>NC_000002.12:212489618-217489618 GCF_000001405.40 Homo sapiens
TAACTCTAACGTATGGTATATTTAAATAGAAACAATTATCTGAACCTTAAATATCAGTGGAGCTAGGACTTCTCTTTTTGGGAATTGAGGGAAAAAATATATACATATATATATATATTATTCTATAGAAGAACAGTTCAGCAGAGTTCTCACATGCTGTATTTAATTCACATTCTCAAGTGTAAATATGAACTTTAAGAAACTGTCTAATAATATACAACTTCCTCTGTGACTTAAAACCAAGTCTCCCCATTGCTTAAAGGGCCATGCTCCTTTTTATGGTCACAGAAACCTCCTGGTCTAAAATCTCGAGTTGTCTTTTACTACTTCCTTCATTTTTCTTTCAGTGTGTTTCTAACAATATTATGTTCTAAGAATATTGAACTACTTGCAGTTTCCCAAACCCATTATACTGTTTCTAGCCCCATCTCTTACCACTACCTAGAATGATCTGGGCTAATTAGACCTTCTGTCTAATTCATAAATATCTTGCAAGAGCACCTTTGTAAAGGTTTCTCTTTCTTGTCTCCTGGGTGTGGGATGACTAATCATTTTCTTTGTTCTATCTCTATTTCACACGCATATTTCTATTAATCTATATACTATAGTTTGTCATAACTGAAGTCTACATCTTATCCATTGTTTCATCTCCAGCTTCTAGCACAATGCCTTGCACATAGCGAACTGTCAAATACACAACAAACAGATCAAATAACTGTTTGACAGCATTGCCACTGTTTCTCTTTCCCTCTGCTTTTCATTCCTTTTATTAATTTCACTTTGATATTTTCATGCCCTCACTGTCTAGTTCTTTTCCCCTTGTATTCTACCCAGAAAATTACATCTGAAGTTTTACATCTCTGTATCTGATTAGTATATTATTTTTTACTCTAGAGTTAAAAAACCAGAGTCCTCACTATTTAATGACAGTTTGAGAAAGTGTTTTGAATCAAATTCAAAATGAATTTTTGAATAAATTATATTCTCTATACAATCTGAATAGTGTGTGAAAGACATTTTCTATAAGTAAATTTGATCTGCACATTTGATAGTGTTGTCAAACATAAAAAGTATCCTAACGGTCTTGGAAATATGGTGAAGTTCAATAATATTCAAGATTTTCATGTAAAATCTTTTCTTGTATAATTAACTACGGGCTTTAATAGCCCTTGCATAGTTTATGTTAAGAGCAATCAAACAGTAACTTTAGCAGTGTTTAGTAAATGGCTTTAAGGCCTCCACAAACTAAATAAGCCTCTACTACAGTTTTTAAAACATTTGGAAATTACTGATACTCTTGAAAGTGAATAGTATTTTTGTTTTGAAATCAATCCAATTTCTTATTCTTTTGAGTCAGTCTAAACTGATTTTTTTCAGTCTTCTCCTTTTCACAGATGCTGTTATTACTATCTTTCTCTTTTTTTAAAAGTAAGATAATCAACTATTAAAGAGTAGTGTTTCAAGGTATTCTAGCATCTGAGGCTGTCTCTGTAACTAAATCAAATGGACTGAATGATCATAAGTATAAGAAAGGACCCAAACGTCTGTATTGTTTTAGCCCTAGAACTTGTGAGGTTCGCAAATCAGTTTACTGCCAAGTATTTCTAGAAACTGATGTATTTGCATACAGAACCTATTATGTATAAACTTTTTAAAAAAGCAATAATAAGAATTCATTTTGTTTCCTAGACTCACTTTATTTCATTAATATTTAACATTACAGAATCAAAGTTAGGGTCAACACACGACCTTTATAACTCAGGATCCCCACCATTTTGAAGGCAATAGATTCTTCTTACAAGTACAGTAACATGTTGTTTAATTTGTGTTTTTCCCTTTGTACCATAAAAGGAAAGGAACTCATTTCACAGAGGTTACTGATTGAATTCACTGCTTTAAAGGAGGTGGACTTTGAAAAACATTATGCTTGAAATAGGTCTATCTTGGTAGATATAATTTCAGTGGAACATTTAAATTTCTCTACAGAGTATACGGAGAAATAGATTACTGCCTTTCATTGATTCACTGTCTAGAATTTTCTTCTTTCAAAATTATAGTCTAGTAAGTTATTTTTATTCCTACTATTTAAAATCTATCATTTTTGGCATGCTCATCCCTCAGTTTCTACGATTTCTTCTAATTTACAAACTTAGGTGCAATGCTGTTACTTATTTTATCACCCTAAGCAATATGAACATTCAAAACTATTGACATTCCAAAGATCACATAAAAATCTGGATTATATGAATTTTCTAATGCTGGTCTCCATTTCACAATGTTCCTGAATACCCTCCCTGTCATAAGAACAGACATTCTTTGTTGTACACAATGTTCCATACAAAGACATTTATAAGCAGATTCTTATAATACTACTTTAAAAAATACCAATTTTGGCATGCTCTTTTAAGCAGAGACAAAACAGATATTTTGCCAGGAGGATTCAGTAGCAGAGAACAAAAATAACGTAAATTTGGTGGAATCAGAAAATACATCTTATAAAAACAAATATAAAACTCTGAAGAAATAATGCAATTTACTTAGGTAAAATATGAAATTGGATAGGATGTTGAAAGCTGTGTACCCAAATAAGATTATCTATATCTTCACCAAAATGTGAATATCTAACGAAGAGCAACATATATTGAATTTTAAAATAATAGAATTTTCAAAGAAATAGACCAGATTATATCATACAGTGCTTAATGACCAAAATTAGATTAATTTTATTGGAATTAAAAAATTATAGCACTACCTGGAATCTGGTCATTAATCTAAAATAAATTTAAAAAATAATTTTCAAACTCCATAATATGTAATTTCATACATGTAGCAATAAATTATTCTACATAAAAGAAAGAAAATTAATTGCCTACATTTAATATTAGGACTGGATTACTAAGTACATGTTGATTTAAATGTAATTGAAAATAGTATGGCCTATGTCTTTATGTACAAAAATGATAAATCATAAGCAAAATAAAGGTATCCTGAATTAACATGCCTTTAAAATGATCAGATCTAATATGTTTCAACTATAAAACTCAGGTATAGGATAAAGGTGTCAGGTATGGAGAAAAAAACCCTATGCTTCAGTTTTAGCACTAGACCTATAATTTTGGAACTCTGAATAAGCCATTTAATTTCTCAATTTGAGTCATCCATTTACTAAAAGAGAATATGTTTCTTTGGCAGAAAGAAGCTAAAAGTACTTTATAGACTCCACAACACATGGTAAATATAAGGAAACAAGCTGTTACAGTAAAAGTAGAGGTAATTAATTTTTTACTCCATACAGTAGTCATTTATTAAATATTTTACAGAAGAATCAGTTTCAATTATAATCATTGAATTTTGTTGGGGTTTTGGTGTTTAGAAGTCTGCTAACTTCTGTCAATGTTTATTTCTTATGTTAAATCCTTCAGTGAACGTATGGTGTTAAATACATTCTGATTATTTGGTTCACATTTCTTGAAATCTAGGTGTACCTATACTTATAAATAATAAAGAACCAAAGTTATTATCTAAATACTCAATAGCAAAAAGGCTAAATTTTATGCTTAAAATGACTTTAGTTATTTATTGAAAGCTGCTTTTATAAATGTGTCGCTATGTATACACAACACACATATAAATAAATGTACTTTATTTTCCATAGTAACTTCCACTAATTAAAAATCATCTTATATATATTCAAATTTTATTAATATTTAATGCAAAGAAATAGACAAGTATAGAAGTGTTATGTAGAGATAATATTAACATCATCAAGTATTTTTAAATAAAAATACAAACATTTCCAGGACTTACAAACATATTTATTATGATATGGTAAATATTGCTAATATTGTTTATGTTTAAGCTTCATTACTCTGCAAATATAACAATTATTCCACATACTAAAAAACTTGGCTCAGTATCAGTCATATTTAGGATACAGATTACTTCGCAGACACATAGTTCAAATTTCATAAAGCAAATTTAACTTCAGCAATTTTTAATTTATGTTCTTTGAATTTAGTCAAGCATTAACATTAGAATTCACTAAAATCAAATCAACACAATTCCTTCTGTCTTGACAGTAGCAATTTATGTGCTAACACTCATTAAATTAAAACTTTTATGTAACTTTGCCTTTTAGCTTCTTTATGTAATGTCTTCATTACAAAATGTGATTTTAAGTAGTAATCTCAGAATTTTTGTTAATCGATTACTCTCTTCAGTCTGAATAAGCCCATTTAACTTTGGACTTTTTACAGTAGAAATTAGTAGCACATTAATAAAAACAAAGAAATGAGTATTATTAGAATATACCACTAAGAGAAACACAAGGAAAATTCTTATTCTTATTACGGATTAAAATTCTTATTAAGAATTCTTACCTCTAATTTAAATTCTTATTAAATTTTTATTCTTTGCATCACAAAGAATAGTGGCCAGTATAACTATTATATGTATACTGGATACAAATATTACACATAGCTGATAACAAAGGCAATCTTTTTCCACATTGAAACAAGGAAAAAATTAGTAATACAGATAAGAATCAACAACACACATATGTCTATCAAATGTACTAACTGACAAACCCAAGTAAATCAATGCCTTTGTGTATTGGTTTTACTATTTGAACATGTCCTTCTCATCAAACAGGTTTTATTCTAAGTATCGTAGGTATGTTCCACACTAATTGAGTGCTTATATTAAAAAGAGGTAACTTTGAAATGTGCACACAGAAAGACTCCATAGATATTTCTCATTATTGGGTATGTTTCAAGATAATAAAATTGACCTGGGATTAATATTAAAATAGTTGAATACATTTTTTTTCTTACCATAAAAAAATGACCTCAGTTAGAAGAAATTCCTAGGGATTAGTGACCAACTGAGGTTAATGGCCTGAGACTATACTTTAGGCAATTAACTCCACCCAGCTATTCATTAATCCCCAGGAAATGCCCAGGTCTACAACTGTTACTGCTTAATTATAACCCGAATGGAACCATGAGAGTTGAGACTGGCAATGTGATTCACTAATGTACAAGAATTAAGTTCTCCATGACTGCTTTGTACATATCAATTAAAATTGCATCACCCTTAAAAAAATCCACATGCCTGTATTTCTTTTCTAGTTTTAGTTTATAATAGCAATAATGACTTCAATGCTGGGCATTTTCTAGAAATTAATGGCCAGCAGATGTTAATGGCCCTTGGCTGTACCTTGAGCTATCTACTCCTCCCTGTTAGTCATTAATCCCTATGAAATGCCCAGCTATTGCTTAATTAACTTTACAATAGAGTTAATGCAGATATGACACAATGGCAAGATTTTTATTTATAAGCTTCCAAAGAAAAATAAACCTTCAACTCCAAAAATACTTATAAAAATTAGTTTCCTATTTCTGAAACTTACATTGAAAATTAAGAATGGGAAGAACCATGGGATATAATGTATTTAAGACTGCACTTCAGACGACCTCAACTACCTTTCAAGGAAGGAGATTCTAGCCCATGGTGAAATATTATCCTATTTCCCTTAGTTACTTATTTCTATTGTTATTTAACATCATCATGTTTGTCAAGATTGTTTTTTCCTCATTAAAACCTTGTTGAAATAAAAAAGAAAGAGTACTGTTCTTATGTAATAAAATCCCCTGTCTCTCACCCATGTGCTTTTCCTCTGTGCCCTGTGATTCAGAGTTTGCAAACAATTCCAGGAGTGGGAATCACTTAGTTGTGTCAGAGTAGTTTAAACTTGGTAAGTTTTAGCACCCATTCTTCCTCAAAGGAAAAAAATAAATTGCTTTAAATTATGAACCTACTATTTTATTTGCCTATTAAAAGGGCATTTTCAACCCTACTAGCAACTAATTAAAGGAACACTGTATGTGTCTTAAACCATCTGGTCCCAAGTTTGTATTGACAAAAAAAGTATATGTAGCTGAAACTTTTTCAGTTAATAAATACTTGGCCCCAATAGAAATGTACCTGGCGAGGCACGTGCTATGTCTCACCTGACAGCATTTGTGAGAGCCCCATTGATGCCTAAAATTAGCCCTGGCACATAATTATAGCCTTCAGGAAAGATCAGCTCCAGAATACATTATCTTTCCTACAAAATCAGATCCCTTAAATTACATAGACGAATGTCATACAGGTACAGAATTGGAAAGTTAGGATTCTATTTTTACCTATTAAGCGTATAGACTACAAAGATAACGGTGTAATATGTAGTTACTATTTATGGTGCTTAATAATTTATACAGCTCTCTATGATTACTTACTTTGCTGATTCTCCCTCACAAAAATAACAACCAGAGATTTGTGATTTTTGTAATTATATAAAGTGCTATTTCCCTATATTTGGTATTACTTGATACGGCATCAGGTAGAATTTTTATCAAATTTTCAAAGATTCTCTTAGATAAACCTTTGTATTTTGGTTGAATAATAGTTATCCAATTGTAGTAATGATCAAATTGCAGTTACCAAACTTTCAGAGGTTGTCTTAGAGAAATCTTTATAATTTGTTTAAAACATTTCACTTTAAACATTTTAGGATGTTTAAAACATTTTAGGATGAAAAATTTTCAAGCAGAAAACCAGAATAAAGAATCAGTCTAAATATGGAACAGACAAAGTATATCGATTGTTGATTGACCTGGTAAAAAAAAAAAACAAAAAAACAGACATACATCATGTAGATTATATTCTTCATGTGCACGTGCATGCATACACACACATACACATATATAATCAATTTAAGTCATTCATGGATCTTCAATGGATCACACCATTACTTGCAAATATTATTGTTGCTAATTGGACAAAGTATTAAAAAAGTAGACTCTGATAAAAACTTACGGGCATTATATATTGAACAGAGACATCTGGCAACCCAAAATTCTGATGAACTAGAGTTCACAATAGTTATTTTTTAACCTTTCCTAACACACATATTATAATGGGAGACTACTATAAGATAAAATTTTGTCCTTGTGTAACATTCACGATACATTATTTGAAGATACTGGTAAATAAGCATTTGATACACAAGCTTTATTTTCCCAAGTTTTAGAAAATTTGTCAGTCTCCGTGAGTCGTCAAGAGTATCTATCTCTATGCTGACTTCATAAAATTACTTTGATGGAAAATAATATGGTTTAAAGAGTTACTAATGTTTTTTCCTAATCCTGCTTATGCTCTATATCCTGCATTTTCTCTTCTGTTTCTTGGACCACAGTCAATACTTTATTTGCTTTTTAAAAATAACTATATTTTTAGCCAGGTGAGGTGGTTCACTCCTGTAATCCCAGCACTTTGGGAGGCCGATGGGGGTGGATCACCTGAGGTCAAGAGTTTGAGATCAGCCTGGCCAACATGGTGAAATCCTGTCTCTACTAAAAAATATGAAAATTAGCTGGTGGTGGCATGCGCCTGTAATCCCAGCTACTCGGAAGGCTGAGGCAAGAGAATCACTTCAACCCAGGAGGCGGAGGTTGCAGTGAGCCGAGATCACACCATTGCACTCCAGCCTGGGTGACAAGAGCAAAACTCCATCTCAAAAAAAAAAAAAAAAAAACCCTATATTTTTAAAAGTTAAACAAATTTAAAAAAACAATATTTATAGTCAACTATTTGAATACTAATTTTTATTTAATTATGTTTATTTTGAAACAGGCTCTCACTCTGTTGCCCAGGTTGGAGTCCAGTAGTGTGATCTTTCTATTTGAAATACTGGTTTTATTCTGTTTTTCTTTATCAAAATGAGATTCAATCTTAATTGAGAATTCTCATATTTGAATCCTAAGTTTTCTGTCCATTCATTAACTTAGACACTAGCTGCTGAAGACGTGACAGTGCAGTGATATAGGCAATGTGAATAGTATTGATAGATTGAACATGAATAAACTTTTAGCCAAATACCTTTGTTAATGATGTAAGTTCTCTGGATGAAGGTCTAGAAAGCCAACCACCTTTACTTTCAATCTCCTTTTGGAACATACAAGTCCTACATTCCAGTTTCGTTTCATGAAGGGAATATTACTCTTCCCTTCACAGCTTATCTAAAGTATCAATTAGTCAAATAAATGACTACAAGATCTGTGAAAGAAATAAAAAAAGATATTCACATGTACACAATTCCAAGAATACCTAAGGGCACAATACAGCAGGCGGAACATTGGAAGCCAGTGACCAAATTCAGCCAGTTCATGTGCTGCTTTTCCTGCATAAAGAGTAAAAATTGAATAAGTTGTGGACATTTTAAACTTGGGTATATTTACATAAAATTTCATATTTCCAAATGTATTTTTTGAAAAATTACTAAATTTGTAACAATAAATTGGCACTGTTTAGAGTCCTTCCCTTTAGATAGGACCAGCACTCAGTTCCTACCACTTTTATTGCTTCCCTAATATATTTTATTTAGCCAATCATTATTTACATTTTCATCCTACAGGGAAACAAAAGCCTTTCTATTGTGTGTGTGTGCATATCTATGTGTGTGTGTGTGTGTGTATGTGTGCACAGCCGTGTACACAATGGGATTTTTGATGAGTGTAAAGATTTTGTAATAACCCCTTCCCCAACTTCCTGCAAGTCCCTTTTTTGAACCTCCAGTCTTTCAAATGGAAGTATCCAAGGATCAAAGAGGCTACAGCTTTACTAAACAAAGACGGGGATTAATTTTTCTTGGTTTTTAATGTTGGAAAGTGACTTACCATTTCCCAACTTGACTAATTTACCATTATATTTAAGCTATTTAAATCCTAAAATCTATTAGAATATGCTTTAGCCAATGTAGAATAAATAATTAAAAATGCCTTTCAATCTCTAGAAGACTCTCCAAAGGATTGAGATACATTCCTATTGCAAAAACAGTTCAAGTATTTTCAGTTAACTTCTATTATTTTCACTTTCTTATATATTCCACCTAGGGACAGGATTTTCATCATGATTAATACTTTTAGTCCAAGCAATTATGATTAATTATATTATTTCATTCTTGGAGTCACCCAAAATGTAGTGAAATAATGTTTTTATTAAAATATATTAATATTTAGACATTTTGGGAAATACATCAGGATATTTGAGAATTCTACAAGAAATGACTCATAATCTTTACTTTCCCTACCAGTCCATCTACAAAAATGTGCTTTTCTTCAGATTGAAAGACCCTAACTACTAGTAGTAATTAATTAATAGTGGTCTAATGAAGGAGAAGTATACAGGGGCAGTACATCTCTAAACTAGCTGAGCATCAGAATATTCTTGAGTAACTACAAAAATATACTCCTAAGCCCTATCTTTGAAGATTCTGGACAAGTGGATCTGAGTAAGTCAATAAATCCAAATAACCCACAGCAGGGTCATGGCAACAATATTTTATTTAAAGATCTTCATATAATTACAATTTCAGTAGGGGTCGCCGGACTAGATAAAAGCAATAATATGAAAATTCCTTTCCTGAATTATTCAGATTATATTCATAAAATGAAAGTTCTTAGTTCAAGTAATCAGTTGTTAATTGGTTTTGTTGAAACCGCATTAAATGCTACAGTAGGTTCCTAAGAAGTCCTTCCCATCCTTGAGGGACTCTACAGTCTAAAACGGGAAGTGGTGAGACTTACTATGCATTAAATAGTATTACAAAGTTCATTTCAGTAATTTTTTATTATCTATAATATTAAATATATAAAGTGCTAAATCTCTGTGAATCCTTTCTTGTTTCATAGTGGTTAGGTAGTACCAACTTAATGAAGACCTTGAAATTGAGGCAGAATGTTTTATATATTTTACTCTTGATGTAATAATGAAAGAAATATTTTTTAATGTAGAGGAATCAGGTATAAATCCACTGTTCCCTATTTAAATAATTATTTAGAGACATGAGAATATTTAGTCAGCAACAGCTGTTGCAGTAGCTTAGCTGTGAGCCTGTGGGAATCTGGATAGGAATGATAGCCCAAATGGAGATAAAGGTACTGGTATACGAAATTTGCCAAAAGATGACTGACAGAAAGAGGAGGATGATAGCATAAAATCAATAACTATAACCATCCATGTTTGAAGGAATGTTGAAGTGGTGGTTCCCTTGGCAGAGAGGAGAACATAGAAATTTGGTAAAGAAGCTGGTCTGGTGAGGAAATTGGATTCGTTTAGAACTGTTGAAGTTAAAAGTGATGGGACACACTTAATTGGAAATATTCAGAGGATAACTGCAGATGTAGAAAAGGAGCTCAAGTAAAAAACTGAAGACACAGAAAAGAATAGGGATTTATTCATCCTGTCTCTGTGCCTCAAGTCTCAGCCATATTTCATATGACAAATGTCACCTGATAAGTGATTTCTCATGAGATGACACCATACATTAACACACATGTTAAATACAAAACATGTTGAACACTGATTGCTAACATATAATCCCTTTCCCCGGAATTTATTTTTTTCTCATAGAAACGATAAAGTGTAGTTCACAAATAAATGGTGACTTTAGCATTTCAAACTTACTTTTTATTGATCAAATGAGTAAAAGGATATAGACTGCCTCAGGTAAATTATCTACCATTTCACTGAAGCAGTTTATTCACATGGCCTTTCTGTATTTATTTCATAGGTTTGCATAATAAGGATTCACATACACAGTTGAGCTCTCCTTCCTTCGGGCTAGTTACCTAGCTGTCCTAATCACCCGGTAATTAAAACAAAACCCACTCCAGATAATTGGCAGTTTTCTCTAATTGAAAACTGGGTAGACAATAATTTGGTCTAGGGAAATGCCCTACTCTCATACTGTAATATGAATTACCATCTGTCCATTAAATTAGCCACCGTAAAATATTAACATATAAATGACTACTATAGGGCTATTCTTAAAGTGGCCCTAACATTTAATTTTTTTTTTCATTTTGTTGACTCACCCATTTCTTTCTAGGGAACAATAAGGAACTGTATTCTAGGGTTGATGGCAGGAAAGGGCAATAACTTTTGTCCCACAATGCAGACATGTTAAGAATATTTAGAATATCTAACCTTGCTACACAAAGTATTTGCTCTTTAGTGAATAACATGAACATTGAACCAAGAAGATAGAACAAATTACACAAAAATATTCAATCCATCTATCAATATACAGCTGAGAGATCCTAAATGCTTCACATACTACTACACATTTACTCTCAGTGGAAGTAAAAGAGGAAAAGAAGGAGATTTAAAAAAGCAACCTGCTAATCTTAGAAAATGTCCAGTAGTTCAGAAAATTCTTGGAATACACCTGGCATATATTGAGAAAATATTCTAACTCTTCAATATACTAACTCTGTTCTTCCTTAAAGGGTGATTTTATTTGAATGAGAAAAGGGGGAAATTCATAAATATCAAAAGACTCTCAAGGGAACAATAGACATTATCGAAGGAACAACCTGATTTTGTGTTCTCTGTAGACAGATGGGTAAGCTACACAACTCTCTCTTCAGACACATTTGTACACAGCAAATAACACCAGTAGCAGAGTCTTTAATTAGAGAGGACAAAGATACACAGCCACACATCTAATGACACAAAGTACACCAAAGCAGCATGAATATATTTTCCTTTCCTGGTCACAGGCAATCCTAGCATGAAAAGAATGTTTCCCCAAAAGTTCTCTGTGGTGACTTTCTGCTGACATCTTAGGATGCCTGATTTGTCTGTTTGCTGGCAAGGAGTGAGCCTTGTGAAATGTATAACAGAATTAGAATGTAAACTGATGATACTTCAGACAAGGTCAAACCCTGATCCATGTAAATACTCATCAATTGATTAGGCAGAAATTATTAAGACACTGGATAAGTCAAACAATAGCTCAAGAGCTGCATAACAAATCCAGGGAAAACACAACAGCAGTGAAAGTGAGGAAAACTCCCAACCACAGACTTCGTTGACCAGCCACAGAAAAGAAATTTTCAGGATTTTTTATTTAAAACACAAATATTTGTAATAAGGATTAAGTATGTACCCTGAAAATCATACCTGTCTTGAAATATTTGCTCCAGTCTAAGCATAGAATAATCACTCTGCTACCTACCATTCATCGCCCACTGCAATGAAAAGGTTGAGCTCCATCTTGGACTTTCTTCACAGAACCTGACATAAACTTTAGTGTACTCTAGAGACTTGGTGATGATAAGATGTTATGTTTCAATACAAAGACAAACTCCATAATAAATCATTTTATCAATTAAGATGAAGAAAGCCATCGAAATATAAAACTACAAATGAAATGATCAAAATTTATACATGGCCAAAAACCTGGGGTTTCTGAAAGTTAAACAGAAATCTGAATTTTATTCAGTTATTAAAATAAATATTTTATATTTTTATACTTAGTTTTAATGTCTTTTTCTCAAGATTATTTTATATACAAAAACAAGTAGTATAAAAATCAACTTATTTCTGTTAATTAATGAAAAGTTGTGCTTTCCCTATAAGTAAATTCTCATGGATTGTTTACACTATAAATCCCAGGACATTAAAGTACAGAGCACATTTTTCTCCTTTATTAATGTATAACTATATAATGAGCTATAGCTTATTATGCATAAAATAATTCTCTTTTTTAAAAACTGCTCTGGTGTTGAAGTAAGCTAATGTCAAATTAAATTATATTTATTAAGAATCATCATAGAAAAAAGTGTATTACTTAACAATAAAAATTAAAACCATCATTTTCAAATGTTTAAAACTTGCCCTGTATTGTGCTGGGCAATTTATACAAATTATATCATTTAATCTTTATATTACTCCTGTGAGGTAGGTATTATTTTCCTGTTCTATAACTTAGCATACTATGGCAAACAGAAGAGTAATCATTTACTCAGTGTCACTTGGCTCAAAAATGACCAAGCTATATTTTTACCTTAAGGCTGACTGACCTCAAATCAAAATCTCTCTGATGCAACAGAACCTCCCCTTGTTAAATTTCCTATAGCAGAGACTGCTGGCTGTTAACCAAACCCAATTCTAAGCACACAGCTTGATCATATTTCTCTTAGAGTTGGGTATGTCAATGAACTAAATTCTAGCCAAGAGAATATGGGAAAAAATAACATGTCATTTTTGTCTAAGAGCCAACCTTAGCTCTTAAAAACTTTCCACATGCCACCTTCCATTCTTTCTTTTTCATTGTTTTTTTGAGACAGGGTCTCACTCTGTCACCCTGCCCAGGTATAGTGGTACCATCAGGACTCAGTGCAGCCTCAACCTCCTGGGCTCAGGTGATCCTCCTACCTCAGCCTCCTGAGTAGCTGGGACTACAGGAACATGCCACCATGCCCAGCTAATTTTTCGTACAGACAGGGTTTTGGCATGTTGCCCAAGCTGGTCTCTAACTCCTGGGCTCATGTGATCCACCCACCTCAACCTCCCAAAATGCTGGGATTACAAAGGCAACCTTCCATTCTTTTTCCCCCATTTGGCCTCAGACTTTCACCAGGCTATACTGAGAATCTGGTGCAAATGGTCCTAGGGAGAAATTCAGCCAGAAACATCTGCATTGAACTGTTAGTAATGAGAAATAAACTCTTACTGGGTTAAGCTACTGTAACACAGGGTTTTTGTTGTTGTTTTGTTCTATCAGCTAGTATTATTCTTAACTACTACAAGTTATATCATTTTAGAGTTACCAAATCAAAATATGATGTTAAGGTTTTTAATTAAAATCTCTCAGTTAAAACTTAAAATATATTTCCCTGCCAGTCTAAATGTTGTCCTCCACAATATCCAGTAATAATATAGCCTCTTTTCCTACTGGCAAACACAGGTGTTAAGTAAAAATGGTAACATAAAGACAGAAAATCCAAATGGACTGCATTTATATCACTTCAACTGCAAATAGCATCTCAATGCAGTTTTGAAGTGATATCTAGATACTTTTTGTTACCAAATTCAGGTGTCAGGAATAATAAAGGAATCGTTTACTTGATGCATATAATACTTTAAAGAAATCAGTGCAAGCCCCCAAAGGAAAAAACCAACAGCATACTCAGGAGCATATCATCTTGAAGTTGATGTAACAATGCTGACAAGTACAAAAGATAACTACTTTGTTCTGTCATGCTGTGTCATGTTGTAGAAAACACAAAGCATTACGTGACCTTTAGAGGAACAGTCAAAAGTAGCTTACTTTGTGGTATTTACCACGGGTGTTTTTGAATTTTTGAAGGTCCTGTCTTTTGCCAGTTACAGCCAGAGTTATGTCTTAAGGGATCTCAAACAAAAAGAGAAAAAAAAAATGCTGATGCATTAAACAAGTGTAAGAGTAAGGTGAAATACTAGGAGGAAAATTCACTCCTAGTAGAAAACAAAACTATTTGTTAAGTATCTATATGTTTGTAGACACCTTGAAAATGTCCATCTATTTAACATCCAGTTCCAAAATTAGCTTAAATGGATGTATATGGGCCATAGTTGGCCTGAGACCATAGAGAGACGAGTATTGACTAATTTTATGCTCTTACATACTGATTAGAGACTACTACTGCAATTTTCCTGAATTCTAGTTGTATTAAACTTTAGTATAATGCAGAGTCCTCAGATATCAGAAGGTGGTATACATAAGCCATAGATTGCTATTAAATCTTATTTTTAGACATCATCTCTACTCCTCAAAACCATAGCTGCATTTTTATTTATTTATTAAATTGTATTTATTTTCTTCTACATTAAGTCCTTAACTCAAAGGAATAACTAGTATAGCAAGATTTCAGCCCCCTAAATTAGTATTCCTTAAAGGAAGTTTATAGATAATCACACTGGAATTACTTAAATATATATGTCTTAATCTCTAGAGTAACCATTAAAAAATAATACAAAAAGAGATCCTGAAAAAGCCTATAGAGAAATAGAAAAAAAAAATTTTCGTTAATCTCAAAGAAGGAAGAAAAGCATGAACAAAGGAATAAATGACCAATGGAACAAATAGAAAATAATTAACAATGTCAACGTATATTAAATGTAAATGAACCAAACTCCCAAATAAAATTGAAGATACATAGTCTGAACCATAACGTATAGAATGGAATCTGTTTCTGCAGCTGAGCCCAGCGATTTAAAATTTTAACAAATATATTAGTTTTTTATGTACAATAAAGTTTGATTATGATTTGATTATTATCTGAGCTATTTCTGAGTTGTGTTTGCATATGATTTAGAGTTACCAAATCACCTTCTCTCCAAGCTATTTGAATAGGGAATAAAATATGGATAGTATCAATGAAGTTGGTACATGTGTGCCAGGAAAGTAATACTGTAATATTTTAATTAAAAAAACTGAAAAATATGTATGTAAAGTTATGGTTGTAGATTTTTGTAATTATAACTAAAATACTAGTAATACAATGCATTCTTAGAAAGGGATTTGAAACATTACCAGATAACTCCATTAAACAAATATACAACTGTTTGTTTCTTACTCTTGCTTTTGTTTTTGTTTCTTTTGTTTGTTTGGTTGGTTGTTTTTGAGACAGACTCTTGCTCTGTTGCCCAGGCTGGAGTGCAGTGGCACAATCGAAGCTCACTGCAACCTCTGCCTCCCGGGTTCAAGCGATTCTCCTGCCTCAGCCTCCCGAGTAGCGGGGATTAGAGACACACACCACCATGCCTGGCTAATTTTTGTATTTTTAGTAGAGACAGGGTTTCACTGTGTTGGCCAGGCTGGTCTCAAACTCCTGACCTCAGGTGATCCATCCCCATCGGCCTCCCAAAGTGCTGGGACTACAGACATGCGCCATCACACCCGGCCTGTTTCTCACTCTTGAAGAGAGTGAGTATTAAACATCAAGTGAGGACACAATGAGGTCATATGTGTAAAAACTCTTTGTAAGCAGGAAAATGTTATAAAATTGGAAAGTATCATTGGGAAACACAGTCTTCCAAAGGGTCTCCTGTGCATCTACACATCTTGCTGGCTATGCCAAAAAGGCGATGCCTCTTTATCTGAGCTATTTCTGAGCTGTGTTTGCAGTGAGAAACCTTGACGGATGATATAATGTCTCCTACAGGGACAAACAGCAGGCTTGTTTGATTGCTGTAAAAGTAGGGGATACCCCAAAGTCAGTGTTGCCTATAATACAATTAGGCAAGAAAAATTCATACAAGCATGCCAATGCTTATCTTGCTTGCTGCAACATGAGTAATAAAAGTCCTTTGTTTCTGACTCAGTACTCTCATATCTTCTGACACCATCTACGACACAGTACAAGGCTACTTAGTAGGAGGTATATAGGGTAAAATAAAATCCCAGATCAAACATTTAGGCATATCTCATTTTATTGTGCTTCACTTTATTGTGCCTTGCAGATACTGATTTTTACAGATTTAGAGCTTGTGGCAACCCCGCATAGAACAAGTTTGTCAGCACCATTTTTCCAACAACATATGTTAATTCTGCATCTCTGGACACATAGAATTTTGTGAATTTTGGAAATTCTCACAATATTTCAAACTTTATTATTATATCTATTATGGTGATCTGTAATCAGTGATCTTTGATGTTACTATTGTAATTGTTTTGAGGAGCCACAAATCATACCCAAACTTAATTAATAAATAGGTGTGTGTTCTGACTGCTTCACTAGGCCATTTCCCCATCTCTCTCCCTCTCCTTGGGTTTCCCAATTCCCTGAGATGAAATAATTATAAATTAGGCCAATTAATAACCATACAATGGTCTTTAAGTGTTCAAGTAAAAAGAATTGCATGTCTCTCACTTGAAATCAAAAGCTAGAAATGATTAAGTTTAGCAAGGAAGGCATATCAAGAGAGCCAAGGCAGGCAAAAGCTAGGCCTTGTGTGTCAAACAGCCAAATTGTGAATGCAAAGGAAAAGTTATTGAAGAAAATTAAAAGTGCTGCTCCAGTGAACACACAAATGATAACAAAAAAAAAAAAAAGTCAAACAGCCTTATTGCTCATATGGAGAAAAGTTTTAATAGTCTGGATAGAAGATCAAACCAGCCACAACTTTCCCTGAAGCTAAAGCCTAACCCAGAGAAAGGCCCCAAGCCTCCTCAATTCCACGAAGGCTGAGAGAGGTGAGGCAGCTGTAAAAGAAAAGTTGGAAGCTAGCCGAGATTGGTTCATGAGGTTTAAGGATAGAAGCTGGTTCATGAGGTTTAAGGATAGAAGCTGTCTCCATAACAAAAAGCAAGGTGAACTAACAAGTGCTGATGTAGAATCTGCAGCAAGTTATCTGGAAGATCTAGTTAATATTATTAATGAAGGTAGATACACTAAACAACAGATTTTCCATGGAGATAAGACAGCCTTCTATTAAAAGAAATGCCATCTAGCACTTTCATAGAAAGAAGTCAATGCCTGGCTTCAAAGTTTCAAAGGACAGGCTGACTGTTTTTCAGGGACTAATGCAGACAGGACTTGAAGTTGAGGCCAATGCTCATTTACCATTCCAAAATCCTAAAGCCCTTAATAATTATCCTAAATCTACTCTGCCTGTGCTCTATATGGAACAACTAGCCTAGTTGACAACACATCTGTTGACAGCATTGTTATGACAGCATGAATATTTTAAACCTACTATTGGAGACCTATTGCTCAGAAAAAAAAAAAAAGATTCCTTTCAAAATATTACTGCTCATTGACAATGAACCTACTAACCAAAGAGTTCTCGTGGAGATCTACAAGGAGAATAATGCTGTTTTCATGCCTGGTAATACAACATCTATTCTGCCGCTCATTACTTTGAATCAAGAAGTAACTTTAACTTTCAATTCTTATTATTTATGAAATATACTTCATAAGGCTGTACCTGCCAGAGACAGGATTCCTCTGATGGAACTGAGCAAAGTAAAATTAAAACTTTCTAGAAAGAATTCACCATTCTAGATACCATTAAAAATATTAATGATTCATTGGCGAAGGTTAAAATATCAACATTTATAGGAGTTCGGAAGAAGTTGATTTCAACCCCCATGGATGACTTGGAGGAATTCAAAACTACAGTGGAGGAAACAGCTACAGATGAGGTAGAAAGAGAACTAGATATAGAGCCTAAATATGTGACTGAATTGCTGCAATCTCATGATCAAATGAACAGATGAGGAATTGCTTCTTATGGATGAACAAAGAAAGTTGTTTTTTGACATGGAAACCATTCCTGGTGAATATACTATAAACATGGTTGAAATGACAACGAAAGATTTACAATACTATATAAACTCAGTTGAAAAAGCAGCAGCAGGGTTTGAAATAATTGATTCCAACTTTGAAAAGAGTTATATTGTGCGTAAAATGCTACAAAACAGCATCACATGCTGGAGAGACATTTTTCATGAAAGGAAGAGTCAACAAATGAGGCAAATTTCATTGTCTTATATTAAGAAATTGCCACAGCCACCACAACCCTTCAGCAACCACCACCCTGATTGGTCAGCAACCATCAACAGCCAAGCAAGACCCTCCCCCAGCAAAATGATTACAACCCATTGAAGGCTCAGATGATTGTTAGCATTTTTTAGCAATAACTGTTTTTAAATTAAGGTATTCATATTGTATTTTTGGACATAATTGTACACTTTACAGATAACAGTATAGTAGAAACATAACTTTTATATGTGTGGGGAAAAAATTGTTGACTTGCTTTATTGTGATACTCAGCTTATTGTGGTGGTCTGAAACTGAATCTGCAATATCTCTTAGGTATGCCTTCATATTATTATATAGAAATAAAGTTGGATCAATTTTAAACTGATCAAACTGACCAGGCCATACACAAAAACAAACTAATAAATATAAATTACTTATGGGTTTATGCATTGTGTTATAATTTAGAGGTCACATTTTATGAATCAATTATCTTGAGATAATTTTTAAACTTCTGATTTTTCAGACACATGTCTAAAAAAGAAGCTAAACTCACATTTAAAGGCATAAGTTTCTCTATATACTTATGAAAAACTTATATAAGAATCAACAGTTGAAATACAATTAGAGAGAGAACACAAGCCTACCTTAAATTTAATTTTTCAAATGGTGTACAGAATCCAGGGGCATCTAAATATATATCTTCAGAATATAAATAGCAGTAGTGGGTAATTATCCTAATTTCAGCATTCTGGAACATTTTCTTTAGTAGTCTTTCTAAAAGACTCTTAATAATCACAATAGCAGTTATGTAATCTTCCTCCTAGCATTTCTCTTAAGCTTTAAAAATGAGTATATTTTTGACATTTTTCCACTATTGCTTTTATTGCATCTCCAAATTTCTTTGTCATTGTCATCTGCCAATTTCAATAATTGATTACTTCTATACTTTCATGTCTGCCAAAAACCTCTGAAAAACTGTAAGGCTTTGAATTAATGTGGTAATTATTTATTTTCTAATGTCCTTAAGACTTATACCATTTCTTCTTACACCTTTCCGTACATGCTGAAATTTTAGTTCCTTCTTCTTAAAGTTTCTCTTTCCAGAATATTCCCATAACTTAGAAGCTGAGAATAGCCTAAATAAAACTTTGCTTCCAGTATTTTGCCAATCCATTTGGAATTGTTGATGTGTAAGTAATTAAAAACCCTACTATTCATGGATAAGGCCAAAGCAAATAATTGTAAACTTTTTAAAAATCTCAGAGTGAAAATATGTGAGAGTAAATGAGATTCGGAAGTTTTTAAATGATATGTTGTACAATCATTTTCCCATTATGACTCTTGTGTCCATTTGGTATGTGTTTTTCATAAGATTGCTTTCGTACATAAGTGATACTAAGGTCTTAATTAATAGTAAGGCGGTCAAATTCTGTTGGTGTTATTATTGGGCAAATTTCAAATACCCTCCTCAGCCTGTAATCACGATAGGTTAACAATCTTAACATATTTATTTAATTTTGTATAAAAATTATTACATGTTCTGTGATCCTACATCATGCATTGTTACTATTAAGAATTACCTGTAAATAATTTAATTTAAATAAGTTTATGTTCCATATTCCTAATATAGAATATGAAAATGGGAATAACTATACCTAGGCTTTGGAGTCACACAAATTTCAATTCTGCCTCCTGTTCAGATTCAAATGAAATCTTGTTTATGAAGCATCTATCACAGAGCCCCTGCTTCAGAAACTGTAGGAAAAGCCACCATTGTTACCATTGATATTGTTCACTGATTAAATTATTAGATGTATAAAAAGCTGTTGAACTTACAGTCAGTTAGTTTCTATGTATTAAGTTATGATATGAGTTTCATTTTCATTAGTGCTTATCTAATCCTTATGAAATATTTTATTAAATTTGTAGTCTTCAGACTACTTTCAATGCTTAATTAACAGTTAACCATGAAATATCCCAAAATTTTGTTGTAAAATGTCAGCACGTAGCATGTATTTATCAATTAGAAACATTTTAAACCCAAAAAGATATACCACAGCTATTTCAGTTCGCCTTGCAGTCAAATGTATACACTAACATAAATAGTTACATACAGAACGTTTAACTACTAGACATGACACAGAAAGGTAAGATGTGTGTGTATATATATACATATAAATATATATATATATAAAAGCCTAAAAACACCTTCCATCCTAACCACACAGTATATATATATATATATATATATATATAACTACTCCCATCCAATGTATTCATACAACAACTTGAGTGATTTCCAATACTATTGCACAATATAAATAAAACAAGTGTACAGAAGGCTACATGTTTATATAAACTATAGAAGTAATAACCTGGTTTGACAAGGTGCAGAAGAAAGGGGAAAATGTCTACAGGTAGGTAAAGCATTTTAAAACACTTGGAGACTAAGACCTTACTGACCTTGTCACCTCACATCCCACTTTTCTGTTTTAAATAGGATTTGGCTAAAGGGTTTTCCATAATCCAATGATATGATTTTACTGGGCATTTAAAAAGTTATAGGAAAAACAATTAAACTTTAAATAAAACATCATGTCATGGTAGGATCAAAATGAATTATCACGCTATGAAAATCCTTAACTAATAGGAGATCACATAATTGTGAGTAGATAGAATAACAGGGCACTTCAAAATTTGTACATTATACTTATCTGATTGAAAAGCCTAACATCCTATCAATTTTCAACATATAAGTGGGACATCTGTTAACATGACATAATATTTCATTCATATTCCACCAATAAAATGTCTATCTGGAAAAATAATCTATGAAACAAAGTAATAGCCATTTTGTAGTTCAAGTGCCCGTTAATAAATAGAAAACTAAAGAAAGATTATTTTCCAAGTACATGTGGGATCCCCAGGAATGTCCAACGACATTATTTTCATGACTATTTGATTTATAGCCAGTAAAATTATAATAACAAAATACTAATAAGAATATATGACCCCAAAAATGGAATGCAATGATATATGTAAATGACTAGGCCAATTTCTTATACATGGCATGTACTCAAAAAAACGGATATTTTAGACAAGGAAGGAAAAAGTTAATATTCTTTCTCTAAATTATTTTACCTGCAAATACACTGAAAAGATTGACATAATATAGATGTATAGAAGAATTAAAGATGCCACTGTAACTTTTTTGTCTTGTCTTACCTCATTTTAGACCTTCGGCAAACAGAGTATCTTTTCATTGAAAGCTGATGAGCATTCCCTATTAGGCTTCCAAAGGAAACATTTTGTGGGCACAAAACACCTTCCATCCTAACCACACAGTTTTTATGAGAATCAAATAGCTTCACCTAAAATTCAAGTGCAGTGTTCAGTGGATAATCAACACTTAAAAATGGGCACATCCAAAGAAAGAGTCGCTTAGTTTATTATTTCTCTTGAAACTATTACAAAATTTAGGACAATTTTAAAGCACAATGAAATTATATTATTGTACAACAGCTTGGTAATTTATAACTGTGTTCCTTATAATCTTAGGTAACCTACCAGTCTTCACTCTTTATTTTCACGTCTCTTTCAGACCAAGATTCTGTGAAACGAATAGATACTTATTTTTTTTCAAACGTATTTATTTCTTTCTAATGACCAAGAAGGGGGAGTCAACTTAAAGGAAGAGGAATATATTTGAATGAATCTGCTACTTAGGTAACTGAACAAGTAAGCCAAGGTATTGTAATTGAACATTTAGGGCTTGTATTAAGTAAAATAATTTGGCCATAAACGTGGCTTAAAAATTAGAGATTTAATGTCTTGCATGTAAAAATTCAGAAGCTCGACAATGTCATGAAGAATCCATTTTGCCTTTTTGGGGATGGCATTCGTGTCACCATCCAGTACCAAAGGATGGGCTGCCAGTTCCAGGTGTCATATGCAGACATAATGATCTTTAGCTAAAATGGGTAGTGCTTCCCCTGTGTTTCTCTTTTCATTAGAGAGTTTCTCTGGAAGCCTGCCAGATTTCCCCTTTCATTGATCAGAATTCTATCCCATTTTCACTACTGAACTGGCATGAGAAATGAAATGACGATAATAGGCTTAGAACAATAATGATTCTCTCCCCAGGGATGGGGGACAATTGAATTAAAGTTTATTCTGCCAGCAAGGAAGAGGTAAAGGAAGTAATCATTGAAATACCCTCTAATAGTTTCTACACTACACCTTTGGAGTCAGGGGAAAGTTGACTTAAATCCTGACTTCATACCTTTAGAACTCTTTATATAAGTACTTAACCTCTCTTTATATTGGGAGAAAAATATACATATTGAGTATATATATATATACACACAAATATATATATATACACAAAAAAAAACAAATATGATACAGGTATTTTAAACAGGTCTGTGTTGTCAGGAATGTGTAATTTATGCAAAAATACCTAGCACAGAACCTGATACATGGCAGAACCCAATAAATAGTATTTAAAACTGTTTGCATGGTTTTTGTTTGTTTGTTTGTTTCCATTTCTAGGCCCTCCTCATTTCTTGCCTTCTCACAACAAAGCCCAATACCTTTCTGAGAAGTATGGCCTAAAGTGATTATTCAATCTCTGCAAAATTCTCAGTTTTAAAAAGTATTTTACTTGATATTTTCCTATTTCATTCTGCATATATCACCGACTATTAGGGTTGTCAAATACTAGTTTGATAGGGTATCATGCACCTTGATTATAACACACATAAATTTTCCTTATCAGATAATTCCATAAATCAAATCAGCATATAAAATACCATCAATTATTTTAAGAAAAAAATGAAAGAGGAAAAAGAAAAGCCCCTAGCAGAACATGAAAGTTCCCGTGGCCTGTTTCTACATTTCACTCTCTTCCTTTGTGCCTGACATCTTTATGCTTTAATCACTCTAAATAAATTGTCCAAATTACATCTTGAGATTATTTCTTTCAAAACTATTGTTGCAGTTTCCCCTATCAGAAACATCCTCCGCACCACTTTTCCACTCTTCATCTAATTCTTATCATCTTCATAACTCATTTCAGAAACTGTCTTTCCCAGAAGAGTTTTCCAGACTTTAGTTATACTAAGTTATTCCAGAGTAACTTTTGCTTACCATTTACCATAAAATTTGGAAAGTATCTATTTTTGCATCTGTCTTCCTCACTAGATTGTTTAATAAACTCCTGATGCCTTTACTGGTATGGAAGTAGCCACGCAATAAGTATGTGCTGAATGAAATGAAATAAATTGATTTGTTTTATATATTCAGCACTCTAAAATGGAATACTAAAGACAAATCTCCTAAAATACTGAGATGATAAAAAATAGCATTAAAAAGTTACCGCCTTTATAGAAAAATACAGTAACATTTCACAAGTATTTACAGCGAGTGAAATGTCATGCTAAATACCTTATACATATTTTTCAATTTAGCCATCAGAACAGCCCTGAGAAGTAAAAGTATCTTCCCCATTTTAAATATGAGAGTAAAACACAAAGAAGTTAATTAAGTTTTCAAGGCCTGGCGTGGTGGCTCACGCCTATAATCCCAGCACTTTGGGAGGCCGAGGCGGGTGGATCAAGAGGTCAGGAGATCGAGACCATCTTGGCTAACACGGTGAAGCCCGTCTCTACTAAAAATACAAAAAATTAGCCGGGCGTAGTGGCCAGCGCCTGTAGTCCCAGCTACTCCGGGAGGCTGAGGCAGGAGAATGGCATGAACCCAGGAGGCGGAGCTTGCAGTGCGCCAAGATCCCGCCACTGCACTCCAGCCTGGGCGACACGGCGAGACTCCGTCTCAAAAAATAAATAAATAAATAAATAAAAAGAACAATTTAAGTTTTCAAAGACCATACAACTAGCAAGTCCCAAATCTGAAACTTGAACTCAGGTTTGTCGACTCTAAAGTGTATGTTTTAGTTACTACACTCCAAAATACAGACCACTTTCCACATGCTACTTTATTTTTTACCCATTCCTAATAAGAAGTGGTCTTAAATAGCTCCAAGTCATCTAAATTTCATAACAAAACAAAACAAAAAAACACTTCTATAGACAGGAGAAGACATGATAGCATTTTGTTCCAATTCACTTTTTTCTCACTTTATTTAAAATCTTGTTTGCTCACTATCAACAGTAACTGTGTCAATGCATTGCACTGAAATTGTGTAAAAAAAAAAAAAGCTTTGCTGCACTGTGATAAAACTTCCCAAAAAACCATTGACAACATATTTCCTTAAACAAAATGCCCAACTTTTTCACATGGTAAAAGTATTTTTCACATACTTAAAAGTAGAATGTCAATGATTACATTTGTTACAAATAAAGTTAACAAGGTACTTAAAAGTAATGATATAAATGCCTATAAAAGTTACACTTTATTGTTTAAATATTATCCTGTATTTACATAATTTTTCAGCATTATTCAAATACATTAGTTGTCATGTATACCCATGAAATATTATATACATACATCAACTCTAGTAATGTGTGTTAAAATAAATTCATTGCTAGGCTGGGCACGGTGGCTCATGCCTGTAATCCCAGCACTTTGGGAGGCTGAGGCGGGCGGATCACGAGGTCAAGAGATCAAGACCATCCTGGCCAACATGGTAAAACCCCGTCTCTACTAAAAATACAAAAATTAACTGGGCATGGTGGCGTGCACCTGTAGTCTCAGCTACTCTGGAGGCTGAGGCAAGAGAATCTTCTGAACCCGGGAGGCAGAGGTTGCAGTGAGCAGAGATCGCACCACTGTACTCCAGCCTGGTGACAGACCAAGACTCCATCTCAATCAATCAGTCAATCAATTCATTGCTACACTGAGAAGTAAACTGATGCAAAAGGAAAAACAACAGAACAGGGAGAAAGCAACAACATGGAGTCGGTCACAAATACATATTATTGCAAACATTTCATTAATTTTGAAAGATTAACAGCTTCTTGTATGAGGGAAAAATGTGAAAATATTTTTAAAAGGAGCATATATTTAATTTCTAAATATAGTAGTAAACATTCACTGATTTATATAATAGGAAATATAAAATGATAAAATAGAAATGACTGCAACTTCATAAATGTCAAAATCTGAGTATGAAGGAAAGGAAAGCTGAAACACTTTTGGTTATGTGTGCATATGGCTCAGTGCTTTGACTACACAGAACACAGAGATTACTTGTAATGGTGAAAGTATTAATTTATGAAAAACATTTTCAATATCAGTTCATCACTATTCAGTTAAATAAATTATCATATTTAGCAATTCGTACATGAGAGCAGGTTGGATTTTTAAAAATACTTAATCCTCACATAACTGGTTTGTAGTCCACAGATTAATTGAACATTCAAGTTTACAAATTTGAGGAAAAAGGAAAGAAAATCTTTTTATTTCCTTTTCAGTGTTAAATTTAAAAAAGATATAATAAACTTAGGAAATATAAATGTTTTAATAGAATCTCAGAATTCATGCTATCATATAAAACAATACTATAAAACAGATATTTTAAAATCAATTAAATTAAAGATAACCCTCAGTATATATAATTCTTAAGACTACTATATCCAGGAAATAACATTTATATTTCACATATCTCTATATGAAGATAAAAAATAAAGAAAAGGTTCACTAGTATATTGATATTCAAATTATTCATTGATATTTGTATTCACCTAAGAAAACTTAAATTTTAAAAAAACAAAAAAAATTTTGAAATCAATTGTTAAATGGGTAGCAGCAAAGTAAATTTACGCAAACTTTCTTCAGGGTAATGAACCATTAAATACCAAAAGCTTAAATTCTTAATTTTTGACCTTGCAAATATTTATTCTGAGGAAATCATAATTACCTGTAAAGATGTAACTCAAAAGAGTTATCTCCAGCTTCTTAAACATAAAAGAGTAATTAAAAATGAAAAATAAAACAATAAAAGCATAAAGGACAACATTAAAGGAAGTGAATAAGTAAACTGATTTCATATAATAATTCTAAAAATTGTATCACTAAATGTGTTGGTCCAAATAAGAATTTCAGAAATTAAAATTTGGGGTATAAAATAAGTACAAAACCTGGTTATTAAACATAATAGAAAGCATATCATTTTGTAAGTAGTACTATAGACACACACACAGACACATACACTCATGTGCACATCAAGAAAGTATTTACAAACATGTGCAAAATGTTATTAGTACAAAGTACTAATAGTAGTGATTATTTCTAAGTGATAAGATTACAAATAATATTTTCTTCATTTTTGCTATATGTATTTCTCAATATTTCTGAAATATATTATTTTAATAATAACATAAAAGTTACCTATTAAATGTACAAAATAAATCCAGTATAAGAACTCTAAAGTGATCTATTATTTCTCCTCCATTTGTATGGAGTAATTCTTTGGGCAGTAGAAAAATGTCAGACAACATGAGTTCCAGTCTCTGCCACTGACTGGCAACCTATTCTTAGGCAAATAACATCTCTAAATCTTACACTTATTTTCTGTAAAATAACTGGAAAAGATGATCATATAAGAGCTCTTCCAGCAAACAGTCCCATGTCTCATATATATTAGAAACAGAGCTAACGTTAAAATGTATTTAACACAGTGAGAAAATAATCTGCAACCTCATTAGAGTGTGTTGAATTTATATGTGTTTATGTTTAAAATCACCCAGATGTTGTGGATATTTAAAGAGTTGCTGCTGATGTTGTTTTGTGAATAGTGAATGTATTAAACTCTATACTCTTGACGTCCCATATAGATTCAAATCATTGAATTAAGGAGCTAGGGCCAAATATTCTTGGTCTTTGTCTTTGTACATCAGGCTGTCTGATTTCACTGCTATGCAAGGCCTGTGAGGTATTGAAGAAATGAATGTCTAGGCAGAATGTGTTGAATGTCTATGCAGAATGAACTGAATTCCATTGAACTATGTTTGCACGACTTCCACAAATTTCAAAGTGAGATAACTCTTAGTAAAGGCTTTAATTTCAGGCCCACAATCACTGCAAAAGTTTTCTATATTCTCTCCACAACATCTGTTCAAAGTCTTAGAATAAAATAAGAGTTTGTGAATTACAGATGAAATTCGAAATTAACAAACATTTTGAAATTTTCATTGAGAAAGAATTTAAAGGCCTTAACTTTGGTTTGCTCAACAGCATATTTCTTATTCTTCCTTTCTTTATACAACATTTCCATGTTTACAATTCATGGCCTGTGTCAGAAAGAGTAGACAGCAATGTGAAGTAGATGATATTGTCTTATCCTGAATTACAGAAGTTTAAACATACATTGCATTCTTGCCCAGAAATGGTATTTGTAATGACTGCATCTTTATATTCAATCAGTAAAACCTTTTCAGTACAATATTTGGGCAACTGATGAAACATTAATAGAAAATTATATAGAATTAAGGGACATGGCAAAAGACTGTTTACTATATTCCCACCACACCATTATTATCAATGATTATCCCAATACTTAGAGTACAAGGGTTATTTGCAATGTGTTGAGTGGTAAGTTCAATGTAGTAAAAATAGTCAGTTGAAACTCCCCCTTGTTAGCATGAGAGTGACTGCATTCCAAGGTTGCTCTTTTCTTTCATTCTCTTCTTTCTTCTTCTCCTTCCAGCCATGGAAATAGAGTTCAGTTATTTCTGCATGGATGCAAGGTGAATGAGGCTGTCGCTTCTCCTTGCAGTGCTATTGATTACAGGTCACTGACATAATACAGCTATTTTTTAATGAAAAAAGTTATATAGCATTATCTCACTTACTTGGGTATCTGAAAGGAATGTGTGGAGTGTTATTTATTTATACAGAAATCTGCCAAATGAGAGGCATCATCTTGCTTTGAGGGGCCTCCTGCTGGCAAAGTGAGCAACCTTGTTATTATAAGAATTAAATGCTGTACACTGTATGAAATAAAACACAAAACAATCCTTCAGAGTAGAGCTGTGCTGATTTTCAACCTGTAAAAATACATTATTCTAATATAGGAAAACTTAGAAAACTCCAAAGTGTTATTAATATCACTTGTTAAGGCCACCTAGTTTTCATTGTTCTCAACTACAAGATACATATTTAATTTATAGTTTCTGATGAAAATGTCAATAGATCTATTTAATTTGACCATAAATCAGTCTAAAACACTATAAGCTAATTGATAAGGAACTGATTTTCTAGATAAGCACAATAAGCACACGTCAGCTTGCAGTTTTCAAGGGACATAGTTTGTACATAGAAAAATAACCTTAGAAAACATAATTCTAATAATTGTCTCTGATCTCAATCATGAGAGTAATTAGTTCTTCCTTCATAAAGCCGTCACTGCAAATTATATTCAAGAATGAATATTATGTCTCAGTTACAAATTATATGATTTAATCTCAAAATTTCCCAAGACCCATTTAAAAACCTTGGGAGATAACTGAACATTTAATAACGTCAGGGTTATTAAATATCCTTCAACATTTGCATACTTGTAAAAACTATATAGCATAGCAAAAGGTACTAACAGAATTGCCATGATGCATGAAACCACTAAGAATCAAATATTTGTGTAAAAATTAACCATTTATGGTACCACAAGCCCCTATTAGAAAAAAATGTGATCTTTTTTTGCGAAGATCAATCTTGACAATCTACTTATACTTAATAATTTCCAAAGAGTTTAGAAAACAGACAGCCCAAGTTGTTAAATGCACTTGTTTAGAGTTAAAATACAGGAACGGGAGGGGAGGAATAAGTACTGTGTTGAGATAATATCTGCTAACACAGTATCTCCATCCAATATCTAACTCCTTCTGGACAAACAGTGATTCCAGGGAGAAAGTAGGGCAGGGAGTAAATGTCAGGTCTGGGGACCTGAATAGTTGCATGTCAGGCAATAATCCTAGAGAAGATTTTTTTCACAGTCCTGAGACTACTCCAAATAGGGATCACAGGCAAAAAGGACAGCTGTTATATCATCTCCCCTGAAAAAATGTTATATGGGACTATTACTAATGCCATCCTGTGTGTACCCAGAATCACAGGCACTGGTGTTCTAATCAAGACTTCTGACTGGGAAAAATGAAAAACTTACAAAACCTAAACTGCGTTTCTACACTCTTTTTCTCAAAGCACAAATAAATCCAGAGAGGCTTACTAGCCTTCTCAGAAATAAGAATGTAGTATAGATCTCAGTCATCCCTGAATTGTTTCTTAAAAGTACAACAAATTCTATTTAATTTGAATGCTTAAAAAAAATCTTAATACCATTAGAAAAGTGAGAGACATGATTCAACTTTGAGTTACAGGTTTTATGTAATATAAATACACTAAAATTTAATCAAGCAATATATACAATTTCCCAATTATCTTCCTGGAAAAATTACAAATCATCATATTCTTTTTCAAGAATGTATTGATGGCTACAGTGGTCTGGGTAATATTAAAGCTACTGCACAAAATGATAAAGGATAAATAAAATGGCTGTTAGTCATGAACACAGGGAGGGGAACATCACACACCAGGGCATATCAGGGGGCGGGGGGCTAGAGGAGGGATAGCATTAGGATAAATACCTAATGTAGATGACTATTCAGCCATTAAGAAAATAATGAAATTGTTTCATTTGGGGCAACCTGGGTGAATCTGTCGGACATTACGTTAAGAGAAATAACTTAGGCACAGAAAGGTAAATACAAGGAGCTAAAAAAATGAGCTCATAATAGTGGAGAGTAGAATTTTGGTTATTGGAGGCTGGGAAGAATAAGGCACAGGGGAATATAGAGAGAGGTTGGTTAAAGAATACAAAATTATAGCTAGATAGGAATAAAGTTCTAGTGTTCTGTAGCAATGCAGAGTAAATATGTTTAGTAATTTATTGTATATTTTCAAAAAGTTAAGAGAAAATTTTGAGTATTCACAATTCAAGAAAATGATAAATGTTTGAGTTGATGGATAGGTTAATTATTCTAATTTAATTATTATACAACATATGCAGGTACTGAAAAATCACTCTGTATCCCATAAATATGGACAATTATTATTTATCAACCAAAAACAAAAGAAACATATATCAGGATACCTTAATTGGAAAAATATAATTTAAACATATTTGTCTTAAAATATGTTGTTAACACTTCTGTCTTCTATTTATGATCAATCATTGGTTAAACAGAATGTCATAATAATGCTAAATAATACAACGGATGGAGGAAAATCAGTTGTATTGATTTTAATTATAGTTTAATACTCCAATTTATTGCTTTGCAGTAAAGTAAAAAGTTGAGTTGAAACTACATGAAAACTTCATCCCAGTCTAGTTCAATGCCTGCATCTAAAACACATTTAAAATGTATAAGGTTATTTGCATGTAAAAATTATTTTATTGGGTTACTATTCTTGCACATAAAAATTTCGGTAATTCAACTACTACATTAAAAGGTTTTTATCTTAAAGGTATAGCTCATGGTTTGTCCCAGAAACTGATGGAAATCTAATCACACATCCCCACTGCCCATATTGTTCTGGAGCACCACCTGTCAGCTGAATAAGATAATGACATGTGGTGGAGCTTGTATACAAAATTTCTACCTATCTCTCAGTCTAAAAAAATAGCTTTCATTGTTAAATTTGTTCTTATCTTTTGCAAAAATGAAGAATTCACAGCATCCTTGAAAAAGTTTCCACATTGGTTGATAGGAGAAATAACTTTTTAGAAATTCTAACCCACGGACTGTAGGGAGTTTGAGGTTGTTGCAAAAAAGCAAGCACTCAACTGTAGAAGAGCAGAAATCGCCCTTGCCATTACTAATATCTTTTTTAAGCATGTACGGTTTTGTGGCACATCAATGTTAATTAGCAAGTGGACACCACTGGCATAGCTCTGTGAAGTTTATGATGTCATGCATAGCCTTTACCTGATTCCTTAATAAATGTGAAAAACTGTAATATAGGGAAAGCACTTAATAATCACAACAATTTACAGATTATCTTCTATGTGACAAATTCTGTCAGTGTTTGTGTATAGATGTGGATGATTCTGCTCTAGCATGCAGAAATTTTTCCAAAAATACATTCAGTCATACATTGTTTTAGTTGTGTCCTATATTGAAGTTTAAATGCCTATAAAATGTAACATAAAAAGTTATCTCATGAATTTGATTAAAAACCATTTTCTCTTGAAGGCACTTTAAAAAACAATAAGGATGAAAGGACAGAGGATTTGAGTTTGCCAGGTAAACATAAATCTTTGGAACAAAACTGTCTCTCTAAGCTCTTTTTTTAATACCAAAACTATAAAAACAGAATATGAAGAAAAAAAGGATTTGAGAAAACTGCCCTTCAGAGAGAGCCAAATTCTTCCTCAAATAGTCTACTTAAAGTTCTCATGACAGTCCATGTGTACAATAATTCTATAAACCATTATTGTATCACCTGTTTATATTCATAGGACACACAAAAGTCAAGTTCAAATTATGAAAAAGAGAAAGTTCATGCTCTTCTCATATTTAACGTTTTCTAACTTTAAATTTATGATGTTTCTATTTTGCCTTTAACTGCCCTAGTTCTCTCCTACTACTACTATAGCATACAAAATATAATTAACATTTATTGGGCACTTACTATGTACCTGATGCTATTTTATATGCATTTACATGCATTTCATTTAACCTTCACAACTATGAGGTTAACATTAATATTCAATTCCCTTTTTAGATGGGATGATTGAAGCTTAAAAAGATTAAGTAATTCACCTATACTCACATGGTGGACTCAAACCTGCACTATTTAAATTCTCAGATTCCTCTATTTTACTCCTTGCAAAGTTTTACTTCGCATGATCAATTCCAAAAAGTTACTGCAATGGTTACTCTATTTGAGTTATTATAAATATAATGAAACCACAATGTTAAGTTAGAAGAGTGGCACCTATTGTTAATATACTTGATCCCATTTCCATATTTGATATATTCACAAATATTCCTGGTTATTTAGAATTATTATGAGTATCAAGCAAAATCACTGTCAATGACCTAAAATACTTAAGAAATTCATCTATGTTGCCAGCATACTTCTTAGGAGTTTTCATTTATCGCCATATATAAAATGTTGATATTTAGACTATGTGAATTTAATAGGAGCCTAGGCATTGCTGATCAGCCACCTGCACAAGTGTGGCCATTTGCAAGTTATTTAATTTCTCCGAGCTTCTGTTTCCTTGTTTGTAAAATAAGGATGGTAGTGTCCATATTGTTAAGGTCAGGTGAGATATTGTATAAGAAGTGCCTAGCACACTTCCTGATACAGTTGGCCTTTAATAAGTACTAGATATTATGATTTCTTGGCTTTTTACCAATGAAGAGTTAATGTGTGATGTACAGAAGTTTATAACAATTAAGATAGGAAAAGCACATTAAATTATGAAAAGCGATAAGTAAAACGTTGAATAGCTTGAGTCGGAGATGCTGTGACATATCCAAGTGGAGATATCGAGCAGGCAGTAGAAACAGGAAGGTTTAGAGCTCTGTATAGGGGTAAGAGCTTAGAATAATCTACGCAGAGGTAAGACAGGGGAGGGCATCTGGACAGTAAGAAAAAGATGAAGAGGACCACAGCCAGACAGAAGCATTGGATAGACTTACTTCTTGTTGAGTGCATTACCTTTATTCATTGCCTCCTTAAAAATAGTAAATTAAAATCTAAGTCTAATATACACCCAATAATAGCCAAATTGATTGTTAGAATATCGCCTCTGTTGAGAAATAGCTGTGTGATTTGTCCAATTACATAACTGAGTCTCATTTTCTTTATCTATGACAGAGGATTAATACCATCTACCACGCAGGTTTAAGGAGGCACCAGACGTAATGCATAAAAGTACCAGCAACGGGCTTGGTGCCTCCTGGCATTAAAGTGGATATAGACTGTAGAAAGTGAGGAGAGGTGGTAGATCAGAAAGCCTAAAACAGAACGTAGGCATCACAGAAATGCAGTCTTCATACAGGGGAACCAAAAATAATGTTAAAAGAATGGCCACAAATGGAAAAAGCAAAACATTTTATTTAGAAGGTTTATAGTGTAGATCCAAAAGTGGTAGTAAAAGAGAAATGTCAAAGGCCTTAAAATATTTCCAAAGCTGACTAATAAAGGTCTACTTTATTTGTAATTACGCCAGGCATGCATATGTACATCTGTCTTTTTATCTCCTTTTGATTTTCAGTTTCCCTAGGAAAGTGCTTCTCTTTTGCTGTTATTTCTTAACATTTTATCTCCCAGCCACAAATGCAGGCCCAGTTTTCTAAATTCCTGCTGTGCCTAACTATGTTCCCACCTTCCTATATATTTCTCCTTCCAGTTTAGTTAAATCAGTATTTAGTTATAAATACCTGCTGGCATAAACTGAAGAGCAAAGTAAAGTGTATATATTTTAAGCTTGTATGCTTATATTCTCTATTGTTTTTTAAATTGAGAATGATTAATTGGTGATAATATAATGGATCAGAAGTGTGAATATCTAATATGAAGACTGTTAAGAAAAAGGCAAAATGTTTATTTAAGAATGACAATTAAAAAAAATCCTTCACAAATCTACTAATCTATGAAGAGCAGGTAGGATGATGAGGAGCAGATGGGTGGGAATCCTAGCCATAGAGACTTGAAGGATGGGTTTCATCTGCTCTAATTTTTAGAGGCTATGAAAAGATACTTGGGCACAGTGTGCTTACGACAAGTTCTCAGAAATCACAGAACTCAATCCTCACCCCCAACATTGTGGACCAGTTGTTCCTCAGCTGCCTCACTCATTTCTTATCATCATAGAAGAGGTTAGATCAGAGCTTACCACCCCACACATGAAGGAACTCACTAACTCCTGGGACAGACCATTCCGACTTTGGTTAGCTCCAGGAGAAACTCCTTGATGGTGTTTAACTGAAATCTGATGCCTTACAATTTCAAACAGCTGTTAATGTTTCTGTTCTCCAAGGCTATACAGAACATTGCTAATCCCTCGTATATGTAACAGCCCTCCCTAGCTATTGAAGACAGTTATCATGTCCCCTTCCCAAGCCTCCTCTTTTCCATGCCTGGCATCTCCTTATTTCTTTAATCATTCTTCAAATTAAATAGTATGCTATTATTCTGTTGTAATATGAAATTTAAAAAACACATGTCCAAATCTAAGTTACCAAAATTATAATAATTAAGCTGACGTTCATAATTTCTACCATAATATTGTATTTTAACTTTGTAAAAATAAAAGTTTTAATTTTAATTTTTTCCTCTCCTTATCTACCACAAATGAAAATTGTAGATGTAGTGACCTCCAGGGATAGTCCCATATCTAATACACACACCTGCAGCAGCTAATACCTTGCCAGGTAACTATTCATTCTGACTAATAATATGAGCATGTGATATGGTTATCACCACATAGATGATAGTCATCATATATTCAAACTATTGTGAGTACTTGCAGCCTAATTTATAGACACAAATGACCCATCAGCACTCATACTCACTCTTGGGAAAATGTATAGCATTTGCTTTAAATGTGGACAGAACACCCCTGTCCACATACTAAATTACATGGGTGATTTTCTCCTAGGCCTCACTCATATGATTTTCTCCTAGGCTAATTCAATATGTGGGCAGTGGCATCCTGTCTGTTGTGTTTAAGTCATTTTTTTTAACTTCAACTCACATAAAACAGGTGTCTATGCTGTGATACACTTATCTCAGAAAAATGCATTTCTCGAACCGGCTAATACTTAATTGTGGCAAAGTTACTGTGACACTATTCATATTTCTATTATTTTAAAACACTTATGGAAAAATTATTTTTATATGTAACAGTAATATTTACAGTATTTAGTGACCGTAATGTCAAAGGCACATTAGAATGGATCATAGCATATGCCAGAGAAGAGATATGAAGGTCCATCATTGTGCCACGTATTAACTCTTTACTTGTTTGATTGGGTTAAGTCAGAGAAAGGGGTTCCAGGGAAGGTACCAGGGAAACTCAATCAGGTAAAACAGCATTTCAATGTTTTAACAATCAGTAAAGTTGTAAGAAATACACTACTTGAATATTAATCCTGGTATGGAATATACTTTGTTCATCACATCCTACACAAGGGTTTACGGAAATTTGAAAACGTCAAAAAGAGGCTCCACATTCCTAGTAGAAAGAAAAAAATAAACAGTAAAGTTATTTTTTTTCATATATTTGAGTAGAAAAGCATTGGAAAACATTTCACCTTGACTGGTTACAAAATCAAAGATGTCTTCAAGTTTAAAGCATACATGTGCTATCAGCACATGTACAATTACTGAAAACCTTAATCAACAGAGAAGCTATCTGAAAAAAATTAACCTTGAAATAACCACTGGAAATATGATGAGATGAACAATTCATGAATGAGAATTATTCTCTACAGTGAACTTGATTATGGAGAATATAGTCTGAAGTCATGACAAATCCTTAACAGATATATAAATAACATTACAACTCTGAATACTCTACAATTCACTGTGCTACAAAAGGCTGTTAGGAACACATCTTGACATTCCCCAATATAGATATTATTGTACAAATTCCAGGTTTTCTCTAGAACCACATTTCCACAAATGTTACACATCTGGTGAACATTTTCTCACACTAGTTAAACCTCATTAAGAAATTTCACTAAAGTTTACTCTGTTGGATAATACTTTTCCACAAAAATAAGGTTTTGAGTTTTGTTTGTTTTGTTTTAAGCAACTTCCTGATTATTACAGTGGATTCTATTCTGTTGGCTCATCTGGCAGGTGAATGACTACTTTTAGAATATGAAATTCTACCAGATTCAAATCACAAAATTATCATAAAATAATGGGATTTCTGACTGACTCACAAGTAGTAAAACTCTTGAATACCAAAAGTCCACTACAAATGTCCTTGAAACAAAGCTATTACTGATATTTTGACATACAGGTATTTTATTTTCTGCAGATCTGGAACAATTGAAATATTTTTGGTTCTCCTTTTTTTTCATTAATAAATCTGCCTTCACAGAGCTCATCCTGCCAGTAAGAAATATGTTACTTATAGAAATTTATTTTTATATAGCCTATAAATATTGAGTGAAAGCTGTTAAACTGTGGGAGACAAACTTCATCTGTACTTCTCAAAGAGTGACTGAGTCAGTTTGTAGGAGTGAAATAGCATGTATCGGATCTAAATTTGCCAAACAAAATTAGCTACATGCCATTCTATTTGTCTTATCTTTTTCTCTGGCTCATGGTGTGCTAATTCTGGCCACAAGCAATACAGTAAGCACAGAAAAAAATAATGAATGCCCCTTTTACCAACAGTTGCATAAAATGTTTTGTCTATTTCAATATATCTTGAAGCTTTTTATACTTTCAATTTTTATCCTGTATTTAGAAGAAAGAAAAGGGCCACTAAAGAATTATATCTGAATACCAATCACTTCAATTTCCATTAATTCCGAATACGTTTTTAAAGGTTTCAATATATCACCAGGGACAATGGGCTGCTAAATTTGAAGTTAACAACTGGGAAATATTATTAACTGTTTAGTTGATATTTTTTTAAAACTGTGACTTGAAATACTAATCTTTTTATTGTTTCTTAAATTTGTTAACATATTAGTTAAAAATATTACCAAAGATCTACACTCTCTATTATTTTAACTGAAATGCATTGTTTCATTCATGGCTAGCAATGGTATCTATTCTAGTTAAAATTTTTTAAATGACATTAAAAGAATACTTTAGGTAGTAAAACATTAGTGGATGTTAATTGTCTCCCCACCTATATTTATGGGTGTTAGCGCAACTGCTTTGCTAGTTGCACAGCTGTATTATCAGAGTAAACGTGTATTTGTAAACTGTATGGGAACTAAAAATTAGGAATAAAGCCATTTTCTTATTTTAAAGAATGGTCACATTTAACTTAGCCTGAGGGTAAAAGTCAAAAGTTGACTTTTATCCACTCTAAATAACAAATGATTAAAAATCCAGCGAGTCCAGTAAGCTATATTTCAAGGGGTAAGACCTTAATAATATAGCTCTTGTATATCCAAACTGGCAGGGTTCCTTTAAAGTACATCCAACCATTATAAACTACAGTACTGTGTAAGGGACAGTACTAAATAAACCATCTTAAAAACATAATGTCAAGAAAATAGATATATACCTGGATTAGGCATACTCATATTTAGAGAGAAAATATTCTAAAAATTATCTCTATATAGTACATTATTTCATCCAAAGATATACCCAGGTACTTTACAGTGTGATTTTACACTACGTAATATTAGGTTGGTGTAAAAGTAATTGTGATTTCTGCCACTACTTTTGCACCAACTTAATAATTTTCTTCCAGAGCAATGCATTCTTCCTCATTAATAATGGACACTAACTACATGCACTAGAAAAAATTACAAAAAAATTGTATAATGACACCCAAAATTCACAGTTAATGGAAGAGCAATATTCCTAAAATGTGTAATTTTCAACCATAGGCAGACTTACCACAAAGTTTCTAAAACAGCTTCAGCTTCAGAACCCCTCTATTGTACTGGTACTTCACAAGACCCTGTACTTAATTTGTATTTCTATTTCAATACTGTTTTTAAACAGGTTCCCCAAGTTGTATAAATGCAGATCCCCAAATCTTTTATTTATTTATTTATTTATTTATTATTATACTTTAAGTTTTAGGGTACCTGTGCACAATGTGCAGGTTAGTTACATATGTATACATGTGCCATGCTGGTGTGCTGCACCATTAACTTGTCATTTAGCATTAGGTATATCTCCTAATGCTATCCCTCCCCCCTCCCCCCACCCCACAACAGTCCCCAGAGTGTGATGTTCCCCTTCCTGTGTCCCTGTGTTCTCATTGTCCAATTCCCATCTATGAGTGAGAACATGTGGTGTTTGGTTTTTTGTCCTTGCGACAGTTTACTGAGAATGATGATTTCCAAATCTTGCATACGCCCCTGATTCGAAGTTTTCTCAAGATAAGGCTTAAATGGCAAAGAAAGAAATCTGAAGAATACAATGGAGGAGGGAAACTACAGGGTAACCTAAAGTAGAACTCCTTAACTGATAGATTTATTAGACAAGTTTCTTCATGTAGCTATAGGGAAAGCAAAAAGAGCTGCTGACCTGAAGGCACTAAGATCTGGCATGCTAAGCATCCCTTTCTTGCACAGTGGGCAGGTAGAGTGGAGAAACCATGCCTTTGAGAAGCATAACTAGCCTCTGCCGCCGTGAGAAAGTCGTGCAAGAGGCTGAGAAGCAGAAGGCAGAGCCAGCTGGCTCTCAGGACAGGGCAGATATGTAACTGGACCAGACTAGTGCACCAGTTAGGCTTCACCATTACATACTACTTCGTATCTCTAGTCCCTCATCTACAAAATAGGAGCATCTACAAAATAATCCCTGACTCAAACTTTCTTCTCATGGATTCTTAAAGTAAAAAAGGTCAGGAAAGTTCTAAAAGAACTTCAGGCAAAGTTTCTAATATCTCCATTCCCAATTTTCTCATTAATAGATTACTCGGCAGACTGTTAGGTAATTTTGAAAGTTACATTAACTCTTTTAGGCAAATATAAATTAAGGTACAATTAGTGCACCCTAGTGGCCTAGAAATGTTGACAGTTCTTTAGAATCTGGTAACCTGAAAAGAAATGTCTAGAAGTGCATTTTCCCTGGTAGACTCTGACTCTATAAATAATATAATTATTTCACCATTTTCAGAACGTAGAGTGAATCATCTAAAAGAGCAACTAAGAGAATCCCCATCACCTCTCAGTTCAGTTATACTGCAAGTGCTTCCTTTATAGGATCCTTTTAAAATGGTAAGCATATGTCTAGTTGTCTATTTTAAGATACTGAGAAATCTTAGCTATAACAAAGTTGTATTATCACATATATCTAGGAATAGAAAATGCCAGATTCTATCTGGAACCCTTTTTCATGAAATATTTATTAACATTTTATCTGGAGGCAAATATTCCTCCCAAGAGTCTGCAAAATCACTTAATAACATATTTTTGTATTGTGTTTTATTGGCCTCATCTATTCTTCTTTAAAGAAAGAAAAAGCTGGCATCTTGAGCTTCTTATATTTCCTCTTCAGTTCCTAACATGGTCCTGAAATACACACTGGTGGATCAGTACATGCTTATTGCTTAAATTGATTAAATGTTTAAATGGCAGATAAGTAAGAAATAGCAAAATAATAGCCATTAACATTAAAATACTGAACTACAAAATATTTACATGTTTAAAAGTGGTATCCACATTCCACATATATTTAACTTGCCAGAAATAAAACCAACAGAAATTGCACCATATTTATGGGTAGATTCTAAAAATGGGGATAGGGATGAATGATAGCGTCTTAGAAACACACCACTTGAAGAAATACCCTAGGAAGCTCAAGAAAGCAACTAAAGAAATTTGCAGGGTAAACATGCCCAATAGCTATTATTAAGAATTCTATAATTATGTTATTCAAACAGCTTACTTTGTGCACTATATGGTTTAATTACAAATAATAACCATTCATGAACGAGCTTAAAATTGTTCCTGCAAATGTATGCTATTCATTCATGTAAAAAAAATTTTTAAAGAGCTTATATGTATGTGGCACCACATTAGTCTCTGCAGAGTATAAAAACATTGGTACTTAAAAAGTCAAAACTATTGGTTGGTTTGATTAAATGCCAGATAAGTGATATTGATAAGGACTACTGGCTAGAGTAGCCAGTGAAGGAAGATGTAACAAAGACGTATAATTTAAAGTAAAACTTAAAAGATTCAAAAGTTTGGCCAAGTAAAAGCACCAAGTAAGCCACAAATTCCAGGAAAAGGGATCAGCAAAAGTAAGGACAATAAGGAAGGCATAGTCATGAGATATTGACTAGGTCAGTCTGGTTTTTAGACAGAGTACATGTTAACAGACTCTATGATGGATTTAAAAAGAAATTGAAGACAGTTTTAGCAGGCTTTGAACATTACAAGAGGGATCCATGAAAAGTTTCAGAATAAAAACTAAGATAATATTAGAAATGGTAATCTGACAGTGACAGGAAGGAGATTTTAGAGGTTTGAGGACGTGGAAGAAGAAGAATACCCATAAAGAGGATCTTGCAATAACCCTGCCTGAGGTTTCTAAGGACCAGATGATGCTTATAAAAATCTTGGGGAGTAGCTTTTAACATACCTATGCAGTCAACTTTCCTTTAAAACAAACTTATTTAACTGCTCTGTTCTAGACAAAATTACCAGACAAAAGGAATTCCTGAAAATGAAAGTATGTGTATAAAAGAAATATTATCCTGTTGTATTTTTATTTGGTTTTCATAGGTCCCTATAGAAACCCATATTCTCACATTCTTTAAGCCTACAGAGAAGGACAGGAAATAATGACAAAGATTTCAGTAAGAGTTTGCCTAGAGCAAAATAGTCACTGCCACCCATGATCTCTATTAGGCATCCCCTTGATAGTGATTGGGACCCATCCTGAAATAGAAGACTGTGCCACTTATTGCTCAAGTCACAGCTATACTTGATATAGTCACAGAGCCTGGAGAATCTGTTGTCAATTATTTTCAGTCCTAACCAGCCATGAGATAACCCCAGCAGAGGAGAGAAAACAAGCACACGCATTTTTTGAAAGCAGGTTTATGATCCCCACTTGTATTCAAAAGATTAACACTTGGATATCCACCTATACTAGAAGCACATGGGACCAGGAGTAAGTAAAGGTCAGCAGAGCAGTAAAGATTTAGCAGGTGAAACCGATTGTTTACAAGTCTAATCTTTGTGGAAAATAAAAGAGTGTTTATTGTACCATTCACTTTCTTCTCTTTCAACACATTTAAACTATGTTCGAAATGAAATATATTATAAATCTTCAATCGGTCTTGAGTCCTTTTAATTTAACTCTCAGGACTCAGAAACTGGATCTTGCATATTCCTATTGGTGTTTAGTACGCTTCAGTAACCCCTACAATATTGGAAATAATGTGATTAATAGTAATGATCCTGTGTTACTTCTCATGGGAGAGGCTTAATGATATTGCACAGGAAGTTTCATGGTGTTTATGTTAATCTTTTACGGGGGTCCACTTTCATCTCCAATTTCTATCAGGAAATGACTCTTCTTGCCAAAACAAGTTTCAAACTTCCCTTCTTTCACATGGGCCCATGAGAACACTTATCATGCCCAAGACGGCTGAGGCACATGAGGGAACTCAGCTACAACCAGAGAGCATTAAGTTTAGGTCAAAAATATTGCAGTCAAAAGGCCCAGAGGTAGCATCTTACAGAAGCCAACTAGAGTGAGGCAAAGGTGCTATAGAAATAAATTTATAGTCAGTACTTAAAGCTTTGCTTATGCTCTTGCTCAAAGAATAGAACTATGTCTTAGTTAGGGCCATGATGAAAGAGGATGGCCCAACAAAGACCATAGAAATTATCATTTCATGTCATATCTTAGGTCCAAGGACAGGCCTAGATGAATCTGAAGTATTCTCATGGATTTCCTGGTTAAAGGTCTCCATCAACTAACTGGTGATGAGGAACCCACTGTTTATCCTTTACAATCCATCTTATTTCAGCATTCATAGTACTTATTTTAAAAATGAAAAAATAAGCATTTTCTGCTGACTGGACATCTTCATAAAGCCCAGGTTAAAAAAAAACAAAAAGAAAGAAAAGAAACTCTTAAAAGTGCTATTATATACAGATAGTACTGTGGGCTCCTGTGTGACTTTTAGGGAATTCAAGATTCTATGTCTCCATAGGCCTAACCAGGTAAAGAAATCCTCTTATAGAACGATGTCTTTAAAAAGTTGCTTTATTTCTTTACTCCTCATGTGCCATAACTTATCAATGCAATCAATGATTACTCTCCAAATATAAATTAAAGATGATCATGAGGATCCCACTGTCTTTCTTTTAGAAAGAACTACACAATATGGTAATTAGGAGTGTGGATCCAAGCCATTTGTCTTCATTTCAGTTTCTCAATTCTCTTTAATGCAACATAACCTTTTATTTGTTTCCTTATTTTTTTATGTGTCAGTGGTTTTTCAAATACTTCTATGTGTGCTACAGAAAATGATATTGGTGTCAGGAGCTGCCACTAGTTTATATTATCTAATTTCCTTGCGCTGTCAGTTTCCTTACCTAAAACATAAGATGACTGGATTACATCAGTGGTTTCTAGTGCCGGACTTCTATGACACCAGTGCAGGAGAGTAGAGGCAACAGTGAAAGGAAAGTGAGGGAATGTCAACGGCAGGGGCCTCAAAGCTGCCTCCTCCCTGCAGCTTAACTACACAGCTCTCTTTTTATTTTACCCTTTCAGCTGTTTTAGAAACTAGGGCTATGCCTATGACTTCACTTGGAACAACAACAACAAAAAAGAGGTCCACTTACAAAAATAATTAAAAACCAATAAACTTTTTTTCTAAAAAGTCTAAACTTTCCATTTCTAATTAATTGAATTATTAAAAACATTCAAGATGTTAATAGCTTAGGCATGACTTTTAGCTACACTAATAAAGGTAAGGCGATTGAGACAGAAGCAAGTAGTCTAATCCCAGATCACATAACAAATGATTGTATGACCAGAATCCAAACCTCCTAACTTTTAGTGCTTTATTCGCTAGCATCACACAATAGCAAGGCTGTTGCTGTACTACCCACAGCTAAGGCATGCACTATTCCTATTAAAGTCTATGTGGCTGCTGCCCCCTGGAGTTGTGCAAAGTGACAGGCCTGCAGAACAATTCAAAATGGAAATAACTCTAAAACAATTATTACATGCTACATAGCCTCTTTAGAATTAGTTAACAAAACATCCACATATTTCAACTCCATATTGTAAAAGGGACAGCTTTCCTCTCTTGAAAAGTTTGTATAAATATAAAGCACTAGTTTAAGTATCAAGTGTGAAAACAAGGAAGTGGCCTTAAATCTTGATTACAGAATTGGAAAATACGGCAATTTATTTAATAAATATTTCAGAATAACCAACAACTCAGAAAAAATAAAAGAGACCATAGAACAATTCTGAAAATAATATTTTGGGGAAATTGCCCTCAAATACAAATGCCTTTGAGTTAATAAGCTCTTTATTTCATTAGACAGGTACTCTTTTGATAGAGACAGTTTGCTAGAAAGTTTACATTATGTTTCTTAATATAGGTATACATGTTTTAGATTACATGTGCAATTTAGATTACATCTATAAAAACAATTTAGTGGAATGTATCTCAATATCAAAGACTTTAAAGTTATTTTCATAAAACTGTACAGTGCAGAAATAGTGCATTATATGCATTTCTCTCCCAGGCAGAGAAGCCAAGTCACAAAGAGATGCAGTGAGTTGCTGAAGGTATTAAGAAACTCGAGAACTGTCTCTGCAAGGTAGAAATCCTGATTTAAACAATGTGACTACGTCCCATGTCCCATTTAACCACAAAATAGGCAATTAAAGTCTCCCTCAAATTATGTTGAAGACATACAGTTTCAGGAAACATTGACCTACAATTTTTTCATAAAAAGGGGTTATTTTTCATTATAAACTGAAAACTCCAGTCAATAGCTGTATTAGAAATCATAAAAAGTAAGGTTTTAACTCTGACTGCCAATATTTATAATACTTCAGAAAATGAGTATTAGATAAAACATGTAATTTGGTTCCATATGGTGAAATGTAACATAATAGAGCATCTCTAAAATGATATAACCTGGAGAAAAGTTGTTAATATGATTAAATTCTACCCTGCACAGGATACTCAGTAGATCACTGTAAAAGATAACAGTGGAATATGCTTGGTGATTAATTTCTGTAGAACAGATGTAGGCTTGAACCTCTAAAAACTAATTTCAGTACAAATATTAGCATCTCAACAAAGCAGTATCTCTCAAAACTGGTAAAATTAAACAGAGCAAGTACCAACAAGTTTGTAGGTATCAGAAAATCCGTTTTGATCATTTATTTCATTTATGTTTTAGGCACTTACAAACTATACATGGATATCCAACAGTAGCAGAACACTATAATATAAAGCCAAAACTTATGGCTATTTTTAAGAACATGTTAACTTTTCCTAATAACCAGCTTGATATAACACAAAAATAATACCGCTTTAAAGCATTGCAATGTTTAAGCCATCCTAATTCAATTTATTGTCTAAAATATGCACTGTGCATAGCCATTAATCTCAAGGTGGCTCTAATCAAGCTTCCAAGAGTACTTAGAAAGAGCACAATTCATTGCCTCACTAGCATTTTTTAAATAGCAGTGGTCCACCTTCCTTCCTTGGTCAAGAGGGGAAAAGAAAGAAAGAAAAAGGGTAAGAGGGACTTCTCTGTGGAAAGGTTTGGCCTTGGAGTCAAGGCTTTTAAGATGTGCCAGTGATCTTGGATCGATGCCTTTTTATTTTCTTTCAGGAATAAATCTGAGCAATGGAATGGCTTGTGATTGTCTGGCCAACCAGCCATATCAGATTTATCAGAAAGAATGAAAACTGGCTCAGAGGACTCCTGCAGTGGCTGAGTGGCAGGTTACTGGGAAAGACACAAACAAAAACAATATACTTAGTGGCGGAAGGGAAAATATATATTAACACATGTAAACTCAATAAATACTAAGATGTAAAGAGAGAATCTATAGTAACAGAAAGGGTGAATGCATAAGACAGATGATAAATAGTACTTCTATTTAAAAACCAAAGGGATGAAAGCTCATGAATACTACATATTTGAATCCACTTTGAGGAGGAAATACGATTTTCCATCAAATAAATGCAAACTCTAAAAATCAGCCAATGCAAACTTACTGTGTTCAGGTTAGAATAAAAAATGCATAAATCTTCCACAAAGTTCATGCTCTGATAAATATTCTAATGTAATTTCTTAATTAAGACACATTTCCAGTGACTAAATGAAAATATATATATAAAGCAGTAAGTGCCTTGATTTTCAACAAAATTTCACTTTCTATGCATACATGATTAAAATAAATAAAAGCAGTTGAGTTTAAGAGCAAAAAAAAGGAATACTGATATAACTGGAGTCATTTCATCACAACAGAACAGTTATAGTATTTCCAAGCGATTTGCAGTTATACTAACAGATATTTATTTAGACATATTGTGAAGAAAAAAATAACACCTTCTTCTAAAAAGCCCCCTTTTATATATATATATATGAGAATTTCAAATTAAAAAGAAAACATTGTACCGATAGATGTGCTTACAGTAAACACTTGTAAGAAAGAGAATTGATGCTTTCTTGAAAATATATTTAACACCTTTTTCACCACTTAACTTTTATTAACATTTTTCTTCTCAAATGAAAAATAACCCCATGATTTTGGAGATATAATGATGTATCTTAAATATGTACGAAAGCTATATGTACTTTTATAGAATGAAAAGCAAGACTGAGTTACCTGCAAAAAAGAAATGGGAACTGAACTTGTTCATCGTTTATCTACTAAGGTATATAAGAGTACCACCTCAATGCTACTATACATTTTCTTCAATACCAAGGCAATATTGATAATTTTCCATTATACAAGGAAGACGAATTTTAGAACCATTCCTTTGGTTAGCAAAGGCTTTATAATTGCCATATAAAGGGACTTTGGCTATATCTAGATATATCTAAATAAAATGCATAATTGAAAATGAGACAAAGTCCTTTAGAATTTCTAAAAAACATCCTCTCTAATGCTGAATTTTTTTCCAAGCAAAAGAAAAAAGAGGTTCTCTTCTGTTACAATTAAGAAATATCTTAAAGATCTATACAACAGCATCCCCCGCCCTATATTTTTATTCTGTTCACATAGAGCAGTAAATAAGGTGCATTCCTTCTGCTTAAGAAATTAGCATTTCAAAAATATGCCACTTTCCCCTGAACTCCAAGCGTGTCTAATAATGCGAGAAGCAGATTGTCTTCCCTCGTTTCCTTAATTTGTTTCATCTAAAAGCAATTCACTCAACATCTTGTCGCCCTCTGGCAGCTTAGTTTACTTATCCGCACTTAATTTCTCATTTGGACCAAAACAAACTCCTCCAAACTGCTACTGACTGCTAACCGCGAGAGGGGAGACGCGCAATATGTATTTAGTTGGGAACACACAGCCACACACATACATAGGCACAAACACACACAGCCTCACTCATACCCCAGACAGTAACTTGTTTTTATAATAGCACTGCATTAAAACCAGCTGAACTTTCCCTGCCAGGTGCGGCAGGGTGGGGGTGGGGGAGGATGAAAAACGAAGTCCCCCGGGGCATTTACAGTTTCCAATGGATCACCTTAGTATGCGTGTTGCAATTATACCAGGGATGCACCCGAGAGCTTTTCTTTGTGCGGCCCTTTCATCTGGATCACTTTGTGTTTTGAACAAGTGAGGCTCGCCTTTGTGCCCCCAGAATTTCAAGTACAGAGTCACACACGGAACAACAATGGCACGCTAATCCTCGCGCTCTAAATGGGCTCACTTGTGGGTCTGACAATTCGCCCAGGGAAACGAGAAGAGACGAAGCGAGGGCGCGAGCTAGTGTCGCCTGAGACGAGGAAGAGGACAGCTGCAGAACTAATTTGGATTACATTCCTTGCAGAAATTCTGAAAAGGGCTTTTCGGCATAGCTCAACTCGGAGCCGCACAGTTAATACCAAATTGCTGCGGACTCGGAGCGGGGTCCCCCAGTGGCAGAGGCTGAACCAGACAGCCCCCAGTAGGTCGCCTCGTAGAAATTCCTCTCGGCTAAGCCTGCATGTCGGTCGCCAATGCCTTTGAATGGGTCAATGTGCATAATCAACCCATTGAGGGAAAATATGAAGGGACTCGAAGTGGGGAGGGAGATAAAAAGAGATGTATCTAAGAGGCCGCTTGGAATGTCAAGTCCGTGTTGGTGTGATTCCGGAGGTGGCTGGAGCGCGGGACCTGGTATGCGTGAAGAATTTCGGAGTAATTGGGAGGGTGCAAACGGCCAGCACAAACGCCTCACATGTGCCATTCGAAGGTCATTTTGAAAGACTCGATAATTGTAACTTGTTATTTACTAGGCAAAGGAGGCGGCGGCGGCGGCGGCGGCGGAGCGGGAAAACTACAGCTAGCCGTTTTCTTGGTGAGGTCAGAAGGACACCCTCCGGGGGCCTAAAGCGCTCCCTATCGCCACTCCCGGGGGCTTTATCACCTCAAGCTACTTCCCACGCTCCAGTCACCATCCCTGGATGGTTTCGGAAATCTCTCTGGCTCTCCAAAAGGCACCCCTTGGCCACGTCAAGACACCGGTCCTCCTCAGACCTCTCCCGTCCCACTTTCATCCCCAGGAAACTCTAGTGTCAGAAACTTTGAGCTCCATTGCACTGCAGGTGCTGTCATTAGTCCTGCAAGCCGTGGCGGGCCAGCCCCGCCGCGCTGCCTCTCGGGGTCAATTAGCCCTTTGCCTGCCCAGGTACCTGGGGCTCGAGCTCTCCAGCAAGCAGTGGCCGCGCACCCATCGCCGCTGCCGCTTTCGCCTCGGGTGGATCCAGTGACCCGCAGGCTCGGCAGCCTGGCCGGGCAGTAAACAGACAAGTTTGAAGGACTCCGGCCAATAGCAAGTTGAACTACAGGAAGAACTCTTCCCGGAGCCAAACACGGCAACCGACGGGAAGGCCGGGCTTCTGGCTCAAGTGTGCCAAGCCTTTTTTTTTTTTTTTAAGAGGTCAGGCAGGCGAGTAAGCGCCCCTCAAGTCAATGGGGAGAGGGCTCCGGGAAGCCGGCGGAAGAGGCCCAGAACTCCGGGCCCCGGACCGAGGCGCGCCCGCCTGCTGCACTCCGGCTGCCCGGGCTGGGCGCGAGTTGCGTCTGACGCCACAAGGCTCGGGCGACTGGGGGCGCAGCGGTCGCCAGCAGCACACACAGGTGCAAAGCCCGATTTTCTGAGCGCCGCTCTCCACCGCCCTTCGGGCTCGGCTCGGGAGAGGCCCAGCCAGCACCGCCCCAGGACCGCGGCCCCGGCGGTGCGGGTTCTGCCCTCGGGGACCCGACAGGGACAGAAGAGTCTCCTCTGACTGGGGATTTGGGTCTCCCATGTCCCGAACAACAGGCGCCACCAGAAGGGATCCCGCTTAGGCTCCCAAACAAAACGCTCGGGAAAGAAAAGCAGGGGGTTAAGGAGAGAAAAGAGGGACTCAGAGTGATTTTTCACGATAAATAAAGCAAACGCACACATACAGGGTAAGTTTCAAATGGAAAGAGGGGTGACCGAAAGCCCAGGGAAGAGGCCCCGGTCAAGCGGTCCCTCCACGCCTCCCGGGATGGGTGAAGAGGGCAGGGGAGCCACTCGAGGCAGCCCCGCCGGCGGCTGCAGGTTCGGCGACCGGAGTGCCAGAAGGAACCCACCTGACTGAGAATCGCTGGGCTGGACGGTCCCCGCCGCCACGAGAAGGCTCACCCAGACCCAAAGTCCTGTCGCCGGCTTCATTTTTTGGAAGTCTCAGATCCCGTGCTGACAATTACATGTCCAAATGGCATATCCCCCTTTCGGGCACGCGGAGGAGATCCCCCAGCCGGGCGCGCGTGGGGGTGCGAGGGGGGCGGGCGCGGCGCGCGCGGTGTGGCGACTCCCAGGGCGGGCGACCGAGTCCGCGCCCGCGGGTCCAGGGCCGGGGCCCGAGGAGGGGGCGAGTGTGAGCGCGTGTGTGCGCGTGTGGGAGTGTGCTCGGTGTGTGCGCTTGGCGCTCTGGGCCGGACTGTGCAGCTATTTCCCCGCGTGAGCCTTCGCTTGCTCGCTCCCTCCTCACTTTCTCTCTCTCTCACTGGTTGGTCAACAATAAAAAAGGAAGGGGGGCGAAAGGTTTCCAAAAAAAGTTGATTGCAAAGAGGCGGTAGGTTTCCGGCCTCTCCCCGCAGCCGGGCTATGTTCTGCTCCTTCTTCAGTTTCCTTGCACCTCCAGTCCAAATCGGGAGGGGAGCGGGGCGGGGGGAGCTTCTCGCTTCTCCCCGGATCCCGTCCTTCTTTTTCCTCTCAGCTTTCCTCACACTTGTCCGGCGGCTGCGGTAATTAAAGCTCCGAGCGTCATTTCCAGCGCTCCGCGGTCTCCAGCTGCAGCCCACAGAGAAATTAATAAGACTCCAGAAAAAAAAAAAAAAAAGGTGCGGGGGGCGGTGGGAATAAAACAACCCTCCACGCAACCAGGCCGGCTCTGCTCAGCCGCGCAAACCCCGCCCATGCTCTGACCCAACTAGCCACGCCCTTCCCCCCCCCTTCCAAAGGGAAATCTTATTGGCTCAGCCACTCCCCAAAATCCTGGGCCTCCGGAGTTGGGAAAACACCTGTCAGGGAAAGGGAGCCTCTTGGTGGGGGCAGGGGAAGCTGGATTTAAAGGGCTCACCGAAGCCATGCACTGAAGCACTCGTCTTCCCTCCCTGGCAGAGGCCTGGGACAGCTGGCCTGCTGAGTGGACGGACCATTGGAGGGCCGCTTACGGAAATTTTTTTTTTTTTTAAACAAGAAAGTCAGCATTTTCTCCGTTGCCCCACGGTGCTCATCTACAGACAAGACTTTCCCTAGAAATAAAAGTCAATGTTGCTTTCAGCAAAAAGCCTCCGCCCGCAGTACTCTGCCACTCATGGTCCACAATTAGAAAGTACTTTAAAAGTGTGTACAGCAAGTAACTGGTAGCCCCTGAGGATTAGGTAGTGGTAGGGGTATAATCACCGCCCCGCCTCCCGCCCCCAGTTATGCCATCTCTCCGATTACTCCCACATTTCTAAACTGACCAACATTGAGCCAAACTAAACTTTCACATTTATAAAGGCATATCCTTTGATTTTTAGATTTTATGTTTTTTTTTCACCTTTGGAGTTCATTCTTATTAAGCAGATTCTAGTCCAAAGCCACTGATTTGATCTTAAAGGGCTAGAAATTGTCCCCAGCCTGAAAGAATTTAAGGAGGCCACATCAGAACATAATTAACCTTAAATGATTCTGTTTATTCTACAGTAGACCCAGCTTTAGGCCCCTTCCTTGTCCTCACTCTGCACATTCATGGTCCCTAATCTGGAGGTCATTGCTAGTTACGAAAGTCTCTGACCTTTTCTGAATCTAAAATATTCTGGGACTGGGTCATTTCAATGTACATATCCCTTGCCTTTTACAGCTCTGAAACCGCACCCTGGCAAGGGCCAGAATCTGCTGGGGGTAGTTATTGGTTTGCTATTTGTACAGGCATTCTATGTATGAATCACTTTCCTTTTTTGGTTTTTCTAGAAGCAGCAAATATATAAATAAAAAGTATCAGGGGAGCTTAAAAATCAAACCACCCTGCCTTTCATTTGAGACCTTGATCTCCATTTCCCACTCTCTTATCTATAGCCCCATCCCTTAAGAATTTCCATGGAGCTGAGAACAGATAGGAGGTACAGATGCCTGAAGCCTGAAGCTTTCCCTTTCTTAGACCCACAGCAAATAACAGGCTCCATGAAGACGCCCAACAAGCTGAGCGTGCGGTTTTACCAGAAGCAGCCTAGGGCAGAGAGGAACTAAGCCTAGAGCAGATGACGGAGACTTGACCAGAATGGTACTGATTGCAGCAAAACTGTGCACACTGCTCTTTGGGATTATCTTTGTTTTCTTTTCTTTTCTTTTTTTTAATTACTCTTTCTCTCTGTTTTCTCTTCTTTCATTCAATCTCTTCTCATTCCCCTTGTCTTAAATCCTTTTGAAATTCTCAGGCACCTCTCTTCCATAAAAGCTACTTCTTTTCAAAACTTACTTTCTGTCCCTAGAATGACAATTTAAATGAGAAAAACATCTTCCTTTTGTAAAAGTTTAAGTCTCTGTAGTAAAAAAAAAAAAAAAGTCTGGTTTCTGATGGCAATTATGTTGCACGAAGTGAAGGAATGGGCCAGGTGTGGTGGCTCATGCTTGTAATTCTAGCATTTTGGGAGGCTGAAGTGGGAGGATCCCTTGAGGCCAGAAGTTCCAGACCAACCTGGGCAACATAGTGAGACCTCAACTCTACCTTTTTTTTTTTTTTTTTTTAATGAGCTGGGTATGGTGGTGCACACCTGTAGTCTTAGCTATTGGGAGGCTGAGATGGGATAGAATTGCTTGAGCCCAGGAGTTAATAGTTACAGTGAGCTATGATCATGCCACTGCACTCCAACCTGGGAGATAGAGCAAGACCCTATCTCTGAAAAAAAAAAAGAGAGAAAAAGAAAAAGAAAAAAAAGACAAAGTGAATAAATGAGTTGCATATTTTCGCTTAAATTGTAGGGCAAAAACTTCATGGCCTGAATATTTTGGATTTTTTTATAGTTGTGCCAATTATGTTAGTTTTTGTTCCCCTGTCAATTTTATAGCTTTTCTATAACAGAATATCTTCTATATGCCCTGCTCTCACCCATATCTTCTAGAATAATTCTTGACAAAGGAGGATTTTCCATTAATATTCATTGGTTTAAAAAAACACTTAGTATATATTTTTGTGGATATTAAACAGCCCATACAAGGATTCACCTATTACATTACCCAACATACCCACAGTTTCCCTCTAATTCTGTTTGTTCTGCCTTGATCCCCATTTTACTCATTCTAACATTGAAACAACAATTTTAGATATGTGGCCACAGATGGGTATCTGAACAGCAGCCTATAAAATGATTTGACATCAAAGCTTTTGCCAAAAAAAGCATGATATATTTGATGGTGCCTTGTCTACCCAATCAGATTCCAGCTCAGATAATTTGAAATGTAGACAGGAAGGTAGTACCCTGTATGGGCAAGCCAAAGGATGAGAAAGAAGCCATGAGCTCAAGTCAAGAATCAGTTATTTCAGTGTCTACCCTCATTTGCTTCCCATCTCATCTAAGTCATTATAAGAAACAAATACCAGAGTAGGGAATATTTACTAGCTGATGTAGAAAGGACATGATACTTGGATTGTTAGAGGCCAAGATGAATCTCTGTATTTCTTTACTTTTCCATATAGCTTGATAATAAATCCCTATTAGGGGACCTAACTAGAATGTGTTGCTGTTACTCAGAACCTGCATAAAAATTATGTGGGTAACACAATGTGTTACTTAGCAAGCCACGGATGAATACCTGGAATTACCTGCTGAGTGCCCATTTTCCAGAAACAGCCCTTTCCTCAGTTCTACATGTTTAACTTGGATCTACCTCCGTGCTACAACAACTCCCACTCCCTGGCTCTAAGTTGGATCACTCAAAACACCAAGTTGAACCAAGTAAAATGCCTTGCTCACTGTTAATTGGATGGGACTTCCACTGAGTCCTTTATCTGGCAGTTTTTGTAAATGAAATAAAGAGTTTATATCCAGTCTTTCATGGATAGCTTTTGAGATCTAAAACTCCACATCTAGTTTTTCTTTCCTTCTATATAGGAATAACCAGGCCGTGGTAAGAATGAAGCTACTGTTTGAAAGAATCAAAATCTCAGATGGATCTGGAGAATATTCAAGCTCTTCCTGTGGGTTAGTTGTTCATGTCCCCTTTTGCCTTAAGCTAGTTCAATTTTCATTGTTGTTACCTGAAACTAGAACAGTGTGAAATGGGACTAGAACTTCTCCAACTTGAGAGAGATCATAGAGGTCATTATGCCCTTGAGAACAATATCTTGCTATGGCCCATATTCTTTTGTTTTCCTTCCAGATCTCTCACACTTTCCCTTGGTTGAAGCTGTAACCCCAATATAGAGATGGCTTTGTCCTGTGATGCTCTTTCATATCCCCTTCTCCTCTTCATTTCTTCCATTATTAACAGAATTCAAGGAGAGTCTTGACATAATGAGTGACAGAATGCTGCTGTTTGGAGAAAGGAACACATTGAACTCAGAATTCAGTGTAAAATTATTATACATCCCTGACTTTGTCCCAGAGTCTTATAGTTCATTCCAATCTTCAGCTTGTTTCTAAGACTTCCCTAAAGGTCATATTAGAGCTTGCTGCTGTAAATATTTTGCGATCGGCCATAAATATAAATTTGTGACAAATGTCAAGTAAGAAAAGTAAACAAGACTCTATTACAAACCAGTTATCTTCTCAACATTTAAAAATATATAATTATAATTTCACTTCTTGTGCCTTATCTTCCTCCTCATCTTTCTAAGTCATCTTGTGATCATGAGCAATTCAATTCATATACTGTGCCCATTTCCTCACCTTTAAAGGAAGGGCTTGTTACATCCCAAATCTAATACTTTATGACTCTCTGATTTACTCTTCACCTACTAAGTGCTTGTCAAAATTCCCATATACTTTAATTTTCTCTTACATTCCTTCTTCTTTACTCCCACTCACCCCCACACACATCTTCATCTGGGACACCAGATGAACACACCTTAAACTATCATTCTTAGCTCAGGCTGCTATATCAAATACCATTGACTGGGTGGCTTAAACAGCAAACATTTATTTCTCACAATTCTGGAGGCTGAGAAGTCCAAGATCAAGCTGCTAGCTGATTTGGTTCCTGGAGAGGACCCTCTTCTCGTTTGCAGATGGGCTCCTTCTTGCTATATCTTCACATGGCAGAGAGAGCCAGAGAGAGAGAGAGAGAATGAGATTCACTCCCCTGTTTCTTCTTTGTTTAAGATCACTAATCCGATTCGTGAAGGTTCCACCCTCATGATATAATTAGCCAAAACCCTATGTCCAAATACTATCAGATGGAGGATTAGGACTTCAAGATGTGAATTTGGGGATACACAAATATTCAGTTCATAGCAAGGCCTTAGGAAAATGTGCAGATAAGCTCACTTCTGTATTACTGAGAATTGATCAACAATTGGGCTCTTTACCACTCTTTCAGCCAAGGAGAAACTGGTAAATACCAACCAGGCTCGGCATTATGATAATCAAGCAGATGACAGACACAGTGGTGGTAGATTTTGCTTGTTATTAATAGTTTGTTGACCTAGCATTTGAAATAACACCTTTCCTCTTAACCCTCTGAGTTCTGGAATTCTCTGATATTTTGGTGACATTCAATGTTTCAAGGCCAAAAACAACCACTGAAAAAATTCAAATATGTTTTAAATGCACAAATACAGGTTAACTTAAAAAATCCTTTTGTTGCCTTAATTTAATATTCAAGGAGGATGTTCCCAAGAGTAAGCGTTGTTTTCCTTCTATGTGCATGATTAAGCTTTAATTTTTTAAGTGCTAAGGAGGAGTGACTGAACATAAATCAATCAAATCTGTTTTGCTTTTATGTCCGTTTACCAATGCCTGTCCAAGTTCTTATGGACATTTTTGATTTGTGGTTGAAACTATAAAACAATTTAAGACCTGTGGAAAGAGTAATGTTTTCCAAAAAGATTATGCAGAAAGATTTTTCTAGTAAAATATTTTTCTATTATGTATCTGTTTTATATATTTTCTTAAAACCAAGATATTGTGATCCATGTAGCTTTTTGTACTGCTGTGTAAGCTTAAAGAGAAAGAAAACCTCCAATAGCAGTTGCCAATTAAAAACTAGAAAGAAAAGAGACATTTCTCCTTTTTGCTTTTCTGTATATTTAAAACTAAGTTACACAGGAAGTTACTTACTGAGGCTATGAGAGTTGAGGTTACTTTTTAAGGTCTGGCCTGAAATCCATAACAAGATAAAGTTTACTAGTTTCTTTCTCAGGTAACATCTTATGTTCCACTTCTTTCCTTTTATATTCTTAACTCTGCAAAGGGTCTAATCATGTTATAATTAATACATCAATTGATCAAAAGAGTCTAAAATTAAATTTACTATGCACCTTAAAATGGATGTTATTTTGACTAGGGTCAGAAAGAGCTCTTAGAATTTTTCTTGAACTCCTGCCAAATTGTCAACCAAGGTAATCCTTTAGAAACCATGTATTTTCTTCTCAGGTTCACATAGGAATGGATGAATCTTCGAAGTTTCAGAAAAAGGATTCTAAGAGTTCAGAAAGTATCCTAAACTTGTCAAGTCCTTTTCTTTTCACATTTTAATTGTCTCTTTCCTCCTTGCCTGATCAATTACCTCTTAGTATAATCCAGTTCTCTTTTCTTTGCTGCAGTTCTCCAATTTTGTTGGCATCTACCCTTATCAAGCCTCTCCTTGTCCCTGAAAAATCTGTCATGAGGCCCAAGACATCTGGAAGATTCTCTTCTTGGTCCTGGCCCCAAGTAAATCACAATTTTCTGCATTCCAGGGTTATACACTTCAGCGAATATTTCATGTTCTAAAACATTTAATACTGCAATTCACCAGGGGAGAGGGCCCAGAAGAAAAGCTTCCAGAATTATTAAAGCTCACAAAGCAATATAAGATAATTTTTTAAAGTCAGAAGTTAAACTGATTATGTTTGATAAGAGAGAAAACACTAATAATAAATGATGTGTGGAGGTATTTATGTATTTTCTTCAGAAGGATAATTATTAATTTATGTTGATAGGCTGATACATGTTTTCCCTTTTGACTTGTCACAAAGGTCCATAGGACTAGAAAAACAAACACTGGTTGGCATATCTTTTCTCTGATGTTGTATTAGTCTGTTTTCACACTGCTATAAATAACTGCCCAAGACTGGGTAATTTATAAAGGAAAGAGGTTTAATTGACTCACAGTTCTACAGGGCTGGGAAGACCTCAGGAAACTTACAATCATGGTGGAAGGGGAAACAAACACGTCCTGCTTCACATGGCAGCAGCAGAGAGAAGTGCAGAGTGAAGGCAGGGAAAAGCCCCTTATAAAACCATCAGATCTCGTGAGAACTCTCTCACTATCACAAGAACAGCATAGAGGTAACTGTCCCCATGATTCAATTACCTCCCACCAGGTCCTCCCATGACAGATGGGGATTGTGGGAACTACAATTCAAGATGAGATTTGGGTGGAGACACAGCTAAACCATATCAGATGTCATAGATTATCATTTAGGAAATCCATCCATGAATATAGTTTGATTCACATTCAGCTTTGAATATTTAAATTGCTAATACAACAAATATTTTAGTAATGTGCTACTCTATCAAAGCAATATGGCAATGAAAGATACAAATATCCCAAAACCTGAAAATACTTTTATTAGGAGAGGGAAAGGCCAGGCTGGGCAATATTTTGAATATGAGGTAAGAATATCTACATTTACAAAAATAATTTTAGTAAGGAAAAAAGTCTAAAGCTATATAAAATTAAATACTTTTTTGCTCAATTAACGAGCTATAATTGGGACCATTTATTAAACAATTTTTAAGTAATACTTTCTCAAATACCAAGTCTATTTAAAATCATTGTACCAATAGTAGGTAAGGCCATTTTATGTACTGGTCATTTCTGGTGTTCTGTGATGAGCCTAACTTACTTTTAAGATAAACCCAATTTATAAACAATTGATATTGCTTTGTGTAATTGTGGCGTGAAGAAACTTTCCACTAGATCTTTTTTTGTTATATCTATCTACACTGTATAAAGTATTGCCATTAACAAACTTGTGACTTTTATGTATATTTTTAAGAAAATTATATTATCAGGTTTTATTACAATGTAAGTTATTAATAGTTATCATAGTAATACATGCATACTGACTTCACATTCTTTCTATGTAGTCATTTTGGGTAAACACTGATAGAGAAAGAAAAATGTTCCTTGTCTAATCAAATACTGGAAGAAAAGAAAACAATTGCAATAATGTATTGTTTATTAGAATGGGAGAGTAGGAGAGGTCTGCTTTATGGAGTTTAATGTGACTTTGCTAAATGAATACTTTTAGGCAAATGGAATTGCTAATTGTCTGACTGCGTTTACTTATCATTCCATTTAGTAACTTCCCAGTGCATTGGAGAAGATGTTATGTATGATACTGAAAATATGATAATTGTAGATATTTTCTGTCTCTCCAGTATTCTTTTCAGGATAATGTCATGTTTTTTGCATCATGACTCTCACAGAATATTACTTAAAGAGAGTGAATCAATGTCAGTATTTACCACTAAAAAGTAAATAAATAAAATAAATAAAATAAAATTATTTGTGTTTTAACATGACTGCATTTAAGAATAACCTTATCTCTTTGTATTTGCTGTGAGATGTTAGTAACATATATGTATTTATATGTAATAGATACAATTTTACCCAATATTTTGCCATAAAATGGAAAAATTACTTTCTCCTTTCTTCTAATTAATTGGCATTCATTCCAAAGCCTTCTGCCAGTTTGGTATGGCACTGACATTTTAAAAATCCCAAAGTAAATATTTCTCGAGGTAATATGACCTCTCCTCATTACTCTTTCACATATTTACCTCCTGAAGTATTTATGTTTTTGAAACAAAATAATTATGTTACATTATATTTTTAAATGAGGAAGAAAGTAAGCACGAGTATTTTTAAATAGGTATTTAAAATGAGTACCTTTTAAAAAATGTATTGAGTACAGAATTTCATTACACTATGTGAAAGCCAGAAAATATCAATGATACCAAAGTGTTAAGTACAAAGCCAATCAAGAGACAGACCATAAAGGTATTATATTTTAAAATAACAAGAAAAAATAGATGTTTCAGGTCATTAAAACCTTTCATACATGTATGCAAAGGTATTATAAATTCAAATTTATGACTAGAAAAGGGTCTTCCTGATAAAACTCACCTACCTGTTTTCTAAAGATGGTTGAAATGAATAGTGGAAATTTACTGCTAATGTAAAATTGGCACTTTTATTTTTTTAACCACATATTAAAATCAACATAGCTAGCAAGATAAAAATAATTTCAAATATTTAAATAGGAACTGTGGCTCTATCTGCCTTTCAGTAAACAATGACTAATTGTCCTAGCTAAATCTATACCTTCCTATGAAGGCACAGATACTGCAAAGATACTGAGGTTGGTACTCATTCCAGTGGCCTTCACTGTACATTAATAAAAAATGTTTGCTATGCAAATCTTGTCATACAAAGCAATTATGGTTGTTCCTAAACTGACCTCATGTTTATTTATTACTTCAGCATTTTACTCCCAAATCTTGTATGAACTTTTCAAATACAAACAATTTTTATGTTACTTTTTAAAGGTACACAATACAGCTATTTTTAATTTATTTGTGCCTAGTATAAATGAAGAAGCTGTGTAACTCTGTCAATCTGCAATGCAGTGCTTAGTGAGTCTGAATAATGTTCCAGTGACTGTTCATGCAAACTATTTTCACCCCAGGGTCTTTGTTAGGATGAAGAGGCCCTTCTAATAGCTTGAGGCCATGACACCCTGTTTGGTCTTACTCTGCAACATTAGCTGATAACTAATGGAGACTGTCAGCTACAGTACACTAAGCAGGAAAAAAAAGTATTTTTGTAGCAGGATAGTGAAAGTAAAATATACCAAAAAATTCATTGCTAACCATTTACATATTTTCTCAACTTTACCTGCCCTCACCAAGTGCAACTCATCTAGAAAAAAGTGCATTCATCAAGAGAAATGGTTCAGGAGCATAAATCCACAGTCATTAATAGCAGTAATGTTCTTTAACTGTCTAATATTATATTGCCACAGGAATTCCCACTTTCTGATTTCTGGTTGAGCAACAGTGGCATCCAGTGGCCAGATAATTGTTTTCATGATTAGAGTGTCCTCAGAAGTTCGGACTAACACTACATGCTTCAGATATATTTAGCCTAAGCAAAGGAATTTAACTAGGAAAAGCAAATCAAAAGCCTCTGTTTCCAAAGCAACCCTGGATCAAATCTAGGTCATGAGATTTGGTTCTGATGACTACTGGCAATCTCTCCAACACCCCTTAATAACTTCAATTTACGGTACCTATTAACCGTCTACTGTGTATATTCATGTGGAATATCAATATACACAGTAAATGGTTAACAGATAGCCTAAATTCATATATTTATATTCATAAATATATGAATATACATATTCACATATTTATATTCATAAATATGTGAATATACATATTCACATATTTATATTCATAAATATGTGAATATACATATTCACATATTTATATTCATAAATATGTGAATATACATATTCACATATTTATGTTCATAAATATGTGAATATACATATTCACATATTTATGTTCATAAATATGTGAATATACATATTCATATATTTATGTTCATAAATATGTGAATATACATATTCATATATATACATTTTTCCCCTGAAGATTAGACTCAAGTTTTCTTACAAGAGCTCTAATATAGGCACATTAAGTACTGATTCTACACTACTAATCCTGTCCTACAGAGCAGAGTGAGAAAGTGCAATGATAAAATGGTTCCTAGCATCATAGAGTTTACAACTGAAGTAATCTGATTAATTTGTCCATGTCCTGTAAAGAAAACTTGTCACCAATAGTGGCTACTTTTAACCTAACACAGAATAGCAGTATAAAAACCTTATCAGATGTATGCCATCTTCTTTATTCTTCATTTCAACTTCAGTTTTAGGAAGTAATGCAAGCTTAAGACATAATGTAAAAGGCTACAAAGCAGAAAATTCAAAATAGAAATTCACTCCATGGCACTATGTTTTTAAAAACACTGCACAAATCATTCAGGATGGGGGTGCTGCTTCTGTGCCTTTCATGTACAATGGAACCCTATGCCAGGCAACAAAGAACTAAGTGATCAGCTAAATAAACAGGCACTTCCCTTGTAGTCTCTCTTGAAGGGAAAGTGGTTGTTATTAAGTATGCACTGTGTTGAATAGGGCAATTCAATTGGAGAGAGCTTTATGGTAAAGAATTAAAAAAAACAACACAAGTTTCTCAACTATTTAGAAATAGAACACATTTTCAAGAGTGTCTTGATAACAGGTTGTATGTGGGCTGTCAGCTTGCTTTGTCCTATTAAAGCAATCATGATTCAGCATTCTTGGAAGAAAAACTGGGATGTAAAAATCCTCAGTAAATATTTTCAAAACATGAGAAACACATTTGTTACACAGGAACAAATTCTGCTGTCTTTTTGTGAAAGAGCAAGGGGAAAGAGACTATGGTTAAAATTATGAGTCTGGATGTTCCTTTTTTGTTTCATCCAAACAGCACAGCAAAAGGCCTTGATGTATAATTTGTTTCCCTGCACTCTCTGGTTACTAGAGAGGATCTACAATGGATACAGTGTTGATATTGGATTTATTTTCAGGATTTAAGAGATGATGTCAGAACAAGTAGCATAGCCACATGGGCCAACAAGTGGGTTGTGAAGTCAGCTTGTCCTCATAGCACCTATTGTCACTTTGTTTACAATACAATGGGTTGCCTATTTCAGGAACAAGAGTATGTGTTTGTGTGTATGTATATTTATTTGTTATTTCATTGGTATAAGACGTATTTTCCACATAGTAAGAATTACTTAGTGAAGGATGAATGAATACACATGGTGTACACACTCATATATTTACAGTCTATGCACTCATATATTTATATGGTGTACACACATATATATTTACATATATGAGTATGTATACCATTTGTGTACGCCATATAAATATATGTGTGTGTAGACCATAAATATATTTATAGGGTGTACACAAATGGTATACACACTCATATATATAAATATATATGTGTGTGTACACCATATAAATATGAGTGTACACCTTGTGCAGAGGAAACAATATTATTTAGTACTCTTTTATACTGCCACATTATCATTCATTTAAAGAATAATTGATAGGGCCGGGTGCGGTGGCTCGCACCTGTAGTCTCAGCACTTTGGGAGGCCGAGGTGGGCGGATCACCTGAGGTCAGGAGTTCAAGACCAGCTTGGACAACATGGCGAAATCCTGTCTCTATTAAAAATACAAAAAAACTAGTAGGGCGTGGTGATGTGCGCCTGTAGTCCCAGCTACTCGGGAGGCTGAGGGATGACAAGCGCTGGAACCCAGGGGGTGGAGGTTGCAGTGAGCGGAGATTGTGCCACTGCACTCCAGCCTGGGCAACAGAGAGAGACTCCGTCTCAATTAAAAAAAAAAAAAAAAAGATAAACAATAGTGAGATGGGCCTTATGTTAAAGGATGTCTCAAAAGTTTAGTGTTATAAACTGATAGTCTCTGATAGTATCTTTTTGAGGGGTTATTTCTGAGAATAATTATAAAATTTTTATTATTAACAGGAGACATAACGGGGATTCTTTTTATTTGTGGTAGTATGGCATTTGCCACTGTGGACGTTGTCTTCAGCCCAGCGATATTACATTATATTCCAAAAATGTTTCATCCTAATGAAAGAGGTCTTGGATTTAAGACAATGTCTTGATGCAAGTAGAAACCAGACTGTCAAGGAATTTGCTTATTTCTTAACTTGATATCCAATATTAAACATTAGGCAGGTATATTACTGTGTGTATGTCACACACACAAATACATGGATGAATAGATAGGTAGATTGAGTGATATATGGATGATATATTAGTATTTTCAGGCTGCAATAACAAAACACCTTAAACTGGGTAGCTTATAAACAACAGAAACTAATTTCTCATAGTTGTGGAGACTGGGAAGTTCAAGATTAAGGCACTGGCAGATTCAGCCAGATTCTGGTGAAGGTCCACTTTCTGGCTTATAAATGGCACCTTCCTGTTATAACCTCCCATGATAGAAGGGGCAAGGCAGCTCTCTGGGGCTTTCAAAAGAACACTAATTCCATTCATGAAGGCCACATGACCTAATCATCTCCCAAAGGCCCCATCTCCTAATACCATAATGTCGATGATTAGGTTTCGGCATATGAATTTGGGGGAGACACAAACATTCAGACCAAGATAGATAGATAGATAGACAGTCTCTGTTGTCAAAGATCGACACCAGAAATTATAGAGCCGGGAAACGTCTCATCTAAAACATAAATTGGGCATTTTACAATCACACTATGGATTATCATCCCTTTTAGACATGAAGAAATCAAAAATAGGTGTGCTTCAGTGACGGCAGCTAGCAAGGGCTGACTTGAACTTAAGTCTTTAGATAACAAGACAAATGTTCTTTCTACTGTATCACAGAGGCTTGTGCTCTTCAGTATTCTAATTACTCAATTTCATGGCTCTCTATAGCTATTTTTCAATCTCAAGCCCTCAGATGTGTTCCTAAGCAACAAAACCAGAACAACTTTCCTGAGGTAGGGGTAAGGGAGGAATCAATTTTGCCTGCCAAAGTCAACTATAAAAGACGTAAAGGCTCTTACCTACAGATATACAACACAATCATTAAGAGACGGAGGTGAGATTGTTTATGTAGCTTCCTAAACACATCTTTAAGAAGTCTGTTGCCCAAATGTATACATAACATGTACTATATCTACAGCCACTATAGCTATACCTTGACCAACAGGTCTATGTGGGTAGAAAATATGATCAAAGTATAGTTTGTCTTGATCCACACCCCAGTTAGGATGGACTTGACACACAATTTTTTTGACTTTGTAGAGTTTGCAAGGCCCAAGTAATAGCTTTGTATGTTAAAACATCACTTGTATCAACAGAATCTGTATACTTACTTTTTCAAATAAATAATCAGATGGATTTTAATGAAACCATACCATCATAATTTTGTGACCATGATATTATAATGCATTGTTACTGCTGATCATTTTTTCTTGGGGAGCTGCCATGCTAGGTGCTTTGTTAAACTGTCCCATAGGACAGACATGATAGGATGAACAACTGAAGTATTGCACCATTATGGACCCCTATGATTTCCAATGGATGACTATGACATAGAAATGCTGTGTAATGCCTAATTAACTCAGTTGGTTTATGTAAGGCTTTCATAAAATCAAGACTATGATTCTGCCAAATACAAATTATTGAAAGCTTATGTGCAAGAAGTACCACAGTCATCAAGATCAGTCCTTCATTTCTCATAAAAGACACCTTTCTCATGGCTTGACATCTCCCAAATTAAAAAGGCTGGCCTTAAGCAAGATGCGATATCTGGTTCAATAAATGTTATCTCAAAAATAATAATTAAAAGAGTGAACAGACAACCTGCAAAATGGAAGAAAAATATTTGCAACTATCAGTCTGACAGGGGACAGATACCCAGAATTTACAAGGAACTCAAACAACTCAATAAAAAAATAAAAAAAAAAAAACTTGGGCAAAGGACATGAATAGCCATTTTTCAAAATAAGATACACAAATGACCAACAGATATATGAAAAATACTCAATATCACTAATCATCAGAGAAATACAAGTTAAAACCACAATGAGATATCATCTTACACCAGTCTGAATGGCTATTATTAAAAAGTCAAAAAAATAACAGATGTTGGTGAGTATAGAGAAGAAAGGGAACTCTTATACACTCTTTGCAGGAATGCAAATTAGTACAACCTCCATGGAAAACAGTATGGACGTTTTTCAAAGAACTAAACATAGGACTGTCATTCAATCCAGCAATCCCATTACTGAGTATCTACCCAAAGGAAAATAAATCATTTTATCAAAAATACATCTGTGCTTGTATGTTTATTGAAGCACTACTTAAAATAGCAAAGACATGGAATTAATCAAAGGGTCTATCAATGGATGATCAGCTAAAGAAAATGTGATATGTGTATATATACACACGGTGGAATACTATTCAGCCATAAAGAAGAATGAAATTATGTCTTTTGCAGCAACACTGGTGGACTTAGAGGCAATTATCTTAAGTGAAACAACTCAGAATCAGAAAGTCAAATACCGCATGTTCTCACTTAGAAGGGGGTGCTAAATAATGTATATACATGGACATAGAGTGTGGAAAAATAGACATTGAAGACTTGGGATGGTAGGATGGTGGGAAGGAAGTTAGGGATAAGAAATTATATAATGGGTACAATGTAAACTATTCAGGTAGTGATTACACTAAAAGCCCAGATTTCATCACTATACAATATACTCATGTACTCAAACTGCACTTGTACCCCTTACATTTATACAAATAAAAAATAAAATTTTGGTACCTAGAAAGATATAATAAAGGGATATAGTCTTTTGATTAAAAAAAATTATCTCCACCCTGATGTGGAAGCAGCCATGAGAAAAGAGATTTGGAGAAGACCTTCTTTTGGATGTCAACTACAACAAAATTACTTATTTTCACAACATGTAAATATGTTCATTGCTTGATTTTTTTGGTTGAAAACATAGTAAGCTAAATTCATAACACTGGCAGTGTTTCTGTATGTAAACAGCTTAAGACTGAAATGACTTTGCATAACTAAACACATTATATAACAGCTCTTCCCAGTTGCCTATTTGAAAGGGAAACAGCCATATGAACCGTTTTGTGGTTCCAGGTGTTGCTGTCTTCCTAAATAGTAGCAACAGATGTGGCCCTTTGGCTCATGAGAGCTGGTATGTAATGAATCTGGAGAGGTAGGATGGAGAGGAATTTTGCATACTCAGCAAGCATGCACCCAGAAAATGGGTGCCTGGCCTTAAGCTTTGCACAATGTGAATTATAAATGCTGTCTTGATTTTCGCTGTTTCAGAACTACAAGCCATCTAAAAATACCCAAAGAGGATAATTTATTTAATGTCTTTGAATAACCACTTAATTAATTGAAAATTAAGTTATTCAAATTGTTGAAACATATTCAAATTGTTGAAACATTTTCAATTATCTTACTCTATGCATTTATACCTTACTTTACAAATAGAAGAAGTTTATCATCATTTAGAGCTACAGTATCTTCAGTTCATTACTCTCAAGAGAAGATTTTATGTCTTGCCTTAAGTTATGTTGAACTGGAAGAAAGGTCTCCCTTATTCTACTAAAAGTGATCTTACCAAACTGCTTCTCAAACCTCTGCTCCAAAGCTACCCCAACCCACATCAAATGCCCTCAAATCAATCAAACAACCAAACAACTCACCCAATATCCTGTACACAAAACAAAGCTATCTCAACCCTTATTAAATGGCCCTGAACCAACCAATCCACTCTATATCCACATGCATAAAACAAAGCTACCATAATATACATCAAATGTCCTCAAACGAATAAGCCAACCAACTCAATAACCCCCTCTCTACTCCTCAAAGCAACTAAAATACTACCTGGAATGAACAAAACAAAGAACCAGATGATATCCTAAGAGTAAAAGTGAATCAAGAGCTGAGAATGACTGATAGACTAGCTATTTTAAATTTAATATTTTATAACCAACAGGAAAAATAAATTGGTCACAAAATCAAAGTGTAAGTCTTTACAATCTGAATTTCCTTTATTTACTTTGATTTTTATCACACAGTCATTAATATGAAATTTACCTAATTTCTTATTAATTAGCTGGTAAGAAACCTGAAAACTCCATTATGTCTGACTTATTATTGATCCATATAAAGTACCAGGAAGCTTAAGATTTCCTGTATATCAATTTCTATAATCTATAAAATACAGATAGGCTCAGAATGAATAAATTAACATTTATAATTTTTGCTTCCTTCTTGAGCAAAAGAGATACAACATAAAATGTAGAGGTTATAACGGAAAAACATTTATAAGAAATATAGCTTACTCATTACTTGATAAGTTTTATTTCTAAAGTATCTTCCAGTGTCATTGTCAACAAATGTTTGAAGTAGATTTTTAAAAAATGCAATAATAGGGACTGCGTGAATCTATCTCTTTCCCATTTAACCACCATACAAAAATCCTGTGACACCTCATCCAAACCAACTAAGTAAATTATCTCGAAGAATCTAAAATATAATAAATTTGTGATTCAAAGCAAAAGCATTATTCACTATTCTTAGTAGATAATTTGTTAGTGAAATGTTCTAATTTTTGACATATGAAATATGAAAAACACTAGCTAAAATATGAAAAACAAGTGAAATTCATAAATGAAATTTATTTCCAACCTGAAGCACACTTACAAAATATGCACACCATTGCATGTGTTCTCACATTACACAAGGTCAACACTGCCAGAAGCTTGTACTATATCTGCTTAAAATACAGTATTTATGAGTAAAACCTATGGGAATGACCAGTGAAATGTTTCCTCTTTGCCAGACGAAGGCAAGATATATTTTTAAAAACTCAGCAATGGATATTTACTTTGCTAACCATCAACGTGTTATATATATTTTTTTGCCTTTTCCCTTTCCTTTTTTCCGTTTCTTACTAAAGAAAAAAAAAAAAAACGCTTACCTGTGTCTTTGTAAAAACAAATATTTAAACATTGGTATACTCCAGTGATGCTTCTAAAAAGAATATAGTAGAATGATAATAGAATCTCCAGCAGCAGCAATAACAAGGCCTTGGTCATTTTCCTTTTTCTTTGAAACTGTTACCTTGGATATTGAATCCCTCCATAATTTCTGATACTTTTAGAGGTGGGAATGGTGGCATATCAAGGATAAATTAAATTTATCATTTTGGCTTTAACACGTACGCTATAAACGTGACAGCTTGGTGCACTGTAGCTGACAGTTCCCATTAACTAGGAGCTAATGTTGCAGAGTCAGTCCAAACACAGAGTCACGGCCTCTGGCTACAGGAAGGTCCCCTTCATACTAGGATTCTCACACCCCCTTGGGAACAAAAAAGCTATAAATATTTTCTACTAGTTCCCTCCTCAAAGCTATATAATGAATATTTACACATTGGGATCTTTTTTTCTACTCTTGGAAAAGCACTTCCAATTGACACATTTTATTGGTCTGAGCAGGTGACTCAAGCCAGCCCTCTTTGCCTTCACAGTAAAGAAGCATACAGGAGGGCTTACTCTTCAGTTCTTGAATCACTGGTAAAACAATGGGTAAAAGAGTAGGAAACTTTTTTTGAACTTTTAAAAAATTAATTGATAAAATACGCAAGTACCAGGAAAATCTGCCAAAACATGAAAAAAACCAAAACGTTAAGAAGTGAAGTTTGAATGAGACTTCAACGATAAAATAAATGCTAAACTGACTTGCTGGAAATTTTAGGTCCTAGAGACCATTGAAAGAAACATAAATCAATTTTTGGAATATATTTACGTTTAAGTAACCAAGTCATTTTAGTATCAGTTGTTGGCCACAAGCACTGTGAGTTTGTATGTATCTGTGTGTGTGGATGGACAGGAGAGGCAGATGCTACAGAGAACTTGTCACTGTTTGTTTACAAAGTGCTCACATGATATTGAGGTAACTCACAAATCACAAATTCCCCAGAAGAGGCCACAGAACAGAGATTAAGAACAGAGATACAAGGCCGGGCACGGTGGCTTACGCCTGTAATCCCAGCACTTTGGGAGGCTGAGGCGGGTGGATCACGAGGTCAGGAGATCGAGACCATCCTGGCTAACACGGTGAAACCCCGTCTCTACTAAAAATATAAAAAATTAGCCGGGCGTAGTCGCCTGTAGTCCCAGCTACTCGGTAGGCTGAGGCAGGTGAATGGCGTGAACCCGGGAGGCGGAGCTTGCAGTGAGTCGAAATCGCGCCACTGCACTCCAGCCTGGGCGACAGAGCAAGACTCCATCTCAAAAAAATAAAAAAGAACAGAGATACAAGAGCCAGACTGCCTAGGGCCAGTCCTTGTACTGCTACTGATTAGGTGCACAATCTGGACTAAGTTAACTTCTCTGTACCTCAGTGTCCTCCTCTGCAAAATGAGCAGAATAATGGTATCCAGTTGTGTCTGAGAACTAAATAAATATTGGTAAAATGCTTTAAATAGAGCAAATATTAAAATAATAACATATTTAATCATGGCTTTGGGAGACATATAGGGGCATGATAAATAAAAGTCTAGCCTCTGCCCTCATGGAGTTAATTGCCTACACAGGAGAAAACAGATTAGTAATTAAAAATAATAATAATAAATGTGGATAATTGCAACGTCCAGGCTATGCATAAGGTGCCCTGGAACACAAAGCAGAGATGTACTCAACTAAATTAAGCTGATGGAGATGCAGTGTGTTCAAAAAGATTTCATGGAGAAGGTCAAGCTTTAATACAAGACTTGAAGGATAACTTGAGTTCCTAGATAATGATAGGGTGCTGGTTTGAGGATTTAAAGTAGAAGGACCGGCATGTGCCATAGCCATGTGTGGCATATTGAAGTTTTGGAAAAGAGTTGGTATGAGTGGGCTATAAAGTACCCTGGACAGCAGGAGGATGGAAAGGCCGACTGGCACCTTATTAGGAAGCTTGGACTTGATCATGTAGGATGAGGGTGAATTTAAAGGTTTATAAACCAGGGGTATTATGGTAATGTTTACATTTCTAAAAAGATTACAGGAGCAGCAGAGTTAAGAATGGACTAGAGGTGAGTAAGATAGAAATCTAGAGTTCAGTTGTTATCATAGTCAAGGATAATGACATAATCAAGGGAAGTCAAAAGAGATGAAAGAAAATTGTTTGGAGTCAGTAAATAATTCCAGTCTTAATTTGTGTTCAAGACCCAATCCAGGCATCATCCTTTCCAAGAATCTTCCTTAAAATTTCAGATTGGCCTAAATGTTCTCTTTCTGTACAGGATTCTACAGCACCTTTAATTGTATCATTTGTCACACTGTATTGCAATTTTATGTTTATATCTGTATCTCTTTTTTCACTGGCTCATTTATTCATTTAACAAACATTTTAAAAGCCATTCTCCATGCAACACACCGGTTAAATGTTGGGAATCCCCAGACAACAGTATCATTATGATCTTTTTCCTTCCAGAACATTTGGTCTAACAGGAAAAAAACAGATCCTCAACAAATGCTTGTTAAATTGATGAGATAGATTTGAGGATCATAAATACAGGGGTTGTTGAAATTTTGAACATGGATAAAACCTTTCTAGTAAGTAAATGTAAAAAGAAACATGCTGAGTGAGGCTGGAAAACACCAATATTTAAGAGGTGAACAAACTCAGGAAGAGGAAAGTGTAAAGGAAAGCTGGATCCACTAGAAGAAACAACATAAAATTACTTTTTTTGTTGTTTTTTTTGAGACGGAGTCTCACTCTGTTACCAGGCTGGAGTGCAGTGGCACGATCTCAGCTAACTGCAACCTCCGACTCCCTGGTTCAAGCGATTCTCCAGCCTTAGCCTCTCGAGTAGCTAGGATTACAGGCACGCGCCACCATGCCCAGCTATTTTTTTATTTTTTTATTTTTAGTAGAGACGGGGTTTCACCATGTTGGCCAGGATGGTCTCCACCTCCTGACCTTGAGGTTTGCCCACCTCGGCCTCCCAAAGTGCTGGGATTACAGGCGTGAGCCACTGCACCTGGACAAAATTACTTTTTTTAACCATCAGATATTATCTGCAAAACTTTGTTACTCAATAATCATGTTTTCAACCATTATGATACTTTTTGTTATTTGGACTCCCTTTCAAAATTTGCATTAATAATGCCCCAATCATTCATAGTTAGTATTAGTCTTATTTCAATTAATGCTTATGCATGATTCTACTTATATGAGGTATATAAAATAGTGAAATTCATAAAAGCAGAGAGTAGAATGGTGGTTTCCAGGGTGTGTGGGGAGGGAGAAATGGGGAGTTGCTAATCAACAGGATTAAAGTCTCAGTTATGCAAGATGAGTTAAGTTCTTGAGATCTTCTGTACAGAATTGTGTTTTCAGTTAATGCTGTATTGTACATTTAAACATCTGTTAAGGGGACGGATCTGTGGGAAGTGTTGACCACACAATTAAAAAAAATAAATAAATAAGATTTTTTTTAATTCAAGGAATTAGAGCTTCAATAAGTGAATAATTTCGTGTCAAATGCTGCAGAGAGGTCAGTGAAGATTAAGCCTTAAGAATAACAATTAGATCTGGTGCGGTAAGCAAAATTTGGTCCACATAACCTTCATTTACCACTGGCGTTACTTGCATGATGTGTTAGGTTATGTAAGGGATATAATTAAGATTATACCAAATGACTTTATCTTGGATTACCTGTGTGAGCCTATTCTAATCACATTACCCCTGCGAAGCAGAGATCTTTCTTCAATTGGAGGCAGAAAGAGCACAGAGATTCCCAGCAAAGGATTCCATGTTCTATATTGTTGTTGGCATGAGATAAGAGGAGACAGTGTCAAAAAATCAGGGACTTGGGTCCTACAATAAGGAGCTGAATTCTTCCAGTAACCTGAATGAACTTGGAAGTAGAATCTTCTGCAGAGCTTCCAGATAAGAACCTGGCCCACTTGACTCCTTGATTTCAGCAGAGGACACAGTTGAGCTGTGTTGTGTGTGGACTTCTGAACCACACAATTATAAGATGATAAATTTCTGTTGTTTTAAGCCACTAAGTTTGTGATAATTGGTTAGGACAGCAATAGGAAACTAATATACTTGCCAATTACAAGTCAGTTGTGGGGTGATGCTGAGAGTAACTTCAGCAGTATACTGAAGTCCAGAAGCAAACTTGAGTTAAAGAGGATGGGAGAAGTGGAAGCAGAGGAGCATTTCCCTTTCATATTCCCCCCGCCTTTTTTTTTTTTTTTACATGTTTCCATTGTTGTTCATGTAGTTTTTGTGAGATGATTTATAAAGGTAATTTGTTGAATTTTACTCCTTTTCTACCCTAAAATATAACTTAATCCAATGAGCTTAAAATCATTTGCATGTTTGATAAATATTTCCCCAGTCTCCCTCTAGACAACTAATAAAAGAAAGAATCAAATTGATGAGGCTCAAGATACAGGTAAAAATGTATTGCATTTAGTGTATGCTTGCTAAATATCAAAAAGTTCCAAGAGATCTCTTCAAAGTCCCTTCCCACACTCAATATAGAAAAACACACTATTGGAAGAACACTTGATGTTGCACTGTGAAATAGATTTTTTAAATCTTGAATGCCCAGTCTTTCTTTTTTTCAAAATTATATGTAAATAAAAATTGTAATGGATACTTCTAAGGAAAACACATAAAATACATAATGGCTAAAAATTAACTGTCCAAATTAGAAGAAAGACACTAATACTGAAACATGTTTCATGCCTACATAAATAATATTAATATATACATACATATGAATGTGTATATGTATACAATATTATATATGTATGGATGGATATAATTATTTGGTAAAAATATGCAAACCATGTTCCAGAAAATGTTTTTGGTCTGTATTCAGGGGATTTGATAGAATGCAAATTTAATAGACATTTATTTCATTACTGCGATGTGTGAAGCTCTCTCTACTAAGTACTTGGGTTGATATAAAAATAAATAAAATTCTTGCACTCCAAAAATCTGTATTTTAGATAAAAACTAAAATGAATTTTTTAAAATATATGCACAGGAACATCACATGGGATTCATGTCACAAATCAAATTCATCCCATGTTTATTAAGATGGCCCCCGAAAGAGTAGAACTGATATTTCTAGCTCTTTTCTATGCAGAAATGGGTCATGTATTTCTGTTTCATGTGACTGAATGTATTACAAACCCTTCTACTGTGGATTCAACTGAACCCAACAAATCTGCTATAGGCTAGGTGCTGTGTTCTACCCTCAGGTTTGAAAGAGTTATAAGACAAGAGCTTGCTCTCAAGAAGCCGAGTCTTAAATATAAACTTCACTATGTGCCAGTCTTATAAACCAACTGATACTTTGCCACTTTCCATAAAATCTTTATATGTCTTTGTTTTTGCACTTTCTGTTTTTCTCACAATTTTATCCTAATAATTACACCCACATGATATATAGCTTGGAAGATTTTTGTCATCATCATATCAATTTAGTACATAAAGTGTGCTTCAAAATGTATTGTAAATTATTTTAAGATATGAATTCATCCTGGTTTATGTTTATATCGATGCCTCCTTCAATAATTCGGAAACAGAATTGTCTCTGGGATGTATCCAGAGCTGTGATATTATGATATTAAAAACACATAAGGTCTAGAAACTGGCATATTATTTGCACCTACTCAATGTACTTTATGAGATATTTTTCTCATATGTGTGTTGTTATGTAATTTAATTCAATTAACAAATATTTTTTAAAAACAAATATACTAAACTGATATGTTGCAGCCATAAGATATTTTCATCTGCATGGCGTGAACCCGGGAGGCGGAGCTTGCAGTGAGCCGAGATCCCGCCACTGCACTCCAGCCTGGGCGACAGAGCGAGACTCCGTCTCAAAAAAAAAAAAAAAAAAAAAAAAAAAAAAAAAAAAAGATATTTTCATCTGCACATACGGTTTTAGACAAATCATGTTTTACTTGTTGTTACAGACTATCATTATGTTTTGTAAACATACTACTTATTTATGGCTATAAAAAAGAATGCCACATTCAAATAATCGCTTGTAGTCTTAAAAAATAGTTGAGGTCATTGTCTTGTGCCATGTATTCGAAAAACTTGAAGATTTAAATATTATTATGTCAATATTTAAAATAGAAGGCTACAATTTCTTCTGTTTAAAATTAGGTACAAAAGTTTCAATAAACAACTTAATCTAAAACAGAAGGGAAGACAAAAGCTTTTGGTATACTCTGACCTGGTAAATTGCTGAAAATGATTGTGTGCTGAAGCTACTTTGGCTTGATAATAACTCTCTTTGTTATAAAGAGATTATTGTAAGGAGTCTATGGAAAGTATAATGTCTTCAGTTTTTAATATACATATATACTTTTGTCCTTGAAGGAAAATAGCAAAAATAATATATAAAACCAAATTATTTTTAAAGAACCAAAAATAATTTTGAGAGACATATCTGCCTGTACTCTTAGCTTTTATCTATCTACTGACTCCTTCCTTGTGTGCCTCTTCATTTAAAAAATCTAAGACAAAATGAAATATGATTTTGTAATATCAATGAGAATAAATGCTGCCAACATTTGTAAAACATGTACATTTCAAGGCTGCTGGGTTTTTTTTTCACTTCATCCATGACATTAAATATGTTAGTATTCTACCACACAGAAAAACACTATAGTCAACACTGACTGATTAAAGGTCAGTTTGCATTTTTTAGAACATACGTATAAAAGTTAGAAATAGTACATTTTAACTAGAAGCCTACCAAAATCACAACTCTGGTCTTGCCTTTCTACTAAGAACAAAAATAAAACCTAGCCAACTCATTTGCATCATAATCTAATTTTGAAATTACTTTATCAGTGCAATAACACATTCAATAGAGGTTTTGTCTTATTGATGAAAAGGGAATCCACTTGGTTTGGGAGTACATAACATTTTTTAATTAAATTTGTGTTATTATTGTACTTACACTCAAAGGGCCAGGTGATGGCAATGTTCCATGGAGGAAAATAATATTGCTATAATAACAGCAATAGCCATGAAAATTTAATAACATTTCACTGAGACATAATGACATAATAACAAATATGTAATCACTATCTAGGCACTTTGTAGGGAAGAGTTAAAGTAATCAGTAAGACTATTACTAAATAAAAGACCTTTTTCATAAGTTGGGGATATAAAAATGGGATATATCTATTTCATTTCTGTAATCTATTTGAAGAGGCAGATTTTACATATACAAAGATAAATAACAACAAGGTAGTCAATTATGAGATGTTTGTGAGTCAGAGCAACTATTTTAAGAGCCCTGTGAAAAGGAAGGAAATGGACAAAAATTCTAGGCAGGAAAAGATGCAGCATTGGAAATGTATCTGACATGTTAAGATAATGACAAATGGACACCAGAAATAGAGTAGACAATTCAAATAAGGGGCCAGTGGAGCTTAGAGTGGACACTTTACCTGAGACGGATTTTGGAGTCTTGAATGTCCAACCCAGGAAAGAGAAGCATGTTGTCTGGGAATTGGGATATGACTACCTCATGATTTCACTGTGAATTTAAACAGATTGAAGGAGAACAAGGTCATTTTTCAAGGAATAATTTACAAGATTTAGCAACTGAAGGAGAGGATAATGAATAAAGAGAGTCAAAATGACACTAAGGTTTTAAGAGTGTGTGACTGGGAGAATAATGACATCTTATCTCCTTTATAAAAAATAATAAGGCCCAGGCTCAGTGGCTCACGTCTGTAATCCCAGCACTTTGGGAAACCGAGACGGGTGGATCGTCTGAGGTCAGAAGTTTGAGACCAGCCTGGCCAACATGGTGAAACCCCGTCTTTACTAAAAATACAAAAAATTAGCTGGGTGTGGTGGCGGGAGCCTGTAATCCCAGCTACTCAGGAGGCTGAGCCAGGAGAATCGCTTGAACCTGGGAGGCAGAAGTTACAGTGAGCCGAGATTGTCCCATTGCACTCCTGCATGGGCAACAAGAGCAAAACTCTGTCTCAAAAAAATAAATAAATAAATGAATAAATAAATAATAAAAATAAAAAGAAGAATATTTCCCCCAACATATACCTAACAGAAGCTTATAAGAGAAAACTCACTGAAAAATCACAGTGTAAGAATTACTATAGTCACACCTGTAATTATGTGAAACAATTGTTAATATATAAAGTTTTCAGTGAGGATCATCAGGAACACAGTGACCGCATATGTGAATTGTATTTCTGAGCATGTGTTTACTTAGCCCTCTTGTGATTAAATTTATAATTTATACATGTAATGCCAAACTTGTGCACTTATATTGAATTTTTTTAGAAAAGCATAGAAGTATTTATACTTTTCTCATTACTTTTAACGGCAAAAACCGCAATTACTTTTGCACCAACCTAATATAAGTGCTCTATGCATTTCTGAGGGTTTACTTAATTGTATAATTTTAACACTTTGGAGCACTTCAAGATTTGAAAGTTTAAAAAATACAATGATGGCTGAGCTATAATTAAGATTTCTGAGACTTACAGGAAATCCTTGTCAAACATTAAAGGAGAAATAAAATAACTCTAGGACAATGATCAAGAAGGATAGAGAATATTGAAGAAAGGAAAGAATGATTTGAGATTTAAAGAGTCTCATGCCCTAAGATCGATCACATAACAATACCAGATGTGAACAATCAGCAAGCTCAAACAAATGCAAAAGAGCAGAACTCAGGAAATAAGTATAAAACCCAGGAGCACTCCAAGACAAGGTACTGGGGACAAGAGTTAAACACATCGAGTAAAGGCAACCAGATTTAGTCAATAACTATTGATAAGATATTATAGAAGAGCATAGGTTATATTAGTTACGAAACCCAGCTTAGATTCTCAACCAAACTAACTAGTTAAGCTTTAGCAGGCCATCTAAATTTGAATAGATTTTTTAAAATGGCTTTTCCTTGGGTATAATTTAAAAGATTACACAAATTAGAAATTTCTTGTATTGAAGGTGCTCAAGGCCCAAGTTTGCCATGGATTTAGGTACAACAGACATGACAGATTGTCTACTTACTGCTGGAATATAGAAGTAGATGCCCCACCCTGTTCTAGAGATCCCAAAAGTGAACAACAAACATATACACACAGTGAAATAACTTAGGCACCGGTTGCTTAATATGAGTAAAGTATATACAAAATGACTAGATATCACCCATCTGAAAGATACTATAAATGACTGGCATCTCAAACAGGCAGATTTAAAAGCAGGGGAGTCTGGCTTTTTGATGAGCTTTATTTTATCAGTATTCCTGCTCCTGATTACAAAGCGCCTGCCGAAGTGTCTGGTATGAAGAAGACATCTAGTAAATGTTTATGTGAAACTGAGATTTGCAGAAGTAGTGAAAGTGATTATAATCTTAAAAACTAAAATTTAAAAAAAGGTTTAAGAATTATTTAGTCGCGTTTGTATAGACTGCATTTTCCCAAAGGGTCTAACAACTTGCTAAGCCTTTGTAGGGGTCATATGGAAATGAACTTGGTCACCCTTTCTGTTTTCTGACATTTGAATTGGGAGGGCTATTATAAGTGAGCTTCATAATCTCATTTCAATTCACACATCCTCAGGGCAGCTAATTTTTCTTATGCCAGCTGCCTTGTGTTTTTGTTTTAAGTCTCTAACACTAAAAGCTATCTTGTTTTTTTTCTTAAACCTCAGCCTTCTAGGGAGCCAGTTCCTTTTACAAAAGAAATTGAAAATCCAGTCTCAGTCACCCACCCTTTATTTCCCTGAGCTTTTCAAATATGATGGACAAGTTCATCTTTTATATACTTTATTTTTACTACATATTCATTTAGCCTTTTACTAATAGGAACATGCTTCAACTTCAGAGAAGAGAGAGAATGCTGGATGTTCCTTTAGAGCCTCAGAAAATTGAAGGTATTTTCAGCAGTGTGTATATGTCTGTAATAGCAAGAGGCAGACATTACCGTAGTTCACAATACTTCTCACTATAAACATTTATAGAAGTAAATAATTTGCCATCAGAATGCCAGACATTCCAGAGTATGCCAATGTTATATAGTTAAATACATTTTATTGATCAAATCAACTGAAGGTAATTTTAAATTATATGTTTTGATCTCTCGTGGCTATAATCAGAAGGTCAACGTGAAAAGAAAAATAGAGCCATGGTGGAAGGGCAGCAACAACTTCTGTATGTTTTATCACCAGCATATGGTACTTATTCCTGCTCCTGCAATAATTTAAGCACTTTGTCATTTCTACTTTCAGTTTATTTTAAGCAGCATTAATACATAAAGATCTATGCAAGTATTTTTACTGGAAGTTTCCCATATGGAGATACTAAAGAATTGAACTTAGAGTAACTATTGCTGTATTCAAGGTCAGTCTAACAACCATCACAAGAAAAGTAAAACCTACATTTTATCTAAGGGAAGAAACCAAGAGAATATTAACCTCATTGGTGGACAATATGGCATTTACCAAACACATAATCAAAAGCAATTAGTTTAAATTAACTACACATTGTTTTCAGGTATGTTGTTTACCAGATAATTCCCGTGGCCTAAATAAATCTTATTCTAAATTTTCATGATCAAAAGAAATCTAAAATCAACTATAAAATAATTGCGCTTTCTTTTGCAAATGCTCAAGTGCTATGAAAATATAATAATAATATAGGTAAAGGAAGTGCAACACCAACAAATCTCATGTCAATCGCTGTGATAAGACTTGAATCAGAAATGCAGGAAAGGTATATTTTCATTCTTTTACCTACCATAAGAAATATTTTTGCAACTTCATATGTTAAGCTGATCAGCTAAGACACAATTATATGTAGCAGAACACATCAGGAAAATAAAATAAAAGTGCTTATATAATTTACCAAATGATGTTTTTGCTTAGATGAGTGCATAATTATTAAGGCTAAGAGCCAAGTATTATATTTATTAATTGTTCACACAGCAGAATTTGTAGTCATTTCTTCTTGTTTATACTTTATAAAAATCAACCTATATTTCCTACAGTATTATTTTAAATTAATGAAAATAGTCTGTGTAATAAAATTAGTTCACAAATATTACTGTTCTTTGATGAGTGATAATTTACATTAATGTTTACAAAGTCCTTTATACAAATTTATTATACAATTTACAATAAGTAAATTCAATATCTGTAGGTTTGTATGAGGAAAATAGGTCTTGAAATATTTTTTAGAGACACAGATTAAAAACAATACAGATTTTAAATTAAACTTATAGTGTGGCACAGAGTCAAGAATAACTCCTTCATTGGGTATTCTTCATTTGTATTTCTGTGTAGCTGTTCTACTAACAGTGATTAAAAACAAACAGTTAATAAATCTTTTTCTGAAGCTGGCTTTTGAAATGATATACAATCACATTTTCTTTTGTCTTAAAAGTCTCTATTTTTTGTCTTTCATTTCCAAACTGGAGAAAGCTCTTCCTTCTTCCCAGCCCCCAACATCTAGCGTGAAAGCTCTGGGCTTGCCAAAGCTAATTCCTTTCCAAGAAAGGGTAGCACTGCCCCCTAGTGGACATACAATATACCAAAATAATTGCACAAAAGGGAGAAATAACCATAAAATTTTAAATAGAACAATTCAATAGCAAGAATTTGAATGTATTGTTGTGTCTGTTTTTTATGTTTATCTTTTTTCTTTTTTTTATTTTTGAGACAGAGTCTCACTCTGTCACACAGGTTGGAGTGTGGTGGCATGATCTCGACTCACAGCAACCTTCTGGTTTCAAGCAATTCTCCTGCCTCAGCCTCCCGAGAAGCTGGGATTACAGGCATGCGCCACTACCTCTGGCTAATTTTTTTTTTTTTTTTTTTTTGTATTTTTAGTAGAGACGGGGTTTCACCATGTTGGCCAGGCTGGTCCTGAACTCCTGGTCTCAAGTGATCCACCCACCTCAGCCTCTCAAAGGGTTGGGATTACAGGCCTGAGCCATCACACCCAACCCATGTGTCTGTTTTTAGATTTGTGCCTGTATACCATCCATTTTTCAAATAGTAATGGTCTGCATATGATGTTGGCAGTCAGCCATGATTTGTTAAAGCAAATGAAATCGAAGGGACAATGAAATTGTTTCAACTTCAGTAGAAACATAAAATACTATGTTGCTGTTGCCACTGAAGTGAGCACCAGAAGTCATTCGGATTCCCAAGGCCCACAGTTTTGTGATAACCATTTAAACCTAAACTCAAATATCCAGTCCTATACCCCCCACTACATCATGTGTCCTTGTAAGTTCTTACAGTATCATTCCTTTTCCTTCACAGTATTTGTCACAGTTTGCAATTCTATGGTGTGATAATTTGCTTAATATCTGTTTTACCCACTAACCATGTGAAGGCAGAAACTACCTCTTATGTTCACTATGATATCCTGACCACTTAGCACTGTACTTGGCACAAGAGAGGGACACTGGATATATCTGATGAATTAATAAATATGCCAGGAAATTTACTGAGAATAAAAGTGGAGTTGAGGTATACTCTAAAAGTTTAATGGTTTCATGCTAATTTCCACTTAATAAGGTGCTCCTGTAGCCATGCCACTAACAACGAAACACAAAAATAAAATCAACACACTGGCAGTTCTGTCTTTATCTACCCTTCCAGTTTTCAGCTTTCACAATCTGCTTCTCCTTGTTGGTTTTAATATCCTTTTTCTTCAACATGGCATTATGATTTAGCAATGGATCCTTTACCAGAAAGAAATGAGTATCCGGCTTATAGTCTTAGTAGTGCTATCATCGCCAGCCCATACCCTGACATCTGCACAGAGGGCCCCATATCATTACCCACCTAACTCCCTTTATGGCATCATCTCTTGTGTGAAAGGACACTCCATACCTCGATTTCCTTATAAACTTCCTGGTCTTCCATTACTTTGTCTCCTACTCCTAACGACAAATTAATTGCATTTAATGATTTAGTGGGAGATTATATATTTCCCTTAAATTAAATAATTTAATTTTAACTAGATCCTTCAGGGGATAATCACTTAAACCCTGACAGTAATTGACATGACTTTACAGAAATAGATAATATTGAGCAGGTGAGATTGTTCATCTTTGAAATCACATGTGCTCAATTTTAATTGTATGGCTGGGTCCCAAGCAACCAACAAAATCATTGTTTAACCCCAGCTAATTAGCAGTATATATTTTTTTCTCTTTTTAAAACTGGATTATTAACATGATGACTAGTGAAGTTTGTTGTGACAAGAAAGTACTACTATCACGGCTTTTCTTTGGTGATAAAAGACTTGAATACATACTTATCTATAATCTCCTTAATTGTAGCTGTTTCCCTTAAAATAAAAGATGTAGAGGGTAAACACTATGTCTTTGATAGCCTAGATGATAGATACATATATTTTTGATAATGAGATAATTAGACTTACCTGCTTATCACCAGAAGGCAGACCTAGGATCGAAGGAGAAAACAAAGGAAAGCAAATCTATGTTCAATATAATAAAATTTCTAAAACATGTTGATGTTGAAAAGACATTGATTTGTTTATGAGGTTTGATACTCCTGCAGTGTAAGTTGTTTAATTAGATATCAGATGGTCATTTCACAGGAATAAATATTGTAGAACTTATTCCTGGATTTAGTAGATTTTATGAATAGAGCCCATCGAGCTCTATTAAGGGGCTCAGACAAGTTCATCCAGACTTAGTCTCTTTCCACTTCTTGGTTCTGCTATCAAAAGTGTACATTTTATTCAGGTAAACTCTCTTAAACTTAGGTTGGCAAGATAGGTACCAACAGTATAAGTTTAACATCCAAACTTAACAGCCATTCCAGTTGAGATAGAGCTTTATTTTCCCAGCAACAGTTCGGAAATGGATCTTCATGTCTTGGTATATATAGTGACCAGAATGAATTATATGGCAAGGAAAAATATTTTGATTAACCATTCGGACCAAGAGATTACAGAAATCAGTCCCACCCAAATCACAAGGACTGAGAGTGAGGAGCAGGAAAGTTCCCCAAAAACCAGAGTATTATTAGCAAAGGGAAAAATGGAGGTTGGGCAGTCAAAAACAAAAGAATGGTTTATAGTGGGACTTTGATTTCTAAATCAAAGTAAAGATACTTTGATTTCTAAAGTATCTTTCAAGTCAAAGATTCTATGATTTACAAATTTCTTTTATTTTCTAAATGTAATTGAGATTAATACTCTCTGAGGACTTCAGATTATTTTTATTTTTGAAAAAGAATGTTTTTTTAAACCACATTTTCATTGATTTGGGATTTCTTAAAACACTCAATATCAATAAGAATGAGAATATACGTGCATCATCTTTATGAAAGAGGTCCTCTAGGTAACATTATTCCTCACATCTGAATACGCCATATTGCACTACATCTTTTGCATCTAGTAAAAATCATTTATGATATTTCTTCAAATTAGTATTTGTGTTTCTTTCATAGAAAGTCATGAATATGGTAAGAAAGAAGATGATAATATTTGGGAATTCTATTGTCCAAATAAAATCTCACTACTATTGATGACTTAAAAATCTTGTCACAAGATTCATTGGGGATGAAGTCACATGCGTTGTTTAGATTCAGAAATGCCTTCAGAAGTCTTAGGATGTTACATTGCTTGTTCAAAGACCCTTTGCCAATGAAAGAAAGCAATGATTCTGGGAAAGTTAAAGACCTCCATAACCTTCTCTGGAAACAACCCCAAATAATCATTCTAAATAATTTGGTGTTGAACACCACAGAATTGTTAATGCGTGTACGAATATTGCTACAAATTTTAGAAGGCGCTGAATTCCCTCTTAAGATAATATTCCACAAATGTAGCAAAGTGTAGGGATTGAGAGTACAGATTCTGGTGCCCAGCTGCCAAGATTCAGATCCCAGCTTTACTGCCTATTAACTGGCTGACCTCAAGCTGAGGGTGATAATGGTTGCTACCTAAAAGTAATATTATGAAGATTAAGTGAACTAATATTTATAAAACATTTATAATTACATATATCATATAAATACAACTTAAAATAGTTTTTGTTTTCCAATTCTGCTTCTGTGGTTTTCAAAGAAATATAATATAGTCATTTTATCAGTAATTAGCCCAATTTTGTCATCTTTACTGTCCCTTTAACAAATCATCACTTAATATAGGAAGTGGATATTGGAATGTGCCTTTCTCTGGGGATTAATTGTTATTATATTATGTTTTATTACATATTATATTATATTACATTATATTATATTACAGAAGACAATATATCAGGAAAAGAATATAGACCTCTAGAGAGAGAGTTTTTATTTCATGGACTTTATTGCTTCTTCAAATACGTCTGTTTTGCAGATTAGATTATTCACCGAATACTTTGTACTCAATGCTTTGAAGTATGAAAGTATAGTAATTGACCATATTCATCTTGCCATTTTGTGTGTGACTCTGATTTTATAAATACATATTCTGTCACTGAAGAATAGAAAATTCAACAAATGCAATTTTGCAGCAAGAAAATATGTTTTTAAAATTAGATGCCATTGTTAAATGAAGAAAGTATCATTTTACACTACTTTAAAAATATTAGCTGAGAAAGTCTGGATGGAAAAGAAACTATATTTGATATGCAATATAAATCTATTTTTGTACAGATAAAACAAAGTTAGATGTTAGACGTATTTTTTTTTTCAATTCTCTTGATTCTCATCAATATAATTGCATTGCAATCATTGATCTAGTCTACATGGGCAATTTGGGAATCAAGTTTGGCACACAACTCTGTGAAGAGGGTACAAAACAGATGCCAGTAAGGAGACATGAGACGAGCTCTAAAGTTAATTGGATTCACACTGCTTTATCAACATATAGACCCAGAATTATTTTACAAAATATTGGCTATTTGTTATTCATAAAAGCTGATAACTCCTACCAATCTCAAAACATACGATGTCTTGCCCATTCAATTTTAGCAAGTAAACTAAAAGAGTAACCAAAGTGGTTTGTTTGTCTGTTTAAAGTTGTTTGATTTATGTTGGTTAGTCAGAATTTTCTCTTGGGTTCAATAGATCTTGTTTAAAACACAGAACAGCTAATCCTACTTTATACAAATCCTAAAAGAAATTTGGTTCCTAGAGGACCGTAAAGTATCACATGATGAAAAAGGATATTACCGGCTGGCTGCGGTGGCTCACGCCTGTAATCCTAACACTTTGGGAGGCTGAGGTGGGCAGGTTGCTTGAATCCAGGAGTTGAAGAAGACGAGACTGGGCAACATGGCAAAACCCCGTCTCTACAAAAAATACAAAAATTGCCTGGGCGTGGTAGCGTGCACCTGTAGTCCCAGCTACTAGGGAGGCTGAGGTGGGAGGATCACTTGAGCCTGGGAGGGAGAGGTTGCAGTGAGCTGAGTCTGTGCCACTGCACTCCAGCCTGGGTGACAGAATGAAACCCTGTCTCAAAAAAAAAAAAAGAAAGAAAGAAAGAAAGAAAGAAGGAAAGAAAAAGCATATTACTCACAAATTACATATTAAACTGTAATATAGATGGAATAATACCTTAGATATATTGTCTGTAAATTTTCTTATTTTATTTATTTTTTTAGACTGAATAATACTTTAGATACATTGTCTGTAAATTTTCTTATTTTAAAATATTCTTGTATTTAATATAGATATTGACCTAAGAATTGCTTCTTTTGAATATCCCTATTAAAATATGTAGGCCACAAATGTTTGATTCTTTTGAAAATTGAACTAAAAGTATATTTTATTTTCTCAAATGTAGACAATAGCAATGGCATAGCAAGAAGGAATCTTGGACAAAATAATAGCAACACATACGTGTTTACATAAACCACAAGTGCATACATGTTGAAAAAACATATTTGATTATATAAAATATGCTATTTCCTCGCACTCAACTTTGGGTTAAATTTTGTTACACTTACATGTTATAGCTTGATACTTAAGTATTGCAAACAAAATGGAATGTTTTGATGTTAAAATTTATAACAATCTAAATATACATTCAAAAACAATTTTTAAAAAGTCAATGGTCACATTTGCTCACAAACAAATGATAACAAGGAAATAACAAACATGAAACCACAAGTATAATTTGAATATGTTCTAAAAATATGGTTTTATTATTTTACAAAATAAATTTTCATGGTGAGAGGTAAGTGATGTTATGAAAATACCAACTAATGTTTTACTCTAGCCAAGATGTTGTATACCAAGTTTAGGTCTCGGAAAAAAATTTTATAACTGAATTGTAATCCCCCAACGATTGGGATTTAACCTGAAACTGTAATATATTCCTTAGCTATAGAATCGCAAATAGGAATCTATGAAACTTAATAGCTGTATACTAATTAGAGTTGAGTGTGATGTATAACTTGGAGACACTGAGGGTCTGGGTCCAGAGCACCTCAATAAAGTGAATATCACAATAAAGCAAGTCACACGATTTTTTTGTGCATCTAAACTTATGTTTACATTATAATGTAGTCAAGAGTGTGATAGCTTTATGTTTAAAAAACAATCTTAATTTAAAAATACTTTATTACTAAAAAATGCTAGAAATCATCCGAACTTTAAATGAGTCATAATCTTTTTATTGATGGACAGCCTTGCCTTGGTGTTGATGGCTGCTGACTGATTAGGCTGCTGATTACTGAAGGCTGAAGTTGCTGTTGCAATTTATTAAAATAAGACAACAATGAAATGTGCTGCATTGATCGACTCTTCCTTTCAGGAAAGATTTCTGTGTAGCATGCAATGCTATTTGATAGCATTTTATCCACAGAAGAACTTCTTTCAAAATGGAAGTCAATCCTCTTAAACCCTACCACTACTTTATCAACTAAGCTTATGTAATATTCTAAGTCACTTACTGTCATTTTAACAATGTTCATACCATCTTCACTACAAGAAGATTCCATCTCAAGAAACCACTTTCTTTGTTCTTCCATAAGAGGCAACTCCTTATCTATTTAAGTTTTATTATGAGATGATAGCAATTCAGTCACATCTCCAGGCTCTACTTCAAATTCTGGTTTTCTTGTCATTTCCACCCCATCTGCAGTTACTTCCTCCACTAAAGTCTTGACCCCTCAAAGTCCCCCATGACAACTGAAATCAACTTCTTCCAAACTTCAATGTTGATATTTTGACCTTTCATGAGTCATGATTGTTCTCAATAGTATCTAGAATAGTAATCCTTTCAAGAAAGTTTACAATTAATTTTTTTAATTTATAATTTTTTAAATTTTTAGTTATTATTGATATGTAATAGTTGTACATATTTATGGGATACATGTGATATTTTGATACAAGTATACAATGTGTAATGATTAAATCAGGGTAATTGGGATATACATTACCTTAACCATTTATCAGTTCTTTGTGTTAGGAATATTCCAATTCCATTCTTTTAGTTATTTTGAAATATATAATACATTATGGTTAACTATAGTTGCTCTATCAAGCACTAAATTCTACTCCTTGTAACTGTATTTTTGTATACACATTAACCATCTTCTCTGTATCCCTCCTCTGCACTACCCATCCCAGCCTCAGATAACCATCATTCTACCCTCTATATCCATGAGTTCAATTTTTTGCCCCCACATATGAGTGAGAACATGCAATATTTATCTTTCTGGGCTTTTATACTTTATATTTTATAAAACATAATGTCCTCCAGTTCTATCCATGTTGCTGCAAATAACAGGAATTTATTCTTTTTAACGGCTGGATAATGTTCTATTGTATACATGTATCACATTATCCATTCATCCACTGATGGACACTTAGGTTGCTTCTATACAATAGCTATTGTGAATTGTGCTGCAATATACATAGGAGTACAGATCTCTCTTCAATATGCAGATTTCCTTTCTTTTGGATATATAGCCAGAGGTGGGCTTGCTGCATGGTAGTTCCATTTTTAATTTTTTGGGGGAACATCCACACTGTTTTCCATAGTGGCTGTACTAATTTACATTCCCACCAATGGTGTACAAGGGTTTCCCTTTCTCTACATCCTCACTGGCTTCCACTATCGCCCGTATTTTTTATAAAAGCCATTTTAACTGGGGTGAGATGATATCTTATTGTAGTTTTGATTTGCATTTCTCTGATGATTAATGATGTTGAACATTTTTTCATGCACCCGTTGGCAACTTGTATGTCTTCTTTTGAGAAATGTCTATTCAAATCTTTTTCCTATTTTTAATGAGTTTTTTTCCTATTGAGTTGCCTGAGCTCCTTGTACATTCTGGTTATTAATTACTTGTCAGATGGGTAGTTTGCAAATATTTTCTTTTTTTTTTTTTTTTTTTTTTTTTTTGAGACAGAGTCTTGCTCTGTCACCCAGGCTGGAGTGCAGTGGCGCAATCTCGGGTCACTGCAACTTCTGCCTCCCGGGTTCAAGCAATTCTCCTGCCTCAGCCTCCTGAGTAGCTGGGATTACAGGCGCCCACCACCATGCCCAGCTAATTTTTGTATTTTTAGTAGAGACAGAGTTTCACCAGTTGGTCAGGCTGTTCTCGAACCCCTGACCTTGTTATCCACCCGTCTCGGCCTCCCAAAGTGCTGGGATTACAGGCGTGAGTTTGCAAATATGTTCTCCCATTCTGGGTGTTGTCACTTCACTTTGTTGATTGTATCCTTTGCTGTGCAGAAGCTTTTTAGCTTCGTGTGGTTCTATTTGCCCGTTTTTGTTCTGGTTGCCTTTGCTTTTTAGGTCTTACTCAAGAAATCTTTGTCCAAACCCATATCCTGGAGGGTTTCCCCAATGTTTTCTCCTAGTACTTTCATAGTTTAAGGTCTTAGATTTAAGTCTTTAATCCATTTGTATTGGATGTTTGTATATGAGTGATAGGAATCTAGTTTCATTCTTCTGTATCCTTATGTTCAGTTTTCCCAGCACTATTTATTGAACAGGCTGTCTTTCTCCAATGTATGGTCTTGGCACCTTTGTCGAAATGAGTTTGTTGTAAATGTGTGGATTCATTTCTGGGACGTCTGTTCTGATCCATTGGTCTGTGTGTCTGTTATTCTGCCAGTACCATGCTGTTATGGTTACTATAGCTTTGTAGTATAATTTGAAGCCAGGTAATGTCTCCAGCTTGTTCTTTTTGCTCAGTATTGCCTTGGCTATTCTGAGTCTTTTGTGGTTCCACATAAATTTTAGATTTATTTATTCTATTTCTGTGAAGACTGTCATTGGTATTTTGATAAGGATTGCACTGAATCTCTAAATTGTTTTGGATAGTATGAACATTTTAACAATATTGATTCTTCCAATTCATGAGTATGGTATGTCTTTCAGCAGGGTGGGATGGAGTTAAAGTGTAAAGTTTTTACTTTTCTCTTTGCTTATTTTTTTCTTTTCTTTGTGATCAGAGATAAGTTATCATCAGTTGGAAATAATTTGTTACAAGATGTTATTTGTAAGCCTTATAGTAACCATAAAGCAAAAACCTATAGTAGATCAACAAAAAATAAAAAGCAAGAAATTAAAATATACTATCAGAAAAATCACTTATATACAAAGGAATACAGGAAGGAAGGAAGGAAAGAAGGAAGGAAGGGAGGGGAAAGAAAGAGATAGAAAGAAAGAAAGAAAAGAAAGAAAGAAAGAAAGCAAGAAAGAAAGAGAGAAAGAAAGAACCAGAAAACAAATAACAAAATGGCAGTAGTAAGCACTTACCTATCAATAATAACATTGAATGTAAATGAACTAAATTCTCCAATCAAAAAACCTACAGCAAATGAATTGATTTTTTAAAAAGACCCAACTATGTGCTACCTACAAGAAACTCAATCCCCCTATAATGACACAAATAGACAAAGACACAATAGATAAGGGGATGAAGAAAGATATGCCATACAAAATGGAAGCCAAAAAAGAGAAAGATTATCTACACTTATATTAGATAAAATTGATTTCAGGTCAATTTACTTTGCCCAGATCCATTGAACGAATCACTATCTATGGCAGCTACAGCCTTAAAAAATGTATTTTTTAAAGAACAAAACTTGGAAGTCAAAATTTCTCCTTGATCTATAAGCTTCAGAATGGATGTTGTGTTGTGACGCATGAAAATAACATTATTCCCCTTGTACGTCTTCATCTGAGCTCTTGGGTGATTAGGTGCATTGTCAATGTACAATGATACTTCAAAAGGAATCTTTGTTTTTCCTGAGCAGGAGTTCTCAACAGTGGGCTTAAAATATTCAATAAATCATGCTGTCAACAGATATGTCTGCCATCCAGGCTTTGCTGTTACATTTATAGAGCCCAGGTAGCAGATTTAGCATAATTATTGAAGGTCCTAGGATTCTTCAGAATGACAAATGAGCACTGGCTTCAACTTAAAGTCACCAGCTGCATTATCCCCTAACGAGAGAGTCAGTCTTTCTTGTGAAGCTTTGAAGCCAGGCATTGATTTCTCCTCTCTAGCTATGAAAGTCCCAGATGGCATCTCTTTCCAATAGAAGACTGTTTTGTATTCATTGAAAATGTGTTTTTTAGTGTAACCACCTTCACCAATGATCTTAGCTAGATCTCCTAGATCATTTGTTACAGCTTCGACATCAATATTTGCTGCTTCACCTTGCATTTTTATGTTATGGAGACAGCTTCTTTCCTTTAACCTCATGAACCAATGCCTGCTAGCTTCCTACTTTTCTTCAGCAGCTTCCTCATCTCTCAGCCTTCATGGAATTGAAGAGAGTTAGGGCCTTGCTCTCGATTAGCCTTTGGCTTAAGTGAATGTTGTGGCTGATTTGATCTTCTACCCAAACCATTAAAACTTTCTCTAGATCAGCAATAGAGCTCTTTTACTTACTTATTATTTGTATGTTCACTAGAGTAGCACTTTTAATTTTCTTCAAGAATTGTTCCGTTGCATTCACAAGTTGGTTAACTGTTTGGCACACAAGGCCTAGCTTTTGGCCTATCTTGCTTTTTATGTGCCTTCCTCCACTAAGGTTAATTATTTCTATCTTGTGATTTCAAGTCAGAGACATGCAAATCTTCCTGTCTTGAACACTTAGATGCCATTGTAGAGTTACCCCAAAACAATCAATAGTAACATTAAAGATCACTGATCACAGATTGCCATAAGTGATATAATAACAATGAAAAATATTGAAATATCATGAGAATTAGCAAAATGTCACCCAGAGACACAAAGTGAATACCTGCTGTTGGAAAAATCGCATTGATAGACTTGTTCCATGCAGGGTCACCACAGACATTCAATTTATAAAAAGCAATCCTCAAAGTGCAATAAAATGAGGTATGCCTATACTATGTAATTATCTCAAACAGCCTTGATGCTTTCTTAGTGTGTGTTAAGAATAGGGCAACTGCTCAGTAAAACTGAGCACAGCTAAATACTTAAGAATTCAGATGTATAAAACACTGTATTTCCTCCCTTGTGATCCAACCAATTTAGTATGTGTATTTTAAGCTATAATTTTTTCTTTTGAAAAATAAGCTTTTTTTCTGAAATTATTTAACTTCTTCCAACACAGTATAAAATGAGCTAAATTTTGATAGATAATTTATTTCAGCTCGCCACCAATGTTCGGGAAACAAGGTCTTCAGGTAAAACAATTCAGTAGACATTTTAATATTGTTGTTAGATGAAGGAAAAATTATTTGGTTGCAGCAACACATAGTTTAGAAAAAAGGACTACAGAATAATTTGCTTAACTTAGAAATCATTATTTCTTCTGTTATTTACATGTAAGTTCTCTCTTTCCAACTGGGTTGGAACTCTCTTGCAACTGGGTTGCAAGACTTGGTAAGATAAAATCACCATATGTGTAGCTTTATTTCCCCAATTAATAACTGCTGGTGATAATGGCCTTGTTGATGATACCCATCCACCCTGTCAATTTTTTTTCATGTTAACTGTAGGTAACTTCTATTTGCATTTTTCTGTTTTTGTAACAAATTTTATCATTATTATAAACAAATCCCTTCTTTTGTTTTCCTGCAATGGCTATATAGGGTTCTATTCTTATTTTGTAGGCAACCCTTCTAATGTAGACTTAATTTTAATGAGAAAACTTTGATTTGTTCCCAACTTTCCATTTTAAGGCCCAAAATATGACCTCCTTTGCTTTCCTCCACATAAGGTTTATATTTTAGGTTTATTGAGAAATCAGAAGGATCAGTAATAAGAGACCAAAAAATGAATTTAGGATTCTAAATGCAGATTTTTTAGATTAATAGGAAATGGAAAATGCTATTCCATCTTTTTTTTACAAATTGAAATTTCGTTTCTAGAAGAAAAATTTGTTATACTATGTCAATTTAATTTTATAAATAAATCACTTTGATAATTCAAAAAGGTAACCTAATACCTTTTCGTAACATGAAACCAAATACATCTTTCCAAATATGAATCTTTAAAGTGACAGAGGCAAGTTTTTTCTGAAGTTTATATAGAAAACAGGTTTTAGAGTAAATAGTGAAATGACTCTTATCTGGTTTATTTTCACTGAAAGTTATACACTGAAAGTTAAAGCAAAGAAAAGCCTTCTATGATTATTACTATTTGATCTATAAGAACCAATTTTCCTATATTGTTCTACATGACATGTGAGGAGAATCACTGTCCATCAGTAAATCATAATAATCTGTTGGTATATCAATTGTTATGTATATTTGATAATCTTTGACAATTTTCAATTATTGACATTAGCATTTGAATAAGAAAAGACATTTGAAGCAAAATTCCTATTTAGAGCATAATTAATGAGTAAGGCCATCCATCTTCATCTATAACATGAAAGGATGAAGATAATCTCTAAAACCCCTTGGGGATCGTTAAAAATCTGTAATTCTTGTCTCTGGGCAACTGTTCTCTGCTCTGCATTCCTAGGTATTACAGGGAATCTGCTTTTACTGAGTCTTCACAATGGCTTAGGTTTATAAACAAAAATCTAGTTGGAATGATTAACACTTATGAACAATTAGTGGGTAAAATGCAACATTGTTCATCATTACATTGTGACGTAATGAGCCAAATTCTTAAGTGGGCTGCTGTACACCAGGCATTCCTAAAGCTATATGTGTATGGGTTTTGAGAAATCTACCCTTAAAATGAAAAAAACAGATTTGAGAATGTGTATCTATTATAATTATGAGACAGCAATTCAGCATGAATTCCCTTTTAGAAACTATTTAACACAGGACTTAAAGAATCTAGGAAGAGAGATAAAAGAGTATTTCTTAAACTTGAGCCATTATGATTTTTTTTTTGTTTCATTTTTAACTATCAGAGAACAAGAAGTACCAGAAACGATGCTTCTAACACCTGGTCACAGGCAGACACATACCTGTGAACCTTCTCCAACCAAAGCCATTGTGCTTGATTTGTTTACTAATGAGGATGGGACTGAATGATTAGATGTCCAAGCCCTATTGCTTCAATCCTACACCAAATAAGCCACCAGAAAGATAATAAAATATTATACAGCTTATTCAACTGGTTACAAAGCAGAAATATTGTGTTGTTAAATTTTTTTATTTTCTTTTTGGTTGACAAATAATAAATATACATATTTATGGAGTACAATGTGATCTTTTGATACATGTCTGCATTTGTGGAAGGATGGAATCAGGCTAATACATCCATCACCTCACACACTTATCATTTCCCTATAGTGAGAATATTAAAAATCCATTCTTTTATAGTAATTTTGAAATCTACAGTACATTATTCACTATAGTCACCATGCTGTACAGATCACCAGAACTTATTTCTCATGTCTAACTAATCTTTGTACCTTTGACCAACATCTCTTTCACCATGCACTCTCCTCCCCTCCCCTCTGCTTCTCGTAACCACTATTCTGTTTTCTACTTCTCTAAGAGTTTGACTTTTTTAGATTCCACACAGAAGTGAGATCATGTGATATTTGTCTTTCTGTGCCTGGCTTATTTCACATAGCATAATGTCCTCTAGATTCATCCATGTGGTCACAAATGACAGAATTTCTTTCATTTCTAAGGCCAAATAATATTCCATCATGTACATATACTACTTGTTAAAAATCCACTCACCTGTTGATGAGCACTTCAGTTGCTTCCATATCTTGGCTCTTTTGAATAATGCTGCAATGGAAAAGAGAGGATAGTGGGAGGGATCTTTAGAGACCCAAACAAAAATACGTCGACCCTAAAACTCTTGTTAGGCAAATTTGCTATGCTTGTACATGTGAGAGCAAACTATCTGTTCTAGCATACTGAGAATCTACGTGTGGTAACTTCATAAACTTTAGTCAAAGCTGCTGTCTGGAGAGTAAAATAATCTTCTAAAGAAGCACAGCAAAGGAAATTTAAAACATTTAAATCTTTTTGGCAATCCATTTCAATCGTTTTCTTTGATTCACTGAATTATTGGGATATTAATAGAAATTTAATATTTGTTCTTGACTTTTTGGAAAATCTTGTGGTAAAGTAAGAATAGAAGAAAATTGCCTTAATATGATTAACAATGATCATTCTCAATAATAATAAAGTTATACTGATTAATATTTAGTATTAATGCATTAAAGGCATTATATTAATACAAAATTATTAAAGAATAAGAGAAGCATATCAGGTATTACAAAAATATTTTTGTGGCAATAAAATTATTTTGAGGATTCTAAACAATATAATAAGAAAAGAAAAAAAACCCAAAAGGAATATTTTGTAAAGGATGGGACAAAACTATTATTGTTTTGGACATATTTTTTATTGAGAAATTCCAAAAATGAACTGAAAACCTTTCTGAAGCAATAAGAAAGTCTAATTAGATATTCAAAATCAATTAATCAACATACAAAATCCCATACATATGTGTTTGCATGTAAATGTTTTCCTAATATCAGTAATAACAAGTTAAAATACAGAATATAAAAGTTGCTATCACAGTAGCAATGAATCAGCAATATACGAAGCCTGGGAATGAATAAGCAATCTGAAAGAGTCTATAAGAAGAACACTAAAGCTTTGCTAAAAGTTGAAAAGAAGACATCATTAAATTATAATAGCATTATTAACAGATTTGTCCAAGTATATTACATCATATTAAAATAGTTATTAAAAGTAGCAATAGGACAATAATGTAAAAATATGACAAAAAAACAAAGTGGAGAGTCAAAAACTATGAGGAAAGGACAAATCATTGAATATTGCATATGCTATCAGGACTTGGAATATTCATATAAAAAAGATTTAAAGTACTACCTTTCAACATAATAAATTCCACAAAGATTCAAAGATAAAAAGTTTTAAATCTTTAAAATAATAGAATAAGACATATACTATTTTTGCCATTCTAGGATTAAATTTTTTTTCCAATCATGACACCAGAGCTAGAAATCATAAAGTAGAGAAATGCCAGATTTGAAAAAATAAGACTTTTAAGACTTTCCTATGACAAAAGACCCAGTATGTGAAGTTAAAAAAAAAAAAAAAAAAAGTAAACTAGGAAAAATAGCATTTATGGTTATAAAGCATTATACTTTTCAAATATAAATTCTTCTTACAAATAAATAATATTGATTTTATTGAGTAAGGTGTTTGGATACTTTTGTACTTTATATACCTTAAAATATTTTAATATTTAAAAAGAGTAAATTTCTTAAGATCCAGGGATTTTGTGAGGGCTAGATGCTGAATGAAAGACAATTTATCAACAGGGCAGAAAATAGAGGATTGGGCTTTGAGGTGTTGATCTTTATCTTCCCTCCTCAACTCTTTACTGTCTCCACTTGTCCTTCATTGTCCACTTGTCTCACTCTTCTGAATGGCCACTACATGAATTAAGATGCATATTATTCTTCGGATGGTGTATGTGTCCAGGAATTTATCCATTTCTTCTAGATTTTCTAGTTTATTTGTGTAGAGGTGTTATAGTATTCTCTGAAGGTAGTTTGTATTTCTGTGGGATTGGTGGTGATATCCCCTTTATCATTTTTTATTGTGTCTATTTTATTCTTCTCTCTTTTCTTCTTTATTAGTCTTGCTAGCGGTCTATCAATTTTGTTGATCTTTTCAAAAAACCAGCTCCTGGATTCATTGATTTTTTGAAGGTTTCTTTTGTGTCTCTATCTCCTTCAGTTTTGCTCTGATCTTAGTTATTTCTTGCCTTCTGCTAGCTTTAATGTGTTTGCTCTTGCTTCTCTAGTTCTTTTAATTGTGATGTTAGGGTTTCAATTTTAGATCTTTCCTGCTTTTTCTTGTGGGCATTTAGTGCTATAAATTTCCCTCTACACACTGCTTTAAATGTGTCCCAGCGATTCTGGTTGTGTCTTTGTCCTCCTTGGTTTCAAAGAACATCTTTATTCTGCCTTCATTTCTTTATGTACCCAGTAGTCATTGAGGAGCAGGTTGTTCAATTTCCATGTAGTTGAGTGGTTTTGAGTGAGTTTCTTAATCCTGAGTTCTAGTTTGATTGCACTGTGGTCTGAGAGACAGTTTGTTACAATTTCTGTTCTTTTACATTTGCTGAGGAGTGCTTTACTTCCAACTATGTGGTCAATTTCGGAATAAGTGTGATGTGCTGAGAAGAATGTATATTCTGTTGATTTGGGGTGGAGAGTTCTGTAGATGTCTATTAGGTCCGCTTGGTGCAGAGCTGAGTTCAATTCCTGGATATCCTTGTTAACTTTCTGTCTCATTGATCTGTCTAATGTTGACAGTGGGATGTAAAATCTCCCATTATTATTGTGTGGGAGTCTAAATCTCTTTGTAGGCCTCTAAGGACTTGCTTTATGAATCTGGGTGCTCCTGTATTGGGTGCATATATATTTAGGATAGTTAGCTCTTCTTGTTGAATTGATCCCTTTACCATTATGTAATGGCCTTCTTTGTCTCTTTTGATCTTTGTTGATTTAAAGTCTGTTTTATCAGAGGCTAGGATTGCAACCCCTGCCTTTTTTGTTTTCCATTTGTTTGGTAGATCTTCCGCCATCCCTTTATTTTGAGCCTATGTGTGTCTCTGCATGTGAGATGGGTTTCCTGAATACAGCACACTGATGGGTCTTGACTCTTTATTTGCCAGTTTGACAGTCTGTGTCTTTTAATTGCAGCAGTTAGGCCATTTACATTTAATGTTAATATTGTTATGTGTGAATTTGATTCCATCATTATGATGTTAGCTGGTTAATTTTGCTCGTTAGTTGATGAAGTTTCTTCCTAGCATCGATGGTCTTTACAATTTGGTATGTTTTTGTAGTGGCTGGTACTGGTTGTTCCTTTCCATGCTTAGTGCTTCCTTCAGGAACTCTTGTAGGGCAGGCCTGGTGGTGACAAAATCTCTCAGCATTTGCTTGTCTGTAAAGGATTTTATTTCTCCTTCACTTATGAAGCTTAGTTTGGCTGGATATGAAATTCTGGGTTGAAAATTCTTTTCTTTAAGAATGTTGAATATTGACCCCCACTCTCTTCTGGCTTGGAGAGTTTCTGCTGAGAGATCCACTGTTAGTCTGATGGGCTTCCCTTTGTGCGTAACCCGATCTGTCTCTCTGGCTGCCCTTAACATTTTTTCCTTTATTTCAATTTTGATGAATCTGACAATTATGTGTCTTGGAGTTGCTCTTCTCGAGGAGTATCTTTGTGGCATTCTCTGTATTTCCTGAATTTGAATGTTGGCCTGCCTTGCTAGGTTGGGGAAGTTCTCCTGGATAATATCCTGCAGACTGTTTTCCAACTTGGTTCCATTCTCCCCATCACTTTCAGGTACACCAATCAGATGTAGATTTGGTCTTTTCATATAGTCCCATATTTCTTGGAGGCTTTGTTCATTTCTTTTTACTCTTTTTTCTCTAAACTTCTCTTCTCACTTCATTTCATTCATTCGATCTTCAATCACTGATACCTTTTCTTCCAGTTGATTGAATTGGCTACTGAAGCTTGTGCATTCATCACGTAGTCCTCGTGCCATGGTTTTCAGCTCCATCAGCTCATTTAAGGACTTCTTTACACTGGTTATTCTAGTTAGCCATTCGTCTAATCTTTCTTCAAGGTTTTTAGCTTCTTTGCGATGGGTTCGAACTTCCTCCTTTAGCTCGGAGAAGTTTGATCGTCTGAAGCCTTCTCCTCTTAACTTGTCAAAGTCATTCTCCATCCAGCTTTGTTCCATTGCTGGCAAGGAGCTGTGTTCCTCAGTTGGAAATGCAGAAATCACCCGTCTTCTGCGTCGCTCATGCTGGGAGCTGTAGACTGGAGCTGTTCCTATTCGGCCATCTTGGAACCTGGCTGCACCTATAATCCCAGCTACTTGGGAGGCTGAGGTGGGAGGAGTGCTTGAGGGTCAGAAGTTCAAGACCAGCTGGGACTACATAGCAAGACCCCATCCCTACAAAAAATAAAAATAACAGCCAGGCACGGTGGCTTATGCCTGTAATGGCAGTGATTTGTGAGGCTGAGGTGACAGAATCATCTGAGGTCAGGAGTTTGAGACCAGCCTGGAGACCCCATGTCCACAAAAATAATTAATAGCCTACCAACCAAAAGAAGTCCAGGACCAGATGGATTTACAGTCGAATTCTACCAGAGGTACAAGGAGGAGCTGGTACCATTCCTTCTGAAACTACTCCAATCAATAGAAAAAGAGGGAATCCTCCTGAACTCATTTTATGAGGCCAGCATCATCCTGATACCAAAGCCTGGCAGAGACACAACAAAAAAAGAGAATTTTAGGCCAATATCCCTGATGAACATTGATGCAAAAATCCTTAATAAAATACTGGCAAACCGAATCCAGAAGCACATCAAAAAGCTTATCCACCATGATCAAGTGGGTTTCATCCCTGGGATGCAAGGCTGGTTCAACATATGCAAATCAATAAACATAATCCAGCATATAAATAGAACCAAAGACAAAAAGCACATGATTATCTCAATAGATGCAGAAAACAGCCCTTCATGCTAAAAACTCTCAATAATTTAGGTATCGATGGGATGTATCTCAAAATAGTAAGAGCTATTTATGACAAACCCACAGCCAATATCATACTGAATAGGCAAAAGATGGAAGCATTGCCTTTGAAAACTGGCACAAGACAGGGATGCCCTCTCTCACCACTCCTATTCAACATAGTGTTGGAAGTTCTGGTCAAGGCAATCAGGCAGGAGAAAGAAATAAAAGGTATTCAGTTAGGAAAAGAGGAAGTCAAATTGTCCCTGTTTGAAGATGACATGACTGTATATTTAGAAAACCCCATCGTCTCAGCCCAAAATCTCCTTAAGCTGATAAGCAACTTCAGCAAAGTCTCAGTATACAAAATCAATGTGAAAAAATCACAAGCATTCTTATACACCAATAACAGACAAACAGAGAACTAAATCCTGAGTGAACTCCCATTCACATTGCTTCAAAGAGAATAAAATACCTAGGAATCACACTTAGAAGGGATGTGAAGGACCTCTTCACGGAGAACTAGAAAGAGGAGAAATATGCAGGAAGAGGGTCTTTGTTCGTTTCCACAAGCAATATTCTAACCTGTCCCCAAATATATATTTTTCTGTTAATGAATAATACTTACAGTATTGTTTTCAACATAATTCCATTGTATGGACTATCATCATATATTTAACCATGACCTCAGGTCCTTAGATATTAAGTATGTGAAATGGATACTTGCCTTTTGGCTATCACCCATCAACTCTGTCTTCTTTTTGTAACAGCCCGCATATTGTCTTTTGTATAATTTCTTCTCCCCCAAGTTTTATAAGCTTATTGAGAGTATAAATGAAGAGTCCTGCCCATACAACCTCTGAATCAGAGAGTTTTTTTGGTTTTTGTTCTTTTACATTTTTAGTATCACAATAGGAAAACAGAATAAAATATCTTACTGTAGTGTGTTTATTCTAGCAGCTGTAGGGCCTTGATAAGACTGAGTTGTTTCTGCTACTCAACTCCCAGTGATACCTTGTTTTTCTTTCCGTGCCAGGTTCATTAGCCTTCCTGTCAATGCTGCAAACTTCTCAATATCTTTCAAATATATTTATTTCCTGCTTAATGTAGTCAAGATTGGTTTATTTGAAGCATAACCAAAGAACTTGAACTAATGGGAGCTGATATTATAGACAGTGCTGGTATGATCATTCTTGTAACTAAATCTTTGCGCAAATTATACTATCAGATATATTCCTAGCAGTAGAATTGCTGAGTCAAACACATGCATATTTTGAAGACTTTGATATGATCTGCTAATGTGTTTTTTTTGGAAATACATATTAATATTATACCTACCAGCCATACCTGGAAGCCCTCATTTCTACTCTACTATGCCAATGCTATATATTAACATATTTTAACTATTTTTTAAAATTTGAGATGAATTATATGCTTACATTTAATTTGATTACTAATAAAGTTGGACATTTTTTCATATTCTTATTGGTATTTTTAAAACATCCTTTTTATATAATCTTTGATTTTTTTGATGTTTGTGTTTTACTGATTTCTCATATATGTTGTTAACATTTTCTCAGCTTTTAAATGTATACACACAAATATACATAACAAATTATGCAACTTAAATTTTATGTATTTGAATCAATCACCTTTGTTTTTCTTTATGTATTCTATCATATTTTGAAAGACCATTTTCAAATCATGGTTGAATAACTGTTAATCATTTTTCTTTTTCAAGTCCTACACATTATAATTTTGATGAAAACTAAATGTTAACCTTTTGCCAATGATAGTGGTGAATTCCTGCACTTGCCTATGTATCTTGGGCCATGTGACTTACAATACTTTCTTACGGTAAGATTTCTGTGCTACCCACAGGTTATCAAGTGATCATTGTATTTAAGACACATATCTTATGAATTATGTATTATTACTGATTGCTAAAGTTGAAAGAAGTTAATTAACAAAGCTAGCAAGTGGTACAGTAGGCATGCAAATCTCATCTTTTGACAGTAAGTTCAGTGCAAAGCACATCTTAATAAATGTGAAATATTCTGCAAATTATTTAAGCTCTCTGGGCCTTGATTTTTTCATTTGAAATTTGGAATAATAACTGTAACCTACATGAGTCAAGGTTTATCAGAGATAGCAACGTAACAGAGTGGTTAAAAGCGAGGCATCCTTTGCCTGGTTGCCTGGGTGTGAATCCTGGTTCTGGTACCTACTGGTATGAATTTGTCCATATTCTCAATCTCCCTGTGCTTCATTTTTTTAATATATAAAATGAGCATGATAATAACAAACCTACCTCATAGAGTTGCTATGAGGTGTAAATGAGTTATTATCTGTGACACTGTAGAAGCCTATCTGGCAAAGGGAAAGTGCAAGATCAGTGTGTTTTCCACTAACTCATATATAGCACTAAGAACATGGCCTGACACTTAATAAGCATTCAATAAATACAAATAATGCCACCTCAAATGATTTCCTATATCAAAGCCACTGCCAATTCAAGAACTGCAAACTAAAAATCCTATACACGATGTTAGGTTAAATTAACATGCTTTGTGATTTTCCTTCAAGATTTCTCTTTTTCTTATAGTTTATTTAGGAAAAAATTAGGGAGAGAGGAAGATTGATGAAGGAAGAAAGGGAGAAAGGAAGAAAGGAAGGGAGAGAGTGAAAGATCAGTTGATCCTTTCCTCCCTGATCAAAGGAACGCATAAGCAAACTTCATCAACTTAGTTTCGGAAACACACCTCATAAGGACAATATATTTCCTGACCTGTTTCCAATTCCTATCTCTTCCCTTACCTGCACATTGTTGGAAGTTATCTTCACTCCTGTCACTCAAGTCCCCATGAAATAGATTTAAGTTTCATGAGCAGAGAGCAAGTACAGGGTAGTATTTCCTTGTTATTTTATATAACAAGGGTATATAACTGGGTAGTACTTTCTTGTTATTGTTATATTGTGCCTCTTAAAGAAATAGCTTCTTTTCTTATCCTCTTCAAAATCCCAGTGTGAATATTTCATTTTAATGTCTCTAAATTATACTGAATAAAAAAGCCTTTGGTATTCTTCCCAAGATCCTAAATCTATTTTTAACATGCAGCTACTACCTTTTATGATATCATTTTATATATTTTAAATGGTTATCGTGGTCTTGACTATTTGTCAAACAACCCACTAAGTACTGACAAAGCCCAAGTGTTCCTTATAATATGTGTCTCAAGAAGGTCTTTCTTATAAATACAAGTTTTCTCCTTAAATCTCCTTTAATTTTCCCCCACAAAAATGTTGATTCAATTACCACATTTAACCATAGCAGTACTGTAAATAGTCCATCATGTAGGTGATGCTCGTTGAATCATGTATTTTGAGGCCATAGCTAGCAGGACAGTGGCTATAATAATCGATCTCTTGTTCTGAAGTCCACAATCTATAACACCAAACTGCAAAGGGAATGAAAAGTACTAGTGCTCAGATGTTCTTAAGTTTTGCTCAACACAGGACATAGAAAGAAATTAAATAGTAAATAACCATTATTTCAAACTGAATCTACCAGGAACCCAGAGAGGCAGTGGGTATTCATGGTGCGATAAGGGAAACACTGAAAAATATAAAATATCTTCTACTTCCAAAATAGATTACAATTCTGTAGTGGGATAAACAAGTGACTAACCAAAGATAGACTATGATAAATACCCTAAGGGAGAAACTAATAAGTTAATTAAGTGTTCAAAGGAGGAAGTGAGTACATCTGTTGAAGGCAAAAAGAGCAGGATTTATCAACAGCATGAACCTTGGATGACCTTCAATTTTACATGAGGGCTGGAAATCAGGATTTTTATGCCGAACATCCTTTGTTAATGTTGGAAATTTGTCTTTAAAAATCAACATGTAGTGAAACAAATATATGGGCTGAATTTGGTCCAGTAACCATCAAGGTACCCTGTGTGGGACACAACAGAGACTATATCTGGAAGTACCATAAGAAGCAGCAGCACAGGATTTGGGATCAGATTGCGGAAAGTTTTCCTGCATTTAGGATATTATCCTTAATAGAGTAGGAAATGGGAACCACTGAGGGGTTGTTAACAGAGGCATGAAATGAAATTACTAAAACAATGCTTAAGAAAGTTGAAATTAGCAGCAGTATGTAGATTGGATTGGAAGGCTGAATTGAAAGGAAAGAAGTCAATTTGGAAGCTATTGTAATAGACCAACAGTAATACAATCCAGGGTGACAGAAGCAGCAATGGAGAGAAGACACAGGGATGGTGGCTAGAATGTACAAATACATGCAAAGTTCTTAGCATCCTGTTCATGTTAATCCTTTCTTCCTAACACAATGCAATTCCATGGGAAAATTCATTTCGTTTTTGAAAGGGAGTGTAGCCTCTGGAGCACTTTGGGAGACCGAGGCAGGCAGATTGCCTGAGTTCAGGAGTTCGCGACAAGCCTGAGCAACACAGTGAAACCCTGTCTCTACTAAAATACAAAAAATTAGCTGAGCGTGGCAGCATGCGCCTGTAATCCCAGCTGCTCAGGAGGCTGAGGCAGGAGAATTGCTTGAACCTGGGAGGCACAGGTTGCAGTGAACTGAGATTGTGCCACTGCACTCCAGCCTAGGCGACAGAGTGGGACTCCGTCTCCAAAAAAAACAAAAAAGAAAAATCTGGAAACTGGCCGTCCAGATTCTAATTTTGACTTCCCCTCTTACCAAATGTATAACTTGTGGAAATTGACCAAACCTCTCTATTCTCAATATCTCAATTTCCTAGCTTAAAATGTGGTTAGGGTAGTCCTTGTAGGATTGTTAGATTCCCTGACTTTCTCTTTCTCTTCCTGTATATATATGAAACTGTTCTCTGTCACAAAGTAGGCATTATGATAAGTGGTCACCTATTTAAAACAATACAAACCACTGGAGTAGATAATCACTTTTCATGTATATAGCATCTACCTACTGACTGCTTTTACCAATCCTATTCACCTCCCTCTTTAAAATTGTCCCATAAAATGTAAGACTTCAAATTATATTGTGCCATATATATATATATACATATATATATATACACATATATATATATACATATATATACATATATATACATATATATATACACATATATATATACATATATATATACATATATATATATATATATATAGCGCCACACAATATATGAGAGATACAATTTCAAAGAAAAGAGGATTTCCACCAACCCTTTGGTGAGAATTACTTTTTCTTCATTACCTTTGTAAGTTGGAAGCTAACTTTCAGCCACAACATAGGCTGATAGAGAAATATAGATTTTTTTTCCTAAATATACAGGTACACACACACTACAAATATACTATAGATAAAATATGGCTACTGCTCTAAATTGTAAGCTCTTGTTTTCATTTTATTGATTCCATAATACCAAGTAGAGTGTGTATTCATAAACCTCACTTAATATGTTCATGTTTTCATTATACCGAAATAAATTTCTCCTATTTGAAGTTCCCCATTCTAAGATTTTTGAAAAAAGGGACTTGACTCAGTGGTATGGGAAAGAGCAGGACAAGAACACTTTATTCTCTCACCTATTCCTTTTATTACCCTTTAAATCAGAGGCGTCTAACTCCCTCCTCCCTCAAGGTACCCTGAACCCATGTCTAAGGTACCATGGTTGTTTGCTATGTAACCATTGCCTCGAGGGGGATTTACAACTCAAAGTGTTCAGATCCCACTTGCTTTTTTTTTTCTTTTCTTTTTTTTTGACAGATTTTGCTCCATTGTCCAGGCTGGAGTGCAGTAGCGTGATCTCGACTCACTGCAAACTCAACTTCCAAGCGATTCTCCTGCCTCAGCCTCCCAAGTAGCTGGGATTACAGGCACACACCACCAAGTCTGGCTAATTTTTATATTTTTAGTAGAGACAAGGTTTCACCCTGTTGGCCAGCTGGTCTTGAACTCCTGAACTCAAGAGATCTTCCTCTCTCGGCCTCCCAAAGTGCTGGGATTACAGGCATGAGCCACCACACCCAGGACTACTGGCTTTTTTTGTTTAATTTAAATCAGCATTTATTGGGTGTTGCCTGTATCCAAGAGAGCCAGGCATCCTGGGCAGACAGAAAGGTAAATTAGACCCCTGCATTTTGTACTGTACCATTAACAAAACAAATCTAGAAAATCTTAGGAACAATTGTTAAGTGTTACAATTGTCAATTTTAGCTATAAAAAATGATAACTCCAATATGTCTTTCGAATTAAGGAGATAAAATAGCTGCAAAATATAACTTAAAGTTTAAGAAATATTTAACTTGTTAGCTCTTAACAGAGATTTTACTTACAGAGGCAAGAAATGAAATTACTAAAACAATGCTTAAGAAAGTTGAAATTAGCAGCAGTATGTAAATTGGATTGGAAAGCTGAATTTAAAGGAAAGAAGTCAATTTGGAAGCTGTTGTAACAGACCAACAGGAATACAATCCAGGGTGACAGAAGCAGCAATGGAGAGAAGACACAGGGATGGTGGCTAGAATGTAGAAATACATACTTATGGTGATTTCTATATGAAAGTTTATACACTTGCCAAAAAACACAATTTTGCTTTGACATAATTGTTGAGTTTCTTGGACAGAAACCAACCAACAAATCAACCAACAGGTTCAGCTGCTTACTCAGCCACTCCTGGTTCAAATAAACCTGACGCATCTTTTGTGAAACTTGATTCATCTTGGCATTTATATCTAGAGTATCCCTTATCTCCCAGCATACCATATGAACTTTTTGGGTTCTGTCTTTGTGCTGAATTAGGGATTCTCTTTGTATCCTCATTAGTTAAATTTGCTATCTTGCCTTCAAAAATACACATTTAACAATTCTAATCTAATAGTAATGAGGGGTCTAGAAGAAAAGTCCTCCCATTTTAATTACAGAAAATTTCTGGGGTTCTTTTTGGAGATAGGGTCTCACTATGTTACCCAGGCTGGTCATGAACTCCTGGCCTCCAGGGATCCTCCCACCTCCAACTCCCAAAATGCCAAGATTACAGATGAGTGCCACCACATCTGGCCTAGAAAAGGGTTTTGATTGCATAATCCATTCACTACTTTTCATTGAAATTACTGGACCCTTAAACTGTGAAATCATATCTCTTTTAAGAAAGTGATAACTTTTTTACATGTATATTACAAAAAAAAAATTAGGGATCAAAAATGTTGCAATTGTTATTTTAAAGTAGGTGATTGCCTTTTGAATCTTTTATTTTTGCAAAATTTTCTCTTCTTGATGTTGTAGGTGCCTATGGTGCACAGAGCACAAAGCATTGAGTAACACTGAGTAGTATAATGTAGACCATACAATATAAAGAAGGAGAAATGAAAAGAAATAACTAAGGGAAAACAATAGTAGCAGCTAATGAACTAACTGTGGTTTATAAGACAGATAATTTTGGGAAGGAATGGTAATATGGTATTGGAGGAATAAAAGAGTTACCCAAGAAAGCACAAATCTCTCTACTTAATAACCAGAATAGTGTTCACTAGACTACAAATTATATTTCTTGGGGGAAAATGATAACCTATCTCCCATTAAACATTGATAAATTAGCCTAAGTTTAAAAATGATAAAGCTAAGTTACTTTTATATTCTGTTTCAGGAAATTAAATAGGAAAATCATTTTCTCACGAATGAGAACTATTCTTTCCTTCCAAGTTTATTTGTATTGTCATTGGATAACTCTGAATAAATTAAAACAAAAATAGCAAAAATAATATGGAAATAATACTGGACTTTGAGACTAAAGATTTTGGTTCCCTTGCTGGATCTCTGCCTAGTATTGTGTGATTTTCATCTTATGACTTAACTTCGTCAGCTTCAGTTTCTCCTACTATAACAAATGGGGGAAAAAAAATAATGTAAAAGATGTTAAAAGATAGAGCCAACTGATACCTTTGTATTCCCAGCACATAACAGAATGCCAGAAACATAAACAATGTTTAATAAGTACATTAAAAATAAATTTATAAAATGGGCATAAAATCACTTTGCAGCATTGGTATAAAGATCAAATGAAAGCAATCAGATGCAATGATTTTTAAATCTGGAACATTTTATATGTAAATAAACATATAAACATATAAAATATTTCAATGTTATCTCATGACTAACAAAATGTATTTTATATTGCATAAAGTTTTGTAAACAGCCTTAATTTATTTTTAAATATATTCTCAGTATGTATATTTAATGTTACATATATATACATATTATTCAATTTATCTAAGCTCTCATGTCCTCACCTGTAAATTAAGGCCTTGTGTTAATTATCTTCAATAATCTATTCTAGTTGTATCTTTTACAGATAATTCGTGATATAATATTTTATATAAATATTAAATGAATTTATTACATAAATAGATTAAATATTAGGCAAATTAGAATTTTGTTTCACCTAAATAGTATTTTTAAGTAAACATAAATGTCACATGACTATTTTTTATCTCATGGAATACTTGATTTATTATAATATAGAAACAAAAATTACAATAAACCTATCAAAACCCAAAATTCTAAAAACTATCAACATTTATGCAAAAAACATTCAAAAATTATACAAAGCCAAAATTTCAAGACATCTATCAAAAACTTTATTAATCATTGACAATGAGATAAAAATGGTCTGATTTGCTTTTGAAAGTGAAGAAATCGTGTTTGACAAAAACTGAGCATACGTTTTGGGAAATAATGAGAAACAGAACTGTTGGGGAAAATAGAATATAATAATCCCTTGAAAAATTGTAAACAGGAATAACATATCGGCATGCAGCGAGGCCAGAGTTAAGGAGAACAGCTAGGAAAGAGTTGCAGTCACTAATGTGGCACTCGTGGGAACCTAAAAGGGGTATTATAAGAGACCAATCCTGCAGATATAACTAATATATGATCCCTCATTTCTCTCTAATCAACCTAAAAACATGTCTATTCTTATCTTCCTTCAGATCCAGTGACATAATTTTGCAGGCACTAGATGTCACTGTTCTACTTAAGCAAAATAAAATCTAGTCATTCTCAAGTCGTAATTGCATCTACCTGTATGTAAATCTGAGACTGCTTTGTTTCAGATCATTTCATAAATCACTAGGGATTTGTACCTACTGCAATCCGAAGAAGAACCAGCTCTGTAGTTCTCTGACAATTTCTAAGAGTCTTTTTTGCACAGAACAAGTAAAATAAAAAATTTAATTCTACAGAAAAATGAGAACAAAATAAAACTAGAATCCCTTCTTCAGCATTTGTCTATAACCTATTTGTCTTGTTAAACTATCTATAGAGAACAATGTATAATTTTTTATTTTTATCTGTCCAGGATCCATAGTTGCACCTTTGAACTCTACTTTGAAATTCCCAACTGGGGCTAATCATGAAGATACCATATTGTTAGTTTCATGCTAAAATCCTAAGGGACTAATCTGTCTTCTCTCTGCCTGCTGAGTTAAGTTTGCTCAACTCAAAGTCCCACTCTTTGGGACTTTGAATCTTGAGTGAATGGTGCAAGGACATAGGACTGTTGGAGGTGGGTTTTTTTTTTTTTTTTTTTTTTAGGAGCCGTGTGGGATGCTAGGCTGGTCAGACTGACTGCTCTTGCTAGGGGACTCTCACCGTACTTCTTGTGGCTGATTGGTCTAGAGCCCCCTTGATTCCCAGGTGTTTCTAAACCTGGGCCTCAGCTTCTTGTTGAGTCTATGACCTACCTACCCTAACACCACCACAACCCCAACACACACATGATAGCCTTACAATAAATCTCCTTTTCCTTATGGTAGCCAGGTCAGATTTTGTTGCTTGCAACTACACAAAACAAAACAAAAACATAAATCCACATCTTGAAAAACAACACAAGTTCTTTGTGATATAAAACTATCAGCTTTGCCTTGTCAAGCTCACACTTGTTGAACTTCTGGGGTTGGGAGAAGCATAAAGGAATAGGTTCTCAAGAAAGAAATTTACAAAATATATACCTGGTCACGTAAGACCTTGATTCTAAACTCTAGCAGATGTTTTTTCCTGGAAGTATCCAGGCAGTTAATTATCCCGAATCTCTAAGATTCTAGTTTTTGGACACCAGTCTTTGTATACTCTACTTGGCATCATCTTGGGAGATCTGAAGGAAATGAAAAAGAAAACAACAGTATTGTGAAAATTACTGATAATAGAGGCAGCTGTCAGGGGATCCATGGAAACTGCAGGACACAGGCTGGAATTTTACAACTGACACACGGCCCAGCAGCATGGAAAGAAAACTGACTTGGGTGCAGCTTCCTGCCAGAATTATGTCTGTTATGATTTTTTCTGAGAGGTAGGAAGGTAAGGGACTTCGGCCACAGGCACACCAGGTTTCTATCCCCAACTCAGCTAGTTGTTAGTCATACTAACTTAAAACAATGTACTAGTTCTCTGATTCCCAATTTTTTTTTCTTGAAAATAATGTCATTTCTCATGGAATTGCGAGGCATACATGGAAATGGTATTTCATTCCCTCTTCTCTGTCTCTTCCCCCACTTTTTCTCACTCCAAGGAACCTGGTCTGGAGATGTCAGATGTGGGTAAGCCAAATAGGTGACTGACAGTGAATGGATTGTGAAAAGGAATCACACGTGCAGCACTCTGGGACAGTCATAGGATTACAGTACTAACTTTTAGAGCCTGAGAGAATCTTACTGATCTCATACATTTGAGGAAGGAACCAAAGCTGAGAATTTTAGGGTATTTTCCAAGCTAATTAATAACCAGAAGCATGTATTTAACAAGGGCCTTATTTCATACAAATTTCCAGTCCATTTTTATATTACTAAAAAATATGATCTGAAAATGCGATCCATTAAAAAAATTTTTGTGACATAATGACCCCGTCCGAGAGCATTTGAATTTTAAAGTACTGACAGGCAGATGAATATAAAATATTATTTGGGTGGTGTTTTTTTACACAGGGGGCATCCCTAGCTATCTTCAAATAACATAATGCAAGTGTCCACCTATCTGAACAGGCGTAACAACTGGAGTCTGCAGAGACTGCAAAGGCAAAAATATCTGAAGGTTCATTTCTTTTCTTTTCTATATTTTTTCAGTTTTGAAAATTAGAAAATACAGAAAAGTATAAAGAAGAAAATAAAAGTCTTTCTAATTTGACCAACTAGAAATAAACTGTTAAATTATTGCTTCATCTTGTCCTCCCACTTTTTCACTTTTTCTTGTTTTTCTCTTTCTCTCCCTCTTTTTTTTTTTTTTTTTTTTTTTTTTGGAGACACAGTTTTGTTCTGTCACCCAGGCTAGAGTGCAGTGGCTCAATCTCGGCTCACTGCAACCTCTGCCTCCAGGGTTCAAGCAATTCTCCTGCCTCAGCCTGCAGAGTAGCTGGGATTACAAGCATGCACCACCATGCTCAGCTAATTTTTGTATTTTTAGTAGAGATGGGGTTTCACCATGTTGGCCAGGCTGGTCTCAAACTCCTGGCCTAAAGTGATCCACCTGCCTCGGCCTCCCAAAGTGCTGGGATTACAGATGTGAGCCATCACCCCCGGCTGTTTTCTCTCGCTCTTGCTCTCTCTATGAATATTTCACAAAAATGTGATTATGCAATGCATATGCTTCATAACCCTTCATACTTAGGTCAGATTCAAGGCAGGGTTAATTTCAAGTGAGTAATAACCAGAAAATTCACTGTATTTCCTAGTTTATAAAGTAATTTCTGGTACATTAGCTCATTTATAGTTTTTAACCATAGGTCTTTGAGAGGGAAGGCAGCAAATTATATATTTTTTAGAAAAGGGTGGAGTTACATCAATAAGCACAAGTCTCTCCTTTTATCCAGAAGGATCATTATAGAGAAGAAAATACTAGGACAATGGAGAGTGATTCTTTGCACTCTATATGAAAAAGTAAAATATTCCTCCCAATAAATATTGGTTTCACAAGGAAAAAAAAGTTATATTATGTCAGATAAAAGGTGACTAGTAGGGAAACAGAATGTATAATGCCATGCAGCCCTGGTGTCTCACTATGTTGCACAAACGTGGCATTAAATATCTATAGTAAAGTAATATTAATAGTTCCAAAAAGGCAAAGAAATTTTAAATCTTCTGTGCATATTAGTCTAGAAATATAAAGGGTAAATAAAAGAGAAAGAGTGAAATTCAAAGATAGACACGAATACACTTTAGATGTTAAAATAATGTGTATGTTTGATTATAGAAGTGAATTAGTCTTCAGTGTTGCCTTTTAAAAAATTTTTTTAAAGCGTGTATATTCAATGAAGCCAGCAGCCACATTTGTCTGGTATACTGGTGTATCTCGAATGCTTATACCTTAGAATGTCTCTAGTACTTAGCACTTTCCTGCAACAAAGGAGCTGCTTAAATATGTTTAACAAATATATTCACCTCATCATATTTTCACAAAATAAGAAGAATAGAAGTAACTCAAATAGTCCATATTCCAAAAATAGCATATTTATGACACTAAAATTAATTTTAATTTTTTAAAATTATGCATCGATTCATGAACATACACTTACAATATTTTTAGAAATCCCACTTTCTACAATGCATTATGCTGTATGCAAAGGAAAAGCAGACACTGTTCCTGCCTTCAAAGAGCAGAATCACCGATTAAAAATGTGTCTGACATTCTGAGAAATATACCTTTGAAAGTAAATAATGAAGCTATTTAGAAAAGACTCAGCTTTTAACATCTGGCCGGCAAATTTCTCATTTTGCTTCCCATTAATGGACCCTTTCCTGATTTTAACTTCATGCTGGGACTTCATGACTGGGCTCTCGGGATTCTTAATGCATAATAGATTTAAATTTATGTTAAAGAAATGGATCCAGGACTTCAAGGGAAATCTGGTTGGAACTACATATGGTAAGTGAGATTCTAAATCTATGATAAGGAAAAGGTGGATAAAATACTGGGTGGATGGGGTAGAGACACCTAAGACAGTAACAAGCATAAACAGGGAAGATCAAAGGTTATAAAACAAATACTTACTTATCTTATAATTTACCTATAGTTTTCCCTGCTGGTCAATGTAGGTTGGCTGACAATGAAATGAGATAAAATACACAAGTTTCTTAATTTTCACACAGTGCCTAATAGGAAAAATCTTAAAGAGATATTTATTGTATTTCCATGTGTGTTATATCATAAAATGTTATTGAAACACTTTTAAAATCTATGGCCAGGAATCATTTTGAAATGATTGGGAACTCTATACTGTTTCTCTCATTCCATCAAATGAAATTTCTTCTTTTCTGTTTTTATGTGTCCTATCATTTATTATACTGTATTGGAGAACAAACAGAACATCTAGCCTTTTTTGATTAATGGTATAAGGACTAACAACTGAATGAGGAAAATCATTTATTAATTGCTATAGATAGCAAACAGTATAGATTTTCAAGTACAGTAGCTTGTCCTAACCCTGCCCACAAGCAAGAGAAAGCCTCAGAAGGAAGCTGATAGAACATTTGCAGAAAAAAAGATCAATGTTAACAGTGTTATGGCATTCCTCAGCACACTGTGGCACAAAGGTCATATAGATTCTCAGCCAAGGCAGAATATCTTAAAAATTTCTTGGAAGGGCAAGGCCAATACTTATTTAAAAAATTAAATATAAGGTAATGCTGAAGACTTTTATATGTTCTGCTAGTGTGTGTATTTGTGTGCCTCTGTAAGGTTGAATAGAGCTGAAGAATTAGTTTTGTTTTCTAAGGTAACTCGTTTAATTTGATTTTTTTTTAAAGATAGTAGCCACAGAATCCCGCGAAATCCAATTTTCTGTCCATGTTTCTAAAACTCTTGATGTTTATGATAAATTTATTGCAAAGGATAGAAATGTATTACTGTGCTTTCCATGCACAAAACTCAAATCATTAGAAAAGGATTTAGTTAAAAGAGGCCACAAAAAGTTCTATTGGGAATTGAAGTTTGGCCTTGGAATGGATGTGGGATAAGGAATACAATTCTGACATTCTTCTCATTCACAAGCTACATTTATAATTAATATTTAAAAGTTTCTAATTAAAAATGAAAATACAATGATTAATCATCTAAATTGATTGTGGTGAGGGGAAGGAATAGAAATGTGTATGCTTCTTTTGGGGATTACATCATACACACTTTCTCATGGAAGGCTGTAGCTCTTAGTTTTTCAATTATTCTTCCATCCTCTACCTTTCAACCAACGACATCAAATACAGCAACACTGATCATCTGTGATGGATTTATTTTAGTGACTCTTCACTTAGCCCAAATTGCTTCTGCCCACCACTGGAATTACAGATATGTTGCAATGGGCCAAGACACTTGGTCATAAAACAATTCCTTCTCAAAGCCCACAAAAGAATGATCAGGAATACAGCAGGGGAGAAGATAGTGAAAAACAATGCTGGGTTCTTGAGAATACACCTGCTACATTTTTCTATGGTAATCTATTCTTCCCATCCTATGTGAAATTCTTTATCTATAACTGTGTACATGTTCATCCACATTGGGAAAATCCCTGAAAGACCATGTAAGATTACCTGGTGAGCTAGTATGTGAAGAATGTAATTTATTTTAACTCAATGAAATGCACTTTAAATTTCTTTCTTTCAAAACATGAAATGGAAGTGCAGCTTCAAAGTTTTAAAATTGATTGTGAAATAATTTTGGACAAGTCTTCTAAGAAGAAAGAAAGAAAAACCAGAACTAGTTGGCATTTCCTGACTGTAATCTTACTGCTTAATTTATATAGGCACTAGAGTACTAACCTATTGCATAAATTCACCTACAAAATTGTTCAATATGTGCACCCACATGGATGACTTCATGTTTCATAAACATGTTGAACACATCAAACATTCAAACAAATCCAGGAAATCTTGGAGTTCAAATACCATGTTGAGTTTTTTGACACAAACAAATATTGTTTATAAACAGCTGGTGAACGGTTATTATGAAGTATGGCAAAAGAAATATGTGGAAGGAATAAGCATTATCCTCATCTTTTTTCCAGAGCAATCTAAAGCGCATAGTCCAACATTTGAACATAGCAAACAGTTAATTTATAAAGAAATGATTCATATATTCTATGTGAGAATTTGAAGAATAACCAGGAAGCTTCCTCAGCACTCTAAGTAGCCATTATTAATGATGATAATAGGTACCATTTAGTGAATACCTACATCATAGAAAGTCCCAGGCACTTTACACATGCATTTGTCTCATTATCTTGTTAATTTCCACCCTACCCACCTCTAAGAAAGTTACAGTGAAAAATTAATTTAATTTTCAACTTTCAGTGAGAGGCCAACAGAAATTTAAAAAAAAAAATGGTAATCTTGCCATGCCAATTGCTAATTAGTGTCATTCAGCTGTGCCCATGTAGACGCTCTGTACCACAGCAGAATAATAAAACTAGGTCATTGCAGACCACAAAGGGCCTTGTGGTAGATCAATCCCAAAGTAGCAAGGAATCTGAGAGATCATCTAATATGATGCTTTCATTTTAAAGATCAGAAAACTAAAGCCCAAAGAGTTTGTTTGATTTGTCCAAAGTCAGACAGTGAGTCAGTGGTGCAAATAAGATTATGTATTATAATTAATGAGTTAATTCAGAAACGAAGATAATTTTCAATGTTAGCTTTTTCCCCAAAGGCTAAGACTTATTCAATTTCTTTAAAAAGTAATTCATATCTTCAGAAATTATATTTTTTATTTGGTTTATGTTTATTGTGTGTGTGTGTGTGTTTTGTGTGTCACTAAAGATCAGAAGTGTCACCAATTGATTAGAAGGGTCACACATCAGAAAAGATTCTTCTTTCAGTTTTACTGATACTTTTGAATAGTTTAAATCTATTTCAAGTCTCCTTGAAATCTACATGCATCAATCTGTATGCCAGAGACAAATGATGTGCTCCGTCTTGCCTACATAATAGTGAGTTCATCAGCCGTAAAGGAATAGCAAGTGAGGTACGGTTTATTTCCTCTGCAGCCAAATGGATAATTTTAAGGCTTATTAAAATTATAATTTCAGTTTAAATGGCTGAATGAGGATGGTGGCAGTTTTCCCAGATGGTTTCTTTTAGTATCATATTTATTACCACAAAAATGTCATTAATTATCTGCTGAAATTTTCATCATAATGATGATGGTAAACGAATAACAATTTTTTCAAGGAATACAAGAAAGCTATTAATTTTGCCAAACAAAACAGCAAGGAAGTAATGTTTATTTATAAGTAATTAAATGAAAGTTAGATGATAAGCTAAATTTTTTGTTATTCTGTCACCAATGCAAAAGTGTAAACATCAAATTGTTAATGTAACTATTTCTTTAGAGTAAATCTTACAAGATAACATGCATATTGAGTTTGAGACTTTTCTCAGCATAATTACATGATATTATTGGTAGTATGATGGTAAACTCTGGCGTTGAATTATCTAAAGTAGTATACAGGTCCATCAATAGTTTGAAAAGTTTTAAAAGTTAAACAACAAATAAGGATACAAAAATATTTGCAACAGATCTAAAAAAATGTACATATACTAAATGATTAATTTCTAAAAGCCCAACCTTTCTAATGAAGGAAATTAGGTTTAAAGCAAGATATCCTTTCACCTGTCAAATCAACAGATTTTAAGAATAATATTATTGAATTTATTGAATGCATAAATGTGATAATACTGGTCTGACTAAAGCAGTACCCTCAACACTACTAGAAAGAATAAATTACCACATCTTTTTAAGAAGAAAGTTTAGGCTGGATGCAGTGGCTCACACCTGTAATCCCAGCACTTTGGGAGGCCGAGGTGGGCGGATCACCTGAGGCCAGGAGTTCAAGACCAGCCTGGCCAACATGGTGAAACTCCATGTCTACTAAAAGAAAATAAATGCAAAAATTAGCCGGGTGTGACGGTGCATGCCTGTACTCCTAGCTACTGGGGAGGCTGAGGCAGGAGAATCGCTTGAGCCTGGGAGGTGGAGGTTGCAGTGAGCCGAGAATGCGCCACTGCACTCCAACCTGGGCAACAGAGTAAGACTCCGTCTCAAAAAAAAAAAAAAAAAAGAAGAAAAAAAGAGAAAGAAAAAAATTAGCTTGGAATATAAGAAGTGTCACCTTTTGAAAGTGGTATCAGTGGAGATCTGTAGGTTTTAGAATTTTAGATGCTTGTTATTTTCCTTTGTGTACATTTCCATATTTTCCAAATTCTCTACAATGGGTACTTACATAATTTGTAGTTAAAAGTAAACAAAACCCAGTGTTTTAAAGGCAATTAGGCTTCTACATTTTGCCCTATAAAGTCACAGCATTGAAGACATTTTTTTCCAAGTTGGAGAAAAAAGAAAGAGAAACTTGCCAACTCTAAAATCACTACTAGTATTTGAGCTTAACAGCGCTCACCCACTTTCTTCTTATAGCACTTTGTCTCTGAAAAATGTTAAGGACCTATTTTCTCTAACATGTTCATGAGTAGATCCCTTTCTTCTTTTCTCTGCCTTTAATATTCTCCTTATCAACAAATCATTTCTAAATAGTCCTGTATTGAAGGTATTTACAAGGTATTAGGATTAGTAAGAGATATGAAATCCTGGCTCAGACCCCCATTCCCTGCCCCATAGTACTCTTATTTATGTTAGAGAGGTAGGATTTACAATTTAGAAAATAACATGGTAGGTTTCAAATGAGTGGTACATTACAACTTTTACTTCATCCCCAAATAATGTATTTTTACACGATGCAGGTAACTCATATGCCTTTTAAAATTAGCCTCAGAACACATGTTGTTACTTATCTCAAGACGACTTTCTGTGGAAAAACTTCTGTCAGATCCAAATACCATAAATACTTATCCATTCCATCAGTAATTGGTGGGTTTTTAATCTCAAAAATATTTTAAACTGCAAAATTGATTTTTGAAAAAGTCCCTTTTTTAGTTACTGGAAAATTTACAGCTATATTTGTGGTCTGCTCCAGTGGCTGTGTCAAGTATAAGCATGTATTTTTGCTTCAACTTTTGTTCAACTCTTTTGGCTGCCAGCTTTGTTTCCATTAATTTGCCTCAAGTTTAAATTGGGCTCCCTTCTTTATTTTATGTGTCTTTATAAACCACATTAATTCCTTCCTAAAGAATATAATATTGTGGTACTTATTCAAGATGGATGACTAGAAGCAGCTAGTGGATGTCTCTTCCACGGAGATGAATCAAAATAATGAGTAAATACTCGCAGTTTGAAGAGATAGCCTGAAAGGACACTGGAATTCATCAGAGAAGTTAAAGGAATCACAAAAAGCAGAATGAAGCCAGACAGCTTGCTGATCTGGGATCTGCATAGAGTGGGAAGAAGCTCCCTGACACAGGGAAGGAGTAAATGAGCCCTCCACGCTCCCACTATGGACTTTCAGAATCCAGGAGCCTCTTGGACGCTCCTGGGCCTCCAGTCTAACACAGGGAGCTGCCTGGAGATCATGCAGAGGCTTTGCCTTAGCCCATGTATATGTCATCCCACAGGCCTTTGATGCCCGAACAGCTGCAGATCTATGAGAGCTGCTGCCACCTTGCTAGGGAGGGATCTCAGGGTGGGGGGTGGGCAGGCACTTTTGCATGCCCTGAAGACAGATACCACTGCCACTCTCACGATGTAGAGTAGCAAGCCAACTGTGTGCCTCACAGTTGCTTGCCTCTGCTGCTCCTGCTAGGGGAACCTGCCTTCTACAGGGGCCATTCTGGCTATAACCCATTGCTTTTGTGAGAGCCCAGACTGCAGAGGCCTGTGATCTGCCCTGGGCATCCTGCTACCATCATCACAGCCGCTGCCACCACTGCCAAACCAGGAAGGTAGCAAGGAGACTGGACATCACGCCATGCCAGACAAAAGATACTGTCTGCTCCTGTGAGAGGGAGGCATGGGCACAGCTGCCTGCCTCCACCGCTCCTGCTGATATTCCCAGGTGACAGGCCTGCAGCGCAGCCACCCTACCCCCACTTGATTATTTCAGCTGTGGCCTGGAACCCTCCTAAGAGCCTAGCCAGTAAAGGCCTGTGGTCTGTCCCAGGCTGCTGCCACTTGAGGGTTCTGCAGCTGCCTGAGCATTCAGCCTGCAGCCATCTGAGCATTCTGCTGGCGGCCTCTGGGCCAGCCTGCCCCTCCCTATCATAGCCAGCACTTGAACCCCAGGGAGCTGAGATGTCTGTTGATCCAGCCCTGGTCCAGACCCTCTAGGGTGCATGCATGCCATCCAGAGAGCCATGTAGGGACCTGCGGATTGGAGAATTGCCAAACCTAATCCACCATCACTGTCACCCAATCACTGTCTGTGTTGGCTGATGACATGATGTTACACCTAGAAAACTCCCAAGTCAATTACTGCATGTTCTCTCTTATAAGTGGGATCTAAACAGTGGAATCACATGGACATATAGAAAGAAATAATAGACACTGTGGACTCCAAAAGGGAAGAAACTGGAGAAGGGTGAGGGTTGAGAAATTACCTATTGGCTACAATGTTCACTACTTAGGTGATGGGTATACTAGAAGTCCAAACCTCACCAGTACACAATATATCCATGTAACAAACCTTCATCTGTAGCCCCTGAATTTATAAAAGTAAAAAATAAGAATGTGTGTTTCCAAAAAAAAAAAGAAGAAGGAGAAACTTAAGGTATCTTTGAAGCCAAATAATTGAAAAAGAAGTAATGGGAAAAGCTATCTATTATACAATTCTCCTTTTTTGACTACTTATGTGATTACATTCTGGAAAAGGAAAAACTACAGGGAAAGAAACAGATCTATGGTTACCAGAGTCTAGGGGTGGGGAGAGGCTTATTAGAAAGGGGTGTGGGAGAATTTTGGGGGGTGATGGAATTATTCTGTATCTTGACTGTAACTATGGTTACATAAGTACATGTGTTTGTCAAAAATCACATGATTGTGTATTAAAAGTGAGAATTTTACTGTATGTAAATTATGTATTATAATATAAATTGAAACAAAGAAGGTGATATAAATAAATAAATAAATGGAAGTAATACAAGGATTACAGAAACATGTCAGACAATTTAAGTTAACTTATGCTGTCGTAACCAATTACTTCAATTTTTTAATGGCTCACAAACAAAAAAGGTCATTATTAACTCATACCACATGTTCATCAGGATATGCTTCAGCTATGTTCAGTTTCATCTTTATTCTGTAATTCAAGCTGATCTGGTACATTGCAGATCTCTTGGAAGAGGGAAGAGGGAAAGTAATGGCTTTAAAGCTTCTGCTCAGAACTGGTACCTACTACTTTCACTCATATTTCATTAGCCATGAAAACCTGATAGGGTTTGGCAAACAACTGGCTATGGTTAATGAGATACAAGGTACCTATGAAAGTGATAGGTACCAAATGTGACACAGATATGTACTCCTCCTACAGGTAGGGACCACAGATATTTGAAGAGTAACAATCTATCCCATGGAAGAAGAAATAAGTGTGCTTTGGGGTTTTTGAAGAAGTCTACAACCAGAAGACAGGATATACAATGCAAAATGCTAGGTGTCATTCTTTGGTTTCTGTACCTGCAAAATGGGCATGATTACTTTGAAGACGAAATGAAACTAAAACTTACTAAATATTCAATGAATATTGGTTCTTACCACTTGATTTTGTAGATTCATGGGAAGTCAAATGAAGGAGGAGGTAAGTAAGCATCTAAACTAAATATGTGTGAGACTGAACTTTTTAACTTTTGCCTCCAAGCTTCTTCCATCTGCAGTCTCCCCATCTCAGTGGATGACAAGTTCATGCTTTCAGTTCCTCAGGCTGAATCCTGGCAATCATCACTAACTTCTCCTTTTCTTAAGTCCCATATCCAATCTATCAGTAAATTCTGTCAGCTCTAGCCTGGAAACATATTCAGAACTCACCCATTTCTTACCACCTCCACTGCTACAACCGTAGCCAGAGTCATCAAAACATCTGCCTACATTGCTGCAATTGCCTTCAAAATATTCTCCCTATTTTAGTTCTCCACATTGTATTCTCAATGTCAGCAAAATTTTCTTTAAAATATCTAGTCCAAGCACGTCACTTTTTGCTCAAAAACCATTCAATGGTTCTCTACTGCACACAGAGTAAATCCCAAAATCCTTTAACTGACATCTAACATCCTATATAATCTGATTCCATTATCTCTCTGGCCTAATTTCTTACTCTTTTCACTTTGTTCACCCTCTGAAGCCTTCCATGCTTCAGCCATTCTTGCTGTCCTTTGAATGTGCCAAGCATATTCCAACCTTTGGGTCATTGCTGTGACCACTCCATGTGCCTGAAATGCACAGATAGCTAACACCTTCACCTTCTTACACCTTTGCTTGAATGCCATCATCTCACTAAGACCTCCTGTGACCCCATACTACCCAGGGAAGTCCTGCCTCTCTTTTTCTACTTTGTCATTTTTCATGGCACATTTCACCTCCCAATGTACTGGATAATATAGTTATTTGCCATGTCCATTGTTTATTGTCTATCTCTCTCTTCGGAATACTTGTTCTATAAGTGCAAAGAGCTGTGTTTTGTTCACGAATGTTTCTCAAGCACCTGCAAGAGCATATCACTTAGTAAACATTTTCTTGATTAATGAATATAATATTGTGGAGGTAATAACTCAAAAAATTTGGTGAGTGACTGGATATGATGGAGTGGCAGTAGCATAAATTATAGGAAAGAAAGGAAGAAAATGAACAACTCCAAAGTTAAGTTTTTAGCCTGAAGGTTTGTCCCATCTTTTCTTCTGAAAATAAGTCATTGGTTTAGAAATCCACTGAAACAATACCTATTCATGTTTGAATTTTGTGACTCAACATTCAAGTTCATGCCTAATGGAATGTTACTCAATAAACTTGAATTTTATAACTAAACTAGTTAGTTTACATCTAGAAAAGACAGATAAATCTATTCCTAGGTATTAAAAGAAAACTTAGGGGAGATCACTATAAAAACCCATGTAGAACAATATTTAACTCTTTTTCCCCCTCAGTTTATGCTCCACTCAGCCTTAGAAAGAGGTAGAAAAGTGTCACAGTACAATTTTAAATAATAAAATATCATATCTGCTTCCCTTCCCATGCTTTTCCTCTTCCAGAATGGACATGTTAGCTTACTATTATTCTGAAGAAAGGTAGGAGGAATAAATGTGCTGTTCTAATTACTAATTTACTATATAGAAAAAACATAAATGAGTTATTATATAATTTTATTATATTATTACTTATAATAAGATAACTGTAATTAGTACATTAAATTTAATTATTATATATAATATGGCTCATTAGACTGGTGACAGATAAAAGATTTTAAGAAAAGGTCTATAGAACACTCAGTTAAGAGAGAAAGCACCAGCCGGGAGTGGTGGCTCACAACTGTAATCCCAGCATTTTGGGAGGCTGAGGCGGGCGGATCACCTGAGGTCAGGAGTTCGAAACCAGCCTGACCAACATGGAGAAACCTCATCTCTACTAAAAATACAAAATTAGCCGGGCGTGGTGGCATGCGCCTGTAATCCCAGGTACTTGGGAGGCTGAGGCAGGAGAATCGCTTGAACCCAGGAGGTGGAGGTTGCCGTGAGCTGAGGTTGCACCATTGCACTCCAGCCTGGGCAATAAGAACTAAACTGCATCTCAAAACAAAGTTAGAGAAAGCACCTTGAAGTCTGTGGTCATGCCTTGTACTGTTTTACTCCTATTAGCACCAAACATATGACAGCATGCGTAGTAAGAGATTAGAAAGTATTTATTGGTAGATTAGAAATGAATTCATTGCATTTTAGATATAGCTATATTGCAGACTTGACTTCAAGGCCAGATATTCTCAGAGAGGCCAGTTAAATCACAAATCTAGAAACCTGCTGGAGTCCAGTTTATTAGCATATTTTTTATTAGTCATAGCAATTCTTTCCATTGCATAGCTTGCAAAGGACATTATATTAATCAAAGCCCTAGAAGAACACACATGACACATTGAAACTTGCTAATAGAAGACAGTTTAATAGAAAGGACAAAGTATGAAGGTGTGTACAGGGTTTATGGAAGAGATACTGCAAGATATAGTGCAATTCCCCAAGGACAGCATTGCTGGGGAGCTGTTATTACCCATGGGTCCGAAGAACATGAGGAAAGAATAGTTACTGAAATCTGGAGAAAAAAATTATATGGAGAAGGCTGCTTGGCAGGAGTTGTGGCAAATTGCCTGGAGGAATAAATACTGTGGACTTTTTTTACACATTCCCATCTGCTACCACCAGTACCTCCCATTGGCTAAATACAACTGGAAGCCAAGGGCAAGAAAACCCATTGATGTGGTCTGTGGAAGTCCACCTTCCAGGGCACAAGACAGGGAGGAGAAGATACAAAGGTCATTTGAATAGGCAAATGGAAAACTCTCAGCACAGGGAAGAATCACTCCTTTCGCTAAAGATGGTGAGAAGCTGTGTTACGCAATTCCTAGATCTTTGAATACAGTAGATTAAAATAATGTTTCCTTGACATAGACAAATGGACCTTGACTCAATGTCAATGTGTGTGTAGAGTTCGTAGAAACTTTTATATACACTTAAATTATATTAAATTGTTTTTTACAAGGATGATAAAAAGAGTATAGAAATAGATAAACAATGATCAATTGAAAGCCAAGCGAAAGAATCTTTAAAAACATTTTATACTAGAAATAGATTATGAAAAACCTCCTTCCATGAATTGCTTACTACTTTGCATTTATACAAACTCCATTTCCCATTACTATAATATGAATATTTTTAGGGCTAATTTTACAACTGTAGTTCCGCTAATATGTTGCTTTATAATGCAGAACCCATTTTTTTTTTGTGAAATACATTGATGTATTTTAATTTTATTTTGTGTGTTATAAAACCTTTTTATGTCCTCATAATCATCAGAATTTTATGTTTTATTTGTCAGCCTGTTAAGTATCCCTTAACTTGTTGATGATTTTAATTACTCTTAAAAGCCATTTATTCTGTTAGTTTTAATACCACACAAACTTCATTTCAAAAAATATGTTGATAAAAGTATAGTGAATGCACATATACTTAAAAATAAAACTACTATTTGAATTGTCTTGGTAACTTGTAATTTTCTCCCTTGTAGGGCCTGTATTGCAGGAGCTAAATGATTGAAACTAAATTTCCAAGAAACCCTGCTATTGGAATCCACAATGAGAGACTCTTGCTTTGGACTTTGAGGGTAAAAGAGAAGCTTTTGTGAAATTATTGCTTCTTCAGTAGTACTTGAGAGAGATGGGGATTTTGACAGATGGGAGGTTTTGCAAAAGTATTATCTAGAAAATTATCCACCTTAGTGGTGGAGGCAGCCTTGAGCATCACTGGTGCTTCCAGTGGTTCCTGCAACTTCTGGGCTCCTTGCAAACTAGATATGACCCCACGGTCTAGAAGAGGACTTTCTGACTCAGTTGTCCTTCCTTTATTATGGATTTGTGGGCATCTACCTTACTGTATTAACTGTTGTCCTATAAATATACTTTCCCGCTTGAACACTTTTAAGTTGTTTCTGTTTTCTTGACAAAATCTAAACCAACACAAAACTTGGTTTAAAAAGGCAAAGAGGGAAGGTACTGCCAAGCAAAAACCTAAAGTATGTGACTCTGCCAAATGGCTAAGTAATGAGATGTAAGGAAATTGTTTTGGGAGAGGCTGGAAATGTGGATATGCAATGGAAAAACCTTTAGGAAAGTTTTACATATGATAACTCTAGAGTAGCAAATGAGTCTCAAAGTGCAATAGTATGCAGAAAAAGTTAACATAGCAGAGCTGAGATTGCCACCTTTAGCAAGTCCTGACTGAAATTTTGGCCCTTGGCTGGTGTCTGGGAACAGTTATGAGGAGGGTTCTCACCATTTCCTGATAAGAATGGCTCGCTGTGCCTAAAATATTCATGAAACCATATGGTTTTGCTTTCCTTCAGGGAGACTGTAATTTTGGTATGTGCTAGGCAGCGGGTGCCTCCATGACCAGCCCTCATTAACAACCCAGCTATTTAATCTCAGATGAACTTCCCTGCTAGACAACACTTCACATGGATCGCCACAACTTGCTGGGGGGACTAAGCATGTCTGGTGTGAATCCACTGGGAAAGAACTCTTGGAAGCTTACACCTGGTTTCCTCCAGACGTCACCCCATGTGCCTTACACTTTGCTGATTTTGCTTTGTATGATCTCACTGTAATAAATCATAGCTGACTATATCCTGAGTATGATTATATCCTGAGTCCTGCGAATGTTCCTAGCAAATCATCTAAGCTGGGGATGGTCTTGCAGATCACTAACACAAGTGGGCAATCGAATTTCTCTCAGATTGTTGAACTGAGGTATAATTAAAGAGTTTCACCCACCCTGACAGAAGAAAGTCTTCATGCATCCTGCCCAGCTGACTCTGAATAACTCTCATTGGTTATGGACCAGTGACTACTCTGTGTCTCACATTCTCTTTTCTGAATGGGGAGTTTTATTGCACTTATCCTGTGTCTGTTCCATCACTGAAAATTGGGTGTCTTATCTTTCAGGTTCCAACCCTCTCCCTATATGCTGTTTTGTGATGTTGTTGCTGAGATTCTGCAAACACATTTTTGCTTTGCCAACTGGTTCCCTGGTAAGCTAAGTCAAAAGATGATACTATCAGGAGACAAAAAGGCTTGAAGTGATGAAAGGGACACTATATTTCTTGTTCGTTTCTTGTTTCTTTCTGTGCCACTCCAGCCTCACTTCTTTACCCTGGAAATGGCAGTCCATTCCAGCGACAGCAGATTAATCAAGTTTGCAATTTTTCCAATACTTGCAAAACAAGCTTCATTGCAATTTCTCCAAATTATTGTTACCAGCTGAATTATACCCCTTTCTGAAAAGTCAGGGTCCTAACCCTACGGAGCCCCTTCCTTCCAATTCATGGGGGCCAGCATCAGCTGATCAGCTTCTCTTTTTTCGATTCTGAATTTCAACATCACAGAACCTCTCCTCCAAGCTTCTAAATTTCAATAATTCATTTTTTTTCTCCTCACCCCTTCAGCCCTAGTGGTGGTAGCTTTTTCCCGCAGTTGCTAGCTCTGTAACACCTTAGGAATTCTTTTTTGACCCTTAGTTCTTCCAAGACTAGTTATGAACATTTCATATTGAATTCTCATCTTTAAAATGGCTGGTGTGATTCGACTCCTGATTGAATCTTGACTCTGTATGGGTGGGGAAGGCCAAAAGTAAGGGTGGTAACAGTTTGTCTTATAGTTCACATGACCTGAAATCCCCCTTCTGGACTTAATCAAGAAGACTCCATCACCTAAAGATCCTGGACTATCCACCCGCTGCAGTGATTGGAAGAGACTTCCTGTTATCCACCTTGGAGAAATCTGAGATCAAGGTGTTGGCAGGGTTGGTTCCTTCTGAGAGATGTGAGAGAAATGCTCCATGCTTCTCTCCTAGCTGGTTGCTGCTGGTAATCTTTGCTGTTGCTTGGCTTGGAGATGCATCACCTTGATCTCTGAATTCATGTTCACTTGGTGCTTTTCCTGTATATATGTCTATCTCCAGATTTCCCCTTTTTATAAAGATACCAATCCTATGGAATTAGGGGCCAACCCTACTCCAGTGTGACCTCATCTTAACTATTAATAATTACATATATAAATGCTATTTCAAAATAAGATTACATTCTGAGATACTGGGGTTCACGACTTCACTACATGAATCCTGGAGAAAAGAATAGCCCTGTTCAAAAGAATTTAGTGGCATATATGCCACTTCAAGGTCTGACCCATAAACACCCATGTTATCATATGCTCTTTTTTCTGTCTTCCTCTTGGATGTCAAGCCCCAAAGACCTTGAAATATGAATGCTAAAGAAGCCTGGAACCCTAAATGGTGTAGAAAGCAGAATCCTAAACACCACCACATGCTTACACTGATTGTACTCTTTGTGAGCGTCATGAAAACATCTATTATGACACAGATTGCATCTATGTGTCACAGCAGCTAGCATTACCTTAACTAAATCAACTACATAGTTAAAAGCAATGATCATACACTTAAAAAGGGTATCACAATTCCACCTATACTTTTATCTGTAATTCCGTGATAGTACTTTGACATTTGTATTATACAAATACACTAATTATCAGAGAAATGCAAATCGAAACCACAAGGAGCTATCATCTCACATCTGTTAGAGTGGCTATTATCAGAAAGACAAAAGATAAGTGTTGGCAAAAGGAATCCTTATACACTGTTAGTGGGAATGTAAATAAATACAGTCATTATGAAAAAAAGTATAGAGTTTCTACAGAAGTTAAAAACAGAACTACCTCATAAATCAACAATCCCACTTCTAGATATATATCTCAGAGAGTTATCTGCACCACCCATTTTCACTGCAGCATTATTCATAATAGCCAAGACCTAGAAGCAACCTAAATGCCTATTGTCAGATGAATGAATAAAGAAAATATGATAGAATGGATATACAACATTTTTATATGTTGGAATGTTATACATTTTTTATACAATGGAATATTATTCAGCCTTATGAAAGAAGGCAATCCTGCCATTTATGAAAGCATAGATGAACCTGGAAGACATGATTCCAAATGAAGTAAGCCAGATTCAGAAAGGCAAATGTTGCATAATATTGTGCTTATATGTGGAATCCAAAATGGTCAAGCTCATAGAGACAGAGAATAGTATAGTGGTTACCAGGATCTGGGGGGAAGGCGAAATGAAGAGATATTGGTCAAGGGATGCAAGCTTCAGTTACACAAGACTAAGTAGTTCTGAAGATTTAATATATAACAATGTGGGGTAGATCTTAAGTGATGTTACCATAAAAAAAAAAAAGAAAAAAGAATGGAACAGATAGACCAGAATAGAAAAAGTAAAGTGTGGTAACTATCTGAGGTTATGAATATGTTAATTTGTTTGTGGTGATTATTTCACAATGTATATGTATATCAAATCATCAACTTGTGCATTTTAAATATATATAATTTCTCAGTATTAAATATACCTAATAAAACATTTTTAAGAAAGAAAGAGGTCTGAGGAAAATTACTCTAAATAATTTCATCTGTCTACTAGGCTACACAGCTGATATATTAGTTTGCAATACTTAACATTGAAAGAGGGATCAGACACATACATATAATCCAAAGTCAAAGAATATAAGCCAAGGGATCAGAGGATAAATTTATATCCTCTGATTTTTAAAATAAAATTTAAACTTTTAATTTTTTAAATTTTATTTTTGTTTTCTTTCATTCTATTTCCTTTATACCAAAGTTAAAATAAAAAGTAGTCCAATGGACATTTGGACATCTGTAGGAAAGCGCTGGTATAATTTCCTGAAGAAAAAAGTAAGGTCTAAACTGAACTCGTTTCAGAACTGAAAAATAAACTGTCAGGCTGAGCGCAATGGTTCATGCCTGTAATCCCTGTACTTTGGGAGGCAGAGGCGGGAGAATCACTTGAGTCTAGGAGTTCAAGACCAGCCTGGGCAGCAGGCTATCTCTATGAGAAATACAAAAAATCAGTGGGTGCCTGTAGTCCCAACTACTTGGGAAGCTGAGGTGGGAGGATCACCTGAGCTGGGGAGGCTGAAGCTGCAGTGAGCAGTGACGGCACCAATGCACTCCCACCTGGGACACAGAGTGAGACTCTATCTCAGTCAGTCAATCAGTCAGTTGAATCAATCAGTTAATCAATAAGTAAATAAACTATCAGTCATTAACAAGAGTTTTATATTGAGAAGTGCTTTAAAAGTTACTAAAAACACTCTTTTCTATATGAGAAGGATAGGCTGACATTTTAGTCCTATTTGAAAAAAAAATTAGAAATTCTAGCAAAGGGAAAAACATTGTGTCTCTCCATAAATTGGCATATCAAAAACACCTTTTAGAGTTTCCCAGCCTTCTGCATGACAAGAAATGATTGAAGTACAAACCGATTTGAACCCTTGCATTTCCAGGGAATTTGGGGACACTATTCTAATAAACACTTATATGGTGAGTTGCTGGCAGGTCAGCCTAATTCAGCCATTAGTTTTGAGTATTCCAGGTACTTAGAAAGAAAAGTATGGTTGAAATGGTCCATAATATTGCTAACCTAAGACATTTTTTCCTTATTTTCTGCTAAAAAGCAGTACTAATTAGAAGACTCACATTGGCCTTGCACTATGTAATCATGGTTTTCAACACAAATCTAGGAAATTGAGTTTCTGAAAATAGAATAACAGAATGATGCCTTCTGTTCACATAGATAATGGTCACTGGAATGATTTTCCAAGTAACAATTTTGATGAAAAGTATTGAATTGCACCCAAACTATCTTAAAAAATTCATTTGCCACAATATAAGGTGATATTATTGTGATGATAGCCCCAAAATAAGGAGTATGTGGTAAAAAAAAACAGAAAAAAAATCAGAATGTAAGATATTAATATGGACACTTTCAGAAGGTAGAAACTGGAATGTAATACATTAAAATTGCATGGATTTAAATGCACCAGATCTAATTTAGACATGGAAAAGACAATATTGTATCTGAATAGCAAAGTTACTGTTATTTCTGCTAACCAGGGCTACCACTTTTTCTGTTTCTGAAGTGAAAGGGAGGGAAGGTGAGTATATAGTAGTTAGAACATATTTATTCAGTATTCACAAGAAGTAAAATGCCAGGAGAGGTTTTGAAGAAGAAAGATACTTTACGAAAGGAAGTAGCTGGTTCTAGATTCTTGATGATATCAACACCAATTATCTAAATAATGAATTTTAGTAAAATTCAATAAAAACATTTATGGACACTTTTTACATGCATGTGACTTTGTGTAAGTCACTTGGGCTATTTGAACCTTGACTTTCCTATCTGTTGAAGGGGAAAATAATGGATAATTTACATAAGTATAGGAGAGAATACAGGTACATTTTCCAAAATACTTTTTTTTTTGAGACAGGTTCTAACTGTCGCCCAGGCTGGAGTGCAGTGGTGCCATCTCAGCTCACTACAATCTCTGCCTCCCAGGCTCAGGCAATCCTCCCAACTCAACCTCCTGAGTAGCTGCGACCACAGGTGCCTGCCACCATGCCCAGCTTATATTTTGTTTTGTTTAATAGAGATGGGGTTTCACCATGTAGATTTCTTTTTGGAGTATAGTGCCCAAACTTCATAGATATATATATCTCTCAAAATAATACTTATGGGCTCCTTCCTTCCTCCCTTCCTCCCTCCCTCCCTCTCTTCCCTCCTTCCTTCCTTCCTCCCTCCCTCCCTCTCTCCCTTCGTTCCTTCCTTTCCTTTCTCCCCTCCCCTCCCCTCTCCCTTCCCCTCCTCTCTCCCCTCCCCTCCCCTCTCCCTTCCCCTCCTCTCTCCCCTCCCCTCCGCTCTGCTCCCCTCACCTTCCTTTCTTTTCCTTTCCCTTCGTTTCTTTCCACCCCGCCCCGCCCGGCTTTTTTTTTTTTCCAACATGGAGTCTTGCTCTGTCGCCCAGGATGGAGTGCAGTGGCGTCATCTGGGCTCACTACAACCTCCATCTCCCAGACTCAAGCGATTCTCCTGCCTCAGCCTCTAGAGTAGCTGAGATTACAGGTGCGCGCCAGCACACCCAGCTAATTTTTGTATTTTTAGTAGAGATGGGGTTTCACCATGTTGGTCAGGCTGGTCTCCAACTTCTGGCTTCAAATGACCCACTCGCCTCAGCCTCCCAAAGTGCTGGAATTACAGGCATGAGCCATTGCATCCGGCCCTTTTTGGCTAAGGTTTACAAAGAAAATATTTACATGCACGAGACTCACTAAAATTTTAACAAAATGATGTGTGGGAAAAATCTCAAATTATCTTCCGAATACAACTGTGAGACCATTAGAATTACATGCAGACACTTTGAAAGCCAGCCAAATATCAAACAAAGGGAATATGCAGTATGTTTTCACACACATAAACAAATATATGAAAACAAATATATTTATTAGTTATCAATAATTTATGGTTTAATAATTTTGCTTGTGTGTTACACATAGACAATTTACTTTGTCTTATTTACCTTTTAGAAGATTGACTGGGAGCTCTGAGTTGACAAAAAATACATTAAATTATTTCACATTATAAAAAAAGAGGAAATAATTTTCCAGTTAGTATTTTGTGCAGATTTTCGTGTGTCACTGTCATCAAGCAGGTGATGCTATGCCTATATATTCAAAATACATTATAGAATTTTAGAGATGGCATGCAATCAAAATAGTAGGAGGTCAAAATACACAAGGACTCTTAAAGCAAACCATGACAAAAAAGAGAAAACGGATCTTTCATCACTATTTTGGAGAATGTTGTTGCTGAGCATAATATGATAGAATATTCACCTCCCAGAACTGTCATTAAAAGAAATCCAAGCTCAGAATTACATTTAATAATAAAATATGCATATTTAAAGTCTATTTTGTCAAGAAACTATTTTTGATATCATTATAATGGATGTGTATAATGTGCAAACATGCTCTTTTCATGTCTGGAAATAGATTGTGCTCATGAAGAGCTGCACATTTTTAAGACTATGGAATCTGTTGCCAATTTTTATTAGTATTGTGCATCTCCTATGAGTGCTAGTCATCATATCAATAAACTAAACTCTCCCTTAGAACCATACAGTACTAAAAAACAGCTAAATATAGTAAGTTAAATAGAGACTCTGAGGCTACAACTGAATGGAAGTGGGTTTTTATTTTTGTAGAGATGTTCAAGATAACACTATCATTTATGTTTTAACAGCATTCACTTATTTCTGATTGCCTGAAGAAACATTTTGTGATATTTAATTCATTGTGATATTAAATAATATTGGTATTATGGAAATGTGATTAAGTTTTTAGTTATGCTATATAACATTAATTTCTAATTATTTTAAATAATAATCACATTTTCCTCACTGTAAAAAATGACATTATTTACTTAAAACCCTTTTGAAAATAGTGTGAAGAAACGCAGGTTGAAAAATAACGAATACTCTCAAGAGGTAAAAGATTATAAAGAGTCAGTTGTAGTAAGAACTCCAATATTTTTAACACCCAAGGTTGTGTAGTTTTCATGCTCAGTTTTCTCTACTCTGTCCTTTGACATATTTATTTTCATATTGCAAATTAGCCATTTGGAAATAATAAATATACAGTATAGAATTTTAGAGATGGCATGCGATCAAGTTATAAATTTTAATCATCTCTATATTCCCAGGATGTATTCAGATCCCCAGAGTAGGCATCCAAAGCATGTCTGTGGGTAAATGTATTAACTAATAAACCTAGTCAAGTGTTTCCCAACCTCTTTCATGCCATGGGAAACAGGGAAAAAAGATCATTTTACATAGCAATATTGGATAAATATGGGAGGACACTCATGACCAGAGGTCAGTGGTCCAGACCCTGTCCTGCTGCCTCGAGGGCTGAAACCATCAATACCTTGACACACCTGAAACTCATTGGCATGACAAGTAGAAAACACATCTGCTCTTTGTACAAAGCTATTTTATGGGTCAGGTGGAAATTGGAAGCTGGGAAACCAGTATCACCTTGATTCATGTTGAAATAAAGGAAGAGTGAATCATCTGCGTCAACTAGGGCAGATGTTTCATCATGTCCAGCAAAGATTCTGCATTCCTGTCCTTCCAAGCAGCTTACACATGTGAGATGGAGAGCCTGAAATAGCAGTAAGCATCCATGGTTTGCAGTGGGCTTCTGATATGGAGCTATGATAACTTCTACAATCACCTGGTACCTATATATTCCTTTTATAAATCAATGGTTTTGTAAATGAAACCAATGTTATTAAATATTTGTGTAACTCCAACAAATGTGTATATGTGTGATACATTCAGTTTATATATAAGAGAACAAGATCGGAGTAATTGAATGATTTATACAAACTTCTCTAGCTATTTAGTAGCAGAAGAGGGACTGAAAGCCAAGTCTTCTGAACCCCAGCTGCAGAGATCCATTGGAAGACACGCATATCAGTTATCCAGAAAAAAAATAATGCCACTTCCAAAAGAGTTTAAAGCTCTAAAGCCTAGCTCTTAATTTGTTCTAAAGAAAATTTTATCACAAACATTAGGATACGGTGTATTTTTTAAACAAGTAATTAGTATTTTCAAAGTTGCATCCTTGTGTTGTTTTCCTGTAAAAAAGACTCTTACTTATACCCAAATATATATGCAGCAATAACATTAAGTCAGAAATATTTTTGGGACTTACTTGTGGCTACCTATTTCCTTTGATGCTTCAGTATCCTAGGAGGATCTGGTTACTGATTGGCTTTTGCGTATCTATTTTAACCCTAGATATTAGATGACATTCAACTCACACCCCACCACTATTTTGAAAACCTTATATACTTACCCAGATTAGATAATTCATTCTGTGCCCCATGACTTTGTTACTGCTAAATTTTGGATTCTAACTGGCTATACAAAGGAAAGAAAGGCCCTAAGAGAGTGGGAAAAAAAAAAATCACTTTTGGAATGCCAAGCAGCATTGGTGCCTTTTATCTTGTATCCTTTTCACTCCATTAAGGATAAAACATCTCTTTAGGGTCATAATATTGGACTGAAATATCTTATGTTCTCATTGGAATATTTTTGTCCAATTATCAGAAACATCACTTTATCAGCAAAATAAGCACCCCTCACCCTGCCACCCTGTCCCCGGTTAATATTCATCTAACTCTATTGATGAACAAGTCCTAAGTCACTAGTACCCTAAAATGACTTTTAACATAGGGGTGTTTCCTTACTATGTTAACATTTAAATAACTCACTTCCTTAATACAATCATCAAAGACAAAAATCAACCCCAGAAATGCTGCCAAGTTTGCTGACTAATTGTGAATTATGTGTGCATGTAAGGAGTAGAGCACTTACATAACAGGAGCTAATCTGTCAACAGTAACATCAGAATATTGTGGCAAAGGTGGGAATAAAGTGAATATGAACTAATTGATGAGGGGAAAATAAATTCATTAAGTGGAACATCCTGAACAAGCAAAGTTCTGACTCTTGTTGCAAAAGAGAATTTCCTAATTCTCACACTACACCCTTCTCCCTGTGTCAGTAGTAATCAGATAGGAGTAGATATTTCAAGGAGTTAATAGAGTATTTTATATTCAATACTGAATTCAACGTGCAATATTTTGGACATCTTCTATGCATTTCAGAAGCTATTAAAGAAAACAGACAAAGGAGTGACATTAGCAAGATAGCAAAATAGAAGAATTCTACTCCCATATCCCATCTATGAACAAGAGTGCCTTTATGGAAGTTTGAGAGTCCAGCGGAGAAGTTCTAAGACAATATTAGATCATAAAATCCAAGAATAGACTCATTGAAGGGAGTAAAAGAACACTTCCATTTTACCTAAACCACCCATTTCTCAAGGTGGCACATCTCAGTGCCAAGAGAAGTCCCCTTGGCCAGCAATTTCTCCCACTGGAGAAAATAAGAACATAGGGAGTGAGCACTGGGTCCCTGAGCTGTGCAGGATGCTACCCAAGCAGCCCAAATTTTTCTTATCCCATCAGAATACTGATGTAATTGTCGTGACTGAGAGATTGGGAAAGCTGGGAGGTGGAAATAGAGGCCACAGAACCTACTAACTACTCCAAGGACTTCATCAAAAAGCCTGCCCAAAAGCTGCTTGGGATGCCTGGCTGGTGAACTCTCCTCAACTGGCCCATGGACATTCAAATTACTTTAGGTACCTCACTCCACCCAATGCTGGGCCAGCTCCCCTAGTGTGCCTTCATGGACAGCAAATGCAATCATCTTGCATAGACCACTAGCTCAACTATTCAGGATTGGGAGAAGGTACAAATGAACATTTCAGGGCACTATCTTAGGGAAAACAAACAACAGGCTCTCAGCATTTGACCTGGCTTTTCAGGATCAAAAGAAAGTATACAATCTTAAGAGTTCCTTTGAGAGAAGGAAACTTAAAAAAAGTGGGCACATCTATAAAAAAGGTCTAAGAGAGCCTCAGAATTACTAGATGGCCTGTGTAGTGAAAATGTTTCTCTCCTTAAGATAGTCAGTAAAGAACTAAATTCTTTAATTCTGAAAACGAAAGCACAACACTTCAAAAAACACACAAAAAATGTAAATATGACACCCAAAGGAACACAGTAATATTCCAGTAACCAACCCCAAAGAAATGGAAATCTGTGGATTGTATGAGAAGAGTTCAATAAAATTTTTTAAGGAAGCTCAGCAAGCTAAAAGAAAACACAGATAGAAAACAGCAAAATCAGAAAAAAATACAAAACAAAAGAGCAAGTTCAATAAATAGATAGAAATATAAAAAATGAACCAATCAGAAATTCTAGAACTGAAGAACAATGAATGAAATTTTAAAAATTCAAGAGAAAGTGCCAACAGTAGATTTTATCAATCAAAAGAAGGAATCCGTGTACTCAGAGATAAGTAATATGAAAATATTAAGTTAAGTGAGAAAAAAGATAAAATAATGAAAAGAAATGAAGAAAGCCTATGGGATGTATGTGACACTATCATTAGAGCTGACTTTCTCATCATATGATAGCCAGGAGAAGAAAGACAAAAGAGGAGAAAGCTTATTTAAATAAATATGGCTAAAATATTCCCAAATGTGGGGAGAGCTATCAACATGCACGTACCTGAAGCTCGAAACCCTCCAATTTCAATCCAAAAGAGATTTCACCAAAACATATTACAATCAAATTGTCAAAAGTCAAAGACAGAAAGAATTTGGAAAGCATCAAGAGAGAAGAAGTTGCTCACATACAAGGGAAACTCCACAAAGCTATTAGAAGATTTGTCAGCAGAATTTTTTTCAGGCCAGAGTGATGATGTATTCAAAGTGCTGAAAGAGAAAAGCTGCTAACCAAGTACACTTTACCTGGAAAAACTGTCCTTCAGAAATGAAGAAGAGATAAATAATTTCCTTATAAAACAAAAGCTAACAGAGTTCATCACCATTAGATTTGCCTTATAGGAAAAAAAGGGAGTTGTTCAAGCTGAAATGAAAAGATGTTAATCAGTAACATGAAAGCATATGAAAATATAATACTCACTGGTTAAATAAAAATATAGTTAAATTCAGAATACTCTAATGCTGTAGTGGTAGCATGTAAATAACTTATATCTCTAGTGTAGAGGTTAAAGATAAAAAATTTAAAAATAACTATGATAATTTGTTAAAGGATATACAATATAAAAATGATGTAAATTGTGACTTTGAAAACATATAATACATGAGAGGAAAGTAAAGTTTAGAGTTTTCATATATGACTGAAGTTAAGTTGTTATTAGCTTAAAATAGATTGTTGTAACTACAGTCTGTCTTAGGTAAGCCTCATGGTGACCACTGAGCAAAAACCTATAATAGATACACAAACGATGAGAAATAAATCAAAGTATACCATCACAGAAAAATTATCCAATCACAAAAGAAGACATCAAGAGAGGAAGAAAGAAACAAAATATCTATAAGGCAGCCAGAAAACAATGAACAAAATGGCAATAGTAAGTTCTTAATTGTCAATAATTACCTTTAATGTAAACGGATTAAGTTTTGCAATTACAAGAGACAGAGTGGCTGAATGAATTAACAATTTTAAAAGGACCCAACTATATGCTGCCAATAAGACACTCTTCCAGCTTTAAGGACGCATATAAATTGAAGGAATGGAAAAATACATTCAATGCAAATAGAAACCAAAAGAGAAGAGGTAGGTATACTTACATCAGAAAAATAGACACTAAGTCAAAACTGAGGAAATGAAAAGAAAGTCATTATATAATGATAAAGGGGTCAATTGATCAATAAGAAGTCAAAAGAGAAAATTAAAAACATTTTTGAGACAAATAAGAATGGAAAAACAACATATCAAATCTCATAGGATGCAGCAAAAGGGGAAAGTTTATTGGATAAATACCTACATAGATAAAACAAAACAAAACAAAAAGCTTTCAAATAACCTAACTTTACGCCTAAAGCAAATAAAAACAAAAAAGAAAAAACTATGCCTAAAATTAGCAGAAGGAAGTAAGTAGCAAAGATTGGAGCGGAAATAAATGGAATAGACAATAGATAAACAACAGAAAAATTCATGAAACTTAAGATGGTTTTTGAAAAAATAAAATTGATCAACCTTTAGTTAGGTTAATTAAGAAAAAAAGAGAGATGACACAAATAGATAAAATCAGAAAGAAGAGACATTACAACTGACACCACAGAAATACAAAGGATCATAAGAGGACTAGCTGGCAGTGAAATTTCAACAAATTGGATACCCTAGAAGAAATTGATAAATTCCTGGAAACACAAAACTACCAACTTAAATCATGAAGACGCAGAAAATCTGAACAGACCAATAATGAATAAGGAGACAAAATTAGTAATTAAATGTCTCCCACCAAAGAAAAGTCCAGGAACTGATGTCTTCACTGGTGAATTCTACCAAATATTTTTTAAAGAATTAATAGAAGTCTTTCTCAAACTCCTTTTTTCCAAAAAACAGAAGAGGAAGGAACACTTCAAAACTGGTTTTACAAGGCCAGTATTACCCCAATACCAAAGCCAAGCAAAGCACAAGCAAAGAACACAAGCAAAGCACATTAAAGGGCAATATTCCTGGTGAACATAATTGCATTGTGTTGCACCTCAACACAATACCAGCATACCAATTCGGCAGCACATTAAAAGGATCATACACTGTAATAAAGTGAAATTTATCCCTAAACAAAGAAATCAATGTGATAAACTATATTAACAGATCAAAGGACAAATATATAATGATCTCATTAGATACAGAAAAAGGTCAAGAACCTCTCATGATAAAAACTCATGAAATATTAGCTATAGCAGGACTAGACCTCAACACAAAAAAGTCATATGTCATAAGCCCACAGCTGACATTGCATTCAATGGTGAAAAGTTGAACGTTGGTTTTTTTTTTTAATCAGGAAAAAAGGCAAAAATGACCACGTTTGCCATCTCTATTCAGCGTAGTACTGGAAGTCTTATCCAGAGCAATAAGGCAAGAGAAAAAAATAAAAAGCATCCAAATAGAAAAGGGAAAAGTAAAATTGTCTGTATTTGCAGGTGACATAATCTTATACATAGAAAAACTCAAAGCCTCCACCCAAAAACTGTTAGAACTAATTTTTTAAAAATCAGTAAAGTCGCAGGTACAAAATCAGCATAACATCGGTGGCATTTCTACACACTAAAAATAAACTATCTGAAAAAAATTAAGAAAATCTCATTTGTGATAGCATCGAAAAGAATAAAATACTTAGGAATAAATTTAACCAAGGAGATGAAAGATTTGTACACTAAAAGCTATAGAACATCAGTGAAAGAAACTGAAGACACAGATAAATGAAAAGATATTCTGCATTCATGGGTCAGAATAATCAATAGTGTTAAATTGTCCATACTAAAAGTGAGTTGCTGATTCAACCCAATTCTTATCAAAATTCCAATGGCACTTTTCACAGAACTAGAAAAAAAAATCTAAAATTTGCATGGAACCACAAACGATCCCAAAAACTAAAGCAAACTTGAGCAAGATGAGCACAACTGGAGATGGGATACTTTCTGATGACAAATTGTATTACAAAGGTACAGTAATCAAATGAGTATGGCACTGAGATGGAAGGATCACCTTCAGCCCAGAGGTTCAAGATCAGCCTGGGCAACAAAGTGAGACCTCATCTCTACATAAAATTTAAAAGAAAGTAGCTGGGTGTGGTGGCCCATGCCTGTAGTCCCATTTACTCAGGAAGCTGAGGCAGGAGAATCCTTTGAGCCCAAGAGTTCAAGGCTGCAGTGACAAATGATCAGGCCACTGTACTCCAGCCTGGGTACCAGCCTGGGTAACAGGGTGAGATCCTGCCCCTCCAACAAAAAAAGAGTATAAAACAGGGCATAAAACAGACACATAGGGCCAGGCACAGTGGCTGATGCCTATAATCCCAGTACTTCGGGAGGCCAAGCCAGGCGGATCACCAGGTCAGGAGATCGAGACCATCCTGGCTAACACGGTCAAACCCCGTCTCTACTAAAAATACAAAAAAATTAGCCAGGGATGGTGGCGGGCGCCTGTAGTCCCAGCTACTTGGGAGGCTGAGGCAGGAGAATGGTGTGAACCCGGGAGGCGGAGGTTACAGTGATCCGAGATCGCACCACTGCACTCCAGCCTGGGTGAGAGAGCGAGATTCCATCTCAAAAACAAACAAACAGACAACAACAGCAACAAAAAAACCAGACACATAGACCAATGGAATGAGCAGAATAGAAAGCTGAGAAATAAACCCACGCACATATGGCCAGCTAAGCTACAAAGACATGATGGGGAAATGACAGTCTCTTCAATAAATGCTGTTGGGAAAACTGGATATCCACATGCAAAAAACAAAAAAATGAACGCTTATCTTACACCATATCCAAAACTCAACTCAAAATGGATTAAAGACTTAAACATAAGATCTGAAACCGTAAAAGTCCTTGAAGAAAACAGGTGAAAAGCTCCATGACACTGGTCTTGGCAATGATTTTTTGGATATGATACCAAAAGCACAGGCAACAAAAGCAAAAATAAATGGTGCTACAATAAATTAAAATGTTTCTGCACAGCAAAAGAGACAATCAACAAAATGAAAAGGCAACTTTCACAATAGGAGAAAATATTTGCAAACCATTTATCCTATAAGGATTTAATATTCAAAATATACAAGGAAGTCATGCAACTCAATAGTAAAACATAAAAAATAAAACACAAAATAACCCTGTTAAAAAATGGCCAAAGGCCTTGGATAGACATTTTTTTCAAAGGCAACATACAGGTGGCCAACAGGTATATGAAAAGATGAACACACCAGTAATCATCAAGAAAATGCAAATCAAACCACAATGAATGAGATATCACCTCACGCTAGTAAGAATGGCTATTATCAAAAAAATCAAAAGATAAAATGTTGGCAAGGATGTGGAGAAAGGGAAATTTTATATATTGTTGGTAGGAATGTAAATTGGTACACCTATTAAGGAAAATAGTACAAAGATTCCTCCAAAAATTAAAAATGGAATTATTTAATCTCACTGCTGGATACATATCCAAAGGAAATGAAATCAGGATCTTGAAGAGATATCTACACCCCCATGTTCACTGCAGCATTATTCACAATAGCCAAGTTATGGAAACAACCTATGTGCCCATAGACAGATGAATGGATGAAGAGTATGAGTCATATACACACAATGCGTATTATTCAGTCTTAAAAAGGAAGAAAATCCGGCCATTTGTCGCAACATAGATGAACCTGGACGACATCATGCGAAGTGTTTTCTGTTTCTGTTTCTGAAACAGAAAACAAACACTGTATGATCTCACTTACATGTGGAATCTAGAAAGGTTAGACTCTTAGACACAGAAAGTAGAAAGGTGGTTACCAACAGTTAGGAGGAAAAGGGGAGATGTTGATCAAAGGGTGACAAACTCACAGTTACAGGATTAATAAGAACTGGAAACCTAAAGTCCAGCATGGTAACTATAATTAAAAAAGTAATGTATTATATTCTTGAAATTTACTAAAAGAGTAGATCTTAAGTATTCTCATCACACACACACACACACACACAAACACACACAAAGGTACTTAAGTGAGGTGATATGTTAATTATCTTGGTTGTGATAATTATATCATTTCACAATGTATACATATATCAAAACATCATGTAGTACACCTTGAATATCTCCTATTTTCATCTGTTATACTTTAATAAGGTTAAAAAGAGGAAATAGTTTCTGCCCTCAGGGAGTTTGGATCCTAAATATATGACCTGTCAGCTGATGAAGACAAATAAAGTAAGGCAAGGGGATAGAATGATGGGTTAAGGTGCACTTTTGGATAGGGTTGCCAAGGAAGACACCATTAAGCCTGTGATGTACGAACAGAGAGCCCCCAATGAACGCCATATAACTCTAGGGAAAGTGAATTTCAGGCAATGGGAATCAGTACAAAGGACCTGAGAGGAGAAAGCACTGGCTTATTAGTGGGACAAAGAGGAGGTCAATGTAACTGTAGCATCGCGAGTGGGAAGAACAGCAGAGCAGCAATGGTGGGGAGGAGAAGGGAGTCCTTATGTAATGCTGGGAAGGGAAGGCCCCTAGATTTTTTTTTTCTAAGTGTGGTAGAGAGCATTGGAGGGTTATGAGCCAGGCAGTGACACAAGTGCTTTACATTCCAGCAAAATTTTAAAGAAATTTTGCTCAAAATGGGAGCAGAGAAAGGGCAATAAGTATAGTAGGACACATGTGGGATGAAAAATATTTGTTGAGATAGTAAAGCATGCCTGTTTGCTGATGGAAATGACTTAACAGGAAAAAATGACTATACTAGAGAGACTGGCAAGTCTGGTGAGCTCTAATCAGTAGGTTGTTGCAGCAAGTCTGAAGCCACAGCATCAGCATCTAGTTGAGGTGTGGCCTCAACTAGAAACAGGGGCAGTTCATCCACTCTTGCAGAAAAAGGCAAACTATATACAGACATTGGAAAATGAGGAGCTTACTTTTCATTGCTGTATTTTCTCAGAGAAATAAAAGCAACGTGATCAACTGAGAATGAGCAGAGGAGAGGAAATTTGGGGAGTCTGATGATCAAGGAAAATGTATAAAATAGCTATCTAGGGGACTGAAATGACCTAGGGGAAGTAGGAAGGCAGCTGGACCACACTGAGAGCCTGCCTCGTGTTGGTGATAAGTTTAAACTGTTACCCACCAGTGTGGCTGTGGATTGTTTTCCCCCCACATAGGCTGCACAGCTGCAGGGGAAGAAGGAGTAGAAATATGGGTTTAATTGGTTTTAAGGCTTGGGGCAAGAACTTCAGGAGAAAGGACCAAAGAAACCGATGGTGATTATAATGGCAAATCAGAGAATGTAAGACAGTGAAATGGGGATGCCATGGTGGGATGGCTGATGAAAAGGAGTTTGGGTAATGGACTGGAAATCCTGGCACAGTTCAAGTCAACTTGGATCATTCCCTAGAGAGTGGAAAGATGACTTGAATTCTGCACCAGAAAGTTAATAATAGGCCTTGAGAATGTTGGGAATGAAGTTTTTGGTATCACCAAAAAAAAAAAAAAAAAAGAATTAACACGGGAACAAATGATCTCTCAGCAAGGTGAGCTTTGCTTTCTGCAGAAAGGGTGCTACTCAGCTGTCCAGCCACGACAGCACACCGAACAAAGGAGACAGAGTTATTTATAGCCTGACATGTCTACCCTACTGGTGAGTCCAGTTTCCATTGGCTAGAATAGGACCTCACATTTTACACTTTACCCAATTGGCTGTTAGTTTAAAACTTTCTTAATTAGGTAAGCGGAAAAGAACAAGGAAAGAAAAAGAAGTTGCCCAGGGATAGTTTAAGAAGCATCTCCAAATAAAGAATTGCATGCAGTATGGGCTGGGGCTTGTCTAGTTCTGTCCAGGCATGCTGCAGCAAGCTAGGACAGCTGATTTGGAATATATATATATATACACTAATAGTGGATAGCAATCTTATAGTAAGAAATTGTGACATTTTATGATCTTTGAAGAAGAACTTTCCCATTTCTCACAAGAAGGTTCAAAACTCATTCAAAAATGCTGAGTAAATATGGTAATAAAGTCTTTCTCCTGAATCCCTAGTCAAGCACTCAGAAGACACAAGCAAGAAAAAAAAAAGGAAATAAACCATAAACCAAAAAAAAATTGCTTTACTCCAATACATACAATCATTTCCACTGCTTTTTTTGTCCCTTCATAGCTGATGTCAGTGAGTTTTAAAATATATAACAGCATAGTGCTGCTAGAATGAAAACAAAATTTTACACTTCTCTTGATTTCCTGGTGAAAATTGCTTTCAACATTGAACGAGCTGTAAAATATTCTCTTTTCCGCATTTGCAACACAGATAATTGTCCTTGGTGGATCACTAGATTTTTTCTTATTCCTGATGACTGAAATTTCTTAGTCAGGCTAAAAGATCACTGTTTGTTCTATAGTATTTAGCAAAATTCGCTTTTTCTGTGATTATTGAATCTTAACAATGGCGGTTTCCTTTCTCTCCCTTCTTTTCCTTCTTGTTCATTTTAAGTCTCTTCTCAAATTATATGTTTTGAAAGATAATTTCAGCATCTAAGTTTTTCATTTTAGCAGGTGGTGGAATGACCCTACAACTAATGAATAAAAATTACATATGATTACCTTTAAGATTATGAACATAAAAACTTATATTAACATGCTCACTACTCAAATTTGGTGAGATATGGTTATTAAGTACATTGGAGTGACAGAGAGGAAACTGACCACCTCTCTTCACCACCCAAGAATATAAGTTTCAAATAAGATGGTCTTCTGAAAATTGGACTAGTAGTCTGTATGTAATAAATGGACTAATTGAACATATGAGTGCAGAGTTCTGAGACCTCCAATCACAGTGGCTTATGTCTCATCAGAAAGTATGATATAATTATAGCCAAGAAAGGTGAGCTCTAATCAGTATGTTGTTTCAGGCCTAAAGAAAAGCTATGCAACAGAGTAGTATACTATAGCACCTTGAAAAAAGGAAGCAGATTCTCAGTTGTGATTCCTCCCCTTGTTGCAATATCTGACAGCAAAATAGCAGAAAATTATCCTGAACACTGAAAGGGAACACTGAAGACAAACACACATATAGGATAAAAGAATTGAGGCTCCAAATACCTTTGTATATAGTTGCAATGGTGATCTCTTTCGCCTTTTATGAAAAGTGTTTGCACTTTTGTAGCAATGAAGCAGCCAGCCAGTAAATTAAGCTTTTTCCATTTTTACAAAGGTAAACTTAGAATGTTTTCATAAAATATTTATATTATTTAAAAAACTCAAGAAAACTTGAAATCATACAGTAGGCATTTAGATACCCATCACAATTAACATTACTTTTTTTACTCCTCCTCTCCGTCACATTCTCTTTCGCATTCCCTTTCTCCTGCTCTTGCTCTCTCTCGCTCTCAGTCTCTCACTCTCCCCTTATTTCTCACTCCTTTCTCCCTCCTCTTTCTTTCTCTAAAACTAAACTATTACATATATAGCCATCCTTTCTCTTTCCCTCTGTTTCCATACTCAGAAATAGTCTCCTCCATCCTGAAGTTATTATTCATTATCTCCATGTATGTTTTCATTCAATTACTAAAAATAAATACCTCCATAAACAATGTGCCTTGTTGCTTTATGTGTTTTTAAGATATACAAAAATTATATCATATTGCATGTATCCTTTTGAAACAACGCATTATTTTTGAAATATAGAGAGATATTATTTTTGAAATACATCCAGAGAGAGGAACACATTTCTATCTAATCCATGCATTTAATTGCTACAGTATAATATTCAACTTAATAAATAAGTCACCTATATTTGGTCATTCCTTTCTGAGTTGCCAGATTTGATAATCCTACCTCTTTTGGACAGTTATGTCATTTCCACATTTTTACTCTCACAAGTATTGCTCTGTGAAATTTGCACCCATGAATGAATTCCTTGAAAGTAGACACTAGAAAGATAACTGCTCAATTTAAGTATATTAACATTTTCTTACACTAGGTATCATAAAATTGCTCTCCAACATGCTTATAATTTTTATGCTAATGGCAGTAGCCAAGTGTTCCAATTTCCCCCACGTCTTCACCAATACTTAGTAATATTATTATGATTATTAAATTTGCCATGCTGTAGGGTATTAAAGGGCACCACATTATCATTTTACATTGCATCCCCTTGGCTGTTAGTGTGACATCCAGCATTACTTTTACGCAAGTGATGTATTAAGCAATTCTACATAATAATTTCACAGGCTGGCATATCAGTGTATTATGGTTCAGTATGTGAGCACTAATAATGATTGCAGGTGGAGGAAAGAGAAGATGGTAGTCTTTGAACTTCAAGTTGGAACAGCAAGTCTTGGGGAAGCTTGACTAAATGAGAAGCTGAAGAAAGGAATGAAAATATAGTTGTGAAGATTCCTTCAACTTCCCTAACAACCTTAAAGCATTTGCATGACAGTGTGAATGGTCTTTAATAAATTTCCTAGAAATTCTCTATTTCCACGTTGTAAAGAGAAGAATATTAGGCTAGCCTTGCATTGACTGATATAATGAAGAATAATAATTAACTCAGCCCGTTGTGGGTGACAACAAACTTAATGTTAGCTAGAGAGATACTTGAAAACAACAGCGGGTTGTTTACAGTTTGGCACAAATTAGGCTTGGCACAAATTGGGCTCTTTGTGTATATCACATCAATGCCCCTGCCTCAGCCTCAGACCCATTTTGAAAAAATCTATTCATACTGAAGCTAGTAAAACATGTCTATATATGAGTCACGGAATGGACTTCTCTTTGGTAACAATTCAAAATCCTCTTAGATTTGCCTCTTATTCCCTACACTGCTGCAGAGACCAGGTCTGTAACTTAGGTGCAACCTGACCACACCTTACATGAGGCCTGGGTGGGAGACTTTTATGTCCTGTTCAGCCAGGGCCTTGTCTTACACCAAATTGTTAGACCCCTGAGGGAACCCACCCCTCCCTCATGAACTTGCGCCTTGGAGTGCAGGGAAGTTGATGAATCATGGGACAGCCCTTGAGCAATGATGATGGGATCCAATGGATAACTTCTTCTCCCTTTCTTTCTCCAGGTGGAATAATATTCTAGGAATCAATCTGATCATTAAGGTGGATAAAAGAAGGAGAATTCAGCAAAGCAGACTACAAAGGAGATGCAAATGAGAAGCAAAGAAAACCAGAAAAGGGATGAAATAATTGAGGGGACAAATTCTTAAGGGAATGGGAGTGAGAGCCAGTAAGTGAGTGGAGGGGAGAGCCACAGCTGAATCAGGGAACCTGCATCCATTGCACCAAGATGAATGTTAAAGCATGTGAGTACAAGAGTGAGCCACCTGGTAAATACGGCAGTGGAAGGATAAGGTTCTCTTCTAATTTCTTTAATTAACTCTGATAAATTTAAAGCAATGTTATCGGCTAAGGGGTAAGGAGAGGTAAGGTGTGTTTTGAATGTTTGAAAAGAGAAGATATGTGTAATAGTTGATGGGAAATAGAAATCCTGAGGGTGATGTAGTCAGATGACTAGGGAAAGTATTAGAATTAGTGGTGGCAACCCCTGTCTCCTTATTTTTATCTTTACCCATGCATGACCCAATTTAAAACAGACTTTTCCATAATTATTACAGTCTTAAAACCTGAATTCTTTGAACACATCGGTCTACTGTGGTGGTTCTCAAAGTTTGGTCCCTGGACAAGCAACATCAATCTCACTTGCTTGTTAGAAATGAAAATCTTGGGGCCTTCCCCTGACCTCCTGAATCAGAAGCTGTTGGGGTGGGGTTAGGCAATCTGCCTTAAGAAACCCTCCAGGTGATTCTTATGTGAACTATAGGTTGCCATCCATGGGATTACTGTGTGTCCTTATCTAATTTACCTTTACACAAATTGTTCGGGCACATTTGATTCATAAAATTATCTTTTCAAATAAAATGCTATAAGGTGAACATAAGCTTTCATTTTAAGTACATTAGTATCTAGAAGCAGCCATTTTCTTTAAATGATACAGTCAAAATATTTACTAAAATACCAATTACACTACTTTTCAACCAAAGCCATTATAATTATTATGATTTGAGTTTGAGGGATTACAAAGTTTTCTATAAAATGTACAAAAAATTCTATATGTGTTAACTGATGTGCAGTCTAATTTTTTATTTTTTTCACAATTAAAAAAATTTTAATTTTTCTTTTCATAAATTTTTGGCAAACAGGTAGTATTTAGTTACTTGAGTAACTTTTTATTTTTATTATACTTTAAGTTTTAGGGTACATGTGCACAACCTGCAGGTTTGTTACATATGTATACATGTGCCATGTTCATGTGCTGCACCCATTAACTCGCCATTTAACATTAGGTGTATCTCCAAATGCTATCCCTCCCCCTCCCCCCACCCCACAACAGGCCCCGGTGTGTGATGTTTCCCTTCCTGTGTCCATGTGTTCTCATTGTTCAATTCTCACCTATGAGTGAGAACATGCGGTATTTGGTTTTTTGTCCTTGAGATAGTTTGCTGAGAACGATGGTTTTCAGCTTCATCCATGTCCCTACAAAGGACATGAACTCATCATTTTTTATGGCTGCATAGTATTCCATGGTGTATATGTGCCACATTTTCTTAATCCAGTCTATCATTGCTGGACCTTTGGGTTGGTTCCAAGTCTTTGCTATTGTGAATAGTGCCACAATGAACATACATGTGCATGTGTCTTTATAGCAGCATGATTTATAATCCTTTGGATATATACCCAGTAATGGGATGGCTGGGTCAAATGGCATTTCTAGTTCTAGATCCCTGAGGAATCGCCACACTGACTTCCACAATTGTTGAACTAGTTTACAGTCCCACCAACAGTGTAAAAGTGTTCCTATTCCTCCAGATCCTCTCCAGCACCTGTTGTTTCCTGACTTGTTAATGATCGCCATTCTAACTGGTGTGAGATGGTATCTCATTGTGGTTTTGATATGCATTTCTCTGATGCAGTCTAATTTTTTAAATTGCACTTTTAAGAACTGACAGCTGTTGGTTCACATTAGATTACAACGTGGAAATTAATACCAGTTGTTAATGAAGCGTAACTTTGTCCAGATTTAGCATCGATATTTTATTTTATATATTACATACTTTTTGAGACAGAGTCTTGCTTTGTCACCCAGGCTGGAGTGCAGTGGTATAAACACAGCTCCCTGCAGCATCGACCTCCTGGGCTCAAGAGATCCTCCCGCCTCAGCCTCCTGAGTAGCTGGGACCACAGATATGTACCACTACACCCAGCTAATTTTTTTATTTTTTGTTGAGATGGGATCTTGACATGTTGCCCATGCTGATCTTGAACTCCTAGGCTCAGGCGATTCTCCCACCTCAGTCTCCCAAAGTGTTGGGATTACAGGTATGAGACACCACGCCTGGCCAAAGCATTGATATTTTAAGTTGGAATTGAAATGAATTTATAAAACATAATAATATTATTTTATTTCATCATTTGACTTTTTGATAAACTAAACTACTAATCACTTTATATGCCTTTCCAATGCCATTGATATGACTACAAACAGAAAATTATTTTGAATAACTAGACAGATTCTAAAAACAACAGAAAGAACCATAATGTAGGTAGGAAATTTTTTATCACCACCAAAATGCATGTTAAAAAGAAATCTTTATTTCAATGACTTAAAGAGATAATAAAGGTATAACTCTGCAGCTCTATTATTGGTAGTTATTGATGAGCAGTACAAAACTTATAACTCTATAATGCCTCTTTTCTTACTCTCAGAAAAGCAGTTTAAGTGTGGGAGTTGTTTGGATGCTACATATATTATCTTGATAGAGCACACAGAAGAATTCTAGGCCGGGTACAGTGGCTCACACCCGTAATCCCAGCACTTTGGGAGGCCAAGGTGGGAGGATCACTTGATCCTGGGAGTTCCAGACCAGACTGGGCAAAATGGTGAAACTCTGTCTCTACAAAAAATACAAAAATTAACCAGGCTTGTTGGCATGCGCTTGTAGTCCCAGGCTGAGGTTGGGGGATCACCTGAGCCCCCGAAGTGGAGGTTGCAGTGAGTTGAGATCCTACCCACTGCACTCCAGCCTGGTGACAGAGAGAGACCATGCCTCAAAAAAAAAAAAAAAGATTTCTACAAGAGCATCTCTCACAGTATACTAAAATGAAATGCAAGCTTGAGTTGGTCAGTAATGAAAAAAATAGTGCTTGAGTTTACAAGGTCATCAGTTTCTTAACATTTTGGGGTTGTGCAATGTAGTCTGTCTCTCTCAGTGTCTGATGTCCACTCAGGAATTATTTGCCACACATTTTAGAGAAACCATCATCTTAAACATGTATTAAATATTAATTTCTATAAAAATGAACAAAAGAGGCATGATTTTTGTCTTCTTGTAGTAAAATTAATGTGAGGAGTTTTCATTGCATTTTTTTCTGGGTCTTGTTTTACATTGTTCCTGTGTTCCCATCCTTTTCTTTGTCTTTGTCCATTTGTTTCAATGACGTTTGAATTTAAAATAAAGTTTAATCAGGATGGCATGACATGATAGTTGAAATTTGCTGTTAAATACTCCAGTGGTGGGTATGGGGGAGGAATCAGAGGATATAAATGAAATAAGATTTGACATTTATTGATAACTATTGAACCTGAACTGATGGATGCATGGAGGTTTGTTACTCATCTATTATTGAATATGTTTTAAAATTTTACAATAAAAAATTTAAAACAAAGCTTAATTACATTTAATTTATGTGGATATCAAGAATTTTATTGCAGTCCTTGAAGAAATTGGAGGCATGCTGGAGTGTTGAAAAACAAAGATTCAGAATTAATATTGAAGCTTGTGAAACAAATTTCCACAGCTAAGAATTTTTTTAAAAATTGAGTAGTGAGTAGATAGCATAATAATCTTTCTAGAGATTGATAGAAAAATAGCACCAATTTTCTCATCACTTTCAATTTGTGGTAATTATGAATAATTCCAAAGTCTCTCCAGGGTGTTTTTGGAGTGATTTGATATCTGAAATGAACCCAGCTTCAAGTACAGCCTGTTACTATGGGCAACAATTTAGATCTAGCCTGAGTTTTTGCCTTCTGCAAAGGTACTGCATCAGACCAGGGGTGATTGGGTACAAAAATGGTCTAATAAGACAAAGTTAAATTTTTGAGAGAGAAATACACCAATGAGATCAACAACTGAATGAAATCACAGAGCTTTCATAGATATCAAAGCATGACACATACAAATTTTAGCGTCATCAGGCCTGTGTTTGAATTCCTTGTCTACTTCTTACTTGCTGTGTCTCCAGGGATAACTTACTTTCCTTCCCACCTCTTGTTGTTGTTGTTGGTTTCTGTTTCCTTTTTTTATATTTGTAAAACTGGAATGGTAATATATATCTCCAAGAGGTATTGTAAAGGTTGAAAAAGATTTACAGATGTAACATTTCTGGAACATATTGAACATATAGCAGATGGTAATAATTTATCCTAACGTGAACTATATGCCACTATACTTGAAATAAACCAAGTTCTAAGGAGCTAAGTTCTGATTCTAAGACATCACTGGATGCAAGTGATAGGAAAGGAGACATGCTTTTCCTACAATGTGCACAAATTCCAATCATCCCTTCAGTAACACCTGAGAGAAGCAAGTTAACTTGAGGTTCAAGCAGGCAAGTTCAGAGCTGGCCATAATGATATTATCTGCATAAGCAGTTTTTGAATGGTTTGGTTAGATAGAAAAGAGGCAAAGCCTTAATTTGAATAACGGACTTCTCTCTTGATCTATACATCTCAGTTGTTAACCGATTTAGCCAGATTAAGCAGGGGCTGTGTGGAAGATGATACCTCTCTTGGAATGCCATGGAGCTATAAGGCAAAGATTTTGTTTTAGGAGTGTGTGTGTGTGTGTGTGTGTGTGTGTTTGTGTCTCTGTGTATGTTTAATAAAAGGATATCCATTTGCTTTAAAAAACGGCAAAGTTAAAGTTAACAGTTTTTGCTTACACGTTATGAGCATCTAACTGATTGTTATATCCTTAACACCTAACATTGACTTTTAGAATTTAACCATTTATTCATGGAACAAAAATTATTGAATGCATGCTAAGTTCTAGGCACTGCTCTAGATGCTGAAGATACCCCAGAACAGAAAAGCAGAAAATTCTGCCATAGAGCTCCTATTCTAGAAGACAGAGACAAATAATCAATGTTTCCTAAATAAGTGGGTATCTCAAGACCCTGTAAGTGGGCCCAAAACTTTTCCCAGAAAGTAGATTGAGACCTGTTCAAGACTCAACTTTCTGCACTATAATTATGAAACAATTAAGTTTTGTCTGGAAGATTGTTTCCCAAGAGATTTCTCCAAATTCCTAACTCTACTATTTAATTTTGAGCAGAATGCCTACTTGTTTAATCAGCTAAGATAATTTACCCTCAGATACCTACATAAATAAGTAAACCTTTCAACTACTACCTTCTTTAGTGTAATTTATCTAGGTGCCAAAAATTCTGCTAAATGAAAATTAAAATTTGTCACTAAACAAAATGCATGAAATCAGACAAATGTGAGAAGGTTAAAGTAAACTTTCCTATTTAACTTAAAGGTGATAACCATTTGAAACCAAAATTTACATAGTCATCAATGAATTTAAATATTATAATTGTTAAAACATATGATATTTAATTACCATTATACATTAATGTATGTATAGTGGGCATTGTTTTATACACTGTACATGTATTAACTCTCTTAATCCCCACAAAGTCCTATGAAGCATATACTCCAACTATTGCAATCTTATAGATGAAGAAACTGAGGCATTGATGGGGTTAAATTATGCACTCAAGCTAAGTAAATGTAAGTATTAGAATTGTAGCCTAGAGTTTGTGCTTATAATCACTACACTATGTGTTGTAAATATTTTTAAATTTTCTGTGTACTGTGATGTTTCGACAACTTTAAAAAAATCCTTTCTGGCAAGGAGATTGTTCTCATATATAGACAATTTTTAAAGATAACAAAAAACCTAGTCAGAACCATCTCTTTCATATGCATGCAAACCAATTCTGAACTATACTTTCTTTATCTGGCCCTTACCCCGGGAGGCAATATTTTCTCTGCCTTAATAATCCCAGGGCTAGATGCCAGGCAAGCAGGGACCACCTCTATCATCCAAAGCACACCAAAATTATTCAAACCAGCTAATCCCAAGCTGTTCGTCCAGCCTTGCCTTGTCTTGCCTTCCCCAGGAAACTTCCATACCGGTAGTGGTCTAACCCTTCCCCTTACTTCTGTCCTCTGACCACCCTTGTGTCTTTCCCATGTAGCCCCACATGACATGCCCTCCTCCTGTAGGTATAATAACCTTTGTTTTCCTGAGCCTCTCCTTCTGCTTCTTCTGGCAGCCACACCTGATTATCTCATAAAAGAATACAAACCATATTATGTGTCCTTCCAGAAGATAAACAAATTGATTTCAACTGGTCTATCTATAAATCACAAAGAAAGTACATTTTAATTTTAATGTGATTAAAAAAAAGATGTCAAAATTGTCTTCTGTGATGATGGCCCCTCAGTAAGAGGTTGTTTTACATGGATTCTTAAAGCTTATTTCAGTGGTTTTAGTAAACCGCTTCAAATTTAGAGTTTGATTTATTTAATTAGAGTTTATTTTTTAAGTTGAGTATGCAATCTAACCTAGAGAAACTTTTTTTCTCATTCAGAAAGGAAGATAAATTTTATTGAGTATGTATTGTATGGCCACACTACATTACCTTATCTTACCATAAGACAGTAGTAAGAATCAGCAGAATTTCCTGTATTTTGTAGAAGAAGAAACTGAGAACAAGTAATATCACCTAATTTGCTCACACTGCTTGGCGGAGCTCTCTGAACTTCTGATTCTGAGTGCTGCCCAGTTCATGAATTGTTGTTTGCTCAAATAAACTGCTGAATTTAATTTGTCTGATTAAAGATTAATTTAATTAGTTTTTCTTTTAACAACAAGAATGTATAGAATATGTTAGGATGTGCAAAAACGAGAACAATAGTTAATTGATTAAGCTCTATTTCATTACTGTCTTCCCTCTTTATCTCCCTCTCTTCCTTTCTTTCTTCCATCAATATTAGTTAAGCATCTACTCAGTAGCAGACACTTACAAATGTCTGGAAATTCTTAGGTAGTGAAATCTCATCATATCTTGTGCTTGTATCTGTACTTCTCTTCCTTCCTGCTAGAATGTAAACTTCAGGAAGGCAGGGATCTTTGTTTTGTTCACAGATGATCATTGGTGATGCCTTTATACTATGCTCTAGTGACTTATTTCTTAAATAAGTGCTATAAACTAACTTCTGCATTAGTCTCTGTTTCTGGCAATATTGAGGGTGGTTAAACATCACACCAGTAGCTTCAGGGTACTTAATAGTACTCAGAGACAAGAATCCTTTCCCATGACTGCCTTGCACACAGTGAAAAATTCCTGGCTATTTATCTTTTTTCCTTCTTCTTCATGACTTTTCCACAGAATCAACATTTTTCATTAGTAAATGATTCTTTATATTTTGAGGGTCATTATTCATCTGATTAAAATTTTGGATCATCTTCCCCAGAAAATGCACATACTCATATACATGCACACAAATTTGGCAACTGATTTCAGGGGTTCCATTGAACCCCCAAAGACTCTGGACCATGGAACCAAGGTTTAGAAGTCCTAGTTTAAAAATGTGGCATAGAATAAATAAAGAGACATAAAGACATCAGAGTTTTATGCACACGTGCAAATATATACACACAACAGAAATCTACTGTATATTATTTACTTTCATCTCATTTTACCAAACTTCTCCTTTTTCTTGAGTATCAGAACTAGGTTTTCTCCTTGAAGAAAGTAAAATCACTCAATTTGTATTTCAACTTAGATATCTAAACATGTTAGAAGCATAACTGTTAATATTTACTGTTAAAATTTGCATTCACAGCTGCTCTGATTGACGTGAGATTTATTTCTCATTGTCAGTGTATGAAAGTGATATGGGATAAAGAGCTGTTTTCTGTTGTGCTGAGCTCATTTAGCTTGAAGCTGTTTCCTTCAAAACTCCTTTGTCAGATACCTGTAAATAAATGCTTCTGGTATGCTTCTAGATTGATACTGCATCTGACACCCTGAAAATAACAATAGTAACAACAACAGAGTTACAACATGATAGGGCACTCCTGTTTGTCAAAGTGCCCTAATATTTCCACAGTGGCTTTTTCCCTTGTTCAACCTTCCCAACTCAGTAATGGTAAAATGAAATTCTTTGACTTATTAATGCCATTCTCCTTTTCCTTATTTGTTTTATTGTCTTTATACCTTTTCCCTGTTATTCTCTGTCTTTCCATTTCCCCATCTCATTCTCACATATCACTTTTCCAACTTTAATATGTATTTGCCTCACTTCTCAGCCTCAAATGTTATTTCTTTTGTCTTTTTCAAAACAGCAAGAATTTTTCTGATATTATATGTATATATTCTGAAGAAATATATATATATATATTTTTTTTTCAGTAGATGACCAATCATCCTAAAACCAGTTTAACTGGTAAAGTGACATCTCATTCATGAAGTCAGTTGTCATGTTGCCAGGACAACCTCAAATATGATCAAACTCAAATCCCTTTTCATGGAACACTACCCATGTTGTCATGACAACTGACAACCTGTAAGACTTAGTTTAAGTGTCATTCCTACTTAAAGTACTTGGTTAAAATCAGGAACAATTGATAAATTTCTGTAGATTTCCACACTTCAAATGAACTTCAAGCTTCCAAACTAAAAGTAACCAAATGTGATAGCAATTTAAAGCGTGAGCATTTTATCATCCTACTGAAAAAAAATTACCTGGTTGATAGAGAAGATATATGGCAATGGAAATTGACTTACTAGTGATATTTTAAAAGCTACCTGGTAACTTGTGAATTGTTTTTGCTTGATTAATATTTGAAATTTAGATGAATAATGAAGAGATCTATGTAACTATGGAGATAGTAGCAGAGTAAGTTATGAATTAATGGGATTTATTTATTAAGTAAATCCAATAATCCTTCAAATAGTCATACATGATGTATATTAAATGTTAAACAAAAGGAGTTTTTGATTAGAGTAAGATTTTATATCTTTTGAAAATTTATTTATTTTGGTACATGAATAAATTCTTTAGTGGTGATTTCTGAGATTTTGGTGCACCCATCACCCGAGCAGTGTACACTGTACCCAGTGCATAGTGTTTTATCCTTTCCCCCACTCCCACCATTTCCATGAGTCCCCAAAGTCCATTGTATCATTCTTATGCCTTTGCATCCTCATAGCTTAGCTCCCACTTGTGAGTAAGAACATAAGAACATAAGATGTTTGATTTTCCATTCCTAAGTTATTTCATTTAGAATAATTGTTTCCAATTCCATCCAGATTACTGTGAATGCCATTATTTCTTTTTTTAATGTCTGACTAGTATTCCATGGTGTATATATATACCATTTTCTTTCTCCACTCATTGACTGACAGACATTTGGGCTGGTTCCATATTTTTGCAATTGTGAATTGTGCTGCTATATACGTGCATTTGTGAATATCATTTTCATATAACAACTTCTTTTCCTCTGGGTAGATACCCAGGAGTGGGATTGCTGGATCAAATGGTAGACCTACTTTTAGTTCTTTACGGAATCTCTACACTGTTCTCCATAGTGGCTGTACTAGTTTATGTTCCCACCAACAGTGTAAAAGTCTTCCCTTTTTACCATATCCGTCCCAACATCTATCATTTTTTGATTATGGCAATTTTTGCAGGAGGGAGGAGATATCACATTGTGGTTTTGATTTGCATTTCCCCTATCATTAGTGATACTGAGCAGTTTTTCATGTTTGTTGGTTTGTTGGCCATTTGTATATCTTCTTTTGAGAATTGTCTATTCATGTCTTTAGTCCCCTTTTTGATGGGATTGTGTTTTTATCTTGCTGATTGGTTTGAGTTCCTTGTAGATTCTAGATATTAGTCCTTTGTCAGAAGTATATATTGCTAAGATTTTCTCCCCCTCTGTGGGTTGTCTATTTGCTGATTATTTGTTTTGTTGTTGTTGTGTGAAGCTTTTTAGTTTAATTAAGTTCCAACTATTTATCTTTGGTTTTGTTACATTTGCTTTTGGGTTCCTGGTCATGAAGTCTTTGCCTAAGCCAATCTCTAGAAGAGTTTTTCCAATGTCACCTTCTAGAATTTTTATGGTTTCACTTCTTAGATTAAAGTCTTTGATCCATCTTGAGTTGATTTTTGTATAAGGTGAGAGATGAGGATCCAGTTTCATTCTTCAACATTGGCTTGTCAAGTATCCCAGCACCATTTGTTGAATAGGGTGTCCTTTCCCCACTTTAAGTTTTTGTATGCTTTGTCAAAGATTAGTTGGCTATAAGTATTTGGCTTTATTTCTGGGTTATCTATTCTGTTCATTTGTCTATATGCTATTTTTATACCAGTACCATGGTTTTGGGTGAATATGTCCTTATAGTGTAGTTTGAAGTCAGGTAACGTGATGTCTCCAGATTTGATCTTTCTGCTTAGTCTTGCTTTGGCTATGTGGGCTCTTTTTTGATTCCATATGAATTTTAGAATTTTTTTTCCAGTTCTGTAAAGAATGATGGTGATATTTTGATGGGAATTGCAATGAATTTATAGATTGCTTTTGGGAGTATGGTCATTTTCACAATATTGATTCAACATGGGTTGAGTTTCCATTTGTTTGTGTTGTCTATGATTTCTTTCAGCAGGGCTTTGTAGTTTTCCCGGTAGAGGTCTTTCATCTCCTTGGTTAGGTATATTCCCAAGTATTTTATTTTTTGTTTTTGCAGCTACTGTTAAACGGATTGAGTTCTTGATTTGATTCTCAGCTTGGTTGCTGTTAGTGTATGCAGAGCTACTGATTTCTGTACATTAATTTTCTATCCTGAAACTTTGCTGAATTCATTTACCAGTTCTAGGAGCTTTTTGGATGAATCTTTAGGGTTTTCTATGATTATGTCATCAGCAAATTGTGACAGTTTGACTTCCTCTTTACGGATTTGGATGCCCTTTATTTCCTTCTCTGATCTGACTGCTCTGGATAGGGCTTCCAGCACTATGTTGAATAGAAGTGGTAAAAGTGGGCATCCTTATCTTGTTCCACTTCTCAGGGGGAATGCTTTCAACTTTTCCCCATTCAGTATAATGTTGGCTGTGAGTGTGTCATAGATGGCTTTTATTACCTTAAGGTATGTCCCTTCAGTGCCGATTTTGCTGGGGGTTTTAACCATAAAGAATGCTGGATTTTGTCAAATACTTGTTTTTCATCTATTGAGATGATCATGTGGTTTTTGTTTTTAATTCTGTTTATGTGGTGTATCACATTCATTGACTTGCGTATGCTAAACCATCCCTGCATCTCCGGCATGAAACCCACTTGATTATTGTGGCTTATCTTTTATTATTATTATTATTATACTTTAAGTTCTAGGGTACATGTGCACAATGTGCAGGTTTGCTACAAATGTATACATGACATGTGCCATGTTGGTATGCATTGTTCTGAGCAAACTATCGCATGGCTTATCTTTTTGATATGCTGTTGGATTTAGTTAGCTAGTATTTTGTTGAGGATTTTTGCATCTATGTTCATAAGAAATATTGGTGTGTAGTTTTCTTTTTTTATTATGTCCTGTCTTGGTTTTGATATTAGGGTGATACTGGCTTCACAGAATGATTTAGAGAAGATTCCCTCTTTCTCTATCATTTAGAATAGTGTCAATAGAATTGGTACCAATTCTTCTTGGAATGTCTGATATAATTCAGCTGTGAATCTGTCTGGTCCTGGACTTTTTTTTTGTTCTTGTTGGCAATTTTTAATTACCATTTCATTCTGACACTCAAGGGCTGCTGTTCAGGTTCCTTTGTCCCTTGGGGTGCTCCCTTGATTTGGTGCTCTCCCCATTCCCCAAGACATGATGGGGCTTCCTGAGAGCCAGACTGCAGTGATTGTTATTTCTCTTCTGGATCTAGCCACCCAGGGAAGCTACTGGGCTCTAGGCTGGTACTGGGGAGTGTCTACAAAGAGTCCTGTGATGTGATCTGTCTTCAGGTCTCTCAGCCATGAATACTAGCACCTGCTCTGGTGGAGGTAGCAGAGGAGTATAGTGGACTCTATGAGGGTCCCTGGTTGTACTGTTAAGTATGCTGGTTTTGTGTTGTTTGGCTTCCAGCCAGGAGACGGCACTTTTAAGAGTACAACTTTTAAGAGCTACAGTAGTATAGGGAGGATACAAGCTTGCCCTAGGATCAAGCTGTGGGTGGGGTCATAGAGCTCCCAAGAGATTATGTCCTTTGTCTTCAGCTACCAGGGCAGGTAGAGAAAGACCCTCAGGTGGGGGCAGGGTTCAGCATGTCTGAGCCCAGGCTCTCCCTGGGCAGGGCTTGCTGTGGCTGCTGTAGGGGATGGGGATGTGGTTCCCAGGCCAATGGAGTTATGTTCCCAGGGGAATGATGGCTGTCTCTGCTATATCACACATGTCACTAGGGAAGTGGGGGAAAGCTGGCAGCCACAGGCCTCACCAAGCTGCCACACAGCCCGCAGCCCAAAAGGCCAGTCTCACTTCTACCATGCTCCCCCAGCAGCACCGAGTTTATTTGCAGGCAGCCAGTGAGCAGGGCTGAGAACTTGCCCCCAGCTACCAGCCTCCCAGCTGAGAAAGCAAGCAGACTCACAGTTCCTTGGCTGTCCCATGTAGCCTGCATTGGCAGTCCACCTCCTTCAAAGGGTCTGTGGATTCTCTCAGCTTTCCTGGTATATTCCTGCAGTAGTTCTTGGAGCAAAATTTCACAATGTGAGTCTCCACACCCTGCTGTGTTCACAGCTCCAAGGGGGAGCTGCAAGTTAGTTGTGGCTCCTATAGGCCTTTTTCTTTGTCATTTTATTGCTTCTTTACTCATTGTATATTTGTTTTTTAAAAAGTTTCAATGATTTATTGATTCAGAAAGCTTTACGTGCCCAATTTTGTGGTCTGAAAATCTTCTCTTTTCACTTTATTCATTTCTCTATTGCTACTATTTACATTGAACACTGAATTGCTTGCTGACAAAGCAAAAACTGTATTTTTTCCTCCTAAAATCAATTTATTAATTTCTTTATCATCTTTAGAATCTATTATATGCAATGCATTTTTTACAAATAATCCTGGTATGACTTTTGACTGTTACCTTCCTTTTTTCCTATTTTACAAATCTCAACTCAATCCCATTTCTGATCTGTAGCATCATTTATTTGCCACTAATATGGAAGAATTGTGAGTCAAATAATATCCAAAATATTCTCTAATAGCAAGCTCAACCTTGTGTTCCCAGGATCCCAATTACATAAATTTAGAGCAGAGCTATGACAGAGTTCAGGGATTAGCTTCAGAGTGTCCAAAAACATACCTGAAATTGTGTGCAAAATCTGAACTGTATGTTCATGTATGCATTTTACTGGGAAGAGAGCTCATAATTTGCATCACAAAGAAGGTATTACCAAAAATTATCAAGAACCACTACTTTAGGGCACAAGGTGGCATTGCAGAGCATTCATAATGAGGTGGAAAAAGCTGATTTTGAGTCAGAAGAGCTGATTTTACATTCCAAGTTGTCACCATTAACAAGACACATATGAGAAATATATAGGAATTACATATCCTACTGAAAATTTTGAATATGCCATTCATTGATAATACTGGAAAACAGTGAAGTCCTATTACAGGAAATTAAAAACTAAATGCAGGCAAAATAATTAATTGCAATTCAATTTAGGGTTTATCATTGATATAAATTAATTTCCACATAATATTCCTGTAAGAACTGACAAGGAAGACATTTTTAAAAGGGAAGTATTGTTTCCAAATGGCAGAAATAGAAAGAAAAGGAAAATAAGATCTAGAAAGAAATGAATCACATAATATAGTTTGTGTTATAGATATTTGGATAAGTTATTGCCTCTAGGTTATAAATTCCTTGAAACGGAAAACTTTAACAAACATCTTTTACTACAATGCGTGACTAACAGTGATTGGATTTACCAGGTTCTCAAGAAATCAGTGGACATGCTGTATTTCCTATGTGATCTTCAAAATCAAATTAGGTGTTGTCTCCCTACATGAACAACTTCTCCTGCATATGAAAACAACTTCTGTTTAGGTAAAGATAGAAAATGAGTTTTAGGTAGAGAAAACAAAAACAGTTGAAAACTTTGTAACAAATTACTTCAGGAGTATTATAAACAGGCATCAAACCAAAGGAAATACCATCCCCTAAATTCAGTGGTGGAGTCTCTATGGATAACTTAAGCATGGAAGAAGCAATAGATTTGCTAAAGGAAAAAAGGTATGCCTAAGATAGTGATAAATCAAGATGAAAAACAAGTAAATGTAATATAAATACATTTACAAATATAAAATAAATACTCCTGTAAAATTGTATTTATTAGAGGATTAAGCTAATGTTTATGCACTTAATCTAACACTGTAGAAATCCACCCAAATAAGTTAGTTTGGCAGTAGACTTTTTTCCCTTGTCTCAAGTTACATGGATTCCAGTCAACTATCTCACAAGCAGGTAGGGGTTTCAAGCACAGGCAAATGATTAAAATTATTTGAGGCTTGGTGGTGGGATTCGAAGGGGACTTTCTGAATGCCGTTCACACCATTTGCTATAAGAATTTGTCTCTAAAAGGTATTTGATGCCCTCTACATATAGTACTGTGTTAGAGGCTGGTGATATAAACAGTTGCCAGCTGTGTCACAAAAATCAGCGTGACCCAGAGTTGGGAAGCAATGAGAACACAATTTACTACATAGGGTTAAGCAAGGATATTGACCTTGTGGCAGCCAGCACATATTGGGTGGTTGACTCAGGGACTGAGTCAGACTAAATTAGCTCTCAGTCTGAAGAGGAGTAAAACTGACAAAAAACATGGTAATGTTGCCAGAGTGTTCCAGCTCAGGCATGACAATTCAACTTAGCCTGGCTAAGATAGATAAATACCTGGTTGATCAAGTGGACTGCTTTGAAAAGTGAGAAAATCACAGCAGAGCAGACCAAGGAATAAGAGCAGAAGGCAGCTGTTCAGTAACCAGGGCAAGAGAAGGTAGGTTTCTGTATTAAGGCTTGAGGTTAACTAACATTCCATGCAGTATTTTCGAAGAGGAATAATGATACCCAATAGAAGTCTCCTTTGTCTTAAAGGAACCACTTCACAAAGATGAGTGGGGCTTGTAGACAAATTTCTAACTGTCACGGCCCTTGCCATCATGAAACTAGTTTTAGAGACAAGATATACACATAAAAGTCCAAATAAAAAAATGTTACTGTGTTTGTACTGCATATAAGCTATTGTACTAAACCTTGTAGAGGATGCAAGGATGAGACTAACATAGTAGCAGTCCTTCAGGATTTTATAGTCTAATAAAAGGATAAATATGAAGACTAAGTTCGCAGTTTTAAAGGGTAAGTGGAAGGTGAGTGGAAGTAAGTGTGAGGTCAAGTCTAAAATGACAGAACTGTGAACTGCTAGGGAACTATGGTCGCACTTAAATCACACTGGCAAACAGTACTTCAATACAGGGTTAATCATCTCAAGCAAGTATTTCCTTCTGGGAATTAAAATTCCTGCCAATAACAGATGAAGATCTAAAAAGATCACCCATTTAGTTAAGTGGTAGGAAAACCAGTGTTGTTGACATGTCACTTTAGCCACACCTGCACCCTGCGCCCCACAAAAAAAGACACCTAGGTACAAAGTGTGAGTGTACTTGTGTATGTGTGCGCATATTCCTAAAAACCGACAGTTTTTCTTAAATACCTCCATGCCTAGTCTTATTATTCAAAAGAGGTTTTTGAACCTCTAATTTTAAAAAGAATATGTCATTTGTTATATATTTGCTTCCAATTACTTTTATTTCTTCTTTCTGGAGTGGAAAAAATTTAACTTCAATATTCACAGATTAGTATTATTCCTTACTATTCTTCTCTTTCACCAAAATTCTTAAATAAGTAGCATATAAAAAATGCCAAGTAAACTCAAATAGACCATTTACACATTTAAAAACTGTGCATAAATAAATTATAAATTCTAAACACAAATTGTACTTTCCCACTTGTTTAGACTGCACTAGTTAACATATACTACCAAACAGAGTGACAACTTGGTAAATGTGGTATTTTTAAAATCTCCAATTAACTTATTCTGAAGTATGTCCTAAAGGAATTGATTTCACCATAGAATCTTAAGAGACTTTGAGTTCAGTTGTTCAAAAAAGAAAATACTTTATGATGAATCAGAAATGATGAGTGTGGTAATAAAGAATTATGAAAATTGGAAAGAAAGCAAAATTATTTTAGAATACTTAATTATATGCCTAAAATATTCAAACAAATCAACTGAAAATCTGTGGATTAAATAAAAAAGAAGAGGAGTTACAAACCGTGCCAACCACAGTGACTGAGAAGTTCAAGAATTGTCAAGTGAGCCCGTGTGGCTCTCAGTGGAGGACAAACACCATGCTCATGAGTCTTCGTATGGTCAGTTCATCAACCCCTTGCATGGTCAGCATCTTAGTACATTTTTCACTGGTATAACAAAATATTAGATTGGTGCAAAAGCAATTGTGGTCTTGGCATTACTTTCAATGGCAAAAACTGCAATTGCCTTTGCACCAACCTAATACCTATGACTGGGTAATTTATAAAAGACAGAAGCTTATTCTCATAGTTTTGGAGGTTATGAAGTTCAAGATCAAGGCTCTGGCAGGTTTGGTTGTCTGGTAAGGGCTGCTTTCTGCTTCCAAGATGGTGCCTCTTTGTTGCATTCTCTGGAGGGAAGAAATGCTGCATCCTCACATGGCAGAAGGTGGAAAGGGCAAGCTAATGGTGAAGCCTCTTTTATAATGGCCTTAATCCCATTTATGAGGATGAGGAGCCCTCATAACCTAATCACCTCTTAAAGTTTTCACCTCTTTATACCATCACTTTGGCCATTAAGTTTCAACATTTGAATTTTGAAGGGGGTATATTCAGTCAGGTTGACTATTTTAGTTTTTAAATTCTTTATTCTTGGCCATATATTATTTATTTTATATCCAGGATGAACTGTTGATCAAAAACAGGAGGCATGGATGTTAAAAGATAACCACTTTAGGATAACTGTAGAAAAGTTGACATTTTCACAAATTTACTCAAGAGAATTCATTCATTTATTCAAGAAATATACAATAAATGATTATGCTATATCAGGTGCTATGCTAAGTATTTGGTCTAAAATGAACAAAACAGACAGGATTCCTAATCTCATGGATTTTAGAATCTAGTTGGTGAGATAATAACTCAATATACAAATAAACATATAATTATAAACTCTGTGATCCCTATGAGGAAAATGATTGAGAGAAAATAAGAGCAAAATTTAAATTAGGATTCATCTCTGGAAAAATAAATATTTAACATGAGATCAGAGTGATTAAAAATTATGAAGCATTCCAGGAAGAGAAATGAAAAATAGTTTGGTGCCATTGGGAAACAAAATAATGTCATTGTGTCTAGAACTTGGCATCCAGAGGAAACTTGCATTTAGAGAGGTGGGCAGTGACAGACCATTGCTGTACCTAGTAAGAAATTAGACTTTTATTCTACTTGCAGTTGGAACTACTGAACAGTGGAATAAAATGGTTTACACTTTCAATGATTGTTATGACTTCTATGTGGAAATGCTAATAAGGTGACAAAGATGGAAGAAGGAACAGCAGGAGGCTATGGCTGTAATCCAGGAAAAAATTTACCTTGGCAAATGCTGTAAGCAAATCTACAAACGGACTTGGACTATGGTGGGGGCAGTGGTAATGGAGAGAATTGGATGTGATTGAGAAAGTTTTGGCAGTGAACTGGATAAGATTAAGATTTGTTCATAAATTGGATATGCAGAATGAGAGCAATAAAAAGGTAATGTTTGGGTTTTTTTTTGTTGGTAGGTCTAACACTTGGAATAACCTTTGGCACAAAATAGATACTCCATAAATATTTTTTGAATGAATGAGTGAAATTCTTGTCCTATATAACTAAATTAATGCAGGTATCATTCACTAAGGTGAGGAAAACTGGAGGCATTACATTTTGACAGACATTCAGTTTGATATGCCTGTTAGAACTCAGAGTAGACCATTAGAAATAAATCTGGAGCTCAGAAAAGAGGCCAGAATCCAAAATATGAATTCATGAGTTACCAACATAGAGATGGTATCTAAAGCCATTGAGCACATAGAATGAGAAGAAAAGAGGACTCCTGGCTGAGCCATGAGAAGACATAATACTTTAGGTATAGGTAAAAAAAAAAAAAGAGGAATTAATAAAGAAGACTGATAAGGAGTACCCAAGGAGGAAGTTGACATCTGAGACAGTGTGACATCAAGGACACAAACATAATAGAGTGCTTATAAAGACAGTCAATAGTGAAAAATTTTAAATCCATTAGATTCATAACACTGAGATCATTGGTGACCTTTGGCAGAGCAGGGTTTATAGAATAACAGAGGCTGATAATAAAATGGACATGGGCTGAATAGTGAAGGAAGGGTGAGGAAGTGAAAATTATATATGTGGATAACACAATTATAAGTTGAAGTTATCTGATTGAAATTCTTACCTTGCCTATATAAATGTTTTTAAAACTCTAGAAATTAAATGTTAATAAGACACAATGGCCGGGTGCGGTGGCTCACACCTGTAATCCCAGCACTTTGGGAGGCTGAGGCAGGTGGATTACTTGAGTTGGAGACCAGCCTGGCCAACATGGTGAAACCCCGTCTCTACTAAAAATACAAGAATTAGCCAGGCATGGTGGCACATGCCTGTAATACCAGCTACTCGGGAGGCTGAGGCAGGATAATAACTTGAACCCAGGAGGCAGAGGTTGCAGTGAGCCGAGATGGCGCCATTGCACTCCTGCCTGAGCGACAGAGAAAGACTCTATCTCAAACAAACAAACAAACAGAAAAAAAATTAATAAGAGACAGTACAAGAGTGATTTATGTGTAGCTTTTCATCTATTGGGAAGAAAGGTTATTCACATCTAAAAACCATTCTTATTTCATTATTTAAGCACAAAGTTCAGAAAAACATTAAAATATATTTATGTTCTAAAAAAGAAAAAGGTTTTTAAAAATCAAATCATGAATGCAATTTTTTCTATTTTTGATGCTGTATCATGTTGACAGCGATAAAATCCTTAGGAGATGGAGGAACACACATAGAATGACTGTGTGGAGCAATGGCACCCACCTGGCTGCTTGGGAGGGCTTGTCTTACTTAGATCATCACATACTAAGAAGTAAACTTACTGAATATTTGAGATTTTGCTACAGTAGCTTAAACTACTGCAACTAACATACTGAGGTAAAAATAAAATATTTCTCATTTAAAACCATTTGCTTATAATTAAAATAGAAAAATAATGAAAGTATTTCAAAATTCTACATGGAGTTTACAAAATTTATATTATCATGAAATACTTCAATAGAGGGTTGGGAAATCTAACTCTGGAGGAAATGCCACAAATTTCCACTGCTGGGGTTTTTGAAGATGCTCTGGTTCCTATCTTTTCTTCTAGCTCTCCTTTCCCTCAATTGTATCCCCTATTTTTTTCTCATAAGCTAGCTCAAGTTGGTTACTTATAACCCCCCTCCAAGAAATTAAACCAATGCTTCTTGTTTCTAAAAGTAGTCAAAAAAAAAAAAAAAAAAAAAAAAACAGAACATGGAAAGCCAGCATTTTTTAACTAGTCTCTGGAAAACAAAAAGAAGCCTAACATACCAAGTAAAGTGACAGCATTTGAGTTATTTTAAAATTTTTCATACATGACCATACCAAATGAATAGCATGAGAAATTGACCAGGGACTGAGGTGACACAGAGAATGAACTGGTTTGGTAAAGATGGTAAATTCATATTCCACTTCCTTCAATAGAGTTAACTTGCATGCTAACTTTTTGTTACATACCACCACTAGTTTAAATTTTAATTGAAATGGAAAGAAACATTTAAAATCTGAACTGTCTCCTCTTACTCTTATTTTGTGGCATTTTGGTCAAAATAAAGGCACATCTATAAATAAGAATGGACAAAATAGAATAACATTTTTGTGTGAGTTCCTTTGATGATACCAAAAAAGGGAGGTTACGAGTAACTGAATCAAAGAGTGTTTCTTGTGTAGTTTTAGAACAGAATAAAAATTGATGAAGTGGCTGAAAAATTAACCACTGTATTATATTCTGCCTGAATGCAAGCACGCTCTCTCTCTCTCTCTTCTATACTCTTTCAATGCTATGCTCAAAAAAGATTATGAACAGTCCAACCTTCCTGTCACTTTAATTCAAAAGATTAGGTTGCTGGAACATAGAAGGCAAGAGTGGTACTTTGTCAAGATCAGACCAAACTTGGAATATGTTGCGCAGTTCTGGAAAACAAAATTTTGGCAGATATTGACAAAATACACATGGATGAAGAAGGGCTATGTTATATAATTGATCCAACAGGTATCATTTAGCCTAGAAATGGCATTAAAAACTACCCTCAAACCTTTGAGAGGCCATCACATGAAGGTTGCCCATCTTCTGCCCATAGCCAAGTGTCCAGGGTGGTGAAGCTAGAGTATACTATTAGGGCCCTTGGATCCTAGAAACAGTCACCTTCAGATTGCAGCATTTGGAGCTAATAGGAACAAAAACTTATCAAAGCTTGGACTAATGCTGCTAGGTCACACAAACAATTTATTAAACTGAAGAGGCTAAGCCAAAACATGAATAAGAATAAACAGAAATGTCAGATATCAAATAAAGTCAAAGATTAAAGATAAGACTGTAGTAGAATCCTGGCTTAAAATAAGTTCATTATGTAGAACCAACTATCACTTTGCTGAAATTTCATTTTTTTTTTTTGCTTCCAGAAAGAGGAGGTAAAGGAACTCCCCAGAGCCTTAAGGGAATGCTTGAGCTCTGATGGAAGTAATTTAACACTTTTTATAAGTTACTAAGTACCAGGCACTTTACATGTATTACCCCATTTAACCCTTACCACCGTTTTAAATTTGCACATACTGTTCTGATTGTTGTTCTCGTTTTACAGATACATTATACTGCCCCACTACACAGCATTAAATGATTACATACGACACCTGTGAGATGAACTTCTTCAGAGCATTACAGCAGAAGGCAAATTTTGGATAAATGTAACTCTTTGCAAACTTTTCTGAAAATAGGAGATGCTGCCTCAGGCTGAAGGGAGGTTTCTGTCATTTAGAAGGTTCAAGAATATCTGAGAGACATACAGAGTAGTTATGCATTAGGTTAGGTGAGAAAATTCCTAAGCTCCCTTCCACTTTTAAGATTCTAATTCTATATTTAGAGTACAAGGAGTAAAGTGAAGTATTTAAGAGCAAGGAAATTAGGTCAAGGTAACCTGGATTTAAATCATATGTAATCCATCCAATACCAACTGTTTGATTTTGATCAAGTTGCATAACTTTTCCAGGCACCAGTGTCCTTTTATTTTTCCATGAAGAGAATGGTATCAACCTCGCCAGTTTGTCTATAAGATTATGAGAGACAATGTAGATAGTGTGCTAAGTACCGTGCCTGACAAACAGGGAGCATCAATAATTGATAGCTGGTGTTAATGCGGTTCCATGGATTGCATATTGCTTAAACTTTGTCCACAAACAAGCAATTTTGACATTTTAGTGACTTCAGAGTTTCTATTTCAAGATGAGTTGAACTTGACAAAAGATTGGCGCAATGAAGGGGAGAGAGAAGAAGGAGAAACAATACAGAAGACAAGAGCCCTATAAGAACATTTTTCTTTTTTTTGTTTTTAACTTTTATTTTAGGTCCGGGGGTAGCTGTGTAGGTTTCTTAGATGGGTAAATTGTGTGTCGCTGAGATTTAATGTATTAATTATCCAATCACCCAGGAAGTGAGCATAAGATATGGTAGTTTTTCAACCCTGGCTCCCCTCTGAGCCTCTCTTGTCTATGTCTATTAGCCCCTGGTGTCTATTGTTCCCATCTCTGTGTCTGTGTGTACTTAATGTTTAGCCCCCACATATAAGTGAGAACATGCAGTATTTGGTTTTCTGTTCTTGCATTAATTCACTTAGGATAATGGCCTCCAGCTGCCATCCATGTTGCTGGAAAGGACATTATTTTGTTCTTTTTTATAGTTGTGTAATACTCCATGGAGTACATGAACCACATTTTCATTTTTGAGATAGGGTCTCACTTTGTCACCCAGGCTGGAATGCAGCAGTGTGATCTTGACTCACTGCAACCTCTGCCTCCTGGGCTCAAGCAATCCTCCCACTCTAACTGCCCAAATAGCTGAGACTACCAGTGCACACCACCATGCCTGGCTAACTTTTGTGTTTTGCGGGGCAGAGATGGGGTTTCTCCATGTTCCCTGGGCTGGTCTCAAACTCCTGGGCTCATGTGATCCATCCACTGCCTTGGCCTTCCAAAGTGATGGGATTATACACATGAGCTACTATGCCTGGCCTTGTACCACATTTTCTTTATCCAGTCCACCATTAGTGGGCATATAAGTCGATTCCATCTCTTTGCTATTTTGAATAGTACTGTGATGAACACACACACACACACACACACACACACACACGTATGTCTTTTTGGTAGAATGATTTTTTTTTTCTTTTGGGTATATACTCAGTAATGGGATTGCAGAGTCAAATGGTAGTCTGTGTTAAGTTCTTTGAGAATCTCCAAACTACTTCCCATAGTGGCTGAACTAGTTTAAATTTCCAACAACAGTGTATAAGCATTAACTTTTCTGCACAACCTCACCAACATCTGTTGTTTTTTGCCTTTTTAATAGTAACCATTGTGACTGGTGTGAGACAGTCTCATTGTGGTTTGAATTTGCATTTCTGTAATGATCAGTGATGTTGAGCACTTTTTCATATACTTGTTGGCTGCTTGTATGTCTTCTTTTGAGAAGTGTTTGTTCATGTCCTTTGCCCATTTTTTAATGGGATTTCTTGTTTTTTGCCTGTTGAATTGTTTAAATTCTTCATAGATTTTTGATATTAGACCTCTCTCAGATAGATAGTTTGTGAGTATTTTCTCCCATTCTGGAAACTGTCTGTTTACCTTGTTGATAGTTTCTTTTGCTGTGCAAAAGCTCCTTAGTTTATTAAGTCCTTCTTGTCAATTTTTGTTTTTATTGCAATTGCTTTGGGGGACCCAGTCATACATTGTTTGCCATGGCCAATGTCCAGAATGGTATTTCTTAGGTTTTCTTCTATGATTTTTATAGTTTGAGGTCTTATATTTAAGTCTTTAATTCATCATGAGTTAATTTTTGTATACGGTGAAATGTAGGGGTCTGGTTTCATTTTTCTGTATATGGCTAGCCATTTATTCAAGCACCACTTATTAAATAAGGAGTCCTTTCCCCATCACTTATTATTGTTGATTTTGTCAAACATCAAATGTTTGCAGATGTGGGACTTCATTTCTGGGTTTTCTATCCTGTTCCATTGGTCTGTGTGTCTGTTTTTGTACCATACCATGCTGTTTTGGTTACTGTAGCTTTGTAGTATAGTTTGAAGTTGCATAGGTTAGCTGCATTCCTAGGTATTTTATTATTTTTGTGACTGCTGTAATGGGATTGCATTCTTGATTTGGTTCTCAGCTTCAATTTTACTGCTGCGTAGAAATGCTACTCATTTTCATATGATGATTTTCTATTCTAAAACTTTACTGAAGTCATTTATAAGTTCTAATAGCCTTTTGTCAGAGTCTTCAGAGTTTTCTAGATAGAATCATATCATCTGCAAAAGGAGATAATTTGACTTCCTCTGCTTCTATTTGGATGCTTTTAATTTCTTTCTCTTGCCTAGTTGCTCTGGCTAGGACTTTCATTACTATGTTAAACAGATGTGGTGGGAGTGGGCATACTTGTCTTGTGCCACTTCCCAAGGGGAATGCTTCCAGCTTTTGCCTATTCAATAGGATGTTGGCTGTTGGTCTGTCAGAGATGGATCTTATTATTTTGGCTTATGTTCCTTCAATGCCTAATTTGTTGACTTTTTTTAAAACATGAAGGAATGTTGGATTTTATCAAAAACTTTTCTGTGTCTATTGAAATGATCATATGGTTTTTGTTTTCTATTCTATTTATGTGGTGAATCATATTTACTGATTTGCATATGTTGAACCAACCTTAAGTCTCAGGAATAAAACCTGCTTGATTGTGGTGAAATAACTTTTTTATGTGCTGCTGGATTTGGTTTGCTTGTATTTTCTTGAGGATTTTTGTGTCTGTTTATCAAGGATGTTTGCCTGATGTTTTCTTTTTTCCTTGTGTCACTGTCAGATTTTGGGATCAGAATGATGCTGCCTTTGTACAATGGGTTATTAAGGCATCCCTCCTCAATGATTTTTTTGGAATAATTTCAGTAGGGGGTACTAGCTTTTCTTTTACATCTGGTAGAATTTGGCAGTGAATCCATCCATCTTGTCAAAAGCCTTTTTTGGTTGGTAGTTATTTTTATTACAGATACAATTTTGGAACTCATTATTGGTCTGTTCAGGATTTCAATTTCTTCCTAGTTCAATCTTGGGGGATTATGTGTTTCCAGGAATTACTCTACTTCTAGGGTATCTAGTTTGTGTGCAGAGATGTGTTCATAATAGTTTCTAAAGTTGTTTTGGCCTTTCTGTGGGGTTGGTTATAATGTCATCTCTGTCATTTCTTTTGTGGTTATTTGGATCCTCTCTTTTTTCTCTTTGTTAACCTAGCTAGTGGTCTACCAATCTTGTTTATTCCTTCAAAATACAAACATTTGGTTTTATTGATATTTGTATGTATTTTTACATCTAAATTGTGTTCAGATCTGCTCTGATTTTAATTATTTTTCTTTTTTTTGTCAGCTTTGGGGTTGATTTGATCTTGTTTTTCCAGTTTCTCCAGGTTCAATGTTAAATTGTTAATTTCAGATATTTCCAACTTCTTGGTGTAGGTGTTAAGTCCTATAAGCTTTCCCCTTAACACTGCTTTAGCTGTGTCCCAAAAATTCTAGAACGTTGTGTCTTAGTTTTCATTTGTTTCAAAGAATTTATTGATTTATGCCTTAATTTTGTTCTTCACCCAAAAGTCATTCAGGGGCAAGTTGTTTAATTTCCATTTTATTGTGTGGTTTTGAGAAATCTTCTTGGTATTGATTTCTATTTTTCTTGAACTGTGGTCCAAGAGTATGGTTGGTATGATTTTGACTTTTTTGAATTTGTTGAGACTTGCTTTATGGCCAAGCATGTGGTCAGTCTTAGAGAATGTGCCATATGCAGATGAGAAGAATGTATACTCTGTTGTTATTCGGTGTGTAGTCTGTAGATGTCTATTAGGTCTAATTGGTCTAGTGTTAAGTCCAAAATATCTTTGTTAGTATGCTGTCTAAAGTTGTCAGTGGGGTATTGAAGTCTCCCACTATTATTGTGTGGTTATCTATGTCCTTTTGTAGGTTTCTAAGAACTTGTTTCATGATTCTGGGTGCTCCAACATTGGGTGTGTATATATTTAAGATAGTTAAGTCTTCTTATTGGATTGTACCCTTTATCATTAGGTAATGCCCTTCTTTGTAATTTTTGATCATTGTTGGTTTAAAGTCTGCTTTTTCTGATATATGAATAGAAAATCTTGCTCTTTTATTCCATTTGCGTGATAGATCTTTCTCCATCCCTTTACTTTGACTTATGAGTGTCATTACTTGTGATAAGGATTTCTTGAAGACATCATACAGTTGGGTCTTGCATCTTTATCCAACTTGCCACTCTATGCCTTTAACTGGAGACATTTATAGCATTTACATCCAAGGTTATTATTGACATGTGTGATTTTAATCTTCTCATCATGTTGTTAACTGGCTGTTATGTAGACTTGGTTGTGTAATGCTTTATAGCATCAGTGGGCTATATACTTAAGTGTGTTTTTCTGGTGGCAGCTATCTTTTTTTGTTTCCATGTTTAGCATTCCCTTAAGGACCTCTGAGTAAGTAAGGCTGGTGTAGTGGTAGCAAATTCCCTTAGTATTTGCTTATCTGAAAAGGATTTTATTTCTCCTTGCTTATAAAACTTACTCTGGTGGTGTATGAAATTATTGATTGTAATTTATTTTCTTTAAGGGTGCCATCTCTTCTGGCTTGTAAAGTTTCTGCTGAGAGGTCTACTGTTAACCCAATGGGGTTCCCTCTGTACATAACTTATACCTTTTCTATAGCTGCTTTTAAGATTTGTTCTTTTGCACTGATCTTGGTGAATCTGATGATTATGTGCCTTGGGGATGGTTGTCTTGTATCATATCCAGCCAAGGTTGTCTGTATTTTTTGGGTTTGCATGTTAACTTCTCTAGAAAGATTAGGAAAATTTTCATAGACTATATCCTCAAATGTATTTTCCAAGTTGCTTATTCCCTCTCCTTCTCTCTCAGAAATGCCAATGAGTCACAGGTTTGGTCTTTTTACATAATCCCATATTTCTTAAGAGATTTTGTTCACTTTTTAAAAATTCCTTTTTTCTTTAATTTTGTTGACTGTGTTGGTTCAAAGAAACAATCTTCAAGCTCTGAAATTCTTTCCTCAGATTGGCCTGTTCTGTTGTAAATGCTTCCAATTGTATTATGAAATTCCTGTAGTAAATTTTTCAATTCCAGAAGTTCAGTTTGGTTCTTTCTTAAAATGGCTATGCCATATTTCAACACTTGGATCAGTTTAGTGTTTTCTCTGGATTGGGTTTCCACTTTCTCTTGTACCTCATTGAGCTTCCTTGCCATCCAGATTCTGAATTCTGTGTCTGTCATTTTAGCCATTTAAAGTCATTGTTAGGGAGCTAGGTGTGATCATTTAAAGGTAAAGAGACACTCTGGCTTTTACAATTGCCAGAGTTCTTGCACTGGTTCTCTCTCATCTGTTAGGACTGATGTTCATTTATCTTTTGAAGTTGCTGTATTTTGGATGTAGCTTCTTGTTTTTATATTCTTCATTTCCCTTCAGAGTTTGACTGTGGTGTAAGTTGAGTGTAGTTGATTGGGTTCACTTCTGGATGCTTTTAGAGGGCCCATTCTCAGCTCAGCACTTCTGAGTTGTGTGCTCTAACCCTAGGGGTCTGGGACTGGGCCCACAGCTTTGTCCTCTGGCTTCTCAATATTGAGAACCACCTGTGCTAGGGGGCGAGGTGCTCCTAGGATGCTGGTAAAAGTGCTCTGGCAGGGTGGCAGATACCACCATTGAAAGCATTCTTGTGGGGTGGTGGGGGCCATTGGTAAAAGGGCTGTGGTGATGGTTTCCAGTCAATGCGCTCGAGCAGAACACTGGAGAGTGTGCTGTGTGCCTGCTCCCACAGGACTGGTCAGGCAGGGACAGAGAGGGGCCAGAAGACAGAAGGGCAAACAGATCAGACTCACCCTGGTCCTGTGGGAAAGAGAGCCCTGCTCTTTCCAGGTCCAGCAGTTAACAAATGTCAGAGCCACCAGGAGAAATATGGAGAGCCTTAGGGGATGGGTGCCTATGGCTGTGTTCTTTCAGAGCTTTCCCCGTGCCAAACCCCTCAGGCTCTGTGCAGACTCAGGCTCTGTCTCTGCTGACTCTCAGGTTGAACAGCCCATGACAATTCAAACGTCCATGGGGGTCATGGGATCTCCTGCAGCTAGGATCCCAGGTATTCACATTGAGAGTGGGTTGCTATGTACTTTACTCACCCCTTTCTTAGGAGCCGTTCAGGGCCAGGAAAAAGTCCTGGCACTCGGTAACTTCGTGCAGGGTTCCCAGCTTTCTCCCCTTTCAATCCTGGTGTCTGTGTCATCTCTCCATCCACCCCCAGTGCATTTCTCTTAGAAGTTCTGTTTAGAGTATGCTGGTCTACTCAATATTCTGGTCTTTTTCAGTGGGAGAAGCTCTTTTTGGCTGTCTTTAGTCAGAAATCTTGTCCCAGTCTCTGAAATTTCTAATCACTGATCTTGGTCAGATTCCATTAGTTTTCTTGATAAGATAATCAGATGAACCAAACCAGTGTGAAACAATGTGGAACGAGCACACTAAGATTCTTTCAGCCAGAAATTAACTACAAAGACTAGTAGTGTACCAAAAGCAAGATAATTTTCAATTTGTATGAGAATCTTATTTTAGCAAGAAATCATTTTATTGTTGTATATCAATTTTGATCATCTTTTTAAATTTTTCTCTCTTTTTTCTCTGAGATTTTTTGTCTGATTTTATCTGAGATAAAAAATCATTCTCTTCTCAGATTAAAAAGATTGTAGTGCAGTTTGGGAGAAGAGAGATACAGTGATCTGATGTACAGGAAACATGAAGGAAAAACACTTTCTTTATTAAATACCACAAAGAAAATAGTTACAAAGAAGGCAACAAAGCAAGCACTCAATACACTGATGTTAAAGAACCATTCTAAAAATACTTATTGAGACATTTCAGCAAAGCAAAATTAAATAATAAGAAAACCTAAGAGATCAGCTGATAGTAAATGCTTGATTTGAGATGAGGCAGGTAGTAGCTAGATTTCAGCTATAGCTAATTTTAACATGGACCTTTAGATCTATGGATGGGAAAAAATTTTTTTAGAGATGGTTTGTTGCCCAGGCTGGTCTAAAACCCCTGGGCTTAAGCAGTCCTTCTGTCTCAGCTTCCCAAAGTGTTGGGATTACAGGTGGGAGCTACCACACACACTTTACTTGGTTTTAATAAATAAAATGAAGACTCATAAACTCACTACCTAACCCAAGACCTAGGATATTACCAATTACTTACATTTATTTGGATGTCACTCGTCTGGTCCCCTACATAGAAGTGACCACCGGGCAGGGCACAGTGGCTCATGCCTGTAATCCCAGCACTTTGGGAGGCCAAGGCAGGCGGATCTCGAGGTCAGGAGATCGAGACCATCTTGGCTAACACAGTGAAATCCCGTCTCTACTAAAAATACAAAAAAAAATTAGCTGGGCGTGGTGGCGGGCGCCTGCAGTCCCAGCTACCCGGGAGGCTGAGGCAGGAGAATGGCGTGAACCCAGGAGGCGGAGCTTGCAGAGAGCCGAGATCGCGCCACTGCACTCCAGCCTGGGCGACAGAGCGAGACTCTGTCAAAAAAAAAAAAAGAAGTGACTAGCATTCTAAATTTGTTCTTTCATTTTATTTAGAGATTCATTACTTACATCGGTATGCCTAAATATTTGTACTTTTACTTGTCTTGTGAACTTTTTTTTTTAATTATACTTTAAGTTTTAGGATACATGTGAACTTTAAGAAAAGGGAATCTGGTACTTGCTTTCTGACTCAACTTGATGTTACTAAGATTGATGCAAAAAAAATCCATGCATTAATTTATTTTCACTTTTATATAACAAAACTGGATGTACTACAATTTATTCAACAATTATTGTATATTTGGGTTGTGCTAGTTTTTGCTGTTACCAACAGTGATGCTACAAACATTCTTTCTCATATCTTTTAGTGCACATATTTATAGATCCTCTTGGGAATTTGTGAGTCCAATTTGTGGAAATATTCATCTTAGAAAATAATGTCAAATTGTTTTCCAAAGTAGATGCATTTTACATTACTGCCAGCAATCAATAAGAGACCTCAGTGATCTGAAATTTGAGGGAAACTTCTTAATTTTTGCCAGTCGAAACTGTGTAAAATGGTATCTCAATGAGATCTTGAGGTTCTTAGATATGGTTAGAGGCTAAAAAATTCCTGAGATTGATCAAAGAGCATGATTTCTGAATTTATATTTTAATAGAGGAATTGAAAAGAAAATTGGTCATCACTAAATTATAACCCTGGAAAAGTAATGGGAAGAATCATCATAAACCAGAAAATACTAAAGAAATTTTAAAATATGAGCAAAAAGAGACATGAGAAAGTTAGAGCTGGGAGTTAAAGCATGTGAACGATAATAATAAGAGGGAGAAGGGAACAGATTGAGGAGGAAAAAATAATTAATATGCAGAAGTAAATGTGATTACATTTTTCCCCTTTGTAAATATTCACAGGTGATGAAGACCTTGCCTAATGAGGATAAAAATTAATTAAACACCATCATTGTCCTTGAGAATGCCAATACAGCACTGACAAAGATTTCAAGATTACATTTAAAAAGAAATCTCAGATATATGCTACTTATGAGAAATAAATGTATGAAACAGAATCAAATGTGTTAAAAATAAATAGGAAAATTAAGAAACCAGAAAAAAACACTAGGAGAGAGATATTAATAGTAGATATAACAAGATTTAAGGTAGAAAGCATTAATAGAACAAGAAAGAATAGATTTACAATGGTGAAATAAATAATACATGGAGAATTCTCAATAGTCTTAAAAATATTGCTTCATATAAGATAAAATGCTATCAATTGAAGCTAAAGTTAATCAAACCTGACACTGACACACTTTAATACATTTTTTCAGAATCTGACAAAAAATAAACCAGGAGACAAAATACTGAAGTCATTTAATTGCTAATTTCAGATTAATAGATAGTCTAGAATTTTGATTTCATAAATAGAATATCCACTTTCTCTTTTCATTCATAAAACATTTAAAAATTCCATCAGTACTGATCAAGATTAGTTGCAAAATCAAAGTTTTTATGTTCCATATTCTGTATTAGTCTAAAATTTTAGAGAACAACAATAAAAATATAAGACCTCCCAAACAATAAAATATTTTAAAATTAAGAAATACTATTCTAAATAACCATTAAACTAAAAGGAAATAAAAATTAAAATGGCAACTTGTCTAGAAATTAGCATAAATAGGACAACATCATCATAAAACTCATGAGATTAGTGAATTCTCTATTTAGAGAAAAATGCACAGCCTTAAATTGTTTCCATCATTAATAAATAATTTACAAGTAAACCAGTTATGTAACTTTGAAAACAAGAAAAAGAAAAGCAAAATAAATTAAAAAGTAGGAATGACTCTAGAAAAATGTGACTGTATAGGAAATAGAAAATTAAAAATTAATAGAAATAATACTTAAAATTAAAAATAGTTTCTTTGAAAAGACCAATAAAAGGAAACATAGGCTTGATAATAAAGAAAGAAGAGAGAAAAACAAAGGTATGCATTTGGAAATTTAAAAGTAGATAAAAACCACAAATGAGGAAGAGATTAAAGTATATAATTAGGAAGTCTATGGAAGAAGTCTTAAATCTAGAGAAAATGGAAAATATTCTGAAAAATATAGGTTACCACAATTATACCAAGAGAAGTAGAAAATTGAACATAAGTTAATTATGGAAAAAATAGACTGAATTATTTAGCATTAAAAAATATGCTGTGTCTAGATGAATTCTGTTAAGTCCTGCCTGTCTTTCAGAGAAGAGAGAATTATTACAGTATACTTACAGAAAAATGTTGAAAGCCTCTCCACATTTAAGTTTACAAAGCTTAGAACCTAAATTTAGTTTTAAAATATGACAAAAAGGGAAGCTATAGGTTAATTTCACTTATGACTACTAATGAAAAATTAGCTACTCCATAAACTAAATATAGTGGTGTATTGATACAACCAGGTCCCAAGACCAAGTGAAGCTTTCCTGGGAATGTAGGAATATTTTAATTTTAATATTAGTAAATCTATTAAGGTGATTTATTAAGTCAGCAGATTAATAAAACAAATGAATATACCAATAGATATTGAAATTTGATAAATTCAGTAGGCTACTGAATTTAAGTAAAATAGAAATAGAATGAAACTGCCTAAACGTGAGATACATTCACACATATATGTGATGGAAAATTCCTTAAGGACAGTTGATAGTATTTGTTCATTTTTATCCTCGTTATCCAAGGTCTTATCACCTAGTGGAAACTCAGAGAGGGGAAAAAATATGTATTTCCCTTTTCCAATTTAAAATAAAATAATACCGGGGGAAAATAAGACTCTGTATACATGGAGATTCTGATGTACTACAAATAAAAAGAAAGACTAATGGAAGCCTGAGAAGTGGAAAAAAGGATCAACCAAGGTCACATGTATTCTTGTTTTATGGTTGTTAAGATACAATCCCATTCTAAATAAATAGCCTCGTGCATAAATATTCTCATAAATATGTGAGAATAACCTTGAAATCTTTTCTAACATTTCCTTTTCATTAACTTCTATGACGGTCTTTGGCATTAATGCAAATATGAAGGATAGTCACACTTCCGTGCCTGTTCTGTGGTCGTTGTACAAGTACATCCAGGAGGTCACAGAACCTTGGAAAGTACTTTATTACACCATACGAAAACTCTCTTGTCAATCCTAATGCAATTTAATGTGCTGCTGCTGGTGCTTAATTTAATTCAGTTTTTTTTCTCCACTGGTTTTTGTTCTGTACTATCTATATTTTTATGAACTTCTGCTATATGAAATAATTTATATCTGAATTATTGGCAAGTTCATAGTGAACATTTTCTGCATTTATACCTTTTTCCCTTGAATACTGAACAATAAATTAGCTACCTCAATTAGAACAACTATGTCAACATACACACACATGCACACACACACATACACACAAATATACACACACAAATACACACACATACACTCATGTTCTAGATTGGATCACTTAGTGGCATAACCCATTAGAAATTATGGAATGCTTTTTTCCCGATAGTTAACATTTCCAAATAATTCTAGGTAAAATTCAATGAAGGTAAAAATCATGCGACTAAATGCCACAAGTAAATTGCTAGGAAAAAGGGAATTACTTCTGAGTTTAAAAATATATATTTTCAACAACTGTTAAAAATAAAAGCTAACTTGTGAATTCAAATGTCAAAGCTCCAAGAATGATGCTGGCAGAGGGAACAGTAGCACTATTTTCATTACTGTCTATAGCTTTCCTAGCACTCAAAGAAGAAATAAAGTTTAGATACCTCCATTTTATGTAAGATTTAAAAATGTATTGCCCTTTTTCACATTAATTTATACCTACCAGTTAGAGTTAAAGCATGTCAGTAGTGCTTCAGAAAAATCACATTTCTTTTCATTAAATTTTCATCTTATTGTAAACAGAAATCACTCCAAAAACAAACAATCCAAACACCTTCTACATATTCATTCTTAGACCAGAATCCTTTTGAAACTGAGCTATAAGAAAACCTGAATAAACATTCTGAGAGAATTAAATTAGCCAGTCATACTTTCTAGTACAAAGTTTCTATTCTATAAGGCTGACATGCAGATGGTACTCTCTTCTGTTTTCTTAAAGGTTAGTGATCTAGGAATAATTCTTTTAGAGAAGTATACATAGTCAAATATTTGGGGGATACTCAGTACTCCTGTAATAAGCCTTGCTAACAAAAAAAACAGGAAACAGAAAGGAACATAAGTCCTACCATAGGGATTTAAATATTATTAACTTGATAGTGCTTTTCCATAAGTGTGCCTCCATATGAGTACTTGAGATAATATATAGGCATTGCCTGTCACCTAATAATCAATTATTAAATGACAGCTATTATTTATTATCCTTATCATTTGCTGAGTATATATAATGTGCTACTGCACTACAGTATGATGCAAATATTTTACCTTTGTCCTCCCAAACACCCCTGTAGAATGAATATTTTAATGCCCTTTTATACAAAACAAGAAACTGAGGATCAGAGAAACTGCCCAACAGTATATATAATGTGCTACTGCACTACAGTATGATGCAAATATTTTACCTTTGTCCTCCCAAACACCCCTGTAGAATGAATATTTTAATGCCCTTTTATACAAAACAAGAAACTGAGGATCAGAGAAACTGCCCAACGCCTCACAGCATAATAGTCCAAGGTTAGATTAAAAACACTAGAACCCAAACACAGAAGAGAGTTTAGTGCTTTCCTGATATGCTTCCGTGATAAACTAAATATTAAAATAATTCCAGGCTTGAAAATAATGGCTAGGCCCACCAGGATCTTATTTTACTCAATACTTTTCCCCCTGAAATATCTAATTCTTTTATTTGGAAGGTGAGATTAAGAGTCTGGACTCTGGATTCAGATGGCTTGAGTCCAAATTCCTGCTGAGCCACTTACTCACTCTGTGACTTGGACAGTAATTAGCCTCTTTGTGCCTTTTTCTCCTGAGGATAATAGTATATCTGTCATAGGACTGCTGTGAAAGTTAACCAAGTTCTTCTGTATGTCCAGTGCTTAGACTAGTACCAGGCACATAGTAAGTCTTGAATAAACATTTGTTATTACTATGAATATTTACATTTTATCTTATGTTTGGGAGCCCCTGCTTTTCCCATGTCTCTAACCAAGGTGCTTGGCCTGCCTATAATCCACCTGGAGTACCACCTCCACATGTAGCCATCTGGCCTCAGGTGATGATCTAGTGGCTGAAGACTTTGAGACACAGACACCCTGGGCCTGTGGAGGAATCATGATCACCATATTTCAGTGGACTAAAAGGGAGAGTAGGAAATGAAACAAGATGGGAGTAGGTTGAGGTCAACACTATCTCAGGATGAAGAGAATCAATAGGTAAGAACATGATAAAGACTTTGAAGACTTATCCTTGAAATGGGGTTGAGAGTCTCACATAACTTTTCATAGTCATTCTGAAATTCAGTTCCTTAGATTCCAAACCCTCAACAGGATTCTAGTTGCTCAAGCTCTGGAACAAATTCTTATAAAAGAATGAAATATCACTGGTGGTGAGGGAAAAGGTCAAAGTAAGCAAGAAGGTTAGAATGAAAGATGCTGGCTTGTTCCATTCATCTGTTTAATCCATCTGGCAGAATTATGAACCTCTATCCTCCATGGCATTTGGATATAAATCAGAAATAGATTAGATTAGAGTGGGAGAAAAGAATGGAAAGAGTAAGAGGCTTCCTTTAGCTTCTCCAAGGTTGAACTGGCAAACAATCTTCGGCATTCAAGTTCATTTTCGAATCAGGTCAATAGACCAGTGAGGGTAGGAGGTGAATGAGCAATTAAATTACATAGCTTCTTCACCAGCTCTCCAGATGAGGCATTCTGACCTCCAACAGTGTCCTTCCAAAATATTTCTCGATGCACCGACTCCAAATACCTCTTGCTCCCAAGAGCTCTAACTCAAGGGAGTGATGGATCAATAGAACAAACTCCTAAGGGTCCCTCTTGTTTGCATGTGTGTTGAAAGATGTGTAAACATCTGTGTATCTTAGGAGGAAACATCTTGACTCTGGGTATGTGTAAGTAAAGCACATGTAAATTTTCTGCTACAGAATTGTATGTGAGGAGATGTAGGGGTATTGGTTTATGGGGATAGGGTGGTAAAACCCACTGAGAAAACGGTGGGTCCTTTAGGGCTCACCGAAGTTGCCATTTGAGCTGAAGACAGCAGACAGAGCATGAGGCCTTGTGAAGAAATGAAGCCCTCCTCTGATATCTGTCAAACGATGTTGCCAGTGACATTGTAAGGATAACATTTTACTTTCATTGCTGCACAAGTCAGAACATTTATCACCTTCCTATTATTTATTGGCTGTACCATTTGCTATATATGCTTGTAATTAGAGGAATGTGAGTTGATACAATAGAAATAATTTTCCAAATTATTGTCACAGTTAACTCCAGGAACAATATGGTAAAAAAAAAAACTGTGTTAGAAAAACGTTTTGAATACTGGTATCAAACACTCACTCTAGCAAGCTTATGGAAAAGAGAAGAATGTATTCAGTGAACATAGGAGTGTTTCAGAGAATCTGTAAATAGTATGAAGGACAAAGCTTTAATTAGATACTTGAATAAGAAACTGGAAAACTCTCAGGAATCCAGGAAGTATTTCTCTTTTGCTTTCTGTGTAACTGGCTAATTCTTCTCTCTGTACAGCTTGGCTGTCCTTCCCTCTCTATTTGGCATAATGTCTGTATTACACTTCCAAGTTTCCATGTTCCAGATCCACAAAGAGTAAATGGCTTTTAGTCTCAATCAGATTTTTGAGAGAGAATATGGTCATTCCATCTTGAGTGTGATGTCCACCTCTATGACAATAGGCTATGGGCTGAAAAGAGGAAGTGTGGTTTCACACAAATACATGATATCCCTCTTGTTCAGAGAGGGCAAATAACTTATTGGCAAGGCAGACTTACTAAAACTGTCAACAGTAATGGTAGTGTTGTTGCTGATGATGATGTTGAAAATGACATGTTTAAGAATTCAAGCACTGTTTGAGAATTTGCAAACCTATACCCCATGACCCTGCAGTCTAACTCCCAAGTTTTTATACAAAACAAAGGAATGTATATGCCTACAAAAAGACCTAAACAATAATATTTATAACAGCTTTATTTAGAAAAGATAAAACCGGGAAACAACCCAAATGTCCTTCAACAATAAAATGGGTAAACTGTAATATAATCATACTATGGAACGGGACACAGCAATTGAGAAGAATAAACTACTCATATATACAACAACATGAGATCAAGTTCACAAATAAAAGGATGAGTGGAAGAAGCCAGACACAAAAGATTGTACATTGAATTGCATTTGTATGAAGTTCAAAAACAGTAAAACTAACCTCAGCCTGGTGCGGTGGCTCACACCTGTAATCCCAGCATTTTGGGAGGCCAAGGCGGGCAGATCATGAGGTCAGGAGATCGAGACCCTCTTGCCAAACATGGTGAAACCCCGTCTCTATTAAAAATACAAAAATTAGCCGGGCAAGGTGGTGCGTGCCTGTAATCCCAGCTACTTGGGAGGCTGAGGCAGGAGAATAACTTGAACCAGGGAGTTGGAGGTTGCAGTGAGCCGAGATTGTGCCACTGCACTCCAGCCTGGGACAGAGGGAGACTCCATCTCAAAAAAAAAAAAAAAAAAAAAGTAACCTCTAGTGTTAAAAGTCAGACTAGAGGTCATGTTGGAAGGGCAAGGGAGGACACTGACTGGACGGCCCATGCAGGGAGTCTTCTGATGTGATGGAAATAATTCATACCTTGATCTGCATGGTAATTATAAGAGTCTATATGAATGTAAAAAATGTTCAAGTTGTACTCATAAGATTTCTGCATTTTATTATATAAGCTATACTTAACCAAAAAAAAAAAAGAAGAAGAAGAAGAATTTGGCCACTATCGTGAAATATATGTGGGTATAAATTCATGTCTTCTAATAAATAGCTTGACTTCTCTGGACCTCAGTTTGTTGTTTGAATACCAGTGATAACAGTATATATCTTATGTATAAGGTTGTTGGAATGACTGAATTAAAAATGAATATAAAACTCTACTAATGGTTTCCAGAACATATTATGACATTTATTACATGCTGGATAGTGTATTCATTGTTTTAGGTATGTAGGCTTACTTAAGCCTTACAATAACCGTGAGAAGAAAATCAGATCTCCACTTGGATGGTGAAAATGAGGCAGGATAAGTAAGGTTAGGAGGCCATACTGACTTGTCCCCTTGCGTGAAGCCCTGCAGGCTCCTTTTGCATCACTTGCACCCCACCTTGTGTCAGCGCCTAACACTTTTGCAAGATAAGCAATCCTATAGGATACCAGCTGACTTCCAGATAATTCCTGATACCCGATAGGCCCCCAGGAAAGAGAAAAAAAAAGCTCCTTATTCATTTTGTAACTTCTCTCCATCCAATCTGCACCAAAGCCCAAGAAGCTACCAGCTACAAACTCCTGCCTTATGGGAGCTGGAGACTTCTCTGGGGTCCCACATGCACAGCTAGTCTCAAGGTTTAGCCTACAGTAACCGTTTCCTCATTTTAATTGTAAAAAACATACCCCTAGGTGGAGATTTTATATGCTAATGACATATGTGATGCATGTTAGAGCATGTATATGCTGAGTGCATGTGCCAGCCACAGGTCTGCCTTTGCAGACTTGACCTCATCAGTATTTTATGAATATGTATGTACAGCTAGGGAATTCCCCTTAAGGCACAAGGAGCTGTCTGTCACTTTGAGCAGTACGCTCTGCTTCTCAGAGTGTACTGTTGCTTTGCAATAAACTTCTTTGTCTACTTATACTTCAGAATCTCTCTCAAATTCTTTTGTGTGACCAAGTCAAGAACTTGAACCAGCCCACCAACAACAAGAAGACAGTTTCAGAAAGGTTATATCTTTCATAAATTTTACCTGAGATTATTCAGTTTGAAAATGGAAAAACTAAAATTCAACCTAGATTTTAATGACTGCAAAGTCCATAGCCTTAATGTTTATGCTATTCTACCTCATAGCACTACATTTTCTAACATTCTTCCTTTTTGAATCAGAAAGGTGACACTATAATCAACATAAAAAGAAATAGTAAGTTTCCCCTACAACTAGAATACAAAGTTTATTTATAATAGTAAAAATAAGCCAGGAAGAAAAAAATTAATATGATGCAACAATACATATGATCTGTATAGAATAAATGAAATTAAAATATACTTAAATGATTAATAAGTCATTTGATGAAATGGCACAGTCTCTGAAATGTCAAAAGGGATATCTGAAGATATTTAATAAAACTCTGAAAGTTTAGGATAATCAGTCTTCAGTATAATTCTATGTATTGGAGGGGGAAAATCTCTATAGAATACTAAAGTAATTGCTAGTATTTTTTATATGTGTCAGACACTGTAATAAGTGCTTTGCATTTATTAACATATTTAGGCCTTCCAACAATTCCCACAGAATTCCAATTTTACAGATGAGAGAATTGAGCCATATAAAATTACAAATATCGAATTTGCACAAATTAATATGGAACCAGTATTTGAACACAGTTGAGATTTAGTCAGAATTGGGATTAAGATTTTTACTTTGTACTTCCAGCTAGTTATGGTCTCACCTAGTAATGTATGACATTCATAGGCAGTGAAAAGAGTTCTTATTTTAAGATATGAAAAATCTGAAAGACAGCCAGTAATAACTGATGTCGCTTTTCTAAACCTATCTAGACTCAATATAACTAATGCCTTCCATTCACTGCCTATAATGTAGGTCCCTTAGAAAAAAGCTACTCTTCATCTGGAATTATAGGAAGAATATGACTGCTATGGCTACTGGCCATGTTCTATACCAACAAGTTGCAGTATGTGATATACATGAAAAATGCATAAAAGATTGTATTAATTTGTATTAATACATGGTGTTCCAGACATTAGACAGCTATGACTAAGGAGCTAACTAAAGTACATGAATATGGACTGGGCACGGTGGCTCATGCCTGTAATCCCAGTACTTTGGGAGGCCGAGGCTGGTGGATCACTTGAGGTCAGGAGTTCGAGACCAGTCTGGCCAACATGGTGAAACTCAGTCTCTACTAAAAATACAAAACTTAGTCTGGCGTGGTGGCTCATGCCTGTATTCCCAGCTACTCAGGAGGCTAAGACAGGAGAATTGCTTGAACCCAGGAGGTGGAGGCTGCAGTGAACCAAGATGGCACCACTGCACTCCAGTATGGGGAAGAGAGCAAGACTCTGTCTCAAAAAAAAAAAAAAAGTACATCAATATTAACTAAGATTATTCTCCTTTTAATTTTCTGATATGTGTAAGATTTCTTTTTGCTTTACCGTATATACATATATAAGAAAAAATAATAAATGTTCCAGTATTTACTCTAAAAGATAAAGACTATTTTTAACATAACTACAATATTATTCTTATACCTAAAAATTAACAATAAATCCTTAATATCAAATATTCTGTAAGTGTTCAAATTTCAATTGCCCCATAAAGGTCATTATCTTTTTATACTTTGTTTTGAAGTAATTTCGAAATAAGGTTTACATTGTTCTCGGATGACATTTTAAGACATTTTAATCTCTAGATTCCTCCTCCAACTGTCCTTTCTCTTGGAATTTATTTATTTTCTCTTTAAAGTTAATATTATTTTAATTGACAAAAATTATAATTCTATTACATGTAGTTTGTATTCTAGGTACACAAGCTAACATATCTATCACCTCACTTAACACTTAGTGGTGATACATTTTACATTCACTCTCTTTGTTATTTTGAAATATGCTATACACTATTACTGACAATATTTCCCCTCCTGTGCAATAGACATCAAAACTTATTCCTCCTATGTATTAATAGCTGAACTTTGTACCCTCTGACCAGTAATTCCCAATTCCCTCACTCTCTCCTTTCTTCTTCTTCAACTTCTGGTAACCATCATTCCACTCTCTGCTTTTATGAGTTCAACTTTTTGTAGATTCCACATGTAAGTAAGATCATGAAGTATTTGCCTTTTTGTGCCCGGCTGTTTCACTTAGCATAGTATCCTCTGGAGTCACCCATGTTGCCACAAATGACAGAATTTCATTCATTTTTAAAGCTGAGCAGCATTCCATTGTGTTTGTACACCACATTTCTTCATTCATCTGCTGATGAACACTTAGATTGATTTCATATGTTGACTGTTGTGAATAATGCTGCAGCGAACATGGGATGCAAATATCTCTTCAAAATATTTATTTAATTCCTTTGGTATATTACCAGAAGTGGGATTGCTGAATCACATGGTAGTTCTATTGTTGGTTTTTTGAGGAACTTCCATACCGTTTTCCATAAGGGTTGTACTAATTTACGTTACATTAATTGGATTACATTTCACTTGCCTCTGTATCCTTGCCAAAGTTATCATTCATCATTTTAATAAAAGCCAATCTAACAGGTATGCTCTGATATCTCACTATGGTTTTAATTTTTATTTCCCAAAGGATTAGTAATCATGAGTATCTTTTCATGAACCTGTTGGCTATTTGTTCATCTTCTTTTTTAATTTAAAAAACTATTTAAAAAATTATTTCAATTTTTATTTTATTAAATTTATTTATTTCAATTTATTTATGAAATGGAGTCTCACTCTGTCACCCAGGCTGGAGTGCAGTGGCACAATCTCCACTCACTGCAACCTCTACCTCCAGGGTTCAAGTGATTCTCCCACATCAGCCTCCCAAGTAGCTGGAACTACAGGTCCGCAACACCACAACCGGCTAATTTTTGTAGTTTTAGGAGAGACGAGGTTTTGCCATGTTGGCCAGGCTGGTCTCGAACCCCTGACCTCAAGTGACCCACCAACCTAGGATGACCAAAGTGCTGGGATTATAGGTGTGAGCCACCACGCCCAGCCTCAATTTTTATTTTGGATACAGAGAGTACCTGTGCAAGTTTGTTACATGTGTATATTGCACCTAGGTAGTGACCACAATACCCACCCAACAGGTAGTTTTTCAACCACGGTCCCCTCTCGACCTCCCCATTCTAGTAATCCACAATATCTGTTGTTCCCATGTTTATGTTCATGTGTGTTCAACGTTTAGCTCCCACTTAATAAGTCAGAACGTGTGGTATTTGATTTTATGTTCCTGCGTTAATTTACCTAGGATTATGGCCTCTAGCTCCATCCATGTTGCTGCAAAAGACATGATTTCCCTCCTTCCTGTGGCTGCATAGTACTCCATGATCTATATGTACAATATTTTCTTTATCCAAATCCACCATTTGTGGGCACCTAGGTTGATTCTGTAGATTTGCTATTGTGAATAGCATGGTAATGATAATATCAGTGCATCAGTGCATTTGTCTTTTTAGTATAATGGTCGCTTTTCTTTGAGTATATATACCCAGTAATCAGATTACTGGGTTGAACGGTAGTTCCTTTTTTTTTTTTTTGAGATGGAGTCTCGCTCTGTCACCCAAGCTGGAGTGCAGTGGCACAATCTCTGCTCACTGCCACCTCTGCCTCCCAGGTTCAAGCAATTCTCCTTTCTCAGCCTCCTGAGTAGCTGGGAGTACAGGCACACACCACCACGCCCGGCTAATTTATGTATTTTTTGTAATAATAAGAGATGGGGTTTCACCATATTGGTCAGGCTGGTCTTGAATTCCTGACCTCAGGTGATCCACCCGCCTTGGCCTCCCAAAGTGCTGGGGTTACAGGCATGAATCACTGCACCTGGCCAGTAGTTCTGTTTTAAGTTCTTTGAGAACTCTCCAAACTGCTTTCCAGTGACTGAACTAGTTTACATTCCCATTAACAGTGTATAAACATTCCCTTTTCTCTGCAACTTTACCAGCCTTTGTTGCTTTTTGACTTTTTAATAATAACCAGTCTGACAGGTGTGAGATGGCATCTCACTGTGGTTTTGATTTGCATTTATCTGATGATTAGTGATCATGAGCATTTTTTCATATGTTTGTTGTCTGCTTTATTATTTTCAGAAATATCTGTTCATCTCCTATTGCCCATTTTCTAATGGGGTTACTTGTTTTTGTTTGTTGATTTGTTTAAGTTCTTTATAGATTCTGGATAATAGACTTTTGTCAGATGCAAAGTTTGCAAATATTTTCTCCCATTCTGAGGTTCTCTGTTTACTCTGCTGATAGTTTATTTTGCTGTGCAGAAGCTGTTCGGTTTAATTGGGTCCCCCTTGTCAATTTTTTGTTGTTGTTGTTGCAATTTCTTTGGGGAACTTAGCCAAAAATTATTTGCCAAGGTCAATGCCCAGAATGGAATTTCTTAGGTTTCCTTCTAGAATTTTTATAGTTTGAGATGTTACATTTAAATCTTTAATCCATCTTGAGTAAATTTTTGTGAAAGGTAAGGGTCTAGTTTCATTCTTCTGCATATGGGTAACCAATTATCCCAGCACCATTTATTGAATAGGGAGTCACTTTGCATTGCTTGTTTTTGTTGGCTTTTTCAAAGATCAAATGGTTCTAGGTGTGTGGCTTTATTTCTGAATTTTCTATTCTGTTCCTTTGCTCTATCTGTCTGTTTTTTATACAAGTACCATGCTGCTTTGGTTGCTGTAATATTATAGTCTAGTTTGAAGTTGGGTAATGTGATGCCTCTGGCTATCTCCTATTTGCTTAGGAATCCTTTGGCTATTCAGGCTGTTTTTTGGTTCCATATGAATTTTAGAATCATCTTTTCTAATTCTGTGAATAATAAATTTGGCAGTTTGACAGGAATAGCATTGAAATTGTAAATTATAATACTTTGGGCAGTCTGGCCATTTTAATAATATTGATTCTTCCAATCCATGAGCATGGAAAGTTTTTCCATTTGTCTGTGTTATCTCTGATTTCTTTCAGCAGTGTTTTGTAGTTCTCCTTGTAGAGATCTTTCACCTCCTTGGTTAGCTGTTTTCCTAGGTATTTCATTTTCTTTGTGGCTATTGTAAATGGCATTGTGTTATTGATTTGACTCTCAGCTTGGATATTATTGGTGTATAGAAATACTAGTGATTTTTGGCGGGGCACCGTGGCTCACGCCTATAACCCCAGCACTTTGGGAGGCTGAGGTGGGCAGATCACGAGGTCAGGAGATCGAGACCATCCTGGTTAACACGGTGAAACCCCGTCTGTACTAAAAATATTTTAAAAATTAGTCGGTCATGGTAGCGGGCGCCTGTAGTCCCAGCTACTCGGGAGGCTGAGGCAAGAGAATGGCGTGAACCCGGGAGGCGGAGTTTGCAGTGAGCAGAGATCGCACCACTGCACTCCAGCCTGGGCGACAGAGCGAGACTCCGTCTCAAAAAAGAAAAAAAAAAAAAAAGAAAAGAAAAGAAAAGAAAAAGAAAAAAGAAATGCTACTGATTTTTGTATATTGATTTTGTGTCCTGAAACCTTGCTAAAATTGTTTATCAGCTCTAATAATCTTTTGGTGGAGTATTTAGGATTTTCAGAGTATAAAAACATATCATCAGTGAAGAGAGGTAGTTTGACTTTCACTTTTCCTATTTAGATGTCTTTTATTTCTTTCTCTTTCCTCATTGTTCTGGCTAGAATTTCCAATACTTTGTTGAAATGAGTGATGGGAGTGGGCATTTTTGTCTCATCCTGGTTCTCAAGAGGAATGTTTTCATTTCAGCTTTTGCGTGTTCAGTGTGATGTCGGTCGTGGGTTTCTCAAGGACGGCTCTTATTATTTTGAGGTGTGTTCCTTCAATGTCTAGTCTCTTGAGGGTTTTTATCATGAAGGGATGTTGCATTTTATCAAAAGCTTTTTCTCCATCTATTGGGATGATAATATGGTTTTTGCTTTTGATTCTCTTTATGTGGTGAACCAATTTATTGATTTATGTATGTTAAACCAACTTTGCAACCCAGGAATAAAGCCTACTGGATCGTGGTGAATTAACTTTTTTATGTGCTGCTGGATTTGATTAGCTAGTATTTTGTTTAGAAGTTTTGTGTCTATGTTCATCAGGAATATTGACCTGAGCTTGTTTTCTTCATTGTGTCTCTGCTAGATTTCTGTATTAGATGCTGGCTTCATAGAATGAGTTAGAGAGGAGTCGCTCCTCCTCATTTTTTTTTTTTTAGAATAATTTCAGTAGGATTGGTATCAGTTGCTACTTATACACCTGGTAGAATTCAGCTGTGAATCCATCTTGTCCAGGGCTTTTTTTGGTTGGTAGAATTTTTATTACTGATTCAGTTTTAGGGCCAAATATTGGTCCATTTAGGGTTTCAATCTCTTCCTAATTCAATCTTGGGAGATTGTATGTTTCCAGCAATTTATCCATTTCTTCTAGGTATTCTAATTTGTATGCATAAAGTTGTTCCAAGTAATCTCTGGGGACCTTTTGTATTTCTGTGGAATAGGTTGTAATGTTATCTTTGTCATTTTTGGTTGTACTTTTTTGGATTTTCTATCTTCTTCTTTGTTAATCTAGCTAGTGGTCTATCAATCTTGTTTATTTTTTTGAATACCCAATTCTGGGTTTCATTGATCTTTTGTATGGATTTTCACATCTTAATTTCATTAAGTTCTCTAATTTTAGTTATGTTTTTCTCCTCTGCTAGATTTGAAGTTGGTGTGCTCTTTTTTTCTAGTTCCTTTAGGTACAAAGTTAGGTTGTTAATTTGAGATCTTTCTAATATCTTGAAGGCATTTAGGGCTACAAACTTTCCTCTTAACACTGCCTTAGGTGCATTCCAGAGATTTTGGTAAGTTGTGTCACTATTTTCACTAATTTCAGATAATTTTTTGATTTGTGCCTTAACTTCAGTGTTCCTCCCAAAGTTATCCAGGAGTAAGTCATTTAATTTGCATGTATTTGTGTTGTTTTGAGAGCTCTTGTTGATATTGATTTCTATATTTATTGCACTGTGGTCTGAGAGTATTCTTGCTAAGATTTCAATTTTTTGAATTTATTGAGACTTGCTTTATGACCGAACATGTGGTTGATCTTAGAATATGTTTCATGTGTAGATGAGAAGAATGTATATTCTGTAGCTATTAGGTGGCGTGTTCTGTAGATGTCTATTAGAACCAATTTGTCAAATGTCATGTTTAAGTCCAGAATATTGTTGCTGTTTTCTGCCTCGATGATCTGTCTAATGGTGTCAGTGGGGTGTTTAAGTGTCCCACTGTTAATGTGTGTTTTTCTAAGTATTTTCATGGGCCAAAAAAACTTGTTTTATGAATCTGGGTGCTTCAATGTTGGGGGCATATATGTTTAGGATAGTTAAGTCTTCTTGTTCTGCTGCTCCACTGGAGTACTTTTGCAGCAACCCAGGAACACATCAGATCCCCAATTGCAGCTGGAATCTGACACCAAGCCACAGGATGTCCTGTGGTGTCCCCAGGGCTGCAGCATAGAGCTCAGGAGTACGGAGCAGAGATCTGTGGCTGACACTTGAGTAGAGGAGGAGCCCCTATGCTCAGAGCACTGAGAGGGGCAAAACACTCAGCTTCCTGGGCTGGGATGAGAGAGGGGCATACTTCCCTCCACAGGGCTAGTCCAGAAGGGGTATGGCACATATCTCTTCACAGCCTTTGCCTGAAGGGGCCCTGTGGCCCAGAACAGAAAAGAGAGAAAGAAAAAGAGTGAGAGAGACAGAAAGAAAAAGGAAAGAAAGAAAGAAAGAAGAGAAAAGAAGAGAAGAGAGAAAAGAAAAGAAGGAAAGAAAGAGAAACATGGGTGTGGCACTGGTGATCAGATGGGGCTACCCTAAGACCCAGGGGCAGCCATTTATCTTGTAAGGAAAATATTCAAATGAAATTTTCAAATGTGCATGTAGTTGTAGAAGTCATTCCTTTTTTCCGGCTTATCATTTTAGCACTCTGAACTAGCCATTTATTTTTAGGAAAATAAAAATGCTTGTATAATGCTCAATCAAGTGCTAAGTATCGGTGGAAATATTTTCAATATCAAAATACCAAACACTGCTGGAAATTACTTGGCCCTCTGTATCATTCCTGCTTTCTGAGATCACCTTCTGATGTGGCAAGGGTGTAAAGCCTACAAACTGCATTTCCAAATTATTATGCCAGTAAGGACTGGGCTAAAGTCCTTCAGTGAGAGAAGCTTGTATGGGATTTGGAAGGCGGAAGGTAAAGAAAAGCCACTATTTCCAGGTAGCGGTTGCAGAGGTGTGTCTGCCAGACCAAGAGTTCACATGAGATTTTGCCTGAGGCTTTGGGTAGTTTCCTGAGAAGTAACCATTTTGATCACTGCAGGCAGCTGAAACTATTGGTCCAACACTTGCAAAGTTTCATCCTTCCAGATTCCCTACATCTAACTTCCTTTTTACTGTAAATAACTCGGGTGGTGTAATAGTCCGTTCTTATGCTGCTATAAAACAACTTCCCAAGACTGGGTAATTCATAAAGAAAAGAAGTTCAGTTGACTCGCAGTTCTGCAGGGTTAGGGAAGCCTCAGGAAACTTACAATCATGGTGGAAAGGGAAGCAAACACATCCTTCTTCACGTGGCAACAGAAAGGAGATGTGCAGTGCAAATGGAGGGGCATGGGGGCCATTTTCACTGCACTTCTCCTTCCTGTTGCCATGTATAAAACCATCAGACCTCATGAGAACTCACTTACTGTCATGAGAACAGCATGGGGGAACCGCTGCCATGATCTGTCGCCTCCCGTGAGGTTCCTCCCCCAACACATGGGGATTACAATTGGGATTACAATTCAAGATGAGATTTGGGTGGGGATACAGAGCCAAACCATATCTTCCACTTTCCTGACCAAATTTAACTTATACATGAAGCAAATCCTCAAACATTCAAACAACAATTCAGATAATGATTTTCAGTTCACAGATTTCACAATATACCTTTGAACATCACAAATAATACGATGTTAAATATGACAATTTTATGAAATATATGTAGTTGGCATTAGTGGTCATTTTTAACCTGAAACTTGGAAACTTATAGATACAACTTCTTTCCAAATCCATGTTTCTTTCCTTTTTTAAATGCAGTCTCAAATTAAATAATATACTATAAAAAGATGCAACGCAGAAAACTGTCTGTAATTTTATCTATTTTAACCTTTGATCTATGTTATCTAATTTTAACCTTGTCCTTATGAGCAATCTCAATATGGTAGAAGCCCTCCTAACTGACCTTCCTTTAGGTAATCAAAGGGGTTAACTTTAATAATTTTAATTTTCTCTGTCAATTAGTGACTAATGTGAATTGCACATTGAATGACCTCACCCAGAGACTAGGTATTCCACAAGTTAAGTTTATCAGGAATGAGTTATGTTGGTTCCTAATATTGCTATAATATCTCCACCTGTTATTGGAATTACATAATTTAATAAATATTACATGAATAATTATATTAATAGTAAATATTGATAAAGCAGTTACTATGTTCCTGGCACTGTTCTATACTGTTTCTATAAATTTACTCATTTAATAACAATCACCTATGAGGAAGATGCTATTATCATACTCCTTTTAGTGGTGAGAAAACTGAGGTCAAAAGAAAGTCAGACATTTGTCCAAAGTCACATAGATGGTAGGTTGGAGAATTTGAACACAGTCTAACTTTAGAATCCATGCTTTTAACCACTATGCAAATAATAGTGAAAAAAGAAAGTTATTTCTATGAAAAGTAAATTAATCACACCAATTTATACACAAACATCTATAGCAACATTATTCATAATTATCAAAAGTAGAAACAACACAAATATCTATCAACTAATACATGGATAAACAAAATATGGTATATCAGTACAATGAAATATTATTCAGCCATAAAAATGAATACAGTACAAATACATGTTACAATATCCATGAGCCTTGAAAACATGCTAACTGAAATATCCAGACACAAAAGGCCACATCACTTATGATTTCATTTACATGAAATATCCAGAATAGACAAATTCATGCAGACAGAAAGTAAATTGCTGGTTGCCTAGAGCTGAGGGTTTAGGGACAAACAAGGAGTGACTGGTAATGAGTATAGGAATTTTGGAGGAGTAATAAATGTGTTCTAAAATTTATTTTGGCAATGGTTGTCAAACTCTGTGAAAATACTTCAAAATAGTATAGTAAGGAGAAAACCAATTAGACTCATCGCTTTGGAAAGATTCTGTAAAGATGGCCCGCTAGAAGATAGAAAGACAATGGAAAAAACACTAGGGGAAAAAAAAACATAAAAATCTATAATGATTCTATGCTTCGAATATTTCAGAAGTGCTCTTACTTCTTGCTTCATTTGTAAGAAGCTAAACCTGGAAATCATAAATGATGTATTATTGGTGGGAGTAATAAAAGAAAGAAAATTCATAAATCCAATAAACTTTTCTACGTAGCAACAGAGAAGCAGGGAGATCAGGGAAGCCTTCAAAGAAAGAGGGAAACTTGAGTTGGTTACTACATGTTTATAAGGAGTTCACTTAACCTGAAAAGCACAGCTTTTTCCCCCCCTTTCTTTCTTTATTTTTATTTTTATTTGTACTTTTTTTTTTTTTTTTAGACGGAGTCTTACTCTGTCACCCAGGCTGTAGTACAGTGGCACAATCTCGGCTCACTGCAACCTCCGCCTCCTGTTCAAGCGATTCTCCTGCCTCAGCCCCTTGAGTAGCTGGGATTACAGGCACGCACCACCTTGCCCGGCTAATTTTTGTATTTTTAGTAGAGCTGGGGTTTCACCATGTTGGCCAGGCTGGTCTCGAACTCCTCACCTCATGATCTGCCCGCCTCAGCCTCCCAAAGTGCTGGGATTACAGGCATGAGCCACCGTGCCTGGCCCCAGATGGTTTTTTATACAGAAGTAGCATGAAAGCAACATAATCAGGATGTCGCCAAAAGCTCTGTGTGCCTGGAATACAAGGTGCAGAGAAGGAAAGAAGGAGATGCAAATAGAAAGGTAAGTCAGGGCAAACCTGTCTGAGTACACAAGTTATTCTGTCAACCTTGGAGATCAAACAAAGATGCTTAAGTAAGGATCAAGTACTGTTGCAAATTTGCTTATGTTTAAAAGAGAGGACTGTTGGCAGTGTGGATTGATTGGAGGGGCAAAATGATGGAGGCACTGAAACCAACTTGATAGTTATTCACTATTAAGGCAGGAAATGCTGAAACGTAAACCATGCACTGCTATCAAGATGGAGAGTAGGGGATGCATTGATATCTTTATAGAGAATAAAAAGAGCTTAGTGATGGGAATAGAGGGTAAACATCATGAGGCAGGTGGGTTTGCTCACAATTTTGTCCCCAAAGCCTACTCACATCCCGGACGCACAGCTAGTGTTTGATATTTGTTGAGTAAATTAATGCTGAATGTATGGAGGGAGGGAGAAGAATGACCTTATTATAATTTTAAATTTTCTAACATTATTTCTATGTTTGGTAATTTTTTTTTTTTTTTTTTTGAGACAGAGTCATGCTGTCGGCCAGGCTGGAGTGCAGTGGTGCAATCTCGGCTCACTGCAACCTCAGCCTCTCGGGTTCAAGCAAATCTCCTGCCTCAGCCTCCTGAGTAGGTGGGACTACAGGCGCATGCCATCATGCCCAGCTATTTTTTTTTTTTTTTTGTATTTTTAGTAGAGACCGGGTTTCACCGTGTTAGCCAGGATGGTCTTGATCTCCTGACCTCATGATCCACCCGCCTCGGCCTCCCAAAGTGCTGGGATTATAGGCGTGAGCTACCGCGCCCGGCCGGTAATAATATTTTTAAATGAGAATGAAGACTGCAAAAAACAGATCAAAGGGAAAAAGTTAGTTTGGTTTTACAGGTTGGGATTGAAGTACCTGATGATAAGAAATTAGTAAAAATGTACATGCAACTAACTGGAAATACAGGCCTGAGGCTCCAGAGAGAAAGGAGGGCTGGTAGATTCAGATTTTAGGACGCCTTGAGGTATAGGTGATCTCTAAAACTGTGAGAATGAATGAGCTCCAATTAGTTAAATCTTCCATGAAAAGGAAAAGAATAACAGGGCTTGTAGCCCGAAAAGCTGAGGAAAGGAACAGAAACCAAGGCAAATTGCAGAAGAACACTCACAGAATTAGTGAGAGATGTCAAGATTGAGAAGAGTATTAATATTTGAGCTTCTAACCCTGAATGCAAAATTAAGAGGGAGTCTCCATATCTACTCACAACCTAGATGGCAGGAGAAACATGGATCCATATAGCTATTATTCCAATCATGACAACTTATCATCAAACACTGGGATTAATCTGCTTCTTGGATGTGAGAACTCATCCAATAAGCCCTGAATCACCCTTAGGAGCATGCTCAGATAGACTTAGATTTTTTTCCCCACATGATAATCTTCTTGGCCTCATATTAATGCAAAACCCATTTTTAAATGGCCAGAAAATATTGCTTCCTATAAGGCATTGTTTTTCTGAGATTTCCATGATAAGGTAGAAAACAATATAGTACAAAGATCAGCCTCTTTATACTAATGACCGGTATGCATCCACAGACACAAGAATATAACCAAGGCAAAGAAACACATTGTCCACGCATTCATGTTTTAATTTAATGTGATAGGGATGTTTTCAGAGATCTAGCAAAGGGAAGACCTAAGGACAAGGAAGTTCCAGCCAATCTTTAGTCCATGCTTTTGGTAAAGTGCTCTGATTCTAAGTGTCCATGCTCATCCTATAAAGTGGGGAAGAATAATTCATCACTATACCTGCAATTACTTGAAAAATTATCTCTTGGGATCATGCAATTTCCTTTATTATTTCATGGTCTCCAGCCAAGCTCTTTTCATGTAAGTGTTTCTGGAAGGACCTGCCCATGTGTGGGGAGCTGCTGCACAGCCGGCCAGCATCTCCTCCTCTAACATTAACATCTCTCCATAGGAATGCACGAATCCAGGAGCTGCCACACTATACAACTCATGTCCTAGTTGAGTCATTTGCTCTCAACATCACTAGGCGAAAGGAGCACTCATTTCTCAATTTTATTGACCATCTACTATGTGTTAGGCATTGTACTGAGGGCCTTGTATATTGAATACATCAAAGAATAAAAGAGAAATTACTCCTCTCTGGTGGAGATCACAGAGAAAGGAGAAACAAACAAAAGGATTAGTTAACTTGCGTATTATGGTAAGTTTGACAAAAGTTGAATCTACTCCAAATTTGCTGACCTTTTGCTGTTTTTCAAACATGCTAGGCATATTCCCACCTTATGGCCTTTCCATTTACTGCTCCCCTCTGTCTGGAATGATCTTCCCCCTGTATCTGCATGACTCACCCCTTGCTTCCTCTAAGTCTTTATGCAAATGTCACCATCTCAGGGAGGACTTTGCTTACTGTACAACATAAAATGTTCCTTTTAACCCAGCAACTTCTCATCCCCATTTCTCATTTTCTCTTTCTCCAAAGCACTTAGTATCATATTGTACGGTTTACTTATTTATTTTATTTTCTCTACTAGAATATAAGCTACTTGAGATATTTGTCTTTATGTTAATTAATTTATCCTGTGTCTAGAATAGTTCCTGATCTGTAGTTGATATTCTTTCTAAGATACATAAACAGGAAGTAAGGAAAGAAAGTCTATTTCAGATTGGGGAAAGGGAATCGGACTTGCTGAGGAAGTGATATAAAGCATGAAAAAGAGCTAGCCTGTAGCCATACAAAAGGAAGTAGAAGCGTAGAAGAAGCGTGTGCAAGGCAAACACCCTGAGGCAGGCAGGAAGGGACCAACAGGGACCAGGACTATGGAAGAGGGCTTGTGTGAAAAGGCATAATGGGTTGGGTGCTGGTGGCCTGGGGAAAGGGTCCTAGAAGTAAGGACGGGACAGATCATGTAGTGTCTTGTAAGTCAGAATATGAAATATGGACTTTTTTGTACGTGCAAAGAGAAGCCAAAGGGAATTTTAAGTTGGGGAAGTACATAAAGCCTGGTTGTTCCATAAAAGCACAGATTGGAGGTGGCAAGAATAAAAGGATAGAGAGCCAGTTAGGAGACCGTTTAAATGTTCCAAGCTGAAGGTGAAGGTAACCCGGACAAGGGCACACCAACGGAGATGAGAGAATTCAAAGAATGCAAGTAATATTTTGGAGAGATAATTGACCACATTTGCTGGTGGATTCTTTTGGAGCATGAAGGTGAGTATGAAATGGAAGTAGATTCCTAAGTTTGTAGCTTAAGCATTGAATTTCAGCAAAAGCATCTAGGACTTCCAAAAAGAATAAATTCCTCACTGTATTGTAAAATGAAAGAGACGTAAATGAGATAAACCATTTGTTGAATTTATTGAATGTCTTTGAATCTACTGTCTAACTCTATTAAGTCTGAGTACAAGTTAACTTGCATTTCTATTTTAATCCAAAGACTTCATTGAGTTTAAGCTTGTAGCCCATACATTCTAGTCTGTCAATGTCTTTTATTCTATTAAAGGGAAAGATTAAATGCTCAATATATATTTCTTGCTCCCTCTTCTCCTTCCATTTGTATGCATCATTGCTTTACTGTTGCTATTGCATTCTTCTTTCTCAGCAATCCTATAGTGTCTGTACTGCTATTTAGTACGAGAAAACCAAGGCTCTAAGAGGTTGAACATTTTGCCAAATATCACTGAGCTAGTAAGTGTTCAAGCTAGGATTCGAACCCAGGCCTGTTCATTTCCAGACTGCTTATTCTTTACTACCATTCTTCTTCTGATGGTTTCAATGATTCTAAATCCAAAACAGTAGACAGTCCCCACATTCCCGCCATGTTTACCTTCAAATGTATTATTTTTACAGCCCCCGTATTTTTATTTAAACTATACTAAAATAGGTATTGTTTTCTTCCCAAGGGAAGGTTATCTAGACAAAGTGGAATGAGAGAAACACTATGGATAAACCTAGCCTGAGATTCAAGACTGGCCATGATGATGATAATTCTTTTTCTAAAAATCCAGAGCAGACTGTTTTTGATTAAACAAATCACGTAAGATAGTTTCATCTTAAAATTTTTTATCATAATTTGTTTATAGAACAGAAACTCTCCATTGTCATTTAAACAAGGGCACTTTAGTTATGAACATATGATATCTTATCACCATATTTTCATCTCTAAATTCTAAATGTCTGTCAAAAGATATCTGATTGGAATATAATAGCTCTCAGTGTCAGGAATATTCATTGTTCATAGGAGTACTAGAGATTACATACATAAAGGAAAGGAAGAAATAGTTTTTTTCATCATTTAACTGGGATATTGGGTGTCCCAATTTTATCTTTTTAATCTAAATGAAAAATTTTCAAATTCAAAACAGGTGGTATAGTGAAATTGCCTGTATATGGACTTCTTTACCTAAAGCATATAAATTTTCAGTCTACCAAAATGAAGCAAAATTAACAGAAAACTGTGGCTTGGGCTGTCTTTAAAGTGGAAAGTTCCACCAATCGGTTGACACTTTTTCTTCTTTTTACATGCCCCTATTATGAGTATTATATAGCACCCTAACACCTATATTCATTACTTTTTTTTTTTTTTTTTTTTGAGACAGAGTCTCACTCTGTCACCAGGCTGGGGTGCAGTGGCATGATCTCGGCTCACTGCAACCTCCGCCTCCTGGGTTCAAGCGATTCTCCTGCTTCAGTCTCCCAAGGTGCTGGGACTACAGGCGTGTGCCTGTGTTTTTAGTAAAGACGGGGTTTCATCATGTTGGCCAGGATGGTCTCGATCTCTTGACCTCGTAATCCGCCTGTCTTGGCCCCCCAAAGTGCTGGGATTACAGGTGTCAACCACCGTGCCCTGCCTATATTCATTAATTTTACAAATGCATATTAAAACAAAAAACCTAGAACCCTGGATACTGATCATGATATGCATTATTCACCAAATCTAAAAGACTATATGTGGAACAATTTATGTTTGTATTATCTTAAATTAGATTTGATTTAATATCCCCTTCACAGGTGTAAATTAGGGAAAAGGTGGGAAGGAAGATTATTTCATTACTACTTTTTTTTTTTAAAATAACAGGTATTATTTAGATCACCAAAATAAAGTATATAAACATATAACGTTCTTTTTGGGCACCAGAAATGTGCCTTAGTTACACTGTAATCATTAAGGACACAGAAGAATGGGCAACGTGTTTGAAAATAATATTGCCATTTCTTTAATTCTTTTTAAAAAAGTTTATGAAAAAATTGCTTTGGGTTCCTAAAAGACATGCGAATATATGTCACTCCACAAGGTGGCGGAAGCGTGCCATGCATTGTTCTTTTGTGCTGGCTCAAAATGTGTTTTACTATTTAATCCTCTTTATTCAGCGGTCATAGTGCTGTTTTCTACCATAAGAGTTCACGCTTCACAGAGCCATCTTTTTCTTAGGCAGTGCTTGCTGGTACACAAGCTATGTATGTTACATGCAAAGTTCAATAGAATCAGGACAATCCTAAGCAAATACAATTTAAAACATATTCAGTAACCTTTCCTGAGAGACTACAGTTATAGCTTTGACTTTATTGTTCTGGACTCTCTGAATCCCAGGGCACCGAAAGTTTTTGCATTTCTAGTTTTAAAACATATTTTACAACATATCTTTAGAAAATTCCTCTTCATCTGTGTCCCAGAATAGTATCGACGATACCTCCTCATAATAAGTGTAAACTAGAGGTCCTTAAAGGCTTTGCAGTTTGCAGTGACCAGAAGTAAACTACTTTTTATCACTGTGGAAAAAAAAAAATTCATTCCTGGCCAACATGGTGAAACCCCGTCTCTACTAAAAGTACAAAATTTAGCCGGGCGTGGTGGCCTGTGCCTGTAGTCCCAGCTACTGGGGAGGCTGAGGCTGGAGAATCGCTTGAACCCGGGAGGCAGAGGTTGCAGTGAGCCGAGATCACACCACTCTGCACTCCAGCCTGGTGACAGAGTGAGACTCCATCAAAAAAAAAAAAAAAAAAAAAAAAAAGGAAAAATTCAGTTTTATCCTATCTCAGGAGGATAAAGTACCTAAAACTCCACTTTTAGAGAGTTATTCTTTTGGGTAAAATGTTGCCTTCTGTACTTGGTCTTCGAAAACACAGATTCTTCTGCTGGAGTAACATTAAATTTCTAGCGGCTCCATCATCGGCTTTGTGACCTTCGGTAAATTACTCCAACTTTTTTTTTTTTTTTTTTTCTTTGAGACAGAGTTTCGCTCTGTCGCCCAGGCTGGAGTGCAGTGGCGCGATCTCGGCTCACTGCAAGCTCCTCCTCCCCGGTTCACGCCATTCTCCTGCCTCAGCCTCCCGAGTAGCTGGGACTACAGGCGCCCGCCACCACGCCCGGCTAATTTTTTGTATTTTTAGTAGAGACAGGGTTTCACCGTGTTAGCCAGGATGGTCTCGATCTCCTGACTTCGTGATCTGCCCGCCCTGGCCTCCCAAAGTGCTGGGATTACAGGCGTGAGCCACCGCGCCCGGCCAAATTACTCCAACTTTCTGTATTTCAATTTTTCCATGGGTGAAATAGAGGAAATAGTAGGATCTACCTTCCTTAGTTGTTCTGAGAATTCACTTAACTAAGATAATTCACATAAACACCTTGCATGGACCTGGCACATAGCAAGGGCCTAACAAATGGTGGCTATTGTAATAATCATGGTGAACAACTTAGCAAGTTTCTTAGGAGAATATTGTTCTGTGACTGGAACAAGACAATGGAAGAAGAGAAAGGGGCAATGGAGGACTTCAAAACAAATTCCGCATGGCAGTTTCGTTCAGTGGTGACCTGTGTTTCTGCAGTGATATTTCTGCAGTGTATAGCTGTTCAGCTTCACAGTTAAGTCCCTCTTGAACTTCTGTTTTGAGCTCTTTTGGGTTTCTTCTCTTTATTCTACCTGCAGCAACTCAACAAGATGGCCTACTTCTTCCTGAAGAGCCTTGTCTTTCTATTCTTTCTACAGCCCTCTCTCCCCAATCAGTGATTTAACTCACAGTTCTCTATATTCTGTAGGCACTCAGTAGCGCCTATTAGCTCGAGGATCTCTCCTCAACATGTGTCAACAGCTTATAACCCTTGTTTTCTCCCAGTCTCTTCATATAGCCAGATGGGCACATGATGTCAATACAAGCAGATAGTCTGCATTCCCACCTCTCAGTATTGGAGTTCTGTCTTTCTGGGTGTTGTTAGGATTATCTAATAGGTGCCACACTGACTAGCCTGTTTAAGAAGCCAGATGTAATCTTCAGAGCTACAATAAGTTGGAAATTGAATTTCATATACTGTTATTCTTTTTTAATAAGGACATTGTGTTAAAGTACCAGAGAAAATGATTTCATGTTTATGTCTTGGTAAGGTATATCATTAAGTTAACAAAATAAGTGGAAAGAACAAAACATATGTCAGACCCAGCTTCCTCATTTTTGATTAAGAAAATACATTAGTCACTTTTACATCAAGGTTTTTTTTTGCCCAATAATTTTTTTAAAAAATATGTAAGTGCAATGGTAGAAGAAATTTGACGTAATCAGGGTGGTGAAGATATAATCCTGAGACTAAACCTCCTGAGTGAGATTAGGCCCTTGCATATGCTATTTCAGGGTTCTGGATTGGGAACTAGTGAGAGTTGTGTCAATGCAAGAGAATGAAAAAATCTAAACCTTCACTGCTCACAGGATGATCCAGGAACCCCTGGAGTCCCCGAGACCTTTTTAAGGGGTCCATGAGATGAAAATTATTTTTATAATAATAGTAAGATGTTGTTTGACTTTTTCATTCTTTCTGTCACAAGTAGACTGTTGAATTTTCCAGAGGCTATATGACATGTGATAACATCATCACTCTACCAGCTAATGGATGTGCTTCTGTATTCTCATATTTTAAAAAGTTCTTGGGACCAGGTACAGGGTTTCATGCCTGTAATCCCAGCACTTTGGGAGGCCGAGGCAGGAGCGTTGCTTGAGCCCAGGAGTTTAAGACAGAGACCAACCTGGGCAACATGATGAGACACTGCCTTCACAAAATATGAAAAATTAGCCAGGCATGGTAGTTTACATAAACAAAAGGTCTTTGAGTTCTTCGATAATTTTTTACATGGTGAAAAATGTTGCTGAGATCAAAATGTCTGAAAGCTGCTACTCTAGACCATGTTTAACTAGCTTGTGCAGCAGTAATGACTTTGCTTACTTTGTCCAAAAAATAAAATACTCAAGAGCTACAGCTTAGAATTCTGCCTGCTGAATTATCAAAGAAAACACAAAGTCTAAGTTTCTAGTAACAAAAAATTGTATTAATACTCAGCGAGGTCTTAGAGACCGCTGTATTCTAATACAACTTTCCTTCAAGTTAAGGATTAACTGCAGGATTGTATAATGCCAATCTAGCATTTTAGAAAGGTATTTTTATTTTACTATATTTTTTTGATTATAAAAATAATTTATATTGTTTCTAGGTGAAATATTAAACTGAAGTAAGACACGGAGGACTAGATGTAAGTCCAACAATGTAAATAGATCTTAAAAACAAATTGCTGAAATTTTTTAGAAGTAAGAAAAAAATGAAATCTACAGAACAATGTCATTTACCTAAATGAAAAATATTTTAATGGAAAAAAACACAATTACTTTTGCACCAATCTAATATATCTACTGCTAAGTTATATTAAAAAAAAAAGAAAAGAAAACTAGAAGGAAAAAATTATCAGTAACCCACCATTCAGAGATTACCACTATTAACATTTGGATGATCATCATTACAACCTTCAGCCTTTTTCCATTTTTTTCCTGCTAAATAATACATTTCATTCTGTATTTTTTTATACTGTAATTAACGTTTGTCTTTATAAATTTCCTTTAAAGCTATCTCAATCACTTATTTTATAATGAGGTATATCATTTGAAACCATTTCAAAATTGGTAATTATTTAAGTTGTTGCTAATGTTTGCTATTTAATTAACAGTAAAGCAAATTTGCGTGGCTGTTTCTCTAGGATAAATTCTACTAGATAGATTTTTTTTTAGGGCAAAGGAAATGAATTCAGTTAAGTTTCTTGATATAAATTACAAAATTGATTTCCAGAAAGATTGTACCAATTTTACATTCTCACAATCAGTATGAGAAGATTCTGTGAGACTACACTCTAAACAACTCTGAGAATTCATCTTTCTTCTTGTCATTCCAGTTTGATCAGAAAATCATGGAATCACATTGTTTTTATTTTTTCTTTGATTAATTTACTCTTTAATTTTTTCTTTGATTAATAACGAGGTCAACGATTTTGTCATATTTTTATTGGGTATCTAAATTTCTCTTCCGAACTCTCTGTACATGACTTAAACCCATGTTACTCTTAACACGGTATGTCAAAACACTTTTATAACCAGAGAATCCTGCTGTATTAAAGAGAAGCATAATTCCTTTTCAAGTAGCCATATATAAGTTAAAAAAATCCATACAGTTATCTTGCCCAATTTTAGATAAAATATTTATCTTCACATTTCAGAAATATAGTTTAAAAAATCTTTAAAAACCCATTGAAAAAACTGATTATCCACCATTTCCCTCTAGATCCTTTCTCTGTTCATCTTAGTCCTGCTCTGTGCTCTGGGAGGCCAAACTCTACCAAATGCATCAGCTACTCTCCCTTGCTTTCTGGCTCCTGGCTGGGTTTGACCAATGAGGGTTATCAGTAGGTGATCATACTGCAGAAGGAAAGAGGTGGAAGTATGTGGTCCTCTATTTCTTTTCTGCTTTCATTCGTTATTGGCATGGTTACTGAACTGCAGCTTCTGTTTAGGAGTCTCACTTTCATGGTTCCAACTCTCCACTGGGCTCAACTACTCTTGTCTCTTCCTCCAGACCACTTAGTCTCCAGAACTTGGTCTCCAGAGCTAATGTCTTTTAGTCCACAGGTGCCTCTACAATCCTTGTTAGTTATCTTAAATCTGGTTGTATCTCTGTAAATAGTACCTCATTAAAACATTTCTTCAAAGTATCAGCAAATGTACTTGGTTTTTGCTGGAACCCTGAAAAATACACCAATTACATTCACTCTACATTTAAGACTGCCCTTGATATTTGATTCAGCAATGAACATTGTATTATTCAATATTAGCCAAGTATTTACTTTAAATCTGGCCAAATGGTAGGTTCTGGGGGTAAATAATTCACCCTTCCTAACATAAGCAGTTTTTTCCTTTTGTTAAAACCCCTAACATTTTCCAATTTACACAATATCAAATGTGATGACTTACCAGGCATTTAAAACTCCTTATAATCTACTTCTTCCTTATCTATCTGACCTGAATCTCTAACTCCCTTAATGTGTACCTCCTGCCTCACAGAGTTCATGTCTATTGAATATGCCAGATTTTCTCCCCACCTTCCTATCATTGCTCATGAAGTCCTTTTTCCACTTTCTAGGACAGTTTTACAAGGTTTTTGTTGTTTTTTTTTTTTTTAAATAGAGATGGGTCTCACTATATTGACCAGGCTGGTCTCGAGCTCCTGGCCTCAAACAATCCTCCCATACCGGCCTCCCAAAGAGCTGAGATTGTAGGTGTGAGCCACCGCGCCTGGCCTTCTAGTTTTACAACTTTTTTTTTTTTTCCCTCTTGATGTATGACCTAATGTTGGAAATCCTACTCTGTTTCTGCTTACTCTTTCAAGTTTTGAACACACATTGATGGTTTTTCTCTTGTATTTTTCATTTTTTTCCTTTATTTAGGGCTTCAGTCAAGTTCAGTGTCAAATTTCATACTTATATCCTGAGTGTCTTTGAGGTCAGAGAATGGATCTTATATTTTTAATATTTTTTACCAAATTTGGCATGGTACTGAGCATACATTTGTGTTCACAAATACCTTTTAAGCCAACAAAATAAAGAATTTAGCTAATATATAAAGTAATATATGAATAGAAAATGTTAACCTTACAAAAATAAATCAACATTTAGAAGACAATTTAGGGGGATAAATCTGACTTAGTACAGTATATTAAATATATTAGTTGATTTTTAACAATACATGAGCTGGTACTTTGTTTAACGTACTTAATACAGGGAAATTTTTCAGCCCTCAAACGCAAACAGAACCAAACACCTTACCACGATGTTACTATTCACATGAAAATTGACTAATATATCTGGAGGCTACTGAATAAAGTCATGATTTGAGAGTCAAGTGAGATCCATAATGAAAGTAGCTAAAATACCACAAGATATCGAAGCCCAACTTGTTTCCTTCAGATTCCAGAGCACGTATCAGTGTGTGTTCAGAATACGAAGGTAAAAAGAGTCTCTCACATTCACCACTGAATCCTGACTCAGGTCAGTTTCCAGCAGATTGCTACAACCATCAGCTTCTGCAGCTGCCTCTTAACAATTTCCTAAGTAACTCTCACAGCTGCATAGTAAAATGTTGGAGGGCTCACGGAAGCACAGCTGTGCTCCCAGACACAGCTGCACACCAGAAAAATTACTGGGTGGGGCTATACTTAGCAAATGCCACCCATTGTTATAGGCCCAAACTAATGGAGACTAGGAACTTGGTTTGCATGAGCACAGTACCTTTGAGGTTAGTAGCAGAGGGCATAAATCCACAAAGTTGTATTAGGAGCTGTTGTCCAGTTTCAGAATGGAAAATTGAGTTCATTTTCTCTCTTTCCCACACAATACGCACACACTCACACACAGAGACACACACACATGCTCTATTTTGTTCTGTTTCTTTGTGGAGTTAATCTCAGTGGATTATCACTTTAAATGACACTAGTTTGAGTCTGCATTGACCCTGAAGGAAGCTTTACGCACTGATCAGCTACACCAAAAGAAAAAAAAAAAGCAAGAGTAAAGAAAGCTTAAACTTTCCATGTATGGAGCCAAGAAAGCACAAACTAAACTTGCACAGATAACAACCACTTACTCAGTCTTTAAGTAACAACTAACTTGGATAGCTACTGAGCCAACATTCATTCAGCAAAATACGACATGTCTACAATATGCAAGGCAATTAAGCAACAAATCTTAGGTTTCATCCATTGATAAAGAAAAAAGCATTAAAAAGAATGTTGGTAAAAATATGTCTTATATTAATGAATTTAAAAGCATAGTCTGTGTAACTTTGTGAAAGATGCCTTCCAGATACATTCTTATATGTTTTAAACAAATAAGAAGTTTCAAGTTAGCAAGTTTTTAGTCCATATGTATGCTGCTACCAGGGTTTTTTAAAATCATGTATGGTGTACCTGATGCTTTGGAAAGTTTTTTAAAAAAATGTTTACAGATTTAATTTATTCTGAAGTTTGCATTCAAAAGAGCAATTAAATCACAATATTTTACTTAGGTTTGTTTCCATCATTAGAGAATCCCAAACACATCACAAATTACAATTATTTTTCTCAAAATCTATTTGAAGTGACAAATACAATAACTATTTAATATATGGGTAAAATGATACCTATAAGTCAAATGACACAAATGTTGAAATGGTGAATGGAGATACTGGGTTGGTAAGAGTCTGAAAATACAGTAGAAGCCAAAGAATATTTGACTTTTTTCTTTTCTTTTCTTTTCTGTTTGTTTGTTTGTTTGAGATGGAGTCTTGCTCTGTCACCCAGCCTGGAGTGCAATGGTGCAATCTTGGCTCACTGCAACCTCTTCCTCCTGGGTTCAAGCAATTATCCTGCCTCAGCCTTCCAACTAGCTGGGATTACAGGTGCGTGTCACCACGCCCAGCTAATTTTTGTATTTTTAGTAGAGATGAGGTTTCACCATGTTGGCCAGGCTGGTCTTGAACTCCTGACCTCGTGATCTACCCGCCCTGGCCTCCCAAAGTGCTGGGATTACAGGTGCGAGCCACTGTGCCCGGCTTGACTTTTTTCTTTATGGTAACTATTCCCTCATTGTTTCTTAGAGTGCTGTTTGGTTTTGCCTGCGATTGCTGTTGTGGCAATTCCTGGATTTATCTTTCTGTCCTATGTACTAATGCCCCATTTGGTTTTTATTTGAGGTGCATAAATGTGCTGGGTAGGGAGCTGGCTACATCAAACTACAGAAGAGGCCTCTGTCAGAATTTATCTATCAATCTCTGTGCAATGAGTTGTGCAGGGAGTCTTGCTTTAAAATCAAATCAATTTAAAAACAGATTGACAGTAACTAGCAAAATATTCAGTTATATATACGGAGAAAACATTCATTTGCGATGCCCACATTTTATATGTCTCAATTGACATTAGCATTTTTTCTCTATTCTGTACACACATTTATGTAATGTTGTCATTATGAGTTCATCAGTTATTCCATTAACAAAAATATTCTCTTTCCTGCTTTTTCCTGGCACAGGTTTTGTTCCTCCTCCCTTCCCACATATGTGCTCTTCCAGTAACTAATCTCTGCAACCCTGGCAGTAAGAATATGCAATGTTTAGTGTGAGAGTTAAAAGAAAGATGGAAGCATAAGTGCCAGTCCTTTTGCTCTAAAGCACAGAATTTAATCATACCTCACTCCTTGCTACAAAAGTCTTTCCTCATTAGGTTTATTTTAAACATAACTATCTCTACTAGAAATAACCACGTTGCTACACGTTAGAATATAGATGAGATTTGAAGAGCAGGCTTGTGTAACTTTAGCAATAACGTAAACTGCAGACTGCTCTATGAATGGGAGCATTATGGGGATGGATGTTTTGATGCAATTGAAATAAAAACCTTGAACTTTTGCCCCTCTCTCAAACTGATGATCATGCAAGAGGAGATTATGATGAAGGTCAGAAAGGAAAACAGAGATTTATAACTGAATCTTCACTTAGATTGAAGGAGGAAACATTTACACCCAATACTCTTTACACTAAAGCCTGAAGAACAGTGACTTAAGTGAGTAAATAAATCCAGTGGAGAATCTGGGAATTGTAGCCATGTTTGTCTCCCAATTCAGCATTAAGTGTTTTCCTTTTACGATTACAGGAGGCTCTGGGAGGGTTTATAGTGGAAAACTAAGACTTAACTTCAGTAAAATTCCATAATAAACACGAATAGTCACATAACTTTTTGACAGAAGAAATGGGATAGCAAAGACATAAAATAATTAGTAAATGAGGCAAGTGAAGAAAGCTTCAACTGACATGTAGCATTTGGCGTAGAAGACAGGGATTTGAAAATTTTAATTAATCTTTTCATCTAGATTGAGATTATGGCCACATACTCTTTGCATTTCTTTAGAAATAAAAAAACCTTACACACACATACATATAATATATACCATAGTACATACATTTACACACACATATAAACACACACATACATATATACATTCAATTGTGTGTTGCTTAACAACAGGGATATGATCTGATAAATGCATTGTTAAGCAATTTGGTCACTGTGCAAACATCATAGAGTATACTTTTACAAACATAGGTGGTATGGCTTACACCACACCTAGGCTATAGGGTTAGCCTATTGCTCTTAGGCTACAAGCTTGTATAGCATGTTACTGTACTGCATACTGTAAGCAATTGTAACACAATGGTAAGTATTTGCATATCTAAATATAGATGAGGTATGGCAAAAATGTAACATTATAATCTCATGGAACCACTGTCATATACGTGGTCTGTTCTTGACCGAAACATTATTATGCAGCACATGACTGTAAATACTTACTATAATATATACATGTATGTGTATATACACACACACCTTAGAATGTGTTATATATGTGTGTGTGTGTGTGTATATATATATATATATATATGTATTTTGCTAAAAGAAAACATGTGATGGTTATGACTGCTAAGCACTTAGAATGGATTACCAGAAAAGGTCGTGAAAATTCATTTTTAGAATTCATTTTTTAGTTTCATATTTGCCTGAACATATTTAGATCCCAAGAGAGGGGTTAAATAGCTAAACTTTAGTGCTTCCAGTTAAGTTTTTAGGGATATAATAATGTCCTAAATCATGAAATCCTGATGGTTGATCTTACCACGAGCCTCTAGTCAAGAGATGAAGGCAAATGCTTTTGTTACACATTGGTCCAGAGGACAATTTAATTCAAATTGCTTAGCCACTTATGGAGTTACTTTCCCCATTTTTATAAGAAACCCAGAATAGACTTGAATAATATAATTAGTATACTGGGAAACTTACTGTCCAAAATCAACATATACAAATTTTTCACTGCTTTAAAAAAATAATAACTCTGCTAATGGTTAAGGGTAGCTTATAGGTCTGAAAGTTTTCAGCCAATTCTTTGTGTCTTTCACTCTAATTCATCACTAGTTTGCCAACCACTATTAAAACACTTTCACTTCTAAATGTAAAGGCCCATATCCTGACATTGATCCAAGTGCGGAACTCCCATTGAAGTCGATGAGAGTGTTGTATAGAAATCAATGACAGGATATGGACCTCAAGGCTGGACCATCTCTCCCCTGGAAACTTTTTTCATTGACACTCAGAAATTTGAGGGTATTACAAGAAACAAGATACAGAAAGCATTTGCACAATGAGCTCCAGGGTTCTGGCAAAGTTTATGGTGGGTTGGATGGCAATTGTGTTTTTAAAAGAGGGTGGTGGGGTTGTGAAATTTCCAATTTCACCAGTGATGTGCTTGACTAGAATTTCTTCTCTCACTATGCAGGTGAACAGGCCCTTTTAATCACTTCTATTTTGGCAAAGACACCATCTTCCAAACCAAATGAGTTCTTTTTCCAGCTCTAATGTCTGAATTGGCAACCATAAAATACTTTACAAAGTGTACTTTCTACTCAAAACATGAATAATATTGAACATTTTATAGTCTAATTTCTAATAAACTGTGTAAATTGTTCTGCCATGCCAAAATTTCTAGAAATCATCATTATGATTTAAATTGAGTCGTTCTTCCAGTGAATGCAAAGCATTTGGGTCATATTACAGGTAATTCTTCCATTTTTGCAAACGTTCTTCAACATAGTTTTCAAAGACTTTTAAAAAAATGCAAACATTAAAACATACTTAAATTCATCCCTCTTTCACCACCACTGTCATATCCCTGCTCCTTTAACCCATAAATATGAAGAAAATAGAAAGTTACAATATGTGTTTGGTCTACTTCAAGTTTTAAGTAAGTCAGGTATTAGTTTTTTAAAGGATCGCTGTGATTAATTTTGCTGCTCATAATATTAACCCATGTTTAAAGTGAACAAGACTTGGCCTTCGTTTCCTTCTAGGCCAACTTGGGGAGTTGTCTGGGCTCAATGGTTTTCAAGTTTTAGCTCACTGTAGAATCGTCTAGAGGGCTTGTTAAAATGCAGGTTGCTAGGCTCTACCCCTAAAGTTTCTGATTCAGTAGCTCTGGGGAAAGCACTGAAATTTTTCATTTCTAACAAGTTTCCAGGTGATGCTGATACTGCTGGTCTAGGACCAGATGTTAAGAAACACTGATCGACATATCTCAAACTTTAGCAGGTATAAGAATCACCTGGGAAGCTTTTAAAATTGTGTCACCCATCTTCCCACAGCCCTAATTTAAATTAAGCAGTTCTGGGGTAGGGCTTGGGCATTCTCTTTTTAATAAACATCACAGGTAGTTCTGATGCAGTTGGTCATAAAACATTCTTTGAGAAAAAAATACTCCTGAGTCCCTTCTAGCTGTGAAACACTATGATTCCTTTTTTACGAGTCAAATGAAGAAGGCTAACAGCCGAGGGACAGAAATCAGACACCAGGGGCAAAGACATCTTAGAGGTAATGGAAAAAGCGGCCCTAGACAGATAACTTTTTAGATTCTGGCAAGAACCAGTGACCAGATCACCCAACATCCTAGACAAATCCTTTGTAGCATTTTGTGTATTTGTAATTATATGATTTTTATTAAGTTTTGCTTAACTGTAATAATATATATAATGCCTATTTTGTCAATACACAATAAGATAACTGAGTTTCATCATTTTTTAAATTCACCTTTATATCTGACTATCAGGTCTGATGTATGTAACACATTTGAGTTGGAGCTCCTTTCTTTGGCATAGGAACAGTAGGCTCCTTCCTTTCTACTATATAGAGAAATCCTATAGATGGAGATTCAGTAGAGTTTATAAAATTACTTTGAAGTATTTTCATTAAGTCTCTACTTGGAAAGGGGTAGCACAGCTATTAATTTATTAACAAGATTCTATATACATGTTAGGATTATAGAGTCCAATGTTTCTAATTTATTATCAATTGCTTTGGGAAAAGTTGATTTGCATGAGAATGTGCCCTTTGCCTCCCTAGGCTGTCAAGAGAACCACTCAACACCCTTGACCCCCTCAGTTCTTCAAAACAACACCATTTGTAAGAACCATAATGATATGGTTTGGCTCTAGGTCCCCACCGAAATCTCATCTCAAATTGTAATCCTGACGAGTTCAAGGAGGGTCCTGGTGAGAGGTGATTGGATTGTGGGGGCAGTTTCCCCCATGCCGTTCTGATGATAGTAAGGGAGTTCTCACGAGACCTGATGGTTTTAAAAATGGCAGTTTCCCTTGTGCACACCCTCTCTCCTGCCACCATGTGAAGAAGATGCTTGCTTTTCCTTCACCTTCTGCACAATTGTAAGTTTCCTGAGGCCTCCCCAGCCGTGTGGGACTGTGAGTCAATTAAACCTCTTTTATTTATGAATTACCCAGTCACAGGTATTAGCTTTATAGCAGTGTGAAAATGGACTAATTAGTTTTTGACTTAATGGTAAAATAAAGGTTTCCTTCCAAATTCAGAGCACTAGCTCTTCTGTTAAGTCCCCGAACACAGAGAAAATAACATTTTCTGTGTTTCAGTTCTTCATGTGGTAAGTGAGAATGTTGTTGGATTAGATGATTACTAAGAAGAGGCCACTTCCCTTTCAAATTTTTTATAATATATGATTTAGAACTATAAAATTGATCCAAATGTTTATCATGTCAAAGATTTTATTATAATGCACATTTAATATTTATTTGATATTATAAATGATTTTATTCTTATTTAGTCTCAAACTGTTTTCATATTTCTTTTTATCTAAAAATAAAGTATTCCTCTGTCCTGACCATTTATTAGCATTCTTCACATTATGATTACCTACTAATTAATTTTCTTGATTTATCAGAAGGGTTGGGTATCAGAAATTAATTTCTCTGATTATTTGTATATTTTTCATATACTACATAATTCCCTGTGAGTGCTATAATTGTAACCCTTTATAATTGACAGACATTAATTACTAAAATTGTACTAGAATTTCCATATAATTTTATATCAGAGCCACATGAATACTGAATACATTCATCATGTTTAGAATACCAATGAAGGAAATTAATTTCCAGCTATTAAAATATGCAAGACTCATATGAACATAAGAAAGAGATATACAGATTCCTGAGTCCTATGTCGCAAGTAATATGTCCATGTGTGTTCAGCTACACTAAATCTAGAGCACTTGTTCTCCATTCACTAAAATTAATGCAGCTGTCTCTTAGTAGAGGGTTCAGAAAAGTGGAAGAAGGCAAGAGCCAAATTACAAAAAGGCTCCTAGCAGAGGGTAGAGAGTACAGAGTAATACTTTTTTCCTTAAGCAACTCTTCTTCTAGACATCCCTATTTCTGCAGTTCTCCCAAGCATCCAGGCTTACAATCTCAGAAGTATTTTCAGCTTCCTATTGTATGGAACACATTCTATCCATTCAGCTGCCATAGTCTCTTTTTAGACCAGTATTTCTTAACTTGGGGTACCTGGATGACCTTACAGGATATGTAAACCTCCTGAAATTACATGTAAAATTGCATACCTCACGTATAGACTCTCTTTCTGAGGAAAGGGTTTACTGCTTTTATCAGATTCTCAAATAAGACTAACACCCAAAATGTTTAAGAGCCACTAAGCCAAACTATTTCTTCTTTTTTCAATTTCACTGCCACCAAGCAAGCCCAGGTCCAGTGGTCTTCCTGTTGAACATTACATTTCCTTACATCCAGACTCCTGGCTCCAGTTTCTTGTCATCTTAATCTATCCCATATGAAGTTGTCAAAGTCATCTTCCTGAAGCTCATAAGCAGCCATGACACTCTCCTGGTCACTAACTTTCAGTGCTCCTCTATTGCCACTGAATAAAGTCCAAATTCCCTGGGTACAGACACCATATCTTATTCATGTTTGTATCCTCAATATCTACCTAGCTCAAGAGAGTCTAGCTTTTGATCCTTGATATAGTCTGGCTCTGTGTCCCCACCCAAATCTCATCTTGAATTGTAATCTGAATTGTAATCCCCACATGTTGGGAGAGAGACCTTGTGGGAGGTGATTACATCATGAAGGTGGTCCCCCCATGCTGTCCTAGTGATAGTGAGAGAGTTCTTATGAGATCTGATGATTTTATAAGGAGTTGCTCCTCACTTCACTCTGCACTTCACCTTCCTGCCACGACGTGAAGAAGGATGTGTTTGCTTCCCCTTCCACCATGATTGTAAGTTTCCTGAGGCCTCCCCAGCCATGCAGAACTGTGAGTCAATTAAACCTCTGTCCTTTATAAATTACCCAGTCTTGGGTATTTCTTCATGGCAGCATGAGAACAGACTAATACAATCTTGATGTCAGAAACTTTCTGTGTCCCAGCTCCAACCTATCCTTCCAGGTATCTGTCTTAATTTCCTTTCACAGATTCTATGCTCCAACCAATTCAATAATTTGACCTTCTGCCAGTTCGCCAAATACAATCTGTGTTTTCTTTCTTTCTTTGCATCTTTTCCTCAAAGTTTCTTCTGTGTGTTTGGGGTGCCTTCCTGACCTCTCCTCACCCAGACCATTTCTACCTGATGAAACCTTATCTATCCTTCAAAGCTAAAACAAATGTTTCTTCATAAAGCCTTCTAAGGGCTCTCTCCCTGTGAGAAATAATCCCTTTCTTCTCTAAACTCTTTGTACATTTCTGAGGACTTTATATTTAAAAGCACAGAGCACTCAAATTTTAATATTAAAAAAATTTCATAGTTTATATTTTATATTAGATTGTACATTCCTTAAAGGCAAGGGTTGGGTTTTATTTATTTTTCTCTTCCATATATACCTAGCATAGTTTTGCACACCATGATATTCAACAAGTATTTGCTGAAGAAATGAATGAAAGAATAAATGAATACAGGGTCATTAATTTTTCAGATGATTCAGATTATGATGAGAGGTCAGTTCTCATTTTACTGATGAAGAATGTGAGGTTGAGAGAGGGAGAGATACAAGGTCACAGAGCCAGTGAGTGGTCAGGGAATGCTAGAGCTTGGGTATTTGGACTTGGTCCAAGTCTCTGTCCATAAAACAATGATGCTGTTTAATTGGAAAAGAAAATGCACTTAGATATTTTCCTTTTAAGCAAATATAATCTTGTTTTTATAAGTTTAAATGTTGACTGTGCCACTTATTATCTATGTGACTAAGTATTTTATTTAATTTTCTTATCTATTTTGAGGGTCTAAACTTACTGTTCTCTAAACTTCCTTCCAGCTGTGAAATTTGAATTGCTTATATAACATCATTCCTCTTTTTCTCCAGCAAAGAAGGTAAACTTCCCCAGGGTTCTCCAAGTACATGATGTCCCATCTTCCATTCTGTATTCTATATGAAGCTTGGTTATCAATAGATAATGGTGACAAATACAATAGATGGGGTCAAAGAATTCATGTGTAAAAAAACCCTACACTGGCCATCAGAGAAATGCAAATCAAAACCACAATGAGATACCATCTCACACCAGTTAGAATGGCAATCATTAAAAAGTCAGGAAACAACAGGTGCTGGAGAGGATGTGGAGAAATAGGAACACTTTGACACTGTTGGTGGGACTGTAAACTAGTTCAACCATTGTGGAAGTCAGTGTGGCGATTCCTCAGGGATCTAGAACTAGAAATACCATTTGACCCAGCCATCCCATTACTGGGTATATACCCAAATGACTATAAATCATGCTGCTATAAAGACACATGCACACGTATGTTTATTGTGGCACTATTCACAATAGCAAAGACTTGGAACCAACCCAAATGTCCAACAATGATAGACTGGATTAAGAAAATGTGGCACATATACACCATGGAATACTATGCAGCCATAAAAAATGATGAGTTCATGTCCTTTGTAGGGACATGGATGAAATTGGAAACCATCATTCTCAGTAAACTATCGCAAGAACAAAAAACCAAACCCCGCATATTCTCACTCATAGGTGGGAATTGAACAATGAGATCACATGGACACAGGAAGGGGAATATCACACTCTGGGGACTGTGGTGGGGTCGGGGGAGGGGGGAGGGATAGCATTGGGAGATATACCTAATGCTAGATGACACGTTAGTGGGTGCAGCGCACCAGCATGGCACATGTATACATATGTAACTAACCTGCACAATGTGCACATGTACCCTAAAACTTAGAGTATAATAAAAAAATAAATAAATAAATAAAAAAAAACCCTACGAAGATAAAGATAAAAACTTGATAAAGATTAGAACTTAGAGACAGGGTTTTTAAGAGTATTTAAGACCTTTAAAACTTTAAATAGAGGAAAAGCCTAATTCTACAGATCTGATAAATAACCTATGTGTTTCTATTATGGGAAGCTCTCATATGGCTCTTCACCTTGATAAATATGTATAGCAAAACAAAGGTTACAACCAAATGGCTCTGAGTTCCACCCAACAATGAATAGGGAAACTATTTCTTGTTCATTCTTAATAAACCAAATATGAATAGAAAATTATTCTACCCCCTACCCCCAGAGTAAATGATAATCCATGCTCTCAGTATCTCATCCATGTATAGGTTTTCAGATATGAATACCTGCTAACAAGTCATGCACATAGAAAATATAAACTTGGTTCACTCTATTTTCACTTTGTTTCCCACACACTGCACTGTGGTTTCTTCCAATTGACATGTTCCACCCAAAAAGGCATCTTTACTTCACTCAATTCCTACACAAAGTTCTAGGCAAAATCTGGTATTACCACTCAGTCAGTTCTGTAATGACCTATCTCATACAGTACTTTATTTTAGTGAACCTTATATGAAGCCCTTAATGCTTAAAAAGGCCCACACTCTTTCCTTGATAATAGATGTTTATTATGTGCATAGTCTTCAAGAGGACATGATTTTCCTTCTTTTAAAGGCAGCATACACTAGAGGAGACAATATGGTTCTTATTCCAATAAGAGCGTAGCAGAATCCAATAAGGAAAAGCTACTGGGTGAGATGAGCACTATAAATAAACAAATTGGCCCACTTATTCGCCAAGAGACCAAGAGGAACCCTTTAAGATCTTTAGATTTAGCAAAGGAAACAAAGTCTCTTGCTTTCTAAATCTGTTTCACAAATTTATGACTTTCCCTCAGGACACATTGATTTTCAGTTCACTAGGTATCAGAGTCTTTAAATCAAATCTAACTTATTGTGTTTTTCTGTCATATAGGAGCCTGAGCAAAATAATAACAGGTGATCATGAGAGAAATTAATCCTCAATGTCATTTTGAAATAGAAACAGCCTATGACTCAAAAAGCTGCCCCATTCAAAAGTAGCTGTTTTATTATTATATTCTTCTAGAAGATCAAACAACAATGGAGATAAACTAATAAGTTATTAAGATAAGTGTGTAGATGTCTATGCACACACAGGTAATTTGTGGTTTTTTTTAACATATATAGATGTAGATTAGATATAGATATAGACACACACACATACACATACATATGGATATACTTGGATTTGCATGCATTATCCTCTTCAGAGTATAAATCTCTCTACATATGCATGCATATGTGGATATATATGTAATAAGATAAATACACAAACACACATCACCAGCCAGAAAGAAAACTGAGTTTTAAACTGTGATAAGCCCTAGGCCAACTGGTAGTACTCAATTCCTAATCCTGTAACACAGAATAAGTCACTACCACTCTTTTACCGGTTGTAACATAGTTGCAGTCCATTTTGTTACTCAATTCTAATTGTACCAAAAACTGAGATGTGAGGGCCAGGTGACATGGTGCCTTAAAGGTAGTTGTGGCAATCATGTAAAGTAACTCCTGGAGTTTTGGGGTGATATGGTTGGGGTATAGGAATCTTAATAATTCCCATGTGGGCTATGCAAGACCTAGCAGGACTTCACCCCAGACAGGAAAAATGACCTCCCACCATCCAAGCCCCGTTTTCCAAGGAGAGTACGCATATGTGGGATTCTTAGTCTCTAAACTTCCCTAGTCTTATATCCTTTGTATTCCCTAAACTTCTCACAATAACATATAACTTGTATGAAACGTGTTAAGTGTTGGTATGCCCATTTTTTTGTCAACCTTTGCAGGACTAATTCATTATTGGGTTTAATTTAAGATCACATTAGGAAAAAAAAGAATCAAAATGACATCAGTTCAATAAGAATTATGTAAGCCTCTCAGATACTTTTTTTTATCATATATATAACTTAAATTATACAAAATGGCCAATTTAGTGTAATTCTACCTATATTTCAGCTGGGTCCATCATATTGTGATAATGGATAGGTGTTTTGTTTATTTGTTTGTTTGTTTTCCCGTGCAAGGAAATCTGATTCTCCACTTAGGACTAAAGCAAGTTGGGTAGAGAGAATGATAGATCTGTCCAAGTCATCCAATTTGTAACTTTTAATGAATGCAATGTTTACACAAATGCTTAAAAACAAAAGCTGAAAGGAAACTGCAGAGAGATGAGAGGAACTCCGAGAAGGTGGTGCCAGATGAATTGACCTCCAGGAGCTAAATGGCTAAATATGGTAAGTGCCTTAATCACCTAGTTCAAAGAAAGGAGACTTGGCTTTGCATTGGTTATGGAGCTGAACTTTGAGAAACAGGTGGAACAGAGAGGTAAATAAGAGGTAAAAGGGAGAGTCTGAGCAAAGGTTTGAAGGTGTACAAGCCAGAGTAGTCTATAGAAAATTCAAGAATTTCTAGGTTAAAGAATCTGAATATTAATCAGTCAGTAATGGGGTGCTATTGAAAGTTTCTAAACAAAGGAGAGCATGTATTTCAGTGTAAATTAATTTGTAGAAGGTATATAAAGTGAATCAGCAGGGACAAGTTTAAAGCCAAGAGGCTGTTGCATTTATCCAAGGAAATAAGAGCCATACCTGAACCATAGTAATAGAAATTGATAATCAATGAATAAAAGAATGAAACAAATGAGATTCTGTATTCATAATTTAAATCCAGGAGAATATACTTGATCTATGCTTTCCATTTCATAATTATAAATTGAAAATTCTATGAGATTTTGGACTGAATGTTTTTAATTTGAAGTGTTGTCTTCAGTTGACAAACACGTCTCAAAGAGAGAACTGCCTATAACATTTTATGTTACAATGAATTATGTTATCATTTCATATTGGATGCACATAATGTAACAAGAATAACATTGAAGAGGGTCTGAGCTGACTTCTCCGTGCCTCCTTTAATGAAAAATGCAGGAACCTTACAAAATAATCACCACATCAATTAGGGATTGTGTTCAATTGTTAATATCAAAGAAGTAACCGAAACAGAGATTTATTTTCTCACAGGTAAAAGGAGTCTAGTGCAAGTATTACCATCTTACAATGTTACTGGTGTTTCACGGCCCTTATTATTCTGCTTCATCACCCTTCTTGTGTGGCCTGGATCTTCATGGCTATTACATACTTCCTGAGATTCTGGCCAGCATATCTATATCCCAGGCAGAAAGAAGGCAGTACCCTTTTAAATCACCTCCAAAGCCCTTCCCACTGACTTGTACTTATGATTCCTTGGTCGTACCTATGAGAAAGGGAAAGCTAGGCAGTACACTCTTCTAAATGGGTTGCTCCCGCCATGAATAAAACCAGGTTATGTTAGTAAGGCAAAAGGGGAGAATAGCTATTGGCTGGGTCACTAGAAGTCATTGCCAAAGTCACAGAAGTTCTTCCTAGCTCTACAAGTTTGTGACTCTAGCTCCACATGGAACCCCATGCATAATGAAATAGATACTAATTGTTTTCCAATGTCTTCTTTGAAACCTTAGCCCCTTAAATTACTGAATTATGGAAAATAAGTCTGTTTTACTCTAAGTTTTAATCCAAAAAATCCACGTATCACATTCCACCTCCTGATAGAGGATTTTTACCCGCCTGTGAGTAATCAGCTTTGCCCATAGACCAAAGATTGCTGCTTTCTAAACTGTCCTGAACACTGACAGGTTATGATAGAAAGCAAATATACTATAAACACTGCTAGTGAATATCCCTTATTTGTACATGGCAATTTTGGAACTACTACAAAATTAGTAGTTTTTCAGCATCAAAATATAGTTTTTCAGCATCAAAAGCCGAGGTTTTATCTTTGAGTTAAAGACATATATTTATGAACCTCATGTTCTCACCACCTGGGTGTACCTAAGATCTCTTGTCTTCTGATATCACCATTTCCTTTAATATTTAAATAGAATGTATGACTACCTGTCTCAGATTCTGTGGGAAATTCAGCCTCCCTATACTCCACCCCCAAATACACAAAGATGGGTGGAGTGCTCATTATATCCTGGTCTGGATTTTTTTTTTTTTTTTTTTTTTTTGTTTTCACTGACTTATCAGTGTTCTCTCTGCTCCCTGTCTTCTGCGTCTTCCGTCTCCTTCCTTTGCAGCATTCCCCATGTGCCTCTGTACCTTAATTCCTCCAAAGTACTATTTACAAAGTACTGTTATCAGTAAACAAATTTTCCAAGGATTTGGAATAACAAAGAGAATTAGAGTACAGCAAGTAAGATACTATCTTAAAATATAATATTATACAACATTGTGCTAAAATTTCATCAGTTATACTCTAAGGGTAGAGACATTTCTTTCTGTTTTGTCTGCCTTCCTTCCTTGCTCATTGTCCTCTTCTCTTTGGCTCTCTAAACCCTTGCCCCCTTTTCTTACTATTTGCTTCTGCCTCCCTATTTCTTTTACTTTCTTATGCAAAATAATTTATCTTTTGCTCACTGCCCTCTTGTGGGGGAGGGCATGGGGTGGGGAAAGCCTATCATAATCTATATCTGCAGATTTAAAACCTCATTCAGTTGCTCTACTAAACACAAGGTCATTGATTCCAGGTCTCTCCTATTTTAATTTAAGGAAATATTGGATATTTTGAAATTATCAGGCTATGTTTTCTTTGTAGAACCAGAATAAAATCAGAAAGTCACATAGCGTAGCCTAGGACAAACTTAAGTTTCAAGAATTGAAGATCAGCATCAAAAAGTAATTGTAAAAGCACTACGTTTATCTTCACCACATAGAAACCATCATTGTGAATACACTCATAACCCACAGCACTGTCTCACCAAACCTCCTTTTCTTCTCCCCAAGTCTGTTGTACCACACAGATGTCCTTGGGACTTTCACAATTTGAAGTCCAAAATGTCTCCAAAAAGCCCCATTCCTGATAAATTTCCTGTAGCTTTCTTTCTATTTTTCTATTATCCTGCTTCACTAGTTCTTTCCCTCTACCTATTATTCCAATTGTGCATCACAAACTTTATAAAACTGGACCAAAAAAGGGAAAGAAACTGACAACAATATCCATCCCTAAAGCAAGTAGTCAGTGGCTATAAATATCTTGATACATACCAATGGTACCCAGAACCACCAGAGAATCTTTAGAAATAAAGCCAAGAATGAACAGAGACCTATTAGCAAAGAAAAAATCATGGAGGACCATCCAATTAATGCTCATGGCCAGAAGACATATCAAAACAAACACATGAAGCATTAAGACCCAGTAAGTGTCCAATGGTAAGCCATAAAATATTCAAGAGACAATGAAGGTAGCAAGAGAATTTTGAACTCTTGTCCAGTTCTTGATGTCAACTCTGGTAGTCACAAAATCAAATAAACAAAACAAATCTAAGAGGAGGTTGTGTGGAAATTTTCCTGCTGTCCAGCAATTAGCAAAGACCTACATTTGAGGGCAATACATTCTATGTACCCCACATTCTAAAGAAAGCAGTTGACTGTGAGCACTTGGATTCTAGGTACCTCCACTGGAGCCTTACTAGGAAAGAGCACAGTTGTCCTTACTTCAATCAACTACTGCTGTCTCCTCCCTCACTCCATCAATAACATTCAAGAAAGGATGAGAAAGGGAACTGAGACATGAATGATGGAAGAAATTATTAGCTTACTACAGAATGCAGCAATCATGGTTAGAGGCCAAGTGAAGTAGCAGCCTCCAAAGGGAAAATTTTAGTGTCTGGGCTTTAGAGACCTGCAAGAATAGGAGATTGCATCTTCTTCTCCAACCAAATGATTGCTGGCAGCTTTCCTGGAACTGACCTCATAGTGGAGTAGAACGGAGTAGAAGAGGGAGTTCTTGGAAGGGCATGTCAGATTCCCAAACGTGTGAGTTGTACATTTCCATAGACACTGACACCTCTGTCTCCTCTGGAGATTTCCAAAGAGAACAGGCTTGCTGAAGTAGCCTGGAGAAGAAAAGAAGTCCCATGACATGGGGTTCTTGTGAAGAAAATAAGTAATCCTGAACTTCATTTCACTTGTCTTTAACTCTTAGAAGGCAGCAGTTCCCTCGGCTTCACCTCATTTGAGTAGCAAGAGGAATTGGAACCAATAGACCAAGCAACATTTTCGTCTACATTTTCAAAAGTTTATTCTCTATATTTGTATATTATTCTCCATTTTTCTTTTTTTCTCTTTCATATTCTCTGGCACTTCTGTTTAATGGTGCCATAACCCATGCATAGGTTGACTATGAGATAATTCAGGATGACCTCCTTCAGCTTCTTGAGATCACAGATGCAAAACTAGTCCCTGAATGAGTCCACTTGTATGTAGCTCCACCTTCATCTCGACCATCATCATGTCACCTGGAGTTCTCAACAGTCTCCAAGAAGTCTTTCTACTTCTAGTCTTGCCCTCTGTCCTCCACATCCTCTCTGTATTGCAGCAAAAGTAATTTTCTTACAACATAAAATGGATCCTATCTTTTTACTTAGACTAAAATCCAAAATCCTAACTTTCCTTACAATGCGTTCTATGGTCTGGCCTCTGCCTTCCCCTCTGACTTCACCTCCTAGAACAAATGGCTTATTGCGTGAATCTCTAACTCTTCTCATACCCCTGACCTCCCTGCTATGTTCCAGCCACAATTTTATTCTTTGAGTTGCTGTCAAATGGGAAAGCCTTTCTTACTTCAGAGTCTTTGTTCAGTCAGTTTCTTCCATTCTCCTCTCTCTGCATGACTGACTCCTCTTTTGGCATGTCTTAGTTAAGAGTCATCTCTTTAGAGAGAGTGTCCTTGACAAACAAATCTAAAGTAAACGCTCCCTGCTATTTTCTTCCATAACATCCTGGCAATAGTGGCAGGCAGGGAGATGTTCATATTACTGAGCACGGTTTTGACTTGATATTAGAATATATATTTATTTGCTCAGCTTTTTTTTTTCTCATCCCTAATAAAGTTTAAATTAAATTGAAGATTGTTGAGTTTGAAAATACAGGAAGGAGAGACTGTCATGGATTACCCATTGATAGAGGAATGTCCCTGAAAGGTGACAGCACCAGAAGAGTTCTTTCTCATGAATAAAAGAAAAGGAAACATGGTAGTTGAGATGTAAATATGTCTGTCAGTGGAGGTGTTGGAGAAAGGGACGAGAATCTTATAAAGGAATCCCAGCTGATAACCTCTCTCTTCAGTGAAGTAGGAAATAAGAATGTGTGTCAAAATAGCAAGGCCCGGCCGGGCGCGGTGGCTCACGCCTGTAATCCCAGCACTTTGGGAGGCCGAGGCGGGCGGATCACGAGGTCAGGAGATCGAGACCATCCCGGCTAAAACGGTGAAACCCCGTCTCTACTAAAAATACAAAAAATTAGCCGGGCGTAGTGGCGGGCGCCTGTAGTCCCAGCTACTTGGGAGGCTGAGGCAGGAGAATGGCGTGAATCCGGGAGGCAGAGCTTGCAGTGAGCCGAGATCCCGCCACTGCACTCCAGCCTGGGCGACAGAGCGAGACTCCGTCTCAAAAAAAAAAAAAATAGCAAGGCCCAGGGCCTCAAAAGAATGAGGAAGGTCAATAAGGTCTACTGATGCAAATGGGAAAGGAAGCCGATTTGAGACATTCAAACAGGATTTAGAGTGCCACCAGATCAAGTCTTCATTTAGTTAACCATTTGATAAATATATTGAGTCCAACACAGTATCAGGCACTATATTTATTTCCAGCATCACAAAGACAACCAGGCATCAACTTGTTAAACATCCCCAGGATTTGAAGTGGAGGAGCTGACTGTGCAGGATCCACAGTATCCAAACATCCCAGCTACCTCACTTTCTTTCTTCTAGCTCTGGTCAGAAATAAGGCTATGGCAAGTGACCTTTCCTTGCTCAGGGCGGCTTCCTATATTTTATGAAAGTTCCATGCCAGGGATTTTTTGTATGGAATCCATAAGTCTCTCATTACATGAGCTTGTGTTGTTTGAAGATTTTGCAAAATATTCCTATTACTCATTTATAGACCTATGCCTCCTACCATCTCCACAGGGCACAGGGGCCTCTAGGTGTATGTCACCCTAGGATGAGGAACAAAGATTATCTCATAATGTCCTAAGATAGATATCTAAACTAAATTATAATAACAATACTCAGTTCATCAAAGTAAATCATAAGTATGCACATTATACTCCAATATAATATATATTGCGTGGGTGGCAAAAAAATGCGATTACTTTTGCACCCATCTAATATTTTATTTTATTTCATTTTATTTTTATCTTTATCTATTTTATTCATTTTGTTTATTTATTTATTTACTTTGAGGTGGAATCTCACTTTGTTGCCCAGTCTGGAGTGCAGTGGCACGATCTCAGCTCACTGCAACCTTCATCTCCCAGGTTCAAGAGATTCTCCTGCCTCAGCCTCCCGAGTAGCTGAGATTACAGGTGTGTGCGACCATGCCCAACTAATTTGTTTGTGTTTTTAGTAGAGACGGGATTTCACCGTGTTGGCCAGGCTGGTCTTGAACTCCTGACCTGAAATCATTAGCCCGCCTCAGCCTCCCAAAATGCTGGGATTACCGGCTTGAGCCATCGCATCCAGCCAAACCTAATATTTTTAAATGAATAACACTTATACAAGTTCTTCTATAATCTGGCCACCACTTTACCTGTTCAACCAATCTCAGATTTGCTGCAGCCTAGGTTAATTCCTCCTAGACTCCTGAACAAGTCAAACCCATTTCTATGGCTGAAGCCATATGGTGCCAGCCTGGACCTCCCTCTTCACTTCTCTTTTTATTTGTGAAGCCTACCTATTATTCACATTTCATCGCAAGCCCCATATTTTTAAGATTCCAAACAGAGATTATCTAAAAATTCTATAATACCTAAAATTGCTTAATATATATTTTAATAATTAAAGTTTAAATTGAGGGTTCAAAGTTTAACAGATAAACTTCCAAAACCTCACCAAAAAAATAATAACAACAAAATTATACAAATCTTGAAAATTTAAGGCTTCTGATGTTGGGTAAGTAGTCTCAGAGTAAGATTTTTTAAAATAAAATTAAAAATCAAAAGACCAAAAAAAAAAAAAAAAACACCTAAAGTTTAAAAAGAGGACATGTTTAGTTTAGACCTTTTCGCTAAAAGTTAAAGAAGTATTAGAATTATGTTATTTAATTTAACAGAAATCTTATGAAAGTTCATCAAAAGGGCCACACCAACACTCAGAAATCGCTAGGATTCTGTTGATTCAGATGGCTTATTCCATCTCTCAGGAATGCAAGTCAATAATGGCAGCATGAGGGATGAGGTGATCTACCCATAAACACAGGGCTCTGATTCAGCCTGAATGTTAGTGATTTTAATGCCAGACACATCCACTTTCAGCTGGAGGGTATTTGTTGAGAGCTGCCGTGGAGAATGCTCACACTTAGAAAAAAATGCACACCCTTAGCAACCACTAATGAATAAAATACAAACCCACAGATGAGAATTTGGAAATTGTAAAAACCAATATGATTTGGTATTTTGAAGTAATTCCAGATATACAAACAAAAATAGATCTAGCAAGACCAGCTGGATTCTACAGGTATCATTCAAGCCACTCTCCCTTTGTGATACTTGGGAATTTTGCCCAAGCAAGCTCTGGGAGTTCAAATTGTATTTTTTAAAATTCTTGGACTCTCTTCTTTACGGTATGTGAACAGCCTTTTGCAGTGGGAATTTCTTGGTTTGGTGCATTAAAACCTATGCCACGCCAACTGGAATTTGTCTGTGGAAAGAGGATATCCACTACTGAGAAAAATATCAGCAAATGAGAAAGTAGCTAGAGTCTGCCCCAGTACTTCTGATCACTTCTACTCTGGACGTTTGGTCCAAATTACTGACTACGTCACAGAGATAACAGAGACTGAAGTTGAAGAAAGGATAAGGGAAGGCCCTTGTCACTAAATTGTAAACAGAAGTCCTGCCTTTCACTTCCACTTTTACCACTTATAATGCCTGTGAAAGAAGTGGACAAATCATATTACCAATTTGAGTCTCATTCTCCCCACTGTTAAAGCAGGGACTCAAATGATTGCTTTGCCACAACCCATTCAACATTCGTTGAGCACTTACTATGTGCCAGGACAGTCGAGGATGTTATGCTAGGTACAATCCCTATTTCCAGGCAGCTTATAATTTCTTCGGAGAGGAAGATAAACAACTGGATATGCAAACAACATGTAAGTACCTGACAGAAATCATCATAAAGAAAAAGTATGGACAACAAATTAAAAAGGATAACAGAAAGATGTAACTTAATCTGGGAGGTCAAAGAATATCCCATTAGGGAATGACACGTAAGCAAAAGGGGTGAGAAGGTACAGGGTGGGGAGAACATTCCAAGGCCAGAGCATGTGTGAGGCCTCAAGGCAAGGAGGAGTTTGATGTGGTCCAAGAACAGCAAGAAGTCTTAAGTGGCTACATTGAGGGGGAGAGTGGCAGAAGATAAGGCTCATAGTGTTATTACAAGAATTAAAGGAGAAATGTGTATGAACATGCTTTTCAGAGTACAAAGCCCTGTACCACTGTGAGAATTAACAGTCATCAGGATTTCAGGCATACTGCCCTTGGCAGAAGAAGCAGGTCAAAAAGAAAAAAAAAAAAAACACTTGAACACAGGTGTTACTTTTATTCCACCCTTCTTAAATTGACTATTTTTCTCATCTTTGTTATCAACCGAAGATTTTCAATTTGCACTGATGCCAGAAGTCTTAAAATAAGACCTTATTATTTCTCCTTCATATGCCAAACTGGGCTTCTTGAAAGCCAGAACACAATATTACTGAAGCTTTTTTATGTCTAAGGAACAGAAAATCTGGGACCTGAAAAGCCAGAATTTCTTTATATTTCTATCTGTGACACACAGCGCCACACTGGAAAACAAAAGGAGAAAAGCTAGACCCTCCCTGTACCCTCTGTTTCCTTCACTTCTGCCACTTATTTTCCAGTGATTTTTTAAAAACAGAATGTGAGAGAAATTTGCTCACTCATTTATTCATTTGCTCACTCATTTATTCACTCATTCAGTAAGCAAATATTTACTGAATACCTGTCTATCCCTGCAGATGTTTACCACAGGAATTCCAGAGACTCATGTTTATTAGACTTATTTAGTTTGACAAGTATCCACAGGACCTGGGGCAGATTCCCATTTAAATTATCATCTGATTTTTTTTTTTTTTTTTTACATAAACGTGTTGTTAACCTATAAGGATGTTTCAGATTCCAGCTTTCTGGACAGGGCCCAGGAACTGGCTATCTGGCAATAAAAAAGTTTAAGAGTCAATGTTCAAGGAGGAAGGAATGAGAAAGAGCAAGAAAGAAAGAGAGAGGCCAGAGGGGAGAAATAGGACATCGGCATCGGTGAGAGGTGAGCCGGATGTACACACAGGGTACACCGAAGACAGTATACGTGGACAGTGAATGTAGACATGAGCTCACTTCTCTTCTCTAAAGAGTGTATCAGGAGATAGCCTTGCTTGGAAGAGAATCTTAAACCAAAGTCATCAATAAAGCTTATGCCTACTTCAATAAGTGCTGTCTCCAAACCATTTTGTCTTCTGTCTCCCGAACACTGAATACCTTGGGAAAACTGAGCCGACAGTGATGCATAACAAGGTATTATTAAATAGGCAATGGTTGCAATGAGAAACAGGATAAAAGGAGTACTTTAGAAAAGTTCCACATAAGAAAAGATACGGAATGAAGGACAGACGAATTACCATTAATGTGGCTGAGGAAAATTGGAAATGAGATGCTGTTTCTGGAAGATGAATATAAAATATTTTGGATTTTAGCTGTAGATGGTAAAGCTGATTTTCAATTGAACTGTCTAGAAAACGACAAGAAACATAGAGATTTAGAATAGTTAATAAATTGTAGAAAAACTTTTCAGAATTTAAAACATTTTTTCACATAAGGTATCATTGCACTTCATCAGCCAAACAGTTTTTGTACATATATGATTCTGGAATTAATGGGGGGAATACTGGCTACATATATAACCAGTCATTTGTTGTATTTTTTTCCATAAAGAAAAATAAACAATAACGTGAAGCATGGAAATTAACAAAGAACTGTTAAAGAGGAATGCCAAGAGCTAAGAGCTAAGCTCTTGACACAAGTCTAATTTAAGAAATTTTTTCTTGGTTTGGGGGCAGTAGCTCACACCTGCCTGTAAACTCAGCACATTATGAAGCCACAGTGGGAGGATCACTTGAGGTCAGAATTTAAGACCAGTCTGGGCTCTTAAAAAAGGGATACTTCTATATTCCATATGATATAAAGCAAAAAGAAATAGAAATTTAGTAATAATACTGTAAAATAAGTTTCTAAAGGAGACACAAAAAGGCTATTATAAATAAACACCTCACACATACTTTATAGAACTCCTTTCCTAAGCTCTGTAAAGATGTTTAAAATAGGAAATCTAAGAAAAAAACCAATAGTTCTACCCCCTGATTTCTCCTTTGCTTTGCCATTTTTTAATATATCAGTCATCCATTGCTCTTTTTTTAGTTATACAACCAATATAAATGGTGCTGAGGACTCAATTATATTCATTTCACTATTTGTTCCAAATTATAATTTTGACTAATTAAAATTAGCTTAAAAATTAGATTAAATGTTCCCTGAAAATCACCACCACCACCATTACCACCACACCCACCACTTGTGTCAAAAATGCTTTCAGTAAAATTTACCAGGACATATGGTTTGGCTCTGTGTCCCCACCTGAATCTCCTCTTGGATTGTAATCCCCATAATCCCCACATGTTGAGGGTGAAACCTGATGGGAGGTTATTGGATCATGGGGCAGTTCCCCCATGCTGTTCTCATGATAGTAAGTGAGTTCTCACGAGATCTGCTGGTTTTATGTGTCTGACAGCTCCTCTTCACACTCTCACTCACTCCTGCTGTGATATGAGAAGGTCCAAGCTTGCTTCCCCTTCCCCTTCTGCTATGATTGTAAGTTTCCTGAGGCCTCCCAGCCATGCTGAACTGTGAGTCAATTAAACCTCTTTCCTTTATAAATTACCCAGTCTCCGGTATTTCTTTATAGCAGTGTGAAAATTGACGAATACACCAGGTCAATGTTAAAATGAGATTAAAGCAATGAGAAAAGCCTAAAGTCCTTACTGCTAAAAGAGAATGGTCACTGTCAGTCTCCTCTGGACTCATGTTAAATATTTATCTAATTGGAAAAGCCAATAGTTAAGAAAAAAGGTTCACTTGTAAAAGTAGAAAAATTTAAAGGGCAAACTGTTTCATATTTAAAGACTCATTTTGTCTCCTCGCCTAATTATAGACTTGAGGAATCACTGTCAGATAGGCCTATAAAGCAGTCTTAAGTGCTAGGTCTAGGTAGCTGTGGATTGTGATAGAAGAAAAATTACTTATATGTATAAATGGTTCCCTTATGCAAAGACAATAAAAGGCAACTTAGTCTGTTTTGGGGTTACTATAACAGAATGCTGCAGACTGGGTAATTTATAGATATATTATTTCTCACAATTCTGGAGGCTGAGAAGTCCAAGGTTGAGGTGCCCAAATCTAGCAAGGGTCTTCATGCTGGGTCATGCCATGGTGAAAGGAAGAAGGGCAGGAGAGGGAAAAAGAGAAATAAGGGCAAAATTCATCCTTTTTATCAGGAACTCATTCCTGGGATGAATAACCTCTTCTCATCCAAAACAGCATTAATTCATTTACAAGGATAAAGCCCTCTTGGCCTAATCACCTCTTAATAGTTTTATCTCTTAATACCATCACAATGGCAACTAATTTGCAACATGAGTTCTTCAGGAACATTCAAACCATGGCAATAGGCATGAAACTTTGCTAAAGGTATTTACCTATCAACCAGATATATTTAGAAAATGGAGAGCAATTGTGTGACAATTTCCCCCCACATCATCAAATTACCCATTCAACTCAATCTTATAATTGAAAATTTAAAAAAAAACTATAGTTATTTATTATTGATGAAGTATCTTCCTGACCTTTCTCATCAAAAGTTGACTTCTCCAAACAAAAAAGCACACTGCCATTCCCCAGTTCCAGGCTTTATTCTCTCTGATTTAGACAATTTAAATAATGCCCTAATTTATTTATCTTTCTCCAATCTTTTTCTCTGTAATCCATGCTTCACAGTGTCAGAGTATCTAGTTTCCCAAAACACAAATGTAACTTAAGAATTTTCTGGGCCAGAAGCGGTAGCTCACGCCTATAATCCCAGCACTTTAGGAGGCCAAGGCGGGTGGATCACCTGAGGTCGGGAGTTTGAGACCAGCCTGACCAACATGGAGAAACTCTGTCTCTACTAAAAATACAGAAAATTAGCTGGGCGTGATGGCATATACCTGTAATCCCAGCTACTAGGGAGGCTAAGTTAGGAGAATCGCTTGAACCTGGGAGGCGGAGGTTGTCGTGAGCCGAAATCACACCATTGCACTCCAGCCTGGGCAACAAGAGTGAAACTCTGTCTCAAAAAAGAAAAAAGAATTTTTTGCTTGGGCTGGGTGTGGTAGCTTACACCTGTAATCCCAGCACATTGGGAGGCCAAGGCAGGAGGACTACTTGAGGCCAGAAGTTTGAGACTAGCCTGGGCAACAAACTGAAACTCTGTCTCTACAAAAATAAAGATGGAAAAACATAGCTGGGCATGGTGGCACATGCTTATAGTCACAGCTACTCTGGAGATTGAGGCAGTGGTTGGCTTGAGCCCTGGATTTTGAGGCTGCAGTGAGCTGTGGTCATGCTGCGGCACTCTAGCCAGGGTGACAGAACAAGACTTTGTCTCAAACAATTTTTTTTCCCTATTGATGGCAGAGGATGAAATCCAACTCCAGTATAACCATCACATACCTGCCTACTACATAGTTACCCCTTCCTACCTCACCTGCTTTCCACCATTTGTGTCTCTGCCAATCAACCCTCTTGAACACTCCACTTGCTCCCAAACCCTGGAGCCTCTGCTCTTCCATTCCCTTTGCCTGGAATATCCTTCTCCTCACTTGCACCTGTCAAAACCTTACTCCTCCTTCACAAATGGAATTTCTGTACCTCCTCTCTCATCCTCAGAGCCTTTAATATGTCAATCCCTTTTGTGTACTTCATCTTTAAATGTTTGTTTTTTGTTGTTGTTTGGGACATGCCAAGTAACCTTTATTCCCAGTGTGCCACATAACAAGACGCTGCAAAATACCCTTCTGGAGATCTTACTTAAGGCACATTATGTAAGTTTTGTTTGTTTTGTTTTGTTTTGTTTTACCTTATTTCTACCTACCTCATGTCCCCCAGAAAGGCTCTCTGATCCTTGAAATGAAATTCGTTCCTTCTGTGTAAACCCCAGTGCTTGCACAGGTTCGACACTCAAGTATTTGTTGGATTGTATTGATGTGAAAACATCTGCATTGGCAAGATGATCAATTCAAGCTAATTTATAGTCATAGGAGGTTCCCATAGAACAGCTCTTGAAGACCATCCAGTCTAAAGCTTTTCAAACTTTTATTTTGTTTTGTTTTGTTTTCCTTTCTTTTTTTAGTAAAACAATCCTGTTTTCAACAAGGAGTTTATTTGAAAGCCCAAGATGTGGAGCATATAAACACCATTCATGTTCAAGCTGGGGGAGCCCAGATATGTGCTTCCAAACCCCTTTCCCTGCCATTATAGGGCCTCAGAAAAACACAATTCAAAATCACTTTACAAAAACTAAGAAATACAGGGGAAGAAGATAATACTCAGACATCATGCTATTCCTAAGTTTTATCAGAAGCAGACAGTGAGTGCTATGTATTGTCAAGTGAAATGAGTTCTGGGATTATGTGAACTATCTTGTGACTTGTCAGGAGCTAATTAGATGATTTCTAACAACCGCCAGTCTCTCATAGTCTTATTAAAAAATTATTCTAGAGAGTGACTTGCTTTTAGATAATGCATTGCAATGTTTATGTGCCCAGCTCTGGAGTCAGGTTGCCTGGTTCTGCCAACTTTCGGTTCTACCGCTTACTAGCTGTATGACAAGTTACTTAGGCTCTCTCCTTCTCAATCTCCTCCTTTATAAAATTGGGCAATAATCGTACCGACTTCACAGGTTTTTGGTAAGTACTCAATAAGGTAATACAACTATGAACTTAAAACAGCTACTATAGTAAATGTTCAGTTAATATACAGAGATTCGTTAAGGGCCATGGTGAGAAAGGCAAATGGAACATATCACAGGTGCCACAAGCTGAATTTGGTGCTTCTCAAATGAAAAATATGGTGTACCCATTTAGATTGCAGATATTGACCTGCTATTTAAAGTGGGCATTGCCTATTTTACTAATCCAAGGAATCTGCCAACTGGTTTATTCTCTTCTGTTTAAAGTAAAACATCAAATGATACTACAAAAATTTAATGCATATAGGCACATTTAAAATGCTAGCAGTCTTGCTAAGTAACAACATAGTTATCCAAGCATTCACTAGATGCTTTTGTTCTCTAATCATGGAGATTTCTTTCTGTCAGGAAACCTTACCTGTCTTTCAGGTAGAACTATTCTGCCTATTCCTAAACACTAGCTGAATTACTTTGTATCACTCCAAAAGCAGGCCCTAGAACACAGTAGAACAAACATCTACCAGGAAAAAGTAGAAATCTTAAAGAAAAACCTGAAATGGGCACGACAGGAAACTTACTCCTGGTAAGGTAATCTGAAAATAAAACATCCTGGTGACCTTGTCATTGGGAAGACAAATAAAAAGTTATTTTAGAGCTACCTATTAAATTATTTCACTGAACTGGAAAAGCAAAGTAAAAACATGCATAAAAAAATAAAGGGAAGTGATTAGATGGTGGTCACCATTGCCCATTTCAGAATCCCATTCCATAGTGGCCAGTTGGGCCACCAGATGTTTCGGCAGAGCTGATGTAAAGTCCTTGCTGTCCCTAATGCCCAGACTCACTGCAGAGGCTCAGCACAATCCTGAGAGTGTGAGAAGTCAGAGCAGACTGCCCTTCTGGAGTGCCTTTAGGTGACCCAAACAATTGTGGTGTGGACCACGTTTGGAATCAGGAGATGAAAGCCTCTTCTAGCACATGAATTAAGACAACCAGAGGCTCACCTCCATCAGAAGGGCCCACAAACCAGTGGTTCTCAAATATAAAAATGCAAAAGAGTTGCCTTAGTTTATTAAAATGCATAATCTGTGTTGGCATAAAGGGAGTGACCTCTTTTTAATGTTTGACACTTGACAGCTTTTAGATCCCCAACCTCCCTGCCTGCCCCATATTTGGGCAGCCACATTTAGAGGACCCACATGTGCCAATCATCACCTGGTGCTGGAGGGGAGTTCACATTTCACAAATCCCTAGCCCTTGCTCCAAATTCTTCCCTAACCCACTTCATCGTGTGTCCGGAATTGGTGGGTTCTTGGTCTCGCTGACTTCAAGAATGAAGCCGTGGACCCTCGCGGTCAGTGTTACAGTTCTTAAAGATGGTGTGTCCAGAGTTTGTTCCTTCAGATGTTCAGATGTGTCCAGAGTTTCTTCCTTCTGGTGGCTTCGTGGTCTCGCTGGCTTCAGGAGTGAAACTGCAGACCTTCGTGGTGAGTGTTACAGCTCACAAAGGCAGTGCGCACCCAAAGAGTGAGCAGCAGCAAGATTTATCGCGAAGAGCAAGAGAACAAAGCTTCCACCAAGCAGAGATCGTTACTGCCGCTGACTCGGGCAGCCTGCTTTTATTCACTTATCTGACCCCACCCACATTCTGCTGATTGGTCTGTTTTACAGAGAGCTGATTGGTCCGTTTTGACAAGGGGCTGATTGGTGCATTCACAAACCTTGAGCTAGACACAGAGTGCTGATTGGTGCATTTACAATCCCTTAGCTACACACAAATTTCTCCAAGTCCGCACTAGATTAGCTAGACACAGAGCACTGATTGGTGCCTTTACAAACCTTGAGCTAGACACAGGGTGCTGATTTGTGCATTTACAACCCTCCAGCTAGACATAGAAGTTCTCCAAGTCCCCACCAGATAAACTAGACACAGAGCACAGATTGGTGCGGTTACAATCCTTTAGCTAGACATAAAAGTTCTCGGAGTCCCCACCAGATTAGCTAGATACAGAGTGCTGATTGGTGCATCCACAAACTCCGAGCTAGATGCAGAGTGCTGATTGGCACATATACAATCCTCCAGCTAGACATAAAAGTTCTCCAAGTCCCCACCCCACTCAGGAGCCCAGCTGGCTTCCCCTAGTGGATCCTGCGCTGGGGCCGCAGGCGGAGCTGCTCACCAGTCCGGCGCCACGCGCCCGCACTCGTCAGCCCTTGGGCGGTGGATGGGACTGGCCCCGCGGAGCAGGGGGAGATGCCCGTTGGGGAGGGTAGGGCCGTGTGGGAGCCCACGACGGGGCGGGGGAGGCTTGGGCATGGCGGGCTGCAGGTCTGGAGCCCTGCCCCGCGGGGAGGCAGCTGAGGCCCAGCGAGAATTCGAGCGTGGCACCCATGGGCCGGCACTGCTGGGGGCCCGCTGCACCCTCCGTAGTTGCTGAACCAGGTGCTAAGCCTCTCACTGCACGGACCAGCAGCGCCGGCCTGCCACTCTAAGTGCAGGGCCACTGAGCCCGTGCCCACCCGGAACTCGAGCTGGCCTGCGACCGCCGCGCAGCCGGGTTCCGCCTGCGCCTCTCCCTCCACACCTCCCTGCAAGCAGAGGGAGCCGGCTCTGGCCTTGGCCAGCCCAGAGAGGGGCTCCCACAGTGCAGTGCCGAGCTTCGGGAAGCTCGGCCAGAGTGGACGCCATGGCCTGAGGAGGTGCCAAGAGCGATCAAGGGCTGATAGCACGTTGTCATCTCTCAATAGCTATTATAAGGGCCCAGTCCACTCTCTCTCCTTGGTTGTTGTTTACCTCTTGACTAAATTTATAGACTTTCTTCTTTTAGACTCCCTCTTCTATTTACTATGTACACTTCACTTCATATCCATGGTACCTATGTGTCCATCATCTCAACATCCACAAATTCCTGAGGCGGGGATTACTCAGCATCCGGCAGGGATGAGGACAGCAAATAAAATAAGGGAAAAAAAAAAGTGGGGACTCAGTAAATCCAACTTGAGCTGTGTTGAGAGTTGTCAAATTAAGAGATCTACATAGGCATTCATGATCTTCCAGATTTCTCAGATTGATTACAGCAGCCATGGGGACTTTGACCAGACCACGCTCCAGAAAGCAAGTACTGGCCTTAAGTTTATTCTAGACTTCAGGACAGAAGAAGGCATAAGTAAAATGCTTTTCAAAACCAAGGTCCATCTTAAAGCCAGAGGTCAAGGAAAGGTACTGCAGTCGTCAAATAAGATACCTGGAGTTAGGGGCAGCTTGCTTAGACAGAAGTCAATGGAGAAAGCAGCTAACAGAACCTGTAACTGGAGAGTAAGAGAAGAGACTGTCATGTTCAGAATTTCACTCATACAATACTAGAGATGAGCAAGTCACCATAGGCATTAAGCAATCAGTATTTAATAGAATCAAGCACAAACCTGTTGTAAAATTTCCTTTCATTGAAAACCTAAAGTACCTTCTAGAGGTTTTTTTTTACATCTTTTCTTTTGTATTGTGATAGAATCTGTTTGTGTATGGACCAAGGCAACAGGGAACCTGGGAAGGAAGGTAGGGCAACAAATGGCAAAGAGGGATTAAACAACAACAAAAATTTCTGGTCCCTAGCCACTTGCACCTGGTGGAGAGTGTCAAGAAAAACCACAGATTTATACCTGGAGCTTTGCAAATTAAAAAAGATATATTAATTCTTTCAACAAATATTTATTGAGTATCCATTACCTGTCAGACAGTTTGCTAGGAGTTAGGGATGCAAATGCGTAGAAAACAGTATTTTCCCTTGAGCAGATTCCACTATCAGGATGAGGCCAGCAAACAAAACTTATAAGTTCTAACCGAGGTGTATATTTCTATGAAAATATAGACAAGGGACCATTTCACTCTACCTGATGAAAATGAGTGGAGAGCCACAACCAAGCTATAAAGAATGGCCCAAGATACCTACAAAACTAAGGCCGATTTCAAAGACAAGGTGTGAGTTTAGAAACTACCGATAGGTAAGAAAATCACGTCCAGACAGATTTCTTTTAAATGTTAAGTATTTCCCATGTGGGGATGGACTGGCATATCAAGACGACTAGTTTAGTGAATTCTGCTGAAACCAGGAAGTATAGAGGACTATGAAAATTAAAACTAAAAATAAATAAATAACTAAATTAAATACTTAAAAATGCGATGGACAAAAACAGTGTTGAATTTGGAATGAGATGTAGAAAGAGATAGGCATTGTTCATTTTAGAGATATCAGTTTACCGATTCAATTTAATGTTTGTTTCTTTCAATCCAATAATTTTCCAAAAGATTAACAAGAGTCCTAATTTGTTCCTTATTCAGCAAGAATTGCAATACAGAGCACTTTAAAAAAAGTATTTCAGGCTCCCTCTCTCCTGTTTTCTCCTTCCGTGACCTCTTGTAAGACTTTGATCATTTGAAAGGAATGTGTGGGTGGTGTGTAACCTTTAGAAATGTTTTTCTGCCAATTTACTAGAGGGAAGCTTTATTTCTCTTTTCTTTTTTTCCCCCTTGCCCTAAGTTCTGCACAAAACCACATCTCACTGTGTTGTGCAAAGCCATTCAGAGACATCCTTGAAAGACTCCAATGAAGAGAGATGGGAGTCAAGGCTGTGAAACCAGACAGCACCCCCTCAAAACCAGATTTCTGTGGCCCCAAAACAATTCTGCCTCTTTATGTGAGATGGCTTGGTGGTTGGTGAGTCATATTACCAGGTGTATTTATAGACAACCCATTTTAAAAATAAATAAATAAATAAATAAAAGCAGTTATTGCCTTTTTAGAGTCTCAGAAGGAGCAAAGAGAATAGCTAAAAGAATGTCTGAAAATTAGAAATGCTGCTATTATTAGAGAGTAGGCTAAGTTCAAAAAACTAAAGAATAAAAGAGTTCATTCAAAAGATAGGGATTCTGGCTGAGTACTCTGTCTAGTCCACAAGATTCTTCCATAGTGGCTTGCACTTGAAAGATGATCAATAAAATCTGTTGTGGAATAACTAGCAATGATTGTCAAAGAACAAGTTGGCTCGCATCTGTTTCATGTATCTATTTCACATTGCAATTTGAAATATGCATGGCAAATAGGAATTATATTCCCTTTCACTGTTTTCTTTTAATATTTACTGCATATTAAATTTATTTTTATAAAATGTAATGATTGAACTACTACATTGGGTATTATATGAGCAGAGAAAAGCTAGGAGTAATACACTGAATAATGAATCTCCTGGCCTCCCCAAAATCACCTGTTGAACTGGTAACTTAAGATGTCAAGTAGTAATTTGATCTGGGAAAGGTTTCCTCATTTTAGGAGCTCAGAACCGCTCAGTCACTTGTGATCTGCTTCCCAGAGTAGATTCCTCAGGTAGGAAACAGGAACCTAGTGAAAACCCAAAAGGCAGTTCCTTTGAAACAAGAAAAGTTAGGTAGTAGTGAAGAGACGGAGTGAAGGTATATACTTTTGAAATGTGAGGACATGAGATTTGGGAGGAGCCAGGGGCAGAATGATGTAGTTTGGCTCTGTGTCCCCACCCATATCTCACCTTGAATTGTAATAATTCCTATGTGTCAAGGGCAGGGCTAGGTGGAGATAATTGAATCATGGGGGCAGTTTCCCCCATACTGTTCTCATGATAGTGAATAAGTCTCACAAGATCTGATGGTTTTATAAATGGGAGTTCCCCTGCACAAGCTGTCTTGCCTGCCACCATGTAAGACATGCCTTTCTCCTCCTTCACCTTCTGCCATGATTGTGACGTCTCCCCAGCCATGTGGAACTGTGAGTCCATTAAACTTCTTTTTCTTTATAAATTATCCGGTCTTGGGTATGTCTTTATTAGCAGTGTCAGAACAGACTAATACACGTACATACATTTTAAGAACAAATGATATCAACCTTGAGGTTACTTGGTTTCTGCAGAGAGTTACTTAAACATGGTTCCCAAATTGGGATGCACTTACCCAAAGAATGTGCAGGATCATTCACATGAATGATGAAAAAAAAAGTTAACATTTATATATATTTTCCTAAGAAAAGAATTAAACATTACTAATATTTAAGGTATAGACTCAAAAGAGTACATATCTACTAAATATATACATATTTGTGGGCTTTGTGTTCAAGAGTCTTTCAGTTTTTGTTTCTCACTGACTTTGTATCTTTTCGTCTGTTTTGTTTATTGAAGTTTCCCAAGTTTTAGAAGAATGCTGGGATATGGAAGCATTTTTAAAAATTGCTTTTGAGTGAATTAGAATGCATTTGATCACAAAGATTGGAGAGTACTGGCTCAAAATGAGTGTGATAAAGGTGAAGTTTTAGAAAAATGATTAAACCGGCTTCGAAGGTCAAATAGTGCTTATGTTTTGGTCAAATTGTATAGATCAGAAAGCTATCCATTATCGTAGTCTGTTAGAGCTGCTATAGCAAAAATACCATAGATAGGGTGGCTCATAAACCACAAACATTTATTTCTCACAGTTCTAGAGGCTAGGAAGTCCTAAATTGAGGTGCTAACAGTTTCAGTGTCTGATGAGGGCCTGCTTCCTGGTTCATAGATGGCTTTTTCCTGTTTTCTCGAATGTCAGAAGGGACAGGGGACTTCTCTGCAGTCTCTTTTATAAGAGCATTAAGCTTGTTCATGAAGGCACCACCCTAATGACCTAGTTGCTTCCCAAAGACCCCACCTCCAAATTCCATCACATTGGGGATCAAGTTTCAACATATGAATCTGGGGGAGAAAGGAGAGTATATACATTCAGTCTATAGCACCCATCAATGGCATCCATCAGATAGCACGTCCTCTGGATAACAGAAGGATTAAACAAAATGATGTAAGGCCCCAAACAGGCCTCTCTGTGGGCCAGAGAGAAAAGCATCTTCTTTTAAATGGAATTGGACACTAGGGAAGACTGGAGAGGCTGTGGTAACAGAGGAAGGTCTCTGAGAGCCTGCAGATTCTATAAGACCCAAGAGCGGTCCAAGTCCCAGCTGCCTCAGCCAAAAAGACACCAAACTATACTAAACTACACAGAGTCTACCTAAACTGGAGCAGAAATTTTTCTACCTTTTCTCAATTTAAGAGAAAGAGGGAAAAATCTAAGACCCTGGTTAAAATAAAAATAAAACTCAGAGCTCCTACTAAGAAAAAACCATGGATTTGTGAGCCATATAGTACTAGGTTTAAATACCAGTTCACCTATTTATTATCTGTATAATCGTCAGCAAATTTCTTAACTCTTCTAGCTTCACTCTCCACATTAACTAAAAACAAAAGACACTAACATTTCCCACAGGTTTGCTGAGATTAATGGAGCATTTCCCAAACCTCAGTATTTCTTATTCCTTATAATGTTTCACAAATTGTATTGAGTCTAGCTAAGACCAGTTTTTTTACTTACTATGATTTTTAACTTAAACACATTTCAAAAGAAAACTTTGTATCATTATCACCATTATCACTTACCATTTATGGAAAGCATCACAAAAGATAAATATGGATCTCCTAAAACTAGGGGAATCCCATTGGGATTCTTTCTGTTGTTTATTTCTGTTGTCCTGGTGTAATTATTAATAACATTGTTTTGACTCACAAAATGTCCCAGTCTAGACAATCAATGATGTGATCACCCTACCTAAAATGATTTGCGTACCCCCAGGGGTGCACATACCATGGGGAAACACTGACTCACATGTATTATGTGCCTAACAGAGCACCTGGCACTTGGGAAGCACTCAGCCATGAGAGTTTTCTTCCTTCCCAGGAGTGCATATGAAATGGTAATCGTGGTCCTAACAGCTCCAGAGGCTCCAAAGAGCTGTAGGGAGGGGACAAACACTGTGGGAAGACAGGATGTAAGGAGAGCAATACCTGTAGTTGTTGATCCCTCATGTCCTGGTATCCTCCCATGCTAGTATCAGAAAAAGACATGCATTGGACACTGGGTAATTTGGGTATATTAACGAATGAGCATGATTTATCAAATCTGAAAGTAAAAAAGTAGCTGGATCTTTTACAAAAAGGAGGAGTAACATAATAAATCAGGGTCTATTTCTCCCTCTCTCTGTGTTTATATGTATGGAGCATGTATATGTAACATATGTAACTAAGATCAAAACAAATATAATACAAGAAGTTGTGGAACTCCTCTAGAAGTTTGTTACAAAAATCCAATTTTTTAAGTCTGAGTTTAGATAGAATTAAGTAATTTGGTAGTGATTGGGGAGGAGGATTGATCTTCATTTCTCTCAGACTTTCTTGAATTTCATGGATGATAATTGCACAAGAATCAAACAGATACACAAAACCAAAGTTTTCTAAGCATCTGAATCAAGTTACCTTCTATAGTCTAGAAAATATTTTCTTGAATGAATACATTACCACTGCTACCATAGTTAAAACAGAAAATATTGTGACAATAATTGTGGAAATAATGTTTGAAATATTAGGGATATAAACCAGTCCTGAGAGACAGTGTTTGTATAATTCCTGTCTTCCAGTTAGAGCTGGAGACTTTACAAATTACATCTCCTTCATTTTAGGAATGAGAACCAAGTACCCTTCCTAGGGCAAAAAGAAGGTTTCCAAGAGTACAGAGTAAAATGAGTAAATCTTAAAAAATAAAGTCCATGTTTCTAGGTATAGAGTCCAAATTTTATATATTTAATGAGTAGGAAACTGCCTTTTCCATTCAGCAATTATCTCAGTTCCATGATAAAATACATTCTGGATTCTTCTATTAATAATAGTTTTAAGTAGTACTTTCCTACTTTCAATATATTCTTAGAGTGTTACAAAGTTTTGTTCAAAATAAGAAGTGCCCATGTGAACATACTAAACACCAAAAAGCAACAGAAATAACTCAGTGATTAACAAACAAAAGCAGATGGAGGAAAATATGAGTCCTTTAAAAGGTCAAAGAAAAAATTCAAGCAGCTAGAATTCTGTGCATTTGTCCTCTGAGGCTTTCTGAAAACTTCTTTAGGGGCAAAATACCTCTCCAAGTGAAGTAGTTTTGAAAGTGGTTTTCACTCTTCTGATGCATTACTGTCTAAATCATGAAAACATTTCCTTCCTTTGCTCATCAGTAGGTGCTTAAGTATGCAGAAAGGACAAGGTTCCAAGTGGACGGTACTTCCCCGACACCCAGTAACCTGTATTTCTCAATACTGGGCTGTTTGCATGTTGAAACAGTAGTTTTTAAAACAAGCATAGGTATTTTGTGTAAAAAGATATCTTGTGCGGTTTTTCTTTAGAATAGGGGGAAAAAGACTGCAAAACATATTTCATTATAAGCTGGGATCTTAGGTATAGATAAGTTTTTTGTTTTTCTTATTTTAGAGAAAAATCTTATTCAAGGTTTAATTAAGGCTACCTCTAAGCGAAATTATGGAGATATGGCAGTAGATGAAATCCTTGCTAGACCTTTTCTGCTTTTATTGCTAAATCTCTCTCATTCACATAATCACTATGATGCCAATAATTTGTTGTTAACATTTGCAGAAGCATTTAAATTGTAAAGGAGTATCCTAGCTCCAAATTGACCTAGAGATTCAATGCAATCCTGATGAAAATTTCCAAAAGGCTTTTTTTGTCAAAACTGACAAGCTGATTCTGAAAGTTATATGGAAATGCAAATAACCTAGAGTTGCCAAAGCAATTTCTTAAAAAGAACAAAGTTGAAATAATTAGCTACCCGATTTGAAGATTTACTCTAAACCTTCATAATCAGTTTGGTAGTAGTAAAAATTAGATATATAGGAAACAGAACAGAAATTCCAGAATTCGAGCCACACATATATAGTCATTTTATTTTTATTTATTTTCTCTTTTAAATAAAAATTCTAATATTCTTAAATTGATAAATAAAAGTTGTACACCATAAATATACACAACTTTCGTTTGTCTTTTCTGTGCTTCTATCAGTTCAAGTGCTTTCAGATTATGCACATAAGTGAGATCATGAGGTATTTGTCTTTCTATTCCTGACTGATTTCACTTAATGTGATGTCATCCAGGTTCATTCATGTTGTCACAGATGACAATATGTCCTGCTTTTTAGAAGACTGAATGCTATTCCATTGTGTAGATTATACCACATTTTCTTTATTCATTCATCCATTGAAAGACACATATCTTGGCTACTGTAAATAATAATGCAATATATATGGGAGCCTGGTAATTTTATTTTAAACAAAAGTCCAAAAGAGATTCAACAGGAAAAGCCAAGTCTTTTCAATAAAATAGAACAACTGGATATCTGCATAGAAAACAAACAAATGAAAAACCCATTGACTCTTACCTCATATTATAAACAAAAATTAAATAAATCCTACTTTTTTATTTTTTTACTTGTTTAAAGGCAGGGTCTCAGTCTGTTATCCAAGTTGGAGTACAGCGGTGCCATCATAGCTCACTGCAGCCGTGAACTTCTGGGCTCAAGGGATCCTCCTGCCTCAGCCTCCTGAGTAGATGAGACTACAGGTGTATGCACCACACCTGAATTTTTTTAATTTTTTTTTTATTTTTTGGTAGAGATAGGGGTCTTGCTTTGTTGCCCAGGCTGGTCTTGAACTCTGGGCTTTGAGAAATCTTCCTGCCTCGGCCTCCCAAAATGCTGGGATTACAGGCATATGCCACTATGCCCAGCACTTGCATCCTAGATCTAAATGTAAAAACTAAGCTAGAAAACTTTTTTTACCTTAGGGTCAGGGTCTTACTAATGTTGCCCAAGTTGGCCTCAAACACTTTGGCTCAAGAGATCCTCTCATCTTAGGCAATCCTCTTACCTCAGCCTCCTGAGTAGCTGGGACTATAGGTACATGCCATAATGCCCAGCTTAAAATTATAAAATGTATAAAATAACATATATGATAAAATATTCATAAGCCTCAGTTGAGCAAGTTTTTTTTCACTTTCACACATACTGACCACTGTCTTGGTGGAATCCCCATTCTGACTAAGGAGGCAAATATGTAAATAAGCAACCAATTTACAACATGATGAGAGGCACAGCAAAGATATATACAAAACACTATATGAACAAAATGGAGCAATTCATTAATTTTGCCTGAGTTTAAGACCTGGAAGAGAGGAAGAGGTGGAGAGGACAAAGAACAGATTTACAGAAATAAAATTTGATCCAGATTTTAGATAGAATTTGTAGAGTGACTAAGTGAACGTTCCAAATACAAAATATAGTATGTAAAAAAGTATGTAGACATAAAAGTATATGGAATATTTTCTGTGGTCAGGGAGAGTGACAGGAGTTGAGACTAGATAGGTAAGGGGGCAATAATATGAATGATCTTGTATGCAAAGCATTTCAATTTATCACATAGACAGTTAAGAACAGAGGAAGAGAAATGGCATAATTAGCTCTAGTAGCAGGAAGACTCATGAAAACACTACATATAATTAAATTATTTTTTAAAAGATCAAGGGAATAACAAATACAACATTCAAGAGAGTTCTTACCTCTAGGGAGAAGGAGAGTATAGGCTAGGATAGGGGCACATAGGTGGATGATGCAGAGCTAGAATTAGATCACTGTTCTTTTCTTGGGTTGGGTGGTATTCATGATAGGATTAAGTTTTAGACTTCAATACATGTTACATATTGTATTTTGTATGGATCAACCATCAGGTTCTTAAAAGACAATAAGAAGGAAGGTTGGATGGAAAGAATTAGAAAAAAGCTGTAGGAAAAGTTTGTAAAAGACATGACAAGGGCTGGAGTAGAACAGAAAGTGGTAATACTTGGGATGGATAGGCAAGGTTGTTGTGTGGAAGAAGCATGGAGAATGAAAAAGGAAAAGGTAGAGGTGATTTCCAGGACATTATCTCAGGAAATCATGTGAAAAAGAAAGCTCTTTGCTTATAAAAACATATTTTAGAAAGGAACTTCCCTAAGCCTTTTAAAATCGTACAATATATGTGACTGTTTATTTGATGTGTACAGAGAGTTAGCTCAGGGTTCTATAAAACCTCAAATATAAAGGCCTATTTCTTACCAACACAAGTAATAATATGACCACCACAAGGAAACATATATATGCATTTGTTATAATAACACATTATACTTCTTATAATACCACAGATTATAAGAAATCTTTTAAAAATCCATAGCAGCTTATCCTCCCATCTGTAAAAGCTGACTATCATTCTGCCTCTCTCACAGTATTACCCATCTATTAAGTGATCTAGCTCCTCTACTCGATTCGACTATCCCATGCACTCAGATATCTGGAACTAACAGGTTGAAAATAGACTGTCAAATTTCATGGCATGTGAAAACTCATATTCACATGAAAGAGCTGCAATAAGGGCTTTGTTGAGTCATTTCAAGCTTTCACTCCTTACTTGAGTAACCTGTGAGTTGAAAACAAATAGCTCCTCAATCTGACTTGCCTTGCTCCTGGCTTAATCAGAAGTGATTGAGGACAATAAAACTTTTTTTTTTTTCAGAGAATGAGACAATTTCTAAGAATATTTATTCTGATGAAATTCCCAAAGCAAGTTCGCATTTTAATTCTCTTTTGCCTTCATTAGAGGTTTTGATGCCAAATAATAAGAGTCTAGTGTAGAAACTGACAGGCTTTGATATTGATATTTGATTTGATATTGACTTTACCACATTCCCTACTCTTTTTTTCATGTTTTAGAGTCATATGAATTTAGAAGTGTTGAGATAGGCACAAATTTCACAAGTCTGCCAGAGTTTCATTTTGTAGAAGCATCTTGAGACGAATCTTATAGTTCGATACTGAAGTTTGAAAGTATCTGCTTTATATTATGTTCTTCTTAGCAGATAATTTTGACTTGTATTCAACCCAAGTTATTAGTTATTTTGTATCAAGTTAGAATAAACTATAGTAATTTGACTGTGTCAAGAAATCCTTACTTTAAAATGAATAGGAAAGTGTGGATAGGTTCTTAATTACAAAATACCTAGTTGGAAATTTTGCCTATATACCAATCAAACACTACTTGTAAAAAATAATTTACCTGTCACTTTTTTAAAAATTTGATTTAGTCTTTTACTCAGTGGTTCATAATATTTTCTTTTCTGTAGTTATTTTTATTTCTATAAGGCAAGTAAATAACAGTCACAACAATCTTATTTTATTGTTATTGTCACTACTACACACACACATGTGCACACACACAAACACATACAAACACACACACACCAAGAGTGCCTAATGTGTTAGCAACTATATGTGTGATTCTTTCTAATCTTACAGTGACTATCCCTATACCATTTCAGATTTGTATTTAGAGTAACGAGATTGTTTATTAAAAATATACTTTAGGTCAACTATTAGCTTAAAATATAATCATGTGAATGCAAGTCAATCAAGCTTATATCTTATAAACCTATTTTGATTTAGTTTAATCTAACCTTTAGTGAACTTTTACTCAGACTTAGCAAACAGCTAGAAACCATAAGGACTATTTTAAAAAGAAGATTCTTCAATCTGTTAGTTCTTAAAGAACTTAAACCTGATTGAGAAAACTACAGAAAATATGCATGCCAAGTAAAGGACATGGACATACTTACGATAATGTAGAACAAGCGGTGTACCTGAGAGAATGTGAGCAAAGAAATAATCAATACAGAGGGATGCAAAAAAACTAAGTTTTTATTTACTTTTTATTTTTATTTATTTATTTATTTAGACAAAGTCTTGCTCTTGTCCCCCAGGCTGGAGTGCAATGGCGTGATCTCAGCTCACTGCAACCTCCGCCTCCCGGGTTCAAGCGATTCTCCTGCCTCAGCCTCCCAAGTAGCTGGGATTACAGGCACATGCCACCATGCCCAGCCAATTTTTGTATTTTTAGTAGAGACGGGGTTTCACCACACTGGCGAGGCTGGTCTCGAACTCCTGACCTCAGGTGATCCGCCCACCTTGGCCTCCCAAAGTGCTGGGATTACAGGCGTGAGCCACCGCACCTGGCCGAAAAACTAAGTCTTTATAGATTAGGCAGGCATGCAAGAAATTCAGGAGAATTTCCTTAACTCACTCCTGGGACAGAGGATATACTTTCAAAAACAAAAAAAAATAAAGAAAACTTAAGAAGTCTTAGTAAGGTTGGTGACACAGTAACTCTGAGGTGAGCACTGAGGTTTTAGTTTAGATTATGAAATCGTTATGGACTCTATCAACCATAAAGCATGACAAACAGAGGGAGTCTTTTAAAAACTTGTTGAGGAACATTGCGACACTTGCAAGTTCTCCCTAGTTGTTAAGATAGAAAGGCACTGTTCATGAGGGGAATCCTTTGGAAGTCCTGTCTTGCTGACAGATAGGTCCCTTTGGTAAGATTTATTCCTGAGACTGGCTGATAAATTGTGTGTATGTGTGCGTGTGAAATTTAATAATGTCATTATGAATTTTAACATAGTTCTACCAAAAGGGACAAAAATATATCATCATTTAGAAAATTATACATTATGGGCTCTCCTTGCATAGGATCTCCTCCTCGCTTCCTTCTCAATCATCTGAAGGGCCTGCTCTGGTAATTTGGATGAGATAATGTGGCTTTTTCGGTTTGGTCATGGATTTTGTCATTTGGAGCCAGGGTTGTTCTGGAAATGAGGTGGCAATGTTGCTCTAACAGGCTTCTGAATTGTTCTCTGACCGAGATTATTGCTCCTCCTGGGCAGGAATCATGACATGTGGTTCGACTGATTTACCAGAAGCAGTAATTGTTTAATGTGAAAGTTGTCAAGCTTCATTTTCCTGGTGCTGCTGTGCTTGCAGAAATTTGGCTAGTGAGTTAGAGAAGAAACCAACTGGGAGAAGAAATCAATGCTGCCTGAGTGCCACCTTCCTGCTGCCCAAGATACCCTTTAAAATGCTCCGCCTGTTTCTATTCTCTTTAATTCCCCTCCTCCTTGGCTGTGCTGTATTCTGCAGTCTTCAATTCAAAGTCCTAATTGAATGTCTCCTAAATGAACAGGTACTTACCTCAACATTTCCTGATTCTTCCTAGGTAATTCTACCTGGCTGTCCCACAAGAATCTCAGTCTCAATATATCTAAATTGAACTTTCCCTGAAAAACCAGCCCTTTTTCCTGACTTCTATATTTATTTTAATTGTTGGACCATACATATAGCCACTCTGACATGAGCCTTCAAAATGATTTTGACAGAATAAAGGGAATGAATTCAGTGGGACAGTCAGGAAATACTCCCAAAAGAAATTTGAAGTGGAATTCAACACAAAATGTAGGGGTCTTCCTTAATTTTACATTGCCCAATAAATTTAATGTAAATGTGTTGTTCACACAGACAATACCTCAAATTTAGTTATAAAGATAAAGGTAATTCTAGAAACAGTCTTTGGTTTCTCAAATATCTGAGTATTTGCAGTGCTGGTAAAGTAGAAGGTTGGTAGAATATAAAAAGATGGGCATCAAAGAGTAAAAATTTGCCAAAATTTCCCAACAGTGTTATGGAAAAAGATGCCTGAGAGTGAACATTTATGTTTTAAATATTTTGGCAGACATTCTCTGATAGCAACAAATGCATTAATCTGTCATGATTATTATACTAGCAATTTAGACTATCAAAACTTCTCCTCCAATTAGTTAACTCTTTGCTAATTATTACCACATAAACTTATCATAATAGACAGGAATCGATAAAAATGAAGATAATGTCATCTATTGAAGGATATTGTGAAAATTCAATCAGGGATCATGAATGAGTTGACACTAAGAGTCAACTTCATGGAAGGACTATTGCCCAGCAGCTATACTTTCTCTAGGGCAAGTTTGGCTATGCACGCCCCGTTCCCAGGCTCCCAAGGCTGCAGGTCATGGCACCCTATCCTTTCAGTTCATACAGAGCCCGTCTCATCTCAGTGCCACCAGTCACCCAGAGTAGGTTCAGACCTCTACCCTGAAGGACCCCAAACCAGTATCCGTCTTCTCAAGTGTGTGTTTCCTATCCCGCATAACTCTACTTTCCTCCTTATCCCACTCTTCCTCTTTCTATGGGTGATGGTCCTTAGCCACCTATCAGAATCTCAATATTGTATCCTTCAGAAACTCAAAAGAGCCTCAATGCCTTCTTTAGGGATAGAAAGAACTAAGATCTTAGACACACTCATTTCTGTTTACCTTGCCATAATGGATAATTTTCATTCTTTCTAAATGTGCAATCCTGTCCCAGGAACAGATTGGAGGTCTTCTCCCCACAGCAGAGGAAAAACAACAACAGCAACAACAATACAAAATGACAACAGAAAAAGCAAGGTAATTTCTAAGTGGGTCACCCTTCTACAGAGATATAAGAGTGTCTAATGTTAATTTCTAAGTGGGTCATGCTGCTACTGAGTTAAAATGTATGTGACAAACCTGGGGCAAGTAACAGAAGCTAAATTGCAAGGATAGAGGATAAGTATTAGAAGATAATTCACCATGGATAAAGGAGTCCAGGCAGAAGATCTAGACTCAGCAACAAGGCTGAAGAGTCAGAGGAGATTGGTAATCCCACATTATCTTCAGGGGATATGTTCAAGGCCCCCCAGTGAATGCCTGAAACTGCAGATAGTACTAAACCCAACCGCCATCAATTGGAACACATTTCTGTTCATGTCTCTAACTGAAACTTTCATGCCTTTTCCATCTAACTAAGCATTTGTCATGCACCATGGCCATAACTTTTGGGATTTGATATGCGTCAGCAAAACTAGCACTATTTCTTCTTCTTTCTTCACAATTTCAATGATGGAAAATTGATTCTTACCATAGATCTGTAGATTTTAGCAACCTCAGCATATGATTTTTTTTCTTTCCTTATTAAGTCGAGCACTTTCACCTTTTCACTTAAAGAAAGCACTTGACAGCTCTTCTTTGACATATATGAATTGCCAGTCTCACTACTCTTGCACTTTGGAGCTATTATTAAGTAAAATACGGTGACAAACCATCTGATAACTGAGATGGCAGCTAAGTGACTAATGGGCAGGTAGAAGATACACTGGACAAGTGTGATTCACGTTCTGTGCAGGACAGAGCAGGATGGTGTGAGATTTCATCACGCTACTCAGAACGGCTTGCAATTTAACACTTATCAATTGTTTATTTCTTCAATTTTCCATTTAATATTTTTGGGCCACAGTTGACTGTGGATAACTGCAACTATGGAAAGCAAAGTTGCAGATAAGGGGGGATTACTATGGTTTGGTGTTAATCTTGGTCAACATAGTGGCTCTGCACCCCAGGGAGGAAAAAGATCTCTGTGTCTCTCTCTCTCTCTCTGTGTGTGTGTGTGTGTGTGTGTGTGTGTGTGTGTGTGTGTGTACATTGAACAGTGCTAACAGAACTAAAAATAGCTTTACCCGTCAGGCCTGAAAAGCACTCAGATAGGAATAAAACAGAGAAAGACAGCATTTTCCTAGAGCAGGAGTGAGGATAGAGTACAGACCAGGACATCCATGAAGGTTTAGTAATATACAGCCATTGATAGTGGAACAAAAGGGGCAGAGGTAAGCCAAGAGTGGTGCACTGATAGCTAGTGGGTTATTGCCTAAGGGAGCTCCAGATGATGGCTTAGCAAACTCAGCAACCAACTGGGCAAAGCCAATAGTGCAGGGAAACTGGAGGTGATAGCTTGAGTAAATTCGCTCCACAGCAGCAACCTAAGAGTCTCTCCAAGGCCATCCAATTGAAAACCAAGATAAAGGTACCTGATAAATGAGTCATTAAATACACTGTGGGCTCTTCTAGAGAAAGCTAGAAAAGAGGAGAAACAGCAAATGTTTGAGGTCTTAGTATCCTTAAGGTATGGGATAAGATTGAGATGGCTGTTTTGAAATTAAAACAAAAAGATATTTTGTTTGAACCTACAAACAGGTGAAGTCTGATGAGATAATTGTTACATATTTAAATATCTCTGTCATAGCAAAAGTTAAGCAAACTTTAATTTCTTTACTTCCTATTATGTTTTTCCTTGCAACTTGTCAAAATAAACAAATAAATTGGCTTCTGTGTGTGTATGTGTGTGTCTCTGTGTGTGTGTGTGTGTGTCTCTCTCTCTCTCTCGTGTGTGTGTGTGTGTGTGTGTGTGTGTGTGTGCTTATCAGTTTCCCTGAGTGGGGTTACCTTTGGTTAAACTAGTAAAATCATTGCTATTTGGACTTTCCAGGCTGAGGATCCAAATCTAAAGTCATTGTAAACCAAGGAACATTCACATCATGGGCATGAGATATCTAGTGAGTCTTCTTTCACAATTTCCCTTTAATTCATTTTCTCCATTTCCTACTGTCATAATCATGATCCAGGCCCTAATTAACTCTCATTTCTCCATCTAATGAACCTTACACACTGCTTCCATTATGCCTTTTCTAATTCCATTACTTCTACCTAGAATGTCTCTAAAACTTACCCATATTGCAAGATCCAGCTCAAATATTACTTTCTGCATGAAAAATGTCCACATCACCCACACACAAATTAACTACTTCTTCCAGGAAGTCTTATAGCAGTTTATTCATATTACACAAATGGGGCTTCTTTACCTCCTTGTGTGGCAGTTTGTGTGTGTGTGGTGTATGTGTTTGTGTGTGTGTTATGTATACTCATTAATTATTTGGAAAGTTCCTAAGGACAAGGACCCCATCTTCAGATCCTAGCACAGTGTCCCTTGCTCACATTAACCTTCCCTCCTAGCCTATTCTCTACGCATCTGAGGCTGTCTGTTGAATTTTTATTGCTTTTTTCTCTCTCTCTCTGGGTGATTCCTAATGCCTATGTAAGCTAGATGTCACATGCATATAATCATGGGAGGCTTGAAAGGGGAAAAGATTTGATTTGCACTAAAACATATATTGTCTCACTCAGAAATGTATTTGTCTTTTCAAATTCCCTAAATTTTAATAACCTTTTCAACTCTTTTCAAATCTTCTACATTATCCATAAGCAGAAAATATAAAATAGTGAAATATAATGAAGATAAATAAGTTTTCCTACTGTTTCTCATATTATTCCCTTTTTAGCTAGAGTTTTTTCACTATTGAAATAATATTTTACAAGCACCATGTTGATGACTCACAAGCATATAATTCAGCATCAATCAAATAAATAAATCAAAGCTAAAGGAGTCATGCTTCAACTTCAATGTTGCAAATTGTGCTATCACCTAACAATTTCTTTTAGCGCCAATTAGTTAACTTAACCATCGCTAAGAGGTATAACTTTTAAAAGGGCCAAACTTTATGGTCTTTCAATAGGCAGGTGCAGCTATGCCACAAAACATTCCATTGGTGTTTGTGCATGCACGAATTCTACAATCTTGCCAAATTCCATTCTACAATTTAAGAAGCCAAAAAAGAGGAAGAAGGAGGAGGAGGAGGATGAGGAGGAAAGAAAAATAAAGAAAATCAAGTTAAACTGATTTCATAAAAGAAAAATATACCTCATAGGCATTCACTCTGGAATAAAACAACTCTCATTCAAGTTTCATTCACCCAATTTATATGATACTTGAGCCTAAGACATCAAAAAAGTCTAAGCTGGCCTCACTCCAGTTACTAGTAAGCATTGTTTACTAGGCATGTAACAATAGTCTTAATATAGTAAGCTCTGGTTTCCTCATCTGGAAAATGGGGATTAAAACTAATGCTTGCTTCATAGAGCTATTACGGGAATTAAATAAAATAATGCACATTAAACAAAAACAGTGTTTAGACCACAGTTTGTGCTAAATAAAGTCAGCTATTATTTTCATGTGATAATAACTATTGCATTTATGCCAATCTGTGTGTATACAAAACCAAAATGAAACTAATGCAAGTACAAATATCAACTATAAATTTTATTCCAGAGACTGATCTGTGAGAAATAAAAAGGTAAAGCCAGCATGGGCCTAATAACCTGCAATGATTTTCTAGGACTCTCTGTATTGCCAGATAAAGATTCAGAAGGTTGATTATTAAGCTACTCAAGGAGATACCAGAGAAAGGTGAAAACCAACTTAAAGAAAAAAAATTTTTAAGTACAGGATATATATGAAAAACTAAACATTTTCAATTTCATATTGGCTTATTTTGGTTTAGAACATATGGATCTACTGTAAATGCTAATCATTTGTTATCTTGAATAAGTTCGGTGTGTAAAACATGTGAGTGATCCTGAGCCCCAGCTGAGGAAATGATATTTGAAATTTCCACAGCGAGTAAAGTTTTAGCAAACTGTGTCTGTGGTATACCTGTGACAAATCAAACTAACGTGTGACAGTAGATTTTAACAACAACTCAAAATGCTATGATCTTGCACTCGGTTCTTTCAGCTACAAACATTAACCTTAGTTCATATCCTCATTTGTGGAAAGTTGTAACCCTATGGATGATCCACTGAGTTTTTCACCTTCTATCTGAGGATGTTGGTGGTGTTCAGGGTAGGTATCTCATAAAGCTCCTAAATGACTTACCGATGGGGATAATAAGCATTTAATAAACAATTTATATTCCTGTTAGTCACACCAATGCCTTTTTAAAAGAGAGCAACTCAAAACCTTAAAAATCAAAACTTCCATTTTCTCTTATTATTAATTGAAATGCTTTCATTAATGGTGATAGAATAATTGGCATTTACTATTTAGGCTGCTAAATGTCCATTATCAAGTGCTGATGAGCTTCAAGAAATTGCCCTTCTTACTGCAGTGTAACCTGAATGCTTTCCACACTTCCATCAGCTCAGATAAGGTGCACCAAATTATCTTTCCAACTACAGTTGTGTCACCTGAATGCAATTAACACCTTATTACGCGTTAAGGCATTTCTACAGGTAATAAATTAGTCATGGCTCAGTACCTTGCAATACTTCTTTAGTACAATACTTGATACACTCACTGTAGGCTATGGAAAATTCTGAAAACAATTAAATTTTTTAAAGCAATACAGAGATGATTTTATATCTGTCTTAGTAATGCTGATTGTACAAGCACTCACAGGGAGGAAAGTAATAAACTGAAGATGTCTCTTTTATGACCACAGAGTTTCTTCTGGATTCGAAGTTAGGTGTGAGAAAGCTGACAAATGTATTTCTAGAAATTTTTAATTAAATTACTAAATAATTCCTTTACTAGTTTTTGCTCCTGCTTTCTTTCCTACACTGAATTTTTTTTTTTCTTTAAGATGGAGTCTCACTCACTCTATTGCCCAGCCTGGATTGCAGTGACTCAATCTTGGCTCACTGCAACCTCCGTCGCCTAGGCTCAAGCGATTCTCCTGCCTCAGCCTCCAGAGTAGCTGGGATTATAAGCACGTGCCACCATGCCTGGCTAATCTTTTTGTATTTTTAGTAGAGACTGGGTTTCATCATGTTGGCCAGACTCGTCTTGAACTCCTGGCCTCAAGTGATCTGCCCACCTCAGCCTCCCAAATTGCTGGGAATACAGGTGTGAACCACTGCGCCCAGCCTCTACACTGAAAAATTTTAAATATCAAAAATTAGCTATAACCATTTTATTTTTAAAAAATTACAAAATATATGAAAGGTATATACCTTATATGAAGATATAGGAGAAGATATATGAGGGCTTTATGTGATACCTCCCCTAAATGACACCAACATATCCAGATATATATATGAGAAGTATATCTTAATAATTAACATACACAAATAATTTCAAAATTTTCTAATCAATTTATATATCTAAATTTTACCAGTTTGAAAATACCTTTTCCACATGTTTGTTATACAAGCCAAATGCAAATGTTAACAATTTGTCCCATAAATAAGAAAAATTCAGTTTAAAAAGAAAAATATATTGATAATTCAATAGGTTTTAACCCATCCCCAATTTTAAAACAATTTCTATTTGCATTTCTTTTGAGATTTAAATTTTCTACCTGTTTCCTTTCTCTTTTCCTAAAGAATCATAAATGACTAAAGGCAGGCACAGAATTTGTCATTCGTAACATCAGTTCTTCCAAGGAAACTAGAGAACCTTTTCTAAGTTCAGATAGAAATTATAAGATACTTGATTTATCCACTAAATATCAGCTGTAGTTTTACTGCTATAGAACTGAGTTTTCAGTGTATCATGCACACAGCAGTAAAGTATTCAAAAGTTATGTGCAAATAAGCATCTCTTTAGAATTTGCCTGACTTTTTGTAACATAAGTGATACAACTTTTTTTTCTTTCCTTGTCAGGAAACTAGGCACTAGTATTAAGTGCCACATAAATAGCTAATTGGGTGGAATGATCAGAAGATTACATAAACCACTTCTCAGGTAGAAGCCTCTGAGACAAACTACAGAAGAATGTGGGTCAAATGTTTCATTGCCTTCCTCTGTGCATATACAATTAATATCTCTTAATGAATTTCAGATTGTCAGCTTTCAGCTTTCTCATTAAACTACAAATCAAGCCATGATTACAAAACCTGTTAGAAGGTTGAGATCACTCTGGTCCCCTTCCTCATGTTGCAGATAAGAAACTAAAATTTAAAAAGGTTAAATGACTTGCTCAAGGTCACATAGTGAAGATCTAGATCTTTTTTTTTTTTTTTTTGACCTTTTTTTTTTTATTATACTTTAAGTTTTAGGGTACATGTGCACAATGTGCAGGTTAGTTACATATGTATACATGTGCCATGCTGGTGTGCTGCACCCATTAACTCATCATTTAGCATTAGGTATATCTCCTAATGCTATCCCTCCCCCCTCCCCCCACCCCACAACAGTCCCCAGAGTGTGATGTTCCCCTTCCTGTGTCCATGTGTTCTCATTGTTCAATTCCCATCTATGAGTGAGAACATGCGGTGTTTGGTTGTTTGTCCTTGCGATAGTTTACTGAGAATGATGATTTCCACTTTCATCCATGTCCCTACAAAGGACATGAACTCATCATTTTTTATGGCTGTATAGTATTCCAGATCTTATGACACCTCATCTGGAACTTTCATCACTACAGTACATGGGGTGGAGGGGAGGGGCCCATGACTTACCAAAGAAGCTCTGGGCACTGTTTATTACTGTTTCTAGAAATGGTACTTGGTAGATTAAAGCATATTCTTATATCCACATAGTATGTCCTAAATTTGATAATGATTTTTATTTGACCCATAATAGAGTAGCTATAATTGCATAAAATAATTTTCCTACAATGAGACATTTTAATTATATAGAAGATTTCAGAATATTTTCAGATAGGGAAGGAGTAACCCAATGAAGTTTCAGCATTATTAAAATTGTTCTTATAACTTACAATTTTAGAGCAGTTTTGCCTTATATTTTTCTTATATAATTTATCAAATCCAAAAAATTGAAGTTGAACTACGCATATAGATGCTTCTTGATTCATGGTTGGGTTACATCCTGATAAACACGTTATAAGTTGAAAATACCCAAAGTTAAAAACGCATTTAGTTAAAAATGCATTTAATACACTTAACCTAGAGAACATCATAGCTTAGCCTAGCCTACCTTAAACATGCTCAAACATTTACGTTAGCCTACGGTTGCGCAAAAACATCAAACACAAAGCCTGTTTTATAACAAAATGTTGAACATCTCATGGAACTTATTAAATACATTATTGACAGTGAAAAATAGAATAGTCATATGAGTACTCAAAGGACATTTCTACTGAATGCACATGGCTCTTCCACCATCATAAATTTGAAAAATCCATAAACCAATCTATCATCAAGTCAGGAAGTATCTGTACTGTATACGAACCATTTCTTTTTTTCTCAAAATGTAAAGCCTTCTATAACAATATATGGAACGGTTGAAGACATATATGAAAATGTAATAATAAGGACATAACTTAAGTAACAGTCATAAAACACATTGAAAAGGTTTTTAGAGAATATTCTATAACTTTTACACAGTTATGGTGCTTCTACTAATGCATTATTTTTCTACAGTGATTAGTAAGGTCTAAATAGTATTTTTAAAGACAGCTCTTTAGTTGCAGTTAGTTCAGAATTGAGTTAAGGTTTGCTATGCTCAGAACTAATGTTTAATTATTCCTTTAGACCAATACTATTTTCCCATATAGCAGTCGCTGGTATCTACTGGAATGATTACTTATATAGTAATTAGGTATTTCTATTCTATTCCTATTCTCAAGACTGTACTTTAACAATAACTCTAAGATTTGATAAACTATCCAAGGTAAGACACCTATAATATACTGCCAACAAATTATTAAACAATGTATTAATGAAAACAAATACTGGCTGTGGTTGAGGGTTGTTTTTCTGTACAATGATTATAAACACCATTGTTGTAGTAATTTCACCTCTAGAAATACATGTTACGGAAATCAAGAAGTAGTCAAAGATTTATGAAAAAAATGTTTATTATGGCATTATCTAAAGTAACTGACACATGAAAAAAATCATTGACATTAGAAAATTGTTAGCAAGTAAATCGTGGCAAATAGTTCTACTTTATTCCTTCTGTGTATTTTTCAAGCTTTTTTAAATGAATACCTATTACTTGTATCATCCTAAATAAAAGCTTTAGAAACGCTTTTTAAATGCCTGAAATTAAAGCTGAAATTAAACAGATTCACAATGATACATTTGCCTTGCCAGAAGCTATATTGTATTGAATGTATGCTGAGACATTGTAATTTCCAAAGAGGGCCACTGCAATATAACTCATCTGACAGACTCTTCTTACAATGTGACAGCTAATGGTGAGGTCTAAGTCTCCTCCCTTTGAATTTCAGCTGACATTTGTGAGCACATCCCCCAAAAGAGTATGTTGAAACGATTTCCATGATCAGATCATAAAAATGCCATGCATTTCCATCTTGGTTTTTTGTTTGTTTATTTGTTTTTTGTTTGGTTGGTTGGTTGGTATTTTTGAAACATTATTTCTATGAACACTGCCACCACAGTGTGAAGAGGTCCAATCTTACCCATGTTGGGGTTACCTCATCTTGTTCTGACCAACACTACCAGCTAAAGTCCTCCAAATAGTCAACATCAACCCCCAGAAATGTGAGTAAAGAAGTCTAAAAATTAATCCATTCCCCAGCTATCTAATCTTCTCTGAATTTTTTCATTTGAAGCCCCAAACAAGCCATGCTTATAGGTACAGTTTGATTGTCTCCTACATAATTCATGTTGAAATTTAATTACAATTGTAACAGTACTGAAAGGTAGGGTCTTTAAGAGGTGATTAGGTCATGAGGCCTCTGCCCTCATGAATGGATTAATGCCATTACCTCTAGAGTGGCTTAGTTGTCCTGGGAGTGGGCTCTTGATAAAAGGATGGGTTTGGCCTGATTTCCTCTTTCTGTCTACAATGCTCACTTGCCCTCCTGCCATGTTATGACATAGCAAGAAGGCCCTTACCAGCTATGGGCCCTTGATCTTAGGCTTCCCAGCCTTCAGAATCATGAGCCAAATACACTTCTTTTAAAAAAAAAATTTATCCAGTTTGTCATATTCTATTATGGCAGCACAGGACCAATTAAGACACTCGCTGTACCCTTTCTCAATTTCTGAAACACATAATCTGTGATCATAAAATGATTATTGTTTATACCACTAAGATGAGGTGGTTTGTTTTACATCAATAAATATTTGGAACACATGCCTCTCCAAGAGAGAAATAGTCACTTTCCACCAGAAGAGAAGAAATAAAAAATCAATAAGACAATCAACTGTCCCACTAACAAAGAGAGCAAATAAAAACTTTGCAAAAATAATTGAGTTAATAAAAATAAAACTGTGTTAAAAGAGAATTGAATCATCTTGCCTTAAATGCTTAGAACCAAAACTGAATTTTTAGAAAATATTGAATATGTAGCAAATTCCTTACTGCAAAAGGGAAATCACCCAATTTCACTCTAATGGTTGAAAACCTTGATGTCAGCCTCAGTTATCCAAAGCAAAGACTAACAAAATAGGAGAAAGTGGAAAAGATACATTTTTACTTTGAGAATATGTATAGCAGTACAAAAGAAATTGCTACAATGGAATAAAACAAAAATTTCTGAGGCTGGAAACCAATTTTAAAAAGGAAAACAAAACACTTTTGAATATAACTTTAAGCTACATTTCTGATGTCACCAGAGTCACAAGGTGGATAAAATGCAACTATTTTTAGTACTACTGTAGTAAGGAATTGTTTTAACTAATAACTTAGCATCCATCAGATTAATACAGAACAATCATATCCTTTGCTATGCATGTGTGCCATTTTATACTGTCTGATATGATCTGAGTGTAATTTACTTGTTCCTTTGGGTTTGTGGTTGTTGTCACATCTAGACACATAAACATCATAGGCAGTAGATGAGACTAATTAAATAATTATTTTCTGCATAGAGTTATAAGCTAAAAAGGTAATTAAATCATTCATTCACACAGTAGGGTAAGTATTTACTAAAGAGTAAATATGGGGTGCTAAGACACATCTAACAAAGCCTTAGGTTAGGAGTAGGAGGGAAAGGTTAAAGTTAGGTTCCCAAAAAAGGTGATGTCTCAACTGGCTCCTGAACAGCAAATAAAACTGCATCAGATAGAGACAAGTGGTAAGATGTTCTAGGCAGAGTTGCAACCTACACAAAAGCTTAGAGGAGAAGAAGAGTATGACATATTTAGGGAGCTCCAAGTAATTCAGTTTGAATAGAGCTGAGGCTATTAGGTGGAGAGTGGCAGTAGATGAGAGTAAAGAGACTAAATAGGGAAGTAGGGACAGAATGTGATGTACCCCACACATGATTTTCTATTCAGGTTTCATGCTATGACTTTGAAGTGTTTTGCATAAGAGAGTGTTATGATGAGACTTCTTTCTGTAAAGATCTCTCTCAATGGAAGCAAAAGGATAAAAAGGAGCAAAATAATCAATTAGAAGGTACTTTCTATTGATCAAAGGAAAAGAGTAGAGGCCTCAAATAAATAGGGACAAAGGAATTGGAGATAAGTGGACAGATAGATTTGAGTGATGTTAAGATAGCACCATCAATGAAATTTGTTGATTTATTGTTTGTGAACCTGAGAAAAGGTATTGGAATTGAGAATGTACCAGAATGTCTGGCTTGAACAACTAAGATCATGGTGGTGCCCATTTCTGAAACAAGAAATATAAGCAGAATATTTGATTACGATGAGGTTAACAGAGACATCGATTTTTAGAAATGTTGACTTTCAGATGCCAATGGAACACCCAGGTGGAGAGCTAAAGAGACTCATCTGGAACTCAGGGAAACGATTCATTTTAGAGCTAGCGGTTGAAGAACAATAGTTTATAGATGGTGAGCAAGTGAAATTAACTTCAAAGAGTGTATCAAGTGAGATATACAGAGGATATATGGAGGATTAACTATGTGGAAACCAATGTTATTTATAGGTAAAGAAAGAAAGGAAAACATTGAGAAAGTGGCTAACAAAGAAAAATCATATAGGTAAGAGGAAGCTCAAAAGGGAGTGGAATCACAGAAGCAAAGAATATAGAACTGTTTATTTAAAAAGAAGAATTTGTCAACAGTTCAAATGCTGCAGAGAAGTAAGCAAAATGAACACTAGAAAATTTCCGTTAAATTTAGCCTTTATTTTTGCTAGTCACAAACATTCAATATGATTTGCCCCATCTATGTCTCTAGGCTTCCACTAACTTCAGTTTGAGAACCTGGTAAACTATAGGAATCATAAATACAGGGACATTTGAGACAAGTAGGGATTTTTAAAGAATTATATTTATGCCATTCAAAATCTTTCCATTAGAACAGCACTATATAACAGAAACTTTTTCTAAAATTGCTTCTGTAATTATTATCAAAACACATTTAGTTTAGTAATTATTAATTTGTCACAAGTTCCTACTTTGAAAATAGTTAAACTGAAGCACATAGACATTTAGTGATCTCTCAAGGTGTCTTAAAGTACAGGAAATGGACAGGGTTTTATGTATTCTGAAACAAAGGAATACATTCTTATGTATTCCTATGTACAAAACTCTAAAATCCATGTTAATTTCCTTTAGAACATTTTAAAAATGTCATATTATTCAGCTTTTATTTTTAAATAGAAACAAACAACTTTAGCATTTCATATAATTAAGTTTCACCTCATGTGCGATTCTTTAAAGCCTTAATCAGTTTGTCAATTAACAAACAAATTAAAAACCTTATTTATTCTAGTTATGCCTGGAAGCTGATGTTCCTAATAAAATTCTTCTTACATAAATAAAAGTAAATACCTTAAAGAATTGACTTTTTCCCAACTCTCAGAATTATAAACTAGTTATTATACATCCTGAGTGCTTTTGATACTTTCTAAGTACAAAGCAGAGAGGGAATTTGTTAATTCCTTCTGCACTATAATATCACTGTGTTTAACCACACTGTACTCTTTCAGTGGGTGGATAGCAATGGTAGACATGCAAACCAAATTGACTCCCACAACTGCTGCGGATATTGGCTATATGTTGTCAAAGGCTTTCTCACCACATCCAGCGGAAAATAAATACAAGGCATGGTCAACAAAGTGCTCTCATATGCCACATTTAGGCCTGAGCAACTAGAAGAAATCTGTATATAAGGGAAGGTAGTTTTTATTGCTTAAAAGTCCACATGTTTTATTCAACTTAAATACAGAAATAAAATAAATCTGTCATCCTACCATCAGTATATGAAATGAGTAGGTAGATGTACCATATAAGTCCACAGCTAAGGATAACTTAAAAATCAATAGTCATCACCACAACAAAAAAGGCAAGAGACAATGATTTAAGAAATTGTTAGTTGCTCATTATTTCAATGGATATGTGCTAAGAGTCTAATTGTAGTGCTAGGCACTAGGAGAAATAGTCATGGTCCTGCCCATGAGAACATTAGAAGAACACCAAGTGGGAGAACTGAATTTAAAAAGAAAGAAAGAAAGAAAAGAAAGAAAGAAAGAAAGAAAGAAAGAAAGAAAGAAAGAAAGAAAGAAAGAAAGAAAGAAAGAAAGAAAGAAAGAAAGAAAGAAAGACAGAAAGTTGAAAAGGACTTTGGCATAATACAACACATCAGGAGGCATGGTGTGGCCGCCTACCCAATTGTTACCACCTTTTAAACCCGCCCACCTTTTCTCCCCTGAGATATCTGCTCTCCTATTTCCCGCCATAACTTTAAGGGGTATGAGACTTAGCCCCGATTACAAAGTGAATAATGATTGGTAGAAGGCAATCATTACATACTGGTTTCCAAGTGGGCATGTAATACAATTTTATCCATTAAAATAGAAAAATTCCGCTATGGTCTTTGGGAAAATGCTTCCTCCCTAATAATAATTATAGAAACAGAGGAAGTTCCCCTATTCCATTGCATGTTGTATGTCATGATAGGATATCTGATTCTGCTGTTGCCATTTTATGGTTATTAAGGCTGCTAGCCTAGGAACTAGTAGATGTGTAAACATGCTGAGAATGGTAGGGAAAGGAAAATACAAACACATACACACATACACACACACACACACACACACACACACACCAGCTCCTAATGATGTCTTTAAAACGCTAACTTATTGGTGTGATAGATAAGGAATTGTCTATATGGTTAATATGAGTCAGAGTTGTCTGCTCATTACAGCCAAATGCATGCTAACCAATACAAACACTTTTAATTTACAGATGAAGTACTAATAGAGACCTGGAGAGTCACAGAGGTCTGTCACATGTTAAACAACTAGCTATATCTAGTAATCTTAGTAGCCAATCTCCTGATCAATGATCGTCAGATTTGAGATGGCTGCTCTTCACCCAAGCTAACCTGACCATGATGCATTAAGGAAGTAACCCTGTATTCCTGATCCATCGTCATGGTTTGGAAAGTACCATTCCCACGTTTCCATTATGGCCTACCAGAGTGCTTATAGATTAACCAGAAGTGGGTATGATTATTATGTACTAAAACCAAGATATAAGTTGCCATAAAATAATTTCTGATGCATATTGCATGTAACCCGGTGAAGCCATGTGCTGCTTTTTATCACTTCAGCCAGCAAAGGTAATTCCTTGAACTCTGAAAATTTGGAGGTTTGAAAGCAAGTTTATTTTAATTCTAAAAAATTTTAAGGATGATTCTTGATCCCTCTAATGTACTATCCCTCTAGTGAAAAACCATGTTTTCATAGATTTCTGGTATGGTTTGATACACATCAATTGATGCTTAAAAATCACAGTCAATATTCAAGAGTATTTTAAAGTAAACAAAATGTTCCAATAGGTGTACATTGCAAAGCAAAATTTATTACATGGATGGACTGGCATGTGGTGTCAAAATCTGAGTAGAGTGGAAAGTTAATATGGAACGGTGCTTATGGGGAATCACAGACCAAATATGGTGCATAAGGCATGCAAGGGGGGATGGGCATAACTGGCCATAGGAGACTAATTACATACAGGAAAATTGATTAGATAAGTAAATATATTAAAGATAATGGGTATCAGACTTCTAGCAGGAGGAGAAGAGAATTAAAAATATGGAAAAGGAGAGAACAAGAAAAAACCCTGTGGCAATATTAGATTGGAATTGGAGCTATTGGTTTTTAGTATATACATAGGTAGAAATAAAAACAAGTATACTTGTAAATGTATGTAAACACATATGTATGTATACATATTTACATATATACACACATGCATACACACATATATGTAAGTGTGCATAACCATATGGTATATTTCCTAGCTCATCTACTGGGAGGGTCTGGAGCAGTGACACCCCAATTGCATTGAGTACACCTAGCATCCAGATCATAGAAGCAGGACTCCTTGAAGAAATGATTGATATCAGTGCTGGGCCAAGGAAAGTATAAGATAAACCTGGAATATTTTATTGTGCCAAAAAGTAAGAAAATGCTCACAGAATTATGAGGACTTGTGAAAAAGGCCTAAGGACTGGTTTTAGGGCATCCCGCTAGTCAATCCTTGGAAATTTGAGCATCAAAATAAATAACTGAATAAATAGGAAACTTATTCCATATTGATATTAATAAATAAGGAAGACATTGAAAATTTGATGAGGAACATAACATTTACATAGTTACATTGTACTATCCCACAAAAGACTTAACAATTACAAATAAGAAAAAAATAACTTCACAGTGGAGAACATTGGAAGACATCAACTTAATCAAGCAAAGTCAACATCATCAATAATGGAACAAATCAAAATTGTGCCCCAACTGATAAAATGCAATGAGAATAACAGTATTACTCCTGTCACATGCCTACGAAAAATGCATAACCTGAATCTAAATATGAGGAGACTGTTTTTAAATTTAAGTTCCATAATTACAGCCATACCTCATTTAATTGCACCTTGCTTTATTGCACTTTGTAGATACTGTAATGTTTTACAAATTGAAGGTTTGCGGCAAGCCTGCATTTAGCAATTCTTTTGGTGCCATTTTTCTAACAGCATGTGCTCACTTCCTGTCTCTGTGTCACATTTTGATAATTCTTGCAATATTTCAAAAATTTATTATTATTATTATATCTGTTGTAATAATCTGTGATCAGTGATCTTTGACTTTATTATTGTAATTGTCGTGGGGCATCACAACAATTGCAAGTCAGCAAACGTCATTGAAAAATATTATGTGTTCTGACGGCTCCACTGACCAGCCATTCCCTTTTCTCTCTCTCTCTCCTTAGGTCTCCCTATCCTTGGGGCACAACAATATTGAAATATGTACCAATTAATAACCCTACAATGGTCTCACATGTTCAAGTAGAATAAAAGAGACGCACATGTCTCACTTTCAATTAAAAGCTAGAAATGATTAAGCTTTGTGAGAAAGTCATGCCAAAAGCCAGCATAGGCAAAATATTAGGCCTTTCAGGCCGGTTAACACAGTTGTGAATGCAAACAAAAAGTTTTTGAAGGAAATTAAAAGTGCTACTACAGGGAACACACAAATGACAAGAAAACAAAAAAAAAATCAGTTTTATTGCTGATATGGAGAAAGTGGATAGAACCTCAAATTAGCCACAGCATTCCTTAAGCCAAAACCTAATCCAAAGCAAGGCCCACAGTCTTCCAATTTTTTGAAAGCTAAGAGGTGAGGAAGCTGCAGAAGAAAAGTTGGAAGCTAGCAAAGACTAGTTTGGAAGGTTTAAGGAAAAAATACATCTCCATAAAATAAAATTACAGGGTAAATCAGCAAGTACTGATGTAGAAGCTAAAGCAAGTTATCCAGAAGATCTAGCTAACATTATAGATGAAGGCAACTACACTAAATGACAGATTTTCAATGTAGATGAAAAAGCCTTATGTTGGAAGAAGATGTCATCTATAACTTTCATAGATAGAGGAAGTCAATGCCTAGCTTCAAAGGAAAGGCTGACTCTCAAGAGCTAATGTAGCTGGTGACTTGAAGTTGAAGCCAGTGCTCATTTACCATTCCAAAAATGCTAGAGCACTTAAAAATTATACTAAATTGGGCTGGGCATGGTGGCTCATACCTGTAATCCCAGCACTTTGGGAGGCCAAGGCGGGCGGATCACCTGAGGTCAGGAGTTCAAGGCTTGCCTGGCCAACATGATGAAACCCCGTCTCTACTAAAAATACAAAAAATTAGCTGGGCGTGGTGGCAGGCATCTGTAATCCCAGCTACTTGGGAGGCTGAGGCAGGAGAATCGCTTGAACCCGGGAGGCGGAGGTTGCAGTGAGCGGAGATCATCGTGCCATTGCACTCCAGCTAGGCAATAAGAGTGAAACTCTGTCTCAAAAAAAAAAATTATCCTAAATCTAGTCTGTCTGTGATCCATAAATGGAACAACAAAACCTGGATGACAGCACATCTGGTTATAGCATGGTTTACTGAATATTTTGAGCCCACTGTTGAGACCCACTGCTCAGAAAAACAGATTTCTTTAATAATATGACTGTTTGTTGACAGTGCACTTGGTTACCCAAAAGCTATAATGGAGATGTACAAGCAGATTAATGTTGTTTCATGCCTGCAGCCCAGGGATCAAGGATTAATTTCAACTTTCAACTCTTATTATTTAAGAAATACATTTCATAAAGATAGAGCTGCCATACATAGGGATTCCTCTGATGGATCTGGGCAAAGGAAATTGAGAACCTTCTGTAAAAGATTTGCCAGTCTGGAAACCATTGAGAACATTCTTTATGCATGGGAGGACATCAAAATATCAATATTAACAGGAGTTTGAAAGAAGTTGATCCCCTCTTTCATGGATGACTTTGAGAAGTTCAAGACTTTAATATAAGAAGTAACTGCAGATGTGGCAGAGACAAAAAGAGACCTAGAATTAGAAGTGGTGCCTGAAGACGTGACTGAATTGCTGTAATCTCATGATAAAATATTAATGAATGGTGAATTTCTTCTTATGGATGAGCAAATACAGTAGATTTTTTGAGAATGAAATCTACCCCTGGTAAAGATGCTATGAACATTCTTGAAATGACAAGAAAGGATATAGAATATTTCATAAACTTAGTTGATGAAACAGCAGCAGGGTTTGATAAGATGGCTCCAATTTTGAAAAAAGTTCATATGATGTGAAAAATGCTATCAAATAGCATCAGATGCTACAGAAAAACCTTTCATGAAAGGAAGAGTCAATTGATATGGAAAACTTTGTCTTTTTTAAGAAATTGCTGCTGCCACCCCAACTTTCAGCAACCACCATTCTGATCCATCAGCAGCCATCCACATGAAAGCCAGATTTTCCATCAGCAAAACAATTAGGATTAACTAAAGGCTCAGATGGTCATCAGTACTTTTTAGCAATTATGTATTTTTAAATTAAGGTATATACTTTTTAAAAATGACATAATGCTATCACACAGTAGACTACAGTACAGTGTAAACATTACTTTTGTATGCACTGGGAAACCAAAAAATTCATGTGAATTGCTTTATTGTGATATTTGCTTTATTGTGGTTGTCTGGACCAAATCCACAATATCTCTTTGGTGTACCTGTATTTAGGTATGGTGAGGCCAACAGATTAAGAGACAAATCATCATTGAATACACAGTTTATTACAGTTCCAAAGAGGAAGGAGCACACCATGTCATGCAGGGCCACACCAGGGTCGATCAAGAGGGAGAAAGAGCAAGGGAAAAGCATGAGCAGGAGCCTTTATTGTAGGTTCCTTGGAAAAGGCAAAGCAAGGCAGAGTAGGCAGGTTTAGGATTGGCTAATTTGAAGAATTTCAGTAGGCTCAGAGACATAGGGGCATCTCTAGTTTTCTGATACCTGACCCTGGCATGATTCCTGCAAAGGAATATTGCTTCGTGGCATGAAAGAGCCAGAGAAAGGAGGTGCCTCAGGGTCTGTGCTCAGGATAGGCTTATTTGCATATGAAATGCATTCTTTTGCTCTCTAGATTCCTCCTTTCTGGGCAAAGCATCTCTGAAAGAAAGGCAGCAGCCCCAGTCAGGGGCTTATAGATAAAACTCCCATCTCCCTGAGACACAGCACCTGAGGGAAGGGGCAGCTGTGGGCACAGCTTCAGCAGACTTAAACATTCCTGCCTGCCAGCTCTGAAGAGAGCAGTGGCTCTCCCAGCACAGCACTTGAGCTCTGCTAAGGGACAGACTGCCTCCTCAAGTGGGTCCCTGACCCCCATGCCTCCTGACTGGGAGACACCTCTCAATAGGGGTTGACAGACACCTCATACTGGAGAGCTCCAGCTGGCATCTAGCAGGTGTCCTTCTGGAACAAAGCTTGTAGAGAAAGGAACAGGCAGCAATCATTGCTGTTCTGCAGCCCCCACTAGGGTTACTCAGGCAAGCAGGGTCTAGAGTGGACTTCCAGCAAACTCCAGCAGACCTGCAGCAGAGGGCCCTGACTGTTAGAAGGAAAACTTACAAACAGAAAGGCATAGCATCAACATCCACAAAAAGGATGTCCACACAGAAACCCCATTCGAAGGTCACCTACATCAAAGACCAAAGGTAGATAAATCCATGAAAATGAGTAAAAACCATCGCAAACAGGCTGAAAATTCCAAAAAACTGAATGACTCTTCTCCTCCAAAGGATCACAACTCATCACCAGCAAGGGAACAAAACTGGACAGAGAATTGAGTTTGACGAATTGACAGAAGAAGGCTTCAGAAGGTGGGTAATAACAAACTCCCCCAAGCTAAAGTAGCATGTTCTAACCCAATGCAAAAATAGCTAAGAACCTTGAAAAAAGGTTAGATGAATTGCTAACTAGAATAACCAGTTTGGAGAAGAACATAAATGACCTGATGGAGCTGAAAAACACAGCATGAGAACTTCGTGAGGCATATAAAAGTATCAATAGTCAAGTTGGTCAGTGGAGGAAAGGAGATCAGAGACTGAAGAGCAACTTAATGAAATAAAGCTTGAAGACAAGATTAGAGAAAAAAGAATGAAAAGGAATGAACAAAGCCTCCAAGATATATGGGACTATATGAAAAGACCAAACAAACCTATGTTTGATTGGTGTACCTGAAAGTGACAGAGAGAATGGAAGCAAGTTGGAAAACACTCTTCAGGTTATTATCCAGGAGAACTTCCCCAACCTAGCAAGACAGGCCAACCTTCAAATTCAGGAAATACAGAGAACACCACAAAGATACTCCTCAAGAAGAGCAACCCCAAGATACATAATCGTCAGATTCACCAAGGTTGAAATAAAGGAAAAAATGTTAAGGGCAACCAGAAAAAAAGGTCGGGTTACCCTGTAGGAGGCCCATCAGACTAACAGCAGATCACTCTGCAGAAACTCCATAAGCCAGAAGAGAGTGGGGGGCAATATTCAACATTCTGAAAGAAAATAATTTTCAATCCAGAATTTCATATCCAGCCAAACTAAGCTTCATAAGCAAAGGAGAAATAAAATCCTTTACAGACAAGCAAATGCTGAAAGATTTTCTCACCACCAGGCCTGCCTTACAAGAGCTCCCAAAGGAAGCACTAAATATGGAAAGGAACAACCAGTACCAGCCACTGCAAAAACATAGCAAATTGTAAAGACCATCAACACTATGAAAAAACTGCATCAACTAATGGGCAAAATAACCAGCTAACATCATAATGTCGGGATCAAATTCACACATAACAATATTAACCTTAAATGTAAACAGGCTAAATGCCCCAATAAAAAGACACAGACTGGCAAATTGGGTAAAGAGTCAAGACCCACTGGTGTGCTGTATTCAGGAGACCCATCTCACATGCAAAGACACACATAGGCTCAAAATAAAGGGATGGAGGAATATTTATCAAACAAATGGAAAGCAAAAAAAGCAGGAGTTGCAATTCTAGTCTCTAATAAAACAGACTTTAAACCAACAAAGATCAAAAGAGACAAAGACGGGCATTACATAATGGTAAAGGGATCAATGCAACAAGAAGAGCTAACTATCCTAAATATATATGCACCCAATACAGGAGCACCCAGATTCATAAAGAAAGTTGTTAGACACCTACAAAGAGACTTAGACTCCCACACAGTAATAGTGGGGGACTTTAACACCCCACTGTCAATATTAGATCGAAGACACCAAAAATTAACACAGATATTCAGGACTTCAACTCAGCTCTGGACCAAGTGGACCTAATAGATATCTGCAGAACTCTCCACCCAAATCAATAGAATGTACATTCTTCTCAGCACCACATCGCACTTATTCTAAAGTTGACCACATAATTGGAAGTAAAATACTCCTCAGAAAATGCAAAAGAACAGAAATCATAACAAACAGTCTCTCAGACCATAGTGCAATCAAATTAGAACTCAGGATTAAGAAACTCACTCAAAACCACACAACTACATGGAAACTGAACAACCTGCCCCTGAATGACTACTGGGTAAATAACAAAATTAAGGCAGAAATAAATAAGTTGTTTGAAACCAAGGAGAACAAACACACAATGTACCAGAATCTCTGTGAGACAGCTAAAGCAGAGTTAAGAGGAAAATTTATAGCACTAACTGCCCACAAGAGAAAGCAGAAAAGATCTAAAATTGACACCCTAACATCACAATTAAAAAAACTAGAAAAGCAAGAGCAAACAAATTCAAAAGCTAGCAGAAGACAAGAAATAATTAAGATCAGAGCAGAACTGAAGGAGAAAGAGACATGAAAAACCCTTCAAAAAAAGCAATGAATCCAGGAACAGGTTTTTTGAAAACATTAACAAAGTAGATAGACCACTAGCCAGACTAATAAAGAAGAAAAGAGAGAAGAATAAAATAGACACAATAAAAAATGATAAAGGGGGTATCCCCACTGATCTCACAGAAATACAAACTACCATCAGAGAATACTATAAACACCTCTACACAAATAAACTAGAAAATCTAGAAGAAATGGATAAATTCCTGGACACATACATCCTCCCAAGACTAAAACAGGAAGAAATTGAATCCCTGAATAGACCAATAATAAGTTCTGAAATTGAGGCAGTAATTAATAGCTTACCAACCAAAAAAAGCCCAGGATGAGACAGATTCACAGCCAAATTCTACCAGAGGTACAAAGGGGGGCTGGTACCATTCCTTCTGAAACTATTCCAAATTATAGAAAAAGAGGGACTCCTCCCTAACTCATTTTATGAGGCTGGAATTATTCTGATACCACAACCTGGCAGAGACACGCACACACAAAAGTTTCACACCAATATCCCTGATGAACATCAATGCAAAAATCCTCAATAAAATACTGGCAAACCAAATCCAGCAGCACATCAAAAAGCTTATCCACCACTATCAAGTTGGTTTCATCCCTGGGATGCAAGGCTGGTTCAACATAGGCATATCAATAAACATAATCCAATTTTGTTGGGGGTGCAGCCAAGATGGCCGAATAGGAACAGCTCCAGCCTACAGCTCCCAGCATGAGCAATACAGAAGACGGGTGATTTCTGCATTTCCAACTGAGGTACTGGGTTCATCTCACAGGGGAGTGCTGGACAGTGGGTGCAGGACAGTGAGTGCAGTGCACCATGTGTGAGCCAAAGCAGGGCGAGGCATCTACTCACCCGGGAAGCACAAGGGGTCAGGGAATTCCCTTTCCTAGTCAAAGAAAGGGGTGACAGACGGCACCTGGAAAATCGGGTCACTACTACCCTAATACTGCACTTTTCCAACAGGCTTAACAAACGGCACACCAGGAGATTATATCCCGCACCTGGCTTGGAGGGTCCTACGCCCACGGAGCCTCGCTCACTGCTAGCACAGCAGTCTGAGATCAAACTGCAAGGTGGCAGCGAGGGTGGGGGAGGGGCGCCCGCCATTGCTCAGGCTTGAGTAGGTAAACAAAGCAGCCTGGAAGCTGGAACTGGGTGGAGCCCACCACAGCTCAAGGAGGCCTGCCTGCCTCTGTAGGCTCCACCTCTGGGGGCAGGGCACAGACAAACAAAAGACAGCAATAACCTCTGCAGACATAAATGTCCCTGTCTGACAGCTTTGAAGAGAGTAGTGGTTCTCCCAGCATGTAGTTTGAGATTTGAGAACAGGCAGATTACCTCCTCAAGTGGGTCCCTGACTCCCGAGTAGCCTAACTGGGAGGCACCCCCCAGCAGGGGCAGACTGACAACTCACACGGCCAGGTACTCCTCTGAGACAAAATTTCCAGAGGAATGATCAGGCAGCAGCATTTGTGGCTCACCAATATCTGCTGTTCTGCAGCCACCACTGCTGATACCCAGGCAAACAGGGTCTGGAGTGGACCTCCAGAAAACTCCAACAGACCTGCAGCTGAGGGTCCTGACTGTTAGAAGGAAAACTAACAAACAGAAAGGCCACCCACACCAAAAACCCATCTGTACGTCACCGTCATCAAAGACCAAAGGTAGATAAAACCACAAAGACTAGGAAAACACACAGCAGAAAAGCTGGAAACTAAAAATCAGAGCACCTCTCCTCCTCCAAAGGAATGCAGCTCCTCAGCAGCAATGGAACAAAGCTGTACGGAGAATGACTTTGACAAGTTGAGAGAGGAAGATTTCAGAGGATCAAACTACTCCGAGATAAAGGAGTAAGTTTGAACCAATGGCAAAGAAGTTAAAAACTTGGGAAAAAAATTAGACGAATGGATAACTAGAATAACCGATGCAGAGAAGCCCTTAAAGGACCTGATGGAGCTGAAAACCATGGCACGAGAACTATGTGACGAATGCACAAGCCTCAGTAACCGATGAAATCAACTGGAAGAAAGGGTATCAGCAATGGAAGATGAAATGAAGCATGAAGAGAAGTTTAGAGAAAAAAGAATAAAAAGAAACAAACAAAGCCTCCAAGAAATATGGCACTATGTGAAAAGACCAAATCTACGTCTAATTGGTGTACCTGAAAGTGATGGGGAGAATGGAACCAAGTTGGAAAACACTCTGCAGGAGATTATCCAGGAGAACTTCCCCAATCTAGCAAGGCAGGCCCACATTCAAATTCAGGAAATACAGAGAATGCCACAAAGATACTCCTCAAGAAGAGCAACTCCAAGACACATAATTGTCAGATTCACCAAAGTTGAAATGAAGGAAAAAATGTTAAGGGCAGCCAGAGAGAAAGGTCGGGATACCCACAAAGGGAAGCCATCAGACTAACAGCTGATCTCTCAGCAGAAACTCTACAAGCCAGAAGAGAGTGGGGGCCAATATTCAACATTCTTAAAGAAAAGAATTTTCAACACAGAATTTCATATCCAGCCAAACTAAGCTTCATAAGTGAAGGAGAAATAAAATACTTTAAAGACAAGCAAATGCTGAGAGATTTTGTCACCACCAGGCCTGCCTTACAAGACCTCCTGAAGGAAGCACTAAACATGGAAAGGAACAACCGGTACCAGCCGCTGCAAAAACATGCCAAATTGTAAAGACCATCAAGGCTAGGAAGAAACTGCATCAACTAACGAGCAAAATAACCAGCTAACATCGTAATGACAGGATCAAATTCACACATAACAATACTACCCTTAAATGTAAATGGGCAAAATACTCCAATTAAAAGGCACAGACTGGCAAATTGGATAAAGGGTCAAGACCCATCAGTGTGCTGTATTCAGGAAACCCATCTCATGTGCAGAGACACACATAGGCTCCAAATAAAGGGATGGAGGAAGATCTACCAAGCAAATGGAAAACAAAAAAAGGCAGGGGTTGCAATCCTAGTCTCGGATAAAACAGACTTTAAACCAACAAAGATCAAAAGAGACAAAGAAGGCCATTACATAATGTTAAAGGGATCAATTCAACAAGAAGAACTAACTATCCTAAATATATTTCCACCCAATACAGGAGCACCCAATTTATAAAGCAAGTCCTTAGTGACCTACAAAGAGACGTAGACTCCCACACAATAATAATGGGAGACTTTAACACCCCACTGTCAACATTAGACAGATCAACGAGACAGAAAGTTAACAAGGATATCCAGGAATTGAACTCGGCTCTGCACCAAGCAGACCTAATAGACATCTACAGAACTCTCCACCCCAAATCAACAGAATATACATTCTTTTCAGCACCACGCCACACCTATTCCAAAATTGACCACATAGTTGGAAGTAAAGCACTCCTCAGCAAATGTAAAAGAACAGAAATTATAACAAACTGTCTCTCAGACCACAGTGCAATCAAACTAGAACTCAGGATTAAGAAACTCACTCAAAACCACTCAACTACATGGAAACTGAACAACCTGCTCCTGAATGCCTACTGGGTACACAACGAAATGAAGGCAGAAATAAAGATGTTCTTTGAAACCAACGAGAACAAAGACACAACATACCAGAATCTCTGGGACACATTCAAAGCAGTGTGTAGAGGGAAATTTATAGCACTAAATGCCCACAAGAGAAAGCAGGAAAGATCTAAAATTGACACCCTAACATCACAATTAAAAGAACTAGAGAAGCAAGAGCAAACACATTCAAAAGCTAGCAGAAGGCAAGAAATAACTAAGATCAGAGCAGAACTGAAGGAAATAGAGACACAAAAAACCCTTTAAAAAAATCAATGAATCCAGGAGCTGGTTTTTTGAAATGATCAATAAAATTGATAGACCACTAGCAAGACTAATGAAGAAAAGAGAGAAGAATCAAATAGATGCAATAAAAAATGATAAAGGGGATATCACCACTGATCCCACAGAAATACAGACTACCATCAGAGAATACCATAAACACCTCTACACAAATAAACTAGAAAATCTAGAAGAAATGGATAAATTCCTTGACACATACACTCTCCCAAGACTAAACCAGGAAGAAGTTGAATCTCTGAATAGACCAATAACAGGCTCTGAAATTGTGGCAATAATTAATAGCTTACCAACCAAAAAAAGTCCAGGACCAGACGGATTCACAGCCTAATTCTACCAGAGGTACAAGGAGGAGCTGATACCATTCCTTCTGAAACTATTCCAATCAATAGAAAAAGAGGGAATCCTCCCTAACTCATTTTATGAGGCCAGCATCATCCTGATACCAAAGCCTGGCAGAGACACAACAAAAAAAGAGAATTTTAGACCAACATCCTTGATGAACATTGATGCAAAAATCCTCTATGAAATACTGGAAAACCGAATCCAGCAACACATCAAAAAGCTTATCCACCATGATCAAGTGGGCTTCATCCCTGGGATGCAAGGCTGGTTCAATGTATGAAAATCAATAAATGTAATCAAACATATAAACAGAAACAAAGACAAAAACCACATGATTATCTCAATAGATGCAGAAAAGGCCTTTGACAAAATTCAACAACACTTCATGCTAAAAACTCTCAATAAATTAGGTATTGATGGGACGTATCTCAAAATAATAAGAGCTATCTATGACAAACCCACAGCCAATATCATACTGAATGGACAAAAACTGGAAGCATTCTCTTTGAAAACTGGCACAAGACAGGTATGCCCTCTCTCACCACTCCTATTCAACATAGTATTGGAAGTTCTGGCCAGGGCTATCAGGCAAGAGAATGAAAGAAAGGGTATTCAAATAGGAAAGAGGAAGTTGAATTGTCTCTGTTTGCAGATGACATGATGGCATATTTGGAAAACCCCATTGTCCCAGCCCAAAATCTCCTTAAGCAGAAAAGCAACTTCAGCAAAGTCTCGGGATACAAAATCAATGTGCAAAAATCACAAGCATTCCTATACACCAATAACAGACAAACCGAGAGCCAAATCATGAGTGAACTGCCATTCACAATTGCTACAAAGATAATAAAATACCTAGGAATACAACTTACAAGAGATATGAAGCACCTTTTCAAGGAGAACTACAAACCACTGCTCAAGGAAATAAGAGAGGACATAAACAAATGAAAAAACATTCTACCTTCATGGATAGCAAGAATCAGTATCATGAAAATGGTCATACTGCCCAAAGCAATTTATAGATTCAATGCTATCCCCATCAATCTACCATTGACTTTCTTCACAGATTTAGAAAAAACTACTTTAAATTTCATATGGAACCAAAAAAGAGCCTGTATAGCCAAGAGAATCCTAAGCAAAAAGAACAAAGTTGGAGACATCACGCTACCTCACTTCAAACTATACTACAAGGCTACAGTAACCAATACAGCATGGTACTGGTACCAAAACAGATATATAGACCAATGGAACAGAACAGAGGCCTCAGAAATAATGCCACACATCTACAACCATTTGATCTTTGACAAACCTGACAAAAACAAGGTACGGGAAAAGGATTCCCTATTTAATAAATGGAGTTGGGAAAACTGGCTAGCCATATGCAGAAAACTGAAACTGGACCCCTTCCTAACAGCTTACACAAAAATTAACTCAAGATGGATTAAATACTTAAATGTAAGACCTAAAACCATAAAAACCCTAGAAGAAAACCTAGGCAGTATCATTCAGGACATAGGCATGAGCAAAGACCTCATGACTAAAATACCAAAAGCAATGGCAACAAAAGCCAAAAACTGACAAATGGTATCTAATTAAACTAAGGAGCTTCTGCACAGCAAAAGAAACTATCATCAGAGTAAAGAGGCAACCTACAGAATGGGAGAAGTTTTTTCGCAATCTATCCATCTAACAAAGGGCTAATATTCAGAATCTACGAAGAACTTAAACAAATTTATAAGAAAAAAAAATCAACCCCATCAAAAAGTAGGCGAAGGATATGAACAGACACTCCTTGAAAGAAGACATTTATGTGGCCAACAAACATATGAAAAAAAGCTCATCGTCACTGGTCATTAGAGAAATGCAAATCAAAACCACAATGAGATGCCATCTCATGCCAGTTAGAATGGTGATCATTAAAAAGTCAGGATACAACAGATTCTGGAGAGGATGTGGAGAAATAGGAACGCTTTTACACTGTTGGTGGGAGTGTAAATTAGTTCAACCATTGTGGAAGACAGTGTGGCCATTTCTCAAGGATCTAGAACCAGAAATACCATTTGACCCAGCAATCCCATTACTGGGTAATAAATCATTCTACTATAATCAAAGGATTATAAATCATTCTACTATAAAGACACATGCACATGTATGTTTATTGCAGCACTGTTCACAATAGCAAAGACTTGGAACCAACCCAAATGCCCGTCAATGACAGAATGGATAAAAAAAAAATGTGGCACATATACACCATAGGATACTATGCAGCCATAAAAAAGGATGAGTTCATGTACTTTGCAGGGACATGGATGAAGCTGGAAATCATCATTCTCAGCAAACTAACACAGGAAAAGAAAACCAAACACCACATGTTCTCACTCATAAGTGAGAGTTGAACAATGAGAACACTTGGACACAGGGAGGGGAACATCACATACCGGGGCCTGTCAGTGGGTTGGGGGCTCGGGGAGGGATAGCATTAGGAGAAATACCTAATGTAGATGACGGGTTGATGGGTGCAGCAAACCACCATGGCACATGTGTACCTATGTAACAAACATGCACATTCTGCACATGTATCCCAAAACTTAAAGTACAATTTAAAAAGAAAAAGAAAGAAAGAAAGAAATGCATTCTCTCAGGGAGAGTAGCTTGCTATGTCTAAGAATTGGCCAGTTTTGAGACAGGCAGTTTCTCCCCAGTCAGCAAGGCCCCTGATGCCAGAGCATCAAGAAAACACAAAATAAGAAAATATTAACACAGAGATTCAGACAAACTGGAATTGAGAAACATTTTTAAAAATACTCAAATTGTTAAAATTATGAAGGTCACAGGAATATGTAGAAACTGTTCCAGATTGAAGGGAAAGAAAAGAACTGACAATTAAATGCAATCTATGAAGTAGATCCTTTTTATAAAGGACATTACTGGAAAAAATTGATGACATCTGAATGGGGTGTGAGTATTATATGGTAGCACGGTATCAGTTTCTGATTTTTATGGTTGTATTATGCTTATACAGAAGAATACCCTTGTTTTCAGGAGATTAAATTGTTTATGGGGGCTGGGCATGGTGGCTCACGCCTGTAATCCCAACACTTTGGGAGGCCGAGGTGGGTGGATCACCTGAGGTCAGGATTTTGAGACCAGCCTGGCCAACATGGCAAAACCCCGTTTCTACTAAAATTACAAAAATAAACTGGGCATGGTGGCTCATGCTTGTAGTACCAGCTACTCAGGAGGCTGAGGAAAGAATCTCTTGAACCCGGGAGGCAGCATTTGCAGTGAGCCAAAATTGCACCACTGCATTCCAGCCTGGGTGACAAAGTGAGATTCCGTCTCAAAAAATTAAAAAAACATATATGTATGTATATATATATGTGTATATATATATATATATATATGTGTGTGTATATATATATATATATATATGTGTATATATATATATATATATATATATATATATATATATATATATATATATAAAATTGTCCCAGGGGATTTTTTTGTAATGTGCTTGCAACTCTTCTGCAAGTGTTAAAAATTTTCAAAAGAAAATATAAAACAGTAAAGAAATATTAAATCAGTATATAAATTTAGTAAATATTCTTATAACTCATATCTTGAACCTTGAGTTTTTATTTTTTACCACTGCTTCACACATATTATCACATTTGTTTTATAGCATGACTACAGGTGCTTCAGTTTCCAGTGTGCAATGACAGGGAAACAAGTTAAGGAGTGTGGATGGGTGGATCTCAGCCAAGTAGAAATGCTAACCAAGACTCAGGCTGCTCAGGATAAACACCTCAAAAGTTAGTAGCCTAAAATAGGATAAACCACTTCATTCCACCCAAAAGTAGGCAAAAGAAAAGGACAAAGTGAGAAGCAGGTGTAAACTTCAAGGAAGTTTAGGAATACAGACAAGACCCCACCACTTCCTTGTCACCATGAGATTCTTCTTTTCTTATGTAGACAGAGCCAATCTCTCACCATCCCAGCCCTGTATTTCCAGAGTTGCAAATTACCTGTGACTACAGTCTGGCTATGAATTTCCCACCAATCTTCCCACTGCTTTTCGCTTAGTTGGATCATTAAGAAGTACTGGAAAAAGAATTGCCAGCAGGCTGATTTTCACTGATTCCTGAACTGAGGAAGGCCTGGCATCTCTCTGGGCTTTGATATTTGAGACAAGTCTACATTTAGATTGTTTTGCACTTGGTTTTATCTGAACAAGGTAACAAGTTCCTGTACTAGTTTTCTAGAATGCGTTTCTCTGTATCACCATCCCTTCCTATACCTTATATGCCTGAGGATCAGCAAAAACCTTAACTCTTTCCAGAGATATTAAAATATTATAAGCCAGGCCTTCTACTCCAATGGCCTGGACTTAATTTTCAGAGCAGATGGAATTGATCAAGGTAAAGGAATTTTCTGCACAGCAATTAATATCATATATTAATTGTGACAGCATAATGCTTCCACTGTTACACATACCCACTTCCTGTAACATAGCACAACCCATATCCACTCCTGAAGACCACAGCATTCATTTCTTCAGCAACAATTTCCTGAGCACCTACTACAAGCTCAGCAATATACTAAGGACTTAGGATGTACCAGTGAGCAACAACAGGAATAAATAACTGCCCACTTGGGGTCTATATCTAGCAGAAGAAACAATTAATAATCAATGAACACAATTAACAAGCAATTATGCAGGAAGGTGATACATGCTATAGCAAAAGAAAAAAAAAAGGTCAGCCTAAGGGGAATTGGAATTACTGGGTTTGAGATGTGCAAGTTACCACTTAAAAATCAAACTAATAATAAAAGGGAGTTTTATTTTGTCAGGAAAATATAGAGACCCATAGACATATTTTCAAATTATAATAATATATGACATTGTAAAAAGAAATATATTTTAATATAAAAGTTGGTTTGTACTCCATCCCTAGAGCCTCCCTAGGCCCAGGGAGGGAAAAATGAAAGGAAATTAGCAAGGGCTAGAGCAAAGCAATCAGTAAAACCTTACAGAGATAGCATAAGGTTAAGGAGGCTTAGGGAATTGTAGACGAGGAAGAGATGAGGAAGAGACGTCCTTGGAGGAGGAATTCCTTCCTGCCATCCAAGGTGAAACCAGAATTGCTTGGTATCCCAAGAGAGAAAGGACAGACTTCTTTTGCACCATTCCCTAGAATCCACCAGCCTGCTTGATTGCCTACTAGTAAGATTTTTCTGGAAAAGAACCATATCATCTTTTCTTACCTTATTTGTCAAGGTGACTAATGACCTCCAAGTCATCACATCTAATGGCCAATTCTCAGCTCCCATCTTGCCTGACTTCTCTGAAGCATTTGTGTAGGTAATCACTCCCTACCATTAAATACCCTCTACTTACTTGACCTCTAAGTCCCTACTCATTCTCTGCTGCTCTCCAGCTTCTCTGGCCCAAATTCTTTATTGATTCCGCCACACATTCTCAGGCTCAACATGTTATAGTGACCCAGTCCTCCTCTATATCTATACTCACTCCCAAAGAAATTATGTCCAGGCTCACAGTTTTAAATATCATCTTATGATGGTAGTTGACAGGTTCATATCTTCAGCCCAGAACTTGCACTGCCACTCAACATTTGCACTTGGGTATCTAATGGATATTTTAAATGGAACTTATCTAAAACTAAACTCTTGATTTTTTCCCCCCACACACCAGTCCTCCTCCAGGCTTTCCCATCATAGTGAGCTAGATGAACTTTATTCATCTAGTTGCTTAATCTAAAAACCTTGGAATCATCCTTGATGCGCCTTAAACATACTAAGAATACTGTCTTCTCAGGGACTTGGCCAGTGCTGACCTCTCTCCTCTCTGTGATATAGTTTATATTCCCTAAATATTTTTGGAACTAATGAACAAAAGAAATGTGATTATATCACATAGATATAAGATGTTTACAGAGTCAGGCTATGTTTCTTTACTGAGATCAACATGGTCCCAGTATGTTGCTATCTAGAAGCTAAACTACTTGAGATTTGTGGGGGATTGAAAGCAAAACCATAAATAAAGCTTAAAGAAAGTTGGTGAGCCTTGGGAAAGCTTCTGACTGTAGATCTGTGCTGTCCAATATGGTAGCCTTTACCAATTTAATTGAAATTAAATAAAAAATTTAAAATTCAGTTTCTCAGTTACACTCGACACATTTCAAGTGCTCAATAATCACAGGTATCTAGGACTACTGTTTGGACATTTTCATCACTGGAAAGTTCCACTGGTCAGCACTGCTATAGATTAACACAATTTTACCATATCTAAAGTTTACAATAACTTACCTCTTTTCCTTCCTTGCAATTTGCAAACTGTTAAAAAGTCTACTGTTTAGATATTTCATGGTTTTATTTCTTAGCTCTCACTACCTTTCAAGGAATCCACTTTTATAAGAGTGTGTATCTGTACACAGAAACACACACACGAGTTTTTATTTTGCTCACTTCAATCTGCTACTACCACATATGCTATACAATTTTACTGTTTCACATCAGTAAAACAGTAAAATCAGATGCCTCCTATATTAAGAGCCTTATGTTGGCATTATGAAAAAAAGAGTATACAAATAACAATTGAATGTATATAAATGAATAAAAAAACAAAAAGGAAAACATCAAATATGAGGATTTTTTCTTTTCCTGGCCATCAGTACCTTCAAATACTTTCAGTCTATAATTATATCCTCTTCACTTCCCACAGCCCCACCCCCGATCAATGTTTGGCCAATTTTCACCAGGTCTCTCTTCCAAGCTTTCATTGTAAATAAACTTTTTATTCATAAGGCTATGGTAGTGAATTCACATAATTTGTCAAGTTCTTTTTACAATCTCCTAATTACTCTGACGAACATAAAAGTATTTTTATACTGTGGAAATGTACATGCAAAGTTTGTATATTTTGGAACATAGCCCAGTTAAACTGTAGTAACATAACCCACATAACCCATTAATGTATAGTTGTTTACATATATTTTAGGCAATTAAGAGTGTCTTTCAGGTTTAACGAGTACTACAAAAGCAACTGAGACTTTGCAGCGTACACTCTATGGACTGATGGTTGCTTTTGATATTGAACCTGAGGAGCATAGCATTTTAAGAAAGATAAGAAAGATAAAGGGCTCTATTTTTGCTAAAGGCAAATGAAATCTACATATTTCTGTGAGGTTGTGACAGGATGATTTAAATTATTATACTGCTTTATGTTTAATGCATACTTATATGTACATTTTTACATTTAGCATAACTTCATTTTAATTAAGGACCCAGCTCAACAGTACCATAAATGAAATGGATCTGGGTGGCCATGGTCTACTTTATTTATTTATTTATTTATTTATTTTTTTTTTTTTTTGAGACAGAGTCTCACTTTGTCATCCAGGCTGGAGTGCAATGGCACGATCTCGGCTCACTGCAACTTCTGCCTCCCAGGTTCAAGCAATTCTCCTGCCTCAGCCTCCCGAGTAGCTGGGATTACAGGCGTCCACCACCATGCCCGGCTAATTTTGTACTTTTAGAGATGGGGTTTCACCACGTTGGCCAGGCTGGTCTCAAACTCCTGACCTCAGGCGATCCGCCCACCTAGGCCTCCCAAAGTGCTGGGATTACAGGCTTGAGCCACCATGCTGGGCCAGTCTACTTTCAAGAAAAGCCAAACAATATAAAAACAAGCATAAAAAACAAAACTTTAGAAAATTTAGAGGCTATGTGGGAAAACCATTGATTATATTCATTCATTATTTGACAAATAAAAAAATTTTAGAATAAAAACATAGGGTGAGAAGGGCTACACACAAAGGAAGCTTAGTCTTATCTAGGATATCAGACAAGGCACCGCCCCAGAAAGTAAGTTTTCAGCTGAGTTCTATAGGATGAGTGGGAGCAATTCAGAGAAGGAGGAAGAAGGAAGCAGAATGAGTAGGTGCAGGAGATAGATATTATTCCCACAATCTTCCATTCTCTAAAAAAAAAAGATGTATTATAAACATAAAATATATGGTTCCATTAATTAAAATAATATTGTAACACTTAAAATCTTCAAATAATCTTGGATGTGTGAGACACATGAGAATAAACTAACCACTCCAAAAATCGGGGGAAATTATTTCAAAAGGAAGAAATGTTTTGATGGCCCTTTGAAAATGGTACTAATCACCTGGAGAATTTTCTTCTTTACTCTTGGTCACTTTTCTCACCCAAAGACTAAATCATCCCCAAATGACAAGAAAAAGAATAGGATAAAACTACTATCTTCACCCAAGGAAAATGTTTCCAGTGACTTCTAATATTTATAGCCTCTGGCTTAATGAACACAATTCTAAAACTCTGGGAAGAATTGAGAGACATTTCTATATACCATCAAAAGTAAACAGCAGCTAGGAATTCTAGAATTTTAGTGTGATTTCAGTTGCTTTTATATGGTTCAGGCCACTATACAAAAGGATTCTAGACCATCCAAAAGCCTTTTGAATTGCTGTCTGTTCTGAATGACATCTATATATGTGTCTCTATAATGCACAATGTTAAGGTACAACCTACATTAACAAATGTGAATCTGATTTTTTGGCCCAAGGAAGAAGACCTTAATTATTAGAAAATAAATCATTAAAATTTTGCCACATTATAACACTTACAATCATTATAACTATAAAATTAGCAAAAACATAAAGTGAAATGTAATTTAAAAATATTCAGCCCCTTGTTGTTAATATAAATTAACAAACAATAAATGTATAAATATGAACACGCTTACAATTTAATGATAAATAAAAATAAACACAATCAATCTAATACAACCAAATCATTTTAACAAAACACTGGCTATGGATTGAGAGAGAATTGGCTTTGAATCTCTGCTACACCTATCTCTGGAATGTTGGGCAAGTTTCCTGAACTCTTTGGATTTTTGTTACTTAATCTGTAATATGAAGGAAATAATCTCTAACCTGTAAGATTTTCTTTTAGTATTAGACAATAAATTACATAAAGCACCTGTACAACTTTGGGCAATAAACATTAATTCTTTTTCCTCTCCCTTTCCCTAAAATGTTAGGTAGAATTCATTTAATGAAAGCAAAATCTACTACTGAGATGGTGAAATTAACATATTTCTAAGAACCACATTATAAAAATGCTTAATCCCTTCCCAATTGAATTAATCCCAATTATTAATTTTAAAATCTTATTATTTCATGAAACCTTATCCTTCATTGACTCTGTTCAAACCAACATTTATTAGGAGACAGTTGATAAATTGAAGGAGTACTTGACATTTTTGTGAGCATTCAAATTTTATTTTTTTTTTCAATTCAGCATATGAAGGATGATGAGTTTTCTAACACCAAATTTTAGGATTAAAACAACAGAGTCATTATATTTTCCTCAAATATTTTCACAGAGATATAACTTTAAATATACTTACATTTAGCTACACAGAAACCCCTTTTCTACACACATAGGCTTAGTTGGATTCTGGAACTTCAAAAGTACACTTTGCTGTAATCACCATTGCCTTCTATTGGTGGCTGTTATTTGTGTCAGGGTTACCTGAGGCTACAGCTTTACTGGTATTCACCAAAAGTTTAATAGTTGAAAATCTGTAGAGGATTACTATGTATACCACCAAAGAGTATCATGATAATCTACTAAAAAAATACTTGTAAAGATTTGTGACTTTGTTGGAAGTCACAAATATTTTATTTGTTTTTTACCTCATTTAGATCTAACTAAGATCCCTCACACCTATAGGGTGATTTTAATATAAAAGTGAACCCATAAAATTACTGATATTTATAAACTTTATGATAATTTCATAGAAGATAAGAAACTTGAGTTTAAATCATAAGGAGATGAGAAAAATAATTTTTATTTAAGTGTTTTTTCTTATAAACCTAAAATAAAAATAAACATTTGCATATTAGAGATCATGAAATATTAGCTGCAGTCCAAAAGATCTATTGACTTCCAAAGATTGTTATTTATTATATCCCTTATATGACTGCTATAATTTGGTTTGTTTGACCTCTCCAAATCTCATGTTTAAATTTGATCTCCAATGTTAGGGATAGGGCCTAGGGGGAGGTGTTTGGGTCATGGAGTTGAATTCCTCATGAATAGATTTATGCCCTCCCTCAGGTGGAGTTGGGGAGGAAGAGTGAGTCCTTGCTCTGTTAGTTTCCGTGAAAGCTGGTTGTGACCTGGCACCTCCCACCCTGCCTCTCTTGCTTCTGCTCTGACCATATGATCTCTGCACGCAGCAGCTTCCCTTCATCTTCTGCCATGAGCCTGAAGCTTTCGCCAGAAGCAGATGCTGGCATCATGCTTCTTGTACATCCTGCAGAACCAAGAGCCAAATAAACCTCTTTTCTTTATAAATTACCCAGTCTCAGGCATTCCTTTATAGCAATACTAAATGGACTAAGACAGTATCCTCATTTTACAGATAAAGAAACTGAAACTCAAGGAGTTTAAGAAATTTGTGTGAGATCACACAGCTAGTAACAGATGAAATCAAGTATAAATTCAGATTTTTCTAATTCCATAATCCAAGCTTTTTCTGCCTCCAAGATAAGGACCAGAGTCATAATTTTTCAGTGTTTTGGTAAATAAGATCTTAAGTTATGGCCACAAAATCATAACTATGAAAGAATTAAGTATACTGTGGCATCATAGGAAAATTCTATATTGTAGTGAAATGAAAAGTAGACTCTGAACCCAGAAACTGGTTCTAATAAACAATGTACGAGGTCATGAAATTATTGTCATATTTATTATTGACTGTGTAAATTTCAGCAAGGCAATTAACTTGAGAAGAAAACTTAATAATGGCAATCTAGTCCCATCTATCTAAGTGTTAAGTTCTATCACATACAAGTGATTTCCTAGATATATTTTCACAGATTTAACTTTTTTATTTTATTTTTTTAATTAGAGACAGCATTTCACCATGTTGGGCAGGCTGGTCTCGAACTCCTGGGCCCGAGTGATTCTCCCACCTCAGCCTCCCAAAATGCTGGGACTCAAGGCATGAGCCACTTCACCCGGCCAATTTTAACTTTTTAATGTCAAAAAATTATACAAACAATATATGCTAAATGGACCTATGGATAACAATTATACAAACAATATATGCTAAATGTATATATGGATAAAAATAAATAATAAAGAAGTTATAAAGTAAAAACTTAGATTTCTTCTCTCCGAATACATAGTCCTACCCATCAAGAAAACAGTAAAGTGTTTAATGTGTGTGTCCAGAAAAGTTCAATTTGCCATGGTATGTTTAGAAAGCTTTTATTGAACTATATGAGAATATATTAAGTACACAATTAGTAAATAGATTGCTGATGAATTATAAATTGAACACACCCATGTAATTATCACTAAGATTCAGAAATTAAATATTATAAGCTTATAATAGCACTGGGAAGGGCTTTTTAAAATAAGCCCTTTTCCTGCCCTCTCCGAATCACCACTCTCTCCTTCCTTCCCAGAGATATAACTCTTATCCTGAATCCTAAAACTATAAATTAGTTTGCTTGGATAAGTAGGATTGTACCAACTGTCTTCTTCTGTGTCAAACTGCTTACTCTCAACATAATGTTTGCAAAATTTATCCATGATAGAAGGTGTTTGTTTTCTTACTTTATTACCATGAGACTTCTAATAACAGGAACATAGCAGTGACATGCATATAGAATATAATATTCTAATATATAAAAATCACAGTTGATCCATTCTACTGTTGAAAGATATTTCAGTTGTTTCCAGTTTGGGGCTATTGTGAATAATGCTGCAATAAACATTTTGTACAAATGTTTCCCTGAACATATGTTTGAATTACTATTAGGTATTCATATAGGGGTGTAATTGTTAGGTTATATTTGTTATGCTCAACTTTAATAAATAGTGCCAGTTTTTCAAATGTTGTCTCCCCTCAGCTATGAATGTGAAAGTTCCAGTTGCTTTACTCCCTTACAGTATTATCATGGTTGTTTTTTTAAAAATTGGCCCATTTGAGTGGGTTTATAGTGGTATTTCATTGTGATTTTTATGTTTACTTCCCTAATGACTAATTTCTTAATGTTTATTGACCCTTTGTGTATCTTCTTGGGAAATACCAGTTCATGTATTTTGCCCATTAAAAAAATGTGTTGTCTGTCGTTTTGTTATTGTTTTGCAGGATTGTGTATACATTTTTATTGTTACATGTAAGAAATGATGTGGCTTTTCTTATTGTTCTTTTAATGGTGTCTTTTGATGATCAGAAATTTCTCCATAAATTGGTAAAGATTGGCTTAATTGAACTGCGTTAAAACAATATCATTTATAAATTGCATCAGTGATATAAGCTAACCAGGAATAAGGCTAATGAAAACTATACAAGATCCATTCTCAGAAAACTCTAAAATAGTATTGAAAGAAATTTTTAAAGACCTAAATAAATAGAATGACATGCTGCGCTCATCGTACTTGAAGGTTCAATATTTGTTAAAGTGTCACTTTCCCCCAATTGTCACATAAATTAGTGCAATCTAAATTTTAAAATGAGTAAGTCTTGTGTATGAGGTTGAAATTGGCTGATTTAGAAACTGGTATGGAAATACAAAGAGCCAAGACCATCCAGGGTAAACTTGAAGGAATAGAGAAAAGTCGAGACTGTATATCAAGACTTATCCATAAAGCTAAAATATTTAATATAATACAGCATTGGCACAAGGATAGACAAATAGTCCAATGGAACAAAACAGTGAGTCCGGAAACAGATATATATATATATATATATATATATATATAGAAAGAGAGAGAGAGAGAGCCTTGATTTATGACAAAGGTAGCACTGTAGAGTATCTGAGACAAGAATATTCTTTTAATAAATAATGCCTGTTCAACTGGCTATCCAAATGGGCACTCATTCTTCTGAATTTTCCTTTCTTTCTATTTAACAGTGTACTTTAGCACTTTCCATATAAACACAAGTAAATCAAATTTATTTTTGTTTTCACTGTCCCCTCTGTCTTCAACAAATAACTCATTTTTAACAGCCATAGAATAGGTCACGGGATAAATATATCTCAACACATTCACTCATTCCTGTCTTGGTTAATATTTAGCTTTTTTCCAGTTTTTTGCCCCTGTGGATACTTTTGGAAGTATATCTATCATATAATATGCTAGAAATAGAAAGCTACATCAAAAGTTGTGTGTGAATTTAATTGACATATTTCCCTTCAAGAAAGGCCACTGCTAAGTATGCTTTTACCAAGAGTTCATGAAAAGTGCCCAGAGTGCAACATAAATGACAGATGTTCCATATTTGTTCCACTTTTTTATTTTTTATTTTTTTGAGATGGAGTTTCACCCTTGTTTCCAAGGCTGGAGTGCAATGGCGCAATCTTGCAACCTCCTCCTCCCAGGCTCAAGCATTTCTCCTGCCTCAGCCTCCCAAGTAGCTGGGATTACAGGTGCATGCCACCACACCTAGCTAATTTTTTCATATTTTTAATAGAAATGGGTTTCACCACGTTGGCCAGGCTGGTCTCGAACTGACCTCAAGTGATCTGCCTGCCTCGGCCTCCCAAAGTACTGGGATTACAGGCATGAGCCACCATGCCAGGCCTATTTGTTCCCCTTTTACTGTTCATGATTTGCAAAGGCCTTTGAGAACAAATTTAATCACACTAACCACCAATAAGTTAGAATGAAAGTAATGCCTCTTCTGCAGAGATTAAAGTAAGAGCTCATGGAGCAAACAGGGTAAGCCACTCTATGATCTGCATGCAAAAGTGTCTCAGAGTAGGAATAGTGAAAGCACAGAAACACTCTTCTGGTAAAGAATTAGAAAGCCACTGGACCAGAAGCCAGACTTGGGCTCAGTGGAAAATGCTAACTCAAGAGGCAATATGCTGACTAGGAGTAAAATGTTCTCACCTTCTATGCTGATTAAATTATACCCAATTGCCAGAGACTGACTAAATTGTCATGTGATCAAGGAATTCTGTAGTATTGGATATTGCGTGGTATTTAAATAAGTGGGTCATCTGCTGGGGTGCAGAAATCTCATTAAAGCTTTTCACTGGAATGGTATTTTTGTAACTGAATTAGACTTTTATTACACCCAAGCAGTTCAGCTAGCATTGTCTCCCTTGTATAAAATAACTCCCTTTCTCAAACTATACAAATTCTTTTCCTCATCTTTCAAGGTTCATCTCCAGTCCCATTTTCTCCTCAAATACTCCCCTTGAAATTCCATTCCATGTTGTCAGAATTGTTCTTACAATTCGTGGTTGCACTTTCAGTACAGTTTTCTTTGACTTTTTCCACATCTAATTGTGACATGTACATGCACATGTAGTTTTCAAAAATTTGCTATGAGAGAGGGATGAGATGGGAAACTCCCTTGAACTTTTTATGTGCTATGCACTTTTGCATCATATTTAATCTTCACAGGTATTCCCTATGGTATGTATTCATATTTCCATTTTTCAGATGAGAAAATAGAATTCCAGAGATACTATATGCCTTGCTTTATTACACAGCTACTTAAGTGGCATCCTGGGATTCAAGCTCAAGTTAATTTTATTTCAAAGTCACTCATCATAATATCTTTCCAAAGACTGCTCTCTATGCATTTTGTGTTACAGAAATTGCATTTAGGAATTTGAATCTGTGATATCAGCACCACTGTCACCACTAAAGTGGAAGGAAAGATCATGGGCTTCAGGGAAAGAAAACTAGAGCTCTAATCCTGGTTCTACCACGCTAAACACCAGTCTCTTCTCTAAGTAATACATACAAAGCCTATGCAACTACCAAAAGAGGCACCAGTCTGGAAGAAGTGCATTAATGCATGCATTTTCAGAAGTACTCTTTACATAGTACTCACGTTGGGCTTTAGAGTAAAATCTGGTTTTGAAGATAGGATCTGCAACTCCTGGACCATGCTAACATCAGCAAGTTATTTAATTTCTTTAAAACACATATCCTCATCTGTAAAATGTATTTAATAATCACCACCTCAATGGATCATTAGAAGGATTAAATGAGGTTAAATACGAAAAGCTTTTAGCATATTTCTGGTCCATAGTAAGTGCTTCATCAAACTATCATTTGTACTCATTCCCACTGGATTAATAGAAATTAGGCATATATGCTAAGAGTACACTAATCATTGTGAATAAACATAAAAACTGATTAAATCCAAACCAAAAGTTTAGAAAATATAAAACTATTATTTTAATGTCCTTTAGTCTCGGTATCTGATATTCAGCAGGTCCAATACCAGAGTACTATTAGGTGATACTATAATACACAGCTGTGCAGCCAAAAGTATTTTTGAAAGTTTAAAAGAAAAAAAAATCACCTTTTCCTGAATTGACTAGAAAATACATTTATCTTATAAAGTTATCTCAGTCACTTTTTGTTTCATCACAAAATTTGGTAAAATTATGTGTAAGGGGCACTGAAACTCAAGTAATAAACACACACACATTTTAAGATTTCTGTATATTAGCCAAGATAATAAAAACACAATTATGATGATTTATTTTCTCTTTTGTCTGCATTAAGCAATAATAATAAAGCTAGACAGATCTAATCTCAGTAGAACTGACTCCGGTAAAAATGATGAACATAGACTTTATCTGTCTTGATAAGAATATTTTTAAAAAATTCTTTATATTTGTGCATAATTGTTTATATTGTGTGCATAATTGTTTATGCACAATTATTAGCGAACTTACAGCATAGATGCCTGTTTTCTACTAATCCAGTAGGAATGAGTACAAATGATAGTTTTACAAAGCACTTACTGTGGGCCAGCAGTATGCCAAAAGAAAACACATTATTTTTAGAGATGTTCCCATGTCAACATGTGCTCTAACATTTCTACAGAGATTTACAGTTGAAGTTTTCAGAGCCTTTGCATATGACATTATATTGTGGACCCTTCTCCAGGGAAGAAATATATCAATATTTTTAAAGATTGCTTAAACAAATCAGAAGTACCTAAAGGATGCAGATTCGACTGACTTAAATCTCATCCCAAAAGCTTGTATACTTTTTTGCAAGAACCTCATTTGAATGCTGGCCTATCAAGTCAAGCACAGCTATTTCGAGGGAAAATATAAAGGACCGCAGGAGTTAAATCTGCTGTTCATTAACATGAAAGGAAATTTCTTGCCCCATTTAACTAATATCTTAGTTGGTACAGTGTGACGAACAAATTTTAGTTGCTAAAATCTATTATACCTGCTTTAAATTGCATCTCCCTGTAGCCAGAGGCTCAATAGTTGGTTAAATTCAATTTGAGTTGCCACAGGCTGTTAATGAGTAGGTTTTCTATTTATTCTCTTAATTGTTCTTTATCTAAATTATCACTGATGATGAAATCTTACATGCACTACATTCCCACATAATCAGAAGGTCTAAATAATTTTTCCCCTTCAGGATAATGATATGGAACTAAAGGCTCATAAAAATCTTTAGGGATGGTTTGTTTTGTGTTTTTATATGTGCAACATTTAATTGCAAATTAAACAATTCCACTTGAACCTTGGTAGCATTAACAAAATATGGAAATAATAAATGAACAGAAAGTTATAATTACTAAGCCTATAGTAGGTGCCTAACAAATATATAAATATGTGCTGATTAAGTATCATAGTTGATTTCCAGCATTAGAAAGCCCTGCAAAACTTTTAAAACTCACAAGTTTTCTGTCTCAAGTACATCTTTGTAGATAATGTGTTATGTATATGACATGAATGTTGGAATTTCATTCTTAAATTAGTTACTGAGTTTATGATACAATAGCCACAGTAAAAATGAAAACAATGAATTGGGAGGGAAAATAGAATGTTCATCTATACCTATCACTTCCAGCAGAGGTCTCTAGAGAGCAACTAAAGTTATGGAAATAAGGGATATATGTTCAGTAATTTAAATAGAAAATTTAACTCTTCAGCTTCATGTGAGCCCTTTCTTTTCACCCACGCCCCTTTCTCTTTTGATGTCTGTGCTCCTTCATCAGATAAAAGACTGTCTAAAAAACTGATCAGAAGTAGACACAAGAGAACAGGTTAATCCCAAGTGCACCGGTGTAATGTGTCACAAAACAGACAATGTAATTATCTCAGCAGCCTGTTTAACCAGCTAATTCGGCAGCTTTGCATACCAGGGGTGAGCTCATCTGTTCACTAGATAACCAGCCAGGACATTTTTCACCAAGATCACTACAGTTTTACAAAAGCTTGTAAAAGCCTAAGGATTTAGTGTTTCATTGAATGTGATTTAAGAGCTTTTTGCAATCTTTTATTTATAGGGAAGCAACAGACTAACAAAAAGAGGAAAATGCAGATGAGTATTGTACAAGGCTCAAAAGATGAAGTCAATGATGTAAATATCCATATGTGTTCACTGAAAATGAAATATCTCTCTCTTTACTGGGAATCTCGACTTACAGAAAAGTGATTTTGAGGGCAAAGACTTCTAAGCCCAGTTTTGCTTTTCTTAGAAGTACATTTCTTTGCCATTGAACACATTCTTCATTTTGCTACAATAACACTCTTTTGGGGAATCAGTGTGAGCATTAGAGTCACATTGACTCGGACTTGAATTCTGGTTCTTCATCCTTTTTGTCTTCTTGATCTTGGGCAAGTTAGCTCCACAATTTCCTAATCTTTAAAATACTAATAATACATATTGCATGGTTACTGAGGGGCTTAAGTCATGTCAGGAAAATGCTTGGCACAAAGAGATAGCTAAATAAATAGTAAATACTATTACATGAGACACACACATATATGTATATATATAAAATATTGTATATACACACATACAGGCACATATATATATATACGTTTATATATACAAGTCAGTAACAAAAATTAACCAAAAACTCAGGAAACATATATTGTTACAAATTTTTTCCTTAAAATGACTATCCACTGATCTCAGTGACAAAACCATGTCCAGCAACTAGCACAGGGCCCCAAGTGCTTAATAATATTTGTTGAATGAAATAAACATAACAGACTAGGGGAAGAAAATCACTGAAGAATATATAAAATTAGCCAAAAATATTGACAATATTTTAAAGTAGTGTGTTTTCCTATTCAATATTTTCAGTAAATTAAACTTTGAAATCAAAGGACAGTAATTTCTATGTATAATAGCTTAGATGGAGCTTACACCTGTGATGTCACATGTCTCATCATTTGACATAGTTAAATGGCAATAGTGGCAGGAGAGTCCAAGTCTTAGACAATAATAAAAATAGCTTTGAAGGTGAGGGAAAGAAAAAGGAAGGTTCTGATTGAAAGTAAAGTCTGCAGAAGGGCCTGTTATTACACCAAAGTGACAAGAAAAGCACAAATGAATTACATCTGAGGTGCAATATGCCAAAGTATATGGCATGGGAAAACTCCATAGCCAGGGGGATGGCCAGGAAATAGATTTAAGAAAAAGCCAACCACCATCTCCTAGGTTCATGTGAAATAGCTTCAACAGCAAGTTCAAAGCCAGGGAAAAACAAAGGCTCTCTGCCTTTAGCTTCCATTCTACTACCAACAGAGACTGTTCACACATCAGCCAAAATGCAACTTGGATTTTGCTGCTCCCCTTCTCTAAAACCTCCTGTAACCCTGCTATGATTGACCTCTCTACTTCTCTTAATTTATTTCAAAGCACTCTTCCCTTGACGTGCTCCACTGAGACCATATTGGCCTCACTGCCATCTTTTGACAATAGCCTGAGGCATTTCTACCTACTATTAGCTGTCAGGAAGTCTATTCCTCTGACGTCTACAAGGCTTGCTTCCTCACCCCACTTCCTTCAGGTCCCTGCTCACATTTTACCCCTCACAAAGGCCTTTGCTGACCGCCCTTTCTAAAACTCCAACTCCAGTCACTCTCTGGTTTTTAATGCTGCTTAATTTTTTTCATAGCACTCACTGGACCTCAGTTTTCTTTATTTATTTGCTCATAAATATACTCTCTATTATCCCACTGGAATTTTAGCTCAGGGAGGCCAGGAGTTTATTTTCTTCCCTGGTCTATCCCCTGTGCCCAGAAGTCTCTGGCACATAACAGTGACTTGGTACACATATTTGTCAAATGAATGGTGGGAAAGGAGGACAGTAGCTGAATGTCTGTGTTGCCACCACATTTTATTCAATCTAGTTCCATATTGTATCGTAATTATGAATTTCTATGACCTGGTGCCACCCTTAGTTTGTCAATTCCTTTAAGTAGTATGGGGTCTTCATCTTTGACTAAAGCATCTGGCACCCTGTGGGTCTTAAGAAAATAGTTGTCTAGCAAACAAAAATTTTAAAAATGAACAAAAAGCACTAAATAGTGAACTTTGGAAGTTTTTTAAAAGTTGAGAATCATAGTGTATTTCCAAAAGTAAACACATTACGGTAATATTATGATGTAAGAAGTCCAGTAACAGATATCTTTGTCTCAGCCATTAATGAAAAGTTTCGGGCACAGACTTCATGTTGTGCAATTTTCAATACACATCAAGAAGTGTCTCATTATTATTATTCTTAACTTACAGGTGGGAAACCTGAAGAAAACACTTGTTAAGAATCCGGCCCAGAATTACAAAGCTAATAAGTGCCAGGACTTGAACCCCAGTCAGAGTAACCACTCTCTCGGAGTCCTACTCTTTAGACTGACCTTCTTGTATTTCAAATATAATTTTCCCCATTGCCTTTTATTATTAATACCATTGCCCATTTCTCTCTTTTAACAATCAAGTTAATATCACTAAATTTAAAACTTAATATATTGCAAAGTTTTGTTTGAATACCAAACTCTTAAAACATTTTAAATAATAAATGTGTATCTCCCCAAAAGGGGGAATAGATTAACGAAGGTTAATGTTGTCCTTGGGGTGGTAGAATTTAAATTTCATGAGTCTCTTATGCCTATTTAAAAGACAAAATAAATGTTACCATACTTTAGTAAAACCTGCATTTCAAGGCACTTCTATGATTTATGAATTTCTCTCCTGTAGAGAACAAGTGATACATAGCTAGAGTTTAATTCATTCCAACTCATCACATGTATTTTGTTACTCTATATCACCTTTCTAAATCAATAGGCAGCTGACATTGAGTACATGTATTTGGATTTGAAAAGGGACAAAAATTAGACTGTGAACTATTCCTTGTACAGGATTCTGTTAACATATTTTTATATAGTATCAGGTCAAACACCTTAACTCATTTTTTAAGACTCATTGCCCAATATTCTTCAGCTCCTGTATAATTTAGTCTCATACTGTGCTTGCAGGCAATATTAATTTGCATGGGTTAAAAAGGGTCACTAGTTTATTACTTAGTATCTGTATGGTCTTTGGCAAAGATAAAGTGTTATATAAATAGTGGCTGTGTGTCAAATTAAAAGTCCCTTCTTCAGAATCTTTATTTTTAAAGTTTTCTTAACTTTTTGTTATCAGGTTGATACGGTTTGGCTGTGTCCCCACCCAAATCTCATCTTGAATTCCCACGAGTTGTGGGAGGGATCCAGTGGGAAGTAATTGAATCATGAGGGCAGGTCTTTCCCGTGCTGTTCTTGTGATAGTGAATAAGTCTCACAAGACCCGATGGTTTTGAAAAATGAGAGTCTCCCTGCACAAGCTCTCTCTTTGCCTGCCGCCATCCATGTAAGATGTCTCCTTGCCTTCTGCGATGATTGTGAGGCCTTCCCAGCCATGTGGAAATGTAAGTCCAACTAAACCTCCTTTCTTTGTAAAAACCTAGTCTCTGGTATGTCTTTATCAGCAGTGTGAAAACGGACTAATACACAGGTCATTTATATAGTTTTATTCATAAAACTTGTCATTTTAAGGTACTTTTATTCACATATTTATTCATTTACTCAACAAATATTTATTGAGAGTCTATTATATTCAAGCTTTGTGCACGCACTGAGAATACAGTGGAAAAAACACAGACACAGAAAAACAATGTGCAAGGGCATTTTTGAATGCCATCATTATAAACTTGAATGAATAGTCAAGACTTCTTTGCATATATTGCACACAAGGCCAGGTCCTACAGTTAAAGGAAATGATGTAGTGCTTTGAAGGTTAAATCAATTCTCTCCACTAACTAGATTGCCACTTAAAAATATATATAAAATGCATATACATTAGCTATTCAAATACCTGTGCCTATGAATGATAAAAACAATAACTATTGTTGAAAAAACAATAACTATCATAATATAGGATATATTATATAGGATATATATATAGGTTGCTCAATATTTTGCTAAATTACTGAAGCAAATTGGAAATTTATTTCTACGGTGTTTTTAAAAAAGAAATTCTTTTCATCTTTTGGGTCATGGTTTAGATGTGTTTGGGATGAAAGGCAGAGAGATGGGTTAATTTTTGAACCAAAAATCATGGTATTCCAGGTAGAAGCAACCATAAGAGCTGTGGCAAGGAGTCCAGATGCCCAGCAGAGCAGCTAATTCCAATTGGTTAGGGCATAATGGTAGTGAAGAAGAAAAGTGGGAGATAACACTGAAATCACAGCATGGCAGGGGTGTTGACAGCTGTGCCAGGAAGGTCAAGGAGTTTACAGTTATTAAAAAAACTCATTTCAATCTTTTTCAACTTCATTGAGGTATAATTGATATAACAAAAACTGAACATATTTAACGTACACAATTTGATGAGTATGGACAGATGCATATACCCATGAAACCAACATCACAATCAAGGTAATATACATATCCATCACTCCCAACTATTTCCTGTGTCCATCTGGTGTTTTGGTTTGTTTGCTTTATTTTGGGATAAGAGCACTTAACATGAGATCTACTTTCTTAACAGATGTTTTAAGTGCACAGTACTATATTGTTAACTATAGGCATGATGCTGTACAGCAGATCTTTAGAATTTATTCATCTTGCATAACTGAAACTTTATACTCATTGAACATCTCCCCATTTCCCCCTCCTCTCAGTCCCTAGAAGCCACCATTCTACTCTCTGCTTTGATTAATTTGACTATTCTAGACTCCATATATAAGTGAAATCATGCACTATTTGTCTTTCTGTGCTTAATTTATTTCACTTAGCACAATGTCTTCCAGTTTCATTCATGATGTCACAAATGACAAGATTTCCTTCGTTTTTAAGACTAAATAGTGTTTCATTGTATGTATATAACACATTTTCTTTATTCTTTCATCTGTAATAGACATTCAGATTCCTACTATACCTTGGCTATTGTGAATGATGCTGCAATAAACATAGGAATGCAAATATTTCTTTGAGATCCTGATTTCAATTATTTTGGATATAGATCCAAAAGTGGGATTGCTGAATCTTATGGTAGTTCTATTTTTAAGTTTTTGAGGAGTCCCCATACCATTATTCACAGTGGCTGCACCATTTTACATTCCCACCAATAGCTTACAAATGTTCCAATTTCTCCACATCCTTGCCAATACTTGTTATCTTTCTTATTTTTAATAATAATTAAAATTTGGTACATATACACCATGAAATACTACTCAGTCATAAGAAGAATGAAATCATATCCTTTGTAGCAACATGGATGCTGCTGGAGGCCAATATGCTAAGCAAATTAATGCACAAACAGAAAATAAAATCCTGCATGTTCTCATTTGTAAGTGGGGGCTAAACCTGTACATGTAATCCCTGAGTGTAAAATAAAGTTGAAAAAAACAATAACTATCCTAACAGGAATGAGGTGATATCTCATTGTGGTATTGACTAGCATTTCTCTGATGGTTAGTAATGTTGAGTACATTTTCATATACCTGTTGGCCATTTCTATGTCTTTTTTCCTTTGTCCCTTTTAAAATTGTTTTTTTTCTTTTTTAAAACTATTGAGTTGTAGCAGTTCCTTTATATTTTGGATATGAACCCCTTATCAGACATATGGTTTACAAATATTTTTCCCAAAATATAAGTTGCATTTTCATTCTGTTGATTATTTCCTTTGCTGGGCAGAAGTCTTTTGGTTTGATATAGTCTCACTTGTCTATTTTTGCTTTTGTTGTTTGTGCTTTTGGTGTCACATCCAAGAAATCATTGTTAAGACCAAAATTAGAAACTATGAGTTTTAGTTCCTGGTCTTATGTATAATACACTATGACCAAGTGGGATTTATCCCTTGGATTCAAGGATGGTTAACCATGTACACATCAATAAATGTAATACACCACATGAACAGAACAAAGGATAAAAATTACATGGTATTCTCAATAGATGCAGAAAACAGCATTTGACAAAACTCAATACCTTTTCATGATAAAAACTATCAACAAATTAGGTATAGAAGTAATTTACCTTAACACAATAAAGGCTATATATGATAAGCCCACAGCTAACATCATACTCAATGATGAAAATCTGAAAGTTTTTTCTCTAAGATAAAAAAAGAGACAAGGATATCCACTCTCACCACTTCTAATCAACATAGTACTGGAAATCCTAGACAAAGCAATTAGGCAAGAAAAATAAAAAGCAAACAAATAAGAAAGGAAGAAGTAAAATTATCAATGTTTACAGATGACAGGATCTTATGTAGAAAACTTTACAGACTCCACCAAAACCTGACAGAACTAATAAGTGAATTCAGTAAAACTGCAGGATACAAAGAAAACATACAAAAAACAGTTGCATTTCTATACTCTAACACCAAACTATTAAAAAAGGAAATAAATGAAACCATTCTATTTACAATAGCATCAAAATGATAAAATGCTTAGGAATAAACTTAACTGAAGGTGAAGGACATATGCACTCAAAACTATAAAACATTCATGAAAGAAACTAAAAAAGACACAAATAAGTGGAAAGATTTCAATGTTTCTGGATTGTAAGATGTACTACTCTTAAAATGTCCATACTACCCAATGTGATCTGCAGATTCAACGCTATCTCCATCAAAATCTCAATGGCAGTTTTTACAGAAATAGAAAAAACAATCTTAAATTAATGTGAAACCAGAAAGATCACAAATAGACCAAACAATCTGGAGAGGGAAGAATAAAGCTGGAAGATTCACACTTTCTGATTTTAATACATATTAAAAAGCTATAGTAATCAAACAAGTATGGCACTAACATAAATACACTATATAGACCAATGGAACAGAATACAGAGCTCAGAAAAAAAAACGTATGCATATACAGCCAACTGATCTTTGGCAAAGGTGCCAAGAAGACACAATGGAGAAATTATAGTGTCTTCAACAAATTATGTCAGGAAAACTAGATCTCCACATGCAAGAGAATGTAACTGGACCCTCATCTTGTACCATACACATAATTCCAGGAGTCTACATTTCACATGCAGAAGAATAACACAATTAAAATTGGGTTGTTGAAAGATTAATCTGTCAATGAAATAGAGAATGCATTGAAGGAAGGGAAGGAGAGGCAGAAAATGAGAGAGGCTAAAGAAGGGGATAAATGTTAAATCCAATGAAGCCTTGAACTAGAGGGATGGAAATAATAATGCTCAGGTCAGAGAAGATGCTGCAAAAAGAGAATCAACAGCACTGGGAAACAGAATGAATTTGGGCTCAAAAGAACTTGCTAACAAACATATTTTTTTAGAATTGATCTAACTAAAGTTTCTGATATGATGAATCAATATAAGATTTTTAAAAATTTTCTCACCTAAGACAGTCTCTAGATAGAGTTGCATCTCTTAGAAATGTTAATATTTATTCTTACTAATAAAATATTATAAACTAATCTGCCAAACAATACATATATATTTCTTGCAGTTATTTGAATAATAAACTAACATTTATTGAGCACTTACCAGAAAACATGAAAAAGAGTTTATGTATTACATTTATTATCTAATTAAAATCTATAAAAAATCTATAGGTTGGGGGGTGGAGCCAAGATGGCCGAATAGGAACAGCTCCAGTCTACAGCTCCCAGCGTGAGCGATGCAGAAGACGGGTGATTTCTGCATTTCCAATTGAGGTACTGGGTTCATCTCACAGGGGAGTGCTGGACAGTGGGTGCAGGACAATGGATGCAGCGCACCATGCATGAGCCAAAGCAGGGCGAGGCATCGCCTCACCCGGGAAGCACAAGGGGTCAGGGAGTTCCCTTTCCTAGTCAAAGAAAGGGGTGACAGACGGCACCTGGAAAATCGGGTCACTCCCACGCTAATACTGCATTTTTCCAATGGGCTTCAAAAACGGCACACCAGGAGATTATATCCCGCACATGGCTTGGAGGGTCCCATGCCCACGGAGCCTCACTCATTGCTAGCATAGCAGTCTGAGATCAAACTGCAAGGTGGTAGCGAGGCTGGGGGAGGGGCGCCCACCATTGCTCAGGCTTGAGTAGGTAAACAAAGTGTCCAGGAAGCTCGAAGTGGGTGGAGCCCACCACAGCTCAAGGAGGCCTGCCTGCCTCTGTAGGCTCCACCTCTGGGGGCAGGGCACAGACAAACAAAAGACAGCAATAACCTCTGCAGACTTAAATGTCCCTGTCTGACAGCTTTGAAGAGAGTAGTGGTTCTCCCAGCACACAGCTTGAGATCTGAGAACGGGCAGACTGCCTCCTCAAGTGGGTCCCTGACCCCCTAGTAGCCTAACTTGGAGGCACCCCCGAGTAGGGGCGGACTGATGCCTCACACAGCTGGGTACTCCTCTGAGACAAAATTTCCAGAGAACGATCTGGCAGAAGCATTTGCGGTTCACCAATATCTGCTGTTCTGTAGCCACTGCTGCTGATACCCAGGCAAACAGGGTCTGGAGTGGACCTCCAGTAAACTCCAACAGACCTGCAGCTGAAGGTCCTGGCTGTTAGAAGGAAAACTAACAAACAGAAAGGACACCCACACCAAAACCCATCTGTACATCACCATCATCAAAGACCAAAGGTAGATAAAACCACAAAGATGGGGAAAAAACACAGCAGAAAAACCAGAAACTCTAAAAATCGGAGAGCCTCTCCTCCTCCAAAGGAACGCAGCTCCTCACCAGCAACAGAACAAAGCTGGACAGAGAATGACTTTGACAAGTTGAGAGAGGAAGTCTTCAGAAGATCAAACTTCTCTGAGCTAAAGGAGGAAGTTCAAACCAATGGCAAAGAAGTTAAAAACTTTGAAAAAAAATTAGATGCAGGGATAACTAGAATAATCAGTGCAGAGAAGTCCTTAAAGGACCTGATGGAGCTGAAAACCACGGCATGAGAACTACGTGACTAATGCACAAGCCTTAGTAACCGAGGCAATCGACTGGAAGAAACGGTATCAGCAATGGAAGATGAAATGAATGAAATGAAGCATGAAAAGAAGTTTAGAGAAAAAAGAATAAAAAGAAACAAACAAAGCCTCCTAGAAATATAGCACTATGTGAAAAGACCCAATCTACATCTAATTGGTGTACCTGAAAGTGATGGGGAGAATGGAACCAAGTTGGAAAACACTCTGCAGGAGATTATCCAGGAGAACTTCCCCAATCTAGCAAGGCAGGCCCACATTCAAATTCAGGAAATATAGAGAATGCCACAAAGATACTCCTCGAGAAGAGCAACTACAAGACACATAATTGTCAGATTCACCAAAGTTGAAATGAAGGAAAAAATGTTAAGGGCAGCCAGAGAGAAAGGTTGGGTTACCCACAAAGGGAAGCCCATCAGACTAACAGCTGATCTCTCAGCAGAAACTCTACAAGCCAGAAGAGAGTGGGGGCCAATATTCAACATTCTGAAAGAAAAGAATTTTCAACCCAGAATTTCATATCCAGCCAAATTAAGCTTCATAAGGAGAAATAAAATACTTTACAGACAAGCAAATGCTGGGAGATTTTGTCACCACCAGGTCTGCCTTACAAGACCTCCTGAAGGAAGCACTAAACATGGAAAGGAACAACCGGTACCAGCCACTGCAAAAACATGCCAAATTGTAAAGACCATCAAGGCTAGGAAGAAACTGCATCAACTAACGAGCAAAATAACCAGCTAACATCGTAATGACAGGATCAAATTCACACATAACAATACTACCCTTAAATATAAATGGGCAAAATACTCCAATTAAAAGGCACAGACTGGCAAATTGGATAAAGAGTCAAGACCCATCAGTGTGCTGTATTCAGGAAACCCAACACATGTGCAGAGACACATATAGGCTCCAAATAAAGGGATGGAGGAAGATCTACCAAGCAAATGGAAAACAAAAAAAGGCAGGGGTTGCAATCCTAGTCTCGGATAAAACAGACTTTAAACCAACAAAGATCAAAAGAGACAAAGAAGGCCATTACATAATGGTAAAGGGATCAATTCAACAAGAAGAACTAACTATCCTAAATATATTTCCACCCAATACAGGAGCACCCAATTTATAAAGCAAGTCCTTAGTGACCTATAAAGAGACGTAGACTCCCACACAATAATAATGGGAGACTTTAACACCCCACTGTCAACATTAGACAGATCAACGAGACAGAAAGTTAACAAGGATATCCAGGAATTGAACTCGGCTCTGCACCAAGCAGAACTAATAGACATCTACAGAACTCTCCACCCCAAATCAGCAGAATATACATTCTTTTCAGCACCACACCACACCTATTCCAAAATTGACCACATAGTTGGAAGTAAAGCACTCCTCAGCAAATGTAAAAGAACAGAAATTATAACAAACTGTCTCTCAGACCACAGTGCAATCAAACTAGAACTCAGGATTAAGAAACTCACTCAAAACCACTCAACTACATGGAAACTGAACAAACTGCTCCTGAATGACTACTTGGTACATAACGAAATGAAGGCAGAAATAAAGATGTTCTTTGAAACCAATGACAACAAAGACACAACATATCAGAATCTCTGGGACACGTTCAAAGCAGTGTGTAGAGGGAAATTTATAGCACTAAATGCCCACAAGAGAAAGCAGGAAATATATAAAATTGACACCCTAACATTACAATTAAAAGAACTAGAGAAGAAAGAACAAACACATTCAAAAGCTAGCAGAAGGCAAGAAATAACTAAGATCAGAGCAGAACTGAAGGAAATAGAGACACAAAAAACCCTTCAAAAAATCAATGAATCCAGGAGCTGGTTTTTTTAAAAGACCAACAAAATTGATAGACCACTAGCAAGACTAATAAAGAAGAAAAGAGAGAAGAATAAAATAGACGCAATAAAAAATGACAAAGGGGATATCACCACTGATCCCACAGAAATACAAACTACCATCAGAGAATACTACAAACACCTCTACGCAAATAAACTAGAAAATCTAGAAGAAATGGATAAATTCCTCGACACATACAGTCTCCCAAGATTAAACCAGGAAGAAGTTGAATCTCTGAATAGACCAATAGCAGGCTCTGAAATTGAGGCAATAATTAATAGCTTACCAACCAAAAAAAGTCCAGGACCAGATGGATTCACAGCCGAATTCTACCAGAGCTATAAGAAGGAGCTGATACCATTCCTTCTGAAACAATTCCAATCAATAGAAAAAGAGGGAATCCTCCCTAACTCATTTTATGAGGCCAGCATCATCCTGATACCAAAGTCTGGCAGATACACAACAAAAAAAGAGAATTTTAGACCAATATCCTTGATGAACATTGATGCAAAAATCCTCAATACAATACTGGCAAACCGAATCCAGCAACACATCAAAAAGCTTATCCACCATGATCAAGTGGGCTTCATCCCTGGGATGCCAGGCTGTTTCAACATATGAAAATCAATAAACGTAATCCAGCATATAGACAGAACCAAACACAAAAACCATGTGATTATCTCAATAGATGCGGAAAAGGCCTTTGACAAAATTCAACAACACTTCATGCTAAAAACTCTCAATAAATTAGTTATTGATGGGATGTATCTCAAAATAATAAGAGCTATCTATGACAAACCCACAGCCAATATCATACTGAATGGACAAAAACTGGAAGCATTCCCTTTGAAAATGGGCACAAGACAGGGGTTCCCTCTCTCACCACTCCAATTCAACATAGTGTTGGAAGTTCTGGCCAGGGCAATCAGGCAGGAGAAGGGAATAAAGGGCATTCATTTAGAAAAGAGGAAGTCAAATTGTCCCTGTTTGCAGATGACATGATTGTATATCTAGAAAACCCCATCGTCTCAGCCCAAAATCTCCTTAAGCTGAGAAGCAACTTCAGCAAAGTCTCAGGATACAAAATCAATGTGCAACAATCACAAGCATTCTTATACACCAATAACAGACAAACAGAGAGCCAAATCCTGAGTGAACTCCCATTCACAATTGCTTCAAAGAGAATAAAATACCTAGGAATCCAACTTACAAGGGATGTGAAGGACCTCTTCAAGGAGAACTACGAACCACTGCTCAATGAAATAAAAAAGGATACAAACAAATGGAAGACTATTCCATGCTCATGGGTAGGAAGAATCAATATCGTGAAAATGGCCATACTGCCTAAGGTAGTTTATAGATTCAATGCCATCCCCATCAAGCTACCAACGACTTTCTTCACAGAATTGGAAAAAACTACTTTAAAGTTCATACGTAACCAAAAAAGAGCCTGCATTGCCAAGTCAATCCTAAGCCAAAAGAACAAAGCTGGAGGCATCATGCTACCTGACTTCAAACTATACTACAAGGCTACAGTAACCAAAACAGCATGGTACTGGTACCAAAACAGAGATATAGACCAAGGGAACAGAACAGAGCCCTCAGAAATAATGCTGCATATCTACAACTATCTGATCTTTGACAAACCTGAGAAAAACAAGCAATGGGGAAAGGATTCCCTATTTAATAAATGGTGCTGGGAAAACTGGCTAGCCATATGTAGAAAGCTGAAACTAGAGCCCTTCTTTACACCTTATACAAAAATTAATTCAAGATGGATTAAAGACTTACATGTCAGACCTAAAACCATAAAAACCCTAGAAGAAAACCTAGGCAATACCATTCAGGACATAGGCATGGGAAGGACTTCATGTCTAAAACACCAAAAGCAATGGCAACAAAAGCCAAAATTGACAAATGGGATCTAATTGAACTAAAGAGCTTCTGCACAGCAAAAGAAACCAACATCAGAGTGATCAGGCAACCTACAGAATGGGAGAAAATTTTTGCAACCTACTCATCTGACAAAGGGCTAATATCCAGAATCTACAATGAACTCCAACAAATTTACAAGAATAAAACAAACAACCCCATCAAAAAGTGGGCAAAGGATATGAATAGACACTTCTCAAAAGAAGACCTTTATGCAGCCAAAAGACACATGAAAAAATGCTCATCATCACTGGGCATCAGAGAAATGCAAACCAAAACCACAGTGAGATACCGTCTCACACCAGTTAGAATGGCAATCATTAAAAAGTCAGGAAACAACAGGTGCTGGAGAGGATGTGGAGAAATAGGAACACTTCTACACTGTTGGTGGGACTGTAAACTAGTTCAGCCATTCTGGAAATCAGTGTGGCGATTCCTCAGGGATCTCAAACTAGAAATACCATTTGATCCAGCCATCCCATTACTGGGTATATACCCAAAGGATTATAAATCGTGCTGCTATAAAGACACATGCACACGTATGTTTTTTGCGGCACTATTCACAATAGCAAAGACTTGGAACCAACCCAAATGTCCAACAATGATAGACTGGATTAAGAAAATGTGGCACATATACACCATGGAATACTATGCAGCCATAAAAAATGTTGAGTTCATGTCCTTTGTAGGGACATGGATGAAGCTGGAAACCATCATTCTCAGCAAACAATCACAAGGACAAAAAACCAAACACCGCGTGTTCTCACTCATAGGTGGCAATTGAACAATGAGAACACATGAACACAGGAAGGGGAACATCACACACCGGGGTCTGTTGTGGGGTGGGGGGAGGGGGGAGGGATAGCATTAGGAGATATACCTAATGCTAAATGACGAGTTAATGGGTTCAGCACACCAACGTGGCACATGTATACATATATAACAAACCTGCACATTGTGCACATGTACCCTAAAACTTAAAGTATAATAATAATAAATTTAAAAAACTATAGGTACGTATAGTTATTATCCCCCTTTTACAAGTGAGAAAATTGAAAATTAGATCACTTAAGCAATATTAAGCCAGAATTTGAACTCAACTCTGCAGCAAGTCAGAGTTTGTAGCATGACTATTTAGTCAAAATCACATGTGAAATAATCATAATTACTTCATCCTGAAGACCACAGAGCTTACAGAATTTGTCCTACCTACTTATCAAAATGAAATCTTCAAATCTTTTATTCAAATATGATCAATATCTACTGAGCATCTACCATGTGCCAACCTCTGCATTAGATGCTTAGACACCGGATTTTTAGGTATGAAATTCTACAGGACAGAGAAAAAGAAAAACATATAAACATCCAGAGAAATTTTACATTCCTGCTGCTCAGCTACTTAGACTCTTTGTGCTGATTAGGGGAAGCGGATGGAGAGAAGAATTGGACGGCACTAAGACAAACTCATTCTACACAGGAAGTGGCATGGAGCTGCCCCCTGAAGAAGAAACAGGTTTCTGAGGGCTGGAATGGAGAAGTGAGTAAGGACTGAGAACAGAGTTGGTACATGCTGGAATCTTCGCAAGAAGAGAGGAGAGATTAAGCCATTTATGCTGCTGGAGAAGGGGCACTTTGCGGAAGGAGAGACGTTCAGGAGAAAAATGTAAAGAAATTTTGCTCTGTGATGTGCTGTGTAATCCCACCTTTAATGGTCTCAAGAAACATTTAGGGAAGGAACACATTACATTTAAAGACTTTGGGAGATTGAATTTTTCTTAACTACAGATGCACTGCCTTGGTAGTTAGGATATGCTTAGACAAATCAGCCTCAATGTTTTATATACATGCTGAAGTATATATATGTCATGCCAATTCTGAAATATGGTTCATTCAGTCTGTTTCTATTTATCATTAAAATACTAAAGTTTAAAAATAAATTTCCTTTTATTTGGAAATGATATCAGATTCATGGATATCCTTATAATAGTACTCATTCATGTTCTGCAATCCTAATTTTTAAGGGGGTGACAATGTGGTGGAGGTATAATTAGCAGGAACACAGTTGAATATAACTTTCGTGGAGCATGCCACAGCATTTAGAATGATCTACCATGATGGTTTTTAAACAATATAAATAATCCACAGAGAGGGAAAACTGTAGAAATGAGAAATTGAGGATTGAGAATGGCAGTCTCAGAAAAAGTTGCCTGCCTCAGGTTCCATAGTCCTACTTTCAATCTCCCTCCCCACCATCCCCCAAATTTTAGTTCTAAGTCTGCCCTTATTTAGAATGCATGTAAGAAATACTAGATCTATGGCTCTAGGGAAAAACCAAAGTTGTTTCTGATTCTCCTCTGCCTTCATATTTTAGGAACCAAATTTTGTTTCTTTACATCTCATTTCCTAAGGAGCTAGCTTTCTTCTCTTTGCTCGGGTTTTGCCATGATTACCATCAACAACGGATTCAGATTCTTAGACTAGAACCTATACTCTAGCAAAGGTTTAAGAAAAGGCATGCAAGATAAAATCTCTAACAAATATTACTAAACATAATAATATCCTGATCTCCCTTTTCCCATGGATTAATCTCTAAGCATAAACTCATTCTAGATGTGAGCTCCTGAGTAATTTCTTAGATAACCTATCCCTGACCTTACTCTCCTTTTTGGGCACTGTCTTGACTATTGGCCTGAGATTTGCCTGGTTTTGTTCATCCATCTCTTGGCTAGTTATGGCTCCCTTCCTTTAGACTTCAGAACAATCTTACTCTATTTCTAATGTTCCATTCCCCAAACCAACCCCTCCCTCAACTCTCCTGTCACTTCACTGCTGAGTCACAAGAGAAGTGAGGAAGGCTAGGCCAGAACAGGAAAGCTAGGCTACAGGTTGTGAGGGCAAATGTGGCATAAGAGGTCATGTCCTGAGAGGTCCACATAGACAGGAGCCATGGGTACAATTAATTCATTCAGGAAGAATCTGAGGGCCTTAGATCCAGCCAGAAGAGACTCATGCATGAGAGGGTTTAAGTTAGCAGGCTGAGGTTAAGTATGGACACAGATGCAAGTAAGGCATGTAGAAACAGGCTAGAGGTGGTCAGAGATCCAGATTAAAATACATAGTATGGGCAGGATGGAGTGCTGGATAGGATGTAGAGTGAGAAAACAAAAATAAAATAAAATAAAAATTTAAAAAGTCATATTTGTATGGTATAAACAAAAAACCCAAACAGAAATAAACTGAATATGTGAATGATCCTAGGGCAAGAACAGGGTATCTCATATGCCAGTTCAAATGTCCTTCTTGGTGAAGGTAACCTTGACTGCTTTGCAAAATTAATCCACATTATAAAGACATTTTTGTCAATAGTTATAACAGGCAGAGAGCTACAAACTTTTACTTAACACTCACCATTAACTTTCATAACCATTATGTTCTTAAATATATAATGTATTTGCCTTGGCTGGGCATGGTGGCTCATGCCTGTAATACCAGCACTTTGGGAGGCCAAGGCAGGTGGATCACCTGAGGTCAGGAGTTCAAGAACCCCCTGGCCAACATGGTGAAACCCCATCTCTACTAAAAATACAAAAAAATTAGCTGGGCGTGGTAGCGGGCACCTGTAATCCCGGCTACTCAGGATGCTGAGACGTGAAAATTGCTTGAACACAGGAGGCAGAGGCTACAGTGAGCCGATATCACAACATTGCACACCAACCTGGGAAACAAAGGGCAAAACTTTGTCTCAAAAATATATATAGAATGAATATTGCTGCCTCTGTCTCTCTCTCTATATATATATATAGTATTTGCCTTATTTCCCTGCTTAAAGTTTCTCCCCCAAAAGCATGCGAGCATCTTTGTATATAAATGTCTTCTCACTTAGAAATCATCCATAATCCAGCATGAACTGAATAGTAATTATTTCCTCTATAACCAAGAACTTTTTCAGTTAAATTTTTCTGAGTAATTTTTCACAAAGCAAAGCATTAAATGCTATCATCTGACACATGAAATGCCTATTTTATAACCTAGTGTTGGGGTCAGGGATGAGTAGGTAGGAGGGTTAAGGGAAAGAAATGATTACTCCACTACTGCACCACAGTTAGAGTGAAGAATGCAGATTTTTTTTTCTCATTTTTGCTAGCATTGTTTGCTTCTGAGTATGTTAGATAACCTTATTTTGTCACTCTGCCCTAATGTTGACTCTTCTATACTACATAACAATGCAGGAGCTAATCATGAGATTGTGGATTAAGCTACATGAGATCCTCTTAAAAACATATCTGTGGAAGCACAGCATATTATAATTAAGACAGTTTTCACAGCCTTGAAATCCTCTAAAGGCCCCAGGGTTGGTTTGGTTTGGTGCCAGAACATGTCAGGTTGACAGCCAACAATCATTGCTTGTTTCATTTTTTGTTTTAACAAAGAGAAGCCTTCTGGCCTACTACTCCTGCATGTTACATCACCACACTACCACAGGAGTTTGATGAGTTTCAATTGATTTAAGTTGGCACTCATTATAAAATGATAGATGCTGGGCTGACACAAGATAAGACAGTCATTTCTACATTGGCAAAATAAAATAAAAGTTGGGGGGAAGGATAGCTTTTCTTGCTTCAACAATTTAGTTCTATCCCCTTATCTTGCTCTATTAACTTTAACACACGGTTTTCTATATCACATTAAGTAAAAAACAATTTTTAAGTGGATTTAGGATCAGACACTTCAGAAACATCACAGGGTGAGCTAAGGAAGGGGGGCTCACAAAGGCATAGAGAAAGGTTCGTCTGAAAAGCTCAGAAAGAGCCATAGAGAGCTTTGTCATGGAAGCCAAAGGGTTGTGGATTTTTCCCTTATAAAGTATATTAAATAAGGTTGAGAGAACTTGCTCAACAAAGAAGTTGAATATGAAAAAGGCCTGAAAGTGACCATTGGCATTGACAATTAGGATAACATTAATTACCTCACAGAGCAACTATGACAGAGTTGTGAAGGTAGATAAAGTACATTGTGAGGCAGTATGGATAATGAAAATCTGGATTCTAAGTAGAAATGCGGGTATGAGCAGCCAGGATATTGATAGGGGCAGTCAAGAAAAGAATTCTACTGAAATAAGGTAAAGAAAGATTTTTTTAAGGGTTGGAGAAAGGAGCATATTCACTGTCTGAAAGGAAGGAACCAGTAGAAGAAAACAGATTGAAGGCATAGCTGAGAGAGCTGAGTGCTGGGTCCATTTTGGATCCTATCTATATGCTCAGTTATCACCCTAGATTCTTCGACTAATTCTTTGTCCAAAGAAAATGCCAAAAGCTCTAGGCTAGTGTCAGAGCCTCAAGTCACCCTCATTGCTTTCTGCTACTTGCTGACTTTGTTACAGGTCCTAGTTCTTGGGTTCTGGCTCTATCCCTTGTGGCCAAGCCCTTGACTTAAGCCTCAATTCATTCCAATTATTCTATTTCAAGTTCTCAATTTGATTCATTTCTGAGAATTCTTGTTGAACTCTCTAGAAATGAGGTTTTTGCCTCACACTTCACTTTCTTCTTAGGTATGGTATTATACACTTATAACTGCCTACGTCGCAGCCATTTCCCACCTTCTTCTTCCTGGTTAATATAACCCCAATTCTGTTCAGATCTCCAGTGACAATATACTTTAAGGGATGGTCAGCCCCTTCCCACCCTGGGAGGGGAATTTACTTAGTCAAAGCTAGTTATGTAAATTCTATTTCCCTGGACAGTAATTGGTTCTGGAAAAGGATGTTTCAAAATTCTTATCTGATGGCAGTCTGAAGTCCTGGAAGAAAGATTTCCACTTTTTCTACTGGATATAGCTGTGTCTACATGGAATACCTGGCAAATGGACTCATCCAGCAACCATGAAAGAACAAGACAGAGCTGCCGAGCAAAAAGGAGAGAACCTGGGTGCATGGAATATTGTCAAACCACTGTGTTAGTTAGTGGTACCCAGAATTGCCTACCTTTGGTTTTCTTGTTATATAAGTTGTTTTCTCAAATATGTTTCATTGGGCTTTCTGTTTCTTAAAAAAGATTCTAAGTGACATACTGTAAAAGAAAAGGCTGAGAAAAACTGACTTTATTGAGGTCATACTACATAACAAATATTTTGCATCCATTATTTGGCTTAATTTTTATAACCACCTTATGAAGTTCATATTTGATCTCCATTTAAAGAGGAGTACAACCCAAAAAGCCTGAATTTTCCCCCATGAGGTCAGAAGTCTTGACCCAAAATTTTCATATGCATCATCAAGCATTGCATCTAGTTTTGACTGATACCTGTTTCCCAGACTTCAAACTTTTATGAATTTCAAAGTACTTCAGTAGAACATGGGGGTATGAGTAAAAATTGCAAAATAAGGCAGATTGTTCAAACCTTAGCACATTTATTAGTTTGGTGAACTAAGATTACTCAGATCCTAAATTCTGTATTAGTATTTGTAAAAGGCAATAATAGTACCTATTCACAAATTGTACAACATTTAACAAATACCAATACAGCTTAGTCATGTAACAAATGTGCTTTATTTATATTAATGCTGCTAGTGCAAAATATACAGTCAAGTTTTAAAAATCATATCATAGAATTTTAGGACTATAAGAGATTGCAGAAATGAAATTTTGTAATACACCTGCCATTGAGCATAGAAAACTTAACCTGCAATTCAAAAAATAGCTCAGAGCTAAATATATAAGTGATCTTCTTATGAGTTACTTTTAAAAAGCTAAATATAATAACTTTATGTCATTAAATTTATGATAACCGTCATTTGGAATTAATGACCAGCTACGTAAACACAGCTACATGGAGAAAGAAAGGAAAACAAATTTAGTTAGAATTTAAGAACATGGTCATCTTACTGCATTTTACCATATCTGGTGGACAACTCTGTAGTGTTGTATAATTGAGAAAACATTAAACTTGGAATCAAAAGATGTAGCTGACATCAAGCCCCTTCTCCATTATTCATTATGTCTGTAACTTTGTGCAAGTCATTTACTGCCTCTAAATCTCAATCTTTTTATCTTTAAAATGGGAGTGATAATTTAGCCTTTTGCTTATCTCACAGATTAATTCTAAAGTCAAAGTATATACAAAAGCCTTTTATGCATTGAAATATGCAGCATACATGAAAGGAAAATAATAAAAATTTCAGTGAACACAAACGGTGGAAACTTCAGACTGCATATTCTGTAACGTGTTCTTGAAGTTATTTTTCCTTAGGATATTTACTCATTACCTACTCTGAAGAATCAGCAGCCTTTCTGAAACTGCACACTACTAACATAGCATAGTGCCATGGATGGCTATAGATTCAACCTGAGCCTTTTGATGATGATGAGCTTTGAAGGATTCCCATCTCTAGAGCTGTGCGCACTTTGCTCACTGTACTTGATAGAATCAAGCTACAGGCTTAGCATATGATAGTTGGTTTGAGTCAAGTTTGGAAATCACTCAATCAAGAAACCACTCAATCACCCTGTCTAGAAAACAAATGAATTAGAGAAGAAAAAACCAAGATGACTCAGACCCAATTCTCAAAGTGTTTTTAATGGGACATTGATTCGGCCCATACTGAATTTTATTTACTAAAAATAAAAAATAATGTTGGCAATACTCTTTGTGGAGTCTCTTCCAGACAGCTGTAACATCTGAGAAACACTTGGAATGCTGCCTATAAAGTTCTATAGATAACAGCATCATCCTTATCTAGGATTATTTTTCTAATTCCATAAGGCCTTAAATAAACTGAGTCATTTTCCAGGAATGTCAGAAAGCTCTAGAAATCAGTAAATTGGGCCTCACTACTCGCTATTCTATTATTGCAATTATCAGTTGCTATGAAAGTCCAGAATTCCTGTTATCCATAGAAACTACGCTTTCTATGCTGATCAGATTCTCAGGCTGGCCCAAAAACTGACCGCAAATTCAATATGAGACAAATAGGAAGGGGCTGCTCAGAAAGCCAAGGTAATTACTGACTGCATTGACAGTGAACACTATACAAGATTGAAAACAAACTGGGAGCAAGAGAGCCATGTACCAATTCTGGGGTCATGGTTGAAAAGGAATATGTTCAAGAAAGACCAGAGAAATACAACTAGAAACCCACAAGTTATCTATTTCTTTCCCTTCATACTTAAGCATTTAAAAGGCATAGTCTACATTGGTCGACAATCCTCCTATTCACTGAAAAATGTATTACAACATTAGGTACATATAAAAGGAAATTATCAGTTTGGAAATACCACAAACTAGAGTATATATTGAAAACTGCAATTTTTTCATTATAAGAAATGCAGGCCGGGCACGGTGGCTCACGCCTGTAATCCCAGCACTCTGGGAGGCCGAGGTGGGTGGATCACCTGAGGTCAGGCATTCAAAACCAGCCTGGCCAACATGGAGAAATCCCATCTCTGCTAAAAACAAAAAAATTAGCCAGGCGTGGTGGTGGCCACCTGTAATCCCAGGTACTCAGGAGGCTGAGGCAGGAGAATTGCTTGAACCCGGGAGGTGGAGGTTACAGTGAGCAGAGATCATGCTGTTGCACTCCAGCCTGGGTGACAAAGCGAGAGTCTGTCTCAAAAAAAAGAAAGAAAGAAAAGAAAGAAAGAAAGAAAGAGAAAGAAAGAAAGAAAGAAAGAAAGAAAGAAAGAAAGAAAGAAAGAAAGAAAGAAAGAAAAGAAAGAAAGAAAGAAAGAAAGAAAGAGAAAGAACAAAAAATAAAAGAAAGAAATGCAAATGCCCAACTTTTCAAGGAAATGTCAAATTGTCTTCTGAAGTTATTGTACAAATTTGTCACCCCACCGGCAGTGTATAAACTTTAACATAGTTCCTCATCTTTCTCTACACTTGATATAGTCAGATTTCTTGATTTTTGTGGCTATAAAATTATATTCGATTATGCTTTTAATCTACATTTTTCTGATTATTAAAGAGGTTAAATACCTTTTCTTCCCCACTTATTACTCATTTGGTTTTATGTGTATTCATGTTATTTGTTTATTTTTCTATTTTGTTACTTGTTTTTCTTAATGATTTATAAGGGTTTTAAAAATGTGTGTGTGTGTGTGTTTGTGAAACTAACCCTTTATTGGTTAAATGTGTTGCAAATTTTGTCTCAGTTACTTGGAAACTTTTAACTTTATTTATATACCTTTTGATGAACAGAAGCTTTCCAATCCAAAGTAGTTAAATTTAAGACTTTTGTTCTATGTTAACACTATTCGTTTCTTTTTTGAAGGAGTTCTTCATTACTCAAAACACCTGAGATAGTCTCCTATATTTTTTTTCTAAAAGTTTTAAAGATTTCACATTTAATCCCTTAATACATCTCCAATTGATTTCTGAGCACGATATGGTCCTCCTATCACTTTTCAATCCACGCATTTTTAATTGTGTTGCAGTTCTCCTCAAAATTTGTTCTGCTTCAGGTCATGACTGAGCTTCATGTTATCAAAGTCAGTGAGCAATTTCGTGATTTTTTTTGGCAGTATTTGAGAATCTAGACAACTCTTCCCTTCTTGAAACTGTCTTTCATTTCATCTGTGACATTACTCTCTTGACTTTCCTTTTACCTTTTGCTCTGATCTCTCTAGCTTTCATTGCCTCCTCCATCTGTCCCCATAATGCTGATGTGACCCAGTGCTCCATCTTCAACCACTCCTCTTCTCATATACTTAGTCTTACCCAGTGTCCTTCCCATAACCATTGTTTAGTAGACATCTATATTCTAACGATTCATACATCCATTAACTCAAACCCATGTCTCCAGCTATAATACTAGATCTCTGGAGCCAAATGACTACTTGGCATTGTTGGCAAGATTTCCTAAGGGCATCTCAAAATCAACAACTTTAAAAGAGAATCTTTCTTCTACTCCCCCTCCTTCCAAAATCTGCTCCTCTTGCTTCATGACTTACCCCAGATGTTGACACCACCCTCTACTTGGTCAGCAAGTCAGAAATAGAAAGCCATCCTACACTCCTCCCTTGCCATCACTGCCCTTCATCCTCTGCATCTCATCAGCCAGTTTGTCATAGAGATTAATTTATATGAGTATCTCTCATGTGTGCAGATTCCTCTTCACTCCCTCTGCTGCTGCCTTAGTTCAAGGACCCATTATTTTTCTGTTGGGCATTTGCAGTAGCCTTTTAAATTGTCCCCCTGGAGCCAGGCTGTACCTCCAGAATCTATCATCTGCACCTTTCAGAGTAATCTTTATAAAATGCAAATCTCATCATAAGACAGGTAGGGTGCTATCCTCATGTATACAATATTCCTACACTTCTCAACGCTCACACTGCTCCAGGCCACAGTGCCAAGCCCATTACTCTACTCAGAGATGGTCGCCAATCCTCCTGCAGTTACCAACGCAGAATTTCCACTGAGCTGCCACCTGTAGATTAAGGCGAATGCTTTGCCACCCACCAGTTGTTACTTTAGTTAGTTCTTAGCCCACCCAGCTACCACCAGAGTATGAATTCTTACCTCAACTCCTTTTTCCTTCAGCCAAATAACCACATTTGAAATCCCTTCTTGGCCTTCAGCTATGATCTCTGAATATCTCTTTCCACAACCAAATATTTTGGAAATTCTAAATTCTTTACCAAATAATATTTATTTGTTGTAGTGTTTCAAGACAAAACATGCAAATCTTGGCTGCTCATTGCTTGACCTAATCCCTAGTAACCTCCAAGTTAGGTCTCCTACTCCTCCCACTACATTTTACTTCCAAGCCATCTTGTGCTCTTACATGACTCCAAGTACTTTCTATCTTATAATTCCTACCAAAACTCTGTCTCCAGCCAAACTCATATCTTGAGCTCCGCATCTAACTCCTACTAGACATCTCCATTTGAATGTGTCCTAAACACTTTGAACTCAAAACTAAATTCATTATATGCATCTATCTCCAATTATCCTTCTCTTCCTCAAATTACGTAATATCTCATGAAATAGCACTAGTATCTACCCAGTTGCCAAAGGAGCCATTATTTCCTCCTATTTGCTTTAAATTAAATCAATCATTGAGTCACCACCTCCCAAATATATCTCAAAACGCCACCCTTACTTTTGTCCTCATGCCACCATCCTAAATCAAACCATTATACGTCCTTGCCTGATCTATAGTGACAGCCTTCTGATGAATTTCCCTTTCCCCATTTTTTCTTTCTTTTTTTAACATAGTTTCACAAGGCATGGTAGCAAGGAGTCATTTTCCAGACATGCAAATATGTTCATGTCCCCTGTTAGAATCCCTTGGTAACCTCAGTACTACTTCCCTAATATGAAGTAAAATGGGGGTGGGAAGGAGGAGTAGACTTCATGATCCCCAAAGCTCTTATTTTTCTGGGTCAAGAACACAAAAGGATCCAGGAGCCTTTATAAAACAATCTTTTACTTCAGGCTAAAGTTGTAGTTACTCGAAAGTATTAGAAGGTCCACAAGGGAGGTATGGAAATTCAAGAGCAGCCCCTTTATTCCATTCTACTAACCTCTTCACCGTCAAAATAGCCAGCCTCAAGAATGTTTAGCTCTTGAATATTGTGTCCTCTTTTCCCTTAACAAGTTTTTTTTTGCCCCTTTTTCCTCATTCCCAGGGTCATACCTCTTCTCATGTTAGTTGTCAGTTCTGTTAAGTTTTTTCTAGATGGAGATGGAGAAGAGATACAGGGAAAAGCAATCTCACACTGGCCAACTCTCCTTGAATGGTACCTGCAAGATCGTCAGAATTTTCACAGTGCTGTGGACTTCCATTATCTTTTATTATTTTAAGAGTGTCTGTCTCTTTTCTTTGTCCTAGTTGGAATATACTTGATTCCAGAAAAAGGAGAAGAAAACACTTGTGTTCTTAAAAAACATAAAAATAGTATCCATTTTTAAAATAGTTTATAACTGGCCTTGTGTAATTATTAATATTTACCTATTCTGTCTCATCTTTCCCCATACTGCTACTAACATTTGATGCATTATAGCAGATGCTCGCTCCTCTTCCATGTCTGGTCAGTTTTCACCATTTCTGTACAGGCTGACATAGTCATAGTGTAAACACCTGTGACTATGCCCGATCACCTTCTCTAGTTACGAGAGTATGCCTGGCTAGCATGTAGGGCAGGCCAGACATGCTGGGGGGTTAGCATACTCAGGAGCAGCAATTGACAAACCATGAATGGGAATTTGTAAATAAACTTCCAGTTTCCTCACACTTTGAGGGGAACAATTTTGAAGAATGCTCTGCACAGTCTTTCAGAGGTCTCTGGTGGGGTTAGGTACTAGTTTCCTAAGTTGTAATTTTCTCTGTTAATGTACCCTGTGTTGACTTTGTTATCTTCTGTCTTTCTTCCTCCCTTACCTACAAAAGTTTTTGCAGACCCACCTCTCAAACTGCTTTCACTCAAATCTTTTATCTCAAGTTCTGCTTTTGAAAGAACTGAACTTAAGACAATTAGTGCTAAAATAGACCTAAAAAACAAAACTTCGGACTGTATTTTTGAACTGATTATTCACCAGTCGGATAGCAACAGGTCCCATTGCTGGTAACACATGGGCTGGTGATAAGTTGTAGCATGCTGTAGGTAATAGCATCACTATTACTAAGCAAATTCTTAGATTTCATCTTTGATGAACTGGGATCAGGTAGAAGTAAGAAGGCAACACATGATCTTAAAGTCTGTGAAATTGGTTGGGTATGGTTAACAGCCATTAAACCCCCGACGGAAGAAAATGACACTCTTAGGTCAACAATTGTCAACAGGACTGGGGGTGACAGTCAGAATGTCTTCATGGCAATATTAAAAAAAAAATCTTTATCACTTGTTGCCAGGGAGCACACATTGCTTTAAATCAGCCCCAAAATTTGATTGGAGGGGTGAAAGAGTTACGAAGGAGGCTGAATTAAAAGCCTCTGTCAGGAAAGGAATTAGATTATATGATGTAGGATGCAGACATCTGAGTAAATATGTTTGAGAATTTTGAACCTCTAGAATCCTGTCGGATGCCAAAAGTGACTTCACTTGTTATAGGAGGGCAGGCTCCTATTGCCTGAAGTCTATGAAAAACTCTCCCCTGCTGTAAGGCAAAGGATTTGCAAGAGAATGCTCATTTCTCAGGAGCTGTATTTGCCTCAACTCACCGTTTCTGGACAAGCAATTAGGGTCACATCTCAGTATCATCAGAGCAGGGAAATACTGTTCCTACCACAGGAGCAAAGCAAGTATTCACCAAAAGAATGGGAGGATCTGGCTAAAGCAGGAACTAGGAGAATATACCTGGGATGGATATTGAGGGTAATGATGGGAATTGGGGGAAGGATAAGCTGAATAATAGAGACCTCTTCTGTGCCTCTAGTTTAATATCCTGATAAGAGTGCCTGGAGACAGTGTAAATATTGCACCACAATGTCTGTTTGAAGCTAAGAAATAACAATGGCCTATAGTAAATGAAGTAGAGTTGCTAAAACAGTCTTGATAAAGTACTGAGGAGGATGTCAAAGGTCTTAAAGATGTGCGTATGCTGGGATGAATTTACTGCATAACATGAGAAAGCCCAGCAGTTTTCTGTGTTCCCCTCTGAGGGCAGAAGTAGAGCAGAAGACACTCTTTTCATTGAAACAGTAGTGAATAGGAAATGCGGTAGTGAATGGGGCAGCAGCATCATTGAAAAGCTCACGGATGGCTGTTCTCTATTGCACAGTGTTTACAAAGGAAGGAGATATTGCAATGGATCTGGACTGAGTGTCCATGGAGACATTAGGATTCTGTAATAGCAAGTCAGATATTGACAGTTACAGTGAATAACATCAAGGCTGTTTTCATGCTGCTGATAAAGACATACCCAGGACTGGGCAATTTACAAATGAAAGATGTTTAATGGAAAACTCACAGTTTCACATGGCTAGGGAAGCCTCACAATCACGGGGGAAGGCAAGGAGGGGAAAGTTACATCTTACAGGGATGGTGGCAGGCAAAGAGAGAGCTTGTGCAGGTAAACTCCCATTTTTAAAGCCATCAGATGTTGTGAGATGTATTCACTATCACAGAACAGCACAAAAAAGACCCACCCCCATGATTCAATTCAATTATCTCCCACTGGGCCCCTCTGACAACATGTGGGAATTATGGGTGCTACAAGATGAGATTTGGGTGGGGACACGGAGTCAAATCATATCAACAACCATGGGGCTTGACCTACAGATATTTGAGGTAATGGCAAATCGATTATTGGTGTTTCTAGGGAGGACATTAATGGTTAGCCAATGAGTATGTAACATGATCACAACAACAACAAAAAGATCTAGAACTGGTAAGGGAAAAGCTAATGTCAATTACTGCAATGGAAGATTATAATCTCTCATGCAGTTTCTATGATTGAGTCAGTTTTCAGACACAGGACTCCTTAAATGAATGACATGATTGTTGCACTTAAGAAGGACTCCAGAAGGTTACAGCAAATATATACCATAGCCATCACCCTAATTCTTTCTCACAATGACCTAAGGCCATTTACTAAAGTCTCTATAAGTTTGGGAAAGGAAAATACTTAAATTTTATGAGAGCCACTGAATACAAGGTCTAAACTGATACTGATAAGAGGTAACCTGACATGGTTTTCCTGGGTCCCCACCCAAATCTCATCTTGAATTGTAGTTCCCATAATCCCCATGTTTCACAGGAGGAACCCAGTGGGAGATAATTGAATCATGGGGGTGGTTACCCTCATACTGTTCTCGTGATAGTGAGTTCTCACAAGATCTGACAGTTTCATAAGGGGATTTTCCCCTTTTGCTTGGCCCTTCTCCTTGATGCTGCCATGGGAAGAAGGACGTGTTTGCTTCCCTTCTCACCATGATTGTAAGTTTCCTGAGGCCTTTCCAGCCATGCTGAATTAAACCCCTTTCCTTTATAAATTATCCAATCTTGAGTATGTCTTTATTAGCAGCATGAAAATAGACTAATACAGGACCCAACATGCCTTCATGGTCCCCTGTTAAAGTGAAAGCATACAGAGGTCAGGCAATAAATAAGTCCTGGTCAAAGTCCATCTCACTGTGAGCCCATTGACCCTGTGATCATTTACTAGAACCTTGTGTGCATAATCTTTTTGGATATATTTGCTTGCTGGCAGAATCCTCACAATAGTTCCCTGACATATGGAGTTAGAGCCATTTTGGATAATAAAGGCCTAGTGAAAACGCTTGAAACTATTCATGCCCCAGGTCAAGATAGTAAATTAAAAGCAATATTACATTCTGGACAGAATAGCAAAGAATTGTAGCACTCTCAAAGATTAAACAATGCAGACATAATGGTGCTCACCTTATCTCCATTTAATTCACTGGCATTAGCCTACACAACCAGATGGACGTAAGAAGGTCTGAAGGTAAAAGACTGAACTGCAGACATTTAGTCAGATGAAGTGTCTTAACTAAAACAGATCAGCATGGGCTCTAGAACTTAATATGAGATTACTCATCTAGAGATAGCATTCTTTTCCATCTCCATCAAAAAAAGAGGGACTAAGAGCAGTTTGCTTTTACCTGGGGTGGATATCAGTACATATTTACAGTTTTGCTTCTAGCTAAGGGAATTCTTCTGCCCTCTGTCATAATATAGTTCTGGATAATCTTAAAATTTTCATAAACATCGCACTTCTGCATCATATTGATATTGCTGGAGAGCAAGAAATGCAAATATATGTGCCACTAGTAATATCCATATGTACGCTGGTGACAACCCCAAAAATTAATCAAAATCCTGCCATATTGGTAAAGTTTTAGAGGTTTATTGCCTGGAGGAATGCTTGGATATACCCTCAAAGTTACAGGACAAATTCACATACCTTGCCCCTTCTGCCACTAAGAAAAAAAGCATAACCCTTAATAGACCTCCTTATAGTTTAGATATAGCATATACTATACTTGGAACTACTGTTTTTACACATTTATAGGGTAATACTGACAGTTCCCAAATTTGTTAAAGACTAGATAAAGAAAGGACTCTGCAGCAGATTAAAGATCTGCCATTTGGCCATCTGACCCATCAAATTTCATTTTGGTAGAGATATATAAGGCAAATGAAACTGTTTGGCGGAATCTAAGATTTCTGAGCAAGGCCATCTCATATGCAGAAGAAAACAAATAAAAGAGAAATTCTGGCAAGCTACCAGTAGAAACTAGTTGCATGGGCCCTGGTAGATGCTAAATGCAAGGCCATGAGATATCAATTGACAATGAAACTGAAAATGCCCATCAGGAAATAGCCACCTTCAGATCCTTCCCTTTCTATCCTAAAACAGTAAAAATTCAGAGTACAGTGGAAATGGGGATTGTGTTCTAAAAGGTCCAGATCAGATAAGTTAATGTGAAGAGGTGGCCCAGACCCCTCTTCACCCCAAGTCATCAACCTTTCTTCTTCAGGTCACACATATAGTCCCATGGTGCATTCCTATATCCTGATAGGTTTGTTCTATATGTTGGGGCAAGACATTAATCAGGTGACTGCTCTTGCACTACAGCCCAACTCATGGGTGGCCATGAAAGATGATGGCAAGGGCAAACTGGACAGTACACCTGGTCATCAGCTTCCTGTGAAGGGAGAACTAAAAGTTCAGACCACTTAGGGATGAAAAGATGATGTTCTGCGTAATCTCACCAGGCAAACAATTTAGATCAGTGAAAGTGTTGACAAGGTGAGGGAAATCCAGAATGATTGGTAGAAAACACAAATGATATGTTTCAAATTTGGCCTTGGAACCAGTTAGAGCAACAGAGATAATAGCTCATCTCATTATCAATCCCATTATATTTTATTAGATTGTGACCAACCACCTAGCCACTGACAAAACAAAAGACTCTGTATGGGACACTATACCTGAATACATTTTACTGCAAGCACCGTGACTCTGCATGAGAGCTTTCTCTGGCTACAGGAGCTTGCAAACCTACACTCACCCTACATGCTGGCAAACCTGGAAATGTTGTGGAGTTGACATCTTTAAGAACGATCTTCAATCAATTATAGTTTGGATTTGATAGATAAATATCCTGGCTTCTTCACCCCTCAGATATAAAAATTCCGAGGCATGCTCTACACAGTCTTCCAGAGTTCCACAGTGGGACTGATCCCCCATTGTTCAAATAAGTGACCTGGTCATTAATGCATTCCATATTGGGTTTCCTACTTTCTTAATCTTTTTTTCCACTCTTCCCTAATCACCTTCCAAATGAACTACTTTCACTTCCTTAGAAAGAGGGATCCTTATCCCAGGACAAATTAGATTCTGGAAATGTGTATTCTTATCACTTTCTATATGTCCCTTGTCATAGCACCACATTTATTGTTATCACTTGTCATTTTCCAATTGACTATAAGTATTAAGAAGACAGGGATGATTTCTATCCTGCTCACAACAAATAGCAAATGTCTAGCACAGCTTAAATATAGTATAAACCCAACAAATATTTGTTGAATGAAATCACTTGCAAACTAAACTTATCACAATGGCTTCCTTCCATCTCAGTGTAGAATAGAAAACCCAGTTGTCTTCTCATCTCCAGCCATCTTGCTAGATGTACATTTTATTTTATTTATTAAATTGCAGTTCTCTGCACAAATCGTATTGTCATATTGCCAAGGCTTTGCCCATTTGTTTCTTCTGCTGTTATAGTATTTCCCTCCTATCTTATTCCTACCAATCCTTCAAGTCTCAATTAAAGTATAACCGTCTCTGGAAATCCTTCCTTAATACCTCAGTAATATTTAGAGGTCTCTCTGTTCCCAAAGAACCTTGAGCATAATTCTATTATAATTCTTTCTAACATTTTAAAACAATTGAAACTTATTTTTCTTTCCCCCCAAACCCATAAGCTGCTCAAGAAATGAATCTGCAGGTGTTTTATTTTTATGAAGTGCCTAGTACAGTGTCTGGGGGAAAATTATGTGCTCAACAAGTATTTTCTGGCTGAAGATGAACATGAAGTATTAATATTATTAAGAACTAGTGACGTTTAGCCTGGAAAGAAGTCTTACGGAATGCAGGGTATTTGTCTCAAGTATTCAAGGGCTACCTACAGGAATAAGCATTAAAAACTTCGGTGTTTTTCTCAATGGATTATGGTTAATTGCTTTCTGAGTTTGCAGAATTAGATGCTTGGGAATGTAAAACAAAATGCTTATTGGTTGCAACAGCTGCTGATGTGTGTAGTTTCTTATATCAATTACCAAATATTGCTGTTGGCAGTTGTTAGCAGTTTGATATGTATCTGTACTTGTTAATAGCAAAGGCTTTGGGATCTAGCTGCCTGGGTTCAAATACCAATCCTGCTTTTTAATAGCTACACAACCTTGGGAAATTCAAAGTAATATTTCAATGCCTCAGTTTTCACATCTGTAAAGTGGGTTTAATAAAAGTATCTACTTTACAGGGTTGTGAGGGTTAAATAAATTATCATATGTAAAACATTTAAAACAATACGTGCTACACAGATGATCGTTATAATACAGCCATTTTATTCAACCCACTAGGCCAAAGCAGGTCCAACGAATGAAAGTATTAGCATATTTGGATTCAATATGAAAATGACTTTTGACAATTTGTGCTATCCAACAGTGAAACTAGCTGTCTCACAATAGTAAACATTATACTACTGGAAGTCAAACCATCCAACCAAGCAGTGGTTATCTACACTGGAATGTAGTCGAGATTTTTAAAAAATTCTAATATATTCTGATTCCATGACTACTCCAGCACCACATTGTGATAGCACATGCCAATATGTACATCATGTCTTTATTTAACCACATCAAAACCCTTAAAATTTAAACTTTTTTTCCCTTCCAGAAGTAGGAAACTAAAAGAAATGAAAGAGAATGAAAACTTTGACCTTTAACACTTTCTTTAGCATCTCCTCCAACTAGATAACAAACAATTATTCAGCTGAAGAAGACATTAGTAAAGGCTTGCTAGAACCTTAACACTTAGAACACACGCACAAACTTTCTTACTGCCAATATTATTCCTCAGCTGAGACCATTCCTGAGCTTCATGATCTAGATCGGGGTCCACAACCACCAGGCCATGGTACCAGTACTGGTCAGTGGCCTGTTAGGAACTGGGCCACACAGCAGGAGGTGAGTGGCAGGCAAGCAAACATTATCATCTGGCTCTGCCTTCTTCAGATCAGCAGTTGTATTAGATTCTCATAGGAGTGCAAACCCTATTGTCAACTGTGCACATGAGGGATATAGGTTGTGCGCTCCTTATGAGAATCTAACTAATGCCTGATGATCTGAAGTGGAATAATTTCATCCTGAAACCATCCCGCAACCCTGGCCATGGAAAAATTGAACGAAACCAGTCCCTGGTATCAAAAAGGTTGGGGACCACTGGTCTGGATGACACATACTGGAGGGTCATAATATTGCCACTTAGACTTCCATGGGCACAGGTGGAGAGATGCTGGAGAAAAGGAAGTTTTAAAGCCATAAGAAGGCATAACAAAGTCCTAAATTCTCATTCATTTCACAAGAGCCTGTCTGCCCCATAAAGAAAAACTAAACAACATTTCACTAAGGCTAACCCCTGAAGTTTGGTCTGGAAACAAGCACTATTTTTTCCAATTCTCCATGTTATCCAGCACCCCATCCCCCACGGCCATCACTCTCTTTCCCAGATAATAATGTATCTAACCATGGACACATAGAAACTCTCACAGAAACAACCTGTATTTTTTTCCCTGACAAAACCATTATATTAGATTGTATTCCTTGTTTCACCACCATTTTTATTCCTTCCAGCAGTGTTTTAGGTTGCATAAATCCAAGATTTAGAAAAAGAAATTGATACAGATATGAATTGAATCACTCAAACAGAAGGGTCACATTGAAAGTTCTCTAATGACATTAGTCCAATAACTGGAATTCAACAATGAAGTTTCTAAAAACAAAAGTATAGGTCTTCGCATGTTTTTCTCAAGTATTCTTTAAATGGAAACTGCGTGGAAATGTAAAACCTCAATCACCACAGAATTAGTCTCTCCCAAAAGCACTGAGACAAGTTGTAGCCCTAAAACAACAGCTTTATTCATTGTACTTTTTAAAAAATTGTCATCATACTCTCCTGTCTTTTGTCATGTACTCATTAAAAGTGACTCCTTAAAAAACACTATTTAGAGTTTCTGTTTGGAACTTTTAAGCACTATTATTGCCCTGTTGGAAAACTGCCCTAAAACTTCCAGGTAAGGAAGCCAATCTACTCTACTGAAGCAGCAGAAGACAGGGAGACCTGATGTGACCCAGCTGACAGCCAACACCAACATGATAATGAGGCCACCTTGGACAGTCCAGCTGACTAGCTAGTAGAATGCAGCTGCCTGAATGAGCCAAGAAGGCAAATCAGCAGACAAACCACCCTGCCAACCCATGGAACCATGATAAATAATAAATTTGTTTGTTTTCACAAAGGAAGTGTGGGGATGATTTGTTACACAGCTGTAGATAACTGGTGTATCTTACATGAAAGTCCCATTTCCTCCAGGTGGTTCTGGTTTTCTGCTATATCTGGAATAGTAGCTTATGCTTCTCACCTCTCTAGTTCTGGAGAAAATGAGAATACAAGAGTCTGAACCTGGATTGATCCATAGTTGTTAACTTTTACAGGCCTACCCTATGCTACCAAGACATGTACTCTATATTTTGAGTTTTGAATCTTGAATGTGAATCATTCTTGGTCATTAGAAAAGGCCTATTTTGGTTGTTCAGGAATAAACTTCTGTCTTCTGATTTTTCTTTACCTGTAATTTTATTCAAAATGTAGGATGATGAATTCCCATGGACAGCTAGCAAATTATCTGATGTGGGAAGCAGGTTCAGGATTTCTGAACGGTGAGTCCCAGTCTATTGTTTTCATCTAATGATAGCCTTGTGGTCTATTTTCATCTTTCTGGCCCTTGCCTCAGAAGAAGGAGCCATCCTGGCAAAATGCCTTTGCAGCTTTTTGGAAGTGATACAATCTGAACATGGCCATAAGTGTAAACAACGAATATTAGGGTCTCAGTGTTAAATATTTTCCCCACTCTCTGATGGTCATGATATGTTCAAAAAGGAAGGGATGGGTCATTATGGCTGGTGGTAAGTGACAATTTTAGGATTTATTTGTTCTGTCTACCTAGAAACTGCTTCAGAAAAAAACAGTCAAGGATTTTGTAAGCACAGAAGTGCTGTTTTGTTATAGTCAATTCAAAAAAGAAAGATAACGATGTGGTCTAGTGGTTTACACATGTATTTCAGTGTCAGCAACTCTCATCCAACTGTAATCTCATCCAACTGTCTTTCTGGCTGACTCAGATTACTTAAGAAAAATTACCTAACTTCTCTCTGTCTCATTTTTCCTACCTATACAATGAAATAAACCACCCTTATAGCACAGAAAGAATTTTTTAAAAATTTAACTGATATTTATAAATACCCAGGAAATATATGCTATGGTGATCCAAAATACACACACACACACACACACACACACACACACACACACACACACACATGCATGCATGCACATATCTTTTTTTTTGACTCTAAAATATCTTTTACTTCATTTAAAATCTTAGAGAGAAAATAAGATGGGAACAGGGAGGTTTGTAATTTTTTTTTCCCCCATTTTAAAGGCATCTCACTCCTAGTTCAGCAGCATGGAGAAAGATTTGTTGTCAGCTCCTAGGTAGGGCAGTGATTCAAATTCCCAAGGTTTGTGGCAGCATCTGAGAGAGATTTTCAAAGCTCCATTTTCTTTTAATTAGCTCCCTCTCTGCCTCAGGCAACAAGTTCAGGGAATCAATAGGCTAGACTGAGTAAAGACTTTGTAGGTATCAGGAGCTACAGTATGTTAGGACTTGTCAGACCCTGGATTCAGGTTTCAGAAGGTAAGCATCACAGGCCCAAGAACATTCAGAAAGGAGATTTCAAACAGAAGCAGCTCACCAGCTTCGGGAGACTGTCTGACCCTGATTCCCAGACAGAGATTACCATGGCTTTCAACCACATGTTGTCCCTGCACAAGTCACTGAAGCTCCAAGGCTTGCCCTAGAGGCCTACAGATCTAGCCAGACTCTGGTTAAGACTTAATATCACACTTGAGAGAAGCTGCAAGTATGAATTCAGCTGAGGTGTTAAAATACTTTTGGAGTGGTTCTCAATGCTACATACTATCTGTTCCCCTTATTATTATTTCTTCTTCTTCTTCTGATTATTATTACTATTAATTTCTCTTGTCATAGTAAGTCTTTCCCTGCACCCAGATGTCGTGAGTAATGTTGGCAATATTTTTAACTTTGTGGGGCATAACTTTAATCTGTGCCATTATTATTACTTACTTCTTTATTTATTATAAGGACAAGCTGCATGCAAGGCTGACAACAGCCTTGCCAAGTGAGGCATGGTGGATTTGTTTTCCAGAGTTCACATCTCTAATGAACAGTTCCTGCTGATTTAGATGCTACAATAATTGTTCTGGAGCAAACTATACAAAGTCAAGGGTAGAACATTTGGGATTCTTTGTGAGCATTCATTATTTATTCAGGGAATAGAATTCTGAAATTCCTATCTAAAAAATCTGATTATGTGACATGGAAAAAATAAAAAAGACAGAGCCTCAGTAATAAATCAGTCAGTAGCTAAGATTAAGTGACAGTAAATACCATTAGGTCCTGTTCTATTTGAAGCTTTAAACAGTGTGACCCTGAGCGTTTGTCTAAAAGAATCACGAGGTATCTAAAAAGTTGGGAAACATGGATAAACCTATTTTTAAATTATTTGGTAATTATATTTTCAAAATTATATGTTCAAAATATTGTTGGTTATGATCTGTTGATATATCAAGCAATGGGTTTAATTTTTACTCTGGAAAAGTACAATGAATATAGAACTGAGTATCCAAAAAGTCTAGAAACCTAAGGAAAGTACTGTACTTACTGTATTTTTTAAAACTAATACCTAAGTATTTAGATATATGCTTTAAATTTTAAAACATTTCATCTGAAAATGTGTCAGGAGGTTGCAAGAAAACATATTTCATATATTGTTTGAAAATATAACCAACATACTGTTTGACAATGATTCCAGACTCTTTTGGACAACCTGTAGAATAGTGAACGATCCAATGTTGCTCATGCCCAAAAAATAAAAGAAAGGGCTTAACTAGATTCAATCAATTATTTTAACAAAGCTGCAGAAGAGGGCTGTGTGTGTGGAAAGAAACGAAGGTGTGATTATAGGAGGGTAACATAGTAATCAATAAAGTAAAAAAAATGACTGTATGGAGCTTGAGAGATGAATTTAGGGATGGGAATTCTGCTCACTCTATGGGCATATTGGGTCAAGTGCATTATCAGGCTCCCCCATGGCTGAGACAAAAACATCACCTGTGTCAAGGTGAACCATCTCCCCTTGCCTTAAGTCCTTGTTCTTTGAGGAACCTTCATGATTGCAAATTCCTGCTTTCCAGGTATCTCAAGCCAGGGAAAGGGCATACTTTGGTTATAATTTTAGGCCATAAATCCACAGAAAGGATTTATGTCTCTCAGCCCTTCAATTTTCCTTTCTAATGTGTGTGAGACCAAAGTAAGCATAGTCCATATTGAGGATCTTAAAGCAGAGCCACCATTAATTGTGATACAGGTATCAAAATGTTAAACATGCATATCCTCCTGTACCCTTTTCCTTTCTTTGAACCCTAGACATTGGGCATTTTATAAACATTGGAGATCAAAAAGAGTAAGTAGGCAGTACCCAGGCTTCATCTCTGATGCAAGAAAAGTTACCTATACTAGGGCAAATGCTTCTCTGACCATTCCACCCATGACCAATACACCTGATGGCTATTGCTGAGCTCTTACAGCTTTTTTATAGAATGTTAGCATAGAAAACCGTGTCAGGTCTGTCCCTGGGGTCTCTGTAGTCGTGGAGAGAGGCCAGTCAGTATGGCTTCACTTATCTGATTGACAAAGATCTGTACTCTCTACTTTCTGATAACAAAAATGAAGGAATGGTCAGCCACGATTAGAAATCCACTGATCCTTTACTTTTGAACTATTTTCACTTTTCTTTAATGTTATGTTTATGTCATTTCTCAACCTTTCTTTGTTTTTCCTCAATACACAACAAAGCATTCAAAGCAATGAAGTATACCTATCCAGAAGATAAGCACTTGCTAAGGCCCTATTGTCCTATAATATATGGATAGCAAATCAAGCAGACCTCTCCATGTTAGTGACAAATTAATCCAGATTCATTCTAACTTACATTAGATATCATTCTATTGTGCCTTTGATTGTGGCACCAATCTGTAGTCACCTCTGTAGTACTACCGAAATAGAGTTTTCATATCTATAAAACTGAGAATTAAATTATACAACCTGATGAATTCATCTACAGGAAAACTCCTATATATTTTTTGATGTCTGAATTTCTGGTTTTTGCTTTTCCAAATTTTATTTTCACAATGTCATATACCTATGAGCACTGTTAGAATATGCTTTGGACCAACCCCTGAAAAGAATAAAAGCATTACTCATCCTATGTGTTTTTTCCAAAGAAATGAAAATGTACTTAAAATTTTTAAGTAAACAGTGTACTATAAGGGAGACTTTGCTTTAATATATGGGGGTTAATAGATTTTTTCTAATCACATTTCTATCTTATTCCATTTTCCTTTAAATGGGTGGGTACACTTGACAGCCCTGAAAAGTGAGGCACTAATAGTAGTGTCAGGGGCCAAGAATTGAACAAGCTTTCCTACATCACCCCTGTGTCTCACCCAGAGCTGTACCAAATGTTTAATTTTAGTCTTTGGCTCAATGCCAAACACCTGGAAATGGCATCCAGCCAGAGATGAACACAAAGCTAAACAGTGGGTGAGCAAGTACATATGTCTTTTCTTATTTTCCCGTTTTTCAACTATTAGGTAAATAAGGTAGTTATTAGGTAAATAAGGTAGTTATTAAATGATGACTTCTGCAAAGCCTGCAATTTTAGTGTTCACATTTCATCTTACCAACACTGACCAGTCTTCTCAGCAAGCAACATTTTTATAATATCTGTATGAAAACCAGTTTGACTTCCTACTCAGTGCCATCTTTGAGGAGGGATTTCAGCCTGTTGTCTTCTTAGACTAGAATGTACATAAGAAGCATGTCAGATGCCAAGTTTGTTGAAATGCAAACTTTGTCACTGGTAAGTTTTCAGTCGCTGATATTTCTGCGTGGGCACATCCCTCCGCACTTGTTCATGTCATAGCACTCAGGACTCCTGACTCCATTTCTGCACCCACAGAAACCACATTTCCTCTCAGTCCTTCTCACTTCACCAATCCACAAACCCTTTAACTACCCCTGAAATACGGAGATATTTCCCAACATCTCCACAAATATAACAGAAAGCTTTTGTGGTCTCATGTAACCAAACTTATAACCATATGCACGCCTTCTTTGACCAAGAAAATCACTCATCTTTCTAGTGTGTCCAATTCAAGATTCTTTGCAATAGACCATGGTACATGGAATTTGAAGGCCAAATCCTGGTGCTATGGATTTCAAGGGAAGCAGGCACATATACAAAAACAATGAAAGCAATGCTACATTTTGTCTAATGCTTTATCTTTTTAGGTATATATAGTTTGTTTACTTTTTTATAAAGACGCTAAATTTTGCTTTCTCTTTGAAATAAACATGTGGCTATTTGGTACAACTTTCTGGTCTCAGAAAGTTGTACGTGTACATGATTTAAAATGAAATTGAGTGATGTAATTACGCTTTCATGAGCCATAAGCATTCCTAAAGAATCCTACATAAATCCATAAAGTAGTAAAAGGTAGTTTTGATTATTAGTAACAAACTTGCCATTTAAAAATACTGTTGTATATTGTATTAATACCTTTTGTGCACCTTTTCAGGTTTTCTTAGTTGTATCTGTCCTGTTCCAGACACCAACTTGACCACCTGATCTGTGAGGGCTTAGGTGCAGCATGACAGCACTTCACCCCAAGAATCTACCTCTCATTTCCCACTTGGGGCTATTCTGTTGACACCTCAGCTTGGGACCAGGAATAAAATCCACTCTCCATTTACACATGTACCACCCAGAGTGTGGGAAAGTTAACACCCTCTATCAGTTTGTTAAGGCTGCCGTAACAAAAGACCACAGGCTGGGTGGCTTCACTATCAGAAATGTATTTTCTCACAGTTTTGGAGGCGAGAAGTCCAAGATTAAGGTGTCAGCAGGTTTGGTTTCTTCTGAGGCTTCTCTCCTTAGTTTGCAGATGGCCACCTGGTCTTTCCCTCTTGCATACAAACCCCATGGTGTCCCTCTGTGTGTCCACATTTCCTCTTTTTATATAGGGACACCAGTCATATTAGATTAGGGCTTACCCTAAGGGCCTCATGTTAACTTAATCACCACTTTAAAGACCTTATATCCAACATAGTTACCCTATAGAGTTACATTCTGAGGTATTGAAAGTTAAGACTTCAACATATAAATCAAGGACGGGGACAGAAACAATTCAGCCCATAACACACTGCATGGGTGATCAATGCGGGAAGGAAATAAGAGTTAATAAATTATCTTTTTATTCCCCTAGATGGATGATCCTGATTGACATTTCATGTGACAGTTCTCAATCTCTTCGTGATTGGGAAAGTGGCACTTATAACCACCATCTACTGGCAAGTCATTGGCTCTCTCTCCTTCTTGGCCTGGTTTCCCTGTCCCTCATTCCTACCTTTTTCCAGGATCACAAAAGCCGATAACAAGCTTGCACTCAGGTTCTGCTTCCTGGAGAGCCCAGGCTGATATCTCACTTCATATTTACAACAACTATGCAAGATATGTCTTCTTGTTGTTGTCTCATAAATAAAGAAACGGGAGAGTCTAACAAGATAACTGACTTGTACAGAGTCACACAGCTAGTAAGTTACAAAGGCAGAACTCTGATTTAAGTCTTCTGCCTCTCATCTTGCATTATTTCCCAGGTACCACAATATCTCCTAGCAATTTTTATTTTCTTAATTTTAATTTTTTTGAAACAGTGTCTTTCTCTGTCACCCAGGTTGGAGTGCAGTGATGCAATCATGGCTCACTTCAGCCTCTACCTCCTGGGATCAAGCAATCCTCCCACCTCAGCCTCTGGAGTCACCGGGACTACAGGCACGTGTAACCATGCCCAGCTAACTTTTAAATTTTTTGTAGAGACAAGGGCTCACTATGTTGCTCAGGCTAATCTCAAACTCTTGAGCTCAAGTGATCCTCCTGCCTTGGCCTTCCAAAGTGCTAGGTTTACAAGCAAGAGCCACTGCGCCTGACTTGTCCTAGCAATTTTTATGTATCATTGTGTGTAATTTAGGCCATTTTCCCAACCCAATTTTAAAACTGTTTAAATGGATTAGAGATAAGACATCCCAAGTACATAATTCATTTCCCTATTACTTAAATGCTCTCCTTTCCCTTCTTCCCTAAACCTATGAGTTTGGTAATCCTTTTACATGGCTTACTTATATCTGAAATTACTTTTATTCAATAGAAAGTATATAAATTAAAATCTCTTTATTGGTATTATCACGATCTATACCTTTCCAAGGAAACCACTTCTCACAGTCAAATTAGGGAGGCTCTTGTATCTTAATCAAAGCTTAACAGTTTAATCGTTCATTAAACATGAGAGTAATTTAGTGTCCTACTATGCAATCATTATTGTTTCCTGAAAATCTGGTATGATGAGGTACAATAAATGCAAACTGAAATATTGCCTGTGGAAAGTTATTTATTATTTCTTCTAGCTAAAAACATTCATAACTGAAATTTATTGGCTCATACTCCCTTCATTATAAATATTTTATGTTCTGCCTCAGGGATCCATGTCTTAGCATTTAAATGTCTCAATCTTGTGTCAGTAACAGGAAGAACAAGTTCACTGGGTGGAATTTTTGCCCTTTGCTTCAGAATGTTACAATAATAATAGGCTATAAATATGTTATAATTATATCTTTGATCATTGCCGTGGTTTTCTAGCCTGAATGAATTAAACTCAAAACTAAAGCTGAGCTGATAGGCAAAAATGACAGCCGTTATCTTATACTAAAATTTTTCTGAAAACCATATTAATATAGTAAAAATATTTAGAGTGGCCAGGATAGTACATCATTTTTCCTATTACTGTACTTTTACTTTAATGTGAAATAGTACCTATACCTATTACCACCCTTACATCTCAATAATGGTTTACATTCATTTAAAGTTTTACTTTTTTAGTTCTTTCATGTTCTAGTCACAATAACAAACTTTGAGGTACTAAGGACTGTTGCTATAATAGTCATCGGTCAAATGAAAAATGTGAGGTTCAGGTAGTTAAAGATGTCTAACTTTTTTAATGTTAATATTTTTAGTTATGAGATACAGTAACATAGTGCAATGGTTTGAATTAGGCTTCTGTTTTCTGCCGACCTCACCTGATGGGGTCAGCTTGGGGTAGGAGGTGCAGTGGAGAAGGAAATGGCAGAGAGGAGAGGACATGAGCAGGTGACAAAACAGCAGACGACAGGTAATGCTATCTGGAGAGATGAGGGTATAAGACACAGGGAATATCCCTCATCGGCTATATTCTCCCAGATTCATCTCCCTGTATAAAGCCTACTGAGCAGATTACTGAGAGATTCCTAAAATTGTGTAGCTTTCCTAGAAACCCCAGACAGCTGTGGGACAAAGACTTGTCCTTACCGAGATGAGGCGTACTAGATTGCATTAGTTAATGGAAATTTTAAAGTTCCATCTGGAGGACCTTTTAAGAGTTCTTTATCTCAGTCCATTCTCTTTAAAATTCCAGATACAAACTTTTGAGACCCACCCTTCGTAAGAAAAAAAATGCAGAAGAAAGACAAATTGGATTTCATTTCAAGAAAATTGAAAATAAAATTCTTCATACTGGTGTCTTAGTTCATTTGTGTTACTATAACAAAATACCTGAGGCGCCTAATTTATAAACAATAGAAATTCATTTTTCACAGTTCTGGAGCCTAGGAAGATTAAGGCACTGCAAGTATGCTGTCTGGTGAGAGCCTGTTCCTCATAGATGGTACTGTCTAGGTGTTCTCATATGGTGGAAGAGACGGAAAGAGAAAAAGAGATGAACACTGTGTTCTCACATAGCAGAAGAGTGAGACAGAATGAACCCACTCCCTCAAGTTCTTTTATAAGGGCCCCAATCTCATCCCTGAGGGCTCTACCCTTATGACTTCACAGCATCTAAATACCCCACCTCTTATCATATTGGCGATTAAGTTTCAATGCATGAATTTTGGGGAAAACATTCAGACCATAACACCTGGTATTAAATTATCCATAGAAGAAATACATGAAGGAAGGACTAACTCCTCTTAGTGTATACAAACATGTTGACAGAGATGCTTTCCTTAAGAAATATCATGTAATTTGAAGGTAAGATGATTTTTTTCTTTTTCTTTTCTTTTCTTTTTTTTTTTTTTTTTTTTTTTTGAGACGGAGTCTCACTCTGTCACCCAGGCTAAAGTGCAGTGGCACAATCTCGGTTCACTGCCACCTCTGCCTCCCAGGTTCAAGCGATTCTCCTGCCTCAGCCTCCTGAGTAGCTGGGACTATAGGCGCGTGCCCCCCAAGCCTGGCTAATTTTTTGTATTTTTAGTAGAGACGGGGTTTCACCGTGTTAGATAGGATGGTCTCCATCTCCTGACATTGTCATCTGCTCGCCTTGGCCTCCCAAAGTGCCGGAATTATAGGCGTGAGCCACTGTGCCAGGCTGAAAAGATGATTTTTGATAGCTTGAATCCAGGTCTTCTTAGGGACTGAATCCTCCTGCACAATCCTGTAAGCCTACATCCCCTCAAGTGTATTCCTTCAAACACTTGTTCTCCAGGATGTAAATAAGTTTACGTGAAAAGAGTATTCTGTGATCAGATCCTTAAATGCTGACACCAGCCCGAAAATAATCTGTTGATAAAGCAAAGCTAATTTTATTGTTTACTGTGCTAAGGGAGATTGTTATTTTGACAGTCTTAGTCACATCTGAATTCGAGAGAAAAAAGTTGCAGGTATTAATAAGATGTAGGGGGTGGTCAGCGGATCCTTCAAAGTGGGAGCTAGACTAGGACTGCAGAAGATTCACAATGTTATTGTTTAGGATTGGTGAACATGGCATGGATATGGTTTCAAAGAGAATTTTTGAAGAGGAAACACTCTTTTCGTGCTATATTGTCCTGAGAAAAGGTATTTTCTCTGATGAAGTTATTGGGGCTCAGAAACTGGTACCCCAGCAGCTTTGACATACTGAACTAAAGAAGCAACCTCAAGGTCTCTTTGACCTTCCCCTACCCCTTCCTGTCTCTCAATCCTCTGTCTCTATCAAAGCACTTGATGAAGCTGGTCTCTGAAGTTCCTTTATCTGCCTGAAGTCCAGACCCACCAAAGAAGAAAACAATTACCTCTGTTCCCTTCCTTGAATTTGCATTAACTTAATTCATATGGCAAGAACAAAGACTAAAAGACCTGGACAGACTTTTGTCCAAACCATTGTCTTCCTTTTTGGTCCACTCAGTATTTCAAAGAGAATCATTTACCAGTCACTGTCTGTTTTGTGGGATCAAAATACTTTGTCCTAGGCCATTGTATCTTCTTCAAATCCATTTATTTTCACCTAAAAATCATTTATTATGTCTCAAATTGCCACACTCACCCCATCTCCCTTTGCCCTATGAAGAAGGGTATATAAGCATCTGTACCCCACTGGGTCATTGGGTAATCATTCTCCTGTGATTTCCTTATGTTATGCACAGTAAAATAAATTTTATATGCTTTTCTCCTATTCACCTACATTTCTAAGTTGATTTTCTGCAAAATTTCAGAGGAAAATAAATTTTTTTCTATGGCCCCTACAATGGTAAATGGAATGTTTAGATAAATAGATTTTCTGTGAGGTCCTGAAATTAACAATAAAGATATTTACAACTTTAGTTTCCTAAGTTTCTTGAATAGTAAAATCATGTAAAACAAGATAAAAAAATAGTAAACTCTTGTTAGTGCAGAGTATAGACAATAAACTTATAGTCTCTTGAACAGACACTTTGTAGCGAAACAAAATGTGCCTTTTCTTTAGGCCTCAGCCATCCTCATGACAGTACCTCCCTAACACCTACCATCTTTCTGGATTCTTCCTTAAACTCTTACCTGAAACCTTTCTGCTTTGTAGTCCAAACTTGAATCCCCATAATCATTTCTATTTCCAGGCCTTTTCTGTTGAAAATCAATCTGATATTTTCCCGTTCCTAGGATTCCAATCAGAATGACAGGATGCCAGCCCTAAGGAGGCAGAAACAATAAAGGATCCTTCCTTCTTAGAGCTGGAAGGGAGTGGAGGTTGACTTCAGTCTCTGAATTTGTATGTTAATATCTGTGTCCTCTCTATAGGTTCAAAAGATCTATCTGATGAAAGAAACAGTGAGGAAACAATTAATATTAGATGGTGGCACAGAATTAAGTTTCAGGATGTTTGTAGCACCAAATAGAGGAAGGTTTTTTTTAAAAAAAAAAAAAAGTATTTTAAGTCTTCTATGAGTGCAAGTAGAAGGAAAGGAAGGGAATGTTCTCTGTTGGGGGCCAATGATATATTGACTAATGACAAGGAAAAAGCAAACCTCTCTTTGGACTGAAAAAAAGACAAGACATGTTGATAAGAGGAAACTGTAGCTTTAGCTGGGGAAGCATAGTTAAACTTCTGGTCCTGAATTATTTCTAAAGGTCTCTAAAGAATCTTCAAATTAAATCATTAAACCAAACATTGCCAGTGACCTTTGAGGGACGATCAAAAACAGTAAAGAGGAATAAAACTGGAGACAGGCAAATACCAGCCAATCTTTGACAAATGGGACAAAGAAAGATTTGGCAAATTAAGACAAGTAAAAGTTACATTGATTTCAGCTAAGATTTTAGAATCGTTTATATAAAGGAATAGGTGTAGAGAACCTAAAGAAGCAATGATCACTAGGAGCCAACAAAGACTTCCATAAACAATATTAGACTCGCCTCATTTCCTTCTGTATTAGTCAAGGTCTAGGCAGGGAACAGATGCACACATAACAAATTAACGTACTAGAGGAGAGTTTAGAAAAGAGAATCCTCATAAAAACATGGGTCAGGGTTAAAGGAAGCTTAGAGGGACAGTAAAGCAACTGGGGAGAACCAGTACCAACCACAGAAGGACTGTCTGCATAATTTGCAGGCACCCCCACCCCACTAAAAAAATGATTAAGAATTTCATGACAGGGATAGCCTAGCATTAAACCAAGCATGAGACCCTATATGATCACACAAGCTGCAAGACTATGCAGCCTGCCCTGGTCTTTAGGTTTGAAGAGGCAAGGAGGAAAATATGTATGGGAACCTGGAGAGGGTTGTAGCTGTATCTTCAGCTGAAGCAGAGTCCATTGGAGGGACATTGTGGACTTCGGTAGAAGAACTAAGCCACTTACACTAAACTACTGATTATCTCTGGCTATGAAGAGAGCAATCTGGGGAAATACATATTTTGATCTCATTCTCCTCATGTCCTCCTGCAATCTCTTGCCAGTGCAGGACAAAGGAATCAAGTTAATGCAGTGCATGGAAGACAGCTTCCAGGGACACAAATCAGGGTGGATAGTGGATTAGGAGAAGCAGGAAGAAGATAACAGACATCATCCTGCACATCTTTGTGAGGTTATGCTGTTAAATCTGTGAAACCAATCTATAAGGAATTCAGAAAGATGTTTGACACAATTTCACAATTTTCCTTTGTATAAGATGGAGAAATATGTACTAGAAGCAAAATAATTATGTGGATCAATAATAGGCTAAACAACTATATCCAAAGTCTACTGAAAACTGGATCAATGTAAAACTGAAGGGAGTTGCATATGTATCTCAATTCCTTTACCCTGTCCTATCTAGCTCAGAATTTTTATTATTGACTTGCAGACATAAAAAGAACATGTATTAAAGCATGGTTTGCAGATTGCTGAGAAGGACATTGTCTAACTGGGATGAAAGAATTAGAATCCAGAAAGATCTTGACAGGCTGTAGCAATGGTATAAAAAGATCTTGCCTAACTGGAACAATAGAATAAATCTAGCAGTAATAAGTCTTGAGAATTGTTCTCAAATTCAAAAAGCCAGAGGCATAAGTTTGGGACAGGGAAGACCATACTTATCAGCTATTAAAATGACTCAGGGAGTTTAGTGGAAGGTAAAGGCAATGTGAATCATGAGCATGGCAGATCCTCCAAAAAAGCGGATTAAGTTTTAGGCAGTATTAATTGAACAAAGGAGGTAATAATCCAAACCTATGTTGTGTTGATCAGACCATACCTGGAAAATTTGGGTTACTTTTGAATGCCATATCTGACTTGCAATGCATTCTGAAAAGAATAACTAGGATTGGAGAAGACACTTATAGACTAGGACCAACCACAAAAGCTGGTGCAGCTTTAATAACTGATGTAAATGACAATGTGAACATGACAGTGTTGAGATTACTGCTCAGTCAGCAAACCAAAGAAGAGCATAGGATATACATGAGATAAAAGAAACATAGAGACTTATGAGTGGAAGAGGCAACTCTTGCTTCCCTAGTTCTTCCCCCTGAAACTTGCAGAGTTAAGAATTCACCAGGACAGATGATCCATAACCAAATCTCACTACCTTTTGGAAGGGAAGGGGGACATTACCCCACAGGAATCAACTTTATCACCATATAAAGAAATTCTTGCTGTGTCATGGTTACATACTTGTGAATTCTCTTTCTTATTCTGTCATTATACCTATTTGTATATAGAGCCATGCAATAACACAGAACAGAAATCATGCCTAGGAAGTAATAATTGAAGAGATCCGGGGCCAGTATAAGAGACTACTCAGGAGAACCATGGCATCCAAATGGTATCCAAATATATTAAATGCTACCACATGGAAGAATAATTATCACTGTCCTCTATTATCTCAAGGAATAAAAAAGGATCCTTAAAAATATCAGAGAGATACTTCATTATGGTCCAACTTTCTGAGGACTAATGGACTGCCATGGAAAGCAGAAAGTTTCCCAAAACCAAGCATAAACAAACATAGTATCATGTCTGAATTACTGCTTAGTTGACATGTTATTTAAGCAATTCAAGCTTTCAATGGGTATTTAAAGTAGTTTTTAAAGATCTCTTCCAATAATGAACTTCCATGGCTCATTCTTTCTTTCATTAAGTAAGTATTTATTAAGAACCAGACATGTACCCAACATCATCCTAAGAACTGAGGATACTGCAACAAACAGAAACAAGCCATTTCCTCATGAAATCTGATGGAATAGGTAGAAAATAAACAAATAATTAATAAAATCTCAAGCAGCAATAAAGATTGTGGAGAAAAATCAAGCAGGGTATGGATCTTGAGTGATGGAGAAAGGGAAGAGACATGAATAGAATGGTCAGAAAAGCCTCTTGGGCCAATGAGCTCATCTGTTTATCATAATCAATTTCTCTAAATTTTCAGTCTGGTAGCTTCCTAAGGCCCTTATTTTTCCTCCTTATGTTAATTACCATCTATGCAGTTTACTCTTTAACTCTTAAACCCAGAATAACTCTAACTTATAAATCCAATAGAACTATTAGTGAAACTAGAACAGTGGTATACTTATTTCCACAATCAAAAAACTAAGTGGGTATCATTCAGTTTAAGATGGCAGAACAAGCACAGTTTTCTATTTTCCTCTTGTTCCTAGTTACTATGAAATCATAGAAAAATAATTTTTAAATAAAAATTGCAGTTTTGGAAAATAAGAGATGATGATGACAATTTGAGAAGATATTAGAAGTAGACAGGGTCTGATCACTGGGGGAAATAGAGCAGGGAAACTATGGCCCCAAATGCCCTAAGTAGAAGAAGTCTGAATATTAAAGGAATTCTCAAAGGTTTTCCACGCTCAGAGTTAATAAGTACAAACAGCAAGAGTAGATTGTGCAAAAATATCAGAGTAATTATTTAGAGAATCATACCTGAAAGGGGAAGACTTCTCCTCTTACTCCTCTCCCTCATGAATATCAAGCAAATGGTGATGGGAGCTGAAATTGTAGACCTAAACATGTAACACCCCTTCACATGACTGCCTGGTCACATACCTGAAGTCTCTCACTCTTCTCACTGCTTCCAGACATGGATAAAGCACCACACAGCTGGATTTACCAAGCTGCTGCTAAAGGGTCTAGATATTATAACCCAGTTATAGAGGAGTTAAATCCCTAATGGACAAATTCTAACCAACGGGAGACAGGATTCAGAAGAGCACCAAGCAGAAAAGTTATCCTCTATTCCTGACTCCCTGGGATGGACTTGCTTGAGACTGATTTTCTCTTTATTCTTTATCTGAAAATATCATACATGAATAAATAAGCACATCTGCTTTGTAAACAACTGTGCTTTGCTGTGGCTTGTTGAGAAATGTGGCTAAAATGATAATATTTCACTGTGAATTGCTTCCTGGTCTTCCCTCCAACATTTCCCATTTCCCTCATTCTCTCACCAATGGGATTACACTTCTCCATCAACATTTAATCCTTGGCTCAGGCTCTTTTTCTAAGGAGTGAGGGCTATTATAAGTTAAATTGTGCCTCACCAAAGGATGTGTTGAAGTCCTAACCTTCAATATCTCAGAATGTGTGACCTTATTGGAAATAGCATCATTATAGATGTAATTAGTGAAGATGAGGTCATACTGGAGTGGGGTTGGCCCTTATCCAATATGACTGGTGTCCTCTTCAGGAAAAAAGAGACAAAAACATACAGGGAGAAAACCATGTTAAGACTGACATAGAAATTGGACTTATGCTGCCATAAACCAAGGAACTCATAGAGCTACCACTTACTGGAAAAAGCAAGGAAGGATCTTCCCCTAGAGATTTCAGAGGAAAGATGGCCTTGACGACACCCACCTTCATTTTGCACTTCTCATCTCTCCAAAAAGGAGATTATACATTTCTGTTGTTTTAAGCCACCCAATTTGTGGTAATTTATTATGATATCCCCAGGAAACTAATACAAGGGGTCAAGCAATTGGCACTAGAAATTGTTCTAGAACACAGACCTTTACAATGGGATTTTGGAGTTGGATGCCCACTTGTTGGAAGGCAAGAGGGACATCATTACTGTGTTAAGTAGGATGCTAATAACCCATGGCACACAATGGTATCACAATTAATCTTAAGGTAAAGCTAAAAGAAGGAGCCCAAGTATCTGTGGTAATCAGTATGGGTACATGATAAATAAAAAGATAATGGAGTAAGGTAGCTACTTTTGATAGGCCTAAATAACTTGTAAAAAGAAAATCATAGGCTCAAAGCAGTTAATTGCTAACAAGGCATGCTCTGATTCCCAGAGGATTGCTATGGCAGCATTAATGGAAACTCAGGACAGACTGTGGTGAAAAATTAAGACTGGAATCCATTTATGGCATTGTTAGAGATGTAAATGAAACTAAATGTACAGTTGCAAGCGTTCTCCCAAGTCATTGTCAGAACCCAGATAGAAAATATGGAGACCATTAGTATCTTGGATAACGACATTTAGGGGGATGAGCATTGTAATCTTGAACCCCTGGATTCTCCTGAGATTTCCTGGCGGATAGAAGCAGCCTCATCCTTCTCACCAGCGAAGAACAGTCTCTGCTTGCCTAGAGACTGTGTAATGATTACACTGAAATTGTAAATTTGCAAGATCTCAGGGCGTGACATTATCATCTCTCACTGCTTCTAGGCCAATAGCCAGATCATGTCTTAACACAACTTGTGCACGGAAGTAAAATCCCAGCTTCCATGCTAAAGGCATTTCATGACCTAGCTAATAAGTATCAGCAGGAATTGGAAGAATGCATATGGGATTGGATCTTGAGTGAGTTAGAGGTAGGAAATGGAGGTTGGAGTTTTGGATGAAAGAATTCATTGACAACTTCCTGACCAAAGACCAAAGGCACTATTTTGCCCTTTCCCATCCTTCCTTGCTTTATTTCCTTTTTCCTTTATTATCATCACAAATATTATTAGATTATTTAAATAACTTGTAGTATATTCCTTCAATGAAGTACTATTCAGCCATTTAAAGGTATGAGCTATACCTGTAAGACATAAGAAACACGGAAAAGCATGTTTCAGTCATCAATACATACTAGCACATCAGATCCTTTTGATAGTACCTGTGTCCAGGCCTTTATCCAATATGACTGGTGTCCTCACGAAAAAAGAGACAGGCTACTAGTTTTACCCAGGTGTTACGGTGACAATTCACTTTCTCAGACCTTACTATACTGTCCACCTTAGGCCCCAGGGCTTTTCTGTTGCTGCTGAGCTATCAGTGGCAGGGGGATCCATTTGGTTCTCACACACTGGTAATCTGGAATCACAGGGGAACTGAATGCCCTGGACGGTGAATGAACTTTTGACATGTGGGAGATTGAGGTAATAGATACACTTTTCTCCCTTCATTTCAGAGATTAACTGTCCTGAGAGGAAACAGTTTACTCAACATCTGGGAAGATGATCCCATGAGATCATGCCGTCAGTTGCAATTGACACCCACAGTAGTCAGCCCAGTAATGTATCCCATCGTATTTGTTCTCTTTTCTTCCCTTATTCCTATTTCTCTGGGATTTACCTGCAAATAAGTGAGCATATCAGCTTTTTCTTTAAGATCTGTTTTCTAGGGTACTTGACTCAAGGTAAATGTTTGTCATATAATGTTACATGAAAAAGTAAGTTACAGAATACTATGGAAAATAATGAATTTTATGTAAAAATATAAAAGCATATACACATTTAATTATTTGTGACATTGTAAAAGAGGACTGGATGGTACACATCTTTGAGAACAGGTAGGAGTAAATAAAAGATTGAATATTTATTTATTCTTCTCTAGAATTTTTAAGGTCATGTATTACATTTGCAATTTTTTTAAATACTGAAAAAAAACTTTAAAAAAATACTGAAAAATACTGAAAAAAATACTGAAAAAATATTTTAAAATATCATAAAGTAAGTTCATATTATGTTATACTTTAAATTGAACATATTGCATATTTTTATATCATTAATAACAAATTTTAGGCATTGGAAATAAACAATTAAAAAATGATAATATTGGAAAATGAGTTAAACAAAGTAAATGTTGACGTGGTTTTCTATTAGCTTTAACATTTACTGGTCCTAAAGTGAAATGTCCTTGTACGTAGAGTGGAATTACAACACAAAACAATGTCTTTTAAGGTTGTATTTATACAACACAAAAAAAAACCCACAAATCTATAAATCAACTGATTTAAAAAAAATCAATATGGATAAACAAGTAGATAAAAACTGTAAAAATTAACTGGTTAAATGACAGTATTTATTCACTGTGCTCTCAAGACAGACCTCTTTATCTTTGCAAAAAAAAAATAGCTCCTTAAGAGAAATTAAAATTGGTTTCTTCCCTTTAATCATATTGAAGTTTCAACTTCAATATTATAATAGTATTCTAATAAATATAATGCTTCTTTAGCCATACATGTTCATTTTTAAGATGTAGTATGAGGCTGGACACGATGGCGCATGTGTGTAATCCCAGCACTTTGGGAGGCTGAGGCGGGCAGATCACCTAAGGTCAGGAGTTCAAGACCAGCCTGGCCAACATGGCAAAACCCTACCACTACTAAAAATACAAAAAATAGCCGGGCATGGTGGTGGGCACCTGTAGTCTCAGCGACTCAGGAGGCTGAGGCAGGAGAATCGCTTGAACCTGGGAGGCGGAAGCTGCAGCGAGCTGAGATAGTGCCACTGTACTCCAGCCTGGGTGACAGAGCAAGACTCCATATCAAAAAAAAAAAAAAAAAAAAAAAAGATGTAGTATGAGGCTTCTATATCACCATAACTTGGATTTAAAACATTTTTCTTCATTTTATCCTGAAAGTGAGAAAATCTCCCCAAGAGAGGGTAGCATGTCCATGAAGGTAGTCTGAACAAAAGGTGATTGTGTAGGTTATTACAAACTGACTTGTTTTATTCAGTTATTACCTTTAAAATGCAACATACAAATAAATCATTTTGTTTTCACAAAATAATATAAAATTTCAGATAATTCTTACATACACTAGTGAATAATTTCAACTTTCTTTCTTGGCAATAAGGACAAACAATTGATTTTAGGGGCCAAAAAGTAGTCGTTAAACCAATATAAATCGTGCTTTCGTTTGTAGTGAAGGCAAAAGGCTTTGACGCTCCCACTAATTAGAAATATGTAAAATATGAGAAGAAATTACCAAACCAATTCATTTATATCCAGTAATATATATAGATGTATAAAATAGGTAAGGATGGAAGCATATAAAGTCCCCTTAATGTATAGATAAGTACAATTCTTGATAATGGTCTATTTATGAATTTTATGGTTTTCATGAATTTATACTGTCAACCTAAATACAAAACACAGAAGGAGATTGTGCAAAAGAAAATTATGTTTATTCAGAAATAGGTATTTCAGTGAAAACGTACGTGCCATAGCAACTATGTGAGTATTCAGGAAAGTAAAGGAAGACAGAGGTTTTTAAAGGAAAAATGAGGATTGTGTCACTGTTTTTAGATAATTATTCTGGCTACAAGGATCAGTAACAACAAAGGTGGTGCCAGTCCAAGGTTGGACAGGCAGTTGCTGGGCAGATGTTCTACAGAGGTGTAAGATTGTAAGGTTGTGATGGCCTTTGTTCAAGATTGTGGTTTTTGTGGACACTTTTGTGATACTTCTTATGAGGCATTTATGCATGAGAATTCTCCCTTCATGGCTTTCCTTACCTCTATTTGTCAGAGATTTTTAACACAAGTGACTGCATTTTGATTTTGACAATTTTCACAATGTTTAGGTCATAACTAAAAATTACAATAACTGGCTCCAAAATTAGCTGTTTCACACAAAGGTGTTAACTGATAAATAGGACAATAATAAGGAATATTTTAAAAGGTGATTGTTTATTAACCTCTGTTAAAAACAGGTTCAAGAATTTTGCACTCAGAACCAAGGATGGAGAGAAAGAAGTCCAGATTTATTCAGCAGAAAGCTCATATTCCTAAATGAGGATGAAGAGGCTAGGGTTACACAGGCTAGAAGCTCACATCCATACCGAAAGATGAAGGAGACCTGCGTTACACAGCTTGACACTTAAATGCCCATATCCAAGGAAGAAGGAAACCAGGGTTCATACAACCAGGAAAGTCATATTCATCTCCATATAGAAAAGGATTCCAGGGTTTACAAATCCAGGACATGCATATCTACATCTCAGAAACAAAGAAATTAGCCACTAAATTCATTACTAGTGGGAATATAAAATGGTACAACCACTCTGGAGAAGAGTCTGGGCATTTCCTAAAGCCCTAGATAAATACATAACCATTATACCACCCAGCAACTGCAGTTTGGGGTTTATCCTGGAGAAATGAAAACCTAGGTTTGTAGAAAAACCTGCCCAGGAATGCTCGTAACAATGTGATGTGTAATAGCCCCAAAGTGGAAACAACCCTACAGTCCTTTCAACAGGTGATTGGTTAAACCGACTATGGTACATCCATACCATCGAATAGTACTCAGCAATAAAAAGGGAACAAAGTATTGACACCTTGGTACCACTGGAAACTCACTTCCTAGTACAGAAAACAGGTGGTCAGGGTTTACAAAGTAAACACACTGAACGAATTTGCAGAGAACAATGCTGCAGGGGGAAAAAGCCAGTCCCCTAAGCTTACATATTACGCCATTCCATTTAAATAGAATTCTTGAAATGGCAACATTCTGTAAGTGGGGAACAGCTTAGTGGTTGCCAGGCATCAGGGCAATGGAGAGGGAAGAAGGTGGTTGGCACTGGAAGGACAATGGGAGGCATCCTTGTGCAGAGGAAAGGGTCTGTATGTTGAGTGCGCCGAGGTACTACAGCTGTCCAAGATGCCACCGGTGGGGGAAATAGGTAAAGGGTACACTGCGATCTTTGTATTATTTGTTATAAGTGCAGGTGAATCCTCCGTGAGCTGGTAAAAAAGATTTTAACTAAAATAGAGTTGAACCCTCCAGCACAGACTGACCTGAGTATTCTATCAGTACAGGTTGACCTGAGTATTCTGCCAACAGACTGACCTAGCAGGTCAGTCCCCAGGCCGGGCTCTACCCCTGGGAATGGCACCCCTCCTCCAGAGGAAGCATTTCCCAAATGCCCCAGGATAGGAGTTGGCGCGGAAGGAGAGCCAAGCCGGCGATGAAGACATTCTCCGCTGGACACAGGAACGCCAAGAGCCAACGCTAAGAAGCGGCCTCCACACTGGACGGCGGCCTCCATTAGCCAGCTGCTGCTGGTAAAACAAAGAGAAGGCCGTGGGCAGGCGGCGCTGAGTGCAGACTAAACGCAGTCCGCGGCGGCGGTACCTGAAAGCCAGCACAGATCCACCCAAATGGAGCCCTCGCCTCCCCACAGCTAGCGGGGCGCTCCCGCGGGGGTTCCGCGCCTCCCCTCCGCCAGGTGGAGCCAGTACTCGCAAGGGGGCGTCCGCGGTTCAGAGGTCACATACCGGCTGAAGTAAACCGCGCTCAGGCGGCCTTCAGGGGCGCGACCCCAGCGTCTTTCCTCGGCCCAAGCCCCGGCGCCGAGCAGAGACGACCTTAGCGGTCCTACACCTAGCGGTCCTGCAGGTCCCTGAATCCTCTTTGGATCAGCGCTGAGGAAAGGCGGGAGTGCGGCCGCGCGCCCTGCCTCCGCCGCCATGGCCCAGCTGCGAGCCTGCGAAGTCCGGCAGCTGCTGCACAACAAGTTCGTGGTGGTCATGGGGGACTCGGTCCAGCTGGCCGTGTACAAGGACCTGGTGCTCCTGCTTCAGAAGGACTGCCTGCTGTCCTCCAGTCAGCTGAAGGCCAAGGGCGAACTGAGCTTCGAGCGCGACATGCTGCTGGTGGGCTGCAGCAGTGGCCGCATGCACTACGACCGCCACTACCGCGAGGTGCGCCAGTTCCGCTCGGGCCACCACCTGGTGCGCTTCTACTTCCTCACGCGCGTGTATTCGCACTACGCGGAGCGCGTCGTGGAGGAGCTGCGTAGGGCCGAGCCCGCCCCGGACGTGGTGGTCATGAACTCCTGCCTCTGGGACCTCGCCAGGGATGGCCGGGGCTTCCCCAGGAGCTACCGGCGTGACGTGGAGAGCCTGTTCGTGCGGTTGGACTGGGCGCTGCCCACGTCCTGCCTTCTGTTGTGGAACACGGCCATGCCCGTGGCCGAGACCATCTCGGGAAGCTGCCTCCCATGCGCGCGCCAGCTCCGCCGCGCCCGCCTGCGCGAAGACGTGATGGAGGCCAACTTCTACAGCTCCGCCGAGGCGGCGAGGCGCGGCTTTGACGTGCTGGACCTGCATTTCCACTTCCGCCACGCCACGCGGCACCGGCTCCCCGACGGCGTGCACTGGGACGAGCGCGCGCACCGCCACCTTTCCCAGCTGCTGCTGGCCCACCTGGCAGACGCCTGGGGCGTGGACCTGCCCCGCCGCGAAGCCGTGGACGGGTGGCTCAGGCATGACCACGCCAACAGACGTGCAGCCCCGGCGGGCAGAAGGCAGCCCCGAGACGACCGACCGGACCCACACGGCCGAGGGGACCGAGCGGGCCGAGGAGACCTCCGTGCCCCTCGATCGCTCGCTTCGTTCTTCTGGGCTCGACCGCCTTTCCCTCCCCGCCGTCAGGTCGCCTTTCTGTCCTCTGACCGGCATTTCTCCAGCGACTCCTCCACGCGCCACATCCGACACAGCGGCGAAGAAAACGCCAGGGTTGGCCGCGAGTCGCGGCCGTTCCCCATCCGCACAAGCTCTGCTCTGCGCCGAGAGAGGAGGCATTCCCCTTACCTTCCGTGGCGCCCCAGCGAGCCACCCCTAAGCCAGCGAAGCCGCACACGCACACACAGAGGGGTCCCGAGAACACCCAGGACTCAGTAGTAGCCAGACCTGGGAGAACGTCCTGTCTTCCCCAGCATGGTCAATGGGCTGCCTGACCACTATCACACGGGCCTGGCCTTCAGCAGCTCTTCCGAGGTGGGGGTATTTTTACGCTTCCTACTCCAATCAGTGAACCGCTTTCCACATCACTCGTCTTTGCCAGAGCTTCCACGCCACTTTTTGGGAAGGGAGCAGGGACCCAGACCACCAGGCCGTTCTCCTCTAAGCATTTAGGGAGAAATGAAGTCTACATAAAAGTGCTCCCCGCCTTAAAAAAAAAAAAAAAAAAAAAAAGCAGCCATACCCGAATGTAAGTCTTCAGGCAGTATTTTCCATTGACATTATTCCAAAAAAAGGTAAAAATTTTGATCCTTAGAACTTAAACGTTTCAATTAAGATTTCCATTTCACCGTTCGTTTTTGAGTATGTTCATAGAACCTGATATCTAAAGCTTTCACCTAAGTTGTCTTACATATTCTTTACATTTCTCTGTGCTTCAACATAGCATTTGTCCTAAAAAAATTCCATTCACTAATGCAAGGTTGTTTATTTTCTGTTAGAAACATAATCTTTAAAGTTCATCGAATGCCTAGCACATTTTTAAAAATAGACTTTTTACTTTTTTTTTTTTTTAAGATAGGGTCTCACTCTGTTGCCCAGGCTGGAGTGCACTGGCTCAAGCGATCCTGTTGCCTCAGCCCCTCAAGTAAGTGGGACCACAGGCGTGCACTACCATGCCTGGCTAACTTTTTAAATTTTTTGTAGAGATGGGGTCTCGCCATATTGCCCAGGCTGTCGTCAAAGTCCTGGACTCAAGCAGTCCTCCTGCTTAAGCCTCCCACACTGTTGGGAATGCCTGGCCTCCCACAGCAGGGCACCTGACCTAGAATTTAATTTTTAGAGCAATTTTAGGTTCACAGCAAAATTGAGTGGACAGTACAGGGAGTTTCCGTATACTTTTTTGATTTCACACAGGCAAAGCCTCCCCCACTATCAATATCCCACATCAAATGGTACATTTGTTATCTTTGATGAAGCTACGTTAACACATCATTATCACCCCAACACCATAGTTCATTAGAGTTCATTCTTGATGTTCTCCATTCTATGGGTTTTGACAAATGTATAATGGCATGTATCGTCCATCATTATAGTATCATACAGAATAGTTCCACTGTCTTGAAAATCCTCTCTGCTCTGTCTCTGCATCCTTCCTGGAAACCATGGATCTATAACTGTCTCTATAGTTTTGTTTTTCCCAAAATGCTATATAGTTAGACATACAATATGTAGCCTTTTCAGATTGAGCTCTTCTGATTAGGAATTTAAGTTCCCAACATGTCTTTTCATGGCTTGAGAACTCATTTATGTTTTTTTATTTTTAATTTTTGTGAGTATATATTTATGGGGTACATGAGATGTTTTTATACAGGCACGCAATGTGAAATAATCACATCATGGAGAATGGGGGTATCCATCCCTTTATGCATTTATGCTTTGTGTTACAAACAATCCAGTTACACTCTTTTGGTTATTGTAAAGTGTACAATTGTTATTATTGACTGTAGTCACCCTGATATGCTATCAAATAGTAGGTATTATTCATTCTTTCTGTTTTTTTTGTACCCAATAACTCATTTATTTTTAGGGCTGAATAATATTCCATTGTCTGGATGTACCACTGTTTATCTATTCACCTACTGAAGGACATTATGGTTGTTTCCAAGTTTTGGCAATTATAAATAAAACTGTTATGAACATTTGTGTGCAGGTTTTTTGTAAATAAAATATAATTTGAATAATTATCAAGGAATATAACTGCTGGATCATGTGGTAAGAGTATGTTTAGTTTTGTAAGAAGCTGCCAGCCTGTCTTTCAATGTGGCTATACCATATTGCATTCCCATCCACATCCTTGGAATCATTTGCTGTTATCAGTGTTTTGGAGTTTTTCTGAAAAGTATAAGGTAGTGTCTAGATTTATGTATTTATTTTTGCATGCAGATTATTTTTGCATGCAGATGTCCAGTTGCTTCAGCACTGTTTGTTGAAAAGACTGTCTTTTCTCCATTATGTTGCCTTTGCTCCTTTGTCAAAGATCAGTTGACTATATTTGTGGCTATCTATTTCTGTGTTCACTATTCCGTTCTATTGACCTGTCTGTTCTTTTGCCAATACTGCACTATCTTGATTACTGGAAGTTTATAGTAAGGCATGAAGTCAAGTAGTGTCAGTACTCTGACTTAGTTTTCCTTCAATATTGTGTTGGCTACTCTGGGTCTTTTGCCTCCCCATGTAAATGTTAGTATCAATCTGTCAATGTTCACAGAGAGTTTGCTGCAAGTTCCCTTGAGATTACATTGAATCTATAGATGAAGTTAGGAAGAACTAACATATTGACAATATTGTCTTTGAGATCTCTCAAGATTTCTTCTTTGATCCAAGTGTTATTTACAAGTGTGTTGTTTAATCTCCCAGTACTTGGGGATCTTCAAACTACCTTTCTGTTACTGGTATCTAGTTTAATTTTACTGAGGGATTTGAGAGCAGACATTGTATGATTTTTATTTTTAAATTTGTTGAGGTGTGTTTTATGGCCAAGAATGTGGTCTGTCTTGGTGAATGTTCCATGTGAGCTTGAGAAGAATGTGTCGTCTGCTGTTGTTGGATGAAGTATTTTATAGATGCCATTTATATCCAGTTGATTGATAGTGCTGTTGAGTTCAACTATGTCTTTACTGATTTTCTGGCTGCTGAATCTGTCCATTACTGATAAGTGTTGAAGTTTCCAACTATAATAGTGTATTCCTCTATTTCTCCTTGGAGTTTTATAAGTTTGTGCCTCGTGTATTTTAATGCTCTGTTGTTCGGTGCATACGCTTTAAGGATTGTTCTGTCTTCTTGAAGAATTGACTCCTTTTATCATTATGTAAAGTCCGTCTTTATCTGTGATAACATTCCTTGCTTTGAAGTCTGCTGTATCTAAAATTAATGTAGCTACTGAGTTTTCTTTTGATTCGAGTTATTATATCTTTCTCCATCCCTTTATGTTTAATCTTGATATGTCTTTATATTTAAAGTGCGTTTCTTGTAGACAATATATAGTTGGGTCTTTTGATCCACTCTGACAATCTCTTTTTGTGTTAATGACAATTGATGTTTAATTATTGATATTGTTGGATTAATATCTTCCATATTACTGCATTCTATTCATTGTTTTTTATTCTTCCACTCTTCTGTGGTTTAACTGAGCATTTTGTGTGGTTCCATTTTTTTTCTCCTTAGCATATCACCTATAGTATACTTATTTATTTACTTACTTTTTTTTAGTGGTTGCTCTGGCATTTTCAATATACATTTGCATCTAATCCAAATCTACTTTTGAATAACACTATACTGCCTCATGGATAGTGCAAGGTTATCCATAAGTTACAATCACTAAATACATTATTGCCATTATTTTTATTTATTTATTTATTTATTTGAGACGGAGTCTCACTCTGTAGCCCAGGCTGGAGTGCAGTGGTGCGATCTCAGCTCACTGCAACCTCTGCCTCCTGGGTTCACGCCATTCTTCTGCCTCAGCCTCCTGAGTAGCTGGGATTACAGGCGCCCGCCACCACGCCCCACTAATTTTTTGTATTTTTAGTAGATCTGGGGTTTCACTGTGTTAGCCAGGATGGTCTCAATCTCCTGACCTCGTGATCCGCCCACCTTGGCCTCCCAAAGTGCTGGGATTACAGGCGTGAGCCACTGTGCCCAGCCTGCTATTATTATTTTTAACAAACTGTTGTATATTCAACCAATTAAGTAGAGAAAAATAAGTTCTTTTTTGTTTACCTTCACTTATTCCTTCTCTGATGCTCTTCTTTATGTGAAGCAAAATTTCTGACCTATATTATTATCCTCTCTGAAAAACTTCTTTTAACATTTTTTGCAAGGCAGGTTTACTGGCAACAAATTTTCTCCTATTTTTGTTTGTTTGGGAAGGTCTTAATAGGCATACCTCAGAGATACTGTGGGTTTGGTTCCAGACCACCACAATAAAGCGAATGTCTCAAAGCAAGTCATGGATTTTTTGGTTTCTCAGTGCATACAAAAGTTAGATTTACACGCTACTATAGTCCAGTAAGTGTGCAACAGAAGTAAGTCTAAAGAACCCAATGGACATAAGTTAATTTAAAAATTTTTATTGCCAAAAAATGCTAGCTATCATCCGAGCCTTTAGCAAGTTGTAATCTTTTTGTTGGTGGAAGGTCTTGCCTCCATATTGATGGCTACTGACTGATCAGGGTAGTAGTTGCTGAAGGTTGAGGTGGCTGTGTCAGTTTCTTAAAATATAACGTTGAAGTTGCTGTATCAATTGACTCTTTGTTTCACAAAATATTTATCTGTAGCATGCAGTGCTGTTTGACAGCATTTTACTCACAGTAGAACTTCTTTCAAAATTGAATCAATACTCTCAGACCCTGCATACTGCTTTATAAACTAAGTTTATGTAAAATTTTAGATCTTTTATTGTCATTTCAGCAATGTTCAGAGCATCTTCACCGGAGAAGTTTCCATCTCAGGAAACTATTTTCTGTGCTCATTTATAAGAACCAACTCCTCATTCGTTCAAGTTTTATCATGAGATTATAGCAATGTAGTCTCATCTTTAGGCTCCACTTCTAATTCTAGTTCCCTTGCTATTTCGACCACATCTGCAGTTGCTTCCTCCACTAAAGTTTTAAACCCCTCAAAGTCATCGATAAGGGTTAGAATCAGCTTCTTCTAGACCTCTGTTAATGTTGATATTTTGACATCTTCCCATGAATAAAGAATGTTCTTAATGGGCATCAAAAGTGAATTCTTTCCAGAACATTTTCAATTTATTTTGCCCAGATCCATCAGAGGAATCACTATGTATGGCAGCTCTAGCTTTATGAAATGTATTTCTTAAATAATAATTAAAAGTTGAAATTGCTTCTTGATCCATGAGCTGCAGAATGGATGTTATGTTAGCTGTCATGAAAACAACATTAATCTGTTTATATATCTTCATTGTAGCTTTTGGATGATCAGGTGCATTGTCAATGAGCAGTAATATTTTGACAGGAATCTTTTTTTTTGGAGCAATAGGTCTCATCAGTGGGCTTAAAATATATATTAAGAAAACCATGCTGTAAACAGATGTGCTGTCATCCAGGTTTTGTTGTTCCATTTACAGAACACAGACAGAGTAAATTTAGCATAATTCTTAAGGGTTCTAGGATTTTCAGAATGGTAATCATTGGCTTCAACTTCAAGCCACCAGCATTAGTCCCTAACAAGAGATTCTCCCGTCCTTTGTAGGCTTGAAGCCAGACATTGACTTCTCTAGCTATGAAAATCCTAGATGGCATCTTCCAATATAAGGCTCTTACCTCTACAATGGAAATCTGTTGTTTAATATGTCCACCTTCATCATTGTCTTTGCTAGATCCACTAGCTTTCTCCTTTTCTTCTGCAGCTTCCTCACCTCTCTTGGCCTTCAAAAAATTGAAGAGAGTTACAGCCTTGCTCTGGATCGGGCTTTGGCTTAATGGAATGTTGTAGCTGGTTTGATCTTCTATCCAGATCACTTAGACTTTCTCCATATTTGCAATAAGGCTCTTTTGCTTTCTTATCATTCATGTGTTCACTGGAGTAGCGCTTTTTATTTTCTTCAAGAACTTTTGCATTCACAACTTGGCTAAACTGTTTAACACAAGAGGCCTATCTTCCAACTTATCTCGCATTTTGACCTGCCTTTCTCACTGTTTAATTATTTCTAACTTTTGATTTTAAGTGAGAGACCTGCAACTCTTCCTTCTACTTGAACACTTAGAGGCTATCATAGGGTTATTAATTGGCCTAATTTAAATATTGTTGTGCTTCAGAGAAAATGGAGGCCTGAGACGAGGCAGAGGGATGGGGGAATGGCGAGTCAGTGGAGCAGGCAGAGCACACACGACATTTATCAGTTAAGCTTGCCCTCTTATATAAGTGCAGTTCATGGCATCACAAAACAATTACAGTAGTAAAATCAAAGATTGCTGACCATAAATCACCATAACAGATATAATAATAATAATAAAAGTATGAATTATTGTGAGAATCACCAATATATCACACAGAGACACAAATTGAGCACATGTTGGGAAAATACCATGGATAGACTTGCTCAATGCAGGATTGCCACAAACCTTTAATTTGTAAGAATCATAATATCTGCAAAGTGCTATAAAGTGAAGCATAATACAGTCAGCTATATCTGTACTTCTCCTTCACTTTGAAGAATAAAAGATACAAAATTCTAGGTTGGTATTTTTTTTCCTTTTTTCTGAACATTTTAAATATATCACTCCACTCTCTGCTTTTTAGTTGTGGAAGTTTCTATGGACATATCCTCAAGCTCATTAATTCTTTCCTCAGATATGTCTAATGTACTAACCACACCATCAAAGGCATTCTTCATTTCTGTTACAGTGTTATTGGCTTCTACAATTCTTTTTGATTCTTAGAATTCCATCTCTCTGCTGAATTACCTAATCTGTTCTTGAGTGTTGTCTACCTTTTTCTATTAGAAGCTGTAGCATATTAATAATAGTTGTTTTAAATTACTGGTTTGATAATTTCAAAATCCCTGCTATATCTGAGTCTGGTTCTGAGCTTGTTCTGTCTCTGCAAACTGTGTTTTTTTTTTTTTTCCTTTTATTATGCCTTGTAGTTTTTTGTTGAAAGCGGGACATGATGTACTAGGTAAAAGGAACTGTAGTAAATAATCTTTTAGTTATATGGTAGTAAGGTATGGTGGGAGGAGAAGCATACTATAGTCCTGTGATTAGGTCTCAGTCATATAATGAGGCTGTATTGCTGGGCTGTAATCTTCACAAGTGCTTCTAAGTTTTGCCCCCACTTAGTGGGACAGGATGGCTTAGAGGGGGCTGGAGTTGGGTACTTCCCTTCTTTGATGTCAGTTAGGTGCTGATAAAACCCCAGTAGATTAGGTTCCAGCAAAATAGTTTCTCTTGAGGGCAGCATGTGTTAGGAATAACAGAATTATCTGAGCATATTTCACAATGGCTGCTTTTTCCCTCTCCATGCAGAAAGGATAGGGAATATTTCTTTCCTTTTTACTGTGAGAACCTGGTAGAGCTCCTGAAAGTAGAACCTAGAAAACATGGGGCTCACCTAAAACTGGGCTCTCCTGGAGTTTTTAGCATTCAGGTTTGTTCATACTGAGCCTTCAGCAATTAGCCAATTACAGTTTAAGTTTTCCTCTCTTGACCCAGCTCCCACAAGGTTTATTCTCCTTTAAGTTGTGCTTCTCTGTATTTGCCAGTCTGTTCCCAATTCGGGGGATAATGGTTTGCCCTGTGTTCTCAATTCTCTGAGGGATCTAAGATTTGTTGCCTTTCAGTTTATTCAGTATTTTAACTGTTAGAATGGAGTGATGACTTCCAAGCTTCTTACGTGCTGAACCAAAACTGGAACTCCCGTCTAGCACGTTTTGAAGTGGCCCAGAGAACTGAAACACATTGCACTGTAAGCTACAGCTCCCACTAAACAATTTTTATTGTCTATTTTTATTCCTTAACATTATCTACTCTTTATAGTTTATGCTTTTTAAAAAACTTTTGGTTAAGAAATTGGTCTACTTTCCCATCAACTATCTTTGGTTAGAACTTTACATTGACTACCCCTTCTGGTAATACTGCCCCCCATATGACAAATCAAAGTATGGGTTTACTCCAGGCTGCCCTGACTCTCTGTCTTTGCATCCTTTCCCCAGCTATAGTGTGGCATATTCCTGGGGTAGAAGCCCTTCTGCCAGGCTGCATGCTGCAGGAGGTACATGCAAAGTAAACAAGACAAAATGAACATCATCACACATTCAGCTTCATTACATGAACGGGAAATTGAAAGCAACATTTCCATCACATTTTCTCAATAATCAATGCCATGGAATTTTAATAATGAAAGATAGAGATTAGTACATTGTGATGTAGAGTGTTTTCAGGGAACTAGGATATTGCCTGAAAATAAATAGCATTGAACATTTCCTCACTGTTAAGTTTATGCTAGGTCCTCTTATGTCTCGCTTATCATAATTCTCTGAAGCAGGTTCCTTTGAAAAAGGCTCCATTCTTATCCCATCCTTTGTTACACTCTCTCCATGTTTTCATAGACCGTAAACTCGCTAATGCATACACATGGCAGGGACCAAGTCTCATCTCAGTGCATCTTGTGTCACGGTGTACCCATCAATCCACTGTGCACTGAAAAAAGACTACAGCCCTACAACCTCTTTACTCGGGTTTTGTGCATGCTGCTTAATTTCACTGCATCTGTCAAGCCGTTCTTTATCGAAGAGTCTAACAGCCTTTGAGTGCACGGTGCTCTATCACTTATGTAGGGGTTATATTGATCTTTCTGGTGTGTGCTCTAAAGTGGCTGGCATCAAAAGCCAGTGAGGCAGCCAGTTTGAGCAGTATGGGCCATTTACAAACTTCAGGATGAGATGTTGCAGGATGCCAGGGAAAACATTTTTGTTTTTCCAGAGGGAACCATAGTTCATGAAATGTGGTTAATGTACCATGTTTGTATACCCTTAAAATCATTTTATAACCACACTGAGTGCCTCTAAACATTAAATATATTTTATAAGTAGTTGGTTAACTAGCTGTTGTATGCTTTAAATAGTAAATAAAATGGAAAGGCACTAAACAGTGACTATATTTCATAGAGTAAGATGCTTTTCCAGCCACTCAATAATTCTCAATGTTAAGAAAAATTGATTTTAGAGGCTGAGTGCCTCTAAAAATTAGCATCTTATCTTCCTACAGGGGATGATATTCAGTTAGTCTCCTTTCTTCCAGCTTTTGACTTAATGGTCTCTAAGGGTCCCTCCTTTCTGAAAAATTCTGTAGGTTATGTTGGATTATAATTTGGGCATATATGTAATTAACTGGGCAAAATATAAATCAGGAAGCAGTTCCATCTTGGCTTTTTTTGAATCTTAATTGCAAAAGAACTAGCTCTTCACACACTAACCATTCCATAACTCCCATCTCTTCTCTCTCCACCAAAGACTGCATAGAGTCCAAGCACTGCATAGAGACACCTATAGCAAATTAAATCATTTTCCTAATTCTTTAGCAACTCTGGCCTTTAAGGAAGTCATATTGCCAATATTGAGACTTTTAAGATAAATAGAGTAATAGCTGACAGCATCACAAAAGTTGAGAACTGAAGTACTCAGATACTCCACAGTTATGGAAAACTGTGTTAAAAGAAGATGCAACTCTTAGTCCTGCCTAAACCACAACCAGCTGGGTGACCCTTGAGATGTCACAGGGCATCCTTGAGTAATCTGTTATAACCTCGGTAATGTAACTCATCAGTCAAATGCATAGTTTGAGCTAGATTCCAGAACCTGGCAGCAGGATAATCTCCATGGGTTCCTTTTAGATCTAATAATTTATAAATTACTTCTAGCTGTTTATCTCATTCTGAAGAACCATGTGTCTCAAGTGTTCTCAACAGTTCCACAGCAGTGGGTGGCTGGCATGTTGAAGCCTGAGGAAGAACAGATAAGCATCAAACTTCCTGGGTACATATGCTTATACTTAGAAAGAATGCAAAGAGTGAACAAAATTCTTCTCAGATACACCCTCAAAATTCCCACTGATGTCATTAGGAACTATGTGGGATTAGATGAGTATGCGTTGCTGATTTGAGTCAAATCCAGCAGTGAGCTGGCACTGATTTTTCCAGGTTAGAATGATGTTGCTTCCTGGTTCACAGACTTGAGAAAGATGTGGCAAAAAGCAAAACCCCAGGATACTATAGATTATAATTTGGGCACATATGTAATTAATTGGGCAAAGATCTCTGAGGTGGCGGTATTGCATCAATTGCCATTGTATCCCTAGCATCCAATCAATAGCAGTTGATCAGTGAACATCTGTGGAGCTAAACTGAATCCCATAAACAAATGCAGCATAGCAGACAAAAAATGTAAACTGTCTAAAATGAAAATCCAAGAAGGCTGAGGCAGCACTCAAAATGAGCCCTCTAGTCAATAGTGTTATAACAGAAATGCCACGAAAATCATAATCTCCCAAAAAAGGAATCATTTCGCTGATTGGATTCAATCCAGAATTTGCTTTTCCAGCCAAAAAGCAGAGTAGGGTCCCACCCTTCCTCCCAACACAAATACATCCTCAAATACAGAGAAGTAAGGCAAAGGACACAGACAATGTCACCTTACTACTGAAGTAAACAATAGTAATTAACAATAGATGGCTTACCTTGTGCCAGCTACTCTTCCAAAAGCTCTATGGGTATTATCTAATTTAAATCTCACTACAGTCCTCTTAGGTAGACATTGTTATTGCCATTTTATATTATAGTTAAGGAAAAACATGCACCAGTGTTTTGAAAAACCTCAAAGTCTGGGCAATTTAGAAGACAGATGACTGACTCTGTAGCAATAGTCACTATAGATAGCTCTGTATTTAAAATCTGAACTTCTAGTGGTCTACCACTATACAAATAAAAATATTCTCCAATTAATGTAAAACTCCATGATGTGAGAAAGCATTATAGAAAAGAACAATATGAAACACAGGAAATGAGTCAGCAAACCAGAAGTCCAAAATGATGTGGCCAGGAAAAGAAACAATTACCATAGCCACAGTTGGAGAAAGATTTTATCTGTCCCATTGGGTATGATCTCACTATGTATAATCCCAGTGATTAGGATATGTGTATATTCGTAACTTTTGATGCACTAGAGAATTAAATAGGCCAATAATTTTGTATACAAAAGGGCATTTTTTTTCCATGGCTAGCCCTAGGCAAAATTGTAGACTATGATGGAGTAATGGGCTTATATATCAGATCTGGATATGAATTATGACTTTTACCAACTGGTCACAAGTCCCATGGCTGTCCTGACAGAGGTCCAGGACCCCTTCCTGAACAGCAACCATGGTAGCTCACTAGTATTTAATTTTTCCTCTTAACTGTGGAATGCAACCTCATGTTAATAAGACTTAGATAAAATAGGTGAGTAAACAGAGAGTAGACCCAACTTTTGAACGCCTCAGTGGTTATATCTACTTCTCCTATGTAGAAGACTAACCCTGATTATTAACTTATTCGATGTTTAGTCAACAGATGTTTGTTGAAACATACAATGTGTCAGAAACTGACTAGTATCTGGGGATAAATCTAGTGAGAAAGGTCTCTACAAACATTGCTAACAAGGGAGACTAACAAATATAGTGAAGCACTAATAAGTGCTAGGAGAAACGTAAAGGAGGCAGTGTGGCTTGGCAAGGAGTATGGTGATATCAGATATCAGATGATCATGAAAGGCACTGCGGAAATTACATTTAGCACAGAGCTGAAGGAGGTGAAGGACCAAGTCATGAAGATACTTAGGGAAAAGGGTGAAACCCTGATGTTTCAAGGTAGATGTATGTTGTCATATTCAATGAGTTTTAAGTAGCAGAAGGGTCAAGCTGGGAAAGGGTAGCTGGTTAGCTCAGATCAATCAGGTTTCATCCTTAGCCTTATAGGCCATAATAAGCATTTCGGTTTTTATTCTAAGAGAGATGAGAAACATGAAAAAATCGTATGATCCTTTAGGTTTTAAAAGGACCATTCTGGCTATGGGTTGAGAATGGGGAGGAGGCAGAGTGAAATGAAGGTGATAAGTTAGAAGACCATTGCAAATCCCAACTTTCTTTCAAGGCTTGGGCAAGGATGATTTTGCTGGAGGTGGTGAGAAAAGGTTGATTTGGGAGACATTTGGGATTAAAGCCTGGAGCTTTGCTGATGATTTGGATATGGGATGTGAGGAAAAGAAAGGATGCAAACATGACTAAGATTTTTGCCTGAGCAACCAGAATATTAACTAAATGATTATAGCATAATCTCAGTTTTCTTTCCTCAAAGACATCTGTTTAACTTTTCAGATTAGTTATGACACCACACAACTTATCACACACAAAAAAAGAAAAAGAAATTCTATCACATTATATCTAGCCTCCACTCCCTAACAGAAGTTGAGGTCATTTACAACATTAAAACCTAAATAAAGTCAAACAGTTGGAATAGAAATAAAAACACAAACAAATAGAAGTGAAAAATAGTAGGAAGACATAGAACCTAGGAAATATTCCCTACTTCTGTTTCTAGCTGAAAGAACAAGCTAAATTGCTTGAATTCCAGAACTTCAAATCAAGGAACATGTTTCCTCAGATGCTCCACCCAAACTGTAATAATTGCTTAAGCCCCACAAATCCAGAATTAACACAATTTGCTAAAGTAGGCTGGTGCCAGCCCGAAGGTATATCAGGGACAAACACTACAGAATGAGAGAAGAAAGGTCATTCACCAGGTTTGGGGCCATAAAGAATACACAATTGTCCACTTCCCTGCCTGCAGAGCCTGTCTCTTCCTTGCCAATTCCCTTTACCACGCATCCAATAAGCCCCGGTTTTCTGGGTGAAGTGTGCCTTTTTTCCCTAAGACTCTTGATTCCTCGAAGTTTTAAGTTTTTCTACCAACCCATTCTTCCTCAAATTAATAATACTGTGAGCTGAGACTCGTCTGTTCTGTGTGACCCCTTTTTGCCTCCCAGGGACTCTTACGCATATCCCTAAGACATAAAAGGAACCAGTTTGTCTTTCCTTTTCCTACTCGAAGGAATGTGTGAGAGTCATTTCTGTTGAGCCATTGCCCTGACACCTAATATTTTCATAAGGAATAAGCAAACTGTCAGGTTTAGTCAGACTCGACACTCCTCATAGGCAACTTCAGAATTTAAAGTCACCAGCACTAAGATTACTCACCTTTTCAAACAGTCTCTAATCTGAGCTCCATGTTTGGGAGTTGAACTAGGCTGGCACCATTGCTTTAAAGTCTTAATTATTTCAGCACAGGATGGTTATGGAGAGGCTTAGAAAGTACTATATAATTTCATCTGTTTAATAACATTTCAGGAACTGGAATCAAAAGAATGGTAATACTCTAGATTCCAGTGTCAATGTCAAACCTCCCATGGATGTGGTCTTACAATCTGGATCTGAGGAAGGGGTTAAAAGCATTTCAGATAAAGAAAAGAAACTTAGCCTTGCAGCCCACCTGGAACATCACCATCCCCTTAATGAGTAAACCTGGCAAATCTTTCCAATAAGGAAGAAAGTAGAAGCAGAGTCCTCAGTTCCCTTTCATACAACTTATGATACCAGAACCAGAAGGGCCAAGAGGAACAAGGCAGCCAGACGTACCATTCCTGAAATAAAAGTCAAAAAATGGAAACACAATAATCTCTTGAAACCCCTCCCACATATAAACACTGACCTGGGCGTGGAAATAAGAGGACACCTGTCTCCTCAGACTGGGCCACAGACACTGGCATGGAAATATCTTTGAAGGTAGTTCCCCACATCTGTCTTCTGAAAGCTATACATAGATATTTTCCTTAATGATAATTTTTATTGATCACTTATTGTGTGCCAGGAATTATATGATTTCTTTACTTGTAGGTCATGGTAACTTTAGGGAGTACCATTATTTCCCTTAAGATACACATTCCTTACCCACAGTAGATTTTCCTTCATTTAATTCTAAGTCTTGTTGATCCACATTGTTTTCCCAAGACTTCGAGAGTAACAACACTTGAGTGGTGAAGTTCAAAATATTTTAGACTAATGAAAATGACCTTGAGACAACATAATCTAAAGTTTGAGTTCTGACTTAACCTCTTAGTCTTATTTAGTAATGCTACATAAGTAATGCCCCTATTGCCTCCTAAATAGTTCATTTCATTTTAATCTTGTCCCCGTTCTGAAGCTGAGGCTGGATTAGAAAAATTGACTTGCTTCCATGAAGATGTCCAGTATAGATGTATAGGGCAGGCTACAATCCCATAATCAACAGGTTTGATGACTGGGAGACACCATGGGTGGGGCTAAAAGTCCTCTAAGAACCCAATGATCATTAGTGAGGAGAGACAACCCCCTTCCTCCAGCTCTTGGTGTTTGGATGTTTGAGCTGTCAAATGAGGATTCTTGGAGATTTTAATTATGCTTTGCATTTGAGGTCAGAAGCTGGGCTTTGTTCTTCCTTGTCACCCTATACCCTGCGCAGAGCCTGACATGCAGAAGATGCTCAGCCATGTTTTGGGAGAGAAGGGAGGGAGGTAAAAAAGAAGGGAATGACATATGGTTAAACACAGGACTAGATCAAAGAATATGCTTGCAAATAAATATTGCCCTGTGATATGTCTTCTGTTTTTAATCTTGAGGGATATTTTTTATTATTTCACTTTTTATTGTTTAAAAATTTTTTTCCTTTAATAGGAATAAACTATGAGAACAAATATTTGCCTTTTTATTTTATTTTTCATGTCTGCTTTATGGCAGCAAGCACAGGATTAGCAGAGGCTTTACAATATTTATGATTTGACTTACTTGCAATGAATATTATTTCATATTGATTGAACTTTAAGTTAAATAAAATTTTCATGCAAACTTTTTTTGCTTTTTAAAAAGCTTCTTCAGATTCTGAAGTTTAAATCTTGTCCCCATTCTGAAGCTCAGAGTAGATCAGAAAAAAATGACTTGGTTTCATGAAGATGTCATGCATATTAACATACATTTTCTATTTCCTAACAATTATTTGACATGGATTTCATGTGGACTTTTCAAGTGATTTGCCTTAAAATATTACCTAAATTATTAACTCAAAATTTCAATTGCATATACAACATTCTAAATTCATCTCCAATTTTTCCCTTCAGGATTCATTATTATACTTTTATTTATTAGCAAAGAGATACATTTTTTGAGTAACTTCCCTAATCAAACATTTTAAAAGTACACAGATACACCCCAAAGAGCCTGTAGCTTTAGTCTGATCTCTAAAAATTGCAGATAAGCCTCTATATAGAAGATAGTTGAAATGTATTTATTATAAATTCAAGGGACAAGATTATTCATGATTTCCTAGCTGTATGGTACTAGATGAAATCATTCATAATTCGGGCAAGTTAACACTTCGTTCCTATTAACATGTGGAGATCTAGATAACAGTCAAGATCAAACCAACAGAATTTCATTCAAATTTGGAGAGTTGGAGAGAACCAAAAGTTTGTTCTAGGAAGCAATAAAAAAAATGAGGTTTGGTTAAATTCTAAGATCAATAAATTAGTATGATTTATTTGAAGCTGAAGGTTATGAAAAGTCCATTTTCAAAACACTGGTTGATTGTGTTTCTGAACCAAAAAGCCAACAAATATTTACTGAGTGTCTACTATCTCCATGGCCCTATTAGGTGCTAGTGATGGATACAAAAAAATATATAAAATATGATTGGTGATTACCCACATGAAGCTTTCAATCATGTTAGAAAGGAAGAAAAAGACACTTATGCATAAAAAGTTACAATATCAACTGGTGTTTTGCAAATTAGTTCATATTTACTTTGTTCTTATTCTCTTTTAAAATTCTCAGGAAGCTACATGTAATTTCTAGAAAAGGTGATAATTTAAACAATGTTTAAAATTTAGTAGAAAGAATTAGGCCAAAATAAATATTTAAGTGTAAAATTCAAACAATTGTTAAAAATGTATTTTACAGGCAGAACAAACAAGGGAAATTATATTTATTAAAACTCAGATGATTAGAAAAGCAACCAGCGGAGCTGGATAAAAGAAAGTTTAATATAAAACTCTTGGAGGACAACAGCCTTGGTGCAATGAAAGGTGTCCAGACCCAGGAGGGCTTCCATCAGAGCACTTCCTTTCTTTCCGGACCCTGCAGAGTACAAAATCCTCGTAGGTGCATCCTTAATTATTTCTTCACATAACACAGAAGCATGAGCCAGCTTTAAAATTCTAGCTAAAGAATAGGGCCTTGGGCATCAAATACATGCACACATAAGGAAGTTCTTTCATACTTAGGAAAGTAGAGACTGAACTATTGTGCAAGCAGAAAGGGTAAGAAGCCAGGAGAGGCCCCAGAGTATACCATTCACTATGTGTGCAGTAATTTCTGTAAGAAGGTAGTGACATGCTTGTCTGCCTCACAGATTACCCGCCCAGAAAGCCTATGTTAAAGAAAGGAAAAAAAAAAAAAAAAAAAAAGTTGACCAAAAAGTACTAGTAGAGCATAGTCTCTTATAAAAAAATATTTTTATAAATAAAAAGAAGTGCACTTTTATGAGCAAGGTCACATTTACCTTCAGGAAACTGTCATGTTTGGGAGTTGGGTGTGGAGATGGAGCAGCTTGTGTTTGGGGTAGACAAAGAATGCATTACCTGTAAGGCAGGTAAATTATCAAGTGGGAATCACTTACCTCCTGTTAGAACTACAGGAGATGTTGAAAACTATTTACTTACTAAATAAACAAGCAAATAAAATGAAGATGAGGGGTTAATAGAACTCAATTCAGGACACAAAAACAGTGCAGAAAATCATGAAGATCAACAGAAATATTATTGCTACTGAAGAACAAATGATTTGAGGAATAGATGGGGACAGATTGCAAAGGTCAAGAAGTTTAAGCTTTTGGACTTGAATCAATGAGCAATGGAAGGTCCATTAAAGCTTGAGAGGCCAGGAAGGCTAAGGATAGGGCCAGCTGGAGAATATGAATCAAATTCCGATTCAGGAAGATTTATCTGGTAAGCTTGTGACATAACAAAAATTAAATGTTTGGTCTCTGCCCCTGGCTTCTGGCATACAGTGTCTAAAACCTTTGTAATTTCCTGACCAGTAGGGGTGCTGGATGTATCTTTTGTCCTAATATTTGGTCTTTGACCCGGTTCCTGACACAGAGCTTCTATCCTTTAGGATTTTTTGGTTGATAGGAGCATCATTTATTATAATGAGGCAATTTTTGTGGGCTCCTAGATATGGGCTGATCACCAGAAACACCAAACTATAATTAGAAGCTTGAAACATTCAGCTCTTGCACCCGAACCTCTGGGAAGAAGAGAAGGGCTGGAGATTAAAAATCAAACATGCCTATGTGATGAAGTCGACATAGAAATCACTAAACTATGGGGTTCAGAGAGCTTACATGTTGGAGAACACATCTGCCTGCTGGGAGAGTGTGGCACAGAGGCTTCTATGTTTGGGGCCCTTCCAGACCTTGACCTAAATATCTCTTCCTCTGGCTGTTTAACTGTATCCTTAAAATACCCTTTGCAATAAATTAACACTAGTAAGTAAACTGTTTTCCTGGGTTCTGTGAAATGATGCTCTGGCAAATTATCAAATCTGAGGAGAGGGTCATGGGAACATCCAATTTGTAGCCAAGTCAGATAGAAGTCGTAGGTAACCTGGGGACTTACTAACTGCAGTTGGCACCTGAAGAGTAGAAGAAAGTCTTGTGAAACTGAGTTCGTAAACCATAGGGTCTGTGCTAACTCTGGTTGGTGTCAGAATTGAATTGGATTATAAGACATAGAGTTGGTGTCTGCAGAGAATTGGAGAATTGCTCGGTGTGGGGAAAATCCCACATTTGGTCACTGATGCATGGAGTGTGAATATAGAGAAAAACAGTTGTTTTTTTCCTATACAAAGGTGTATAGCTCAAATCAAAGCAATGAGAAACCAGAATCAAGAAAGTCAATTAAGAGACTACTATAACAACACAGATACAATGTTATTAGGAGACACAAAATTTTAAGAAGAGAGAAAAATTTCCTGGAGATGAAAAGAAACTATTACGTTGTGGGTAATATGATAATTCCATTTTTGAAACACTGAGTTTCAGGTACATGGGGAATGCATGTGCAGGTTTATCATAGGAATTTGAAAATTTGGGTCTGGAACTCAGGATAGCAGTAATGGCTGGAGGTATAGACATGCAGGTCACCTGTATAGAGGTGGTGGTTGAGTCATAGAGGGAAAATGCCCACTGAAGAAGACAAAGAGGAGTGGAGGGTCCAGGTGGAAACCTGCATTAGGAGGATGAAGGAGGGAAGAGGGAGTTTTAAAAGGATAGAAAAAATCCCAGCTGATAAATAGAAATGGAAGCAGGACCAATGCCTAAGGAGGAGAAAATTTCCATAGTTGTGGAATGAGGCAGAGAAGGCAAAGGGAATTAAGTTTGAGAACAATCTATGAGGTGCTAAATAATGAAAATTGTGGAAAATGGGGGAATAAATTATAAGAGAAGCTCAATAATGAAAGCCAGAAAAAAAAACCAAAAAACTAAACTTAGGCCAACTCTAAAATGCAGATGCACAATACAGGTTGCTGCCAAATTAACCCCCTTAAAATGCACCTTTGCACACCACCTTCCATTATCAAAAACAAACAGTGGTTCTTCATTAGGGTAGAATTCAGTATAGCTCTCCTTTTTCCATCACCCAAGGCCCTTCAACAATTGGGCCTTGCCTATTTCCTCTCTTCTATGCTCATAAGTGGACTACTCTAATCAAAATGGTCACTGTTGCCAGCTTAACTGATGTGTTTGTGGTCTGAGCACTACCACCATTGGCACTGAAGTTGACAATTTTTTATGTCTTTCTTTCTTTTTTGGAGACAGAGTCCCTCACTCTCTCACCCAGGCTGGAGTGCAGTGACGCAAACATGGCTCACTGCAGGCTTAACCTCTTGGGCTCAAGCAATCCTCCGGCCTTGGCCTCCCAAAGTGCTGGGATTACAGGGGTGAGCTGCTTTCTCTTAAGCCTAAAATTTTAACTCTCCTTTTCTCCATATCATGTTTTCCCAGGAAGACTTTCCCTCTTGCGCTGGCTCTGGGAAGATTACTTCTGTTATCATTCATATGGTACCTAATATTACAAGAGAAGAATGCTGATAGTACTAACTTTTGTCTGCTCTACTTATCCCATAATTCACCTATCTCAAACCAATTCATTTATCCAGTGTTTAGCTTCTATACCCATATTTCAGAAATGTATTGAATAAAGATGCACAATTAGTTCATTTTAATGTCTCTTAGTAAGGTGATGTCCTTAATTGCACTCAGCAGGCCTTTGTATCTCCCCTTTAGTTCAGTTCCCTTCTCCTTAGCTTCTTTGAATTATCAACCACTTTTTGGCTTCATAGGTCATGAGTTCCTTCAGGTTTCCCTCCTGCCCCTAAGGTATAAACTTCTCTATATCCACAACCTTCTATAAGCCTTTTCCTAGGGGAAGAACTTAGTTTTCTCCTAACTTGCTCTAGGTCTCAGGTTCTCCAGCTTTTACCAATTATCTTTTATTAACCAACTTTTCATCCTTTTCAAACTCTCACCTTCTCTTTCTTCCTTTCAAAGCAAGTTTCTTGAAAGAATAATCTATACTCTTTCTTCACTTTCTCTCCTTCATTCAGGTCTCAATCCATTGTAATCTGGCTTCTGTCCCACTATCTTTTGAATCTCTTTTCATCAGGGTCACTAGCTACTTTCTGATTCTCAAGTCCAGTGACCGTGTTGATGTTTCTCTGACATTTAACAGTTGACCACATGTTTTTAAGAGGGCTCTGTAGTGTTACAACACATTTTTTCTTGCATCTCCCATCAGGTCTAGGGCTCCTCTTTCATTTGTGCTGTTTCTTAGCCTCCTGTTTTGACTATCCTTTTCCCTGTGAATCCTGTTAACTCAAGGGTTTCCATTTTGACCATTAGAATTACCTAGGCTGTGTTTTAAAAATATTAGTGCATGAGACCCACCTCCAGAGATTCTAGCTGAATGGGACTGGAATGGAGCCAAGGCAGCACTTTTTCCAAGCTCCCTGAATGATTCTAATGTGTACCTGTGGTTAAAAGCCACTGTCTTAACTCATGGTTCCCAATTTTGTCTCTTCAGAAGATCACTTGGGGTAGGTAAACATAAACATACCCACATCCCTCCTTTTTGACGTTCTAGTTGACTAGGCCAAAACTCAGAAACCAAAAAGTTACCAGACACTCTCCCTTCTACACACATCCACTGGGCAACACTTAGAGCCATAGCCTTTTGGAGCATCTACCATTTGCCAGAAAACTCACATTTTTTTCTCTCTCTCTGAAGCCTGTATGAAGTGTCCCTCAAGCTAAGAACTTTCTTAGAGTATTTTCCATATATCTATGACTTGTTTGTTTGTGTCTCCTTTACTTAACTGTGAGTTCCTGCAGGGCAGGCAATCTGTCTTATTCATTTTTATATTTCACAGTGACCAGCAGCTGGTCCAGCACATATTAACTCCTAAATAAACATATACATATATATTTTTGTGAAATAATGAATGAATAAACAAATTATTTTCACATACATAGTCGATTTCTAACACAAGATATAGAGGATGTTCTAAGCCTGTTTGTATTCTTGGCACTTAAGCAAATTAGGCTAAGTGTTCATGATGATGAATGAGAATTTTTGGCAATCTGTGTCTTTACCTATAGAATCCTTCTGTATCCTTATGTGACTCATTTTTTGTTTTTATTTTTTTTCTTTCCCAGCTTCTTCTCTGTTGATACTGTTCCTAACTTGGCCAAATGAATTATACGCAATGTGGTATATATTTGTGATTCTCCTTTGTGGGAGGCAGAGTGCACATGGACTTTTGAGTCAAATATATTTGGACGTCTGTCTCTTTCCTTGTCATTTATATAATGGGGATAAGACCTACTTGTGATGATTACAGATATGAGAAGCTCTGGACAGTTCTAATTTTTTTCTTATCAGTCACTGCTTTTATGTGAAAGATTATACAATTTATATAAATCCAAGGTACAGTTTTTCTTTAGCTTTTTCATTGCCCCCTCCATACACATGACTATATCTTCACTAATTCTTCCTTTTTCCCTCTGAAATGTTGAAAATGTTGGGCCTCTCTTTCTATTCAAGCCTAAGGAATCCACCTGTGTCTTTAATCATGTTAACACTTTGTCTGCCTAGACAACTCTGATTCATCCCTGAAAACCTTCCTGATACAGGGTTAGGCATTTCTTCCTCTGTATTAACTCTGTCTGGACAGGAGCATTTTTGTCTTTGCATAAGTCATAATGGACTGTAATTTTGTTGTATTCATTCTGTCCAATAGATTTCAAGATTCTCTAAGACCAAGATTTTTTTATCTTTCTCATTTCAGTGCACTGCTGAAATATGGACACTTGATATTTGTGGAGTTGAATTTAGTGCCAAAACCAGACTTTCACTTCATCTCTACCCAAAACTCTTCCAAAATTCCATACCCTCACCATTGTTCAACATTAACTTTGGAGTCAGAGAGCTCTAAGTTCAAACCTTGGCTGACTTTTTGTTTTCAACTACGAAATAGAGATTATATTGTACCAACTTACAATGCTGTTTGTGAAATTAAATGAAATAGTAGATATAAATAACTTAGCATGATGAACACTCAATACCTGGTGATAATATGAAGGTCATCATAATTATGGTAAGTTTATTTGGACCATTTACTCCAGGGTTCTACTAGTAAATTGCAGTACTGAAAATGCAGCTCTGTGTTAAGTAATCAGGCATTTTGAGTAAATCTAAACCTTTCCTGTTTGGCATTTTTATGACCAACTCTTAAATCCTCCTTCTCACCTTTCCATACTTCCCTGGAGGCTTCCCGACATGTGAGGGGGCTGAGTAATCCTTTCTGCAGATAGCAAAATCTTATTTCAGGACTAAACCCATCATGCCCGACATTCCTGTTTACTTCATTCACTCCCAAGAGCTACAATTCGTCTCCCGTCACCTGAACTCTTTCATATTGCTTTGAACATCCCCTAATCTGGAACCACCTTCCACTCCTCCCCTCTCCCTCAAATCCTTCCAGTGGGCTCTCTGGAATTCCTGATAACTCATCTTAATTCTTCTTTAAGTGTGTCCATTACCTTCTTCCTATAATTAAAACCTGGTTGCACTTCCAATAGTGCTTTCCTTGTAGTCTCTAAACATGGTGAAATGTTTCTTTTTTTTATCTCACAAATCAGAAGATGTGGTAGACACTCTCCTTTGTTGCTTGTTGATATTTCCAAGTTAGTATTACCTCTTTCCACACACACACACAAAAATCCTTGCTCTTTGAAGTTCATGCCATGTGGCAAACTCCTATCAATACCCCCATCTTATTGAAATCATCTGCGGACACTGAGGTCACATCTCCTCATTCTGTGAAAATGTAGCAAGTAGCTCACTGACCCTTCACCAGTACTCTGCGATCATTCTTGGTGACTGTGATATCCATGTCGATTGACACTGTGGAAAATCCTTTTATTATCCTCATGCTCAGTGCCTTGACCTCCTGATGTCCAGTGATTTTGTTTCCACCTCCTTCAGCCACCTTCTCCCAGGTTATATCCTAGATCCTACTGTTGCCTAGTGCAGATCTCAACAACCTCCATTTGAAATATCCCACTTTGTGACCACCTCTTTTTGTTTATTTTCAGTTTCATCTCTTTCATACACCATCCAAAGACGCGTCATTCTAGTGGTGAAAGAGATCCTAGCAACTTTAGCCTGTCTTTCATCCTTTTCACATTCTCACTTCCCTGCTCACCCAATGTATTAAAATATGATCCATCGTGATATTGACAGCCTCACACAGTCCCCTAACACTGCTGCCTCTCTTCTTTATTGTATACTTGCCTGACAAAACGCCACCTTCATTGAATTCAACTTTTGTTTGTTTTGTGCTTGGCTATGAGAAGCTGGACATGAATTGACAAAACACGTAACCATCCTGACTTCTGTGACTTGAAATGTGTGACCACCACCTGAAGTGGGTTCATGGTGCTCCAACAATCCTATTACACATTGCAACTCAATTGGCCTCCCCACTTTCCAAAATGACTATTTCAATATTTATCCTTTCTCCTCAAAATCTAATTTCTGGGTTTTTTGTTAATCTATTCTCAACACAACAGCAAAGTCAATTTGGTTAAAACATAGATCAGTTTATTTCACTGTTCTGCTCAACAAAACTTCATGGCATCCTATATCACTTGGGAAAAAAAGTCCTAGTGGCTTCAAAGATTCTGCTCTGACCTGCCCATGGCCAACTGAGAAACCACTCCCCAATGATTACACTGCTCCAACCACTCCTGCCAGGCACACTCGCCTCAGGGCCTTTGTACTTGCTGGTCTCTCTGCCTGAAAAGGTGCTCCTCTAAACATCACAGCGGTTGGTTCCCTACTATATTTTGGTCTCTTCTAAAATGTCACCTACCCAGACTGGGCAACATAGTGAGATCCCGTCTCTACAAAATGTAAAAATAAAACAGAGTAAAAAATTAGCCACGTATGATAGTGCCCGCTTGTAGCTGCAGCTACTCAGGAGACTGAGGCAGGAAGATCACTTGAGCCCAGGAATTTGAGGCTGCATCTCTAAAAATAAATAAATAAATAAATAGTGACCTTCTCAGAAGAGAACTACCTTTTTTTTTTTTTTTTTTTTTTTTTGAGGTGGAGTCTTGCTCCATCACCTGGGCTAGAGTGCAGTGGTGCCATCTCGGCTCACTGCACCCTCCACCTCCTGGCTTCAAGTAATTCTCCTCCTGCCTCAGCCTCCCAAGTAGCTGGGATTACAGGCACGTGCCACCATGCCCAGCTAATTTTTGTATTTTTAGTAGAGATGGAGTTTCACCATGTTAGCCAGGGCTGGTCTCGAACTCCTGACCTGAAGTGATCTACCCCTCTCGGTTCCCAAAGTGCTGGGATTACAGGTGTGAGCCACTGCACCTGGCCCAGAAGAGGAGTTCTTAAAAATGGTTACAGCCTCTCTCTCCTCCTTGGTAGTCACTATCTAATCCATTAATCTGCTTTGTTTTTCCTTCATAATGGTTAATACCACCTGCCACATTATGTATCATTTATTTGATTATTCTTTTTCTTCCCCACATAAAAGTAAAGCTCCATGGGACCAGGTACACAGTATCTGTTCTTTGTTGTTGTTTTTCTCTTTTCACTGCTATTTCATTAGTAGCTGGCTATATTTATTGCTCAATAAATATTTGTTGAATAAATAAACCCATCTTTTAAATGTCCACAGTGAGCAGCATCTGCATATGCATTCCTAAAATCACTGAACACTTTGATCCACTACTTAAACCAAATCCCTAGCATAATAAATTGAGAATTTAGGCAAATAGGTTGGCAATAATCCTCTGTTGAATGCCTTTCCTCTGTCCTAGCACTCAATTTATTGACTCACTTTTCTAACTCTCTTCATTTCCCACAAAATGCAGGGTGGTTGAAGTCCAAAATCAATAAAAATAAGCATGCTTAGAGCAGGAAAGAAGAAAAAAAGAGATAATAAAAGAAGAAAACATTTTAAAGGAACTCATACACACCTTGGAACTATATTTGGGAAAAGAAGATCATGCAGAAGAATTTCGAAAGAAAACACCTCCACAAAAGTGCACCTTCTCTCTCCCTCTGTTTTCTCCGTAAGATATTCTAATATAATTATTGCTTGGGCCGGACTGTGCTCTGTCATGCAAAACAAAGGACAAGCCTCTTAGCTTCAGCTTCTAGTTATTTGAGCCCAGATAAAGACAAACAGGATAGGCCAAAGGCAAATTGTCAAGTGGAAAAACTTGGCTTATGTCTGGACATTCCCTTTTCCCTGCTCTCTCCTGACTTAGAGATACCCACCCACCTCCACCCTTAGTGCCCAGTACTCACCTGCTCTAAAATCTCTCTTCTATCAGAAATAGAAAGCATGTTTTACAATATTTATCTCTGTAGCCAGGTTTCAATTTCACTTTTACTGCATTTAAATAATAAAAACAATGTCAGATTTTTTTTTAATTAACTGATTTGATGTTTCCACTGAAGCAAGGCAGAATAGACTGAATCCAGCCCAGGAGGCTCAGGCCAACCCAGTATCTTTAAGTAGTATTTCACATACATACTCAGTGTCTGCAGGTAAAGTGCCCAGTCTCATATTTTCTTCCTCCTTGGCATGGAGGTGTTTGTGACCCCATGACCTAAGGGGTGAAGAGGAACCCAATCCTAGCATTTTTCTCTGCATTTTCACATTTTCTGACATCAGAGTAACTCCCTTGTTCTGTTCTTTGGGTTGGTAACTGTTGAGTTTGACAGGCCCATCTGCCTTTGGCTGGGGATGATGAGTGGTACCTACTGCTGGGGTCTGTGTCTCAACTTCCTGCCTGCTGCCCCTCCTTTCTCTAACATTAGATCTCTGTACAAATTCATTGGCTCTCTCAGCAGCTCCATATTCCCTCAGACAGGAAGTGGAGAAGCAGAAGGACGACTGACTCAGGCTTCTCTCCCTATCCTGCTCCTAGCACCAGTCCAGCTCTCTAGCTCCTGGCCATGCTGGGTGTGGGAATTGTCCTAGATACTGACTGGCAGCTTCCCTAACATGCCCAAGAAGACATGCATGTTAGGTGATGCCAGGCTCTGGACAACAACAGTTAAGGATTTCTGAGGCTGAAAATACATTGACTTCTTATCTCCTAAATATTATCTCTATTACACATTAGGAACCTCATTCCTATTAACATACTCAGATATTAGCACTTAAACTTTCTATTCAAACTACCATCAGAGAATACTATAAACACCTCTATGGAAATAAACTAGAAAATCTAGAAGAAATCGATAAATTCCTAGACACATACAACCTCCCAAGACTAAACCAGGAAGAAGTTGAATCCCTCAATAGACCAATGACAGGCTCTGAAATTGAGGCAATAATTAATAGCCTACCAACCAAAAAAAGTCCAGGACCAGACGGATTCACAGCCAAATTCTACCAGAGGTACAAAGAGGAGCTGGTACCATTCCTTCTGAAACTATTCCAATCAATAGAAAAAGAGGGAATCCTCCCTAACTCATTTTATGAGGCCAGCATCATCCTGATACTAAAGCCTGGCAGAGACACAACAAAAAAAGAGAATTTTAGACCAATATCCCTGATGAACATCGATGCAAAAATCCTCAATAAAATACTGGCAAACCGAATCCAACAGCACATCAAAAAGCTTCTCCATCATGATCAAGTTGGCTTCATCCCTGGGATGCAAGGCAGGTTCAATGTATGCAAATCAATAAATGTAATCCAGCATATAAACAGAGCCAAAGACAAAAACCATGTGATTATCTCAATAGATGCAGAAACGGCCTTCAACAAAATTCAACAGCCCTTCATGCTAAAAACTCTCAATAAACTAGGTATTGATGGCACGTATCTCAAAATAATAAGAGCTATCTATGACAAACCCAGAGCCAATATCATATGGAATGGGCAAAAACTGGAAGCATTCCCTGTGAAAACGGGCACAAGACAGGGATGCCCTCTCTCACCACTCCTATTCAACATAGTGTTGGAAGTTCTGGCCAGGGCAATCAGGCAGGAGAAACAAATAAAGGGTGTTCAATTAGGAAAAGAGGTAGTCAAATTGTACCTGTTTGCAGACGACGTGATTGTATATTTAGAAAACCCCATCATGTCAGCCCAAAATATCATTAAGCTGATAAGCAACTTCAGCAAAGTCTCAGGATACAAAATCAATATGCAAAAATCACAAGCATTCCTATACACCAATAACAGACAATCAGAGAGCCAAATCATGAGTGAACTCCCATTCACAGTTGCTTCAAAGAGAATTAAAAAAACCCTAGGAACCCAACTTACAAGGGATGTGAAGGACCTCTTCAAGGAGAACTACAAACCACTGCTCATTGAAATAAAAGAGGACACAAACAAACGGAAGAACATTCCATGCTCATGGATAGAAAGAATCAATATCATGAAAATGGCCATACTGCCCAAGGTAATTTATAGATTCAGTGCCATCCCCATCAAGCTACCAATGACTTTCTTCACAGAATTGGAAAAAACTACTTTAAAGTTCATATGGAACCAAAAAAGAGCCCGCATTGCCAAGACAATCCTAAGCCAAAAGAACAAAGCTGGAGGCATCATGCTACCTGACTTCAAACTATACTACAAGGCTACAGTAACCAAAACAGCATGGTACTGGTACCAAAACAGAGATGTAGACCAATGGAACAGAACAGAGGCCCCAGAAATAATACCACAAATCTACAACCATTTGATCTTTGACAAACCTGACAAAAACAAGAAATGGGGAAAGGATTCCCTATTTAATAAATGGTGCTGGGAAAACTGGCTAGCCATATGTAGAAAACTGAAACTGGATCCCTTCCTTATACCTTATACAAAAATTAATTCAAGATGGATTAAAGACTTAAAGTTAGACCTAAAACCATAAAAAGCCTAGAAGAAAACCTAGGCAATACCATTCAGGATGTAGGCATAGGCAAGGACTTCATGACTAAAACACCAAAAGCATGGCAACAAAAGCCAAAATTGACAAATGGAATCTGATTAAACCAAAGAGCTTCTGCACAGCAAAAGAAACTACCATCAGCATGAACAGGCAACCTACAGAATGGGAGAAAATTTTTACAATCTACCCATCTGACAAAGGGCTAATATCCAGAATCTACAAAGAACTCAAACAAATTTACAAGAAAAAATCAACCCCATCAAAAAGTGGGCAAAGGATATGAACAGACACTTCTCAAAAGAAGACATTTATGCAGCCAAAGACACATGAAAAAATGCTCATCATCACTGGCCATCAGAGAAATGCAAATCAAAACCACAATAAGATACCATCTCACACCAGTTAGAATAGCGATCATTAACAAGTCAGGAAACAACAGGTGCTGGAAAGGATGTGGAGAAATAGGAACACTTTTACACTGTTGGTGGGACTGTAAACTAGTTCAACCAATGTGGAAGACAGTGTGGCGATTCCTCAAGGATCTAGAACTAGAAATACCATTTGACCCAGCCACGTCATTACTGGGTATATACCCAAAGGATTATAAATCATGCTGCTATAAAGACACATGCACACATATGTTTATTGCAGCACTATTCACAACAGCAAAGACTTGGAACCAACCCAAATGTCCATCAATGATAGACTGGATTAGGAAAATGTGGCACATATACACCACGGAATACTATGCAGCCATAAAAAAGGATGAGTTTGTGTCCTATGTAGGGACATGGATGAAGCTGGAAACCATCATTCTCAGCAAACTATCACAAGGACAGAAAACCAAACACCGCATGTTCTCACTCATAGGTGGGAATTGAACAATGAGAACACTTGGACACAGGAAGGGTAACATCACACACCGGGGCCTGTCGTGGGGTGGGGAGAGTAGGGAGGGATAGCATTAGGAGATATAGCTAATGTAAATGATGAGTTAATGGGTGCAGCACACCAACATGGCACATGTATACATATATAACAAACCTACACATTTTACACATGTACCCTAGAACTTAAAGTATAGTAAAAGTAAATAATAAATAAAGTTTTTATTCTAATTTATTCATTTGACGTTTTCCAAATTATAAAACCAATATCTAACTGTGGTAACAAGATAAACAATATAAAGAGGGTTTATAAAATTATTTTTATCTTTTCTCACTTAATTTCCTCTCCTACACACACATACACACCCTATACACGCACTCACCCATATACACCTGTGCATATACAGCCACATATACACACAGAAGGCTTTGGTTTCCTTTAAATAAAACATCAAAATGGCATCATATTCTCTTACCCTGGGTGTCCTTTTATTCAGTTAACAATATATTATGGCCACCCAAAAATATGTAGGAATTAACTAAACTCTGTTTTTTCTAATAAATAATATGTGAACACAAAATAACATATCCTCATATGCACACATATAATATTATATATAAATAGAACTATATTGTATTATTTTAAAAGGTAGTCATTTTCTTTATTCTTCACTCCACTGTCCTCTTATCCTTCTGTCAACCTGTACACTGCCGTATCCTCTAATCTGCATCTGCTCTGGCAAAACCAAGATAAGTAGTTAATAATTCAGGTGGATGTTTTATATCATTAATGCTCTAATCATTTAGTTATATATTAAGAGTGATGGAACAGGCCCTGGGGTGCCTGTAAAGAACAATCTTAAATACTGGAGTTGAAAATACAGGGCATTTACTTGTTTGTGGTGTTGTTTAAAAGAAAATTCAAACCTATTATAATGTAATGTGACTTGACACCTTGTTTTTGTCTCTGATCATGGAAAACTCTGAGTAAACTGTAACCGTTCTAATTCATTTCTCTTGGTGGCTGCATGATATTCCAAGGTGTGAAGTTTTGGTTTGAGAACTTTACTATTTTGAATAATGCTGTTTTAAACATTCTTCTACATCTACCCTTTCATATTTATGGGTGAGTTTCCTATGGGTTATATTACTAGATCAAAGGGAATTTTAAATTTTCATAGATTTTCCCAGATTGTTATTTCAAAGAGGTTATAGCAACACTTTCACTATCAATGCATAGAAGAATACTTTTCTGCAAATCTCTATGAAAAATGGCTAATACATTTTTAAATGTTCCAGTTGGCTGTGTATAAAATCATATAATTGTCATTTTAATTTTAATTTCCCTGTTTACTTGGAAGTCTAGGAACCTTTTCATATGTTAACAGGTCACTGGCACTTGCCCTTTTGTAAAAACTCTAGTCATATATTTTGCTCATATTTCCACCTAGTTATTTATATATTTTCCACTTTTATTACTTTTTAAGAATTCTTTTTCTATTATGGCTCAATTTTCCCAAATCTATCACTTGACTTTTACTTTATGTTGAATTCTTGCTCAGAGAGCTCATATAGTGCTCATTAGGGTCATTCACTGGTTCCTTGTTTTATCTATTTGGAGAGGTCATAGTTCCTCCTTGTTTGCTGTTGTTTCTTGTGGGTGTACATTTATGTATTTGCATTGAATGATTAGTTACTGATTCCAGTCTTTTCTGTCTGGCTTGTTTTGTTTTATAATTGGACACATTTTGTTAGAGTCTTTGTAATTTACCTGATGAATTCCTTTTCTTTTTTCCCCACTAGGTTGCTGCCTCTTTTTTGGCACTAGATGGCGCCTGAAAGCCAGCTTTGCCTGTGCTCTAGCAAACAGAACGCTGCCTGACCTGAATCGGGTGGGTCCCAAACAGATAGTATCCTGGCTGTGTGGGAAGACTGGTTCATGCGCAGAGGACCTGTGTAAAGTACTTCCTACAGGGTGATGCTGCTGAACAACCACTCTGCTTTGGCGTCTCCTTTGGCTGAGCTACAGAGCAGAGTTTCCCTGGCTGAGGATGGTAGTCCCATCTCCACATTTTGTCTCTGCCTATCCTAAGGAATATTTTTCCTTTCAGGCACTAGGAAAGCTTTGCTGTGTTGAAGCAGGGACAGATATCCTGCCAGGGAACCCAAGATGATGGGGAAACTGGCCATCTGCCATGACCTCACTTTTTCTAGTGTAGAAACCATGAGTTAGAGGCAGACTTCCCATGTGCTTGGTGCCAAGCTGACTGATGGGAGGGGCATCACAGGTATGGAAGTCCAATTCCCTTATCATTTGCTCAACGTTTTTTCACTTACTTGTGGCCCTGGAAACTGTCTCATCTTTATATTTGAATTCTGGGATAATGCTGGTGATAATCTCAGTGCTGTTTATTTGGTTTTGGTTTTTCTGTTGTGGGTGGGGGTGCGTAGTGAAGCCAGATTGATTCTGTGCTGCCATTTTGAAAACAAAAACTGACTTTAAGCTATTTGCTGTACATTTTAAGTGCTTATATTAGCCAAATCAACTACAAAAAAGTTTACTCAAGTAATTGAATAACAGTTTCCAAAAAAGAATTTTTTAAAAAAATCTTACCAACAAGATATTTGGATGTGAAATTCTAAGATAGTTCCTTGGCTTAGAGGGAACATCATGGATTCATCCCCTTTCCATTCATCCTTTTGCTCTTTCATCTAAGTGTTTTAGCTTTTTATCCTAAGCCTAAATATTGACTGTTAGACATAAGATAGCTTCTAAGATACAAACATGGTGTTTTCACATGGTTGTGTTCAAAGGTAGAAAGCAGAGGTACTGGGGCAGTGAGAAAGCTCTCTCTTTCTCTTATTTTATTTTATTTTATTTTATATTTTATTTTATTTTATTTTATTTTATTTATTTTATTTTATTTATTTTATTTTATTTTATTTTATTTTATTTATTTTATCTTATTTTTGAGTCAGAGTCTCTCTCTGCTATGCAGCCTAGAGTATAGTGGTACAATCTCAGCTCACTGCAACCTCTACCTCCTGGGTTCGAGAAATTCTTGTGCGCCTCAGCCTCCAGAGTAGCTGGGATTACATAGGTGTGTGTGCCCTCACATACGGCTATTTTTTTTTTTTTTTTTTTGAGACGGAGTCACACTCTCTCACCCAGGCTGAAGTGCAGTGGCATGATCTCGGCTCACTGCAACCTCCTCCTCCCAGGTTCCAGTGATTCTCCTGCCTCAGTCTCCTTAGTAGCTGGGACTACAGGCGTGTGCCACCACATCGGGCTATTTTTTTTTTGAATTTTTAGTAGAGACAGGGTTTCACCGTGTTGGCTAGGCTGGTCTCAAACTCCTGGCCTGAAATGATCTGCCCACCTTGGCCTCCCAAAGTGCTGGAATTACAGATGTAAGCCACCACACCCTGCCCAAGAAAGTTCTCCTTACAAAAGAAGGGAATAGCCCTTGGATGAGCCATGTGTTTTCCACAGCCAAATACATACTTTTCTTCATAGCTTCTAGATTTCTTACATTATTTAAAAGGGTTTCTTCTACCTATAGATAGTACATTTAATCTCCCAATTTTTCGTTGTCTTATGTTTTATATTTAGGTCTCTGTTCTATCTAAAATTTATTTCTTATATCATTTGGATAAAAAAATTCAAAGAAATTTAATTTTGTTTTCCTTCAGGAGTAAAGCCAGTTTTGTCTGCACTCTTTATTAAATAAACCGGCTTTCCTCACTGAAGAAAAATACCAGCATTGTCATCTATTTAATGTTTGTGTATTCTGGAGGATTTTGAGTCCTCCCTTCTCCTGGCCTGATTTTATATCATGGGCTAATTCATTATTTATTTTATTTACTTTAAAATATTTTTATTTTCATGTAAGTCAAATGTTTTCCCACCATTCTTCACTCTTTCTTGGCTGTCATCAAATGTATTGTTATATAGGAATCTTAAGCTCATTATATTCAATTTGAAAATGAACAAACCAAATGCTAATGTTATTCTGATGGGATGAAAATGCATTAAATTTATGCATCACTTTTGTGGAGATTGACATTTTAAAGATATTAACTCTTCTCATCTTAGAATATAGTCAAGGTTATCATTTGTCTTTTATGTCCTTTGTCAATTTTTTTTTTAGTTTTCTCTATTTTGGGGGGTTGATCTTAAGTTTATTTTTAAGATTTTTATAGGTCTAATTACTGTTGTGAAGGAATAGTCATATTATGAGGAAATTACATATTTCTATTTCTAAGAAAACACTTTTTTTATATTTGTTTCTTATGCAGATACCATGCCACATTTTTTCTAAGAAGCTTTTACATATAATTTGAATTTTCAAATGCACAATTTTTCCACCAATAGCCTTTATATCAATTACTTCACTTTATTAACTTATTGCATTCCCTCGAATCTCCCAATGTTGCAGTGGTAATAACAGGTATCCCTGTGTAATATCTGATTTTAATTGAAATACTTTTCTTGTTTAACAACTCAGAATAATCACTAGATATTGGATTTGGGGAAACCAATATCTTATTTATGCAGTTTCCTTCTTATTTCACTTATATTTTTGTTAGAAATGGCTATTTGATTGTCTGAAATACTTATTAGCATTTAATGGTTTAGTCATATGGTTCCCTTTAAACAAAATTATGTAATAAATGATGTTGATTGATTTCCAGATATTGAACCATCCTTGTATTCTTAAAATAAAATCTACTTAGTTTTCAATATATTTCTAGATTCTATTTGTAAATATTTTCTTTAGAATTTTTGCATCTATATTTGCAAACTATATTTTATATTTTTCTTTTTATAGTATATTTGTCAGCTTTAACATTGTTGCTATTTTATTAGGCCATTCTTACATTACTGTAAAATACCTGAGACTGGGTAATTTATAAGAAAATATGTTTAATTGACTCATGGTACTGCAGGCTGTACAGGAAGCATGGTTCTGGCATCTGCTTGGCTTTTAGGGAGGTCTCAGGAAGTTTATAATATGGCGGAAGATGAAGGGGAGCAGGCGCATCACATGGCAAAAGTGGGAGCAAGAGAGAGAAAGTGGGGTGGAGGGGAGGTGCCACACAGTTTTAAATAACCAGATCTCATGAGGACTCACTATCATGAAGCTAGGACCAAGTCGGGGGGATCTGCCCACATAATCCAAACAGCTCCCACCAGGACCCACCTCCAGCATTGGGGATTATAATTCAACATAAGATTTGGGCGGGGACAAATGTCCAAACTATATGTTATACTAGCTTTAAAAATGAATTAGAAAGATTTCCACTTTCTTCTCATTACTTGGAAGAATTTAAGAATCTTTGAAATTTTATTTTCTGTAAAGGTCAGAAAGAACTTATTTGTGAAACTGGTTTTGTTGCCTTTCTACATGGCAAATCTTTTTATTGCTTCTATTATATTTATTTGGGTCATTCCATTTTTTTCACTTTTTCTTGAATCAATCTTGGTCATTTACATTTTGTTAAGAGATCAACATCTTTGGCTTTTAAAGTTTTGAATATTAATTTGTATTTAGTAATGTATAATTAATTAAGTTTATTCTGCACTTAGAGTTATGTCTCCTTTCTCAATTTTATTTTCACTTTTTGTTTCATTTTGTTTTTCACTTTTAATAACAGTCAAATAATTTATTTGATAGTCTTGAAATAAATATTTTTTGATATGTTGGTCTTTTCTATTAATTTTTAAAGTGTTTAAAATTAATTTCACCTTAATATTACTAATTCTCTTTCTCTAAATTCTTTTGTTCTTTTTTGTTGTTATTCTGCACATTTCTTAAGATGGTCACTATCTCTTACTCTTTAATTGTTTTTATTAACAATAAAGGCATTTAAGGCTGTAAATTGTCTTCTTGGTAAATTTTGCTATTTACCATAACTTGATATGAGACATACTGCTTTTAATTACATTATGGTGAGCTTGTAATTTCAGTTTTGTTTTTCCCTTTGATTTATACATTAATTTAATGCTTTTCATTAACCAGAATGCCACAATAAGAGCATATTAGTATATTATATAAATGGCACCAGGTATTACAGCTATTTTTCAAATTCATTCTTGAATCAAAACTTCAAACAATGGTATAATAATTATGTTTGGGAGCCACCCAAATGTTACCACAAAAACAAAAGTGCATAAACATAGCTGGAAATGAATGAAAGCACTGTGCAAAGTTCCATATGTGCTTCAGCATTCCATGAGTCTCCTTTAAAATAAAGAAAATAAACCATCTATGAATATATTTTGGCAACAGGAATATGTAGTATGTTTTAAGATTCCCACTACACATCAGCATCTCCTAATGCATCCAATTAATCAGGAAAATAGTTACTCCTCACGGCAACCAGTTACCTATTTATTGGCTGTGGGAAGGCAAAGTAACAATGCAAAAAGTGGCATGAATCTTATTTTCCCAAAAATGGGAAGAGAAAAATGGTTCTCAAAAGTTATCTGGATCTGCACAACTACTACTGAGTATCTTCTGATATTATTTCATCCCAAGTTTCTCTTTACTAATAAGGATTCTAGACAACTAGCTCCTCTACTGTTCTGAGTGTTAAGTGGGCAGTACCAATCAGATGAAATGAAGAGCTATCTCACATGGAAGGAAGAGGACAAAACAACAACTACTCAGTATGATTGCTCAGTGCTTCTCTACAGAGGAACAGGCAAAGAGTATACAGGGTTGGGTCTTGGCAGGAGCATAGCATAGGTAACCCCTATTAGAATAATCCCAACCCAAGTGCCTCTTTAATTTTTCCTACTCTTCTAGGTAAGTTCACACATTCAATTACTTATTGAATATGTACCTATTATGTGCCAGGCACTAGTCTAAGCTGTGAGGATTTGATTAAAAGATATAGCTCTTGTCCTTAAAGGTCTTTAAGTATTTTTAAAAAGAAGACAGGAAAAAAAAACACAAATTATGGCATAATAAGAACACTGTTATAACTGAATAGAAAAGTTTAGTGGGAACAGAACAGAAGGAGCATTTATGGGCCCAGTGCATAATCAGGACTCAATAAAATTGAACAAAAACAAAAGTGAATGAGTAAATGAATTAAAGACCTTCAATGATAATGAAGGTTTCATAGGAAAAAACTTTTGAATTGAAGCTTATAAAAGCAAGAATTTTCTGGAAATGCAGGAGGAGAGGGTCCTAGATAGAAGGAAAGGCAGATGCAACTTCAGAGGGTAAAAATCATGGCACAGTAAGGGAGCTTTGCATAATTTAAATGGCTGGAAGTTAAAGATCCAACTATTGGGAGGAGCAGGGCCTAAGAATTGAGGCTGGACACTTGGCCGGAGACATCACTGATATCCTTGAAAGCCATATGAAGGATTTTAGGCTTTGTCCTGTAAGTCAGGGGATAGCCCCTGTAGAATGTTAAATAAGGGAGTGAAATGCCAAATTTATATTTGATAAATATCCTTCTGGTTATTCTCTGGAAGAAAGCTTGGAAAAGAACAAGCCAAGAAGCAGAGAGAGACAATAAAGTACTCCCACAATAGTCCCAGGACTTGACAATAGAAACCTGTACCTGTCTCGTGGAAGTGAGGATGGAAAATGAGGAAGATACCTAGAACATTTGTGAGGAAGAATTCACAAGTCTGATGGGCTGTGAAGGGTGAGAAATAGGGAGAGAGAAAAACCTGGAATCCCTCAGATGACTGCTTTTCTTGCTTAAGCAGTACATTCATCAAGACTAACAGATGTGTCTTAAAAAGATGACTCTGGGCCGGGCGCGGTGGCTCACGCCTGTAATCCCAGCACTTTGGGAGGCCGAGGCAGGCGGATCACGAGGTCAGGAGATCGAGACCATCCCGGCTAAAACGGTGAAACCCCGTCTCTACTAAAAATACAAAAAATTAGCCCGGCGTAGTGGCGGGCGCCTGTAGTCCCAGCTACTTGGGAGGCTGAGGCAGGAGAATGGCGTGAATCCGGGAGGCGGAGCTTGCAGTGAGCCGAGATCCCGCCACTGCACTCCAGCCTGGGCGACAGAGCGAGACTCCGTCTCAAAAAAAAAAAAAAAAAAAAAAAAAAAAGATGACTCTGGCTACAGAACTAATAATAGATTGGTGTGGGACCAAAAGGGGGTGAAAGAATAAAGGGTTGCTTAACAGGGTGTTTTCTGTAAATACCAAAGCCTCCCTAGGCACCTGCTGTAGTTCTGTAAATGCTGCCAAGGAACTGGCCCAATAACTCTTCCATCTGAGCAAAACTGCAGCATCACAGAGCCCAAACCCTCTCTCTTTTCATTTTCCCAAAATCTGTGTGGCTGCAATGAAGGGAAGGTTTCCTCTGAGGTCCTTTCAGCTCACTCATCTACAATTTTCCCACATAGCCCATGGCATACACTCAATGTATTATCCACAGTAGCTTTACTAGCTTGGTTCATAAAACTACTTGGAAAATGCATGATTGAGAAACTTTTAAGAGCTTCAGGGAAAATTAAACTCAAGGAAGAAGATCATCAGGGAAATGATGAAAGTTGTTATCAATGTTTTTACTGTAATTTAAATGAAATAATATGGAAGGATATTTAAATTCAATATAATATCTAACGATTTTTGAGGAGTTCATCTGAGCTTAGCACTGTGCACTATGGTCTCATTTAATTCTAACAATAGCTTTATGTGTTAGATACTATTATTACTCCTAGCTCATAATAATAAGCACTGTACAATTAATTTGTAGTTGCATTTCATTGTTCATTATAAACATTTAACAGTTTTCTTTCCTACAATTTCAACCAGATACTCACTGATTAGCTTTTCTTTGCTGCTTATAATAGGAATGTTAAAATTTATTCTGTGTACCTATTTCTTCTACTAAATGTTTAATATCTTTCTGATATTATTTGTATTCGTTTATTCTCACCTCCTACATTTCACCACAGTCCTGGAGACAGACAGTAACTTTGAGGCTCGCCATGGAAACAGCTTAGCTGAGATGCTAATTTTTAAAACTCCCTGTTAATATATAGTGAGGCATAAAACTCTGGTTTTATCTAAGGTCAAGTCACCCCAAAGCAGACATCATCAATCTTTTTGATACACCACTTGCTTTTAATGACGTTGGAAGATCTCTAAGGTAGAGTTTAGCATTTCTTATGTTTCATAAGTTTTTCCTAAATAGTTCAGTTCCTGCTCTACAGCACACTTTATCCCCATTTTTCTATGCTGGTGTTTAATTATCTCTCCAATTATCACCAAGATAAGTGACTGGAAATACAGGTTTATGTCAAGTCCTAAATCTGCCAGGGCATAGAAAGGTTAAACTAAAGTAAACTGGGGTAAAGTAGAATTTCATGTCAAAAAATGAGATGTTGATGAAAGATTACTGTATTTCTCTGTCACTTGACAAAAACATATCCAGGTATACTAGACTTTTGTTTTGTCTGACCAACATCTATTTGTCCTTCTTCTAGTAACAGAAACAGCTTCTCTTCCATTTTTCCCACCACGGTGGCATTTGATTGGGACTGACTTGAGTCCTCAGCTTCAGGAGTGGATAGATGTCCTTTAAAGTGAAATTCGGCAGAATTGTAGCCTAGGATCAAAAATGGAACAAAATCAATCTATTACAATACAAGTACCAAGCTTGAGTGGTCATTCGGAGCACTCTATTGTACTTGGCCTTGGTAATTACTCAGGGGTGAGTACATGACACAATAGGAGGCACTGGTAGCCATTCCAGGAGCTTTGGCTGAAGTGACAGGGACAGAGGCACCTGTATTCTTATATTGGTACTAAACTAAATACAAAATATTTTCCATCTTTGCCCCCATTCGAATATTGCCTGCCTGGGAATTGAGGACATATAAAGGAAGCAAAGTTGTCATCTAACAATGACATTGTTAGACCAACTGGACAGATACACCTGAAGGCAAACAGTCCCAAACTTCACATTTACAGAAATCCAAAATTTATTTTTTGCTAAAGCTCTTTTGAATTTCTGTCACTTAGGACCAATAGTTCTAAAATGCCAGTAAGATATCAATCCTGTAAGCTACAGTGCAGGCTACATGTTCCTTACCCTAAATTCCCACAAATTTGAGTTGGGTAGAGAATTGGGAAATGTGAAGAAAGCCTCTTTTTCTAGCTATGGTTTATAGAATTACCATTCTATAATTGATTGCCTGATTCCAAAATAAGTAAATATATATATGTAGACTACTTGTGAACATCTTGGAACATGAAAAATTAGTACTTCATTGACATTAAAAAAAAGACCTTTGAAATCTGTGTAGTCAGCATTCTACATTATGGTTGCTAGACCACTCAAGTCTGGCAATTTTATTTTAGTAGATCAATTGTGCCCCACTATTGCTTCTAGGCTACAGCCTGGCCAAATTTTACTTTAAAGAGGATTTTATGGCAAAGATCCAAACCCTTTCACAGCAAAAGCTGAATGCTAATGGAATTGTTGTGATTTAAAACTGTGAAACACAATCTACTTTTCAATGGAGGAAACAGAAACCCTAACCAGAAATATCTTCAGTTTCTTAACATAACCTTGAAGTATATTTTAAAATTTGTATTCATTATTTAATGATGAGGGATATTGTAAAGTAGCGTTAGATAGCATCAGAGCATCAGATTAAGAGACCTGGGTTCAAGTTTTAGCAATGATACCCACTATCTGGGTAACCAGGGGTAAGTTATTTAACATCTTGTTGCACCAGTATTAAATTGTAGCATGGATACTAAATGAGATGATGCTTGTAAAATGTTTTGTTCTGGCCTGGAACATAGAGAATATTCAACAAATGGCTATTGTTGCTATTACTATCATTGGTAGTAATGCTAGGAAAAGTAGTATTACTATAGATTGAGCATCCTTAATGCAAAAAAAAAAAAATCTGGAATGCTCTAAAATCTGAAATTTTTGTATGCTGACATAATGCCACAAGTAGAAATTCCACACCTGACCTCAAGTGATAGGTGTGTAACACACAGCTTATTTAGTGTTTCCAAGGGAAAAAGAGCCTTCTAGCCCCTTTCAGCTGTACTATATCTTTTCTATGCATGCTGAAATTCCCCTATGCAATCACACCCACAAAGGGTAATAAAATGGCATGCATGTGGGCCAGACACACCAGCAATGCCCCGCATAGGGCCAAGACCTAAATGTATTCCTCACTGTGGGTTTTTGTATGTTTGTTTGTTTGTTTTTTGCTTATTCTCTGCTCTGTGGTATAAATATACTGTTGAAAATGTCAACAAAACCTGTAAATACCCCTATGAGTAACAGTGGCAAAAAAAGGAGGCATTTATGTTTATCTGTAGCACAGAAATTTAAGCTGTTGGAGAAACTGCACAGTGGTGTGTGAAATGTATTATAGAAGAGAATGGTATGGGCATTACCAACATATATGACCTGAAGAGACAGAAGGATAAAATGTTGAAGTTCTGTGCTGAAAATGATGCACAGAAATTAATGAAAAGTAGAAAACACTCAATAAATCTAAAAATGAAGATCTCCGTCATGTAATGAAAAATGGATTCATTAGCATTGCAGTGAACAGTGCCACATAATAGTATGCTGAGTATAAAACAAATAAAGATCTACCTTGATCAACTGAAAATTGAAGGGAACTGTTAATATTCAATAGGCTCCTTGCAGAAATGTAAGAAAAACCACAACATTAAATTTTTTAAAGATTTGTGGTAATGAAGCAGTAGAGAAATTCATTCACAAGTTTGCTGAGGTCATCGCTGATGAAAATCTGACACCAAAACAAATCTATGATATTGATGAAACATCACTGTTTTGGTGTTATTGCCCCCAGAAGGCCTTGATTACACCTGATGAGACAACTCCTACAGGAATTAAGAATTCCAAGGACAGAATAACTGTGCTGGGATGGGCTAATGCAGCAGGCATGCATTAAGAATAAACTTGCTGTGACAGGCCAAAGCTTGTATCCTTACTGTTTTCAAGGAATATATTTTTTACCAGTTAATTGTTATGCTGACAAAAAGGGATGGATCACCAGAGAAATCTTTTCTGATTGGCTTCACAAACATTTTCTATCAGCAGTTCATACTCATTGCAGGGAAGTTGTACTAAATGACAACTGCAAAATTTTGTTATCCCTTGGCAACGGTTCTGCTCATCCTCCAGCTGAAATCATCATCAAAGTAATGCTTATGCCATGGGTTTTTTCCCAAATTTGACTTTATTAATTCAGCCATATGCCCAGGGTATCCTTACATGAATGAAGAGTAAATATGAAAACACTTTCTTGAACAGCATGCTAACAGCAATGAACACAGGTGGTGGCATAGAAGGTTTTCCAACAGAGTTTAGCATGAAGGATACCATATATGCTGTTGCCAATACTTGGAACACAGTGACTACAGACACAGTTGTATAAGCATGGTGCAACCCCTGGCCTGTAACTAGGTTCATAGATGATGATGAACAAGATGGTGACTTTGAAGGGTTCTCATATCAAGTGAGAAAAAAAATGCCTGATCTCCTTACATATGCAAAAATATACCTTCAGAGTCCATTAGTCAGCTGGAAAAAGTGGACACTGAAGAAGTTTTTGACATTGATAGTAAGGCTTCAGTTTTTCATTCACTGACTGATGGTAAAATAGCCAACATGGTTCTGATTTAAGGAAATCCTGATAATAGTGATAATGAAGATGACGTTATTAGCACTGCAGAAAAGGTATGTAAAGACAACAAGGCGAAAATGTGTGAGGAGCTTTTTGAAGGACTAGAGTAGCATGCATTCATAACAGAACAAGAAATCATGTATGTTTATAAAATCAAGGAAAGCCTTGTAAGACAAAAGGTGTTGTTAACAAGGCAGATTACTTCAGAGGAAACATTTAAAAAAAAACACCCAGCAGAATGCCTCCTTATCCCCAGAGGACCCACTTCCTGATCCTTCACTGCTTCTGATGATTTTTCTTACAGAAATAAAATACACTGTACAGTAATCTTTTAATCAAAACACAGCATCACAGGTAGAGACGAAGAGCCTGCTATTGTTCGTTGTTGCTGTTAACAGCTGAGATGGGTGTTCTGGTGATGCTACTGTGCTGCTTAGTTCCCCTGAACACATTATTTTTTCACTGTATCAGTGGTGTGTCGTATTTTTTACTGTTAAGTACTTATGTGTAAATAACTGTAAAAAATGATGGCTTATCAGTAGCATATAATTCAGTAAGGAATGATGGTGATGCTAGACAACCAGATTGCCCATGTGGGTGGCTGAGATAGTGACACCTTTGCTTCTGATGATTCAATGTACACAAACTGTTTCACACAAAAAATTACTTTAAATGATTGTCTAAGATTACTTTCAGGTTATGTGTATAAGGGTATCTGAAACATAAATAAATTTCATGTTTAGATTTGGGTCCCATCCCCAAGATATCTACATATATACATATTATATATATATATATATGCAAATATTCCAAAACCCAAAATTGAAAACACTTCTGGTCCCAAGCATTATAGATAAAGAATATTTAACCTGTACTAGTAGAATATTAGCCATTCACTTTTGTTTCAGTGATGCGGAATTTTGGCATGCATTATATTTTTTCCTTCTGCCCTCCCTCCCTGCCTTCCTTTCTTCTGTCCTTCTTTTTTTTTCTTATCAGTTGAAAATACCAAAAATGAAACTTTTCTAGGAGAAATCTTAAGACTAGTAGAAAGAGCAGGACCTTATTTCACAAGGAACAAGACAACTTTTAAATGCCCAGGGATTTTTTTCAGAAATATAATTGTGCACAATAACTCACACATCTGAGAATCTAAGGTAAATTTATCACCTCATAGTCATTGATTCATAGCATGCAAAATCTTTAAAACTTCAAGAGCAAATAAAAATGTGTTTTAAATTTGACCTTAAATTTTGGGGGAAAGGGTACAGAAGTTGTTTCCTGCTGTTAACAAAAGACAGTATTTCAGGACTATAAAACAAAGATTTTTGGTTAAAGAAGACATGCAATATCTAAGGATTATCTTCAACTTTTACTCCACATTTAGTGAACATTCTAACTTTAAAAAAAAAAAAACATTTTATAGCAGCATCCAACAAAAATAACACTGGCAAGACCTCAGAGTTCTCATAAAACCAGGACAAGTTTGCAACAGAGGAAAGGACAGAATTGTTCTGATTGTACAAAGAATAGACTGTAGGAAGAAGGTTCCAAGATGGCCGAATAGGAACAGCTCCAGTCTACAGCTCCCAGTGTGAGCGACACAGAAAGACAGGTGATTTCTGCATTTCCAACTGAGGTACTGGGTTCATCTCACTGGGGTTTGTTGGACAGTGGGTGCAGCCCTTGGAGCGTGAGCTGAAACAGGGTGGGGTATTGCCTCACCCGGGAAACAGAAGGGGTCACGGAATTCCCTTTCCTAGCCAAGGGAAGACAGACAGTACCTGGAAAATCGGGACATCCCCACCCTAATACTATGCTTTTCCAACAATCTTAGCAAGCAGCACACCAGGAGATTATATCCCACGCCTGGCTCAGAGGGTCCCATGCCCACAGAGCCTCACTCACTGCTAGCACAGCAGTCTGAGATCAAACTGCAAGGCAGCAGTGAGGCTAGGGGAGGGGCGTCCACCATTGCTGAGGCTTGAGTAGGTAAACAAAGTGGCTGGGAAGCTCAAACTGCATGGAGCCCACTGCAGCTCAGGGAGGCCTGCCTGCCTCTGTAGACTCCACCTTTGGGGCAGGGCATAGCTGAACAAAAGGCAGCAGAAACTTCTGCAGACTTAAACGTCCCTGTCTGACAGCTTTGAAGAGAGTAGTGGTTCTCCCAGCACGGAATTTGAGATCTAAGAACGAACAGACTGCCTTCTCAAGTGGGTCCCTGACCCCGAGTAGCCTAACTGGGAGGTAACTTCCAGTAGAGGCCAACTGACACCTCATATGGCTGGGTGCCCCTCTGAGATGAAGCTTCCAGAGAAAGGATCAGGCAGCAACATTTGCCATTCTGCAATATTTGCTGTTCTGCAGCCTCCACTGGTGATACCCAGGCAAACAGGGTCTGGAGTGGACCTCCAGCAAACTCCAACAGACCTGCAGCTGAGGGTCCTGACTGTTAGAAGGAAAACTAACAAACAGAAAGAACATCCGCACCAAAACCCCATCTATACGTTACCATCATCAAAGACCAAAGGTAGATAAAACCACAGAGATGGGGAGAAACCACAGCAGAAAAGCTGAAAATTCTAAAAATCAAAGCGCCTCTTCTCCTCCAAAGAAACGCAGCTCCTCGCCAGCAACAGAACAAAGCTGGATGGATAATGACTTTGATGAGTTCAGAGAAGAAGGCTTCACAAGAACAGTAATAACAAATTTCTCTGAGCTAAAGGAGGATGTTCGAACCCATCACAAACAAGCTAAAAACCTTGAAAAAAGATTAGTTGAATGGCTAACTAGAATAAACAGCATAGAGAAGACCTTAAATGACCTGATGGAGCCGAAAACCATGGCACGAGAGCTTCATGACGTATGGACAAGCTTCAGTAGCCAATTTGATCAAGTGGAAGAAAGAGTATCAGTGATTGAAGATCAAATGAATGAAATGAAGCAAGGAGAGAAGTTTAGGGAAAAAAGAGTAAAAAGAAACGAATAAAGCCTCCAAGAAATATGGGACTATGTGAAAAGACCAAATCTACGTCTGATTAGTGTATCTGAAAGTGATGGGGAGAATGGAACCAATTTGGAAAACACTCTTCAGGATATTATCCAGGAGAACTTCCCCAACCTCGCGAGGCAGGCCAACATTCAAATTCAGGAAATACAGAGAATGCCACAAAGATACTCCTCGAGAAGAGCAACTCCAAGACACATAATTGTCAGATTCACCAAAGCTGAAATGAAGGAAAAAATGTTAAGGGCAGCCAGAGAGACAGGTCCGGTTACCCACAAAGGGAAGCCCATCAGACTAACAGCTGATCTCTCAGCAGAAACTCTACAAGCCAGAAGAGAGTGGGGGCCAATATTCAACATTCTGAAAGAAAAGAATTTTCAACCAGGAATTTCATATCCAGCCAAACTAAGCTTTCTAAGTGAAGGAGAAATAAAATCCTTTACAGACAAGCAAATGCTGGGAGATTTTGTCACCACCAGGCCTGCCTTACAAGAGCTCCTGAAGGAAGCACTAAACATGGAAAGGAATAACCGGTACCAGCCACTGCAAAAACATACCAAATTGTAAAGACCATCGATGCTAGGAAGAAACTGCATCAACTAACGAGCAAAATAACCAGCAAACATCATAATGACAGGATCACATTCACACATAACAACATTAACCCTAAATGTAAATGGGCTAAATGCTCCAATTAAAAGACACAGAGTGGCAAATTGCATAAAGATTCAAGACCCATCAGTGTGTTGTATTCAGGAGACCCATCTCAGTTGCAGAGACACACATAGGCTCAAAATAAAGGGATAGAGGAAGATCTACCAAGCAAATGGAAAACAAAAAAAAGCAGGGGTTGCAATCCTAGTCTCTGATAAAACAGACTTTAAACCAACAAAGATCGAAAGAGACAAAGAAGGCCATTACATAATACTAAAGTGATCAATTCAACAGGAAGAGCTAACTGTCCTAAATATATATGCACCCAATGCAGGAACACCCAGATTCATAAAGCAAGTTCTTAGAGACCTACAAAGAGACTTAGACTCCCACACAATAATAATGGGAGACTTTAACACCCCACTGTCAACATTAGACATATCAACGAGATAGAAAATTAACAAGGATATCCAGGACTTGAACTCAGCTCTGCACCAAGTGACCCTAATTGACATCCACAGAACTCTCCACCCTAAATCAACAGAATATACATTCTTCTCAGCACCACATTGCACTTATTCCAAAATTGACCACATAGTTGGAAGTAAAGCACTCCCCAGCAAATGCAAAACAACAGAAATTGTAACAAACTGTCTCTCAGACCACAGTGCAATCAAACTAGAACTCAGGATTAAGAAACTCACTCAGAACTGCTCAACTAGATGGAAACTGAACAATCTGCTCCTGAAGGACTACTGGGTACATAACGAAATGAAGGCAGAAATAAAGATGTTCTTTGAAACCAATGAGAACAAAGACACAATATACCAGAATCTCTGGGAAACATTTAAAGCAGTGTGTAGAGGGAAATTTAGAGCACTAAATGCCCACAAGAGAAAGCAGGAAAGATCTAAAATTGACACCCTAATATCACAACTAAAAGAACAAGAGAAGCAAGAGCAAACACATTCAAAAGCTAGCAGAAGGCAAGAAATAACTAAGATCAGAGCAGAACTGAAGGAGATAGAGACACAAAAAACCCTTCAAAACATCATTGAATCCAGGAGCTGGTTTTTTGAAAAGATCAACAAAATTGATAGACCACTAGCAAGACTAATAAAGAAGAAAAGAGAGAAGAATCAAATAGATGCAGTAAAAAACGATAAAGGGGATATCACCACCGATCCCACAGAAATACAAAATACCATCAGAGAATACTATAAACAGCTCTATGGAAATAAACTAGAAAATCTAGAAGAAATGGATAAATTCCTAGACACATACAACCTCCCAAGACTAAACCAGGAAGAAGTTGAATCCCTCAATAGACCAATAACAGGCTCTGAAATTGAGGCAATAATTAATAGCCTACCAACCACAAAAAGTCCAGGACCAGACAGATTCACAGCCAAATTCTACCAGAGGTACAAAGAGGAGCTGGTACCATTCCTTCTGAAACGATTCCACTCAATAGAAAAAGAGGGAATCCTCCCTAACTCATTTTGTGAGGCCAGCATCATCCTGATACCAAAGTCTAGCAGAGACACAACATAAAGAGAGAATTTTAGACCAATATCCCTGATGAATATCGATGCAAAAATCCTCAGTAAAATACTGGCAAACCGAATCCAGCAGCACATCAAAAAGTTTCTCCATCATGATCAAGTTGGCTTCATCCCTGGGATGCAAGGCTAGTTCAACATACCCAGATCAATCAACGTAATCCATCATATAAACAGAACCGAAGACAAAAACCACATGATTATCTCAATAGATGCAGAAAAGGCCTTCGACAAAATTCAACAGCCCTTCATGATAAAAACTCTCAATAAACTAGGTATTGATGGGACGTATCTCAAATAATAAGAGCTATTTATGACAAACTCACAGCCAATATCATACTGAATGGGCAAAAACTGGAAGCATTCCCTTTGAAAACTGGCACAGGATAGGGATGCCCTCTCTCACCACTCCTATTCAACATAGTGTTGGAAGTTCTGGCCAGGGCAATCAGGCAGAAGAAACAAATAAAGGGTATTCAATTAGGAAAAGAGGAAGTCAAATTGTCCTTGTTTGCAGATGACATGATTGTACATTTAGAAAACCCCATAGTCTCAGCCCAAAATATCCTTAAGCTGATAAGCAACTTCAGCAAAGTCTCAGGATACAAAATCAATATGCAAAAATCACAAGCATTCCTATACACCAATAACAGTCAAGCAGAGAGCCAGATCATGAGTGAACTCCCATTCACAATTGCTTCAAAGAGAATAAAATACCTAGGAATCCAACTTACAAGGGATGTGAAGGACCTCTTCAAGGAGAACTACAAACCACTGCTCAACGAAATAAAAGAGGACACAGACAAATGGAAGAACATTAGAACATTCCATGCTTATGGATAGGAAGAATCAATATCGTGAAAATGGCCATACTGCCCAAGGTAATTTATAGATTCAATGCCATCCCCATCAAGCTACCAATGACTTTCTTCACAGAATTGGAAAAAACTACTTTAAAGTTCACATGGAACCAAGAAAGAGCCCACATTGCCAAGACAATCCTAAGCCAAAAGAATAAAGCTAGAGGCATCATGCTACCTGACTTCAAACTATACTACAAGGCTACAGTAACCAAAACAGCATGGTACTGGTACCAAAACAAAGATATAGACCAATGGAACAGAACAGAGCCCTCAGAAATAATACCACACATCTACAACTATCTGATCTTTGACAAACTTGACAAAAACAAGAAATGGGGAAAGGATTCCCTATTTAATAAATGGTGCTGGGAAAACTGGCTAGCCATATGTAGACAGCTGAAACTGGATCCCTTCCTTACACCTTATACAAAAAGTAATTCAAGATGGATTAAAGACTTAAATGTTAGACCTAAAACCATAAAAAGCCTAGAAGAAAACCTCGGCAATACCATTCAGGATGTAGGCATGGGCAAAGACTTCATGACTAAAACACCAAAAGCAATGGCAACAAAAGCCAAAATTGACAAATGGGATCTAATTAAACTAAAGAGCTTCTTCACAGCAAAAGAAACTACCATCAGAGTGAACAAGCAACCTACAGAATGGGAGAAAATTTTTACAATCTACCCATCTGACAAAGGGCTAATATCCAGAATCTACAAAGAACTTAAACAAATTTACAAGAAAAAATCAAACAACCCCATCAAAAAGTGGGCAAAGGATATGAATAGACACTTCTCAAAAGAAGACATTTATGCAGCCAACAGACACATGAAAAAAATGCTCATGATCTCTTGCCATCAGAGAAATGCAAATCAAAACCACAATGAGATACCATCTCACACCAGTTAGAATGGCGATCATTAACAAGTCAGGAAACAACAGGTGCTGGAGAGGATGTGGAGAAATTGGAACACTTTTACACTGTTGTTGGGACTGTAAACTAGTTCAACCATTGTGGAAGACAGTGTGGTGATTCCTCAAGGATCTAGAACTAGAAATACCATTTGACTCAGTCATCCCATTACTGAGTATATACCCAAAGGATTATAAATCATGCTGCCATAAAGACACATGCACACGTATGTATGCGGCACTATTCACAATAGCAAAGACTTGGAACCAACCCAAATGTCCATCAATGATAGACTGGATTAAGAAAATGTGGCACAAATACACCATGAAATACTATGCAGCCATAAAAAAGGATGAGTTCATGTCCTTTGTAGGGACATGGATGAAGCTGGAAACCATCATTCTGAGCAAACTATCACAAGGACAGAAAACCAAACACCGCATGTTCTCACTCATAGGTGGGAACTGAACAATGAGAACACTTGGACACAGGATGGGGAACATCACAAACTGGGGCCTGTCGTGGGGTGGGGGGAGAGGGGAGGGATAGCATTAGGAGATATACCTAATACAAATGATGAGTTAATGGGTGCAGCACACCAACATGGCACATGTATGCATATGTAACAAACCTTTTTTGTACATATGTATGCATATGTACAAATGTTGTGCACATGTACCCTATAACTTAAAGTATAATAATAGAAAAAAAAAAGAATAGACTGTAAAGGAACAAGAGTAGAGGAAGGGAGATGGCTTAGGAAATCCTTGGGGTCATTCAAGCAAGACATGATGATGACTTGAATCAGGATGGTAGCAGGGAGGAGGATGAAAAGTGGTTGGATTTGGAAAATAGTTCAGAGGTAAACTGATAGAACTTACTATTAGATGAGATATGGGGTATGAGGTAGAAAAATAAGTAGAGGGTAAGTCCTAGGTTTGGGGTCAAAGTGACTGGAAGGACTGTGGTGTCACTTATGGAAATGGGGAAAGTTCATGTTGCAAGCTAAGTAGATATCCGCCAAGTAGGCTGGAGACAAATGGTATTCCAAAGCCACCATCGTAAGCCAAGGCCTAAAGGTTTTAAGGAGCCTGGCATGTCCATGGAAGGAGAACATGTTTGAAATTAAAGACATGGAGAATACTAGATGAGGACAGGGAAGGTTGACAGGTGGAGTGGAGGATGTTGCCAGGAGCTATCTCACTAAGATTGAACTAGATTCTTTAGGCTGGAGAGGAATTGAAACTAACCTATTGTTTACAAACTAAACAATAGGTAACATTAAGGTTACAAAATAGGATGTAAATATTATACAGTATGATAAATCAAAAATAATATAGTCAACACAAACCACATTGAAGGAGTTTGAAAGGGGAGAGTGAATAATAGTTTCTAACACTTGTAGAGGCTCCTAGTTTTTCTTAAGTGTTTTAAGGACTCATTTAATCATCACAGAGCTCTTTTGAGGCATCTGCTATTATTCTTGCCATAACAGATAAGGAGACTGAGGCATGGAGAGCTTAAGAAATGTGCCTGACTTCATAGCACTATTGAGTTGTAGAGATAGGATTTGAATGTTTCAGAGTCCACAACTTTTAACTATTATCCAGAGAGCTAGTCTCTGAACAACATACGAATCTTTATAGCTGGGAGTCAACTTATTCAGAGTGAAACTGAAACACAAGTTAAAAGGACTACTTCCAAATGCTTTCTTTATATGATGAAGCCATGTTTATCTGAACTTCAATAACGCATGCAGTTTAAATCTGATTTCCTTTTTTCTATTAAATTTCCTTGAAGTATAATTAAGTGGATTTTTTAAAATAGCCCATTGTTATAAAATTATTTTGACAAACCTCCTTTCCTCTCTACAAATTTCTTTCTCTATATATGTGAAAGTGATACCTGGAATTAGGTTTACATTTGTGTTTTTGTTTTGGAATAATTTGTTGCTATTTTTTCTTTGTACTTTTCTATAGTGATTAATTTTTAAATTAGGGAACATGTATCATGTCAATAAAAAACTACAAAGTGATTATTATAATAAAAGAAAAATGCTGAAGTGGGGATGAGGATTATAAGATTATACCAATCATGAGGGTCATTCATTCTGTTCTTACAATTGTTTAAAAAAGAAAAACCCTGTTATCTACAATCCCCCAAAATCTATTCTCTAGGTTTCAAGTATTAATTCTATACATAAATGTAATGACTGTCTACTTTTAGCTGCACTACTTGTGAAAATGTAAATACTTCATCATTCACTAGTGTGGCACACATATATATCGGGATAATGATAGAAAAGCACTTTACAGAAACAGTGTGCCAAATAATGAATTGCAGTAGTCTTGTGGATATTAAATTATTAAACAGGTAGAGGTAAGTTCCTTACATAAAAATTCAATCATCTGTGTGATGAAGAGGAAAGACTAACAGTCTATTATAAGAGATAGTGGTGCAGCAGAAAATTATACTGGTAATCAGGGTCATGGAGTCTAGTCCTGGCTCTGCCATGGAACCCTAAATGTCTTGGTCAAACCACTTTTCTGGAATTTTGTATTCCTACAAAGTGGATAATGAAACTAAATGATCCCAACACATTTATCGAACACATGCATTTTTCTCTGCTTTTGCTCCAAAATGCACAACAGACAGGAATTTTTTTAAAAAAGAAATACCACTATAAAAATAACAGGGGGAGAAACAACAGAAAACAGAAGTCAAAATGTTGGAGAGTGGGAAGTGGATGTATGAATGGTAACTGACTTAACAAAATACTAGACAGAGGCAGGTAAGAGGAACAAGAAACAAGTTAATACCCGTTGCACAACTTTGGAAAGACTTAGGAATTGCTCACTCCAAATACTTCTAAAACTGCAGGATATAGTGAAAAACAGAACTGGCTAAACAATGTGTGTGTGTGTGTGTGTGTGTGTGTGTGTGTGTGTGTTGGCAAAGGCTGGTGGGGCTGACAGGGAAGGGGTGTAAAAAGAAAAATTCTCTCTCAGCCAGAGAGAAAGGTCGGGTTACCCATAAAGGGAAGCCGATCAGAATAACAGCAGATCTCTCTGCAGAAACCCTATAAGCCAGAAGAGAGTGGAGACCAATATTCAACATTCTGAAAGAAAAGAATTTTCAGCCCAGAATTTCATATCTAGCCAAACTAGTCTTCATAAGTGAAGGAGAAATAAAATCCTTTATAGACAAGCAAATGCTGAGAGATTTTGTCACCACCAGGCCTACCTTACAAGAACTCCTGAGGGAAGCACTAAATATGGAAAGGAAAAGCCGGTACCAGCCACTGCAAAAAAATACCAAATTGTAAAGAGCATCAATGCTAGGAAGAAACTGCATCAACTAATGGGCAAAATTACCAGCTAGCATCATAATGACAGGATCAAATTCACACATAACAATATTAACCTTAAATGTAAATGGGCTAAATGCACCAATTAAAAGACACAGACTGGCAAATTGCATAAAGATTCAAGACCCATTGGTGTGCTGTATTCAGGAGACCCATCTCAGTTGCAAAGACACACGTAGGCTCAAAATAAAGGGATGGAGGAATATTTACTAAGCAAATGGAGAGCAAAAAAAAGCACGGGTTATAATCCTAGTCTCTGATAAAACAGGCTTTAAAGCAACAAAGATCAAAAGAGACAAAGAAGGGCATTACATCATGGTAAAGGGATCAATGCAACAAGAAGAGCTAACTATCCTAAATATATATGCACCCAATACAGGAGCACCAGATTCATAAAGCAAGTTCTTAGAGACCTACACACTCTTGTGTGTAGAGACCTACACAAGACCACACAATAATAGTGGGAGACTTTAACACCCCACTGTCAATATTAGATCAATGAGACAGAAAATTAACAAGGATAATCAGGACTTGAACTCAACTCTGGACCAACCAGACCTAATAGACATCTACAGAACTCTCCACCCCAAATCAACAGAATATGCATTCTTTTCAGCACCACATTGCACTTATTCTAAAACTGACCACATAATTGGAAGTAAAACACTCCTCAGCAAATGCAAAAGAATGGAAATCATAACAAACAGTCTCTTAGACCACAGTGCAATCAAATTAGAACACAGTGCAATCAAATTAGAACTCACTCAAAACCACACAACTACATGGAAACTGAACAACCTGCTCCTGAATGACTATTGGGTAAATAACGAAATATAGCAGAAATGAATAAGTTCTTTGAAACCGATAAGAAAAAAGACACAATGCACTAGAATCTCTGGGATACAGCTAAAGCAGTGTGTAGAGGGAAATTTATAGCACTAAATGCCCACAGGAGAAAGTGGGAAAGATCTAAAATAGACATCCTGAAAGCACAATTAAGAGAACTAGAGAAGCAAGAGCAAACCAATTTAAAAGTTAGCAGAAGACAAGAAATAACTAAGACCAGAGCACAGCTGAATGAGATAGAGACATGAAAAACCCTCCAAAAAAATCAATGAATCCTGGAACTGGTGTTTTGAAAACATAACAAAATAGACTGCTAGCCAGACTAATAAAGAAGAAAAGAGAGAAGAATAAAATAGACACAATAAAAAATGATAAAGGGGATATCACCACTGATCCCACAGAAATACAAGCTACCATCAAAGAATACTATAAACATCTCTACACAAATAAACTAGAAAATCTAGAAGAAATGGACAAATTCCTGGACACATAACACCCTCCCAAGACTAAACCAGGAAGAAGTCAAATCCCTGAATAGACCAATAACAAGTTCTGAAATTGAGGCAGTAATTAATAGCCTACCAACCAAAAAAAACCCAGGACCAGACGGATTCACAGCCGAATTCTACCAGAGGTACAAAGAGGAGATGGTACCATTCCTTCTGAAACTATTCCAAACAAAAGAAAAAGAGGGACTCCTCCCTAACTCTTTTTATAAGGCCAGCATCATCCTGATTCCAAAACCTGGCAAAGACACAACAAAAAAGGAAAATTTCAGGCCAATATCCCTGATGAACATCGTTGCGAAAATCCTCAATAAAATACTGGCAAACTGAATCCAGCAGCATATCAAAAGCTTATCCACCACGATCAAGTCAGCTTCATCCCTGGAATGCAAGGCTGGTTCAACATACGCAAATCAATAAATGTAATCCATCACATAAACAGAACCAATGACAAAAAAACGCATGATTATCTCAATAGATGCAGAAAGGCCTTCAAGAAAATTCAACAGACCTTTATCCTAAAAACTCAATAAATTTGGTATTGAAGGAACATATCTCAAAATAATAAGAGCTATTTATGACAGACCAACAGCCAATATGGTACTGAATGGGCAAAAGCTGGAAGCATTCTCTTTGAAAACCAGCACAAGAAAAGGATGCCCTCTCCCACTACTCCTATTCAACACAGTATTGGAAGTTCTGGCCAGGGCTATCAGGCAAGAGAAAGAAATAAAGTGTATTTAAATACGAAGAGAGGAAAACAAAATGTTTCTGTTTGCAGATGACATCATTGTATATTTAGAAACCCCATTGTCTCAGCCCAAAATCTCCTTAACCTGATAAGCAACTTCAGCAAAGTCTCAGGATACAAAATCAATGTGCAAACATCACAAGCATTCCTATACACCAATAATAGACAAACCAAGAGCCAAATCATGAGTGAACTACCATTCACCATTGCTACAAAGAGAATAAAATACCTAGGAATACAACTTACAAGGGATGTGAAGAATGTCTTCAAGGAGAACTGCAAATGACTGGTCAAGGAAATAAGAGAGGACACAAACAAATAGAAAAACATTTCATGCTCATGGATAGGAAGAAGCAATATCGTGAAAATGGCCATACTGCACAAAGTAATTTATACATTCAATGCTATCCCCATCAAGCTACCACTGACTTTCTTCACAGAATTAGTAAAACCTACTTTAAATTTCATATGGAACCAAAAAAGAGCCCGTATAGCCAAGACAATCCTAAGCAAAAAGAACAAACTGGAGGCATCACACTACCTGACTTCAAACAATACTGCAAGGCAACAGTAACTGAAACAGCATGGTACTGGTACCAAAACAGATATATAGACCAGTGGAACAGAACAGAGGCCTCAGAAATAATGCCACACATCTACAACCATCTGATCTTTGACAAACCTGACAAAAACAAACAATGGGGAAAGGATTCCCTATTTAATAAATGGTGCTGGGAAAAGTGACTAGTCATATGCAGCAAACTGAAACTGTACCCCTTCCTTACAGCTTATACAAAAATTAACTCAACTTGGATTTAAGACTTAAATGTAAGACCTAAAACCATAAAAACCCTAGAAAGAAACCTAGACAATACCATTCAGGACGTAGGCATGGGCAAAGACTTCATGACTAAAACATCAAAAGCAAAGACAACAAAAGCCAAAATTGACAAATGGTAGCTAATTAAACTAAAGAGCTTCTGCACAGCAATAGAAACTATCATCAGAGTGAACAGGCAACCTACAGAATGGGAGAAAATTTCTGCAATCTATGCATCTGACAAAGGGCTAATATCCAGAATCTACAAGGAACTTAAACAAATTTACAAGAGTAACCAAACAACCCCATCAAAAAGTGGGCAAAGGATATGAACAGACACTTCCCAAAAGAAGACATTTATTTAGCCAACACATATATGAAAAAAACCTCATCACCACTAGTCATTAGAGAAATGCAAATCAAAGCCACAATGAGATACCATCTCATGCCAGTTAGAATGGCAATCATTAAAAAGTCAGGAAACAACAGATGCTGGAGAGGATGTGGAGAAATAGGAATGCTTTTACACTGTTGGTGGGAGTGTAAATTAGTTCAACCACTGTGGAAGACAGTGTGGCGATTCCTCAAGGATCTAGAACCAGAAATACCATTTGACCCAGCAATCCCATTACTGGCTATATACCCAAAGGATTATAAATCATTCTACTATAAAGACACATGCACACATATATTTATTGCAGCACTGTTCATAATAGCAAAGACTTGGAACCAACCCAAATGCCCATGAATGATAGCCTGGATAAAGAAAAGGTGGCACATATACAACATGGAATACTATGCAGCATAAAAAAGGGTGAGTTCATGTCCTTTGCAGGGACATGGTTAAAGCTGGAAAACATCATTCTCAGCAAACTAACACAGGAACAGAAAGCCAAACCCTGCATGTTCTGACTCATAAGTGGGAGTTGAACAATGAGAACACATGGACACAGGGAGGGGAACATCACACACCGGGGCCTGTCAGTGGGTGGGGGGACAGGGAAGTGATAGCATTAGGAGAAATATTAATGTAAATGACGGGTTGATGGGTGCAGCAAACCACCATGGCACGTGTATACCTATGTAACAAACATGCACGTTCTGCACATGTATCCCAGAACTTAAAGTATAATTTTTTTAAAAAAGGATAAATTCTCATCTTTCATAATAAGGAATTTATAGGTAACGTATAAAACTAAAGAGCAAAGACATAGCAATAAAGCATGTTACTTGGAAATATAGAATTAAATACCAGAATGTGTAGCTCAAAGTGTTGCAAATGGTTGTCTTAGCTTATAGGGAAGTGAAATGGGATTGGATGTGTCAGGGTTCTGCTGCTTTTTATAGTAAACTCACTGTTGTTTTTGACTTTTAAAAACATATATACATATATATTATCTTTTCTAGCATGTATGTTTTACTTTTAACAAATTTTCATTTATCTATGGAAGCAATCTTCAAGCCTACAAATGTGCCAGGAAAACTTGATTTTTACCTTTGGATGCACTAAACTACAAACATTTTTATATTATATCTTAAAGTCAGAAAGAGAAACATACGTTTGAAAATAAAGTGATCATATAGAAGTTAGATCAGGCCGTCACGATGGCTCACAGCTGTAATTCCAGTACTTCGCAATGCCAAGGTGAGCAGATGGCTTGAGCCCAGGAGTTTGAGACTAGCCAGGGCAACATGGTGAAACCAAGTCTCTACAAAATATACAAAATTTACCCACAAAAAGCAAGTAGTTGGGCTTGGTGGCACGCGCCTGTAGTACCATCTACTCCAGTGGCTGGGGTGGGAGGATCACTTGAGCCCCTGAGGCAGAGGTTGCAGTGAATCTTAATCAAGCCACTTCACTCCAGCTTGGGTGACAGAGCAAGGCCCTGTCTCAAACAACAATAACAACAACAAAAGTTAGATCAGCAAACATGCTAGGTTTTTGTTGTGTTTTTTGTTTGTTTGTTTTTTAATGTTCACCAGTTGAAGTCTGAGTGATTAGGGAATCTTGAACCTGGATTTTGAACTATACTATCAACAGCTTTAACTCCTTCCTCTCTCACTTCCCCAGTAATCCAGTTTTATAAAATTTAGATGAGGTTAGAATCTGTCATTTGTTATAGAGTAATGATTTGGTTATTATTATGTATAATAATTTAATATTAATATTACTAAAAACTAATTTAATTTATAATAATTTAATTATTATTATTATTGTAGGGCCATGATCGCAGTCATTGTTTCTCCATGTTGTAAGTCACAGTTTGGGAATATGCAGGCTATTTGGATTTATTTAATCCTTCTGTGCCTTTCCCCATTGTGTGACTTCATGTGGCCTCCTTACCGGCCTAACTGGCCTTTACTGGGAAGCCTGTCAGTACAGCTACTATTTAATAACACTTGGGCTGTCAAAATTCTTTCCTTTGTCAGAAGGACACCCTCCCAACTCCCTACCCCCACATCCTTGGAATAATATGTTAGAATGACAGCAACTCATGATGGAGCATATGTGCTCTATATCCTTTTGTTTTTCTTCTATCAGCAACAGGTATGTCATTAATGCTCACAAAACTGTTTAATCCTTTAAGCCTTGGTAAATTACTTGTTAAAATTATCTCCTAAATGAGTGATTTCTGTACATTATTCAATACTACCAAAACATATTCAGTCATTATTTTTAAATTTATTCACAGGCAGTTTCATAAAGCCTTCTCTTGGCCTTTTATTCTATTGAGAAAGATTAAAAATAATGTAACCTAAAACAGTTCTTTTTTATTTGTTATTCATTTTAACCTCATCCCTAAATGAGACTTTGGCAATATAATCATCATCTAGTACATATTCAAAGTACACTCAAAATTTGGTGATTCCTTCACTAGCCATTGATCTAATTTAATCTATATTAAGGAGGGGAAGCTCTTACATTACATACTATTTCATGATGTCAAAAGATAATGGTTGATCACAGGAACCACACCCTTCCCCTCAAAGGAAGAAAATTAAGGAGAAGTTACTGTTTCTTTCATGTGCCCATTTTCTTTACAGGACACAACTGATAAAAGTTTTCCGGAAAATAAATGGCCAAACTGATACTTCTTATCTTTTGAAAATTTAGAATTCATAGATACTTTGATTACTACAATTAAAAATTATCTAAAAATTGAGCGATTGGGATAGGGTTTAGCAGGGGGATTAGAGTGAGGTTTGAGGGTCCAGCTGATGGAATGTAGGAAGAGTAACAGGAAATGACTGTGGCCCACCAAGACACACTGGAGGTTTGATGATTGCTTTACCAGCTACTGCTGAATATTAGAAGAACAAGAAGTTCCACTAACACAACCTAAGCTATTACTATAAACTTAAAAGAATTGTTTAAGACCGTGCAAGGCAAAGCAAAAAAAAAAGAAAACTATATAGTCAGAAAAGGCAATAATGGTAAGTGGAATTTACCAGATGGGATTTTTGCAGAGAAAAGAAAGAGGAGAACAAGAGAACATATAAAGCAAGAAAGGAAAAGAGCTTGTCAAGAGGCTTTTGTATGAAAAAGAAAAAACTGTAGATAGATAGCTTACTGTTTACAACTGTACATGCTTAAGAGACAACGGGCATATCTAAAATAAGAATTAACTTAAAACATCTGGGACCTGTTGTTATTATCTACAACATGTAGCTTTGACAGAGATATCAGAATATTAAACTACAGTAGTTCAGAGACCAGTGTCCCTTTAAGTAGTATTTGAAAATATACTTTAAGGGAGATCTACATCAAAATCTGATAATTTATCTGGTCTGGAATGCTCTCTTTGAAATTTACCTTATTAATAAATTACTAGCAAAATAAATTTTGTTTTCTGATATATATTGGGTATTTGTACCCTCCAAATCTCAAGTTGAATATAATCCCCAGGGTTGACGGTGGGGCCTGGTGGGAGTTGATTGGGTCCCATGGGGCAGATCCCTCATGAACAGCTTGGTGCCCTCCTCACAGTAATGAGTGAGTTCTCACTCTGACTTCACATGACATCTGGTATTTTAAGAGTGGGGCACGTTCCCCCTTCTCTCTCTTGTTCACTCCTGCCATGTGATACACCAGCTCCCCTTTTGCCTTCCTCCATGATTAGACGTTTCCTGAGGACTTACCAGAAGCTAGGCAGATGCTGATGCCATGCTTGTACAGCCTGCAGAACTGTGAGCCAAATAAACCTCTTGTCTTCACAAATTACCCAGCCTCAGGTATTTCTTTATAGCAACACATAACAGACTAACAGAGTTTTTTAAATTTTTGTTTAATAAAAAATTATTTAATTTATTAATTTAAATAATAGCTTATTTAAATTAATTATTAAATTTTATTGATTTCTAAAATTGTATTAATTTTTTCTAATGAGTATGCCCTGTATTCTATGGTGGCAACAAAACTTACCAGTATAATGAGTTCTTTAAGTTTCGATAGCCCTAATCAACTCTGATATGCTATTATCTCATGCAGGTTTCATTTTCCCATATTTATCCTTAATATCTATAGAGGTAGAGACTAACAGAATTCTCATGACACATCCAACATGGCGTAAGTTTTAGTTTGGAATTGCCTAATAAACAATATCTCACCAGAGTGCAAAAATTAAAGGTGACATATTACAATTTGAAAAACGTAAAACAAATGATTTTTAAAACTAGTTAAGCTACTTTTTAAAATCATAAAGTGATGTTTAATAATACATTGGGACAAAATAAAGGAAACTGCCTTGGGGGATTAAGAAAAAACAACACTACACTGCAAAGAGAAGCACAAATATAGACAAGCTTATGGAGAGTAACAGCCCACCATCTACTTATGCTTTTCACTTACAGCTCTATTATGCTCTTAATTGTGAGGTCTAGTAAGACCACAACTTGTTGATTGCCGAAACAGGAGGGCTACACATAGGATCATCATACAGTGCAGCACCACCTGGTGACAGAATGAATAAAAACCACACACACGAGAAAAGCTGATTAAATCGGCATGAATTCCATACTCAAAGATGGGGAAGCAGGAGTCAGGGAACTAAGGTAAAGGCATGTACACTCCCTCATATTTCTCTGTCACTCACATTGAATCCTAACAACCCTCTTCCAAATTAACTTTCTACACATCTCCATATTTTTGGAACATCCAACGGAAAAAAAAATCAGGTCTGTTTCCAATTGAAAAAAAAAAAAAATCAGGTCTGTTTACCTTTTGCAAGAGAAGCAGGTGTATCTTGAGCGAATCTTGACGCTTATAACATTTCCAAAGCTGTCTTCACGACCTCTTAGTACTCAAGAAGTCTTTTTATATTCTCTAGAATACTTCCTCTTTTTCTAAGAGAAAGAAAATAAAATCTAATATTTTAAAGATTTTTACCAACTGGAGCTAAAACTTGTTTTTAGAACTTATTTGTTATTTAATTTTATAATTGCCTGTATAACCCTTAATATGTATTACAGAGAAAGATGCCTAGGAAGTCAAAGAAATGCAATGGAATTGGATAAATTTAGTTATACCAAAGAACCTTCCAGACGAATCCACTAAGACTCAAACTACCTTCCAAAGATGCCAAATACAGTCATGGTTAGAGTATAGATCCATTCACAAACCATTTCATCAATATGAAGCAAGGGCAAGAAAAGGCTTTTTGGTTTTGATTTGGTTTAGTTTGCTACTACAAACTGTCCTGCCATCCTATGGGTATCTCATTTAGTTTGCTGTTTCAGAAAAGAACAATGAATTTTGTGCTTCAAAAGAGGCTTTTTGCCTGTTCTGTCCCTTTAAAGTCAATAGCTTTTTGAAATTGTCCTGCTGACCCCAAATAAAAAATTCTGAAAGAGATGCTCCTGACTCTTCAGAAACCCATTATGTGACAGGACTGACTGAGCTAATCCTGTGAGTGTTTTACTGCCCAGCAGAGATGTGGTGGCTTTGGTGGATTATTGTCTGGCTGCCCTAATGGAATTCCTCTGAGCCCAGTGGGAGATGGGGAACGATTTTCTGCTCCCAAGAAATTAACTGCTCTAAGTCTGCGGAATGCGGTAATTTTTTATTTCCTAAACAAACTCTTTCACCTGTTTCAGTTAACTTGTACAATGTCAGAAAAGCATGAGGGCTCAGAGGAGTGAAACTAACCTGATTTTATTCTTTCATTCAACTATTTATTAAACAGATACTGAGTGCCAAGTACTTTGCTAAGTAACTGAAAACTAATGAAAAATAAAAAAGAAGGCAGAACTATAAAGCGGGATCTGATATGGTAATACGTTATGTTTTTATTTGGTTTATGAAACGCTTTCTAACATGAAATTTCAGTAAGCTTAAAGGACAACCCTGTGAAAAAGGAAGCGTGGTTATTAATATCATTTTATAGATGAAGGTCACATAACTAGTAGGACACAGTGCCAGGAATAGGACTCAGGTCTTTCTTTCAATTCCCTCTTCCTCATATCATACCCCCTGACATTTCAATGCAGCCACTTTTGAAAGTGGAATATTTGAAAAATAGTCTATTATATTGGTTGTCCCACACAGCAAGTCTTCAGCACATAAATGAAACTGGCACTTCATTAACATAGGTTTCTAAAATTTAAGTCACTTGCCTAGAGTTGCCCCGCTCTTTTCAATCTAAAAATAATGGTAAGCTGGGTATAAATGTCTTCCTGTTTCAGTATTTTCAGAGAGCTCCATAACTAACACTTTTGCAAGAAATAACTTCTGAGTTATTCTGCTCTTTTCTTTCCCAGCAGTGAAACACATGGAAATAATCATGTTGATTAAATATTACAAGTAGAACTAGAGAATTTCATTGCCTCAAATCTGAACTAGGAATGGGAAGTTATTTTCTTATTTTAAGGTTCTTATGCTACAAAAGCAATAAATATACACCTGATTTTTTGGTAATGCATTCAAACTATGGAAAGTGATCTAGGGAAAACATGATTGAGGCCAGGTGCGTTGGCTCCTGCCTGTAATTCCAAGACTTTGGGAGGCTGAGGCAGGTGGATCACTTGAGATCAGGAGTTTGAGACCAGTCTGGCCAACATACTGAAACCCTGTCTCTACTAAAAATACAAAAATTAGTTGGGCATGGTGGCACACACCTGTATTCCTGGCTACTTGAGAGGCTGAGGCACAAGAATCGCTTGAACTTGGAAGGCGGAATTGCAGTGAGCCAAAATCATGCCACTGCACTCCAGCCTGGGTGACAGGTGATGAGTGAAACTCTGTCTTAAAAAAACAAAAAAAGCAAAGAAAAGAAAGAAAAAGAAAAACATGATTGTATCTCTTTACCCGGCCTACTTCACCTGGTCCAATTCACCTGACATAAATATTGTTAATCCTGTTAAACAGGTAAACACTATTTAGTGTAGATTATTCCAGAAGTTCATTTTATGTGCTAATTTTTTAACCTATGGTGATGACTCTATATATGATACCAATTTGCCTTTCTATGCTCACCCAACAGTACATGTGAACATATTTTTATGTTCATACACGTAGATTGTCCACATTTTAATAAATATTGAGTATTTCATAGTATTTATATACTATAATTTGTATTAACTATTTCCATTGATGTACTTTCAGCAATTTACAGCTTCTTGATTTCCCACGTCATAACAAATACCTCTGCTCATGTTTCTGTGCACATATATAAGCATTACTGCACAATAGATGCCTAGGAGTAAAGCTGCAGGTCAATATCTTTACAAATGGCATTTTGATTACTGAAATTACCCTCCAAAAAGCTTTACCCTATCATCTTATGCTGTGAGCAGCCTTGCATGTGATTGCCATCCTTTTAATGTTTGTAATCTGATGGCAAAAAATAATATTTCATTGTCACGTAATTTGCATCCATCTGATTAATAGTGACATAAGTGTCCCATCACATGAACAGCCTGATTTCCTTTTGGATAATTTTCTCTTCCCCATCTGATAGTCTGATGGCACTATTAATAAAGACGCCCTGCCTTCTTACCACATGCATACTGCAATGAGATTTGTATTCTCTACCAGATAAAATTCATTTGCTTTGTGATGAACAGGAGTCATTTGCTTTACGACGGACAGAAAACATCTACACCATTCCACAAGTTAACTTTCATCCCACGAAGTTGCTAAATAGACTGACCAAAGACAAAGTGCACACCCTCATAGAATCAGACAATCCCCAGAGAGTCTGCTAGACTACAACCAGATTGAAGGAATACGCAGTGATCTTTTTCTCTCCCATTTCAAATGTATTTCACAATATTAACTTTTGGGTCACTGTTCTCACCAACCCAGCCACCAGAGTCAGGTGGGTATTATGATAATACACATTAATCATGAATATAGTAGAAAGAAATGATTCCTAGTCTATATTCCACAAATGTACTAATTTACAGATTCTACAAATTTAGACATGTGCAAGACAATACAAATCAATTAGTTTTTGTAATATCCCTTAAAAAGTATAAAAGGAAAAAATTGTTTTAGTTTTATATTAAAAATGACTTTATGTAAGTAGCTTAATTTATTTTCATCTCTGTTATTAAAAATAATTGTCCTGTTTACCTCAGAGAGTTAGTGAAAAGGATTAACTAAGATAACATGTATGACTCTTTGAAATATATAAGTTACTTTACAAAGGCAAGTTGTTTTCACTGTAATTTAGTCATCTACTGGAGAAGACAAAGCAGGGAACTAGGAGTCAAGAGACCGGAATCCTAGTACTTTTTCTTCTATAAACTAGTCATTTAAATTTTGGTAAATGCAAAATGTTTGTTTATATGTAAAATAAGAGAATTAAAATATCTGATTTTTTCTGGTCTCAAATTGCAATTCTTATCACATTAATAGAAGATGATAGGGAAAACAGAAGGGTGATTGATTGATTGATAGAAAATCGACAAGCATTTATTGACTGCCTGTCCCTGTGATTTAACAATGAATTTAACCTGGATCTTGCCCTCAAGGAACTTAGCCTATTTTTAAATCCTTAGCCACAAATAGAATAGGCATTTGGGAAGAAGAAGACATTCACAGTAGGGCAAGATAAGGACCAGTTGGAACCTCTTGGCATCTCTGGATTTGTTCTTTATCACCTTGAAACAACAGCCTTCAGAGTATAATGGTTGCTTCACTTCTGCCTCCCAAATTTCACGTAAAATGTCTCTAGTAGACAACCCTAATCTGAAACATATAGAAATATACTTTCAATTTAGCTAAAATGACAGTACGAAAGCACCACAATCTACCTCTTGTCAATTTAGCATTCACATTAAACAAATACTTAATTTCTCAGAAAAGATAAAAGCAAATTATATTTCCATCTAACACAATGCAACCATCAATCATACAACCAAAAACTTGCTATACCTCTCTCCAAAGATCCCTAGAAATTTCTCCAAGATGTCAGGGTTCTGAATTTTTGTGGAATTTCCCATTTTCTGGTATATGCATCTTACCAAAGGGTATTAAGTAGCTCCTGTTTCATGTTCTCCATGTCCAAGCAGTATGATATCATCAATGTAATGGACAAATGTGATGTTCCCTAGCATGGAAAAGTGTTCAAAGTTCCTGAAGATGAAATTATAAACAAGAATTTTTGAGTTGATATAACCATTGATATACAATGATAGTATGTTTTTGGTCCTGCCCATTGAAGGCAAACTGCTCTGGTAATAGCAGACTATATCTGCAGATAATACAGCTGTTGCCAAGTCAATATCTATCTATTGAGATCTATCTATCTATCTATCTATCTATCTATCTATCTATCTATCTACCTACCTACCTACCTACCTGTCTATGTATTGTGCCAGGTAATGTGTTCCTTTACTCCAGGAGCAAAAATCACATCTGGTACAATAGCTGCAATTGTAGTCACCAGATAATTAAATTTATTATAATCCACTGTCATTTCTTGAGATTCATCCGTCTTTTGCACAAGAGAAATAGACAAGTTAAGTAGGCATATGGTGGGAATTACTACTTCTGCATCTTCAAGTACTTGATAGTATTACTAATCTCTACAATCCCTCCAGGAATGCAGTATTACTTTGGGTTTATTATCTTTGCATGCAAAGCCAGTTCTGGTGGTTTCCACATATTACAGCCTTTCCTATCATAATAGCCAATATGAGGATTATGAAAATTGCTAAGTTTATCTACTCCAACTATATAATTCAAAAACTGGAGGAAAAAATTACAAAGAGCATTTGAGGACACTCAGAACCCAAGGCAATAGTCCATCAATCACCTGACCTTAATAAGCCCCTATTTCAGGTGTTAGACCACAGTGCTGTTTGCATCTCCAGGAATTAATGTCATTTTAGAGACAGTGCCTAACAATCCCTTTAAAAAATGTGATTATTTACTATTTTCCAATGCATAGTCATGCTGGTGAGTGACCTCAGGTCCCTCTGGGGAAGGATAGGAGGAGGATGTTGCATCAATTGTTGACTATGTAGCAGGGTCTTTCCTCAAGGGAATCCGACCTTCAATTCATTCAAGGTAGTCTGAATCTGTTCACTTGCTCAAGTCTGAAAATTAGTTGGATTGGTCACATCTCTCTATTGTGATGACTCAAGTAAACTCCTGCTCATAAGACTCAGAGCTTTTCCACTTAATTAAGATTTTAGTAGGCTGTCAATCGATTCCACTTCTGGGTACATCACTATCATCTGGCCAATGTCAGATCTGTTGGTCAAGTCATCCTAATTACTGCCTTGGCTCTGCTGCCGATGATGATCATCATGTTCACATTGTTTTTGATGATGATATGCTACCATTTAGCTGTTGACATTTAGCAATTCTCATTATCTCCAGTGAATTCCAGGGGTTCCGTTTTATGGCAAGAGTTTCCCTATCATTCCTGGCCTATAAAACTAGCCACCACAGTGCTCTTCAAAGATGCCACAAGCTCTCCTCAGGAATGAATTTCTTTCAGCCTTCCACAGCCTTGGTAAATGGGTTGTCTTCTAGACCTCCTCAAGATTAATGAGTAGGTAAAAAGGGCCGGGCGCGGTGGCTCACTCCTGTAATCCCAGCACTTTGGGAGGCCGAGGCAGGCGGATCGCGAGGTCAGGAGATCGAGACCATCCTGGCTAACAGGGTGAAACCCCATCTCTACTAAAAAATACAAAAAAAATTAGCTGGGCCCGGTGGCGGAAGCCTGTAGTCCCAGCTACTGAGGAGGCTGGGGCAGGAGAATGGCGTGAACCCGGGAGGCAGAGCATGCAGTGAGCCGAGATTGCGCCACTGCACTCCAGTTTGGGCAACAGAGCAAGACTCCGTCTCGGAAAAAAAAAAAAGGAGTAGGTAAAAAGATCTTACAGCATAAATTTACTCCAACATTCAAATCTCCCTGAGCCTTTGGATGTCTTCCTTTTTAGTACACCAGGAAAGCATTAATATTACAGCTTGATTTAGCATAGGTTACCTTTGGGTCTAGGCTTCAGTCAATCAACCAACCAAACTGTTAGAGCCTCTCTTTGTTGCTCAAGGTGACGTTATGAATCCAGAATCTTTGCATAGTGCACCTTTATCAAATTCAGCTTGATCTAATCGTATTTCCTTCCACCCTGATCCAATATACTTAGCTGGGATTTTGAAATCCCAAAAATATTATTTTATTTTTCCAAGTTTTCTATTATATTTAAAAGCAACCAATCAACCACATAATGCACCTTATTTTTATTGGAATGTTCCATGGAAAAATTTGATCATTCCAAAGCCTTGTCTCTATAGGCACTTTATTACAGGTGCCAAAATGCGAGTATTTAAATAACTGTTTTGTCAGTGTATTATTGGTGCCTCCTTTGCTACTGGCCATGGGAACATGGATGCCTTTAAATCCAATAAGATAAGAACCAACTACAGATACTGATCTTTAAGGTTCTATTACCAATAACTTTAGCAATCAGTGTTTAATAAGGAAAGCAGAATAACTACAATGTTACAGAATACATAATTTATTGTAGGAATTTCACCTTGTACAACTGTGGAAGAAGCTGAGGAAGTAAAGGTCTAAAAGTGATCAGAAAAAGGTTACTAACCAGCCATGGCATAAGTGAACCTGTTGAGTTTTCAGGAGACTAAGCTTGTTCACCTGCTGGAGTGTATAAGGAAATAGGCTAGTATAGAAATCTATGAGACGTTTGTAGTCCCTCATGGTTATTGCTTCTATGATTTCACAGCAAAGCATCTGGTAGTGTGCCTGATATAGCTCTCAGTTACAAGGACCAGGTGTTAGGAAAGAGAACTGGATGCAGAATGTGAAATGGCAAAAATACAAAGAAAGAAGCATGTGCAAGGGTCCCGAGGAAGGAAATAGTTTGGATTATTTGAGACAGTGAAGAAGAGCAGTGTGGCTACAGGTAAAAGGAATAGAAGATTCACTCAAGATAAAATTGGAACAGAAAGAAGTCAGATCATTCAGGGCCTTATGGGAATTTACAAATTGTTCTAAGTGTATTGGGAAACCACTAAAGGGATTCTTAAAGCTCCTAAGAATGAAATTATCACTACCATCATATTTCCTTCAATCTGTCAGAGACTACAGTAAATATTTTACATAATTATTCCCCTAACATTATTGAGCACCTACTATATGCTAGAGAGTATGCTGGGTACCAGAGATTCAATAACAAACAAGAGACACGTAGACACTATTTTCAAGAAGTTCATGATCTAGTAAACATGTTGCATTTAATCCTCACAGTAGGTTCTATGAAATAGGAAACTGAGGCATAGAGGGAGTAAATTGCATGAAGTCATTTTACTAGAAATTTTTGCAATCAGTATTTGGACTCTGTCATATTCCCAAGACATTGCTTTTAAGCAGTATTCTGTCTGCCTCCCACGCTGTTATGTAAACACCCAGATAAACCCAAGGAATAAATCACTGGAATATGATCAATTTCTTAATCTCTTCATGGTCCTCAGTTCCCTATGCTTATATCAATGTGTACATGTTAGGTTATAAATTTCACTTGAGCATGGAAATGAGACAGCCTTGAGTATGTGAAGCGTCCTTTACAGAATTCAGTGCAATTAAGTTTACCAGCTCACTCAGTTTATCATGTGCATGGTGTACGCTGAGCAGGTGCTTGGCTGTCCATCATGAGATTTGAAGTTCCACATTATATTGGACATGCTCACTGGGATGACACATCCAATTTGGTGGCTGCTTATTGGAATCACATCTTTTTGTCATGTTCCCTTTCCTTCAACAGGAAAGTATAATCATAAATATTAAAAATAAGTTTTTGAAGAAAGCTGCTCACTGACTCTAAGAAATAAAAGAGTTAATTAAATGCTGAATACATTGAACCAGTGTTGGACAGATAAAAACCTAAATTTGGTTGTCGTAACTGTCAGGCCATTTAGAAACCAAATAATTCACACCCTACTAATTGCTTTTATGTTCACTTATCCAAGAGACATGAGTCATCTCTCACAGAATCCTAATTATGAATGACTTACACCTTGTTGATGACAGAGATCTGTGTTATTCTTACAGAAACTTTCCAAGACATATTTCTTTTAAAATAATTTTAACTTTCTCTGATTTAAGTTTATCTGATAAACTTGTGTATTTTCTCAGAAAGATGTAACCTAGGGGCCTAACTTTTCCTGTCTTTCCTTCCTTAGCCAAAGCGTTGTTCAGAAGCCAGGAAAATTGAGTTTCTAAACTTTTTGCTGCAAAGGGTGTCGATGCTCTGATGACAGATTAATCCAGGCACCTGATTTCTGAAGCTCTGTATTAAAAGCACTGATTCTTTTCAGTAAGGAATCCAAAAAACACCATGAAAGACAGCAGTGACACGAAAATCCATGTAGTGCATATCTGAGTGTGTTAAAACAAGGGCCACTGAATTCTCAAGGCATCAAGAAGTTGATATTGTATCATTATTAAGAGTCTAGGGACACTTCCCTTACTTGAGTGTTAAATATGAGGAACTATTTGAAGACCAAGGAGGGAGAATGAATACAAATGTAACTCACAAAATATACCAATTTAGTTACTGACTGACATAAAAAGTCTGCTGCTTAAGATTCAAGTGTAACCAATGCCACGTCAGGATTTTTACGCATACGCACACACAGTGTTCAGTAACAAAATAGTTTCATTGGTCCTTGATCCTTCAACATTTTACAATTAATTGCCTGGGATACAGAGGCCCTAATGGAAGGGTCATGGCCAGACCTGGAAAGGCCAATACTTAACTCTCACCATGCTAGTGTTTCCTCCCCATCCTCAGACTTGGCAAGCAGAAGCCTGAGGCCTGAAACAAGTAACCTTTGGACCTAGTTTTAGTGAGTATGATTTCTGTGGTCACACTTTCTTTCACTACGTCAGCTGTCCATTAGAGGCACCTTGCTGTGCTGCACACGTGAAATATTAGACACAAGAGTGGCTTCTAAGAATTAAACTACAGAGACTAATCCTTGACTCCTGTAAAATAACTATCAAAGACCTTCCATCCTACCTATCTGGGAATTTCATATGAAGGAAAGATTGATGCATAATTAAAACAGAAACTGTGTATTTATTCAGCATAGGGAGTGGTAGTACAAACTTCCTGGAACATTATTCCAAATGGGAGGATCCAGCAATAGGGATCAATCTTTCTGCTGAGTCAAATGTTGGCTTCTCTTCTGAGGTTTCTGATATATGGGCATCAACCAGCACTACGTGCAATGATAGCTTTTGATGCATATCTTGCCAGTGATTCCAGTGAAAATGTTCAATTTCCTTCTTTAAATCAGCAATTTTCTGGGTCTCATTGCCATTAATATTTATGAATTGAAATAATGTGGTGCTTCAAAAGTAGCCCCAAGGTTTTATAAAATAAATTATGGGATTCCTTTTTTTTCATAAGTAGGAATAAGAGCTTAGGTCTTATTCCTTAGATAGATAGCTTAAGGTCATAGAGTTTACTGGCAGGAAGAACCAAAAAGAAAAAAATGCTTACTCCATTATTCTAAACTGACCACAATAAACTACATCTTTTTGAAAACACTGTTATAAAATAGGACTTGAACTCAAGGTCTGATGTGATTATCTTATTAAGAGTTCTCCGGAGCTTAATTTCTCCGTTTAAGCATCTCTATGTTCCATGAAACAACTACAAGCTCACTTTCAGTTGACACTGCATTACGACCCCTGGAATTAAGCCATCACTACAGGGAGAGTACTAAATTCTCTAAATAAATTTCTAGATTATCTGGCATGTTTGACTAGTGGATCTTATGGGTCCTTCCTTCCTTCCTTCCTTCTTTCCTTCCTTCCTTCTTTCCTTCCTTCCTTCCTTCCTTCCTTCCTTCCTTCCTTCCTTCCTTCCTTCCTTCCTTCCTTCCTTCTCCTCCTCCTTTTTGGTTTATTGTTTATTGAGAGGGGGAATCTCGTTACATTTGTAAAAAGTGATTGTCACATCAAACTACACTATTTTATTTTTTATTTCCATAGGTTATTGGGGAGCAAGTGGTATTTTGTTACATGAGTAAGTTCTCCAGTGGTGATTTGTAAGATATTGGTGCCCCCATCACCCAAGCAATAGAGACTGCACCCTATTCGTAGTCTTTTATATCTCACCCCCTTCCCACCCTTTCTCCTTGAGTCCCCAAAGTCCATTGTGTCATTCTTATGTCTTTGCATCCTTATAGCTTAGCTTAGTTGCCCCATATAGAATAACATAAATTCCTTCCCTCATATCCCTACTCATACCCTTTCTGCTGTCTCATTCTTAATCAAGAAAAAAGCACATTACAACACAGATAAAAATTCCTCTATAATGCTGGGATTATCCAAGCCAATCTAAATCATTCTAGGCTAGTGTAAGTTCCACATGGTAAAGGTGGTGGTGAGGGAGTTATTATAATAAAATACATAAGAAACTCTATGTCTTACCCATATGTGTATCCATGGCCACAGGAAGAATCAATACTGCAACTCTGATCAACAGTTTCATTCCTGCATTAGTAAGGAAATTAAAATCTTACTGTAAGGGTCCTCTTATTACAGGAAGTTCACTTCTATTAGGAATATTTCATAAACCAGTTTGTAGCCAAGGTCAAGAACCAGGAAGCATGGAATTAAGTAGACCACAATCAGTAAAACAGGACTTGGTTACCAAGCTTTGGGACAGGATCAGACAGGCTAGAAACCTGCTGGGCATTGTGCTTCCTGGTTGTGAGAATACAGGTCAATCATAGGGACTCAGAGCTGAGTCCAGAGCAGTATGAATGCACAGTAGAGGCAGGGGCCAAGCTGGAAGACAAGAGCATGAAAATAATATTTTATCCATGATGTTTTTATGAGACCACAGATCAGATTCCAATTAATTATTGGTGAGGATTAGCATCAAAGTTAATTCTTCTCATAGATTGAAAAAAATCACAGAATTGGCATGACAGACTATCTATACATGTACAACTTTCACTGTTTATAAAACATAAGGATAGGCCGGGTGCAGTGGCTCACGCCTGTAATCCCAGCACTTTGGGAGGCCGAGGCGGGCAGATCACAAGGGCAGGAAATCGAGACCATCCTGGCTAACACAGTGAAACCCCGTCTCTACTAAAAATACAAAAAATTAGCCGGGCGTGGTGGCAGGGGCCTATAGTCCTAGCTACTCGGGAGGCTGAGGCAGGAGAATGGCGTGAACCCGGGAGGCGGAGCTTGTGGTGAGCCGAGATCACACCACTGCACTCCAGCCTGGGTGACAGAGCAAGACTTGCTCTCAAAAAAAAATAATAATAATAATAATAATAATAAATAAAAAAACATAAGGATAAAGCTGCAGTGCTTTATGATTGTTACTAAAGTAACTTCCCTTGGAAAAAGAAGACCACATTTCAGAGTCTCATCAGTAAAGTTGTAACAAGTTAATACTTCTGAAGGTATTAAAATGAGCATTCCGTTTAATAATATTATTGTCAGAACACCTAAGATAAAGTGTAGTAAAGGAAATTCATTCATCATTCATCCATGCCTCTGACAATTATCAGATCTGGATTCGAGAAGTAAACTTGAAGGTCATCAGCCAATAAGAGAAAGTTGAAGCTGTGGATCCTAGAAATAGTGCACTGTAATGTCAACTTAGATACATTTTAGATATGATAGTGTTAAACGCTACTATAGATTAAGTAACATGAGGATGGAGAACTGACCGTTGTATGTGGTGTTGTGAGGCTCATTCGTGACTTTGACAAGAGTAGTCATTTCACTGGAGTACTGGGGGCCTTATTGGAGTAAGTTCAAGAGAAAATAGAGAACTTAGAGACTGTAAGTGGACTCAACACCTCCAGGGACTTTGTCTAAAAAGGGAAGGAGAGGAATGAAGAAGTAGCCAGGGTGAGTCAGGTCAAAAGAGGGCTTTCTAAGATGGGAGTATACCAGCGCATTTGTATGCAGATGAGAAAGATTCAGAAGAGGTGAAACAATTGATGACATAGACAGGAGAGAAAAAAACCACCACAGTGATATCCCTGAGTAGGCAGGAGTGGATAGGATCTAGGTCCTAAGTGGAGGAATTGGTCCCTGCTAGAGTCCAACTATAGCAGAAAAGGCTCTCAATATGTTGTTGTGAATGAATTTTAAAATGCTTAGTGTGTTCTTTCTTGAGATTTTAATATCTCACTCTTCTTTTTCTGACTTGTTCTTTTGTAAAAGAACTTGAAATCTAATTCAGAATAAACGTGAGGTAAATGAACAACTTGAATAAACTTTCGTCTATTAACATTTGTGGGAAATACAGTCAGATTACATGAAAGACAAATTAATTTGGGTTACTACTGATGGGAACCATCCTCAAACTAAGACGTGGCTAATAAAAATGAAATATCCAACAACATAAGGACATGGAGAACCAATCCTTTCTTGGGATAATCTTCACAGTAGTTAGGGGGTCCTAAAGCCTATAGGAAAAGTGAGGGCTCTAGAAAATATATTTCCCCAAATACTGTACATTCCTTGTGCCTTTTTATCCAACAGACTTCCTGGCTACGTGCAGACTGATAATGTTAGGGTGACAAACCTGCAGTGCATTATTAGCAAAAAGATAAGCATCACACCATTTCATGAGAGAAAAGATCTTACATCCTTAAGCATTTCAATGAAGAGTGTAGGATCAGTTCCTCCCATGTGAATCACTTTGACATTTAAAGGGTTCATGGAACCAAGAGAAAGGTAAGGCCCATTATTGTAAAAGGAAAATATCGTAACCCTCATGGAATGTTCCTGGATTTCTGCCATGCAGAGGAAGGGACTTGTAGTGGAAGGCGATAGGAATAATAGTCACCCAGGAGATGAGTAGCCAATCAAGCCACTTAAGGTTTGTGATCATTGAGGCAATAAAGCGTCATTCTCCTTGCAGGTTGGGCTCCAGTGCTAGTACACTCGACTACATTCTATCATCATCTACACAATGTGTGATCCAAAAGGATTAAGAGAATCAAGCCCTTCCTCTACTCACTCCTCCAAAGAGTAAAACAGACGCTGGTAAATATTTGTTTAAGAAAGATCTTTTCTGATAACCAAACTGGATGCCTTTTCAGAGCAACCACAGAGGTAGGATTAGAATTGTCTGTGTGGACTAGAAGGAGGTGGTTAGAGAAGGGAAGCTGGGTGTTACCATGGAAAGCTGGAATCCAGCTCTACTGGTACGTTAGCCTCTGCCACTCTGGAATCTTTTAATTGCCACAAAGCCCCATTTCTGGGTAAACACAATGAAACTCATTTTGAAAGGAGGAGAGGGAAAGGGCAAAGAACAGAGGAAGCAGCTTCCTTATTCAGGGAAAAGGGTAGGTAACTAGCACCTCGTAGACTGAAAAAACAAAAAAGAAGGTTTTAAATTCCCCAGGATTTACAGGTTAGCAAGGCCCCTGTACAGAGTCATATGTTCTTTGAGAGAATGAAAATGTCATATCTGAAACCTCAATAAGGCACATAAAAAGGCCCAATATATTCAGAATTACCAATTCTAAAGCTCAAGGAATCACATTAAGAGAAGGAGAGAGAAGAGAATGTCTCATGTTCCTTAGTTATGGCATTTCTGGCTTAAAAAAAAAAATCAACTTTTTAATTTTTTTTTTCTTTGCTATTTTACTGGAAACATCTCAGAGAGGAAAACTAACTGTTCATCCTTTGTTAAAGCACTCCTAACCCACAGGCCAGGCTAGACAGCTTGGGCTTAGTTGAGTGCCACTGGCTAAATTTAACAGTATGGCTTTCTCGTTCTTGAGTGTGAAGGCGAGCAGCAATCAGAGGTGCTATGCTCTAGTTCTCTTTAATCCATTTTTAATTATACTATAAACACAACATGTACAGCAATGGGTGACTTCCATGGATTGTTCTGGCAGGTATCAGCTTGTTTCCAACTGAATGATTTGTTTTCTTTTTCCGCCCCCACCAGCCACCCAGATCCTGGGCCCCAAGCCCTCTGATCCTCTTTTTCCTGAAAGAACGTCTTATTTGAAACGCCATTGTCCATCTTAAATTAAATGTCCATGTTAAATTAAATTGATTAATTTTCCAAGACATTAAAGATGTTTTAAGTTTAGAATAAACAAAGCAAAGAAAGGGCTCTTTTTGTAAAAATGATGCAAAGATGGGAAAATAAGTAGATTTTTTATAGTTTTTTGCAATAATTTATTTAAATAAGTTACATGTTATGTTTTCATAAGATTCTATGTCACAGTAAGGATGAGGGAAAATTAAATCTGTAGTATGAAACAAAATAAATAACATGGGTCAAATTTAAATGTTTCTAATTTCATTATATGTAGGGACTACCCCTATATTTCCATACTATTGTGAATATTTTATTTATATATAGTAATTTTTAATTTATGAAATACTCATTCAATAACATCTTACTTTATTCTCACAAATCTATAAGGTGTCATTATTCCCACTAAAGGGATGAGGGAATAGAGACTCAGAGATCAAGTGACTTGCCCAAGCTCATAGAGCTAAAAAATAGAAGAGTCTGAATTTGAAAGTAGATCTTTCAGCTCCTAATTTTGTCATCTTTATGCTATAAACATGGTAGCATTTTCAGCATTCCTTATTTTCACATTTTCTTCATCTCATCCTCTTACATAGAAGTAAACAGATTAATCTTGAGTATTTCACTAGGGCCAAATGTATCCGTTATCTCCTTTGTGCATGCTTCTCATTAAGTATTTCTAAAGTATTTCAGGCAAAGTTTAACATATTTAGTTAAGATGTGGTTTCCCAGTCTGTCTATTCTATCAGGACTTTGATTTCTACATCTAAAAAATGGGAATAATAATCACAACTCTTAGAAATATTTAGATATAATTGAAGCAAAATGTATCTTCATCATTATGCTTTATTTTTAATTAGAAAAGAACTGGAAGCATTTATTAATGTTTATTTTTTACAAAAAGAGATGACAAGATTTTGTTGCCAATGTCCTTAATAGTCCAGGCTTTTCCCCAACATAATTTGGAGGTAACTTTAGCAAGAGAAAGACACATAGGCAAAGATTTTTCAAATGTAAAAAAGGAACAATAAATACTGTGAAGTTAAAGGAATTTATTATTTTTCTACCGTGTGATAATAAGCATGAGGGATTAGCAAACACTTAAATTTTTTTAGAATAATTACATTTTGGGATGTTGTGAAATTTCAAACTTAGCTTGACCTTTTGGTGTTTGAGTTTGTCTACTTTTGGCATAAGACAATTTCCTGACTTTAAAGACATCAGGCAGCTCTTACCAATGAATATTTTAATTATTCAAGTTGCATAAATGACTTGAAAACATATGGAATCAATTTCCCACACAATGTTCATTGGTTAAAAAATTGTGAGAAAAAATGGTTTTGCTATACACGGATTCAATTTTCTTGAACTTCACATTTCACAGGCTTGGAAATAACCGGATTTCTACTAGACCCGAAGCAACTCAAAGTCGATCACAATCCCAGTACTAATCTGAACTGTTTCAAACATTCTTCACACACATGGCAATCAGTCTGTAACTATACAATATTTTTAATTTTATCGCTACCATTCCCCAACCCCTCAACACACACTCATATTAATACCTTTTAAAACTTATACCAAAACCCTACAAAATAAAACAAGTATGTTATAATCCATAGAATGTCTAAGAGAGCCAAAATGTATAATTTGTGGCACTGTTCATTTTGTGTAGACTTTTGATGAAAAAACAAGTTGCTAATAATAAAACCATACTGTGAAGACCACCATTTATCACTAATCAGTGATAGTGACTCCTCCATTATGTGATTTGTACTACTTGTTTTCTAGATATGAATTCCAAGGCATTGGGTGATATAACCCTGCTGTTCTGTCACCTATTTTTCTGTCACTTCACTTAATAGCACAGAGCATCATGTGGACTGCGTGGGATTATAGCACTTGGTATGAAAAAGGTAGTGGGAGGATATTACAGCAACAGTTATGTTGAAATGAAAGTCTGGCATACATGCAAAACCATCTTCCAATTCTTTCCCTTTTTCAATTTAGGCCCTACGATCACATGTTATCACTAACATTTATTTTATGTTGTTATCCCTCTGAGTGATTTAATTTTGAGACAAAATCATTTTTAAATTTATTATATTTGAATTGGTTTATCCTTAGAACTTTAGTCAAAAATGCATCATCAGCTTTCAAATGTCATAGACTGAAGCAAGATTGATAATTATGGTAAGAACTGGTCAACAGACTTCCTGGTGTAGTCCTCACCAGAGGAATGCAAATCAAAACCCACAATGAGATACCATCTCACGCCAGTTAGAATGGCTTTTCTTAAAAGTCAAAAAATAACAGACATTGGCAGGGCTGTGGAGAGAGGCGAATGCTTATACACTGCTGGTGGGGATGAAATTTGTTCAACCACTGTAGATAGCAGTTCAGAGATTTCTCAAAGGACTAAGAGTTGAACTACCATTCAACCCAGCAATCCCACTACTGGGTATATGCCCAAAGAAAAATAAATCATTCTGCCACAAAGACACATGCACCCATATGTTCATCGCACACTATTCACAAAAGCAAAGACGTGGAATCAACCCAGGTGCTTATCAGTGGTGGAATGGATAAAGAAAATGTGGCACATATACACCATGGAATACTATGCAGCCATAAAAAAGAACAAAATCATGTTCTTTGCAGCAATGTAGATGCAGCTGGAGGCCATTATCCTAAGTGAACTAATGCAGAAACAGAAAACCAAATATCACGTGTTCCCGCTTATAAGTGGGAGCTAAACATTGTGTACACAAGGACAGAAAGATGGGAACAATAGAAACTGGGGACACAAGAGCGGAAAGGGAGGGTTGAAAAACTACCTACTGGGTGCTATGCTCACTTCCTGGGTGACGGGTTCAATTACACTCCAAACCTCACATTACACAATAAAGGTTTGTAACAAACCTGCACATGCCTTCCCAGAATCTAAAATAAAAGTTGAAAAAAAAAAGATTAAGTCCACTAATTTGTCAATGTGGATATGAAAGTAAGTAGCCACATGATTAAAACTCATTTCAACTTGTTTATTGCATTTATAATTGATTCTCATTATTTGCAGGTTCTGTGTTTGTGAATTCACCTACTCACAAAAATCTATTTGTAACCCCAGAATCAATACTAGCAGTGTTTTGTGTTCTTTCACGAACATGCATAGAGCAGGGACAAATTTAATCACGTCCCAGCTGAGGTAGAACAAAACCATGCTCTGCCTTCCTGGTTCAGCTCTCATATTGTAAACAAGTGGCCTTTTTTCAGTCTATTTATTGTCACCTGTTTCTGCATTTTTGTGCTTTTTGTTGTGTTTCACAGTTTAAAATGAACCCCAAGCACGGTGCTGAAGTGCTGTCTAGAGTTCCTAAGGCTGTGATGTGCCTTAGGGAGAAAATATATGTATTAGATAAGCTTCAATCACCCATAAATTACAGTGCTGTCAGCTCTAAGTTCAATGTTAATGAATCAACAATAATACTAAATGTGTCTTTAAATGGAAACACACATAAAAGAAGGTTATGTATTCATCAGTTAATGAAATTGTGACAAGGCACAGAAGAACCTGACCCTGTATTTCCCTTAGGGGGAATGGTTTAGTATTTGCAGCAATTTTATAGGATGTAACAATTGCAAATTATGAGAATTGATTGTATATTTCATATTTGATATTTTCATCATCTTCAGAAAGGATCAGATGGAAAGTTTAGAAGACATTAATATGTAGGGTTTCTTTAAAAATGAAATACTATATTATTACCATATATATTATGCTCACCATATCCTTTTCTTATGATGATTTTTAATTCCTTTTTTAAAAAATCTTTCTCCTAGTTAGAGAGACTTTTTAGTTAGTATTAATAATTATTTCTTACTATTGATAGGGTGCCACTAACAATATTTCTTAACATAAATCTCAAAGGAAAGGGGCTTTCTCAGAAGTCCTGGGAAGTTAGTTGGTGGCTGCGCCCACCTGCCCACATATGACTACTCTGCAGTGCTCCAAGAGGGGCTCATGACTTATCGGATGACAGCACAACTTCATGCCACAGAAAGAAGAGGATGCCCTTTAAAGGTAAATGCATCCAAATTCCAGCTTTACCAATTCAGGCTCATATAACCGAGAATGAGTTGTTTACCTTTCTGAGCTTTTCTGTCTCTCTTAATCTGTAAAATGAAGATACTGAAACCAACTTACCAAGGCAACCTTTTTCTTTACTAAAACCAAATCTAGAAACTCAAAATGTAGTCATGAAAGAAAAAGCTTTGTGGTAAGATAGGTGCGAAATCCAGCTGCTTTGGCATTTCCCCCAATTTTATCTTTCTGTGGGGCTGTCACACTTTTACTACCAGTGCTAGCATTGTGAGGGGTCCTCCAGTCTGGCTGTTCTCCTTAACTGATTTAAAGACCGTTACTCCCCCTTGTTTCTCTTTAGCACAACCAAGGCAGGCAGAAATCTCCCAGAGGCCTTCACTAACTATTAAGGGAGACAAAGTGTCAGGACATTGTGGAGGAAGCCCCTCTGGGGTGGTTCATTTGATGGCATCTCCCATGTGGAACAAGGCTAGAAACTAGAATGTAAAAAGTCCAGGGAAATAGAATAGGCATGCAAGGCCTGCACTATACTCTTCAAAACGGCATTTGGAGTAAGAAAGGCAGATTTTATCAGGGCAGAGTTCTACTCAGGAGTAGTTGAATCAGAAATCTGCAGTGTGTAAACCAGACTTCTGTTATTCTTTCTGTCTTTCCTATATTTGCATCCTTGCTGTTTTTATCATTTAATAAAGTCGTTTTAAAAGCAGCAACCTATAAAAAGCACAGTTCAGTTGTACTAAGGAACTCAATTTGGGATTTCTGACTACGTTTTAGCCCTAGTTTTAAAAGGTGTATAGCTAGAGATGGGATGTAAATATAGTATCAAGGGTAGAAAAACTAATGAGCAACACCCAGGATATTTGGAGAAATAGAGTTTGGTTATTTGGTCAGGCTTAATCCCCCATAGGAAGAATACCAAAGTGGTTGGCACAAGGGCTGACTATGACAATATATTAACTATGTCGTAACAAAATACCTCCAGAAGGGGCTGTTTTATATTTTGACAACTACAAACACACATGCTAAAATTAGATAATATTTTTTAAACTTTTTTATAAGAAACTTACCAAAGTTTTACTAGTAAAGGAAGAGTGATGTGCTCATTTTTAAAAATTGTATTCAGTAATTCCACTTATTCAACCCAAAGCATATCATGTAATATAATCACATAATTTTCTTATGAAATCTATAGTAGGAATAATTGCCCCTGTTTTACTGAAGGCAAAGAGATGTCATGTGTATATTTTTAAATCATGGGTAGATTTAAAACTAAGACTGGAAAGTTTTGGCTCCTATACACACTCAGTGCTAATAAAACTGGTTGGACGAATTAATGTTATTGACTGAATTTTACTGCTCCCTAAAACATGTCACATTTCATGATTTTTAGGTCTTAGAAAATCTTCTCAGAGCTCACTGCAAGACAATAAAGAAAAACACTTCTGTAAATAGTGTTAAATGACACGTGGGGCCAGCAAAATCAGGGAAAAGGGAATCATGGCCTCCAGTTTATTTCCTGATTCAAGAAATGACTCACTGTGTAACTTTGTAAATGTTGCTTAACCTTTTAGCATTCCAGTTTCTGCAGCTGAAAAACAGGGATAATATTTGTCTACCATACAATGGTAAATGCTCTGGAAATAAAAAAAAATTAATCTTGTATCAAGGGACAGTAAAGCTGGTTTTTCATGTACTTGAGATATCACTGACACATTCACAAAGCAGTTTCTGCCAAAGTTGTATGGTTAATGCTTCCAGATCACCTCCCTAAACACCACATTGTGCACTGAACTCTTTTTATCCCGCCTTGAATCAGAATTGTGATCGCCGTGGGGTGTGTTCTACATGACTGATAGGCTGCATTATGCAGGATGTATCACCCGCCCGTGCCAGAGTGCTTTCTGCCTGGTTGTCAGGGAAGACAAGAGTCAACAGAAGGAAAAAGATCCATACAGTGGGAATACACTTTCTCCCTGAATTTTGATCCTGGAATATATGACTAAAAAGACGAAAGAGCTCCTTTCATTTGCGGTCTTCCTGCCACAAGATACAACTGTTCTGTTTCCCTCATATTCTGGATACCATAATTAAGGGAAAACATCTCCGTTTCCTTTCTTATGCTTTGCTTATTATCTTCTTCCCATCCTTATACATTTTTTTTAAGGATAGTTATGTAAGATGATTGACTCAGGCTCTTTCAATATCTGTTGCTTGACATATGAATATCTTTCCCCATTATTCTCATCAGTGGCAATAATTACAGCTATTAAACTAAAGTCTCTGTGTCACTTCAAATGGCTTTCTTCTAATGTCATCTATTGCTGATATGGAGCTGTGCTTTCATGTGACAAATTCCAATATACCTTAACCAGGTAGGAACAGAATGTTATTACAGCAAAGATTTAACAAGCAGGCAGTATCAAACTACATGACTCTGTTTTTGCTAAAGTTCTCCTTCTACCAGAATCGTTATAAGATCCACACCCAAAAAAAGGGCAATGGAGCTGACACGCAGGACTGGAGAAAAACAGGACTCCAAATTGAGAAGGGGTGAGGAGGAACAGGGCTAGTTGGAAAACAACTGAGATTTTGCATTGAGAAAACAAAGCATGTTTTTCTAAATGTAAACACTTTGAGAGGAAAAAATAATGTGACTTTTCTCAAACACCATGTGTCCATTTAAACACAAAAGGACACTTTCTAACTTTGTATGGAGCTGCGATTTATTGCCACTGCTTTCAGCGCTCAGTGACTGCCCTCCTCTGTTAAGTGATAGTTGGATCTTTTTCTTTGGTTTTACTGCCCATCACTGCACATCAGAAGAGACATTAACGTTCACATTCGAGTGTCAAGTCTGGATGTCTCAGCATAAACCGTAAATCAGTATACAACTAGAAGTAAATAAAATGGGAAGGCTAGTGTGGATTGGGTATGATATCAAAATGTTTATTTACTGATACATTGTATAATCTACTCAGAACACTTAGACAAAGCTTCAAGTACAATTTTGTTCCATGTCAGCATTTTCTAGCCTGCTTTCCTTAAAACATGAGATATTATTTGCCATTGCCAAAATAGTTTCACGTTTGAGAGTTGCTGCTTACTATATACATCTCTCTCTCAGAAACTCATAATATACATTTGCCAAATTTTGCAGAAAGCAGTAATTTCTTTACTCAGTCTTCCCCAGAATTACTTAACCAAAGAAACACTCTTTATAGATTTATTTTTTGGGAGAATATCTAACAGAAGTTCTCAGACCCTAAGACACAGTTTGGAAAATACTATACTGTACTTGTATTTTCCAGCCCCTTTAATGGGGACTTGAAGTTCTGACTCTACTCTTTTATCAATGATTCCTTCGACATATTCTAAAATGTATATTTATATTTTAAACACAACTAACTTCCCTATTAGCAGAGACCTATTTTAGGTGTGACCTGGGAAAGGATTAACTGCAATTCCTTTTTCTTCTGAATCTTCCTTTAGAGAATTTGTGGGCAAGCAGCTTCCTCATTTTGGTGGTGAGCAAGCATAAGGTATTTGTTTAATTGAATCAGAGTAGACTAATGTCAGAAACTTCTGTTTCCTACAATATATTCAAAAGGGCAAAAATAAAGAGTTGGTTTGATTATTTTTTCTTTTCTTTTATGTATTCTGTTTCAAGAGCACCTGCCAACGATAAAAAGATGGACGGACAGTGAGGTGTTTTATCTGTTTATCACATGTTTATCTGCCAGTCCAAGTCCTTTGAATGCTGAACTGTTCCAACTGCACAGGTGTCTAAAGATGTGAATTAGAAATGAGTTTAGGCAGCAGATGCTGGAATGTCGTTGAACAGTTCGCTTGAAGAAAACAAAAATAAAAGTATACAAAGTTCATAATACTTTCCTTGGTGAATATTAGGATTTTTGTTTTCATTTTCTCTATGCCTTCCCCCCAATTCCACTCTCTCCCTGTTTCCATGTAATCTGAGTTTCTCTTTTTAGCTTTTCTGGTAAGTATGATTTTGCCTCCACTTTCTCAGATATCATCATAGTATCATAAAGTCTTGAAAGGCTTACTTTCATAGACATTTTTCTCCCCACAACTCAAATCTTTCCTTCCAAGGATGCATACACTTGAGTACCTGAGTGAGTCTCATGTACCTTGGAGATACTCTGTTTGAGTGCTCACATTCTCAAGTGTCGCAGTCCCCATTTTAAAGGTAGAGGATAGAAAATGGAGACTAGATGACTTATGTATTCTCACACGGTGAGTCACTAACCTTCCTGGAAGAGGGACCCATTCTCCCTAACCATTCATGCAAACCTTTTTTTCTTTCTGCTTTTGCTTGAACTTTGTATCCCCATCAAATACATTTAGGTGATAGAGAGAAACACACACACACACGCACACACACACTCACACATATACACCCCTACCTTGGCATCATTGAAGCATTATCCCTGAACTTTTTAAACATTAAGTTAGCATTTGTACCGGGTCAATACTAGTTTCCCTGTTATGCAAACCCACACCCATGCTAAGTGTCTCTAGGGCTCTAGGGTTAGGAACACAGTGATAATATGACTATTTGGTTTCAGTGTTTGTGCACAAGGAGCCTGAGGTCATTTCAAAAAAAAAAAAATGAAAGATTCTGAGGAAAGCCTTAGCAATGAAAGTGACAGCTCTCTTTTTATCAGTGACAAAGAAAAAGAAGTAACTATGATAAGGAGTCAAGAGAATATAGAATATGAAAAACAGACAAGGAATCCATTTCCCATTCAGTCAAGAAAGTTGTAAAGCTGAATTTCGAGGTCACTAAATAAGTGGCTCCATGACAAATCTGGGTTCTTAGGGAGAGGGAGTGTACTCAGCCTAGGAGACATTTCATCTCTATGATGGCTAGGGCCACCCTGCTCCTTGAATGTAGGTGATGCTTGTGCAAAATGCCCTAATTCCAAGACTTGGGTACATTCAGAGCTGTTTCTGTGATTTCTGCAAATTTCCACTGGGCAAAAGCTCCCAGGAGCTCCCTCTGTTTCTGGGTTCCTGCTTCCCTGCTGCTGAACACAATGGTGATACCAACCCTTCCCAGATTTCCACTACCACCTCCTTCCATCATAACAGATGTATGGATGGGTCCTAGTGTAGGAGTGGGGTTGGGGGAGTGGCTTAATAGGGTTTACCTTGAAGCAATGCCAACACCTTCAAATCAAACCTAAGAAGCCCCATTCTTAAATATTGAAAATATCCTATATTGTATGTAGATAACCTCCTCTCCCTTGCCCCACTGCGTCCCTGAAATCATGGTGGCATTTTCACCGCCCTTTTGGCCATGTAGTTCCCAGACTGTTACTATGTTACTGTTTCTAGTTGTTGGTTTTGTTTTTACACTAGCCTCATCCTATTCTCGCCCCTTCTCATAAGTAATAACAACTACTTTTGACTTTCTTAAGCAGAACCATAAAGCCCCCTCTGGCTCTCACTTTTGTTCCCAAGCAATTGCTAAATGTAATGGGTTTTCCCTAAACAGCAGGATTCTAGGGCCACTTCTTTACAGACAGAATTTCATCCATGTGACAATTTTGCCCAAGGCCACTCAGGGCTGCTTCTCTCTCAGAGGCAATGTCACTTAGAGACCAGCTTTGTGAAAACTTATTCAGCAAATTCAGGTGCATGATTAGGAGGAGTTTTTCTATTGTAAAATTTGGGGACTTTGTTGAATTTGATGAGAAAATCAGAATAAGAAAGTTTGCCCCAGGGGTGAATCTATTACCCACGTGGAGACCACTCACTGCCTTGGAGCAGTGTAGGAAGGAGGGTTGACAGACTGGAAGCTCTGCAGCTGGATGGCCTATGTCTGAATCCCGATTCTGTGCTTGCATTTGTACAACTCTGGGCAATTGCCTTCATCTCTGGGTGCCTCAGTTTTCTCACTTGAAAATAGTAGAACACACTTTAAAAAGTTTTTGGATGGATTACATGACTGAATACGTATGGAACCTTTTGAAAAGTGTTTGGCACCTATGTGTGTTATCTAGCTTTGTTTTAACTTGGCCAAGTAACAAAAGACTAGGGCAAGGGCTGTGTAGAGCACAGACAGGCAGCAAACAGGAATGCTTTTGGCAGAAGTTTTCCCCATGGGAGGCAGAAGAGATGGTTGATGTTACAATTCCAAGAGTTCGGAAAACTCCACTCAGGAATGGGTCCTTTTGGTAGATCTTTTGTCTCTAAACTTTTGCAGGTTGAAATTGTGAAGAAAATCAAGGGGTCTCTTCGCCTCAGTATTTCACATCAGGGCTTTCCCCCTGCCCCGCGCCCCCCCGCCCCGAATAAACAAGTCTTTGATATATGAGAGAATTTGGGTGTTTTCACCGAAGTGGGCCCCAGTTTCAACTGAAGTGGATTTCTATTCCTCTAATGGAATATTCTTTCATTTTCTGAGCAAAGAGGTACTTAAAAATCTCTTGGAAGGAAAAATTTAAAGTATGAATGCTTATTTAGACTTAGCATAATTCAGTTTCTCTCTGAAGAATGCCTCTCTTGTAATTTCATATCTATATATTTCTTTGCATACAGTACATACTCAATAATTGTGGGTAGGTTTGGTTTTCCATCCTTTAAAAATAACACCGAGAAGCTTGTTTTAAAAGATTGGCAACTACTATCCAGGTTTAGCAGCAGCAGCAATAACGGCAACTTAAAGAAGTTTTCCATAGAATTCTGGAGGGACTTAACCACTTGGGTTCGTATGTTAATTTGCTGCACATCTCACCACACAGGAGTCTTAGATCTGGGAGTAAACCGCCAGAGAAGAACATACTTGTTCTTATTTTCAAATATCCTAGGATAAATTGTACTCTAGTCACTGGTGACAGAAGAAATCAATACAGAGCATAACTGTAAAAATATTCATTATTTATGGAGGAGAAAGAAGCAAAAAAAAAAAAAAAACCAAAAACCCTCTCCCCAAAAATCCCAAAACAACAACAACAACATAAAACAAAATGCTAGGGAACCAAAAAGGGCAAGTACAAGCACACCAGGATCACCAAGCTGCAGAACTCCGGGTGCACCATTTGCACAAAACAAGTGATGCATCCCCTGGAGTTCTTTAAAATGTAGCTGTGAAGAATACCTTTGATGTGTAAAATTTTAAGTGATTTTCTTTATGGTCAGAAATAGTTCATTCATTCTTCTGCTCCTCAGTGTTCATCTGGGGCTGATCATGTTTAAAATGATTAGAGCCAACATTTTTTGAGTACTTGCTATGTGCCCAGCATTGCTCTCAGTACTTTCTATATATTAATTCATTTGATTTTATAAACCCCTATGAGATAAGTACCCTAATGCTTATCACATAGATGAGGAAACTGAAGCCAGAAAAGTAACTCACCAAAGGTTATACAGGTAGTAAGTAGTGGAGCTAGAGTTCAAATGCATGTGGTTTTCTCAGGTTCTGCAATACTCCTGGATTTATCAGTCCCCAGAGCATGCCAGGGCAACATGGTATACATGGCCATTGTGTTTGATGACATTTCCTGATTAAGTAGATTGAGTGTGAGATTTTTTGATAGAATCTTAGAGAGCAGAAAGAAAGAAACTTCTCCCTTCCAAAAGACCATGGAGATGTCTGGCTGCTATAGATACCCCAGAAAGTCACTCACCAAACAAATTCGGAAAAATTGGAAAAATTAACATTGCATTGGGCATTCTGGGAAACCAGGGCCAAGAAGTTTAGGCTCTCGCTGACAGTTATATTCATTCTGGAGCCACAAAGTCCTCCTGTTTAATTAAGTGCTGAGAGTTGGGGACTCGCTTAATGACTGGATTGCCTCTTGTTCCCAGCACAAAAAAGTGGACCAACATCTGCATGGTCTTCTCCAGGTAGGAGAGAGCAGATGGTTTAAGCCTTTGCCAGGAGGCCTCATTCACACGCTGGATTTTAAGGCATCGTGGTGCTTGTGAGGTGCTTGGTGAGTCTCAGTCAAATGCTTCTTTGTAAGGTAAGGCAATCCTTTTACTTAAAGCTGTTTGATTATTCCTAGATCAACAACCCTGTCCCACTGTAAAATCTTTGGTTGGCACTTGCTTTTCTTTTTAGATAGTAATTACCAACAGAAAGTAGGTGAGAGAGTTATTATAAGAGCATTTACAATATTTGGAATTGCGTGATGGCTATTTTAAGCAAAATGAATAGGAAAGGCAAAGAAGAAAAGAAAGGGAGATTTTAGTTTCCTCAAAGATTACCAGAGTCCCACCTCAGTCAGGGAGTATCAGGTTAGAGTAGTTCTGAGAGGATTACCTGGCCCTCAGCCCTTGGGAATTCTCAGCTCTGTGTTTGTTTTTGTCTCCCAACACAGGCGTGGTATGAAGGGGTCACTTAGAAGGTGAGCAAGACATTAAATGCTCCATTTCCTCACTGTGAGGTAACACTCTGCAGTCAAACCAGGTGAGCTGAAATAACTGGATATGCTTCTCCACAGAGCTAATGCATTTTTATCAAACACTTCCTCAACAATTCTTATTCCCTTTCTGGAGCTTTCATTGCTGCTGCCAATTATAGGAGAATTGAGACAGTCAAAACACCTCCAAAAAAGAAAATGGCAAAAAGAAATTTTATGTTGTCTACAAAAGAGATACTATATTTTGTTATTTTTGATCCACCATCTGGGCTTCCATGAAGTAGAGATTTGAAGCTTAGTATAATAAAGAAATAACATAGATGATGGGGTTTTGGTTTTTTAAAATCAGATTGCTTTATCAACCACTGATGGTATAAAGTCAACTAAAACATATTTGGGGGAAACAACTGTCCAGAGAAACGGGGAATAATGTTCAACAGGTCTCTAGGTCAATTTAAGTCTCAGTTCCTTAATCTACAAAATAGGGGAGTGGATCAGATATTCTCTAAGAACAATTCTTGCTCTGAGAACTCTTTGATTGTATCTGGGCATTCCTTAATTTGTAAACATACACTATACACTTAGTCATTATGAACAAAACAATTGAAGTGTGTTATTTATATTTCACTAAAAACTGCTACGAATACCTATCCTTGGCTTACAGATAAACATGGGAATAAGGTATTTCAAATACTAAGTGCATATGGTTGAACTACAGGAGGTTCAATGAGCAATGGAAGATAGATAACAAAACTTTTGGTGAAGTTCTACACTGCCTATCTGTCTTTGATGCTTTACTAAAACTTACTGATCTTTTAGAAGGTCTCATATAAATTGCAGGCTACTGTAAAAAAAAAAGTCACTATCATCATTTATTGATAATAGAACACTTTCATTTCCCCTGTTTAAGGTGAGCCCAGAAACTCAAACAATCTAAGTAAAGGGGACTACTTGGAGTTTCCAAGGTAATGAAACCCCCCTTTGTAAAAGAAAACTTGCCTATTCTGAAAGGATTACATCGGTTGGCTGACAAGTTCCTGAGCATGAGAACTCACTTAAGCAGACCGAAATAGAGTAGAGTCTGTTACTAAAAGGAATTGATTCACTCAACCCTTTCACCCCCGCCCTGTTTACCTCCTATGCTTGCCACACCTTTTCACCTGTTTTTGAAGCTCCTTAGGTTCTAGTTAAATTTCAAATATATTTTGGCATTTTCATTCAACAGCCAGTTCTGAACATAATTGGAAGGCAGCCTGGTCCACTGGAAAGAACATAAGCTTTGTAGTAAAATAGATCTTTCCTTGAGTTCTCTACCATTTACCAGTTAGATGACTTTGGGCGAATTACTTAACGTCTCTGAGTTCAGTTTTCCAGCTACATAATTGGAATACTGATGGTATCTTCTCTAAAGATTATTGTAAATAATCAGTAATATATTGTGAGTGAAGCATTTGGCATCATAGGGGCATTTATAAATTAATTACAGCAAGAATTTAGAAGGTAACTACCTTTGATAGAATCTTTGAGTGAAATTATAAACTAATCATGTCACTTTCCTTTTAAATTTTAATGATTCCCCCTTGTTCTTAAAGTCTTCCTCATAGAGCTTACAAGGTCCTTCCTGCTCCAGTTCTAACCTCCCCAATCACATTAACATTCCAGCACCTCCCATTGCCTCCACGCTCCAACCGTATTGAGGGCTTTATTGTGGTTGCTGCTGTATCATAATCTGAGAAACCTCATGCTATTATTTCTTCCTGAAACTCACGCTTTCCCTCCTTGGCCTACAGCTAACTCCAAGTCACCACTCAGCTTTGTTTAGTCACTACTACATTCAATGCCTTCAAAAGACTTCCTGAACAAGCCCAGATTATGGGTTACCATAACATCCTGTATATCCTCTATCATAGTATTTACCACACTTTTCTAGGATTTTCTACTGCAATGTCTATATCTCCCTTATACTGTGAGTTCATTGAGAGCTGGATTGTGTCTGTCTTGTTCGCTTACCATAGGTTAGCACCATCCCTGGCACATACCATGGCAACCACTAAATAATTCATGGTAGACAAATAAATGAAGGTCTAATCTTCATTGTCCATTTTTCCATGTGGCCAGTTACATAGCTTCATGCAGCCATGAGAAAGATATGAGTTTTCTGTTTCTTTCCTACTTACTACTCTCTGTTCTAATAGGAAAGGAGCATATGGATTAGGTAAGAAGCTTAATTGTTGTGGGAAAACTTACAGATTGGCAGGAAAATGGTTAAGATGCTTTCTCCCCAGAGGTCAATCTTGGAGAAACAGGTTTAATCAGTAGAAGGAGTTGATTATATAAATTTAATAATTAAACATGTGTACTGTATTTATGGTATGGTTATAACCACATAAATATATGTATACATATTAATACACATGATGAATAGTAGAGAGAAACAGGAAGATTTGAATTAGTCATTTCTAGGTTTTTTTATTACATCATATTTTTATATACAGTCAAATGTGCTGTAATGCCCACACATTAATGACATAATTTTAAAAAATTAATGAGGATGAAATATGCCTATAACCCTCTCAGGAAATCTACATTTCACTATGTCTTCAGGATTCACTTCCTTTACAAAGTCTTCCCAGATAAGACACTCATCCAATGAGAAAGGTCTTTCTTTACCTTCCATGAAGTCTTTGTCATTTACACAGTCTGAGGTCTGTTTCCTGTATTGCTTTACTCTTGTCTTGGGGTTTTCTTTGTTTGTTTGTTTCCTAATTTCCCAATTATATTTCTTGTTTTCTAAAGTTAGAAGCTTGCTTTTCAAAGATTCCATGGCTTCTAGGATGGCACTGGACCCATAGATGACTCTTCCAAAATATTATTGATTTAATGAATATTGCATAAGAAGATGCATTCTAGAACAAATTAGCAAGTAAGAATGCAGGTCTGTCATTTACTGGGATGTAGGCAATCAGTTCCTGACTTTGTAGGCCATTACGAGGTTTAGAACTCAACTATGTTCTTTTAACCCGTATAATAAATGACAAATTTTAAATTAGGAAAGCAAAGTGAATTTTTCTTTTGAAAAAAAAAAAAACAAAAACAAAATTACCTTCCTTTGGAAATCATTATGAAAAGTTGTGTCTGTAAAGTATGTTACCTTTAAAGACAAAGAAAAAATACAACCAAATAATATGTTACTAGATCATCAATGGGTTTTTACCTGTTCACTAAGTAAATTTTAAAAGAATGAATGAATAACTTTGAATGATTCACAGCAAATTTCTTGCTCAATATTATGAAAATATTTTGTTTAAAAATGCAGTTGATAAGAATGTATTTCTTTTGAGAAACTCCAATGTATTAAAAACATGAAGTTAAGATAGAACTTTCAGTACCTTTAGAGATTGCGATATTAAGATTTTGTGCTTCATCAAATGCTGTGAATCATCAATGTCGTTTGCTGATTGGTATTTCTGGCTCACAATTCCTCTGGTTCACAGCAATTGCTCTTGAAAAAATAAGAAGTCTTTTAATTTTAGATAACACCAAAAAGAGAAGGTTTCAGTTTTAAGAAGTCCCATTGGGATGATAGAAAGCATTGTATGGAGAACTGAAAATGGTCAACCCCTTGAAAATGATCAGTATTCTGTGGTTTTGGACCTTAGTTGAAAATGACATAATCATATTTTCCTGGTCTTATAATGCTCCCTTACCTGAGCAAACTTGCAAGGATAGGAGAGGAAGTCAATGCCCCCACTTTGACCCTTATTCAAACCTCAAGGTTTCAGGAATTCCCAAAGATTTAGAGTAGAAGTACACTGTGCCCTGCACACAGTAGGTACTTCAACGTTTATGTCACACTTTAATCATCAAGCACAATCACAGGACTCCAACTAATGCTTCCCTCAGTGCAGCCCAAGGCACATTCAGCAATCTCACTCAGAACAACCAGGAGAGATACTTAACACAATGTATGCCCTTAGGAAAAAAAAGTAGAATAGCATTATCAAAGGCTCTGATTTCTAGATACAGGTGTGCTCTGACTTTTTCATGCTTTCCTTTTTCTCTCTGAAATATGGGAATAATACCCCCTGTCACTGAGCCACTGGAATGTTGAGGAGACAATGAGTTAGCATTGGAAAACAATTCAGGGTGAAAGGTGCGGATGTGAGCTCAAGGTATTTGTTAATGTTATTACTCAATCCATTCTGGCCCAGTGTGGAAACAAAAGCAACTTTTATTACAAATAACACAACATTGTTAAAATAACCTTAGGAAAGAGAGAATAAATGAATCTACCAAGATAAATAGATAGCAGCTGGGTTATTGAGACCTCATGTTGAGGTTACAGGCTTTTAACACTAAATGCAATGTTCTTTTAATTTTCAAGTAAGAATCATTTGGTGAAAAAAGTAGGTAACCTATTAGTGCCTGTCTATAAAAGAGTGAGGACTTAGATTTCTAAATGCATACTAACAAGTATATTTATAAAGACAGATTTTATTACCTGATTGTATAAAGCAGAAGTCTCCTTTAACAGATTAAAAGAAGAGGTGGGTGGAATATGCTAACAAACAAAGGTCCATGTGTGAATCGGGGGATATTCAGGACTTAACTAGACTTCAGCAGACTCATTTAGGATCTTAAACACTGTCCCAAGTCCAAAATTCACATTTAAGCTGAGAGCAGCTAGGACTTTACTATCTATCTATGGTTTAAGTTGTCTTCCACTCGGCTTGTAAAGCCTAGAGTGTCACTGTTTCTGCCCACAGATAGCTGTCAATCTTGGCCCATAAGGAGATGGAACCATAGGAAATGTTTCATCTCCACTCCCAGCACTTCTTTCCATATAAAAAGATTTCCACTAGCACAGCAGTCCTGACATCTCTGTTCTCAGGAGAAGAGGGAATCATTTAATGTTATTGAGTCCCTTTACCTCCTCATTCTCTTGAGAGCTATGTGCATAGAGAAAGCATACTTTCTGCTCTGCTATTTCAGACCCTACATTTTAGAGTACATTGTCTAATGTTGGAAATAAGGTAGGTAAGTCTCTCTAAATCTGAGATTCAGTGATAGTAAGGCGATCCTCCAAAATCAACTTTAACAATGATAAAATTGATAATTTCCTCTCTATCTATCTTACTCTGTTTTTCAATGACTCAGACTCAGCTGGAGAAGAGAGATGTTCCCTCTCTTGAGCTCACTAAAGACATTCAACAACATGTAATACAATGGGTGGGACATTTGTCTTTTCCAGGCCAAGGAAAAGGAAAACAAACTTAGGTCCCCAAAGACTTAGGATAAAATATCACAGATATAAACTTAGCAAAGTTGAACTCAGCTGTTAGAAAATGGAATTGGATTAGTTTCCTGTGGCTGCTATAACAAATCACCACAAACTCAATGGCTTAAAACCACATAAACTTATCCTCTCACAGTTCTAGGGGACAAAACTCCAAAATCAGTTTCACTAGGCCTACATCCAGGAGTTAGCCAGGCCATGCTCCCTCTGGGAACTCTAAGAGAGAATCTGGCCTTTCCTCTTCCTGCTCATGGGACTGCCAGCACTTCTTGGCTTGTGGCTGCATCACTCCCATCTGCCTCCCTGATCACATTGCCTTCTCCTCGTTGTCAGCTCTCCCTCTGCCTCTCTCTCATAAGGATATACGTGACTGCATCTAGGGCCCATTCTAATAAGCTGTGATAACCTCTTCATCACAATATCCTTAACTTAATCATACCTATAAAGACCTTAAATTTTTAATGTTTTAATTGTTTTTAATTTAAAAATGTCTTTTCTTAGGTTCCTACAGACAGAAACCTTTTTTCTGTATCAGGTAGTATTTACAGATTCTAAGGATTAGGACCTGACGTCCTCGGGGGACTATTTTTCCACATGAGTTCAATAGTCTTGAATAAATATCATTTATATCTCTTTTCTTCTTTTCTCTATGTTCTGAAATTTTACAATTTAAGATGCAAAAATATGTGGTCTAATATCATAGTTTTAGAGAATTAAGAAGGTAAATTCATCCTAGAGTTTGGATCAAACAAATAATATTTAGAAGGAATATATCATAAGGTGATAACTTTGTATGTCGGTATATATGTAAGTGTGGGTGTGTGTAAATCATTAAATTTCCATATATATACCATATAATTTTCTACCTGAAATGTTGTGAGTTAAATCAAAAAATGTAAATTATTCCTACATATCATTAATATTATAAATTCAGGACCATAGTTATTTATATATTTATTTTTAAAATTCTGGTTGAAGCATTTGGTGAAACAGTTCCAGAATTGAGTTTTTTATTCTTTCTATATGTGGAGCATATGGTAAAATTATTCCTATTTCTAATATGAGTTTGGTATTTTATTGTTAAACTCTAGAAAACAACCACCTTTTAGCCAAGAACCTTTGCCCTCTAAGACACACTCAATTGTATTTTACTTTTGCTACCAACATTTAGGGGTTAGTTTACTTTGTGTTATCATATTCCACCAATATTCAAAAGATTTATCACTTGGCAAGAGTTACTGATGACACTCCATGAGTAGGAAACCTCAAATCTTGGTGAAGGGCAGGCACTGAGCTTCTGCTAAGCACTCTCACTAGCTAAGAAACTTGTGCTACATACTACATGTGCCCTGTTTCAGTTAGGACAGGCTATGATATCGTAACAAATAGACCGCCAAATTCAGCTTCTCATGTTTGAGGGAAAAACACATCTATCTCTCTTTTGGACAACAGTCCAGGATGAGGGTTCCAGGTCAGTGGGAGCTCGGCTATATGCAGTGGACCAGGATGGCAAGGGCTCTCCTGAAAGGACAGTAGAGCCCTTGCCATCCTGGTCCACTGCATATAGTCTGCTCCATCTCAGGAAGCCAGAAGGTAGAAGGGGATGCAAAAACACAGCAGTGCAAGAGCTCTAGTATGTGGCCACACAGAATTGCAATGGAGACTGGGAAGTATAGTCTAGCTGTGTGCTCAGGAAGAAGAGGAGAAGGGATTTTGGTAAACAGCTGGCAGTCTTTGCTGCATGCATTATTTCTGCCTCAGCAAAATAAAAGTTGACTATGTAAAACAGAGGTCATGTGTGTAGAGGTCATTGTGTATACCCTTGGGATATACACAAGCATTCAAACCAATGAATAGTGAGAATTTATTCTACCCAAGCAACTATTTATGCCGAATATTCAGAAGGGGAGGGGAGCAGGAAAGAAATGGTTTATTTTCTTTAAATTATTGAAAATATTAGCTTATATCAATTTTCTCAAGTGATGAAAATGCAGGGGTTAAGCCTTTATTTTTTTTTTAAAGTAAATATTAGTATTATGTAGTATATGTTAAGAAGGTTTTTTTCTCTTCATTTCTTAATCTATTGAGGGAAGGACTAGGCAAATGAAGTTAGGCTTCTTTTCTCAGGGGGCCTAACTGTTGGCCCAGGCTGGGTTCCAAGAACTAATACAAGGAATGGTAACTGGTGGGGTTGTCTTTTTGCTGAATGAAGAGAAGAAAAGAAGAATTCCAAGTCTGTTTCCCAGGCACAGGAAGGACCAGGAAGCAAGGAAACTTCCAATTTTCAAGTCCACTGAGCAGAATACAAGAACAGGGTCCAAAACAAAGAGTTCTCCGTTGAGAACCGGCAAGATGGAGCAAGCAAGTCCTGCAGGCAGGCTGGGCCTGGAGAGGCGCCAAGAGGCCACAGCACTCTTGGGAGGAGGTTTTTCTGGACTCTTGAGGAGCTGAGACTTTTATATTCCAACCCTGCCTTTAATTTGAGGTTTGCCTCCTCCCTCCATTTGCAGAAGAGTAATCCGAAGCTAAATCATTCATAACATGAGAATGCTGATCTGTGTCCAGCCCTTGTGAAGGGAAAAGAAAACAAAACTTCACAAACATAATTAGTAGAACTACCTATAAAACCTAATGTTAAAAGAGAAATTAGCTTTCATGGAGAGAAAGTGTGATGGCATGACACAGAAATTAAGTGCACTGAATTTAGATTTGAAAAGAGTTTGATTCAATTCATGTCCCTGCTTCCCAGTAGTCCGTGACCTTGGGCAAGTGACCTATACTCTCTAAATCTTAGTTTCCTTATCTGTAAGATGGGAGATGAAAATAATACCTAATTCATATTTTTTAAGAACTTAATGAAAGAATGTTCAAATGTATCTAATAAGGTATAGGAACTCAACACATGCCAGTTAAACAAATTTCTAATAATTGACTTTCTTATTTCTTCCTTTCTGGGTAAAACAACTGTCCTTTGTATACTTTCATTTTTTGGAGACAGAGTCTCACTCTGTCTTTTTTTGGAGACAGAGACTCACTCTGTCATCCAGGCTGAAGTGCAGTGGTACGATCTCGGCTCACTACAACCTCTGCCTCCCAGTTTAAACAATTCTCCTGCCTCAGCCTCTCGAGTAGCTGGACTAGGACTACAGGCGGGAGCCATCATGCCTGGCTGGTTTTTTTTGTATCTAAGTAGAAATGGGGTTTCACCATGCTGCCCAGGCTGGTCTTGAACTCCTGAGCTCAGGCAATCCACCTGCTTCAGCCTCTCAAAGTGCTAGGATTACAGGCGTGAGCCACTGCACCCGGCCTGCCCCTTGTATACATAAAAAACAATCAATCAAATCTTCCTCCATGACCCCTTAAGCACTATTGAGTAAAGGTGGGATCTTAAGTTGTGACAACTGATATATGTAAAATGTCAATTTAAGAACATCTCCTTTCAGACATGAGTATTTCCCTGCAAACTTAGGTTTATGTCTAAGATCTTAAGGAAATAAATACTATAAAAAGACATAGTTCAAATAATGTATTAATAGAAAAAAGGTCCATAGGAATATCTCAGTGTTTTCTTTTATATGAGATGTATCATATGCTAAGAATATACAATTCTCTAGAATTTATTATTTTTCAAAGTATTCTTTGAGAGGCCATCTCTCCTGTTATTACTTTGTCCAGGTAAGTGGGAATTTCATTCGTGAGGACTCCAAGTCCTATCTATGGAGTCCATTATCACTGGGCATGCCAGTACATCTTCTGGCAAACTGTGACAACAGTCTTCATTGGCAACCGAGAGAACAAAAGAGGATTTTTCTAAAGGTGATGAGGCAGAAAAGGGAAGCAGATGGCCCTGAGGAACACGGAGAAATGTCAAGGGAATTGGCCTCTCTTCTTGGCACTTTGAGGCCTGGCCATGAGGGGTATGTGCCTGTTCATTCCCTCACGAAAAGCGGAGAAGGAAGGATCTAGCCGATTGCACACTAAAGATAACTTGGAAAAGGAACTTGACAGTCCTAGGGAAGAGGAGTTGCAACATAAACTGGAAAGCAGATGAAATCCACTGGTGTGATGAAATTAAAGAGACTTCCCAAATATGCTGGGAAAATCAGTGGAATTTTCAAACCATTGCAAAGTTGTTTCATAAGAATTAGATTAACTAATATTAACTTGTTTCTGGTATGTGTCCAGTACTATGCTAAGTTTGACATGCTTTGCTTCAGTTAATACTCAATCTAGCCCTAAGGGGTAGGCACTAATATTGTCCCCATCATGCAGACCGGAAAATTGAGATTTACAGAGGTTAAGTCTTTAGTCTTAAGTAATTCATGGAATGCAAAGTACAGAGCAAAGATCACTTACCCAGAACTTAGCTAGGAAAAGAAGTGTGTTCATAAATACACTTGTCAGTGATATTTAAATTCTAAGAAAACTTTGCTCACATCTTCTTGAATGAATTGATAACTAGTATAATGTCTGGAAAGGCATGTTTCTCTGAGGTCACATTGCAGCACTTTCAAAAGGGTTTCCCTCAAAGGTGTTTCATCTATTAGTATCAGCAAAAAGATCTCACAGAATGACTAATTTTTAGTAATTATGACCGGCAAGTCTTTGTTGAGTCACTCTCTTCAGAAGTAACACCCTGATTCATCAGATCTGTTTTTAACATTAATTATATTTAACATCTGACATCTTCTTTACCTCTCTCCACATCACTGAATACTACGGAGAAAATAAGGTAAGGCAAACTCAGGTTATGATTAAAATAATAATTGAGCATTAGTGAATTAAATAAAGTAAAAATTGAATGGATTCAACATCCCGTGAAGCAAAACATAAAACATCTTTCATTTCATAAGGTAAAAAAGAACATGAATTTTTCACAATGTCTGATGTTAATGTTGTGCATGGATCACATAATATAAATTAGATGCTTTTATATACAAAAAAATGGTGTTTATGTGATCATCCTAAGAAGTGAGATGAGCAAGGTAGTATCTACTTAAAATATGCTGCCTTTCTATTAAATAACTCATTGTAAAATTGCAAAATGACTTACAATGAACAGCTACAACTTCTAAAATTGTTACTAATGTTTCATTAATAAAGTGTGCCATGGCCTTTCATTAAAGCTGGGTAGTATATGAACCCCTGATGCAGGTATGCAGAAAGATGTCAGCAACACTAGATCAGATGGACTAACTTGGAGAGAAAACTTTTTTTCCCTTGATAGAACAAAAATGTCTGTGGTGACCATTTGTTGTTTTTTGCCAGTCCTGTATCCCCTCCCCTTGTTTTGAGAGTGTCCCTCTGATTTTCTGGGGATCTGCCCATCGCCATTATGAACCATCTTCATGGAACTGTCAAACTATGGATCAAAGTGCAAAGGGGCGAGTTGGCACTTCCTCCCCATCCCTACTCTCACTTGCCAAGACCGATCAGATAGAAGTCCCAGGAATCTGGCCCAAGGACAGAACATGGTTGGAGCTGAGTTTTTTATTTTTTATTTTTATTATATCTTCCCAAAGAGATTGTATCTATTTCTTCACCCAGATCCCCACCACTGCTCTGCATCTATCTCCCTGGAGGTCTGGCTGTGCTTCTATTTCTTAGGTATTGAAAGCTGCTCCACAGTCTTCCACTAAATCCCACTTTTCTTTAAGCTGGCCAGTTTCTGTCTGTTGCTTGCAAAGAAAACGCATTAACTGGTATAGTACAATGTCCTTTCATTTTTACTGAAAATCTTAAATGCTTTTACATCTAAATGAGATCAAACCTTTCCTGAGAATGTTCTTAAAAAAAATAGAACATTTTCAGTGTATGATCAACTCTTCTAGATGAAAACAAAAATTACCAGAATTTAACCTCCATGTCATAATAGATACAAGTAACTACACATAGTAAAAACAAAAGAGTTATCTCTTTTATTCTTCATTTCTTCTAAACTCTTATCATTCTGAGTTATCATCACCGCATGGGGGTGGGGGTGGGGAAATTTAACTCTTTTCTACTTGAAATTTTTCAAAGTCTGTCTTCTAGTATGTTGTTAGAGTCAGTGAGAGGTTGTTGAAAGCTCTCTTTCCAGGTACTAAAAATAGATAAGCTGTATTTCTGGGTTAGGCTAAATGTATGTCCTAAAGATATACTCTAAAGAATGAAAGCATTTTTTTTTTAGACCATTCAGTAAAATTCACTTAGTTTTCAATTATCTGGCCACTTGGAGTTGAAATGGTTAGCAGCTTGAGGTTTGAATTGATTAGATCAATTGAACATAGATCCAGCCATTCACTGAGGAGTGACAGTTACCAGGCCAGGTGTGGGGACTGCCTCTCCTAGAGCCAACATACTAACTCAGCTGAGACTACCCCAGATCTCTTATTATGTTCAAAAACAGCACACATCATATCTGTTTGTTTGATGAAGTATATATACAGAGAAGTGTCTAAAGCATATGGACAGTTTAAGAATGATGATAAAGTAAATACAATCAATATTGATTTTTCATTTATTATATTCAGCATTTTACATCACCTACTGAAAGCTTCCCAAGACTACCATGGCCAAAGTTCCATGCCTGTCGTATGATGACCCTTAGTCATTGTCCTTATCCCTAAGAAAGCACTTATCCCTCTTTGATCTCTTTGCCCAGAACTCACCCATGCACCAGCACTCATGCACAAAACTCATTAAGGACATGGAGTGTACCTTATTTCCACTGTATCACCATGCCCAGGCATGTGGTAGGTCACTTAATAAATAACTGATGACGAATGAATGAATGAAAATAAATATGTGACCCATAATTGTTTTCAAGTAGCTTAGAGTCGGAGAAGGGAAAACAGTAAAACAGTTTAATACAATTTGCTAAGTGTTTTTGATAAGGAGAGCCCAGGACGGGGGCGATTCAGATTCAGACTGGCACCCACCTAGCCCAGATCTTCTTGGAAGTGGTGTGCTGAGCCTTGGTGGGAAAGCAAGTGTCACTAGTTGAGTAGGGTGACAGAAAAGGCATAAAACAGGAGGAACAAGAGATCTGGCAGCTTGAGTTGCCATTAAGTGACTAAGGTACAGTCTAAATCAGAGGTTCGTAATCCATCTCTTCACTTGTGCTTTTTTCTCTTCTGGCAAATGTCTTGAAAGGAAAATCCAAGTCCTTGCTTTCAGAAGGCTTGCCACTTGGTTTCCTTAGAGTTTCCACCAACATGCTGCCTTGTTCCCCTGAGAAAACCGAACTGAAAGATCCATTTGAATTACCTAAATCCCTCCATCTCCTCCTATCAAGTTTTTACCCAGGCCAATTATGGCTAATATTGCCATTTTATAAATGATTCCAGCAAATGCTTTTCAGAGTTCAAATTTTAAAATGCCATCTCTTTTAATATTAGCAAAATGATGATTCAAATTGTCTCTGACAAACTCATGATGCTCACCTCAAATGACATATTCTGGATGAATATTTATTTCCTCTTAATTTTTGTTCTTTGATGTTGCAAATTCTTGAAAATGCATTCCCAGGACAATATTTGTGAGGTAATATGCACTGTACAATTTTTAAAAAGTCCAGAATATACTGTCTTTTTCCGGGACCAGCCCTTATTCCTTCAGAGGCCAGGTAGTATTTCCTCAGTGGCTCCCTGATTCAAGCAGCAATAACTATACAAGGAATGTTTCTTACTCAAAAACCTGGTCCTTGGAGTAGCAACAGAACTCAGGTTCTACCCTGGGTCTATTAAATCATTATCTGCATTTTAACTAGATCCCTATGTGATTTGCAAAAGGTTTAATCTAGTGCACTTACTCTATATGATTGTTAGGGAATGTTTGGAGATACACTATTGAGACAAAATCCTCAAATTCAGGCTCAATGGAAAATAGGATAACACTGACTAGTGAGATAGTGATGACTTTAGGAGTAAGTATTTTAATTGCATCACCAATCTAAATCCATCTCAACTCTCCTTCATCTTCTCTGACTCTATCAAACCAACTATCTTAAATTTCCCCACAACATAATCTTTCTAATTTAGTCAGGTCAAACTTTGCATTGTCTTGCAAATGTTGTGCGTCTTTACTTAGTGTAGTAGTCAGAGTTCTCCAAAAGAACACAAGTAATAGGATGTGGTCACACATATATGAAGAGATTTATTATAAGGAATTGGTCATGCAATCAAGGAGGCTGGCAAGTCCTAAGATTTGCAGGATGAGTCGGCAAGCTGTTGACCCAGGAGAGCTGATAGTTTAGTTCCACCCCAAGTCCAAAGGCCTGACAACCAGGACAGTTGATGGTGTGGTCCATTCCAAAGGCCAGCAGGCTCAAGACTAAGAAAGAACTGATGCTTCAATTTGAGTGTGAAGGCAGGAAAAAAACACCATGTCCTAGTTCAAAGGCCACTAGACACAAAGAATTCTCTCTTAGGGGAGAGTCAGCATTTCCGTTCTATTCAGACCTTCAACTGATTGGATGAGACCCACTTACATTAGGGAGGGCAACCTGTTTTACTCCTTCTACACAATGTTAATCTCTTCCAAACATCCTCATAGGCATACCCAGAATAATGTCTGCCCAAAAATCTAGTTACCTTGTGGCATAGTCAAGGTATTTGACTGTGGCATATAAATATTTATAATGTCCCCATCCCATGGAAATCTCCTCCTTCCACTGCACATCTTCCTAAAGCACAGCTCAAGCCTTTTTTTTTTTTTTTCCAGGAAGCTTTCCCTAACTCCCCTTCATAGATTTCTTCCTTGTCTCAATAGCCTATAGCACTCAGAGAGTCAGTACTAATTGTGGTAAAAAATCTGGTCCTTGGAATAGCAGCAGGGTGATTTGTTTTTATTTTCTACTCTTGCTTTTGGTGTGTTAGATTTATCTCTACCCAATTGGTAATGTATTTTATGATAGCATCCATGCAAAGGCAGTTCAGTCACATGTTTACTGCATACCTCATAGTTCTCAGATGCTCCCCAAATCCTGGCTAATTGATAGTTTCATTTATTTTCCCAATTAAGTTCACAAAAATATTTATCTTAGTATTTTTTTTTTTTTACTAATTAGAAGATACCAGAATATCCTTCCTGCAAGAATTGCCAGTGAAACTTGAGTATTGTTATTACATGTGCACTAACTGGGACCTTCTTGAGACTATGTTGAATTTTTATAGTACCATTTTGTTTAGTACATAAAAATGACACAAGTCTAGAGTGTCATTGAATTCCCACACTGATACTGATTTTTCTGAAAAAAATGTCAGGAAATGGTCTGTTCATATATGTGGCCTACATGATATTGAGTAGGAAGGAATTATGTTGTAATGTCCTAGAGTCACTGCAGCTGGGCAGTTGAGAAAAGATTAATGACAGCACACAGAAAGGACCATAGTGCTGCACAATGGGAAGGTTTGTTTCCAGTCCAGAGTCCAAGCAGAAAATGACTCTTCCTACCCAATGGGGTTTAAAATGCTCATTGGTTCACTTCAGCAAATCACAAACTGACCATGGTCAAAGAGAAAAGATTAAGGTGACACAGCAATTGCAGGAGAGTCCAGAACTCTGAGGCACCTGTAACTCTTCCTGCAGGACATTTATTAGGTTTCTTGAGCACACAAGGAGGAAAGTGATGGCCTTGTAGGGGAGAGTTAGGAAATAGGAGAAACAAGTAGATCTCGGTTTAACCCAGTCTGTATTCCTGTCCATGAGACCAGACAGTTGCCATTGCCAGACCTGCTGCTGGTCTGGGCATCAGTGTTTGTCCTCTTAGCAGCTCCAAGGGTTAGATCCACCACATTCTCTCTGGCAATTACATTGGATCATCAGCTTCCTAGTCTTTGGTGGACTCATTCCCATGCTTATGACACTTTCTCTGGGACTTTTCCCTCTTAAAAACCTAATCCTTACTCACCTAGACTGTACACTTGAAAGAGAAAAGAGGACACTAAAAAAAAAAAAAGAAAAGAAAAAAAAAACTGTGTTTTGGGAAGGCCTGGCCAATATTTGCAGAGTCTGGTGCAAGAGTATAAATGGAGGTTCATATACTATCTGTCTAAATATTTAAAAGTTTAAATTAAGCCAACGAGCTCTTAAATGAAATAGATTCCATCCTTCACTACAAAGGAAGGTTCAAATTCAGGATGCTTGCAATCTTCAGAGGTCCACACTGAAATGTGACAACAGGTAGGGGAGACCCAGCCATTGCCCCCAGGCCTTCTGATTTTGCTGGATCCCTTAACATTCTTGCTATTGGCTCCATATGGTCTGCACAACAAGCATGAGTGCTATGTGAACATCCATGGTGGCCTTTAGGTGTAGTACCATCCACAACCACCCTCACCAAACAAAAACAAAAAAACACACAAGCTAGCTGTTCTTAATCAAAATCTTGGGATTTGGCATAGTCTACCCTTTGGAGAATGGATAAGGCAAAGAGGCCACTACAGGTCCAATAGGTTCAGAGCCTTTCAGGCAGAGAATTCTGGACTCTCCAGAATCCAGACAATAGTCTTAGAAGTGGGGTCCACAGACTTAGTGGAAAGGGACATAGCCAACAGATATCTAGAGTCAAATCTCAAATGTAGGAGGAGCCCAGGGCAAGGGGTTCTCTTCCCGAGCTCAGGGGCAGTACTGAGGCTGGGGGTAGGAGGCTGAAAGGGGATCTTATACATTAGGACAATCATTTGCCACCATACGGCAGAGAAAAATGCAGAGAATACAACCTGATGGAAAATTCACACATATACTACTCAGGTCAGAGAGTTAAGAGCTGTAGTCTCAGGAAATTTCCACACAAACAGGCATTTGGTATTTTCAGCTGATGCTGGAAGAAAACTCAAGTCCTTCACACAGAGCAATTGGGAAAGCCTCCATATACTTGGTGTCGAATGTACAAATGAGAATTCAGACCTTCCTGTGATTTTAGTAAATTCTCTGAAGCAAGATGCAGACTCTCAGCATAACCAGGACAGGACACAAAAAAGAGTGTTCCCAGAAGCTAGAAAAGGAAGAATCAGGACCATCTGAGGTCAACAATTACATTCTTGGTCACAGTTCCTATGATACACTTTTATGGTTTATGGTATAGCAAAATTGTATAGTTTTCTTTCTGAGTCAGTATTCAATCATTCTGAATATATCCCATTGTTATGCTTATGAACCCTCTAAGTTGTATTATTTATAGATACTTACATAGGCAGTAGTGTGTTGGAGCCAGCTCGGACTAGCTTAGAAGAGTCAACTGTGCACGATGCTTTTCAACTCTGTCTTCAGGGACTTCAGGAGCACTGCTTAAAACCGGCCTTGGTGTGAGTACTTTTAATACCGTGGAAATTGGCAAACACTGAAAATCAGGGCTTTTCTTCCCCTGGAGAGCCTTTTGTTACAAATTTACCAGCACACAACTGTACCTAGGCCTAACCTGGGAAAAAATATCAGATAATAGTTCTCTTAATTAATAAGGCTAATTTCTGGGTAGGCTACATATTTATCATCCACAAACACAATTTATATATTCATATCTAAATCTTATTTGAATATATAGTTGTCCAAAATACTTTAGATTTTGTTTTTAAAGGTTATAAACCAAAATATCAGTGTTTAAAAATTGTTGATGTTATCTCCTAGATAATTTTATCCAAACATGGTTTTAAAAAATGATTTATTGCCCAGAAAGGCAATAAAAATTAGTTCTGAGTTAGAAAAATGGAGGAAAAAATTCTCCTGCACCTGGTCAGAAAGTGCTATTTAGCTTTTGAGAATAATTTTGAAGGGCACAAAGGCATTCTCATGTTGATGGTTTCACTCTGGGGTTTGTTTTCTGAAACTGCCTAGAGCACCAAATCCAAAAAAAAAAAAACAAAAAAAAAAACAGGTGTGTGCATTTCCTATGGGAATCTGTCATCCCTCTGGTTCTCCTCTCTTCTAAGAATAAGAAAAATTCAAATTTCCTCTTTCAAGTCATGCTTCAACACGCCAAGGGCAGACACCACACACCTGCTCCTCCGTCCCAGAACGTCAGTCATCATCAGCGGGAAGGCAGGCAGGGACAGGGAGCAGGCACGGGGGGACTGGCAGCCACCTGAAGAACCGGGCACAGCCGTGGTTGTTCTCCATGTCTGGTGGCGGAAAGTCACAACATTTGGAAAAGTCAGAAATGCAGAGCAAGCTAGCTACTTAATTCCTTTACTGGAAATAAAGATGGAAAACAGTTTTTATGGCTTGTCAGCTTTCAGCAGGTTGGGAGAATACTAACCACACGTGCCATCACTCCATTCTTGTGCTAACTTATTTACACCATCTGCGGAGAAAACCACGGGCTAGAAGGAAATTACCTTGACAACTTCTTTTGCCCAAAGAGCTGTTGTATTTTCTCAATGCTCTAGTCTAGACTTGCTCCAAAAACACATTTGAGATGTTGCACTGGAAAGTTTCTCATTTGAATTTACGAGTTCTGACCTGGCTGGGGTTAATTTGTCTAACAAAAAGTAAATACTTTCATTCCTAACCAAATTTTAAAGGATAAATATGTTTAGAGTAAGCATTATAATGTAGGCACCCATTAATTGACTGTAATTGGTAGGTTTAAGAATGAGCCCCCAAAGATAGCCAAGTCCTGAGCCCCCAAAGATAGCCAAGTCCTAATCCCCAGAACCTGTGAATGTGTTCTGTTACTCGGCTAGAAGGACTTTGCAGCTGTGGCTAAGTTGAGGGGCGGGGGAAGAGGGTCCTGGATATCCAGCTGCGCCCAATGTAATCACAAGCACCCTTGTAAGAGGGAGGTGGGAGGGCTAGAGTGAGATAAGCAGAGATTTGAAAACATTACCCTGCTGTCTTTAAAGATGGAGAAAGAGGGGCCGGGCGCGGTGGCTCACGCCTGGAATCCAGCACTCTGGGAGGCCAAGGCGGGCGGATCACGAGGTCAGGAGATCCAGGCCATCCTGGCTAACACGGTGAAACCCCGTCTCTACTAAAAATACAAAAACTTAGCCGGGCGTCGTGGCAGGCGCCTGTAGTCCCAGCTACTCGGGAGGCTGAAGCAGGAGAATGGCGTGAACCTGGGAGGCGGAGCTTGCGTCTCAAAAAAAAAAAAAAAAGATAGAGCAAGACGTCTGGAGACCAGGAATACAGGTAGCTTCTAAAAGGTGGAAAAGGCAATTAAGTGGATTTACCCATAAAACCTCCAGAGGAACACAGCCCTACAGAGACCGTGATTTTAACCCAGTGAAAGCCACTGTGGACTTCTGACCTCCGGAACTGTACAAAAATAAATCGGTGTTGTTTTAAGCCACGAATGTGATATATCAGAAGTAGGGAACTAATACATTTACGAAGCAAGACCTAAAAGTCTGTTTAACTTTTATGGAGGAAATTGTATCCAAAATTCACAAAATTAGGGACCATATGATTACATTTCACCATACACTGTCACAATTATATGCAAATGACTATGCACGAGGTTATACTCAAGGTGTTTGTGTTTCAACAACAGTGTTTTCATTTTAATGCTAGAGGATACGTTTTAGAGTTGAGAAACATACCATACCATCAGTACACATAGACATATTTAGAATATGAACGCAGATTCAGCACTGCTGAAGTAAACAGGTTGCCAGTTAATTCTGATAACTTGACTTTTTGATGAGTAAAATCTCACCTTCTGTGGAAATGGAGTTTGCGTGCATGTGTGCAGTTAACTGGAAAGATTGTAGGAAGCAAACGAGCCTATTTTAAGAATGTTCTCTAAAACTTCAAGGGAAGTCGAAGTTTGATTTTCACTCCCTACCACCTCAAAAATAAAACCAAAAATAAGGCAGGGCCATGTGGCAGGTAAGGTGCCAAGGTGTGCAGGGGAGGGGACAGCCCAATAGTCACTGGCTCATAAACAGTGGTGAGTGAAGCTGATGGGGTACCAGCAGAGCAATCTCTTCAGAAGCAGGCAGTTGAGGCTCGATCCTACAAATGGGCCCTAAGCCAAAGACTATGGGTTTTCACAAATTTGTCTCTTACCTTAGAAACCATGAGACCAAGTGAGACCAAAAACAAACATCAAAAAAACAAAAACAAAAAGCCCCCACAATTCTCTGAGGCTTATTTTGGAGAGAAGCTCTAGCCAGCTGCCGCAAACTTCTCTTTGTTACTGTTTACATATGGCGGACGGATGTAGATGCACTGGGCTGAATGTGGAAGGCATAGTGAAAGGTGGCAACCCCGTGGAAAAAAGCATCTCTGATGTTCATGTACTTACCAAAATTAAGGTAATGAGATGTTAGATGGCCATTTCTGAAGCCTGCTACCTTGACGGGATGTGGGGAAAGTATCTGGATTGGGGGACAAAGCATCACAAACTCTGAGTCACCAGTTTCCCTTTATTTAGCAATTAGAGGGTTATTTAGGGAACTCTGGATGTGAGCCTCAGGACTGTGCATTGAGCCACGTGCAATAGCAGTAAGTCCTGACCCATATCCACTTGGCCTGGAATTGGTGAGTAAGACCCTTAGAAAAGCAGTACTCGCTGATAGTTTTCCAAAGAGTACCAAAAGCTAGAAACTCCTGTCTGGATGAATAAGGCAAGGCTGTACTGATGCCCTTGTGTGGAAAGGCTTGTTCGTTTTTGTTTTTTTGATGTTTGTTTTTGGTCTCATTTGGTCTCATGGTTTCTAAGGTGAGAGACAAGTTTGTGAAAACCCATAGTCTTTGGCTTAGGGCTCATTTGTAGGATCGAGCCTCATCTGCCTGCTTCTGAAGAGATTGCTCTGCTGGTACCCCAGCAGCTTCACTCACCACCGTTTATGAGCCAGTGACTATTGGGCTGTCCCCTCCCCTGCACACCCTGGCACCTTACCTGGCACATGGCCCTGCCTTATTTTTGGTTTTATTTTTGAAGTGGTAGGGAGGGAAAATCATTACATTAATTTCTCTGTCTCCACTCAGCTGCTCCCAACAGACCATTCTTACCTTTGCAGCAGTGACCAGCGTTCTCCATCTCTTACTTTCATGTCTACCTAGCTGGTGAGGCTTTTAAAAATTGTGCATGAGAGGAACATGCATCATTCCAGTGACGTCTCTCTTCCCTCCCCCCGCCCCCGATATTAAAGCTGCTCAATTTAGACCCTGAATTAGTAGTTTGTAAACTATATTGATTCACAGACCCCTTTTAAATTCTAATAAAAGATGTGCATACATCCTCCTCCCCTAGACAGGAGATTGTGTGTATGCAAATACTTATACACCAAGTGCAACATATATTTGCATAAGTTCACGAATTCCCCCAAAGTTCATTTACAGAGGACCATGTAAAAAAAAAAAAGCCCTCACCTTAAAGGATTATTTCACCCTGTTTTGGGGTTGCCAAGAGCTTTAAAAAGAGAGAAGGAGTGCAGTGATGCATGTGCTTTTTTAAAAAAGACAGCTTGGTTCTTTCTATGAGTTGTTGAACAGTTGAAAAGCAAATAAACGTCAGTGGATCTGAATCCCAACATTGTTTAATGACAACCCTGCCATATTTGCCAACTTGCTGCTTAACAACAATCCTGTTGACACTGTGTAAAAAGCTTTCCAGGTCCTCCCAGGTAAATAACCCACTCCTACCGGTCACCTGGCCGCCCAGCTGAGCTCTTTCATGAATACACACAGAATTCATGAAGATGAGTCATTCTTCTGCCAAATGTACCTTGATGTATTATAGCTTTTACTTCTTCATGCTATCATTTCATACACTAATCTCACAAAGACGATTGTAAGAAGAAAGTCAATTTAAGTAGAAATCTATGACTGAAATGATATAAAGAATAAAATGTCCCTATTTGTGAAAATTGTAAACGCCTAACTTTTCTGAATCATTTGGGTTTGCATTTCTCTAGTATGTGTAGCATATTTGATAAATGAAAAAAGATTTTTTTTTTTGGTAGGAGGAGGGATTTATTTCATTTGCTCCTGAAGTTAAATCTCATGAAATCATGTGAAATTCAGTGATGTGTTACTGGGAACAAAAAGGGTAAGTTGTTTTATTTCATTAAAAATTATAACAAAATCATAGATTCATCATAAGCAAATGGGAGAAGTGGTAGGTTTCCTTAGGAAGAAAAAGAATGGAGCAGAACTTTTGATGAAGAAAAAGAATTGTGGGGTAGAAGGTAGATAAACAGCATTGTGCTGTTGCTGGCTGGCTCTAATGGTAATTTGATCGCTCTCAGAGCAGCAGCCTGGCAAGAAGCCTAAAGGAGCACAGAACTAACCCATGGAAGAAGGGGGTGGGGAATGGAATTTGTTGGATTCGCTAATTAGGCCCTTTCCTAACAGCCAAGAAGGAAATGGATTACCTGTGGCTGTGACTAAGAGACTTATGGCCAACAAGCCAAGTTACCTGCATGAGGTTCTGCCAAGAAGTATTAGACTAACTCCAGCTTTCACAGTGGTTTTACTCAAGTTTGGAAAACAGGCAGGAATATCTGGAAAAAGTCAGGTGACAGTTTTAACTTTGAACAGCAAATGAAGTTAACAAAAAGATTTCCCAAAGTCAAAAGTGATTTAAACTGCTAGAATAAATCTTAAATGCCAGAATTCAGATTGGAGGCAGAAAGATCAGCAAAGACAGGGCTCTGCTATGTGAGAGGAGCCTGAATTGAAATTGCAGTATAATGAAATTTTAGAGGACAGAGGCATATTAGATATTTCATTTTCCCCTCACTCTTGCATCTTGCATATGAGGAAACTCGGGTTCACAGAGCTTCTATGTCACTATATGACTTACCTAGGATCCTATACTTGATGTCAAACCTAATAGGTTATGGAGTCCCTGAGGACTAGTTCGGGGACACTGAAAATAGAGAAATGGATGCAAGAGGTACTGCAATGAAAAACCAATGCTGATTAAGAACAACTGAAGAAGCTGCAACTTAGTGGAAAAGACACCAAATTGTAAGCAGGTATTGGCATGATTGACAACTAATTTTAGTGCTTTATTCCCCATGGAAGGCTCTTTTTAGCTTTTTCTTGGGTTAGGAACTTTTTTTAAAAAGTACATTCTAATCACCCTTTCTATAGCCATGTCTGCAGAAAACCAAAAACAATAGACACAGTGAAGTGGTTTTTACCACTACAAATTGTCAAGAAAATGACATAATCTATACTGTTCTTCTTATTGAAACAGAAAGTCCTTAGAAATGTTATTATATTATTTGTACATCTCTAGAATGATTTAAGATAGGGACTTCTAATTACTTCTAGTTATAAATTGAGAACGAATTTTAAGTGGAATCTAATCATTATTAGATTCTAATATTCTCATAAACTTTATCTAAGGAGCTGAAGGTCTAGAAACCTGCAGTAAAAAGAAAGGGGCACCTTGGCTGTATTGTTAATATATATAAATCTTAACTCTTATAGAACACTTTCCAAAGTTTTTTAATATCACACAAAAGTAGGGGAAAGACTTCTGGGAAGTTTTCTGCTGTTTAATAAGGAACTTTGTGTATTGGAATGTCATTAATATTATTGAATCAAGAAAAATGGATCTGTGGTCTGTATATTTAAAGTTCATTTAAATTGTTAAATGATTATCTCAGATGTCACTATCTTGGAAATTGTAGAAATAAGACACCTTCAATATAACTATTATTTTGGTGTTTTGTGCTCATAGATACAGAAAGAGTGATTTAAGAAGCACTATAAAAATATATGGATATTTCCAGGCCAGGCCTGGTGGCTCATGCCTATAATTCCATCACTTTGGGAGGCTGAGGCAGGCAGATCATGAGGTCAGGAGTTCGAGACCAGCCTGGCCAACATGGTGAAACCCTGTCTCTACTAAAAATACAAAAATTAGCCAGGCATGGTGGTGGGTACCTGTAATCCCAGCTACTCAGGAGGCTGAGGCAGGAGGATCGCTTGAACCTGGGAGGCAAAGGTTGCAGTGAGCTGAGATCATGCCACTGCATTCCAGCCTGGGCGACAAGAGCAAGACTGTCTCAAAAAAAAAAAAAAAAAGATATTGCCAAGGAAAAGCTAAAAAGAAGCATAAAATTAGCTCTAAATCATGCTAATAGGTGATCTCAATTTGGCATCTTTTTTGCTAATTAGTAATTTATTCAATTGTTGTTTATCTACAATTAGTTTTTCATAGTCTTGGATTAAAACACAATGTCCACTGACATAACGTAAAGCCATGGTAAAATTTACCAGAGCCCCTGATTTAAGCACTCTATTAAACGAATCCAAAGATATTAAATGAAAGAAGTGGACTTTATCCTTTTTATTTTCATAATTTTCATTTTATGAGATAAATTATTTTAATTTTACATGACCATTTAGGTATTTCAATAATGAGAATAAACCATTTGAAAATAAGTCAGTGGTAGTAGTATATAAAAGCATTTGACATAAAGGAGAAAATGTCTAACATATTTTGAACATCTCTTCAAAAGGATATGATAAATATTAAGTATTATAACAACATAATTTGTTTTGCTGTTAATCACCAAAGCCCATAGGATAAAACCTCATCTAAAGGCTGTCTTCAAAAGAGACAGAAAGTACAGAAATATCAGTGGATATTTATGAACTATAAACTCAAAACTGTAAAAGTGTATTTCAGAAAAGAAGCACAGCATAGTACATCACTTATATTTTAGATATTCATAATTTGAATATTCCATAGCCATAGCATTTGAAATAGAAAGCATCGAAGAAGTGGTTGACAGTGGCTATTTAAGAACTAGGTCTTATTTCTTAAGCATGAAATGGCAACAGCAATGACGGAGCAAGTGTTGAATTCATTCTGCCAGGATTTGGGAATAAACTGATGAAGTTCCAAGCAGAGTGACTCTGCATATCACTCCCATCTCCAGGAAGCTGCCACAGCAAGGGCTCTCAGTTATGTTTCCAGTCGAATTATCAGAAAGTAAATGTGAAATCAGAGCATGAACTTACCCTTCAGAGAACTTCCATATTACTCATGGTATTTGGACAATTCTAACCCCAAATCATGCAAGGGAGGCCTGGAAGCAACCAGAGTTCACCTTCAGTTGCTGGCACTTGAAACGTACTGGAGCCAACCTACAAATGCCAACATATTTTCTTGTATTCTCCGTTTTTTTCTGTTTAAAATTTATGTCAATACGCACTAATCATTTTACCGTAAAAAGATTAAGTCCTTTAAAATACACGAACACATTTAGAATTTTTGTTTTATTTATCAACTTCCAGCCTATGTATGTTTTTGTATTATACATTCTAGTGTTACATATGTCAGGCGTCTCTGAGTCTTCCTCCTCATGTGCCATGCCGGCTGCAGCTTCTGCTCTCCTGTGGTGTTACATACCTGTCCTACATAATTGCAAATTATCTAATTGCAGATATTCTCATTGTACCAATAGTGAAAGAAAAAGGCAAAGTCACTCAGGTCTGAGAGTTATAAACCTGAACAGAAACCTTGGTAATCTCTGGGTATTAATAACCTTAATAATCTTTTATTCAGGCAACATAATATTACCTGTTATAATTCCAATAATACTATGTATAGCATCTTCTTTTAATCACTGCAAGATGAAATATTATGAATTCACAGCACCATGTAAATTCCAGTTTTGGATGGAGTTCTGTAATTGTTTAATCACAAACACACAGACCCATGAAGAAACAGTTTGTTAAGAGAGAGAGGGAGAGAGGAAGAGAGCACTTCCATTTGATCTTGAATAATGTAATAAAAATATATTTCGTATCACTTCTGTGAGAAAACAATAGCATAATTAAATATACAGTCTTAATAAACACCAAAATCTCTATTTTATGCCATTTGTAAAAATTATTTGGGATAATCAAGAGAGCTCAGATGAAAGAGTAATAGCCAGAATCGAGCATTTGCTTGTCATTCATTTAACCGGTACTCACTGAACAAATGGAAAGCACTTGAAGGAGAAGAGAGATTCCTTTCCTTTCCCTAGACTTCAACCTTTCTACTTCATAAGACTAGACCTCTAAAATGTTTATGTACCCACTTGCCTAGACAAACATTCATATAATCACACTGGTTGGTGCCAGTGTGCGTGTGCTGTTGTTGGGGATGTTGTTGATGGGGAAATGGTACAAAAGGTGGGCAGAGAGCAGAACTGTTACCTAGAGATGGAGAGAAATTGGGGCAACTCTCATTAGTTTATTCATTCATGGGTTCACTCATTGATTCATTCCATCTTTAATTTATTTCATGTAACATATTTCCTGAGAACCTACTGTGTTGCAAGCATTGAGCTAGCACAGCTATCCTCCTTTCAGATAGCTAACTAGCCAGCTGAAAATGAGTTGCTGTAATTTTACAGAGGAAATAACTCAAATAACAACTTGTAGTATTTTCAGTACTTTTAGTAGTTTGCTTCACTAACACAAAAATGTATTTTTTAAAAAAGGGAAAAAAACTGAGTGGTGCAACGAAAAGCAAAAATACTTTCCTAATTACAGATGTCCATCTGTGGGTCTATTAGTCTTAAATTACCAGTGATTAAATTCTAATTGTAGCAGAGAAACAAGCTTCTAGGCAGTTAAAAAGAAAAACAACAAAACCAAACAGTGAAACAGAGTACAATGAATACGGGTAATTTATCTATCTCTACATTTAAGCTATATCTAAGAGCGAGCCTGTCTCCTTGCACACCTTTTCTCTGCTTTCAAGAAATAAGACAGTGTTTTCAATGAAGTTATGAATCTCTTATCCAAACAGCGAGCTCGAGTATGAAATATGCATGTTAGCAAGTGATAAACACTTTGAAAGGAAATTTTGATAAATTTTCTCATTTGAAGCCAGTTCCCTTTAAGAAGCTAGACATATGTTTTATGTGTAATTACATAACAACAATTCTATAGAAAAAAATAAATCTCTTCTCCAGAGTTAACGAGATCCTTTCTTTGCAAGAAGTAGAGAGTAGAGTGCATTCCTGCTCTGCAATCCTGAATTTTGCTCAGGGGCATGTAACAGTATCTGAGCCTGCAAGGGCACCCGTCTTCCTACCAATTTCTCAGCCCATTACTAGAGTACCTTAGGCATCAGCTGAGGTGCCTTGTCTTTTTCAACTCAGTGGAATGGACTTGAGCCTTATCCCACACGTGGTGGTAACCCCATATTCCTCATTCTTACCATAAATTCTAACAGGGAAGGGGAAGGTGAGGATGGTATGTGCTTTTCCTGGCCAATTCTGACTCTGAATTGCTTCTTCTAAGGTTACGTTATTAATTGTGATGCCTTCCCACAAGAGCTGTGTCTGTACTGTGCCACATAACCCCTGAAGCTGAATAAAGAACTTTCTCCTTGATTCCCCCAGCCCTCCAAAAACATCAGGTGAGTGTGTAGCACTTTCTATTAAAGGTCTGGGGATAACAAGGTAATTTATACAGTTATCCCACTGGTGCTGCTGCTTCAGAGCTTTCCTCAAATTTCTATTCCTTTCACTTTATTAGACAGAAGAGTTATGCTCTCCACCCTTGCATAACCACAGACACATCAACAGGCTGGTGTAAACAAGGGGCTATCTAGTATTGCTCTTTCCCTGTAGTGGTACTAGAGAGAGCCACTGAAATCCAGGTCTTTGCTTTAGTCAGCCCCAATTAGACTCTCCAGAGAAGGGAATGGTATTGATTGACTTCTCTTGATATGAGTTTGTCACTCCCCATATAAAGCAAAGTAGCTATAGTTCCTTTGGGTTTAAAATAACCATTTGATTTATTTCCATTATACTAAATGGCCTTCAGTATTACAGATTTTGTTTTGCCTGCCACGGGATCACAAGCAAAGCCTTCTCCATACGGACAGGCTTGGAGACAGCCTCAAGACTTAAACTTTCATTGGTCATGTCAGCATACTGTAATTTACTTTGTGCCCACATGATACACCTATATTCATAACAACCAAGCAAAATAAGTACTAATGTTCCCTATTTTATAGATAAGGAGACTGAGGTCAGAGAAATAACTTGCATAAAATTACATGGGAAATGGGAGCTTGGACAGATGTGGAACCGAGATCTGCCAGCTGGCAAGGCTGTGTGCCCTTTCCATCATATCCTGGTTCTAGGAGAAAAAGACGTTAAGCTGTATTTTCCAAAGTATTTGATCTCCCAACCCTGGGAAACTTTGTTTTTAAGACTTTCTCAAACAGCCTCTCATATTCTCCCAGCAGGTGATGAGGTCCCATTGTAAATGACCCAAGGACAAACAGCTCATGACTTCAAAGGAGGCCTCTTCAACCCAGGGCAAATTCAGGCCTTCATTCCAGGGGTCTGTAAGCAAGTACTGAGTGAAGAGATATCCTAAAATCAATCGGTAAATTGCATGTTTGAAGTAAACTAAAAACCAAATTTCAGGGTTGATGCTGGCTTTGGAGGAGATGGGAAAATCATTTGTTTGGAGACAAGAAGCATGTTATGCCGGTAGATGTGTGCACATATGCTTCTATAAGTGGGTACATGCATTCCCACTTTTCCTGCCAAGTCTTTAGAAAACCACTTAAGTAAGAATGGAGAAATGTAGCATTGTAGCTTCCCTACAGTTTGTGTTCATTTTGTTTATTGCAGTAAAATATATATATATAAAATGCAAAATTAATTTCTGAGTACACAATTGAGTGGCATTACATATATTCACATTGTTGTGCAGCCATCACCACTATTTAACTTAGCATAATGTTTTCAAGGTTTGTGCTACTGTTTTAATTGTTTGCCTCTTTGCAGTTCCTCTTTGCCAACCCTGGATAATGGCAACAACTTCTTTAGTGGCATGCTGCATGCTCTGTTTGGTCATGTCCAGAGATACCCAAGATAAAGAAGTTTGATAAATATACACATTAACTCAGCAAAAATAACATGGTTATTTTCATGAATATTGCACTTGGGCACATCAGCAAAATTCAAAAGTGATAAAAGGTGAGCATTGTATATGAATTTTGCATATGTACATGGTAATATTTTGACACTAGGAACAATATTTTAAGTTGAAATGTCTATATTTTAATTTAGTAAAGATTTGGCAAGCCCCTGCTATATTAGCAATATCAAGATAATGAGATAAAGATCCCACTCTCAATAAAAATATAAAATTATACATGTTTCTTGTGCCCATCATCAGCCATCGTTATGAACATCACTCTGAACTGTTATGCACAATAAGATAACTAGAGGGTTAAAAATGAAGGTTTTACTGCTCACGTTGAATATTATTTTTAGAAAAGAAAGTCATTTCTATTATAGAGGAGGCATTGTGGTCTACTATAATGGCAAGCATATTAAAAACAATGCATTCCTGGTGAAATAATGCTTAGAGCATAGTCAACAAAATAAGCAGGCTGCTGAAAAAAGTTTAAATGTCATATTTCATTAATTCTAAGACACATTTCCTCCTGCTTTTAGATCTCTCAAATTGAAAGGCATCTTACAACCTATAGATGAAATCTAGTAAATAGAATAAGATAAAAAGTATCTTAGTTTCTTTCCTTGGGTTGTTTGCCTTTCTTTTAAGGGAAGGTTTGTTTGACTGTTGTGTTTTGTTTTTAACAGCTTGTTTATGAATCTTCCCTTTTCTAGCGTTAATGATTGTGTGAGCCTAGAATTTAAATGGTACAAAACTCTGATTTTTGTTTTTATTCTTTGTTCTGACCATTACTGAGGGGAGTACAGGACACTGAAGCAGAAACAAGGTCTGAAAGTGGCAATGTGGACCTTGCTCCTCTGTGGAGGACTCTGGTACCTGTCTGTGTCTGAATCTTGCCACTTCCACTTATCTAGCTTTGCGATCTGGAAAAGATTAACTTTAGCCTCTCTGTGCCTCAGTTTCTTCAAGTGCTGAATAATGGTATCTACCTCATAGTGCTGCTATGAGGGTTGAGTTTAATATAAGTAAGGCCTTAGAATAATGCCTGGCACATACTAAATATTCTCTCAACTTTAGCTGTTACCATTGTGCCTCACTTCCTTGGTGATCTCTTTAGATCCCTGTTTAACTACATCCTCATATTGTGAATGACTCCTAAAATGCTATCTTCAGCATGGGCCTATCCCCTGAAATCCAGGTGTCTATATCCAACTGTTTACTCCATTTGGCTATCTAAAGTTGTCTCAAAATTAACAGGTCTCTAAAAGAACTCAATTTTTTTTTACCTTCATTAAACGGTTTCTCCTCCAATTTTCCCAATCTGCATAAATGGCCCCAGATCATCCGTAAACCACTCTCTTTATCTGCCACGTTCCACAGTTAAGCTATCAGCAAAGTCTGGCAGCTATGCCTTCAAAATACATCTAGATCTGACCATTTCTCATGACCATCATAGCATTTACCTTGATTCAAACCATTGACTCTTTCCTGAACAATCGGAGTAGCTTCCTACTGATTTCTCAGCGTCCACCTTAACTCCTATAATCTTTTATCCAGAATGATCCCTTTACATTATGAACCATCATCATGTTTCTCCTTTGCTCAAGACCCTCTAATCACTTTTCATCTCACTCATAGTAAAAGCTTTAGTCCTAGGGAAGCCCACACAGTGGCATCTGCCTTGGTTCCACGGTACTTCTTGCTCCTCCTCTTCCCCAACTTGACTCTGCTTCAGCCACATTGATTTCTATAAATGGCTCATGCACCATCCTGCTCTTGCTATTCCTTCCACAAATGGTCAGAAAGTTTTGCTCCTTTATTTTCTTCATGTCTTTTATCAAATAGACCTTCCTTCCCTGACTACCATGAGGAAACAGTATCCATTTCCCTCCTCCCAGTCCTCTGTTTCTTACTTTATTTTATTTTTCTTCCTCACACTGATCACCACCTGATATGTTATCTATTTATCTCTCTTTCTCCTTGAGATCAGGGACTTTTTGTTCAGGCTGTATCCTTGGGGCCTAGAACTGTATCTGACACATAATAGGGACTTAGTAAATATTGAATAAATGAATGAATAAAATAACTGGTATGTTTTGAAACATGACTTTGTTGAGACCCTCCTTAAAGTGTCTGGATTTCCAACTGCAAATAGATTTGTAGTTATTACATGGATTTGTGAAAATTTTAAGATTGGATTAGAAGGGCTTTTTTAAGTCAGTAGTTTTTTTTTTTTTTTTTTTTTTTTTTTTATTCTATCATGTTTTCCTCCAGAGATTTGGGAGCTGTTTCTCTTATTCACTTGTTCAGAGCCAATGAATGTTACCCTTTAGTTTGCCAAAGTGGTTGCTGAGTGATGAGGCATTTCATCCCTCAGGGAGCTTTAAGTACTGCCCGCACACCATGTATAGTCACTGCTGGCTATGATCAAAACTGTGGAATTGATCAAGTCAGAATCTCCTACTAGGAAGTACAGGCAAGGGGCATTCAGACTCTGGGTCAGCTCTGGGAGCCTTTCAAATCTTCCCACTGGCACTTGTGTGAATTTCTAGTGCTCATGAAAGTGAGACACCCAAGGGAGTCTGCTGCCGTCTAATACACCAAAGGATTCCCATAGAACTTCACCCACAACTCTGCAGAGATCCAGGTCTCATCACAGACTTTTATAACTGAAGTTCTAATAAAATATTATTTGAACCAAGAGAAAAATCCCTTGTGGGTTTTACTGCTGCAGCTACGGCAGTAAAGAACTTGGCTTTTTCTCATTAGGGTGATTTACCTTTACAGGCTATTGAACCATTGCCTAGCAATGGGTTAAGAGCTTGAAATCAGAGTGATCTGGGTGCAAATCTTTGCTAAGATGATTACTACCTGAGTGAATTTAGACAAGTTACCTAAACTTTTTCAGTTGTTTAAATTGGTTAAATGATCAGTTGGCTATCTCACTGAAACCCTACTGGCCAAGTACTTAGTAAATCACCTGGCTTAGCTGGTTGCTGTCATTTTTATCTTTTAAATACCTTCCTTTGCCTTACATAATCACTAAAAGTATTCAGGAAAGTATTCTACTTAAAATATAGCATAATTTTTATTCCTGATTTATGATGTGCTAAAATGTAAAATGCATTACATCCCAATTAAAAGTAACTTTATAGTTTCCTAAATTATCTTAAGGTGCCATAATCTATGTTACTTAGATTTCAAGTGTCATTTTATAATCATAAAAAGAATTAATGTGAAATTTCTATTTTCTATTTATATATAAATATTATGGCTTATTTTAATCAATTTAAGATAAATGTAGAAAATGAGCATATTCTAACAAATATGTACATGTAGAAAATTTTTAATGTGAATACCCTAGCTGAGTTCAGGGCACATAATAGATATTTAAGAAATGTTGATGTCCCCTCATCCCAACATCTACATAAACTTTAACATAACCTGAACTTCATATAGCAGTCCATGACAAAGATATTAGTTTTTTAATGTTTTGAATATTAAAATAGTTTCTATTTTTAATATTGCCACTTGGCTATCTGACATCTACAATTTCTAGTGCAGAAAATAAGAGTTGTGTCTATATTTTATTATCCAGAGTGGTCTCTTTAAATTGTGAATCATTATCTTGTCATTGCTTTGTAAAACTGTCTGCTGTCTGCCAAGATTCAGCCATTCATGTATTAATGCAGCCAATATTTATTAAGTGCCTGCTGTGTACCAGGTACTGCTCTAGGTGGTGGGCATACAAGTATGAACAAGAAAGACAAGGTCTTTCTCTTTCAAGAGGGTTAAATTCTAATGTGGAATGATAGATCATAAACAAGCAAAGAAATAAACAACCAAGATAATTTCAAATTTTTCATGAATGGTAGAAAAGGCTGAATAATCAAGGATAGGGATGTTCCTTTAGATAACTGGTCAGAGGCAGCCTCCCAGAGGTGGTGCCCTCTGAGTCAAAACCTGAAATTTGAGTTAAAGTAGCCAGCCTGGGAGAGTCAAGGAAAAGCACTGAATTTAGAGGGAAGAGCAAACCCAAGGCCCCTGAAGCAGATAGGAGTTTAGGGTGTTTAAAGGCCAGTGGGTGCACCAGTCTGGCTGAGCACAGTGAGGGGCACTGACAAGAGACAGTGAGTGTACCACTGCACTCCAGCCTGGGTGACAGAGTGAGACCCTGTCTCAAAACAAACAAAACAAAACAAAACAACAACACAAACATAATTTCACTACCTGTTGAAAAAGATAAACTTGGCAATTGGGTGCTTAATCCACTGCAGAAAGAGACAGTGGGAGACTGTCACCAGGACTTATAGCATCATGTAGTCCAAAGAAGAGTGTTCAGATTTCATTCTAAATTCAATCAGAAGCTGAAAGAGCATTTTAAATAGGAAAATAAAGATACTTTTACTTTGGGAGGCCAAGGCAGGTGGATCCCTTGAGCCCAGGAATTCTAGACCAGCCTGGACAACATAGCAAGACACCGTCTCTACAAAATAAATAAATAAATAAATAAATAAATAAAGGGTTAGTGGTGTGTGCCTGTGGTCCCAGCTACTCAGCAGGCTGAGATGGGAAAATCACTAAAGCCTAGGAGATCAAGGCTGCAGTGAGCCATGATTGCACCATTGCACTCCAGCCTGGGTGACAGAGTGAGACCCTGTCTCGAAACAAAACAAAACAACACAAACATAATTTCACTGCCTGTTCAAAAGATAAACTTGGCAATTGGGTGCTTAATCCACTGCAGACAGGAAAAAAAGTGAGAGCTAGAAGCTCAGATTGGTGGTCATTTCAGTAATCCAGGCTAGAGATGGGGGAAAACTTGCTGGTTTAGACCAAGGAGGTAGTAGGAGAAATAGAGTTACAGAAGGATCAAATCTGACAGATAAAAGTGGAAAAATCAAAGACCCCTGGATTTTCAACTTGAGCAAGTAAGGAAAATTGGGGATGGGGGAATCTTAGCACAGATTTTGACAAGATGGGGAATTATCATGAGTCTTGTTTTTGGTATGTTAAAACATTTTTATACAAGTAAAAATGTCAAATATGCTGTTGGATTTGGGTCAAGGCTGAGGAGACGCATTTAGGAGGAATTGGCATCTGGTGGTATACAAATTCACAGGGCTAGGAAAAAGTATGGCTAGAGATCAAGCTCTGGAGCACTTCAACATTTAGAGGTCTCATTTGTAAGAAGCAACTAGCAAAGAAGATAGGGATGGAGCACACAGAGAAGGGGGAGAAAAACCAAAAACATGTGTCCTTGAATGATGATAATGATGATGATGATGATGATGATGACGACGACGACGACGACTAGCAATCACGGTGCCAAATACTGCTGTGATTGCCTTACATTCAATCCCCTCAATTTCAAAAGGTAGGTACTATTATTACCCCCATTTTACAGACAGGAAAACTGAGGCACAGTGGGGTTAAACAATTTTCCCAACTTTATACAGCTCAAAAGTGGCAGATGTAGGATTCAAATCAAAGCTATCTAAATCCAGAGGCTATGTTCTTAACAACAACCTGATATCACCTCTCTGATTTGACAGTGAAAAATTTGTTTTGTTTTTCTGAGGGTACAGAAAAAATATATCAAGTGTCACTGAGAGACAAAATAAGATGATAGGAAAATACCTGTTGGATTTATAATATGGAGGTAAGTAAGGTGGTGACTTTCATGGTAGTTTCTCAGTGGAGTATTACTAATGAAAGACAGATAGATGGGGGTTAACAAGTGAGCAGGGAGTAGAAAGTGAAAGCCACAGATTAGACCACTCTCGTGAGAAGTTCTATTGTAGAGCAGAAAAAGAAATGGCACTATAGCTAGAAAGGCATTTGGGACTCAGGGGAGGTGTGCTGGTTAGGACCTCAGGAAGGCAGACCTCAAGATGGAAACCAGAAGTACAAGAGATTTATTGGGATAATGATTTTGAAATATAAGGGAGAGAAGGAGCAGGAGTAGACAGGGAAAGCCTTCAGATCATGACATGTGTGAAAGGTGAGGGGCAGGAAGGAGGATTAAGTAGGAAAAGCCTGTGATTAGGGTGCAGCTCTGAGAAAGTCTCAGCCAGCCCAACCAGGGAGCTCTGTCATAAAGACTGCCCACAGGGGAGCCTGTGAGTTGGAATGGCTGGGAATCAGGAGCGTTGTAGTGATTGTGCTCAGTCCTTACCTAGGAGTTATGTCAGGAAAAGCCTGGCCTTAGCTTAAATGCTGTGGTGGATCCCAAAGGTGCTATAGCTGGAGGCCGTCACCTAATTGCATTCCTGGCAGCTGATCAGCAAGGCCTTTGTTAGAGAGAGGCTCAGGTAGCACACTCCCTGGCCACCATAGGAGGGTTATACATTTTCTATATGAGGGCTCTATAATGTTGGTATGCTCATGGAATCAAGGAGGTATAATGGAGCTAACACCATCACTTAATTTACAAAAATTAGCAAAGAACTTAATTTTGTTTTATTGATACTTCTAATACCAACATTTCTTGACAGAAGAAAAATATTTCCCAATATTCATTTAAATGGTGCCAACAAAAGTATTTTTAAACAGATAAAAATCATTTTCCTAGAAGATATCTCATTGAATATCAAATCTAGACACTTAACTTCTATAATTCAGTAGCAAAAACAAAACAAACAGAAAACCAAATAACCTGATTTTAAAAATGGGCAAAGGACTTGAATAGACATTTCTTTAAATGTCTATTCTATAAATTCCATAAAGACATACAAATGGCCAACAGGTATATGAAAAAGTGCTCAACATTGCTAATCGTCAGGGAAATGCAAATCAAAACCACAATAAAATATCACTTCATACCTGTTAGGGTGGGTGTTATTAAAAATATTGACAAAGATGTGGAGAAATTGGAACCCTCATCTATTATACTCTTGGTGGGAATGTAAAATAGTACAGCCACTATAGAAAACAGTATGGAGATTCCTGAAAAAATTAAAAACAAAACTACCATATAATCCAGCAATCCTACTCTAGGTATTTATCCAAAAGAATTAAAATCAAGATCTCAAAGAGATATTCACACTCCCATGTTCACTCTAGCATTATTCACAATAACCAAGATATGGAAAAACTCTTAATGTCCATCAAAGGATGAAGGAATAAAGATATTGTGGTATATACATACAATGGAATATTACTTAGCCTTGAAAAAAGAAAATCCTGCCATATGTCATGACATAGGTGAACTCTGAGGACATTATGCTAAGTAAAATAAGCCAATCACAGAAGAACTAATACTGTATAATTCTACTTATATGAGGTATTGAAAATAGTCAAAACCATTGAAGAAGAGAGTAGAATGGTGATTGCCAGGGGCTGGGGAGAGGGAGAAATGGAAAGTTTAGTTGGTATAAGGTTTGTTATGAAAGATGAAGCTCTAGAGATCTGCTGTACAACATTGTGCCCGTAGTTAACAATACTGTATTGAACACTTTAAAATTTGTTAAGAGAACAGATCTCATTGTTAAATCTTCTTCTATGATAAGCTGTTTAAAAAATCTGGACACTCAAGTTTGAGCAAACAAAGTGAAGGTTCATAAATTGGGATTCCTCAGTTTGGGCCTGTCTGAATTCACATGGCCCAAATAGGGTATAAGAAGCAAAATTCTGACGTACAGCATGCCCACAAACTTAACTGTCATATTTCAAAAGTTTAGCTAAATCCCATAATTGGGTACTGACTTGAAAAGCTTCCTTGTAGACTTTTAATTATATCTAATGAGCTCAAAATAACTAAATGCCATTAAAGCTGTTTTTTCTTACTGTGTCCCTAAAATGGTAATTTAAAAATACAAGTGAAAAGCTTGAGTGACTAGACACCAAGCCAAATTGTGTAATATCACAGAATTAAACTATAAACTATTTTTTAATCTAGAAACTCTTTTTTAGTAGTGAAATGACATTAAAGCAATCCACAAACATGGGTCAAAAAGTATTGAGAAACTACCTCTACTTAAAATACTAGGCTTGCTGCCTGCTTAATTGGATAGAAGGTCATTTGCATAGGCTGCGTAAAAGTTAGGAATTGGTGTTGTGTTTGTTTCACTTGGGCTGAAAGACCAACTAAATGCTATGGATTGATTGTAATTCAAAAAAAAAAAATACACAATACTCCCTCTCTCAAATTAAAAAAAATACAAAAACTCTCAGATTACCAAAAAAACATAGGCAAGATTGTTAATACTAGATCAAAATGTACACACATTTGAATCAATATATTTGTGTGCATGTGAAAAAATAATATATTATTTTTCAGTGTTAATGGGCCTCCTATTATAAGTAGAATAATTCCTGACATGTTAGTTGCCTGGAGGGTTTTTGGTGAGGATTACTCTAGTAATCTGAGGTGGCATTATGGCAATGCTATAGGGGCATACAAAAATACTCACAGCTACCCTGTTCCCTGGGAATTTGGACAGGTAATCCCATATGGTTCATAGGACTTGTTATGTATGGTAGAGAATGATTCCAAAACAATAGAAACCACCAAGGGATATTAAGAGGGAGTTAAATATGAAGAGACCTTTGCTTTTCTGATGAAAATAGGGCTACCGGCAATTGTGGCCAGTGGTTGCCAAAACCGTGTCCTCTTCAAATTAATTTAGATGATAATTTTGTTCAAGAACTTGATCATAGAAACACTTAGTTTATACAACTACTTGTTTCAAAACAATACCATAATAATCTCATTGCAAATGTCTGACTGTGATGCTCCAGAGTTCAGCTACTGCAAATGTGTCTTTATGGGAATGATTAGGAGTAATTCTAATGGGAAAGAGTGAAAATTCAAAATTCTTGACTGGCATGGTTGAAGGCACAAAACTGCTGCCTCTATACTTCTTAGTGAAAAACAGCATTGGACATACCAGGAACAGCAATCTGCTCCTCTTAGTACCTTGCATTTATGAAGTGATATCCTCCAGGAAGTACATGATGCTGGGCATCACATCATGCTCTAGGCAACACCATGAGTGCTTCATTTTCACAAAGACCCAAGGGGTGAGATGAAATAATTCTCATATTCATAAATTAGGAACTATAATTCTGCAGAGCAAAACTGATTTTGTGCACTCAGGCAGTGGGATTAAGTTAATGCCACAAGCTCTTCTCTTTGTGAAAAGTACATTTCTCCTGGCTGAAGAGAGCAGCAATAATTACTCAAAATTCCTGAAGTAGGCCAACCATTTGTCCAGAGGGCAAAGAAATCCTGCTTGACTGGCTTCCACCCGAAACCAGTGTCAAGTTCCTGACCTTATGAACTCCCCAGAACAATATTCGGTGGAAAAGGAGGAGCTGTTCTCTTTAGCTTCTTTTCTATTTTTTTTTTTAAATAAGAGCAAGCAATGTGGTTATGTTTTTATTGGCACTCAAGATTATTTCTGAGAGGAGAATTGCTATATTTAAAAATGGATTTTTATCCTTTATAAGTTGGGTGAAATTTTTCTTAGTTTCACTTTCTTAAAAAGGTAGTACTTATTAAGGGAACCCTTCCTTTCCTTATGGTGGGTGGTGCTGGCAGATGAACAAGCCACGATTATGCATGTAGTCAAAGAGTTTGCTTTATAAGATGTTATTCTAGACATCAAATACATTATACACATGTCATTTCAAAAAGTTCAAAGTCAAAGATAAAAATATATTTAGCAAATAAGAAAACAGCCTGAATGAGAGGGAGTCAAGTTTTTGGAAATGAGAAATCAACTTAAGTGTTATCAGTAATCTAACGCCTTTTTTTCTCTAAGTGTCTTCTGAGTGGGTCGGGTGACAATTGGTCCCAGGACTGGAGGAAAGAGACTTGACTATCTAAAGCAGTGGCTCTTAAAAAGTGGGACGTCATAGAGCTCCTTGAAAATTAGATAAAAGCTAGGAAGGCACACCCTCAGGAGAGAAAAAAAATAGTTCATTAGCTTACAATGAAATTTATATAGAATTTCAGGAATTTCATAACTCCCCTGAAATGCATCAATGGATCCCCACCCCAAAGTTTATGAATAAGGCTTGTGTAAGGAAGGGGTGGAATTCTCAGCTCTATTCCACCAAGTTTTGGGAGACTTTGTCTACCCTGCCAACCCCAACCTATCACTGAAGTCTTTAGTTCCTCCTAGTCAGCTCCATTGCTCTGAGCTTGGTGGCTATGAAGAAATGCAGGTGGGTCAGCATTAGCAATGACTGGTTCTTCATTAGCACTAGCTATGAAGCAAATGCTGTACCCTATCTTCCTCAAAAGGTTGAGTTCTTAAAACTTCAACCACACACAAGCCATTGCAAAACTCACTTGGAGAGCTCTGGAGGTCCCTTATGAGAAGACACACATGATTTCAAAACTGATTCTAGCTGGGTGGTTTTGTAGTTGCCTGAATGAAATGATCTGTCAATTTTAGCTTTGTTCTTAGGAGAAACATAGCCCCATCTTGAAACATTCTTTATAATCAGCTTGGATAATCCTCCTACTCCCAAATTCAAAGATTAAAAGTACCTGGAAAAAGAACTAACCTTTCTCTTCTTGAGACATTCCCTCCAGGGCAGGCCGAAGGTATATTGGGAAAAGCAGGGAGGGAAAGCTTATCATTTTTCTATCCATAGTATCCTGAGCTGTCAACTCAGCAGCTTTCACAAGGACTAAACCTACTTTTAAAGAAAGGAGAGCTTGAAAGTGTTGTACCATTAGCTATTCTGATTCTAGCCCATGCCAGGAAGCAAAGGTTCTTATTATACCATGTTCTATTTTTGATCTAATCCGTATCAACAGCCTGAAGTCTCAGCATGGTAATGCTGGGGAAATTCTTTGATGATAATTGGAAACTGTACTGCCTTGCCCCTTAAGTTATACAATCTGACTGTCACTAGAAGTGTCATTTGGACTATAAAGAGTCAGGGATAAGAAAAGTGGGCATCTGAAATCTACGTGGAAGATGCAGTAGCAAGTCAGAGCCTCTTGTGAAAGTTCTGTTGGTTAGGTTGGGATATCGAAAGAAGAAGATGTGTCCCCTACCCTGATATTTCAGAGCCTCAAGACACTCAGTAAACCAACACTCAAATTCCTGGACTGCATCACCTTTACTTTTTGTGCAGACAACACAATATGGGAAGAAAAGTCATACTACATAGCAGTTATTAAAAACAGTTAAATGTAACACCAGGCGTTAAAACCTAGTACCTTCTTGTCATGATAAAGATTGTAACAAGAACAGGAAATGGCACAGCACAAATCCGTTTTCATGATAATGATCTCGTGAATGTAAAGAGCATAGGAAATGGAACAAATGTAACCCTATTCCATTACCACCTTCAAACGGTAACCTCCTTGTCCTAGTCACATGCCCTACTTATGGTCCTGATTAAAGCACAAAGGAAATCATAAGACTGTGACTCTGAGGGAACGAAGCAGCTCCCACTTATTTGTGTGCGTGTGTGAGCACACATCTTTCCTTCTTTGAACTAAGTTGCACCAGGCAATTCCTTACAGCTGATTCCCCAACTTTGTCCTGAATAAAGCCGGTCAGACATGGGAGGGACAAAGAAAGCTAAAAACCAATGAGTCATCTGGGAATAGATGTTCTCTTTACTACCCTTTATCAGAATGAGGAAATGATGCCTTCCCCCCAAATAGAGGCAGTAAACAGTGAAGATGACTGAATGCTTTTCTTCTGTCTAGCCTTCATAGCACCTCAGCTTACCAAGGAAAATGGAGCTTCTATCTCATAGTGAGTGTGTTCTCTCTTCCCTACCTAAAGAGGCTGCAACATGATTAGGGCTCGTCTAGAAGTACAAAGGAAGATCTCAGGGACACAAGGAAGCCAGAAATAGTTGAGGTCAATCAGGCCAGGTTAGGGTTGGTGCTGCCATACTATATTCCTCTTTGACCTGGGCATGTTTTCCAGGAGGATCTATTTCCCTTGGAAAGCTCTTTAAGTAACACTATGTGAAATTTATAATAAATCCTCTCACCCCAAGATGACTGCTTCAGATATGAGGGGGAGTAGTGAGGAATGATGGCTGAGTTTGCCAAATAAATACGAGGGAAGATGAAAGCCAGATTGCCTGGAGTACTGTGCCCACACCCTGCCTCAACCAAATGTCACTCACTCTGCCCAGCTGGCTAGTAACTCCTTACATGGCATCCAAGTATCTGTACTATACATTTTCTTCTACTGGGGCTTTGTCCAGGCAAGCAAGTCTGAATGCACTTTACATTTCAGGCATCTTGGATATCTGTTCCTTCCAGATGATATCCCAGTTACCAAATGGCCCTGATTGGTTAATGAGGAATGCAATCCTGTTCCTTGCCCTGGCTATTTGTCACTTGTTAAATGATGTTAGGAGATTCCCAGGTGATTTCACATCTGAAGACTGTAATTTGTGGCCTCCTTATCAGATGCCATGCAAAATGTTTTCTGTGGGTCACAACAGTTTCCCAAGTATCCTATCTTGATTCCCAAGATAGATTACACTGGAATTATCTTTTCAAAGAAAGGAAGGAAGCCCTACATTTCAAACAGTCTAAAGTAGGTTATAAGGACTGAAAAATAATCATTTGGGGACAATCTTACATGAGAAAAAGAATATATTGTAAAAACTGGCTAAGTCAATTCTAATCTATAATGTCTTTTAGAGGTTTTTAACTGTATATGATTGTAGGGAATCAAAACCACAGATCTGTTTTTACTTATTTCAAAACATTCTATAATGCTCTTTAAAAAATCATATTATAGGATAACTGGAATCTAGGTAAGATTACTATTAAATACATTGCCATTCTCCATTTCTTTTTTACTGTATTTACCTTTGCCTTTTTATTCCCAAATGACTAGTTTTGCTGCACAGCAATTTCTTTTCATTCTTTCACTACTCTAGGGGAGACAATGTGTTAGAATAGAAACGGAACTAAACCAAGAACAGTGTGAGGAGGAAGATCTCACTAGCTGTGAGGCCTGGGGGTAGGCCCTTGACATTTCTGATCCTCAGTTTTATCACTTACGAAATAGAGATTGGTTTCATTGATATTGAGGGTCTCTTCCAACTCTGAAGTCTAGGAGACACTGGATTTTCATAAAATCTAAACCTATGACATAGATAGCATCCATATTTGTTGTTGTTCTGTGAATTTTCAATAAATATCACACTGAATATTTTTATTAAAAGGATATTACCTTTTCTTTCCATGAGTATTAAAGTTCCAAGTCTCCAATTTCTTGCCTATAAGTTTTCATTTTTACAGGGGAGAGTTACTTTTCCTCAATGCTTTTAGTATCTACTATTAAGAAACAAAGACAGACACCGAAGTAGAGAAGAAGATATGAAGTAAATGATATGGGAAGTTTTAAAGCATAACCCGGACCTACTGTAGAGACAAGGAAGAGGGAGGAAGGCTATTTCCACTAGGACACTGCATGGGCAATCTCCAAAGTAAGGGACTATATTTTTCAGAAGTGCAACTGACTGAATGAAAGAATAAAAAGAATCCATATATACAAAGTTCTGAATTATATTTGGTGAGGAGACTTTTGACATCTGCTAAGCTATTAGACACCAGTTTTTAAAGAAATAAACCATTCCCTGTACATAGAATTAGAAAAAAAAAATGTAAGAAATCATTTTTTAATTCAGAAACAAGAGCCAGAACCAACATTCCTACTACAGATTAATACTATCTATACATAATCCTGAAATACACCTAACTAAAGAGCTACTGACTAGCATGCCTGCCACTGTCCTCTGCTATCTGCTCTGTTCCAGTGCTCTCTTGGGTAACCCAAGTCTGTTTCAAAGGCTTTCACACTGTGGTACCAGAGATAAGAATTGTCTCAGGCTTTTGCAGACAATAACTACTGACCACAGTAAGGTGGATTTCCCACCCCAGAAGTGGTATCAACTGAAAAGGGAACTCTCTTTGATCTTATCCAGCGTCTTCATGCCATTTTAAATTACTCCACTGTGGCATCTTATTTCCCAATTCCACAGTCATCTTACTTGTTTATTCATTTGAACACCTGAAGTTACATTATTTGAAATGATTTCCTACCTGGAAAAATGAAACAGGGATTTAAAGCACTCATCCTGTGGTGTACAAAGGATAGATAGAGAGACTTCCTCATGTGCAAAGATGAACTGGTAACAACAATGTCATCTCTAGCATGCTTCTCTGTGAATCAAGGGATGTCTTCTAATAAGACTTCAGACTTGTGCTTTTATTCCAAGCTAGGCTCTGGTGTCAAGATGCCCTTGGCTAAACTAATAAACTGTTGATCAAGCAGATGTGACTTTGCTACCAAAGATTAGGAGGACTATGGAAAAAGTAAACCAAACACTACAAGCTATAACACCATCACCTAGCACAGAAATAACAACTAAGAGGATACAAAAGAACATAGAAAAATAGTTTTCCCAAAGACTGTAATTTTACTGCCCCCTTTGTCAATGCAAAAATACAGACTCCTACTCATCTGGTAATTCTTACCAGTCCTTTAGAAAGATAGGTGACAGAATTGTTGCCACTTGTAGTGGTGATTAGACAGCCATAGATAAACAGGAGGTAAATATTTGCTATCTCAACTACAGATGTATGCACCTGGTCATAAATCAACATATGTTTTATTGTGAACCACCAAAAATATGTTGAATCAAGTATATGTTGCTTATATCCATGCATTTGAGCTGTGGGGAGCAGTTTAAGGAATATGTAGGGCAGTCTCTACATTTGAGAGAATCTGATAAGACAAAAACCAGATGAAATACATGTGATCAAATTCATATGATTGGATATAAGATCTATTATAGGGTAAAGGATACATTGGTCAAATTGAAACCAAGTATGCAATGATATCTCTGAAAATGGCCGAAGGACTCCATTTGCCTTTACTAGGATGGGAAAGGCTTTGTGAATAGAGTGGATTTTGAGCTCACTATTGAAGAAACTTCAGAAATGAAATGCAGATGAGTTTGTGGGTAAATCATGAAGACGCAGAGAAAAATCGAGCAATAGCTAGGTACGACCATGAGAATGTTGACAGATGATTAAACCCCATTTAGGCACTTGAGGGATTTTCAGAAAAGAATTATGTGATCCCAGCAATGAAAACTAGTTAGTAGTATTTAGGTGAACTTACCAGTGGAGAAGAGGATCTTAAATATAAATGGTAAACCAAGAAATAGTAGCTAAAACCAAAGATATTCAGAACTCACATGAAGAATGTAACTCAAAATATGAAGTAACAAAATGTCATTCTTACAGTAAATGCTGGCATTATTGGGGAATGGAATTTGCTGGGGCCAGACTACACTGAATTTTCTTGGAACAGGAAAGACTGCTTTTATGGAAGTCAAAGGCAGGTTCTATCTACAGGAAACGGAGTAGTGTGTTCTTCCCCCCTTTTTTTCCTCTCATTTACACCATTGAAAATGGATTTTTAAATGATTTTAAATGAGGAAAGTGTAACCTATGAAATTACATGTTATGAAATACAATCCTATCTTTTTTTCTGACTCAAAAGGAAATTCAATTTCTTATAATGCCTTAAGTTATTATTACAAATGTTGGCAAGGATGAATAGTTAACAATTATTGGGGATCTTCTACATTGGGTATGCTGTTAAGGGTTTTATATATGTTTTCCTACATGCTAAAATAGTATTCTCTACAGGCATTCCGAGGAATCTCTCTGTTTTAAATAATCAACTTTACTGCACATTGTATATATTTTTCATCAGCTTAATTGTTTGAAGAAAGAAATGATTAGGACAAAAATACAGTGTGTAATGGCAGCCACGTGAGAATAGGTGTGTTGAGAAAAATTAAGAACTTTATGATTATTTTTTTGCAAGTTTAACATGAATATATACATAGGTCTCTAGATAGAGGTGTTACTAAAAAAGAAAAAGATCCAGCAAAGAAACAATCTTATACTGTTAAAACCAGAAAGTTGTGTAGACATGTATGCATGGCTGAATTTCAGGGGAAATATTAAGACAAAAAAAGCTAATATTTTGAATCATTTGTTGCATTTCTGAGGCATTATTGCAATGATTTTAATTTACTCCTGTTTCCATGTGGATGATGAGCAAATTTTGCAAACAATTAGGAATCTTGAGCAATATTAGCATAGGTACAAGATAACCTTAGGCAAGGCTCATATTTCTGTACATCACTGGCAAAGCTAGGCCTTTATCTTAAGATAGCCCGTTTGGAAGATTTACTGGTTATAAAGTCATTTTATTTTGAGCCCACAAATACTCAGTATTTATAGCGAGTAGGTTTCTAAATACATTCTCAAGAAAGCATAAAGTTGAAAGCCCTGAAAATGCAGTTTCTCTAAGGTGCTTCGTATTAAATTTAAAGATAGCTGTTTCAGAAGAGAAATGCCATATGTATAACTTACTCTATGTTCATTAGCCCTTTTGGTGGAGTCTCTCTATGTAGTACCATAGAATTAGATAAGACAGTAATTCCAAGTCAGGCTAAGTGAGAATGAAATGTTTGCTGTCTTTCAAATTAAATAATATAACTACTTTGTCAGGTATTGCAGGTGAGATAAATACAGAATATCTCAATGCCTGCCCAATATAATACTTTATTCTGTCTTAAGTAATAGGACAAAATGAATTGAAATTTCTAAATTGTTAAGAATAATTATTTAAAAAATCAACTATAGGTATTTGATATTATAGTATTGTGTTAATATTTGTAAAGCAGTAACTTTTTATACATTGCTCATTTTATAAAGCAGAATAAATGGTGTAATAATATGTGTATAAGTAGGAAATTCTCCGAAGGAAAGGCTGCAGAGACATAGGTGTTTACCAAAGTATTCTACCTCATATATTAGAATCAATGGAAACAAAATACAAGAAAATTGTGTAGTTATTTCATGTAACATCAAATGATACATTGCCTTGAGGATGACAGAGTGTATTTATAACAATATATCAGCTGGGCAAGGTGGCTCACACCTATAATCCCAGCACTTTGGGAGGCTGAGATGGGTGGATCACTTGAGATCAGGAGTTCAAGACTAGCCTGGCCAACATGGTGAAGCCCCATCTCAACAAAAAATACAAAAATTAGCCAGGCATGGTGGTGCACACCTGTAATCCCAGCTACTCGGGAGCTTGAGGCAGGAGAATCACTTGAACCCAGGAGGCAGAGGTTGTAGTGAGCCGAGATGGCAACACTGCACTCCAGCCTGGGCGACAGAGCAAGACTCCATCTCAAAAAAAAAAAAAAATATATATATATATATATGTCTATCTATCTATCTATCTATCTATCTATCTATCTATCTATCTATCTAATTTACAGGCATATTTACAACCAACATCGTTCAGTCAAAAGTAAAACCTTAACTCAAGATACTCAAACTACAAATGGCATCCCAAATGGGAGTGACTACAGAAAACTTCTCCAGAAAAGTTTGATTGGGCATTATTGATGCTTGGCAGTTGGATGAAAAGTCCTTTAAATTTCTCTTCACTACAATATATCCCATTACCTTTTCAATGATATTGCCTATGATCCCTTCAAATTTAATTAAGCATAAGTATTCAACATGTAAGCATACAATTTGTGACTTGAAAATGTACAGAAGCAGAAGTTTACAAATTGTGAAAAAAACAGAATAACATTTGGCATTTGGATGAAATGTTTTCCCTCTGCGTACTTTCAAACCCATTAACCCCTTATTTTATTTTAACAGCATTCTTATGATATAGGTGAATTTGGTCTTTAGAATTACTCATATTTTACTGTGGGAAATGAGCTTATTACCTGCCCAAGGAATGCAGATATGGAATTTATATTCAGATTAAAATTCTATCACCATGATGTTCTTTCCAAGAAAAATTGTTGCCTGTCAAAAAGAGAAGCAGGATGGACTTCAACCGAAAGTTGGAAATAACGCTGAAAAGAAGAAAGAATAATAATAATTTTTTAAAAGATGGCTTGGCAGATGAAGATAATGCAGCATTATAATCCCTTGGAGTTGGTTTGGTCAACATTTGTAATCTCACCCCTTGCTTAAGCCTTGGTAAAATAACATTTTATCTTATGGTATTTTTTACATACATTACTTGCTTTCAAAATTATTCTACACCACATAGCTCAAAAAGGAGCTTTAAAATATCTAAATTGCCATGGATGATACAAATTCCTCCTGACCCCACCCTCATTCTTTCCCTAAAATCACAATTTTTATCACTTCCAATCTGGAAGTGTAACATTTGACAAATGAGATGACCATATTTGTAATATCTCCTCTGCCCACTTTAGAAATATTGTTCATAGATGACATAACTTCTATGTGCTGTATAGTGTGAATTTGAACCTTCCTGTCTTAAAATGTTAAGGTCTTTATGCCACATAGGACAGATACTGCATTGTTAAATAGCTGTAGTAGTTTTTGCTAAAGGCCATTTTTGTTTTTATTTATCTGGAGGAAGAAAATGACCTGTATGTTACTTTTTTTTTTTCTGAGACGGAGTCTGGCTCTGTCGCCCAGGCTGAGCGCAGTGCCGCGATCTCGGCTCACTGCAACCTCCACCTCCCGGGTTTACACCATTCTCCTGCCTCAGCCTCCCGACTAGCTGCGACTACAGGTGCCCGCCACCACGCCCGGCTAATTTTTTGTATTTTCAGTAGAGACGGGGTTTCACCGTGTTAGCCAGGATGGTCTCAATCTTCTGACCTTGTGATCTGCCCTCCTCGGCCTCCCAAAGTGCTGGGATTACAGGCATGAGCCACCACGCCCGGCCAAAATTTTTAAAATTTAAAATGATGAGGCAGTGGTGGATCTTAGCAATTGTTAAGACATGTATTACACTTTTGGTATGGGTATGTAAGCTCCTCTAGTGAGAGACTAAAATTTCAATTGGCAATGCTTGTTACTTCTGTTTCAAAATTTCCATTCATTGTTTGAAATTTTAATAATTACTGCTACTTACATTGTTTGGGGGAAAAAAACTTCCTTTCCTGGTTATTTACTTACTATTTCCAAAACGTTAAAGTAATCCAGGCAAGTTAAATCTAAGCTAAACAAAAAGTGAACTTTATAGTTCAAGTTCTAAACCATTTTTCAAAATCACTTCAATAGCAAGACTGTAAGTACTTTAAGGCTCATGGGTGGTGATATCTTATATTTCTATGAACCTTCCAATGTCATCTATTAGTGTTCTGGCCAAATAATAGATGTTTTACAAATGTCTGATTGTTTAACAAAAATGCGTGTATCATTCACCTCTCCTTTGCCCTCTGGTTTATTTTTGGCAAAGCACACTGGTGGGAAGTTATTTCAATGTTTTTCAATTAAAATATTTAATAATTAAACATTGAGCTTAACAGGGAAGGAGAATGCAAGAACTGGCCCACAGGAACAAGTGATGAATACTGAAATAATGAATGGGTGCAGCAGTAGCAGCAACAGTCAGTTTCATGCTTGCAAGGAAATGATGAGTGGGAAATTTGTGACACCTGACTTAAAATCAATGCTCCTGGAAGGTGATACAATAGCTCTAAGCTGGAAAAAAAATAAGTACAGGGGGAAATCAAAGCTGACACAGTGAAACTGCACAGAAAGAAATGGGTAGAATAATGACAATGTCAAGCAACTAATGGAGCTAATGAGGTATAACGTGATGGTGCTAAAGATCTCATGTCTTCCAAAGCAACTAGTTAATTTAGCTGATTAATTTGCTAACTCAGTTTTTCTTTTTAATCCCTTAGGGAGACCCTGGTGGTCTCCTTGTATTATATTTTATATCATGTATCAAAGAATATTCAAACTGCTACTTAATATTAGAAAGATACACTTAAAAAGAGGAAGTAAATGCTAAAAAGAAGAGCTTTAATTTGTTTAATAAAGTGATGATCATCTAACTCCAAAACAAAGCCCAGAGTTGTTTCTCTCAATGAGAAAATACGAAAGAAAGAAAAATGAAGTAAAATGTGCACTACTATTTTTTTCTGGCTCCAAGAGAAAAAAAGAAAAGAATACCTGTAATTTGCACTTTAAGACAACAACCTTATCATTTGAGATCTTAAAAGTCTGCATGCTTGCAACACTGTATTTTCTTTGTTAAATTATTTCTGAATTCTTGTTTTGGTTGTAAGGAGACTTGTAAATGGCTTTCTTCATATTCTTCTACTTTAAAAATAGTAGGGGATGGGTGTAAAAGTGGCTAAATGAGAACATTAAAGAAAGGGCTCTTAAAGGTATTTGGACCTGCCAGGCAAACTCTGTAAAGTTGCAGTAGAGTTGTTTTCAAGGTAATAGTCAGCGTCCTTCTCTGAAAGCTGATTTAACTTGGCTAGATGATAGGCATCTCTTTGGGTAAGTTAAAGGGTCTCAAGCAATAAAGTATGTTTTATCTTGGTTAAGCTGATAATTTGTCCTACTTAAGCAAGTAATGCAAATTTCCTTGCAAAGCTCTGTGCTCATTAGCTCATAATTAGGGCAATAAATCTGGAATCACAAAACAGATCAGTGAAAACATCATAGTACTGTAAATGTGGGAGTGAGGTTATCTTCTCCTGTAGGAATCAGTAGAGAGTTTGCAAAAATCTATTCGGATTCTGACTGTGACTCTACATGTGATTATCATAAATTTAACTACTAGGAAGAAGAGAAGGAAAGGAAGGCTGAGGGCCTTCCTTTAACAGTCCAGGTGACAACCAAAATTTTAAAGACATCTCTTATTATCAAGACCACCTATAATCCTAAGATATATTATGTTTATGAATTATCTTTAAGTAGGTCTTTCACACTAATTTTCATACATGAACATTTTTGCAAGTAAGCACTTACTGTGCTGCTGGTGGGGAAACCAGTGGCCTGCAGGTACTGAGCAATTAGTCAGAATTCACAGAGTGAGTCAAAATACCATGTCAAGTAGAAAGCCAGAAGAGAACTCTGCAAAGTACAAAAGCCTGCATTCCACCCTTAGTATACAGAATTCTGGTGTGGACAGACAATTTGAATTACTCTAGAGATGACAGAGAAAACTGTGAACTCATAAGAAACCAAACAATTCTGCTTTCTTTTTTTCTTTAACACAAAAATGTTAATTCAACACTGCTTACTTGTATCACAGTACCTCTTTCATTTCACTTGCAAATTGTTTACAAATATGCCCCTCTCTCACTCAGAAGTCATATTCACTGATATTGGTCTAAATCATGCCTGTACATGCTATGTATTTTCTGTTCATTTCTGAGCTCCACCCAACTTGCTCATTTTCCTTATCGCTCAAGATTTAGAAAAAGTTGATTCATGTCAGTACGACATCATGCAGATTGACTAAAACTAACTTTGAGATTAGGGGAGACACGTCTTTCTATAAAAGAACCCGGAGTTGCCCTTAGACTTTATGTGTTCATCCTGCTATATATGACACTTAAGCTAACAGAACTGAATTTCTTTGTGGTTTACATCTCTAGAGAGAATATGTTTCTTCTTGTTTAAGAAGTGATACACTGAGATCTTAAATCTTCCTGGTTTTAGCAGAGGAGACAGGGTGGGCTCTTCAGTGATCTATATTCTCCAGTCAAGTTGTTACTACTGAAGTGGAAACTTTTCTTCAAATTATTTGTCTGGGTCTCATTTGGGCCTAAAATGCAGACTTCAGCTTAGATGAAACTATCAGAAATTTAGGAAATGAAAAGTACCCAACAGCAAAAAGCTAAATAAAGTGAATACGGCATCTATTTATATGTATTTAATCCTTAGAAGACAAGCTTCTAGAGAAAAAAACCACAGGAGAATCTTAGCCTATGCTAATAAGTGAAGAGGAAGATACTCACCATGTAATATTAGCTAAAAAAACAAATGTGCATGGTGGGAACAGATGGATTTTTATTTTGGATTTAACTCATTAAAGGTATTTCGTAGTCTGGCTGCAAGTCAGACTATTTAGAATGATGGAGATAGGTATTAAAACTAAAATAACCCAGCTATTGTTAATATTAATAAATCGGCTTGGAACTTGCACTTTCTTCCAGCTGTTATCTTTAAACAATCTATTTAAATATTTCTTTGCTCTCTTACCTTTCTTTAATTTCTCAAAGATATGCATAGCCACTATCCTATCCCTTTCCTATATGGAATACTTAGCACTAATTTACATTTTGCCAATATATTTATACTTTGCTTCTTGGCCTTTCAGTGAAGACTAAAGTGCTGTAACGTGTAGTAAATATGTTCACCCACTACCTAGAAGTCTCCCAGACAAAAAAATTCCCTAATTTAATAACCATCAGTTTTTCAAACAATGTCAGATATATCCCACCATTTTCCAAAAAAAGCTGCAAGCAACATTTCACCCAACAGACCCTAGGCACCATCAGTGGTTAAAGGTCTTACCTCAGTATGAGGCAGCTGGGTAAGATCTGGAATATGCATGTGTCCTACAAGGCTGTATGTCATGAGCCAGTGCCAGAAAGGGCAATTTTCTTTTTTATTTAGACCAATTCGAGAAAAATAAACTTGTTTACAGGCCACCTTAAAAAATTCAACATGGGGATAGCTTTATTTGGGCTTTTGTGAGAGTGGATATATTCATTCAACCTAGATTATCCATTTAGTGTCAGTGAAAAAAATTGCAGGCACTTCTTAGTCACCAATATGTTAAGGTTTGTAATAATCCAGAGCAATTTTCTAATTGTATCCTGAAAATAGGTTCTTCATCACATGGAAAATATGGGAAGATTGCAAAACTGAGTCATGGGTTGCTCATTACTGACCTGGAATCTTATTCTCTCTAAGTTATTCAAAACACAGAACAGTTGGTGTCAGAGTTTCTCTAAAGGGAGCATTCATTTAGAAGTGAGGACAAATAGCTCAGATTTAAGCCATGTAAAAAGAGTGGGAATTGAAGATATGAACCCAACACTTAATTTTTAACATAAAGGCAAATGTCAAGGTGCATATGTGAGAGAGATGAGGAACACACCATCACGAAATAGGGAATGTTAGGGCCAGATGGAAACCTTGGTGATTATTTAAGTCCACCTCCTAGATTTTTACAGACAAGGAATCAGATAAATGACATGATGTCTTAAGACATTCCATAGCAAAAGCTTGGGAGTCAATACTACTTCAGTTTGATTACTGGTCCAGCAATTACTGGCTGTGGGGCATTAAGTATGTTATTTTACCTCCCTTTGCTAGTTTCATCTATGATATTGGGATGATTGTGCAGCACTAAACTAATAAGTTGTTTCAAGGAACAAATAAATCTGCTTATACATATAAACCACTCAAATCAGTATTTACAACTGACGTGCACCCAATAAATGATAAATTTCTTTTCACAACTTTTCATCTGCTCTAGGTTTTTAAATTATCCACCATGACTTTAGAATAATTTAAAGAATATATTGATATGTTCCATTTACATACCATTCCTGGAAAAATAGTATTCCTATGAATTTTATAATTAAAATATAAAATATATTCAATGTTAATTCTTGAAATTAATGGGTAAATTAATTTATACATGGATCTTTAGTGTGAACTTAGGCCAGGCTTGAGACATGTAGTACCTCAACATGTTGGACAAGCGTTTCGGGTCTCACTAAGCCTTGAGGAATGGGAAAAAAAGGAAATGGAATGGCTTTCCCCATTCAGAGATAGCACCTCCCCACCATGCTCATAACTCAGACAGCACTGCACTTTAAAGGTAAGGGGAGGGGGCACATACAAGGAACAGGTAAGAAAAATAAGACTTTCCTGCAACTCTACCATTCTTCTTAGAACTTCTCTGACCATGAATATCTTTCTTTCTCTTTCTAGTTCTCTGCCTATCCATCAAGGACAAGCTTATCCCCAAATTTTCCCAAGGTTCCCAGCCCATAGCCTCCTCTTAGTCCCATAATCTTCTGGCACCTGTCTCTCTACCCACTTGTATGGATGTTAATCCCAAGCCATACTCTAACTCTTCTGCTGCTTTCATGTTTTGCCATTATATTTCTTGTGTTTATATTTTGTTTCCTAATTAGATTGTAAGTAACTTGAAGTGCCTGGAAGATGTCTTTTCTTTTAAAATTAGTTGACCAAAGAAAGAAAAGGAAAAGGTAATGCAGAAAAAGAAAGCAAACACTGTAACTCAGAAGAATTTGCCCCAACAACTCAAATATCAGCTTCACTCCAAAGCTACACCCCAAAACTAAGCAGGACTGAAACAGCCAAAGCAAAGCCATAACAAAGCTCAGTAAATATTTAGCTTCTTCTAAACTATTCCAATAGAGTCCTAACTAATCTCTTTGCCTCCAATCTCTCCTGTCCAATCCATTCTCCACACAAGTGATCAAATGATCTTATCTACATTAGGCACCCAATAATTGGTTTGTTAACTGAATTTATTAAACATATATTTTGTGCAAGTAAAAAAAAACAGTTACTTTGGTGATTCAAGCAATTATATCAATGCTATGTTGTGAGTGAAAAGGCACAACTTTGGCAATTTAATCAGCAAGAAACTCAGAAAGCAAAGTTTGGTACAATGTATGCAGGTGGTTTCTAAATTCAAAGGTGACCCTGCAACCATGGCAAAATAAATGTTTTTTATCTACATACAATTTATGACTTGATCACTAATTGTCTTACTGGAAAACTGTTGATGTTGAAAACTGTAATTCAGGAAATATTATACATTACATAGATAGATTCACGCATTCTTTCAAAAAGCAGATATTCAGTGCCTACTACATTCCACACACCAAGACTGATAAAATACAACACAAGCAAAACAAGAAATACTGGGATGTTACAATAACATTGCTTTTTGTTAACCATGACAAAATAAATGCTTATGGGTGAAATCATACCTTTTGAATCAGTCAGGGTCCAAGCAGGAAGCAAACAGCATATTCACATTAGAAAACTGTGAGAAAAGTTGAATGTCCCTTTTACAAGCTGAGTAGAAGGAAACTTCAGGCCAGTGCAGGGTACCAGTGTGAAAGGAGGTTTCTACATAGCCCTTAGGCCTGAAGGAGCAATGGGGGACAGGGTAGTTACTGGAACTCACAGACAGGAAGGGTACTTGGATAGAGCAGAACCTCTTGAGACCCCAAAAGAATGAAGCCTGAGGAATGCATATCCCCCACTCTCTGCACTCCCTTCTCTGCCTGCTTGGAAGTCAGACAGTGAGGAAACTCTATGTATGGTATGTGGTCCATATATTAATATTTTAGCCACTCAGGCTACAGAGCAGCATGGGGAAGAGTGGAGCATAGATCTACATTCCATAGCAACTTAATTCAGCATCCCTTTAGAACTTTCTAAGTAAGCAGTCAGCGTGGGTTGGTTAAACTGCACAAACCTGTAACGAATGAGTGATTTCAAGTACATTTTTAAAACAGTACCATAATTTTCTGCTGAGCTTCCGAAGGCAAGGCATCAGAGAAGCTGTCAACACTAATGCTGTCTATAGAAAATGGAAAATTAACAAAGCAAGAAGAAATGATCAATTTGAACTTGGTTTGGCTGTGTAAAACTTCTAATTTCAGTCATATATATTAGTTGCTTACCATTTATGCCTAATTACCATGTAGCACAATAATGTGTATCATTAAACATGTGCCAAATTAACTTTACAATATTAACTTTACAATGTTAACTTAGCATTATTAGCTTAGTTCAAGTTTGGACAGTTTTTGTAGGTTTTGACTCAGGTACATGCTTCTCCCTCTTTTAACTCAAAGAAAATATTTGCTTCAATGATATTCTGCCTAATCATATACTCTCCAAAGACCTAGGAAATGAAAAAAAAATCTGTGCAGATTCTTCAGACTTAATATATGAATTAATTTAGTAGTGCTTAGAGCCAAACCATAACCAAGGATTGGGTTATCAACGAATTCCAGCCATGATATAAAGCAGGAAAAAAACTCATGCCAGACCCTTTATAGCTCTTAAGTCATAGGACTCAGTATGCAGTGAACTGCCACCAGGAGGATCAGATGGGCGAGAAGTGTGCTATCTTTAGCAAATGTATCCTGATAACTAAGACCACATTCCATTTTTGCACTTGAACTAATTCTTGATTGTAGTGTAAAGCTTGAGACAAGCTGACCTACCTACCATCAAATCACTAATGATTAGGGTCATCGGGATATGTTGTTCATACTACATATTTGAATTTCCAGTCGTGATAACTAGATCTTATTACTGAGTTTATGCATTCATTCTAAGAACTGATCAAGAAATTTCTGTTTTGCCTTGATAAATGAACAGCATATATAACCCACAAATTCTAGATCCTTTAAATTGCTAGACAGAGGATGCCTGAAATATATTACAAGTTGGTCTAAAAAGCCTCAGTTTAAATGTATCAGAAAAACCATAATAATTCAGCAGTGGGCCTAATACTATAATTAAATTTGACTCATGGTACTACGGGGTATGCATTTTAAAGGATTAATTTACTTAAAACACATGTTCTCTTTGATTTCAGAAAATAGTTGAGTTACTTTATTTCACTTCTTGATAAGGATTTATATTCAGAAATGTAAAAGTATAATCATATTCTGGAAGATCAGCCCTATTTTATGGCCTTACAAAATATCCTGCACTTCAGGGATTCCACTGGAGATTCTTCCTTGAGGATTCATCTTCTAGGGTCACAGGGCCCCTCTCAGTTACTGACCCATCATTGTGGGCCTTCACTGGTGACAAGAAGGGAGAATGGTGGTATTAAGTCCCAGTAGGCACCAAAGAGAAAGCAATATGCTGATGTGGAGAAAGGCCAATTGTTTGCATTTTCACTTCAACCTTGCGTGCTGATGTGTTATCTGACCTTTAGTCAGTTTGCCAATGTTGTACAAAAACGACTGCTAGATTAATCACTGAAATGTTAACAGGCATTAATTGAACATACACGGTACACAATCATGGAATTACAACACCTTGGGGGTATTTTTATGGATGAAGAACATCTATATATTCACATTAAAATAATAAGTATAGCTACCCTATATTCCTTGCCTATGTTCTAACAGATACTTAAATCCATGAGGTTATTTAATTCTTTGAACAACCATGTGAGGTAAACAGTATACCCAGTGCATGGACGAAGCAAGGAGATGAATGGGCATAGCATACGTAGGAAGGGGAGGCTGGACTTAAGATCAAGTCTAATTCCAAACTTCATACCCTTTTCATTATTTTGTAAGCCTTAGCAGTGCCTTCCAGTTATGGTTGTTTTGTTTCTCCATGGAGATGTCTCTCATTACCTTGTACACATAAACCCACAGCTTATCCCTGACTCTTCTCCTGCCCTCTTTTCCTTGTGAAATGTCTGACTCAGAGTAATCTTCCTGAAACAGCAAGAAACTGCAATCAGCAAAGCAGAAGTGCTATTGTGCACTGGGCTTGGGACAAAGACCTATGGTCTGTGGTCAGCAGATTACAGCAGGGAAAAATCACATTTGGGGGGTTAGACGTGATGATTAATATGTGTTCTTTTGTCAGAGATCAGTTTTAAGAAATGTCAGAATGTCGGATTATCCAGGTTTTCCATGAAGTCTGCCGTCAAAAAAATTATTATTATTTTTGTCTCAGTGTTTAAAATAATCCATGCAAGGGCTCTGTAAGGCTTCCTTTTGGGAGGACTGTCAGGAGTTAACAATTACAGATTTCTCCTTTCCAAGGCTCACTCTGGCACCTGTGCCTTAGATCCCATCACTTCCAATTCCTCAAGAATCTTGTTCCTACATGTTTTACCTTCATCTCTGGAATCTTCAGTTTCTTTTTCATTCCTCTTTTACTTTTTTTATGCTTTCAAACTTCACCAAAAAGCTTTAGTTTACTTGTCTGTCCCCTCTAGCTACTGTCTTACTTCTCTCATTTTCATTTCTGAGCTGCTTAAACAAGTGGTCTAAGCTCACTGCCATCCTCTCTGTTTCACATAGCTTCCCTTCAGCCTCTGACATTCTGGCTGTCACCCTACTACACTTCCACGGATGGTCAGTGGCTTTCTCTTTGCCAAGGACCTTGGACTTCTCTCAGTTGCCAGTTTTGATATCTGTGTGTCATGTTATTTTAACTGCACACTCCTTGAAACACTGGCTTCATTATTGGTAACTTTTTGTCTCTTCTTACAACTTTCAGTAGCTTCCCTTCCTTTTTTCCCCCTCTTTAAATTTTTATTTTAGGGATTCTCTTGAGGGGTGGTTTAATGTGTTTAATTTTTTAACAGATTTATTGAGAAGTAGTTAACATATAATAAATCGAATGTACTTAAAGTATACAATTTGGTGTTTTGATATATTTACACACCCATGAAACCATGACTACAGTCAAGATAGGGAACATATCCATCACCCCCAAAGGTTTCCTCATGACTCCTTGTAATCACTCTCTCCTCCCTCTCCCCAATCCCCTGCTTTCATCCCTAAGCAATCATTAATCTGGTTTGTCACTATAGATTAGTTTTCATTTTCTAGAAGTTTTGTAAATGAAGTGACACAGTATTCACTCTTCTTTGGTCTCGGTTTTTTCACTCAGCATAATAATTTGGGGATTCATCATGCTATTTCCTGTATCAATAGTTTCTTCCTTTTATTGCTGAATTTGAATTCATTATATCCTATACAATTTGTCCAGGCTTTCAATTCTGTCTACCTCTTAATGGAAATTTATGTTATTTCCAGTTTAGGGTTATTGCATATAAAGTTTCTATGAACATTTGTGTGCAAATTTTCTATTGAACAAATGCTTTCATTTCTATTGGGTGGAATGCATAGATCATATGGTAGTATATCTTTTAAAAAATTGACAAACATTTCCAAAGTGGTGTACATTTTACATTCCCACCAGCAAATGTATGAGAGTTTCAGTTTCTTCATATCCTTACTAATGCTTTGTATGGTCAGTATTTTAAGTTTAGCCATTCTAATATATGTGTAGTGATATCTCACTGTGGTTTTAATTTGTATTTCTCTAATAACTCGTGATGTTGACCATCTTTTCATGTGTTAATTTGTCATGTATATTACTTCCCTGGCAAAGTGTCTTCAAAGTTTTTGCCAGTTTTTTTTTAATTGGATTATTTGTTTTCTTACACTGAGTTTGAAAGTACTTTATTTATTCTGGAGGCAAGTCCCTTTATCAGAAATATGATTTTCAAATATTTTTCTTCCAGTTTTTGACTTTCTTCTTAACAATATCTTTCAGAAAAATGTTTTTAATTTTGATGAAATCTTACTTATTTTCTTCTTTGATCATGTTCTTGGTGTTATATCTAAGAAATTTCTACCTAATTCAAGAGTAAAAAATTATGTTTCCTTTTAGAAATTTTAGTTTTAGGTTTTGTAGTTAGGTCTGTGAACCATTAATAGTTAATTTTTATACATGGTATGAGATATGAATCAGCATTCATTTTATGACATATGTATATCCAATTATTCCAGCATCCTTTGTTGAAAAGACTGTCCTTTCTCCATTGAATTGCCCTTGCAACTCTGTCAAAAATCAGTTGCAATATAGGTGTAATATAGGTGATATTACACCGATATCATGCTGTCTTCATGACTGTAGCTTTCCAATAAGTCTTGAAATTAAGCTGTGGTAGCCCTCCAACTTTCCTTTCCTTTCCCTTCCTTTATAAATCCCCCAACTGTGGTTATTACTGTAGGTACTATTGTTGACTTGAGCTTTTCTCTATAAACATGACTGGCCTTAGTGAACTCTGGAAACTCCTACAATTTTCATAAACAATTTTATGATAAAGGCTGTAAAAAAAAAAAAAAAGCAGAACTGCTAGCCCCAGCTTCTCCTTTGAGTTCCAGGCCTGTGGCTCCACTAATTTACAGACAGCTATCAGAAATCTCATTTCTTCAACCCCTGAACTTTTATATAATTCTCTTCTGACACTTCCCATCAACTTTCCCTCCTAACTTCATGATGTCAGCCCCACCACCGTTTTTCTGTCGCCCAGACTTGAAACCTCATCTTTGATTTAGCTCTTTCTTTCTTTTTCTGATCCAATACATCACTATATCCTGGCCTTTTATTTTTCATTCAAAACATGTTTCATGTATGTTTTCTCCATTCTCCCATTGTCACTGTTACTAAATTCGTACTACCATTTTCTCATGTGTGAATGGCTGACTGAAAGCCCAATTGGCCTTCCTACTTCCAGACACTTCCTGACTTTCCTTTCCCAGACCCAAGGCAATCCTTAGATTTATCTTCCTAAAGCAAATTATGCTCAAGTCAGCCCGAAAGTTTTCCATTCTAGTTAGGTTTACTCCTCCCTCCCTCTTTGTAATTTGCTCTAGTCTGTGATTTTTTCTTTCACTCTCATTTGCACATTAATCTGACTAGTTTTAACATTTTCTAAGTAGAAGAGAATTTTAAATAACATTTATTTAAAGCCTTTTTAGAAAGGCTATAAAATCTATGTACTATCATATAATTTGTTTCCCAATCCCACTGCTGTAATTTAAACTGTACTTTCCACATTTTCACTGAACTTGAAAGATACTCCATCATTTGACACTGAATAATTTTATTTATTTAAACCTAACCCTTGCTTTATAGTCATATAAGGATCTACTATAGGTTAAAGACAAACCTAACAAACCAAACAAACAGTACCTAAATACCTAACCAAGACAAGATCCAGTGAAAATGAATTCCCTCCATGTCTCTAACACAAGTAGACCAGTTTTAATAGTGTCCTATAAAAATGGGGACAAATTCCTGTGACCATAGGCAACTAAGAATTTTCAGAAATGACAGATTATTAGAAATCCCCCTCCTTCAACTACAAGTGCAACAAGTTCAATTACCCCTGTGAGTTCCCAGCCCTAACAGAGTCACGGGAAAGATGCATTTATCACAAACGAAACAAGCTTTAAAGATTTACTTGCCTATGATCTTTTGGAGAAAAGATAAGAAATGAAACATCATATTTGCTTTTAAATATAAATCTCCTTTAAGGAAAGTAATATTTGAAGATCAATTGTTTTGATAATAAAATAAACTTTAGAACCTTGTTTATGGACACTGGGTGACATAAAACTAAGAAATGTATGTTCTGCTTTTTGAGAATGTAGTATCCTTAAAATGGAATCATTAATATTATGAGAATGTCAATGTTAACGGTAAAATATTACACAGTTCATTATTCTGGCAAAGAACTCATTTCTTTAAAGGCAGGTATTTATTTTTCACCCATTAGTATCTAAGGAAATCCCTCATACACAGTTAAGCATGTCATATGTATTTATAAATTAAATTCAGTGACACTATTTTCCCAATATTGATAATATTTTGACAGTTAAGCAATTGGTCTCTAAGGGTCAATTAGAAATCTAATTTGCAAGAAGAAAATGAAAAATGAAAAGAAGCCGTATAATTCTGGATTCGATCTTTTTTAGGCTAAGAAAATAAAATGGAAGACCCGAATCAAAACAGGGTATCTATCAGATCATTTTCTGATGTGTAATGTAGACTTAGTTTTAAATGCTAAAAAGTAAAAGTTACACCTTATATTAGTAGAATGGTTTTCTTACAAGAAGCTCAAACTCTTTTGAAAAGACTCCCATATTTTCAAGGACATGCAGGTTCAAGTGCAAGAGTGTTTGTGGGATAAAGGTGTCATAAACCAGATCGTGGTGTTTACAACACCAGCAAGCACCCTGTGTAATCTCACACCATTCAACTTAATAGCTGCTTCAAAATATAGGACAATAGAGTTTCCTAGGATTCTCACATACAGAAGGAACCTAGCTTATTTTTCTTTTTCCCACTTCATGTATAAGGAACAAGGGTCAAGGAAGGCTAACCTCACACAGCAAGCTAGTCCAAACATAGCAGTTACATTGCCTGACTGCTCAAGGTCTATATTGCATTAACTTTCACCTGCTCAGGAAAGACAAGTGCAATACTTTGTTTGGATGAAAGCAAAAAAATTCGGGTATCCAAACCAAACAGCTTAGGTGAGAAGATGATTCAGCTTATTCAGATCTAGGCAAACAAATGAGAAAAAATAAAAGGAGGGGAAAAAAAAAAACCCTTACAAAACCTACCATTCCTCAGAAAACCTAATCCCACAACCAAAAAAAAAAAACATAACATTTTTAATTTTTAGGAAAAGATATATGTGGCAGTATAGCGTAGAAAGAGTAAAAGTTGGAAAAGAGAGATTTAGAAATATACCGAGTTACATGTAATGCACACAATGTGATTTCTGATAATTTTGGAAAGATATTTTGAATTGACTTTAAAGGGAATGGAGAGGGATGTGAGAGAGTGAACTTGTTCATTTAAGCATGTTTTTCCCCCAGTCCTTACTGCTCATCTGAAAACAAGAAGTAGAGCAGGTCAGGAAAGGGGTTATGGTTAACACTGCAAGATGAAAGATAAGCAGCCAGGCAGTTAGAAGCCAAGGCATTTTATCTAGAAGAGCAGGTCTGGCCTTGTTTCTATCTTGATAAGAATTAGATTGGAGAGCTTGTTTGTCTATAGACTAGGATGGGGTGGAGGGGTGTCGGGGCTGAAGGAAGGGGACAGGGAAGTCAGGGGCTGAGTTATGGAGTAGTGGCAAACCACTAATGTAGTGATAATTCCCTCTTCTATGTTCTATGTCTACCTGAACTTTGAAATTGCTAGACTTGTCTATTTAGATAACATGGCTGTGTTTCTTTCAAATATGGAGACTTAAATATCTAGAAAGTTTAGGTGACCTGAACAGGCTAATTGCCTAAGTCTAAAATTTCAGGACAATAGCTAACTGGATGGGCTATTAACAGAGAACTTGAAAGAAATGACATTTTAATTTAAGCAGCTCTTTAAATGGTGTGTTTATCTTTATTCTGAAGCATATGCACGATATACTCTGACTTGCTTTTTAAAGTTGTGTTTTCATTTCAAGTTTTTAAAAATACATTACAATTATAGCAGCTTCCACTTTCTTACTGCTCTGATTTGATGATACAACTGATTTAGAATTATGTTTTACAATATAATTATTAAAATTTGTAAAGTCCTAAGTTCACCAAAATTTGTTCTGATTATGGCCATGACTGTAAAAACAGCAGGTTTCCCTGGGATTTTATTTGCTTTTACCCTTAGAATTTTAGTCCATAATAGAACCAAGAAATCAGAATTTCAAAATGAAACGGGTTATCTTTTTAAAAAAATAAGCCTATAAAATTATTTGTAGCTATTTGAAATGATTCTTAATCATGGTAGGTTTATGTTGCTCATGACCTTAGTTGTTCAAGTAGAGTTTGTTGAATACACAAGATGATTAGCAGAGGAGGAAGCATTATAGGATTAATATAGTTCATAAACCTTTAGGGGTTTATAGCCTCTATGAGAAATAAACCAGGGCATTTTTAGCCCAAATGATTAGATACCAAAACAAATTTGTAAAAATAACAGGTGGGAAGAAAGCATCTTGAAACAATATATTTTTTCTTATTATCTTGGCCACTGTATAGATTGTCTGGTACCTTGAGTCTTATCTTCTCTGTGGTCCTGAGGCAGTCCCTATATATAATTAGCTCTGGACCTGGCCTGACCTCCAGGAGCAATGTCTAGAATGTGTTCATTACAGTGCCTGGCACATAGGAAGAGTGAATTGAGTGTTTGTTAAATGAATACAGATAAGAATAATCAAAATGCTCATTGGTGAGATTGATTAAAATAAATTATATATCCATGCACTGGGATACTATGCAACTGTGAAAATTATGTAGTTAACTATTTAATAACATGGAAAGACAATGACAGATTATTAATTAGAAAAAAGTTATAAATCATATGAGTAGAATGATTCCATATGTGAATAAACAATATGTACCTATGTATTAGATATGTATGATAATTTTTAGAAAGATACATACCAATATGCTTATATGTAAATGGTTGGATTATGAGGGGATTTTTTTTCTTTTTTTTTTTTTTTTTGAGACAGACTCTCACTCTATTGCCCAGTCTGGAGTGCAGTGGCATGATCTAGGCTCATTGCAACCTCCGCCTCCTGGGTTCAAGTGATTCTCCTCAGCCTCAGCCTCCTGAGTAGCTGGGATTACAGGCCCCCGCCACCATGCCCGGCTAATTTCTGTATTTTTAGTTGAGATGGGTTTTTGCCATGTTGGCCAGGCTGGTCTCAAACTCCTGACCTCAAGTGATCCACTCACCTCAGCCTCCTGAAGTGCTGGGATTACAGGCATGAGCCACCACAGCCAGCTGGATTATGAGTTTTTTTTAAATTTTACTTTAAAACTTTCACACATTTAAAAAATATATATATATACACATACACACACACACACACACACACACACACACACACACACATATATATAGAAAAGATTGTTTTTATGATAATTTTTTTTAACATCCTAAAGGTGAGGATATAGAAATAGCAAGTGATAATTATTCTTTGGTAAAACTTGTCTGTGAAAGGAAATGGACTGAAAGCATAGAAGCTACAGCTCATTTATAACCAATCGAGAAGCAGGACATGTCAAATGCTGTACAGAGTCCTGCTACCTGGGAAGCTTCTGATAAACGAGGGTTGCTATTATTATTATTGTCATTAAAATGTCTTCAGTTCTCATAGACTTTCAGCACCAGCACACTGTCCAGGAGCACTGTCCAGAATGTTCTCAAGAAGAATTCTCTTTCTAGAACGCTCTCCTTTTTTAAAGTTTCTTCTCTTATTTCCCGCTCCTTGGCTACTCAGTAGAGTTGTGCTGGTGCTGAAAGTCTACGAGACCTGAAGGCATTTTAGTGGTAATAATAATAATAATAGCAACCCCCGTTTATTAGAAGCCTCCCAGGTAGCAGGACTCTGCACAGCATTTTACACAGTGTGCTACTCCATTGGTTATAAATATGCTGTAGCTCCTATGCTTTCAGTCCACTTTCTTCCACAGAAAAGTTTTGCCAAAGAATAATTATCACTTGCTATTCAATATCCTGACCTCCAGGATGTTAAAAAATGTTTATCATAAAAATAATCTTTTCTATGTAATTTTTAAATGTGTAAAAATTTAAAATTAAAAAACTCATAATCCAACCGTCTATACATATAAGCATCTTGGTACAACTCTTTCTAAAAATCATCATACATATCTAACACATAGGTACATATTGTTTATTCACATATGGAATCATTCTACTCATATGATTTATAACTTTTTTCTAATTAATAGTCCATTGGTATCTTTCCATATTGTTAAATAGTTAACTACATAATTTTTCACAGTTGCATTATATCCCAGTGCATGGATATGTAATTTATTTTAATCAACCTCACCATTGAGCATTTTGATTACTTTTATCTCTATTCATTTAACAAAGAATTCACTCTTACTAGGTTCTAGGCACTGTAATGAACACTTTATGGTATTTACACATTTAATTACTGTAAAAACCAATCAGGACAAATAAGTATTGTAGGCTAACAGATTGCACAACAAATGCTGGTGGGGATGTGCAGAAAAGGAAGCTCTTGAACACTGTTGGTCGGAATGTCAATTAGTACAGCCATTATGAAGAATAGTATGGAGGTTCCTTAAGAAAACTAAAAATAGAACTGCCATACAATCCAGAAACTCCACTACTGGGTATTCTCCAAAAGAAAGGAAATCAGTATATCAGAGAAATAGCTGCACCTCCATGTTTATTGTGGCACTATTCACAATAGCCAATATATGGCACCAAACTTAGTGTCTATCAATAGATGAATGAATAAACAAAATATGTTTTATATAGACACAATGAAATACTATTTGGCTGTAAAAATGTCATATCATTTGAAGCAACATGGATGGTACTGGAAGTCATTATGTTAAGTGAAATAAGCCAGGCACAGAAAGACAAATATTGCATGTTTTCACTCATATGTGGGAGCTAAGAAGGTTTATCTCAGGGAGGTAGAGAGTAGATTCATAGTTCCTAGAGGCTGGGAACAACTGAGTGGGGGATGAAGAGAGGTTGGTTAATGGGTACAAAGATACAGTTAGATAGAAGCATTAAGTTCTAGTGTTTGATAGCACAATAGGCTATATATAATTAACAATAATTTATTGTATATTTCAAAATAGCTAGAAGAGAAGATTTGGAATGTTCCAAACACAAAGAAATAATTAGCGTTTGAGGTGATGGCTACCCCAATTGCCCTGATTTTTTATTATGTAACAATAAAAAACCAACCAGGCTGCAACAACCTTATTAATAGTAGTAATCCTCTTACTGTCCCTATTTTACAGATAAAGGAACTAAGGCACAGAAAAGTAACTTGCCCAAGTTCACAGAGCTAATAAGTAGCAGAACTGAGGTTTCAACTCAGGCTGGCTCTAGAGTAGGTGCCCTTAACTACTGTGATATGGTTGCTATCAGAAACAATGCTGCAATGAATGTCTTAATTTCTTATTGTTTCCTTAGAAAAACACTTAGAATGAAAATGCACCTTAGATTGACAGACCTTAGATGATACTGTGCATTATTAAAATTAAATCTCACACTGTTTCAACTTGTATTTCTCACTCACAATTCTCTGAATCTACTGAAATTTTTTCAGTCTTCATCTTTCATGACCACTCCATAGCATGGGATGACTGATCACTCCTTTCTCTTGCTGTTCTTTACTGCTTCAGTGTGATATCGCCCTTGGCTACTTCCCTCTAACTTGTATTAACATTCCTCCCCTGACTCCCTCGCTGATACTTCCCTCTGACCTCCTTTTACATTTTGGTGTTTCTTCGCTCTCCACTTTATCCTCGCCTCATGTTGCAATCTCCCTGGGAAATCTCATCCATTCCCATGACTTTCACCACAATTTAAATGCTAATGCCTCATAAATCTTTATCCCCTTCCAGACATCTCCGTTAACTCTAGACTTATATATGTAACTGTCTATTAGACGTCTTCACCAGGGATATTCTCCAGGCTTTCAAAAACCGAATATGTTTAAAATTGAACTGGCCACTTTTCTCCTACACCTGATCTTCATCTGGATTTATCATCTGAATTTGATTTTACCATCATACAGCCAGACACCTAATAAGAGAGTCATTTTAGATTTGAGTAATGATGATAACAAAGGTTTTGAATCTAACAACCCTGGGTTTGAACCCAAGGTATGCCACTTAAAATCTGGATGGCCTTGAGAAAGTTGCTCAAACTCTCTAAACTTTATTTTTGTTATCTATAAAATCAGAATAAAAATACCTACTTTGCAACACTGTTGGGAAATTGAAATGGGATGATGTATGTTATACTGTGTATGTTCTTTTGGGAGTGCTTGACATATTAAAAGCATTCAATAAAGAGTATTGCTATTTTGGCAGTGATGTTTCACCTCTCACATCCAATCAGCTTCTGAGTCCTATTGTTTCTAACTCTGTAACCTCACTCCAATAATCTTTCTCTCTTTACTTTCCCTGCTGATAATGCCTAATTAAGATCTTGTCATCTCTGCTTTAAGGGTTGCAATTTTCTCTAATTCAGTGGTTCTCAACCTCTTTTTTATTCCTGATGTCAACATACAGAATGGATGAAGTTCACATGCATGATGCTCCGTCAGGCATACTCCATGTTAAGTACAATTCTAGAAGTTTAGGCTATAACTCCACCCCCTTGTTTCTCATTCCAATAGGAAATATACTAAAATATACTGGGGAAAAAAGTAAGAGTAGAATTAGCAAAGAGGGAAACTTGAATCCACTCCAGTTTTTTTGTCTTGTGCAAATGTGAGTACTGCATTTCTAGTAGCAAACTGCTTGCAGCATACCTGTGTGCCAGTATACCATGGGTGAGCGAGCTTTGCCTTAGCTAACTTCCTTTACTAACCCTCTCACCCCACACTAATTCCATTCCCTACACTATTGTCATAGTAAGTGGTTTCTATTATATAGACTTTACCCTGTGCCCTGAATTTTCTATGAGACAAAATACAACTCCCATTAGCTTGGCGTTCAAGATCTTTTAGACCTATCCTTTTCAGCTTTTTCAGGCTTTCCTTTTTATATACTCCACCAGACATACGTCTCTTGAAACAACAAAATAATGGTATTTTCCACCTCCCATTTCTCCCTTTCCTGTCTCTCCTCACTCCACAAGAGTCTGCCTTAAGCTCCAGACCCTCCCCTGAATGTACCCTCAAATATGGGCACCCACGACCTATATACTCCTAAATCCATTGGGCATTTTTCACTTAGTAGCAATGAACACGTTGAGCACTTCCTTTCCTCCTAATTCTTTGGCTTCTCCTTTATTAATCTCCTTTTCTGGCGATTTTTCTTCTATTTATAGTTCAATATTCTGCCCCCAGGACTCTTTCCTGAGCAGTTTTCTTTTCTTCAATTCTCTTTACGTTCTACAAACTCTCTTTGGGAAATCCACACTACTCTTTACGGTTCCAATTACTATCTATGTGCAAGTGCCAAATAATCCTCTATTTCTAAGCTTACCTCTTTCCTGAACCCTATATATACAATTGCTCATAAGACTTTCCAACTTAAGGGTCTTGTGCATGATATAAACATAGTGTTTTCAGAAGGGAATTCCTCATCCTCCAACCCTCCCTAGTCAACCTCTTTTTCATTAAAGTTGCACACCTGTATAAATGACACCACTCACCCAATTTCTTCAGTGAGAATTGAGGAGATATATTTGACCTCTCCCACTATTTTTGACCCCTACAACTAGTTACCATATCTTGTTGATTATATCTCACAAATATCTCTAAAATTCATCACATAATGACAATCCATTGCAGCCATCTTACCCCAGACTGCCATCATCTCTTACCTAAATTAATTAATCACTTGGCTCCAATGTTGTCCCACATGAACCCATCCTGCTCTAGGCTCATCTATTTTTCTTCAAATCTGATAATTTAACCCCCTAACTTAAAACCCTTCAAGATAAAGTTCAATTATCTTGAACTTTGATTATCACTTTTAAGGCTTTCTAAGATCTAGTTCTGGCCCCCACTACCAGCCCAGATGATGTACCATGTGTACTTTCACACTATATGGTCCAGCTTGTATCTGGACCTCTTGTGTCTCTCTCTTTTTTTTTTTTTTCTTTTTGAGATGGCGTCTTGCTCTGTTGCCCAGGCTGGAGTGCAGTGGCGCAATCTCGGCTCACTGCAAGCTCCGCCTCCCAGGTTCACGCCATTCTCCTGCTTCAGCCTCCCGAGTAGCTGGGGCTACAGGCATGAGCCACGACGCCCGGCTAATTTTTTTGTATTTTTAGTAGAGTCGAGGCTTCACCGTGTTAGCCAGGATGGTCTCGATTTCCTGACCTCGTGATCTGCCCGCCTCGGCCTCCCAAAGTGCTGGGATTACAGCGTGAGCCACCGCGCCTGGCCTCTTGTGTCTCTTTTTGTCTCTGTTTTGCTCACATTGAATGCTCTCTTGTCCCTACCCCTTTTTCTATGCCTGGCTCAATCTATTTCAGAGTTCCTATTCTCTAGGATTGATCGTATACTCCACTGTAGATTTCCAAGGTCTTAATACTTTCCATACCATAACATATATTTCTTTACTAGAAGCCCTCTTATCTCATATGATTGCTAATATTAAAATAGACTCAAATCTAAGAAGCATAAGATATTTACATTTCTTAAACATTTATTTTAATATAATACAGTTATACATTCATTCCCCTATTTTTTAATTTAAGGATATAGCCTTTAATTTGGAAACAGGTCCATTGACTGAAGATCCATACAATCTTTCTTTACTATAGTGTACCATCCATAATTTCTAATTTCACTATCTTTAAACTAAAAAAACACATTTGCAAGCCAATCTAAATATGAACTTTCTGGATTATTAAGTGTTTTTTTTTTCTGAGTCTTTGCTCATTGTATTTCCTCCACCTAATTTCATAGGAAAGTTTTTAGCAATTCTCCTTTATTGAGTCTTTCCAAAAAATTCAAGTTAATTTTCAAAGAAGCAACTCTCTCATTTTATACTCTATTTCATTGAATTATGGAAGCAATGTTATTTTTATTACATGGTTATAATACGAAGTCAACTGGCAATGGTTTGGGAATAAACACAACTAATTCTTGGCAAGCATGCAACGGCACCAATGAGAAAAATGTGTAGGCTTACTGGAGCGTCATCTACTGGCTGTGAGCTTTCACTGAGCCCTGAATATTAATCAGAGTGTTTTGCAAAGGAAATTGATAATATTGGTTAATTTGCCAAGTCAGTTAAATGGAGATCTATTAAGAGCACTTCTCTTAACATAGCTGCCTCTCTTTCACATTGACTATAAGCACTGTGATAACAGAAGAAATACGCATGTCTTAGAAACAACCATCTCTTTTGTATTCATCCCTACTTTCACTACCATGTACTGGGCACACAATAAATATTTGCTGAAGGAATAAAGAAATGAGTGAATGAATATATTAAGAAATATCTAAAATAATTACATCCTTCCTCCACTGTAGCTCAAGTGTCAATGCTTAATACTGCTTGATTTTCCTGAATGATTTCTCTATCCCCCAAAGTAAAATGTGTAATTTCCCTTTTTCCGACTCCAATGTTCCTGCACTTACTGCCAACATACCACTTTAAAATACTCTAACATCTGATTTTTTTATTTCCCATTACATATCTATTACATATCTCTTGAAGACAAGAAATCATTTGTATTTTTATATCTTGTTTTCAATATTTAAATGACACATGCTATTTCCATTCCCAAATTAATTGATAAATACATGAATAAATAAAATAGCTGTGCCATATAGTTATCCTTGATATCACTCTAGATGAGGAAACTGAGGCTGGAAAGATTAAACAGCTTAAGTAATATTAACAAAGCAAATAACTCTTGGGACCTCCTTGCTCTGTGTATGTCAAAGCTCATGCTCTCTTTCAACTCCATTACATCTCTTTGAATCAGATAGTAAGATGAAACCTCTTCTAGGAAGTAAAGACTTCCTGGCCCCAATCAATTCTTTTTACTTGCCACCTGCTTGTGAATATTAATATTGCTTTCGCTGGATTTTAAAAAGTAGACTCCTAGGTAAACAGCAAACAAGAGAGGCAGAGGCCAGAATGCTCAGAAAAAAGGATACAAACTGGCGCAATAAGGATTATATGGTCTGAAGCAGAGGTATGTGGAAGCTGAGGTGGGAAAGTGATGGTAAAGCAAACCAGACCCAAGGATATTGGTTTATCTTATGGCAATACTTAACCCATGGAATGAGAACATTTGTATGAATTATCCATGCCATTGTTTTCCTCCATATAAGATATCATATTTCCCATACGTGGTTTGGAGAGACTTCCTGGAGTAGATCGATTCCAAGTGTATCTTGAATGGTAGGGAAAATATGGCTTAGTGTTTGGAAAAAGGGATCTAATTTGCAGACTTCAAGGCCAGTGAGATTGAAGGAGCTGATTCAAATAAAAAATAGGCATACTTGAAGCAAGAACAAGCCATTGTGATGTTATAGTGAAGAGTAGAGAAACCCCATAGAATCATGAGAAGGACAGAACATCTTTTTGTTAATTATTTTCCTGGACCTCCAACTCCATACCACTGACCATCACATTCATCTTTAGTTTTATCCAAATTAGATTGGCTAATTTTCATCTGAGTTCTTCAGACATCATATCTTGTGCCGAATATCTTAGCTCTCAAATTCCTAACTTCCTATTTTAGAAAATTCAGACCAAAATCAATTCTCTAGTTTTCCAAACACTTGTTACTGATTTTCTTTCCATACACTTAATAATGTAGAGGTTCAACAACTTAGTGCGTTGCATCACATATTAATTGTCTTCTATATCATCTCATTGAAATGCATCCAGGACATACTATTATTCTTCCCACCTCTATTCATTTTTTTTGGTTTTATTTGGCAAGGAAATAAGGCCCTATAGCTACTTTATTCAAAATCATTATCTCTGCAACATAATTTCTTTTGTTTATTTTTCTTATTTTAGTATTTATAAATTCTCTTACTGTTCCACAAGTTCAGTGGGGCAGTGGTCTAACTTTTCCAACTATCAAATCACTTTAACACAAACTTACTTTCTCCTACAACTGAATTGGCTATCTTTACTGAAAAATTATAAATATGAAATCATATAAAAACATAAAAAATAATAATTTAAATGATATTTTATAATTATATATTATAATAATTTATAATATAAATAATTTATATACCTTATTTCAATGTACATATAAATCTTTGTATTTGAATCCCTGGTCCATCACTTGTTAACTCCACAGCTTTAGGCAAGGCCGTTAAACCCTTTGAAGTCTCTTGTTATTCCATCTAGAAAATATGGGTGACAATGGAATTTCCATCATAGCTTTGAAGATGAAATAAGAAAAACATGGAAATTATTATAGTGACTACCACATAACAAGGCAATAAAAGGTAGCTGTGGTTATTGTTATAAAGCAGGAGTATTTATATAGTTCAATGTAATTATTAGGATAGACCATAGATCTGCTTTTGAGCCCTTGAAATGTAGCCCAAATTGAGATATGCTATAAATGTAAAATACACACTGGGTTTCAAAGACCTAGTATAAAAAACAAAGAAGGTAAAGTATATCACTAATAAGTTTTTACATGCATACATGTTGAAATGATATTTTAGATATATTGGATTAAATTAAATATGTTAAAATTAATTTTGTATGTTTTAAATATTTTTAAAATGGCCACTAGAAAAATTAATTACACATGCAGCTTGTATTTGTGGTACACATTATATTTCTACTGTACAGTACTGCTATAAATAATAATAATTATAAACCCATGAGTGGGTTTAGTTTTACTTAGAAATCTTGTCATAAATTTTCTCTCATGTGAAATGTTGTCACCCATAATGAACTCTTATAAATTCTTATATAGACATGTAAAATATTTTGAAATATTTTATTATAGGATATATAGAAAATATTCTCAGGATTATTAATTTGTAATGACATATTAATATATTATAATTTGATATAAAGGCTCTTTTTATATCATATTTGCAAGATGTCTTCCTTATGTAGGCTGTGAAAAAAATAAAGATTTACTTGGGTATCATATATTTATACACCCAGTTAATTTACAAATGTGAGGGTAACTGAAGACCTGTATGATAATAGATGGGAAAACTTAGTTAATTTTGCTAAAAGGAATGCAGTTTACCAGAAGATCAGTAATAGATTGTGGTTAAAAAGTGGTCCTAGAGAAGCCTGTGTAAGTAAAAGACATTGTCTAAAAGCTGTGTGGGGATATAGGGTTGTTCTATAACTGTACATCCTGCCTCTCAGTGTGACCTTGAGCATCATGGACTATGACGAAACCCTAGTTTCTAGCCATGTGACCAACTAGTTGTTAAGAAAACAGGCTTGTATAAATAAATTCACCCAAAGATTCATGCTGAAGGCCTCAGATTCCATTTCTATAAATTGAGATGCTCTCTGATAACCTCCAGCTCAAAAGGAGATGATAATACATGACACATTCAAACAGGTAAGTGGAAATATATCCCTACTTTTTACATTTGTATATGCCACATTTATAAAGAGAATAACTTTAAGTATTACTTTACCCTATACCTCACAAAAAAAAAAACAAGAAACTGTCTGAACATTTATGACAGAAAAGACATATGCCTAGATTCCTCAGACCCCTGCTGAGGTATTCAGGGACTCTCTGGACAAAGCTGTGCTCAGCGGAAGTTTGGGCTCTCTGGTTCTGGTCTTTGTTTCTGTTTCTAATACACATTCATACTAAAAGGAACTGAAAATTGAGGTACAGTTCTCTTAAAATTACTCTGTACCCTGATTTCCACCTAAGTCTTTAGTTGTCTTTCTGAAAACTTCCCAGTACAATTTTAGAATCTCTCTTCAATACCCCTGTTTCCATGAGTCTATTCTTTACCACCCAAACCTTCTCCTACTAGGAGTCCCAGGTAACTTGTACCTCTGGTTTTTTTGTTTGTTTTTGTTGTTTTTTTTAGAGATGGGGTACCACTCTGTCTCCCAGACTGGAGTGCAGTGGCACAATCTTAGCTCACTGTAGCCTCAAATTCCCAGATGAAAGCGATTCTCCTGCCTCAGCCTCTGCTGTAGCTAGGACTACAGGTGAGCACCACTGCACCTGGCTAATTTTTAAAATTGTTTGTAGAGATGGGTTCTCGCTTTGTTGCCCAGGCTGGTCTTGAACTCCTGGCCTCAAGTGATCCTCCCACCTTGGCCTCCTAAAGTGCTAGGATTACAGTTGTGAGCCACCTCATACTGCCAGTACCTATATTTTGACCCTCGGTGACAGCTTTTCTTTATACTAATTTTCATATGAATCTTATTCCTTCTACTGAAGGAATTCCTTGGTATAACTTTTCTTATACTTTACAAACGCCATGAGTTTGACTTTAACGTTTTCTATTTTGGTGTACTCTCCCTAGTTGATCTCCTCAAATCTGTAGCTTCAATTACCATAAATATACATATGTATATATAGTCATACCTTGTATAACAGCATTTTAGTCAACAACAGACCACATATAGGATGGTGGTCTCATAAGATTATAATAGAGCTGAAAAATTCCTATTGCCTAGTGATCTGTATCACAATTGACCACTGTATTCCATATAGTAATGCTTAAGTTCTCACTAAGAGGCAGGTTATACAGTTATAGAACAACCCTATATCCCCACACAGCTTTTAGACAATCTCTTTTATTTATATAGGCATCTCTAGGACCACTATTTTGTACAATTTTGTAGCCTAGGAGCAGTAGGTTATAGTATCTAGGTTTGCATGAGAACTACATACATACTCTGTACTGTTTACACTGAAATTGCCTAACAACATCCCTGTCGTTAAGCAACACATGACTGTATATGCATTTATGTGTGTGTGTGTGTGTGTGTGTGTGTGTGTGTGTGTGTGTGATCTAAGCCCAGATCTTTCTCCTGATATTAACCTGGTATCTCTAATTTCCTACTAGATATCTTTACTTGAATGTGATACTGGTATTTCACACTCAACAGGTTCAGCATGTTCATCACCTTTCTACTCCTTAAATCTATGTTTCCCCTTGTGTTTTTTGATGTGAGTAAATGGCACCACCATGCACCTAACCTTCCCAGTCAGAAACCAGGATATCATCCTTAATTAACCCCCCTTCCTCACTACCGACATACATCCAGCACAGAGCAGTCCAGTACTTTCCACCTTTTGAATATCTTTGGAATCTGTATCTCTCCATTTCCAGACCACTCCCATAGCACAAACCACGATTATCTTTTTCTAGGATTTCTGCAGCAGCTTCTACTTCCAGTCTGGCATCCCTCCAATCTCATCTCATATTGAAGCCCAAACAATTTTGCAAATCTAATCATATCACTTCCAAATAGAGCCTCCATTGGTCCTTGTTTCCCTTGGTATAAATTCAAATTCCTTGATTTTGAAAAACAAAGCCCTAACATGCAACTCTACTCAACTCTCCAATTTCATCTCTTGTTCCCATCTTACACTCAAGCCATACTGAACACTCAATTCTCTGAATGGAACCATTCATATTTATTCACTCTCTGTTTCTGTCATTGTTTCTCTTGGACTCTTCTTGTCTTTCCCTGTCTGCCCCACTGTCTCTTCCAGGACTTTGTAGATGTCTTTCCTCTGCTTAGAACATGTTTTCCATTTTCCCATTTCATCTTTCCCTCTTTGTGAAATTTACTTTTGTTTATCTTTTTGAACTCAGCTTAGTTGTGACTTCTACCAGGACATATTTTTCTTAGTCTCAGGCTGAATTAGGTTCCCCACCCATTTGTTTCCACAGTATATTTCTTTCATATTTATGGTAATAATTACCGTGTTTTATGATGCCTAATTATTTGTTTGCTTCCTCACTGTAAGATTTTTGTATCCTTGAATACAGGGATTGTGTCTTATTCAATATTATGTGCTAAGCACCTAGACCAGCACATTGGAAGTACCGAATAAATGAATGAACTTCCTACAGTATTTAGTCAAGGGGCTTGCATGCAATAAATACTCTACTTCCTAAATTTTAGATAATTTTTTTTGTGGACACTGTAACAGGAACCAGTCATTCAGAAAGAAAGAGGTAGTATCGAAAGAAAGGACAAAACTTATGATCTACCCAATTTTCCAAGTAGACTCAAATTTAATGTTGAGATATAAATCATCTGCACATTCTATCCTTGTCTCATCCTACAGGCTAATTCTGCAGACTTTACTTAAATTTCTCCAAGAACACAAAGTGGCCTTGCTAGGAATCCCAAAATAAATAATGTCGCTGAGCCAGAATCCTAGAAAGAATATGTGGATACGTCCTTTCCTACTTGTCTTTTATTCCTCTAGTACTATTTATCAGGTAACGTTTTCAGGGTTCTCAAAAGAAAAAAAGCAAAAACCTTATATCTTTAAAGGATAATATTTTACTCCCTTCACCTTGAACTTAGGTTTAAATTAAAATTAGGTTGAATTTAGATTTAAATTTAGGTTTTAAAATGTGTACATTCTTTCATAATCTTGAGATACTCTGTTTTATATTACTCAATAAAATGATAAGGTTATTTTTTACACTTAGGCCCATTATAGTTTTATAGTAAAATATTCAAAGGCCTTGCTGTCATGAAAGGTTTTGCTACACATAAATCAGGCCTGCTTGGTACATAGTGATAAATGTGGTAAGATAAGTCATTCACTCTTACTGTCATTCAGATGGCCAATGATGGAGCTGTCCTTGTTTCTCCAAATAAGTTTTATTATGGAGTTCTGCCATAATAGTCTGGACAAACAGAATGAATTTAGGTCTCATAGACCAAAACAAATTTAGAAGTGTAAAACAGTCACTGGGCCAATTCTCCCAACTATGGCATTTGTAATTTACATGGTCTCAAAATATTGAAAATTAGTCTTACAAATAAAAAAAAAGTACAAAAAAAAGGCTTTGCTTCTAAGAAATACGAGGGTTACTTATAACCCAGCATACAGAGAACTAAAGAACAAACAGCAGATAAATAGAAATGAAAAGTCTGCAGATTTAAAACATAGCAAGTGGCCAGGCGTGGTGGCTCACGCCTGTAATCCCAGCACTTTGGGAGGCAGAGGCAGGTGGATCACATGAGGTCAGGAGTTTGAGACCAGCCTAGCCAACATGGCAAAACACCGTCTCTACTAAAAATACAAAAGTTACCTGGGTGTGGTGACGGGAGCCTGTAATCCCAGCTACTCAGGAGGCTGAGGCAAGAGAATCACTTCAACCTGGGAGATGGAGGTTGCAGTGAGCCAAGATCGTGTCATTGCACTCCAGCCTGGGTGACAGAGCAAGACTCTCTAAATAAATAAATAAATAAATAAATAAATAAATAAATAAATAAATAAATAAAAACATAGCAAGTAAATAAATTATACTACTTTTTCCCTAACCCTGTGATGGTGTATTATTATAGGTGACACTTGCTGTCCAGTGGCAGGTTGACAGGTTGCCATTACTAATACATGATACTTGGATGTGCCTAATTACCATGGGACACTAGTATTGCCCAAAGCTACTTCTAAACTTCCATGTGATGACTAATAATTGTACTTGGGTTATACACACATTGGAAATGTGGCTGGCAAGACCTACTGATACTCATATGAACCATGTGAGTACAGAAAGGAAAATACATACCCTTCATTATCTTGTTCATTTCTGGGAGTTCTCAAGTGCTTCTTTTTTTTGAACTGGGCTGAACATGCCATGTTTATATTCTAAGAGTCAGATAAAGGAGTATAATATAATTAACCCAAACATACAGAGTATCCTAACATACTTATGACAGATTGCTCATTAAAAAATCCCACATCATTAAGATAATCTACACTGATGGAAGGACATGTTAGTACTTTTTTTATATAGCTCAAACTCACCACACCATATCAAGCTCTTTAGTGTTAAGATTTTGTTTTCTATAGATTAGAAACTATGAACCAGGATAAATTAATCATTCAAAATATGTTAACACAAATGGGCATTTAGTTAAAGCTGAGAGATATCATATTGAATATGGTGGCTAGTCTCTCAATATGATGCTTAATCATAATTTTTAAGAGTCAAAAAGACTTTTTTTCTAATTAGAGCAGACAATGTGTCAGCATACTGTAGTTCGAATTGACTATATTATTGTGCACTCATTTTTGGAATTTCAAGTAAAAACAAGAAAAAGCATAAGGGATCTAATACAGAGCTCATCTGTATTTCAGAAGAATTAGGTCATGACCCATTTCATATCTTAAAGACCCAAGAAAGCTACTTGAATTCTTCAAGGCAAATAAAGAATAAATTCTTTCCTTTACCCTTGCCTGTAGCAGAATTTTTCTCATGCTTGTTATGTGATCAAGTGATCACTTTCTTAGCTATAATCAGACTTGTCAAGACATTAAAGAAGAAAGCAGCAGACTCTGGGCTTCTACTTGCAGCTTGGAAAACGTATTAGTGTTATGGTATAGCCAAACTCCCATATTTGTTAGGATGACTAAAAAGTAATTTGGCTAAGAGCTTGGAAAAACATGAGTCATTTGCTGCCCCAGTTTCTTTTTTCCCCTTGAGTGTCATCAAATGATAGTAACATATATGCATGTTACAATCTGATACAAATAAAGAAACAAACAGCGAAGGGAGGTGGGGTGGGGAGGGGCTGTGCAGAGGGGTGGGGTGAGGAGGAGTGGGGAGACAAAGAATAGACTGTTTGAAGGCCAAAAAAATGTTATTTACTTACATTGGAGAAGTAAGAGAAGGAGAACATAGTGCTAGGTGTCACTACAGCAACCATCCCTTGAAGACTGGGGAAACTTGTCTTGGCTTTGACCAAATGGTAGTACATGTCTCATTCCTAAGGATAGACAACATAAGGTTGGATTTTACCATAAATATATCACTCATTTCACAAGAACAGAGTTGGGGTTGAGGTGAATCTTGATATTGCTCTATGCTACAGAATTGACATCAAAGAGATAAATTAGTAATAGGTTTTAGCACCTAAGAAGAATAAGCACAATCTCCAGGCTGCTCATTGAATTTGGAAGACATAATGACAATGATATCACTGAAAACACTAGGATATCATTGACAGAACTTCCAGTACCGATAAATTCATAGATTTAATGATGAGTCAGGTGAAGGTTTTCAAATGCAGAGGAGGCAAAAAACAAAGTATAAATATTAGAAAGTAGATTCTGCAATGAAAGAACTAAGGAAAATTAGTATGGGGATATAGATCTAGTGATTTAAAAAGCGGCAAAGAATTCGATCAACTCTGAAGGAAATTTTGTAAGTAATCAAAAGCCCACATTTATTTAAATTAGGTCACAAAGGGGTCTTTAGAAGAACCAAGCTAGGATAATTTATTCATTAAAAAAATTTCTGCAACAATATTTTAATTTCAAATGATTTTTGCCTTGCTACTTAATACTGTATTTCTCAGTCTTAATGACTGTGCCAGTGAGTTCATTTGGGATAATTCTGTTTAAAAATTAGAAAAGCAAAACATTACTTTTAAAGTATGCCTGCTGATTCTCTTATTAATTGGGTTTATCAATAAAATGGTGAATAAACTGGTTTAGAAATTAAAACACTGAACTAAGAATATGTGGAATTAGAGTCTAGTTTTAGCTTTTTCACTGATTGGGGTGCTTATGAACAAAATCACAACCAACCTGAATCTGTTTCCTTGCCAATAAAATGAAGATAAAGTATCAGACACCCTACATTTTCCATGAGTGTTTTGAGAGTGAATTAGATAAAGTCAGGAACAATCGTGCTCATTTGCAAAGTACTTGTAAAAAAGAGGGGTATGGTTAAAACTCACATATTGTGGTTGCATCGAATTTCTCACATTGAAAAAGGCTGTGTTTTATTTAGAGTAATCAGAATTGTGACAGGGTCAAGGAGAACAGATAGATGTTAATCAAAGTCTTTTAAGCTTTTATGTCCACAAAACCAGAACCAATATGTGGGCCCAGGGCATTGATACAAAATGAACTCTGTTGCCATTCCCTCTTAGCCAAATTCTCCTACTTCCTGATCAAGGGATTTCACTAAGTACTCCCTCCCGGTGGAGACAGTTGATTCTGATCCCGGTGGAGACAGTTGATTCCGTCTGGTGAGGTGAAATGACAACACAGTGACTCCTCCCTCTTCTACCACAGGCTTACCAAAGGCCCAATGAAACCCAACACAAATACCCTTAGGTTACTTCCTTTTTACCTTTGGTTCTTCCTCTTGCTTCTTCACAGACATTCCATTTGGTTTGATGATCAGCTTCATACAGCTCTTCTAAGGATTTCTAGAACAAACAACTCAACACCAATATGGGCAGTATCCATTTGCACTGCTTTGAGGGATTTGTCCTTTGCCTCACAAATTTCAAGTTAGAAGCACTTGGTCTGATACAAGACAGTTTAGGATTATAAAGCAGCAATAAGAGCAAGAAGAAAAAGGCTACCACATTCATATTTATCAGACTGAACACATCTTTATTTTCCAGGATCTCCCCCAGGTTTTACCCATTTTTATACGGGATTATGGATGTCCAAATAAGTTTGTCTTCTTTGTCGATTTCTCCCATTTGCCAGTTAGGCTATTTTATTGAAACCTCTCCCTTGGGTATTGTGCCAAACAGGAGAAAAGTAGGAAAATTCAAATTCACCAATTGTTACCTTCACTGGAACCTCTAGTGAGAAGTTAAATAAACACACCAGGAAATTTCAGTAGGGGTGTTAACAAAAAAGGGGATTTTCCTGGAAGTTTAACGGGTCCATTTGGAACCCCCTAATAGCAGGAGGGAGGGTTGCTAAAATGCTAGATGAAATGCTTTCACCATGTGGTTCACACCCCAAGAACAGTCTTCTGGCTTGAGCATGCTGATAAAAAGTCTTACAATCATATCAAGATTTAAATTATTTATAATTTCTCTGACCATATTGCAATTGAAAAGTCAAGAGCATATGGCACATTTTTCAAGAAATCCTTTTCATTTGGCTCCTGTTGATATAATACACCAGGGGAATTTGACATTCCTTGCTGATCTTGAAGGAATCCTTTATAAATTTAATACTGGAGGATGATTTGGTAAGTTTTTCTTCTTTTTGCTTTGCTATTTCACTTGCTTCACAACCTCCCCTGCCCAAATTAGGTTAGTATTTTGAATTATGATACAGTCAAGGCAGGAAAATTTCATTTGAATTTATGGTATTTTTCATTCTGTGTGACACATGGAAGTGAAATTACTGGGGAATGTGGTAAGTATCCATGAAATTCTATAAATACATATCAGTGAGGAAAAACTCTAACAGCTATCTCAAATGTGATGGTGGAGTTCAAACTGGCCTGAAGGATAGTGGCTAGCTAACACTCAATAAAATGAATTTGCAGTCATATATGCCCTTTTGCATTTCTGGTTATGAAGATGTTTATAACAGAACAAACTTCTCATGGCAAAAGATAAATTACATTTGTAAAATCTAAGAAACAAAGAGATGTGTATGACTCACGTAGTGATTGTACAACATGAAGCAGAACTGGCAACCAGTTTTTGCCAGTGTGATTGAACAATCGCTATGACTTCTTAATTTTATCTTTGACTTCTAAGAAATACTGGTTTCTATAGCAGTAGTGTATTCTAGTAGTGTTATTGACCAGATCAGAGCACTCAGACCTCTTGTGTAATTTAAGTGCACTACTATGCTCTTTGGAGTAAGTCACAATTTTCTTTCCTAAGGTCTATTTTCTTATATAGAAAGGGGATAGGCTCTGATGTACACTCCTCTTTTTTAAAAGTGAAATAAGATATGTATGAAAGCTGTCTAAAGAGCAGAGATGTCATTCTTAACAAATCATGTAATACTTTGTTTTCTGCTCTGGTGGACTATATAGTAATGATGGAGATGACTAACGATTGAGATGTAGATTGCAGATATCACATGTATCCAAACCTCTGGAACTGGAAGTGTGACAAATACACAATGGCAATGATAATTTAAGCCTGGTATAGTCAACAATTTAGTCTTCTGTATTTGGAAGACATGTTTGTGTACAGAATTTTCACCAGAAAGTTTTTATAGCAAACTTTTTATGTCAGAAGTTTATTTTATTGGTAAAATATTAAATAATATACAGAATTAAAAACTGCACTTACACTTCTGAGAAGAAATAAATCTTGGACAAATTATATGCTTGTTCCTGAGATTCCCTAAATTTATTCCAGTAGCTGTGCACTCAGACAGTACAAACCTTTATAATATAATCCTTTTCACAAAGTATTACAAAGTTTCTGCAGCTTCTTTAGTTGTACACACATACAGACACACACTCACACATGCATATACAACACTCATACACATATACACAGTAACCACATACATGCACAGAACATGTATGTGTGTGCATTAAAAACAAAGAAGATACAAGTCCCACATTTTAGTCTGCAGTGATAAAACTATTTAGCGGAGGTCTCCAAATCAGTATGTAGTAGAGTGACTTGTCACACAGCTGCAAAGACTGTTTCAGTATTTCCATAGTAAACCTCATTTTCTGAGGTATGGTATTTGAGCCTTAAAAAAACTACATTACACTTAGCAAACCTGACATACAAGGTATGGAATTTTAACTTTACATATATATTTATATATATATATATATATTTCTTTTTTAAACAATAGTTTTTATTTCCCCAAATTATTAGTTTGAAAAAAAATGAGGTTTACTGGTTTGACCTATTTTTTTTTCTTTTTTTGCTTCTAAAACACAAAATACCCTAGAAACTGTCAAGCAATTAGTCTTTAAAATAGTCTAATTACCTTTGGTATTGTTAAAGAAAGAATATCTAAAATGGCCAAGACACATACTGTACAAATGCAGAAATGCAGTAACTGCCTTTAAAAGAAATGCCAAAGAAATGTTATCTTTTAACAAAACATGTATTTATATTACAGCAGTTTTACTACAGGGACACAGGTATAAAAAAAGAAAATTAGCACACTACATATAAATATGTATAAGAAAAATACCTCTTACTTAAATTTGTATGAAAACAGGACTGCTCCAAATATTTTTAAAAAAAATTTCTCCAATAGGTGATATGTAAGTGTTTAAAACTCAGCTAAGTGCTTTGCTTTTATTTAAAAGTTTATTTCTAAAAGGGGAGAAGTAAAATAAAAATATTAAGTATTAGGTTCTTAATTTAGAGCATTGGGCGAGGGTCTAAGAAGATTCAATCTGTAAAAAGTTCAACTTTAGGACACATTTTTCAAGCAAAAGATTACTAATTTCCATGGAAATTTAGCTTAAATAAAGATACCATGAGATCAGACTAGTGGTTTCCACATTCTGTAATCTTTTGATTGTGGAGTGTTTTTCTCTTTGCTTGTTGTGTCCTTTAACATACTATGACTTTTATGAGTTTCTTTTTGTCATTAGCTAAAGGAAGAATAGGTCAGAAAAGAAAAAAAAATCACCATAGTTTTTAAGACTTCAAGGGGAGTATTGCACTTGTACAGAAAGAAAAGAATAGTATCTTTTTAACTAATAGCAGAAGCAATCATTCTGGGATTGCAAATAACACATGGTCTAAAAGGTCCAACTATTAACAGCAAATATGGGGCCTGGAGACCCCCTCCAAACCTGGAATATTATTATAGTAATGTTAAAGCATTTTTCTCCCAATTAGGAGAAAGTTAAGACTCTTTGCTTTACATTTTTAACACCTTTCTAAACACTTGCAAATAACTGTCTAGTCTTTCATGATATACATTTTTTGGAGGAAAGCCAAATCAGAATGTAAAATCCAACAATAAAGGAAAGCAAACATACTATAATAGGATTACATAATCTCTGAAGTAATGTTTTAGGTACCCAATATTTGAAAGTGAAAGTAACATGAGGGTTACATAGCTTACTATTTTTAATCCAACCACTTTTCTTTTTAATAGAAAACTACACTTGAGTATAAAAATACGTCAGCAGATTATACAACCAACAAAAATCACGAAAAAAAAATTAAGATTAAATTACCAATGAACTAGAAATAAGAGTTGACCTAATCTTCAAACTTTTAGGAGAACAGAGAGGTAAACATCCATAGACAATGACAGAAGGGAGACGGACAAAGAAAGAGGCTGAGGGAGATGTAACAAAATTTAAGAGATAACAGAGAGACCTTTGTTACACAGAAAGGGAAGGGAGTTATGTTCAAAATCAGAATGCTTGACTGTAAAAAATTTTTAAATCACAGTTTCAGAATTTGAACTACTTAAAAAAAACAAGAATAAAACAACAAAAAAACCCAGATCCCTTCCCTTGTTACAGTGTAGTCATTTTTTAAAAAATCAATTTCCAGTAAATTAAAGTAAGTAAAATCTTGGTAAGTGCATAGTAGGGGATTCAGTGACCTCCACCTGCTCAAGAAGCTTTTCTTACTATCTGTCACTTGAGGTAATTTGAAGGCCCAATTCACTGCAAACTCATTTATTTGTACCTATATGAACTTATATGCTGTACTTTATGTGACTTAGCAGAGGGCCTTTAACTTTTATATTTTATTCACAATAAAAAGGACATCTTAGAAAACTAGTCATTCATGTACCACTCTCTGTATGGGATAAAGGTTAATACACAACACATATTTTATACAGAAAATATACAAATGCAGTGTTATGGGAGGAAAGCCCCATAAACAGAATTATGAACTTATTCCTAAGAGTGCAGGTGAAAAATATCCTCAAACTTACAGTACAGCAAGATAAAACTAAAAAGCTAGAAATAGAATATTACATAAAAACCTTATGGAAATTCCAAAGTTTAAGGTTTCTGCAATAAATGTAAAAATATTCAAGGTGTCATTATTTGGCCTAGTAATACACTATGATAAAAAGAAACACTAGCATATCACAGCTTCTTGGTCATATGCCATTTGCTTTGTATAACCAGCAGCTCATTTTTTTAAAAAGCTGTCATATCCTAACACACCCATTGCAAGTAATACACAACCATGATATGAAACCATTTGAGATTATGCTTTGGAGAATAGCAATGTGATATGACTGTTCAGTTTTGCTTTGTTCAAGGAGAATTAATTACCTGCTTTTTCACATTATTCCATCAATTTTCAATCTCTATTTTCTAACAGATTAGAAAATACAGATTCCAAGACTAGAACAATACTAGTCTGGAGATGAAAATCCAAATGAATACTGTATTTTATTGACCAAAAAATTATCTAATAAATTCTTGTTTGATACAGAACTTATTCTTCCTTAAAAACAAAACAAAAACACAAATTATAATTCAATTCACAGGTAAAGTTTCACTCTATATTTTACCTGCATAATCTTGTAATCATATTCAGAAATACTATGAAACTAAAAAGGTAGTAAAGTCTAGTTTCAAAGTTTCCTTTTCCTTTTAACAGCTGAGCTGAAAATTTCTCTATTAGAAATTGCTCTAAAGATTTGCACTAAAAATGCAGAGATGAATTATATAGTACTCAATTTTAAGTGATTTTTAAAAATGCATATTAAAAGTGTTGTACAGCTGCAACAGCTAACCAACACTCTCAATGCATTTTAAAAAGGCACCAATATAAAGAACATAAGTATTTAATACATTAAATTCAGGATTTAGGAGACCAGTTACTGTATATTTTAATTATTTTGCAGAAACTGGAGAATTAAAAATATGTCTAAGATAACTTTCATATACACAAACTTCAATTTCACCTCTTCCCACTTTTTTTTTCTTTTGGATTTGGGGAATTTTCTGGTTTAGAATAGTCTTCATTCAGATAGTATTTATTAAAATAATACATAAAATGCAACTGATGATAAACACAAATGTAATTTATCCATTTTTGGACGTGAACAATCCAAAGTTAAAAAACAAATCATGTAGCTAGTACCTCTGACAGTTTAAGTTCTGCCTGAAACTAGGGGCACACAGTTTTTTGCTTGTATTTTTACAGCCCCGTCTGCTCTTTTTGTACCCTAAGAAATCATTTTGGAGATAGGATGAAATAAAATTTGGAAGATAGTGAGAACATAATAATTTTCATCTAAATGCCTTAATCTGATGTAAATTTTGTTAAACATTTATAAAATACCAAAGACTTCATGGTTTTGTGAGTTGTACAACTGAGATAAAAACTATAAAAACAAAATACCGGGCTCACTAAACTATTCTTGTCTTTCTCTATTTGCCAATAAGTAACTGTTGATAATATTTATTTTCTGAATTTTCTTCGTATTCCAAAAAACTTTACATTAAATATCTTTGAATGTATATCCAATCAGCTTAATCATTGTTTGTTTCACTTTGTTCTGTAAGTAGATAATAAGGACCCAAAGTTTTAGTTTAAGAGTTGCCACTGGTCCTAAAGACACACTAGTAACTTCTTTAGTGATTCCTATTACGACCTGATAAAGTAAACCCAACTAATTTCTTGGTATTAACTGTCATTTAAATTCTCTGTATGTTTTTGCAATACATCTGATCACTCCAACTGCTTTTTTTTCCATGAATTCTCTTTAAAAGAATGTGTGTGTAGTATACACACACATATACCCTATGATTCATACATACAATTGCCTGTATGTATGTAGGGGAGATACTTTCTACTACGTAGCCAAATCTAAGTCGTAGTTTCTTATTTTCCCAATTTTGTCCCTTTAGGAAATCTCAATGGAATATTTCAATGACTTGAAATTTCTTCCAATCCGCCTACTGATCCCTTTCCCTGTCTTAAAAAGGTCCAATTAGAATGGCTTTTGAGCATGATTCATCACTGTCAGAGAGAGGCTAAGATAAAATTCTGGGCAAAATTAGGGCAAAGCAATGTGATGAAATTCTGAACTTTTGCCAAACTGGAAAATACAGAAGATAACCCATTTTCATGCTCCTCAAATACTTTCTGTAATGTGAAATCTCACCTAAACAAACTGGGCATACAACTGTTATGTAAAACTTGATTTATTTGGTGTCTGACTCTTATGTTTATTTTTAGATGCTACAACCTTGCGTATTTCCTTTTGAAGAAAAGGCATGCACATATAACCATCCAGAGTTTCTCCAAAAACACTACGTCCACAAAAATTCTTTCTGACCCACAAATTTGAATTGACTTTGTCCTCAATTGTCCCTGCCACACCCTGAGCCATATCCACCTCTTTCTGTTCCTCATGAAGCTAGGAAGATACAAGTATATGCTTGTAGCAAATGCACTCTCAACTACTAACTACCTTCAATAAAACAGATTCCCAAAAAGATGAAATCAGAAAAGGAAAGTGCCTCAGCACTGTCTTCATAAGGTTTAGGGTCCACCTAAATTTAGTTTCATCCTGGGGCAGGTAGATACATGATTGTTCATATACTGAAAAAAAAATAAGTAGGAAGAAAATTCATAGATAATGCCAGCAGAAATTCGCACACAGCCAAAATTATGAACATATTGACTGACATCCAAATGTTTCCTTAAATTGCAGTAAAAGACAAAATTGTGAACCTTAAAATTATTTACCTCATCCAAAAGGAAAAAAAATGGCATCCCAATTATTATTTGGGAGTGGTTGGGTGGGGGGGGGTGAGCGAGTCTCAAAAACATGCTTTATCTTTAAATAGGTTGTATGTTCACTATGTACCAAGGCATGCAGAAAAAAAAAAATGAAATGGTTGACATTCTATATATCTCTGTTTTGGTGCATTCCCTTAGATTTAAAGGGGGCAGTTTGGACATTTTCCCAAAAATAATTATGACAGGGACTAGTAGAAGAGAGCTGAGTTCTAACCATTTTTGCCTAGTTCTAGCTGTGTTAGTGCTTAGAAGTGCTTAGCTGGTGCCTACCATTTAAATAGCAAATAGTAAGCTGGAAAATGAGTTAAGAGCAGTATTGGGGCCAAACTTGCTTATGTCCACAATTCTCTTGACTTGGTAATTCTCATACCACACTGTATTAAGATACATAATTTCAGCATCCTATTTAATGATCCTTTAGAGCAGTTATCAGTTACTGCCTAACAGAATTTCAGTATTCACAAATGGTTATCAGATAATCCAGTCACAGTCAGGTCTGTCCTCCCCAAACAGAAGCAGCAAGTTCTGCCTTCCAAGTATGTCCCCCTAAAATGACTTGAATCAATATCACTCGGTTCCTCCCCTCTAATGTGGCTGGACTGCAAAGAAAAAACAGAGCGCCCACATAAATGAAATTAAAATCTGCACATGAAATATGGCAACCTATACCATGTAAGGGGAATTCTATACTAAGGGATTGAGATTCATTTCTGACAAGGACTTACACAATTAAATGTTTTGGAAACAGAAAAATGTGCAGGACTTTCCTTTGGGGGTTCTGTCACATTCTAGACTCCAAGAAGGGTAAAAGTAAACTTTCTTATTTTTTTGTTTCTTTTATCTGTTGTCCAAGGTACAGGTTACAAAGAAGTCCCATTCCCTTTTCTTTGCAACAAGAGTAGTAAATACTACTGAAGAAATGCTAAAATAAATAGCCCTAGTTCTGTAACCTTACAGGGTTCAAGTTACCAGATTCAGGCCAAATTAGCAATTGCTCTGAGGAGATTTTGAAAGAAACAGCCGACAGGAAGACTTTTAAGACCTTCTACTCGAAGAGTAAAGGATGAATGAACTATGGACAGAACACCGGGAGGTCACATCTTGAAAAAAACTAGTGAAAAGAGAAATACCAGAAAAGGGATTTCTAAGTGGGTTTTCTCCCCCTACTGTTAGCATAATTATATTTTTCTGCTGACTGGTTAACACTGATTAAATGCTGATAAAGTGACAATCGTAAGCATACTTTTAGAAACAAATACATATACTATGCTGCCATCACATTACAACTTTAAAAGAAAACCTCTCAAACAAATTTATGAAAGTAGAAGTCCCTCCCAGAAATTATTGACTGCCTTTTATCCACTCTTAGACCATATGTTATTCTGAAAACTACATAAAAATACTATTCCTTAAAGGTGTTAAAAGTAAGGCTGCCAGGGTGTCTATAAAATGCCAGTCATCAAAACTATGGAAAAACAGTGCTTACGTTTAGAAAAATAAGATCACAGGACCTCAGATGTATTGTAGGTGGCCCTTAACTACCTGTAGTTTAAAAGTTTTGCTATATGGTACAGTGTAAAACATACTGAATTATAAATTCCATAGGGGAAGTAAACATAGAACCCACAACAACTCAGCTCCTCTTAGGAGTTATCACTGAAAATAACAATGTGTTTGTGTTCCATGATCTCTGAAGAACAAAAAATTGGTTTACAGTTTGAAACACATTCTTCTTTCAAGAATAAAGTTACTTATACCATTTTTAAACCACCAAAGTCCTACCCAGAAAACTCTGAACTTTCCTGTCTTCCATCATAATTCTGAATATCAGTGGCAAATCAGAATCTCTTAGGTGAATCTTTATGAATCAAGTGATTTTTCAAAGCATGATATGCCTTGGTAGAAATGGACTGCTCTTAAATTCCCACAAAATAAACAAGCCAGGTGATAAAGAAACAATATTCCCGCCCCTTCTCTCTTCTGTTTCTTCCTTATCGTAATTAGGCAGAGCAAATGACACTGCCTCCACAAAATAAGAATTATCAACAGTAATAATATTAAAAAAAATAAAAGGTATGTCAACATTTGAGGAAAGGTGGGATTGTAAGTGCAGTATTTCTTCATGTGCAGTTCTTTACTTCATAGGGGTCCCCTTTGGAATGAAAAGGCCTAGTGGAATGTGTGCTCCCCTCGAACAATGTGTGATGAAAACTCATAACGGTCCTGGCTTCTGTAGCCACAGATGTTGCATTCCAGTGGGTCCCGGTAGCCATGGCAACCCATGTGAATGGTGTACATGACATGGTCTAGGAAAAGGACTCGGCAGTGCTCACACTTGAAGGCCCTAATCTGTTCTCCTTCTCCATTGAAGACCTTGTAGATGTCCTTCAGAGAGCCCTTAGGAGCCTTGGTAGTATCCAAAGCTTTGACATCCTCCTTCATGTAAGCTGGGCTTTGTTTCCTCTTGGGATTTAAGGCAGGGTGTCCTTGGTAGGACTGGTGGTCATCATGGCTGCTTTCTGAGTCAGTGGAATCCAGGCAGCTATTGCTGGGAGAGGCCTCTCTTTCCTGGGGTCGACTCTTTGGTCTGATGAGAGAGATGGGGCCATCCATGTTGTTTTCATGACTATCAGCAGTTTCCCTGCTAATGGGTCTTTCTATCCTATTTGGATGATAGACCTGAGAATAAGCTGAGCTTATAACTGGGGCCACTTCAGCGATTGTGCTTGGCGGGTGCTGCATCAGAGGGTGAAGGGCCTCAGCTCCAAGGTAGGTGATTGCATTGTTGATGGCTTGGTCCATCATATGAGACTGCATCAGCTCAGCCTCCTTCTCATATGTTAAGTTCATATCAAAGTGAATATCTGGGTAGCTGAATCGCATGAGCTTTTCCCCTGGAAGGGAGTGGGAGGTGAAAGAAGTAAAAAAAAAAAAAAAATACAACAACATTAGTATCAGATTAAAAATATGAAAGGGTACGAAGTTGACTGATTGCCTCCATTTTTCATAATTTGGTATATATTACTCTATAAGTCAAGTATTTGGGCAATTCTGCTGATGCTCACACACATTTTTTTTTTTTTTGAGACAGAGTCTCAGGGTGTGATCTCTGCTCACTGCAACCTCCACCTCTCCAGTTCAAGGGATTCTCATGCCTCAGCCACCTGAGTAGCTGGAATTACAGGCATGCGCCCCCATACCTGGCTAATTTTTGTATTTTTAGTAGAGATAGGGTTTTGCCCTGTTAGCCAGGCTGGTCTAGAACTCCTGGCCTCAAGTGATCCACCCACCTTGGCCTCCCAAAGTGTTACGATTACAGGCATGAGACACTGGGTCTGGCCACAAATATTCTTGACATGAAAAAAATATAAAAGCAATAAAAATTTTGTAAGCCATTTGCATTTGTTCTGATGCCATCATGAGAATGCATCTAGTCTGAAAGATATGATTGAGTTTATCATATTTTCATTTTCTTTTAAAATTCTCACTTGAATAGAGCTCAAGGAGAATAGGAGGAAGAATACCCAGTAAAAACAAGTCAGAGACTATGCTTGATTTTGCATATTTTAAACATTAGTGACCAAGCTACAAAGATCATAAAAGTGAGAGTGATCTGGTTATAACATATGGCACCTCACTGTTGTGTAGGGTTAAGTTGGTTGATTCGGCCACTATTTCAGAAAAAATATATATAACCCATATATGTCATTCTGGAGATTTTTTAAAAGTCATTATTAAAATACTTTTAAAAGTAGTACCACCTAATAAAAATGAATGAAATGTAGGGTTATTTAAAAATAAAATTAAGAGTTATTTCAAAAAGTATTTGCTCATAAACTCGGAAAATCTTGTCTCATTGTTTTGCTTCTTGAAATTAATATTCATTTTTATATCATCCTTTCTTATTTAGACATGTGTATGTGATAGTGCTGGTACGTACACCCATTGCTAGCTTCCCATACTTTTTCTTGATTGAAGCATGTTTGCAGTTTTTCCTTAAATATACACCTCAACAAATATAATTTTACTCCAATATTTTACATCAACATAATGTCTGACTGTTAACTATAAAAGAGTTTTGGTGCTTGCAACGGGAAAAGTAGTTTTGATTTTTAGCCAGATATTGCTGGTTTTGAACAGAATATTTAGTCTTTTACAAATTCTGTCCCTAAGACAATGTGGTCTCTATTTACCAGTTACTTTCATAGGTAAATCTTACAGATAAATGCTTCTTAAAAACATATGTGGGTTTCCCATAAATGGTTAATATGTTGTTGTGGATGGATGCTTAACTTGTAATTTTGGCAGATACTCTCAGATTGGAAGAAATGGCCCCTACGTGAGATCAGTGTAATGATTAGAGTAACAAAAATGGAAACACAAAACGAGGAGAAATTATTTCATGGCACTCAACTTAAGATATATGCAATGTCAAACATTTCCAAATTAAGCTAGACAAACCTGATCTATATTCTTAAAGAACTTACAGTTTGGAAGGAACAATAGCAATTTAAGGATCATTTACAACATAGTGTGGTATGTGTGATGGGGTCAAATAAGAGGAATATTTAGCTCATACCAGGGGACTAAAGGAACACTTCTTGAAGGAAATGGAATCAAGGACAATAATGTGATTGTAAACATAGCCAAGTGAAGAAACATGAGGTGGAGTAGCTGGTAGAAAGGATCAGAGGCAAGAGGGCATCACTTATAAAGGAGGAATTACTTATACTTCAATAAGGCTGAGAGTAGAAACAAGTGCGAAAGACAAGTTAGATAATATAAGGCTAAATATGCTAAAAATTTGAATATTTCCCTAAAGGAATACAGATTGAAGGGGATAAACAAGGAAGTGCCCTGAAGGTATTCATTTAGCAAAGGGGTTTAGGAAATTGCTGCTCTAGGTTTCTGGCCTAGGAAATTTAGTAGATGACAATGAGATAGAAAAGATGATGAATTCAGTTTGGGAGGACTATGAGTAATAATAATGTCCAGTAAGTTTAGTCTCAAATTCAGAAGAGAGACCTGGGCTTGAGATGTAGAAATGAGTCATCAGTTGATAGAAAGCAACTTCTGAAGCCAAGGAAATAACTGATATCACCCAGGTAGAGTGTGAAGGGGATGGGTCAAAAATAGAACCTGGAATAACACTAAGATTTGTCTGCCTACTCATAGATCAGGGAAAGTGGGGTTTGCACTGGGCCCCATGTTTAGGGAGCCCTGGGCCTTTCTTCTCAGGAAATGAGGAGCTTCTAGGGCCAAGGGAATGTGCTGATCTGAAGCTCACTCAGACCCCAGAATTCCTTGCCCAAATGGTTCTGAGCCTGCTTCTAGGGACTACACAGTCCTCTTCATAGGGTCCATAATACTTCATACCAACTGTGCTACTGGTAAGCACACACCTAGGCCTGATGGCCAAGGCACTGGTCTTTATGTGCAATGTAAAAAGAACCTGGATATGCAGGCTGGGGTGTCCATACATGTGTGTGTGAGACCCCCTTTGGTAATGGAGAGAACTAGGAGTGGGTCTAAGAGAGGAGCCTAGCTGTAAGCCAGTGGGTGGTTCTGCTCGTGCTGCCAAGGTGTAGTGTAGAGCTACAGGAAATCTGAGAATTGCATATTTATTTGAACTTAGTCAAGTTGGAAGGGTAGAAAATAAGTTTTACAGTTAGATTTATAATATAAAAATATTTAGGCATATGAATGGGGGCCTCCATTTGTACTTTGGCCAACTTGCATAGCTGTTAAGGATAAGTCTGAAAGAATACTGAACACAGTCAGAGAGAGAGAACAATGTCATAAAAACCAAGAAAAGAGTGTGTTTCCAAAGGAATTGACTATTCAATAGTGGCAGATACTCTCTAGGAGCTGTGTAAGATACTGTCTTAAAAGAGTCTACTCGATTTGGCACTACAGAAGCTAGTTGTGACCTCAGTGAGAATAATTTTAATGGAGTGTGGGAAAGAAAAACAGGTTGCATGGACTTGGAAATGAATAGAAAAAAAAAATCATTGAAAACAAGCACAGAGATTCTTTCAACAATTTCATCTTTGAAGAAAAGGAGACTACAGGTGTACCTGGAAGGAGATGGGGCTTAAAGGAAGATTTTTTTTAATTATGAGAATTTATTGCATTAAATGCTGATAGGAAATGCCCAATAGAGGGGAGAGGTTAAAAATGTAAGTGAGAAAGAGGAAAAAATAATAGCGTGAGGTATCTGGGGGGCCAGGATAGGAGAATTCCTGTGCACAAGAGGGGGAATGAACTTTAATTAGAAAGAGGGATAGTTGTTTCATTGAAATAAGGAAAAAAGATAAAAGCATTTACATGGATGCATACAATCCTATAGAATTGGTAATATTATGTTGAAATCAGTTCCAGCGATTTTATCCCCTGTGAATATAGATATAAGATCACCAAGGAGTGAGACAGCATGTTTGCAGAGAGTACAGAAGGTTGGCACTGTCATGGTGGAGAGCAGGAGAGATGATTCTTCAGGGATGCTGCTCCATAGGATGGATAGGCCAGCTGATATTTGGGATCAGTTATTCATTCATATATATTGATGCCAACTCATCAGCCTGTGGAATTTTCTCCAAAAGTACCAGATGTGCAGGCTGGGGTGCACATCTAGTGAGATATAAGTATGGAAAGGATGCTCAGTCAGCTTTACAAGACAGTAGGGTTTCATCAGGAGAAGGGGATGATAGATCAGCCAACAAGGCAAGAAAGGCAAGAATATTGGCAAGAGAGATGTAGAAGTGATGAGCCATGGAATCTAAGCTGAATAAGAAAAGAGAGGGAGAGACAAGTAGATATGCAGGAAGTTCAGGGATCATTGGTCTGGAGAATTTGATAAGGTCAAAGAATAGTATTTAACTGAGGCACATGGAGAAGGCAATTTATAATAAGTGTGGAATGATGAAATTTTTTGTTTCAAGAACAATAACAGAAGTAGTTACTATGGCTACTGTTTGTTATATATTACTAGGATAGAATCCAAATAAAGAAAAATATTCTCTCAAATTCTTAATTAAAAATATAATATAAATATTTTAGAATCATAATGTAATTTTCTAAAAAGCTGTCCCTCTTTTCTAAGGAATGCAGTGAAATAAAATTGAGAGTAACATCTCTAAGTCAGGAAACATGACAAAAAACGTTACAAAGAGTAGACTATATAAATTCAGAAGACAGAAAGAATAATAATATATTTTATTTTTTCCAACTACATTAGAGTCTAGTTAGATTTAAGCATTTAATGACATCCAACAAAAAAATCAATATTAAAAATAAGTAAACTGGCTCTTTATTTCTTTTTTTTCATAGTTACCCACAAGAACAGAAAAAAAGTTACCAAAGGCCTGAGGCAGTCCTTTGTGTATAACTCAGGGGCTTCAACTGACATAATATAAACTATGGCCCTTATAGTCACCCTTAGGCCTTCTTTCAATGAGTTCTCAATAAATCCCTCCAGCTAGTCTTAGAGTGCTATTTTGGTGATGTGTTAGTTCTTCAATTTCAGATTGAAAGGAAACCTTCTTTAAGTGTTTATTGAAGTAATGGAATTGTGTTATCCTCTCCTCCCTGAAATAACCAAAGCAAAGATTTTTGTCTCAATCACCATTTAATCAGGATGTCCCACAATGCTGACACTAGAATGTCAGAATCTGTTTGAATATTTTTATCCTAATAGATATATATACAATGAATAACAATTCTTTAACAATTCTTTTTATTGAATCTCTATTATTCATATTTCTTTTAAAAAGTCCATGCTTTTTGTATCCTCAGAGACAATCTATGACTTACAGCATGCATCCAGAATGATGCCAACATTGGGCGTATCAAAGAATATCTAAGGGTTCGGAAATGAAAAGGGAAAGTCTAAATATATGATATTTAATCTTTTCAGTTCAAAATCATAGGCTGGATGAAAAAACAAAGATTAAAATATGAAATAAAGATCCAAATATGAAACATCTTGAATGTAGGTTGCTGCATTATTTTTCCAATGCAGAATTTTGAAAAAAAGAAAAATTATCTTCATTCCAGATAAAATACGAAAATAATTAACCCATTTATGCCTGAGGTTGAAATTTTGTTTTAATTTTTGCAATCAGACCTTGGCGATGACCTTGAGCAGTAGGATATAAATAACTCCCACATGCTTAGCGTTCCAATAATGGGACACTAGGCATAAATGTTAATAGGTTAAAAAAAAAACAGCTAAAAACCTGACACTAATGAAAATTTTAAAACAGATTACAAAACTGGCCAATAGGCTGGACCGTTTCTCTTCTGTATGACTATTTTTTAAAGAAATTAATATTTTCTATTTTACATGTTATTTCACTTTATATATCATCATATTTTGAGATGGTGACCACTATCAGTCTTTATCTCTCATATGTATTTGTGTGTGTTGGTGTAAGTGTGGTGTACACAGAATGTCAGAGAGTAAAAAAGAATAATGAAGAAAAGAGATGGGTATTTATTTCATGAACTGAAACACACCATATATATTTCTAATACATGGGAACTTGCCTTTTCCTATTAACATCACCTTGCAAAGAAACAAAAGCATTTGTAATGCTTACCCACAAACTTTTGTGGAGTGGAGCTTTTACGTTTTCCCATATTCCCCGTGAGCTTCTCTATGACAGCAGGTCTCTCAAAAGGCACCAGAGAAATATTGTTGTCCATAATAGGCTCTTGTTCCTTACAATCTTCCATAGGAGGTACTATACAAAACCATAGAAAAATGCAATCTGATAATTTCTTCAACATTTTGGATGATACAAAGCTGGATATGCCATCTCGATATGTGTTATAAAAGCTAGTATGCTTCAGTAGAAGCAAGTAGAAAGAATACCCTCTAGTGTGAAAGTATACTCTTTAAATTTGCACACACACATATACACCAGAGGATTTGTTTTTATTTGAGTCTCTCTTAAATCCATGACATACATACACTGTTGCCACTATTGGTGGCAAACTTGTTCATGTGGTTTCTCATCTTATTCCCCTGAAAGTGTTTTTAGCATTGACTAAAATCAATACTACTTTTAAGACTGCACTATTTTCAAGGCTTTTAGAGTTTATTTTTAAAAAACAATTTAAGTAAGTCAACTTGTTTGAGAGAAAAGCTTAAACAGACATACAAAATAACAGCACGGTATTTAACTGTTTTTCTTAACCCATGTATTTTCCTGCAGCGTATTTTCTATTTGATGAGCTGTTAGCCTTATTGGCAGTAGCTTAAATACCTGCACCAAGCAGCCCTCATGAAGAAGAGCCAATTCTGAACATGTCTATGCACAGTAAACTGTGGCAGCTTTATGATTGTAATTTATTTTAAAAAGAGCTCTTCAGCAGGAAGAAGAATCCATTTCTAAATTGGCACATTGGCTCACTAAACTACTGCCCTAATTCATTTGACATATACTCTCCAATGCTGTTCCCTATTCATCCCTTTTTTCTAAGTTGCTATGGACTAATCTGTTAGCCCTTAGACACTGACATTCATAGTGCAGACAAAGAACTTAAAACAGTTGTTTTTTGAGTAGAAATACTGCCCAAGGATGTTTAATTAAGGATAGGGTAACAACTCAGACAAGGCGAATCAGTTGATTAAAAACAGTGTTCTCAGGAAAGAACATAACTTATTACTTGTTGTTTATTGTTGCTTTCTCCAGTTGCACTTGTGCCAGTACTGTTTGGAAACCTAAAGCTTTCATTTCTTAGAATAACTTTACTTGTTCAGTATGCCCTGTAAAAATGATTTACTCTGATCCTTTCATTTGTATAAGATAGTCCCACTGTGTACAAAAAAATGTAGTCTCATTTATAAGGGGATCCTCTTGGCAGACACAAAAATAAGTGAGAAAGCAAGAGATGAAAGGTAGGAAAATTCAGTGCACAATTCAGTTGATGTATTTAATAACCAATAGGTTACCAATTTTGAAGAAAATGAAACATAGTGTGAAAAAATGTTTTCATGATTTGGACATGTTTAAAGAAATCAACATTCCATCCAAGTTTTGATTAACCTATAGATGGGTCAAAAAAATTGAATTGTAATCTACATTTAATAAGAAGTCCTCTGGCTATGAATAGCAAGGGATTGTGCAATTATTAGATGTTAATTTGGAAAAAAGTTTCAAGGTGAGACTGAGGAACAAGGAAACAGATCATTGTCTGCACTATATCATTAATGATGTTATCACATTGAAAAAGTATGTCCCAAGATATTATGTATAAAACATTATATTCTCTTTTAGTAACAACTAAAAAAGTGACACAAAAGTAAAAGAGTCAACAAAAAAGCAAAGAATTTCAAAAACATTCAAGGATGACCAATTCACGTAAGGGGAGTCAGAAGAATGGCACAGTGGTGGTGGTGTGGTGGAGAACCAGGTAATGAGATACAAATTGTGGTCAAAATCTTAACTTTTTGTTTGGATGATGGATTTACAAGCACTTACTACATTATTAGAAATAACAATAAAACTAAAAAGCAGTCCAAGTATGGACCAAAGATGAAAATATGTCAGACCAAGATCCAAAATGAAAGAATTTGGCAAGAAAAAAAAAATGTTGTTGTAAATTTTGCTAAAAAACTAGCAAAACTGGTTAACGGGTTTGCCCCCAAAATTAAATATGCTAATTTGTTCTGAAATGAGTAGTCCAAAACCTGGCAGTTTTGCTCTAAGTTTCACCCTGAATTTTCATATTTGAACGCATTTAACACTCAAAACGAAACCTGGGTGTGGGAACTGTCCCACACCACATCCACCTCAATTCAGATGATTTGTCCCGAGTTCAATGAAGCTCATGTGAACTGAAAATGATGATTTTGGCAGAGTTCTGATCTAATTTCTACTTTACAATAGCCCTTTTCATGTCAAAAATTGATCTTGTTTCTACCACATCGGCAATAATAATAACTGACGTATACTATGTGCTGTGTGCTGTTTTAAGGCTTTGCATTTAATAATTAATTTAATTCATCCAGAAACTCCATGAAATAGGTGTAATACCATCTTCACTGTACAGATGAGAACAGAAAGACCCAGAGATGTTAAGTAATTTCCTCAGGGTTTACATCTAGTTAGTAGAGAATGTTATTACTACTAGGAGTCTGGCTCCAGAGCCTGGCTCAACCATTACGCTATACTACTCTTTGTAGAGGTATTTTGAGCATTGACTTTTTGTAAACCAGTCAGACATATTTGTAAGGTCTGCCATTGGGTAAAGACCTGATACATTTTTCCTTAATTATGTAACCAATCTGATTTTGTTTTGCTTCATGGATCTGGGTGCAACTCATCAAAATATTTCTGTGTATACATTGCTAGAAACATAAAACAAATTCTCTAGATATCTCAATAATGCATTAATCACATAGACATTAATCTGGGCTAAAGATATACCAATAAGGTAACTTCCCCTGTTTGAACAAACTTTATAACCAAACATCCTCTTTGACCTTATATTTGAGGTTATAACCAAGATAAAAACATAATTCCATTAGATCACTGTTTCATCACGTTGATAACCATAACGGCAAAACCATAAGTGTATTCCCAATGTATTCTTTTGAAAAACCAAACAGTTCACCCAAATTCAAATTCCAAGTCTGAGGGACCTAGGTTAGATCACATGTCTAGCTCCTGAGCAGGAGAGGGCAGAGTACCTGGACTGAGGGTCCCACCACAGCTACATGCAACAGGAAAGTTCTCTAAAGGTAAATGGGCACTCTTGTTATCAAGAGAAGGAGGAAGGGATGTCAGGCAGGCAAAAACAACAGATGTCTTCTATATTGTTGCAAATTTTCTCCGTGTTACCCGATCTAAAAAAAAAACTTTACAGTTATCTTAGTTATTTTCTTGACAGCATTTGGCAGTGCTGACACTTGCTTTGGCTTCTGTGAAATCACTCTTTCCATGTTCCTACTCTGCTCTTACTCATCTTCATGAAATTTTTTTCCTGCTAGTGTGTTCTTGGCCTTCTTGATGTCTCACTCTGTACTTATCCGTATTGCCTTATTAAAAACTACTACGTTGGGCCACTACATAAATTATGATGGATCCTGCATCTTTGTTTCCTACTCAGACCCCTCTCAAGAGCTTGAGATCTATATATTTAACATCTTCCTAGACAGTTTTATTTGCCTATTTCATGGAGACATAAAAGAATATAGTAAAAGAAGTAAAATCTCCATTTACCTTTCTTTCTTCTATTTTCCTAATTACCATATCACTGAATGACACTACTAATTACCATATCACTGAATGACACTACTATTTACTCCATCAGCCATGCTGGTCACCTGTGGAAAATCCTAGATTTCTTCCTTTCATCCAGTCTTCTGCCTCTCCTCCTCCCTACCACATCTCTTTACAAACACACATGGAGGTACCCCAAGTGTTTTAGATGCTACATTGGTAGTTGTTCACATATGTTGTTCTTTCTGCAGGAAACACCCTTCTCCATTTATTAGTTCACATTTTTGCTTTTTAAAACTAAGCTCAATCCCGGGAAATTCCTCTTGGATGTTCTGCTGATTTAGGTATGTCCTCTCTGTCTCCATAATGCTTATCACATAGTACTATAATTGTTGTTTTACTGGTCTATCTTCCAATAGCTGGTAAATAACCTCAGGGGTTGCATTCTGTTGTATTTGTGTCTCTAATACCTTTTATGATACAAGAGAGATATAATATTCAATGGATGTTCACTGAATGATGTCACCCAATAGAAATAAGTCAAAAAAGCTTATTCCAAAGTTTGGGGGTGCCCAATAATGCCTCTATACTGTGAAAAAGAACCTCCCTTTCCTAAACAATTCAAAGCATAAACCTAACAATATATATAGATTTTAAGCTGGCTATCCTTCTGCTTTGCACTTTCATTTTTGTCTTTAGGTTTAGGTAAAACAGGTAATAACATAGTTTGATTTTAAAGCTTTTCCTTCAAGCTAAGCAGACTTGAAAAAGCAACATAAAGATAATATTGAACAAGATAATCTGCCATAAAACCTAATTAAATAAGATAAATAATCTGCCCTAAAACCCAATAAAATAAATAAGCTCATCAAACCCAATTAAATAATTTAATTATATAAATAATCTGTCATAAAACTCAATTATTATTTCCAAAACTATGAGTCATGATATTCCTCCTTTTTCCTCAAACTCAATCAACTTTTCTAAGACCATTTTATTCTACCTCCTAAATATGTCTTCAATATTTCACCTTGTTCTCTTCTGCAGTTGCCTCTTCATCTTTTTCTTTTTGGCATTGTCATTTCCAGTCTCTCCTCACACCATACCCCCTGCCCCAGGTAGGCATTTATCATGTATCCTCATTGGAGACATTTTTCTTGATTTGATTACCTCATTAATAACAAATTTGGTTACCCTAGTGGCCCCCCATCAGTTACACAATGAAATTCAAACACTAGCTTAGCAGAGAAGACTCTGTCTTTGCATCACAACCTACTAATTCAGAAGCTTCATTTCCTACCACTCCTTAAACTGCAGTTACACTCAACATCAGGGAAGCTGTTAATTATCTTTTATATCTCCAAGCCTCTTTTTCTCCTTGAATATACATTCTCTGTATCCTGCCTGATATATGCAATTTTTACTCATCCCTCATGTTTGGATTGAACACTCCTGCATGTAAGAAGCCTCTCTTGACTTTTCCAGAGTTAGGTTAATTCTACATCTATGTTCCCAGAGAACTGTGTATGCATCCTTATTAGAGCTTTTGTTTCATTTTATTTTATTTTTTTAAAGTATGTATTTCCTACCAGACTATAAAGTAAGTGTATTAAAAGACTGGGTCCATTTATTTTTATACCCCAGAATGTTCTATATAACTTGGCACATAGTAAGCTCTTGATAAATGTTTTCTGAGTAAAGTGAAAATGCCTCTTTTCCTTTAAAAAATTCCATACTAGAAGAACAACACAGGGAAAAACATGTTTTAGAAAAGAAAGACTAGGAAATATAACTATGTCAGATATTTTTTAAAAACAAGTAATAGTTAAATCATTTCATGGAGCTAATGGCAACCAAAATGACAGCAACTCTCATATCTACCACAAAAAAGGAAAACAAATAAATAACATACAGCAAGAGAAGGGAATAGATATAAGTTTCATCATGGTTCTGTTTAAAAAGAGACATATGCCAAGCTATTTATATGAGACGTATGTTAATGATGAACTCTAGCAGCATTTTACAGAACCATGTTTTTCTCTTACAGTATTTATCAACTCCTACCTCGTATGGCCAATTTCCCATTAGGCATGTTAACAACAGATAGAGGAGATTAAGGATAATCTCAAATTATTGTTATAACAAACCCAGAAAAAGTATGGTATGAAATGGCATGAATGTAAACTTATGTGGTTAAAATGATATCCAGTATTTAAGAATATTTGTTTCTATAAATGGTATCAGAAGCTACCCTCAATCCCTTCTCCTCTTTGGTTTTACCCTCTGCTCTACCTACCCAGTGCCCCTACCCCTTTCCCACTTTCCCCCACTTGGTTCCAGCTTCAGCACCACCTGTAAAGGGCCTGTGCCTACGGAGGGCTAAGCAATCTGGGGAATAGGGGGTAAGACTGAGGCCCCAGTTGTTTAGGGGACATATCTTTGCTTCTCTCAAAATATACTTGTTTAAATTTTTCGTTAGCATTTGATTCTCTAAAAGTTCAATCTGCCAACAGATAATTCAATGTTGATTATAATAATTTATTTACATTTTACCTCCCTATTACCATATAGTCTTTTAGGAGTATGTATGCAATACAGAATTCCATAAATAACTAGGAATGCAAAAATAATAAATAAAGTTGGAAATGCATAACGCCATCAAATGTCAGAACTGCAATGGGAGAATATAATATAGAAAAACTAGTAGCAATGCCATAAGGTGTTTTGGGGAAGATTTGGTATTCCCCCAAGCTTCCATCAGCTTCCAGCCTCAATTTACCCTTAAATCCATCAATTTAAATAGTAACAGTGTATTTGGTCAGCAAATGAAACTTCTAATGCTTAAGTTACTGCTGGTAAATAACAAATTTATAGGGAATAGCACATTTACTGTTATTCAGTTATTTAATGTTCTCAAATGTTAACAGTAAAGCAAACCATTTATTGGGCATTTATTACATATCCAGTCACATTTAATCCTCAAACCCAGCCTATGAGTGACACACCCAGACACGAAGTAGCCAGAGCAGGTTTGGCAGACTCCGAGACGCACCATTTTGTAATCTCTATGTTCCAGATCCTATGCTATCATCATCAGCCCAGGTAATGCAAGCTTGAAATATCAAATTTACCAAGACTTGATACACAGATAGGTTTGTAAAAAATGTTAATGATGATAATATAAAAATAAATGGACTTGATCACAAATCAATAGAATTAGATTCTTTAGATTATAGAAACTAGAAGGAAATGCTTCAGTTGTTCAGGATAACAAGAAAATTTTAAATTAAAAAAATTCCCAACTCAACAACACATAATCACTAGCTGTCCAACAAACACAGTTCCATAGTATATACTCTATAAAACAAACAGAAAACCCCAGAAATAATCCTTGACCTGGCTATGTATAAGCCAATACATAGATATTTATATTTTAAAAGTGACTGTCGCAATCCCCAACTATACCATTTAATACTGGGCAAACCTTTTTTAAATAAAAGATATACAAGTGGCCAGGTGCAATGGTTCACACCTGTAATCCCAGAACTTTGGGAAGGCAAGGCGGGCAGCTCACCTGAGGTCAGGAGTTTGAGACCAGCCTGGCCAACATGGCGAAACCCCGTCTCTACTAAAAATACAAAAACTAGCCAGGCCTGGTGGTACATGCCTGTAATCCCAGTTACTTGGCAGGCTGAAGCAGGAGAATCGCTTGAACCGGGGAGGCAGAGGTTGTGGTGAGCTGAGATCGTGCCACTGCACTCCAGCCTGGGTGGCAAAGTGAGAGTCCATCTCAAAAAAAATAAAATAAAATAAAAAATAATTTAAAAAAATAAATAAAAGATATACATGTACTAATAAGTTGAGATTTTTGTCTTTGTATAAATAAAACTTATCAGTAGACAAATCTAATTAGTAAGACAAGATAGACATTACAAATCTTAAGAACTGAAATTCATTATTTTCCTATATAAGGCTGATTATTAAAATTAACTTTTCAGGAACAGAGAATTATTCATTGATAAACCTTAGGGATTGCCTTCCTACCTGCCGTAGTGTATTTAGAGATCAGGATGTTTTGCTTGGAGAATGTTTTTTGTGGAGAGAGATGGTGTCTAATGTTGGTCTAGATTGTTTTGCACATTGTAGAAAGCAAAATCAGTAATTTCTCATAAAAATTAAAGGGCCGATTGGAGAAATTTCAAATTATATGACTGATCACTTACCTGAGATGAAAATATTCAAATAACCAATTCATTCTTTTAGGCAGCCTACAGACTAATGTGGAATCAGCTCTAACTATCTGGTTAGAAAAATGAAAAAGAAGAGTAAATAGTACCTTCCTTTGGTATATGAAAGGTTGGTTGTCATTATTATGCTAATTCAAACATTATCAGAAATAATTTGGGAGTATTGCAAAATTTCAATACAGATTATTTGCAATGTATCCCAAAGCTCAACTCATTTAAGTTAAAGTGATCTAAAATAGTTTTAAACAGCATAAGATTTTATCTTCATGTTGAACTACAAAAGCAGTAGGGGGAAATAAAAATGATGAATCCAGTTTCTACCCACCATGGTGACTCATGACCTGCCCAGCAGCCTCCATGCTGACATTCTGGAGATAGTTGTGGCAGCGTTCCTTGTGCTCCTCCAGTGAACTGCGCTGCTTGTAGCTTCGTCCACAGTAGTTGCACTTGTGAGGTTTACCCACTGTGAAGAGAACTCAAGGTCAGTGTGCTGTTAGTCTCATCAACATTCAAAGCAAAATCAATAGCTAACTTTTGATAGTCTGGAGGAAGCACTCATATAATTTTCAGACTTAAATCTCTTCCTCCTTTACATTCCAATTTTGGTAAGAAAAGATAATACATTTCTACCAAGACAAAGACAAGAAGACAGGTGGATCGTACCTCTGGCAACAGGGGAAATACTGAATCAAATTCTTGCTCTGACTGTATTCTAGACCTTGAGGGCCTGGTGATCAGTCTTCAAATTATCTCACTCTTAATACACTGACTCTCAGCTTTGACTCATTCAAGACAAATCAGGAGTATCCTAGATACATCAAGAGTTGTGGTTTTTTTTTGTTTGTTTTCTTTTCGGGTAAGGGCAGAGAATTTTACAGAAGAAAACTTAAAATGCAACAACTTGAAATGTCACAGTTTAATAAAGAGATTATTCTTGGGTACCAAGAAGATTAAAAAGAACTCAAGTGGTGAGAAAAAGTACAGATGAAAGTAGAGTTTCCTTTCCTTTCACCTTGGTAACAACTATTCACACATGCAAAATTTTGTGGCAGGTAAGTATATTCTCCCTCATCAGCTTTTATAATACCAAGAATTAACCTACTAGGTGCTTTGAGTCAGGATTATTACACAATATGTAGTTACAAAATGACAGTAATATTTTCCAAAACATCTCACATTAAGGAAATGAATTATTCCCTAATAGCTAGGGAGCCATTATCTCAGTGTCATTATCTCAATACATCTGTTAAAATACTAAGATGTTCAGTTAAAAAAAACCTTAAAAAACAAAGAAGAAAAATATAATCTCTATGGAAAGAAGCATGTTTTAATGCATGACTCTTCATAAGGACATCACAGAGCACTTTGACTCTTGGTTTTGAATGAATACAGAACAACATAAAACCCCAGGTGGTCTGTGCCAAAGCCCTCAATAGTAAAGCACCGTGTGATCCAGGCCCGTGTCTCTATTTGACTCCCAGAGGAATTATTTAGTTTTGCTCAGAGAATAACAGACAACTCTTTTTCATGACCAAAGATAGCATCCCTAACTCCAGTTAACTTATAAACCCATGCTATGACACTGGTCACAAGAGGAACTGAAATACTATAACAAGGCAAGGTATTCATGGCTGCCTGAAAGTTTCACTGTACTGATGAAAAAGAAAGCTACACCAAACCTTTAGATTGTAATTGAGGTACACATAAATTAAGATCAGTTATTTCATAATCATAATTGTTTGTAAACTATCATAAAAGTTATTTATGGAGTGATTATTCATTTTTTTAAAAATGCTTGGCAAACCAGCTTCTATTTTTTGGAACCATGGATTTCTGGGAAGTAGCTGAGAATACTGTGCAGAACTTGTATCACCATGTGACAGCATTAAAAATACAAAAAATAAGTTTTGCTGAAATCATCTAGTGTAAATACTATAAATAAATTTACATGTAATTATGTTCCAAGATATGGGACTACATAACAAAAAGTATCTGTTTACTATTAGCATTACTCAGTTTTGGGTTCTTCTGTAATATTTCTCTAGAAATAGTAATGAATTTATACTGAACAAGTTTATTAACCAATTAATACTTATTAAGCACTTACATTGAAGCTAATAGCCCGCTGTAAACTACTTCAGTCATTTCCGGGTCTTCCCTGGTATTAGTCCCATCACATTATGATGCCTCTGTTGTACTATGAGCATATTCTCCTATACTTTCTTCCCCTTATTTCTGTAAGCAATCATTATACCTTCTCAATTTAATTGAAACATGGTTTTTCATTCTATTCCCCTTGGCTCACAACCCTCTAAAAGTCCCAACTCACCTGATAAGAAGGAAGAGACATGTAGTTTTTATGTTTTCTACTCACTTTTTACTACTCTCATTACTATCCCATCTGCTTTATTTCAGCTTCTCCCATTTTGTCCTCTATTTTAAAGCATCACTCCTTCCTCTTCATCCCATCATTGAGTCCAACAGGGATCTGAGTTGGGCTTTGTTCTAAATGTATAACCCTAATTTTCCCAACTCTTCATCTCCATTCTATTCCAGCAACCCAATTATTAGGTGACATGTTGGATTTGGACATTTCTTAAAACTATTCTATTTCCAATAAATTTGCTCTGGAGACAATCTATCCTTTTACCTCTCTCATTCATTCAATAACAGACTACTATGTACCAATGCTCATGAGGCTAAAATGTAAAGTGGAAAACAAATTCCCATGGTGCCTATCCGTATGCAACTGACAGTCTGGTGAGGCAGACAGACATTTAAAAAATACACAAGCAATGTATTACAAATTGTGGGCAGTTGCATGGAGCAAAAGAATGGTGGTGTAGTATAACATGGGGAAACTAGTTTGAAAAGGTTGAACAAGAAGGTCTGTTTGAAGTAGGAACATTTCAGGTGACAACTGAAGAAAAAGTAGTCATTATATAATTGGGGAGTGAGGGTGGAAAGGCAGGATTTCAGGATTTCTGAGACCTGTAGTCATTTATTTTCCTCTATATACTTAGCTCCTTCAAAGTCTACATTCTGCCCTTACTACTCCTTTGAAAATTGTTTTCAGACATTGCCAACAATCCCTGCAAATTCAATGGCTCTGCTATCTCCACAAGACCATTTTCTATCCATTTCATACTATTTCTTAAAAATAAAGTTCATAAAAATATTGTTTATACTTACTCCCTATACATGTGTTTATCTGTACATGAGTTTATCTTTAAAGTAATACATAATTAATACATATAACATATATATTCATATAAAAGGACCAATATTTCACTACCTTTATTTTTATAATAGTTATTATTATTATTACTTCATATTGTTACCAACTGAAGCGGACTTTTTCTGCTATTATTGAAACATTTTTGAAAAGTCAGTGGTCTCTGAATCACTAAATCCATAGGCTTTTATTAATCCTCTGTCTTCCTAATCTCTTGGCCACTATCAAGCTTTCTTGTGTCTTGGGTCTCCTGTTTTAGCGTCTGAGATCAGATCCTACATTCGCCCTCACTGCTTCTCAGTTTTTTCCTAACTTGCAAATATGTTATATGCATCCCTTCAGATATTGTTCTCAGTACAATGTTCTCCCTCTTTGCTCTCTAAATGAAGTGCTCATTTTTATGAAACATCCACATCAGGTCAAGAATAATTTCCCATGTTTGTAAGCTCCAACTGGCCATGTACATCTTTCAATGTCTGAGTGAATCCCTTCCCTACAACCAAAACGAAGAGCATCAGGACATAGCTGTCTCCTCTGCTCTCACAGAACTCTGTTCGTACTCTGTTGATGCATTACTTATAACAACTGTGTTGTAATTAACCATCGGATACCTATTTATTTCCCTAGTCCAAACGATGAGCTTCATGAGGAGAGAGATCTTGTTTTACTCAATTTTAAATTGATAATACATATCGAGTTATTAAACACAGGAGACAATATATATTTGCTGAATGACTACTTCAAATCCATACTTGCAACTGCCTTTTGAGTCTTGCCTCATGGATATTCCCCCAAAACCAAATCAAACATTCAAGATACCCAAAACTATCTTCCTCCACAAAACTCCCTCTTTGTTCTGACTGCCCTTCTTTGCTAGTGTTACCACTGTTCTAATACTCAAGATTCACAACAATGCACCCACTTCTGTTACCTTCTACCTCTTTTCCTACTTCCAAATAGCTGCTAAATTCTATATACTGGACTCGTAAAATGATTCTCAAGTTGATCCCTTCTTTTCATTCTCACAATCAACGTCCTAGTTCAGGCCTTCATTATTGCTCACCTGGGCCTGGCATAATAGACTTCAAATAGGCTTTCTCTTCCCGTGTGTAATTATTTTATTCCTCTCTCCAACAACTTTCAATAACTGTTAAGTTTTATTGAACTAAGTTGAAATCCCTTTACCTGGCATTCAGCACCCTATACCATCTGGTCCCAAAGCACACATCCCACTCCTACCCCAGGCCCCAGTCAAAATTACTTTACACCTACACTTCTGAGTTTTGTTTGTTGCTGTAATTGCCTCACATGATTTCTACCTCTTGAAATCCTCCACATCCCTCCACTTCCAACCTCCTTAACTCTGTTCCATTTTAACGTGATCTTTCTCACTAAAGAACTATTCCTGTATTGACCCTCATGCTTAGAACACTTCCAACACTCTATCATTCTATCTTATATTATCTGTGACTTTTATACTGGTATTTACACACTAATTTTCATCTCCATGTTAGATCTTGACCTTTTTGAGAAATTATAACAATATCTTATGTGTCTTTGTAACTTCCGAAGAGTTTAGCAGGGTGCTTTGCTCATAGAAAGAACTAATAAGTGGAGTTTTTATGAATGATATAATTTCCAAACTCTTTAAATAGCTTTTTCTCATTAGTTTTTCTTAAATCTCTTTCTAATTTCAAATGTAAAATATTCATATAAAATTTTTTTAATCACCAGTAAAATCCATAATTATATCATTTAGAAATAACTGTCTTTGGTATTTCTGTATTATCCTCTTGCATTTTTTTAATGCATGCAAAGATAAATTTTGGTATGAAAATGAGTTATTTTATACACTGTTATTTTATAACCTGCTTATTTTACTGAACAATATATTTTGAACATTTCCCCATTATTATGAAATGATATTTTTGTTGCTGCTGTTAGGTAACACTTTCTCCCAGATTCTAGATTTATGGTAATGCTGAATTATTCAGTTTGCTCAGCATTCTGAGTCCTTTTCTTTTATTACGTTAATGATTATTTTTCTTTTTACCATAGTTAGATATGCCCATAAAAAAAATCAAATAGTCCCAAGTGGCATTTAATGAAATACATAGTCTCTTCCCCATGCTGCCCTACCTGCCCCCAAGCAATCTAATCAAAATCCCAAAAAGCAACCATTTTCAGCTCCTTCTTTTGGTGATTATATTCATATTTCTAAATAATATGTGGGTTATTTTTATTCATCAGGTTTAGAGATAATCTATTGCTTCTCTGTCCTGGTAGTTAAGGATTCAGCTCTCTTACAAACACCCTCTCAATTCTCACTTCTGTGGTCTTTCAATAGTTACATAATCATTTCTGATTAATAGTATAGAAATGGAAATTTCCAGTAGTCATAGAAATATTAATCATAACATACTATTTGGCTCAACAGTGATTACATTTCCTTTTTTGTGCAGCTTTTAATTTTTCCTAGAGTTAATAATCGTCTCACTTTTTATTTTGCTTGTGTTTCTGTATCCAGTGCCACTTACCCCTTCCTCTGAGGTTCTCACACCTTACTGATAACTCAGAGTCCAGAACAATGTCATAGGTCCTTGCCAGTCTCACTTTCCTCTTGCCTTCTCACAACCATTGGCACCCCTTTCTCCAGTTGGAACTGATGGTACCCTGGGTTTATTACAGAGTTGTTATCCAGAACTTTCCTTTGTCCCCCTCATGATTAGTCTTCTGCTGCCTGAATCCCATGTTTTCCTCTTCGTTGGGTTTAGAATTTCCAGGTTGAAACTCATTTTCTCTTAACATTTTGAAGCCTTTTTTTCACTGGGCTACTAACCTCCAAAGTTTCTTTTTAAAAGTATTATATAAATATAGCTTTATATGTGGCCTGTTTGTCTGAAAGCTCTTAGTAACTTCAGTTTGTCCTTGATGTTCTGAAATTCTGAAATATGAGCGTATGTCTCTGGTCTAAAGTCTCTAATTTGGATGTTTGTCCCTTACCTCTCAAGAAATATGTGTCTGTACTATATATAATAAGTATATACTAGTTCACATATTGCAGAATATTTACATATATACAGATAAAACAAATAAATATGTGTTTAACATCGATTCACATAATTACTATAGTTGTCAAAAGTCTATGGCTATTTCAACTTAATTTTTATATATGGCATAAGAGTCTTAGACCATTTTTTTCAAAAATATGGGTATTCAGTTGTTCTAGACCCATTTATAGAAAATATTATCCTTTCCCCCCTTAAATTATCTCAGTACCTTTGTTGAAAATCAACTGACCAATTTGGGTTCTATTTCTGGACTCTATTCCATTCCATTAACCTCTATGTCTATACTTAAACCAACAGAGCAAGTCTTAGGAATAGATTTGGAATCAGGCAGTGCAAGTCATCCAAATTTGGCTTTTCAAAATTATTTTGGCTATTTTAGGTCTACATTTCCAAACAAAGTTTGTAATCAGTTTGCCAATTTCTGTTAAAAAGCTTGTTGGGATTTTGACTGAAATTGCCCTGAACTGACAGACTCGATTTCAGGAGAAACCAACATCTTAACAATACTGAATCTTTTAAATCATGATAATGTCTCATCTCTGCATTTATTGAAGTCTTTAATTTATCTCAGCAATGTGTTATGATTTTACGTACACAGTTCTTACACATATTACTTAATTTAACTCTAAGTATTTCATACATTTTGGGATGTTATAATCAATGGCATTGCTTTCTAAATTCCAATGTCCAACTGTTCATTCCTAGCATATAGAAATACATTTGATTTAATCTCAGTATGTCAAAGAAATATTTGCATTACCATGTTTATTACATCATTTCACAATAGCCAAGATATGGCATCAACCTAAGTGTCCATATTTTCTTATTACACTCATCAAATGATAACCATCATGATGAGGAAGTTCTTTTCTACTCAGTTGCAGAGAATTTTTATAATATGTGAAAGCTGAATTATGTCAAATACTTTTTCTGAAACTTTAAAGACAGACTAAAATCTTTTCTTTTTTAGTCTGTTAATATGGAAAATTACATTGTGATGTTTTTTCACCCAATGTTAAACCAACTTTAAATTCCTAAGATAAATCCCACTTGGTCATGATATATTATCCTTTTTATATATTCCAGATTCAATGTGTTAAAATTTTAAGGACTTTTGCATCTGCATCATGAAGAATACCGTTATGCAGTATTTTTTTCTTGTAATGTCTTTGATTTTGGTGTCAGAGTAATGCTGAATATAATAATTTGTTTGGAGGCCTCCCTCCTCCCTTTTCTATTGTCTGGAGGAATTTGTTCCTTTAGTGTTTTTCTTAAATTACATTTTCCTTAAATATTTGACAGAATTTACCAGTGAAGTCATCTGGAGTTTTCTTTGTGGGAAGGTTTTTAACTTCAATTTCAATTCCTGGAATAAATGTGGGCTATTCAGAGTGTATATTTCTTCCTGAATGAGAGTCAATAATTTCTATTTTTTATTTCATCTAGCTGAATTTGACATAAAGTTGTTCAAAATATCCCCATATTATGCCTCCAATGGCTACAGGATTTTTAGTGATTTCCGGTTTTTATTCTAGATGATGCCAAATTATGTGTTCTTTTAATATTGATTGATCTTGCTAGAGGTTTATCTATTTTATTGATCTTCTCATATAATCAGTCTTCGATTTCACTTACTAATGGTATGCCCAACAAGGCATACCATCCCATTAGTAAGTAACTGTGGCCATCTAAGATGAAAAAACAAAACAAAACCCTGTTTTGGGTTTCAATTTATATATTATAATTTTCCCAAATGGATAAAAAGTTGTTAGGGCACAAATCATTATTAAGTTGTTTGGACCTTACTACTTAATAAAATGAAACTTTTCAGTATTACTTTTAGCCCTAAATGAACTTTGACAAAATTATTAAGACACTACAGTCACAATGAACCAAGAAAGTTTGGGAAACACTGAGCTAGGTAATAAAATGTAATTTGTATTTCTTTTACACTTGCATTAGTGAAACGAAATATTAAACAAAAAAATCATTAGACATTTGTTTGCTGTCCTTTCAAATGATCTATTTCATGCCTTCACCTATTTTTAAATTATGGTCTTACTGCTTTTGTCTTTCTGAATAAATTGATCAGAAATTGATCTCTGTATATATTAACGCCTTTGACTTATTTCTTGACTTACCTATTTGACTTATGCTTTTTTTGAGGTTTAGAGGTTTTACATTTTCTTGTGGTCAAAATTGTTGGTAGTTTCCCACGTTGTGATTTCTTTACTGTTTTAAGTTTTAAAATTCTGCCTGATATGGAATTTTTTAGAAATATCCACACCTACTTTTTTTTTCTAAATCTTTAGAAGTCTTAATGACTCTAGGTTTATTTTTTTAATGAAATGATTAAGTGGGAAAAGAATATTTTAGAAAGGAAACAGATCTCTACCTGAAAAGTGAGATATCTTTCAAAGAGAATCTCTTTATATGAAATCATTTCAGGATAATTAGGTGTCTGTCAAAAATCATTACAGTAAAATAACTTTTATCTCTCTAAGGACAGTTTACTAAAGTAGTTGAGGGTGGGGGGATGAATGTTAAATGTTTAAACAAGTCTGTGAGACAGTATATTTAATGCAGATTTCTTAGAGATTTACAATGTATATGAGCATTATCAGAGGTTCTTTTGGATGTTTAGCTTCAATAACAAAAAAGCAAACAGACAAAACTTATTTAACCCAACGTTTTCCAAAAAAACTAAATATAGTACAATTTTTTATTTTAGCAACTATTAATTTCGCAAGTAAATATTTTTTTGTGAACATACTGTGAAGAACACTGCATTATGACAATAAAAGAGGCAAAAAAAAAGCCAGCATTAGTACTATTTTTCTTTTTTTTTTTTTTTTGTTTGGTGAGATGGAGTCTCGCTCTGTCGCCCAGACTGGAGGGCAGGAGTGCACTGGTGCCACCTCGGATCACTGCAACCTCCACCTCCTGGGTTCAAATGATTCTCCAGCCTCAGCCTCCTGAGTAGCTGGGACTACAGGCACGTGCCACCACGTCTGGCTAATTTTTGTATTTTTAGTAGAGACGGGGTTTCACCACGTTGGCCAGGCTGGTCTTGAACTCCTGACCTCAAGTGATCCGCCCGCCTCAGCCTCCCAAAGTGCTGGGATTACAGGCGTGTGCCACTGCGCCAGGCTGTGTTAATACTGTTTACTCTTCTTTAACAGGATGTGCCAGGTGTTGAGCAAAGACATCTAGTTCCTTTAACATAAATTTCTTGAGCACCTCCAGTATTCCATGTCCACGTTCTAGGTGCTGTAGATACAGCACTGAACGAGACAAATGTCATTCCTGCATCCACAGAGCTAACATTATTAACCATCCAAATATTGCCATTTGTTTTATAATGTAATAACAATGTTCAAAGTAAACTGAAAATCTTATACAGGACACAAACACCAGGAAAAATTGTATATAAAAAAGTATGTATGGGACCTTTAAAGTAAAATCACAGACATTTGAAAGCAAAAGAAAACTGCTTTTTATTGTTTTGGGCACTCTGGAAGAAAAATAGTCACAATTCAAACAAGAAAATGTCTTATGTAAGATTATTTTTATAAGAGTCTAAGTTGTTGGCATCTACTTTTCTATCACTTTAAGTTAACACATTTCCTCAGATTTCTTGAACTTAACACCTAAAATAAGGAAGCAAAATGGGACGAAGCAAAATATACATTGTAACATATTTTGGCAGTGTAACAGTTATGCTTCCCCAGCATTTCCTTACCACATAAAATATTTTATTGCTTATTTTGAACATTGCTAATAAAATAATTAAACAATAAATGGAAGTAGATGCTTAATCTCTCTAAATTTTTACACTTCTGTTAAAAATATATACATATCAATTGTTTATTCATACAACATGTATTTACCAGCTGCCTAAAATGTGGCATATATAATCATAATAATAAACATTATATTCAAAAACCATTTAACCCCTAGGGATGCTCACTTCTTTCACTGTAAGTGTAACATAAGTCATTTAACAGATTGGTTGATGAATTTAGGAAAAAGAGCTAGAGAAAGTATAAAGGTGCAAAAAGTTTTAATGTGGCCAGGAGATGGTACAGTAAAATCTAAGACACAAGGGAAACAGCAGATATATTTGATACTGTTTCATTATTACAAATGTGCAAAATATTCATTATGGGGAATAAAAAGTAAACAGAAAGGCTAGTAAGAATTTACTAGGCATACAGATTAAATGAATAATCCAAATTATATAGACTCTTCCTTTTAATGAGATTTCAATTAATCAAACCACTGGCATATCTTGGAGATATTGCAGGTTGAGTTCCACCCCATCACAATAAAGAATATATCCTGATAAAGTGGGTCACTCAGATAGAAGTTATGTTTATATCATACCATAATCTATTAAGTGTGCAACAGAATTGTGTATAAAAACAATGTATATACCTTAATTTTAAAAATACTTTGCTGCTAAAAAATGCTAAAGAGGCCAGGTGCAGTGGCTCACACCTGTAATACAAGCACTTTGGGAAGTGGAGGCAGGAGGATCACTAAAGCCCAGGAGTTCTAGACCAGCCTGGGCAACATGATGAAATCTCATCTCTATAAACAATACAAAACTAGCAAAATTAGCCAGGGTGTGGTAGCATGCACCAGTGGTCCCAGTTACTCGGGAGGCTGAGAGGCTGAGGTGGGAGGATCACTTGAGCCCAGACAGTCAAGGCTACAGTCAGTTGTGATTGCACCACTGCACTGCACATACATACACATACACTGTAAAGATAATCTGAGCCTTCAGACTCATCATCTTTCCACTGGTGGAGGAGGGTGTTGCCTTGATGTCGATGGCTACTGATTGATAAGGCTGGTGGTTGTTGAAGGCTGGGATGGATGTGGCAATTCCTTAACATAAGGCAACAATGAAGTTTGCCACATCAGTCAACACTTCCTTTCACAAAGGACTTCTCTGTAGCATGTGATGCTATTTGATACGATTTTACCCAGAGTAGAATTTCTTTCAAAATTGGATTCAACTCTCTCAAACTCTGCTACTGCTTTGTCAACTAAGTTTATGTAATATTCCAAATCCTCTGTTGTCATTTCAACAATATTCACAGGATCTACACTAGAAGATTCGATCTCAAGAAACCACTTTCTTTGCCCATTGTAAGAAGCAACTCTTCATCCATTCACATTTTATAACGAGACTGCAGTAATTCAGTCACATCTTCAGGCTCCACTTCTAACTCTAGTTATGTTGCTGTTTCTATCACATCTGCAGTTCCTTTATCCACTGAAGTCCTGAACCTCCTGAAAGTCATCCATGAGGTTGAAATCAACTTTTTCCCAACTCCTGTTAATATCTTGACCTTCTCAGATGAATCACAAATGTTCTCAATGACATCTAGAATTCTGAATCCTTTCCAGAAGGTTTTCAGTTTACTTTGCCCACATCCATCATAGAAATCACTGTCTATGGCACCTCTAGCCTTATAAAATGTATGTCTTAAGTAATAAGACTTGAAAGTTTAAATTAACCCTTGAGCGTGGGCTGAAGAATATATGCTGTATTAACAGCCATGAAAACAACATTAATCTGCTTGTACATCTCCATCAGAAGTTTTGGGTGACAAGGTACATTGTCAATGAACTGTAATATTTTGAAAGGAATTTTTGTTTCTGAGCAGTGTCTAAACAATAGGCTTATTCACTAAACCATATTGTAAACAAATGTGCTGTCACCCAGACTTTGCTGTTCCATTTATAGAGCACAGGCAGAGTAGATATAGCATAATTCTTAAGGACCTTAGAATTTTTGGAATGGTCAATGAGCATTGGCTACAACTTTAAGTCACCAGCTGCATTGTCCTACCAAGAGAGTCAGCCTGTCCTTTGAAGCTTTTAACCCAGGCACTGACTTCTCCTCTCTAGATGGCCTCTTCTTCTAATAGAAGGCTGTTTTGTCTACACTGAAACTCTGCCATTTATCACAACCACCTTCATTAATTAGCTTAGCTAGTTCTTCTGGATGAATTACTGTAGCCTCTACATCAGCACTTGCTGCCTCACCTTGCACTTTTATGTTATAGAGATGGCTTCTTTCCTTAAACCTCATGAACCAACCTCTGCTAGCTTCCAACTTTTCTTCTGCAGTTTCCTCACATCTCGTGGCCTTCAGAAAATTGAATATTGTTAGGGTCTTCCTCAGGATTAGGCTTTGATTTAAGAGAATGTTGTGGCTGGTTTGATCTTCTATCCAGACCACTGAAACTTTCTCCATAATCAGAAGTAAGGCAGTTTTGCTTTCTTATCACTTGTGTGTTCACTGGAGTAGCATTTTAAATTTTCTTCAATAACATTTCCTTTGCATTCACAATGTGGCTGTTTGGCACAGGAGGCCTATCTTTTGGCATGTTTTGCCTGTTGACATACCTTCCTCACTAAGCCTCATCATTTCTAGCTTTTGATTTAAAGTGAGAAATGTGAGTCTTCCTTTAACTTGAACACTTAGAGGCCATTGTACAGTTATTAAGTGGCCTAATTTCAGTATTTTTGCATTTCAGGAATATAGAGGCCAGGTGAGGGACAGAGGGACAGAGAAACTGGCCAGTTGGTGAAGCAGTCAGAGCTTACACAACATTTATCAACACAAAAATTCAAGTTTGCCAGCCTGTATAGGTGTGGTTCGTGGTATCCTAAAACAGTTATAATAATAACAAGAAAGATCACAGATCACAAAACAGACATAATAATGAGCAAATGTGAAATATTGCAAGAATTATTTAAATGTGACAGAGAGACATGAGGTGAGCATGTGTCATTGGAAAAATGGTATCAACCGACTTGCTTGGAATTAGGGTTACCACAAACTTTCAATTTGTAAAAAACGCAGTTATCTGTGAAGTGCAATAAAGTAAGGCACAATAAAGGAAGTTATGCTTGTATTTCCTTTCATCTGACTTTCTATATTACAAGAACTCAGGCTTATGAGTAAGCAAATAATTTGGATAGCAAACAGCTCCCAAAATAATCAATTCAGAAGCAAATAGCTTGCTCTAACTTATGGAATATTCATATAAAGAATATGTATTTGTATATCCAGAATGTGGTTTCTTACTTGGATCTCAAATTCTAACCCTAATGCCAGTTGTGTGTGAAGCCTAGGTTACGTTAAATTAGGAAATAGTTGTACCTAACTCACAGCATTTCTGTGAGTATATATTTTTTTTAATCCATATGGAAAACTCAAGGTACTTAACACACAATAAATGATCAATAAGTGGAAAATCTTTTTTTTTCCCTGTAGCAGTCAACATCTTCTAACATATTATATGATTTTTTAACTGATTCTTGCCCGTCTCCCCTTATTAAAATGTAAGCTCCACAAAGACAGTCTTGCAGTCCACAATCTCACAGAGCTTACATTCGAGTGAGGTGGGATGGCACAGACAACATGTGTATAAACTAAACACCAACATAACCACAGATTCTGATTCAAGCTTTTTATTAAGATAGAGATAGCAAAATAGAACTAAGGGGATGCTTCTGGTAGGTTGCTTATGGATGCCACTATTTTCAAAGAGATGACATTTAAACTAACATCTGAAAGATAATAAGGCAACTATGCCAAGATCTTGGGAAAACGCTGAAGGTGTTGACTTCTAGGATCATCCATTAGTTCAAAAACAGTAGGAAAGAATAAAGAAACCTCGGGTTGCAAAGAACCCAGAGTGAGGCGTAAAGTAGTAGAAGATCAGACAGTAGAAGTGGGCAGAACCACCAATGGCCATGATTAGTAGTTTGATTTTATTATAAAAGCAATGGAAAACCATTAAAATATTTTAAGAAGAGGAGTGACATGGTTTAAATCAGATTTTAAAGTAACATTCTGGTTGCTATCTGGAGAATAGATTGGGAAGCAGGAGTATAGTGGCTGAGAGCAGAGACCCTAGATTCAGACAGACCAGAGCTTATATCTCAGCTTTCATGAGTATATTGGAAGTTGGATAAAATGTAAACATATAGTTATCAAGGTATGATTTTTTTTGCTATATCAGATCATAATTTTTAAAGTACTCTCACAAATATAATTTATACTATTGTTAGATTTATTTTGTTCTAAGCTGCTATATGTCTTCAAGCCTCATGATAGATTTTTGTTTATAAGAGCATGATACAATTCTTGTTTTATTGTGCTGTGGGTGTGTATGTGTGTGTTTGAAATCTAATCCAATAATACATTGTTGCCAAACCATGGAAAATAAAAGAAAAATAAGGTGAAAGTATAATCTGTATAAGCTGAGGAGGCATACATGTAATATGTAAAATGACTGCGTGAGGACATTAGGTAACATCTCTTTCTTTAAACTTGACTCTACTTATCTGCAAAATAAGGCCCTTAACATAATGCTTGTCACAAAATAAGAACTTATTAAATATACCCATAATTTTTAATTTTTGTAATAGACTAATACTTATCATGTACTAGGAAACATACTCAACCACCATTGACCTCCATGAATCTTTAAAACCTTTCTAGTTAATATAAGAATATTCAAATAAAATAATCTGTCCATTAATTCATTCAATCAATATGGTATATAAGGGATGAAGATGCAAAATCTCTTCTTTGAGATGCTGGATCTAGGACCTTTTATTCTTATCCAGTTGCTTATAATCATTATCATCATATTTCTATACAATTTAAAAGGACTCCACTCTGATAGATTTCTGATACCTTACATAAAACTTTAATTATATTCTAAATATATTTTACATGCTTATGATGAATGATACTTGGTTTTTATCTTTCTTATTTGTCTGATTTTCTACCATTTGAGAGTTTTCTTACAGTATTTGGCAAGATAGTATAGGCTGTGGATGAACAGGTTTCTTTGACTCACATACACAGATCAAGTAGGAAAAATTGAAAGAAATGGTAAAGGTTAGGTTAGAAAAAAACATCCAAACAAAACACACCACACACACACACACACAAGTCCCAGTGTGTCATGCCCTTCTGGATACTAGGTGAGTAATAAAGTTTGCGTGCAGCCTCTCCACTTCTGTTGTGGAGTTCCAAACATGCCAGGCCTGCAGACTCATGGTGTGGAAGGGAAAATGTGAAATGGCCAAAGTTAAGACTGTCCACACTAAATCCATGCAGGGTACAAAACTGTGGTAGCAAGCTTTGGAATGAGGACAGTGTAGATTATTCAGAACAATGAGAAAGCAGCTAAGAATCTTGTCCATTTCTTTAGAACTCCTGATAATAAAGGAGGAAGGAAAGCTTCCTACAATAAATTGATCTTCTAAATGACTTGCACCAAAGTGAAAAGAGCTGCATAGAATTATAAAAGAAAGGCTTATTAATTCCTTCTAGAAATAGGGTCTGAAAGAAGCATGACTACTACAATTCATAAAAGATGTGATTGTATATGCTATTAAAAGTTTTACTTTCTTTTATTAGAAACAATAACGAAGAGTAGATACATAATGGTTATTGGTCTGGGGTAGGGGGAAAGAGGCGTTCTACCTGGTGGAAATCAAATGGGCTGTCTTACAGCCGGCCTGACTGAAAGTGGCTTTTACCTTCTAGGTAAATTTCAATGAGTAGGACCTCAAGTGTGTGTTTTAAGAGTCAAGAATGAAAATATTAATCCCATCTCCTTTCTTCAGTGTTTATTGCAAAGCATACAGTGAGGCACCAAAGGCATCAGTATCAGAATTTGATGGATGAAATCAGCACAGCACAGTTATGCAAATCATGTGTGCAACTGACACTGCTTGTGTAATTATCAGTATAATCCACCTCTATCAGCCACCTCCAGGAAGGAAAGGAGGGGCTAAGGGTAGGGAAAGTTCACACTTGGGAGATCACCCAGAAAGTGGGCCAGGTGCCAGGTCTACAATCAGTTTAAAATAGTTCCTTCTCATGAGAAGCCTGCAAGACAAATTATACTACATTTAATGCACCATCACTATTATGAATGAGCTGCACTGGATTCAATTTCTAAACCAGCATAATTTAATTCAATGTTTCTATCCTTAAAAAAAAAAAAAAAGTCATGGTGGTCTGTTTTGTTTTGTTTTCTTTTCTTTTCTTTTCTTTTTTGAGACAGAGTCTCACTCTGTCACCCAGGCTGGAGTGCAGTGGCAGGATCTCTGTTCACTACAAGCTCCGCCTCCCAGATGCACGCCGTTCTCCTGCCTCAGCCTCCCGTAGCTGGAACTACAGGGGCCTGCCACCACGCCCAGCTAATTTTTTTGTATTTTGAGTAGAGACGGGGTTTCACCGTGTTAGCCAGGATGGTCTCGATCTCCTGGCCTCGTGATCTGCCCGTCTCGGCCTCCCAAAGTGCTGAGACTACAGGCGTGAGCCACCGTGTCCAGCTGGTCTGGTTTTAAAATAATGTAAATAGGAAAACAACCGATTATCATAATCTTCTGGCCAAGTACCTAATTTTCAGAAATTTTTGTCCTCAATCATTCCACAAAACTATCACTACTATTAATATCCAAAGGTGTATAACTTGCAGCTATCCCATCTTATACAAAACATTTTGCATGATACATACACTGAAGAAGTTATTTATGTACTTTTTTTCTGGAAGTCATTACAAAAAAAAAAAGTGAAGTAATATGGAAGCAAATGGATGAAGGATTGAGGGAAAAAGAATTATAAGAAAGACAAGAAAGAGCAGACCACAACACTCAAAAGAAGAAGGGAAGATAATTTAAATAAAACAAAATAGAAACTGGTGTATTATAAAAGAGAGTAAGTGATGACAAATGCTACAGTACATTAGAAAATACTTTAGCTTATGAAATCACTGATCAGTTGTCAATTTAAAGAAACGATGTGATTGTGATAATAAATTCCTTAGTAAGAGACAACAATGCGTTTGAGGGTACACTACTCTCATGACAAATTAAGAGACTATTTCTATGAGATTTAAAACTAGAGCAACTAACATTATGTTGTTTCTTTAAACAATATGGTCAAAGATGAGCTCCATCTTGATCCAAGCCACATGGTAATTTTTTTTTTTTATTTTTAAGAAATTTGAAGATATGAAGAAGACCATCTTGTCTTACCAGTTTCTCTGAGGGCATGTAGCATATACCTTAAAAATGCATGTTAGTTTGAAATTCTATTAAAGATAAATGTGGAAATATATTTAAACATAGGATGAGTCATAATACTTTACAGGAATTTTCTCATAATAGGTGAAGGCATAACTGAACAAAATATAAACTAGGCTATTTAATTGGGATTTTTAAAAGTCAATATTAGGAACTAGTATAAGCATTCAATATTTCTGAGCTATTTTTGTGGATAAAATATAGTCCTTGGAACTATAGGGACTTGAAAAATAAAGATAGTCCATATATATATATATACTAAAAATGTTTTTTAGTTGGGAGGAAGTTGTTGTTTTAACAGATGGGGATTTATATGGTACATCTGGTCCAGTTCCTTTTTATGGAACAGAATAGCTTTAAACTGACAATTAGACATAAACAACAAACTTCATAAGCTGAAAATTGTCAAACACTGAGTAGGTCACAAAGTAGTGTTGTAAAAATCAACATTCCTAAAGTGTTTGGAAGTAAGATAGATACATGTTCAGAATAGTTTAGGCATATCAACCCTAAGTCAAAAGAACTTTGACATTGTAAGGTTCCTCAAATCTCTCTTACTCCAAAGTTATGTGATACAGATAACTAATTTTACAAAGTAGTTATTTTTAAGTGATATACACAAATAAATAATTATATCATATGCTCAATGCTGGTTCAATTGAAAGCTGAGGTTTTACTTAGAATTTAATAGCATTATTGAAAATATGAAATAATTATTTTCTTAAAATGAGGATGAACAAAAATATTAGAAAACAATTCCTTTACTTATTTTCTTACTTAAGGACATTTTACTTATAAATCTTTGAAAAATAACTTAGTTTTAGAACAAGTATCTTAAATATATGGTTCTCTTAATAAGTATTTGGCTTTTTTAGATTTATAAGAGACAATGAATAAATGTCTTTGGGAAATTAAGATTTTTAATTTTCAAATGTATTTGGATGATTCCGTTTTTGAGCAATACATAATTTTCATAGTAATCTGAACCAGTATAATTCTTAGCCAAAATTGAATTTTTCATCTGGTAGAAAAATATTTTGAGACTCTATGAGATGCATTCTGTTTTTTTAACTTTTATTTTAAGTTCAGAGGTACATGTGCAGGTTTGTTATATAGGTAAACTTGTGTCATGGGTTTTTTTTTTTTTTTGGTATAAATTATTTTGTCATCCAGGTATTAAGGCTAGCACCATTAGTTATTTTCTCCTGATTCTCTCCTTCGTCCCACCCTCTACTCTCCAATAGGCCCCAGTATGTGTTGTTCCCCTCTATGGAGACACATTCTTACTCATCATTTTTCTCTTTATAATTTATAAAAAGAAATGTTTAACACACATATATGTTTCTCATATATTAAAATTATACACTCTTCTGTTTTAAACCTTTAATTTGGGTACAGCATAAGAGTATATACAAAATATACCTGAAATGCTAATTAGAAAAAACATGTAATTCTATTTCCTCCTAGAATTTTTAAAATAACAAGTATGCTAAATATTATTTTGACTAATAGGGGTCCAGGGCTTAATTTAAACACTATCCCCTCAGAGTATTAGGTATAATAAAGAAAGTAAAAGGTGTAATATATATAATGTACAAAATATAGTAATCAAATTTATAAGAATGAAAGAACTATAATCACCTATAAAACTGAAAAATCTGAGACAAAACTAATAAAAATCATTTTTGTAGCAGAAGCATTGATTCATCATTAAATAGTCACTTAAGGGTGGGCGCAGTGGCTCACGCCTGTAATCCCAGCACTTTGGGAGGCTGAGGCAGGCGAATCACCTGAGGTCAGGAGTTCAAGACCAGCCTGGCCAACACGGTGAAACCCCGTCTCTACTAAAAATACAAAAATTAGTTGGGCGTGGTGGTGCACGCCTGTAATTCCAGCTACTTGGGAGGCTGAGGCGGGGGAACCACTTAAACCCAGGAGGCGGAGGTTGCAGTGAGCCGAGATCACGCCACTGCACTCCAGCCTGGGCCACAGAGTGAGACCCTGTCTCAGAAAAAAAAAAAAGTCACTTAAATACTATGTTAAAAGTTCACATGAAGCAAAGTAGATGATTTGTATAGTAAATCTCAAGATTACTGAATAGCAAGAGTTTCAAGTATAGACTAATACCTTTTATTTTCCTATAACTTTATGTAATGTATCTCTGGGACATGTTTTTAAAAGTGCAGTTCACTTTCTCAGTGGGCTAATAACTTGACTGTAATCTTTTTTTGGGGGGGGTGGGAGGATGGAGTTTCGCTCTGTCACCCAGGCTGGTGTCCGCCTCCCGGGATCAAGCAATCCTCCTGCCTCAGCCTCCCGAGTAGCTGGGACTACAGGCGTGTGCTATCACGCCCAGATAATTTTTTGTATTTTTAGTAGAAACACGGTTTCACCATGTTAACCAGAATGGTCTCGATCTCCTGACCTCATGATCCGCCCACCTCGGCCTCCCAAAGTGTTAGGATTACAGGTGTGAGCCACCGTGCCCGGCCACAACTTGACTGTAATCTTTAGCTGATCTTTGTTCATAAAACATTTCAATTATTTATTTGTCTCCCCTTTCCCTCTTCTCCTTCCCCTTCTTAAAATGTCATTTACATTTCACATAAAAAAAGTTATTATTTTTTTCTTTCTTAGACACTTCAAGGCTATCAGATGTAGGATATCAGACATTAGTAGACAAGAAATATTGGCACTGTGAAGACTCAATATAAACCTTAAGATGTTAATTCGGTTTCATGAAAACTTATTTTAAAATAAACTAGGGCAAAATACTAAAACAAACAAACAAACAAACAAAAAGAAGTAATTTGGAGGGAGTGGAGACTACTCTTTAAGGTGTGGTAGTAGTGACTGATTAGCAAAATCCAGGGAGAAAAGATAACACATTGTAGTTCGCATCATATAATAGCAGCACCAGGAGATTTAAAGAGTAAATTAAGTGACTTGACAACGTCCCATAGCTAATTTGCAGCAAGGCCACCCTAAAACCCACATGCCTTGATCTCCTGACTTCTAGACAGCACATTTTTTTTTTCAATCATTAGGAGTTACTTCAGTAGAGTTAAAGCTTTATAGAATAAACATACGAGCTGTGTCATTTATCACTTAGCAGGGTGTGATGAGCACAAATTGTGGAGTTTGCTGCCTTAGTTTAAATCCAGGGTCTGCCTGTGTGACTTCTTTTCTGCCTCAGTGTACAATAGGAATAACCAAAGTGAGAGGTTCTCATAATGAACCTGCCTCTCCATTCTCTTTGTAAAACATACTAATGGATAACCAAAAACACTGAATTCTTGGAGCTCATACGTTCTTCTTTGGTACGTCCGAGTATACTTCTAGCAGTTGAGCTGTATGTGTAGTCACTAAGAGTCAGGTATGACTGTAGCAAAACCTATTTATGCCAGTTTACCTGCTATAATTATTTCCAACGAAATAATTACAAAAAGAATACTGTTTCTATGAAACCAAATTTTACCACTTTGAAAAGATTCAATAAAGATAAGCTGATAAAAATATTTCTAAAGAAGTGAATGTGGGCAAAAATAATCATAAAAATTAGTGAAAAAATCTTTAAAAATGAATAGAAGTCTGACTGCTTCACAGGATCTTTAAGTTCTTAAAGACACTGAAAATGTAACTAAAGATAATGTGTTATGGGTATGGTTTAGACCAGAAAAATTACATGCTATTCAACAACCAAATTTCTCACTGAAAGAAAAGAGCTTGGCCTTAAATAAAAAAATAAATAACAAAATATATATTACATTTATATTTTTTAAAGTAAAAACTTTTCAAAACTGCATTTTCCATGTTACTAGACTTATTGCTATTAATCTACAATCTCTTTTTGCTTATGTTAGATAAAAAGGTTTTTTATTAAAGAAACCATGGAAAATGCTTAGTACAGTGTCTACTGTCTAGGGAAAGCTCAAGAAATTCCAGATAAATAACCTAACTACCAGGCCTATGCAATAAAAACCAAGACACTACTTGGTGTCCTCTAGAGGACAAGAAGAGTTCCTAAGCAGAAAAATACCACCTTGTACAGGGATCATGCAAGGTAAATGAAATACACACACACACACACACACACACCCCTAGTATTTACTTAATACATATTGTATTCCAGATATTTTTCAAAGTATTTTTCATTTCTTAAACTGTAACATCTATCACAGTAATGTATTCATGCACATCTGTGCTGGGCTTGTTGTTACCAACCTACTAAATGAAAATCAAGATGAGAAATTTTTAAGTCTACAATATAGGAAGCAGAAATGTGGTATTAATATCCAACATGATAAATAACAATACAATAAAACAATGGACAGTTATTACCTGGAGGAAAAAGGGAGGCTAATACTTTCTACCAATAATAATATTCATAAAAACAGAGATTAAATTTAAAATCATTATATTCCCCTTAATACTCTATATCAGCAGTTCCCAACCTTTTCACCACCAGGGACCAGTTTCATGGAAGACAGTTTTTCCACAAATGACAGGTGGTGGGGGAATGATTTCAGAATGAAACTATTCCACCTCAGATCATCAGGCATTAGATTCTCATAAGGAGCACACCAAGTAGGTCCCTTGCATGCGCAGTTCACAATAGGGTGCGTGCCTATGAGAATCTAATGCTGTCACTGATCTGACAGGAAGAGGAGCTCAGGCAGTAATGCTTGCTCACTGCTGCTCACCTCCTGCTATGCGGCTCAATTTGTAAGAGGCCACCCAGTGACTGGTACTGGTCTGCAGCCAGGAGGTTGAGGACCCCTGCTCTATACTAGTAATTTTAAGCACTAGTTCTTAAATTTTAGTTAATCTGTGGCACATTCTCTGTTTGGCTGCCATAGCCATTTTCCACACTTCTTTGCTCTGCTCCCGCAAAAGCTAATTTTTATTGGCTTTAATCAATTGGCTCCGTTGTCCTCTGGCTTCTGGTTAAGTTTAGTCAATGTGAGGCACCAGTAAGAGACTGAAGGGTGGAAAGAGTGAGGTCAGGGTGTTTATTCCCCAAGTCACAGGTTAGCAAAGGCTACATTCTTCTACCGAAGGTCAGTGCTCAAGACCCTTTCCTATTTCTCTTAATTCCAGTGACCTCTAGATCCCCTTTCTCTTTCAGGCTAGAGCTAGTAAATGGCTTCCTACTACTGTAAACCCAGCCATCTTTTTGTAGACTACCCTTATTCCTAACCATTCTTTTGTGAATATTTGTCTTTCATGCATGTCCCCAAATTTTCCCCACTTGAGTGTCTTACTGTTTTCTTGTCAGGATCCTGACTGATAAAGAGTTACTGATATCAGAAATGGCCCAAAGCTCCAGTCAAAATGGAATTCAAGGATAGCAGGATAGCCTCCTTATCACAGAGTTAATGGGACAGTAGTGATCCAAGGCATGTGCTGGCAAGATGATTATTCAAATTGTCACTGGTGGTAGCATGGAAGGATGTACGACGCAGGGTAAGGCTTTGGGAGCCATGGCATTACTTGCTAAAGCAGCAATGGTAGTGTATAAAGATTACAGCATGATATGGCTGATGGCCCTAAGGAGCACACAAAGGTGGAAGACAAACTGAGTGCCTGGAATACTCAAGTCAGAATACAGGCAAAATACAAGAAAGTTTATGTCAGCTTTAAAAGGGTCCCTTATCCACTTAAGCCTCAAGGCAAATAAGGCTGAAGACCAACTCCAGAATCTGATTTGAAGGGTTATAGAATTGCAATGCTAAATACAATGGACAATACTAAGACCATTAGTTTTTGGTAGTGGGGCAATGATGAGAAAGCAGAGAAACATGGGATGGTAGTATCTTCTCCCTCCCCCTCAACAACTTCATTGAGGTATAGTTAATATACATAAAACTGTAGTAAAAAAACAAGAAAAATAAAAAATATTATTTCAACATGTAGCACTAGCCATATTTAGGTGTTTAGTAACCACATGAGGCTAGTGGCTACCATATTGGACAGCGTAGCCCTACAACTATCACCTCTCCCAAGACAGCAAACTAAAAGAAATAATAATTCTATGGATGAATAACAGACAGTAGTGAAACCATCAGAAAACTGAAAGATGTTAGGGGTGATAATTCACACTATACACCCATTTAAACTGTTTATTAGGCTAAGGCATGGCATTGATGCAGACTTAATCATTTCATAATGCTAACTGTAGATGCAGTTTTAGCTGTACAATCTTTACTGGAGCATATTAACATAGCCACTGACACTAGGTATGAAGCAATGAACTTGATTTCTGTTTAAGGTAATTTGTATAACAAAGATAATCAGAAGCAGTTTTTTCCCTTCACACTAGAGGAGCAACATACTTTTACTCTCTTACCTTAAGGCTAGGTCAACTCTGCTCTCTTTGTCATAACATAGTCTGGAGAAATCTTGTTCATCTTGACATTCCAAAAAACATCAAGCTGGAATATTATATTCATGACATTACACTGAGTGAACTTGGGAGCAGGATATAGTAAATACCTGAGATGCCTCAGTAAGAGATATATGCTATAGAATAGGAGATAAACTCCAAGAAAGTTCAGGGACTTTCAGCATTGGTAAAATTTTACAGGCCACTGATCTGTGCATGCTGAAATAGATCCTCCATTGTAAGTGAGAAATTGCTGCACCCTGCACCTTCCTTCGTGAAAATGAAGCACAAAATGTGGTGGCCTCTCTAGATTTTAGAAGCAACATAGACCATATTTGGGTATACTTCTGTGGTGCATATACTAGGTAATCCACAGGCTGTCCATTTTGAGAGCAGCCTGGGGCAAGAAAAGGATCTACATCATACCCTGCCATGATGAAAGCTCCCTCTACTTTTGACTCTAAGATTCAGCAGATGCAATGATTTTTGGAAATGTCTGTGGCAAATGGAGATGCTGTATGACATCTCTGTCAATGGAAGCCTCAGTGTGTAGATCCCTCGTGGTTTTATAGTAAAGACATGCAGTTTTCTAACAATAACTAATCTCCATTTGAAAAGCCACTCCTTACTTGCTAATGAACTTTGGTTAAGACTGTGTACTGGGCCATAGGACTCGGAATGACAATGTAGCCCAAACCGTGCATCATGAACTAGGTGTTATCTAATTCAACATATCAAAAATGTACACAACAGCATTTCCTTGGTATATTTTCCTTCCCTGCAGCCTTCTTATGCTAGTTGAGGAAGCCCAAGTATACTGTATGAGCAAGTAGCTCAGAGGTCCCTAATACCTGCTACTACTGCTTCTCAATCTTTTTGCTTCAACCCGTATGTATGGCCTCATGGGGTATTCTCAGTGACTAGTTGATGAGGATGAAACAGTGTGGATCTGGTTTGTAAATAGAATGTCTGGAATTCAATACCAGCTATGACTATGGTGTTTACAGGTCCACTTAAGGGAGAGGGCCCTGAAATACAGTGGCTATCCCACCAGCAGCCAGAATTTCATTCAGCTAGTACATTTAACTGCACACTTTGCATGGAAGAAGAGATAGTTGAGGTAATGACATATGGCATGGCCATATGGTCAAGGACTTCAAAGAACAAAATTGGACGACTGGTGACAGAAAGTCTAGGGAAGAGTTATGAGGATATATCCTTCAGAATTGGTACAAAATGTAATGATATGGTATTCTATGTAAATTCTCTCCAGAGGGCATTCACTGTAGTGAAGGCTGTTAGTAATCTGAAGGGGGTAATCTCATGAATCTCAGACTCTTTACCAGGCTTACCTGGTACTTTCTCAGTGGGCCAATGTACAAAGTGACAATGGGAGTAGGGACACAGAAACTATGAACAGATTCAATTACATGGACTTCCTCTTCTCTATGACTGATTTAACTACCACCACTGCTGAGCTCACAATTTTCCAGTGCTGAGACCCTGATATGGCACCATTCCTGAGAGAGATCAACCAAGCAAGTAGTGGCAGGCAGGTTACATTTGACTCTTTCCAACATGGAAGAGGCAGAAATATATCCTAATAGGATATGCCTTCCCTTTCTCTTCAATATTTTTGCAAGCTCCCTCAAATATGGATTTAACAGAATGCCTTACCAATTACCCTTGTATTCCTTGCTATACTGCCTTCAACCAGGAAACTCCTTTTTATGGCAAGACAAATACAATTAGCGCAAATCTATAGAATGCATGGGTCATACATACCCCATGTATCACCACACAGAATCAGCTGGCTACATGGAGTGGTGAAATGGCCTACCAAAGGAGTGGTTCATGTATGGTTGCCAGCTGGGAGGAGTTTGGGTGTGTTCTACAGGATATTATATATGGCCAACATCATCTCCTCCATAGCCAGAAGGCATGAGTCTGAGAACAAAGAGGTTAAGGTAGAGGTGGCCACTCTAATAACATCAAATAACCCATTTAAAGGCTTTTTACTCTGTGTCCTGAAACCTTCAGATTGGTGGTTTTGGAGATCTCAGTTCCCAAAAGAAGAATGTTTTCTCCAGGTTTCAGAGATCTGGTCCTGTTGTATTGGAAGCTGAGAATACTCACTAGCTATTTTGGGCATGTCAAGCTGCTAAATAAACAGGGACTGGCTTATAATTTTTCCAGACTACCAGAATGATTTGGAGCTGTTGCTATACAATGAGGACAAGAAGAACTATGCTTGGAACTCAGGGGATTTACTGGGGCATCTCTTTAGAAATACTTACCTCATAATTTTGGTTATTGAAAAATTATAGTAATATAAGAAAGACAGGACCACCGAAGACTCAGAACCTATAAAATTTTAGTCACCTATCAGATAAAGAACCTTATTTAGCCGATGTGCTAAACAGAGTAAGAGTAAGGGGAAGATGTATTTGATTGGAAGAAGAACACTATAATGATCAATTTTGAGCTTTCTGGCAACTTAGAGGAGCAAAAACTGTAGCAACTCTGTTTTATGTTCTATCTATTATGAAGAAAATTAGGGATGGCTAGTATTTTAGATTCCAATTGGAAGCATGATTGAATTGGTATCAGCTCTTGGTGATGCAGTAGCTGGATGCCCCCTCTCCAATAGGGACTCCATTAAACTCTCTTGAATTACCCAATTTGAATATATCTATTTATATATCTGCAAAAATCATAACTTGATATACTAAATTGCAAAATGAGCACGATGGCAGTTATAAGGACCATGTCTTTGTTTATGAAGACAGATAACATAATATGTACACACAAAACCATGATATTAAAAACAACATGATTTCAACAAAAATAAGATGGATGTTTAAAGTTATTTATTACATGAAGTTGAGGCAAAACTATATGTTCACGAAGATCTATTTGTTATATAATGTTTGGACAACTCAATAATAATTTAACTCTGGCTAGAGTACATGACAAGCTAATGGAAATGCCTATCATGTCCTAGAAGTATATTTCAATAAAGAACTTTTCATAAGAAAACACTGCTTTAAGATATAATTTTGATAGCACAATTTTAAAATAAAACATAAAATGTTGTAGTTGGAAGTAAGTGAATTCCTTTAACTCAGGGAGGAAAGAAAAATATATACTTAAAATATTTTGTTTTCGTGTTTGCATTAATTTAATTTTTTTGTAACTGCCCCAAATTTAAGAGTTAATGTTTAAAATAGTTTTACACGATTCACATTCATGTTTAAAAACTTAGTACAGCCTTAAGGATAAAAAGGAAAAATGTAAAGAGAGATAATACAATAAGCATTATCTCACAACCTCAGCACTCTCTAATACGATTTGTCAATGTAGATTAAAATATCACTTCCATCATATCTTCATATTAAAATTAAAATTTAGTATGTCATTATGAACAGAAGAAACAAATAAAACTAGCTTGAGAGTATTCTATATTAATTTTCCACCTTTAACTTCTTGGTTATGAAAATTTATGCTAAAAGTCAAATGAGATTCATTTGGATTTCTGATCATTCTTTTCTCTTTTATGTGTTATATTCTGGCATTTCTTAAAAACATTAAATTTATTTTTTTCTTTTATTCCCAAGAATTTGTCATATTCTACATTTTTTAAATGATTTATGAAACACAGCAAAGTTTCAGAGTACCCAATGACTATTGTTTGAGAGCTAAAGATACAAGGAGAGTTAAAATTAGAATATAAAATACTCGAAAAGCCAATTTTCTGAGTATATTTTCAAGTTTAAAAGAAACAATTTTATTTTCCACAGAGATCCCAGCCTGAGCACTGTATCAGTCAAAAAAAATCAGTTTTCATTTCCTCTACAGTAACTCGAAACATAACTGATATTATACTGGATCTTCACTTATCTTGGATTAACCATAATGACTGCATTCTTAATTGTAAAATTTTAAAATTATAGAAAATATATAACAGCTGTTTTCTTATTCTAATATATTGAAGTAAGATACTCTTCAGTTGACAGTGCTCCTTTCTGCCAAGCCGTAAAGTCTAAAAATGAAAGATACATGCATCCTGCAAGATTTATCAATTATTTAATGTACACCAATAACAAGATTGTCTTGGTCATTACCGACTACATAACAAAGCCATGTTACTATCATTCAATAGTACTCTTCTAAGTTTTCCTGTTTTACTTTTCTTCTCAAGGAGTTGGTGACACTTACCAGAATGGGTCCTGAGGTGTCCTGTGAGGGCGTCCCTTCTTCTACAGGCGTAGCTACAGAAAGGACATTTGAACGGCTTCTCTCCAGAGTGTAACTTTATGTGTCTCAGAAGGTTGCCCTTCTGAGTAAAAGAAGCTCCACACTGGTTACAGTGGAAGGGGCGTTCACCTGCAGTAAGGAGAAGAAATGGGAAGTATCAACTAGGGTATGTGCAAGTGACTAATTTGCCATCCACTGTTAACCAAAGCCAGTTCTCTATGCTAAAAATGTTCATCTCCCTCATAAGTCTTTTAAACATTTATCTGCCCAGAATTTGCTTTGTCAATACAGTTACCAAAGTCTTAAGTTTTACATCAAATGATCTTTCCCCTTTTATGTATAAATGTGACAAAAGTCCTATCATTGACTCAGAAGAATAACAATAATAGCATTTATCATTGGTTGAACAATGAGGTGCTGTCACTTTAGGGCCTTACACACAATTGGATGCTTTCCATAGAATATTTCAATCCTTTCTTACAATGACAATAATTAGGTTGTTTTAATTTTAATTAACAAATGAAGAAATTAAAGTCCATAGATCAAACTATTTTGTTACACAGAGCTAGAAAGTAGTCAAGGTGAGAAATGAACCTGGTCAGTTTGGCTACAAAATCTTGTTCTCTTTCTTTTACCATGCTATCTCTTTAAAATTGGCAGAAAATTTGAGCTGAAAGAGACCTTCAGTCTAATTCCCTCATTTAGCTGATATGGAAAGGGGCAACTAAAAGGTACAGCAAATGAACCAGCTTACAAAGCTCATTAGTACAAGATTTTCAAATACGGGCCAGGTTTCTTGATTCTCCTGGTCACTAATAGTAAAACCTTTAGCAAAATTTCCAAATAAAATTATTCATCCAGACATGTCCTGTACATGTTTTTTGTGAAACTTATTATTTGAAAGGAATCTTTTCTCCCCGTTTTTCTATTACTGATATTGCTATGAAGTTTTTAAGCCTCAATTATAAGTTTGGTCTGTTGCCATCAACTGACTCACCAATGTCATCAAATATAAAAACATGTACGCAATGAAGCAGTACAACTGGCAAGTAGGATCAAATTGATAGCCTTATCAAACCATAAAGAAAATGCTATTATTTTAAATTCACCTATCACTAAAGATATACATGAAATAAAATAAAAATTCAAATATAAGTAAACAGTAAAAATGTATCATACTAAAGCTCTAAGTTTAGAATAAAAAGAACATTACAAAACAATTCCCTTTTGGTTGAACTGGACCATTTCTTTACCTGCAGTTAGATGATGATTCTAATTTTAATAGTTTTTCAAAAAGCTTACATTGAAATGTCATGTTTCATATATCTTTAACTGAAACACACATAATAATGAATAATAAAAACTCAAGGTTTTTTGGCCCTTTGACATAATGCAAACTCAATGATTCTTTTATTAAAGAAAGCTAAGAGGTATAAATAAGATAAACTATGGTCACTTTCTGGCAGCAGCTATTGAAAATTCTATCATATAGATTTGTTATAAAACCTAGATAAATTTAAAAATTGGTAGATCAAGTATATCTCAAATTCTGTAGTATTTAGTGTTTTGGGAGTTAATGAGGTACATACCAAAAAGGTGTAATCTGTGGGTGTGGTGGGGGTTAAGGTTTTTTCTTAAGAAATCTGGAGCTCTTATGAGCTACATGTACAAGAGGTCCTATATTGATAATATTGGATTGAAAAAAATCTGTAATGTTAAAGTTCCCTTAAGTGGTATCTTCTTAGTTTGATTAACCTGGTAAGATCTATATCTCCTCATATAAAGTCTTCCAACATAAGGTTTTAAAATAAATTGAATTTTGGCAGATCTTTTTTACTTTTACACACAATATACAACTTGATTATTTGATTCTCTTTCCTAATGGAATCACAGGCTGCAACTTTTTAAATCAAGAATTTTCCACTCCCAACCCCTGCCATAGTAATAAAAGGAAAGATGGAGGCACTTCTTTCACAAATTAAATTTTTAAAGAAAAAGGAAAATAGCAAATATATATTATACTTTTCACTCCAAAAATTTGATTTTACTTTTAAAATATGTCTACGTAAGGTTTCCCAAGCAAGTAACAAATTCGTTAACAATAACTTTACAAGAGTTAAATTACTAAGTGTGGTGAACAATTTGAAGTCATGTCTGCCTTTAGATAATACTCCTATAGCATGCTGACTCCAATTTCCTTTAAACCTCCTACAATGTTTGAGTTGAAATATTTCAAAATCCTTAATTTAGAGTAGTTCATTCTTCAAAAATAATGCTAGTCTAAAAATGAAACAATATCTTTTTTAAAAAGAATTTTAAAATTCACCTAATTGAGTTTTATGCGATTAATGAAAGGGTAATTTAGTTTTTACATTTACAAAATACTCTAGATATCTTCAAATCTTTTTAATAAGAAATTACTTCTGAATTTATATGATCATCCCCAAATGGCGTAGAATAAACAAAAGGTAGTCTAGGTATATCTGGAAATATTGTCCTGTTGCTGAGTGTGGAAGTCATACTATGGAAGTCTTTGGTAAGTTCCCAAGGACATGGGAAGTAAAGAAGAACAAGGCATGATGAAGGTAAATAGTTTTCTTCCTTTTTTTGGTAAGAGAAAAGGGGCATTGAAAATAATACATTTTAATTTCAATAAGATAAGGCTTTGGGAGATATTGATTTGAATTATGAATAAGTCTTGATAGATGCTTTTTACATTTGGATACTAATTTTATGGCTTTCCTCATTTTATTTGCCTAACTCCTGTTGATGTCTTGATTATATGAAAAGATAATTATCATTTCAAGAGTCCACTTGTTTTATTGTGTTCCAAACTAAAGTTAGTTGGAATCATAATGAAACCCTCAAAGACAATACTGTTAGAAACAAGGATTAAAACAGAGGGTAATTTATGAGATTTCTAAAAGTATACATAGTTATATTCCAGGAATAATCCAAATATAGAAGTAATATCCATATCTGTCTAATAACAAATAAAAAGTGAATTGACTCAATTTTTGATAAAGTTATTTCTATAAAACATTAGCAACCCTTTTATTGAATGTCGTGGGGTATTTCCTGGCCTAGGCATTACAGAATAAGTGTAAAATTATCTGATAATTAAGTAAAAGATTCAGTTAACTATCTTTTCTCTATGCAAATGGTACATATGCAAAAACTCCATACTGTCTATGAAACTTTAAAACAACATATCTCAATTATTTCTTGTAAATAATTTGTTCTTTAAATGGACTGCATCAATGTGCCCTTTTTGAGTCAGTTTAGACTTTGTCTGAAAAAAATATTAATCATGTTCTTCATATGTATATCAAAGCAAATTTTAAGAAAATCTCACAAATTTACTAACTACATTAATGGAGCAATCCAAGCTGAAAACATTAAGTAGTTTGTTATAACCATAATGACTAATCTTTCCCCTGGTAGGCACAAAAATCTAGACTAACAAAACTGGATCGAGGAAAATAATTAAGATATGGTCATGTGTCCTTCATGTCCATATCTCAATCTGTTGTTTTGTTTTTATTTTTAAATACAATAGAACAATCTACTGGTCCATTTTTATTTATTGACTGGGTGAGATTATATATTATTTTTATTATGGAATATCTTATATTTCAATATTTTATGTACCTTCATAAACACCTATTTCTAGACCTGCATTTAAATATTCAATTAAAATGCAAATATATATGCATCAACTTGCTTTGGTGAATCAAAGACAGAGGGTGCTCCTATGTTGGGTGGAACAACCTACAAATATGCAGAATCTCAAGCATCTGCTGAGTGCCTTTGAGCAAGAGGATGGCTGCACAAAGCTGCAATGTACAAAATACGGTGCTGAAAACTGAGTTACAAGATGGGAGTAGATTAAGGAGAGGCAAAATTAGGGAATTCTATATGTATAATGTCCAATCGATATGTGTTCATGCATGAATTGATTTACTTTCCCTATTTGTTTACTCTTCTCTCTATATTCCCAGTGAAGAGTGCCTGGAGTATCCGATGACAATATTACCTGATTACTTACTAAAGTAGCAATACCAAATCAATAAAATGAAACCATTAATAAGACACTGCAATTGGTACTTTAGTAGAGTATGACAGAGAAAGAAGAAGAGTGGATTCGATCTGATGCTCCATGATATTGTAATGAATTGGATGGTTGTGCATCTTTTTTCACTATCAATTTTATATTAGAGGCTGGGCACGGTGGCTCACGCCTGTAATCCCAGCACTTTGAGAGGCTAGGGTGGGTGGAACAACTGAGGTCAGGAGTTTGAGACCAACATGGTGAAACCCTGTCTCTACTAAAAATACAGAAATTAGCTGGGCCTGGTGGTGGGCACATGTAATTCCAGCTACTTTGGAGGCTGAGGCAGGAGGATCGCTTGAACCCAGGAGGTGGAGGGTGCAGTGATCCAAGATTGCACCACTACACTCCAGCCTGGGCGACAGAGCAAGACTCCAACTCAAAAAAAAAATTATATTAGATATTCTATGAACTAAAAACACTAAAATATATGTTTCTCAAAGGCATTATAAGGTTTTAAGACAGTATCTTTAATATGAGAGATAAACAATTGATAAGAGTGGGAAGTTCTAAAATGCAGACTAGTTCATGGTATTAAGGAGAAAACATTTGGCTAATGACTAGATTCTGACTACATTTTTCTCAATCTAGTTTAAATTAAAGAAATGCAAATAGACTTTCTAGTCTCAAAATGGTATTAAAGTGGTGTTGAAAATGGCAGGACACACTCAGATGTATAAACTGGATCATCAGAAATATGTTGAAGTGTCTAGTTTAATGATATCATGTCCACAATTTCAAAGTTGACAAAGCATGACAGGTATCACAGCTTCTCCGTAAATGGCTATTAACTTTAAGAAAAATCTAGATCTGAAGAAAGTATAATAATTTGCACAATGCTCCAATAAACACTGATTGACAAAAAAAGATAGTGTTGCAAGTGTACTTTAACATACTCCTTGCTGTTATGAGTTGAGTGAGTCTCGTATTCCTAGGATTTGTGGAAATCTGTATAACTGTTTATAAACTTTATTATGCCAATTAGATTATTTTCAAAAATAAAATAATTCAACTCTACCACACTAGTAAATAACAAAAGGACAGTAGAGTAGGTATATAATTATTATTTTATTTACAAATTAACAATCCTCATGAATATTATTGTAGCTACAGTGAATCACTGATTAACCTAAATTTTCTAAAAACTGTACTCTGGTTCTTTGAATTTTCTTAATTCAGAACATAAAAGATCAATTAAAAATCTTCTAAATACTGTTTTTAGTTTATTTTTTAGCTTAAAATTTAACATTGCATGCAATTCAACTGAAAAGCCATTAGACTGACTGTGTTTTGTTTGTATTTTACTAGATAGGAGAAGTTACACATTTGAATGAGTGTTATCTTCCTTAATACAATCACTCTTACATAATGAATATATTATAACTTTGTGGAACTTGTTTTTAGAACTGTCGTTAGAATTAGTTCATGAGCGTAGATGAAAAGTAGATTATTTTATAGTCTTTTCCCTTTACTTTTTATCAAATAGATACCAAGCTTGATCTTTCAACCTTTTCTAAGACACTTAAAAATTAAAGAAAAAAGTTACACTAGTAATATAAATATTTTTAAAACATCGTGCTGTTTAAAAAGGAGATAAAAAACGAAAAAGCAAAATGTAATTGACTGTATGATTGGAATAAGTATATATGTTCTAAAGCTGATGATTTTGATTATGATAACACTGATTTTAATGTATAACTTCTCACTGTAATTTTTAAGATATCAGCCTTAGTTTACAGTCATACCTTATAATAAATTCTTGGTATACTGACATACCAAGCAATAGTGTGTCTGAACAAAACCAGTATGGGCATCAGAAAACCCTGGTTCTAGCTTCAGCAATGCCTTTACCTACATAAGGGATAATGGACAAATCACTTGACTATTTCTTCATGTGTATTATGAAAGGTTCGTATTAAAAAAGACTTTGACCTACCTTGTATCTTTAATGTTTTAAGCACGTAATTGTTAAACTATTTAGAAATAAAACTTTTAAATAAATTTATTGTGATTTATATTTCTTCCAAAAAAGTATATTTTAAAACTCTGAGAATATTAGTTATTAATATTTTACTGTACACTACACTACTTTGCATTATAGTGAAAGCCATCATTACCATTAAACCAATTTTCATATGAACTTGAATCTTTTTTGTTAAGAGTCAACGATCCTCCTAGCTTACCACTTACTATCTCATTTCTGTTGCTTTTTAAGAAAAAAAAATTGGCAAAGGGTTTAAAAAGATTTAAATAAGACCTTCTCATTTGGTTAGTTTTCACAAAAAACTTTTCACCTCTCAAATGTTTAAAAATATAGTATGAATTAATCTGTGGGCTTTTTCCTCACTCTATCCCAGAATTACATATTCCAACCTACACACCAGCCACTATTTGTCATATTCAATCCTACATATATCCTTGCAGGAGTTATAACCAACAATTACAGAAAGATGGCAGCATCCCTGAACTACAAAAGCACCTGCCTGCTACTGAGACCTGTGGTAGGATAGGCAGAGATCAATCAGAAATTGTATTTCAAGGAGTTAACTGGATAAAGTGAAAATTATTCACTTACATAAATGCATGAGTGCCATTTTGTAGTATAAACTCTTATCTAGCAAACTATATTACCTGCCCATGGGTATGGTAAAATATGTATAGAAATACAAAAAGATTAAGTTACACAATGAAATTCTCCTATACCTTTTGAACCCTTATCATATTATTGCTATATTAAGAACTGTGGAAACTGAATCCCAAACTTCTTTTCTGATATGCTATTCAGATTTGAAGGCTGGAAGTCAAGACCCAGGCTACTCTCTGTTTTTCTGCAATCCAATACTAGCAGAATTCTGAAAAGGTAGTTTTCACCACTGCCACCCCTGAATAAAAAGGAAAGAGAATAGATGTCAGGTAATATCAACATCAGATGTCACAGGCAGTCATCAGGTTATTCTTTCAGCTGCTTACCAGTGTGACTCCTTTTATGTACCATAAGCACATTGGGCCCAATGCAAACCATGCCACAGACGTCACATTTCAGTTTACCATTCGGAAGCCGGATTCCTCCCTCGCCTTGAAGCTCCTGGACTTTCCTGTTGTCAGCCACCTCGCTGCTCTCAATTAGGGGTTCTTCTAGGCTGCTACCCTCATCATGGCCCCTGATCTCATCTTCACGGCTCAGGGGTTTCCTGTCACACTCTTCATCACTCTGCATTTCTAGCTTTACTGAATTTGCTGTAATTTGAAAAGAAGAAAATAAATTTTAAATACATGTTATGTATTCTCACCTACATCTCTTTTCTACTCATTGTCATCCTACTAAATGGATGAAAATGATATATAAAGTAGAATAGAGTTCATCATCGAATGCCATGTTAATACATACTGTGTTCTATGATATTTTAGTGAAATGTCATGGAAGTGAAGATAGCTCAGGAAAACTCTAGGTAAACAGAATGACTATTTCCTCACATATTTGTTTCTTTCACTTAGACATTTGCTTTTTAAACAAGTTTTTTTAATAATCCTGGTATTGGCTTTTGAGTCTGTCACTAAGACTCCTAGGACTGAGATAGGATTATGGAAGAAACAAGATTAAATATTGCTTAACACACTGAACTATGCCTCCTCTTAATTTAATGATCATTATGTATACTTCATATTCTCTGTTTCACATCAGAGTACTTGTATAAACCTGCTTCTGAACAGGGCAAGAGAAACAATTCAGGATCTTAATCCAGCAAATGTCTTTGACATATGAAGATACACTGTCAAGGCAATGTTCTAAAATCAAACTAAACACATATATTCAGTTTCGAGCTATATAAATGTAGTACACAGACCTCACATGCTCTTAAGTTACTCTGCCTATTTTTTCTATCTAAAAAATTACCTATGGAACATGTTGTTTGAAAATCAAAGTATTCCAACTCTAATCTATGCACACCAAAAAGCAGCTAATCACAGTAATGGCATAGCATGCATGTACACACTTGCCACTGTTAAGAAATTTAATGCCTTCTGTTTGCTGTTTTTGGATCATCCCACAGAAAAGTTGGAATTTTGTTAGCACAGCCTTCATTCTGGATTGCTGACAGAGTCTTTTCATAAAGCAGAAACAAGCTTTAAGTGAGTATCAGTTTTTTATCCAGTAATATAGAAAATTTCTTAAGAAGTCATATCAAAGTTACTAAGCAAAACAACTTATTTGGTACTACTTGATTAGAGGAAATATTTTCATAAAAAGGAAGTAAGTTCTTTTCATTGCCGTTGTTTTCTTAGAGAAACCACACAGTCTGTGATTTGTCATTAGTACTTATCACAAGAGGGTGCACTATCAAAATGGCTCTGTGGTAGAAAAGTACTGGCATTATAATCTTGAACTAATTATTTAAACTGAGTCTCATGTTTGCAAAGTACAGATGAACTCAGATTACTGAATAAAGTTCGAGCAGAACAGTTTAGGTATTAAGAACGAGGATAGTGAGGAACTTAGGTTTAATTTCACCATGTCCTTTATAAAACGGGGATGATAATGGTACCGACTTCCTATGGTTGCTGTGAGCATTAAATGAGTAAATACAGGAAATGTGCTTATCTTTTTTTTCCTGGATATATAGTGCTCTATTTCATAGGGTTTTTATGAAGATCAATCAACTTATGGTACATAAACTACTCTGAGATCTACAAAGTGATATGCATCCTTCCTGGACCCATTTCTAACAGAGTACCAACTATATTGAGTTTTACCCTATTTACAAATTGTTACTCCCTTACTAGTTTTTAAAAAGAGTTGGGACAGTATTTTATCCATCTTTATATTGCCAGCATGCTCAAGAATGTTGTGGTATATAGGAGATGTTCAAGTAGTATTCACTGAGATGTTTTACTAACTTAAGAGTTTTATTGCTTTAAACTTGCTTTGTATGTTTAAAGAACCCATAAACATGGCAAAGAAAAAACAAAAAACATAAAGAATAAAAATTACATATGAAGTTCTTTTGTAACCAAGCTCACTATCTTTCAGGCCCTATCTCAAAAGCAACCAGTATCATAATTTTCAAATTCCAAATAGTCTGAATCCATTTTATAAATCTAGCATCATTTGTTCATCCAGTTAATCATTGGAAATTTGAAATTATTTCTTGTTTCTTGCTATTACAGACATTATTTTACAATACCACATAGTTCTGTCAATCTGACAGATTAAAACTGGTATTTTATTATGGTTTTTAAAAAGCATTTTAAAATTATGAGTGAAGTTAGACATCTTTTTCCATGTTGAAACGTTCTTTATTTTTTCTCAGAATTATTTATCAAAGTTGTCTGCCCATTTTTCTATCAGGTTGTCAGTCTTTTCTCACTGAATTTAAATGCTCTTTATATATTAAGGAACTTAGCCCAGTGTTTATGATATCTTTTGCAAACATTTTGGTTTATCTCTTTACTCAAGGGCATTTTTTGGCATATATGCTAATTTCACATGTTGAATTTTTAAAGTCTTCAGTTATGGCTCCTGGATTCTATATCTTGCATCAACAGGTTTTTCCATAATCTAAGTAATTCTTCCATGGTATTTTTTCTGGTAAGGGAGACTTTTAAAATCAATGCGAAATGCTATTGGTTATCCCATATAGTGTTATATTCCATTCATAATTGCCATTTAAAATTAAAATTAAGAAAGAAAATCACTGAAAAGTGTAACTTTATACAGCATGACTTTATACCACTTAGTGTGCATAAAGTGTATCAGAATTCCATTTCAGGAATGAAGAAATACATAACTGAAAGTGTAGTTTTAGAACCTGAAACTATGAGTCTTTTAAATTTCAAAATAGCTCAGAATTATGAAGAATATGACTGACATTACACTACTAAGTTTAATTGGGAAATTAAAACATAACATGAAACAGATAAAAATGTGATTTTTAAAAGTGTGAGATATTACAAATATAGTTAGAACTTTTTATCTATAGAAGAATATACTACAAATAAATACAGAAAAAATGTATATTTTGCTAAAACCGAAATAGACAAGAAATAGTAAAGCCGTAGTAATCTATTCTCTAACAATACTATAAAGAAGTATGTTTAGAATATATGAATGTATATAATTTTGCTGTATTTATACAGTAAATCAATAAAGTGCAACACATTTTAATATACGCATGTCATACATTAAATTTTGCATTTACATGATGCATATATACAAACAAAATCCCAGTGTAACTAATCTTTCACCCATCTCACTACAATTAGGTTGAAATTCTAGAATAAAAGCAATTATTCTTTGAATCTTAACTATTACATAGAAAAGTTTTCTCCACTCATAGAAACTCTCCCATGGTTTATTTTCACTATTTAAGATGTTTGCAATTAATGTAGAACACCTAATATTTTAACTTATTAATGATTAAATGTAAGTAGTAAACTTAAGTGTATTCTAAATTATAACTTATATATATATAAGACTTTTGTTATAATATTCGTAGCTACACTATATGATGCCACAACTATTGAATTACAACTATTAACCACTGTACAATAATATTCAGAGTGCTTTACTTTTCAAATATTTGAAATTAGATTTATATGAAATTTATTTTACAATTTGGTAACACAAAGACATCCTCATAAATGGGCTATAAAGATGAAAACTTGTTCATTTGAGTAAAATGAAAAATCACTGTTACAATTCTCAATACCAAGAGTTATTTTTCAAGCTTGTTTCTCTGATATGAAATAAAGAATGTAAAACTTGGGCATATCTGTGGAAATGTACACACGTTATCATATGCTAATAAGCAATAATGGTTTAATTTAAAAAGAATTTTGCCAGAACAAACTGTTAGCAATGAAAAGGGGATATGAGACAAGATTTTAGTTTTGATGATAAAGATGTTTCTTATACTTCAGTTGTAATGGCACTTCTATTTAGCATTTATATTTATAACTGTTACATCCATATTTTAGTAGACTCAGGTTTGTGAACACAAGGAAAGAATAAGTTAATAGAAAAAAACTGTTATGGTCAAGTTTATGTAGAAAAAGCTTTGAAGATATTTCATGATAAAAAGTGCCACATATTTTTCCAAACAAAAAAAAGCTTCAGGATATAAACATTTTCATGAATTCAAGCTTTTCCCCTCTTCTTCTTTATGCTTTCAAAATACTATTTATAAACACTAGAATGTAATCTTGATGCCATAAAAACACCTAGTTTAAGCAATTCCACTTACAAATTACAAGAAGTAAAGACACTTGCACAGATACTCTTTTTTAAAGTGAATTTCAAGCCAAACAATTTTCAATTATAAAAGTTCCTTCAGTAACCATTCTAGGCTCTCTACAATCAAAGGCTTCACAATAGTCATTGCTTCCAGATACATAATAGTGAATGGACAGTTACACTAGACTTGCCTTTAATTCACTAATATGATAATAAAAGGATAACTGAATAAAGGCCTTTACACAGGTAAACAGGTATAGATCATTGTGAAAAAAAAGTAGAATCTAAAACCAAATGGAGCAAAATCATGTTATTTTGTGAATCTATTAAAAACAAATTAATTTAATCCAATCAATGTCATAATGGACATTTTCTTTGCCACCATTGTACTTGAAAAAGTAAAAAAAAAAAATCAAAACTCAAATTTTACTCACATAAGAATGAAAAGGATAATAAAATGCACAACAGTCATTACATACATTTGTAGACCTTACATTCATTTATAGAACTCATCTACCTTAGCCAATAAAGAACAAAGACAGCACTGAATTCTCTTAAAAAATCATTAAACCAGTAAATATTTATTAAGTATCTACTACTTGCCTAATACTTTGTCAATAATAATAGTAAAGGTTTAAAGCTAAAGCAAAAAAAATACTATTAACTTAAATAAGTAACCCATATTAACACAAGAGTATGTACTCCAAAAATGGCCATAAAAGAGTTCATGAGTTAGAATACAGGAAATATTTTACAAACATATGTAATTTGGTTACATAATAAATTTATTGAACTGAACAATATATAAATGTAAAAAGGCACTTCTTTAAAACCTGGACATTTTACTTTACTACTTTTTATGCTATAACTTCACAAAGTCACCCATTTGTGCAAGACAGCATATGATTTTGCAGTCTGGAAATTTATTTCTTCAATAATATGAATTCTCAATTTTTAAAATTTTTAAGAAAAAGATCACTTTATATGCATGATAAATATATTAATTTTAAATTTTCAAATTAAGATAATAAATTCTACCCTCATCATTAGAATTTTATTTTCACAAACTGCTATAATTTTTAAATGTCAAGTTCTGGAAACACCATACATAGTAATGAGAACTGAAAATATCAATTTAAGACATTTTTAAATATACATATTAAACTTTCTACAAGTTAAAACTTTATTATTAATATGACCTGATTCTACTAATCTACAAACAAGTTAGTCAAGTTTCCTAACCAGGAAAATAATGCAGAGGGATTATGATTTATTTTCTCTATTTAAAGTGATGTATTTATTGATCTTATAGAGTATAAAATAAGCTTTCTAGTTTAATTTCTATGAAATTGGTGACTTATTTTTGTTTAGTTGCCAAAGTGTATATTTTAATTTTAATTTTTAATTTTTCAAGGAAGTAAATATTATGGGAATTAAATATTTTTTTCACAGTGTGGAACAGAAGATAGTAAAATACCATTCTTACTTACCAAATGAAAAAAAGTGTATTTCAGGTGTGATGTGTAAGTGGACTTTTTATATGGTTGGTTTCTGTTCCCTGGCAATTCAAGTGGGCACTTAAGGGATTTTATAACTTATAAGCATGAACATTTCCCAGTCTATGCCAGACACTTGAAATGGTGTTATATACACTAATTGAACCAATATGGCTATCTAATAATTTATTGAAGTTGCTTCTACACTAATATAACTCTCTCTCACGTAAACTTTCTAAACAGAAACACCAAACATGATTAAATCCATGTTAATATCCCAACAGCTGTTTAAATAATGTGTTAGGAAAACAAAGTGCCTTCAAAACTGTGATGTAAAGCCCAATTATTTACTAAGAATTTACCAACAGTCTAAACAATTAAAGTAAAACCACAACAAAGGTATATGCAATCATTTTTTAATATCCTCAGCAAAATTTCATGCAATGTATTTGTTCCTTTTGACTGTGGATAAATAAATGGATGAGTCTTGAAAAACAGTTTCTTCACAACATCCTTAAAGAATTTGTTTTATAAACGGTGGGACATGTCCAGACACTGGTGTCACTGAGCTGCAGCTGAGCCACTTCTGGGTAGCATTCTAAATCTGTATATCACATCACCTCACTTTTCTCTCCATCCTCTTTCTTCTCTGTTCAATATAGCTATATTATGTATTTCTTAAACCCACTGGAGTTACTCCAGATCAAGACAGTACTGATTTCTGAAATACTGTTATTATTCCAACAATAGTGTAGTAAAGTTACCCTGCACCTGAAGGCAGAAAACCAGGGTCTCTACCACCTCTTCTGCCATTTAACTTGTTATGGGACCTTGGGAAATTTGTTTATCCTGACTCAGCCACTAGTACCATCTAAAATATGGGGGGAAATAACACTTGATGTTTCTGAAAACAGCAGGCTAGATAAAATAATCTCTGGTAGACTACAGATTTAGAATCCTTTTAATGATAATAGTAATGATAATAATAATAGAAAAATAAAACAGTTTTTATGATTTATAAAATACTGACATATTCTTTTTTGATACTCAGAATGACTGCATTGTAGGAAGGGTAGCCACAGATAAACACTGAAGCATGGTTGTTAAGTGGCTATTGAAAGGATACAAGTTAGTAAATGTGAACTTGATATCAATTCAAGATCTTTTGACTCGTAGCCTATCCATCCTTCTATGACATGATACTGGCTCTCCAATGAAACAAGTAACTTACATTAGTATTATATTTAGGACAAAAATCAGTCATAGGCAAACAGTTCTTACGGTAGCTGTAAAACTATGTCCACCAGTTGAAGAGGATACCAGAAACTTAAGTCCCGAATGGTCAGATAAAGAAATGTTAAGTTTCCATAAACCAAACTATTGAATTATGACTTTCTATCAAAACTGGGATGCATGTCTCACTCAAAACAACTACCTCATAATTTTAAAATTTGCTTTGCTGTTGTCAAGGGTATGTCCATGCAGTACACCTAGTTGCTGAAGAATCTGTCAATATTCAATCTTTTCCTCCTCCTCTCTATTTTTTTAACATTAATTTCTATACTCCTTGTCCTGCTATGAATTATCGGTGGTAGGTTAAGGCAGCAATTTGAGCAGTAAGTCAATATTATCAATTTTAATCTCTAAACCAATAGTTTATGAAGGATAGCATTTCAGGATTTCCTTTGTGGTCAAGTTTTGACAGTCTTGTGTCAATTATTGATATAAAGATAAATCACACCTGTGAGTTGGTAATGTAGAATTTTATCTACATTTAAACAGATCTTGGCAACAAAATAAAGACCAAAAAGTTTCCTCCCTACTTTCATGGAAAAAAAATGTAAACGAATGGAGGGCAAAATATCTAACTTCCTGATGATCCTGCACACTCCATGAAACCTTGTATAGCGTGCACATCATCAAAATACACACCTTTATTAGCTAACACAGTAGCACCATTGTGGCCCACAGACGGAGTTTCTATTTTTTGGCGGACAACTAGTTCATGAGAATTATACAATGCAGAGAAAATAAACCTACTTTAAATAGAAATGCCTCAGCCAAACAGCAGTCTATCCCTTTATCCAACCTTTCGATGAATGATTTCATTTGCCAAGTCCTAAAGGTTCAATATCTTCTATGTCTTGCACATCTGTTTTTGCATCTTCTTGGGCAATACAACTACTTTAAGATCCCCATGACCTCTCACCTGGAACAATATCAGAAACTTTCTAACTGGTCTCTTTCCTTCAAACTTTTGCCACACTCTTCTCCCCCAATTCATCTATATTCAGTTGTTAGATTAATCTTCCTATTGCAGAGTTCATATTACTCTTCTAAATGTCTTCAAGAACTGCCTACTGCCTACACATTAAATACAAAGGTATTGGTATGGAATTTAAGAATATCCAAAGTGTAGTCCCATCATATCCTTCAGCCATATGTCCTATGAGTCTTTTAGTTACTCATGCCTTTTCCAGTGAAACCACTGTCCTCAGTTTTCCAGAAACACATTTATACATCTCTACTTACTAGGTTTTTTTGTTTTTTCTCAAGCACCTGCTTTTATTTTCTGGGATACTTCCCCTATTTCTATAAAAATTAGCACATCATTAAAGGATCACTTATCTGCTACCTTTTTTCATGAGTGTTTTCTGAGCAAAAAGTTCTTCTCCTATGAAATTTACTTCACTTTACATTACAGTGATTTCATCAGAACATTTGCCTTACCTCTACACTGCCTATAGTGTAAGGTCCTTGAGAGGAAATACTGCCTTTATTCATAGTTGTAAAATCATTCTATCCTTACACATACAAAGCACCCAATATGTATTTGTTGAACCAGTGCTGCTGATTTACGTATGATATTTCTGTTTTTAAATTACGAAGACCTCACATAAATCAAATACACATGATGAATAAATATAACAATACAGATTTAGGTTTTAAACACAAATCATCAATATCAAAATAACATTAATTAAAGAACCATTAATGACAGGAAAGAATTTAGGTGCGTTATATATATCAACTGAATTAATCAAAATAGCCACTCCATGAAGTACGTAATTTTATCCTCATTTTACAAATGAGGAAACTGAAGCTTAAAATCAGTGAAGTAACACATTCAATTCATACAAATATTGAGAGTCAGAGCTGTGACTGGAACTCAGAACTGATGACCAAATTCTTGCTATTTCCCTATGATGCCAAAAGCAAAGTAGCTAGTAATAGTAAAGAAAAAAAACAGATGTCAATATGTTAAAGAATGATACCTTTGAATCAGTGTATACAATCTGATATGTTTTTTACTCCACAGTGGAATACAGGTGTAGCAGATTGCCAGTCTGAGGTAAAGAGAAAGTTGTCTGAGTAAGCCTGTTTTGGAAGAAGACCAGCTTACACTGCCAAATTTCCTGAGCGTGGATTTTATTTCATATAAGAGCAATCTACTTTGAACTGGTGTTTGGCAACCATCTGCTTAACGTAACTGTAAGAGGCTTGTGAAGCAAATTACATTGTGAAATTATCTTTTTAATAAGAGCAGTACAAAATTCTTAACCTAACTTCTGTAAGAAGTAAAATCCAGCTGAGTGGGTATGTTCCCAAAGGGACCCACAAGGATTCCCAGAGGTCACTAAGGACGCTTAAACAAGGTCAGAAGGCAAGGCTGCTGGCGGCTCAACAGAAAGAGATAAGGAAGAGAGCAGGATTTCTATCACTGGGCAACGGCAACAGAGGGAGGGAGGAGCCAAAGCAGTGCAACACACTTCAGCAGCTTTACCGGGTCTCTGAAGTGAAGCAACAGGGGAACCCAACAGGTTTCCATACCCCAGGTTCAAACATCCCTGGGTCATACACATTGACATCGAGGCTACAAAAGTTCTTTCCCTGCTGTTCTTCCATAAACACTGTACTACTGGTCTGAGTCAAATAAACAGAGTCTGCATTTGGCCCTCAGATGCAGGATTGGTCAGTTAGAAATTAATAACCAGTAAGATCTATCAAGTAGTGAGAAAGAGAAAACTTGTGGTGATTAAGGGGAATTAAAGCAATTTTTGACAGATCAGTGCCAGATACTTATTTTCCACAATGTAGCAGCAGCAGTTTGTTGTTGTTGTTGTTGTTCTTCTTCTTTACAATGCTCATACCTAGTTTTCTACTCCTAATGAATGAATGAGCATTTTAAGTAGGATTACAGAATGCATATAATTAAAGGCAAAAACATTTACAAAGCATCCTATGAAGTATTTAAATCATGGAAATACCAGATTATAACATCTATGTTTAAATGCTTACTTATATAAATGTTGGAAGCCACTTGCTAGCTCCCTGCTTCCTACTGTATGAAGTGAAGATAATATCCTCTACATTAAAACTGTGAAGACTGGAAAAGCATGCAATCACTTAAAGCAAGCAACATAGCCCTGTGGTTAAAGAGCAAGGGCTCTAGGTCCAGCACCCTGGAGTTTAAGGCCAGGTTCGTTCATTTATAAGTCACATGACCTTAGGAAACCTAAGTTTCAATTTTCTCATCTATAAAATCAAAATAATGACAACAGCTGCCTCCTAGGGTTGTCCTGAGTATTAAATAAAATTGTATAAACAATACACTTGGAACTACTTGCTTCTTATTAATATATCTATGTGAAAGCATTTCATAAGTATCAACATCAAACAAACATAAATCTGGGGTTATGTTTACTACATGGAAGTACAGGGAAGATGCAGAAGGCTTTATGAAGGAAATGGCATGTAAAATAGTACTAAAAGTTGGATATGACTTATATAAAAGAAGAACTAGATGGCACTCAAGATAGGGGCAAGCATGAAGAGAGGAAAAAGGCATGAGTACATGTTGGTTGTGAATGACACCATTTTTTCCAGAATGGATACACTCAATGGATAATATACAATAGAACATATCCTAAAACCACAGAGCATTTAAAATTGAGCAAAGTACAAGAGAATTAATGCTTGAATGGCAGTAATTTCAAAAGACAAATGCTGTTAACTTATTAATAGGACAACCAAGTATGAAGAACTCTTAAGAAATCATTCAAAATTACTCACTGAGCACCTGCTCTGTACCAGGCACCACGAAGCAGTAGTGAACAAGACAGATACATTCCCTGCTTTTATGGCACTAGTGAAAGGTATGCATATAGATATATGTGTCTGTCTTTTTATATATATAAGCAACTATGCACTGTAAAATATTTAATGAGCAATACAAGGATTCATAAGCCCCACACCACCATGCCAGAATATTCAGCTACTATAAAACCTCAGTGCAAAATATAGAGCATAAATAATCAACAAATATTCTCATAAGATCACTAATTCAAAAAGATAACTTCTCATTGTAAGTAGTTACTTTAAGCATGCCATCCTTGTATTTGTGAACTGAAGTCTTGGTTATTCAATGAGTTATCTCCATTTCTAAATCACCATTTAAACAGCTTTCTAAAGCTCATAACTAAAGTATGTGAAACATATTAAAGTGATGACTATGCACCATAGAAAGCAAAGTAGACAGACATATAAGGTATAGTTAAAGGGCATATAAATGGCTTTCTTTTAACACTTGTGTATGTATGATATTACATTAATCAGATGTAAGAGAGTTCCTTATCCATTTAAAAATACTTCTTTTAGAATACTTGATGCTTTCTGGTCAGGTAAGTAGATCAAAATTTATACAAACTGGGTTTTATTTCTTCTATTAACTGGTGATTTAGCACTGAAGATCACATCTATGTCACCTGGAATTGTACAAGTTACCTTCTAAGGGGCTTAGCTTCCTTTTCTGTGAAATAAAGGTAATGCTACCGATTTGTGCAGGTAAAATGCTTAAAAGCCTACCTGCCTGAGGTTAAGGATCTTAAGGTCCCTTCAATCTATGGTATCTATCTATGATTACAGAATACAACCAGACTATTCTTTAAGTTTTCCATAAATAACAATTTGTGTAATTGGTAATAGTTATTGGTCACTATTATAAGTAATAGTATAAATTTATTTATACAAAATCTGGGGTAAAGATCTACCTTTTAGATCACATATTTGAAACGTCTGGGCATGCCTAATTCTATGTGTTCAGGTGTTTCTGAGGGTCATAGGTAAAAGCATGTTTAAATGTGAATGTACATTTATACATATGCATAGTAATATACTGGAAACCTAGTTGGTATGTGTGCAGGATGTTCTTTATTAAGCAATAAATGTTAGCTACTTAAGCAAAAGATAGTGCAATGTGATAAATGTGCCATCCCCATGTGTTTCCTTCAGTTGAATGTTGGCTAGTATCCAGGAGGGAGAAAACACACACACACACACACACACACACACACACACAACATACTCAAAACTTTAAAAAGAAAAAAGAAGTGCTACAACCTTCACAAAAAGCATAAAGTCCTTGACTCAAATAATGTTATGAAGACTCTTCTGAATTTCTCTTTTTCTCTACTTTGTCCCCGTCAGGATGTGAACCCTGCCATTATGTATGGCTTGCGGCTGTTTGGGAGTTTCCTCCCCATCTGGGACTAAGAGGCAAATTGCAGGTTTCCAGGGAGGGGAATGCTGTTACAGTAGGGATCACCTCAGCACTTCACATGGATTGTGCCTAGCCTAGTGATACCAGCTACCTTGATCCCTGTGACAAGCTAGCCACCAGGTTTTGTACTCTTTGTTACTGAAATTATGTAAGGTATTAGTTTTAGAAGCCTAAAGTCTTTGTTTTCTCAAAGGCTATAAACATATGAATAACCATTAAAAGTTATTTTAATCTTCTTCCACCTTTAAAATGAATGCAATTATTTCAGGAGCACAAGAATTCCCGAATCTACGTTTTTGTCACTCTCATCTTCCAAAGCCCACTGTCTTCTTTCACACTCCTAGCAGGTTGCCTTTGTTCAAGGCAGCACATGCTTACTAAAAGCACCTGACAGCAATTACCGCAATGAACTTTAAATCTTTTTCCTCTAACTACTGTAGTATTCTAGAAATAATGACACAACTTCTCACTGCTTTAAAATGTCAAGCTGACCACTCAGAAATTCAAGCTATGTTTCTCCAGGAAGGTCCAAATGATGAGACATTTTATGTGCCTTCCATTTTATCTCCTGTTCCATTACTACACTGCCTAACACCTTCACAGTATAGCAACACCTCCTGGGACAAGCTGAAACCTAAATGAAACACAAAAGCTGCAACCTGAACAAAGTTAGCAATATGTTTTTGGCAAGAGTAAGCTGTTTTTTTCTTTTCTTTCCATGATCTGACACTATCAGCTGAATTAATTTTATTTTCTTCCTCACAGTGCTATTTCTAAGTAGATTAAACCTATTGCATGACTAATTTACCTAGTGGCAAGGTAGCCTGCCTTTAATTGTGCGATATTTTTAACCATAAACACCTAACACACTCCATTATTTTCATGCATTTTGAGATTAAGTTTATATTCAAATGTCTGGTTTGACTTTCACACTCAGAGGAAAAAAAAATTCCTTTCAGAAATTTGAACTAACTTCCTTAAACTCAGGAAGCTTTAAACTTCCAGCTGACACAAGAATTATCAGTTTACAAGGTTCATATGAATACAGTAAAATCCTGATAGTTTTTCAAATAATATGGAAAACACAGGACATATTTTAACTATGCTTAGTTATGGGAAAGAGATGCCCATTATTAAGAGATCAAGTTAAGCTTTAAATGCCATTATCTTTAACTACATAGCAAAATTAAATTAAGGAATAGAATCCTGAAGAATAGCTTTTACAGATAGAAAACTTAGCTTCTTCCTTTACATATTAAAACTCCTGTTACTACTTACATCTAATATATAAAGAGTGTGGACTTGGGAAGTCACTGGATTGTATTCCAGGATCAGGGAATTCACTGATTTTCAGGATTCCCTCTTGCCATCATCACTTTCCCATAATAACAGAAAAACAAATAAGCAAATCAATTTATCAAATACCAATTTATAGAGTACAGTATACACACTAGACACTGTTAAGTATTGGATCTATAGGACTAGACAAGACAGGCTTATAGTCTGGTTGGGGATACAGACAAACCTAACAAGGTAAGCAGTTCTCAGACAAGGACAGTACAGAACGCCACATGGGAGCACGGTCTCAGTGCAAAATACAGTGTTTGAGAGGAACTAAAAGGAAAAGACAGGAGAGTCAACGACGGTGTCCAGGTCTCTCAAAATAATACTGCTGGAAAAGAAAGGTTTAAGGCCCTTAAAGGTTAAAATCCAGGGCCAATAGGGCCACAGGAATTTATTATTCTGTGGGCTAGTTTTGTGAAATTGGTAGCAATGGAAGGAACAAATGAACAGAGAGGGAAAAGTACTAACATCTAGTGAAGGTGCATTTAGTTGGGCGTCCTTCAACATTAGCCATTTAATTACCAAACAAATCTTTCCAATAAGTATTAGTTTCATTTTATACAAAAGGAAGCTGAGGATCAGGACCACATCACAATGTTGAATAATACTGTGTGTCTGAACCAGCCAAATACCCTCATTATGTATATCACTGGCTATAAAAGAAACCAAGTTGGGGGAAAATGTTTCTACAAATATGGGAATTCAAAGTCTTTTTCCATTAATGGGGCCATTTATATTTTACTAGATACTATACAAACAAATATTTATTAGTAACTGATATCTGAATATTACGGAATAAAAATATACAACATTTAAAAACACAAGCTCATTTACTAAGTAATAGGCAAACAAGTGAAATGCAACAAAATAAACAGAAAAATGCAAAGAATCTGCAGAGAAAAGGAATTGAATGTAACGAGTGAGTTTAAGAACTGGGCTTTTACGCCCGGTTTCAAGGTGATAAAATGTGAGTGTTCATTCCTTCACTCAACAAATATTTATGGGGTAAGACTTTTGTACCGGACACACTGCTAAGCACTAAAGATACAGTAACAATCAAGCCATAGTCCTAACTTCATATTCTGTTTATATTAGGTGGAGACAAGAAGAGATCACAATCCCACTACAAGTGTCTGTCTGTGTGGAAGGAGAAGTATAAAGGCACAGAATTGGGAAGAAGAAAGGCTCACAGCAATTCACTTAAATTCCTGAACTAAGGACTTGTAGCCCTACCATATATCCCTTTATCAGAAAGCAGAATATTTACTGTTGAAGATACATGTCAGTATCAACAGGTAGTTCTCACTAATACTTCCTAGCCTGTTTCCACGACAAATATAAACAAAATTATATAATTGTCTTTTTTCACTATGAACTTAGCCCTACAATGCAAGCAAAACCTAAAAATATTAAAATGAAACACACACATACACACACACAATTTTTGAATGAAAACCTAAAATGAAACCTCTTCAACCCATTATATTCACCATCATTAGATACAAGATCGCTATGACAAGTAATAGAACATTGGTCAAAAATAATAGCTTGGTTAAAATTTCTTCATGCTGATAATAGTTGCAAGCTTTCACTATGTTGCCATATTATCAGTCTTAATGAAATTCACTTGTCAGTTCTGTTTTGAAACAGTGAATTCTCGCCCAGCATGACAGGGGTAAAATTAAAATCTCTTTTCTCTTCCCAATCAAATCAGCTAACGATGAAATATAAGAAAGGAGTAACTCGGAAATTTCTGTCACTAATTGGTCAAAAAAAAGATTAGTTTTCAGATTCCTTTCCTTTGTTTTTTTTTTTTTCTGTTTCGACTGATGATCTCCCTAAATGTTACTAGTCAGCTAATTCTTTTCTTTAAAAACTCATTTTGTCGCCAGCAAATATATTGAGTAAAACTTGCTGAAAATACACAGTGTTATACAATAGTAAGGAATAATGCAGTAGACAGTCTACAATCTGCAGATTTTATTATCATTATCGCTCACTGGGTATTGAACTTATCCCTGTAGTGGAATAATGTCACCAAGCAGCTCATTCAAAGATAGACAAGGCAAAGATACCTTTCTACATACTGACTTTAGTTACAAACTTTTATAAGCCTTAGTGAATTTCAGCACTCTTGAAAGTTAAGTCTGTTAAGAGAAAGGACCATATTTATTTGTTTCCCCATTTATAGGGCACCTTATCAAGCCTTGCATATTAGGTACATTAAACTTTATATTTTTCTAGTGTTTTTATTTTAAGCTTTTGCTGAAAACTGTTAAACACAGCAACTCAATAAAAATTAAGTATGGCCTAGAAGAAGAAATAAAAATTCAACGAAAATGACACATGAACACGAAATCTAAGGCACTGGAACCCATTCAGTTAGAGACTGAATTTATGCTGTTTTATAAATTTTATTCTGCTTAAGCTTCTTCAATACTCTCAAATGATGGTCAATCAATGTTTCCCTTTTTCATTCATTTAATAATGCATAAATTCAGTAAATATTCAGACAGAATACTTATCCAGTATAAGTACAGTATTGTCTCGGATGCAAGAAAGCAGAAGGTTTACAGGAATAGATGTAAATATTTTACTTAAAAACCTTAAGGTCTACTTAATACGTCATAAGTCCATATTCTTTGTGATTTGGGGGAAGTGGAAAATGAAGACTGTTTTCCACTCCTTGAAAAACATCACAAATAAAAGTTAATACGAGGAGCTAATATAGTTAATCTGGTACTAGAAACTGAGATACAATAAACCAATCACTGAACTAGAAGTAAGATTCCTAGGTTCTACTGCTGGTTAGTGATGGAGTTCAGTGAGTAAGAGTGGAGGTAAATGTTAGTGTCTCAGTTTCCCAATAAGTAACCAGAAATAAACTAACTCCATATTTACCACAGAAGAAGTATACAAAAATTAAACAGAAAACACTGCCAGGAAAATATTAAACAAATGATAGTAATCCATTATTGACATGATCTATGTTTCATAAATATAAAAAGGTTTTAGAGTATGACAGTTATTCAAATGTTTAATAGCATGTTACACCTTTGAAAGAGGTAACACTACAAGAAAAACAACAGAAAAATCAATGTACACTTCACCTTTCCAAAATGTAAAGCATATATTAAACAAATTAAATGAAAATCAGGGAAGTGAAAGCCATGTTAACTTCCAACGAATCAGAAGTCCATAAAAACTTATGAATAACATAATTTTTGTTTTCTTTGAGATGGAGTCTTGCTCTGTCGCCAGGTCTGGAGTGCAGTGGCACGATCTTGGCTCACTGCAACCTCCACATCTCTAAATAACCTAAATTTTAAAAATTCAGAATGATGTGAAGAATTATCTCTAAAGTAACATCCAGAAGTAGAAAAAGATAAATTTCCATTTCACAATCCCTGGGATCCAGAAACTTGTACCTATTTGACCCAGCTCCTATAATCATATTTCCCTGGTCCCTTGAATGTATTTTACTATCCTCTCAAACTGAGAAAGTGACAATATTCATTATTTTGTTGCAAATATCCAGAGCACTGATTTAAATATCATACAAATGAAAAAGATTGAAAAGAAAAAACTTTGAAGAGACACATCCATCTCTAACTAAAAACATGAACAGAGTAGCAGTATTTTGCCCTTTACTTTTTAACCCCATATAAAACTAAGTCAAGGAAAATATATTATTCTGACATGTTTATAACTATTACATAAAATCAACTATCACCTAACTACAGGAATGTGCTCTGAGAAATGTGTCCTTAGCTGTGAACACTATCAAGTGTACATCACAAATCTAGATAGGATAGCCTACTTCATACCTAGGCCGTATGGTATATATTGCCTGTTGTTCCTAAGCTACAAACCTGCACAGCATGTTACTGTACTGAATACGTAGGCAATTGTAACCCAATGGTATCTACATATACACAGAAAATGTATCTTAAAAATACCCTATTTATAATATTATGGCATCACCGCTGTATATGTTGTATATGTGGTCTATCATTGAAAAGTTATCAGGCATGCACATGACTGTACATATTTATGTCAAATATTAAAATCCAGATGGAACATTAGTTAGAATAACAAAAGCCTAACAAAACTCTTAAATCCAATCAATGGATTTTGCTTACATACATATTTTTTAGAAGACTGACATTGCATTACCACATAGAAGCTGTGATTCAAATTTCACTAAGAATCTAGATTCTGTTCTGTACTTTGGTCTTTGCCAAGTTTTGCTACAGTAATAGAATGCCAAATTTTCTGCAATTATTTCATTTAGGAAAAAACCTTCTCTTAAACATTCTATAAAAATTTGATTCATCAAACCTTATTAATATGATGATGAATTTATTACAATTGTATTTAAATGGTTATTAAACGTAAGCCTAAATTATTCAGGCTAGACAGACAAGCATGGATCCTGAAAAGGCGGTTTGTTTTCTTAAAACTAACTTCCAGTTATTTCAGATTTCAACTATGTGTGTACTTTTCTAGAAGACAATTCTAAAGTGGCTTTCAAACTGTTCCTTGGCTATACACTATACAGATACTGAGACAGTCTCAATAAAAGAGAAATGCTGAAGTCTATACTACCTTATTTCATTCAGTTAAAGTTTTGTTCTGTTCTGCTGGCTTAATATGGCCTTATCGTTATTTCAACACATGTCCCATTCCCATTTATTAACATTAAATATGAAATAGTAAATCTCACTGGGAAAAGTTTTCTAAAAGCTAATCGCTGCTTTAGAGAAACAATCTATTGGCACATGCTGTATGTGTTTATGTTCATTAGCAAACTGGCCATTGCAATACTTCAAATTAGGGTATCAGCTGAAATATTAGGTTGATGCCAAAGTAACTGTGGTTTTTGCCATAATATTTAAAATGAACCAAGAAATAAATACAAATTCCAAGTACTTTCAAGTTATACTCAGTAGAAAAAATATATATCTTATCCTATATTTGAGTTCCCCCAATGTGGATGTTGTCATAATGTCATTAGTAGAAGTTTATTTTTTAAAGTGACAGTTTGCTCCAAATGTCACCTAAATAAATATTATTTATCAACTCTCATTTGAGAATCTGAATACAAGTATTAATTTTCTGAGGTCACACAGAAGTTTTCTTTTAACAAAACTAGAATCCTCAAAGGAAACATTTGATTAATTTTTCATTAATTGATATATACTGACACAATAACCATTAAGTAGTTTATGTTAAACACACCCAGTGTATTTTAACCATCCTCGTTTGGGTGAGAAATGAAGATAAAATATTTTCATGTGACCTCTATCTTGATATTATACAAGCACTGACATTCAAACTAAAGAATATGGAAAGAAGATTTTTGATTTTTCTCTGCCTGGGAATAATATTATCAAAGAACTCATAAAATAATCATAAGCAAATACTAAGAATACACCACCACCACACTCTACCAAATTTAGGTTAATGGCACATAGCAAAGAGCAGAGCAGATAAGGCATCACAGAAATTCATATACAAATTTAAAACACACAGACACACTAATGACTATGTTTTTAAATCACTGATTGTAAAAAAACAAATAATGTTTTCCCAACGCTTTCCTACACATCATGTAAACTAAACAGGATTTTTTTTAAACAGGCAGGGAAAAAAGTGAACGGAAGTAAACTTCATGAAACCCCATTACAAAACTAATGCTTTTCCTAGGGATAAAGTCATATGCACCATCACCTAGTTTTCCACTAGAAAAAAAAATAGAAAACTCTTTTTATAGAAATTCCATTTATTCTAAAACACCGAAACAAAACTACTATATAATCTCATTTTCTAAAATAATAAACACAAAATTCCTAAACATGTAATATAAACAAGAGAAGAATAAGACAGAGAACTATTTAAACACAAATAATGTGTAGTAGGCATAGAATCCCAACACAAAAATTAAACATGGTGGTTTGCGATACAGTTATACTGATATAACATCTATCGATCTATCTTCAGCAGTTGTACTTTATTTAAATTAAATGAAATATGTATGTGAAGTGCTTTTTAACTCCAAACGTAAATTCATATATTCACTGCTAGTTATTATAATATTTTTGGAATTAAATGTTTAATATAGAAAAGAGAATAAATGAGATATGTCATTTCCCTATACTTAATACCATGGAATATTTATCTTCAATTGTTTAGGATAAATTATGATATTTTAATTTAAAAGAAGCTTGAGAGATGTCCAACTTCCAAATTCTACATCCAAATTCTACAATTCACTATTAAGAAATGAAAGTCCAGCTACTCCGGAGGCTGAGGCAGGAGAAGGGCGTGAACCCAGGAGGCGGAGCTTGCGTGAGCGGAGATCGCGCCACTGCACTCCAGCCTGGGCGACAAAGCCAGACTCCGTCTCCAAAAAAAATAAATAAATAAAAGAAATAAAAGTATATGAACTTAGTGAGTCTGAAGACATACAACTAATATATAAATCATTTCAAGGAAAATTTTGGTTTCCTCAGAATAAAAGATTGTTACACACAGGTACAAGTTTACCAAAAGGACTGTGGAATATCTTTATGCAAGCTGCTTAATAATTATCCATCTTATATACATGAAATTCACTGAATCTGGTATAGAGAAGGCTTATTTTAAGGATTTTCTAGTGACTTAATTCTACATTTACAGAATTCTAACACCAAATGAATATGATAATAGTGAACAAATAAGTGTATTAATGTGTCACTTGTTTAAATCAGTGGTTCTTAAAATGTATCCATGAAAAGCACAAGTGTTATAGATATTAAATTGTAGTATTCCATAGCTCAAGTAAAATAATACTAGTCTTTTTTCCATCACAGAAATATGAATTTCTTGAACTTTCTGTATTTAAATTTTCTCTAATAATTTATATTAAACCACTGCCATGAACTACCTCTTATCTATAGTGAATGCTGTCAATCAACAAAATGAATGAAAATAGTAAGTAAGTATGAACTATAAAAATGGGAAACAATCTTAACATCTTTGCAATTTGTTTTTTAAATTTTTTTAATTGACCTTTGGGCTTCCAGTTCTGATACTATTCTATGTACTTTTTTTTTTTTTTTTTTTTTTTTTGAGACAGAGTCTTGCTCTCTCGCCCAGGCTGGAGTGCAGTGGTGCAATTTCGGCTCACTGCAAGCTCCACCTCCCAGGTTCACGCCATTCTCCTGCCCCAGCCTCCCAAGTAGCTGGGACTACAGGCGCCCGCCACCATGTCCGGCTAATTTTTGTGTATTTTTAGTAGAGACGGGGTTTCACCGTGTTAGCCAGGATGGTCTCGATCTCCTGACCTCGTGATCCACCCTCCTCGGCCTCCCAAAGTACTGGGATTACAGGTGTGAGCCACCGCACCCGGCCTATTCTATGTACTTATTTTTTTTAATCATGTTTACATTAGTTTGGAAGATAAAATTCTATCTATATTTCTCTCTAAAATCTAGCTTTGTTTAATCTATAACACAAGTGGGTTAGAGTAGAAGATTGCATATTCCTTTCCGTCTTAAGAGCTTTATGATCCTACTAAGGATCCCACTGATAAACGCACATATTCCTGTATCCTCAACTCTTCAAGTGTAAACAGATTATGTGTCCTTTAAAAAAAACAATTCATGAATACAAAGATTTATGTTTTGCTATATTATTTTAGAAGGGTAGAGAAATTGGCTGAAATTGCTAAGAAAACTTAAAAATGTAGACAGTAATATTTTATCTTCTGTTGAAAATGTTAAAAATGTACTTTCTATTTTTAACAAAGGTTTTTCTTCCCTTTTCTTAACATTAAATTAGTTCTCAATTCACAGCAACAATTACTATATTCTTTCCAGAAACAAAATCAGTATCCTACAGAGGTTATGAGAAACTCTTTTCTTTATGAGTTATATTATAATGTAACTCATACTTAAACAGTTTATTTAGTTCAGAGTGTTTTCAAATCTTCCATCTCAATAGATCTTCACACTAGAATATGAAGTAGGTGCTATTATTATCCCCAGTAAACGTACAAGAAAACTGAATCGCAGAAAACAGAATTATTTGAGCAAAATCACACAGCTAATAAGTAAGTTGAAGAGCAGGGCTTAGGTTTTGTTTTTTGCTTTGCCCTCTAAATACTGTGTTTCTTCATCCCTTTGAAAAGTGAGTCCAGAAGGGTAATTTTACATTTTAGTGAAATAGAGTGAGTGGCTACCTAATTTTGACAGTTCTCATTTATCTGTCTCATTAGCATGGACAGACCAGATGGACAACCCACCATATAGAAAGAAATTCTGCTGTCATTTCCTGCCAAACCAAAGTGATTCTTCTCTCCCATGTTAACCAACTGTGTTCACAACCAAACTGCTCTCTGAGTTTTCTGTTTCCAAACCTATGAGAAACAATAGTGGCATGGTGAGTACTAACTTCTGATATGTCAGGTTGATATGACAGTAGTACTAGCCCATCATTGTGACGTTAAATCTATTGAAAAATAAACCTTAAATACAGCATTTGTTGTTGCTGCTATTGTTGTTGCTGTCTAATTTTCTCTTTTTTGTTGAGGGAGAAGGGGGAGAAGGTCTATAAAGAAGAGTCTTGGTTGGGTGTCATGGCTCATGCCTGTAGTCCCAACAGTTTGGGAGCCTGGGTAGATCACTTGAGCCCACTGGTTCAAGACGAGCCTGGGCAACATAGTGGGATCCCATCTATACAAAAAATTTAAAATGTAGCCAGGTGTGGTAGTGCGTGTTTGTAGTCCCAACTACTTGGGGGACTGGGACAGGAGTATTGCTTCAGCCCAGGAGTTCAAGGCTGGAGTAAGCCATGATTGTGCCACTGTACTGAAGCCTAGGTGACACAATAGAAAAGAAAAAAGAAGGAAAGGAAAGGAAGAAAGAAGGAAGGAAGGAAGCATGGAAGGAAGGAAGGAAGGAAAGGAGGGAGGGAGGGTGGAAGGAAGGAAAGGAGGGAGGGGGAGAGAGAAAAAAAGAAAGAGAGAGAGAGAAGAAAGGAAGGAAGGCAGGAAGGGAGGGAGGGAAGGAAGGAGAAAGGGGAGAGAGAGAGACAGAGAAAGAGAAAAGAAAAGATCTCCATCTATAAACCATCTCCATAAATTTCTTGTATACTACCAAGAGAGAAAGCTTGTGTTGTCCCACCACAGTTGGGCAGGATACATTTGCCAGCCCAAGTAAAAATATGATTAAAATAGGCAAAGCTTGTCATCTCCTGATTTTTACTTTCTCTATGTTTTCCTAGCAGCAACTTCCATTTTTCCCAAAGTGCTACCCACCTTAAGGCATCTAATTAGTGCCCACTGTTTTTCCACCCTCCAGTTTGATGCCCAGCTTTCTATGACATACCCTAAATGAACCACACTTTGTATTTGCTTTCCTATCACCTGCCCCCAATCAAAATTCACTTTTCATTTCTCCTATCACCTGGAACCCTGCCAAAAGCTTTTTAGGAAACCAATTACCTAATCTGATAAACTGCTGAGCAATATTTAGCAAGAAATTTGACTAACACTTAAAAACACATGTACCCAATTCCAGTTCCCACAACTTACAACTACAAAGTTCAAAGGAACAAAAGAAATAAAAACACTCTCCTAAGAGAAAAAGAGATAAGCCTGAGCTTCTATTTACCCTGAAGTATATATTTAAAAAATCTATATAGAGATAGATAGATAGATAGATAGATAGATATGGATATCTTGTCATATTCTGTTATGATGTGATAATATGGAAAGGGAGATTCTTTTGCCCACCCATAATTTACAAATACTGTGTCAGTGAACTTCTAAAGTTGGAAATTACTTTAAAATAATTTGGGAGGGAAAGTATTTTGGGATATGGAGGCACAAAGGTTCATTAAATATCTACTTCTCTATATATCCAAATTTTCAACATTAAAGGAAAGAGAAAACGAGGAGAACAAATCAATCAATGAATGGGGGAGCAACAGTTATGAAACTGCAACTATTATAATTCAGAAAACTTTGAAAATGGTTGAAATAGAAAATAAGTGAAAAAACCCTCTAATAATGTATGACTGTAAGAGACATGGGTAAAATGCAAGTGATTAAGACTAGTTCAAAATAAATGAGAACTAAATGTTCAGAAAAGACTTTTAAATATTTTCTTACAACTAGTAAATTTTCATGTATCTAGTGAATATTTTTAAAGGAACAACATTAATCTTTAAATCACTGACAAATTTAAGATAAAGGACATGGGCTAGCCATGGCAAGAAATGGTTTAATGATACCACACATATCACTGACTCAAAATCCTAACTAATTCTAATAGGTTTGACAATTGCAACACATATGGAAGGAAAAAAAAAGCTATTTACTAAGCTCCTTCTCTAATCCATTTAATAAGGGATGAAATGTTTGGCACCATCTTGACCTATTGTTAAATTAGTCCTAATCATTAAATATCCCTTTCATAAAGAAAAAAAAATTTGGTGTTAGGTTGAGTTTTTTTAGTATAAATCTATTACAACTAATAAAAAAGCAATTAGAGTTTCTATTTATATGTCCAACATGTATTAAGTTAGGTCTGTGAAGGCCTAGAGTCTAGGAAGATGAGTAAGGCCCATGAGGGTCAAGTGGAAACATACCAGGCCTGGGAAGAGTATAGGAGGTAGTTCAGAAAGACTTACAGCATATAGAGCTAGCCAGTGGTTATCCCAGCAATCAACAAACTGGAGCATGGCCCAAAGGTAGGTACACTGAAATCAGGATATTAGCCAGAACAGAAGAAAAAAAAAAAAGAATAGGTATGTAAGTATGTCATTAGTAGATTCAATTAAATCCAGTATCTATAATATCCTCCAAGTAGATGCAGGACAGGTGATTGGCAATGATCCAAAACAAAGTCACAGAAGTAATTCACTCTTTTAAACATTTATTGAACTACAATGAGCTCAAAGTCCAATATAGACAGAAAGTCAACAAATAATGAGAATATGGCATGATGAGTACACTAATAGATGTGTGGACTCAGGTATAAGGAGAAGATATAAAAGAGGGGATGATCAAAGAAGTTTGGGTAGGCTGGGGAAGGTTTCTCAAAGAAGATGACTGAATTCCACCTTGAAACATGAAGTTTCACCAGTCACACTTGGTGGGAAGATATCCCAGAAGGGGGAATAACATGTGCGAATGCAATGGAGTATGAAAAATGGAGTGATCATCAGGTACCAGTCATGGGGAAAGTGGGTTTTCAGGGCAAGAAACTCAAGACCCTGAGAGCAAACCATAAAATCATGCCCTGAGGAACCGAGGTACCAAGGTCAGACCAGAACTGACATTAAATGTGACTGTGTACTAAACTAGTGAGCTACTACACCCCTCCTAATATCCTCTGGGGGTAGGGTCCAGAATCTGAGTCCATTAAGGATATTCAATTGTAAAGGTCAGAGGTCTGGCTGCAAAGTCAGGGAGGTCCTTAAATAAGTTTAAATAAGAACTAAACTAGTTATATTTTAATAAGAACTTTATAGACCTAAAGAAAGGTCTCTGAAGAGCAAGTGGGACTCATGATCAAGTTAAAGGCAAGTGAGGCTGACTACAAGTTACCCAATAGTGATGAAATATCTAGGATTTTGATAACATGTCAAACAGAAATTTTTCTAGTTTTGTTCTATACATTGTTATGTGCTATATGTTAAAACAGTTTTTCATGAAATCAAGCAGCAATAAATGTATACTTAAGGCTTGCAATAGAAAAACTATTGTGCTAAGTTTGAGGAATAAATACAACGATAAAGAATGATCCTTACTCTCAAGAAGTTTACAGCCAAATTAAGGAAATAAAACAGCTATCTAGAAATATGAGCAAATATACAAGGTACAGCAAATGTCAATAGGTCCCTTCTTTTATAAACCAATGTACTTTTTACTAGCTTATCCTGTGATGTTATATTAATGCAAGAAATAAGATTTATAATGATAAAAACATAGATAAAAGGAAGAAAAGGTACATTTGCACAAAAGAATCTGTGCTAATGTTAGCAATGAAGCAAACCCTCTGACTAAGTCAACTTTAAAACTCTAAGTTTATTGGATTTAGAACTTAACACATATATAGTCAATATCCCATATCATTCAAATTACTCAAGGCACTCAGTATACAGAATATGAAGAAATATTTAGATCATCGGAACTTGCCTATTATAAAGCAAGGGTTAAAAATACTCTTCTTCAAAGTTTGGTGAGTGTGTGAGTAAGAAACACCTGCTGCCAACTCCATACAGATAGCAAAAAGACTCATAAATTTCACTGACAATTTTTTTGGATGGGGTTTCAGCTAATTCACTTATTACATCCATAAACACTGGAGACATTTCACTACTTTTGACAGTTCAAGTTTTCCTTCTAAAATATGTTTGCAAAATATAATTTCAGAGGAGAAATGTTGCTTTGGTTTGCAGGGTTTTTAACAATTCATTTAGAGGTCCAGAAAAGCATTTTATATTTCTTTTCCTTCATATGTCTGCTTATTTGATGGTAATTTTATACCTCTGAGACAACAAAATGACTTTTTAAACCTTCAGTTAAAATGAGCCATATAGTTGAAAAGTCTATTAAAAACTATAGCCAGAAAGTAAGACATGCTAAAATTAAACACTACTTTAAGTAATGAAAACACTCTGCTTTTGCAATGTTTGAAGTTCAAATAACTTCTATAAGTTCTAGTGCCAGGCATCCCCAAACCCCAGGCCAGGGACCAGTAGGAACCAGTAGGAAACTGGTCACATAGCAGGAGGTGAGCTCCATCTGTATTTACAGCACTTCCCATCTCTCATACTACTGCTTGAGCTCCACCTCCTGTCAGATCAGCTATGGCACTAGATTCTCATAGGACGGCGAACCTTTTTTTTTTTTTTTTTTTTTTTGAGACGGAGTTTCGCTCTTGTTGCCCAGGCTGGAGTGCAATGGCGCAATCTTGGCTCACCACAACCTCTGCCTCCCAGTTTCAAGCGATTCTCCTGCCTCAGCCTAGCTGGGATTACAGACATGCGCCACCACACCAGGCTAACTTTTTTTTTTTTTTTTTTTTTTGTATTTTTAGTAGAGATGGAGTTTCTCTATGTTGGTCAGGCTGGTCTCAAACTCTCAACCTCAGGTGATCCGCCCACCTCGGCCTCCCAAAGTACTAGGATTACAAGTGTGAAGCACTGCGCCCAGCCTCAGATGGCGAACTTTATTGTGAACTGCACATGCCAGAGATCTAGCTTGTGTGCTCCTTATGAGAATCTAACGCCTGATGATCTGTCACTGTCTCCCATCACCCCCAGACTATCTGGGACTATCTAGTTGCAGGAAAACAAGCTTAGGACTCCACAGATTCTACATTATGATGAGTTATAGAATTATTTCATTATATATAACAATGTAATAATAGAAACAAAGTGCACAATAAATGTAATGCTCTTGAATCATCCCGAAACCATCCCCCACTAACCCTCAGGCTGTGGAAAAATTGTCTTCCACAAAACCAGTACTTGGTGCCAAAAAGGTTGGGGATAGAATACAGATTATTTGGAGTAAGTCAGGCCTCAGTTTAAATACCCAAACTGACACTTGTCACCTGCCAATTATTCAAGTACACCTGTCTAAACTACAGTAAAGTGAGCATATGATGTGGAATTCAACCACCTTGATTTTGCATCCCAAACCTGTCACTTACCAGCTGTATATCACAGAGCATATTAGTCAGCCTCAGTTTCCCTGGAATGCTTCCCTGGCTTAGAAATTTGAGATAATAACTTTCCAGGGAAGTTTTAAGGAGTAAATTGTATAGACTGTATGAAAGTACCTCACACAGTACCTAACATATAGGGATACTCAATAAATAATAGTTCTGTTCCTCACTACAAAAGATTCTCCTAAACTACAGTTTACTCACAGCAATGTTAATTTCATTCTTATGGTCAGTGTTAGAAAAGTGCTTAGTAATCATTTTTATTATGGCTTTGGGGTAAGGAAATGAACATATATGAAATCTTACAGAAGTAACAAGGTCTACAAAAAGGTTTCTGAAAAAAATCATAAGATGATAAAATGTATCTATGTCACTCTAAAAAAGAAATTGAAAAAAAAAACAGGTTCCTTCAACTCTCCCTTTCTTAAGTATTTTCTGTTACTATTAAGTCCCAATATCAGGTGATGAGCATTATCTGAAGGCCTTTTACACATGAAAAAATATTATCATGCCTTCTCTAATCTGAAAGAATAAAATAACATTAAGCCTTGTTGAAGTTGTACTTTGTAACCTTTAGAGCCCATCACATACTTACAACTCTCTTTGCTCATGTAGTATCCCTTTGCATTGGATGTCCTCATTTGTCCTCATTTTCTAGCTTTCATGATTCAAGGTCCAGTTTCAATGTGATTTCCTAAAAGAATATCCCTTTCTGTCCAATTTTGGTGAAATTAATGGCTCCTAACAGAATAGTGAATCTACACCGCAAATATAATTTAACTGTCACTTCTATTACGCTGTACGCTATGACCCAAGAACAATCTTATTCATCTCTGCATTCCAGGCACTTAACACAGTGGCTGGCACACAATAATGTTCAAAAAATATTTACAGAATCAAGTTGAATTCTTCCCCAAGTCATCTTTCTCTTTTAAAACACTTAGAAACACTTAGAAACAGATGATGTTAAAAGCAATTTTTAGTAAGCATTTTTAAAATCGAAAGGTGAGCTCCTTCTTTTATTAAAAGGCACTAAAGAGCAATTAAATATTTTTCAAATTATGTATGTTTTTAAACAAAAAGCCTTTTGGACACATGTTCTTATTATGAGCCAAATTTGCCAGCAAGGCAAGTGACACTATTGACATCTTAGGGTATAAATGGCTTATATATTAACATACCAACACTAAATATATTAATGTATTTCAATATGATTCATTTAAACATGGCTTTGTTTAAAAAATCTAGTTAGGACTTTATTCACCATGATCTTATTCCAGAAACTATTTTTAAAGTTTCATTTATAAATGCAGTAAAATTAGAGTTTATTCATCAACTCATGAGAGTTGGCAGTGCTGGTTTCACCATGGTGTAATAAAAGAATGAGAGAGTGGATATCTACTCAGTGAAGGTGTTGCAGCATTAATGATAGGGAAACTGACCTGAGAAAAACACCTGAAACCCATAACATAATCTGTAGAATGAAGGAGGCAACACGATGTTGGGTCAGCCTGCCAGACAATGCATGCACTCTATTTAAGAACTATCGCATCCTGCTGTATAACCTCTTTATGTTTTGCTATACATACAGAAGAGCAGGTCTCCTTTCTCGATTATCCTTAAGGAGGTTGCAGCCTTGTTAATGATAGGTGTCAAGATCTCCAAAAGAGATGGACTTTACTCACTGGAAAATGTTGAGACTTTCCGGGATCACTCTGGCCAAGTTCTTAAACTTGAGAAGGTGGTGATTAAAAGTTAGCAAGTGGTTCTGCAGTGGTGAGACGTGGGGTAAAGAATAATTGCTAACCCAAACTGAGGGCAACACCAAATGCTAACTTCACCAAATTAAAGAAAACAAAACTGCTTAGTATAGGAATCATTACTCCACTAAAAACATAAATTACTTGGACTTGGAAAAAAACTTTTGAATTTTCACCTAAAACACTGTACTAGTGAACCTTATGTTCAGCAATATTCAACAATACTTCTTGGTATTCAAATATAACTCCATGTGAGCATGTAGAATCCAGGGAAAGAATCCCTGGAATGCTGTAACTGTTTGAATAGTTCATATCCTGCAAATACCTACATCCAAAAAGAAAAAAGAGTTGGAAGAAAGCTGCAAATGTTACTAATTTACCAGTACTAAATACCAACAAAATATAGTTTTAACAATGCAAAATAATATATGATATGATGTATGATTTACAAAAAACAGACTAAAATAAGCTCTAAATTTCTGTGGACAAGATGAATGTGTGTGGCTGAAGGGAAGCAAAAGTGATCCTGATCCCATGGTATTAAGGTAGTTCAGGTGAGTATGATTATTTTTCACACATAAACACTAGCCCGGAAGCTCACCTTTACTGCATATCCCTAAAGATGTCCAGAGATTGCTAGGCTTCCTCAGCAACGACTACAGGGACTAGGAACTCTTTCAGAGAGACCCCCTACTCTCCAGCCTCCAAACAGTCAGGCACTAGTCCAGCAGCCCTTGGCTGTGCTCAAGCAAAGAATTTTAGGAATGGGTAAAGGAATGGCACATTCCCTAGAGAGTTTAGTGTGGAATGGGAGTGGAGGGGGGAGGAAAAGAGGGCACCCTTCACATCCCTGTCAATCAACTATTATTAACTATTATGCTGATGGAATGGAATCTAACGTTATACTGGCTAAGACTGGCTTTCCTCCAGGTTCAACACTATTGCCAAAAAACAGACTGTGGTTTTATTAAGTGATCTGGCCTTTGCTCCATAAAGATCTCCCTGTTAATGCAATAGGGAGAATATCAATATAATATTCTCTAATATATATTTACTCTATTCTGAATAAAACACCTTCCACAATACCAGTACACTTAAAGTGGTAATCTTAGGTTTTGAAACAAAAGGTAGGGGAAGTCAAATCAGTGGAAAACCCGAGCAAATCAAAGGTCTTGATATGCAATGTATAGTAAAATTGACCCAAGCAGAGCAGAGGAAAAAAAATGCTAATTTAAACACTGCCTGTTGCTGTATTTGACTCATTATTTCTGTGGGAACTTTGATTTGCATAAAGGCATGGCAGATCTTAAGAGGCAGCAAACATTTACTCATGTCACTAATCACATTTATAATTCAGAAAGTTCCTCACACGTACGCATAAAATTCAAAATCCTGATTTTAATACTTTGTAGTTCTGAGGAAAAAAATGCAACTCATTTAAAAAGAAAAAGTTGTTTTATTTACATTAGTGTGTGTGTATATATGTATACTACACATGTGAAATGACTATCCATTACTAATTTATTTTTTAATTATACTTTAAGTTCTAGGGTACATGTGCACAACATGCAGGTTTGTTACACATGTATACATGTGCCATGTTGGTGTGCTGCACCCGTTAACTCATCATTTACATTAGGTATATCTCCTAATGCTATCCCTCTACCCTCCCCACTCCCTGCACCCCATGACAGGCCCCAGTGTGTGATGTTCCCCACCCTGTGTCCAAGTGTTCTCATTGTTCAGTTCCCACCTATGAGTGAGAACATGCGGTGTTTGGTTTTCTGTCCTTGCGATAGTTTGCTCATAATGATGGTTTCCAGCTTCATCCATGTCCCTACAAAGGACATGAACTCATCCTTTTTCGTGGCTGCATAGTATTTATTCCATGGTGTATATGTGCCACATTTTCTTAATCCAGTCTATCACTGATGGACATTTGGGTTGGTTCCAAGTCTTTGCTATTGTGAATAGTGCCTCAATAAACACACGTGTGCATGTGTCTTTATAGCAGCATGATTTATAATCCTTTGGGTATATACCCAGTAATGGGATGGCTGGGTCAAATGATATTTCTAGTTCTAGATCCCTGAGGAATTGCCACACTGTCTTCCACAATGGTTGAACTAGTTTACAGTCCCAGCAACAGTGTAAAAGTGTTCCCATTTCTCCACATCCTCTCCAGCACCTGCTGTTTCCTGACTTGTTAATGATCGCCATTCTAACTGGTGTGAGATGGTATCTCATTGTGGTTTTGATTTGCATTTCTCTGATGGCCAGTGATGATGAGCATTTTTCCATGTGTCTGTCAGCTACATAAATGTCTTCTTTCGAGAAGTGTCTGTTCATATCCTTTGCCCACTTTTTGATGGGGTTGTTTGATTTTTTTCTTGTAAATTTGTTTAAGTTCTTTGTAGATTCTGGATATACTAAGTATTAATTTATATCCAATTTCATTCCAAAGCTGATATTTAAAAACAGCTTTAAAAATAATTTTCCTGGCCTGGCACAGTGGCTCACACCTGTAATCTTAGCAATTTGAGAGGCTGAGGCAGGGGGATCATTTGAAGTCAAGAGTTTGAAACCAGCCTGGCCAACATGGTGAAACCTCCTCTCTAGTAAAAACATAAAAATTAGCCAGTCATAGTGGTGGGCGGCTGTAATCACACCACTTGGGAATCTGAGGCAGGAGAATCGCTTGAACCCAGAAGGCGGAGGTTGCAGTGAGCCAAGATTGCGCCACTGCACTCCAGTCTGGGCAACAGAGCGAGACTCTGTCTCAAAATAAATAAATAAATAAAGTTCATTTTACCAAAATTAATAACAACAATAATGGAAGATATTTATTAGGTGCTAATTACTTGTCAAGAATTACACTGAGTTTCACAAACATTATCTAATGTTACCTTCAAAGAACCCAGTGAAATAAGTAATATATCCCCACCTATAAGTGAGGACACTAAGTCTTAAAAAACTGTTGGGTAGCTTTGGTTCTCTGCTGCATTGTAAGGGAAACCATAATTGCACTACTCTGCAGGAGCATCCTGGCTCTCGAATCCTTTGGCTAAGACATTTTGATTAAGACTCATCTTGATTTGAGATTCTAGGAATGACTCTCAAGCTTCACCTGTTCAAAACAGAGCTCTTCATTTCCCCAAGTCAGTAAGTGACATCACTATTCACCAGGCTACTTAAGCCAAACACTAGCAGTCACTCCTTAGACCTCTTTTTCCCTCACATGCCGCTTCCAATCCATCAGCAAGTCCAACAGGCTCTACTTACAAAAGACCACTTCTCACCACCCCCACTGCTCCTGCTCTAGTTGGATACACCACCATCTTTCACACAAATCACTTTCACGCAGACCTTCTCACTTCAGCTCAGGCCTCTTCACTTTTGTGCAGGCCTCCTCACAGGGCACCTTGCTTGCAGTCCTCTCCCTTTGTCCACTCTCCACATGGGACCCAGATAATTTATGAAATATATGATCACCCCATACAGATCTCTCCCCTCTTTCAGACCACTGTAACCAAACCAAACTGGTACCCTTGCTGTTCCTCAAGTACACCAAATATGCAAAGTGTCACAATTCCCAAGAATGATTCTAACTAGAAAATCCACTGCTTTTGTAATAGAACATTTTTGGCTGACAGATCATGGGCCAAAAATTTAACCTCCACTCTCCAGGCCCAATCTGGTTTGTAACCATGTACATGCATGGCAACCCTTATTCTGTTACGGGGAGAAGGAGGAGGAAATTGGGAGAATTCTGTAAGGGGGAGAAGGGTTAGTAAAAGGTAAGTATAGAGAAAAAAGTAGAGCCTAGCATCTGTTCTTCATTGGACTCCTTGCCTGAGATTAAATGCTTACAGTAAAGGAATGACAGCCAAAAAATGATGGAACTGAAATGAAATTCTGGAAAAAAGATTATGACCAGAAATTGATCAAGAGACACTTCCTGATACTCTGGGCACTAGCAGAGCTTCTTTAAGGCCCAGACAATACAATATCACTCACAGCTGGGGAGAGACCTCCTGCCAAAACACCCAGAAGCATCCTTGACTCAAGCACTGATTTTCTCCTGATAGGAAGTAACAACAAAGGGTCTTTGCCAATGGACCTCCTGAGCTGTGGATGCAAACATTTGGGAACTAGGGGAGAAATGTGGGCAGTGTGTGTTAGTGACAGCTGAGAGAATGGTTTCTGGACATATGTGAGGTGACAGTGGATTCCTAGAGGGTCACAGGTACATGGTGAAGAAGGTGAATTTATATGAATCAGGCCAGTGCGGCCAGTAGTAGAGAGTCAGAACTATCTCAATCTGCTCACTAAAGTATATGTGTCTTTATGCAGAAGTCAAGGCTGGTAAGGTCTGTAAACATCTTGGTTCTGCCTTTAGGTTAAGTCCAATTTTTTTTCTTTTCCTCTAACATTTCTAAAGGAGACTAAACAAACATGGTCTTTTCTGTCACTAACTCCAGGCTCACTTACTTTGGCATTCACATTTCTATTTGATGCTTTGGCTATACACAGACAGAAGACAATTATACAATAAAATGGTTTTATATCATACTCTTTTCACCAAAAAACAAGCCAATTTAAAAACTAAGTTTCTTTAAAAATTGCAGATGTAATGAATTAAGGTAAGATGAAGTCGTACTAGAGTAGGGTGAGCCCTTAATCTATTGTGACTGGTGTCCTTACAAAAAGGGAAAGTTTAGACAGAGACATGCATATGGGGTGAATGCTGTGAACATGAAGGCAAAGATGAGGGTGATGCAGATATAAGCCAGGAACACCAAGGAATATCAGCAGCCATCAGCAGCCAGGGGAGAGGGACATAGCAGATTCTCCCTCACAGCCCTCACATGAAACCAATACTGCTTACACCTTAATCTCAGACTTCCAGCCTCCAGAACTGTGAGGCAATAAACTTCTGTTGTTTAAGCCACCCAGTCTGTGGTAGTTCGTTACAGCAAACCAAGGAAATTAATACAGGCTCAGATGAGATATATTTTAGGAACCAGAAAGGAGATGCAGAAGTGATTGGGACACTACAGCAAGAACATTTTGAAGTCCTTCAGAGGAAAGGAAAGGTGCCAGAGGACCAGAGACGGGCTAATTTTACGATTTTTAAAGGCAAAGGATGTGAATTTTGTCAATCTAAGATAAATATGCTTACAATGAACCAATTAAAATTGGAAGGTAAGTGTTTGTGTAACAACTTTTTAAAAAGTATGATCCAATATGGGTTCACTAAAAATAATATTTTTATTGTTGATGGAATTATTAAACTGGTAGTTTAAAAATGTGGACTTTGTTCATTCTGAACTTAATTCCATATCTGAAGAAAGCTCTCATAATGTTCTTGAGGTCGAAATGGAGAAATATGTAGGAAATAATATGAGAGGTACATTCATAACAGGTTGAACAACCACACCCAAACAGTATTGATTAATGACAAGATGTTAACTTGAAAACAGATCTCAGGTTGTGTGCCATAGGGCTATTTTCACAAGATTGAAAAGAAACTTGCAAGGCATGTTTATCAAACCTGTGCATGACACACAGCTGACAAGGATACCTGATCCCCTCAATGGCTGAGTTTTGATTCCAGAAATCATCCGTCTGAAGAAGAAAGGAATTAGAGATGTTAACCAAGAGAAAAACAACAGGGAAAGGTAGATATGAGATCAAGGCTGGATTTATGAAAGATGTGGGATCAAAGTAGCTTATGCAGAAAAGATGTGAAAATTTAATAAAAGAAAGAATATTCTATTTCTCTGTGTAACTGTCACTCTAGTGCTAATATATTTTACTTAATTATTGCTGGTCCTCTCCATGGCCACTAGCTTCCCCATTTCTTCCCTTACATTTTCCAATCCATTCTGTGAAAGAGAGTATAAGCTGTGTGTGTGTGTGTGCGTGTGTGTGTGTGTATGTGTGTGTGTACTCATACTATTTTTATTTAATTTATTTACTTATTATTTTTTGTTTATTATATTTTTATTAATTTATCTATTTTATTTATTATACTAGTATTTGTATACATGCACATACTATTTTTGAGACAGGGTCTCACTCTGTTGCCCAGGCTGGAGTGCAGTAGCACAATCAAGGCTCACTGCAGCATCGACTTCCTGGGCTTAAGTGATCTTCCCTCCTCAGTCTCCTGAGTCGCTGGAACCACATATGCACACCACCACACCTAGCTAATTTAAAATAATTATTTTGTAGAGATGAGATCTCCCTATGTTGCCCAGACTAGTTTTGAACTTTGAGACTAAAGCAGTTCTCCTGCCTTGGCCTCCCAAAATGCTGAGATTACAGTGTGAGCCACTGTGCCTGGCCTATAAGCTATCTTTTATAAACTGTAACCATAATAACCTCCTCTACCATTTCAATGTACAGTTATGGTCATATTTAAATTTTTACTTCAAATATAGCTGGCTAGAGTTCTCACTTGCCCCAGAACTTCAGTCTACATACCATGCCACGCAGAGAGTTGGTAAACCATAATTAATCTGCTATTCACAAGGCTACTGGTCTTTTATCACCCAACAATGTTAGTCCCCCCTGTGATGGTACCATCCCACCGCCCTGTTCGAGCCACAGTGATGATCCTGTTTCCTTTGGTGCCCAGCTCAGTCAAGGGTGCTCTACTTCTGTGTTTGCAACTACCATTACCAGCTGTTCTTCCCTAAGGTACTAACTACACTGATGACAGCATATACAAAATTTTCTATCATCAGCCCCATGAGTTCAAAAGGGTTTCTCTTGAATGTTGGTTGCCAGGTGGGGTACCCCTTTCTGTCCTCAATGTAACTTCATTTCAGGAATCTCATTGCCCTTTCCAGAGACTGGGATTGAGTCAGTGCCACACAGCTCTATGTCAGCAGAGACTAGGTATTAGTTCTTTCTCTCCCAGAAGGCGCTGGACATCTTGTGTAAACTGATCTCCTCCCCAGGAACCAGCTTTACAGAGCAGAATACAAGTGCATTCTCAGGGAGTGGCAGACTTCTATTAATGAAGTCAGAAAGTTTTCTGCTCTATGACAATGATTGTGTACCTGCTCTATATTTGCTAAACTAAGAAAGTTATTCAAGTAATACAGAAGATAAGCACTTCTAGATTTAAATATCTGCTCTTCTCCCCACCCAACACCTAAAAAAATCATAAATCAAATTCTACCAAGTCAGTGTTCAACACTATTTCAATAGTTGTTTGTTGCTTTTAGGATAAAAATCCAAAATTCTTCCCCAAATCCTCAAAAAAATAAAGTATATTACATGGCTCCTTCTCACCTCTCCAGATACATCATGAGCCACTCCATCTCCCTCCATAGCAGGCTCACAGGCCTTCTTTCAGTTCTTTGGTGAACATATTATAAAAGCCAACTTTTTCCTGCTGCGGGGCCTTTGCACATATACAATGGTCTCTCATACTCTACTGCTATCTGAGTGGCCCCCACTCCTTACCTCCTCTATAGTTTAAATTTCACTTACTCTAAATCGTCAATATAAACTAAGGACCCGATGTTCTTTTTAATTATAATGTCCTATTATTTTTATTTTACAGCATCTAATATAAATTATTACATACTTATATATGTGCTTACATTTTTAATGTCTTCTTTCAACTGTAAGCTCTATAAGGATAGAGCCTTGTCTGTTTTGTTCACTGCTGTAGAGCAAGCTTAGTGCCTGACCCAAAGTAAGCCTCAAGAAATATTTTATTAGATAATTGAAGGAATAACTAGAAATACCCAATAACAGAACCACTAGCTTTATTGTCTTGGAAGAAATCTTCATTGTACATCGCATGCTTTGCACAAAGGTTTCCTAAGTTGGGAAGAAAGATCAACTACATGACCTTGAACTTTCTAGTTCGGGAACTAATACATTATAAGACATAAGCTGCTATGTGGATTCTAAGAACAGAAGGTCATTCTTATTTGGGAAGTTAGTAAAAGTTTCAAGGAGGAATTACTTGAAATATAATCGAGATATAACTTAGAGGAAATGTTTGATTTGAAACTGCACAAGAGAGAACTCCAGAGATGTGAACATGTGAAAAGGGAAACATAAAAAGGTAAATAAGAACATCTTGTGGGAAAAGGTAAACCTGAGTTCATCTGAGAAAGGTATGGATTAACAGGTTAAGCAGACATGGTAAAGTGAGTTGATAAAAAGTTTGAACTGGGTTCAAATTTCCATCTCTTAGGGGAGTGATAAAATTAGGGAGATTCATCTGACTATGCTGAGTATGTCAGAAGGATAAGTAGCTAGAGGTAAAGAGTAACTAAGGGGCTACTAATCTACCATAACAGCTATGAAGCTTGGAGTAAAGATAGGGTGATAGCTACGTATTTAACAATTCTATAAACTGGCAACAGCAGAGAGGCTGCAGTTCCCACAAGCAATAGCAAGAGAGAGCTGGCAAGAGACTACCATAGCTTCAGGGGCCCATGTAAGTACTATTTGCTGGTGTACCAGCACTGACACCAGGGTACCATCTTTCCTGGAAGAATCTGAGACCCCCCTAGCCTGGGAGAGAACATCCATGGGCACACTGAGGCTGAGATGCGCAGGCTGGGACACAGGCTGGTTAGCCAGTTGACAGCATATTAAGCAGGGTACCCACAAAGCTCTTGGGATGAAGGGAGTACAGGTACTCAATGGACTTGAGGAAAAGTCTCTTTCTCAAACCTGTACAAAAGCATTTTAATATTTTAGCAACCAGTATAATCATATCTGTAAGTGCTGGGTGCATATCAGCCACAGGTAAAGAAAGGCTAGATAAGATGTGGACTGGCAAGAGGAGAGAGGACAGAATCAAAAGAAATCTTAACGGAAAAAGAACAAGATACCAGATGACAGACTAGGAGAAGCCAAGAATATTAAGTAATCTGATTCCAAGATTTCAAGTCTGAAGAACCATATAGGGGAGAGTGTTATATTAATGACAGACATAAGGTATTTTGGAAACAGAATAAATTTGAGTGAAGTGGTATATGAGAATTATGAGTTTTTAAATTATTGACTTGAAAATGTTATTCATAGTTGTTCATAAACATCCATAAAGGCAACTAAAAGTACAAACCTTAAGTTCAGATCTGAACTCAAAGTTACAGACTTTGGGGAAAACTATGCAAATATCAGTATAAATGTGATAATGGTAAATAAACTCTTTAAGTAAGTGAACATTAAAATGAATCCTGAATAAATGTGCATATAGATAGCTTTCTTTTAGGATAAAGTAAATTAAAATTGGCCAAAACATATCATTAAATTAAAAATTAGAATGTTATAAAATATACTAAATAAATCATTTTTAAATATCCAAGATTCATTTTAAAACGTGATCCCCAAACTGGGGTGCATATTAGACTCTTTGGGTAACTTTTACCATCATACTGGTGGTTGACCAATTAGATGGGAATCACTGAATTAAAATAGTCTGTAAAATGAACATATGTAAAGTCAAATGTCTTAGAAAAAGATTTGAATAATCTTCAATGAAGAGCTTTAAAAAATAAAGATTTATCTAGACACTGAAAAGAGTTTAAACATAGAAGAATCAAAAATTTAAAACCATGCATATGTTATTTAACCACAGGTATACCATAAACATTTTAAAGATTAAAATATGTTTTTGTAAAAATATGTCTTTCAAATTTTTTAAATCTAGTTTTACTGAAGTTTCTTATGGTAGAAATGTGTGTTAATGAAAAGTTGAACAAATTAACATTTCAGTTCATGCTAAGAAGCACACTTCACTATTTCACTAGAACTAAAGAAAAATAAGTTATTGTTAAGTATTTCTGCAGAAGCAAAATTCAGGGGAAATTCCTAATTTGGTATTTGTAGCTCATCTAAGGATATTGTTTCTATCTACTAACGAGGTAATTATAGATATTTGAAATCAAATTTAAGTAGTATGACTTGGAGAAAAAAAAATTCCCATTTGTAGTATCTTTAACAATAATTGATAGTCATAAGTAACCCATCTCTGGGTTACAGTAACCACTAAATATTATACAGCTTATAGAAGGTAACCCAGAAGATATGTCCAAAAGAGCCTAGAAGAGGTACTGGAGAAGAGGGTATAGCTGAAGTCTCAAAAAAATAGCACCCATTCACTAAGGATATGTTACTTGATCAAGAGAGCATCATACTCTAAACTTGATGCGAATTTCACATGAAAGAAACTTAATAGCCAGAGAATAGGAAATATTGACTCTAAAGATGTCTTAGAATGTCTAAGAATAGCAAATCAAGCATGGCCCCACCAAAATAAAGCTGCTAACTATAGGTAAAAACTTTGTTTTCTATTCTTTTTCTGATTATGAAAGTAACAATGCCTCATTATATAAAAACAGGTATTTACAGAGATATTTAAACCAGTACCTAAACCTACCCCTATTTTTAACATTTTAGCATGTTTCTTTTCAAAAAAATTTGAGATTTTATCTATCGATAAACAGATAATGTATGGATGTATATATAATATACTATAAAGTATTTACCTCTCTATAATAACCTAAGCATTTCCATGTCATTAAGAAATTCTTCAACAGCATAATTTTTAAGACTATATATACTTCAGCTTATGGAATAACCATGATTTACCTAAGCACTGTACCGAAAGTAATTTCCAATAATAATACTCCAGTGTCTACTTTTGTGGATAAATCTGTCTGCATTTCTAACAGGTTTCTTAAAATTGAAGTCTCAAAGAAGGCATTATTAGGTGAAAAGAGAGGCAAGCGCATTATAAAGTTCCCATATATAAAACTGCCGTCCAAAATGAGGTGTCAATTTAAACTTGCATGAGTACTGTGTCAAAACAACATTACCAATGTAATGCTATCAATAAAACCAATACAATGTTATTGATGTTAAACAATCTCAGTAGCTTTCATCATTTATAATATGGTGAGTAAAACATGGTATTTTATTATTTTAAAGTGTATTTATTTCATTGATTGGAAATAAATTTGTCGCGTTAATTATTAATTCCTGAGATTACAAAAGTTTTTTTGAAAAACGCCAATTTAAAATCAATTATTGAAAGACTAAACTATTATTTTCTATATTTTTAAAGACCAAGAGATAATACATCAAATGTGCAGTAAAATCAAGGCTAATGGCATGCAGTTTAATGAGATAATTAATTAGCTTTTTATGCTAATTAGTACAACTGGGAATCATTCTAGTTAACTATGGTGATTCTAAAAAATATGCAATAGTTGGAAATAATCAGATTTATAATAATATAAATTGATATAAAATATTTCAAAATGTTTTATTAGTTAATAATCATATCTAAAGAATTAAACTTCTATCTCTGCCATAATTGAAAAATAAAATAAAAATAAAACTCAACACCATGAAGCAAACAGTTACACTGTATAACCTGTATAACATATTACCAAATATCTCTCTCTGGGCTATTTTTTCCCCATATTTCTTGATGACATACTTTTAAAATCCTAACATTCACTCTTGATTTCATATGTTAAAGTATTCAGAAACCTTCACATTTAGCCTTTATGTCCAGTAGATGAGTTATTCAAATGACTTTTAAGATCAGTCATACCCTTGAGATTCTATGACTTACAAAATATAATTAAACTTAATTAATAACTCTTTAAGAACTGATTTCATCATATATAAGCAGAAATTGTGACTCCTATATTACGGGTGATTGTATCATAGAACCTGACACACAGCACACGGAAGTGTTCAATAAATGCCATTCCCTTTCCCCTAACTTCCAGCTCTCCCCCTCTGCTCTCTATCAATATGTACTTGTTGACAAATCAAATTTTATTTGTAATTAAAAGGTGAAAAAATATAATTACATATTTACAATATCTATTGTCAAACATCCTTACCTTAAATTAATGGTTGAATGTAATCTGGCAAGGAACAGAAGTATATCAAAGGACACTTCTAATTCTATATTTTTGAAAAAGACCCTATAAATTAGAGAAAGCTTTTTTTACAAGAGTGATTAAAACAGTTAACATGAATTAATCAATCTCAAAAAAGTCACAGAAGTTAGGTCAGTGATATCATTCTATATCCATGGCTCTAGACCTTCACTGTGCATCAGAATTATCTGGGGAAATTAATAAATCATTATCAATGCCTGAGCCCTACCCCTATTTTTATTAAATTGGTATGGGATGGGGTAAAAATACCAGTATTTTTTAAACATATCCAGATGATTCTAATGTGCAGCCAAAGTTGAGAACCACCATTCTACATATTGAGAAGAAATAAATTACAGAGTAGAGCAACTCGCAAAATGAGACTAGAATCCAAGTTTCCAATTTTAGGACTTACAAGAAAATCTCCTCCTGGAATCAAAAGAGGTTTGAATGTACATTATATAATATGAAGATATTTAAACATATTGAGGCACCCATGACATTTAATTGGCATTCAACCTTACACAAAATGATGGTAATCAACAAATGATCACCCTTACTAATGCCATAAATGGTCCTTCCATCACACCATCTTAATTTCAAAAGTAACATTTTCTTTGCTTCTGAATCTGAAGAAAACAAAAAAATCTCAAAGTCTAACATAACTACTTTGCAATTACTTTTTGCCATATATAAAGAGAAAGAAGTCCTCATAACTAATCTTTTCTATACAAAAATGAACAGACAGCAGGAAAAAAAATATATAGGAATAGAATCACCGCCTTAGGTGATGGGCAGACAGTTTCCAAAGCAAAGCATTCTCTCACTCTGTCCCGGTTAAAACCTGTTTGTCTGGGGATTGGCTCAGCTGCTCCAGTTCCAGCTTCCCGGCCTTCCAAGGTGCTGACGTGACCTCAGTTGTCATTCTGCTGGAGCTAGATCCAACTAACAAAATCCAACACATGCAGGCACTTGTTTCTCCATTATCCAGTGCCTTCAAGGGCAGCAGAGAATCAGGGAGTCAGTCACCTCTTCTAATCTTGCCCTTGATAGTTTTTATCCTCAATCCTTAAACACTGTGCAAAGGTTATTAGGCAGATGAACATCAATGATCAGCAATCAAATGGACCAAATGAAGAAAACAAGATAAAAATTCAATTAAATATTAGCTAGTTGATTTACAGAATTTTACAGAAGGGAAGCATCTAGTAAACTGAGTTTATTCATATACTGATGAAGATCTGAAGGCTTTAGTTGAGGAAGCTACATGACAAAAGTCAGCCTCCTCCCCCCATCCTCCTTTCTTTTATAAAGATAACTGAAGAGATTGAAGGAAACAAATATTGTAAATATTACTGTAAGATGCCAATATTATATACATGATTCCTGAAAGTTGAGTATCTATGTACATATGAAGAGTAGAGAGATGCCATTTAAAAATCACATCTCATCTGCTTTTTTTGAAAAGGGATTCTTTCTTATAAGCTGTATCAAGTGTAACTTGAACATGATGTCCTTAAATTTTTGTGATCATCAACAATTTGTAGTAACAGACTCTGAGATCAAGAGCAACGTACGTGATGAAGCCTCATCTTACTCCCTATACCAACTCAGCACTGAAGATTTGCATGCTTGAGCTTTCCTCTTCTAGCTCTAAATAATTCCTCATATACAGCATGGTACACAGCTTTACCTACAAGCACAAAACAACATTCTTTACCCAGTACATGTTATTACCTCCTCATTTAAAAGAAAAAACGTGAAGCACAAGATGTGTAATCATATTATGAACAAAAGCATGTTTTAATGTTAGCTTTTTTAGTTAGCTCAGTGACCATCAGCACATTTTTAACCTCTCTGACCCTTAGCTCGGCATCTCTAAAATGAGGGTAATAAGGAACCTATCCCGTTGTGCTTTTAGAGGATTAAATAAGATAAAAGACACCCTATTGCACATTGTAAGCACTTAATGATAGTTATTACTAGGTATATGAGTAAAGGCTCTACTGCTTTAGATTCATTAAAGAATTGGCTTTCATTTTCATTTGAGATTACTTTATAAAAATCATATGGTTATCCACATAAGTTACTAATATAAGTGGGTTTTTGATATGTTTATATTTTAATGTATGGCATTTAAGCTAACTGACACTAAGCACATGGATAACTCTTCTAATGTCATCTAAAGTGATATTTCTCAAATGAAATATCCTTCTGTGGGAAGGACCAATTGGTTTTTTAAATTTCTAATTCATCACATTTGTATAATCAAGTCAAATTTGACAAAAACAAAATACAAGCCCCCTATTTTTATTACTCTATCAAACTTTGGTGACAGTTTTAAGCATTTACTCAACTTCTATATTTAATTTCAAGGCAGACTGGTAACAAATGCTTTCCAGCCTACAGACTGCATATTAAGTAGGACTACTATAAAGAATACTTGATTTTAAGAATGATAGATATTGACTATTTTATAATAAAACAAACTAAAATTTAAAACTAAAAATCCTTATTAATGGTGTTTCACTTACATGAATCTCAATTCAAACTAGGTATGAATTTTAAAAAATAGTAAAATTGCCAAAATACCATAGGGGCCCCTTGGTGAAAGCCACGTATTTAACATACTGTCTTAAAAGGCTATTTAATACAGCCACTGAATTCTAACTTAATGTTGATCTAATACAAAGCATTACCGTGCAATAGTCACTAAATAAACTATGAAAAACAACCAATAAGAGTAACCTTACAGGTTTACACTTAAATTTTTTAAGGAAGTTCCTCACACTAATCTAACTACAATATACTTAGGAATACTTGGCAACATTAACAGTACCTGTGGCTACTCTAGGTAGTATTTCTTTTTAAAGGCCAGGTACTTGTATAAAGAGAAGTCCCAATATTATAAATCCAACAAACTCAATAATATATTAAAATGTTTAGCTTGTTGTTTTTCTTACAGAACAGATAATACTTTCTAGGTATTTGCTTTTCTAGTGCTTTATGATTTCAACGTAATGTTTTGTCAGTTTTGGCATAATGAAAATTAATAATACAGATCCTACCTACACGGTTGAACCCTACTTGGGCTGCCATGGTAGAAAGAGAGAGAGAAAGAAAGAGAGAGAGAGAGAAGAGACAACCCTTTGTTGACTAAACAAAATCACCTATTTTCCCTATACCTATGAGGAAAAATATTACAATGAAACAAAATGAGATGGACAGACAACATTCTTATGTCTATAATGTTAAAATTTGGTTTATCAGTAAATTACTTCATATCTTTCAAGCCTGCTTTAAAAAAAATCTCAGAAACCATAAAAATGTTTTCATTAGTTATTTAAACACTAGAATAGGTAGTGACTAAGATTTGAGAAGAAGATGAGAGGCAGTCTCTAACCAGCATTACTCATTATTTCTCCAACCTGGAAAAACTTTTTCTTCTTTCAGAGGTCAAATTAAAAGTACCTTTACCTATGGTTATCCAGAAAAGGAATGAGAATTAGAATAGATACGTTCACTGTAGTCTGCCTAAAGAAAACACTAGGAAAGAATTATGATATACAAATTTCCTTCACATTGATGTTTTTCTGGCAACTGACACTACCTACTATTAAGATAATTCTGAGATTACAAAAAAAAAATTAGTTCAAATGAAGGAAATCCTTACCTAGGCTCCAAATTAAATTTAATTTTAAAAAGCAATTATTAAAAATGTTTATGTCCACAAAGGAAAGTACGACCCTAACGTCTTATAACAATCAGCTATCAAATGAATAATCCAGCACCTTAAGAGTATTTTTAATCAGTCTCTGTATTCCATCATACATGAAATATAGTACAGCTTGTTCCATGTTTGGTCCAAGATGCTAATGATAGTAGCTGTGGCAATCAAATCAGTAGCACGAACGATAGTACACTCACACCTAGAGTGCAAAGAAACATTCTTTCTTACTACTTTATTCTCACTTTAGCTCTGTCTAAAGGACAGGAAATAATGTCATTCCTCCCATAACAAATAAACCTGCCATTTCAGATAACTGATCCATGACAGGTTACTAGTATTCAAAACTGGCACTTAGAACATTGTCACCATGCAAGCAAACAGGAAGCAATTTGCAGGCTGTAGACCTAAATCTGCTACATGGATCTTTTTTACTTGTTTTGGTAAAACCAGGAAAGAAGCACATACAATACATATTTTTAAAGAAGTGGTGATTTTCATGTTTTCAATAATTCTGTATTTAAACTAGAATTTGTGAGCGGCATCTTTGAGATGGGACAGATGCATAGTCCCAGAAATATTGACTACTTTCTGTACCCGGGAAAACCAAGGCGTGGTGCTGTTGGCAGTTGTCAGGGTATCTGTTTGCCCAACTTTTATCCAGCTGGAGCAAAGGTAATAAGCTCTTGAAATAGAAAAAGAAAGTGGAAAAAGACAAAATTTGCAAATTGATAATTTTCAAAACTGAATTAAAATGTATAGTACCATACAGGACTTGTCCATTAAATGTAATACAAACAAGAATAAACCAGAGCAATTCACAATTCACCAAGACAAGTTGGGAGGTTGTTTTTACACCTGTTCTTGGTTTGCTCCCAATGTACAAGCAATAGGAAATTTTTTAAGTAAATAAGACGTCAATCTCATAAAATCTCAATAACTCTTCATTAGAAATTAAACAAAAATAATGCATAAAAATCCACAGCATATAGCAAAATGAATTTTAATAAGACCAAATATAACATTTAAAGGAAGGGGGGGGGTCTCAATTCTATTGAATTTATAGAATAATATGTTGATTTAACTAATAATCAATTGTTCTATTCTTCTTGTCATATTTCCAGCTGTACCAGAAAATTTTTTTAAAAAGAAGTGCTTCCTCAGTAATATTCTGCTGCTCTACAACAGTAAGCAAAACAGCAAGCATGAAGGCATCAAGAGGAAAGCACATGTGAGAAATGGGCAGCCTTTCATTGTAAAAAGGTTCCTTTTTACTCTCGAATATTGTGAGATAAGCAGTAATGGAAAAATAAGAGAGGTAAGATGGCATGGACCCAAGGAAATAACTGGAGGATCAAGTCCATATAGTGGTCAGGATAATGGCAATATAAACAATAATAAGTAACCACGTTACTCACATGTTCTAAATACCGTAGAGGGGGCTTAAATATACAACTAATCTAACAATCTTAAAAAATATAAGTATTCTCACTTTGTACAGGTAAGTCAACTGAGGCTCAGAGATATTAATTTATTCATACAAGGTCACTCAGTCAGTAGCTAGTTATTCCTTTGGGTAAACAATGATAAATTGTGATAAATGATGATAGAGAGACCAACAGACATGTATACACACATATCACAACTAATGGCAATGCTTAGATTTGAACCATTGCAGACTGTCTTCAAAGCTTGGACAGATAGCTTAATAAACAATCACAAAAGGATAATAAAAAGTATTATATGAATACTTATCAAAGATAATCTTCTGATTTATCAAATCAACAGACTGAACGAAAAGAAAGGCTTAATAAAAGTTTAGTGGGCACTTACTGAATGTATAGTGAATGAGAGAATGAATGAATGAGTATAAGATGGCAAGTGATAAATAGCCTTTTTTTCTTTAAGGAAAGGATAGGAAATCTCTTTAACCTTCCTTATTTCTACGTTAATTCTCTGAAAGGAAATGTCTTCTTACAATAAAACTGTGACATCACTGATCGTCAATAAATGTTTGTTTTGTAAACTTTGAATAATTAGGGGAAACAGGAATATAGCAAAATATTTGAAGATAGTTTAAATTACAAATAAGCTATTTTAAAGTCTATATAGATGTGTTAAAGATGTTCATTTTTATAACTTAGAACAACTGTTACAGAAATAAAGCTCAAATAATCTCACCATAAAATTCCTTAGTTACAAATATAGTGATATCAGATTTATAAGAAAATGTTAAAAGGACTTTGAATTTGCTAAAAAGAGTAGTATATTTTGAAATGTATTGAATAAAAGTGATGATATATTACATAAATGATCAATTAAAAAGATTTTTAGTATTCAGAATTATATATTTCCTGGATAAAACTGTGTTTTGTTTTCATTATTTTAATGCTCACAAGACACACCTCGGATTCGATTTGCAGTATACATAAAATGTAAGGGGGAAAAAGACCTCCATGTCTAGAGGTATTGCAAACTTGCAAAACACATTAATAGTACAGTTAAAACAGAATGTGTTAACCTGTCTTCTGAGGTTACCGCACAAGTGTTTTAAAAGTTTTGTTTTGCTGTGGTTTTAAAGCTTAGTGTGTAATCTCTCTACCACTGCTTCTAACGGACAAAAAAAAAAAAAAAGAAAAAGAAAAAGTTACAACTCAAATTCTGTAGTAAACCACAGGGCAGAGGCAAGGGGTTCTCAGCCCATTCCTTAACAAACTTGTTGCTAGTCCTGTCTGCACCATCCTAACTCGCCTATGTTCCCCAGGCACTGAGCCAAAAGTATCATTTTACTGAGTGAAGAAAAAAGAGTTTCATTCTTCCAATCTTGTACTACTTTCACCTCAACCTTGCAATCTTGTTTTTCCACATTTTCTAACTATTGAAATGAAAGCATTCCCCCCAAAATATTAATAAAGAATAGGGAAAGGAAGAGAATGGGAAGGAGGTGTTCTCTTCTAGATAGTACGCAGAGTACGAGGCACTATTTTAAACACTGATAAGGGCACGCATAGAAGCAGGGACTCTGCTTGCTGCCAGTGAATTCAGGTAATGTATCCATTGTTCCAAATTGCTATGGTCTGGTGACAGGAACCCCAACTAGAACAAGCTTGCCCTGCATTTTCTTTTGCATTTAGATGCCAACTTTGATAAGGTCACGCCTTAAAAGATCCACATAGCATGCAACACACAGATAGCAATAAAGCCTTCAGCCATTCCCATACTCAGATAAGAATGTAAAAAGAAGAGGAAATCAGAAAGACATTCACATATATGAACAGATTTACAGGGCCAACCCATTTATAACTACACCTATCTAGATCCTTTCACACACCAGGGACCTATGTGGAGCCAACAACAAAGGTACTCCAGAGATTCCCTCCCCTCCCAGGCCCCCATGCTCCTATCCCAGAATTTTCTCAAAGGAGCTCATTGCTTTCCCTCACTGGCTTCCTTTGAGTAGTGTCAAAAAGACTTCCCTTAATGCTTTGACTGCTTCTTTCAATTCCAGGGACTCCCTGAAATGTCCAATTTATTCCCCTGACCCTCCCAAAAGGTTTGACTCCTCTTCTACTGCAAAGCTCTCCCTCATGAGCTACCCACAGAAACCAGTTCCCTAGACTGCCTTCCCTCCCAATCATAGCCCGAAGATCCAATCCTCTTCTCCCTTGCTGTTTTCCTTTCCAACTGTTCCCAAAAGTACCTAACCTGACATCATTATTAGTGAAAATACACCAGAGGTTTTGGGGGAAGGGAGGAATACCATTAGAGCAAAGGAAAAACACACATGCACATACAGTGCAGGAATGATGTTCTCATTCCTGGACTGGTTTTCTCTTACCTTTGTCTATACACAATACGTCACCTCTGACACACTCAAACATTCCCAAAAAGCTTGATTAAATGATTTTATCTGGCGTATTTAAAGAAGTGTAGTGTGTGGGGGGGGAAGGGGGGGGTGGTATGTCAGTATATTACATTTTTTTCCTAACAAAAACATCGAAACATACCAATTTATAAAATTGTGACCAAAATCAAAACACAAGTGCAAAGATCCTTTTTAAATTTGTGATTATCAAATGCTACAAATCAGAATTCTGCAAACAAACAAAAATCAAAGAACTTCTTCAGCCACGACTATTGATAGGGTAACATCATGCTTAAAACTTCTCTTGTGAAAATGCTGTGCTCTAGCTCAATGCTTAACCAGACTCTTCTGGAAAACTTTTGTTATTTCGCTGTAATGTTTTCAAAAAGATTTAAGAGTTTCCAAACAACTTGTTTTACACTGACTTAAGTTTTACCTAGCTCAGATAAAAATAGATTTCTTGGGCAAAAGATAAATGTACAATTTGTTTGAAAACGTTTTCTTCAATCAGTATATTTTTATGACCTAAAATATAGTAACAAAATTAAGTGATTCCATTTTTCACTTTAAGATATAAATTTACCTAAACTGTCTTTATTTAAATTGTCAGACTTCATGATTAGCTATTTCTCTTTTTAAAAAAGGCATTACCATAATGACCAATAATTATAATCCAAATAATTAGTATTTACATATCTTTAAAATCAATCTTTTTTTAAAAAAATCTCTTTTGTGGTTGAAAAGAAAATTATGGAAAGACGGCACCAATCTATTTTTCTGTTTAAGAGATCCTTGCGCCTGTTTTTTAAAGGAAGAGTTGGTCTAACTACTCTTACGAAAAAAAAAAATGGCTAGGCACAATGGTTCACGTCTATAATCCCAACACTTTGGGAGGCCGCGGCTGGAGAATCGCTTGAGCCCAAGTGTTTGAGACCAGCCTGTGAGACATAGTGAGACCTCGGATCTAGAGAGATATTAGCCAGGCATGGTGGTGGCGCATGTCCCTAGCCCCAGCTAGTCCAGAGGCTGAGGTGAGAGGATCTCTTGAGCCCAGGAGTTCGAGGCTGCCACATAAGCCATGATCATGGTGCCACTGCACTCCAACCTGGGCGACAGAGTGAGGGAAACCCTGTCTAAAAAAAAAAAAAAGAAAAAAGAAAAGAAAAGAAGAAAAAAAATGTTTTTTAAGTAGGTTTTCCATTTCTGAGACTAAATATCTAAAAGTTTCTTGCCACTTGAAAAATCTAAAAGTGAAACATCTCAAGTCTCACTCATAACTCTATTCTTCATATTTTGTACTATGATGAACACATTAAGTAATACATATATTTAACATGTGATTAATATGTAATCTTGAGCAAAGGTACCAAAAAGTATCTCTCCAATTCAGAGCAAAAGTCAAAAAAATTTTAATTTTAATTTAAAATATTCCTTATGCCACCCATCAAGAAAGCCATTATATGATAAACAGCAGATATATCATGCTGCTGATTAATTATAATGGGGAAAATCATAAACCTAGAAATCAACTATATCACATATAGAAGGACACGGTAAGGAGAATGTACCTGTTTGTCAACAGGTCCATTGTCTATGATGAGCAAATTAGCCTGCTCAGAGTCAGAAACAACACTTAGGGTTCCCTCAGACACACAGTGAAAGACCATCACAAAGCACTCAGGCTGTTAACACAAGACAAAAAAAATAATAGTCCTCAGAAGACCCTTTCTCATCCCTTGCCCATGAGAACTTTAAGGCTTAGCAAGACAAACAAAGAATTATATATTTCTTGGGCAAGGTTTATCACATTTATGTCAACAAAGAGATGATCACTGTGAGGTCTTATAGCTTCACAGTTGTAGTTTTTAAAGGAGGGATCACTGAACTCCCAACAAATTGTATAGCTCATTTTAAGTACGTGTACATACACGCACTTTCCATTAGTATCACAAAATTCTAATTGTAGAATTGTCTCTAAATGTTTTTCTCACTGTGGAAAAAGCAGATTTGCTCATCTGTAGCGAGAACCTGACTGGCACTTAATAGGGAAGGTATGTAAATCATGGTTCAAGTTCAGTCATTGCTGGAACTGTGTAACTACCTTCATGTATTAGAGTTTTCAGTGAAAATTTAGATAATTTATCTCAGGAATTCTTGTTTTCAGTGAAAATTTAGATAATTTATCTCAGGAATTCTTGCAGGAGGAAAAACAAACAACACACATACATACTTCTAAACTCTTTGGCGAGATCACAAAGATCTTAGGCCCTTCTTGACAACATTTTAGAGAACTATCAAGAATACTGGAACACGACAGAACACAATGCATGCTGAATTCGAAATCAAAAGACCTGAAGTTTACCTGTGTTCTAACTGTGTAGGTTAGTTTTCATATCTCTAGAACAAAGAGAGGTATGCTACATCTCGAAAGCTATGATTAAGTGAAATGTAAACCATCAGGCATGATGCTAAATTAGGCAAAAGGAAGCAACAACGGCCGTGAAACCCTACTGAGTTGATAGGAGAATGGGGTCAATGTAAACTTGGGAAAAAAACGATTGAAATTACTATGGAGCAACCCACAAGGCATTATCCTTTTCAGTGTTTAATGAGATTTCCCGAAATATTCAAAATGGGTGCATGCTTTGATGTCAACTAGGATAACCTGTGAAAAAATGAAATAAGGACTATATAAGATGTAGAATTATCCATTGGAAAGTAGGTGATTTTTATTGAGGAAAAAAAGTTTTTCTGACAAAATTTTACAAATTTTAAAAAATTTCTTCTACATGACGTAAATATTTTACATAATATAAAATATTATGCTTACATTAGCTTTATGTACTACTTCTGCCATCCCCAATGAACTGTGGTCATAATAAGCAGATTTGTGTGCATGAAAAGACAGAGGGGCCAGCTTCTAAAAAACCCTTCTCACTGTGCCCCACAGTTTGAGAGATCAGAGCTACAAGCTGAGCTACTGAACTGATATGACCTGAGATCTGATCCCACTGCAGTAGCCATCGGGCTACAGTGGTAGTGTTACTTTACCAAAATAAACCCCTCCTCAATAGGAAAACGGTCCAAGAGTGCTTCCAGGTGCCAACTTCTACTCTTCTGGAATAAAATTCCACTAACAAAGTTGATATAGCTTTAAAGTGCTTTTCTTTAAAAGAAGGTACATATATTTAGGTTCTACTCATCCTACAATTCAATCTCGAAGAATACATAAACATAAAAAAGCAATACAACATATTGCTTTTTTTGCTAATATAAAAGTAATATATGCTTATTGTAAAAAAAAATGTAAAATCTATAAAAGTATAAATCAAACAAAAATCACAAAGAATCCCAACACTCAAAAATGACCACTATTCACATTTGGTGTATATTCATCTCATCTTTCCTCTATGAAATATACATCTATTTATATATGGCACGCTTTTCTTTACATATTTGAGATCCTACTATATAAACTTGTATAATCTTTTTAATGTATGTATTTCAAAAAATGTCTATGCCATAATCATTCTTAAAGCACATGGTTTTTAACAGCTCCATTTTATTCTATCCAATTAATATATTATTTTTTAAATAACTGACCACTATTTAAAATATTTCAAATTAGTAATTAATTCTCCGTATTAAATAATCACTTTGAGGAGACTTATTTTAGAAGTGATTTTAACACTTGACCCTACCAAATTCTCAGCAAGTAAAACATGCAAGCAGACACAAAATTATAGCAGTGAAAATTTTATAATCCACCTCCCCTTTATTTTACTCAAATAAATCAAATCTTACAGGTAGTGGCAAACTGTGCATATTGTCTTGTTAATATTCATCTTGCAATTTTAGGGCTACATATCATAAGTAACACAACCACAGGAATAATAGATGCTTGCATTGAAGATACTATACTAGGTATTATAAAGACATTCACTCCAACCTTGACCACAACCCTGTAAGGCATGTATTAGTATCACTTTTTTTTAACAGATTAAGAAATTAACTTTCTGAAAGGTTAAGTAATTCACACAGCTATTAAATGAATCCTACCAAAACTTAAGACACAGCTCTTGAATCCCATTTCCAAACAGATATTTAGTGTTCTCATTTATATTTATGTGCTATATATTTATATTAACTGTACTATGACCACTAATGAAAATAAATTCCTAACACTACCATTATTATCATGATGTTACAGTACAGCAATTTGGCAATACTATATTTCAAGAAGAAAAACATAAGCAAGGTAAAATATCTATAGAAATTTTAAATAATATTATCATTTCTAAAGTTGCATATTGTATAAAAATGGTAAATTCTAAAATGAACACTGGTCTTGATTTTTGTACAACTGGTGTTTTAAAACTACCACTTAATTACACTGTTCAATATTAATTGCTTGATGGAGTTAATGTGTAGGAAACAAAGATATAAAATGCAATTAAAATTATTAAATATACACAATAAATAAAACCATCAACAAATGATCTGAGTGTAAGGAATCTACATCTAAATTGGGTGTTGGGGAAGCAAATTAATGGATTACACCAGTTTCTTACAGTTCCACTGGCAAACAGTTGAAGGGCTGACACTTTCAGTCTCACCCTATAGAAATATTTTCTCAAAAAAACTAATATTTACTGTGGTTTAGTTGTTATTATTAGTGTTTTTTTCCTTTTGTTTTGATGTTGTCAAATAGGTAGATATTTGAATGGTTCAAAAATCAAAAAGTATAAAAGTATATCTAGTGAAGAGTCTTGTTCCATCCCAGCCCCTCATCTGCTCAGCTGTCATCCCTCTATCTATACACTCCCAAACAATTAATTATTTCATTACCTTCTTGTTTATCCTATGAGTTTTTAAATATAATTATTAGTAAACATTTCTGGGGTTTTTTTTACCCAACTTATTTTCTTCTGCCCCTTCCTTTTTTTTAATCTTAGCAATATATTTTCGAAATCTTTCCATATTCATGATTCTTATTTTTTATATACTTGCATAATATTCAATTATTGGATATACCTAATTTATTTAATCAATCCACTACTGATGGGCATTGTTTGCACAATGTTTCCCATCTTTTGATATGAAAAACAATGCTGCAATGAATAAATCTGTGCACTCAACATTTGACAAATTATTATAAGATAAATTTGTAGAAACAGGAGTACTGAGTCAAAGTTTATAAGCATTTGTTCCAATTCACATTTATATAAATTTATACTCCCATCAACAATACATAAAAGGCCCTGTTTCCTTGCAGCCTTGCCAACACAGCATGACACAAAATTTTCAGTTTTTTGCTAATATAATGAATTAGACATGCTATGTCAGTATAGTTTTATATACCTCCTATTTTGGGTGAAGTTAAGAAAAACTTTATATGTGTAGGAGCCAATGGTATTTTTCTGTGAACTGTGTGTTAGAATAATTTAACCAAATTTCTATTAGATACTTACTGTACTTCAGGAATTACTAGGAGCTGTTATGTATTAGAGATTAACCGTTTAAGTCATCATATGAGTTGCAAATTTTACCTCCAGCTTGTTGTTTACCTTTTGGTTTTATTTATGCTATTTTTTGCCATGTAGAAATTTTTATTATTTTAAATGAATTAATCCTTTGAAATTGACTTTTAGATATTGAATTTTATTAAAAAGAGCTTCCCATAGTAAGACCATAATAAGACTTTCACATTTTCTTCTATTACTTATATGGTTAACTTTCATGTATATATCTTTGTTCCAATTCAGAGTTTATCCTGAAGTTCAGTATAAGATATAAGCAATATTGCATCTACCTGTGAAAGAATACTTCACAGTATATCTTCCCCATTTTAAGTACGCTTCTGCATGTTCTTTAATACAAATATTACACATTTAAATATTGGCATGTTAATTTAAACTGCCCTATTACTAAATTATTTTATTGTTTATGAATTATTTGTCTTTCAGCTGATTCTCTGCAGTTTATGGATACAAAACATACCATCTGCAAAAAGTGATTATTTTATCTCTACCTATCAAATTTTTATAATCTTATTTTTTATTATCTAAATCCATTGGCAGTTTCGTCCAGCACAATATTAAAAAAGAGTAAAGAGAACAAACAAAATCTACCTAGTTTCTGAAATTACTGAGCATGCGTATGTGTTTTCCTATGAATCATAATGGCTTTTGGACTCACATACATACATTTGATCACTATGAAGAAGTTTCCCTTTATTTCTGTTTACTGGGTGTAGAGAATGGTTGTTAATTTTTGTCCTATGTTTTTTCACTGTCTATAGAGAAAATCATATGATTGTTCTCTTTAGTTTAATATGATAAATATTAGATTTCCTATTATTGATCCATCCTTGCACTGCTGAAATAAATTTCTTTTGTTAATAACAAATTATTACTTTCAGGGAATTCAAATTGTAATTTATTTTTTTAGAAACTGCCTCTTCTTTTTGGACTATTATTACTTGATATTGTTAAAGGACAAGAGGCCAAGCCTTAAAGCAATAAAAAATTACCAACCAGAAAGATTTGCAGAGGAGAACTTTAGGTTGAGGAGCAGGTATAAACTAATAGATTATGTTTGATAATTACAGTTTCATTGGTTAAGAACTGTGAGACTAACATTTTCAGTCCTACTCCATAGGGAAATTATATGCTCAGCAGAAGTATTTTATCCTAACACTGTTTATGGGTTATTTTTTATTTAACAATACATTAATTCAACTTAGTACAGATTTACTGAACATCAACTATTTTCAAGGTATTGAGATTGTGTAGTTCAGTGGCTTGCAAACTTTTTTTTGACCCAGACAGACAATAAAAAATATATTTTTATTGCAACTCACTATATACATATGTCTATGTATGTCTAAATACATATTAATGTTTATGAAAATGGCTTAATGAAACAATACTACACATAATCATAGTTCTTTCCTTCTTTCTTTTTTTTTTAAGACAGGGTCTCACCCTGTCTCCCAGTGACAGATTGTGCAGTGGCACGATCACAGCTCACTAGCCATGAACTCCAGGGCTCAAGTGATCCTCTTGCCTCAGCCTTCTGCATAGCTAAAATTACAGGTGCAAGCCACTGGGCCCAGCTCAATATTCCATATTCTAACGTTTTCTATTCCATATCATTTTTACTAAAGTGTTGGTTTCTATACATTACACCGATTCCCCAACCCATAATAAATTAAAATTTACAGTGTTAGAAATATCATATTAGCTAAGACGAAGGATTCTGGAACTAGGCAACCAAGGTTTGAATCACAGCTTTACCTCTTAATGGCTTTTAATTGCACCTCAGTTTTTCATCTATAACAGCGGGGCAATACTAGCATCTACCTCATAGGGTTTTATTGAGATTAAATGAATTAATACATATAAATATATGTTTGAAATATTATATTTGATTTGTTTGACAAAACATTTCCCTTGATCCTACAGTTGCTAAAAAAAGCAAAAACTTGCATCCCCAAAATACAAAAACTGTGGAGAAATCATTAGATATACAGACTTCCTATCATCTAAAAAAAATAATTATGAGCATGCCAATATAATCTAAATATCTGATTGTTTTTTAAAGTGAATCTGAACTGGATCTTCTCTTTCAAGGCCTTGAGATAACCAGTAAATATTAGCTAAGTTAAATAATCATTAAGTTGTCTCTTTTATTCCTACTTTATATGGATGTCCCTTGCTCCAATGACTATCAAAGAAGTTGATAACACTAAGAGACTTAGTGGAGATCTATAATGGTACAACTCCAACTCATTCTGAAATGGTATGCAGAGAGTAGCCTAATCTTTACAGTATTTAGGAGTTTAAACATCTTAAAATCAGCCTGGAGGAAAGAATGATCTTATCTCTTCCTTAACTCAGTTTTTTTGGGGCCTCTTCAAAGTTAACTTTAGAGCCCATGGAGAATAGCTTTTTCTTACACATAATTTTACTATTACATAAGCTTGCTGGGATTTATCCATTGTACAAAACAAATGGTATTAAAACCTCTAGTAAATATACTACCTACTTTCAGGTACAATCTCAAGAAATCCCCTAACTCTGCAAATGTCTGTTTCTCTAAAAAACAAAGAACCATGTTTCAAAGTTAATTTACTTTGGAGGTAAGAAGTTTGGTTGTTGCTTGGTTTTTTTCCCCTTATCTCTCTTTCTTCAGCTGTACCTATTGATACTTGGCACATACGTTTTTTCTAATTGTTTTAGGGAAGGAGTGGAGAGAGGTGTTTGTTTGTTTTGTTTTAGCATGTTTCTAAATGTGCCTGGGATTATATTCTTAAAGTTGGCATCTATTGAGCAAGGAGGGGCAAGGATACACAAGTTTGACAGAAATAAAGGTAAATAGCTATTTTTATACTCATCACAAGGATGACAAGTGCTAGCAATGGCCAGAATGCCTATCTCCCACTGCAACTGCAATCCCAAACTCCTCCTAATATACCTGTAATAATCAGTTACGTCTAATACATCTCTTGAGCCTGGTTCTCTGCCTTAAATGTCTTCCTAAAATCTCTAACATTGACACCCAACTCCAAATTTTGAGTTCAAATAATAGCTGACTGAAAGTTTTCAATATATTTTCAGTGTTTATATTTGCTAAGGATAATAGGTTTTCCTGAAAAAAAATTTTCTTCCTCAGAGTAATCTAAAATCAAATCTTCCTCTATAATAAAAAGGTGTGGATGTGTGTGTGTTATAGGGGCAAAGGTGCAACGGGTTTTTTTTTACTCTGACAAGTATTCTGATAGTTTGACTTTGAGAGATCCTAAATGTAAATTGTTACAGAAACATCTAAAACGTTATTTTGAATTAAATCAAATATTTAAAAAGACCAAGTTTTTTCTTCCTTTCCTATTTCTTCCATTTATTTACTGTTGGATGGACTTGAGAAATGGAATTAATAGTGATTATTTAATTGGCCATGTGATGTATGACACTGAATGAACCAAATGCCTTCCCAAAATAAAGTGTATGAAAATGAATGTGAAACTCAGGGTAAGAGATTTTTCCAAAAGTCTTCCAAAAAGTGTGAAAATGTGAACCTGAACAGTAACTGATTTAATATGATTTTGATCAATGCAAAAACCTCTTAAGAAACAAAAGCACAGGCTAGGTGCGGTGGCTCACTCCTATAATCCCAGCACTTTGGGAGGGCAACCTGGGCGGATCACGAGGTCAAGAGATCGAGACCATCCTGGCCAACATGGTGAAACCTCATCTCTACTAAAAATACAAAAATTAGCTGGGCATGGTAGCGCGCGCCTGTAGTCCCAGCTACTCAGGAGGCTGAGGCAGGAAAATCACTTGAACCCGGGAGGCAACTGTAGTGAGCCCAGATGGTGCCACTGCACTCCAGCCTGGTGACAGAGTGAGACTCCATCTCAAAAAAAAAAAAAATCAAAGAAACAAAAGCATAAACCTATTTCTAGAATGAAGGCAAATGCACGTTAACCCTTAAAAGTTACAACAGTGTAGTTTTACATCTGGCTCAAAGAAGGCGGAATCACAGTTATAGTAGGTAATGCTGGATGATGGCAGCTGTGAAAAAGCTGGATAATAAATATATACAATCGCATACATTATAATAAAGCATACTGCATGTTCCTACACAGGTCTAAACCTAATTCCATTCATTCAGTATTCGATACGTTTACTGAAGTTTTAATCAATGTCAGGCACTGGTCTAAGAAAATAGTATCATGTCTTACAATGTCTTAAATATGAAACGATCCTAATTTGAGGTATGAGGAAGGAAAACAGTGACTAGAGAGTAAACAACACTAGTCTCCTCCTGAATAAATATGCTATACTATTAAATAAAATTCCATAGGCATAAAACAATGGAAGAATTTAACCACATAGCGAATATTTCCTTTATCTCTCTGCCACCCTGGGAAAATGTCTGTTTTCATAGTGAGGTCTCTCAAAATGATAGCAAACTAATCAGCAGAGGTTCTTGAGATAATGGGAGCTTGCCTGGCTAACCAGGCAGCCTGTCCATCAACTTCAGATCCACATATCTCCTGAATTATAATCAGAGACTGATGTTCACACCCTGAAACCAGTCCATAATTTGAACTCCTGCCTTAACAATAAATTAAAAGGATAGGTAAAGGCAATGCATGACTCAAACCATGTGAATCTCAACAAGTATGTTCCATTTACTATCTTGGAACAGTCATAATTGGTATTAGACCAAGTTTTTCCCGTCAAAACCAAAAGACAATGGAAATGCTAAACACCAAATGTCAGTAAACCAAAAAAGTCAAAATATTCACATGGTGTAATAAATACTTGGATTTTATTTTACTTTAAAGCATTTAGCAAATAATTAGCCACCCCATTATTACAATGTATGGGTGTATGACAGAAAAAAAAAAAGCTGTGTAACATCAGAGCTTTCTTATTTTGTGTATGGGTAAAACAAGGAAAACAAGGCAAAAACAAGGTTAAACTCTTAAATATAGCAAAGCACTGTTTGAACCTCTTTTAATGTAAAGGGATAACAGATTATACTTTATTGACCTTCTAGTTAATAACACTATTTTTAGAAAAACAAAAATCATATTATTACCATCTTAAATGTTAAACTCTTTCTTCGTTACAGGAACACAAAAAAGAGATACCAGTTAGTCCATTACCACAGAAAGAATTACTCTGTAGCTGTTAATAATTATAATGTATGTATGTGCTTAGAAACATGAAACAGTGTTGAGGACGTACAATGTTAAAGGAAAATTAATTATGTCATAAATAATTTCTATTATACAATCCCATCCATTTCCATGTTTACATGGTCATAGAAAATAATCTAAACAGATATACTTTGAGTTGCTAAGTGAATTATATGCAAAGCACTTAGAACAATGCCTAATACACAGTAAATGCTCTTTAAGAATTTCTGCAGGCTGGGGGCACAGTGGCTCACATCTGTAATCCCAGCATTTTGGGAGGCCAAGGCGGGTGGATTGCTTGAGTCCAGGAGTTCAAGACCAGCCTGGGAAACACAGTGGGATCTTGTCTGTACAAAAAACATTTAAAAAATTATACAGGCAGGGTGGCCTGTGCCTGTAGTCCCAGCTACTTGGAAGGCTGAGGTGGGATGATCACCTGAGGCTGTGAGGTCGAAGTTGACACTGAGCCATGATCGCATCACTGCACTCAAGCCTGGGTGACAGAGTGAGACCCTGTCTCACACACAAAAATCTGCTATTATCATTTTGTATGGTAATTGGCTCTGAATGTACAATTATGACTGCTTTAGCCCTGACTTCCTTTTACTTGTGCATGTTCCCCTTCTCCTTAATTAACCTGCATTCATTCTATCAAAAATGTTTATTAAAAAACATATATCATTAAAATATAATTTATAAAAATCACAATTTTCACATCCAATAATCACAATTTGGAAAAAGTAACCCATATTATAAAAAATTCATCTAACTGTTGTACCTCGTAATTTGTACTCAACAGCACTTAGGGTAAAATTCCGTAGGTAAAAAGCCCAGAATTTGAGGTACATAAGGAAGAGAAGAAACAAATATTAAAATATTAGGCATCTGAGTATTCTGTGCTGAACAGCGAAAGAAATTAATTTCACAAAAACTCCTGACCCCAATAAACAGACCAGCACTGAAAGGAGCAACTGTCATTCAACACTGCCTCTCCAACACAAGCCTTACGAGATACTGCCATTCAACCCACAGTTACTGAATAATCATATCTCACATTTATTGGAACACTTATTATATGCTCCATACTTTGCTAAGAGATTTAAAAGCTTAATATCATTTAATTCTCCCAACAGCCTTATGAGAGAGATGTTCTTCAACCCTTTAGGGCTGAGAGGAATGAGGCATGGAGAGGTTAAGTAACATATCCAAGATCACATAGCTGGTAAGTAGAGCCAAGATTTGAACCTAGGCCCCAGAATTTAATCAGTAGTTATTGAACACCTACTCCAGAAAAAATGCTAGGCACAAGGAGCTGCTAACTGCACAACAGTCAAGACATGCTCTGCTAAGGGCAGGGGCTCTAACAATTACTCTAGGTCTACCCTCTTCAAATTCTGATCCTGAGTCCCTACATCCATCACTGCAGTCACTGCAACTGCATTTATTGCCACTTGCACCAGAAGGCTAATTACAATACTTCCGTTTCCCACTCTTGACAATGAACAGGGGAAAGTGTATTTCCCAAGTTCTGATTTGTGATTTAAAATGTATTTCCTCATAGTGTTAGTTTGTATAATACTATTAACCCTACTACAATTGCCACATTAACTAAGCCTTTTTATTGTTGTTTCTTTCAATGGAATTTAACCACCATTTTTAGCAGTGTTTCAAGTGAAAAGGACATTCTTTAACCCCTTCATTTTATTTTTAAAGTTGTCATACAAAAAACATGAGCATTTTTTTCCTTTTAGCATTCAGTTCTACAACATGCATAGATTCTTATAACCACTACCATAATCAGGATACAGAACAAAAAGGCATTCTCATTAAAAAAAGAGAGACGGCTTATAAATGGACTTAAAAGACAATCTCTGTTACATTAATGACTTTTTACTCTGTCTTCCAACACACCAGGCTTTCCTTCTATTCTAGAATAAGTGAATTGGACACCACAATAGAAACACTTGGTATATTTTTGCAAAATATATTTTGTATACCTGTGGCTTTCCATTTTTAAGGATATTTAGAAGCTGTGGTTTTATAGGGGCTTTATCAAAATGGTTGAAATTCTTTTCCATGGCAGAGGTTTGACAACTGTGGAAATAATTAAATGAGCACACCTTTTCAACACTACACATGACTGAGAACTGCTTATCCAGAAGAGACTAGCTAGGTGGAGGGCTCTGTTCTAAGACTATCGAGTATATGTTATGTGGTATTTAAAGACATTTGTAAATGTGTTCTATATTTGTAAAACTATAACTAGAAGTTCCTTATATTAAAACAAAACAAAAGTAAAAAACACTAACTCTAACAAACTGAAAAGGCAGTTGAAAGAATATTAATCAAAGTTCTTGTTTAGCTTTACAGATGCCACCTAAAACTTTTTTTCCCAGAAAAATTTTTGGAACAGGGTCAACGAATGGCCAAAGAGTCACTTTCAGATTCTAATATTCTCTAACACTTTTGTAACTACAAAGTCAGTCATCAGTGCTAATATTTTGTGCTTGTGAAAAAAGAGTCTCTACTCAGGTCTGGTACTACCTTTGGGCTGCAAAGACAGTTACTTTAATGGTATTAATTTGACAGAAAACAAAAGAAAAATAATCACTCTCCCAAACTTCTTCTCCATACCCTCCAGCATAATCTGGTACCTGAAATCTCCATTATCAGAAATTTACTACTATGGCTTGGGAACCAATTTCTAGAGACATCTCTATTAAAGCATTTATGCCACTATAAAACAACAGTAATCTATTAAACTATGTCAGTCTCAAAAACCTTAGCTTGAATTCATTTACTTGAATTGTTCTATGACAGGATGGAAAGCTGGGGAAAGGGTTCCTAGTGTCCACAGACAGGTTTTGGTTTGAATAAAGAAAGATTGTGAAGACACGTATCAGAATCACGCAACCCTGAAAGGCAGGCAGGACTGAGCAGGACAGTGAAGCAACAAGCAAGTACCACAAGGGAAGTGGGTTTGCAAATGGAAGTGCTAAGAAAGAAAAAAAGAATAGTAAAAGGGGCCCCAAAACAATTCATAGGTAATTCTCTAAAGCCAGCCCTATCTGTATAACCTTTGCTAGGGCACTGGTGGCATGCCCCCTTCCTGCATTCTAAGTACTCATCCTACCACAACCTCATTTTTTTTAATGAAATAGGTCAGCTCGACAAAGAGCAAATGACTGAGATGAAACAAATTTCCCTAACTTTAGTCAGAGGAAGTTTCATAAAAAATCTAATGCTGCGAGCCAGCATAAACAAGAGATGAAAGTGTGGGAGACAAGAAACATGAGAAGGAGGAAAAAAAAGAAAGGATGTACCACTGTTCTGTTGTTATTCTGTTACAGATGACACACATAAGGAAGTCCCTAGTAATTTTGTGTATTAATACTCTACCCTATGATGAGGCACAGCTACAGACATATCCATCTTAGTCAGCTCTGAGTTATAAGAATATGCCTGAAGCCAAGATGAATGGACTTGGGTACTGAATGCAAGGCTTTCTCTACAGACTCGGGTTCAGAGGTCACCATCATATATGGATCCCTACCACATCCTGTGTGCATAAGGGCATGTGATATCAGATTAAAATTGGCCTTTACTAGCAATCTTGAAGGAGAAGAAAAATAATTAGTTAGTAGTCAGTAAGTACCTGGCAAAGAAAGAAGCAGTCTCACTTATTCGACTTTAGTGAGATAGTATCTGTTTGTTTGGAGAAAAGAATTTGCTGTTGAAGGCAGACTACATGTTATGTGAGCCCAGGTCTCTCCCTCTTTTCATTCCCCAGGTAAAGCAGCCAACTCCATCTCTCTTTCTTCAAGGCCAGTTCCTACTCCCATCCACTTCATGAAAGTTCATTCACTCTCCTTTTAGTCATTTGTTCATAAAACAATGGGAAGTGGTACACCTATTCTCTGCCAGGTACAGTGGCAAAATTATAAGTACACAGATGAACAAGACATAGTCTGCCCCAGAGGAGCTCAAAATCTAATATGGGAGACAAAGACATAAAACAATAGCAATACAATGTGGTGAATACTATAATAGATACATGTACATACTCAGTGCTATAGAAATATGGGGAATAACTAAAAATTCAAATAAGCAGTTACACTGGACCTTTGAAAAGGATTGAGAGTTTTCCTGGTTGAGAAAAAGTACAGAAATCCAAGGAAAGGAGAAGGATTCATGCAAAGAAAAGGCAATTTGAAAGAATATGTTATATTCAAGACATGGCAAGTATCTGTGGCTGAAGCACAGTATATGTGAAAAGGAATTTCAGGAGATGAAGACAAAAAGATAGATTGGGCTGTTTAGTAAAGGCTGTAGTATAAAATGCTAAAGAGCTTATTAGACTGCATTCCTCAGGTAAGGGGAGTCATTCAGAAAAAAGAATGGCAAACAAATTTTTGTAATAGAAGTAGGTGACAAAACTACAGAAAGGCAATGATTAATTCTATAACTCTAACTGGAAGGCAGATGACCTACAATTAGTCCTAAGAAATCACTTTATCCTGCACTTTATATATTTATTTATTTTTGAGACAGTCTCGTAGTAACCCAGGCTGGAGTGCAGTTGCAAGATCTTGGCTCACTGCAGCCTCAACCTCCTGGGTTCAAGGGATCCTCTCACCTCAGCCCCTCAAGTAGCTGGGACTACGGGTACGTGCCACAACGCCCAGCTAATTTTTTGTATTTTTTGTAGAGACAGGGTTTTGCCATGTTGCCCAAGCTGCTGTACTTTAATTATATGAAAATAATTTTACTATGTTTGCCTAATGTCTCAAACTCCCATCTAAAATATTAAACTGCTATTTAATTTTTTTATTTATGTATGATGTAACTGTGAAATCTGATTCTCTTTAAAGGAAAAAATGCATTCTTCTTCTCTGTCCTATACACAATATTTTTCATAAAGTACTAAATAGATACTTGCTGACTGATCAAGATGCATAATAGTTATCCTATAGGATCTTTTCTAGAAACTAGTTTTATGCTTTCTGATTCCGTTTCTATTATATAATATTTCTACTGATTCTATTATGCTCCCTGATCCTATTTCTGATCTATTTCTTCAGACTGTTGGAGAAATATAAGGTCAACCAGGTAAGTATTTGTACAAGCGCATTTAAAATGTTGAGCTCTTCTTTCCTTTTGGCTCCAGCTCATGGAGATATGGCTTCCTATCTTAGGCAAATCAGTACTTGGGTGCTACACTGATACCATTAGCTATATTTCTTACATTCAGTAGTAATTCAATGTGGAAGCTGGAGTTCTGAAACTGTTAGCAGATCATGTATGATATTCCTGGAATTCTACCAATATTCTTTCTAACATTCATTGAGTTGCTATAAATACAAGGACCATTATGAAATGTTTGTGATTACCCCTGGCATATTACAACTTGTGGAATACTGGTCACTAAACATTTTGATAGCCTCTTTGAGGTACAATAAAGAAAAACAAAACTTCAGCAAAGGCCTTTTATAACCACAGCATTGGTTTAAAATGGCCATTATTACATATTTGTACAAAAAACTAAATAGAATAATATCTGTTTCCATTCTGAAGAGTTCCTTCTCAGTTTGGTTAGAACAGCACACTAATCAGCTGTTGAAATCTAAACTGATTATTTCTGAAGTGTCAACAGATGCACAAACTCCCTGGCTGAAACAGGAACATGTGTCTATTTTGTGTCAACAGGCTGAAGGAATACAACTGAGAGAGAAGTGCAGAAATAAATAATAGAGAGTGTAATAAAATACAGTGTGAAAATATTCACATGATTTTATAAAACATCTCAATCAAAAAGACCTAGAAAGCCAAGCAAAGGAAAAATTATCAAAGGCAGGTAGAGGAAAAGAAAAGACAGACAGAGAGACAGAGAGAGAGGGCAAACCACAATAATAAAATTATGCATATATGCTTACATTTTTAGTTTTTTCTTGAGAAGAGCTACAACTCTCCCTGCCTACCACCCAACCCTAAAGATGCAGTTCAGTCACGTTCTTCTACCATCTTCTGAAAAGCAGAGACTATTTTAGTGATTGATGGTAAAATGCTGTAATATCTTAGCTCCTTGGAGCAACCACTATTTTCTTTCCCAAGTCCCTGCACATATACTATCTGACAGTATTTCCTAAACTTGCCTGATTATCAGAATTAGAGTCGCAGGCTCCTCCTCCCTTGAACACTTTGTTTGATTCAGTATACTTGAGTTGAGGTCTGGGACTGTTTATTTTTTTCAAGTATCTTAGATGATTCTTACGATCAAGCAAGTTTGAGAAAAAGACCCTATGACATAACTATTTTAAAAATAAATTGGTTTTAAGGATTATTCTTTCCTAAGAATTTCATAATGTCTCTTGCCATGATGGCAGACCAGAAAAGTACTACGTGACCTTGCTGAAACACTCTTACCAAATCTGCAGTGACATAATTAAATGGGCTAACATAGCTCTTAAATTTATATCCAATCATTTCTCAGCCAGTGATTCTCCTACTTAAATAATTCTCCAAACTAAAGTAAAGAGGTGGATGACAAAATCTAGCCTAGATAATCAAAAGAAACTCCAATCCTTCACATGGCTAGATTTTGCCACAGGTGACCTGGAACACGTGATATTTCTGCAGCTAGGGTCAGCTCCTCCTCAAATGTTCACACAAAGACGAAGCCAGCTAATTTCCCTGTTAAATGTGAGTGAGTCACCATCCTAACGATTTAGATTGCTAAGGTGCACATATTGAAATATATGCTTCCCGGCACAATTCCATATCCAATTACAACAGTAAATCCAATAAAGGCACAGTAAAACTGCCACTCAGGCAAGGGAGAAATAAGAAGTCATAAGCTAATTCAAGTGTTGCTAATATCCTCAGAGGAAGAAATGTGGATGCCTACAACCACTTTCAGTAGACTCCATATTATCTTTTTCACCTAGGAATCTTTCTTAAGAAATGTCAGCTGGAAAACCGTGATGAATTTCCACAACCTAAGCAAAGTAAAATCCTGAAAGATGATCATACTTCCTTCATGTGAGTTTTGTAACATCTCCCTATAGCCTTCTTCACTTTATGTCCTACTTTTAAGCCTCAAAGCATCAGGTTTTATAGTATCTGCTCAAAATTCTATGCACAAAGTCAAAATTGTATATGTAAATGGAAACATAAGCAATGGATTTCTGTTTCCAAAATAGGCATAGTTTTTGTACAAAATTTTATTTTAACCATAAGTTATTTGAATTGTCGAATAAAAGACTTAAAAGGATATACCTAATGTAAATGACAAGTTAATAGGTGCAGCACACCAACATGGCACATGTAAACATATGTAACAAACCTGCTTGTTGTGCACATGTACCCTAGAACTTAAAGTATAATAATAAAATAAATAAATAAATTAAAAGAGTAAAGTGCTTAAAAGTAACAATAAGATACAAGTTATTGAAAATAAATTCAGGGTTTGGTTTGGTTTGGTTTTGTTATTTACCATACTTAACATGCTTTACTTGCAGCTGTTGGTACAAAGGTGGAAAAAGACATAATATATATGTTAAGCACTACACCTAGAGCATCATTCCTCAGAAGAAATGATGATAGTATTCTAAATACAAGGGCCAATGCAAAACACTCTAAAAACCTACATGAAAGCCTGCTCTACAAGCACTAATACATAACAAAGCATCTAAAACTTGTGAGATATTTAGCTTGAGTCTTAGTGAAAAAAAAAAGCAGTGACATTTCAGACAGGCAGATGAGGGCTCAATATAAGGAAGAACTTTCTAAGAATTAGAGCTGATCAGCAATGGAACAGTAAACTTCCTTTCCTCTAGCACTTGAAGCAGTCAAGCAAAATCCCAGAGACCACCTGTCATGCATGCTGTCAAGGATATTCTTGCTTTGTTAAGGAAGTTGTTCTAAATGACCTTTGGGGTCACTTTTAAGTAACTGATTCAAGGATTATTTTCAGTGAGATGAATGGCATGGGTGCATGTCCTTGTGTGCACGCACACATGCGCTCGCGCGCGCGCGCACACACACACACACACACACACACACACACACACACACACACACAGCCACACAAAAGAACTTGGAAGCCTGATATTTTTAAATGTGATTTTACAGGCAAAAAGCAAAGAAGATCAATCAGCTCTGTCATGAAACTGCCATTGTGCAGAAGGGGGAAAGGGATACAGGTACAAGCCTTCTGCCTAGGGATTATCTTTAGGTCAAAGAACAAACCCAGGTCCTAGGTAACCTTCAGCATACTCTCTAACAGTCTGCAAACCATCCCGTTCCCGGGACAGACCAGGAGCTACAAAACTACACGACACACTTGGATGCATAATTTTTCACGTACAAGTGGATATGTCATGCAATGAACTTTCTCTGCTCTCAAGAGTATTTCAGTTTCCCATGTGTAGAAAGTACAGGGTGAGTCTAAACCTGAATAAGTATACAACTTATTTCCTGAATAAGTATACAACAACAACAAAGTACCAGGTTTCATCTTTTCTCAAGGGTAGGCTTTGCCTATGTGTTTCCAAGGAATTCAACTTGCTAATCAATTGACAAACTCAGAGTTCTCTACCAGTCTTGAAATAGGAAAGAAAAAGAAATCAGGTCCTTATTCCTTACATCCTGCACAAGGTATCTATTCCCTTATACCTCACCTAGCAACTTAAATGTAATTAATTGTATAATTTTTAAGTAAAGGTTTATTTTTCTTTCTGTATTCTTTGTTTGCTACTTCTTATTAGATACACAATCTTTTCCCCTAATAGAATGGCTATATGGATGACAAGGTTTCTTGATATAAGAATTCAGATTTCATTAACCCCTGAACTTCATTGAACTGCTATGCTAAATACTTTGGAAGGGTTTCTTATGTGATTTACCAAGATAACTAGTGAAATTAGAGCAGATACAGAAATAAAAGTCACATCTTCTGTTCTAGAGTGTATAACATTTGAAAATTTCTACTTAACATCAAATCATCCATTCCCTGCCATTATCCTTTAATAAATATGCCTCAAATCATGAATCACGAATAAAATCTTTTTTCTCTCTTTCTCCTAGTTCCTAATAGAGTTTTTAATTATAATTTCTCCCAGACACTGAAGCAGAAATATTCTTCAGGAACAAAAATTAAATACAGAATTTCCAACCAACAAACATTTGAAATTATGTTTAAAAAACCGTAATTAAGAAATGTCAAACATACGTAGATACCATCTTCCCCCATTCAGATGAACCAAAATGGATAAAATGCATTTTTGTCAAGGGGAGAAAACAGACACTCACATATTACTAGTTGTAGTGTAAATTGTTATACTTTCCAAAGAGCAATTTGGCCACACTTTATCTACTAAAATATTCATTGCACAGACTTCTTGACATAGCAAATACACAGCTAAGTTATCCTAAGGATGTAAAGAAGGTAAATGAATGAACAAGAATATCACTGAAACAATGTCTACATAATAACAAAAACATAGAAACAACCTAAATGTCCAACAGTGAATGAGGAGCAAATTAAATCACCATGTATCATCAGTGTATAAAGGTATTATATGCACCCAAGAACAACGTTGGTATTAAAAAAAAATCCTAAATGAAAAATTGAGTCATAGGGCAAGTATGTACCATGCAACCCTATTTGTACTATTAATAGGAAAGGAAACAAAATATGTAGACACATGATTTGTACTAGTATATACCAAAAAATTATGGAAAGATAATTAAGGAATTGGTAGCACAGGAAACTGAGGACTAGGGTACTTGAGTGGTGGAGCTTTTACTTTTCATGTTATATCTTTCTCTACCGTTTTAACTTTATACTATGTTCCTATATCATTTTTACCTAGAATCTCTATTTAGACTGCTCTTTAGCCCCACACTATGTCAGAATTTTGTAATGCTGGCCACATCCCCTGTGGGATGAAGTTTATCACCCACACCCCATCATCCCTAGCACTATCATGCCATAACACCAAAGTTCCAGTTCAGAACTTACGTAATGGATGGTTTCAGGGTTGACATTTCCCCTACCACTTTTCCCATTTCTTCACACCCTTATGTTATGTGTGTTGATTTCTGCCTTTCTTTCTCTAAAATCTAAGCTCCTTTGAGAGTAGGGTCAATGCTGCCTTAATCCTAGCTTCCCACAATGGCATCCTAGGAGGTACCGGTAATAAATAAACATTAGAGTTGTTTTTTATGAGATTATCGTTTTAAGGTTAAAATTGTATTTTACAAGAGAAGAATTTCCTACTTTCCTGACCATATAGAGTTGGTAATAAATCACCTCCAGATTACAGAAAGAAACACTGAGATGCTTTAAGCTTATAAATAATTTGTAATTATTAAACAACAAAGTAAATGATGGTAAAAAGGAGACAGAAACATTTGAAATAGTTTTAAATAAAATTTTTCAAAGAAAAATGCAGACTTGCAATAGGTACGTCATATGGTACAAGGGAACACAAAGAAAAAGAAATTTGATTGAAGAAAAAATATTATAATAATTTCCTCATTTCCAATACTGTCAAATACAATTTCAAAAAACAAAGCAAAACACATTGGTTTCAGCTCACGGTACACATTTATAACAGTGAATAGGAACTACACATCAGAATGGAATGATTATTGATTTCTTAATGGATTACTGCTGCACAAATTTACACACACCAAAAAACCATCAATCTTTGGGTAATAATTATAAACCTATCACAGCCCATACAGCATTCTGACTGAATTGAAAGTTACTGCTATCTGCCGGGAAATGACCAATTTTCTATTTCTCCAGCTCCAACCACAATATGGAATGGTGAGCAGCTACTTACATCAAATGCTATTACAGGACACGGTTTGTAACAGCCACAGCATACACCATTTGTAAATTGCTATTAGAGAGGTAAACAATCAGGTCCTGGTGGAATTTTCTTATTATTCATTAGCTATGAAAACTGTAAATAAAATGGGTATAAGGCAGTTACACTTATCAAAGACCTTTCATTAGTGGCAGGTTGTGGAGAAGGGGTCAAGGGCAAACAGTACATTAGTTGAGGTCATGCTGTTCTGACTTTACATACTAATTTCAAACCTCTTCCCAAATCTGCACCAGAATCTCTGTAACTATAAAACTACATAGTTCTCTTTCTAAATCCTAAGGATGTTCTCAGTAAATAGCACTTTTACTAAATATCCAGTGGAATACCAATACAACTAAGATACTATTTTCCAAAAAGAAAACCCCATTATGTCAGTTTCACCTAGCAGTCCTTAATCATTGAATAATGATGTGATACGGTATTGATCAATTAAGTTTGTAATTGTCATATTTTCCAGCTGTAGTAGTATAGATAACACCACTTCCTTCCAGATAGTTCATCCCATTCTGAACACCTTATTTGATCTATATTACACACAAATAGTCCTAGCATAAAGACAGCTAATCCAACCCAAATAAAAGTAATTTGAAATCAATAACACACTTGTTTACATTTTCTCTTTAAGTCCTATCTATCATCAGAATTTTTGGTTAGATATGTCAACATTCTTTTCTAAAGAATTATAACTGCAATTTTTCCACCCAATTAACTAACTTAAGAATACATGTATTTCCAAAATATCCTAGGAACTAAAGAAATTAGATTTGATTGTTTTTATAAAGCATTTCCCTTCCTAAGAGGCTATTAAATTACCATGATGATCAACCATAATAATTAAAATACTATTAAGTATAATATAAAAGCAAATAGAAAAAGCTAAATAAAGTTACCATTATAAAATAAAATAGATTTGTGAAATACCACAATAGATTTGTGAAATGGTGAAATGTGAGGATGCAAACTTGTTTTGTTTGTCTGTTTAATAAAAAAGGTATTCTAAATCTTAAAACAAGGCAAAACAAATGTATTTCCTAGAATGCAAGTGGTAACTTTAGAATGGGGTTGGTATTCATTAATTTTCAAACCCTAGAAGCCTTATCTAATAAATATTAAAAAGCTATATGCAAATATTTGCAGTCTATAAATCACAACAGCAAACGTGCCAAAAAATGAGCTAAGTGCTCTATGCAATTGTTACATTTATTTCTTCAAAACTTAAGGCAAGTATTATTATTATTATACCATTTTACAGCTGAAGGAACTAAATTTAGGAAATCTAAGGAACATTCCTAAGGTCACACAGCTATTAGGTTGAAAAACAATGGAGTGTCAGTAATCCCTTACGGCTTAACCCAAAAGTAGGGTGCACAGCCAGGACTCCAAACCAGGTCTATGTAATATGAAAATCAGTACTCTTAACTACTTCTACAGGGCCTCACCCCAAAACATAAGAGTGTATCATGTAAAGCAAGGAACACCAAGCCAAGAGTCAGAAGATAAGGTTTTGTTGTTGTTGTTGTTGTTTTTCAGACAGAGTCTCACTTTCTGTCGCCCAGGATGGAGTACAGTGGCATGATCTCAGCTCACTGCAACCTCCACCCGCCAAGTTCAAACTATTCTCCTGCCTCAGCCTCCAGAGTAGCTGGGATTACAGGTGCAGGCCACCACACCACACTAATTTTTTTTTCTTTTTTTTTTTTTTTTTTTGTATTTTTAGTAGAGACGGAGTTTCACCATTTTGGCCAGGCTGGTCTCGAACTTCTGACCTCAGGTGATCCACCCGTCTCGGCCTCCCAAAGTGCTGGGATTACAGGCGTGAGCCACCACATCTGGCCAAGATAAGGTTTTTTAATCGTTGTTGTACTACTCTCTCCCCATGTGACTTTCGCCTCAATGTACAGGTTTCTAAAATAGAGGGTTTAGAATGAACACTACAGTGTAAAACACTTTGTTTGCTTTATAGACACACACAGAGAATTCTATTTATGGAAGGGAAAGAACAAGGAGTCAGTTCATCTGTGAGTTCACATTTATTGTCTATTACATTCCTGGCCCTACTACATGAATGAACAAGCCAAATGTTCCTCAACTGTGTGTTGGGAGAAGAGATAAATACACAAATTAAGTAAATTCAGATACTATTAAGTATAATAAAGAAAATAAAACAGGATAATGTCATAGAATGCCTGGAGAGGGGCTTATTTATCTAGGATGCTCAGGCAAAGCCTCGCCAAGGAGGCGACAGTTAAATGGAAATAAGAAAAGAAGGAGGCTTTCATGCAAAACAAGGAAGAAAACGTGTCCCAAACCAAAGAAACAGCAAGTACAGAGGTCCTTAGACAGGAACGAACTTGCCATGTCCCGGAAAAGAAAAAGGGAAGAGGTATTAAAAGTTCAGTGAACAGGGAAAGAATAGAGAAGAGGAAGTCAGAGATGGAGGCAGGGCCACAGCCTTTAGGACCTTACAGACTTTGGAAAGGAATTTTAGTTGTATTCTAGTTTCAGTGGAAAGCTTTTGTGTTTAAAGCAATGAATTGTTATGATCTGATTTGGGTTTTAGAAAGTCAGGCTCTGTCTATTGTGTGGAAAACAAACTACAGAGAAGCAAGAATGGAAGCAGGAAGACCGGTTAAACTGTTGCAATATTTTAGGCTTAAGGTACTAGGAAATGATGATAGACTAAAGTTACAGTAGCGGGCCTGGTGAGAATTGTTTAAATTCAGGATGTATTTTAGAAGCAGAGCCAAGGATTTCTGATAGACTGGATGTGGGATTTCCTTTGAGGAAAGAAACAGTGCTAGATGCAGAGTTGAAAGTCATGAAAGCATCTACAGTATCTAAAGAAATAAACTGAGAAAGAGAGAAGAGGACCTGTACATAAAGATATACAGGCTGCAAATAGATGAAGGTGAGTACCAGATGTTTTCTGCTCACTAAGTAATTGGCAGCTATTGATTGTAACACTTCTAATGAAGGCACACCTTCTCTATTTCTTCTCTTTAGATAGGGACACTAGATCTTGTTGTTCTATCAAAAGCTTCTAGTTTTCTGATGTCCTCTAACTGGATCATTTCCTTTATCCCAATAGCCAGTAATCTAGAAAATAAAAACACTTGGTAAAAACAGAAACTCAGAAACAAAAACTAATCACTAAGCTAGGGTCTCTCACAGGCAGGAAAGAAGTCAAAATACCAAAGCATGAGAGCATTTTAGAGCAATAAATGCTTTGTTATAAACTGACAAACACAATTAATAGACATCAGTCATCAAAGCTGTGCCTACCTAGAGACATGATCCTGAGAACACAGTAAGATCCAAAATATCCGTAAACTTCACACTTGAAAAGGAAGCATTTGGGGGAGCACTGAAGTTCCCCACCAACCTTAAGACCCACCCAAGCAGGGAAAAATCAATTTTAATTGTGATTTAAAATAATCTTACTAGTAGCTGAAAGTATTTTACAGTAATTCAAAGGAAAAAAATGTCAAACAGAAAATTACAGATTGATTACCACAAACAGTTCTTTTTGGCACATAAATGCATATGACTTGATTATCATTAAATTGCTACTAAAAATATATGGATACAAGCTTGAATTTTCAGTTCAGTTAGGATTAAGTACATTGCTTTCCTATATATGCCAGTTAGATATTATGGGCTTAATTCACAGAACCATACGCCAAGCAAATTATATTTCATGAGCTTCCAAATAACACAAAATTTTTTTGTAACGTTAAAGAAAACAGTGAAAGAGATACAATAAAAGATTACTTCTTAAGAAGATGATCTGTTACAATGTAAACAAAGAGAATACATGGTATTCTTCAAGCTATTAAATATACTGCCTTATTTCTTGCAGCTATAGGAATGATTACAAACAAATGCTTGTAAAACTAGATAATGATTGCTCATGTAACAAATTGCTTGGACATATTTAAGCAAATATTTCTAGTAAGAATTCAACTGAGGGGGAATGTAAATGTTGGGATAAAACTGGGGGAAATATCTTTTGTAAAGATTGTGTATATGAACCCAAGTACTGTTACAATAATTGTAGACAAATGTGATAATTATCACAACTCCTCTAAGAAAATGGAGGTCTGGCTCACAATCTGGAATCAACAGAACTGTCTTAACAGTTTTAAGGGAGAGCCATTTGATTCATAGGATTCTAAATGATCTTTGAGATTTAGCTACTGGATTAAAGTTTATTAAAAACAACATTAGAATTACATGTCATTTTCATGTATATCTACTAAATGACTGATTTATGACTTGAAAGATTTGGATCATAAAGATCAGAAATATTCATTACTCAAAATAATAATAGTAACACTAACTTTTAAATTGTATCTTTAAGATTTTCCAATAATACCTCTGACCTGTTTGTATATACATTTCAAGATTCTCTAGGTATCCCTTAAAGTGTTTTATAAAATCCATCTCTAAATTCTAGAGTGACACTGGCTGAAAAGATGTATATTTTGAAGCCATGTGAAGCTTTTGAAGTCATGTACTTGAGAAGCTTTTAGTCCAATGTAGTATTGTTTGAATGAGTGTTGAGAAAAGAGTTAAAAGTTGTCTAAGCTAGAGCCATCGTTAGAGCATTTATTTTAAAACTGCCTTCTGGGTAAGACTAGCTGGGTGATTTGGTCTCTGGTATCCTCAACACAGATAGCATAACTGAAGTAACCTGTGGGGTTAATCTGAATAATAATGTCTGGAATAACTGAGAGACGTCTCTAATGCATTCAGTCAATCAGATAACCAACACATAGGGATATTAACTCACAATATATTTTAAAATAAACAGCAAATCTTCTTAATTGAGAGACTACTATGTATAAGGCACTGTGTTAGCTTCTGTGGAAAAGATAAATGAATATTTCTTAAATTATTTCTTAAAATGTATTAGGCCCTGTGATAAAAGCTTTACTAAGTTTATTAACCCTCACAACAACTCCAAGAGACAAGCACTAACTTTCCCTATTTTACAAATGAGGTAACTAAAACACAGCATAGGAAAGATACTATCCCAGTCGGTTAGGTGCTAAAAGTCATATTCTGTCTGCTACCCTCAGGCTGCAGAGATTACAAAGTCATTTTCCCTGCCCTCAAGGAGTTTCCAGTCACACAAAGGAGATAAGATGTACTCAAGAAATTAAGCAATGATAAAACAGGATAGGAGGTGATAAAGGCATCCAAAAAAAAAAAAAAGATCATTTGGAATTAGGGATCGACTGTCCTGTGCCTATGACAATAGTAACTCTGACCCAAAAAAGGTGAAACTTCACTCAGGAAAATGTCTGTTTATGTGTACTCTAATGTGAAATCCTTTTAAACTGAATATTCTGTTTTCTCCTTGATTCTACACAAGAGAGAAAAAAAGAACACTGCTGGGGTATGTATATGTGGTTCTGAGAATTCCAGATATGCAACAGAGACATGAATTTAATATAACACATAGAGCACCATAAGTATGGAAATTAATAAAATTTCAGAGCTATACTAGGAATTCATTCACCAACACATCTAGTTATACAAGTAAATAAGTCCATCCTAAAAACTCACTCTGGACAAGGTCACCTAGGGAGGTACACCAAGCAGCCAAGACCTGCCAGCAAACACATCTTCTGAATTGCCATCCTCAAATGAAATGCATTACTACCACTTAATTACCATTTCAATTATACCCGTCACAAACAGAGTAGGTTTATGTGTGATTCAATTTAATTAGGTAATTTTACTTTCATTTCTTCAGTAATTGATTTGAATACAACAGAATTAATAATTGTCTCATATCTGCATACACATTTCTTTTCAAACAAAAATTCTGAGTCTGTCTACCTGACAGCACTCAAACAGATGAAAAGCAGAAATATTCAGTAAGTGATCCAGATATGTTATGTTCCATGCAATGCTTTGGACTAATTTTTAAAATTATTGTTGATTAAAAGCGGACTAAAAGCATGTCCTTCCTAGAAGACTATTTGATATATGTTTGTGGGACCTGTTTCTTAGTTATTATGTAATTCAACTTTTTTCTCATATTCTTTTTATCTAACAATAAAATAGGAGCTATCATTCTGGCTAACTTACCATGAGCCAGTCACTGTTCTGGAAGCTTTACATATATTGTGTCTAATGCTTACCACTCCTCTGACAGAGAGCAATATCCCCTTTTTACAAATAAAGCTGAGCTTCCAAGAGATAAAATATCTGTCTAGGGGCCTCACATTTGACATATATTAGGTCCCACTTCTTTATATACCACAGAGGGAGAGAAACAGGAAAACTTGCTCAATTCTGTAATTTTTAAAAACATGTTTACTGGCCAGGCACGGTGGCTCACGCCTGTGATCCCAGCACTTTGGGAGGCTGAGGTAGGCAGATTACTTGAGGTCAGAAGTTCAAGACTAGCCTGACCAACATGGTAAAACCCAGTCTCTACTAAAAATACAAAAATTTGCTAGGCATGGTGGCAGGTACCTGTAATCTCAGCTTCTCGGGAGGCGAAGGTTGCAGTGGAGCCGAGATCGCACCACCGCACTCTAGCCTGGGCGACAAAGATAGACTCCGTCTCGAAAAAATAAATAAATAAATAAATAAATAAATAAAATAAATATTCACTATTTTCCAGTAATGCTAAGTACTATCAAAAAGAGTAGATTACTCTGACACTGGTTGCATAAATATTAAGCTCAAGTTTTGATCAGCACATTCTATGCTAGATGTAAAAGCATTTTGAAAAAAGTACCTTACAAATAAAATGGTATTCTTAGTAGACTTAAAATTTGTTTTTTTAAGCAAGTTAAACATATACCCTGATCTTTTTATTATTGTTATTTATGGGCTTAGTAAACCTTTTCTTCAACAATGATACACATGTAAAGTTTATCTCACAACTGATAAATTTTTACTACAGTATTAAAGCAGATTAATTTTTTAAAAATGTCTCAATGGGTAAAAGCCAACCTGAGCCTTCTAAATAACAGAGTATGATCTCAAGAAAGTCTTCTGGAACCCTCAGTGCCTGTGTCTTAGACACTTCGAGAGGAAAATGGAAAAACCAGCGATCAGAGGACAAAAACTGGATGCAAAACCTCATCTCATCTGCTCAATATCAAGTTCCTTCTTCATTGCCATCTCCCAAGAGGGGGAAAAAAAGCAGAGAAAGTTCTTTCTGGCAGCCTTACAGTCTCCCTAACCCCCTTCCAATCTCCTTTCCCACTAAACTAAAGTAAAAAGACAACTGAGGGGCAAGATCAAAGTTTACCGCATCCACGATAATTTAGGAATACGACCAGTTAGGATATCTCTTACACACACAGTATAGTACACAATCATTTTTGCAAAAGATAAAAGCAATAGATTAGTCCAAGATGGCCACTGATAATAGCACTGGTTTATAACTAATATAACTTAATAACTAGGCACCACTAACTTTTATCCTGCTTTAATTGGCTAATTGTTCTAGAATCAATCCCTTAGGACCCAGTTCTTTTAACCAATCTACCCCCATCTCCTACTCCCTGGCTTTCAAATATCTGAAGAAGTATGCTTCTTTCTCCCGAATCTAAATGCTTATTCATTTAGCTTCTACCAGAAACCATTCTAATCTTATTGCCACATTCCTCATCACTTAAGCAGGCAGCTTCCTTGATTCACTTATAAATTCTGATTTCTCTTTATTTATTTTTTTGTGAAGAAAGAAAAAGGGGAGGAAAAGACGCTATTTTTCATTTGCTCTATTGCTCTCTCCAGTGGATCTACTAACTCAAGTGGAGTCTGTGGCTTGTCCTCCACTTCTGAATCTGTTATTTTTATTCTTTCTTTCTTCTTGCCAGCTTTCTTCTATGCTCTCTATACTTCACAGCTCTGCTCTTTCTTTTATAGGCCTTAAGTTATTTTCGCAGGTCCTACCTCCATTAGCAACATACCAGAATTGTCTTGCTAAAAATAGTTTCTCTTTAATAGTTTTAATGTAAAAAATTAGCAACATTCGAGGGAATTTTAAATTGATGAATATGAAAAAGAGACTAAGGCTCTTTTTTAAAAGTAAACTTGTTTGTTACATGCAAGATAGAATTGAAAATCTATGTTTTAACTCATTCTACTCAGATTTCTTTTGCCATCAGATGCCACAATGTCTCCTTAATATTGATATGTCATTTTAATATTTATATGTACATTATTTAGTGTATGACACTTCATGCTATGAATGAATATTACTCATAAAACAATTCAGAGTATATAACATTATTTGGAAATGCCACTGTAAACAACCTAGCCAAGTGTGGTGGCTCACACCTGTAAACTCAGCTACTCAGGAGGCTGAGGCGGGAGAATCACTTGAGGCCAGGAGTTCAAGACCAGCCTGGACAACACAGTAAGATAGTGAGACCCTGACTCTAAAAAAAAATTGTTAAAAATTAGCTGGGCATGGTGGCATGCACCTGTAGCCCCAGATACTTGAGAAGATTGCTTGAGCCCAGGAGTTCCAGGCTGCACTGAGCTATAATCGTGACACCGTACTCCAGCCTGAACAACAGAACAAGACCCCATCTCAGGAAAGGAAAAGGAAAGAAAAAGGAAAAAAGGAAAGGAAGAAAAGAAAGAGAGAAAGAAGAAAGGAAAAGGAAAGAAAAGAGAAGAGAAGACAAGACAAGAGATGAAAAGAAAAGAAAAGAATACAATGCCGGGCACGGTGGCTCACAAGCTCAGGAGTACGAGAGCGCCTGACCAACATGGTGAAACCCCGTCTCCACTAAAAATGCAAAAAAAAATTAGCCGGGCATGGTGGCATGCCTGTAATCCCAGCTACTCAGGAGGCTGAGGCAGGAGAATTGCTTGAACCCAGGAGGCGGAGGTTGCAGTGAGCCAGATCGCGCCACGGCACTCCAGCCTGGGCTACAGAGCGAGACTCCGTTTCAAAAAAAAAAAAAAGAAAGAAAGAAAAAAGAAAAGAAAGAGCCGGGGGCAGTGGCTTTATGCCTGTAATCCAGCACTTTGGGAGGCTGAGGCAGGTGGATAGCCCGAGGTCAAGAGTTTGAGACCAGCCTGACCAACTTAGTGAAACCCTGTCTACACTAAAAAATAAAAAAATTAGCTGGACGTGGTGATGGGCGCCTGTAATCCCAGCTACTCGGGAGACTGAGGCAGGAGAATTGCTTGAACCTGGGAGTGAAGGGTTGCAGTGAGCCAAGATCGCGCCACTGCACTCCAGCCTGGGTGACAGAGCGGGACACTGTCTCAAAAAAAAAAAAAAAAAAAAAGAAAAAGAAAAAGAAAAGAAAAAAGAAAGAATAAAAGAAAAAGAAAATACCTTATATTTTGACTAAATCTATAGTAAAATAGTATTCAATAAATCTGAAGATATCATTTGTACATGAAAATGCCTGATTTCAGTATTTATCATTGATGACAGCTGATCATTTTTATGAGTCTATAATTTTATTGAAATTTCAAAGTTAAATGGATGTAATCAGAGCTACTATCAGTTTTCTGGCTCCATACTTTCTTTTAGAGGATGGTTGACTGAATTCATTGGTCTTTTCTTTAAATTACACAAATAATATATGAATTTATTTTTTGTAAGAGACTTAAAGAATGTAGAACTATTTAGAATAAAATATAAAACACCCTGTTTACCCTCCGATATCCCAAAGTCAACTATATCAAGTTTTGACGTTTCCTTCTTGTTCTTATTATTTGTTTTCACACATTCACACGCATACACATGCACATATATGCTTTTAAAAACATAAATGGTATTATCATATACATAGAGTTGTATGAAATCAATTGTCTAGTTAACTATAGCTTCTCTGGCTGAAAAAATATCTCTTCAAATTTGTTACAGGTATTGTACTCAAAATGTAACACCAACTAAAACTATTCAAATGCATCCCCAAAACTTTATGCAAACAGCATTACTATGATTTATTTATGTAAAAAATAATTTATTTTAAATTGTGTTTTGTTGAGGTACGGGGGTGTTTCTTTTTGTTTTTATTTCCAAAAAAAAATTAAATCTAAAACTATCATTAGGTCATTAATGTGTCATAATTCAGACAGATGGCAGTGTGTAAATTCATGCTTCGAGAACTTAAAAACAGCAGACTCACAGAAAAATCTCATATTTCTTTTTATAATTCTCAGTTATGTCCAGACACAATCTATTGCTGCTTTCAAGTAGTTTTCAAAAATGTAATAATGTAATAGAAGTCATTTTACATTTCCAAATACTACATTCGAGTCAGTGTTTTTAAGGCGTAAGTCATTTTAAAGCAGTACACAAAAATGATTAGGTACCACCTATTTTTAGTACCTAAAAATTATTGAATAGCTCAATTTTCAAGCTTTAGATGATATTTGGGTGATCTGAGCAAGCATTTCTAATAGAAATAGACCTTTTACAATCACGAATTAAATATACATCCTCAGCCCTAAAAACTATAGAAATGCCACTTTTCAGTCTAAAAAGTAACAGATGTATTGAAAATAAAGTCATCTACTTCAGACCATCTGAATAATAAGCATATTGGCATAAGTCTGATTAGAAGACCTATAAGATATTTCCATATGTAAATATTACTTGTTAAAATGTGTATTTTTAAACAACAAAACAAGGATATTTATGAAAATGGCCATGAAAGAAAATGTTTTATATACTTGTAGAAGAAATTATGCCTATTTAGAACTCAACCAGAAATTCTCACTGTTAATTCAACTGAAAACACAGCAACGTAGTACCCTAGCACTTCAAAATAAGATCAAGTCCTGCATGTTGAATGTCTTAGTAAGAAGTAGGTAGAGCTGACATAGACAAGGGTAAGGAGAACTACAGCTTCAATGATAATGAGAGCAATGACAAAAACGTCAAAAGTGTAGACACCCAGAATGTTAATTTATTAGAACGTGACTTCACACTGATTAATTATACACTCATCAAAATATCTGGAGTGCATAAGAAAAGCTAATTGAAGCATTCCATCTTGTACATGCTACTAAAAACAGTTTAAGTGATGGAGAACTGGCTTTAAAATTACAAGTATATGGAATTAAATCTGTAACCTTAAATGTGCTATATCAAGATATTAATAGTAGTAATGAAGATGATGATGGTGGTGTCATGGAAACATCTACATTAACATTCATGTGGATTCCACTGAACATGGTTGTATAGAATCAGAAAACATAAGAACTGTTTAGAAACTTAGAGATCAGCTTTTGGGACCAATTTGAAGATTACAAAATCTTTTTCAGAGTGAGACATTATAAAAATAACACATCCCCAAACAGAGAAAATCACAAGTAAATTAGGATTTTTGGATTATTTCAACAACTAAGAAATCAAGTTTCCAAATTTTTTCAAGTAGATCAGAAGCATACTATTTAAACAGACATATGTAATATGCTAATCTTAAGTATTTTCTTCATTCAACAAATATTTACAGGGCTCCTACAATGCATACAATGCATATGCTAGGGATGAAGAGATATGACCATTTTCCCCAAAGATTCACATCTGGAAAACCTGATTAATTTCTTTATAATCAAGGTGTGGCCCACAAATAAATCTATATGCTTTGAAAAGTTACTTAATTCACACTCAGTAATTAAGACAGCTTTCCTACTAACTAACATGAAATACAACAGTTTGCTATAAAATCTCATTTGATGCGGTCAGATCACTTCAATAATTTCATGAGACTGGTTTGGTGTTTTTTTTCCTTCTGACCTATAAACTGGAAGTGCCTCTATATCACCAGCTAACTTAAGGATCTTTCCTAGGTGGTAGTGCTATTTTCCATCTTCATCTAAAATAGATATTAAGAACTCTTAAACTGCTGACCACATCAGCTGTCGAGATTTCTGTGAATGGAAGTTCGAATTTATGGCAATAGTAGTTGAAGGAAGTATCCTTTATGGGCACTATAAGATTGTCTTCATAAAGTTAGGCTATAAAATCAACATTTTACAAATTAAAGCAGAAATATAAATCACACTAAAGAAAATGAATGGATCTCAGGCCAGAAAGAACTCGTCGTAACCTGATTGTATGTATTAATATAGGTTACAGACTGAATCTGGGGGATTTAGCCTAGGAAGCCAAGGGGAAAAAAAAATGAATCTCAGAAGTATTTTGGTTGAACTAGGGAATCTAAATCCATGTCCATTAAAAGGAGAGGGAACTGGACAAAGGACTTCAACCATAATTATCCAAATAGCAATGCTATCTCTATTGTGATGCTGAATATATTAGGTTCTCTTAGTCTAATGCCATTAAACATTTGAATTATATAACTAACTCCCTTTATTCAGATTCCTTGCTCAGTAAATGACCTTTACTGATTACCCATATAGGTCAGTTCACAAGAACAAAATGATCTAGTCAAGCCAACTGGAGTGATCCAGCTCCTATGTTTGTTGGTTGCATGTGTGTGTGTGTGTGCTTTATTTTTAATCAATATCTAAACATAAATTGGCATTCTGATTTTAAATATCAGTTTTGTAAACCTGTTTAATGTCAGTCAACCTTGAGATACAGATCCACTCTAAGTGTGCCACAAATCTAGTTTCAGAACTTGCAAGGATGAGTGCCAAATCCTGCATTATAAATAATTTTGTGGGGAAATGTTATCCTCTGAGAACCTATCTAAGTGGCTTGTTGCCCTTTTGTCTGTTTCACTGTACATCCTCAAATTTACACACATTTGAAAAACTCTTGGAGGTAAAAGGTGAGAAGCAGCTCATTAATCTATAATGGATGTAAGTCACAGTTAGCACATCACACTCATTTACTTCTAAATGCAATAAGCAGTATTACGATCTCACACAAAATATCAATTCATTTGGACCCTTGAAGATACCATCCTTCTCTAGAAAACACCCCAAACCTATTTTTTGAGCCCCAGCACCAGCAATGCATCATACACAGTAAGTGCTTAATAAATGTTTGCTGGATCAATGATCGAAAGATGAAAAATATCTCTCTAAGGAGTTCTGAATCTCCACATACAGGAAATCTCAGAAGAAGTGTTTCTAGCATTAACATTCATTTGGAATTCTATGGTGTCTTGGGTAGTCAGCGCTTACATTTTTAAGATGGAATTCTGTAATAAATATTTCAGAATAATTATGCTGATTAAGATGTTATCTATGCTATACTGTCCCATCTAGGTAACCTCATCCCAAGGGGTATGATATTATATTTTTAAAATATTAATTCTATACAAAATCATTTTAAAATAATATATATTGTATCTGCATATTTATCTCAAAGTCTTCAAAAAGGCTCTGGTGAGGAGTATTAAATTCCTTAGCTATTAATGTGGCAGAACTGGCCAATGTTTAGCTAACAACCTGTAATAAGTATGTAATATTTTCAATAGCATATTTATTTATAAGGAAACAGGTTACAGAATAAAGACAGATCATTAGAATAGAGGCACTGGAGTATATGGCATACATTAATCTTATGATTTTTTTTAAAAAACAGAAGTTATGATATTAGATATACCACAAAATGTTGAAGAGCTTTTTGTTTAAAAATCAGTGGGTCAATCACATCAATTAATTCAACTTCTGAGACCAGTATAAAGGATTCCATTAAGCAAAGAGTTTATTAAAGCCTGTGCACATAAAACTCAATATAGAATTTTGATTTAATGGGGCAATTGAGGAAATAAGGCCACTGATCAAATACTGAGAATTACTTAGACATGAATGTTTTCAAAATATGGTATTAAACTACTGTTAAAGTAATATGGGCAGAAAAGTAACCAAACCATGGGCTAATATTAGTTTTCACTAATTAGGAAAATTCATACTTCAGTCTATATCCATGTGCCTAATTGCTATCCCTCTCCCAAATTGTACCCTGTGGGTGCTTCAAACCAGAATTGAACTAAGCTAAATCTTTTCCCGGAAACCTGCTCCAGTATTTGCTATCTTCACTGACAGAACCTACCACCACCATCTATCCCGTAATTTAAAGGTTGCCATCCTTGACTCTATTGTCTCCTTAATTCTACTACCCAAGTACTGTCTACTTTAAGATGCTAAATATTACCTAGATCCTTCTCCTTCCTTTTTATCCCACTACTGCTAGCTTGCATGACTTCTCACTCAATCATTGAAACAGCCTGTTAAATATGCACCTGCCTAGAGACTGGTCCCCATCCACAATCTTTTTCCCCACATTGTAATCAAATCGATCCATGTCAGTCAAAAGACTGAAGTCACCTACTTCGTTAAAACCATTGACTTCCATGAAAATAAAAGCCAAGTTTCCTCTCATACAAGATGTTCCATTATCCTGCCTTGATTAACTCTCCAAAGTCATTCCTGGCCTCGAATTCCTAGACTCCAACTTTATAGTCTAGAAATACCAATCTGCTTGTATTTCCCAGAATATTGCATGCTATTTCTCACCTCTTATTGTGGATATATTATTTATTGAAAAGGCCTTCCAGTTACTCCTAAATCCTATTCATTTAATAAGTCTCGGCTCAAGCAGTCTCCCCCTCTAAAAAATATTTCCAAATGAGCACCACCTCTCATCCCCCGTAATAATCAAGACACTAAGCTTACTACAGTAAAATGCCCTATTTAATGTCTGTCTGTCCCACTAGAGTATGAGTTCCTGGAGGAAAAGGACTCTATACTCTTTATTCACCTTTGGATTCACCTTACAATACCTGGCACATATGAGGTATCCCACAAATATTTATTGAATTGATCAACTAGAATTGAACAGCAAAATGTCAAATGCTTATAATTAATAATTGCATTTAAGCCTACTTCAAATTTAGAACATCTAAACTACTACCCCCGAAGTGCACAATCAACAATTAAACCAACAATTTTATTAGGTATCATCAAGTGAGAATTTATGGTACTACCAGAAGCATCAAATGAGGTTAGATTTTAGATGAGGACTCTCTAAGAATTGATTCTCTGTAGGAATAGGTTACTCTATTAAGGGAATTTTTTTCTTTTGTTATTTGTAATGACTGGTATATCTGGAACACCAATAATATGCAGTGATTTGCTTTACATATCATCAAAACCACAAAACTATACTCAGGAATGTTGAGCGCCACCCCCCTCCCCAATTCTGACATATAGACAAACTCTATTTCTTTCTTAACCAAAATCTTCATAGATGCTTTAAATAACGGAGGGTTCCTGCTTCAATTTTTACCCTAAATTATCAGAAATCCCTATCTTTCTTCCCTGGACCTGTGCAATATACAGAAAAGAGCAAAAGACCCAGATTTCAAATAGACTTGGATTTGAAAACAAACCCTTTTTCTTACAAGTCATAGGTCCATAAAAAAGTAACTTGACTGCTCTGAGTAATAGCAGCAGTGATTATTTATTGAGTCTTAGCATGTGCCAGAAGTTGTGCTGAGCATTTTGCATGTATTGCCTTATTGAAATCTCACAACAGCCCATTGAGGTAGGTATTGCTTATCCCTATTCTACGGATAAGGAAACTGGAGCTCAGAGATGTGAAGTGACATGGCCAAGGTCACACAGCAAAGCAGGAATTCTAACCCAGGCCAGCATAATTGCAAAGCCCATATTTTTAACCACTCACAGTCTACTGCTTCTGAGCCTCAGTTTTAAGTGTTATAAAATAGAGTAATTACATGCCTACCTCACAGAATTGATGTGGAGACAAAGTGAAATAATAAGTAAAGCATCTAGCATACTAAGTGCACTCAATAAAGGATGCCCCTCTACCTTCTCTCGCTCTAGTGGTGATTATAACATTTATAATAAAGGAAACCATCCCTAAATATTCCTTACCTATATCAAAACAGAGGTATATTGGGTCTCAATTAATTCGCAAAAGGAAAATACCAACAGGCCAACAAATACATTTAACATAAACAGATAAGAAGGGAAAAAAGTAAAGAAAAACAACATATTCTACCTCATTTTAGGACTGGAACTCTGCTATTGATATTTCCAAATATGATAAAAATATGTAAATATTCAAAATATATCAACATGTCAAAAGTTAGGAGAGAAGAGCACGGAACCCAGAGATGAAAATTCATTATGGCTTACAGGAAGACTCTCAATAGAACACAATCAATGGTGTTACCTTTTTTTAAAAAAGTACTTCTAGTGGGAAAGACAGATTTTGAACAAAGATAGAGATGATAAGGATAATCTTTCTGCCATACGTTGTTTTGTTTTTTGAAAACGGACTTTAATTCTCAGTACTAAGCAGACTAAAAAGATAGGGAGTTGGGAGCGGAATGAGGTGCAAAGAAAAAGTTACAGCACTTTTGCTGTTGATTACCAACAAATCTATACCTCTTTTACTTTCCTTTTTTTTCCCTTTTTTTCTCTTTTGGTACATAGTTATGACATTTATCTCTGATACCTGTAAAGAAATTAAATCAGAACTATTTTTATTTAATTCCCTAATAAACAAGAACTAAATGTAAAGTACATTGGGTATATACACAAACCTAAGTATGGCGACTTAAAACAGAAGATTTTCTATCAAGCCCATCTGGTGTTATATTAGGGTGTGTCCTACAGAAATCCAAGCAAGGGTGACTGCCAAACTAAGCTACAGAAGAAAACTCAGAAAGCTGGTAAGTCCCATAATATAGGCTCTATTTCAAAAAGTGCATTAGAACACCCGCCTGAAAAGATAATCTGATATCACTCCACCCTCATAATAACTCTTCTATTTCTGAGATATTTGTCACAAAAATATGGGCCAGTATTGGACACGGCAGACACCCTGAGAAGGTGACATTGTAGAGATAGCAGTTATCTAACTAACCCACAAGGTAATATCACAATTTTATGTCCCAATCCTGATAACTTCATCTTTCTGCTAAGTTCTCTAAGAGGTAAATTGATTTCTTCAAGCCTCAATTTCCACATATGAAAAATAGAAATCATAATATACTTCTGCTTCGCTAGGTTCTAAAAATGGAAACTAGCTAAGAAAAAAATTAATGTGAAGTACTCTGAAAAGAATAAACTAGATTCCCTGACCTGATTATTGGTCAGAGCCTTGTAAAACTAGACTTACTACTTCTTCCGATTCCATACATGCCACCTGGCCATCAGACTGATAAATAGCATTGACTGTACAGTTGATCCACTTAACAGCTTTAAAGTAATAGAAACAAATTTTGCATCATGATGTATTTTCATACCCATTTAAGTAACTACCTGCAAAGTAAATTTATACATAAACATTATAAAAAAATAGATAAGAAAAATAAAATTAATTTAAAAATTTTGAACTTTAAACAATTTTCAAAATAGTCACCTGCCAGTATAGAACAGTCTGAAACCAATACTGAACAACTATGCAAGAATTGGAAATGAGCTAACCAAGAAACAGAAGGAATCACAAAGTAAGTTTCATCTGATGGGCCGAAATACAATATGGATTATTTTTATATTGTTCTGTCTGAGATGTCTGTCTCAGATTCTTAAGTCCCAGATTCTATTTTTAAAAATCACTTAACACTGTGTATTTCCAATAGCCATCAAGGCATATACTGTCATCCCTGACACCGAAGATTGTCAGCAGACTCAATATGTACACTAATGATCTCAGGCAACAATGTCCATCTTCTTAACAAAGACATCCTCATTCCAGAAGAAAAAGTTTAAAGTTCTCTAAGAAAATTCATTCAAAACCATAGGAAGTAGTCATTATAAAATGTTAGGATCACTAATACCTCTTACTTCTTCTTAAGTTTATCTTAGATGCTAAATTTTAAAACCAAAAACTGTCAGGCATTATAACATTTTTAGTTCTCTCCCTCCCAAGTCACCAGTGCTCTATTCTAGCACTGTCAAATAATGATAGCTGCCGTCATTATTTTTATACAATAGCTGGCAGCAAGTTGCACAGAAACCCTTCATCTTAGAAGAGTTACCAAATAGCTTAAACAAATGCTGGGACCTTACAGTAGTACTGACCACCTTCCTAAAGCCAAAATAAGTGAGCTCTCATGCCTTATTGATACTTTTCTGGCCAGAATGTTAGCTGTTTTACTAAAAAAAAAAAAAAAATTTACTTATTTTATTTTTTTAACTGTTTAAAAATAACTTTTTTCCTCCTTACACATATATTCCCATCCTCTCCTTCCTGCTACTAGAAACTGTCTTAAAGGTTTTCACATTTACTTTTAGCTTTAACACTTTCAATCAAAATTGCAATTCTGTTTTTGGAAGCAGGCACCCTCCAGGAAGTATATTTGAAGATATTAAAAAATGCAGAAAATAAATAAGTTCTTTTCATTAAACAAAGTCAACAATGCATGTAAAGGGATTTAGGAAAACCGGTGATCTCAGACACAAGTGATTTGACAGGCCAGATGCACACAAAAAATTATTCCAAGTCACAGAAAAACATCAGAGTGACCAATTCTAGGTCTCTTGTTCTAATTAATAGACGAGAGTTCCTCTCTATCACTATTTGCTTTGGCAATCTAAAATGCTGATATTCTCCTAGATCTAACAGAGAGGAAAAATGGGTATCTTCTCCATCTAACACCTAAGTGGGTAACCTAGATACTGTAAATAGAGGCTACATAAAGGATGCAAGAGACAGCTCTGAAGTGAGAGCCAAAATATTTAACCTGCAACTCTTTGGAAAAGAACCTGAAAACACGTGCATCTTAGCCAAAACCTGTACTAACATGGAATTGCCACAGGCTAGTAAGTTAAAAAACTCTCTACCAAACATAAGTTTACTGTTGTTGGGTGAGAAAAGCTCAAATGTCAAAAGCACAGTTCTTATTTGTTCAAATTGATCATGCCTACACTCTGCACTGTTTATTTAAAAAGATGAGTGAACTGCCTTTCTGAAGCAAGTACTTGCAAAACCAGAATCAAATTCAGAAATAAAGCAGCCAATTAACCACTTGACAAGCATTTTCCTGTGGTTGTGTCTAGGGGATGACAGTCAAGTCTCTGATTAACAGTTACTCCCTACCCTATACATGCAATGTTTCTAAAGCCAATAGCTAACTAATAGAAACTACATATTATCTCTTTTTACTCTTTAGGAAATTGTGTGAGTTATCTGAGAAATAAAAACATTACACCAAATAACTAGTATATTGAAATGTAAAAATTCTATTGCCTAAATTGTAGTCATAGTATATTTTTTATCAAATCAACTAGCAAAAAACATGAATGCAAAAGATTCATTATGAGATTAGTATGATAATTTAGTATACATTCACCTGCTAACTTTACTAGTTTTTTCTTTCTAAATGATACGGGAATTGTAAGGACTGCTTCTATAATTAAATTTTCTTAGGAAGTGCTCATTACTTAAAAGAATTACAACTTTTAAATAAATAAAGCAAATTCAAACTCAATCATAATTTCAAGTCAATAGCTAAAATTACTTAAAGTTAATAAATTGCAAAATGTATTCAATGGTATTCTATATAAATTGCTTAAATTTCAGTAGTATTTACTAATTACTAAGCTTGCAGTTTTATAATAACTTACAGTTTCGAGAGCTGTTAGAAGTAAAAAGAAAAAGTTGCTCTCTCTGGATAGTCAGAATACATTTACAAATATGCTCATAATTAAGTACATGATTCACTTTTCTTAGTTATTAAATCTTCGGGGGGGGGGAAGGAAAGAGAATGCCTTTCCTTCACATATTGCCAAAACAGAAAACTTGTAAATTTAATTATATTTACATGTAAGTCCAATGTCCTTTCTATAACATGTAAGAATAAAATATAAATCTAAAGTATAAAGAAAACAAGATTTCAAATTACTTTTGAGTAAGAGTAATAAAGCACTTGCACTTGATAACTAAACTGATAAAATATTATAATTAAGAAAAAAGCAACCATATTCTTAATAAAGTATTTTGTCTTCTGTCACTGACAGCATGTAAGTTGCATCTTATTACATAAAAACAATGTATATTACATCAGTAAATGACCCTTTATCAAAAACAGTAGCCAAAACTGTCTTTTCCTACAAATTCAAAACATCTTTCCAAATTTTATCAGTTCTTCTCTGGACAAAAGCCTTTCAACTTTGCTACAGAAATGGATATAAATGAGTTCTATAAATTTTCAATTACACTTCACTTCCAATGCTTTGGAGAAGAAACTTTCACATTTTTTAAAAGCAAGTAACACTGTAATTTTATCACTGACGGTTTAGCTTTCTACCAAGGCAACATAAAATTATTTCATTTTTTAACTGTGAAGAGTCCTTTGGAAGTGACGTTTCCACATTTTTTACCCAACAACAACAAAAAATCCAGTCATAAACCTGGCAAGTCAAAACAACAACCAGCAAATTCTAACCTTTCTTACCTGATACAGGTAAGCACCAGCTCCCAAATGCCACCTTGGGATAGTTCAGACTAGTAAGCAGGCTCATGTTTTATAATACTAGAATGAACAGGAATAAATCTGTGTTGTTCTTTCTTTAGCAAAATCTATAACAGTAGCTATACCACAATGTGAGAGGACCCCACAGACCTAACAAATTAAAGTCTGTTGCTGGAGAGACACACACACACAAAAAAAAATCATAAAATGAAGACTTACTGCTTGTCATGTGACTTGGTGAGGCATGCTGTCCATTGGGTGTGCTTGAGGTGAGGTCAATTGCCATATTGGAGTGCTCCCTTTCGGGTGAAAGCTCATTGTCACCTGCTTTCACAAAATATAATCTTTTGGTTTCTATTCATTGTCACATAAGATGTAATTACTAACTTTGCTTTATACACGCAATGGCATGCATAGCCTTCAAACTGTAAGGTAATACATTTTTCCCTTAGAAACTATAAGGAAATATCATTTAGAAATATACAGTTGAATGAAATGATGAGAAGCCATAATCAACCCACAATAAAAAAAATTAACAAAACTTTATTATCTCAATACATAAGTTGTTGATTTCTAAAGTATCTTTCAGTTGAAAGAAATAACTTTTCTTTTAACATCTAATTTAATTGTTAAGCACACAGAATTTATAATGAGCATTTTCCAAAATGCTGGCTATCAGAGAGAGGATGGAAAAGACAGGTAGCTAAAGAAATGTCAAGTTAGGAAAGCTAATTCTCTTTCACATAATATGTCTGAAAAATTAGGTTACAGAGAAGTAAATATTTAGTACACACCATATTAATAGACATATATGAAACCTGGCCTATTCTCAACTTACAACAAAGTAAATTATAAAAAGTAGGAAAGTGTTGAACTGCTAGCTACTATTGATTTAAGTACACTACTTAACTTAGTATGTTTCTATATTTCCTTCTTATTTCACTTCAGTGCTGTCATTTTCTCAAACTCATTCAAAGGTGAAATTGTGAACAGAGAGAAAAAAGAGTACAGAATTCTCAATAAAGTTTCATAATCCAGGAATTAAAACACAGGTAATACAAAGGCAACTTTATTACCAATAACAAATCAATGAAAACTAATACTTACACGTTATATAGCCATCAATAGCCTCTGTTTCCATAGTCAAAGTGCAATGCTGCAAAACAAAAGATTATACCCTTAATACAATGATTCCTTTCAGTATCTGCCATTAAATTCTTAACTTATTTGAAGCTCCAAGCAGTTAGTCCATGTTGCTGCTGCCACCTGTGCCCAGAAACATACACAGTGTACTGTATGTGCTCATTTGCAAGTCACTGAACTCTTTCTGCAAATGATCTGATTCCTGCTGGAGATAGGATAGGAAAGATAAGTGTGCTGTGAGATGGGCTAGAGCAAAAAGGGAATGACTCTCTTAATCAAAATTTATTGGGTTTAAGAAAAAATAGGGGGTATAGCTCAAATGTGTCAGCTTTAACTGGGATTTAAGTGTTTTACCATTCACTACTTCCCACAATCACACTGCAGTTTGAGGACTTCCCCAGTATACAGATAGCTCTATTCACAATTGTTGCAAGTTGGTTCATCATGTTCTAATAGGGAGGGGGAGGACAAACAAACATAAGAAAACAAAACAAAACAAAAAACTTAGTGCCCAACGGTGTCTTGAAGATTTCTACAGCAGTTGGCCAACTCCCTGACTTGTATTGACATTTTAACCTACCCCAAGTTCTGTGTAAGCACCTGTTCAATGTAACCTTAATTTCCTGCCAGACCATGCTTGGACACAAATGCCAAGCCTACTTAATACAGTCTGATTTTGAAAATTTCATAAACTTTGGTTGTGCTAGAGAGAATCATTTAAAAAAAAAAAAAACTTTGGGCAATTATTCTCATGCACAAACGCCACACAACAGAACATAATTCTCAGAAACAAAAGTAAACTGTATGAGATGACACCCCCTAGCTTTGATTCACATAATGAAAAGATCGATAATCTAACTGTATTCTGTGGGGAAAAAAGTTTAAGAATTGACAAGTCCTGAGAAGATTTTTACTTTTTTTTCCCCCTTTGGCCTTGGTCCTTTTTGCCTTTAGTTTCAAAACTCTCACTGCACCAGCAGCTAAATTATTCACAATGAGCCATTTCTGTATTGATCGCCAAGTATATTTAGCCCTGGCTCCTGGAATTTCTCCATTACTTACTGGAAAACAGGCAGCTTCACTTCTTGTCTCCAAAACCACTTCCCTTCTCCCTCCCCTCCCCTTCTTCACCACCACACTCCCTTACCCCCCCCCCAAAAAAAAACTTTTATTTCTTTCTTTATGGAATAATCAGATCAAATTCCCAACTCAGTCACTACATAGCACTTAAATTTCAACCTGCTGTACTGTTATCACATTCTTTTAAATTATGATTACATAAGGCTTTAAAGAAAGAGATCCGTAAAGTTTAAAAGAGGAGCAGTTTCTTCGGATATTTTACAAATGAGCTTATCTCTTTAAAAATGTACACATTTAACACACACATATTAAAAAGAAAGAAACGTCAGGGAGAAGCGAAAGAAGGCTGCCCCATCAATGAAATGGTTATTAACCCTCAGAGAAGGAAAGAAGGAAAAAGAAAAAGGAGAAAGAGAAACGAAATGTACATACAAAAGAAATTGTCCTTTGATTAAAAAAGATTCATCACCATTTCCAGCTCTGTCGGGAGATCTCAGCTTCTTCTAACCCCTCAAAGAGGAGGTGACAATGTCGGGCTGAAGATAAACGGAGGGAGAAAGAAAGAAGTTTTTTGTGTTTCCCCCTTCTCTCTTTCCCTCCCTTGCCCCCTCCAAGCCAAGCCCCCTGCAGAGTTCAAGGGGAGGAGGAAGGAAAAGCACTTTACAGGTGGGTCATTCCAAGCCCAAATCCAGCAAACAGATCGGCTGATAAACAAAACCAAGAAATGAGAGAGAAGAACACCCCCCTCCTCCTCCTCCTCCTCCTCGTCCTCCTCCTCCTCCTCCTTCCACCCCTCCCCCTCGTCCCTTAGGGATGGTCTAGTAGGAAAAGTCACTCAGGAATGGCACCACGTACTTTCAGGAAAGAGGAAAAAAAAGAGAGAGAGAGAGGTCAGTCAGTGCTATAGCAATGCGATTAACAAGAGAAAAAACTTGATCCACCGGTTCCTTAAGAATCGACCAAAAGCTAAGACAAGAAAACTGAAAGAAAAGGGGGGGGGGGCGGGTAGAGGGGAGGGACAGTCAGGCAGAACCCAGCTAGGAACCCAGGCCAACTTCACAGGACTGTTTTTGGCCCTTGGCAAAAAAGAAAAAAAATAAATAAATCTTAATTCCATCTCTTTCGCCCATACTAGAACCTGTCAAAGTGATTTAACTGCTGCCTGTTTACATGTGTCATACCAGGGTTTTTGGTTTTTTTTTTTTTTTAATTCCAACAGGATCTGGATATTACCTTCTATCTGGACAGCTTCAATTTATTCCAGCCTACCCAATCTTTCTTCTTGGAATTCAAGTTAAAACAAAGCAAAACAAGTCCAAATTCATGACAGCTATAGAGATGAGAACTGATTAATCGATTAACATCCCAGAAACAGATTACAAGGAGGGGACGATAAATTAAGGCAGAGGACATCATCTTCAACCCGATTCCCTGAGCGTCCTTTACAAAAATCATTACCCTAATCAGAACCACAATCCATCCCTCCCAGAGAAAAATACCTATATTATTATTATTATTACTGGTTAACAGCAACAAGTCATTTGATCACATCACAGTGCAAAACGAGATGCTATATAATTACACTTAACTTTGAAAACACTCCCCCCTTTGCAAATCATACACATATTTATATATAATCTATGAATCAGAAGACAAAACAAGAGCTGTTCTTCACCACGCAAAAGCCAAGCGGAGATTTACCTCAGCAGTGCATGCAGTAAAATAATCCCATCACCCTTTTGTTTGTGTTTACTGTTAATGTGTCCTCTGTCTTTCTTTCTTTCCTGTGCCTAACGTGTGTTTGTGCACTGCAGTTGGTGGTGGAAACTAAGGCAGTGGATCTGTAGCTAAGGGTAATCCTGTTTTTACTTCCTCCATCTTCAGCGAGGAGCAGGGTTAGCCCGGGACAGCTGGTCAAACCCCGAGAAACCGATCCGGTGGAGCCCGAGCACATCTCCCCCGCCGGCCGGGCTCGCGCAGACGCCCGCGGGCGGAGGGCGGGCTGGCGGCGGCTGCGGCGGCGGCGGCGGCGGGCGGCTGGCGGCGGGCAGCGGAGCCCCGGGCGCGGGCGAGCGGACGTGCGTGCGCGCGCGTGCGTGTGTGCGGGGCCCGAGCGCCTGTGCGTGTGTGTATGAGAGCGCGTGTGCGCGCGCGCGCGGGCTGGCGGGCGCGTGTGCGCGTGTCTGCGCGCTAAGCCGCTCGGCGCGCTCGGCAATCGATTACAGGACAAGTGCTGCCCCGGAGGCTCCGCGACGCGCGCACTCCCTCGCGCCCACCCGCGCGCCCGGCCGCGTCGCCCCCAGCCCGTTGGTCCCCGGACTGCGGACCCCGCCCCCGACGGGGGCCAGGTAACCCGCTTCCGAGTGTGCCACGGCGACCCCCATCTCCCCTCCCCGTGTCATAATAAATCTCACGTTTTCTGCCGGCTGGAGGCTTGGAGCGGTGAGGTGACGTTCATTTCGGCCGCGTGAAGTTTTCTTTCAAACTGGGATTGGTGGGGAGGCCGGGGGAAGGGAGCGGGGCGGCGATCTTGGCGCCCTGCGCGGAGTCCGGGAGCCGCGTCCCGGCCGAGTCGGGGAGTGTGCGTGGAGCCTCCCACCTACTGGTCTCCGCCGGCAACTCTGCGGCCCCATTTCGGAAAGCGCACCGCATTGACCGGGACCTGAAGCGGGATAAGAGGGGTCCTGGGGAATAGACTGAGAAAGACATTCATGTCTGAGATGAAGCTCAACTATTACTATTTTGAAAGTGCTTTAACAGTGCAAGTTTAAAAACTAAAGTGTTGACTTGCTTTTTCTCCCCCGGGGCATGTGCCACGTCTTCCAAAGTCAAAGGAACGGATGAGTACAAAAAGTTGCTACCCTTGAAGTGTTACCTATCACTATCAACCACAGCTTGTTTATTTGGAAAGAACTTAAGTGAACCGTCAAGAGAAAAACAAATGCATATTCTTTCTACAAATAGTAGCATTTAGTATCTTTCCTGACCACATTTGCGAAAAGAGGGAATAGAGACTTCTATAATTAAAGGGAAAAGGAAAATGAAAGGAGCTGAAAATAGTGAACTGTGTAGTCTGGATGGCTGAAATTTGAAAACACATGAAATTATCAGGACTGCCAAACGGTGTTCCTGAGAAACCATATCACAGATTGTGAAGAAAATCAATGCTAGAAGAGTCGGAACAGGCACCGTACTCTTACTCCTTTGAAGAATCCCAGAAATAGTTGTTGAGGTTTTTTTTTTCTGCTGAGAAAAAAAGATATATTGGAAATTAAGTCATCAACAGTACCTTAAGCACCACTCTGTAGGTAATTTTGGATAGTGTCTTTTCTTTACATTTTGATATAGGGAAGGAATTAATTCACATCGACACAAACGAAGTAATGGATACCATATAACTTGTGTGATACTGTAGCTTTTATAATGAATTACTTCTTGAAAGTTTTTTTTCCTATACAATGTATTATTAAACAATTGTAACGATAGTCTCTTTTTGTTTAACTATAGAAAATGGTAGATAGTGTGGTACAGCAAACAAGATTAACAAATTTTCGTTGGAGAGAAATTATTTGGGCTCAGGCTTGCAATAACATTATGATGATTTTAAGAAAAATTGCAGTTCCTGTGAGTTATATATTGATAAGGCAGATTTTTAAACACTTAGTTGCTAAAATTAGTTTTCCTAAAGTCGTATTTGGGAAAGTCTGAGTAGAGAACCAGTAAGTCACTCTAATCATCCCAACAGAGAGCAAATATTTTAGTCTTAAATTACCTCAAAAAATCTGTATGTCGTTTATAATATGTAAATGCACAATATGTAAAGGATAACATAAGTTCTCGAAATTGTCATAAGTCCTTCCTAAAAACTGAACCTAAGTGTTTAGGTATCTGTACTGTTACAGAGATCCTTGAAAATATGAAATAAAGATAATCGAAATTAAGATGAAATGTCTGATAGTTTACACAATGTAATTATTTGGTAGAAGAGGATCCATTGTGAAATCTTAAAGATACATCCTCACAGTTACCAAGTTGATGTAGTCCTTGCCCCTGGTTTATTGAAGCTTAATTTAGCTTCCTTGAAGCTGGTCCTTTTCAAGAGTTAACTTTCACTGGCTGCCTAGTCACCAGAGGCACACTTTCTCCCTCTAGTGGCTAAGGCTTCAGACACTACATTCTGTCACCCTGCCTCCCCCTGAATGGATCCCAGATTTTAGAATAACAAAGATCTCATGACCACCTGGGAGAATTGGACCATCTTGGCAAATGTTTCCCTCTTTTTAACATCCTACATTCCTTTCTTATTTGCAGGTTATGGTGTATCTAACTCATCCAGAGAAATCAAGATTATGTTTTCATACCAAGATTGGGGGTTTTATTTCATGCCTGTGGAGTCTATAGTCCTAAGATTCACAATGCAATCCACTCATGGGAAAGAACCCTTGCATAAACTGTAATTCACTTTGTTCAGAATTTCTCTGGGTAGTTTTGTTTGTTTGTTCGTTTTGGTTTTGTTTTTGTTGAGACAGAGTCTCACTCTGTCACCCAGGCTGGAGTGCAGTGGCGCCGTCTCGGCTCACTACAATCTCTGCTTCCTGGGTTCATGCGATTCTCCTGCCTCAGCCTTCTGAGTAGCTGGGATCACAGGCGCCCACCACCACACCTGGCTAATTTTTGTATTTTTTAGTAGAGACAGGGTTTCACCATGCTGGCCAGGGTGGCCTCGAACTCCTGACCTCAGGTGATCTCCCAAAGTGCTGGGTCTCCCAAAGTGCTGGGATTACAGGCGTGAGCAATTGCGCCTGGCCTCTCTGGGTAGTATTTTGATAGTTAGAGGGTGCATTTATTTCTGTCCTTTGCCAGAAGACATAGACTGTACACATTTTTTTAAGGTACTTATATAACTATACTGTACATTAAAATATACCACTAGGGAAGTGGAGTACCATGTTCTTTGGCCACTGTATCCAGTTTGGAGAGTTAAGTTTTTACTTTAGGGAAGAAGTGGCAGGGTGGGGAGGAAACAGACCCCTCAGCCCTTACCATTTTTCACGTAGCTGGTTCTTTCTCATCCTTTCTGTCCCATCCTACCCAAACATTTTCCTGCACCAACTTCTATTGTAGCACCTTGAATATTTCCTTCATAACATTGTTTTCTCAGAAGTAGAATAGTATTTGGTACAAGTTGGTACTCAATAAACATTTATTAAATGAATGAATATGGAGGAAATGATGTACTCAGCTGGCTTTCATGTATTAAACTCTATTTTCAAAGGACGAAAAGGGTCCCATTTCCAAGATACATGCTGATTTCATAAAGAATTTGGTCAGATCTTGGCTCATAAGTCATATTACAAATATCTTTAACAGGTCAGCTCTGGCTTACAAGCCACACAAAGGATCTGAACCTCTTGGTAGATAACAGTTATATTTACAAAATGTATATAAAATAAAATGTTACATAAATTAAAAATAAAATTATATATAAATATATATTTTTAACATTTATATATTAATTTTGCAAATATAAATATGAAAAGTGGCTAACATTGTATATAAAATGCAATTTGGAATAAAATACATTTATGTAATGCCTCTGTTTCAAAAATGAATTATTTCCTGTTACCACCTGACAATTCATGAACCAGGGTGACTATCAAGAAATGCAGCAGGTTTAATTTTGTAATCACTAAGTGTAATCAGCAAAAGAAAAATTTTACAAGGCAATATAGCTAAAAGGTACATTGTGGAGTATTGGTTTTGTTTTCTTTGGGTAGTTTGTTTTATCTATTTTAGATTTAAAAGCCCTAAGTACCCTTTAAAGGAATTTGGGTAAAATCCCCTTTTGTTTGCTCAAGGAATTAATTGTACGTTTTTAAGTTTTGGGGGTCTTTTTAGCAGAAGGTGGGAGGGGACAATTTGGAAAATTATAATTCTTTCCTAAAATCAAAGAAGAAATTTTTGGAAATGAATTCTATATTTTTTTATTTAAATGGCTTTATTGTGCTAGATATATAATCAACCAGAATAGGTACCCTAAAATAACTTGAATCCCTGAAAAAGTTAAGAATAACAGGCACACATAAGCACAATGTTTTAAAACCGATAACTTCTTTTATTTTTGTCAGGTGATGTTGTTCTTGTCTTTGAAGTAGTGTTCTCTTTTTAAGCGGGATATGGAACAATGGTCTCACTTACTCCTGTTGACCTAGATTGGCACTATGAAGAAGCAAGAAAGCCAAAAATGGAACTACCTTTTCAAAGAAAATATTCTAAGATACCAAATCCAGTTCATAAGTAAAGCATATAAATACTGTCAAACTTTACTTCCCTGAGTGCACTGATAGTCTGGGGTCTATTCAGCTGGCATATAAGTCCCACATGCTGAGGGTCTTCTAATTCCATCTACCTTGAACAATAGTTTCTTTTAACAGTCTTAAGAGTGTCACTTTGCAATTAGAGATAAGGCTCTTATGCAAATACTCATGTCCCTAAAAAAGGTAACATTATGACTTAAATTCACACGTTGATAGAATACTATCAGATTTCTTCCAGAGAGAGTGTTTTGCTGTAGAGCAGGTGATAAGCTAACTCTATCCCAAATGAGAATGATAAATTACGGGAGTTAAACCAGTGGGGTGAGGACCAGAGAGGTTCCTGAAAAAAATGAAAGCACACATTTTTAAAGATGTCATTAAAACCCACCATAATTGCTTTTAAAATGCAGATTTGTTCAGCATTTGATAAAATGAGTTCCATTAATGCAAAAACAAGGGAATTTTGAACTGGGTCAAGTGGTGATGCTCAAAGTCAACTCTAAAAAGGATTGAGAAGAAACCCTAAAATTTTAGAGCACAAAAAGTACAGGGAAGTTATTGGAATCCTCAATGAAGTGTTAATTCAAGAAATGAAAAAGATATGATTCAACTTTGTAAAGAAATAACTTACCAAAAGAGGGTAACAAAGGAGAAGACGCCTGGTGAGCATTAATTTAGATACAGGACAAAAAAAAAACTCATTATTTGGAATATTTTTCCGCAGCTACATGCAAGAGATTAAAAAGAAACTTATTTTGCTGGGGACCAGCAGGAAAACCAAACATAATCATTTGACTTTGGAATTGGGAGGTGAAAATAGGACAGATTAACCTAACGATCTGTGATATCAAAGGTTGGATTCTGCAAGAGAGATCCATACTCTAAAGCAGAGTGATGACAGGTTGCATCTCAAGGGAAACATTTGGTGGTTAAACCAGTGCCAATAGCAGTATGATACTGTCTTTTTAATCCTGTGAAAAGCTTGTGGAAGTACATACCCAGTGTTTGTGAGAAGCTTCAACTCTTTATAAACCAAAATTCTTTCACAGTAAAGCAAAGTCTAATCACTTGCTTAACAATCCTGTTAAGCTGAAAAAAAAAAAAAATAGAGGAACACATTACCAACAGATAGTAAAGGAAATAATCCAGAGAATTCACCTTCCCCATTTTTATAGCCAGATGGTTACAACCTAGGGAATTGAGAACCATATAGGGATAGAACTGGGGAGCCATTTTCTGTTTTATAACTCTGAAAGAGGGCGTGAGCTATGGAAAAGGGAATTGAATCAAAGAAAGGTCATTTACAAGTAGTAAAGTCAAATGTCATCTCCCCCAATTTTCATGACTGTGGTTTAGAAAAAGGTTAGCTTAATATAGAACTTAGTGTGGCATTCTGAACTGTCGTAAGACATGATAAAGGAGAGAGTAACACCATCAGTGTATCTCCCCCAGCAGCTGTGCCAAAGCTTCACAAAAGTATTTAAAACCTGACGTCATGGTGAGGTACTAGACACCTGGGAAAGTCCCACTCAGTAGACTAAGAATATCACTCTAAGTCCTGTAAACTATATTGCAGAAATGGCCACATTGGAAGACTGTACTTTTGAAGTGTACTATTATTGAGAAATAAATCCATACGAAGAATCTATAGCATTTTAAATTGATGATATAACTGATTTCAATGAAGTTAGAGTATCAGTGGGACTAGGAAAGTCACATATATCATTTTTATAATTATATCCATTTATTTCGTGCCAGATACCATGGTAAGCATGTTACATGCATTATCTCATTTAACACCCACTGTCATTTTAAGAGAGGTAATACTACCCCATTTTTCACATGAAGAAAGCTTGGAGACAGTATTAACTTGTCCCTGGTCCCACAGTTTCAGAGCTAGACAGTGTCAAACACATATTTTAAGTTCTAGAAAGCCCATATTCATAACCATCATACTATAGTCTCTCTAAATTGCCAATTATTTTCATCAATCATACAGACGTCTTACTGTAGTTAAATCCAGCCTTATGAGTAATACGCAGTCCACTGTTGTATCTCTTGAAAGCATACTGAATGTCCAGGGTGTTTTAAGAAGGTTAATTGAATGTGGTATCAACATAGAACTTTTTACCAAACCCAGAACTTATCTATGTGTGAAACATTACCTATTTGGCATTTAGTATGTTAATATCAGATGTTTATTAATATCTAGAGCTCTTCTCAATAAGTGAATGACATGAGAGAATCACTGAGAGTGAATTGAAAGAAAGTCACCCTATGAAGAGTTGAGTAACAATCAATGGTGACACAGAGATCCAGATAAGAACATAACTTTAAAGTCTGGGTCACCAAGCATATTTGCACATTTTATTTCAAAGGGGACCATTTCAGATTTATTACTCCCAGAAACAGATGGATCATACGGCTGCCTTTTGTAGACATACTTCACCTACATGTGTAAATAATGAGTGCATGGCTTTCTGTGATAAACACTGTAATTGTAAATGGTTACGGCTTCTTAAACGATATTTCTCAGGAAACAGATTTTTTTTCCAGTGGAGAACAGCTCTCAGTTTATAGTAAAAGTCAAGTTGAACATTTTGCTAGGGTTTATACATGAAGCTTGTGAAATTAGAATGTTTCTCTTGTTTTTAATTTACAAATACAGTGAATACTGGAGTAGAGAAACGTAACTATATTATTTTAATTAGGATTTCCTATCCCATGCGTGTAGAAGTTACATATTTGCTCTCTCATTACAGGTTATTTTTTCTAAGAACAAAAAGAAATAATGCTTTTATTTGATAACAAAGACACTATTTACTTGAAAAGCCAATCAGTGATTTTAGGGGAACTCTGCTTAAGGGTATTTTGAATAACCTAACCCAGAAGAGCTTCCTAAAACATCAGGTAGTAGCCAACAAATAAAATGAATATGGTATCTGGTATGTTCAAAATATATTGTTTAACATTTTCCCATATTTATGTTAGATGAATGTTTGGCATCAGACTGGTTGAATATTTAAAAAGGAAGGAATGATGTTCCTTCACAACGTAATATGGAAGACAGAGGAGTACCTTACCCGCAAGTCTTTGGAAATATTGCCTTCAGAGGTCATTCTTGATGTGAGGGGGACACTGCAGGCTGTCAGGCCTGGTACCATTAGGCAGTCTATCGTACACAAAACTCTTTGATCAGTTCTAAGCCCAACATTAGCGACTTTCTGATATTTTCACTCTCCATGTGATTTTCCTATGTGAAGGGAATATACATGATCATTATATTTTTATTTAAAAACAAATGATATTTCTGGTTTTTTTCCACCTATTTCTTATGAGTTTAGAAATGCATGGTTTTCCTTTCTAAGAACAGTACAGTACTGCATCTGTAAACTTGAGTTGAAGGCTAATAGCCAGTCTCTTGAAAGTGGAGCTCACTAAGGTCATGCCATTCGGCACTGTCCCTGTCACCTGGCCAGACTTCTCTCCTGACCCTCGAGAATATGGCCACCATCCTTCTACCTGCTTTAGAATGTCAGTGGATTCATAAGCAAGACAGCCTTCTTAAGTTGATTCATGAGGGACAGCAGTATTTTTGAAACAGCCTGACTCAATGGAGCCCCGCAGAGATCTGAGAGGAAACCCAAAAGATCTAAGAATGAGAAAAGGAGAGATTAACACCATCAAATTCTGCCTGTAATAATGACAGCAGAGTTGTTGAGAAAAGAATAAGTGAGGGAATGGAGGCTGTCAGTATAGATGGTAATTTCAAGAAGTTTTGCTGTAAAAGGAGAGGTAGAAGCTAGTAGCTACAGGAAGATGTGGGATTGAGGGAAGTTTCTTGTTTGTTTTCTTTTGTCTTTTAAGTAAGACCTTGACATATCTCAGTGCTAATGAGAAAATTGGTAAAGTGGGGTCCCTGAGGGAATAGGAAAGAAAAGAATCTATTGCGCAACTGGCAGGAGTAGCTTCAGCTAGAAGAGGACATACCTCATGTGCTTAGGATAAGTAAGAAAGGAAGGTTGAAGATGTAAGTAATTTTGTGCGTTGTCATGGTGGGAAGTTTAGGAAAGATATGAAGAAGGTATCAATGTTATTTATTAAGGTTGAAAAGCCACTGGATTGAAAATGTAAGAAGAGTGAATAAGTTTGAAATAGTTGCTTTTATAAAAATAGAGAGAGGCTAACTGAAAAAAAATGTAGAAAAATAGGCAAGCCGAATAGAGGACCCAGTTGAGGCTGGTGACCACAAATAAACCATCAATAAGCTCAATGCTATAACTGTAACTGGGCTCACAGCCCAGATAGAATCTTGAAAAGAATGAACCACAGGATTGATCCAGTGTAAAAAATTCCACTGGCTGCGGAGCTGGAAGACATTGAATCAAAGAAGTTGAGCTTGACTTAAAGAAATGGATTGGAGTAATGGATCATCAAGTAAGCTATACAAAACAGAGAGGGTACTGACAGATAGAAGTAGAGGGGTACAGAGACCTCAATTGGGTCCCAGTGAGGTTAAATAATTTGCATAAGAGGGAATAGTGAGAGATAGGAAGGTATAGAAGATTGTGAACAGAAATTTCTGATGGAGAACAAGGTGCCAGAATCCGGAATGGAGGTTGAGAAGTCATGGCCTCTAGGGGGTGGAATATCAGAAACATGAAAGGATAATCGGGAGATGTAGCTCTTGGGGAAGAGAGGGAAATACTGAACTAGGTGCAAAAGTCTATGAAGAATGAATCCCTGGAAAACTGATAAATAAAAGCGAGGAGGAAGAATTGTGAGGTGGTAGCTGGAAAGCATGAACATCAGAGGAACCGGGATTTTACATGAAAGTGTATATGTTCTGAAAATGTCTTTGGACTACATAGGGGATGCTGACTCCTTAGTCTAAACTTGAGCAAGGTGAATCAGTAGAAAATGAAAAGCCTTCACTTGAGAGGACTATGGGTAAGTTGACCATATGAGCTGGTTTGCCAAGAACTGTCTCAGTTTACACCTGTGGTCCTGGCATCATTATTAATAGTACCCCCTTTTATTCTTAAGTGTCTTGGTTTCTATGTGACATTACATATTCATCCTAGATGAGAAGGAGTAATGACCTCAAAGAAGACCTTTTTCATTTAGGCAATGTTGTTTTTATGTTTGTTGTTTTTGTTTTTGAGACAGAGTCTCACTTTGCCACCCAGGGTGGAGTGCAGTGGCGCAATCTTGGCTCACTGCAACCTCCGCCTTCAGGGTTCAAGCGATTCTCCTGTCTTAGCCTCCTGAGTAACTGGGATTACAGGCATGTAATCCCAGTTAATTTTTGTAATTTTTGTGGTGACAGGGTTTCACCATGTTGGCCAGGCTGGTCTTGAACTCCTGACCTCAAGTGATCCACCTTCCTCGGCCTCCCAAAGTGCTGGGATTACAGACATGAGCCACCGCACCCAGCCTAGGCAATGGTTTTTTTTTAAAGAGGTAGGAGGCTATAGATGGATTTACCTGTTTGTTTTTGGTTTTTTTTTTCTTAAAAGAGGAGTTCCAGGGGCCATAATGAAAAAGCTTTGAGAGCATATTGAGCAGTGAGATATTGATTCAGGAGAAAGGAGGTTCTAAGCAGTGTTGTAATTGAAAGTGCAGAAGAAAGGGGTTAACCTCAGCTTTAGCTCCCATCTTCCATTTCAATCTTTGTGTCAACTTTCTCATTCTTTCCATCTGGAGTCAAGTGGACAATCAAGCCTTCATAGGTGAAATATGCCTACTATTATTTATATCTTTGCATTGTTGCAAGTGATTGCAGCAGTTATTGTACTGCAAACTGACAGATACAGGTAAGAAAACTTTATAAACGTTTACCAGAGTCCAAGTTCCTCCAGATCACTGCCGTACAATGACTCCTAATTGAGATGATAACCTCCTACTATTTGCTTTCTTTTGCACTTATGTTTTGAGTGTTCTTTATTCTGAGCTTTGGCAGATTCAGCTCTGTCTCTGCCAACTCCATTACTTGCTTCAAAATCAGGGTAAAAAAACAAGGCAGCTTAAGGCCTCTGGATCATATGAAGACTGGTTTATTCATCGAAGTCACTAGATTTTGCCAAGCATTGTACACTGAGAGCTGATGACGAAAGGATTAGAGTACTCAAGTCAGATGCCAATGCCAAAAAGGAAGCAGAAATTAACCACCCTTGCTAAAAGCAAAATATTCTTATGTCTCTAGTCACAACCATAGGCTAAAATGCACCTTCAAAGAGCAGTATAACATGTAACCAAATTGTAATTGAAGATTCCTTTTTTAAAACGAAATGATCCCAACTCACTAAACACAGAAATCTTCATTACAACATCATCACAGGAGACCTTTAAGTCAATGAGGTCATTTGTATTTTAGTCTGCAAATAATATATTACTGTAATGCAATGAAGGCATAAAGCTTATTGATGTACTTTATGGAAATGTAGGTAAAGCCATTTCTCTGAGTTAGGGATATTCTTCAATGACCGTGGCAAATAAATTAAAACGGGGGATTTTTATTCACTTTCTAAAAAATATTCTTTCCAGTTTCCAAATAGACTGTCCATAGGAATTCTTAAAGTAGTAAGCTAGCAGCATGAATTCAAAATGTGAATCATTTGTTTAAAAATCTGCACACATTTTTTTAGAATTACCTCATAATAAGCCTCACTGCTTAAAACCATGGTTCAAACTTGTTTTCTGTACCTAAATGATCCACATGCTAAAGATATTCCTATTTAATTCCATCTTTCATTGACAGAAAAAATTCTAAGCTGGAGTCACCCCCCACTAGCTTCCCACTATGTTCTGCAGGAATATCAGAGTATTGGAAATGTTATAGCAGTTTGAAAACTATCCCCCTAGAACAGTATTTTTCAAATGCCTGGTTGTAACCCATTAGCAGGCTGTGTGTATTTAGTCAGTCATAACCAGCATCTAAAAACAAAATAGAATCGAATACAGTACGTTTATCACACACAACAAAGATAAATAAAAGGTAACTTTTTGTATCAGAGGTATATCTATCTATCTATCAATTGGCTCACCATGTAAAAGCTATTTTTACTCCCTATGGATTACAGGGTCAAAAGAAGACTGAAAGCTACTGGCCAAGAGAATGGATAAACAAATTGAAGTGTATCATTTCATTGAAATATTGCACAGCAACTAAATACTACAACAAATACATATATATACACACATACATATATATGTACTACATAAATCAATACATATATAAATACATAAATACCACCACAAAAATCCCTAAAATATTATACAGGGTAAGATAAGTGAATTGTTAAAGGATTCTCATATAAATTGTTAATACTTAAAAACATAGAAAACAATATGTATTGTTTTTGTACATATGTATATGTAGTAAAAGTATTATAAAAGAAAGACACCACTTTTGGAATAGCAGTAACCTCCAGGGTGAAAGAGAGGAGGATGAGATGCATCTGCAACGTTTGATTTCTTAATAAACACAATTCTAGAAGACAGGAGACCTTTATTCTAATTCTGACTCTGCCATTACCTGACTGTTTTACTCTGATTGGGTGACTTCATTGCTCTTGTCCTTGTTTCTTCCTATGTGAAATGAAGGGATAATACCAGAGAATGATCAAAGAGTCAGGCTGGAAGGAGAAGTGGATTTGTGTAATGAAAATATTTACTCATCTAATATTTAACTCATAGAATTTAAATGATTACTCAAAGTTAACCAGCTAGCTAATGGTAGAACTCAGGCTAGATAGAGAGAAGTCATCTGGAATCATAGTGTTTCATTCTCTACCCTGTAATTATGCCTTTGATGAAAGATAAAAGGACATGGCATCATTTTATGTAGGATGGTAAAATCAAGAGATTACCATTATCCTCATCTTACTATATGAAGTGGGCCTTGTGACCTATGCTACTGAAGGAGAGAATGAATATTTTGAAAAGGCCAAATATAATCGAATGTGTATATGTTTTCCCCGTTAAATTTTAAAAGCAGTGAAGATCACTGTCAAGTGAACCTTTAGTTTAGCTATGTTTTATCTTAAATAATTGATAGTAGCCTCTAGTCCTTTGATTTATAAATGGGAAAACATGAAATAGTTATTTTTAAGAGTGATTTATGGCTACTTTTGAAGCTGGTTGATTGATTTATCCACCAGTACTTCCTACAAGAATTCGAATTCAGGGTAAATTCAGAAAATAATAAGAGAAACTAAGATGCAAAGGGGAAAGAAAAATATCAAGAAATCTTGGTTATGAAAAAGCCACAATTGAACACAAAACTTACTTCTGCAAACATAGTAATCAGATAAAAGAGGAAACACAGTGTTGGTTACATAGCTCATATTGTCTGGGAAGGCTGTGAAATCATCAGCCCAGATTAAAAAAAAAAAAAAAATTCCAGGTCAGTACTCCAAGAGGAATTTGACCCAGGGGATACTGGCAAAAGTACCATTGGCTATATAATTATCAAGATCTTTCAATCCAGAAGGCCTGCTGTCAAATCCAGGCTCCTATGATTTACTCTGTTACTTAACAGTTGGACAAGTTTCTTAATAGTCTCAGTTTTCTCATCTGTTAATAGTAGATGAAAATAATAAAACTTACCTAAGTTTTGTTTTTAATATGGTTTACATGAGTTAATATTTATAGTTGATCAAATCAAGTCTTAGAGCAATGCCTCATTCATGGCTAAGGGTTTTATTTGCATTTCTTTGATAAGCAAATGAATATTCTAAATAGCAGTTTTACAAAGAACATTCTTAAATTAGTGTGATTGAAATTATTACAGTTAATTATTGCAGTGACATAAAAGCTGATCATTGTTTTGTAACTTAATTTTCTTTTCTTTTCTTTTTTTTTTTTTAAGAGAGTCAGGATAGCTCTCTGTTGCCCAGGCTGGGGTACAGTGTTGTGACTATATAGTTCACTGCAGCCTCGAACTCCTGGGCTTGAGCAATAATCCCACCTCAGCCTCCCGAGTAACTGGGACTACAGATGTGCACCACCACATCTGACTAATTTCTAAAAAAACTCTTTTAGAGATGGGGGTCTCTCTATGTTGCTCAGGCTTGTACCTTAACTTTATATTGATTTCCTTCCCAATATTTAAAAACCTTTTCCCAAATGTCTGATGTCATTTTTTTAAACGAACAAATCAAACTAATGAAAAACATATTTTCTTCCACATCAGAGTGCCTATTTCTTACGCTTGCTCTTCAAAATGTAGTACCCCAAATAACATATATCAGATTCAAATTTTTCTATCCAGACCTTGGTCAACTCTAAATTAGAGCATTTGTATAATGTAAGTGCCTAGAAAAACCTCACATAGCAACAATCAGCTGAACTAACCTATGCTTACATAGGGAGTGCAAAGTTTAGGACAACCTGCCAACTAAGTTTTCTCCTCCAAGGACTAAAAATTGCCTAGTTTTTGTTTGTTTGCCCTCATTGGGAGTCTTTAAAATGAAAAATTTTTGCTTAAGCATTTTTAAATGAAATCAGATCAAATATGCTCAAAAAAACTATAGACAAAAACCTATGTATATGGAAAGACAATATAGTCTGTTACACTTTATTTATATACAGCTTTAATTCTGTTAAATTGCTACACCACATTTTTATTTTTGCCCCTGAACTATGCTGATACCATATGTTATAAATGAATGCTTTGTGATTCCCTTTAGGTTAACTTATTTAGCACCTACTATCTACATCAATAATGTTATCATTTATCTCAATAAAATATATTTTTTCTTGTATGTGTATCTTATCTACACTGCTATGTTAGAGCAATTTTAGAGAAAGACTCAGTCAACTGTTTTTATAGTGCTCTTATTTCTTAATACAGTGCTTTAAACAGATTTGGTACTATATTTGTAATAAAAATTATCATAGAGATAAAACCCTTCATCAATAAAGTGTTATAAAATATTCCACTGCTGTCTAATCATTCATTCATTAAAAAGCACTTTCAATGCAGTTTCCTTTCTCTTTTTCTAAATTCAAATACCGACGTTCTTTTTAAATTTAGGCCTTTGCACTTTGTCTAAATTGACCAAGCTATTATGGTCTTCTGTAGTTCTTAAACAAACATCTCTTTGGTGTCTCTTAAATCTTTTCAGTGTTTATAAAAAGGCTGTCAAGTGTTTTTAGCCTCTTTTCAGAATTTATATTATCATAGTCTTTCAGTTCCTAATATACAACTCAAACACTGGTGTTCATTTAGAGTACTATCTTCATACTATGTACTTTAAAAAAAGTGAGCTTATGTCTTAAAATAGTATATGACTTCAATATGATAGCAGAACTAAAACTAGGATTAAAGTCTAGCATTCAGAAACACCTGTTAACTTATTCTCAATTTCTTTTAACTCAGGCTACAGAACATAGTGAACTTTTACTTTTTTCTTGTTTATTTTTACTTGTTTTTCTATCATATAATTCTCATAATATTTTTTATTTCTAAATAAAAAATTAATTTTGACAGTAAATTGAATGTAAAATTGGACATACATACACTTAACAGTAACGCAGAATTGTAGCACAATGTATCTTGGTCTTAATGTTTAATGTTTTCATGTAAAAGGTTATTTGGTGGTAGATTTCTTTAGGAGCAGGATCTTAGGAGCCATCAAAATAGTTAACTTATCTCATTTTCACTCAGTTCAAATCTCTCATTTAGTTATAGCAGAACTTAAAATTCTTATTTGCAAATCCATGTTGCAAACTGGATGGAAGTTTATTTTTCATTGCAGGGAGTGAGAATTTTATTATAAGTCATTCATTTTTGTCATTTAAACTTTGATTAATTCTAAGAATAGTTGAAGTTACTGTGAGAAATATTTGAGAATCTAAAGAATTAATTTAGGAGAGTCTCAATGACCTAGAAGGCATATAAGATTAAATTCAATGTGATGTAATGAAAACATTGTAATATATTTTGACACAACCCATTCATTTGATATATTGTTTATCATATCTATGTATTTCAGGAGGTCATAGTCATAAACTGTGAATGTCCTTTTTTAAAATCTCTAATAATTGAAGTGAAATTAATTGTGATATGAAATAATAAAATTATAAAAAAAATTAGTGTAGCTTGCAGATTATTAATTGTTATGGAACTTTTTGATGCGTTACTAAAAGTTGATATGTCACCACCCGTCTCCATGGACACAGTAATGTGTGTTTTAGAGAAATCATCCAGTATATCTTGTACTAAGAGCCAAAAGATATTTTCAATAGAATTAATAAATTATTGCTTAGATTTCTTTTTAACAAAGCAATTTTTTATCAAGACTTATCTAGCTAAGTACAATAACTACAATAGGAAGAAATCAGAATCTCTCTCATTACCTGCTTCTGTAATTGTGCATGCATAAAGTATGCCTGAAGGCTTTGGAAAGAGAGATTCTGCAAACTGAATACTAATTTTGTGAATACTGTAATTTCATGTCTGCCATCCATGTTCAAGCCGGTTGTGGCTTGAGGAGCAGCTGAGGCTTTATGGAAAACTTTGTAAAACATTCTATTTAGAAGCAATTCTTGTTCTTTGCATTATGTGCTCTGGGTATTTTTCTTCCTTTGTGTTTTATTTTGAGCGCATTTGTATGAAAACAAGATCTTTGTTTCTTACAAGCACATCTGCTCTTGCTGCTTATAGATTAGGAGAAGTCATCATCCTCTGTGACATCATAATCATTTCCATGGCAACCAGTTTGGCTTACTTGCTTTGAAAATGTAATAAAAAGTTAGAGAACATTAGCAGCAGCAAAGTGGTTATCTCAAAACAGATACATAATAACTTCTTAGTGATCTGCACCCACTGTGTGTGGCCCATTCATTACAAGGCACCAAAGCTTTAGCCTATTGTGTTTAATTCCCTTAAAGTTCATGTGACTGTCAATTCCTGTTATCCACAATTTAGAGAAAAATTAGAATGCTTGAGGAAACAAATTTTGAAGTGACCAATTTTATTGTACCTTAATGCCCTGTCACATGGCTTTGCTTAGTTCACTAAGGGAAAAAAAATGTGTGAGACCTTGGTGTTTTATGTCCTACTGTAAATAATTATATCGATTTGAATAACATCTGGAAAAATCTTGAAGCCCTTTACTTGAAATGATTTTATGAACAGGCACTACATTCACTCAACCACTTTAGTAGTGTCACTAGTGTGATGAAATGTGGCTGTGAAAGACCTGAGAACATAATCATTTGGATAGCCAGACAGCCAAGGCTGGTAAAAAGCACCGGAACTAGGAATAGACTTTGTAGCATGTTCTACTACATCAGTATTTGTTAAAATTATGAATTTTTAGATACAATAGTCAAGCAATCCATAAAGAAGTATTTATTGAGTACTTGTATTGGGGGTCATGTGTGAAATAACAGTAGTATAGACACAATATCTGACCTCCTAAGCCTTTCTTTGAGATTAATGTCTAATTATTCCTGTCACTATTTTTTTTCCAGCACTACCAAAATATTTTTAATTAAATCCTTATTCCTTTAAATTGTTTCATTTTATTTTTAAAAGTGTACATGTTTGATATGAACCACAATTAGTTCAGGAGAGTTGGTTAGCTGGGCCTAAGTAAGCTCTTTTGTGTTGAATACTAAGAACAACTGGAGATACAGAACTCAGAGGCAGATGTTGACTGGGTTTACTTGCATTCAGAATGGCAGCAATTGGATATGTGATCTTGGACCTGAGTATGAAGCCAATATCGGTGATAGAGGTAACAAACACACGGAATTGTGAGTCTCAAGAAAGGTCAGAAATGAGAGGATCAGCATGAGGAACAAGGACAAACCATCCAAATCAAGGGAAGAAAGCCCAGGTGATCTATCTAAGGAGAGGTGGGGCAGGTGTTGTGCAATGGTCAAAATGGCAGGCAAATGAAAGAGATCTAAGCAGTGGGGTGTTCAGTGTTGGAAAGTCCAGTTGCAGGAATCAGGGCCCCAGTCAAGGAAAATTGAGCTCAGAAGTAGAGTATCCATTCACCGTGGTAGCAAGGGACAAGACAGGAATCAATTGACAACAGTCTAAATTAGTAAACGTCCCAATGGGTGAGCGTAGTATGTGCATATATTCATATACAGGTGTCCCTCAGTATCCTGGTATTCTAGGACCTCCCCAGGAATACCAAAATTCATCGATGGTCAAGTCCCTGATATAGAATGTTGTAGTAGTTGAATGTAACTTGTGCATATCATCCCAGATACATTAAATTATCTCTACATTACTAAAAAAAATCTAATACAATGTAAATTCTATGTAAATAATTGTTTAAGGAATAATGACAACAACAAAAGTGTCTGTACATGTTCATTATAGACACAAACATTCTATTTTTTTTGAATATTTTCAATCCATGTTTGGTTGAACGCACAGATGCAGAACCCACAGATATGGAACCCATAAATACGGAGGGCCAGTTTTTTTTTTTAATTTATTTGGTCATTCAGTGATAAACACTCTATTAGACACAGGGATTGAATAAAACTGACGAAGTTAACCTTATGAAACACATTAAACTGGGTTAAACAGAAAATGAATAATTAATTCAACAAATGCATGTACAATCACAATGTGTATTATGTGTCATGGATCAAATATGACATGAAAAGGAATAAAGCAATGGGGTGGAGGATGCTATGGAGGATGCTAAGGCCACTTGGAGAATATAACATTGGTTAAAAAATATTCTTTACCTCACCCTCCACCCACAGCTCTGTGGCCCACCAAATTTAAAACTACAGCTACTTAACACATATATCCAGGGTTAGCCCCATTCCCAGGTTTTGTTATCAACCAGTGACACCCCCTGCACCAAGTGATTCTCACCACCAAAATCTCCTTTACACTCCTGAATTACCTCATATGTCTGTCCAGTTTCCAAGGTTAGCTGACATCCTTAATCTGATTTGCCTTGTTGCCAGTTAAGCCCTCAGTGATAAGTTCCTGAGTTGCAAATCACATATTAGGAGGGTGGGGGTTTCTTCTAGTAAGGAGAGAACTAGTATTTGTTACAAATAAGCCCCTAAATCTCTTAATATAGTGCCCAAAGCTTTTAGAGAGATTCAGGACCTTTCTGAACTGTTGATCAATCGTCTCTTCGGAAGATTTGAATCCTCCCCTGGCCCCTCTGCATAAACTTGTCAGACAAAGGAGGGAAGGGAGCAGAGAATCATAGGGGGAGTTTCTAGGGGTCCAGCACGGAACTGCCGTGCATCAGTCACATGGCATACCTAACAGTAAGAGAAGGGTCAGGGGGACTGGCAAATAGGTGTGTGTGCTCTGAAGGAAAAAAAGAAATAGGTTTTGGTGAGTCAAAAGTCTTAATCTTTTTATTCACCTAAAACATCCGTTTTACTCTTTTGTCCACACAAAGAATTTACTTATCCTCAACCCAAGTGAAATCATCAGGTGGGCCTACTTAGGTGGGTCCTTGGAATTGGTTTAATGCTCTGTTATCAATGTCTTGAAATTACTAATAATTTTATCTTTTTTTTTTTTTTGAGATGGAGTCTCGTTCTGTCACCCAGGATGGAGTGCAGTGGCACGGATCTCAGCTCACTGCAACCTCCACCTCCCAGGTTCCAAATTTCTCCTGCCTGTGCTTCTGAATAGCTGGGACTACAGGCGCTTGCCACCATGCCTGGCTAATTTTTGTAATTTTAGTAGAGACGGGGTTTCACCATATTGGTCAGGCTGGTCACGAACTCCTGACCTCAGGTGATCCACCTGTCTTGGCCTCCCAAAGTGCCAGGATTACAGGTGTGAGCCACCGTGCCTGGCCAATAATTTTATCTTTAAGCTTGTGGGGTTTTTTGTTTGTTTTTTGTTTTTCATTTTTTTTTTAATCAAATCTGATGGGATAACGGAGTATGCATGTGAGAAAAGATATCTGCAATAAGTATGTCCGCTGTTCCTTGCTGTCCCATTCATATATTAGCATTTTTAATGTCCCATGAGCACAGAATTCCAGTAGACCTATGATGCTAGGGAGTTTAGCAAATGAAAACCACGGTCACTCATGCCTGTCATCCCAGCACTTTGGGAGGTGGAGATAGGAGGATCATTTGAGCTCAGGAGTTTGAGACCAGTTTGGGTAACATGGTGAAACCCCATCTCTACAAAAAAAAAATTCAAAAATTAGCCAGGGGTGGTGGTGTGCGCCTGTAGTCCCAGCTACTTGGGAGGCTGAGGTGGGAGGATTGCTTGAACCAGGAAGGTGGCAGTTGCAGTGAGCTGTGATCATGCCACTGCCCTGTCTCAAAAAAAAAAAAAGGAGTACAAGGTAGCCATGTGACTTCTACGACTGAGTGAGCAGGACACTGACAGCTTCGAGAAACCACATTTTTCCATTGGGACGAAAACATGCTTCAGACACAAAAAGAAGGCAGTAGCATTCTAAGAAGCACAAAAGTCCAAATAATCTTTTGCTATATTTCCCTGTATTTGCCAACCATTTACACTAAAATGATGTCATGGAAAGAAAGGGAATGATAGAGCAATCATAGTTCCTTCTCCTTTTATTCCTGCCTTAGGAAGGAATAACGTAAGCCAAAGGTAGAGAGCATTGCTAGACTATGCACACATTGTGAAGCAAAATGAAAATAGCCAAATTAGTTGTGTGCAGCATCTCCACTGTTCCGGGAAAAACAAAATGTGTAGGCATGTATAAGCTCAAGAAATACAAATTGTATAAGTTCAGTAATTCTACATGCAAGTTAGTGCTATTGTGTTTGTATTTAAAACTGGCATTGCACAAGATAAAGATGAACATTAAAATCAGATTTTCCCTGATTTAGAATGGCAATAAGTAACAAATATAAAACACCATTACCACTCAAAACATACAACAGAAGATAAGAGAAAGTTTTATATTTTAGTACTTTTAATGGCACATTTTCTTTGCTTCTTTGAACTAGAGTTCTTACATTTTCAATTTGAACTGCAAATTATTTAGCCAGACCTCGATTGGGTGATCTATGTTGTCTCCCTGGCATAACTGTAATAAAAGCTTCCATTCAGAAAAAGGAAGAATAGGATACACAGAGCAGTCAATGACCCATAGAAATTATTAAATCCTTCTGTGTAGGCACTGCAACTACCCAAAATGTGAGGTAGTTTCTTGTCTGTTCATGATTCTTCTTCCCATGGCTCTTGGCTACTGTCTCTCAGTTTCTTTCTTAACCATTACTGCCCTCCATGGCAATATCTGAAATAATTGTTGGGGAATATTATCTTCTTGGGGCTTGCACAGCTTTCATATCTCTCTTCCTTCCCATGGGTTATTTTTAAGGCCTTTTTAGCCTAACACATGATTTCTTTGGCACTACAATTTCTTCAAAAATTTCTTAGTAAGCTTCTGATCTATTTGCTTCCAGTTAATTCCATGTGCCAAGGTTTTTATTAGATGTAGTTATTCAACTCTCCTTACTCTTTGTTTCCTAGTCCTGTTTCTTCTTCAGCTTGATGGCAGGTACCTTGAGGCTATCTGAAACAATATGCTACAGTGGAAAAGTATCTCTCTTAATCTGATGTTTACTGAAGGGCTGAGTTGTTTGAGAAATCTCACCGGCTCTTTGTCACTCAGGACCATTTTTTATTTGGGGTCCAAAAGCTATCAACTTTTCAACCATGTAAGGCCCTTGATCTCTGAACTTTCTTCTGTCCATTCTCTGCTTGGAAATCAGCTCGAGCTCACCTGAGTGCATATCTTTCTTGCTTAAGTTCTGGCCAACTCACTAACCCTCTGACAGTTCCAACTACTTGCCCTAGAGCCACAGATTCAGTAGATGTGTGGTCTGCTTTCCAAGCTCTCCCATGACAGCTTTACTGAAAACCTGCTGAGACACAGCAGAACTCTCCAAACAGCCAGGCTGCTCTATCATAGCCTCACTTTCTGTTGGCCAGCCACTAAATTAATGCCACTTATTTTTGGATATTGTGATTATAGTAGCACATGTCAAAGTACCAATTTCTGTACTTAGCAAGGTGGAATAGCTACTGTAACCAAACACCAAAATCTCAATGCCTTAATATACTAATAGTTAATTTCTATTGACATAACATATTACTGTGAGTTTATAATACCAGGCTCCTTCCATCTTTATTTTATTTTGAATGACCAAAACTTATATTTTTGAAAATCTTGGTTTAAAACTTTTAGTTGCAGCAATTAAAAGACCTGTTTAGAAGTTTGGTTTGGCTGGGTATGGTGGCTCAATCCTGAAATCCCAGCACTTTGGGAGACTGAGGTGGATGGATCACTTGAGCTCAGGAGTTCAAGACCAGCCTGGGCAACATGGCAAAACCTGGTCTCTACAAAGAATACAAAAATTAGCCAGGTGTGGTGATGTGCGTCTGTGGTCCCAGCTATAGGGAGGCTGAGGTAGGAGGATCGCTTGAGTCCAGAAGGTGGAGGTTGCAGTGAGCCAGGATCACGCCACTGTACTCCAGTCTGGGTGACAGAGCTAGACCTTGTCTCAAAACAAATAAACAAGTAATTTGGTTTATTGTAATGCTTAGATTTAGTGCTTGTCATAGTTAAAGACTCCTTACAATCAGAGGCAGAACTAAATGGAAGAAATATATATTTGTCTGCACTGAAAACATCATAATACTCTGTTTTCAGTCCTACTCACCAATTTATACAAAGATGATTTTGAAATTTTACTTATAAATTTCAATTTCCATCTTAATGTTAGTAGTTCTTACAAAGTAATCAAAGGATTGGCTAGTTTGTTTTTGACAAATGTACTTCAAACATACTGTAATATTTTTGGCATGTCAGAAAATTTTGTATTTAAATTTTTTAGCTATCAGAATATGAAAAGTGTTTTTAAAGATGGCAGATTTACTTACATTGCTTCAGCTGTAAAAGAATGTTCTAGTAGACACCATCCCCAAAATCCCTTTTCAAAATGTATATTCTTTTTGAAAGTAATTACTGTTTCACTTATTGTTAAAATATTACCTCTACCATTAAGGAATTGCTTATTTATATTTTTGCAGGTATCTATTAGGCAGTATAGCCACTGGCTATGACAGAAAATGTCACCAACCAGAAGCTGACAATCAAGAGAGCCCTTTCTCAGGGCTAAGAAGAAGGAGTGAAAAATAAATCTAGAGGGGCCAATGAAAGATATCTGACACACATAAAATCAGTCACACATGGGTGAACTGTAAGAGACTGAAAGTAAATAAATGAATGAAGTTACCCTTGTCAAGCCCTCCAGTTATGGAACTCCTCCATTTCCCTCAAAAAACCTCATATAATCACATGTGAGAAAAGACTGTTAGGGTCTCTAATGGGGCCTCTTTTCTAAACAAACTGAGAAATGAAGCAACATGTAACATATGAAGGCAAATTCTCATGTTTAGTATTATGAAATCTAGATTAAAGAATGTAGCTTAATATAAGTACCAGATGGGCCTGCTACAAAGACCCCAGATATAGCAAATTTACCCAATCCATTTAGGTGTTGCTATAGAGAGGCAGGTGTCCCCCAGGGAGAGGACAGAATTCCAGTAGTCCAAGGAGAGGACTGACAGTATCGGGTTGGAGGGGTAGAAAGACCAAGACTTTGCCTAGTAAAGTCCCTTCTAATAGAAACAAGGCTTGTGAAAACCATGTTCCCTTCTACTGAAGATTGGCTAACGAGCAGATCTAGTGAGGATACCAGGGTCAACTCATATAGTAAATATCAATAAAGTGTAATGTATTTCTTTTTAGATAAAAATAAATAGAAGTACAAGTTCTAATGTTTTCTTTCTTTAACCTGAGGGATTTTTCTGCAGACCTCTTAGGGTATACCACTTTTGAGGCTGTTGGGCTGAAATGTGCACTATTGGACCACTATTGGCAAGTTTTGTTCTAGCCCAGTTCCTGGTAATAATCCTGGCCAAAGGTGGGAAGAATTTCATGCTGTGGGCAAAATTTGCCTCAGGCACTATTTTGACTTTCATCCAGGTGTCCTGGAATCTGACTTAGTCCCAGTACCACTTCCAACCAAGCTCCAGGCCCATCTTCCACTGAATATGTCCTCTAGCTCTTTGTGAATAGCTCAGCAGCAACATGTCATCACTGCTTAATTCGAAACTGACTGCTATTGACAGTGTGTCAGCCTTATGATTATATATGAAGGACAATATATTATGTCAATTCACTTAAGTCTTTATCTCTCATGAAGGTTGGAATGGCTTTTATTTTTTATCTGATTGACTCTCAGCAAATCAAGCAAGAGGTCTTAAAAAGAAAAAGTAGAAATATCTTACAATTCAATTGATACAATGGATAGAATTTTCTGTTCCTACTCCAATGTCGTCATAGTAAGAAAAGAATTTGAAACTTGAATTTGAAATTTGAAACTTGAAAGACTAAAATGGGAGACTAATGACATTTACGCTGTCTTCTATCCTTTTTTTGTTGTTAGAATCTATTTTTTTAAATAAACTTTTACTTTTAGATTAGTTTTAGATTTACAGGAAAAAAGTTGCAAAAACTGTACAACTGAACTCTACAATTCACTCTCAGTTCCAAAACCACCTTCAAAGTTTTTTTTTTTTTTTACTTGTTTGGTTGTTGGGATTGGTTTGCTTTTCATTTTTTGAAACCACATGCATTTAATGTTACTTCAGGGCAATAATCCCAAGATTTGTGTAGGGAGATAACACTGCCATATTCCAGGGATTTAGGGTAATAAAAACACCCTGCTTAGTTAGAATAAGAATTCAGAGCCATGACCTCCGGTCTTCTTAAGTAAATACAGGAGAATTTAAAGCTGCCCTCTGGGCAAATATTTTAGGGGCTGATGAGCATTTACCTTCACTTAAGATATAGCTTGTCATCAATATACCCAAGTGACTGACAATTTCTATTTACTGTTTAATAAAAATGAACCCAGAATCCACTGAAGTTCCTTGTCAACTCCAGGACAAAAAAGGAGGTACATCTTGATGAGCAAGTAGAACAACATTTTAAAGTCTAAGAAGGTCACCAGTCTTTGGATGAGTCTATAGTAACTTAGAAGCTTGTTGCCCAATAACCCAAAGAGGAGAATGAACAAACTCAAAATGAGGGAGTGTGACTGCCCCTTTAACACTTAAACTCCATGCCCTTGGAAGCAGAAGTCCTAAAACTCCACAAAGAAACTACATTGGTGCTCAACAAATATTTGTTAACTAATTGACTCTGAAGAAATTTGGTAATTTTTACTCTGCATAAAGAGTGAGAAGTGGCCACTGAGTTGCCAAGAAAACAGAGAAGGCTTAGGAAGAAGAAATTTATGCTCTAGCACTGAATTTACTAGTCAGGGTTCTCCAGAGAAACAGAATCAATAGGACATCGATATATTGATTTATTATGGGAATTGGCTCACTTGATTATGGAGGCCAAGAAGTCCCTCCATCTACTGTTTGCAAGCTGGAGAACCAGGAAAGCTGGTGGTGTAGTCAGCCCACTGTATCTGTGGGTTCCATGGATGCAATCCACCATGGATAGAAAATATTCAGAAAAGAAAAGTATTTTAAAAAATACAAATTTAAAAAATACAGTATAGCAACTATTTACATAACATTTACATTTTATTAGGTATTATAAGTAATCTATAAGTGATTTAAAATATTCAAAAGGATGTGCACAGGTTATATGCAAATACTACTCCATTTTATGTAAGAGACTTGAGCATCTGTGGATTTTGGTACTTTCTATGAGTCCTGGAACCAATCCTCTGCAGATACCAAGGGATGACTATAATTTAGTCTGAGTCTGAAGGACTGAGAACTGGGGATAGGAGGAAAGGCTGGTGTAAGTCCTAGAGTCCAAAGGCCTAGGGACCAGAAGTTCCAATATCCCAGGGCAGAAGAAGATGGATGTCCCAGCTCAAAAAGAGAGAGAGAGAATTTACCCTTCCTCTGCCTTATTGTTCTATTTAGGCCCTCAACAGGCTGGTGAGGGTGGTCTTCTTTACTTGGTCTACTTACAAAAATGCTAATCTCTTCTGGAAATACCCTCACAGACACACACAAAAATAAAGTTTTACCAGCTATCTGGGCATCCTTTAGCCCAGTCAAGTTAACCCATAAAATTAATCATCACAAGCACCCTATTTTTAAACTTGTGTTTCTGCAGGGAAAATACATACACAGGCCAAGAAGCAAAACACCTTAGACCCAAGTTTGTTTTTTTTTTAAGTTTACTTTATTCAACATTCTGTGCTATGACCTTCTCATATACTTAGCACTGTATGGAAGACACAAAGACATAAGACACAGACTCTGTTCTCAGGGATCATATATTCTTAACAATAAGAGCCCATATATGCATATGACAACTTGAATATAAAACCTACATGATAAAGTTCCAAGTGAGTTATACAGACAAGTGCTGTGAGAATTCAGAAGAGAGAGGAACCACTGTGTGCAGAAAGTCTTCTGGAGGTGAAAGCTGAGTGAATCCTTAGAAATTCAGAAGGATTTGAGTAAATACAGAAGTAAGAGTAAACTGTTTCTACACCTACTTTTTCTATCGGAAAGAGGGTGAACAAAGAATACAAGGTGAAAATAATCACTGATTTGTCCATGGGGTTGCAAGTAAACCAGTTTAACTTGAATGTATAATTCATACTGAGGAGTAATGAGGGAGAAATTAAAAATTCAAAACAGATTACAGAAAGCCTGGAAGGGTCAGCCAAAGCTTTCCCTCTGTGGAACAAAGGACAGGACCTGGGGCTGATTTTCAGCAGCCGCATTCACTAGATATGGAACACTAGGCAAACTTTTAAACCTCTCCCAAAGCTGTGGTTTCCTCATACTTGTGTGTCAGACTTGTGCATTATCAATAATATGCATAGTGTGGCACTCACTGAGTGATTGCTCAACAAACCTAGTATCATTTTAGGTAATGGAAAATCACTGTAGACTTTGGATGAGCAAAGCCTTAAATTAAGCAGTACTCCCCATGAAACAGGTTTTGTATATAAGATGGGGTCAAGAAATTGAGATGGGAAAAAGAAAAACAGAAGGGATTTTAAGGTAGGGGGCTGCACTGTGGAAACCTAGTTTCTTTGAGATTGAAGCATTGAGGAGTAGTTTCCAGACTTAGGAAGTTGTAGCAAGAAGTGTCAACTGAATATTTAAGTTTTATGTGGAAAGGATGAAATGATGGAAGCTCTGTATGGAGAGGGAGAACAGTACAGTGGAAGAGAGACAGGCAGTAGGCAAGTTTATGGTCAAAGAGGAAAGAGATTAAGGCTTAAATCTTAGTGAATCTGAACCTTGTGAGGATACCATTTGCAAGGAGTTGGTCAGATTGCTGGAGAGACGTTATGGAGAAGACACATAGCCTGGTGGATTTAAGGAAAGCCAAGAATTTTAAATTATTTATATCATGTGAAGATTCAACCAATGATTTGACATTGTTGAGGATAGCAACCAAATTTTAAATAACAGGAGAAAAACATGAGGCAGATTATGAAATTCTGAAAATAACGAGGAAGAGCCAATCTTTCCCGGGGGGTGGAGACAGAGAGAAAAGTAGAAATGCAAAAGGGCTAAAAAGTGGTATATTGTGATATCTAAACATCAAAGGAAAAAAATGGAATAGTAAGTGTGAGTGAAAAATCTGGAGATCCAAGAATCAGTTATTTTCTCTTTTCCCCATCAAGTAGGCATGAGAAAGGCAAGCAAAGGTATAGTTTCTATCAGACTAGATATGTACTGTGGTATTTTCTGAGGAAATCCAGTCTCATTTAAGGAGAGTGAGTAATGAAATAAGATCAGAAAATGATGACTCCAATCTACTTAACATTTATTTTGTGACAATTATAAATAAGGAACTATGCTGGGAGTTTAAGTAAGTGAAATAAAAGTTTTACAAGACATACTAGAAAAACTGGACTCACTGTGGGAAACAGAAACATAGAAGGGTAAACTCAAACTTAGGAGTTGGGAAGCAGTAGCAGGGGAACTTCAGACCTCAGCTAGAAAGAATGAATAACAGGAATTTAGGAGAAGCTGGTTGAGAGGCCTCTGCAGAACATCAAAGACATTTCCAGGCAAGGGATATCAAGCCTCTCCACAAACATGAACATATAAATCCATTTCAATATTTGGAATAGACTGTCTCCCCATGAATTAAGCACCCACCTTCATCCATGAAACTGATCATGTTTCAGTTTTGAAAACTTGACTTTCAGATGTTAGTTGGGGAAAGGGCAAGAGGAAGGGGAGATTCTTCATAGAATGTAGGAGCCAAAACAACTTTGCCTCTAGAAACAGCTTTCTCTATTTGAAACAGGATACTCATCTGGGAGATTTGAATAACCAACATTTCATTGTTTCTTCACTTCAATAAATTTAATATAATTATGTCCTTAATTTACTAAAAGATCTTGAAATGCTTCTTGAAATCACCGAGAAAAGTGTGAATTGTATATTTATTTCCTGTTCAACAGTCACCTCAAATGCCACCTCTTCCAAGAAGGCCTTCATATGGGAAGGAGGGTATGTATGGATGCATGGAGAGAGCTGCAGCGGACATAGTTGGTTGCCCACTAGTATCCCTTCTACACCACCCTCACTGTCAAACAGCCGCATATTTTGGGTGGAATTAAGCCATCCAGTTACCCTAAGATGAATCCTGATTAGCTGATGCCAATCTGACTGACACAGTCACAGGCCCCCTTACAGTAGAGATACGTTCATAGACAGGACATGTGAATCAGGGTGTAAGCCAACTTAATACACAGAATTCTCCTGGTTAAAGAGATTAGTCAAGGGTCAGCACAGGGCTTATGTGGTCAAGTTAGAAGGAAGCCCAAGACTTTAGTTGATGCTTTGGGTAAGAAATTTAATCTATCAACCATTTTCTCATTCTCTCATGCCCACCTACCCTCTTATCATGGTTGTCATTCCAATATGTCATTGCAAAATTGCGTATTCCAAAATGCTAGTCATTCTACAACGACAAGGTTAACCAGCCTTGGAATAAACTTGCCACAATAGAAAGAAACTTAGAGAAACAAAACTGCTCCTTGGTGAATATCATAGAGCTGCTGGATCAAGCCTTGCCTGCAGCTTCCACCACTAGTGACCTTTTAAGTTTATAAGTTCATAAATTACCTTTTATTGACTTGAAACCAGTTAAATATCATAACTGAGACACCTTTCTGAATTACCTTTGTACTCATATTTTATTTTATTTTTCTAAATATTTTATTTTTCCCATTTATTTCAATCTTACCACATGTTGTCTTGCATTAAATCTATTTACTTATATTTCTTATCTTTTCTCACACACTTTGAGCTCCTTGAGGGCAAGGACTGTAGTTTACATATTTTCATATTTCTCCTAGCTTTCGTGATGTTGCTTTGTGTATAGCCATGCTTAATGAACATTTGTAGAATGAGTAAATCAAACTTGTGAACTTGTGCATTTGATCTCACTACCACCATGTTGTAGTTAACACATATTAATAATTTAAAACTGTTGAATAAACTGAATATAAAAACATTATTGTTTTATTGTTTAATTTTGTTATCTTGAGTAAGGGGGGATTTGCATTAAGATTTGGGTACATTGAAGATAGTCAAAGGCCAAAAGAAATTTGCCGGCCGGACGCAGTGGCTCACACCTGTAATCCCAGTAGTTTGGGAGGCCGAGGTGGGCGGATAACAAGGTCAGGAGTTCAAGACCAGCCTGGCCAATATGGTGAAATCCCATCACTACTAAAAATACAAAAATTAGCCAGGTGTGGTGACAGGCGCCTGTAGTCTCAGCAACTGGGGAGGCTGAGGCAGAAGGATCACTTGAACTCAGGAGGCGGAGGTTGCAGTGAGCCGAGATCACGCCACTGCACTCCTGCCTAGGCGACAGAGCAAGACTCAGTCTCAAAAAAAAAAAATAAAAATAAAGAAAGAAATTTGTCTTGCTTTTAATTCAAGTCTTGACACTTATATTTGATCTTGATATACTATATCTTACCATATTTACCTTATATATCATATATATGCATCTTAGTATATTTGATCTGGGTAGAATTATTCATTTCTCTTGTTCTCAGTTTTCTTATCTATAAAATGGTGATAAAAATAATATCAATCTTATAAGATTGTTATAAGGTTTAAATGAGTTAATAAAACCAAAACACTTACATCAATGTCAGATATACTAAATACTTAACAAGAGCTGGCAATTTTTCTTGTTCTTCTATGATATTGTTGTGATATTATTATTATTATCATCCAAGTTGAGAAATACTTGTAGTGTTTTTCATGTTAAAAAAGTAGTTTTTTAAAAAATTAATTTGATTTTCATTTTAACTCACTGTTTAATAAAGTTAATTTAGAATTATATAATTACTTTTTATTGAAATTTTCATTGAGATAATTGTACATGTACTCACATGACACTGTGAGAAATAATACATAAATATTCCTTGTATACTTTGTTTGGTTTCTTCCAATGTTAACATTTTGTAAAACCGTAATATAATATTACAACCATATTGATGCAATCCAGCAATCTTATTCAGACTTCCCATTTTTATTTGTACTCATTTGTGAGTTCATGCGTATGCATGAGTGTATTGTGTACATACGTGTGTGAAGTTCTTTACAATTTCGTTTCCTGCGTTTATGCCTGTATCTGCCAGTCAAGATACTGAACAGTTCCAACACAACACCCACCTCTCATCCTTTCTGTACTTACTTTTTGAACTAAAAATTAGTTGTGTTTTTTAAAAAAATAAAAAACAAACCAAAAAAATCCTTATGAATCAAGCACTCTTGTTGCTTGCTATTTCCACTGCTAGCTTACAAAGGTCCAGGTTCATTTGCTAATGGTCATACACTTCTGATGTAAATTTCCCTGAGCAACACTCATTAACATGCCCTACTGACTGTGTATCTTTGTGCCTGTATATATATTACTGTAGCATCTGTATACTTATTTATCTTTCTGTCTAGAATGCAATTGAGAATACAAAGTCTCATTAATTTACTTACTCCATGCTCCATTGTCATTTATTTGAATTATAAGAATCTATTCATTATTATTAAATCAAACTCGTGACTTTGCTGTCTGGTTCGGTCACTCCAAGATTTAATTTCACCATTTATATATAGCATTTTACCTATGTTCATCAGATGTATATGACATTAAAGTCCATTTATGGAAAATATTAGAATATAAACACGTGGTGTTTATTTGTATTTTAAATATAAAATGCTAAAATAAATATAAGTATTAAAAATAAAATTATTTCTAGATTGTTAATGTCTTCTAAGAGTAAAATTAGTCAGAAATGCCTATCAGTCAACAAGTATATTGATGAAGGTATAAGAAATTACAGAAAACTGGAAATTTATGATAACAAAGGGTAAATGTGGCAAGATGAACTCAGAAGGTGTGCTGTGCGTGCTTTAAATAATCTCAGTGCAAAGGGACTAGGTATTCAGGAACTACTTTGAAGATACTTGACCTAGCTGTGTTCCCTTCCCAGTCATCTGCTCTGTCAGCTGATCAGATCTCTTGAGGTTTTCTCACCAGGAAATGGAAATAAGCCCATTATTTGCAAGAGATTAAATATTGATCAGAATTTTATATTTATTTCATATCAAAATCTATATGTAAGTGCTTCATTATTGAGTTCAATTTCTGTATGATTGTTCAGTTCAAATAGCAACACAATAGAATTTGCTTCTATTGTAAATTGTGAAAAATTAGTACTACATCATATAAAATGACAGAGATGAGTCTTTGTATGAGATTTAGCTCTAACCACAAAATAAATGTTAAGTGAATGGCCAACATGATAAAATATTGGAAGCAAAATAACTGAAAAGAAAACAATCTTAGGTGTTGGAGTCAGAAGGCAAGAGCTCCTGGCTCTGATGAGCAAAACATTCAAACTCTCTGGGCGTTGGCTTCCACATGTGCAAAATGACAATAATAATAGAATCTACTTTCTAGTTGTTGTGTGGGTTAAATTATCTGATATGCATAATTCACTTAAAAGGTTCCCAAGTATATAATAATTATTTCAATAAATGTCAGCTATTACTAAATAAGACATATTTTCAGTCGCAATCTCAACTTTTATTCTGAGTACCCACCCTGATATATAAAATTATATTGAAAAAAATCTTTCATAATTGTTAAAACAGCAATATAAGAGATCTTGCTATAATACTCAGAGATAACCATGGACAATTAGCTGGTTTTGTCATTAGAATTACTTCTTTATCATGAGAATTAACAGTGATTAACATGGCTGGCTATGTACAATAGAATGAAACTCATAAAAGTTTGCTAACTAAAGTGAGTTTTTAAAATATATGCTGAGAAGGGCAATCTACAGAGATTTCAGAGTTTTGCTAAATTTTACAAGTAAATGTTGAGTATAGAGGGAAAATTGAGGTAGAATGGGTATATAAGCTGTTAGCTTTGTATGGTATTTCATTTCTCTTTTATCTCCTCTGTCAACATTCCTCTACTAGACATTTCCCAGCACCTCGCTATCTGTTATTGTTATTGCTTATTTATCATATACCATATTTAATACCAAGCATGACATTGTATTGATCAACCCATTATGTCTTTCCAGCTTGTCCATCTACTCGATTCTGATGGCTTTACACATTAGCTCTTTTGAATGATATTGTAATTGGATTCAGAGTCTCCTGGTGCATACTACTTCTTGAGAATATGTTAGGCACTTCAGTAAGCTGCTTTAGTTTTTTCTGGGCAGACAACAGTAGATTTTGCTTTTATGCACTAATTACTCCTTCTTACTGCCTTTTGCAAGATTTTCTTCCTCTGCCTATCTCTTACTTGTTTTCTTTATGATTCTATCTTACGTTCTTTTCAATTCCTAATCTTCATGGTCTGCTTAGATGAACTCTTCTTCAATATCTCCAACTATAAGTTATCTACTGAATAAAAAACATAAGGCACAAGACTTTAGATCTCTATATTGAGTGTATCCAGCTGGCCTTAGGATACTTCCAAGTGGATGTCTTACTAACATCCAAACTCAACCTGTCTACACTGAACTAATCATCTCTCCAAACCTGCTAGTACTTAGAGCAGAGAATGGCACCTGTGAATTACCATTAACTCCAGTCTGCTTGTTCCCCACAGTTAGTCAGTCACCAGTCCTTGATGAATCTATTTTATAAATAACTTTTTAGTGGTCCGTCTTTCTAATCTCTACTGCCACAATCCAATTCCAGTCCCCAGCATCTCTTTCTTAGGCTATTGCAAATCTGAATTATTGGTTTTCCTTCATCCAAAATATTCTCCTGGATGCTGTCAAAGCAATCTTTCCTAAGTGTGAATATAATTGCACCATTATTTCATTTGAAACCCTTCAATAACTGCTTGCTCTGAGAATAGAATTGAAACTCTTTGTTGTGACTCCTACTGCCTTTCTTGACCTAGCACCATCCTAGGAGTCAACTTATTTACTGGCAAAAGCATAAGTTTTGAGATTATATGCCTGCATTTAAATCTGAACTCTTCATTCATCCATCCATCCATCCATCCATCCATCCATCCATCCATCCATTCATTTTTGAGTAACCACTTTGTGCCTGGCATAGTTCTTGCCTCTGTGGATACAGCAGTGAACACTGACAAAGCCTCCCTTCTGGAACTTTTATTTTAGAGGCACAAAATAATTAACAAAAGAAGAAGTATAGTACTTCAGATGATGATAAAATGCTCTGGAGTGATGGTTGTGATGAAATTGATGTGCATATTTAGTAGTATTCAGAGATACGGAAAAAAGGGGGTAAGTCTTCAAGGTGGAGGTGTATTAAATAGCCTTTTATTTTCTGCAGTAGTATCATCTCAAAGCTAAATATTTCTGGGGCACTTTATGTTTGAAAAATGTATTAATTTTTATTATCTAAAAGAATCTCTAGTTGCTTTGTGGAAGAGACTATGGGGAAGCTAGAGTGGAAGCAAGGGAGCAGTTAAGAGAATGATTTGCAATTCTTTAGGGCAGATATAAAACTAAAGTTGTAGTAGTGGACATGGTGAGGAGTTGCCTGAATGAGCATATTTCGAATGTAGAGCCACAGGTCATCCTAATGGATTTGAAGATAGGAAAAAGAGAAAGATGACTTCAAGGTTTTGACCTGAGAAACTGCACCTGCTGGCATTATTCATTGAGAGGGGAAAGAATGAGAGAAGATCCTATTAATATTTGGATTTCAATGGAGCGAATCAAGAACCTGTGCTATTTCAGATGGCTGGTACATGTCCAAGTGAAAATATCAGACAGGAAGCTGGGTATGAAAGTATAGAGTTCAGCTGAATAGTTTGGTGTTGTCCGTTATTTGCATATGGTTTTAAAGCCGTGGGCTGAGTGAGGATACTCAGGAACAAGTGTTGATCAGGGTATGCTAATAAATGTTTAAGGAATTGCTCTCTTCTAAAAATATGTATACATACACACAAACATACACACACATACATACATACATATGTATATATATCAGCAGATTATTCTATCCCTCTAGACAGGACTCACTCACTGTAATTTGCCAGGGTCCCCTCTACCCACTCAGCTATCCATCTGCACTCACATGGGCCCTTGTCACTCATCTACATTACTGGTCTGTTTCTTTGACATTGGAGTTTGTTAATCAGCAGTAGTCCTTCTTTCTAGGTTCTTTCCATTTTATTTATTTACTCCATGCTCTATTACAAGCTATTTGTCTCAAATGTCACATGGCAGATGAAATCATGTATCATTAGTCCCAGCTTCCTTAGATCCAGGCCAACGTCAGTCACGGCAGAGAAAGGACAAGCTGGAAAATACTCTACTTTCTAAAGATATTTCTCAATGCAAATAAAGATTATTCTTCATCTGCTTGAAATTTTAAAATTTCTTCTTGTTGAACTGTGAAGCTGGCACACTGCATGTAGCTGCTGGGTTGTGGGTGCTCAGGAATTGTGTTTTCAAGGGAAAATTACCAGGTTGCCTTGAATAATAATATACATGTTTTTGGCATCTTCTTAGAGAAGGCAATGTCAGTATGCAATGAATATCAGTATATTAGTTTTGATCAGTCCTCAAAGTTGAGAGCAAAAGGTCAAAACATTTTCAAAATCCTTTTTTTTCAAAATATGGTAAAGAAGACTCATTTTATCTTAATTTTTTAAAGTAAAGTGATAATTTCATATATAATAAAAAGAGCCACAAAATTTATTACAGAAATGATTGAATGTAGAAAGATTATACACTGAATAGCCCACGAACCAGAATTGTCAGGAAGGGATTGTAAGGGTCACAGGGTTACAACTGGATGCTAAACACTGACTGAATTAATTGCCCCCTCACTGAGGGCATAAGGTTAGCTTTCAACCATATGCCATAATTTTTTAAACGATTTTTTTTCTTTTCTAGAAGATGTATGTAGTATAACTAAAAAGCAATAAAAATTTTCACATTAAAACCAGAATCATTACTTTGTAGTGAAATAGCAGTCATAATTTCCTCTTTTAAAATTTTTATCCCTTTCTCTGTTCTCTTTGTTCTCTCTGCTCTACCCCCTTCCTTTGCATGAGTTTACATGTCTTGTGATATTTTTCTTTTTCCCTCAGAGCATAGATACAATTTCCTGTGGGGCACTCAGTATCTCCAAGACCTAGGATGTGCCTTGAGAGGTATGGTACTATTTTGAGGTAAGTTATAACATAAAACTGCATTAGCTCCCTCATTTGTGAAAAGTATACCAAATTCCCAGATATGTGGTAAGCAGTTACTGGTAAAAACACAATCCTAATGGTTTTCATAATTGATGTTTGCAAAACCAGAAATAATTCTGATCATATTGCATCCCCCTTATAGGACTCTGGCAGTGAGAAAGGATTTTGTATTTCATGAGTTTTAGTAGGTATTATATTTAGACTTTTTTCTGTAGCAGAAAAAATACTTCAGAAATTTTTTCTTATACTAGTTTGTGGAATATTAATGAAAGACAAACACACACATTTTTACTTTTATTGGTAAGATTTCAAGAAAGATGTGACAGATGATTCTCATGGAATATAAAGATTTTTCAGCTAATCTTTAAATTACTTTCATTTTTAATTTTTGTGGGTACATAGTAGGTATATTATATTTACGGGGTACATGAGATATTTTGGTACAGGCGTACAATGTGTAATAATCCCAGCATGGGAACTTTAAATTACTTTTAAAAGGAGACATTACTGCTCCATTTTGTTTACCTTTCCCAATAAAATGTAAGACTCAATGAGCATTCTCTCAGTTATTTGAAAAATTATTTTGTCTTACTTTGGCATAATTTTTGGAATGAGCTTTCTGCAATGTTCATTGGCCTAGACATTAATTATAAACTGCTTGACCTTAATTGATTTCTCATCCATCTATTAGTCCAAATCCATACTTCGGGTTTAAATAACTTAAGGAACATGATCTGACTCATGAAAAACTTCCATTGACTTTACTCGAGTCTGTGAAATTTTGTCAGACATCCAGAATCTAATTCATTGCTACATCCCAGAATACAAACTACAAACGAGAAACTGATGAACTTTGTACCAGGTAGCAGGGTAATGTTCTTTTAATGTTTTTCCTGGTTTCAATAAGATTTCTTTTATAAATAAATAGCATTTATAATGACATTTAGATTCCTGGTAGATAGCTATTCACTTACACTAGAGACATATGCTAAATGATTTTCTTACATAAAATATTAACATTACTGCTTATTATTATCATTATTTTTAGTTTCCTTTAAATTTACTTTTTATGCACCCCAGTTAAGTGCAGCCTATGTACAGAAACAATAAATTTTTGCTGGTTGTTTATTCTTAAAATATTTAGGCCTAGTTTCAATGGCTATAGTGGATAGCTGAAAAATTTTCCTCATGTTGTTGGAATGTAGGATGAATCAAAAGGAAGTTAACAATTCCAGAAAGATGGCAGCATGAGGGCACATATTCCACCCCCGAACAAAAATGTACTTCTTTGATTGGAAGTAAATCAATGACAGGTACAGTGCAGTGGGATGCAGGGTGCACAGGGGAGTAATACTGATGTCGGGAATGATACCAAACACAGACCACAAATCTTAAAGAAGTTCTTCCAAATATGGCAGCATTTAGAACCCATATACCATTTTTTTTTTCCAGGGTAGCACAGACTTATAGGAAAGTGAGGAAATTCTGGGAAATCCTAATATTAGAGAGACAAAGGTTGGCGCTGCAGGCAGGCTCTGAGGAATGACGGGGCCTTGAGCCTCTTTCCCACCAGAGTTCAACAACATTCCTAGGCCATGCTGGCATCTCTGGAATGTAAAGTGAGCACTCTGCCCCTCCTCACTTTGCTTCTCTGATCTGACATTTTCGTAGTTACCAAGTTCCCTCAGATGAAGGAAGGGAGAACCCTAATCTGAAGAGGGGAGGTCTGAAGTGGACAGGAACAGTATCAAGGAGACCACAGGAGGCAAAACATTAAAAGTTGAAGAAACAGCATAAATAACAGAAGACTGAAACTAAGGTGAGCGGGGAAAGCTTGCACTCTGCAAGCAGTTAGCCCAGGTTCCAGTCCTAGTGCACTGTTTACTTACTTGGTATGTGCTACCGAGCAAGTTTCTTGACCTGTTTGTGCCTCAGTTTTCTCATCTATAAAATGGGGATAATAACATGCATGTAAGAATTAAAAGATAATATGTTATTTATATAACAAGGGATTATGGCAATACCTGGCACATACCAAGAGTTCTGTAAATGCTGATTGCTTTTATTAAATTAAGTCATTTAATACATTTACTTTGTTATTAAATTAAATATCGCTATTACTAAATCTACATAAAAGTGAGATTAAACAACTTATTTAATAGACAAAAACTCCAATGACATCAAAAGTCGTCCATATGATATGTAAAAGAGAGCTGAAATAATGCAACTCAAAAGGTAATAGCAAAGGACATTATGCTAGAAACGCTAATCACTATTGCCTAGTCACATTCTCTCCTTGTAATAGTATCCAAAGACAGGAATAAAGGCCACATTCTTTTTCCTCTGACTCTACCCCACCTCTGGCTACAGCTGATTGGATCAAGGACAGACACCTGACCAAGGACAGTCACGCTGTGCTTTATGTCCCGGCAGAAAAAGGCTCTGGTGAGGATCAAATTTTTTTTTAATTTGGGTAATTAAATAAATGAGCTGAACGGAAGTGTGAATCAGTAACTCTTTGTAGCCTTAAATGAAGTACAGCGGGAAAAGGAACACAGGAACTCAAGCTTGCCCTGGGCTGCCTGGTGGGAAACAGACCCGGATCTGCAAAGGTGTTAGGTATCTGTGCAGAGGAAGCCGTCTCTGCCCCTGATTTCGGCCCTCAGAGCCCTCAATGACAGCAGTAGAGTCTTCTACTAAGCTATGTTTCTAAGGATAAGGTTGGGATCCTGACAGTGAATAAGGTTATCCTGCAGGATGGGGAGCTGAGAATTCTTGGCACTCGAGCCTCTCTGAGGCAGTTACCAATGCAAGCTCCCTCCCACACGTGAGGAGACATCCCTTTTTAAGTCCATCCTGTGACCAAAGCTTGGAATGCAGCGCTGGCTTTTGGAAATAAGCAAAGGCAGATTAAGGAAGAAAGATCCTTTACTGTGAGTTCTGACTGATATTTCCCTTCAGGGCCTTGAGGCTTAAGCCTTTCTTTCTAGAAGAATGGGGAGGGGAGGAGCTAGTCCCATTTGTTGCTAAGCGACTAAAGCTTTCTCGGGTCACGTTTGCAGCTATTGAGAATCAGTGACAAGGTGGATGTAGCGATGCGGGGAGAAGCCTCTCATTTCAAGATTTCTGGTTCTGTATTTTAAACCATGGAGTTCGCAAGAACAAAATTGATTGGAAGCCTATCAAAGTTCGAGAATGGTGTTTTTAGAAATAAGCCAAGCCTTAGAAGGAGGGATGAGTTTCAGGCTTAAACCAACACAGCAGGGCATCTTATCTTCCTCTGCAAAGTCCAGGCCCGATACAAAGGATGCTAAGAATAAATTTAACAAAAAATATACACAACCTGTATGAAGGAAAAAACACAAACCAACCAACGAAATGAAGGGCCTAAACTAATAGAATGAATGGAGAGTCATGACATGTCTTTTTGGAAAGACAGATACTGTAAAGATGTAAATTTTCTGCAAACTATTTGTAAGTATAACACAGAGATCCATTTTGTATTTGACATGACAACATAACTCTCATTTATTTGGAAGACTAAATGTAGGAATATCCAGAAACATTCTGAGAAAAAAAGAGAAACAAGTAGGAATTTGCCTGTGGTGTAGTAAACCTTTTTTTTTTTTTTTTTTTTTTTTTTGAGGCAGAGTCTCGCTCTGTCGCCCAGGCTAGAGTGCAGTGGCGCGATCTTGGCTCACTGCAAGCTCCGCCTCCCGGGTTCACGCCATTCTCCTGCCTCAGCCTCCCGAGTAGCTGGGACTACAGGCGCCCACCACCACGCCCGGCTAATTTTTTGTATTTTTAGTAGAGACGGGGTTTCACCGCGTTAGCCAAGATGTTCTCCATCTCCTGACCTCGTGATCCGCCCGCCTCGGCCTCCCAAAGTGCTGGGATTACAGGCGTGAGCCACCGCGCCTGGCCTTAAGCCATATTTTTAAGGTGTGACAATTGAAACTGTGATAGTGTTTGAGTAACAGCATCGGAGTAAACAGGCAGATCAATGGAAGAGATTAAAAAGTAAAGAAGCAAACATAGCTGTAAGTCCCTGGGAATTTAGAGGTGATATTTCAAATCAATGTACTGAATGGGTTTTCCAAAAAAATGTTTTGGAACAAATGGCTAGTGTTTGCAAAAATATAAGAGAACCCTGCCTCCCACTTAATTATATTTTGAAATTTAAGGCTGGGCACGGTGGCTCACACCTGTAAACCAGAAAAGCCAGCACTTTGGGAGGCCAAGGTAGGAGGATCACTTGAGGCCAGGAGTTCAAGACTAGTCTGGGTAACATAGCAAGACCCTGTGTCTACAAAAATTTTTTTTTTTAATTTGCCAGGGGGATGGTGCCGTCTGTAGTCCTAGGTACTTGAGAGGCTGAGGAGGAAGGATCCCTTGAGCCCAGGAGTTCTAGGCTGCAATGAGTTATAATCACCCACTAGACTAGAGCCTGGGCAGCAGAGCCAGATCCTGTCTTTGTTTTTTTTTTTTTTTGAGACGGAGTCTCGCTCTGTCGCCCAGGTCAGACTGCGGACTGCAGTGGCACAATCTCGGCTCACTGCAAGCTCCGCTTCCCGGGTTCACGCCATTCTCCTGCCTCAGCCTCCCGAGTAGCTGGGACTACAGGCGCCCGCCACCGCGCCCGGCTAATTTTTTTTTGTATTTTTAGTAGAGACGGGGTTTCACCTTGTTAGCCAGGATGGTCTCGATCTCCTGACCTCATGATCCACCCGCCTCGGCCTCCCAAAGTGCTGGGATTACAGGCGTGAGCCACCGCGCCCGGCCCCAGATCCTGTCTTTAAGAAAAACAAAACAAAACAAAACAGAACAGAGATTTGAATGAAAAGAATAAGATTATAAAATATGAGGAGAAAATTCAGATTAACGATGCTACAATCTTGAAATGGGGAAGTGTATTAGTCTGCCAGGTCTGCTATTAATATAAAAAAAAACCTGTGGCTTAACAGAAATTTATTTTCTCAGTTCTGGAGGCTGGAAGTCCAAGGTCAAGGTGTCAGCAGGGTTGGTTTCTCCTGAGGCCTTTTACCTTCTCCCTATGTCTTCAGGTGGCCTTTTCCCTGAGCATATGCATTCCTGGTGGCTCTTCCTCTTCTTATAAGGACACCAGTCACTGGATTAGGGCCTCACCCTTAAGACTTCGTTTAACTGTAATTACCTCTTTAAAGCCCCTATCTTTAAATAAGCCACACTGGCATTCAGCTTTCAACATACACATTTTGGGGGATGCAATTCAGTCTGTAACAGGAAGTATTTTCTAAGTATCACCTCAAAGACAGACCAGTCATTGATCTTACTAGAAATCAAAGGTGTTTAAAATAATACAAATCTCATTTTTTATTGATTTGATTTTTAAAAAATTGATGTCTTAGCATAAGTAAGATTATGGGGATACAGGGCAGTATAAGTACTCTCCCACACTGTTGGTGGGACAGAACATGGATATAAATACTGTGCAGGGCAATTTGGGTTTTGTAACATACTAAAAGAATGTGTTTCCTCTCCATTTCTTAGATTTGTATCCTAAAGGAGTAGTCCAACGGGTGAGTAAAAATATATGTGCAAGAATGTAAAATTGTATCAGATAATGAAAATAGGAAACAAATTTGGTGTTAGTAAATAGGGGATTAGATCAGCCAATTAAGATACCAGTTACCCAGTAGAATACTTTTTAGTCATTAGGGAAATACATAGTAAATCAGTTTTCCGGGAATGGACCTAGAATCTTTAACATGTTATGTTAAGTGAAAAAAATAAATTATAGTATGTTCCCATTTATGTAAAAAATATAAATAGAAGTATACATGATGAAAAGTAGTAATATATGATCTGAATTACTTACACTGAGCATAGAATATTTTGCTAATCAGAAAGGCAAGCTATTTTCATTTTTAAAAACAACCATTTGTAGAAATGAAAAGCATATTCCATATATAGAAATACATATTTAAAAAATAACATAAAATGGGAATAGATAAAATACATTTGCTTGATGAGGGGGCTCAGAAAATAGAGGAAAAGAAGTCTTATAATATCTATCAGCTTAAACATTTGGGAAACATGGACTTAGAGCTTTCCTGGGAAAGTTTTAAGCTGTCTGAAGATGGAATGTCGTAAGTAAGAAGGGCCCCTCGACACTTGACGAAAAAGAGTTTAAGAAACATGTGGATAGTGGAAGAGGAACACCCTGCCAAACTAAAATTTTGTCCCCAAAATGTATCTCTTAAAGTGGAAGTCTATCCCTACTATGTGCAGAGTTTCAAAACTGATAAACAATTTAGGATTAAAGAAAGTTTTAAGTAATTTCTCTCTTTCATTATGCATGAAGTATTGTTTTCTCACTACATAAAGCATTGCTTCTGAATTGTTTAGTTTTTTAAAATAGACATTTAATTTTTTAATGGACACTTTAATGGACATATTTAAAAGATTAAATATGTTCATACTACTTATGGCATAGGAAGTTCTTTGCTGACAATCTGTATTATACCTAATATGATGTGATTTTTTTAATTTTATTTTTTGTCTTTTTACTTCCTACCAAGTAAAAAGTGTATTTTAAAATACGCAAAGTTCAATTTTTACAAACTCAATACTCAGTCTGTTGTGTTGATCCCACAACATACTCATGATGCTAAAAATTCTAGGCTGGCATTTCAAATGGGAGTGAAACAGCATACTGCACAACTTTCAACAAGCCTAGTGCCAAAAGATGAAAAAATATATTTTCATTTATCATGAGTCCATTTAAGCACCAACATGTATGACTTTAGCATTTAGTGTCAAGAACAATATCAACAAGTAAGGGATGATTATTGGATTTTGGTCACATGTCCTACTCCATACCATCCCATCTGTTTTGTTTTCCTTTATAAACATGGTATATGCAGGTATGGAGCCTCACCTTCACTTTGCTTTTGTATCTGTTGAATGAAGAGTTTTGGCACTAAGGGTACAGAAAGAAAGAGCTGAGAACTTTGTAAGAGAGAGAATGAAGTGCGAAGGGAGTATAGGCTCTGTGGAAGGTGAACTTCCAGCCCTGGAAGCCGGAAGAATAAAAACAAACAAAAAATGGAAAAAATGTTTTAAAGGTGAAAATTGCTAAGTACAAGGGAAGTTTTGTATTCAAACGCTTCTTAAAGGCAACTACTGCCATTTTTTTTCCCTAACAAACATCCAACAGAAGTGCTTTTTTTTATGGAATGTGTTATTTAATTCATGATATTATGAGTCAAGCACTGTACTGAAAATTTCCATTATATATTTATATTACTTTTAAGAAAGAAAAAAGTTGTCTTTAAATATATTTTATATAGATTTAAAATTAGTAAAAGTATTCAGGAGAAATCAAAGCAATGTTGGCTTTTTAAGTGTCAGTATTAAGAAATTAAAAAGGATGCAGAATTAGAACAGTAATTTAAGCAATCCAAAAATAATTTAATATGCTAAAACATGCATACTTTTAGATTATAATTGAATAAAATTGGAAGTGAGCACTTACAAAAATTTTGTGAATATTTAGATATACGTTTAGTCAATAAATTGAATATGAGTTAAATGAGCACAAGATTCAGATTACTCTGCCTATTTCTTAAGATACATATTAGTGTTTAAATAAACCTCACCGCTGGTAAATTTATTACAACCATTTTGCATTAAAATAACTGAAAATTATAAAATAAAATTTATATTATATTAAGACAAATGTAAAGAGATACATTTATATATATTTATGTATCTTTATATATCTTTATATGTATCTCTTAAAGTGGAAGTCTATTCCTAATATGTATATCAGTTTCAAAACTGATAAACTGATAAATATATATATACTTATAAAGGTATATAAATATTATATATAAAGGTATATAAAGATATATAAAAATATACATATGTAAAGGTATATATATTAAGATATACATTTATATATATCTGAAATGAGGTCTTGCTATGCTGCCCAGGCTGGACTCAAACTCCTGGGCTTAAGTGATCCTCCCGCCTCAGGTTTCCAAGTAGTTGGGATTACAGGCATGAGCCACTGCACCTAGCTAAACATATTTTTAAATAAAAACATTTAAATGGAATGGCCTTCATAGATCAGTTTGGTACATTTTTTAACATAAAAATTTGTCTTTAAGTTACAGAAGATCACAGTTTCCGAATCCATTTATAAACTGCTTTTTAATGAGTCACTTAAAAAGCTTTCCACTGAATGCTCTTTTTTTATGTGGTAAGAATGTCAGCAACTTTAGACATTTATGATTGGTCTTTCTGACTTTTACTATACTCATTTAATATACCTAACTTGTTATTTAGGATGCACACTTGCCCTTTAAAGGCATTCTCAAGTGAATATAGATATCTACAATTTTTAGACTGTAAAAAAAAATTATGATTTCTTCCTTTAAGATAGTTGATAAAACTGCTTTATAAAAAGGGTAAAATATAACCTTTTAACAAAAGAAAAATTTTAAACTTGAGAATGTCACAAAATATAAAGGTTAGGTAGAAATAACTGTGATTATGTATCATAAGCACATTTCCAAGTACCAATGAAAAAAATCCCAAATGAAATATTTAAAAACTCAAAGTTGTTCCTGAGTATCACTGGGTTAAACAGAATTCAATATGTAAATCACTACATTTTCTTCTTCAATCTATGAAGTAAAAGCTCCATTACTCCAATCATTTGGGAATATAACTTTTCCTCTTTGGTTCTCACTTTGTATTTATATACCAATTTACAGTGTTTAAAGCCCTCTCATATATTTATCTGATTTTAGGATTATATAATGTTCATTTGAAATATTATCCTCATTTTTTATGTGTGGATGCTGAGTTATTCATTCCATCTATCACCATGTATTAACTGACCTTTTATTATTATTTTTTTTTTTTGAGACAAGATTTTTCTTCTGTCACCCAGACTGGAGCACAGTGGCACAATCACTGCTCACTGCAGCCTCAGCCTCCCAGGCTCAAGTGATCCTCCCACCTGAGCATCTCAAGTAGCTGGGACTACAGGTGCGCACCACCACACCCGGCTTATTTTTGTATTTTTTGTAGACACGGGGTTTCACTACATTGCCTAGGATAATCTCAAGTGATCCTCAGCCTCCCAAAGTGTTGGGATGACATGTGTGAACCTCTGTGCCAGGCCTCAACTGATTTTTTATTATATGACAGACTTTAAAGATTCATTAACAGTGGCTACGGAGTATGAGCATTGTAAAGATAGCAGTAAATATGAGGTGTACAGAGAGTACATATGAAAGAAAACACATGCAAAATGGGGTCAAGAAAGGCATCTCAGAGAAGGTGAGGCCTGAGTCAAGTATCATAAATAGATATTAGACAGGTAAAGATGAGCAGTAAAAGGATGTGATAGTGTTTGCAGAGCAGCCTGGGCATGGCACCAGAGACAGGCTATATTGCCCATCCTGGGAACAACACTTGGAGTTGGGGTTGGAAAGTGCAGGAGAAATGGCAAGGGATGAGGTACCAGAGATATCGAAAAGGCTAGATAATGAAGACCCTTGGGTGCTATATTAAATGGACCTCACACTGAAGAATATCAAGAACCAGAAAAACACATCAGACACATCATATTTGACTATTTGAATGGTTTGGAGAGGGGGCATTGTGGGTATTCAGCCTTTTAGAGATGATAGTGTAATAAACCAGATATTAAAATTCCAAATAAACAAGATGCTAAAGTTCCAAACGAAAGTAGCAGCAGTAGAAATAGAAAGAGACTCTGTTGGGCTTATACAAGAGATTAAAATGTTATTTAATCTGGAGATATATTTCTATAATTCACAATGTAAATAAGTCAAAATGAAAATGACATGTGAACACTTATGTCAGATATCCAAAGTAATTGCTAAACTTCAACAAACTAATGGGATTTAAAAAAGGATGACTGTATAAGAATAGCCTTGAATATTTCTTAAAACAAACAAAGCATATCAGATGACCGTAACTGTATAAGAATAGCCATCAATATTTCTTAAAATGAACAAAGCATATTGGAAGCCTGCATTATATTAAAATATAATGACCATACCACTATCATAATAAAATAATATGATTCTCATGTAGAAAGAGCCAGCTTTATGGGTCAGATCTCCAAAACAACAGCAACAATAATATGTTTTTGTATGTCTAAAAACATCATAAGCAAAATTAAAAGGCAAACAACTGGAAAAACACATTCAACATGTAGGAAAGATAATGGGTTTATTCATAACTTTAATTTAAAAAGATCTTTTGAAATTACATGAAAACTGGATATAACAATGACCAAGCATATAAACTTTTCTAAATATAAACAAGTGGGCAATAAGCATACTGAATAAAGTTCAAATTCATTCTTATGCAGAATTATAAATATTACCACAAGATTACACCATTTTAAAACATCCTGAATTAAAGAACAGTAAAAAAATGACACCAATCATTAACGAGTATGTGGGGAAATGGCCACTTTATATATTCCTCATGATAGCAAACACATGAGAGGGAACTGCAAAATCTTTCTGGAGAGCAATTTTGGCAATATGCATCAAAGCCTTAAAAATGTGCTTTGACTCAGCAATTCCAGATCTAGGGAATTTATCCTAAGAAACATACATTTGTGAAGAAATTTAGTTTCTTAGCCTGTGTCCTCCAAAAGCCAAACCTGAAACGAAGCCACATGGGTGAGTCCTATATTGGAATGTCAACCCCAAGGAGCAAGCACTAGGACAGGGAAGCAAAATGAGGAAGGAGAGAGCCAGAAAGGGTGCATTATCACTTCAGTCACCATCATAGGCAAGAGGTTGCCTGTTATTGCAGGATGGTCCAGGAAGTCATAGGAAATGTGTCTCAGGCTTTCCATCTGAAGGAGAAAGGGGCACATTTATGTACCTCTTCTCATCCCCATTGGACAAAAGTTAGTACATTTCCTGGTTACACAGGAACAGCTCCTCCCTATCCCTCACTTCACAGTATCCCACGTGTCTGCTTGAGGGTCATTCTGAGTCTGATGTGAGGTGCTGTCAGTTTGCACATGTCTAGAATGCATCAATGCCCTTGAGGTGTCTGAAATACAAGACTGAGAGGATCTGAAGTGGTGCATATGAGGTATCCAATAAAGTCCATCCCTTGCAACACAATGATCGGTTTGTGTCCCTCATTTGCGTGCATCTCCCTTACTATGTAATGGAGCCTTCATTTTTGGTCAGAATAAGTTTCCTTCACTTCTTCCCTGAAAGAGGAGAGGTACAAGTCAAATGTGCCAGAGTCTCCTTCAAGATGGAGGACAGCCACAGTCTCTGCAAAGACTTAACATAAGATGATGAGTGAGAAATAAAAGCAAAACAAAACAGAAACCTACCATCTCCACAGATACAGCTGCTCCTGAGATTGTAATTACTATTTACGGTTTGCCTCCTTCAATATCAATTCAAGATTTTCCTTACTCTTGGCCAGCACTTGGCCCCCAGAATGGAGGAGATCCAATGTAATCAACCTATCAAGAATGGCTTTCTTATCTCCCCAAAGAATGATGCTGTATCAAGTGTTGATGTCTGCTGCTGGCAGGTTGATCATTCAGCAGTGGCAGTAGTTATCCTCATCCTTGCTGAGAGGGAGGCTATACGGTTGAGTGCATGTACAGACTCCACCATGACAATTATCATTTTTGCACTACTATGGCTAAGAAGAGAGAGTCGGTCAGTTGACATCCACAGGAAAAGTCATACTGTTCTTTGTAGTGGATATGCTCTGGTATGCACAGGTGTTAGACACAAATCCTCATGCTTTGTGCCCAGTGTGACAGGTCCAATCACATACCTTTTTCACAGATTTGTCATTGGTTTTATAATCTTGTTCTTTTTAGATCACCAAAAACCAGCCTCGCCATTTGCCAATGCTTAGGGCTCCATATATATATCCTTATCCTAGATCTCTTTTCCTTCCATATGAATTGAATGCCAAATGTACCATTCACAGCCTTCCCGTTTGGATAATTTCCCTTTACCACTGGGAAATTTGGGTCATCCCCAAGCCATGCTATAATGCAGCACCAGTGCATTCTTAACTAACCCTAAAATATCACTCTAACCTAACGATAAAGGGTATTGGTACAACAGAGTGGTTGAGATGGAGTGTCTGGGCCACATGTTCATATCTTTATTTCAAGAGGATGCTCCACCATGCCCAGGTCAATGGGCCCCTACAAACTTTACTGATGTGGTAGCCTTCTGAATTTTTGTGGAGTTTTTTTGGCAACCTTTGACATCCATGGTTCTTTCTTTTTTTTTTTTTTTTTTTGAGACGGAGTCTCGCTCTGTCGCCCAGGCTAGAGTGCAGTGGCGCGATCTCGGCTCACTGCAAGCTCCGCCTCCCGGGTTCACGCCATTCTCCTGCCTCAGCCTCCCGAGTAGCTGGGACTACAGGCGCCCGCTACCACGCCCGGCTAATTTTTTGTATTTTTAGTAGAGACGGGGTTTCACCGTGTTAGCCAGGATGGTCTCGATCTCCTGACCTCGTGATCCGCCCGCCTCGGCCTCCCAATCCATGGTTCTTTCTAAGAAGTCCAAGTCACTTGCCATTTGCTGCTCACCTGGTCCAATTAATGTGATGTCATCTCTATAGTAGATCAGCCAGTGACCTAACCTCAGAAATCTTATAGCGTCAATTCTTCTGCGTTCTATTAATAGAAATAGGCAAATGCCAGCAATGGGAGAAGAATTAGACTCCACTTCTTGATGAGAGAGTGGTAAGTTTGTAGAATAACTTGTGAGGTAAGATATGATGTTGTGGCTATCTTTGAAAAATATAATCATCACATGCATTCTCTGGACTCATAGTAAATATCCATTCTTACAGTCCCACCTCCATGAACCTTTGGACCACTTTCTCAATCTATTCCAAGAAGTTCCGGCTTCTACAATTATCTCTTTTGCTCTAGGTCAAGTTTCAAGGAGTCATCCCAGAAGAGTATTAGGATCATGTCCATAAGTTCTGACATGGCATTGAATCCTGAGTTATAGTTGAGAAATCCCAGATCAAAAAATTCTCCCCTATCTAGACTTTTATTCCAACATTCTCATTATCTACACTAACTGTCCATTCATACATGGCCTCCTAAATCCTGCTAATACTATTAGTTAGTTCTTGCAATTCCATGCTATTTAAGGTATTTCTTCCAAGAGCAGAGACTGCACATAGTAATTATTCAGAGATTTGACCTTGGTCATTGGCCTGGAGGCAATGAGGTATTTCAAGGGTAAGTCTTGCATCATCTTGCAAGGCACTAGCCTCAGATGAGGTCATTGCAAGTTCTCCATGCAAGGGAACCTCCTCTCTTCTGGCAAAGAGCCTACTTCAGCAAAATGAAAGATTCAGGAGAATGTTGGAGTTTGTGATTCTTGGGCTTGTCCACCCTAAAGTCCTCATTTCAGTTCTCAAGTCCAACCCTTTACCTATATGGCATCTGACTCTGATCTAGAAGATCTATCCAGATGCTGCATCTTAATCCAGTTTAAGCTCTGCCATTCTTATGATTGTGTTCCAAACCCAATTTTCAGTCAACTCTGCCCTGTAGCTGAAGGAGATGACTTTCTCCTTCAAAGCTTCCACATAGGCCCTCTGGGTTTCACAGTTTGTTTAGCCTTGATGATTGGCTCTTCTGAGACTTCATTTTCTTTTTTTTCAAGGCTTCCAACACACTTAACAAAAACTAGCCTATACCAAAATCCTTATAATCACTCTAGTTATCATGGCTCCCATACCATTCAGATGTCTCACCTTCTACCTATACCTCATATTAATCAGCTGAAGGAGAAAGTCTTAATAATTGTGATGCTATTGAATAACAGAGGTTCTTACCACCAGTAGGGGAGGAGGGAGTTCTTATTAATGTCTAACCATTAAGTAATCCAGCTTCAAAACCCTTTTCTGAGGGTCTGCTTTCCAAGGCTATTCCTGGTACCATCTTTCATGATCTGTTTTCCCCAGAGAGAAGAACCTGAAACAAGGGCTTTATGCATATGTTGCTAAATCCAGTGGGACCATCTGAGAAACCATATAAAATGCATATCAGGTCTGTCCATCCCAGGAGAGAAAGGTAATAAGCATGTATCGCTCAGTTTTCATTCCCATTGGTCAAAGTTCCACCCCATGGGCTGTGGACACCTACTGGTTCCCTAGAATCTAATGTCTTTGAGTCAATGGAGAATTCCTGGGATGAGGGGAAAGAGGTTAATCATAGGTGCCTGAGCCAAGAAGCTGGTCAGAGCTTTTGCAGTATTGATTGTCACAAAGTGTCTGAAATAAAGACATGTAAGGTCAAGAGGATCTAAAGGAGTACTTAAAAGGTGTCCGGTATTATAGTCATAAGAACATTCATCTCACTAAACTAATAAAAATGATGCAAATTTTCATCAATTCAGGATTTGTTAAATAAGTTGTGGTATGTCTGTTCAATGAAACACTATGAATCCCTAACCAAAATAATAATAATAATACAATAGAAGAATATATAATGATACCAAAATATTCACAGTGCATTTTAAATGGACAAATCTGGCGATATTGTCAATATATGACCTGATTTTATAAAACCAATTCTTTTTTGTCTAAATCAATATTTTCCTCATTATTGGGAATGAATAAATTTTATATACCTCTTTTTATCTTTTCTTTTTTTCTGTATGTCTCACTATATTCTACTGGGGTTCTACTCAGGCTATAAAAGACATCATTTCCTCTCTAGGGATTATTTCTACCTTCCTACCAATAGAGAACTCCCATCATAACACTGATTCTTCCTTTTTTTCTCCTTCCTCTTCTCTCTTCCTCCTCCTTTTCCTCCCCCCTCCTCCTCCTTCTTTATAGGTATTGATTCACAGAATAGAAGATGATGAATAAATGTTTCTTCTGGATTAAAGCCTCTATTTCTGAAATTTCTTATCAGTTACCTTATTTCTTATAATTGATTTTACAGAGTCTATAAAATCAAAAACTCTTAGATTAGGATGAATTTAGAGGGAATCCAATTCAACCTTTTACTCAAAAGAAACCCCAGCTATAAGATTCCTGACAAATGATGGTGCTGCTTTACACTTAATTTATTAGTCTTCAGTCACAAGAAGTTTACTATCTCAGGAGAAGTTTTTCAAATGATATGTTTGTCTCTTAAAGTGAGAACAATCTTGAGGACAAAGTAATTTAAAAGCCTTAATAATAATGACAGCAAACACTTAACATTGCTCTTACAGCGTGCCAGGCACAGTTCTGATTACTTTTCAATTGTTAATACGTTTAATTGTGACTCTAATGCTATCATGTAGGCACTATTCATATCCTTATTTTACAGACAGTTTAACTAACTTGCCCAAGGTCACATGATTAGTAAGTAGCAGAAATGGGGTTTGAAATCAAGCCATCTGGCTCCAGTGTCTGCCCTTTTAAACGTTACATAAAGAAAATAATTTCCAGAGCTTCCACTTTTCTTTCCTTTTTTCTCATTTGCCATTGCTCCTTTATTTTTCATAAGGCTTCTATGATCTCTAGGCCAAATGAGATTCCAAAAATAACAATTTTAATTTCCAAATCGAGGGCATGATTTCTAAATGGACCAAGTTATTTTTGTGAACTCTACATAAAATTCAGGAACAGAACTTTGGGAAGGAACTTCCAGATGGCAGTAAATCTTCACAGTTCAGTAATTAAGCCTTTTGAGAATGTTACTCTGTGATGGAGCCACTGCCTGATTAACTGTACAATATCAATTATATCAAACGGCACTACTTTAATTCTGTCAAAATTTAGAGAAATCTGACACGCTGACACGAGACTCTGTGAAGTGTGATAATGAGCTGCCAAGTGTCATAAAGTGCCACAGGGGGGAAAACACCCATGCTTTCAGACTAAAGATGATTTTTTTTTCTTTATTCACATTAGGGCATGCTTTGTTAAATCTCATGAACATCCAGATGCACACACTTGTCCTGTTTGGAATGGACACCCTAATCTTTTTTAGTTTTTATGAATGAAGTTCAAGTCATATAAGCCAAATTTACAGAAGAAAATAAATACAACATCTTTGGTGGAGAGAAATTATATGTCTAGGAAATTAGGCCCTTATCCATTTTGTCCCCTCAGTCCTGTGAAGCATGGTTCTCGGGAAGTTAACTTGAACTTTCCAAAAGTTAAAAGTTTGACTTGCCTAATTTTACAGTGATAGACCTTTGTCTGGTCATTAAGGACAAATCCAGGCTGTTTAAATAGCAAAACTGGAGTTATCAAGTGACAGGATCTTTCAACAAAGTTTGGCTTTCTTGAAAAGAAAGGCATGTCCTTTTCATAACAAGCGGGAGATTTTATTATGAACACAATACCCATCATCAAACATTAATAGTTTATTGTTTCATTAATGAAGTAATCAGAATAGCTAAAGGGTACAGGCCACTCTGTTTTGATTTTTCCATCATTAATGCATTATTTAAATATTTTAATTTTCTGTTATGTCCTAAAGGAGACAAAAGGAACCCTGTATTATGACTTGGAGAGATGTCTGTGTGTGCTTAATGAGCACCTTACCATGAAGATTTTATTCTCTTTTATATTTTTGGTGATCATCTCTTTCTGAATGTCTACCATATCTGTCCTTCTTGACCTCTTTTTTACCCCTTTTAAAAGTACATTTCCAATTACTTTCTGGATATTTCCACTAGGAGATATCTCAGCACTCCTTGAAGTCAAATGTCTAAAACCCAACTTTTTCCAGTCCCCTCCTAAGTAGGCCTCTCCCTCCCTCTCCTTTGGTCAGGAGAATCATCATTCTCCAAATCACTCAAATATGAATACTCAGACTCTTCTTTACTTCTTTTCTATCTCACTCACTTTCAACATTCTATAGACTTACAATGTATTAGCAGAAGCTTCTGAAGTCAATTTGGCACAAACATTAAAAAAAGAAAAAAGTTTTCTTTTTGAATCACTGCTTTCAACTAATGGTCAAAACTTTGCTAAGTGTTAATGACATTTGGAGAAGTTTCCATCCTTCTGGAGCTCCTTGCACTGACATTGATCAGTGCCCATGTTTATCCCCTATGACCGCTTTCAGCTAATAGTCCCCCCATCTGGCAGGTTTTCTTATACACCAGTAAGATAGTTCGAACCTGGCTATCTTCTATTTGTGTTTCTTGATTCAGGAAATTTAGGCATCCCTGCCATGAAAAACAGTTAAAAAAAAAAAAGAAAAAAGAAAAGAAAAGAAATGAAATGAAAAGCTGGCTGATATGTTGCCTCCTTGTCTCTAACCTATTATTATTATTTTCCAATAATATTTTTTCTTGATTCTGGTAGGCTCAGGGAAAAACAACAAATCCATTGACTAAACTGGTTAAGATGTCACTTTCTACTTCCAGCAAGTATTTCTAATTTTGCATGAGTGATTTTTCTTGAATTCCTCTCTTGTTGGCCTTTGGGAAGGTAAACGCCCCTCCCATCCCACTGTCTTCTTCCACCTATGGTGGGGGAGGATACATGAAAGCCACCACGCTTCAATCCTCCTGTGTTTTCTGTTTATACAGATCATGAGGCAGGATGCAGCAGGGATAACAGTTGGGGAGAAGAGAGAGGATTGCTGGTTCAGCTGCCTCTTATCTTCAAAATGGGTATCTAGTTCTTACAATGGACTCAATTATTGCTATGATATTTAGAGAATAAGGTTACTTAAGGCTTTTTTCCCCTAAATTTTGGGTCCTCGTTACCAGTTTTGGGGCAACAGAGAGGGTACCACTTAAGATCTTATTACAAGTTGCCAAATTGTCTCAATATTTCCTTTGAGGTATTTTTCACATCAGTAACAGGGTCAAGAATGCCATCTTAATAGCGAGAATCAGACTGTGTGTGTGTATTGGGGTCATGGTACCTTGTTAAGAAAACTCTCAGGGGTCTTGAAATATAAGATGCATGTCTGGTGTTGGCCACCCAATCTGTATCTTTGCTTTCTCTGAGGCATTTGTACCTATCTGGCACTTCGAGATCCCACTATACCCTTTGAAATCAGGAAGTACATTACAGTGATGGCATTTACACCATTTTCCAAGGCCTCCATAGGCCAGATTTTACAGAGCTATTCAAAGATGCCACTGATCTCCTCTCTTGCATTTCTCAATGTCTTAAAGAAGGGAGCATGCTCTGGGCCCTCCTGTGAGAAATCACGGAAAGGTGGGTATGCAAGACACATACAACATATGTACTTCCACATCCCATCTTCCTAAGCTTTTCAATTATTTCCTCTATATTATGAAAGAAAAGTTCTAGAATCTCACCCTCATTAACCATAATCTGTCAAGGATCCAAGTTTCAGTTAAGCAAAAATTAAAATTAAAATTAAAAATTAAAAAAATCTGACTTTTAGAATCTGCTGTTGAAGCTTGTACATTACACTCAGAATTTCTGAGACATAAATTATACTGATAACTTCGGTCTGGTCCAGTGTTTTGTTTCATTTCATTTGCCTGACATTGTTAGAATTTGTATTCCTCAGAACTTCGTTAATATAAATTAGCAAAATTTCAGACATTATTAGGTGTGGTTACACTTTGTACTTTCCCCTGGGGCATGCTTGGATTTGCCTCTAGTTATAGGTCTGGAGGCAATGAAGACTATTGGAAGGTAAGTGTTGAGAAGAATGGGCTTTATTTTGCAAAGTAACTACTCTAGTGATGTTACTAAAGCCTAGAAACAAAATAATGGTTGTCTTCTCAGACAGGAGAGAAGTGAGTGTTTCTGCTGGGAAGGGAGGTTCGGAGAAATTTGACAGGGTTCAAGTTCCCAGATTTGTCTGAGTACACCAAGATGTGTTTATTTCATGTTCTAGGGTTCATTCATTCCCTACGTCTAACTTTCGCACAAAGAAGTTGGCAGTGTTATGAATTCAAGTTATGTTTTAGTACTATTAACTACCTACCTAATTATTTAAGTCTAAGTTCTAGCCATTTCTGCTTTGTAGCTAAGTAATCATTCAAGACATAGTTCTAGACAAATACAGTGAGAGTTTAATACTCAAGGATTCAAGGAAAAGGCTTTGTACTAAAATATTTATTTTACTAAGAAGGAAATTGAATAAAGTAAAAAAAAAAATAGAATGCAAGGAGCAATCCTGGGCAAATAGATTGGTAAAGATTTAGAAAAATCAAAGTAAATATCAAGTGTTGAAAAGAGACTAATTTGGGGGATATTTCAAAGCAAAGAAGAGCTATAATACCAGGTGTGATAGATTTGATTATTATTCAGCAAGTATTCACTCACTCTCCACCCTTCATAGCCATGGGAGGAATATAGTTCTCTGACTCATAAATATTGGACTTGAATTTGTAACTTGCTTTGGTCAATGGGATGTTAACAGAAGTACTGAGAGAAAAAAAGCTTGAAATGTGCATATCTGTTGCGTTTGTTCTTACTCTTCAGCTTTCTGCAATAAGAGTATGATTCAGGTAACCACTAGTTCAAGGAAGATGAGAGATATTGGAAACAGACCTGGACCCATTGCAGAGTTTGGACCCAATGTTCAGTCCAGCCATGTCTAGCCTAGCCCAGCTGAGCCAAAAAGTGATAAATGATTGCTTCTTGTTGAATGCTCCTGGGATTTTGTGATTTGCAGATAAGCAGCAATCTCTAACTGATACATTAGATACTAAGAAGGATGTAAAAGTAAGAAAAATTGAGCTTAAAACATTTTAAGTCCCCCGAATTATTCTGGAGAAGAAATATTAACTCGTAAAAAATTATTATTGCCTTTTTTGTAAATGTAATATATGTATGTTATACAAAATTCAATGTGTACAGAGGGTATTCAGTGAGAAGCATTTTCCTTCTTACACTGGTCCCATATGCACATATTTCTTCCCTCCAGAAGCAAACACTGTTCCCAATGAAACACTGCTACCAGTTTCATAGGTGTACTTTTAGAGAGATATTTTGTTCCTATACATTTATTTCCACATATAGTTATGTGTGTGTATATATATCTATGCAAAAAAGTAACATATTACACACACACACAAATGTTCCTTGAATTTTCTTATTGAACTCCATAATTAGAGATTGTTCTGTATCAGAACATATAGGACTGCTTAAGTGTAGTACATATAGAACTACCTAATAATCTATTGCTTGAAATAATAAAAACGAACTAAGTATCCCCTCTGTATAATGATTACCTTTAAACATTATTAAGCAAGTAAACGTGTTATATATTAAGAATAAACATTAAAAGTATAGAAAAATAATATACCTCTTGATATGGTTTGGCTGTGTCCCCACCCAAATCTGATCTTCAATTGTAGTTCCCATAATTCCCACGTCTTGGGAGGGATCAGGTGGAGATAATTGAATCATCGGGGCAGTTTGCCCCATCTTGTTCTTGTGATAGTGAGTTCTCACAAGATCTGATGGTTTGATAAGGGGCCTACCCCTTTGCTGGGCACTCTTTCTTCTTGCAGCTGCCATGTGAAGAAGGACATATTTGCTTCCCCTTCTGCCATTATTGTAAGTTTCCTGAGTCCTCCCCAGAAGTGTGAGTCAATTAAACCTCTTTTCTTTATAAGTTACTCAGTCTTGGGTATATCTTTATTAGCAGCATGAGAATGAACGAATACACGTCTAAACAATAAGTGGAGTAAAAAAAGAAGAAATAAAAATTATCAGCCTACTGGAAAGCAAGAAGGGTGGAAAAAAGAGGCACAAAAATGCATGGTAAATGGAAAGTTCAAATAATATATTAGAAATAAATCCAAATACACTGGATAGCACCATGATAATGTATGCTGGTAAAATTTTTTCACTAAATGACAGATTCTCAACCTAGAGTTTCATGAAAGCCCAGCTATATTCATGATATTTATAAGAGAGACACTTAAACTTTGACTGCATAAACCATTCACTTAAAATATAATTGTATAGGAATAGAAAAGGAGATACCACAAAGTAATTATCAAAAACAATCTGGCACAGGTATATTAATATCAGAGAAAACAGACCTTAAGAAAAGAAATTATTAGGGTTAATAGGGTATGTAATTATAATAACTTTCTTTTTTTATAATTTAAGGGAGTTTAATTGAGCGATGAATGATTTGCAAATTGGGCAGCCCTTGAAACACAACAGATTCACGAAGACTCCAGGTGTGCCTCATAGTCAGAACAAATTTATAGACAGAAAAGGTAAAGTGATGTACAGGAATCGGAAGTGAGGTACAGAAATAGTGAGATTGGTTACAGCTCAGCGTTTGCCTTATTTGAATGCAGGTTGAGCATTCAGCAGTCTATGAGTGGTTGAAGTATGGCCGCTGGTGGCCAACACTCAGCCATTGTTACAGGTGCATACTATTAACTTAGGTTTTCAATTTTGTCTGACTGTTAAGCTAGTTTACAGTACATCGACAAGGACTCAAATATAGAAGTACGGAGTCCTTTTCAGGTCATATTTAGTTTGCTTTAACAATTCCCCCCTTTTGGTCATTTTCTCAATTTTGAGAGACTGACTGAAACTTTAGTCATTGATGTTACTATCACTATTGTAAATGTACTTACATGGTTTTGAAACTCACTGGGAAACAGTAGAACAGTGGGTTTTGCAAGGAGAGAATAAGGACTGAGTAGAGAGTAGCTCCTTACGCTGCAACATTCTGTTTACAGGAAAAGAAAAACAAAACCTGGTCTATTCTAGGATCTATGTGTTTTCTTAAAGTCTTAGTTTGATTAATATCACATTTAGCATGAGTGACTCCATTTTAGTTTTGTTTAGTTTGTTGGGAACTAGTGCATGAGCTCAGTCCAAATTAAAGGCCTCCCATAATTTTGTTTTTTAAAAAATTCCCCCTTTTTGGCCACGTTCTCAGATGAAAGTCTGACCAAAATTTAGGGCCTTAGCCCCACTCTCAGTTACCATCATTTTGGATTTCCAGTCTCAGCACATTATTCATAGGTTATGGTGTATTTGTGATCACACTTTTCTTTCAGCTTTTGTTGTTCCAGTTGGAGACCATTTGACGTTCTACAGATGGCTGCATGCAAACATTTAAAACCTTTGAGAGAATAAAGCGCACCAGGGAGACTATTATGACTATTGGGAGGATAATACCAAGAGTTTGGAGTATGCTCCTTAGCCAGGTTCCCCATAAACCAAACCATATAAAATTAAATAGATTAAAGAATGAGCCAGATGAAGAGTCTACTCACTTGATTAAGTGCTCTTTTCATTAATCCCCTTCAACTGAATTTTTATCATCTACATTTGATGTATTTCTCCATAGGCCACAAGTGTCAGCAGCTGCGCAGATACTTTTCTGTTTAGCCAATTCTATTATTTAGCATAACTCTCACAAGATAATTTAAAGTCTATTGTGTATCTATAGCCTTTAAAGTAGAATTTGCTGTAGAACCTATTGTGAGGGTGACATTTCTTATTATTGCGTCCTTTATTCTAAACGATGGAAAAAGGACCTAACAAATGATGTACTTTAGAAGAGTGAAGGCCTCCTGACAATGTTCTCTTTAATCCATGATGTGGGTTGAGAGGATTTTTGACTGATTATGAGGCAATGCTTGTGCCACCTGTTTCTCACCCATATTGGGCCTTCATCCTTTATCTATTAAAATATAAGTTTAAGCCAGGCATGGTAGCTCAGGTCTGTAATCCCAACACTTTGGGAGGCCAAGGTGGGCAGATCATGAGGTCAAGAGATCAAGACCATCCTAGCCAACATGGTGAAATCCTGTCTTTACTAAAAATACAAAAATTAGCTGGGCGTGGTGGTGTGTGTCTGTAGTCCCAGCTACTTGGGAGGCTGAGGCAGGAGAATCGCTTGAACCCGGGTGACGGAGCTTGCAGTGAGCTGAGATCATGCTGCTGCACTCCAGTCTGGGTGACAGAGCAAGGCTCCATCTCAAAAAAAGAAAAAAAAATTTATATATATATATATATATATATATATATATATATATATATGAATAAACTTTATATATTCATGAATAAACTTAAATGTAAGTGTTTTTTATATATATGTTTATTTATGTATAAGGCTGTCTGCAAAATTCTTCACAAATAAAAGTATGCCCTATAAGTGCACATAATAGACCCCCTTTTCATTTCTATCGTTCATAGACACATAAACAAGGAAAAAATATTCAAAGATAAGAGTCTTGTGATAGTACAAGTTTTGATCCGTGATGTTGGGAAAAGCTGTTCACATCAAGGATGCCATCTTCTTCTGGGTAAAAACTTTCCTGGTTAGTTTTAACTTAGGGGTTCCAATGGGTTTACAGTTCCAGGAGTGTGGAGGGACGCTCCTCAGTTGTGAGATTATGAACCCAAGGTTCAAAACTCCAAAGTTTTGCTGTAGTGTGGGCGGCAAGGACAGTCTTTCTCTGATGTTCTCAGAAGATCCAATTTTTGGGTTATAGATTGTGAAAGGACTGTCCTCAGTGTACCATAGAAAGCTTTCTTTACCTGGTGAAAATACACTGTATCATAATAATCTACTGTTATAACATCAGCCCTCTTGCATGAGAAAGCTTTCATACAACCAGAAAACATGCACTGAAAATGATAATTGAATGAAATCCCTTTATAAATGTTAAAATGGCCCATGAGATAGCTAAATGTACCTGAAGCTTTGATTGTCTTCCCAGGAATATGGAACCAAACATTGGCTTTAAACCATCTCTGCAATTTATAAGTCACCACATCAATATATTCAATTTGGATTATTTTATCTTTTCCATGACAGGTCATGGAATGTAGAACCTTTAATAACAAAAGTTTTAAGGACTCAGGAAGGACAAGGCAGCCATCCTCATTCTTCATGAGTCCATGCTTAACACTGGACTTATATCCTCTTGAATACCAGTTGCTTCTCCAATTTAGGTGCATAGCACTGCTAACTAATGGGTTATTGCAGGTAATTTGACAGGCCATGAACTTCCTTCAAATTGTATATTTAAACAATTTTAGTATTGGCTGATTTAGCATGATAATCTAGAGCTTGATTTTGAAAGGTTTGTTAAATACCAAAAGTATAAAACATTGGATATTACAAAATATAATCTTAGGTTACCAAAAGTCATTCATTTAACCAAAATGATAACTTGAAAACTTTTAAAAGGAGAAAACATTATTCAGATAGAGAGGAGACTCAGCTTTCCAAATAAGACCAAGTGGAGATAGCACGAAGCCAACTGACTCTGTCTCCTTTCTTTCCCTTTCCCCCTTTTTCTTTTGTAGTTTACTTAAAAGGTAAACAAAAATCTTTCATTATCTTTTAATATGACATACAAATCCTTTTTAAAAGAGAAAACCAAATTTTGTGTTTCCATTTAGTGTATTTTTCATGTTAAAGCTAGTTTTTAAATAACATTTTATAAATCTATTCAGTTTTAATTCGTTTGACCATAAGGTAAGATTTTTATAAACCTTTTATAACCCTTTACAATTTTTTTCTCAGAGCAGAGCAATGTTCTAAGAAAACTCTGTTGTGCTTCTATTCCAATTTCCAATTTATGGGAAAAAACCTGAATAATGCCATTTTAACTTTAGCCAAAATGTTCATACACAGAATCTCTTATAATTAATTTTTATAAGCCATCCACAACTTGTTCAAACTTTATTTAATTTAAAACAATCCTTTAACTCTCTAACCCAGGCAAACATTTACATTTCTGTACTTTCTTATAATCTCTTACAAAAAACACAGTTCATTCTCCTTACACACCTTGCATGTAAACTTATTTTTTCAGTAGCCTCAATTACATGTTACAATGTTAACTCTTAGTGACTTTTACTTTTGGTGAAAACTTTGGTAAATAAGGGATTTTTATTATGTACTAGGTGTGGAGCCTAGGACCCAGGCAGAAATGCAGATAAGGTCTGACTCTTTCCAGCATCTAACTCCACGTGTTGCAGGCCTTACCTAGCTGTAAAACAGGCAAGCTGTATAGTTAAGAGTCACAGTGGCATTCTATGAAGCATTTAGCATAATCACCTTTAACTTGTACGACATTTCTGGGATACATTTCTTTTAATAAATTCTTTCATAACTTACACAGACAATGTATGACATGTTTAGACTTTCTGACTTGCTCTAAACATCCCTCTTCTTAAACAATCAGTCATTTTACTTTAGGACAAGAATTTACCATACAACATCCTTTCTTATATAGTATCTCTTTTCTTTATAACCTTCTTTGTATAGCTAGGGCCATGGCTAATTCCATATATCCCCAGGACTTATTTAGAATTTAATGTCTCCAAAATAAATTGAACAATTTTCAAAAGTTGAAGCAGTTTATGACCTTAGAGCATTTAGCAAACCTCATATCTGACCTGCATAATTTAGATAAAAATGTCTTTATTTTATCAATAATCTTTAAATCTGTTTTTATTTCCCCAAAATTACTAAAGTTACATGAACTAAAAGGCATTACAGTTTTATTTTGCTTGCAAGATATTTTATTTAAGTGCTTATTTTTGTTTAAGTCAATTCATTAATTAGAGCTATTTTATATAAACATTACACACAACACATATATAGTTACCCAGACAGACAGAAGAAGATTAGTACAGTAATTGTAAGGTTTTTCATTTGCCAATTTTTAAGTTTCTTAATTGGTTATTGGCTTTTGGGTGGAGCCCTTGGAAGAACAGGGCCAGGAAAGGGGTTTCTGCTGCCTCCTGTTCTTCCAGGAAGTTAGAGCTTGAATATTCACTTTTCATTAAGCTGACTTTTAACCATAGCACTCTTTAATGAAGTCCTTTCAAAATTTCTTATTACCTGATTTTAGCCAGGCCAAACAGCTGATATTTCTGGCTTTTGAACTTTACCAAATGTAACCTTCCAGGTGCTCAGAGAAAGGAAAATTTAAGATAGTCTGTGGAGGAGAAGAGACTAGACAAGGCTATGCAGATATTAAACCAAAATGGACTTGCTTCCTAAGCAGGGAACCAAACCTGGACCACCAGTGTACAAGGCCAAAATCATAGCTACTGAGCTATAGCACAGGGTTATATCTATTGTCTTTCCCAGAAGGAGTCTAGAGTAGTTAATTTTGAGCTTGCGAAGGCTTTTAACTACTCAAGATAATTTTTACAGCTAACTATGACATAAACCCAAAAATTCCTGTGCTATGGAAGGTGGAGACCAGGAGAAAATACTGCCACATGGTTACAAGGTTACGTTCTCAAGGACATAAAACAAGATGGAGACCCCATCCAGTTTTTTTGGTTTGTTTCAGGGACCTGCAGGAAAGTTTATTATTGACCAGCTTGCTGTGCCAAATTGATCAGTGAGCTTATGTGGTCCTAAGCCCATGTTTTATCCTGAGGTACCCCTCGACCCAGAAAAAAGAACACAAATACATCAGTTTAAGGCTCGCCTCAGAATTACTTTTTGCATTAATCAAAACTTTACAGAAGAGATAAACAGTGATTTTTACCATTCATTCAACCATTTGCACACAGAGAGAGAAGCCAGAATCTGACTGGCAAGAAATTCCTACCCTTTTGCCGGCATGCCAGGCTTCTGGGTTCCCTTTCCCCGAGCGGCCCCAGTGACTCAGCTTGCCACACTATCGTGCTGGAGCCAACCGCATCATAAAGGAAAATTAACTTTTTCTTCTGGCCAGAGTAAAATATGTGTGATAAAACATAGACATTAGCCACTCTCCTTAGCACCCAATATCAAACTGGCAAGGCTTAAATTTGCCCCTAGTTAGGCCCCATCATTGTTAACCCAACCTCTGACAAGGAGCTTCAACACGTGGTGTCTACACAAGATGATTGCCCTAAGTAATAGAAAAGTTAAGAAAGGGAAAGGTGAGAGAGAAAAGCATTACCTGTGGCAGGGTGGGGAAGGCGAAATGATCAGGGAGGCCAAAGAAAGACCCACCCATTGCAGCGACCCTGAAAAGTTCAGGCGGTTGCTTCTGGGTAGCAAAGGGATCTTTTCCAGCAGTCCCATCATCTCTCAGATTTCCCCTTTTAGGGATGAAAAAGCTCCCCATGTCCCATGATCCTGTACATGCCTAATCCCGTCACCCACAGCTGACAGCAAAGAGTGCAAGGCAGATTATTCCAAACAGAATAGCAGTTGACATGCTGTAGTGCCAAACTCATTCTTAGCCAAAAGGGACTTTACCGAGCGCCCTCATTTTTTAAATGTACTTTAATGCGTTGTTGTTAATTTGGAATGTTCCACAGTAAGTTATCTTCAGTAGGATTTTGCTGTTTCTGTAAGACTTCACTGCCTCCCAGGCCTAATGTATAAGCCAGAAGGAACTCAGTTTTCCAGAAATTAAGGGTCTCATTTTTACCTGAAATACTGGCTTTACTCTCAGGTTCTCTCAATTAACTTAGCCAATTATTTTTCCTACCTAAGCGTGCAAGAAAAATGAAACAAAGGGGTAGAACTCAAAAATCCCTGTGAATTTTCAAAAGACAAATGTTATAATCCCTGCAATATTGCTGCTTACTACCAACTCCTTTCTGACCCAGTCAGACGTAAGAGGCTTCTAACTGGATCCAAGCCAGTTAATTCCCAAATCAAATCCATTCCTGGATCCAGTCCAGTTTCTGTCGTTACTCCAAACCCAGTTTGGATCAGAAATTTGCTTAAAGAAACTCGGAGAGCTCAAAACAGGAATCCGTGGAGCTGCGAAATCCACGAGGGAGCTTACCCACGATCTCCAGCGCTCTGAGAGATCAATGGACACCAGTGGGTCCTGCAGGTGCCTTGCATATTCACTCAGGGCTCCTGGGGTCGCTAGAAGCTCCACTTCAGATCCCGCTTCTGACACCCTCTGATAAAAAAAAAAAAAAAAAACTTCAGCCAAATTAATTTAAAGGAGTTTAATTGAGCAATGAAGATTCCAGAATCACAGCAGATTCACAGAGACTCCGGTAATTATAATAACTTTCAAATCACCAGAAATATAAAATATTTCTCAGTCTGTAGGCATATAACAATGTTGGTTCAAAATATATAAAGTAAAAATGGACAGGTTTATATGAAAAAAATACAATTGGATAACTTAACACCTTGCTCAAAATCAATAAATTATGCTAAACAAAAGTGGTAATGATTAGGAAATTTTAAATAACACACTTAAAAGCTTATTCTAATGGTCAATCTATAGGCTCTCAAAAGAAATAGAGAATACATATTCTTTCAAGTGCATATAGAATATTTACAAAAATAATCTACCCATCACCCTCAGGGGAAATCTCTATATATAATAAAAAATCGATATGATGTAGAATGATTTTCTAGACCAAAATGCAACCAATAAATAAAATAAGTAAGGAAAGAAAGATCTTACTCTTATCTTGGCAAACTAAAAAATTAAATTATAAACAACTTTGGATCAAAGAAGAAATAGTAATGTAAATTATGACATTAGAATTGAATTTCAGTGAATACATTACACTAGAAATTTGTGGGATCCCATTATAGAATTTCTTAATGAGACATTTTTAGCTCATTATACGTATCTAAGAGAAAACAAGACAGAAAAATATGAGTTAAGCATTGAACTTAGAAAGTTAGATTTAAAGCAGTAGAATAAAATCAAGAAAGTGGAAAACAGTGTACAAATGTACAAACTGATGAATTGAATGATAAAAAATGAAGATTAACAACAACAACAAAAAACTAGTTGAGACTGGCAAAGTTTATTAAGAACAAAAAACAGGAGGTACAAATAACCAGTGTTAGAAATAAAAATGGGGACATAACTAGAATAAATAAATGATGCGTGTTTGTTGACCTATGTGTGTTTGTTGACCTATGAAGGTACCGTTGAAAAATAATCCTACGTCTTATACTAGGTTCTTCGATGCTACTCATTTTATTCATGTTTGTTTTGAAGCTTTAAAGAACTGTCAGGTTCTCTTTAAATCGCACTGCATCAATGCCCCTGAAAAACTATCATAGAGGCTTTTTGGACGTACACATTAGTGAGGTATTTTGATATATCTTCAAATACTTTATATACTTCAAAACTTTAATGTGGTATAGCTGAGATTCTATATTGATATAGGGACAGTTGTTGTTATGAACTGAATGTTTGTGCCCTCCCCTCTCCACCAAATTCATATGTTGAAATTCCAACATATGAATTTGGTGGAGAGTGGAGGATGTTATAGCATCCTGAACTAAGACAGTTGTGAGAGGGTAAATTCCTACTTTTCTTTTTGGAGTCTATATAATCTTCCATGATGCCATTTATCCTATATTGAAAGACCAGTCCATTGACTACTATTCTCAATTTCCTTTGCTCTTAATCACTTCCTTAATTGAGCAAAGACTTCTCTGAACAATTGCATGATTGGAAATAATACAATAAACTAAATTGTTCACAACTCACCATAGCTTAATACAATACCTCTTCCACTATTATTTGCATAGAAATAAGAGCAAATGGTTTAAAGTCAGATAAATTATGTATCAAACACAGTAAAATTGGTGAAGGATTTTTAAACAGATTTTCTCAAAAACATCATGAAAATTGTTTTAAAAGTTGAGAGTACATCTACAAAAATAATTTTCATAAAGTTCTTATGGAATGTTTCTAACTCATTCTAGCTCAGATTGTATTGTTACAAACATATATAAGTTGTTTGTGCAAGAAATTGCAGATGAATGAGTACAAATTCATTTAGATAACTAAAAATAACAAGTTTAGTCTAGTAAAGAACTCAAGACCAGCTTACTTTGGATGTGATTTGCTAATGCAAAAAAAGGAACAGCCAGAACCAGTTTGGTCAAGTTCAATTGCTAAATGAGTCACGAGAAGCTACAATGTGAATCTTTTTTTAAAAAAATAACTGGTTGTTTTCCATTCCATCTCGTTCCAGGGTCAAATAGAGTTTTAGCATTCCAAGAAGCGAGATGGAACTACCTCCTGGTTGTAGAACATTTTGTCTCGATGTCACATATGTTGATGCATATAGTTCAATCGTGTGCCAGGAATTTGTTTCAAGACTATTTTCTCTATTACCTTTCACATAAAGAAAACAGTACTGTCCCTTGAGAAAGCTGCTTCTTTATTAGAATAAGTTCCATATTTGATCATTTTGTACAATGTGAAGTTAAAAAACAAGACCAAATATGGAGTGATTTTGTGCAGTAAAACAGAGTATTCAAAATTTCATTAGGAGTTCCTGAAACAGAACTGAAATTAAAATTCAAGTATATACACACATAGAACATTCTATAGCTTGAGGAGCAGATCTTCTATTTTTTTCTATTCTGTAATACATTGCTGTTGATTCTTTGGTAAATAAAAACAGTATTGATAGATAATTTTGTTAAAATAGAGGAAGAATATTAAGCAGCTGAGACTCGTTAATTTTATCTGACAAAACACAGATTAACAGGAGAGAAGGCATACAAATTTTATTTGATGTTAGCATTTTAATTTTGATATGCATAGAGGCCTTCATAGAAAGAAATAATGATCAAATAAGTGGTTGAAATGGAAAGGATTACATAATATCCTAACAAAAGTCAATAAATTATGAAGAAGTGATAAAACAAAGGAAAATAAATTTGGACTTTTACAGGCAGTAAATATATAGCAGAAATTAATGGAAGACAAAGGCTATTTAATAAGATTTTGTTTATGCAAATTTTTCTTGTTTCTGTTTCCATCTCTGGTGATAAAATTGTTCTTTCTTTCCTAGTATGAGAGAAGGAGACACCTTCCCAAGGGAGACATATACTCAGATTTTAGGCAAGTAGGGGAAGGGCAGAGTGCTTTTCTGTTGCCTTTTCTTAATTGCCTTCAGCTCAAAATAATTATTATGCCAAAATTTTATAGATTGGAGTGGCATATTCTGATTATTTATAGCATCATATCAGTTAATCTTCATATAACCAATATTATTATCAGCTAAATGCTACAGATGAGAAAAGTGATGCTTAAAGAGGTTAGAGAGCAGGATCTCCACAATAAGGGAAGAAAGTCTCACCATGAAACAGTTTAACTGCTGAAGAGTATAAAAAGCATTCATTTAAATATCCGGAAATTGTTTTACAGACATACAAAAAATGTAGAAATATTCATTTAAGAAAATGCACTAAATCTAAGTAAGAACAATAAGAGTATGTGGCATTTGAACTGTGACTTCCTTCATTATTCAGCTTGGTGTTGTGGAAGCTCTACCTCAGCATATGCACCTAATACAGGAACTCCCTATTTCTCCAACTCCCTGTCCAGGGCTACAATATCTTCCCATGAGGAGTAGGCTACCAGAAGTTCTCATTCCTTTCAACTTCATGTTGTAAAAGCAGGTGTGGCTGAGTGGACTGAGGGTCTACTCCCCATGCAGGCCCCACCTGTAGGGCAGAAGCTCTAACCCAGGCACACTAGACATAGAAGCCCTAACCCACACACACATAGACATACCGAGGCCTTGATTGCATACCCCTCCCCAGGCTCAGCTCACTCATAGGGTTGAAGTTCCATATTGAGAAGATCAAACCAAGAAGACAAGGGGAAGCCACCATCTGCCCCTGTAATCACTTGTAGAGCTATGATTTAAAGAAACAAAACAAAACCAAGATCAAATTATATGTTGTCTACAGGAGACACCATTTAGATTCAAAGATTAAAAAATGGGTTGAAGGTAAAAGGATGGAGAAAGATACTCCATGCAAATAGCAGTCATAAAAGAGCTGGAGTGGCTATGCCAATATTGGAGAAAATAGACTTTAAAACAAAAAATTTTACTAGACATAAAAACTGTCACTAAATAATAAAAGGGCCAATCTATCAGAAGGATATATATAATATATGTATGTGTGTATATATATATATATGTATGTGTATATATATATATATGTATGTGTACATATATATAAATGTATGTGTAGATATATATGTGTACATATGTATGTATGTGTACATATATGTATGTGTACATATATATGTGTGTGTACCTAATAACAGAGCTCCAAATTATATGTAGCAAACTGATAGGTTGGAAGGGACAAAATAGAAAATTCAACAATAATAGTTAGAAACTTGAATTCTACTTTCAATAATAGAACAACTAGACAGAAAAACAACTATTACTTAGTAATAAAAAACAACTATTACTCAGTAATTTAAAAAGTGAAGTATTGATAATGCTACTATTTGGATGAAACATGAAAATGTTATGCTGAGTGAAAGAAGCCAGACACAAAAGTCACATATGATTCAATGTGTACGACATATGTAATAGGCAAACATTATATGATTCCATTTGTATGGTGTATGTAATAGGCAAACTTACAGAGACAGAAGGTAGATTTGTGGTTGCTTAGGGCTGCAAAAATTGGGAGGGTTGAGGGAAGAAATGGGGATTGACTACTAATAGATTGTCTTTGGGGTGAAAAAATGTTTTACAATTAGATTGTCAGATCTACAAAACTCTGTGAATATATTTGAAGACTGAATCGTACTCTTTCAATGTTAAAAGAATTGTGGGGTAGGTGAATTTTACAGTAGGTGAATTGAATGGTAGGTGAGTTATATCTCAATAACGCTGTTTTTGAAAAAGGGTACAGTTTCGTTGGAACACACAGACACAAAAGAAATTAAGTAAGGTTTCTAGAGGAATTTAAATAGTAGGTGGCAGAGTTGACTTCAAATTCAGCTAGACTGAATTTAGAGCCCAGTAGTATAACCACGACAGAAGTAATTTAGCCACAGTCATAGAAAAAAGATGAAATTCAGATAGATTGTGAGATTTGGAACCACCATCACTAAGACAGGTAGCAGGAAAGAGGACTACAAATTGCTCCAAGTGTTAACTAGTAAAAATGTTCTGAGGAGGAAGAGGCAGGAGAGCTCTAATAGCTTCATTTTCTATGAGGAAATTCTTGAACTAGAGTGAGCTAGTGAAAGCCCTTTAACATAACATACTCTGACCTCACAAATATACAGAACAGCAGTAAACTTTAGTTTGGAAAGTTACTATGCAACTGTATCGAGCATCCCTTTTTAGTGCTGCTCCTTCTTATAAGCAATTTATCTATATATATATATATGTGAACTAAATATGTACCCAATACTATGTTTCTTCCTCTGCTTAAGTAGTTATTTACTTACATATGAGGACACAAGTTTCAAGAATATGAATACATTGTACAGTCTAAGTGGAAGAGTTGTGGTTTGAACCAGGTCTGCCAGTCAACAGAGCTGGTGCTTCTTAGCACACCACATGAATCATCACAGCATCACAAAATGGGCAATTTAATATTCTATTTTTTCCTACTGCAAAAATATGACCTTTTAGTTAGTGAATAAGCTTCATCTATCTACAGATATTTGCTGCTTTTCATGTGTGATCACATGCAATGTATTTTGAGCTATTTTGGCATCTATAATATATTGCCTAGCAATTTCTGTGAGCAGTTACAGTCGTTACTCAGAACACACAGGGATTGGTTCTAGGACCCCCTGCATATACCAAAATCTGCATATTCAAGTCCTGCAATCAGCAGGCTAAACCCAAGTATATGAAAAGGCAGTGCTTGGTTATGTGTGGGATTTGCATTCTGCATATACTGTATTTTCAATCCTAATTTGGTTGGAAAAAAAATGTGTGTATAAGTGGACCTGCACGGTTCAAACCCATGTTGTTTGAGGTTCAACTGTATTTGTCTTTGAAAGCCATTTGACTAGAATTTTGGCGCTATCTCAGACAAAGATATATTTCTACAGAGTCCAAGAAGGATGGATACAAACAAATGTAAGTTGGCTATAGGACAGCAATCTTGCAGCAGAAAGAGCCAATGTCTGCACAATAGCCATTCCTCCTTTCAACTTTAACAATGTATACTCAAATTTTACTCTGAGCACATAACTCCTTGGAATAATGCCTTCTTTTTGAAACTTGCCATGTATTTAGGGATGGCTATATGTTAGTCATGGACAGTGATTTGCTGGAGCTGGCTTGGCTGGGAGAGTCACTTGTGCACATCTCTCTCCATCACTGTTCAGTGAAGTTGAGTTGGTAGCTTGAAATCAGCCATAGCAGGTATATTTACACAATGAAGATTGGAGGCCTATTTGTCAAATGTTTCCAGCACACTATTGGTTCTGCACAATGAACCAATTGGAAAGTGTTATCCTCTTTAAAAACAAACAAACAAACAAAAAACATCTTGCATGAGTCCCTTGCATCTTCTCCCCTGCATCTTCCTCCACACCTGCTGCTTGGAATGGGGAGGTGATGGATGCTGCTAAAGCAGCGTTCTTATGCCATGAAGCTGAGAGATGACTGGGTTCTTCATGACTTAAAAGAACTGTAGTACCTGTTGACTGCCACATGATGCTGATACTACTGGTCCGTGAACCCTACATTGAGAATGACTGTTACTTTGGGTTTTTTGTTACATGCAGTTGAATCAAATCCTAACTGATAGTGTTAGGAGATTCTGGTGAACTAGAAAAAAAAGACCTCATCTGAAGGCATTCATATTCAAGTTTTTAAAATACTGAGCTGGCCAACGATGTATATCTCCTGACTTTATTAAGCAGTAGAACAGAGAGGAAGGAAGGAATTGCAACCTTGGTGCCAACCTATGGTGGCACTCTACTGCTAGACATTGATGTCCCAGGACCTCACCCCACCTGCAGGATGCACATAGAAGGAATAAAGGAGAAGAAAATAATGAGTAAATAAATGGAAAGTGATAAAGGGGTAGGTATTAGGAAAATAAGATTACATTGTGACCAGTATGTAGATTAAAGCAGACAGTCAGTGCACTGCCATAGCTTGCTTGAATTTTTTACATTCCCAGGCTCTCTGTCTCCACGTGTGTTTTTATTCTCACATTGACAGCACTGTGTCTTTTTATTGCAGGGATGGCCCCTGACTGCCGGAATCTACTTTTTTCCACTGTGGTAGAAGTATTTGGGGACTTATATCCTTCCAGGAGTAGTTCTTATCCAATCACTGATAGGTTCAGGGGTTTAAATATTTCAGCCATTGTGGCTTGATCAGGATAAGTCTGAGGTGTGATCCACACTGTTTAGAGATATCCTCTATGGGACAGAGACAAAGTTACCCTCCATGAAACTTTGCTTTATAATATACCCCTCCTTAGCCTTCTTACCTTACTAGTCCTATTTCCTTGCTACACACCCCATGCCCCTGATTTTCCTGGGAAAATTTTCTATTAATCGTGTTCACATGAGTCATCTTCCGAGAGTCTGTTTCTGGGGAATACAACTTAAGGCAGAGATATAACAATAAGAATTTTAATCTTCTTCCCAGAAAGCAATGGGAAGAATAAAGGGAAGATCAGTCATCCTGTTCTATCTTCTTAAATTTGAGCTTTCTCCACTGACATGTCTCAGATGTGCTTGGGAGGAAAATCAACTCATTTTGGACATCCAGATTCATTCAGGAAATTGGCAATATATATCTGGACTACAGGAAAGAGGTCAGAGCCAGAGATATATTAAATTAAAACAAGCTGGGTTGTAAACTCATAGTGTATGAGAGTTATGCTGATTTACTTTTCTATGAACTACTTGCCCATCCTCACCTAATTTTAAAATTCAGTACAGCTGTGATTTTCATCAAATGTTTATGATCCTATTATAGGATATATTTTTAGCCTTAATAAAAGGAAGTTGATAAAGCTTCATTATCTGTCGTTTCAGAGGAAGAGTAAAAAATCCAACATCTACCAAGTAAGTCTATAATATGTCATCGTAAATCTTCTATTTCCCAAGCCTTTGTCTCTCTCTGACATCAAAGATAAATGACTATTACTAGAATTAATATCTCTTAAATATATCATGATTCTTCAACATTATTACCAAAAGGCTGTTATGAAAACTTCACTAAAATAGAATTTGATTTTCTTTCTATGAACTGTAAGGGTGACTGATTTTTTAGTACTTGTAGTGGAAATGTCTCCCATATTAACTCAGCAGGTTTTCTTAGAATAATAAAATTATTTTATATGTGAGAAAGGAAATTGTAAAATACAGTGGCAAAATTATTCTAGTTTTTTAATCTTCGGAAAGTATGATCATTTAAATCACTTTGATAGAAGAGTTAGTGTCACTTCCAGGCTCTGGATCTTGCTTTAAAATAACATGAGCTTGGGAGCAAAATAATACAACTTATTTGACCTAGGGAGAGCTCTTAAGAAACTTCCTCGAGATCTTTGAAGTACTCCTATTTCTTGTACCAGAGGCAAAAGATAAGTTTAGTTTAAGTTTCTTTGTACTATTGTGAATTACAAACATCATTTCTCTAGAAATGTGTGTGCATGTGAAAGCTCCTATAATAGTTGCTATGGAACTAATTTCTGACATTAACATCATTAAGGCTTATTTTGGATTGGAAGGAAATGCATCTGTAAGACCTCGAAAACTGCTTCCATAATTTGGAGTTGAGGAAGACAAAAATTGGAGAGTGGCAAAAAATGAAAGAAAATATTTGCAAGGGTCAGTTACCCATGACGATTTTACATGTTTTAGTGATGATAGTATCAGAAAAGCAAATATTTTATAGGATTGTTTCCTATGTCAGCATCAATTAAAAGATCTTTCAACTTCCGGAATTATGATGTTTTCATTTTATTTTTTATTCTATTTTATTTTTGAGACAGTCTCTCTCTGTCGCCTAGGCTGGAGTGCGGTATTGCCATCTCAGCTCACTGCAAGCTCCGCCTCCCAGGTTCACGCCATTCTCCTGCCTCAGCCTCCCGAGTAGCTAGGACTACAGACGCCCACCACCACGTCCGGCTAATTTTTTTTTTTTTTTTTTTTTTTTTTTTTTTGTATTTTTAGTGGAGACGGGGTTTCATCGTGTTAGCCAGGATGATCTCAATCTCCTGACCTCGTGATCTGCCTGCCTCGGCCTCCCAAAGATTATATAGCAGTTTGGTTACATAGCCAGAGCCAAACAATACTGACCCACTTTAAATTTTAGAAATTATCTTATTTATTTTCGGGTGTGCTCTAGTGTAGGCAAAACTGTAATATAATTTAAAAATGTACATTTATCCTATGTGCCTGAGGCAGTTGGGGTTTTTATGCTTTCTCTACTCTTTCTCACTATCAACAGCTTATCTCTGACAATGAGGACATCAATTTACACTAAGATGAGAGTCATTGGCTATGGAGAAGCTAATATTCAAATGTAAAGTCATGCAAACTGTCTACCAATCCTTTCCTTGACTTGATTTTTTTGTTTCTCTCCTTATATTTCCTTTTGTTCTGATCTTCCTACTTAACTTTTTAACCTAATCTTTTTCCTTTTATTTTAGAAGCTGTCCCAAATTTATTTTCAGATGAAATTGAGGTATGAATAGACACATAAAACTAATACAAATGATCAATTAAGACTGTGCAACAATTAGCATCATGTCATTTTCATAGATAAGAATGCTGTAGAACAGGGAGGATAAGTGACTTTCCTCAATTTATTAGCACTTTTTTAAGTTACAATTTAGGCCCTAGAGCTCAAGCACTTCTAGTTTGGAAATATTATTCTCAGTGGAACTCCCGACTTTTCTGAGGATGGCTGTGAAGCCAGGTTGCTTGTTGTGACCAGAACACTAAATGTGTTAATCCTGTATTTGAAAAAGTAAACTATTCACTTTTTGAAACATAACCCTTCCCAATTTTGTAATCATAGGTCTTAAATGTAGGTGAGTCGCTTTAGTCAGCTACCAGTCTCTTACTTACAAAGGATAAGCCTTTAGTGGAACAGGAGGAGGAGGTGAATCCTACATATCATGTGACCTACAAGGAGGAGAAGCTTGGTAGAGAGGTTGACTACTATTACAAAACACACACACACACACAGACACACACACACACAGAGAATAAAAGCTGAAAAGAAATGCGCTCCTTTGTGTTGAGATCATTACTTCTCCATTATATCATTGTCACACCACCCCACAAGCCCTTGTCTGCAAACTTGTATTCTCATAAATGAAGTATATAATGTTCAATGAAATTCAGTTTCCACATTACCTTTGAATTTTATTTTTAATATGAAGATCAGATGTATGAAAGGATATGAGTTTGGTTATAATTAAAGCTAAATCACATTTGAAACTTCTGAGTTTTTCCACAATTTTTAATTTTCTCAGACTTCCTGCATATCCAGTTTGACCTATTCATGCAGATTTTTATCATCAAATTGTAAATTTTGAAAACTTTTTCTTCATAATGCTCCACTATTTTTTAAATAATGCTTATGTTTAAAACCAGAATAGTTTTATAACATGTGTCAGTAAATAACATTTATGGCAAAATAATGAAATAAACAACCATAGGTAACTGCTATATACTTATCAAATCCAGTGTTACTAGGATGAGAGAAGCAACCCGTTAAATCTCTGAGGAGGGAGAAAGAAAACAGAGAAAATGTCGCTGTATGTTTCTCCACTGAATGTATATTTCTCTGAGATTACTTTTATAACTTGTATACTATTTTTATTATTTTGACACTTAATTAGTGTCACTAATTAAGACATTTCATGTTCTTGTCATTATAATTTCTGGTCAATTTTTTTATATTTGACGTTTTAGAATTTTTTTTGATCAGAAATACTATGAAATTTTTGTGTACGTGGCTATCACATGTGTCTTCCAAAATATGTGTTGCCTAATTAAAGTAGAAGTTTTTACATAACAATATCTAGTTTTCTACACATTAATTGAAATAACTATAACCTTCTTAACTAAAAATACAAAGTGATAAAAGGGTGTATTTTAAGTTTACTACATATTAAATTGGGGAAAAAGATGTTAAATAATCATGAAGTTAATATAAATACATTTAAAAAGGAGTATATTTTTCACTGTTGATAACTTACTGAAAGTATTACTATGGAAAAAATAATATATAAACTAGCTGCTTTAACTGTAAGCAGATCATTTAACATACCAAAGCATCATTTTCTAAAAGGTAAAAGCGGGTGTCGAATTAGATGAATTCCAAAATCTCTTCCAACTTTAACCTTATAAATAACCCTTCTTTTAATGTTCTCACTTAAAAACTATCTAAGATAAGTAATGGAACTATCAGGGTATGCTCCTCTCTGTATTTGTCAAAATTTCATATACTTTTGAGGGAAGTAAATTAGATTCATCTGGTCAGATCGTCTGTTTTACTTGTATTACCTAGGGGCCAGAGTAGTTGAAAAACATGATTAATAAACAAAATGAAACTGAGGTTGTGACATAAGGAAGTTCACGTGACACGAGAGGGCATGAAGGAGGAAATTCACTACTAGAATACACTATGATAGGATATGATGATCCTGGGTTCAAAAGAAACAGAACTATTATTAAGAAAGGTATGGTAGAGCAGTACGGTGAAGATATATTCCTTCAGGAAAATCTATAGAATTGTGGAGGGTATGTGTGTGAGGCTAAAAAGAGATTAGAAACAAAATTAGGCAGTATCTCCCAGTGGTTACCAGGCTGAACTTTGAAGTTGATTGCCTGGGCTCCTATCTTGAATATGTCACTTATAGCTGTGGAACCCTGGACAACTTATTTAATCTCTTTGTCCTTCAAATTCCGTATATGTAGAATGTGGGTGATGATAATACCTACCACATAGGGTTATTGTGAGGATTAAATAAGATTAAACGCAAATCTCCAGGCATAAAGAAGGTGCTCAATAAAAATTAATTATTATTATCACTGTAGAAGAGTATTAGAGAGAACTTGACCAAAGAAAGTGAATAGATAATATTCACCTGGTGCAAATGACAAGTTGGACTTTAAGTGCACATTTAACTGAAAATCTAATTTCTTGAAAGCTGAGCATTTGATAAGGTCTTGTTTTATCTCACTGATAGTTTTCATCCAGTAAAAGGTGAAGAAAGCTATTAGGGAAATTGGTACTGTTGGCCTATACATTTTCATATCGTCTGGAAGAAACACAATACAGGGCAATGTACTGAACGAAACCAGTGTAACTCCCCAGGAAACAGCTGACAAGATCAGATTTTAAATTGGTGAGACACAAGAAGAAAGGCTACCTACTTAAATATTACAATGATACTGACTGTCAGGATAATGTCAAAGGTACTAAAGTCTAAAATGAACTGTGATGTATGAAAAATGTTAAGGTGAACAAAAATGGAAAAATATGTAAAGGAGTTTCCGGGGAAGCGGAATTAGTGTATGTGGTGTATATTCTTTGGCAAAAGCTACTACTAATGAGGAAAGCTTGAAGCCTGCTGGGGAAGGAGATGATCAAACCCAGCTGCTATTTAGTAGAAAAGGGATAAAGACCCTAAACTTCTTCCACATTAGATTTAAAGTTGTGGCAATTGCTGGGATTAGCATTGTCCTATGTCTTTTAACATACAAAGGCAATTTCTCTCTAAGATAAAGTTACCATAAACGTAGGAAGAAATGGGGCTGTTGGGCTGACTCCTACACCAGGTCATGTTGGTGAATGAGAATCACGATTCTGAATTAATGAGGCAATATAATCCATGAAGGATACAGAATAGATGCTGTCCCTATTAACCAGGGAACAGGTTATGTGAGGCAGTCTAGTAAGTTCAAACACTGCAACCCAAGTAACATGAGAAAAGGGCATGACAGTCAAGGTTTAAGAAAACTATAATGGGCAGAAATGGTATTTACCATTGGCAGCCCTGGGAAAGTTCAGCAGACAAGGAAAACTTACCCTAGTGCTAACCATATGGAAGCAAATGAAGTATGTTTTCTACTAGCTAGGTTTCACATAAACACCAGGCCTTTGCAGTTGGTGACCACACCAGGATCATGGTCTCATGCAAGAGTGCACTTGCCATCAGGAAGTGATTATGACTCCTCCAACCTCAAGGGAGCAGGTGTGGGTCCTGGCTTGAGTGTTGAGAAACTAAAATCAATTCTTCTTGAGTATAAAAAAGCATTTGGGAGGGAATCCAGCACTGGAGAAGAGCAGAGGAAATGACCTTACTTTTATTGAGATAGATGTAGCCTGGAGCATGTCCCTCTCTAACTATGTTTAAAGGACCATTTTTCCCCAACTTCATCATGGGCAGATACCTTTGTAAAATAATAATAATGAATTATTTGAAAAATAAACAGCAAATCTAGACATACAATATAAAGCCCTAATTATAAACTATACCAATTGTTCACTGAAAGTATGTGCACTGGTGATTAATATAGACTCTACCTATACATTGAGAGCACTGAACAATGTCTTCACTGGTACTCCCCAAACTTAGGACATATGATACATATTGAAAATAACAATGTATAAGATATCGCGGTGGAGTAAAGGGATTAGACTACTTAGGCCACCATAAGCTCCTCCTGGCTGTCCCAGGGATGAGACATACTTTTAAGTTTGAGGGGAAAAAATTAGGCTAAGGCCTTGTGTTTATGTAAAGAACACAGTGTAAGAAATCTTTTCTAGCTCTCTCTGTGTGTGTGTGTGTGTGTGTGTCTGCACATGCATGCATGCTTCATAAGAAAGAGTACTTAATTATAATTTTTTTTTTTTTTTTTTGCTCTGTCACCCAGGCTGGAGTGCAGTGGTATGATCTCGGCTCACTGCAACTTTAACCTCTCAGGTTCAAGTGATAATTACAATCTTTATTCAGATAAAGTCTTACTCTCTATGATCAACAAACTGCAGATAAGATTGGAAGTCTTGAAACAAATCTTTTTCTACATAATATAGGTGGCTGGAAATTTGGATTAAGTTGCAGCACTCTTTCATGGAGAACCTGTACGATAATCCTGGTGAGGATGCCCCCATACAATCCAAACAGGAGCCTGACTTGTAATGTCGACATTCTTGCACCGTGTTAAAATGCACACACTATTCTTAATATATTACCCTTCAAGTCAGAAAGAATTAACACTAAATTTTATTTGTGCAAGATTTTCATTTTACATTTAATTTAATGAGCAGTATCACATTTTATGGTCACTGTTTTTCAATTTTTAATACTCAAAAGACATTGGTAATGTGCTGACTTGACATAAGGAGCACATAGCAGCAAATGGTGGGATCAGGTGTGGAACTCTGGAATGCTATAATCCCAAAGCAAAGGTCCTGTCAGGTAATAAGAAATCAGATCACCCTGCATCCTCTTTCATGACTCAGCCTAGATGATGCCTATCCATATCACAAAAGAACTCAAGGATTTAAAATGCTGGGAATGGGGAGTGATAAAGCAAGTCTTAGATGACTTCTGTGAAGCAGAGTTATGGGAATAAAATAATCAAATATATAGCATAGTGAGAAGCACTATAGTAAAATGCATAAGTGAGCACTATATGGCCTAGATATCTGGATCTGAGTCCTGGCTTCACAACCCGTTATCTGTCATTTGTTAAATGATAAAGTTATATAACCTCTTTATGCATCTACTTCGTATCTCTGATGATAGTGTCTTTCCTCATAGCAAGATTTGGAGAATTAAAAGAAATAATACACTTACAGCCTGGATAATAGTAAGTGGTATTTTTAAATGGTAGGTATTTTAACAACTCCAAACCAACTTAGGTCTAAATAAAATGTGCAGAAAATCTCTGTTTTTACTACCGCAAATATTAATATCCTATTTGGGGAAATGTGATTGCCCAGAGACAGTTTTGTGATTGGCTGTCTGCTGTTATTGATAACAAAGAGATTATCAGAATCAGTAGTGCTGGGGCCCTCACCAGGGTCTCAAACAGTGTTAGCCTTTCTGGAAGAGCAGTGGCTGATATTTGTTGAGCACTGGTTATGAGCCACGTGGAAAACTAAACATTGAAATGCATTATTGTCTCTTTTTATCCTTACAAAACTCTTTGAGATAGGAAAAATTGGTATCATTTTTAAAGAAGATGAAATAATAACAGAGATTTAAGGAATTTGCCCAAGGTTAAAAAAAAAAAAAGGTGATAAATTGCAGAGCCAGTATTTAAAACTGGCAGTCTAACCTCAGAGTATCTATTAATACATTGATACTATACTCTATTTCCTCTTGATGAATTCTTTAACATTTTCTTCTCTAACGTGTGTACAGCAGTCCCTCCTTATCTGCTGGGGATATGTCCCAAGAGTTCCAGTGGATGCCTGAAACTGTGGATAGTACCAAACCCAAGCACTGTGGTACCGTAGCAGTTGTTCTGATCACCGAGGCAGTTAAACAGTGACTGACGGGCATATAGCATAAACAATGTGGAGATGCTGAACAAAGAGATGACTCACGTCCCAGCTGGGACAGAATGGGTCCATGCAAGATTTCATCACACTACTCAGAACGGACGATTTAAAACGTATGAATTATTTTTTCCTGGAATTTTCAGTTGAATATTTTTGAACCATGGATAAATGAAACCATGAAAAGCAAAACCACCAAGAAGGGGAAACTACTGTATTAAGAGTGAACCTAAGGGTGACCATTGGTCACCACTGAGTTATCCTTCCCTTCCTTATCTGGCTGCTCACCTGAAGTAAATTGAAGTAAACACAAAATCAAATAGAAAAAATTGAAATATCAGTTTCTCATTTTCCCCACGAATGTGTTCAAATAACTCAAGTTTTCATTTGGTAAAACATGGAGCCTCAATTTCCTCGCCTATTAACGGTAGTAATAACTAACTTATAGAGTTGTTACGACCATTAAATAAAATTTGTGTCAAGTACCTAATGAGATTTAAGGAATTTGCCCAAGGTAAAAAAAAAAAAAAAAAAAGGTGACAAATTGCAGAGCCAGTATTTAAAACTGGCAGTCTAATCTCAGAGTATCTGTTAATACTTTGATACTATACTCTATTGCCTCTTGATGAATTCCTTAACGTTTTCTTCTCTAACATGTGTACAGCAGTCCCTACTTATCTGCTGGGGGTATGTCCCAAGAGCCTCAGTGGATGCCTGAAACTGTCTGGCATATAGGAGGTGCCTGGAATATAGAATAAGCAGCTATTCCCATGATTGTTGTTATGTCCTGGAGAGAGCTATATGTGTCCTTAGAGTAAGGAAAAGTGGCGAGTTGAACTTAGAATAAAAAAATAACGATTTGAAGGAAGCCATGGGTGGTTTAAAGAGAAGACTTCAATAATGCTTATGGCAACACCATGCAGATTTTTATTCACTTCTAGGGTTATTCAAATTCTCTCTTTCCTGCTATTCTCCTTGTTAAAATCTGCGTCCTTTTGAAGCATATGGGTAGGTATCATATTGTGTGTGAAAATTAAAGAGGCACTAGTCTAAAAATACGTAACCTGGATTCTATTTCTGGTCTAGCTATAGGCTCCTGTGAGTTTATTAATAAGTGTATACCTCAATTTCTTATATATAGGTATAAAACTAACTCCTTATAGAAATTTTGAAGTGATGATATAGCATCCATAGATCTCTGAGTTCTCTTGAAGTAAGCAGTGTATATAAGAAAGGTTTATATTATTAGGTCATATATGTTTCAGTTAAAAAAGTGCTTTGGTGACAGAAAAGCTATGCTTATAAACAGGAAACCGTGTTTATTAATGGAAATTTACTTTTTTGTGAATTTTTGAGTTTTTTAATATGTTTAATATATTGTTTAAATGATGTTTAACTTTTTTAAAATTAAAAATTATTGAACACTGATGAAAGAAATTTAGAAAATACCTACCTTACATCACCATGTTGACTTCACGTTGCTAAGGCAGACATGAGTTAGATTAACATTATGTAAGGACTTAAATTAATTGTTTCATTTGTCTTATTAAATGCATTTTATTAATGGTTAATGATCTTAATTCTCAACTTTGGAATTAGATAAATGAGCAAAGATTTTTACATTATTTTACCACTAGATTCTTTTACTTTTTATTATCCTAGGATAATAGGATAATTATTATCCTATATAATAATTGTATTATATAGGATAAATATTGTAGGTTCCTCTACAAATATGTGATAATCAGACATTCTAATCATCTGTGGAGGTTTAAATATAAAATATATTTAATATGTATATACATGTTAGGGCTTCGTCCCCACAAATTCTGTTCAGTTAGCCTGCCTTGGGAGCTATGCATTTAAAATGGTCCCCAGGTGACTCTAAAATGTGTCCCTAATTAAGCTGTCTTTTTGCTTTCATAGATCTTTTAATTCTAAAGGTAAGGTTAGCTTTTCTCTAGTATTAGCAGGCACAGCTGGAGAAAGAACATGCTATTGATTCCCCAGAAATTCTGTTTTCCAATCTTATGTGAGTTTGGCTAGAGTAGAAAAATAAGAATGTGGGAGATAATTAATAGAGTATCTAGATTCCTGAGGGCCCATCACCATGTCCACCTATGTACAAACTAGAACTGCTTTTGTGTTCTCTTGTTCTGCTTGATCCTTACAACATTTGCCCACCTGCTGAGTGAATTTTTAATACACCAGTGCGAGCATTTAGAGTTCTTGTTAGAAAATGGTTTGACAGCAGTACATGATATCTCAGTTCAATGTAGCAAAAATATTTGTGTTTTATGAAGTATTTTCTTGAACTTTGATATTTTTAGGTTTGCTTTTATTATATTACTCCTTAAATATAATAACTCATTGTAATATCTTAAGTGTTATTATAATGTAACAAAAATGATATGTTCTTGAGAGGGGATGGGGTTGCCTAACATACGGCCAGGAGTGGGCAAAGCACTCTGTAATCTGTAAATAATAAAAAAAAAAGTGGAATCAAATTAAAAATCACCTTCATGAATTTAATGAATCATAAGATGTTGATCCTTGCACAACAGTTTGTTATGCACACATTTTGCATACCACACCTTTTGCAAAAAGTTAAGTTCGCTTTTTTAGAAAGTGTACATAGTTCACCTTCATCCGAGGAGACGGTTCAAAATAACTGTGAAAGCAAGTTTTAAAAATAATTATAAACCTACCAAACAGTAATTGTAACAAAGGCAAGCAATGCAGAAATATGAAAAATAAAAGGAATAGTTGCCCTTCTATCCTGTACCTCATGTTACAGAGACATATACTGTGTGTCACTCCAGGACTGTATTTATATAGAAAAACACACATGCATATGCACACACACACACAAACACACACACTCTCTCTGTCTCTCTCACCAGAGGCTTATTTTTCTTTTAACAAAAATTGTCCCTTTTTACATGTGAAAAATGGTCCCAACAAATGTTTTAAGGCATTTCTTAGATGCCTAAAGATTAGGAAACACTGTGCTTGGGCTAATTTTGGGACTCTGAGGATATGAAGAGTGAAAAGCTGTTCATACCCAATTTTTCTGAATGTCAGGGAAAGGTACACCTGTTTTCAAGTCTTTACATCTCTGTGTCTCCCCAGGGGATAGAGCTTTTACTCAGGGGATTTCTGGTTGGGGGAAGAGGGTCTGCACCACAGTCTCACTCTAAGTGATTATTATCACACCGGTAAGTTTCCACTGTGGCTGCTGCGTGCAGGCTGTGAACACATTTGAAGTCAGCAGGGGACCGTTAGAAACCTCCCCTTTGCTGAGACGGAGCTGTAGAAACTTCTGCTTCACTGAAGCATACTTGCAACCTGCGGTCAGTCGCTTCTTTTTTCATGCAGTGCTGTTTTAAACTGTCTTCTATCCCACAGAGCAAAAACATACCCAACAAAAAACAGTACAAACAATCCCCATGAGTGTTTTTGAATTTTCCTCTGCTAATCTCATTGTTAATGGTATGAGGTCTTGCCAGGAGCCATTTGTGGTTTAGACACACTAAATAACATAACATTCACACAGTTAAAAACAATTAATATTAAGCATCAAATCAAAGGCTATTTGATGAAAAACATAGGCTAACTGACTTTTCTACCTATCTTATAGAAACGAATTTCATCTTTTTTACAGGTCTCTGATTGCTAGATGAGGGGGCATATTTAGTAATCTGCAGAAGATATAGGATGCTACACTTTAATAATGACATAATTGCATAAATTGCACACTAAGTTTGCATATTAGATTATCAGCCAAAGATTATCCTGTGTAAAATAAAAATGCTCTCCATTAGTTAGTGGAAAGTGATTCAAATCAACCTTGCCTTATCTATGGTTGTCCTTAGCTGGCAGTGGATTTAGCAGTACTTAAATCTCTATTTGGTATGAATTGAAAGGATGTTGTCCTTGGTTGACAGCACTGATTTTTCTATCAAAAGGAGTTTAAGTAGAATTACCATGTATAGTAGAAATTTCAGAAGGAATTTAAAAGTCATGCAAATAAAAAGGATCCCACAACCATTATCTCTAATCTACCCAGGACTAATTAAATTTCTGTTAAAAATACTTTGAAGTTCACATTGTATGCAAAACAGGATATGAGAAGTTTATGTGGTTACAGGTATTATTTGTCTTCCTAAATCATTAAAAAACTATAAGTTAGAGACAAATCAAATCCCACCATCAACTTATTTTGAAAACAGTGGTAGGTCATGGTGATGAGGCACATCCAGAAAGTTATTGGCTTTATTTATTTACTTGTCGTTTGTCTTACTAATAAATCATAACATTGTTATAAATCATAAGCCTTCAAAAATGATTGAGACTATAAAAAGTAATAATCATGATAATTTTGTTACTTTTACTAGTTTAAAAGACATCAGAACCACTAGTTAAATAAAGAAATTGCTAGTTTGAAAACAGACTGAATAAAAGCACATATTCTTTCAATTTATATTGGTTATGGATGCTGCCATTGGATTAATTTCATCTTTGGCATTTGTAATTAAAAACACTGACTTTATTATTTGGAGTACTAAGGTTGATTATGAAGCTTCAGAATTTTAAGATCTCCTTTATGTGATTTGGGGCCAAGTATTTATCTTTCTGAGCTTTGTTGATCTCCCTGTGAAAGAGACACAATTATTTCTACCTCATTGGGTTTGCTTTAAGAACAATGAAGAGTACTGGGCAGGAGAGGAAAATTCTATGCTCCCTTCCCTTCCCAAGGGAAAACAGCTTCCGCTCTTTCTTCTGCCCCCAAGGAGCAGGGACAGTGCTCTGACTGGCCTGGATTTCTCTTTAATTCATTGTTGATATTCCCTTTTCTTACTCTCCAGGTATTCTTCCTGTTTCTTTCCTACTTTTCCCTGCTGTTCCTCTTGTGTGTCTGGCCTTGTCAGGTCACTGTGAGCACAGCCTGCCAAATACTTACAAAATAAGAAGACCTGATGCAAGAATAGGAGATGATTCTGACAATCTTAGCAGGCAATTTGTGAATAATATAGTATTTAGGTTTTTCTGGTCTGAGGCTCTGCATCTCTGTTGTAGGTGTGTTTGGAGGCAGGGGTAATGAATGCAGAGGGATAAATCTTCTTATGATTGGCTGATCCTCATAATTTCTCAATTGGTTTCATTCATACTGTACTTAGGAGTAATTCCTTCAAGTAATTCCTGCTGTTAGCTGATGGAGCTTCTTTAATTTCTTTGCTGATGAGAAATTATACTGTTTTGTTTCTATTAGTATTTCATTGGAAAATATTTCACTGGAAAGACAGAGGAGACTGAGTCACATATTGTTAACTAACTGCTAGAGTGAACCTAAGGGCTCTAGAATTAAATGGAAAAGTGTTTTTACATAAGTAACATATGTTTATTGAAGAAAATTAGGAGACAGAAATGATTCAAAGTCATAAATACATCCTTACCACAAAATTTTATCGTATATTCTTCTGGAATATGTAGTTTATAGAATAATAGATGATATTACCTATTTAAATATTATTATATGTAGTATGTTATTTATGTATTATGTTACATTATACAATATAAACACTGTTATAATTTACTTTAAACATTTAGCATAACGTAAACGTTTTTCTATGTCAATAAGTGCATTTTAACAACAGCATTTTTAGTTATTATAGGACATTCCAATTTCCTGTTGTTTTGTTTTTCCTAACTTAACATATATTTTTTCAGTGTATTTGTTATTAACACTGCCATTTGGTTTAGTGATTGTAATTGAAGTTGTAAAGCATAAAAATATTATTTTTAATATTTGAATTCTGTTTATAAGAGCATGTCATTTTCACTATCACTACTTAATACTTTGTCCAGGTTTTTTCTTTTTTATTTTTCCTTTTCTTTTTTTTTTTTTTAGTGATATAAACATTTGCTTGTCCAATTTCAGTAAAGTGTAGGGTTCAGCCATTTGTCACCACGGGTCTGCATGTTTCTCTTTGCTTTTTCAGTTGAACCACTCTGACCTATAGGTTCCTAAAGTCTGAGAGTTTCTTTTATGTTCAACTTGAAGATCTATCAAAATGAATTGAAATCCTAAAATATACAACAGTGAAAAAAATAAATGTTAATTAAAACTACTTCTTTTCACAACTAATTGCTAAAGTAATATAATTAGATAGAAAGGTATTTTTGCTGGTTCAAGCTTTTATGAATACAAATACATATATTTCTGTCTCAAATCACTCAAGTTCATGGTTTTGCACTTGGTTTTTAAGATGAAACTCAGTATATTAATTACATGAGAGATATGACAGTGGTACTACTTGTAGTATTTTGAGATAGCCAAAGAAAGGGCTCTATACCTATGAAAAGTCCAATCTTGATTTATTCTCATTCTGTTCAGTTCACCTCCTTCATAGCTCGCTGAACCACAAGAGAAAGAATTTTCTGAAATGGTAACTTTGGCTTTTAAGAAATCACTTTGAGTCAAATCATTCATTATTCTGAGACAACATTTGGTCTTATTCTTCAGTCCCATTGAGGGACTCAAAATCCAAGTCTATATTACTAGGAATAATTCTGAGTAACTAACCAAAAAATTGGTAGAATAAGTGAGTTCTTTTCTTTTTGGAATAATTAGTTGCTTTAAAAAAACTATGTTTCTATTGGAAGGAGGAATGGAAATTGAGGAAATGGTAACAAGTATCATGGTTTTTTTGTGTGTGAGTCATCAATTAGATTTACTTTTACATAGGGAAGGTAGTACCATTCCCTGTTCTTTTTTCAAATAAAGGAGTTAGAGTGGCCAGAGGGAATAATCCAGGAATATTTGATAATGAAAAGTGGGACCCAGCTGGTCCTCTCAGCTCCGTGTTTGTGCAGTTAAGTATGAAAATAGATCATAAACACACAAATGCCTTTTGTTTCTTTAGCTAATCTAATTTTATTGGTAAAGAAACCTTTAAATGCATTGTGATTTCTTTCACATGCGGATTAGTATACTCTCATATCTTCATATTCTCTTTTTTAATGGGGGGAAATAGTGCCTCACTTAAACCATGATGTGAGAGGCTCTGATACAATTAAAACGATCTAAACAGCTGTAGAAACATTTCTGAGCCTTGTTGATGAAGAAGTAATCTCGTTTGATGGACGTCTTCATTTCTATCTTAATCACAGCATGCAAGATTAGCAATACATGTGTTTCACTCCACTTAATTGCTCAGAACGCATGCACAAATGCAGGGCTTTACTTCAATTAATTATTTTGAATTTCAATGAACTTAGGAGAGACCACACTGAAAGTATCTGATAGAGTCCTTAGATAAATGTAATGAATGTTAGAGAAACTTTATATAACAGTCTCCTCCAAGTCTTGATTTTCTGCCATCATAGTGAAAGAATCTGAAAATATAAACATGAACATATAAAAATAAATCAGATAATTGGATGACCTAATGTGCTGTCTTTAGCTATAGTCATTAACTGAGGGTTCAAAGAATACTGAAAAACTATTAGATTAACTGTGCCGTGGTTATAGGAAAAAAGGAAAGGCATATGTTCTTACTCATACATTGATCTACCATTTCTGACCCTCATCATAAATTTATTAGTGACTATTCTGTTATACTTGTCTTGAAAAACATTCTAGATTTAAGTCAAGATTGTTTTTAAATTTTCATCATATGTGCTAAAACACCATGTTCTAAACACTTCCTAATTACTGCATATGCAAAAAAGCAATTAGAGTTACTTTATAGTTAGAAACTGGAAATAATACTTTGACTCTGGATTATAGGAAAAGGTTTAAAATTGAGAAATAATATTAGAATATGGACTATAAGGAATTAGGCTAAAAAGAGCCTTTTGTGAAATAAAAGTGAAATAAAAGTGAAATAAAAGGCAGTTTAAGCCTCAGTTTTGTTTATCAGAGACCAAGGTTGGTGACTTGTTCAGAATACCATGGAGAGAAGACAGCAGGCTGTCGTGGATGCTGGAGTTCACGAGAAAGGTACCTTGTAGAAACATGACACCCCAAATCAGCATAATTATGTGAAAGTCAAAATTTATTAGAAAGAATTGTTTCTGGGAAAAAAAGAAAAAATGACTGGGAAGGCAACAGAAAATGTGTATAAAATTAGGCAGAGAAATCTGTTTAAAAAGTACAGAAAAATCATAACAGAGAAAATAGTTTTTTGGCTGGGGCAATTGTTAATTTACTGTAACAACTGAAGTTGAGAATTGTACAAATATAAGTCTAGTAAACATGTATTCCTAACCAGCTGCCCTACATGGGCAGCATTGTAGATGTCTCCATGAGAGAAGAAAAATTGAAAATATTTTAATCTATTTTATCTTAAAATTTATTCCTATATTGAGGAGAAGTGCTAAGTCTGCCGAATTGGGAGGAACCCACCAAGAGTGCTACACAGAAATTAGTATCAATGTACCCCTATCTAAGCAGTAGGCATTTTCATGAGAAATAAATATATAATATAAATAAATTTATTATTACATACCCAGCAGCAAAGGTTTATTTCTCATGGAGACTTGATTTCTGCACTTTGATAGCTGATATATCCTAACTGCATTTGTCTCATGATTTAATGGTAAAATTTTTTATTTTCCATTAAGGTCAGGAATTTTAGTTTTGGACAATTTTTTTTTTTTTAAGAATTGCCTTCCTGGTTCCACTTTGACTCCATTACTAAATGAACATTTAAAAACTTTCTTTAAAAAAAAGCAAAAAAGAGCAAAACAAAAGAAAAACAGAAAAGCCCCTGCAGATTTCAAAAACTCTACTGAAGAAAAAAAGCAACAATGAAAGTCCTCTACTGATAACAAAAAGGGAAAACACCAGTTTGCTTGAGGAGCTAAGCTTTAGTATAACACAAGCTTACGAGCCCCTTCTAAAAAAAGTGGTCAAATGAAAATGCTTCAGAGATTGCTGGTGTATTCTTGAGAAAAAAACAGTTTGGTTGAAAGAACAGTTGCTTTCTGACTTCTGCTAAAAAGTTGAATTCCAACATAGTTGTCAGATGAAACTGTACAATCCAAATCTCCTCTTATTGACAATGGAATCTGGTTTTGGGTAAGTGACTTTATTACTCATCTGTTAGTTATTCTTTGAACAAAAGCAGTCTTGTTGCTCAACCTAAAATCGGAACAGATAAACGTGTAATACCCTTTGCACTGGGACTTGGGGTGTTGCCAAAGCCATGTTAAGAATTCAAGACTAAGTGCCATAATATTAAAGGCAGAATATCAAATTCATTCACACTTAAGGTTCATAAGCTGCAAAAATACACAAGTAATTCCTTCTCCTGAGATAACTCCATTTTAAACTTTTCTATAGTTACCAAACTGGAAAGTTTAGTTTTTCTAAAACCAAGCCATCATGTGCCTTATTGACACAAGGACAGCCAGAAATAACTCACACTAGAAAAATGGAGATTGTTTCAGAATATTATGAAATGAGACAAAATGGTCATATTTATTACACAGATTAGAATGAACTATCCACATAAAGAAGAGAAGCAGTTTGTTCCTAGTATGCGTGTTGTCAATAAATGAAAGAAACAGATGTAAACACCAAGTTCTCACATAGGTACAAAACCGAGGTGGATTTCTTACTCTACATATTTTGAAATCAGGAACAAGTATGAAGGCTTATTTTTATAACAGAACAATATTAGTTGCCAGGATTTTAGTTTTGATTTAAGAATAATTACATATTTTAAAATAGAATAAAAAAGACAAATACTATTAGTTAGTTGTTGGCTCTATTTTTATATGACTTTATGTAATAACATTCGGTTAACTTTAACTTTAACTTAAAAAAAATACTAAGCCTGCAAAATAAGTGAATGTTCAAAGGTAAAACTCTCCTTTGAGGCTGGGTGCGGTGGCTCACGCCTGTCACCCCAGCACTTTGGGAGGCTGAGGTGGGTGGTTTGCTAGGTCAGAAGTTCGAGACCAGCCTGACCAACATAGTGAAACCCCGTCTCTACTAAAAATACAAAAATTAGCCAGGCATGGTGGCTCATGCCTGTAATCCCAGCTACTCAGGAGGCTGAGGCAGGAGAATCTCTTGAACCTGGGAGGTGGAGGTTGCAGTGAGCTGAGATCGCACCACTGCACTCCAGCCTGGGCAACAAGAGCAAAGCTACGTTTCAAAAAACAAACAAACAAACAGACAAAAAACTCTCCTTTGAGAGAGCATTGCTTAGTACTCACAGGCTATTCTTTTTGGACACTTATACTTTAAAATATCGTTATTTTTGTAAGGCTCCTATTTATACATATTGCATAGAATATACAGATATGCATCAAGACATCGTAAAAAATATATAATTGGAGAAATATTTGTTAGGTGAAAATCAATAGTCATTTAAAAGTGAAACATATATTTATACACACATGTACACACACATATATTATATATTTATATACGCTCCCAACAACCCAAGAGAAATTAAAAATAGCATGCATTTTTCATTTGAATTTGTTTTGCCACACTATTTGGTTATTGAATCTCTAAAAATAGTAGATATTAAAAAAAGTTTATTGAATATTCAAAACTCAATAAACATACTTAAGTTTGACATACTAAAATAGTGCCTAACATTTAAGAGTGATTTTATTTATTTTCAGATCTCATGGATTAGTGTTTAAAACTGTGTTACTTTTATCTTAAAACCATTGTGCCAATGTAGCTCAGTCTATCTATAATTGAAAACATTTTAATTGAAAGATGATCCTTGTTCTTAAACAACATTGACCAGTGGCCTTTCCAACTTATGGAGATCTCCAGAACATAAAGAAAAGAAAGCTTACTTTAATTAAATAATATAAGTCAGCACAGTACCTTGTCTGCCTTATATGCTTAGCATCTTTCTACAACAGGTAATGATAATTTTCCCCTAATAACTGAGGTCAACAGTAGCAAATTCCAGTGCCTCTGCAGCCAGGCATGTAAGTAACCTCTGCAGTTGCTAAGTTGGTGTGGGAATTGAGATGAGAGGTTGGTATACTCTGCTTACAGGTATTTAAATTTAGTCTACATTTTTCTCAAACACTGTTCACCAGTGTTTTGCTTTCCTAACATTTTAGGCAGAGGGGCTAAATGAAAACAACAGTTGTTCTACAGTGACCTCTGTGAAAGATAAGAACAGAATGACTTGGTTAGTTTGTTAATGCAAATTCTCATCCATGCTTGGATATTCTAACTCTGTAGACCCAGGAACCCATATTTTTAGACACAGACAAGTTTATATTTCTAAGAATCTATTGTTAAAAATATACAAACGATTAAAAAATCAGATACATACTTTAAAAATAATCAATCAGAAATGACTGGCAAGTGACTGAAGATGCAGGGTTTGCTGCAATAAGAGGTATCAGATGTGAAGCAATCCTGATGTTTTAATATTGGCCAGCTATACACATTCCTATCTATTGTATTTGTTGTATATGGCTTATGGTTTTTTAAGATATAGGTGCAGTAAACAGTAGAGATCAAGAAAAAAAGTGTTTTGAGTTAAGTAGATTAATACAAATAAATCCTGAATGGTGACTGCTGATTTGTTTCAGTTCTTTTGATGTATTTTCACTTGTTTAAATGAGAGCTCCTAGAACAGATATTGGTTACAGATACTGGCACTTAACTTAGAAGCACATGTCATTGAATGACCTATGGGAAATAAACTTTTACCATGCTTTTAGAACTGATATTAGCAAGCAGTTGTCTAAGCTATATTTTTTCTCTGAATCTGCTAATTTTCATGACAACTATATTTGGTCAAGAAAATATACTATTGAAGTGATGCAACACTTCATCACTTTTCCCCCCATCTGACCTGTTTGCCTTGTTGCAACAACATTTTCAGTTTTATACCCGCAGACCATCATCCCATGCGTAGACCCTGATATTTGAAGTCAATGTTATTTCAACAACTGCATGGTTCGCGAAGGCTAGGGCGGGACGTGGAGACCCTACAAAACACTGGCTGTATGATGAGGAGAGATTCAGCAGCAAGTGGAGACCAGGTAGATAGGCAAATCTCAGAATCAAGAGGGTTTTGGCAAGAAACATTAGCCAGAAATCTATGCAGTGTAAGAGTCAAAGGGAAGAAGGTAGCTATGGACATTGGGGCTTAGAAGAAAATCTGAAGTATTAAGCAAGTGTTAGAAGAATAAGTCTGCATCTTAGTCCTAGAGCAACTACAATCCTGGATGAGAACCAAAGCAGAAGTATGGGCAGAAAGGCAGAGACCAGAATCCTCGACCAGGAGTGGGGACAAAATATCTGGTCTTAAGTGTCAAGAAGCTAAGTTTTAGAAGCTGGGTTTAAGGTCAGAATGAGACTTGATTCTGAGCTTACTCCTGGGATTCTTACAATCTTCCTGTCTAGCACCAAAGATCTGTTCCAATATCAGATACTAGAAGTCAGAGAATTTAGTTGACCTGTTCAAGATCACAAGCTAATTAGTGCTGGGGACAAAATTAGATTCCAAGTTTTCAATTCTCACACCAGGGCTCATTAGAACATGATCTGAATGAATCAGAAATGCAGATAGATATATTTAATTGTTTTTGATATGTTCATTTGTCACTACTGTTTCATAACTGCAAAGAGAATTAAAAATTTAGATCAGATTATGGAACAGATAAATTGAAGTAATTCATAGACCTATCTTGTAAAATATATATACATTTGTCTTGCAAAGGCTCAGAATTGACTGATTTTTCTGATTATTATTTATACATCTCAATGAGTTGAATATAGATGGATTCATTATAGATGGTTAATAATTATGTGATTTTCAGGTCAGAAAATTCCATTACCAGCAAATTGCTGAATAAGACATAATTTCATATATTCATCTTACTGATAGGTTTTTCTTTTTCTTTCTTTCATTATACAAAGTTGATATTAAAGAATTCTGGAGATTTTGTGTCTTGGTTTAAACTTTATTGATCTTTTATTGCCTTTATTTACGAAGTCTTTGAATTAAAAGTCTATATGGGATAAATTCTTATATTATTTGAAAATCAACCATTATCTAAAGTTATTTATGCTTTATCCAGTCATAATTAAATTTATAATTTTATGTTCTGTTTTTGTCTTATAACCTTTAAAGTTAGCATCATAGACCCTTTTTTCATACTGGAAATCGCCAACTGTTGTTTTCATTCTTGAAATTATTGCACTTCAGTCTTGCAGAATTGATATAAAGGAACTAATTTTTTGCATTAATCAAAACATAAAAACCAGTAATATTTCAGGATTGTACAAAATTTATCAGATAGTGGTACCAGCTGATGAACTGTAGTATTACAGCCCAGCTGCCTTAGATATCTCTGGGTTTTGTTTGTTTTTAAGCAGAATTGATTTTTTAAACTGTTGAATCATTGAGCTTTCTGGCCTTCATGGGTCCAGGACATTGATATTACAGTTTCATTTTACTACACAGAACCACACTGAAGAATTAAGGTGAACCTTAGACGGAGGTAGAAACTAACCTCTGAAAATCAAAGTGCTTACAGGAAGCTGCAGGTGTGGGGAGTGGGAGGAGAATGTGCCAAGGCAAGGGGAAGGGAGAGGTTTTTGAGGGAATTTCCGCCACTGAGAATATGAAGTCAGACAATTCACAGTAATAGGAGTTTTTTTGCTTTTTTTTACAAACCAAAAACAGGGAAGAAAAGAAAAGGTCAAAAATAAATGGCACGTCCAGAGACTGGGAAAGAGCTAGAAAGACGACAAAATATTACGTGATGATATCTATTAAATATATCCAAGTTGAAGTCTACACCCTTGCTACTGAAAGTGTGGCACAAGAACTAGCAACATCAGCACCAGATGGGAACTTGTCAGAAACGCAGACTCCTGGGCCCCAACCTAGAAAGATCAAACCAAGATCTGCATTTTGACAATAGCCTCCAGGCTGGTAGAATGCACATTCAGATTTGAGAGTAAAGTTTGGGGAACCTTTTTTTTTTTTTTTTAACATCAACATGAATAGAAATATACATTTAAAGTTATCAAAATTACTAGGAAATTTTTATTTAATGTTCAAATTTCACATTTTAAAATGATGAATAAATATTAGAAATCTTATCAAAATCTGTTTTACTTCTCTCAATTTTCTTCTTATAAAATTATCAAGGTATTTATAAAGCATGTTTAGTTAAAAGCACCCCATTATGTGTTTTATCATATTAAAACATTTTAATTTTTAATTGATTAAAATGAACTATGAGCCTGCTCTCTAAGTTGAAATTACATTTCTTCCTAAGTTTTGTGGCTGGATGATGCTGTTCTTTTACAACATTATTTTAAATAAATGTGTGAATACAAAGCACTGAGCTTGTTTTAAATACTCTACAAACCTGACAATGTTCTTTTTCTTGATCTGGTTACACGAGTGTGTTCAGTTTGTGTGTTAATTAATCAAGCTCTATGTTCATGATATATATACAATTTTGTGAGTGTATATAAAACATTTTAATTACAATTGTTTTCCAATTCAATAAATATTTCAACTTAATGAACATTTAATAAATAGTTCAGTAAACATTACCCTGATAAAAGAAACCTATACCAAGACAGCACATCTACTACCCTTAAAGCAGGTGTTTTGTGAGACTTTATGCATATCCCCAAAGTGCTGATATCGCTGATATTATTTGGGAAATGTCTCATTGGTGGTTTAAGGAGAGTTTCAAAATAGTCTTTAGTGTGACATCCGTCACCCCCCCGTGCTTACTTTATAGTCCCACACATCTTATTCTATTTTGTTTTGTTTTACTCATCATCCACCTTAACACAATTACCCATTAGTCTTGGCTGCAAATGTCATTTAATGCTGTTTAAAAAATTCAAATCCACCATCAAAAACAAAGTTTTCTCATAAAACAGATATTCGAAAATGTACTACCAGCATAGAAAGCAGTTCACAAATGTGAGTTCCAAAATATATTTTGGACAAGGGCAGTCAGTATCAGTGAAGTAAATGTCAATTTCCTCAAGCGTCTGTTTTCAAAAAGTTTACACTCATTTAGACATATGTAATTCTGATATATTTGTTAAAATATTTATTTTATTGTCTTGAAGATGTATGAAATAGCTCAAAAAGGAAATTGGCTAAAATCCATATTGTGTAATTTTTTTCTTTAATTTAAGATGAAAACTTGAGTACAGATAGAAACAGGTAAAGTACTTCACTATAAAAATGATAGAAGGTTCTAGATCAAGTTTTCTATTGGAAATAAAGCCACTATCATGTTTCATCAAATATTAGGACTCAGTGCCAGGGATTTTATTATACACAGGGTATGAAATACTTTATAAATCACCATATCTGCTGACATTCAATTACATTCAGTCTTATTAATATGAACTGTAGAATGTTTTTAGGTGTCTACTGGTAGTAAAACTAGCTTTTTCATTTAAAAAGCTTGGCTTTCCCACATGGCCCAAAAGTTCATATTACACCTTTAAACATCCAAGATTTTAATGCTGATTTTTTTCAATGTTTCAAACTATAGACTAATTACCTGAGTATCTTAAAGACAAACAGCTGTCCATACGCCTAGGGATGGATTAAAATATGGTAAAAGATCTTGCGCAAATCTGATAGTGATTTTTCCATGAAAAAATAATCCTTCCACATCTTTTTCTATATAATCTCTATTTATTCCAGCATAGAAAGCAGTTCACAAATGTGAGTTCCAAAATATATTTTGGACAATGGCAGTATACTGCACAATAATGTATTTTATCAAATAATAAGTGAATCTGGTGCATTTGTATAATAGTTTTGAAATCTCGGCCAGGCGTGGTGGCTCATGCTTGTAATCCCAGCACTTTGGTAGGCCGAGGCGGGCGGATCACGAGGTCAGGAGATCGAGACCATCCTGGTTAATATGGTGAAACCCCGTCTCCACTAAAAAAATTTTAAAAAATTAGCTGGGCGTGATGGCGGGCACCTGTAGTCCCAGCTACTCGGGAGGCTGAGGTAGGAGAATGGCGTGAACCTGGGAGGCGGAGCTTGCAGTGAGCCGAGATCACGCCACTGCACTCCAGCCTGGGCAACAAAGTACTTCAAACCTTTAAAATATTACCTCAGGTATGCCAATAACGTCTCAAAAAAAAAAAAAAAAAGTTTTGAAATCTCTAGGAGAGGAAACAAGTGTCCTTCTTCTTGTAATTCTACAATAATAGGCCCTGTGCAGAACCAGGCAGAGCTAAGTGATTCAACACATCACCATCCTCACACTTTCAGGTAACGTGGACTCATCTTTTCATTTTGTGTGTTCTCTTTCAACTGAAGAATCTTTATGTGCACCCTTTAGATCAGAGGTGTGAAACATTGGGTGTATCTTGAGTCACCTATAAAAACTATAAAACTGTAAGTTCCCATACCTATACTCAAGAATTCTGATTTAATGCTCTTTGCTGACACCTAGACATTGTATTATTATTATTAATATCCCTTGCAGTTCTAATATGGAGTTAGGGTTGAGAACACACTTAAAATCATGGCTGTTGAGAGCTGAAAAGCCTCTGTTTAATTTTTCATGTGATAGAAAAGAGAAGAGATAATCTTGAGAGATGTGCTTCAGGCTTACACAAATTTTATGGACATTTATATAAACCACATAATTTCTTGAGATCTATTTACATATGTATATTGTACAATATAGACATGTCCTTATATACTTGGGTGTCTATCTTATACTCCATATTTACATAGGAATGAATATTTTATTCGAATTTGGTTTAAAATAATATATTCAAAACAAAGTACTTCAAACCTTTAAAATATTATCTTAGGTATGCCAACACCTTGAGTAAGAAATACTTACGCATGACCACTAGGCGGTGCAAGTGATCCATGGTTGTAAATGGTGTAATTCAGAATTAACGTCAAATTGGCAATTATATATACATATATATACTGAAATCATTTGCTATCAGCCAATTTTTTAAAAAGAAATAAATGCTATGATTTATAGTGATAGTAATAGAAACTGCTTTCTATGCCATCTAAGCAATTTTTGCATGCCCACAACACAGTAAGGAGTTCTCTTCCTTTGAAAATATTTTTCTCTAGAGAGGTCACTTGAGTTTTCCAATTGGTTATTTTTACAGTGCAGATTAGTTAAATGGAAAGATTAAATGTTTCCAATGTCTAATTTTAAAACTATGTCTGATGCATAGTTTATTTTCTATAAAAAGTTTTATCAGAACAAAAATAACATTTATTGTTCTTATTAGTGTGAATGAGTCTGAACAGATTTAATTCTTCATTTGTTTCCTTACTTATAAAACTCAAGTTTAGAATGTGCTCAAGGTTGACAAATATTAAAATGAAATTGTGGTAGCTTTCAGAACTTGAGGAGATACATATTTTACTTAGTTTAGATTTTAAATAGTTAATTATTCTCCAAAACTTCCATTTCTTTGTAATGAAAGAGTATTCTAAAATACAAATATGGAAGTCATCTATAGTATTTAATCCAATAAACATTATGAATATCTTTTATTTTCAGGCAGAAAGTGTTGGGACTTCATGAATAAAGAAGAAATGTCCCTTATTCTCAAGGGACATGCAATTTAGTGAATTTAAAAATGTTACAATAGTGCAGATTAGGAGAGTTATCATTCCCTCTCCCCTGCACCCTGTCCCTGGTGTAGTCTTGTTATGCCTCAGGATTAAACACGTTCCCACGTGGCAAGAGTCAAAGTATCCCTCCTGTTGAACAATAGAATTCCCATGTGGCACGATGAGCTTATATGCCAAGCATGAATTCTGTCTTCCAATATTAATACTTAAGCGATATTTTTGACTTTATTGTGAAAGACAACTATGAAGGAAGCAGAGAGAAGCCTACAAACTAAACCAGAAAACTGTTTTTTAGTATTCTAAAAACCTATTTTTTTTCTTACTCAGGAACAATTTCCTAGCACTCTTTTTCTCCAGTGGCTCAGCCTGCTGGTGTCAGACTGAATTCCTCATCCACTGCTTTTTTTTCTCTCTTTTTTTTTTTTTTTTTTGAGACAGAATCTCACTCTGTTGCCCAGGCTGGAGTGTAGTGGCATGATCTTGGTTCGCTGCAAGCTCTGCCTCCTGGGTTCAAGCGATTCTCCTGCCTCAGCATCCCAAGTAGCTGAGACTACAAGCGCCCGCCACCATGCCCGGCTAATTTTTGTATTTTTAGTAGAGATGGGGTTTCACTATATTGGCTAGGCTGGTCTTGAACTCCTGACCTCAGGTGATCCACCAGCCTCGGCCTCCCAAAGTGGTAGGATTACAGGCGTGAGCAACCACGCCCAGCCTGCTTTCCTGTTGAAGACCTTCAAAGATCTCTCTGAGATTTCAAAGCCCTCCAGAATGTACTCCTTTTATGGTAACATTTATCTCCACTCCACACCTGTCCATTTATTATCATGTACAAATTTATATGCATTTTGATGTATGGGAACCTGGGCTGGATTCACTCATGATTTATGCATCAGGAAGTTAAAATGGCTTAAAGTCGTCAGAGATGAGGCTGAATATAGTTAATATTTTTTTTTTCCACTCAGAATTTTCTTGCTGTGGATAGACTACTGCAGAGTTAGTTGCATAAATGTTGATCACTCTGCTGTTTAGACTCAACTTGGGCTCAGGATTCCTGCTGCCTGGTCTTGCCTGCCACCAGCATTTCTGAATCATGTAGGTTATATGAACCCTTGACGCCCTGCCTTTTCACTTACTGTTGAGCCTTCTGATCTATGTTCTGACTTCACTAACCTGTTTGTCATCTGGTTTCACTGGGGCCTGTGGATTCTGATACTTGCTAAACTTTTTGACTTGAATCACTCCCTTGGATGCAGACACTTCCCAGTCCACTCCCATACCTGACCTGTACCTTGATTACCCAATCTTGTTGAACTAACGTGACTTCCACAGCGTGTGCATGGCACCGATACCTAACCAGCTTGTTACTGCTTGTCTCTCAGTGTGGCCTCTTCACCTTTCCCAGGCCATGCTGGGCTCTGCCACAAACACCATGGGGTTATTTTCTTATCTGTGCTCACACCCTGACATTCCTCTTTTCCACTTCATCATCTATCAAAAACATAACTCTGGCCGGGCACGGTGGCTCACGCCTGTAATCCCGGCACTTTGGGAGGCCGAGGCAGGAGAATCACGAGGTCAGGAGATTGAGACCATCCTGGCTAACACGGTGAAACCCTGTCTCTACTAAAAATACAAAAAATTAGACAGGCATGGTGGCAGGCGCCTGTAGTCCCAGCTGCTTGGGAGGCTGAGGCAGGAGAATCGCTTGAACTCAGGAGGTGGAGATTGCAGTGAACTGAGATGGCGCCACTGCACTCCAGCCTGGGCGACAGAGCAAGACTTTGTCTCAAAAACAACAACAACAACAAAAACACAACTCTGAAAACAGTTTACTTCCACTTTCAAAACATATCACAGGATCTTTCTCCTGTAAACCACAGAATTTTCTTATGCCCTGTCATCTGAAAGATTCCCCTCTCCATATCCTGGTTATTTCATTGTTGCCCAGTTTTGAGGCAGATCTTTCTTTCATTGTTTTCTGAAGCTGACAGTCTGACCTTAGCGTTGATCGAGGGTACAGGTTATTAACTTAACAGGAGCCAGTTACGATCCATGTTTGCGCTGTCTGCTGTCCGCATTTGAATTTTTTTGAAATGAGGTGTATTTCAAACAAGTTAATTGCTGTGCTGATGCTCACAGTCAGTGAATGCACCAAGAAATAAGCTAGACTTCACTTTGTAGTAGGAAAAAAACTGACTAGATAGGAAACAAAAAATAGGATTGCATTTTAGTTTCTATTGTCGTTCAGGACAGATATATGCAACCACAGAAGATAATTTGAAGGAGCAAAAATGTAAACAGAAAAATTTGAGAAAGAAATAAAGTTAACCGAGCACACTAATTTAAGTTGACTTCCGTGACTGGTGGACTAGGGGAGAGTCTTGAGGGAACCCAAAGAAAATGAATTTTAGTCTTCACAAATCCAGCATTCCTGAGTAATGGTTTGGCTTGGGGTTGAAGAAGTCAGAGTAAAATAAAGGAAGAAAATGAACTTTAGGGATCCCTAGAGAAAGGTAAAACTGTCTGAAATGGTTGGAGAGGTTTTATAATTCCTAGAGCATCCAAGTAAAACGTATCTTTAGAGAGCAAAAATGGGACATTCTACTCCATGTCAGCAACACCCCTATGTAGTTACACCCTGCCCCTCCCATTCACCTCGAGATCTGCTGCACCACCGTAAGAAAATGTCTTATCTTTCATAATAATGGCTTCTTATGGTGTTCCTACTGGCTCCTTACAGACAAAACAAACTAGAAAAAGTAAGGAGCATAGCTGTGTGTTTATAACTTTTGTGGCCATATTCATTTAACTTAAGTACTTGAGTCATGTATCAAGCATACTTTTAAGGGAATATCACAGGTAAATTACTTAACTTCTCTATGTTTCCATTTCCTAGTCTATAAAATGGAGATATTAAGGTCTAATTTATAGGATATGAGTCTAAACCATACAGAGGGTTGTTTAGCATGATACATAGAAAGCATTTGATACGTGAAATAATGAGAGTTATTATCAGCTACAGAGATTCTGGGGAAAGACTGAGACTGGGGTTCCAGTCACTGGGGCTGTTGGTTACTTTCCTAGATGAAAAATGAGAAGCAAGTTGTTTGGAGCCCACTTCAGGGGTCTAATACTCACATTGCCTGTGGCCATGCCACCCTGAGTGTGCCTAGTCGCATCTAATCTCAGCACAATCACTTGGTAACTTGGTGTCCATAAAAATATCCTGCATTTTAAAAACTATGGTAGAGTATTCTTGATTCTAAATTAAAAACCAAGCTTAACTATTGCAACCAACCAATTTCCTTATCAATTGCCCAACTGTAAAAATGATGCTATCAATAGCTTTAGCAAACATGTATACTGCTTCTGGTCATATTGTATATTTTTTAAAAAATATTCTTTGACTTAAAGCCTATTACTTTCTTCTATGCCTGTTTAATTTTTGCCATTGTCTAGGTCTATAAGGTCTTCGTGACTTCCATAACAAATGCAATTAATCTGTATGCCTTTTAATTAGAATTACATGTATGGGGTCTATTTATTCTGTGACTTCAAACTTTCTTCTATAGGATAGTTAATATATAAAGTACATTAGGGATTCACAATTACCGTTTAAAACTCATTATTGACAGTGCTTAGCAGCAATACCATAATGTTATAAACACATCTATATGTTTCTTTTACTATCTTGCTTTGTGCAGTTGTCTCCCAAAACAAATTCTCCAAATTTAACAAGGAAAATTACATTGCTAATTAGATTTAGGAAACAGCCCGGAAACTAATGAAAAAATAAACTTAGAAATACGGGACAATTAATTCAAAATTATCCATGAAATCTTTACTGCTGCCATGTAAGGTACATTTTCAATTTATTTTTTATAACGCTTGTAAAACAGTGCTTTAAGTAATATATAAGAGCATGAAGAATAACTAGTGGAAGAAAGCACAGAACGAAATTCTTGCCTATGTGGAAAGAGTCTCTTCATTTTCTTGAATATTTTAGATAAATATTACTTATATAATTTTAAGATTTCTTTTACAGTATTGGATGGAACCCCCTATTTAAGTCAGTTTGAAATAAGTGATACCATAATTTGACAGTAGATGGCACTATTGTTATTCTCTAACAATGTGCTGAGTCAGAGTGGGCTCAGCTCAAAAGACGCACATTTTTTCTTTTAAAGCAGGACTACCATCCAAGAATCAATCTTGGAAGTCACTATTCATTGGAAATGACACCAAGGTTTTATTCTTTCGCCACTCTTTCATTTAAAAGAACAAAATTTCCTTCACACCTCTACTGTTAATTGCTCTCTTGTGGTTGTCTAAAATTCTTCGATGTGTAATTTGATTTTAAATATTGTATTGCTTTTGCTGGCACAACAGAACAACATTTTACATAAATGATGCTAAGAAAAATCTATCTCTTCATGGTAAAGATACTAAAACTCTTTACTCACCTTTGATATTTCTTATCCCTCTTTAATAGTATTGCATGTATAACGTAACGGTGATCATGAAAGTTAGAGTCAACTTAATTTTTATGGGGAAGATTATCTGTGTTTACATTTTCTTGCAAATTGTTGAAATTACCTCCCTCAGCTCTTTTTGTCAATCCCAAATCCATTTACTGCTACTTTTTATCCTAAAAAAAGCAAAACAATAATAGCAACAACAACAAAAATTTAGTTCTTTACTTTTCCCTGCAATGAATGGGCTGTTTGTATTGTCCAGCTTAATACCAAGTCAGCCATTAGTGACTAATGGATTAGCAGCTTGAAAAGGTGGATATTATTGACAGGCACAAATGGATTTCTAAGCATTTCTCTAAAACTACTTGCTATTGTTCCTTTCACGGGAGCAATTAGGCATGTCAATCTTCTTTTGCAATTTTTGTTTTTGTTCCAATCAAAAAAATAGGGTTTGCAATTCTAGGATTTTCATTTTGCTTCAATCTTGGGGATCTAGTCTGCCTTTCAAGGATTTTCATAGTTGATTAATGGTGTGAAATAATGCATTGATAGAGGAATTATTTGGAAGCAATTCTAGGGTGATTATCTGTTTTTGTTTTATTTGCTATTGTGCTTTCCTTTAACTCAAAAAAGTGAAAGATAATTATTATATTTGATCTTGTGTACATGTTTGTGATTTTCTTCAACATACTAGGAGTGTCTTTTATCTGTTACAAAGACATTTTTAGTCCAAGTAATTTGGGCATAAAGGGTACACTCTATGATTCCTCTATACATTATATTTAATCCACTACTAGAGCCAAGAAAAAGCCAAATTTAAATAAGTGATTTGAAAATTTTGTATTTAAACTGAAATGGTATAAACAAAGGTGGAACATGTTTACAGGAAGATTAAAAGAGTTCCGACATTGCATTTTGTCTAGGTGCCTGGCATCAGTCAACTCTACTATTCTATAGGTATTGCTATTCTTTGTATTTATGGTTGGTATTAGCGGCAAAATAGCTTGCAGCTGGTGCTGAATGCCTCAGCCTTATTATTAGAGCTATTGAGATAAAATTATCTCTACTTTCTATTTCAAATTGGTTCAAGTCTATCAAGTTCAAGGCTTTGACCTCTTTGTTTTCATTAGAATCCATGTAAGACAAGGAATATTATCTCTGTAGGTGTTTTAGGCGCTTTATACTGTAATTCAAATAGGAGAGGTTCGTGTGTGTACCTTGGAGTGGAGCAACATTCTTATACCTCTTTGTGTCCTGTTCCTGGTATGCTGCCATATACAGGCTAGTATGTCGTTCAGCAAATTATTTGTTAAAGCTTTAAATAGGACAGCTGGCTATATAAGCCTGACAATTTGCTCTTCAAAGTTTAATCTGCCAGGGACTACTCAGTCAGCTTGTCTTTTAAGCAGGGCATTGATTCTCTCTTCCACCTTCTCTAGGGACCAAGACGTTTCCTAAAAATATTATTCTGTTCTACTTGTGCCTTGCTTTGAAAAATACCTGAAGATTCTTGTTGCTGGGTCACATTTATTTTTTAATTTGAGACTTCAGCAAGACAATACAAAAGATTAGCTGAGAAGTACAGAAACCATACATGTGTAGTGTGTGATTTTTACAATCTATAAACTTGAAAATGTGATTTATTTACATTCAGGTGATTTTAGTTATTTCTGAAGTTTCTCTCAAGCATTTGAGGTTTAAACTCAGTTAAGTTCAGGGTTTCATCTTGCTCCCTTCTGTCTGAATTGGATTTTAAATCATGAGGCTGTAGAAAGTTCTGGGGTTGCCTCAGGTTACCCAACTGTGACCTGCATCTCATGCTGCCATCTCTATTCTCCAGCTCCATTGCACTCTGGCACTAGGATCACATGCGAGGCAACTGCTTCTAGGAGTTCCAGATGTGCAGTGGGCCATTCTTTTTTCGTCTTGGATCAGCACTCTTATGTAGCGGTCTACTACTTTTCTCTCTACCTTCCTTGCTCCATCACCCACTTGACCTAAAGGAGAACAAGACCCAAGTCTTCCCATACCAGGGTGACATTCTGTCAATGTTGACTCCGTAGGTTCTCTTCTTCCACTCCTCTTGGAAGCTCTTACCTGATCTAAGAGGAAGGTGAAAAGCAAAGCAAAGCAAAACAAAGCAAACACCTTCCGCCATAGGCACTCTTCTACATAGTTTCTCTCCTTCAGACATTGATTGTTAGCCTTCTAGGGTAACATACTTGTGTGGAAGTATGAGATGGGAAGGAGGCACTTCAACTAATGCCTCTCATACCATCCCAGTATTTTTTTTGTTTTTTGTTTGTTTGTTTGTTTTTTGCTTTTTTATTTTGAGATGGAGTCTTGCTGTGTCACCAGGCTAGAGTGCAGTGGCACGATCTTGGCTCACTGCAACCTCCGCCTCCTGGGTTCAAGTGATTCCCCTACCTCAGCCTCCCAAGTAGCTGGGACTACAAGCACATGCCACCATGCCCCGCTAATTTTGTACATTTTAGTAGAGACAGGGTTTCACCATTTGTCCAGGATGGTCTCGATCTCCTGACCTCGTGATCCGCCTGCCTCTGCCTCCCAAAGTGTTGGGATTACAGGCCTGAGCCACCACGCCCGGCCCATCCCAGTTTTAACACAGTATAATGAACTCTATAAGGAACGAGTACTGGGGACTTTTGAAATCTTTGTAATACCTCTATAAAGGATTATTAGCTCCTGTTTCCAAGTGGACTTAGAAAGACAAAGATGTAGCAACAGCATATTACAGAGCAGCATGATGCCAGTGTAAATTCAATGTTACCTATCAGTCTTCTCTTACTGGGATATTAGTCAAAATTTCAGGCAGAAATGTTAGGAAAATAGATTTGCTAATTCTGGTTTCGTTGTCTCCTGCCATCATACCTGTTCTCAATCATCTGCTCCTGCAATTAGGGATAATCTACATCTAATTTTTTTATTTATTCCAGTTCATGTCAGAATGGTTATATCCTGTATCAGCACTGATATCTTCTGTCTGGCGTTCTCAGTACACAGACCAAGGGTTCTCAATCTTGGAGCTATTGACACTTTAGATCAGATGATTCTTGGTCGTGCAGGACTGTCTTGCGTATTTTAGCAACATCTCTGACCTCTGCCTCCTAGAGGCCAGTAGTACTTTCTCCAATCCGGCCAACCAAACACGTCTCCAGACATTGTCCAATGTCTCCTGGAGGGCAAAATCACCCACCTCCCATTAAGAAATACTGCATAGGATTTTTATCTGTAATTTCACTGCTCCAGTATTATTTCTATTCTTTACTTGAGAATCCAGTTTTGTAGGACTTCAAATTTGTATCATTCTGGGTACTGTCAGACAAAAAGAAAAAATTATGATAATAAAACTGAGCATAAAATTTAATAATTATTTTGAATGATAAAAAAGAAATTACAATAAATAACAAATTTTGAAAAGCTGACAAACACAACTATCACGAAATTCAGAAAAAATACAATTTTTTAAAATTCAGCTGTTTATAACACACCTATGGCCTACATTTTCAGCTGCCTATTTTTTCAATAAAAATGTTATTTTGTATGTTTAAAAAACATTTATATGATTTTTTAAAATAACTTTTTTGTGTATGTGATGAATTTTTAATATTTTCAAAACAGAGGGAATAGGTGATTTATAGTTACCTATTATAGTGTTTATAATAGTAAATGTTGCATTATCGAGTTTATTCATAACAGGAGAATATTTCTGTTTTCACTTGTCAACTATGAAAATAAAATTCTTTGCTCACAGTTTTACAGGCTTGATATTTGGAAGAATTTTCTATGGGCTAGCTTCTGGGTCCACACATTTCAAACCATTTTCATCTTCCACTCCACACATTCTTTTGGTTCTCAGCACCATAGGACATATTCATATAGAAATTCAACCTGTACCTTTTCACATTGCTGGCACAATCCTGGGTAAGTCACCAAGGGAATGGAGTGGGCATAGGACACCAAAAATGCTGGTGACCACCTTAATATCCCATTATACAAGATAGAACTGTCATGAGAGGACATTAGAATGGACAGAGACATCTTAATTGACAGTAAAACATCATATTTTTTGCAAAATTTTCAAACCTTTATTTCAGTACAAATACATTCCTAGGTATCATCTAGGGCCATGGAAGTGACGTGTAAATGAGGAACCCTGAAACATTAACACTAATGATTTAAAGCAAACACGTTTAACCATAGCTGCTGCTACGGGGGAAACAATGGGGGAGATAGAGGATAAGAGAATACCTAGGCAGGATATTTATATTGGGTTACAGGAAACAAGCAGGGAATTATGGGTTCTTATTTTCTAAAAAATGGGAGGGAAAATTTCCTAGCATTAGTCAACAAAGAAGTTTTATTTTCTACCTTAAAGTTAATAAACCCCCCCGTCAAAAACTTACATAGAAAAACAGTATTTTGTAGCCCTTATGACACACAGGGTACATTCCCACTGCATTAAGAGCACCCACTTTTTGATGGGCAAACACTTCATGATTAAAACAGCAAAAGCAATTGCAACAAAAGCCAAAATTGACAAATGGGATCTAATTAAACTAAAGAGCTTCTGCACAGCAATATAAATTATCATCAGATTGAACAGGCAACCTACAGAATGGGAGAAAATTTTTGCAATCTATCCATCTGACAAAGGGCTAATATCCAGAATCTACAAGGAACTTAAACAAATTTACAAGAAAAAAACAAACAACCTCATCAAAAAGTGGGCAAAGGATATGAACAGACACTTTTCAAACGAAGACATTTATGCAGCCAACAAACATGAAAAAAAGCTCATTATCACTGGTCATTAGAGAAAGGCAAATCAAAACAACAATGAGATACCTTCTCACGCCAGTGAGAACGGCAATCATTAAAAAGTCAGGAAACAACAGATGCTGGAGAAAATGTGGAGTATAGGAATGCTTTTACACTGTTGGTGGGAGTGTAAATTAGTTCAACCATTGTGAAAGACAGTGTGGCGATTCCTCAAGGATCTAGAACTAGAAATACCATTTGACCCAGCAATCCCATTACTGGGCATATACCCAAAGGATTATAAATCATTCTACCCTAAACACATGCACACATATGTTTATTGCAGCACTATTCACAATAGCAAAGACTTGGAACCAACCCAAATGCCATCAATGTTGGACTGGATAAAGAAAATATGGCACATATACACGATGGAATACTATGCAGCCACAAAAAAGAATGAGTTCATATCCTTTGCAGGGACATGGATGAAGATGGAAACCATCATTCTCAGCAAACTAACACAGGAACAGAAAACCAAACACCACATGTTCTCACTCATAAGTGGGAGTTGAACAATGAGAACATATGGGCACAGGGAGGGGAACATCACACACCGGGGCCTGTCAGCCGGTAGGGGGCTAGGGGAGGGATAGCATTAGGAGAAATACCTAATGTAGATGATGGGTTGATGGGTGCAGCAAACCACCATGGCACATGTATACCTGTGTAACAAACCTGCACGTTCTGCACATGTATCCTGGAACTTAAAGTATTAAAAAAAATAGCCATTCCATTTCTAAGAGGTAATTTATATTAGTTACATGTGGAAGGGGAAAAGTTTGGGTTATTTTTCAAAATTGTTTAAGTCCTGAGAAATGTGACATGTTTTTTACTTTCTAATAGTTCTATGAATAAAAGAGATAGCCTAAACTAGAAAAAAAAAAGAATCACAAGTAAATTGCTTAATTTCTTTATGCCTCCATTTTCTAATCTGTACAATGGAAGACATTACTGTCTATTTATAGGGTATGATGAGTCTAATCCATACAGATGTACAATACACAGAAAGAATTCAATACATCCAATAAAGACAGTTATCATTAGCCAAGTACATTCTCTAGGACAGATGAAGATTGAAGCTGTCGTCACTGGGATTATTGGTCACCTTCTAGATGCAAACTAAGAAGCACATTGTTTGGAGCCAACTCTTGGGTTTCTAATCCCAGCACTGTTTCCAGCCATACCACCCTGAATGTGCCTGATCTTCTCTAATTCCAGCACCATCACTTGGTAGATTTATGTCCTTAGGAAAGTTCTTAACTTCTCTGTGAAGTTTCCTCTCCTGTAAAGCTGAGGTAAACCCTATAATTCATAGGGTTTGCTTTTACTAGTGGTGCCGTTATTATCATTATTTCCAAATCATATTCATATTTTTAAAGTATTGCTTATATGAGGGAAGCATATTGTTTAAGCAGATTTTGTGTAGCCTGATATTCAAACAGAACAGGGCAAGTTACATTTGATAACTGACTTGCATAATCAAGGTATTTTATAACTGAATGGGATTGTTTCTCTTTGTTTCTCCATGCCTTTATGCTGAAGAACACTTTACCCTGTAACCTAAAATTTTCGTGGTCTCACTTGATCAAAATCCCTCAAGGAGATTTTTCTTTTTTTTTTTTACAACCTGGTTGATGTTTATGGGAATACGTTGAAGGAGATCTTTTTATCCTCAGCCACTCTGTGAGATTTATGTAATTTAGAATTTTGTTGTGATGTTCTCGACAGCCGGGGGAAGACATGGAATTGTAATGGCACACTCAGACACAAAACAATCTGGGGCTGTGATGCATCTAGAGTTTTTATAGCCTAATTGCTGTAGAACATAAAACACCAAAAGCTCCAATTCTGCCTCACCTGGTAATGACACTGCCTGAAAATAGGTTGTTATGGTACTGGAAGGGGCTGGGTTGAGAGGGAAACCAAGAAGCTACTATGATTAGGAGAAAAAGGGCCTGTTCATATAAGCTTCCATGGAAAATTATTTCTTTTAGCAAGAACAGAGGCATTGCAGAAACCGGTTCCAGGAGACTATTGGGAATCACAAAGTCAGTAAAATATCCTTAATTTTTGCAAGCTAAAGTGTCTCTCTCTTCATTTTATTATCAAGTGTACAATAAGTAGGTAGGGGCCTGATTTTAGTTAGTTGCACAAATTTAGTAATTTTATAGTAGTTATAGTGAAAACACAGTGTATTCTCATGGGAGCAAAAGGACATTGTAGTTTTGCAAACAGCAATACTCTGTAACCTGAGTATTTACATAAAGGAAAGTTTCATGTAAAGTTAGTTCATAAAGTGTGTTAGATACAACCAGACGTATGTAGAGTTAATTGAGTATTATTTAGAAATCCAGTCGCTGATGACATACCAAGTAACTCTGGAGTAATTTCTGTTTTCCCCAGCTTTATTGAGGTATAATTGAAAAATTAAAATGGTATATAAATTTAATGTGTACAACATGATGTTTTGATATATATATGCACATTGTGAAATAATTACCACAATCAAGCTGTTTGACATATTATCATCTCACATAGTTCCCTTTTTTTGTGGTGAGACTGCTTAAAATCTACTCTCTTTGCAAATTTCAGGTATAAAATGCATTATTATTAACTATATTCACCATACTAAGTTTTCCAGAACTTATTCATCCTAAGACTGCAAGTTTGTGCCTTTGACCAACATCTCCCCATTTTCCCCATTCCCCTGCTTCTGGTAATCATCCTTCTACTGTCTGTCATTATGAGTTCTACCTTTTTTAGATTCCACTTATAAGGCAGGTCATTCAGTATTTGTCTCTGTGTGGCTACACCATTTTAATTCCCACCAACAGTGTACAAGTTTCCAATTTCTTCACATCCTTGCCAGAACCTATCTTTTTTCTTTTCGATAATAGCCATCCTAACATATGAGGGAGTATTTCATTATTAGTATTATTAACATGTAATAGAAATACTGTATAAGGTTTAAAAATAGTAACTCATGTGAAGAGGATAAAAAGTAGTCATGACACACCATCCTTTCCTGTCTTCACATTTGATATGAGTAATTTTTATAAGATTCTGGTACAATGTGGAAATAATGATGTTATTTGTTTTATAAGGCTAACAAATTCCATTAAACTTTTTAGAATTAACGTCACTTCAGAAGTTATTTTTTTAAACGAGATTGTATCTCAGCAATATTGCTTATTCTCCAATCTATTCTTTGTATTTATTCATTAACTGGGGTTAATAAATTTCTGCCATTGTCATGAAAGCTGAAGGTGTGGCTGGGTGGCACAGCGGCTCATGCCTGTAATCCAGCACTTTGGGAGGTCAGCAGTTTGAGATCAGCCTGGCCAACATGGTAAAACTCCATCTCTACTAAAAATACAAAAATTAGCTGGGCGTGGTGGTACATGCCTATAATCCCAGCTACTCAGGAGGCTGAGGCAGGAGAATTGCTTGAACCCAGGAGGCAGAGGTTGCAGTGAGCTGGGATCTCAGTGAGCTGAGATCTCACCACCACACTCCAGCCTGGGTGACAGAATGAGACTGAGACTCTGGCAAAAAAAAAAAAAAAAAAAAAAAAAAAAAGCTTATGGTGCTTTGTCACCAGGTCATGAGTTGTGCTTGTTCTATGTATCGACCATAGGTAGATTGTGGGTACGATATTGACACCCTCATCCTTTTTAGGCTGACATTTGGACTTATGGCCAATACCACTACAAGATTGCCTTCCTTAAAAATAAAAATTAAACTATAGGCCAGTCGCAGTGGCTCATGCCTGTAATCCCAGCACTTTGGGAGGCTGTAGCGGGCGGATCAAGAGGTCGGGAGATTGAGACCATCCTGGCTAACACAGTGAAACGCCGTCTCTACTAAAAATATAAAAACTTAGCTGGGCGTGGTGGCACGGGCCTGTAGTCCCAGCTACTCGGGAAGCTGAGGCAGGAGAATGATGTGAACCTGGGAGGTGGAGGTTGCAGTGAGCCGAGATTGCACCACTGCAATCCAGCCTGGGTGACAGAGCGAGACTCCATCTCAAAAATAAAAAAAAAAACGGTAACTGTGCATTGATATTTTGTACTTGAATAATTACTTTAATGTGAATTTTGAATACTTATTTTGTATTTTATAATGCATCCTGTACTCATTATTTTTTATAGTAGTTATAGCAAAAACATAGTGTGTGCTCATGGGAACAAAAGGACATTGTAGTTCTGAGAACAGCAATTGAGAATTTAGAAATAAAGAAGGAAGGATATAACTTGAGCAGTGATAGCTCTTTTGGGGCTACTTGAATAATCAAAGGGCACTGGAGCGGTTTTATCTCATAGAAAAAGTTCTGTAAACTCTGTAAGAGTCTTACATATTCATTATAAACTGATAGATTTATTGAGTACATTTAAGTAATTTAACATGGAAGCAATCTCATGCAAAATCAGAATTTCAATATTTTCTATTTTCTTGATTGGCACAATGCCAAAATTTTCATTAGTTCTAACAGGCAAGAAACTGATTTGTGGAAATGATATAATGAATGATATCAGGGAGAAACTGTCCATGTTAATTGTATTCAAGCACTTTTCTATGCCTGCATAGAGTCTTTCTCATTTTCCAAACCATATTGCCTTAGTCAGTCTTCTTATATCTCTCAGGCTGGTGGAAGGCTAAACTTAAGAATGTTTTCCTAAGGTTTGGTAGATTGAATTCCTGGGCCCCAATTCTTCAGTCCTTGAAATGGCCTCATGGCAGGTGATTTTTAGACTTGATTTTTGAATTTTACTTTGGTCAATGCGGATTTTAGTAGGTGTGACATGTGCAGAGGCCTGAAATATGCTTGAGTGGTTATATTTGCTCTCTTGTGCAGTTGCTTTCTGCTAGAGAAGAACATGCTTTGTGTAGCCTTGTCCAAGGATGACGAAAGACATGGAAAATACTTGTATTCAACTCGAAGTTTGGAGTCAAGGCCAGCTGAACCTAGCCTAAATCAGCCGAACCCCAGCTGAGTCACATACGCATATGTTGTCTGCCCTGAATTTTGGAGTGGTTTGTAAGACCACGTTTTTGTAGCAGTAGATGACTGATAAAGGATGAAAGATGTTCTGTTTGCTTAGTAACAGCTTTAGCTTCATTGTGCTAATGAGAAAAATGAAACACTAATTAAGTGATGTGCCTGAGATCAGACCAAACATCAGAAAATAATCTGAGACCACCTGTGTCAACATTACTTTACCTTGAGCCAGGGCATTTTAAATAAGACTCTACACCAATAAACATCTTGGTTGTTTGCTTCAGAAAATTTTTTGCAAAGCAATTTTTCTGGGCAAATAGTTTTCTTATCTGGGCAAATAACTAGTAAGAACATTAGTTTGGTCACCTGAACAAACATCATCTATCAGGGTATTAATTAATTTATTAAGACTTACTTTAAAACTTTCAATTCAAATTCTAAACTATTAGGGCATTAACTTGGCCAATTCTAACTAGTTCCCCTTTTTGCCAATTCTAACTAGTTGCCCTCTTGAAGACCTGGTTTATACCCCATGAGCACAAACTCTAAAACTTCCTGTTCTTCCCTAACCTCTCTACCTTTGAGAGATGACTCAAACTGTCAAATTGATATTCTTTCCTGCTGAAGTAAATTTAATCACTCAGCTTTGGCCAGTTGCAGTGGCTCACACCTGTAATCCCAGTACTTTGGGAGGCTGAGGCGGGTGGATCACGAGGTCGGGAGTTTGAGACCAGCCTGGGCAATATGGTGAAACTCCTACTCTACTGAAAAAATACAAAAATTAGCCGGGCGTGGTGGCACGTGCCTGTAGTCCCAGCTACTCAGGAGGCTAGGGCACAAGAATTGCTTGAACCCGGGAGGTGGAGGTTGCAGTGAGCCGAAATCACACCACTGTACTCCGGCCTGGTGACCGAGCAAGACACCATCTCAAAATAAAAATAAAAAAAAGATCACTCAGCTTTACTTGATCAACAGTTTTTTGGTGGTCTTCGTGTAAGAATTGACAGCTGACATACCTTAGAATTATTTTGTTGAGCATTAATAAATGCATGTGTTAGTAAGAATAGCAAAATCCTGAATGTGCACTTATTGGCTTCCAGTTCTTTTTGTTCTACTATGAACTGGCACAATTGGTCTATTTATCAGGCTATCATCTATAAAGGAAAAGGATCAGAAAGATTATCTTGAAAGTTTCCTGGTCTAAAACTCTATGATTCTAAGATTCTGAAGTTTTCAAACACACATGTAAAAAAATTACTGGAACAGTTTGTTGTTTTTTAAATATCTCTTAATAGGAAGTGCACAAATTGTAAAAATTTAAATAAGATTATTTTATTATGGCTCCTTTAAGGAATCTATGATAGCATGTCTTTAAAAACACTGTTATAATGAATGCTTTAAATTAAAGGGTTTTTTTGGTTACACAAAGTGGTTTACACTAAGAGTCTGAATCTAAATATATTATTTCCCTTATGTTAATTGTATTTTCATATAATAACATTTCAACTATTTAGAATTCACCGGCAAGCAATATTGTCTATCCTGAATAGAAGTTCTACCTACCATCAGGAGGTAAGCAAAAAAGCCTCCTGCCAAAGAAATTCCACATAAGTTGATGACAACTTGTTTCATTAGGTCTTCTCTCAGAGGATATTTAATATTATTTTGCACACAATATTAACATGTCTTATATAGACTAGAAACAACAAAATAAACTGTAGAGTGATGCTATATGCAGGTACAGTGATAAATGTAGAAGTAAGAGAGCAGATTATCCACAATGGAGGAAACCACATAATTATGAAAAGTAGCTATTATGATCACAAAGTACAAAGTCTGGAGACATTTAAAATGGTCAGTCTTATGCACTTTTTATATACAGATAGTGAAATAGCAGATGTTCATAATAATCATGTTTCACCATCTGGATGCAGACTTACATTCTCAGCAGAATTTTTTATTTAAGGATTCAGATAAACGTATAATATATTTTAGAAACATTTACAAACCAAAATTTTGCTTTTTAACTTTTAGAGGTAAAACATCATATGTCTATAAAATCTGACTATGCAAAATAATGTTATTCAAAGAATTCTAGACAGCTGGAGTTTTACAATTTTTAGCTTTCTGAAATGTTCTCTAATGTTTTCCTGATTTGCTCTCTCTTGGTTTTAAACCCAACTTTTTTGATTCAAGATTTTATTACATATAGATTTCTTTACTATTTTATAAGCAGTTAATATTTTTATATTGGTAAGAATAAAATTTTGTCTTTTATTTTTAGTTCCACCTTCCTCTTTTTCTTTCGAAACTCATTATTTCAAATATATCAGGAGAATCTTATTCACTAGCAAAGGTCAACTCTAAATAGGAAAATGTTACATTTTTAATTGAATCTATGTTTGCTATGGAAGTAAATTCAATTGAAAGAGATTTTTTTCTTCTAAGTAAAAAACTTTCATTTCTTATAAATAAAATACAGATTAATTACACCTTGTGATCCAGTTGTAATGATTCCATAGCCTTAGCAGAAAATAGTCTGGTCTTTTGGAGGAAGGTCACATTAGAACATCACTTTGAAGTGAGGCTTTGCACTCTTTTAATATTTTTGGCAGTTTAACTGCAATATCTTTCATATGTGAAATAACTAGGGTGTTTAAACAACTTATAAGAAACTGTTAAATAGTAAGAGTTCAAACTTCTATTGCTCCACTTAGCACTATGAATACATAAACAATAAAAAAGAAGAGGTAAAGAAAACAACTTATAACCCTCAAATAGATGATGGACAAAATGGATGAAGAAGGAAAAAATTTATATTTAGAATTTACAAATTAAAATTTCTTAGCACAATAATAACGGCTGTGTCCAAAGGAAAAATTCATCAACCAGAAAAAGGTTGATATATTTCTAACATAACATTGATTTATTTCAATTAACAATAGTTTGAACAATTTATTTTTCGAGTTCATTATAATTATAAAATATTTTCTGACAAGCTGATTAATAACAGTACTACCTTATAAGTACCATTAGAGTAGCTCTATAGATCTAGTGTTGAGTTAGATTTGTAACAGTGAAACAACAAAAGAACTAGTAAAACTACATTTTTGTTTAAGGGGCTTTTACACTTTTCTGGACATAGGCAAGGATAATTTTAAAGACTAACATGATATGCAAAACTAACAATAATAGTTTTTGTTTTTTTGTTTGTTTGTTTATTTTTGAGACAGAGTCTCGCTCTGTCGCCGAGGCTGGAGTGCAGTGGTGTGATCTCGGCTCACTGCAACCTCTGCCTCCCAGGTTCAAGCAATTCTCCTGCCTCGGCCTCCCGAGTAGCTGGAACTACAGGCACACGCTGCCACGCCCGGCTAATTGTTTGTATTTTAGTAGAGACGGGGTTTCGCCGCGTTGCCCAGGCTGGTCTCCAGCTCCTGAGCTCAGGCAATCCGCCCACCTTGGCCTCCCAAAGTGCTAGGATTACCGGCATGAGCCACCGCGCCCGGCCCCCACAAGAATGTAGTTTTAAAAAACTAATTCTGGCATGAAAAGGTAAGGACATATACAACTATGTTTTGGTAAAGATTTATAGGACACTATGACCTGTTCAAGGCCAAAGAAGTTCCCACCCTCCTCGGACCCTCACTGGTGCCCAGATTTCTGCGATCACCAGTCACTTCTTGATCCCAACCGTGTTCTCTTCTGCCCACTCTTAACATAAGAAGAGCCTGAAATTTGTACTGACTTAAGATGGTATTTTAGGACACAAGTCCACCATATTCTCAGTTTGCTGGCTCTCCTAATAACCCTGCTTTTTCTCCTACCAACTCTTGTCTCTCGTGTTTGGCTTTTGACTAGCAAGTAGCCAAATCTGGTTTTGGTTACAATTTGATAGTGCCCAGCATGGGGCTGTGTGTCTTGGATGTTCTAGCTTGCCCCATTTCCGACAGCAGTGGAGCAATTAGCCACGGCAGAGTCCCAGGACTTAACTGTTTGCATTACTGGGCAGAGCAGTTAAATGAGTTAATGATTCCATTTTAGCTAGAACTGGTTGAACACTATAAGAAAACCAAAATCTCCAAGTAACCTTAAATTTGTGAGTTTTATATCAACATCAGTAGCTTAATAACAGCAGATTCAAATTAGGCAGAAAAGAGAAAAATAGAATTTTAGAAGACACTGCTTAACTTTATAGTTGTAGATTGACAATTTGAGCTCTGAATTTTTCTTACTGCAATTTGCCCATTAGTTTTAAAATGTGCACAAAACAGTCCACAATATGTAACCCGCTGAAGTCCCAGAAAACCTGGCATGCCTTTGAAGTGTAAGCCCAGGGCCCACAAAAAACAACAGACAAATTCAAATGACCTGGTTCTCAGATTGGGTAAAAGTCCAACAACTATTTCCCTCTCCCACAGGATACCCCGATCAAATACAAAAACAAAGCAGTGAATTCTGAGGAAAAGCCCACATGGAAGGGAAGGCAGTTCTTGGTTGCACACACTGGAGTGACTTACCAGTCTTGGAGCCTGTCAATACTTCTTTTCCTGGCACCAGCAAAGCTTTACAGGCAGCTGATACCAAGAAGAAGGAAGAAAGAAGGGAGAATCTCTGAGACAAAAGCATTATTGGCAGCTGCTGGGATGTCTCTGGAATTCCAGTCATGGTGTCAGCTAGCCATGAGCAACTGGCACTCTTGACTGGTTGTTGATCTGCCTGATAGTGTGAATGGTAATTCCTGGGACACTGCTGTGGCCGATTGCTCCATCCATTGGAAATCCCGCAGGCTAGGACACCCAAGGCACACAGCCCCACATTGGGTGCCATAAAACTGTAACCAAACCCAGATTCAGCTACTCACTGCTCAAAAGCTAAACACGAGAGACATGAGTTGGTGGGAGAAACAACCAGTTTATTTGGAAAGCCAGTAAACCAAGAAGATGGTGGACTTGCATCCTAAAATAAGTCAGTACACATTTCAGGCTCTTTTTATGTTAAGGGTGGGGGGAATAGAAGGGAGTTGGGATGAAGAGGTGACTGATGATCACAGACATCTCGGCACCAGCAAGGCTCTAAGGAGGTTGGGAATCATTTCGTCCTTGATCGGGTCACAGTGTTCCTATAAATATTTAACAAAACATAGTTGTTTACATACTTACCCTTTAATTCCAGGGTTAGTTTTAAAAAACTATATTTTGTTGTTTTTGTGTAGTATCTCAGTGCTCTAAAGTTAAGTTATCCTTGCCTATGTACAGGAATAGATAAAGGCCCCTTAAACAAAAATGAAGTTAGCTATTTTTTTTTTTGAGATGAAGTTTCACTCTTGTTGCCGAGGCTGGAGTGCAATGGCACGATCTCGGCTCACCACAACCTCCGCCTCCTGGGTTCAAGTGATTCTCCTGCCTCAGCCTCCTGAGTAGCTGGGATTACAGGCATGCGCCACCACACCTGGCTAATTTTGTATTTTTAGTAGAGACGGGGTTTCTCCATGTTGTTCAGGCTGGTCTCAAACTCCCGACCTCAGGTGATCCGCCTGCCTCAGCCTCTCAAAGTGCTGGGATTACAGGTGTGAGCCACCGCGCCTGGCCTGTTAATTCTTTTGCTGTTTTGCTGTTATAGTTTGAGAACAAACATATTTTAAAATAAATAAAACAGCATACTAACTTCTACAAAACCAACCACTAATTCCCATTTGGTGATGTCATACTCCATTTTTTGTTTTACTTAAGTACATTTGCCTTTTACTACCACATATTGTTTATGCTCACACATTTATTTAAATATCAAATGGAAATGAAGTAGAAATAATACTATTTTTAAAAATCTAAAATTTTAAAAACTTTAAAATTTTTAAAATTTTTAAAAATTTGACTCTCAGGAAGATAAATGGATACCTCCTGTGGTCTCAAAAATTCTAGACTATAAGCTGATGAACTGCAAATTATCATTCACAATTCTGATTTAATGATTAGATAATCAAGGGTTTTCAAATATTTTGAGAATGATTAAATGCATGTTAAACTAGTATATTTGCTAAATCACTGACAGTTTCACTGAATTTGCATATACTTATTTGTGAAGTATGGAACTATCATTTTCCTGGATAACCTTCTGTTTTTAAACTATTTCCTTGCTAAGATTTCAGATCTATTGGGAAGAATTATCTTCTATTTTAAAACAGATATAAATAAAAATACAGGAATGATTTTAGTGAAATAAACATAAAATTTTGCATTTCTATCAAGTTTCCAAGTGATCTTGCTGCTGCTGGTCTGAGCACTAAACTTACAGAACTTTCCAGAGCCACTTGAGAGAAAGATAGTTGACCTTGAAATTATAAAATCAGTATTACAGTTTTAAATAGAAACTAAACTATGATATCATAAAGTTTAAAATTTATTTTCAAAATGTATTCTATATAGCTGCATGTCATTATATATTGTAGAATTCGCTTTTCTTCTTTTAATTTTTGGGATTGTTTTCCTCCTTGTTAGTCTTCATTTTGTTCTCAACCCAAGCTGTGTCTCCCCTCTCCGTCATTGTTTTGGTAACATTTGTCTGATTTTATGGTTACTATATATTACTAAAACGGCAACTTCCTGGAGTAATTTTTCGGATAAGTAATCATTAGAATGTAAGCTTTCTGACACAAGGAACCATATACCGTTCATCTTTAAATCCCCACCTCCCTCTTATAACTAATGCGTAGCACTGAGTATTGTACATAAAATAAACACATAGGTATTGAATAAATATTATTACATTTTTGACTCTATTTCTTTTTTCTGAAGACCATAAAAAACACATATAGAGTTTAAATCATCTGAAATTTAAATACGGGGAGATGAAGAAAGTAGGAAGAGAGGAATGGAAGCCTATAGGGGTCTGTAGGAAGAGAAGGTAGTATGAAATGATTAAACCTGAATCAATCAGGATCTTAAATTATTAATTCCTTTATTTGAATGTACCATGTTTCTTTGTTATTTATTTGGTGTTTTATAGCACAATATATCAAGAGGAAGCAACCAATCCAGATATATTGATTAGAAATGAGTTTAAAAATTAAATAGAATTTTACCTGAAAATAGTTTTTAGAGGACACTGGCTAAATCCAGTCACTATTAAACAAGTCAAATGAAATGAAGTAGTAGAGAATACTTCATAGGACAAAATTAATTGATTTATATCAAGGAACTCATGAAAATAACTGGCAGTTATATATATTTTCTCAAGTGAGAGAATCCTTGTTTAATCTCTGTAAAAGGTATATAGTAAGTGATTTTTATTATTCTAATATATGTTTGAAATGGAAATATTTCATGATATAAAAATATGAAATCTTATTGAAAGACATAAAACAAGATTGAATAAATAGGAAGGCCTAATATGTCTTAGGAAGGTTTACTATCATTTGGAAGTCACTCCTTCTAAAATTAATAACTTAATTAAGTTATTAATAGAATCCCAAAATGTTTCATTAGGGGGGGAAATGTATACAATAATATTAATGTTTATTGCCTGAAAGAGCTGAAGAGGGTATGCAAAAGGACCAAGAAAAGGATCTTGACTTTCCAGTTATCAGAATATCAAAACTGAAAACCACTAAACACAAATCAATATGGTATTACTGTTGAGAAACAGATGAATAGATTATAAGAATAGAACAAATATTTCATAAACAAATCTCATAAAATTAAAAATTTAATGTACACAATGAGATAGTCAATGAGAAGGAAGAAATTATTTTAAAAACATTTCTGGTATTATTGTCTATCCACCTGGAAGAAATTGGAATCTATTTTGTCTTTTACACAAAAATGAATTCCAGATGAATTAAAGACATAAATATGGAAAAATAAAATACAAGAACCTTGCAAGAATATCAAGGAATGTGTTTATACAATCTAAGGTTTAACAAAATATTCTTAATCAAGATTGTAAACTCAGTATACATTTTTAAAAAATAGCCACAATTGACCACAGGAAATTTGAAAGCTATTTCTTTTCACAAAATATTAGAAATAAAGTCAATAACAAGATGGTAATTGTAGAAATATTTGTAACAGAATTGATAGGCCAAGGCCTAATATCAATATTTACAAATTGACAAGAATATTATAGAAAATAGGCCAGGCGCAGTGGCACACCTGTAATCCCAGCACTTTGGAAGGCCAAGGCGGGAGGATCAAGAAGTCAAGAGTTCGAGACCAGCCTGGTCAACATGGTGAAACCCCATCTCTACTAAAAATACAAACATTAGCCAGGTGTGGTGGTGCATGCCTGGAATCTCAGCTACTTGGGAGGCTGAGGCAGGAGAATTGCTTGAACCCAGGAGGCGGAGGTGGCAGTGTGTGGAGATTGCATGACTGCACTCCAGTCTGGGCAACTAGAGCGAAACTCCGTCTCAAAAAAAAAAAATATATACACAGAGTAATTACAATAATGGGTAACTAGCTTTTGAAAACAATTCTGAGTTTTACAGTGTGTATAAAGTCAGTATAAAATTTGTGAATAAATGAAATATATATAGATTTCTTAAAATTCTGTGATTTTACTTGGAGGAATTGAAGAAAGTCTATGTTTTGGGAATTCCCTACTGAATAGTGGAGAGAACAAAAAAAAGAAAGAAAATAGGAAAATGATAGAAGACATTTTACAATATTGTAAATTGAAATGACAAGCATAAAAATGACACTGTAGTTCACTATTTGTTGAGGAATGAAAACTAAAGTAATATTGAGATATCAGGTTATCCCCAAAGAAGAGTGAAAAATTAAAGAGAAAGCTGTACGTGTATATATTACAGATAAAAATGTGAGGTTTTATAGTTTTTTGGGGAAAGCAATCTGGCAATAGCCATTGAAATTAAAAACAAACACATACTTTGATCCAGCTCTTCTGTAATTCTCAGAAACTTTACTATAAAAAGCAAAGCATCATTAATTAAAACTACATGTACATGAATTTTATTGTGATAGTGCTCATGGTGGCATTATACAGGGAAGATTAAATACATTCCATTATATGTACATCAAAGAATAAAATATAGCCACCAAAAATAAACTGTATTAATGCAAGTTGACTTAGATGCTTTTCTATAAGGCATTTTTGAGTAAGAAAAGCAAGAGGAGAAAAGATAAATATAATGTCATCCATTTTTGTAAAACATAAAATAACCAAGAAGCCCTTTATTTCTATCTGAATAGGCATATTTGAATTATATGAATATCAATACTGCAAAGGGTCTGAGATTTTATTCTATTTGCAAACTAACAAGTTAGCCTTCTTATGTTTTACAGATGTTGATAGAAAACATGAGACTCCTGGGTCAGAAACTAAGAGGTTTATTACTCATGGCACAGAAAACAGAATGATCATTTTCATATTTGTAATAGTTCCCTTTGCCCTGGAGTCTTACAGGGGTGACATGGAAAGCCACCTGACATCTGCAGAAGAAGAGGGTTGCATTGTAGAATGGATAGAGCCAAGAGTCCTGTACTTTTTGAGCAAACCAAAAACCATAGTATGCAGCAAAGAAGCTAGTCCCCCTTTTGCTGGGAGCAAAAAGTTACCCAATAGATAGTCAAGTTGTGATAGGGAGTCAAACCGTGGTCTCCTTGACCTATGTTGTTACAAATGTGACAAGAGAAACTGCTTGGTGTGAGAAAACTGATAAGCCTTGCAATCTAGCCTACTTAGTAAGAACACGAAGTGATATTTAGGGGCCATGGTGAGCTGCAAAGGAGCATGGAGAAAAATATAGAACATGTATCATATTTTCAAAACAATTGACTTTGCAGGGAATGAGTTGATGTAGGGGGAAGGGTGAGAAGATGTAGAAGAATGAAGCAAACAAAAAAGAAATAAAAAAACTGCATTTAATAAACACATAATCACAAATATATGTATATATGTATATACATTTATGTATAATTATGTTTTTAATTCAAAGTATAAGTTATGAATAATTTTTTTAAGGTTACAACCCCTGGTATTTGGCCATTTTAATCTGTAAATTAAATACTTCAGTGGCTTCCTATTGATTTTAGGATAAGGTCTATATGTAGTGCCTAAATATGACTTGCAGTGACTTCCACATATAATTCCTGCTTGATTGTTGATCCTCACCTTTAGCTGCAGCCATTGTTCTACACCAGACATTCTGCATATTGTGACTATGCCAAAGATCACAAAGCAGGAAAAATTATGCCGACTCATTGATGCTTACCTTCAGTGATATAACAGTTGGTTTAGAAATGTGACAGTATTGAAAAGATACATGTCTTCCCTTATTACAGTTTTGGAGTTTCATTGCTGCTCCAAAGAATGGTAGGTACAAAAAGAGTTCTGCTAAAGGTATAAATAATTTTTACACTTATGTTAATTAATGTTGGTCAATCACTACAATCTAAGCATTTGTTTTTTAAAAGGTAATGATTTTTTGTTACTTTGAAGAAGTGCATCCATGTATACTAACAGTAAGTAAACAAGAAGACAAGTTTTTCTACAGAGTATTTCAGAATTCTCTCTGAAACTTTAATTGTGTTACATTTAAATTTTTAACATTTTAAAACCTAATCTAATTATAAAACTCTAAATGGTAAATATTTTAGTATGTGTGTAAGAGAAGTTTTAATAATCAACAATAATTTGGGTTAAGGTATTCCAGACACAGAAAATTTGAGGAGGAGCATTTCCTGCAGAGTGTGTGGTACATTCTTGACCCTTCCACTCTGATCAGCTTCAATTAGAAAGAAAGAGGCGGGTGCGGTGGCTCACGCCTTCAATCCCAGAACTTTCGGAGGCCAACATGGGTGGATCACAAGGTCAGTAGTTCGAGACCAGCCTGACCAACATAGTGAAACCCCGTCTCTACTAAAGATACAAAAAATTAGCTGGGCGTGGTGGCACGCACCTGTAGTCCCAGCTACTTGAGAGGCTGAGACAGGAGAATTGCTTGAACCTGGGAGGCGGAGGTTGCAGTGAGCAGAGAGCGCACCACAGCACTCCAGCCTGGGCGATGGAGCGAGACTCTGTCTCAAAAAAAAAAAAAAAAAAGAAAAAAGAAAAAAGAAAAAGTATACAAGACTATACAAGCATGCATATTACTTTGCTTTACACAATTGGTGGTCTACTATACATACTTTATAGCAAAATATATTTGAAAAGCCAAATGAAAAATGGGAAACATGTTTTTTATGAAGAAAAGAGATAATTTCTTGAGAGGGAGAAAAACTGAATCACCACTCTCTTATTCGTTTAGAGTTTAGTGTAGATTAATGTGATAGAACATCCTAACCCCAAAGGAACAGGTTATTTCCAAGGGAGCGGTTTTCTCTACTGTATGCAAAGACCAAAAGTAAGAGGAAAAGTGTTTCCAAGATGGAAAGGGTGAGGAGGGATATTGGTGAGCTTCATTACCAGGCTAATCCTCTCGCATCAGAGACAATTGCTTGCCCTAGGGGTGAAGACATCTTAGTCAGCACTGCCTAAACAAGGTAGTTTGTGCAGGATATGTATTCTGTCTGCATCTGAGTTTTCTCACTGCTCCCTCAGCAACTGCTTCAAAGGATTATATTGTGGGATCAAATAAAACATTCCAGATACAGCATCCAGTATGTTTTAGCTGTCATTGTTCTAATAGTCTCAGCCCTGGAAAACTAGCAAAAATCATGAAATTGCTCCTAATTTAAGACTTTATCTTGTGCCCGCTCACCACACCAAGAAGTAGATGCCTTCATGTGGGTGGTATCCGTAGATCTTAGGCATAACTATATGGGTAACAGTGGTATGGGAGTGCTTTGAGTGGTACAGGGCAATTTGCTGAGTGCCCTTCACAGTAAGGTCAGGTAGAAAGACAGTGTCTCAGACACACTTTCCACATTACTTCTCTCTCAGAAGCCAAAATAGTGAGTAATCTTACTAAAGAGAGGCAGTTTTTCATGACTGAAGCTTTCTTAGAAAATAGAATATTTATTTCCCTCTAAATTCAAGTTTATAATCGAGTAGCCATTGGATTTTCTGGGATGTTTATTAAAAATTCGTGATCAACCAGCAATAATTTTCAACTGTCTCAGTCTCTGGGAACAATCATCCTTATTCAAATGTTCCCTGGCTGCTAAGTTCACTCATCTGAATATTTTATATTCTATTTCTTTTTTAATGTTTCAAATGTTTCTACGTAAAAACAAAAAAAGATTCCAAAGCATTGACTGTTTAAAGTAGGTAAATATGAAAAAATGGTAATGAATGGGTAGATTTACATAAGTAAACTTTGTCTGGATATTGGAATTATTAAAGAATTTAAAAATAACATTGTGCTGTAAATGCAAGAGTAATGCTAGGGAATATTGATAGGATGTCAGTTTTCATAGGTTGTAGTTAAAGTAGGGAAAATTGAAGCCGTCATAGCTGTCAGCATAATTGTACCATCCTTGTCTCAGGAAACCTTTCTCCTGCTCTAGTTTGTCATCAGCAACTACTGTCTCTAAAGTTCCTGTGATATTCTTATAAACACAAATTATTTTTCTTCTACAAATTTTATGAAAACTTTACAATCATCTGCTTGTGCCTAATTAATTTATAAAGTTATTGATAAGGATTTATGAAATACGTAAGTCCTGAAAATCAGGGTGTGTCTGTGTCAGGTAGGAGGGTACCTCTAGACCTTAATTCAATTAACATCAAGGAAGTAATTTAGATTCAAAGTAGGGTTTAAAGCAAGTACACATATTGAACTGCAGAAGTGGCTTATCATAAAAAAATATATTTTTTAGGGGCCTGGCATGGTAGCCCATGCCTATAATCCCAGCAATTTAGAGGGCCAAGGTGTGAGGATTACTTGAGGCCAGGAGTTCAAGACCAGCCTGGGTAGTGCAGTGAGATCCTGTCTCAAAAAAAAAAAAAAAAAGAAAAAGAAAAAGAAAAGAAAAATCTGGGCATTGTGGCATGCATCTGTAGTCTCAGCTATTCCAGCTACTCAGGAGGTTGAGGTGGGAGGCTTCCTTGGGCTCATAAATTTGAGGCTACAGTGAGTTATGATCATGCCACTGCATTCCATCCTGGGTGACAGAGGGAGACCCTGTCTCTAAAAAAAAATACATTTTTAATTAAAATCTGACTAACCCTTATGTATTTCACATATGGGTCTTAGCTTTCATTACTCTCATGTTTTCTGAATCTCTGATTTGTGTGGTTCTGTGCACAAGAATCTGTCTCAACAGTCCCAGGATCTGACCAGCTTGGATACGATGTACTAACTGGCCTATTCACTACCAAACTTGCTTTCCTACCTCCAGGAAGGAAATGGAGCTAAAATGAGTTATCTTTTACAAAGGGAACAATTCAAACTCTGCTTCCCATTATCTAAAAAGAATTGAGCATTGCATTATGTGCTTAGAAAAAATTTTTTTCTTCTCCTTCTTTCTTTCCTTCCTTCCTTCCTCCCTATTTCTGTCTCTTTCTTCTTTCATGTAATATGCATAATTGTAGACATGCTAAGACATGTTAAAGTCAATCAGGGATTACACAATACTTTAGATAAATCTACTCTGTTTCAGGTATAGGATGTGACAGTTGAGGATCAGGAGAACTTGCAATGGCTGGAAGAAGGCTCTCTCCAGCAAGACTGTCTTGGAAATTGCTGTATACCCCACTGCATATCGAACAGTGGAATTTTCTTAAGCAAGTCTCCACTGCTCAAAGTGGGCATTAGATGTGTGTTAAATGTTCACTGCTAGAATTGTCATAATGCTTTCCCAAGTCAGACTTCCATTTCTTTTTTAAATACATTTAAAACTTTTTATTTTGATAGAATTTTAGATTTACAGAAGAGTTACAAAGATAGTATAGCTTAACTCAGCTTTTCCTTTTTTATTTTTTATTTTTAACTTTTAAGTTAAGTTCAGGGGTGTTGTGGTACATATACACCATGGAATACTTTACACCCATTAAAAAGAATGAGATCACGTTCTTTGCAGGGACATGGATAGAGCTGGAGGGCATTATCCTTACCAAACTAACACAGGAACAGAAAACCAAATGTGGCATGTTCTCACGTATCAGTGGGAGCAAAATGATGAAAACACATAGACACATAGAGGGGAACAACAGACTTCCATTTCTATCTACCTCTTTCTCTGCACAATTCTTCTGTCTTGCCAGTCATTGTCTTTGTTGCTTTCTTTACCACTGTTTTAAAGTCCTTCTCTTCTCAGTCCATAGATAGTGCCTGATGAGGAAGTGAACAAGATAGAGGAGGGTGCCCTGGACTTCAAAGGTAGCCCATTCAGTTTTCTCCTATGTATGAAAACAAACCATATTTTTTCATCTGTGTCATGAGAATAGCACTTTCAGGTCTAAATTCACAAAGGCACATCATATTAGCCCTTTTGTGTGTGGTAAGAACACTGAATATGAGGTCTACCCTCTCAACACATTTTAAAGTACACAATACAATGTTATTGTATATCAGATAGTTTTAGGAAAAAACCCTCAGCAGCAAAACAAATCTTGAAATAGTATGGAAGTAATGGTGATTCCATACAGAGTCAATTTACCAGGAGGTCTTGTTGAATTGCAAGTGACAGAAAGCCCAACAGAAACTGACTTAAGCAAAAGGAATTTATTGTTTTAAAAGAAAGGTCAATGGTGAGGCTTGTTTAAGGAAATGTTAGAATAAAGGTTCAAGCAACTCTTTAAAAATTTTTTTATTTCAGAATAGTTTTAGATGTACCAAGAAGTTGCAAAGATAAAGAAAGTTCCCATATACTCATATTCAGTTTTCCCTACTTTGAACATCTTACATCAATATGGTGCATTTGTTACATCTAATGAACCATTATTGACACATTATTATTAACTAAATAAAGTCCATACTTTATTCAGATATCCTTCGTTTTTACATAATATTCTTTTTGCCCTAGGATCCCACATTACATTCAGTCAGCATACCTCTTTAGGGATCTCTTGGTTGTGAAAGTTTCCCTCTTTTCTTGTTTGATGATTGATATGGTTTGGCTGTGTCCCACCCAAATATCATCTTGAATTGTACTCCCATAATTCTCACATGTTGAGGGAAAAATTCTGTGGGAGAAAATTAAATCATGGGGGTGGTTTCCCCCATACTGTTCTTGTGGTAGTGAATAAGTCACACAAGATCTGATGGTTTTCAAAACAGGAGTTCCCTGCACAAGCTCTCTTTGCCTGCTGACATTGATATAAGATGTGACTTGCTCCTCCTTGCCTTCCACCATGATTCTGAGGCCTCCTCAGCCACGTGGAACTGTGAGTCCAATTAAACCTCTTTATTTTGTAAATTGCCCAGTCTCAGGTATGTTTTTATTAGCAGCATGAAAACAGACTAATACAGTAAATTGGTTCCAGGAGTGGGGTGTTGCTGAAAAGACAGCCAAAAATGTGAAAGCAACTTTGGAACTTTGTAATAGGCAGAGGTTGGAACAGCTTGGAGGGCTCAGAAGACAGGAAAATGTCGGAGAGTTTGGAACTTCCTAGAGACTTGTTGAATGGCTTTGCCCAAAATGCTGATAGCAATATGGACAATGAAATCCAGGCTGAGGTAATCTCAGATGGAGATGAGGACCTTGTTGGGAACTGGAGCAAAGGTGGCTCTTGTTATGTTTTAATAAAGAGATTAGTGGCATTTTGCCCCTGCCCTAGAGATTTGTCGAACTTTGAACTTGAGAGAGATAATTTAGGGTATCTGGCAGAAGAAATTTCTAAGCAGCAAAGCATTCAAGAGGTGACTTGGGTGCTGTTAAAGGCATTCAGTTTTATAAGGGAAGCAGAGCATAAATGTTCGGAAAATTTGCAGCCTGACAATGTGATAGAAAAGAAAAATCCCATTTTCTGACGAGAAATTCAAGCCAGTTGCAGAAATTTGCGTAAGTAACAAGTAACCGAATGTTAATCCCCAAGACAATAGGAAAAATGCCTCCAGGGCATGTGAGAGGTCTTCACGGCAGCCCTTCTCATCACAGGCCTGGAAGTATAGGAGGAAAAAGTGGTTTTGAGGGCTGGTCCCAGGGTCCCCATGCTGTGTGCAGTCTAGGGACTTGGTGCCCTGTGTCCCAGCTGCTCTAGCCGTGGCTGAAAGGGGCCAAAGTAGAGCTTGGGCCATGGCTTCACAGGGTGCAAGCCTGAAGCCTTGGCAGCTTCTGTATGGTGTTGAGCCTGCCTGTGCACAGAAGTCAAGAATTGGGGTTTGGGAACCTCCACCTAGGTCTCAGAGGATGTATGGAAACGCCTGGATGTCCGCGCAGAAGTTTGCTGCAGGGGCGGGGCTCTCATGGAGAACCTCTGCTAGGGCAGTGCAGAAGGGAAATGTGGGGTCAGGGCCCCCGCACACAGTCCCTACTGGGGCACTGCCTAGTGGAGCCGTTAAGAAGAGGGCCACTGTCCATCATACCCCAGAAAGGTAGATCCACCGATAGCTTGCACTGTGCACCTGGAAAAGCTGCAGACACTCAATGCCAGCCCATGAAAGCAGCCAGGAGGGAGATTGTACCCTGCAAAGCCACAGGGGTGGAGCTGCCCAAGACCATGGGAAACCATCTCTTGCATCAGCTTGACCTGGATGTGAGACACGGAGTAAAAGGAGATCATTTTGGAGCTTTAAGATTTGACTGCCTTGCTGGAGTTTGGACTTGCATGGAGCCTGTAGCTCCTTTGTTTGGCCAATGTCTCTCATCTGGAATGGCTGTATTTACCCAATCCCTGTAACCCCACTGTATCTAGGAATTAACTAACTTGCTTTTGATTTTACAGGATCATAGGTAGAAGGGACTTGCCTTGTGTCAGATGATACTTTGTACTGTGCACTTTTAGGTTATTGCTGAAATGAGTTAAGACTTTAGGGGACTGTTAGGAATGCAGGATTGGTTTTAATATGTGAGGACATGAGATTTGGGAGGGGCCAGGGGTGGAATGATATTGTTTGGCTGTCTCCGTCCAAATCTCATCTTGAATTATACTCCCATAATTCCCACATGTTGTGGGAGGAACCTGGTGGGAGATAATTGAATCATGGGGCTGGTTTCTCCCATACTGTTCTTGTGGTAGTGAATCAGTCCCATTAGATCTGATGGTTTTAAAAACGGGAGTTCCCTGTACTAGCTCTCTTTGCTTGCCACCATCAATGTAAGAAATTACTTGCTCCTTCTTGCCTTCTGCCATGATTATGAGGCCTCCCCAGCCACATGAAACTGTGAGTCCAGTTAAACCTGTTTCTTTTGTAAATTGCTCAGTCTTGCATATGTCTTTATCAGCAGTGTGAAAATGGACTAATACAATGATGTTGATAGTTTTGAGAAGTACTGGTAAGGTATGTTGTAGAATTTCCCTCAGTTGATATTTATCTGATGTTATCTCTTGATTGATTTGTGGTTATTGGTTTTGGGGAGTAAGATCACAGAGATGAAGTGCCATTCTCATTACATCATACCAAGAGTACATATTGTCAACATGACTTATCACTGTTGAAATTAATCTTGATCACCTGGGTGTGGTGGTGTTTATCAGCTTTCTTCACTGTCAAGTTGGGATTTTACTATACAAGAAACTCACTATGTGTAGTCTATACTTAAGGAACATGCAGCTATGCTCCATCTCCTGGAATGTAGAGTATCTACATAAATTACTTGAAATTATTCATCACGGGAGATTTTCCCATTCTTCTCCATTCATTTATTTATCATTTAATCATTTATTTGTATCAGTATGGACTCACAGATATTTCTTTTATACTTTGAGTTATATTTCAGTACTACTTTATTAATTTGATTGCTCAAATTGTCCTAGCTTCACCTAGGACAATTGGCTGCTGTGTCCTTTTGACCTATGTCCATCACTTTGAGATTTTTTTTTTAGAGGTGGGATCTTTTTTACTTTCTGGAACTGTAAGATCCTCTAGGCTCATCTTGTTTATTCCCAGTCAAGCCCTAAAACCAGCCATCTCTCCAAGGAGCCCTCTATCCTTTTAATTAGAAAATGGTGTTAACATCTAAAATCTGAAGTGCTCATTGTAATGGGGGTGTTCTTGCTTCTAGCTTATAGAGCAAAGAAATAAATGTGTGTATATACAGGTTTAAGTCATTGTATCTGGGCTTAAGTTTTCTCTTTCTTCACTCAGGTCTTCCATGCTGACTCAATTCTTAGATAGATAATTTCTTCATACTTGCAATCATGCTGGAGCAACTCCAGAACTAAGTCCCAAGGGGCAGAGTACGAATCTCCCAAAATTTCCAACAAATTCTTACCAAATCTAATTTGGCTCCTTTTAAGACACATACCAACTTCAGAACTGATCACAGTAGCCAAGAATAATGAGATATTCTTTTGGGTTAAACCTGGAACATATGTTCCTTGCCAGAGACAGAGGATTGACCCTGTTTGAACTACATGGGCTCAGAACACTAGAGAAATGAGTTTTCAGTGGTTGTTGGTGAAAAAGTGAAATATATATGCTGTATGTTTGAAATGATACTTTTCCACCATTGTCAATTAGTACTACTTCTATGAATTCAGAAATCTAAAATTGGCCACCACTTACAGTGAAGTCTTGAAAGAAAATAAGATAGTTACTTTTATAAAGAGATGCATCAGTAAATGGCTTGGGCTCTATCTATAGCAAATGAATGCTCGTAACTTCTGAAAATTGAATAGCACTTTACTGTATTATTGCATGTAATTATTTTCTGCTTTAAAACTAAAAATAAAAAGAGTACATCCATTGTCAGCTTCCTTTCTGGTTTTGCTTTTTAAAATAATTTCACTTTTACATAAACGGAGCATTTAGGCTGGGAGGAGATAAAATTTGTTGTCTTTTGTGGTTGTTGCTTTATTTTTACTGTCTCCATTGGTTTTCTTTATTTACCTTTTTCAGTAACACATTCAAAGGGAAAGTAGATAGTTTGCTGTTCATTCATCAAAATATTAAGGCACTTTTTTTCCACTCCAAGGAAGTTTGTGCAGTATATTAAAAAGGAAATATTATAGGATGCAAAGGCATTATAAACCAAACAATTACTGTGGTCTGAAGTTTTTGTTCTTTCTCAGTAAAGCTTTCATACTTCTTTTTAATTAAACTAGTTATTAACAGAATAAAAATTCAAATGTAACACATTTATTTTCAAATTTGTTCCTTGAAAATACATACTAGTTTAAAGATATTAGCAGTCCTCCTAAAAGGTTGCATCAAGTTTTTACTTGAAGGCAATTATTGGTTCTGTTTATATTTGTTAAAATTATTTTTTGCTTTTATTTCATTGCTTTTCAAACCATCGTAGAGACCAAAAGGTTTACAAAAGAAAATGTTAACATAGCTTTAATTGGAATTTTTAAAACCACTTCTGCTTAGGTCCCTGTGAAATGTGTTTCAAATTGTAGTTGAACCACAAATATCTTGGGTGACTTCCAATTTTGAAATCCATGAAATGGATATAATCAAAATAGTAACTCTGAATTAAAATTTTGGCTACTTGAAAACTTCACAGAATTAGACTTACAGGTTTTTATTTGTTTGAGGAGTGTAGTTAATGATACTTATTTCAGTCATAAGTCTTCTGTTTTTGAACTCTTTGGAGAAGAATTTTTTCCCATTTCTCCTCTACATTAAGCAGTGGATATTGGTCACAATTTATTCATTTTATATGACTCTATTAAACTGTTTCCCTTTTTTGAGTGCTGCATATTTCGTTCTTTTTCTTTCTTTCTTTCTTTTTTTTTTTTGAGATGGAGTCTTGCTCTGTTGTCCAGGCTGGAGTGCAGTGGCGTGATCTCAGCTCACTGCAACCTCTGCCTCCCGGGTTGCAGTGATTCTCCTGCCTCAGCCTCCTGAGTAGCTGGGACTACAGGCATGTGCCACCACACCCGGCTAATTTTTTGTATTTTTCGTAGAGATGGGGTTTCACTATGTTATCAAGGATGGTCTCGATCTCCTGACCTTGTGATCCGTCTGCCTTGGCCTCCTAAAGTGCTGGGATTACAGGCGTGAGCCACCGTGCCTGGCTGAGTGCTGCATATTTCTAAAAATATTTAACTTTTATCTTAAGTTGTTTCTATATGTTTAAGTTTCTTCCAAATATAATATCTAATTTAAGCTTGCATATTCATTCAATATTTTAAGCACATTTTATTAACGATTATTTACTGAAAACATTTGATATACCAGACATGGTTATAAGTGCTTTCTACATATTTCGTTTAGTCTTCATACTTTAGTAAGGTAGGTACTAAAATCTCCGGTTTACAGAACAGGAAACTAAGGCTCAGAGAACTTAATTAAGGTCATACAGAAGAGGCAGGAGACAAACATCTGTAGAAGATCACACACTACATCTAAAAAGTCAGAAATAGATGAGCCATTGTAACGAACAAAAACAAATAAAAGTAAACAGTAATCGCTCTGAGAGACCATCCTTCATGTCTTTTGTGTTCCTACATGTCTTGCTGGATATGCCAAAAATGTAAGGCCTTGACCACTCCTTACCCAGGTCATTTGTTAAGGCTGGATTTATAGGAAACAACCTTGAGAGATAAGGTAATGCCTTCTTCTGAAATAAAGAGAAAGCTTTCTGTAAAAGCAGTGGATTCTCCAATGTCAGAATTCTTCTGTATTTTCAGCCTCCTGTAATTGTTCCTTGCATTTAATGAGTACTCAGGAAATGTCTGATGTGAGAAGTCAAGGACAAAGAGTAGGGTAGTAAAAGAATAGGTACCAGGAATGAATTACCCGACTATTATATCTGTGACCCTTGATTATTCTAAAAAATAAAACAATATCAAACACATTTAATAGAAATAACAGCTAACATTTCTTAGTGTCTTCTATGTTCCCAGTAAGTTCTTAATGCTTTTTGTTGCTTTACCCCTTGCAACAGCACTTTGAGGTAGGTAATATTGTTGTCTTTGTTCTACAAATGATGAAACTGGGGCCTAGAGGCATTAAGTAGTAGTTTGCCCAATGTGTCATAGCTAGTAAGTGATGGAAGCAGGCTCTGAAAGCTGTCTCTCTGGCTCTGACACACGTACTCTCAAACACCTCCTTAGGAAGTTACTGCTACCTTTTGGTAATAAATGGGAGCTTTTATAGGATCACTGGCTTCCAGTTTTCACCAAGAAATGTAGAATGAAAAATAATACCATTTGCCCTAGCAATCCCATTACTGGGTATATACCCAAAGAAACAGAAATTGTTCTACCATAAAAACACATGTACATGCGTGTTCATTGATATTCATGATAAAGACATGGATTCAACCTAAATGCCCATCAACGGACTGGATAAAGAAAATGTGGTACACATATACCATGGAATACTATGCAGCCACAGAAGAATGAGATCATGTCCTCTCAGGGACATGAATGCAGCTGGAGGCCATTATCCTTAGCAAACTAATGCAGGAACAGAAAACCAAATACTGCATGTTCTTAGTTGTAAGTGGGAGCTAAATAATGAGAACAAATGGACACAAAGAAGGAACAACAGACACTGGGGCCTACTTGAGGAGGAGAGTGGGAGGAGGGAGAAGATCAGAAAAAATAACTATTGGGTACTACACTTAGTACCTGGGTGACGAAATAAGTTATATACCAAACCCCTGCGACATGAGCTTACCTGCACTTGTACCCCTGAACCTAAAATAAAAGTTAAGGGAAAAAAAAATATTTGCAAAGAAAAGGGCCTTGAATTTGCTTCTGATACATACGCGATATAACCTGAGGAAGATCCTCTCAGCAATAAGACTATACATGATGGGGCAAGTGTCAACTGCATACATTTGTCAGGACCAAATTTGTAGCTCATAATTTTTATGCAACTGTTTTTACCTTGGCGAGAATCAATGCTACAAATACTATTCCAAGTCTTAGTATATGGAACCAAACTCAAAACAGATGTCCAGCTAAATGCATTAAAGATCACAAGAAAGGAATTGACAAAGCTGAACACCATAGTTCTTCATTGCTAAGCATCTGAGGAGCGTCTGGTAGCTCCCCTGGGTCAGTCTTTCTATTATGATTTCTAGAACTTTATTTTTTCATTTTTTAAAAAATTCCAGGTGTTGAGAACTCACCTTTTCTAGTAGTTTTCCCTGGGAACACTTGGGGATCTACAAACATCTGAAATTGGAGGATGCTAATGGGCAAGAATCAAGAGAAAGGTAATTCAGAGACGACAACGAAGTGGGAAAGAAATTACAGGGTCAAAGCGAAAGAAAACCAAGCTGCTTGGGTAGGAAGGTGCAATGCAAGCCAATTGTTTACTGTATCTTGTCCGCTCCCAGAGCTGCGCCCGAGCTCTCGCGTTAACTAGGCAACATCGTTGCCACGGTAACTGGGAGGCGCGGGAGGGCGACAGCTCCCTGGACTCCCGGTAACCCTTACGTGCCCGGGGCTGGTCCGTGGGGCGGGGTGAGAGATGCCGGAATCTCGCGAGAGCTCCCGGGGGCCGTTGGGTAGCGTCTTCGCTGTTGCCCTTAGGGACGGCTGTGGGCCTGCTGGGGGTGGGGGCCCGAAGCGCCAGAGATGGCTGCTCAGCGAGGGATGCCCAGCTCCGCCGTGAGGGTCCTGGAAGAGGCGTTGGGCATGGGTTTGACGGCAGCCGGGGACGCGAGGGACACGGCGGACGCGGTGGCGGCTGAGGGCGCCTACTACCTGGAACGTATCCTTCCCGTGGAGGCGCGGCCCGCTGCGCTGGCGGGTAATGGGTGTTGGGACGAAGGCGAGGGCCTCCCACTGGCGGCGCCTTTTGAGCCTTGGGGCCACTCCGGAGGAGCCTCTGTTGGACTTCAAGGTGCTGTTTTTGCCACCACAGTCTTCCTGAGAGCCACTCACTGAATTTCTCGCCCTTAGTAGCCCAGGGTGTCCTGTACCTGTTAGAAGAGTTGGGAGACCTTCCAAGGCCTCATACTTAGTAACCACTCAGTACATTTTGGATGGAGGGTTGCTTTTTATGTTAAGACAGCACAACAAATTGCTTCAACCCTCCTTTCAAATAATGGGTTTCCTAAATAAGCCCTCAATCTTTCAGAAAGCCGTCCCAATAAATTCAACGGAGGAACGTTAGGAGACTAGGGAAAGACCTCTGCCATTGGACTTTAAGGAGCTGAAGCTCAGAATACCCAACCCACGATCCTGTTCGATGGTCCAGTTAATGCTTAAATGCTTAGTTTTGATAGCATTATCTTCCTGAGTAGTTCCAAGTTTGACTACTTAATAATAAATACTAATAGTATAGTTGCTTTTTTTTCTTGAGCAAATAAATAATGATCTGGTGAGCTACACAGCTCAGAGATATTAGGAATAAAGCAGATGGTGATTAGCGATTTTTATCGGAAGTACCAGAAAAATTGAATAACAATGTGTGGATAATTAGGTCCACTATTTCTTGTGTAAGGCTTTAGAACTTCTTTCCTCTAGTTATATAGATTAATTCCTACTAGGGAGACGGGGAGGGTTCATGAGAAAAAGACATGTAACTCCTTTATTCAGGGAGGTAAGAAAGAGATGATTATCTGTTCAGTTCTTAAAGATACCAAGGAAACTCCAAAATCTGCCAAATCTTATTTGTTTGTCCAACTGTAATCCTCTCCAGGTTTAATTCAAGATTTCAGAAATCCAGCAATGATTCATTTCGTGAGCTTTGACAAGCCGATTAACCTGTCCTGACTCAGGCTCAGTACACATCCACACTACAGAGAGCTTTGAAGAATTTAGCTGAAAGATTAAAGAAAATATGTAGTATTTTATTGGGTGCAAAAACGACTTTTACAGGAATAGAAATTTGAATCGCTTGAAATGAATTTGAAAGAAATATATGGGTGCTTTAGTGTCATAAATGAGGTTTTATACTGTTTTCGTAGATGTAACAGGCAGTCTTTTCCAGTGATATTCCTCTTTAACAACGATTTTCATAATTCTTCCTAAGCTTATCTATATCCAGTGCCCTTGCTACTGAATGGTAACCAGGCATCTTGTAATTTTGTTTGCATTAAAATTATTTCCGTGAACACATAGTTTAATTGTTAACATGAGATTGACACAATGAGGTAACTTTTTGCAAACATCTTTGTGAAATAAATGGTAGGAGTCTAACATAACACAACTTTCAGCAATGAAAATCAGGTTTACTTAATGTGCAGGGAGATCACTGAGTCACACCTGCCAAGATGTAGCAGTTTGCAAACCTGTCTTACAAAGACTTTTTCAAATAATCACACTTATTTGAACTTTAACACATATAAGCAACTGTAACTTTTTAGGATTTTACTAACCGTTGTGTGAATTATCCAACCCATTTGCTTTTCTTCTTTCTTTGGTTGACTGACTGCTATTTTGTATTTTAACCAAATGGTAGTCAGGGGATACACAGTTAAACATTTAACCAGTTTATTTTGCTATATTCCATGCTGAGGGAAGAGGTTTAGTCATTTCAACTCTCAGTTGAAATGAAGTTTGAGGATTACTTGTGAATACCAATTATTCCTGTATCCCTGGGCACTCTTCACATGGTTAATTAAGAGTTGCCTGTGTAATGTTGTTTGACATTGTTTCTTAAGGCAATTATGATAGTTGCCAAAGTGAGACTTCCTTTGGTTTAAAGTCTTTGCTTTCAGGTAATTTAATTGAGCTATCATGGTGGGTAAATAAAAGTTATAATATGCACAGATGAATCAGAAATCTGATGTCCTCTGCTTCGCACATATACTCAATCACTTCTAATCTACTGCATTTGGCCTGGATTTCCCTTATTTATCACTCAACAGATGCTCCTAGTACATTAGACAATGAGCTATCAATATCGAGCAAGACTTTGAAAGAAGTTGACTTGAATTCTTTAGGAAATCTCCCACTTTTCTGCTTTTAAATACTCAATTATGAAGAGTATGAATAGACTAATGTCCAAACCAGAAACAGCCAGGATCCATCTTGTGGGGGACATTAATGAAGGTCCCATGTCCTTTATAATGGTTTACACACTGGGTTCAGGAAAAAGAGTTCTTACCCTGCAACACCCTTTCCCTGTAATCTCCTAGCTGTAACAGTGCCACCTATTTCTCTTCTAAGGAACCCAGAATATCATTGCTTTTATGTTTTAGACTTCAACAAGGTGAGATACAAATATACATTGTTCTTAGCTATTGTCAGAACACTAAGAAATTGAGTTATGGAGTATATGAATCCTCTCTAGAACCCATCATTAGAAAAATACTTGCAGCATTATAAACTATAAGGTGAGATTTTAGCTATGTGATAGATATGTAAAGGGTCAAGTAGGTATCTCCAGAACCTAGAAAGAAGGTTGATTGTCTTTTGTGAATGAATGAATCCCTTATTAGAAATCAACACAACTTGGGTGAGGTTTTCAACTGTAGTAGTGAGGAAGGGCTGCCTATTAATGTATGGCTGCAGACATTTGGGACTGCCTAGTTCCAATTGGAAGGCCAGCATGAATTTGTACTAAGAAAGCTAAGGGTTAATTGACTTTGTTGTTCCTTGTCTAAAGAGACTTTGTTCAAGGAATAGTAAATGAATACATGGACCCTAGGAAAGTGGAGCTTCAAGGTATTGTTTTTGTTACATACCTCCCTCAATATGGACATCTGGCTCCTCTAGCTTTTGATTATTTCCTCTCTCTGGGCATTCTAATACTAAGGATTTGGCTTTTTAGATGGTAGGTGTAAGTTTACTGGCCAATGAAAAAGGCTCCCCAACCCCCAGCAGCAATTTCTGAGAGTTCAGTAAGTTTAAGCCAGTTCTGTGAAGCTAATCAGCTCTGAATGGAGTCCCAAAGTCAACTCTTTCTGAAACTCCAAAATTAAGGACTCTAGACCCTGAAATATGAGGATCACACTAGACTGATGCCCTTATCTGAGATACTGAGGACTGTAATTGAAGTAGCAAGCCTGTAGATAAATATCTTAACTTCTACCATGCTACCTTTAAAAAAAATTATTATTTTTTTAGAGATGAGGTATTGCTCTGCTACCCAGGCTTGAGTACAGTGGCATGATCATAGCTCACTGCAACTTCAAATTCCTGGGCTCGAGCAATCTTCCCACCTCAGCTTCCTGAGTAGCGGGGACTGCAGATGTGCGGCACCATACCCAGCTAATTTTGTTTGTTTGTTTTTGTTTTTGGTAGAGACGGGGGTCTCACTCTGCTATTCAGATTGGTCTCGAACTCCTGTGCTCAAGGCATCCTACTGCCTTGGCCTCCCAAAGTGCTGGGATTACAGACATGAGCCACTGTACCAGGCTGCTGTCTTCTTAAGTAACAGTTCTATCTAGTCTTTCATTGCCATAGTAATGTTGACTGATAACTTTAATTAAAATTGAAGTTTTCCTTATTTTATTTTATTTTTTGAGACGGAGTCTCGCTCTGTCTCCCAGGCTGGAGTGTAGTGGCACGATCTCGGCTCACTGCAAGCTCTGCCTCCCGGATTCGTGCCATTCTGCTGCCCCAGCCTCCCGAGTAGCTGGGACTACAGGCATCTGCCACCACACCTGGCTAATTTTTTTTTTTTTGTATTTTCAGTAGAGACGGGGTTTCACTGTGTTAGCCAGGATGGTCTCGATCTCCTGACTTCGTGATCCATCCGCCTCAGCCTCCCAAAGTGCTGGGATTACAGGTGTGAGCCACCGCACCTGTCCTTTCCTTTTTTTAAATTTACTGTATGGTTTTTAACTTTTTTTTTTTTTAAAGCTAAACATTGTAGTTGAGTAAGTAAAACATTTAGAAAGGTGGATGCATAGATTTCTTTTTCTTTTTTAAAACTAACATTCTCTTAGATACATGTGTTAACCACTTTTTCTTCTGTTATAAAATGGTACTTCTCTGAAATGTTTGTAGTATTATAATTGTTCTGAACCCTAAAGTGTATTTCTTATCACTGGAACTTAATTTGTGCATGGGTTCTTAGATATTAGAACATACATACCCCGTGTATATTCAAATGAAAAGGATACACAACCTGCATATAGACAGACTAAGAACTATGTTACTAAATCCAGAGTGTTGATATTTACTTGTGTAAAAGTCATAGGCTATTTGGAGAGAAAAAAAATGTGTTTTGCTCTGTGTCCTTTAGTCAGGCGTTAATGTGCATATGACTCACCTGGGGAGCTTTAAATAAATATTCTAATTCAATAAGTCTGGCAAGGGGGCTGAGATTCTGCATTGCTAAGAAGCTTCCTGGTGCTGCGGTTGCTGCTGGTCTAAGGACTGTAATTGAAGTAGCAAGGCTGTAGATAAATATCTTAATCTCTAGCCTTTATATTTTCAGATAGAAATATCACATGTGGAGTCCATATCTTTGGATCTCCTGGCTTAGAAGTTGGAAAGACTTATACCACCAGCTGCCATGAGCACTGAGTCTTACATGCTGAACAAAAGTTATTTTCCAGTTATGAAGGTAGAAGATATGCAACAGCTATGTAGGACAGGGGTGGCCAGTACATTTCCACTCTTGCCAATTCTGTTGAATTGGTAGTGGCTCCCTGGTATAGGATATTAATAAGAATTCTGAGTCCTCATGAAGACTGTGTGGTAAAAACTGCAGGGAGCAATTGGCAAAAGGGAATGTGACCACAAGCATGCCAGCTACCTTCCATTTTTGTCTGTATTATTCAGTTAACTTATTTAAACTGGCCTTCCTAAGAAAGGGACCAAGACTATGATATTTGCTATTTACAGTATTTTTATTTCAACTTAATAAGTAAAATGTTGATCATGGAAGATCCAGGCTAGATTTTAGATTGAGTCTGTGTACGTTGGCTCTGCAGTGATGGCAAGGATTACAAAATGATTTCTGTCTATAGTAGCTTTGGGAAATCATGTAAAATATAATTAGCTATATGTTTCACTCCAGTTCTTCATAAAGATGCTGCTACTGCTGGCAGTAAACACTACCTACAAATGCAGCAGTGGAAGAGACCAGTGTGTAAGGTACTTTGCTGCTCACATCTGAAAATTATTCATTGGTTTCTGGCTCTGGTCCATTTGCAGAATGTTATTTGTCTCCCCCTCATACCAATTGGCACCTCAAGCTCTGCGCCATTAGGCCAACCAAAATGTCTCACCGAGGTTTCTGGCAGTTGTGTTCTCTGTAGTACTGTGATGGGCTTAGGGCTCCCTGGCAGTTTCAGTGTGGGTGTTACATTTTCCCATTTTCTGAAAAGATCGAGAATATCAGGATCTGGTGCAGGCTCTGCTAGTGCAGAAACTATGAGATAGTTCACCCATGGTGACTAAATACCAGGAAACTAATTCATGCTATGAAACTCACGAGTGCTACTAAATTCCTTCCAGAGCAAATGCAGATTTGGGAGGAATGGGAGCCTCAGTCTGTGTCTAGGTTATGACTAGAAATACAGAACCTGGCCTGGACTTGGATGGTACTGTGGGCTGTGGCTTCAGGGCAGGGAGAAAAGGGGAGCCATGGACACTACCCCAGGCAAGAACAATCTAGAAAACAAGGCACAGTATTAAGTGTCAAGTCAAGGCCAAGTGTGCAGATAGGTAAGAACCAGATATGAGGGGAACAGACAGGGCAGAAAAAAATTTTGGAACTGAAATTCACCAGTGTTCTTCGAAGGAATACTAGGCAGTTAGAGGGAAGGGAGTTTTGTGAGGGCTCAAAGGCAGCTTGACATTAAGAAACTGGATTTAGGCCAGAATGCTAGCTTATTATTTCAGTGAAAGAATAACTTTGCATGAGAACTGTGATTAGCTTAATTGTATGGATGTTTCCTGGAGAGTAGGATCACCTAAGAGATTAAATTACAGATGAGAAAGTTGCTCCGTGAAAGTAGAACCAGAGTGTACAGAGTTTTATCATTCTTGACGAATTAACCTTTTCTACTCTGGCAAGATTGTTATCCAAAACAATGCTTTCCAAAGTTTTTCACATACAGTACTCCATCACATCCTACTTCACTCTGCCTTTTTTACCGTCCCAAGGGCCAAGGGGATTGATATCTCTACACTGCACTATTCTTTTTATGAGAACCCAAGAATGTCATTTCTCTCAGGCTTTGGAACCAGATATTCCTGGATATCTGTTGAGAAACTCATCTGTTTTCATTGGGTCGATACAGAGATGGTATCTGATTCCATGTCCCTTTTTACCCTGGTTACTGGGAAGCTTAGAGTCAAATCTGGGGGTTATTTTTGACCAATCTTATGAGACCTATGGTATCTGCTGCATCTTAATCATATTTCTATAATGCTATTTCCTTTTCTCCTCCAATTTCCACATTCATTAATTGTTACATTTTGTATAGTGTGTGTATTTGCAAACTGTAGCAGAATCACTTTAGGATCAGTTTGTGCACCTGTCCCTACTGCCAGCTAGCTAGCCAGGTAAACAGATGCGTACAAACATAAGTGTCAAAGTACATTTATGTCTTTAATAACATTGTGACATTTAAACTGAGTTGCCTTTGGGAAATTTTAAATATAAATTATATTGTGGATACATAAAAATCAATCAAAGTATGTATCTTCCTAGTTTGATTGTTTTGTCCACTACCTGACGTATTGTCCCATCAGTCTCTTGCCCTTGGTTAGATTTCGTTTTGAGTCTGTAGCCTGTAGCTCTTTTCTACTTCTCTTTCCTCTGGGGGTCTTCAAATTGAGCTATTTATGTGATTTGATTTACCTGTTATTAATATAACACTTGAAAGTTTTTGGAAAAAAATAGGTGAGTTCATTACCTAGGATATTGGTAAAAAAGTTGTGTATTCCTATTGTGTCACTGTAGAAACAGTACTATGTAGCAGCAAATTTATGGCATTTGTATCTCAGGAATTTATCTTTGTCATTCACAGCTGTGTGATCTTGGGCAAATCTTTTAATCTCTGATTCAGTTTCTTCATTTTTAATTTAGAGATGGGTATATCTGTGCTGTTTGACCTCACTGGGTTGTGTGAGAATAAATATAGTTTTGGTCCATGTGAAAATACTTTTAAGCTTTATAAAATGGTAGTTATGTACTCTCTTAATCTTTTTTGATTGTGGGAAAGTAATACATTTAGGTGATAAAAAGCCATTGTCTAGAATATTTGCTGGGTAGGAGTATGTAAGTGTTGATTGATATTTTCTATGCTTCGAGGACAAATCACTTTTTTTCTACTCTATATTGCCATGTGACATCTTCCTCATATAATCTTATCAGCGGTTGGCTTATTTACAACTTTAAAGTCTATCCAGAAGCTTTTAGAGTATTTACTTCTTTTTGAAATTATTATGATGTGAACATGGTGAAGGATGGCATTGCTTTTCTGGAGACATACAAATGACCGCTTACAAAATTACTTTCTAGGAGCTGTCTCTCAGAAGGGGTCATGCTTTTTCATAGAAAAGAGGCTGACTTCCTCTAGCTGAACCTTCGGAAATTTTATCTCATTATATAAAACTATCAGAGGCCGGGTGCGGTGGCTCACGCCTGTAATCCCAGCACTTTGGGAGGCCGAGGCGGGCGGATCATGAGGTCAGGAGATCGAGACCATCCCGGCTAAAACGGTGAAACCCCGTCTCTACTAAAAATACAAAAAATTAGCCGGGCGTAGTGGCGGGCGCCTGTAGTCCCAGCTACTTGGGAGGCTGAGGCAGGAGAATGGCGTGAACCCGGGAGGCGGAGCTTGCAGTGAGCCGAGATCCCGCCACTGCACTCCAGCCTGGGCGACAGAGCGAGACTCCGTCTCAAAAAAAAAAAACAAAAAAAACAAAAAAAAACAAAACTATCAGAAAGATATAAATCTATAACTGGAGGGAAATTTAAAATGTCTTTTATTTATTCATTTTAACATATGGGGGAACAGAGGCATGAGAAATTTAAAAGATTTTTTTTTCCATAGATACTCATCTCTTTCCAGAGTGAGAAAAGAAATGACAACAAACACTTGTATATCATTTACTATAAGCCAGGCACTAATCTAAATGCTTTACATATATTGACTCTTAACATTCTTATAGTATGGAAGGAAGCCAGTCTCTAAAATAAAATGACACCCTGATATGGTTTGGCTCTGTGTCCCCACCCTAATCTCACCTTGAATTGTAATAATCCGTATGTGTCAAGGGCAGGACCTTGTAGAGGTAATTGGATCATAGGGCCAGTTTCCCCCATGCTGCTCTTGTGATAATGAGTGAGTATCGCAAGATCTCATGGTTTTGTAAGTGTCTGGCATTTCCACTGCTTGCACCCATTCTCTCTTTCATGGTGCCCTGTGAAGAAGTGCCTTCCGCCATGATTGTAAGTTTCCTGAGGTATCCTCAGCCATGCAGAACTATGAGTCAATTAAACCTCTTTTCCTTATAAATTACCCAGTCTTGGGTATTTCTTCATAGCAGCATGAGAATGAACTAATACGCATCCAGTGAGCCCCACCTCCTAATATTCATGCTCTTGTGTAATCCTCACACACTGAGTAGACGTGACCCATGTAACCAGTGGGATATTGAAGAAATGATGTGTGACTTCTGATGTTTGGTTAGAAAAGCTATTGTGGCATCCACATTGTTTTCTTGGACTGCTTATTCTGGGGGTAGTTAGCCCACCATATCTTGAGGATGCTCAAGCAGCCTGTGGAGAGACCCACATGGGGAAGAACTGAGGTCTTCTGGGAAACTAGTACATTGTCAGTGAGCTGCCATGGAAATGGATCCTGTTGCCTCATCTCAGCCTTCAGATGACTCTAATTCTCCTGTTATTTTGACTATGACATGAGAGACCCCCAAGTCAGATTCTACCAGATAAACCACTACTGAGCCCTTGACCCAGAGAAACTACAATATAATAAATGCTTATTGTTCCTTTTTCAGCGTTATTGAGTTGTAATTGACAACATTACATATATTCTAGGTGTACAACATATTTTGATTTACATATACATTGTGAAATGATTACCACACCCAAGCTAATTAACCTATTTACCTCATATAGTTACCTTTTCACTTTTATATTACTTGTGGTGAGAATATTTAAGATCTACTCTCTTTACAAATTTCAAGTGACACTCCATTATTATTAGCCATAGTTACTGTGCTATACATTAGGTCTCCATAAATTCTTCATCTTATAACTGAATGTTTGTGCAACGTTGATGAACATCCCCCCATTTTCCCTACCCTCTATTCATTGGTAACTCCCCTTCTAATGTCTGTTTCTGTAGAGTTGGAATTTTTTTTAGATTCCACATATAAGTGAGACTATGCAGTATTTGTCTTTCTGTATCTAACATTTCACTTAGCATGACCTTCAGGTTCAGTATCTGGAGTAGGGTGTTAAATAAGAAGTAACAGAGTAGCTTTGAAACTGGGGATTAGGGAGATGTTGGAAATACTTTGTTAGTGAAAGATAAAATACCTCGAACAGATTGCTAGTAGAAGCCTTATGATCTTTAAAGAGGCTGATGGCAAGGAATTAGAGAGTGAGGCAAATACTATTAGAATCTGTTCTACAGTAATAGATAATTAATAAAGGAGGTATTTTACTCCTTGTAGTATTTAATATGGATGAATTAAGGTTATGGAATAGACTGCAAGTATGCAACTATTTTTTTGTTTAATCATTTAACTAGCTATTTTTGAGCCTAATTACTTTTCACTATGTTATTAGGAGAGGCACTTATTCATGTTTTACAATAAAATACTGACCTTTTGACAGATACCTGGTATCTGAGGATTGGTCATAATGGAATGGGGCTTAAGTGTCCCTGCAAGGGATAGGGATAAGACATACAGGATGATTACTTGTGATGGAGCTTAGTAGCAGTAATAAATTTATAGGTTTAGATCTCTGTGGAAAATAATTGGCAAACACTTTATGTATTTATGTAGCACAGAAAACCCACACAGAACATGGAGAGGCAATATAATATGGTGAAACCTAAACATCTGGGCTCTTTTAGGTCCTAGCTGTGGAACCTTATGCCTCTGATTCTTGATTTGTAAAATAGAGTTATAGTTCCAGCCTCATAGGCAGGATGAGGATGAAATTAGTTAATACATGGAAAACACTTAGAACAGTTCCTGTCTCCTATTAAATACTGTGTAAGTGTTATCTGTTCTTGTTATAAGCAACAGAAGTTGTTATATACCCTTTCAGCTAATGCTTGGTAAACAATGCCAGAGACATTTTATAATCAGCAGCAAAATGAAAACTAGGCTAATCTTATCTTTGATTTTCATAACCATTACCATGCATTAAAGTGTTTAATTCACACATTTTAAACTTGGCATAACCGAGTCAGTGTAATCGAAAAAAATGTAAACCTAACAATAATAACAACAACAACAACAAGCATTGCTGGTGTGTGCTGTGATTTAACATAAAATATTGTCTTGAAGTTTTCATATGTAATTAGAGTAACTTATAGTTTTTGAAAGTCTTAAAGCAGTTCTCTTAGAATTATTTTATGTTAGAATCATTTCCATTGATATTTAATTTCTTCAGTATTTATGAAATTTTGAATTATGATTGCTATATACTTTATATTCACTTAAAAATTAAGTTATCTTTCCTATAAAGATAATTTAAAAATGGAGATACATGGAAAAGTAAAATTTAAATTTTACTGATAAAAGCATTGATATGTGTTTTTTTCTTAAATATTGGCGTGCATTTGTTTTGTTCATTCACAATACTTTAAACCAAATAAAGTCACATTTTATTCATGTACTGTGAATAGTTAACTCAGGAGCTCTGGAAAATTCATTGTGGTTTAAGATGAATTTGAAAAAGTTACTGTTTTTTCTTACCTGTTTCTAATTCACGCTACCTTATGATATTATGTATATTTTCACAAGCCTTCATAGAATCAAGTTTGAAATCATTAGATAGATAGTAAACAGTCAAAAGACAGATAGCAATGTAGGTTTTCATGGATTTGAGTTGTGAAAAATAATGAAGTATTTTATTTTTAAATATCTAGATTTATAGGCTATATGGGGAAGACAAATTTTTTAAAGATTAAATTATATATATTTACCAACTTCCTGGTGAGATAGTTGAATCCAATACTATATTTGAAGGTCAAATCAATTTTTGTGCAATAATTTTATTCTATATTTTTTGAGATTAAAACTTGACAAGATATTCAGAGGTCACCATAACTGAAGCATCTGAAGATGACTATGAATATGAAGAGGTAACATGTTAATTTTAGGTGTTTATTCTGTAAATTTATTGCAGTCATTCTCATGAAATGCTCATTTTATTTTCTGAAACATGTAAGAACCATTCTTTTTTCTTAAGAGATACCAGTTTTTCAACTGAATTTAGCTAGTATCAGCTGATTAAGAATGAGATGTGAAAATTCTGTTTAAACATTTAAATTGGAAAATACATCTGATTCTTTTGATTTTCCTGTTAATCGTCCTTCAGGTTCAGCTCCTTATTACCTGCCTTGTAGATTCCTACCATAAACTGTTATCTCTGTTCAGGAGGCACTTCCTTCCTGTCATCCAGTCTGCTCTTGTCAAGGATTCCTAGATTCCCACTGCTCAGTTGAAGCGGAGGCCTTATGCATCCTTCCAGCTTAACAGTATTTCTATCTAATGTGGTTCCTATCTCAAAGCTTTCCTTTAATTCATTGTTCCCGAGACCTATCATTACTTCGGACACTTGGAGGATAAAATCACTGGTAGATGACAGAGGCTGTGAATGAAACTGTGTGGAAATAAGCCTGGCGAGCCTGGGTGAGCAAGAGACAGGATGAAAATTGGAGACAGGCTTTTTATTACTGGTAAAATGGAGATTATGTGTACCACATGAAGTTCCTGAATGAGTTAATAAATGTAAAAGGCCTAAACCAGTGATCAGTACATAAGAAGCGTGTGTTAAGTCTTAACTGTCATTAATCATAATTGCAATCCATCACGTCCTTTCAAGATTTTAATGCTCAGTGAGTTTTATTTTTTAATAAACGAGAGATTTTCAGTTGCTAGTAGTTCTGAAAAAGTGATGGTGGAAAGCACTTGAGATGGGGCAAGAATGGTGATATTTAGATAGCCTTATTATTTTTTCAGCAGAATTGTTAGATTACATTTTCTATTATAGATAAAAGCAGTTGCCCACAAACTAATCCTGAATTTATTAGAAGTGACGTTTATTGACATTTACAAGGAAGTCAGAAGAAAGCAGTTATTCATTTTTCATGGATCTTCAGAATGACATGGTATTTTACATAAAGTATTTCTTTGATCCTTTGATTTGTGAAGCAAAATTATTTCTGAAGTGAAATAAAGTATTTTATATTTCTGCTCACTCTTCCTATCCTTCTCTTTCTCTGTGATCTAGATACCAGATGACAATTTTAGCATCCCAGAAGGTGAAGAAGATCTGGCAAAAGCAATTCAGATGGCCCAAGAACAGGCTACAGATACTGAAATTTTGGTGAGAATTTGAACACTAGTGTAGTCTATAGTTTAGTGGTAGTGCTTTTTATATGAAGTTTGGAAAGTCTTTTAAATGTAAATACTAGTGTAGCTCAGTCATCTGTTATATCATTTTCATCTCTGTTTATTTGTGATCAAGCCTTCACTTTAAGGTAAGCAGTCATATTTACTCTTTTTTGGATTGCCATTCTCCACATCATGGTCACTCTTGCATGACTTTGTATCAAGTGACACCTTCTCTCTGAACTCTGATTAATCTCACTGGAGGATAAACCAATAATTTTCAACATTTATGTTTAGAATTTAGTGTCATATACAAGTTCTACAGTCTGTTTTGTAAACATTTTGTGTTTTTTTACATGAAAGTATTAATCTTACAGGGAATGCTTAATATGGCTTTCTTGTGAGGCTTATGAACTAATTATGTTAAGGAATGTGGTGGGGGATGTTTTTTGATTATAATACAATGAACTAAAAGTGCATAAAACTGATGGCATTCCTCTAAAATTGAAAACTCATTAAAATTGTGAACCATTTAATATGATGGCAAAAATATTTTTAAAAATGTTTTATTTTGTACCAACATTAAGAAGCATGCTTTCTTTCAGTGTTTAACCCCTTTACTACAGAGAAATGTGAAGGAATTTGTGAAACTCCTTTTTGGTTGCAGATTTGCCTTCCTCAGTGTGGAATTGTATGTGAGACTTTACTGCATATTATACCATATCATTCTTTCCATATTCTGTAGACTTCTTCAATGTAGAAGTCCAATAACTCCTTTTCAAAATGTCTGTCCACTCAAAATTGGAATAAAAGCTCTAGAGGAAGATTTTTTCAGGCCAGAATTAATTGCATTCTGTTGTAAATGGAGGGCTGCAGCTCATAGTAAATGACATTCTCTAATGAATCCCATGGACATAGCTTCTTCTTGGTAGACACAAAGTGAAATCTATTCCATAGACTTAGTCTGTTGGATATCTCAAAGCAATAATTTGTAGGAATAGTTTTAAAATGTATGAATAGCATTTTCAGTGACATGCAACTGATATGTTTATTCATTTATCATCATCCTCTTGCTTTACATCACTAAGGATTTTGACAAATTCTTTATGTACCACTCATTTGTATCGGTATTTGGTAAAGTACATGTGGCTAATACAGTGCTTGGCACATAGTTGGCACTAAATAAATAGCAGTTAAATAAGAGAATGGATAAGTGGATCATTGAATGAAAAAACTGAACAAAACTGTAATTGCTTCCTTCTGCTATCATGGTCGAAAGTGTTTGTAATGCAAAGATAAATCAGAGGAAAGTTGAGGAAGAAATACATTGTAGTAGCTGTTGTATCTACTGAGCCAAATATCAGTAATTCTTCTTTTATCAATTTATTGGAAGCTTTTCTTTATCATAACCTTACATGAGTTAACATTCTTGATTTCTGGCATGTCTGTAGCTGATTGACTCTCATTTAGCTTCTTTTTACCTCATTTTAAAAAATTCTTTGGAGGAACAGTATTATGCTGAAAATTCACAGAAGTTGTCCTTAAGCTGTTAAATATGGATTCATTTTATCATAAGCATATTAGTTATATTTTTTAATTTGCTTTTTATTTCTAAAGTATGTTAATCTTCAGTAATTTGAATTGTGCTATGGGCTTTCTCTTTTAAAGAATACTTATTGCTTGTTAAATCCATTTTTTGTTCTGATCTTATATATATTCATAAACAAGATATATTTTCTTCTCTGTTAAAGGATACAGTAATCTCTATGCACAGAACTCTTAAAATTTTCATTGAAGATTGCAAGTAAATGGTTATGATACTATTAGGAAAGTTAAGTTGAAATAATGTAAATTATCTTATTTGTTAAAATATTAACAAAAAATGACTTATTGCGACTTATTGAATAGTTGACATTTAAATACATTCTTGTTCTTATGATTTCCTTTTTTTTTTTTTTGAGACGGAGTCTCACTCTGTCGCCCAGGCTGGAGTCCAGTGGCGCAATCTTGGCTCACTGCAAGCTCTGCTTCCCAAGTAGCTGGGACTACAGGCACCTGCCACCACACCGAGCTAATTTTTTTTTTTTTTGTATTTTTAGTAGAGACGGGGTTTCACCATGTTAGCCAGGTTGGTCTCGATCTCCTGACCTCGTGATCCACCTGCCTCAGCCTCCCAAAGTGCTGGGATTACAGGTGTGAGCCACCACACTGGGCCAAGTTCTTATGATTTCCTTTAAATGTGGGTAGTATAGATTAAATATTTGAGAATTGATTGCATGGTTTGCTTTATAAATTTTAAATTGTGTATTTGATACTATCCGTTTTCTTAGTGGGTTCAATGATCTGAATTCTGAATTAAATAATTTTCATTATATTTAAAGTTATTCTTGAAAAATATTGAGAAGATAGGAAATGTTATTAATCTATAACAGTTATGTAGTTTGATTATACTATCAGTAGTTTCTTGAAATTTAAGTATTTTACAGGTATGAATACAAGTAAAGGTAGGATTATATATATGTTCGTTAGATTGTGTCTGTGTGTCTGTATGTATTACTTAGGGATATTTGTATGTAAATATATGAAAAGAAAGGTCTACTTACATTGAAGCTGGGTCTCCCCTTCTAAATTCTGAGCCTTTTTATAAGTGTATTTTTGCCATTTTTTTGGATAATTCTTCAGCCTCTTTGGTTATTGATAGTTTATTCTGTTAATTTTCAAGGTACAATCTCAGAGGTCTTTTATACTGCTGTAATTACGTAATGACTTCTAATTTTTATAAATGTAGAATTTTGATCTTTAAATATGACAGTAGCAAGACACCCAAGTCATATAATTGTTCAATTCCCTGATGCTTTTCCTCCTCCTGCTACCCCTTTTCCTCCTCTTTCTTCTCCCTTCCCTCCTCCTCCTTTTCTTCCTCTTCCTCCTGAGAATTTAAGTAGAATTTATGGAATTTCTTTGGAATAATTAACTATTTTTGGAGAAGACTAATTGATGACTGACCCAAGCGAGAATGTTCTTTACCATATGTATCAATAGTTCTCAAAGTATTGTGGGAGATCTTTTGGGGTCCCCAAGACCCCTTTTAGGGAATTTATGTTGTCTTTCATTTTCCAACTACACACCTGCTGGAGGATTCTCCTCATGTAGCTCAACTGAGACAACATATCACAACAGGTCAAATGCAGAAAAAAATATGGGGATCTAGCTGTTCCTCTAAATACTAAAAAGATTTGTAAAAATTTGTAACAGTGTCACTCTTCTCATTAGTTCTTTTTCTGTTTTGGAAAATGTAGTTAGTTTTTATTAAAAAAATTCTGTCTATGTTATCTGTGTAGAAGTTTTGCTATAGTTATTTTAAAGTAAATAAATGAATATTTTAAAATTTAATATCCAATATATAATTCTTGATAGGTATAACTCAGATAAATAAGTGCTGTCTGGAGTACTCAATAATTTTTAATAGTATAAAGTGTTGCGAGAACATAAAGTTTGAGACATTTTATAGAATTCTATTCTCAGAAATTTTCAAATATGTTAAGAATTAATATAAAAAAGTTCTCTTGCTATTATGTTAATATACCAAAATATAGTCTAGGATTAATAAATATGTATTCCTTTTATTTAGATCTTAATCTCACGAGGGATTAATATTAGGTTGGTGCAAAAGTAATTGTGGCTATACCATTACTTTTAACGGAAAAAAACGCAATTACTTTTGCATCAACCTATACCATTATGTTAACTCTCACATCATAATGCTAATGGATTAAATTCTTAAACAATTTTCATTACTTTTAGACTCAATTACTAGTCTCAAGAAAAAGAGCTGTTTGTCATTATTGAATTCCCATTCTCTCCATGTACACACTTAATTTTAGTTAGAGACCCAGGCTCCTTGTACTCAAAGCCATGTCTACAGATTATCCAAGCCAATATATTTGACTTAATGTGAATTAAGGAGTTGATGAAATGAAGCCCCAAATAAAGTAACATTTAAGTTTTAAGACCACTTGGATTTCATTGTTTATTTTTTTGTTTCTCACTGGTCAACTAAAGTTGTCAAAGGAACTCACATTAAAACAGTTCAAAATTTGTCAAGATACTTAATTTTAATATGTGGTTTAGCACTTCTTTGCAATTCAACATTTAATTAGTTCTTAAGTCTGGAAAGTTTTATGTCCTCAACATCTTTCATATCCTTCTCTTTACCTTCATCCTCACTTAGTCTACCTTAAAGCTACCCTCTTTCTTTTCTCATCTGAGCTACAGCATGCTGCTGGTACTATGCTTCCTTCTATTCCCACCTAAAAGATGTGTCTAATGCAAATTTCAGTTTATCTCCCCTCTACGTAAATTCCCAATGTGTCTACCCTTCCACCTGCCTTTGCCTTCTTGATATGCTTCCTGTTTAGTTTTTCCACTTTATCTTTGGCCCTTTCTCCGTAAGACCCTGAGCCTTAATGGATTGAATTGTCACTCCTTGTTTTTGCCTCAGATGTTTTCTTGCCTTGAATATTGGTTTATCTTTCTTTATCTGTTGTATTTCCTCATCGTCTGTAACGTTCAACCTAATAGTCTCCTTAACATAGCCTTCATTCACATATCTAAGGCAAGGGAAATATTCTTCTCCATTGTGTATCACTTCACCTAGCAGATTTCTATTGTTGCAATCATAACACAATATAGAATCCTGTCTACTTAGAAAATGTCAACTTTAGAATGTTCATAGACAAAATGAAGCTATGTGCTAGAGCTACCATTGTTTGTCCTCAACAGATTTCTGGGTCACATGTGGCTAGAGTAATTTTTGATCATTCAGCAGTCTGCAAAGTGAGACCATGTTTCGCTAGTTTGTAGATTGCTTGCTTTTTTGTGCTTATTCTGTGGTGTTTTGTTAACCTCATAATTAAGTTAGTTAAAAGCCGTAATGAGAGTTGTATATAATGTATAATAGGGATAAAAGTGTAACTTAAATTTCTTAAGTATACATAATGGTTGCATGTATGATATCTGTGGATACCTGAGTAGGATTTTGTAATCAAAATTTGTAACAAAAGAGCTTCTGTATTATAATGTTTTGTTTTTGCTAAATGAACCGTTCAGTTCCTCAAGACAGAACTGTCTTCTTCATGTTTAATTCCCAGCACCTTTCATGGTACCTGGTACATGGGAGATGTTCACCAATTATATGTTGAATAAATATCCTACGTAAAGGTAAAAGAGATATTCATGATCACATTAGAGCTTGGAAGGGGTGTGTGTGTGTGTGTGTGTGTGTGTGTGTGTGTGTGTTGTGTATAAATGCAGAAGAACTATAAATTGAGGTATATTTACAAGCTTATACATTTTATTGTACAGTATAAATAAGAACCAACACAGTTTAAGGTGGTCGTATTTCTTTTCTGTGGGAATGCTTCAAGGTGTGTGCATGGTGCACATTCAGGAAGACACAGAATGCAAACATTTATTTGAAAGGGCAGGAATCTGCCAGGTGTGTTGCAACCGTACATACAACAAACATCCTTTAACCTGCCCATAAGTGTCTTTAGAAATGAGAATAGATACACCCTCCTGCTGTCTGTCTTCCTTTTCCTGTTTTCCAAGTTCCTTCCAACAATCAGCCTAAAATATCATTTTCAAATTTATTGACCAAAAAAACTGAGGTAGCATTTATTGTTGTATAATGAATGTTCACTTCCAACTATATTTTGCCCTGACCTTACAATTATATATAATTTCCTGTGCTAGTAACCAGCACACTGCAAAGACTTGAAGGCAGACATCTTGTACTCTGCTAGTTTGGTATCTCCCATGACATTTGAATTGGCATCCTGTACTTCTTATGTAATGTCTTTTTAATAATCTTTGGAAGAATAGTCCAGTTTTTTTTTTAATTTTTAATTTTTGAGGATACATACTAGGTACATATATTTATCGGGTACATAAGATATTTTGATACAGGTGTACAATGTGCAATAATCACAGGGTAAATGGGGTTCTATCAACTCAAGCATTTATATTTCTTTATATTACAAACAATCCAATTATACTCATTAATTTAAAAATTACTATAAATTATTGTTGAATGTAGTCACTCTCGTGCTATCAAATACTAGATCTTACTCATTCTGACTATATTTTTGTACCCATTAACCATCCCCTCTCCCCTCCCCAGCCTCTGGTAATTATTGCTCTAGACTCTGCCTTCGTGAGTTCAATTGTTTTACTTTCTAGCCCCCACAAATAAGTGAGAACATGTGAAGTTTGTCTTTCTGTGCCTGACTTATTCCACTTACATAATGATGTCCAGGCCCATCCATGTTGTTGGAAATGACAGGATCTCATTCTTTTTGATGGCTGAATAGTACTTTATTACATAAATGTAGCACATTTCCTTTCTGCACTCACCTGTTGATGGATACTTAGGTTGCCTCCAAATCTTAGTTATTGTGAATAGTGCTGAGATAAACACAATAGTGCAGATATATTTTCGATATACTGATTTCCTTTCTTTTGAGTATATTCCTGGTAGTAGGATTGCTGAATCATATTAAATAACTCTTACTTTTAGTTTTTTTGGGGAACATCTAACCTGTTCTTTATAGTGGTTGTACTAATTTACATTTCCACTAATGGTGTACGAGGGTTACTTTTTCTCCACATCCTTGCCAGCATTCATTATTGGCTATCTTTCAGATAAAAGCCATTTTAACTGGGGTGAGATGATAGCTCATTGTAGTTTTGATTGGCATTTTTCTGATGATCAATGATATTGAGCACCTTTTTATTTAACTGTTTGCCATTTGTATATCTTCTTTTGAGAAATGTCTATTCTGATCTTTTGCCCATTTTAAAATTACTTTTTTTCTTTAGAGTTGTTTGAGCTCCTTATATATTCTGATTATTAATCCCTTTTCAGATGGATAGTTTGCATATATTTTCTCCCATTCTATGGGTAGTCCCTTCACATTATTGATTGTTTCCTTTGCTGTGCAAAACTTTTTAACTGATGTGATCCCATTTGTCTATTACTTGTCTTGGATGCCTGTGCTTGTGAAGTATTGCTCAAGAAATTTTTGCCCAGACCAGTGTCCTGAAGAGTTTCTTTTGGGAGTTTTCTCTTAGAAGGTCCACGGTTTGAGGGTGTAAATTTAAGTCTTTAATCCATTTTGATTTGATTTTGTGTATGACAAGGGATAGGGGTCTAGTTTGATTCTTCTGGATATGGATATCCAGTTTTCCCATCACCATTCATCGAAGACACTGTCTTTTCCCCTAATGTATGTTCTTGATACCTTTGTCGAAAATGAGTTCACTGTAGACGTATGGATGTGTTTCTGTGTGCTCTGTTCTGTTGGTCTATGTATCTGTTTTTATACTAGTACCATACTGTTTTGTTTACTATAGCTCTGTAGTATAATTTGATGTCACATAATGTGATTCGTGCAGTTTCCTTCTTGTTCAGGATAGCTTTGGCTAATGTGGGACTTTTTTGGTTCCATATAAATTGTAGGATTATTTTTTCTGTTTCTATGAAGAATGTCATTGGCATTTTATTTTGTTGGGGATTCCACTGAATTTGTAAATTGCTTTGGATAGTATTGACATTTTGGCAGTATTGATTCTTCTAATCCATGAACATGGACTATCTTTTCATTTTGTTGTTTCTTTTTCGATTTCTTTCATCAGTATTTTATAGCTTTCATTGTAGAGAGATCTCACTTGATTGGTTAAGTTAACTTCTAGGTATATTATTTGTAACTATTTGTAAATGTGTTTTCTTTCTTGATATCTTTACCAGATTGTTAACTGTCAGCATATAGAAATACTACTGATTTTGATATGTTGATTTCATATTCTGCAGCTTTACTGACTTTATCAGTCCTTTTGGTGAATAGGTTTTTTTCGAGTATAACATCATAGCATTTGCAAACAAGGATAATTTGACTTCTTCCTTTCTGATTTGGATGCCCTTTATTTCCTTCCCTTGTCAGATTGCTCTACCTAGGACTTCCAGTACTATGTTGAATAATAGTGGTGACGATGGGCATCCTTGTTATGTTTCAGATCTTGGAGGAAAGGCTTTCAGGTTTTCCCCATTCAGTGTGATACTACCTGTGGGTCTGTCATATATGGCGTTTACTGTGTTGAGGTATGTTTCTTCTATCTCCATGTTTTTTGAGGGTTTCTATCATGAAGGGATGTTGAATTTTATCAAATGCTTTTTTCAGCATGAATTGAAAGGATAATATGATTTTTGATCTTCATTCTTTTGTTATGATGTATCACATTGATAGATTTGCATAAGTTGAACCATCCTTGCATTCCAAGGATGAATCCCACTTGGTCATGATGATGACCTTTTTAATGTGTTGTTGAATTAAATTGGCTAATACGGTGTTGAGGATTTTGCATCTATGTTCATCAGGAATATTGGCCTTTTAACATGTCTTTGTCTGGCCTTGATATCAGGGTAATACTGGCCTCATAGAATGAGTTTTGAAGTACTCCCTTTTCTTGTGATTTTTAGAAAAGTTTGAGTAGGGTTGGAATTAGTTCCTTTTTAAAATGTTTTATACAATTCAGCAGTGAAGCCATTGTGTCCAGAGCTTTCCTTTGCTGGGAGCCTTTTTATTATGGCATCAATCTTGTTATTGGTCTGTTTGGCTTTTGGATTTCTTCATGTTACAATCTTGGTAGGTTGTATGTGTCCAGGAATTTATCCATTTCTTCTAGGCTTTCCAATTTACTGGCACGTAGTTGCTCATTGTAGCCTCCAATGATCCTTTAAAATTTCTTTGGTATTGGTTGTGATGTCCCCTTTTTCCTCTTGATTATATTTATTTGAGTCTACTTTAAAAAAATTTTTTTTTGGCTAATGTTTTGTCAATTTTGTTTATCTTTTGAAAAAACCAACATTTGTTTTATTGATCTATTGTATTGTTTTGTTCATTTGAATTTCATTTATTTCTGCTCTGATGTTCATTATTTTTCTTTCCTCTTTACTCTTCTCTCCTCAAGTGGAAGGAAGGAGTCTCTCGGGGTTAGGGGAGGTGTGGCACAAGCACTCACTTGGCTGCCCTGGCTGGTATCTCACTAAGTCATGTGCTCCTAATGTCCACTGGCTCTGAGCCCAGCATAGCATCATAACTTGCCAAAGAATTACAGTCCATGTGGTGTAGACTGCCTTTCAAGTTTATTTAGTACCCCAGAACCCTTTAGCCCGTGGTGGTGAGGCTTTCTGGAACTCAGGTTCTGACTGCTGGGATGGGCAAGTCCCCTCTTGCTAGGGCTGGTTGAAATGCTCCCTCTGGGTGATGGCTGAGTTCTGCCTGGTGTTGCTTTCTGCCATGATGATGCAGCACTATTTTCGAATGTAAAAAATTCCATAATTACTACAGTCTCCCTCCCACAGGACAGAGATTTTCTCTCCATGCCACTTGGCCACTGCCAGGGGATGGGGGAGGTGTGGTGTCAGCAACTCAAGACTGTCTTTTCTGCCTTCTTCAGTGCCTCTTTCAGCAATATGAAGTTAAAGCCTGGTATTGTGATTACTCACTTGATTTTTGGTTCTTATGAAGTTGCCTTTTTGTGTGAATAGTTCTTCAGTTTGGTGTTCCTGCAGGGTTAATGATCAGAGGTGTCTATTCAGCCATCTTGAACTGCCTCCTTCCAAATTATTCTTTTTGAACTTTACAAAAGTAATTTTACACTCTACCCCTTTGTCAGGATTTTTCTGTAGCCCCAAAATTTGCCTCAACTCACCACTATTGTGAATGTCATAGCAGCTATCAGTAATAAACATCAGTGTTGAATTTTGTTTTTTTTTATTTTTTTTACTTTATTATTATTATACTTTAAGTTTTAGGGTACATGTGCACAATGTGCAGGTTAGTTACATATGTATACATGTGCCATGCTGGTGTGCTGCACCCACTAACTCGTCATCTAGCATTAGGTATATCTCCCAATGCTATCCCTCCCCCCTCCCCCCACCCCACAACAGTCCCCAGAGTGTGATGTTCCCCTTCCTGTGTCCATGTGTTCTCATTGTTCAGTTCCCACCTATGAGTGAGAATATGCGGTGTTTGGTTTTTTGTTCTTGCGATAGTTTACTGAGAATGATGATTTCCAATTTCATCCATGTCCCTACAAAGGACATGAACTCATCATTTTTTATGGCTGCATAGTATTCCATGGTGTATATGTGCTACATTTTCTTAATCCAGTCTATCATTGTTGGACATTTGGGTTGGTTCCAAGTCTTTGCTATTGTGAATAATGCAGCAATAAACATAGCAGCATGATTTATAGTCCTTTTGGTATATACCCAGTAATGGGATGGCTGGGTCAAATGGTATTTCTAGTTCTAGATCCCTGAGGAATCGCCACACTGACTTCCACAATGGTTGAAGTAGTTTACAGTCCCACCAACAGTGTAAAAGTGTTCCTATTTCTCCACATCCTCTCCAGCACCTGTTGTTTCCTGACTTTTTAATGATTGTCGAATTTTGTATAGCACTTTTGGAAAGAATTTTTGGGGCAGCAAAGATCCTCTTTCCTCATTGGATTTCCATGTAAACATTCTGTGCATTCTGTGTAACCTGTTGTATAACCATTAACAGCTTGGGAAAGAGAAGGCGAAAGGAAAATTTGCTGCTGAGTTTCTGTAGGTGAGAATAGATCTGCTTATTCAAATAGTCAGCAAACAAATTAGAGACTTCTTGCCAATGCGAAGAAAATGACAGCACTCAAGAGACGATGATTGTTTTATTTTTTTAATTTTATTTTTATTGAGCAACACTTCATTCCATAAAATAGAATTAGTATTCCCTATTCCTTGGTATTTTTAAAAAACTACCAATTATTTTATTTATTTTGTACACTGACTTACATGATATAATAATTTTTATGGCTGTACTAATTTCATTTGTTGCTTGCTGAAATGTCTTCATTTTTCTAGTTTTAGGTCTGCTAAGATGTTCTGTCAGAATACTACATACAGTTTGAGTATCTTTTATCCAAAATGCTTGGGACCATAGTATTTCAGATTTTGGATTTTTTTTCAGATGTTGGAATATTTGCAAATACATATCAATGATAATGATATTTTGAAAATATGATTTAGTGTTATTCAAGTGCAAAGCTTGAGGATAGCCACCTGGGAAACACAGTCTCCAAAAGAATGAGTGAGTGTTCCATAGTGGGGAAGTTTTCACTTATATAGGCAGAAACAGAAGTTAACAGGGTTGCAACATTTTCCATACAAGGTCATTACATAGTTTGTAATGATTTGATTGATTACAGCTTGCTACATTCCAAGGAAGATTGCTTTGACATTCTGCAAGGAAGGGCAGTGTTCTAAAGTGGTCTTATATCTGGTGGTATTCCGTGTTTTGTAATCATTTTTAGGACAGTAATGAAGACATTTAATCTATAATTGAAGAAGCAGAAGTTGCAGCTTCATGCTATGTGGCTCAGGCCACATAGTCCCGTTCCTCTCAAGCCTTAACAAATATAAAGTTCCAAAAGCTATAGGTTTGGATTATTTAGTTTGACATATACACTAAGATCTCTTGGGGCTGGGACCCAGTTATAAACATGAAATTCATTTATGTTCCATATACACCTTGTACACACAGCCTGAAGGTAATTTTATACAATATTTTAAATAATTTTGTATATGAAACAAAGTTTGTGTTAAGTACTTGCATGTGGAATTTTTTACCTGTGGTATCATGTTGGTGCTTCAGAATTTTTGGCTATTGGAGCATTTCAGATTTTGGATTTTCGGATTAGGGATTGCTCAACTTGTACTTTAGGTTTTGAGGGCCATGAGGACTCTGTGGCAACTAGTCAACTATCTCATGTAGTGCAAATGCATCCATACATAATATGTAAACAAATGGGCATGGGCATGCTGTGCTCTAACAAACTTTATTTATAAGAACTGTTAGCTGACCCCTGATCTAGTTGATAGACTGACTGACTTCCATGTGGAATACTAGTGTAAGCTCCTGTTGTCACTAATTATTTTCTCCATAGTGTTTCTAAAAGTCATGGTACTAAAATTACTGTATTTCTTTTTAAATGATAATTAAAAGCATTAAAAGGTCCATGCATTCTTTTTTTCTTTTTTTTGATTAACATGCTATGTGCTATTGAAAGGGCAAACCTACCTTCTTACTATCCTTTAGACAATCCAATCACACTCCTGCTGCAGGGCCTTTGCACTTGCTGATGCAGATACAAACCGGAACATAAGACACTCTGCCTCTTTGTCTAGATTTATGCTCAGATAACAGTTTTATCAATGACATCTTCACCACCCTAAATACGTAGCAACCCAGCTTCACATAAATACTTGTCCTACACTTGGTTCTATCTTTAGTCCTCTACTTTCTCCCCACCCCAAGGTACTTAGTACCATCTGTCATAGTATATGTTTTTTATTTAGTTATTCATATTCTGTCTCCATCCACTTGACTAATAGATAGGAGGACAGAGATTTGTTTGCTTTCATCTGCTTTATCCCCAGTAATTAAAATATTAATGGTTCCTGGCATATAACAGTCAACAAACATTGTTGAAAAAAAATGAATGGATGAATGAATGAGTCGAAGGCTTATCTATATCATTAATTAATGCTTTGATGTTTTCAGAATAAATAAATGCACGTTTAAATTTCAGGAACGGAAAACAGTTCTTCCTTCAAAGCATGCAGTACCTGAAGTAATAGAAGACTTTCTCTGCAATTTCTTGATCAAAATGGGAATGACCAGAACTCTTGATTGCTTTCAGTCTGAATGGTAAACAATTATGTAGATAAATAGTTCTCTTAAAATTCTAACATTTAACATATACACTTTTAAGTGTCTTAGGAGACTTTGAAATGACTCAGCCTATGAAAAATGACTAGAAACTTTTCCCATCTCCAGCCCTGAAACCACAACACACACACACACACACACACACACACACACACACACACACACACACACACACAAATCAGAATAGCAGTTACAAAGACATTTTTATTAAACATCTTTCCCAAATATTTAAGTTTAAGTAATTTTTAAAAAATCAAGACACTTGAATATCTCCTGGAGTTATAAAACACAAAGATATTTTATGAAAACATTTCCTAATATTTTTGTATAATTATTGAGAGTATTTCCTGTATTTAGACATTATACTAAACAGTCCTGCTTTACTTCCTTGTTTTATTTATAGTGTAATGGCTTGTCTTTTTCTACTCACATAGCTGATTAATTATATTTCTATGAATATTCTTCAGTTAGAAGTAAGTGGAATTGTATTTTGAATATCACTTAAACAAAATATTTTCTTGTTATAATTGAAAATTTTAATAACTAGTTATGAAAATCAGTAGGTGTACCTTTATTCCTTTGTTATAATAATAATGTCACCAGGCATATTTTCAGTTTCCTGACATTGTTTAAATAAATTTATTAAATGATTAGCTATGAAAATGTATTTGAACTTTAATAGCTATTGCATATTCTAGAAAGGGGGATTAATATGATACCTAAAGATGTTTATAATTAGGACTAATTCCTAATTTTAAATAAATTTGCAATGTATGGATAATTTGCGATTTTTACTCATCCAGCTGTGGTATAAATTTTTATTTTTTGCTTTTTTTGGTTCTCATCTTCTGAGAACATGCACATAAGCGCAGTCAGTTTCATTATTTTAAATTGCACATGTAATGTTAATAAATTCTATGAGGAGAATTATTTTTCATTAATACAGTCTAAGAAAAACAAAGTTCAGTGGAAGAAAAATAATACTGCTTCTCTTAAATTTGGAAATAGTGTGAATTATTTAAAATAATTTTTTATAAAAATATCCCTAAGAAATATAATAATTACAAATGTACTAGAAAATATATTTTTTGTAAAAGTAGGTAGATGATTAATTTACAGTGCTAATAAAGTGAAAGATTAATATGATTCACTTAACTTTCTGTGTTCAACAATGTGTGTTAGGACATGTGATGCTTATATGTTAGGCCAGTCCAAAGTGTAAAATGATTTTCTTAGAATAATCTGGATCCAAGTATACTGTTAACAATTCGGTGACTATTGTCATATTTTCCTTTTAGATTTAGCAATCTGAATTGATGAGATGAAATTTTAGGAAACTAAGATTACTGTTAGTATTAGGATTTAAAGTCCTCCCAAACTAAGCATACTAGTCATAAGATAAAATTGGTATAACGCATTTCTTTATGAGTTTAGAATATCGTGGTTCAAGTAATTTTATCCTTATCCCTAGCTGCCAGTTTGCAATGAGATTACATTGTATTGAATACCTTATTTCATATGAAACATTTTTTATTTTGATTAGAAAACTTTACCTATTCTACATAGTAAAATTATAGGAATATTAAATATATTATTTTTTATCATTTTTACCACAGGAAAAAACACTTAGAATATATCATTTGCTATGAATTCACTTAATCTTTCAAAACATGACCAAACAAGGATTTTCCTTTGTTAGTTTGTTAAAATAAGCAAACAAACAAAACACTGGGCAGTAAAATTTGATATAGGTTCTTTCACTCCTCAAGCAGAAAATGCAATAGATCCTTTAAATCGAGGGTTAGAAAACTAAGATCCTTGGGCCAAATCTGGCCTGCTTCCTGATTTTTAAAATAAAATCTTATTGGAACACAGATATAACCTTTCTTTAGGTATTGTATATGGCTGCTTTCACTCTGTAAAAGCAAAGTTAATTAGTCACAACAGGAGAGATATGGCCTGTAAATATAGTTTTGCCAATTCTAAAATATTTATTCTCTGACCCTTTACAGAAAAGAGTTGCCAGAACATAGTAGGAATTTGTTCTATGAACCACTGAAAAGTTTCCATTGCAGGTTTAGTCGATGGTTCAATTCTATTTATATGCCTATTTTAGAATTCTCAATGGGCAATGGTAATTTCTCAGGGGGGAAAAATTAAAGAAGAAATTAAAATGGAGAAAATATGATAATCTAATTCCAGTACCCTTACCTGAGCATATGTCATCCATCTGTCTTCCTACACTGACTGTTCCCCTATTAACATTGTCAGAACTACTCACCCTAAAGATACATTCTTACTTTTTTTGCCTCTTACTACACTTCTTTTTAAACCATTTTTCCCTTTCCAGCCAATATTTTGAAAACAGAGTTTAAATTTTTTTTCTTTCTTCACCTTTTTACTTCGTATTCAACACTTAGTTCTCTCCAGTTTGGCCTATTCGCACCATTTCACTGAAGGTAGGGTGGCAATGAAAATGCCATCAAAAGTAATAGTACAATTATTTATAACATTTAATTACTAATTTAATTTTTTTTAATAATGGAAGAGATTGTAAATTAAGAGTATATTTCATTAATTTGCATGAAAGAAATATTGCAGCTTTTAGACAATAAAATTTGTCATAACATTTAATCACTTAAATGTGAGCAGTGCAGTTACAACTTTCTGGGGATGGTTAAGTTTTAAAGCCAGAGCCTAGAATTAAAATTACCTTTGATATAGCCCTTATGTTGCCCAAGTATGTACAGGAAATATGTGTGGTGTTGTGTATACATTAATGACTCCCAGTGAACACTACACAAATATTTGTTCCTTTGTCATTTGATCTTACTGCTGTTTCTTCAATTAATGAGAACTTGGCTTCTAGTTATATGTCCCATAAGAATATTTTTTCCCCATTCATTATTAAGTTTAACACAGGAATGTAGTGACTCTTCTACATAACATAAAAGTTAGCAAAAGCTAATTTTTGCTATGTTACATTATGATACATTTGACCACTATAAATACATCTGCACAGATTTATGTACTATGATATTAAGAGAGCAGCCATTTAGGTGAGTATTTAATTTAAATTTTTAAAACAAAATTAATAACATGTTTATTAAATATGAGGGATTTAAAAATATTTAAGAAGGTGAAGCCTTAGGCTTATCACTCAGAAATTTACTTTGTATCATTTTTATTGATATAGTATATTCTCATGCATTATTTCATTTACTTCTCCCAACAACTGTATCTAGCAGGTAGCCACAGCCATATTTCTATTTTACGGGTAAGGAAAGGGGATAGGGAGATTAGGAAATCTCATCAGTGAGTGTCACCAAGTCATAGCCAGTAAGTGGCAGAGTCAACCTAGGACATACTGATCTTAAAGACCAGTCTCCTAACCACAGGGCTATATTGTGCAATTATACAAGAGAATCTTTGAAAAAATTAATAAAGGTGCCTTTTGGCTTGGCTGGATACTAAAAGGACTTCAGAAAATATTAATTTAGAATTCAAATTTGTGCCTATTTTCTATATTGGTTTGAGGAATCTTGGGGCCAGTAATAAACATGTCAGCCATGCTATATTTTTCCTGAGAGGGACTGTCTGGTTCTAAGTGATAGTCGCGATAGTGCTGGGGATTCTGACATCCTCGGTTTGTACAGGAATTAAAATAATTTTGTCTGTGTTGGTAATGTATTTCCCTAAATCTTTATGAAAACATGGAGGAAAAGTTCTCATTATAGGCTTCGTATAAGGAGATTATAATCAAGATGACCTTTCCCCTGTCTTTTACATCCTATGCCTTGGGTGCCACCATGAGGGAAAAATAATCCTTATTCTTCTGACACCATTTCTGTTTTTACTGGAATTCTGTCATAATATTCATCATTTATGGCAGTGGGTCTTAAATGCTTTTGTTATGTGGACAAAATTTTATGAAATTTCTATGCACTTTCTCCCTGAAATTCATATATATTCTCCATTTCTACATAATTCTAAGTAGTTGATGGATCTCCTGGTAAATATTAAGATAATTAATGCAGTTTTATTAGTGATAATTTTATTGGCAATTTCATTAAGAGCAAATTATATTTCAAATTTCTAATAGTTATGGCAATCTTTTTTCCCACCTGAACACTTTTGAGTCTTATTTTAAGAGTGAGTGAAAAAGAAGAAAAAATAAAAAGTCAGGATATTTGTTAAAACAAAACAAAACAACAGATACATACAAACTGAAGCAAACCACAAAAACATTATGTATGAGAATTCAGATTTTATTGAGAAGTATACTTCTGTAGTTTGTGCATTAAAATTCCTAATTACTTGTATTATTATCTAAAAATGAGCCTGAAGTCATCTTTCATATTTTTACATGGATGGCAGAAAATTTACCTGATAAATAATTTTTGAATGTCCTGAGATATATACTATGTAATAAATGTTGTATTTGGATTTGTGCTTCTTTTATCACATACTATTTTATTTATAGTATTTAATTTAGAGGAAAAACTATTAAATCACTTTTTTCCTCATAGAAAATTTCTCTAGTGGTTTTTCCTCATTAAATAAAGCAAGGTGCTGAAAACCAATTTTATGGTCAGAAAAAGCCTATGTCTTCTCTTCTGAGATAAGTATATCACATTCCTAGTACAGATTACTTACTGAATTTATGATTCAATTGATACCTATTTCCTGTTTTATGAATTGTGGCAAATATAATGGAATATTGATTCAATTATCTTAATCTTCAGGATATTCTATGGGGGGGTCCTCTTGCTCTTTTTTTAGAAAAAATCAGATAAAGTATATAACACAAAATATGTGACTTTATAAATATGTAACATTATTATGATTTATAATATGAAACTACTGATAATTTATAATTAGCTCTAATATTTAGCTCATCTAGAGTAAGCTTTGTAGGGATTTATTAATAACCTTATTACTTGAAATATTTTTCTGTGCTCAAATTGTTTTTTTTAACTTTATTGATTGCCATACACAGGGATTAAAATTGTAATTATTTACAATCTGCAATTGATTCTCTGATGTTGCTTCTTATTTGACTGAGAAAATAGAAGTTCCATCACTCCCACCTCCCTCTTTACCACCCTGCTGCCTCTGGCCTCAGGTATTCTTCTCTTCTCCCTCAGACTCTAATGTTATCTGAAGCCAACTCTCATCTTGTCTGCTTGATACCAGCCCCTCTCACAGACTTAAGGATACTGCTTTTGTAATCGTCCCGCTTTTACCTCCATTGTCAGTTTTTTCCCTCTTGGCTGAGTCATTCCCATAAGCATACAGATGCACAATATCTCACATTTTAAAAAAGGAAGAGAAGAACCGCCCTAGATTTCATATCTTCTTCTAAGTTCATCTTGATTCCCTGTGCTTTGCTTTAGAGCATATCTCCTTGAAAAAAGTTTGTTGCCACTTCCTCATTTCCTAGTCTCTCAGACGTACTCTCAGTTTGGCTTTTATCTGCATGACTCTATTGAAAACTTTTTTTTTTTTAATAGTGACTTTCACAGTGCCAACTTCAGTAATTGATTCTCAGTATTCTTTTCAGACTCCTGGCAGCATTCGTCACTGTTGTTCAGTTCTTCCTTTTTAGAACACTTTCTTCATTTGGCCCCTGGGCACAGCTCTCAGATTCTCCCACTATTTCACGGGCCTCTCTTGCTTCGTCTTTTTTGGTAGTGTTTTCTTTTCCCCTCAACCTGGAAGCAGTGTAGTGTTTATGGCTCACTCCTAGGACCTCTTCATTTCTTTCTTTCTTTACTTTCATTTCCCACTGCCTAGCTGGTCTTTTTCAGTCTCATGACTTTAAATAGTATCTATAATGTTGATTACCAAATTTAAATTGCCAACCCTGACTTTTTTCCTGAACTCTGAACATGTATACTCAACGTTTGTCTTCACTTAAATGTCTGCTAGGCATATTACATTTAACACGAATGGAAACAATCCCTTGATTACTCCAGCCACTCTGCTCCTCCTGCATTTGTCCCCACTTAGTAAATAAATGGCTATCTGTTGCTCAGCCAAAAACCCTGGAGTCGCACTTGCCTTCTCTCATTTACCAACACCTGACAGTTGATCCATCAGAGAGTCCTGCTGGCCCCACCTTGACAGCATTTCTAGAAGGTACTTCTCATAATCTCCACTGCTACCAACTTCTTTCAAGCCACCATGCTCTCTCTTTGACTACTGCAATAGCCTGCTAACTGGTCTCTCTGATTCTATGCTTGCTAGACTAATCCCTTTAAAACATAAATCTGGTCAGTGTCACTTATCTCAAAACCTTCCTATGGTTTACTTCTGATTCAGAGTAAAATTGCTTTCCTCACTGTGACTCCCTGCTGTTTTCCTGACTCATCTTTCACCATTCTCTCCTTGGTCACTTAGTTGGCTTCAGTTCCAGACACTCCAGGTACCCTGGCTGTTTGTTCTTTCTTGTAGTTGCCAAACACTTCCTTGGTTCAGGGCCATTGCATTTACTTTTCCATCTGCCCCAGCTGCTTCTCTCCCAGCTATCCACATAACACAGTCCCTCATTTCCTTTAGATCTCTGTTCAGATATCACTTTGTCAGTCATGTTTGTCATTCATGCCCACCCTATGTAAAATAGCACAAGCACTCCCATCAGTGTTTCCACCTCATTCTTCCTATATCTTTCAGACAGCTTATTTAACTTCATAGAACTTATCACCCTCCCCACTAGAATGGAAACTCCATGAAATAGGGACGTAGACATTTTTGTCAATTTTAATATTGTCTAGACCAGTGCCTGGAACATAGGAGATGTTCAGTTATTATATTTTATACACCATGATGGTATTGGTACCTAGAAGTCATATTTTATTCTAAAATATATTATGACTGTTGGACATTTTAACTTATAAATGTAATACTGCAACTAATTACTATAACACTCCCTGAGACTTAACTTTTTGAATTGTACATAAATTAAGCCAATTTGGCAGAAAGAAATGATATAAACCCTTTTGTTTGATTTTATCCTAGGTATGAGTTAATACAGAAAGGAGTGACTGAACTTAGAACTGTTGGGAATGTTCCAGATGTCTACACCCAGATTATGCTTTTGGAAAATGAGAACAAAAATTTAAAGAAAGATTTGAAGCACTACAAACAAGCAGCTGAGTATGTTATTTTTTAAATGACATTTTCTTCTTTTTCTTTTGGACTAAATAAAAGAGTTGAGTGAAGCTGATATATGTAATATACCAGAGCCTTAATTTTTGAAAACTGAATTTTTCTAGTTGTAAAGAATGTGAGAGGCTTCATTAGCAAATTAATTAAACAGATGATCAGAACTATCACAATTATAACTTACCAACAAGAAGGGAATGCAGGTAGTTGTTTAGGAGATGGTACATTTTTTATATAACATTCACTTCCTTGTGTATTTGATAGTCTTTTCATGGTTTATAACATTTTCTCCTGTAAAGATAGGCTAATTTCTGAAATAATAATTAAATTTATAGAAAGCCGAGAGGAAATTGCTAGTTTATTCCTGGTAGAGGAATTTCTGTATTTGAAAATTCTCCAGAAGGAATAATATAAACTGTGGACTTTGGGTGATAATGATATGTAGGTTCGTCAGTTGTTAACAAATGTATCCCTCTGTTGGGGGCTATTGATAATGGGGAAGGCTGTGCATGTGTGGGAGTAGGAGGTGTATGGGACATCTCTGTACCTTCTAATCAATTTTGCTATGAACTTAAAACTGCTCTAAAAATAAAGTTTATTAAAAAAAAGTTAATTCTCTATACTGTTTTCCATACAGGTTGAACTAATTTACATTCCCACCAACCATGTATGAGTGTTCTCTTTTCTGCACGTTCTCACCAACATCTGTTATTTTTGACTTTTTAATAATAGCTGTTCTGACTGGTGTAAGATGATATCTCATTGTGGTTTTGACTTCAGTCCAGCAGTTCCACTACTGGGTATCTACTCAGTTGTATAAAAATTCCACCCACACTCTTACGTTTATTGCAGTGCTATTGATGATAACAAAGTCATGGAATCAACGTAAGTGTCCATCAGCAGATGATGGGATAAAAAATGTGACATTTATATACAATGGAATACTATTCAGCCATAAAAATGAATGAAATCAGGCCTTTTGCAGCAACATGGGTGGAACTCGAGGCCCTCACCCTTAGTGAAATGACTCAGAAACAGAAAGTCAAAAACCACATATTCTCACTTATAAGTAGGAGCTAAGCAATAAGTACATATGGACATATAGAATGGAATAATAGATACTGGAGACTTTAAAAGGTGGGAGAGTTGGAGGAAAGCAAGTATGGGTAAAATGTCCACTACTTGGGTGATTGGTACACCAGAAACCCAGACTTCATCACTATGCAATATATCCATGTAAAACAACTGCACTTTTACCCCTTAATCTATAAAAATAAAAAATTTTAAAAAAGAAAATATAAACTATCCATAATTTCACCACCCAGGGCCAACCACTTACCATTTTGTTGAATAGCAGCCTTGACTTTCCTCAATGCATTTATATTAATGCATATTTATGAGTAACTTTTAAATATAAACTGCACTAATACCATATTTTGTAAGTTCCTTTTTCATTCAAGAGTACATTATTAATATATTTTATGAAAATAAATTTTCTTCTAACTTAAAAGAAAATTACTGAAAGGAAACCTTTGTTTTGTAATTTCCTGGCATAAATTTATTCATAGAAGAGAAGCCAGATCTCTCCACACCTTTCTTTCTTTCTGCAATTAATGGAAGACATGCAATTCCTGGTGAACAATTTTAGATAAACAGCCAGTGTTATTCTGACAAGGAATGTGTGAATGCATTAACTTGGGGTGAATCTGCTTATCTGAGGCAATGTTATATGGAAAAATCAATGCTCAGATGTGAAGCAGAGTTCGTGTTTTATTTATTAATTCATTTTTATTAAATATAGTTAAAGAGGGCCTTTCTCACTTAAAGAATCATATTAAAACCAAAATTAGATTAATGGAACTACCATATAGGAACATAATATTGTTAAGATTTTTGATAAGTTTAAAGAAACATGCCTTTTCATTGAGAAGTAGAGAAAATATTTAAGCTCTTGTAAAAGATGGCAGTAAATAATTTGTATGATATCATTTATTCAAGTATTATCTGTACTTGTAGAAATGTTTTTGCAAGGTATATAAATTTTGTATTGTCTATGGATGTAATGTACCATTTAGAATTTTATATTTTACATTAGAAGTGTATGATGATTCAGAAGAATATATTACTAGAACCAGTGTTCTCTCTATTCTTCATTCCATTTCTCAAAAGTGTTTTGTACTGTTTGCCCTGTTGCTCACTATGATTTTGTATATTCATCTAATGGATTCACTGGGAATTTGGTATAGCATATTTCTCACAGTGCTGCCTGGCACACTGTTTCAGTTCCTGATCTCCTTTGAATTATTGCTTGAGTTTGCTAATTTTCTTTTAAATAGATCAAAGCAGCCTCTTTATGCCATAAGTTTAGCTCCAGTGACATTGAATAGTCATTGTCAAGTACTGGTTGTTTGTTGAATATTATGTTTAATAGCAATAATACGAAATAACATATTACTCATGCAGATTATTAACTTAATGTTAAAAGAAGCCAGGATTAAAATGTATCACTCAAATAAAACATCTTGTCTTACTAACATATCAGATTATAGTTTTAATTTTAACAGTTTATGGCTATTTCTCAAATCTATCTCATTCAATAGAACTTAAAATCTAAAAAATTAGACAAGGAAAATTTGTGTTTGCTTTACTCTACTTGACATGGAAGATTTGAAAGGAAGCTGCTTGATCCTTAGTAGATGCTTAATCTTTATTTTGTTGAGTGGATATTAAGCATGGTGTGCTTTCACAGCACATTTTAGTAAAGTGCTTCCTTATAGCCTGGTTCTACTGATACATTCTTAGAAAATGTAGAATGAAGTTTTGTTTCGTTTTGTCAGTAGTTTTTTATTGATACATCATAATTGTACATACATTTATATATGATAATTGTACATGTGATATTTTGATACATATGTATCAAATACATTTGTACATATGATAATTGTACATGTGTTATTTTGATTACATACATACAATGTGTAGTAATCAAATCAGAGTATTTAGGGTATCCATCACCTCAAACATTTATGATTTTTTGTGTGTGTTGGGAACATTTCAAATCTAACTATTTTGAAATAGATGATAAATTATTGTTAACTGTAGTCACGCTACTGTGATATTGAACACTAGAAGTTAACCCTTCTATCTAACTGTTTGTATCCATTAACCAATTTCTCTTCATCTCCCCTTTCCACCCAACGTTCCCCACATACTTCCCAGCCTCTGGTAATTATCATTCTCCCTGCTACCTCCATGAGATCAACTATTTTAGCTTCCACATGAGTAAGGACACGCAATATTTGTCTTTCTGTACCTGGCTTATTTCTCTTAACATAATCATCTCTAGTTTCATCTATGTTCCTGCAAATTATAGGATTTCATTCTTTTTTTAAAAATGGCTTAATAACATTCCATTGTGTATATGTGCCACATTTGATTTATTTATTCTTCTGTTGATGGGTACTTAGGTTGATTCCACATTCTTGGCTATTGTGAATAGTGCTGCAATTAAGTTTTGAAAAAAGTTTTCCGAACTACATCTGTCATGCTACCAGCCTGCCCCAAATGGTAGTGTTTAATCATCTAGGTTTTTCAATTTGACTTCTGAGGATAATTTTCAAATAGCAATTAGTAATAAACATGAGATTCCCTATATTGAGCTTGAGCTAATGTTTGTATTTTTAGGATTAGGATATTTCTTAAGGCAAAATAAAACAGGCAAAATAGAATAGGATATTTCTTAAGGCAAAATAAAATAGATATCAAATACTTTTCTAATAATAATTTTTAATACACAAAAAAGTCAGGTTGCAGATATGTATTATTCTTGATTATACTAATAGCATTTAGTGATGTATCTAGGAAAATCAAATAAATAATACAGCTATAAAATTAATATTTATCTGGGGGAAAGTTGCCATGGAAAGAGTATTGATCTTAAAGTTCAAATACCTGGCTTCTAATATTCTGTTACTTATTAACTCAGTTTATTGAATTACTCCCAGTTTTCTTATTAACCTGGGAATTATTTTGCATAGTGTTATTAATTTCTATGGAATAATGTGATAATTAAATGAGTCAAGCTATGTTAAAGAGCTTTGTAAATCACAGAGTGCTTTGAAATGTCAGCTATTATCAATAACTCTAAATGCTGTCATCTCTAAGTTTTTATTAATCACATCATTAATATTTTTTAAATTCAGCAACGATGAAGTATGAAGAAGGAAATGAAAGGAGAAAATATTTCCCACTAAAATATCATTTGAATTGCCATAATTAAAGCAGGGAATTGTCATTTTCTCTGTTGTCAACAGTGTCAATTTTAGACTATAGGTTTTCTCTGTACCTGCTATAAATATAGATTATCTGTCTTCCAAAATATAAAGTTGGGAAAATAACTGTTGAGAACATTTCTGTATAGATGTTTTTATGGAGAAAATGATCTTATTAAAAATTTATAGTTACATTGGAAGTAAAAGTATTTCCCATACTGGATATTGAAGAACAATATTTTTCTCAGAAAAGGAGAGCATACGTTTTCTATTGAAATGTAGACCAATTGTTATTTTAAATGCAAAAGTCTAAAGTTGCACTTAAAGCAGGTGACCACAGTTGCAGAGATTTGGTGGTTGACACCAACATGGCACATGTATACATATGTAACTAACTTGCACTTTGTGCACATGTACCCTAAAACTTAAAGTATAATAAAAATAAATAAATAAATAAATAAAAAAAAGTAAAAAAAAAAGATTATAAAACACCACTTAGAATTGTATCTTTCACAGTTTAGACACTATATTCATTCATAAACCTTGTTTTATTTGGTAGTTGTCATGCCAAAAGATTTACTTTGGTCTGAAGTTTATAAATAACTATTATGAGTTTTATTAATTAAAACCTTTTTGCTTGATCTTCTTGCCTGTTTTCACTAGCATTTTATGTCTTCTTTCCATAGTGTAGACAATGCAAAAAAAAAAAAAAAAAAAAAACAAAAAACTCGTTTGGGTGATTGATTCCTGAAAGCACCAGTGTACTTGAACTTTAACATCTTGCAGTCTGACTTTCATTTCACTTTTTCTCAGTTGGCCTTGGACACAAGAGAACTGTTTGACACCCAAATTTAGCAGTCTTTTTTTTCCATTTGTATATCCTGGTTTTTATTCCTATCTTCCCTTAGCATCTGTGACATCATACTGTTCTGCCCCTCCTTCTACCTTAGTGACAGGCTTCTTTTCCTTTTCTTAACTCCAAACAGTTGATACTCTTTAAGTACATTAGGATAACTATTGACTACATGTGAATATTGACAAATACAACATATATTAGGTAGTGGTAAGTGCTATGAAGAAAAATAACATGGGTAAAGGAGACAGACGGGGTGCTGTTTTATGTAGGATTGGTAAGGGGTGGGGCAGGGAGCAGGGGAGCACATCAGAAACCTGAAGAGACTGAGGGAAAAAGCCAAGTATAAACTTGGGAAAATGGAATTCCAGGCAGAGGAAAAAGGAAGTATAAAGAGGATGTGGTGAAGACAGGTTGGCTTGTTAGAGGATTAGCAAGGAGGCTATAGTGGCTCTAACCAGTGGGTTAGTGGTAGAGGCCTTTGCTAGAAACTTGCTTTTTCCCCCAGGTGGCATGTGAAGCTAATAGTTTGAGCAGAAGCATGTGAACAGGCTTCTGCATGGAAAAATGCTCAATGTTACTAATTGTCAAGGAAATCCAAATCAAAAGTAAACGAGAAATCACCTCATACTTTTCAGGATGGCTATTATTAGAAAAACACAAACAATATGTCCGGCGCGGTGGCTTACGCCTGTAATCCCAGCACTGTGGGAGGCCGAGGCGGGCAGATCACAAGGTCAGGAGATCAAGACCATCCTGGCTAACATGGTGAAACCCCGTCTCTTCTAAAAAATACAAAAAATTAGCCGGGCATGGTGGTGGGTGTCTGTAGTCCCAGCTACTCGGGAGGCTGAGGCAGGAGAATGGTGTGAACCCAGGAGGCGGAGCTTGCAGTGAGCCGAGATCATGCCACTGCACTCCAGCCTAGGCGACAGAGCAAGACTCCGTCTCAAAAAAAAAATAGAAAAATACAAACAATAACAAGTGTTGATGTAAATGTGGAAGAATTGGAACCCTTGCACATTACTGGTGGGAATGCAAGTGGTGCAGCCACCACTGAAAACCGAATAAAGGTTCCTCAAAAAATTAAAATTCAAACTACCATATGATCAAGAAATCCCACTCCTGGGTATTTATTTGAAGTGAATTGAATTGAAACCAGGATCTGAGGCAGATATTAGCACTCCTGTGTTCATTACAGCATTATTCACAACAGCCAAATTATAGAAACAACCTAAATGTTCATTGACAGATGAATGGGTAAAAAAAATATGGTACATTCATGCAATGCAATACTACTCATCCTTTAAAAAGAGGGAAATTCTGTAATATGTGAGGACATGCATGAACCTTGAGGACACTATGGTAAGTGAAATAAGACAGTCACAGAGGGATGATTACTGCATGATTCCCCATATATGAGGTATTTAATATGGTAAAATTCATAGAATCAGAGTAGAATGGTGGTTTCCAGGGGATGACAGGAGAGGAAGATAGGGCATTACAAATCAAAGGGCATAAAGTTTTAGGTAAACAAAAATCAGTGCTACAGATTTGTTATATATCATTGTACTACAACCAACAATAGTGTATTGTACACTTAAAAATTCGTTAAGAGGGTAGATCTCATGTTACCTTCTTACCATATACTCAAAGAAAGTAAACAGTATAGACTAATGAACCTCATAGACCTATAGGATAATCAACACTCTACTTTTGTCATTCTTATTTCACTTCTACTCTTACCCATTCCCTACTGTACCTCAAGTTATTATAATATATAATTTTTACAGTTATTTTTTGTTATGCTTTATATACATTGAAGTATATGTCTTAGCTATATAATTTTGGCAAACGGATAAACTCTTAAACATCCACATTCATCTCAAGGTAGAACATTTTTATCTATCCAGAAGTTTTCCTCATGTCCCTTCTCAGTCATTCTCTGTCCCAGCAATCACTTTTAAGAATTTTTTCACTTTAGATTAGTTTTGTTTGAGAATTTCATAAATGGAATCACAGTATATTATTGTGTTTGGCATCTTATACTCAGCATAAAGTCTGTACAATGTATTATTTTTGCCTGTATCAGTAATTTGTTCCTCTTTATTGCTAAGTAGTATTCTGTTGTATAATGTATACTACAACTTTTTTATCCTTTTTCCATTTAGTTATTTCCAACAGTTGGTTATTAAAGATAAAACTGCTGTGAACATTGAGGTACAAATATTTGGTGGGAATATGTTTTCATTTCTTATAAAAACTTAGTGGAATTTCTGGATCAAGGGGATAGATGGATGTTTAACTCTGTATGAACTGCTCGTACATATTCCCACATTCAAGTTGGTCCATTTTGCTTTCTCAGTAGGAATACATGCGAATTCCAGTTGCTCCAAACAGCTACTAACATTGAGTGTTGTTAGTCTTTTCAGTTGTAGCCATTTTAACTGTTGTGTTGTGGCATCTTGTATTTTTGATATGCATTTTCTGTATACAAATGATATTAAACATAATTTTTTTTGCTTTTTGACCATTCTAAAAAGCATTCTACAAAGCATTTATCCTGCTTTCTGTATGTTTATGTTTTTTGCTTGCTGATCTTATAATTGAATTGTAAGAGTTGTTTGTATATTCTGGATATAAGTGCTTTGTTAGAATATTGTGAATATTTTCTCCCAGTCTGTGGCTTGTGTCTTTAATTTATGAATGGTGTCTTTGTTGAGCAGACACTATAAATTTTAATGAAGCATATCTTATCTTTTTTATGGTATTTATTTTGACATTTTGTTGAATATATCATTTTCTACTATAGGTCACAGAGATATTCTGTGTTTTCTTCTAAAACGCTTAAAATATAGATTTTTATTTCAACATAGGATCTGTTCTTAAGTTTTGTGCATTGTGTGAGGTAGAAGCTAGAAGTTAATTTTCTTTACTATAGGAATACATAATTGTTCTGGCACCATTTCTTGAGAAAATTATCTTTAAGTCTCATTTAATTTCTTTGGCACTTTTATTGAAAATCAGTTGACCCTTTAGAATAAGTTTGCCAATTTCCACAGACACGGGTGATGTAGGTGTGACATAGGATGGGGATTAAGTTGAAAATATAACTTGATTTTGGAAAAATATGTGTGTGTGTGTGTGTGTGTGTGCATATCTATTTTTTGAGGGGGGAAGGATTGATACTGTCACAAGTTTTAGTCCTATTTACATAGCATATCTCTCCATTTAAGTTATATTTAATTTAATACTTTATATTTATGAAGGAGCTTGAAATTTATGCCCTTCATATTGAATTATCTAATGTTTATATTTTGTTGTTGCATTTTCAGTTCCATATAATAGAGACTATGTTTTGTGTTCACTATACCCACGGGGCCTATCTCTGTGCCTGGTACATAGAAGGAGCTTAAGTGATTGTGTGCTATTAAACTTTTGGCTCTTTAGTTAAGCTTTTAATAATTTTTAGAGCAGTTAATTGGTGATTTTTGCCCCTTTCATGGCATTTATTTGGGGTAGGCATTATTTTCTTGGGAATGTAACCAGTCTTGCCGTATTTTGAGTATTGTCTTCCTTTGCCAGGCTTTTACAGTAAGGAAATATAATGCAGACCAGAAAGGCTTTGTTGAGAGCCCTGAAGAAAATAATACTGATTGGGATTACTAACAGGAAGATGAAAAACTGCCATTTAAAAAATAATGACATACTTTATTTTACAATCTGCCAGAGAGTATAGGCATAAAGAAAACCATAATTACATGGCAATTAATATTGAGGAAAAATTAAGGTGGTTTACTAAGGGGCCTTTATTTCACTTTCAAAATTTACTTCTATAAAAGGTCAAAGAGTGCCCAGCTTTTGTGAAGACCCATTTAGTTTTATGACTTTCAGAAACAAACACTGTGAAAATAAAGATAATAATGAGGCTTATAAAATTTCATGCTTTAGTGTTTAGGTAATTGCTTGTTAAATTAAGAAGGTATTTTTTTCTGGACGTGAATATACCCCTTTCTTTTTTGGTTAGGATATAATGAAAGTTTTTCTCTAATCTGGTTGAATTCCATTTTGGCCATCCAACAGTTATTCCAATATAAAATTTAGTGGGTTAAATAAATTCATTTATAACCAATTGAAGATAATGGAATATTTGCTAATTATGTAACTACTATTATCAGAAATTACTTTGATTCAATTTTTTCATGTGAGAAAAATATATGACAAAGATAGCCTACTTCGATGCAGGTAAACAAGAAAATGTTTATATGCTTTACTTTGCCAAATTATAACAAGATAATCCAATAAACTCATTATTAAATGATCATTCAAAAATACTTAAAACTGTTCAGTTAATAAAATTATTTTACCATGGATATTCACTTCAAAATATTTTTGAGCATACTATTAAATAATATTCATATCATATTGAAAATGGAGTTTTGGGGCAATAATTTTATAGTTCGATAAGAATATCTGTACCTTAATATTGCATAATTGAATTGTAGACTTTGATATGCTGGTTTCCTGAAATGGAGAAGTTAAATAATCATTGTACCATTTTATTAAGACAAAGCATGTGCAAATTGTTTTCTTTATGATGTACACATTTAAATAGAATGTTCCACTGAGTAACTCTTAACAGCGTTGTACTTGAAACAATGTCTGTTTGCTGTGTTTTTTTTTTTTTAACACAAAGATGCTCTACTAATGTGATGAGGAAATATTATATAGTTTAAAATATTAGCTGCTTATATGAATATTTTAAACTTTATTCTTTAGTACAACTTTTATTTTCCATTTATTAAGCAGATGGGCAGCAGGAAGGTCATAATAGGAGAAGCACCACCATGAAATGAATTTAAATTGTTCTACTGAATAGACTTCATTGTGCAAACAGAAAGAAAGTCCCTGAAAACCAATTTAATGGTCAGAAAAACTTTAAGGTCTAATACTTCAGTCAATTCCTATGCTTTGTTTCCTGGGACGAGCACAAATAGGCTTCTAATGTATATTTAAAAAGTGAATTGATGCAATGCTGCACATTTATGGTTCTGCTTAAGAAATTTTGCAGCGTTATTTCTTAAAGTATTTTTAACATGTTGTGGGTTTACATTTCACATAAGATAAAAATAAGCTCATTTATGTAATTCAAGTGACTGAAATTAAGACAATTTAGTATACTCAAAATAGACGTTCACAAAATTTTAAATTCATTTTTTAAAAGATACACAGTGTTACTAATATTCACATATCCTAATATTTTTGGTTGATTAGAAGATATTTACTTACTGGCACACTCCTTATTGTAGGAAGATAAATTTAGCGCTTAGAAGAATTGTGTGTGTCTGTTTTACTATACTGAATAGCAGTATTATGAAATGATGATGATGATTATGAGTACAGAAACATTTATTGAGTAATTTAGTATTTGCTATGTGCAAGACTATGTAAGCCACTTTACTAAAATATTTAATTGAATACGCTTTGAAGCTCATTATATGTCCATTTTGGAGGTGCTAAATTTGATATTTACAGAGGTTATATAGCTTGACAAGGTCACATTGCAATGAAGAATTTCCTATATTGAATATGATATTATTATCATATTAGCATTACTCCAATGAAGTAACCATATCTGTTAGCTGATTATAAAGACATAATACTGGATTTTTATCTATGGTTCTAAAACAAATATAGTATTATTTTTTAGATAAACTCATTCAACTTGACATGCTTTAGAGCTAACTTGTTTTGATAGCCCGCTCAGGATATTCTGTACAACTTTTTTTTAAAAATACAGGGTTAAAATGAATGTTCTAAGATCTTATTCATTATTCTTTTTGCAAATTATTTGAAGAGATTCATTGATCCTTTTTCAAAACAATTTATCTCTTCTACACACAGCCTTTCTCTATACTTCTAATTGAAAATGGAATCATTTTCTAAATGAGAATTCAAGTGAGGTTCTTGTGCTTTCACAATAAAGTATCAACTCAATCATTTACTTATTTTCCATTCACTTTACTTAAATTCTCTCCTCCTCTTCACTTAGTACTCAGTAAGGATGATGCCAAACAGTCTGCCATCTCAGGGAGATGGCAGAGAGTTTCTCTCTTTTTAGTCCATATTCACTAGGGAGGTCTTGTGTACCTGAGCCTTAGGAATGAGGACTTTTCCTGTCTCTTTGTCCATCCTCTGTGTTATGGCCAAACTCTGCCTTCTATCTGTAGTTGGTCTTTGTAGGAGTTTCATACTGCTACCTCAGGAGTAGGATACTTCTACTTGCTGTGATGGAATATTAAGGCCTAAGATGGTTACCTGTTGATTGGTTTGGCTGTGTCCCCACCCAAATCTCATCTTGAATTCCCACGTGTTGAGGGAGGGACCTGGTGGGAGGTAATTGAATCATGGGGGCAGGTCTTTCCAATGCTGTTCTCCTGATAGGGAATAATAAGTCTCACGAGATCTGATGGTTTTAGAAAGGGGAGTTTCCCTGCACAAGCTCTCCTTTTTTTTGCCTGCCACCATCCATGTAAGATGTGGCTTGCTCTTTTTGTCTTGCACCATGATAGTGAGGCCTCCCCAGCCAAGTGGAACTGTAAGTCCATTAAACCTCTTTTTCTTCCCAGTCTCAGGTATGTCTTTATCAGCAGTGTGAAAATGGATTAATACAGTAAATTGGTACCAGTATAGTGGGCATTGCTGAAAAGATACCAGAAAATGTGAAAGTGACTTTAGAACTGGGTAACAGGCAGAGGTTGGAACAGTTTGGAGGGCTCAGAAGCAGACAGGAAAATTTGGGAAAGTTTGGACCTCCCTAGAGACTTGTTGAATGGCGTTGCCCAAAGTGCTGATAATGATATGGACAAAGAAATCCAGGCTGAGATGATCTCAGATGGAGATGAGGAACTTGTTGGGAACTGGAGCAAAGGTGACTCTTGTTATGTTTTAGCAAAGAGACTGGTGATATTTTGCCCCTGTCCTAGAGATTTGTGGAACTTTGCACTTGAGAGAGATGATTTAGGTTATTATCTGGTGGAAGAAATTGCTAAGCATCAAAGCGTTCAAGAGGTGACTTGGGTGCTGTTAAAGGCATTCAGTTTCAAAAGGGAAACAGAGCATAAAAGTTTGGAAAATTTGCAGCTTGATGATGTGGTAGAGAAGGAAATCCCATTTTCTGGGGAGAAATTCAAGCCAGCTGCAGAAATTTGCATAAGTAATGAGGAGCTGAATGTTAATCACCAAGACAATGGGGAAAATGTCTCCAGGGCATGTCAGAGACCTTTGCGACAACCCCTGCCATCACAAGCCCAGAGGCTTAGGAGGAAAAAATAGTTCTATGGGCTGGGCCTAGGGTCCCTCTGCTGTGTGCATTCTAGGGACTTGGTGCCTTGCATCTCAGCTACTCCAGCCATGACTAAAAGGGGCCAAGGTACAGCTCAGGCTGTTGCTTCAGAGGATCGAAACCCAAAGCCTTGGCAGCTTCCATGTGATGTTGAGCCTGCAGGTGCATGGAAGTCAAGAATTGAGGTGTGTGGCCTCTGCCTAGATTTTAAAAGATGTATGGAAACGCCTGGATGCCCAGGCAGAAGTTTGCGGCAGGGGTGGGGCTCTCATGGAGAACCTCTGCTAAGGCAGTGCGGAAGGGAAATATGGGGTGGGAGCCCCCACACAGAGTCCCTACTGGAGCATTGCCTAGTGGAGCTGTGAGAAGAGGGCCACTATCCGTTATACCCCAGAATGATGGATCCACCGACAGCTTGCACTGTGCACCTGGAAAAGCCACAGACACTAAACACCAGCCCATGAAAGCACCCAGGAGGGAGGGTGTACCTTGTAAAGCCACAGGGGTGGAGCTTCCCAAGACCACAGGAGCCTACCTCTTGTATCAGCGTGACCTGGATGTGAGACATGGAGTCAAAGGAGATCATTTTGGAGCTTTAAGATTTGACTACCCTGCTGGATTTTGCACTTGCATGGGGCTTGTAGTCCCTTTGTTTGGGCCAATTTCTCCCATTTGGAATGGCTGTATTTACCCAATGCCTGTAGCCCCGTTGTATCTAGGAAGTAACTAACTTGCTTTTGATTTTACAGGCTCATAGGTGGAAGGGACTTGCTTTGTCTCAGATAAGACTTTGGACTGTGGACTTTTGAGTTAATGCTGAAAAGAGTTAAGATTTTGGGGGACTGTTGGGAAGGCATTATTGTGTTTTGCAATGTAAAACATGAGATTTGAGAGGGGCCAGGTGTGCAATATGGTTGGCCCACCCAAATCTCATCTTGAATTCCCATGTGTTGTGGGAGGGACCCAGTGGGAGGTAATTGAATCATGGGGGCAGGTCTTTCTCGTGCTGTTCTTGTGACAGCAAATAATCCTCATGAGATTTGATGGTTTTAAAAAGGGGAGTTTACCTGCACAAGCTCACTTTTTTTTGCCTGCTGCCATCCATGTAAGATGTGTTTGCTCCTCCTTGCCTTCCTCCATGATTGTGAGGCCTCCCCTGCCATGTGGAACTGTTAAGTCCATTAAACCTCTTTTTCTTCCCAGTCTCAAGTATGTCTATGCACAGTGTGAAAATGGACTAATACACCTCTCCATCTATCAGGGGTAGAGAGTTTTTCTTTTACTTTTCCTTCACCTGCAAAGTATCTTTGCCTGTGCCTGTGTGTTGCCCTTTCCCCAGGGGCCTCAGAAGTAGGCACTGGTTTGTGCCTTTTCTGCAGCATGCCTGGGTCCTGAGGCCCCCATTCCAGGCCTGAGCTCCCACATAACATTTCTAGACACTTTCTGGGCTAAAAGGGACCCCACTGCCTTGAAGGGAAGAACCTGATCTTGGCAGGATTTACCGTCATAAGAATGTCATTATTTAATGATAGAGCAGTCAGTTCAGCAAGAGGATATAACAATTGTAAATATATATGCACCCAACACTGGAGCACCCAGATATATAAAGCAAATATTATTAGAGCTAAAGAGAGGGAGAGATCGCAATACAGTAATAGCTGGAGTCTTCAACATCCCATTTTCAGTATTGGACAGGTATTCCAGACAGAAAATCAACAAACATCAGACTTAATCTGCACCATAGAACAAATGGACTTGATAGATATTTCCATTCTCAATGATAGACTATATGTTAGGTTACAGAACAAGTTTTAAAACATTCAAAAATTGAAATAATATCAAACATCTTCTCTGACCACGATGGAATAAAACTATAAATCAACAAGAAGAGGAATTTTGGAAACCATATGAACATGTAGAAATTTAACAGTATGCTCCTGAATGACCAGTGGATCAGTGAAGGAATTAAGAAGAAAACTGAAAAATTTCTTGGAACAAATGATAGTGGAAACACAACATACCATAATCTATGGGATACAGTGAAAGCAGTACTAAGAGGGGAATTTATAGGCACTTACATAAGTGCCTTTTTCTTCAAAAAAGAAGAAAAACTTCAAATAAATTACCTAATGATTCATCTTAAAAAGCTAGCAAAGCAAGAGCAAACCTAACCCAAGATTAGTATAAAAAATAAATAAAAAGGAACAGAATAGAAATAAATGAATTTGAAATGAAGAAAGCAATACAAAAGTCAAGGAAACAAAAAATGTTATTCTTTTGAAAAGATAAACAAAATCAACAAGTCCTTAGGCAGATTAAAGCACAAAAAAGGAAAAGACCCAAATAAGTAAAATCAGATGGAAAAGGAAACATTACAACTGGGATTGCAGAATTTCAAAGGATCATCAGTAGCTACTATGACCAACTACATGCCAATAAATTGGAAAATCTAGGGGAAATGGATAAATTCCTAGTTAGATACAAGCTACCAGAATTAAACCATGAAGAAATACAAAATATGAATAGACCAATAACAATAAACAAGATTGAAGCTGTAATATGAAGTCTCCCAGTAAAGAAAATAACAGGACCTGATGGCTTCACTGCTTAATCGTGCCAAGCATTTAAAGAACTAACACCAGTGTTACTCAAACAATTCCGAAAAATACAGGAAGAGGGAATCTTTTCCAAACTCATTTACAAGACCCATATTACCCTGATACCCAAACCAAAGACACATCTAAAAATAAAACCACAGGCCAGTATCTCTGATGTTGATTCAAAAATCAACAAAAATACCAGCCAGCGGAATTCAACAATATATTAAAAAGATAATTCATCATGACCAAGTGGGAATTATTCCAGGGATGCAAGGATGATTCAACATATGCAAGTTAATCAGTGTGATACATTACATCAAAAGAATGAACAACAAAAACCATATGTTCATTTCAATTCATGCTGAGAAAAATTTAATACAATTCAACATCCCTTTATGATAAAAACTCTCAAAAAATTTGGTATGGAAGGAACATACCTGAACACAATAAACACTATATTTGTCATGCCACCGTGTCATACTGAATAGGGAAAACTTAAAATCCTTTCCTCTAAGATCTGAAACATGAAAAGGATGCCCATTGTCACCACTATTATTCAATGTAGTAGTGGAAGTCCAAGCAATCAGACAAGAGAAGGAAATAAATGGCATATAATTGGAAAGGAAAAAGTCAAATTATCCTTGTTTGCAGATGATATGATCTTATATTTGGAAAAACCTAAAGTATCCACCAAAAAAATGATGAGAACTGATAAATTCAGCAAGGTTTCAAGGTACAACATCAACATACAAAAATCAGTAGCATTTCTGTATACTAACAGTGAATAATCTGAAAAAGAAATTAGAAAGTAATCCAACTTACAATAGCCATGGATAAAATTAGATAGGAAGTAACAAGCAAATAAATGAAATATCTCTACAATGAAAACTATAAAACACTGATGAAAGAAATTGAAGAGGACACAGCAACATGGAAAGACATTACATGTTTATGGGTTCTAAGAATCAATATTGTTAAAATGTCCATACTACCCTAAGCAACCTACAAATTCAGTGTGACCCCTATCAAAATACCCATGAGATTCTTCACAGAAATAGAAAATACAATCCTAAAATTTATGTAGAATCACAAAAGATCCAGAATAGGCAAAGCTATCCTAAGCAAAGAGAACAAAACCGGAGGAATCACATTACCTGACTTCAAATTATACTACAGAAATATAGTAACCAAAACAACATGGTACTGACATAAAACCAAACACATAGACCAATGGAACAGAATAGAGAACCAGAAACAAAACCACATACCTACAGTGAACACATTTTTGACATAAGTGCCAAGAACATACACTGTGGAAAAGGCAGTCTCTTCAATAAATGGTGCTGGGAAAACTGGATATCTATATGAAGAAGAATCAAACTGGAATACTATGTCTCATCATGTGCAAAAATCAAATCAAAATGAAATTCCTAAGAGAAAACTAAAAGAAACTCTCAATGACATTGGTCTAGGCAGAAATTTCTTGAGTAATACCCTACAAGCACAGGCATCCAAAGAAAATAATGGACAAATGGCATCACATCAAGTTAAAAAGCTTCTGCATAGAAAAGGGAATAATCAACAAAGTGAAGAGACAAACCCATAGAATGGGAGAAAATATTTGCAAACGACTCATCTGATAAGATTAATAACCAGAATATATAAGAAACTCTATAGGAAAAAAGTCTAATACTCCAATTAAAAAAATGGACAAAAAATTTGAACAGACTTTTCTCTAAAGACATACAAATGGCAAACAGGTATATGAGAAGGTGTTCAACATCATTGATCATCAGGCAAATATCAGTCAAAACTATGATGAGCTGTCATCTCACCCCAGTTAAAATGGCTTTTATCCAAAAGACAGGTAATAATGCTGGCGAGGATATGGAGAAAAGGGAACCCTTGTACGCTGTTGGTGGGATTGTAAATTAGTACAACCACTGTGAAGAACAGTTCGCAGTTCCTCAAAAATCTAAAAATAGATCTACCATATGATCCAGCAATCTTACTGCTGGGTGTATATACCCAAAAGAAAGGAAATCAGTATATCAAAGAGATATCTGCACTCCCATGTTTGTTGCAGCACTGTTCACAATAGCCAGGATTTGAAAGCAACCTAAGTGTCTATCAGCAGATGAATGGATAAAGGAAATGTAGTACATATATGTAATGGAGAACTGTTCAACCGTAAAAATGAATGAGATTCTGTCATTTGCAACATGGTGGAACTGAAGGTCGTTATGTTAAGTGAAATAACCCAGGCATGGAAAGACAAATTTCACATGTTCTCATTTATCTGTGGAATCTAGAAATCAAAACAATTGAACTAATGGAGATAGAGAGTAGAAGGATGGTTGCCAGAGACTGGGAAGGGTAGTGTGTGTGTGTGGGTGAGCCAGGGATGGTTAATGGGTACAGAAAAAATTAGAATGAATAAGACCTAGTATTTGTTAGCACAATAGGGTCACTGTAGTCATAACTTAATTGTACATTTAAAAATAACCGAAAGTAAAATTCGATTTTTTGTAACAGGATAAATGCTTGAGGGGATGGATGCTCTATTTTCCATGATTATTACACATGCATGCCTGTTTCAAAATATCTCATATACTCCATGAATATATACATCTACTATGTACCCACAAAAATTTTAAAAAGTAATAATTAAAAATTATATTTTCATTTAGCAATATAGATAAATGGTTAAAACTAGAAGTTTGTAATATTTTGGAAGAGATGAAAGCATGCAAATAACAAGACAATTCAAAAAGGTTGTCACAAACATAATGAACTGTTCCCAAAGAATCTCATAATGAACTTGAGAAAATTACATCCCTATCTACAATCTAAAAATTGGAAGATGGACATGTATTCCTATTTTAAATACAGGCTTTATTGTTGTTGAAATGCAAAACTGTCCTAAATTGCACTATCTTTTTTGTTAAAGTGAGTATATGTAACTGTTACACTAAAAAATACACTATATATATTTAAAGGAAAATAACCATTAATTTTTGTTTTTACAACAGAGACATCTTGACCAGAAGCAATACAATAACAAATTAGAAAAGATAAAAAGCACTTCATTCAATATCAGTATCTATATTATTTCTCAATTTATGTTGTCAGCTTATGTTATTTGTCAAATTATATTCTTGATATACGCAAATGGGTTAAAATCAGAAAAGAATAAATTGTTTATCTAATCATTCATATATTCCTCAGATGATTTTTCAAGACTGAATGTTCGAATCAATAATTTCTTGCACGTATAAGATTGTTGGCATGAAAATGAGGTTGAGGTTTAGGTGGAGAAAGTTCACCATGAGTATTGTGAGTCACCTGAACATTGTTTATTTACGTGTAATGAAAACTACAAAATTGGCAGTAAAATAACAGTAGAGGTCATTTTTAAAAAAATAGGGTGTGCTGGGAGGTGGGGAGAAAGAAACTTAGGGGGTGAGAGTAGCCAAGTTTACCAAATAGAAACAGCTCCACTCTGTGGCTCCCACCAAGAAGGATGAAAACAGCCAGTGAATTCTGAATCTTCAGTTGAGGTACCAAGCTTTTCTCATTGGGACTGACTAGGTGGTTGGCGCAACCCAGGGAGAGCAAAGAAGAGCATCGAGGGCCCACCCAAGAGCTGTGTGGGCAAAGGAAGCTTTCTCCCCCAGCCAAAGGAGGCGGTGAGGGATTGTGCTACCCCTCCCTGAAAACCTTGCTTTTGTCATGGATCCTTGCAACCTGCGGATCAGGAGTTCCCCTTGCGAGCCCACGCCACCAGGGCCTTGGGTCCCAAGCACAGAACTGTAAAGACATGGCAGCTGCTTGGGTGGCTGGCCATTTCAGCAGGCACCAAGACACAGTATTTGCATACTCCAGCTCTGGGAACTCCCATGAGGCAGGATATCTGTCCACTCCTGTGGGAAGGGGGCTGAAGCCAGGGGGCCAAGTGGCCTCACTTCCACAGAACCCCACAAGCTAAAACACACTGGCTTGGAATCCCTGCCAGCCAACGCAGCAGGTCAGAGACTGCCTAGGAAGACTTAATTCCGAGGGCAGGAGGGTTGGCCACCATCACTGCGGCTCCAGTTGGCCATTGTCCCCTGCTGTAGGTGCCAGTGAGACTGGGTGGTCTGGACTAGGAGCAATTCCCCACAGCGCAGCACAGCAGCTGTGTCAGTTCATGGCTAGACTGCTTCCTTAAGTAGAACACTGATCCATTTTTTCTCACTGGGTGAGGCCTCTCTGTGGGAATTTCAGCATCCCTAGACAGGAGTTTATGAACAGAACTTTGATATCCCTGAGAGGAGCCACTAGGAGGGGCAGCTACGGTATCATGGATCAGTGGTCTTTGTCTTTTCTGCCTGCTGGCTCTGGAGAGTCAGGGGAGCCCAGATGAGGGTGCAGCACACCCGCTCCACCAAGGGGCAGCCAGACTGCTTATTTAAGCAGGTGCCTGATCCCACTCCTGCTGACTAGGTGAGACCTCCCAACAGGAGTCCACAGATAACTCATATGGGAGAATTCCAACTGGCATCAGGTTGGTGCCCCTCTGGGACACAGCTTCCAGAGGAAGGAGCTGGCTTCCATCTGTGCTGGTCTGTAGCCTCTGCTGGTGATACCTCCAGGGGTGGGAGGGACCCAGGCAAATAGGGTCTAGAGTGGACCTCCAGCAAACTGCAACATCCCTGTAGAAGAGGGGGCCTGACTGCTAAAAGAAAAACAGAAAACAACAACAACATCAATGAAAAGGACCCCACAAAAACCCATCCAAAGGTCAGCAACCTCAAAGATCAAAGGTAGATAAACTCATGACGATGAGAAAGAATCAACACAAAAATCCTGAAAACTCAAAAAGCCAGAGTGCCTCTTCTCCTCCAAATGATTGCAACATGTCTCCAGCAAAGGCACAGAACTGGGCTGAGGCTGAGATGGATGAATTGACAGAAGTAGGCTTCAGAAGATGGGTAATAATGAACTTCACTGAGCTAAAGAATTATGTTCTAACTCATTGCAAAGAAGCTAAGAACCATGATAAAACATTACAGGAGCTGTTTACCAACATAACTAGTATAGAGAGGAATATAAATTACCTGATCAAGCTGAGAAACACAACACGAGAACTTCACAGTGCAATAACAAGCATCAATAGCCAAAGAGACGAAGCAGAAGAAAGGGTATCAGAGCTTGAAGACTATCTTGCTGAAATAAGACAGGCAGACAAGAGGAGAGAAAAAAAGAATGAAAAGGAATGAAAAAAACCTCTGAGAACTGTGTGATTATGTTAAAAAACCAAACCTATGACTGATAGGAGTATCTGAAAGAGACGGAGAGAATGGAACCAAGTTGGAAAACACACTTCAGGATATCATCCAGAATTTCCTCAACCTAGCAAGACAGGCCAGTGTTCAAATTCAGGAAACCCAGACAACCCTAGTAAGATACTACATGAGAAGATCAAGCAAAAGACACATAATCATCAGATTCTCCAGGGCTGAAATAAAGGAAAAAATGTTAAGGGCAGCCAGAGAGAAAGTCCAGGTCACCTATAAAGGGAAGCCCATCAGACTAACAGTGGATCTCTGCAGAAACCCTACAAGCCAGAAGATAGTGGGGGCCAATATTCGACACTCTTAAAAGAATTTCCAACCTAGAGTTTCATATCTGGTCAAACTCAGCTTCATAAGTGAAGGAGAAATAAAATCTTTTTCAGACAAGCAAATGCTGAGGGAATTCATCACCACCAGGCCTGCCTTGCAAGCACTCCTGAAGGAAGCACTAAATATGGAAGGGAAAAACCATTACCAGCCACTACAAAAACACACTGAAGTACACAGACCAGTGACAATATGAGGCAACTACGCAAACAAGTCTACAAAATAACCAGCTAGCATCATAGTGACAGGATCAAATTGATACATAAAATATTAACCTTAAATGTAAATGGACTAAATGCCCCAATTAAAAGATGCAGAGTGGCAAGCTGGATAGAGGCAAGATTCATTGGTGTGCTGTATTCAAGAGACCTATCTCACATGCAAAGACACACATAGACTTAATCCCATTACTGGGTATATACCCAAAGGAATATAAATCATTCTGTTACAAAGACACATGCATGTGTATGTTCATTGCAGCACTATTTACGATCACAAAGACATGGAATCAACCCAGATGCCCATCAATGATAGACTGGATAAAGAAAATGTGGCACATATACACCATGAAATACTATGCAGCCATAAAAAGGAATGGGACCATGTCCTTTGTAGCGACATGGATGGAGTTGGAAGCCATTATCCTCAGCAAACTAATGCAGTAACAGAAAACCAAACACTGCATGTTCTCACTTATAAGTGGGAGCTGAACAATCAAAACACATGGACACAGGAAAGGGAACCACACACACTGGCGCCTGTCAGGGGGTGGAGTATGTGGTTGGGGGAGGTGGAGCATTAGGAAAAATAGCGAACGTATGCTGCGCTTAATAGCTAGGTGATGGGTTGATAGGTGCAGTAAACCACCGTGGCACATGTTTACCTATGTAACAAACCTTCACAACTTGCACCTGTGCCCCAGAACTTAAAAAAAAAAAAAAGAAAAGAAGAAAGAAACTTGGAAGAATGGATCAGAGACCTTGCACCATATGCCTCATGTAATTTGATCTTCATCAAGAAGTCGTTAATCAACATATGCTTCATTGAGAGCCTTACTTTATCTCATAAACATCTTTGGTAGCATCCCATACGCTGATCCTCAGTGATTGACTTCTGACACCGCTTAAAGCAGAAATCTGTTCGTGTGCATTTATTTTATGTGAATCAAAATTTTGAAATAATTGTGACCCAGAGAAGTAGATTTCTTCTGTTTCAATCCTAATATGAGGTATCAGTCCATTTTTCAGAATGGAAATGTGACAGTGTCAATGCTGTAGCACTTTGTCAGTTATCTGAGGCTGAGAACTACTTTTTCATTATAAATTATATTTCACATTATTGTATTGAAACTAATATATTATGGAGGTAAGTGAAACATTCTCATTAAATGTTCACATAGAACCTGGGATTAGAAAGAATCCTTTAGCTTGCTTTATGCCAGAGGTTTGCAGAAGATATATCAAGTTGAAAAATTTTTCTGTATTACAGCACTGATATTGAAGACCATTCTCATCAAGCTATGAATTATGTAGTAATCAGATCCACTGATGATATATATTTATTTTATACCATGAAATCTTGGTTTTCTAGAATTTATATGCTTTCTTTTCCCAATTATCAGAACTGAATAATCTAGTATATTCTCTTTAACTTTACATTCTAGGAAGTTCAGAGTTAAATTCCATAAAGTCTTTATTTTTAATAATTTTGAATTGTCATGTTTCATATATTTCAATTTTCCAAGCCAAAAAGGTTCTCTTTGGAAATAGATGGTTTATACTTTGGACATGTTCTGGCAGCATACCTTTAATTTTCATTTACTTAGATGAAATGTAGATGAATCATATTTTTGGAACTACAGGTTTTGCCCTTTCATCCTTCACCCCCATACCTAATATGACCTTATACAAATTATGTTTGATGAGAATCTTCGATGAGAATTATAGCAAAATATTTGTTTTCCTATTATCTTTTGAATGGCACAATACTGGATTTGAACTCAAGACTAAATAATTTTTCGAAAAAGAATTAGCAGTGATTTATAAAGTTACTATTTTTTTTTCAGCAAAGCTAGAGAAGATTTGCTGAAAATTCAGAAAGAACGTGATTTTCATCGAATGCATCATAAGCGAATAGTCCAGGAAAAAAACAAATTAATTAATGACCTCAAAGGGTAAGCTTATACTTGTTGGCATATTTATTAAAGAGTTATTTAATACATGTTAAGTAATTTGATTATGACAAAGTTTTAGACAAAGTTATTAATTCCACGGTTATTGAGCATAAGATGAGTAAGTTGCGACCCTTGCTGTCAAGGGTCTCAGAAAATACTTGTGTGTGTGAAGTGGGAGGAGTTAAGCAGAAATATACTGAAATACACTGCATTGTTGCTATGCCACCCAAGAGGGCCATCATCCCAATACGACTGGAGTGTGAGAGGGCTCAAGGATTTATTTCCACAGGAATTAAATTCTCAAGTATGAGTAAGAGTAGACAGTGAGGAAGTGGGGTCCGCACAGTGCTCTTTGCAGATAGTACATCCTCTGCAAATGCACCAAGACATGAAAAAACATGTTACGTTCATCAAATTGTGTACATAGAGAGTAAAGTGCAGCTGTGGTATTGCAGGGATAGGGGACATATCTCTAAATGACTATGAATTTGTAAGTCTTTTAGAAATTATTTTGAAGGCATTATTGAGATTTACTTTCTCTCCTTCTTTACCTTCCTCCCCTACAAAAACAAGAAAATAAATTTACAATCCTTAAATAAAATTATATTTTGCTTGCTCTAAGGCAGTGCTATCCAACAGAACTTTTTGTGATGATATAAATACTCTGTATCTGTACTGTCCAATACAATAGCCCCTAACCATTTATATTTAAAAATATACCATACTTGTTCAAATTCCTAATATGTTTAAAGAATACTTTTCACATAAAATTCATCATTTTAGATTACATGTTTTTTTCGTATTTCATTATTTCAGGCACCCTGGTAAAGAAGCACACATTACTTTGTAATACAGCTACACTTGGTGTATACTCAGATAGCCTTTATTTCTTCATTTAATCATTAAGAAAAACATCTCCATTTAACAATCTGGATGAATCACTAAAGCTCATTTTATAAAGACCTAAAACAAAACTTCAATGATGCCATCAAGTCACAAAACTGGGTATCAAGTTAATCAGTCAAACACAGTGAATACTTTGCCCGATAGCTGCGCGATTGCATAATAAATCAGCTATAGGACAGAGTGTTTTGATGCCAGGCAAAGTTGGGGTCTGAAATCTCTTATGTCACATTTTACCCAAATACATTAATAGTGTATCCATATTTCCTTTCATTGTAAACCATTAAATGTTTACCTTATTTTTCTGTAAATTTTTCAACTAGTTTGATAATAAATTTTACAGTATTTCTTTGTTTGTTGTTTTGTTTTGCTTTTTAGAGTCAGACTCTCATTCTGTCGCCCATTTTAGAATGCAGTGGTGAGATTAAGGCATCCTGTAGCCCCAACTCCTGGGTTCAAGCAGTCCTTCCGCCTCAGCCTTCTGAGTAGCTGGGTCTACAGGTGCATGCCACCATACCCAGCTAAATTTTTTTGTTTTAATTTTTTTGTAGTGATGGGGGTCTCACTTTGTTGATCAGGTTGGTTTTGAACTCCTGGGCACCAGTGATCCTCTCAGATCGGCCTCCCAAAGTGTTGGAATTACAGGCATGAGTGACCAAGCCTGGCCAGTATTTCCCATTTAACACAAGTATCTTATTATGAACGTGCTTATTTTCAGAATTATCTATAGCTAATATTAGAACTTGCAAACAGATGAATTATGAAGTACTTATGGACTTTATAAAATAGACACACCCTTTAAAATAGATTAAACAGAGTTTTTCTAGATGTTGTTTCCTTGTTATATTCCAGTGAAATTCTATGTGTTGTTAATTCTTTTAACAGAAGATAGTCAAGCCATATCTCATGAATGAGTTAAATTCCAAAGTTAGTAAAAAAAGGGAAATTTTGCCATCAATATTTTCTTTAAAATTCTTCAACCATCCACAGATTACAGTATATATAGTTTTGTGTATACAATTCTATATCTGTGTGTTGTATGTATTTATGAATATGTAATGTTTATGGAGATTATAGTATGCAGCAAAGTGTATATATATTACATACATATGTATATATATATGACATATGTGTATATATATGTTACATATATGTGTATATATATATTACATATATGTATATATATATTACATATATATGTATTATATATATATATAAACACACACTAAGCTAATCAGAAAGGAGGATAGAACTGTACATACTACCTAAATTTTTATTTTTGTTACTTTTTCTGAGTGTCATATTAATACACATTAAATGTATATATAATGCAACTGCACTTTAATACTTAATTTCTATTGCTATCATCAATGAGGTATAATGTGATATCCAAATTAATGACGTTTATAAATACTGCTATGAAAATATAGAAAATAAAAAGCTCTGTTTTAATTATTAATGGAATAAAATATTATTCTTTTGGAGGACTTTTGGGGAATTTCTGCTTTGGGCTATGTCATTGTAAATAGTATAGAATTAGCTCTCCAACTGGTACTGGACTAGCTCCCCAAATGTAAGGAACTACATGACTGGACAAAATACATGAGGCAGTTTTTTTTTTAAGATGGTGGAAAATTGGCAAAGCAGGACCGTGATGCCTAAGAGAAGACAAACACAAAATGAGCAGGATGATCAACCCACATATCTTCCTGAAGGTACTTTTCAGCCCACAGTTTGACCAGATATAACCCAAGCAGAGCATGGTGGCTTTCAGAGCTGAGGAGGCAGAGATCAGAGTTCAGGGCTGCAGAGGTAGCTGGAACTTGCAGCATGGTGTACACAGAAGGAAGGAGGTACATGAAATGTAGCTTAAGAAATATCTGTAATGGTTCTCTTCAGTCTTTGGCCACGTAACTAACTTGTGGAAGTATAGGATGAGAGAACATGAAGCCTGGCAGGAAACAGCACCTGGGAAACTCTGAGCAAAATAGAGATTCCAGAGGTTGCACAGTGCTGGGAGATGCAGGAGTTCTGACCAGCCATAAGGGAAGTAACCTCACTGAATACTCTGAGCATTTACTTAATATCCTCCACAAGCCATGCCACAGAAGCAGACCTAGTTGGTCCTAGACAAAGTGTTGCTTTAGAATTTTTCTCCAAAAAGCTTAAAGGTAAGCTTTGAAAAACTCGAGCTGATTCACTGGGAAATTAACTGTCTGTCAGAAAATAACTCTTTAAAGGAAGAAAACAAAATTCAGACAAGTGTATGTCCAACATACAATAAATAAATAAAGTTTATACGTATTGATTTATCTATAGATATATCTAGAAGCAGGAAGACATGTCCTATAATCAGGAAAAAGCAGAACCAGACACAGAGAAAAGAAAATTACAGAATTAGCAGGCAGGGACTTTACAACAGTTATTATGAAATGCTTAGAGTTTTAAAGAAAATGGTGACTGTAAGGAGTGATAAACAGAATTAAACTGAAATTTGAGAACTGAAAAAAACATAATATGCAAATGAAAAATTTACTAATAGGTCTTAGAAGATTGGACATTGCCAATGGAAAGATCAATGAACATGAAGACAGGAAGATGGAAAATGATCCAACTGGTGCACAAAGAGAAAAAAGCTGAAAAGAAATGAGCAGGGACTCAAAGAAAAAAGACTGAAAAAACATAAATAGAACCTCTGGAGCAATATTAAATAGTCCATCATAGGTGTGTATTTGAAATCCAAGAAGAGGCTGGGCATAACCTTCCCTATTCTGCTAGCTTATTCCAATTGTTAAGTATACAAATTCAAATTATTTACTCAGGAAGACTGGAGTTGATCACTGGGTGCTTACATGAACCAAATATGCTGTGAGCAGACTTTAGCCAGGACTGTACTTATTTTCTGTTCCCCTGTAGACTCCCATTCTAACAGAGGGGTCATGATTCTGCTTTAGGTTTCTGAATTTGAATGACCACTTCTTAAAATATCTTTCCCCAGTACATAGTCACTCAATTAAATAGCCAGGGGTAATTTGCAGAAAAATTGAGGCTATTTATAACAGTATATAATTGCTATGGTGTTACGGAGTGCTTCCTCTACTGTCTGCCAGGGTAGCTCCAGCATTTCCACTTCACAGCGTTGGCTATCTTTTTCCAAGTTTTGAAGGACCACCCTAGAAGTGAATCAACCTTATTCACTGGAGTTTTTTTCTTTTTTTTTTGTATTTTAAGTTTTAGGGTACATGTGCACAGCGTGCAGGTTTGTTACATATGTATACATGTGCCATGTTGGTGTGCTGCACCCATTAACTCATCAGTTAACATTAGGTATATCTCCTAATGCTATCCCTCTCCACTTCCCACACCCCACAACAGGCCCCGGTATGTGATGTTCCCCTTCCTGTGTCCATGTGTTCTCATTGTTCAGTTCCCACCTATGAGTGAGAACATGCGGTGTTTGGTTTTTTGTCCTTGCAATAGTTTGCTGAGAATGATGGTTTCCAGCTTCATCCATGTCCCTACAAAGGACATGAACTCATCATTTTTTATGGCTGCATAGTATTCCATGGTGTATATGTGCCACATTTTCTTAATCCAGTCTATCATTGTTGGACATTTGGGTTGGTTCCAAGTCTTTGCTATTGTGAATAGTGCCGCAATAAACATAACGTGTGCATGTGTATTTATAGCAGCATGATTTATAATCCTTTGGGTATATACCCAGTAATGGGATCGCTGGGTCAAATGGTATTTCTAGTTCAAGATCCCTGAGGAATCACCACACTGACTTCCACAATGGTTGAACTAGTTTACAGTCCCATCAACAGTGTAAAAGTGTTCCTATTTCTCCACATCCTCTCCAGCACCTGTTGTTTCCTGACTTTTTAATGATTGCCATTCTAACTGGTGTGAGATGGTATCTCATTGTGGTTTTGATTTGCATTTCTCTGATGGCCAGTGTGATGAGCATTTTTTCATGTGTCTGTTGGCTGCATAAATGTCTTCTTTTGAGAAGTGTCTGTTCATATCCTTCGCCCACTTGTTGATGGGGTTGTTTGTTTTTTTCTTGTAAATTGGTTTGAGTTCTTTGTAGATTCTGGATATTAGCCCTTTGTCAGATGAGTAGATTGCAAAAATTTTCTCCCATTCTGTAGGTTGCCTGTTCACTCTGACGGTAGTTTCTTTTGCTGTGCAGAAGCTCTTCAGTTTAATTAGATCCCATTTGTCAATTTTGGCTTTTGTTGCCATTGCTTTTGGTGTTTTAGACATGAAGTCCTTGCCCATGCCTATGTCCTGAATGGTATTGCCTAGGTTTTCTTCTAGGGTTTTTATGGTTTTAGGTCTAACATTTAAGTCTTTAATCCATCTTGAATTAATTTTTGTATAAGGTGTGAGGAAGGGATCCAGTTTCAGCTTTCTACATATGGCTAGCCAGTTTTCCCAGCACCACTTATTAAATAGGGAATCCTTTCCCCATTGCTTGTTTTTGTCAGGTTTGTCAAAGATCAGATAGTTGTAGATGTGTGGCATTATTTCTGAGGGCTCTGTTCTGTTCCATTGGTCTATATCTCTGTTTTGGTACCAGTACCGTGCTGTTTTGGTTACTGTAGCCTTGTAGTGTAGTTTGAAGTCAGGTAGCGTGATGCTTCCAGCTTTGTTCTTTTTGCTTAGGATTGACTTAGCAATGCAGGCTCTTTTTTGGATCCATATGAACTTTAAAGTAGTTTTTTCCAGTTCTGTGAAGAAAGTCATGGGTAGCCTGATAGGGATGGCATTGAATCTATAAATTACCTTGGGCAGTATGGCCATTTTCACGATATTGATTCTTCCTACCCATGAGCATGGAATGTTCTTCCATTTGTTTGTATCCTCTTTTATTTCCTTGAGCAGTGGTTTTTAGTTCTCCTTGAAGAGGTCCTTCACATCCCTTGTAAGTTGGATTCCTAGGTATTTTATTCTCTTTGAAGCAATTGTGAATGGGAGTTCACTCATGATTTGGCTCTCTGTTTGTCTGTTATTGGTGTATAAGAATGCTTGTGATTTTTGCACATTGATTTTGTATCCTGAGACCTTGCTGAAGTTGCCTATCAGCTTAAGGAGATTTTGGGCTGAGACAGTGGGGTTTTCTAGATATACAATCATGTCATCTGCAAGCAGGGACAATTTGACTTCCTCTTTTCCTAATTGAATACGCTTTATTTCCTTCTCCTGCCTGATTGCCCTGGCCAGAACTTCCAACACCGTGCTGAATAGGAGTGATGAGGCAGGACATCCCTGTCTTGTGCCAGTTTTCAAAGGGAATGCTTCCAGTTTTTGCCCATTCAGTATGATATTGGCTGTGGGTTTGTCATAGATAGCTCTTATTATTTTGAGATACGTCCCATCAATACCTCATTTATTGAGAGTTTTTAGCATGAAGGTTGTTCAATTTTGTCAAAGGCCTTTTCTGCTCTAATGAGATAATCCTATGTTTTTTGTCATTGGCTCTGTTTATATGCTGGATTATGTTTATTGATTTGCATATGTTGAACCAGCCTTGCATCCCAGGGATGAAGCCCACTTGATCATGATGGATAAGCTTTTTGATGTGCTGCTGGATTCGGTTTGCCAGTATTTTATTGAGGATTTTTGCATCGATGTTCATCAGGGATATTGGTCTAAAATTCTCTTTTTTTTTTTGTTGTGTCTCTGCCAGGCTTTGGTATCAGGATGATGCTGGCCTCATAAAATGAGTTAGGAAGGTATTCCTTCTTTTTCTATTGATTGGAATAGTTTTAGAAGGAATGGTACCAGCTCCTCCTTGTACCTCTGGTAGAATTCGGCTGTGAATCCTTCTGGTCCTGGACTTTTTTTGGTTGGTAAGCTATTAATTATTGCCTCAATTTCAGAGCCTGCAATTGGTCTATTCAGAGATTCAACTTCTTCCTGGTTTAGTCTTGGGAGGGTGTATATGTCGAGGAATTTATCCATTTCTTCTAGATTTTCTAGTTTATTTGCATAGAGGTGTTTATAGTATTCTCTGATGGTAGTTTGTATTTCTGTGGGATCGGTGGTGATATCCCCTTTATCATTTTTTATTGTGTCTATTTGATTCTTCTCTCTTTTCTTCTTTATTAGTCTTGCTAGTGGTCTCTCAATTTTGTTGATCTTTTCAAAAAATCAGCTCCTGGATTCATTGATATTTTGAAGGGTTTTTTGTGTCTCTATTTCCTTCAGTTCTGCTCTGATCTTAGTTATTTCTTGCCTTCTGCCAGCTTTTGAATGTGTTTGCTCTTGCTTCTCTTGTTCTTTTAATTGTGATGTTAGGGTGTCAATTTTAGATCTTTCCTGCTTTCTCTTGTGGGCATTTAGTGCTATAAATTTTCCTCTACACACTGCTTTAAATGTGTCCCAGAGATTCTGGTATGTTGTATCTTTGTTCTCATTGGTTTCAAAGAACATCTTTATTTCTGCCTTCATTTCGTTATGTACCCAGTAGTCATTCAGGAGCAGGTTGTTCAGTTTCCATGTAGTTGAGCGGTTTTCAGTGAGTTTCTTAATCCTGAGTTCTAGTTTGACTGCACTGTGGTCTGAGAGATAGTTTGTTATAATTTCTGTTCTTTTACATTTGATGAGGAGTGCTTTACTTCCAACTGTGTGGTCAGTTTTGGAATAAGTACGGTGTGGTGCTGAAAAGATTGTATATTCTGTTGATTTGGGGTGGAGAGTTCTGTAGATGTCTATTAGGTCTGCTTGGTGTGGAGCTGAGTTCAATTCCTGGATATCCTTGTTAACTTTCTGTCTCGTTGATCTGTCTAATGTTGACAGTGGGGTGTTAAAATCTCCCATTATGATTGTGTGGGAGTCTAAGTCTTTTTGTAGGTCTCTAAGGACTTGCTTTAAGAATCTGGGTGCTCCTGTATTAGGTGCACATATATTTAGGATAGTTAGCTCTTGTCAAATTGATCCCTTTACCATTATGTAATGGCCTTCTTTGTCTCTTCTGATCTTTGTTGGTTTAAAGTCTGTTTTATCAGAGACTAGGATTGCAACCCCTGCTTTTTTTTGTTTTGCTTGGTAGATCTTCCTCCATCCCTTGATTTTGAGCCTATGTGTGTCTCTGCATGTGAGATGGGTTTCCTGAATGCAACACAATGATGGGTCTTGACTCCTTATCCAGTTTGCCAGTCTGTGTCTTTTAACGGGAGCATTTAGCCCATTTACATTTAAGGTTAATATTCTTATGTGTGAATTTGATCCTGTCATTGTGATGTTAGCTGGTTATTTTGCTCATTAGTTGATGCAGTTTCTTCCTAGCCTCGATGGTCTTTACAAGTTGGCATGTTTTTGCAGTGGCTGTTACCGGTTGTTCCTTTCCATGTTTAGTGCTTCCTTCAGGAGCTCTTTTAGGGCAGGCCTGGTGGTGACAAAATCTCTCAGCATTTGCTTGTCTGTAAAGGATTTTATTTCTCCTTCACTTATGAAGGTTAGTTTGGCTGGATATGAAATTCTGGGTTGAAAATTCTTTTCTTTCAGAATGTTGAATATTGGCCCCCACTCTCTTCTGGCTGGTAGAGTTTCTGCCAGGAGATCAGCTGTTAGTCTGATGGGCTTCCCTTTGTGACTAACCCGACCTTTCTCTCTGGCTGCCCTTAACATTTTTTCCTTCATTTCAACTTTGGTGAATCTGACAATTATGTGTCCTGGAGTTGCTCTTCTTGAGGAGTATCTTTGTGGCATTCTCTGTATTTCCTTCTACTTTGCTCTTTCCAGTGCACATGGAATTGTCACTAAAATAGATCGTATACTGAGCCATAAAACAAGTCTCTATACATTTCAAAGGATGGATGTCATACATAGAATATTTTCTGACCACAACCAAATTAAATTAGAAATCAATTTTTAAAAATCTCAGGGGATTTCTCAAATATTTGGAAATTAAGTAGTATACTTTAAATAATCCATGAGGCAAAGAAGAAAATTACAGAATATTTTGCGCTGAATGATTAAAAATGCAGCATATTGAAATGCAGCCAATGCGGCTTAAATTGAAATTGATGGCTTTAAATGCTTATTTTAGAAAATAAAGTTTTAAAACCAATGATGTCATCTTAGAAGCTTAAAAAGAGCAAATTACAACCAAGAAACATGAAGAAATGAAAAATAAGAGCTGAAATCAATAAAATAGCAAATGGACAAACAAAAAATCAACAAAGTCAGATGTTGGTTAATGGAAAATGTAATAAAACTGACAAATTTGATAATAAGATGGATAAACTCTTAATAGACTGATATCACCAGAGGCTGGCAATAATGTAGGGTACCCAGGACTGTCATATAGGGTTGTTGGAAGTATAAATTATAACCCAGCAATTAAACTCCTGGGTGTTTATCTAAAATAAATGAAGATATATGACCAAAAATATTACATGACTTATATAAAAATGTTTAAAGAGGCCTTATTCATGATAGCCCAAACTAAAATCCACTCAAGTTTTCATCAGCAAAATATTGGATAACCACATTGTGGAATATACATACATACAAGGGAATACTACTCACAGTAAAAAGGAGTGAAGTATTGCTATGTAAAGTAATGTGGAATAATCTAAAGAAACATTACACTGAGTGAAATAAACTAGTTAAAAAAGAGAACATGTTATATGATACCAAATAAATGAAGTTCTAGAATTTTCTGGGGTGTTAGACATGCTTCATATTTTGATAATGTATACTACTTGGGTGTGCATTTCTCAAAACTCTGAACTGTAACGCTTAAGAGCTGTATGTTTTATCCATGTAAATTACACTTCAATAAAAAGATTTTGAGGTCATTTTCAAATAAAACAGATTTTTTAAAGGTATATTATATACTAGGCTGAATTATTCCTTCTGTTTAGATATCAAAATGTTTTTATACTTAATTTTTAAAATACAAGATTAGCCAAACTTGTTTTAAAGACTATCCTTTAGTTTATTTTGATGTGAATGACACTCCATGTTTAATCATCTATTGTTTGTGGCCCTTGTCTTTCTGATAGTTATTTCCAAATTGACAAAAGGAATTGCATTTTAAAAAATTTCATGGGTAGCAGCAATCTTCTGAGTACATACTTGGACACAGCAAAAGGTGCTAGTAGGAAATAGAGAACTAGTTAAGACGTGATTTGCTCCCTCACTGCACCCTCCACCCTCAAGTTGCAGTGAAGTTGTATGCTTTTTGTGCTTCTTGGCTGTAGTGTGTTAACCTTTATATGATTATTCATTTTTATTTCACAGCAAAAAAGAAAAAGAAAAAAAGGTTTTGATGTTAGATGGAAATTACTGATTTAACTCAATAACCCCTTAAGATGCTATTGACTTTATTTTTTATAGGTTGAAGTTACATTATGCATCTTATGAACCGACTATAAGGGTGTTACATGAGAAACACCACACTTTACTGAAGGAGAAAATGCTGACCTCCTTGGAAAGAGACAAAGTAGTTGGGCAGGTAAAGATATAGTCAAAGCTAACTTAAAATGATCTTTTAATCATTTTTTTAATAATACAAGTAGAAATACTGATTTTGTTTCTGAGATTAATTTTAAAACATTTTCAACCAACTTTCATGTAAAAGAGATCCATTTGGAAACATTCAGAAAAAGTATTTCTCCATTTAACTACCTATAAAGATTATTATAAAATTAGGCCAGGGGCAGTGGCTCATGCCTGTAATCCCAGCACTTTGGGAGACCAAGGTAGGTGGATCATTTGCGGCCAGGAGTTTGAGACCAGCCTGGCCAATATGGTGAAAACCTGTCTCTACTAAAAATACAAAAAAAAAAAAACAAAAAACAAATAGCCGGGTGTGGTGGCACAGGCCTGTAATCCCTGCTACGTGGGAGGCTGAGGCATGAGAATCATTTGAACCCGGGAGTGGAGGTTGCAGTGAGCCGAGATGGCCCCATACCACTGCACTCTAGCCTAGGCAACAGAGTGAGACAGTGTCTCAAAAAAATTAAATTAAATATCATTTAATTGAGACATAAATTTATAGCAGATTATTAAATTATAGTTAGAAGAAAAAACTTAGCCATTGTGGTCAAACTTGGGTTTAAATGCCAGCTTTGACAGCTATAAACATTAACCTTAGGAGAGTCATTTAAACAAATTGGAGCTCAGATTTCTCATATATAAAATGTAGCTGCAAAGACCAAAGACATACCATTTAAGATTGCTGTGAAACTTATATGAGATATTTTAATAAATAAAAACTCCCTCATAGGTACTGACTCAAGTTTTTGGTTATTTTTGCTAATGCTTGACATCCTTTTAGGGTTTTTGTGTAGGCTTAGGCCTAGGGTAGTGGGTGAGATACCTTTGGCATAAAAATTTAAGAAAAAGAAACAAAATGTTTATATGCCACTTTAAAACCATTTATCAGTTTTTTTAGAATATATAAAACTGCAACTATGCTTAACATTCTATTATTGTTTTCTGGAGATTTTCATTTTTGGCCAAACTTTGAGAAGCTACAAAAGCTTACATGATGATAATACTCTTTTGAATAATTTTATTTGTCAAGACATGCTTTAATCAAGTTTATTTTGTCTTTTGAGTGAAATTCTTAGCTTCGAAAATGCAAAACATCATTGTCTTGATGCCCCTTGTGCTTGAATTTAATTTTGTGTTTTGAATGTTTGAATTTTAAGTAATATTGGATACAATGATAATATGATTTGGCTGTGTCCCCATCCAAATCTCACCTTGAATTGTAATCATCCCCACGTGTCAAGGGCGGGACCAGGTGGAGGTAACTGAATCATGGGGGTGGTTTCTCCCATGCTATTCTCATGATAATTGAGTGAGTCTCAAGAGATCTGGTGGTTGTATAAGCGTCTGGCATTTCTTTTGCTTGCACTCACTCTCTTTCCTGCCACCCTCTGAAGAGGTTTCTACCATGGTTGTAAATTTCATGAGGACTCCCCAGCCATGTGGAACTTGAGCCAATTAAACCTCTAGTCTTTTTTTTTTTTTAATATATTTTTACCCTAAAACCTCTATTCTTTATAAAATACCCAGTCTCGGGTATTTCCTCATAGTGGTGTGAGAATGAACTAATACAAATGAGTTTAACAATAATTTAAATTTTATGGCATTATAATCAAACCTTCAGAATTTCATACCCTTGCTTCTTTTCATCTAATCTGTCTTCCCCAGTCTCCTAACAAAAGGCTTTCTTTATTCTATATCCTGAGGTATTAGGAGCTAGATTCAGATCTCTTCCTATTTCCTATTCCAGATGGGCCAAGCTTAAGCTTTTGCTACCCATCTTACTCTCTTTAGTCCTCCTGGTCTCATGCTTATCTCCCATATACCATGTACAATATTTGTGTTTCAAGTTGCTCCTTGATGGTTTAGTGGAAAGAGCTAAGAACTGGGAATGGCTGGTATGAATTCCAGTTGTGTTGTAAAACACCCAAGTGAGGATTCAGGTTATTTAAATATTTCTTTTTACTCACTTATTAAATAGGGATAAATTATTTGCCTTATGATTGATATGTGTACAAGATTAAAACATGTTTAAAAAGTTAAAATCATTTGATCTATGAGTTAGAGTTGAATTTTGCACACTACTGTTCAGATGTGCAAAGAAATATATCTTTATTATCTGCAACTGGTTTTGTCTTTGAACTCCTACTCCTGCTGAAGACAAAAGAAAAGATAACCTGCATATTAAAGACTATCCCAATCTTTGTGAGTTAAACCAGTCTCTTTGGGTTTAACACAGGGTGTTTGAATATTATATTAACTGAATGTTTAGCTAAAACATAGTTATTAGTGCTCATTTTCTTCCTTCAAATGGCATGCCCTTTTTATTCTTCCCCAGATGGTTCCTAGTAAAAAAGTTACTTGTCTATCCGTATAGCTTAAAGTCTACAGGCTATATTCACTCTCCAGTGTACTGTGACTTGTTTGATTAGGTTGGTGTCCAGGTACATGAAACCTGGATAGTTCTGGATAGCTCCTGGATAGTTCCTGGGTAGTTCTTTTGTATGTGAACCCAACACACCTTGCTAAATCCATGGCCTCTGCCACAATATCTGTGAACTCCTTTATATCTGTGGCCTCATTATCCTAACCCTAGCTTTTTTTCTGCTCCAGTACATCAAATATTAACATTTCCATGTACCCCACTGAGGTGGTTGAGGCTTCTGATTTCTCTATATTGGAAATACAAGCCATGAGCAATTTGAAAACCAGTTAGGGTCCATCTACACAGATATACCTTTTTCAGTCCATTTTCAACATGACCTGGAGAGTAGTGTGTTTTTCTAGCACAATGTAAAATATGAAGGACTCTTTAAGGGGTTGTCAATTTTCCTAGGCTATTGCCTGAAAAGCTAACAGCAAGTATACTTATATTCCTGGAGTATCCCTAGAGTATCTGGCTTTATTTGCCCTTCATTTCCAACTGGCCCCACTTGCATTTTTCACTTGGTAGATAAAGTAGGACTCATGTCTGACCTGTTGTTACCTCGTCCCTCAGGCATCTCGTCCCTCAGGCACAGAACTCTTTTCACTTCTTTGTTCTATTGGATGGAATATCTTCCTATCTTCTTTCATGTTACAGGATGCTCTATGTCCTCATTTGTTACAGCAATCCTGATTTACACCTATTTGCACAGGGGAATTTTTAATAAATTCCACTTTCACCCTAAAAATATCCCAATTTAGAAAATCTTTATTAATGGGAAAATTCTATTTTTTTATACTTTAAGTTCTAGGGTACATGTGCACAACGTACAGGTTTGTTACATAGGTTTACAAGTGCCATGTTGGTTTGCTACACCCATCGTCATTTACATTAGGTATTTCTCTTAATGCTATCCCTGTCCCAGCCCCACACCCCATGATAGGCCCTGGTGTGTGACGCTCCCTGCCCTGTGTCCATGTGTTCTCATTGTTCGTTTCCCACCTATGAGTGAGAACATGCGGTGTTTGGTTTTCTGTACCTGTGATAGTTTGCTGAGAATGATGGTTTCCAGCTTCATCCATGTTCATGTCAAAGGACATGAACTCATCCTTTTTTATGGCAGCATAGTATTCCATGATGTATATGTGCCACACTTTCTTAATCCAGTCTATCATTGATGGACATTTGGGTTGGTTCCAAGTCCTTGCTATTGTGAACGGTGCCGCAATAAACATACATGTGCATGTATCTTTATCGTAGCATCATTTATAATAATTTGGGTATATACCCCGTAATGGGATTGCTGGGTCAAATGGTATTTCTGGTTCTAGATCCTTGAGGAATCACCACACTGTCTTCCACAGTGGTTGAACTAATTTACACTCCCACCAACAGTGTAAAATCATTCCTATTTCTCCACATCCTCTCCAGCATCTGTTGTTTCCTGACTTTTTAATGATCGCCATTGCAACTGGTATGAGATGGTATCTCATTGTGGTTTTTATTTGCATTTCTCTGATGACCAATGATGATGAGCATTTTTTCACGTTTCTGTTGGCTGCATAAATGTCTTCTTTTGAGAAGTATCTGTTCATATACTTTGTTTTTTTCTTGTAAATTTGTTGAAGTTATTTGTAGATTCTGAATATTAGCTCTTTGTCAGATGGGTAGATGGCAAAAATTTTCTCCCATTGTGTAGGTTACCTGTTCACTCTGATGGTAGTTTCTTTTGCTGTGCAGAAGCTCTTTAGTTTAGTTAGATCCCATTTGTCAATTTTTGCTTTTGTTGCCATTGCTTTTGGTGTTTTAGTCACAAAGTCTTTGCCCATGCCTATGTCCTAAATGGTATTGCCTAGGTTCTGTTCTAGGGTTTTTATGGTTTTAGGCCTTACATTTAAGTATTTAATCCATCGTGAATTAATTTTTGTATAAGGTGTAAAGAAGGGATCCAGTTTCAGTTTTCTGCATATGGCTAGCCAGTTTTCCCAGCACCATTTATCAAATAGGGAATCCTTTCCCCATTTCTTGTTTTTGTCAGGTTTGTCAAAGATCAGATGGTTGTAGATGTGTGGTGTTATTTCTGAGGCCTCTGTTCTGTTCCACTGGTCTATATATCTGTTTTGGTACTGGTACCATGCTATTTTGGTTATTGTAGCCTTGTAGTATAGTTTGAAGTCAGGTAGCCTGATGCTTCCAGCTTTGTTCTTTTTGCTTAGGATTGTCTTGGCTATGCAGGCTCTTTTTTGGTTCCATATGAACTTTAAAGTAGTTTTCTCTAACTCTGTGAAGAAAGTCATTGGTAGCTTGATGGGGAAGGCATTGAATCTATAAATTACCTTGGGCAGTATGGCCATTTTCAAGATATTGATTGTTCCTATCCGTGAGCATGGAATGTTCTTCCATTTGTTTGTGTCCTCTTTTATTTCATTGAGCAGTGGTTTTTAGTTCTCCTTGAAGACGTCCTTTACATCCCTTGTAAGTTGGATTCCTAGGTATTTTATTCTCTTTGAAGCAATTGTGAATGGGATTTCACTCATGATTTGGCCCTCTGTTTGTCTGTTATTGGTGTATAGGAATGCTTGTGATTGTTGCACATTGATTTTGTATCCTGAGATTTTGCTGAAGTTGCTTATCAGCTTAAGGAGATTTTGGGCTGAGATGATGGGGTTTTCTAAACATACAATCATGTCATCTGCACGCAGGGACAATTTGACTCCCTCTTTTTCTAATCGAATCCCCTTTATTTCTTTCTCTTGCCTGATTGCCCTGGCCAGAACTGCCAACTTCCAACTATGTTGAATTGGAGTGGTGAGAGAGGGCATCGTTGTCTTGTGCCAGTTTTCAAAGGGAATGCTTCCAGTTTTTGCCCATTCAGTATGATATTGGCTGTGGGTTTGTCATAAATAGCTCTTATTATTTTGAGGTATTTTCGATCAATACCTAGTTTATTGAGAGATTTTAGCATGAAGTGATGTTGAATTTTGTCAAAGGCCTTTTCTGGTGGATAAGCTTTTTGATGTGCTGCTGGATTCGGTTTGCCAGTATTTTAATGAGGATTTTCATCGATGTTCATCAGGGATATTGGTCTAAAATTCTCTTTTTTTGTTGTGTCTCTGCCAGGCTTTGGTATCAGGATGATGCTGGCCTCATAAAATGAGTTAGGGAGGATTCCCTCTTTCTCTATTGATTGGAATAGTTTCAGAAGGAATGGTACCAGCTCCTCTTTGTACCTCTGGCAGAATTTGGCTGTGAATCTGTCTGATCTTGGACTTTATTTGGTTGGTAGGTTATTAATTATTGCCGCAATTTCAGAGCCTGTGATTGGTCAATTCAGAGATTCAACTTCTTCCTAGTTTATTCTTGTGAGAGAGTGTGTGTCCAGGAATTTATCCATTTATTCTAAATTTTCTAGTTTATTTGCATAGAGGTGTTTATAGTATTCTCTGATGGTAGTTTGTATTTCTATGGGATCGGTGGGGATATCCCCTTTATCATTTTTTTATTGCATCTATTTGATTCTTCTCTCCTTTCTTCTTTATTAGTCTTGTTAGTGGTCTGTCAATATTGTTGATCTTTCAAAAAGCCAGCTCCTGGCTACTTTGATTTTTTGAAGGGTGTTTTTGTGTCCCTGTCTCCTTCAGTTCTGTTCTGATCTTAGTTATTTCTTGCCTTCTGCTAGCTTTTGAATGTGTTTGTTCTTGCTTCTCTAGTTCTTTTTATTGTGATGTTAGGGTGTTGATTTTAGATCTTTCCTGCTTTCTCTTGCGGGTATTTAGTGCTCTAAATTTTCCTCTACACACTGCTTTAAATGTGTCCCAGAGATTCTGGTATGTTGTGTCTTTGTTCTCATTGATTTCAAAGAACGTCTTTATTTCTGCCTTAATTTCGTTATGTACCCAGTAGTCATTCAGGAGCAGGTTCTTCAGTTTCCATGTAGTTGTGTGGTTTTGAGTGAGTTTCTTAATCCTGAGTTCCAATTTGATTGCACTGTGGTCTGTGGTCTGAGAGACAGTTTGTTGTGATTTGTATTCTTTTACATTTGCTGAGGAGTGCTTTACTTCCAATTATATGGTCAATTTTAGAATAAGCGCGATATGGTGCCAAGCAGAATGTATATTCTTTTGATTTGGGGTAGAGAGTTCTGTAGATGTCTGTTAGGTCTGCTTGGTGAAGAGCTGAGTTGAAGTCCTGGATATCCTTGTTAACCTTCTGTCTCGTTGATCTGTCTAATATTGACAGTAGGGTGTTAAAGTCTCCCATTATTATTGTGTGGGAGTCTAAGTCTCTTTATAGGTCTCTAAGGACTTCCTTTATGAATATGGGTTCTCTTGCTTTGGGTGCATATATATTTAGGATAGTTGGCTCTTCTTGTTGAATTGATCCCTTTACCATTATGTAATGGCCTTCTTTGTCTCTTTTGATATTTGTTGGTTTTAAAGTCGTTTTATCAGAGACTAGGATTGCAACCCCTGCTTTTTTTTGCTTTCCATTTGCTTGGTAGCTCTTCCTTCATCCCTTTATTTTGAGCCTATGTGTGTCTCTGCACATGAGATGGGTCTCCTGAATACAGCACACTGATGGGTCTTGACTGTTAATCCAGTTTGCCAGTCTGTGTCTTTTAATTGGGGCATTTAGCCCATTTACATTTAAGGTTAATATTGTTATGTGTGAATTCAATCCTGTCATTATGATGTTCGCTGGTTATTTTGCCCATTAATTGATGCAGTTTCTTCATAGCATTGATGGTCTTTACAATTTGGCATGTTTTTGCAGTGGCTGGTACTGGTTGTTCCTTTCCATGTTTAGTGCTTCCTTCAGGAGCTCTTGTAAGGCAGGCCTGGTAGTAACAAAACCCCTTAGCATTTGCTTGTCTGTGAAGGATTTTATTTCTCCTTCACTTATGAAACTTAGTTTGGCTAGATATGAAATTCTGGGTTGAAAATTCTTTCCTTTAAGAGTGTCGAATATTGGCCCCCACTCTCTTCTGGCTTGTAGGGTTTCTGCCGAGAGATCTGCTGTTAGTCTGATGAGCTTCCCCTTTTATGTAACCTGCCCTCTCTCTCTGGCGGCCCTTAACATTTTTTCCTTCATTTCAACCTTGGTGAATCTGACGATTATGTGTCTTAGGGTTACTCTTCTTGGGGAGTACCTTTATGGTGTTCTCTGTATTTCCTGAATTTGAATGTTGGCCTGCCTTGCTAGGTTGGGGAAGTTCTCCTGGATAATATCCTGAAGAGTGTTTTCTAACTTGGTTCCATTCTCCCCATCACTTTCAGGTACACCAATCAAATGTAGATTTGGTCTTTTCACATAGTGCCATATTTCTTGGAGGCTTTGTTCATTTCTTTTTACTCTTTTTCTCTAATCTTGTCTTCTCACTTTATTTCATTAAGTCGATCTTCAATCACTGATATCCTTTCTTCCACTTGATTGAATTGGTTACTGAAGCTTGTGCATGCATCACAACGTTTTCGTGCTGTGGTTTTCAGCTCCATCAGGTCATTTAAGGTCTTCTCTGTACTGTTTATTATAGTTAGCCATTCATCTAACCTTTTTTCAAGGTTTTTAGCTTCCTTGCGATGGGTTAGACCACGCTCCTTTAGCTTGGAGAAGTTTGTTATTACCGACCTTCTGAAGCCTACTTTTGTCAACTCATCAAAGTCATTCTCCATCCAGTTTTGTTCCATTGCTGGTGAGGAGTTGTGATCCTTTGGAGGAGAAGAGGCACTCTGGTTTTTAGAATTTTCCACTTTTCTGCTCTTGTTTCTCTCCATCTTTGTGGTTTTATCTACCTTTGGTGTTTGATGTTAGTGACCTTCAGATGGGGTTTTGATGTGGGTGTCCTTTTTTTGAAGTTTATGCTATTTCTGTTTGTTAGTTTTCCTTCTAACAGTCAGGCCCCTTAGCTGCAGGTCTGTTGGGGTTTGCTGGAGGTCCACTCCAGACCCTGTTTGCCTCGCTATCACCAGCAGAGGCTGTAGAACAGCAAATATTGCAGAGCAGCAAATATTGCTGCCTGATCCTTCTTCTAGAAGCTTTGTCCCAGAGGGGCACCTGCCTATATGAGGTATCAGTCGGCCCCTACTGGGAGGTGTCTCCCAGTCAGGCTGCATGGGGATCAGGGACCCACTTGAGGAGGCAGTCCATCCATTCTCAGAGCTCGAATGCCATGCTGGGAGAACCACTGCTTTCTTCAGAGCTGTCAGACATGGGGTTTAAGTCTGCAGAAGTTTCTGCTGCCTTTTGTTCAGCTATGCCCTGCCCACAGAGATGGAGTCTATAGAGGCAGTAGGCCTTGCTGAGCTGCGGTGGGCTCCTCCAGTTTGAGCTTCCCAGCTGCTTTGTTTACCTACTGAAGCCTCAGCAATGGCAGACGCCCCTCCTCCCACCAGGCTGCAGCCTCGCAGGTCAATCTCAGACTACAGTGCTAGCAGTGAGCAAGGCTCTGTGGGCGTCGGACCTGCTGAGCCAGGCACGGGAGAAAATCTCCTGGTCTGCCAGTTGCTAAGACCATGGGAAAAGTGCAGTATTTGGACAGAAGTGCCTCGTTTTTCCAGGTACAGTCTGTTATGGCTTCCCTTGGCTAGGAAAGGCAAATCCCCCAACCCCTTGCACTCCTGGGTGAGGCAACGCCCTGCCCTGCTTCAGCTTGCCCTCCGTGGGCTGCACCCACTGTCCAACCACTCCCAATGGGATGAACCAGCACCTCAGTTGGAAATGCAGAAATCTGTCTTCTGTGTTGATCACACTGGGAGCTGCAGACGGGAGCTGTTCCTATTCAGCCATCTTGGAAACGACCTTAATTTGAAAATTCTAAAGAGCTAATTTCTTGATATCTAATATGGAACAGTTAGTCCCACTCTTAAGATAACATTGAAAAAAATAAATAAAATGGAGAAGTTAGGATTTATAAATAGCTTTTCTCTCTCAACCAAATCTGCTGTTGAAGGTGGTAGATTCACTACAATTTGAGAAAGTCAAATTTAAATAGGAGGTGCTATTGCTGCCACTGAGCTGTCACCACAGGTTTTACCATGGACAATGCTAATACTGAATACTTGATACTCTTTCAGAATTTTGTTATACTTGTCAATGGAAACTGGATGTGGCAGCCACCATTCTCAGGATAAATTCCAAATTCTACATTGTTCCTTATATCACTAAATTTTGTTCAGAATCCAAAATGGGTACACAGGATTGATGGAGCCAATGCAAGTCCTAGTTATAGGACAAGCTGTGTAAATATCTGATATCTATTGCAAAAGGTGGAAGACACATGATTCTCTAAACCCAAACTGCTAAGTGGCCAAAGCGACTGTCAAATATCCATTATACAAGTCTAAACCAAGGCTCAATTAACCTACTCTCCAAATTAGGGCACAGAATATAGTCCTAGTCCTGTCAGCTCTCCAGGTGTGTCCTTGTGGAACAAGTCAAGGTTACCACTTAAAGAATGGAAACTGTTTGTGTACCCTTCTTACAAAGAATGATTTATTGCCAACCAATCCTTTCTTTCTGTTGTAGCATACTAATCAGGTATATCCTGGGTGTACAGGCATAGATTAGCCTTTGAAATTGAACATATTAGTAGTGTGTCATGGAGCTATAGAATGAATTTATTCAAAGTATGTGTACAGAGAAAATATCTTAAAATATGTGAAATGTTTCTCTATAATGTAAAATAGAAGATAGGTTACTTTTGTGCTTATATTTTGAATATTTCTTTATTTCAACGTTTGATGCAGTTACGCTTTGAGAATTCATTTCCAACCAAACTTTAGGATGTGAGTTAAGAGCAGTAAGACATCTTATGTTTTCTAGCTGGATTCCTGATTGTTACTTCCTTAAAAACTTTATCTTAATGAGCATTTAGCTTACTGTGTTTCTCCTTAAACCTATACCTTGCATAAAGAAGGATTGTATAATAATTTAAAATTTTTGATTATTATCTAGTTTGCATATGAAAGAGTGAAAACACACTGTGGGATGACAAAAATCCGATAGGAAATACATGTTTTCAAATTTCTTTAGTAGATACTAGACAGTGAATCAACATTTATTTAAAATGTAATGAAAAACCTATAACTTTGTTTTTGGTTTTAAGAAATTATTGAAAATAGTGTTCAGAATTTTGAATTAGAGCTCCATGACCCAAGAAAAGGTGAAATAGAATTGATTTGTAGGTATCTATGTATACTAAATTATATTTTATCTTTTTTAGATCATGGGATTCTAACTCAGAATATGTATGTATGTGTGTGTGTGTGTATATATATATATATGTATACTAAAAACTAAATCTAAATATATATATATATTTTAGGTCTGTCTGCTTGGAGAGTCTAGAAGTAGTGACACTCCACCAGTAATGAACATATCCAGTGTTAGGATCTTGATTTCTAATATCACTCTGTAATAAAAGGAAAGGAAACAGGGTTCTTTGGAGAAGTGTCTGATTCTAGAGCTGGGCAGATAAAATACTAGATAGGCCTGGAGCACTTGGGACATTTTCTTGTGCTAGAAAGGAAGGAAATGCTCAAAAAGTAGAACAGAAAAGAAAAAAAAACTCAACATAATAATGGGATATGTCAAGTTATGACAAAGGAACTGTAGTGGGCACCTGCAGAGGTTGGTGGATCCCCAACTAAATTTGATTTGGATATTCAGACTGATAATGCCACACACACACACACACACACACACACACACACACACACAGAGGCTGTGAATAAATTCACTACTTGTGGAACTGAATTTGCTGAGGAGAGCTGCACATTACCTCCCAAGCATTTCTGAAATGGCTTGAGAGAGCAAGTAAGGGAGACTGGCTTGGGGTTTTTATTGCGGTTGGGGGTTAGGGCCAGGGTGAGAATTCTCATATGTGAGGTGAGGCTTGAGTCATTTGAATCTCCCATCAGTACCAGACAAGGGAGTACCCAGGCATTCTTGTCCAGTTGCCCAGATGTTGGGCACAAGGGAAGAAGGAGGAGGTAAAACTTAAAGGCTGTTGACACTCAAACATCAAACAATAAAGTCAGGTTCCTCATTATAGGAATCCAACCTGAAAGAGCTTCCAGTGATCAAACCTTCTGAAACAATTTGAGCAACAAAATAATGTAGTGTTTGATTATAACCCAAAATATAAAATAAATATCTTTGATTCCTTAATGGTATAAATATAAATGATTAGTAAGGACATGTGAGAGAGTAGACAAATCTCCCATACAGAAGAATCTCGAGTAATATATGTTGATAATCCTTCCCTCAAGTAGGTGGAGCTTAACAACTCAGCTGTTGAGTGTTGGCTGCACTTTGTAAATAATGACTTGCATCCAGAAATGCAAGGGAAATAGGGAAGAAAGTAACTTTACAGTGGGGAAACCTGTCAACCTTCTCATCATGTAACCAAAGGATCAAGGTGAACATCATCAGTTTTAAGTACTGTTGGTAGCATGAACCTATGATGTAATATGCTAATAATGGCACTCCCCTGTGATCTTCTTGCAAATCCATAACTTTAGTCTAACCATGGGGAAAATATCAGACAACCTCAAATCTAGGGCTATTCTGTAAAATACTGTCAGACTAATGCTCCCCAAAATTGTCAAGGACATTAAAATCAGGGAAAATCTGTGTATTAGTCCATCTTGTGTTGCTATAAAGGAATACCCGAGACTGGGTAATTTATAAGGAAAAGAGGTTTATTTGGCGCATGGTTCTGCAGGCTGTAGAAGAAGTATAGCACCAGCATCTGCAGAGAGATCTGCCTCCATGACCCAAACACTTCCCCCTAGGCCCCACCTCCAACACTGGGGATCACTTTTCAACAAGAGATTTGGAGAGGACAAATATCCAAACTATATCAGTCTGAGAAACTGTCTCAGTCCAGAGGAGGCTTAGGAGACCTAAAAACTAGTTGTAAGGTGATATTCTGGATGCGATTTTGAAACATAAAAAGGATATTATGGAAAAATTAATAAAACTAAAAATATGGCCTGTAGTTCATAATAATATATCAATATTGGTTCATTATTTGTGAAAAATGTATCATTACAATGTATGATGTTAATGGGGGAAAAAGGGTATGGGATAAAACAGGAATTCTCAGTACTACATTAGCAACTCTCCTGTTAATCTTATGCTATTCTAAATAAAAAGTTTATTTTTGAAATTTATAATTCTTTTGGCTTCTAGGAATAGATAGTAATCTTTTACTTTTTTTTAACCTAGGCATTTCATGAGCACTCATCTATAGGTTATAATTAATAAATTATGTTATTTTCTATTAATAAAGAAATATTACTATTCAGTGATAGTAGAAAAAAGTGTGTATCTGTATGTAATTGAACAGATGGTATTTTGTGTTGGTATAATCATATACAATGCAAGATGAAATAGCTTTTCAAGGTCAAATTTTAAATTAAGTATTTTTCAGGAATACAGGTAAATCATGACACCAAAGCTAACAAAAGTTCTTAGTTATAAGACATGTTTAATAAAATAGAGAATATATGTGGGTGGAAAATGAGCTAAGAGTTGGGGGAATAAAAACAACCTCTTCATATTTTACATTCCAAGTGATAATTACCTTGTATTTTATAAATATAAAGATGATAGTTATTGTGAAACAATTTGAACAGAGGAAAAACCTCTCTCAAAATAGAGAATTGAATAATTATTAAAGTGTACAATGAGTATTCTTAATTCAGGAAACTATGCCGTGAAATAAATGTTTCAGATGCTTACCTAAAATAAGTAATTAATAATTAGCTGGTGGAATTATATTTTAACTTAAAATTCTGTTTTTCTTTTGTTAAAATTTATGTTTTATTAAAAAAGGTATAAATTTAAAAGAGATTAATATTTTTTATATTTTACAATGGATATTTAAATATTGTGTTTTATGTAACCTTTTTAAAAGTCATTTAGTGTATAATTTCATTTCTTTGAATTTTACTTTTTAGATTTCTGGACTTCAAGAAACATTGAAGAAACTGCAAAGAGGACATAGTTACCATGGTCCTCAAATTAAAGGTAAATGTAAAATGTGATGAAGCTCTCATTTAATATAGTTTGGTGATTTCTCAACCTTATCAGTGATTAATATTCTAGAGATATTTAAAGGTGAGTAAGTGGTGGCTATTTCACAAATTAAAATTTTAATAAAAAGATTAAGAAGAAATATAGATATCATACTGTATGGATTAATTATAGAGAAAAACAAGTCAACTATAATGGAAGGACTTCTGCTTCTGGTCATTATACCTGGTACCAGACTAGCCTTCTCTGTGTAAATAACTCTAAAGCTAAGCTGTAAGATCAGACAACTACTTTTAGGCAGTAGAAAACAGACAGCTCAAGTAACAGAAGGCAATTGACAGAAGGAAAATTTATAAGGTGAGCTCTGCCATCACCATGGCTTTGGGTCTGTGGAAAGTTCCAAACTGAGCTTTGTGGAGATGGAAGCCAATAAGAGCATGACAATCCTGATAATTGGAAATGTCAGAGACCCTAGTTCACAGCTTTTGAAGCCACTGGAATCTGTAGGGAAAGACACCAGAGAAGAGAGCTGCAATGAGGAGTGGCTCAGTTTGTGAGGGAGTTTACTATGAGTCCTTAGCTGAGGCTGCAATACTATACATAACAACACTACCTGACACTTACAAGAGAGATACAATTATATAGGATCAAGAGGAGGCCAGAGATTGTAGAAGTTAAGTAGTGATGCGAAACATTGCAAATCTGGCCATGCCTGGGTGGAAAGACCTCTTTCACACCTTGTTAACAACACAGTAACATTCAGCATCCCATATCCGCCTTATAAAACCAGGAACAAAGCTTACACAGCATTCTTAGAGAGGACACAGAATTTGGAGTTTGAGTCTTGCCAAGTTATAGGGCCTTGAGAAACATTTAGGGCTTTCCATGGATCCACCCTAACGAAGCATAAAATTAAGCCTAGGATTTTAGGGTCATCAGCCAAAAATGGAACTGCCTTCTAGAACAAAAAATGACATCCTTTTGAGGAAGACAGTCATCCAGAGTCTTTACAATCTTTTACCCACATTGCCTAGTACATAATTAAACATTTCTAGATATGAATAGGAACAGGAAAATGTGACCCATAATCAAGACAACAAGCAATAAATGGAAACCTACCCTTAAGTAGCTAAACTGTTGCATTTAGCAGATAGAAAGTGCTAAAGTAGATACTTTGATTATGTTCAAGGACTTAATGGAAAATACTAATAAGTGAACAGATGGGGAATTTAAGCAAAGAAATGAGAACAAGCATACATTCCAAAGCAAATTGAAGTTCTACAGCTGAAAAGTAGAATAACTAAAATGAATTTTTTTTTTTTTTGAGACAGAGTCTTGCTGTGTCACCCAGGCTGGAGTGCAGTGGCATGATCTCAGCTCACTGCAGCCTCCACCTCCCAGGTTCAAGTGATTCTGGTGCCTCAGCCTCTCCAGTAGCTGGGACTACAGGCATGTGCCACCATGACTGGCTAATTTTTGTATTTTTAGTAGAGCTGGGGCTTCACCATGTTGGCCAGGCTGGTCTTGAACTCCTGTCTTGAAGTGATCCGCCTGCCTCAGCCTCCCAACATGCTGGGATTACAGGCATGAGCCACTGCGCCCAATCAAAAATTTTATTTAATGTACTTCATAACAAATTAGAGATGACAGAAGTGTCAGTAAATTTCAAGAGAGATCCATAAAGGCATCTAGTCTAAAGAAGAAAGATAGGCCGGGCACGGTGGCTCACGCCTGTAATCCCAGCACTTTGGGAGGCTGAGGCGGGCGGATCACGAGGTCAGGAGATCGAGACCATCCCGGCTAAAACGGTGAAACCCCGTCTCTACTAAAAATACAAAAAATTAGCTGGGCGTAGTGGCGGGCGCCTGTAGTCCCAGCTACTTGGGAGGCTGAGGCAGGAGAATGGTGTGAACCCGGGAGGCGGAGCTTGCAGTGAGCCGAGATCCCGCCACTGCACTCCAGCCTGGGCGACAGAGCGAGACTCCGTCTCAAAAAAAAAAAAAAAAAAGAAGAAAGATAAAAGATTAAAGGAAAACTTGCCTATTTAACATATATAAAATTAAAGTCCCAAAGAAGAGAATGAAAATGGAGCATAAAAATACTTAAACAAATGATGGCCCCAAATTTCCCCAAATTCATGTAAAGTATAAACTTAAACACCTAAGAAAAGAACTAATCATACACATAAAGAGAACCACTCCTGAACACAATGTGTTGAAATTGTTGAAAATTGAAGTGAGAAAATCTTTTTTTTTTAATTTATAAAGAAAAAGAAAAAGAGGTATAATGGACTCACAGTTCCACATAGCTGGGGAGGCCTCACAATAATGGTGGAAGGCAAAGGAGGAGCAAAGGCACCTCTTAGATGGCAGCAGGCAAGAGAGAGTTTGCAGAGGAACTGCCCTTTATAAAACCATCAGATCTTGTGAGATTTATTCACTATCATGAGAACAGCATGGGAAAACCCGCCTCCATGATTCAAATACCTCCCACCTGGTCCCTCCCTTGACACATGGGGATTATGGGAGCTACAATTCAAGATGAGATTTGGGTGGGGACACAGCCCAAACCATATCACCAAGTGTCCATTGATAGATGAATGGATAAGCAAAATGTGGTTTTTACATGCAATAGAATCTTTTTTTTTTAATTATACTTTAAGTTCTAGGATACAGGTGCACAACATACAGGTTTGTTACATACGTATACATGTGCCATATTGGTGTGCTGCACCCATTAACTCATCATTTACATTAGATATATCTCCTAATGGTATCCCTCCCCATTCCCCCTACCCCATGACAGGCCCCGGTGTGTGATGTTCCCCTTCCTGTGTCCAAGTGTTCTCATTGTTCAATTCCCACCTGTGAGTGAGAACATGCAGTGTTTGGTTGTCTGTCCTTGAGATAGTTGGCTGAGAACGATGGTTTCCAGTTTCATCCATGTCCCTACAAAGGACATGAACTCATCCTTTTTTATGGTTGCATAGTATTCCATGGTGTATATGTCCCACATTTTCTTAATCCAGTCTATCATTGATGGACATTTGGGTTGGTTCCAAGTCTTTGCTATTGTGAATAGTGCCGCAATAAACATAATGTGTGCATGTGTCTTTACAGCAGCATGATTTATAATCCTTTGGGTATATACCCAGTAATGGGATCGCTGGGTCAAATGGTATTTCTAGTTCAAGATCTTTGAGGAATTGCCACACTGTCTTTCATAATGGCTGAACTAGTTTACAGTCCCACCAGCAGTGTAAAAGTGTTCCTATTTCTCCACATCCTCTCCAGCACCTGTTGTTTCCTGACTTTTTAATGATCGCCATTCTAACTGGTGTGAGATGGTATCTCATTGTGGTTTGATTTGCATTTCTCTGATGGCCAGTGTGATGAGCATTTTTTCATGTGTCTGTTGGCTGCATAAATGTCTTCTTTTGAGAAGTGTCTGTTCATATCCTTCACCCACTTGTTGATGGGGTTGTTTGTTTTTTTCTTGTAAATTGGTTTGAGTTCTTTGTAGATTCTGGATATTAGCCCTTTGTCAGATGAGTAGATTGCAAAAATTTTCTCCCATTCTGTAGGTTGCCTGTTCACTCTGACGGTAGTTTCTTTTGCTGTGCAGAAGCTCTTCAGTTTAATTAGATCCCATTTGTCAATTTTGGCTTTTGTTGCCATTGCTTTTGGTGTTTTAGACATGAAGTCCTTGCCCATGCCTATGTCCTGAATGGTATTGCCTAGGTTTTCTTCTAGGGTTTTTATGGTTTTAGGTCTAACATTTAAGTCTTTAATCCATCTTGAATTAATTTTTGTATAAGGTGTGAGGAAGGGATCCAGTTTCAGCTTTCTACATATGGCTAGCCAGTTTTCCCAGCACCACTTATTAAATAGGGAATCCTTTCCCCATTGCTTGTTTTTGTCAGGTTTGTCAAAGATCAGATAGTTGTAGATGTGTGGCATTATTTCTGAGGGCTCTGTTCTGTTCCATTGGTCTATATCTCTGTTTTGGTACCAGTACCATGCTGTTTTGGTTACTGTAGCCTTGTAGTATAGTTTGAAGTCAGGTAGTGTGATGCCTCCAGCTTTGTTCTTTTTGCTTAGGATTGTCTTGGCTATGTAGGCTCTTTTTTGGATCCATATGAACTTTAAAGTAGTTTTTTCCAGTTCTGTGAAGAATGTCATTGGTAGCTTGATGGCGATGGCATTGAATCTATACACTTCATGCTAAAAACTCTCAAAAATTCGTTATTGATGGGACTTATCTCAAAATAATAAGAGCTATTTATGACAAACCCACAGCCAATATCATACTGAATGGGCAAAAACTGGAAGCATTCCCTTTGAAAACTGGCACAAGACAGGGATGCCCTCTCTCACCACTCCTATTCAACATAGTGTTGGAAGTTCTGGCCAGGGCAATTAGTCAGGAAAAAGAAATAAAGGGTATTCAGTTAGGAAAAGAAGAAGTCAAATTGTCCCTGTTTGCAGATGACATGATTGTATATTTAGAAAACCCCATCATCTCAGCCCAAAATCTCCTTAAGCTGATAAGCAACTTCAGCAAAGTCTCAGGATACAAAATCAATGTGCAAAAATCACAAGTATTCTTATACACCAATAACACAAACAGAGAGCCAAATCATGAGTCAAATCCCATTCACAGTTGCTTCAAAGAGAATAAAATACCTAAGAATCCAACTTACAAAGGATGTGAAGGACGTCTTCAAGGAGAACTACAAACCACTGCTCAATGAAGTAAAAGAGGACACAAACAAATGGAAGAACATTCCATGCTCATGGATAGGAAGAATCAATATCATGATAATGGCCATACTGCGCGAGAAAATCTTGAAAGCAATAATACAAATACAGGCTGATTTCTCATAGGAAATACTGGAGGCTAGAAACAATAAAATGGTATTTTTAAAGTGTGGAAACAATTTTAATTCAGAATTGTGTATCCAATAAAAATATCCTTTAAAATTTAGATAAAATGTAGACATTTTAAGATGCAGGCAAGCTCGGAGATTTTTTGCAAGCCTATCTGTACAGCAGGAAATACTAAAGAAGTTTCTTTGGTCAAAAAAGTATATTTGCCAGAAGGAAATTAATATCTACCACAATTGAATACAGAGAATTAAAAATGTTAAATTCTGGTTAAAATGAGAAATATGTTTTCCTTTTCTAATTTCCTCAGAAGAAAAGTGACTGATTAAAATAAAATTATGGTGTCATAAGGTAATGTTTATAAGGTATGTAAAATAAAGGAAAATAAATTGAGGTGTGGTGGAAATGTTTTATATCTTAATTTTGGTGGTAGTTACATGCCTGTTTATATTTGTCAAAACACACCTATCTGTACAATTACAGTGCATAATTTACCTACAATAAAATGCATAAATTTAAGTATACCTGTGTTTACTTTTAGGCAAAGAGGATTTTTTTTTTTGGCTCAGATAGCTAGAAGGCACAGACAGTATTCTCAGACATGACTAGATCCAGAAGGATGATGTCCTTAGGACCTGGTCACTGCCTCTGTCTTGTGAGCTGAATTCATTTTTTAAAAAGGATAAACTTTATTTTTTAGAGCAGTTTTAGGTTTATAGCAAAATTGAGTGGAAGGTACAGTGATTTTCCATATACCACCTGCCCCCACCCATATACCACCTGCCCCCAGACATAGCTTCCCCTATTATCAGCATCCCCTACCAGATTGATACAGTTGTAAAAACTGATGAGTGTCCATGACATTAATATCACCGAAGTCCATAGTTTACATTAGGGTTCACTTTTGATGTTGTACGTTCTGTGGAATTCAACACATTTATGACGTGTATCCAACATTATAGTGTCATACAGAGTAGTATCACTGCCCTAAAAACCTTTTGTGCTTTGCGTATTCATCCCTTCCTCCTTCCTACTTTTCTAATATTTTATGTTAAAGTAGTATCAGTTATGCACAGTGATTCCTAAGGGACTATGCACAAGGATGTTTATTGCAGTCATAAAAGTAACACAACAATACAAGCAATCTCACTTTTTAACCACCAGTGAATGTTTATAGTGGATCCTACAATAATAAAAAGTCTAAAACTCATGCATAAGAAATACTTATGTTTTAATGTTAAGAAGTAAAAACATTTATATGGTACAAATGTATGCCTGTTGAATATATGCAAAGAAAAAATATCAGAAGGTGTATACCAGGATTTTAACATAATTTTCTCTGTGTTATGTGACTACTTCCTACCCTTTTCTTTATTGCATATTTTACAAAGAGTGTACATTTCTGTCAACTTCAAAAATTGTTTTCATATTAAGATAAGAAGAATGTAATCAGATATAAATATTAAATGATGGTTTGAAATTATCATAATTTCATGAACTGTAACTCCAAAAATGACTAAATAGTCTGAAAAAGAATATATGTAAGAAAGCTTAAAGGTTGAGGGACTTTGTGAATTGGGTTGATGTTTGCACCAATTAATCTCTAACGATTCATTCTACTCTAATGGTTTAAATTTTATATATTTATCCTTGACATATCAATTAAAATAAACTGATGCCTGACAGATAACTCCCTTATGAAATTATCTCCTGGTGTTTAGTCTAATTCATACAAGAACATATTGCATGTTTTTCTTGAGTGATGTTTACAATGTACTTTGGAGATTAAACTTGTATTTGATCTGTGATATTTTGAAATGGCTTTTAGTCAAAAGAAATTCTGACCCAACATGGGGAAATAGTTTCTTTTAGTTATGTATCCCAACTATCTAATCAAAAGTAGTTATTTAAATCCTGTACTGAATAATTTTATGCTCTTTGTAAACATACACTCTAGTTTTAGATACAGAACTTGAAGCACTTTTCCCTAAGCTTCTGATCTCAGCATTTGTCTGTGGTCCCTTAGACTCTGTCACGTCTCCAGTTGCTAAAACTTGGTATCCTACTTAGGGACTGTAATTTGAAAAGAGGCTGTGCGTGGTGGCTCACGCCTGTAATCCCGGCTCTTTGGGAAGCCGACGCAGGCGGATCACGAGGTCAGGAAATCAAGACCATCCTGGCCAACATGGTAAAACCCCGTCTACTAAAAATACAAAAATTAGCTAGGCATGATGGTGCGTGCCTGTAATCCCAGCTACTTGGGAGGCTGAGACAAGAGAATCACTTGAACCAGGAGGTTGCAGTGAGCCGAGATCGCACCACTGCATTCCAGCCTGGCAACACAGCAAGACCGTGTCTCAAAAAAAAAAAAAAAAAAAAAAGAAAAGAAAAGACGATTTATTGGTTAAGTGGTTGTTCTTCATAATTCCTGTCATTCTTCATATTTTCATGTTACTTCCTCCCGCTTTACTTGCTCATTTAAGTTTAGTTTTAAAAATACTTCCCTCTCTCTCTCATTTACCCATTCATCCACCCATCCATCTATCCATTTATTTTCGGCAGAAGTTGGCATGTCAATAGAGATTCTTCAAATTAAACATTATTTACTTTGAAGTTAGAAAACAACAAATTGATTGTCATTTACTCTAAACTTTGGGAAGAAGACACATTAATTGTTATTTAATCTAAATTTAGGGAATAAGATGCAAATTGGAATGATTTGGAGCAAAGTTAGCAAAGTATTTTAAACATACTTTTTTGACTACCAAAGTGACGTTTATTATAGAAAATTCAGACAATGATAAAATATATTTTAAAGAATCACCCCGTAATTGCTGCCATACAAAGATAATATTAATGCTTTATTACCTAATCTGATCTGAAAAGAGTTTTCAATTTTACATTTATTCTTTATGGTAGGTCAAAAGTAGAAAAATTTCTGGGAGAAACTATGAAATAATTATTATTGAGTAGATATTTAAACTGAAAATTACAGATTATGTTTTTATTTTTATCAAGGGTCATATGTATCGAATATTTACATGACACTATACAGAAAGCACTTTTTAGTATTACATATTATGAGATAAATTTTTTTTTCAAATTAATTTCAAAAAGCTTATGAAATCTACTGGTTTTGATTGTCATCCTTTTATTAGTTGTTTTTGTTTGCTAAGGTTGCAATTTCAGTGCAGTAATGCCTATTTTTAAACCAGATCATAATGATACATATAATTGCATTTTAGTATATCTTATAATGTATAGGAAATTATTAATTCCGGATGACCTTCTAGAAATTGTAAATGCTTGGTGAAGTGAAAAATTGTGAAAGCTGACTTCAGAGCTTTAAAGAGGAAATAAATGTCATATATAGTAAAGCAAAGTAGCTCTTAAGTTAGTACTTCAAAATTAATAGTAGAGCAAGTACTCATTATTTCTTATAGTTTAATTAATTGCTGCTTTTTAAGTTCGTGTTTTGTTGCTGCTCAGAATTGCATTATGAGATGCCAAATTCATGTAATTATTAGACTATATGGTCTAATTAATACTTTTTTCAAATATAACATCTTCTTATTTAACTCTATTTCTTTTTCTGAATTCTAATTACATAGATCTAACCAATCTCCTCATTTTAGTTTACATGTGTCCTAATCTCTTAGACATTTTCTGTTTCTCTAGGGTAAATTATAGACAATTTCTTCAAAACCTTTTTCAGTTAAAAAATTCTCTTTTCAGTTTTGTTTGGTCTATAAGGAAGTTAGGGAGTGGCATGAAGTTAGGGAGTGGCACAAAGTAAGTGCTCAATAAATATTTGTTAAATTATGGTATTTATGTCTTTCTGATATTTATCCAAGAGCCTGAACATGTTAACATTGATTAAATGTGTACACACATGAAGGAACAATTGAGTGGGTAAAATTTAGCACTGGAAGGTACAATAAATAGAATTTCTATAAATGAAAGTGTGTTTGTTTATTTGCTGTTTGTTTTATCTCAAGAAAGTATGCATGCCTTAAAATGTTGACTTTACCTAAGTAAAATTTGGAAAACTGCACAGTACCTGTTGGTACCATAGCCTTTGTCATTAATAAGCATTAGATGACAGCCATGAGAAGCTATGATAGAGACAAAGACTTTGCTGGGATATTACTCAACATTGAGAAGTGCTATATGGAATCTGAGAATTACATGCATTTAACACTGAATGTGATACAGACTTTATTGTCTGTGCCTTTCATTTGTTCTGTAAATTTTTGTGTAAGTAAAAGTGATGCTTATTTGCTGGAGAGTGGAAATCATATTTATTCTCGCTACATTGAGAAATACTTGAAAAACATTTTTTTTTCTGCCAGTACCCTGTACATTCTGCAATGTTTATTCCTAAGTTTTGGTTTTAAATGTTGAATACTGTCCTAAAATTTTATTAAAGTGTGTATTTTCCATTTTGTTTGTAGAGCAACAATGTATACACATAAACCATGCCCTTTTGGATTTTCCACTTTTGTAATTACTACCATATTTGTTTGTTTACTTGCTTTTTAATTTTATTTCTTTGATGAAGTGGCCTTTAGCAATGTCTTGCATGCTACATGAGATCTGCTTATATTCCTGGAATTATCTGTTGGATTCTTGAGTTTCTCTCCCTACTGATTTCTCTTTTCTTTCCTCTGATATTACTATATGCATTCCCCTTCTCATATACAATGGGAACAAAAGGTAGTGTGACCTTCACAAGATTATTTACATAATTGCATAAAATTGTACCTATGAGTTGTTTAGAATAGTGGACATTATAATAGTAAAAGATCAATGAGGCATGAATGTTAGTTATTGTTTTTAATTATTATCAGGTTGACACCCCTGGAATTTGAAGGGGAAAATATAATAAAAGAGAAGCAGAAGTAAATATTTTCCCTTAATCTCAACAAGCTGTAATTGTTGCCTTTCCTCTAGACTTCAGTATCCTAGATGCTGTGGGACTCTAGCTTAGCACCTTCGGGGAGGACAGGCAGTTTGGACACCCAGGTCTCTCAAGTACTTTCATGTAACGTGGGGTTATGGAACATTTTTTAACGTTATTGTGGGAGTTATTTTGAGGATTTTCTCCTTTGTCTAGAACTGGTATCGAATAGAAAAAATTAGTCAGAAAATAAAATAAAATAAATGCCAGCCATTTTCTTCCCTGCCTTTATAATCTCAGGATTTCTTAAGAGAGCCTTGTCATTGAAATCATCCAGACATTTCTTTGTTCATCATCTTTTCTCTATTATAAATCTGGTGTTATAATTTGTAACGTTTAGTTGTTTATTTGTGTTAGTGATTATAACCTTAGTTTTTTGCAATCAACTTACTGTTTAGAAATACAAGTGGAAATATGTGTACTTATATATGTGTATGTATTATATGTAGAAAAATGTGAGAGACTTTTTCTGTCAATTCCCCACTCTCAAATGATTCCATTAAGACTGCTCATTATGTCCATGAGAAGTAGGAGACCAATGTTACAACTATTTTGAATATTACCCTGTGTTTTTCCTTTTTGTCCTTAACATAGTGAAGCATAGACAATAATATTTTATTAATACAATATTCTTTTTATAATAAAAATATTTATTATCTAGTTTCATGTGGGAAGTTTTGTCATTTCTTGTCATTCTCTCCTCCACCATCTTTAACTCTGTTTATAAACACACAAAGCCTTGTGATAACAGGAATTTGGATATGTCATAACTGTGCTCTGTAACTGGCTCACCATGTATTTAATTAACCTTGTAGTAATGCATCTCTGCATTTTTGGGAACTGAATTTTGAGACCACACATAAAGCATTTGGTATGGTTTGGGTATCAATAATTTAATGAATTTTTTAAAAATACATGCATCATTGAGGTTTTGGTTTTCATATTTTTGGTTGCAATCATTTTATACCGATAAACAGTGCAAATATTAAGAATAAATTATATTATCTTGTAGTTGATCATAGTCGTGAAAAAGAAAATGCACCAGAAGGTCCTACTCAGAAAGGTCTTCGTGAAGCCAGGGAACAAAACAAATGTAAAACAAAGATGAAAGGCAATACAAAGGTATGATATTTGTTTTTGTTTGCATTAAGTCATACTTAACTCTCAGATCTTTAGATCCATTCACTCATATGGTATCATTATTTTACCGGAAAAGGAATTTAGAGGTTATATATTCCGGGCTGCTTGGTTTATACATGGACAGTGGAGGTATCCAAATGTTACTAGTAAGTAGTTAATTCAGGGACACAGGCTTATTAGTAGCAGAGACAGCTCAGTGGATCACTCTGCCACCTATCCCAACATAATCATGATCATGTCTGCTCACCTGCTAACTTTTCTGCTTGAAACTACCTCTGTCTAAAAGAAATCACTCCCAGGTCATATCTTGTTATATCTTTTCTCAAAATGTAACGTCAGACTTTACTTAGTCTCTTTAAAGGTAGAATGAAATAGCATTATGCTCCGTTTAACAATCTCTTTATATCTTGAGTACCTTCACTTTGTAATCAGACTGGTAGTTTAAATCTTTGCCAGTGATTAAAGAAAATGGTATTAAAAATGGTTGGTCAAAGAGATCAAAAATGAAGAAAATTACATAAAACCTGTGAAGAGTTTAGTTTATTGTTTTGAAAATTACATAAAAGTCTAGCTCAGGTAATGGATTTTCTTGTAAGGCAGTTGTTACCTTAGAGTTCTAAAATATCTGGCACTTATTTTAAAATAAAAATATTTACAATTATAATAGCTTCTTAGTAATTCTAGAAGAAGAATAGATTTGTATGAATTCAAATAATAGCATTTACTTAGGTAATGCCAATAATTTTTTTTCTCTCTAAAACATGCATTGGATTCTGGTATTGTATAAAATATTTATACAATGAATTTTTATAAATTTGTATAAATATAAAATATAAAATTTATAAATTTGTATAAATATAAAATATTTATACAATACCAGAATCCAATGTATAAAATATTTATACAATAAAATAAAAACTAATCACTTTTTTGTTATAATAAGCTTTTTATTATAATCTTGTGCTTTTTCAGATTAGTGTTTTGTTGTTTTTCTATCATAATTATAGATTATCGTATGTGAGGTAGACTCACATCAGATTTAAGGATTTTTGGAATGATGGAGGTGATTGTCATCAGAAACATTTTCATCTTCTAACGGTATAAGTATTGTCTTTCAGGTAGTAAGTCATACTTAGAAGTGATTTGTTGATTCATTCACTCAGTGCTTACTGCTTATAAGAGTTTAGATTAATAATGCAAGGTTGACTTTTTATGGGACAAAAAGATACTAAAATATAGGAAAAGTACATTGCATATTTATGCATAGTATATTATTTTATGGTGTTGCATTCTGATATTTAACGTAATACCTACAGCATGGTAGAAAACATAGGTCATATTAAAGGGCTAAAGTGTAAAATAAGGTGAATCCTTCTCACCTTCACTGAGTAATCATTTTTACTAGTATTTCTCTTAATTTTCTTGTTGTTATTATTATAACAAATGACTGAGTTCTGTTTCTATTTTTTTAATAATTCACTTCACATGATATCTATTGACTCCGCCGTAACAAAGAGGCATTTAGAGCACTTTACTGACTTGATTTGAATTATATTATTATGTATGTTGTCATAATTGATAACATTTACATTTGTTCTATAGTCTTAATTCTATTTTCTATGCTATGTCTGTAAATTAATACTAACATTTAATCCCATAAACAGCCTTTAAATGGATTATGTTTAAGTAAATGTAATTTATTGCAGACATTGCAAATTTAACTAGAACTGTAGAGGAGGAAGGAGAATACCTGAAGTGCATAGGACTGTATTTAAAGATTTCTCTTTTATAAACAGTCGCTCTCTTCTACTTCATTGGCTTACACTCAGCTGCCCCTGTTATGTATTCTCATATTTTCCTTCATAGATTGCTTTTTCTGTTTTCCTAGATTATCTCCTTGAGTAATTTTCAAAAAGGGCCAATGGAGATAAATGATCTAAGTTCATACATCTGAAATATTCTTGTTCTACCTTACACTGAGTTGATATTTTGCTGGAATTAGAGTTCTAGTTTTAAATTAATTTTTCACCAGAATTTTACAGGCATTGTTTTAATGTCTTAGAGGATAGCAATAATTGCTGTTGGTCTGATTCTTGTTATTTTGTTGGGAAGTAAAAAATACCATATACAATACAATGTACCAGTAAACTAGTATTTTGAACAACTAGAACAGTGAGGTGTAATCATAATAACAACTTTATTTATGTGACCTACTGACTCTTAAAGCTGCTCAGTGGAGGTAATTCAACCCTTACCCTAGGGTGATAATTCATTCAGGCTTCATGAAATTATTAGTCAAGTGTGTGTTTACTCTGGTTGCAAAACACAATCTCAAATCAGTAATTAAATATGTCCAGCTTTATGTAACACAAATGCTCCACATTTAACATGAAGTTAAATTTTCACCTAACCCTCAGCTGAGGACTTCTTTGGGCTAGACATTTGCAGTGTGGAAGGGGTTGTAATGGTGGTGGTGTGTGGCCGTTCGTAAATCTTTTCCTCTTACTTTTTCCCTCTTACTTTTTCCTCTTACTTTTTCCCTTACTTTTTCCCTAGTTTGCTAACTGGCAAGGTTGAAGGTGCAAGGAGGGAGAAATTAAAGACGAATGGAAGAGTTGTTACTGGACTTGAGATACCTTATGATAGCTTAGAGTTCTTTGAACTTGGCAAAATCAGAAAGCTTTTATCCTGATGAGCACTGTATTAGTCAGAGCTCTCCAGAGGGATAGAACTAATAGGATGTGTATATATATATATATATATATATTTTTTTTTTTTTTTCTTTAGAAGGATAGAACTAATAAGATATATATGGGGAGTTTATTAAGTATTAACTCACACGATCACAAGGTCCCACAATAGGCTGTCTGCAAACTAAGGAGCACGGAGAGCCAGTCCGAGTCCCAAAACTGAAGAACTTGGAGTCTGATGTTAGAGGGCAGGAAGCATCCAGCATGGAGAAAGATGTAGGCTGGGAGGCTAGGCCAGTCTGGTCTTTTCACATTTTTCTGCCTGCTTTATATCCTAGCTACACTAGGAGCTGATTAGATGTTGCCCACCCAGATTAAGGGTGGGTCTGTCTTTCCCAGCCCACTGACTCAAATGTTAATCTCCTTTGGCAACACCTTCACAGACACACCCAGGATCAATACTTTGCATCCTTCAATTCAGTCAAGTTGACAGTATTAACCATCACAAGTCCCCGCCTTGTCAACTTGAACCCATACATATCTGCTGAGATCATACATAATCTTCAAATAAAGACAATAATAAGGTCATAATTATGCCTAACATAAAACAACTATCCTTCGTACAACCAGAAATGCATCAGTCCCCAACTCAAATACTATTACATAAAGTTAACAATACTTAAATGTTGATGTGAAGTCAGTAAATCCTTATATCACATGATAAGGGAAAAAGGAAATAAAACGAAGGTATATTCTTAGTACAGTGTATACATGTACAACCATGGTTTTAACAAAAGAAGGAGGGAATACCCATGACAATTACAGTCCTCGTTTCTGCAGCTGGTCATGTGGTTGTAGCTGGTATTGATTACTACCTTGTTCTATCTATTCTGTAGTCCCTTTGCCTTCAGCAAGTACCTCAGCAGGTTGTGGATTTTTTCCTGGTGGAGTGACCCAAACCTTCATTCCTGAAGGGTCTGGGCCATATGCAGTCCTGCCCAGACTGTGATGTTGTAATTTCCCAATGACCTTAATCACAGGGCATGGCAATACTAAGAGACATCCTAGTGGATCTCCTGTAGTCATGCATACTCTTTGCTACCTCCATTGTGGAGTAGTAGACTGATTTCATCTTGATAGTCTGGGCCAATCACCCCAGCCAAGACTGTAACTCCCTTCTTAGCCTGTTGACTTAAAGGTAGGAGGAGCCCAAAGTGTCCAAGTGGCAATCTTAACTTTCAGTTTAATGGAATCATTGTTGTGTCTCTTGATGGCAGCGTTCCTCCCTCTGGAACTAAGACCTCTAGGCCAGCAGGATCAATGTTGTGGGAACAGGAAGCAAGAATTTTGCTGGTGGATCACTAGGGGTGATGGTGAGTGGTGCCACTTCCACTTCCACCCCTTGGTTCCTGGAACCATGAATCCTGGCTATGGGAGAAACAGTACCATATATTGAATGCTGATTCAGAGCATACACACCTTCTGGAGAACTTTGCCTCAGCCTAGTAAAGTATTGTCACCTAGTTCGTGTTGTAATTGTGACTTCAAAAGGCAATTCTACGGTTTTATCAATCCAGCTGCTTCAGGATGATGGGGAAACATGGTAAGACCAGTAGATTCCAGGAGCATGAGCCCCATGCTGCACTTCTTTAGCCATAAAGTGAGTGCTTTGGTCAGAGGCAATGCTGTGTGGAACAACATGATGGTGGATAAGGCATTCCGTGAGTCCACAGATGATGTCTTGGCAGAAGCATTGCTTTTAGGATAGGCAAACCCATATCCAGAGTAAGTGTCTATTCCAGTAAGGACAAACCTCTGCCCTTTCCATGATGGAAGAGGTCCAGTATAATCAATCTGCCATCAGGTAGCTGGCTGATCACCCCAAGGAATGGTGCCATATTGAGGGCTCAGTGTTGGTCTCTGCTGCTGGCAAATTGGGCACTCAGCAGTAGCCATAACCAGGTCAGCCATGGTCAGTGGAAGTCCATGTTCCTGGGCCCATGCGTAACCTCCATCCCTGCCACCATGGCCACTTTATTCATGGGCCCATTGGTGATGACAGGGGTGGCTGGGGAAAGAGGCTGAGTGGTGTCCACAGAACGGGGCATCCTTTCCACTTGATTATTAAAATCCTCCTCAGCTGAGGTCATCAGTTGGTGAGCACTCACACGGAATACAAATGTCTTCACAGTTTTTGACCACTCAGAGGTGTCCATCCACGTACCTCTTTCCTGAATTTCCTTGTCACCAATTTTCCAATCGTGCTTCTTTTAAGTCCCTGACCATCCAGCCAAACCATTGGCTGCAGCCGTAAGTCAGCATATAATCACACATCTGACCATTTCTCCTTCCATGCAAAGTGCACAACCAGTTGCACTGCTCTAAGTTCTGCCCACTGGGAAGATTTCCCTTCATCACTGTCTTTCAGGGATGTCCTAGAAAGGGGCTGTGGTGCTGTAGCTGTCAACTTTCGGATGGTGCCTGCATATTGTGCAGATCCATCTATGAATCAGGCCCTAGTCTTCTCTTCCTCTGTCACCTGATCATAGGTAACTCCCCATGATGCCATCAGTGCAAGCTGGGAGACAGAAGGCAGGGTGACAGGAATGGAGACCATGGACATTTGAGCCACTTCCTCATGTAACTTACTTGTGCCTTCGGGACCTGCTTGAGCCCGATCACACATACACCACTTTCATATGATGAAGGACTGCTGCTATGCATGACCCAGTTTATGGCTAGATGTGTCAGAAAGCATCCAGTTCACGACAGGCAGTTCAGGTTGCATGGTGACTTGATGACCCATAGTCAAACATTCAGTTTCCACGAAGCCCAGTAACAGGCCAAGAGCTGTCTCTCAAAAGGAGAGTAGTTATCTGCAGAAGATGGCAGGGCCTTGCTCCATAATCCAAGAGGCCTCCGCTGTGATTCACCTATGGAGGCAGCATTGGATCTGCTGGGTTATATGGCCCCAGTGGTAGAGCAGCTTGCACAGCAGCCTGGACCTGTTTCAGAGCGTTCTCCTGTTCTGGACCTCACTCAAAACTGGCAGCCCTTCGGGTCACTCGATAAATGGGCCAGAGTTACCTACCCCAATGAAGAATGTGGTTGCCTGCAAAATCAAAATAGGCCCACTAGGCATTGTGCCTCTTTCCTGGTTGTAAGATTTTACTAATTGACTAATATATCTATTTCAAGAATACAATCAGAAGCCAGGGAAACAATGAAGGAATGGGTCCATAAATCCACTGGGCTTACCGTAAAATAGACTTATACCACAACACTGTTGATCAGAAGGCTATGATAAGCCCCTAATTTAGCTGTTAGATGGTGTTTTGGGGTCTCTAGGAAAGGGCATTTATTCAGAGCCAATTTCTAATTATATCTGAAAGGTATGAAGCAAAAGAGTACTCCATGTAAATGACTGCTGTTCCTTTAGGGAAGGCTTGGAGGAAGACTTACAATCAGATTTCTGTAGTGAACCCAACATGATACAATGAACACATATTTTGTCCAGTGAAAATAAAAAAACACTGACCCTTCTAAAATGGTCCAACATAATAAGTATGCCAGTAGGTGGCTGGCAGGTTTTTCATGGTACGGTGCCATAACAACGGTTCCATGTTGGTTTGTGCTGTTGGTAAGCTGGACATTCAGCACTGGATGGTAGCTGAATAAACTTTGCTTAGGAGAAGCCTTTGTTAATGATTCCATACGTAGTCTTCATCTTTAACACAAGGCTACATGATCCTATTGAGCATACAGAGGGAGAGCCAAGGAAAATAGCCAGTATTCACAAGATAAGGCATGTGATCCACCCGATTATTGAAAACCTGTTTTGCAGTGGATTTTTTAAAATAAGTATACCCATGGGACACCAATATTTCCACACTTTTGCCTATTGTGAGAGATGTAGCCACTAACCATTTCCTTAGATCTTATCTCAGAATTTCCAACCTTATTCTTTTATAAACCCCTAACCAGTCAGCCAGACTGATAGCCACTGCCAATAAATAGGTATAGATGTATCCGCTGTACCATTTATGTTTTTAGGCAACATAGGTGATCAGATATACTGCCAAGATTTCTGTTCACCTGAAGGCTTTTCATTCATCACTGTCTTTCAGCGCTCCCATTGGAAGACTTGTAATCCAGTGACTGTCCACTTATAGCTGAATTTGGGTGGCACATTGTACAAACCTGTATGGAAATCAGGCTAGTTTTTTTTTTTTAATCCATTCTCTGATAGCTGGTCATGGTGAGTATCTCACAAAGCCGTAGGTATAGTTGAGGGACATGTGACATTGAAACAAGAGTGGAAGTTTGGAAGTTTACCTGCTCATGCAACTTACTTGTGCTTTTCTGATGTTCTCTAGCACAATTTAAATTATAATTCTTCCTTTTTTAAGATGAATTGCTTTTACATGTCCAGACTCATGTCTTTGAGGACCTCCTGGTTTATGATGAGCAATTCAGTTTACTTAGTTGCTTGGTGTTATAAGTCCTCAGTATCTGTCAGAGCTCATGAACATAGTAGGAGCTAACCCTTAATAGAGAATATGTAAAAGTAGTTATCAACAAGGTGAACATGCCTTTTCTCCAGAAGTCTGGAGGTCAGTACTGTGGCCCTCTGTTGGGGCTTGTTATAGGCTTCCTATAGTATCTTCATTTTCTACAGATAGTTTGAGCACCATTGGGTCTGCTGGGCCATAAGGCCCAAGGAGAATTGTCTTATATCCTGGACATGTTGTAAACTTTTTGGGGTCCAAACATCATTTATACTATGTTCTTTATTCAGCATGGAGGACAAAAGATACAGTAACTTTGCCTTTTATTTAGAAGCATTATCTTACCATGTTCCAGGCTTCAGAATTTCTTTGGTGTTTGTTTCTTCTCTGGCACAAGCATATTGCTAAGACATCTAGGGTACTTGCCACTTCCTGCTCATCAGATCCATTTAGGGGGATTTTAGCAATATAGTGGAATATAAAGATGGTCAAGGTTACTTTAGTTTGACAGAGAATAGGGGAGTTTATATGGCCCCGAGGCAAAGGAGTAGAAAGTTTTCTGCTGCCTTTGTCATGTAAAGGCAATTTGGATTAACTACCATCACAGATGGGAGGAGAGAATAAAACATTCACCAAATCAGTAGCCTCATAACAAGTAGTAGAGGGTATTTTTATCTGCTTCAGTAAAGATAACACATATGGCACAGCCCATATGTTCCAGATCTTTACATGATTCTCTCAATCTTGTACCCCATTATTTTCTGATTGAATTCTTGAGCAATGTTTGGACAGTAAGATTCTACTCCTGTCTCTCTTTTGTTGGATCTGGCAACCTCCTTTTATAAAAGTAAGTGACATATTGGATAATATATGTATAAACACTTTATACATTATAAAAGCATTATGTAAATACAAAGATATTATTGTTGCTGATATTATTCCTATTATTATAGAAATATATCCCCCAACATGATGCTAAGATTGCAGAGTATTTAGTATCTTGCTGACCCCTCTTGACTTATCTTCTAGCTCTACTTGTTCCTGTTCTTCTCATAATGAAGTGCAAAAATAAGCTAAGGTTCTTATGGGTTGTCTTGGATGTCTAAATAAGTTGTTCATTTGTTTTGAATGTTCTAGGTCTTAATCAGTGTATATTAAGATTATATGAATCCTCTTGAATGATGATATACACTCCAATAGAGTGTGTGCCACTTGAGTGTATACCATATGGTGGATACACTCAGAGGCAGCAGTGGGTTCCTATTACAAGTTTGTAGGACCTTATTCTCCTGGCATTCCAAACTGTGTCTTCTCTTGAGTACATCTGTAGATAGTCAAAACATATAAGACATGAACTACTGTCCTGTTTGCACCAACTAGCTCCTTTTGCCTATAATCATAACACACAAAGCTTATTATTAGTAAACATCATGTTTATCCATTCTGATTAACATAATACAATAAATAGTGATGTTCTATAATATTTCTAGAGAGTACAGTTCCCTTCAGACTATTTTATGACTAGAGTGGAATGTTAACCTTGGCAAGAACATAAACATGTACTGTTGTCTGCCCAACTGAATGCACATTGCTTCTAATCTCACTTTATGAGAAGACACATTTGCCGGATCAATGACTACACACGATGTGCCTGAGTACATGTTAATCTGCTGTTGCAAAGATACCATATCAGGTAGAACAGTTGCAATTTAGGCTGTTACTTGGTTGAGTTTGCAGTAGTCTCCTGTCATCCTCCAGGATCTTTGTTTATTATAGAAACTAGACTAGGGAATTATATGGAAATATGATGAGAACATCCACATCTACATCCTTTGTTTAAATCTGTGCCATTTTCCACCACCCTCCCCAATATGCAGTATTATTTTTTATGAACTTGACAGGGAAAGGAGCAGTTTTCAAGTCTCCTACTTGGCATTTCCCACCATAGTATCATATATCCCACAGGTCAAGAATTAATGTGGAAGTTCTGCAAAATACCAAGTATGTTCTTTCAACTTGTTTGGAATCTGTTAAATGACCATCAGATGGGTTCATGGATTCCATCTTACTGTGAGCCAGACCTGGGCAAGCTATATTTATTACTTAGTCCCTATATGCCTCAGCCTCAAATCTAAGATGGTGGAGGGTGAGAGTTATAAAACTATGAGTCCCTGAGTATCAACGCCATGCTAGACCCTGTGTCAACAGTTTCACAATGTCTGGGTCTTTCTTTTTCTGTAGTGTATTGTTACCTAAGCCTCTGGGGAAGGAATGGAGGAATCATTGTATGTACTTGCTATGGTGTAGGAGGATCCTTTTTCATAGGGACTGAACTTCTTTCGTCAGGAAGTTCTGTGTGTGAAAACTGGCTAAGATCTGGAAACCAGGCAAGAGATAGTGACTTTTTACAAGGTTGCTGCTCTCAGTATCCTGATCATCCATCCTGTTTCTTCTGGTCGTACAGATTGAACATTACCACTGTTGGCTTCCCATCTTTCAGCCCTTTAAAGATTCTATGTTCTATTGACTATCTTCCTAGCGTTCTATGGTTCAGGATATCCTGATAGCCCTTACCACCTTGCTGTTCTTTTCCATAATTGTGCCCATCTTGCTTTTGACATTTACGTGCTTCTGGCTGGCCTCTGCTTTCTCAGGAGTCTATAATCTAAATTGCTTTCAGGGAGTGTAGTTCTCTAATAACATACTCTCTACTATCATCTTAGAGAACCACAACTGAGCTTCTCAATGATGTTGCTGCTCCTCTCACCTTACTGCTTTCCTAGTGGACGTATTCTCTGGTCATCCGGTGGACATGGTTATCTCATGGGATTTTTGGCCTTTTATGGTGTATCCACTCTCACAGGCTCACTTCTCTGAGTATTTAGATCCTCCTTTGTTGTGGAATGTAGCATTGGCTTTTCTAGTTCACTTAGTTTGGTAATCACTTTTTCCCCTAAGCTTCAAAGAGCCATCCTAGCTTCACATAAATACCAGTTTCCTTTCTAGGGTGTTAAGTTCTGTGTTATAGAAGAGTACTCTCATATTGATAAACTCTGCCTTGTCCAACTTTATATTCTACCTCTCTTACCTCAATGACCTCAGGACCCAATTCTTCATGTACTGTCGTGGAACCCATAGGTACATGTTGGCTAGTTCCTGCAGTTCCTTGGAAGTAGTTCTTTTCATCTTTATAACAGAGTCATTACTTACCTGAATAGGTTTTATTTTTATTTAAATGAATTTTGGTCTGTTGGCCAGTAAGGAGGGTGGGGAATATATTGTAAGAATGGCATGTATTGTCTCATAAGACAGAAGACTCTGAATTGCCCTTGGTGAAGAGAGGTGTGCTCGTCTCTAAAAGGGAGAAGCAGGCCATTTTTGCAGGGCCAGAGAGTTCAGGGAAATATGAAGATTTAAGATTTTTAAGTACGTTGTCTCAGATTTCTTCATCTCTGTCCACACACACACACACACACACACACGTATGACTTCTTGTAACTCAGAATAAATTTATTTTTCCATAAAATTCATGTACTAAAATACTGTTGGTTTTCCTAAAATGACTTTCCTATAATATGTTTTCAAATTTCACTTCTTTGCTGATATCTTTAAATTTTTATATTATTATACTATAACTTTATAACAATATTTGGAGTCATCTACAGCAATTTATGTTTTGAGATAAAAATAACATGACAATTCACAAATAACTATCATATTTCACAAACATTAATTTCTTCATCTTTGAAATGTCTTCTAATAGTATCTACATTTTACTAGTTTATTCAGTTCAGAATTGTGGCCTTGTCTTAAATCGTATTCTTCCCAATGTCTTCCAAACTCCCATTGATGCCTTTTTTCCATATTATTTAATAAGTTGTGAATTTCTCCTAGGAGTGGGGCATGGGTTCAGATCCTACTGGAAAGGGCCTAAGAGTCTTGTCTTGAAATTTCATTTGCAAAACAAACTTAGATTAAATATATATATATTTTGGTTGGATTTAGGAGGGCATCTAGCAGAGATTTTGAGAGGTCTCCTGAAACTATCCCTAACCTCCTATTGCAGTTTCCCCATTTTCCTTTAATTCTCACTCCCATCCTTCTAAATCTGGTCTCCATGGGCTACATTCACAACCTTGCAGGCTGTCTTTCAATAGTTCATTCTATGTTTCATGGATTGATAACTTTCCCTAAAACATGCCTCTATAAGCTCGTCTAATCTTCCTTAGACAATTGTATATCTTTACTTCTCAAGCCAGTTGGGTATCTAGCTTGTTGATATTCCATGATAATTCTTATATATCTTTTATAACATTATAAATCACATTTTACTTATATATTTTACAAAGTTGGTTACATTTTAAAGTCAATTCTTATGGTTTAAACTATTTTCTCTTGAATTAGGGGAACAATTTTTGTGAACATTAGGGAAGCCATTTTCTTCTGAAAGTTTTTTAGCCAATCAGTGGATTACTAAAATAGTCAGTGGATTAGTCTTTGTAAAGATAACTAAATATTACAACATAATTTCATTTTACCTGTGGAATATATTTTATCCTAAAGGAAATAAGAGCCATTATGCAATTAATTGGATGGTTTTTGCAATCTCATAAGTCAAAATTAAGAGAAAAAAGTTACTGCTTTATTGAGACTAAGAATGATGATTATACATGTGAAACTTTCAGTGTGTCAACATATTATTTTAAGGAACAGCAGAATGGAAGAGTGCCATACAGATTTGAATAGTTTTAAAAGGTAATATTTATACATAGAATTTCCTTTTTTGTTGTAGAAGGGAAAAAAAGGATCAAATGGTATCCACTGTAGTCCAAATTCATTACTTTAATGACTCCTTGTAGAGTTAAATTGGAGCTAGATTATAATATTTGTAATATATTAAAAATCTACCTTTCACCTTGTATTTTGACCTATATATTCAATGACAGTGCAGGAAAGGTGAAAAAGCACTATTATTAAAAGTATTTTAAGAAAATAGAAAGGAAATTAGAAAAGATAAGGGGCTGCTAACTTGTTTCTTCCATCCTTTTTTTGCCCAAATTCTTAGTCTTTTTTGGGTTGGAATGAAATGCATGCTCTTTTTTTTTTTTTTTTTTTTTTTTTTTTTGAGACAGAGTCTCGCTCTGTCGCCCAGGCTGGAGTGCAGTGTGGAGTGCAGTGGCGGGATCTCGGCTCACTGCAAGCTCCGCCTCCCGGGTTCACGCCATTCTCCTGCCTCAGCCTCCCAAGTAGCTGGGACTACAGGCGCCCGCCACCACGCCCGGCTAATTTTTTGTATTTTTAGTAGAGACGGGGTTTCACCATTTTGGCCGGGATGGTCTCGATCTCCTGACCTCGTGATCCGCCCGCCTCGGCCTCCCAAAGTGCTGGGATTACAGGCGTGAGCCACCGCGCCCGGCCATGCATGCTCTTTTAAAAGAAAATTCTTCCCTAGTGAAAAAATATTTAGATTGTTTTGTTTCTATCTGTAAACATATTTATATCCCTAATACCCCTTCTGGGTTTCTGCTGGAAATGGTGTTTTAAAATATTATAAAGATCTAGTAAGAAAACATAGAAGGGAGGATTATGGGAAGGTGGCAGAGTGGGAAGCACCAGGGATGCCTCCTCATCTAGATAACAATGGCACTAGCAAAATCTGTCTGATATAATGATTTGGAAAGTCTAGAGTCTGTTGAAGTCTTTCAATGTCCACAGGAAGGATTGGACAGTAAATTATAGTTAAGTTGGGTCAATTTCAACTCTTAGTATATCAGCACCTACCTTCAGCCACCCTAGCTCTGTGGCAGGCAGCTGCACACAAATTCCAGGAGTACCTTGCAGGAGCCTGGGTGGGCAAAAAGCATCCTGTCCTGCAAATATCAGGGATCTGTGCTCTTATCTCTAACTACTGCTTTTTATCATAGAGGTGCAGACAAAGAGGGTTATAGCAATTGTTGTTTTATCTTACTCCATTATTCACCCTTGTCTCCCTCTCTAGCTGAAGTGATTTCCAGGGACTTAAAGGGCCAAGTCTCCTTTTCCCACCTTCGTTTTTCTCATTCCCCACTTTGGGGAGCCAAACATTAAAGTCTATGACATTCAGAAGCAACTGCATATATGGGGAAAATTAGAAAGTGACCACACAAGCCTGGGGATAGGTGGAGGCTCAGAAAAGTCCTGAGAAAACAGTAAGGTTACTGATCCTTGACCAGAGACAGTCCATAACAATAAATTTTTTTAAAAAATAAATAAACACAAACAATAGTAAAAAACCCAGCAAACCCTGGGGAAGGAGGAGAATCTGATTTCCAGACTCCAAATTACAACACAAAATCATTTGTATTTCTATACACTAACAATAAACAATCAGAACAGGAAATTATCAAAGCATTTTTATTTAAAGTAGTGTCAAAAGAATAAAGTACTTAGGAATTTGTCAAAGAGATGAAAGACTTGTACAATGAAAGCTAAAAAACATTGCTGAGGGAAATTAAAGAAGACATAAATAAATGTAAACATATCCTATGTTCACAATTTCTATCAAAATCCCAAAGACCTTTTTTTTGCAAAAACATAAAAACCCATCCTAAGTTTCGTATAGTCTCAAGGGACACTGATTAGCCCAAACAATCTTGCAAAAGAAGAACAAACTTGGAAGACTCATACTTTCTTATTTCTAAACTACTGCAAAGCTACAGTAATCAAAACAGTATGGTACTGGCATAAAGACAGACATATAGACCAATGGAATAGACTAAACAGCCCAGAAATAAACCCTCACATATATGATCAAATGATTTTGACAATAGTACCAAGACCAATCAATGGGGAAAGACAGTCTTTTTACCAAATTGTGCTGGGAATACTGGGTATCTACATGCAAAATAATAAAGTTGGACCCTTACTAATACCATATACAAAAATTAACTCAAAATAATCAAAGACCTAAATATAAGACACAAAACTATAAAACTCTCAGAAGAAAATATAGGACAAAAGTATCATGGCATTGATTTTAACAATGATTTCTTAGATATGACACAAAAGGCACAGGCAACAATAGAAAAACTGGACTTTATAAACATTTTAAAATTTGGGGCATCGAAAGACTGTCATCAGAGTAAAAAGGCAACCAATAGAATGGGAGAAAATATCTGTAATCATATATCTGGCAAGGAATTAATATACAGAATATATAGAGAATTCCTAAAACTCAACAACAACAAAAAGTCCAATCCAAAAAAGGACTTTAATAACACATTTCTAGATTGAAGATATATAAATGGTAAAGTACATGAAAAGATGCTTAACATCATTAATCATTAAGGAAATACAAATCAAAACTGCAGTAGGGTATCACTTCAGACTAATAAGGGTGGTTTCCATTAAAAACAAAAAGAAAGCTGGTGAGGACATAAGTTAATTGGAACCATTGTTCACTATTGGCAGAATGTAAAGTGGTATAGTCACTATGGGAAAACAGTATGACAGTTCCTCAAAAAATAAAAAATAGAATTACCATATGATCTCACAGTTTGCACTTCTGCCTATATACACAAAAGAATTGAAAGCAGCATGTTAAAAAGATATTTTACACCCATGTTCATAGCAGTGTTACTCACAGTAGCTGAAACATGGAGACAATTCAGTGTTCATTGGCAGCTGAAGGAATAAGCAAAATGTGGTATATACATACAATGGAATATTATTCAGCCTTAAAAAGGAAGGAATTTCTAGCAAATTCCACAACATTGATGAAGCTTGAGGACATTATGCTAAGTGAAATAAACCAATAACAGAAAGACAAATACTATATGATTCCGTGTATATGAGGTACTTTGAGTGGTGAAAATTATAAATACAGAAGTAGAATGATGTTTGTTAGGGCTGGGGGAGAGGGAATGAGGAGTTACTGTTTAATGAGTATAGAGTTTCAGTTTTACAATGAAAAGAATTCTAGGAGATGGGTGAGGATAATTGTTGCAGAAAGTTATATAAATGCATTTAAGACCATTGAACTGTATCCTAAAATTGGTTTTATGTTATGCCATTAATAACTTATGATGCATTTTTATTACAATAAAAACATTATTAAAGAAAGATCATTTCCATATGGCTAGGAACAGAAGGCATGTTAGGAAGGATACATAAACATTGCAGTATGTACAACAAATATGTTAAAACATTTTATATCTTAATTCAAATGTCAAAGGTTAAAAGAAAAAATAACTTATGTTTTGGGAAATATTCACATCAACTTCATATTTAAAGAAGATTTTAAAAACGTTTAAAGCAGCAATTTAAAAGCCTACAGTAAAATTATTAGATTATTTGCTCAGGCAGCAGCTGGTTTAGCAACATTTATTCAGAGCTTATTATAAGAAAAATATCTTTTGCTGAAGTTTTTAAAAAATAGCTTCTAATTGCCATTAATAACTTATGATGCATTATTTTTTAATCATTTAATTTTATGTTTATTAATCAATAATACATGTTATATACAAATGGCTTTTCAAAGCTTGGTTTATACTACCAATATAGCTATTAAAATAACAGCTTTCTCATAAGGTATGAATGAGTTTTCAAAAGCTATAGCTGAGTTTTCATTTTTGCCCATTTATTTTAATTCCTTTTGATCTTTAGAAATTATATGGCCAGGCGCGGTGACTCATGCCTGTAATCCCAGCACTTTGGGAGGCCAAGGTGGGTGGATCACGAAATCAGGAGTTCAAGACCAGCCTGACCAATATGGTGAAACCCCGTCTCTACTAAAAATACAAAAATTAGCTGGGCATGGTGGCACGTGCCTGTAATTCCAGCTACTTGGGAGGCTGAGGCAGGAGAATAACTTGAACCCAGGAGGTGGAGGTTGCAGTGAGCTGAGATGGCGCCACTGCACTCCAACCTGGGCGATGGAGCGAGACTCCGTTTCAAAAAAATAAATAAATAAATGATACATAATATTTTGTTAAGGGAAAAAAATATTTTAGCTTATAACTTATCCTTGTGTAAATTAACTATCATAATCAATTTTTTGTTTACCTTAGCATCTGTTAGCAAATTGTATTATGTACTTTGGCAAATATTCTTTTAGAGTATGAATTAGTTTGAAGCCTAATATGTATTTTAGATCCAGGTCTACCACTTATTACCTGTACAAACATGGGCACATTACCTAATTTCTATGTTTCCATCTCTATAAACTGGGAAGAATACCATGTTTATCAAAGGGTTTTTTGTTAGTATTCAATGAAATAATATATGTAAGATATCTAACACTGTGCTTATAACAGGATTTAGACTCAAGTAATTTTGTTTCGATAGAAAAGGTTATTTACTAAGGGAAGATAAAAGATCTCTAATTTTTAATACTATTTTTCTCTTTTAAGTGTGACATAAGTTACACTGAATATGTCTGCTAAAGACTTCCAGATTCATTACTTTTTAACTACTTTAGCCATTTTATTATGCAATGGCATGAACAATTTACCAGTAGTTTTCCCTGATTGTGAGTATAGTTTCCCTGTTTCAGATTATATACAAATAGAAACATGGAGATTAGAGAATTACGGTGGCTAATTCTGATGTTCCAATGTTTGCATGTCCCCTGTTACATATTTAAAAGTGCTTCTGTGCTCATAAAACCTGTACACAACTCTCAGTTTCTTTAGGGCTATTCTATATTTTGATTTCTTTAATGAAAAAATGGAATGTTATTTAATATCTTTATCATAACACCTGCCAGTTATTATATAAAATAGGTGGTAATTTAAACGTAACCATATGCAAATGTGAAAAGGAGAGAAAGGTTTCCTCTACTCTGATACAATGGTATATGCCATTGTGTTGTGTTATGTCACCCTGGCATGATAATGGCACACTTCAACTAATCCACTTAAGTGCTGATACTTTGCATTTATTGTAGAGTTTAGTTGCATTTAGTACAGTATTCTTGAATGTTTCTTTGCAGCTATTATTATTACTTTTTGCCTAAAGTGTCATTGCATAATGCAGAGTGACTCTGGCATCAACCAAGGATCTGGGTGCTATTTTGCAGGATTTGTAAATATTACACCAAAATGTTAAATAATTTTATTTATCACACATGGAGTTTCTAAAAAAGAATTTAGTTTTACATTTTTTCAGTTTGAAAATATGGAAGTTGGTAAGAAATCTATAACCATATGCAAATGGGAATTTTAATACTAATAATATGAAAATAGTGTTGAGGCTGGGCACGGTGGCTCACACCTGTAATCCCAGCACTTTGGGAGGCCGAGGTGGGTGGATCACAAGGTCAGGAGTTCAAGAATAGCCTGGCCAACATGATGAAACCCTGTCTCTACTAAAAATACAAAAACATTAGCCAGGCGTGGTGGCGGGTGCCTGTAATCTCAGCTACTCGGGAGGCTGAAGCAGAGAATTGCTTGAACCCGGGAGGCAGAGGCTGCAGTGAGCCGAGATTGCACTACTGCACTCCATCCTGGGTGATGGAGCGAGACTCTGTCTCTTAAAAAAAAAAAAACAGTGTTGAATATCTTCAGCAGTTGAAATAATTCATTTAAACATCTCTGAGGAAATATATTTACCAAAATATTTATTTATAATATCATGCCATGTTAAATAGATAAGAATTAAGCCAACATATTTATAATTCTGTGCTAAGTAGAAAATCAAATAAACAGAAATACTTACATTATTACACTAAATATATTCTGCTTACATAAAGAGAAGCAAATGTGAATCAGAATAAAAGTAATTAAGAGATACTAATTATTCTTAGGTTTTAAACTCTGCTCCCTATTTTTGGATTATGCATGTATAGCCCTGGATCATTTGAAAATGCATAACTGAGACTGCAGTAAAAAAAAAATGCTGAGGATTTACAACATTTTGAAAACTTTGGTCATTATAAATACTTACATTAGCTATATTTCAACTGTTGATTTATGAAAAATAAGAATTTGTAGATTAAATATAGCATAATGAAAAAATAATATTCAATTAATGTTTTAGTTAAAATATATCACATATATTTGAATATAATATATAAATTAAAATATATTTTTAAAATGAAAATTACAAAATACATATGTAGTCTTCAACTTGCTTTTTTGATTCGATTTTTGTTTCTAAGAGTCTTTAGTGTTGCTGTAGGTGGCTCTAGGTCATTTCACAATATTTACTTTTTTGTATTATTGTTACAATGTTCAGTTGGTTTCCAATGTCTTGGAAATAAACAGTGCTGCCAAGAATATTCTTGTATGTCTCCAAGTGCATTAGTGGAAGATTTTCTGTAGGACACAAACCTAGGGGTGGAATTGGGGATGAGGGTTTTATGAAATAGTGTCATTTTTTTTTCAAACCAGTTGAATATATTTATAAACCCACACAGAGAGCTCCTACTACTCTATATCTTTCTCTGTATTCATTATTGCCAGGGTTTTTTATTTTTCCCAAGCAAATGAAATATGTCGCCTCACTAGGTCTTAATTTCTATTTTTCTGATTACTAATTAAATTGAACGTGTTCTTTTTCATATGTTAGCTTCTGTGAAATAACAGTTCATATCTTTTGCAATTTTTTTCCATTAGATTGTTGGCCCTTGAAGTATACTTGAAATGTATAATTGACATTAATTTTGTGATCAATTCTATTAATGCGGATATCTTGCTCCACATGGTGACTTATATTTTCTGTTTCTTTATTATTTTTTCAGTGAATATAAGTTCTTCATTATAATGTAGTAAAACTAATCAGTACTTTCTTTTATGATAGCACTTACTGTCATTTGATTAAGAAACCCTTTTTTATCTCAAGATCAGAGTACTATGTTCATATCTTTTTTAGCATTTTTCTTGTTTATTTTTTCCTTTACCAACCAATTCAGACATAAAAACAGATATTATCTTTCATAAACCCAATATAATTATCTAAATCAAGAAATTAACATTGATAAAATACTTTTATTTTAATCTATAGAAATTATTTAAATTTTACTGTGTTGTACTGTCTCTGTAATTTCTTAAAACTAATATTTTTACTTTGAGATAGCTTTAGATTCACATACATATGTAAGATATAAATCAGAGAGATCCCATACAGTCTTTACCCAGTTTCCCCTAACGGTTACATCTTGGAAAACTATAATATAGTATCAAGATTAGGATGTTGACATTGATATAATCAAGGTATGGAATAGTTCTGCCTGCCAGAGGATCCCTGGTGTTGCCCTTTTATAGCCACACTGATTTCCCTTTAGCTCTGTCCATGCCTAACCCCAGGAAACCACTAATCTTTTCTTCATTTCTGTAATTTTTTTAATTTTAAGATTGTTATTTAAATGGAATTATATAATATTTAACTTTTGGGGGTTGACTGTTACACTTGGCATAATTCCACTGAGTCATCCAAGATGTTGTGTGGATCAGTAGCTGATCATGTTATTAAATTGCTGAGTAGTTGTTGATTCTCTTTAAAATATTTGGGAGAATTCACCAGTGAAACCATATGGACTTGGGATTTTTTGGATGGGAGCTTTTTAATTATTAATACAAATTTAATTTCTTTAATGCCTATATGACTATTCAGATTATCTCACTTTACTTGAGTTTTGGTAGTCTGTGGTTTTTTAGGAATTGTTCCATTTCATCCAAGTTGTTAAATTTATGGGCATAAAGTTGTTTATAGTGTTCTCTTATTATTCTTTTAATAACTGCAAGATCTATAGTGATACCACTGTTTTATTCTTGATATTTGTGATTTGTTTCTTCTCCCATTTATTTTTGTCAGTCTTGCTATATAGCAATTTATCAGTTTTATGGACTTTTTTTCAAACAACCAGCTTTTTTGTAAACTTTTGTATTAATTTCCTATTTTCAATTTCATTGATTTTTGCTTTTATCTTTATTTCCTGTCTTCTTCTAGCTTTGGGTTTATTATGTTCTTCCTTTTAGACTTTTTTGAGGTAACAACTTAAATTATTGATTTGACTTTTTAATCTTGTAATGTAAGAATATAGTGCTATAAATTTTCCTCTCAGCATTGTTTTTGCTGAATCCCACATATTTTGTTATATTGTATTTTTGTTTTTATTCAGTTTTGAATATACTTTACTTCCATCAAGTCTTCCTCTTTGACGTATAGATTATTTAGAAGTGTGCTGTTTAATTTCCAGGTGTTTAGAGATTTTCCGGTTTGATTTCTAGTTTGATTCCATTATGGTTAGAGATCACATTGCCTTTTGTTGCTAGATTGGGAGTCAGGGCTGGCTCACCTTCTTCTGTTGGGTGGTGAATGATAAAATGCCCTATCATTATGCTCTTCCTCCAGTCCTGGAATCTCTGATCATTTTACCTCCCTGTTTCCACCTTTCAGAGTTCCCCTTAGATTGTCTCTTGCATCATTTCCAGGGTTTATAGTTTAGTTACCAGGGAAGAATGGGGGACAGTTGAGTCTACACCACTTTGGCTGGATAGAACATCACTTCAATTTTGCTTTACAATTTTAAATATTTAATTTCCTTGAAATTGATTTTTCATGTAGAGTATAGTAGGAATCCAGTTTCACTTTGTTTTATTCAGATAATTGCTGTTTCAACACAATTATATGGTTCTTCAGTGGTCTGAAGTATCAGCTCTAACTGTTATTTAACTAGTTTCCATGCATACATGAGTTTGCTTCTGGACTTTCTTTTATGTTTCACTGGTGAGTTTGTTTATTCCTGTGGCAGTAGCATACCTCTAGATTATTTTAGTTTTTAACATATTTGGATATATCCTAAGGTAATTATCTTCACCTTACTATTATTCTTCTTCAGAAGTGTTTTAGCTAGTCTTATACCTTTATTTATCCCTATAAATTTAATAGTAGGCTTGCTAAATTCCTAAAAAAATTCTCATAACATTTATTGAAATATTTTATATTTTTATACATTAATATGGAGATTCTAGCATCTTTTCGATATTGAATCTTTCAATGCGTGAATGAACATAGTTTATCTCCCCACATATTTGGACATTCTTTAACATCTTTCAATAACAATTTTATAATTTTCCCCATGCAGATCTTGTACATGTTTTTGTTAAATATAATTCTAAGTACCTTATAGTTTTGCTCTTGTATATGATATCTTTTTAAATAAATAAGCTTGTTCCTTTGTTGGCTTTGAGGCCTCCTTCAACAGAAATCAAGAGAAAGCTTATGAGCTCAGTGCGAGAACAGCCCTCTGTCTAACTCCATGCCTCCATCAGCAGCAGTGGACAGGGAACTCTCAAACTTGGAATAAGACCGTACCTCTGCAGGACACTATTGGCAGGAGACAAGAGAACAACAGTGCACACCAGCACATCGACTAAGACTGCCCATCTTCAGGACATTTGTCAGCAGGAGCCAAATGGGAAATTCTGAGCAACAGGTGTTCCTGGCTTGTTCTCCTCCAATCCTCCCTTTCGTCAACACCCATACCCTTTATCTGTGTTCTTTACAGTCTTCATAAAAGGAGTCCAGGACTTCCAGTTAATCATTTATCCCAGAACTCTAATCCTCCGTAAGGATCCTTTTTTTTTGACCCAATATTTCCCTCTTCTGACTCCCCAAACCCTTTCTTTGTACTCTATTGAATTCAAGGTCAGTCAACAAAAAAGTCCTTTATATTTTAATATTTTACTATGAGTGTTCCCTTCACCTTCTGTGCTAATGAAAATCTAGATTTTCCTTCATGATAGTTTCCCCTGCATCCATTGAGGTTCTGGTAAATGTTTTAACAATCAACTCTTTGGAAGAAGAAAACAAAAGCCTTGATTTGTATAGTGTTTTCCAGTTTCTGTGCTGTTAAACACTCACACCATAGCCATTTAAGCTATCTTCTCACTTCACTGAATAAGGAGCCTGGGACTTGATGTCCACACTCAGCTCTCCTAAGCCAGTATGAGAGAGCAACAACACATCACATCTTACAGTACCTTTAAGGGTAACTGTTCTCTCTACTCCACTCAAATGTAGCATAGGTCCTGAAAGTCAGATAAGTGTCCCCTTTGCTTCTCATTGCTGCTTTCAGTTTGTTCTCCCTCCTTCATGAACATACCCTTCCGTGAATCTCATGTCATCAGATTTGCCCACTCATTGTACCTTTTTGTTATGGGCACCTCTTCTCACCTCATCTTTTTGTCAATTAAAAAAATTAATCCCCGTGATATTGTCACTTTCTTAAAAGTGATTCCTCCATAATGCTTCATGATTGAAATGTTGATATGGATGATCCTTCTAACTCTCTGAAGTTTCAGTTCCTTGACAGCCTCTCCTCCAGTGATCCACTTAACTCACTTTCATAGTCATTTCCTAGGCCTTGTTATTGCAAGTAACTGCTATAATTTTTCATTGCCTCTATTGTTTGCTCCCTACCCCCCGAATCTCTGCATACTGAGGTGTTTCAAGGCTCAGTTCTTGACCCTCTGTTGGTTGTCTTCACTCCCTAGGTGATCTCATCCAGTCTTATGGCTTTAAATTCTGCCTATATATTAATTATCCCTTAATTTACATCTTCAACTGAGATCTCTTCTCTGAACTCTAGTTTCATATATCCAACTGCTTACTGAACACCTCCAGTTAAATGTCATTTCTTCATTTCAATTATCTCCCCTTCCATGTTCTCCTTCTTAATTAATGGAAACTCCACACTTTAGTTACTTAGCCAAAAAACTCTAGAGTCATCCCTGAGACGTCTCTCTCTCTCACATCTCACATCTGATAAGAAAAAGAAATTATTTTGGCTCTATCTTTGAAAAAATATCTACATTTTCATTTTTTCTTACCACTAGCACTTTTGCTCTCTGTTTTTTTTTTTTTGCCACCGTCTGTAGTTTGTATTATTGCAAAAGCCTCCTAACTGATCTCTGCTTTTGTCTTTACTTTTCTTCAGTCTCTTTTGAACACAGCAGCCACAGTCATCTTCTTAAAACATAAGTCTGTCCATGACATTTCTCTGCTGAAAATTTTCCAGTAACCTCCCATCTTACTGAGTTACAGGTAAGGTCATTATAACCTCTGAGGCCCTACATTACCTAGATCCCTTTTACCTCTCTGACATTATCTCCTGCTACCCTCCCATCTTTTGCTCAATTGCAGGCACACTAGCCTCCTACAAATTCTACTTATTTATAGAACACTGTAGGTATGCCCCACCTTGAGGCTCTTGCACTTGAGTTTTTATCTTCTGTCTGTGTTATTTTCCTTCAGATAATTCAGATGGCTCATCTCTCACTTTATTTAAAGCTTTACTCAAATGTTCCCTTTTCAGAGAGACTTTTCATAGCCATCCAATCTAAATTTTAATGCTGCCTCTAATTCACTGGCACTTCTTTGGCCTCTATCCTACTTTAATTTTTCTTTTTGCCTATCTTACATATCTCTCATATGCTATGTTGTACTTATTAACTCATTGTATCACTTCCCACTAGAATGTAAGTCCCATGAAAGCAGGAATATTTATTAATTGTATTCACTGCTATATTCTCAGTGCCAGAAAAATGCCTGGCAAATAGTAATTATCCCATAAATATGTAAATTTGAAGGAATGCATAAATTAAAAAATGTGTTTTGTTAGTTGCTATTGTATAGATATGCATTGATTACTACAAGTTGATCAGAAATAGAGTGTTTCTGCTAAACCCCCTGTTTCTATAATTTGTCTATAGGCTTTTTGGGAATTTTCTTTGTAAGTAGTATCATCTGTGAAAAATAATAGTTGTGACTTTCATTTTTCAATTCTAAAAATTTTTATTTGTATTTCTTATATTTGTGCTTTGTCTAGGTCCTCCAGAAAGTTAAATAGAAGTGGTTAAATAGTGGTGGTTATACTATTTGTGATTTTAAAGGTGATGCATCTGATGTTTCAACACAAGGAATGATATTTATTGTCTTTGGTGGTTATTCTTTATCAAGTTGAAAAAATTTGTTTTCCTTTGATATTTAAAGTTTGTGTTTTACCATGAGTATATTAATTTTTTTGACCATAAGTGATTGGTAATTTTATCATGTTTAAGTTTTAAGATTTTATTTTATCATGAATAAGTATTGTATTTTCTGCTTCTGAGACTGTTTTCTCCATTAATATTTTAATGTGGTAAATGTTGCCATGGATTTTAAAATGTAAACATTCTCTTTCATTCCTGGAATAAAACTAATGTATTCATCATGTGTTATTTGAGTTACATAACACTGGACCTAGTTAATCATTTTTTCATAGGATGCTTACTTCTAGTTTATGAATAAAATTGATCTTTAATTTTCCTGTTCAGTCACTGTCTTTTTATAATTTTAGTATCATTGAATAAGTTGTGGAATAGTTCCTTTCTTCTATTCTTTGAAAGATTTTTATACCCTGGAAGACCTATTCCTTAAATGTATGGTAGAAGTCTTCTGTAAAACTAATTGGAACTGTTATATATTTATAGGAAGATTTTATACTGTGGATTCAGATTTCTTTGTAATGTAATAGAAGTTATTTCTTCCTTAATCAATTTTTATAAATTCTGAAGTAATATGCTTACATGAATATGACCATTTCATCTGAGTTTTAAATTTACTGGCTTAAAATATTTATCATATTTTTTATTATCTTTTAAATCTCAAATGGATCCATAATTATATTCTCTTTAATTTGTGAATTCTATTTCTTGCCCTCCCTTCCAACAGTTTTCCCCTCCCTTCCCATCTCACATCATTCTTCCTGTAAATATATAAATTTTGTTGGTACTTTTAAAGATCCAAGCTTTGGATTTTATAATCATTATGTTTAGCTTTTTTCTTGTATAACTTTGTAGTTTCATTGTTATGATCTTCTTCTGCCTATAGTCTTTGAGTTTATGCTTTGTTTCTTTTTCCAGCTTCTTAAGTTGATACATAACTCATTAATGGTTGGCTTTTCTACTATTTTAAGTACTTAATACTATTAATTTTCCCCAAATACTGTTTCAACTGCATCCCACAGATGTTTATATGTAGCATTTTAATTTTTGTTTAGTTTTAAGTATTTTAAGGTTTCCATTATGGTTTGTTCTTTGTCCTGTGGCTTATGTAGAGGACATTTTCAAATTTACATATGCATGGGTTTTGGGTTATTTTTTTATTTGGGTTATTATGTATTTGTAGTTGAAATAAATCATGGTCAGAATGCATGGTTTGTATGAAACCAATTCTTGAAATTTCTTGGGAGTTGCTATGGCAGAGATTTCTAGTTTTCTACCAAAAAATGTTTTCTTTATTCCTGTAGTTTTCATGATATAGCTGGGCATATAGTTAGGTACCTGTATTTTTCAGTATCCTGTACACCTAGATGTTACCATGAAACTAAATGTTGCCAGTGGAATTTGCACTTAATAGTTGTGTGTTTGTGGAATTACCTTTCAGAAATATTTACTCCCTCCCATCATTTTAAAGAAAGGATTCTACTTCCCTGATTTTTTTAGTCTTTGTTTTTTTCTTTTTTTTGAGACAGGGTGTCACTCTGTCACCCAGGCTAGAGCTCAGTGGCATGATCGCGGCTCACAGTAGCCTCGACCTCCCAGGGCTCAGCTGATCCTCCCACCTCAGCCTTCCAAGTAGCTGGGACTACAGGCCTGCACCACCACACCTGGCTAATTTTTATATTTTTTTGTCAAGATAGAGTTTTGTCATGTTGCTCAGGCTGGTCACAAACTCCTGGACTCAAGAGATCTGTCTGTCTTGGCCTCCCAAAGTGCTGAGATTACAGGTGTGAGCCACTGCACCCAGCTGTTTCCTGATTATTGATGTAGAGCTTGGCCTTGGCCATGTAACTTATTTTGGTCAATGATAATTTGAGAAACCTGACTCTACAGAAGCTTGATATATGCTTGCACATTTAGGTTTGCTCTGTCTGCCATGGGCATGAAAAGAATGCGGCCATTTCCCTTGATAATATATGTTCTTCAGAAACATTAGATAATGTCATAATGCATTATTACTTGGATATTTCACAATGTATTTTATGTTCCCATGTCTACTCATTTTGTTTATTTCCGTTGTTTTGCTGTTTCAAATAATTCTATGAGGCAATTCTTATACATTAAATTCTGTTCATATCTTATTGTTTCTTTGGTATAAAACTCAAGAACTGGTGATCTTGGATTAAAGGATATAAACAAGTGTTTGTTCTATTCTTCATTTTTACAGTGAAATACAAAAAATCTCCTTTAAAAAGCTACTCCTTGCATTTCATGTTAGTATTTGCCTGGTACATCTTTTTTCATCCCTTTATTTTCAACATTTCTGTAATATGTTTAGTTGATGTTTCTAGGAATTAGTATATAGTGGGCAGTCTCTTTCATTTATCTGGTGATTTTGTCCACTTATATTTATTTAAGTGTTTTCCACTTATTTTGATTATTCATGTTTTTGGACGTGTTTCTACCATCTTATTTTTTGCTTTATGTTAATTTATCTTTTTATGCTTGCATTTATCTTTCCTTGCTTTATAATACATTGATTTGTTTTCACTATGTATTTTTCTCTTTCAGTGTTTGCTCTGAAAAAATTTAGCATGCACATGTAATACAATCTAAAATTAATTACTTGGATAATAGAAAAACTTCAAACGTTTTAAATAAGATCAAAACACTTCCTATTTACATATATTTTTGTCTGGTCATATATTTTTTAATATAATGAAACATTATTATTTAAGAAAGGTAATTTATAAAGACAATGCTTATTTCAATTTATCTACAAATTTACTAATTTTATTTTTCTAACTGGTTTTAGGATCTCATATTATCTTTTTTTGCCCAAGTTTCGTCATAATAGGTATAATTTTTTAAAAATTTATTTCATGGACTGTATTATGTTTCCTGTATTTAGGTGGCATGTCTTTTATCATTTCTCAGAATTCACACTCATGATTGCAGTAAATATTTCCTTTCCTCCATTAATAAAAATTCATTCCTTTCAGAGATGCAATTAGATATGTTATACTATCTAATTCTATCTGCCATATTATTTAAACTCTCTTTTACATTGTTTATATTCTTATCTCCTTATGCTCAATTCCCAAAAATTTATTTATAGTTTTTTTTAAATTTTATTATTATTATACTTTAAGTTTTAGGGTACATGTGCACAACGTGCAGGTTTGTTACATATGTATACATGTGCCATGTTGGTGTGCTGCACCCATTAACTTGTCATTTAGCATTAGGTATATCTCCTAATGCTATCCCTCCCCCCTCCCCACACCCCACAACAGTCCCTGGAGTGTGATGTTCTCCTTCCTGTGTCCATGTGTTCTCATTGTTCAATTCCCACTTATGAGTGAGAACATGCGGTGTTTGGTTTTCTGTCCTTGCGATAGTTTACAGAGAATGATGGTTTCCAGTTTCATCCATGTCCCTACAGAGGACATGAACTCATCATTTTTTATGGCTGCATAGTATTCCATGGTGTATATGTCCCACATTTTCTTAATCCAGTCTATCGTTGTTGGACATTTAGGTTGGTTCCAAGTCTTTGCTATTGTGAATAGTGCCGCAATAAACATAATGTGTGCATGTGTCTTTATAGCAGCATGATTTATAATCCTTTGGGTATATACCCAGTAATGGGATGGCTGGGTCAAATGGTATTTCTAGTTCTAGATCCCTGAGGAATCGCCACACTGACTTCCACAATGGTTGAACTAGTTTACAGTCCCACCAACAGTGTCAAAGTGTTCCTATTTCTCCACATCCTCTCCAGCACCTGTTGTTTCCTGACTTTTTAATGATCGCCATTCTAACTGGTGTGAGATGGTATCTCATTGTGGTTTTGATTTGCATTTCTCTGATGGCCAGTGATGATGAGCATTTTTCATGTGTTTTTTGGCTGCATAAATGTCTTCTTTTGAGAAGTGTCTGTTCATATCCTTCGCCCACTTTTTGATGGGGTTGTTTGTTTTTTTCTTGTAAATTTGTTTGAGTTCATTGTAGATTCTGGATACTAGCCCTTTGTCAGATGAGTAGGTTGCAAAAATTTTCTCCCATTCTGTCGGTTGCCTGTTCACTCTGATGGTAGTTTCTTTTGTTGTGCAGAAAATGTTATCCAGCATATAAACAGAACCAAAGACAAAAACCACCTGATTATCTCAATAGATGCAGAAAAGGCCTTTGACAAAATTCAGCAACCTTCATGCTAAAAACTCTCAATAAATTAGGTATTGATGGGTCGTATCTCAAAATAATAAGAGCTATCTATGACAAACCCACAGCCAATATCATACTGAATGGGCAAAAACTGGAAGCATTCCCTTTGAAAATGGGCACAAGACAGGGATGCCCCCTCTCATCATTCCTATTCAACATAGTGTTGGAAGTTCTGGCCAGGGCAATCAGGCAGGAGAAGGAAATAAAGCGTATTCAATTAGGAAAAGAGGAAGTCAAATTGTCCCTGTTTGCAGATGACATGATTGTATATCTAGAAAACCTCGTCGTCTCAGCCCAAAATCTCCTCAAGCTGATAAGCAACTTCAGCAAAGTCTCAGGATACAAAATCAATGTACAAAAATCACAAGCATTCTTATACACCAATAAGAGACAAACAGAGAGCCAAATCATGAGTGAACTCCCATTCACAGTTGCTTCAAAGAGAATAAAATACCTAGGAATCCAACTTACAAGGGATGTGAAGGACCTCTTCAAGGAGAACTAAAAACCACTGCTCAAGGAAATAAAAGAGGATACAAACAAATGGAAGAACATTCCATGCTCATGGGTAGGAAGAATCAATATCATGAAAATGGCCATACTGCCCAAGGTAATTTATAGATTCAATGCCATCCCCATCAAGCTACCAATGACTTTCTTCACAGAATTGGAAAAAACTACTTTAAAGTACACATGGAACCAAACAAGAGCCCGCATTGCCAAGTCAATCCTAAGCCAAAAGAACAAAGCTGGAGGCATCACTCTACCTGACTTCAAACTATACTACAAGCCTACAGTAACCAAAACAGCATGGTACTGGTACCAAAACAGAGATATAGACCAATGGAACAGAACAGAGCCCTCAGAAATAATGCTGCATATCTACAACTATCTGATCTTTGACAAACCTGACAAAAACAAGCAATGGGGAAAGGATTCCCTATTTAATAAATGGTGCTGGGAAAACTGGCTAGCCATATGTAGAAAGCTGAAACTGGATCCCTTCCTCACACCTTATAAAAAAATTAATTCAAGATGGATTAAAGACTTAAATGTTAGACCTAAAACCATAAAAACCCTAGAAGAAAACCTAGGCAATACCATTCAGGACATAGGCATGGGCAAAGACTTCATGTCTAAAACACCAAAAGCAATGGCAACAAAAGCCAAAATTGACAAGTGGGATCTAATTAAATTTATTTATTCTTAATTGTCCAGTTCTCTTTCTATATGTTAAATCTTTTTACAAATGCTTTGTATTTTTCTAATGAGTAATTGTATGTTTTACTTCTAAAGGTCATATTTGATTCTTTAAAATTTTTTTTTAATTATTGGTAGCTCCTTTTTACTTGAACTTATTTGTGTGTATACTTTTTGTTTAACCATTTCTAGGATTATGCTTCCAAAGCTTATGGCTGACCTAAAGCTTACTCTCCAAATTGCAGTTCTGGTTTTGGCATTTGGCAACATACCCCAACAGTAAGCATGTGCTTATGGTTGCTAGCTCCTATACAGTTATTTTACTTTATTTTGTCCATAAGCTAGTAATCGTAAACACATGCTTTACTTTTTCACTACTGTCGAGTGTAACAATGCAACAAGATGAACCTAAGGTTTACTTAAGTGCCAGTTGTTTTTGTAGTGGGAGAATCCTTCAAAGTATGTAGTCTTACATATTGCTGGAATTAAACATCCTACAGTTAATTTTAGCTATTAAGATTTCCATTTTTTATGTTTTTTGGAAGAATATAAGTAAATGATTGTCCTAATTTAATCCATGGAGGAAAATTATAACAATTTTTAAAATTTTATACTATCATGGATACATAATAGTTACACATATATATGGGGTACATGTGATATTTTGATATAAACATACAATGTGTAATGATCAAATCTGGGTAAATGACATATCCATCACCTCAAACATTTATCATTCCTTTCTGTTGGGAACATTCCAAATATTCTTTTCTGGTTATTTTGAAATATACAATAAATTATCACAAACTATAGTTGCCCTATGGTGCTCTCAAACACTAGAACTTATTCCTTCTATATAACTGTATTTTTGTACACATTAACCAACCTCTCTGCCTTTTCTCTCCCACCTTCTTTTCCCAGTCTCTGGTAACCACCATTCTATTCATTACCTCCATGAGGCCAACTTTTTTAGCTCTAATATATGAGTGAGAATAAGCGATATTTGTCCTTTTGTGCCTGGTTTGTTTCACTTAATGTAATGTCCTCCAATTCCATCCCTGTTGCTGCTAATAACAGGATTTCATTCTTATTTAAGTTCTTTATTCAGAATTAAAGTATTTTATAGTCAATGGATAAATCCAACTCTTGATTAGTTTATATGTTCTAGGGAGGATAAGAGAAAGCAAAATAAGGGTTTTCAAAGTTCTTTAATCTGGTTAGCACAAAGGCTACAGGAGTTGAAGTATGCCAAAAAAGAGGTTTACATTTGGATAATAAGAAGAGGCATAAAGTAAAATAAAATTATAGTCAAAAGTGAGGTTGCCTTAGGTTCAGCATCTTTAAGCTGATAGTGGCAAAGGCAATGGTCAATTACTGTAAATGTCATTTTCTCACCCTTTTCAATAGTTTCCTGTTTTCCAGAATTTTGTTTTTTTGATGTATCATGAATTGGATAGTGGAGCTTTGTAGTAGAAGAAATGGCTTATTAACTATGTGCAGTTACTTTATTCATTCATTTCTTTACTCATCAGAAATTTGCATACAGTTTGGGAGGCAGTGGGTAGGAATGGGAGATACCAAGGAAGATGGAAAAGCCCTGCTTTTCAGGATTTCACACGCCAGATCAAATGGATTTCATAATCAAAACAAAAATTATTTCACTTGATTCTAAATTGCTAACTTTGGAATAGTTGTGTATATATACTAATTGAGAGCCAAGGTGATGTCATTATTTTATTTAACCATACATTAAGTTGTAATTTTTATTTATGTGATTTATGAAATAATGTTATGAACCAAAATAAGTCAAAGCATTGTATTTTAATTAATCAAATATTAACAATTTTAATTCCCTCTATTAGGATAAAGGATGTTACCATATTATACAGAAAAAAGTTCAGTTTAGAAATAAGACCTAAGCGGTGTGCTCACCATTGTTCCATCTGTATGGGCGCACCCTTCTATGTAGAAGTAACTTGCCTTGCTGAGAATTAAAAAGAAAATTTTATATGCGAGTGCAATTTCTTTTGTGGCACCAAAACTTTATATATAACAATTTGGGGTCTCTCCCGGGATTACATTCTCCTCCAGGACGGTCTCTCCTCTCTCGTGAGGAGGCGCACCCAGCCCTAGTGTGGTGGCCTCAGGGGTGAGAAATCAAGACCCACCCCAGTGCAAGGAATAACCCGAGCTCTCAGCGACGCGGATTTAAAAAAAAAAAAAAAAAAAAAGGGAAAAGAAACTGGCCAGCAACCTAGCTTAAAGGACTCTCACATACTGCGGCGACCACTCTGTGCACAGACCAAGGAAGGAGAAGCCGCGGGAGCGGGTAGAGTACCTTGGTGGTCAAATTCTGGAGGGCTAAATGTGTGTGTGCGTGAATGATCACAAACAACCCTGCTTGCAGTGTTGTTCGTGTGGATGGTGACAAGTCCTACTGCTGGACAGTGTGAGTGGGTCCTCTTTGCAGTTCTACCTTGGCGGAGCGGCCAGAGAGGACAGCACAAGTGGGAAGTGTGCAAAGGACCTTCAGAGGGGGAAAGGGAGAAATAGGTCAATCTTCCAGGACAGGCAAGACACCCCCTGGTTTGAGGGGTTGAGCCTTCCAGGGCAAGCAAGGCAAGACGCCCCCTGGTTTGAGGGCTTGAGCCTTCCAGGACAGGCAAGGTGAGACACCCCCTGGTTTACGGGGTTGAGCCTTCCGGGACAGGCAAGGTGAGACATCCCTAGTGTTGAGGGGTTGAGCCTTCCGCTAATTTCAAGGGTTGAACTTGACACAACCCCCCCGTTCAACCCCTTTCCTTTCTTCTCGGGAGAAGAAAGAGTAGTTGCACTCCCGCAGGTCCCTACCCTAGGAGAGAGAGAGACAGGAGAGAGAGAGAGAGAGAGAGAGAGAGAGAGAGAGAGAGAGAGACAGACAGACAGGAGAGAGAGAGGGGGAGAGAGACAGAGAGGAGAGAGACAGAAGAGAGAGAGAGAGACAGAGGAAAGAGAGACAGGAGAGAGAGAGACAGGAGAGAGGCAGAGAGAGACAGGAGAGAGGCAGAGAGAGACAGAGAGGAAGAGAGACAGGAGAGGCAGAGAGAGAGAGAGGAGAGAGGCAGAGAGAGAGAGACAGGAGAGAGGCAGAGAGAGAGACAGGAGAGAGGAGAGAGGCAGAGAGAGAGAGACAGGAGAGAGGCAGAGAGAGAGACAGGAGAGAGAGGAGAGAGGCAGAGAGAGACAGGAGAGAGGCAGAGAGAGAGACAGGAGAGAGAGAGGAGAGAGGCAGAGAGAGACAGGAGAGAGGCAGAGAGAGACAGGAGAGAGGCAGAGAGAGACAGGCAGAGAGAGGGAGAGGCAGGAGAGAGAGAAAGAGAAAAATAGAAGTAGTAAAAAAACAAAAACAAAGAAAAAAAAACAAAAAAACCAGTGTACCCTATTCCTTTAAAAGCTAGGGTAAATTTAAAACCTATAATTGATAATTGAAGGTCTTCTCCGTGACCCTGCAACACTCCAATACCACCTTGTTGTAAGTGTAAACAAGGGCATAGCCAGAAAGCACTGAGGCCACTGACAACCTGTAGCCTTCCTATAAAAAATCCTTAACCTAGTAATCTGCGGATGGCCAAATGCATTCAATCTGTAGCAGCAACTGCTTTGCTAACAGAAGAAAGTAGAAAAATAACTTTTAGAGGAAACCTCATTCTGAGCACAACTCACCAGTTTAGTTCAGGACTATCCTAAGTCAAAAAAAGCAAAAAGGTAGCTTACTAACTCAAAAATCTTAAAGTATGGGGCTATTCTGTTAGAAAAAGATGATTTAACATTAACCACTGAAAATCCCCCTAACCCAGCAGGTTTCCTAACAGGGGATTTAAATCTTAATTACCGTACAAAGGTCCGACCAGACCCAGGAGGAATTCCCTTCAGGACAGGACCATAGATGTTTCTTCCCGGGTGAATGAGGGAAAAAGACACAATGGTTATTCAGTAATTGATAGGGAAACTCTTGTAGAAGCAGAGTTAGGAAAATTGCCTAATAATTGGTCTGCTCAAACATGCAAGCTGTTTGCACTCAGCCAAGCCTTAAACAGAACCAGGAAGGAACCATCTATACCAATTCTAAGTTAATTTGGACTAAACAAGGTCTTATTAATAGTAAAGAATAATTAAAATCCCAAACTTAGAAGGTTTTCAAGAAACGTAGCTTGCTAAAAGTTAGCAGTGTAACACGTATTATCCTAACTTTTAATCTTGTGGCCTTAGACAGTCTAGTCCACAGACATGAAGGAAGTTCGCTTTGAAAAAGAATGGTTATCTTCAAGAGGGAAAAAAAAAAGTGGGGTGGGAGAATTTACATAAAAAGGAATGTTCCATGGTAAATTATTGTCCTGAAATAAATTAACTGTTTTTTTTTTTTAAAGGGGATGTTTGTGACAAGTCAGAAAGTTGAGGCATGTCGAAAAAATATCTCTGAAAGTTGTGGGAAAAAAAGGTTATAAAAGGGAATTTATGCAAGAAATGTTGTATAATTTAAAAGTAACTAGGCCTCCTGAATGTAAAACTATTTATTCTATAAACAGTTTATGTGCAAGGTGTGTAAGAAAAGTAAAATATACTTTTGGTAAAAAGATTGTAGGGAGGCATAAGAATGTGGATTTTTACCTACATTAACAGGTTAAAAAATATATATTTTGTTTTAAAGGTTTAAGCAAGTTGTAAAACGTTAATTGTAAAGAAAATTGTGTGTGTAAACATACTCGCTAAAGTTAAAGAGGTATCATCCAGTTTTTCTGTGAACTGGACAGTAAAAGCATAACAGGTTTTTCTTAACGCACTAACCTGCTCTTTAACAAAAATTATAAAAGGTTAAAAAGAGTCTATAAAATCTTACCTTAGGGCCAGACATTAAAAATTGAATAAATATATCTACAAAGTTTTATTAAAACTAAGTTTAACATTAATAACACACTAATATAAAGGTGAAATTTAGCTCATCGGGTATAAAAATCATACAAGAAGCATTATCAAATATAAAATGGTATTTGGCTTTCTTTGGTCTAAAAACTAATAAAAATAGGTGCTAAAGGAAATTTCTCAGTAAGAAGGCACCAAGGACTATAAAGTCCTCTGCAGATGTCCCCACACTTAAAAGGTCAATTTCTTAGAAATTATATACTTGGTTTATCTTCCACTTTCCTTTTCCTCAAAACTAAAAGTCTTTTAGCACAGGTACCATCCCTAGAATTTCCGGTAAACGGGAACCAGCCTGAAGATCACGTTCTTATCTAGGGTGGAAAGAAAGAAAACTTTAGCGATCCTGGGAAGGACCCTACCTTGTGCTGCTAACCACCGAGACTGCTGTTCGTACAGCAAAAAGGGGATGGAATCATCACACCCGAGTCAAGAATGTGCCACCCCCTCCAGAGTCGTGGGCCATAGTCCCAGGGGAAAACCCTACCGAACTAAAGCTAAGAAAAATTTAACTCTCTTTCATCTATTCTATTACTCTTTATTCTTTCCTCTATCTGTTGCTGACCATCTAGTTATTAACATAAGCAAGTCAATTTTGCCTCAAACTACTGCATTTAATGCTTGCGTTGTTATACCCTGAAGGAACTTACCAGGTCAAAGACAGTTTTCTATTTCAGAAAAGGAAAAGTACCTGTGTCCCTCCTGACTCTTCTCAGACTGGGCATTAGTAAATTGGGACCATTTAATCCAAGGAGATTTCGATAAAGACCTAAATGTCAACCAGGAGTCTTGCCCCCGATGTAGAGCTTTTATGCTGTAGTTGGTCCAACGTTCTGTGGCCCACTGAAGAGCAAAGATGGACTGCAAAGATGGACTACAAAAACCAACTGGTTTTTGTAATTTCCTAAAACCCTACATTCATTTTACTAGAGAATCATAGAAGTTAAAGACTTAAACTTTGGCAATTAAGACAGGATACCAAGATGCAAATGCCTAGTTGGAATGGATCAAATATTCCGTCCACACATTAAACAAAAGCAATTGTTACACTTGTGCGCACGGCAAGCCAGAGGCCCAGATTGTCCCCTTTCCACTAAGGTGGTCCTCCAGTCGACCAGGCATGGGCTGCATGGTAGCTCTTTTCCAGGATTCTACACCCTGGAGTAATAAGTCGTACCAAGCTCTCTCTCTCTGCTATATCCTGAAGTCCGGCACCCTGCGGGTCAGCCCCCGAGGGCCATCCAGCTTCCGTCTCCCAACAGTAAGTTAACTTTGTGTCTCTCATGACAGGGAGGAAACCTAGTGTTCCTTAGAGACCTGAAGGGATGCAGTGAGCTTAAAAATTTTCAAGAGCTTATCAATCAGTTAGCCCTTGTTCATCCCCAAGCAGATGTGTGGTGGTATTGTGGTGGACCTTTACTGGACACTCTGCCAAATAACTGGAGTGGCACTTGCGCTTTAGTCCAATTGGCTATCCCTTTCACCCTGGCATTTCAACAACCAGAGGAAGGAAAAATAAGACATTGTAAAGCAAGAGAAGCCCCTTATAGGTCTTTCGACTCTCAAGTCTATTTAAACGCAACTGGAGTCCCACAGGGAATATCAGATCAGTTTAAAGCCTAAAATCAAATAGCTGCAGAATTTGAGTCAATATTTTGGTGGGCGACCATTAATAAAAATGTAGATTGGATAAACTATATCTACTACAACCAACAGCGATTTATTAACTACACTAAAGATGCTGTTAAAGGAATAGCTGAGCAATTAGGGCCACTAGCCAGATGGCTTAGGAAAATAGAATAGCCTTAGACATGATATTAGCAGAAAGAGGAGTTTGCGTCATGATTAAAACTCAATGTTGTATCTTCATCCCAAACAACACTGCCCCCAATAGAAGTATAACAAAGGCATTGCAAGGTCTGACTGCTCTATCAAATGAGTTAGCCGGTAACTCAGGGGTAAATGACCCCTTTACAAGATGGCTAAAACAGTAGTTCAGTAAATGGAAAGGAATAATAGCCTCGATTCTTATTTCCCTCGCAGCCGTAATAGGTGTACTTATTCTTGTCAAGTGCTGTGTCATACCATACATCCGTAAGTAGATGCAGAGGCTCATAAAAACGGCACTTACTAAAACCTCCCTTAACTATCCTCCACCTTATCCAGAGAAACTTCTTTTGAAAAATCAAGCAAAACAGCTAAGCCATGTTAAAAAAAAAAGAAAAAAAGGTTTGAAAAGAAAACTATAAAGAATACAAGGGGAAGGATTGTTAGATATGGGTTCTAAATTTCTTTTCAAAGAATTAATATGTCAGTATGTTCAATTCTTTGCCTTTTACTTGTAAACTTCCTCGTGAAGCAACCTTTTTCGTTTCCCTGACTCATCTGATTACCTACTCCACCCTGACTCATTCTGATCACCTACTCCACCCTAACTCATTCCGATCACCTGCTCCACCCTAACACATTCTGATCACCTGCTCCACCCTAACTCATTCCAATTACCTGCTATCTGCTCTGCCCTGACTCCCAACAAAGCACTCACCCTGTCATTCTCTTTAAATTAGCCAATCGGAATTAGTTTAACCTGTGTGGTCTAACCCTAGCCAATAGGGGAACAACACAGCAGCAGGGGCCACATGTGTCAGGGATAAGAACCCCTTCCCCTCCCTTGTCCAAGTGTGTGCTCACCATTGTTCCATCTGTAAGTGCGCACCTTTCTATATAGAAGTAACTTGCCTTGCTGAGAATTGAAAAGAAAATTAAAAAAAATAATAATTAGACATGGGCATTGTTACTCTAAAGAGCACCTCGTTTAACTTTTATGAATCAAAGTTTTATCCTATGTTGGTCCTCAATAAATCCTATCATACTTCCCATATTAATTTCTGTAAGTTAATTAGAGTGACATCTTGTGCCACTCTCAGTGTTTTGTTTGTTTATTTTTTTTTGTTTGTTTGGCTTTTCACTTCTCACTAGTTTCCTACCCTCCAGAATTTCCCATTTTTGGAGAAGCGCTAAAGGCTTAGTTCTAGGACTGATTCTATGTCACAGGGGCAATGAAGAAAATAAATGAAACCAGCATGGCATAAAATATAGAAGAGTAAGAGGAGAATATAATGATAAGAGATAGATCCTAGGAGTAGAGGCAAATAATAGTGTCATAAAGGAAAGATTTAAAAAATGAAAATTAAAAATATGAATTGTCTCATCCAAAATGGGTTAGAAAATTAATTTAAAACATTATTATTAAATTGATAATTTTAAAATCTGCAATGTTAGATTTATAGCACTGGATCTACATACTATGTATAATGTGAGGATCTTTATAATATCAGGTAGTCTTGAGTTATATTGGGTAATGCTGTTAATTAGTATGTTGATACTATAAATGGTGTTTTATAGTTGGTACTATAAATGATACTATAAATGAGACTATAAATGGTTTTACTGAAGCATAAATGAATAGGATAATTGCATTACCATTCTTGTTGCATTTTCTGAATGTATGTTTTCTAGAGAAAATGCTATGCTATTTCATAGAAGTTCATGTGTGTCATAAAAACTAATCCTAAGTGTTCATTCATTTCTAATAGTATCCATAAGATTAAGTATTATTTAAATTTTTTTGAAGTATCAGGTTGCTGAAATATTAGTCTGAGGATAACAAAATCCAGTAATAGTTTTTCTTCCTACAAAGGTCATAGTTTTATATGTGTGCATATGTGTCTATGTGTGTGTATATCTACAAATTAATTAAAATTGTTGAGCATCTCATCATGTGCTAGACATTGTATAGGTTATACTTTACATATGTTTCCAATTTAAAACTGTCATATGAAATTTAAGAACTTTCTTATAACTATTGAGAGGACTACATATATTATTCAAATATTATTTATATTTTAAATATGTTTTTAAAAGATATTACGAGCCAAGCACTTGTAGCACAGACTAGTGCATAATTAAGGTTTCTGATAGATTTGGTGAATTAACAAAAAATTGTTAAGTTGGTAGTGAGCTAAAAAGATGGCAGGGTAAATTAACAAAAATGGAAATACGTGATACTCCATATCTCATCCCTTGGAATTATGGATCTGACTACATCATCATTATGTCTGGCCATGACAGCACAAACCAACAATTTAACTTCTTTTCGATCTAATAGTGTTTGGTACATGCCATAATCATATTGTTAGTTTTTTGGGATATTTCACAGTGCAAACAAAGTTATGACAGATTGATCAGAAGCCCTGGGTCTGGTAAAATAGAATAGCCCTGGTCTGTTTTTATCCAGGTGTCACTAATCTTCATGTTTAACTTTGTACCTGAAAATATAAAATAATAGCTAATTGTGCTTTCCCATTTCATTTATGTTTCTTCAAAGAACCACAGGATTTTTATGTTTAATAATTCATTTTAACCACTCTTTTCCAATGTAGACAGTAGGAAACACTAAATGCAAAAATATGTGCAGTAGGTAGTCTCCAAACATAGACCCCTCAATTAACTACACCTCCTGCTATTCAGTTCCTAGTGTAGTTCCTGCTACAGTGGGTCTGAGCTAATGGATCTATGAGCTTTCTTTTAGCATTAATTACTTGGAAACAATTTTCAGTTTCTTAAAAATTCAGTTTATTTAAGCATGTTAATCTGAAAATTTCTTTATTATTTTAAGATTAGTTCCTTAATTAATTAGACATTTTTTACTGTAGAATATTTATAAATCTCTGTTCTTTATTAAAAAACCTGAAAATTTTAAATTTTAGTTTAATTTATAGCTTGAATCTAGATTTCAATTTGTTTATTCTTATTTTAGATTATGACTTTTGAGTTTTCAAATTCTCATTTTCAAACAGGAAAATGAATATAAAAATGTAGTGTTGAGGGACTGTTTTTCCCTCTAAGTCTGGACTGTCACATGATTAATGTAACATAAAAGTGATTTTATATCACAAAAGTGATAAATTCCCATTCTTGTGACATACTGCTAATGCAAAACTTTAATCACTGTGCCTTCAATAGGAAGCCAAAATAGTCTGACTTAAATTTAATGTAAAATAAGTAATAACCGCTGATAAACTATTTGACCTAGAGTCTTATAAATGATAAATGAGGACTTAAAGCTCTAATTTGTCCCTTCTTAATGGACTATATATGTATATAAGTAACTGATGTCATTGCTTCATTCTTGGTAGAATGTGCTGTCTGTTCTTTGTGACATAGTCACATGGATGGCAGCAGGCAAAGAGAGAATGAGGAAGATGCCAAAATGGAAACCCATGATAAAACCATCCCATGTCATGAGACTTATTCACTACCAGAAGAACAATATGGGAAAACCGCCCCCATGATTCAATTATCTCCCACCAGGTCCCTCCCACAACACGTGGGAATTACGGGAGTACAATTCAAGATGAGATTTGACTGGGAACACAGAGCCAAACCATATCAGGCAGCCAAGCTAAAGCTTGATGGGTAGGCAGGAGGAAGCTAGGTAAGAGAACAAGGAGAGGCTGTGCCAGCACATGCAAAGATCTAGAGGTCAGCCCCAAGCTTTTCAGAGGGGCCAGGGAAGCATGCAAGGAGCATGCAGTGTTGACAGCTGACCTGGGCCAGGCCATGGAGTTCCTTTGAAGCCATGCTTAGGAATTTAGGTCATTATCTGAAGGTACTTCCTCAAATTCCAACTCTCTGAAGCGGCTTAGAAACTTTGTGCCTGGAAATATCATTTTTTCAGCACATGAAAAAACAATTGAAGTGGAACAAAACTGGACTCAATGATGCCAAGTTGGGAATAAATGCAGCAATCTATCTGGGTGAGAGATGGGCACAGGTTGGCTAAGAAAGTAGCAGTGTAGGTATTGGGAAGAATAGACAGATTTGGTACTTATGGGGCAAATCTTCATGGTTGATTACGTTTGTAGTGTGTGTATGAGAAACAGGAATCTTCAGATGTTTTTGGCTGGGTTGACAGTGTTATCATTCATTGGAATTGAAGAAAAGATGAGGGGAAGGTTTTGGAGGAGAGGATATTATTAATTGGTTTATGACGTGAGGGAATTTGGATGTCTTTGGGACATCTGAGTAAAGCTGCTTGGTTAACTGTCGTACACAGAACACTGGAGTTTAGGAGAAACTTGGGAAAATGAAAAGCCCCAGGTTGCTGCAAGGGAATAGGGTCTAAGGGGAGGGAACTTGGTTGCAATTAAGGCAGGAAGCTGCAGTTAGTTCTTTGTGAAGATGTTGAGGATGTAGAGGAGTTGGTTAATCATAAAATAAGGATAATATAAACATGTAATGAGAAAGATTGAACACAAACATGGAAGATTGTGAAGATGAGATGATGGGAATCAGTAGAAGGCCAGAAGGGACACACATTGTGAGTGATAACCTGATGAGCAGGATGTCACATACAGTGAGTTTGCTGGCCCATGGCTGTAAGAAGGAATCAATGCCAGAAGCTCTTGGCTGAATGGGGGCTGGGAAAGACTTGACATTCTCTCAGGAGTCTGAATAGATCATACTTCCAAAGTCCTAGCCTGTGGTACATGCAGAGGCTTTAAATGCAACCAACTCTGCCACACACATATGCATTGTCTGTGAGCTACAGGCTGCTGTTTACACAGGCACTCAGAATGTATCAGGGACCAGATCTTTGTATGATGAGACTCGGGGTAGGGTCCCAGCAGTCATAAACCTACTTTTAGGAGCCAAAACTAGGTCATAGCCTATATTGGTTACTGGAAAATTAGATCAGCTTCGTGTGTAAACACTATTTCAGGGAATGTGGTCCTACTCTTGGTGGTGTGAATACAGCATGCTATATAACACTTGATGTTTTAGGCAGCATTACTTGACTTGTTTTTTCTTTTTTTGTTACACCACAGCACTTGGGTAAAATATTTATATGATTCACTGAGATAAATGAACAAGGCATTTCATTGAGGAGACCAGCCATTGGGCTCTGGCAGTCGTAGGTCTTTCCTGGCTATCCCGGGGTGGGGGCTAAAGAGGAGCGTTTTGTATTCTTATATGAGATGGTCAGTTGGATCCAGCCACAAGAGGAGACAGAAGAGAGGATCAGGAAAACAAAGTTCATTATACTCATGATCTTAAAGACAGGGGGCACAGTAAACCATGCTAACTGGGAAAAACACCAATGTGGTCAGGAGGCAAAACATAGGAGCAAGGGAAAAGGATTAGGCCAGAGCCTTTACTGAGGTTTCCACAGGAAGGGCAAGGCAGGACAGACTTAACAGTTTAGAATTGGCTAGTTTGAATAATTTCAGCAGGCTCTAAGCTGTAAGTGTGGCTGCTGGTTGCCTGGTACCTAACTCTGGGATGATTAAAGCAGAGGCACATTGACTCGTGGGGTGTATGGGCCTGTTAAAGGAGGTAAAGCTCTGGATTGGTTAGTTTGCTTATCAAAGGCATGATCTTGGCTAGACTTTCCTGTCTTTAAGAATTGGCTAGCCTCAGGAGGTCAGAGGTCAAGCATCATACTATATAGAAAAGTACAGACACACACACACACACAATACAAGGAACAATATTTTGGGTATAGCCATAACCTATTTGAGGCAAATAAACTGGAAAACTTTGCTTTAGGGGGATACATGAATGTTATCAGGGCTTTTGCAAATGCCAGGACTTCTGACAACTGTTTAGTGTTTTTGCTTTCACAGCTTCACAATATCTTATATAGAGAAAATGGTGTCATACTTCTAAGAAATTACTTTTGTACAACATGCAGGGAACTAGACCTGTTTTTCTCCTTTTTCACTATAGAGTACTCAGTGGCACATGGATTTATGTAAATATTAAATGGCTATAACTTGCTTTGTTAAAAACTGTTATAGAACTATTCCTGCTGATTTCAGTGTAAATTAATTTTGGTAAACCTTAACAGTTTCTCTTTGTAACTTAAATTTTTTAAATAGAAAATACTATATTCACATGGCAAAACATTCAGAAAGTATATTAAGGCATAACGAAGAAACTAAAAATCTATAATCCTACATTCTGAAATGGTAATTATGCATAATTTAGAAACTTACCTTTTTACTTATCTATAAAAATATATTTTTATATGAGTAAATGTATATGTAATCATGTCAATCAAAAATATTTTCCTCCTATTTTTCCTCCTTTTATAAACAAAGATCAAATTTAGAAATTTATTGTGTTTCAATTTTTTTTTTTTTTGAGACAGTTTTGCTCTTGTTGCCCAGGTTGGAGTGTGCAGTGGCACGATCTCGGCTCGCTGCAACATCTGCTTCCCAGGTTCAAGCAATTCTCCTGCCTCAGCCTTCCAAGTAGTGGAAATTACAGGCATGCTCCATCACACCCAGCTAATTTTGTATTTTTAGTAGACACGATGTTTCACCATATTGGTCAGGCTGGTCTTGAACTCCTGACCTTAGGTGATCCACCTGCCTCAGCCTCCCAAAGTGCTGGGATTACAGGCATGAGCCATGTGCCCGGCCTACAGCATATATACTATTAAACATGTATACACATATATGCATACATGGTATTTATAGATATACATGGATATTTATATCCATCTACACACACACACATATATATATATGCACACATGTACACTTCTACCCACAAACATACACACATTACTATAACAAGAGCATCCTTCTCTGTTACCAGGATCTGGAGCTCCTAAAGGATGTTCCCAGGTCATTCTAGGAGATTTCCAGGGCATGGTCTGGAGGATTTCCAGGAAGAGGTTTCACTTATACCTTCTATCATATTTTACATTCTCATTTATACTAAAAATTTTGGTTTGATAATATGTTTGATTCAAAGAGCTGTTTGTTATTCTCTAATTTTTTCATGACTTCCTATTTTTCTCTACTGGATCTTGATGAATGCAGTATATTCTTCAAGGGTAATAATTAGATTTATTTTGTATGGTCTTTTGATCCTGGCACTACTCTTTTATGTGGAATCTTGCTTTTGTTTTTTAAAATGTGTTTTATTGTCTCCTGTAATGCTTCAGGATTACTGTAAAAGGCTTCTGGTTATTGATTTTATGTTTACTTTTATGAATGGCTCAATGTAAAATCTGAGTTGAATCCCTACATAGATTACATGGATATGTCCTCTGGAAAGCTTTGTATAGATGAGTGGATAGGCAGCTGATCATTGCTCTGGGTCTTTTAAAAGCCAGAATTCTGGGAGCATTGCTTAGGGGCACCATCAACTATACAAATTACTGATTGATTTATTTCTTACTCTTACCCAGTATTTGATCAATTTCTTTAGAAAGGAACCATTTTCTCCCAAGGTCTAAAAGCCTGTTTCCTAATGCTGCTATGCTACAGGAGTAGTATGGTAGGAATAGAGAGAGTGATGAGGACTGGGAATAAAAGGGGTAAACTGTCCTGTGTAGATCAATGAATCCTCTACTCTTAGCTCCTCTTCTCACTGCTGTGAGAAGCTTACCTGTTTTTTTCCTAGTGCTATTTTCTGTGTGGATATGCAGATCAAGTGAGTTGTCTCTGAACAATAACTCCTTCCTGAAAATTCTAGTCTATGGTTCCCCCTTGTATTCTCAGTCAATATTTTTCAATAACTTTCATTTCTCAGGACCTTATGTTGTTTTCTTTGTATTTGTACACATTTTAATTTTTCTTTACATTAAATATTTTAGCCGTTGCCCTTTCCACGCTCCTCATTATGCTGCCTTTTTTACTCCCTAATATGCTCATACAGAAGGTCATCTTAGTAGCACTAACTGTGGTCAAATGAATAAGGGATGAAGAAGAAATTATTTATAGAAAAGGATCACATGCTGAGATTTGTAGTACTCGTGTAGCACTTAACACCAGGCAATACATATATGACATGAATGTCTGGCAGGCATTCAAGATATAATGATGTCCAATAACATTGAAAAAGAACACCTTTTTAAAAAATTAAGATTGTTTTTCTCTTGAAAATAATTTTGCATTAAAAGCATGTGCTACTTTTTTTTCTTTGAAAAGAATTCACATTACATGTGTGCTACTTATTGATATATGGACTACATTGTGGTTTGCCATATTAGATTATAGGTTTTGAACCAAAAGTATGATTTAAAAGGACATGTTAAAAATAAATAATGAAGAGAGTTTAATAATGTAAGAGATCCGTATGAACAAGTAGTGCTAAGTATGTATCTCACTTCAGCTCCTGCAGTGGGACTTTCACATGCAAATAGATGCATTATGGGTACCAGTTATATGTAGTTATCTCCCTTTTCCTCAAGTAGATGAACGTATGACAGGTTGCATTTACAATAATCCCTATGGATAATATTTTTTTCTAAGTATATACAAGATATTTTTTTATACCTTTATTTTATCAAACATTAAGCAATAACTAAAGCAATAAACATTGGTTTACAATTTTCATTTATACTGTATCTCAGTTGCAATGTTGCCTAGCATGTGACATATCTTCCACTGACATTTGTAATGCATGTCAAAATAAAAATGATGTTTATTGCTTTCTTGGAACTTACTCTTCACGGAGAATAAACCCTGGATAAATGATGCATTTGATCTGATGATGAAATATAAGAACAGTGATATGTATTGTTTGGAATAATCCATCAAAAGACACTGTCAGTGTATCCCTAAAGAGTGTGCTTATACTTTATATGTTGCATTTTTCTTCAGAAACTGACTGATAGTACCTGTTTTTGAGATGACAAAAAGAGAACAGAAGAAAATGGGTTGCTACATGAAGCAAAAGTTAGTGCATTATTACTCACAAGTAGTGTTATTGTAAACTGGAAGGCACATATACACACTTTCACTCTGAAAGTCAAAGGCCAAGAAAATATTTTAGAATTTGCACAGCAGTGAAGGACGTGAATATGTATGGAAACATGCAAGTTGCCTTAATACTCTTGAAGGAATTAAATAATTGTCTTAAGGCCATATATTGTTTAACCATGGTTTATTCTGTGTTATGTAAAATTCTTATAGTTCTTTTAATAACCTAATACCACTATGGAGTTTCTAGAAGCAATACATATTTGCTATAGAATGGCTTATGGGTTAGTTTTAGTAACTTTTTGTTAGTTTTTTAAATTCTTTTTAAAAAATTAATCACTCTTTTGCATTCCAAAAAAAGAAAGCAATACCCATCATGCATGTTCACATATACACATACAGAATCACTAGTCTGCTTGTTTGGTATGTGGATGGGAAAAACAGAAATTATACTGATGGCAGCAGTGGCCCATCTGGAGTGGCTGCTGTGAAGACAATGGCTGCAGCAGGGGAGGTGTGGCCAGGGCTGCAGGAGAGTCACAGCTGGGGCTGCATCCTCCCAGAGCCAGCAGGCCTGAAACAGGCGGGAGCCTTGCCTCCTACCAAGTGGTGGAGCAGGAGCCCCATGCTCTGGGCACAGCTGCAGCCACCCAGCTGCAGCTCTGGACCTGGGCATCCATATACTCTCGGGGTCCCAGGAAGCCACCCTGCCCCCACAGGCTTGGAAGTGCCTGTTCCCACTGTCTGGCCTTTCCCTGCTCCTGGCACCCACTTTGGGGCAGAGCAAAGTTGTGGCTGAGCCCAGGTGCTGTTGCAACCCAGCCAGGTGTGCGTGTGCTTGGGGTGGTGCCGACTCACCAGTCCCCCGCCATTTGGCCCCCTCCAGACATTGGGCACCAACAAACACAAGAGAGAGGCCAAAGGGGTACTGAGGGTGGCTCAGCTCAGGTCTGCAGGTGCCCCTTGGCATGAACAGCCTGGGTGCTGTGGATGACATGTAGATGGTGGCAGGAGGCAGACAGGCTCCTGGGCAGAAAAATGTGGGTCCCTGGTGAAGCCCCACCTTCAAGCCAGGCATGGCCTAAAGCCTGGGGGCCAGGCTCCCAATTCCCAGTGGAGTCCACAACTGGGAGTGAGGACTTGTGGTGATTTTTCTGGGCCCACCTATGGCCACCCAAGGACCAATCAGCACGTATTTCCCCTCTTCTGAGCCCATAAAAGCCCCAGATGGACCCAGCCAGACTCACACAGACATTAAAACTACCAGCTGTGGGAAGGAGCTACCCAATTTGGGTCTCCTCAACTCATTCAGACAACCTGCCTGCAGATAGGAGCTACCCACTCCAGATCTCTGCTGAGAGCTGGACACTCATCAGGACGACCTGCCCGCAGAAAGGAGCTACCCACTCTGGGTCTCCTCTCTGTGGAGGGCTGGAAACGCATTGGGCTGACGTGCCTGCAGAAATGAGCTACCCACTTTGGGTCTCCTGAGAGCTGTTCTCTGTTCTGTCACCCAGTAAAGTTCCTCTCTGCCTTGCCCATCCACCTACCAGTTTTTCATGTACCTCATTCTTCCTGGATGTGGAATGAACTCGGGACCCACTAACTGGTAGGGGACTAAAAGAGCTGTAACCCAAACAGGGCTGAAATGACCCCCTGCTTGCCACTTTGCAGGTGATGAGAAGGAGAGAAGAGCTGTGGCCCTTCAGGGAGCCCAGACCTAGAAGCTCCACGAGCCAGTGCTGTGACACCCTCTTTGGGGCTGTGCAGTTTCAGATGTTTCCAAGCATCCAGACGCCACTGAATTCTCATCCAGATTTGGGTGCCCACAGCAGAAGTTGCTTGGAGTGCATCTGATCCAGCTCCAGGCTTACACAGATCCAGTGCCTGTGCCAGTGCCTGGAGCTGCCTGCCCCACTGCAGCAGCTGGCATGCCTGGCTGTGCACAGTGGCTGGACCTGGTTCTCACTTGCTCACACACCCCTCACCTCTCTGCTCCTGGCTTGCCTTTGGCTGGTGTGGAATCTGGGCTGTAGCAAGAGCTGAGCACAGCCTACCAGGCCGAGTGGGCAGAATGAGCCCAGCAGGCCCAAGCAAAACTTGGGCAAAGGTACCACCAGCCACAGAGGTTTCTGGCTGGAAAAGTGACACCCTAGGGATCCTGTGACAGTATCAGAGTTCCTTCCCCTTACTCTCCTTCCCTCCCACCCTCTGTACACACAAGAATGCAATTCTCTAATTTCTGACCCAAGATGGATGATTCTTGTAGGCTGTGTAATTTACTCCTTTGCTGACATGGAATTAATGGTTCCTCTAGATGAAGGATTAGCCCTGTTGCTACCATTTTTCCCATCTTTGTGTAACCTGAGAACTAGCATTTGACATCCAAGCCTTAGCCTCAAGATACAGATATAACTCAACTAACAGCATCCTTAGTCTATGATGACAGCTTAGACTTCTAAGTACTTTTCTCTTCCCTGCCCTAGCAGGGATTTCCATGACAGCAAGGCTGTCTTCTCTAGTCTTCCTTTCCTTAGGCTGTTACTTCAAACACTAGAAGCTTGTCTTTTATTGACTTATTTTCTCACAAGTCAGACAGAAGTGTAAGGGTTTGGCTACTGTTGATATAAACTTTTATCTCATTTAGGGAGATGAATCATTCTTCTCTCTGGATTGTGTTAACCAGGACCAAATGATCTCTTATTTTATGATAGATTTTGATCCAGTACATTCTTGCTATCTAAAACCTGAATGTTCATCTACCCTTAACTTCTATTTTTTCATCAAGGGTAGAATATAATATGAAGAAGGAAATTCCTATTCCTAGACTGAAACTTGCTTCACTTTCTTTGTGTGTAGCTCCTAACATTAGATATAAACAAATATGTAATTAAGAAATATTTTTAAATAGGGTTAGGTTACCTTAAAATTAATGATACAGGATAGCAGTGTGTTGAAAATTAGACCCTGGAGAGAGGGATGGTGCCTGTACTCAGATGCTAGGTTGGTCACATACTAGCTGTGTGGCCTTATTCAGTTACATAGATTCTCTGTGCCTTAGTGTCTTCATTTGTAAAAGGGGGATAAAAATTAAATCTGCTGCCTTTGGTTGTTGTGAATCTTACTGTTTCAGACAATTCTGTTTCAACTATTAGCTGTTATTAATCATGATGACAATACTAACACTATTAACGAAAGACAGTTTGTATATGTCATTTCATTTTGGTTCTTTCAACAATGCTGAAATAAGATATGTTATTCTCATTTTTTAGGTAAAAATACTAAAGCCCAGGAAGTTTTATTAATTTTTGCCAGGTCATTCAGTCCGTCTGTGTCTAAACTAAGCTCAAATTTAAGATTCTCCCTCAAAAGCCTTTTTTCTCGTCTGCAATAGATAGTCTCCCTTTATTTACTGACTTTTGTTATAATGAGGATCCTGGGTGAAAACTAGTATTATCAGAGATATCTTATTTTTACAGAGCATTTCAGCAGAGTACATTTCCTACATTCATAGTTGGCTGTACAGGTTATTGAACTTTATGATATGATGCAGGAACTCAAAGAGCACTTTCCATGACAAACTTAATTTCCTCATATACTTATTCTAGTGATACAGAGAGAAAGGAAGATGAAGGAAGGGATTCTTTCAGGGGGAAATAAGTGTAGTCAGGATGTTATAGTGAACACTTTGATCCTCAAAGGGTCAGCATGAGAAAGAAAGTTGTGAGAAGGAATCAAATGTTAGGCAGATATATGAGGAGGGAAATTTTCAAAGACACTCAGTTCCTTCATAAAGTAGTTTAGTCAAAATAATTGTTATTAGAAGGATTAGAAGATTAAATGACTTTAAAAAATGAGTTAATTTATGTGCAAGAATATGTCTTTTTACCATTATAGAGATTTGAATATATATTTAATCACATTTATTTTTTAAACCCGACTTTATGAACTAATATGAAAAGATGGACACATTGTTCTTTTCTTAGCAGAGTCATATTAAGATATATTATTAAAACACTCTCAATTAGTAAAAATGAGATCTTTTTATGGCTAATTTACTGGAGTTATCTTTTTCTTAGATATCAGAGCTTATTTTAAAGTGTACTTCTTAATAATTTAATAACCCATCTTTAACTTTGAACATGTTAATTTTCTGCTACCTTAATGACTCTAATGGCATAAAAAATAAATAGTACATTTATGCACCATTAAGATCTGGCTGTTGTTCTGTTTCATACTGCTGGGAACTCATGCTAGAGATGCTATAGTCCTTACATTTTTTAAAGATACCCTTTTACAATTTGAGCTTTGAGAATCCAGAATTTTAGGGGTCTTTTTCAGGAGTCTTGTTCTTCTCCTAGGCTCTGGGCTTAGGAATAAAACCTCTACTGAGCTGGGAACCCAGCCACTGAGTTATATTCATTTCTTTGCCATGGCCTTTGGGGAGACCTTATAGTTTGGAGAGCCTTTGAAAAGAAGCAAGATTTGTTGTATTCACTGTCAGGAGTGTGTCTAGTGTTTTTGTCAGGAATAAGGGATATACTCAAAGTAAGAGTATATATGAATGTGTGGCAATATAGCCAGGCACGGTGGCTCATGCCTGTAATCCCAGCACTTTAGGAGGCTGAGGTGGGCGGATCACGAGGTCAGGAGATTGAGACCATCCTGGCTAACATGGTGAAACCTCGTCTCTACTAAAAATACAAAAAATTAGCCAGGCATGGTGGTGGGCGCCTGTAGTCCCAGCTACTCGGGAGGCTGAGGCAGAATGGTGTGAACCTGGGAAGCAGAGCTTGCAGTGAGCCAAGATCACACCACTGCACTCCAATCTGGGTGAGAGAGTGAGACTCCGTCTCCAAAAAAAGAATGTGTGGCAATACTACATTAGTGCATATAAATGTGTAGGCTGGGTATGGTGGCTCATGCCTGTAATCCCAGCACTTTGGGAGGCTGAGGTGGGTGGATTGCCTGAGGTCAGGAGTTTGAGATCAGTATAGCCAACAAAGTGAAACCCCATCTCTACTAAAAATACAAAAAAATTAACTGGGTGTGGTGGCATGTGCCTGTAATCCCAGCTACTCAAGAGGCTGAGGCAGGGGAATTGCTTGAACCAGGAAGGTAGAGGTTGCAGTGAGCCGAGATGGCGCCACTGCATTCCAGCCTGGGTGACAGAGCAAGACTCCATCTCAAAAAAAAAAAAAAAAAAAGGTGTGCAAATTGTTGCAGGAAAAGTCGTGTATTTCCATTTCTACTATACTATCAGCATTATATGAATATTCTATTAACATTTTATGAGATTTCTCAGTATACTAAATCATGCCTTTTAACAATTAAAAATTTTATTTCACATGCTGACATGACATTTTACTGTGTTAAAAGTGGTGGCATTCATGCTCCAATAATAGAAAACAGGGCTCCATGGAGTAATAGCTGATACTAAGCTTGGGCCAGGAAACATACAGGTTGAGCCTGGAGCATGTTGTAGTGCCAGGAAGCATTTTCTCATTCCATATTCTTACCAATATGTGTTATCATATTTGCCAATAGGATAGGTGAAAAATATTTGCTATTATTATTTTAACTAGTATTTCTTCAATTATTAATTAAACATTTAAATATATTTATTGGCCACTGGCAGTTTTCATTTTATGAAATGTCTGCACAATATTCTGTACTTATTTTCAGCCTATATGATTTATAAATGATCTTTATTGAAGAAGGACACTAATTCTTGTCTTGTACATTGCAAATATTTTTGGCAGTTTTCTATTATTTTAAATTTGTTTATGATAATGTTAACCATAGAAACTTTTTATTTAGCCAAATTTACCACTCTTCTTACTTTTTGGATTTTTTTGTATTTTTATAAGAAAACGATTCTCATTTGAGATTATTGAAATGAGCACCCAAATTTTCTTCTAGTACTTTTATAGTTTTATATTTTATATTTATATCTCTAATTTATCTGGAATTTATTATTGCATATTTGGTGTGAGCTTGCAATCTAATGATTCTTTTTTCCTATGGCTAATAAATGGTTCATTTTTCAACAATCCAAGTAGATTTTAGAAAATCTACAACCTACACAGACCAAAAATATTCTTGATATTTGTATTATGTATTATCACTGCTAACTAGTTTTTATAATGATGATGTTTTAATTCTTATTTTTGCTTCTCTGGCTAGAAGGTAGATACTATAACCTTCTCTTCTCCTATACTACCATCATCTCTTTAAAACCTCATTAACTGTTCTTAAAAGGGTGAACTGTTCTCTAAAAGCATAAATCTGGTGTGTGTGTGTGTGTGTGTGTGTGTGTGTGTATGTTTATATTTAAAAGGATGAACTTTTTCAAAAGATTATTCTGATACATACACACACACACACACACACACACACACACACACACACACACACACAGGGCTACACTCTATAGGATCCTTTATTTGATATTTTGCTCCATGAATAAATAACCAAAGTTTTTTTCTTATGTGAATGGAGTTAACTATTAAATTTCAAATTATTTTTCTTTCCTTTTAAGATTATAGGTTTATTTCGCCTTTTGCCTAAAAACAAAACTAGTGAAAATTAAAGTATAAAAATAAATACAGTTTACATTAATGGACATTCCATTCAAAGTAAAAATAATGATAATAATACATCAAAAGCTCACAGCATTGTCTGGCACCTGTATGAGAAAAAGTTGTGAACATAAAATAATATGCAAAATACATAGGCTTTTACTTTTAAATTATATCACACTCAAGTTGCTCATCCTTAATCTAAAGCTAACTTTAACTTTCTCCAAAACATACTATTTGTTTTAGATAATTTGCATTAGTATACCCAAAACTTTTAGCATCTTTCTTACTGGACAGACGCACAGTGATATGAGTAAGCTGAATCCTTAGTTTTTTGTTTATCACATTTAGAAGATAATTTCATATACTTTGCCTGTAAATTTAAAAATTAGTAACTGGGATTTTTTTGACTGGCTTCTAATTTGATACACCTTGCCTGTAAATTTTAAAATGGTAACTTGGACTGTTTTGACTGGCTTCTAATTTTCTGGTTCACTCATTCTATATGCAATACATCTCAATAAGAAAGTCGAGTTTACATGCAGGGTAAATTATCATTTTCTGTCTATAGGTGGATGTGAAAGTTAAATTTTAGGTGGAACAGAAAAATCAGAGAAAATGATCTTTATCTACATATTCTCATCCTGAAAGCAAAGACAGCAAGGACCAAGTTGCTATTCTTCAGAAAGAGTTGATATATTAAATTATAAGGATATTTTCCATCATATCTCAAGTCTGGTTGTCAAAACTGAGCATCTTATCTGCTTTATAATGACTTTTTAAGAAAGATTGTTTTTCTGGAAAGTGGCTATCAGTAAAATATTCAGTGTAGATTTAATTTTCTTTGATGGATATATAATTAATCTAAAAATTAGTACATTGTATTTCCTAATTGTGATATTGAGGGAAATAGTACTAAATAGAGAATCTAGCCCTGGTCTCTTATGTAGTTAAACACATCATCAACAGCTAATATAGAAGATGGCAGAGTAGAGGGTTTTCTAGAGTGCCTCACCAACTCTGAAGAAGCAAAATAGTGTGTAGAATTCACAATGTGAAACTTTATCCAAGAAGGCACACAGGAATTCAACATAAAGTGAATAAGAACTTTAGATATTGGGGAAGAGAAGGTAAGTGGGCAGCCTGTGTGGTGGTGTCTGACTGAGAGCTGTGAGTGAAGTCCCAATATAGGAGAGGGAGAAAAAGTACTCCTCTGCAATCCACATTTCCACTGGGGAGCCGTACAATCCAGGCTGTGAGAGAATACCTTGCCCTTCCCAAGCCCTGAATCTAAATTGGAGAGAGGCTAAAACACTATGAGAAGGGACATCACTAGGAAGCACCCCAAGCATTTTCCAGTACTTGGGACCTGATAGAAAAATGTGATTCTCAATCCTAGCTCATACAAAGCCAGGTGGGATTCTGTGATCTAGCAGCAGTGGCAGACTTGGGCATTAAAGGAGCTTGGACAGGGGATTGTAATGCTGGGTTTGGGGCAACAGAGGGGCTCCCACAGCCAAAACTGAGAGATGAGTGTGGCATTTGCTCCAGCTGTGGGCATTTTAATAGGGCTCTCTCCCTTCGTGGGTGGAGCAGAAGGAGATTTGCCAGAGAGGCATGGTTTTGTCCCGGTTTCAAGTTATACAGCTCAGTGTGACTTTGCAGACTAAAGGTATACTGCACATGACTTTACTGAGTGTCTCAACTTGCTCCCTTTATTGGGTTGGGGAGTGAACCCTGCCAGGTCTAAAGAATGAGAGGAGAAGGCTGGGCATGGTGGCTCATGCCTGTAATCCCAGCACTTTGGGAGGCTGAGGTGGGCAGGTCACGAGGTCAGTAGTTTGAGACCAGCCTGGCCAACATAGTGAAGCCCTGTCTCTACTAAAAATACAAAAAAATTAGCTGAGCATGGTGGCAGGCTCCTGTAATCCCAGCTACTCAGGAGGCTAAGGCAGGAGAATTGCTTGAACCTGGGAGGCAGGGGTTGCAGTGAGCCAAGATCACAACACTGTATGCCAGCCTGGGTGACAGTGTGAGACTCCATCTCAAAAAAAAAAAAAAAGAGTAAGGAGAGAGGTGGGTCCTATATTCGTTTGCCTAGATTAAGGACTGGGCTGCCTCTGCCTTCCTGTGCCAACTTGATACAGCAATAATTGCTCTGTCTCAGGAATAATTGCTTCTCCCTCAGGAATATCTCCAAGGTGCCTGCCCGTTGCTCCTGAATTCCCACCAGAGATGGTGCTTTTACACACCATTGCAGGGCCTGAGTGCAGAATTTCCCTGTTGCCCTTTCCAGTTCCACCCAACTTGACCCCCACCACCTTCCCACAATGCTGGACCACAGGACCCAGATCATTAAGTTGCTCCCTGGCCTAGCTAATTGCCTGGGACAATGGATTACTTTTCTGATTGAAAAAGATCAAGTATAAACCCTATTGCTATCACCACAGAGAGATCTTACCTGCAAGCAAGAACTATTGGCCTGAAGTTCGGCCTACACAATCCAATACAAAATTTACTGGCAGAAGTGCATAGCATTTGGAAACAAGATAAGTTTCACATAACATTTGCTACCACCATCTTCCATGACACCTCAGCTTCTCAGGAGGACATGAGTCTGCTCACCCACCTGGTACACCACTACTACAACCAACATTTGAGAAAGCTACCACCCTAAGGCTATTTATAACCAAGGAAATTCCACAGATTCTTTGCCGTTGAACACACCTAGAAGCAAAGCCAAATGGCTCTACTCAGTATACATCATAGACACATTCTCAAGAAAAAAATAAAAGTCCTGCCCCCAAGAAAATAAATTCAAAAATAAGAAGTGACTGTTTCTCCAAATGCAAATAAATTAGTGTAATAACATAGGAATATGAAAAAGTAATGTGTAATGATACACATAAAGAAACACAGTAATTCTCTAGCGACATGTCCTAACTAAAAAGAAATACTCAATATTCCAGATAAAGAGTTCAAAATATTGATTTTTAAAGAAGATCAATGAGTTGCAAGAGAAATCTGAAAACCAATACAAAGAAATCGGAGAATCAATTCAGGATATAAATGAGAAATTTACCAAGGAGACAGATATCTTAAAAACAAACACACAGAACTTCTGGAAATGAAAAGTTCATTGAAAGGATTACAAAATACAATGGAAAGTTTCAACAATAGATGAGACCAAAAAGAAAAGAGCATTTTGGAACGTGAAGACAGGTCTTTTGAATTAATCGAGTCAGACAAAAGTGAAAAAGAAGAAAAAGAAATGAAGAAGGCCTTTGAGAAGTACAGGATTACTTCTCAGGTTAGCAAGCTTTTCTAACCTGTGGCCCATGGGCTGCATGCGGCCCAGGACAGCTTTGAATGTGGCCCAACACAAATTCGTAAACTTTCTGAAAACATTATGAGATTTTTTTTCAATTTTTTAAAACTCATCAGCTATTGTTATTGTTAATGTATTTTATTTATAGCTCCTGACAATTATTCTTCTTCCAATGTGGCCCAGGGAAGCCAAAAGATTGGACACCTCTGACATAAAGTGACTGAACTTACATATCATTGGTATTCACAAGAGAGAAGAAAAAGCAAAAAGTTTAGAAAACCTATTTAAGGAAGTAATTGATGAAAACTTCACTAGGCTAGCAATATATTTAGAAATCTAGATACAAGAGGACCAACAAACACCAGAAAATATGCAGCAAGATGGACTTCCAAACTACATATACTCATTGGAATGTCTAAAGTCAACACAAAGGAAAAAAATTCTAAAATCAGCAAGAGAAAAGCATCTAGACACCTATAAAGGAAACTCTATCAGACCAAGAGCAACTTTCCAGCAGAAACCTTATAAATCAAAAAAGATTGGATCCTATTTTCAAAGTGCTTAAAGAAAAAACTGCCAACCCCAAATTTTATATCTTGCCAGAATAAGCTTCATAAATGAAAAAGAAATAGTTTTTCTCAGACAAGCAAACACTGAGGAATTTATCACCAGCTCTACTAGAAATGCTCAAATGAGTTCTAAACATGGGAAAGAAAGGTTGATATTTGCCATCATTAAAACACATTAAAGGATAAGATTATCAGGTTTTATAACACAATTACCCAAAGGAAGAAGAGAAAGAAATCAAATGGTAGCATAACAGGACTCCACCAAACCAGAAAGACAAACGGAGGGGAAAAAAAAGAATCTACAAAACAACTAGATAACAATTAATATTTTGACAGTCAGAAAACCTCACATACAAATAATAACCTTGAATGTAAATGGATTAAATTCTCCACTTAAAAGATATAGATTGGCAGAATTGATATTAATAAAACCCCAAAACCAACTACATGCTGCTTACTGGTAAAAAAAAAAGATATTCCATGCAAACAGAGAGCAGAGGCAAGCAGGAGTAGCTATACTTATATCAGATAACACATACATTAAATCAGAAACTGTAAAAAAAAAGAAAAAGTCATTATATAATGATAAAGGGATTAATTCAATAAGAGTATATATCAGTCCTAAATATATATGCACCAAACACCAGAGGACACAGATTCATAAAACAAATATTACTAGACCTAAAGAAAGAGATAGCAACACAATAAGTGCAGGATTTCAACACCCTACGGACACACTATAAAGATTATAGAGACAGAAAAACAACAAAGAAACACTGGACTTCAATGAAACTTTAGACCAAATGGACCTAACATACATTTATAGAACATTTTACTCAACAACCTCAAAATATACATTTTTCTCATCAGCGCATGCAGCATTCTCCAAGATAGACCATATGTTAGGCCACAAAACAAGTCTCAACAAATTAAAAAAAATAGTAACTTTATCAAGTGTCTTCTCTAACTATAGTAAAATGAAACTAGAAGTTAATACCAAGCAGAACTCTTGAAACTATAGAAATACATAGCAATTTAAAAACATGCTGCTAAATGATCTTTGAGTCAATGATAAAATTAAATTAATAATTTTTTTGAAATGAAGGAATATGAAAACACAACATATCAAAACCTTTGGGATACAGCAAAAGCAGTGCTCAGAGGCAAGTTGATAGGGTTAAATGGCTGCATTAAAAGAAGAAAGATCACAAAATAACAACCTCACATCACATTTGAAGGAACTAGAAAATCAAGATCAAACCAAATCCAAAGGTGGCAGAAGAAAGGACAAAGATCAGATCAGAACCAAATGCAATTGAGACCAAGTTAAAAAATAACAGAAGATCAACAAAATGGAAAATTTGTTTTTTGAAAAGATAAACAAAATTGATAAACCACTAGCTAGATTAACCAAGAAAAGAAGTGAGAAGATCCAAATAAATGTAATCAGAAATGAAAACGAAGACATTACAACTGTTACCACAGAAATAAAAAAGATCACCGGAGACAACCATGAACAACCACATGTTCATGAATTAGAAAATCTAGAGTAAATGGCTAAATTCCTGGGAACATACAAATTTCCAAGATTGAACTAGGAATAAATAAAAATCCTAAACAGACCAATAATGAGTAATGAGATTGAATCAGTAATAAAAAATAATCTCCCAACAAATAAAAGCCCAGGAGAAGATAGTTTGAAATTCTGGTTGCTGAATTTTACCAGTTGTACAAAGAAAAACTGAAACCCATCCTCCAGAAACTCTTTCAAAAAATTGAGGTGGTGGGAATCTTTCATAATTCATTCTATTAGGCCAGTATCTCCCTGATACCAAAGACCAGAGAGGACAGCACTAAAATAGAAAAGTATAGACAAATATCCCGAGTGAACAAAGATACAAAAATCCTCAACAAAATAATAGCTAATCATATCCAAGAGCACTCCAAAAAGATAATACACCATGATCAAGTGGTTCCCCCACTGCCAGGGATACCAGGATTGTTCAGCATTTGCAAATCAATAAATATGGTTCATCACACAAACAAAATTAAGGACAAAACCATATGATAATCTTAATAAATGCAGAAAGAAGCATTTGATAATTTCCAGCATCATTTCGCTATAAACACCCTCACAAACTAGTCATAGAAGGAACATATCTTCTATAATAATAAAGGGCATATATGACAAATCCATGACCAACATCGTACTGATCTGGGAAGAGTTTGAAGCAATCCCTCTAAGAACTAGAACAAGACAAGAATGTGCACTTTGGCCAATCCTATTCAACTTAGAATGGAAGTCCTAGCCAGAACAATCAGACGAGAAAGAATTAAAAGGCATCCATGTTGGAAAAAAGGAAGTCAAATTGTTTCTATTCATTGATGATCTTATACTTGATTAGAAAATTCTAAAGATTCCTCCAAAAACTCTTAGAATTGATAAATGTATTTAGTAAAGTTTTATTATACAAAATCAATTTACAAAAATCTGTAGCATTTCTCTGCACCAGTAATGGTTGAGCTAAAAATGAAATCAAGAATGTAATCTCATTTACAATAGCTACAGAAGAAAAAATAGTTAGTAATATATTTAACCAAGGAGATGAAATATCCCTACAAGGGAAATTACAAAATACTGATGAAAGAAATTGTGGATGACACAAACAAATGGAAAAACATCCCATGCTCATGGAGTGGAAAAATTAATGGTATTAAAATGACCATATACCCAAAGCAATCTACAGGTTTAATACAATTCCTATCAAAATACCAATGTCATTATAAAGAATTATAAAGTATAATCTTAAAATTTATATGGAATCATAAAAGAGCCCAAATAGCTAAATAAATTCTAAGCAAAAAGAATAAAACTGGAGGTACTGCATTACCTAACCTCACATTTTACCACAAGGCTATGGCAACCCAAACAGCATTGGGAAAGGACACTCTTCTTTTTTCCTTTTTCTTTGTCTTTTTTTTTTTTTTTTTTTTTTGAGACATTGTCTCGTTCTTGTCACCCCGGCTAGAGTGCAATGGCCCTATTTTGGCTCACTGCAACCTCTGCTTCCCAGGTTCAAGTGATTCTCCTGCCCTAGCCTCCTGAGTAGCTGGGATTACAGGCACCCGCCATGACCGGTTAATTTTTTTGTATTTTTAGTACAGACAGGATTTCACCATGTTGGTCAGGCTGGTCTCGAACTCCTGACCTCAGGTGATCCACCTGCCTCGGCCTCCCAAAGTGCTGGGATTACAGACATGAGCCACCTCACCCAGCCAGGACACTGTTTTCAATAAATGGTGCTGGGAAAATTGGATAGCCGGATGCAGAAGGATAAAACTAGACTCCTATCTCTCAGCATATAGAAAAATCAACTCAAGTTGGATTAAAGTCTTAAATATAAGACCTGATACTATTAAAATACTAGAAAAAGACCTAGGAAAAATACTTCTGGACATTGATTTACGCAAGGAATTTATGACTAAGACCTCAATAGCACAAGTAATAAAAACAAAAATAGATAAGTGGGACTTAATTAAACTAAATAGCTTCTGCCCAGCAAAGGAAATAATTAACAGAGTTAACAGACAACTTGCAGAATAGGAGAAAGTATTTGCAAACTATGCATCTGATAGGGGACTGATATCCAGAATTTATAGGGAACTCAAACAACAATCAAAAGAAAACCATTAAAAAGTAGGCAAATAAATAGATATTTTTCAAAAGAAGATATATAAATGGCTAACAAGCATAGAAAAGATGCTCAACATTACTAATCATCAGGGAACTGCAAATTAAAACCACAATGATATGTCATCTGACGTAAGTCAGAATATGGCCAGTTATAAAATGGAAAAAATATAATAGACTTTGTGAGGATGCAGAGAATAGTGAAGAAACATTTAGACACTGTTTATGGGAATGTAAATTAATACAACCACTATGAAAAGCTGTATGGAGACATCTCAAAGAACTAGAAATAGAACTACCATTCAATCCAGCAATCCCACTACTAGGTATCTACCCAAAAGAAAAGAAATTATCATATAAAAAAGACACCTACACTTGTATGGTTATTGCAGCACTATTCATAATAGGACAGATATGTAATCAACCTAAGTGTCCATCAGTGATGAATAAATAAAGAAAATAATGTACATATTTTCTTTATCCAATGGAATGCTATGGAATACTATTCAGCCATAAAGAATGAAATTGTGTCTCTTGTAGCAACATGGATATGTAATACTGTATACTTATGATACCATATCATTAAAAGGATATGATGTCATTGTCTTAAGTGAATTGCAGGTCATTATCTTAGGTGAAACAATGCAGAAACAGAAAGTCAAATGCTGTATGGTCTCACTTATAAGTGAGTGCTAAAAAATGTATGCACACGTACATAGTGTGGAATAATAGACATTGGAGCCTGGGAAAGGTGGGTGAGTGGAAGCAGGGGTGAGGGACAAGAAATTACTTAATGGGTACAATGTACATTATTCAATTACTGGTTACGCTGAAAGGCCCGACTTCACCTTTACATGATATATCCATGTAACAAAACTGCACGTGTAACTCTTTAATTTATACAAATAAGAAGAGAAAATATTGTAATCCTGTTAGAAAAAAATGTAAGAAGTTAATATTTAAAAAGCAAAGGGATAAAAGAATTTAAAGATACCAATTATTCTCTTTAGTTATTGAACATTTTTCATCCATATGGAGCTCAATATAATTTAGTTTAATATTTATTAAATCTAAAATGACTGATAAAAGACACATTGTTCAGGACAGAAAACAATCTGAACTCACTTTACTATAGCAAATTATCAGTTTTAATGTGTTCCATTAAATAACGTAGACATAAAATATGTATTAAGGGTCAACGTTAATCATCTTAATATATATGCCAAGGCTGTCTTTATAATCCCGGTACTACTTGCTATCTATATAATTTTGGACAGTTAACTTAAGCCTGGTCTTTGGAACTAGTTCATGTTTCATTTAGTTACACCATATTCCCCAGATATTCCTTTTATTCTTCATATTACTTAGATGTCTTTTAATTCCTATATACTCATTAACTTAGATGACTGAGAACTACACTAAGTAATGCTCAAATTTCTAGTCAGATGTAGCCAAAAGTACATTGGGCTTGCAGTCAGAAGCCCTGAGTTTCAGTCCAAGCTGTTATTTATTAGGTGTTTAATGTTAAATCATTTAATCACATTTTTCTACAGCTTCTTCATCCGTGGTGTGTAGGATGTAAGTAGGAATAAATTGGGCAATTAAAAACAATTTCTAGCGGTTTTCACATTTAAGAGTGAGGAGAAATATGTGTGGCTAACGGATTGGGTAGAGTGGGATGATGCAAAAGATTAGTCTTGTTTTCCTCTGAAAGCAGTTAAATTTATTTGTTCCCCATATGGCAAGCAATGGGGATTTGGGGGCAGTTAGAAAAATGTGTAATACTGTAGACTTATGATAGCATGTCATTATATCTACACAATTAACACAAATAAAACTTCTGTTAATATAATTGTATCATTGGATTATTTTACTCTTATCATTCCATTAAATTTGTTTCAATGTATTGTCCAGTCAAGTAGCTCATGAGTTTATTTGAGGGTTGGAAATACTGATTTTATTGTATTATATTTTATACTTCATATTACCCACACCTTATAATTGTATATATTTAATAAATCTTGAGAAATTAAATTATATGAATTCACTTTCTTTAAAAATATGTAGCTTATTAATAGCAAATCTTTATCTTAAATAATGTTTCTTTCCAAATACCATTTAATTTATTTTCAAATAATTCTAAATTTCTTCTCTTTTATGGGAACATTTGCATTGGGTGTCACTAGTGGCACTCCTGTAATAAATCTTTTAGATATTTTTAATTTCCAGTGTTTTAATTCTCAGTATATGACATGTAATACTACGCAAAAATGATAAACTCTTTTTTTTTTTTCTTTGAGATGGAGTCTCGCTCTGTCACCCAGGCTGGAGTGCAGTGGCATGATCTCGGTTCACTGCAAGCTCCGCCTCCTGGGTTCACGCCATTCTCCTGCCTCAGCCTCCCAAGTAGCTGGGATTACAGGCACCCACCACCGCGCCCGGCTAATGTTTTGTATTTTTAGCAGAGACAGGGTTTCACCGTGGTCTCGATTTCCTGACCTCGTGATCTGCCCGTCTCAGCCTTCCAAAGTGCTGGCATTACAGGCATGAGCCACTGTGCCTGGCCAAAAATGAGAAACTCTTAGTCTTTAAGCATTGTTATGAAAGGTAAGAGATTTAGAATCACATTGCCCATGCCTTATCTCTTACTAACTTTGGGACCCTGGGAAAATTAATTTATCTGACCTTCAAGGCTCTTATTTATAAAATCAGCATTATAATATCCCATTTTTGAAAATAACTTTTAACGGGTTAAATAATGAAACGGCTTCAAAGCATTTAGTCAGGTGCTTAGCACATGGTAAACCTTTATGTTGTTACTACTAATAAAATCCTCCTGCATTTTAAAGTAGTTTCCTAAAAAAATCTTTTGCCTCTAAATTTTGTAAGCTTTTTGTTCTCACTTATTTCAACACAAATTCAGCCATTATAGGGGTGACTTCAATGCCCTCACAAATGATTCATTAATACCTCAGTCTTACAGATGTTTGACTTATTCTGCTACAGTGACCTTTACTTTTTACCCCAATCCCACAATCATTCCTCAATATTATACTTTTTTAAAAACATACTCAGAGAAACATGGATGTTTGAGCTAAAAACAAAATGCAATAAACTTAATTTACTTTGGTATCAAAGTGCTCTCCCTGCGTATTTATATTATTCTTCCTGCTCTTTCTTTCAATGAGTAAGCAGAAAGTATAGGTAGTTTTCATTAGTTAATACAGTAAATAGCTCTGTCGCTCTTAAACTAGGTTCTTTTGGTTGCAAGTGGCAGAAACCCATCTCAAACCAAGTCAAAACTCATTTCAGAGTAGCTTAGTTTTAGCTAAAAGATGGAAAATTATTGATTAATGTTACAGAGAGGCCCAGTGCTGGTTTTGGATTTAGGGATGGTTGCATCTGAGAGGTTCAGGCAGTGTTGCTTACTTTGTCTCTCTTTAGCTCTTTATGTCTCCTTTTCTGTCTTTGCCTTTCAATCTACCTTAACGTTTTGGCTTTTTTGCCTGTTATCTTTTATTTTTAGACAAGTACTAGAAGGAAGACTCCTGGCTATCTTAGCCCTATATTTATAGATACCAGAAAAAGTGGTAACCTATTATTAATAGCTCTGCCAAATAGTCTAGTAAAAACTTTGATTGGCTCTGCTTAGGTCATGTGCCAATTTTTGAAATAGACAACAATGGCCAGGAGTGGGGAGTATTCTGATAGGCCATGCCTGGTTCATGTGTTCAATTCAAGGCGTGAGGATGTGAGATTTATTTAAACCTGTGATGGCAAGCTAGGGCCCACTGCTTATTTTTATATAACAAGTTTTATTTGAACATAGATATAGCCATTTATTTACATATTGCCTATGGCTGCTTTCACACTAAAATGGTTACAGTACTGACAATGTTACCCACAAAGCTTAAAATATTTGCTGTCTGGTTCTTTACAGAAGATGTTTACTACTGTTCTAGGTAGAGTTCAAAGATGATCCCCAATAACTCACGTCCTTATACTGTGAGCAAAACCTTCCCCTTGATTGTGGGCAAAACCTGTAAGTATGACGAGATGGTACTCCTGGGATTATGTTACTTTATATGTAAAAGGGGATTTTTACAGATGTAATTAGTACCCCCAATCAACTGAGTTAATGAAAAGAGGCTATCTTGCATAGGTCTAACCTAATCAGATGCATTTTTAAAAAGAGAGTGTAGAAATTAGAAATGGAGGCAGTCAGAGAGACTGTCTCCTAATGGCCTGTAAGAAGGTAAACATTTATATTGTTAACTTTCTGTGGCGCCATGTGACAAGGGACTGTGGGTAACTACAGGGAGCTGATTGTTCCCTGGATGATAGCTGGCAAGAAAACTGGAACCTCAGTCATCACAGCTGCAAGAAAATTAATTTGGCTAACCTTGGATGAAGACTCGGAGACTCAGATGAGAATTGCAACCTGGTTAACACCTTGATTTCAGCCTGGGGAGATCATGAATAGAGAATCCAGTCAATTCCTACTCACACTCCTGACCCATGGTAACTGTGAGATGATAAATTTGTGTTATTTTAAACCAATAATTTTGTGATAATTTGTTACTCAGTAACATAAAATTGACATAGACTGTTGTACCTGAAGTTGGAATGCTTCTGTAAATATCTTAAAAAGGGGAGCGGCTTTGGAACCAGGCAGTCTGTGGAGGCTTTGGATTTTTAAGAAGTATGATAAAGAATATCTAAATTGCCTTAAACAGACCATTAGTAGAGATAAGGATGTTGAGAATACTCATGGTCAGGACTTAGAAAGAAGTAAGGAAATTGTTATTTAAAACTGGAAGAAGGGGAACTATCATTATGTTGTGGCAGAAAGCTTAATGGAATTATGTCCTGCAGTTAAGTGGAAAGCAGAACTTGTAAATGATGAACCTGGATGAAAGGAAATTTCTAAGTATACTGTTCAAGGTGTGGTCTGTTTTCTTCTTCCTGCTTATGGTAAAAATGAAAGAGGAGTAAGATAATTAAGGGAAGAACTGTTCAACAAAAAGGAATGAAGTCTGCATGGTTTTGAAAATCCTAAGCCTCTCCAGATGATGAAAGATGCTAAAAGTTAGAAATGGCTATGAAAATTATGACATTGGTTAAAGAAATTGTAGATAAACTCAGAATTAATAAGTGAATTTAGCAAAGTTACTGGATACTAAATAAATAAACAAAATCCAATTATACACTTAGATTTATGCCACAGAAATTAGGAAACTTGAAAAACAAAATGCCATTTACAATTACAAAAAACTCTATGATAATTTATCTAATAAAAAGTATACAATACCTCTTTAGAAAAGTGTATACATTTTTGTTTAGAGGACATAAAATTTTATAAATAAATGGAGAAATCCACCATAATCAGGAGTTGGAAACTCTGATACTGCGTAGCTGTCAATTTTGCTAGGCTAATCCATATATCTATATAATCTGAACTGAAATTCCTGCAGTTTTGTGTGTGTGTGTGTTGTTAGCAAGCTTGCCCTACAATTTAATTCCATGGGCCATGAATAAGCAATATCAACTCAAAGAAGCACAAGTTGGGAGGCATTTTCTCTATCCGATATCACTTATTTTAAGACCAGAATAATACAGGAAAATAGACAATGTAGGCTGGGTGCAGTGGCTCATGCCTGTAATCCCAGCACTTTGGGAGGCTGAGGCAGGCAGATCACGAGGTCAGGAGATTGAGACCATCCTGGCTAACACAGTGAAACCTAGTCTCTACTAAAAAAAAAATACAAAAAATTTAGCTGGGCGTGGCGGCGGGCGCCTGTAGTCCCAGCTACTCTGGAGGCTGAGGCAGGAGAATGGTGTGAACCCAGGAGGCTGAACTTGCAGTGAGCCAAGATTGCGCCACTGTGCTCCAGCTTGGGTGACAGAGCGAGACTCCATCTCAAAACAACAACAACAACAACAACAACAACAAATAGTCAATGTAACAGAATAAGAAGATGAGAAAGAGATCCATGCATACATGGTTTATTCATGAGAAGTGTGGTACTACTGAGTAGTGATAAAATAACAGTACTTTTAATAAATGATTTAAATAAATATGCAATCATTTGGTTATATGTAAAAAATGAAACTTTATCCTTACCTTACACCATATACAAAGAATAATTACAGGTTTATTGCATATCTAAACATGAAAGGTATATTAATATATTCTTGAATAAGAAAGGATTTCCTAAGCAGATAATCAAAAGCATTAACCAAAGAGCAAAGGTAAATGAATTAGGTTGCATTATAACTTAGAAATTAATTCCATCAAATGACACAACTAAGAGAAGGAAAAGTTAAGCCCCAGCATAGGAGAAGCTATTTGCAACACATCTAACTGGAGCTAAATTTTTATAGAATTTTCATGTATTATAGGTGGATGAATAAATTGGCATAATTAGTTTGGAAAACTGCCTTACCTACTAAATTTGGAAATATGCATACATTATAATACAGCAATTCCACTTCTGGATACCTGCATACAAGAAATATGGGCCCATGAGTAGCAAAAATAAAACAAAACTAAGCCATACATATAAGCACATTCAACATAAGCAACTTTATTTGAAATAGATACACATTGGTAACACCCCAGATGTCCTATCAGTGGTAGAATAATCTATTAATTTACAATGATATGTTATCCATCTATGAAAATGTAGAAAGCACTGTAATATGGAGCAAAATGAATGTCTTCTATACGCATAGTATGGAATGAAGGCAGCTAGAAACAACATATCTACATATGCAGATCTATATATTTCAAAAATGGAAAACAAAATCTATGGTTTCGTATTTAGGATTCCCAAAGACAAGAGGTAAAGGGGTAGTGACAAAATGGAATCAGGAGTTGGACTTACAAAGTATCAGTAATGTTCTATTTTTTGACCTGGGTGGTAATTAAACAGATGTATTTATTTTTGTAAAAATGAATTGAGCTGCACACATAGATTTGTGCACTTTTTTCTGTTTGTTAGAATTCAATAAAATGTTGAATTTACAAAGCAAAAGACATTGGGAAGAAATAAAATTACTTTTGTTTGAAGACGACATGATTACTTATGTAGAAGATCCAAAATAATTTGCCAAAAACCTCCTGGAATTAGTAAGCCATTATAGCAAGTTACAGTACAAAGTTAATATACAAAAGTCAACCACTTTCCTATATTCCAGCAGTGAACAAGTGGAATTTGAAATTAAAAACACGGCCGGGGTGGTGGCTCTCATCTGTAATCCCAGCACTTTGGGAGGCTGAGACAGGTGGATCACTTCAAGTCAAGAGCTCAAGACCAGCCTGGCCAACATGGCAAAACCCCATCTCTACTAAAAATATTTTTAAAAAGTTAGCCGTAGTGGCACATGCCTATAATCCCAGCTACTCGGGAGGTTGAGGCAGGAGAATCTCTTGAACCTGGGAGGCGGATGTTGCAGTGAGCCGAGATCGCCCCACTGCACTCCAGCTTGGGCGACAAAGTGAGACTCCGTCTCAAAAAACAAACAAACCGAAACCACTATATCATTTAGATTGGCACCCCCAAACATGAAATACTTAGGTCTAAATCTAATAAAATATGCACCAGATCTGTATGAGAAACTCTGATGAAAGAAATCAAAGAACTAAATAAATGGAGATTTATTTCGTGTTCATAATTAGCAAGACTCAATATTGTCAAGATGTTAGTTCTTTCCAACTTGACCAGTAGATTGATTGCATTGCCAATCAAAATCCCAGCAAGTTATTTTGTGGATATCAACAAACTGATTATAAAGTTTATATGGGTATTCAAAAGACAGAACAGCCAACACAGTATGAAGGAGAACAAAGTTGCAAGACTGTGACACTACCTGACTTCAAGACTTACTATAAAATTACAGTAATTAAGACAGTGTGGTACTGGCAAAAGAATAGACAAATAGATCACTGGAACAGAATAGAGTGGCCAACAAATACAGCCACACAAATATAGTCAATTGATATTTGACAAAGGAGAAAAAGCAATAGAAAGTAGAAAAGATAGTATTTTCAAGAAAGGCTGCTGGAACAATTGGACACTCGTAAAAAAATAAATCTAGACACAAGGCTTATATCTTTATAAAAATGAGCTCAAAATGGATCACAGACTTAAATGAAATTACTAAACTATGAAACTCCTAGAATATAACAGAAAATCTAGATTACCTTGGATTTGGTGGATATAGCACCAAAGACAGGATCCATGAACGAAAGAATCGATAATTAATTTTAATTGATTAAAATTAAAATATTCTTCTCTGCCAAAGACATTGTCAAAAGAATGAAAAGATAAGCCAAAGACTGAGATAAAACATTTGCAGGAGACATATCTGATAAAGGACCATTATACAAAAATATACAAATGACTTCAGAAGTTGTATATATTTAAGGTGTAAAACATACTGTTTTGATATATATTATGCATAGTAAAATGATTACTACAGTAAAGAATTTTAATCTGTCCAGCACCTTCCATAGTTACCTTTATATTTTGTGGTGAGAGTACCTAATATCTACTTTCTTAGCAAATTTTTAGTATGCAATATTATTGATTATAGTCCTTATGATTTACATTAGATCTGTAGATTAATTCATCCTATATGTTTGAGCCCTTTGACCTACTTCTGTCCATTTTCTTTCCCTCCTTGTCACTAGTAACCACCATTGTATTCTCTGTTTCTGTTTTCAACTTTTCTTTAGATTCTACATATAAGTGATATCATACTTATGTATGATGTTGTAATTCTGTGTCTGGCTTATTTCAGTTAGTGTAGTGTCCTTCAAATTCATCCATGTTGTCATAAATGACTGATCTTTTTTTAGGGCTGAATAATATTCCATTGTATATGTATTCCACAATTTCTTTATTCATTAATCTGTCAGTAGACACCTATGTTGTTTCCATATCTTTGTTATTGTGAATAATGCTGAAATGAATATGGGAGCACAGATATCTTTATGAGGTGCTGATTTCATTACCTTTGGGCATATACCCAGCAGAAGGATTGCTGGGTCATATGGTTTGTTCTACTTCACTTGTTTTAGTTTATTTATTTTTAGATAATAGCTATCATGAGAAGTGTGAAGCAATGTCTCAGTGCTTTAGGTGGGAGCATGAAAGTTGTGGTGCTTGATGCATGCACAAGTGTTTCCAGGGAGATTTTGCAGACCTGGATTTACCACTGGAGCAAGCTGGAGGAGAGGTGTGGGAAGTACTCTCACTCCAATTCAGGCTCCTGTAGGTCGATTGTTTATCTGCCTTTTTCTATTAGGCTATTTAAAAGCCTAATAGAAAAAGTGTGCAGATTTCCAAGGAGAAACTGGGAACTGGACACTTCAGCCTATTCTCTGCACTGATTGTTGGAGGAGGAGTGTGAATAGATCCCCCTGGAAGTACACGTGCATCCATTTAAAATCACCTCTTTGTTCTGTAGCCTAGGGAGACACAAACGCTGAATCATTTTCTGTTTTCAGAGTCAGGTGAATTAAGGGCTCAACTCTGTGGGAGGAACTGTAAACCTTGGGGCTCTGTAAGTGTATTTCACAACCTTTTCTTGTCAAAGAGAAGTTGAGAGTTAGAGGTTCTCTCCTGATTATAAAAAACTGGTCCTGGGGTGGAGTTTGTGGCATATGTGTGTCTCAGCTTTTCCTTCCTTTTTTGATGCAGATATTTTATCAGTTTCCCAGTTTTTAGGGGTTTATCAACTAGTTTTGAGATTTGTCCTAGAGGGAATTGACCTATAAATAACTGTTTACTTAGTACATCCATAAGAGGAGGGAAAGTCAAGAATTTCCTATTCTGCCATCTTGCTGATATTTCAAGAACATCTTTCTGAAGTTCTTAAAATACAACAATAAGAAAACAAACTTTTATATTTTGATAGGGATTGCATTAAATTTTGGGTAGTATGGGCATTTTAACAATGTTGATTCATCTAATCCATGGACATGAGATATCTTTCCATTTTTTGTTCCCTCTTTTATTTCTTTCATCAATATGTTAGAGTTTTTATTGTAGCAATTTTTTAAAAAATAGAGAATATTTTTCATAGGAAAAGAAAAAAAATTCTAAAATTTATATGAAACCACAAAATACCCAGAATAGACAGAATAATGCTGATCAAAAAGAACAAAGCTGTAGTCATCATACTACCTGGCTTCAAAATATACTACAACACTATAGTAACCCAAACAGTATGGTACTGGCATAAAAATAGACATATAGACTAATATTAGAAACAAAAGACAAAATTCAGAAATAAATCCACTCATTTACAGTCAACTCCTTTTTGATAAAGGCACCAAGAACATATATTGGAGAAGGGAAATCCTTGTCAATAAATGATGCTGGGAAAACTGAATATCCATATGCAGAAGAATGAAACCGGACCCCTGTCTCTCACCATATATAAAAATCAAATTAAGGACAGGCACAGTAATATCACTAAAACACAGGTGACCAAAGCAAAAATGGACAAATGGAATCACACCAAACTAAAAATCTTCTGCGCAACAATGAGAACAACCAAACAAAATGAAGAGACAACCTACAGAACGGAAGAAAATACTTGCAAACGATTCAACTGACAAGAGATTAATAACCAGAGTATATAAGGAATTCAAAAAGTTCAATAGAAAAAACCTCAAGTAATCTGATTAGAAAATGGACAAAGATCAAAAGAAGACATATCAATGACCAACAGATATAGCTGGGCGTGGCGGCTCATGCCTGTGATCCCAGCACTTTGGGATGCTGAGGCAAGTGGATCACCTGAGGTCAGGAGATCGAGACCAGCCTGGCCAACATGGTGAAACTCTCTCTACTAAAAATACAAAAAAATTAGCTGGGCGTAGTGGTGGGCTCCTGTAATCCCAGCTACTTTGGAGGCTGAGGCAGGAGGGAGAATAGCTTGAACCCGAGAGGTGGAGGTTGCGGTGAGCCAAAAACATGCCATTGCACTCCAGCCTGGGCGACAAGAGTGAAACTCCGTCTCAAAAAAAATGACCAACAGATATGTGAAAAAATGCTCAACATCACTAATCATCAGATGAATGCAAATCTAAACTACAATAAGATACCATCTCACCTCAGCTAAAATGGCTTTTATATTATCAAAAAGACAAAAATAAGTGCTGGCAAGGAGGCAGAGAAACTGGAATGCTTGTACACTGTTGGTGGAATGTAAATTAACACAGCTACTATGTGAAACAGTATAGAGGTTCCTCAAAAAACCCTGAGGGACCAGAGAACCAAGCTGCAGACCTGGTTCCAGCCCCTTAGGGTTAGAACACACAGCCCAGGAGTGCTCAGCTGAGGCTTGGACCGCTGAAACCATCCAGAAATGAAGCCAATCAACTAAATCCAACTTACAACATAGTCAAACCCTAAAGAGCATCAAAGAATATAAAAGCAGAAAGGCCGATTCCAAAGACAGAGACTCCAAAGGTTAAAGGAACATCAGCCCACACAGATACATAAGAAACAGTGCAAGAACTCTGGCAACTCTTAAAGCCAGAGTATATTCTTACCTTGAAATAACTGCACTAGCTCCTCAGCGATGGTTCATAACCAGACTGAAATGGCTGAAATGACAGACATTGGTTCAGAATCTGGTTGGCAAGGAAGCTCATCAAGATAAAGAAGAAGGTTGAAACCCAATCCAAGCAAAATAGTAAAATGATTGAAGAGTTTAAAGATGGCATAGCCATTTTAAGAAAGAGCCAAACTGAACTTCAGGAAATGAAAAAGTCACTACAGGAATTTTGGAATGCAGTTCAAGCATTAATAACAGAATAGACAAAGCTGAGAAAGAATCTCAGAGCTCTAATACGGCTCCTTTGAATAAACATAGGCAGACAAAATAAAGTAAAAAGAATTTTAAAAATGAACAATAGGTTTTATTTAATAATTCTCCTCCTTATACTTTCTGTCTCACCAGTTTCCCCTCAAACTGATTTACCTACTACACAAAATTATTCTTATCGGGCTTATGTGCCTTTTCCTCCACTTATTTGACCTCTCACCTGGATGGATGCTCCTGCGGAAATCTATACTAACGATAGTGTGTGGATGCCTGGAGCTACAGATGACTGTTGCCCCGCTCAACCAGGAGAGGAAGGCACTGCATTTAATGTTACTATGGGTTATAAATACCCTCTGTGCCTCAGACATGCACCTGGTTGTATCCATCTAGAAACTCAAGTCTGGGCTGCTTGCCTTCCAGAGAGATCAGCCACAGGGGAATGGGGACATTTGGTCTCCGGCCTCTCCCTTTCTCCTTTAAGACAAATGAAAGGGGGAGTAATGAGAGATACCCCATACTTTCAATATAAACCTGTAGGAAAATCATGTCCTAAAAATTTTGAGGGCCCATCTAAAACTTTAATTTGGGAAGATTGTGTTAACTCACATGTAGTAGTATTAAAAAATGCCTCATATGGTTTAGTAATAGACTGGGCACCAAAGGGCTATTTTAAAAAACAATTGCTCCTCTGGTGGAAGGGAATGCCTGGAGGCTACTTATTTTATTTCTCATTGGGAGGACAAGGATCATCATCCTACTTTGCATAGGAGGTTCAGCTCATTTTTTCCCTTAAAATGGGAAGATAAGGGCATTACCCCCACAAGGCCTCATATGATATTCCCCATTCTGAGCCCAGAACACCCAGAACTTCGGAAACTGGCTATCGCCATGTCCAGACTGCAAGTATGGGAAGGGGAAACTTTTCTGTCTGTTATCCCCAGTACTGCCCCTCACATCCATGATTCTGAACCCCATGATAAATCCCCTTTGAGCCCTTTTCCTCTTTTTGATGCCTATCCTCCTTTATGGGACTCCAATTGGCATTATGATAATTCTTCTCAATCCAGGTATGCCCCCTACCTCTTCAGCATCCCTAGGCCCCTCGGATTGCTTCTTTATGGTGGAGAACATCGGGCGTTCCCACCGCCACTCCTCTCCCTCAGTATCAATGTAGATTCAAACATTCTGCTTTGTTTACCTCCAGCCTGACTATTCCTATACAGAGTTGTGTTAAGCCTCCTTTGTGCTGTTAGTAGGAAATAGCAAACTTTGGACGAATAATCAAACTGTCCAATGCATTAATTGCCATTTATACACTTGTGTTAACTCCTGTTTTGCTTCAGGAAAAGTATAATGTTGGTTCGAGCTCAAGAAGGAATCTGGATACCAGTAACTTTACCCAGACCTTGGGAATCTTCCCCCTCAGTACATTTAATTAATGAAGTGTTAAAACAAATTCTCAAAAGATCTAAGAGATTTGTTGTTACTTTAATTGCTGTGATCATGGGCCTAATTACAGTCACGGCACTGGCCACCACTGCCGGAGTGGCATTACACCAATCTGTTCAAATGGCTTATTTTGTTAATGATTGCCAGGCCAATTCCACCCAAATGTGGAATTCTCAACAGGGAATTTATCAAAAATTAGCTAATCAAATTAATGATTTAAGACAGTCTGTTATTTGGCTTGGAGATCGGCTAATGAGTCTCGAACATCGCATGCAAATGCAGTGCAATTGGAATACTTCTGATTTCTCTATCACACCATATTCCTACAACGAGACTAATCATTCATGAGAAATGGTCAAAGGACACTTGCTGGGAAGGGAAGATAATTTATCCTTGGAGATAACTAAATTAAAGAAACAAATTTTTGAAGCCTCTCAAGCTCATTTATCCATTGTGCCTGGAGCTGATGCATTAGATCAGGTGGAAGAAAGTCTTTCTGGACTAAACCCCACGATTTGGATTAAGTCTATTGGGGGCCCCACTGTAGTAAATTTTGGAATCATGTTTCTCTGTTTAATCAGCTTGTTTTTAGTGTGCCGTACCAGTTAAAGAATCCTGCATCAAAACTGAGAGAATGAACAAGCCTTCATCCCCATGGCATATTTATATAAAAAGAAAGGGAGAAATGTTGCAGGAAGTCAGGGACCCAAATGGAGGGACGGGCTGGAGCCATGGCAGAGGAACATAAATTGTGAAGATTTCATTTTAATATGGACATTTATCAGTTCCCAAATAATACCTTTATAATTTCTTATGCATGCCTTTAATTTTTAATCATGTTATCTTCATAAGCTGAGGATGTACATCACCTCAGGACCACTGTAATAATTATGTTAACTGTACAAATTGATTGTAAAACATGTGAGTTTGAACAATATGAAATCAGTGCACCTTGAAAAAGAACAGAATAACAGAGATTTTTATGGAACAAGGGAAGACAACCATAAGGTCTGACTGCCAGTGGGGTCGGGCAAAAAGGGCCATATTTTTCTTCTTGCAGAGAGCCTATAAACAGTTGTGCAAGTAGGAGAGATATCATCAAATTCTTTTCCTAGCAAGGAATAATAATATTAATACCCTGGGAAACGAATGTGTTCCTGGGGGGAGGTCTATAAATGGCCGCTCTGGGAATGTGTGTCTTGTGCAGTTGAGATAAGGACTGAAATACTCCCTGGTCTCCTGCAGAACCCTCAGGCTTACTAGGGTGGGGAAAAACTCTGCCCTGGTAAATTTGTGGTCAGACCGGTTCTCTGCTCTTGAACCCTGTTTTCTGTTGTTTAAGATGTTTATCAAGACAATACATGCACCACTGAATATAGACCCTTATCAATGGCTCTGCTTTTTCCCTTTGTCCTGTTCCCTCAGAAGCATGTGATCTTTGTTAGACCCTTATTGGTAGTTCTGCTTTTTGCTCTTTGAAGCATGTGATCTTTGTACCTACCCTCTGTTCTTACACCCCCTCCCCTTTTGAAACCCTTAATAAAAACTTGCTGGTCTGAGACTCAGGCAGGCATCATGGTCCTACCGATATGTGATGTCACCCCTCGCGGCCCAGATGTAAAATTCCTCTCTTTATACTGTCTCTCTTTATTTCTCAGCTGGCTGACACTTATGGAAAATAGAAAGAACCTACCTTGAAATATCAGGGGTGAGTTCCCCCAATAGATAGGAGGGTGAAGATTGAAAAACTACCTATTAGGTACTAGGTGCAATATCTAGGTAATGACATCATTTGTACACCAAACCTTAGCAATGCACAGTTTACTCATGGGAGATACCTGCACATACACCCTGTGAACCTAAAATAAGGTTGAAAAATAAAAATAAAATAGATAAAATAAAATGTAAATTAAAATAAAATTTGAATACAGTTTTATTTTTAGTAGAATTTCTACATGTAGTTTCCAGAGTTAATAATTTATAATGAATGTCTACCCATGTGATTATTTTATTTTCCACCAACATATATTTTTAAATATATTCTCTTTTATAGCCCTTTCCATACTTAGTCTTTTTATGATTAAAAAGAAACTGTCAGGCCAGACATGGTGGCTCACACCTGTAATCCCAGCACTTTGGTAGGCCAAGGCAGGTGGATCACCAGGGGTCAGGAGTTTGAGACCAGCCTGGGCAACATGGTGAAACACTGTCTGTACTAAAAATACAAAATTAGGCAGGCATGGTGGTGCATGCCTGTAATCCCAGCTACTTGGAAGGCTGAGGCAGGAGAATTGCTTGAAGCTGGGAGGCAGAGGTTGCAGTGAGCCAAGATTGTGCCACTGCACTCCAGCCTGGGCGACAGAGCCAGACTCTGTCTCAAAACAACAAAAACGAAAAAAAGAACAAGAAAAGAAACTGTTTATTGACATTTGCTTCTGTTACTCAATTCTAGTTGTAATCAATGCCTAAGCTTTGATTATATCTTCGTTTAACTTGGCTATATTGCGTATCATTTATTTTGGGAGACAGTAGCCTCCTATCTTAGCTCTTTAGGTGTGCACATATTCATCTTTACATATAAAGGGATTTGAGATATTTCTGTGATTTCATAAAGTTTTTATGAAGTTATCTTCTTTAAATTTACTTTTACTTTACACTAATTGAATGTGCATTATTTTGGCTGATCTATTTTTTGGAAGTATAATAAATTGCTTTATGTATACTTCAGTGGCTTTAGATTTTTTATTTATGATTTTTAGCATTATGTGTTTGCCTTAGAGTTTATGTGCACAAAACTATTATATATTTGTTCACATTAAATACAATTTATGTATGTTTTAATCAATATTCACCTGCATGTAGCTTGCTCTGAAAGAACTAGAATGCTTTCATTTTCCATACATATAATTTTTTTCTATATCTCTGGAGAATAATGTTCTGCATATTTTTGAAATATATAGGTAGGACTATGCTTTGTGAAAGAGTCTATTAAAGTTTACCACATTTGATGAGTTTTGTTTTGGAATTAATTAAAACCTGAAGCAAAATTGATCTGACATATAATTATGTGTATAATTATTATGGTTACTGTGTCATATAGTAATTAGGCATAATATGAATTTTATTTGGTTTTACTGCTTTTATGTAACATATCCATCATTGTTTTAGTCAGCTGGGAAAGAACTATAGGTAAACAATTATCCACATTGTGAAGCACTTTCATGAGTATTATCTCATTATGTATATAAATAGGTTATGATATTTATTTCATTTCAGGATAGTAAAGGGGCATTTCAAAAACAAAAAACAACATTTTTTTAAATGAGAAAAAGATCCTTTAATTCCAATAGGGTTAGAAACAAGTACGTTATCCTCTTTTCCTAGGTAATTTATCCCATGCCCACAGGTTCAGTTACCATCTCTATATTAATTCTCAAATATTCAGAACAGATCTTTCTTTTGAAATCCAGGTATGTTCAGCCAACTTCTTAATTGAACCTCCACCTTGGATGTCTCAAAGGCATCTCAGATTCAACATATTCATACATGAACTCATAGTATCTCCCATCTCTACTAAAAGGCCTCATTGCCTGGGGTAAATGCCCAGGTTTTGGTCTCATGGCCAAGGAAATCAAAGACTCAGACGCACACACGCATAGTGAAATTGGAGCAAAAGTTTAATAGGCAAAAGAAAAGAACAGCTCTCTGTCACAGAGAGGGGTCCCAAATGGGTTGCTGAGTGGTAGTAAAAATGTCAGGGTTTATATAAATGGGCTAGTGAGGAGGGTGTGTCTTATCTCCGTGGGGCCTGAAGAACTGGTTAGGACCGGGTGTGCCGTATGTTGAGGGCAGAGCCTCTAGTAGTCCCCACCCCTTGTGCAGGCCGACTCTTAGTTTGTGCTGCTCTGCGCTGCTTATCTGAGCATGCTAAAAGGGAGGGAGAGTTTCTGTGCCTGTTCCAGGCACTTTCTTGCAGCTGCAGGTGTCCCTGACTCGCCCCATACCCCGACCCCCACCCCATCTCACCCCACTCCCTCCCTCCACTCCCGCGCTTCCAGCTCAGCTTCCCTATCTTTGTGTGCTTAAAGAAAGGGAGATGAATGTGCTTATTATGGCACACTGTTTTTACTGGGGCCTATTGTTTGTATGTGAAGTTTGGTGATTACCCAGGACACTTCCAGCTCTGTGCCCAAGTTGCTTGTCTGTGTTTTTCAGCCTGATCTTCCAGGCTGCTCTTTGTTAGAAGAGAGGTGATTTCTTTGAACTGCGTGAGGTTAGAATGGGAGCAATTTCTGAGCTGCTTTTTGTTAGAAAGAAAGTTTTCTGCCAGGGACTCTCTTTACCCTAACTACCTAAATGATTTCTTTCTATCTCCTGTAACACTACCTTGGTACGTATTTCAGTGATTGTCATCATCACCCATCCTGTTAGGCAAACCAGAAAACTCAAAGCCATCCTTGTTGCTCCTCTACATCCCTCACTCTATATCCAATTTATCATCAGATTCTTTATTTTTCTTTTCTCAACTCTCTAATATATTATATCCATGCTTTGCCATTTCTACTGCTGGAACTAACCCTAGTCAAATCACATTCCTCCTTTGTTGGGAGTATTACAATAATATTCTCTACAAGGTATACCCACTCAGGAAACAGAGTGATCTAATTAAAATATAACTATTTTTATGTCAGATCTTTTAGTGACTTCCCATTGTTGTTGAGATGAGGACAATAATTATTAACAAGGTGAACAGGGACTGGGATGTTCTGGCCCCTGCCATTGCTTACTGAATCTTGCAACAAACCCCCTTGTCTCTTTTTTTCAGGTGCTGAAATGCATCATGGCCTCTCCTGAGGCTGGGCCTTTGCATATGCCCTAACACAACTTAAAATCACCTGTCTTTGAAAGATGGGCTATTGTATCAGCTAGACTAATAAAAATTATTCTCCACATAATCATGTTTCTTATTATTAATTAACAAACATGAAAAAGATACCATGTAAAATATTAGAATTCAGTTTTCTTTTGAAGAGATCTTTTTGAATTAACAGCTTTTAAGGCTATTAGTTCCTATGCATTCTTCAGATATCAGTTCAAGCCTCATTTTCTTAGGGAAGTTTTTCCTCTGTTCACTCTAGGCCAGGTTATGTTTTATTCCCTATCTCATAGAACCTAGACTCTTGTTTCCTTTTTTCTTAGAACATTGCCTCAGTTTATGGTTCTTGTATTGTAATAATACACTTATCAATATCATTCTTGATCAATATTTATTTCTTCCATTTCAAGCTCTGAGAGGTCTGATACTCTGTCTCTTTTTGTCCATTGTTTTTTCTCTAACCTCTCATAGTGTCTGGTTCATAATGATAAATAATTTTCAAGTCAATGAATATAAAGTGGTAGTAAGTGAGAGAGCTGGGATTTGAAATCAGAGCTGACTCTAAAACTACTATTCTGCAGTGACAGTATATTTTTAACATGTGCATTATAACAATAAATTACACTGGATGTTCAGCACTTGTCTTGGATATATTCAAAAGCAAAACATGAGTCTTAGCTTTTCCAGTTTAAGCAGTTTAATTATATTTTCATAATTTATAACATTAATAAAATGGGGAATTGTGGTAAAAGAGATTCTGAGGTGCATATAAAAATGTTTGCAGGATGAACCACTTAAGTAAGGGAGACCCAGTGGACATCTGCCAGTGGGAGCTGGCTGTGAAAGGCAACAAGGTAGAATGAAGCCCAGTTTCTGTACTTGAGGGACCCAGGCACCAGGCAGTGAGTGTGGCACTGATGGCCCACCTTGGTCTCTCCTGGCCCAGCCTCAAAATAGAGTAGAAAAAGGGAGTCGATGACAATGAATTGGTTCTATGGAAGAAGACAGCATATGAAGGGAAACTTCATTGGAATCACATAGGTAGATTTTTTTATGTTGTTGGCTGTTGTGTCCAAAAACATTGCAGAGGAAAGATTCAATATTAAAAAGCAAATTGGTTCATTGCTGAGAGAATGTAAAATTTATTCTCATTCTCTTTCCATCTATTCCTCTTTTCTTCCCTTCCTTTATCTATTACTCTCTTTCTTCCTCCCCTTCTCCATGACTCGCTATAACCTCTGATTCTTCAGTATGAAAGTAGTGTACATGGACAGAAATCCCTAATATACTTGTTTTTAATAGCAAACGGGGAACATGTAACCACAACTCTCCAGCGAAATTGAGATCATGGCCACATAATCTACAGCTTTTTCTCTCTTCTCTATGTAGATTATAATAGTTTTATTTAATAGAAAACAAAAAAATTATGTATTAATTTCAATTTAAAAATTTTCTTGATGTTAGCAAACTATGGATCATATCTTAAGAAAGCAGTGTATATTTCTTACCCAAATTCTAACACTAAAATATTTTAAAATATTATTTATTTCCTTTGGTTTTTAATCCATATATTTGTGTGTTAGTCTATAGGATAATAACAAGATTATATTTTCTCTATATCTCTCTTGCCATTTGTAACTTTGTGATTTTTACATATTTAAAAGACAGTTAATAGGATTGAAGTTGAAACTGTATTTCTATTCCAGATGTTGATGTCTTCAGAATTGCTTTGGAAATTGTCAGATTTCCAAATTAATATCATAGATTGACTTCTTCATCTCTATTCTTAATCAAAATTTTCCAAGAAGTAAAGATATTTGGTCACCGGGAAGAAAATTATAATGCTTAGCAGTGACTTTCTAAGCAGCCTGAGGTGTCTTATTAACCAGAGTCTGCTCAGGCCTCAAGATCTGTTGCTGCCCACATGTAGGGCAGTTTTTCTCATAAGCCTAACTAAGGGCTGAGCTCTTCTTTTACAGTCATTCTATAATGCACACCCAAAGCTAAAAAAGGAGTGGTCAGTTTACGTTATTGTCTTATTAGAATGCATGAAATTTTGTAATACAAGCACAAATGTATGTATTCTTTCCATCTGTTAGACACACACCCCTTTTAGAGTTTTAAACTGTATCTTTTTATATTCTATATCCTATAGTTTTGTTTGATTCTGTGTTATAAACTTCCAGAGTCATTCTAAAGATCTTGAAATAATCTAGAGTTCATTCTAATATAGTGGAAAAATTATTTTAATGTCTTATCTTTTGAAATACAGATTTCAAAACTACCTAGTTAGCAAATGCTGGATAATGAAATTTGTTCAGAGTTTGACTTTTTATTCATTTTCTTATCCCACTAACAAGAGCACCTTGAAGTTCTCTCATCATTAATGAGATTTCTTAAAATATGTGATTCTGAAGTTTTACCTGAGGAAAAAGAAAAATTCACATGTACTTTTGTGATGGAGTAGCTTAACTTCAAAATTCATTTTGAAACAATTTTTCCTTTCTTGGTTTTAGCCTTGAAACATACTTTACAACTCTGTTTACCTCCCTCCCCACCAAACATCCCCTTGTACTGGTAGCTTATCTAGTTATATCCTTACTTAGAAGTTCCAGGGGCTAATCTTGAAACAAGCCAGGCATGGACACCCGAAATTCCAGAGATTACCTCAAGGCGGTTTGTCAACAATCTGGCTATTGTTGAGATGATGTCAGCCTATGCTCCAGGTCAGCAGTCCCCAGACTTTTCGGCACCAGGGACTGGTTTCATGGAAGACAATTTTTTCATGGATGAGGGCAGGGGTTTAGTTTGGGGCCAAAACTGTTCCACCTCAGATCATCAGGCATTAGAATCTTATAAGGAGCTTGCAACCTAGATCCCTCACATGCACAGTTCACAATAGGGTTTGCGCTCCTGTGATAATATAATGCCCCTGCTAATTTGACAGGAGTCAAAGCTCAAGTGGTAATGCTCCCCTGCCCATGGCTCACCTCCTGTTGTGTGGCCTGGTTCCAGTCTGCCACTGGAGGGTTGGCGACCCCTGCTCCAGGTGGACCATGACTCAAGATAGTCACCAGAACAGGACACACAGACCTTGTATCCAGCACCACTCCTGCATGCCTTCCATTCCAGGTTGCCCTTTTAAAACCCTTCTCCCCAGTCTAAAGTTTTGAATGGTTTTTTAAGGGAATAAGCTTGTCCATTCCCCAACTGCTAGAATTTGAGTGAAGTTGCCTGCCTTTCGCCACACCTTGCCTCTCATGTTTTCTGGCTCTCAGCAGTGAGCAGCCAGACTTGGCGTGTGGTTACACTTTTGTGCGTAAGGTATTTTAAAATGTTCTATATTATGTTATTATTTATCATATTGTTATTAAGTTTTTTCATGTCTCCCATTGCTAGCTGTGCTTTTAGAAGAATTTGTATGCTGTAATTACATACTTTCTTAATTATGCTTTTCTTGCATATTCAAATGCTCCCAAAAGTCTTTATCTTTCACTTCATTTTTGATTTACAAACTGAGGAATGCAAATACTTCCTTGTATGTACTTTAATCCCAAACTCTATTAAGAAAGGCTTATTCAGTGTGTGTGGCTAGGGAAACAGTTTCAATGGCTAACAAGTGAATATAGCAGAAGGAAGAAGCATATGTATGTCTGACATAATTTTTTGATGTTTTGAAAAGTTATCATTCCCTTGGTTGTTTCCCCACCATTCTTCAATGTTCCTTAATAGATTTTCATTTGAGTTTATTTTCTCTTAGGTATTTTGTAATTTATTTTTTATTTCTTAAATAATTTTGTCTTTTGCTTTCATTTTTTTTCCTGAGTTGTCGGCTCTTTTTATTTCTTTTCTCTTTCCTCCTCTTCTGCCTTTAATGTTCAATTTATCAGTCAAGGATCTGTTTCTCCAAATTCTTCTTTGAGTGTATGTAACTCAGTTTTGAATTGTGACTTACAGTTTTCTTCTGCTTCATGAATATTTTGTGAGGGAATTTTTGTCAGTTCAGATGTAATTAATTGTTTTATTTTAATTTTTGGAACAACTCTCTATGGATTAATATTTTTTCTTCTGCTTATTTTGGTTGATTTGGTATTGTTTCTAACATTCCTAATTAATTAATGCCTTCTTGTATCTTATAACAAAGCTGGTTTTTTTAGTGGATTTTTTTGAGTTATGTGTCCTTCATTTTTTTTTTTAAATGTTGTGTAGGATCCTAAATGTTCGCATTGCATTTTTTCCCTTTCATTATTCATCTGCCAAAGAGCATAGCTACTTTTCTTTTGGCCTTTTCTCCCAGAAATCATGCCTTATGAAGTCCTCCACTTAACGTTGCATGTTTTTCTAATTTCCTTCCCTGCAATCCTGTCTACCAGGAAATTGTTTCCCTATTTGACTATTTAGGATGGACTTACTCTTTCTGTTGATGGTTATGCTTTGCTAGCATTCCTCTTTTCCAAGCATTTTTTTCTCAGGTTGCTCTTCCTCTATGAAGGTTTAGAGTAGGGTGGAGACATGAGAGATTGTTTACTGGAATTTGGCAATTTCTGTCTATGTACTTCAGTTACTTGTAAATTTGAGCAGACTGTTCTGAAGTTCTAATTTTCGTGGTTTCTTGTACTTCACACTTTGTTCGGTATTATTTTTAAAGGACATATATTGAGATGCCATTATAGGCATACTTGTTCTTTTAAACGTTTGAGGTTTATAGTTTGAGGCAACATGCAAAAACTTTTGAATTGTTATATCTACCCTGTGGCTTTTAACATCATGGGTGTCCCTTTTCTTTTTTTTAAAACCCTTGTATTAAAATCTTTGTGTATTATTCAAGCCAGACCAGATTTATTTTTGGTGTCTGCATGGCATATACTTTTCTTCACTTTGCTTTCACTATTTTTAATCTACATATTTTACTTTTGTATTTTGAACACAGCATATGCTTAAATTTTACTTTTAATTTCTGTCTGACAGCATACTTATTTTGATTAGAACATTTAGTATACTTACATTCAATGTAATTAGATGACATATTGGGATAAATTTTACTACATACTTTCTTTTTATTATTCCCTCTTCTTTTATTTTTTTTTTCCTTCCTTGGCCTTTTTGACTAATTTATTACTTTCTTATTCTATTTTTCCTCTAGTTTTAATAATAACTTGTTAATATTTAGTGGACATATTACAGATGACTGCTTGAGTTTTTTACTCATCACATTCTAATATAAACTAGTACTTTTACTTCTTCCCAGGATCTTTGAACTTTATTTATTCCCTTTCCTTTTTTGCTATTCTACTATTGCCACATTTTCATTTGTATAGATTTTTTATTCTGTAAGACTCCATTATTATTGTTAACACAATTAATTTTCTTTTAGATATACTCACATATTTACCTATGCCATTTATCATCATTACTTCATATATCCCTGAGCTTGCATCTGAGATCATTTGCCTTCTAAATGATGAAGATTAAAAAAAAATCCTTGGCTGGGTGCAGTGGCTCATGCCTGTAGTCACAGGACTTTGGTAGGTCGAGGCAGGCAGATCAAGAGGTCAGGAGTTTGAGACCAGCCTGGCCAACATAGTGAAACCCCATCTCTACTAAAAATTAAAAAAAAAAAAGTAGCTGGGCGTGGTGGTGACTGCCTATAATCCCAGCTACTAGGGAGGCTGAGGCAGGAGAATCGCTTGAATCCAGGAGGCGGACGTGGCAGTGAGCTGAGATCGCGCCGCTGCACTCCAGCGTGGGCAACAGAGTAAGACTCAGTCTAAAAAAATAAATAAATAAAAATTCCTAAATGTAAGCCTATTCACAACACATTATTTCATTTTGTTTAAAAATGCCCTTATCTTCATTTTTGAAATATATTTTCACTGTGTACACAGTTGTATATTGGTAAATATTTTCTTTCAGCACTTTGAAGATACTGTTCCATCATCTTCTGGCTCTCCTTATTCTATTGAGAAGTTGTCTGTCATTTTTACTGTTCTCCCTTTGAATACAATATATCTATATTTCCCTCTGGCTACATTTAAAATTTCCCCTTTATCTGTAATAATCAGTAATTACGTTTTAATATACATAAATATGTTTTTCTTTTTATTTATATTACATGTAGTTTACCATGTTTTTTGAATTTATGTGTTGATGTCATTTATCAGTTGGGAAAATTCTCAGCCATTATCTCCTAAAATATTGCTTGCTTCTTCGTCATTTTCTCTCTTTTCCAACCTGGGAGTCCAATTTACATTTTTGAAGAATTTCTCCCCTTTTTTTACTTTGTACCTTATATTCTTTTCTATATCTTTTAGCTTCTTCCTATGCCAGCCAGTTGCTTTCTTTGGATTAGTCTTCCAGTTCACAAATTAAAGGTTGTGACTGAGTTCTTCATTTTCTGCATTCTTGTTGGTGAGTTTCTAATGTCCATCATTTCTCCTGGGTTTGGTCATACAGTCTTACGTTTCATATGCCTATTGTTGTTGTTGTTGTTTGGTTTTATTTTTTTCTTTTTGGGTGCAAGACATTATTTTCCTAAGAAATAGAGGGCTAACTTAAGGCTCAAGAGTGATTTTATCTTCTTCCAAAGAAATCTTTTACTGACATCTTGCAGGCAACTGTGCTAGAAGCACTATTAATTCCATGTCACCTTAATCCAATGGGTGATTGAGATGATTCAAAGTTTCACTTTAGTACCTGTAGGTCAAGTCTATTTCTAGGAATGAGGATCATTCTTATTCCTTGTATGTAGCCCTCAGAGTCTCAATCCAAACCATGGGGTGATCACTGGAACCCATTTCTTGGAAGGTCTTCAGCTTCAGTTGTAGTCCTTGTTTCAATTTCTTTGCTTTCTCCATCAGAATTGTCTGGCAGCAGCCAAAGATTCAGAAGAAAATGAACTCTAAGTGCAAGGCTCATCTGCATGCATGTCGCTATTCTCTTGGATTGTGAATCTATTATTCTTCATTACATTGTTACATTATCCAATGCTTTCAAACACATTTATTTTTGTTCATATTTTGACCATATTTGCTACTTGCTTTTAAATGGAGTGTTATTCCACATAACCTTGTTCATCATTACTGAAAATCTCCACAGCTTTAAGGAAAAATATTTATAAGTTTACATTTCTGTAATTGTGTGTAGATTTTACCCCCACTGAATAATTTCAAACAGTATATTATTGTTGAAAAATCGAATATATGTTCTAGAATCATATTCTTGGCCAGAGATTTCAGTCCCTCCACTGTATGTGAAAGTCAAGTTGTTTTATCTGGTCTTCCTGTTTCTTCATGGTCTTCTGCCACTCACCTTTGCAGACTTTCCATTCCTGTCTACATCTACTATCTGTTTATTTATTTTCACTTGCATTTACATTTTTTTTCTTCCATACTCTGTCTGTAAAGATACCTGCAGTACCAGGATTTGATTTTCCCCGAGTCCAAATTATTTTTTAGATTATTGCATGTTGTTTGTTACCATCTTCTCCAAATATAATACCATTCTCTGTGTGCAACACTGTGAACCCCTTGAGCTTGTAATTAGTTGATCTATATCCATAGAACAAGTGTAATGCCACTGTATCAAGATATATCCATACCAGGGCCTCTACCCCTTTCTAGTTGTTTCCCTCTGCTGAAAATTACATGGCTGTAAATAAATGTGCTTTACTTCTTTTCATGTGCTTGCTAATGTTGCAGGGAACCTCAATCAGGAATAAAACAGAATCACGTGGCAAAGAGATTAAGCTAATTTTGACCATAAGAAAAATGTTTGCAATAATTTAAACAAGGTTATCTTGAATTGTCACTCTTTAATCTTTGATTTTGTTATGAATGCATAGTAAATTTGATATACATGTGCATGGCTAGAAGTCAAAAGATAGAACTTAAATCAGACTCTTTGAAAGGTATTACTAAAATATAAATGTGTTATGGCTTAAAGTCATAGTTACATAATGCTACGGTTGGTCATAGTAAATCAGTAAATGTATTTTTTAGAGCCACTAAATCTTTCACACTCATTATCATTCTATAGTGCAAAAATGAATAATGTTTTCAGCAAGTCTCTTATAGTACATACCACCTAGTGACTGAATTAGGGAAATAACATTCCTAAGTAAGTTCCTGTATAAACATGAATATACATATTTATACATGAATATAAAAAATATAAATTATAATTTTACTTTCATGCCATTTCTACCTCAGAAGAATAGGTTGAATCTGTTCCACGAATGAAACATAAACAGGACATTCACTTGTGGTAGAGCCATTTGTTCACTAAATACACATTTATACAGTGACTATTATGGATAAGGTATTATGCTAGAGAGAGAAAAATGAATAATATGCCATCCTTGTTTGCTAGTAGCTCATAGGTGAATGGAAGGACTATGCAATGACACAATTGCAATGTTCTGTAATAAATGCAGTTCTACATTATTAACAGAGGCAACAAAAAGGAAGAGGTAATATGGCATGGCTTAGTATAGGGTGTTATATTTATTGGAGCAGTATAAGATAATGTTAGAGAGATAGGCTTGAGTTATCCCTATGGATGATCTTATAGAGTAATCTTAGGAATTTAAACTTTATCCAGTGGATAGCGGAGTGCCATTCGATGGTAATACATAGATGAATGATGTGCAAGTATGTATGTCTTTTAGTAATGTTATTTTGTCTGAGAAATTTGTTAAGCAGGGAGACATATTAGAGGCTGCAGCAACATCTTGTGAAAACAATGAAACTTATAATAAGAAAGAAGTAAGTGAATAGAGAATGAGCAATGGATTTTTAATATGTGATTTGAGAAAGCTTAAAATAATTAGAATAATGGCACATTTCAGGTTGGCAAGTGCCATTAATCAAAATCATGAAAGCAAGAAGAGGAACTGACTTAAGTGAAAGTTAAAAAAAATGTTTAGTGTTAGGCAGTGGAACATCCAGGTAGAATTAGATGAAGCCAGCAAAGATATAATAGGATAAGCCCTAGGCATGGACAAAAATGCTATAGGAATAGATGAGGAATGAGAAAAGATACAGATGGTTATGGACTCAGGAGAAGCTCAATGTTTCAGGGACATGGATGTATGTGTATGTGTATGTGTGTGTGTATGTGTATGTGTATGTATGTGTAGTATTCTGCTTACTAAACTAAATACAGTGACAATGCCTGGACAGGCCAGGGAAATTGTTGGTTAACATTAGATTATCAGTCATAAATGAGATGTTGAAAAAAATGTTAAAAACATTGTATTCTGATTATGACTTAAAGTGTTGATGGTGACACATTAACAGCAAATAAATAAGAGGCAAGGCATTGTGTAGTACAATTTTTAAGAGATTGACTTGTTATCTTACCCCATGCTGTCAAAGACCACTTCTACAGAATTGCTTGACTTTTGGAGTGAAAATAGGGAATTCCTACAGTCAAAGGCAATATTTTACATTAAACAGAGCCCACATAACTATGCAGACAGTATATGGAGTTAATTTCAGCTGGACACTATTATATTCAGTCTTTACAAATTGATGCCTCAGCCATAAAAGCACCTCAGTGCAATCTCTAGAAATTGGATGGCTTCCCATTGTAAGCCTTTTTGAGGTGTTGGACACAAAATAAGTTTTTGATTGTATTTGGAGGAGATCACATGTTAGTTGGGGGTTTGATATGACTAGACTGTGTCCCTACCCAAATCTCATCCCGAATTATAAACCCCATAATCCCCACATTTTGAGGGTGGATCAGGTGGAGATAATTGAATAGTGGGGGTGGTTTTCCCCATGCTGTTCTCTTAATAGTGAGTCTCACGAGATCTGATGGTTTAATAAGCATCTGACATTTCCCCTGCATGCATTCAGTGTGTCCTGCTGCCCTGTGAAGAAGGTGCCTGTTTCTCCTTTGCCTTCTGCCATGATTGTAAGTTTCCTGAGGCCTGCCTAGTGATGTGAAACTGTGAGTCAATTAAACCTCTTTCCTTTATAAATAACCCAGTCTCGGGTATTTCTTCATAGCAATGTGAGAATGGACTAATGGACTAATACAGTAAATCGGTACCACAGAGAGTGGGTGCTGCTATCAAGATACCCCAAAATGTGGAAGCTACTTTGGAACTGGGTAATAGGCAAAGGTTGAAACAGTTTGGAGGGCTCAGAAGAAGACACAAAGATTTGGGAAAGTTTGGAACTTGCTAGAGATTTATTGAATGGCTTTGACCAAAATGCTGATAGTAATGAAGTCCAGGCTGAGGTTGTCTGAGATGGAAATGAGGAACTTGTTGGGAACTGGAGTGAAGGTCACTCTTGCTATGCTTTAGCAAAGAGACTGGCAGTGTTTTGCTCCTGCCCTAGAGATCTGTGGAACTTTGAACTTGAGAGAGATGATTTAGGACATCTGGTGGAAGAAGTTTGTAAGCATCGAAGCATTAAAGAGGAAGTAGAACACAAAAGTTTGGAAAGTTTGCAGCCTGGCAGTGTGATAGAAAAGAAAAACCTATTTTCTGGGGAGAAATTCAAGCCAGCTGCAGAAATTTGCTTAAGTAACAAGGAGCTGAATGTTAATCACCAAGACAATGGAGAAAACATCCTCAGGGCATGTCAGAGACAGTCTTGGCAGCCCCTCCCATTACAGGCCAGGAGCTCTAGAAGGAAACATGGTTTCATTGACCGGGCCCAGGGCCCCTTGCTGTGTGCAGCCTAGGTCTTGGTGCCCTGCATCCAAGCTACTCCAGCTGTGGCTAAAAGGGGCCTAGGTACAGCTCAGGCTGTGGCCTCAGACAGTGCAAGCCCCAAGCCTTGGCAGCTTTCACATGGTGTGGAGCCTGCAGGTGAACAGAAGTCAAGAATTGTAGTTTGTGAACCTCTGCCTAGATTTCAGAGGATGTATGGAAATGCCTGGATGTCCAGGCAGAAGTTTGCTGCAGGGGCGGAGCCCTCATGGAGAAACTCTGCTAGGGGAGTGCAGAAGGGAAATGTGGGGTTGGAGCCCCCATACAGAGGCCCCACTGGTGTTGCAGTTTTTTTGCTTCTGTAGTTCAGCAAGTGCGAGGGAGTGGCTCCCAGCAGCTTCTTCACTCCCATAGCTCAGTGACCATCTGTTCCACAGTGGAATCTATTTCAGTGACCTTCACTGCCAAAGGAGTAAAAAGAAGTACAGCGTATGATCCCTCCCAATCTGGGCCTAGAGAGGGAGAAAGAAAAGGAAGAGTCCTTACTAGTACTAAGTCCCCTGGTTGAATAAAGGTGGCCTTGGTTCATGGGTTTGGGCCTTTGACATTTGTTTCCGTTCCTGCAGGAAATGGGCCAAAGAACTTACATGGTTAATCAAATCAAAGGTTACATGGTTAATCAAATCAGAGGTTTCTTGGTCTAGAAGGAAATCATTGGTGAGAAAAGGCTGTCCTTACGTCATTTCAAAGGGAATTAAACTCAGCTTCAAAGGGGTGTTTCTAAAACAGTAGTGCCATGGGCATGAGAGTAATCCAGGGGAGATGAGTCTCTTAAGAAAGTTTTCTGAAGTGCCTTTTGATAATATCATGTTTCTTTTCTGCCTTTCCCAAGGAATGTGGTCTCCAAGCACCATGAAGATGGTACTGTATACCTAGTGCCTTTGAGTCCCCCTGGGTGACAGCAACCTTGAATGAGAGGCTGTTATTGCCTGAAGGTACTTAGGGAGCCCAAAGTGAGGAATTATCTAATTAATTAGTACTTCTATCACCTCAGAGACTTTCTCTGTCAGACATGAAAATGCTTCTATCCAGTTAATGAAGGTATATACCCATACCAGGAGGTACTGGATGCCCCTTATCTTTGGAATATGGATGAAATCCATTTGCCAGTCTTCTCCCAGGTAGCCTCCCATTCTTTGGGCTCCAGCGGGGAGACACCATTGACTGGGGGGATTATTTTTAAGGCAAGCCTCACAAGCATTAATGACCTGTTTGACCATTTTTACCTGACAACAACCTTTGAGCCAGTTGGTAGGTTTTATCCTTTCCTACGTGGAAGGCTTGGTGAAAGATTTTAAGAACTTTCCATTGGCTGGAATTTGGTAGATGAAGTTTGCCATCCTCCAGTTGTAGCTGAAAGGTATATCCTTGAGAGGAGGCCCATTCTATTTCTGCAGGAGAGTACTGAGTTTTTGTTTCTTTTATGGAGCCCTCCCAGATTAGAGGGGCCTCAAGTGGATCAGAAATCTGGGGTACTCTAACTGCCAATTTAGCTGCTTGATCTACCAGTTTATTTCCCTCAGCAATTTCATCTATCTCCTTTTGGTGGCCTTTACAATGTATTATGCCACTTCCCGTGGAAGGAAAACCAAGGATAATAGTCTGTTAATTTCCCGATGGTACTTAATGAGAGACCTATTAGCTGTGAGGAAGTCTGTCTCTTCCAGATCATGGCATGGGCATCGAGGATTGCAAAAGCATACTTAGAATCAGTATAAATGTTAACTGCTTTCCCTTTGCTTAAATGCCCCCATGAGGGCATTTAACTCAGCTAGTTGAGCACTTGCACCCGAGAAAACAGGTGCACTCACAATAGTGTCATTCAGGATGACTACTGTGTATTCTCCTTTATCCCTTGTTCTACAAAAGAAATTCTGTCTGTAAAGAGAGTCCATTCTGCATCCTCTAAGGGGTTTTTTTGAGGTCCTCTCTGGCTGCATAGGTTTGCACTACTATCTGTTCACAGTCATGTTCAGGCTTCCCAAGTTTCTCTGGGAGGGAGGTGGCTGGGTTTAGGAGAGCCAGATTCTTAACTGAACTGTAGATTCCTCCAATAGCAGAGCTTGATATTTGAGGAGGCAATTGTTTGTTAGCCAGAGACTCCCCTTAGAAGACAGCAGTCCTGCCAGGTTTTGTGGGGTATAAATGGCTAAGTTCTTCCCCATGATTAACTTAGTAGCCTCTGGCACCAGCTAAGCTACCGCTGCAACTGCCCAGAGGCAGGCCAGTCATCCTTTAGCCACTAAATCAAGTTCCTTGCTCAAGTAGCCCATGGGCTGTTGGGGTGGGCCTCAGACTGAGGATAGAACTCTGTGATGATTAATATTGAGTGTCAACTTGATTGGGTTGAAGTATGCAAAGTATTGTTCCTGGGTGTGTGTTTGATGGTGTTGCTAAAGGATATTAACATTTGAGTCAATGGACTGGGAAAGGCAGACCCACCCTCAATCTGGGTGGGCACAATCTAATAAGCTGCCAGCATGGCTAGAATAAAAGCAGACAGAAGAATGGAAAAGACTGACTGGCTTAGTCTCACAGCCTAAATCTTTCTCCTGTGCTGGATGCTTCCTACCCTTGAACATTGGACTCCAAGTTCTTCAACTCTGGGACTCAGGGACTCAGACTGGCTTCCTTTCTTCTCAGCTTGCAGACAGCCTACTGTGGGACCTCACTTTGTGATTGTGTGAGCCAATACTCCTTAATAAAGTCCCCTTTATATATACATCTATCCTATTAGTTCTGTCCCTCTAGAGAACCCTGACTAATACACCTTCCTCACTGATACATAAAGATTTAACATCTTCCCTATGGGAAGACTAAGGGCTTGTGCCTCAAGCAAGGCTTGTTTCAATTGGTGAAAGGCCCTTTTAATATTTGGTTCCCCAATTATGGAGTGAGTCTTAGCTGCCTGAGTTTCTTTCATTAGGTGATATAAGGGATGAGCTATCTCACTGTGCCCAGGTGTCCATAATCTGCAGAATCATGTAATGCCCAAGAACCCCCTCAGTTGTTTGAGGGTTTGAGGAGGGGAAAGTAGGAGATGGGCTTAATCCTTTATTCACCTGTTGCCCTGGTCTCCTCTGACAAGAGTAGACCTAGATACTTCACTGAAGTCTGACAGAGCTGAGTCTTAGATTTTGAGATCTTATGTCCTCTGTTACCCTGAAAGTTAAGAAGAGGCTTACTGCCTTCCTGAGTGATTTCCTCAGTTAGGGCACAACAGATAATGTCATCTACATATTGTAAAATTTTAACCTGAGGATAAAGGAACTCAGAGAGACCCCTTGACAACACTTTACCAAACAGGTGGGGGCTGTCTCAGAATCCCTGAAGTACACCATCCAGGTTAGCTGGGTGGTCTGGTTGGAGGGATCCTCAAATGCAAACAAATATTGAGAGGCAGGGTATAGTGGTATGTAGAAAAAGGCATTCTTTAGTTCCAGGACTGTGAGCCCTTTAGTTCCCTCAGGTATTTGAGTTAGCAAAGTATAGGGATTGAGAACCACCAGATATATCGGAACCACAGCCTCATTTATGAGGTGGAGGTCCTGGAGCAGTCTGCATTCCCATTTGGATTTCTGTGCTCCCAATATTGGGGTATTACAAGGGCTGTTGCAGGGTTTGAGGAGGCCTGCCTCTTCAAGTTATCAATGATGGCTTCTAGCCCTTTCCTAGCTTCTGGTTTTAGGGCTCACTAAACTAGCTTCTGGTTAGTGAAGCAGGTGGGATCCTAAAGGTGGAGTTGGACCAGTATGGTGGTTGTGGCTTGATCAATTTTCCCTTGAGCTGCCAAAACTTCTGGATTAGTATTAGTCTGCACCAGTGGGAGACAAAGAGCCTGCCTTGGAGCCATAAGGATGGTAGTTCCCTTATGAGGTAAAATATCCCTATGTAGCAGAGGAGTTGGCCTCCTGGCATGATTTAAAAGGCACGAGTAAGCAAGAGGTTTCCCCAACTGCAAGTGAGTGGTTGGGAAAAATATCAGGTTAAAGTTTTTCTTGAGATGCCCCTCATAGGCATGCTAAGGGAGGAGGGGAGGCCTGGACTGGAGAGGAGAACAGAAATGGCTGTGCTGGTATCCAAGAGGAGGTTCACTTTCCTCTCTTCAACTTTCAGAGTCACTTGGGGCTCCTGAATGGCAATGACATTTTGAGTTATTGGAGCCAGGGAGAGAAGCCCAAGGACTCCTCAGTCCTGCTGGACCATTTGTGAGTCTGGCTCTGGACTCAGTGACCTGCATCTCTGGGGACAGTCCACCCTCCAATGGTTCCCTCCAGAGATTGGACAGGGTCAAGGTGGCTTCCTCATGCTGCCTGGGCAGTTGTTAAGGTGCCCTGGCTTGCCACATTTGTAGGAGTTATCAGGTGCATCTCAGGGATTCTGGGTTTTTAAGCCTGCAAGGCAGCTATTAGAGACTGTACCTTTTTTCTTGTGTCTCCTCTCTCTCTCTTCAGTCTCCTCCTGATCCCTGTTGTAAAAGACCAAAGTAGCCACTTTCAGGAGGTTCTCTAAAGTGCTATCTTGTCCCATGGCCTGCTTCTGCAGCTTCCTCCTGATACCAGGGGCTGCCTCCTAAACTTACTCTTTAGGATTAGTTGTCCCTCAAATGAATTAGGGGATAGAGAGGTGTACCAAGGCTTCTCTTAGCCTCTCCAGAAAGGAAATGGGTCATCTGATCCCTGGTCTATCATGGATAGTTTGGAGTAATTGAGAGGCTTAGTTTTAGTCCTTCATAAGCAACCAATATGCACATCTGAAAGTGTTTCCTCCTCTATTCTCCCATGTTGTATTAGTCAGGGCTCTCTAGAGGGACAGAACTAATAGGAGATATATATATATATCTCTCTCTATATATATAGATATATATATATATATCTATGTATTTATGTACAGATATATATATATCTATGTATTTATATATAGATATATATATCTCTATGTATTTATATATAGATATATATATGTATTTATATATAGATATATATATATCTATGTATTTATATATAGATATATATATATGTATTTATATATAGAGATATATATATCTATGTATTTATATATAGAGATATATATATCTATGTATTTATATATAGAGATATATATAAAATAATATCTCCTATATCTCCTATTGTGTGTGTGTGTGTATATATATGTGTGTGTATATGTGTGTATATATATATCTGTGTATATATATGTGTATATATATATCTCCTACATATATATCATATATATATATGGGAATTTATTAAGTATTAACTTACAAAATCACAAGGTCTCACAACAGGCCATCTGCAAGCTGTGGAGCAAGGAGAGCCAGTTCAAGTCCCAAAACTGAAAAATTTGGAGTCTGATGTTCCAGAGCAGGAAGCATTCAGCATAGGAGAAAGATGTAGGCTGGGAGGCTAGGCCATCTGGTCTTTTCACAATTTTCTGTCTGCTTTATATTATAGCCACACTGGCAGCTGATTAGATTGTGCCCACCCAGATCAAGGGTGGATCTGTCTTTTCCAGCCCACTGATTCAAATGTTAATGTTCTTTGGCAACACCCTCACAGACACACCCAGGATCAATACTTTGCATCCCTCAATCCAATCAAGTTGACAGTCATTATTAACCATCACAAGTCAACCCCTTGTCAACTTGAACCCATACACATGTCCTGAGATTATACATAATCAAATAAAGACAACAATAAGGTAATAATTACACCTAACATAATAAAACTATCCTTTGTACATCAGGAAACGCACCAATCCCCAACCCAAATACTATTACATAAAGTTAATAATACTTAAATGCTGAGGTGAAGTCAATAAATCTTATGTCACATGATAGAGGGGAAAGGAAATAAAATGAAGATGTTTTCTTAGTACAGGTGTATACATGCACAAACATGTTTTTAATGAAAGAAGGAGGAAATACTTATGACAATTACAGTCCTCATTTCTGCAGCTGGTCATGTGGTCATAGCTGGTATTGATGACTACCTTCTTCAACTACCCATTCTGTATTCCCTTTGCCTTCAGCAAGCACCTCAGCAGGTTTTTTTTTTTTTTTTTTTTTTTTTTCCTGGTGGAATGACCCAAGCCTTCATTCCTGAAGGGTCTGGGTCATTTGTAGTCCCACCTGGGTTGGGGTGTTGCAGTTTCCCATTGACATTAATCACAGGGCATGGTAATACTGTGAGATGCCCTAATGGATCTCCTATATTCCACGTATACTGTTCCTTACCTTTGTTGTGGAGTAGTAGACTGATTTCATCTTGATAGTCCAGGTCAATCACATCAGCCAACGCTGTAACTCCCTTCTTAACCTGTTGTCTTAAAGGTAGGAGGAGCCCAAAGTGTCCAGGTGGCAATCTTAACATCCAGTTTAATGAATCATTGTTGTGTCTCCTGGTGGAAGCATTCCCCTCTCTAGAACTAAGACTTCTAGACTAGTAGAATGTAATGCCATGGGAACAGGAAGCAAGAATTTTGCTAGTGTATCACTAGAAGTGATGGTGAGTGGTGCCACTTCCACTTCCACCCCTTGATTCCTGGACCTGTGAATCCTGTCTATGGGAGAAACAGTACCATATATTGGATGCTGATTCAGAACATGCATGGCCTTCTGGAGAACTTTGCCTCATCCAAGCGAAGTATTATCACCTAGTTGGCATTGTAATTGTGACTTCAAAAGGCCATTGCACAGTTTTTATCAGTCCAGCTGCTTCAGGATGATGGGGAACATGATAAGACCAGTGAATTCCATAAGCATGATCCCACTGCCCCACTTTTTTAGCTGTAAAGTGAGTGCCTTGGTCAGAGGCAATGCTGTGTGGAATAACATGATGATGGATAAGGCATTCTGTGAGTCCATGGATGGTAGTCTTGGCAGGAGCATTGTGGGCAGGATACACAAACCCATATCCGGAGTAAGTGTGTATTCCACTGGGCACAAATCTCTGCCCCTTCCTTGATGGAAGAGGTTCAGTATAATCAACCTGCTACCAGGTAGCTGGTTGATCACCCTGAGGAATGGTGCCATATTGTGGGCTCAGTGTTGGTCTCTGCTGCTGGCAAATTGGGCACTCAGCAGTGCCCATAGCCAGGTCAGCCTTGGTGAGTGAAAATCCATGTTGCTGAGCCCATGCATAACCTCCAATCCTCCCATCATGGCCACTTTTCTCATGGGCCCATTGGGCCATGACAGGCTTGGCTGGGGAAAGAGGCTGAGTGGTGTCCACAGAACGGGTCATCCTATCCACTTGATTATTAAAATCCTCCTGTGCTGAGGTTACCCATAGGTGAGCACTCACATGGGATACAAATATCTTCACAGTTTTGACCACTTAGAGAGGTCCATCCACATATCTCTGCCCCAAATTTCTTTGTCACCAATTTTCCAATCATGCTGCTTCCACATCCCTGATCATCAAGCCAAACCATTGGCTACAGTTCACGAATCAGCATATAATCACACATCTGGCCATTTCTCTATCCATGCAAAGTGCACAACCAGGTGCACTGCTCAAAGTTCTGCCTACTGGGAAGAATTCCCTTTACCACTGTCCTTCAGGGATGTCCTAAAAAGGGGCTGTACTGCTGCAGCTGTCTACTTTTGGGTGGTACCTGTATATTGTGCAGAACCATCTGTGAACCAGGACTTAATCTTCTCTTCCTCTTTCAACTGATCATAGGTAACTCCCCATGAAGCCATCAGTGCAGGCTGGGGAAGAGAAGGTACGGAGGCAGGAGGGGAGCATTTGAGCCACTTCCTCAAGTAACTTACTTTTGCCTTCAGAACCTGCTTGAGCCCAATCACGTATATACCACTTCCATTTGATGATGGAATGCTGCTGTGCGTGCCCCACTTTATGACTAGATGGGTCAGAAAGCACCCAGTTCATGATAGGCAGTTCAGGTCACATGGTGACTTGATGACCCATAGTCAAACGTTCAGTTTCCACCAAAGCCCAGTAACAGACCAACATCTGTCTCTCAAAAGGAGAGTAGTTATCTGCAGAAGATGGCAGGGCCTGCTCCAAAATTTTAGAGGCCTCTGCTGTGATTCACCTATGGGGGCCTGCCAGAGGCTCTGATCAGCATCCCTATCTGCCGCTGTCACCTCAAGCACTATTGAATTTGCTGGGTCATATGGCCCAAGTGGCAGAGCAGCTTGCACAGCATCCTTGATCTGTTGCAGAGCCTTCTCCTGTTCTGGAGCCCACTCAAAACTGGCAGCCTTTTGGGTAACTCGATGAATAGGCCACAGTAACACACCCATATGAGGAATGTCTTGCCTGCAAAATCCAAATAGGCCCACTAGGCATTGTGCCTCTTTCTTGGTTGTAGGTGGGGTCAAATTCAGCAACTTATCCTTCACCTTAGAAGGAATGTCTTGAAAGATCCCACACAACTGGACCCCTAGAAAGTTTACTGAGGCAGAAGTTCCCTAAATTTTAGTCAGATTTATTTTCCATCTTCTGGCATGCAAATATATCACCAATAAGCCCTGTGTGTTTGCTACTTCTTGCTCACTGGATTTCATCAGTATAAGACATGAATGTAATGAACGAGTGTGACATCTTGTAGAAGTAAAAAGCGATCAAGGTGTCTCCGAAAAAGATTATGACACAAAGCTGGAGAGTTGATATACCCCTGAGGTAGGACAGTAAAGGTATATTGCTGGCCTTGCCAGTTGAAAGCAAATTGCTTCTAGTGGGCCTTATGGACAGGAATGGAGAAAAAGGCATTTGCCAACTCAATGGCTGCATACCAGATACCAGGAGATGTGTTAATTTTCTCAAGCAATAAAACCACATGTGGTACAGCAGCTGCAAATGGAGTCACCACTTGGTTAAGCTTTTGATAATCGACGATCATTCTCCAAGATCTATCTGTCTTCTGCATAGGCCTTATGGGAGAGTTGAACAGGAATGTGGTGGGAATCACCACCCCTGTGTCTTTTGAGTCCTTGATGGTGGCACTAATCTCCGCAGTCCCTCCAGGGATATGGTATTGTTTTCAATTTACTATTTTTCTAGGTAGAGGCAGCTCTAATGACTTCCATTTGGCCTTTCCCACCATAATAGCCCTCACCTTACCTGTCAGAGAGCCAATGTGAGAGTTCTGCCAGCCTGCTAAGTATGTCTATGCCAATTATGTGTTCTAGCACTGGAGGAATAATCACAGGATGCACCACAATTCAGACCTGAGCTAAAACTCCATTAGTTACCTGACCTCCATAACCCCCTACTTTAACTGGAGGACCACAGTGACATTTTGGGTCCCTAAGAATCAATGTCAGCTCAGAGGCAGTGACCATTAGTCCCCGAATTATCTGATCTTTTCCCTTCCTCCAATGCACAGTTACCCTAGTAAAATGCTGGAGGTTTCCTTGGGGAAGAATGGGAGAAAGATTAACAGCATAAATTGTCAGTAGTGTAGTGGTGTCCTTCCTCAAGAGGTCTTGGCTCCCCCTTCATTCAAAGGGTTCTGTGTCTGTAAACTGGCTCAAGTCTGGAATTTCACTGAGGGGCCATGATTCTCTGTTTTTATAATTCAAATTCATCTTTTGTCCCTTCTACGTAGAAGTTTTCTGCTTATATAAATTAAGTAGAAATACAGTAGGCTTCCTATCAATTTCACTTCCAGGAACTCCGTGATTAATTAGCCAATGCTAGAGCTCTACTTGAGTCAGACTATTCTGATTGCTTCTTTGTCTCTGCTATCCATTACGGTACCTATGCTCACCTTGCTTTTGATGGTTGAGTGTCGCCACTTGGTCCCTGCCATCTCAGGATCCAATTATTCCAATTGTGTTTAAATTTTGTAGATGAGAACTGCGGTTCCTACTATTAGATCTGACATACAGAGAAGAGCAATTACAGGGCTCTTCAAAGATGCGGGTGCTATCCTCACAAATCTATTTTGCAAGGCATTGGTCAAGTTATATCTTCTGGACCCTCTCAGCTAGGATGATTAGGTCTGAAGTGACTAATCCACTCCAGCATCCCAATCTCCCTAAGCCTTTGGATCCTTTCCTCTATATTAAACCAAGGGAGATCAGGCACAGTAGGCCATCTTTTAATCCATATTTCAGCTAACCAAGCAAATAAACTACTAGAACCTTTTTTACTCCCCAAGCTGCAATATTAAATTCAGAGTCCCTACTTAGTGGGCCCAAATCAATAAATTTAGCCTGATCCAACTCTATGTTTCTTCCACTATTATCCCACACCCTTAATATCCATTCCCATGCCTGTTCTCCAGATTTCTGTTTATATAAATTAGAAAACTCAAGCAGTTATTTTCGAGTGTAGTACACCTCCTCGTGGTCACACTCTCAACCTCATCTCTAGGGGCCTGCCGGGACTTTAGTCTAGTTATAGATCTAGAAGCAAACAGGTGTTGGGTGTGGCTCCTGAGAAGAATCAACATTATCTTTCCTGGCAACTGCCTCAGGGGAAGTCATCACTGTTGCTTCAGGCAGCACAGGGTTTATCTCCTCAGACAAAGGTGGAAAGGCTGATGGCAGCATGGGTTGGGGAGGGGCTGTTGCCACTACTGGGCATGGGGATGCTTTTCCTTCTGGCAAAAAAGTTTCATCAGAGTTTACAAACTCAGTGTCCCCATCTTCATCAGCATCCTTCCACATGTTCCCATTCCAAGTTGCAGGGTCCCATTCTTTTCCAATCAATGCCCTCACTTTAATGGTAGACACCTGGAAAGGCTGCACATGCACTTTTTGTTGTAGGTTAGCCACTCACATGATAAGAGCTTCTGTCTTTTTTTCCACAATTTCAGCTCGTTCTCTACAGGAGATAGGTCTCTCAGGGAAACCTTGGCAGATTTGAGGCTCAGTATCTGCTTCTGAAGTTGGGAGATAGAATCCCTGGGTTCCTCATTTTCTTTCATCACTTTGTCTACTGAACTTAGGAGCAACCAACCAGCTTTATTACATTCCCCACATATGGTCAAAGGTATTATATATATAGTCACTTAACTCCTTGCCTCTCATGTTTGGTGACTCAGGAGTGTCAAATGCATTTATTTTGTGTATCTCTATAAGCAGTTCACACCAAGGACTGTCAGTGTTCTCCATACTATTAGAAGTAGAGTCCTTAGCATTTTTGAGTCTAATCATATTAAGCAGCCAACTCCAGAAACCCTAAAACCAATGAAAGAACTCTATCCTTAATATTCTGTTCCTCTAGAACCACTCCTGGTACCAAAATCTGTATTAGCCAGGGTTCTCTAGAGGGACAGAACTAATAGGAGATATACTGGCAGCTGATTAGTTGGTGCCCACCCAGATTAAGAGTTGGTCTGATTTTCCCAGCCCACTGACTCAAATGTTAATCTCCTTTGGCAATACCCTCACAGACACACCCCAGATTAATACTTTGCCTCCTTCAATTCACTGAAGTTGACACTCAGTATTAACCATCACACATGTCATCATTGGGGTCCCATTTAGGGTCCTCCAATGGTACTGCTGTTTTTCCAATTGTATAAAGCTCTTCCCCTTGCTTGGCACTATATGAGGTACAAAGCTCATCCCCAAATTTCTCTGCCACTTGCAGGGCTGTCTGCTTCTCAGCGGTAGTCAGGATTCGATTCCAAAGTAACATTACATCCTTCCAGGAGAGTTCAAATACTTGGGTTAAATTCTGGAAAGCCTCTATATAACTGTCCGGGTCATCTGAAAACCTGCCAAGATCCCCCTAAATTTGTCTTAAGTCCTGTAGAGTTCAGGAGACCTGTATCTTAATGGGTTATATTCACAAGGCATTTTCTATAGGGGCATGAGCAAGGCTTGGACCTGCCTAAAATGATTTTTAGGATGGGGGCAAAATAATATAAGAAGTTTTTTCTTCAAAGTCTGAGGGGTCACAGGAGTCCCAGTGATTCAGGATACACTTGAGGGGAGTGCAGGCTGCAGGTGGTTTGTTACCCACCTGAAAAGAGAGAGGGGAGAAAAGGCATGCCTTAGTCTCTCCCTTGCTAATCTTGAATTTGAAGCATCCCTCAAATCTCAGTAACTGGTACTGGCACCATGGATGGGCTCTTGCTGCTTATGCCATGGTTGTGAGTATGACCTTCCCCCATGAAGCAGAAAGGACTAGTTGGCAGGGATAGTCATGCTTACCTGCACTCTGTCCTAGCCTTCTGTTGTTGACTTCCTCTGGTTCCTCAGATCTAGTTTTCTTTTTAGGGCTCCAAACTGAAGCATGAAAAATACACTGGAGTAATGGTAAGGTGAAGCTATGGAAATAGATCCTTCTCAAACAAAGGAAAGAAAAGGAACCCTGAGAACTGGGGACCTGGCCTAATAAGATGTCTTCCAAAAGGAAAAAATCAGTCCTTCACATAGAAAAGCTCCTTGTATTTTCAGGATTATGTTGATTCCTGACATGGTGGGAAAAGAAACAACTTAAATGCAGAGGAGGGAAGGTCCCTGGGGGAAGTGGTCTCTTGCACTATGCTAATGGGTTTCTTCAACAGGGGAAAGAAAACTCTCTTAATTTTTACATCCCCCTGTTTCTAAGAATAGACAGAAACAACATGGTTCAGGTTTACACTCCCGATAACTAAGCCAAGTATTCATTCTACCCACTAATATTATCTTTTTGGCTTGCAAAAACACTTGTAACATTGTATATAAAGAAGGGATAGAAGCCACAAGAGTCTTGAAAGAAAGAAAATGTGATAGGAAAGACTGGAAGTTTTGGTGCAACACCTGAACAGGCTGTCGGGAATTGGAGCCAATCCAGGAGTCTTCCAGTAATGTCGAGGCATGGCCTTGGCCAGATACCTTCAATTGCCCCAGGACCTTATTCTGATCCCACATGACAGCTAGAATTCTGGAAGAGAAGCTGGATTGGAATAAAGTGAACATTTCCAACACCCGAGGGTGAAGGGGGATTGACAAAATCCTCCCCTGCAAGCCTGTTCTCTGAATCTTATAGACCAGCAGCTGCACTATCCACTCTTAACTGGCTGACAAAGGCCCAGTGTTCTATCTGTTTTTGTAAAAAATCTGAGGACAAGAAGCCTCGGAATGAAAGTAAAGAGTCATAGGTCCACTCTTACTCAAACTTTAATTGATCCTGGATGAACCCCCAGAAATGTTGTGGCATTTTTGCTCGCATAGTTTGGTGAGTGGGAAGGAGTGGCACCCAGTGGCTTCTTCACTCCCATAGCTCAGTGAGCAGGAGGGAGCGGGGCCCAGTGGCATTTTCTCTCTCTTAGCTCAGGTAGTGGAAGGGGATGTTACAGCTCTTTTACTCTCGCTGCCCACAGCTTGGTGAGCAGGAGTGTTACAGCTCTTTCATTCAAGCAGTTCAGAGATTTCTACATTCTTGTCCTGTGACCAAAAGGAATAAGGTATGTGGACACTGGAGAGTGAGTAAGGCAGAGTAGAATTTTATTGAGCAACAGAAAGAAAGCTCTCAGAAGCAAGAGGGGACCCAAAAGCTTGTTGCCATCTGTGAAGCTGAGTCGGGTTTTTATGGGCTTAGAATGGGGGAATGAATGCTGATTGGTCCATGGGTGGGCTCGAAAAAGGCATCATTTGATGGGTTAAAAGGCATCATTCAGAAGAAATCAACTGAGAGAGAGTAGATAAGATGGGGATGGCAGTTTTCACTCTGGTCCTAGACTCTATCTGGAACTGGAAGCTCAGTTTTCAGGCTTTAGGCTATCCTTGGCTTGAAGGTCAAGTTTCACCAGGGACCCATCCCTGTCCACCTATGAATTTGTCTGTCTCCTGTATCTATCAATGGGGCACTGCCTAATAAAGCTGTGAGAAGAGGGCCACCATCCTCCAGACCTCAGAATGGTAGATCCACTGACAGCTTGCACCATGCACCTGAAAAAGCCACAGACACTTAACACCAAGCTATGGAAGCAGCTGGGAGGGGAGTTATACCCTGCAAAGCCAGAGGAATGGAGCTGCCCAAGGCCATGGGAGCCCATCTCATGCATCAGCATGACCTGGATGTGAGACATGGAGACAAAGGAGATGATTTTGGAACTTTAAGGTTTAATGACTGCCCTGTTGGAGATCAGACTTGCATGGGGCCTGTAGCCCCTTTGTTTTCACGATTTCTCCCATTTGGAATGGGAGCATTTATTCAATGTCTGTACTCCCATTGTACCTAGGAAATAACTAACTTGCTTTTGATTTTACAGGATCATAGGTGGAAGGGACTTGCCTTGTCTCAGATGAGACTTTGGACTTGGACTCTTGAGTTAATGCTGAAATGAATTAAGACTTTGGGGGACTGTGGGAAGGTATCATTGGTTTTGAAATATAAGAACATGAGATTTGGGAGGGGCCAGGGGCAGAATGATATGGTTAGTTTCTGTGGCCCCACCAAAATCTCATCTTGAATTGTAATCCCCATAATTCCCACATTTTGAGGGTAAAAGAGGTGGAGATAATTGACTCATAGGAGTGGTTTCCCCCATGCTGTGCTTGTGATAGTGAGTGGGTCTCACAAGATCTGATGGTTTTAGAAGTGTCTGGCATTTCCCCTTCTTGCACTCACTCTGTCCTGCTGCCCTGTGAAGAAGGTGCCTATTTCTCCTTTTCTGTCTGCCATGATAGTAAGTTTTCTGAGGTCTCCCCAGCGATCTGGAGCTGAGTCAATTAAAGCTCTTTTCTTTATAAATTGCCCAGTCTTGGGTATTTCTTCATAGCAGTGTGAGAATGGACTAATACAGGGTTGTATATCAGAAGTCATATAAAGATAGAAGAATATTAAACAGGTACATTTAAATTTTGTCATGAGGTTATGACAAGTTACTCTGACTTCACTAAGCAAACCACCTGAGCTGTTTAGATATCTTAAGTCTAGCTAGCAAAATAAAACACTGTCTATATCAATGTAGCAGTATATGTGAAAGGGATTTGTAAATTCTGTAATGTCATAAATAGGAGTACTATTTTTGTACTAATAGAAAATTTTTAAGTGTGGCTTGTTCTTGTGGCCTGTTAACATGAATGTGATGGTAGCTACTATTACAAAATTACCACCTCTTCTCTACTCTCGAGGATGGTGATTCACTAGCAACAGTTTCTCTTTAGGAACTTTGATATCAGGGAATGCCTTTCATAGTTCCGTATCCCAGGCATTTAGCCTGCTATTTGCACATTAATACATTAATACATTAATTCATTTTTTTGAATGAATTAATAAAAACTATGTGACTGTTCTGGAAGATTCTGCCATATTCCTACTCTGTGAGTGGTGGGAGGGGGAAGCTAAAATCAAGGAGGCTTCACTTAATTATTCTTATCCATTCATCTTCTGAATACTCTTAAGAATCTTCAATTTAACCAATAGTCTTAAATAATCTTACTAAGGGTTTTTAATACATTTAATGAGTTATAAATCAAGGATAAGGATAGAAAATTGGCAGTCCATAGATGCATTTTGTTTGGTCCTCCCAATGTTGACATTTCTCAGGGTTAAATAATTATAATAAAAATTTACTGTCAGCATTAAAAATTTATTCTAGTTCACCTAAACATGTATTCTTTTCTCTTTTTCTTCTCCAGGCACACTGGCTTCCTTTTTTTTTTTTTTTTTTTTTTTTGTAAAATGCCACATTTACTCTTAAATTCTGGACTTTGAACTGGCTTTTTCCTATGCCAGGAATGTTCTTCTTCTAAATATCATCATGGTCAACTCTATCACTGTCTTAGTCTTTAATCGAATGTCACCTTCTCCATGAGGCCTCGCCAGATTGCCGCATGTATAATTTCATACATCATGCCCCAAAAAATTCTCCCCATGTACTTCCAGTCTCTCTTACACTGCTTTTTCTTTCTACTGCATTTTTAATCTAACATTTTATGTGATATACTTGTATATGTTTATTATTTATTTTCTGTCTCCTCAATATATTATAAGCTACATGAGGATTGAGATCTTTTTGTTTGTGTGTGTGTGTGTGTTTACTAGTGTATTTCAGGCAATTGGAATAATGCTTGATAAATTAGGACTATCAATAAATATTTGTTGAATGATTCAACGAAAACCCCAAATATATGGCTCCTTTTGAAAAAAAAGCACTATCTGTTAACATTGGGCTTACATTCCTACATCCTCCACCATTTGTTGGAACTGAGAGGCAACAGGTGCTTTAGGCAAGACATGCATGCATTCCTCGGTCCTCTACAGCCATCACCACCACACTTGTCTTCCCAGTGCTGAGCCTTATCTGCATTGGCATTTATCTTCATATTTATTCTTTTTTTTACAATAAAGAGGAAAACTATGTCTAGTACTCATATCTATATCAAAAGGGGGTAACATGGGATAAAGAAAGATCAAGAAAGTTATATGTTTATTGAAACAAGGGGGACAGCATGTTTCCATGTTGAGGTGATCTACGTGTTAAACATGTAGAATATATCTCTTCATATGTCCACCTAGTTCATTCATTTGAATTATTTTTCTGATGCCTGGCTTTTGAATTTCTGACCTCTGCTCTAAATAGACATAACTGCAACTTTACTTAAAATTCAAAGATAAGAAGTATGGAAGCATGCATTATCAGAAAGAAGATAAAATTATGGAAGCTTACAATAAGATCAAGTATCTTGAGTAGCTAATAGTAGAAGTTAGTTATTTTACTGTGGAATTTTATTACATTTTAAGTTGCCAACCCACACAAAGATAATCCTTGTGGACATCTATAGAGAATTAAATTTTCAGTTAGCTAAGATGCTATAACTTTGGGCATAAACTTGCATTTATAGCTGGGCATGTAAAGCAAACAGATGCCAATTGGTTGGGACAGTACTATTAGGCATATCCCCTTAGCCAATAATGCAAATAAGTTAGCCTTGCTACAGCAAAGTTTTGCCTTGCCTTTGAGGAATGGAAGCAGATTAAAGCAGGGAAGAGATGTCAATATCATCCATACTTTCTATCCACAAAACTAATCAGAAAATCTTTGACATTTACTCAGAGTAATACCATACCTGAAATAGGTGAATCTATGAATTCTTAATTTAGTAAATCTGTTAGAAACAGGTCACCATTTTCAAAAGCTGTTACATTAATTCACTTTGGTGTAAAGCATTGTCTAGCACTATTTCAGCACCCAGTATTGACAGAAGTGATCACTTGTGTCATCATATGGCACACACTTTTCCGAACCTCCATATGCTTTTGGCTACCTGTCTTTCTATTTTGTACACTTTCCCTTTGAATATTTTTAGGTTTGCAACACTTTTATGTGATTATCATAGTGTTAAACAGAAGTTATAATTTACTGTCCAGGATTATTTTACATATAACATGTAACTGACCCTTTCAGATGTTTTTTATTATTACATAACAAGCTTATCAAAAAGAAAAATTGAATAACTTAGAAATAATATTTATTAAATTGTAATTATTAACCTGTTAGCATTAAAGTCAGGATAAGATAGCTGAGCTGTATTGCAATTTCAATTACAAAAATGCGTGCTTATTCTTCATTTTGGAAGCCCGCCAACTAAAGAATATATTAGGCAGTGAACGCAACATGACAAGCCATTCAATTCAGCAATTTCTAGTTGGTCAGATACATCTTCAGGCAAATTTAACCTTTATAAGGCTTATTCTTGGTCTCTGTTTTGTAGAGATTACAGAATTGTTTATTTTAAATAAAAATTATGTTGAGAGAGGTATAATCTAAAAGTCATTGAAATTTCCACTTCTATCAATTTTAGGTTACATGCTGCTAGGTAAGAGGAATTAATAAAAGTTTAGAAAGTCTTCATTCATTTTCAAAGTAAACTGCTAGTAGAGAAACTGCCTTACTTTCTAAACCTTAATAGAATACGTTTTTATTGATAAATGTCCAATTCATTGACTTTTGTCATCTTTCAATTAATTGCTTACATTTTTTGTTTTTAATAAGGTTTTAAAAGTTGTTATAACCATTTATCACAACTGTGAACTGACTTGACTTGAAACCATTAGCAAAATAAACACCTGTATTTTAGTAGCTACCCATAAGCAATAACTACATACTATGTAAGTGCCCCCTGACCTCCTGAATCCTGCTTCAATTTTGTTTAGCCTCTGTTTAAGCTCCTGGGGATTATGGGGGCAACCAGTATGGCTTCCAAAGAAACAGAGGGATAAGTAACCCAGGTGTGTCCTCTTTGTGCCAGTAGTAGGAACTATGCCAGCTGGCTGCCCTCTGGCACTGTGCATAGTGAACAGAATATTTCTTGCATTCCCCAAAGGGAAATTTTAGTAAAAGGAACACAAATGAATTGGATCATTATTCCCATTTCTCAGAAAAGGTCTGTGCAAGAGAAGGGCACAGACTTCATTCTTTGCTTTATGACACAAGTTTATTAAGGTTGCCATTGCAGTGATTTTTGTAAATGAAGGAAGCATCAGAACATCACTGAAATACATACTATAATTGGGAATTACAGACAGTAATAGGATATCCTGACTTGGTAATGAGAAGAGAAAATGAGACTTCCCTAAACTTTTTCTCAGTATGTATGATCTTATCTAAAACTTGAAATTTTGGTGTCTGCACAAAAACCCAACTCAAATATCTCAGTGGATTAAAACAGCAAAATATATCTCTCTTGTACTACATTGTGCAAGGGAGCTTCGCTCATCATAATCACTGAGGACCACAGGCTGGATGGGAGTTCCTGCCCCATACTTTCATATTATCAAATGAAGGGCACAAAGGGGTGGCCAAACACATGCTGGCACTTCAGGCTTGCCCCCATGTTGCTTTTGCTCACATTTCATTCATCAGGTAAATCACATGGCCACACCTAGGTACAAGAGGGCACAGAACTGACATTTGTAAATAACTCTAAAACTACTAAACATCCCGATGCTGAATTTGTCTCAGTTTAAGGAAATGTCAGCAGCAAAAATTAGTGCCATGTGCTGGGTTTTGACAGTAGTAAGATTATAAGCATTTTCTTATTTAGTAGGAAGGAGGAGGTTTATAAAATCAAATGGTATAATGATTCTTCTAATTTTTTATTTAGAATTTTTATTTTATTTATTTATTTAAAAATGTTCATTTTTATTAACTAATAAACTGAGATTTAGGTTTAGGTATAATTATGTTCTTCTTAGGTAATTATAAACCATCAGTGGAACATGCAATTTGAAATATCTGATTACTCCCTGACACAGAGTCTGGTAATAGATGAGAAAAAGGCTTTGTGAATCACGGTTCTGATTAGAGTGTAGAATTATGTATCTAGGAACCAGATTGTTAATAAGGTGGCAAAGCCCATTTATGCTAGAGGAAAAAGAATATTAAATAGATAAGCCATTAAGTTAATTTGCTTATATTCTTTTAAATATGGTATTTATAGATTACATACATATTTAATTCCATGATTTTCTGTGTTAAAAGTAACATTAATTCCTTATAGAAAAATTTGAATATGCAGAAATGAATGAATACAAAATATTATAAAGTAAAAAGCATATGAAGTTAGTTGCTATTAATATTTGGACACACTTTATTTTAGTTGCACACATATATGTGTAAATATACATATATCATTTATATTAAGTGGACACTTTCCTATGTCCGTATTCTTCATGAATATTATTATTAATAACTAAATAATGTTTCATCATCTGGATGCATGGCATTCTATGGTTCAATCAAATTAAACACCCTTTATTTGAAATTTAGGTGTTTCTAGTCCTTCACTATAATAAATAACGATGCATAGAAAACTTTATATGTAGATCTTAGCAAATTGGTCTGAATATTTTCTCAGAGTACGTTTTTAGAAATGGACTTAATTATGGAAGGTGTTTGGTCATTATTTAACATAATTGATACATATTGCCAAATTTCTTTCTAGAAAGTTTGCATTATTACCAGCAGTGTATGAGAGCACCTGTACAAATTTACATGGTATATATATTGAACCTGTTATATTAATGCTTACAGATAGGCTTTATAAATCTTTTAACTGTTTGCTAAATTTCGAAAGATGGGTTGTTGAGCAGATGGATTCTCAAACTTAAGCAAGCCTCAGAATCACCTAGAAAGCTCACTGAAAACAGATTGTTGGGCCCCATTCACAGAGACTCTGATTTAGTAAGTTTGGGAAGGGGTTTGAGAATTTGCTTTGCAAGTAAGTCCCCAGATAATGTTGATGCCCTTGTCAGAGGCTTGCTTTTGGGAGAACTGTTGAAATTGACTAACGGGAGTTTGTTTTAAAGTAATAGTCATTATTCTTCAACATAGTAAAAATAGGCACTTACTTAACTTTAGAAGCTAAATATTTTCTAAGCATATCAATTTTTGTGGGTTAGCCTTTAATTGTATTCTAAAAGTGTTTCTTAAAATAATTCCTTCTATGCAAAATACTGTGCATACTAAGAAAACATAAATCTAACCATTTCCTATGTTTTTAAATCAAGCAGATCTTTTATCTCTGTTCGTTAGTTTATGACACAAATAAGAAGTTTAGTCAAGAAATATAATGTTAAAATAATGATGCTGTGAAGTTTCTAAGTGAATGTTTATGGTTGTACATCTTTTTTTTCATTTTATGGCTTCAGCCTTATCTTATATGAGTCAAAGTTAAAAAAGTTTCAGGGATAAATTTAAAATACAATAAAACTATTTTGTTTTATATAAACATCTAGAATAGAAACTTTAAAGACTAATTAGATACTTGAGGAGTACTAAATTAAAAATATTTAAGTACATTTGGGAAACATCATTTTGCAAATATCATCCTTCTCCCTACAGTCTAAAGCCCAAGAAATGAAGACAAACATAAAGGTCAAGTAATTGAATAGATATATGAGTAAGAAAGACTTTTCCTGACCCATTCGTATTTTCATACTTAGATTGTGAATGTCAATTAGCTCAATCAAGCCTTGCTGATAATGTCAGCTGTCAGTCACTCCTAGGTAGTGATGTGTGAAGTTTGTCAGCGGGTAATGGGCCATTTGAGTGATGAATGAAATAATGAGGGCACAGAAGCCTAAGCAAAACGTCTCCATTTTTGGTAAATTCCTCTCCACATGGGAAATTAAGACAAGGAAAGAAAAGCCATATAAAATCTCTTTTAATACGGTGTTTATTTTAAAAATATATATCTTAAAATATCTTTTAACTTTTTATTTTTAAAAATTAATTTAAATGGTCAGTGATTAATTATCATTTCCCAATAGTATTGATCAGTGTAAGCAACATTAGGTACTGCAAGAGATAAGCTTGCTCCCAGATTCACGTTGATATTTTGACTTGAATTGAATATTTAAATCGAACTTCTTCAGAAGTTTATCAGCAGACTTTCTGAGTCCATGGACTATCTATACTAATAAGACCTTGCTTTATATCTCTGAATAAAGTGTAGTTTCTTTCTTTAGGCTTAACACATTTCTTGTTAGTGTTCTAGTAGGTATTTTTATCTGATTGCTGTTAGAGTTAGAGTTAGTGGAATATTTTTCTTTTCTTTTTTTTTTTTGAGACAGCGTCTCATTCTGTCCATTCAGGCTGGAGTGCAGTGGCACAATCCTGGCTCACTGCAACCTTCGCCTCCTGGGCTCAAGCGATCCTCCTGCCTCAGCCCCCCAAGTAGCTGGGAGTACAGGTGGGAGCCACCATGCCTGGCTAATTTTTGTATTTTTTGTAGAGATGGGTTTCACTACATTGCCCAGGCTGGTCTCGAACTCCTGAGCTCAAGCGATCCACCTGCTTTGGCCTACCAAAATGTTAGGATTACAGGCATAAGCCACTGCACCCAGACAATATTTTTCTTTTATATCTTCTGTTAATTCATTGCATACTAGCGAAACTTACTAATTTTATAATTTGTCAGATGTAATCAGCCATCATAATATGGTCCCTTTAGTTTCTTTTTCCTTTTGGCTTATCTATCTAAACATCTATCAGTGTAATCATATCTGTAATTAATGATCATTTTATCTCCTCTTTTCCAATAGTTTTATTGCTTCTTTATTTGCTTATTATCTTTTGCATATTTCTACTCTAGCTTTTTCCAGTGATGCATTTTTTTTTTTCATTTATGCTGTGTCCTTCACAGGACTGTGAATCCTTGGAGTGGAAGCAATGTATTCTACTTATATTTGTGACCTAGTAATTAACATAGTGCCTGAAATAGAGTAGATACTCAAATGTTGACAGAATGCCTGATTGAATAATTTTTCACTTCCACTTAAAAATTGTTTGGGGCAATTCCTGTGAATGTTAGTTCAATGAACAGCAAATAACAAGATAGGGAAGCAGACCTCTGTTGAGTGGCACAGATCTAGGGTCTGGGGGAAACCTGGGTACTCAAGGGACTCATGGGGAAAGAGGCCTAATAGATAGCTTGGCTTCCCGTGGGATGCCTAACTGATGTATTACTCAAGTTAAGAAAGAGGTACCCATTGGGTCTTTGAAATTGAAAATATTTTATTATTTTTAATTGTTTTCAGGGTACATGTGAAAACTCATATAATTTGTAAAGTTCACATCAGTATAATTGAGGTACCCATCACCTTAAATGTTTGTCTTTATGTTATAAATGTTTGAATTATTCTCTTCTAGCTATTTTGAAATGTACAATAGATTATTGTAAACTAGAGTCACCCTACTGATCTACAGAACACTAGGTCTTATTTCTTCTATGAAACTATGTATTTGTACCCATTATTCAACCTCTCCATCCTTCCTTCTCCACTGATCTTTTCAGCCTTCAGTAACCACCAATCAATTCTCTGTCTTCTTAGATCCACTTTTTTAGCTTCCACATATGAGTGAGAACATGCAGTATTTTTATTTCTGTGCTTGGCGTATTTCACTTAATATAATGAAGAGATGGCTGCATTCTCATGTTTATTGCAGCACTATTCATAATAGCTGAAATATGGAATCAACCTAAGTGCCCATGAAGGGGTGAGTGAAAAAAGAAAATGTGGTATATATACAATGGAATATTATTCGGCCATAAAAAAGAATGAAATCCTGTCATTTGCAGCAACATGGATGGAACTGAAAGTTATTATGTTAAGTGAAACAGGCCAAGCACAGGTTTTCCATTTTTTAAAATGTAAGACTATATTTAATTCCAACTGGCCCATAAAGCAATAACTTCTTTTATTATTGGTACTGAGACATATATAGATAGCCAGCTATTAACTGGTTATGAAACTGGGATTCAGTAAGATTATGTCAAAATCAAGTCTGCTTCAATCAATATCCCAGGAGAATATTAAACTTATAATTTGATTAATATAGAATTATTTCATAATAAATAAGTGGAGTATGAAACAATTCATGATGAATTTGCTATCCAGCTGAAATTAACATGCCACTAGTTGCAGAAATAATAAAAATAGCAATATAAATAGATAATGTTTATTAAGAATTTAATGAACATGTTAGGTGACTAACGTGATGAATGCTTTGCAGAGATTATCTCATCTTCATGCAGCGTTTAAGACAGGTATGATTGGGGTTGCATTTTACAGAGAGAAATATATATATATATTTTGAAAGCTTGTTAAATAGCTTGCCTAAGTTCACACTTATATGTGGTGGAGCTGAGTTGCTAAGGAAAGCCATTATTTTAACCCTGACTTTTATTTCACATAGAAAGCTTTAAAATAAACATGAGTGCCAGAGCCTTACTCTCAAATTATTATTTAATTTATTTGGGGTGTGACTCAGTGATACTGGTATTTTTTTAAAAAGCTGCCTAGTGAGTTCAATGTGCACTTTGAGTTAAGACCAGTGAACTATTAAAGCACACTGCTGAGAGCTTAGCTTTGCCTTCCAATTGTATCTTGTCAATACAAAAAAAGGTTATGTTTTTTTTGCTTGGAAGAATAATTTTAAGATTTATTTTACCTCTTCTATCCTGCACACATTGTCCTTATTTATGTATCTCACATTTACCTCACTGATCCTGCCTACCCATGTATTGGCCATTGTCTCCTGAAATATTTCAGCACATAGGCTGGGTGATATAAGAAATCTAATGTTTACCTCTGCAAGTGAATCTATGCTTAGATTGGATTGTTTTTACTAGGGTTTTGCCGCTCTCGATGTAAATCTTTTTTTAAATAGTTGTTCAGTTATCATTATATTTTACTATTTTATTAGCTCTACTAAGTAGGCAGCAGGACCTAGTTGATTAGGTCGTATTAAATACCTCTTTCTATGATTATTGGTTTAACAATGCTTATAAAAATTGCTGTGTTTATGGTTTCAGATATTTTCATGAAGTTCAAACAACTATATAAGACTGGATTTGGATCCATCTTGCTATATTTTCTAACATAGTAATTTACCCTTCCCCTATTTCCAACCCAAGCATCATCATTAAAATAAAATACCAGCAAAACAATAGAAAAATAGGCAATCAGCATAAATATGCAATTCAGAAAAAATGAAGTAAAGCAAATAAATAACAAATATAAAAATGTTTAACTTAATTATATATGAATTGGCAATAATTTTTTCCATAGGCTTTTTATTTTACAGATATAAAATAGTATATATGTTCATTATTTATATTGACCTAGGTGTTACTTCTTTTAGAATGTAAGCTCCATAAGGGAGAGAATTTTGTCTATTTTGTTTAGTGATATATTAAAAGAACTGAAACTGGTGCCTGTCATAAAATTGACACTCAATAATAAATATTATTCAAAGGAAATAACTATTGAAAGAATGGATTTTTTTAAGTGCATGTGTGTATGCACGTGTGTGTATACGCCATTAACAAAGATATGGTAAATTGCACACAGTACTACATGACTGGCAGCAGTATAATTGGTACAGCTTTTCTAAAAAGCAGTCTGTGAAAAGGTATCATGTTTTTCTCAAATATTTATTCTATTTGAATTATTTACACTTCTAGTACTATGCTTTAAGGAAATACTTAGTGAAGTGCAGATTTATAGACCAAAAACTCTGTTCATAACATTGATAACCATAAGAGAGACAAAAATCACTGAATAAGTAAAATGTGGCATTCATCATTCCTTCAAAACAGACTAAATGATGTGAAAATGCAGCAATGATAAATGAAAAACGAGAGAAGACAATAGAGCGTGCTTCCAATTTTGTAAAAATTGAGAGAGAAAGATGGAAAAAAATTAAGTAATTAAACCACAGTGTTAATAGTATTTATATCTGGGTGGTGAGACTAAGCGAGCTTTTAAGTTTTTGCAGAATTATGAAATGCAGAAAATTTCTATACGAATATGTACTACTTTGTTAATTAGAAATATATTATTTCACGCCAGAGGCGGTGCTCACGTCTGTAATCCCACCACTTTGGGAGGCCAAGGCGGGAGGATCACCTGAGGTAGGGAGTTTGAGACCAGCCTGGCCAATATGGTGAAAACCGTCTACTAAAAATACAAAAAATTACCCGGGCGTGGTGGCACGCGCCTGTAGTCCCAGCTACGCAGGAGGCTGAGGCACGGGAATCGCCTGAATCCGGAAGGCGGAGGTTGCAGTGAGCCAAGATCCCGCCACTGCAATCCATCCTGGGCAACAAAGCGAGACTCCATCTCAAAAACGAAAAAAAAAAAAAAAAGATTTTTCATGCCTAAAATAATGTTTGAGATAAATAATTTTTGAATAAGTAAATGGGTGCAAAAATTCATGATATGAGCCTTCTCTCAGAGCAATTTTAAAGAATTAGCTGTAAGGGGATTCATAACTTCTTTTTTTGAGTACAGTTAAGCAATTACTCTATCCTTCATTATGTGTTGAGTGCTTATTTGTAGCATGTCTTTTTTCCACTGAGGAAGGACTACTTTCTCATGGACTGAAAATGCTCTTTGATCTGTAGCTATGGTTTGCTTGGTGGAGCGGGCGGTGACCAAGAAATGACAGATGTGGATTCTAATATGTGTGATTTGACAGGATTAATAGAAATGGTTTACTTTCAGTAAGTGTTTTTAAATTAGTACTGTGTCCTTAGATTTAAAAAGAAAATCATAATCAATCAATTAGCAAATGTTAACTTTGTTACCCAATGAAAGTGTTTTTAGTCGGCCATTTATAGGGGACAAAAGGGGCATAAGAATTGTAGACTTTCGACTGCTGACACTACGGTTGGGCCTGGAAAGCTTATTTAAAAAAAGACAATTAACCAATAATATATGACAATGCTATATTGTGCTTCATTGGAATTCAAATAGGGAGTATTTTCAAGTAATTTTTAACATGTAACATGAGGCTTAGAATTGAAATTGGTTATATAAATTGATATTTGCCTTATTTAAAATTTTATCTTTTTAAATATTTTCTCAAAACTAAAATTGGAAATGAAGGACTTCATGTAAATTCTGGGCAAATATAATGTTTATGTTGTAATTTAATATTAAATCAGAGTATCAACCTGTGCAGTGATTTTGATATTTAACACAGAGCTCTTGTTTAATTTTTTTCTCTAGGATTCAGAATTTCCCATAGATATGCAACCAAATCCAAACCTGAATGTTTCTAAAGAAAGTCTTTCTCCAGCAAAATTTGACTACAAGCTGAAAAACATTTTTAGACTCCATGAACTTCCAGTGAGCTGGTAGGATTTTTGATGTTTTATTAATACTTTTGAGATTTTATTTTCATGTCAAAATTTTAATGCTCTTACAGCCATTCATGGTTGAAATGGTTTGCTTTTAGCCTTTCAAAATTGCTACTCATAGCATGAAAGAATCTGCTTATAGTAGCTGTAAGAATCTTAAAAGTAATTGGTTTAAGCACTTGGTGGCAGTACAGACTAAGTGCACTATTGTGTATTTTATTGTAGAGGTTGGAGTAAAAATGCACAAATCATTTTTAGAGAAGTTTCTAGGATTACTTTAAAGATAGGATCTCAGCAACTATACATTTCATTTGTTTATTTTACTCACCAATTTTACCAATGTACTTTTTCCCTGTTAATAAGTTCTTTTTACTTGTTTGTTATGAGGACTGTAATTTTGTGAACTATAATTACATAGGTTTAAAGATGAGACTTAGTATTACTCAACATTTATTGAAATAAATTGTTTTATGAATCTGCGTATTTATATTCATACACATTTATTTTAAATCTTATAAAATGGAGAGTATTTTTATTCAAAATTCAAAAAATCTGTAGAAAATATGCATATATAAACCTTATAATTCCATGGTACATTTACATTTCATTAAGTGGCCAGCTTTTGTTGATAATCATGGATACATCATTTTAATTATGGTTTAGTTTATATAAGTAACATTATTTTCTTGCATTTGGTCATAGAGTCCCAAATTTATGTAATTGTTCTTCAAGAAATCTAAGACTTATACAAAAATATATGGCATTTGTTTTGTAATTGCTCCTATTATACTTAAGGAGGACTAATGACTCAGAAGAGACATTAACCACTCTTTAACACATATATTTTACCTATAGTGAGTATTTTTTTTTCATTTGCAAAGCTTCCTCTGCTCTTGATGACCATATGGCATGTGCAATCTACTTCCTAAACCCCATTTGTTTGATTATTTCCTCATAGCAAGAATATTGTCTATGGTATATGTCGTGAGAACATAGCACATATGAATACTTCTGTCATAACCAAAAGCAGTAGGTGAATGAATTGAAAAGGTCTGTTAGTAAAGGGAACCATAAAAATGATACATTTATACCTTAGTGTTCTATTTCAATGTAAAACAAGTGCCTGTACATTCATATGCTAGTCTTTTGATGTAAGGTCGTGACTTTTTCTTATATGTCTATCGTTTGGAATTCTACACAATATTTCTTACCTAAGCCATGCCAATAATGCATCTTCTACAATTTCAATTTGTCATTTCTTTTATCTAAAATAAGAACTTCAGACAACTTCAGATGATCTCCCCACCTTTTTGTAACATTAATTTTCATTGACAGTAATTCTGTTTATCCTTCTCATATTTCATCACCATAACTAATGTTTATACTACAATAACAAACACAACTGGCTTATAAACAGGTTTAGGACCAAACTCTTGGGACTCTTTACAATCATGAACCTTGGCTGATGGGAGTGGCCAATGCTGGTCTACTTGTGTGATTAGAGAGCTCTGAGCAGTTGGGGTTCAGTGAGTGCAGCTTGTGTGTTTTGTGGAGATAATGGAACGTGTTAGTCAATACAGCAATTAAGTGGAGGTTAAGGGAAAAGCTTCTATTAAATGAAAATGTGGAGAAGAAACAGAGGGAAACATTTAGCTCTCAGTCAAAGGCAAAATATGGATTTCAGCTTAATTTATTTCCAGCCTTTGGAAAGACAGCTGTCCTGATTACTACTACTGCAACTCAAGGAATAATGGTTTTGTAACAATCTTCACTAGTTAGCCTATTAGGAGGGAAGGCTGTCACATTATTAGTTTATTAGTAGAAAAATAAATCGGTAAAGGAAAAATAATCACTAGTCTCTTAGAGTAACATACCGCAGTGGAAGATTAAGTTGTGACTTTGGGACAACTTACTTACATGGGACACTTTTTGCCTGTCTACTTCATTTCCAATTGGTCTCATTTTCTGCTTCCTTATACTACTATTTCTTTTTTTGCTGTGTGTGTTTGTCAGTCTCCCAAACACATGGCAAAAGTAGTAGTTTATTCTGCGACTTCTTTCTCTGTACTCTCATTCTATACTACCAGTCCTTAACTAGACATAATATAAAACTCAATTTAAAATTGTTAGTGTTTCTCAAATAGTTTCATAATCTGTGTTCTTAATTTTAAAACCAGTGGCCGGGTGTGGTGGCTCACGCCTGTAATCCCAGCACTTTGGGAGGCTGAGGTGGGCAGATCACTAGGTCAGATTGAGACCATCCTGGCTAACACAGTGAAACCCTCTCTCTACTAAAAATACAAAAAATTAGCTGGGTGTGGTGGTGGGCGCCTGTAGTCCCAGCTACTCGGGAGGCTGAGGCAGGAGAATGGCATGAACCCGGGAGGTGGAGCTTGCAGTGAGCCAAGATCGTGCCACTGCCCTCCAGCCTAGGCGACAGAGCGAGACTCTGTCTCAAAAAACAAAAAAAAACAACCAAAAGAAAACAGATACCACCCCCTCTACAGACATACACATACAGAATCTTAGTAAGTCTACAATACAGTGTTTATTGACCCAATTATATACTTTTTTAAGGAAAAAAGAAAGTTGTTTTTTTTTTTTTTGTGCTTGGGGACTATGTATTTTTAAAATTTATTTTTGTTTTTCATTTGCCATCAGTGGAAGGAAAGTTCTTCAGCTATGGTGTGTAGGTTTCTTAACTTCAAAAATATAGCAGTAAAAGTAATGACAATGATAATGGAAATAATATCAATAACAATGCTTTGCTAAGCCTCTATAAGTGCCAGGATTCAGCTGCTGTATACACACACTATGTCTGACCTTTGTATTTCTATAAGGCAGTTATTATTTTTCTCTCTCTCTCTCGTTTCTCCTTCTCTGTCACATACATATACGAGACTCAGACACCTTGCGAATCACAAAGAAAGAATTTGTGTCAGATCTGGTTAACCCAAAGGCAAACTACAAAATAGTGAATAAGCCATGCATTATTTTAAATAAACAAAATGAAAAAAATCTCTGCTTTTATAGTTGGGCATACAATTTTGCCAGTAATACACAACTATATGACCTATGATTTGGGCAAAATGCATGACAAGCACGACCTAGGATAATTGCTATAAACTTAAATATTAAAATAAGTAGTTAGATTGTGTTTAAGTGCAGAATAATTATGTTTTTTTCCCCTCTGGAGAAACAGATTTATCAAAATGTGTTTTTATAATGTTTTTCTAACAAGGTCATAATAAAATAAATGCATATTAAAATCCAGGTAATTTAAAAATCATTGATGTATTACTAGTTTGCATTTTCATAGAGTATGGTTTCATAGGCCAAAGAACCAGACAGATTTTAAATTAAATTAGTTTAGAGAGTTTTTGAGCTCTGATTTAGGTAGATGTCTTTCTTCTACTCTTACACGATGCTTCCCATCAGCCTAGAACATGTCTTTCAGTGACTGCCACTAGTTGTTTGTTTGTTTGTTTGTTTTGTTTTTTGAGATGGAGTCTCGCTCTCTTGCCCAGACTGGAGCGCAGTGGTGTGATCTCGGCTCACTGCAGACTCCGATTCCCAGGTTCAAGGGATTCTCCTGCCTCAGCCTCCTGAGTAGCTGGGACCACAGGTGCCTGCCACCACACTTGGCTAATTTTTGTATTTTTAGAAGAGACAGGGTTTCACCATTGTGGCCAAGTTGTTTAAAAATTTTTTTTTCTTATCCGGAGAACTCCCCATCAAACCTATGCTGTTTCCTCATATCCTGCTCATTGTCTCTAAGGAGGCTGACAAAAGTGCGGACTGAATTAATAGCCTCCACTTGTCCTTGCCATTCTCCTCTGCCATCGGGTTCTCTTCCTTTCCTCTCCTGAAACTGCTCTTGCCGGTCATTAGCCACTCCCCGTGTCCACCACCAGTCATCACTCACTCATTCTCATTTTCTTCACCTCTGACCACTCCTGCTTTTCCTCTCCTGACTCCTATTATTTGCATGATTCTAGTTTTCCTGCTGACTCCCAGGCTCATATCCTTCTCAGCATCTTCAGTGAGCTGCTCCTCTCTGGCCAGATTTCTGGTTGATAGGTTGGCCCTAGACTCAACTTTATAGCTTCATCTTTTCACTCTCATTTGCAGGTGGCCTCTTCCATTCTCTGGCTTTAAATACTTTCCATATGGTGGTGTCTCCACCATGATGTCTCTCCTGAGCTTGAATATCTAATAGGTTTCTCCAAATTTTCATCTGTCCAAAAAATAACTTTGGTTTTCCCCCAAAAGACCTAATCTTCTCCTTATCTCCCTCATTTTTGCAAACGTACCAAATCTGTGTGAACTTACTCAAGCTAAAAGCCTAGGAGTCATTTTAATTCCTCATTCCCTCACCCTGCAATTCCCACCATTAAATCTACCAGAAAGTCTGATAGGTCTTTCCTCCAGAATATATTAATTTTTTCCCCACTTCTTTCTACCTGTATTACTGTGGTCATTTCTCATACTCTTGCAAAAGCCTCCTAATTTACCCTGTCTTACCCCACAATAATTCACTGGTGTCACAATAGCCAAACATATTTTGAAAATGTAAATCAGATCATCAGATTTCCTGCTTTAAATACAATGATGTCTTCCCCTTGTTGAAAAAATAAAACCCAAACTTACTACTGTGTGGCCTTTGCAAGATGAGACTCTTGCCTACCTCCTTGGCTGCATGCTCTCCCACTCTCCCTTGCCCTATCTCCTCAATGACACCAGTCTTCTCACTATTCTGCAAACATGCCACACTTATTCCTACTCCAAGGTCTTTCCACTACCTTCTCCACAGACTCCCAGTATTACTTCTCCAGTTTTTACATGTCTAGCTCATTCTAACCTCTCTTAGCTCAAATGTTACCTCCTCAGAGAGGCAGTGCCTGAAAAATGTAGCTAATATTTTTATTCCTCACTCCCTTAGTCACTTTCAGTCCTTTCATTCTACTTTATTTCATTCATGGTTCTCAGTAGGCATGCAGTGTTTTCCTAGTTTATGTGTGGCAGAGATGGGTAGATGCTCACCAATCCAGTTTCCTCTTCTCTGAGCCCATTGGGAGATTATATCTTCAGTTTGGAATTGAACTTGGGAATTTGGCCATGTGCCTAAAAATGACCAAAGGCAGTGCATATCACTTCCAGACCTAACCCCTAAGACTTCCAGTGGGATTCACTGTTGACTTTGAAAGTTCTAAGCCATGTGATAGAAGAAGCACGGTTCCCTGAAACATTTGTTGGTTGTAGAGTTCTCCAAACTTTATCAAGCTTTAATCTTCCAGACTAATGAGCTATCTCTTTGTGAAATTAGATGTTAGGCCACATATGATAAATGAATTTTAAAAATAAAAATATTGAAGAGATTTTCACATTCACTCATTCACACAAAAAAATGTTATTGAACACGTGTCAGGCACTACTCTGGGCAGTTAACTAACTAGACAGAAATCTGTTCTGAGGGAGATTACATTGATTGAAGGAAGAGGTAATAAGCCAATAGTGAACACATGCTGTATTTGATGGCCATAAATGCTGTAGAAAAACATAAAGTGAGACAGAGGGAAACTGAGTGTAGGATGAATTCAGTTTTAAAGAGAGTGACCGGGACTTTTCTTGAGAAAGTGATATGTAAGGGAAACCTGAAGCAGGTGATGAAGTGAGACATGTGGAGCACTAGGAAGAAAATTAGAGTCAGAGAGAACAGCAAATGCAAAGCCCTTGAGGTGGGAGCATATCCAAAATATTGTGGGAACAGCAAGGGGTCCGGCATGGACAGAATAAGTGACCCTGGAGAATAGGAGGGGGAATATAAAGTTATGTACTTGGGGATCAAAGAGCCTGTGACTTAGGGCCTTATAAATCATGGTAAAGAGGACTTTGAATTTTAATCTGAGAATGTCAGGAAGGTATTAGAGGATTTTGAACAGAAGAATTACACAGTTTTACATACATAAAAACAAGGTGTCTGTAACTGCTGTGAGGAAATTATACTGTTATAGGGGTCAAGAATAGAAGCTGGTAGACTAGTTAGCAACTATTTCAGTAATCCAAGAAAAGTATAAGGTTTCCTGGAGTAAGTTGACAGTGATATAGAGGCTAATGAATAGTCAGATTTTCATTATTTTTTTGATAGGAGAGTCGACAGGATTTTCTGTTGGGCTGGTTGTGGAGTGAAAGAAAGAATTTAAGAATGATTCCAAGGTTTTTGGCCTGAGAACAGGAAGAATAGAGTGACCATTAATTTATATGGGGAAGACTGAGGGAGGAACAGGTTTGAACAGGTTTGACATGTTAAATGATTGATGGTAATTAAACTTCTAAGTGAACTTAGATATACATAGGACACCTTGGACTGTGCTGTGAACAAAGTTCATAACTGTGTATGCTGCCTAGCGAACAGGTTCATGTCAGTACTATTCCTTGTATTTTAATTGAAACAGACACCAGAAATAAAGTTACTAAGTAGCTTTTACTGTGAAAATATGGGCATTATAGAAATGTAACTTTTGGAAAACATATAATTTAATTATTATATATGGATATGTATAATATAAGCTTTAAGTATAAAGCTTAAGTACTTAATTATACATATCCATATATACATATCCATATATATAATGCTTAAGTACTTAATTATATATATCCATATATAAACTATATTAATTAAATTATATGTTTTCAAGAGAGTATGTTATATTTTAAAATGTGAGTTTTGAAATTAAATATTTTGAAAATAATTATAGATATGTATTTTTCCAATGGATATTTAGAATAAGCTTAAATTATGTTGTAATTTTTATGTTTACATCCCATCAAAACAAACAAACAATATATTAGAGCCAAGTCTATATTTAAATTTTGCATTTCTAAGAGAAAGAACTTATACTCCATTTAGCTTCAAGAAAATTCCCCTTAGGAAGGTGATAATTACATACAATTGAAACACTTGTGATCATTACTTATAAGTATTTTACAGAATAATTTAAAATATTTTCTATAATATAAAGATACAGTCTGCTAGTTTTACAGTTTATTATCAAAGTACTAAGGTATTCAGCTATCTTCTATTAAATAATAATATTTATGCCATTAAATTTTAAGAAGAAAGGTGTACAATATGCAGCAAATATAAACATTCATTTTAATGAGCTATTTATCTTTTTGGGGTGTGTTCTATGAATAAATACATTATCTAATTAGTAGATTCAATTTTCGATTTATTTCAGATTGTCTTTAGAGCCATTGCATGTGTTTGTCTTCAACTTTAAAGTAAGTTTGTTTAGACATTGGGTTTTAAAACCTGAGCAACTATCATCTTCCAGAAGGTGTTCTACCTTGTTTTTTTTTTTTTTTATGGTCAACTCACAGCCAAAATTATGGAAAGGCTTTATCGTTGGTCACAGATGATGCACAGAGCATTTTCAATTCCAGTGTTTCATAGACTCGGTGATAGACCGACAGTTGCCCTCCTGGGACTGTAAACATTTTTCATTCTCTTTTAATTATCTAGATCTATATTAATAACCACAGTGACCTATAAGAAGGCATTGTTGGCCATACTATAATTATATATAGCAATTATGTGTAGTGCCAACAATACATAAAAATCCCACCCTTTAACTACGGTTGGTAAGAAATGAAACTATGCTTTTCTGCCTTAGGATATAGTTTCAGTTTTTGAAAAATTAAGACATTCCATTTTTACATAAAACTTTTTCTGGAGTATATTATTATGGTAAGGCAGGTCTATTTCCATGGACTGACAATACATTAAGAATATTCCAATAAATATAGAAAGCATCTCTCACTCCAGCTTCCTCCTTAGCTACATACTGGTATTTCCTATTACATACTGTATAACAGAAAGGGAAATGCAAGTTCAAAGCAAAGGTTAATCTTTGTAATGCAGAATGTCAGAGAAGATGGTTTAGAACAAGTACCAATATATCTCTTGTTCTCTTTGAAAATTTATTTAGTATTTCAAACTATATTATATTCACACATGTATTCATTATTCTGTTTAAATAATTAAAGGTGGCAAGACATGGTGAAGTATGAGCAATCAGTAGTTTTGATTTAGGTGAAGCACCCATCAAGTAATGGCAGTAGTAATTGCCATTTGCCAATGTCTTGGCAAGTTGAGGTGAAACCAATGTCTTTAGTCCGTGTTAAAGTCAATGCATGTGGAATGGTATCCCATAATTGACTTACTTATTTTTTTTATGATGAATGGGTTGTAAACATCAGTGCCTGTGTCATAGATCTAAATCTTAAACCAATTTTGGCAATTTCTTATAGGGCCATGACTAGAGAATGATATTGTCATATTGGTTTATATCATTAAATTTTTCATATTAAAAGTGCTTTTATAGTCTAATAGAAAGTAATAAAACTTTTATTAGATTTATACACCAAACATATAAAACAATATTGATGCTCTGATTTCAATTTTTAAACTCCTGACATTATCCCAAGCTGCAATGACTGTTAATTCAGAGTACCTCATGAAATAGGACATTTCAACTTGCATGTCTTGTGAGCACCTCAAATTTAGCAGGTCTCAATACCAGCTCTCCTTTTTCATCATTTTCCTCATCTTCATGCTCACCAACTTTCTCCCATTTTATTTAATGTTATTATCATCCATATGGTCATCTAAGATGACCTGTGAGTCTTTTTAACATCCTCTTTACCACTTATTTGTCACATGCAATCCATCACTTAAGCCTGTGTATTTTATGTCCAAAATGAGTTGTTCAGTCATTCACGTCTGTCAAAGACCATCATCTGTCACTTAGGCTTCCCCAGCAGTTTCCCATGGTCTGCCTCCAGTCACTCCTCCAACTTGAATTTATCCTTCCTACTGCCATCATAGTAGTCTTTCTAAAATAGAGATCCAATATCTTATTTGTGCTTTAAAATCTTTATTTTTCAAGCCCTTAAGACACATTTGGCTCTTCCCTATGTAGCTCTAACCAATTTTTTTTTCTAGTTCTATTGTGTCCTTTGCTTCTGCACCCCTTATGCTCTATATTCAATGAAATCCCTTCATGTGTTCATGCATTGGCTCATGTTCCTTTGACCATTATGTCTGTTACCTCCTTTTTCCACTTGCAAATATTCAAGCAACCTAAAGTATGTTTCTATACTATACTAGAGCTCCTTTCTGTTCTCTTGATACTAGGTACATAACATAGAAAATGCATAATACAGGGGTGCATAGAACAGATCCTATGGATTCTAATGATTTATTTTTGTGTCTGTGTCTCCCAACACCACAGTAAGGACTCTTGAGAGCACAGATCATATCTTGTCACTATGAATAGTCCCTGACAGATAGGAAGTGACTTAATATGTGTTGAAAGAATGAATGCATGACTTAAGTTATTATGAGTGCCTATAGTTCTATAGCCAGGTTTTTCAACATACTGTGTATTATCTACTTATAACCTGGCTATCACCAGCTGTCACCCTCTCTTTTAAAATTTATTTAGCTTGAATGTCAAGAAATTTATATGAATGCCTGTGGTATAATTTTCCTACTCATTATCATAACCATAACTGGCATTCTCTGTGCATATAGGGTAGCTATAAACACTACTCTCGTAATAATTAGAGTTACTTCTGTCATATGCTCATGACCAAATTCTCTTGCCCTTTTCAGAAAGCACAAAAGAGGATCCCTTTTTTTCAGCCTGCCTTATTCTCTCAGAATTCTAGGTTTCTTACTCTTGCTTGTCTGTTTTCTCAACAGTCATCCCCCAATTCTCATACGGACTTTCTTGTCCCTGTTTCCAGACACTGGTTTCTTTAGTATTCCTAAGACTTTCACTGGATTCTTGAATCTTCTGCTTTTTCCTCATCTATTTGGCCTTCTCGATTCTAAATTTTGACAGCCAGTTAACCTTTAAACTTGAGCTTGCTAAACTGACACCTGGGTTTTCACTCCATAATCTCCCAGTTCTATTCTTTAACTGTCCAATCAGATTCTTTTGGCACCTGTATTTCATATCATTCTCCATTTGGGGAATGAGGATACACCTGACAAACCCACAGAATGCTTTCATGGGGAAACTCAGTAACAAATATAAATTTAGAGTATATTGTGTATTCTGGATTGAATCCATGGGCTTAGGACTTTTCAATTGATGAAGAGTATATGAAAGGAAAACTAGGCATTTCAGGTACATTTGATATATGAATGTCACAGATATGGAGTAAAATGTAGTCAAAATCTCCTCCCTTTTTCAATAAGACCACCAATAGGAGGAAGATAATTGATTTGGTCAAGGCCAAGAATATAATTGGGTCATATCGCTAAAACTTGCAACTTTATGTGAGAGGAGAAAAGTGGTCTTGAATCGAGAAAAACCCAGTTATTTCCCCTTGGTTTTCTTCACGCATTCAATGGTTGTATACTCAATTCCTACCTTGTGTTCTAAACATTAGGAATTAAATGGTAAGTGAGAGAGAGAGACAGAGATTTATTTCTGTGCTTCTTTTTATCATTACACTAGTACAACCTAGAGATCCAATTATTGACTATGGGCCTAGAAGAAAAGGACAGAGAACGACCAATGTTATTTTAGGCCTTAGAGTGGGGTGGTAGGTAATAGGTTGAAGGAGTCCAGCTGTCATATTTGAGAGCGGAGATAAACTAGTTTGCATTTACCCAGAGTTCTTTTTGCATATTTTCTTCAGAAGGAATTAAAAGGTGCCCGAGCAAGGACTTGGGCCTCCTAGTGTCCAAACAGCTCTAGCCCCTAATCACGGCAAAGCAATATCAGGAAAGGGATAAGAAAGTTGAAACTGTGTAGGTCATGAGTAATGAGATAATATGTTTTATGGTATACAAACACATGGGTAATTCTTGGTGAGGGTAGAGACCGTTCCCAGAGGGGAAAAAGTACCTGTATATTTCTAATCTCCTATCCAAGTACTCACCAGGTCTAACCCTGGTTAGCTTCCAAGTTTTGACAAGTTAGGGCATGTTGAGTGTGGAATGGCCATGGACTGCACATTCCTGATCTCAATAGGGAATTCTAGACTAAATCTTTTAAGGTAACTTGTTTCTGCAATAATTCTTGCAGATGCCATTGACAAGTTTTATAACTTTCATTTTGTTATGTTAAATTGGGCTAATAACAACTTCTCAAGAAGCCTAACAAATTGTTGATATTAGGTATCATTTTCCTTGCTTTAGTAATAATATTGAACATTTATTAAGCTGATAATATTAACTGCCTGAGAAATTGTGATCTAGGAATAGAAAGAATTTACCTGCATTTGTTTTACATTTATGCTTAAGGAAACTGAAATAACAGCACTTGGTGAAAAAAATATACGTCTATGTCCAAATTTTCTAGCTTTTCTTCCTAATATTTTCTTATGCAAAACACTATCAGGGAACTGACATGATAATGCCAGAAATTCTCTTCAGAGGAAGCTGAATTAGTATGTCTTAAGACCTGCTCTGTGTATTTAAACAGAATGATTGGGAAATAACTACCGTAATTTCTTAGTGATAATTTTGAGACTTTTTCTCCTTTTGTGCAAAATGTTGTAGTACATTTAAGTCTAGTTGTTTATTACATGACAATAGAGTATACTTTTCCTTTTTGTGCTTGGCAGAGAATGTACATTTATTTGTGATGTTTATGTAGATATTAAAAATAGATATTGGACTTACTATATACTAAAGCTTAGTTGTTCTAGAAAAGTAATTTTATCGATTTTAATCTTTACTGCTAGTCATATTGCTATTTACTTATTTTTCTTTTTAAAAAACAAGCCAACAAAAAATTCCTGAAAATTGTTAATTAACAGATTTAGATACTGAATTAGCCCAATCAAATGATGTCTTAGGCTATTAACCAAAGTGGTTTAAGAATTACATACATTTATTTTTATTTAGCTATTTCCAAAGTGATTTTTTAATTTAAATAGTGGCTTTTATTCTGGAATAGGACATAGTAAGTAAAACCTTTAAAAAAAATTCAAACGTTGTATCTTTGTTGTTGTTGCTGTTCTTTTTTGAGACAGAATCTCATCCTGTCACTCAGGCTGGAGAGCAGTGGCATGAAGAGGGCTCAGTGCAGCCTGGACCCCCAGGGATCAAGCAGTCCTCCTGTCTCAGCCTCCCCCGTAGCTGAGACCACTGGCATGCACCAGCTATTTAAAAAATTTTTTTTTTCTGTAGAGATGGGGTCTTGCCATGTTTCCCAGGCTGATCTTAAATTCCTGGGCTCAAGCGATTCTTCTGCCTCAGCCTCCCAAATTGCTAGGATTACAGGCATGAGCCACTGCACCTGTCTCAAAATTTCCTTTTTATACAAGGAACCACATTTATAAATAAAAATATTTTATTTTTTATTTGTTCACCCTACTATAAAGTCATTTAGATGAAAGTAGAAACTTTGAAATAATAGGCTAAATAAAAATGTGATTTATGAATTAGTTTATGAATTTCTATTAAGAGATCAGCAAACAGTTATGCTTAAATCTTGGATGATGTTACCACAATGATGATCACAATGAACATTTTTTGAAAAGTTGAACCAATCACGTTAAAGGCTTTTCACATAATTTCTCATTTAATCCTATGAACAGTTCTTTAATATGGTACTATTATTCATCCATTTTACAGAGGAGTATATAGCAGTTGCCCACTTTCCCATCTGAATATCTGAATCTCCTACTGGCTATCAACTTCTTTGGGAAAGAACTGGCTCTTCTTTACATATTCTAGCATAGTAGAGCTTATGACAACATAGTTGGCACTTAAAACACAGTGACTTGATGAATGAATGAGTTCCTAGAAAACAGTGAGTCTGAATTTTCTAGTCAAGTCATATGTACAACAGAAGGGTCAAATATAGGTGAGTTTTAAAGACTCTTCTTAATAAGTATGAGTTAGCCAGTTTCTCAACCTTAGACATTTACCCTTGATTCCCATCTATATATCATGAAAATTTAATAGTACCGATTACTATGTATCTGTTTATGTATCTTGGACTTTTGGAAGTCCACAAAACATTCTAATATCTAATATTGTTTCACCTCCCCCATGAATCAATTTTTTGCCTCTGTTGGGGCAGCTTTGCTCTGATTGAGAATATATGAGTTAAGCAATGGGTGAAGACATTGAAATGTTGATTTCCTCAGAAAGGAGGGATGTAGGGTTTTGCTCTTTGCCTACCTTCTTTATGTGCCTCACCATCTTGTTTTCACAGTGCTTCCTTTTAGATATCTTTATGACATTGCCATAAAAGGTCATGTTGGCATATTACCTTAAAATACTGAAAAGGTACCATTTTAGAAGAACATTTGATGATGAAGTGAAGCAACAGCCCCATTGCTCCTCACCACCCCTCATGCCCTTCAGGTCTGATTTAACCTGTAATGTGACTTCAATATTTTAAGGTGAGATCAACCTTTTCTTTTTGGAGAGGTATTCATAAAAAGGCTAATGACCCACTTGTGCTCATAAGGAATGACACAGGGAAACCTGGGGGACAAAGCTACCAACTTTTCTTCTTTGGAGGAAATTTTCCCTTAGCTTAGCACTATCCTTAAAAATAAATCATTAAACAAGAACAATTTTGTGACAAGGAATAAAGGGAAATTGGTAAATGAAAGTGAAATGGTAAAATACAGAGGTTTAAGAGTTTAAAATTAAATAAATTAAAATGTGGAAATGTAACCGGACCCAGGTTCAGCTCCTCACCACTTGAAAGCCAAACACAGAAGGTGAGGGTTAGTGGGAGGAAAAGCAGGTTTTAATTGGAAAGCCAGCAAACTGAGAACATAGTGAACTAGTACTCTAAAATACCATCTTAAATTTTACAGTTTACCATAGGATTTTTTAAGGGGAACTTTGTATGGCAGACATGTGGGAGTGGTGCAGGGTGCAGGGTCTGCGTGTCTTGTTCTCGTGGCTATCTTGTGAGTTATTGCTGGTCTGGAAGTCTGATTGGCATTATCTTCACTCTCCCCAATAGTGGTGGAATGATTGTTTGTGACTCTTGCTAAGCGGAAGGACTATGCAGGGGCTCCATGCCTGGTTTGTAGCAAGATTAGATTTTGGAATTTCTTAAGCAAGAACATAATTAGATTAGCATGCATTGCCAGAGGGCAGTGTGTAGAGAGGGAAGGAATGAAGAAGTGAAAGTGGAGGGAAGGAAGAAAAAGAAAGAGGGTGATATTTAAAACCTGGGTCCCTGGTTATGGTAATAAAACAAAACATCTTTAAATTTTAATCAGGGACACACTTTAAGAAATAAAGATTAAAGGTATTAAAATAAAAGAAATTGAGAGGTTAAAAACCTGAAAGTAGAAGGCAGCAAATAAAAAAGTTGAACTTGAGGGCAAAAAAATTATTTTTAGTTTAAAAATAAAGACAACTAGGGATTTCTTTATATGCCTAGTAAACAAAAATATATTAGAAGATAAAGAAGGCTTGTTGGAAATAGGGAGACTAAAGATAAAAGAAGTAAGGATCCACTTGAAGTTTGAAAAGGGGGCAATTTAAAACAACTAGCAAGAATTAAAGCAATTGGAAACCATAAAATAATGGCAAGCTGCTAGGCTATAAAACTGTATGTTCTATGAAGATGTAAGAAAGAAAATATGGTGGAAAATGGGGAAAAAAGGGGAAGTTTATAAAAGCTCCAAGCTATAATCAAGTGAGGTTGAATTCTGGCTAAATGTCCCTGTGGAGATGTGCAAAATGCATACATTTATAGGAGCCCATTTACTTTCACCTGATCTTAGGCCCTGCCTGTCAGTGTGCCACAGACTTGCCCAGATTGGCAAAAAATTCATGCCCTTCGGAATTTTCCAAGGCAATGTGCTCTGTGTCTCACAGTCTTTCCCCCTCAGACTTGCTCCACAGCATAGATAAACACTTATTTTGGTTCGAGGAAGAGCATTTAAGTACTGGCATTCATTCAAAATATCATTTGTATCAGTGACATTTTGGTATTTATTATCATTTATAACAGCAACTGTTTTGTATAAATATAAGTAGACCTTTCTACTTGACAACTGTGACCTTTAATTTCACCTGGACTGCACATATTATATATAATGGAGATTTAAAGAGTATTATAGAAATGGATAGGGGGTATCAATTTCAAATGTACAATGTCAAAACTACTAGCTGCAGTTGAAATGAAATTTATATGTGGACACAATTTTTTTTTACCTTTTTTGGTTTTGTTTTTCTTTTTTAAATTATTTGGAGATAATGAGTAAAATTCTACTATATTCTGGTAGCATCACTCTGCAAGATTTACTCTACCATACAAATGTATGTTTTTTGGTATTCTATTTTGAAAGGTTGTGTTGTTATAATATTGGTATTGAAAATATTGATGAGTTAATATTTTAAAACATAAGTTAGTATTTATTTGGTTAGGATGAAGCAGTTGATGATAATGACAACTTTTAACTGCAGGTAAAATTGCTAAATAATACATAATTACGTACAACTTGTGGCAGCTTTGTATTTAGAGATAATGATGTTTAATTGGGTGTTTTTCTTTTAAAATGAAAATGAGTTTATTCTTTTTTTAATAGAGTAATGCATGCTCCCCTTTACTTCACTTTTCAAATACCAAAACAGATAAACCCTATTAACAATTTGGATAACCATTATCCTTTTAGAAATCCCTACAAGCCCCATCCCTCCACACCCAGTCAGGATCATATAAAGACTATTCTGAAACTTGCTTTATGCAGTTAAGACCTTGTGACTATCCTTCTGTGTTAGCCATTCCATCCTTGTTTATATATCTGATTAATATTAATAAATCATATATAATAATATATCATCATTTTTATAAATAACAGCTCTGATTATATTTTAATATAGCTCTTTATGTACTTGTCTGCTTCATTTGGATTTCTTTGTAATTTATGAGATTTTTGTACTTTTCCTATTTGTATTAGATATTTATGGATACAATATATTTCTGGGGTTAAGTTACCTTCTAGAATTAAACTACGTCTATCTAAGTTACCTTCTAGAATTAAACTAAGTCTATTAAACTAAATCTATTTAAGTGCTTAATTTAAGGAAATAAGGACAATAGATGAGAAGATAGTTCTTGATGCAATAATATTTTTATTTCTATGTATTATATAGAAACATGTTAATTATTTTAGCTATTGACTTGTAGTGAATTTATTTTCTTCTACTAGAGTATATGTGAGGGTAAACAGGAATATTCCATTAATCATTGTAAAAATGTATATACATTATAAATTTCATAATGCCAGGATATAATGTGATAGGTATAAATGCTTTCACTTAATAAATTTTATCCCAAGTGTGTCAAGTTATATTTTTTTTACATTAAAGTAAAAAGAATTTCTGTCTGCCTAATTTCCTTCTACACCTTTTTCATTTATGGACCACTTTAACTCATGGTGATTAGAAATCCTTCCTCATCTTATCTCGAACCCTCATCTCAGCTCCTCGTGGACTGAGGTTTATTAAATGATTTCCTGACGGCCATTTTGAAGACTATTTATCACCTGAACCATGCTGCCATCCCATCTGCTACCAATATAAATTGGGATGCCTTATGTTGCGAGTGACTGAAAATGCAACAAAATTTGATTTAAAGATGAAATGAAATTATTGGATTAATTAATTAAAAAGATCAGAAGTAGGAATAGCTGCAGGTTAAGCTTGATTTGCTGCCTTAAAGATATTACCAAATACCTGATCTTAACTGTTTTCTGTCTTTTGTATCAGCATTATCCTCAGTTCTTCTTTCATGGTAGCAAAATGGCTGAAGCAATTTTAGACATCATATGCTTTCACAATGCTCTCTAGGAAAAGAGACTCTCTTTCCATTATCTTTCAAAGAAACAAAATGTAAGTTCTCTTTCCTGCAAGCTTAGGCAAATGCCTCCCTGTGTTGCATTGACTAATCAAATTAAGTGCTACCCCAGAGTTGAAAACTGTTACCAGGGAGAATGACCACTGTATCAAGAAAGCTATCAAAACTTACCCTAAAGGTGGGGATAAGTTTGAACTGATAATGAAAGGAGAGGGTTGGGGGAAGATTCCTTTAAAAAATGCCTGGGTATTATTACCAGAAAGAAAGGGAATGATGCTAAATAATTATACATTGTACTGCTCAAGTTTCCATCACTGGTGTCTCTGAGTTTTGGCACCGTTGTTTTAAAGACCCTGTTCTTGTACTATTTAGTATTGCATAGTACAAATAAAATTACCACTGATATCAGGCATTCAGCCTTTTATTTGGCAATATTCATCAAATATACTCAGAACGTTGTTCTATGTCCTGGACAGACCAAACAAAAGAAAACACATCTCATGATAGTTTAAGTATTAGATTAAATGACCTACATAATAGTAGGTGATACGATTTCTGGAGCATGGTATGTCCTCAGTAGATGATAGTCTTTCATTTTGCCTATTTAGAATAGGCAGCCCTCCTTTTCAGCAATGTAGTGACCTGAGACAGGGCCTTATCAACTATGAATATATCTTTAAGACATTCTTTACCTACTCACCTGGACCTCTAAGTGTTACTTATACCTATTGAAACTCACCTTTGATTTCTGGTGCTGTTTGACTTGAGATGGGGCTAATTTGTTGACAGGATGATTCGATCTCCCCACTGAATCTCTGCTGCCATCTCTTTTCTGTCTTCTTAGGTGCTCACCTGTGTGATTCTAGAAGGCGGGTCTGCTTCAGCTCTGATCACTCTCTATTATCCCTTCATTTTCCTCTAAGTAAACAATCATTAATCAATAGTGTATGGTAAGAGACAGCAGTTTTATGTAGAGAAGTAGATTACTCATTTGACTGGGGCAAGAGCTTCAGGTAAAATAAATGATTGATACTTTAAGCTCACTAAATTGAAACAATAGCCATCACATTGTATGCTTTGCTGTGGTGATTCCTCAGGGATCTAGAACTAGAAATACCATTTGACCCAGCCATCCCATCACTGGGTATATACCCAAAGGATTATAAATCATGCTGCTATAAATACACATGCACACGTATGTTTATTGCAGCACTATTCACAATAGCAAAGACTTGGATCCAAGCCAAATGTCCAACAATGATAGACTGGATTAAGAAAATGTGGCACATATACACCATGGAATACCATGCAGCCATAAAAAATGATGAGTTCGGCTGGGCGCGGTGGCTCACGCCTGTAATCCCAGCACTTTGGGAGGCCGAGGCGGGTGGATCATGAGGTCAGGAGATCGAGACCATCCTGACTAACAAGGTGAAACCCCGTCTCTACTAAAAATACAAAAAATTAGCCGGGCGCGGTGGCGGGCGCCTGTAGTCCCAGCTACTGGGGAGGCTGAGGCAGGAGAATGGCGTGAACCCGGGAAGCGGAGCTTGCAGTGAGCCGAGATTGCGCCACTGCAGTCTGCAGTCCGGCCTGGGCGACAGAGTGAGACTCCGTCTCAAAAGAAAAAAAAAAATGATGAGTTCATGTCCTTTGTAGGGACATGGATGAAGCTGGAAACCATCATTCACAGCAAACTGTCGCAAGGACAAAAAACCGAACACCACGTGTTCTCACTCATAGGTGGGAATTGAACAATGAGAACACATGGACACAGGAAGGGGAACATCACATACCGGGGCCTGTTGTGGGGTTGGGGGAGTGGGGAGGGATAGCATTTGGAGATATACCTAATGTTAAATGACGAGTTACTGGGTGCAGCGCACCAACATGGCACATGTATACATATGTAACTAACCTGCACATTGTGCACATGTACCCTAAAACTTAAAGTATAATTAAAAAAAAAAAAGTCCCACAGCCTTTAACTCCTTTTACTGACTGTGTTGTTATTTTCTATACAATATTTTCTTTTCTTTTCTTTTCTTTTTTTTTTGAGATGGAGTCTCACTCTTTCACCCAGGCTGGAGTGCAGTGATGCAATCTCGGCTCACTGCAGTCTCCGCCTTCCAAGTTCAAGTGATTCTTCTGCCTCAGCCTCCCGAGTAGCTGGGATTAAAGGCACCTGCCACCACACCCAGCTAATTTTTTATATTTTTAGAAGAGACGGGGTTTCACCATCTTGGTCAGGCTGGTCTTGAATTCCTGATCTCGTGATCCACCCGCCTCGGCCTCCAAAAGTGCTGGGATTTCTATACAATATTTTCTATATTTTCTATTTCCAGATAGAGTAGACCAAAGTAATTGATGACCTCATAAGCATGTTTCATAAATGTCTCTGAGAGATTCACTATGTCTTATTAAACCTTTGCCTGAAATCTTCTTGCATTATTAGAGAGAATTAAGGTCAAAAACAAGGAAGGAAAAGAAATAAGCAGTTTTATTTATCTACCCATCCATTCACCCTTCTACACTTTCATCCATCTGTCCATCTAACCTCTATTTACTCATCTATTGATAGACTAGAAAGATAAATACCAAAATGTACGGGATATAATCTCCTGGTATGCCGTTGGAATAAAGATGTTCTTTGAAACCAACGAGAACAAAGACACAACATACCAGAATCTCTGGGACACATTCAAAGCAGTGTGTAGAGGGAAATTTATAGCACTAAATGCCCACAAGAGAAAGCATGAAAGATCTAAAATTGACACCCTAACATCACAATTAAAAGAACTAGAAAAGCAAGAGCGAACACATTCAAAAACTAGCAGAAGGCAAGAAATAACTAAAATCAGAGCAGAACTGAAGGAAATTGAGACACAAAAAACCCTTCAAAAATTAATGAATCCAGCAGCTGGTTTTTTGAAAGGATCAACAAAATTGATAGACTGCTAGCAAGACTAATAAAGAAGAAAAGAGAGAAGAATCAAATAGACGCAATACAAAATGATAAAGGGGATATCACCACCGATCCTACAGAAATACAAACTACCATCAGAGAATACCATAAACACCTCTACACAAATAAACTAGAAAATCTAGAAGAAATGGATAAATTCCTTGAGATTTATCCTGGATAAATGATTTTTACTAGGCCCTGGAAAATTTAGACATCCCTCATATAGCACTTTTTGAAATCTGAAATCCTAGTTATTTTCATATCACTTCAAACCCTTCCTGGAGATATTGGGTCCATCCATAATAGGACAAAGTTTCTAGTGTAGTTTATGGGTTTTAGTCCTCAACCATAGCAAAAGGACATAGCTGCAGTTTGGTATGATTTTAATATAAGTACTTGGATAGATTGGGATACATTTAATAAATTTAGTGAGATAACTAATCACATTCTTTAACTATTTAACATTTTTTTTATTATTTTATTTTTTTACAGATGATAGTCATGTACATTAGTATAACATGCTGTCACCATTGGTGAGGCATTCAATGAACTTTCAATTGTGAATCTTTAATGTCCTTGCAAGATATAAATTCATATTAAATTTCAACGTAATATGGAATATATTTGACTCGGATATATGTAACTGGAAACAACTTTAACTTGGATATTTGTTAAAGCTCAGGGACCAGCAATGTGGGTTTTCGCGTTACACTGCCTACACTATCACTTGTTGACTGTGCAACCTTTGTATTGATAACTGGACTTAGTACAGGCATAATTTTTTAATCTGACAAGTGTACTTGACCATGAAACATCAACTTTACTGAACTGTGAGTGGATTAAGTGAGAAACATGTGTCATATAGTAAATACTTAATGGAATATACCTATGTTTACCTAGTTATAATTAATATGTTACTTGTATTTCTAAATATATTTCCAATCCTGGAACCAATTTATAGTTCATCTTATTGAAACCAAAGTTTAAAACACTTGCTTTTTCATTTTGTGATGTTTAAACTGCCATATAAGTAATTCTGGTTTATAAAAGCATCTCAGTTATGATAATAATAGCATTTTAATTTTGAAAGCCCTTTGGAAAAGTTATTTTGAATATTAAAATATTAAAAATGCTAAATGGCATTTGGGTATATGAATATGTAAGTAAAATATTAATATAAAGTTCTTGACTTATTTTTAATAATTATCTCTTTCATACAACGCTATCCTGTTGGTATTCAGATTTTACACATTGACTGACATTCAGACTGACTTGGCAGAATATTTTTATATGACGTTATTAGCTTTTTATGACAACTAAGCAAAGAGAGCACCAGTAAGTAACTAGATTCTTTGAGCTAGGATGATTCTCAAATCCCATCACTTTTAAAATATCAGTGAAAAAACTAACATGATTTGAAGGCTAGTTTAAAATAAAATACCATCGTTTCGAGATTTGGAAAAAATGTATAGTTAAATAAATCACTTAGTGTCTTCTTGAACTATAATTCTGCATTTTTGTTAGGGGTAATTTTAAATAAATTGGTTCTAAAGGCAAAATTCAATTTAAGAAAATAAATGTTAGATTTTTCTATAGCATAATTATTATTTCCTTTTTTTAAAAAAATCTTATTTCACCCTCAAGCACATCAAAAAGAATAGTTGCCACCTAGAAAGGGCCTTTGTGCTTTGTATGTGTATCATGCTTTGTTTTTCTCTGGTATTTCTTATCTTCATATAACAATAGCTTTTAGCATTGTATTTTAAATTAAAAATGTTCTACTATCAAACTTATTCTAGTGAGATTTCTTGCCTTTCAAAATTACAGTATTTTATTTCCTTTAAGTGTCTCATATTCATTCTGTTTTCACCCTTGATAGATGTAAAGTCATATTATAGAGCTATATAAAACAGGGTGGCCAATCTACTAAAAATAAAATACAAAAGCATATTTTTTTTCAAAATCTCATTTTTTAGTAAAACATTTGCACTCACAATACTTTAGTTTTGAGCTTTGTTTTCTTTATGAAGTCCAGAAAAACATTATAGATGTCTAATTTTTCTCCTCTGGAGAAAAATAAAATAAAATATATTACACCCCTTTTATAGAGAAGCACAGATTATATTTTAGCTTAATTAGCTAAAATCACAACAGTCATGGTTATCAATGAATAACAGTCATACTTACAGTATGTTATTGCAATGGTGAAACAAATTTTCAGTGGCACTGAAAAGGCAATAAGAGGTAGAATTCAGTTAAAATTCAATGATGAGGGAAAGAAGCATATAAAGGGGAAAGAAGATAAACAAACTAGACTTTTGAACAAGGTGGAGTATACATTTACTGATTTTTCTGTAGTATGATAAAGTTAGAGAGACAGACAAAATGGACTTGAAACAAGGTATACATCAGTTGTCATATCGTATTGCAAGAAAAAATTATTTTTTGCACTCAAGCTACAGAGCCCTAAACCTATCAGGCCATGTAAGGGAAGTGCTTCCTGTATTAATTACTAAAGACCATGTGAGGGAACTGCTTCCTATATAATTACTGGAAAAAATGATGAAAGATTGAGAACTATTGATTCACATCACATAGCATAAACTTTGTGTGAACTGGCACTTTAATTTATAGCCCTAAAAATTCGGCTAGGAGACTGGAGCTGTCACTGGACCTTTGTACAAGAGAAGGGTGTGGCTGCTAAACCAAGAGATTAAGAGCCCAGCACTGTGCAGGTCAGATTGACTCCATCTGGCCCCTAGCAGTTTCACCAAACACTGCCAGGATTTTCCAAAATAAGTATCCCCCATCACATATCATTACTTTCTGCTGAACAGATTATAAAGTACTATCTCCAGGCATTTCCTGCGTTTATTGGGAACTGGAAGTTTTGAATCCTCATTGACTTGAAAGAGACTGCCAACAATCAAACCTAGTCATTATGGCACTCCCACCAAGACTGGAAATAGCCCCAAACTGCTGCTGGTAATTCCTGATATCCTCAGCTTTCTTATCTTCCATACATATTAATTTTGTCAGCAGGGTAGTTCTTTAGGGCCCTCAGAGTGCTTCTGGAACCTGTGGAGATTCATTAATGGAGTCTGGTTGTAATGCATTCAGCTAACTCCTTTTAAAGCTATACCTGATGTCATGCTGTCTGTTCTATGATCCTCTTTTCCACTGTCACGTGTGTATGTATGTTTTGTTTTGTCTGTTTCTTGTTTTATCACCTAATTGCTTGTCTTTTTATCCTTGACTTGCTGTTTTGTAAAGAACTTAGCATTTATATCTTCTATGCTTCTCTATGCCCTATATTTTCAAAGGCTCATTCCAAACCTAACGTGGTCATACACTGTGGCTGAACCATATTCTACCTTCAATGAATGCACCACTTTGAGGATGGGGACCTACAATTTTTGAAGTCTCTTCTGTATCTGTGCTTCCAATATTCCATTTCTATGCATGTTCTCAGGCAATTTGGGGTTCACACAGTTATAAAATAAGTTTATTTCTCATTCAAACCTGGGCAATGGAGATGTTCCTATTTCGATAGCTTTTCTGAGCATCTTTTTTTTTTGCAAGTGGTGACCCATGGAATCTCAGGGATTTAGGATCTTTCTAATTTTGTAATACTGGTGTCTTCGACACATGACCTTCAAGATTTTGAGAAGGGTGAAAACAGAATGGGATGGGAGTTTTATGGCCAGCCCTGGGAGTGTTATACATTTTCAGAGCTAGATGCAAGGAAGACTGGACAATGTGTGCTAAAGTTAAAGCACATAGCGGAATCTCTGTCACATCGTCTTTCTGCTTTATACTTAAGCTGGTCCCCTTCATATTTATGAGGTGGCTGCTTGCTGTATAATTTTATACTTAAGCTGGTCCCCTTCATATTTATGAGTTGGCTGCTTCCTGTGTAATTACTAACAGGCCATTTGCAGCAGCAAATGTTATATCCAGTGGGAGAGAGGAAGAAAACTTCTCTCTCAATCATAGATTGCAAATCTTTTCTTATAGCTTTGGTCAGAAAGTATGGAGGAGGATTGAGCAACCAGACAAAATTAGGATTTTGTAAGGAGAGGAAGGAGCGGTAAATAGATACCAGACAGTTAATCTATCGTGAGTATGACAAAGAATCAAGACAGAATGGTATCACAGAACAAAGAGAGTAGAGAGTTTTGAAAAGATGGAGTGCCCAAACAGGATTATAATGATGCTAATTTTAGAAATTAGATGGTCCTTGGAAGCTCCGTATAAATAGTCCCAAAGAAGTCATGAGATTATTTCTCACATTATGGTTTATGGAGAAGTGCATGAAAGCTGAGGAAATGGGCCCTTGGTATTTATTCATAATGCTGTGCTCCATGCAGTTGACTTTACTTCCTAAATAAATGTTGCATTCTTGATGAAAGTTTAGGCTAAATACAGTGAGCCCTCAACTTTGAAGATAATATAAGAATATTATCATAATTAGAGTTTACATCATTTAAAAATATAATTTGCTTCATTAAAAATTACTATTAGAAATTTATAATTTTGTCGGCATATTTTTTTTTATTATACTTTAAGTTTTAGGGTACATGTGCACATTGTGCAGGTTAGTTACATATGTATACATGTGCCATGCTGGTGCGCTGCACCCACTAACTCGTCATCTAGCATTAGGTATATCTCCCAGTGCTATCCCTCCCCCCTCCCCCCACCCCACCACAGTCCCCAGAGTGTGATATTCCCCTTCCTGTGTCCATGTGATCTCATTGTTCAATTCCCACCTATGAGTATATTTTTAACTTTTAAAATTCTCAGAAATCTAAAGTAAATTATAATTTTAACACTGAAATTATTTGCTAGTGAAGATACAAATCTATGCTAATTGCTCTAATAACCTAGATAATTAATTATTATGCATTCCTAAAATGGAATCCTATTAAGTTATTTTACTATGATGGATGTAATCATTTTGATAATAAGTAACCTACACATTTTTCTAGATTAATCACAGATGCTCTTCTAAAGTTGTCTTAATGTGATGAATTATAATTGTTCACTTATAAGCATCAAGGGTTTTTAAACTCTCTTGATAACCATATTCAAATTTTATCACCTAGAGGTAGATTTATATTTTTATTCAAAATAACATGTCAGGTGTTATGCGTCTTATTTTCTGCAAAATAGCTAACTTGTATGTAATTCTGAAATAAACTAAATAAATATTCAAACTATTAGATAAGTAGTACGTATGTATATATATATATAAACCCATTCTATCTGAATCAATTTAAAGGTTACTTAAATTAGGTCTTTCTTGGACTCAGTAGCCCCTACTGATATCTTCAAACTGCACTTTATCCTCCAAAGTCACTCAATTCTTTCAAAACAAGAAAGCCCATTATTTAACAGCCTCACATTGTTAGATGCGAGGAAGTCACATTGATGACTTCCTTTTACCTAAGGATAAAAACCAAAGTCCTCTATACTTCATCCTCTACCTCCCTAGCTAGTCTATTGCCCTGTTGCTCTCAACTGGAGTATTTCCTAAGCCATATTTGTACACCTGCTGTGTCCCTGATGCGAGCATAAAGTATGTGAGTAAAAAATGTTTTTGAAATATTATCTGCTTTTTAAAATGATGTAATTCCTTTTTTTCCATTTCCTTTATCCCATTTGAAACAGTTTGGTTCTATACTTATGCCTGGGGGAAAAATATGACAGAAAAAGGAGATGGGGGAGTTTAAAAATATCTTTCTTACCTTGGCGCTTTAAAGTGCTTAGGAGCAGAAAAGGCTCACTGCATAGCTACAGCACATCAGAACAAATATAATGAGTTAAGACTCATCCACCCCTTTTCCCTTTACCTTCAGATAATTTTATGGGAGCCAGGAATGCAAGAGATCTGTTCTTCATTTCCTGACAAGACCCCAGAAAAGAAATTGTTGCATTGTGTGTCTAGACAGATACCATCACAGAGTTTCAGCCCTCCGGTGTGAAGTAGGAATTGCTCAATGATTCCTGTACTCCCAAGAATGAAAATGAAGTGGCAGAAAGAGAGCTATTGAAACAAAATAGGCCATAGGGAGAGGAGGGAACCAGAAGTTTCCACTGAGACTTGTGTGATATATTGATAAATTATTTAAGTGATGCCTATAAAGCCGGATGATATTTAGGCTTTTATGGTGTTACCCCCAGTGTTGGCATAAAATGGGAAACCCTAAGAAATTATGCTCAAAGGAAAAATTCAGCTAATGCAGAGAAAGATTAAGAACCTACATTTCTTGCATTCTTGAAATTACACTCTAGAATTCACATCAGCTGTGGAAATTTATACTTACTTCTTTGTGTGTATTTAAGTAATGGCATAATAAAAATAATCAATTCACCACTGAGGTCCAATCATTTCTTCCCTTCAATAAGTGCCCATACGTTACTAACATCTGATAACAAAATGAAGCCCAAGTTCTTTTGTAACATTTTATCTTTTTCTTAAAAAAATGAACTTATCTTAGTGCTTCTTTATTTTTAAAGAGAATAATCTACATTTCTTACTTCCTCTGGAAGGTCTGACTCCAGAGAAAGGTTAAAGGTTGCGCTATATACCCCTAAGTCTTTTCTTATTTTTATTTTCTCCTTCATTCCAGAATATCTATTTAGCTATTGATATGTGCCAGGCACTATTTTAGGTGGTAGAATTCCAGAAGTAAAGACAGTCTCTGTCCTCAAAGAACTCAAAATCTAACTGTATGGCATACTTAGAAAAATAATGCAATAACCACATAAGGGGGCCTCCTAAAGCAAACTGTGATGTGGAAATGAATGTCAAAAAATCTCCCTATCATAGGTAGCCTTTGAGTATAGCATTGAGAAATGTGTATATTTGATGAGAAATACTTTTTTGGAAAAATAATTATGTTGTTTTTCATTAAATGGAAAAAATAGAAAAAAGTTTCAAGATGATAATTGATTTTCATATTAATGAATTTATTTAATTCACTGTGATCTACCATCACCGTTTGCATTAAAACATTTCTGAGGAAGTCCTAGCCAATGCAATCAAGTAAGAGAAAAAAAATGAAAGGCATTGAAATAGGAAAATAAGTCAAACTGTCTCTTCACTGATGATATGATTCTATATCTAGAAAATTCTAGAGTCTCTTCTAAATGGCTGATAAAACTGATAAGTAATTTTAGGAAGATTTCAGGACCCAAAATCATACAAAAATTGGTAGTATTTCTATATACCAGTAATGCCCACGCTGAGAGTCAAATCAAGAGCATGATAACATTTACAACAGCGGCAAAGAAAACAAAATACTTAGGAATACAGCTAACCAAAGAGGTGAAAGATCTCTACCAGGAGAATTGCAAAACACTGCTGAAATAAATTAGAGATGACACAAATAAAGAGAAAATCATTCCATGTTCATGGCTTGGAAGAATCAGCATTGTTAAAATGACCATACTGCCCAAAGCAATTTACAGATTCAGCACTACTCTTATCAAACTACCAATGTCATTTTTCACAGAAGTAGAAAAAGCTATCCTAAAATTCATATGGAACCAAAGAAGAGCCTGAATATTCAAAGCAATCCTGAGCAAAAGGAGCAAAGCTGAACACTTCATACTACCCAATTTCAAACTATATTATAAGGCTACAGGAACCAAAACATCATTGCACTTGTATAAAAACAGACACATAGACCAGTGGAACAGAATAGAATAGAAAACTCAGAAATAAAGCCACACACATCTGATCTTTGGCAAGGATGACAAAAACAAATGGAGAAAGGGCTCCCTGTTCAATAAATAGTGCTGGGACAATCGGCCCGTTATATGGAGAATAATGAAACTGGACCCTTACCTTTTACCATATACAAAAATTAACTCAAGATGGATTAAAGATTTAAATGTAAGACCTAAAACTATGAAAATTCTAGAAGAAAACCCTAGGAAGTTCCCTTCTTGAGATGGGCCTTGGCAAAGATTTTTGGACTAAGGCACCAAAAGGAACTTCAACAAAAACAAAAATTGACAAGTAGGACCTAATTAAATAGAAGAGTTTCTGTACAACAAAAGAAATTATCAATAAACTAGATAGACACCCTACAGAATGGGAGCAAATATTCACAAACTATGCATCTGGCAAAGGCCTAGTATCTAGAATCTGTAAGAAACTTAACAAGCAAAAAACAAATAACCCCACTGATAAATGGGCAAAGGACCTGAATAGACACTTTTCAAAACAACACATACAAGTGGCCAACAGACATATGAAAACATGCTCATCATCTGCCATCATCAGAGAATTGCAGATCAAAACCATGATGCAAAACCATCGTACACCAGGCAGAATGGCTATTATTATTTGAGGCATGTTCTCACTCTGTTACCCATGCTGGAGTGCAGGTAGCATGATCATCGCTTACTGCAACCGCAAAGTCCTGGGCTCAAGGGATCCTCTTGCCTCAGCCTCCTACAGGAAGCTGGGACTACATGCTGAGGCAGGTTTTTTTTTCCTGTAGAGACAAGGTTTTGCTTTGTTGCCTAATCTGGCCCTGAACTTCTGGGCTAAAGCATTCCTCCCACCTCAACCTCCTGAAGTGCTGGGATTACAGGCATGAGCTACCATGGCTGGCCTGATTGGCTATTATTAAAAAGTCAAAAAACAACAGATGCTGGTGAGGCTATGGAGAAAAGGGAGCATGTACAGTGGTGGTGGGAATGTAAATTAGTTCAGCCACTGTGGAAAACAGTTTGGAGATTTCTGAAAGAACTTAAAACGAGCTATCATTTAACCCAACAATCCTGTTACTAGGTATATACTCAAAGGAAAACCAAAAAGACACATGCATTTGCATGTTAATTGCTGCACTATTCACAATAGCAAAGACATAGAATAGACATAGGTGGCTATCCATGGTGGACTGGATAAAGCAAATATTATACATATACACTGTGGAATACTATGCAGCCATAAAAAGAACGAAATCATGTCCTTTGTGGCAACATGGTTGGAGCTGGAGGCTATAATCCTAAGCAAATTAATGCAGGAATTTAAAAGCAAATAGCACATGTTCTTACTTATAAATGAGAACTAAACATTGAGCACACATAGACGTAAACTTGGGAATAACAGACACTGTGGACTACCGGTGGGGGGTTAGGTCAAAAAACTGCCTATTGCATACTATGCTCACTACCCGAGTGCAATATACCCAAGTAACAAACTTGTACTTGTGCCCTCTGTATCTAAAAAAAGGTAGCTATAAAACCAAAAAATCATTTCTGAAATGCTGAATAGAAACCTTAAAATTTTCTACTGATTCATACCCTTACTTTTAAAAAAGTTAGCTTTAACATTTTATCCTTCACCTGTTGATATGATTTGGCTTGGTGTCCCCACCCAAATCTCATCTTGAATTGTACTCCCATAATTCCTATGTGTTGTGGGAGGGATGCAGTGGGAGATAATTGAATCATGGGGGCAGGTCTTTCCTTTGCTGTTCTCATGATAATGAATAAGTCTCATGAGATCTAATGGTTTTATAAGGAGGAGTTTTCCTGCAAAAGCTCTTTGCCTGCCGCCATCCACATAAGATGTGACTTGCTTCTTCTTGCCTTCTGCCATGATTGTGAGTCTTCCCCAGCCATATGGAACTGTAAGTCAAATTAAAGCTCTGTCTTTTGTAAATTGCCAGTCTCAGGTATGTCTTTATCAGTAGCATGAAAATGAACTAATATGCCTTTGATTAAAATTATGCCTAAGAATGTTAACATTTACTCCTAGAAACAAACTCTCTTCAGCAATATATAGTGCCTTTGTATGTAATTCTTCTGTAGCAATCATACAAAAAAAAAATGAAAGCACACATGTTTTCATAGTATACTCTTTGTTTTGAGTTGAATTGTGTCTCCCAAAACAATATGTTGAAGTTCTAATCCCCTGTACCTGTGAATGTGATTACATTTGGAAATAACATTTTTGTAGGTGTAAACAAGTTGAGGACATTTTGGATTAGCATGAGCCCTAATGCAGTATGACTGATGTCCTTATTAGAAAAGAAGAGACACAAACATACGCACAAACACATACACATATGCATGTGCGTGCACACACACACACACGAGAGAGAGAGAGAAATAGAGAGGAGAGAGAGAGAGCAAGAGCAAGAGAGAGAGAGAGAGAGAGAGAATGCTAAGTGATGACAGAGGCAGAGATTGGAGTTATGCTACCACAAGCCAAGGAATGACCAGGACTATTGGCAACCACCAGAAGTTAGGAGAAAGTCATGGGATGGTTTCTCTTTCACAGCCTCCAGAAGGAATATGCTGTGCTCGTACCTTGATTTCAGACTTATGGCCTCCAGAACTGTAAAAGATAAATCTTGGCCAAGCGTGGTGGCTCACGCCTGTAATCCCAGCACTTTGGGAGGCTGAGGCGGGAAGATCACGAGGTCAGGAGATTGAGACCATCCTGGCTAACACGGTGAAACCCCGTCTCTACTAAAAATACAAAAAAAAAAAAAATTCGCTGGGCGTGGTGGTGGGCACCTGTAGTCCCAGCTACTCTGGAGGCTGAGGCAGGAGAATGGTGTGAACCTGGGAGGCGGAGCTTGCAGTGAGCCGAGATCACACCACTGCACTCCAGCCTGAGTGACAGAGCAAGACTCCATCTCAAAAAAGACAAGATAAATCTCTGGTGTTTTAATCCATCCAACTTGTATTACTCTGTTACAACAGCCCTAGGAGACTACTACTGTGTTCTAATTGCTCTGTTCATAAACTTGGAAACAAAATCTTTCCAAAAAATACAAAGCATTCCACAAGTTTTGCTTTTATTGTTCACTTAAGTAACTTGTAATTATTTCATGTAATTACCTAAGTGAATTATTGTCACATAATTCTTGGGATCAGTCACTCAGTTGGAGATTCAGGTATATCTATTAAAGATCAACAGTCAGTACTGCCCTTAGACTTGGACAAATCCTGCTCTTGATCCTCAGAGGTCCTACCATTTGGAGTGACTTCCTTGACATTTTTGGGTCTTTCTTTGGTGCCAGGGGATGTCTGGGGCTGGGAGTGCCATCTGCCAGATGCTTTGATTGGCAGGTTACCGTATCTCAATTTATCATTTTTGGAGTCCTCTCTGATCCTCTTATGTGTGTGTGGATTCAACCCAATGCCCTGTGGAGCTCATGAACTTGTGTTGATGGCATCTTTTCAGGACTTTAATGTCTGGGTTCTGGTTCCAGGAAGGTGGCCTGGTTGGTGGATGTTTTCTGCTTACTGGTATGATAATTCTTTTACACGATCATGGAAGATTGAGCTACTGGAACCATGCTGATTTGGGGTGACTTCTCATTCACATTGGACATATGACAATTCAAAGATCCAGGTGTGGGCTCTTGCCAATTTTTGCCTAGGTTCTCACCTGTTTTCATTCTGACTTGCAGTGCTGATTCTAGTCTGTAGCACCCAAGGACAATCACCACACCTTCTCTTCAGGCTTGTCAGCATATTTCAGGAAGACTTCCAGGATGTTAGAGCCTATCTCCCCTGAGAGCTTTTGCTTTTTATTCTCTTGCTCCACAATGCCAGTGGACCCTCTGGTTCATGTTTTTTCTTGTGTCCAATCCATGTTTGTATGTCGTGCACTTCTAGGTCAGTGTTAAGCCATGCCTGATGCAGGACAGATATTCTTGCATGAATGGAACTACTGATGTGTTCCTAACCTAATCTCCCTGCTGGTGTTGGTCTGCAGAAGGCCAATGTCAATATCAAAAAAACTCTTATTTTAGAAATGTACTCATTGTGGTCTGAAGAGTTCACAATAGTCATGTTTGGAAATGTGTCATTTTACATTTATAGTACTCCCATGCTGTAATGTGTTGTTTAAAATTTATGTGTTACCATTACAAATGGTAAAGTTAGCATGACTACAAAGTAAATTATTGTTTATGCTTTTCTGCGTGCCCTGGGAAGACTTGCATTTGTGGTCAACATCAATGAAGCATAGCAATATCTTTTGGGAGTATCATTGGAAACCAATATTCATGATGGATGATGCAGCCTTATAAGCAATAGTGTGAGCATCAAATAAATGGAATTAGGGAACTGCAGAGCCAAGAACATCTATATTGTTCAATATAAAGAGGTTCTAAAGATCTATAGCATTGCTATCTTTTTCCTGTGGCTGGCTGTAAGAAATTAGCCAGGAATGGCATATTTGACAGAAAAGAACAAAGAAATTGTTCCAGGTCCTGAATAGGAGGAGATGGGGGCCTGGCCACTATAAGGAATCTTTAAGTTTGTTGATTGGATAATAAACACAGATGTAAACACTTTTCACTCTCCATTATTCGAAAGCTTTATTGACAAATCAAGGTATTTCACATGAGACAATATATTTTAAGTAAAATTGTTCATGTAGACAGGAACCTAACAAAAAATATTTGCTTGGGCTACCTAATTTCTAGAGGCAATCCTGTCAACAGCTATTTAAAAAGGGGGGTGGGAAGAGAGAACTGGGCAGAGGGAAAAGTGGACAAAGCCTCAGGCAATCCAGTGGGGTTATGCCCCACATCTGACTGAAATGGTTTGGCCTTTACACCCCTGCCTCTCTCAGTTACTGGTCCCTGGAGGAATATGACCTTATACAAGTTGGCTCTCTGTGGCTGAGACAGAGAAGGTGAAGAAGCTGACAGCTGGAGACCATCTGCTGTTTGCACACCCCAACACTGGGCAGCAAATCCTTTCTTGAAATGGGGGTCTGGGCAGCACATCTTTGTGTCTACCACAAATATAATTTCAGGACTTAGTTTGAGAGAGATCTGTAAATGAAATTTAAATATATTCTAAAATGCCCAAAACTTACATGCCAAATATATATATATATATAACAAACTTATATATATATAACAAACATATATATAAAAAAACTAATATATATATGTTTTAGGCATTTTAGAATATATTTAAATTACATATATAAATGTATGTATTTATATTTGTTCAAAATTATGGAGAGGCAGAGGCAACTAATTATTGTTAATTTAATAACTATTAATAGCCCTTGTCTTATTAAATTTAAAACACTTTGTCTAAAATACTTGATTTCCCAATTACTAATTGATATGGTTTGGCTGTGTCACCTCCCAGATCTCATCTTGAATTGTAGTTCCCATAATCCTCACATGTCATGGGAGGGACCCAGTGGGAGGTAATTGAATCATGGAGGCAGTAACCCTGATGCTGCTGTTCTCGTGATAGTGAGGGATTTCTTACAGGATCTGATTGTTTATAAAGGGCTTTTCCCCCTTTTGCTTGGCAATCCTCCTTTCTGCCGCCATGTGAAGAAGGATGTGTTTGCTTCCGCTTCCACCATGATTGTAAGTTTCCTGAGGCCTTCCCAGCGATGTGGAACTGTGAGTTAATCAAACCTCATTCTTTTATAAATTACCCGGACTCAGGTATGTCTTCATTAGAAGCATGAGAATAGACTAATACAGTAAATTGGTACCAGTAGAGTGGGGTACTGCTATAAAGATACCCAAAAATGTGGAAGTGACTCTGAAGCTGGGTAACAGGCAGAAGTTGGAACAGTTTGGAGGGCTCAGAAGAAGATAGAAAAATGTAGGAAAGTTTGGAACTTCTTAGAGACTTGGAGGGCTTAGAAAACTGGAAGATGTGGGAAAGTTTGGAACTTCCTAGAGACTTGTTGAATGGCTTTGACCAAAATGCTGATAGTGATACAAACAATGAAGTCCAGGCTGAGGTGGTCTCAGGTAGAGATAAGGAACTTGGGAACTGAAGCAAAGGTGATTCTTGTTATGCTTTAGCAAAGAGACTGGCAGTATATTGCCCCTGCCCTAAAGATCTGTGGAACTTTGAACTTGAGATAGATGACTTACAGTGTCTAGCAGAAGAAATTTCAAAGTGGCAAAGTGTTCAAAGGAAGCAGAGCATAAAAATTTGGAAAATTTGCAGCCTGACAATGCAATAGAAAAGAAAACCCCATTTTCTGGGGAGAAATTTGCATAAGTAGCAAGAGACTGAATGTTAATCTCCAAGATAATGGGAATGTCTCCAGGGCATGTCAGAGACTTTCTTAGCAGCCCCTCTCATCTCAGGCCCAGAGACTTAGGATGAAAAAATTGTTTTGTGGGCTGGGACCAGGGCCCCCTTGCTGTGTGCAGCCTAGGGACTTGGTGCCTTGTGTCCCAGCTGCTCTAGCCATGGCTACAAGAACCCAAGGTAAAGCTCAGGCTGTGGCTTCAGAGGATTCAAGCCCAAGCCTTGGCAGCTTCCATGTAGTGTTGAGCCTGCAGATGTACAGAAGACAAAAATTGAGGTTTGGAGACCTCTAACTGGATTTCAGAGTATGTATGGAAATGCCTGGATGTCCAGGCAGAAGTTTGCTGCAGGGGTGGAGCCCTCATGTAGAACCTCTGCCAGAGTAGTGTGGAAGAGAAATGTGGGGTTGGTGCTGCCTAGTGGAGCTGTGAGAAGAGGGCCACCATCCTCTAGACTGCAGAATGGTAGGTCCACTGACAGTTTTCCCTGTGTGCCTGGAAAAGCCACAGACAATGCCAGTTGTGAAGGCAGCTGGGAAGGAGGTTGTACCATGCAAAGCCACAGGGGTGGAGCTGCCCAAGGCCATGGGAGCCCACCTCCTGCATCAGTGTGACCTGGATGCGAGACATGGAGTCAAAGGAGATCATTTTGAAGCTTTAAGATTTGACTTCCTGACTGGATTTCGGACTTGCATGGGGCATGTAGCCCCTTCATTTTGGTCAATTTCTCCCATTTTGAATGGGTGTATTTACCTAATGCCTGTACTCCCATTGTATCTAAAAAGTAACTATCTTGCTTTCAATTTTACAGGCTCATGGTTGGAAGAGACTTGCCTTGTCTAAGAAGAGACTTTGGACTTGGAATTTTGAGTTAATGTTGGAATTAGTTAAGACTTTTGGGGACTGTTGGAGGGGCATGATTGTGTTTTGAAATGTGGGACCTGTGATTTGGGAAGGGTCAGGGGCAGAATGATATGGTTTGGCTGTTTCCCCACCCAAATCTCATCTTGAATTGCAGTTCCCATAATCCCCACATTTCTTGGGAGGTAGCTTGTGGGAGGTAATTGAATCATGAGAGCAGCTACCTCCATGCTGCTGTTCTCATGATAGTGAGTGTGTTCTTACAACATCTGATGTTTGTATAAGGGGCTTTTCCTCCTTTTGCTTGGCACTTCTCCTTGCTGTTGCCATGTGAAAAAGGACATATTTGCTTTCCTTTTGACCAGGTATGTAAGTTTCCTGAGGCCTCCCCAGCCCTGTGGAACTGTAAATCAATTAAACCTCTTTTCCTTTTCTTTTTTTTTTTTTTTTTTTTTTGAGACAGAGTCTCGCTTGTTCACCCAGGCTGGAGTGCAGTGGCGCGATCTTGGCTCACTGCAACCTCTGCCTCCCAGGTTCAAGCTATTCTTCTGCCTCAGCCTCCCAAGTAGCTGGGACTACAGGTGCCCACCACCATGCCCAGCTAATTTTTGTATTTTTAGTAGAGATGGGGTTTCACCATATTAGCAAGGCTGGTCTCAAACTCCTGACCTTGTGATCTACCCGCCTCGGCCTCCCAAAGTGCTGGGATTACAGGTGTGAACCACTGCACCTGGCCAATTAAACCTCTTTCTTTATAAATTACCCAGTCTCAGGCATGTATTTATTAGCAGTGTGAGAATGGACTAATACACTAATAAATCTGATAATGTTACAATTTTTAAATAACTAATTTTCTACATCACTTCTTCTCCACACTTGGGTTTTAAAGTGCTTTCTTAAATATATCCATGTCTATGTATATCTACATCTGTATCTACCTAGGTAGAGCAATAATAGATTTATAATAGATCTACCAGGGTAGATACAGATGTAGATATACATATCTATATATTCTTAAGTTTTTATTTGCTACAAATTTTATAATTATCTAGGTTGTACATGTGTTTCATAAAAAATAATAGTGTAATTATAAAATTAATAAAATAGCATTCTGTTCTTATCCTCATCAACTTGCTTCTCCAGAATTAAACACTTTTACCTATTTGTCTGTTACTTATCTCCACATTTCTAAATAGCCTCCTTTTAAAATGGATTTTTCTGGTTTAAAGTTTGTATCTCTATTTCTTAATATCGGTATCTTAACATAGAAAACCTATATTGCTTAAATCATCACACACTTCTTTTCTCTTTATTCACCCTCCTATGCACTTTCTTTCTCTCCAGTCTCCCAATTTGTAATTATATCATAATGTATCACTAATTCAATTTTTAGTGTTCATATAATACTCAATATTTAGTATTTACACAATATGACTATGGAAGTACTATTTTCAGTTGAATCAAGTTATGATAATATTTTATTTTTGTACAACCTTTTTTCCTGGGGTTATTTTCATTATTTTCTCTTGTTTAATTCTATACACCTACTACGAATTCATCCTCAAACTTTTTGAAAGATGTGTAAAACTTATTTTAATCAAATTGGTTTCATCTTCTTTCCCCCTTGGAGATAGAGATCTTTCCAGCACCCCTTTGGCTCTGATCTGGACCACATGCTGTCTAGGTTGGCTGCACAGATGTCAACTTGGAGCCTCCTTTTGGCAGCACCTTAAGAAACTTTTTGGCATCTCTTTGTTGAATCCCACTTTCTGGACACCATATTTTGTTCCCTCTTGAATTATCTTCTCATATTGATGGAGTGCATTCTCCATCAGCTTTAGGAGAAAGAAGGCAAAGAACTTGAACATTTTGAGAACTTCTATTTCTGAAAATGTCTTTATTATTCTGATTCATACTTGGTTGAACAAATTTCTAGGTTAATTTTTTTTCCTTCAGAATGTTGAAGTATTGCTACAATGTCCTAAACTTGAGAATGTGTGTGGGGTTGTCAAGAAGACCTCATCATAAGGGTGAGGAACAGTATCTATGTAAAGGTTAGAATCTACAGGTGTTCTCTCTAGGCTGGTTTGTGTTTTCCAGAGAAGAAGGATCCAGTGCTCTGCTTTGGCTGAAAGAGAGAAGATGACTGTACAGTCTCACTATTCAGAAATCAATTTCAGCTAACCTCTGATTCTCACCCTTCCTCTCAGCTGTGCCTGGTATCCTTAAAGCTATCTCTGCCATGGATCAATGTCTTTAGACAGTGAATCTTTTGCCTCCTGCCAAGGAGGATGTGTAGTTTAGGGAAGGAGATTGGAGTCTAGATGCTACTGATGTAAAGTTTCTACCAGTCTGCCTGTTTTCAGCTTTACTCAGTGCCTCATAATCTCATATTTTTCAGGGTTCTGAGAGAAAAAACTGGTTTGCTTCTTGTGAGTGTTACCCCTACAAGCTGCTTGGTTTTAGCTTTCTCAGGACAGCTAAATTGGTTAACATTCATATGCTTTGCAGCTTCTAAAATGTTGTTCTCTCTCTGCTTCTGTTGCTCTTTTATATTTCCTTTAACCTTGTGGGATTTTTGTTTATTCCTTATTGTCATTTTAGCTGAGATTTAAGGAGAGGAATTTAGCATCTTCATTTAATGTATTCTTTAAATCACAACTTCTGATCAATAATAATTTCTGCCTTTTTGCCTCTCCATTATAATGTTCCTCTCCCTGAAATAGTAAATGTCAGGAATAGCACAAAATTCTGATCAAATATGGCAGAGTGAAGGTTTTCATTACATTTTCTACTCCAAAAGAAATTGCGAAAAACAAAAATTACACTAAAAACTCAACACACAGAAAATAAGACAACAATTTAAGTGAAACGGAATCAGCCACAACTCTGAAAAGAATACTTTAAAAATAGATCAGGAGATACATGAAATATACAGAAAAACATGCAACAAGCTGTAGAAGAAAGGGTGCCAAGTGCACACCCATCTGTATATTTCTTGCAGCACATAGAAGTTTTCTAAAATACATTCACTATAGAAATAAAAATTAAACTAGTAGCAGCAACATATAAGCTCTGCTGAAAGGTAGTTATAGATATGGATGAGAGGCTTGAAAAAAATCAATAAAAATATAAAAACAAATGAAGCTGATTAGACAAGGGGAAGAAGAAATGAATCATGATGTAAATATCAAACAAGGTGGATATTGATAGACCATAGACTTTGAAAATATAACAGAAGAGATGAAGCTTATATGGGATTTTAGTTCAGGACAAACCTATGTTTTCAACGGGCGCCCATCAGAACCTCTTCCATGGCCAAAGGGTACTAAATAGAGTCAGTGGGTAATTTTCAGGATAGGTGAAACTCCAATATTATGTTTGCAATTTAGAGAAAAATAACATTTATTTTCTAAGATACTATTATAATACCTAGAAAAAGTAGTCTTTGGCAGGGGGTGGGGGTAAGAATTGAGTAAAGTTTGATGTTGTAAATAAAACTATAAAGTATTTTAAAGTATAATTTAATTTTCAGAATGGGAAACCTGTTTTGGTTTTACCAAAATCGCATATATTAACTTTTAAATTTTTATATATAGTATGTAACAGATGTGTGTGTGTGTTCTATCTTTCATACATTCTAATCTTGAATGAATGATTTATTCATTTAATTGCCTTCTCAATACAGAATAATTTCACCAAAAATTATACGTGTAAAACCAGAAGTGACTTGTTACTTCCCTACTGAAGATATTTTAAGTAAACTTAGCCTCACTCCCCTCTTTGACAGCCTGAGCAAGCTGGAAACCTTTCCTGTAATCCTTTCTTGTATCTAAATCAGGGGTATCCAATTTTTGGCTTCCCTGGGCCACACTGGAAGAAGAATTGTCTTGGGCTACAGTAAAAAACACTAACTATAGCTGATCAGACAAAAAAATTGCAAAACAATTTCATAATGTTTTACAAAGGTTTACGAATTTGTGTTGAGCTGAATTCAAAGCCATCCTGGGCTGTATGTTGCCTGCAGGCCATGGGTTGGACAAGCTTGATCTAAATGAAAGAAGTATTAACTAATCTGAAATTATAGATTCTTGAAAAATGTCCTTTCTCAGTAGATAAGAATTTTATGTAACATGATACTTGGTATTAAATTCTAATGAGAATAAGTTTTACAACAGATTTAAGTTGAGCTTCAGATACTCAGGCTGATAATATTTCTTTGTAGGATTTAATTTTTATTGACACATTAATGAAACTATTCTCTACTTTAGAGCAGTAGGGATGACATAAATTTCATTATTTTAAGGAATAAATTTTATTAAATTTTCATTAAGTTACTAAACTGTAGGATGTTTAAAATGTTTTTAACATGATCAATGCAGTTACCATGGATATTGCTCTTTATTTTAAAACCACCTCAGAATAAATTGTGGTCTGCTGGTCAACCAGGCTTCCCTTCTACTCCTCAAAAAAGCCCTGATTTGTAGAATTTGCTGATTTCTGTATTAAACCCTGCATTATGGCTGATTTTGAGCTATCAATCTGATGTCACTGATGGTGACTTTAGGGAGAAAGGTGAACAATGGGCTCTCCTTGGCCATGTGAGCCAGCTCTAGCACACTACTGCATTAACACACAGGGGTGCATCACTTAACAAGCTGAGTGTGTTCTGAGAAGTGTGTCCTTAGGTGATTTCTTGTGTGAACATCATGGAGTGTACTTACACAAACCTAGATGATGTAGCCTACTATGCACCTAAGTTATATAGTATAGGCTATTGCTCCTAGGCTATAATCTGTACAGTATGTTACTAAAATAAATACTCTAGGCAACTGTAACACAATGGTCAGTATTTGTATAACTAAACATAGAAAATGTACATTAAAAACATGGTATAAATGATTTTAAATGGCGTTACCTGTGCAGATCACTTCCCATGAATGGAGCATGCAAACTGGAAGTTGCTCAAATATTTTCTTTCTTTATATCCTTATTCTTTAGACATTTTTTTCTATTTTTAAAATGCTTTATAATTTTTAGTTTTTTGAAAGTTTTTGTTAAAAAGTAAGACTCAAATACACACATTAGCAAAGGCCTACTCAGGGTCAGGATCATCAGTCAATATCACTTTCTTCCACTTCCACATTTTGTCCCACTGGACGATCTTCAGAGATTATCTTCAGAGATAATAACAAGGATGGAGCTGTCATCTCCTGTGATAATAATGCCATCTTCTAGAATACCTCCTGAAGGACCTGCCTTAGGCTGTTTTAGAGTTAACTCTGGCTTTTTAATAAGCTAGAGTATACTCTAAAATGATAGAAAGTAAATAATAAATATATAAACCAGCAACAGCATTATCATTACCGAGTATTATGTTCTGTACATAATCATCTATGTTATACTTTTCTGTGACTGGCAGCACAGTGGGTTTGTTTACACCAGCATCACAACAAACGTGAGTATTGCATTGTGCTGTGACATTGTGGTGTATGACATGACTAGGGAATAGGATTTTTTCAGCTCCTTTGTAATCTTATGGGACCACCATAGTATATACTGTTCATCATTGACTGAAATGTCATTATGTAGCGCATGACTGTAATCATCTTTGTAATTTTCTTTTTTCTCAAAATTTATATACACCTTTAAAAAGTCAAGTAGGACCAGAAGCATTTATAATGAAAAATGATCCAAACCTCATTCTACCAACATCCTTCCCAGACAGAAGTTACTCTCTTGAACTGTTTCTGTTTTTAGTTCTGCCAGTTATTATTTCTTCCCAAATCTAAATAATTTGCTGTAAGGCTATTTTTTGATTTGGCAATAATATGAACACTTCCAAGTCTTTCAATTAGAATTATTTTCTATTATCTAGTAACTTTCTCCCCTCTATTTTCTCTGTTCTCTACAATTCCTGTTAGTTGGATTTAAGGTCATTATAAGTGATACTCTTGTCTTTTCTTCCATATATTTTATTCATCTTTTCTGCTGTTTCAACCTTTTTTTGATTTTATGTACCAATCATGTGTTTGTATATTTGTGCTTTTTCTCATTTTTTCTTAGCATTGTCTTCTTGCTTAAATAAGAAAATATTACTTGAATTTATGAATCTAATTAAAGTTATTTATAATCTTTTTTAATTCCTGAAATATCTGTTTTTCTTTTAAGTTCCTTTTTTCCTCTTGAGCTATATCCTTTTATTGCTGGTTTTCACATACTTGTTGACCTTTTGTTGTCTATTCATATTTAGCAATGTGGGATGAGTATGATTTGTCTGCTGAATGATTTGAGTGTCCTCTTTACCTATATATGAAGTTTTCACACTAGGACATTTTAACAGGTCTTTGAGCACCTTTCATAGATGTGCAATGTGCTCAGGCTTCAATTTGGGATTTTTCTGGGGAACTCCCAAATGCCAGAATGGAGAAGCCTTAAAATCTAGTGCATAACCTATCAGCCTTTGTTTTGCTCATGCATTTCTTTTCTGTTTATTAAAAAAGATGTGAGTGTGTGTGTGTGTGTGTGTGTGTGTGTGTGTGTGTGTTTATGATTCTCTTTGGCAGAATGTGTTAGGCTGCCTGCACTCAGCAATTTAGCAATAGAGGAGAGAGAATGGATGGTGAAGAGGCACGTGGGGAGTAGCTGCAAGATGCAGTTGTTTCATGGACAGAAACTGCACCAATCCTATCCTCCTGCCCCCATCCCCAGTTTTCCAGGCTTTTGCACAGTACCTACGGATTCCAAGTCCAGCGCTTCTTTAGAGTTTTGCCAAAGATATATGGATCTTTTTCTTATGCAGATCATTTCCATGCATTCTAAGTGTAGCTTCATTTTTCTGTTTGATATAATGAAGACTTCAGTCTGTCTTCATTTACCCCCAAATTTTTGAAATCTCTCATTCATCAAAAAGGTCCTTCTTTTTTACTAATTTTTCTGTAATTTTATTCCATTTTTTTCCTACACAATCATATGAATATGAATTGGAAGTCATGATCTATTGCACAGTGAATCCATTTGGAATCTTACAATCAGTGAACCATCCCTGTACCTCTTTGGGAGCTATGTACATTGTATCTTGTATATGTACAGAGTTACGTTTTTTAGATTTTGATACAAACACCCAAAAAAACACTGAGCAATCCCATTAGGGTTTTTGTTTGCTTTTAAAAAATACTGGCATCAAGAAATTCTTTTATTCTAAAAGTATACCTATTTGAAAAACTCATATCCAAAATTCTGGTTTGTAAAATTATGAGCATTATATATGAAGTTTAGAGGACATTTATGGAGATTCCTTCATATAGAACAAAACAAAATCTTATAAATTATTATAATGTCATGTTACTGGATATGATTTCTTTTTTAAAAACCACAGTCAAAATATAAATCTGCATTCTTTAATGCTTCCTTTGACAAAACAATCTTTAGAAAACATTTATTGTCACACTACTTTGGCCTGAACTATGAATTCTAATTTAATTTTTATATACTCTGTGTTAAAAATAATTTGATTTGGGGAGAAATTTGGAGGCGCTTCAAGGCAATTGACATTATGAAGACAAATTCTGTTTATTTCTTGAAAGTTTCTCTTCATATGAGTTTAATTGAATTTTTTTTTTTTTTTTTGAGATGGAGTCTTGCTCTGTTGCCAATGCTAGAGTTAAGTGTTGCCATCTCGGCTCACCACAACCTCCACCTCCCAGGTTCAAGCGATTCTCCTGCCTCAGCCTCCTGAGTAGCTGGGACTACGGCTACACATCACCATGTCCAGCTAATTTTTTTTATTTTTAGTAGAGATGTGGTTTCACTATGTTGTCCAGGCTGATCTCGAACTCCTGACCTCAGGATCCGCCCGCCTCGGCCTCCCAAAGTGCTGGGATTACAGGCATGAGCCATCGCACTCAGCTGTGTTTAACTGAATTTCTAAAACTTGAATATGATTTTATAATAAGCTATAAGTTTATTCTCTCAGTATTTCAAACCATATAATACAATTCTTATGCTTCTATCTTATAACCATTTAAAGTTATTTAGTTGGTTAGCTATTTAAAGGTTAATCCTATGTTTTAACAATATTAAATACTTTATATAAGAAATGTGTTCATATTTTATAGTAAATTATCAAAGGAATACAGCCATTCAAAAAATAAACATTATTTGCCACATTTATTTCTGTGTATACTGCTATGAATGCAACTCATTATTCTTAGAATATAGTTTCTCTGTATTGTAGAATATATACTTCTATGTGTATATGTAGCTTTTATGTATATATGTGATATTAAATGAAAATTAGCACATATATGCATGAATGGATGTCAAATGTCCCCTATTTTTCATATATACACAACACTAATTCATATATGTGTGTATGTGATATGCACATACTATCTTTTTTTGTATATATGTATATATGCTTTCAAGGCCAGATTAAGCAGAAGGATGCTCAAATTTCTCCTCCCTCCTCCTATGCCTGATTATTCTGCACCAGACCTTCACTTTTATTGAGTAGCTAGGGTTGGGCTGACACTTTTCAGGCTGAAAGGCAGAAACATTTATCTTCACTGACAAACAATTTGTGAATACCTTCCTTGGGTTGTGAGACACTTGCTCTAACACAATTCTCATCTGTTTTATTATGGAGTCCCTGCAACATTTGACATCCTCTTACTGAATTTGCGTGTTGTGAACCGAATGGTACCATAGGTTGATTGTAATATATTTTTTTAAAGTTCATGCCAATTTTTCTGTCTTTGAAATTTAGAAATTAATGTGGGATTATTTCACCTGTATTTTTTAGGAAGGAACTCTATTAATTTTTCCTCTGAATATAAATGTAATCTGTGTTTCTATTAGAAAACTATGAGAATATGAGAAAATACCAGGAAGAAATAATATCTATATAATATCTATGATCCTACTAATCAATGATAATTGCTATTAGTATTTTATATATATTCTTTAATCATGTATTTATGCATAAACATGCATGATATTAACTTAATGCTAGAATCATGCAGTTTATGTTTGCAGACTTTTGTTTGCTTAATTTTGAATGACATTAAAGGCTTGGTTTTTAATTGATGCATGATATTTCATCTTATGTACTTTCTGACATGTGATCACCTCCTATTGTTGCATATTTACGTTATTTTTATTTTTGATATTCTGACTTAAACCATGATAAAATTCATATGTAAGGGTTTATGCACATCTACAGTAGTTTTTAGCCATTTTTTAAGGTTTTGTATGTAACCTGATCATTCCTTTAGCACATTTAAAAAATAATATCCATTTGTGTTTTCTTATTGATTTATAAGTCATTTTTTCTACAATGGTGTTAATCTTTGGGCTATCTTATATGTTGCAAATGATTTCTACTTTTTTGGTTGTTTTACATTATGTGTATTTTTTATATATATACTGTAATTTAAAATGTCCACTTTAGTACAGCCTCTATGGAAAACTGGTTGGCAATTTCTCGAAAGGTTAAACACACATCTACTTTATTATCTAGCAACTTTATGCATAAGTATATACCCCAATAATTGAAAACATATGCCCACAAAAGACTTATACAAAAATGTTAATTACGTCTTTCTTCAAAATAACAAACTATTGGAAATAATCTAAATTTACGTCAAAAAGAATAGTTTAAAATTTGTGATATATTTATAAAATGGACTACAACTCAGGATTAAAAGGAATAAACTATGAATTTACACAAAAACACAGACGAATCCCAAAAACATACTCATTGAAAGAAGCAAGACCCAAAATAATGTATATTGTATGATTCTCTTGCTGTGAAGTTCAACAACTGGTGTAAATGATTTATAGTGTATGGAGTCAGGAGAATAGTTGCCTCCATGAAGGGGAAAGGGAATGAAAGGAAAGAGACACATTTATTTGTCACAAATCAACAAACGCTACTATTATGGGGCTGAATTTTGTTCCCCCAAAATTCATATGTTGACATTCTAACTTCCTGCACATTAGAATGTGACCGAATTTGGAGACAGAGCTTTAAGACATAATTAAGAGTAAATTGAGTTCATTTTGGTTGCCCTAATCCAGTATGACTGGTGTTCTTAAAAGAAGAGTAGATTAGGACATAAAGACACACAAAGCAGGACCGTGTAAAGACACAGAAAGAAGACAGCTATCTATAAACCAACCCTGCTAACATTTGATCTTGAATTTCTACTTTCCAGATTGTGAGAAAATAAATTTATGTTATTTTATTACCTGGTCTATGGCAAAAATCAAAAATGTTTATAAAAATGTTTAAATATCCAGAACCCAACAATGTAAAATCATAATGTTTGGCATCCAAACAAAAATTACCTGGCATACCAAGAAGCAGAAAAACATGACTCCAAATGAGTACAAAAACATCAATCATCTATAAATGATCTGGAAATAACAATGATGATAGAATTAGCATACAAGTATATTAAAACATTTAAATAACTACATATCATATGTTCAAGAACCTAAAAGAAAGCTTAAGCAAGTGTAGTAGACACAATGGGAAATATAAAAAAGACACAAATTCAACTTCTAGAGACGGAAATCATGTCTGAGTTGAATAATGTCACTTATGTCTGTTTTCCTTTGCATTTATGCTAAGTGCATACACCATCCTGAGATAAAAATATTAAAACAAACTTTTTTGTAATTTCTTTGCAATTTTCATTTCTTATTGAAATCATACCTTAAATGTATTTTGTATATAATCTATTTTTCTGTATTATTAAACAATATTCAGAACTCTAATTGTTTTGTTACCCATCACTTTCTCATTGATTTGAAATGCCAGTTTTTAACATTTATGAGTGCAGGTATGTGTAAATGAGTATACGAATTTAAAAGTCTCTATCATAAGAAGAAATGTTCTTTAGCAATTAAGAGTGCAGGCTAACAAATGACTACATTCTAACTGTAACCTTGACCACATTTTTTTTCATGAGTCTTGACAGTAATCTACTTGTATGTAATAAATGTCATGTGGATAGTTGAACATATTTTACAGGGTTGCTGTGAGATTTAGTAAGGTAATGCAAGTACAGTCTTGCCTTGAATTATAATAGGGACATTTTAAGAAATTTTAAAGGAAATTTACAATTAAATGTTAAAGGAAATTTAAAGCATATTTTATCTATTCTTTCATCCAGAGGTATGTGAGTGTGTGTGCACGTTTGTATGTTTAAGGTTTGTGTATTGGATTTTATTTTAAATGTTTCTATTTTGCCTCTTAAATTTTGACTTAGTCTTTTGTATAGTTCACATTCTTTCAAGAGGATGTTGATTTTTTTCTTCTTGTTTTTACTCAAATTTGAATAAAGAAATTGCTATTTGGATCAAGCATTAGGTTGAACTATATGAAATTTCGTTTTTACTGTGTAAAAATCCTATATAGTGGGATTTCATATGGATCAACTTAAAATTGCTTAAAAATCACTGAGGGTAGATACATAAAGAATCTCCAGTAATGCAATGGCTGGGTCAAATGGTATTTCTAATTTTAGATCCCTGAGGAATCGCCACACTGACTTCCACAAGGGTTGAAGTAGTTTACTGTCCCACCAACAGTGTAAAAGTGTTCCTATTTCTCCACATCCTCTCCAGCACCTGTTGTTTCCTGACTTTTTAATGATTGCCATTCTAACTGGTGTCAGATGGTATCTCATTGTGGTTTTGATTTGCATTTCTCTGATGGCCAGTGATGGTGAGCATTTTTTCATGTGTCTTTTGGCTACATAAATGTCTTCTTTTGAGAAGTGTCTGTTTATGTCCTTTGCCCACTTTTTGATGGGGTTGTTTGTTTTTTTCTTGTAAATTTGTTTGAGTTCATTGTAGATTCTGGATATTAGCCCTTTGTCAGATGAGTAGGTTGCGAAAATTTTCTCCCATTTTGTAGGTTGCCTGTTCACTCTGATGGTAGACCCATTACTGGGTATATACCCAAAGGACTATAAATCATGCTGCTATAAAGACACATGCACACGTATGTTTATCGCGGCACTATTCACAATAGCAAAGACTTGGAACCAACCCAAATGTCCAACAATGATAGACTGGATTAAGAAAATGTGGCACATATACACCATGGAATACTATGCAGCCATAAAAAAGATGAGTTCATGTCCTTTGTAGGTACATGGATGAAATTGGAAATCATCATTCTCAGTAAACTATCGCAACAACAAAAAATCAAACACCACATATTCTCACTCATAGGTGGGAACTGAACAATGAGAACACATGGACACAGGAAGGGGAACATCACACTCTGGGGACTGTTGCGGGGTGGGGGGAGGGGGGAGGGATAGCTTTAGGAGATATACCTAATGCTAAATGACAAGTTAATGGGTGCAGCACACCAACATGGCACATGTATACATATGTAACTAACCTTCACATTGTGCACATGTACCCTAAAACTTAAAGTATAATAATAATAAAATAAAACAAACAAACAAAAAAAAGCAACCTATCATACATTAATGATTGAACTTTAAATATAGTAATATGTTTTTCAAGGAAATAATTACTAGATGGTATTTAAGACAATTCATACATTGTTGTGTTATTTTATTAAAATGATCACATTTTTATAATTTAAAAAAAAAAAGAATCTCCAAGGGCTGGTAGTGGAATTCTGCTCTATATAAGTTCAGTGATACTGCACTTGGAGAGTAATAGGGAGCAGTGAGTGGAAGCACTGCCAAGCATATACATCTTCTTTCTCCACAGTCAGGTGTTTTTGGTTTTTGATGTCTCTATTTTTGGCAAAGCCACCTCTTAACATTTTTTTTTCTGTATCTTGATTTCAGTTTGGTTTAGTTTACAATCTACATAGTCATTGTGCTTGTGTTTTTTCTGCTTCTTGGTTTTACAGTCTGTTAAGGAATAGAACCTATTGATGTCACAATGTCAGTTACCTACTTCTCTGATGTTTCGGTCAGTTATGTTTGCTTGAGTGTTTCAGGACACCTGCTTCCTGATGTTAACATACTTGGCAGCAGACCTTTCTCAAGCTTACTCTTATTTCCAATTATTGCTTCTTAATACAGAAAGTATCAGTGGGGTTTATTCACTCACTCTTTCATTCTTTCAATCATTCGTGTATTAGTTCAGTACTGACAGTATCAAAAGAATGTTTGCTCTACTTTTATGAGGTTTTTGTCTATAAGATTAGGTAACAATTACAAAACAAATGGAAGCAATACATAATTCCAAGCTATGATAGTGAAAATGTTCTAACAAATTTAAACCCACTTTTTCAGAGATCGATATTGAAAATGACTCTGTTTTCTTTCAATATGGTCCCAACTTCTGTACATGTAGCAAAAAATTTGATGAAATGTTTGGATGATACATTTTTCTAATTACCAGAGTGATTCAGTTTTCCCTATTTTAAATTCCTTTGGTCATTTCAATCAGGATTAGGTAGGATGTGATGTTACAGCCTGTGTTTAAATTGACATCCTATGTCAAATTTATTATATATGTCCTTAAGAAATTAGGATTTACTTTGATTAAAATCTTTCTGTGCCTCAGGAATGAGTAGTATATTTTATGATTTTCTAAGGATAACTTTCTCTGTAATTTAAAAGAACAATAAAGTGTTTATTTCCTTTTCTTAAAAAAATAAAATTCACTGATTCAGTTAACCTAGAGAAAACAACCATTGTGCATAGTTACTGAGGGAGTATGTTAATAATCACTTTTTAAAACAATGTGGAGAATGTCTGCATCAAAGGATTCTGCCATCACCCTAAGTATTTTCTCCCTATCTTATCTTTTTTTCTCCTTTGACTAATAGCTTTAACATTGATTTAGTTGAATAAAACATTTGACATTTTTAAGGTTCAGTGCACAAAAAATACTATTTACCATTCACAGGGTTAGGATTATTTTGTATTAACCAAAAAAGTATGTATGTACATATGTACGTATCTATTTATCTATTTATCTATCTATTATCTATCTATCATCTATATATCCACATACATACAGACACACACATAATCATCATTGATATTTAGGATATTTGTAGTTTTCTTTGATTAGATATACTCTGTAAACACTTTGCCAGTAGAAATGTACTGTATAATGTGACAGTGATCTATAAAAATGCATTTTATTTCATTCAAACTTAAAACTATGCACATAATCTGGTTATCTTCTAAAACAGGTGATATGCTTCTTTAGATTAAGATTTGCCTTCTTGTGCTTTCGGGAAGGGTTTGAACAATGAGTGATATGTGATTGAATTTATGGTGAAGAGGCAGAAATGCTCTTAAATATTATAAATTCCGTAGATTCATAGTACAACATTCTCTTCAGCTGTGCCAAAATTATCCCTGTAGAATGTTTTTATCTAGTAATAGCAGCGATGAGTAGTTGATCTCATGGCAATGTGATACCGCCCCTCATGGACACCTGCTAAATCACCAGTATCTGTTTTATCTGAAGTCATAGCTTGTGGTGACAATGTTTAAATGCTCATTAAGCACATTAAACATAGCTAAGTTCAAAGTGAAATTTAGCTGGCCAAAAACTTATTACTCGAGTCTTGTAATATGTTTTGTACAAGTCTTTTTCAACTTGTACAACTATCACTGGGTGTTTATGAAAAAGTCCAAACAAGTTTTCACTATAGAATGTTTGTGTCTTTGTACCCATCAGACCTATTTGGTGTTTGGCAAACAAAGCAAGCAATCATGATTTTTCTGACTTAAAAAAATGCATGATTGAGTGATTTCTTGCTACAAGAATTTAGTGCTTCACTGTGTTACAACCGAACAAAAAGTGAACACTACAGTTGTCCTTGTTAATAAACCATACTATTAAGCATATTAATTTTTGCTAAAAGCGTGGTTAAACAAATAATAATACAAGTACATAATTAATGAAAATTATTTTCAGGTTGTTACTGATATTTAAAAAATAAAAACGTTGTAATTTTAAACAACTTACCAAAGGACAGAAATCTAAATACTAAGTTTGGTATAATGAGTCTTTTAATTTCATCTTTGTACACCACTATTTTAATGTACTGACATATTTTGTGTGTTGTAATCGCCTTGGTCAGCACAATTTTTAGATAAAGGAAGTGAAATAAATCGAGTTTCTTATTAGCACAATGATACCATTATATTTCTTAATTTTTTTTTTTTTTTTTTTTTTTGAGACGGAGTCTCGCTCTGTCACCCAGGCTGGAGTGCAGTGGCCCGATCTTGGCTCACTGCAAGCTCTGCCTCCCGGGTTCACGCCATTCTCCTGCCTCAGCCTCCTGAGTAGCTGGGACTACAGGCGCCTGCCACCACGCCCAGCTAATTTTTATTTTTTTATTTTTTTTGTATTTTTAGTAGAGACGGGGTTTCACTGTGTTAGCCAGGATGGTCTCCATCTCCTGACCTTGTGATCCACACGCCTTGGCCTCCCAAAGTGCTGGGATTACAGGCATGAGCCACCATGCCCGGCCCAAAAACAATCATTGTATTTCTAACTGAATCTTTATATTACACAAAGTCTGAAGTTCCCTAAACTTGGAACTTGGGAATATCAGTGTGGATATACATTTATTACATAATTATCATTTATTTTCATAAATGTAAATACCTTTATATAAATCAATGAAAATTTAATATTACATTTCATTTTCTGTCATTATTTCTTTTCATCTTTAATTAACAAAAGTTTCTCAGCCTTTAGTTAATTGCTTTGTTAATGATTTTTCAAACAGAATTAGAAGACTTTAATATTTAAAGGAATATTTCCATATTATGAAAAATAATACTTTAAAGAATGTTTCATTTGTAGTTCTTCACAATTTGGAGAAGTTGGAGAATGTTCAGTGAAATAGCATATAATTATGCATTTTAATTAAAGTAGCCAATGCTGTGACTTAAAAAATGGAATATTATGCTTCAGACTTTACTTTTCACCGTAAATAAAACAACCACAGAAATGCCAGACAGAACAGGAACATTATGGTACCTGCAGTACACTCGGGTTACATACACACACCAAAAGAGAGAATGTGAAAATCTAGGGAGAGGGATGGAAGCTATTTGTGTGTGTATGTGCGCGTGCATGTGTGTGTGCGTGTGCACGCAGGTGCACTCGTAGAGTTACAAGTAAAGACTAGAGGGGCTTTCCTCTGCATGGTTAATATTTACATATGTGCTAATTCTGCCATTGATTAGGTCAGTACTATTGTTACCATGGTTTTTCCTTTTTTGACACTTCTGTCATTGTTTCATTTACGGTGAAAACGAAAGGCTGAGAATGGGGGCCATGAGGAAACGGAGGTCTGAGTAGTGAGAGCAGTAGGCTGTTTGAGGATGGATTTGGGGAGAAAACCTGTAGTCTCTAGAGGAAAATCCCTCAAAAGCCTTACCATTAGGATGCAGAAATTAGGACGCATAGAGTGAAAACTGCTGACAGAGTATGCTCTTGAAACATCTTGGGCCATGCACGGTGGCTCACACCTGTAATCCTAGCACTTTGGGAGGCTGAGGCAAGTGGATCACCTGAGGTCAGGAGTTTGAGACCAGCCTGGCCAACATGGTGAAATCTCTTCTCTACTAAAAATAACAAAAATTAGCCTGGCGTGGTGGCACACACCTGTAGTCCAAGCTCCTTGGGAGGCTGAGGCAAGAGGATAGCTCGAACCCAAGAGGTGGAGGTTGCAGTGAGCTGAGACCATGCCACTGCACTCCAGCCTGGGTGACACAGACAGACTCCATCTCAAAAAAGAAAAAAATAATCTTGAAGATTGGAGGAGGTTTTGGCTAGAATAGAAGAGAGAACCCTTCCAAGATGTATAATAAACATAAAGAACAAGAATTTCAGACCTCTATCGACACACAGCTGAAAAGAAAGCAATAGTGGTTTGTTTCTCTTCTGCAAAAGCAGGTGGATAATTAACGTCTTCCCTTGTCTATAGAAAGAAATGTTTTTGACAGTTGAGAAATTGTTTTTTCCATAATTTAAGTCCTACCCACTGAGTTCTTCCTCACTGGGGGTTGACACGTAGTAGGCCTGGGGAGTGGATGGAGATACCAACTTTATGGTTACCATATGAGTCCCAGGTGCCATCGTCTGTAAGTACCACAAAGTCAGAGTTAGTTTAATCCAGCAAAAAAAGTCTATTTTCATAGACAAATTCTCAATATTAAACCTGAGCTATACTTGATGTATTAAATTAGTTTGATGAGAATTTTTTTCTGTAATTAAAAAGAAACGTAACAAGAACACAGTTTACATGGGAAACTGTCTCATATATAAGTGAATAAGTAAGAATTGTAAAAGTCTTTGCTATTATGTAATTTAAATTAAGTTAGTGCATATTAAATTCTTTTGAAGATGGTACTTGTGGTCATTCATCCTTTTCATTTTTATTTATTTTTACATGAAACCTAGCTAATATAATTATTTTTACAAAGCTTTACTTTCTTCAGTGTTTTCTTATTCATTAAGAAGAAAGCATTATCTTCACATTACAATTTATTTTTGGGATAAAAATTTGTCTAGTTCAAGTTTAAAATAAAGAAAAATAAGAAACAAAATATTGTTATGTATTGCTGCTGTTTTTATTTACTTCTTTCTTTGTCAGTAAAATCCTCCCAGTAAGCCATTGCATTACCACAAGTTTTTCAATTACTTACCCTCACTGATGTCACTAATTATGATGCATTAACCATGAGAATGTTAATGCAGAAAAATAAAAACAACAACCAGAAAAATCAAAACAACAAATACTAAGTATAAGAATATTGCGAATTAAAAGATGCAGAATATTTCCACTGAGATTATGCAAATAGAAAGAGAAAAAATGAGTTGATGCAGCTATGTATGTCTCTGATAGTTAATGTTACTGATTATAGTTCTTAAATTGTTGTTTTTTTAGTTTGCTCAATGCTATATATTTTCTTGTTTTACTTGAATTGTGGAAACATTTGTGTCACAGAAGAACAAATTAATCCCAATGTAAGCAGTAGAAAGTGAATAATAAAATTAAAATGAATCAATGGAATAAAAAACAGAAATGATAGAGACATCAGTGAAATGAAAAGCTGGTTCTTTGAGAAGATTTATAAAGTTGGTAGATATCCAGCCAGACTGATCAGAAAGAAAGAAGTTTCAAATTCAATAACAAAAATGAGTGATGGTTCATTGCTACAAATTTTCCAAATGTTTAAAAGATAATCAGAAAGTATTAAGAACAATTTTATGGTCAATAAACACACTTTGATGAAATGAACAAATTCCTTGAAAGACACAAACTACCAAAGCTTACTCAAGAAGAAATCGATGAGCTAAAGAGCCCCTAAGAAATTGGTTAGGTTGAGCATCTCATTTTATTTCTTTTTTATGAATGGTCATTTCATATCTTTTGCCTATTTCTCTATTAGACTCTCAGTACTTTTTTATTTGTTGGGTTTTTTAAATTTTATATATTGATCCCTTGTCAGTTTTAGACGTTGCAAGGAACTTCTCTATTTTTTATTGGTTAATTTCAACTATGGTGTCCTTTATTGAATGGAAATGTTTATTTTTAATGTACCCAATTTTCCTCTTGTGGATTTTAATTTTTGAATTTTATTCAGATCTTTCCCCATTCCTAGGTAAAGAGATACTCTAGTACATCGTAATTTATTTTCTTTATTGTTTTTCTATTCAGATATACATATTTAATTCTTCTGCATCCCAATTTATTTGAGATTTAATGTAGCAATCCTGTTCATATTGGTAATTTTCCGAGATCTCTATCCTGTTCCACTGGTCACTTTGTTCTTGACCAAACAGCTTTATTATGGTAGCTTGTAAGTATATTTTCATGTTGGTATAATGAGCCTCCCCACTTTCTTTGGTCTTTTTAAAATCAAAATTGACATAAACTCTTCATGCACTTTTATTCTACCAGATACACCTTGATTAATCATATTGACTTCCTAAAAAACACTGTATTTGGAATTTTCACTGGAATTGTGTTGAATTTATAAGTTAATTTTGGGATAATTGGAATAATTACATTGCTAAATGGTTTTATTGATGCATATGGTAAAATTTTGTTGATCTCTTTCAAGCCTTTTAATAGAAGCTTTGCGTATTTCTCAATGAAAGTCTTGTGCATGCTTTGTTTAATTTCTTTGAGTAGCTTCCCATATTTTTCTTGTCTTCTCTTTCAGGAATGCATGCTAGTCAAATGTTGGACCTATTGTACTGGCTTTCTGATTTTTTTTTTATCACTTTCTCTCCTAGTTAGTCCATCCTTTTTTCTTCTATATGGTCCCACTCTCTGAATAACTTCTTTGACTTTATCTTGGAAATATTAAATTGGCATTTTAATTTTAAGTAACATATATAATTTTCAAAAACTGTTATTCCTGCATAATCTTTCTTCATAATATTCCTGCTTATATTCTGTGAGTACAATACCTTCTTTTATTTGTAATAGACTATTAATCATGGAATTTTAAAAATATACTTTAATTTTAAGAGCAGTTTTAGGTTCATGGCAAAACTGAGCAGAAGGTACAGAGATTTTTCATATATCCCATACCCCCACACGTACATAGCCTCCTTCTTATCAACATCCTCAACCAGAGAGGTATATTCGTTTTAATTTATAAACCTACATGAATACATCATTATCACCAAAAGTCGTAGTTTACATTAGGGTTCATTCTCAGTGTCATATATTCTATGGGTTTGGACAAATTCATAATGACATGTATCCACCATTATAGTATCAAACAGGGTACTTTCACTGCATTAAAATTCTTCTGTGCTCTACCTATTCATATCGCTCCCCCCTCGTACCCCTGGCAAACACTGATTTTCTTCACTGTCTCCATACTTTTGTTTTTTCTAACATGTCATGTAGCTGGAATCATATAGTTTGTAGCCTTTTCAGACTGGCTTATTTCACTTGGTAAAATACATTGAAGTTTTCTCCGTTTCTTTTTGAGACTTGATAGCTCATTTGTTTTTAATGTTGAATGATATTCCATTGTCTAGCTGTACCACAGTTCATTCATTCACCCACTCAAGGACAGCTTGGTTGCTTCCAAGTGTTGAAAATTGTGAAGAAAGCTGCTATAAACATCCGTGTGCAGGTTTTCAGCTCCTTTGGATAAATACTAAGGAGAGAGATTGCTGGATTGTATGGTAAGAAATTACCAAACTGTCTTCCAAAGTGGCTGTACCATTTTGCATCTCACCAGTAATGAAGTAGAGTTTCTGTTGATCCACATCCTTACCAGCATTTTGTGGTTTATGGTCATTCTAACATGTGTTTAATGGTATTCATTGTGGTTTTAATTTGCATTTTTCTGATGACATATGATGTAGAACATCATTTCATTTGCTTATTTGCCATTTATATATCTTTGGTGAATCTGTTAAGGTCTTTGGCCCATTTTAAAATCAAGTTGTTTATTTTCTTATTGTTGAGTTGTTGTAAATGCCTTTTGTTTATTTTAGATAATACTCCTTTATCAGTTGTGTGTTTTGTAAATATTTTCTCCCAGTCTGTGGCTTCTGTTTTTATTCTCTTGACAGTGTCTTTCATAGAGCAGAAAATTTAATTTTAAGGAAATCCAGCTTATCAATTTATTTTGTGAACTCTGCCTTTGGTATTGTATCAAAATAGTCATCACCAAACCCTAGGTCATCTAGATTTTCTGTTATGCTATCTTCTAGGAGTTTTATAGTTTTACTTTTACATTGAAACGTGATCAATTATGGAATCTTTGCAGTTTTTTCTGCTTGTATCACTTCTGCTTATCTTGAGTTACTTTTTATATGTTTATCTACTTTGGTTCCTGTTTTTTTATGTGGGAGGTTTTCCTTTATTGTTTGGTGATCATTGTCTCACCATTATGTCTAAGAATGAAACACTTTACGCTTGGGAGGGGTTTGTGTGATGTGATGGCCCAAAACAAACCATCATTTTAACTGGAGAATGCCAAATGTTGATGTCCATAGGTCTTTTCTCTCTGTAGAGAATCACCTTCCATATACGAACTTCCAGGAATATAAGCCTGGTTTCTGGTGACCCAAAGCTGATTAGCAGAGGACTTGGGGGGAAGGTCACTACTCTTTTTTTAGAATGTCATTTTCTCTTTTTGTCTTTAGTTGGGTGCCTTACCTTTGCCTTACTTTGAAATGGGGTCCAAGTGTTGAATTTTTAAAAATAATATATCTTGCAATTTTTCTATGAATGAGGATGTGAGACCAAGGACTCTCAGGCCTAACTGCTTCTTAAACAGACTAGTCAATTTCTCTACTTTTACTTTAATTTACATGATTTTTTTAAATCCTCTTTTGTATCCCTCTCTGTAAACACTTAGGCTTGCTCTCTTCTGTTTTGCTAAGTCATTACCATTTCTCCATCTGTTTCCTGTTCATTATATTGCAGGGTGGAATTACAGGTGCCCCTTTTTTTTAGCAAGCATAGCATGTGTTATTACTCTCTTTGTTTTTTGTTATATCTTTACCTTGTTGTGTTTAAAGCAGAAGTTAGATATGTATTTTTTCTACAATGCATTTATTTATAGTGCTCAGATTAGTCTCTGAACACAGAAAGAATTTCATAATAGTTTCAGATTGAACATTACAAACATGTAATAATCACAATTTAACTCAACAAATATTTTACTAAATCTCGGTAACTGTGCTAGGCAATGGGAACTCCATTCTTGTGGATAATAAACAAATAAAAACTATATGAGAATTGGAGTTAGTGGTAAGTGCTATGAAGAAAAACATAGGAGATATGACAGAGTGGATGTATATTTTAAAGAGTTTGTTAAAGCGGCCTCCTCCTTGTTTCTTGATATTTCTTTTTAAAATATTCTTGTAACACAAGGACCAAATGAATCACTGAAAAATTCACTCAGAAATAAGAGTGAGACTTGTAACGGTTAGTAGGGGTTATAATCACCGTACAAGAAGTATATCTCTTCTCGTTGCTTTGTCTGCCTTTGGCGAATTGGAAATATAAACCTGTTTAATGAATGTGTTCTTAAAATACCCTTTGGAAGTTTAAATTACTATTGAAAAAGCTGTATAATGCAGTTATATTCCTTTGTTTATGTAGCTAGAAGAGAGAAGGAAAAGAACCTGAGGCTAATAGAAATAGATTACATTTCACTATGGAGCATAGATTAAAATAATGTATTTTATTGTGGATCTCCCTTCAGAATTCAAACTAAATATCATTTACTTTTTCTATTTAAGTAATAACCTCAGGGCTCTTTAAAAAATCATTATCAGAAGATAACCTAATATATCATTGATATAGTTTCTTCCTATCATTGACAAATATCATATTAGAAATACCACCTTTTTATAGTCTTGAAATAATATAATAGAAAAGGGCTCCAAAAATGCAATTGTTCCAGTAAAAATAGTCATGGTGTATTCTTTATTTTATCGAAAGAGAAATAATATTAAATCCTTCCCTTGCATTTCTTTGAAAGTGAATACTTATTTGGTCTACTCGAATTAATAATTTATTTTCTTTTGAATGTTTTGCAGATGTTTATATATCAGTAGTTTCATTTAAAAGAGCTCTTAAATGTCAGTACTTTTCTACTAAAATTAGTAAACATAAACATTTAAAGTATTCTAATATCATTTTAACCTATTTTTTAAAGAACAGTGTAATTGATTTTTAAATCATGACATTTTAAATCATGGTATACAGAAAGAGTGTGATTTTAGAGTAAAGAGTATTTTTAATTTGAGAATTAAATCAAATGGCTATAAAATTGTATCTATAAAACTAGGTACACAGTGAAATTCCCATTGTCAGCATGGTCCTGTCTCCACCCAGGTACCATACTCCACCTGCAAGTAACCATTTAATATATTTTTTCGTATCCTTCGGAGGATTCATTTATATGCAAACAAGCTTGAACATACATTCTTATTTGCCCTTATGTACCTAAAATTTAGCTTATTTTAAGGTTGCTTTGAACATTGTTTTTATCACTTACGTCTAAAGTTCTTTCTAAATTGGCATAGAAAGAACTTCATATCTACATTGTAGTATTACGTTGTATAATATACCAAGATTCATTTAATCTGTTTCCAATTGGTACATATCAGCCTTTTGTCCAATATTCTGCTACTGCAATCAATGACCTATATTTAAATTGTTTTGGACATAAAACTTTACAGGGAAAAGCCCCAGAAGAGGAATTACTGAATGCAAGGGTCAAGTTCTTGTAATTTTGGTGAATATTAATATTGCCAGATTTCCACTATTGTATCATTTTTACATTTTTAATTATTTTATATTACCCCCACCAAAAAATTGATAGTTTATTTCCTTACAGCTTTTTTTTTCGGGGACGGAGTTTCGCTCTGTCGCCAGGTTGGAGTGCAGTGGCGCGATCTTGGCGCACTACAACCTCTGCCTCCCAGGTTCACGCCGTTCTCCTGCCTCAGCCTCGCGGGTAGCTGGGACTACAGGCGCCCACCACCATGCCCGGCTAATTTTTGTATTTTTAGTAGAGACGGGGTTTCACCATGTTGGCCAGGATAGTCTCAGTATCTTGACCTCGTGATCTGCCCGCCTCGGCCTTCCAAAGTGCTGGGATTATAGGCGTAAGCCACTGCGCCCGACCCTTACAGCATTTTTTCAAGATTTTCGGTTTCTATCTATATGATAGGTGCGTAATCAAATACTCACGACAGTTTTTAGTTTCAGTTATCTTATTATAAATGAGATTGAGAATGATTTTAAAAGCTACTATTTGTGCTTTCTGTTCTGTAGATTTTCTGTTCATATGTTTTCTCCATTTTTCTTTTGATGTGGTTATTTCAGTTTCTATGAGCCCTTTTTTGTATGAGATAATTTATTTTTGTATGGTATAAACTTTAAATATTTTCCCATTTGTCATTATCTTTCGAGTTTGCTTATAGTCTATAATTCTTAAGTTTTGAATAAAAAATTATAAAAACTGTTTTCATGCAAACTTTTGAAGGGCTACTCCCGTGTTTGATAGTTTTATGATTGTATATTTTATATTTTAATATAAATGCATTTGTCCTGGCTTGTCATATAAAGCGTGAATGCCACTTTATTTTTTTTCCAGATGACACTGTTTTGTTCCAATAAAACTTTTATAATTATTCTTTTCTCGTTATATTTAAGATGTCACCTTCATGATATGCCATATACTTGAATGCTTTTTCTTTCTACCTGTGGTCTATGGAACTCAAAATGGAACTCAATTTTAATATGACCAATTTTGTTTGTAATCCTATTTATTTCTTTTCTGTTTTAAAATGTTATTCTTCAAAAAGACCTATAATATAACATTCAAATAGGAATTTTTACATTATAGATTTTAAATAATTTTCCTATGATCTATTTAAAAATTTTCTCTTATATTATTTTCTCTAAAATATTAAATTACAGATTTTATTTGATGCATTATTAATAAAAGTTCAAATTTATGAGTTTCTAAAGGTATTTTAATAGTTAATTTTGACAGCTATCTCATCAACATGTCTAAAATTTTATTATTTTCTCTTACTCCTATTCCTTTGTCAAGGCTCAAATCAGGAGTCACCTCTGTTTCTTACTTCTCACTCTGCAGTCCTATTGATTCTGACTACTAAAAATATCTTAGTTTCTTCACTTCTCTCCAACAGCAACTTGGTTGTCTCTATCTTAGACAAAATTGCCATCACCACTCATTTGTGTTAGTCCAACATTCTCCATGTGGAAGCTAAACAGATCTCCTAAAGAAATGAAAGTAATCTTGCCCCATCCCTTACTACCAACTTCAAAAACTTGAAAGGCTTCTTACCTTGCAGTAGTAGTGTTTGAAGTACTCATATCTCAATATCTGCTAATATGCATTAAAAACAAAATAGAACAAAACCTCATCAGTTAAATATTTTAAAAAGGCATTTTAATTGTATGTATATGTCTGTATTTGTGTTCATTTTATTTATAGTAAGGTTAAAAAATTTGTGCTTTACTTGGATATTTGTTATTTGAGGGAGGTGACATATCTCTTCATATAATTTGTTCATATTATTTTGTCTTATTTTTTGTAATAATTTAATTAAAAATTTTAAACCTTATTATGCCACTTAGGGTCTGAATATTTTTATAGTTGTATTTGACAAAAAGATGCTTTTAAGTTTTTACATTTATTCACATCTATCAATACCTTTATGAGTTTGGGTGTGTATGTGGGTGTGTTCACTGGCAAATATTTACTTATTTTATTCTAACACCATATTTATGTTACTTCCTTACTTTTACAATTTTATCTGTAATTTGTTTTTATATAATTTGAATTAGGAATATCACAGACTTTTTTTTTTCAGAATTAATCAGCATCATTTATTGAACAATGCTACTTTTCCACCAATTTTTAAATTCTATGGTTATTTATATTCAAAGTCCTAGTCTTCTTTCTATTATAGTCTGACCATCTGACACTATTTTAACACTATTCAAATTATGCGCTTTTAATGTATATTTAAATATTTCTCCTTATCTTAGGATTTTCATCTTCAAGAAAATCTTTAGCAATTCATTTGGTTCCTTGGGAAAACATGCTGCTGGTACTTTTATTTGGAGTGCATTTTATTTACAATATTCTTTTAGAGAATTTATGTCTTTTCAATATTGATCAATCTCATGGAAGAATATGTCATGGCATTCCACTTACTCAAGTATACTTTTTTATCTCTCAAGAAATTCTTGCCATTTTCATCATATCAGATCTACAAAATTCCTTTAAACTTATATGTAGTTATTATGCATTATATTCACTGTTACAAATATTATGTTCCAACTTTTATATTCCTTATTTCACTTAACTGTCTAAATTTATTGGCTATGGGGAATAAAAAATAGTAAAGCTAAAAATGATCACCTTTATATCATTGCTGACTTTAATGGGAATGTACCTATAGTTAAAATAATAAGTATGATATTACCTGTGAATTTGGAACAGCCATTTTTAATCATGATTATGAATTATACTTTTATGCATATTTTAAATTTTCTTTTTAAATCAAAGTTTTTTTTACTTTTAGCATTTTAAATATATCTAATAAATACTTTTTATGTATTACTATAATTGAGAGATAGCTCATGAAATCAAGATATTTTAGAAAAATTCAGAATTTTCCTAACCGTAATAGTCAGAGATTTGGAAAGCCCAACTCTTAATTTTATTTTTCTTTGCTTATTCCTTCTTTTCTTCTATTGCAGACAGTTTTCTTCATGTTCCAAAAATTAAGCTACTGAAAGCTTTGGTCGTTTGAGAGACTCCTCTGAAGCTCCTTCTGGCTCCAAGTCCAGAAATCATTCAGAAGGCTTTTCTCCCAACTTTTGGACCAAGTAGTCTGGACCAAGATAAATGTGTTTCATTGCACAATATGGCTTATCTTGTAGTGATATGTGATTTTTCACTGGCATTAGGGGGCATTTCCCAAGAAAAGTACTGGCAGGTGGTCTTCATTTCAAGAACTCTGCAGTATTTTACTTGTTGAGTGCTATTTGCATTTATAGTGTAAATGAGATTAGTCAATGGGATTTTTAAAATTTACTATCAGTATTATTTTTAGGTTTTGGTATCAGAGTATCAGAAATGTTCTGGCCTGATAAAATGAAGTTGGGACACTTCTGTCATCTCATAATTCTGTCAAAATCTGTGCAGGTTTCTATTCAGATCTTTAGATACTTAGAAGTGGGCAAAGTTTCTATTTCCTATAGTGTTATTCTGTTAAGTTGGGTTTCAGATAGCCATAGGAATAGAGAGAGTTCCTTAGAAGGCATCTGAGTTGAAGGGACACTCACTTTTTGCTGACCACTTTCTTTTCTGTGGTTGTAAAAGCAGTCTGAATTTTTCAACAGTGACGTCCCCACTCCACTTCTATATTTGACCTGAATACCATTTTGAAGAACTAGCTGAAATAATGCCAGAACCTTGCCTATCATGTCAAATCTGTCAGGTAATAGATGAAGATGAATACAGTTTTTAGAGTCTCCCTTGACTATGCCCAGTAGCAATTCCCAAGATCTTTATAGGCTTGGGAATTCTATGCCATATTTTGCACTTGTCTAAATCTGCCTCCATTCATGCTACTCCAAGTTTGGGCATACTCCCTTCACCTTTATTTGGTCTTCATATCAGTTGTTTGTAAGAAATAGGAAGTAGGAAATAAGGAAGGTGTGCAGAGATATTTGGTCCTATCAGAAGCTTATTTTTCCTTTGTCTCCTCCTTATTTTTTGTTTTAGGTCAAAGCTAGTTTAGCCATTCTTATCTGCCTTTCTTGAATTTGCTCCCTGCTTTAGTATACAGACACTCTGCGCCCCATAAATCATGGAAATGAGCATTAATTTTACATTTTGAATTGTGGACTCTGCAGGTTTCTAAAATTGCTTGATTTCCCTACCCTCCACCAACCAACAACAAATATCTACTTTCTTCCCGAGCCCTGCTTCTTCATGCTATGGACATTTCTGCAGAAACTGCTAGAATTCTATCACTAACCTTCCTGGTGGGGCTCTCCTTAGCATATGCTCTGGTTTTACATGATTCTTTATTTTCTCAACTCTAGTTTTATATGATTCTTCATTTTCTCAACTCAACTGTTTCTGTGTTGAAATATTTATATATTGATAAGCTGTGTTTTCCAGAGCTGATATAATTTATTCATTTCAAAAACATATTCTCAAACAGTGATATCATCAAGATAGTGGAGTAGGATTGTGATGTTTAATATTGAGTGTCAACTTGATTGGAGGATGCAAAGTATTATTCCTGGGTGTGTCTGTGAGGGTGTTGTCAAAGAAGATTAACATTTGAGTCAGTGGACTAGGAGAGGCAGACCCACCCTCAATCTGGGTGGGCACCATTTAATCAGCTGCTAGCGTGGCTAGGATGAAAGCAGGCAGAGGAACGTGGAAGGACTAGACTGGCTAAGTCTTCTGGCCTCCATCTTTCTCCCATGCTGGATGCTTCTTGCCCTCAAATGTCAAACATCAAATTCTTTGGCTTTTGGACTCTTGGACCTACACCAGTGGTTTGCCAGGGGCTCTCAGGCCTTCAGCCACAGACTGAAGGCTGCACTGTCAGCTTCCCTGCTTTTGAGGTTTTGGGACTTGGACTGGCTTCCTTGCTCCTCAGCTTGAAGACAGCCTATTGTGGGACTTCACCTTCACCTTGTGATCGTGTGAGTCAATACACCTTAATAAACTCCCCTTCATATATACATCTATGCTATTAGTCCTGTCCCTCCAGAGAACCTTGACTAATACAAGGAGACACTAGCCTTCATCTGTCCATACACAAAAAATATGGACAACTATTTACAAACCAAAATACCCCAGAAGCAGCCCACAGTCACATTAAAGAATCTGCAGCAACCCAGTGGAGCAAAAATATGGAGAATATCCACATAGAATCACTGGTAAGAACAGCATACCCAAGTACCTGAGATGCCAGAAGAAAGCTAGGAGTAAAGAAGAATGGTATAGGCTATCAGCATGGTTCATTGACAGGAACCGCTGTGGTTACCAGTATCCTGGTCCACAGAGAACACAGGCATCTCTTGCCACTGAGGTAACCAATAGCCTCAACCACTTTAACAATCCTCTGTTAAAAGAGGGGCTGCACGCTCCTCCCCTTCAAGAAGTGGCCACTGTTGAAAGTAGAGGTGCTCCTTTCTCAAAATGTATACCCATCTCTTCCAACCCTGAGTATATGCACTGACCCTGGAACTGTGGCTACTTCACGAGTGACCATACCCCAGACCTGGGCTCTGTGACTACAATAGGCGTGATCATGTTTCATATACCACAGCCATTGCCATAGTGAGCTAGATTGTATTGCAAGACCCAGAGCCAAGTCCTCTCTGTGGATGCCCATCCTCTAGACACAAGCTCAGCTACTCTATAAAGAGCTAGGTTCTGCTCTAACCTCAGGGCCATTTTAACTCTGCATACACCTGTGCACTCCTGCAGACTCCTCTGCTGCTTTACAAACACCCTTTCTTTGAATACTGTTACAGACTTGGCAGTGGGGGAGTCAGTGCCCCAGGTACCAGTTCTATTATCACCCTGGGTTCCAGAGCCATAGCCCCTTCATGTTTGCCCATGCTTCAGGCCTAACCTCACCTCTCTGGCCTCTCCATCAGATACCAGTACCACCACCACTACAAATGAGTACACAAGACAGATACAGTTCCAGGACAGATTCCCCTTAGTAACAACTTCTCTGGTATGAGAAAAGGAGGTCATGAGGACATTAAAAAGTATCACCATCAAAGACTCTAACAACACTTGCTGCCACTGTGGACATATACAGTGTTGGTTGCTGAGGATCCCCTGAAATCTTCATCAACACTGACCTCAGTTACCACAGCAGCACAGAGACTACATTTCTGGCATTCTCACTGGTACCAGAAAAGCTGCACTTTATCCAGTAAGTTCCCTTGCAACAACCCTAGACAAAGGTCTTTCCACATGGAAACTAACTTATAAAGTCTGCAAGAGGTCCAACAAATGTGCAGACATCAATGTAAAAGCAACAAGAAACATAGAAAGCCAATAAGATTTAGCATTATGAAAAGAACACCATGATCACCCAGTAGCTAATCCCTCTAAAAATGGAGATACGAGAACAGCATGACAAAGAATTCAAAATAATTGTTTTATGGAAGTTCGGTGAACTTCAATAAAATACAGATAAATAATTCAATTAAATAAGAAAAATAATAAGCAACAAAAATGATAGAGAAATCAAAATTATAAAAAATAACAAACAAAACTTCTAGAGCTGAAAAAATACGATGCAATGGAAAGTGTCAAAGCAGAATTAGTCAAGCAGAAAAAAAAATCTGTGAATTTGAAGACAGGCTATTTTAAAACACAAAGGAGAACAAAGAAAAAAAGAAAAAAAATTAATGAAGAAAGCTTATGGGCTTTATTGGATAGCATCAAATACAAATATTCAAGTTATAAGAGTTTAAGAAGGTGAGGAAAGAGACCAGAGGTAGAAAGCTCATCTAAAGAAATGATAGCACAAAACTTTCCAAACCCGAGAAAGATAAAAATTATTCAGGTACAAGAAGGTCCAAAATCTGTAGTCAGATTAAATCCAAAAAAGACTACACCAAGACATAATCAAATTATCAAAAAACAAATAAAAAGAGGGGACCCCAAAAGCACCAAGAGAAAAGAAGCAAATAAGGTAGTTCCAATAAGACTAGCAGTGCACTTCTCAGCAGAAACCTTATAGTCCATGACTAAATGGTATGATATATTCAAAATGCTGAAGGGAAAAACAACCTGCCAACCAAAAATAAGTTTTATCCAGTGATATGGTTGGGCTTTGTGTTCCCACTCAAATCTTAAATTGTAATCCCTATAATCCTCACACATCAAGGGCAGGAGTAGGTGGAGGTAATTGGATCATGGGGGCAGCTTCCGACACACTGTTCTCATGATAGTAAGTGAGTCTCACAAGGTGTCATGGTTGTATAAGTGTCTGGCATTTCCCCTGCTTGCACTCAGTCCATCCTGCCACCCTGTAAAGAAGGTGCCTACTTCTCCTTTGCCTTCCACCATGATTGAAAGTTTCCTGAAACTTCCTCAGCTATGAAGAACTGTGAGTCAATTAAACCTCTTCCCTTTATAAATTACCCAGTCTCAGGTATTTCTTCATATCAGTGTAAGAACAGACAAATACATCCAGCAAAGCTGTCTTTTACATATGAGACAAGATACATACATTCCCAGATGAATAAAACCTGAGGGAGTTCATCATCACCAGACTTTTCCAAGAAATGCTAAAGGGAGCTGAAAGGATACTAATGAGTCACACAAAAACCCTGAAAATATAAAACCCACTGGTAAAAGTAAGTAAACAATCAAATTCAGAATACTCTAATAATGTAATAATACTGTGTGAATCACTTGTATCTTTAGTATAACGGTTGAAAGACAAAACTATTAAAATAATAATAGCTAAAATAATTTTTAAGGGGTAAAATAAAAATATGTAAATTGTGACATCAAAAACATAAAATGGGGGGTGGAATGAAAGCATAGATTTATTTTATGCAATCAAAGTTTTTGTCTGCTTAAAATGGCCTGTAATAACTGTAAACTGTTTTATGTAAGAATTTTGGTAAGCAAAATGCAAAACCTATAGTAGATACTCAAAAGATTAAAAGCAAGGAACCAAAACATATCACTGGAGAAAATCACCAAATCAGTAAAGAAGACAGCTAAAAAATGAAGAAAGGAACAAAGGACCTAAAAAACAACAGCAACAATAACAAAATGGCAGTAGTAAGTCCTTACATATTAATAATGATCCTCAATATAAATGATTACATCTTCCAGTCAAAAGATGTAAGGGGGCTGAATGGGTCAAAAAAAAAAAAACCAAAAAAAAAAAAAAACAAGATCTAACTATATGCTGCCTACAAGAGCCTCACTTTACTTCTAAAAACCATGTATAAAAGTGAAAGGTTGGGAAAACATATTCTATACAAACAGAAACCAAAAGATAGCGGGGATAGCTAAACTTATATCAGATACAGTAGATCTTAAGTCAAAAACTACAAAAAGAGAAAAAGAATATCATTATATGATAAAGGAATAACTTCATTATGAAGATACAAAAATTATAAATGTGCACCTAACATCAGAATACCTAAGCATATAAACCAAATATTAATAGATCTGGAGAGAAAGAGGCTGCAATACAATAATGGAAGGGGACTTCAATATCCAACTTTCAACAAAGAATACATCATCCAGACTAGAAAAATAATAAGGAAACACTGGACTTGAACTATACTCTTTAGACCAAATGGACAAAACAGACATATGCAAACCATTCCATCCAACAGCAGAACAATACATTTTCTTCTCAAGGGAACATGGAACATTCCCCAGGATAGATCATATGCTAGGCTACAAAATAAGTCTTAACACATGTAAGAAGATTAAAATGATCAAGTATCTTTTTTTTGAAGATGTTCTTTCTTCACTTCTCTATTCATGTATCTGCCAGATTTCCAAAATAATATCAGTCATGATAGTTTTATATCAAAAGTCAAGAAAGTATTTCACTGACATAAAATATTTAAGACTAAGCATCATGCTTGGAATATGCTCAAATTAGTATAGCATAATATAAAAATTAAGCATATGTTATTTGTGGGTTTTTTTCTCAGTAAATAAGTTGTATTTTCCAGTCAGGTGATTGAGTAATGGACCATGTCAGACAAGCACTGCCTTTAGATCTCTGAAATCTGCCAGCTAATGGCTATCTCTATAATAATGAGTTACCTATCACCTTTTTAAATCTCTTACCAGCCCTTTCCTTGCTTAGTCTTTGTTATTGTTTTATTGTAAGCACATACACATGCACAACATATGCTCTGTTTCCTGCAATTTTATATACATGTAATATTTTGAGACAGCTTTGAAAGTTGGAAAATTGTAAACCTTTCAAATATTTTGGCTTATTGACTACATTTTCATGATGGATAATTATATCTAATTATAATTATATGTGTATATATAATTATATGTATACCATTAAGAATAGAGTATTCTGAAAACGTTTTAAATTGCTGAGTCTTTCCAGGGAATAGTATATGAAAAAAATTAGAATGAAAAGTAAAGGCAAGAAAAGTTATAAATGGTAAAATAAAAAGCAGTAGTTTATACTTTTTAAATAAGTTTACATTAAAAAAAATTGAGTTGAAGTCTCACTCTGCTGCCTAGGCTGGTCTAGAATTCCTGGGCTCAAGCAATCCTCCCACCTCATCTTCCTGAGTAGCTGGGATTACAGGCATGTGCCATGGTGCCCAGCTTGAGTTTACATTTTGAAAATACTTCTTTTTTCAGATTCAACAAAATCTGCCTATTGACTTGTTTAATCCTATCAAATTAATTTTCTTCTCTATATTTACATTTAAAATGCATTCTTATGTGATTATATATTTGCAGCATAATCCTATTCTTTCTAAAGGGATTTTTTAAAAAACAAGGAAGTCATCAGAACTAGAGTAAAATGTTCATTATAGGCATTTTGTGAGTTTTCATTTCTGAACGATATTTATTTTTTCTACTTGGCATGTAAGCAATTTTTTTAAAAACAGCATTTCAGAGGAACAGATTAGATAGTGATCCAATGAATGAATACTTTATAAATCTTGTTTTTGTACATTTTATTAGTTCCTTATAAACATATTAGTGCTTGAATGAATGTAAACATATTAGGACCTGATAAAGTAACTATGTGAAAATTAGCCCCATAGCCACATTCCCCTTTCATCTTCCACAGAGCATCATACTAACAGGTTCTAAAAATTTTAAAAATGAAACAGATGAACTCATTATAATATATTTAAGCTTAAGATGTCTTTTGAAAATCACTCAAAATTTGGTAAGAAATCATATGTTTCTAAGATAAAGAGAACAAGTTGGAAGCTTTTTATTCCATAAATATTATTAAATGCTTATAATAAAATATGAATAAAATGTTTTAACTACTTCTAATTATTGATTTAGCCTTATTTATTACATGAGAATTTTTTTTTTGTGTTAGTCATGTACAGGGACTGTAGAGATAAAATCAAAGTAAAAGATAAAGTCTTTATGTATCTGCTCAATTTTGTTGTGAACCTAACCACTTAAAAGATAAAGTATATTTTTAAAAAAGAAACTTTATCCTCAAGAGGTTTATAATCTAATTAAGAATATTCACTATACAAGATAGTTCTGTCATAAAGATATAAATCAGATGGTATAATACTTTTGGTCCTAATTTGGCTATTTTTGGAAATTCCTTTTTAGTTAATTTTACCTTTTTATTATGGAAAATTTCAAACACCCACAAAAGTGGAATGGTACAATGAGCCTCCATGTACCATACTCAGCTTCAAAAATCATTCGTTTTATATTATTTACTTTTTTGCTCTTCTCTCCTCTCTCATCTTTCCTGAGATGTTTCAATGCATGTCGTGACATCATGTCATTTCACTCATAATTACTTCAATATGTATCTTTAATAGGGAAAAACTTTATAAAGCACATAATCATAATGGCATAATTACATGAAAAAATAGATAGTAATTTCTTGATATTATCTAATACCTAGGCCTCATTCAAATTCCTTCAGCTGTATAGAATTCATTTTAGCCATACAAGCTCTGAAGGAAATATTTAAGATATAAAATTAATTTTATTCTTTTGACGCAATAAGAAGACAATTATGAGTGCTAGTTTTCTATGCCTGTCTCTTCTAAAGCAAAATAACAACTGTCATCCTGAACCGTCTCTGAATTATCTACACATTCCAAACGGAGTGGCAGTGTTTATTCTCATTTTAACTGAGAGATGTCAGCAGGTGCATGAGCTTCTAACCTTGTGATGGCAATGTGATGTCATGAAGCTTTTCAGCAAAAGAATACAATTATTGTCACGAGCATCAATGCACTACTGGTAATTGCAATCATTTTTAAGGAGAAACAAGAGGAAGGAGAAATCTTACCGAATGAAAAAAATTAACAGCTCTAGACCATTTTTACATAAATTGCATAAAATTATGCTTGCTTATCTAACTTACCTACAGATTTAATCAAACCACAAATTATGTTTTAGACTTTGAATATTTGTTACATTATAAAACATTTTCTCAATATACTTGTAAAATTATAGTGCATATATTTTAATTTTAGTTACTCTTACAATAAGAAATGTATAACATGGCTAAAAATGTACAAAACCTTAAGAAATTTTTTACTGGCTGTTTTTCCCTAAAGATATAATTTCCCAGTGGGGTAATAGTTTAAGGTTTCATAGAGACAATCTTATTCTAGTTAAAAATATATAAATACATGTTATTATTTCATAGAACAAAAATTGCCTCATTTTCAACAAAGGTACACTTAATAAATTATTCTACATTACTTTTAATGATTGACAATCAATATTTTAAACACGGCATTCTGATAATATGCTTTTAATTTATATAGGTATTTTCTTGCATGTTTATGCTATTAGGCCATTAATTTTGCATACATAAAAATTTTGAGAGATTCAAAGATAAAAATGCAACCTGTTCCCTACCCCACCCAGCCTGGATATGGATACATATGGCTCATATATTGTTTATATATTATAAATATTGAATGCATTCACTCAGGAAATGCAAATGTTTAAAACTATATCAAGTCCATTCTGATTATCCTCTTATTTCCAATTTTTCTTTTATTAAGAAGCCTCCATAGAAGAAAAGGAATGCTTAATAGGTTTGTGGATCTCAGCAAAATTCTAGGGCATAATAAAGTATTTGGGATATAGAGGATTATAAAAAATGTGGAATATTTCTTATTTGGGAAAAGATAAAGCTAGAAACTATGTTTAGAAAGTTTGTAACTCCTTGAACTAACAAAAGTCACAATGAGTCATTTTTTTCCTTCATAGGAAGGAAATCCACATGCATTTCAAGCAATTCTAACTTGATGAAGAGAATCCATTCAGATATAAAGTAATATCAATGGAACAAGTTTTAGCAAACCTCCAAAATATAATTTTATAATTTTAATATAGGGACATGGAAATAAAAGTTCAAAATGCATTGAAGAAGAAAAATGAATAATGAAAGATTCTCTAAATTTATATTCTCAGATCCCTTTCTTACATATAGCTATTTTTGACAATCTCTGTTTTTAGTTTTTCTGGTGATATAAGTTGTATGTTTTCGTATTTCTTAATATGTCACCTCTAAGAAAAATCCATTGTTTCTCCACAATGTGAGTTAAGAATTACTTTTCTTTCCTTGTTCCACTTCCTACTCCTTAAGAGTTTATTTTCTTTTTATAAATTTAGTTAGTAAAAGTTCAGCTTTATTTCAGTCTCCAACTATTTTAAACTACTATCTTTCAACTACACACAATGAATGACGAAGTTAGCAACCATTAACTTTTTTTGTGGGGGAGATGGAGTCTTGCTCTGTCGCCTAGGCTGGAGTGCAGTGGCACGATCTCGGCTCACTGCAACCTCTGCATTCCAGGTTCAAGAGAATCTCCTGTCTCAGCCTCCCGAGTAACTGGGATTACAGGCCTCTGCCTCTACATATAGTTAATTTTTGTATTTTTGGTAGAGATGAGGTTTCAATATGTTGGCAAGGCTGGTCTCGAACTCCTGACCTCAAGTGATCTGCCTGCCTTGGTCTCCCAAAGTGTTGGGATCACAGGCGTGAGCCACTGTGCCAGGCCAGCAACCATTAGCTTTTGTCCAGTTTCCTCCATCTTCCCAAATTCTATCTGATATGCTAGTACTTTAATAATTTCAGTTATTAAAATGTATATTAGTTAGAATTACCTTTAATTTTTTACTATAGATTCATTCTGAAAGTTGATTTCAATGAATAGACTTTATAATATTATGATTATTTAACTACTATTGACTACATATTCTGGTTGGATTTGTGCATAAAAATATAATTTCTTACATTTAAAATAACTAAGAGTATATTGGAATGTTTACATCACCAAGAAATAGTAAATGCTTGAGTGGATAGATATTCTATTTACCTTGATATAATCACTCATTGTATGCCTGTACCAAAATATCTCTTGTACCCCATAAATGTATACACCTACTATGTACCCACAAAAGTTAATATGCATATAATTCTTTACCTCTAGCAAAATTTTGCTCCCTGAAGTGGTATATGCACACATGAAGAGCAATAGGATTCTACTCTTAAATGTAATGTCTTTTTTAGAATCAAGTCATATTTTTGTTTGTTTTATTTCAACAAAGACTTCTTAATGTTCTATTTTTACAAGAATTTCAAACTGCCTTTATTTTTATTATTTTTATCAAAAAATGCCTTTTGTTGTATAACTAATGTACTCCAGCTCTGTTATCACATTATGTCTTGAATGTTCCGGTATGTAATGATATTGTGCTAGGTCCCTTGGCCACCTATTATTCTGAAATTTCTTTTTGTTGTATTCCTATCTGATGTGCAATGTTTCTTGAATTGCAGTTTATGCTCAGCCAATTATTCTGTCTTGAAACTGTCTTTCATTTTGCTCTAGCGAAAGTGTCTTCCAATCATTTAAAGGAAAATGCATGAAGGTACATTTTCTGAATTCTTACATGTCTGAAGTGTCTTTATTTTGCTTTCATATTAGATTGGTAATACCAATGGCCAGACGATTGAATATTCAGAATCATTTTCTGCAAATAGAAGACATTTTACCATTGTCTTTCAGAATTCATAGTTGCTAATATGAACAAATGCTGACATTTTGCAGGTAGGGGAGAAGAAAGTTCATGTGTTTCTAGGCTCTTCTTTTGATTTTTGTTCTGAAATTTAACCAAAATTATGTAAATACGTGAAATTGCTTTTGCCCTTTGTGGTGTATTTAATTCTGAAGACTCTGATCTTTAGTAGCCATAGAACAGTTCATGTTATCTCTTTAATTCTTCCCTCTCCTCTCTTAACTCCTCTTTTTCTGGAAAATACAAATATGGATATTGACTCTTAAGTTTGTTCAGGCTGCCATAACATATCAAAATATCATAAACTGGGTAGCTTATAAACAACTGAAACTTTTTTTTCTCACAGTTCTGGAGACTGGAAAGTCCAAGATTAGGGTGCTGGCAGATTTGATGCCTGGTGAGGGCCAATGTCATATTTATAGATGGTGCTATCTTCTCTCTGACCTCACGTGGTGGAAGAGGCAGATCTGGTGCCTGGGAAAGCCAATGTCATATTTATAGATGGTGCTATCTTTTCTCTGTCCTCACGTGGTGGAAGGGGCAGATCTGATGCCTGGTGAGGCCAATGTCATATTTATAGATGGTGCTATTTTCTCTCTGTACTCATGTGGTGGAAGGGACAGATTTGATGCCTGGTGAGGGCCGATTTCATATTTATAGATGGTGCTATCTTTTCTCTGTCCTCACGTGGTGGAAGGGGCTAGCTAGCTCTCTGAAGTCTCTTATAAGGTCACTAATACCATTCATGAGGGCTCTGCCCTCATCTAAACACCGCCTAAAGGCCTCACTTCCTAACACCATCACGCTGGGCGTTAGGATTTCAACATAGGAATTTGGCATGGCGGGGGAACACAGACATTTCAACCATAGCAGTGACCTTCTGTATTCATCTTCTATGTCTCTATTTTGTTTTCCTTTTGTGTTTTATTTTTTTAGTTTTTCATCTGAATTGGGGAGATAGCTTCATTTTTTTACTTTCAACACTTAACATTAATTTTGGTTTTATATTCATAATTATAGTTTTACTTTCTGTGAACTCTTAATATCTGATTGCTTCTTTTAAATGACAGATTTTTTTTTCACATATGCCATATATCTTCTGGAATCTTTCTGAGAAAGCCAATTATAATTTGTTCTTGAACTTTTGAGTTTTTGTTTCCTCCCTTATCAGTATGTGTATTAGTCAGCTTGGGCTGTCATAACAATATACTATAGACTAGGTGGCTTTAATAACAGACATTAATTTTCTCATAGTTCTGGAGGCTGAAAGTCCTAAATCAGAGTCCCAGCATGGCTAGCTTCTAGTCAGAACTCTCTTTCTGGCTTGCAGATTACTGCCTTCTTTCTGGGCTCTCACATGGCAGACAGAGAGAAAGAAGTATTTCTTCCTCTTCTTAAAAGGCCACCAATCCTATTGGTTCAGGACCCCATCCTTATGAACTCATTTAACCTTAATTACCTCATAAAAGCCCTATCTCCAGAAACAGTCACATTGTCAGGTAGAGTTTCAACATGTGAATTTTGGAGGAACACAATTCAGTCCATAGCAGTATATGGTCTTTGTTTTTCTCGTTTCTCTTGTTATTGTTTTGTTCATCTTCCTCAGTGCTTATTGTTTGCACATATTTATTAACGAAGGACTAAACATATTAATGTACATGGCTTCTTTTGGTTTTCTCTGCTATCACATTTCTACACCCTGAATGAGTGTGCTGATTGCAGGTGCCATATATGTGGAAAAACATGGAGTATGGAAAACCAGCTTCTTCTTCTGCTCCCCCTACCTGCCCATTGGAAAGGGAAAGGAGGAAAGGGAGCTTTGTGAGTAAAAAGAAGATAACATCTACCTACATTAAGCATTCTCTTGTGTGGATGTGATCTATGACTTCCTCGGGTTAGGTTAATCTATTTTTGCCATTTTATCTTCCTTCACTGCATTTCTCTTGATGTAGGTCTTTTGCTCTTGCTGATATTTCAATGATTGACTGAGGATAGAAGAAAGGAGCCAAAGGCAGTATGTGTGCCCACTCTATTATGTTGAACTAGTAATTTAAAAAAAACGAGTATGTCTGGGAGGCTAAGGCAGGTGGATCTCTTGAGGTCAGGAATTTGAGACCAGCCTAGCCAACATGGTGACACCCCATCTCTGCTAAAAATATAAAAATAAGCCAGGTGTGGTGGCAGGTGCCTGTAATCCCAGCTACTCGAGAGGCTGAGGCAGGAGAATCACTTGAACCTGGGAGGCGGAGGTTGCAGTGAGCCAAGATTGCACCACTGCACTCCAGTCTGGGGGACAGAGTGGGACTCTGTCTTAAAAAAAAAAAAAAAAAAGAGTATGTCATTAACTTTTTAAGTCATAAAAATCTGTGAAGAAACAATATATGGGTGAAATATTTTAAATGAAATTACTTGTAAATTACTGTGGTGACAACTTGTAGTACATGCCTTGTAGCACATAAACAATTAGTGAAATAGTTGTTGATGTAAAAACCACCACCGCCTCCTAACATTTATTGAACATGTCTCATGTGTCAAGCACTGTTTTGAGTACTTAACGTTCATTAACTTTGTTAATATGCACAAGAATCCTGTGAGTTTTATACCACTATTAACTCTATTGACTACATGTTGTAGATTAGGAAACTGAACGTAAAACAATTAACAGACTTGCCCAAGGTGAAACAGCTACTAAATGACAAGAGCCAAGATTAAATTCTGTAGTCTGGCTCCTGAGCCTGCACATTTAATTACATCACATTGAAAATATTATAATCACAAAAATGAATTTTATCTGTAAAAATTGAAAAACTTACTGGTTGTTTTATAGTCACTATTATTAAAATATTTATTTTAAACAAATTCAGTAGTAATTTTCTTGAGAAGAGTTACTCAAATAAGATGTGTCAGTGTTACTTTCTATAATAAGAACATTAGGCCTAGCTCTACCCCCAGCACTACCGCCAACTAGTTCTATTAATTTGTTTACCTTCTCTTCTCTTCAGTTTTCTTTTCTGTTCCATGTTCATTTCATTCCACAAGGAATATATATTGACTACTACATTACAGGCTCTATTATAAGAGCATTGGAGACATTAATGAACAGAAGAAAGAGATACTTTCTTCAGGGTTCTTATATTCCAGAGGGAGACATAGTCCAGAAGTAAATACAAGCTCAATATAGACTTTTGCTTCCAGCAATGAAAACAGCTTATTTCTAAGCAATTCTTCCATTGAGAACTGGAAACCTAAGCAAAACATAAAATATCATTTGTTATAAAGCATGCGAGAGCTACTCAAGTGAGATTTACAGACATCAAAATCTGGAAAGAATGGAAACACCTAAATAGATGATCTTGCCAGCTGAAGCTGCTTTTCCCCTTAGTGTTTTTAATTCCAAAGCATCTATTGAAAGGCTGGGTGGCTGAGCAGGAAGTGGAAGCTGAGAGGTTGAGAACACACCAGGATTGTCAGGAAGCGAAACTTAGAAATAAGGCCTGCCAAGAGACAAACTCCCTGGCTTTCAGTTGAGATGCTGAAGGGCTAGGAGTTAAGAATCAACTAGTAATAGCCCAGGCCTCAGAAGGATGGAAGACCAGTTTTGAATAAGGTAGGCCTTTTAAATACTTTGTCCCATAGCCCAGATGAATGCCAGAAGCAAAAGAGGACATACTGATGATTCAAAGCAATGATAACGATTGTTGAAGACATTTTGGTAGAATAGAAGGCAAGGGAGGAAAATACCAGTCCTGCTAAGGGTTGAATGATTATGAGGTTCATACTGGGTTGGAAAAGGAGTAAAAGCAGGAGAGGATTCATTAGCCCAGGAGAATGGGAATAGCTTTTAAACTAGAGGTCATGGTGACTGGATACAGAAAGTTGTGATCAAAAAGCTAGTTTTTCCAGCTGAACAGTTCAAAAATTGATAATGATAAACTTCAGAGTATGGCAAAGTCAATGGGTTGCTGGAGTGAAGGAGGAGGTAATTAAACAAGAAGAAACTAAGAAATTGTGTGGTTAGGTCGTTGGAGGAATTATCCAAATTGGATAGTGAAATTGCAAACGATGCTAGCAGGAGTAAAAATTGAGGGAAGTGCAAAGCCTCTTAGAATCAGAAGTATTTAAAACGTTATATTATTAGTATTTATTTAAGGAGATTTTAACTTCAGGCAAAACATTCAGAGGGAAAAAATAAAAACCATTTATCCCTTGTCTAAGGGTCAATTTGTTTCTCTCACCCCCTTCAATTTTTTTATTCTTTAATCCTTCATTTAAGAAAAAAATACAATTTGAGGAAAAAGGATCTTTTAATTACTTTAAAAATCCAGCCAAGTATTGAGAGTCGACAACCTTAAATTTCATAGCTATTATTTTATTATAAGTAAATTGCTATGCTTCACAGTAATTTCTGACCATGGAATAATGACCTAAGCTCACTGTGCAACATCTGGTATACCCTATGTTGACTAAAAATCAATTAGAATTTTTAATTATTTTTGCAACATCTGCATAACAATCTAATTCAAAGCCAAATTAAATGGTCCTTCTGGTGATGGTGTATAATGACACATTCATAACTTAAGAAAACTGCCCTTTCCCAGAGCATAAGACTTGAAAATATTCAGCTCGCCTTTCCTGATTTAGTTGCCAGATTATATTGATATAGTTAATGGTACACACTGTTATATTTTAATAGATTGTGACACCAAATATAAGAATCACTTTTTAAATTTTCTGAACACATCTTTTGACTCTAGCACTTAATTTTCTTATCAAACTATTTTTCATAGTTAGCCAACAGTTTTAAATAATCCTCATATAATTAACTGCTGATAATATAATGTTCATCCTTCTGGCTTATCTTGAGCTGTTGCCAGTGCTGTTTAAATCTTCTCATGAGGAGAGTCAGATGCAAACAGAAATATAATAGAGTGACCAGAAACTCCAGAGACAAAGTTGGATGCTCATTTCTAATCAACACAGATTCTTTTTTTTTTTTTTTTTTTTGACTTATCCCTGAAATTTTATTATTAAAATTACTTGTTTGACATTGTTTTTTTTTTTTTATTATACTCTAAGTTTTAGGGTACATGTGCACATTGTGCAGGTTAGTTACATATGTATACATGTGCCATGCTGGTGCGCTGCACCCACTAATGTGTCATCTAGCATTAGGTATATCTCCCAATGCTATCCCTCCCCCCTCCCCCGACCCCACCACAGTCCCCAGAGTGTGATATTCCCCTTCCTGTGTCCATGTGATCTCATTGTTCAATTCCCACCTATGAGTGAGAATATGCGGTGTTTGGTTTTTTGTTCTTGCGATAGTTTACTGAGAATGATGGTTTCCAACTTCATCCATGTCCCTACAAAGGATATGAACTCATCATTTTTTATGGCTGCATAGTATTCCATGGTGTATATGTGCCACATTTTCTTAATCCAGTCTATCATTGTTGGACATTTGGGTTGGTTCCAAGTCTTTGCTATTGTGAATAGTGCCGCAATAAACATACGTGTGCATGTGTCTTTATAGCAGCATGATTTATAGTCCTTTGGGTATATACCCAGTAATGGGATGGCTGGGTCAAATGGTATTTCTAGTTCTAGATCCCTGAGGAATCGCCACACTGACTTCCACAATCGTTGAACTAGTTTACAGTCCCACCAACAGTGTAAAAGTGTTCCTATTTCTCCGCATCCTCTCCAGCACCTGTTGTTTCCTGACTTTTTAATGATTGCCATTCTAACTGGTGTGAGATGATATCTCATAGTGGTTTTGATTTGCATTTCTCTGATGGCCAGTGATGATGAGCATTTCTTCATGTGTTTTTTGGCTGCATAAATGTCTTCTTTTGAGAAGTGTCTGTTCATGTCCTTCGCCCACTTTTTGATGGGGTTGTTTGTTTTTTTCTTGTAAATTTGTTTGAGTTCATTGTAGATTCTGGATATTAGCCCTTTGTCAGATGAGTAGGTTGCGAAAATTTTCTCCCATGTTGTAGGTTGCCTGTTCACTCTGATGGTAGTTTCTTTTGCTGTGCAGAAGCTCTTTAGTTTAATTAGATCCCATTTGTCAATTTTGTCTTTTGTTGCCATTGCTTTTGGTGTTTTGGACATGAAGTCCTTGCCCACGCCTATGTCCTGAATGGTAATGCCTAGGTTTTCTTCTAGGGTTTTTATGGTTTTAGGTTTAACGTTTAAATCTTTAATCCATCTTGAATTGATTTTTGTATAAGGTGTAAGGAAGGGATCCAGTTTCAGCTTTCTACATATGGCTAGCCAGTTTTCCCAGCACCATTTATTAAATAGGGAATCCTTTCCCCATTGCTTGTTTTTCTCAGGTTTGTCAAAGATCAGATAGTTGTAGATATGCGGCATTATTTCTGAGGGCTCTGTTCTGTTCCATTGATCTATATCTCTGTTTTGGTACCAGTACCATGCTGTTTTGGTTACTGTAGCCTTGTAGTATAGTTTGAAGTCAGGTAGTGTGATGCCTCCAGCTTTGTTCTTTTGGCTTAGGATTGACTTGGCAATGCGGGCTCTTTTTTGGTTCCATATGAACTTTAAAGTAGTTTTTTCCAATTCTGTGAAGAAAGTCATTGGTAGCTTGATGGGGATGGCATTGAATCTGTAAATTACCTTGGGCAGTATGGCCATTTTCACGATATTGATTCTTCCTACCCATGAGCATGGAATGTTCTTCCATTTGTTTGTCTCCTCTTTTATTTCCTTGAGCAGTGGTTTGTAGTTCTCCTTGAAGAGGTCCTTCACATCCCTTGTAAGTTGGATTCCTAGGTATTTTATTCTCTTTGAAGCAATTGTGAATGGGAGTTCACCCATGATTTGGCTCTCTGTTTGTCTGTTGTTGGTGTATAAGAATGCTTGTGATTTTTGTACATTGATTTTGTATCCTGAGACTTTGCTGAAGTTGCTTATCAGCTTAAGGAGATTTTGGGCTGAGACGATGGGGTTTTCTAGATAAACAATCATGTCGTCTGCAAACAGGGACAATGTGACTTCCTCTTTTCCTAATTGAATACCCTTTATTTCCTTCTCCTGCCTGATTGCCCTGGCCAGAACTTCCAACACTATGTTGAATAGGAGCGGTGAGAGAGGGCATCCCTGTCTTGTGCCGGTTTTCAAAGGGAATGCTTCCAGTTTTTGCCCATTCAGTATGATATTGGCTGTGGGTTTGTCATAGATAGCTCTTATTATTTTGAAATACGTCCCATCAATACCTAATTTATTGAGAGTTTTTAGCATGAAGGGTTGTTGAATTTTGTCAAAGGCCTTTTCTGCATCTATTGAGATAATCATGTGGTTTTTGTCTTTGGCTCTGTTTATATGCTGGATTACATTTATTGATTTGCGTATATTGAACCAGCCTTGCATCCCAGGGATGAAGCCCACTTGATCATGGTGGATAAGCTTTTTGATGTGCTGCTGGATTCGGTTTGCCAGTATTTTATTGAGGATTTTTGCATCAATGTTCATCAAGGATATTGGTCTAAAATTCTCTTTTTTGGTTGTGTCTCTGCCCGGCTTTGGTATCAGAATGATGCTGGCCTCATAAAATGAGTTAGGGAGGATTCCCTCTTTTTCTATTGATTGGAATAGTTTCCGAAGGAATGGTACCAGTTCCTCCATGTACCTCTGGTAGAATTCGGCTGTGAATCCATCTGGTCCTGGACTCTTTTTGGTTGGTAAACTATTGATTATTGTCACAATTTCAGAGCCTGTTATTGGTCTATTCAGAGATTCAACTTCTTCCTGGTTTAGTCTTGGGAGAGTGTATGTGTCGAGGAATGTATCCATTTCTTCTAGATTTTCTAGTTTATTTGCGTAGAGGTGTTTGTAGTATTCTCTGATGGTAGTTTGTATTTCTGTGGGATCGGTGGTGATATCCCCTTTATCATTTTTTATTGTCTCTATTTGATTCTTCTCTCTTTTTTTCTTTATTAGTCTTGCTAGCGGTCTATCAATTTTGTTGATCCTTTCAAAAAACCAGCTCCTGGATTCATTGATTTTTTGAAGGGTTTTTTTGTGTCTCTATTTCCTTCAGTTCTGCTCTGATTTTAGTTATTTCTTGCCTTCTGCTAGCTTTTGAATGTGTTTGCTCTTGCTTTTCTAGTTCTTTTAATTGTAATGTTAGGGTGTCAATTTTGGATCTTTCCTGCTTTCTCTTGTAGGCATTTAGTGCTATAAATTTCCCTCTACACACTGCTTTGAATGCGTCCCAGAGATTCTGGTATGTGGTGTCTTTGTTCTCGTTGGTTTCAAAGAACATCTTTATTTCTGCCTTCATTTCGTTATGTACCCAGTAGTCATTCAGGAGCAGGTTGTTCAGTTTCCATGTAGTTGAGCGGCTTTGAGTGAGATTCTTAATCCTGAGTTCTAGTTTGATTGCACTGTGGTCTGAGAGATAGTTTGTTATAATTTCTGTTCTTTTACATTTGCTGAGGAGAGCTTTACTTCCAACTATGTGGTCAATTTTGGAATAGGTGTGGTGTGGTGCTGAAAAAAATGTATATTCTGTTGATTTGGGGTGGAGAGTTCTGTAGATGTCTATTAGGTCTGCTTGGTGCAGAGCTGAGTTCAATTCCTGGGTATCCTTGTTGACTTTCTGTCTCGTTGATCTGTCTAATGTTGACAGTGGGGTGTTAAAGTCTCCCATTATTAATGTGTGGGAGTCTAAGTCTCTTTGTAAGTCACTGAGGACTTGCTTTATGAATCTGGGTGCTCCTGTATTGGGTGCATAAATATTTAGGATAGTTAGCTCCTCTTGTTGAATTGATCCCTTTACCATTATGTAATGGCCTTCTTTGTCTCTTTTGATCTTTGTTGGTTTCAAGTCTGTTTTATCAGAGACTAGGATTGCAACCCCTGCCTTTTTTTGTTTTCCATTGGCTTGGTAGATCTTCCTCCATCCTTTTATTTTGAGCCTATGTGTGTCTCTGCACGTGAGATGGGTTTCCTGAATACAGCACACTGATGGGTCTTGACTCTTTATCCAACTTGCCAGTCTGTGTCTTTTAATTGCAGAATTTAGTCCATTTATATTTAAAGTTAATATTGTTATGTGTGAATTTGATCCTGTCATTATGATGTTAGCTGGTGATTTTGCTCATTAGTTGATGCAGTTTCTTCCTAGTCTCGATGGTCTTTACATTTTGGCATGATTTTGCAGCGGCTGGTACCGGTTGTTCTTTTCCATGTTTAGCGCTTCCTTCAGGAGCTCTTTTAGGGCAGGCCTGGTGGTGACAAAATCTCTCAACATTTGCTTGTCTATAAAGTATTTTATTTCTCCTTCACTTATGAAGCTTAGTTTGGCTGGATATGAAATTCTGGGTTGAAAATTCTTTTCTTTAAGAATGTTGAATATTGGCCCCCACTCTCTTCTGGCTTGTAGGGTTTCTGCCGAGAGATCCGCTGTTAGTCTGATGGGCTTCCCTTTGAGGGTAACCCGACCTTTCTCTCTGGCTGCCCTTAACATTTTTTCCTTCATTTCAACTTTGGTGAATCTGACAATTATGTGTCTTGGAGTTGCTCTTCTCGAGGAGTATCTTTGTGGCGTTCTCTGTATTTCCTGAATCTGAACGTTGGCCTGCCTTGCTAGATTGGGGAAGTTCTCCTGGATAATATCCTGCAGAGTGTTTTCCAACTTGGTTCCATTCTCCACATCACTTTCAGGTACACCAATCAGACATAGATTTGGTCTTTTCACATAGTCCCATAGTTCTTGGAGGCTTTGCTCATTTCTTTTTATTCTTTTTTCTCTAAACTTCCCTTCTCGCTTCATTTCATTCATTTCATCTTCCATTGCTGATACCCTTTCTTCCAGTTGATCACATCGGCTCCTGAGGCTTCTGCATTCTTCACGTAGTTCTCGAGCCTTGGTTTTCAGCTCCATCAGCTCCTTTAAGCACTTCTCTGGATTGGTTATTCTAGTTATACATTCTTCTAAATTTTTTTCAAAGTTTTCAACTTCTTTGCCTTTGGTTTGAATGTCCTCCCGTAGCTCAGAGTAATTTGATCGTCTGAAGCCTTCTTCTCTCAGCTCGTCAAAATCATTCTCCATCCAGCTTTGTTCTGTTGCTGGTGAGGAACTGCGTTCCTTTGGAGGAGGAGAGGCGCTCTGCGTTTTAGAGTTTCCAGTTTTTCTGTTCTGTTTTTTCCCCATCTTTGTGGTTTTATCTACTTTTGGTCTTTGATGATGGTGATGTACAGATGGGTTTTCGGTGTAGATGTCCTTTCTGGTTGTTAGTTTTCCTTCTAACAGACAGGACCCTCAGCTGCAGGTCTGTTGGAGTACCCTGCCGTGTGAGGTGTCAGTATGCCCCTGCTGGGGGGTGCCTCCCAGTTAGGCTGCTTGGGGGTCAGGAGTCAGGGACCCACTTGAGGAGGCAGTCGGCGGGTTCTCAGATCTCCAGCTGCGTGCTGGGAGAACCACTGCTCTCTTCAAAGCTGTCAGACAGGGACACTTAAGTCTGCAGAGGTTACTGCTGTCTTTTTGTTTGTCTGTGCCCTGCCCCCAGAGGTGGAGCCTACAGAGGCAGGCAGGCCTCCTTGAGCTGTGGTGGGCTCTACCCAGTTCGAGCTTCCTGGCTGCTTTGTTTACCTAAGCAAGCCTGGGCAATGGCGGGCGCCCCTCCCCCAGCCTCGCTGCTGCCTTGCAGTTTGATCTCAGACTGCTGTGCTAGCAATCAGTGAGACTCCGTGGGCGTAGGACCCTCCGAGCCAGGTGTGGGATGTAATCTCATGGTTCGCCGCTTTTTAAGCCGGTCTGAAAAGCGCAATATTCGGGTGGGAGTGACCCGATTTTCCAGGTGCGTCCATCACCCCTTTCTTTGACTCGGAAAGGGAACTCCCTGACCCCTCGCGCTTCCCAGGTGAGGCAATGCCTCGCCCTGCTTTGGCTCACGCACGGTGCGCGCACCCACTGGCCTGCGCCCACTGTCTGGCACTCCCTAGTGAGATGAACCCGGTACCTCAGATGGAAATGCAGAAATCACCGTCTTCTGCGTCGGTCACGCTGGGAGCTGTAGACCGGAGCTGTTCCTATTCGGCCATCTTGGCTCCTCCCCTTCTCTAATCAACACAGATTCTAATCACCTCAGATTTCAGTTTTTAATCCTTGATTAATTCTAATTACCTAGAACAATCATTTTTATTTCTCTGTGATAATTTTTGACATCTCTCTGTTCTTCAACAGGATGCTGTTATTTAAAAAGAAAACAAAAATAAAACTTTCACCAAAATTGCATTAATCTGTACATGATGGGTACATGTGATTGATCTCTGTTGTTTGCATTCTACATATAATTGCATTTTGGTAAACAGTAGCTACTTTTCAATGCTAAAAGCTCAGCCATTAATTTTCTGCAGTATAGAATTCTCTTGAAATATTTCACTGTTTCTCACTGCTCTAATTGCTTTAGGAATTTCCTTTAATACATATTTTGTATATATTTTTATACGTATTTTAAGTTTTTCTAGGTAAATGTAAGTCCATGATTTCTTCTACTATTTTTGGAGTTTGGAATTATCTTAATTTTGTCATAAATTTCTGTGAATATTTGTTTTGCTGGTACAAACAAAGATTTGATAATTTTCTAAGCACTCCCAGAAGCTTTGAATAAATAATTTTGGTAACCACATGATGATATTTATGAAATACATAAAGCTCTTAAAGTTTAGGGCAACCTAAACCAGTGTGAATCAGACTTTAATGTGCATACTTGTCCCCTGGGGATCTTGTGAAAAAATCAGATTCAGATTTAGTATGAAGGAGGTAAGGTCTGAGATTATATTAATACATTTCTAATAAGTTGTCAGGTGATGCCTAAGCTGCTAGTACCCAGACTATAATTTGAGAAAAAAAGAAATAAATAACTTTATGTTTTGATATGTTTATTTTTATCCAGTAAAACTGTATTTTAGCAAGTTTATTAATTTTCTCTACTTGTAGGTTATATGCTATCACTCTGTCCTTTCACCATAGTACTTTGTAGAAAAACTGTCTAATCTTGTTTATCCAGTTTTTCATCAGCCCTGCTGGGACTATATACAATCAAATTTTTGCCCCATTACTTTCCATGACTGTTTTCTTGATGTTCTATGTGAACTTATTCATCTCCAAATCATGGCTATTTATGCTGACTGGTTATAGGAAATTAAGGAGTAGAGGACAAAGCCAAATTTTAAGGAGACAAGGAGCACTCTACATCAGAGTAATTGTGGTAAGAAAATCTGTGGTACTAGAGTTGTTGACATTTAAGGAGCTAAACATGGTGTTGGGCAGGGAGGAAAATCCCATGTGCCAAGAAGGATATTGTGAAATGAGCACCTTCTGTTACACATGAACATGTTCTCATGCTGCTAGATAATGTTAAACCATACTAATTGAGTTCATGTTAATCCCTCACCCTTACTCACTGTAGTTGTAACTCCTTACGATCACCAGATATATATCATATATATGATATATGATATATATATGATATATGATATATATATGATATATGATATATGATATATATATATATGAGCTATACCTGGTCATGGTCATCTTTATTTTTCTCTTAGTCAATTGTGAACTAGGGGATAAGGTGCAATGTGCAGCATGGGACAGTATCTATTTAACAGCTCTTTATAAACACACATCTGTGTGTGTGTATAAATTGTTTATATATTATACACACATACAACCATAATAATGGTTTACACCAGTTTCTGCAGTTTGCCTTCCCATTTGATCACCGAGGACAATGTATGGTCAATTTCTATCCATAACCATTATCCGTTATTTTCCCTTTCGTCTACTTCTTATTTGTCCTGAAATCTTTCTGCATTGCACCTAACTGGTGAAAAGCTTTTTCTTGCTTCTCCCACAGACTAAAACTCTATGAAACATTATTCATCAACACAATGCTACTAGTATCTCTAAAGTCTTTAGTTATGAATTCTTATCTGTAAAGTGAGTGAGGAGATGAGACTAGCTGAATATCTGATAAGAGTATTTACTCCTCAGGAAACCGAGTATTCATACTTATATTCAGAGTTGAATGCATTAGTTTAAATAACAAGATATTACTTGCGAATTTTCATTTTCTTGAAACAACCCACAGCAATACTTTATCCTTTTATAGGATTTTGTTTTGTTTTGGCATAATTATGTTGATACTTTGAAAGTAACCTTAAAAGCAATAATAAAATTAAAGGGTATTTATTGATTTCATTTACATTTTTCTTGACTTTTTTATTCATTTGAGATCTATTGTCTTATCCCCATATTAATTAATCAAATGTTAAGTCTTATATTGGGAATTATTGATTATAGCTTCAAAAGGAGGTTTGTTTATAATGATTTTGTGTATCCCTTTTCCCCAGTGACTTCCACTGTAAGTTCAGGTTGTTTAATAAAGACATTGAATATTATTGATCTATGAAATGTCATGCCAATTTCTAATTGCTTGATTTCAGTGTAATTCCATATTATATTTTTATTCATTCAATTGTTCATTGAATTAGTTGTTCAGCAATTCATATCAACATTATGTATTATTTCCACTAGTCAATACAATGCAATGGATATAGCTCAATTGTAGGATTATTATCACAGAAATGTATCCATTTTACCAATCTCTGTTATTTTGTGTCTCACAAATCATTCTTGCATTGTAAAATGGAATTTCTGATAATAAGTATATGCCACAAATCTGTAAGATTACTTAATTGATTCCTATGTTTTTCATACTGCATTTTAAGTTTCTTTTGCTTTTTGTTTGGAAATCCATTTGCTCAAAGTTAAAAAAAGCAACACAAGATTGTCCTGAATGGTATTGCCTAGGTTGTCTTCCAGGTTTTTATAGTTTTAGGTTTTACAGTTAAGTCTTTAATCCATCATGAGTTAATTTTTGCATATGATATAATGAAGGGGTCCTGTTTCAGTCTTCTGCATATGGCTAGCCAGATATTCCAGCACCATTTATTGAATAGCGAGTCCATTCCCCATTGCTTGTTTTTGTCAGGTTTGTCAAAAATCAGATAGTTGTAGGTGTGTGGTCTTATTTCTGGGTTCTCTATTCTGTTCCATTTGTCTGTGTGCCTGTTTTTGTACCAGTACCATGCTGTTTTGGTTACTGTAGCCCTGTAGTGTAGTTTGAAGTCAGGTAGCGTGATGCCTCCAGCTTTGTTCTTTTTGCTTTGGATTCAGCCATTGAGGAAGACAGTGTGGCAACTCCTTAAAGACCTAAGGACAGAAATAACATTTGACCCAGCAATCCCATTACTGGATATATACCCAAAGGAATATAAATCATTCTGTTATGAAGTTGTATGCACGCATATGTTCATTGCAGCACTATTCACAACAGCAAAGACATGGAATCAACCCAAATTTCCATCAATGATAGACTGGATAAAGAAAATGTGGTACATATACACCATGGGATACTATGGAGCCATAAAAAAGAATGAGATCATGTCCTTTGCAGGAAGATGGATGGAGCTGGAGGCCATTATCCTTAGCAAACTAACACATGAACAGAAAACCAAATAGTGCTTGTTCTCACTTAATGGGAGAACTAAATGATAAGTGGGAACTAAATGATAAGAACACATAGACACATAGAGGGGAACAAAACACACTGGGGCCTTTTGGAGGGTGGAGGGTGGGAGGAAGGAGAGGATCAGGAGAAATAACAAATGGGTATGAGGCTTAATACGTGGGTGGCAAAATAATCTGTACAACAATCCCCATTACACAAGTTTACATAGGTTACATAGGTAAACTTGTGTACTGAGGGTTTGTTGTACATATTTCTTTGCTACCCATGTATTAAGTGTCATGATTATTTCAGGACACTTGTACCCCTGACCTTAAAATATAAGTTAAAAACAACCCACAAAATTTCATTTTTCTCTTTCTGTCTCTTGTATAAATACATAATTAGTTCAATTAATAAAGGGTACATTTTAATAGAGGAATCAACATTATATACTCTTTATGAAAGAAAAAGGGAATTAAATTTAAAAAGAAAATATTCTGTGGCAACATAATCCTAGATAACCAGAAGTACATCCTTGGTCTAAATAGCTCTGCCTGACTTGAACATTATTATCTACTTCCTGTATCATCTTACCCTTGAGTTCAAATTGGACCTTGTTTGGCAGATGCTTATTTTTCTCACACCACAACTTACATTCCCTTTTGGGATCTGTGCAATTTGTACTTGATAGCTGCTCTTGCTCAGGTAAGGCTTTATGATATTTTTCCAGTCCCGTTTCCTAATCCTCTTCCCTCCGTTTCCTGATAAGCCCATCTCAACTGTTTATTTCTGCTCAAATACATTAACTATTCCAAAGTCTGTACTGGGGCTTCTAAAAAATAGAGGTAGACTTATAGGAGGATCCAATCCTGACACTTAAGATAATTCTGGTAGTGACAATAATTATGTTTTTGCTCCTTTATGTTACTCTGATATTAGTCATTAAAATATTTACCAAGCATACTTTATCTTTATTTTATTCAAGGTAAGGCAAGAAACAGTAACTCATTCAAAGTTGCTCGGTTATTTGAGAATGCAACATGTTGCAGAAATGAAGTCCAGCTGGGCATTCTGGAGACAAATGCTGAGACTTCTGAGATATTGAAAACCATTAGGGAAAGAAATTATGACTCTTGTCCTCTTGCTCTGTTCCTGGGGTCACCATCGCTCTGCCTCATACTGCCTTTTATGTTTGCTCTATCCAGCCTCCTCTCAGGAGGAACTTCCTCTGCTTGCATTCGATTTTTGCTCTGCAATAACTAAAACTCTTAAGGAACCTGATTATCATAACATAACTCTGTATAATCAAATGTCCACCTCTGTTCCAATACATTGTAGCAGAAGGAGGAAATGTGTATGTTTTAAAACATCAAAAAAAAATTAGTGAAAAAGAGGCTGATTGCAGACAAGTACCCGAAACATGACCACTGTAATCTGCCATTTTAATCTATGTCTTAATAATAAAGTGATACATCAGTCATGTTTTCTTTATTGACAAGAACATAGGATCTCAAAGATCTTGATATAATTTCAATATTGATGATTTAAGTTGTTTCAGACAGGACAGCAATTGCCAGTGAAAAGCAAACAACAATAAGTTGTTTAAAGTGTGAGAAAACTACTTTGTAAATTAATGTCAACTGAAAAAAGCTAAGATGCTAAGGTGTGTATTCTTTGAAATTATATTGGTTGTACAAAAAATAAACTTTGTATTAAGGCTATTTTAATATTTTCTTATATTTTCCACATTATTGTAAAAGTTGAATATTAGAGATTATTAAATGATGTAAGCATCTCGTGAACAATATTTAGTAAATCCTTATTTTATGAACTACAAATAAAATCTAGGACTTAAGACATGGGTTGTTTAAATTGAAAATGCTACTTGAATGAAATCAGAATGACTCAAGGCATCGCTTCTACACTTTTTGGCTAAAATCAAGTGTAAAATGACTCAGGGATAGAGTCAAGGTTGCAAGAGTTTTCCTACATTAATATGGAGACAGATGAAAAAGACAACTATTTTTTTTCTGCTTATATTGTTGTAAAGATTTTAAGTTTTGAAAAAATATTAAGGTAACAAATATCAGCTTTGTTTTTTCCTTGTAAATTTTTTTTTTACATAGGTGACCAGAGTTTCATGCCATTCCTTTTGTAAGAACTGTTAATATAGCTAAGGAAAAATTATAACAGTTTCTCAAGTAACTTCTTGTGTGTTTTATCATAAAAACCCATTTAAGTGTTTCTCAGCATAAGGCAATTTTAAGAACTTGCATTGTTTTAAGATAATACAGTAGCCGAATCAGTGTTATATTGTGTAAATTTTAGAGTATTTTTATCTTCAAGTTATTTTTAATATATGTATTGAATTTTAGGTATTTAACATTGTACTTTCTTCTACAATATCCCTGTAGATCATTTTCATTTGAGCACACTTTGAGTTTGTTTATTGTATAAATTCATCTCTTTATAACTTTTGTAATGTAATAAGGGATTCTTTGGTATTAAGAGAAACTCTGGATCTGAGCAGGGCTGATGTGGAAAATGGGGCTTGATTCCAAAGGGTGATGGCAGCTATTTCACTGCTCTCTCTACAGAAGGGCAGTTGCCCAGATAGGGTGTGTGTCTTCAGGTCTCAGCAGCTTGGTAGCAAGAAACTTTCTCTCCTGTTTTATAACAATAGTTACTTCTAATATATACTTTGATATTGGTCTTATTAAAACTCTTTTAAAAAGAAATGTACCTAATAATTGACAATTCTCATTAATTTTCATTTGATCTAAAATAAGTGCACTCTCCTTGATATTTTATGCTGGCAAAACAAAATAGGTTGTAGATAGGATCCATTAAAAATGATCTCTTCATACATATATCTAAATAAAGAAGGAGTAATTCTCATTTGTGTTTCATTTATGATTTATCTTTAGTGTTCTTTTTTGTATAATCAATTTCGATGTCCCTTTACATTGATTTGACTTAAAAGTCTATAATTGTATGTGCAACTTTTCAATAACATGTTTATTTTGTTAGCCAAAGCAATAAAGATTAGAGATGAGGTAATCCCTCCCAATTCTCCCCTGGTATTCCTCACCAACAATTTTGTATCATGATCTAATATTAATCAAGATGACATTGTGATCAACAATCATATCAAAATAAAAAGCACAGTTGTGCTGCTGATAGTGATTATACATAAATAAATATCAGGAGATTAACATTGTTTATCTAAATACTGATGGGGTTCAAAACATACTATACCCCAAATATGGCACCTTGCCATTTGAGAAAACAGTAGAAGTAGGAAGGTCACTCTCACCTTCCCCCCAACTTCGTTCCCCCTGAAGCAAGCTTTAAAATCTAGCTGACCTTTCCCTGAAGTAGGTCCTAAGACCCTTATTCCAGAGGTGCTTACCCTATACCCAGAGAGGAATATCCTTATCCCTGAAATGCAGGAGACAAAGAAGAATCTACACAAACAGGCCTATGGCATTCCCCCATTAGTTTATTACCATTAGATCATGACCCCTTGTCCATCATACTTCTCCACAAATACCCACTTATTCATCAAACTAAGAATAATATACAGATTATTTTATATCTTTGGATCTTCATTTCTGAAGCCTTCTGTGTCATGTAAAACTTAAATTTGTATGCTTTTATCTTGATAATTTGTCTTTTGTTATAGGTGCCTCAACCATGAATCTACCTATGAGCAAATAAAAGATAATACTTTTTCTCCTCACAATACCATTAAATATTGTATTACATAATTCTATGGGAAAGTATATCTAAGATTTGTTTGCAGCTGGTGTTGGTAGATTATTTCCCAAAAGATTGTCATGATTCACAACCCCAACAACAATGGATACAGTGCTATCTTTTTAATCCTTGCCTGAGTGCATGTTGTTTTTCTTTATAACTTTTCTCTACTCAGAAGAATAAAAAAGTCATCTCATTGTTGTCTTAACTTGTCTCTTACTAACAGTGAGATAGATTATCTTTAGATGAGTATATGGATGATATATAATTTCTGTTCTGTGAAAATCTTATTCATATTCCTTACAATTTTTTATTTATCATTTTAATACAAATTTATAGGTACTTCTTGTCAGACATTTATTTACATGCCAGAAGTTTTGCACATGTATCTCCCAGCCTATCATTGTTTTGTGTGTGTGTGTGTTTTTTTACTATTTAGAAATTAGACTTTTGTAATTAAGTAAGCCTATATTTTGTTTATGGATTTGTTCCTGTTTTGCTTAATAAGATCCCTTCTAATTCAAGTTTACTTTTTTGAAGTTTTTTACATTGAAATGTAAAATAGTACCCAGTCTTACAAGTTAAAACCCAGAGACACAGAGAGTTTAATAATTTGTTGGGTAACTCTATAGCTCTTTTTAGTTACTAGTAACTATGCTATAATGATCATAACTATTAATAATATCTGGCATCTCTTCTGAACATCTGCTATTAGGTACTGGCAACCTTTTATACTCTATTTCTTTTTTGAGACAGAGTCTTGCTCTGTTGCACCACCTGGAGTACAGTGGTACAATCATGGTTCATTGTAGCCTCAAGCTCCTGGGCTCAAGTGATTCTCCACCTTAGCCTCCCAAGTAGCTGGAACCACAGTTATGTACCACCATAGTTAGCTAATTTTAAAATTTTTTTTGTAGAGACAGGGTCTTGCTATATTTCTCAGGCTGGTCTTGAACTGGGTTCAACCAGTCCTCCCATCTCAGCCTCCTAAAATGCTAGGATTATATTTATGGCCACTGCTCCCAGCCCTCTATTTAAAGGCCCTAAATGTTCTTCAGAAAACCACCCTTGATAGCCATGAATTGTTGCTCTCACTCTCAGGTCCAAGCTGATTTTGACTGGATTAAGCTAGTCTCCACATCTCATTCCCAGTACAATTAGAGCCAGTGGATCTCTAGGGAAATTGAGATGAAGGTAGCTAAAAAGGAGCCTTTCACTATTCCTCTTGATTTGGTGATGTTAAGCTGCAACACTTAGAATGTCTGCCACTGTATGCCTATGATTATGGAAGCCAGCTGAAGATAGCTAATACCCAGAAGAAGCATGGCCCAAACAGAGATGCTGTGATTTATAAGATGTGAATCAAGGGTGCTTTGCTTGATGCCTTGCTTCAAAGGCAACTTGCCCTTTCATTTAAAAGAGCCACAAGATTTCCTTTTTTGCAGTAAGCCATTTTCAGATGGTTCCTCTTTCCTTCTCCCTGTACATCATAGAGAGTCATCAGAGACATTGGTTAATTATGAAATGCAAACTATGGAATGGAGGAAGAATCTCATCCTTAAATGTCCTGATGCAATCTCAAGTCAACTTAACCTAAATTATATTATTATATTTAATTTACAATATAAACACTTACCTTTTACTCTTGGAGAGTAAAAGGAGAGAATAGGTACAATGAAGAATCTACATGTGGTAACTTTGATACTATCCAAAACTTTTTCTAAGCCTTTTAACTTTGTAGTGTAAGTAATATGACATTTTTTTCCCTATACTGTGTCCTTCCTAAGTTATTTTGTAACATCATCATGGATCTTACTTTTATGCATAACCTTTTAGTTTTTAACAGCCAGGTGTGGTAAGGAATAAAAGTTATTTTTAACATTGACCTCAGGTTCTTTCTTATACAAAAGCATTCTGTAATTGGAAGGTAGCTGAGTAGACAGCTTTAGCCATGAAACATGAGGCCTTGAGGTCATGGGCTGAAAGAGATAGTTGAACTCTGTGGCATCAGAAGTTATAGTGATTAGAGATTGGGGCAAGAACGAAGATAGAAATAGAAAATGAGGGACTTTAAAAAGAGGAGTTTTTGATATTCAGTTTAAGTTATTTTTTGTGCTAGAGAAATATTTTTAGAAAGGGCACTCTGTGCGTAGGATGGCATGTTGTTCAATGTATTGAAGCAAATTTAGCTGCAGTAGGTCACAGGTGATTCCTGATAATGCTTGAAAATTACTTTTTTCAGTGGAAGAGAAGGAACTTAGGTTACTGTCTTTGGTCCAGTCTGCTTGCATTTTGGTAGGAGAGAATGCTATTCTGCAATAAATAGAATGTTCATTTTTATTTGGAAGTTATCTTTTTAGGCACCAGTGACTAATTATATAATCAACAGAACCTCATTTTCTGAAGCAGTACTGTGCATGTTATTTCACTAAATTTTTTAAAAGGTGATAATACAACCATAACACAAATGTAAAAATGAAAGAGGCACATTAAGGTTTATTGAATGCTATGTCATTTTTTATTTAAAGGTAAGTTAACAGCTATATTCATTTTAGCAAATTAGGCCATTGTTTCTTTTTTCTATTTTGCTTCAGGTATGACTACTGTATATGCCACATAAAGTAGAGCATCTTAAAAGAAAAAGTATATATAGTATATTGATGTATAAATTAAATTGACTGCTCTATTTCAGATAATTTTTGCCAATAATGCATTTTCCATGGAAAAAACAGGCTCCTTTCCAAATGGAATGAAACACATATCAACTTGCCAGTGCATGAACAGTCTGTACCTAGTTTGGAAAATTATAAGTAACGCTGGATCCAAAACAAAAGTATATGATATAATGTTTAATATTTTCTCAATTTTTTGACATTGGTTGGCAATTTTCCTTTAAATAGTCATTGTTACTGTTCTTGGAGAAAACATCAGTTGTGGTAAAGCACTTTTCCAAATTTTGTTAACTAGCTTGACCTTCTTTAGAAATGACAGAAGGTAGAAGATGATACTGCATTTTTCCACTCACATGTGTGTATAATGCTTCATATACTGCTAAATCTTTATAGAAGACTAAACATAAAGAGATTGTGTTAGAGGCAAATAACAGAGTAGATATTGACATTTGGGGGGGTGGTAACTGAGTTAGAAAAACACCATTTTGTCTGAGGTTTCAGTAACTAACTGTTTAAACATCTTCTCAGCTGCCTTTTGTAAAGAAAAAAAGCAATAGTTTTTCCTATGATTTTTTCTCCCATATTTGATCTTCATTATGATATCTTGACTACTTTTTAAAATAATATAATTGACAATGAAAGACAATTTTGTTGGAAAATCTGGATTTCTATGATTTCTTTTAAAACAATTTGAGATTGTAGTACCTGTGAAGATTGATGTTAAAAATAATTTTATGTTTCAAAAGGTAGCAATAAATTACGAACAACGTGAGTGCAGTTTCTTTCACCTACCATTTGGCTCATTAAAGAAAAAAAGTACCTGACATTCAGTCATTTTATGAAAAATCATGGACTAACCTTTGTAGAAATGTAAACTTTAACAAGATTATAGTATCTTTGAAACTAGGAGTTATGTGACAACCAAGTTCTGATGTCCTTATAAGCACTCTACTGGATGACCCCCTAACATGTAGTATTGGCCAAATTTGTTTACAATGTGTTTATTTTGCATTTCTTCATTGGATTTTTTTTTATACTAGTCCAACTAGCATGCCTGGTGGTGTGTTGGAGGAAGCATGGCTAAATGTACTCTTATCGTTTTTAAAATGTCTTGAATGAGGCCCAGCATTTGAAGCCAACTTTTGGGAAATGCAGTTGGGTTACTGACATTGGAGCCTTACAACTGCAGTGGAAATATATGATGACTTGAAAAGAAAATGGGAAAACAATGGTGACATTTAGAAGAAAATTAAGTTTGGGGTTCAGTGTTGCTTAGGAAAGTATTGTTCTAATATATAGTAAAAATGGGAGAGATCAAAGAATCTCAGTGAAAAAAAATCATAGAATTTTGTGCTCACTATTTGATTGAGGTAGTATTTTCTATTCAAGAAAATGTGTCAGAAACTAGATAGGGAAAGAAAAAGAAATAAAGGAAAGGAAAAAGGAAGGAAAGAAGGAAGGAGGGAAGGAAGGAAGGAAGGATGAACGGACAGACGGACGGATGGACGGGAGGAAGTGAGGGAAACTAGACAGAGTTATAGGGCAGGCTCTCGACTTTTGGAAAAGGGAACTTAACCATTTCTAAAACTCATTCATCAATATTGTTCACTGATGTCTTCACTTTAAAAATTTATTGGTGGCTAGGAAATATATTGTAATAGTAGTGAGTCCAACTAGCATGCCTGGTGGTGTGTTGGAGGAAGCATGGCTAAAATGTACTCTTATCGTTTTTAAAATGTCTTGAATGAGGCCCAGCAAGGTGGCTCACGCCAGTAATCCTAGCACTTTGGGAGGGTGAGGTGGGTAGATCACCTGAGGTTAGGAGTTCAAGATCAGCCTGGCCAACATGGCGAAACCCCATCTCTACTAAAAATACAAAAGTTAGCCAGGCATGGTGGCATACACCTGTAATCCCAGCTGCTCAGGAGGCTGAGGAAGGAGAATTGCTTGAACCTGGGAGGTAGAGGTTGTAGTGAGCTGAGATCGTGCCACTGTACTCCAGCCTGCACAATGAGAGTGAGACTCCATCTCAAAAAAAAAAAAAAAGTCTTGAATATTTAACAATACCTTTTGAAGGATCCTTAAAATAGATTTCCTGACTTTTACATATGAATGATGAAAGATTTTTTTTTTTTTGAAATGGAGTCTCACTCTATTGCCCAGGTTGGAGTGCAGTGGTGCGATCTTGGCTCACTGGAACCTCTGCCTCCTAGGTTCAAGCAATTCTTGTGCCTCAGCCTCCTGAGTATCTGGGACTACAGGTACGTGCCACCATGCCTGGCTAATTTTTATATTCTTAGTAGAGATGGGGTTTCACCATGTTGACCAGGCTGGTCTCAAGCTCCTGACCTCAGGTGATCTGCTCACCATGGCCTCCCAAAGTTCTGGGATTATGATGTAAGTAACCAGCCTGGCAGAAAGATTTTTTAGAAGTATAAAGGCTTTGTTTTAAGACAACCAAAGATGATCATACGTCTCTTGCTAAACATATTAATTTCATCCATGCATCTCATAGCAAGCATTTTTTTTGCATTTAAATTCACTCACTCTAAAATATATCAAAGTTCTTATTCTTGGAGAGGTGAAATATAAGCACTGTCAAATCAATAAATTAATTTGTAAACACTTATATTTGCATAAGTTAACCTCAACAAATCATTTTTGAAAGTGACAGAATTGTCAGAATTGGTTTGATTTATGACTCTTGCCCATGATAAGGAAATAGTACCAAAAAGATTAAAAGGGACTGCTTTTGAAACATTTATTACCCTCCTCCTTCTTTTTTTTTCCAAATGAAAGCATTTAATCTAATCATCTCCATAACATATGATGTATACAGTGGTGATGAATATACTGACGTATACCATGCATTCAGATTCCTATTTTTAGAGATTACATAAGAAAGAAGTAGTACATTCAACTTAAATTCTTCTTAGCCATAACAATTATTATTTGAAATCTTACCCCTAGAATAGTTTTCGGTGGAAAACTGGCTATATGAAATAAAACATTACCTTTTCAATCATTTCTATGATGAGCCAGTATCTTAGTTCATTCAGGTGGCTATAACAGAATACCATAAACTGGGTAGCTTATAAGCAACAGAAATTTGTTTCTCACAGTTCTAAAGGATTGGACCATGAGCAAGGTGTTGACACATTCCATGTCTAGTGAGGCCCACCTGCTTTCTGTTTGATAGATAGTGCCTTTTGGCACGGTAGAAGGGAACAAGACAGCTATCTAGCACTAATCCCATTCATGACCTAATGACCACCCAAAGGCACCACCTCCTAACACTATCACCTTAAGAGTTAGGATTTCAAAATACAGATTTTGGGGAGGACCCAAGCATTCAGACCACAGCGTTTCACCCCGACACTCTCAAATTCATGTTCTTCTTACATGCAAAATACATTTGTTCTACTCCAACAGCCCCAAAAATCTTAACTCATTTCAGAATCTACCTTAAAGTCCAAGTTCAATGTCTCATCTAAACATGATCTAAATCAGATATGGGTGAGACTCAAGGTACAATTCATTCTGAGGCAAATTTCTCTCCACCTGTGAATCTGTGAAATCAGACCTGTTGTGTGTTTACAAATTACAATGATGGGGTAGACACGTAACATTAGCATTCTAGAAGGGAGAAACATTGAAGAAGAACTGGGGCAATAGGATCCAAGTAAGTCCAGAATAATAAAGCTTGAGAATAATCTTTGACTTGAGGATCTGCCCTCTGGGCCCTCTGGGGTCATAGCCCTGCCCACATGGCTTTGGGAAGCCCCACCCTTGTAGTGTCTTCAGTGTCTCTGTGCCTGAGCCTCCTTGCCATGCTATTGTGATTGTCTGTGATGGCCCCCACCTCTGCAGCAGCTCTGTGCCTGGGTCTTAGCGCTCATGGCTTTTCTGGGCTTGAATCTTGCGCTGGTGATGATCAGTAGTCTCCGAGCAGCCCTGTCCTTATAGTTCCATGGAGCATTTCCCTAGTGGAATGTCTCTGTGGAGACTCTGACAATGAGGCAATTTTCTTTCTGGGCCCTACATTTCTCCAGGGAGTCCTTCTAAATCTAGATAGAAGCAGCCACATTCCCACAACTTTGCTGGGTACAGTGCATGCTGTACCTGGGTCAGCTGGAGCCATCCTAGGTCAGATGAGCTGGTACTTGGGTCAGCTGGAGCCATACCTGGGTCAGCCATACCTGGGTCAGCCCCATACCTGGGTCAATTGAGGAGTACAGCAACAGAGTGCAGGAAGCAGAGCCCATGATCTGAGGTGGTGCTGGGCAGCCCTGGCCCCTCCTTTGAAGTTGTTCTGCCCTAAGACCCAGTACTCTGGCCCTGTGATAGGAGGGGCAGCTCCTGATGATCTTTGAAATGCCTTAGGGGCCATTCTTTCATTGTCCTGATGAATAGCACCTGACTATTCATACCAATTTCTTTATCAAATAGTCACTTGGCCACACCTTAGTATTCTTTCCAGAACACACTTTCTTATTCCTTTTAATATGGATAGGCTGAGAATTTTCCAATTTTTAAAGTGTTGCTTTCCTTCAGATTAAAATATTTTAAATTCTCTCTTTTTACTGTAAGCAAAAATAAATCATATTTTTTTCAAATGTAGTTCACTCACAAGTTCTACCTTCCACAAAATACTGGGACTCAAAGACAATTCGGCCAAGTTGTATGCCACTTTATAACACTTTTAGGAGGACACAAATATTCGAATTAGCGTACCCATTATATGATTAAAACTAAAATTCTCTTTGGGTCATATGCCCCTTAGAAATCTTTAAAGAAATATATGGATGAAAAGTTTAGAATGATTGATCAAGAGGAACCTAGATTACAATAAGATAAACTCATACTATTTCACTAATTATACTGTAACATGTATTTTTCATAATGGTTTGTTATTCAATCACAAAATAATCTTTTTAGTATGGTTCCTATATAAAATGAAATGTAACATTTATCCTGTGATATTTAAAATTGTCACCTGAGTAGTATGTGAAAGGGATTTTTTTCTTTAAGCAATATATTAAGCATCAAAGACACATGCATAATTTGAAATAGTTTCAGTTCATTTCCTCCTTTTTATCTTTTCTAACAGAGCATTTATATGTTGTTCATTACTAATCATTCAAGAAGAAAACATTCTCATATTCTTATATTAACAGGAAATTGAATATGGACCATTACAATGAGGGTCTATAGTAATTTAATATGACAAAGACCGTTAGAAAGCTTCAAAATTATTTTTAAGGAAAACACTAACCACCTCATTTATTTGTGATTTTTTTTTTTTTTGTAAGGGAATCCAAAAGTACAATATAGTGATATTGTGATAAGACTCCCTATCCATGGCCGGGCGCGGTGGCTCACGCCTGTAATCCCAGCACTTTGGGAGGCCGAGGCGGGTGGATCACGAGGTCAGGAGATCGAGACCATCCTGGCTAACAAGGTGAAACCCCGTCTCTACTAAAAATACAAAAAATCAGCCGGGCGCGGTGGCGGGCGCCTGTAGTCCCAGCTACTCGGGAGGCTGAGGCAGGAGAATGGCGTGAACCCGGGAAGCAGAGCTTGCAGTGAGCCGAGATTGCGCCACTGCAGTCCGCAGTCCGGCCTGGGCGACAGAGCGAGACTCCGTCTCAAAAAAAAAAAAAAAAAAAAAAAAAAAAAAAAAAAGACTCCCTATCCATTTTGAGAAACTACAATTGAGTAGCAAGGTGTCAGAAAGTACAATCAGTTCTTATATCAAGATTCTTACATGGTAGAATTGCTGGTTTAGAAAAATCAGTTCAAATTTAAACGATAATCTGATCAACTCCTTCTTGGAAAAATAAACCTTATTATTCATAACTTTTTAAAATTTATATTAGTCAATCATTATTTATTAGGTTTTACAAAAAACATAAGCAAAAAGTATAGTAAACTGTTGATTACATTTTACAATACTCTCTTGTGAACAAAGAAGAAATAATAATATAGAATGCTTACATGCTTATGTTCATGTATGAAGTTTCCTCAGTTGTGTTGGGCTAATGTAAATTGCCCAAACTTCTTCTAAATGGCAGAAAATTAGATCACAATGTGGATGAACAAACAGAAATATCTCTACATCATTACTTTATATAACCAGAAGTATAAGCATATATTCCCGTTTGAAGTATTTTGTTAACAATTAACTTTGCTAAATATTTGTAGGTATTTTATTGATAAATGGAAAGTGCTAATTTTTCAAATCAATTAGAATATTTCAATAAACAATAAAAGTTGATTTCTAATTTCTCCCAATATTACACCTGGTAAATTGCTCCAGATTTTATAATACAAATTGGAGCAGATGGGACTGTGAGAGTGGCTCTGACTGTGGCAAATCAATTTTCTTTAAACATTTCCTGTGCCAGGGTAGGGCCCACTCCCATCATGTCTTCCCTAGAGAACGCCACCGCAGCTTCACCCTTCCTTAAAAATAATTTTGGGCTGGGCGTGATGGCTCACACCTGTAATCCCGGCACTTTGGGAGGCTGAAGCAGGTGGATCACCTGAGGTCAGGAGTTCAAGACCAGGCTGGACAACATGGTGAAATCCCGTCTGTACTAAAAATATAAAAATTAGCTGAGCATAGTGGTGCACACCTGTAATCCCACCTATTCGGGTGGCTGAGGCTGGGGAATTGCTTCTACTTGGGTGGCAGAGGTTTCAGTGAGCCGAGATCGCGCCATTGCACTCCAGCCCGGGCAACAGAACGAAACTCCATCTCAAAAAAAAAAAAAAAATCCTTTGAACACTGGGGACTCTGTGTGCTTTTCTGAGTTTACATTTTGTCATCTAACCTCAGGAATAATAATATTCCCTCCCATTCTTCTTCAGTTTGCATAATTATGACTGTATTAATGTTTCTATCCTAATTCTCAACCAACTTGGCAGTCAAAAAATATATATTAAAAAGCTCAGAGCGTTTGCTATGAAAATCAGGCTAGAAAATGGCCAAATTCCTATAAAAGCTGTAACACCTAAATTCTAACTGTTTTTACACGTAATTGCACTTGTTTAAAATTTTAGGTTCAGTGGGTACACATGTATGTTTGTTACATGGGTATATTGCATAATGCTGAGGTTTGGGCTTCTAATGCTCTCATTGCCCAAGTAGTGAATATAGTACATGATAGATAGTTTTTCAACCCTTTCCCTCCATTCACCCTCCCCATTTTTGGAATCCCCAATGTTTGCATCTGACAAAGGACTGATATCCAGAGTCTATAAAGAACTTCAACAAAACAACAAGAAAAAAAAAAAAACAAATAACCCCATTAAAAAGTGGGCAAAGGACATAAACAGACATTTCTCAAAAGAAGATGTATAACCAGCCAAGGAACTTATGAAACACTAGCATCATCACTAGCATCATCAGAAAGATGCTAATCAGAGTCACAATGAGATGCCATCTCATACAAGTTAAGATGGCTATTATTAAAAAGTCAGAAAATAACAGATGTTGCTAAGGTTGTGGAGAAAATGGAACGCTTATGTGCTGTTGGTGGGAATGCAAATTAGTTCAGCCCCTGTGAAAGCAGTTTGGAGATTTCTCAAAGTACTAAAATTAGAATTACTGTTCAACCCAGTAATCCTATTAGTGGATATTCAACTAAAGGAAAATAAATCATTTTACCAAAAAGACACCTACACTCATATGTTTATCACAGCACTATTCACAATAGCAAATACATGGAATCAACTCAGCTACTCATCAGTGATGGATTGGTTAAAGAAAATATGTTATCTATACACCATAGAATATTACACAGCCATAAAAGAGAACAAAACCTTTACAGCAACATGGATGCAGCTGGAGGCCACTATCCTAAGCAAATTAACATAGTAACAGAAAACCAAATACCACACATTATCACTTATAAGTGGAAACCATTGGGTACACATGAACATAATTGTACATTTTTGTACATTTTTATTCTATATTCTTGCCATCTTTATCTTCTAGGTTATAGGAAGCATTATGATCTGTCACTTAAGCTATATTAGATTTTGGAGTATGTGTTTTAAAGTAATTCAATTTCCTGTATATGTCAAGGGAAGATCACCTAATTCTGACCCTTAAAAAGCCCTGTTTTGAAAAATTTTAATAGTCATTCACACTTCTAGAAACACTTCTTCACAAACTCTAGTTTCTTTGTTCTTGCTAACATCAATTAGTAGTAAGAATTATATAATATTTTATCAATGTATTCTAAGAGAAGACAATGCCTCCAAGATAGTAAAGACATGTGGATCAAAATTAGGGGTAAAATTCCAATATGTATTATAAATTTTAATAACTATTTGAAATCATTTTATGTTTATCATGTCATTTAAAAATACTACCAGTGTTTATAAAATTATTCAGTGATATTAAAGAATGATAAGGCAGGCATTAATCAGGATCATCATGATAGGTATAGAAACCACTGCAATGAGGTTTTGTGGTGGGGAGAGAGATTGGGCTCGACTCCAAATATAACAAGGAAAAATGATAATTTATAGCCAAGGAACAGTGTGTGTGGCAAGGGGTCAGCGGATGGAAAATTGCTAAGAAGAAACATGAGGAGTAAGGAGGAATTCTGGCTAAACTGACATAAAAGGATTCTTGCTGAAGACAGGCCAGGAGATCAGACAACACCTGTGGGATGGGGTATGGTGGAGGATGAGGAACCCGATTAGATTTTGAGAGTGACCAGATACTAGCATGAAGCAGTATTCTTGCTAGAATTAAACAATGCAGAAATAAACATGGAAGCTCAAAAGTCAAAGCCTGGTTGAGCAAAGAGTTCAGAGGAGGCTGAGTAGGTTCAGTCGGGAGAGAATATTGTCATCATGTTTAAAATTCATTGCTCTGTATATCTCAATTATGTTTGAAATTTTATTCATATTTTTAAAAGTAATGCAAAGAAACAGCTTTCACCATTACAAAATTTGGCTTTCAGCATATAAAAAACAAAAGAAGACCTCTAATACCAGCAGAACTATAACAGAAAAACAGCTTTACTCTGAATATTAAAGTGCAATTATAAAAATTTAAAAACAATCACATGCACACACATAATGATAAAGTAGATCTACCTGCTTTACTCGTGTAAAATAAATATCTTTATGTCTCAGATTGAATCGCTCTAGTGTTTATTATATCTGTCTTGTATTTTAGATTTTTATTAGGAAAAATTAAATAAAGGGTTTGTAAGTCTACATACTAATATTCTGAAGTATTTGCTTAAAAAAGAAATACTTTATAAAAGCTTTATAGTTAGTAAATCAAACTATTGGTTGAAAAGTGCAAGTATTTTTAAAACTAAATATATATGTTTACAATCCTGCCCTACTGCCTGATATTTAATATCTAAAAAACATCCCGCAATCTTAACAATCTAGTAATAGACTAGATGACTCCTTAGTCCCTTTTAGCAGTTCCTTGGGGACCTGTGGGAAGTCTCTCTTCACAGGAACATCTTCATTTGAAGATAAGAGCTGTTATCCATGTGTGCTCTCCATGAAGGGAGGAGGTTCAGAGTTTGAATGGTGCTAATGAAGTTCCTTGCTGTGCAACACAGAGCACATGCAATTTGACGTTGATGCAAATGACCCTAAATGGTGTGATCACTTCGTCAGACTGAATATACTGTTCCTATAGCAGGTGGCTATTCTGCACTGGCAGAAACCGTTTTAACACTTTCTTCCCATTTGAACGCAGCTCTTCTAACAGACAAGTATAACATATTGTAATGTATTTTAATGATTTAAAAACTTATATTAATCTCCACTTTAGTAAATACCACCCCCACCCCACCAACACCACCATGTTTTCCTGAAATTTCTATATTCTTGCTTTTATCTGATTAGGGAAAAACTCAATCCGTATGTATATATATATTTTTACTTGTAGAGAAACACCTAATATACTGATTTCTCATTCAAAGATTAGCCAATGTCTTTTCCTGGAAGCTGCCTGAGAAGTAAGAAAAACCGAGGTGATACATTGGAGTTCTATTTCAATATGCTTCTTGATATTTTCCTGTGTGGCTTCTAATACCCCTGTCAGATTGAACAGTGCATTTTTCTGTAAGTCCATGCTCTTTCCTGGAACCTGACTAGATCCTGCATGCTAAGATTCTGTATAGACCTTGATCAAATTCATGGACTTATCATCACAATTTTGATTTGGAAAATGCTTTTATCCTTCTCTTTTTAGTTTCCATCCCATCATCTATGTCTCATTTCTGCTTATGAGCTCTTAATATTACTTGCCTTATAAGTTAAAAGTATACCTTTTTAGGTGCTTTCATTTGCAAAATTTTAGATATATTTAATTTTGAAATTCAAATAATGTGGTTTGTATTATTTATATTTGTATGTTTCCTGAAGATTTCTGTCAATGTTGTAAGTCATCTGGTTTGCCAGTTTGATTGCTAATATTTTTCTCTGAAATTCTTGAGAATTATTCCTTCTCTTTTCTAGGTCATCATCCTCTTTCCTATTTAATAATGGTTAACTGGAGAATCAAAGTAGATTTCTCATACCCCATCATCCCCACCACATCTTTTTTTTTTTTTTTTTTTTTTTTTTTTTTTTTTTTTTTTTTTTTTGGGACGGAGTCTGGCTCTGTCGCCCAGGCTGGAGTGCAGTGTAGAGATCTCGGCTCACTGCAAGCTCCGCCTCCCCGGTTCCCGCTATTCTCCTGCCTCAGCCTCCAGAGTAGCTGGGAGTACAGGCGCCCACCACCACGCCCGGCTAATTTTTTTCTATTTTTAGTAGAGGCGGGTTTTCACCACGTTAGCCAGGATGGTCTCGATATCCTGACCTCCTGATCGGCCTGCCTCGGCCTCCCAAAGTGCTGGGATTACAGGCGTGAGCCACCGCGCCCGGCCATCCCTGCCACATCTTATTAAACTTCAACTCTTTAGCTTTGAGTCACACATATTTTTCAATGCATCACATTCTTTCCATCTCTACTGGCACTGATGTAGGTCAGACCCTCATCATACCTAGCACAGATTTTAGGAGTCTTTTATCTCCTTGTCTTCAACTCTTCGCTTCCTCTTCAATCTAACCTTTGTTTTCCACCCAGTGGTAGCTCTTTCAAAGAAATTTTCTTCTAAATAAAACCTCTCAGAGATACCCATGACCTACAGATTTAGTTTCAAATTTTTCAGCATGGTAGATAAGGTCCTCTGTGACGTTAAGTTGGGCTAACATAATAGCTCCTCTTTATACTTTAAGTTTCATTGCAAGCCTCATGAAGAGTACTTGGAGTTCTTCCTTATGACTGTTGTTTCATGCATTTGTGATTTTTGCGGGGAGAATGGGGGTGTGCTCACTCTTTTTTCTCTTTCTATACCTGGCAAGCCTCTGTTCATCTTTTAAATCTCAAATATCATTGCCCCCTGAAAATTTCCCATTTCTCTTTGGGTTTCACTAAGTGATTACTCCTGTGGGTTCCCAGTAAATGTTATCGCAATTCATCATTTACGTTTCTGGCTGCCTCAGTTCTTGAAGCAGGGACTTGGCTGATGTATAACCAGGACGTGATAAGGGATAGACACACAGGAGACAATTAACAGATGTTTGCGAACTGACACAAACTTTTTCATTCTTTTTAAATCCTTCGTCTTGAACATATGTTCTTTTAAAATGTATTCTCCAATGTTTCAAAGTACATTTTTTTGTGTGTCTGAATAGAATTAGGATTATAATGATTTTGGAATTAACTTACTTTTGCATTGTCCATATCCTTATCTGTCTGTCTGTCTGCCTGCCTGTCTATTTATGTATCTACATTAGCTCAAGGTTTTATATTTATTTTAGAGGGCTTCCTTGACCTTCTGTAATTAATGTTTTACACATTATGAATGTAACCGTAGCATTCAATAGGTATACTAGATAAGCTTTCTCAAGGAGAAAAAAATAATATTCAAATTTTAAATGATAATTTAGAAGCATGATATAATTTAACTTTTGAAGTATGCAAATGATAGGCTGCTATTCCATCAAAATAAAAATAACACATTCAAAAGAATTCACATTCTAACCTATGAACTTTTCCTTTTATTTCAATGTAACTCTCATGCAATTAATTAAAACTCAGTGGGGTATTGTGGTGAAAATTTTAATATCATGCAGTTACTTTCATTAATAATATCATTTCTTTGGCTAAGTAGAATAACAATTGAGTTTATCCAGCTGGAAAAAGTTAGACAAAGACACATAGGCAGGTAACTATTGTCTATTAGGTAAGAAGAAATGCAGCTTTTCTTTTAACATATATCAAACGACATATTCTGCATTTTCTAGGATTCCTTTAAACTGTTTTATGTGGTAACTGTCAGAAGTTTAGATAATTTAGGTAGTTATGGAGTTAATAGTTTTAGAATATTTCTGTTACAAAACATAAATATCTTTGCGTACCACCTATAATGTCATAAAACCCTAGACTAGAAATATCTGTTTGGAGACATTAAATAAATTAAATTGCTACCTTAAGTAATATGGTGGATTTTAAGTTCCAAACAAGTCAACAAAAATTAGAATTAAAACATTCTGAGGTTTTTTTTACTTTATACTTTGGAAATATTAATCATGTAGTCTTTGTATGTAAATGACAGAAATCACTATCATGAAAATTAGATAGCAGTTTTTTTATTAAAATAGAGTATTTATTCTGCAAGTTATTGCATTCATTATCCAACAGTATATTAAAATGTACTTTGATCACCATTGTATACTTCATCAATGTGCTTTTGTGCTTCATTAATTAGTAACTGACTGAAAGTTAATGTTCATCCTGTGTCAGTCTGCTCTAGATACATCATTTTGCTATTCAAGGCCAAATCACAAAATGATTATAAATTACCAGCAGCATTTATTTGTTTTACTTCTCATTATGACAAATTCAAAGATCAAACTGATAGCATATCACATACATAGAATAATACATTTTAATTTAATAAGCAATAGGCCAGGCACATTTCTCTATGGGGAATAATAAATGAATTGATTGAAAGCAGAAGGAGGTTGTAAGCTTTTTGATAATGGTGCAGAGCTTTTACATGTTGATTTGAACTTTGAAAAAATATGTAATATCCTTGTCTTTCTCATGAAATATGATGTATTTTAGATTTTGGTTTCTTGAGGGTACTTTAAGGGTTATCTTTTCTTGAAATAACATTTATTTAGGCCTTTAGTTACACAGATTTGCATTGTTGGTAGTCTTCATTCAGATCACACTAATTTTATTTCAAACCATACTCACTTTTGATTATGAAACATAAAGGTTGAAATCCTTCAAATCTGAGGCATCTCTCTGACCTAAATTTCAGATGACATTTAAGAATATGATTAAACAAATTTTCAAATAAAAACAGCTGGAGTGCAACAGTTTTCGTACTTTTAGATACTTTATTTTGCCACTGGGGAAATTATAGTAAATTAAGATTAAGGATTCTAAGTGAAACTCTATAATCCTAGTGGGTTGTTTGGTATTGGAAGGTAAGGAAAAGATTGTTGAAAGTCAAAGACAAAGATTGAGCTCTCAGATCAGTATACACCAATTGTAGAGACAATGTAGCTGGCTATCCAAGTTAATGGCATTAGACCTCTGAAATTAAACACGTTGCCTTCAGTATGAATCTGTAGTCACCAAGCAAACTTCTGATTATTTGACCCCCTCCTAGTTTTTTTTTCTTGCAAGGAGAAAATATAGGGTCAGTTATACAAACAGCTATAATTACTTTTCTCTTTATAAAAAGGGTGGAGGTTACAAAAGCATTTTGCGGAGACTTATGAAATAAAATGGTGAGAATGCAAGTGAAAAAGACATTACAAGACACCAAAGACTGGCTTTTTAAACAGGCACAATCTGAAATAAAATTGATATGAGAATATGCCTCAGCAGAAGTGACCTTGTCACAAAGTTTTCCAACAGAGCTTTGCAATTCAGTAGAGGTGACTCACTGAAGAAGATGCCTAAATCTAATTTATTTTTAATAAAATTTATTCATTCATTCACATGTTGATTGGTAATTCAACACATATTTACTACATTTTTATTCAAAGTATTTTGCTGGTCACTGGAGCTACAGTATTAGCCATACATTCCAGAACTTTCTTCTCAAGTTGCTTATAGTCTTCCTACAGCATTGTAGAATATAGTCAATATATATTTTTATGACTTCTTTCCATCCTTAATTTACCTTAAGTCCTCGTTCTTGCCAACCACAGTTCTACAAACAACAACATTTCAAAATAATTTATTTAACAGTTATCATAAATATAATGAATCATATGTGCTTAAATAAAACACACATCCAGTAATTTCTAAATTCTAGAAATTTACTGAAACAAGATTTTAATTCAAAACTTCATCTTGCTATATTATAATTTCTTTTTTTGCTCAAGTTAATTTACATAAGTGTCACTTTTGGCCAATGAAATATAGTAGCTAAAGTCTATGCGCCTTGTTTCTCCAAAATCTTTACAAATGCCGCTATTTCATTTAAGAAAAAAAAATTTTGTTACATATTTTGCAAAAAGCTTGAAGGAAATAAAAACTTTAAATCTTTTGCCCCCCCAAAAACTTCTCTGACATATTTTAAGATGGCTATTCAGAGGGCCTGCAAACAGAAGTATGCAAAGCTATATTTTATGGGGGAGATTTGCATCTGTCGAGAAAATCTGCCTTGATGCAGCCAGGCTTTCTCTGAGGCTCTCCCTTTTTCAATTTTGGAAAGATTAACTGAGAATCTGGCACATTTAAAAGTCTGAAACATTTACCATTTATTCTCTCTGAGGGCTGCTATCTTTGAGGTTTCATCTACATAAAAAGACCACCTTTGCTAGCCAGGCTTCCTCTCTCTTCCTCCCATAACCTGTCTTACCATCATCATCTGTTTTTGGCCATGCTCTGAGCCCCAATTATTTCTGTAATCTCAAGATGTTATATAAACTTCTGTACCCCATTAAGTGGTTGGAGTAATTATTCTGTGGTTCTCCCCTGTACACATTAATAAATTTGTATACCATTTCTTCTATTAATCTGCCTTTGTCAGTTTACTTTTCAGAGAACCTTCAGAGGGTGAAGGGGAAGTTCTCCCTTGGCCTCTATAGGTTCCATCATAGTTTCCAAATACCAAAATTAATAATGATATTTTACCTATACAGTGAGTAGTTTTAAGATGCCTTTTGAGGTATCAAATTAATATTTATTATTAATGTGTCAAGCAATGTGTTATTTGTCACAGAGGCAAGATTGCCAGATGCCAGCTTCATTAGAGTGTAAAATTTAGGGTACTAAACATTGATGATCACTGGGAAGAATTCCAGATGATTGAAGACTGTGAAGCCAATTGAGTTTTGAGCATTAAATGAAGTGTTATTAAGAATGATCTGACCTCCTCTCATGAATTGTTTCTTATGTTTTCTCTGTTGTCTCTATTGTAATTTTTGTTCAGTGGAAATTAAAGTCACTCAAGGTCTCAAATTAAATAATAAAATTGAAATTGCACATATTTTCTCCTTTTGTGGGGAAAGAGGTACTGAGACAGGAATAATACATGGTGGTTGCAGGAGAACAGAAAATTCCAGGCAGCAGTTTCACATGACATATTTTGGTAATGGGTCCTAGAGATGAAACATAACTAATTTTAGTATGTTTCATCATGTTACATAGGCTTCAGTGGGAAAACAAACTCTGTGGACAACCTAGTTACTTATTGCCTTTGAATATGAAATATTTGACTCAGAAAGTTGACCTTTAAAAAGTATTAGCTTTATATCATCTAAATTGAGCAAATGTGTATAGGAAAGGTTATGTCTCCTCATGGTCATTCTTTATATTATTAAATTTTAATGATATGTTTATTTGTTCTCTTAGGAGAAATAGTCACAACTAAAATATTCTTTCCAGAATTTAAAGACTTGAAAAACAAATATAGTTTTAAAACTCAGTTTACTTGTAATAATCTAAAAACACAAATAGCCTAATGATTACAGAGTGAAGAAGAAGGACAATTCTTAAGGCAGTATTTCTGGAGGGTTATCTGAGAATTATATGCTGCTTCTTGCTTGCTTTCTTGATACGAACTACAAATTACTTACAATTCCAAACTATTCCCAAGCTCAACTGACATAAACTACAGTTGTCCCTTGAAAAAACATGGCATTAAACTGCGCAGGTCCACTTATACTTGGACCTTCTTCCACCTCTGCCAGCCCTGGGACAACATGGCCAGTATCCTCCTCTTCCTCGGCCTACTCAACATGGTGATGACAAGGATGAAGACCTTTATGATAATCCACTGCCACTTAATGGATAGTAAATGTAATCTCTCTTCTGATTTTTAGAATAACATTTTCTTTTCTATAGAGCTTACTTTATTGTAAGAATACAGTATATAATACACGTAACATACAAAATATGTGTTAACCGACTTGTTGATGTTATCAGTAAGGCTTCTTGTCCGCAAGAAGGCTATTAGTAGTTTGTTGTTGGTTTTTTGTTTTGTTTTGTTTTGTTTTTGAGATGGAGTCTTGCTCTGTCACCCATACTAGAGTGCAGTGGCACAATATCGGCTCACTGCAACTTCTGCCTCCTGGGTTCAAGCAATTCTCCTGCCTCAGCATCCCGAGTAGCTGGGTTTACAGGTGCCTGCCACCATGACCGGCTAATTTTTGTATTTTTAGTAGAGACGGGGTTTCACCATCTTGGTCAGGCTGACCTCCCGATCCACCCGCCTTGGCCTCTCACAGTGCTGGGATTACAGGCATGAGCCGCTGCGCCTGGCCTATTAGTAGTTGTGTTTTATGAGTCAAAGGTTGTATGCAGATTTTCTGCTGTGTAGGAATTGGCACTTCTAATCCCCATATTGTTCCAGGGTCAACTGTATTGGTTTAAAGTTCATACTTAAAATTTTTTTCTCTTTATATTTTTTAATTTAATTTGGCTTTATATAAAATATTGAAATAACTGAATAATTGTTTTAGACTCTTAGCCAATCCCCTTTCTCCAACTCTCCATTTCAAGCATCCTCCAACTCTCCATTTCAAGAAACCTAACACATACGTTATGCATCTCAGATTTGCAACATTATATTCTTTCTTCCTGAGGAGAGGATAGAATTTTGAGGATTTTCCAAGTCTTCAGCCATGGATTCTCTGCATCATCTTTTATTTATTCCCTTTTCCTAAGTGGTTCAAAATCATCAATTTTAGAATTAATTTTGCCTCATTGATATGAAGGTTTTGGATTCCATATATTTGCTTAACAAATGTTCACTGAGCTCTTCTATGTTCCTAGTATTGTGGTAGGTGCTGAATCTGCCTCACCTGGCTAAATGAAAGTATAGTATAGATAAGGTGTTCTTCCAAAGCTTTATATCTTTCAGTTACCAACTTTCTCCATCCAATTTATGCTGTAATTGTTTGTGACAATGTGGGAAATAGGAATGATGATGTATTAGTTTGTAGAAGTGTGAATTGTCTGGAGAGAAATTTGGCCGTACTTAGTGACATTAAGCATGCATATTCCTTGGACTCCAATTATTGAATTTTTACCCGAGAGAAATTTTAGCAGAAGTTTAAAGACACTCTCTGTCCTTTTCCTTTTCTCGCTATGTGTTGTAGAGGCAAAGGAAAAAACTTTTACCTTCACTCTCTGAAGGTTCACTTAAAAGTTAATTGATAAAAGGCAAATTAGTATGAGAAATGACATACAAATTTATTAGCGTGCAGGGAGGAAAAATCACAGAGCCATTACTCCACCACACAATGAGGTACAGATTTTTATATATCCTTTGTCTTAGGGGAAAGTGAGATGGGGAAGTGTGGATGATTTTAAGCAAGGAGAGTAAATGATTGTAGGGAAATGCAATGGGCTTGGAGAACATAAAATGGCCTGGGACAAAGTCTGTTGGGCCTGCAGAAGAGGCAATGGTTTTGAAAAAAGTTTGTCCAGGTATGTTGACAGATTTCAGTCTTTCTTCCTGTCATATGAGTTCAGTTAATGAAAACTCAGGGAAGGGACCAGAGGTAATTGTTTTCTTCTTTGGTGGATCTGAACTTTAACCAGAAAAGGGAATTTCAGAGACCAACTTCATCCAGTGTTTTGGAAGAGATGGAGGGGAGAGAGACCTTGAGGCTTCTTTTTCAGTTCATCATGTTAAAATGCCATATTTTGGAGTATCAGTTTCTGAGCCCTAACATTGTGTACATGCATGTATATGTGTGTTTACGTGTTCATCATAAATTTAGAGGCTAAATACAACTTTAAGGTGAAACGCTAGGGTGTATGCCTATGATGAATTACTATGGAGCAATTAGAAATAGATATCTACAAACCAACATGAATGGTTCCCATTAACACAGTTTTAAGTAAAAAAGTATGATCAACTCACCTTAAATCTGAAATGAATAAAGTCAGGTGCTGCATAAAAATATTTAGGTCAACAATCAGCTGTACAAATGTATATGACAGTGGTCCCATAATATTGCAACATCATATTTTACTGTACCTTTTCTATGTTTAAATGTTTAGATACATAAATACTTACCATTGTGTTACAATTGCCTATAGCATTCAGTACAGTAACATGCTATACAGGTTTGCAGTCTGGGAACAATAGGCTATACCATATACCATCAGTCCTCAACCTTTTTGGCACTGGGGACTAGTTTTGTGGAAGACAATTTTTCCATGAACCAGGGTCAGGGTGGGGGATGGTTTCTGGATGAAACTGTTCTACCTGAAGTCATCAGGCATTGGTTAGAGTCTCATAAGAGGCACACAAGCTAGATTCCTCGCATGTGCAGTTCACAAAAAGGTTTGCACACCTGTGAGAATCTAATGCCACTACTGATCTGACAGGAAGCGGAGCTCAGGCAGTAATGCTCACCCTTGCCTGCCACTTACCTCAGCCCAGTTTCTAACAGGCCACGGACCAGCACCGGTCTGTGGACTGGGGTTGGGACCCCTGCCATAGGTGTGTAATAGGCTGTATCATCTGGCTTTGTGTTTGGTACACTCTATGATGTCTGCACAATGACAAAATCACCTAATAATACATTTTGTAGAACAAATCCCCATTAAGTGACCCAGATCTATAATTTAAAATAACAGTGGGAAACCAAACTAGTATAATAAACTCATTTCCAGGCCGGGCACAGTGGGGCTCTCGCCTGTAATCCCAGCCCGTTGGGAGGCTGAGGCGGGCAGATCACGAGGTCAAGAGATCAAGACCATCCTGGCCAACATGGTGGAACCCCGTCTCTACAAAAACTACAAAAAAATTAGCCGGGCGTGGTGGTGCACGCCTGTAATCCCAGCTACTCGGGAGGCTGAGACAGGAGACTCTCTTGAACCTGGAAGGCAGAGGTTGCAGTGAGCCAAGATCGTGCCACTGTGCTCCAGCCTGGCAACAGAGCGAGACTCCGTCTCACAAAACAAAAAAGCAACAACAACAACAAAAAGAAACTTGTTTCCCACCCAAAAGCTGGCAGAAAATAATTTTTAATAATTTCCTGCATATTATTTATCTGTTTTTTGTTTTGAATGTTGTATATTTTTCTCAAATGATTACCAATTTCTTAGTTTTATATATTGAACTCTTTATTGAATAAAATCTTTGATCTCATTTTATTTATTTTTCCCACTTGGGTAATTGATTAAGAATGTATTCTCTGCTAGGTTACAATAATATTCTCCTGCACATCCTTTTAACTTTATGGCTTTATATATTGCATTCAGGTGTTTAATTCACTTACAGTGCATATTTGCAATTGGTGCTAGTTGGTTCAGCTTTTTTCGCAATAACAAATAACTTCAAAAGCTCATAGACTTAAAACAGCAAAAATATATTTCTCATTCATTTGCGTGAAAAGTGCAGGTCAACACTCATGGGCTCTGCCATCATGTTTTCATGTTGTAACTAGACTGAAGAGGCAGAGGCAGCCTCTATCTTAGAAATATAACAGCTGTTTTATCAAAATCTGTCCACCTCTAGTCTTTAAACTTCATAAGGTAAGGGACAGAGTCTGTATTTTCTACTTTCTGTGAAACCCTTGTTTATATCTTTCGCTCATTTTTCTATGTATTGCTTCTGTTTTATCACAAATTTGAAAGGAAATTTTAAAAATGTTTCTATGCCAATCTTCTGATGCTTATACGCATTTTCCGTATCTTGCCAACTGTGGCTGGTTTTCTCACTTTGATTATGCCATGTTTTGATGAAAAGTTGTTTATATTTAAATGGAGTTGAGTTTATTAATTATTTTCTTCATAGTTATAATTTTTGTCTCACTGAGGGAATTCACGCTATTCAAAAATAACAAAAATTATCTAATATTCACTAAAAGAGATTTAAAACTTTGCTTTTTACACTTAGATCTTATATCCACATAGAACCATTTATTATTTAGCTGTTTTAATTTGTTTTGGGAATATTTGTGTGGGGAATGAGATAGAAATCGAATAAACTATTTAAAAGACTAAATGGATGAGATCTATTCATAAAATGATTCAGTGCTATCTTATGATGTATAGAATAAAATCCAAACTCTTTTTCTTTCCTACAAGCGCTGAATCCTCTGGCCTACCATTCACACTCCAGTTCATTCCATTAATTCCCTTGCTTATTTTGTCACTATCTGTGGCTTTAATTCAGTTTTTCAAGTATTAACCACTTTCTTTTCTCTTTCCGTATTATCCATCTCTTACCCAAAGACTTCCTGGTTTTTTTTTTTTTTTTGAGATAGAGTCTCACTAAGTTGGCCAGGCTGAAGAGCAATGGCACGATCTTGGCTCACTGTATCCTCTGCCTCCTGAGTAGCTGGGATTACAGGCATGCACCACCACACCTGGCTAATTTTTGTATTTTTAGTAGAGACAGGGTTTCACCATGTTGGCCAGGCTGGTCTTGAACTCCTGACCTCAGGTGATCTGCCCGCCTCGGCCTCCCAAAGTGCTGGGATTACAGGCATGAGCCACCGTGCCCTGCCTGACTTCCTGTTTATTTTTGTGTGTCAGTTTAAATGCTGTGTTTTTAGGGAGGCCTTTTCTGCGCCATCTATTTAAATTGTCATTTCCCTTCAATTTCTGAAGCTAGTTCTGTTTTTTACAGAACTCTTATTTTTTTCCTTTATTTTTTGTTCATTTCATTATTACTGATTTCTCTTCATTGTACTCAAGCTTCATGAGGCAGAAACCATATACATGTATATTTTTTACTTTTGCTCCTTGAAGCCCATCAAATTCCTGGCATTTATAGGTGCTGAACAAATGAACAATTGAATTATGTGTCCTCATTTCCTTCTTACTTTCATCTAATTAATCATCATATTGCCTAGGTTCAGTATCTTCCATATTCTCACATTAGTCCATTTTTGTTAAAAACTTATGGGCACTGTCTTATTATATAAATCTATGCTATTTCTTATTGCTACTGCCATATTATAGATCTACATTATTTATTAAATTGTAAGCTGTTTTTTTCTCTTTTACCTTTCCCTTCTACAGTTCTATTTCTACACAATAGATCTTCCTAATTTTCTAACTGCATGGCTTTTCTGGTTATAATTCTTTAACTCTTCTTCATTTGCTTCAAGAAAAAAACCTAAATTTGTAATATGTACACAATATTCTGTTGATTCAACATTCTATTCCAGCTACCTTCTCATTTCTTCCACTTTTTACTGCATAATTTTGTAAACGTTTTTGTAAATATTTATTTTATTTATATTATATATAAAATATTTATATTAAATACAAAACTTTATGTTTTGTATAAATAAACATTGAGTTCTATTATCTTTTTCGCATCACCAAATCTCTTTTCCTTTCTCTCTGTGTGTGCATATATGTGTATATATAGTTTTTATTGATTGATTGATTTGTGGAATATTTCATGTATACATGAAAATGTAAAGAATAATAAGATGAACTTCTTGTACCCATCAAGAATTAGTGACTTGTAGCCAATCACACTTTATATATGTCCACCCAACTATCTCAAAATACTGGATAATTTTGAAGCAAAATCAGACACTTTATTTCATCTATAAATACTTTGGAATGCATTTTTTTTTTTTTTTTGAGATGGAGTCTCGCACTGTCACCCAGGCTGGAGTGCAGTGGTGCGATCTCAGCTCACTGCAGGCTCTGCCTTCTGGGTTCACACCATTCTCTGGCCTCAGCCTGTCTGTAATCTCAGCACTTTGGGAGGCCAAAGTGGAAGGATCCCTTGAGGCCAGGAGTTTGACACCAGTCTGAGCAATATAGCAAGACCCCATCTTTACAAAAATATATTTTTTTTTTGAGACAGAGTTTCACTCTTGTTCCCTGGGCTAGTGTGCAATGGCCCGGTCTCGGCTCACTGCAACCTCCACCTCCTGGGTTCAAGCGATTCTCCTGCCTCAGCTTGCAGAGTAGCTGGGACTACAGGCGCCTGCCACCACACCTGGCTAATTTTTTATGTTTTTAGCAGAGATGGGGTTTCACTGTGTTAGCCAGGATGGTCTGCATCTCCTGACTTCGTGATCGGCCTGCCTCGGCCTCCCAAAGTGCTGGGATTACAGGTGTGAGCCACCGCACCCAGCCTGGAATGCATTTCTGAAAGAGAACTTTTAGGGCATAATTTACATATACATAGTAAAGTACACAAATCTTAAGCAGCTTGATGCATTTTTACATATGTATACAATTATATAAACAACTTACATCAGGATATATAATAGACCATTTACACCATACTGCAATTTTTTTCATGGTTCTTTCCAGATGGCATCCTCTATGGGTAACCACTATTCTAACTTCAATGAACATTGGTTAATTTTGCCTTTATTAAGACTTTATTAACCTTAGAGGAATGTAATCTAATGGCATCTCTATGGTGTCTGGTTTCTTCCATTAACATAATATTGCTGAGATGTATCCAAGTAGTGGGTGTTAGTGATTTATTCCTTTTTGGTGTTGAGTAGCATTCCATTATATACATATGCCACAATTATGGTGAAAGGCATTTATATTCTTCCTAATGTTTGCTTTTTATGAATAAAGCTGATGTGCACATTCGTGTATGAGTCTTTTGGTGGATGTATGCTCAACAAAGTGGGGACATGTTCAGGCATATTATATATTACAAAACCATTTTCCAAAATGGTTGAAAAATTCACGCTCCCACAAGCAATGGATCAAAGTTCTAGCTGATTCACATTTTCGACAACATTATTAGTCCTCTCAATTATAGCTATTTTACTGATTTATATTGATATCTCATTGTGTTTTGATTGAAACTTTTCTAATAAATTGTTTGACCATGATACATATGCTTCTCTGACATTACTTCTGGATTTGTGCTAATTACAAATAATGTGGCATGCACATTCTTGTACATCTTTTTACTTGGTGCAGTTACCAAATATCCACCTGATCCTAGTGATTAATTTGCAGCTATGCCTACTACAGATCATAATTTCTATTCTTATCTTTAGCCTGGATTTTATTATCTACACTTGGCCCTAAGACTCTCTACTTTAGCTTGCTGATTTCAGCAGATTTCTGTGTCTCTCAATCTGTATTTAGCAATGAACCTTTCCCTAATTCTAGCATCATCCATACCTTCGGCAAAATGCAAAGCTTCATCTGCACTACAGTCCTACCATCTCACCATCTTGGCATCAGAAACAATGGCGAATAATCTACAGAATATTATGAGAATCATTGGGTAAAAATAAAAGGATGGAGAAGGTTTTAATAGAGAAGGCAAAATATTATCATGGAAGAAAACAGCAGAGACACGTAATAGAGTAGAAATCAGCTGGAGAAGTTTATATTGCATGTGTTGAGCTCATCAGAAAGATGATATGTTTGGTAGATGAAAGAAGAGACTAGTTGGTAAAATGTCTTGAAAATTGATCAGTTTCGTTTTGATTTAATAGCAAATAGTAATCAGCCATGAAAGTTCTCAAATTCAGTTTCTTCCATGAACATATTTTACATGATAGTTTTTCTTATTTCACAAAAGCATAATCAATTATTAAAATTTAAATGTAACTATGAATACATACTGTAGTAAAATATTTCTTTCCTTGTATAAAGCAAATCAATAATTTTTAGAATTAAATATTTTCTATTGCACCTTTCTTAAAAAAAGAAGTCTTGATCCATATTTTCTCAGTGCCTAAGTAATATATTAGGTGTGTGAATTAACTTTCTAGATTAATATTGGTAGATGCTCTGTACCTCCTCCTGTGAAATTTATGAAGATTAAGTCCATTCACTCACAGCACCTGTGTTAGTAAGAACATTTTAAAATTTTCTCATGCACTGTTTAATTTAATGATTTACTTTTTATAAAGGAGAGTGCTAGTAGGTATTATTGTCATTTTATATCTGATGAAGAAATTACTGAAATTAACTTAGCCATTGAGGACAAGGCTTAGATGCACACCGGAATCTACTGATTCAAAACCCATACCTCTGTCTAATGTGAGTTATCTGCCCTCTTCACTGCATGATTTCCACTCATGTGCATTCTAAAATACATCTAAGATACAATTGGGATTCTATCTAGGAGGGTTTCATTTTATTTTTCCTGCAGATTGCAGGGAATACTTGTTTTCTTCTCTGGAGAAAGTTGATAATTTGTCAGGTGCAACTGCCTCCGATTTTAGGAAGTCATTTAAGTAATTTCCCTTCCATTAAGGCTAATAAGAACCTTCCCTACTTGTTTAATTTTGTGCTTTCTGGACTTCAATCCATTTACAATACTTTAGAAAGTACTAAATTTAACTGTGATCCTTTATAGTGTGAAGTATAATTTTTTTTATAATGTTATCTATTAAGAATTCTTGAGACAACAGGTTCAAATCTATGCCCATCAACTCTTTCTGGTTTTGTTTTTTCTGAGTGTGTGTGTGCGTGTTAGGAGGGGAGCAGGGAGGTGGTGTTCACAACCATGATAGATATTATACTTTCCATTTTTTATTCTATTATTATTATACTTTAAGTTTTAGGGTACATGTGCACAACGTGCAGGTTTGTTACATATGTATACATGTGCCATGTTGGTGTGCTGCACCCATTAACTCGTCATTTAGCATTAGGTATATCTCCTAATGCTATCGCTCCCTCCTCCCCCCACCCCACAACAGTCCCCGGTGTGTGATGTTCCCTTCCTGTGTCCATGTGTTCTCATTGTTCAATTCCCACCTATGAGTGAGAACATGCGGTGTTTGGTTTTTTGTCCTTGTGATAGTTTTCTGAGAATGATGGTTTCCAGCTTCATCCATGTCCCTACAAAGGACATGAACTCATCATTTTTTATGGCTGCATAGTATTCCATGGTGTATATATGCCACATTTTCTTAATCCAGTCTATCATTGTTGGACATTTGGGTTGGTTCCAAGTCTTTGCTATTGTGAATAGTGCCACAAGAAACATTCGTGTGTATGTGTCTTTATAGCAGCATGATTTATAATCCTTTGGGTATATACCCAGTAATGGGATGGGAGGTGGAGTCTCGCTCTGTCCCCCCAGGCTGGAGTGCAGCAGTCGGGATCTCGGCTCACTGCCAACTCCGCCTCCTGCGTTCACGCCATTCTCCTGCCTCAGCCTCCCGAGTAGCTGGGGACTACAGGCTCCCACCACACCCAGCTAATTTTTTTGCATTTTCAGTAGAGACGGGTTTCACCGTGTTAGCCGGGATGGTCTCGATCTCCTGACCTTGTGATCTGCCCGCCTCGGCCTCCCAAAGTACTGGGATTACAGGCGTGAGCCATCGCACCCAGCTGGGTATTGTACTTTCAAAGAGAAAAGCAATAAAAATAAAAGAAAAATAAAAGCAGACGATCTTTTAAAAGATCTCTATAAAAATTACATAAGTCATTTTGCAGAAATTATTGTAAAACTGGTTATTCATCTCAGAGACTTGACTTCAAAACAAAAATGAAGAGCCTGAACATTATCCACTGAATTTTTCCATTCTGAAAATTAAAGCCAGAAAAATCCCAGATCACTGGAAGCCTTTTTGCAGCTATCAGCTTGATTCTATGTTCTAAATTACTGGAACAGTGATTTATAGTGACTATTTCTAACCATTTCACTTACTTTTGGCTAAATTGTCTTTGCTTTAGAGCAATGGTAACCTCTTTGACTGTACATCTAAAATTCTGTTTTAAGTATATCCCAATTCTTCTGTGCCTCTGTTGCCATCTCAGTTTTCCAAGCTTTTGTTTTCTCTCCCTGTTTTCCTCTTCGTGGTCTTTTAAATTTATTTTGAATGCTATATCTTCTGGATGCTAAGTTGGTTTTCTTACATACCACAGTGACTAGCCAGTCACCCTCTTGCACTCATGAACAGCAATCTATTGAGTTCCATGTATCACTAAACATCTTTCCTAGTGCTGTTTCAATCATATTCATGTTATATTGCTTTCTATTATATAGGAGCTGTCCCCTCTGGGCATTTTCTGCCCATCTCCCCCACTATTTCCTTTTCACTCCAAACTGCCACTTTATATGTCTCTCATCATTAAATGTGTAGATTGATCTTACTTTCTTTCAGAATTTCTTGACTCAGCAAATTGAGTTTTGATCTTTAATTCAGCTTTTAATGATGGTAGTGATGGTGGTGTTCTGGTGATGTGTATGCAGGTGTATTTTATTCATAGCTTCTTCAGGTTTTAATTCTCTAAACAAAATCCCCTCTGCCTATTCATAATCCAGCCAATGTAATCCCCAGGGGCACAGAGAAAGCAGCCTTCAATTAGGGATTAGTCAGGCCAGGTCATGGTTGGCTAAGGCTCCTGGCTGAGCCTCCTACTAGATCCCGCTGTCACTCTCCTACTGTTGTAATTATGGCCACTTTTATTTAAATACCCCTGCCATTTTATTTCAAAGTTATTGGCTGATTTTTTATTTTCCCTTTCTTCCCTATATTAATAATATTTTTAAATATTTTACTGTTAAGTATTGAGGGAAATCAAAGTATTTCACTGCAAAATATACTTCTTTGACAAATTTTGAGAAGTTTGTTAAGAGGACCTGCAAACAGAAGTAGCCCTGCAAAGCTGTCCTTTTGCAGGGAGATTTGCATCTGTAGAGAAAATCTGGCTTGATGTAGCCAGGTTTTCTCTAAGGTCTTCCCTTTTCTTAATGTAGGAAAGATTGACTGAAAGTTTAACACTTTTGAAAATCTGAAAGAAACACTTACCATCTATTCTCTCCGAGGGCTGCTTTCTGTGAGATTTCGTCTACATAACCAGACCACTTTTGCTGGCCAGACCTCCTGTTCTCCCCATCCCATAACCTTTTTATCACCATAACCTGTTTTGCCATGGTCCAAGCTTTTTTCTGTAACCTTGCTACAGGAAAAGGGTCCCAATCCAGACCCCAAAAGAGAGTTCTTGGATCTTGCGCAAGAAAGAATTCAGCGCAAGTCTGCAGTGCAAAGCAAAAGCATGTTTATTAAAAAAGTAAAGTGGTGAAAGTACAGATTCTCCATAGACAAAGTAGGACATTCCTGAAAGTAAGAGGAAGAACGCGTCTACCCTAGGTACAATGCTTGTATATATATAGGATTAAAAAAAGGTCATGAGGAGATGTGCTCTGTTACAAGGTTTTGTGGTGAAGAATTAGTTTTCTTAATTACTATATTTTGCAAGAATCAATATTATTATCTTTAAAGTAAAATTAGGAATCTCTTTGTTCTCAAGATATCGGGATATCTGGACACTCCCAAGTCTGGGTCTATTCAGTAAACATTATCAATCGGTTTCCTTAACCATAAACATCTAGAGGCCAGGAACACCTTTCTTCCAGGGAATGCAGCCCAGCAAGTCCCAGCCTCATTGTCCTAGCTCCCACTCAAGATGGAGTCACTCTGGTTCGAACGTCTCTGACAACCTCATGATGATAGATACATTTCTGTACCCCACTAGGGGTTGGGGGTAGTCATGCTGTGGTTCTCCCTCATGTGTTGTCCCTCCCACCTTAATAAATTTGTGTGCCATTTCTCCCATTAATTTCCTTTTGTAACTTGATTTTTCAGTGACCCTTCAGAGGGCAAAGGGGAAGTTTTCCCTTGGCTCCTATGGCATGTTTTTTGTTTAAAATAAAAGTCAAAAACATTGATTAAGTTGACAGTCCATTGGTAAGCATGTATTAATAGCATGTTTTTTTCTATGTGATTTTATATTTAGGAATCTGGATGAATACCATACTATTTGAAAAAATAAATTTAATGGTTACCAAATTGAAGAATAAAGAAGGTTAAATCTTGGTAAGCTATATTAGATATACTGTAGGGGATTTCAATCCATTTTTATGGGTTTGTTTGGTTTAAATGGAGTGTTTAGTTAATAATACTTTGAATCGTGCCTTCTATTTTATTTACTCACAGATAGCTACACCATTAAATGCTCTATTTTTAGGAGATTTGCTATTTAGACTAGTAATAAAATGTCCAGGGTAAATGGAGTTTTCCACTAGGAAACATATTTTTATCCACTTATACATATCAAGTTATTAGCTAATAAGCTAATAATAGGTGATAACATATTGAAGAATGTAAATGAGAAACACTAGGTTTCATTTTGGAGAAGTAAAGACATCTCTTGTTTCATATTGTTTTACAATTGAAACCACAGATTTATTTACTTAAAAAAAATTAATAGCCATTTTCCCTATGGCGCTTCACAGAAAGTTACCCATTTGTAACACTTCTTTCAGAATGTTCTCCACAATCAATATTTTTTATGGGTGGAACTATGAAAACCAAGAATCAATAGTTGATTATAATAATAATGACATTAGTAATAAAAGTTGCAATGCTTTATGTAAATACAGTGACTTTTTTATTGATCTCAAAACTGCTTGTGTGTGTAATTATAATATTGGCTGATTCATTCATATTAAATACCTATAGCAAAAATAGAATGAGGGCTTGAAGTCATTGGCGAATATTTCCATATGAAATGTTATGTCTCTTATCTTTAGTTTAGATATGGATATTTATGTTTAATTTTTTTTGAATTAGCAAACATGTAGTAAAACTAACAGGTGTTCAAATAACATTCAGAGGGGAAATGTCACTATTAATATGTTTTACACATAAAATACAAATATCTACATGTTTAAGTGCCCTAGGATAAGTTATTATAATTTTTCTTTTTTCTCTCTCAGAATTATATCTTCTTTAAATTATTGATTTCCAAATATTTCTCTTGAGCCAAGACACCACGCTGAATTCCACCTGCCTACTTTGTGTCATCACTTAGATATCTAATAGATATTTTAAACTTAACATGTGCAGATATAACCTTCTGAACCTGTTTCTTTTTTGCCTCAGTAAATGACAACTCCATTTTCCCAGTTAACTTGGTTCAAAAATCATAAAATCAACCACCAATTGATCACAACCTGTTACAGATTTCTTTGTTCCTTCTTCGCGCTCACTGCTCCACTTGACTAGCCTTGAAAAATAAAAATTAAAATAATTTTTTTTGAGACGCAGTTTCGCTCTTGTTGCCCAGGCTGGATGGAGTGCCAAGGCCCCGTTTCAGCTCACTGCAACCTCTGCCTCCCAGGTTCAAGCGATTCTCCTGCCTTAGCCTCCCGAGTAGCTGGGATTACAGGTGCCTGCCACCACGCCTGGCTAATTTTTGTATTTTTAGTAGAGATGTGTTGGTCAGGCTGGTCTCGAACTCCTGACCTCCGGCAATCCGCTCGCCTTGACCTCCCAAAGTGCTGGGATTACAGGCGTGAACCACCGTGCCCGGCCCGAATAATTTTTTAAAATGATGGAATCATTATTGGATTTTATTTTTCTCCAATACCAAATATTCTAATATTTAGGGAAACCTATTGGGTTTCTTCAGAGTGTATGCAGTATCTGACCACTTCTCACCATTTTCATTTTTAACCACTTATAGTCCAAGCTATTATTCCATATCACCTAGATTATTACAGTGATCTCCAAACTGGTTTGCCTGCTTATCCCTGTGTTCCCCTTCACCCCCAGCCAAATCTATTCTCAATACAAAAGCCAGAGTAATTCTATTAAAATATATGGAGATCATTGTACTCCTTGGCTCACAAAACTCATTGGCTCTTTATTTAACTTAAAATAAAAGCTGAAGTCCTTCTAATTACCAACAAGACCTTACATGACTTGGAGCCCTGTTGCTCTCTGACCTTATCTCCTAATGCTCTGCCTCCTTGCTCACTCCACCCCTTACTGGTTTCCTTGACTTGATTTTAATAGACTAGGTAATTCCATTCTCAGGGCCTTTGCACTTGCCATTCCTGCCACCTGGAATAATCTTCCCTCAAATATCTATAGGCATTTTTTCCTCACCTGCTTAAGTTCTTGTTCATATGTTAGTTTCTTAGTGAGCTCTTTCCTATCTAAATATTGTAAACATCTCTGACACCTCCTATCTACATTTTGTGCTTTTTTCTCCTTAGCACATATTTTTTAGTTAGGTTTATTGTTCTCTGCCTCTTCTCTAGAATGCATTTTTTTCTGTGAAGGCAGAACTTTTTTCTTTTTCTTTTCATTACTGTAGCTCCAGTTCTTGATGCATAATAGATGCTAAGCAGTATCTTGTGAATGCATGGATGGTTCTTCCTATTCCTCTCCCTATAGGAATAAAAAATTTGGAAGTAGGCGAGAGAACACTGCTTAGTGAATATAAACTAAGAATGGAAGTACTTATCTCAAAGGTTTCAAATAGAAACTGATGTTATGATGAATCATTCTTTCAATCTCTTTGTCACACAGTGTGGTCAGGGAGCAAGAGCTCCTCTAGGTTTGGGAACAGGATAGCAATCCACTCTAAAATCCCATCCTCCTGTTGTGTTGGGAGAACATTTTGAATTGAGGGTATGGTAAAATACTGTTTCCCAAACAACTTACTCATTGAAACATTGTTGGCTGGGGTGTGTGTATGTAAGGGAGAGTAGAACATTCTGGAATTATATGAAACTAAGTCTGTTTTGCTAAAACAAAATGAAAGTTCTCAGCATTCACTAGGATTTTTAACGTCCTGCAAGTGATTGATTAAGCTTTTCCAACAACTGATTTTTGTAACAAATTTCATTTAAAGGGATACAAATGGCATAATAAGATACATGATATATCTTTTTATTTTCCTGTATTACTTTGTATCTCTCAGTGCTACCCAGAAGACAGTCACTGATGGTAATCAACAGGCTTCTGTCACTCTGAGAGATAGAAAGAGTGGATGCAATTTACTTTAAATTCTTTTTAAACCAACCCTTGATGCCTGGCTTATTGCAGATACCTGGCCCTTTTGGCTATCAGTCCTTCAGAGGCATCAGAGAATAAATACCCATCACAACAGCTCCTGGTGTTGTCCTGGGATAGTGGATGCCGCTTTCTTGAAAACTGGGTATTCCATCTGTTGATAAGGTTGACCACAAATGTTAGCAATAGTCCCACATAGGTCATTATAATATTTGTATCTTAAGTGTGATTAATCTTCTTCTTTCAGTTTATCTGTGAAACTCTCTTATGCTTTTATAAGATATTAATGGGACATTAGTATAATCTTAAATTAAGATTGGTTAATACTGCACTGTTGGTACATAATTTATGCTTTTAGCAAAGATGGCTTGTGATGTAAATATTGCTTAAAAACATCAATACAGGACTTCCTGGAAGTTCCATAACATTTTACCCAATGATGGGGTAGAGGTTAAAAGGAGTAATCAATGATTTCTTTGATTTTTCTCACTGCTGAGGACTATCCTAAGTGCTTTATATACATTTACATTAATTCTTAAAACAATCTCTCAAGATTGGTATTATTAGAACCACTTTATTGATAACTAATCTGAGAGTCTCAGAGTGGTTAAGTTGATTTACCCAAGGTCAAGTTGACAGACGGTTAATCTGCAAATACTTACTGAACATATACTATGGGTACAGTTATTCTACTGAGATGATACAGACAACAAACAGAGTTGCAATCCTCATGTCTTGCCAGATGATAAAAACCCACCTACAGGAGTACCAAAATTGTTATTATGAATTAATAATGTATTCGTATTCTTGAGATTTTGCTCATTGTAGCTGTCATTTAAAACAAACTTTAGGCTGGGTACGGTGGCTCACGCCTGTAATCCCAGCACTGGGAGGCTGAGGCGGGCAGATCACCTGAGGCCAGGAATTCGAGACCAGCCTGGCCAAGATGGTGAGACCCTGTCTCTACTAAAAATGCAAAAATTACCTGGGTGGGATGGCATGCACCTGAAATCCCAGCTACTCGGGAGGCTGAGGCAGGAAAATCGCTTGAACCTGAGAGGCGGAGGTTGCAGCGAGCTGAGATCATGCCACTGCACTCCAGCATAGGCGACAAAGCAAGACTATCTAAAAAAATGAACAAACAAAAACAATTAAAAAAAACCCAAAAAACTTTATTTTGCAAGTGTAGACATGACAATGTATTAACTTAAATTAACCTGATAACTTTAGCCAAATGTTTATTGTGTTGTGTTATTTAACGTTAGATAATATTAGTTTGTTTTGTGTAAATAGCTGCAATTACACATTAAACAAGAATGCAGGACCAGCCTATAACTGTAGCTAATAGCATATATATATTATGTTATAGGGTTTACAAAATGATTGTTACTTTTTGCAGTATCACAATAATCCTATGAAATTAGTCCATTTTGGGGGTGGGGGCAAGGGGAGGGATAGCATTAGGACAAATACCTAATGTATGCGAGGCTTAAAACATAGATGATGGGTTGATGGGTACAGCAAACCACCATGGCACATGTATACCTACGTAACAAACCTGCATGTTCTGCACATGTATCCCAGAACTTAAAGTATGATAATAATAACAAAAGAAATTAATCCATTTTACCGATTAGGAAACTGGAGATCAACTTGGTTAACAAATGCTCAAAGCCATGTACCATTAAGTGGAAGAGGGGGATTCAAACCCAAGCCCTCTGTGCCATTTTTCTAGCTCTTTTCAAGATAACAATGGAAGATGTGAACTCACTTTCTGATGTTCTATGATTGAAAAGAAACATGCTTCCACAAATTGTTCTAATTTTACTGCATAATTGAGCAGATTATACTATAAATTAATGTGTTGGCACAGTTAACTATTTCTTGTTTACTTTTCTTTCCCTAAGGAGTCTGCTACTCTGCAGGAGGCCTTTTAAACAGAAACATCCCATTAACTTTCTTAACACAGAGGCGAGAAAACAAACAACAACAAGCATAGCTACAATCGCTGTTATTAGGCACCCTGAAAAGATGTAACCCTGAGCATTGGATAGCAGTAAATCATAGAAGGGGGGTGTCAGGATGGGGAAGCCAGAAAGTCTAGCTTACTTTTTCTCAAAATATGATCTGCTTTAGAATCCTGAGGGAGTTGATTAAACATGCAGATTCCTGATCTCTGGCCCAAACTACTGAATCTCAGTCTAACGGCAGAGTTCCTAATGGGCCTGTTTTCATAAAGATTCCTGGATGATGGTTTTTGTTTTTCACTCTTGTACATTAAATATTAGGACTTTGAGAATCTAGTTCATTCTGAGTCATATGCTTCAGTTAAGGTACTCTGTCTGCATAGGGTACTCTGGCTAATTTAAACAAACAGGAATTTACTAAGAGCACCCAAAAGTTACTGAGACAAGAAGCAGTATTGGGAATAGGAAGGAATGGAGTTACCTTGGGGTCTAGGAAGCAAGAACCACAACATGAAAAATCTGTTCAGGCTATTGTAGCTCAGTCTGGATGGATGCTCGCCGTTTGTAGTGTCTTTGTTTGCATGCACAGGTCATGTGTTGGTCCCGTGTGTAATGGGTAGGTGGGCCCCTGCAGATGAAACTGGATTGAATAGGGAAAAGATAAGTCCAAAAAGGAAAGGGAAAGAAGGGAAATTAATACTGAGTAGTCCAAACATAGCTTTTCTACAGTACAAAATAATCTAGTTTCACTATTGATTGAAGCTAATTGCTATTCCTAAGTACCCTCCTAATAAGACCTAGTCTGGAAGGGCCCTTCACTCATAAAAACAATGAGGCATTTAAATGCTGATGATGGGCCTGGCACCATAGCTTATGTCTGTAATCTCAGCACTTTGGGAGGCCGAAGTGGAGAAGTGGAAGGATCCCTTGAGGCCAGGAGTTTGACACTTGTTCCCTAGGCTAATATGCAATGGCCTGGTCTCAGCTCACTGCAACCTCTGCCTCCTGGGTTAAAGCGATTTTTCTGCCTCAGCCTCCCGACTGGCTGGGATTACAGGCGCCCACCACCATGTTCAGCTAGTTTTTGTATTTTTAGTAGAGGCCAGGTTTCACCATGTTGGTCAGGCTGGTGTTGAACTCCTGACCTCAGGCAATCTGCCCACCTTGGCCTACAAAGTGCTGAGATTACAGGCGTGAGCCACTATGCCCGGCCCAAAATAATTTTTTTTTTAAAAATGAGCAAGGCATAGTGGCATGTGCCTGTAGTCCTAGCTACTGGGGAGGCTGAGTCAGGAGGATCCCATGGGCCTAGGAGTTTGAGGCTGCAGTGAGCCATGATCAGGCCACTGCACTCCAGGCAGGATGACAGTGCAAGATACTATCTCAAAAAAATAAAATGAATAAGTAAATGCCTCTTATGAACCCTATTGACATCAAGTAGGAATGAGCACTAGAGCTTTAAGAGGCCTCAGCTCAGCCTATCCAGCCCTTTGGTGGTGCTGTGTGTCTACAAAACTTTCCTTTGTACACAGCTACTTTTTCCCCTACACTCACCTCAAAAGGGCTTGTCAAGGTTGAGGTTGTAGCCCCTAGTTATTGAATTGTTTAATTCAATAACTTGTTTTGTGAAAACGTAGCAGAGATAAATAACTTTTTCTATGTAATAGAACCCACTTAGGATAGTTAGCTGATTAAAGTTTATCATATAACTATAGTGTCCATACCATTAGGTTTCCATTGTCTGCCCTTGGCCTTAACATTTCCTCAACATAGAACACTCCTCCAAATCATATTTCTGACTCTTTCTCAGCATTTGTATTTCCGCTCAAATGGCATTTTCTCAAAGGGAAATCTTTATGAACTTCCTCACAATGCCCCTGCCTTCTACTCTATCCTCACTGCCTGATCACTCCCTAGTCTATTATGATATTTTTCCTTCATAGCAGTCATTATCTGATTAATAAGCATTTTTACTTGTTTAAGATTAGTCTCTTTATGCTGCCTCCCAACATACAAACAGTCCCCCCAAACTGTAAAGTATCTGCTTTCCTCAACAGGTTATGAATAAGATTGCCATTTATTTAAAGTAGGACTTGAATAGATATTTGTTACTTAAATCCAAAGCTATCATAATGCCAATCTCTTTAACAGGGGCACAGAAGGCCCTTCCTTTCCATTCTATCTTTAAACACATTATCATTTATCCTATGCCTTAAACAGAATCGTGTTTATAGTTTGCTGAATATGCTATATGCTCTTTCATTTTTCATGAGGATTTCTGTTTTTTTTTTTTCTTTGCATGCACAGAATTTAAAAAAAATTTAAAAAAAGGAAAAGTCACAAGGTGGATTAGGTTGCTAGACCTTAAAACACTCCATGATTTCTTTGTCTTAGTCATTTCCTTTTTTTAATTGCTAAATTTTCTTTCCAGATTCCCTGCTTTTCTTTTAGTAAGAGTTTAACTGTACCTTATACAAATCAGTAATTATTCTCTTAATAACTAGTTATACTACAGGGTTAGATAGTTGGCTCATTCATTAACAAAGTTAAACATTTTATTTTAAAACAAGTTTTATTTTGTAAATATAACCATTTAGCAATAACTTAAATTTAAGTTTAAGCCATAAATGGAAAAATTACTACAACGGTAAAGCAACATGTAAGTCAGTCTCAAGAGTGTTTAAATTTTATGCAATGATTAGGAAGGATGATAGGTATCAGATCTGAAACTTTATAAACTGTGGACCCTTCCCTCTCAGCCTATACAAAAATCAACTCAAAATGGATTAAACACTTAAATATAGGATCTGAAACTGTGGAACTACTAGAGGAAAGCATAGGGGAAATGGTTCAGGACAGTCAACAAAACCAAAAATAGACAATGAGGTTACATAAAACTGAAAAGCTTCTGCACAGCAAAGGAAACAATAAGCAAGGTGAATAGACAGCCTGTAGAATAAGAGAGAATATTTGCAAATTATTCATCTGAAAAGGGGCTAATATCCAGACTATATAAGGAATTCAAACAAGTCAACAGCAAAACAACCCCCAAATTATTCAACTAAAAAACGGGCAAAGCGTATGAATAGACATTCCTCAAAAGAAGATATTCAGATAACCAATAATATAAAATGATCAACATCACTAATCATCCAGAAAATGCAAATCAAAACCACAGTGAGATATCATCTCACTCCAGTTAGAATAGCTAATATAAAAAAAGACAAAAAATAATAAATACTAGAAAAGATGTGGAGAAGAGGCAACTCTTGTACAAGGTTGATGAAAATGTAAATTAGTGCAGTTATTATGGAAGTCAGTATGGAACTTCCTCAAAAAACTAACAATAAAACTCCCATATGATCCAGCAATCCTACCACTGGATATTTATCCAAAGGAAAGGAAGTCGGTATATTTAACAGGCATCTGCACCCCCATGTTTATTGCAGCACTATTCACAGTAGCCAAGATATGGAATCAACCTAAATGTCCATCAACGGATGAATGGATAAATAAAATGTGGTACATATACACAATGGAGTACTATCCAGACATAAAAAAGAATGGAATTCTGACATTTAAGGCAACAAGGATGAACCGGAAGACATTATGCTAAGTAAAGTAAGGCACAGAAAGATAAAATACCACATGTTCTCACTCAGGTGGGAGCTAAAAAAAAAGTGAGCTCTTAGAAGAATAAAGTAGAATTATGGTTATTAGAGGCTGAGAAGTTTAGGGAAGAGGGAAAGAAAAAAAGGTTGGTCCATGGGTACAAAATTATAGCTTGATAGGAGGAATAAGTTCTAGTGTTCACAGCATTGCAGAGTAAATGTAGTTAACAATAATTTATTGAGTTTTTTTTTTTTTTTTTTTTTTTTTTTTTGAGACGGAGTCTCACTCTGTCACCCAGGCTGGAGTGCAGTGGCACGATCTCCGCTCACTGCAAGCTCTGCCTCCCAAGTTCACGCCATTCTCCTGCCTCAGACTCCTGAGTAGCTGGGACTACAGGCACCCGCCACCACGCCCGGCTAATTTTTTGTATTTTTAGTAGAGATAGGGTTTCACCGTGTTAGCCAGGATGGTCTCGATCTCTTGACCTCGTGATCCACCTGTCTCAGCCTCCTAAAGTGCTGGGATTACAGGCATGAGCCACTGCGCCTGGCTGTATTGTGTATTTTCAAAAAGCTAGAAGAGATGATTTTGAATGTTCCCAACATAAAGGTTTGATAAATGTTTGAGGTTATGGATATGCTAATTACTCTGATTTGATCATTACACATTGTATATATATACTGAAATATCACTCTGTAACCATAAATACATACAATGATTCTATATAAAGATAAAATGAAAAGTAATGTTTATGCTTTTATTGTCAAATGTAATTATATATATTTAATTTTTGCTTATGATAAGACTATTAGAGTCTGCAGATAAATTTAAGTGCTTAAGAAATTGAAACACATCAGAGTTTTACATTGAAATGTGTGGATCTTTCTTCAAGAGTCTCAAGCTCATGCTTAACTGGACAATTGAAAAATATCACTCTTTACTGATTTATATCAAGTTTTATTTGTACTAAAAACTAGTTTTAGTACTTACCTTTAATTTTCTAGTACTAAAACTAAAAACTAGTTTTAGTACTTACCTTTAATTTTCTAAGGAAAGCTAGTAAGATGCTTTGGCTAACTTTATTGAAGAATAACTTGGTATGAAATTATGATTTGTGATAGAAAAAAGAACTTAGATTTTATTATTTATTTTCAAAAATCAAATTAATGAAATATTTAGATTGATCTTTTTTGTTAGTCAATAAATTCTGACTGTGGTTGATCATGGTTTTCCAGGGCAGACACTATATTAATTTTAGTGTCATTTGAAAGAAAAATATGTTACAACTGAGAATATACTCATGAAAAGATAAGTAACAATTTAAACAATACACATCACAAATAAAGCAGAACCTATTTTTTGGAAAGACTTGCTGTATTATTAAAAGAGGCTACTATTGGTTTGATTAGTGTGACAAACTTCATGATGGAGTGGGAATTTTTAATGGTCATGGAAAATTATTTAATTTCAGGAGGCGAAATATTGATGGATGAGACATTCAACAAAGGGTTGATAGAGGGAGATAGGAAAGGAAATAGAAATGTACCTGGAGACAGATATTGTCAATATGACCAGGGAGAATTAATTGTGTATGGAACAGTGAGATACATTTGAAAATGTGGTATAGGATAGATTATACAGAATTCTGAGGAGTTTAATACTGCATTTGTATCCATTAGCAATGGTGAGCTGTTTAAAAGAAGTTTTTGAATCTTTAGAATATTTATTTGAAAGGTTTGATATATTTGTTTTCCAAGTGTGATCTAAAGATAGATCACATAATAAAATTGTCTAGAGAGTTGCTAAAAATGCATCAAGCTCCCAAACCCTAACCTTCTGATGTAGTATGTTTGGGTGGGAACCAGGACTACATTTTTTAGCAAGATCTCTTATTATTTATCACTTCACAATAAGTCTTAGAACCATTGGAGGAGGAACTATAGCCTGTGGAGCTCCCTTCTCTAAGGTTGCTGGAGCCCAGTCTCTCATGCCTCTCTCAGCTTATTTTCAAATATAAACCATCTCAAACATTGTGACTCAACAATACACCTGAACAATTAAAGATGAGTGCATTTTTTTTCCTATGCTAAACCTCAAATGAGTGAAATGGACCACCCAATAGTCCCATAGCTAGCTTTTTAAAATTTTTATTTTATAAACATAGAAATTGACTCTTACGGTCTTAAAGTTTCAAAGTTATATTTGTTTTATCTGAGTTCCTTCCTGAGGAAAGGACCTTCAGGCCTCTCAAAAAACGTGTCAAAGAACTGAAACTCATCAGATCACCATGTCCAGACAATGAAATACTGAACCCCCTCATTCATCATGATTACTTTCTTGCCGCTCCCTAGTTCCTGTTTTCTTACACATTGTTTCATTTCTTTCCTGCTGTATAAACTCCTAGTTTTAGTGTGTCAAGGAGATGGATTTGAGAATGAGCTCCCATGGCCTCTGCTGCAGCACCCAATTAAAACCTCCTTCCTTGACAATACTCATTGTCTTAGTGGTTGGCTTTCTGTGCGGTGAGCAGCAGGACCTAGACCAAACCCTTGGTGTTTCAGTAACATGATCAGAAATTGTGATTTGCTTCCAACCTGTGTTCAAAGCCAAGGCTCTCAGAGAACATCATTGGTCACCTTTATTAGACTGTCACCATATTAAGTAGGACTCTTCTGATTGCATGATATAAAATCCAGAGACTATGCAAACTTAGCAATATATTTTATAGAAGAATAACTTTTTGGTAGAAAAAATTAGGAGTGCCACTTGGGCCTTGTTTTGTTTTGTGTGTGTGTCTGTGTATTTTTAAAGTATAAGTCTAAAGTGACATTCAGAAGAGAAATGTAACTCTATACCTTTCATTATTGATGCATCGATTTGAATAATTTGTGTAAGTTCTTGGGTTAGGCACACATGGAGTGTGTGTGAAGAGTAACGAAGCCTTCCATTTGTTCTTCACAAATTTTTAAATGTGTCTCCTTTATTCTTTCCATTTTGAAAAATTAAATCATTCTCACGCCTCCATTTGCTAGGTGTAGATATTCATATTTGGAAATCTTTGTATCCTCTGATTGATGGGTATAAGTCTGTCATGGAGGTTGCCATGTAAAGCTAAATGCAGAATTTGTTTTCTCTATGAATTGATTGCTCATGTAAAATCACTTTTTACTGCTGCTGGTATTTAACACATAAATCTATCATTTACTTTTTTTTTAAGTGAAGGAGCTACTGGTTTATCATGTGTAGGAAACTTTTTTTCACTATGTCATCACTAAATCGAAGGTAAAATTATGTTTTTTTCCTGAACTATGAATTCTATGCTTTCCTTGAAATAGATAAAATAGATAAACAAGTAAGGTATTAGAGGAGTCTGGAAAATATTCATTAGTATCCACCTTTAGGTTTACCTGAAGTAGTCAGGATTTTCTTTTTAGTATTCCATTTTTATATGAAGTACCATTTTATATCAACTTCTTTTGTTCCATTGTCAGAATCTAAAGAAATATTATCTTTCTACCTGGCATTTAAACTGGTTCTCTATTTTTAATGGATGATGTGCATTGATTTGAAATACCTTGATAAATAATTATTTAAATGGATGAAGAGACAAATTGTTCCAGTAATAAATATTTAACCTAGGAGTAGGTTAGGCACTTTAAAAAGCTGTAGTAATACATGCAAGGCATTTTGGTTAATATTCAAAAACTGACCTCTGAAAATAATAAAAAATGTGTTAATTATAATCCAAGACATACCAGAGTAAACACCAATGAATCCTCCTTTATTTTACCTTGTCTCTCAATATTCTAATTCTGTAACAATAAATATACTCTTAAAGGTGAATTTTAGACATTATCAATTTATCTATTAGAAAATTATATGATGCTAATTCCATCATGATACATATTTAACAATGTAATAAATTAATTAAGTTAAACACAATTTATTAGATTAATTACATGGGGCTTAATTAGTAATTAAATAAACTACACTATAACATATTTACACCAATTTATGGAAAATGCTTTTCTCTTTATCTTTATTTTTTAATTCCTGACAACCTGGTAGAAGTTAAACTACAGAAAAAACATCTGCATTCTAGATTTTGATTATTAGTATTCTAAATTACAAATGCTTGTACTTGAACAAATTATATTATGGTAATTTTTTTCCTTTAAAGGGAGAATATCAATGGTTGAAGATCAGGCTATTTATCATCATCTTTGAAAAAGCAAAGTAACAATACAGCCCATTTAGGAGACACATTAATCTCCCATGTGACTCCAGAAGCAAACAGAATTTTAAAAAGCATCTTCAGAAATTATTTGGAATATACTTCTGTTCTCTAAGAATATATCTCTAACTTTCTTTTAACAATTTAAGACATAAAGGCAACACTAGATACTGATGCTTCAGGAAGTGTCACAGTAGAAAAGTTTTAACAGAGTTTATAGCCCTGGGGCCTTGGAAGGAAAAGCTAAAAACTATAAGTAGGGTAGTAGTGAATTACAATGATAAAAACTAAATGTCTTCCTTTTGCACATTAAGTTATGTTAAAACACTGACTGGTAAGTTACAGAGCTGCGGTTTGAACCTACATTTGTCTGAACCAAGTTTCCACACTTTTGACCACAATACCTTGATGCAGTGATTAAGAAGGTATTTTGTTGAAGCAGATAATAGGAATTCATACACTTCCTCTGTACTTGCTGAATGCATGATCTTGGACAAGATACTTAAGGCCTTTGTCTCAGGTTTTTGTTTTTTTTGAGATGGAGTCTTGATCTGTTGCCCAGGCTGGAGTGCAATGGCGTGATCTCAGCTCACTGCAACCTCTGCCTCCCAAGTTCAAGCGATTCTACTGCCTCAGCCTCTCAAGTAGCTGGGATTACAGGCACCTGCCACCATGCCCAGCTAATTTTTGTATTTTTAGTAGAGGCGGGGTTTCACCATGTTGGCCAGTCTGGTCTCAAACTCCTGACCCCTCAGGTCATCTGCTTACCTCGGCCTCCCAAAGTGCTGGAATTTCAGGCTTGAGCCACCACACCCGGCCTCAGTTTTTTAATTCTAAATGGAGTGATAATACTATAAAAGTACTTACTTCATGTATTAGTCCGTTCTCACAAAGCTATAAAGACATACCTGAGATTGGGTAATTGACAAAGAAAAGATGTTTAATCAGCTCACAGTTCTGTGAGCTATACAGGCTTCTGCTTCTGAAGAGGCCTCAGGAAACTTACAATCATGGCAGAAGGGGAAGGGGAAGTAAGCACATCTTCACATGAGAGCAAAGTGGGAGGTGCTACAATGGATACCCCATTCTCCATGATATGCTTGTTTCACATTGCATGCCTGTATCAAAACACCTCGTGTACCCCCCGTAAATATATATACCGACTATGTACCCACAACAATTTAAAAAAATAAAATAAAATGACTTCTCCCCATCTGTAGATTATCTTTAATTTCTTTAAGGTTTATTTTACAGGTCAAATTCCAACATAACCATATTTATCAATCTTCTATTTTATACTTAGTTTTTTTATGTCTTATTTAAGAAATCCTACCTTTCCCAAGACTTTCACCTTTAATATTTGACTAAAAGTCTTTTTGTTGTTGTTACTGTTCTTTTTTTTGTTTGTTTTTGTTTTTGTTTTTGTTTTAGACAGAGTCTTGCTCTGTTGCCCAGGCTGGAGTGCAGTGGCACAATCTGGGCTCACTGCAACCTCCACCTCCTAGGTGAGTTCGAGTGATTCTCCTGCCTCAGCCTCCGGAGTAGCTGGAATTACAGGCGCCCACCACCACACCCAGCTAATTTTTTTGTATTTTCAATAGAGACGGGGTTTCATCAGGTGAGCCAGGCTGGTCTCAAACTCCTGACCTCAGGTTATCCACCCGCCTCGGTCTCCCAAAGTGCTGAGATTACAGGCATGAGCCACCACACCCGGCCTCTACTAAAAATCTTAAGTTTTGTTATTGACATTTCATTCCTAGGATCTTCTGGAGTTTGTCCTTTTATATGGAGTGAGAAGAGGTCAAATTTCATATTTTGTTGTTATCATTGTTCATATGGAACATTTTGTGAGTCTCTGTGAGGCAGAAGTTCCATACAAAAAAGTGTGTTTGGAAGTAAAAAGAAAAATCAGAAACCAGAAGATTCTGAAAATGAAAGATTATCATGATAAGGAATCATATTAGCAGTCCAGCATATTAAATGGAAGGAATGTCTGAAAGCACCAAGCAAAGATAACAAGAGATGGACATCAAGGAAAAGATATGAGTTCCAAGAGTTAAACCATGAAAAACAAAACTGTAAATACCCGGATTTTTAGGGGAAAAAAATAGCTGCAGTAAAGGCAGTAATGAAACAATAAAGAAAATTTCATTTGCTTAAAAAAATGGAGTCTCAACACTGAAAGATTCAGCAATGAAAGTATAATAATGAAAAATATATATAACATTAGTTTAACAGTTGAACTCAACATCTGTTTACAAATTTAAATTTAGACAGTCTTGCTCTAGAATCACTGCTGTGTGAATCTGTATGATTTGACAATTACAAGTTTGCATGACACACTAGATATTATTACTATCGGGCTCAATTTTTTTTTTTTTTTTTTTTTTTTTGAAGATGGAGTCTCTTTGTTGCCCAGGCTGGAGTGCAGTCATGTCATCTTGGCTCTGTGCAACCTCCGCCTCCTGAGTTCAAGCAATTCTGCTGCCTCAGCCTCCTGAGTAGCTGTGACTACAGGTGCATGCCACCACACCTGGCTACTTTTTGTAATTTTAATAGAGACGGTGTTTCACCATGTTGGCCAGGCTGGTCTCGAACTCCTGACCTCAGGTGATCCTCCCACCTTGGCTTCCCAAAGTGCTGGTATTACAGGCATGAGACACTGAGCCCACCCTGAATTTTTTCTTTTTAGACCAAAGTACTATAGACAAAAGCACACAAAAGTCACACTGATCTCTGTATTCCAACTCCTATCTTTGGCATTTCCTATGAAGTTACAGCGAGACTATTTTACTCAGCAAACTATGTACCATGCACCATCTGTGGATGGCAGTGGGGAAAAAGATAACACAGGAACTCATAATTTAATACAGTGTCAGTACAGTATTATGAGACAAGATAGGATAGAAGCGGGATCCTCACTATTGAAGAGTCTGCAAGTGCTATAAGATCCTGCATGGCAGAGAGCGTTCCTCACGTGGTTAGGGAGAGAATTACAGTGGAGCAAAAGAGGCAATAAATTACAATCAGCCTATGTGACTCAGTGTCTTCAAAGTTAATAATTGCTAAGAATCTGAAATCTAAAACAAATACTGATTATTATTAAACTACAGTGTAACACATACTTTCTTCTTGGCTATCAGGTCTTTCTTCTTTCAATACCTGGAGGAAAAATACTCACCATTTAAGCCACTTGCGGAAAGCCCCTTTTTGCTTTCTAAAATTTGCTTCACAAAATGTATCATTTTCTCCTTCCTGTATTCAAAGCAGTTTTAGTCCTATTTTAGCAATTTCAATGTGCATTATTTTAGTTGTCTGTCTCCTTTACCACACTATGAACTCCTGAAGCATGATGTCAATATATTTCTTGTGTCTAAAAAGAAAAGGAACTCAACAATTGACTGTTGAAAGAATGAGAATGAATAAATTGACAAATAAATGAATGAACTGAATGATCAGCTTGAGAACTCAAACATACAAACCAAAACAGTATGCCAATGGGTATTCATATTTTAAATAACTTAAGCCTCAAAAATTGCATCTCTTGTGTTTACATTGAAGTCAAGGTCTTTGGTCCAGCTATCATACCACAAAATAGCGTGAGTGCTTCGCAGCATCACTGTTACTATTCTTTCCTCCAGTTCTCCAATCCCATCATCCAAAGTAGTATTTCTCTTTCTTTCAATATAGAAATGTCACTATTGAAAACCTATCACATGTTTTATTCTATTCAAAGAGAAAGTAAGACATGAGCCTTAGCATTGCCTCACCCATATTCTCATGCCCTGCATTGTTAAAGAAGCCACTCAGCAGAGCTGTGCTCTTTTAACACTAGCTTGAAATTTCATCTCTCAGTGTTGTCACAGCCAAATTTTTACAAATTTGTGAATATCCAGTTAGAGTTCAATTGTGAGATCAACCTTTCTCAGCAACTAGATTTCCAGCCTTTTCTTATGAGGTCAGGAAATTCTTGAGTGTTTTCCAAGATGCACATGTTTCCAGTTTCACAAATAGTACCAAGACCTAAATGAAGCTCCTGATTCCTCCCAGGAGTCTAGTAAAGCACAAAGCAAATTCTATCCATTTATGGCCCTTCTGTGCACTAAAATTACAGCTGGTCCTTTGCAATTTTTATGTAGAGGGAATTTAGTCTCTTTATTATCTTTGTACTTGAAATTATGAAGAGTCTTATTCAAAGCACCGTACAGTTTCAACCAAAGAACAGGTATGTGCCAGATTTAAAAATTTGGACAAGAAATTATTAAGTGACTAATGTCTGATCATAGAACATTGCACAATGGACCCGTTTATTTTACATATCATCACAACTTGGATTCGCACAACTTGTGTTTTGCTTGTAACTTCTATTTCTTGACTTGATTGCTTTGAAAAGTTTGCATTCTTTAACTAGCCTTAATTATTTGTGTGTATGTGACATCACTTTTCTCTAAATGGTCAAAGTTACTTTGAATTTTGTTAATATCCACTTTTAAATCAATGCCAATTGTCAAAATATTAAATATATAATTTATCTCACCAATAAGGAAACTGAAATTACCTAACCAAGGTACTCATTTTATTTACCATTAATTCCCTTTATTCAGTCAGTTTGTGTCTGTTAAGCGTGTTGTTTGTATTAAGCACTATGGTAGATGCTAAAAATGAAGATATATATAGCACTGAACCTACCCTCAAAATACCTAAGAAAAAGAGCAAAAGAAAAATCAAGGTGAATGGCCTATTACAATACAGTGTTTTAAGAGCTCTGACAGAGGTAAGGCAACAACTTTTTCAGAGGAAGAAACTCATAAGCAAAGGACTGGAGAAAAAGTAGAAAGGAATTATTAAAACATCAACGAAGTTAAAAGACTATAGGTTTTGGAGTCAGAAACCCAGACTTGTAACACAAACTTACTTAGTATGTGACTATTTTTGACTTGTCCCTTCAACAGCCTCATCAATAAGAGCAATAAAGTGGTCAGAATGACAGCCCCAGGAATCACTGTAGCCATTTCTTCTTAGCCATTGCAACCAAGGACTACACGTGTTACCAACCCACAGTTCTAGCTGAAGCACCTAGCCAACTAACTAGCAACATTTAGGGAATTAAAATGTGAATAATAGTGAAATTCAATATATATTCCGTCAGTCTCTTGTGTATGATCCCAAAAGAAAGACACAAAATTGACTTTATGTTCTTCAGAATCCAACACAAGGAGAGAATCCTGATTGGTGGCATAATTTAGAGCCTGTTACATATAAACAAATCAATTGCTGCGAAGAGTCAAATCTATTTCCCATCCTGAGGAATGAGTACAATTTGCACTCATGCTTCCTCATGGAATGATGTGGCAGTCCTGGGTCAGCTTGCCTTCAGATCTATTCCTCATGCCTCTTTTGCTCTGCTCAATGCTTCAGGGTGCTGATATGAAAGCTACTTTTTTCCAGGGTTCCCTAATAGTTGACTTCTGGCTGGGTATAGGCAATGGGAAGTGCTGATTGAATTATTGGAAGGGAGTAGCCAGGCTATTTCTCCTTCAGCCTCGCTGTCTAATGTAAAGTCTCTAGAAGCTGCTGTGTCTCCTTCCTGGGTCTGGCTCTCACTCTCAGTGCACAGGCACAGCCTCCTTTTTCCAGGGACCTCTGACCCTCTGGCTTCAGAAACTCCATCTTCTTATATTTTCCCTCCAGCCTAGGCGTGTTAACTAGTCTGTCACTATTTTCTCATTTGCTTCATTGTCTCATTTGACTTCTCAATGTTCCCATCATCCATATAACCATTGCCCTGCATTAAATTCCCTCTATTTTGGCAACTTAAAGATGTTTCTGGCTGGGCACAGTGGCTCACACCTGTAATCCCAGCACTTTGGGAGGCTGAGGTGGGTGGATCACATCAGGTCAGGAGTTGGAGACCAGCCTAGCGAACATGGTGAAACCTCACCTCTACTAAAAGCACAAAAATTAGCTGGGCATGGTGGCAGATGCCTGCAATCCGAGCTACTCGGGAGGCTGAGGCAGGAGAATCGCTTGAACCTGGGAGGCAGAGGTTGCAGTGAGCCGAGATTGCACCACTGCACTCCGGCCTGGGTGACAGAGCAAGACTCCATCTCAAAAAAAAAAAAAAAGATGTTTCTGTCTTCACAGATGAACTGATATTGAGGGCATAAGTTTCATCATCAATTATATCATGTCTATAATAAAAATGGTAAGTTTGTAAGTTATATTTCTTCTAACATTTATCAGTGTGGGCTGGGATATAATGTAAAAACACAGTTCAAAAAAAGTAATTCTACAATTTTAAGAGTAGCAAAATGATGAATGCAAAATACCCAGCTCATTGATGGCTGATTAATGAATGAGAATAAAACTGAGAATATATAGAAACATAGATAGAAGTAAAAGTGATTTAGAGACCTCCAAAACATATTTTTCCCCAACTATCAAGTTTTATATAAGTAGTAAGGTAGTAAGGGCAGAGAGTACTTGTTTCTGACTAGTACCTGGAAGAACAATTAAGAGCACTACCATACTCCTCAAAATTCAGCTGAGTTGGAGATAAGATAGGCAACGGTCTACCTGGGACATAAATAAACAAATGTTAATATAGTTTAGGAATAAATGATATCAGAGGAAAATAATACATAACAACATGGTAGTGACTTGAGATGGGGTTGTTGTGGTGGTGGCACAATATAAACACTGAATAATCAGGGAAGGTTACTCTTAGGAGGTGCCCTGGAGGAAAGACCTAAACGATCTGATGGTGCCGACCTTAATGAAAATCCAGGGAAAACACTACCGGCAAAACTACAGCAAATGACAAGGCCCAAAGTAGAACAAATTTGGCATGACTTGTTTCTGAATCAGAAACTTATACTTGCTAGTTTCTCAGGTGTCAAAAAGTACAAAAAAGAGAAGTACCCCCCCAAAAAAAGACCAATTTGAAAATGTTTTTAAGTGGCAATAAATTCATTTCAAAACAAACAAACAAACAAACCATGGACTATGTAGTTGTGAACAGTGTAAACTCCCAGAAAACACTCGGTGGTAAACATATGTTAGTCTAACTTGCTAAATTAGTTGAGCATGTATTATGTTCCATTGACCATTCTGAGTACTTTAAATGTATTAATTCGTTTAATTCTTATCACATTATGAAGTGATATGGTTTGGCTCTGTGTCCCCACCCAAATATCATGTTGAATTGTAATTCCCAATGTTGGAGGTAGAGTCTCGTGGGAAGTGATTGAATCATGGGGGTGAAATTCCCCCTTGCTGTTCTCATGATGGAGTTCTCATGAGATCTAGTTTTTTGAAAGTTTGTAGGACTTCCATAACTTGAGGTCTTAGATTTAAGTATTTAATCCATTTTGATTTGATTTTTGTATATGGTGAAAGATAGGGGACTAGTTTGATTCTTCTGCTTACGGATATCTGGTTTTCCCAGCACCATTTATTGAGGAGACTTTCTTTTCCCCAGGGTATGTTCTTGGCACCTTTGTCAAAATCGACTTCACTATAGGTGTGTAGATTTGTTTCTAGGTTTTCTATTTTGTTCTATGGGCCTATGTGTGTGGTTTTATGCCAGTATCATGCTGTTTGGTTACAGTAGCTCTGTAGTATCATTTGATGACAGGTAATGTGATTCCTCCAGTTTTGTTCTTTTTGTTTGGAATAGCTTTGGCTATTCTGAGTCTTTTATGGTGCCATATAAATATTAGGATTTTTTTTCTATTTCTGTGAAGAATGTAATTGGTATTTTCGTAGGGATTGCATTGAATCTGTAGATTGTTTTACTAGAATTGACATTTTAAAAATACTGATTCTTCTAATCTATCAACATGGAATATTTTTCTATTTTTTGTTGTCCTTTTCAATTTGTTTCATCAGTTTTTTACAGTTTTCATTATAGGGATCTTTTACTTCTTTGGTTATCCTAGGTATTTAATTTTATGTGTGGCTACAGTGAATGGGATTCCTTTTTAAATTTTTTTTCACATTCTTCACTGTTGGCATATAAAAATGCTATTGATATTTGTCTGTTGATTTTGTATCCTGTAACTTTACTGAATTTATCAGTTCTAATAGTTTTCTTGTGGAATCTTTAGGTTTTTCCAAACATCAGATCATATCATCTGAAAACAAGGATAATTTGACTTCTTCCTTTCCAACTTGGATGACCTTTATATCTTTCTTTTGTCTGATTGCTCTAGCTAGGACTTCCACTATCATGTTGAATAACAAGGATGACAGTGGGCATACTTGTTGTGCTCTAGATCTTAGAGGAAAAGCTTTCAGTTTTCTCCTATTCAGTATGATACTGGCTGTAAGACTGTCATATATGGCTTTTATTATGTTGAGGTATATTCCTTCTATCTCCAGTTTTTTTAGTGTTTTTATTATGAAGGAATGTTGAATTTTATCAAATACTTTTACAGCATCAATTGAAATGATCATATGGTTTTTATCCTTCATTCTTTTGATATGATGTATTACATTGATTGATTGGCGTAAGTTAAACCATCCTTGCATTCTAGGGATAAATCCCACTTGGTCATGATGAATAATCTTCTTAATGTATTGTTGAATTCAGTTTGCTATTACTTTGTTCAGGCTGTTTGCATCAATATTCATCAGAGATATTCACCTGTAGTTTTCTTCTATTTGTTGTATCTTTGTCTGGTTTTGGCATCAGGCTAATACTGGCCTTGTAGAAGGAGTTTGGAAGTACTCCCACCTTTGTTTTTTAGAATATTTTGAGTAGGATTGGTATTAGTTCTTCTTTGAATGTTTGGTAGAATTCAGCAGTGAAGCCATCAGGTCCTGGACTTTTCTTCACTGAGAGACTTTTTATTATGGCTTCAATCTTGTTACTTGTTATTGGTCAGTTCAGGTTTTGGATTTCTTCCTGGTTCATTCCTGGTAGGTTGTACGTATTTAGGAATTTGACCATTTCTTCCAGATTTTCCAATATGTTGGCATATAGTTGCTCACACGAGCCACTAATGATCTTTTGAATTTCTGCAGTATCAGTTGTAATGTTTCCTTTTTCATTTCTCTTTCAAAAATTTCTCTTTTTAATTTCTAGTTTCATACCATTGTGGTCAGAGAAGATGCTTGATATTATTTCAATTTTTTGAACGTTTTAAGACTTGTTTTATGCTCTAATATATAGTCTATCATTGAGAATGATCCATTTGCTGAGTAAAATAATATGTATTCTGTAGCTCTTAGATGAAATGTTTTGTAAATATCTATGAGATCCATTTGGTCTATAGTGCTGATTAAGTCTGATGTTTCTTTATTGATATAGTGCCAGTAAGATCTGTCCAATGCTGAAAGTGGGGTGTTGATATCTCCAGCTATTATTGTATTGGGACTATCTCTCTCTTTAGCTCTAATAATAGTTCCTTTATATATTTGGGTGCTCCACTGTTGGGTGCATATATATTTAACATTGTTATATTATCTTGCTGAATTAACCCCTTTATAATTATATGATGACTTTATTTGTCTCTTCTTATAGTTTTTGTCTTGAAATCTATTTTGTCTGATAGAAGTATCACAGCTGCTGCTCTTTTTTGGCTTCCATCAGCATGGAATATCTTTTTTTATCCCTTTATTTTCAGTTTATGTGTGTCTTTGTAGGTTAAGTGTGTTTCTTAGGAATAGATCCATTAAGATTTTGTTTTGTCATCCATTCAGCCAGTCTATGTCTTTTCATTGGTGAGTTTAGTGCATTTACATTCAATGTTATTATTGATAAGTAAGGAATTACTTCTGCCATTTTGTTATTTGTTTTTGGGTTGTTTTGTGGTCTTCTCTTCTTTCTTTCTTTCCTGTCTTCTTATAGTGAAGGTGATTTTCCCTGGAGATATGATTATTTTCTTGCTTTATATTTTTTGTGTGTCCATTGTATATTTTTTGGTTACCCTGAGGCTTGCAAATACTATCTTATAACCCATTATTTTAACCTGATAAAATCACTGTTTGCATAAACAAACAAACAAAATGAACACTAATAAAAACTATATGCATTAACTTTGTCTCCCTCACTTTTTAACTTTTTATTGTTTCTATTTATATCTTATTGTACTGATTATGTCTTGACAAGTTGTGGTAGTTACTATTTTTTATTGGTTCATTGTTTAATCTTTCTACTTAGGATTAAAGAAGTTCACATGCCACAGTTACAGTGTTATAATACTGTGTGTTTTCCTGTGTACTTACTATTACCAGTGAGTTTCATACATTCATGTGATTATTTATTGCTTGTTGGTGTCCCTTTCTTACTGCTTGAAGCACTCCCTTTAGCATTACTTTTTATTTATTTGTTTATTATTTCGATAGTTTTAGGGGAACAGGTATTATTTGGTTACATGGATAAGTTCTTTAGTGGTGATTTTTGAAATTTTGGTGCACCTATAACCCGAGCAGTGTACACTGTACCCAAGATGTAGACTTTTATCTGTCATCCCTCTCCCAACCTTCCTCCCGAACCCTCAAAGTCCACTATATCATTCTTATGCCTTTACATCTTCATACCTTACCTCCCACTTATAAGTGAGAATGTAAGAGGCTTGGTTTTCCGCTCCTGAGTAACTTCACTTGGAATAATGGTCTCCAACTCCATCCAAATTGCTGTGAATGCCATTATTTCACTCATATATATATATATTCCATGGTACATATATATATACTCCACATTTTCTTTATCCTCTTGTTGATTTATGTGCATTGGGCTGGTTTCATATTTCTTTTTCTTTCTTTTTTTTTTTTTGAGACAGAGTCTCGCTTTGTTGCCCAGGCTGGGGTGCAGTGATGGGATCTCGACTCACTGCAAGCTCCACCTCCCAGTTCATGCCATTCTCCTGCCTCAGCCTCCTGAGTAGCTGGGAATACAGGTGCCCGCCACCATGCCTGGCTAATTTTTTTGTATTTGTAATAGAGATGGGGTTTCACCATGCTAGCCAGGATGGTCTCGATCTCCTGACCTTGTGATCTGCCTGCCTTAGGCTCCCAAAGTGCTCGGATTACAGGCGTGAGCCACCATGCCCAGCCCTGGTTTCATATTTTTGCAATCGTGAATTGTGCTGCTGTAAGCATGTGCAAGTGTCTTTTTCATTTAATGACTTCTTTTCCTCTAGGTAGATACTCAGTAGTGGGATTGCTGGATCAAATTATAGATTTACTTTTAGTTTTTTCAGGAATCTCCATACTGTTTTCCATACTGGTTGTACTGGTTCACATTCCCACCAGCAGTGTAAAAGTGTTCACTTTTCACAACACCCATGCCAACATCTATTATATTTTGTTTTTTAATAATGGCCATTCTTTCAGCAGTAGGGTGGTATTGCATTGCGGTTTTGATTTGCATTTTCCTGATGATTAGTGATGTTAAGAATTTTTTTATAATTGTGATTATGAAAAAAATTAGTGACTGAAGCACTCCCTTGTTTCTTGACCATTTGTATATCTTCTTTTGAGAATTTTATATTCATGTCCTTTCCCTACTTTTTGATGGGATTAGTTTTTCATGCTGATTTGTTTGAGTTCCTTGTAGATTCTGAATATTATTCCTTTGTCAGATGTATAGTTTGCAAAAATTTTCTTCCACTCTGTGGGTTGTCTGCTGGCTCTGCTGATTATTTCTTGCTGTGCAGAAGCATTTTAGTTTAATTAAGTACCGTCTATTTGTCTTTCCTTTTGTTGCATTTGCTTTTGGGTACTTGGTCATGAACTCTTAGCCTAAGCCAATGTCTAAAAGAGTTTTTCCAATGTTGTCTTCTGAAATTTTTATGGTTTCTGGTCTTATATTTAAGTCTTTGATTCATCTTGAGTTGATTTTTTGTATAAGGTGAGAGATGAGGATCTAGTTTTATTCTTCTACATGTGGCTTGCCAATTTTCCCAGTACCATTTGTTGAATAGGGTGTATTTTCCCCGCTTTATATTTTTGTTTGCTTTGTCAAAGATCAGTTGGCTGTAAGTATTTGGGTTTATTTGGGGGTTCTTTATTCTGTTCCATTGGTCTGTGTGCCTATTTTTATGCCAGTACCTTGCTGTTTTCATGACTATAGCCTTGTAGTATAGTTTGAAGTTGGGTAATATTATGCCCCCAGATTTGTGCTTTTTGATTAGTCTTGTTTTGATCATGTGTGTGCACTCATTTTTGGTTCCATGTGAATTTTAGGATTATTTTTTCTAGTTCTGTAAAGAATGATGTTGGTATTTTGATGGGAATTGCATTGAATTTGTAGATTGCTTTTGGCAGTATGGTCATATTTACAATATTGATTCTACCTGTCCATGAGCATGGGATGTGTATCCATTTGTTTGTTTCATCTATGATTTCTTTCAGCAGTGTTTTGTAGTTCTCCTTGTACAGATCTTTCACCTCCTTGGTTAGGTGGATTCCTAAGCTTTTTGTTTGTTTTGCAGCTATTGTAAAAGGGGTTCAGTTCTTGATTTGATTCTCAGCTTGGTCACTGTTCGTGTATAACAATGCTACTGATTTGTGTACATTGATTTTATATCTTAAAACTTTACAGAATTCATTTATCATATCTTGGAGCTTTTTGGATGAGTGTTTAGGGGTTTCTAGGTGTATGAACCTAAATTGGCAAAAAGTGACAATTTGACTTCCTTTTTATCAATTTGGTTGCCCTTTATTTCTTTCTTCTGTCTCATTGCTCTAGCCAGGACTTCCAGTACTATGTTGAATAGAGATGGTGAAAGTGGGCATCCTTGTCATGTTCCAGTTCTCAGGGGGAATGCTTTCAACATTTCCTTGTTCAATATAATGTTGGCTGTGGGTTTGTCATAGATGACTTTTATTACCTTAAGTTATGTCCCTTCTATGCTGATTTTGCTGAGGGTTTAAATCATAAAGGCATGCTGGATTTTGTCGAATGCTTTTTCTGTATCTATTGAGATAATCATGTGATTTTTGTTTTAAATTCTGTTTATATGACATGTCACATTTATTGACTTGCATATTTTGAACCATTCCTGCATCCCTGTAAGAAACCCACTTGATCTTTTTGATATGCTGTTAGATTCAGCTAGTTAGTATTTTGTCGAGGATTTTTGCATCTATGTTTATCAGGCATATTGGTCTGTAGTTTTCTTTCTTTGTTATGTCCTTTTCTTGTTTTGGTGTTAGGGTGATACTGGCTTCATAGAATGATTTAGGGAGGATTTTCTCTTTCTGTATCTTTTGGAGTAGCTTCAGTAGGATTGGTACCAATTCTTCTTTGAATGTCGGATAGAATTCAGTTGTGCATTCATCTGGTCCTGGACTTTTGTTGTTGTTGGCAATTTTTTAATTATCATTTCAATCTGCTGCTTGTTATTGGTCTGTTGAGAGTTTCCTTTTTTTTCCTAGTTTAATCTAGGAGGGTTGTATTTTTCCAGGAATTATCCATCTTCTCTGGGTTTTCTAGTTTGTGCATTTAAATGTATTCATAGTAGCCTTGAATGACCTTTTGTATTTCTGTTTTTGAGATGAAGTCTCACTCTGTTGCCCAGGCTGGAGTGTAGTGGCTAATCTCGGCTCACGGCAAGCTCTGACTCCCGGGTTCATGCCATTCTCCTGGCTCAGCCTCCTGAGTAGCTGGGACTACAGGCACCTGCCACCACGCCCAGCTAATTTTTTGTATTTTTTAGTAGAGACGGGGTTTCACTGTGTTAGCCAGGATGGTCTCGATTTCCTGACCTCGTGATCCGCCCGTCTTGGCCTCCCAGAGTGCTGGGATTACAGGCGTGAGCCATCGTGCCCGGCTGATCTTTTGTATTTCTATTGTATTGGTTATAGTATCTCCCATTTCATTTCTGATTGAGCTTCTTTGGATCGTCTATCTTCCTTTCTTTATTAATCTCACTAATAGTCTATCAATTGTGTTTATCTTTTCAATAAACTAGCTTTTTGTTTCATTTATCTTTTGCATTTTGTTTGTTTCAATTTCTTTTAGTTCTGCTCTGATCTCGCTTATGTCTTTTCTTCTGCTGGGTTTGGGTTTGGTTTGTTCTTGTTTCTCTAATTCTTTGAGGTGTAACCTTAGATTATCTATTCATGCTCTTTCAAACTTTTTGATGTAGGCATTTAATGCTACTAACTATTTTCTTAGCAGGGATTTTGCTGTTTCCCAGAGGTTGTGTCATGTTTGATAGGTTGTATCATTCAGTTCAAATCAATTTTTAATTTCCATCTTGATTTCATTGTTGACCCAAAGACCATTCAGGAGCAGATTATTTAATTTTTATGTATTTTCATGATTTTGAGGGTTCCTTTTGGAGTTGATTTCCAATTTTGTCCCATTGTGGTCTGAGAGAGTACTTGATATAATTTTATTTTCTTAAATTTATTGAGACTTGTTTTGTGGCCTATGATATGTCCTATCTTGGAGAATGTTCCTTGTGCTTATGAATAGAATGTATATTCTACAGTTGCTAGGTAGAATGTTCTGTAGGTATTTGTTAAGCCCATTTGTTCTAGGGTATAGTTTAAGTCTGTTGTTTATTTGTTAACTTTCTGTCTTGATGACCTGTCTAGCGCTGTCTGTGGAATATTGAAGTTCCTCAATATTATTGTGTTATCTATCTCATTTCTTAGGTCTAGTAGTAACTATTTTATAAATTTGGGAGCTCCAATGTTAGGTGCATATATATTTAGGATTGTGATATTTTCCTGTTGCATTTATCTCTTTATCATTTTTATATAATGTTCCTCTTTGTCTTTTTTAACTGCTGTCACTTTAAAGTCTGTTTTGTCTAAGAATAGTTGACTCCTTCTTGCTTTTGGTGTCCATTGCATACAATATCTTTCTTCCATCTTTTCACCTTAAGTTTATATGAGTCCTTATGTGTTAGATGAGTCTTTTGAAGACAGAGGATACTTGATTGGTGAATTCTGTCCATTCTGCCATTCTGTAGCTTTTAAGTGGAGCATTTAGACCATTTACATTCAAAGTTAGTATTGAGATATGAGGTACTATTCTATTCACCATGCCATTTGTTGCCTGAATACCTTGGGATTTTTGTATTGTGTTGTTGTTTTATAGGTCCTATGAGATTTATGCTTTAAAGAGATTCTATTTTGGTATATTTTGAGGATTTGTTTCAAGATTTAGAGCTCCTTTTAGCAGTTCTTGTAGTGCTGGCTTCGTAGTGCTGAATTCTCTCAGCATTTGTTTGTGTGAAAAAGACTTTATCTCCCCTTCGTTTATGAAACTTAGTTTTGCTGGCAAAAAAATCTTAGCTGATAATTGTTTTTTTAAGGAGGCTAAAGATAGGATCCCATCCCTGCTAGCTTACAGGGTTTCTGCTGAGAAATCTGCTGTAAATCTGATACATTTTCCTTTGTAGATTATTTGATGATTTTACCTCATAGCTCTTTAGATTCTTTCCTTTGTCTTGACTTTAAGTAACCTGATAAGTATGTGCCTAAGCTATAATCTTTTTGCAATGAATTTCCTGGGTGTTCTTTGAGCTTCTTGTACTTGGATGTCTATATTTCTAGCTAGGCCAGGGATGTTTTCCTTGATTATTCCCTCAAATAAGTTTTCCAAACTTTTAGATTTCTCTTCTTCCTCAGGAACATCAATTATTCTTAAGTTTGTTCAATAATCCCAAACTTCTTGGAGAATTTGTTCATTTTCTTAAATTCTTTTTTTCTTTATCTGTGTTGGATTGGGTTAATTTGAAAGCCTTGTCTTTGAGCTCTGAAGGTCTTCCTTTTACTTTTTCTAGTTTATTGTTGAAATTTTCCAGGGTATTTTGTATTTATCTAAGTGTGTCTTTCATTTCCAGAAGTTGTGATTCTTTTTTATTTATGATGTCTATTCTCTGGAGATTTTTTTCATCCATATTCTGTTTTTAAGTTTTGGTTGTTTTAATTTAAGTTTGTTTTCTCCTTTCTTTGGTGCCTCCTTGAGTAGCTTAATAATTGACCTTCTGAATTCTTTTTCTGACAATTCAGATATTTCTTCTTGGTTTGGATCCATTGCTAGTGAACTAGTGTGATCTTCTGGAGGTGTTATAGAACCTTGTTTTTTAATATTACCAGAATTGTTTTTCTGGTTCCTTCTCATTTGGGTAGACTATGTCAGTGGAAAGATCTGGAGCACAGGAGCTGCTGTTCAGATTATTTTTTTCTCATTGGGTGCTCCCTTGATGTGGTGTTCTCCCCCTTTTCCTAGGGATGCAGCTTCCTGAGAGCTGGACTGCCGTGATTGTTATTTGTCTTCTGGGTCTAGCCACCCAGTGGGGCTACAGGGCTCTGGTCTGATACTGGGGAGTGTCTGCTAAGAGTTCTGTGATGTGATCTGTCTTCAGATCTCCCAGCTGTAAGTACCAGAACCTGCTCTCATGGAGGTAGCAGGAGAGCGAATTTGAGGCTGTGAGAGTCCTTGGTTGTAGTTGTTTAGTCCACTGTCTTTTTTGAATGCTGGGTATGCTAGCAGTAAAGTTGTCATATGGACAGACTCAGGACTTCTGGTTAGCAAGGGTGTTAAAGTTAGTAGAATTAGCTGTTATTTTCTCCTTCCTTGGAGCAGGGTTGTTCTGTTATGACTTGCTGTAATGGCTTGAGTTGGTTGGCCTTCATCCATGAGGTAATGCTTTCAAGAGATCACCAGCTGCAGTAGTATAGAGGGGATACACCTTGCCCTGAGGCCACCAGGATAAGTATTTGGGTTTCTCTGGTAATGGATAGGGCTATAGAGCTTCCAAGAGTTTGTGTCTTTTGTGTTCAGCTACCAGGGTTTGTAGAGACAAACCATCAGGTCGGGGCAGGGTTAAGTGGGTCTGACCTCAGACTCTCCTTGGGTGGGGCTTGCTGCAACCACTGTGGGGAATGTGGGGGTTGTTCTCAAGCCAATGGAGTTACGTTCTGAAGGGAATTAAGGCTGCCTCTGATGTGTCATACAGGTTGTCAGGGAAGTGGAGGAAAGCTGGCAGTGACAGGCCTCACCCAGCTCCCAGGAAGCCAGCAAGGCCAGTCTCACTTCTGCTGTGCTCTGTCAACAACAAACAGTGCCAAGTTTATATCCAGGCCTCCGGCACACAGGGCTACAAGACTCCCTGCTGAGAAAGAAAGCAGGGCTTTTAGGCTTTGCCCTTCCCTGTCTGCCACAGCTTCTGTGCTTATGTCTGCACTTTGCATTTGCTCCCCAGACTCTGCCCAGGAAAATTCACTCTCTCTTGAATTTACTACAAAGTTTAGTGGAAGCCTTCTTCTCCCTGTGGCCCTTCCCTGATTCCACTGGCTGCGTTCCCCAAAGGCCCCTGTGAAATTAAAGTCAGAAATGGCTTCCTTGGGGTTCCCTGAAGATTGGGCATGCCTACAAGGCTCTTCCCATTGCTCATTCTACTTTTGTATTTTACTTGGCTCTCTAATTTTGTTTCAGCTCTTGGTAAGGGTAAATTATTCTCTTGTGATCCTTATTTTCATTTTCCTGAGTGTATTAGTCCATTGTCACACTGCTATAAAGATACTACCTGAGACTGGGTAATTTATAAACAAAGAAGGTTTAATTGCCTCACAGTTCCACATGGCTGGGGAGGCCTCAGGAAATTTACAATCATGGTGGAAAGGGAAGCAAGAACTTTCCTCACAAGGCAGCAGGAGATAGTGTGAACATGTGAAGGAGGAATTGTCACATACTTGCAAAACCATCAGATGTCATGATAAGTCACTCACTATCATGAGAACAGCATGGGGAAACCATCCACTTGATCCAATCACCTCCTTCTTTTGACACATGGGGATTACAGGTCCCTCCTTGAGGATTACAATTCAAGATGAGATTTGGGTGGGGACACAGAGCCAAACCATATTACTCAGTGAGGATGTGTGTTTGGGGGCAGACTTTCCACCTCTCGCACTTTGGGAACGCACAATGTTTCAGCTGTTTCATGGAGGTTGCAGCAGCAAGCCACTTCTTCCAAAGGGTTTGTGAATTATTTTGGTTTTCCTGTTGTGTTCCCTGCAGTGGTTCTTGGAGCAAAAGTTCACAATGTGAATCTCCACATGCTAGTTCTGTCCATCTGAGTGGGAGCTACAAGTTAGTCTTGTCTCCTATCGGCAAGTTTTTTCATCACCAACTTCCTTTAGTATTTCTTATAGGACAGGTGTGATGGTTAATACTGAGTGTCAGCTTGATTGCATTGAAGGATACAAAATATTGATCCTGGGTGTGTCTGTGAGGGTGTTACCAAAGGAGATAAACATTTGAGTCAGTGGGTTGGGAAAGGCAGACCCACTCTTAATCTGAGTGGGCACCATCTAATCAGCTGCCAGCATGGCTAGAATATAAGCAGGCAGAAAAATGTGAAAAGAGAGACTGGTCTACCCCGGCTAAAATGGTGAAACCCCGTCTCTACTAAAAATACAAAAAATTAGCCGGGCGTAGTGGCGGGCGCCTGTAGTCCCAGCTACTTGGGAGGCTGAGGCAGGAGAATGGCGTGAACCCGGGAGGCGGAGCTTGCAGTGAGCCGAGATCCCGCCACTGCACTCCAGCCTGGGCGACAGAGCGAGACTCTGTCTCAAAAAAAAAAAAAAAAAAAAAAAAAAAAAGAGAGACTGGTCTAACCTCCCAGCCTACATCTCTTTTCCATGCTGGATGCTTTCTGCCCTCAAACATCGAACTCCACGTTCTTCAGTTTTGGAACTCAGACTGGCTTTCCTTGCTCCTCAGCCTGCAGATGGCTTATTGTGGGACCTTGTGATCATGTGAGTTAATACTTAATAAACTCCCCTTTATATGTATGTGTGTGTGTATGTGTGTGTGTGTATATATATATATATATCCATTAGTTTTGTCCCGCTAGAGAACTCTGGCTAATACAACAGGTCTGATATTGATGAAATGCCTCAGCTTTTTGTCTGGGGAAGTCTTTATTTCTCTATGTTTAAAGAGTATTTTCACTGGATATGCTATTCTAGGGTAAAACTTGTTTTTGTTTGTTTGTTTGTTTGTTTTTATTCAGCACTCTAAATATGTCATGGCACTCCCTCCTGGCCTATAAAGGTTTCCACTGAAAAGTTTGCTGCCAGATGTATTGGATCTTAATTTTATATATATATATATATATATATATATATATATATATATATATATATATATATATATATATATTTTATCTCTTGCTGCTGTTATGATCCTTTCTTTATCTTTCATCTTTGGGAGTTTGATTATTAAATGACTTGAGGTATTCTTTGTATTAAATCTGCTTGGTGTTCTACAACCTTCTTGTACTTGGATATCGGTATTTTTCTCTATGTATAGAAAGTTCTCCGTTATTATCCCATTGAATAAACTTTCTACCCCTATCTCTTTTTCTACTTCCTCTTTATGGCCAATAACTCTTAGATTTGCCCTTTGGAGGCTATTTTCTAGATCCTGTAGGCGCCCTTCATTATTTTTTATTCTTTTATCTTTTGTGTCTTACGATTGTGTGTTTTCAAATAGCCTGTCTTCAAGCTCACTACTTCTTTTTTTTTTTTTTTTTTTTTTTTTTTTTGAGACGCAGTTTCAGTCTTTGTTGTCAAGGCTGGAGTGCAGTGGTGCAATCTTGGCTCACTGCAACCTCCACCTCCCCAGTTCAAGCAATTCTCCAGTCTCAGCCTCCTGAGAAGCTGGGATTACAGGCGCACACCACCATGCCTGGCTAATTTTTGTATTTTTAGTAGAGATGGAGTTTCACCATGTTGGCCAGGCTGGTCTTGAACTCCTAACCTCAGGTGATCCACCCTCCTCAGCCTCCCAAAATGCTGGGATTACAGGCATGAGACACCACGCCCGGCCCAAGCTCACGAATTCTTTCTTCTGCTTGATAAATTCTGTTATGAAAGGGCTCTGATGCACCCTTCAGTATGCTAATTGCATTTTTCAGCTATAGAATTTGTGCTCAATTCTTTTTAATTATTTCAATCTCTTTGTTAAATTTATCTGACAGAATTCTGAATTCCTTCTCTGTGTTGTCTTGAATTTCTTTGTGTTTCTTCAGCACAGCTATTTTGAATTCTCTGTCTGAAATGTCACATTTCTCTGTTTTTCCAGGATTGGTTCCTGGTGACTTATTTAGTTTATTTGGTGAGGTCATGTTTTCCTGGATAGTGTTGATGCTAGTAGACATTCTTCAGTGTCTGGGCATTAAAGATTTAGGTATTTATTTTAGTCCTCACTGTCTGGGCTTAGTTGTAGACATCCTTCTTGGGAAAGCTTTCCAGATACTTGGAAGGATTGGGTATTGTGATCTAAGCTGTATCTACTTTAGGGGGCTCCCCAAACCCAGTAATGCTGTGTTTCTTACAGACTTGCAGAGGCACCTCCTTCACAGTCTTGGACAAGGTCCAGGAGAATCCTCTGGATTCCCAGGGAGACACTCTTGTTCTCTTCCCTTCCTTTCTCTCAGTCAGTCTCTTTCTCTCTTTCTCTCTCTCTCTGTTCTGAACCACCTAAATCTGTAGTTGGAGTAACATAAGCACCACTGTGGCTGCCACCACTATGATGGTACTGGGTCAGACCTAAAGACAGCACAGTGCTGCATCTCACCCAAGGCCTGCTGTAACTACTTCCTGGCCACTGCTTATGTTCACTCAAGGCCTTGTGGCTCTACACTCAGCAGGGGGCAAAACCAGCCAGGCCTGTGTCCTTTTCTTCAGGGTGGCGATGTCCCTCAGGCCCTGGGTGGTTCCAAAGGCACTGTCCAGGAGTCTGGGACTAGAGTCAAAAACCTTAGACGTCTGCCTGGTATTGTATTCGGCTGAGCTAGCTCTCAAATCACTTGATGCAGTTCTTCCCACTTTTCTCTTCCCTTTCCAAAGGCAGAGGAGCCTCACTCCTGCAGCCACAACCACCGCAGGCCATGAGGAGTACTGCCAGACTACAAGCCAATGTTTCCTTAAGGCCCAAGGGCTCTTAAGGCAGCTGTGGTGAATGAGGAACTGGACTGGAACTCAGCTTTTAGGGCAGTGGGCTCCCTTCTGGCCCAGGGCAGGTCCAGAAACATCATCCAAGAGTCAGGTCCTGGAATTAGGGACCCCAAGAGTCTGCTTGGTGCTCTGCCTTCCTGTGGCTGTGCTGGTACCTGAGGCCAGCAAGTCTCAGTGTCTCACCCAAAGCCCTTGATGCAGTACCTGGGTATCGCTGCTGGTTATTCAGGGACTAAGGAATCTTAGTTAGCAGGTGATGAATGCTGTCAGGACTGAGTCCCTTCCTTCAAGGCAGTGGGTTCTTTTCTGGCCCAGGGTGTTTGTCTAAAAATGTCATTTGATAGCTAGGGCCTGTAACAGGGACCTCAGGACTCTGTTGCCCTATCCTATTGTGTCTGACCTGGTATCCAAGAGGCAAGGCAAAGTCCTCTCCCTTCTTCTCTCTCCTCTTCTCAAGCAAAATGGAGGGGTCTCTTGGAGCTGGAAGCTCTGCAACTTGGGGATTAGGGGAGGGGTGATGCCAGCTCTCCCTTGGCTGTCCCAGCTGGTGTCTCAGTAGTCACGTGGCCCCCCCAGTCAACTGTCTGTGAGCCTAGTTCAGCATTAAGTGTCACCTAAGATTTGTAGTCCTTATGACCCAGACTGCCTTTCAAATTTACCTGGAGACAAGAGCGCTGTAGCCATCTGTGCTGAGGTTTGAAGGCACTCAAGTTCTGATGGCTGTGATCCAGGATTCTCCTCAGGCTGGGGCTGGTTTAAAGGTTCCCTCAGTGGGCCAGTGTCAGTTGAGTTTGGTTCAGTTTTCTTTTCTGTTCTAACAGGACACCACTGAGTTTAGTGCCTCACAATTGCTGTGCTCTCCCCACTACTCTGCCTAGAGATGCTCTGGGCACCCCTCCAAACCTGCCCCAGGTCAGGGAGGGGTGGCATCATGATTCAAAACTGTTTTTCCTATCCCTTCAGTGCCTCTTTCGACGATACAAAGTTACAACCAGGTACTATGAGTGCTCACCTGATTTCTGGTTCTTGTGAAGGTGTTTCTTCAGTGTAGATAGCTGTTAACTTGGTGTCCTTATGGGGGCGGGGTTGGGGGATGATGGAGTCTTCTATTCCACCATTTTGCTCTGCCTCTTCTCTAGAAGGCATTTTTATTATATACAATGAAGAAAGTATTATCAACAATATATAAATAAATGCTAAGTCAATTAAAAAGCACCAGCAATTTCATAGATAAATGGCCACAAATCATGATTAGCACTTTACAGAACAGGAATTATATATTGCTAGTAAACATATATGAAGACATATTTTGGACTTAATAGTGATTAGAGAATTACATATCATACCATGGTGAGTTCTCTTTTAAATTCATTTGATTGGAAAAATAAAATAAAAAGGTCATTATATCAAGTGATTAAAAAGACGTGAGTCCTCTGAGTCTTTTATATATCATTTCTTTAAACATAAGTTGATACCAATGCTTTGGAAAGCAGTTAGATATTATTGTGTATAATTTTGTATACTGTGTGATGAAGTAATTTTGGCTGTAGATCCAGGGGATAATCTCTCCTGTGTACTCTGGAAACAGCAGGTTCACAGCAGCTCTCTTCACAATAGCACATCTGTAGAATCAAATCAAATGCTTCCACATTAGTCAAGTGGCTGAATATCATGTAATATGCTGTTATAAATCCACAAAATGAATATACCACAATGACACACAACAGCATGCATGAATCTTAGCAATATAAACATAAATACTTAGCAATTTAAACATAAAACAATTAAAATGAAATTAAAAATTTTGGAAAGAAACATAGATGAGTAAAAAGAATATGAAAAGAAAAGAAATGGAATAGCAAACAGGCTTCAGAAGGGTTGTTCTCTTGGGAGAGGGAACAGAGGAAATGAGGTGAAGGAAGAGAAAATAAATACATATTAATGATTGGTGAGATTCTACTCTTTGTATTGTGTGGTGGGCCCTCAGTTGCTTATTACACTACTCAAGAGGGATGACTGCATAAATAAAAACAGACAGCCATGCATGAATCAGTTATGACAGTATCATGCATATACGTACAGTTGAGCAATTCTATACACCAGGGTTGGAACCAAAAATTGCCATCTACCTACTTCACAACAGTAATCTACTGCCATTATTCCAGAGCCAGTTCTGAGTCTTCTGCTTCTTTCACCTTTCTTTTGAGCTTCATTAGGAGCATGCTATTATTTTATTTTGCTCATTCTTTAAGACTCAGGTCCCGCTGCTGGCATACAGTGATTCACAGAGTAGGGGATGGTGTGTTTCCTCTGCTCCATTCGGTCTTTGTTTTCACAACAGGCAGATTAGAAGTTTCTTATTGAAGCCCCAGAAGGAAACCATCTCTGCTCGCCCATCTTTTTGTAGTCTCCCAGCCTCAGTCATGCAGAGAAACTTGAAGCTTCTCTTCAAGCTCTGAAGGTCAGCCAGACCAGAAACTAATGTGACATAGAGTCTCTTTTCCAATCTCTGTAGGTCAGGCTCTTGCCAGGATCTGTCTCAGCCTAATCTAAACCATGGACCCTATATCACCAGGCCCCAGGCACTGTCTTCTCTGAAGGGTGCAAGACATACCTCAAATATTTTTTATTCTTCAGGACTAAACGAGACTTGAAGGCTCAGTTGCCTCCTTCAATTCATTGGCTCCCTTACGTCCACAGCAGCTTCTTGGCTCATAGGAGGTAGATGTGTTAGGTTTGATAGCAAAGTGTAGCCAGGATGTTTAAAATTTGCTATTTTCCCAGAAATGTCTACTCTCTTAAATATTCTTTTAATTTTAATAAAGTTTTCATTTTTATAGGATTATCCGCTCAAAATTATAAGAACTTTGTATTTATCTATTCATTAACCCCCTTTATAATCATTTCTTTTCCTTCATTTGCAAGACGTAACCATTTTTTATATTTTACTTTGCAAAGTAAAGGAAAGATGAAACTCTAGGAATAGCAAGCAAAGTTTTAACATTTACAGATGGCAGAGCAGGTTTGAGAATAATCTAACTTTGGGAATGACTACAAAGGGTGTTAATTAAGTAGCAGGTGTTTTATCACCTATGTCTATTCAAAAAAAAATGTAGCACAGATGTAGAAAGCTTAAGTACATCTATAGTTTGTATAACAAAACTCTATATTCATTGGGTTCCATCTGCCACACTAACCTCAAACCACACTTAGTGCCAACCAATTAACACCTTGATTAAGCTATAGACCACCTGCAGCTTCAGCAATGTAATGAATTCACTGACTTTTATACAAATTCATTGTAAAACCTAGACTGAAACTGCATAGCAAAAAGAGAAAAAATGATAAATGATTCATGCATCAGCCTTGGTGTAGGCACACACAGACACACACACACACACACACACACATTTACTAAGGCATGCACATCAATTGTCTCATCTCTGCTGCTCTCTTCATTTTTTAAATTTTCTTTAACAAAGGAGACTTGGCTAAAGGCATTTCAGGCTTATAAACCCACAAACTATAAGCAGAAAAGAATATCATATCCTCCTCCATCAACTCAAATTTTAAAAATTCCAGGAAAGTACTCCAATTTGCTTAACTCAGGTCACATGCTAGTTCTGAATAGGATTGGGCATTCTGGTTGACACAGTTTAAATTGGTTGCCTAATCCTGTGGCCACAATGAAAGGATATGGCTGACAGACCCTACCATAACCATGCGGCAAAAGCAGGTGACCAAAATATATTTAGTCTGAAAAAAAATAATCTAAATGAATAATGTAAGATAATTGATACATGTATGTGTTGTTAGAAGTATATTAAATTCTCTGTCTTCACTTTTTTTGGTGAAATCTTCATTGCTCACTTATGAATTATGGAACAGCTTTTCTTTCCATACTGAGAAAAAAATAGTTACTTCCTATCAGAGAAAACTAAGAGATAAGTTAAAATAATTTAAAGAAGAAAAGAGACATTTTGAATAATGAATTTTGTGACACCTGACCTACTAACAGTTGGCAGGATTGATTAGAGAGGAGAGAGCTGGAAAAAATAGTAGACTTTTATGATCATCTTTATGTAATGTTGTAAATGGAGGAAAGTTAAACTGGAAAGATAGGTCTGTGTTTCTGGAGAAAGGTTATACAATGAGGAGGTAGCTGGGTGATGACTGTTCTACTCACGCTGTCGCAATGTTTGCAGTAGTTATGAATTATTTTTTTCTCAACTTATCATGGCAGAATGCCACTTATAATTTAAAAAAATAACCCAGAATCCAGGAAAGATGAAAAACAGCAACAACAGTATAAACTAGGGTAAAAATATATTTTATTTAGCACAGCTCATTTTGTTTTACTTTATTTTGTTTATTTATTTATTTTGAGACAGGATCTCACTGTCATCCAGGCGGTAGTGCAGTGGCCTGATCACTGCTCACTGCAGCCTCAACCTTCTGAGCTCAATTGATACTCCTACCTCAGCCTCCTGAGTAGCTGGGACCACAGGTACACACCACCATGGTGGGCTAATTTAAAATAAAATATTTTTTGTAAAGAAAGGTTCTTGTTTGGTTGCCCAGGCTGGTCACGAACTCCTGCCTCAGCCTCTGAAACATGAGCCACTGTGTCCGGAGCACAGCTCATTTTATTAAGAAGCTCATTGCAGAGCTAGTTATCCAAAACTATGAGAAGAGATTCATCCAGTTATTCAGGATTTAGCATCAGGGTGTATTCTAAATAAAGGGGCTCAGAGGCTGTCATGACTTTAAGTGTCATCATTCCATACCAATCCTTTTTATGAAAAGGAAGAAAAAGAAGTTCTCGAATTTTATTTGTTCTCAAGGAGAACTCTCAAGGAGAAGAATGGCAGTTTTTAGTTTACATTATTATATTCATATGGCTGATGTTTTACTTCTGCCCTCAAAATCCTCTCTGAAAAAATATCTTTTGTAGCCTACCCTAATTGGAAATATACAGAGAAGGAAATTCTGGGAATCACAGTTCAATCTGATCCAGTGGACACATTATAGTCACTACAGTTCATGCATTTTGAACCTGAAAGCTCCACACTTCTTTTTAAGCCATATGTAATCTACAAGTAAACAAAGCCATACTCCTGCCTCATATGAAAATATGACATATCTCTCCTGCCTTATAACTGAACATAGACTTAGTCTTCATTCTAACGGTTACAAAGTCCCATTTCAAAAAGCAGTTTTCTTCTTTCATCTGATTCACACTCCTTCTTTAATATCCTATAACTTACTTAGTGAGATATGCACTGATAGCTACTATTAATGCATTGTGTGTTTGGCGATAGGGGAATAGGAAGGGGAAAAACAATACTTGTTATATGTGTGTGCATGTATTTGTGTGTGTGTTCATATAACTAAGGAAGAAAAAACTATTGTAGTCTTAATTTCTGCAATCAGTCATGTGGTTGCAGCAGATACTTCTATCTGCCCTTTTCCACTGCCCATTCCATTTTCTCAGCAGTGGTCAACTACCTCAAGTGAGACTATTACAGGTTCTACAGACAAGGGAAAGCTAGCTTTCTCAGGCAGGAATGGAAAGAAAAGTAGGCTTAGTGGAATTCAGGGATTCAATCTTGTCATTTCATCTAAATTTGCCTATATGTCCCCATCCTAATTTTCAGGGTTCCATTTATTTCCAATTAATGCCCCAAATTTGAGAAAAATGATTCTGTGAGTTAGGAAATTCAATTTGTATTGTAATTCAGCCATTATGATTAGATTTTGGGTTTGGTTTCAGATCTTTCAGACCTGAGGTTATAGGAGATAAGGATTTATTTTAGGGAAGGCTTAGAACTTACCCAGGTTCTTACTGAGATTCAATCTGAGAATTTAAAGCCATGAGATTATTTTCCTTTGATAACTACTAAATACTGTATCAATAAGAAGCAGAATCACTATGAACATTATACACACACAAACACACACAACTTGTTACAAGGATTTGAGTATATACAATTATGTGAGCTGGTTGCAACAGTCTCTGTAAATTTGCTGATTTTGGATTTGATACTGGTGCTTGAAGACTCTAGGGCAGGATCAGTCAGGAAGGAAAAAGAAGGATGTAAAGTGGGAGAGAGGAAAGCCAAGTTTAAACCCACAAATATGAGCTGAAGCCCCTGAGGACAAACTGGAGCACATGTTCATTCTACAACATTGGTGATAGGGGTTCCCTACAGGAGAAACCGGTACTTCCTTTTTGGCAGTAAGCAGAAACCTCTCCCAAGAGTTTGGGAAGCTGCAGGAAGGTCCATGGGTAGCCTAGCCACTGCACCATGGTAATCAGTTGAGCAAGCAGATGAGTGACATGTATTAACAACAAAAGCTCTCTTGACTGTCTCAATCTCTTTCCAAACATAAGAAACCATATGACTACTGCTTGGCTTCTTCCCTCTAAATTGCACACGAAAATGTCTCTGTGGTTCACTCTAATCTGAAATATCAAGGGAAGGAATTTCTGGAAATGTAATTTAGTCTAGGCAAGTCTACACATTACTAAGCCACCACATGGTATCTTTAGGTTGTTTCGATATTGTTTGGGTATTGTGTGTATACAATTGATTAATATTTCTAAGTTTTGTTTTATAAATTGACTTTCATTGAGATCTATTTCTTGTAAATTCAATCATGTGGAAAATACAAATAGTAAATCAAATATAATTTTATATAGGTTTGAGAAATTTCTGCATTTCTATTGGCAGTAATACCCCAGACTACTCTCTGATTAGTCTTACGTGCATGTAATGTACTTTTTGGTCTTTGACATTCCAAGGCAGCTCAGTTTAATGATTTTGTCCCCCTTATTTCATTAGTACTCATATTTTATAGTAATTAAAAGCACAGGCTCTGGATATAGCCTAAAATCAAATGTCAGCATCACCACTTATTAGCTGTGACCCCAGGTATACTACTTAACTGCTCTTTGCCTAGTTTTTTCTTGTGTAAAATAGTCTAGGATTAAATTAGCTGATATTTATAAAGTGTTCAGAATAGTGCTTGTCTCATTATGTTCTGTATTTTCCCCATATGGTATATACTAGGGGAGGGATTAGGCTTTTTGTTGAATTTTTTCTTGTTTTTTTAATGAATATTCACCAATAATCATTCACCCAAAATTGTCACAAACACTCATGTTGGCCATATGGATCAAGCTCTCCTAAAATGTGGTAATCATGTATAATTTTTTGAACATGCTTTAATACACACACATACACATACATGCACAACTATTTCCAGAATTATTGTGTCTTTTTTTATATTTCCAGCAGCAAGGTATAAGAAATCCAGTTTCTCTGCATCCCTTGCGAGCATTTCATATTGTCTATATTGTATTATTTTATCTGTTCTAACAGGTAGTGATATATTGTCATGGTTATAATTTGCATTTTCGTAAAGCTAATTATATCAGACATTTTTTTCATGTGTTTATTTGTCTGTTAATGTCTTTTGTATTATTATGAATTGGCTTTCTTTACCATTGAATTTTTCAGGATTCTTTAAATATTCTAGATACAAGTTCTTTGTGAGATATATGGTTTACAAATACACACTCTCAATCTATAGGTTGCCTTTTTATCCTCTGAATATGGTCTTTTTAATCTTGATTAAGTACAGTTTATCTGTGTTTTACTTTTACCGATCATGATTCTGTGTCATGTCTAAAAATTCTTTGCCTAGCTCTTGGTCCCAAAGATTATCTCCCGTGTTTCTTCTAAAAGTTTTATTGTGTTGCATTTTACATTTCAATCTGTTATACCTGGGCCATCTTTTGACAACTTCTATGGTTCACTGCCCGGCATCTTCTATCTAGTTGTTCATAGTCTCCTATCCTTTTATAAAGAAATGTTAGTGGCATCACTGGGTCAAAGAAGTCTTTTTTTACAGCTCCGGGATATGGATAGGTGTTTCAAACACCATTCTAAATTTCTGATTAGCTTCATGTGCAAACGACTATTCTAAGCAAATCTTGGATAACCTCTACCTTTGGTTAACGATATTTTGAAATACTGATGTAATTATTCTTCCTTATCCTAATAGTAAAAAGGATGAATGAACTTTTTTCTTCAGTAGTCTCAATATAAGCTGTGGGACTAATACTTGTCATAGGCCCTTTGAAATAGCAAACACAGTGACTTTCATACTATTTCCACATCCCCCTAAGCTCTTGAGCTCACATTTGCATTTCTCTTCCCACTTTTCCCTTCTATATACAGATAGTAAATACCTTTGAAGATATCATTCAAGTGAGATAATTTGTTGCAATTTTTCAATGTTTCATTCTAGTTTATACAGGTCAATGCCTTTGCTATGATTTTAAGGCTTAAGCAAAACCTTGGTGTTTTATGAATTTCTACTTATTGAGCAAAACCTATATTTGAGAAAACAATGTGTATAGTGGCAAATTGTAAGAAAATATATCCATCTCTCAAAATTGTATAAAAGTATAGTAGCTTTGAATTCTAAAATAGATCCAATTCCTCAAATTGACTATCATTATTTTTTTCCTTTGGAACTATAAACAATCACCATTTCTGATTAATTTCTGTCATATAAATCACAATCCTTGCTTTGTATTATTTTACTTGATATATTCTATATATAAAACATACAGTTCACATATAGTTACCATTTCTTTTCCATACAACAGCTAAAGATGTATTTGACTATTGAAATGCTTAAGCCTTACTTAAAAAATTTTACATTTTTATAATACTAATTTTTAATAGCACTTTTGAAGATAATTTGAAACAAAATTTGAGAATAATAAAATTTGTCATTTTATAAATATAGAAATTGATAGACTACAGAGTTGATGATTGCAGGTTTGTAGTTTAAATTGGAAAGATTTTGTACAAATCTCTCTGATAGTCAATACTAAATCAGTAATGGAGTAATAAAAACCTCTTAAATTGCTTTAATTCATATATTCACTTATCTAAATACCACTGGCCTGTATCTTAAATTATTGAGAACACAACTGAAACTCAGTATGTCAATACAAAGGGTTCTGAACATCTAAATAACAAATTTCAAAACCCATCAAATAATAATTCTCAAGAAAATCTTTCAGGTAACTTTCAATTCTAATGGACGCTTGAACATCTATTGTTTTTGTTTGTTTGTTTGTTTGTTTGTTTGTTTTAATGTTAGCATATTAGAAGTTGCAATGTGGCTGGGTGCAAGTGGCTCATGCCTGCAATCCCAGCACTTTGGGAGGCCAGGGCGGGTGGATCACAAGGTCAGAAGATCGAGACCAACCTGGCTAACACGGTGAAACCCCGTCTCTACTAAAAATACAAAAAAAAAAAAAAAAAAAAAAAAAAATTAGCCGGGTGTGGTGGTGGGCGCCTGTAGTCCCAGCTACTCGGGAGGCTGAGGCAGGAGAATGGCATGAACCCAGGAGGCGGAGCTTGAATTGAGCCGAGATTGCGCCACTGCACTCCACCCTGGGTAACAGAGTGAGACTCCATCTCAAAAAAAAAAATAAAGAAGAAGTTTCAATGTAAAGGAAAAAGAGGCTTTAAAAACAGCAGTTCTCCTACAACTAGAAATGGCACCACTATCAATATTATATTAAATGTCAATGGAGAAAAAAGGAATAATGCCAATACTATCAAAAATAATTTAAAAATTTTAGCAGTTAAGGGATGTTTAAACGGTGAATGATACTTTGAAAGGACCACTGTAGAGTAAAATATTTGATGTTCATAGTGATTACTCTGAGTTATTAGAAAATATACATCGAGCATTACATTCTGATTTTAAAAGGGTAGTGAAACTACTCCATATGATACTACAATGGTGGGTACATGTCATCATAAATTTGTCCAAACCCATAGAATGCATAACACCAAGGGTGAACTCTAATGTGAAAGTGTGAACTTTGATGATAATGATGTGTTCATGTAGGTTCATCAATTGTAACAAATGTACCATTCTGGTGACCAATATTGATGACGAGGGAGGCTGTGCGTATATAGGATCACGAGGCATATAGGAAGTCTCTGTACCTTCTGTTCCGTTTTTCTGTGAACCCAGAGCTAATCTGAAAATTAATGTCTATTTTTAAAAAACTCTTTGAGCTGGATATTGGAGGGAAGAAGAAAAATAAAACGATTTGTATGGAAACCCTGGGCTCTGGACCCTAGATTATACATATCTGAAAACAAAAGAGAACTTTAGCTTGTTAGGCTGAAATATCTGCATTCAAAATACTCCACTGTTTTACCTAGTGACAATGGATGAAAAAAATTGATTTACATATGTATAACTAAAACACATGTTGGGGTGGTATGGTATGCTATGCTGTTGGAAGTTAGGATAACGGTAATCCTTGCAGGGGTAGTAACTGAATAAGGGGCTTCTGGGATGAAGATAATATTGTTTCTTTGATCCTGGGGCTGGTCACATAGGTGTATTCAGTTTTGAGATGAGCCTTACCTCCAAATCTGTCCTTGAATAAATTTCTTGTTGGTTCCCCTTGGTTGATCAAATCCTATCATCTGCTTTATAATAATACAACTTAATGATTAAAATTTTAAATGTACCTAATCCCTAATCAAATATAAGAAAAATGAATAGAACTTAATTGCATTGCAGCTAAGTTCCAATTTCATAAGTGAAAAGGAAATTGTTTTCGTTTATTTTAGCTTTATATTAAAAAATACACGAACAATTGTTTGGAGACTGTTATGGAATTTCCTAGTCATTTCCATGAACTATTTCTGGTGGGTTTTGAAACTAAATGTAGTTACAGGGCAATTGTTTTTGCTGTGTAATTCTTTATGTCTAATAATTGGTAGTCTTCATTCAAGATAAAATGTCTTAGATATTATAAATTTTCTTCTCTGCCCGAATATGCTGCTATAGACTAAAGTGAGTATCTTTAGGAAAATACATTTGTTTCAAAAGTACATCCTGCTATTATGCACAAGTATTAATTGTTTTGATGTGTGCCTTTTTTTGTTTTTGGGACGGAGTCTCGCTCTGTCGCCCAGGCGACCTCGGCTCACTGCAAGCTCTGTCTCCCAGGTTCTCCTGCCTCAGCCTCCGGAGTAGCTGGGACTGCAGGCGCCTGCCACCACGCCCAGCTAATTTTTTGTATTTTTAGTGGAGACGGGGTTTCACCGTGTTAGCCATGATGGTCTCGATCTCCTCCGCCCGCCTCGGCCTCCCAAAGTGCTGGGATTACAGGCGTGAGCCACCGCACCCGGCCGATGTGTGCCATTTTTATCATGACTAGAATCACTCATGGGATAGATTTGCACATTTTTACCTCAGGGGTTGTTGAAGAAGTCAGGCCATGTAGTACTCATGAGGCCTTGTAGTACTCATGTTAATTTATGTCATGTTCATTTTGTTTCACTGGTAGGCAAGGAAGAAACCTAGGCCTTCAGATTTTTGGTTTTGCTCAACTATCAGAAAAGCCTACATGAATTATGTAGACACTGATTTGGTTGCAGTTCATTTATAACTTATGAGCAAATTATATTTCTAGTAAGAAAAGTATTCTATAATTTGAAGAATCTCAATATTTTATATGCTTCAAAATTGACAGTTTAATTTCAGGGATTTGTACTTTAAATATGTATATTAGAAAGAACTTTGAATAGTTCATGGAGAATCTCTGAAGTCTCAGAAAGAATCTGTTCCATATCAAAGAAATAAGTGGCAGCTACAGTTTAAAATTAAACTTAAATAAGACCTTTTCTATGCCTGTCTGAACGTTTCATTTCTTTAGATCTTGATGTTAATAGAATGTAAATATTCTCCAACTTCATTATTTCACTGAAATTTCCAAGTATTCAACATGATAAAATTCTTTCTTTTTAAGTCTTTAAAATATTTTGGTGACCTTTGCTGGTCTTTTCATTTTTACCAAGGCAGAGTTTATTAGGTTTATGTTTTCTATTTCCATATCAAGTTTTATTCATGTTAAAAACTTAAAATTAATGGATTATGTAAAGTGATAAGTGCATCAATGAATATATAACTGGCTGGATTTTAAACATACATAAATAAGTATGTTTTAAGTCCTTCAATGAAGGCACTTAATCTATTTCTCCCTCATTTCCCTTCTGTAAAATGGGGATATAATAATATACTTAAAACCTTAGCAGAGTGCTTGACACATAAGAAGCGCTCCTTGAGCATTAACTATATTATTATTTTACAGTGATATTGAATATTTGATGCTGTATATGGTACTTTTAAAAAATTGATTGTCTAATAAGCAGAAAATAAGGCTGTGGTAAATCAAATAAAGGATAAATGATTTAGAGGCTAATTTGAAGTAAAGTATAAAGTATGCTCTTTTAAATTTTTATGTTTTTATGAAAGTTTTGGGTGCTTATAGCAACTTTTGAATTCCTTTCAGCAGTGTGTTCTTTCTTACACAATTTCAGAGTTTTGAATCTCTTCCTTGGGAAACTTTTTACAGAAAGGAAGATAATCATCAAAAATTTGTGATTTTAAATATCCTCTTAAAACCAAAGTTCCCCTTTTTAATGGTTTACTGTTACAACCTATTCTCTATAAAGAGAGAAAAGATATAGTCCACATTTATACTAGCTTCTTTTAAAATATTTTAGAAGAAACAGAAGAATGATTAGTAGAGGTTTTCATTTTCCATTGATAAAAAATCGAGAATGAGTCTTTCTACCTGTAGTTTTTCCTATAATTGTTTTTTCAAATGCAGTCTACTATGTGAATTAACTACTCAGAATCCATTCTCAATCCCTTTCTCCTTTGTCTTTTATTACTTTTCAGAATGGGAAGCTTAAATTTTTGATTTCACAGGCTTCTTTGCCTCTAGGGTTACTTGGTTACTCATGCAACACAATTCTGCTATGAGGAGGTGTTTCCTTCCAGAATAAAAAGGCCTCAAAACACCAGGAGAAAATCCTATGCCTTTTCTCCTTCCTCTGAATTAAAATCTTACAAGCCTACTCCAGTCTCATCTTAAGCCCTCCTGTTCTTCTCTCACTGGCTGGTGTGCTCCACTTTTTGCTTAAAAACGTACCCTGTGCCCAGAATACTCTCCTCAGCAATCCTCCCCTTCTGCTATCAACTTCCTCATAATCTAGCCCCTCTTTCCCCAACTCATCCAACTAGATCAGGCTTCCTCTCTCATGTATTATTCCTGTGTAGTCCTTATCACATTTTTATGTATATATGAAATATCTGGATACAAGCCACAAGCAGCAGGGACATCTATCTTCTTTATCCCTGTACCTTAAGGAGCAAGCATTTAATGAGCCAGTTATCATGGGGCAAGCACTGTTCTAAGCACTTTACATGCTGTCACTCATGCTCTGTTCATTACAATATCTTATTTTATAGGTGAGGCAACTGAGGTAGTGAAAGGTGAAGTCGTGCATGGGTAGCAGAGCTGGATCAAATGTAAATAGCTTGCCCCAGAGTCTTTGCACTTAACCATAACTGCCAGGAACTATGTCTCTAGAGAGGTGCTGGAGTGAAGAGTTTGAGGCATTTTATTTGAAAAACAACACTAGGCCAGGCACTGTGGCTCACGCTTGTAATTCCAGCACTTTAGGAGGCCAAGGTGGGCGGATCACGAAGTCAGGAGATGAGACCATCCTGGCCAACATGGTGAAACCCTGTCTCTACTAAAAATGCAAAAATTAGCTGGGCGTGATGGCTTGTGCCTGTATTCCCAGCTACTCAGGAGGCTGAGGCAGGAGAATTGCTTGCACCCGGGAGGCAGAGGTTGCAGTGAGCTGAGGTTGTGCCACAGCACTCAAGCCTGGCAACAGAGCGAGACTCTGTCTCAAAAAAAAACAAAAACACAACACTAATAGCCACTCTGTTGTGTAATGTTCTAAATGACATTTAGAAACCTTTGTGCATTATTGTGTATTCTTCAATAGCTCTTATGTCTAACCATCCATTGCTTGCACAACTTCCTTTTGCCACATTTCTTTGTTGTGTTATATGTGAAAGCAGTTGTTCTCTAGTATTAAAGTGCATGAGCAACATGGCAGATACCTTTAGAAAGTGTACATTCTCAGTGCTTCCTCTACCAGTATTCTGATTCCACAGATATTCTAAGGTAGGGGCCAATCATCTTAAAAAAAAAAAAAAAGAAAAGAGAAAGAATCCCAATGGACTCACAGAGTGGGTTTGCTGAAAATGAATATTCCCTTAATGAATATGATAAAAATGAAACAGATTTTGTTTTAAAAAATTGCAATTATAAAGTTAGGATAGTTACATCATTTTTTAAAATATAGCATTTTTAAAGTGTCCCAGAGGCTAGAATTATTTTTTAATATTAGATTTCCTGTGGATGATACAACTACAAGCAGCACTGTAAATATAAAAGATCAAAGTGGGCTAAGCAACATTTCTAGGAGATGATTTTCGACTCACAAAGCAACTTCCTGGACTTTTTAAACACATTTAAGCACAGTAAACAATGCTATCTCAAAATGAGGCAAATTCAACTTTTTCTATTCCAGTAACCATATTAAGTCAGTATTTTTTTTCCATTTTCTAATTACTGCACTTATTTTATCAGTGTGTTGTTAATTATATTTAATCCTATGAAAGAGCAAAATTAAACAAAACTAATTGTTCCTTGCTATTTACTTATATATTTATATACATCTGTATATATGTTTATGTGCAGGTTTATTTTTATCATATTCATTAAGGGAATATTCATTTTCAACAAACCCACTCTGTGAGTCCATTGGGATTCTTTCTCTTTTCTTTCTTTTTTTTAAGATGACTGGCCCCTACCTTAGAATATCTGTGGAATCAGAATACTGGTAGAGGAAGCACTGAGAATGTACACTTTCTAAAGGTATCTGCCATGTTGCTCATGCACTTTAATACTAGAGAACAACTGCTTTCACATATAACACAGCAAAGAAATATGGCAAAAGGAAGTTGTGCAAGCAATGGATAGTTAGACATAAGAGTTATTGAAGAATACAGAATAATGCACAAAGGTTTCTAAATGTCATTTAGAACATTACACAACAGAGTGGCTATTAGTGTTGTTGTTTTTTTTTTTTTTCTGAGACAGAGTCTCACTTTGTTGCCAGGCTTGAGTGCCGTGGCGCAATCTCAGCTCACTGCAACCTCTGCCTCCTGGGTGCAAGCAATTCTCCTGCCTCAGTGTATACATATGTATGTATGTATGTACATATGTGTGTATGATGTAGGTGTTGGGGAAAAGCTGAGTGTTGGGAAAAAAGCTGAGTCAGGGCTTGCATGTCTGACATAATGTAAAAGAGTCTTGGAACATGTCTGGGGGCCAGGATTTAAAACCCCTTGTAGCCTTTGGAACAGCAAGCTCTGTGCCAAAGGGTAGAAGGCTGCCCTGCTGCACCATAATCTAAGTCCAGGGCATAAAATCCCTCTTGGCTTGGATGGAATCCAGGGCTCAGGGGATAAAACCCCTTGTGGCCTCTGGAATGCATCTAGACTTGCTGGCTCCTTGCTTCAAGCACTCCCAGGATCATAGATCGATTGCATCTTAAACTAGAAGAACATGTTTTCCATTATTTCAAGTAGCAGAACATGTTCCATATGCTTCAAAAGAAATGCTAAACCATTACAGCTGTCGATCATGTGCTTGATATACTGCTTTCTTTCAACCCCCACATCTTCACCACCTGCTTCTTTGTTTGATCACCAATAAGTAGTGCTGGCTTCCAGAGCTCAGGGCCTTTGCAGTCTCCATACTAGCATCGGCCCCCTGGTCCCACTTTATGCACTCTTAACTTGTCTTGTCTCATTCCTTTGACTCTGCCAGATTTCGTAGCCCCCACTGCCTGGTGTTGGGTCTGGTCACTCCAACATATAGGTAGCCTTGGTCCATGGTGGTGCTAGGTCTCTGGTTGGTGTTTCACCATGTGTTTGTGTAATATTACATACCACCACTTTTATCTTAAATATATGTTTGGTGTGCATACAGTTTACCTAAGTATGAAAATAAATGTTGGAAAATCTTTGTAGAATATGCCTCCATAGACTTTAAAAGGAAGTATTCACAGTTGTTAGTAAACATATCCTTTGGTTCTTAATGATATTATAGATTGCTTTCTCACTGAATAGAATTTTTGTTTCAGATTGGATAAAAACTGAAAAGATAAATATATTCTAATAATGATTAAGATACAACTATTTTAATTAACATTCACATTTAATTTGATAATCAGATTGTATTAAAGTATTTGTATTTTTCTAATATGAATGGAATGCTAGGTGTGTACTCACCAGACTTCTCTATTATACCTCGATTATACTCAAACTTAAATAGATTGATCAATATTTAATGGGCTTCAGCATGTGAAAGTGGGATATTTTGATTTGTTTCTTTTGATTTTAAAACACTGGATTTTGAAGACTTAATGCCAAAGTAGGCTTCAGGTTCTACTGCTACTTTAATGTAAAAATTTCCTTCATCACTCATTTTGTCTTTTGTTTAAAAGTTTGTTTTAAAAAGCACAGCATTTTAATGATAATGTTATTGTTTTTCCCTGAAAGATAATTTAATTAAAATATTCAAATATTCTTTTTGTCAAAAATGTGTTACTTATGTTCAATTATCAGTGAATCCAGATAATAATTCCTGAATTACCCCACCTTATAATTATCCAGAAGAACCTGGTTTCTATAGAAGTATATATACCATCTTTCCTCCTCAAAGACTGTGCTGATGTTCTGCTAACAGAATGTTTATGATACTTATGTATTATTGTGAGTTATGTTTCCAGGATTTCTAAAATATATTTCTATCTTTTCCTTAGCAGCTATTTTCACCTATAATATACAGTATTGATAAACCTTATTAAAAACCTTCTCCAGGCCAGATACTAGGCTAGGTGCCAAGGTTTAGTTGTGAACAAATGGTCTATCAACCTTATATAGTTGTGGGGAAAGGTGAGGGGTGAGGGGGAGGGGAAAGGTTTGGAAAGATAGACATCATTCATTACAAGGTTAAATATGGAACTCAGATCTGAAGTATGAGTAGCAGACAACAATTTGTAGGAGGTGGGAGGGGTAGCTTAAGACTTCTCTAAGTAAAAGGATTAGCCTATGCAAGAACTGAAAGAATTCATGGAAAGTGAACACAGAATATCCAAGGAACTAAAAGAAGGCCAGTGTGGAAAAAACGAAAGGCAATAGGGAAAGTTATGAGAGATGAAGCTAGAGTGGTTGCCTTAGGCCACGCCATGTAGTTGCAAATATATTATGTTTAGGATTTTGTGTGTTATCCCAAGAGTAAATGAAAGCCAGTAAATGTTAGTTGACAGTACAATTAAAATCTTTGCAGTATCTAATAGGAATATAATATGACATATTTAGCCATATACCAATACTAAGTAAGGAGGCATCATTTGAAGTTTGAAGATAATACTTAGGCCAAATTTGTCAATAACTGATTTTTTTTCATTGCATTCAGTAATAATTTTTTCTCTTTTCAAGAAGCTTATTATTTAGTTGGGAAAGCAATACAGAAATAATTTACTTACTAATAGTTAACAAAATATAATAAATATTATAGTGTCAAAAAATTATGACAGATTATGAGTTGCTGAGATCTCTAAAGAGATCAGATTGTATTAAAGTATTTGTATTTGACAAATACTTTGCATTTGACAAATGTTTGTAAATGAAGGACAAAAAAATACGATTCAATATTCCAAGAGGTTGTAATAACCTGTAATGTAGATAGGTTCAAGAATGTATAAGACATATTTCTTGAATTATGTAATTAGGGCACCAATAATAGGTCATGATGGTAATTTGGGCTTAGATGGACATCAATCTGAAATCTGAGAATTTTCAGGTTAATTTCTGTACAGGAGCTAATATATTTGCCCAAAAAATTAACTTTAGTGTGACTGTATGATCAGATCTGTTGAGCTGTGTAGGAAACATCTGCCAGTTCACAGAAGGTGTTTATTTTCATGATGAAATAGGAAAATAAAAAATTCTATAGTGAGTTCTTAATCCCTTCTGTACACCATGACTATGGTTCCTCTAATTTTAATCAAATATGGCCTTAGATTTTTATGCATAGACTCAAGTTTAGTTTACAATACTAAATAAACATTTTGTTAATGTGAAAGCGTTCAACAATATATGCATTTAAAAAAATAAACAGTAAGCAGTGTTTAAAAATAGTAAACAAAAAAGTAAATTAAATTGTTGTATTTTGTATGTAACACTAGCAAGTATGTTTTTTAAGTGAGAACCATCAAGGCAGTTCATTATTTTAAAACAAGTGAAATGGTTGCTTTCAAACACACTTAGAGGATTATAATCACTAAAACTTTTATGGACAGCAATTTGATAACGTATACATAAAACATCCATCCTGTTTGATGCAATAGTTACATTCTGACAGTCTTCCACAAGAAACATTGAAACATTTTGATAAGGATTTATTGAGAAAAATGCATTTTGAATTATTTTTGCTTCCTATATAAGATGTAACAGCAACTAAATATCTAAAAATACAAAGTTGGTTAAGAGAATAATGGCTCATACATTTGATGAGCTATTATTTAATACACAAAAAGGGTGCATACAAAAACTTTAATGGAATAAGAAAAGTTTCATGATATTATCTTAGTGGGAAAAAGTGGGAAATTAAATTGTATCTGTGGTGTGCATGATGTATTAGTTTTCCATTGTCACTGCAATAAATTAGTATAAACTTAGTTTAAAACAGCACAAATTTATTATCTTACAGTTCTGGAAGTCAGTAAAATCAGTCTCAGCGGGCTAAAATTGAAGTGTTGTCAGGGCTAGTTTCTTCTGGAGACTCTACAGGAGAATTAGATTTTTTGCCTTTAAGTTTTTAGAAGCTGCCTTCATTCTTTGGCTTATAGTCCCTGTCATATTGCCTTTTCTCCCTCTGTTTCCACTGTCACATAGGCTTCTCTGTCACTGACCCGTTGGTATCCACTTTATAGGAGCCTTATGATTACATTGGGCCCAATCAGATAATCCAGGATTTATCTTCCCGTCTTGAAATCCTTTACTTAACACATCTGAAAGTCACTTGTGTCATGTAAGGTAACATTATTTATAGGTTCCTGGAATTAGGATGTGAACATCATTTTGGGGACATTATTTTTTCTACCACACATGGAATAACTATATTTGTTATTTAAACAAGGACACTGTTGAAAATTAAAGAGGGCGTTATTAATAATTATTTCAGGATAACAGAGGTAAAGAGGAGCTCTTCTTAGAAAATCCAGATAGTAACCTAAGTACACGGCTAGAGTGATAAGAAATGACAAGCTCTCTGAGTTTAAACAGATTTCCTTTCTTTGAAAGTGTCATGTTTTTGTTATCTTGAAAAACTAGTTTTTTCCTTTTTCTTTGTAGTTCTGGAATGTCACCATTATGTGCCTAGTCGTGGATCTTTTAACTCACTATACTCAAGGAAGCTCATTATACTCAAGGATTCTTGGATTCTCAGACTCAAGAGAAACACTAAGAAATTTCTATTATTACTCTGACTTTTTCACCTCAAATATTTTTTCTCTTTCCTCTTTCTGAAACTTCATATATGTGTGTGTCTGTATGCATGCATATATATACATATATACACACACATATTCATATACATATTGACCCTTCTAAGTGGGTTCTCAATTTCTCTTAAATTTTTGTTGTATTTTCTATCTCTTTTTGAGATTCTGAGATTTAGTACACTTTATGTTCCTATTTACTACTATACTCAGCTTAACTTGCCTGCTTTATGGATCTGTGGACTTTGATTTTGAAACATCTCACATGTTTGCCCAGCATTTCTTCTGCTCTGGTTTCTCTTTCAATATTTTCCCTTGCACATTTCAGCTTCATAAAAGTTATTAGAATTTCTGGTTCTCTGATGGTATCTTTTTCTGTTCTTAGTGCTGATATAGATTAATTCATTTTTAAACATTTCTGCAATAATTTAAATGAAATTTGAGGAGCACATGTTATGTTTATATTAGCTTTCCAACTGAAGCTAAATTGTGGCTGCATATTATTTCACTGTACAAAAAGGTTATAATTAGCTTACCCAGGTACTTAATATAAGTTGTTTCTACTTTAATAGCTATTATGATATTAAGTATTCCATGCTGGATAAACACACACACACATACACACACAAACACACGTGCACATAAATTAGGGAACATATCTGTGATTATTTCCCTATTAAGGGACAAGGATATGTTGAATTGAGGTTTTCCTTTTCCACAAGAAAGATTGCAAATTTCAAATTTCTACTAATTGGTCTGAGATTGTTCAGATGGTAGAGTTTCATTATCTGATAGTCATGTTCTATAAAGTGAAGGAATACTGAACCATTGCTTCTAGGAGAAATGAAGGCTCAAATTCCTGAAGATCTCTGGTCACATTTCATCAACCAATAAATACATAACCTTGTTTTATGTGTGTTTATTTTTAAAGATGCCTTATTTCATATTTTTTAAATTAATTAACATTGAATTCATGGCCAACATCACTATCACTCATGCCTGAATGAAGCCTATCTAACAAACATATTTTCTCTGTGAGGTACATCACAATCTTCTCGAGCTTAGGAACACTAGCTAGACTTCCTCACTATGCTTGGGAGCTGAAATCAAGCCACTTAAAATAGAGAAATCACCAGCAGAAAGCAAAATGATGCAAAACACCTGGCACTAGAAAGACCATGAAAAGGACACTTATTTACAATGTGAGAGTTGAACCATGAAGGCAGAGAAGGCCTTATTGGACCTTAGTTAGAAACATGTGGGTTGGGCGTGAAAGCACTGTGAGCATTGATTTGGAGATTACAAAATATTTTAGTGAGTGGGCAATTCATAAATGTAAAATCACAAATAATGAGAATAGATTGTGTTTCCTTTCTACATATTCCATAACATCTATTAACAACTTTGGAATACAAAAATTAATCCCCCCAAAATTCGAGTTTTTCTTTTTTTTGAACTAGACTGCTTTATTTCAGGGAGCTCTCAAGCTTCTTGTTACTTTGTTAACTAATCATTGAATTTTCCCTCTTGGTCAATCATACAAAATTTAGAATTAATACAATACTATCATTCCCCCCTTTTCAATAAACTTACTGTGTAATCTTCAGCTTGGCATATATTAACTGGGAGCAAAATTTTGACACTGCGAAAGAAAAGATTCAGTGATATCATTAGTTATCCCACCTATATGCTTAGTCTTATAAAACCTAGGACTGCATGTATCATGTTGAAAAGATACTTCAACCTTTGCCTAACACCAGTGTCCCAATCAGGGATCTACTTTCATTTTTCATTTACTGGACCATTACTAATGTCCAATTGACAAGTTTATTAAGCTTTGCCCTCACCCACTTTGATCTACAAACCTGCTCAGTTCAGAGGAGAGAATACAAGACCCACTGCTATTCGTTTTACAGAAATTCAAATGTTCTTTATTTATAAATATAAAAGAGGGTTTGATTCAGTTTCCAGAAGAAGAGAAGACTTGAAGAGTTACACTGAGGACTACCTGATGGCTCTGTAGGTGGAGAAGGAAGGCCAGTACAAAGGAAAGTGCAGGAGTTCAGATTAGAAGAGACACATCCATGGCTTAAGAGAGTAGCAATTCTAAAACATTCTAAATATTCTAAAATATTATAGAATGGAAATCTGGATACAATGGTGACTCTACAAATGGAGCACCATAAACCAGTTGTAGAATGCATTTCTATGAAGTCCAGAAATGTATTGATACTCACTTCAAGATCTCTTGCCTGTTAGAATGAGGATGGTGATTGAGGAGGTAATGGAGAAAAGGTTAAATCATCTCTCCAAGTCATATTCTTCTTTTTGAGCATCTAATTTAGATTTCTTATAGAAAAAGTGTTTTAAAAGAATAAAACATAGACATGAATCTGGATAAATAATATTGTTTGTATCAGTCACGGACTGGAACCATGAGAACATATGACATGAACTACATGTTGGTGTTAAATAAAATAATTAATGCAATGTAATATAAAATAGATCACTAGGAAATTCAGGAGGGGAAATTTTTGAAGCAGTTCCATAGAAACAGAGCTACTCTGGGAGTCAGGAGTTCTGGGAGATGCAAAATCCAAAGCGGGTTCTTGCACCCACTCTGGGATATTTTGGCCAGTCAGGTTCTTGGTGCTTTGGGTTCCTCAATTGTAAGATGACAGAGGTAAACTAAGTGATCTCTAAAACAGTCCCAATATCTACTATTCAACAAGTCACAGTAATAGACAGAGAAGTAGGAAAATTGTGTTTTAAGTTCCTGTCTTAGATGCTGTAAAGAAGAAAGTGATACTTCTACAAAGTCAAAGAGATTGACGTTGGAGAGATCCTCTTCTGATTTAGCAAGGACATAGTTATTGACCACATTAGATATCATCTGATTATAATTAAGTTATGGAACATTTAAGTGGGGAAGATAAAGAGAGAAATAAACATATTTATATTCCAAATATAGCAATAACTAAAAAAATCGGCAAGTCATATCTCACATACATAGACATGAGAAGAAATGTGGTCACTGGACATTGCCCTTTTTCTATTTTTACAAATGCTTTCTTTAGTTTTTTCCAGAGGGTGGTGAGGTACATAGGGTAGAGTACATAGTTAATTTTATATAATTATAAACGAGTGTATTTGAATAAAAATTCTACTATTTATTTATTTATTTATTTATTTATTTTTGAGACAAAGTCTCATTCTGTTGCCCAGGCTGGAGTGCATGATCTCGGCTCACTGCAACCTCCGCCTCCTGAGTTCGAGCAATTCTCCTGCCTCAGCCTCTTGAATAGCTGGGATTACAGGCATGTGCCACCACGCCCAGCTAATTTTTGTATTTTTAGTAGAAACGGTTTCACCATGTTGGCCAGGCTGGTCTCAAACTCCTGACCTCAGGTGATCCACCCACCTCAGCCTTGCAAAGTGTTGGGATTACAGGCATGAGCTATCATGCCTGGCCAAAATTCTATTTTTTAAAAAGTATATCTTACCTATGTTTAGATAATTTTTCTGATGAGTTAGTACTCATATGGGTGCTTTTTTTTTTTTGAAATACATAGACTATTGGTCTTAGACATAACAGGACACACACTAAATTCTATTAAAACAATTCAGGGACTCACCCATGCATACAGCAATTATGATTGTGAACATCCAAGACAAATTAGTATGGAATGTCTTAATTAAAGCTGGGTAAAGTAATTTTTTTACAGATAGATTGAATTTTATTAAATATTTAGAGTGGTATATTTTCATTTCACTCTTATGTAATTAATATTTAGCACAGTTCTTTGGGTATCAGGTTGCATTATTTATGCACATTTTTTGAGAAATATAATAGTGTTTTTTTGTTTTGTTTTGTTTTGTTTTGTTTGTTTTGCGATGGAGTCTTGCTCTGTCACCCAGAGTACAATGGCTGGAGTGCAATGGTGCAATCTTGGCTCACTGCAACCTCCACCTCCCGGGTTCAAGCGATTCTCCTGCCTGAACCTCCTGAGTAGCTGGGATTACAGGTGTGTGCCACCACGCCCAGCTAATTTTTTGTATTTTTAGTAAAGACGGGGTTTCACTGTGTTAGCCAGGAGGGTCTCGGTCTCCTGACCTCTTGATCTGCCTGCCTCGGCCTCCCTAAGTGCTGGGATTACAGGCATGAGCCACTGCGCCCGGCCTGAGAAATATAATAGTATTTCTAAGAAGTCTCTGGAAAATAGACCATAATTTTTTTTATTATATTCAAAATGCAAATTTTGCCTTTTGCTAACCAGATAAAAATACTTATGATTTTCGTATTTGCTTAGTTACAGGTATTAACTGAGCAAAATTGTTAAAATGTGTTTGATTTTGTTTGGATAGGGATTTGTTTTCATGTTTTCAAACTAAAGTTGAGAATCTTTTCCAGTGGCATTCTTAACTCATAGATATGATGTGAAAATTGTAGTTGCCTTAATCCTGCTCTTGTTGTCTTTAGGAAAACTGTGACTCATATCAGTAGCTTATTACCAAAGTTACATGGCTATTAGAGTTTGAGCCTTGGGATAGAAGAGTAAACATTCTGCTTTTGTCATGAGATACTGTTTTTTTGGCTATAGTATTCCCTCTAAGGCAGCCTCTAAGAAAAGCATCATTTATCTTAGTTTAGCTATGAGAAGTCTACAGAAATCCTTTCCTCATTTTAAAAAAATGAGTTTTCAGAAATATCCACAAATATTCAATGAATAGTTAAGCACAAAACTGTGTAATGTTTAGTAACACTCAACAGATGTTTTGCTAAGCCTTTTTTAAAAATTATAAATCAATAAATACATAAAGAAAAAACACCTTGAAAATCTTTATATCCTTTAATGGTAAAATAGGACAGTATGAATTCTCATCTAGTCCTATGGTTTTCACATTGGGAGTAAAAGCGCTTGGATTTAATGAGAAGTGTTCTGTTGGAATGAAAGAAAACTGAATTTCTTAACTCTAGGCAGTAGCTTATTAGCACAGTATTGTTCTCTGGTAAATACCTTTGCTTCCATTTTCTCACCTGCTTCCACTCGTAAATTCTCACCTCCTGCAATAGAAACTTTGCCTCTTAGTGACTTTGTGGTTGAAACTAGAGAAAAGCTGTTTACTCAGCAACATCTAGTATTTTGCTGCTTCTTCCTGGGTGATTAGATTTAGAAATCATGAAAATGGAGGCTTTTTTCTTCTACTTTTTGTTTGGCAAGCATGTTCTAATTCTTTTTTTTTTTTTGAGACAAGAGTTTCGCTCTGTCACGCAGGCTGGAATGCAGTGGCACGACCTCACCTCACTGCAAACTCTGCCTCCGGGGTTCACGCCCTTCTGCCTCAGCCTCCCAAGTAGCTGAGACTACAGGTGCCTGCCACCATGCCCAGCTAATTTTTTTTGTATTTTTAGTAGAGATGGGATTTCACCATGTTAGCCAGGATGGTCTCGATCTCCTGACCTTGTGATCTGCCTGGCTCAGCCTCCCAAAGTGCTGGGATTACAGGCGTGAGCCACCGCGCCAGGCCAAGCATGTTCTAATTCTTAAAATTGATCTGCCAATGACTGTGGAAAAGGTAATCACTTATTTCATACAGCAATAATTTATTATTAATATTTTTTAAAAATACTAAAAATTAACCTCATATCACAAACTTTTTTTTCTCATAAACTGTTGTGTCACTAGTATAATCTAGAATTTAGGAGGGGAGTTATTTTTTAAAGAAATCACTTATTTGTGATTTTTTTTTTCCTAAAAGGATGATTTAAAAATTATCTTTTGACTTTTCAAAATCAAACTTTTTCTCCTTGAGTTTAAATATTTATTATGTTTCAAATGTCTTAGGAAAAATAAAAGATAATTTTTTCATGTACTGATAGTATATACATTAATTTTCCAGAGCTCTGTCTAACTAGTGCTGATTGATCACCAGAGCACTAATTTCTTCACATTATGCATGCAAATATAAAACTGCTCTCTTGTCTGTGTTATTTCTGGCTTTTAAATGTGTTTACAATATTTTAGAAAGTTGCTTAGTTTTTGAATTTCTCAAATGCCGCATATATCAGTAAGCAAAATAAAGGCCATTAAAAAATTACAGCAGAATTAAAATTTCAAGGCAGAAGTATGTCACTCTCACACGATAAGCCAAAAGAGGTCAGACTTGTCTTTCTAATTATTTCCAGAGACCTGCCCTACAAATCAGGAACCATCACATGGATACATAAAAGTGTCTTTAATTGTGAAAGCAACTATGCAAATTATTCATTGCTATCATCCCTGATCAATTCCCAGATTATTTTCAAACTGAGAGACCCAAAATGACATAATTTTAAGGGAGTTACATGGAATAGTCACTTTGATAATTGTGTACTCATTTTAACATACTAGAAAAATATGATATATTAAAACAAAGCTTTGACTGATATTGTTTAGGATAAAGCTAAATAAAATTTATAAATAAGTCGATTTAAATAAAACATTAAGGAGAAAATTGGACCCTATTGTAGGAGCTTGACTATGGCAGCCATTCTAAGGGTAGCATGTGATTGAGGTTCAGTAAAGTGAGGTCCAAAGCAGCCCTTTTGGCTCTGTAGGTATTATTTGATTGAAAGGAGTCAAGATTTCTCTAAGAACTCTCAGAGTAAGGAGCCTTGTTTTGGGGAAGATGTCCATGAGTGGCATACATAGCAGAACTGTGAGCAAGATGGCACTTCAGAGCCACTGCTGTCACCATCTCTCTCCTTGAATCTTGGTCTTTTTCTCCCTCTGGTGCTTCTGCTGTCTCCCATCTCCTCCATAAGATTTCTTCCTCTACCCTCCTTCCAACTTCAACTATTGCTCTAAATAACTTAATGACTATGGTGTTTCCCTATGTATGTTCCCAAAAGTTATTTCCCAGACCTTGCTCTCTAAATTTAGATGGTCTTGAGTTAAGCACCGCACCTTTGGTATAATCAGTTATGGCCAGGGTGCTGCAGGGATGCCAGATCTACTTAGAGCTGTGAGCAGGGCACGTTCATTCAGACAGTCTGTGAGCTGAAGAAGACAGTTTGATGTCATCTCCAGGATATCATTAATGTCACCCAGGAGGAAATTGAGGCCTAGGAATGATTATACAGCAAATGAATACACATTCAAGACTAGAGTCCATTGGGTTCATTGCTAATCAAATATTATCCCCATTTATCTGAAAATATTTATTATGCATCATCAGCACATGAGATATTATGAAGTAACTAAAAGTGATTTAGCCATAGAGTCTTTCCCCTTTAGAAAACTAATATAGGAAATAGATCCCAGCAATGTCGAGAATTATTATGGACTGTGGAAATGAATAGGTTTAGACTACTATAAAGTTGTGAAACAATGAAGGTTCATTTCCTGAATCTACTGAATTTCTTTGATTTTTTTTTTTTCATTTCCTTTTCTGTCTTTCCTTTCCAGGGGCCTAGTACTATCATGACATGTCTTGTTCTAGAATTCTCTTCTTTTCCTCACTCAGTCCCTATCAAGCTAGATATATTTGCTCCCCAAAGAAAAAAATGTTTCTTTCAGCTCTTTTTTCTTCTTTTCCTTTCCTTTCCTTCCTCCCTTCTTTCCTTTCTTTCTTCCCTATTTCTATCCTTCCTTTCTCTTTCTTTCCAACATTGCCAACTGACAAACAACCCTTCTCAGGTAAGATTTTTTAAAAGGAAGAACCTCTGGAACTATATTTATTTTTTTGTGCGTCACTGATTACTTTTTTGTTCCATTGTTTACATTTCCCGTCATCTTACTGACTGCCTACTGCTGTTCTTCAAGAGCTCTATATTTGTACCTCTTTGCTTTTCTATTTTATTGAGTCTATTGTCATGTCATATATTTTTGCATCCCTTCTTCTTATATTATCAGTTTCTAATCATATTTCCAACTGCTTTTATAATATTTATATGGGTATCACATTATTGCCTCATCTTAATGCTTTGAAAATTAAAGCATCACATTGGCCCTGCTCTGCAATAGGGATATTCCTATCCTAGGAATTAGTTCTAAATAACTAATTTTCATCAATGATCAGTTTTTTTTTGTTTGTTTGTTTTATTTTGTTTGTTTTTTTTTTTTTTTTTGAGACGGAGTCTTGCACTGTTGCTTAGGCTGGAGTGCAGTGGCACGATCTTGGCTCACTGCAAGCTCCGCCTCCTGGGTTCACCCATTGTCCTGCCTCAGCCAATGATCAGGTCTTTAACTTGATCTTTAGTCTTCTCTTTCTTGAATTTCAGGATGTTACCACTTTTTGCCTTTATTAATAATGTGCGTGTGGATATTCAAAAATTTTTAAATCTATTTTCCTCTATATTCAAACCCTTCCTTTCCTTCAAGAACCCAAAACCTACCACACTCATAAAATTATCAGACTGCCACAGCATTTGGTAACCTCTATAACTGTATTTTTCTGACACCACATGAATTAGCAATCATTAGGTTAAAGAGATATTTTAAGAATAGGAATTAATATTTCTAGAAATAAAACATCTAAAAAATGGTTTATAAAAAGTCACTTTTTTAGGCTAATCAAACATAATATAGTCATTATAATGTTACTATAGGCAGAGAAACTTACAGGGCTGATGTACAGTATTAATTTTTAGGTTCATTTTAACATGCAGTTATTGGGTCCAGATATTATAATAGAGTGGAAAGATTCAACTGTCTATTAATAAAAGACTAGAAGCAATCATGGCACCTCCATACAGTAGGCTGTTTTATAGTTTTGAAGAAGCTTGGCATATGTCCTGCAAGACCATTGAGTCAAGGGAAAAAGCACATTGCAGAAGAGGATACACAATCTAATATATGCATACAACAAATGTTCATACAAATATGTACACACATTTTATATTTGTACAGGGTCAGTGTTGAAAATGGTGCAACAAATTGTCCACACTGGCTTCTACTAAGGTAATGTAATAGTTACTTTATACATTTTATTATATTTTGAAATTTCCCAATAAGCCTAAATTAATATTATAATAAAACAAATGTATTACAAACAACAAAAAAAAATAAAGAACATTGGAAAAATAAATGCTATCACTTTAACGGACATACTCATTCCATTTCTAGTTGTTTAATAATTGTGAAAGTGAAAAAAGTCTCATGTTACAGTACATTCATTCTATATGAAATATTAACAACTTTAATACTTAATAGTTGCAAGTGTCATTTATAAATAAAGTTATATTTTTAAATTATTTCATTATTTTGGTGCTGTTTATAAGGCTTCAAAAGATACTCATATTACTTGAGAAATATATGTTGTCTTTTCTTCTAGGTGTTATAAACTTTAAACAAATTTAATTTGCTGTGTATTTTAGTTGAATATGGAGACCGACCTGCTGAAGTAAAAATAATAGTAAAAGTAACTCTATATCATTCAAAAATGGCATGCTGTTATAATTTTATAGTTTCATTTATAATTTTACAGTTTGTAATTTCATCCAGTTCTCTACGACAACATACTTGATTCTTTTGGGATTAGACTTTGGAGCAATAAGATGTGATTTTTTTTCTTAAAGTCATTGTAATCTAAAATTGTCCAGGTCTCACAAATCTTGCTGCTCTTTTTTTTTTTCATTATTTTTTATTATTATACTTTTAAGTTTTAGGGTACATGTGCACAATGTGCAGGTTAGGTACATATGTATACCTGTGACATGCTGGTGCGCTGCACCCACTAACTCGTCATCTAGCATTAGGTATATCTCCCAATGCTATCCCTCCCCCTTTCCCCCACCCCACAACAGTCCCCAGAGTGTGATGTTCCCCTTTCTGTGTCCATGTGTTCTCATTGTTCAATTCCCACCTATGAGTGAGAATATGCAGTGTTTGGTTTTTTGTCCTTGCGATAGTTTACTGAGAATGATGATTTCCAATTTCATCCATGTCCCTACAAAGGACGTGAACTCATCATTTTTTATGGCTGCATAGTATTCCATGGTGTATATGTGCCACATTTTCTTAATCCAGTCTATCATTGTTGGACATTTGGGTTGGTTCCAAGTCTTTGCTATTGTGAATAGTGCCGCGATAAACATACGTGTGCATGTGTCTTTATAGCAGCATGATTTATAATCCTTTGGGTATATACCCAGTAATGGGATGGCTGAGTCAAATGGTATTTCTAGTTCTAGATCCCTGAGGAATCACCACACTGACTTCCACAATGGTTGAACTAGTTTACAGTCCCACCAACAGTGTAAAAGTGTTCCTATTTCTCCACATCCTCTCCAGCACCTGTTGTTTCCTGACTTTTTAATGATTGCCATTCTAAGTGGTGTGAGATGATATCTCACTGTGGTTTTGATTTGCATTTCTCTGATGGCCAGTGATGGTGAGCATGTTTTCATGCGTATTTTGGCTGCATAAATGTCTTCTTTTGAGAAGTGTCTGTTCATGTCCTTCGCCCACTTTTTGATGGGCTTGTTTGCTTTTTCCTTGTAAATTTGTTTGAGTTCATTGTAGATTCTGGATATTAGCCCTTTGTCAGATGAGTAGGTTGTGAAAATTTTCTCCCATTTTGTGGGTTGCCTGTTCACTCTGATGGTAGTTTCTTTTGCTGTGCAGAAGCTCTTTAGTTTAATTAGATACCATTTGTCAATTTTGGCTTTTGTTGCCGTTGCTTTTGGTGTTTTAGACATGAAGTCCTTGCCCATGCCTATGTCCTGAATGGTAATGCCTAGGTTTTCTTCTAGGGATTTTATGGTTTTAGGGCTAACATTTAAGTCTTTAATCCATCTTGAATTGATTTTTGTATAAGGTGTAAGGAAGGGATCCAGTTTCAGCTTTCTACATATGGCCAGCCAGTTTTCCCAGCACTATTTATTAAATAGGGAATCCTTTCCCCAATACTTGTTTTTCTCAGGTTTGTCAAAGATCAGATAGTTGTAGATTTGTGGCGTTATTTCTGAGGGCTCTGTTCTGTTCCATTGATCTATATCTCTGTTTTGGTACCAGTACCATGCTGTTTTGGTTACTGTAGCCTTGTAGTATAGTTTGAAGTCAGGTAGCATGATGCCTCCAGCTTTGTTCTTTTGGCTTAGGATTGACTTGGTGATGCGGGCTCTTTTTTGGTTCCATATGAACTTTAAAGTAGTTTTTTCCAATTCTGTGAAGAAAGTCATTGGTAGCTTGATGGGGATGGCATTGAATCTATAAATTACCTTGGGTAGTATGGCCAATTTCATGATATTGATTCTTCCTACCCATGAGCATGGAATGTTCTTCCATTTGTTTGTATCCTCTTTTATTTCACTGAGCAGTGGTTTGTAGTTCTCCTTGAAGAGGTCCTTCACGTCCCTTGTAAGTTGGATTCCTAGGTATTTTATTCTCTTTGAAGCAATTGTGAATGGGAGTTCACTCATGATTTGGCTCTCTGTCTGTTATTGGTGTATAAGAATGCTTGTGATTTTTGTACATTGATTTTGTATCCTGAGACTTTGCTAAAGTTGCTTATCAGCTTAACGAGATTTTGGGATGAGACAATGGGGTTTTCTAGATATACAATCATGTTGTCTGCAAACAGGGACAATTTGACTTCCTCTTTTCCTAATTGAATACCCTTTATTTCCTTCTCCTGCCTAATTGCCCTGGCCAGAACTTCCAACACTATGTTGAATAGGAGCGGTGAGAGAGGGCATCCCTGTCTTGTGCCAGTTTTCAAAGGGAATGCTTCCAGTTTTTGCCCATTCAGTATGATATTGGCTGTGGGTTTGTCATAGATAGCTCTTATTATTTTGAGATATGTCCCATTAATACCTAATTTGTTGAGAGTTTTTAGCATGAAGGGTTGTTGAATTTTGTCAAAGGCCTTTTCTGCATCTATTGAGATAATCATGTGGTTTTTGTCTTTGATTCTGCTTATATGCTGGATTACATTTATTGATTTGCGTATATTGAACCAGCCTTGCATCCCAGGGATGAAGCCCACTTGATCATGGTGGATAAGCTTTTTGATGTGCTGCTGGATTCGGTTTGCCAGTATTTTATTGAGGATTTTTGCATCAATGTTCATCAAGGATATTGGTCTAAAATTCTCTTTTTTGGTTGTGTCTCTGCCCAGCTTTGGTATCAGGATGATGCTGGCCTCATAAAATGAGTTAGGGAGGATTCCCTCTTTTTCTATTGATTGGAATAGTTTCAGAAGGAATGGTACCAGTTCCTCCTTGTACCTCTGGTAGAATTCGGCTGTGAATCCATCTGGTCCTGGACTCTTTTTGGTTGGTAAGCTGTTGATTATTGCCACATTTCAGCTCCTGTTATTGGTCTATTCAGAGATTCAACTTCTTCCTGGTTTAGTCTTGGGAGAGTGTATGTGTCGAGGAAAGGAACAACCGGTACCAGCCGCTGTAAAATCATGCCAAAATGTAGAGACCATCGAGACTAGGAAGAAACTGCATCAACTAATGAGCAAAATAACCAGCTAACATCATAATGACAGGTTCAAATTCACACATAACAATATTAACTTTAAATGTAAATGGACTAAATGCTCCAATTAAAAGACACAGACTGGTAAATTGGATAAAGAGTCAAGACCCATCAGTGTGTTGTATTTGGGAAACCCATCTCACATGCAGAGACACACATAGGCTCAAAATAAAAGGATGGAGGAAGATCTACCAAGCAAATGGAAAACAAAAAAAGGCAGGGGTTGCAATCCTAGTCTCTGATAAAACAGACTTTAAACCAACAAAGATCAAAAGAGACAAAGAAGGCCATTACATAATGGTAAAGGGATCAATTCAACAAGAAGAGCTAACTATCCTAAATATATATGCACCCAATACAGGAGCACCCAGATTCATAAAGCAAGTCCTGAGTGATCTACAAAGAGAATTAGACTCCCACACATTAATAATGGGAGCCTTTGACACCCCACTGTCAACGTTAGACAGATCAACGAGACAAAAGGTCAACAAGGATACCCAGGAATTGAACTCAGCTCTGCACCAAGCGGACCTAATAGACATCTATAGAAGTCTCCACCCCAAATCAACAGAATATACATTTTTTTCAGAACCACACCACACCGATTCCAAAATTGACCACATAGTTGGAAGTAAAGCTCTCCTCAGCAAATGTAAAAGAACAGAAATTATAACAAACTGTCTCTCAGACCACAGTGCAATCAAACTAGAACTCAGGATTAAGAAACTCACTCAAAACCGCTCAACTACATGGAAACTGAACAACCTGCTCCTGAATGACTACTGGGTACATAACGAAATGAAGGCAGAAATAAAGATGTTCTTTGAAACCAAGGAGAACAAAGACACAACATACCAGAATCTCTGGGACACATTCAAAGCAGTGTGTAGAGGGAAATTTATAGCACTAAATGCCCACAAGAGAAAGCAGGAAAGATGCAAAATTGACACCCTAACATCACAATTAAAAGAACTAGAAAAGCAAGAGCAAACACATTCAAAAGCCAGCAGACGGCAAGAAATAACTAAAATCAGAGCAGAACTGAAGGAAATAGAGACACAAAAAACCCTTCAAAAAATTAACGAATCCAGGAGCTGGTTTTTTGAAAGGATCAACAAAATAGATAGACCACTAGCAAGACTAATAAGGAAAAAAAGAGAGAAGAATCAAATAGACACAATAAAAAATGATAAAGGGGATATCACCACCGATCCCACAGAAATACAAACTACCATCAGAGAATACTACAAACACCTCTACACAAATAAACTAGAAAATCTAGAAGAAATGGATAAAATCTTGCTGCTCTTAACCACTATCGGTACACCTTCAGAATGGCCATGTTTTATGCCGGAAACTGCCTTGTTTACTCTGCAACTCCCTTGGTATTTCACTTTCACCCATTATCAGTTCTTTCATGTTTTTCTGTCCTACCCTCCTACTGCAGAAAGCTCACTTCCTGGCAGTGCCCAGTCACTGTTCCTAGAGCAGCCCTAGGGATTGCTGTTTTCTGCTATCTGTGGAAGCCCAAGGACAGAAAGGTTGTACGCAGGCAGCACTTCCTTTCAGCTTTACCTTACCAGAGACTTGCTGTTTGGAACACAGAAATGGGTGAGGACACTCTACTCTTACCGTTTTGCCCCCATCTCATCCTGGCAATGCTTGTGTTGTGGTTCCTTTACCTATAACTTCCTCCTGTCAAGACTTGTAGGAGGTTTAGGAGAGGCTGTTCTGGGGAATGTGCAGTTTGTGTCTGTTGCTGCTTCCTTTTCTTGGTTCCTGGTTCCCACCTCTCAGGCATGCACCAGACATCCTCCTTAGACTTCCTTAACGAAGGACACCTTCTCTGCATGCAAATCAGCTCTTAAAAATGGATACCTGGGGGTGAATCAATGTCTAACCTAATTCTAAATATAAATTTAAGCTTAGCCTGCAATTCTGTGACATGAAACAGATTTATAAGTTTGCTTAACATTATCTATACACTATGGTCATGTAAAATTGCTTTGACTGGAAACCTGAGAAAAACATTTTTACTTACAATTTCTTTTTAAAAATTTGCTTTCTTTCAGAGTTTGAATTGGTATTTCCAAGAACCAGATAATAATTACAAATTTCTATTCTTTTGCAGTTTTGCTCCTTTCCCATAATTCTGGTACTCCAGAAAGTAGAACTAACCAAATAAATGTGCAATTTGATTTAAAATTGTACCACTGGTCCTGACAGTAAGAACAATTGTAATTTTGCCTTAACGTCCTTTTTTCACACTTACCAGATGCCTTGAAACTGTAAATACATTTTAAAAACGTGGAGAAACTTTTTTTCCCACTTCCTACTTATTTTGTTCTAACTGTATTTCACAATTCCCTGTTGCTCCGGTGATTTATGTGTTTGCCATTTTGTCTGTGATGAAAATATTTGTAAAGTTACCTTCAGTAAAAAGACTATATCCATTAACTTAAGAATGGCATGATACTTTAAATTTTTAAAATGAATTTGATAAGGGAATTATTTTAGAAAAATAAAGACTTTAAGTTTGATGTTTTGGTTTATTTTTCAATAAGATGACAAACGAAGGGTAAAGTACATGGAAGACTAGATGAGAGGGCTATCACAGGAAGCACCCATAGACTTTAGATACATATGCAAAGGGATTTAATAATCTATTCACCAATTTGGTGAGGGAGGGATTCTTGTTTTAGGATTATGGGGATAGACTAATACACAATATTCACACTAGATTGTACAGATGAAATTGATAGCAGATTATCACATATACACACTCCTAGCACAGGGAAAGAGGATACAGCACACCACCGTGGGCCACATGAAGTTGCACTCAAAAGCAGAAGGAACAAGTAGAGGCTGTGGGAGAGAGGCTTCATAGTGTCAAGAGAGCAGGGTGACACCTGATTCCCATGGGAGGATGTGGTTGGCTTATTTGAAAAATTCCACCACTGGCAGAAAATTGAAACCTGCTACTCAGGTATCAGCAAGAACTCCACCTAGTCCCTTTGATAAGGAGCCTTGTTTGGCTGGGGGACCTTATCCACAGGAGCATAATGGAGAAGGGAGCTTGTGCGTAAGCCATTTGAGTCCTTATTGGTTTCACCAGAGGGCCTTAGTTTTGGCATTACAACTCAAAATGACTCCTGTGTTGTCTTTACTTACGAGGAACAAATACCTTCTCTAGTAGTTAAAAAAAAAAAAAAGATGTTTTATTACAAAGGCAAAAACAAGGGCTCTTATGGATGTCCAAGGCCCTGCACTATGGGAAGAGTTCAAGACCCTAAACCTGTATTCTATGTTCTCCAAGAGCAGTCCTCTTTCTCTCATTCGTGGATGATATGCTCGAATATGTGTAGAGCATCCTTGCAAGTAGGGAGCTACTTACACTTTCTCTTCCTAATAATTGTCAACAAAAAGAGTCAAACTCTGTAAAATATTTTAAGAGATTTATTCTGAACCAAATATGAATGACCATGGCCCATGACACAGCCCTTAGGAGGTCCTGAGAACATGTGCTCAAGGTGGTCAGGGTGCAGCTTGGTTTTATATATTTTTAGGGAGGCATGAGACATCAGTCAAATACACTTAAGAAATACATTGGTTTGGTTCAGAAAGGCAGGACAACTCCAAGTTGGGGGTCTTCCAGGCTATAGGTAAATTTAGACATTTTCTGGTTTACAATTGGCTGAGTTTATCTGAAGAACTAGGATCAATGGAAAGGAATGTTTAGGTTAAGATAAAGGATTGTGGAGACCAAGTTTTATGGTGCAGAGGAATCTCTCAGATAGCTGACTTCAGAGAGAGAGAGCAGGTTATAAAATGTTTCTTATCAGACCTAAAAGGGTACCTGGCTCTTATTTGATTGTCTCCTGGACCTGGAAAGAAAGGAAGGAAAACAAAGGGGAAAGAGGATTCTCTATAGGATGTGGATTTTTCCCACAGGATACTTTGCAGGGCAATTTCAAGGTATGGCAAGGAAATATATTTTGGGGTTAAATATTTTTTCCTTGTCTTGTAATGTTATGCCAGAGTCAGACTGAAAAGTAAGTCACAATATATAGGGTCAAATAAAATCCATCTAATGCGAATTTATGGTTGTCAGGCATGACTCCCTAGACCACTTAGGTAGGAATTTGGGTAAGATAAAAAATCAGAACTTAGTCCTCATAATCTTGTATGTTTCTCTTGAGAGTCTTGACTTTCCAGCTACAGTGCTTGCTAACAACTCTTTCTATGCTTTCCAGTTCCAATTCCAAAGAGATCTGATGATCTCTTTTGCCATTGTTGCAGAGGGATTAACACATGGCCAGGTTATGAATGAGCTGCTTCTGAGACAGGCATCCATTCTTATTATACTCAGTGGTAGCTAAAATAGATGTGGAGACACATAACAAAACATGGCTAAATAAAGAAGCAGAAATTGAGGGCATGGGTTTCCTCATCAAGGAAAGATGTGGGAAGCAAGACCTTCTGAAATATGCATAGCAAAATACCCCAGAGCCTCAAACCAGTTCTGCACTGCATTTTTTTCTTTCATAAAATAAAACTTTAATTTTTTAACTACCAAGTCAAACTAGTGAATCAGCCTTGGCTTTTCCCTCTTTCTTCTTTCCACTCCCCATCTGTATTTTTGACAAACTAAAGATGTGAAGTTTTCTTTCTTAATATTTCTCTCTTCCTTTGAAATATAAAGACATTACCCAGATCCAGGCTCCTTTCCCTTCAGCGTGAATCTGTTACAGCTGTCCTCTGGCACCTTTAGGGATCCTGTACCTCCAGAATCTCTCTTTGTCAGTCCCTGCTGTACCCAGCCCAACCAATCCTAATGAAACACCAGTTTCAAATAGGCTTATGTATCTCCCTATTCTTCCAGAATTGTCCTCAAGGCAATACCTTGAATTGACTCCTATCTTTCTATGTATCTGCCCTATTTCCTGACAAAAGGAGGCTAACTTTAGGGAATTTTACACCTGCATAGACAACTGGAATTGCAGGTTAGGATGAGATTAAGATCAAGATTGTTATATGTTTTGCTGCATTTGTTGTTTTCCAAACCAGATCATAACCCCCTGGAGGATAGGAATTAAGTCAGGTTCTTTTTACCCTAGAACCCATTCAATCATATACACTTTGATGTTGATTTCTTTATACTTTGAAAGCATTTATAGGAAGTTATTTGTGTAAGAGTTAAAGAAGAAAGAAACACAAAAAGTGGCTCAACAGTCAAAGACAGGTTTATTTTGGAGAATAAACCTGAGAGGGGCATCTGGCCAATTTTGGTCAGGAGCATTCTCTCTTACAGACTAAGGGTATTTAAGCGTTTAGGAAGGGAGAGCTTATCACAAGCTCAGAATGTTTCTGTGCACAGGAGAGTTTTATTGTGGGGTCGGCATGTCTCTGGACAGAGGGTAGGTTATCTCAGGGCTGGCATGTTTCTGGTTGGAGTGGAGGTTATCTCAGGGCTGGCATGTTTCTGGTTGGATGGAGATTTATCTCAGAGCTGGAATGTTTCTGGTCGGAGGTGTCACTTGTAGTTTATGGTCATGCTGACATTAGTCATTAGGCTAATGGTTTGGGGCTGGATTTACGCGGTTTTTAATCAAGGGGAACTTAAAATTGCTGTGTTTGTCCTAGATGGTGATGATCCTGCTCTGTCAATTTGTATTGGTTATTTGATTCAACTGCTTAGAAAAAAATAAGTATGGCTATTTTGTCTTATCTGATGGGATTACATAGTATAAAAACAGACTGGCTTAAGTATGGCATCTCAACATCTCACAGCCACAAACTGGATATTGCGTCCTAATAATGAATTCACGTTGATGATCTTTTCAGTGGTATTGCAAAAGAACTCCCTTATTGATTAAACACAGCTCTTGATTTTTCTAAGCATATAAGTAAAACTCAAAGAATTAAAACAATAAAGTTTTCCTGGGAGAGGAAAATCAGGAAATCTGACATAAAATGCCAGTTTGCCTTAAATTAGTAATTACTTGTGTAAAGTGTGCATTAAAAGATACATAGCCTGGGCACAGTGCCTCACACCTGTAATTCCAGCACTTTGGGAGGTTAAGCCGGGCAGATCACTTGAGGTCAGAAGTTCAAGAGCAGCCTGGCCAACATGGCAAGAACCCATCTCTACAAAAAATAGAAAAATTAGCTGAGCATGGTGGCATGCTCCTTTAGTCCCAGCTTCTCAAGAGGCTGAGGCAGGAGAATGGCTTGAACACAGGATGCAGAGGTTGCAGTGAGCCGAGATCGCATCACTGCATTCCAGCCTGGATGATAGAGTGAGACTCCATCTCCAAAAAAAAAAAAGATACATAAATACCACTTAACTATGTGATTTGTTGAAATTATGTTCTATGTATTTACTTTTATCACATTGAAATACATTCTGTTCTTATATATTTTTTTTCAAGTTAAGGGTGAATGCCAAACATGCATAAACCTCACCTATAGAGTCTATTGCCTTTCAGCCTTGTTATGCCTTAATACTGATTCTGTATGCATATATACATAATTTGGTAGATATTTAGCAATGTTACATTTGGAAAAACTAGGCCAGTGTACTATAATCAGCTTTGGAAAAGTTGTTCTCATTTGCAATTTTTCTTACAATTGAACAAATGACTGTTAAATACTTCATTTTTCTAAGTATATGGATTAAAATATAGCTTGTAGAAATGTCAGAGTATTCTAACTTGAAATGTAGGAAAGCGTTTTGTGTAGTTTTGTAAGTTCTTTCTTCAATTTTGTGGATTAGTAAGTACATAAAAAGAATTCATTCTGACTGTAGGCTGACAACATTGGATTGGCAGCTGAAAAAAGTTGTCAGCATTGCCTGTCAGATTCAAACTTAGCAGTGTACAAGGTTTATAAAAGCTTGAAGCTATCCTGTCAACACTGGCATTTCATTAAAGATTAATTAACCCGAATTTGCTTGCTAATAAAGATCAAAATATCAGTCATTTCTCTCACAAAAAACGTGTGACTAACTTGTAGCTTATGCCTTGTGTATGTGCATATTCATGGTTAAGAAATGAAGTACTATAGGTCTTTTTTAAGTTTATACTAAAGGCAATGGTGTGCAAAGGAAAGTGGAAGGTTTTAGTTAAAATTAGATCAGAGCATACACATAGCTAAAACTGACTTCAGTATTTGCTGCAACCAGGAAAATAGAGGAAAATATCTCTTTTCTTTGAAGACCATTCCAGAATTGATTTTACACTTCACTTTTCTAATGTTCACATATTAGAAAAAAAGTTAATCCTATTTAAAATGTGAAAATAGATCACTTCATATTTCCAACTGACTACAATATAATACAGTGAAAATGTTGCTAAAGTTCTATATAAACTATATGTGTTAAATAAGTAAATGAAATTACCAGACCCTCATGACTTTTCCGCTCTTATAGCAATAATAAAAACATCATTTAAAGCTGCTGTGTTACATTAAGTCATTACTGGGCAACTTATTTAATGAAAAATAAGCTTATCCATTATGTAACAAATGTTTTATTGGTAATGTATTGTGTTCCCTGAACTCTGCAATGTAATGAGGATAAATGGTAAGCAAAACAGACACATTATGTATCCTCACGGATTTAACAATTTATTGGGGGAACAACTATGGGTTTAAGTCATACTACAATGCAAAATTGCAGCTCTACATGTGCTATGAAGGAGTGGTTTCCAGGACCATAAGAGTCTGTGATAAGGGGGTTTACAGAATAAAGCAGATCAAGGAAGTCCTCTTTAAGAGGTTGCCCTGGAGTTTAGACCTGAAGAATTTGTGAGGAGGTATCAGTTGAAAGAGTCAGGGAAAGATCTGCCCAGACAGAAGGGCTGAATAAAAGACCCTTTGGCAAGAAGGAGTGTAACAAACACAGGGACTGTTATGGGTTGCATTATGTCACACCAAAAAGATATGCTGAAGTCTTAACCCCAAGTACCTCAGAATGTGACTTTATTTGGAAACAAGGACTTTGCAGATTTTACAAAGTTAGAATGAGGTCACTGGGGTAGACCCCAATCCAATATGACGCGTGTTCTTGTAAGAAGGAGAAAGGTGGGCATGGACATGCAGAGGAAAGACTATGTGAAGAGACACAGAGAATAAGGACATATTCAAGCCAGGGAATTCCTGAGGTTACCAGAAGCCAGGAAAGAGGCCTGGAACTGATCCTTCCCTAGCACCTTCAGTGGGAGCATGACTCTGCTAACACCTTGAGTTTGGCCTTCTGGCCTCCAGAAGTGTGGCACAATAAATTTCTGTTGTTATCAGTCACTCAGTTTGTAATACTTTGTTACAACAGCCCTAGGAATGTAATACAGGGACTGAAAACATATCAGTGTAGATTGCAAAGGAAGAATAAGAGCAACTTGATCTGAAGAGAGGATAGAACAATAGGCAGGGACAAGACAATAGGTCCTGAAGGCCATTTTTATGAGTTTCCTTTTTATTCTAAGAGCAAAGGATTTAAGAAGTACAAGAAAAAGATGATAGTAGCTTGGACACTAGAGTGGTAGTAATGGTTATAGAGAGAAATCATTGGAAATAGGGAAGTGAATAAAAAATTATGAATAAACCACAAAAACTCAGGCTTACTCAAGGACATCATTTAAGCCATTGTGTTTGCTTTTGTCATCAATTTTTCAATCTCTATTAAAAACTGGTTTTCGTTAACAGATTGAGGAGTAGTTGGCATGTAATATAATGCATGTTTAAAAAGTGTGAAATTTAATAAATTTTGACATATAATTATAAAGGTATCATAATCAAGATAGTTAACATCCAATCATCTCATATCCAATAATCCAATAATTAATGTCTAAACCCAAAATTTTCCTAGTTCCTCTATGTGTTACTTTATTTATTTATTTATTGAGATGGAGTCTTGCTTTGTTGCCTAGCCTAGAGTGCAGTGGTGCGATCTTGGCTCACTTCAACCTCTGCCTCCCCGGTTCAAGTGATTCTCCTGCCTCAGCCTCCTGAGCAGCTGGGACTATAGGTGCACACCACCATGCCCAGCTAATTTTTGTATTTTTAGTAGAGACGGGGTTTCACTATATTGGCCAAGCTGATCCAATCTCCTGACTTTGTGATCCACCCACCTTGGCCTCCCAAAGTGCTGGGATTACAGGCATGAGCCAAAGCGCCCGGCTGTTACTTTATTTTAATATTCCTTTCTCTGAAATTTATTTTTCTTATATTGTCATCCCAGTTTTTTATTATTAGCATGACGTATTATTTCCCACTATTTTAAAACTTATTTGTATCTTTGTATTAAAGGGAGTTCCCTGCAGACAGCAAATAATTGGATTTTACTTTCTTGTTTAATTTGATAATGTCTGCCATTTAATTGGAATATTTAGTTCACTTACATTTAATGTGACTATTGGTATGGTTAGGTATTAATCCACCTTTTTTTTTTTTTTTTTTTTTTTTTTTTTTGAGACAGAGTCTCGCTCTGTCACCCAGGCTGGAGTGTAGTGGTGCCGTCTCGGCTCACTGCAACCTCCACCTCCTGGGCTCAAGCGATTCTGCCTCAGCCTCCCAACTAGCTGGGACAACAGGCGCGTGCCACCACACCTGGCTAAGTTTTTGTATTTTTAGCAGAGGTGGGGTTTCACTGTTTTAGCCAGGGTGGTCTTGATGTCCTGACCTCGTGATCTGCCCACCTCGGCCTCCCAAAGTGCTGGGATTACAGGTGTGAGCCACCATTCCTGGCTAACCCACCATTTTCTACTTGTTTTCTATTTGTTTCCTTTGTTCTTTGTAATTTTTCCCTTTTTTCCTGCTTTCTTTAGGATTATTTTTATTCCATTTTATGTATATTGTTACCTTATTAGTCATAACCCTTTATTTTGGTGGTTGTTTCTTGCTTCAAGTAATATTAAGTTATGTACCTCTTCACATATAGTATGAGGAACTTGTAAGAAAATATTACTACTTCCAATTTCTTCTCCTGGCCTTTCTGTTATTATTGTCATGCATATTATTGTATATATGTTATAAAAGTCACAGTACAAGTCATTTATCACTTGAATGCATTTAACTATTAAGGAAAATATCTTATGTATTTACCCAAAAAAGTTAATTCTACTTGTGATCTTCATTTCTTTGAGGGAATTTTAATTTTTACATGATTATCATTTTACTAAATTACTTTTTTGGACATTTCTTGTAGTGTGGGGTTTGCTGGTGAAAAATTGGTTCATTTTCTTTGTCTGAAAGTACTTATTTTAGCATTTTTTAAATGATATTCTTCCAGGTTATAAAATTCTAGATTGGCGTCCTATTATTTCTTTTAGTATTTAAAAATGTTGCTCAACTGACTGCTTACTTCATTGTTTTCTACTAGAAATTGGCTGTCATTTTGATCTTTGTCTTTTGTAAAGGCATATGTTTTTTTGTCTGACCCCTTTCGAGATTTTATCACTGATTCTGAGCAATTTGAATATAATGTATCTTGACATAGTTTTCTTCATGTTTCTTGTGGTTGAAGTTTGATATGATTCTCGGAACTGAGAGTATATAGTTTTCCTCAAATTGCAAGATTTTGGCTACTATTTCTTCATAATTTTTTGTCCCTTTTTATTTCTCCTTTCCTTTAGAGACTCCCATTGACAAAAAGATTCAAACTCTGTAAAATATTTGAAGGGATTTATTCTGAGCCAAATATAAGTAACCATGACCTGTGACATATCCCTCAGGAGGAACTGAGGACATGTGCCTAAGGTGGTCAGGGTGCAGCTTGGTTTTATACATTTTAGGGAGGCATGAGACATCAATCAAATACATTTGAGAAATACATTGGTTTGGTCCAGAAAGGTGGGGCAGTTTGAACTTGGGGGGAGGATTTCCAGGCTATAGGTGGTAAATTTAAACATTTTCTAGTTGACAATTGGTTGAGTTTGTCTAAAGACCTTGGATCAACAGAAAGGAAATGTTCAGGTTAAGATAAAGATTGTGGAGACCAAGGTATTTTGAATTCTCATAGTGGCTGCCATTAAAGACAATAGATGACAAATGTTTCCTATTCAGACCTTTAAAAGGTCCTAGACTCTCAGTTAATCTCTTCAGGAATGGGAGGGCCTGGGAAAACAAAGATCTAGCTATGTTAATAGAGATTCTTTACATATGCAAATTTTCTCCCACAAAGTACAGCTTTGCAGGGCCATTTCAAAATGTGGCAAAGAAACATGTTTGGATTTTCTTCTTTGTCAGGTAATGTTACACATAAAATATTTGGATTTTCTTCTTTGTCATGTAATGTTATGCCAGAGTCAGATTGGAAAGTAAGTCACGATATATAGGGTTAAATAAAACCCATCTAATGAGAATTTATGGTTTGTAGGGCATGACTCCCCAGATCCCTTAGATAGGAATTTGCATGAGATAAAAAAAATCAAAGCTTAGTCTTCAATCCCATTGCATTTATATTAGTTCACTTTAAGTATTCCACAGTTTATGGATGCTCTGTTAATTTTTTTTTCAGTTTGTATTGTTTTGAATTCTATGCCTCCAAATTAATTTTTCTCCTGCAATCTCTAATCTGCTTCCATCTAGTAAATTATCTCAGATATTATATTAATAATTCTATCACCAGACATTTTATTTGATCCTTTTTAACTTCCCTGTTTCTTCTTAACCTATTTAATCTTTCCTCTCATTTTTTGAACATATGAAATTTGATGTAATGACTTAAAATGTTCTCTTTTTTTGAGCCAGAGTCTCACTCTGTTGCCCAGGCTGGAGTGCAGTGGCTCGATCTTGGCCCACTGCAACCTCCACCACCCTGGTTCAAGCAATTCTCCTGCCTCAGCCTCCTGAGCAGCTGGGATCACAGGCTCCTGCCACGGTGCCTGGTTAGTGTTTGTATTTTTAGTAGAGTCAGGGTTTCACCATCTTGGCCAGGCTGGTCTTGAATGCCTGACCTCGTGATCCACCCACCTCAGCCTTGCAAAGTGCTGGAATTACAGGCATGAGCCACTGCTCCTGGCCTTAAAATATTCTTGTCTAATTTTATCATCTGTGTCAGTTATGGATTGGTTTTGATTGACTTTTCTCTTCACATGGTTCAGATTTTCCAATTTCTTTGTGTATTGTTAATTTTTGTTTGGATGCCAAACAATGTGAGTTTTACTTTTTGGGTACTGGATATTTTTATTCTATATTCTTTAGATTTCTTTTGAAAAGCAGTTAAATCACTTAGAAGCAGTTTGATCCTTTTGGATCTTGATTTTAAACTTAGAACAGAATTTAGTGCTGGGGCTTTTTTTTTTTTTTTTTTTTTTTTTTTGGTCTCACTTCAAAAGTGTGACCTCTCTAAGAGCAGTGCCCAATAGCCATATGAATTAATAAGATTTTTTAGTTTGAAAACACTCATTATTCTCAGCCTTACTGAGTTCTGAATATATTGTTCTCACTATTCTTTTCAGGTGGCTCTTTTCATATCCTTGGTTAGTGTCCTAACAAACATGTGCTAATTAGTACCCAGCTGAATATTCGAGGAGAATTGTTTACAGATGTCTGGAATTTTCTCTCTGCTGCCCTCTTTTCTCTTTAGTGTGCACTTTACTATGCTGCTGTAGAGAGGCTATCCTACTCCAGAAAGACTTGTTTATAATTTCTTCACACCACTCATTTATTCATTTTCTCCTTTATACTTCTTCCAATCTGGTTTTTACATCCTCTGAAATTCTTATCAAGTCATCAGACCATCATTTTGCTAAATCTAGTGTTTATTTTTGGTATAAATATTCTGGCCTCCATAATGTCTGACCTCATCTTTTATTAATTTCTCCTTCAATCCATCACATTAAAAAAATTCTTCGATCACAGTAGGCATGATTTTGTCTTAGAACATTTATACTGGCTATTTTTTCTGCTTGAAATGCCCTTTCTTCAGATATTTGCCTCGTTAACAAACTCCTCTATTTCTAGACTTAACTCTTCGTCTTAGTCTTAGTCCATTTGTGCTGCTATAACACAGACTGTGGAATTGATAAAAGACAGATATTTATTTCTAACAGTCTGGAGGCTGGGAAGTCCAAGGTCAAGTCACCAGCAGATTTGGCTCTCCAGCAAGGGCTGCATCCTCCAGAGTGAAGGAAACTGTGTCCTTACACTGCCTCCAGAGGCAGAAGGGCAAGAGAGAGACACTCCCTCTATCCACTGCTTTGATAAGGATACCTAATCTCATTCATGAGTATGATGGTTAATATTAGGTGTCAACTTGACTGGATTGAGGGATGCCTAGATGGCTGATGAAGCATGTTAATAGATGTGTCTGTGAGGGACACATCTATTTGCCAGAGGAGACTGATATTTGAGTTAGTAGACTGGGAGAGGAAAATTCATCCTCAATGTGGGTGGCACCAACCATTTGTCTGCCAGTGCAGGTAGAACAAAGCAGGCAGAAGAAGAGGATAGGCAGCTTGTTGAGTCTTTTTGCTCCTTCTCTTCCCATGTTATGCTGGATGCTTGGCTTCCTCTCCTCGTGCCCTTGGATATTAACTCCAGGTTCTTCAGCCTTTGGTCTGTGAGGCTTGTACCAGCAACCTCCCAGGGGCTCTTGGGCCTATGGCCTCAGACTGAGGGCTGCACTGTTGGCTTCCCTGATATTGAGGCATTCAGATTTAAACTGAGCTATGCTACTGGCTTCTCTCTTTCTCTAGCTTGCATATAGATAGATACAGATATAGATATAGATATATAGATATATATATAGATCCTATTGGTTCTGTCTCTCTGCAGAACCCTGACTAATACAGTGACGGAGGAGCCCTGAAGGCCTAATCACCTCTTAAAGGCCCCACCTCTTAATACTATCACACTGGCAACATCTGAATTTTGGAGAGGGCACATTCAAACCATAGCACTCTTCAATAAGCCTAATCACCCTACTTAAAATTCCAGCAACTTCCCAGGATAGCCAGTCTCTAAAGATAACCCTCAATAAACCTTGTGTAACCCTTTCCTCTTGAATCTGGGCTAGCCCTGACTTGGAGCCAATAGAATGCAGCAGGTGTGACAATCTAGATCTTCTGAGGCAGTCAGAGGACAACTTGCAAATTCTGACTGGGTCTGCTTAAATGCTAGCTGTCAGGGTGCTCACTCTCAGTACACATGGAGAGGCCACCTTTAGGCACCTTGATCAATAACCTCAGCTAAGCCTACATTTGACAACCAGTATCAACTGCTGGCCATGTGATGGAGCTGTCTTGGACCTCTAGCCCAGACTAAAGCCCTGGCTGATATCTGTCTGTAAACACATGAGAAACTGTAAGTGAGAGCCAACTAGATCAGCTAAAACACAGTAATACAAGTTAATAATAAATTGTTTGAAGCCACTAAGCTTTGAAGTGGTTTATAGGCAAGGATAGCTAGAAACTCTGTTTGCCCTGCACTTCAATTTTTAATCTCTTGCTCTTTGTCTTTTTCCCTCAGCATTTGTTATCATTTAACATACTATATGATTTGTGATTTATTATGTTTATTATTTATTTTTTGTCTTGTTGTCCCCACCAGATTGAAAGCTCTAAAAGGTGGCAATCATTGTTTGTTGTGCTCTCTGATATATCTCAGTTGTCTAGAACAGCATGGCTAATACATAGTGGAATTTCAATAAATATTTGTAAAAGTAATGAAGAAGGCGGTAGTCTATCCTAAAAAGTTAAACAAGACTCATTCAAAAGATGATCACAAATTTACTCAAATGTGGTTCATTCCCAAAGCCAAAATGATAAATTAAGATGTCAACAAATATCTATGGAACACAAGCTAAATTACAGACTTGTAATTATTAATAGCAAACTGGAGAGTAATTATTAGAAAAAAATGAAATTTGAAATTACTTTCAAATATTACACCATTATAAGCCTCTGGGTAGTGATTTTAGATTAATATAAAATTTGATGAAACCAATCATAATGAAAAAGATACCTAATTATTGTCACTCAAAAATAATAATTTAAACAAAATTTAAGGGCATATAACCACAATGTTCAATACTTGGATTTGTTACAGTACCTTTTTTAAGTGATTACAGGGTTAACATAATTTGAGTTGTGCATATTTATTTACATTAATTTCACTTCACTTAATGGAATCTGCTGGAGATTGACTTGTGTTTGTACTAAAAATACATAAAATATATTAAGAAAAAGCAGAGAGAGAGCCACTGATTTATTGTGTTTGGTGTCCAAGAACAGCTCAAACTGCTTTCTGTGAAAGAGTTATGCCTTACTGTTTCCTTAAAAATGTTTTGTCTGCCGGGCATGGTGGCTCATGCTTGTAAATCCCAGCACTTTGGGAGGCTGAGGTGGGCAGATCACAAGGTCAGCAGATAGAGACAATCCTGTCTAACACGGTGAAACCCCGACTCTACTAAAAATACAAAAAATTAGCCCGCCATGGTGGCGGGTGCCTGTAGTCCCAGCTATTTGGGAGGATGAGGCAGGAGAATGCCGTGAACCCGGGAGGCGGAGCTTGCAGTGAGCCGAGGTCACGCCACTGCACTCCACCCTGGGTGAAAGTGCGAGACTCGGTCTCGAAAAAAAAAAAAAAAGAAAAAAAAAGTTTTATCTTGAAAACTATATGTCAGTTCTTAGTTGAGTTAGTAATATGAGGAATGGCTACAAGTTTTTAAGGAAAAAATACATTTTAAGAATGTTCACTGAAAACCCTTTTAAAACAACAGGTTCTGAATTTTAAAAATATTCAGATAGATTTCTTTTTGAACATATAACTGGAATCTTTATTACAAAAGAATCATCAATGTTTGACTTCTAATTCATATGCCAACATGCATTTCTAAGCAAACTATAACCAAGAAAAATGCCAAGCACACTCTGTAAGCTTAGAATGCATGTGAATTTCATATTAATTCTTTTTGACTCCTCCTGAACTTGAGCATCTTACAGGTCTGATTGGGCAATTTATCAGTTCTCATGCTCAATGAATTCAGTCGTAGGGCACATGCAACTTAAAGCAATGAGGCCTAACTGCCAGGGTGCTTAGAACCATCAGTAGGGATGAATAGCACAGAGTCAGCATACAAATAGAACATGAACATAGAGCAAAGGCGAACATTTAGCCTGACTTTGGAGCAAAACCAGAGTTAAGACCAAGCCCTACCTCAGCACACTGACGCTTCAGTTTTACATGTTTGCTTCGTAGACAGAACTACTTCACATTTATTTACCTTCCATTATACAATCTGCACATTAAAAACAAAAGAAAACAAAACAATAATGGCCATTAAACAAAAATACATGATGTAGCTTGCTAAATAATTTATGGGCTTTTTGGAAGTGTTTTGGGCAGATTTCAACCTAACATTACTCTTATTTCCTATTCTTTTCCTTATAGAATGGAGTATCATGATAACTAGGTACTAAGTCAAGTCAACAGTGGGCCAAGTTGCCTCTGTGGAATTTAAGCTTTACATGAAGAGAGACTTAAGTATATTTAGTCCTTGGTGGTAGAACTCTTTAGTGTGAAGTCAAGTAGTTGCTTTTGTAGCTTTGATTCAAAGAAGCCAAAATCAAATGCTATGGGGCCTGGAACATGGTGAAAGTGGACTATCTGGCACTGAAACTTGGAAACCCTATCTAAAGGAAGCAGTCACTACTTAGCTCTACCAATAGTTGCCATGCTAGATTGTGAGACCAGGGATGCCAGGTATTTTGTTTCTGCAAGAGAAGCCAGAAATATGGATTTATCATGTCAACTCTCCTAATAAATACTGAAATGTACTTCATTCTTTGGTGCTTTATGCAAGACAAAAAAAAAAAAGAAAAAAGAGAGGGAGAGAAAGAAGAAGCGAAGAAAAGACATGGACTCTCATGTAGATTGAACTTGGTCCACAGTTTACTAGCTTGAGATCTGTAAGAATAAACTAAGGAGGTAAGAGAAGGAGGAGGGCATATTACTTAGGTGAGAAGTAATTGTAAAATGTATTATAAGCATTTATTAGCACAGTAAAATTTATGGACAAAATAGAAACTTCAAACTACATTAAGCCTTCTGTAATCGAGCTGTATCACCTGCTTCTCATTGATATCCTTTTTCTTACTACTTCCTCCCTTATTCAGAGAAGTGTTGGCTAATTGTTCACAATTTTACTATGCACTCACTTTCCATTCTACTCTATTAATTAACACTATCATTCATTTATTTAATGAATAAATATTTTTCAAGTTCCATATGCGTTGCTTTCTAGTATACGTGGAAATGTGGTATAGCCAAAAAGTCACAATGATCACGTGGATGCTATTCCTAACGCCTTGGCCTCTCAATATGTTGACTTCCCTGAATTCCAAAAGGCATCATCATTTTGCTTCAGCTCAACATTCCTAAGGTCATAATCTGGACATTGCTGTTACCAGGAAGTGTTCCATGTCTAAATTCATGAATTCAGATTTTTAACTCATTGACCCACCCTTCCTTCCTTCCTTCCTTCCTGCTTGCATTCCTCTCTTCTTGCCTTCCTTTCTTTATCCTTCTCTTTTCCTTCTTTCCTTCCTTCCTTCCTTCTACTCTCCCTTGCCTCTCCTGTTCTGAATTCTGTAAGTATTATTGCACTCCATCTATTTTTTGCTCTCATTAAATTCTTTGAATCTTGTAATTTCTCTTATATCAACATCTTCTACCTCCCAGTAGTATGGGGTCCTGTTTTATTCAAGCTAATCTTCATGCTCTTTCATATTAGTGAATCTCATGACAAAATCTGTACTCTTTGGATCTTGATTTTTTATAGACTTGACATGTAAAATTCTACCTTTTTGTTAATCCACTTCCCTCCACTACTGGAGGTTGATACCACTGTGAGTTTAGGTTCATCAAATTTGATTAGACCTCAAAATTCTCTAGATTTCTAGATCTTTTACATATCTTTTAACCATATCTTTTTCTTACTCTTCACAGTGGCTATTTTAAACCTTTCTCATTCTACTCAAGCTCCGACTGCAACTTTTTCTTACTTAACACATGACCATCAGGGCAACTGTTCTTAAATTTCTTCACTTACCTCATCTACCAACTTAACTAACAAGGTATCATGGTTTTAAAAAGTGCTATGTTCAGGATAATTCCTTCAACTATGCTTATTATACTATCCGCTAAACTGTCCTTATTTTTCATTCATTCATTTTATAAATCATATATTAATCACCTAGTTTGTGACAGGTACTGTTCTGGGCTCTTTGGCCACACCAATGAGTAACACATATTAGGATCCTGTTCTCAGAAAGACGTTCCACTGAAAGGAGGTAATCAGCTGTTAGAAAAATATTAGTTTCAGCTAGTAATAAGAACTGAAAAAATACTAAGACAAGGTGATAGATATATCAGATAGTGAGTACCTGGGTGTGAAGACACTTCCCTGAGGAAGAGACATTTGGTCAGAGAATGACAAGAAGGAGCCAGCCATGAGAAGACGTAGAGGAGAAGCATGTGAATTCACAGGAAAGAATAAGCACATGCATCCTAACTTGGGAAAGGACTTGGTGTGTTTCATCAATGCACATGCAGTTGAACAATCATGGGTAATAGTGGGAGATGAGATTAGAAGGTCAATCAGGAGCTTAATGTAGGTTATGCAGGAAGCCTTTTGTGGTTGTTAAGCATGGGATTGATGTCATCCAATTTAGATTTTTAACAAAAACCCATACCATGCTGAATGTTGATGGAGTTACGTAAGGGTAGAAGAAGAGATATTATTTAGTAGGTAATTCAAGTAATGTAGGTGAGAGATAATGGTGGCTTGATTTTAGGGTGATACTAGGGAAAGAGAATGGTTGACAGATTAAGAGTATATCTAGAGGGTAAAGCCAAAAGATTTGCTGATCTATGGATATGGAAGTTAAGAGAAAGAAAGGAACAAGAATAACTCCTAGTGTTTTTTGTTTGTTTGTTTGTTTCTTTGCTTGACTAATTTTGTTATGTCATTCATTAAATTGAGAATGAAAGAACAATATTTTTGAGATCAAAATAAAGTTGCAATCCTGAGTTAAGTTTTATGCATGCTAAATTTAGATGCTTTATTAGGCATGCAAGTTAAGATGTCTAATTGACAATTGGATATGTGAGTTTGGAGTTCAGAAGAGAGGTCAGCACTGGCCATCAATATTCAGTACCCGATGTCTTGTGGGTGGTAAAGCCATGGGACTAAGTGAGATAATCTAGGGAGAAATCAGAAAGAGAAAAAAATTCAGGGCACATCCCTGGCTCACTCTAATACTTAAATAATAATTAGAGAAAGAGGAACCAACAAAAGAGACTGAGAAATACCTAGCAAGATAGGTGAAAAGACAAGGAAGAGTGATACATGCTATAGAAGCTAAGAAAAGAAAGTACTTAAAGAGGATGCAAATGTACATACTTGCCAGAGCTAAAAAAGAAAAAGATGCAAATGACCAACTGTTTAGCTGAGAAACTAGTAATGTTAAAACTGTGAAATAGCTGTTGAAGTTGGTCTGGAGGGGTGTCATTTGTTATAAGAACTATTTCAACTGAATTGGAGTCATTTGAGGAGAGAATGGGAGGTAAACAACAGGAGACAGAGACAACAGACAACTCTTCTTGTAAGTTTTATCATGAAAGGAGACCAAGAAGAGAAATAGTAGCTGGAAGAGAATGTGGGCTAAAGCAGGGTTTTATAAAGTGGGAAGATTCTAGAATATGTATGCTGCTAGGATTGATTCAATAGAAACAAATTGATGATGTAGGAGGAAGAGGATACTTGCAGGAACCAAGTTCATTAGAAAGTGAGTCGCAGATGGAGCTAGAGCACAAATTGAGGGATAGAACTTTGACGTGAGCAGGGACACTTCATTTATTGTAAAAGAAAGAAAGGGGATGGGTAGAAGTTTAGGTAGGTAGGTAAATTTTGTGATGAAAACAAGGAAGCCCTAGATTGAATCTATTTAACAAGGTCATCATTTGAAAGGGAAGAGTGGGTGGAAAAGAGGTAGGGCTGGAGGCCACTACACAAAGGGAGAAGGTATGAATACTCATTTTACATAGTGTCAGAGTAAATATGCAGTGCAGTGGAGTTGCAGAGTATTAGAGAATGCCATTTTGTCACTCATGGTCATGTATTTAGAGTGAGACAAAATAGAATTGCTGTGCATCTTGAAGCCTGCACAATGTGATAGGCTGAATAATGGTCCCCAAAGATATTCAGATTCCAATCTCTGGAATCTATGAATGTTACCTTATATGACAAAAGAGACTTTGCAGATGTGAAAAAATTGAAGATTTTGAGTACATGAGATTACCCTATATTTATCAGATCTGTTCTAAATGTAGTCACAACTGTCCTTATAAGAGGAACACCATGATTTTAGCCCAGTCTGACTCATTTTGTACTTTTGACCTACATAACTGTAAGATAATAAATTTCTGTTGCTTTATGCCACTAAGTTTGTGGTACTGTGTTGCAGCAGCAATAGGAAATTAATACAGTCCACTACTTCATTCCTTTCCTTTGTATCTTTATCCTCTCTCTTCTTTCAGGCCATTTCCTGTTAGCAGGTAAACATGCTTAAGAGTTTCCTTTTAAAAAACAACATTAATAAACAAAAAACCACAGAATTTCCTACCTCTACCTGCTCAGCTCTAGCTACCATCCCTTTTTATATAGTCCTTTTAACAACTAAGGCTTGTTATTTTTATTATTTCCTTCTCATCTCTCATCTACTCAAATCTTCTGCCAACTCTCGTCAACTTCTTTTTTCCTTAGTAAACTGCTTTCAATATTTGGCAAGGTGCTCTTATTCTTAATTCCAGTATATTATTTTTACTTCTACCCTTTTCAACCTCTTTGTTAATCAGTTGATTTCCCCATTCTGGTGATATTCTCTCCCCTTGGGTTCTATGATACCACATTTTTAAAAAATTACATATTTGCTCTCTGACCGTTCTTCTTTATTCTCCTTTATGGGCTACATTTTTCTCATGGCTTTTTCTTGGTGCAATTTTTTAAATTTATTATTATTATGATGATTATTATTATTTTGAGACAGGGTCTCCCTCTATTGCCCAGGCTGGAGTGTAGTGGCACAATCATGGTTCACTGCAACCCTAACCTCCCGGGCTCAAGTAATCCTCACACCTCAGCCTCCTGAGTAGCTGGGACTATAGGTGCATGCTACCACACTTGGCTAATTTTGTTATTTTTTGTACAGATGAGGTCTCACCATGTTGCCCAGGATGGTATCAAACTCCTGGGTTCAAGCAATCCGCCTTCCTCAGCCTCCCAAAACTCTGAGATCATAGGCGTGAGCCATTGTGCCTTGCTTTATTAGTGTTGTTAACAGGGCTCTACTTTTTTCTCATTCTACATATTCTTTTACAGTTATCTTAGCTATTTCCCAAAACTTTCTATTTGACACTCTTAGTACTCACCTGGACAAATATACTCTGTTCTGTACACCTTATTGTCATGCTAAGGTGTCCTGAGTTGGAAAGACAGGCTCTCTTGTCCTGCTCCATGGCACACTCATGTCCGACTGCAGTGATTAACTGTATTGGATTTGGTGTCACTGAACTGATTTTGAATTCTGACCTTGCTTTTTTCCTACCTGAAATAGCAAGTGATTTACCACCTGAATGTGTAAAACAGTATAAACCCACTAAACTGTATTAATTAAATGAGATAATGCACATCAAGTACAACGCATAGTACCTGGCATATAGGGGGTTAATAAATGTGGGCAAATATTAGTATCGCTAGCTTCTTCTTTTCCTCTCTAAGTTCTGTTTCTGCTGGTAATTCTACCATGGAACTTCTCTTTTCCATTGCTGTTGTTGTAGTAGTTTCTAATGTCTCCTACAACGTTTGATGTTCACAGCCCACCATTGCCACCCCCACTCCTCTTTTTATTTTTCTGCTTCACCTTTCCTATTACTCTTGTATTATTTTTATTTTTCCCCCATTTTCCCCATTATTCCCACATTCTTTATTTTTTCTGTTTTCCTTACGTTGTTCTCCTTCTCCTCCACCTTTTATTTTTTCTGAATTTGCACATCTCAACAAATAGTCCAGACCACTCTTTGCAGACTTCTTCATTGCCAGGATCTGCTTCTTAGTTTTCATAGTTACTGTTTACTTTTTCATTATGATTTATAGTAAAGATGGGAAGAAAATGACTAGTGGCAGGCCTGCAGGCCTTTCTTAACTAAAGACAGCCCTAGAAAAGAAATTTAAAGAAAATTTCTCAAAACATGTTAGTGACAGACCACCTGGCAAATACTAATAATATGGGCTAATGGGAGAGTCCTTATCTATGGACTGCTGCAGCAGGATGTCTAGTATGCTTATGGAAAACAAATCTAGAACCTACGGATTTATGTGTCATGGCCCCTGGAAATGTATATACCCTATGTAACTATCCTAATATAAAATTTAAATGTTTCATACCAAAATAGCTTCCTTTTGTGTAAGTTATGTGACTATGCACATTCCATAGCAGCTTTGTTTGTTAAATCTGGGCCACTGTGTCCTGATGTGATAAGAAAGGCCTGGGAATTTGTCATTGTCTTTCTGGATCTTTCCCTGCTTTGTCTGTGCTGTTTGATTACATTTGTCCTTGAAGTCATCAGTAAAGCTTGATACTAAGTAAGGTTTATAATTTGTGTGAGTCTGATAGGACAGCTTGAATCCTTCCTTGTGTTTTCTCATTGGATATGGTGGCATTCCAGATGATTACAGTTGTTAGGAAATTTCTCTCTGGATATCTGAAGCAATAGTAGGCTATGATTCCAACATATCTATCTGTCATGATTACAGTTCTCTTTGTGGTAATATATTATCATATGTAATTCAGTAAAGAAATGTGTATACATGCATGTAATACATCAATGTCTATATCTCTGGGTCCATACAATGCCATAAGAGCAAATGTCAATCTAAGCATTGATTTGATGTTATAGAGCCTCTAGAATTTTTGACTGCTAAAAAAAAAAAACAAATAATTTGTTAATTTGGTTTCTATTTAAGAAACCATTTCCATAGAAATAGATGCAGTTCTTTTACTGAATTACATATGAATCAAATTCACAAATAAAGTTAGCTCACTTTAAAATCATCTAATCTCCTTTTAAAATGTATGACATAAATTATTTAGGTGTTATTTATAAGAGGTGGAAATATAACACATCATATTTATATCCTTTTTTTGCTGTAATGATGAATATTACAATTTCTTGAGTGTGCTATTTTCCAGACAAATGTGTATTCCATTGTATTGTCATTAGAACCATAACATTTTCTAGAATGTTACTTACATCTTAATGAAGGGATAATCATGCTATGAAGCTTTTATATTTTCAACATTACATTTATTTCTCAGTAATTCTCTCACTTTGCAGAAATGATTTTCATTCTTTTACATTTTTAATGTGTGATGTACCTAATGGAAAATAAAGATAATGCTAAATGAAAATGAGTGTTATTCATTGATAAGAATTCAATTAATCTATACAAAGGTCCCTTTCATTACCTCTTTTACAGATTTTTAAAAATTCTCTATTTCTTTTATAAGGTTTCCTTAGATATTCTCTATCATTGTTTTTCTTTGTGCATTTAAAAAAGATGATCTAGGCCAGGCGTGGTGGCTCACACATATAATCCCAGCACTTTGGGAGGCTGAGGTTGGCAGATAACTTGAGGTTCAGGAGTTCAAGATCAGCCTGGTGGCCAGGCACGGTGGCTCATGCCTGTAATCCCAGCACTTTGGGAGGCTGAGGCAGGCGGATCACTAGGTCAGGAGTTCCAGACCAGCCTGGCCAACATGGTGAAACCCCATCTCTACTAAAAATACAAAAATTAGCTAGGCATGGTGGCACCTGCCTGTACTCCCAGCTACTCAGGAGGCTGAGGCAGGAGAATCGCTTGAACCCAAGAGGCAGAGGCTGCAGTGAGCCAGGATTGTGCTACAGCACTCCAACCTAGGCGACAGAGAGAGATTCCATCTAAAAAAATAAATAAATAAATAAATAAATAAGATGATCTTATAGGAAGGGGATACTACAGTCTGTAAGGACGTAGGAGTCTCAAAAATCATTTGAGTTCAAAAGAAATAGCATTTAATAACAATTACAATGTAATAACAATGATAACGAGAGGTGCCAACGTGCTAGCAGCCCTCACTCACTCTTGGCGCCTCCTCGGTCTCGGTGTCCACTCTGGCCACGCTTGAGGAGTCCTTCAGCCCGCTGCTGCACTGTGGGAGCCCCTCTCTGGGCTGGCCAAGGCCAGAGCCAGCTCCCTCTGCTTGTGGGGAGGTGTGGAGGGCGCTGCTCTGTGGCGCCTGGTCCCATCGACCTTCCAAGGGCTGAGGAGTGCAGGTGCGTGGCGCGGGACTGGTAGGCAGCTCCACCCGCAGCCCTGGCGCAGGATCCACTAGGCGAAGCTAGCTGGGCTCCTGAGTCGGGTAGGGACTTGGAGAACTTTTATGTCTAGCCGGAGGATTGTATATGCACCAATCAGCACTCTATGTCTAGCTCAGGGATTGTAAACGCACCAATCAGCACTCTGTGTCTAGCTCAAGGTTTGTAAACGTGACAATCAGCACTCTGTGTCTAGCTCAGGGATTGTAAACACACCAAGCAGCACTCTGTGTCTAGCTCAAGGTTTGTAAATGCACCAATCAGTGCTCTGTGTCTAGCTAATCTAGTGGGGACTTGGAGAACTTTTGTGTCTAGCTAAAGGATTATAAATGCACCAATCAGCACTTTGTGTCTAGCTGAAGGTTTGTAAACTCACTAATCAATGCTCTGTGTCTAGCTAATCTAGTGGGGACTTGGAGAACTTTTATGTCTAGCTAGAGGATTGTAAATGCACCAATCAGCGCTCTGTGTCTAGCTTAGGGATCGTAAACACTCCAATCAGCTCTCTGTAAAACGGACCAATCAGCTGTCTGTAAAGTGGACCAATCAGCTCTCAGTAAAATGGACCAATCAGCTCTCTGTAAAATGGACCAATCAGCAGGATGTGGGTGGGGCCAGATAAGGGAATAAAAGCAGGCTGCCCGAGCCAGCTGCGGCAACCCGCTTGGGTCTCTTTTCATGCTGTGGAAGGTTTGTTCTTTCACTTTTTGCAATAAATCTTGCTGCTGCTGTTTGGGTCCATGCAGCATTTATGAGCTGTAACACTCACCGCGAAGGTCTGCACCTTCACTTCTGAGGCCAGTGAGACCACGAACTCACCAAAAGGAACAAACAACTCCAGCCACACCATCTTTAAGAACTGTAACGCCGCGAGGGTCCACAGCTTCATTCTTGAAGTTGGCGAGACCAAGAACCCACCAGTTCCGGACACAATAATATTTCATCTTTGTATAGTCTTTTTAATTTTTCAAAATTATTTCATCATATGATACTTCCAATATACAACTATCCGTAATCTATGACACATAGAAGCTGAGACCTCAAAATGTTCCAGTACAGTGAATTACAAGGGAGTGTAATTTGACACATTAAAATCTCAAAATGTATTTTATTTTGACTGTTCTTTGAAAAGGCCTATTTCTAGAGTTGATATATATCAAGAAGATTTAAGATTGGCATGGAAAACAACAAGCTGCTAATGGGAAGGGAAGCCTAACAATAGTACTAGCACTCAGACCCAAGGAGGTGGGCTTCTCTTTGGGTTTTGCCGTGACTGTGTTAGTGTTCATCCACGCGCTCTACCCTTCTATGTGGGAGGATTATACCTGCCCACAATGTGAAACTCAGGTGTGCTCATGTGATATGGTCCATGAAATGTCCATAGAAGTGGAGGGTGTCACTTCCTGGAAGACGTTTTAATGGTCAGTACACACTTTGCCATTCTCTTTTTCCCTCTCCTGTGATAATAGACATAGTGGGTTCCAAAAGATGACATGACAGAGCTGCAGCCAACCAATAACGGACATGGAGGAAGAGTGAGATCTAAACCTGAGTGTTATAGGTCTCTGATATTTGGGAATCATTTGTTAGTGAAGCACAACCTAGACTGTCTTGACTGATACAGGTTTGCTCAAAGATTATTAGGAACTTGGCTGTCCTGTTCTCCAGCATTGTCCTTTCCTTTTTCATGTTCTCACCTAAATGTGGTCACAAAATACTCTTGTTGATTCTCCAGCGCAGAGAGAGCACCAACGTTTTAAAGACTTTACTAAAATTATGTCTCAGAAAACTGTGAAACAAACCCAGGGCCTAGTATAATTCACTGTATTTTTGCAGATTCCTCAATTCCATATGGAACCCCAAGATAAAAACATCTTGATGGAAGTCTAGTCTTTCATGCTCCTGGCTAGGAATCAAACGGCTCTTACCATATGTGGCAGACACCACAGAGATGCACCAATCAGCTCCCCTTTCAAGAAAAGACTCATTGTCCATCTGTGAGGGCCATCTGTGAACTTCGCAAGTCCATCTCAGCTTGAGCGGAGGTCATGCTCTCCTCAGAGTAACCTCAGTCAGTGACTAAGCAAGAATGTGGTGCAAGCACCTAGCCATTTCTTTTCAACAGGGGACTTCTGTAAAAGGTGATCTTTGCTCTGAGGCTGTCTGCTGGGCTGGCAGATACGTTGTCAGATCTGCATTGCAGTCTGGCAGATCCTCCTACCCAATCCTGCATTCCCCTTGTTTCTTCACAGATATTACCTTCCAAGATATTTTGTACTCCTAAATTCAGCTCAGCGTCTGTTTCTGTGAGTGGGAAAAGAAACTTACATAAGATCTACCTACTTATTGAGAGTGTTCTCCTAGATATAAAGTCAAAGATGAGAGTGCCCCATCCCCTTGTTCTTCTGGCTGTTCTCAGTACCTGTTCCCTGTCTGTGTTTATTCACTGGGCAGCCTTATCATCAGAAAGACAATCATGCACTATAATAGAACAATATCTTATAACAGCCATATAACAATATAACATACATCCTTAATTCTGTCAGGATTTTGAAATGAAATGTTCTCCTTGATAATTTTCTCAAGTGTAAAGTGGGAATAATAAAAGTAATTTTCTCACAGAGTTGTGAGAATAATTAATAGCCAAAGTTTATTAAGTGTTCACTTTATGTCAGGCTTTACAGGCACTACAGTATTTCATTTTATTCAATAGGTGAGGCTATTGGGGCAAAGAAAGGATAAGTAACATATAGCTAATGATAGGCTGAGTGGGAACTGGGGTCTACACAGAGTGACATCACAGCCCACTTACACAATTACTCTCTGCTACTCTGTCTCTCAAAGAGATCTGTCAAGACCTTAGCAACGTGCCTGCATGGATTAAGCTTACCATTTGTTGGAGTAGGCACCCCACAAATGTTAACCACTATGATTACTTATTCATTTTCAAAGTTGAACAAATAAAAAAAAAACCCTGAATAATTCAAATACAAAGAAATAAAGGTCCTTTTAAGCTACCTGTTCTCCAGCGTTGTCCCTTCCTTTTTCATGTTCTCACCTAAATGTGGTCATAAAATAAGCCAAGTCAATGAGTTTGGACTTTATCTTTTGGGCATTGAAGAGTTATTGGAGAGTATTAAGAATGGACTGACATTTAGATTCACAGATTAAAAAGGTGACTCTATTTGTAGTGCAGTCAATGAAAGGAACTGATGCATAAAGTGGGGTAAGGGAATGGTAGAATTTGTCCAGACGAAAAGCGAAGTCTGCCTGAACTACGGTAGTGGCAACAGGAATTAGAAAAAAAAAATTAAATAGGCTAGGCGCATGGGCTTGCGCCTGTAATCCCAGCACTTTGGGAGGCGGAGGCAGGCGGATCATGAGGTCAGGAGATCGAGACCATCCTGGCTAACATGGTGAAACCCTGTCCCTACTAAAAAAAAACAAAAAACAAAAATTAGGGGGGTGCCTATAGTCGCAGCTACTAGGGAGGCTGAGGCAGGAGAATCGTGTGAACCTGGGAGGCGGAGCTTGCAGTGAGCCGTGATCGTGCCACTGCGCTCCAGCCTGGGCAACAGAGCAAGACTCTGTCTCAAAAATAAGAAAGAAAGAGAGAGAGAGGGAGGGAGGAAGGGAGGGAGGGAGGAAGGAAGGAAGGAAGGAATCAAGTAGACTAGTTAATTGATTTAAAGTGTCACACTGGTTTGGACACTTCATCTGGATGGGCTTCAGTTGATTTATTTGTGAAAATCTTTTGGATGAGATGGTTGCTAAAGTGGTTTTTTTGTTTGTTTTGTTTTTTCCAATTGGCATCTCTTAAGAGGGAGCTGGAGGTAGAAAGGGTGGGGGAAAGAAGGAAACAGAGTAGGTAGAATTGTAGGAATAAATATAGTGAAAAACTTTTGGAATGACTTTGGTTTGGAAACTTGGTGCATTTATAACATTATTAAGAAAATTTTTTTAGGCAAAAATCTAAATAAAATGCCTTTAACATCCAGCTTTATGTTCCCCTAATTTTCCAATTTACTTCTAAACTCCCTTAAAGCAATACATTTATCTAGTCTTTTGAAAGAGAATTTATAACATCTTGGAGCTCTCAAATAAAAAGAGGAGAGCCAATCATGGTGGAGGGTTTGTTGTTGTTGTTGTTGTTGTTGTTGTTAAGTATAAGAAGCATTAAGCAAGCTCCCAATGAAACCAAGTTTTCTTTTTAAAAATCCTACAATTTATGCAAATCCCATATGGGATTTATGCAAATTCCATACGCTTTGGTAGTCAGGGCAAATAGATATTTGCCATAAAGAGAAGTGAGTTGAGTCTATCTTGCAAACAATATAGATAATTGCAGAGAAAGTAAGGAAACAAGCTGCACTTTACTATTTTATGCTTTGGCAAATTGTGTTGCATTGTTATATACCTGGCAAAAGAAAGTGTATCATTTTGGAAATTGCTGCTGAGTGTGGTTATTGTGCACAACCACAGCAGAGATTTTGAAGTCATCATGGAGCCGAGGTGGCAGGGTCACTACGTGTTCTCACTACCAGGGCTATCTGTTAGAGTCTGCTGAATAGCTGGCATCAATTTCAGGAGGCAGGAGGCAGAAAAGTGCTGGACTCTATCCTCATTTGGCAAAGCTTTGAAGGATAATGGTTGAGTGAATAAAACTTCTACTAGCTTACTTTCATTTCTAGAACTTCATGTTATTTCTGTGAATATTGAATTAAACGAGAAGGCTAAGAAATAATTGAATTCAAACATATTTATCATTCTAAATTTTTTTTGGAAAGAATTTATATTTTAAAGTAATATCAGTAAATGTAAATGGAGCAATGAAGATTAATGCAATTCTAAATATTTACCCTAGTGGGACACCATCACTTCTTGCCTCAAATACTGAAATTGTCTCCTTAGCTCCCATTTTTGCATTCTGAAGTTTTTCTACACAATGTAGTCAGATTTTTCTGAAATCAAAATTGGATCACGGCACTCCCTATTTAAAAACCTTTGGTAGATTAATTAATTAACTAATGCTACATCATAACTCACTAAAACTTAGTTTTTCGGAATGAAAACTTTTTGTTTTTTTTCCTCACAGTTTCTGTGGGTCCACAACTCCAGAGTGGCTTAGCTTGGGGGTTATGGCTTGAAGTTTCATGAGATTATACTCACTGTCTGTAGCTACAGATATATTTGAAGGCTTGACTGAAGCTAGAGAATCTGCTTCTAGTCATTAACATGGCGGTCAAGTTGCTGATGACAAGTTGTTTTTTTCTCCACAGGGTTGCTTGAGTGTCCTCACAACAAGGTGGCTAGCTTACCCCAGAGTAAGTGATATTTAAAAAGCAAGGCAGAATTCTTCACTGATTTTTGTGACTAACCTCAGAACTTATTTCATCACTTCTGTCATATTCTATTGGTCACATAGGCCAGTACTGTTTCACTGTGGGAGGTGACTATACAAGGATGTGAAAAACGGGAAGCAAAGATTATTAGGCACCATCTTGAAGGCTTAATATCACAGTTGGTTTTCATTTACTTTGGGATAAAGTTCAAATTTTTAGACACTGCTTACAAAACCTGTCATGATATGACAATTTCTTACCTCTTCAACTTCATCCTGCCCCTCATGAATCATGTTCAAGCCATTAAAAACGTATTTCTTCAGTTCTTCTAATGCACTACACTGTTTTCACTCTCTTGTTGGATCTTTTTTCCCATCCTTTAAATTGACTCACTGTTACTCACTCTTCATGTCAAGTTATTAGAAATTCTCTTTCTCAAAAGTTTCCATTTGACTTCCAAATCATGGATTAGTCACTTGGTTTTGTGAACCCCTAACATCTTGTCTGTCTTAATTATAGCATTTATTGCACTTACTTTTTTATAATTATTATTTTTTCATTGTGTACCCTAGTAGATTGATATGAAAGTAGGTGCTCTGCATATATGTGTGTGTATATGTATATATGTCATTCTGCCTCATTGCCTATCATGTGCCTAAAATGTAGGAATATTTATTGAATGAATGATTCAATAAATGAATGAGAGACTATCTTGACTCTCACTCAGTAAGTGATATTTACCCTAATTTTCTAAGGTGATGGAAAAAAATCTAATAAACTCACCTATAATTACTTTTTTGTTAGCTTATATCTCTTTATAAACCCAAACAGAAAAGAACAATCTGATATACTGATACTGGGGTTTGGTTCCATGTGTGATAATACTGGTAATTTGTTGAATCTGGAGATATAGATCCTATATTTATCTTCTAATGAACAATGATAGAGTAATGAAAATGTTTTTATCTTTCTAGGTTACAAATCAATACTATGACATATGAGAGTCAGTGAAAGTCAATAAAGATTTTCTACCAAACTATTTTTTTCTCTCAAAACTGTGAAATTACAATACTATGGTTAAAATAGACTGATCCAAAATTTTTATATCATTACATTTAGTAATGCCTACATATTATTTTCCATAGACCAGTTTTAAAGATGAACAAAATATTACATAGCAAAATATAGTGTTACTTATTAACTGTACAAAACAAAGATCAGTTGAAAAGATTTCAATGAATTTTAAATGCTCCCATTAGGTATGTCATTTTCCCCTTCTAACATGCCACCTAAAATAACCAGATCACTATTGACAATAAAATATCCTATACTGCATACCATTTATAGAAATAGTAGCACTTAAGAAGAGTATGTCAGTGGTAAAATTTCAGTCAAAGATTTCAATATTTTAAAAGTATTGGGGTGGCCGGGCATGGTGGCTCATGCCTGTAATCCCAGCACGTTAGGAAGTCGAGGCGGGTAGATCACCTGAGGTCAGGAGTTCAAGACCAGCCTGGGCTGGGTGTGGTGGCTCACGCCTGTAATCCCAGCACTTTTGGAAGCCAAGGTGGGTGGATCACAAGGTCAGGAGTTCAAGATCAGCCTGGCAAACATGGTGAAACCCCTACTAAAAATAGTATTTGAAATCTCTACTAAAAATACAAAAAAATTAGGCAGGTGTTATGGCACACACCGCAGGAGAATCACTTGAACCCAGGAGGCAGAGGCTGCAGTGAGCCGAGACCATGCCATTGCACTCCAGTCTGGGTGACAAAGTGAGACTCCATCCAAAAAGGGGGGAAAAAAGTACTGGGGTATCTATTTCTCCCAAAATGTTAAATGGCAAGTGAGTGGAGGGAAACAGAAGGGGATAGTTCATGTCCCATCTTACTGGTTTACAACTGGGAAAGCAGAGTAAGATCTTCATGTGGGTTGATGTGATATCTGTATATATCAGCAGACATAACAGAATCTTCTTGTTGGCCTATCCTGTTTAGACTAACATTATGGTATTAGTTCCTTTGGGGCTCACATTTATTCTCTGACTGCCCTCTAGCAAAACTTATGGGGCAGACACTTTGGTAAAAGGTCCCAAACTATAATGATTACCTTATATTTTGTCAGTGCACCATTGGCATTGAACAAAATTTAGTACATTATTTAATAACCATGGTAGTTCATGGCAATCCATGGCCCTCTTGCATATTGGCAAAGTTGAAACATCAAGTAATCTACATTTTAAAAAATGTCTTTGATCCTTTCTCGTTTGAAATATGGATGTAACAGGTGCAATGGAAAAGGAAGGTGTGAGAGTCCTTTCTATAATGTTTACATAACGTCTGTCTATAGGAGGGACAAGACATTCCCTTCGAGATTTGGGGGTATTTGGACATAGTCTTGCAAATTCACAAATATCTTATGAAAGAAAAAAGAATTAGGAAACACTTATGGAATATTTCAAGCTATAATTCAGTTAATCAAAGTTTTAAATTATGTTTCATGTACCTATGATTAAAAGAGCTTTAATTGATTAAACAGGGGTTCATTTTACTTTTGTTAACTTGACACATACTACAAAAAATTCAAGATACTAGGAGGGAAAAAATAAACACTATCAAAAGCTATGTTGTGGACCTTACTCTGTTTTTTTCAAGTATACAGGTAGAATTTTACTAACCAATAAAGAAAAGTTATAAAAAAACATGGAGAATATAGTTCTTTTTATATACCTGATGCCCCATCCTCCAGTCCCTCTTAAAGAGATAGAGTGGTGACACACACTTCCTTCAAAGGCTGACAAAGAATATTTGATTTCATAATGTTTAAGGTCATTTCTCAGAATACACAGGTTTGACCATTGCCTAAATGCTAATCATTAATTCAAAGGCTATATTTTATTTTTTAAAGAAAGTTTATTATAGTTTGTGTATTTTGCTATTGAAATCAATGTGTAAGTGCAAGTTACTGTACACAAATTTAGAAGTTATAGGAGGTCAGGCACAGTGGCTCACGCCTGTAATCCCAGCACTTTAGAAGGCCGAGGTGGGCGGATCACGAGGCAGGCAGATAAGGATGGAGATGGAGACTCTCCTGGCTAACATGGTGAAACCTCGTCTCTACTAAAAAATAATACAAAAAATTAGCTGGGGGTGGTGGCACATGCCTGTAGTCTCAGCTACTCGGGAGGCTGAGGCAGGAGAATCACTTGAACCCAGGAGGCAGAGGTTGCAGTGAGCCGAGATCGCACCACTGCGCTCCAGCCTGGGTGACAAAGCAAAAATCTGTCTTTAAAAAAAAAAAAAAGAAGTTATAGGAAATGACATAAATCTTCAGAAAAATGATAAAATTACATGTAATTCATAAACAATTACGTCATGCTTTTTAAAGTTCATTTTATTATAACTAAGCGTAAGGTATCTTAAGTCTCTGGAACAAGGGTATAAGCATGTATCTATGTATTAAATAGTAATGAAACATTTCACAAACATATAGTTCAATGTTCATATTCAAAAACATATATTAGGATGGGAATCACATTGTATGGCTGTGTTGTAGTGGTGTGTTAGTGTGGCGACTCTGAAAAATTACTCTTACAATTAGGCGTACATAAATATGACATAATTCTCTCAACACACTTTAGTAACATGGCTTTTCCCCCAATGTGCAAGGTAAAATAGTTTTCCTCTGAGGTACTACTTTCGTGGCAAAACTTTAGTGACCAAGACCTTTTAAATGAAAGAAATCCATACCATTGTTGTTAGGAGTCCATATTAAGGGCCTATACTGGTATCGAAGTAACTTAAGATGTTGACCGTGTGGTCAATTTTCTTTTCTCCCATCCTGATATAATGTAATGTGGCCATTTAATGAGTTCTAACTCATTTACTAATGAGCATATTGTTTCCTCATCACATGCTAGGCAAACAGAAAGTAAACAGCATCTTTTTAGCAAAAACCTTTTCTGGAATTTTTTTTTTAATTGTAATAATATAGGAATAAACAACGAAAACCTATAGCAATTACCATAAAAGTTTTAGTGCATTTGTAATATGCTAAGTATTTGATATATTCCTTGTAAAAGACTATTTAAGTAAATCTTTAGCTGCCGGTGTTTGCTTGCTGTACAGAATCATAAACTATCAATATTCCTAAATTAGCATGGTCCAGTCATCCAACTTATTGCCTCAGTCACTCAATTTTCAAGTTTATGTACTTTCCTCTCAGTTATCAGATGGTGACTTTTGGATAAATTGTTATGGCAAAAATTTTTTTTAATATCATGGTGAATACATGTTGATGTGATCTGAATATATAAAATATCAATATCTAAAGATCATTTAGAAAATGTTTATTTTTACTACAAAAGTTATGCATGTTTACATAAGACGTTAAAAGTAAAGTAAAAACTCATTTCCTGTGACCCTGACAAAACATCATTAGCATTTTATTAAAATTTATCCTAGTTATTTTCTGTGTTTATATATATTTTTGCCTATAATAATTTTTATTTATTTTTTACAATTTTCTTTCCTTTTTTTTTTTTTAAAGACAGAGTCTTGCTCTGTTGCTCAGGCTGGAGTACAATGGTGCAATCTTGGCTCACTGCAATTCCACCTCAGGTTCAAGCAATTCACCTCCCTTAGCCTCCTGAGTAGCTGAGATTACAGGTGTGCACCACCACACCCAGCTAATTTTTGTATTTTTACTAGAGATGGGATTTCACCATGTTGGCCAGGGTGGTCTCGAACTCCTGACCTCAGGTGATCTGCCTGCCTTGGCCTCCCAAAGTGCTGGGATTATAGGTGTGAGCCACCACGCCCGACCCGTTCTTACAATTTTCTATTTTTATTTATCTCTGTAGACATCTAACACTATGTATTCTAACATCAAGCTTAGTACACAGTAGACATTTAATAAATGTGATTAGTTAAGTATGTTAAATATCAGATGCTAGAATATTTATACATATATATAATGTATATTTTTAAGGGTTTACACAATTCCAGGAGGCACCATTCTCATTATCTACACAAATGGCATTCTCAGGAGGGCACATTTATTTACATAGACTGCAATATAAATGGCCTAGGAAAATGGTGTCTTCTAGATGTACAATGATATGGCCATGGATGTATATTTGTGTGTATGTATACATGTATATGTATATACATACATATAAGTATACGTGTAATAGCCGCAGGTATTTCAGTCCATCTATAAAACCAAGGCAAATGTCCTCAAAATTAAATGCATTTTCACTCATTTATTATTTATTCAACAAATATTTATGTTCACTGAAACTGAGCTGAGGGCTAGGGAAATAATATATCAGCAAGATAGACATTGTTCTATATCCTTTGAAAATATCATAGGTGACAGTGTACAAGAGTGTTAAAAAGAGACTTCTACCCATATAAGATACTTAATAGCTCTAACACTGCAGACAGTAGTCAGGAAATACCACTGCACTTCAAATTAGAGTGCCGCACCATCTAAGCCAGACTTGTAAAAGATGACAAGAGAAATTATTCTGGCAGTATCACACCCTCTACACGTAGTAAGACAAGGCTGAAAATTCATTTGAATCTGGTATTTGAAAGATATAATTTCATTGAAAGAAGTCAGCATCCTGTGGCATTTGCCCTTCTTTCTCTCTAGGGAAGAAGAAAGCTTCTTCTTTCCTTCCATATCAAGTGAAGCTGTCTCAAAAAAGACCATACTGAGAACTTACTTGAGTCCTCAGAAATTGGAAAAGTATCAAAGCTAGATTATGGTTTACTAAAATAAAATAAAAATAAGCATCTTTTATTTTTGTTTGTCTTTTAAAAGGTAAGAAGATAGACAGCTTCCCTGCTTACCTGGTGGCAGGGCGAGGAGATACTGTCTGTATTAGTCTGTTCTCATACTGCTACGAAGAAATACCTGAGGCTGGGTAATTTATAAAGAAAAGAGGTTTAATGGACTCACAGTTCCACGTGGTTGGGGAGGCATCAGGAGGCCTGCAATCATGGCAGAAGGCATCTCTTCACAGGGCGGCAGGAGAGAGAATGAGTGCCGAGCGCAGTGGGGGAAAGCCCCTCATAAAACCATCAGGTCTGGTGAGAATTCACTCACTACCATGAGAACAGCATGGGGGAACCGCCCCCATGATCTAATCACCTCCTCTGAGGTCCCTCCCCCAACACGTAGGGATTATAATTCAGATTACAATTCAAGATGGGATTTGGGTGAGGACACAGCCAAACCATACCACTGCCTTTGTCATGAAGGACACTTCTTGTGAGGCAGGGGATGGGCCATATTTCTTGTAAATCGGATATGGTTGCCACACAAGAGAGAGAACTGGGAGAAGTCTTGAATAGGACTTTGTCCAAGATGTCCTGCTGAAGGGATGTAGTAACCACAGCAAAAGGAGGCTGGAAACAGTACTAAGGGGCATTATAAGTGTCCTGCATTTGGAGGAATCACTTCTTAGGAATAACAAATGAGGTCTCTAGGGGAGGATTCTCTGAAGAAGTCACAAGTACCCTACAAAAGAAAAAACAAACAGATTTTGGACATCAGCCACTTTAGGGCGTCAATGACATAAGGCAACTGTGCCAGTCATTTCAGCTTTCCTCTACTTCTCACCACTTCTCCATCCCACACAGAGGACTCAAGAGACAATGTAGAGTAAAAATTCAAGGCAGGGAAAGAAAGAAGCTGTAATGACTTCCTGTTTTATCTATTTCAAGACAAACTGGAAGATAGAAGGTGAGAGTGATTAGCTCTCAGGGTTTTTATATCAGACTGGACTGGGATTTTTAAGACCATGAGGTAGCTTGAAAAGCAATGAACTTTAATTGAAATTTTATCTATCACAGGAAAGAAGCTGTTGAAAGGGGAAATTGAACAAAGTATAAAATCATGTTCTTCTTACATTTTATCCAGTTTGCTTTATTCTAGTAACCATTCACAAAGAACAATGATAACAAACTATCAAAAGTTCTATAACATGAGAAAAAAAGGATGTTATGGGAACACAGGAAGAGCTTTGCTTCCAGCGACCCAAGCTACTCTCCTAGCAAATCTTCCACTGATGACAGTAAAGAGAGAGTGATCTTGGATCCCTGGTAAATCCTGCCTCAGATACTGAATGTAGAGGTGAGCTCTCTCCAAGAGGTGGATGGAAAGCCAGAAATCCAGGAGCTAAGTAGGTACAAACAACTCGAGGACAATATATTGCCTGTGTCTCAGGATGTGCAGTGGAATATTTTTAGTGTACTCAACTTTCTTTTGTGGTGTCTGCCAAAAACTCTCATAAGCATCCCATAAGGGAAAGAAAGCTTTAAACACCTGTCACATTCAGAAATTGCTGAGCCATCTTACAATAATTCCAGTCAAGAAAGAACTTAGGTGTTCTTCTCACCCTTTTTTTTCTTCCTCCTCTTTGGCCCTAGAGGGGAGACAGAAATAACAGCTAACAGGTGGCAGGGAAGGGGAATAAAAGAGATTTTTACAGTTGAACAAAATTGGAAACTCAAATTATTCATATGGTTTAGGGCTTTTATAATTACTAAATTACTAAACTATATCTTTGACTTTAAAGTCAGCCAAATTTTTCCATTTCCTAATAATAAGAAAAATAATGAACAAGCATGGCCCCTACTATGTGCCAAACATGATTGTAAGAACTATTACCTCCTAATCCTCATAATAATGCTAAAATGCAGAAATTCATAACACTCTGCATTTCATAGGGAAAACTGAGGCACACAGTTAAATGACTTGCCCAATTTTATTGGGATTTAAACCCAACGAATCTGGTAACAGAGTACATGATCCTAATCACTACTTTATAAGTTAAAAGAGAAGATAAATGATGTAGTTTTCATTAAGTGCCAGACATCGGGAACCCAACCCCCACTAAGTAGGTTTGAATGGAGAGAGGGAGACAATAACAAAGTTGCTTCTACGGCTATAATTCTTTGTTCAATGTACTGATTGCTTACTTTGTACTTCAGCTGGCCGTTAGAAGCTACTGAAGAGTTTTAAAATGATTTGTTCCTATGATGGGATTTGCTTTTCAGTGTGATCACTGTGACTTCTTTGTAGAGACTGGTTTGGAGGAGTATAAGAGTGGAAGAAAATAGGTAGATCAGAAAGACTATTATGAGCGGACTGCTGCCTGAACAAAGTAATGAAAGTGGGATGGATGGAAAAGATTCAAGTTAGGTAGATCTATCTGTCTATCTATCTATCTATCTATCTATCTATCTATCTATCTATCTATCCATTCATCCATCTAAGACAGAGTAAATTGGACCTAATGATTGGATATGGAGGTGAGAAAACATTAAGTTATAAATTTCCATGTGTGTATGTGAAACTGCTAAAGTACATCATAAAATATCATAAAGTTAGAGTAAGGATCAAATTAGATAATTCGTGACAAGCGCTTACCACCATGAACTGTAAGTGGCTAAGGAAGTTTGCTGAAGTGAAAATAGCTTGGGTTCTAGCACCGTGTGTATATCCTGGGGAAGGTGTTGTACTCTCTGTTCCTCTGGCATCTTATCTGTGAAATATCAGTACCTTCCTCATGGTATACATTGAGTGAATTACGTGAAATGATTCTTGTGAAGAGATTAGCACAATTGCTGACACACTATAGATCTCAATTAATGCTAGCCATCTTTTACTAGACTGTTTTCTTTTCATCTACCTGACATTAGTTGTATGGCTTTTTGAGGTTAATTTCTGCATGTCACAAAGCACACTGTTTTCCTCAGAAGAAGCTGATATTTCATAAAGCTAGTTTATTGCTCTTATGCAAATGGGGCAGTACTTTAAGACTGTTAACTACTGAAAAAACTAGTATTTTGTCATGATGCAAGTGAGGAGGGTACTGGGACACCACTCCTTCCCCATGGGTCAGATAATTAGTTAAGTGGGAAAAAGTTACAAACCACACAGTGCACTATTGTATCTAGTAGGAAGTGATAAAACTATTATCAAGGATTAATATTGCCCTCATCTATTTGTTTAAGGCCTATAACAAAGATTTCATGGGAATTTTCTACATTTTTATTTTCTAATTTTTACATATGACCTCTAATTTGGTTCTGAAATGAAATCAACTTTTAGTTCTTTTTTTATCTCAAGTGTATTACATTTTTGGAGATGTTATTTATAATACTTTGATTTTTCAAATTAATAAATTGAAGATGCAATACAGTATTCAATTTGCTGCAAAACTCTACTCTTCATACGAAAATAGAGATAGAGCTATGACCTAAAGATTAATACACAGCTCCATCACAGCATAGCTTGAAATGTTAAACAGCTGATGTACAAAATGATGTGAGAGTATCAGTGAATAATACACAGAAGTGCATACTGTAAACAAAGCAAACATTTCTAAATTGAGAGCTGTCTAATTCTAGAGGCAAACTCAGAATTTGGATTTAAGAAGATAATTATAGGGGAGAAAGAAAGTAACAACTATGTTTTCTTAAACCAAGATAGAGAGTAAGAAACATCCTTAACCAGGAAGCTATTGTCTTAAACTGCTGTTGTTTTGGCATCATTCATAATCACTTACCAACTATTTTTTTGAGGGTAAATCAGGTTATCTTCTGTTTATAATTCTTCTGAGGGCAACTTAACTTCTTTTCTTTAACCTATCATTTCTAACTACCTTCAAGTTTAGCCGTATACAACTTAAATCACATTTTGCTACACTTTTTAGATCTTGAGATTGTTTTTTGGCTACTCTGTCATCAGTGTAATTTTTAAAATTCTATTTGCTATCGGTAGGACCTGGAGTTTACACATAGCCAGAATTAAAATGTATTGACAAGTGAAAATAAGTTCTTTGATCTCAGTGGGGAAAAGGGATGCAGCTCTGCACTCCTGAATTCTACCACTTTCATATTCTGAGCCTTTGAAGTTTTTCTTTGCTTTCCTGCACATCCTTTGGTTCATAGTTTGTGCTTATTTTTTTTCCTGATAAAATTGTTTGACAGGCTTAGAGCTGTAAAGATAGGAGTGTTGTTTAATAAATAAAAATAAAAAGATAATTAATTGTTTCTGTAAGGTCGAATGCATAATCCATAGAGAGCTTCTTTCTGCTGTACTCGCTCCCTACGTAACTCAACTGTGAAAAGCAGAAACTTTTCATTTTTTTTTTTTTTTTTGAGACGGAATCTCGTCTGTCGCCCAGGCTGGAGCGCAGTGGTGCCTGCCATCTCAGCTCACTGCAAGCTCCGCCTCCCAGGTACATGCCATTCTCCGGCCTCAGGCTCCTGAGTAGCTAGGACTACAGGCGCCCGCCACCAAGCCTGGCTAATTTTTGTTGCATTTTTAGTAGAGACAGGGTTTCACCATGTTAGCCAGGATGGTCTCGATCTCCTGACCTCGTGATCCGCCCGCCTCAGCTTCCCAAAGTGCTGGGATTACAGGTGTGAGCCACTGCGCCCGGCAAAAGTAGGACCTTTTCTATCTCCAGTGTGAATTTAACCACCTGGCAATATTTGAAAGGTAGAGATTCTGACTCAGAACGTCCGGAGACTTAAACTCTTTTTTTTTTTAAACAAGTTTCCAGATGGTCTTCAGGGGACCACATTTTGAGCAGTAAAGATAAACAGGAAGAAAGGAAAGCAGAAGTATTCTAAATACATTACTTCAATACTGTTCACTATGTTAGACATCTTACATCCATTATCTGCTATTAACTCCTATAATATGTAGTATTATCCCTAAAATATAGGAAAATAAATAGACACAGATGTAGCAATACATAGTAACAAACTGATCTTTTTGCAAGATACAGATTACAAAATTATTTAACCTCTGAGTGTCTTACTTTCCATTTTACAAAATGGGGTTTTAAACATAAGACCCAAAACCATAAAAACCCTAGAAGAAAACCTAGGCAGTAACATTCAGGACATAGGCATGGGCTTAGACTTCATGACTAAAACACGAAAAGCAATGGCAACAATGCCAAAATTGACAAATGGGATCTAATTAAACTAAATAGCTTCTGCACAGCAAAAGAAACTATCACCGGAGTTAAAAAGGCAACCTACAGAATGGGAGAAAATTTTTGCAACCTATCCATCTGACAAAGGGATAATATCCAGAATCTACAAAGAACTTAAACAAGTTTACAAAAAAAAAAAAAAAAAAAAGAAAACCACCAAATAGTGGGCAAAGGATATGAACAGACACTTCTCAAAAGCAGACATTTATGTGGCCAATAAACAAATGAAAAAAGCTCATAATCACTGGTCACTAGAGAAATGCAAACCAAAACCACAATGAGATACTGAGAGGTGACAGCATGCTGGCAGTCCTCAGAGCCCTCGCTTGCTCTCGGCACCCCCCCTGCCTGGGCTCCCACTTTGGTGGCATTTGAGGAGCCCTTCAGTCCCCCCACTGCACTGTGGGAGCCCCTTTCTGGGCTGGCCAAGGCTGGAGCCCACTCCCTCAGCTTTCAGGGAGGTGTGGAGGGAGAGGCACCAGCGGGAACCGGGGCTGCCTGCGGTGCTTGCAGGCCAGCTGGAGTTCCGGGTGGGCGTGGGCTTGGTGGGCCCCGCACTGGAAGCAGCCAGTCAGCCCTGCTGGCCCGGGGCAATGGGGGACTTAGCACCCGGGCCAGTGGCTGCGGAGGGTGTACTGAGTCCCCCAGCAGTGCTGGCCCACCTGCGCTGTGCTCGATTTCTCGTGGGGCCTTAGCTGCCTTCCCGCGGGGCAGGGCTCGGGACCTGCAGCCCGCCATGCCTGAGCCTCCCACCCACTCCATGGGCTCCTGTGCAGCCCAAGCCTCCCCGACGAGCACCACCCCCTACTCCACGGCGCCCAGTCCCATCGACCACCCAAGGGCTGAGGAATGCGAGCACACGGCGCAGGACTGGCAGGCAGCTCCACCTGCAGCCCTGGTGCGGGATCCACTAGGTGAAGCCAGCTGGGCTCCTGAGTCTGGTGGGGACGTGGAGTCTTTATATCTAGTTCAGGGATTGTAAATACACCAATCAGCACCCTGTGTTTAGCTCAAGGTTTGTGAGTGCACCAGGCGACACTCGGTATCTAGCTGCTCTGGTGAGGACGTGGAGAACCTTTATGTCTAGCTCAGGGATTGTAAATACACCAATCGGCACTCTGTATCTAGCTCAAGGTTTGTAAATACACCAATCAGCACCCTGTGTTTAGCTCAAGGTTTGTGAGTGCACCAATCGACACTCTGTATCTAGCTGCTCTGGTGGGGCCTTGGAGAACCTTTATGTCTAGCTCAAGGATTGTAAATACACCAATAGGCACTCTGTATCTAGCTCAAGGTTTGTAAACACACCAATCAGCACCCTGTGTTTAGCTCAAGGTTTGTGAATGCACCAATCGACACTCTGTATCTAGCTGCTCTGGTGGGGCCTTGGAGAACCTGTGTGTCGAATCTCTGTATCTAACTAATCTGATGCAGAGGCGGAGAACCTTTGTATCTAGCTCAGGGATTGTAAACACACCAATCAGCACCCTGACAAAACAGGCCACTTGGCTCTACCAATCAGCAGGATGTGGGTGGGGCCAGATAAGAGAATAAAAGCAGGCTGCCCGAGCCAGCATTGGCAACCAGCTCCGGTCACCCACCAATTCTGGACACAATACCATCTCATGCTAGTTAGATCGGCAATCATTAAAAAGTCAGGAAACAACAGATGCTGGAGAGGATGTGGAGAAATAGGAATGCTTTTACACTGTTGGTGGGAGTATAAATTAGTTCAATGATTGTGGAAGACAGTGTGGCAATTCCTCAAGGATCTAGAACCAGAAATACCATTTGACCCAGCAATCCCATTACTGAGTATATACCCAAAGGATTATAAATCATTCTACTGCAAACACACATGCACACGTATGTTTATTGCAACACTGTTCACAATAGTAAAGACTTGGAACCAACCCAAATACCCATCAGTGATAGACTGGATAAAGAAAATGTGGCACATATTCACTATGGAATACTATGCAGCCATAAAAAAGGATGAGTTCATGTCCTTTGCAGGGATATGGATGAAACTAGAACAATCATTCTCAGTAAACTAACACAGGAACAGAAAACCAAACACCACATGTTCTCACTCATAAGTGGGATTTGAACAATGAGAATTCATGGGCACACGGAGGGGAACATCACACACCAGGGCCTTTCGGGGGCTGGGGATCTAGGGGAGCAATAAGATTAGGAGAAATACCTAATGTAGATGAGGGGTTGATGGGTGCAGCAAACCATCATGGCACGTGTATACCTATGTAATAAACCTGCTGGTTCTGCACATGTATCCCAGAACTTAAAGTATAAGAAAAAAAATAGGCCAGGCGCAGTGGCTAACACCTGTAATCCCAGCACTTTGGGAGGCCGAGGTGGGCAGATCATGAGGTCAGGAGATCGAGACTATCCTGCCTAACATGGTGAAACCCCATCTCTACTAAAAATACAAAAAAAAAAAAAAAAATTAGCTGGGCATGGTGGTGGGCGCCTGGAGTTCCAGCTACTCCGAAGGCTGAGGCAGGACAATGGTGTGAACCTGGGAGGCGGAGCTTGCAGTGAGTGGAGATCGCGCCACTGCACTCCAGCCTGGGCGACAGAGAAAGACTCCATCTAAAAACTTAAATAAATAAAGAAAAAAAATATTTACCTCACAGTGATGTTAGAAGGGTTTGGGATATATTCACATCATGTAGCCAAGTGCCTGGCCGAAGTAAGTCCTTTTTTTTTTTTTTTTTTTTTGAGATGGAGTCTCGCTCTTTCCACCAGGCTGGAGTGCAATGGCACGATCTCGGCTCACTGCAAGCTCCGCCTCCCGGGTTCAAGCGATTCTCCTGCCTCAGTCTCCCAGTTAGCTGGGACTACAGTTGCCTGCCACCACGCCCGGCTAATTTTTTTGTATTTTTTAGTAGAGATGGTTTTCACTGTGATAGCCAGGATGGTCTCAATTTATATTTCTTGACCTCGTGATCCGCCCACCTCAGCCTCCCAAAGTGCTGGGATTACAGGTGTGAGCCACCGTGCCCAGCCCCAAGTAAGTTCTTAAAACATTTTCTATCATTATTATAATTCCAATTTTATTTTATTATTAGTTTTTGAGATGGAGTCTCTCTCTGTAACCCAGGCTGAGTGCAGTGGCTTGATCTCGGCTCACTGCAACCTGTGCTTCCTGGGTTCAAGCTGCCTCTTGCCTCAGCCTCCCGAGTAGCTGGGATTAAAGGCACCTGCCAACCCGCCCAGCTCATTTTTGTATTTTTAGTAGAGATGGGGTTTCACCATGTTGGCGAGGCTCGTCTCGAACTCCTGACCTCAAGTGATCTGCACACTTCGGCCTCCCAAAGTGCTGAGATTACAGGCGTAAGCCACCGCGCCTGGCCTATAATTCCAATTTTAGCAGTATATCTTGCTAATCAACCAAAAGGAACACTTAAGTGCTTATATTTTATATTTACTGTTAGTCATTTAGAAATGATACAATTTGAATTATAGATGTAATTGACAAATTTGTACTTTCATTGACCTGATTGGTTAAGATACTTAATCATATGATACCACTTTTCCTCTTTAAACGGTAATAACCATTCATTGCAAATTACTAATATACTGACTTACTCATAGTTTTCACTAGTCAGCACTGAATCATACTGCATGTGTATTTTGTTCTCAGCATGGAAAAGTACATGTCAAATAGTAAACCCTAGTATGCCAATCATTTAGTAACTTCAAGATTACTAATTACCATAATGTTGAAGTGCTAAGATTATCAGGGTATAATGCATTCATTATGTTAATGATTCTTTATCTTATCCAAGAATCACACATTTTCCCTGGGAGCAAAAAGAATCAAAAGAACCAACTGGAAGCTTTTAATAAAAGTTTATGCATTTAAGCGTGTGATTAACCGACAATCATATTACAAGTGCTTTATTTTAAAGGAAATAATAAAAAGAAAAAACTGTTTATAACGGGTAAGATTTTCTTTCTAAACATAATTGACATTTCACTAACTGAAATTGGAATTACCAAAGAAGTGTAAGACATGTCTTGTGCCCTCAAGGGGGAAGAAATATTACATACAAATAATGAAACTAATTATAGTCTAAACTCATAGAAAAACAACTACTTATAAAGAATTAAAAATGGGAGAAATAAGGTTAGATAGGAGTAGTCACAGAAGTGATGAAAGAGACGTTAACTCAAATTTGAAAGATAAGTACAGGTGGATAGAGTGTAGAAATGAAAAACAGCTACTCAGAACAAAGTATCTCTTTTTCTTTTTTGGAAGAACATAGTACTAAGCATCAGAAAATTTGAATTTAAAGTTGAATTTAAATTGACTGTACATTCCTTGAAATGTGTTCTCTCATTTGTAGAATGGGAGATTTAGAAAAGAGGTTTCCCTAACTACTCTATGCTTCTTTAACTGTAAAATTTTAGGCCTAGCTATATAGGGCAGGAAATAGAAGGGCACATGCAGAGCACAGGTATTAGGGCCTGGTAGTAAACATGGTTGTGTGCAGAGCATGGGTCAAACTATACGGCCTTCAGAACCTAGTACTTGAGATGGAATCAGTACCTGCTGCTAAGGATGGTAATAAGAAGGAATTTCACATGAGATCAGGATTATGATGCGGTTTAGGACAAGCAATCCAGTGGATATAAAAAGTAAGATACAAGACAGATATGACAATATTGGAAAGGCTGTGTAACATGCAGATTGACTCTGAATTGTCAGTGAAAGTGGATGACATCACCATCCAAGCAGTTGAAATGGGCTCTGTGGGGAAATGTCAGAGCTGTACAGAAAAAAAAATAGGTGCCCAGAATTCATAACAGGAAACTCAGTTGTTTGGGGGGCTTAGGATTTGATTTTTATTTCTAAGCCTCTTTTATAAGGGCATCAATTTCACTTATGGGGGTTCTGGCCTCATGATCCAATCACTTCCCAAAGGCTCCATCTCTTAATACCAAAATGTTGGGGATTAAGTTTCCACATGAATTTTGAGGGGACACCAACATTCAGAACATGAACAGGGACTTCCATTTGGAGAGATTTTGAAGAGTAACACTCCTGGCCTTTCCTCCAGCCCGGATTTTCTCCTCTCCTATGGATAAAGAGTGACTTATCTGATTGGAAATTATAGCTCCTTTCTTGCTCTTGTTATAATTAGATAAGCATTCTGGTCTACTCTTTATCATCCAGTAAGTAGCCTGCCCCTGTGTGGATGGCATGTGGCTGGCCAGCTTAGCCTCTCTGGGATTTAGATACTAATTTAGATAATCATACTAATAATAAAGAGCTGACTCTCTGCTCTTTGTTGTTCAGGGTAAAATCTTAGGAAACCCACTGTGTTTGCATATGAAAGCCAGGTTCTATAATCCATGCTACGCCTTCTGTCTGTCTCATTTGCTTCTGAAGTCTGAGGGAAAGATGGGTGTTATTTTGCACTGAATTACCACAAAGGATCAAATTGTTGAATTGAATGTAGAAGGACAGAGAGCTTACCCAGTCTCAAATTTTACCAATAGCTTCAAGGATGCAAGCACTCAAGAAACATGGACAAAAAAGAGAGTGGTTGGGGACATCTTTTATGGCTTGCCAGGTCTTCCTTTGCTTCAAGAGAAATGCATTCTAACCCAGAGGAATAGAATGTTTGCAGATCACCTCAGCTAATAGAGATTTTTAGGTTATGAAACAAGTTTATTTCACAGCCAAATTGTTATAGGGCTTATATAACCATTTCCAGGGAGCTGTGCTTCAAAAATTCACAGACTCTCGGTTTGTATACTATAGAAAATGCCAAACCAGGGATATCCTGTCTAGATCATTCTATAGATAAGAATGGTCTTCCCTGTAAATACCTTTAGTTTATTTACCAGGAAGTGCCTCATCAGCATGTTTATAAAGATTACTTAGGTAGCTTGCTTCTTTCTTTGGCATGTCTCTTGGTCATCAGGGTGAGAGAGAGAAAGAAAGATAAACCACAGGCACATTGCTTTAACTTCTTCCTCCCCAGACCCATTAAATTTCCACAGACTGGAATAGGGAAGTGTAGGAGTGAAAACAGACATAGGTCTGCTTCTAGCATTAAGCCAAGTAACTATTTTTACTTGACATGAGTGGAAATAGTATAAGGAAAATATTGTCTTGGGAAAAATAGCTCACTGGGACGTTATAGAAGAGTTTAAGGGTGAATAAATGGAGATGCAATGACTAGTCAGAAAGCATGATTTAGTGAGTCTGAGCGTTACTGTGGTAGCAATGACAATGGGGAGGAAGGAGTAAAACACAAAGGTATTTTAAAGAAAGAAATGACAGAAATTGGTAACTTTAGCATTAAGGATAGAAGAAAGATAAGACTAAAATGTTACCCTGGAATTTCTAGTGAGGGAGACAATATTTAAAATGCTAAAATTAAAATAAACCATGTATTTCCAGAGTAGGTCAAAGTCATTTAAAAAAAGGATAAACTGGGCCGGGTGCAGTGGCTCATGCCTGTAATCCCAGCACTTTGGGAGGCTGAGGCAGGTGGATCACCTGAGGTCCGGAGTTCGAGACCATCCTGGCCAACATGGTGAAACCCTGTCTCTACTAAAAATACAAAAATTAGCCGGGTGTGGTGGCGAGTGCCTGTAGTCCCAGCTACTTGGGAGGCTGAGGCAGGAGAATTGCTTGAACTCGGCAATGGAGGTTGCAGTGAGCCGAAAAAGCACCACTGCACTCCAGCCTGGGTGACAGAGTGAGACTCTGTCTCAAAAAAAAAAAAAAAAAAAAAAAAAGAAAAAAGGATAAACTAAGTTTAATTGATGAGTATGAAAACATGCCAGATCATCCCAAAGGATGTATTAGGGAAAAGCAGAATTTGTGAGTATGTGAAAATTTGGAAATTAGTTGGAGAAATCTAATAGTTGATTTATTCAGTCAACAAATAGGCCAGTATGCACACTCTCAATTTAAGGCATGAGAGATATAATGTGACTAAAACGTCCAAAACCAAATAAGACTCTGCTCCTTTTTTTTTTTCTTTGAGGCATAGCCTGGCTCTGTCGCCCAGGCTGGAGTGCAGTGGCTTGATCTTGGCTCACTGCAGTCTCAAACTCCCTGAGCTCAGGTGATACTCCCACCTCAGCCTCCCTAGCAGCTGGGACCTCAGGTGTGTACCATCATGCCCAGCTAATTTTTGTAGAGACAGGGTTTTGTCACTTTGCCCAGGCTGGTCTGGAACTCCTGAGCTCAAGTGATCCAGCTGCTTAGGCCTCTCAAAGGGCTGGTATTACAGGCATGAACCACTGCACTGAGCCAACTCTCTGGTCTTTGTTATTCAATTGCTGTGTGCCTCACTAATCTGATTCTTAGTACTCCCAAACTCTGACCTTAGTGATATAACCATATTCTAAATTCATCATCATGGAATGCCCATCCATCCTCATTTCTGTTCTGTCTAGCCAAACCTGCAGTTGGAGTCACTACAAAACTGGTGGCACAGAATTCCAACAAAGGACTTCCCCATAGCATCCCAAGATGGGGCTGATTGAGATTCCAAAGAAGGAGGTACTAGATGCCAGGAAAATCAATCCCAAGCATTTATTAGGGGAATTTACATAAAGAAGAGGGTGCGGCGTGTCTTAGCAACAGTGAGAAAAGAGATATTCCACCTAGATATGTCTGCAATGAGGGGATGGAGTTAATGGAGTTGACTTGAGTGTTTAAGAAGTTTGGCTCAGGGCCAAAGCTAGTTTCTATGTATGTAACAACATGGCTGATCTTTTAGTGTTTTCCAACAGCAACCTAAATAGCTTTATCAATTTCTGAGAAGGTTCAAGACTGAAGGGGAAGACATAGCTGGCTGGGTCACAGAGCAGTTAGGTCACTGTGTTTCTGGGTCAGGACATTGAAAGAAGGCAGGGGGAAAGTGGGGGACCCTACAATCTGTCACCCAGAGACCATGTCAAGAGAGATCTCTTTTTCGGCATTTCTCAACATCTGTAGTATTTACAGTCAATGCTCTGCCCACGTTCCCTTACTCCTACAGTGCATGCCAGCCTAATACCCAACTGCCAATATAATAGGCAAGGAGATACTGAGGACTTCCTCTCCCTGCTGAAGTTCACTTTGCCCACCTATGTGGCAGTCCAGAAATGATGGGGCATTAAAACTTTCCAGGAGCAACCCTCAGTCGGTGACTGGCAGTAGACAGTGTGTAAATAAATACCCCATCTCTCTCATCCCTAGCATTGGCTATCTCTCAGGGATGTGTCCTGCACTGCAGAGGTTCTCCAGCAGGACTGAGATCCAGTCCTCCACAGTGAGCTGGATTGATTCCTACCCTTCATTAGGTACCTTTCCTTTCTTGCCTTAGTTGGAAGTACTGTAGGCAAGGATAACTGAACACCACCATTCCTATCCAAAATACTCAAAGCATATTAATGTGTTTAGCTAGAGAATACAGTTAGAGATTATTAGTTGCCAAACCTTGCTTTGAAAAAAAAGTGAAGAATTTTAGCTTCTGAAAGTCATTGCAATCAAATATTGAGCAACATGAAGATAAATCGGGAGCTCGCCGGTTTCTATCAGAAATGTGCCCACATACGCACCACACTACACTGGTCTTGAATTGGTATTTGGCATTTGCTTTGAACATTTCAAGAGCTAGAATAACAAAAACAGCTGTGTCAAAAGTAAGTGTCTACTTGGTTTCATTAATGTGATCACACTCATATGGATTGTTTTAAAATATCCAAAAGACTGAAGGTCCTGATGAATCCGACAAAATAGAGTACTTTTTAGGGAAATTAGCAGCCTTAATGTCAAAGACAAATGTCAGATTATTTTGTTCCAATTTACTCATTTTAGGCTTAAGGATTCTCAAAAGATAGTGAACAATATATAATACACTAGACATTCTACTCCGCAAATTTAATTTTGAGCATATAATAATAGAATTTTATCTTTGGAAAGTTTGTGAAAATTCTTATGCATTCAATCTTGATATGAATCATTGTCTTTATAGTTGTTTTGATAATAATCTAATATTATCAAATCACGATCCCCAACTTCTCAAGACATAATGAATATACATTGAAATTTAAAGTACATGTGTTTACCAGACAATGCCTAGAGGAAATAAATAATTCAATTTCATATCATACAGGAATATTGGTTTTCTAGACAATTGCCTTTACTGTTTCAATCAATTAATCATTTGTGCTGGGCATTACAAATTAAGTAGTAACTGAAATATACAATGCAAAAGAACCTCCCTTCCTGGAGATTAATTCTGCAGAAGAGACTGGCAGTTTTTTTAAAAAAAAGTTTAAAAATAATTTAATGGTGATATGTGCTGTGGAGAAAAATATATAAATCAATGGAGTGTGACAGGACCTGCTAATGTTGGTTTGAGTGCTTGATATCAATTTTAAATAAGGTGGTCAAGAAAAAAAATCAATGAGAAGATAATTGAGCAAAAACAGGAAGCCAGTGAAAGGGTGATCCATGACAGTGCCTGCACTAAGGGTACACCAAGCAAGGAGAACTGGTACAAAGGCGCTGACGTGGAAATGTTTCTACATAGCAATTGCGTTAGTGTGACATGGAGAGGAATAAATGAGAAAAGGAGTGTTGGGAGATAAGGGAAGAAAAGTAGCAATGGGGCTGAAGCTATTCCAAGGATTTTGGTTTTTAAGCTGAGTGATAAGGGATACCTCTAAGGATGCTAGGCAATGGAATGACATGAATTGACTTACATTTTACTATGATCTAACTGGCTAACATGTAAAGAACATAAAAGGGAGGTGCTTTAGTCAGATTAGATGAATGACTTTTTATTTTATTTTATTTTATTTTGAGACGGAATTTCACTCTTGTCGCCCAGGTTGGAGTGCAATGGCGTGATCTCAGCTCACTGCAACCTCCGTCTCCTGGGTTCAAGCGATTCTTCTTCTTCAGCCTCCTGAGTAGCTGGGATTACAGGCACCCGCCACCACTCTCGGTTAATTTTTGTATTTTTAGTGGAGACGAGGTTTCACTACGTTGGTCAGGCTGGTCTCAAACTCCTGACCTCAGGTGATCTGCCTGCCTCGGCCTCCCAAAGTGCTTGGATTACAGACGTGAACCACTGCACCCGGCCAAATGACAGTTCTTAAATCTCACTGGCTTAATGCAATAATCATTTTTTCTCTTATTTATATACCTAAATGAATGTGTTTGGCAGAGAGGAATTCTGTTCCAAGTAGTTGGTGAGAGATTCAGCTTGTGGAGCTTGTGGCTTCCTTAGAGTCTCAGCCCCCAGAGTGTCTACTGCCTCCTTCTACCTTTCTGCAGTCAGGGGAAGAGAAACGAAAAGCACTTGAGCAGCAGTGGTTATTATTTTCACCAGTAACTCACAGGCAAGAACTCAATCATATGCTGTACTTAGCAGCAAAGGAAACTGGGAGATGCCGTCTAAATCTGTGTTCAGGAGGAAAAGGAAATGGGTTTTAGAGAACACGTTATAGTCTCTGCCACAGGGAATAAGGACAGAAACAGAATGCTACTTAGGAAGATGTTGCTTTATACAAAAAGGAGATGATGGTGGCCAGGCCCGGTGGCTCACGCCTGTAATCCCAGCACTTTGGGAGGCCGAAGCGGGCGGATCACCTGAGGTCAGGAGATCGAGACCATCCTGGCTAACACGGTGAAACCCTGTCTCTACTAAAAATACGAAAAATTAGCCGGGCGTGGTGGTGGGTGCCTGTAGTCCCAGCTGCTCGGCAGGCTGAGGCAGGAGAATGGCACGAACTCGGGAGGCAGAGCTTGCGGTGAGCTGAGATTGCACCACTGCACTCCAGCCTGGGCGACAGAGTGAGACTCCGTCTCAAAAAAAAAAAAAAAAAAAAAAAAAAAAAAAAAAAAAAAAAAAAAGATGATGGAATGATGGCAGCCTTGACCACAGTGCTTGCATGGGTATAAGGAGAATGATGTACTGGAAAATGTCCCAAACTATTTATTTTTTGATGGGGATAGTAACATTAATAGGTGATCAATGAAAAATTGTTTCAGAAGTAAAATACGATTAGGAAATGCTGGATTTCTCTACAAAAGATTTCTTGCAACATTTATTAGGCTTGAGGATCTTTGTTATTTTGTTGTAAAAATATAAAATATGCGGTTATCAAAATCATCAGGAATTTTTTAATAGACAATATCACATAGCTAATATTCCAAAGAATATTCTTTAAGAAGACAAGTGAATTATTGGATAGAAGATAGGGTCTGGTTTTTGACACGTACTTCCTGTGTGACTCTGGATGACTCTTTAACCTCTTTGAGATTTACTTCCCTCAATTCTAGAATGGACACACTACCTTTTAGATTGCTCACCTTACAGGGCTATACAAAGCTAATAAAATGTACATATAAGCACTGTAAGCATCAGTGAGTATTATTATAAGACTTAGCGTGGCAACAAAGGAGCAGAGCAAACTGAGATGCTTAGTTTTTGCCAGGAGGAGCCTGAATGTCAGCCATCAAGGAGTCTTATCAGGTAGCATTATCTTGACAGTGACCCAATGGCCCTCAGTCCTTTGCCTCTGGAATTGATCAAACTATATTTACAGAGCCTAACTACATCTGTCAGCTTATAAACAACATTGAAATAAGAATTTCTACCGATTAATGTAAAGTTGTCTAGGGACAACTGTGCTGATGTTCCCTATTTATTATAACTTATTTTCAAAATGAGGATATTTGGGAATGGCAAGCAAAGACATTTGTTTAGTAAACACCAAAGATCAGAGAGCAAAAACATCAGATTTTTGTGGAAGGTATTCTCTTTAGGCCTTGGTGAGAACAGACTAACATCAGTCCTCAGCTAGGCAGTGACCAAGTCCTCTATATTTAATGTCTAGATGAACTCTCTATCACTGGACTGAGAGGATGCTCCTTTTGTAAATTAAACAAAATGAGCAACTCTTTACGTGCAGACACTCTTGCTCCAAATTAGAGAGAGGACCAGTGATTTGATTTTCATTTATAAATCATGGTCTGTTTCCACTTATGGTTCCTTGCAATTACCTCAGGTCTCTCAGAAATATCCAGTGGCCTAAATCACTCATTCACAGTTGATTAAGCTCGTCCACTTTGCAGATTTTAGCAGTTTAACCATCAGAGGAATCCCATTTCTAATATAAAAGACATTGAGTCAATCTCACTCATTGTAACACCAACTAGGGAAAGACTCAGTTAAGGAAGAAACTGCAGTGGCTGTGGTTGATGGCAAAGTTTATGAAACATATCATAAGTATTGTATAGTGAATAAAGAAGAAGTTTGGGATCAAAATACAATTATAGGGAAATCAGTAGCATATTTTTACCATAAGAGCAGCTGATTTTGTATCCTGCCCTTTGTGGGATAATTGGATTGTCTTGACTTTTTTATTCCATCTCTTCCACTTAATTTTGCTGAATATAACTCTAGATTGATAGGTTTTTCTTTCAATACTTTCAATAACTCACTTCACTCTCTTGTTTATATGGTTTCTGACTAGAAATCTATGCTAATTCTTATTATCGTTTCTCTATAGATAAGGCATTATTTCCCCTATGGGTTCTTTCAAATATTTTTCTGTCTTTGGTTTTCTAAAGTTTAAATATGATGTAGTTCTCCTACTTGGTGTTCTCTGAGCTTCCTGAATATTTGGTTTAGTGTTTGTCATTAATTTGGAGGAAGTTCTAGCCATTATTTCTTCCAATGTTCTCCTACTCTGTTCTCTCTTCTTCTTCAGGTATTCCAATTAGGCATGTGTTATGCCTTTTGATTGTTCCTTAGCTCCTCAATGTTGTGTTGTTTTGTTTGTTTGTTTTACTTGTTTGTTACTTTGCACTTCGGGTTGGGAAGTTTCTAATGACCAATTTTTAGGCTCACTGATTTTTTCCTTTACTGTGCCAAGACTACTAATGAGTCCATCAAAGGCATTCTTCATTTCTATTACATTTTTTTATTTTTTTATGGTTTCTTAGAGTTTTCATCTCTCTGCTTACATTATCCTTCTATTTTTGCATATTTTCTAGTTTTCCACTAGAGTCCTTAATATATTATACACAGTTAATTTAAGTTCCCTGTCTGATAATTCCAACATCTACATTATATCTGAGTTTTTTTTTTTTTTTTTTTTGAGTTGGAGTTTTGCTCTTGTTGCCCAGGCTGGAGTGTAGTGGCGCGATCTCAGCTCACTGCAACCTCTGCCTCCCAGGTCCAAGTGATTCTCCTGCCTCAGCCTCCTGAGTAGCTAGGATTACAGGCACCCACTAACATGCCTGGCTAATTCTTTTTGTATTTTTAGTAGAGACGGGGTTTCACCATGTTGGGCAGGCTGGTCTTGAACTCCTGACATCAGGTGATCCATCCACCTCGGCCTCCCAAATTGCTGGGATTACAGGCGTGAGCCACCATGTCCAGCTGTTTTTTTTTTTTTTTTTCTTTTCCAACTTTTAAGTTCAGGGGTACATGTGCAGGATGTGCAGATTTGTTACATAGGTAAATGTGTGCCATGGTGGTTTGCTGCACAGATCATCCCATCACCCAGGTATTAAGCCCATCTTCCATTGGCTCTTCTTCCTGATCCTGCCCCTCTTCCCACCCCCTGCCCTCCAACACGTCCCAGTGTGTGTGTTGTTCTCCACAATGTATCCATGTGTTCTCATAATTTAGTTACCACTTTTCTGTTCCTGTGTTAGTTTGCTAAGTATAATGTCCTCCAGCTCCATCCATGTCCCTGCAAAAGATATGATCTCATTCCTTTTTATGGCTGCATAGTATTCCATAGTGTATATGTACTACATTTTCTTTATCCACTCTTGATGGTTGTCTTTTCACTCCGTTGGTAGTTTATTTTGCTATGCAGGAGCTCTTTAGGTTAATTAGATTCCATTTGTCAATTTTTGCTTTTGTTGCAATGGCTTTTGATGTTTTTGTCATGAAATCTTTACCTGTGCCTATGTTCTGAATGGTATCTCCTAGATTTTCTTCTAGGGTTTATATAGTTTTTGGTTTTACATTTAAGTCTTTTATCCATCTTGAGTTGATTTTTGTTGATGGTGTAAGGAAGGGATCCAGTATCAATTTTCTGCATATGGCTAGCCAGTTTTCCCAGCACCATTTATTAAATAGGGAATCCTTTTCCCATTGCTTGTTTTTGTCAGACTTGTTAAAGATCAGATGGTTGTAGATGAGTGGTCTTATTTCTGGGTTCTCTGTTCTGTTTCATTGGTCAATGTGTCTGTTCATCCATCTTGGCAAGCCAAATCACAAATGAACTCCCATTCACGATTGCCCCCCCCGCAAAAAAAATGCCCAGGAATACAGGTAACAAAGAAAGTGAAGGAGGGATGTCCTCAAGGAGAACTACAAGCCACTGCTCAAAAGATCCACTATTACCCTAGATTACTGTAGCCCTGTTTTGGTTACTATAGCCCTATAGTATAGTTTGAGATTGCATAGTGTGATGCTTCCAGCTTTGTTCTTTTTGCTTATGATTGCCTTGGCTATTCAGGCTCTTTTTTGTTTCCACATGAATTTTAAGATAGTTTTTTCTAATTCTGTGAAAAATGTCATGGTAGTTTAATGGGGATAGCATTGAATGAATCTGTAAATTGTTTTGGGGACTATGGCCATTTTCACAATATCAACTCTTCCTATCCATGAGCATGGAATAATGTTTTTCCATTTGCTTGTGTTATCTGTGATTTTTTTTGAGCAGTGATTTATAGTTCTCCTTGAAGATAAGCACTTAGGTTGAGTTCATGTCTTTGTTATTGTGAATAGTGCTGCAGTGAACATATGCATGCACATGTCTTTATAATAGGATTATTTCTATTTTTGTGTGTATATACCCAGTAATGGGATTGCTGGGTTGAATAGTATTTCTGCCCCTAGGTCTTTGAGGAATTGCCACACTGTCTTCCAGATTAATTGAACTAATTTACACTCCCACCAACAGTGTAAGAGTTTTCCTTTTTCTCACAACCTCACCAGCATCTGTTGTTTTTTGACTTTTTACTAATAGCCATTCTGACTGGTGTGAGATGGTATCTCATTGTGGTTTTGATTTACATTTCTGTAATGCTCACTGATGTTGAGCTGTTTTTCATATATTTATTGGCTGCGAGTATGTCTGTTCATGTAAAGGGTTCATGTCCTTCACCTACTTTGTAATGGGGTTGTTTTTTTTTTCTTGTAAATTTAAGTTCCTTATAGATGCTGAATATTAGACCTTTGTCAGATGGATAGACTGCAGAAATTTTCTCTCATTCTGTAGGTTCCACATTTTTTGTTGTGACAGGAATGCTGGAAGGGGTTGAAATGGGAACAGTTTTCTTCCTCCAGTTGGGAGGAGGAATATCCCAATAAAGGTGGGGGAAAGTGATTTTCCTTGGAGAACAGACCTGAGTGTATTTCACAATGATTATTTCTTCATTTCTTCTGCCAGAGTTATGAAGGGATTTTTTTTTTTTTTTTTTTTGGTGTGTGTCTTCATGAGAACATCGTGGGGATTCTGAAAGTAAAGCAAACAAAAATGTAAAGGCCTCCCCAAGACTATGGCCTCCAAGACTTTCTTGTATTTGGTTTCTAGTTAGTTTCCAAGCTAGTCCATCCTTAACCTCCAGTACTTTATCAACATTACCATTTTGTGGTGTCCTCATCAATTTATGGTTCCAGTGGCTTCTGTTTCAAGTGAGACTTCTGTTGTGTTTCTCTTGTCTCCAGATTTAAGGGTGATGGTTTGCCTAGTGACTTCAGTTCTCTGATAGGTTCAAGAAAAGTTCATGGTTTTTAGTTTGTTCAACTTTTTCTTATTTTAAGGATGGAGCAACTTGCAAGCTCTTGGCATATTAGAGTTAAAACCAGAAGTCCTTTATTCTGTTTTATAGCCACTTTTATATTCCTTTTTTTGGAAATGAGTTTCTAGAGAAAGAAAGGAGTCCGTTACTAAACCTGAAACTTACTAGATTTAGAAGTTCACATCACACTGAGACTCACTGTGATTCTCTGTGAATATAACATCTGTCACTTCTCTGTCTAAATTCTGGGGAAAGTCCAGTTTAGGCCTACTCTTGTGGCGTGCATTTATGCCCCTGGGTATGATTTAGGTTACCTAACAGTTTTCATTCTTGATCGAGTGATGGGAGGAAAGAATTGCAAGGACTGTAAAATGAAACTGGCCATGAGCAGGACCCAGCAAGAAAAGAGATAAATGCTAGATGGAAACTGCCATTTGCCCACAATTCTAACATCTTAAATTCAGTTCTTAGCTATTGGGTGTCAGTTTTTAGAAGTGAAAAACTAACACTCTTCTCTCCCCACCAAACCAAGAGAAAAAAGCATTGAGACATTTCTTGATAGTCACTATAAAAAATAAAGATAAACTGAGCAAAGATTAAGTATTTTTCCTTCTTCCAAAATAAGATAAAACTTTTATTATAAAATATGCTGCTAAATATGGACATGCTCTTTGAAAAAATAACAGAAATCATATGCTTGCAGTAGATTTATAGAATCAAGTTTTTAGAATTGGAATGTATTTTGAAGGTGAGTGTCTTTTTAATAACTTTTAAATAACTAATTTTATCCAGTTGCAATAAAGGGGTTATATGCAAATACACCAGAATGCTATGGGTTCTTCTTTCTCATTCTTTCATTTTATGTAGACTTGGACATGTTTTTTTTTGGTATGAACATGAATTTCTTTAGTTTTCAGTGGCATTTATTATAAGCCAGACAATATGCTATTTATTTTTTTGAATTATTTTTAAACTTTTGAAAAGTAGCATATCCAATAAATTCTGTAATTATAAAATAAAATGATGGCTTTGTACTTCATATGATGTGACAATTGTTAATCTCCATCGCCTGTTTCAGTAGGTCTCAACCTTTTATTCATTATTGTCCCCTAAGGTGCCTTTCTAGATATTTTTTTTTCCTAATTACTCCCTCTCCCATAAAATTTTATTACTATTGCAGATATACTCCATATCTGCTTATGTACTGCAGCCCTTGAGAAGTCCAAAAACACTGTAATATCTCCTAATTTACCCCTTCCCCATAAACCAGTTTTCACCTCTTGAACATGCTATTATCCTAGTTGAGAATGCATGCCCTATTTGATTAATAATAATGGTTATCTTTTATAAATCACCAAACTAAATATGTAGGTGCTGGTTCTAGAGTCACATTATTTAGGTTAGTATTCTGGAGCAACTCTTTACCAGATTTGTGATTGTGAATTATTTATTAAACTCAAAGTTCCTCAATTTTCTCAATTCAAAATAAAAATAATAGCACCCGAATTGGTGAAAGTAATACTGACAGTTGTAACAAACATCCCCAAATGCAGGATGTTTCAAATCCTATAGAAGAGTATTTCTCAGTAATATAAATTCCAAACAGAATGTTACTGAGTGTCAGGTTAGCTCTAGTCCAGGTGCTGGCTTCTTCCACCATGCGATTCATCAACTGAAGCTCATATTGTTTCCCAGGTTGCACTGGGAGTTGGTATCCAGCCATTAGTCAAGACAAGATAAGGGAAAATTGCAAAATAATGAAAAGCCTTTAGGGGCCAGTGTGGAAGTGATACATACTAGTTTTAGCCACGTTCCTCTCACCAGAATTTAGGTCCAGCTATGATTGCCACACTTAAGTAAAAGAGGGGAATGGGTGGGAAATATGTTCCATCTCTGTGTTTAGGAAAGATAGGAGATGAATTTCATTAATAGCTAGTCAGTCTCTGCCATGGCAGTTATTTCATAGCATTGTGAAGATTATTAAACTATTTGAAAGATATATTATGTCTAGAATTGTCTAGCACTACAACTGGGATGTTTTGAATATTATGGATGGGGCATAAAATGTAAGTTTAGATACCGTCATTATACAGATGAGGGAAATGACAGGCAGAGATACCACTATCCTAATGAGGATGACTGGAGATGAGGGAATTGATATTTATGGAGATTAAGAATTTGCTCAATGTCACTGAGGTAGAATTTTAATACAGCTTAATAAAAATTTAAAACCCATTTGTTTCCTCTCATTTCACTGTGCTTACTCTATTCAATAATTTAATTAGTTACTTTTGCTTTTTAAAAGGCACTGTCATTCTGTTTTCCATGATAACTCAAGGTTTCTTTAATAGAGTGAATAAATAATTATATCATTTTATAAAATGTTTTGGGATTATCATAATAAAGATAATGATGATGACATCAATTCTTGAGTTCCTAATTGCTGTAGGTTCAGATTTTTTTTTCTTTTTTTGAGATGGAGTCTCACTCTGTCACCCAGGCTGGAGTGCAGTGGTGTGATCTCGGCTCACTGTAAACTTCACCTTCCAGGTTATTCTCCCATTTCAGCCTTCCAAGTAGCTGGCATTACATGCACCCACCACCACACCCGGCTAATTTTTGTATTTTTAGTAGAGACAGGGTTTCGCCATGTTGGCCAGGCTGGTCTCAAACTCCTGACCTCAGATGATCCACCTGCCTCGGCCTCCCAAAGTGTTTGGATTACAGGTTCAGATTTTAATAAGATGACAACTGAAGTGTGTTTCACAGGGGTAATAAAAATAGAGATCTTAATACCAAATTAAGAAATAAATTTCTCCAAGCATATAGAAATTAATCTAATTGATGTGTGCATATATTTTTAAATAATTTTTTTTTTTTTTTGAGACAGAGTTTCACTTTTGTTCCCCAAGCTGCAGTGCAATGGCGAGATCTCGGCTTGCTGCAACCTCTGCCTCCTCGGTTCAAGTGATTCTCCTGCCTCAGCCTTCCAAGTAGCTGGGATTACAGGCGCGCACCACCATGCCCAGCTAATTTTTTGTATTTTTAGTAGAAACGGGGTTTCACCATGTTAGCCAGGCTGGTCTTGAACGCCTGACCTCAGGTGATCTGCCCACCTCGGCCCCCCAAAGTGATGGGATTACAGGCGTCAGCCACCATGCCCAGCCCAATGCTGTTGATCTTTTCAACTAACTCATGTTAGCAGCCCTATTAAGGCAGCCAACATTTTATCAGTTTCAAATTTATTCACTATGTCACTAAGATGATGGTTCTTGATTTATTTTTATTAATTTTTATTTCTATAGAAAATCTATGAATTGTGATTGCAGTTTTATGGCTGATAACTTTCTAGAAAAAATTATGATATACAACAAAACTTAACGAATATCAGCAAAAAGGGGAATCTACACCTTCACACTATTCTATTCACGTTTGCACTTTCTTCCAATTTTCTTTGTGCATACGTGTTTGCAGTTATAGCATACTATACTCTTTATATTTTTTGTTGTTTGCTAATGTAATTCTGTATTTCTACGGAGTCTTCAAAATTATCACTTTTAATGGCTTCAAGACATTCTCTATGCTGTTATATAATTGGTAACATTTAACCGTTTAGTACCAACTTTTTTTCTCCTTACTTTTTCTTTTTCTTTTCTTTTTTTTTTTTGAGACGGAGTCTCGCTCTGTCGCCTAGGCTGGAGTGCAGTGGCGCGATCTCGGCTCACTGCAAGCTCCGCCTCCCAGGTTCACGCCATTCTCCTGCCTCAGCCTCCCGAGTAGCTGGGACTATAGGCGCCCGCCACCACGCCCGGCTAATTTTTTTGTATTTTTAGTAGAGACGGGGTTTCATCGTGTTAGCCAGGATGGTCTCGATCTCCTGACCTTGTGATCAGCCCGCCTCGGCCTCCCAAAGTGCTGGGATTACAGGCGTGAGCCACCGCGCCTGGCCTCTCATTACTTTTTCTTACATGTATACTTTCTTCTTAACATTAGTAAATGTAGGTTGAGAAGTTATTTTCGATTTTTGTCAGCATGACATTTTGCCCCAGTTGTGTCTCTTTTTCTGTCTATAGTTGCTACCTATCAATATTTTTAAAAAAATTCTGCCCCTCTTTTAAGCCATAATTATCACTCATTCATTCATTGAATTTCTTAAGTGTTTCTCTTCATTGTAGTTTTAAATTTTTCTCTTTCTAAACACTTTATAGTTTTCTAAAAACTTTAGCATTCAAATAATATCCTGGTTTTATTGCCTTACAGTGCAAGATAATTCATATTGAACAGCTTGTTATTTTACTGACTGTAAATTGATTACATTCTCAAATCTCATTATTGAACATTTTGTAGAGCCAGTATAGTTAAGTATAGTAGTCCGTCTTTACATGGGGGATACATTTCAAGACCCCCAGTGGATGCCTGAAATTGTAGATAGTACTGAACCCTACCCTATATATGCTATGTTTTCCCTAAACATACATACTTATGATAAAATTTAATTTATAAATTAGGCAAGGTAGGAGATTAATGACCAGTTATTCAGAAGATAGAGCATATGAGAGTGATGACTGATAAACCTGTAAAAGATTTTCCACATTCCTTAAAATATAATGCCTTTAAGGATATGAAACTAATTTATTTCATAACAGTAGCTACATTACTATTCTTGGCATATGAAAAATTGAATGTTGAGAAGTACCACTATAAAATTTTAAAAATGAGAAGTCATGGCAAATATATACCTTATAACTTATATCAATACAGAGGTGCCATAAGACATTAAAAATTATCATTGCTTTCTGATATTAGTTTACTATTATTTTATTGTTTTTGTTATTATTGTCAGTTTAGCATAGTTAAAAATATACTGTATGAAAAATATGATAGTTATAATGCTGTTCACCAATTATTTCCAACTCTCCGTTCTTTTTTAACACATGGTAGGATTGCACTTTTTAGGGGCTCCATTTGGGGAGATAGGGCTTTAAGACAGGTTCTGTCCAGTGGGTTTGGAACAGACATATCTTCTGGCCAGATTTCATTGCCAGTATGACATTCTCAAGCTCATTTTCTTCTGCCACAGGTAGCCACGTTACAGAGAGTGACTGTTCTGCTCATATTGATCTTGATATGCATATAGGATAAACAGGAAATAAGTCTTTGCTTACTTTTACTTAAACAACTGTGATTTGGGGATTGTTAACATAGCAAAATCAATCATCTTCTGCTCATGACAGAAAAGTCAGTTTTTGTTTTATTTGGGCAATTTGCTCATCTAATATTTGCTCATCTTATTATTATCCTAGTAGCAATTTATAACAAATGGTTCATGAAGAGTTCTGATTTCAGATTATTTATTTCCCACGTAGCCTCAGTAGGATAATGTGGTTTGGTTAATTTGGCCCCCTATTACTTGTACTTCAACAGGTTAATTTTATAACTACTTATTTTATAATGTAGGTTTCATTGCTTTTATTCAGAATTAAAATGTGTCTTTGCATAGTAATATTTCATTTACAGGATAAATATTCATTGAATAAATTCTCAAATGCACATCTGTTACCTTTGAAAAAGTTCTTTCTTCCCTAAGTTTCATTTAGTTCTTACCTTACTTAGATAGATATCCACAAGTTTATCATGAATTCTTTAAAAATAAACTCTTAATCTAGGCATACTTATTTAGTGGAGCATAGTTCAGCATATCATTTATGGAAAAAATTGTTTTGACACTAAATTACAATATTCCCTAATTTAAAATCTCTGCTTTTTCTTTTTTTTCCTCCTGAGACGGAGTCTTGCTTTGTCGCCCAGGCTGGAGCACAATGGTGGGATCTCGGCTCACTGCAACCTCTCCCTCCCAGGTTCAAGTGATTCTCCTGCCTCAGCCTCCTGAGTAGCTGGGACCACAGGCATGGGCCACCACGGCCAGCTAATTTTTGTGTTTTTAGTAGAGGTGGGGTTTTACCATGTTGGCCAGGTTGGTCTCAAACTCCTGACCTCAGGCTATCTGCCTGCCTCGACCTCCCAAAGTGCTGGGACCAAAAGCGTGAGCCACTGTGCCTGGCCAAAATCTCTGCATATCCTTTGAAAAATTAAATATAAATATAACTTGTATTAATATATTTGAATTTCAAATACATTTGGAAGCACTTAGTTTTTAGGGCAACAATACTATGAATTCTTTTGGAAAGCCAAGATTTATTTTGTCCCTTTATTCTTAAGAATAAAGATTTTATAAAATGACTCCTTTCCTTAGACTGAAAAATCATATTACATTACACATTACATATATACCTAAAAATGAAGTTAAATTTAATATCATGTTACATCAGAGATGTAGCTGTAAGATAATTTATAATTACAAATTATTTTTAGTAATGTCTCCTAAATTAGAGCTAAGAGTGGTAAAATAATCAATATAATCTCTATTCTGAGGTTTAAACAGATGACTCCAGGAATATAAAATCTGAGGTAGACACTTCATTAGTTGAGTGAAGTTTCTGTAACAAACTGTAAAGAAAGGTTGATGTCTTATGAAATGTGAAAGGTTGATGTCTTATGAAATGGGAGTGGACCAGAAAGGAACAGCTGCTCACTACCAAAAAGAGGTGAGTGAAGGCTCTGCCTGTAAAGAGGGCCACATTTTCTTTTAAGAAGTCAATTTTAAGTCTTCTGGTAGATTGCGTTGTAGTTCAGGCCATCATCATTTGCCTCACTCTCATCATGCTTACTGAAATGAGCAAATGAATAAACTCCAGGGGGAAGTCCCGTATCAGCAAGGCATCATATGCCACAGACTTCTACTAGTTATAGGGCATATACACTGTGTAAAGTGAAAATAACAAGGGTAACTTACTAACCTCCTCAGTGAGAGGCTGTGGCAAAGTCAGTAAGAGGAAGAGAAAGGGTAACTGTTGGCTGAACACCCAAGAGTGTGGGGTAAAGATGGGGCGTGAAGGTGAAGCTGGGCTATGGACAAAGAAAGACCAATTACTTGGAACCCATTTCACTATCATTTATTGACAGCATTCTAACCATCCCCATCAGTGACTGCTGAGGCAATAGAAACCACTTTCAAACAGATTAAAACAGAAATTAACTGTTCTTTCAACCTATGTTTCCTTAAAATATATCATGCCATAGTGTGAGTTTTTAAAGTTTGGGGAATTTTAGGGCTAAAACAGCAGGTGCTGAGCATTAAGTTATTCAACTATTAATTTAACGCCTCATAACTTTAGTTAATGTGACAACTAAAAGAAATTAAAATATAATAAATGTTTCTTAAGGAGAAATCTTATTAATCTTTATTAAAGGTAAGGGTAAAGTAAGAATATATGATAAAAATCTGAATAAAATAAAAAATACTAGTTAAGCGCATGTCTACAGGCACCACTTTAAACATTTTCTATGTATAAGTATATTTAATAATACATTATTGTTATTATTTCCATTTCAAAAATAAAGGAAGTTAAGGACAGACAGATTGGGTGATATGCTGACTCCTATATGTTGGAATTTGAATTAAATCCAATCAGTATTCTCTACCTCCCCAAGTCTGAGTATGCTCCATTGCCTTCAAAAACCAGAAGCAAATATCTGTTAGGATCATAATTGTAAATGAGTTAACCTTACCTGTTGAAAGACTAAGGAAAAAAAAGTAAACCGCTGAGTAAAATAAAATGATACACAGAGATGATAAATTAAAGTTTAGTCAAAGTTATATTAATCAAGTACAGATAAAAGAAAGCAGAGATTATAATGTTGATTTCAGATTTTAAAAAATAATTCATAGCAAACTAAAATTGAATGTTTCCAAGAAGGCCATTTTTATTGCAGTGTAAAATCTTAGGGATTTTACAATGACTAAACATTACATTAGTCATTTTATATATGTGCCAAATAGCTTGATAGGTATATTGTAAATTCAGCTTTATAAATTTAGAGATTATATTATTAACTCAAATTGGATTTGCAATTGTTATATCTACCTGTTGAATTAAACCTGTATCATTTTGAGTTGTTCTCTTTTTTCCTTGAACTCTCTTGTCTAATATTTATAGAGTTACACTAGGTTTCTTTGGCTTCATATGTGCATGGTTATTATTTTTCATTCTTTTTTCAACCTTTCTGTGTAATTGTGTTGTAGAAGTCTTTTGTAAGTGGCTTATAGTTTTGTTTTTTTAATCTAGTTCTCATTTGTTTTTAATTGGAGCATTAAATCAATTTATAGTTGATGTAATACCAATGTGTTTGGGTTTAAATCTGCCATCTGGTTTTGTACTTGCTGTTCTGTGTTTAGTATTTTTTTTTTACTCTCTTTTCTTGGTTTCCTTTTTATTACAAAAGCATTTTCAATTAAATTTTTTCCCTAAGAATTTTGGAACTTACAGATTGTTTACTAATTTTGGAGACAGTACAGATTCTGTCTTATATACTTCTAGTTGAATATTAATAAATTCATTTGTCTTCCCTTTCAAGAATACAAGGACATTAGTATAGTCCATTTGCACCTCTTCTGACTGACATGTTACTATTGTATATTTTAATTTCATTCTGTTATGATACTAACAAGACATTATCTTATTGTTCTGTTCAATTACTAGTTTATAAATTTACTCACGTATTTACCATACCCACTGATCACCTCACATAAAATTATAAATACCTCTACAGGTACACTCTTGATCCCTCCTGTCTTATTTTGCTTATTTCTTTTTTTTTTTTTTTTTTTTTTGAGACGAAGTTTCGGTCTTGTCGCCCAGGCTGGAGTGCGTGGCGCAATCTCGCCTCACTGCAACCTCCACCTCCCGGGTGCAAGCAATTCTCCAGTCTCAGCTTCTCGAGTAGCTGGGATTACAGGCGCCCACCACCACGCCTGGCTAATTTTTGTATTTTTTAGTACAGACAGCGTTTCACCATGTTGGCCAGGCTGGTCCTGAACCCCTGACCTCAGGTGATCCACCCGTCTCGGCCTTCCAAGTAATCCTGAGTAGCTGGGATTACAGGCGTGAGCCACCGTGCTCGGCTGCTTATTTCTTAATTCTACAAATTTGCCAGTATTTAACATGCCGTATTGTTGTTTTTTTGAGACGGAGTCTCGCTCTGTCGCCCAGGCTGGAGTGCAGTGGTGAGATCTCCACTCACTGCGAGCTCCACCTCCCGCGTTCACGCCATTCTCCTGCCTCAGCCTCCCGAGTAGCTGGGACTACAGGCGCCCGCCACCACGCCCGGCTAATTTTTTGTATTTTTGGTAGAGACAGGGTTTCACTGTGTTAGCGAGGATGGTCTCTATCTCCTGACCTCGTGATCCACCCGCGTCAGCCTCCCAAAGTGCTGGGATTACAGGCGTGAGCCACCGCGCCCGGCTGTATTGTTGTTTTTTAAAAAATTATTTTAGTGTTTATTGTATCTCCTCTTCCAACTAAAATGTATGTTCTGAATACACTGACATTCATGGATTTTTTCCTAGTGCTTAGAACAATGCCTGGCCCCTATAGGAAGCACCAATTATATATTTATTGAGTGAAAGAATGAATTTATTCTTAAGTGTCTTACACTCCATCCTGAGATCAACTTCCTTCTGTCCAAAGTATATCTTTTATGTTCCCTTTGTGAAGATTTGCTGATGTGCTCCCTTATTTTTTCCCTAGAAATATCTTATTTCATCCTAAAAAATGTTTTTCAGCATACAGGAATGCTTTTATTATTTAATATTAAGACATTTAAGATATTAATTCTCTGACACCTGACTTCCATTATTGCTGTTGAGCAGTCTGCTGTCAGTCAAACTGTCCCTCCTTTGTGGTAAATTTGTCTGTCTTCTCGGGCTACTACTAAAAACTTCTTTTCACATTCTATACTCTTCATTTTCACAGTGTTGTATTTGTTGCGCATTTCTTTTTTAATTAACTTGTTTTTGGGTTCATTAGATCTCGTCTTGTCTTCTATCACTTCTAGAAAATTCTCAGCCATAGCATCTTCAAATACTTGTCTCTGTCCCATTTTCCCACTGTTCTCCTTTTAAACTTTAAATGTGTTAGAACTCAATCTGTTCTTCATGTATTTTAACTTCCTTTTTAGATTTTTCATCTCTGCTTCTGCTGATTCTTATTCCTGCTTTTTCTGCTTCGTGGTACCTTGCCTCTTGCATGCTTAGTTATATTTTAGTGTGAGCATCTCTTTTTCCTTGGGAAATTATCCATGGGAATATTTGAGGCTAGAATGAAGGTGTATTCATTCCTTCAGAGGATTTACTTTTGCTACCTCCCAGAGCACTCCCTATATGAGAGTAGTTTATGGAGGTTGAAGGATGTTTTGTCTGCTCAGTTGATATGTATTAATATTTGGACAGCTCTGAACCAAAGCAGCTTTTTCTTTTTTTCAGCTTCCTTGGGTTGTCAATGAAGTAGGTGCACATATTTCTGGGTCGCATGTGCCCTCTGAGGATACAGTTATATAATTGAGAATCTCCTCCTTGATTTTCCATGTTGGCTGGAAACTGGATTTTACTTTATTTCTCTCTTACCACCCCACAGTCATCCCAAGCTTCCTGCCCAGGTTATCAGTCTGTGATCATGGAAGCTTGAGCTCTCCAAGCTTGGCAGTTATCTAAGAATAAGGAATTCTGTCTTTACTCTTTTTTTTGTCAGGTCTTTAGTGAGATATTTATACATGTAATCACAAAATAATATATTATCATTACCTAGTTTTTAATACTTTTTAGCTAGAGACTCCATCTGACAATGGAATCATCCATAGTATCTTTGTGTCATTGTTCTCTACAAATAATGATTTTAAATCAATGGGAAGTATTAGGAACTGTTTAATAATAAAACACTGGGAGAAGTGGTTAATCATTAAGGGATGGAGGAAGACTTTGAGAAGGAAAAAGGCTGATAACTATGTGATTTGAATCTAATTCATTTCACACTGCAACTGGATACATAGTTTGGCATATGGTGGTTTAAATACCATACATATAAGGTGCCATTAGATACACCTTTACCACTTCCATATTAACATTTCTGGTGACTCACAAGAACATCTGTAACAAAATTCTGGCATTCATAGATTTTCAAACAAAAATACATGTTTACTTTTAATTCCATTTTGCCTATTTTTAAAGTTTTATACTCATTTATGGATTTTGGGTATTGTATGACATACGTTGATTTTTCTTCATTTGAAGATCAAACATAAATTCACCTACACAACTTTTCCAAAACTGTTATGGTTTCACGTTTTCAACTTCTATTTGTGAATTAGCTTTTTCTTTTTTTCTAAAAAGTTAACCAGTTATACAATGCAATTAATTAAATGCAGATGTCTATGATTTTAAAAAACTATCTATACTACATAAATTAATTTGATCTATTTCTGATACATTCATATTTTAAATATGTAGCTATTTATTTTTTTTCTTTTGAGATGAAGTTTTGTTCTTGTTGCCCAGGCTGGAGCGCAATGGAATGATCTTGGCTCACTGCAACCTCTGCCTCCCGGGTTCAAGCAATTCTCCTGCCTCAGCCTCCCGAGTAGCTGGGATTACAGGTGCCTGCCACCATGCCTGGCTAATTTTTGTATATTTAGTAGAGACGGAGTTTCACCATGTTGACTAGGCTGGTCTTGAACTCCTGACTTCAGGTGATCCACTCACCTCGACCTCCCAAAGTGCTGAGAGTACAGGCGTGAGCCACTGCACCTGGCCCAACTATTTCATACTTATTAAATATCATGATTTTATATTTAAGTTATAGATATATTCATACTTTTAAGAAAAATAGTATATCTGCATTTTCCAAAATTGTTATATTTAAAAATAGCTTTGAATTTTGCGTACATGTTTCACTTCCTTATTGGTATGTCTTTAGTATATGGTGCTTTATTCAAATGCCATAATTATAAAAATATCTTATAATAATCAACTTTAAAAAGGGACATCGGTTTGATTTTGAAAAATCACTTCTTGACCTTAAATACTAGAATGTAATAATAAAAGAGATTATTTGAAATGGTGAACTGAGTACATAAAATTTGATGGTACACTTTTAACACAGATTTTTCTATTGTTCATGTTTAACTTAAGAAAGGTGGTAGGTTTCATCTCTTTATGTCTTGATTTCTCGTACAATTGCTTCATGCTGTTATGCTAAGATCAGAATTACAGATCTTTCCTGGCTGAAATGAATGATCAACATTTAATTGACTAAGTTCCTCATTGTTTAAGATGCTTTGACTTGTGGACGTCAGATGCAGGGAAACAGATTTACTGAAATTCTGACCCCTGGCATATTTTTTGTCATAGACACATAGATATTACTTGAAACCAAATATGTATTTTTCATCATACTTTATCCATTAAGCCACTGAAGTCTTTTGGAATATTGTCTTTTATTTAAGTGCCATCCATCTAAAGCCGCCTGAAGTTGCAGAGTTCTGCAATTACTGACAGTAATACTCTCTGAAAAACTATGTTAATCCAGTCTTATGCCACTTAACCTCATTTTGGTCAATGATGAACCACATATACTATAGTGTCCCATAAGATTATAACAGAGCTGAAAAATTCCTATCACCTAGTGACACTGTAGCCGTTATGATGTGTTAGTGCAAGGCAATACTCTGTGGTTGTGGTGATGCTTATGTAAATAAACCTACTGCACCGCCAGTTATATAAAAGTATAGCACAGTCCGGGTGCGGTGGCTCATGCCTGTAATCCCAGCACTTTGGGAGGCTGAGGCAGGCAGATCACCCGAGGTCAGGAGTTCGAGACCAGCCTGGCCAATATGGCAAAAACCCTGTCTCTACCAAAAATACAAAAATTAGCTGGGCGTGGTGGTGCGTGCCTGTAGTCCCAGTTACTAGGGTGGCTGAGGCAGGAGAATCACTTGAACCCAGGAGGCAGAAGTTGCAGTGAGCCAAGATCGCACCACTGCACTCCAGCCTGGGCGACAGAGCAAGACTCCATTTCAAAAAAAGAAGAAAAGAAAAAGTATAGCACATATGATTGTGTACAATACGTAATACCTGATAGTGATAATAGATGACTGTTCCTGGTTTATGTATTTACTGTACTTTTTATCATTATTTTAGAGTGTACTCCTTCTACTTATCAAAAAAAAGTTAACTGTAAATCAGTCTCAGGTCCTTTAAGAAGTATTCCATAAGAAGGTATTGTCATAAAAGGAGATAACAGCTCCATGCATGTTATTGCCCCCAAAGACCTTCCGGGGGACAAGATGTGGATGTAGAAGACAGTGATATTGATGACCCTGACCTTGTGTAGGCCTAGGCTAAGTATGTGCTTGTGTCTTAGCTTTTAACAAAAAAGTTCAAGCAGTAAAAGATAACAGTTTTTAAAAATACAAAAAGTCTTATAAAAGAAATCTATAAAGAAAATATTCTGTATAGCTGTACATGTTTGTGTCTTAACCTAAGTGTTATTTCAAAAGAACAAAACAGATTTTAAAAAATTTATGAAGTAAAAATATAGAAAGCTAAGGTTAATTTATTACTTAATAAAATATTTTTTATAAATTTAGAGTAGCCTAAGTGTACAGTGTTTATAAAGTCGATAGTAATGTACACTAGCGTCCTAGGCCTTCACATTTACTCGCCACTCACTCACTTTCTTACCTAGATCAAATTGCAGTCCTGTAGGCACCATTCATAGTAAGTGCTCAATATGGGTATACCATTCTTATCTTTATACTGTATTTTTTGCACAAATTTTCTGTGTTCAGATACACAAATAGTTACCATTATGTTACTATCGCTACAATATTCGGTATGGTAACATGCTATACAGGTTTGTAGGCTAGGAGCAACAGGCTAGACCATATAGCCTAGGTGTGGGGTAGGCCCTGCTATCTAGGTTTGTATAAGTACACTCAATGATGTTCGAAGAAGGATACCATCTCAGAATACATCACCGTCTTGATACCATCTCAGAATACATCACCGTCTTTAAGGGATACATGACTATGGTTTAGCAGAAAGATCATTTATTTGTCTGTAACGTTTGAATCAGTTCATCTGATGATCAAAATCTTGCCACAATAAAACATATTCTGTCATTCAGAAGTATGCTATTGAGACAGCTGAACTTTCACCTTTGCTTTCCATATAAAACTCAGGGTTCTATAGCAATTAATTTATTCAAGTTGGACGATTATTGTTAATAATACCCTTGTCTTTAAAAAAGTTATTGACTTAATCCTTTTGGATTATTTAAAAATGTATCAATTCTTTTTTTTCTTCCAGTATCCATTATAAACTTACAGCACAGTTCATGAATTTCAGGTTACAAAAAATAGACATAGAGTTGTTAACAGCATAGTTCATGAATTTCAGGTTACGAAAAATAGAGTTGTTTTCCTCAAGAATATTTTATGAAATACTTTTAAAAGGAACATATTCCTAAATGAAAAAATATTTCATTGTGCATGTTTCAGAAGCACTTTTATTCAGGTATGATTAATACATAGAACTGGAATGAACATTTGTTCATATTCTTTCAGATAAAACACAAATAGGAGTATATACATGTCTTTAAAAAGATATAAGTAAATTTGCATTAAAAGTTTATGTTCTTTTCCAAGTCTATATTTTCTCTTTTTATTAAGTTGAAAAAAAATGAAGAAATAATTAATAAGTTTTATTTCATTAGTTCTTTGTAAAATATTATTAGAATATGTAAAAATAGCTCATGCTACTGAAAGTTATTAATTGGATATGTTTACTGTGTTTATTTTTATGTATATCATTCATTAACATATAAATAAGAAAGGAAATCTGAAAGTAAGCGTAAGGACTATTATACATAATCTTGTGTAATTTCCCAAATTCAGAAATCAATACATGTGATATAATTACTAATACCTAGATGATCAATTTAATTCTTTTTTAGATATGTAATATAAATAGAAAATTTCTTAGGGCTTAAGTAAAAAACAACAGTGTTTTAGTTTTTTTCTGTGTGAAAAAATACTTTCATTTGCCTCATTCTTTACCTGTTAAAAAGCCTCTCAGGGTGGGGCGTGGTGGCACACGTCTGTAATCCTAGCACTTTGAGAGGCCTAGGCAGGGGGATCATGAGGTCAGGAGATCGAGACCATCCTGGCCAACAAGGTGAAACCCTGTCTCTATTAAAAATACAAAAGTTAGCTGGGCATGGTGGCGGGCGCCTGTAGTCCCAGCTACTCAGGAGGCTGAGGCAGGAGCATTGCTTGAACCCGGGAGGCGGAGGTTGCAGTGAGCCGAGATCGCGCCACTGTACTACACCCTGGGTGACAGAGTGAGACTCTCAGAAAAACAAAAACAGAAACAAAAACAAAACAAAACAAAAAACACTCAGAAAAACTTTATTTGCTCCCACTTATTTTCTACTTTTTCTTCTTTTGCTATTATATTTATATTTATGTTTAATGGTCATTTATATTTAATATAAATCTATTTATATAATTGTATTTAATGGCCATTTTATATTTTTCTGTATTCTCCCAGTTAACATATCCTGGCAGCATAAATGAAATTTGATGATTTCATTATCAGTTATCCAAACAAGCTTTCCTATCCCTGACCTGTGAATCTGTGCTAGGTGGGGTAGATTAGAAGCTTCAGGATCTTGTAAGGGTGACGTGACAAGGGCAGATAACTGATGGTCCTGATAGCACCCAGAGAAAAGCTACGTTAAATCTCTGTCCTCCATATAGCTGAAGTAGTGTCTAGTATCAGTTTATGGTTCTTCACTTGAAATGAGAATATGTTGTATACTATAGATTTAAATAAAACAAACTTAGATTTAAACTGCTTAAGCTAAAGATCTTGGCTATTTAGCTATAATTTTTAGTGAAAATATCCTAGTTTATTGAATCTTACCTAGATATTCTTTTTATAAGTTTGATTTTATTTTGTTCTCCTTCTTTCCTTTTTGTCATTTCTTTACTTAGGCTATAAATTTATTTTAAAGACTGAGTTTTCTCTTGACCAATTCTTTCCATAAGTTCACCTGTTTTTTATATGACTTACACTATAAGAGCCTATGTAGACACTCAATAAATGTGTTTTATTTTGTAGCAGAATCCATGACTTATTATCAGTAAAACCCTGGTTGAGGTACTTTTAATCTTGTTTTCCACACCTAAACCTATCTAGCCCTGTTGCATTGTATCCCGAGGCCCAGCATTATTCAATATTTTGTGTATTTACAGTAAGCCAAGTGGAGTACTTATTGTATCCTGGAAATAATAACTATGTCGACTAATAGGCATCAAAATAAGAATTAATTTTTACTTTGCAGGACAAGTACTCCAAGAAACCTGAGTTGTTAAGGTGGTAAACACAGAAAGCACTATACAAAGTATTTGTAAAGATTAACATTGCTACAGTTATGCAAGCACATATTTGCCTTAACAAGATTAGTAATGCCAGCTGCCTGCATTCAAAGAGACAATTTAACTTCAATTTTAATATTACCTGAAACAGTGTAAAATGACAAGAGTTACATCGAAATATGTATCACAATTTCAAATGAAGAAATTAAAGCATACCTTTATGTTATCTGCTGTGACTTTTATAAATGAATGAAATGGAATATATGAATTTTTATTATAGAAAGCTATTTGTCCAAAATTAAAATAATATTTTATTACAATATAGTTTTTACTGATGTTTTTACAAGTATTGTATTCTCTTTGATGGTAGGTTCTCTTGTTGGTAAATTCCAATCGATTAAAAATTCATGTTCCTTTGTTTAGGCGTTGGTCATAGTGGATGGTGAATTGAGTCACTTCCTCACCTCTCTCTATTCAACCTTTTGTGCTGCACAGGCTGTTTCCTAGGACCACTTGAAGCTTGAGTTCTGTTCATAATTTGGGTTCTGCCAATTAGATGCACTTGAGTAAAATGTGGAAGGTGGAAAGCAGTCTAGGCTATGTTTCTAAGGTTTTTCTGCTGGCAGACTCCTGATAGAATTATCTGATATCTGTAGAGTGTCTTACCAGAATAATGCTTCCCTTAATATGGGTTGCATCCTCATCATAACAGCTTCCTAATCATGGCCAGCTTCTGGACCACCGATGATACATTAACTCCTTGGGTCATCTAGTTCTGTGACCCTCACAGTTGTTCTGTTAAATGCAATGTAAAGTCTGTTTTCAGCCTTCAATATGATTCAGAAAGTTATTTAAAATTTCATAATGCATTTTTTATGTTTATACTACAAAAATGTAGTTGGTCTCTGCATTTAATTGATACAATTAACAATAATATATTTTAAATTTTATTTACTTCAATTGTTAATTTTTTTTTTTACTAAAGAAAATGTACTTATATGGTAAATGTTATAAATTTTATTTACTATAGTTGCTGCCTCTACATTTATTTTTAGGGCTGACATAGTTATTTAAAACCTGGTCATAACCTAGTTAAAATTTCTCCTCCACGTATGGTTGCTTGCAATATAGCCCACTTGTTCCTCATCCCACTGACCCTAAACTCAACATACCCCACAGCTGCTAATCACGAGAAAACCTAGTGTTCAATATTAGAATAATGTAAATAAGTTCTCCCTTCACACGTGTTTTCTTTAAACCAGCTAATCCACAACCTCTGAGGGAAAGCCTAAGTGGTAACACTCATAGGCCTTAATAATGGTGTAGCCACCCAGGTTCTCTCCATCGTTTCCTGCTCACTGGGTGAACTCCCTGCCACCTCCAGTCTTACCGTCAGCCTCCTGTTGTCACCCCAACCTCTCTGGAATCTGTGAGTAATAAATATCTTCTATTTTCTGCACTGTGGCTTCACTTCCTTATTGTGTCTCCCCTGACGCACACGCACGCCTGAACTTAACCTTATATTCAGCCAGAGCTCTTTTGGGCAGTGGCTGTCTTGACAAGAATAAACAAGGGTATCTGCTGTATAAACAAGTTTCCTGTGAAAGGACGACCTGGTCACAGTGAGATACTTAGGCATTAGGCCATCATCAGGATAAAGAAATAGCCCAAAAAAGGCATGCTACAAACTCTCAGGCCCAGTTTTTTTACTTTCCAGGTCAGAACAGGGCTGGAGCTTATGGCCAGTCTTGAGAGAGACCACAAAACCAAATTGGAAACAATTCATAACAAATTAAATCAAAACTGTAAACTAAACCGAAAAAGTAAAGGTGATACCTATAATTAAAGGTAGCAATTTATTGGCCCCACTACTCCCACTCCAAATTGCCGTAGCTAGAAACAATTGCTTTTTAATTTTTCTGGGTTTTGTTATTTTGGTGGTTACTTCATATCTCTGAATAACACACGTATTCCAACAATCATGATTTTCTCATGCGAGACATATTCCGTTGATTTTTCTGCTAGACTAGATAAGGACTTTGTCTTCTTAACCTTCTTCCCAGCTCCTCTCCCCATAGCCACCCAATGTAGTTATATCACCATTTTAATTTCTTTATTATGTTTTTAATTTAAATAATATGTACTTTTATCACCTTTCCATCAGCTCTAGAAATATGATTTTTGACTCCCCTCTTTGTAAGATATTATCAGTGCTAATCTTCCCTGACCTTTCTCTCCTCTACCATTCTTTCCTCCACTTCTGTGTTTCTTCTGTAGTTATAATAAATAGTACATTTTCTTTCTCTTGAAAACTTCTAAAATGCTTAAGGTTTTAAGCTTTCTTTAAACATAGTGAGATCGGAAAATAAAGGCCTTATCGAATTACTCATGATTTTATCTTTTCTCATGGTCATTTAATGCCTGATCTTTCAAAAGTTTCACTTTCTTTTACTGACATTCCTCTGTTGCCTTGGTTTTGTATTTGCTGCCTTCTTACTCTTTTTCTCTGCTTTGTATTTTGTGAAGCACAAAAAGCTACACAGTACACTAAAACACAACTAATTATACTTCACATTAATGAATAGGCTAATGCTTTTCCGGTGTGGTGGGGGAGTTTCCAAAACCTAGATTAGGAAGACTATCAATTTGTTGACTATTCAGTTAGCAGTAGAATAAGGGAACAGTATAGAGAGACTCCAGTTCCCTTTCCTAGCCAATGAATAAAAGCTTACAAACCATCGTCTTATGTTCATAGATTGTTTTCCCTAAATATTTTACATGTATTTATATATACTGAAGTTCATTAGTCAATTCTATGCTAACTCAAAAAGTTATTATTTTTTCAATTTTTTTCTTTTTTGAGACGGAGTCTCGCTCTGTCACCCAGGCTGGAGTGCAGTGGCGTGATCTCAGCTCACTGCAAGCTCCACCTCCCAGGTTCATGCCATTCTCCTGCCTCAGCCTCCCGAGTAGCTGGGACTACAGGTGCCCGTCACCACGCCCGGCTAATTTTTTGTATTTTTAGTAGAGATGGGGTTTCACTTTGTTAGCCAGGATGGTCTTGATTTCCTGACCTCGTGATCCGCCTGCCTCGGCCTCCCAAAGTGCTGGGATTACACGTGTGAGCTGCTGCGCCCAGCCTATTTTTTCAATCTTATGCTATTTATCTTACTACTTTCTTTCTCATAAGTGCATAGGAAAATTTGACACTGCTGAGAAATCACTGAACTGTTTGTGGGATACCACCAGATTATTTATGGTTCTATAAGATATTTCTCAGGCCAGGCCTTTTATAAAGCAATTTTAATATATGTATGAATTATTATATGTCATGTAATTATTCTATAATTTTAGAATGTATATTCAGATTAAGACATTAGTTTCATGTAATACTTTCAGGCATGCTGAAGTCCCAGTAGCTACAGGTAGGGAAGAAGCAGGAAACTGTAAACAGGTGGACCCAGGATCAGGTACCTCACATAGCTCTAGGACTAGTACTACAGAGAGTAATAGTAGTATAGTCAACACTGTACAGTGTGGATGTAATATGGCAGCAGGTTCTTCCAGGACAGGTGAGGATACTTGCAGATTGACTGGTACCATCACTGCAATTGTAGATGGCATGAATGACTTAGACCTAACTAGGAACATGAAGACATGTGTGGTCTTAGGAAAAAGGGTTGAGTAGATATGGCCAGATTATCAGGAATCAGGAAAATGCTCTACCTTCATAAGAATGATAAATCACAGTCAAGAAACAAAAGGATAATTCCAGTTGCATGTTCAGCAAGCCGTGACATAGGTTAGAAGCAAAGTCTGCAGCTCACTGGACACAGAGATATCTTGAGAGTTAATTCTAACCTAGTATTTATCAAAAGGTGATCTATTATAACTCTCTGGAATCCTGGTCAAAAACTAAGATAATTAGGCCTGTTCCAACTCTTAGACTTCAGATCAAATCCAATAATCTCTGTGAACCTCCCTGAGTGATCCTTATGAATCTTAAAATTTGAGAACCACATCTTTAGACATACCAGATACTAAGTTTAGAACAGAAAGACAAATTTGAGGCATTTTATTTCACTTGCTTACTACCCTTTACCAAAATATTGAGGCTAGTTTTCTTAATTTACTCTTGTCAATGTGGACAAAGGCCTGAAAACACTGTGCTTATAGTTTGAAAGCATTTATATTTGCAGTGATGTGGAGCTGGAAAATGAGGATTTGCTCATTTTTATTTATTTTTCTATACTAGTTGAGTGTTATAATAAAATATAAAAACTCATTTTAGCTTCATCTTAGTCTAATGTGCTTTTCATGACAAGTACTTAAAGATTATGTCTAGTCAGTGTAGCTTCATAATTGATGTAAAACAATGCAGAAACATATTAAACATATGACAGCTTATGAGATCTAAATTTGTAAACTTCATAAATATTAAAAAACTTTCATATTTTAAACTTTCATATTTTAAAATAAATATGAAACCTACGATAGTCTTACATTAGTCAAAATGAAATAAAATTAATGTATCACAGCCCAATGACTAGTTTCTTCTCATTCACCTGATGAATGCAAGAAAGCCTGTTAGTTGGAGTAAAATCATCTGGTGTGTGCTCAGCTGCATTTAACTGTAGAGGCCTTAAGACATGTTAAGCAATGTGATTTTGATTTCACCTGCTGACTTTCCGAAGGCAACTTATTATAAGAAACAGTTGAATAGTGATATCATGCTGTTGGCACTTGAGCTTTCTGCTGGAGGTTGCAATCTAATCTTTGCAAACCTGTAATTACTATTTCCTAAGTAATTCTAGGTTTCCATTATTGAATCTCTAAATGTCTAAAAGGTACTGAGATGTAATATACAAAAAGGCATAGGGATCAAATGATAACAACAAACTCTTTGTGTCAGTAATACTCAATTTCGATGTTTTTGATGTTATAATGACATGTTACTGGCAAGAATATTTGGTGCATTTTGCAGGTTCAGTGTATTTTTTTATGTTGGTGTTATGAAGTCTTTGAAATAAAAAGATGTTTTATTCCAGGGTTATCAATCCATGCATCACAGTTTAGAGAAATAAGTGAAAGATAGTGATTCTACTTTGAAATTTAAATGTTTGTCTCTGGTTATTCAAGTTAAGTATTTTAAAATAGTTTTGACTGATATCATGTTATATAGAAAATGTGAAGTCATAGGTGTCTGTGTAATGGAATATGAAAAACATTGTTTATTAAAAAAATAAAATCCTGGTAGAGACATCATTTCTCCTTTGAAATATATAGATAAGTGATCCACTAAAAAAGTAAACATCTCAAACACAAAGTTTAATTCTGCTTGTGAGAATATGCCATACATTGCACTTTTTTTGTGAAAGATAAACTACTCTTTTTTATCATTTCATTTTAATGTGTTTCATGTACTGTCCTAGGCACAAGGAATAGAATCGTAACAAGGACAGGGTTTGCTTTTGTAGAGCATAGATTCTAATGGAGAAGATAGAAAGTTAAAAAGCAAACAGAAATTTCAAGCTGATGATAATGATGACTGAGATGATAGCTGTCACAGTGAAGATGATAGGCAGTGGACTTTAGTAGATATTAGAAAGATATACCCAAGAGCACTGCATGAGATATGTAACTAATAGAGAGGAATCTGTAATAACTCAAGAAAATAAAGTTCTGTGACCAAATTATTCAGACATATATGATAAAATATTATAAAATAGTAGAAAAGAATATTTGCAGTCCCTGTGGCTGCATTTAACCATCTAAATATATCAATATCTATATACCTATATATGAAAATCCCTATCTAATGAAATAGTTTAAAAATCTTCCCAAGATTATGCAGCTACTTAAATGGCTGAGTAGGACTAGATCTGCAGACCCCTGAGGCCAGCCTCAGATATCAGTCAGAGTGAACATAACAAATCAAAGTAGTGTCCTTCCACAGAGGAGTTAAAATATTTAAACATAAGTAATTTTAGCAATCCAATAGGTGTTAAAAAAAAGAAAAAAGTCTATGGGCCAGGCACGATGGCTCATGCATGTAATCCTAGCACTTTGGGAGGCCGAGGCAGGTGGATCACCTGAGGTCAGGAGTTCAAGACCAGCCTGGCCAACGTGGTAAAACCCCGTCTCAAAAAAATAAATAAATAAATAAAAATTAGCCAGGTGTGGTGGCATCCTCCTGTAGTCCCAGCTATTCGGAAGGCTGAGGCAGGAGAATTGCTTGAACCTAGGAGGCAGAGGTTGCATGCAGTGAGCTGAGATCACACCACTGCACTCCAGCCTAGGTGACAGAAAATAAAAATCTATGCCCAGATAAATCTTTAGACTAATTGAGCAAGGCCTTTGCTTATACATCTTTGGTGTACCATAGGTTTGGATTTGTAGCTGTAGACTTTAACTTTTGCTTGTCTATAGCCACTGCATTACAAAGATGCAAATACCAGACTTTTCCAAACATGTTAATATGGGATCTCTGGGAGCGGGAACCCCCTAAATGGCTAATGTATACCAGGCCAATTAAAATTTAACGGCCTAGGATATGTGTGGGTATGCATGTGTATTTATTTAAAAAGACACTCAAATAGTTTTTTTTTATATGAAGAAAGTAAAGCTTTGACACTGAAATTAAATGATGTAATAACTGTTATATTCAGCTAATATCTCAATGATGGCTTTGAGGCAGTTGATAGTAGATAGCTTTTTTAAAGAAGTGTTTTTGAATGTTTAGCATATGAAACCCTTATGGTGTTGTCTTTATAGAGCAAAGAGGGAATAAAGAAATGGAATGTAAAAAATCCTAAATATTCCACATAAAAAAGCTTACTAGAATTAATAAATGTATTCAGCAAAGTTGCAGGACACAAAATCAATATGCAAATATCAGTTGTGATTTCATATACTAACATAAATCTGAAACGGAAATTTTTAAAAATTGGGTTAAAATAGCATCAAAAATACATAGAAATATAAACTTAACAGGAGACTAAAGACTTGTTCTCTGAAAACTACAAACATTTCTAAAGAAAATAAAGATGGTAATAAATAGACATATATATTCATGAATTAGATGACTTAATATTGTTGTCCATACTACTTAAAGCTATCCACAGGTTAAATACCATCCATATCAAAATACCCATAGCTGTTTTTTTTTTCTGAAATAGAAAAAGCAATTCTAAAATTCATATGCAACCGCAGAGAACCAAAAAGAGCCCAAACAATCTAAAGAACAAGCTGGAGGTCCTGCACTTCCTGACTTCAAAGGATATTACAAAATTACAGTAGTTAAAACATTATGGAGAAATAGTTATAGAAATATGGTGGAGTAGGAAGCACCAGGAATCTGTCTTCCCACCTAGAGAACAATTGTACTGGCAGAATCTGTCTGATATATAACTATTTTGGATTTTTGACATCTACTAAAGGCTTGCAACTTCTAGGGGAAAGCTTGCATGGCGAATTATGATTAATTTCAGTCAATTTCAGCACTTAACCACAGTAGTAGCTACCCATTTCCCACAGTCACCCCTGTAGCAGGCAGCTGTGCACATGTTACTGGAGCAGTCTGCACAGAGCATGCAGGAACCAGAGTGGGCAAAAAAAGGACCTGTCATCCAAATATCGGCAATCTTTGCTCTGATTGCTGATTGCTGTTTCTGGTCACAAAGATGGACGCAAAGAGGTGAGTGGTTATTGTTGCACCTCTATCCATTATTGCAAGCCCCTCCCTGCTGGCTGAAGTGACTTCCAGAAGATTAAAAGGGCCAGTGCCCTTCTCCTACTTTATTTTTCTGTTTTTCCCCCTTTGACAGCTAGACATTAAAAAGTAGGGCATTCAAAGTAACTGCACATATGGTGACAATCAGAAAATGACTAAGTTACTAAGTGTAAACTTAAGGACTGTCTTTTCTAAGCCTGTGCCTTGCCTTTCCTTTGGCACAGGCTTAGAAAAGACAGTCTTTAAGTTTACACTTCAGACTGATTCTTGGCACAGAGATAGCCTACAACAGAATCCTCTTATGACAATATAAAAAGCAAAATCATTGACTGAAGTAACCGCAAACTCTCAGTAAGAGGGAGAATCTAATTTTTAGAGTTACTATGTTATTAGATCCAAAATCACAATTCATACAAAAAATTAAGAAACTATGTCTTGTCCAAAGGAAAATATGAAATCCCTAAAATGACTTGATGGTGGATCTGCTACAGAGGGACTTTAAAATAATTGTGTTAAATGATCAAAGAACTACAGGAAGATATAGAGAAAGTCAAGAAAATGATATATGAACAAAATGAAAAAAATTCAATGGATAGGAAACCTCACAAGAAGTTAAAAAAAATTGGGAGCTGAAAAGTACAACAACTTAAATAAAAAATTTACTAGAGCGATTCAAAGGAAGATTTGAGCAAGCAAAGGAAACAGTCAGTAAACTTGAAGATAGGACAATGGAAATCAAGGAACAGAAGGAAAAAGAATTGAAAAAAGTAAACAGAGTCTAAGGGACCTGTGTGACACAATCAAGGAGTCACAGGAGGAGAGGAGAAAGAGAAGAGAAAACTTGAAGAAACAACGGATAGAACCTTTCCAAATCTGATAAAAGACATTAATATAAACATTCAAGAAATCCAACAGAATTCAAGGAAGATGAACTCAAAAAGACATAAACTGAAATACATTATAATCAAAGCTTTAAAAGGTGGAGACAAAGATAGAATCTTAAAAGCAGCAGAAAAACATCAATATATTACTTATAAGGAATAATCAGTAAGATTATCAGTATATTTCTCACCAGAAACGTTGCAGGCCAGAAGGCAGTGGGCTGACATTCGAAGTGCTAAAGAAAAACAAAAACAGAAAACATTATCAAACAAGAATCTTATATCCAGCCAAACTGTCCTTAAAGTGAGGGCGAAATTAAGACATCCCCAGGAAAACAACAGTTGGGAGAGCTTGTTACCATTGGACCTGACTTGCAAGAAATCCTCCTGCAGAGTGAAATGAGAAGACACTAGACAGTAACTTGAAGTTGTGTAAAGAAATAAAGATCTTAATAAAGGAAAATACATAGAAAATTATAAAAGCTTATATTATTGTAACAATACTTTTTAACTGCACTTTTCGTGTTCTACATGCTTTAAGAGGTTAATATATATATATTTAAATTTGTATAAAAGTTCATATTATGCTTTGTAACTCCAATTTTGTTTTGTACATAATTTAAGAGACTAATGAATTTAAAATACTTACATGTTTATATTTTTGTATAATACATAAAGATATAATTTTGTGACATCAAAAATTGAGAGGGTGGGGGAATGGAGCTTTTGAAGGAGCCGAGTTTTTATATATTATTGCAGTTATGGTGGTACAAATTTAAATTAGAATGTTATATATGCAGGATCTAAAATATAATCCCTATGGTAACCACCAAGAAAATAGCTATATACAAGGAAATGAGAAAGAAATTTAAGCAAATCACTAAAGAAAATAAAATAGACAACTAAATATAAAAGATAGTAATGCAGGAAATGTAGGGAAACATCTATAAGCTATAACGAATTCAAATAGTGGCTGGGCGCAGTGGCTCACACCTGCAATCCCTGCGCTTTGGGAGGCCGAGGTGGGTGGATCATGAAGTCAGGAGATCGAAACCATCCTGGCCAACATGGTGAAACCCTGTCTCTACTAAAAATACAAAAAATAGCTAGGTGTGGTGGCACATGCCTATAGTCCCAGATACTCATGAGGCTGAGGGAGGAGAATCACTTGAACCCAGGAGGCGGAGGCTGCAGTGATCCAAGATTGTGCCATGGCACTCCATCCTGGGTGACAAAGCAAGACTCTGTCTCAAAAAAAGAAAAAAAAAAGAATTCAAAAATAGTAAAATGACAGAAGTAGCTTCCTTCTTTTCAGAAATTACTTATAAATTGATTAAATGAGCTAATCAAAAGACTGGCAAAATAGATTTTTTTAAAAAAGATCTATGTGTGTACAAGAGACTCATTTTAGATCCAAAGATGCAAATAGATTGAAGGTAGAGGGACAGAAAAAGATTTCTCAGGCAAATAACCAAACAAGAGCAGGGTAGCTATACTGAGAACAGACAAAATAGACTTTAATCAAAAAGTTTACAAAAGGCAAAGAAGGACATTCTATATTAATAAAAGGTTTAATACAGTAAGAAGTTATAACAAGTATAAACATTTATGAACCTAGTAACAGATCACTAAATTATATGAAGAAATAACTTACATAATGGAAGGGAATGATACACAGTTCCACAGTAATAGTTGAAGATGAATAAATCACTCTCAATAATGGCTAGAAAAAAAAAACAAAGATAAATAAGAAAATGCAATACATTAAAAAAAAAACAATTAGACCTAACTCTGTGCAACAACAGCGTACACATTCTTCTCAAGTGTACATGGTACATTTTCCAAAATAGACTATATGTTACTTCATAAATTAAGTCTCATTAGATTGAAAAGATAGTTATAGAAAGTATCTTCTCTGATCCTAAGAAGATTGTCTTAGTTCATTTTTTGCTGTTATAACAAAATGCCACACACTGGATAATTTATATAAAAATGTTTTTTCCTCACAGTTTTGGAGGATGAGGAATCCAGAAGCATGGTGCCAACATTTGGCAAGGGACATCCTATGGCAGAAGGCATTAGATGGCAAGAAACAGAGAAAGAGACAGACATCAGGGGCTGAACTTGTTTATAACTACCCCGCTACTTCAATAATGACAGTAGTAGTTTTAGTCCTTATGGCAGGATTTATGGGAGGACTCTGCCTGTATGACCCACTCACCCCTTATTTGGCTCCATCTCCTAACACTGTTGCATTGGAGATTAAGTTTTCAACATATGAATTTTAGGGGGACATATTCAAACCATAGCAAGGATGAAGTTAGAAATCAATATAAATAAAACCAGAAAAAGTTACAAAACTTTGGAATTTAAACAATACACTCTTAAACAATGAACGTTATCAAAGAGAAATTGTAAGGGAAATTCGAAAATACTTGGAGATGAAGGAAAATGAAAACAATATATCAAAACATATGGGATGAGGAAACAGTGCTAAGGGGGAAATTTATAGCTATAAGTTCTTAAAGATCTCAAGTCAACAACCTAGCTTTACAATGTATGGAACTAGAAAAATAACAAATTAAACCTAAAGCTAGCACAAGAAAGGAAATAATAAAAATTCGACCAGAGATAAACAAGATAGTGAATAGAAAAACAACAGAATAAACCAATGAACCCAAGACTTGGTTCTTTAAAAAGATGAACAAAATTTACAAAACTTTAGCTAAATAAACTAATAAAAAATGAGAGAAAAGATTCAAGTAACAAAGTCAGAAATAGAAAAAGGGACATTCAGGCTGGGCACGGTGGCTCACGCCTGTAATCTCAGCACTTTGGGAGGCTGAGGCAGGTGGATCACGAGATCAGGAGATGAGATCATCCTGGCTAACATGGTGAAACCCCATCTGTACTAAAACTACAAAAACAAAAAATTAGCTGGGCGTGGTGGCGGGCGCCTGTAGTCCCAGTTACTCAGGAGGCTGAGGCAGGAGAATGGCATGAACCCGGGAGGCAGAGGTTGCAGTGAGCCGAGATCGTGCCACTGCATTCCAGCCTGGGTGACAGAGTGAGATTCCGTGTCAAAAAACAAAAATAAAAACAAAAAAACAAAACAAAAAAAAACCCTACAGACCAATATCTCTTACGAATATTGAGGCAAAAATGCTCAAAAAATACTAGAAAACAGAATTCTGCAACATATTAATGTATGATAAGCCACAATCAAGTGGGATTTCTTCTTGGAATGCAAGGGTGACTCAACATAGCAAAGTCGATCAATGAAATACACCACATTAAGAGAACAAAGAAGAAAAAACACACATGATTATCTCAATTGCAGAAGAAAAAGTATTTGACAAAATGCTTAGAGTAGTCAAAACTGTAAAGCCAAAAGGTAGACCAGTGGCTTCCAGGGACTGGGAGGAAGGGAGAATGAGGAGTTACTGTTTAAGGGGAATAGAGTTTCAGTTTATAAAATAAAAAGAGTGATGGAGATGAATAATGGTAATGTGGTTGTACAACATTATGAACACATTTAATAGCACTGAACTGTACACTTAAAATAGGCTGATAAATTATATGTTATGTTCATTTTACCACGATAAAAAATGGAGAAAACAACAAAAAACAAACAGTATGGTACTAGAATAAAGACAGCTATATAAACCAATGAAACAGAAAACAGAACCTAGAAATAAACCCACACATATGCAATCAAATTATCTTCAACAAGGGGGCTAAGAACACACAATGGAGAAATAATAGTTGTTTCAACAAATGAATTTGGAAAAACTGGTTACCCTCATGTAAAAGAATGAAATTGAACCCTTACCTTGCACCATACACAAAAATAAACAGTACTAAAAATTTTAACAAAGACCTGAAACTATAAATCCTATTTAAGAAAACTTAGGGGAAAATTTTATAACATTTGTCTTGGCAATGATTGCTTGGATAAGGCACCAAAAGCGTAGGCAACAAAGGCAGAGATAATAAGTCGAACTACACCAAACTAAAAAGCTTCTGTACAACAAAGGAAGCAATCCAACAGAGTGAAAATGCAGTCCACGGAATGGGGGAAAGTATTTGCAAGTTGCAAATCTTATAAGGGGTCAATCTTTAAAATATGGAAAGAACTCCTACAACTCAATAGTTAAAAAAACCAAATAACCTTATTTAAAAATGGGCAAAGAACTTGACTAGACATTTCTCCAAAGACATAAAAATGTTCAACAGGTGTATGTAAAGGTGCTCACCATCACTAATCACCAGAGAAATGCAAGTCAAAACCACAAAATATATCACCTCACACATGTTAGGATGGCTGTTATCAAAATAACAGAAAATAAAAATTGTAAGGATATAGAGAAATCTGAATCCTTGAGTTGTGTTAGTGTGAATGTAAAATAGTGTAGCCTCAATGGAAAACTGTTTGGAGGTTCCTCAAAAAAATCAAAAACAGAACTATCATCTGATCCAGCAGTCCCACTTCTGGGTATTTAGCACTAAGAATTGAAATTAGGATATTGAAGAGATATTTGTATTCCTATGTTCATTGCAGTATTATTTATAATAGCTAAAAATTACAATGATACAATGTGGATGAACCTTAAGGGCATTATGTTAAGTGAAATAAACCAGTTATAGAAAGAAAAATACTGCATGATCTCACTTATATTAGGTATTCAAGTAGTCAAACTCATAGAAGCAGAAACTTGAATAGTGGTTTTCAGAGGCTGGGGAGAGTTGCTGTTCAATTGGTGTAGAGTTTCAGTTATGCAACATTAAAAAGTTCTAGGTATTTGCTTTACAACAATGTGCATATAGTTAACAATACTATACTGTGTGCTTAAAAATTTTAAAGGGTGGATCTCATTTTTTTTTTACCACGATAAAAAGGAAAAGAAAAATGAACTGGAAGTTTGGAATAGAATATCAGCTGTGATGCAATATGATATTGTGGAAAGACCGTTCGTTGCACTCATGATGCCAAGATCTGGATGACCGTCTTGCTCTCATCCTTATGAACTATTTTACCTGGCACAAGTTACTTAAGCTCATTGACTATTTTAGGACTATTGTGAGAAGCAAATGAAATAAACTTTGAAGCAGCAGCTTTTAATATGAGAAGGACTAATGAGCGAGGTTTGCACAGTTGGGCTTCAGGAGGTGTGTGAACCAACTAAAATAAAACACAAATGTGAAGGGTGGGTGTGGATTCATTTCCATAGCTCTCTCTTTTCAGAGTCACAAGTGAATCTCTAAGATACCCTCAAAGACTCAGGACTATTGCTCCTAAGTGTTACACAAATATTAGTTAGATATCTTGTGAGTTAATTAAGTTATTCAGAAAGATGGTGATTTAGAAAAATGCTGACTATGTAAACGAGATTTTAAAATGATGACTAAGTTTTTTTTTCTCTTTTTCTTCATTTCTCCACCACTTTGCCTTTTAGGAGTAATTTTCTTTCAGTTTTTGAGGTAGAACCCAAATGAATGCTTGGAATTTTTTTTCTTTTTTCATTTGTTTTGTTCCCCATACTACTTTGCAGTGCTTTATCAGCATGGGTGACATTAGGAACATTCAGGGGGAAAAAAAAAACCTGAGTAAATTAAAATTGTCAGTTGCTGGATGAGAATAAACTACAAAAGACAATAAATAGGCAGTGAACTAGATATAGTGTCCTTGGACTTACATTTTGCAACGTAGTAGATGATATATTGTATTCCACATATTTTTTTTAAACTCTCTGAAAAATAGAGAATCTAGAAAAGAAATAACTTCTAGGAACTTCTTTTATTTATATAGCTAAATTGTTTCATTTTTCTGGCTGGCTTTTCTCCGAATTCAGTTCTGGTGTTACTATCTTGAATCAAAGCAAAATATTTACTACTACTGAGAGAACATGATATTATTCCCCAAAAGCTAATATTAATGAAAAGAATATGGAAAAGATTATGAAACTATAAAATATTAAGTTATAAGTGATATTTTAATTATATGAAGTATGTAATATATTCAATATTATAATTCATTGCCATCTTGAAATCATTTATAATTATTACATTTTAACACTTTGTTTCTCAAAGAATGCTCATTATGAGAAGGATATTTTATGCATAAAAGTCTGAAAGCACATCATGTCAATTATAAATGCTTGACTCAAGCAAGAGTCAGTGCTCTTCTGTCACATGAAATGTGCCTTTCTCATCATTGCAGGCCTTTTCCACTTCCGGCCACTGAATCACATGGAAAATAAACAACAAGGTCAACAAAATACAAAAATTAACATTAAAACAGAGGCCGGGCACGATGGCTCATGCCTGTAATCCCAGCACTTTGGGAAGTGCCCGAGGCGGGCGGATCACAAGGTCAGGAGACCGAGACCATCCTGGCCAACACGGTGAAACCACGTCTATACTAAAAATACAAAAATTAGCTGGGCGTGGTGGTGCATGTCTGTAATCCCAGCTACTCGGGAGACTGAGGCAGGCGAATTGCTTGAACCCGGGAGTCGGAGGTTGCAGTGAGCCGAGATCACACCACTGCACTCCAGCCTGGTGACAGAGTGAGACTCTGTCTCAAAACAAATCAAAACAAAACAAAAAAAGATTAAAACAGAAATTTCAGTGATTTATTTTTTCATCAGGCTTAGAAGAATGGAGATAGAAAAAGCAAGCAGATTCCCAATTATGGAATGCCTTCTATGTCCTCTTGAGTCTATATGTGTATATTCCCAGTTAGGGAATCCACTTACCTTTTTCTGTCTGCATTCTTACATTCCTTACATTTATTCATTCACAATGTCACGTGTGTGTGTGTGTGTGTGTTATTTACTTGTTTCTTCTATCTCAAATTCTTCCAGTATATACTCATTCTTCTTCCTCCAACCTTGTTTTAAAAATATGCTTCTTTTAAAATTAAGACATTTATAGGAATCACATTAACTTTCAATTAATTGCTTTGTTCCTAACACTGAAGTACTAGGGGGGTTCTGTTTTTGGTAATGACAGAGGTATGGTTGTGCTGGAAGTTGATGCTTTTGTAGTTGGAAATGTTTAGGAGATAGAACAAACTTAAGCAGCTATGTAGATAGGTTTAGGACAATAGGATTAGGGAAACAGATCCAGATCCCGGTTCCTCAGTAAACGAGAACAGGCCAGAGTCAAACAAGAATGAATGTAACATTGACCTGGAACTGACCTTGGACTGAAAGGTATAGGAGGACTTCTGTTTCATATACTGAGAGCTTCGTGGCTTTAACGCTACATTTCAGTCTTATGGAAGAATACACTGTGTCTTGGGAATTCCGTATTCAAGGCTCTAAATAAGAAACTGGCTTCCACATGGACTTTTATAAAATGCCATGTATTGTATGATTCCATTTACTTGAAATCTCCAAAACCAGAAAGTGCATAGAAATAGAAAGTAGTTTAGTGGTTACCCTCAGGTAAAGAACAGGAGAAAGGGAGTGACTGTTGAGAATACAGGTTTCTTTCTTAGGTGACAACAATGTTCTGGAGTTAGATAGTGGTCATGGTTGTACAACCTTGTGACTCTACTATAAAACATGAATTGTACACTTTTAAATGGTGAATTTATTAAATTATATCTTAATAAAAATACATCTAGTCACAGGTTGGGAGCTCTATGCAGTGATCTCTGTCAGCAGCTCAGCTGAAATTAAAAAAGAGCTGAACTTTCAGGTGTCAGGGAGCTGATGAAAGCCACAAGTCGAAAATGAAAGTTAAGCCTTTAATCACTTACTGCTATGCTGTAAGCATGATTCAAACCAGAGAAATCTCTGACAGCTCAGATATGGGGGTGGTCTCAGTGTCGAGAAAGCACCAAACAAAAAGGCTCTAGTAGTTTTATGAGCCTTAGATTAGGGATGGGGAGCAGAAGAGGCTAGGAATGGAAAAGTGAAGTACAGGCTACTGAGTCAGAGTGGTGAAAAGTGTCTTCGAGATGTGCCACACTTCACAGTGAGGAGGTCTCAGCAGAGACACATGGGCTAGGTATGCAAATATGCAAAGAGAATAGCTAGCTAGAGAGGACTGAATTCTGGCCTGCAGCTTCCTTTCAACACTGTGATTTATTACCTGAGCACAAAGTCTGGGTTGGAGAGGGTAGCTTTCTCCTGCGAGGCCTGCCGGGTAAAACCTTAGGAATTACCCATGGTCAGGCCTGAAAAATCATGGATAGGTTTTCAGTCAGGAGCCAGACTCCTCAATCTCCATATCACCAGTTGTTTTTGTGGACATAGCCAGGCATACGTTTATCATCCCTTACATTCACTGATTGGATTACCATGTAGGTCATCATGTCATTCTTCAAAGGAAAAGGTTCTCTTCGTTATCTTCCAGGTGGGAAATTAATTCATACATTGTTGGGCTTGTCTTTACCATCAATGATTTAAGTTGTCTTAACACGCATTATATGTTCTATTATCCAAGTATTAATTTTCTATCATATAATTATCACTGAATATTTAATACATACCCATACCACGCAGTAGGGTATCATGTAATAAATGCTCTCCCTTTTAGAGTAAGGAATGAAAATCAGTAGTGTAGGTAGGAATATTAGAAAGTAAATTAAGGCTGGGTGCAGTGGCTCACACCTGTAATCCTAGCACTTTGGGAAGCTGAAATGAGAGGATCACTTGAGCCCAGGAGTTCCAGGTCAACCTAGGCAACATAGTGAGTCCCCATCCTTACAAAAAATAAAAATAAATTAGCCAGGCGGTTGAGAGGTCGCTTGAGCCTGGGAGGTGGAGGCTGCAGGGACCTCTGATTACATTACTATGCTGCAGCCTGGGCAATGGAGTGAGATCTTGTCTTTTTGAAAAAAAAAGAGAACAACATACTTCACACACACACACACACACACACAAAATCAGATATAAGAATTTATGAATCCTTTAGGTTACTAAAGGCAGAAGTTTTAAGCTATTTTTGATGTTTTGCCTACTTTCTCCACTGGAATAACTTAAAATTAATGTAGTTCAAATTAATGTGACATTTATTGGGCAACAAATGAGCCTGCCACTGAGATGGCTTTGAGTGATAAAATGGTACAGAAGTAGACAAGATGTAGTCTACTCTTTCAGAGTTTGTAGACTAGCAGGCATGTATAAATAAGCAATTATAGTATAGTGTAACAAATATTCTGATGAGAGAAATGGCAGTGTGTCAAAGTGCTGCACTGGAACAGCTCTTAACTCAGTTTGGCAATGGTGGGTAAGTTTGACTGCTTTTTAAGATCTTATCCCCAAATTATGTAAAGAAAATAAAAAAGGAGGCAATAAGAAGGAAAGGGTATCTAGTGAAGAGGAAAGAACATGGGCACACACCTACAGGTAAAGGTGTACTCTGGGGTCTAAACAGATTTTAATATGGTTTGAGCATAAAGTATTGGGGGTAAAGGACTGATGAAAGCAGGAGCTAGAAAAAAGAGATAAGAATGCAATAAAGGCAGGCTTTCTAAGCTATATTATAGGAAAAATTTGTCACTAAACAGGGCAATGACATAATCAAATTTACATTTCATAATGAGCCTTTCTAACACCAGTGCCAAGAGTGGATTGCAGATGAGCAAGAGTGTAGACAGAAAAGTTACTCTGAAAGCTCTGTTGTGAATTCAGGCAATATTGTAGAGTTCTAACTTAGACTAGTAGACTTCACAAGACAGCACTATATATGAATACAAGTAAATCTTTAGAATTTAATATTTACGAGGACAGGTGACTGGGTATGGAAGGTGTGGAAAGAGATCTAAATTTTGAATTTGGACAACTAGTTGGAAAATGATACCATTTGTTCCAAAATGGAACAAAGGGAAAATAATAGGTCTCAGATGATGAAAATAAATTTCGAATATGTTGAATTTGCAATGTTTGTGAGAAATCCAAATGGAAATATCCAATCACATATCTGGGTGTGTGGCTCAGGAGAAAGATCTGAGTTGTGGCTATAAATTTGTAAATCATCAGCCTATAAGGCATAAGAAATGTATGTCAATAGATGTGGCCATGCTGGACAAGTATGTATCAGAGAGGAATGCCTAGAACAATGCCCATCTGAACACAAAAACTTTAGAAAAGAGAAGGGGGTAAGTCAGGAGAAGGCTATAACATAGAGAATCCATAAGAAAAGGTCTGAGAGGTAAGAGGGAAACCAGAAAAGTAGTGTCAGGAAATCCCAGGAAAGAGATGGTTGGTTATGAGAAAGAATTAGTTGATGATATTATAAAAAGGGTGAGGTCAGGTAGGAAAAGGATGGGAAAGAAACTAGTTCACTTAGCATTAAAGAAGTATTGGTAGCCTAGGCAAGAGCACTTTCACTAACATGCTTGGATTAAATCCAAACATGAGTTGAATGAGGAATTGGGGTGGATAAAGTCAACTCTAAGTTAAATGTTTGGGGATACATTTATTAATTTTATATTACCAATTCTATCTTGAGGAATTTCTCCTCCTTTTATATATCAGTGAGTTGTAGAGATCTCTTTCTAGTATAGTGAAAATTTCCATAGAAGTTGAAGGTAGTACATCCTTAGTTCATTTGCGGTAGAATATGGACTTGAAGACAGCCTTACTCAGACTTTGAATTGACAGTTGGTATAAAGAAGTAGTGCCAACAGCATATCTTTTCTGGCAGTGGCATTGGTGACAGCGTTATCAGATTAGGTGGTATACCAGAGTCAGAAGTCCAAGCTGTGGCACGTGCTTCTCAGTACCAGTATCAGAAACAAGGGCAGAGGAATCCTCATCTACTAGTTACCTGGCATGCTTTTGAACATAGTTCTGATTTTTATAAATTCTCTTGATTCCTGCTGATTTCCCCAGCCTGGCTTTGCAGGATCCCTGGAAATTGCTCACTACCTAATATCTTTTAAATATGTCTCTTTCTGTTTAATTAAAATTCAATTTCTATTGCTTCTGCTAAAAAATTTTGACTGATACACAATACAACAAAATGCACAGACGTGTACAGTTTGATCATCTTTGACAAATTCATATACCCATATACAGTTTGATCATCTTTAACAAATTCATATACCCATCAAACCCCTATCAAGACATGGAACATTGCTATCAACTCACAAAGTGTGCCCAATAAGCCACTGCACCCTGAAGCAACCAGCATCTGATTTTTACTACCATAGATTAATTTTGCAGGTTCTAAAACTTCATATAAATAGAAGCACACAATATGTACTGTTTTGTCCCTGGCTTCTTTAACTCAGCATGAAGATTTGAAGATTTGTCCATGTTGTTGCTTATATCAATGCTCTGTGTATTTATTTTACTGAGTTTTATTTCAATATATGAATATATCACAGTTTATTTATATATGTGTATTAATAGGCACCTGGTTGTTTATTTCCAGCTTGGGGCTATTAGGAATGAAAGTGCTATAAACTTTCTTGTACAAGGTTTTGTGATGATTTATTTTTTTCTTATTTTTTTGTTTTTACGGATATGTCATTTTTATTGGATAAATACCTAGAAGTGGAATTGCTAGGCATCATGATAGGTGCATGTTTAACGTTTTAAGAAATTAAGAAGCATTGTTTTCTAAGTTGTATAATTTTTTGCTCTCATCAGCATGCCTTTTCATTTTCATCTTCTCAACACTGTAATTTTAGGATCAGATTATATATTTTTAAATTTAATTTAATTTTAAGTTCCAGGGTACATATGCAGGACATGCAGGTTTGTTACATGGGGAAACATGTCCCATGGTGGTTTGCTGCACCTATCAATCCATCACATAGGTATTAAGCCCCATATGCATTAACTCTTTATCCTGATAATATGCTTCCCCTAACACCCCCTTGACAGGCCCCAGTGTGTGTTATTCATCTCCTTGTGTTCATGTGTTCTCACTGTTCAGCTCCCACTTATAAGTGAGAAGATGTGGTGTTTGGTCTTCTGTTCCTGTGTTAGTTTGCTGAGGGATAATACCTTCAAGCTCCATCCATGTCCCTGCAACAGACATGATCTAGTTCCTTTTTATGGCTTCATAGTATTCCATAGTGTATATGTACCACATTTTCTTTATCCAGTCTATCATTGATGGGCATTTGGTTGATTCCCTGTGTTTGCTATTTTGAATAGTGCTGCAGTGAACACATGCGTGCAAGTGTCTTTATAATAGAATGATTTATATTCCTTTGGGTATATACTCTGTAATGGGATTGCTGGGTCAAATGGTTTTTCTGGTTCTAGGTCTATGAGGAATCACCACTCTGTCTTCCATAATGGTTGAACTAATTTACATTCCCTCCAAAAGTAAAAGTGTTCCTATTTCTCCACAGCTTCACCAGGATCTGATGTTTTTGACTTTTTAATTATCACCATTCTGACTGACATGAAATGGTATCTAATTGTTGTTTTGTTTTACATTTCTCTAATGATCAATGATGCTGAGTTTTTTTTCGTATGTTTGCTGGATGCATGAATGTCTTCTTTTGAAAAGTGTCTATTCATGTCCTTTGTCCACTTTTTAATGTTTTTTTCCTTGTAAATTTGTTTAAGTTCCTTGTAGATTCTGGATATTAGACATTTATCAAATGGTTAGATCACAAAAACTTTCTCCTATTCTGTAGGTTGTCTGTTCACTCTGATGATGGTTTCTTTTGCTGTGCAGAAACTCTTTTTTTTAATTAGATCCCATTTGTCAATTTTTGCTTTTGTTGCAATTGCTTCTGGTGTTTTCATCATAAAATCTTTGCCCATGCCTATATCCTGAAAGGTATTGCCTAGATTTTCTTCTAGGGTTTTTATAGTTTTGGGTTTTACATTTAAGTCTTTAATCCATCTTGAATTAATTTTTATGTGTGGTGTAAAGAAGGGGTCCAGTTTCAATTTTCTGTATATGGCTAGTCAGTTTTTCCACCATTTATTAAATAGGGAATCCTTTCCCCATTGCTTGTTTTCATCAGGTTTGTTGAAGATCAGATGATCATAGACGTGCAGTCTTATTTCTGAGATCTCTATTCTGTTCCTTTGAATTATGTGTCAGTTTTGGTACCAGTACCATGCTGTTTGGTTACTGTAGCCTTGTAATATAGTTTGAAGTCAGGTAGCATAATGCCTCCAGCTTTGTTCTTTTTGCTTAGGATTATCTTGGATATACAGGCTCTTTTTTTGTTTCATATGAGTTTTAAAGTATTTTTTTTCTAATTCTGTGAAGAATGTCAATGGTAGTTTAATGGGAATAGCATTGAATCTATAAATTACTTTGGGCACTTTGGCCATTTTCAAAACATTGATTCTTCCTGTCTGAGCATGGAATGTTTTTCCATTTGTGTCCTCTTATTTCCTTGAGCAGTGGTTTGTAGTTCTCATTGAAGAGGTCCTTCACTTTCCTTGTTATCTGTATTCCTAGGTATTTTATTCTCTTTGTAGCAATTGTGAATGGGAGTTAATTCATGATTTGGCTCTCTGCTTGTCTATTGTTGGTGTAGAGGAAAGCTTATGATTTTTGCACATTGATTTTGTACCCTGAGACCACCCTCAACATGCCAGATCTTGACTATCTCAGAAGCTAAGCAGGATTGGGCCTGGTTAGTACTTGGATGGAAGCAGATATTTTTTACTTTTTTTCTTCAGTGATTTGAACATTTTGTATCCTATGTAGCAAATAATCTTCTAACATAAGGTCAAAACTATTTTTCCTGTGTTTTTGCCTAGAAGTTTTTTAATTTTAGCTTTTATGTTTAGGTTCTTCCTCATTGAATTGCTGTAGTACTCTTGCGAAAAGAGTACTACTATATATATGTGGGTTTATTTCTATTCCATTGACTGGTTAGTGCATCCTTTTACCAATATAACATCTTTCTGATTAGTATAACTTTATAATAAGCCTTAATGTCAGGTAGATTAATTCTCCTAAATTTGTTTTCTTTCTTATCAAGTTTGTTTGGGCTACTTTAGAATCAACTTGTCTATTTCTATAAAAAAGCCTATGCATTTTGGTTAGAATTGAGTTGAACCTGTACATCAATTTGAGGAAAACTGACATCTAACAATATTGTCTTCCAATCTATGAACATGAGGTATTTGAGGTATTCTCCTATTCCTTTTAGCATAATTTTATAATTTCACTGTAATGGTTTTATATATCTTTCATTAAATTGGTCCCTAATAATTTTTTGAGATGCTTTTATATACAATATGTTCTATTTTACTTATTCTTTTTTTTTCAATTTTTTCATTCATATGGTTTGTTTTTCACTAAAGCCTTTAACATATTAATCACAATTATTTTAAAGTCTTTGATAATTTTGATATATGCATCATATCTTGATATCATTTGGTTTATCCCTTTTAGAGTTCTTTTTATCATTTTTTTAATTTAGTGTCTTATAATTTTGTTTTTAATGATGGACATCATGTCTTAGTTTCAGGCAGTTTCTACGGAATTCTGTTTTATAGATGAGATTTTCTCAGCATTTGTGAGTTTTTTCCCACAAGGCATTCACACACTCCCTTGAATCTGAGCAAAGTCATTTAGGAGAGATTTTCTGTGCTCTTTCAAGGGAAGGTGACTTTAAAACAAATTGATGCATAAGAAAACTTCATATTTATGGCATATAGAGTGAAATTTCATTACATGTATACAATGTGTGATTATCAGTTCATGTAACTAGTATATCCATCACCTTTCCTGCATCAGATGACGTTTGCTCATGGCATAATGGTAGTGTATCCTTTCCTGGGAATGGTGTTTCTTTTTGTTTTAATTTGGAAATTTTTCTTTCTTTCCTTTCCTTTTTTGATGGAGTCTTTCTCTGTCGCCCAGGATGGAGTGTGCAGTGGCATGATCTCGGCTTACTGCAACCTCTGCCTCCCAGGTTCAAGCAGTTCTCTATCTCAGCCTCCTGAGTAGCTGGGATTACAGGCACCTGCCACCACGCCTGGCTAATTTTTGTATTTTTAGTAGAGATAGAGTTTCACCATCTTGGCCAGGCTGGTCCTGAACTCCTGACCTTGTGATCCACCCGCCTCAGCCTCCCAAAGTGCTGGGATTACAGGCATGAGCCACCAAGCCTGGCCTAATTTGGAAATTTCTATTGACCTCTCTTCAAGATAGACTCTTGTCTATCTGGTCCTCAAATAATCCAACCAAAAGAATTTCTTATATTCATTATCATATATTATATTTCTAACATTTCCTTTTAGCTTGTTTTTATAGCATTCATTGCTCTTTTAGAATCCTCTGTCTGTTCACTCCTATTTTCTATTCCTATTTTTTACCGCAATGTGTGGTAAATGGTGTAATACATTTATCATAGCTATTTTGATGTTCTGGTTAGATAATTCTAATATCTGGGATATCTTTTGGTCTCTTTATCTTGACTATTTTTCTTTTGCCTATTGGTTATGTGTCAGTTTCTTAGGGCTGCTGTAACAAATTACCATACACTGGGTGGATTAAAGCAACAGAAATTTATTTTCTTTCAGTTCTGTAGGTTAGAAGTTTAAAATCAAGGTGTTGACAGGGACATAATCCTTACGAAAACTCTATGAGAGTTCTTTCTTGTCTTTTCTAGCTTCTTCCAGTTTGCTTATAATCTTTCATGTTTTTGTCTTGTAGATGCATCACTCCAATCCTTAATCTTCACATGGCATTTTTCGTGTGTCTGTCTGCATGTGGTCATCTTCTTTTAAGGACATCAGTCTTATTGATTTAGGGGTCTACCCTATTTCCTGTGATCTCATATTAAGCAATTTTATATGCAATGGTGTTATTTCCAAATAAGTTCATATTCTGAGTTAATGGGGGTTAGGATTTCAACATATTCTTTACAGGGGAGACAATTCAGTTCCTAAAAGAGTTCTGGTTTCTTGTTTCTTCTCTGGTACCATCACTTTTAAAAATAAAATACCAGATATTTGTGTAAAGAAACACTTAACACTGAAGTCAATAATACCTGTGCCCTAGATAGGAGATGGCTCAATTTCTTCGAGGCCAGTAGTGTGGCAGGCTGACTCAACCTATATTTTATCTGGACCTAATTTTGTTGAAGCTTTAGTTAGATTCACTTCTCAGGCTTCAAATGGTCTAAAAGCAGAATCACAAATTTTTCCTTAGTACGTGCATGAAGTATGCATGCTGGAGGGTTTTCTCATATCTCCTACTCAGCTCCCATTCTTCAGCAGGCCCAGTGTACCTGTGTCTCAGGTTGGATCTGTCTCGGCACTACTGTATTGTTTCTAAATTTTCTCAAGACTTGTCAAAAAGAGTTTGTTAGTGAGCTCAGATTCTCAGAGTACAACTATTTTCTTCTAGCCGGCATTTATGACGACTTGCTCCTTTTCCTGCTGCTCTGCCAAAGACGAAAGCATCCTGAGTCTCTTCTAGATTGAATGCCTTACATTTTAGATTTTGTTTTAAAAATTTTCTTTGCATCCTCAGTTCTTTGCTGGGCTTTATAAATCATAATTGTATATACCATTTTGTATTTCTTTGTAATTGAAGTGCTCTTGCAACTTTTCTAAATCACTTTATTGTAGTATAATTAATATATAAAAATACATGTTTAATGTATACAACTAAGTTTGAAGATATGCATATAGCTGTGAAATTATTACTACATTCTATTTTATAAACACAGCTATCACCTCCAAAAGTTTCCTCTCACTCTCCTAATTTGTTATTACCTATTTTGTGATAACAACACTTAACATAAGATCTATCTACCCTCTTAACAAGTTTCCAAGTACACAGTACAGTATTGCTATCTATAGGCACTGTGCTGTATAGTAGATCTTCAGGACTTATTCATCTTACATAACTGAAACACTGTACACTTTGACTGATGCCTCACTGTTTTCCCATCCCCTCAGTCCCTGCTACTTACCATTCTACTCTCCGCTTTTATGAGTTTGGCTATTTTAGATTCTTCATATAAGTGTTATAACATAGTATTTGTTCTTCTTGCAACTTTCTACATCTTTATAAGTAGAAGTCACTGATATCCTTTTTAAAGGTCTTTTCATAATTATCCTTTACCTTAGATTTATTAAGTGGAAGCTGCATTTTTTGGTTTTATTTGTGTATACCATTACAACTAAGAAACACAATGTACAAACTCTCAGTCAAATTTATTGAACTGGAGATTGTTAGTAAACCCCTAATAAATTAGCTCCAAATAGCTATGATTGCTTTCTTTCCAAGGGTTGTGTATTTGCCACATTGGCATAAATGTAAACTAGATAAAGAAAGCATTATAAATTATTTTGTGTGTAGTTACATATAATTCAAGGTCTCAGTAGGCAAAGTAACCCCTTCCCAACATCCCAAAATATCTACATCCCAATCATTGGGATTTATGTTACCTCATATGGCAAAGGAACTTTGTGACAGTGATTAAGTTAGAGCCCTGATTTGTAGAGATTATCCTGGATTATGTTGGTGGACCCAGTCTAATCATAGGAGCCCTTAAAAGTGGATAAATTTATTCTGGCTTCTGTTCATGGGAGATGTGATTGCAGGAGGGAGAGAGACACAACATTGCTGGCTTTGACAATTGGGAGAGGGCTATAAGCTAAGGAATGTGGGTGATCACTAGAAGTTGGAAACAGCAAGGAAATGGATTCTCCACCAGAGCACTCAGAAAAACATGAAGCTCTTCTGGGTCCTTGATTTAAGTTCAGTGAGACCCATGTCTGACTGCTAATCTATAGAAGTGGAAGATAACAAATCTGTGTTGTTTGAAACCAAGTTTGCGGTAATTTGCTACAGCAGCAATAGAAAACTAGTAAAAGGCCAGAACAACAACAAAAAATTCTGAATATCAATTTGTAAAAGTTGTGAGGGTGAAATTTTAAAAAGTTTTTTTTTCTTATTCTCCCATGTTTAGTTCGCTAGGTTAGTTTTATAAGAAATAAAATAGAAAGCTGGAAAAGACATTGACTTTTTTACAGACATTACTTTTAGAGACTAATATAGAGAAATAAATTTGGTTTCAAATTTGAAGATCACAAGAAAAGGAGATCTCATAATATCTTACCAGCGTTCTATGCCACCCCCCCCCCACCCCAGGACCCGAGCATTATTCTTAATATAACACATACATGTTCTTAATAAGATTAACATAATTTTAGCAAAAAATTTCATAAGAAGGAAATGTTGATGGGTCTATAATAGTGGAAAAAAAGGTAAACTTAGAGTTATGTAAGATTAAAAAAAGAAACAAAAGTAACTGACTTTTTGAAATACTGTACATTAACCGTAGTTATTAAAATGTCATAGGTTTCTTTGTTACTTCACAATTGAGAACATTATACTATTTTTCCCTTTTTCATGTATATCATTTGAAAAATATTTCCTAAAGAAACTATTGTTTTTCCTACTTAAATTCAACTATTCTGACAATATATTAATACTAACCCCAAATCTTCTGGTCATTCTTCAGCAAGTGTCCAGTTTGTAGGAATTTTTTTTTTTTTTTTTTTTTTTTTTTGAGACGTAGTCTCATTCTGTCGCTCAGGCTGGAGTGCAGTGGTGCAATCTCGGCTTACTGCAACCTCCACCTCCCAGGTTCAAGAGATTCTCCCACCTCAGCTTCCTGAGTAGCTGGGATTACAGTCATGTACCACAACGCCCAACTAATTTTTTTTTTTGAGATGGAGTCTCGCTCTGTCTCCCAGGCTGGAGTGCAGTGGCGCGATCTCCCCTTACTGCAAGCTCCGCCTCCCGGGTTCACGCCATTCTCCTGCCTCAGCCTCCCCAGCAGCTGGATTACAGGCGCCCGCCTCCACGCCTGGCTAATTTTTTAAGTATTTTTAGTAGAGACGGGGTTTCACCTTGTTCGCCGGGATGGTCTCGATCTCCTGACCTTGTGATCCGCCCGCCTCGGCCTCCCAAAGTGTTGGGATTACAGGCGTGAGCCGCCCAACTAATTTTTGTATTTTTAGGAGAGATAGGGTTTCACCGTGTTGGCCAGGCTGGTCTTGAACTCCTGACCTCAAGTGATCTGCCTGCCTCGGCCTCTCAAAGTGCTGGGATTACAGACTTGAGCCACTGGGCCTGGCCTGTAAGAACAATTTAATTGCACTCCAGTTGTGCCTAATTCAATTGCACTCCAAGTTTTTTTTACAGGCAATCCAATTATACTCTAAAATATCATCTTCCTGAAGAGCAAAGAATTAGGATCCTTGAAAAACTTGCTCTTTTAGTTTTGCTCTTGAGATTATAATAAATTTCTTAGGAAAGGTGCTAGATAATAAATTTCTGGATATGTAAAAATACTGTATGTATAAGCTGTCCAACCCAGGAAATCTAAATATATAGAATGAACGTTATACTGTTTAATATTAAAGTGTTTGATTCTTAAATATCCTGATACTAGATGAGAATTAGATAAGTACATGTACTACAAATCACACGATGATTGTCATTTCCACAAGGTTGCTTAACATCTTTAATTAGTCTATCTGAATTCTTAGTTTAACATATATACTTAACTATAAAAGTTAAAATAAGAAAGTCATACCTAGACTTTTTTGACACTATTTTGAGAATTGACACCTGAAAACCTGCTATTGAGGATAAAAGAAAGGGGAACACACTTAAAAAATAGACTTAATTACTAAAGTCAAATAATCTTTGATTCTTTATAATAGGGGCAAAAATTTTTATACCTTTCACTTTCCCAGGGCAGTATGTAGTATGCTTTATTACGGACCATATCAACCCTAGTGCTTTCATCTCTATTATATCTTCATCCATCTTTTCAAATAACTCTATCCTAGGTTTTGTCATAACTCTCAGTACCCAATCCACTGGCCATAAGTCAAGAGCTTACCAACTCTCATACTCTTAGTACACATTTTCTTCTTTTCCATGGTATATTATCTTTCTCTCCCTTCTGTTCTGTCCCTACTTGGCTAAATCCATCAGTCATCACTTCAACCAACCTCTGCCACTATCTCTAGTTCTTTGGCCCCACTGATCTATCTTCATTAATGTAGCTGTTTACCAAGCAAACTTCTCTTATGCAACTGGAAAGCCTTGAGTTAATATTAATGAATTTTTTTCAGTTCCATGTCTGCAGTGATTCTCAGCAAGCCTTCTTTGGCCCCTTAATTATTTACGTTTTCTTCATACTAGCAATTTCAAAGTATTTCTGCTCCCCATAAACTAATGACATAGCCACCATATTTCATTTTATTCTCATCCCATCACTTAATTCTTCAAAAGTAAAGTTAAAATTGCCTTGAGTGAAGTTACTCAACTTCCCACCACTAAACCTGCACAAATGCCTTCATCTATTTCAATCCTTTCCAGTTTTCCCTTTAACTTTTCACACTTTAAAGAGATGTATTCTTTCCTACTTAATGTTTCTTGAGAATATTGCTACTCCATAAGTTTTCTTTGTTTTTAGTTATACCTCCAACTTCTTTTTTTCCAGATGTCCTTTATTGAGTTCTTAAATACGTCTGTTTCTTCTACATTAGAATTGATAACAGTAGTAGTATAATCAAACCAAACCTTCAACTCCACATTCCATTTTTAGATCTGTAATATTTAATATGGCTTAAGCTGCAAATTAGAGTAACCTTAACCTAAAATGAATTTAAAAATTTTAAAAAAATTGTGCTTGCCTAACAGGATTTCCAGGAAGTCAGTGTTCCAACTCTATTCCTTTTGTGATATGTTCAGTTCTGCCCTCTTCTATATTTTGGTTTTGTTATTCATGGTCAAAGATGGCTGCCATTCACAGCTAAAGCAACATCTGCTTTGTTAATATCAAGAAAGAGGGAGAGGTAACCGCTCCTTCAACTATAAAAAAAATTATCATTCCCTGAATAGGGTCATCTGGTGCCCTAGGATCAGTAGTAGTCATGAGATGTTGAGATGATTGACATATCTGGAGCCTGTACCAGTCATTGGCAAGAGGAATGGAATTGCTGTGATCAACTTAGCCTACTCAGGATTCTTACCTGGAGCTCTTGGTAGGGATAACATCTCCTGAATCATAACGATGATGTAAGGGAAGTCTGAATACTTAAAAATTGAAACGTGTTATTTTATCCCAGTAAGGAAGAAAGTGGAATACTTGATAAGCCACCAGTGGTGTCTATTACATGAAGAAGCAAAGGGAATGAAGTAAACTTAAGTGCATAAAAATGACTTCTCAGAAAAGTACAGATCCAGATCCTATGGATACCCAAATTAATTCCTAATTTATTGCTTAAAATAGCTACTAGGCATGCTGACTCCTGTTTCACCCTGTCAGAGGGACTTTGAATAAAATGGTACTAGATTATTAATTATGGGGACTAGTCATGTACTTCATGCTCTCTCAAAGCAATGTCTAGATCTGTCCTTGCTTTGGCTGCTCTTCAGCCAGCTCTGGGGTCTGGCCTCATCCTGCACTCCACCCTCCCAACCTTTTAGTGAGAGGTACTTTTACCATCTGCAAAGGTAAAAGAGATACCTTTACTATCACATGGCATCACATTTGCCACATGATGTCTCTATCAAATTCAAATTAACCTACCCTTAAGGGTAACTGTTGCACTATCTTTAGTCTTTCTGATTCCAGGTCTCTTCCCATTTTTCTCTGACTTGTGTGAAATATATACACTTTCCTTATATTTCCAGGCATCTTCTCCTCTTGGGGAATTGTACCTTTTTCTCTTATTATTCCTATTTTCTGGACCTAATGTTTTTTCAACTATGTGGAATCTGGTGTTAGTTTCAAGTAGAACCTTCCTATGTATGCTAGTTTACCAAAGCAGGTCCAAACATTTTTCTTTTCTTTCTTTTTTTTTTTTTTTTTTGGTGGTGAGCGGGGGTGAATCTCAACTATCTTAGGGAATTCCTTTTGACTTTGGATTTAAGAACTGAGGGAAAGCATTTAGCTCTTTGTGTATTTGCAAAGGAGAATAATTTATGTACTATTACCTTTGTTTCCTTCTTATTTTCCCAACTTTGAGAACTCTATTTTGTTTCCTGAAACTGCCTGTATGCTTTTTTTGCCAGAGAAGTCATCTTATAAATACTTGGCTATCTATAATTTGGCAATGATAAAACTAAAACAGAAAATAGCACACACATAATAATAAAGGGTGGTTTGGTCACAATCAATTTCTAATAGTATACATTACCACTAGCTGTATATCATATTCCACATGATACTATTGGTAGTCCACAGAAGACTAGACATTTGCTTTACCTGAAGGCCCATGTCAAGTCATTGTCAGAAAAAGCCCTGAAAAATAATATAGGCTTTTACAAAATTGCCTTCTGAAGTGGTGGCAACAGAGTTACATTACAGACATTATATGTTACTCAGCAAAACTCCTTTAAGGTCTTCCTTGGTTGAGCATGTCTTCCTCTTGGTTCCTCCATTCCTCAAGCCTTCCATCTTCATAGTTCCTACCTCCCCTTTTTTAGGCGGATGCCTCTGCCTTCTGAGAAGCTATCTGTTAGTGTTTGTCTAAGTCTTCTCCATTATGGAGAGGGAAAAACTATGAAAACTTATATAGAATATTTTTGTCCACATCACCCAATGAGAAATAATTTGCTTTTTATAGAAGGCATTAATAGATATAAGATATATTACCTTGATAAAATAAAAAGAAAAGCAAAAAGTTGATGCCCTCTCCTAATCCCCCCCAGGTTTCTTCCTGCCTTCTTAATGCTTTCATGTGTAGCTCTGCTATCTAGAGTGCTCATTCTCCTAACCCCTCCCCTGCCCATACTTTCCCCATGGAAGGAAAGAATACCTTCCTTTATTCCTTACAAATGACTAAAAAGTCTTTAGTCCTGCTCACAACAGTATTTAAATTCAAACGGAAAGCGGTATTTTACATTAAGGAGAAAAATCTTTAATTTAGGACTTTTGCATATCCACTCTGTACCTAGGGAAGGACTGTGCACTGGGTAAATTTTCTAGAACTTCTGAAATCACATTACGTGGACAACTTTGTATTTGCAGTTTGGTCATGAAGAAGACTGCTCTTGAATGTGTTCATTGAAGAGCTTTTTCCTTCTGTGATTGTCTTTTGGAGCATGAAAGTCAAAATACCAAAGAATGATAAAACTTAATCAAAATTTAAATTACTGTTTAAGATCTCCAAAATCCTTTTGGAAAATAATTTCATAGTACATTTTATAACTAGAGCAAAAAGAGCTAATAGAGGCACGTTTTCTATAGCAATAACTACCTCCTCTGTGTTTTCACCTCTTCAGAGGCTAATAACACTGTCAAATTGATGGAAACCTTCCTGCTTACTGAATTATAGCACCTCCATTTACATTAGCATAATATATGCCAAAAATGAAATACTATCTCATTTCAAAGTCTGTGGGTTTATTTTATTACTTGTAGTTGATATTTCTTGTACTCTAAACTGTAATAGTCTTCAGTTTTTTTTTTTTAAATAATAAAAAAAGGAAGGAAAGAAAGAGGGATGGAAAGATGAAGGGAAGGAAGAAACTGTTTTTTAGTGTTCTTCCTCCCATGGTAGATAATTAATAAAAACATTGATACTAAACAATGATGTAAAAGATTATATGGAAACAGGGAAATCTCAAAAAGAAACCAAATATTTATATAGTGAGGTATGGTACCTAATGGAAGAGCATTTAAGAAGAATTATGTAGTTATAATAGTCGTATAGATATGTAGTACCAAATGTAACAACTTAACATGATTACTTCAGCAACTTTCAATGAAGTATTTGTTTCAAATATTCTTTGATCCCTTTCAAAAAGAAATTACATAGCTGTTATTCAATAAAGATAATCGAGGTAGGTGGAACTGAAGGTTGAAATTACAGGAATCTATATTGGTCATAACACAGAATTTTTGAAAGCTTCACAACAACCCAAACAAGTGGTTATGGTAGGTTTTACCACATTTTACAGATGAGAAACTGAAGGCCAGGGAATTCACTGATAAAAGTATGAGAGGGAACTGGCAGTGGGACATTGACTCCTACTCTAACTTTAGTGAAATTCTCACTATGCCATACTTTTATTTTTTGCAGATAGATGTTCTAAAAGTAAGAATTAAATATTCTCATGTTTGTAATTTTTCTCAAGCAAACTTTCATTATCTCATTTAACTCTGGGTGCTTCTGTAAAAGAGTTCTAAGAACTGTGGGAGCTTTAGGGTACATGTGCACATTGTGCAGGTTAGTTACATATGTATACATGTGCCATGCTGGTGCGCTGCACCCACTAACGTGTCATCTAGCATTAGGTATATCTCCCAATGCTATCCCTCCCCCCTCCCCCGACCCCACCACAGTCCCCAGAGTGTGATATTCCCCTTCCTGTGTCCAAGTGATCTCATTGTTCAATTCCCACCTATGAGTGAGAATATGCTGTGTTTGGTTTTTTGTTCTTGCGATAGTTTACTGAGAATGATGGTTTCCAATTTCATCCATGTCCCTACAAAGGACATGAACTCATCATTTTTTATGGCTGCATAGTATTCCATGGTGTATATGTGCCACATTTTCTTAATGTGCACATGTACCCTAAAACTTAGAGTATAATAAAAAAAAAAAAAAAAATCTTAATGACTTAGGAAGAATCAGAGTGAAGATTTTGAAGCCTTTTTATATATACCATGAGTTATACAGTCAATACATTTTTGAAGGCAGAGTATCTATATCTATTATTTTTTTTAAGAACACATTGTTTTACACAATTATTTTACTTCCAGAAACCTATGCCACAGAAGACTTAACACCCTGGACAAAAAAATATATACGTATGAGGAATTTTGCATAATTGTCCATAGTGAAAATTTGGCAACAACCAAAATCTCACCCCCAAATAAATGATTAAAGAAAAATATATTTATACAGTTTATGTTGTACAGTTACACAATGGAATTAGCTAGTTCTAATGAAAATGAAAGATTTTCTTCAGAATACAGTTAGTGAAAATTGCCAGTTGGAGAACATATACAACACTACTTTTGGGGAAAAAAATATGTAGGTGTATGTAAATAGTGAAAATATTTTAGGCATGGGATTTTGGTAATCTTCATAATCTACATGTTAGGAGTGAAGTTTTGGTAATCTTATGTAGTCTACATTTGTACATTTTTGTATTATGAAGAGAAACTACAGAGAAGTTTGCATTGTCATCTCATTAATATAATTTTTAAAATTTAAAAAGGCTTCTCTGAGATTGCAAGAGGTGAGTGACTTTGCCACAGGTTTTTAGAAAAGTAGATGACTACACGCTTAACATGTTGTTGAGGTCATCTATGCATCAGCAATGGGAGGTTCAGGTATTATCTGGTGTCCTTCTAGTTCTAAGACTCTGTGATGCTGAGAGATGGGAGAGATATGAAATCTGCTGTGCTGAAATGGAAGGGCTTAGCTTACTCGTGGCACTCCAACTGCAATTTAGAATTTCTTATCTCACTCCTTCTTCCTGGACCGAATCATTCTCACTGTCCCATCATATTTTAAGGAATACCATTAGGAAGTCACTAAAGATTTCACTTTTTAAGATTTCACTTTTTCTAGCACAACTAGAAACAATGTGATGGATTTGAGTTCTTAATTTAAAAATTGTATGCTTCATATAGTTATCTAGTCCAAAAATATTTTACATTGTATGTTTATAACTAAAGTGTATCTTGTTCTCCCTCCACCTTGTGTAGTTTATCAGTAAAACCAATAAAGCCTACTGAATTAACAGACATATAATATCACTTACAATAAAAGTAAATGTACTTTTTACTTACAGTAAAACAATACAATTTTACTTACGATAAAATTGTATCACTTACAGTAAAAGTAAATTTGTAATAGGAAAACTGGAAAATAAATGCACAGCAATTATTTCTAAAAAAAAAAAAAAAAAAAAAAAAAAAGAACTGTGAGAGCTCCGTGATAGAACTATATGCTGTTTGCTCTCTAAGAGATTCCAATATAATGGAAAGAAAAGAGAAGCACATGTCCTAAAGTTCTTACACCTCCATTGTACTGGAAACTTGTGCAACTCTTGAACAAGTTTATTATTTTTTTTTTGTAGCTAATGTCCCTACTTTTATGCTCCCTTGAGATTTTTTGTATGGTGCTATTTATGATATCCACATGTATTAAGATTATTTGTAATTATGTTTCAAAATTATTTTCAATCATGTCTTGGACTTGTGGAATGTGAAGATTAGTTCCTATTCATCCTAGTTCTATAAGGCTAAGTGTAGTGCTTACAACACAGTAAATGTTCAGTACATGCTTGTGTTTGGTATATATTTATTATTAGAAAGGTCTATACCTCTCATATAAAATTCAAGCAATATGGACGTATATAATGTAAACAGTTAAACTTTACATGTCTTTCACCCACTCCTACTGCTCTCAGGTAACCATCGTTAGCATTTTGATTCAGAACTACTTAGACTTTTTTTACATGGACAAATACGATGTGATTTTTGAATTCATAAGTTAAATTCATAAGACGCACTGAGAATCAAAAATATTCTATAAGCTGAAGACATTATATAAAATTAAAATATTATTTTATGATTTTAAACTACTTCAACTGTGTTCTGTAGAAAGAAAACAATTGAACAGGATGATCTTAAAACTTTGATAGTTGTATAGATTATCAATAGTATTTTACATGTTACACCAAAAATATTCATTTCATATTAACATTCTAATTTATCAGGACAACACACTAAATTTTAGTTTTCTCATTATCAGACATCACTTTATTTTCACATACATTGGAATATTATTGGTCAAACTTTTACTCTAGTAAGAGCTGACATTTCTATTTATTAGGTTCTAAACTAGTGATTTATAAGGTATTTCTGCTTTGCAGAGTATTCCCATTCAGTAATGGAAATAATCCTTGGTCCTTTGAGTTAACATTTGAAAGTACATAATTAATAAATGAACATTAAGAACTTTATATCTATATTTACTATTCTTCAAAAGAAGTTTAGCCAGGCGCAGTGGCTCACACCTGTAATCCCAGCACTTTGGGAGGCCGAGGCGGGAGGATCAAGAGACTGAGAACATCCTGGCCAACATGGTGAAACCCCGTCTCTACTAACAATACAAAAATTAGCTGGGCATGGTGGCACTTGCCTATAGTCCCAGCTACTTGGGAGGCTGAGGTAGGGGAATCACTTGAACCCGGGAGGCGGAGTTTGCAGTGAGCCGAGATCACACCATTGCACTCCAGCCTCGGCGACAAGAGCAAAACTCCGTCTAAAAAAAAAAAAAGAATTTTATATATAGACAGCAATTCAAATGTATTTTTTAGTTTTCTTTATTTCTATTTCATTAATGTGCTTGACTATTGATAGTCTTGATTAAGGATATAATATTTACTCTATTTCTCTGACTTAAAGAGGAAATATATGCTCCTCATTCTCTATGCTACTTAGTGATTTTAATTTTTCTCAAGGAAACTTTCATCGTCCCATTTAACATTTGCGCTTCTGTCGTAAAAGAATGCTAAGAACTATGGGAGCTCCGTGGTAGAATTATATGCTGTTTGCTCTCAGAGAGCTTGTTAGAATTTTGGAGTTTAAGTGGTGACTTTGACCTAAAGGCTGAACATCAAATTACAAATGTTATTACACTTTAGTGAGTATTAGAAGAAAGAAAAAAATGGTACATTATTGAGAATTAATGAATTATGATTGAACTAAATGGATTTTAGCTAGCCATACAGAAACTGTGAGGTTAAAAACATGGATTTTTCTGTTTCATAAAACAACTTATAATTATTTGCTATCATTTAAAATTTTGGACTATAAATAAATAAACTATTACCATGTAATTTAATTAAACTTGGTATGACAAACACTTTGTGGCCTCAGATAGAAGATGATGTAGAGCTATGCAAACTGTGTATTCATAAAACATATGGCAGAAAAGCTCTATGAATAATAGTTGACTAAGAGCTTAACATATGTCTAATAATGTGTTCAGCATAGATTAATGGGAAATAAATATATTGAAACAATATATTTGATATTTAAAAACTGATTTGAGCTGTGTTCTAATTACCTCATTGTGCCTTAATTTAATAGTGTATAAAAACTGGGAATAATACAATAAATTTATTGAGGAATTTGCAATTAGTAATAGTTACTAGAGTTAAAACAATTCTAATAATTTCATGTGGAAAGTGATAAAAATGATATAAGTGGTATGGAAACAAATGAAGGTTATTTATTAGTAAAATTGATTACCAACATTTTTGTGTGAAAGGTCTAAGAAAATTTACATAATCAATATTAAGTTTAATGTCTCATATCCAAGTCGAGTACTAGTAGTTAAATAGCGTTAGGAAAAATAGCTAATGTATGCTGGGCTTAATACTGAGGTGATGGGTTGATAGGTGCAGCAAATCACCATGACACACGTTTACCTATGTAACAAATCTGCACATCCTGCACACGTACCCTGGAACTTAAAATAATAATAAAGAAAATTTAAAAAATACAAGACTTCATACTTTTCTGAGGATAAAGAAGTAGAAGTTGATGAGTGATAATGGTATTGATGCTTTCTATTTGCTTTTGAAACTATAAGATATAAATAAATAGACCAAGAGCTACTAAGCTACTATTTACTGAATTTTTACCTTATTCTAAGTAATTTTCATATATTAGCTTCTTTCATGACTTGGGTTTAGATGTGTGTGAGAAACTGAATGAAATATAATATAGCTACAATACCAAATTCAAGAGAAATTTGGTGAGGTGAGCTTGGAGATAGGAAGGCTGTAGATTTTGGATAGCCATGTAAGTCATGTGCCCTTTATTTTATGGGCAGTGGGAAAGCATTGTGGGTTATAAGTATCAAATTACATTATAGGATAAAATATAATTAAATGATTTTTAAATTATATGAACAATTCAGATTTGTTTTATTATTAAATTGGAAAACATCTTAAAATTTTTACAGTAACCTCATGATAGGTGGAAAAGGAATAGAAATTTATACATTGTTTTTAGGAGTGGCAGTTGATACAACAATTTTTGGATGGCAATATTATACTATGAAATAAAATTTTAAAATCACATACTCTTTTACATAGGAATACAACTTCTAGGAATTAAAAATCTGGATACTATCACAAAAATTTATCGTGAAAACTATATATTTGAAGATGTCCAAAAATCCTAGAAGAGCATGTCACTACTTGAGAAAGACTAACATATATGTGCAAATAATAAGAAAGAATCATAAGAGCTGGTGTTGTTGATAGGACAATTGGCACTCTTAGGCACTATTGGATTGAATCATCATTATATTCACACAGAATAATTTAACCTTTATGAAAGATTTAGGTTTGACTCAGCAGTTTCGATCACTCATTCTAAGAAATTTATTGGATTCCAATCCAAAAATTTAAGTACAAATGTGCTATTGTAATGTTGTTTATCATAGCAACTAAAAATTAAGAGTTAAATAAATTATAATACATTAAGCAGCTGAATTTTATATAGTCAATATAAGTATTTATAGAAGTAAATGGTCATAATAACCTATAAAAAGGAAATAAGCTACACAATCACATTTATACAAATCTCATATGAGTAAGTCATATATACATATGTATATAAATATAAACATTATGAAAACTTATGCTAAGCTATTGGTAATGGTAACCCTGTGATGATGGAATTTTAGGGGTTGTTATTGTTTTTGTGGTAGTGTTTATCTCTACTTCCTTTTCTTTCTGTGCAAGATTCTTTGTTATTTATTTAATTAGAAACACTAAGAAAATTATTTACATAAATTCTATATCTCATAGCCAATATCCACAGTGTTTTTCCTTTTAGGAGACTCATAAATTCTTCCCCTAGAGGAGCCTGATATGCTAAATTTCACAGGAAGGCCTTAGAATAGACTACATCACTGGGACCTTTGGTATAGGCTGACTTAATCCCTCTGTTCAAAACTTGCTTCAAATATTGCCTAGAATATACTCAATTATTAATAAATGCTGAAAGGAATAAGACAACATCTAAACCCATCTCTCAGCTCTTATATTTGTTTTTGTTTGCTTGTTTTATGGATGTGACATTGATGATATACTTGTGTGACGTCTTTATGAGTGATTCTCAAATTATTGTGCAATTTCCATAGGTAGAATCTTTCCATTTATATTAATTCTAAGTAGTATAATTCCTTCTCTCTGTTTTTATAGCATCATTTGCTTTATAAAGATAGATGAAAAACAGGAGTCTGAACGTTTTTCCTGTTTTCTCTGTCACTGAAAGAAGAATGTCAGTATACTTAAAGATAAGCAATTGAATGCAAATAATTTGGAAGAACCATTTTAATCACCATAATTGTACTGAAGCACTTAAAAATGCATGTATGGAATTGAAAAATAGATTAAAAATCCTTTCAATAAGTGTACTCATTTATTTAATTACTTTGAAGTTGGAAGTAAAACCATCCTTTCTGTAGGCTATAGTATTTCACTTTGGGTTAACAACTTAGTAAGATGAACACCATTTTTGACAGTTAGTGTGGGTCTTGATGTTTTATCAGCATTTTAATAAATTTGACTTCAGTCATTTATGTGCTTTATCATTGAGATTTTCCAATATCTTATTCCAATAAGAATGACTAATAGTTATGCTCATTTAAAAAGTAATATTGCAATGCTGAGAATGATCATTGCCTTTATGTTCAGATTTATCTGAGAGTATGTGTGGCATCTTTCCTGAAAAATACACACAAGGTGATTATTTTGTTGGAGACATTGTTTGAAGACCAATTTATGTGTTATCTTTTATTTGAAAAGCAGCTTAAAAAGACAAACCATTCCAGCACAACATTCAACATTTGACAGTTCGGCTCAGTGATAACCTTATTCACTCACACGATGTAATGGTTATTTTTGTTGCAAAGGAACCCTCCCTGGTTTTCTTGTATCTCCATTATACTTTGTCCGTAAGCTCTATGATGCTAGAATTTCCAAATAGATTGATTTTTCAACTAAAATTGAATGTATCTACTTATTCACTTTCAAACCCAAAATATACTCACCTATTTTTGCCTCAAATTCTTTTTAAAGCAGGGAAGTTAAAAATAATTTGTAAATCCCTAATTTCTCCAATTTTCGGTAACGATATCATTATCATCCAATGTATTTTGAGTCAAAACTGTGGTATTATTTTTATTCTTCACTTTTCTAGATCTTTCTTAACCACTTATATTAATTAAAATCTGCCCTTCAAAAATGATCTCTCATCTTTTTTGTCCCCTCAGTATTATTCAACTTGATTATTGCTATTTTAGTTACCTTCTAATTCCACAACATCATCCACTCCCTTGTTCTTTCCCCAGTGGAGTACCTTTGTTCTATGGCCAAAATTATTCTCATAAATTAATCATGAATTTTATTATTAAGCATCACTGATGATTCATCACTGCCTATAAAATAAGATGCAATTTTTTGGCATTCAAGACTCTCCACGATAGTTTCCAAAATTATCTTTTCAGCTCTATAATTTCACTTCTATAAACTTTTAACTCCTCATCTCCAACTCTCAACTCTCAACACTTATTTAGGTTCAAGTCCAGTGGATCATTTATCATTCTCTGAACATTTTCTTTGTAAAGAACTGCCGTCACTAGCTTCAATGTTCTCCATAACTCAGACCGTTATAACCAAAAGCATATTTTTGGTGTAATATTATATCTTTCATGAAGGTTTAATGGATTATTTTTCTTTTTTTTGTTAATTTCTACCTCTTCTGTACTTATATTTTCATTAATATATTTAAAATATTAATATTAGTCTTCTAACAGTTATTATAATATTTGTTTTGGTCTGTTTTATTTTGTGGGTGAAAAACACCAATTATATACAATGTGAGCATACCAGTATTGTGTATATATGTACATATGCATCCTCAAGCATCTATGTGTATGGTCTAAGTGTGTGCATGTGTGTATATGCATAGAGGTAGAATAATGAAGGTAGCTTAAGATGTAAGAGGTAATCTTTGCCTGTATAATGATTTTGTCATGGGCCAATTCTGATTATGTCACATCAGTTGAAGATGCACATCAAGATGTCTGAAATAACTTTCTTCTGCCTGTTCTGACCTTTGTTGTCTCACTTTAACTCATCATCCAGCTGCTGCCTGAGTATTTTGCTTTAATCTATTCTCTACTCAGCTAAATTAGAAATACTATTTTAGATGAAAATAGCACATAAGTATCCACTGAGAAATCCCTGGTGGTTTAATTATCACTGATTTTTTTTAGAAGCAATTTGAAATGGTCTCCAATTGTGGTTAATTTAGCAATGAGTTTTCAGTGGTGTGGACATAGTAATAAGTGTTAAAATATTAAACAAGCCTTCATTTTGATTGCCAAATTTCTTTTAGAGCAAAACTAATATAGAAATCCTTACAGTCAAGGCTTCTTTACAAATCCAAACCTGGAATGTGTGTGTGGGTTTGTTTTTAACCTTGCAGTGAAAAAATAAATTCCTCATTAAAGAAAACTAAAGTTTGAAAAAAAAAACATAAATCCTTTGCATATACCCCTTATTTTTGAATCATGAGGCATTTTTGGTAAAAGTGGAAAGCAAATAATGTCACTTATCTTTAGTATAACTTCTTTTTTTATACAAAGAAAATAGTTTTAAGGAATAAAATGGTACATCAGATTCAACTCCTGACTAGATAATCATAATATTTACGGAAGACTATTTGACAACAGCTTAAAGGATACACAAAATAAGAGCATTAAACCATGTAAAAGGGATTAGACTAGTGTTCTCTCAGCAGTGGTCAGAGTTGCATAAATCTGAAACTTGAATGGGAGAAGAAATGTGTGCATTCTAATCCTAAACATGAAAAATATTCATTCTGAAATCTACGTTAAATACTTCAAATAAAAAAGTATTTATAATATCCATATGGGTTTTCTAAAATATATTCTTCCAAAATATAAGTCAAGCATGGTTAAGACAGGCCCTTATCATTTAATGGAAAGGATTAGGAGTGAGTATAAAAATGTTTTAAGTCACGTTTTGCAAAGTTTATTCTGTGGAAAGTAAGTCCTACAAGGTACTTAATGGAAAAAGGTGTTCATGAATAAATGTTTTAAATATTTTGTACATATTATGTCATCCTGTATTGAAGTTAAAGCATTCATTAACATATTAAAGACTGAGTATTTTGCAACACATTGGAAGCCAACTTTTCTCAAAATTATTTCAGAACAAGATAGCTTCCCAAGCCAAATGTGTCTTTCTTTTTTCTTAAAACACCAAGCCAGTATTCATCGAGACAAATTCTCAGAAATGTTGTTTAAAAGTGTTACCAATTAAAAACAAAACAAAACTTTACAGGTTTGTTTGTTACAGAAAACAGAATTGAAGTAAGAACTACTTTGCAATGGCTCATAGTATTAAGTACATAAAATAAAAGTGCCAAGGAATCCCATAGCTTTTGCTGACGGAAGCAAATCGCACTCACTGTACTGACTGTGCAATATTCCATTTGACTTCATTGAAGTTCTGTTTTCTCATAAAGGAGCAACAGTTGTGCCTCCCTCAGTGTGTTGAAAGGATCATATACAGCTATTTGTTTTAACAGCCCTAAAGTGCTACAAAATTTTCAACTTACATTTGCCTCACACTGCCTAATAAGCTTGATTTTTCATGTCAGTTCAATTTCCCCAGTCTGAAATGACTATTGTAAACATGTTCTCCTCTCACTTCTCTTAGGACACTCTAGCAGCATTGTTCATCAAACAGCATTGCTTCCTAATTTTCAGTGAAAATGAGTATCTTTTTTTTTTTTTTTTTTTTTTTTGGAGACCGGGTCTCACTCTCTTGCCCAGGCTGGAGTGCAGTGGCTTGATCCTGGCTCACTGCAACCTCCGCCTCCTGGGTTCAAGCGATTCTCCTGCCTCAGCCTCCCGAGTAGCTGGAATTACAGGCATGAGCCACTGTGCCCAGCCGAAAATGAGAATCTTCTGGGCAGTCCTCAGTGTCTAGCTGCCACATCTCTAAAACTGGCCTCCATCTTGCCAGTGCTTCTCATCTGAGTGAAATGTTGGTGTTCTTTTCTTCAATCCCAGGAGGTCTGAATCCCACGTCTCCAACACTCTAAGATCTTTAAGTAATTTTTCCTTCTTTAGTATTTTCTTTTTTTTTGAGATGAAGTCTCACTCTTGTCCCCAGGCTGGAGTGCAATGGCGTGATCTCACCTCACTGCAATCTCTGCCTCCTGGGTTCAAGCGATTCTCCTGCCTCAGCCTCCCAAATAGCTGGGATTACAGGCGCCTGCCACCGCGCCCAGCTAATTTTTGTTATTTTTAGTACAGACGGGGTTTCACCATGTTGGTCAGGCTGGTCTTGAGCTCCTGACCTCAGGTGATCCACCCGCCTCGGCCTCTCAAAGTGCTGGGATTACAGATGTGAGCCACCGCGCGGCCTTATCTAGTATTTTCATTGAGTTTTTCTCCTTTAGATTCTTACTGTCAATATTTTGTTATTCCTATCAAACTAAGATAAACAGTACCCCAAACATACAAAGCAACAAAACATGCAAACCTTTATCCTGTACCCGTCAGCTACCATCATACCTCTTACCTCTCAATGTCAAAAAATTTTAAAAGAGTTATAGGTACATGCCACTCCTTCTGCTTACCTTCCAGTTACTCTGAATAAATAAATTGCCAGTCTGGTTTCTGCACATACAAGTTACTCTCAAATTTAGTTTTAAATAGCTAGCTACCAGTTTGTTTCTATGTGACAACTTTAATATCCTTTGAAAAATACTTATGAAAAACTGACTTCAAGTGTCTAGTTTTCTGTAAGTTACAAAGATATATAGTCTACCTACATCTATTGTAAGCACTAGTAATAATTCAAAATGAAATTCTCTAAAAGATGTTAAATGAATAAAGTAAGATTTATTCCCAAAATCAGAATCTCAGAGACAAGGTAATGTTAATGTTGCCTCTTTGAAATGCTAGTTTCTTCGCTCTGTGGTCCAGTTTGGATATCCCAGAAGTCATAAAGTATAACGTCTTAATACCTCCAAGTATCCATTATCTACCTATATAATTTATTAATGGGCCGTGCATAAATGAGACACTTCTCAGTGGATTATGAATATATATTGCTTCTCAGATGTCTTAGGTTGATTTCCTTTTTAAATAACCAGTACATTTGAATTTAACCACGTCTTTTGTTCACAAACATCATCAAATTCTTAAATCTTACATTCAAATCCAAACTTTAGAAACTTTTCAACCTTTTACAAAGTATAATAAAGACTGCTCACTGCATCAGTGAAATGTGTTTTAAGTCCAGGATGTATTAAATTAAAGTTCAAGCTTTGTCCTTAACTGTTTATTTTTTAGAACTCTCTTAATATCGGAGAGTAGTTCTCCTGTTGTATTCTAAAAAGACTCGCTGAATTTGAAATAAAAATTATTTTAATTACAGCAACAAAAAAGTCAATATTTTCAGCAGTTTTTTCTGTATGAGTTTATTCAAGAAGTGAGTTTTTATTGGACATAACTTATATGCACATTGTACAGTTTTAATATATAAATGACTGTTTAAATCCTAACAGTGGCCTAATTTCATAAGTAGTATTTTGAAACAAAGTATCTAGGCTCTCTGTAAATAGTAAGGGCTATTAAGAATAGATTCCTTTTCTGCATGTTCCCTTTCCTGGTCTTTTTGGGTACTTTGCTTTGACTTTTTCCTTTCCCTTATGTTGATTATATCATTTGTTTTAAACTTTTCTTCCCGAAATACTTATCTCCAAAGGCAGATATTGAGATGGGGACAAAAAATGTTGTTGGACTGGTAGCTAAAGAACAAACTATAGTTCAGAGAATATACTTGAAATCTCACAAGATAGGTACATTTTGTTTAGTAACTTTGTTATTTAGTAACTTTTACAGCATTATCACTTTGATCTTAACAATAACTCTTCGAAAAATACACTAAAACTATGCCCTGCATCCAGCAAATGAGAAAACAAATTTGGATAAGATAAACATCTAAGATGGCAGTTGATAAGAGACATAGAATTAGAACACAGATCTGTCTTAAATTTCATGCTCTGATTTTCCTGAAATTAATAAATGGCATGAATCTAAAGCTTTAGATTACCTAAAATTTATTTAAATTTGGCTTTAGAATGTTAATTTATTCTCTACTGGACCACTATTAAAATTAATATGCATTCTCTGAACATGTAGCAAATGATGATGAAAGACTCTGAAGATAATTGAGCCGATGAGAATAAAAACCTGTGCAAACTTTTAAAAATTATTGATAAGCCCCATTTCAGTATATCATTATAGATAATTGAAAGTTCATTCTCAAAGTGTAAGAAAGTTCTGTTCAATGTGGTAGTTGTGAGATAAACTCTGTAAATCTTACTAGTAATGAGATGTTATGTTTAGCAATGATTAAGAATTGTTATTGGCAAATTCTGGAAAAGAAATTATTTTCATGATATGTTTGTATCTGTAGATTAATATATATAAGCTATTTACACAGTACTCAGTATGTGAAATTGTAATGTAATTGACAAATACACAAAAAGGTTACTAATACCACTAGTCATTTCTACACTTTTATGTCTTCCCATCAGTGGCAAACTAAATCCTTATGCTTTCAACATTTTTCTACTTAGCATCAATATATCCTTCACACACAAAACATTCTGCCTTCAAAAAATACGCCAATCCTTTAATTAGAAATTACAGACAATTTTCTGTTTGTTCATTCTTGTTCATATTTCTGACACTTGGTGATACGGTCTGGATCTTTGTCACCACCTAAATCTCATGATCAGTTGTAATCCTCAGTGTTAGAGGTGGGGCCTGGTGGGAGGTGATTAGATCATGAGGGTGGATCTTTCATGAATGGTTTAGCACCATCCCCTCAGTGCTGTTCTCATGTTGGTGAGTTCTCACGAGATCTGGTTGTTTAAAAGTGTGTAGCATCTTTCCCCTCTGTCTTGCTCCTACTCTAGCCACATAAAACGTACCTGCTTTTCCTTCACCTTCCACAGTGATTTTAAGTTTCCTGAGGACTCCGCAGAAGCAGAAGCCACTATGCTTTCTGTACAGCCTGCAGAACCATGAGCCAGATAGCCTCTATTCATTATAAATTACCCAGCCTCAAGTGTTTCTTTATAGCAGTGAAAGAATGGACTAATACACTTTGTATTCCAGATCATGAATTGTGTTTTGAAGGAAAAAAGTCACATAATTATAAGAATTTTGGAGGATACGATATATCTTAATAAAACATCTAATCTATTCAACTCCCCCCAAAATGGTTAAAAATTTTTATTACAGATCTTTCGTGGGATTCTCAAATATTTTTGCATTTTTATTTATATATTATAGTAATTTAATTTCCATAAAATTTGCCCATTTTAATTCTACAATGTAAGGATTTTTAGTAAGTTTACAGAATTGTGCAACTATCTTCTCAACCTAATTTTACTCTATTGCCATTACCCCCGAAAAAAGTCCATACCTATTCTGACTTTCAACCCCAGGAAACATCTAATCTACTTTCTATCTCTCTATATTTGTCTCTTCTGGACATTTAATGTAAATAATTTGTGTTTTTTAATGTCTGAATTATTTCATTGAGCATAACGTCTTCAAAGTTCATTCACGTTGTAACATTTATCAGTACTTCATTTCTTTTTATGACTGAATAATATTCCATTCTATGGATATACAGTCATGTGCCACCTAATACTTTGGTAAAGGACAGACTGTATGTAGGATGATGATCCCATAATATTATAATAGAGCTGAAAATTTTCCATTGCTTAGTGATGTCATAGCTGTCCTTAAGTTGTAGCACAATGCATTACTTATGTGTTAGTGGTGATGCTGGTGTCAACAAACCTGCTGCACTTCTAATCATAAAAAAGTATAGCACATAAAATTATGTACAATACATAATACTTGATAATAAATAAAGTTACTGGTTTATATATTTACTGTATTATTTATTATTATTTTAAGTGTACTTCTACTTATTAAAAAAAAGTTAACTATAAAATAGTCTCAGGCAGGTCCTTCAGGAGGAATTTCAGAAGAAGATATGGTTATTATGGGTGATGACAGCTGCATGCATGTTATTTCTCCTAAAGACCTTTTAGTGAGAGAAGATGTGGATGTGGAAGAAAGTGATATTGATGATCCTGACACGCTGTGTAGGCCTGAGCTAATGTGTACATCTTAAGTTTTTAACAAAAAAATTAAAATTAAAAAAAAAAACATTAAAATAGAATCAACCTTATAGAATAAGAATATAAGGAAAATATTTTGTACAGCTGTACAATGTATGTTTTAAGCTAACTGTTAATATAAGACATCCGTAAAGTTAAAAAATTAAACAGTTTATAAAGTAAAAATGTTACAGTAAGCTAAGGTTAATTTATCATTGAACAAAATTTTTTAAAAAGAAAATTTAGTTTAGCCTAAGTATATAGTATTTATAAAGTCTACAGTAATGTACAGTAGTGTCCTAGGCCTTCACATTCACTCACCACTGACTCACTGTCTCACCCAGGGCAACTTACAATCCTGTAGTTTTCATTCATAGTGCCGAGAAAATGTGTATCATTTTTATCTTTATGCTGGATTTTTAGCATTACTTTTCTATGTTTAGATATGTTTAGACACACAAATACCATTGTGTTACAATGCCTATAGTATACAAGACAATAACATATTGTACATATTTGTAGCCTAGAAGCAATAGGCTAGACCATATAACCTAGGTGTGTAGTAAGCTATACCATCTAGGTTTGTGTAAGTACACTCTATTGATATACTCACAGTGACAAAACTGTCCAAGGACACGTTTCTCAGATCATATTCCCATCATTAAACAATGAATGGCTGTGTACCACATTTTGTTTATTCATTCACTAATTGTTGAGGAATTGGGCTTTTCCCAGTTTGGGGGCATTGTGAATAAGCTGCTGTGAGCATTTATGTACAAGTCTTTGTGTAGACATCTGCTTTCATTTCTCTTGGGTAGATAACTAGGAGTAGAGCTGCTGTCTTATAGGGTTAACTGTGTTTAGCATATGAGAAACTGGCAGACAGTTTTCAAACTGCCTATAGCATTTTGCATTCCTTTCAGCAATGTATGAGTGTTCCACCTTCTCTCATTCTCATCAACATTTGCTGTCTTTCTTTTGATTATATTTCAATAGATGTGAACGGGGCATGGCATTGTGGCCATTACTTGCATTCCCCTAATGACTACTCCTGAGTACCTTCTCATGTGCTTATTGCCCAGTCATATATCTTCTTTGGAAAAATGTTCAATTCCCTTAACCATTTGTTGAATTATTTACTCTTTTGTTATTGACTTGTAAGCGTTCTTTATATATTTTAGATATAAATCCCTTATCAGACTTATGACTTGCAAATATTTTCTCCCATTCTATGGCATTTTTTGTTTGTTTGTTTGTTTTGAGATGAAGTCTCACTGTTGCCCAGGCTGGAATGCAGTGGCACAATCTTGGCTCACTACAACCTCTGCCTCCCAGGTTCAAGTGATTCTCCTGCCTCAGCCTCGCTAGTAGCTGGGATTACAGGTGCCCATCACCACACCTGGCTAATTTTTGTTTTTTTTTATAGAGATGGGGTTTCACCATGATGGGCAGGCTGGTCTTGAACTTCTGATCTCAAGTGATCCTCCCACCTTGGCCTCCCAGAATGTTGGTATTAACAGATGTGAGCCACTGCACCCGGCCTCTGTGGAATGTTTTGAAGCATAAAACTTTTAAATTCTGATGAAGCCTAGTGTATTGTTTATTTATCACTTGTACTTTTAATACAATCTAATGAGTCAGGGAGTGACCCAAGATTATGAAAATTTACTCCAATGTTTTCTGTTTTATAACCTTACCTCTTATGTTTAGGTCCGTGATCCATTTTTATTTAATTTTCCTGTATGCTGTGAAATAAGGGTAGAAATTTATATTTTTACAATGGATGCCCAATTGTCTCAGCACCATTTCTTAAAAAGACTATTCCTTTCCTATTAAAATTTCCTAGCATATTTGTTAAAAAATCAATAGATCATAAATGTAAGAGTTTATTACTGGGTTCTTAATTATATTCCATTTATTTACATGTCTGTCATCATGCCAGTACCCTATTCCTTACTGTAGGTTTGTAATAAGTTTTGAAATGGGGAAATGTAATTCCTCCAAATTTGTTATTTTTTAAGGTTTCTTTGGCAATTTGGCATCTTTGTATTTATGTAGACATTTTAGGATCAGCTTGTAAGTTTTTGCAAAACCAAAAAAGCAGAGATTTTGATAGAGATTCCATTGAATCTATAGACCAATTTGTAGAGTATTGCCATCTTAACAATATTAAGTCTTCTGATACATGAACATAGGATGCTATTCCATGTATTTAGGTCTTGTTTAATTTCTTTCAGCAATGTTTTATAGTTTCGAGTATAAATTTTTCACTTATTTTATTAAATTTATTCCTAAATATTTTATTCTTCTGGAATCTATTGTGGATGGAATTATTTTCCTAATTTCATTTTCAGTCTGTTCATTGCTAATGTATAAAAATGCAATTTATTTTTACATGTTGATTTTAATCCTATGACATTGCTGAATCAAATATTTTATGAGAGTTTAGAAAAGCCCACCCTAAATACATAATGATAACATTACAGAAAACTTAGGGGGAAATCTGTGAGCCAACCATCTTGTTAAAATAATTCTGACATTCTGATGTAATTTTTTTATTTTAACAAATTTTTGCACAACTTTGTAGGATACATGTATAACACAATACAATGTGCCTTCTGTTTTTACATTTATTATTGTATTTTATGTGTTTTTCTATAACAGTTTTATAGAAAATATAACATAAATGATTACTTGTCAGAGAAGTAAACTTGTTATAGGACTTATCAGAATCCATAATTGAGGATATCAAGCCAAATTGTTTTGTATAAAAGTGTTTCAGAATAAATATATGGGTTCCGGGGTCAGAAATATGGAAGTCAATATCAATAGGAAACATATAACTACTATAACAACAACAAAATCAGCAATGCTATTGTGAATAGTGCTGCGATAAACATGCATGTGCAGTGTCTACCCAAATGCCCATCAGTGATAGACTGGATTGAAAAAAAAAAAAAAAAGAAAAAACTGTTTTCAGCTCTCACACTGTCTGTTTTACTGTCTTTTAAAAGTTCTTTAGTTCACCTATGGCTTTCTTAAATTATGATGTTGACAGAATACTTTGACCTGTATAAAGTATGGGAGACTATTGACCTCCTTGTTCTGGAGATTCATTATTTTATTTGCTGCAATCTTAGCTTCTATGCAGCAATATTACAGTCTCAGTTTATACTTATTTTGTGATCACCTAATATCCTGGTTTTTATACTCATTAAATGTTGTTAAATCATGCTTCTGCCATATTTCTTGTGTACTTTCCTTCATCTTGTCTCCCTATATTTCCCTCCCTTTCTCCTTCCCTCCCTCCCTCCCTCCCTCTCTCCCTCTCTCCCTCTCTCCCTCTCTCCCTCTCTCCCTTTCTTCTTTTCTTTCTTTTGTCTCACTCTTTTGTCCAGGCTGGAGTGTGGGGGCACAATCATAGCTCACTGTAATCTCAAACTCCTGGGTTTGAGCGATCCTCCCACCTTAGCCTCCTTGAGTATCTAGGACTACACGTGCACACCACCATGCTCGTTTGTTTTGATTTTTTAAAAATTTTTATATGGACAGGGACTCACTAAGTTGCCGAGGCTGGCATTTATTCTTCCTATGTTTTATTGTGTTGACTTTATCCCACAGTAGTGTATTCTTTAAAAATATCTCTTGACTTATATAAACTAAAATTAAATAATAAAAATAGTCTTGGAAGCAAACCAGCCTACAGGTATACTACATCCAAAAATTTCTAAATCTCATACCAAATTTGTAGTGATGCTTTGTATAAACATAACGTCCCAATTCTGCTTGAACTGTTACTACACTTCCACATAATACAGTAGAGTACGCTGTGCCAATATTATGCTATGCTTTCTACCAAGTGTCATGTGTTTTGCCGCAGCAGAAAAGATTTTAGTCAAATCAAAAAGCAATGAAACTCAAGAACTTTACCATTATATTTCTAGCTTTATTCTCTCATTGATGCTATATTTTTGAAACTTTGATATCCCATCATTATCACCAATAGCATAAAAACAATAATGCCAATACTACAAATAATAAAAATGTATTATTGAAATGTATATGGATTAAAACAAATGTGCAACATTTGTAAGTGTTCATATGTCTTCAGATCTTTTCTGGCAGACCTGGAAAATAGTTATTGTCAAATCAACAATGAAAACAATAATAAACTATTAAATAGAGGAGTGAGGAAGGAGCTTTGCGTGTGTGTGTGCGTGCGCGCGTGCCCACATGTGTTTTTGGTGGAATAAATACTTTCTCTATTTCCTAATTTATGATTCTACTAATCAGGTGTCTTCAAAACAATAATGTATTCCTTGGCAATACAAATCTGAAAGCTGTCAGTAAATTCTGTCATTTATTTCCATTGTTTTCACCACGTACTAAAAGATAGAAAGAACAAGACTATAGGAGATTGACAGATTGTCCAGGCATATGCCACATTAGTTCCACAGTCAAATATATATTTTGCAAATCATAAGGCACACAGTCTTTTCAGGATTACACAATGAGGCACAGATCTTTACACACTGTCCAAACAAATGTCTTCCAAGCCAAGTAGACCTATGTGCTAAGGTTGATTTCAAAAAGAGTACGGTAAAGAAAATAAGCCAAGATAGGAGATCACAGGAGAAAATGGAGGTTGACAGATGAAGCACAATGGTAGGAACAGAGACTCTGAGATGGAACTTTGAGAATGCTGAATTTTCAATCTCAAACTCATTTACTTATGGTCATAAGCCACTGAATTTACGTGTCAATATGAGAAGGGATGAAAGTATTCCAAGCTTGGAAAAATAACTAAGTTTCTGACGATTGTTGTGGGAACCAATTGTATAATGTGAATAAGAATTAGTTTATTTGATAAGTTTGAGTTTGCTCTATTCATTTATAAAATCAGGATGAAACACTTTATAAACGCCAAGTCACATTATAAGTTATATATAAGACATAGGCATTTACTTAATCATAGTGTCATTTGAGGCAAATTACCTACAACATTTTCAGGTCACCATCACACAAATAATGTCTGAAAAGAACCTGAGAAAAGCCCACTTTTTTGTTTGAATTTATTTTCTGTTACAAGGAAAAGCTTGAGATTATACAGTTGTTTTTAAGTTACTTGAGATGGTTTTGAAGAAATGGACTTGATGAGAGATGATAAGGGGAGGAATGTTTTAGTTCTTGCCATGTCCCTCTCTGATTATCTCCTCTGTGGTCAGAAGATAGGGACTGGGGTGAAGATGGCAATCTGGCCAAAGAGGAGGTGTTAGAGACTCATTGCCCTTCTTTACCATTTTGCCTAAAACCAGCCCTCCATCTGATTAACAGAATATCTGAGAAAGCAAATGTTTACTTAAAACCCAAATGATTCATGTCTCTATCTATCTATCTATCTATCTATCTATCTATCTATCTATCTATCTATCTACACATACCTGGAGTTCAGTGTCTTATCATGATCTGATTGTATAACCCAATAATTTTCTGAGATAGCCAACTATTTTTTCCAGAGACAATGTGAGAAAGAATAGTTTCTTTTGAGAAAAGTTAAAAAAAGCACCTACCCTAATTCTGAAGACAAAGACCATAATAAATGCTTTTAATATTGTACCAAATGAACCAACATCTGATTCCCTAAGAGGAATAACATTAAGAGTATTCATGATTTAAAAAAGGAACAAAGGTGTTAAGAAGAATAAAATATATAAACTGTGATTACTCAGAGTTTAATTTGTACATTTTTGTGTGGTGAATTATTCAAACTCTAACTTCTGTCTCTCTCTTTTTTTAATCTTAATGTCTTCCTTTCACCACTTGTTATCACTTCCAGAAAAAAAAAGTAGACTAAAATTGCAAAATAGAAGAAAATATAGAAATTATCAGGGGCTGAAGTTACTATAGAAGAAGATAAAAATTATTCTGGGCAGCTACCATAACTGAATAGGTAGTAATTGGTCTCATCTGGATTATACTTCAGGGCAGTGTACGTAGGAATCTTTTGGAGTTTTTTTTTTGTATAACCTATATCTGTCTATGAAGTAGATATATCTTTATAATATCTGTGTGAGTAGAAATAAGTGAATAACAGAAAATTTGAGTAAGCCAGGTAATTCCAAGAAATGTATGTATCCTACAAGTAGGACAATGGACAGATAACCTTTAATAGTCAATTATAGACATGAGATAGAAAGTCCCCTGGAATATGGCAAGATGACAGATTGGACATAATTTGTAAAAGGCAGAGATGTCCCATTCCTTGAGAGTGCATAACTCAAGATTACCCTACTAAAATGTAATGAGAGAATAATGAGGCATCATAAATAGAGGAGTGAGACAAAATATCTTGTGACAAAGATTTGATGTTCTTTATCCTAAGGGGGAAAATACAGAGGTGAGAAGGGAGTGAGAGACAGATTTTACCTTGGAATTGTATCATAAGCTAGACTTCCCATTGTCTTTCTGTCTCTTCTGAGAGACTATAAGTAAGCTCAAAAATCAAAGCCTCCAGATAGATTTTTTTAAAAGAAAAAAACGTTTGAAAAAAGAAGGAAAACAAAACAAAGCAAAATATATGAATAGTTCCAGGGCTCCCAATCCAGAGCCGCGAGGTGTTCACTAGGTTCTTACCTCCAATTTTTGTCTTCTAGCACCAAAAGACTACTGAAAATTTTACTCTGTTTTTCAGTGGCTTTCTCTTTAACTTTTTTTAAAAATGTATTATGTATGTATATATTTAGAGGAAGGATCTCGCTCTGTCACCCAGGCTGGAGCACGGTGGTGCCATCCTAGCTCACTGCAGCCTCAAACTCCTGGGCTCCAGGGATCCTCCCACCTCAGTATATACAAAAATAAACAAACAAATCAGCCAGACTTCATGGCACAGGCCTTGAGTCTCTAACTTTTTAGCTTTGATCCTTTGCATCTCAGAATTAGAAAATTCCTTGAGGGGAGATCCACTGCTAAATACTAAATTCATATCCCTGGGCTTTTCCTCTTTCCAGCCTCTCCAACTCTTAATTTTTAGTTTCTTTGTCAGTATTGAATTACAATTTATATGATATAAATGTTTATTGATGACCTATTATAGATCAAGTAGTGGGCCACGTACTAGGGGAAAATTGGGCACAAAAAAACAGATGAGGTCTTGGCCCTCATACAATTTAAAATCTGCTAGAGGACTCAGACATAGTCAAGTAATTACACAAACAAAAGAAGCCGAATGAGTGGAAGGAAGTACATGGTGCCACAAACCCATGCCTTAGGTGATTTTAACTTGGTTGGGGAGGTAGGCAGAAGATTCTCTTAGGAAATAATTCTTTATCTCTGACTAAGGATGGGCAAGGGGTAAGTAAGGAAGGAGGGCTACTAAAGAACATTATAAGGGCCGGGCACTGTGGCTGGCGCCTGTAATCCCAGCACTTTGGGAGGCCGAGGCGGGCAGATCACAAGGTCAAGAGATCGAGACCGTCCTGGCTAACACGGTGAAACCCTGTCTCTACTAAAAATACAAAAAATTAGTTGGGCGTGGTGGCAGGCGCCTGTAGTCCCAGCTACCCGGGAGGCTGAGGCAGGAGAATGGCGTGAACCCTGGAGGCGGAGCTTGCAGTGAGCCGAGATCGCGCCACTGCAGTCCAGCTTGGGCGACAGAGCGAGACTCCGTCTCAACTAACTAACTAACTAACTAACTAACTAACTAACTAACTAACTAACTAAGATTACGAGACAGGAAGCACAGAAGCATAAGCCCTGTGCGGGATGGTGAGAATAAGAAACCAAGAGAAGACGGATGTGCCTGAAAGGAGAGAGCTCTGGGAAATTTGACACGTGATGAGGCCAGATAGGATGCTGGAGGCCAATTCACGTCGTGCCTCTTAAGCCAAACTAAGAAGCGTTATCTTCATCCTCAGAGCAACGGAAGCCATTCAAAGACTTTAAGAAGGGAAGAACATAATGAGAATGGCTTATTGGAAATTTTAGCTGGCTGTAATGTAGCTAATGGGCTGTAGCTCATTACATATTATAATACCAATGTTACTGTTGAGGAGTATAAATGTCAAAGAGATTGTCAAATGTATTTATGGCCACAGAGCTAATAAGTAATGGAGTTGGAACTCAAGCTCAGAATTCTACTTCCTGACCTGGGGCTTCTCCCTTTAATCAGAGTTGTCTGATATGAAAGAAGAAGAGCACACATAGAAAGGGCTCCCAGGTAAACACCAGCAGTTTGATTTGATTGTCAGATGACACCAAGAAAGGAGAGGCCAGTCTTGGGGTCTATATTTTCAAACTGGGAGAAAAAGAGAGAAAGACCAGATTGGTGGAGAAACTGATGTGGCATGTGAGGAATAGAATACTAGGTATGTCTACCCTAAAGGAAAGAATATGTGGGCGGTGAAAACATGGCAACTGTCTTCAAATAGTGAAGAATATGAATTTATTTGACAGGGCTTCAGAGAACCAACCAAGGCCAATAGAGATAAGATACAGGGAAGTACCTTTTAGGTTTTTAGAAGAGTTATCTGAGGAGGGGTGTTGTCGAAACTGTAGCAGAGTTTTCCTATTATTGAAATTATATAAGCAGAGCTGGATAACCACTTATAATAATAGTGTAGAAAATATTCATCTTTTGGGCAGAGAAACAAACCTTCTGATGTCTGAGAGCCCTTCCAACTCCTCCATTCTGTGATTCTCTGACACATAATTACACATAACCTTTCAAATTTCTTAAAGAGAAGATCCCAATATAAAAATACAGTAAAATGTCTATAATGCAAATAAACTTGCTCAGAGTTCAAACTATTTTTAAATTTTAAAATATTTTCATATAGCAATGGTTGTTATAATGCCTAAGGCATGGTAAAAAGCCAAGTTGTAGGCAGTGTAGCAAATTATAAATACCAGGTTGTATAGTAAAACGTCATTCCTTTTAAAAGCTTACTTTAGATATAATGGTTATTAATTCTTGAAAATTAGATATGCTGGAAATCGCTTTATATGTAGCATATATGGATAAAATTATTATTAGGTTTTATGTATAACTTGATTGCTGATATAAAATTGATGGTTTCTTTGTCAGCATGCAACATTATTAATGTGCTCAGCACACACATATCAATGTTCCAATAAATACTAGAGAGCATCATCCCACTAAAACAAAAACAAAAACACCTGTAAATGTTTAAGTTTTTCAAGTGAAAGATGATACTTGCAATGTGGGAGATTATTTTAGAATTGCTTAGTGAGGCCTGGTTTACAGGCTTGATAAGAATTATGAATATAACTTTTAATTCTGCCACCAGATGGCAGAAGTAGCCATTACTTAGGTAAATGTTTACAGTTAAAGTGCTTTAATATGTTTTACATTATTAGATTAAACCAAAACAAACAATTTGGATATTTGTAATAGCGTGTAACATGTTTTGTAATGGTAAAGATGGAAAATATTAGCTTAAATGAGATTTTGGAATTAAATTAATCATAATGTTTATGTATCCCCTGAGAATAGTATTTTTCTTTAATAAAAAAACTCTCACAAGGAATTCCCACTGATATGTTTTAATGAATGCAGTAAATATCTTAATTAATTATTTATACATTAATAATTCCTATATCTTCCTAAAGGTAGTCATTGGACTCAATATTGGGGTAAATTTAAAAGCATTATGCACATGCTGAGTACAAACCAAAGACTAAAGATATTATATAGTTATTGAGTTAAGGCATGGATGATTTTTTAAAAAGATTACAAATGTTACAAACGAAATACAATCACATGTACCTAATACAAAGTTATTTGCCTTTAATAAGTTAAAAAATAAAATTAATTTGTCTAGTCTCTAGACAATTTTAAAACATCAATCCAAAGGGATACATGTGTTTCTTTACTAAACAGTAAATGCCATGGCTAATTAATGCGTGTTTTCAAAGATCACGGATACATTAGCTGTTTTCCATATCAATTCACATTTTTGTTGTGTTGTTTTGTTCAGTCCTTTAAAAAAATCTACTTCCTTACATCCCACTGACTCTTTAACCTTCTACATCTGGCTTATCCTAACTATGACAAAGAAAATAGTTTTATCCAGTAAATTTGACTCTTCTTTACCAACTAACACACTATTTTGGTCCTAAACTCTCAGTATTATGTGACAAAGATTACTGTGTTTTTCTTCTTAAAACAGGATCTTTCCTTGACTCATTTGCTTCCATACTCCTTCATGTTTTTCTTTGCACTGCTTTTTAGTCTATTTGGAGGGGGAGATTCTTGTCCTCGACTCCACCTGCAGATGTCAGAAATCATAGGACCACTTGTTTTCTTTTTTTTTTCCCCTCAACATTTCCCTACATAGTGCCATTCATTCTGTCACCTCCCAATGTTATCTCTATGATGAAGCTTCCCAAGTGCCTATCCCAGCCCACTTCTCTCTACTGACCTCTAGACTTGTACATCCAATTGCCTCCTTGAACAAAGTCTCTTTTATTCTAGTACATTCCCTTTCTTCATGAGACTGACTTGATGAATGGGCTAGGCACAATGTTTTACCTTCCAGCAAAAGTGTCGAAAATGTGCTAAAGTAAAAACCACACAACCTATTTTCTTGTCAAGTGGGAAAAAGTAATTGTACAGGAGAATGGCCACACTATCATCAGTTTCATCCAGAAGCAAGATATTTATAAAGGGCTTTGAAAACTTCTGCTTAGGGCAGTAATAACTATATAGTTAAGGTGTGCCTTAATTTACAGAGTAGACATATTAGGACTAAAGATAAGCTTGAGCTAAATTGTGTTAATTCATAATGCATTAATTCATAAAGTTCTTTGCAGTGAAGATTCTTGGTTTACACTGGTTGTTTTATACTGAAAGACCTGTCAACTTAAATATGACTGTGATGTATATTTTCTATTTATTGTTTCACCTAGCTAGTGACCTATGATAGGCCTTGGTGCCAAATATTCTGCCCAAATGAAAACAAGATGCAATACAGACTCACTTTAAATTAGAATCAAGAAACACGGAAAGAATGAGACACTGGACAATGAGATCTACCCATGTAAAGTTATGGATTAAATTACTGAAGAGGCCATGAGTAAAGCCACGTATGAATGAGGCTGTTCTATAAGGAAGAATAGTGTTTGTTAAAATGAGTACCTGCTATGTGCTGAGTATTGTTCTGAGCACTTGTTTGCAGGTAAACAAGAACATTTACCAAGTAAGGTGCATGTTAACAAGTAAACACATTCAAAATTTTGTGGAAGAACATTTTAGGCAGCATAAACAACAAATGCAAAGATCCTAAGGCAGAAACTAAAAAACGAAAGAACAGCCACTCGTTTACAAGCAAACGAGAACATTTACTGGAAAACACACCTTAAAGAGGAAAGAATGGTATAGCTATAGTTTAGTGAGTGAGAGGTTATCAGAGACCGGGGGTATAGGAGGATGAGCTCAATTTCTAAATCAAAACCAGTAAAGATTTTTAAGAAGAAGTTCATGTGATGTGATATGTGACTACTTTGGCTGTTGTATGGACCATGGGTTGCAAGCCTAAGGCTAGGAGGATATCTCAGTGGGAAACAAAAGAAAGCAATATGTATTTTTTGCCTCAAATATGGCAAATAGGAAAGATTATGAGTAGGCCAAGTAGATGACAGGATCCATGTAGTACTGTTTTGCTTTTGTTTATATTTTTTAGAACTGAGGTATCTTTCATGTATATGTAGGCTAAAATAAAGGAGAATTAGATAAGGAGAGTTAAAGAAGCAGAGATAGAAGAGTAAAGATACAGAAAAGTGTCTAATGATCTAAGATCCTTGTTGAGGTGTCTACAATTAAATTTAAGAAGTGCTGGCTCTTGTCAGGCCCCATGTTCTATTGGAGTTGTCTCAAGTTGGGCTAGAAATTGGAAAAAAAATGCACATCATAGATTAATGGTAGAGTTTTATTGAAAAAAGGAGAATCTGGCATGACTGGGATCAGCAAGACAAAGATGTAAAAGGGCCTCTTGACTCATTATCATTCTACAGTGCAGCATGCCAGGAGCAGGGCATCTGCTGGACATGCATGTTTTCATTTTGGTGAAAGAATACCTCACCTCTGTGTGTCTCCCCATTAACAGAGCAAGCATGAGAAGTGGCCTTGACAGTAAGGGAATACATTGGATTTATGTCATCGGGAAATCTGGATTTTGTGTGCTTGCCAATTATTAGGAATTCTCTGGGGAAGCTAGATATTCTCTATCTAAGGAAATAGGAATCTGAAAGGTCTGAGAGATTCTCTGATTCACCCTGGCTAAGAGAAGAAGTCTTTGGTTCTGTGGAAAGGTGGACTTGGGTATGTACTGTAAGTTGGAAAAAGGAAAAACTCACCCAGGTCCTAGCAAGCTCATTGTCCATGCAACCCACAGGAAACATCTAAGGTCATTTTTAGATATTTCTGCTAATAACACAGTAGCTCTAAATGAAAAAAGAGGTACTACATCCAATACTAGAGAAAATAATTATATAACAATTAAGGTATTTGTGGTGAGAAGGTGACAGGAGAGGAGGAATGTAAATAACTGATGTTCTCAATTTTCCCAATGAAAACAAGCAGCAAGGTTACTTGCTGAGAATGGGAGAGGTTGTGTGGGAATATTGTGGAAGTTTAAAATTACAATTAAAAAGAGAAGCTAAGAAAAAGTGAAAAGATTGATGAACAATTCCAAGGGCCCACATGATGCACTTTTATTTAGGGGGAGACATGGTTTATCAATGTTAATGGTATTGACATGCATGTGTTTATATGTAGATGTGCATGTTTTCCTTTAACAACATTAACTCTGTTTCTAGAAATCAGGTGGGAGGCTATATAATTGATTTATATTTGGAATTTTTCTAGTTGTATGTGGTAGAAGGATGGGATTCATGGTATTCATAATTGAGGAAGCTGGTGAGAGGTTAGTTTAGATGATAAACCATACACCATGGCACCCACGCATCGTACGAAAAGGATAGAAGCCCTAAGGGGGCTGACAGGTCAAGAGGAAAGTATTCATCAAAAAGATAATATTCTCTCTGTTTAAGAAGTTCCATGGATCAGAAGAGTAAGAGAGAAGGATAGTTAGAGGCTTTTGTCAGACTATGGAATGCTGGTATTTACATTGTTTTAAATAGAGCCATTTAAGGTGATAAATAGAATATAACATTATTATTTTGTTGCCAAAGTAGACTGAGAATAGCATGGACATTAAGAAGGTCCAGGATTTTCTGGTTTAAGAGTATTGGATAATTCATTTACATGAATCCTGAAGCCTTCTAAAATTATAGTGGGAGTTCTGATGGAAAGAAAGAGTATGAGGTCTCCCAAATTTTGGCAAGTTTAAGTAATTTATTGAAAATTCAAATGATTGTAGTGGCAAGGAAGTAGACTCATATGACATTATGGCATGACTCTTCAGAGAAGATAAGACATTATAAGAGATGACAGTTATCCAAGAGAATGCAGTCACCCCTCTTCCACCATATCCAAGTGGTACAAATGTGAGGACAGGTGTCACCTCCTTAAAGAAAGAAAAATCTGCTCAGCTAATACATAAGATAATTTGAAGATATAGAGGACAATTCAGAAGAGTTTGAGGGAAGGAAGTCAATACAGCAGGAGGAACAAGCAGCAAAGTGTATCAAAAGAATGAGAGCTCTGGGGAAAGACTGGTCTTTAGTTTCGTGGTGCGGAAGTACTAGGGTGGGGAGCAGAACTAACTACCTAGCTCAAATATTTTGATATTGGTCTAAGTTATTTGGTTGCAGAACTGGCTGAGGGTCTCAGGTAATATCTGGCTGTGTTAAAATGTGTAATAGATAATATTTCAAAGTTGTGGCAATTGTCTGTTTTGCAGAAAGACCATTCCGATTTGGAACAGTGAATAGGCTCCTGGTGAAGCCAGGACTACTGTGAGGATTGTGGTGTAGCTGTTTGATCCTTCTTCTGGGTTGTGTGGAATGTGGAAAACAAGGGTGTAGTAGTGATGAAGGGAGGGTCTCCTGGAAAATTTGTTTTCATATTGACTTTTATTAAATTTTAAAAGGAAGCAATAGTTAATATATACACTTTTACAAATAATTAAAATATACATTAATATTCAGTTTTTACACTTCTGCTTATTTTTAAACAAAGATTTCTCTCTTTGTTTAACAGTAAGAACATTAAGGTTGGTGTCTAATGTAGCTCTTGGAAATACAAAATCTCTTTCATTTATTAATGACTATAATTAAGGTACACATTTGCTAAGACCAATAATTAGGTTCCATAATGAACATACTACAGTAATCGTTAGCTGTGACATAAAACATGACAAGATGAGGGTTTGCTTCCCTTTCTCTTTCCCTCCAGTTTATATTCTCTCTAATAAAACTCTTAAATCTTCTGTGTCTGTGTATGTGTGTGTTTTGCACCTAATATGGAAGACTGGTGTGCTGGCAGGATGGTGAGGAGAGCCAATGGTCTCATTTAATGAAATTGGAAGCTTCTCTCTTCTTTTGTTTTTCTTCTCTATTCCTCACCATGTTTCTTCTATACCCCTGTACATTTCACTGCCAACCGACAAGGCAATGAGATGAAAAATACAACAGAGACTAGCCAGAAAGAGAATAAGGAGCATTGTCCCAACCGTCTGCTGAGAAAGAAATGCATTCTTCCCAGCTACGGCATTCAGTCAGGTTAGTGGTTGAGAACTGAAATTATTTTTGCTGGTATAATTTATATATTTTCTTTATGATCCTAACATAAAATCAGCACTATGGATAAGATTGCTGAGACAGATAGCTTTAATATGGTAAGAAAAGGAAAGGCAAGCAGTGAGGGGTCAATCCTGGAAACTGCACCAAGGTGGCTGGATGACACGGGTACACTCAGCTGCAGGCGACCTGAGGGAGTTCAGGCAAGCAGAGAACACAGAAAGAGATAATACATAATCACAGTTTCAGGGGTAGGAAATCTTCAACAAGAGCTAAAATGGGCCTAGCAACAGGAGTTAGAAGCATGGTAAAGAGGAGGTGGAGAACAGAGATGGTGAGATTCAGGCTGCCAGGAAGACAGTTTTCAGTTGTTACAGGAACCTGATAAGTGAACTCTGGTCTTACAGAAAACTGTTAGGACAAAGTAGAATCACAGAATGAGAGGAACTTAGGTGCTTGAAATCATGTCAAGGCAAAGTACCAGAGAAAAAGAGAAGGACCAGGATACTGGAATAAGTATGGAATAACTTAAGAAGAACTGGGACTCAGGAGTAGAGCAAAGTTTTAAGGGCCTATATTATACTGAATTGCTTTTGCAAATGAAACCAGAGTGTGGCAGAGGAAGCTATTTGTCTCTGACCTGATGCAGGTCTAAGTTAGTAGTTGGAGGCTAAGAGACTCAGCTTTAGGTTAATCGGCAAAGATAAGGACAGGAAATCTAATAGGTTATTACAACCAAAATATCTTTTTAAAAAGTGATTAGAATTGAGTTTGAAATAAAGGTGATTGGATGATTACCTGGTAGCAGATGTATGTTTATTTGTGGGAGGAGGGTGCAGGGCAGTGCATTAGTTCATGAGAGAAGAGACTGCAACTTACAGTGTTTTGGTTCCAGAACATGCTAGGATTTTTTTTCTCTCCTGGTATCTGGAACATTTGGTATCCAAATAATTTTAATTCTGTTTAACTTAATAGCTAACTTTGGGTTTATTCATTCATACAACAAATATTTAGCATTTTTTGTTTTATTACATGTAACTAGGCAAGTCCTATCATCTCTAGGAAACTGGGACGAGTACTTAAAACTAAACATGTTTTGTTTCTTTGCTTTGATGCATTGTTTCATATGTTATCTTTTTTTTTTGAGTTTCAGATAACCTGAAAGAAGGTTATGAGGTTTGTATGTGAAAAAATAAAGAATAGGATTTTTAAAAGATTAAGAAACAGCCTTCAATTCATAGTCTAAATTTGGGTAAGAAAAGAAATGAAAGTTATAAAATTGACTTCATTCCATGACTTAAAATTTCCTTTGAGAAGTTCTGCTTCACTTAAAAAATGAGAAGCCTTATAAGAATGTCACTCTAACCCCTAATGAAGAGAGCAAAGAAGAACAGTGACACGATAACTTTTTCTGAACCCCTCAGAGAACTGAAGTCACAAAAAAATAGATGAACTGAATTCCAAAGGGGCCATAAACACCTTCAAAGAGAGGCAGGGCACACCTTTAGCAGAGCAATGGAGAAAGAGATGGAAACCATTAAAATGGGTAAGAAGCAAAGAATAAACATTTTAATGAAATCTCAAAGGTCAAATGTAGGCTAGTGTAGCAGAATAGAATCCCTAGGAGTACTGGACATAAGGCACAAAAGCACCTCCACCCTCCACACCAGATAATTTCCACAGATTTCCACCATGTGCTCAAAAGAAAAGATGGAGGGCAGGCGGGAGACCACAGAGGACAGGCAAGATACTCCACATGCTTGTCACACCCACCTCTCATTGAAGCAAAAGCTATCTTCTGCTAGAGGAGGACAGGAAGCACTCCTGTGCCCTGGTCCAGGGGAAAGGTCTGCTGCTATTGGGGGACAGGTAGAAGCAAAAATTGTCTGCCAATGAAAGAGGAGCAAGAAACATGCCCAGTTCAGATTCCTGTGCTGATACAGAAGCAGAGGCGGTCTGCTGCTACTGGAGAAGGAACTTAAAGGGAAAAATTCCTTTGAGTTCAAATTCTCCAGTTTTGGAAATTTTATGCAAATGGACTCCCATGAGATAAAACAAACAAAAAACACAAACTCTCTCCCCACCATGGCAAGAAGCACCCACAACACACACACATCAAAAAATACAAAACAGAGTTTAGCTGACATGAAGAGGCAGGAAAGAAATTCTGAGAAGCCCATACTCTGAGGTTCAGATGCACAGGCCTGTCTAGGATCGGGGCTTTGAAAAGCAGCAGTCACAAGCCTGAGACACAGAGGGAGAAAGTGGGTAGGAGGAGACGGAGGTAGGGAGAGAGAGAGATCGGTAGGGTGAGAGAGAGACTGAAAGAGAGATGAATTGATTGATTTTAAGAAATTTACTGACATTTTTATGGGAACAGTCCTAAATTTGCAGATCAGGCTGACGGGGTAGAAATTCAGGGAAAAGTTCATGTTACAGTCTTCAGTACAAAATCTGCAGGCTGGAAACACAGGCATGGTTTCTAATTCTGCAGTGTTGAGGAAGAATTGCTGCTGCTTTGGGAAACCTCAGTCTTTACTCTTAAGACATTCAGCTGGTTGGCTGAGGCCCACCTAATTATGGAGGGTGATCTGCTTTACTCAATGTCTACCAATTTAAATGTTAATTACATCTAAAAATATACCTTTATAACAACATCTAGATCTGTATTTCACCAAACAATTGGGCACTATAGTCTAGACAAGTTAACATGTAAAATTAACCATCACAATGGTCAGTATCAGAAAGGATACTTCAGAAAAATTATTAAGAATAATAGCCCAAGTGAAGTGGCTCATGCCTATAATCCCAGTACTTTGGGAAGCCAAGGCGGGCGGATCATGAGGTCAGGAGTTTGAGAACAGCCTGGCCAACATAGTAAAACCCTGCCTCTACTAAAAATACAAAAATTACCTGGGCATAGTGGCACACGCCTGTAATCCCAGCTACTCAGGAGGCTGAGGCAGGAGAATTGCTTGAACCTGGGAGGCGGAGGTTGCAGTGAGCCGAGATCGCACCACTGCACTCCAGCCTGGTGACACAATGAGGCTCTGTCTCAAAACAATAATAATAATAATAATAAAGAGGGACATTACATGAAGATAAGGGGGTTAACTTTTCAAGAGAACATAACAGCCTTAAATATATATATATATATATCCATAGCTTCTAAATACATGAAGCAAAAACCAATAGAACTGAAAGGAGAAATCCATAAATATACAATTATAGTAGGAGACTTTAACAATTCTCACCCAATAATCAGCAGAATATATAAACAGACGATTCAAAAAATATAAAAAACCTGAATAGAACTATCAACCAACTTAACCTAATTAGCATTTATAGTACACTCCAACCTACAATAACAGAATAAATAATCAAGATATTCTGGGCAATCAAGTTTCAATAAATTTAAAAAGATTGAAACAACTGAAACATGCATGAATATGTTTGCATCCTGAGAGCATTTTATTAAGTTAAAGAAGACAGCAACAAATGGCTACATACTATATGATTTCATTAATATGACATTCTAGAAAAGGAAAATCTACTGGGACAGAAAGGTTGCCAGGAGCCAGATTTGCAGGGAAGGTAATTGACTGAAAAGAACACAAGGGAATTTGGGGAATGATGGAAATGTCCTATACTATGATTCTAGGGTAGTTACAGGACTGTGTGAATTTGTCCAAACTTACTAAGCTATACATTTATAAAGTATGAATTTTGTTCAGGTAAATTACATCTCAATAAATGTGATTTCTTAAGATAAATTCCTTTGAGTTCAAATTCTCCAATTGTGGAAATTTTATACAATTAGACTCCCATGAGATTTTTTAATAAAACAAAACCACAATAGTGGGTTATCAAATACCCAGGTGGTACTCAGGGCCAAAGGGTATCCCTTTGGGCCCCTTTGTATGAAAGCCTTGTCCTTCCTTTAACTACCATAATGGCACATGTTCACTAACTAGATCAATTTTTATCTCAAAGTAACCACAAATGAAATGTTTTTTAAAATATTAGATATGTTCATTAATTTTTACTTATTATACGTATAACAATTATTTATAATTTGGTTCTCATTACCTAGAGCACATTTGTAACTTTTTTCAATAGTAGAAATAAATTTACATGATATTGACTCATAATTGAGGGCTATACCTTATTTTCATCAAAAATATACTTAGTTGGACTGTAGGCTAATTGGAACAAAGAATTAGGCAGCTCACATACTCATTAAATATTCTATTGAAGATTAATATGCAGAAATACACACAAAATATTCAAGCTAGATAGATTTTCATGAAGTAAACCTAGATCAAGAAACAAAACATTGTCATCTCCTGGAATCCTTATTTTGCCTCCTTGCAGTAGCTACCAACTCCCCATATCAAAGGTTCCTGCTGTTTTTGAAACTTTCATAAATGGAATCATACAGTATATACTTTTTTGTATGTGATTTTTAAAATAGTATTTTGTGTGAGTTACATCCATATCATTACATGCCGTTGTAGTTTGGTCACTGTCTTGGCTGTATAAGAATGCTTTTATATGAATGACTACAATCATTTTCCCATTCTGTTGATGACCCTATTGATTTTGTTTTCAGTTTGCACTAGTTCACAGCTTATAGCTATGAACATTCTTGAATATTTCTTTTGGTTAAAATGCATAGGCATTTCTGATGGGCGTGCTTCTAAGAATGTAATAGCTAGATCGTAGGACATGCACATATATTTAGCTTTACTCTGTAATTTTTTTCAAATAAAATTTATTTTTCTAAATATGTCATTTGTAATAAAGTGCTAAATTTTCGGCATTAAAAGATGATAAATTATTACAAACAATACCACTATCTATCTGCTTGACATCTTATGAGATACTTATGCCAATATCCAGAACATATTTTATATCTTGGTGTGATAAAAAGATAGCCTTTACACATGTCTCTTATGCACATGATTCCTAAGGCATATTGTTTTCTAGGCCTCCAGTGACACATAACTTTGACAGTGCATGATAACAATGCTATGTTCATGGATTAAAAATATGCATAATTTCATATTTTATTCCCCTTAGGAAATGTTATCACTGAACTTACAGTGAATGTAGTTGTCAGTATTCCACCTGTGAAGCCCAATATTACTGTAATAAATGCTCTAGAAATATGATAATTGACTTCTCTGAGTGCCAAGAAGAATCAGTAGTCAAACTAGGGCCTGCAAGAATGAGCTTCCCCTACAGCAATGTAATAAAATTTTCCAGGGTCTTAGATGGAGTATTTTCTTATAGAGCCTGATATTTTAAAAGGCAAACTTATAAAACAGATAAAAGGAATTATTTTTGTTTATTTAATAGGTAAAATTACACAGTACACTATAATAATAGTTATATAATGTTCCAAAAATAATTTGTCAGTACATATAATAGTTTTTATTTATTTCTTGATATTTAACTTACTACTTTGTACAAAGCATGCATATATATATATATATGCTTATATATATATACTTATATATATGATATATATATATATATATCACAGTCAGAATGGCTACTATTAAAAAGTTAAAAAACAGCAGATGCTGGTGAGACTAACAGAGAAAAGATGCTGGTGAGACTAACAGAGAAACACTATATACACTGTTAGTGGGAAAGTAAATTAGTTTAGCCACCGTGGACAGAAGTTTGGAGATTTCTCAAATAATTTCAAACTACCATTTGATGCAGTAATCTCACTACTGGGTATATGCCCAAAGGAAAATAAACTGTTCTACCCAAAAGATATATATATACTTTTATGTTTATTGCAGCACTATTTACAATAGGAAAGACATAGAATCAACCTAGGTGCCCATCAACAGTGGATTGAATAAAGAAAATATGGTACATATATACCATAGAATACTATACAGCCATGAAAAAGAATGAAATCGTGTCCTTTGCAACTGGAGGCCATTATTCCAAGTGAATTAACACAGGAACAGAAAACCAAATACCACATGTTCTCACTTATAAGTGGTAGCTGAACACTGGGTACTCAGGGGCATAAAGATGGCAACAATAGACTGGGAACTACTAGAGATGGGAAAGAGGGAGGTGGGTAAGTGTTGAAAAACTACTGGGTACTATATAGGCTGACTACCTGGGTGGTGTGATCAGTTGTACCCTGATCCTCAGCATCACACAATATACCCATGTAATAAACTTGTACATGTTCTCCCTGACCCTAAAATAAAAGTTGAAATTATTAAAAAGTAAAGGAACTGGAAGGCGTTAAATGCTGCCTAACTTTGTAAGCTTCTCTTGTTTCTTCCCCATCCCCAAGCATAAAGAAGGACTCTCTCTGCAATTTCCTTATCTAAGTAAACTTCTTTCCATGAGAAATGCAGTCCTTTAAAGATCCCCTCCATAGGAATCTCATCAAATTAGCAGGAAAGTTTAATCACTGGAAAAGAGAAAACTAAAAGCTGTTACCTTGCGCAGTAGATCTTTCATCAGTTCTTTACTCCTGGATATTACCTGGTAGAGTTTATCTCATAATATGACAACCATTGTTCACAGTAAAGTTCCACCCCTCACCTTCCTGCCACCTCCCTGGGACCTCAGAGGAACTTTATCTCAGGTCATTGTTTTCTTGGCTCATTCATTTCTCCTAAAAATCATTTACTTCCCCTGTAATGTTTCCTGAAGTCTCTCACTTTCCTGTCCCCTATGAAGAGTGTATATGAGCCTCAAACATCTGGCTCTGCCTTGGGTCTCATATTTGCAGGACTGCCAAGTCCATGTATATATGAATAAACTTTGTATGCCCTTTTTTTACTACTCATCTATTGTTGGTTCATTCCAGTGAACCCTCAGAGATGGTGAAAAGGAAGCATTCCCTTTCCTACAAAGGCATGCATAAATAAACATACATTATATGGTTTGGTTCTGTGTTCCCACTCAAATCTCATCTACAATTGTAATCCCCATGCTTTAAGGGAGGAACCTAGTGGGAGGTGATTGTACCATGGGGGTGGTTTTCCTGCTGCCATTCTCGTGATAGTGAGTTCTCATGAGATCTGATGGTTTAAAAGTGGCAGTTTCCCCTGTGCTCTCTCTCTCCTGCCACCATGTGAAGAAGGTGCCTGCTTCCCCTTTGCCTTCTGCCATGATTGTAAGTTTTCTGAAGCCTCCCCCGCCATGTGAAATTGTGAGTCAATTAAACCTCTTCTGTTTATAAATTACCCAGTCTCAGATAGTAACTTCATAGCAGTGTGAAACCTGACTAAGTATTAAAAGTGTACATTCATTCATCTGTATGTTTACTCTTTTAAGAAATACTAGTTATGACTTTTATTTCAGTGAAGTTTCTCTTGAAGGAGTGGAACATTTCTTTATAAAATAGAGCTCCAAAATGTGTAGAGATATTGAATAACATTGTTATTTTATTCCCATGATTCCTTATTTAAGCAGGCCCTACAAAGTATAGTATCTGAACGCCCAATTCCAATCAGAGAGTTTTGCATTTCTTACTATTTTCTTCAAATGATATTCAAGCTATTTTATTTCCTGGAAAATGCCAACATGAAAAACGTTTGGAAGTTTGAAAGACTTCTCTGATAAAATTCTAAGCTCAAAAGTGGCACTAATTACTAGCCAACATTTTATGTGTCCATTTGTTAACTTGTTTATTTGATTATTATCTGTCTTCCTTTTCAGAAGGTAGATGGGAACTATTTTATGTTCACTCTTATATTCTCAGTTAATATCACAGGTGTTCAATTAATATTTGTTGTGAGAGTAAAGGAATAAATGCACATTCTTTGAAAACTTTTTTTTTTTCCCAGAAGCGTCTACTTCTGTCACCCAGGCTAAAGTGCAATGGCACAATTATAGCTCACTGCAGCTTTGTTCTCCTGGGCTCAAGGAATCTTCTTGTCTCAGCCTCCCAAGTAGCTGGGACATAGGCGTGCACCACCACACTCAGCTAAATTTGTTTGGTCTTGTTGTTTTTTGTTTGATTGTTTGTTTGGTTGGTTGGTTGGTTTTTTTTTTGAGACAGAGTCTTGCCCTGTCACTCAGGCTGGAGTGCAATGGCACAATCTCGGCTCACTGCAACCTCTGCCTCCCGGGTTCAAACAATTCTCCTGTTTCAGTCTTCCATGTAGCTGGGATTACAGGTGCCTGCCACCACACCCGGCTAATTTTTCTAATTTTTCGTGTTTTTTTTTTTTTTTTTAGTAGAGACGGGTTTTGCCATGTTGGCCAGGATGGTCTCAAACTCCTGACCTCAGGTGATCCACCTGCCTCGGCCTCCCAAAGTGCTGGGATTACAGGCGTGAGCCACCGTTGTTTTTGCTTTTATTTATTTTTGAGATAGGATCTCACTGTTTTGCCCAGGCTGAAGTGCAGTAGCTTGATTACAGCTCATTGCAGCTTCAACTTCCTGGGATCCAGGGACCTCCTACTTCCAGCCTCCCAAGCAGCTGAGATTCCTGGCGCATGGCACCACACCCAGCTAATTTTTGTATTTTTTGCAGAGATTGGGTTTTGCCACGTTGCCCATAAATAGATATCAATGCCTGTAAATAGATGTAAATTTATGTTTGTATTTCTTTATTGATTTTTGGTAACCTTTTTTTTGTGTGTGGGAAACTCTTTTTATTTTGTCGTAGCTTACAGATTCTTCAGTAAACTTGTATTCTTTGGTGATGGGCTCCAAGTATTCAAATTAGGACTGGGGTGATTTTTGGCAGACTGCACAGGAATAGATGCTTAAAAAGTGCTTTTTCAGTTTTTATAAGCACAAAAAAGGTAGAACCTTGATTTGCTGAGAATGAAGTGTGAAAAACTTTCTAAGAACATCATATTATTTAAATTATTTTATGTCTGCATTTGTTTTTGTCTACTTAATCTGTTAGTGACTGCAATAAAGACTTCTAAATAAATTTTAAATTTGCTATATATATTTTATTCTATCCCATCAGAGATATATAGATTTATGATTTAATATCATAATTATGATTGTATCTTTCATTAATAGTAAATGACATTTGTGACCATTTTTATCTTTTTAATGTAATTACTAATTGTATAAAATTAGTACTATCAACCTAACTTTATTTTGTTTACTTATATGTATAATGCTTTTATTTATTTTTGCATGTAAATAATTATTAAATGTGTACTAAGTTTGCCCATTGGGCAAGGATCTGGGCATAAAATGCTCCAAAAATATAAACAACTATAAGAAATTCCTTTCTGAAATTCTCATAAATATTTACTTATCTTTTTTTCCTCCTTAAAATTCCTGTATTGCAGTTTTTTAATAATTAAAATACAGACAAATTTTGTTCTGCCGGCTATTTTCTTTTCCTCAGTCTGTGAATTCTTGTCTTTTATAGGTTGATTAAATCTTGTAGGTTCATTCTTCTGTCATATTGTTTTCTATTTTTATGAATTTGTGAAAAGTATTAAATTTATTTTCTAACTTGTCCTTATAAAGTGTTTTCTTGCCTTTTATTCTTCTCCAGTAAATTGACAAGCTTATAGCCTCTAATTCTTCTGGCAGTTTACGTTGACAAAATATTCTTTAACCTATGTTATTTCATCAAAAGTTGAAAGCAAAATGATGCAATTTTAAAATTTTATTTTTTCATAATAAACAGGGATTAGGTTGTTATTAAGTTCTTTTTTAAATTTTTAATTGTGTGTATAGTAGGTATACATATTTATAGGGTACATGGGATATTTTGATACATAAATGCATAAGTAATAATCACATCAAAGTAAATGGGGTATCCATTCTTTCAAGCCTTCATCTTTTGTGTTACAATCAATTTATGTATACTATTTTAGTTACTTTAAAAAGTACAATTAAATTCTAATTGACTGTAGTCACCATGTTGTGTTATCAAATATGAAATCCTATTCTTTATAACTAATTTTTGTAACCATTAAACATTAACCTCTTCCCCCACAACCACACTACCCTTCCTAGCATCTGGTAACCATTTTTCTACTATCTGTCTACAAGAGTTCAATTATTTTAACTTTTAGCTCTCACAAATAAGTGAGAATGTAAGAAGTTTGTCTATACCTGTCTTATTTCACTTAACATAATGACATCTGGGTCCATCCATGTTGTTGCAAGTGATGGGATCTCATTTTTTTGTAGCTAAATAGTACTCCATTTTTTATATGTACCACATTATCTTTATCTATTGGTCTATTGGTGGACACTTAGGTTGCTTCCAAATCTTGGCTATTGTGAACAGTGCTGCACAAACATGGGAGTGCAGATATTTTTTCCATATACTGCTTTCCTTTGTTTTGGGTATATCCCTAGTAGTGGGATTGCTGGATCATATGGTAGTTCTATCTTTAGCTTTTAAGGAACCTCCAAACTGTTCTCCATAGTGGTTGTACTACTTTACATTCCCACCAACAGTGTATGAGGGGTCCCCCTTCTTCATATCCTTGCCACCATTTGTTATTGTCTGTCTTTTTGATATAAGCCATTTTAACTGGGGTGAAATTATATCTCATTGTAGTTTTGATGTGCATTTCATCGATCTTTTTATATGCCAGTTTGCCATTTGTATATCTTCTTTTGAGAAATGTCTATTCAAATATTTTGCCCATTTTTTTGAGTGGATTATTAGATTTTTCCTATAGAGTTGTTTGAGCTCCTTCTGTATTCTGGTTATTTATCCTTTATCAGATACAGAGTTTGCAAATATTTTCTCCTATTCTGTTAGTTGACTCTTCACTGTGTTGATTGTTTCCTTTACTGTGTTGAAACCTTTAATTTGATGTGATCTGATTTGTTTACTTTTGCTTTGATTGCCTGTGCTTGTGGAATATTACTTTAGACATCTCTTTTTTCCTTTATTTCTTCTAAAAAAATGAGATACATGTACAGAACGTGCAGGTTTGTTACGTAAGTACACGTGTGCCATGGTGGTTTGCTGAACCTATTGACCCGTCCTCTAAGTTCCCTCTCCTCAACCCCCAGCCCCCAACAGGCCCTGGTGTGTATTGTTCCCTCTCTATGCCCATGTGTTCTCAAGGTTCAACTCCCACTTATGAGTGAGAATATGCAGTGTTTCGTTTTCTGTTCCTGTGTTAGTTTGCTGAGGATGATGGCTTCCAGCTTCATCCATGTCCCTGCAAAGGACATGATCTGGTTCCTTTTTATGGCTGCATAGTATTCCATGGTGTATAAGTATCACATTTCTTTATCCAGTCTATCATTGATGGGAATTTGGGTTGATTCCATGTCTTTGCTATTGTAAGTAGTGCTGCAATAAACGTAAGTGTGCATGTGTCTTATAGTAGAATGATTTATATTCCTTTGAGTATATACTCAGCAATGGGTTGCTGGGTCAAATGGTATTTCTGGTTCTAGATCCTTGAGGAATTGCCATACTGTCTTCCACAATGGTTGAACTAATTTACATTCCCACCAAAAGTGTAAAAGTGTTCCTATTTCTCCACAGCCTTGCCAACATCTATTGTTTCCAGACTTGTTAATAATTGCCATTCTGACTGGCATGAGATGGTATCTCAGGGTGGTTTTGATTTGCATTTCTCTGATGATCAGTGATGTTGAGTTTTTTGTTTTGTTTTTATTTGCTTTGTTTTGTTTTGTTTTTTGAGACAGAGTTTTGCTCTTGTTGCCCAGGCTGGAGTGCAGTGGCGTGATCTCGGCTCACCACAATCTCTGCCTCCCAAGTTCAAGCGATTCTCCTGCCTCAGCCTCCTGAGTAGCTGGGATTCCAGGCATGTGCCACCATGCCCGACTAATTTTGTATTTTTAGTAGAGATAGGGTTTCTCCATGTTTGTCAGGCTGGTCTCAGACTCCAGACCTCAGGTGATCTGCCCACCTGGGCCTCCCAAAGTGCTCAGATTACAGGTGTGAGTCACCACACCACACCCGGCCTGTTGAGCTTTTTTTCATATATTTCTTGGCTGTGTAAATGTCTTCTTTCGAGAAATGTCTGTTTATATCATTTGCCTACTTTTTGATGGAGTTGTTTGGTTTTATTTTGTGTAAACATGTTTAAGTTCCTTGTAAATTACGGATGTTAGGCCTTTGTCAGATAGGTAGATTGCAAAAATTTTCTCCCATTTTGTAGGCTGCTTGTTCACTCTAATGATAGTTTCTTTTGCTGTGCAGAAGCTCTTTTGTTTAATTAGATCCAATTTGTCAATTTTGGCTTTTGTTGCAATTGCTTTTGGCATTTTTTCATGAAGTCTTTGCCCATGCCTATGTCCTGAATGGTATTGCCTAGGTTTTCTACTAGGGTTTTTATAGTTTTGGGTTTTACATATAAGTCTTTAATCCATCTTGAGTTAATTTTTGTATGAAGTGTAAGGAAGGGGTCCAGTTTCAGTTTTCTGCATCTGGCTAGCCAGTTTTCCCAGCACCATTTACTGAATAGGAGATCCTTTCCCCATTGTTTGTTTTTGTCAGGTTTGTTGAAGATCAGATCATTATAGATGTGTGGTGTTATTTCTGAGGTCTCTGTTCAGCTATACTACAAGGCTATGGTACTGGTACCAAAATGGACGTACCTTAGACATCTTTGCCCAATGCAATGACCTGGAGAGCTTCCCCAATGTTTTCTTTTAGCAGTTTCATAGTTTGAGGTCTTAGGTTTAAGTCTTTAACCCATTTATATTGATTTTTATTTATGGCAAGAGATAGTGGCCTAGTTTCATTGTTCTGCATATGGATATTCAGTTTTCCCAGCACTATTTATGGAAGAGATTTTCCTTTCGCCTTTGTGTGTTCTTAGCACTTGTTTTCAAAAATGAGTTCACTGTAGATATATGTATTTGTTTCTGCATTCTCTATTCTGTTCCATTGGCCTATATATCTTTTTATGCCAGTACCATGCTGTTTTGGTTACTTTAGGTCTGTAGTATAGTTTGAAGTCAGGTAATGTGATTCCTCTAATTTTGTTCTTTTAGCTCAGGGTAGTCTTGGCTATTCTGGGTCTTTTGTGGCTGCACATAAATTTTAGAATTGCTTTTTCTTTCTGGGAAAGTCATTGGTATTTTGATAGGGATTGTATAAAATCCATAGATTTCTTTGGGTAATATGGACACTTTAACAATATTCTTCCAATCTATGAATATGGAATATTCTTTCATTTTTTGTCTCCTCTTCAGTTTCTTGAATCAGTGTTCTAGTTTTCATTGTATATGTTTCACTTCTCTGGTTAATTCTTAGATATTTAATTTTATTTATAACTATTGTAAATGAGATTACTTTCTTGATTTTTTTTTCAAATTCTATACTGTTGGCATGTAGAAATGTAGAAATGCTACAGATTTTTGCCTGTTGATTTTGTTTCCTGCAACTCTACTGAATGTATCAGTTCTAATGGTGTTTTGGTGGAGTCTTGGATTTCTCCAAATATAAGATTATATTATCTGCAAACAAGTATAATTTGAATTCTTTCTTTCCAATTTTGAAGCACTTTATTTCTTTATCTTGTCTGATTGCTTTAGCTGGGACTTCCAGCACTATGTTGAATAACAGTGGTGGCAGTGGGCATCTGTGTCATATTCTAGATCTTTGAGAAAAAGCTTTCAGTTGTTCCTCATTTAGTATACTACTAGCTGTGAGTCTGTTGTATATGGCTTTAATATGTTGAGGTATGTTCCTTCTATTCCCAGTTTTTTTAAGATTTTTGTCATGAAGAGATGTTGAATTTTATCAAATACTTTTTCAGCATCAATTGAAATGATCATATGGTTTTTTTCCTTCATTCTGTTGGTAAAATGCATTGCATCGATTGATTTGCATATGTTAAACCATCCTTGCATCCTTGGGATAAATCCCACTTGGTCATGATGAGTCATCTTTGTAATGTATTGTTGAATTTGGTTTGCTAGTATTTTATTGAGGATTTTTGCATCAGTGTTCATCAGGAATATTAGCCTGTAGTTTTCTTTCTTTCTTTCTTTCTTTTTTTTTTTTTTTTTTTTTTGATGTGTCTTTGTTTCGTTTAGGTATCATGGTTAACAGTGGACTCATATAATGGGTTCGGAAAAATTCCCTCCTCCCCTATTTCTTGGGATAGTTTTAGAGGGATTGGTATTAGGTCTTCTTTAAATGTTTGGTAACATTCAGCAGTGAAGCCATCAGTTCCTGGCTTTTCTTTGCTGGGAGAGTTTTTATTATGGCTTTGACCTCATTACTTACTATTGGTCTGTTCAGGTTTTGGATTTCTTTATGGGTTAATCTTGGTAGGTTGTATGTATCTAGGAACTTATCCATTTCTTCTAAGTTTTTGAATGTATTGGCATATAGTTGTTCATAGTATCCTGTAATAATCCTTTTAATTTCTGTGGTATTAGTTGAAATAACTCTTTTTTCATCCCTGATTTTATTTATTTGGGTCTTCTCTCTTTTTTCACAGTCTGGTTTAAAGTTTGTTAACTTCGTTTATCTTTCAAAAACCAACTTTTTGTTTCATTAATCTTTTGTATTTTTTTCCTTTCAATTTCATTTATTTCTTCTATGATCTTTATTATTTATTTTATTATTCTAACTTTGGGTTTGGTTTGCTCTTTTGTAGTTCTTTAAGATACATCATGAGGTTGTTTATGTGTAGTTTTTCTTTTTTGATGTAGGCACTTATAGCTATAAACTTTCCTCTTAGTACTGTTTTCACTATATTCCATACATTTTGGTAAGTTTAGTTTCAATTATCCTTTGTTTCAAGAAATTTTTCAATTTCCTTCTTAATCACTTCCTTGACCCACTGATCATTCAGGAGCATATTGTTTAATTTCCATGTGTTTGTATAGTTTCCAATATTCTTCTTGTTATTGAATTGTAGTTTTATTCCATTGTGTTCAGATAAGATGCTTAATATTATTTCAACTTTTTGAATGTCTTAAGACTTGTTTTGTGACCTAATATATGGTCTATCCTTGAGAATGATCCATATGCTGATGAAAGAATGTGTATTCTGCAGCTGTTGCATGAAAAGTTCTGTTAATATCTGTTAGGTCCATTTGTTCTATAGTATGGATTATCAAATGTTTCTTTGTTGATTTTCTGTCTGGGAGATCTCTCTAGTGCTCAAAGTGAGGCATTGAAGTCTCTAGCTATTTTTATATTGGAGTCTATCTTTTTATCTCTAATAATATTTACTTTATATAGCTGGGTGCTTTGGTGTTGGGTGCATATATATCATCATACTGAATTGATCCCTTTATCATTATATGATGACTTTCTTTGTCTTTTCTTATGGTTTTTTTATGAAATCTATTAGTCTGGTTTCTGTCGGCATGGAATAACTTTTTCCATCCCTTTATTTTCTTCTTATGTGTATCTTTATAGGTAAAGTGTGTTTCTTATAGGCAACAGATTACTGGGTCTTATTTTCTCATCAATTTAGCCACTCTATGTCTTTTAATTGGAGAGTTTAGTCCATTTATATTTAATGTTATTAATGACCTACTCTGGCCATTTTGTTTTTTGTTGTCTAGTTGTTTCATGTTTTTCTCTTCTTTCCTTCCTCTCTTCCTTTTATTGAAGGTGATTTTCTATGGTGATTTGTTTTAATTTCTTGCATCTTATTTTTTGTGTACTCATTGTATGTTTTTAGATTTGAGGTTACCATGAGGCTTGAAAATATCTGATAATCTATTATTTTAAACTAATGACAACTTGACACTCTTTGCATAAATAAACTAACAAAAAGAAAACTTGTATAAGTTCTACATATACTATGTCTTGAAAAGTTATTGTAGTTATTATTTTTGATTAGTTCATTTTTCTGTTTTTCTACTTAACATATGAGTAATCTACACACCACAATTACAATGTGATAATATTCTGTGTTTTCCTGATTCTTTACTATTACCAGTGACCTTTGTATCTTCAGATGATTTCTTATTGCTCATTAACACATTTCTTTCTGATTGAATGACTCCCTTTAGCATTTCTTGTAGGACAGGTCTGGTGTTGAAATTCCAGAGCTTTTCTTTGTCTGGGAAAGTCTTTATTTTTCCTTCATGTTTGGAAGGGCCTGGCTATACTATTCTAGGATATTTTTTTTTTCCTTCAGCACTTTAAATATGTCATGCCATTCTCTTGGTCAGTGAGGTTTCCACTGAAAAGTCTGCTGCCAGAGGTATTGGAGCTCCATTGCATATTATTTGTTTCTTTTCTCTTGCTGCTTTTAGGATCTTCTCTTTATCCTTGATCTTTGGAAGTTTGACTATTAAATGCACTGAGGTAGTCTTCTTTGGGTTAAATCTCCTTGGTGTTGTATAACTTTCTTGTTCTTGAATATTGGTATTTCTCTCTAGATTTGAGAAGTTCATTGTTATTACCCTTTTGAATAAATTTTCTACCCCGTCTCTCTCTTTCTCTCTACTACCTCTTTTTTAAAGCCAGTGACTTAGATTTGCCCTTTTGAGCCTATTTTCTAGGTCTTGTAGGTGTGCTTATTCTTTTTTATTCTTTCTTCTTTTGTCTCCTCTGACTGATGTTTTCAAATAGCCTGTCTTTAGGCTCACTAATGCTTTCTTCTGTTTTATCCATTCTGCTATTAAGAGACTCTGATGCATTCTTTCGTATGTCAGTTGCATTTTTCAACTCCAGAATTTCTTCTTGATTTTTCTTTATTATTTCAATTTCTTTGTTAAATGTATTTGATAGGATTCTGAATTACTTTCTGTGTTATTTTAAATTTCTTGAGTTTCATCACAACTATTTTGAATTCTCTTTCTGAAAGACCACATATCTCTGTCTCTCTGGGATTGTTCCATGGTGCTGTATTTAGTTCCTTTGGTGAGGTTATGTTTTTCTGGATTGTCCTGATGCTTGTGGATATACTTCAGTGTCTGGGCATTGAAGAGTTAGGTATTTATTATCGTTTTCACAGTCTGGGTTGGTTTGTACCTGTCCTTGTTCAGAAGGCTTTTCAGGTATTTGAAGAGGCTTTGGTGTTTTGGTCCAAGTTTTTGGTCACTAGAGCCATATCTGCATTAGGGAGTACCCAAAGCCCCGTAAAGCTGTGGTTCTTGAAGACTTGTAAGGGTATCACCTTGGTGGTCTTGGATAAGATTCAAAAGAATGATCTGGATTGCCAGGTAGAGACTCTTGTTCCCTTTGCTTACTTTCTCCTGAATAGAGTCCCTCTCTCTGTGCTGAGCTGTCCACAGCTGGAGGATGGGTGACACAATCACCCCTGTGGCTACCACCACTGAGACTGCACTGGCTTAAACCTAAAGCCAGCATAGTACTGGTTCTCACCCAAGGCCCACTGTAACCACTACCTGGCTAATGCCTACATTCAGCAAGGCCCTGGGCTCTAACAATCAGCAGATAGCAAAGCCAGCCAAATTCGCATCCTTCCCTTAAGAGAAACAAGTTCTCCTGGGCTCTAACTGGGTCCAGAGTTGCTGTCTGGGAGCCAGGGCCTAGAGTCAGAAACCTTAGAAATTTCCCTGAAACCGTAAGACAAAGTTCTTCCCACTTTTTTCTTTTGTGACCCCAGAAAGATGAGCTGGTGTCATCCACCACCAGCTCAGGCCCACAGGGAGTACCACCAGGGCATTGCCAATGTGCACATAAGGCTCAAGTGTCTCATCGGTAAGCCTGTGGTGAATGCTGCTAGGCCTAGGACTCGCTCTTCAGGGATGTGGGCTCCCTGTTGCCCCTGGTAGGCCCAGAAAAGCCATCTAAGAGTCAAGGCCTGAAATTAAGGACCCTCAGAGCCCACTTGGTGCCCTTCCCCACTATGGCCAAGCAAGTACCTAAGGTGTAAGTCAAAGTCCCCTTTACTCTTCCCTCTGCTTTTCTCAAACAGAAAGAATCTTTCTTTCTAGCCACCACAGCTGTGAATGTGCTGGATCACACCTGAAGGCAGTGCATCTCAGAATCTCACCCAAGTCCCACAGTGCATACTACTTAATTACTGCTGCTGAATATTTAGGGCCCAGGGACTATTTCATCAGTAGGTAATGAATCCTTCAAGGACCGGGTCCTTCCCTTCAAGGCAGCAGGTTCCCTTCTGGCCCAAGATGTATCTAGAAATGTCATGCAGGAATGACGGCCTAGAATAAGGGCCTCATGACTTTACCCAGTGCATTATCCTACTGCGGCTGAGATGGTATCCAAGTTGCAAAACAATGTCCCCTTTACTCTTCCTTCTCCTCTCATGAAGTGGAAGGAAGGGGTCTCTTTTGGAGCTGTGAGCTGCACTGTCTGGGGTTGTAGGAGGGGTGGCACAAGGACTCTCTTAGCCACCATGGCTTGTGTCTTTACTAGGTCACACGACCCCAAGTCCACTGGCTCCATTGCCAGCACAGCACTAGAACTTTCCTAGGAGTTTCAGTCTTTGTGGCCTAGACTGCCTTTCAAGTTTATTTGGAACCCCAGAGCCGTTTAGCCCTCTGTAGCAAGGCTTGCCGAAACTGAAGTTCCAACCAGTGGGATGGCAATTTCTCTGTGGCTAGGGCTGGTCTAAATTCTCCCTCCATGGACATCAACTGAGTTCTTCCTGGTGTTGGCAGCACTGAGTTCCAATGCAAAATCCCACCACTGTGTGGTCCCTCCCTAAAGCACACAGATTCTCTATCTGGGTCACTCATTCACTACTGTGGGATGGGTGAGGGGTAGTGTTGGCAAATCAAGACTGTCTACCCTCTTCAATGGTCTTTAGTGCCTCTTTCAGTGATATGAAATTAAAAACAGGTACTGTAATTTCCCACCTGATTTTTGGTTCTTATAAAGGTGGTTTTTTTGTGTAGTTAGTTGTTAAATTTGGTGTTCCTGCAGGAAGGATAATTGGTAGAGGTTTCTATTTGGCCATCTTGCTCTGCCTTTCTCCAGTAAGTTGTTCTTTTATTAGTAAATTATTATTTTCATGTAAAATGTGTAATTCATTGTGAAAAATTATGAGTTAATTTTTGTCTTCTATTTTGGTTCCACATTTACACCAACTACTTGACATTATCCTGTATTGGATTTTGCTCAGTACTCCCTGAATCTCATTTACTTCTTTCGAAGGCCCACTTTCAGTCCTTTTCCATCACAAATTTCCCAAATCTGAATTCTTTTATGATTCCTATTTTGTTGACTGACAAATATTTTTATGCATTTGTCTTTCGGGACATTTGTATTATAAGTGCTGTGTTTTCTGAGGTTTTGAATAGCTTATGACCTATACATATCAATGATATATGGTAGAATAAGGGTCTGATTTATAACTCTTTCTCAAAATTCCTTAGTTGTTGCTTTATTTTATTTTAATTTATTGTTGAAAAGTGAAACATGACTTTTTTTTTTTTTTTTTTTTTTTGAGATGGAGTCTTGCTCTGTCCCCCAGGTTGGAGTGCAGTGGCCCAATCTCAGCTCACTGCAACCTTAGCCTCCTGAGTTCAAGCGATTCTCCTGCCTCAGCCTCCCGAGTAGCTGGGATTACAAGCACTCACCACTGCATCCAGCTGATTTTTGTATTTTTAGTAGAGACGGGGTTTCACCATCTTGGCCAGGCTGGTCTCGAACTCCTGACCTCGTGATCCACCCACCTCGGCCTCCCAAAGTGCTGGGATTACAGGCATGAGCCACCACACCCGGCTGAACCATGACTTTTTATCTTTGATTGCAGCTGATATTTCTCCCTGCCAAAATGCTTTTCAATTCATAATTCAGGTGTTTTTTTTTTTTTAACCTCATATTTTCAGAGGATTCCTTTCTTACATTTGTGTCAAATTAGATGAAGTCCTGTTAACTAACATTCAAAGTTCTTCATGGTTGTCGTTGTTGTGTTGGTAGTTTTTGTTTTATTTTACATTCATTTGTTTGCTTGTTTGTATTCAGCTCAGGAAAATTTTCTTCATTTGTGTCATGGATTTTCATTTGTCTTCAATTCTGCATGTTCGTTTTTACAAAAGTTATAACACTAAAGCCTGCAAATCCCCTTCCCTTATCTCCTTGAACTGTCTCTTCATCCTAGGAGAGCTTATGTATGCCACATCACCTGTTTGGTATTGTAATCATAAATGACATTTAGCATTTTAAAACTTTACAATATTAATTAATTTAATCCTCTTAATCATATGTTGAATATGTGATGATTCTTACCCCATTTTATAAACAGAGACATAACCAGGTTTTATAATTTGCTCACTATAATGTGACTAGTAAGAGAAAACGCAGTCTTGCTCCAAACCCCATGCTGTTGAACACTGGGCTATATTGCCTCTGAAAAGGAAATTTTTGCTTTTAATTCTCTTTATTTTTTTAATTTTTTATTTTTTTGAGCACTCACTCTGTCACCCAGGATGGAGTGCAGTGGCACAATCTTGGCTCACTGCAACCTCCTTCCCCCCGGGTTCAAGTGGTTCTCCTGCCTCAGCCTCGTGAGTAGCTGGGATTACAGGCACTTGCCACGGCGCCTGGCTAATTTTTGTATTTTTAGTAGAGATGGGGTTTCATCATCTTGGCCAGGCTGATCTTGAACTCCTGACCTCGTGATCCACCTCCCCTGTCCTCCCAAAGTGCTGGGATTACAGGCATGAGCCACCATGCCTGGCACTTTTAATTCTTGTTGGGGCTCAGAACACGATACCCCGAAGTATGGCACCTTGGCATGCTGAATACTTTGAACTGAAGGACATCAGAAGGCTTTGGAATCAATGTCTTTCTGACTTTCTCCCGTCTTCCTGTCTCTCATCCCTCTTTCTCCCCTGAAGCAAGTGACAAAAACCTGAATTCCTCCTTCTCACTATGGGTCATAGAAAGTACAGTCCCTCTCCCTCAAAGGAAGACATAAAACCTAGAAAGGTCACTCTCTTCCTTCTCCCTTCTTCCTTGAAGACCTTTATTCCAGAGGAGTCCAGCCCTATACCTAGGAGAGAGGAATCCTACACAGAGAGGCCAAGAAGAATTGGAACAGACAGTCCTTGCTAGGTTTTCCCCTCAGTCTATTACCAAGAGATCAAACTATTTTGTCCAATCACATTTTTACACAACTGTCCATTCTTCATCAACCTAAGCTTAAAGATAGACAGTTTTCTTTGGGCCTTTGGATCTTCATTTCTGAAGGCCCTCACGTATGTAAATCTTCGATTAAATAAATTTGCCATGCTTTTCTCTTGGTCACCTGACTTTTAAGAGAGTCAGCATGACCAAGTGATAGGCGAGGAAAGGTATCAAACCATTCCACCTCTACACTATCTCTACACTATCTACAATGCAAATTTTAATTCTGCTATGAAATTTGTATATATGTTTCATATAATACTTTTTGATTCAAATTTCCTTTGAATTTCAGTCTTCAATTACTGTGCTGCCTTCTCTTTTTCATATCGCTGTGTTCTTCCTTCATTTTAATTATTCTTTCTGGAAACCACACTTTTAATATATTTTTGTATCCTAAGCATTATTCTAATTTCTATAATATATTCTCCTGGCTCTGTCCTCCAGATATTATCCTTCCTCGCTTCAAATACTGTTTTCTTTGTCTTGTAGACTGTAAATGCTATTGTTGCAGCAGGTGTTTTCTCTCTGCTCATTTTCAAATGAGTAGAGATCCACCAGACTGTTTCCTAACATATATAGTGTATGAATTGTATTAACCCTGGTATAACCATATTTTATACCTACAAGTGGAGAGCAGAGGCATGAGGCATGTGTGTGAATGTGTGTGTATGTATGTATGTATCTATGTATGTGTGTGTGTATATATATATATTATATATATATTATATATAATAATATATATATTATATATAATATATATATTATATATAATATATATAATATATATATTATATATAATATATATAATATATATAATATATATAATATATATATAATATATATATTATATATATATAAAATCTCCTTGACCTAACTTGTTCAGATGTCATTTTATGTGCTCCTGTTGCACTGAGATAGGATCTTCTACCCACGTGGCTATTTCTCAGAAATGTAAACTGATAGACCACGTAAAACAAACTATTTTCTTTTTTTTCCAACTTAAATGCTCTTACTTCTATATACATCTCCCATGATAAATGTATCACAGCCATTTCCTCTGTCTCTTCATAGTAATTCAGACCCATTAGTTATATGGGGAAGAAAAGGCAATACCTTTTCCTCTCCCATCACAGGGTCATGGCAGACACTCATAACAAAAGACAGATGATATGGTTTGGCTGTGTCTGCACCCAAATCTCAACTTGAATTTTATCTCCCAGAATTCCCACGTGTTGTGGAAGGGGCCCAGGGAGAGGAAATCGAATCGTGGGGGCTGGTCCTTCCTGTGCTATTCTTGTGGTAGTGAATAAGTCTCATGAGCTCTGATGGGTCTATCAGGGGTTTCTGCTTTTGCTTCTTCCTTGTTTTCTCTTGCCACTGCCACGTAGAAAGTGCCTTTCACCTTCCACCATGACTCTGAGGCCTCCCCAGCCATGTGCAGCTGTAAGTCCAATTAAACCTCTTTTTCTTCCCATTCTCAGGTATGTCCTTATCAGCAGAATTAAAACAGACTAATACAACAGTTTAGCAGGAGAAAAGCATAAAAATTTTATTTAGCAAAGCTCTACATGACATGGGAGCCTTCAGAAATGAAAATATGTAGACCCAGGGAAAATGGTGTGTTTTTATGCTAAGTCTGATGAAAAAAGTAGATAGTTGTGAAGAAGTGGATTAAACAAAGAGGGTATGATCTAATAGTATTAAACTAAGTGGAGTTTAGCAAGCTCAGATTCTTCTTATCCTGTGTAGCATTTCTTCCTCCCTGGTATGGGCCAAGACCCATCTGGAATGAGGATTGTATGACTCACTTTCAGGACAGATGAGTAAGAGAGTGACCTTTCTAGGTTTTATGGCTTGCTTTGTGGGAGGGGAGTTCTAGTTTCTATGATTCCCCTCAGGAGAGAGGAATTCTGGGGTCTATGACATATCTTTTGGGAGAAAATGAAGTGGAAAGAGGTCAGAGAAACCTTGCTTCTTAGGCCCTCTCAATATCATGTACCGTACTTTGGGGTATCATTTTCTGAGTCCTGACATTTACAGAATCTGAAGTAATGCAGAAAAAATTGTTATTTAAATAACAAAGGAATCATATTCTGTTTGCCTTCAGAAATAGTACCCTTTCAGAGGAAGAAGGACTGATAGCTTTTGTCATCTGTTTCTATTCTTGTGGGGTTGGGCAGATTAAAATATCTTCCCAGATTCTTTCGGTCCTAGGTTCTTTTATTGGGTAACATTTTAGGTTGCAAAATATATTTGAACTCTATCCCAGTTTCCTGATCTCTGGTTGTAGGTTACTGTTAGATTTACAATAGAATATTTGGGGGAGTTTCTTTTTCTTTACTTTGATAGACATTTTAGTGGGAAATTTAGGAAACCCAAGTCCAAAGAAATTTTATCAACACACAGACACAAAGCTTAGAGATTTTACATAACTTGCTGCAAGTCCTAATGCTGAACCAAGATTGGAATCTAGAAATGTCTGATTCTAGTGCCAGGCTGTCTCCTCTCTTGTATCCATGTTCGTTATGCCATTTATAGCCTAAATATCATTTTCCTTTTTGAAAAACAGAGTTCCATGTAAGTTACAGAGAATTATCTTTGTTTTATAATCTAATATAATAAATGTTAAATCACAATCCCACACTGCGAGCTTGTCTCATAATTATTCTTTTTGAGTGGAATAGAGCTTCAAGAATTGCACAAACTACTCAACCATTGCTTTTGAATCTAATAACACTTATTGTGAACTTTATGCCCTGGTCACATTTCTCTAGAATCCATGCTAACACATTATGGTCTCCCTGGTTGGATGTCCTGTGTTTAATCTCCCTCCTTCTAAGGTTTCATTGTGTACTATAATCTTTTTTCCTATTTGTCAAGTGATTACATAATGAAAATAATCCCAATGGGAGATTTATGCTCTAAAATTTTAACCTCCATAATTATATAATAATATGTACTGATTTGGCATGTTAATATTGTACATTCTCACTGGAAAAATACTCTCCAATTTGGAGTTTATAGAATAACAACCCATAACTATGTGAATAGTTTTCCAGTTTTCATATTTTCCAATTTGTACTTTATTTTAATATCAAAAGGTTATGATTTCTTATTAAAAGCAGAGTAAGAATGGAAGTTTGGGCATGTATGTGACATTTTGACAGATTCCATTATTCTGTGGTTTAAATAAAGGAAATTGAACCTATACCCATGTTTACTAAATTCTTTGAAAGTAACTGTTTGTATATGTTGATAAGTGGTTTCTTTATATGAGACAAATTCAGTGGAAATTGAGTTACCCAGTGATAACATTATCTGTTACCTGTCACTAACCGTATCTAGAAGCTTGAGTGGACACAATCAACTGGTAATACTAATTTTATCTCTAATAACCAATTCAAACTAAAAACTTAAGGAATTTTCATTATTCGCCCCCCCCCCCATTTCCTATGTCTGAGAGAATAAAAACAGTTTTGTGGATATCAGATGTTATAATTACTTCTTATAATTTTTTTTCCTTTAGAGGAATATCCAGGAATATGTTAAACTAAAAGGAAAAGTAAATTTTACAAAGTTTTAAACTAAATACATGAGAAATATGCTTTAGTGGAAATTTTTAGTTCTATTGTCTAAGAGAGGTATTGACAAATTTTCAATTAATATTTTTTATCAAACTCAACTATCAAAAACATTGCTGTTATTATTTTGCATTTGCATTGGTTGTTATGATGCTTTAGGGTTACTTTTTATTAGTCTTTTATGGTGGCAAACAGCTATCCAAATGCTCTTTATAAAATTTTTCTTTGCCTTTTAGCAACCCTGATTTTTTTAATGAGACCTTTTTCCAAATCTTAATACTTTTTTATTTTTTATTTTTTTATTTTTTTAGATAGTCTTGCTCTTGTTGCCCAGGCTGGAGTGCAACGATGAGATCTTGGCTCCTGCAACCTCTGCCTCCCAGGTTCAAGCAATTCTCCTGCCTCAGCACCCACTGAGTAGCTAGGATTGCAGGCATGTACCAATACACCTGGCTAATTTTTGTATTTTCAGTAGAGATGGGGTTTTGCCATGTTGGCCAGGCTGGTCTCAAACTCCTGACCTCAGGTGATCCCCCGGTCTCAGCCTCCCAAAGTGTTGGGATTACAGGCATGAGCCACCAGGCCCAGCCCAAATCTTAGTATCTTTATGCCTCCAACAGTGCCTTCTCTCTCTCTCTCTCTCATAAAAATAAAACAAAACAAACATGCATTGTTTCTCTGGGTCAGCTTCAGGGACATCCCTGCTATCTTTGAATTTATCAGAGACTCCTCATTTTAATTCCGCCTGCTCTTGTTGCCACCATCAATTCTTTTCTTTTATCATCCTGAAGATTCCTAGTGGCTTCCCTCTTTTATGAATACCATATTATAGGAATGAACCATGAAATATATTTATGTATCCATATAATACTCCTGTCTTTCTGGAGGATCACCATGCCAGATAATGGTTCAGTGATGTGCTAGGGCACTAAATAGGAGAAAATTAGAATCTATTTACTATATAGGCCTTATACCAAGTATAAAAGGAATTCTTTTTGTTATGTCCCAACACATGTTAAAAGAAACATCATTTACAGCCTGACAACCTCTATGCTCTTCATAAATGAAAATTACAAATGACTCCCAATTATGCCAAATGGTCCTTGTGCTATGCAAGAATCACTTTTAAACATGCAAAAGTCACTTTTAACTCCCAGAATATTTTATACAATTTTAAAATGTATTCTTTCTTACAGCCCCGGTAAAATGTTGCTATTTTGCAACTAAGACATCGGGCTATTTTCATAGCAGTTTAAATTACCAGCATTTTATTTTGCATTTTTGCTGAAGGTAAAAAAGAATATTGTATTAGGCAGAATAATGCACCCCAGCAAATGTCCATGCCCCAAAACCCGGAATCCATAAATATGTTACCTTATATAGCAAAAGGCACTTGGTAGATGCGATTAAGTTGGGAATATTAAGATAAGGAGGTTTTCCTGGATTATCTGAGTAAACCCAATGTAATCACAAGAGTCCATATAAGAGAAAGAGAGAGGTAGACGAGTCTAGGAGGTGTGATGGCAGAAGCAGGGCCAGAGCCAGAGAGAAACTGGAAGAAGATGCTATGCCACTGGCTTTGAAGATGAAGGAAGGGACCATGAGCCAAGAAATGTAGTTCAGAATAATTAAGATGCCAAAGAGGCATATTTTAGGGTGAAATATTCCTGTCTCCAACGTCATATTTTGGGGTGGTATGTCCTGAGCCTCATCAGTGTTTTGCTGCCGTTCTTACGGTTGTAAGATGTGGTACTGCATTTCTAGGCATCATATTCATGATCAGCAAAGGAAAAAAAAAAGAAAGAGACAAATGACAAAAATAAAAGGCCAAAGAGTTTTGTCCTTATCTCTGATTTCTTTTTTTTTGAGACAGAGCCTCAGTCTGTTGCCCAGGCTGCAGTGCAGTGGTGTAATCTTGACTCACCGCAACCTCTGCCTCCTGGGTTCAAGCGATTCTCCTGCCTCAGCTTCCCAAGTAGCTGGGATTATAGGCATGCGCCACCACTCCCAGCTATTTTTTTGTATTTTTAGTAGAGACAGGGTTTCACCATGTTGGCCAGGCTGGTCCTGAACTCCTGACCTCAGGTAATCCATCCGCCTCGGCCTTCCAAAGTGCTGGGATTACAGGCGTGAGCCACTGCGCTGGGCCATCTCTGACTTTATATGCAGGAAAGAATGTACTTCCCCAAAATTGTAGCCTATACCTCATTGAGCAGAACTCTGTCACATCAAGAGACAAAGTTATAACAGATTTAAAGATCTTAATTAGCTTTTATTTATGATTCTAGAATTGGGCAATACCTTTTTCTATAAAATAGGATGAATGTTCCGATGAGGTGATCAGAGGTTTTATAGACAGAGAAGACTGAGGAAAGCAGAAACAGAGCACAAGAAGCTGATTGGCTGTTTCAAAATTACTTTCCTTGTAAAGGTTAAAGCAAAGGAAATTTTCTTATGCCAGCTACAACAGGCTCATTTGGGGGATTGGCTATTATCTCTCGCTTTCCTGATTTTTTGAAAGATCAGATAACCCACTTAGTTTTGGCTTGGCAACATGGAACAGAAGCATGAATAACTCCATTGTGGTTTGATCAGTTGCACCTAGTGTAGAAGCTCAGTCCAAACCACTGCCCTCTTATAAATTTTATTTAACAGTCACGTGGTTACCGTTACCGTCAAGACAATATAGAAAGGTGTTTTAGCTTTCCAAGGTTTGTCATAGAAAAAAATAAAGGAAGTGAGATTGTAGATGATTGGAAAAGCCAATCCTCAGAGACTGTGAACTACACATTTAAATGCATGATTTCTGTAAGATGGATTTGTTAACTCTTTTGTAAATATCACCATTCTTCAACTGTCAATACTATTTAAAATATTGAGCTGCTGAGTGCTTCTATGCAGACAGTTATAGTGGAGGATCACCACACTTATTAATTATTAATTATTAGTTGAATCTTTTGCTCTTTGTATTCTTTGATTCAAAAGAAAATACTTGCATTGTAGAATTTTAATGAAGTTATTAAAAATGTATTTTTTCCTCTCTACATATATGAGAAAACATTTTTTTATGATTTTTTCCATCTCTTCCAAAAATACCATGTTAGAATCACAAATAAATCCTATGAAACTGTCTACCATATCAATAGACTTTCCTTATCACAAGATCTTAGGAGTGACTGATTTAAAATAAGTGATCCTTATTATATAGGCTAATCAAGTTGCAAACTTTGAAAACATTTTGAGAAGTCTCTCACATATATTATGTAGCCAAAAACAACAATTCTAAAATGACATTTTTTTTTAAATTATGGAATGATAGTTTTCTTAAAAGTGAACATATTTCACAGCCTGGAATGTGACATTATTGTTGTACAGCAGTAAAGTTGACATGTACAGTATGCAGCATGCATACTACCATGTAACCCATTGATGAAATTTCAGGGTTTTTATTATGCTACAGTACAATCCTATAGTGGGGAATTACTCACATTTTCATGAGCTACCGTTTAAAATAACTTTTTGAAATGAGATTTATGACTTCCTGCTAACAGCTGTAGAAAGGAGATGAGGAGGGGGAAATAAGGGGAAGGCTCTTCCTATTACGAAAAGAAGAAACATTAAAAAGGTAGGAAAAGAACATTTATATTGGCATTCTCTGGAAAGAGAAAGCCATGTGCTCAGCAAGCTTTCAGCATTCCAGCTTTATAATTACTCTTGAATATCCTGAGGGCTTCTAAAGCAGGCCATTTCTGAAAAGCAGATGTATACTTTTTGCCATTGTTTCAAGTCTGGATAATCTTTTCATACTTGGAAATTAGGAATGCATGTTAAAATGTTGATAGGAAATAAAGAGAAGGAATTTGTATTTTTAATCGTTGACTTTAATAATAACCATATATAGGCCAAATCTCTATTAACCTACTGAAGAAAAGAACTGTGGCAATTACATTGATAATTGAGACAAAACCATCCAGAAGACATTATACTGTTCAGTTAGCTGGATAAGAGGCTTGAAATTGATGATGCTTTCTCAGAAGGCACTCAGCCACTCAAAATTGAATAGAAACTTTCCCCCTCCCACAATCTCAGACAAACTCTGACATTAGTTTCCCTTGCTATAGAAATCATTTAAAAAGCAAATGAGAAATAAACAAAATATTTGTTAAACTTTGGAAAATTACCTTGAATTTTAGAAAGTTCGATCACTGCTAAATAGTTTGGGAAGAAAAAAAAATCCTTTCAAGGTAGAGTAAGGTAAATTCCATAACTGTCTACATCAACAGTTCAAATCTGGAGGTTGAAATGTGGGAGACGACCAGTTAGAGAAAAGTAGGAAGGGCTTCTTGGAAGAGGTCATCTTTGAGACAGGATTTCTAAATCTCAAAAAGGGCTAGGATTGGTTAGTGAGATGGGGGTGGCATGGGTCTTCTGGAGGAACAACCTGTCACTAGGTAGTCCTAGTGACAATGGAAGCAGAACAAGGAAGTGGAAAATTATAGTGTGTGTTAGTGTCCTTGTTTGTGAACTGGGGAGTAATGCAGTTTCGTGGAAGAATACTGGAAACTAAGACCATAAGCTAAAATAATAAGCATTATAAATGAATAAAGCCATGCTGAGGCCTAAGCACATTGTAGGTCTTTAACTATTTCTCCACACACAGCCTCTGCTGGTGTCTGAAATAGACTTCATGGCTCTGGAGAAGTTCATTTACTGTCAACTAATTTATTTAGGCATATAGCATTTCTATTCCTGCAATACACACAAAGGACATTTGTTGTTATTATAGTGCTTTTTTGGTTTTTGTTTTTTGATTGGTTTCCCTTAAAAAAATGAGAGGGGGAAAGAAAGAGTATGTTCATTTGTATGTCACAACCCACCCCTAAAAAAATAGTCATGAGCATGAGAGTAGTGGGTTGGTGCAATGAACACATAGAAAGACTTAAGTTGGCAAGATCATTTTTTCACTTGGTACAAAACCAGTGGGGCATGACATAAGGGTAGTTTGTACATGGTAGTGCCAGGAAAATAAGGGTTTCATATTCATGTTAGACCCTTGGTCTACTTAATTGCTTTTGCATTTTCCTAATGCATCTTAATGTCACTTTTTTTTCCAGAAAAATTCTCTAACTTAGTAGAATGAGTAAAAGAATCACTTTAAGGGAAATAGAGTTAAAAATTGAAAGTCACTTAACTGTAACAATAATTTACATAGCGTTAGCATTGTTCTTTTCATGCTTATAATTTTGACTTACTTGTTGATGTATTTTAAAGGTTTCATTATTTTTCTGGTTTAAGATAGATTTATATTGTTAGGTTAATGTAGTACAATTAGCACCTTTGATAATTAAGGACATATTTGTAAGTACAGGGAAGTCTTTCTTGTAGACCAATTATAGCTGTGTTTATAGTATCAAATTATACATGCATTATTAGACCTTCAAAACCCATAATAAATACTGTATATCAATGTTTTGGGGCTTACACCTAGTGGCACAAATATTAATATAACTAAAATCTAAGTTATATGTATAAGAATTTTTTTTTCTGAATCTCTACATTCTTTAGGATCTACATTTCCCTTAATTGTAAGAAGCAGAATATTTTAACGGCAAAAATGAGATAGGATATATCTAGGGGTTGAAATCTTCCTACTAAATGATTTTTAAATTTGTAACTAAGCATTTATGTTCATTTCCACAGTCTTGTGAAACAGGTGTGCATCATGTAAACCTTGTTAGGGTTGACAAAATAGGAAAGCATTATAACACTTCATATGATCAATGAATTAAGAATTGTGTATTTTGAATTTTTTTTCCAAAGGCAAAATTTTCTTTCCTGAATTCACAAAGCTTTTACAATCTAGATCTTTCACATAGAGAAGCATCTACTGGATTAGTAATACAGGCAAGGAACTAAAAACTTAAGTCTAATAACATATCGTAGCAGATATATTGTGCACTTTTATTTGTATATTTTGAACATAGGTTATTTTCTTGGCAGTTTCCTCAGAAAAATTTGGTGTTTATCTTCTGTTTTATTTTCACGGTTTTAACAGTAAGAACCAGGAGTAGTAAGAAATAGAATGTGTATATGTTTTATAAAAATTTATATACATATATACAATTCATATATAAGTAGTTGATTCTATTGGATATACCTTGGCACTTATATAAGTTTACTAAGAAGTGAATTTTTTTAAAAAAATAGGAAATGATTATATTAGATTTAATTTATTTTTTGCCAAACTAACATTTTGTTTGTTTTGTTCATATCATCTTAAACTAGTTATTGTGGCTATCAGTGCATTGAAAAATGAATTACTAGTGTAATATGTTCATCTCCTTCTGCATATGAATTGTCCTTGGATGTAAGTTTTCTGTATTTCCAGAGTCAGCTAAAAGTTAAAACTAATTTACCTGGAAAAACTATGTTTTAGGTGCTATTATTATTTTTATCATTTAGAGACAGGATCCTGCTCTGTCACCCAGGATGGAGTGTAGTGGCAGCATCATAGCTCAATGTAACTTCCAGCTCCTAGACTCAAACTTCCTCCTGCCTCAGTCTCCTGAGTGGCTAGGCTACAGGCATATGCCACCACACTCAGCTAATATTTTCACTTTTTGTTTTGTAGAAGCAAGGTCTCAGTATGTTGCCCAGGCTGGTTTTGAACACCTATACTCAAATGATCCTCCCACTTTGGCTTCCCAAAATGCTGATTACACTACTTCCCAAAAGGATTGCAGAGGTGAGCCACCGTGCCTGGCCTTTAGGTGCCATTATTGTAGACATCTTTTTTTTTTTTAATTATACTTTAAGTTTTAGGGTACATGTGCACAATGTGCAGGTTAGTTACATATGTGCCATGTGTAAAAAGTAAAATCTTAACTTCTTATATATTTTAAGCAAGTTTATTTTTTAAATAAGCAGTACCAGAGGAATGCTGATTTTTGTAATTTAATGTTTCATATAGTTTGAGAAATGGTCTCATGAAGCCAGTCATACAGAACCGTACAATCCACAGTGACTAATCTATGCACTTGGTTCATGTTATTCACAACTTTCTACAATCCTATAAAAGAAGCAGCTAACCCAAAAGTACAAGACACATCAGGAGCTACCAAAAAATACCAAGATCAAATCCAGCCCCAAGATTATGAAAGCCATATTATTTTAGTCTTTCAAATGCCAGTGTTTGTCTTTTTTCTCAAGTTTTTCTAATGCAGAGAGTCAATAAACACCCTTCTAGGCCGGGCGAGGTGGCTCATGCCTGTAATCCCAGCACTTTGGGAGGCTGAAGCGGGTCGATCACCTGAGGCCAGAAGTTTGAAACTGGCCTTGCCAACATGGTGCAAACGCGTCTCTACTAAAAATACAAAAATTAGCTAGGTGTGGTGGCGTGTGTCTGTAGTTCCAGCTACTTGGGAGGCTGAGGCAGGAGAATCTCTAGAACCCAGGAGGCGGAGGTTGCAGTAAGCCGAGATCATGCCACTGCACTCCAGCCTGGGCGACAGAGTGAGACTCCATCTCAAAAAACAAACAAACAAAAAGAACCCCTTCTTTTTTGGTCAAGAGCTCACTATGACCTAAGTTAGGATTATTGTCATTATAGTAATATAATATAAAACTTATAAAAATTTTAATTATTTAGGACCATTTGCAAAAGCTGTAGATTGTTTATAGTTCAGATTGGCAAGTATGGGTGGCAGTAATGTTAGAAATAAGAAAGCTAAAACCTAAAGGTCAAAAACCTAGTTGCCTTCTCATTATTGTCCTCATGTCTTCAGATTGTCAGAGGACAGAGGGTTAGAACCAAGAACACTCAGCTTGCGTAAAGGTTTTCTACTTCACTTGACATTTCCAGTAACTTAGCAGCATGACCAATGAAACCTGAAGTAATGAATGGGAAAAGTTAGCGGGGAAGGAATATCCAACACAAAAGTTTTATCTCAGCCTAATTAACATTCAGAGATCAGATGGAAAAGATGGAGTCAAGAAGGAGGAGAAAAGTTACTGGGAAAATATCATAATTGGTAAAAAGGGACTATAATTGATAGAAAGGAAGAAAAACAGTGATTTCGGTTATCTAGCAGACTGAAGGATGTTAAGCAAATGATTAGGGAATTTCTAACAGGTAACAGATGATTAGGTCAATAAATTAATTCATGTGTAATTTGAAAAATATAACATTTCACATAATATTCATAATATTCACCATTTTTCAGAAGGCAAAATTAAATACTTCAGATTATAAATCTAACGACACAGAAAAGACATTTTATGTTCTTGTTTTTTGATTTACGAGGACTTGGACTTATAATAGTCAATAAATGCTAACTGATTATTAATAAGGTGTAGGGTCTAAGGAGCATAAATTTTTTTAAATTAGTTTTAAATATTCATAGTTATAGCCAGTTTTTTACTGTCTTTACCAATGAAAGGAAACAATGTCATAAAGTAACTATTTTTAATGTTTTTAGTCATTCGTCTTTATGTAACATTACTTTTTGAAATTGATTTGCTTTCCAAATTAAAGGTTGTCGTAGGATAATGGTAAAATTATTTTGCATACATAGCAATACAAATAAATTGGAAACTGAGGATATGATCTAAAAATACACTAAGTGGCAGTGAAGAGTGAATCTGGAATTCAACATTTTTCACAATGCATATGTAACATGGTATATTTGGATGAAACATTATTCAAATGGGCAATCTCTTCTGGCTCCATTGTCTTGTGACTGTGATTCTAAATGCTGTCATTTCTAAAGTAACTTAAATACTTTCTCCTGAGAAAATTGTCATTAAAAACAAGTGCATATAATATCTAATAAAAAGTTTTTATATTATTACTATTTTGTTTTATATATCTAGTGTTCTTTTTTTTTTTTTTTTGAGACAGAGTCTCGCTCTGTTGCCCAGGCTGGAGTGCAGTGGCACAGTCTCGGCTCACTGCAACCTCCATCTCCTGGGTTCAAATGATTCTCCTGCCTCAGCCTCCCGAGTAGCTGGGACTGCAGGCATCCGCTACCACGCCCAGCTAATTTTTGTATTTTTAGAGGAGACGAGGTTTCACCATGTTGGCCAGGATCGTCTCGGTATCTTGACCTCGTGATCCACCCTCTTCGGCCTCCCAAAGTGCTGGGATTACAGGTGTGAGCCACTGCAAGCGGCCCTTGTTCTTAATCGTAATGAACATGAACAGTATTAATAAGTTCAAAGCAATATGTACACGAAGAATTTCTTCTTTCAACAGCAATAAATGGGTAAAATAAGTACAGAACAACTTTTATGATACAGTGTTATAAAATGCATGTGTATCAGTTACCTTTCATCACCTTAATTCTTTGTTAAAAACAAAAACAAAATGCCATAAAACCTCAGTGGCACACAATAGTAAGGATTTGAATGAAGCTCAGGCATCTGATACAATCAGCTGGGCCATTCTGCTGTTTGTAGCTGGGCTCAACTGGTTGGTTATTCTCTTCTTAACTGAACTCACTCAGATGTGTGGATCAGCTGGTTTGGTTTGAGGTGAAAATCAGGACATTTTTACTCTGCTCCATGTCTCTCAACCTCCATCAGACTGGGACAGGTAGATATCTTCTCATGATGAAAGTGGGGTTGGGGTAGCAGTGGGAAAGGGCAAGCCTAATTATACAAATACTTTTCAAGTCTCTTGAGTGTGATACATTTACTAGCATCTCATTGGCTAGTGCAAGTCACTTATCAGTCAGATAATTTGAGATAAATTCATGTGCCTTAATTATTTTTATAACTTAAAACATACCAACAATGATCCAAAATATTTTTTAAACTACTGTGATTTTTAAGATTGTTGAAAATTGTTTTGAAAATTAGTTTCACATTTATCTTTTAGGGAAAAAGAGTTTACCATTGATAATCCAAAAATCTGATAAAATCAGTTGAAGCCTGTTTAGAAAGATTGAGAACTTATAAGTACATACATAAGTATAAATTATATATAATGTAGTATATTATATACATGTGTATGTATATATCCCTGCTGAAATTACCTGCCAGTAGTACCTGAAGAAACTCCTCTTAGAATAAGATGTATTTTAACATTTCATTGTAATGGAAGTAGCTTATTTTACTCACCTTTTTTGACTACAGTTTTTCCGACTCAATTACAGTGTTCCTGTGTGGTTCAAAACCAATAAAAATGTCATTAGTAAAACCAGTCCATGTCATAAAATTGTATTCCATCTAGTTAATTTGACACAAAATAATATAATTATAAATAAAATAATAATGGAGTTATTTTTATAGGCAACATTCTAATACAGTGAGACCCCTTTATCTTATATTTAAAATATTAGAAGCTATAATTTCATATTCCATGTAATATATGTCTTTTAATTTAAATTTAATTTCCTTTGTTACTCACTGCTAGACTGTATCTGTTTTCTATTGCTGCTATAAGAAATTTGCACCAATTTAGTGACTTAAACACTAATTTATCGCTTCACAGTTATGTAGGTCAGAAATCTGTGCAGGCTCAATGGCTTCTGCTGCTTAGAATCTCAGCAAAATCAAAGGGTCAGCAGGTCTAGTCTCTTATCTGGAGGCTATGAGGTAGAGTGTGCTTCCCATCTCGTCCAGGCTGTGGGCAGACTTCAGGTTTAGTGGTTGTAGAACTGAGCTTCCTGCTTCCTTGCTGGCTGTCAGGTGGAGTACTTGTCAATTTCCAGAGGACATCCTGTTTCATGACTCTTGCCAACATTCCTTCATCTTCAAAATAGGCTAGGCAGATTAAGTTTCCTCATGCTTTGAGTCTCTCTGACCTACCCTCTGTCTCATTTAATTTCCCTTGCTCATAGGGACTGCTGTAATTAGACTAGACCCACCCCTCAGGATAATTTTCCTATTTTAAGCATATTCACAGGTTCCAGAGGTTTTGGCATGGACATTGTGTTATGCCATTATTGCACTGCTATGAAGAAATACCTGGGTATTTTATAAAGAAAAGAGGTTTAATTGGTTCATTCTTCTGCAGGTTTTATGGGAAGCATCGTGCTGGCATCTGTTCAGCTTCTGCTGAAACCTCAGGGAGCTTTTAATCAGGGTGGAAGGCAAAGAGGGGCTGGCATATCATATGGCAAAAGCAAGAGCAAGAGAGAAAGACTGAAGGAGGGAGGTGTCACACACTTTGAAACAACCAGATCTCATGTGAACTAAGAGGGAGAGCTCACTTAGCACCAAAGGGACGGTCCAAGCCATTCCTGATGGACCTAGCTCCGTGATCCAAACACCCTACACCAGGCCCCACCTTCAGTATTGGGATTACATTTCAACATGAGATTTGGGTGGGGACAAATATCCAAACCATTTGATTCTTGTGCATTCTTATGCCTACATAAGTTAGGTAGTGAGAGGACAACAGGATCCAGGCAGAGTTTAAACAAGCAGATTAAGGAGAGAGAAACACTACAGCAAACACGGACCTCTCCTTGTTACTCTTGCAGTGAGATTCTCTCTCCTTGATAAGGATAACAAAATGTTGTAATATAAACAAATGACACACACACACACACACACACAGACATATAATACAAAAAGTAACTGGAGGCAGTGCCGTATGTTATAGAGGAAGCTTTGGGTAATTTTGAGAGGGGTATGTGCTGCAGACATTCAGCACTGAAATAAGGCAAGTAATTTGAGTTATTTATTAAAGGACAGGTGATTAAGCTGTGTGATTGAGAGACTTGGGAATGGTGCATACCTTTTATTTATTTCCCTGAATTTGGTAAAACTCAGTGTAGATAATAAATTATGCAACTGAATACCTGTGGAGTCACTCCTGTTTGGCTTGTAAAAATGGAAGCTCTACGTCTTGTCTGGATTGTAGCAAGTTGCTGTTTAGATGCTCCCTCTGTGCTCTTTTCCTACCCACAGTGAGTAGATGGGAGTCAATAGATTATCTCTTTATTTTTGCTTGGTTTCACGTGAATTAGAAGAAAAAAGATGTCAGCAGAATTTAAGATGCAGAGATAACTGCATGGAAGTAAGAGACATCTGAAGTGGTGTCCTACTGCATCACAGATTATCAGGACTCATTTCAGGTCTGTTGCTTGGTTTTCTTAATTTGTCATTGTTTGAACCCATTTCTGGATACTAAGCTTCCTTTTTTGGATTTATGTCTCACAGCCTTATATGTTCATTAATTTTCACCTTGGCTGAATTGGCCGCCCAATCCTTCCCCTTAAACATGTACTTTTCATTCCATTTATCCATTGTAGTTATATCTATCTGGTTGCCACCCCTGAATTCAAGTTATTTGTGTTCATGGAGTAATTTTTAACAACTTTATCAAAGCGTTTTTATAATGCCAGTTTATACCCCTGTTCCCTTCGTCCCATCCCTATATCCTTTCTCCCATCTAATGGAAACTGATGCAAGTTATCGCCCCTTGCAGCTCTTCAGCTTCCCCTTGCCAGCATCTCAAATTACATATAGTGAGTGCCAAACCCAGACATTTGATCTATTCCTCTTGTTCACAACAGTTTCTGCTTGTGGCCTATGACGCAACTGAAATATGATAATAGAAACTTATTCAGTCTTAGGAATTTTTTTAGTGTAGAAATTGAGACTCAGATTGACATATATATATAACTTTTGTTAATTTCAATATGTGCCTCAAATTCCAAACCTTATGGGTTTGTGTTGCTATAAAGCAATACCTGAGGGTGGGTAATTTATGAAGAAAAAAAGATGTATTTTTCTCACAATTCTGGATGGTTGGAAAGTTCAAGATTGTACATCTGCATCTGGCGAGGACCTCAGGCTGCTGTCACTCTTGGCATAGGGTGACAGAGAGCCAGCTTATGCACAGATCACACGGCAGGAGATGAAACGAGAAAGAGTGGGGAGGTACCAGGCTCTTTTTAAGAACTAGCCCATGCAGGAACTAATAGAGTTAGAACTAACACATCACCGTGAGAATGGCACCACGACATCCATGAAGGATCCACCCCCATGGCCCAAACACCTCCTACTTAGGCCCCACCTCCCGACACCACCAAACTGGGGATAAAATTTCAACATGAGATTTGTTGGAAACAAAACATGTCCAAACCATAGCAGTTTATTTTGTGAAAGTGCTGAAGTTTGATGAGTATACTTCAATGATAAAAAAATTAATATTGGCTTTCTAATTTATTTATAAAATAGATACAAAAAAGTCATTATTTATATGTCATTACAATAATCACATTGGCTTGGTGGTATCTAATAAATTGGAGCCACATTGAAGTGAATTCTATACTATACCTCAGCATGTAAATTTACCTGAATTTTATGTCTTCAGTTGTAATTCTTCCAGTTATTTCTAGACTATATGTAGTTTATATTTCTAGATATTCTCCTAGAAAAGAGATTTTTCATGTTAAAGTCCTTACCATAAGGAAGTTTGACTGTCATTCCAAAGAATCTACTCTCTGTCATTAATATAATAAGGAGATATGAAATGGAACATTTTACATTCATAACAACACAAAATTCTTATAAATTGCTGAAACATGAAATAACCAAATAAACTTTATTATTGAAATGGGTTTCTTTAGAACATAAATGTGTAATGTATCTTCTCAAACTTGTTAAATCATAAAGAAGTGCGGTGATTTAGTAACATGAAGCACAGTATATATAAAACTATGTAGCATAAAATGTTCAGCTGCTAAGGTAGCAGGAAGGTTCCAGGAGATATTTTCATAAATCTGGAAGTAGTTCACCTGTTTCATTGATTGTCCTCATTTCATTTACCTAAATAGTGGGTCGTGATTCTCCTGTCTTTGGAGTTTACAAATTTCCTTTAGTTGAATCTGTGTGTTTTGAAATGGTATTTCTTTCACGTATTAGAAAGTTGAATAACTTTGAAGAAAATGGAAATGACATTGTGTGGATTGTCGGAAAACTAGAAAGATGTGATACCTTTCTTTATAAGGGTCAGGACCAGCACTACTATAACAAAGGCATGTTAATAAGAGAAAAGCAAAACAAATTTGTTTAATCCAAGTTTTACATGACACAGAAAACTTCAAAAATGAAAAGCTAAAATCCAGGGAAAACTGTCTATGTTTAGATTTGATGAAGAATGGACAGTCGAGTAGAAATGTGATTGGACAAAAGGCTGTGCTGTAGTGGTAATAAACTGGAAGGGGAAACACAGAGAGGCCTGATGGTTCAGATTCTTCTGGCCTGCCTGTATGGCATTTCTTCTTTCGAGTACAGGGCAGGACCTCTCTGGAATGAAGGTCTTTAAGGAAAAGAAGAGAAGGTTTTATGGCTTGCTTTGTAGCAGATGGGTTCTAGTTTCTAAGACTCACCTTCGAGAAGAGAAATTCTGTTTTTTTTTTTATGATTTTCTTCTGGGTAGAAAATGCGATGGGAGACAGGAGGGCAAGAGAATGTGTGTCGATGAGGTTTGGTCAGTGGTGACTTAGGAAACATTATTAGGCTGCTTATTTGCTTATATGTTGACTTTCCATAAATGATTTTTGAGTTGAATGTTATAAAATGTAAATCTTTATATTTTTATTTTCACTTTGGATTTTTTTTCTCATAACATACCAGTCTACTAATTTTCAAGGAACATTCTTATTAGTATATTTAAAAGGCCAAAATAGTATTACTCTTATTTAATAATTAATTTAATCACAGTTAGCTAAAATTTGACTTTATCCAACCTGAAGACTTTTCCTAGAGAAGTGCTTATATTCATAATTAAACTAAAATTTTAGTTCAGAAGTATAAAATGTTGCTGTCTAATTTAAGAATAAAATACAAGTTTTTAGAAAGTTGTGTGGAAAGTTTTACATTGGACGAGAAAGACCAAAGAATTGATACGATGTTTAAAAAGATTTGGGTTGAATCTATAAACTAATAATATGGGCCAGCGTGGTGGCTCACACCTGTAATCCCAGCACTTTGGCAGGCCGAGGCAGATTATTTGAGGTCAGGAGTTCGAGACCAGCCTGACCAACATGATGAAACCCCATCTCTACTAAAATACAAAAATGAGGCGTGGTGGCGGTGGGTGCCTGTAATCTCAGCTACTTGAGAGTCCGAGGCAGGAGAATCACTTTAACCCAGTAGGCGGAGGTTGCAGTGAGCCAAGATTGCGCCACTGCACTCCAGCCTGGGTGACAGAGCGAGACTCCCTCTTAAAATAAAAGTAAACTGATAATTTGGATGAATGTTACAATGTTCTATAACATGGGTGAATTTTAATCGCAGTACCATTGAGTATCTATTAGGTCTAAGTCACTACATAAGGCCTTTCCCTGCATTTGAGCCAGAGTAGATATTCCAGTCTCGGCTGCCTCTTACCTTGCCAATGATTGGGATTAGCACTACCAGCCAGGTGGCAAGGCATATACAATATGTATAAGGTTGGAAGAACATTGAACAAGAAAAGAAAACTGAAGCTTTAGCTTTTATGACTACCCTCTAGGGCATTATTAATAAGTCCACAAACTGTGAAAAAACTGTAAGAATGCTCCACTCTAGTAAAAAATGAAAGGACAGTGCTACTTTCCAGATCCTAATGATGTAAGTCCTGCTCTGCTTTGAAGAAAACCTATAATTTCACAATATTTAAAACTTAAAGTGCTAGGGAAGTATTAAGATTTCATCTTTTTCACATTTACTTAGCTGTCTTCTGAAAATGAATAAGATCCACTATCTTATTTTGACAGATTTTAAATTATTGTGTTTTGTATACACATTTGTTTTGTGACTTTTATTGCATTTGCATTTCACCTTGGCACTTTTTAAGTACACTTAATAAATATGTTTTAATGATGAGGACAACTGTGAGTTGACCTTTCCTGAAGGTAGTGGTGAAAATACCAATATACAAAAGCGGCATCTGCCATGATGATGAGGAGCCGTAGTTTAAATAGATCTGGGTTGCTACTGTACTCTCCAAGTTAGTGTCCTAGTTTCTTCTCTTGTTTCTTACTTTCCATTTTCCACAGAGCAGCTACAGATATCTTTTTAAAATATATTAATCATATATAATTCTCCTACTTAAAACCGTGAAATGATCTTAGGAGAAATTTAGTCGTCTTTCTTCAGTCTAAAAGCCCTATATGACTTTGGTACTCGCCTTCCTCTCGCTCCCTATCCATCCTCAACACAGTCCTCCTTGCTTGTTCTCTTCAGTCACCTCGGCTTTCCTTCTGTCCCTTGAGTGCACCACCTCCTTGCAGCCTTAGCACTTTTGCACTTGCAGTCACCTGTGACTGAAACCATCTGCCCTTAGACCATCCTAAAGGTACTTCTTGCTTGTCATTCTGGTCTCAGCTAGGAGGTCATGTTTTCAATGTGGGCTCCCCTGACCACCTCATCAAAAATAACATTCTCCCCCAAATTATTATATCACTTTACTACATTTTCTTTATAGCTGACTTATTTTCTTCAGTTATTTTGTGATCTGTTCTCCCCTACACATAAGTAAGTTTCCTGAGGGTGATGCCTCTGTATTGCATGCTACATCATAGGCTATAAACACATATTTGCTGGAATAATAAAAAAATTCCATGTGAAAGTACTTTATATAAATGCTAATGCACATCACGATATAAGATGCAGTTACTAGCTAAGCAACAGTCAGACAACTCCTTTTTATGTATTTGTTCTGGCAACCTGAATAAAAGCATATGTAATCTGTGAGTGTGTATTGTCTTTAAGGACAGGTAGGTAAGTGGTCATCTAATGTTCACGGGGCACACATTTTGATACGGATTTATTTTCCACCCACTGTGCATCTTCTGCTGTGGCAATAATTAGAGCCTGTGAACTGAAGTGAAGGAAACATTTACAATGTTGAATAACCTAAAGGGAAGACAAGGGTATCTAATTAGTCTTTCTTGTGACAATCTTTTTTTGGATTAATATTCTTTTCTTTTGAAAAGTCTAACAGTGGATTCTTATGTCACTGACTCTACTGATAATTAATAGTGTTCACCATACACCTACACACACTCCCTCCAAAATATCCTCTCGTAATGCCACTACTGGAAAGAACAATTTCAATTAGAAAGGAGAGCTTTTGAAGTATATATCATGTGGTCTATTATAAGAAATGTGTCCTATTATAAACGAAAAAAATCTCTGCCAGAACATAATATTTTATGTAACATGCCTGGTATATTGTTTAACAAAACATTTTATGGATACTTCATTAGGGCATGACTTGATTAAGAAGCAGGACTAGCATTCACCCACATTGTCTTTTCTTGAATCTGTAAGATGTGTTCCTGTACGATTTTCACCCTACTTATAAGCTTATTAACTTAGGAATGTTGTGACAGAGCCTTTATTTTTGAATCTTGTAATTATAATTAATAGTAAGTTAAAGGGAAGTAGAAAGCTTATATTCAAAGTTTGAAGTAAAATGACTTTGTGGCACTTAGGGCAGGTGCCAGGAAGAAATTAAGCAAAAGCTTATTATTCTTATTTATTAGAACTTTGGGATGACATCTTTGAGGATGATAGTCATTTTATGGTTACAAGAGGGAGACCTATTTGTGGACAAAGCTTGAGGAGGGGTATCCTGCTATCTTCAGCTCCGCATGCCCAGGGTCTAAAATGAGCTTTTCCCCCAAGATTAGCAACTACTTTGTGCTAGTTGCATATGTGCAAGTAAGGATAGGAGTGAATGTGTACATACTCTCCACTACTTCCCTCAGTGTGTTCCTGAAATCCCTATCATGAAAGAAACAACCACAAAATTTCCTTATATTAACTTGTGAAAGTGTTATTTATGATGGCTACATTTTTGCCAGAGAGTGACTTAACATCATATAAAACACAGTAATGTACGATGTTTATCAAAACTAAGAGAAAACATCGTTTAATTGTAAATATCTACAGTTTTAAGTAGGGAATGTCCTACCCATGGTCTTTAAAAGAAAAAAGTATGAATGATAGATGTTAACTATATGAAGGGCCAAATTACAAGGAAGTTCAATAATGTTGAATAATAGTAATAATAGTTGACATTTGTGGAAAGCTGACAAATGTTCAGATAATTGTTCTAAGTACTTTACATATATCAACTTATTTTATACTCAAATGCCCTGATGGATCAGTATTTTTACCCTGTTTTCACAAATAAAAAAGCTGGGCTGTACAACATAATCAGCTAGTAATTAAGTTGTGGGCCATTCTTCAAATCTAGGCAGGCAGGCCCCAGATACCCTGTCTCTCTGTGCTGTGACAATGTTCACTAAATTTTCACTATGTGTCTAGCACCATTCTAAGTCCTGTACAAGTATTAACTTTAAAAATTCCCATAATAAGCTTATGTGATCAATCCTACAGTAGTCCCATTTCTTCAGGTGAGGTACCTGACAAAATTCTTGATAAGGAATTTATCCAAGAATGTCTAGCTAGCTAACACTGGAACAAGAATTCAAACTCACATCTTACTTCAGAGCCAACACTTTTAAACATTAGTCTACCCCATGTCATGCAAATGTTTAGGGATCAGCAAACTATGGCCCACAGGCCAAACCTAGCCCACAAACTGGTTTTGTAACTAAAGTTTTGTTGGAACACATCCTTAATCATTCGTTTATGTTTTGTCTATGTCTGCTTTCATGCTACAAGAGCAGAGCTGAAAAGTTACAACAGATAACATATGGCCCATAGCCTAAATTATTTACTCTCTGGTCCTTTTCAGAAAACGTTTGCCAACCTCTGCTTTAGACCATGAGTGTTTCTTTAGCAATTATCTTTGCTTGATCCATCCCACCACCACCCTGAATCTAGACAATTTTCAGAAAATAGCAAGTGACAATAGTTTTAACTTTTTACACATGGTTAGAAAATGACAAAAAAGACCAGTTCTTTAGAAACTTCAAAATGCATCTGAATAAGTACCCTAGACACACATAAAACAACATTCTCTGCTCTTGCTTTCATCTAAAAAAGGAAAAGTCAACAGAGGTGTTGAGCTAACTCTACTTAAAGATATGGACTTGAGACAGTTCACTCAAGTTCATGTATTCTGGCTTTACCACTTCCTAGCTTTGTGACCTCGGGTGGATCACTTAACCTCTATGTATCCCAGTTCCTCCACCTGGAAAAATGGGGATAGTGGTAAACGTAACTCATAGGAGAACAGGAATATCTCATTTTATCGCATTTCACTTTGTTGCATTTCATAGTTACTACTTTTTTTTTCTAACTGAAGTGTATTGGTTAATATGCTGTTATAAAGACATACCTGAGACTGGGAAATTTATGAAGAAAAGAGATTTAATTGTCTCACAGTTCTGCATGGCTGGGGAGACCGCAGGAAATTCACAATCATGGCAGAAGGCACCCCTTCACAGGGCATCAGGAGAGGGAATGAGAGCAGAGTGGAGGGGGAAGCCCCATATGAAACCATCAGATCTCATAAGAACTCACTTACTGTCATCAGAACAACATGGGGGAAACCACCCCCAGGATTCAATTTTCTCCACCTGGTCCTGCCCTTGACATGTGGGGATTATTATAATTCAAGGTGAGATTTGGGTGGGTACACAGAGCCAAACCATATCATTTTACTCCTGGTCCCTCCCAAATCTCATAACCTCAAATTTCAAAACACAATCATGTCCTTCCCAGTCCCCCAAAGTCTCAACTCATTTCATCATTAACTCAAAAGTCCAAGTCCAAATTCTCGTCTGAGACAAGTTCCTTCTGCCTATGAGCCTGTAAAATCAAAAGCAAGTTAGTTACTTCCTAGACACACTGGGGATACAGGCAGTTGGTAAATATACCCATTCCAAATGGGAGAAATTGGCCAAAACAAAGGGGCTACAGGTGCCAGACAAGTCCAAAATCCAGTAGGGCAGTCATTAAACGTTAAAATTCCAAAATGTTCTCTTTGACTCCATGTCTCACATCCAGGTCACATTGATGCAAGAGGTGGACTCCCATAGCCTTGGGCAGCTCCACCCCTGTGGCTTTGCAGGATACAGCCCCCTCCCAGCTGCTTTCATGGGTATTGAGTGTCTGTAGCTTTTCCAGGTGCACAGTGCAAGCTGTCAGTAAACCTACCATTCTGGGGTCTGAAGGACAGTGGCCCTCTTCTTACAGCTCCGTTAGGCAATGCCCCAGTTGGGACTGTTTGTGGGGGCTCCAAACCCACATTTCCCTTCCACACTGCTCTAGCAGAGGTTCTCCATGAGGAAGCCACCCTACAGCAGACTTCTGCCTGGACATCCAGGCATGTCTATACATCTTCGGAAACCTTGGCAGAGGTTCCCAAACCTCAATTCTTGACTTCTGATCCCCCACAGGCCCAACACATGTAAGCTGCCAATGTTTGGGCCTTGCACCCTCTGAAGCAAAGGCCTGAGCTGTATGTTTGCCCCTGTTAGTCATTGCTGGGATGCAGGGCACCGAGTCCCAAGACTGCACAAAGCAGCAAGTACCTGGGCCTGGCTCATGAAACCATTTTTTCATTTTAAGTTTTGAGGAAAGAAGCTATCTCCATAACATAAAAGTATGGTGAAGCAACAAGTGCTGAAGTAGAAGCTATAACGAGTTATCCAGAAGACATAGCTAAGATAATGAATGAAGGTGGCTAAACTAAAAAATCATCAGCATAGGATGGGTGGCTCACACCTGTAATCCCAGCACTTTGGGAGGCCAAGGAGGATGGGTCACCTAAAGTCAGGAATTAGAGACCAGCCTGGCCAACATGGCGAAACCCTATCTCTATCAAAAATACAAAAACTAGCCAGGCATGGTGGCGGGCGCCTGAAATCCCAGCTACTCAGGAGGCTGAAGCTGGAAAATTGCTTGAACCCGGGAGGCGGAGGTTGCAGTGAGCCGAGATCACTCCACTGAACTCCAGCCTGGGTGACAGAGAGAGACTGCATCTCAAAAAAAATTATTCAGCATAAACAGCCCTTTATTGGAAGAACATATTATTTAAAACTCTTAAATCTAGAGAGGTAAAGTCAATGCTTGGCTTCAACAACTCCACCTGACAGGCTGACTTTCTTGTTAGGGGCTAATGCAGCTGGTAACTTTAAGTTGAAGCCAATGCTCATTGACCATGTTGAAAATCCTAGGATCTTTAAGATTATGCTAAATCTATTTTGCCTATGATTTATAAATGTAACAACAAAGCCTAGATGACAGCCCATCTGTTTACAACATGGTTTAATGAATATTCTAAGCCCACCTTTGAGACCTACTGTTCAGAAAAAAAAATGATTCTTTACAAAATATTACTTCCCATTTAAAATTCACCTGGTCACTCAAGAACTGTGATGAAGATGTACAAGGAGACAAATGTTATTTTCATGCCTGCTGACAGAACATCAATTCTGCTTCCCGTGGGTCAATGAGTAATTTCAACTTTCAATTCTTATTTTTTAAAAACTATATTTTGTAAGGCTATAGCTGCCATAGACAGTGATTCCTCTGATGGATCTGGGCAAAGTAAACTGAAAACCTTCTGGAAAGAGACTTTCATGATTTATAGGAAGAGATCAAAATATAAACATTAACAGAAGTTTGAAAGAAGTTGATGCAAACTCTCATGGATGACTTTGAGAGGTTCAAGACTTCCCTGGAGGAAGTCACATCAGATGTGATAGAAATAGCAAAAGAACCATAATTAGAAGTGCATCCTGAAAATGCGATTCAATTGCTACAATTTTATGATAAAACTTGAATGGATAAAGAGTTGCTTCTTATTGATGAGCAAAGAAAGTAGTTTCTTGGGATGGAATCTACTCCTGGGTGAAGATGCTGTGAACATTGTTGAAATAACAATGAAGGATTTAAAATATTTCATAAACATATTTGATAAAGATGTTTGAGAGGGTTGACTCCAATTTTGAAAGAAGTTCCACTGTGGGTAAAATGCTATCAAACAATATCACATGCCACAGAGAAATCTTTTTGAAATGAAAAGTACATCAATGTGGCAAACTTCATTGTTGTCTTATTTTCAGAATTTGCTACAACCATCTAGCCTTCAGGAACCACAACTCTGATTGGTCAGCAGCCATCAACATCAAGGCAAGACCCTCCACCAGCAGAAAGATTATGACTGGATGAATGTTAAGATCAGCCCCATTTTTTAGCAATAAAGTATTTTTTCATTGTCAGTTTAGACATAATACTATTATATACTTAATATACTATAGTATAGGGTAAACATAACTTTTATATGTACTGGGAAACCAAAAAGTTTATATGATTTGCTTTATTGTGATATTCACTTTGTTGAGATTGTCTGAAACCAAGATTGCCTGATACCTGGAGTATCTCCAAGGTATGCCTGTATTATAGCCATTGAATGAATTTATGTATGCAATGTTGGGAAGAGGAACTGAATCCTATAAAGTATTAGTTATTACTCCTATTCTTCAGCTTCTTCAAAAGACTGATTCAGAGGTAAACAGAATGGTCGAAGGTGAGCCCTAAGTATAACTGGGTAAATTTTTAATGAATGAAAAGCCTGTGGAATCAATGATTATTAAGTATTGTTCTACATTTATTTTTAGAGACCTCTATGAAAATAAAAAATAAAAAGTCCGCCAGGTGCAGTGGCTCACGCCTGTAATCCCAGCACTTTGGGAGGCCGAGGTGGGCGGATCATGAGGTCAAAAGTTTGAGACCAGCCTGATAAACATGGTGAAATTCCATCTGTACTAAAAATACAAACATTAGCCAGACATGGTGGCACGCACCTGTAATCCCAGCTACTCAAGAGGCTAAGGCAGGATAATTGCTTGAACTTGGGAGGGGGAGGTTGTAGTGAGCCGAGATCACACCACTGCTCTCCAGTCTGGGCAACAGAGCGACACTCCGTCTCAAAAAAAAAAAAAAAAAAAAAAAAAAAAAAAAAAAAAACTCAATGTCCTCTGACAACTTGATGTATAATACCGGACTTCTACTATTAGCACAAGAAAATGAATTAAAGATCTTAAAGATCTTGGTAAGTGCAGCATGTACATCTGCACAAAAACTTATGTAGACAGATTGTGGGAGAGGCTCTCCTCCCTTGGTTTCTCTGGCAGTACCAGAGCATATTAACTGTAAAGAACAGGTTCTTCTAACCCCTCTAACACTATTGTGTCTGGTGGTACCCAGCTCTGATACAATACACTGGCAATTTCTAAATTGGTTCTTTACCTCAGGGCTTAATAATGACTAAATGACTTAAGCATTTACTGGGAATGATAATAGTTACATCCAAGCTCTGTAACAGGAATTATTGATATTTATAGTACACATAGAAATAATAAATGATTGAAGATTCATACTAAGCTGGAGTAGCTAAAATTATGAGTCTTAAAGCCAAGCCATCCTGGGTTCAAAGTTGGCTTCCGTTCACTACCAAATGTAAGCTTGGGCAATTTATGTGGTATCTCTACTAACTCTGTTTACAATGGCATAAAATAATAATACTGATAGTACCAACATCAGTCACTAAGTCATGTATTTGATGAATGTTTATTGAATAGCTACTATGTGCCAGCTACTATTGGGGTTGAGCATACAGCAAATAATACAGATATGAACCCCAGCTCTTTTGAGCTTTCATTTCACTTGTGAGAACTAAGCATTTAGTACCAGGTATGGGGCACATTAAATTTTCAAACAATGTTAAATATCATTACCATTAGTTGATGATGATGATGATGATGATGATGACAGTTATGTCTCATTATGGAGTTGAGAATAACACAATTTCTGTACGTGGGAAATATTTCTGGTCCATAGCCCTTAAACTGCTTCCCTCCCACAGGAGTGATTTGAACTGAGATTTGGAACTCCTCCCTGGGGGTCTTTATCGCTATGTCCCAGTATTTGCTGATGCACTTATTCCATAATAATTCAAAACCAGGTATTTATTAATATATTATCAAAGCATTAAATTCCTTTCTATATATGCTGAAAATATTTCTATTCAGCTAAAGAACATTGTATGCCTTGCTGAAATGTGTGTAGAATTACCCACAAAAGTCATTTACAGATATATATATATATATATATATGTGTGTGTGTGTATATCTATAAATAGACAGATATTTATACATATATAAATATATGTGTGTATATCTATATATTTATAGATATATGTATATATATACAGATATATCTATCTATATATATATATACACACATATGTGTGTGTACATGTATGTATCTATGCCAGTGTTAGAAAAGGAATATATGGACAAATCAGAGTGTGATTAGGAGGATCAGTTCATGTGGAATAGGAGTCCAAGTTGTTTAAGGTGTCACAGAGGAGGCCACATAGTGGAGGGGATGAGAAGAGTCAGAAAAAAGTACTTCCAAATCTGATTAGCTATCAGTGGGTTTGTATTTATATTTTTGCCTTAACTTCTACAAATAATTCCTCTCACAAAAGTCATTTTGGAAACTTATCTTTCAAAGTTCGTAAAAACATCAATGATTTTAGTTATCTTCACTTAAAGAGGGTAATTTATCATCTGGTCAAGGGTGCATGTGTCTGCCAGGAAAGCTGTGAGCCAACATACATCATACTCAGTAGCTTCAAGGATTCAGTTTGCCTTCTTGTGTGTATTTGAATACAGAATTCATTTTAATCTGACATTTTTTACCTCTCATCATATTTTTCTTCTAATTAAGTTCTATAAATGTATCTTCTATCCGGTTTGAGCTGTAATAAATTCTTTACTTGAATTGGCCTTCTGAAAGTCACAAACCAACATTATGATGAATTGCAAAATGAATAATTTCCCTTCCACTGTGTTTATTTTGAGCAGCAAAATGCTGGAGAAAAATGAAACAATGTTTCACTAGAAAGAAGGCCATGCCCATAGTGGTTACATGGCTTTGACCTGAATGCTGCTAATGCTGAAGCCAGTAGATTCCCAAAACTGTGTAGGTCTAATTTAAAAATAATTTTTCAGTTGATAATTTTAGAGTTTAATGATATTAATGTAAGATATAAATAATGAGAAATGTTTTGCTCTCATATAAGCCTGGAGTTAGCTAGCCATGTTGGTGTGGACTAGAGCCATGGTTTCTTTGGGAAATGTGTTTCTTAAAATCCATATTGCAGAAGAAAAGAACAAGGCCATTTATAGAATAGACTAAGGGAAAAATGAACATGTGATCGCTGTTTTTTAAATCATCATATGTCTTACCGCACCACATTGGCAAGTAAATGTATTATTGTCTTTGAATTTAGATGGCCAAATTGAAATTGAACAATTTGTTACTAATATTTAGGTTGGAATTTTAATAGGTGCTTAACATTGGACACATCTGTTCCCATTACATTGTAAGGCATAGATGAAACTTTATACAAATAAGATTAAAGCATTGCCATAGCTAAAATATCAGGCATTAACCTTGTAGACTTTTGATTTTAAAATAGTTGAGCTCCAGTATTAAAATAGCCACAGTGATCAGAGTCCAGTTCAAATAATAGTGCTTAATGTGTTAATCATTAATCTTACATACTTCTTTCTCATTTCCCTCTATGCCTTTATAGAGTGGGAATTGCCTTATATCTTGAATTCATTACTGTAATTTGTGTACTGTGCATTGACTGAAGCCAATTTAAGTGGTAATGTAGGATAGAATTTTAGTTCCTTCACTTTGTGTAGATAGTGGGCCATGGAGTTAATGTTTCATTTATAGTATTTATTACAGAACTATGATAATGTGGTTATGATTCATGATCTTTTCCTGGATAATGGCTGATTTAAGACATATTATAGTTTGAAAACAATGTTGATGTTCTATAGTAACCATGACCACTGGTCCAAATATCCCAACATAAAAATACCATTGGCATAATTTTTCTTCCCTTAAAGAAAAACCATAATTACTCTTTTCAAACCAGAATTAGATATGCACAATCACCTAAACCAACTACTTTGTCTTGCAAATGAGGAATCCGAGATCCAGTGAAGCTGACTAGATTGATGGAGATCAGAAAGCTACTAGTGTTAGAGCTATAGCAGGGATGCAGAACCTGCTTCCTCTTATTTTGGGGCCAGTACTCTCAAAACTATCCTGCCTTGCTAAAATCGGATAATCACTGCCATTTCATTTATTCATATTCTGAAAACATTTGCTATTATCTCCCCATAACTCTTTTTTCTTTCTCCTCGCGCAGTGTCTCCATGCAACCCCACAAAGACATCCTAGTCTCCTGTGGCGAGGACCGACTCTGGAAGGTGTTGGGCCTTCCAAAATGCAATGTGCTTCTCACGGGATTTGGCCACACTGACTGGCTTTCAGACTGCTGCTTCCATCCCAGGTCAGTGCACAGGACCCCTAGAAATAGCCTAATCTCTCTAGGAATGTGCTCCTTTACTCTGTCTGCTCACTCTGCTGTCTTTGATGATGTTTTTCTTTCTGCAACAACACACCCTGCACTGAATTTCAAAGTGTATAGACAAATTCCCCTTTGGTTTTCAGTATATTGACTTCTGATTGTTTTTGATATTTGGTACATGTAAAACTTAGTCCACATGCTTATGCATTTAACCAAAGTAATAAGCTTCTCAGGACAAGCATTATTAAAATTCCTTGTGCTCACGAGCCCTGACAAGGCACAGAGATTTCTAGTCAATAATGCATGCCAGAATTTACCTTTGTTAATCTTTGGAGTTTTCCTTTTAGAATTAATTTATGTACCAAAAAGGATCAGATAGCTGCGATCAATTTCTCTAAAAATTCAGTGACACACAAGATATTAAAAAGAACAAAGCAATACTGAGAACACTGGGCCCTGTAATTTCTGAAATTCACTGAACCTAAATTCATTTGTACCTAAAAGACCAAGGGCACAGAAGGGAGATCATTCTTAAAGACACAGATGGAAAACTGCCCATAGTTCCTTGTGGCCCATTGCTACTGCCAATCCTGTTTTCTGCTCATCATACTTCTTGGATCTGCTTCGTTCTAAAACTCTCTGGCCTGATTACTTTTTTAACCCATAGTTCTTGGTGCTTTTCTAAACCATTCTTTTGGAAATTTTGTTCTTGGGAAGATTTCTTATGATTTATTTTCATGTTTTCACTAAACTCCTTTTTTAAATCAGTTTTTATTTTATCTTTGCTATGAATGTCTATGAAATTAGATAAAAAAATTTTATTTAAATTTAGAAATTTGTAAGTTAATGACAAGGGTAAACTAAGTTTGTTTTTAACTTTTGAAAATCTTTCCAAAATATAATTTATCTTTAGTACTAGATGTTTGACCCTACTTTATGAACATGCAGTGTATTCCGTATCCAGTATATAAATTAAACAGAGCCTTGCCACCCTCTCACCTCTTAGGAACATAAAACCCATGTTGCAAGCAGAGACAATACAATTAGAAGAATAGCCAATCGCTTATGTAGCTACTGGGCATACTAATCAGATTTTGATAATGCCCTGTTACCATGACAGCCAGTGACTCAGAGATTTTCTCATTAGTGTTTGACCAGCAATGGTCCTTTTAATAGATCTTCCTGTTTTCCCATTCAATTACTGAAATTAATATGAGGTGAGATACATCATTATTCACTCATAATATGAATTTACATTTAGCACTTTCTTACGGCAGAATTGTAGTAAAATACTGCTATACTGTTTGCTTTTTTTCAGTGCATGAGACAAATATAAGGGGAGAAAATAAATATAACCATAAGTGTTTTTAAATGAGAGATATTGAATAGCAAATGTTCTTTTTGTAGAATTAATAAAAAAGAAAAAATGATCATTAGAAACAACAACAAAAAAAGCTCTATTTTGGTTTATTTGTGGTGAAACACATTCTGAAAGAGTTTATATCTCAGACCACAAACATTTTATAATCCTTGTATGCAAACCAACACTAAATAGCAAATGAATATGAAAAAATATATATGTACCTACAGATAGTGTTGATAGATTAAAAGTTGTTGGAATTTATGTTTCCTGGAATTTAAATTTGTAATATTTGACTTTTGCTTTGGCTTATGTGATTTGGTAAGAAAAGATAGTTAATTAATGAAGATAATATATTTCCTATCTCATGGTATACTTCATCTATAATTTAAAATCAAACCTAAAATAAGTTTGATTTAAATATGATACTCTAATCTGTAGTTGATTTTTTAATGAATACAGTTATAGTCTTCAGAGTCCAGCTCTGGGCTCTGGTTGATTCTGCTTTCTTGGGAGAGGCCTAGGGTGGACACAGTATATACTAACATTTACTGTCCTCCTATGCTCTTCACACAAGACACATATACTTTTTCTTATTTTTTTCTTTCCTTTGCTTTTAACATTTCCTTTATTTTTAATTTCAGTTGCTTCTAGTTGAATATTTTCTCTAACTGTTAGCTGGATGTATTCCTGACTACAATGGTAGCTGACACTGTCAGGCACTCTATCTTCTGCAATGATGACATATCCAAATTTTGTTTGGGGGTCAATTATTCTTGACATGATTGTGGTTTACCTTGACTGACCCCAATCAATCTTCTTTGTCCTATTTCTCGTATCATAGCAGACATCTCAAGTGCCTAAATAATAAATACAATAGACATAGTAATACTCATATCAGACAAAAGAAGATTAATAGGTAAAAAAATAAACTGAGGGGATAACTAACACTTGAGAATCCAGCTAATATGATGTCGAAATATATAAAACAAAAAATCTCGTAAAACAAGATGATAGTAAAAAAATGTAATAATCAGAATCAAAGACTTCAAGGTATCTCTCTCAACTTTTAATCTGTCAAGTAAACAAAATTTGTAGTGGAATTAGAAGAATTAACATGGTAGTATAATTAACAGTATATATTTACCTCTGTACAAGGAGAGAATATAAATTTTTTGAGTTCATTTATGGTTCAATTTTCAAAAAGGCATAAATTCTTTACCCAAAATCTAGCATAAATTCCTCATAGTATAAATTATACAATCCATAATTTATGACCAAGATTCAATGATAAAAGGAAGTGATATGAAATTAATAACCATGAATGAGATTAATCACAAATTTTTAAGACACATGTAAATGAATACTGAGTCAAAGAGGAACTATAAACTTTCATTACATAGTTGGTAAACAGTTAACAACTACAACACTTACGAAGTTTATGAGATGTATCCAAAGCCGTATTCAGAGTAAAATTCATAGCTTTAAATTCTTTATCATTAAATAAGAAAAAAAGAAAATAAGTGGATTATGAATTCAAATTGAAAAAACAATGAAATAAAAAATGCAAAAGAATAAATCAATGAAAATTAGAAATTAATAATGAGAATAGAAAAAGGATGTATATTTATGTATGTTATATACCTATGAAAACTTCTGAACTTATATATATATAAAATATATAAACATTTGTATATAAATTTTTTATATATTTATATACATATAAATAATATACATATATACATGCACATATATGTGTAAATTCAGAATTTGTCTGTCCTCAAGGGGAAAAATAATGAGGAGGTACAATACATTAGATATCCTGGAAAACTGCTGAAAATATATTAATAAGTAAGAAAACAGTAATATACATAGCAACTTGGAAGGAGATAGTACTATATACACAGAAACTTATATTATATATATATACTATATATATATGTGCTTAAATTTTTTAGGAAATAATAAATCTCTGTGAAAGTAAACATTCTCAATGCTAAATCAAGATGGAAGAAAAACCTGGACTAGATTAAAAACTGTTGAAGAAACTGAGTTTTAAAGTTTTACCTTGCATGCCCATCTTTAGCAGTTTTATGAGTGAGTTTTTAGAAACTTACCAAAAAGAAAGAAAGAAAGAAAAAAAAGTGTTAGAATAAAACAGGTAATTTTTAGTTTCATTACCTAGCCCAAGGACAGAAAAAATAAAAGGGAAATTCATTACTGGTTTTAAAAATAAAGCATAAACATAATTTTAAACCTAACGGATACAGTACTCACATGGTAACAGAGACCCATTTCACTATTTTGAATGCAAAACTTTAAAAAATGATATAGAAAATGAAAGCAGTTGTATGTTTAAAAAGAGCAATATACCATGACCAAGTAAGAATTGTACTAGGAAAGCATGAAATATATAAATGATCCGACTATGAGGACATCATATAATAAATTATACTTATAGATATTGGAAGTTACTTTAAAAAGTGGCATAAATCTAGCAACTATACCTGTTAACACACGTTTGCATATATTGTTAGGTCCCATGTGTTGAAATTGATTAGGGGAATGGATTTTGGAACAGCTAAAACTCTTAATAAGATCTGCCAGGTGAATGTCAAACCTGGATGCCATGAAGCTTAATGAGTCAAAAGCAGAATGGTGCTTACAGGAAATAGTTCAAGAGGGGAACATAAAACCAACCAGGTAAAAATGTAGACAATCCCCAAAGTCAAAACAGGAGCAAGGGTCCAAGCTAACATCTGTCTATGGAAGCTTAATTACTTCTCCAGTTGGTGTTTACTCTCTTTAAATGTTGACTACATATTTTATTTTTTTCCCTTAATAATAATGACTACTTTTTGTTGAACACTAACACCGTCTAACATATTTATAACTCAAAAAATGAATGTGGAAATCCTTTAAGTTTTATACAAATATAATGCAGACTATACAAACAGAAGGCATTTAAAAATTGCAAGTCTTCAAAATACTGCATTGCCTCAAAATAATAACTATACACATAACTGATTATTTCTATCTATTGTTTACAGTGGAATTGGTTCTGTTTTTATCTAAGTTTTTAATTTCCTCAGTAGGACTTGTCTGTCCAGATCTTTTTTAAGGACATGGATAACTTTCGTCACAGTGTAACTCATCATTATTACATATTTACCACTAGATTAAGGTCATATATTGGTAAGATAAAGCACTCTTTGCATTTACTTGGTAGACTGATGGAAATGTTGGTAGCTGTTGAAAGTGATTCATCAATCATTGAAAATGGTAAATGAATGGATCAATGCAGGGAATGTGCATTAGCACTATCTTTGTACTACTGAAAGAAGAAAATGTACATTGCCAAAAAGTGGGAGCATAAACATACCCTTGTGCAAGGTAGAGGTCATACGAGTGGCTCGTTTTAGAATGCTAGCCTCACCATTGCCAGTCTTTTCAGGTTTCTCTTCTGCAAAATAGAAAGAATAATGATGCCTACTTTATAGTTTGATTGTGAAGACTAGTGTTATAATATCTGAAAAACACAAATACGGTTGCTAGGCACACATATGTTCAATAAATGTTAGCTATCATCATATTTTTCATTGATAGAAATTTTGAGAACTTAAAAAGATAGCTCGGCCGTGTTCAGTGGCTCACGCCTGTAATCCCAGCACTTTGGGAGGCCGAGGCGGGCGGATCATGAGGTCAGGAGATCAAGACCATCCTGGCTAACACGGTGAATCCCCGTCTCCACTAAAAATACAAAAAAAAATAGCCGGGCGTGGTGGCGGGCACCTGTAGTCCCAGCTACTCGGGAGGCTGAGGCAGGAGAATGGCATGAACCTGGGAGGTGGAGCGTGCAGTGAGCTGAGATCGCGCCACTGCACTCCAGCTTGGGTGACAGAGCAAGACTCTGTCTCAACAAAAAAAAAAAAAAAAAAAAAAAAGATAGCTCAAACGTTGTTATAAAACTGTCAGCCACACAGTGGGCTACGAAGGGAAGAGGCAATTGTGTTTTCTGGATTATACCAAACTCTGTTGGAAAAATGATATGCAACCATCAACATTAGTTGGTAAAATCATGTCTAAAATTCATACCCAGTAAATGATTAAGATAGTTATAAACTGAAAACCAAATTCAATTGCTTCAAAATGTATGTTATCTAACTCTTCTCAGCTCATAAAATGTAAATGTTACTTTAAAATTGTGCCAAACTCATCCTATTTTTTTTTATAAAAATGAGAATTTTTTTTTTATTTTAGATTTTAGATTATGTTTTAGAAAGAAAACAAACTTGGCCAGAAACATCAACAGAATTCCATTTTAAAATCATCTTTTTGATTTGTTTTTTTGCACAATATAAAAAATACAGTGGTTGAACTTCCTTATCCACAGGCAGGTTCTATTTTTGTCCCATTTAGACCAGCTTTGGGCAACAAAAACACAGAGTTACATAATCAATATTCAGGTTAATAATGTTATATCAGTAAAACTCATGCTACATTACTTAATAATATATTAATTGGTCTTTACCTACACCAGACGACTGCTTCATAATAGTAACATAATTTTGAATGTAAATACAATGTCCAGTTCACCAGTGCTTGGAGTTGCATTTTCTTCTGTATGACCACAGCTTATTATGTGAAACAGCATGTAACTCCTCACATATCTCTATAAGTGAAAGCAGTGGGATTAGTGGTTTAAACAATTTCACAGTGCCACATTTTATCCTGAGTTCCCTGCCTGAGGCAGAAATAGAGCTGACAGCATCCTGTTAAACAGAACTTCTACCCTTAGGAGCTGATTCATGAATTGTGAATAAATGGACCTCTCCAAAATACCTCATGTTCTCTCTTCACTGTACAGGCTACCTATTCACATATTTATGTAGTGCCTAAAACCATAGTATGAAAACCCCTTGACGAGTACATTATTTAGATTTTTAAAAATATATATACATGGGACTGGGCATGGTGGCTCACACCTGTAATCCCAGCACTTTGGGAGGCTGAGGCAGGCGGATCACCTGAGGTCAGGATTTCGAGACCAGCCTGACCAACATGGTGAAACCTCATCTCTACTAAAAATACCAAAAATTAGCCGGGTGTAGTGACAGGCACCTGTAATCCCAGCTACTCGGGAGGCTGAGACAGGAGAATCACTTGAACCCGGGAGGCGGAGGTTGCAGTGAGTTGAGATCGCGCCATTGAACTCTAGCCTGGGCAACAAGAGCTAAAGTCCATGTCAAAAAAAAAAAATATATATATATATATGTATATATATATGTATATATATATATAATATGTATACACACACACATGCAAAACTTTTTATTTGGTGTAAGCTGGAAGTTAAGAGTACAAATTTCAAATTATTTTTAATAATACAGATATTGATATACTGTCTCTCTAAAAATTATGATGTCCTCTTTCTTCCTGAGCTGCAGAAGTAGCTGTTTTCATAATCTGGAAAACATAGTAGACTTTTATTAAGACAATTTTGACATGCCTCTGTTAAGTAATAATATTCAACTTTATATTCTTTGCAGAGGTGTATATTATGCTTCTGTTCTTAATATAGTTATCACCTTTATGTGAAAGGGCTAAGCATTAAAAATAACAGCATACTGCTTTGAGTAGTTTTTTTTTTTTTTTGTCTAATTCCAAAAGTAATACAGGATCATCATAGAGAAAAGTGTTAAAAAGAAAATAAATATTTCTCACAGTCCTACAACTCAATGAAAACCACATTTTCTTTGTAAAACCAACCTTGCAAGTATTAATTTTAGCTTTATACACATTTACAAATGCCCTTATAATAATGTCCGTACGTATAGTAGTTACCTGCTTAATATTTAATCAACTAATGTTAAGGAGGGAAATTTGGAATGGAGAGGATCTTTAGACATATCTGTATTGGGGAAGGCCTGGTTTGAATGTTGATGGCAGTTACCTTTTAAACAGCAACTACCATATGTCAAGTATTGCAATTGTACGTAGCAATTATAATGCTATGTATATTTATGATGCTGCTTTCTCTTCCTCAGTTTATAGAAATACTACATCCTCTGTGTCGTTTGTATTCATAGTTAAATTGAGGCCATATAACTGATCTCTGGCCAGCGAAATGTGAATGAAAGTCACATTTTCAGCTGTTGCACATTGAAGAGCAAAGTTTACCTCCTTCAGGCTCTCTTCCCTTCTCTTCAGAACCACATAGCTTTATACAAAGACATAGCTTTATAATGGCATAAGACTGCTTGCTTTCTGTTGAAATGGGATTATAACCAAGACAAATCAAGATATCTTTGTTATATTAAGCCTTATAAGACTGGACGGCTTGTCTATTGTGGCTTGCTAGTGTTAACTATCCTCTGAATTTATGTATTATGTATTATAGATAAATTTATGTATTATAGATAAATAAATAAATTTCAAGGCACTGCCCAAGCGCTTTCCTCCACGAAGTGGCAGAATCTGGTTATACACAAGATGCGACTTTTAAAATCAGACTTATTTTCCAGTATGGGTGTGGAAGAGTATTTGCTCTGTTATTTTACTTAAACTCCCAGCACCTCAGTTGCTCATTTGAAAAGGATGGTAATATATATCAAAAGGTTTTCATGAATGTTCCACGAGAAAATATATATAAAGCATTCAGCACAGTTCTGATCTCAGAATCAGCATTTGGTAAAAATAGCATTATTATGGTTGTTGTTGTTTGGCAGAAGTAGGATTCTAACCTAGGTCTGGTTTGCTGTAAAACTAGTATTGCCTCTAAGTCTATTGGCCTGTCTCTCTTTTTGTAGAAAGAAAATAATTTTTAAAAAACCCATAGGAATGCTATAAGCTCTTTAAGGGCAAGGTCTAGATCTCACCCATCTTTGTATCCCTGGGACACAGAAGGTAAACTGAAACATTATAGAGAATGAGAAAATATTTGTTGAATTAGAATAAACAGAATTGAAGATGCGAGACCAGAAATGTAGTCACTTTCTTTCATGCTCCCAGAAGGTATTATGTAATTTTAGGGACATACTCACAAATATACACATACACAAACACACACACATACCATTCATTATTTCTGAAATCACTTTATCAGAAGAACCTACAACCTAGTATTAGTCCTGCATTGGACAAAAAATCCTAAAATACAAAATCTTCTATGAATAATATTACACCAAGAATAAATTTCAGTCAAAACCCAATAATAGAAGCACTTCCAGAATGGCAGAATAAGGACGTTCAAAAATATATTCCTTCATAAAAGCAGAGAGAATATGGGGGGAGAGGAGGGAATGTTAAAATCCACTTTTTTGGAACACAGGAACTTAACCAAAGGCTTACATCAACTCAAGGAGCACTTATTCAAGAAAAATTGCTGAAACTTACTAAGAAGAGTGAACTCTTTTATGTTTTAACTTTCTCCAGTCCTAAATAGAAAAGCTGGAGAGTGAAATGTCCAAAGGGGATTTGAAGCACACTGACATATTTCTAAGACTATGGAAGGACACATACATGCAAGCGGAGGGCTGTGCACATGCATAGGAAAGACTTGAGAAGGGTCTAATCTCTTGCATCTGGTTGACCTCAAGGACTTGCACAAGCAGGAGGTAAAGGCTAAGGCTAAGTTGTAAACTTCCAGAATGTTAAAGATGTGTCCTAACATGCACACAGAGACACTTGCCAAAGATTGGGTGACTTACTGGTTCAAAGCATTTAATGACCAGTTGACCAATCATTATTTGGCTATTAAGCTAATCTAGAAGAAACTTCTGTGACCACACCAAACATGGAATACAGACTTTACTGAATTACCTCAGGAAATTCACACACACACACACACACACACACACACACACACACACACAGAGAGAGAGAGAGAGAGAGCAAACAGCAGTAAAAACAAACCTTAGAAGGAAGCCTGATTTTCAGAAATTTCAAATTATTTAAAATGTCAGGTTTTAAACAATGTCAAAAAATAGAAAACATGAAAAGGATCAGGACAAAGAACAAAACTTATGAATATGTCATGTTATATGACAAAGTGCCATTAAAGTTGCAGGTGTGATGGAAATCTGTAATCAGCTGACTTTAAGATAAGGAGATTATCTTTGATTATCTAGGTTGACCCACTGTAATCACAAAGTTCCCTTAAGTGTGGAAGATGAAGGCAGAATGGTCAGAGTAAGAGTGATGTGACATGAAAAAGGGATTCTCCCCTAGAGAGACAAGAGAGAACCAGCTCTTATAACACCTTGACTTCAATCCAATGAAACTTATTTTGTACTTATGGCCTCCAGAACTGTAAGAGAGTAACTTCATGTTATGTTATCCACTAAGTTTGTGGTAATTTGTCACAGCACAAAAAGAAAACAAATACACTATTCTTCCACAACTATAGTTGAGTTTTCTATACTAACCTCCTGTCAATATACAACTTTGATGAGCTCATTTATTAATTTAAAAAATTTTAGTATATTTTTTAGACTTCTCTATATACAAGATCATATCATCTCTGAAGAGAGATCATTTTACTTTTTCCTTTCTCATCTAGATACCTTTGATTGTTTTTTTGTTATCAAATTGCTCTGGCTCGAACCTCCAGTGCAATGTTGAAAAGAAGTGACAAATGAAGACATCCTTGTCTTATTTTTGATTTTAGGTAAAACGTGATCAGTCTTTCACCGTTAAGTATGATGTTAGTTGTGGGATTTTTGTAGATGCTTTTATTAGGTTGAAGAAGTTTATTTCTATTTCTAGTCGAATATGTTGATCATGAGAGGATGTTGGATTTTGTTAAATGCTGCTTCTGCATCTGTTGAAATGATCATTTGGTTTTTATCTTTTATTCTATCAGTGTGGCCTATTACATTGATTTTTGTATGTTGAACCAACCTTGCATTCCTGAAATAAATGCTAGTTGCTTATGATATACAGTCATTTATATATGTTGCTGGATTTGGTGTATTAGTATTTTCTTGATGACATTTTTATCTGTATTAATAAGAGACATGGGTGATGCCTTTTTCAGGTTTTGGTATTAGAACAATACTGGCCTCACAGAATAAGTTAGGCAGTGTTCCCTCCTGTCCTATTTTTTGGAAGAATTTGTGAAGTAGTAGTGTTAATTCTTCTTAAATATTTGGGAAAATTCATCAGTGAAGCCATCTGGTCTTGGGCTTTTCTTTGTGGAAAGGTTTTGATTACTGATTCAAGTACAAGAATTTGTCTACTCTATCCAGGTTATCTAATTTGCTGCCATTTTTTTCTCATATTTGTTGCCATGTTGTTAACAATTTCCCTTATAAATCCTTTATAATTCTGTAAATCTGGTAATGATGCCTTTATATAATTATTGATTTTAATAATTTGAGTCCTCTCTATTTTTTTGTTGCTCAGTAGAGCTAAAGTCAATTTTGTTGCTCTTTTCAAAAAATCAACTTTTATTGTTGAATTTTCTATATATTTTTAAATTCTTTTATTTATTTACATTCAATATTATTTTCTTCTGCTTGATTTGGATTTATTTTTCTCTTCTTTTTCTACTTGCTTAAGATAGAAGGTTTGGTTATGATTTGAGATATTTGTTCTTTTTAAATGTACCATTTACATCTGTGAATTTTCTTTCAAGCAATGCTAGAATTATCCTATAAGTTTTCATATGTTGTGTTTTTGTTTTCATTCATATCAAAATATTTTCAGATTTCCCTTATAATTTCTTTTTTGGCCGATTGGCTATTTTAAAGTGTGCTGTTCCATTTCCATATATATGTCATGTGCTGCTTAATGGTGAGGATACATTTGATAAATGCATCATTAGGCAATTTCATCACTATGCAAACATTGGAGCGTGTACTTACACAAACCTAGATGGTATAGCCTACTGCTCTTCCAGGCTATATACCATAGACTATACAGACTATAGCATATTGCCATTGCTATTGCTCCTATATAACAAACTTATATAGTTACTGTACTGAATACCATATACAATTGTAATATAACAATATTTTATATAGAAACACAGAAAGATATAGTAAAAATACAGTATAAAAGATAAAAAGTGGTATACTTGTTTAGGGCATTTACCATGAATGGAGCTTTCAGGAATGGAAGCTGCTCTGGGTAAGTCAGTGAGTGAGTGGTGAGTGAATGAGAAGGCCTAGGACATTACTCTACACTACTGTAGACTATAAACACTGTACACTTAGGCTATACTGAATTTGTTTTAAAATCATTTTTCTTCAATAATAAATCAACCTTAGCTTACGTAACCTTTTACTTTATAAACTATTTAATTTTTTAACTTTTTGATTATTTTGTTAACAGTTTGAAACACAAACTGTACAGCTGTACAAAAATATTTTGTGCTTTTTCTATAAATTTTTCTCTATTTTTTATTTTCAAACTTTTTGTTAAACACAAAGACACACACATTAGCCTAGGCCTACACAGGGTCAGGATCATTAATATCACTTTGGCCCACTTCCACATTTTGTCCCACTGGAAGTTCTTCAGGGGCATAATAATATGTAATATACCCTTAAACAACTAGCAGTGCAGTAGATTTGTTTACAATAACATCACCACAAACACATGAGTAATGTGTAGCCATATGGCATTATGAAGGTTATCATGTCACTAGGCCATAGGAATTTTTCAGCTCCATTATAATCTTATGAAACCATATCATATATGCAGTCCATCACTGACTGCAATGACTTTATATGGCACATGACTGTGCCTTATTCCATTGGCCAAAGCTCAGAGGGAGGGATTGTGGGGACTATGAAGCTACAGGGTTAAGGGCTTGGATGCAGGAAGAAGTGGAGAATTAGGACCATTTTTGAACTCTGTCATTTATATGCATGGGATGACCATACATCTAGGTTTGCCCAGAAAAGTCCCAGTTTATTCCTGTCATCCTTATAGAAATATTATTTTTTAAGAAAGAGAATCTTGCTCTGTTGCCCTGGTTGGAGTGCAGTGGTGCATCATAGCTCACTGCAGCCTAGAACTCCTGGGCTGAAGCAATTTTCCTGCCTTACTCTCCATACGACCTGGGACTACAGGCACATACTACCACATCAAACTAATTTTTTTTTTTTTTGAGACAGGGTCTCACTTTATTGCCCACGCTGGTCTCAAACTCCTGGCCTCATGGGATCCTCCCACTTTGAATCACCCCCTTGTTACTCTAAAAAGTGTCCCAATTTTAATGATAAATTATATGGGAACTCTACATTTGGAGGGTTTTAAATAGAATGGATGCACTCATTGAAAAAATCTGTGAAGTAAGCAGAAGAATTAAGATAAGTTTAGAGTCCATCAAAGAGGTTCCAGGAAGCAAGAGATGAGCCAAAACAGAATGGGTCTGAAGAAGCGAAAAGGGATACATGAAAGAGGGCTAAATGAGAAGGTCAACAGCATCAAGGCATAGACTATCAAATGAATGTGTCTGTTGTGTTTGTCAACTAGAAAGTTTTTTACTGACTATGATGAGAGGCTTCATAGGAGTGGTTGCAGTGAATTAAAGAGTCAACTAATTCTTGCTCTCACACTGATTTAAAAATAAAACTTTAATTTCACTCTTTTGGGTCTTACATTTAAAACAAAAGGGACCAGACTCTGCGGAATTGAGATCCTCTGAGTGTTAACATTTTCAGGATCTGAATACTAAATACAGATGCCAGACTAAAACCAAATGTGTAAGAACCAAGACCTGTAGCTTACATTTATTCTCTATCCATCATTTTTGACACTAAATAAAAATGATCTGGTGTGTATTCATTGGGAATTATTCTGATTTTATTTTATTACGGCTGTAAATTCATTTTCCTTCACGTATTTGATGTCTTTGATTGATGCAAAACTCAATAAGACTTACTGTAGTTACATTAAATATTAACCAGAACATTATTTTGAAACATTTGGGAAGCTGTGACATCTCAACCTGATCCAAAACCTTAGTATATATATTAAACACAGCAACTAAAAGACTTGCCAAGATATGTTTGACAATTGTCCTAACTTTGATGAAGAAAATAAGAAAATACCAGTTTCCCCAGTAGAGAGTTTACTGTGAAAAGCATTGCAGATTTGACATTGCGTGAAAGTTTCCAACTATAAGCAAATGCAGACTTAATGGCAGTAAATGACATTAAATTTTTTAAATGACAAAACCTGCATTTGAAATGTAGGTACATAACTTTTAGTTATTTGAAACTTCAAGGATAGCTAATTGGCTAATACATAAGGGGACAGAAAATCTGACTAGTATTAACTTTGAACCAAAAAAAAAAAAAAAAGAAGAAGAAAAGAAAAGAAAAAGAATCTTTGTGTAGTTGAATCCTTATCTTGGCTGTTACTTACACATTGCAAACCTATTTTGTATGAGTGCACATCAAATTCCCTTTGGGATTCTCAATTTCATTTATTTTATCAATAAAAAGAGCCTCCTTGTGGAGAAAGGAATAAGTCACATATAAATGAAGTAGAAGAGATTACACCAGTACCTGAGCTTTTACTTTGACTAATCCAATAGCTTTGGCCAAATATCTCAATGTCAAAAGCATTATAAGTATTCTACGACGTAAGTCTGGAAAAGAGAAATTAATAAGAAAGTATTGGATTGATTAAAATGTTTACTTTTCCCCTCCATCCTTCCCCTTCTCAAGCTTAATGGCTCTTTCTCATACCAATCTGATCTTTGTTATGGTTATTGGCTGGCCTTGTTTCTTGTTATAACTCCACATCTAGAACTCATTTCTGCATCATATACTTTTCTGTCTCTCCATAATTTCAGTATTAGGGTCCTCGCTCAGATGCATGTCCTTTGTCACTGAACTTGACGACAGGCTTTAAAGAGATTTTACAAGTCCCATTTACACAAATTATTTATTTTGGTCTTCAACAATGTTAAAATGCATGATGTAATTTTTATAGAAGAGAAAACATGCTTAGCAAGATAATTCTGCCAAAGATTTCTCTGCTTAACTATATAGTTAAGTCTTTTCAACTATTTTGCTCATCAAAGATCTTGTACATCATAGAAGATTCTAGAAAAGTGACCTTGATATTTATCTTGCACCTCAGTGCCTTTAACATGTACTTTTTCTGCTTAGAATATACCCCAAACTCTTTTCTTCATCCTTTTTAATGTGTCTTCAGGGCTGAGCTTTCAAATCCACTTATTAAGGATATCTTTCCCCAACCCTTAAATTATTATTTAAGATAATTTCCCAGATAAGTTTTTCTGTTTATATGTCTTTATCAGAATTATGATACATGGGTTTTTTTGTTTGTTTTTATTTTTGAGACAAGGTCTCACTTTGCTGTGTAGTCAGGAGTGTGGTGGTGTGATCTTGGCTCACTACAGCCTCAACCTCCCAACATCAAGTGATTCTTCCACCTCAGCTCCCCAAAAAGCTGGGACCACAGTCACACGCTACCACACCCAACTAATTAAAAAATCATATTTTTTGTTGAGATGAGATCTCACTATATTGTGCAAGCTAATCCCAAACTCTTGAGTTCAAGTGATCCTGCTGTCTTAGCCTCCCAAAATTCTGGGATTATAGGCATGTGCCACCACTCCCATCCACATAAGGCATTTTTTATGAATGCCTGTGTTCTCTACTGGGTTGTGAACTTAGGGAGAGGATGAGGATACCATAATATCCACTTATGTATTTCCAACACCTTATGGCACTGAAAAACTATTGTCATCTGACTAATGGTCTAGTTGCCATTTTAGGGCCTCATGATCTCATTTATGAATCATGACACAAACTGCCTTATTTTCCATGTGCCAATCTCAATTCCATATTGTCCAGGCCTGACTGATTTGTGATCTTAAAACATGGATTTTATCATGTTACATTCTGCAACCACACTGTCACTATCTGTTATTTATGGAAAGACAAAAGTGATACTCAGTGTATCATTCATGACCCTCCATAGATTGACCTAGATCAAATTTCTGACCTTGTCATACCCTCTTCTCTCCAACACAAGCACTTTGTCTTTGCCATAGTAGCTGATAGAATGGATTCAGAATACTTCTTCCTGTTCATCTTTATTTTGACTTTCTACTTGTGTTCTTACTCATTTTGAATTCTCTCTACCTTCTTACTAGTTTATATTATTGATATAATAATTTCTTTTCATTTGGGTAGATACCTAGTAGTGAGATTGCCGGATTGAATGGCAGTTCTATTTTTAGTTCTCTGAGAAATCATCATATTGTTTTCCAAAGAGGTTGGACTAATTTACATTCCCACCAATAGTGTATAAGCATTTCTTTTCCTTCTTATCATTGCCAATATTTATTTTTTGACTTTTAAATAACAGACCTTCTAACTAGTTTAAGATGCTTTCTCCTTGTGTTTTTAACTTGTATTTGTCAATATGCTTTTTGGCCACTTGTCTGTCTTCTTTTGGAAAATATCTATTCATTTTCTTTGCCCACTTTTTATTGGGGCTATTGGGAATTTTTGTTATTGCGGAGTTTTTTGAGTTCCTTGTAAATTCTGGATATCATTACCCTGTCAGATACATAGTTTGCAAATATTTTCTCCCATCCTGCAGGTTGCCTGTATACTCTGTTGATTATTTATGTTTCTGTGCAGAAGCTTTTCAGTTTAATTAAGTCTATTTGTCTAGTTTGGTTTTTGTTGCTTGTGCTTCTGAGGTCTTAGTCATAAATTCTTTGCCTAAACCACCATCCAGAAGAGTTTTCTCTGTTTTCATCATTTTAATAGTTTCGAGTGTTACATTTAAATTCTTAATCCATCTTAAGTTGATTTTTGTATATGGTGGGAGATAGGGGTCCAGCTTTATTCTTCTGCATATAGCAATCCAGTTTTCCCAGCACCATTTTTGAAAAGGGTGCCCTTTCCCCAGTGCATGTTTTTGACAACAACTTTGTCAAAGATCAGGTGGATGTGGATGTGTGATTTAATTTCTGGGTTCTCTATTCTGTTCTGTCAATCTGTTGTCTATTTTGATACCAGTACAATGCTGTTTTGGTTGCTGTAGCTTTGTAGTATAATTTGAGGTCAGGTAATGTGATGCCTCCAAATTTGTTCTTTTTGCTTAGGATTGCTTTGTCTATTTGAGCTCTTTTTTTGATTCCATATGAATTTTAGGATTTTTTTTTCTAATTCTGTGAAAAATGACATTGGTATTTTGATAGAGATTGCACTTAAACTGTAGATTGCTTTGGATAGTATAGTCATTGATATTCATTCTTCCAATTCATGCGCATGAGATGGTTTTCCATTTGCCCGTGTTATCTATAATTTCTTTCATCGGTGTTTTGTAGTTTTCTTTGTAGAGATGTTTTACCTCCTTGGTTAAATATATCCATGGGGGTGTGTGTGTGTATATACATATACACACACACACACATATTTGTAGCTATTGTAAATGAGATTGCTTTCTTGATTTAATTCTCAGCTTGATGATTATCAGTATATAGAAATGCTACTGATTTATTTTTAATTTCAGCTTTTATTTTATACATAGGGAGTACATGTGCAAGGTTATTGCATGGGTTCATTGTAACTAGGTTGTGAGTGTAGTACAGAACAGGTTGTTTTTCAAACCATGACCTTCTCCCTCCCTCCCCCTCCTTGTAGTCTGCCATGTCTATTGTTCCCATTTTTATAGCAGAGTGTGCTCAATCTTTAGTTCCTACTTATAAGTGAGAATGTGTGGTATTTGGTTTTCCATTCTTGCATTGGTTCACTTTGGATTATGACCTCCAGCTTCATGCATATAGTTGCAAAGAACATGATTTCATTCCTTTATATGGCTGTGTAGTATTCCATAGTGTGTGTGTACCATGTTTTATTTATCCAATCCACCGTTGGTGGGCATCTAGGTTGATTCCTTTTCTTTGCTATTGTGAAAAGTGCAGCAATGAACATATGAGTGCATCTGTCTTTTTGGTATAATGATCTCTTTTCCTTTGGGTATATACCCAGTAATAAGATAGCTAGGTCAAATGGTAGCTCTGTTTTAAGTTTTTGAGAAATCTCCAAACTGATTTCTACAGTGGCTGAACTAATTTATATTCCCACAGTGTATAAGCATTCCCTTTTCTCCACAACCTAGCAATAGCTGTTATTTTTTTACTTTTAGTAATAGCCATTCTGAATGGTATGAAATAGTATTTAATTGTAGTTTTAATTTGTATTTCTCTGATGATTAGTGATGATGAGCATTTTTTCATGTGTATTGGCTCCTTGTATGTCCTCTTTTGAGAAGTGTCTGTTCATGGCCTTTGCCCACTTTTTAATGAGGTTACCTGTTATTTGCTTGTTGATTTGTTTAAGTTCCTTGTAGATTCTGTATATTAAACTTTTGCCAGATGCATTGTTTGAGAATATTTTCTCCCATTTCTGCAGATTGCCTGTTTACTCTGTTGATACTTTCTTTTGCTGTGCAGATCTTTAGTTTAATTAGGTCTCACTTGTCAATTTCTGTGTTTATTGCAATTGTTTTTGGCAACTTAGCCAAAAATTATTTGCCAAAGCTGATGTCAAGAATGGTATTTCCTAGGTTTTCTTCTAGGATTTTTATAGTTTGAGGTCTTAACATTTAATTCTTTAACACATTTTGAGTTAATTTTTATATATGATGAAAGGTAAGGGTCCAGTTTCATTCTTGTGCATATAACTAGCCAGCTATTGCAGCACCATTTATTACATAGAGAGTCCTTTCCCCATCGCATATTTTTGTCAGCTTTGTTGAAAATCAGATGGCAGTAGGTGTGTGACTTTATTTCTGGGTTCTCTATTTTGATGCATTAGTCTATGTCTCTTTTTGTAGCAGTGCCATGCCATTTGGTTACTGTAGCTGTTCAGTATAGTTTGAAGTCAGATAATGTGATGCCTCAGGCTTTGCTCTTCTTTGTTTGAATGACCTGTTAAGGCTCTTTTTTGGTTCCGCATGAATTTTTGAATAGTTTTTTCCTAATTCTGTGAAGAATGATGTTTGTAGTTTGATAGGAATGGCATTGAATCTGTAAATTGCTTTGGGCAGTATGGTCATTTTAATGATATTGACTCTCCCAATCCATGAGCATGGAATGTTACTTTGTGTTGTCTGTGATTTGTTTCAGCATTGTTTTGTAGTTCTCTTTATAGAGATATCTCATCTCCTTGGTTAGCTGTATTTTCCTAAGTATTTCATTTTCTTTGTGGCTATTGTAAATGAGATTGTGTTCCTGATTTGACTCTCAGCTTGCACATTATTGGTGTATAGGAATGCTACTGATTTTTACATATTGATTTTGTATTCTAAAACCTTACTAAAGTTGTTTTATCTATCAGTTCTAGCAGCCTTTTGACAGTCTTCAGATTTTCCTATATGTAGGATCATATAGTCAGTGAAGAGAGATACTTTGACTTCTTCTTTTTCTCTTTGGATGCTATATGTGTCTGTTTTTATACTGCTATAAAGAACTGCCTGAGACTGGGTAATTTATAAAGGAAAGAGATTTAATTGACTCACAGTTCAGCATGGCTGGGGAGGCCTCAGGAAACTTACAATCGTGGCAGAAGGTGAAGAGGGGAACAAGGCACCTTCTCCACAAGGCGGCAGGAAGGAGAAGTGCCAAGGCAGGGGGAACAACCCCTTATAAAACCATCAGATCTCTTGTGAGAACTCACCATCCCAAGAACAACATGGGAGAAACTGCCCCCATGATTCAATTATCTCCACCTGATCTCTTCCTTGACACATGGGGATTATGGGGATTACAATTTAAGATGTGATTTGGGTGGAGACACAAAGCCTAACTATATCAGATGCCTTTTATTTCTTTCTCTTGCCTGTTTTCAGTACTATGTTGAATAGGAGTGATGAGCATAGGCATACTTGTCATATTCCAGTTCTCAAGGGCAATGGATCCATTTTTTGTCTATTCAGTATGAGGTTGGCTGTTGGTTCATCATAGATGATTCATTATTTTGAGGTATGTTCCTTTGATGCCTTGTCTTTTGAGAGTTTTTATTATAAAGGGATGTTGGATTTTATCAAAAGCTTTTTATGAATCCATTGAGGTGATTGTGTGATTTTTATTTTAATTCTGTTTATGTGTTAAATTATATTTATTGATTTGCACATGTTGAATCAGCCTTGCATTACAGGAATAAAGCCTACTACATCATGGTTTGTTAATGTTTTGATGTGCTGCTGGATTCAGTTTGCTAGTATTTTGTTGGGAATTTTTGTGTCTATATTCATCAGGGATACTGACCCAAAGATCCTTTTTTTATTTTTGTTTCTCTGCCATGTTTTCATATTAGGCTAATGCTAGCTTCATGGAATGAGTTAGGGAGCAGCACCTGGTCCTCAATTTTTGGAATAGTACCTGTTCTTCTTTCTATATCTGTTAGAATTCAGCTGTAAATATAACTTATCCATGGCTTTTTGGGTTTTTTTCTGTATTCAATTTCAGATTTTGATATTTACCTATTCAGGATTTTAATCTGTTCCTGGTTCAATCTTGGGAGATTATTTGGTTCTAGTAAGATATATTTCCTCTAAATTTTCTAATTTGTGGAACAGAATTACTCACAGTATTTTCTGAGGATCTTTTGTATTTCTGTGGGATCAGTTGTAATCTCATATTTGTTATACCTGATTGTACTGATTTGTATCTTCTCTTTTTTTGTTAATCTAGCTAGTGGTCTATTCATCTAATTTTTTCAAAGAACAAACTTTTGGTTTCATTGGTCTTTTGTTTGCATTTTTGCTTTGCAATATTATCCAGTTCTTCTCTAATTTTAATTGTTTCTTTTCTTCTGCTAGCTTTGTGGTTGGTTGTTTCTTTGTTTTTGTTTTTCTTTTTGTTTTTGTTTTTTTGAGACGGAGTCTCGCTCCTCTTCTCCCAGGCTGGAGTGCAGTGGCGCGATCTCGGCTCACTGCAAGCTCCGCCTCCCAGGCCATTCTCCTCCTCAGCCTCCCGAGTAGCTGGGACTACAGGCACCCACCACCACACCCGGCTAATTTTTTTGTATTTTTAGTAGAGACGGGGTTTCACCGTGTTAGCCAGTTCCTTTAGGTGCAAAGGTAGATTGTTAATTTGAGATCTCTCTAACTTCTTGATCAAGGTGTTTAGCAATATAAACTCTCCTCTTAACAGACTGCATTAGTTACATCCCAGAGATTTTGGTATTTGTTTGCCTATTTTAATTAATTTCAATACTTTTTTATTTTTGCCTTAATTTCAGTGTCCACCCAGGAGTTATTGAGGACCAAGTTGTTAAATTTCCATATATTTGTGTAGTTTTAAGAGATCTTTTTGATATTGATTTCTATTTTTATTGCTCTGTTGTCTGAGAGTGTGCTTGACTCCCAGATGATTTTAATCTTTTTTTAATTGAGACTTGCTTCATGACCAATTATGTGGTTGATCTTAGAGTATATTCCATGTGCAGATGAAAAAGAATGTGTATGTTGTGGTTGTTCGGTAGAATGTTCAGTAGATGTTTATTAGGTCCATTTGCTTAAGTGTCAAGTTTAAGGCCAGAGTTCCTTTGTTAGTATTCTGCCTTGATGATCTCTCTAATGCAGTCAGTACAGTTTTGAAGTCTCCCACTATTATAGTGTGGTTGTCTAGACCTTTTGATATGCCAAGAAGAACTTGTTTTATGAATCTGGATGCTCCAGTGTTGGGTGCATATATATTTGGGGTAGGCAAGTCTGCTTGTTGGATTGCACCCTTTATCATTATGTAATGCCTTCCATTGCCCTTTTAAATTTTTATTGGCTTAAAGTCTATTTTATCAGGTATGAGAATAGTGACTCCTGTACTTTTATGCTTTCTGTTTTTATAGTAGATCTTTCTCTGTCCATTTACTTTGAGCCTGAGTCCTTACATGTGTGATATATCTCTTGAAGACAGCAGATGGTTGGGTCTTCTCTTTTTATCCAGCCCACCACTCTCTGCCTTTTAAGTGGGGTGTTTAGCCCATTTACATTCGGGATTAGTATGGATATGTGAGATTTTTATTCTGTCATCATGTTGTTAGCTGGTTGTCATGTAGATTTTTATTGTGTGATTGTTTCCTAGTGCCTATGGGCTATGTGCCTAAGTGTGTTTTTGTGGTAGCAGGTGTCATTCTTTTGATTCCACATTTAGCTTTCCCTTAAGAACCTCTTACAAGGCTGATGTAGTTGAAATGAATCCCTCAGAGTTTGCTTGTCTGAGAAAGATTTTATTTCTCCTTCCCTTATGAAGATTAGTTTGGTGGAATATAAAATTCTTGGTTGGAATGTCTTTCCTTTAAGGATGCTAAAAATTGTCCCAGAATCTCTTCTTGCTTTTATGGTTTCTGCTGATAGGTCTGGTGCTAGTTTCTTCCATATGTGATTTGACCCTTCTCTCTAGCTGCCTTTAAGATGTTTTTCTTTTTCATTGACCTTGATGAACCTGATGGCTATATCTTAGTGATGGTTGTCTTGTGTAGTATCTACGCTGTTCTCCATATTTCTTGGGTTTGCATGTCAACCTCTTTAGTGAAATTAGGGAGATTTTCATGGACTGTATACTCAAATATAATTTCCAAGTTGTTTATTCTCTCTCCTTCTCTCTCAGGAATGCCAATGAGTTATAGACTCTGTCTCATTATATAAACCCATATTTCTCAGAGGTTTTGTTCATGTTTTAAAATTGTTTATTTTTATCTTACTGTGTTGATTTGAAAAACTGATCTTTGAGCTCTGAGCTTCTTTCCTTAGCTTGGTCTAATCTTCTGTTAGTACTTCCAATTGTATTATGAAATTCTTGTAGAGAATTTTTCAGCTTTAGAAGTTCAGTTTGGTTATTTCTTAAAATGGCTATTTCATCTATCATTTCTTGGATCATTTTACTGGATTCCTTGGATTGAGTTTTACCTTTCTCTTGAATATCAATGACCTTCCTTGCCATCCAGATTCTGAATTCCTTGTTTGTCACTTCAGTCATTTCCAACTGGTTAAGAATCATTGCTGGGGAGGAACTGGTAGACTCCTTTGGAGGTAAGGAGACCCTCTGTCTTTATGAATTACCAGAGTTCTTGTGCTGATTTTTGTACCCTTAACTGTAGTTTAAATATAGTCAGTTGGTTTCATTTCTGGATGTTTTTAGACAGCCAATATGCTCTCTGTAGGGTCTTTATCTGTGGCTGATTTCTTGCCTTTGTTTCACAGAAGGGTATATTAGCAAAGTATTTTTGGTGTTGTAGTTTGGGCTTTCATCCAGAAGATAGCATTTATTAGTAATGACCAGTAGATATGGTTATACTCAACTGCATGGCTCCTTTATATTTCCTAGTATTTGTAGCCATGAACTATAGTGTGTTGGGAAGAGAGTTCACCTCCTCACCAGGTCCATTCTTGGGCCTTTGAGGAGCCTCTGCTACTGATTTGTGCACATTGATTTTGTTTCCTTAAACTTTACTGAATTTATTTATCATATCTACTAGTTTATCAGTTACAAAAATTAATTAGTTACAGTTGGTGTTCTTTTCCGTGAGACTTTTCTTTCATTTATAACTGGTTTTCATTTCCTTTCTAATTTAAAGGAGCATATTTAACATTCCATCTTAAGGCAATGTGATAGCCATGAGGTCTTTGTGTGATAATGGTAAAAAGGAAGTTAATCTATAATGGAAGTCAACAGTAGATAAGGAAGGAGTATTCCTTGGTACCCTTCCATCATTTACAACGTTTCACAAAACAATTCAGGTAAGAAAAATGGCTTAATCTATGAGATAAACCTTACAGTATCCATAGTTACACATACCTGTCATGTGATTCAGACCCTGTAATTCACATTCCCTTGACGCTCAAAATAATTCAGAGATCCAACAGCTGAGATTCTGAATTACATATTTTTACAGGATTATAGTTTTACATGACCTGGAAGTCTTCAGAATGAAGACCAAAATATACAGGAGAAACTCTATTTTTATGCTTAGCTTCAATAAATTATAGACAGCCATGTAAAAATATGATTGGATAAAAAGGGTATGATCTAGTGCTAATTTTCTAAGTAGGGAAACCCAGCAAAGCATGCCTGTTTTGGTTTTTCGTGACCTCTCTGTGCAGCATTTCCCCTTTCTGGGTATGGTAGAAGATTCTGTCAGGATTGGAATCTTATGACCTACAGTCAAACAAGGTAGGTCAGATAATTTCTCTGTGGCCAATTTTTACACAGAAAGGCTAGGAGAAAATTAGAGTAATATTTTTAGGTTTTGTGGTTGGCTTTTGAGAAAAGACGTTCTGGTTTCTATGTCCTGCCTCCATGGGGAACGGATATTCAGAAACTAGAATCCCTTTGGCCTGGGCAGGAGGAGAGTGGTGGCGGGTAGAATGAGCAGCTAGAGAAAGAGGGGCATTAAGCAGGAATAGGTCAGAGAGGACTATTGATTCTGAGGCTGTATTTGAGGACTGCATTTTAAGGTGTCACTTTCTGATCCCCAACACTGGCCTTGTTGAAAAAACAACCACAGCAACAGTAGCAGCAGCAGCAGCAAAAACATGAGAATAAAATCCACCCAAACAAATGATGAATTGAGATGCAGTGACGAAAGGATTGGTGTAATGCTTAATGCCAAAAAATATGAGAGGAGTGCCAACAAACTTCTGAGGGGAAACAAGCAACTATCACAGCAACAAGTAGATCTCAAATGTATTAGAACTTGAGGGCATATGACTTATAAACCGTTTATGAAAAAAAAAACTTGGAAATCAAATTTTTCCAACCAAAAAAAATGAATCAAAATAACACAGGTGAAAGAAACTGTGGATAAAGGACTCATGAAGATGACTAAAACCATTTAAAATTAGAACAATGGACACTATGCTGGTATATATCATAACAGTTGGAGAGAAATATTAAAATTATCAAAATCTGGTAAGGAGTAGAAGTTTAACAATTCTGATTTTTATGTGCTTTCAGAGCTGGGAGTTGGAAGAAATGTTATAAAAGTGAAATATAAGATTTTTTTTCTATTTTTAAAACTTTAAAATTTTGTTAATATTTTAGACCTACATAAGAGTTGTAAATATAGTACAGAGAGTTCTGATATTGTCTTCAGTCTGTCTTACCCTAATGTTGACATATTACATAACCACAATACAATTAACAGAATAAGAAATTAACACTGGCATCATACTTTTAACTAAACTATAGACTTCAATCAGAGTTCTCCAGTTTTTCCATTCATGTTGTTTCTCTGTTCCTGAATCCTATCAAGCATCTATTGTTGCATTTAATAGTCATGTTTCTTTCATCTCCAATCTGTGACAGTTCCTCCATTGTTTTTTCGTTTTGTTTTGTTTTGTTTTTGACAATGTTGACATTTTTGTAGACTACTGGTTATGTATTTCGTAAAATGACTCTCATATCGTATTCGTCTGATGTTTTCTCCTGATTAAAATTAGAGATTTCTGAGATGAATAACATAAAGATGATGTGTCTTCAATACATCCTATCAGGTGATGAAACATGTAATTTAAAAAATATTAACTACTAAATGTTTTCATAATTTAAAACTGGAGGGGAAGAAAAATGCACTTGTTCAAAACTTTCTGCAGTTTAATTTACCTTTTTTCAGGTGAATTCAGATCATAGTAATTTTTAGCAAAATATTGTAAAATAATATAGAGTATGACTAATTTTAATAAAAATTTTTAAAATTATATATATATGTTTTCTATGTATATATCTACATCTATTTCCAGCTGCCAACATGTAAAGAAACAATTCTAAGATCCATTTTAGGAAATATTGATTATAGATATTAACGGATGGTAGAGTTTGTTATGTATTATTAAATTGTACTTTATCTTTTCCACTTTTTCTATTTAGGTTGTTGCAAAGGTAATTGCGACAGTTACTTTTGCACCAACCTAATATGTACTTTTCTGTTCTGATTTATTTTAATTTGCTTTTAGAAAGATAGAGTTATTGTTTAAACAAAAATTCAATGTTTTTGAGCATATATTATTTATTTTGCATTTTTATTTAGTTTGTATTTCTTTCAGAAACACAATTCTGGAAAGATACAACAGTGTTTACCTTGAAGGAGCAAGAACTGTGGATGCTTTGAATAGACTTATGTTTTCTTATTTGTGATGTGAACTTTTCTACAAGGGAATTATATTACCTTTCAAATAAGCTACATATGTTACTGTTTCATAATTTCTTTATTTTTCCATGGAAATTATTTAACATTTTATTTTCTGACAAAGCTCCTGTTTATAAGTTATATTTTCTGACAAAGCTCCTGTTTATAAGTTAGAGCATTCAGAGATTTACTTAGAACTATCCTCAGCTTGGCCACTTCTATATGGTTTTGAGAAAAGTTAGGTACATTATTATCTCTTAAAAAACTTAAATTAGACCACAAGCTAGTTTTGAAATAACTCAACTGAGGTTATTCTTTGATGACTGACAGTACAAGAGAATTGTCATACACTCAGTTATTAGTTCTTTAGACAAATAAATATTTAATAAATAAATATGTTATATATTATACATATTAATAGGACAATGTAAGTACACATGAAAGTTGGTGGTGGAAAAATTGCCATTGTTACTAATGCTGTCTCATGTCTAATAATGATAGAGCTGGAAAACAGATGTTTTTCTAAGGCAAAGAATTTACTCCTAACCTTTTCTTTTATATTGACATCATATTGCCATTGTATGTCAGGTAACTGAGTGGAAAGAGAGAATAGAGCTGAGGGCACATACAATTCATTTAGAATTATTCTAGTGAGATGCTCATTAGACTAGAAAATAAAAACATATTTGGAGGAAAACATTTCTTCCCTCACTCCTACAAGGGATAAAAATGCTAATATAGTTCTCAATGCACAGAACGTAATCAAATCTACTTCATAGAACTGATATACTACTGGTATGAATGACCTGTGATGATATACTGAATTTTTGCTTTAATATTTGTTCTTTTCATTGTTTACTAGTTTTAAAACACCATAAAATATTTATTAAAAAACCTTTAAGGGATTTTTTTAAAGGCCATATTGTAAATGTCTTTGCATTAAACATTTCATAAGGTATATTTCCAAATCTTAAACAACTTTGCTGTTTGAGTACAATATCAGTAAATGGCACTTTAAGAAGATAGAAAGCCATCTGCATCCAAAATATAAATTAAAATTATATGTAAAATAAATCATTTTAACTTTAGATAGAAAGTAACAACTTAAATCACCTTCTATATAGTGTATAAATATATCATCTAAAAGATACCTAAATTTTGATGTAAAAATGTTCTCAATATATTTTACCAGGCTGAGAAAATCTTACAAGAATTATCTAGGTATGTAATCATTATATTAAAATGCCAAAGACATATTAGACTTGTGGTTATATTTCCTTGGGCAACAAAATAGATTTTTTTTTTAAATCTATGTGTCTTTTAAGGTAGGGGAAATAGTAATGCTGACAACAAAGTTTTCTCACTAAATATATCTGTTCTTCTTTGTTAATATTTACAGTCAAAGGGGGCTGTTCTCTGGCCAACCTGCACCCAGGTGAAATAAACAGCCTTGTTGCTCACACACACACACACAAAATATATATATACATATACATATACACACACACATATATACATATACATATATACACACATATATATACATATACATATATATACACATATATATACATATGCATATATATATACATATATATATACATATTTTTTAACCGCCCACCTATGTAAAGTACTCTACCACATCTGACAAGTTGAGAAAAATGATGACATCAAATGTTGCCTATGGGAAGCCTCTAATCAACTAAATATCTCGACTTCAACACTCAAATATACTGCTACAGCATTGTAAAGTGTTTTGTACCCTCTGAATATAATACTGTAAAATGTTCTACATTATTATTTGAAGAAAATTGTTGAGGAATAATTTTACAGTGTGTAAGGTGGTAGATGCAGATGAAATAATTATAATATGAAAATATTGAGATCATAAAGTAATTTCCCTTGTAGTTACCTTTATGAAAGTTGTACGATTGAGTTTAATTTCAATAAAGCAACATCAGCCATAATTTAGTGTCCTTTAAGTGAATTAAGCAATTTCAAGCCTTATAAACATGTTCAAGTTCAGTGAGAAGGACACTTTTTAGAAAATTTCTAAGCTAATGACTTTAGTGGCATTGGTAAATATCCAGAGACTGTGTGAGGAAAACACCCGAATATAGAACTGTAAAATCTAAATAGAGAAACCATTGTGTTAAATCTGAAAACATATTAGTAAGTGACATTTTCCTTTAAGTAATCTTATTGTATTTTTCGTGACATTCAATTATTTATTTGCACCAAGAAATATTGTTCAGGACTTGAAGACTGAGTAAATGTGCGTGAGCTACACAAAATATATTTTGTTATTAGTAAATCATCTATTATAAAACTGAGAAGTCTCAAAAGTAGGTAATGGGAAAAAAGTGTTTCCATTGTTTGCTTTCTTATTTCAAATATCTTTATGAAAAATTCAGCATTTTAATAATAAAGAGCAATAATTAAAGATGACTGTTATTTATTATTTTGGTAGACAGAAAGGATGGTTTCATTTATATTTGTTCAATTATTTTCTTTAACTCTTATTCTATATATAGGCCAGTTGTATTTTTTGTTTTGTTAATTAGCTGCCTATTAAGTTTTCTTGCATAATTATATTCAGTTTGTATGAACTAGTTATAAATCAAATATATTTCTTTTTATTTATAAAATAGCAGGGTGTTGCTTTGCTCATCTATCTTTTCATTAGTTAAATTTTGATGTGTTAAAGTTTGGCATTTGATGTAGTTTAATTGACATCATTTTGAGGAGGTGGGGAATGAAGAGATTTTTCTCTATGAGCATACAGCTTAGAAAGTCATCATTCCAACTTAACACTTGATTAATATTCAATCACTTTTTTAATGTTATTTTAAAATCATGTTTTCTTTGAAGACTTTCTGAACTTTGAAATACAATTTTTAATTTAGAAATCATTGGTATTTTTCTTTTTGTTTTAATTTTTACACTTTATTAAACATCATTTTATAAACACAGAATATACATTAAAAAGCATAATAACAATTTTACTATGGTTATTTCTGTCATTAATGGGTCGCTATTAAGAGTTTCAGGTAGTGCTAATATAATTACAATTCTTAAGTCAATTGATGGACACTTTGAATAGAGATTTAAATGAAGAAGTTTATCATTGGCATGCATGCTGTATAGTCCCAAATATCTCAATCCTATTATATTAAGGATGAGTATTATATTGGAGTAATATTTTATGGCTTTCAAAATATGTTTTAAATTGTTACTTTTAGAGATACCAACCATAATACCTAATACCTAAGTAGGCAGAGCTGTAGATACAATCATTCTGAGGTGATCTGACCCTACACTGACAATAACAGTTGTCAGTAGAGATCATTGAAATTCATATTTTTCTACTTTAGATGAAATGTATTTTGAATGTCTTAGCTGGTATTCAAAGAAAAAAGAAAAGATGATTAAAAGCAATACAATCATAGGAGGCTTCCAGTTCCAAAATTGTGATGTAGATGGAACCTGGCTTCACTTCCCCTAACAGAAAGCCGAAAACAAATATACAATGCCAAGATTATCACCAGAAATATCCCAGAACTCAAATAAGGAAATGAGAATTCCTGGGGCCACAAAGAAGTGTAATATTAATAACTCTAAGGAGATGGTAAGATAATAGGACTTCCACATCTGCAATATCTGTCCCCTCATTCTGCCTGCCTCCAGGTGAAGAGAAAAATTTTTCCCAATTCACTGTTTCTGCACTGGCAAAACTGAGATCAAGATGGACAACCATCTTCCCCATCATATTGGGTAGCCTGGCAGGAGACATGTTTCTGTTTTTACTCACAGAAAGCATTACAAGTACTTAAAGGGATAAATATCACTGAGAATAGCCAGTGACAAAGGATGGAGGTAGAATTATCATCCCCAGACCTGGAAAATGTAATCTGTAATTTGGAGATGTAATTTGCCAAAGGAGATGCCAAATCAGAATGACTGTATAGCAGCACCACACGAAAGGAGGTTCATCTAATAGGTCCCTAGAACACAAAACCCTAGACAGCCTTCCTCCCTGCCAGGACATCCCCTTTAGGACCTTCTCCACTTGGGAAAGGCAGCACTTTGAGCTTTTACTAGAGCCAAGGCAAACCTGGGCTGAAGGCTACCACCCAGAGCTGAAAAGGAGGTGATGACCTAGCAGTAAAAATCTGTGAGGAAATGTATCCAATAAAAATCAAAACAAGCAAGACAGAGAAGACTGAAATAAATACCTAATCTTTCAATGCAAAGACACACATATGTGTCTACAAGAAATAATAGCAAACAGGAAACCATGATTTCCCCAAACATAAAAAACAAGGAATTAATAAGTGACTCCAATGAGATGGCAATATGTGAGCTCTCTGACAAAGAATTCAAAATGGTAGTTTTAAGAAAGCTCAGTGATCTGCAAGATAACACAGAAAAGAAATTCAGAAATATATCAGAAAAATTTAATAAAGAGATTAAAATAATTAAAAATCACACAGAAATCGTAGAGCTGAGAAATACATAAGCTGAAGTAAAAAATTCATCGAAGACTCTCGATAGCAGAATGACCACGCAGATGAAAGAGTCAGTGGACTCAAACACAGCCTACTTAAAAATATACAGAGGAGAAAAAAGTCTAAAGACCAAAAAAGATCACCTAAAAGATATAGAAGAGTACCTCAGAAGACTAAATTTAAGAATTATTAGTGTTCATGAGAAAGTTGAACAATAGCAAGTGGCAGAAAGCTTACTAAAACAAACCAGCATATTTTTCCAAACTTGTGTGGAGAAAACACATGCATGTAAGTTACATCCAAGCACACATAGGCGAACAACATCATACAGATTTGACAAACAAGACTACCCAAGACCTATGATAATCAAACTCTCAAAAGTCAAGGACCAAGAGTGAATCCCAAAAACAGAAAAAGAAAAGAAGGAAAATAAAAAGGAGTTCCAGTTCACCTGGAAACAGACATCTCAACAGAAACCATACAAGCCAGGAAAGAGTAGAATGACATTTCTACTAAAGTGCTGAAAGAAAAAGAAAATCACCATACAAGAATACTGTATTCAACAAAGCTGTCCTTCAGCTATGAAACAGAAAAATTCTTTCCCAGACAAACAAGAGCTTAAAAGAGTTGATCACCACCAGATATGTCTTACAAAAAATACCAAAGAGAGTTCTTCCATCTGAAAGAAAAAAAAATGTGAAGGAAACAAACAAAAACATCTGAAGGTATAAAACCCACTGTTATAATTAAGTGCATGGCCAAACCCAGAATACTGTAATGCCGTAATTGTGGTGTGCAATTCACTCATAACTCTAGTATGAAGCCCAAAAGACAGTTCTATCAAAAACAATAATAGTTACAGGAACCTGTTAAGAGATATGTAATATAAAATATGTAAACTAACACAACAAAGAGCCAAAATGTATGTGTGTGTTGTGGGGATGGAGTTAAAATGCAGATTTTTCCTGTTTTTTTTCTTTGTTTCCATTTTTTCTTTGTGATCTAAGATAACTTGTCATATCTGTAAAATAACTTTATTATATCTATAAGATATTTTTGTAAGACTCATGGTGACCACATACAAAAGCCTATAATAGATAAAGTAAAAATAAAAAGCAACAAATTAAACCATACTAGCAGAGAAAATCAAAATCTTTTAACTACAAAAGAATACAACAAGAAAGAAAGGAAGAGATGAATTACAAACAACTAAAAAACAAGCAACGAAATGGCAGTAGTAAGTCCTTATTTACAGTAATAACACTGAATGTAAATGAACTTAATTATCCAATTAAAAGGCATAGAATAGCTGAATGAGTAAAGAAACAAGACTTTATGCTGCCTACAAGAAACTTCATCTGTGAAGACATATATAGCCTGAAAGTGAAAAGATTGGAAAATGATATTCTATGCAACTGAAAACTAAAAAAGAGCAGAAGTAGCTATACTTATATCAGATAAAATAAACTACAGATTAAAGGCTATAAAGGAGGCCAAAAGTGCCCACTGTATAATATTAGTGAACAGGGTCACAAAAATTCTCAAGAAAATATTAGAAAACTTTTGTCAAGAACACATTAAAAAGATCATTCACTATATTTAAGTGGGATTCATCTCAGGAGTGCAAGGATGGTTCAGCATACACAAATCAATAAATATGTACATCATATTAACATAACCCAGAACAAAAACCATATGATTATTTTAATAGGTGCCCATAAAAGCACTTGATAAAATTTAAATCACTTTATAATGAAAACCCTCATCAAAATGGATGTAGAAGGAACATGCCTCAAAATAATAAAGGCTGCATATGACAAGCCCATAGCTAACACTTTACTGAATGGGGGAAAATTGAAGACCTTTCCTCTAGATTTGGAGAAAAAGACAAGGATGCCCACTTACCACTTTACCACTCTTATTCAAAACAGTACTGGAAACCCTGGCCAGAGCAATTAGGTAAGAAAAGGAAATTTAAAAGTATCCAAATTGGAATGGAATAAGTCAAATTAGCCTTGTTCACAGAAGACAAGATTCTATACTTAGAAAAACCTAAAGACGGCCTGGCGCAGTGGCTCACACCTGTAATCCCAGCATTTTGGGAGGCTGAGGCAGGAAGATCACGAGGTCAGGAGATTGAGACCATCCTGGCTAACATGGTGAAACCACATCTCTACTAAAAATACAAAAAATTAGCCAGGCTTGGTGGCATGTGCCTGTAGTCCCAGATACTTGGGAGGCTGAGGCAGGAAAATCACTGAACCTAGGAGGCAGAAGTTGCAGTGAGCTGAGATCGTGCCATTGCACTCCAGCGTGGCAACAGAACAAGGCTCCATCTCAAAAAAAAAAAAAAAAAAAAAAAAAAAAAAAACTGAAAGACTCTACCAAAAAACAGTAAGAATTGATAAATGAATTCAGTAAAGTTACAGGCCACAAAATCAACATACAAAAATCAATAGTATTTATATACACTGACAGTGAAGAATCTAAAAAAGAAATCAAGAATTCAATTCCATTAACAATAGCTACAATAATATAAAATACTTAGCAATCAGTTTAACCAAATAAGTTAAATGTCTGTACAAAGACAACTATAAAGCATTAATGAAAGAAATCAAAGAGGACAGAAACAAATGAAAAGATATTTCATGCTCACGGATTGGAAGAATTAATACTTTTAAAATGACAATACTACCCAAAGTGATCTACAGATTCAATGCAATCCCTATCAAAATACCAATGCCATTTTCACAGAAATAGAAAAAGCAATCATAAAATTCCTATGGAACTAAAAAAGGCCCTGAATAGCCAAAGCAATCCTGAGCAAAAAGAACAGAGCTGGAGTCACACTACCTGACTTCAAAATTTATTACAAAGACATAGTAACCAAATTATTGTGGTAAAAATAGACTCATAAACCAATGGAACAGAATAGAAGACCCAGATATAAATCCGTGCATTTGCATCCAACTCATCTTTGGCTAAGGTGCTAAGAACATAATGGGGAAAGGATATTCTACATATGTTCTCACTCATGTGGAAGCTATATTTAATAAATGGTACTGGGAAAACTATATAATTATGTAGAAGAATAAAACTGGATCCCCATCTTTTACCACACACAAAAATAAAAATGGACTAAAGACTTAAATCTCAGACCTGAAACTATGAAACTGCTAGAAGAAAGCATTGGGTAAGCACCCCAGGACATTGGTCTGGACAAAGATTTTGTGTTTCATACTGTAAAAGCACAGGCAACTAAAGCAAAAAATAAAAAATAAAAAAAAATGAAAAGAAAAACCAGGATTATATCAAGGTAAAATCTTCTGCACAATAAATGGAATTATCAACAAAGTGAAGAGACAACCCATAGAATGGAAGAAAATATTTGCAAATTATCCATCTGATGGAATTAATAACCAGAATATATAAGGAGCTCAAACAACTCAATAGCAAATGAATAAATTGTCCAGTAAAATGGCAAACAGACCTGAATAGACGTTTATCAAAAGAAGACATACATATGGCCAAAAGGTATATGAAAAAAATACTCATCACTAATCATCAGAGAAACACAAATCAAAACTATAATATATCAATCCTGCACCTGCTAAAATGGCTTTTATTAAAAGGACATTATAAAAAAGACAGATGCTGGTGATGATGCAGAGAAAAGGGAACTTTCTTATACTGTTGGTGGGAATGTAAATTTGCATAGCTACTATGGAGAACAGCATGGAGATACCTAAAAAAAAATAGAACTACATATGATCCAGCAATTCCACTACTGGGTATATAATCAAAAGAAAGGAAATCAGTATATCGAAGAGACATTACACTCTCATGTTTACTGCAACACTATTCACAGTAGCCAAAATGTGGAAGCAACCTAAGTGTCCATCAATGGTTAAATGGATAAAATGTGATATATACACACACACACGCACACACACACACACACACACACATAGATATGTACATATATATGATATTCTATTATGTGTGTGTTTATATATACAATTCACCATATATACATATATATGATAGAATATCATTTAGCTATACCAAAATGAAATTCTGTCATTTGCAGCAACATGGATGGAACTGGTGGCTCATTATGTTAAGTGAAATAAGCCTGGTACATGTTCTCACATGTTCTCACTGTCTTATGTTAAAGCCAAACACATGTTCTTACTCATATGGAAGCTAAAAAAGTGAATCTCATAATTAAAGGGAGTAGATTGGTCATTACCAGAGAGTGGTGAGAAGGGGAGGGGTAAAGGGAGGATGAAGAGAAGTTGATTAATGGGTACAAATACATAGTTTGATAGAAGTAATAAGACCTAGTGATAGATAGACTTGTACAGTGACTATATTGTACAACAATCTATTGTATATTTCAAAATAGCTAGAAGAGAAGAATTTGAATAGTTCCAGCAGAAAGACAAGACAAATATTAGGTGATGGATATCCTAAGTACACTGATTTGATCTTTACCAATTATATGAGTGTATTAAATTATTATTTGTACCCTGAAACTATGTACATATGTTATGCATCAATAAAAGGTAATACCATCATGTATAATTTGATGTATTGAACAGAAAATCAACATTGATGCATCTTTGGCTATGACTTACAAGTATGAGTTTATTTTGGAATATCAATACCCCTTCAACCTTCAATAAGTATATTATAATAATTCTATAATGAGATACTAGTCTTTATGCTGCTTATTGTGCAGACTGGGTTTCTTCATGTTTTTCTTTGAATGTTGCAATATATTTTAAACTTCATTACTTTCTTGACACTTTATGATTTTGTATCTATGACTTTATTGTTTTCTTGGATATATTTTAAAATGTGTTTTTTCTTTATGTTTCTACATCCACCCATATGCATTTCCTTATGGTTTCATCTTTAAGCTATCTTATTTTCTAGAGATTGTACCCTCCTCATCTGCCTATATTGGTCTCAGGGCATTTCTTGTGCATAGCTCGAGTGGGTAGCATCCCCAGTCACTGAGCTCATCACACGCGGTGCTAATCTATACCTTCAGATGATGTGCATCTAATTTCTAATTCCAGCTTCTGCTATAGCTAACTGTTCCATAGCCAGTAATTTAGTCCTTACTTAGAGTGATTGCCCAGTGGGGTTCACATTTATTCTGCTCATAAAATCCCATCTTTTCTGCAAGAAAGGACTGACTTCCTGGAAGATGAAAACAATAGCAATCATCCTCCTATAAAAAGGATTTCCTATCTTTGGGTTACTTCTTTTGTAAAATTTCTTCAAAGCATTGGGCTCCAGGCAAGTGACAATTTTTAAAAAACTATTATATGAAGATGGACAAATTTTATCTCTTAGTACCCACAACTGTGTTGTAGGTTATATTTTGGCAAACGGCCTTAGTTTGATCTACCCTATAGAATCACAGTAAGGAGATCTCATTTTTTCCTTTTATTGATGAGAATACTGAAAAACTAAGTGTGTTTCACAAACAACAGAAAGGTCCAGAAAGACTATGTATGTTTCAGAAACAAAGCTTTTAAATGGCAAAGATGTGATAAGAACATGAACGTTCTGATTTTTCCTGATGTTCTAATTTATCTTATTTCCAGAACAACTAAGAGCCATTGGGCACTTGATTTGTATACCTAAAATATCTTATTTACTTAATCTTGTAAAACTTTGGGTAAGGAATTCACACAGAAAACTAAATGCTTACCTGAGGGTTATCAATTCCTTGGTGAATAGTACAGTCCTGGTGAAGTATATCTGATCTATAGAGACATGTGAAATTCAGATGAAAACTGTGATCTTTTCTGGAGTTTATTAGAAACGTGATGGAGAATCTGCTGGGGTCATGACTGTTGCTCCCCCACTGAATTTATGGTGGAACAGATGGTTCTCCCAGAAAGACCAACAAAGTTTTAATGATTATAAAATCTTTGTCAGAAAATTCACGGACTTGGTTATGCATGCATTGTTATCACTGCTTCTTTCTTTTATTTATACTTTAAGGATGAAGAGCCTGATTTACACAGCTGGATTTTAAACATGGTTTAAATGAATAAATTTGGATTTCTGAAAAGTGACTTAATAAACTGAAATACTCAGTTGGATTCTTGAGTAGGAATACAGTATAGCTCAAAATATTAGAGACGGTCTTACTTGTCCTGAAATAAACTGATCTTATCAATAGAAATTCAACCTGAATGTGAGTCTGGTTATTAGGAAAATAGTATCTCTCATGGAAAGGAAAATAGCAATTTGGAAATGAAACATGAGAGGTAATTAGTCAAAGGATAAGAAAGAGTATCTGTTGCCGCAGGGAATGAAAACTAAGTAAAGTGAATCTCATATTTCAGTGTGTGAAAATACATATGATCATATATTTTCTTACCAAGACTTGAAGGGATAGGATACCAGATTAGAATAGAATAATGGAAATATATGCCTTATTCAATATAAATAGGCCAGTTGTGAGTTAGGATAGTGTGGATGTGAGCTGCTTAGAACTTGGTGTACTTGTAAAGTGGAAATGGCCTGAAGAATAATATTTGGGTGATAAAGGAGATGAACGGAGTGTCTTTGTAGGACATGATAGCTTTCCTCCTGTACTCTAAAGGCTACTGAGTGAAAGAGGAATTATTTGAATTCTGAATAATGCCAAGGATGATATCCCTTATATAGAAGAAAAACATATCAATAAAAGGAAGACTTTCTAACAGAGCTACTTGCAACCAAATGAACTGTGTTCCCTCTTACTAGAAGTTTTATATAGAGACTGCATGATAAAATTATAAAATCAATAGAATATTAGTAGAAAAAATTAAAATGAGAGATCCGTGATTAGATTAAATGGATTTAAAGCCTCTTCCAGGCTTGGGATTCTAGAATTCTGTGATACATGACACATGAATTCAGTTTCACCATGCTAGATTTAAATGTTTTCAAATTGTCACTATAATATTCTATAATATGACCATTGATGGAAAACAACCACGTTTATATGAGAAACAGAGGCACTATTGCTTCCAGAACCATAGAGCTATCCTGCTCTTCCTCATCCTAGGGCCTTCAAATAGTGTGGCTTTGTCAGGTGTGCAATAACTGAAAAAATCTGAGCCTTAATATTGAATGCTTCTTCTCAAATATGCAATAAAGAGGTTTTTTTCTATTTTTACCTTCCAAATGTTATCTAGAGAATAATTATTTAAAAAATATTGACCTGAGTTTTACTTAGAACCTTCACAAGTTTGTGAAAAACAATTCTCTTCACTATCCTTGTCTTGATGCAGCTTTGTACAACTCTTAGTACCAAAGCAGAGATTGCGAAGAAAGTATTGCATTCCATATTTAGTCAGAGACTACAGATGATGACAAATATATTCTGCCTTTGTTGACCTAGAATGCATCAACAAATCAATCCTCCTTAGACTTGAACTCAGCATCACACTCACATATTTTGGTTACCATGTATTCCTAAAATGCAGAAATGGGTACACTGACAAATTTTGCAATTCAAGATTTTTACCAGTTCAGCTCAGAGGTCAAAAGAAGACAGAGAAGCAGATGCATCACAGGGGGGATTTTTCACTGCAAGAATGGCGTGTCTCCATTTGTTACAAGTTAGACTTGGAAAAATCCTTTAGTTAAATGAAAAAGACAAATGTGAGACAGACTGCCTCGAGAATCATTTACCAATATCTCGGAACGACTGTGATTATACAAAACACCGATATTAAAATAATTAAGTTCAAAAACTAAGTGCAAGGTTGTAAGATAAATTGTTAGCAATTCTTTAACATAATTTCTGTCCTCTCCCTGCAACAAACCGGGTCTTCATCATGCCCCTGGAGTTATTCTAAAATTAATACACGATTATTTTTCTAACTCCGCTTAAAATTCTTTCATCTCTCCTCTTGGCCTACAGATTAAAACTTCTCAGGACTGCCTTTCCTAAGCCCTTTTATTATTTGACTATTGCTTATCTATTTAGACTAATTGTTCTGTTACTCTTCTCTTCCTGAATGCAAATTACTTAAAAATTTCTGAATGTAATGTCCACATCCTGGACATTCATCATTTTTCCTCTCCTATTTTTACATTGTGAACACCTACTCATATGTATAGATTTTGTTCAGATGTGTTCATCATTTTAAAGGCCATAGCCTTCATAACCACCTTTTAGGCCTAGAGAATTGATTACATTCTGCTCTGTCCCATAACTATATCCTGTGTTTTCATATATTAAAATACACATGAAAATATTACAATTAATTCATTCTAAGGCAGAGTTTATTCAATCATCTGTATATTTCTAGAACATTGTACAACTTCTAAATTTTAAATATTTTGTATCATTCATTTTCCAAAGAAATTTAGAAGGCTTGATAGCATGTATGTTTTTTAAAGAAATAATTGCTGTAGAGGATAACATAGGACATGTAAAATAAGATAAAGCTAGGAGTCAGATTAATATTTAAAATGCATGTAATATGCCTTAAATATTTTCTACTTTATGGATATTCATTAATTAATAAAAGCCAAGAGTTTTCTAAATTACCAGAGGAGGGCTTCAGTTTGGGCCTAAGTATCGTAGCAGCCTACAAAAAGAAGGAGGCTTAGTCAGCTATGTGATTTTCATTGTCATTGAAAGAAATGGTCTCAGACTGTCAGCAGCTAAATAATTATTTTTGCTAGTAAGGCCTGAACGCATTTCACCCTGGTCCATTTTAAGAGTAGATGATACTCTTATTTAAAACCTATTGAGCAATAGCCTCAACAACAACCTTTCAGTAATGCCCATAAGACCATGTCTTATAACTTTTGTTATTGTAGTGAAAAGGAATAATACCACTGGTAATTCAGTAAAAGTAATTCTATGCTGGTGAAGGTGAGGAGGAAAAAATGATCTCTGAATGTACTGCCTTCTAATTCTCAATATTTAGTCCAAAGAAAACATGTAAACTTGTACAGGAATGTATGTATTTTTATATTTGTCCCACTTATTGTAGTGAATATTAAGGAATGGAATAAATTCATAAATTAAAAAATACAATAATCTATAGCACAGCATCTATTGGAAGATACATACCCAAGCAGCAGACAAGAAGTTGAGTTGTAGAATTTTCTCAGTTGTATAAGCAGACTCAGTGATGTGCAGGGCCAAGGTTGAGTGTAAAGAATGCCTGGAGTATATGGTTAAAAAATCATTCTGAATAGAGTGGCTTTCTTGTCCTATAGAACCATGTGAACACAGGGTGAGAAACAGACAAGGGGTTTGTAAATGGAGAGCTCTTGCCTCTGGAGCTATCACAAGCTCTGGATCCTGGTCTGAATGAAAATGAGGCATCTCCTAGAGTCTCGTGAAAAACAGGTATAACAGCTGGGTTTTCATATTTAGGCCCAGAGATCTGGTAATTTAAGACTTTGCAAGAGGATAAGATTGAAGCTTTCAATAAAAAATATTTTTCTGTAAGAACTGGATTCAGGCAGAAAATGGAGCCTAAGTTAAAGGCATTTATTTTCTGTGGATATACCAAAGAATAAAGAAGTAGGTAAAGCAGAGGCCCACAAAACTGTGGGAGCTTGAGGAAAGCAAATAAACAAGAAAAATCAGTAAAATACATAGTACATTTATGTATTAGTCTGTTTTCACACTGCTGATAAAGACATACCTGAGACTGGGAAGAAAAAGAGGTTTAATTGGACTTACAGTTCCACATGGCTGAGGAGGCCTCAGAATCATGGTGGGTGCTGAAAGGCACTTCTTACTTAGCAGTGGCAAGAGAAAATGAGGAAGGTGCCAAAGCAGAAACCCCTAATAAAACCATCAGATCTCATGAGACTTATTCACTACCATTAGAACAGTATGGGGGAACCACCCCCATGATGCAAATTATCTCCCACCAGGTCTCTCCTAGAACATGTGGGAATTATGGGAGTACAATTCAAGATGAGATTTGGGTGGGGACACACAGCCAAACCATATCACTCTACCCCTGGCTCCTCCAAATCTCACGTCCTCACATTTCAAAACCAATCATGCCTTCTCAACAGTCCCCCAAAGTCTTAACTCATCTCAGCATTAACCCAAAAGTCCACAGTCCAAAGTCTCATCTGAGACAAGCAAAGTCCCTTCTGCCTATGAGCCTGTAAAATCAAAAGCAAGCTACTTCTTAGATACAGTGGGGGTACAGGTATTGGCTAAATACTGCTGTTCCAAATGGGAGAAATTCGTCAAAACAAAGTGGTTATTGGGCCCATGCCAGTCTGAATTCCAGTGAGGAAGTCAAATTTTAAAATGTCAAGATGATCTCCTTTGACTCCAAGTCTCACATTCAGGTCATGCTGATATAAGAGGTGGGTTCCCATGGTCTTGGGCAGCTCCACCCCTGTGGCTTTGCAGGGTACAGCCTCCCTCCTGGCTGCTTTCACAGGCTAGCATTGAGTATCTATGGTTTTTCCAGGGGCACAGTGCAAGCTGTCAGTGGATCTACCATGCTGGGGTCTGGAGGACGGTGGCCCTCCTCTCACAACTCCACTAGGCAGTGCCCCCGTAGGGACTCTGCATGGGGGCTCAGACCCCACATTTCCCTTCTGCACTGCCCTAGTAGAGGTTTTCCATGGGCATCCCACCCCTGCAGCAAACTTCTGCCTGGACATCCAGGTGTTTCTATACATCTTCTGAAATCTAGGCAGAGGTTCCCAAACTCCAATTCTTGATTTCCCTTCACTCACAGCTCAACACCACATGGAAACTGCCAAGGCTTGGAGCTTGCACCCTCTGCAAGCCATGGCCCAAGCTCTACGTTGGCCCCTTTCATCCGCAGCTGGAACAGCTGGGATGCAGGGCACCGAGTCCCTAGACTGCAAACAGCATGGGGACCCTGGCCCTGGTCCACGAAACCATTTTCTCCTAGGCCTCTGGGTCTGTGATGGGAGGGGCTGCCATGAAAACCTCTGACATGCCCTGGACATATTGTCCTCATTGTCTTGGGGATTAATTCCGCTCCTTGTTACTTATGCAAATCTCTGCAGCTGGCTTGACTCTCTCCCCAGAAAATGGATTTTTCTTTTCTATCACATTGTCATTTTTTGAACGTTTATGCTCTGCTTCCCTTATAAAACTGAATGTTTTTTAACAGCACCCAAGTCACCTGCTGAATGTTTCGCTGCTTAGAAATTTCTTGCTCCATATACTCTAAATCATCTCTCTCAAGTTCAAAGTTCCACACATCTCTAGGGCAGGGGCAAAGTGTCTTTGCTAAAACATAATAGCCTCTTTGCTAAAACATAACAAGAGTCACCTTTGTTCCAGTTCCCCACAAGTTCCTCATCTCCACCTGAGACCACCTCAGCCTGAACCTTATTGTCCATATCACTATCAGGCTTTTGGTCAAAGCCATTCAAGTCTCTGGGAAGTTCTAAATTTTCCCACATGTTCCTGTCTTCATCTTAGCCCTCCAAACTGTTCCAACCTCTGCCTGTTACCCAGTTCCAAAGTCGGTTCCACATTTTTGGTTACCTTGTCAGCAACGTCCCACTCTACTGATACCAATTTACTGTATCAGTCTGTTTTAAAGCTACTGATAAAGACATACTGGAGACTGGGAAGAAAAAGAGGTTTAATTGGACTTACATAGTTCCACATGGCTGGGGAGGCCTCAGAATCATGGCAAGAGGAGAGGGGAACTTCTTACATAGTGGCAGCAAGAGAAAATGAGGAAGATGCAAAAGCGGAAACCCATAATGAGACCATCAGATATCAAGAGACTTATTCACTACCATTAGAATAGTATGGGGGAAACCATCCCCATGATGCAAATTATCTCCCACTTGGTCCCTCCCACAACATGTGGGAATTATGGAAGTACAATTCAAGATGAGATTTGGGTGGGGACACAGAGCCAAACCATATCAATTAATAAGGATAAATTTTGCAAAAAAAAAAAAAAAAAAAAACAAAGTAGGTAAAGGGCATAGTGTTAGGGATGAGACTGGAATTTAGATAGGCCTCTCTTCTCTGATGTGTCTTTCTGTAAAGGTCTAAATGAAGGGAAGGGGCCTTGTCATTGGTTTTCTGGGAAAGAACATTTCAGGAAGAAAGATAGCAAGAGCAAGTCCTTATGTGGCTAGAGTAGAAGGAAATGAGATGAGTAGAAGGAGAAGAAGTCAGAGTGGTAACTCGGTGGGTGGTAGGCAGATTGGGCAGTGCTTTATTTCGTTGTTAGGGTCTTGTTGTTAGGGTTTTTAGGTCTTACTGTGAGAAATGAGAAACCATTGGAGAGTTTTGAGCAGACAAGTGGCATAAAAAGGATTCTTCAGGTTTCTGTATTGAAAATAGATTATAGAAAGCAAAAGCATTAGAATGAAGACCAGTCTGGAAGCTACTTGTACAATTCAGATTTAATGCTTGGAATTTGGTCCACTAACATGATTTTGTGAAATATCCTATTGTGATGATCAAAAGACTCGATGGATTTGACATTTCACTGGTAAAAGAAGATAAGACATATGATTTTTACAGTTTATTTTATGGGAGCAAATTGTTTATTCATTAAATTCATTTATGTCATGCATCTATCCAAAAAAAAATTATGTGGTTGGGGATATGCTATTTCTCAAGGTTATGTGATAATATCTTCCAGCATAGTCAGATATTTTATACGTATAATAACTCGGGCAAAATTCAAAAGCAAATAGTTTACCATGTTATGAAATAAAGCTTCTGTAAGAAAATATTCAAATTAAATGTCCAGTGGCAAATGGCACATACAATCCACTGGCATACATCTTTCTTAATATTTATAAAACTTGAAGAAGTGTTTGAATTATCTACTTAAAACAGGATTTTAGGGAATTCAATATTGTGTTTCATTCATCAAATCATTGATTCAACAGCTGTTTATTGGGAGTCTCTGTGTGCAAAGCAGCATGCTAGGCTTTGGGGAAATAGCAGCAAATTTAAAAATTTCCTGCCCCCTATGTATTACATTCTATTGGCAGGGAGAGAGACAATAAATAAGTGCTATATAATTCCTTAGATGGTAGTAAGTACTATGAAGAAAAATAAAGCAGGGAAGGATGGCAGGGAGAGGGCAAATGTTGGGAAGATAAATTTTAAAGGGGTTATAAGCGATGCCCACCCTCCAAGATAAGGTGAAGTTAGAGAAAATGTCTTCACTGAAGTCATGGGCAAGCCATGGGAATATCCTAGTAGCAGAGGCAGAGAATGTGCCTAGATGTTCTGAAGGAAGCATGCTTGGTGTGTTTGAGAAACACAGGAAGATGCTGGGTTGAGTTGTCTAGCACATTGTAATCAACTTTGAGATGAATAAATAAATTTCCTGTCTTGAAATATCTTAGCACCTACGCTAAATTCCAAATATCTTACCAGCAACAGACAGGAAGGTCTTATGTGCTTTGGCCTCTCATACTTCAGAGACCTTTATTTTTAACCTTCCCCACTCTATGTCCCACCCCCACCTCCCTGCCACATTCACCCTTAGCTCCTTGAGCAAGTCATGTCCACCTCAGCAGCCTTTCTATGCACCAATAATGAACCAGCTGGAAAAGAAATCACGAAAGCAATCGCATATACAATAGAAACAAAATAATAAATAAATGGATAAGATACCTAAGAATAACCAATGAGGTAAAAAATTTTTACAATAGAAACCTCAAAACACTGATGAAAGAAATTGAACAGGACACAAAAAATGGAAAGACATCTCATGCTCATGGATGGGAAGAATTAATATTGTTAAAATGGCCGTAATACCCAAAGTGACCTACAGATTTAATGCAGTCTCTATCAAAATACCAATTACATTATTCACAGAAATAGAAAAAATAATCCTAAAATTGCAGAGAACACAAAAGAGCCTAAATAGCCAAAATAATTCTGACCAAAAAGAACAAAGCTGAAGGCATCATACTACCTGACTGCAAAATATACTACAAAGCTATAGTAACAATGACAGCTTGATATTGGTATAAAACCAGACACATTAGAAAAATGAAACAGCTTAGAGAGCCTGGAAATTAATCCACATATTTACAGCCAACTGATTTTCAACAAAGGCACCCAGAACATACAATAGGGAAAGGGCATCCTCTTCAATAAACAGTGCTGGGCAAATAATATCCATTTGTGAAGAATAAAACTAGACTTCTATCTCACCACATATAAAAATCAACTCAAAATGGATTAAAGGCTTAAATATAAGACTTAAATCTATAAAACTACTAGAAGAAACATAAGAGAAATGCTTCAGGACATTATTCTAGACAAAGATTTTGTGGGTAAGACTTAAAAAGCGCAGATGACAATAACAAAAGTAGACAGATGGGTCTATATCAAACTAAAAAGCTTTGGCACAGCAAAGGAAACAATCAACAGAATGAAGAGATAACCTGTTGAATGGAAGAAAATATTTTCAAACTATTCATTCAACAATGGACTGATATCTGGAACATACAAGGGATTCAAAGGACTCAACAGCAAAAACAACGGCAATGACAAAACCTACAAGCAATCCCATTAAAAAGTGGGCAAAGATATAAATAGACATATTTTAAAAGAAGATGTACAAATGGCCTGATAGCATATGAAAAGATTCTCAACATCACTAATCCTCAGGGAAATGCAAATCAAAACTACAAAGAGATATTGTCTCACCCTAGTTAGAATGGCTATTATCAAAGAGAACAAAATAAAAATGCTGGTGAGAATGCAGAGAAAAGGAAATTTATACATGATCAATGTGAATGTAAATTAGTACAGCCATTTTGGAAAACAGCGTGGAGGTTTCTCAAAAAAAAAAAAATCTAAAAATAGAACTGCCATATAACTCAGCAATCCCACTACTGGTTATTTATTCAAAGGAAGTAAAAGCAGTATATCAAAGTGATAACTGTACTCCTATGTTTAATGCATCACTATTCACAATAAATCAACCTAAATGTCCATCAATAGATGAATGGATAAAGAAAATGTATATATACACAATGGAATACTATTCAGCCATAAAAAAGAATGAAATCCTATTATTCACAGCAACATGTATGAGCCTGGAGGACGTTATGTAAAGTGAAATAAATAAGTCAGGCACAGAAAGACAAATGGTGCACATTCTCTCTCATGTGGGAGCTAAAAAAACGTTGAGCACATAGAAATAGGGAGCAGAATTATGGTTATTACAGGCTGAGAAGGGGAGGGAGAGGATAGAAAGAAATGGTACAAATTACAGCTAGAAGAGGAATAAGTTCTTGTGCTCCATAGCACTGCAGAATGAATATAATTAACAATAATTTGCTGTAAGTTTCAAAAATCTAGAAGATAGGATTTTGAATATTCCCAACACAAAGAAATGATAAATGCTTGACGTGGTGAATATGCTAATTACCCTGATTTGCTCACTTACTGTATACTTATATATTGCAGTATCACTCTGTAGCACATAAATATGTACAATTATTATGAATCAACTAAAGATAAAAGAGAAAATAATTCAGTTGAAGATGAGTAAGCAACTGACCCAGGTGACCATGGAGCTCTACACAATGCATCCATCCAAGAAGAGGTAATAGTTCTGGCACAAGGCATGGGAGACCTTAGTCTGGAGGTTCACTCTTTTTCTGTGCTGTTCTGCACATCATTCTCCTTTTGAACTCCACCTGCCCTGTTTGGGGCATTTAAAGGAGACATCTAGAGTCCCTCTGCAAGAAAACTCATTGCAAAGTTATTACAAATATTCTTAGAGCTTTCTTGGCCATCGTGCAAATATTTTTCAGGTTTGTGTGTTTCTCTATTTCTTTCTTGGGTTCAGTCTCCCTCTGTGATCTCACTGAACTTCTTTAAACTACTCAGGCAGTGGCTATTCTTTCCTTAACGCTGAAATCTACCTCTCTCATTCGACGAGAATTCATAATACCTATATATAGTGCTGTCCTCTCAGCTCCTTTTGTTTGTGATTCTTGGTTGATTCTAGATTGCTAAACAAAGGAAGAGTATAGTATTTTGGAGTGAAGGCAGGAACACTTGGATATAGTCACTGATTACTTCAGGAAACCAACCAAGATCATTCTTTTTTTTTGTCTTTTTTTTTCCTTTTTTTAATTATTATTATACTTTAAGTTTTAGGGTACATGTGCACAATGTGCAGGTTAGTTACATATGTATACATGTGCCATGCTGGTGTGCTGCACCCATTAACTCATCATTTAGCATTAGGTATATCTCCTAATGCTATCCCTCCCTCCTCCCCCCCACCACACAACAGTCCCCAGAGTGTGATGTTCCCCTTCCTATGTCCATGTGTTCTCATTGTTCAATTCCCATCTATGAGTGAGAACATGCGGTGTTTGTTTTTTTATCCAAAATCAATGTACAAAAATCACAAGCATTCTTATACACCAAAAACAGACAAACAGAGAGCCAAATCATGAGTGAACTCACATTCACAATTGCTTCAAAGAGAATAAAATACTTAGGAATCCAACTTACAAGGGAAGTGAAGGACCTCTTCAAGGACAACTACAAACCACTGCTCAATGAAATAAAAGAGGATACAAAGAAATGGAAGAACATTCCATGCTCATGGGTAGGAAGAATCAATATCGTGAAAATGGCCATACTGCCCAAGGTAATTTATAGATTCAATGCCATCCCATCAAGCTACCAATGACTTTCTTCACAGAATTGGAAAAAACTACTTTAAAGTTCATATGGAGCCAAAAAAGAGCCCGCATCGCCAAGTCAATCCTAAGCCAAAAGAATAAAGCTGGAGGCATCACGCTACCTGACTTCAAACTATACTACAAGGCTACAGTAACCAAAACAGCATGGTACTGGTATCAAAACAGAGACATAGATCAATGGAACAGAACAGAGCCCTCAGAAATAACGCCGCATATCTACAACTATCTGATCTTTGACAAACCTGACAAAAACAAGCAATGGGGAAAGGATTCCCTATTTAATAAATGGTGCTGGGAAAACTGGCTAGCCATATGTAGAAAGTTGAAACTGGATCCCTTCCTTACACCTTATACAAAAATTAATTCAAGATGGATTAAAGACTTAAACGTTAGACCAAGATCATTCTTGATGTGGGCTTGTACTTACTTTACTTTGTGCGAGTGCCCTCACTTTCTACCCTCAAACCCTCATACAGCCAGAAGTGCTGTATCAAGGCTAAGGGTTTAAAGAAACTTGCATGAAAACAGGCCTTTTATTTCAACTCATAAAGATTGGAGGGTTTTCACAAACTGTACATTAAAGGTATCTCAAATATGCCTTAATATTTTTATGTAATCTAAATTCTAAGTGTTTTTCTAATATAATAATTTTATGACTCAGTGAAACCAAAATCATACCTTTTACTTATACAAATACAATGCAAGAAGATATTTGAGCTTAATTTTATTAGATTTTGGTTGTATGTAATTCTGCTGCATGAAATTAATACATACATATTCTATGGTAACAGAACATTGTGACTAATAGCCTTTTTATGAATTCAAATAGTTCTATTGAATAGATAGACACAGGTCAATGAGACTACAATATAACGATAGTAATTTATTTTATTCCACTAGTTACGGAAATAGTGATAAACTATTCTACATAAGAACTTATATTCTGACTTCTCTTCAGATCATATAAATCTATTACTTTTTACTGAAGATTTTCTAGGAGAGGAACAACTCATTTCAGCAAACAAAACAAAACAAAAGTCTTAACTAGAGATAACAAGAGAATTTTTACAAAATAATCCCAAATTTGAAAGGTGGAAATAATTAAAAATTTGCTTTTGTAAGAATTCTTTTTTTTTTTTTTTTTTGAGACGGAGTCTCGCTCTGTCGCCCAGGCTGGAGTGCAGTGGCGCGATCTCGGCTCACTGCAAGCTCCGCCTCCCGGGTTCACGCCATTCTCCTGCCTCAGCCTCCCGAGTAGCTGGGACTACAGGCGCCCGCTACCACGCCCGGCTAATTTTTTGTAGTTTTAGTAGAGACAGGGTTTCACCGTGTTAGCCAGAATGGTCTCGATCTCCTGACCTCGTGATCCGCCCGCCTCGGCCTCCCAAAGTGCTGGGATTACAGGCGTGAGCCACCACGCCCGGCCAAGAATTCTTTTACTAGATCTACAAAACAATCATTAAAAGTATATCAACCAGAATTTATTATCCATATTTCCAAATAAAGACAGTAAGTTTCAGAGATGGTAAATGTAAATATTAAATAAACTGTCCAAGATCATGTGGGGACATTTATGCAGAGCCAGAATGAGAAGCCAACCAAGTCTTCTTGCTTCTACACTTTCCACTTCCTACTTAGTGATGTAAGAACTATTGAGTCCTCCTGTTCCACCCCCTCTCATAAAAACACTTCAGTACATTTCTTTAAAAAAAAAGTGATTACCATCAATCTGGCACCTGTAATATATTTGATTTTCAAAACTAAAGTCATTTTCAATAGAAACAAGTTTTTGTTTTGTTTTGTTTGAGACAGAGTCTCACTCTGCCCAGGCTGGAATGCAGTGGCACGATCACAGCTCACTGCAACTTCCACCTCCCGGGCTCAAGTAATCCTCCCACCTTGGCCTCCCAGTAGCTATGACTACAGGCACACACCACTTCACTAGGCTAATTTTTGTATTTTTTCTAGAGACGAGGTTTCACAGTGTTGCCCAGGATAGTCTTGAACTCCTGAGCTCAAGCAATCTCCCTGCCTTGGCCTCCCAAAATGCTGGGATTACAGGCATGTGCCACGGTGCCCTGCCAATAGTTACAAGCTCTTATGTTTCTATAGTTATGTAAAGTCTGAAAAATGCCAAGAATGCACATGAAGAGCATGTAATACGTGTAATGAAACCATTATAGGAAATACTATGTGTTGCTAAATATAATGCTTATTATTTGCAAATTATAATTTTGGTTGTCCCAAACTTGATGATTATTTGTATATTTTTCATAAACTGCAAAAAGAATTTTCAGAGGACTTAGTGACAAACAAAAGGTATGATATAAAGCACACAAAAACATATTCTCCATGGAAAGAAAAGTTGGAATTGAGAGGCCTAGGAGAGGCAGCCTCCATGTATTGATGAAATTACAGTTAAATTAGAAAGCAGAGAACAATTGAGTAGGTTTGAAAAATGAGAAACAGTTAGCAAAAAAAAAAAAAAAAATACACACACGCACACATATATGTATGATAAGAAGTTTTAAAAATGATTAAAAGAGGTATCCATGAAGAGATGAACACAATTTGAATATGCACTTAGCACATAAGGATGTACAATCAATATGCAACATAGTGTTTTGAATCCTAACTGATAATAAAATAACTACAAAATCCTGCAAACTCATAATATTTAGCTAGGTTATTCTGTAAACTGTATTTTACTGATAATTAAAAGTAATTTTAGTGAGAATAATAGTGTGTATTTTATATTATCAATAATTTGTTTTCCTTGCTTATTTCTCTTTGCTGCAAAATGGGTTAGTAAAATACTTTGGGCGTCAGTTAATGTACACTTGAAAATGCTTTTAGTTTTATTCTGAAAAAGAAATGATATCAATATACATTTATAAATGTTATGAATAGTTATACACTTTCTGATTAAACAATAAAATCCAACATCTTTAGCTTTCTAAATGGTGCTTTTTCTTGTACGTATCTATATTTAATTTTTGTAAGAAATATTTGCTATATAAGAGAGAAACTATGAGACATTTATGTAATTTATAAATAATAAAAATTAAACAAATAGCTGAGAAACTCTGCCTATAATTAGATCAAAATTATTTTTGTAAATTATATGGCTCTTCAAAATATTTCTTCCTCGCTTCCTTACTTTCCTGGAAATAGTGTGCTTTCCCACCCCTAGAATTTCTGTTTGTGCATTTGACTTGTTTTGGCCAGTGGATATTAACCAATATCAAGCATTCCAAGGCTTGCTATGTGCATTCGGTGTAGAGCTTGCTGTCCTGTGTTTCCTCAATGTTAAAAATAGCCATTGAGTAGTTACTGTGCCTTCAGACTCAGCCCCAGAATGTACCTGTGTAGGACAGAGTTGCTCTAGCAGACCTGAATTGAGAAGCAATTCTACCCCGACTACCACAGCCTGAAGCTAAGTGGCCCAGCTGACCTACAAATCATAAACAATACCCCCAAAAAACAAATTATCATGTTAAATCACTGAAATTTGAAGTCATTTGTTCACAATAGACTTCAAATTTCAAATAGCTAATCAATAGATTTAATCATTTATAGGATAGAAATCACCTACCTATTTGACCCATTCCCCTACTTAGCACCTAGAGACAATCAATCAACCTGAACATTTTGAATGGCACTATCTGTTTTTCTAAACATAATTTTATGTCACATACATGTATTCACATATATAATGATATATATAGTATATCTGAATATTTTATTTTTACTTCATTAAGATATGTCAGAATGTATATGGTCATCTGAGTCTTATTTTTTCCTCAATATAGTGTCTCTACATTTTATCCACATTGTTATGTGCAGCTGTAGTATATTCATTTTCACTGCTCTATAATATCCATTATGTGACTTTTCCCACATATTATTTATCCATGTTTGTTACTAACATGTTATTTCGATGATTTTCATTGTTTGCTAATACAAACAATGCTCCAAGGAGCATTCTGCATATCTGGAGATTGTATATGTTGAAGCACATGTGTAAACGTTTCTCTAGGGCATCAGTTCTCAAACTTTTGGCCTGAGGATCTGTATTTGTTAAGGTTTGCCAGAGAAATATAATAGAACGAATATGTGTGTGTGTGTCTGTGTGTCTGTGTGTGTGTGTGTGTCTGTATGTTGATGTGTATATATACATATGTATTGTGTGTATCTCTCTGTGTGTGTATATATATGTACATGTACATATATGTATATGTACATGTACATATATGTATATGTACATGTACATATATGTATATGTACATGTACATATATGTATATGTACATATGGATATATATGCATACACATACATGTGTGTATGCATATATATACAAAGAGATACATGCAGAGACAGAGATAAAGAGAGAGAGAACAGACTCTCTTTGGCTCACATGATTGTGGGGACTGTTAAGTCCAAAATTTGTAGGGCAGGTGAGCAGGCTGGGGATCCAGGGAAGAGTAGATGTCTGATTTTGCAGCTTAAATCTGAAGGAATTCCATCTTATTTGGGGACCTTAGTGTTTCCCTTTTAAGGCCTTCAACTGATTGGAAGAAGCCCACTCATGTTGTAGAGAATAATCAGCTTTACTCAACATCTACTGATTTATGTGTTTATTTCACCTAAAACATACCTCCACAGAGATATTTAGACTGATGTTTGACCAAACATTGTGGTAGCATAGCTTAGTAAAACTGACGCATAAAATTAGCTATCACCATACCCCTTTATTACCTTAAAGATTATTAAGTACCCTAAAGAGATTTGGTTAGGGGCTTATATCTATTGATGCTTATTGTATTATAAATTAAAACTTAGAAATCTTAAAGATATTTATTAATTTAAATAACTATAGAAAGTTCATTGCATGTTAACTAAACATTTTAATGCAAAATCAATATAATGCCTAAAACAAAAAAATTAATGAAAAGTGTGACATTATTTTATACTTCTGTAAAAATCTTTGTGGCACCTGGCTCAATAAATTGCCAGTAGAGGAAAATTTTTCTGTTCTTGTCAACCTTAGCAGAAATTTATTTATTTTATTACTCTTCAAAGAACCATTTTGGTCTTTGTTGATCTTCCATTCTATTATTCTATCATATATATAGTATACGCTTTCTAACCTCAAAATATATGCACAGCACAATGATTTTAAGTCTGTTCTCTTTTCATTATAACCAGTTAAAATTAAATTCCCTTCAAAATACTGATTTGACTTCATGTCAGAGTTTTGATGTGTTGCCATTCAGTTCTATTTTAAAACATTTCTTCTCTTATGTATGTTATTTAAAACTGTTTTAAAATTTGCACAAATATACTTTATCAGCATATTTGTATACTGATCGATGAGTGATATTGATCTTTATTTCATAAGCTTGTTGGCCACATGTATGTCTTCTTTTGGAAAGAGTCTGTTCTTGTTATTTGCCCATTTTAATGGAGTTGTTTGTTTTTTGCTTGTAAATTTGTTTATTTTCCTTACAGATGCTGGATATTAGAACTTTGTCAAACACATAGTTTGTAAATATTTTGTCCTATTCTGTAGTGTATTAGCCTATTCTCACACTGCTGATAAAGAAATACCCGAGACTAGGTATTTTATAAAGGAAAGAGGTTTAATGACTCACAGTTCCACATGGCTGGGGAGGCCTCATAATCACGGCAGAAGGTGAATGAGAATCAAAGTCACGTCTTACATGGTGGAGGCCAAGAGGGCATGTGCAGGGGAACTCCCCCCACCTCTTTTTTTTTTTTAATTATACTTTAATTTCTGGGATACATGTGCAGAATGTGCAGGTTTATTACATAGGTATACATGTGCCATGGTGGTTTGCTGCACCCATCAACCCATCATCTACATTAGGTATTTCTTCTAATGCTATCCCTCCCCTAGTCCCCCACCCCTCAGCAGGCCCCAGTGTGTGATCTTCCCCTCCCTGCGTCCATGTGTTCTCATTGTTCACCTCCCACTTATGAGTGAGAACATGCGGTGTTTGGTTTTCTGTTCCTGTTTTAGTGTGCTGAGAATGATGGTTTCCAGCTTCATCCTTGTCCTTGCAAAGGACATGAACTCATACTTTTTATGGCTGCATAGTATTCCATGGTGTATATGTGCCACATTTTCTTTATCTAGTCTCTCATTGACTGGTATTTGGGTTGGTTCCAAGTCTTTGCTATTGTGAATAGTGCTGCAATAAACATACATGTGCATGTATCTTTATAGTAAAATGATTTATAATCCTTTGGGTATATGCCCAGTAACGGGATTGCTGAGTCAAATGGTATTTCTGGTTCTGAGGAATCGCCACACTGTCTTTCACAATGGTTGAACTAATTTACACACCCATCAACAGTGTAAAAGCCTTCCTATTTCTTCACATCCTCTCCAGCATCTGTTGTTTCCTGACTTTTTAATGATCCCCATTCTAACTGGCATGAGATGGTATCTCATAGTGGTTTAGATTTGCATTTCTCTAATGACCAGTGATGACGAGCTTTTTTTCATGTTTGTTGGCTGCATAAATATCTTCTTTTGAGAAATGTCTGTTCATATTCTTCACCTACTTTTTGATGGGGTTGTTTTGTTTTCTTGTAAATTTAAGTTCCTTGTAGATTCTGGATATTAATCCTTTGTCAGATGGATAGATTGCAAAAATTTTCTCCCATTCTGTAGGTTGCCTGTTCACTCTGATGATAGTTTCTTTTGTTGTGCAGAAGCTCTTTAGTTTAATTAGATCCTATTAGTCTATTTTGGCTTTTGTTGCCATTGCTTTTGGTGTTTTAGTCATGAAGTCTTTGCCCATGCCTGTGTCCTGGATGGTATTGCCTAGGTTTTCTTCTAGGGTTTTTATGGTTTTAGGTTTTACGTTTAAGTCTTTAATCCATCATGAGTTAATTTTTGTATAAGGTGTAAGGAAGGGATCCAGTTTCACTTCTCTGCATATGGCTAGCCAGTTTTCCCAACATCATTTATTAAATAGGGAATTCTTTCCCCATTGCCTGTTTTTCTCAGGTTTGTCAAAGATCAGATGGTTGTAGACGTGTGGCATTATTTCTGAGGCCTCTGTTCTGTTCCATTGGTCTGTATATCTGTTTTGATAACAGTACCATGCTCTTTGGGTTACTGTAGCCTTGTAGTATATTTTGAAGTCAGGTAGTGTGATGCCTCCAGCTTTGAAATTCCCTTTATAAAACCTTCAGATCTTGTGAGACATTCACTATCTTGAGAACAGCACAAGAAAAACCTGCAACCATGATTTAATTACTTCCCACCTGCTCCCCCCATGACACATGGGGATTATCACAATTCAATGTGAGATTTGGGTGGACACACAGCCAAACCATATCATATAGGTTGTCTGATTACTCTGCTGACAGTTTCTTTTGCTGTTGAGAAGCTCTTAAGTTTAATTAGGTCACACTTGTCAATTTTTGTTTTTGTTACAATTGCTTTTGGCATTTTTGTCACGAAATCTGTGCTAAATCCTACATCCAGAGTGATATTTCCTAGGTTATCTTCCAGGGTGTTTAGAATTTTATGTTTCACATTTAAGCCTTTAATCCACCTTGAGTTTATTTTTGTATGTGGTATAAGGGAGGGGTCCAGTGTCAATCTTTTGCATCTGGCTAGCACATTTTATTGAATAGGGAATACTTTCCCCATTGCTTGTTTTTGTTAGGATTGTTGAAAATCAAGTTGAACATGTGTGGCATTATTTCTGGGCTCCCTATTCTGTTCCATTGGTCTGTGTGTCTGTTTTTGCACCAGTACCATGCTGTTTTGGTTACTGTAGTCTAGTAGTACAGTTTAGTCAAGTAATGTGATGCCTCCAGCTTTGCTATTTTTTCTTAAGATTGCCTTAGCTATTTGGGCTCTTTTTTTGGTTCTATAGGAATTTTAAAATATTTTCTAATTCTGTGAAGAATATCATTGGTACTTTGATAGAAATAGCATTGAATCTATAAACTGCTTTGGGCAGTATGGCCATTTTAATAATATTGATTCTTCCTATCCATGAGCATGGAAGATTTTTCCAGTTGTCTGTGTCACCTCTGATTTCTTTGAGCAGTGTTTTGTAGTTCTTGTTGTAGAGACGTTTCATTTCCTGGGTTGGCTGTATTCCTAGGTATTTTATTCTTTTTGTGGCAATTGTGAATGTGACTGTATTCGTGATTTCACTCTCAGCTTAGATGTTGTTGGTATATAGAAATGCTAGTGATTTTTGTACATCGATTTTGTATCCTGAGACTTTGCTGAAGTTGTTTGTCAGATCAGGGAACTTTTGGGCCAAGATTATGGGGTTTTCAAGATATAGAAATACATCATCTGGAAACAGGGATAGTTTGACTTCCTCTCTTCTTATATGGATGCCTTTTCTTTCTTTTTCTTTCCTGATTGCTATGGCTGGAACTTTGAATATTTTGTAGAGTAGGGATGGTGAAGAAGGCATACTTGACTGGTGCTGGTTTTCAAAGGGAAGACTTCCAGCTTTTGCCCATTCAGTATGATGTTGGTTGTGGGTTTGTCATAGATGGCTCTTATTATTTTGAAGTGTGTTCTTTTGATGCCTAATTTATTGAGGGTTGTTAATGTGAAGATGTATTTTATCAAAAGACTTTTCTGCATCTATTGAGATAATCATCTGGTTTTTCTTTTTAGTTCTGTTTATGTGATGAATCATATTTATTGATTTGTGTATGTTCAACCGAGCTTACATCCCAGGGATAAAGCCTACTTGGTCATGATGGATTAGTTTTTTGATGTGCTGCTGGAATTGATTGGCAATTATTTTGTTGAGGTTTTTTGTATCAGTGTTCATCAAAGATATTGGCCTGAAATTTTATTTTTTGTTGTATCTCTGACATGTTTTTGTGTCAGGAAAATAGTGGCCTCATAAAATGAGTTGAGAAGGAATCTCTCCTCCTCAATTTTTTGGAACAGTTTCAGTAAGAGTGATAGGAGCTCTTCATTGTATACATATGGTAGAATTTGGCTATGAATCTATCTGGTCCTGGGTTTTTTTCTGGTTGATAGGCTGATATGGTTTGGCTGTGTCCTCATCCAAATCTCATCTTGAATTATAGCTCCCATAATTTCCATGTGTTGTGGGAGGGACCTGGTGGGAGGTAATTGAATTAAGGCAGGACTTGCCTGTGCTGTTCTTTTGTTAGTGAATAAGTCTCATGAGATCTGATGGTTTTATAAAGGGGAGTTTCCCTGCACAAATTCTCTCTTGTCTCCTGCCATGTAAGACATGCCTTTTACCTTCCACCATGACTGTGAGGCCTCCCCAGCCATGTGGAACTGTGAGTCTATTAAATCTCTTTTTCTTTATAAATACCCAGTCTCAAGTATGTCTTTATCAGCAGCATGAAAATGGACTAATACATAGACTTTTTATTACTGATTCAGTTTTGTAACTCATTTTTTTTGTCTGTGCAGGGATTCATTTTTTTTCCTGGGTTCAGTCTTGGGAGGGTGTATGTGTCCAGGAATTTTTCCATTTTTTTCTAGATTTTTTAGTTTGTGCATAGAAGTATTCGTAATAGTCTCTGATGGTTATTTGTATTTCTGTGGGTTCAGTGGTAATGTCAGGATCAGTGTAATGCCCTTTGTAATTTCTAATTGTTTTTATTTGGATCTTCTTTCTTCTTTATCATTCTAGCTAGCAGTCTCTCTTATTTACTTTTTCAAATAACCATTGATTATTTGGATTAATTAATCTTTTGAGTGATTTTTCATATCTCAATGTCCTTAGTTCATCTCTGATTTTGGTTATTTCTTTTGTGAGTTTTGGGGTCAGTTTAATCTTGGTTTTGTATCTTATTAAGTTTTTTAAATTACCATTGATTATTTGGATTCATTGATTTTTTTCAGTGGTTTTTTCATATCTCAATCTCCTTAGTTCATCTCTGATTTTGCTTATTTCTTCTGTTAGTTTTTGGGTTCAGTTTACTCTTGGTTCTCTAGTCCATTTAGTTGTGATGTTAGGTTGATAAATTGAGATCTTTCTAACTTTTTGATGTGGGCATTTAGTGCTATAAATTTTCCTGTTAACACTGCCTTAGCTGTGTCCCAGAAATTTTGGTATGTTGTGTCTTGGTTCTCATTAGTTTCAAATAACTTCTTACTTCTTGATTTCTGCTTTAATTTCATTATTTACTCAAAAGCCATTCAAGTGCAGCTATTCAATTTCCATGTAATTGTATGTTTTTCAGTGATTATTTCAGTCTTGATATGTAATTTTATTGTGCTGTGATGCAAGAGAGTAGTTGATATGATTATAGTTCTCTTGCATTTGCTGAGGATTGTTCTGTGTCTCATTATGTGGTAGAGTTTAGAGTATGTGCATGTGGCAATGAGAAGAGTGTATATTCTATTTGTTTTGGGAGGGGAGAGTTCTGTAGATATCTATCAGGTCCTTTTGATCCAGTGCTCAGTTCAGGTCCTGAATATTTTTGTTAATTTTCTGACTCAATGATCTAATACTGTCAGTAGGGTGTTGCAGTCTCCACTATTATTTTGTAGGAGTCTAAGTCTCTTTGAAGGTCTTTAAGAACTTGCTTTATGACTCTGGTTGCTTCTGTGTTGAATGCATATATATTTAGAATAGTTAGGTCTTCTCATCGAATTGAAATCTTTGCCAGTATGTAATGCTCCCCTTTTTTCGTCTCTATCTGTTTAAAGTCTATTTTGTCTAAAATTAGGATAGTAACCCCTGCTTTTCTCTGTTTTCCATATGCTTGGTAGATTTTTCTCCATCCTTTTATTTTTGAGCCTCTGAGTGTTACTGCATATGAAACAGGTCTCTTGAAGACAGCATACCAATGAATCTTGGTTCTTTATCCAATTTGCCACTCTGTGCCTTTTAATTAGGGCATTTAGCCCATTTACATTTAAAGTTATTGTTGATATGTGTGAATGTGATCCTGTCATCATGATGTTAGCTTGTTATGCAAGCTTGTTTGTGCGGTTGCTTTATAGTGTCACTGGTCTGTATACTGGCAGGTTAGGATGCATGCACACACACGTTGGCATGGGGGAAGGTAAAACCCACCCACGTACACACATGTTGGCAATGTGATATATGTGGTGGCTCTGGGCCTGGAGGAAGCTGCAGTGGGGGTAGGGAATAGGCAGGCTGGTGTGTGGCCATGGGGGCTGCCCCATTGGACCTCTCTGCCAGTCAGGCACAGTTCACCACTGCAGGAGCTATTATGTGGGCTCCCAGAGCACCTGCTTGTTCTACAAGCAGGCATGGCCAGGCTGGGGCCCTGGAAGAGGCCAGCAGACCAAGGGGTGCTCAAGTCAGACTAGCCCCATCTGATGGGCAAGACCACCATGCAGAGTTCAAGTCTGAGAGTTTCCCTAGGGATAATGTCTCCTGTGGTAGCATGTCGAGCCTACAGGGATGGACATCTCTTGTCATACTCTGCCACGAGTGCTTAGGCACCAAATCCTTTTGGCTCTGCATCAGCTGGCATGCTGCCCCTACCAATTCTCTAAGCAGCTCTTTGTTCCAACTCAAGTATCCGTCATAGTTTAGGGGTCTCCTCCTGCCAAGATTCCAGAGGCCTGTGGCAAGAGTAGGTTGATCCTTGTCAGTTCAATTCACCCATTCCTTTGGAGTTGTTGGAGGGTAGGAATTAGTCCCCTGCCTGGTAGCCTCCTGTAGGGTTCCCAGCTTCCTCCCACTTGAGCACAGCTTTTGTATCTTCCCTCCATCCACTCTCACAGGCTTCCCTCTGAAGCTCTGTCAGGAGTGTGCCAATTTTCTTGGTCCCTTGGTGGCAGTTGTTCCACCTGGTTGTGTCAAGTTGGCCATCTTCTACTTAATCAGGTCTTCTTGTTGAATTGAAACTATTGCCATTATATAGTGCTCTTCTTTAGCTTATTTGGTCTTTGTTGGTTTAAAGTCTGTTTTGTCTAAAACTAGGATTGCAACCCCTGCATTTTTGTGTTTGTTGTTGTTGTTGTTGTGGTGGTGGTTTACTTGGTTGATTTTTCCCCATTCCTTTATTTTGAGCCTATGGATGTCATTGTATGTGAGATGGGTCTCTTGAAGACAGCATACTATTGGGTCTTCCTTCTTTGTTCAGCTTGCCATTCTGTGTATTTTAATTGGGGGATTAAGCTGTTTACATTCAAGGTTACTATTCATATGTACGAATTTGATCCTGTCATCATATTGTTAGCTGGTTATTATGCAGACTTGTCTGTGTGGTTGCTTTATAGTGTCACTGGTTTGTGTACTTAAGTGTATTTTTGTAGTGGCTGATAATGATCTTTCTTTTTCACATTTAGCACTCCTTTCAGGACCACTTGTAAGGCAGTTCTGGTGGTAATGAATTCATTCAGCATTTGCTTGTTTGAAAATGATCTTATTTCTCCTTCACTTATGAAGCTTGGTTGGGCTGGATATGAAATTCTTGTTTCAAATATTATTTTAAGAATCCTGAATATAAGCACTCAATGTCTTCTGGCTTGAAGAGTTTCTGCTGAAAAGTCCAGCCTGATGGGATTCCTTTTGTATGTGACCTGTCTCTTCTCTCTAATTGCCTTTTACATTTTTTCATTCATTTGGACCTTGGAGAATCTGATGATTATGTGTCTTGGAGATGGTCTTCATGTATAATATCTCACAGGAGTTATATGCATTTCATGGATTTGAATGTTGGTCTCTCTAGCAATGTTAGAAAGTTTTCATGTACAATATCCTGATATATGTTTTCCAAGTTGCTTACTTTCCCCCTGTCTCTTTCAGGGACACCAATGAGTCATAGTTTTCATCTATTTACATAATCCTATATCTTTTGGAGATTTTGCTCCTTCCTTTTAAATTCTTTTTTCTTTATTTTTGTCTGACTGAGTTATTTCAGAGAGCCAGAATTTGAGCTCTTAGATTCTATCCTCAGTTTCTTCTATCCTGCTGTTTATACTTGTGATTTAATTATGCAATTCTTGTAGTATGTTTCTTATCTCTATTAGATGAGTTTGGTTCCTTTTTTATAATGGCTATTTTGACTATCAGCTCCTGTATCATTTTACTGTGATTCTTAGCTTCCTTGGATTGGGTTTTGCTGTTTCCCTGTATCTTGATGATCCTTGTTCCTGTTCATATTCTGAATTCTATTTCTCTCATTTCAGATATTTCAGCCTGGTTAAGAACTCTTGCTGGGGAAATAGTATGATTATTTAGAGGAAAGAAGGTACTCTGGCTTTTCAAGTTGTCAGAGTTCTTTCACTGGCTTTTTCTAATTTGTGTGGGCTGATGTTCCTTCAGTCTTTAAAGTTTCTGTCCTTTCAATTGATTTTTTTGTTTTTTTCTTCATTGATGCCCTTGGGGATTTTATTATGTTATAATTGAGTTTGGTTGACTGGCTTTGATTCTAGTACACTACTGGGTCTTGGTGGCACCCTCTATGATTACTGTCTGCATGCCCGCATTTCTTCTGTTGGGCTTTCTGATCTATTGAGTTTCCTCAGGCAAGGGCTGCGGTTGACAGACAAGCTGTATTCTTGCCAGGTTGGCCTTAATTTGATGTCCATGTGCTCCCTGGGGAAACATGGGGTTGCACTTGCCTGCAGAGTTCAGGCAGAAGTGGGACCTCTGGGTTGGAAGCTCTAGCAGGTGTGGTCCATCTGGCTATGGGAGGCAGGGGTGAGTGGAGTTGCCTACCCTGACCTCCTGGTGTTTCCAGGGCAACAGGAGCCTGCCTGCACCCCTCAGCAAATTCAGGGAAAACTAGGACTGTTGGGCCAGCAGCCCTATCAGATGTGGCTCACCTGTCCACCAGTGGCAGGGGTTGGTGGGGATGCTTGTCCTGCTTTCTGGGAGCTTCCTAGGACAATAGGAGTCTACCCACTGGTTGAGTTCCCACAGAAGTGGAACTGCTGGGCCAAAAGCTCCAGCAGGCATTGCCTACCTGGCTGCCAGTGGCAGTGTCAGGCAGCGTCGTGTGCCCTGCTGTCTGGGTGTTTCCTGGGACAACAGAAAGCTGCCCCCTCTAGATCAGTCCAAACAGAAGCCAGACTGCTGGGCCAGAAGCCCCAGCAAGTGTTGCCTGCCTTGCAGGGTCAGTGGGATCACATGCCTTACTGTCCAGGTGTTTCCTGGGACAACAGGAGGCTTGTGCTCCTCAGCTGAGTTCCCTCTGAAGCAGGACCACTGAGCCAGAAACTCTATCATGTGTCGCTTGCCTGGCTATGAGTAGCAGGGATGGATGGGGTTGTCTGCCCTACCAGCTGGGTGTTTTCAGGGCAGCAAGAGGCTGTGCCCTCCAGCTGAGTTCAACAAAAGTAGGACTGCTGGGCGGGAAGCTCTAGCACACATTGATCACCTGGCAACCAGTGATGAGGGCAGGTGAGGTCACATGGTGCTGTGCTCTCTGGGTGTTTCCCAGGGCAACAGGAAGCTGCACCTTCCAGCTGAGCTCACATAGAGGTGGGATGACTGGGCTGGAGGCTCTAGCAGTTGTTGCCCACCTGGCTGTCCATGGCAAAAGTGGGTGGGGTCATGTGCAGCCTCCTGCCACCTGAGTGTTTCCCGGGACATCAGGAGGCTGTATCCTGCAGCTGAATTTACACAGAAGTGGAACAACTGGGCTGGAAGCTCTAGTAAGCATTGCCTGCCTGCCTAGCAGTGGTGGGGGTGGGTGGAGTGGCAGGCCAAATTCAGGCTGAAGTGGGACTGATGGGCTAGAAGCTGGTGCTGAGCCCCATCTGGCAAGGGGGTGGGTGGAGCAATCTTACTGCTCCCAGGCACTGCAACTATGCCTTTATTCAGGTGATGGCACTGGTGCTGGTCTGCTCTGGGGTTAAAGGCTTGTAGTCCCCTTGGACTTGATAGTTGCCCCTGCAAAATGTCTGGATGGCTCTCTCCCTCAGTTTGGAAGCACAGCTGGGGGCCAGGCAGATTTTCCTACTCCCAGTCTTGTACAGGTCTCTGCAGAGAGCATGAATCTCCTGGGGAGCTCTCACTCTCTCACCCTTTCCCATTTTTGTAGAGGTTCTTCTGCGCCACATTGATCCCAGACAGATAGCTTTGCTCCTCTCTGTTCTCTGTGTTCTCCTGCTGCCTTCATGGATCCCAGCATGGTTTCTCAGATGATTGGCCTGCAGGGTCAGTGTTGACTAGCCTTTTAGTTCCTCTCTGTGAGAGCAGCACATACAAGCTGCTTCTCGTCTGCCATCTTGGCCCTATCCCTCATCTTTATTTTCATTTCCTTTGGCCTAGGTAACTTTTTTTGGTACTTTTTCATTTTGCTTTGCTTTGCTTTGCTTTGTTTACTCTCAATCTTTGTATCTCCTTAGAAGTTTAGTGTGCCTCGTGTAAAAATCATATAGCTGAATTTGTTTCTTTTTAGCCAAACTGAAAAATCTTTGTCTTTTATGTCTTTTAGCTTCCACTTTAGTCTATTTGTGTTTGTTGGATTTGTTCATATGTTTGTATTTCTATCTAAAAACTTATTTTTAAAATTCATTTTCTATTTGTATCATTTATTCTAGTGCTTTTTTCCTCCTTTCCTATTTTCTTTTAGATATATTAGATGTTTATAATTGTAAGTTTTTCTTACCCATTTCTTTTTTTCTTATACTGGTTTGGAAGTCATATGCTCTATTACTATTCTTATAGTGCTCACTCTTAACATTTTACCATGCTGACTGAATTTAGTAAAGCCTAAATTGATCAAGGTTTTACTTCTCTTCTTAATAGCACATGAACTTTATTAATACTATATCATTATTGTTTTTTTTTATTTTTACAAGCATTTTTGTTTTATTTTTGCAAGCATTTTATTTATCTACACAAATATTTCTATATACTTACATGTTTACCAAATTGTTTGCTCACTATTTCTTCCCTTTCAGATCTTCTGTCCCTAAAATATATCCTTAGTAATTTCTGTAGGAGAGGACTGCTTTGTTTAGTTGGAACATTAATACTTGTTCTTGTTTCTTTTCTTCCTTTTTTTTTTTTTTGAGGTGGAGTCTTGCTGTGTTGCCTAGGCTGGAGTGCAGTGTCACAATCTTGGCTCACTGCAACCTCTGCCTCCTGGGTTCAGGCAATTCTCCTGCCTCAGCCTTCCAAGTAGCTGGGGCTACATGTGTCCACTACCCTATCCGGCTAATTTTTGTATTTTTAGTAGGGATATGGTTTCACCATGTTGGCCAGGCTGGTCTCGAACTCCTGACCTCAAGTAATCTGTCTGCCTTGGCCTCCGAAGGTTCTGGAATTACAGACATGGGCCTCTATGCCCAGCCTTGTTCTTGTTTTGAGAGAGATTTTTGATAATTCCAGAGTAACATTATTTTCTATTAGCTCTTTGAAGAAATTTCACCCCTGTGACTTATTTTCTCTGTGATGTTGTTTAAGTGTTTTAGAGATAATGTAGTCATCTTATGAGTCATAGTGAAGATCAAATATATATAAAGAGCTTATTAGTGTTTCTAACACATATTTATCACTATATAAATAAATAACCTTATTTTTCTTTTTTCCCTCCTTTTTTTCTTATAATTCTTATTATTGCCAATGCTGCTCAGCAATTCACTAAAATGCATCTAAGTAAAAATTTCTTTTTATTGACACCACTGTTTATCCTGTTTGGTATACATTTTTCTTTCCAAACATGTGGTTCTAGGTCTTAAATTTTCTAGTTTCTGTACATTCTCAACCCTTAATTCTTTGAATGTTACATCTATCTTTTATTTCCATTCTCTTCTGGAATTTTGATTAGGAAAATATACTTTTTTATTGTATCCTTTATAATTTTAACCACCTATACTGTGTTCAGTTCCTCATCTGTCTATAGTTGGGATAATTTTTTCAAATATGTACTTTATTTATTTTTATTTTTTATTTCCATAGGTTTTTGCGGAACAGGTGGTGTTTGGTTACATGAGTAAGTTCTTTAGTGGTGATTTCTGAGATTTTGGTGCACCCATCACCCAAGCAGTATGCACTTTACCCAATCTGTAGTCTTTTACCCCTCGCCCCACTTCCATTCCACCCTTTCCTCCAAGTCCCCAAAGTCCATTGTATCATTCTTATGCCTTTGCAGCCTCGTAGCTTAACTCCCACCTGTGAGTGAGAACATATCATGTTTTTCATTTTTTTTCCGGATTTATTTCCCAATTCATTTACTCTGAATTTTGCTGTTTCTCATATGCTATTTAACCCATCCATTGATTTCTTAATTTCAATAATTTTATTTTTAAAATTTCTAAATATATATTTTTTTCAGATTTGCAGATTCATGTTATAACCTTACGTCGTTTGATCTTTTTATTGTAGCTGTTATTTCCTTATATACTTTACTTATAGTTATATTTTGTACCCTTTAATTATAACAACTAGTGTCCTTCAGGGTATTTGTTAATTTTATTAGCTCATCCTCAGTCATGGCTTCTTATTTCCCATTATGTGTTTGAGAATAATTTTGTAAGCTCATACTTGGTTGAATTTTATTTGCAGAATTTTGAGTAGCTAATTTCTAATAACTTGGGCTGTATACCAACAGCGTGGATCTACATTATTAGTCAGCTCAGTCTGCCATAACAAAATAACAGAGACTGGGTAGCTCAAATAACAGAAATTAATTTCTCACACTCCTGGAGCCTAGAAGTCTAAGACCAGAGTGCCAGCCTGATCAGGTTCTGGTGAGGGCCCCCTTCTTGCCTTGTAAATGGCTGCCTTCTTGCTGTGTCCTCACAATGCAGGGAGCGAGTTAACTCCAGTCTCTTTCTCTGATTATAAAGGCACTAATCGTATTACAGGGTTCCCGTGCTCATGACCTTGTCTAAACCTAGTTATTTCTCAGAGGCCCTACCTCCGAATACTGCCACATTGGAATTAGGGCATCAATGTACGGATCTGGGAAAGGAGTGGCACAGTCAGTCAGTCCATAACATTCACTTGTGCTCTTTTTGAGAGCTTTGGTTCCTTCTATTTGTGTGGAGCCCAGGGAAACTCTGATCTTTTGCATCTCTTAAAACACACTTTTTTGATTTTAGTGTACCATTCTTTTTCTCTCTCTTGATTTCTCTCAGCCCTCAGAAATGGCCTTTATTTTTTCATGAACCAAAGTTATACAGTTTTCCATATTTCAGGCCATGTTTTTGAAAGGCAAAACCATTTCAAAAGAATGTTCAGAAATTTATATTTGATATATTTTGGATTTAGTATATGAGCTCTGACTCTATATATTAAAAACTTATGGGAATATTGTTTATATTTATTGTTGACTAAATATCAGTTACAGCACTCACAAAGAAATAATACTGCTTCATTCTAGTTGTAATTATTCCAGTGTGATTTGTTTTTTTTGCCTGGCACATGGTTTAAAACACAAAATAAGCATATAAAACTTATATGAGAGGGTTTTTCAGCCACAGGCAGAAACATACCACAATAATTTTTATCCTATGCTAAGATTTTGGTCCATAATAACATGATACCCATTGGAAAGATAGATTTGAGAAAGAAGCATGCTTAAATAATTTTTAAATTTTTTTACATGCATGTTTTTGGATAAGTGTATTGTTCAATCTTTAATATTAAAAACTAAAATTCTGAATGACAAACATATGTGCAAACCAACTATTGTGGCAAAAACAGTTTTTGTTGGTGAAGGGACTAGCTGCCATTTGGTGATTTTTCAGATAGTCAAATTTGAAAAATCAATTGGATCTTCTCTTCTCTTCTCTTTTCTCTTTTTGAGATGGAGTCGCAGTCCCCCAGGCTGGAGTGCAGTGGCATGATCTCGGCTCACTGCAACCTCTGCCTTCCGGGTTCAAGTGATTTCCTGCCTCAGCCTCCCGAGTAGCTGGGATTACAGGCACACGCCACCATGCCTGGCTAATTTTTTTTTTTTTTGTATTTTTAGTAGAGACGGGGTTTCACCATGTTAGCCAGGATGGTCTCTATCTCCTGACCTCATGATCTGCCCCCCTCGACCTCCCAAAGTGCTGGGATTACAGGTGTGAGCCATCACACCTGGCCCCTTGGATATTCTTTTCTAACTCAAATGAGAATATCCTCATTATATAATCCACCTTCTCTCCAGAAACTTCAAGCTCTTTCTCTCTAATGGTGGCTGTTTCTACGCTGCAGATAGAAATTACATTTCCCTCTTAGCTGAAAAATACCCAAGCCTATGAGCAAGAAAACAAAATATTTTTTGATTCTACTATTCCCTCTGTCAGAGATGCCAGAAACTTTTTCTTCTTCATTTATAGCATAATTTCATTCATGCTTGCATGCATTTCTATATTTACTTACTCTAAAGCATTTACTAAGCACTTTAATTGGTCAGTCATGAGGCTTGGTGCCGTAGAAACAGAGATGAAATGCAATTCTCCATCATAAAACAGTCTGGCAGGGAGGAGGAGGATAAATAAGTGGTATATTACAATTCGGTGAGAGAAAGTACCTAAGAGAACACATTTAAAAAGCATGCAATGCAGAAGGATGTGTAGAAGATGATGGAAGTAAAATTTTCTTGCAGCTGATGTTACACACACACACACACACACACACACACACACACACACAAAACCAACTAGATGTTTCTGTTGGTGTCATTGACACCTACCCATTTCTTTTCTTTTCTTTTTTTTTTTTTTTTTTTTTTTTTTTTTTTAAGACTGAGTCTTACTCTGTTGCCCAGGCTGCAGTGCAGTGGTGCGATCTGGGCTCACTGAAACCTCTGTCCCCGGGGTTCAAGCAACTCTCCTGCCTCAGCCTCTCGAGTAGCTGGGATTACAGGCGCACGCCACCATGCCCGGCTAGTTTTTGTATTTTTAGTAGAGACGGGGTTTCACCTTGTTGGCCAGGTTTTTCTACAACTCCTGACCTCAGGCGATTCGCCTGCCTCGGCCACCCAAAGTGCTGGGATTACAGGTGTGAGCCACCGTGCCCGAGCCTGACGCCTACCCATTTCTTAAACTAGCTTTTGTGTCCACCACTTGGAAGCCACTGCTTTAAGATCTACTGATTACCGAAATGCAAAATTGAATGAGTCATGCTCAACCACCCAGCACTTAAACATCTCTTTGATCTCTCATGATCTAACTCAAAGGTATCTCATTCCTGATTCACTTCTTCCTTCATCCAAACTGCACTCCTGAAGCATTTAATTAATCTAAACATAAGCAATGCTGACTTACTGTTTCATATTGTATTATGTTTTTGAAACTGATTTAGCCCATGTCTGAATCTTTATTGTTCTGAAGCCCGATCATCCAGAGCCTAATATATACAACGCTGAACCAAACAAACACATGATAACAAAAACACTAATTTAGTGAATTAATCTAGAAGAATCTAGCAGAATTAATCTAGAAACTGCACAGCAGCAGTTTCTCTCTTCAGCTTGAATTACTAAGCAATTCAAGTTAGCAATTGTGTAGACCCAAATAAGATAATAATATTTAGTCATTTAGATATGCCACTACAAGTAAAAATAAATCAGATACATACACATACACACAAATTACTCATAGAATGCAGTATTCATAAAAATTATGTTACTTTTTAAACAAGCTGTCTTTTTATGTTTTTGCAAATAGTGGCGACAAATTGGCTACTTCAAGTGGTGACACTACAGTTAAATTATGGGATCTATGTAAAGGCGATTGCATTTTGACCTTTGAAGGACACAGCCGCGCAGTGTGGTCCTGCACATGGCACTCCTGCGGCAATTTTGTGGCTTCCTCCTCACTGGATAAAACTAGCAAAATTTGGGATGTTAATAGGTAAGAAGTACTTTAAACATTACTAATCCTCTGTGCTGATACATATACGTGGGTAAAGTGGTAAAGTTCTTTTTTTTTTTTCCTTGATGCTACCCCAGGGAAACATTAAAAGAAACTGTTAGTTGATAAGATTATAGAGAGCTACTTAAATAATCTTTGTGAAATCCATTTCTAACTCCATTAATCTTTGTTGATTAATAATTTCTTTCTAAATGTAAGTATCAAGATCAAGCCTATGTAATAAGATTAGAATTGCTTCATTGGAAAGCTGTTTGTTTCAAGCAGGATAGAAACAAATACTTCTTTTAAAGAGTTGGATTTTTAGTTCCGCTTTCCACAGGCTTGTTATTGCTCTGTACTATTAAATGTAATAGTTCAACGAACGTAAATATAACAGAAATAATTATTTTCTTTATGCTTAATTTGTTATGTCGTGATATTCTTGATTAAATGTTTCTTGTCGATTCACAAATTGTAGGAAATAGTATACTGTATTGTATGTAAAATCCTATACATATCATGTGGATTTGGAAGTTTTATGTTTTGATTTTAATTCAAGGTAGACAAATTCATTATGTTTCAAATATTGAAATTACTATCACCCATATATTTTTGGATGCTCATTACCTTCTGTTAGGTTTGCAGATATGATACAAAGAGGTAAATTTAGCTACTATCAAATATGCTAATTCCTTCAGCTAAGGGGTTATATATCATCCATCAAACTTTCTCAGTAGTCTGTGGTCCTAGCTCTGGAAGGACCTCCATCCACCAGAGGAACACCCATAACAGCAGAGAAGTGCCCTCTCCTCGGAGGACTGAGGTTCCGTTTTGAAGGTCCTCCCTTCAAGGGTCTAAGTTTTAATATTCTACCTTATTCCCTGTGTTCGCTCAGTCCTAGGGGTGGTAGCTCTTTCTTGAAGTTGTTATCTCCATGATATTTTAATGTTCTTTTCCCTTTTTTAGTTACTTAGTTAGCAACTTTATTCAGTTTTTACCATCCTGCATGTGAAATTATTATTGTTACAATGATAGGTGCAAGTTCCGTTTCCTGACAAGTCCTTGAAAGATCCAGGGCATTAGTGGATAAGGAGCATAACCCACCTGAGTTATAAAGCTATAGCTAAATAAAATTAGCCTGCCCCATAGGAGAAAACATGACTGTGAATAACATATTTTAGACCTATGTCTATCTGAAATAGTGACAATTTCAGATAGCTTTTAATTCTCAGATGGGTACTTACTATTTATCTGGAATATCCAATCATTTATAATTCTTTATTATATTTCTATAATGTGTGACTGGATTTCATAAATATTTTTATAATAGATTAATGGAATTTTAGCACTAGTATTTAATTTGAATTTTGTATCACTTTTGACTTGGTTGAGGATCGTAATAGAAAACAGTGATCTTTTCTAAAATGTAATATGTCTTTAGAACTCTTAACTACCCAGGGTGTTTAAAAGCAAACTATGGTTAAAAAACTCAGTAGTCTCAGCCCTACTTGGAATGATTTCAAACACTTTGACTTGACAACTTTTCTTTATGACCCTGGTATCTAAATACTGACTTCCAATTGGTGCCCAGTAAATCTTGATATTACAGATCAAAATTGCTTCTGATTGATGCCAAAATTCTTTAAACTTCAAGTTTCCCATCACTGTCAAGAGTTCACTTTCATCATCAAGGACAAAATAAATTGTACTAATTTTGGCATTGAGGTGGTGGATAAGTATTGACAAATAAAGTAGAAATTGATTGTTTCTATAGTGGCTATTGATATACCTTTCAGAGTCACAATCAAAGTACCAAGCTCTAATTTATAATTACTCTCAGATCAATACAATATAGATATGTCTAAAACTAGTGTCTTTCTTCAAAATTTCATAGATTACTTGAACTGGCTTAGTTACTTAAGGCAAGAGATTATTTGCCTTGGTAAGATGGATGGTGCTGGAGCTATGTATGCTGTGTCATATATTCTTGGCTTGATACTGCATATATATATATATATATATATATATATATATATATATATATATATATATATTTGTTGTTGTTGTTGTTGTTGTTGTTTTTAAGACTGAATCTTGTTCTGTCACCCAGGCTAGAGTGCAGTGGCACAATCTCAGCTCACTGCTCTGCAACCTCTGCTTTCTGGGTTCAAGCAGTTAACCTGCCTCAGCCTCCCGAGTAGCTGGGACTATAGGCACGTGCCACCACACCTGGCTAATTTTTGTATTTTTAGTAGAGACGGGGTTTCACCATGTTGGCCAGGCTGGTCTCAAGCTTCTAAGTGTTTGAGAAACTCCCAAAGTGCTGGGGTTACAGGCGTGAACCACTGCGCCTGGCCATGCTGCATAGTTCTTAATAAATACCAAATTTATATTGGTAGACAGTATTAGTCACCAGAGAAGGAAGAGTTTAGAATACATTCTTCTCTTTTCACACCCGTCCTTTCCTTCAAGCTTCTGGCTCAGTCTTGAACAGCCTTGATTGGTGTTCTATCTCTAGCTCTGCAGCTGTTTCTGAATTGGGCAATACTTGGTAAGACCATCCATTTAGTTCCTCACCAAAAAGTTGGATCACTGTGAAGCATCAACAATATAGAAAATTTCAGATCAAGATTCATATTTACTGAGTGCTAATCAGAATCTATGAACAATTATCTATGACACTCAGTCTGAATAATTCCATACTCTACAAGGTTTCTGTGAATAATTAACAGTAGCTTTTTTATTATCTTCTGAATGATCAGGTATATAAATTGTTATGTATTTCACTTAATGGTTGTTTGAAAACACACACACACACACACACACACACACACACACACACACACCAGTGTAACCCAGAGAGTGCTTGGCACATGGTGGTTTACTTACATAAATGAATAAAGAGTGATTCAACAAGTAAATATGGCAAAAGTATTCTAAATATTCTCCCTGACCCATCCACATTTAAACTACAATATAATTATGCTGTCTTATCCTACACAAATCAATAAAATGATGAAAATGGGGTAGAAAAATCAGAAAATAGCTATAAAAAATAATTTGTATTTCTTTAGAGGCATTTAGAGGCATTTGTATATAACATTAAGCAGTAAGTATTCATGAAATGACTTAACAATGTTGGTCTGTGTTATAGATCTAAGACAATTCTCATACTCAACCATTGCCTTCAATGAGATTACAAGTAATTTAAAATGCAGCAATTTTAAAGCAATAAGGGAATATGCAATGCATCTACCATTTATATTTATAATATCAGATCAGGTATTCTAGTTGACTCCTGGCTGCTTTTCTTCCAAGGTAGCTGGGTATTTGACTGAGCAGTTATATCACACTGTTACTCTGATATTTGGAAGGCAGACCATGTGCCTGCTTAGCTTGTAGCTCGAAGGAGAAGGGGTCGGAAACAGCCAAAATGTTACTGAATGTTGCTATTCCAGCTGTTTTAACAAGGTGTTACACAGACAAGAATTGGGTGGTTTGTACCAAGGATAGTAGGAAACAGAGGGACTTGCAAAATTCAACAGCTTCTTGACCCCTAATGTTGGGAGATAAATCTGTGGCCCTTATTTCTAAGTGTATTGTGTCCAATACTCTTGTAATTACATGGGAAGAGGAAAATAAAGAAGGTTTAAGAACTGTGTTTACTTTAATTTGTGGTTACTGTGGCATTGCGTTGCCTGGAAGCAACTATATTAGAAACCTACCAAGTTTTTGAGAGAATTGTATTGACAAGGAAACTATGAGCCTATCCTTAAATCCCGTTGACTCTTCAAACAGTGAAACAGTCCTCAGAGCCCCAAACTTGCATCCAAAAAAAGTGGACTTGTATTTTTGCACAGTTCAGAAGGAAGGCAGAGACCATAGCACCAATCTCAATATGGCCACAGAGGATAATGAACAAGAAGGAACCTACAGTGGAACTAAGCCAGAAGCTACAAAGAACAATGGGGAAAGGTGCTCCTCTGGGGGACAGCCATGGTCCAATCAAGGAACTTTCTTCAGTACCACGGCAAAGTTCCTCATGATGCCTGCCTAGTTTTTCACTATTTGGACTAGTGATGCTTATATGTTTCCCATGTTTCCGTTTTCTGTATTACAGTTTATACTGCAGTTATTCTGTCCTTACTTCACAATTGTGCATTGTGTTCATGGTGGTGATGGTGGTGGGAAGCAGAAAACTTGTATTTTGTTTTGTTGGTTACCATAATGCAAGTGACACTGCTGAACCAAATGATGCAGATTGTGTGTCAGCCACAGATCATGAACTGTGAGACATGCAGTAACTGAAGAAGAGATCTGGGGATGTTTCTTTTTTTGGTTGTGGAGAGAAGAAAGTCAGTGAATATTCTAAGTGTGGAAGAAAGGATGACAGATATTTGGTGAGAAAAAGGCCAAACTGTGGCAGAGACTGTTAGCTTTTCACTAGAATCCACTTTTTCCTCCTTCCATATTAGTTAGGCACTTGGCTATATATCTAAATGATATTTATTAGCCTCAATTAGTTAAGTATGTCTGCATCACTAAGTTCTATACAATAGAATATTAGTTAAAGTAGCAGGTACTATTTCCTCATTCTTGCCCCCTTGTGGTGGAATGGAATACCAGTGACAATGACCACAATAATCTTAGAAGCCTATTATTGAAACTGAAAGAACAATTGTCAAGCTGCTTGAAGTAAAGCCACCCCTGTTTTGTAACTTCAGTTAGGCTGCAACATTCTCTGGACTCTCCAGCAATAAGAAAATACACTTCCAGGCCTGGTGCGGTGGCTCATGCCTGTAATCCCAGCAGTTTGGGAGGCTGAGGCAGGCCGATCACGAGGTCAGGAGATCGAGACCATCCTGGCTAACACGGTGAAACCCTGTCTCTACTGAAAATACAAAAAATTACCTGGGCGTGGTGGCAGGTGCCTGTAGTCCCAGCTACTTGGGAGGCTGAGGCAGAAGGATGGCATGAACCCAGTGGGCGGAGCTTGCAGTGAGCCGAGATAGCGCCACTGCACTCCAGCCTGGGCAACAGAGTGAGACTCCATCTCAAAAAAAAAAAAAAAAAAAAGACACTTCTATTTGGTTTGAGACATTATATTTCCAGTATATTTGTTACAGTATTTTTGCTTGCCTAGTCTACTATAGGCACCCATGAATACTTTTCAGGTGATATGTTTTTCCCTCATGACATATTATTAAGGCAACCAAGACAAGCTCTGAAGTGTTCTCAAATTATTTGAAGGAGTAGTAATGGAAATTTTCTGCTGATAATAGATGGCTAGTCTACTCCCTCTTTTTTCTTCCCTTGCCCCTTCTTTCTTCCCATCTTTATTGTCTATCGCAATGCTGTTGGAGTCCATGAAATCCTGCTTGCCAATAGCAACATATGCAAGTTAGTTTGCATGGAGGTAATGCTTGTAAGACTAGTTATAAATTATAAAAACATGCAACTGTTGTAAGTGTCTCCATTAGTAGGACACTGTTTCAATAATGAGGATTTCACTGAAATAATGAAAAACGCCAAGGATTTAAATTTTATGTTAGCATTGACCACATTTACTGATAGGAATGAGTTTTGCTCATTGTAGTTAAGCTGATGGAATAAAAACAGTACCTTCCACATGGTTGACCTCACAGGTTTATTTATTTGCTTATAGATCCAACAAATATGCATTGAGCACTTACTTCGTTCTATGCCTTATTCTAGTTACTAAGCTATAATAGTGAAAAACTTCTGCCCTTATGTCATTGGCATTCTTTCAGGAGGCAGAAAATAAGCCAAATGAAAAATGATAATAATTAATAATTACATATAATATTTAGAGATGACAAATTTTGTAGAGGAAAACTAGAGCACAGGTGAAAAGGGATAGCAGGCATTGGAAAGGGTTGCAATTTTAAACAGGAAGGTCGAGAAAATTCTTGTTATAAAGTTGACATTTGGATAACCTGAATAAGGTGAATCAGCAAGCCAAGCAGATACTTGGGAGGAGAATATTCCAAGCTCTTCTGATCAGGAAGCTTTCCTATGGTGGTAGCATGACCCATGTGACTGCTAAGCAGCAAAGAGGCCAGCATGACTGGAATAAAGTGAGCAGATGAGAGAATGGTAGGGGTAAGGTAGTTAAATGAGTATGTACATATAATAGAGGGCCTTATAACCCCTGTCAATTACTTTGACCTTTATTCTCAATGAAATGGGAAACCATTAGTGGGTTTTGAGCAGAAGAGTCTCAATCTGTTTTACACTCTAATAAGATGACTCTGGCTACTGTTTTGAGATTAGATGGTGGCAGAGGTGGGGTGAAAGCTTAAAAGCAGGTAAAAGCAGAAAGACCAATTGGGGAACTATTGTAGCAATCCAGGCCAAAGATGTAGAAGGTTTCAGCCATGAGAATAGTGAAAGTCATAAAAATTGTATTCTGGATAGATTTGAAAGATAAAGACAACAGGAGTTTCTGAAGTACTGTGAATTGTGAGAGAAAGAGGAAACAAATGACCTGTTACATTTTCATACACCTGAAAGGCAAAGGCTCATTCTCCTTATACTGGGACACTAATATAAACATTATAAAAGGCTTTTCCAACCAGGTGTATCAGCTGGTGATCCAGAAGCCATGACAGAATGAGGAATGCCTTCTCATTGTTCATCTAACATTTCCATTAAAGAAAATGGAATGTTTCCCTTCTGCCCACTTCCTAGCATCACTTCCTTTTTATTTTAATAATTCTGTAGCCAATCATAACCCCTGTGCTGGATGAGATGACAGAAACAGAAGTCTATTTGTAAAGAAAACAGATAAATTAAGAAAGAGGAAATATGAAATGTTAAGATTGTTATGATGAATTACCTTCTGTTAATGATATATACTATTATTTTGAAGGGGAAGGCAAATAATGCATGAAAGTGGACTCTAAAATAAAAGAAATTTTCTTATTACAAAACCAATAATGATAAGATAGCACCAAACTAGTAATACAATGGAGTTTAGTATTTATAACACAAAATGTTCCGTTAATATATTTTATGTTCTTTATGTTTCATTTGCAAAGTTGGCTATGCTAGCAAAGGAGGATATATTGTATAATATTAATGGGTTTAAAACACGATAATGTAAGAAGAAGTATTAAGACTCAAGGGCATGGATTATTGGTACATTAATACCTGTCTTATATTGCCAAGATCCCCACTTTGCCTTCTTATACTTGAAAGGGCACCCAAGGTATATATTAATAGACTGCCAAAGTAATGCTTAAAATATAATTATGTTACAGTATAAGAAATGGTAAGATACTTAAATTGACCTCTTGTGATCAATTTCTCCTGTTACACCAGGATAATTAATTATTATATCTTCTTGGATTTTCAAGTACATTCAAATGAATTGTTTCCCCTTGACATATGGGCTTGAAATGATGTCTGAGTATTACGGAGCATAGACACATAAATAAGCACAAAAAAGTGAAGAAAACAGAATATAGCATGTATTTTTTTATTTTCCTTTCCCCCCCAAAAGTGCATAATTAATAAGCACTATTCAAGAAATATCTACCTTATGAAGAAAATTGTATTAAAGCCAAAGTTCAGATTTCATTTAGCAAGTTCTGTCATGTTTGAAAAATTGAGAATCTCTCACACATTCAATATGGCTTTGTATGTGTGAAGAATGGCTCAAGTAAGTGTCCACTGCAATAAACTTGATGTGAACGTTCTTTGATACCAATATACATGGATCAATAATAAAAAAGGTAAATGTCCTTAGGATTTTAAAATTCATCCCTATTCCTTTCCACAGCAAATGCTATTACATATCAATGAATTGTATAATTTGGATCTGACATGCTGTATAATGTACACTTTCTGTTTGTTATCTCATACACCAAAAAAGCTATTTATTAGAAATAATTAGAATGAGTATAAATGAAACTAAAGATATTCTGATAAAAGCGAATATATATATATATATTTTATAACATGATACATTTCTGCTTTATTACTGCCAATCAAAGCAAGAACTTTACCATGTTAAATATGCAACACCTTTTCTCCAACTCTGCACAAAATAATCTGGTCAATGCATAAGTCTTAGTCCTCCTCAATGCTGATGACTAAAAGGGTTTAGTATATTTCTACACTAATGTATGGTAAAATAAAATGATATGTAGCCATAGTCCATCTGAGGTAAAAAATGAAAATCACGTTTGTTTTATATTTAAGATTTACTTGTACATGTATGTGTGTGTGTGTATTCTCACACATTTATGTATATATACTTATTTGTATTGATGAAGTGAGTTTATTCAGCTCAAAATTAATTTTAGAGTGGCAAAAACTGTAATTATTTGACTATCTTAAATATTTTAAATTTCAATCAAAATATTTATTTATGTGTTATCTATGACTCCAAAACCAAGCTTGTTTTAAAACCATTTATTTCAGACAACAACCACTATTATTATATCCCTAAAACATTGTTTTTGGAATTATTAAAATAATTTTAATTTAAATAAAAATTTAAGATTTGATTCAATTACTGTGGAAACAAATCAAATGTCCAAGGACATCAAATCAAAATAAAAGAAGTAAACTGGTTACTAAATATAAAAAATGGCAAGCAATACAATTTTGGCAGCATTAAACTAAATATTTTCTTATTGTTAAACTTACTGTTATATGGAAAATCATTTCTATTTAGATAATAAAGATGAGGTTTTTTTTTCTCTTAAAGGACTAGGAAATATAATTTTGATAGAAAATTTAAGTAATGTTTCCTCCCATTGTCTGACATGAGTTTATGCAAAATCCTAACACTTAACAAAGAGAGCAGAACTTGTTAACTTGTGTTCTGGGTAAAAAGACCATACCATCTTCAGTCAAGGAACCATGGAATAATCTTTGGTCTCCACACAATCTAGAATGAGCCATGAGGGAAGAAATACCTCCAGCAGAATTCCACCTTCTAGAAAAATATCCCTTCCTGATTTTTTCCATACTTTTATCCTTCACTAGATTTGACAACTAATTACTAAAAATCACTACTACTTAGAAACTGATTATTTATTTATCTAATATTTACCAACTATGTACCAAGTAATATAGCTGGAGCTGGGGATATAGCACTGAATGGAATGGTCCAGACCCTTGCCCTTGTGGAGCTTACATTACAGAAAAAAGTGTCACTGGTTACCTGTGCCTTATAAATCATTAGACAAGCTCCCTGACTTGGTCATTGATCAAAAGATTAATTCCTTTCTGCTAGAGATGACAAGGGGGTATCACTGAGAGTGACTGTCTTTCTCAGATGTCATGTGTGAATCCTAGTTCTCTATTAACGGAAAGAATTAAAAACCTTCAGAGTAATAAGCCACCAATGAGGTGAACCTTAAAAATGGTGCCAAGCCTTCTTATCTTTACAAAGATGATTTTTGTTTTCACTTGCATTAGGATTCTTTTCAGGTACCTGTCACACATAAACCACCCAATTAAGATCATTTGAAGCGGTTTTCACATGAAAAGAAAACTTTCCTGTGATGGTTCTATTTCAGTTTATTTTGGGGTTATTGTGTCAGTTTGCTTTTTGTTTTAAGTAAGGAAGAAAATAGTGAATTTTAGAAAAGTATACATTAGCAAGAATCAATATAAAATGCTATTCAAGCAATAACAAATAGAGATAATATACAAAGATGTGCTGTATCTCAACCTGTTTATGTTCAAAATTTTTATCTCTGGGTAGTAAAAATTATGTCTTATATATGCAGACAAATTCAGAGGGATCCAAAAATAGTGTTTTCTTCTTTAATGTTGAAGATGTAGAGTGACATAGTTGTTTTTCATATTTCGTTTCAATACATGTCCTAGTAAAATTTCTTATCTACAAATTCAAGGCATACACCTACTGTTGAAAATTTATGGTAATTACATAAATATGCATTTGAAAAGGTACAAAATTTTAAACTAGAAACACAAAACATATAATTATATAACAGCCATAACTACCATTAAAAAAGTGAGCATTTAACTTTTTAAAATTAGCTGTGCTAAAATATCTGACAAGTTTATGAAAACCTGATGGTTCCAATTTTAGAGGTGACATATAATTTATTTCATTGCATATTTTTCTAGCTATTTTGTGAAAATGTTTAAAAAGTTTTTTTAGAGATGACATCTTGCTGTGTTGCCTGGGCTGGAGTGGTACAATCATAGCTCACTGTAGCCTGGAACTCTTGGTCTCAAGCAATCCTCCTGCCTCAGCCTCCTGAGTAGCTGAGAGTACAGGCAGGCACAACTACATCTGGATAATTATATATTTATTTTTATTTTTTAGGAATAGCGTTCTCCTTATGTTGCCCAAGCTGGTGTCCAATCACTGGCCCCAATTGATCCTCCTGCCTTATTCTCTAGAGTAGAGAGAATTACAGGTATGAGCCACCTGCTTCTGGCCACAAATCAAATGCACTTTTTAGAAAATATTAATGCCAGTATCTCCAGAATAAATTAACTTCACTACTTTACATACATAAATTAATATAGCATATGTCTATGCAAAACTATAATCATAAATTATGTATCTGCACCCCAATAATACTACCTATGTTCCTAATCTTTATGAATTGTAAATCTCTTATACAAATAACATTTTAGTTAACAAACACACATAAATTGTATATGCAATAACTTCTTACCCCTAACTCTTATTTCCTCCTAACTTATTTATAAACAGGCTACATTATGTTTGACTTGAGGCTTTCAGTGATATCGCTAACAACAAATTATCTCTTCATTACCTGAGTTATAATGATTCTCATTATCTATGTTCATATTCTTACAAACCACTGAGGAACCAATCCCTAAATTGAAAATGATTGTTCACCTTCTCTTGAGGCCATTGGGATTAATCTCATTAAATTAACAGCCTTATTTATGTGGGTCACCGCAAAATGCCATCCCTTATATTCTAGATATTGTTCATATATCCACCAGTCAGACTCTATCTCTCACTTACCTCTGATGTCCTTCCACTGTATGGTTTGGAATTAAATACCTGTCATCAACAAAATATTCTATGTCTTCAATCCCTTCAAGGTACAATTTATCTTCTTGCTTATACTGGCTATCCATCCCCTGAGAATATCAATTTCCTTTTCTAATTGAGCCTGTAACTCCTTCTTTTTAATCCTTCTCTGGAGATTTATAACTTGTAATGAATGTTAAGCATGTAGACGCTATCACTGAGGTACATAAATATAATTTATTTTAGAATTTTGCATACATATATATTAATTGACACACACACAAACACACACATACGCATACATAGAGAGAGAGAGAGATTGTTCTTGGGATCGTGACATAAATTTCCCCTACCGCTGGATCTGCAGGTTTATTCACTAATGGGTTTCCAGTAGGCAAAACAATGAGCTTGGAACATACTGGGAAAGTAGTAAACATTTGTTGAATTAATATCTTAACTAATAACTTATGTTCCCTCCTACTCTTCACTTACTTCTAGACCACTTTACTTCCTCTCTCCTCCCACAAAATTACAACTTCTTATAAGTACATGCTTTGTGACTATACCATTAGCTTCCCTTCCATTTTATTCATATACTGGCCTCTTCATCACTCTCATCATATTTTGAATAACATAGCACTTGACTTGCTGTCATCCTTGTTTGCAATGTGGATATTGAATCCAAGCAGAAAGTCCAGCCAACACCCTAGCCTCACAGCTCCTTCCTCCCTTGGTCCCAACAACTTTCAAGTCTTAATTGTAGGTTTTCTACTCTGTGAGCACCATTTCTTATCTCTCCAGCTTGTATATTCTAATCACTCACTGCAACAATTCTTTGATGCCAGTGGTATTAATAATTAATTGTTTACACCATTTTTTTTGCCCTTGATAATAGCCTTCCTCTTCTTTTCTTCTTCCCCTGAGTAGATGCCAAGGTCTTCCTCACAGAGTTTCAATTTCTTGCCCCTCTCTTCTTCCACATTTCTTGCCTGTCAAAACCCCAACTCTGGTTAAACCTAATTCTCTGCCTGCTTTGCCTACATCTGTTCAGCTGAGCATAGCTATGGAAAAAAATCAGAATCAGGCTGACCTGTTTCATTTCATGTTTATAACCTCAACTCACAAGTTGAATTCAACTGAATTTTCTCTATCAATTAACTTACTACAATGTGAGATGAGTATTTCACACCTTCCTCCTCCATATTCAAATCCCTAACACTCTCCCCACTCACTTTTTCTCTGAGTGACAACATGGATTTTCATTTCACTGAGCAAATAGAAGAAATCAGAAGAACATTTTTATTCTTCCACCACCAAATCCATCAATGATTTATATTTCCCTTTTCTCTGGATGTTGCCTCGGTATTTCTTCTGTATTGACTTACCTGGAGCTGGGTAGTCTGGAATAGTCATTCACGTGTTTGAAGCTTCAGTTGGGACAGCTGGGGAAAGTTTCTCTGTGATATCTTATTTTCCACATAGTGGCAGAAATGGTCCAGCAGCAAGAAAAAGCAAGCTCCAATGAACAAGAACTCATTTAAACCTTTACTTACTATTATATCATTGACCAAAGCAAGTCACATGGCCAATATTAGAGTTCATGTGGGAGGGGAATACTCAAAAGTGTGCATATAGGAAAAGAAATAATGGCGACTGCTATGAACTAAGTGCTTGTGTCCCTCCAAAACTCATATGTTAAAGCCTAAATCTCCCATGTGATGATATTTGAAGGTGAGGCCTTTGGGAATTAATTAGGTCATGAAGGTAGAGCCCTCGTGAATGAGATTAGTGCCCTTATATAGGAAGGGACAAGAGACCTTACTTTCTTTGTTGTCCACCATGTGAAAATACAATGAGAAGATGGCCATCTGCAAACCAGAAAGTGGGCTTTCACCAGGCACTGGATCTTCTGGCCACCTCATCTTAGATTTCCCGGCCTCCAGAACTGTGAGAAATAAATGTTCATTATTTAAATCACCCCGTCTGTGGTATTTTTGTTGTAACAGCCCAAACTGACTAAGATAGAAATTGGTACTTAGAAGTGGAGTGCTACTATTTCAAATACCTGAAAATGTGGAAGTGTCTTTGGAAGTAGGTAATGGGTAGAGTCTGGAAAGATTTTGAGGTGCATGCTAAAAGAATATAATACTGCTATGAGGGGACTTTTAAATGTGAATCTGGTAAGAGCTCAGAAAGTAAAGAAGAGAGCTAGAAAGGTCTCTTTCTTATTAGAGAATATATAAGTGATCATGTAATGTCAGCAGAAATATGGACAATAAAGGCCGTTCTCATGTGATCTCAGACAAAAATTGGGAAACATGTTATTGGACAATGGAGAAAAGGCACTCCTTGTTATACAGTGGCAAGGAACCTGGGTGAATTGTATTCATGTTCTAGTATTTTATGGAAGGTAGAATTTGCAAGCAATACATGTGGATATTTAGCTAAAAAAAATTTCTGTGTATAGTTTTAAAGGATCAGCTTGGTTCCTCCTGACTGCTTATAGTAAAGTGTGATGAGCAAAAGGAATTGAAGAGAAAGAAGGAATCATTAAGCAAAAAGGAACCAAAACTTAGAGATTTGGAAAATTCTTAGCCTATCCATGTTGCAGGGGAACACAAGGGGTGTGGCCAGGCTACCATTTGATAAGAAGATTAGTATGAGTGTGATCCAAGAACCTAATCAGACATCTCAACAGAAGCCAGTTATAGAGACGGAAATACACCACAGAAATACTGGCACCAAAATGGAATAAAATGAAGAAAAGTTGTTGGACTTCTTAGACACTACAGCACTGGACCATAGAGCTATTCAACTGCAAAAACATGTTATTCTTCAAGACAAGAGAAGAATGACCCTCAAGTCATTTTCAGAGTTTATCAGGGCTGCCACTCTCACCAAAGGTCCAGAGTGTATGGGCCTGGGGGACAGGGCTGCCTCCATCTCAACTTTAAAGGGCAAGACCAATATGTGAACCCACCAATGGGTGGGGTAATATTCTTGGTTCCAATAGGCCATACAGAGGCTGCCCTGAGCCATGGAGTCATGACCTCCACTTGGCAGAGCAACTGGGGCCTGTGTTTCTTGCCTAGCAGTGCTGCAGAGGCAAAACTTACATCCCACTGGATCCAGAGGCAGAGCATCATCAAGTCAAGAGGATTATTGCTTAGGTGTAAGCTCTTACAGAGTTTGCCTTGCTAGGTTTTGGAGTTTCTTGAGACCTGACACATCTTTCTTTCTTCTGATTTCTCCATTTTGGAATGGAAATATTTATCCTATGCCTATCCCATCACTTTATTTTGGAAGTACATAACTTAACGGGTTTCACACGTTCACAGGGAGAGAGGAATTTTGGCTCAGAATAAATCATACCTCAAGATTCAACCATATATAATTTAGATAATATTTAGATAAGGCTTTGAACTTTAGATTTGATATGAGACTAGGTAAAACATTTCTGTTGGCATGGAATTAATGTATTTTTATTGTGAGAAGGACATGAATTGTGGGGGGCTGGGAATGGAGTGCTATGGGCTATATGTTTGTGTCCCTCCGAAGTTCATATATTGAAGCTTAAATTCCCAATGTGATAGTATTTGAAGGTGGAGCCATTGGGAGGCAATTTGGTCATGAGGATGGAGCCCTCTTGAATGGGAGTTGTGCCTTTATAAAAAGAGACATGAGATGGCGAAACCCCGTGTCTACTAAAAATACAAAAATAAATTAGCCGGGCGTGGGGGCGTGCACCTGTAATCCCAGCTACTTGGGAGGCTGAGGCAAGAGAATCGCTTGAACCCAGGAGGTGGATGTTGCAATGAGCCAAGATCGTGCCATTGCCCTCCAGCCTAGGCAACAGAGCAAAATTCCATCTCAATAAAAGACAAGACATGAGAGACTTTGCTTCTTTCTTCTTTGTTCTCTGCCATGTGAAAATACTATAAGACAGTGTATTAGTCAGGGTACCTTAGAGGTACAGAACTAATAGGATATATATATATGTGTGTGTATATATATGTATATATATCTTTTTATGTATATATATGCATGTATCTATATATGTATCTTTCATATATATGTGTATATATACAAGTTTATACAAGTATATATATATACACAAACACACACATATATATACACAAGTATATATATGTGTGTGTTTGTGTATATATAGTATATATATATGTGGGAATTTATTAAATATTAACTTACACAATCACAAGGTCCCACAACAGACTGTCTGCAAGCTTGTGGAGCAAGGAGACCCAGTCCGAGTCTCAAAACTGAAGAACGTGGAGTCAGTTGTTTGAGGGCAGGAAGCATCCAGCATGGGAGAAAGATGTAGGCTGGGAGGCTAGGCCAGTCTCGACTTTTCATGTTTTTCTGCCTGCTTTATATTTGCTGGCAGTTGATTAGATGGTGCTCACCAGATTAAGGGTGGGTCTGCCTTCCCCAGCCCACTGACTTAAGTGTTAATCTCTTTTGGCAACACCCTCACAGACACACCCAGGATCAATACTTTGCATCCTTCAATCCCATCAAGTTGACACTCAGTACTAACCATCACAGATAGTCATTTGCAAAGCAGGAAGTGTGCACTCACCAAACATTAGATCTGACGGCAACTTAATCTTGGATTTCCCAGCCTCCAGAACTGTGAGAAATAAATGTTTATTATTTTAGCCACCCAGATCCTAATATATTTGTTACAGTAGCCCAAACTGACTAAGATAGCAACCGTTTTGCGAACAATACACCTTCTTTTTAGCCCTTTGTTTCTCTTATAATCACTTTCTTGCAAATATAAATGTAGCATTGTTATATTTTTACCATATTTTATATGACAGAATTGATGCTTCTTCAGTTGAGCTAGGTACTTACATACTTTTCACATCATTTCTAGGAGAAAAGTTGACCTGACTTTTTGTCTTAATTTTTATACGTAGATTGTTGGGGAAATTTTTTTGTGTGTGATGGAGTCTTTCTCTGTCACCCAGGCTGGAGTGCAGTGGTACCATCTTGGCTCACTGCAACCTCTGCCTCCCGGGTTCAAGCAATTCTCCTGCATCAGCCTCCTGAGCAGCTGGAACTACTGGTGCATGCCACCACACCCATCTAATTTTTCTATTTTGAATAGAGACGGGGTTTTACCATATTGGCCAGGCTGGTCTTGAACTCCTGACCTCGAGATCTACCTGCCTCGGCCTCCCAGAGTGCTGGGATTACAGGCGTGAGCCACTGTGCCCGGCCTGTTGGGGAAATTTTTGCAAATTGATTGTTAGAATGATTTAGGCTAACTGTATTTCTCTGCTCTGTATATTTTAGATTACTCTTAGTACTCTTTTATGTCTCTTTATTTTGAATTCGTTTAAAACTAAGAATAAATTTTAAAATGGTAGTTTCAGAGTATCCTTCACCCAAATTTTCCCGGTGATAATATTTTACATAACCATTGCCTATTGTCAAAATTAGGAAATTTGAAATTGGTACAATATTATTAACTCAAGCTCAGACCTCATTCATATTTCAACAGTTTCTACATGCAGATTTTTGGTATGTGTGTGTATAGTTCTACAAAATTTTATCACATGTGTAGATTAGAGCAATCAATGCAACCAACACCATAATCAGGATACAGATTTGTCCACAACCATTTAAAAACTCTTTCATGTTACCCCTTAATTACCATACTCTCCCGCCTACTCTTAACTGTTGGCAACCACTGATCTGTTCTAGATCACTGTCATTGTCAAATCAAAATTATTATATTAATAGAATCATATAGTATGTGACCATCTGAAGTTTGCTTTTTTTTTCATTTAGCATAATGCCCTTGAGATTTATTCAACTATTGGGTGTATCAATAGTTCCTTCCTTTTTATTGCTGAATAATAGTCTATTGTATATAAACATCATAGTTTATTTATTCACTCCTTGAAGGATATCTGGAATATTTCCAGTTTGGGAATATCACAGATAAAGCTGTAATGAGCATTTACATATAGGTTTTGTTTGAACATAAGTCTTCATTTCTCTAGGATATGTGTCCATGAATGCAGTTCCTGGGTTGTATGTTAAATATATGTTTAACATTATTTTAAAAAGTGCAAATTGTTTTTCTAGTCTGTGGTATTTTACACAATGATTGGCAATAATGAGAAATCCAGTTTCTCTGCATCCTTATCAGCATTTATTACTATCAGTATTTCTTATCTTCTCTATTCTAACGTGTGGTGGTATCTCATAATGGTTTTAATTGGTATTTCTACCATGGCTAATAATGTTAGACATCTTATTATGTACATACTTGCCACCTATATGTCTTTTTTGGTGAAGTAACTTTAATTTCTGGCCTATTTTCTGGTTGAGTTGTTTGTTTTCTTAACTGTTGAGTTTCTGTTGAAAGTGCCCTGTGTATTCTGGATATACATCGTTTGTCCTTTAGGTCAAGGACATTTTTTTTGGCTTACAAATTTCTAATTTTTCCAATACCATATGATGAAAATTTGTAAGCAAAACTAAAACAAATAAAGTACCTAATTTTCGAGAAAGGCACAGAAACAATTCCCTTGAGGAAAGAAAAAATCCATAGTCTATGTGGATCTGTTTCTGGTTCTCTGTTCTATTCTACTGATCTATGCACAGTCTTTCACAAATATCATATAGTTTTGATTATTATAACCGTATAGTAAGTCTTAAAATCAGATAGTGTGATTCCTTCAGCAATTTTTCTTTTTCTTTCAAAATTGTTTTGACTGTTCTATTTTCCTTGTCTTGCCAGTCTTATTTTTCCTCTTATCTAAAAATTACTTTAACCTGACTTTGCTGATCATCAATTGCTGTATTCCTTTTCTAGTTAATTTCTGCACTTTTTTAAAATTTTTGACTCTCAGTAGTATCTAATTTATTCCTGTTATTTACTCATGCTAACTTCTCAGAATTAGTTTCCCTGTAGGCTCTTCTCCAGCAATCCACCTATAGTTTTTCCTTCAAATTTGAGTTGGAGACTATCGTTTCCTAAGAAATATTCCTGTCTAACCTCAAAGTGTAATAGCTACACTTTCTTTTCCCCTTATTAGGGTCAAACTGTGAGTTTTTATGACCTTAAGCACACACACAGATAAACAGACACGCAAATGCATTTCTGCATATAATTCAAAATTTAAAAATTAAAACAAGCAATAAAGGAAGTGTGTAACAAATCCCATCAAAATTTGACTTCTCCTCATGAAGACCCCATTGATGCTACTCTATTTGCTCGTATTTGGAATACGAAATTCTTTTTAAAAATTCTCTCTCTCACTCTCTAATTTTTTTTGTTTTTATCTTTGCCTTTAACCACCTCCCCAATTTGATGCAGATGCTTTGCTGGTGGTTTAGGAATATGCATTATCTTTTTATTGAGTAATCCAACACTAGCTTTTATGAATAATTTGTTCTATGTCATTAAGCATTCACATTTCTGCTCTAGCTCTCTTTATCTTTGCTGTCTCTGCCATGTGACAATCACCTGATTTGTCTCTCTCTTTTAAATTACTCCATGGAGCCCCTAATCTGATGCCATATTATTTTATTCTCTGCCTCACATTTTACCTTAGAATTTATTCTTAAATCTTCATCCCTTTTCAAAATAAATGTATTTTACACATATTCCTGTATATATTTCTGTTACATTTTTTGCCAAAGATTGCAAACAGTTAAATTACTTCTCTAATACTCTTCTCTTTTTTAAAAGGTATATTTCCCTCAGTGCTTGAACTTAACTAAATAGTCCCTCAGAACTTCTTTTCATAATTAAATTATTTGATAGGGTCTCTTGGGCCTTGTGTTTGCACAGCCATACTGAATGTGAACTAAATAATTCTGAGTACTTTTTGAAACTTTCTTTTTACAAACAGTAATGTATTATTTAGAAGACAGAGCAATAGGATTGTTCATATTGAATGAAAATAATGTCTACAGTTATTTATCATTTTAAGGAGCAGAGACACTACTTAATTACAACAGTTTTTTTTTTTTTTTTTTTTTTTTGAGGTAGAGTCTCTGTCACCAGGCTGGAGTGCAGTGGTGTGATCTCGGCTCACTGTAAGCTCCACCTCCCAGGTTCAAGCGATTCTCGTGCCTCAGCCGCCTAAGTATCTGGGACTACAGGTGTGCCACCACGCCCAGCTAATTTTTGTATTTTTAGTAGAGATGGCATTTCACCATTGTTGGCCAGATGGTCTTGATGTCTTGACCTCGTGATCTACCCGCCTCGGCCTCCCAAAGTGCTGGGATTACAGGCATGAGCCACCGCGCTCGGCCTACAATAGTTCTTTTTAATGTGCGTTTTTTACTCATCCAACATGGCTAATCTCTAATGAATTAAAAACATTTTGCCAAACAGATCACAACCCTTCACCTTCAAATGTACATTTGTTGGTATTGTGAGGTCTTTGGTACTCAACCTTGGTCATCAAAGCAAATAAGTTTTGACTGAGGACTGACAGAATATTCTCACTGAATATTTAACTCCTAAATTATTTACCATGCCTACTTAGGCCTTCATTTTTATTGCATAATGAGGCGTATGAAAGCACATTTTAGTCTGACAAAATAAAATCCACACAGAAACTATGTACAAAGATGCTTGTGAACCTACATGCTGGTAAGGAATTGTGAAGCAGAATATTCAGGTTATTTTATAAAATTAACATTAATTGAAATGACTTCTTTCTGCTCCTTTGGCAAATCTTTCCTGAATAAGTATACTTCAGTGAGTACAATTCTTACACGTGTGAACAAAATGTAGCCTTTGTTCAGATGACAGAAAAATCTATAATGTAGGATCAGAAGTAACTGCAGCTTCCTTCACTGCATATATCTGTAGTTAGGTGACATGAACTGACACATATTTCTTATTCATGAGTTCTACAGTGTGAGAAGGAGGATTCACCTGAATATTAAACTGTTATAAACTGTTAATATATTCTAGCTAGAATTAATTAAGCTGGTCACATTATTTCAAAGAAAAGGTTCGTGTAGTGTCTGCTTCATACATATCAATGCTTCTCATTTGGATTCCAGTTCCTGTGGCCCGCAGCAGTCTTTGCAAATGTATCTTTATTTTTCTTTATTCTTCTAAGAATTAAGAAAAACGAGATTTGGAAAAAAAACCTCAAACTTTCAAGTGACCTTTTCTTCTGTTCACATAGTTACAGACATTTTGCTGTAACATGTATGAGCTTTTTGAGGGGCACATATGCACAGTCTCACATCTCATGTTTAAGCCCTTTCCTCTTCTTTGATTGTTTCAGTTGAAATAAGAACACAGGTCACACCGCCCTTTAACAGTGGAGTCTGCTGTTTAAAAGGTGTGTGGGGCATTGTACTAACATCAGTAGCTTCTAAATTGCCTTTGTACTTTAAGATTATTTTACAGATATTATTTAGAACAGCCATAGTTTGTTTGCTTGCTTCCTTCCTTCCTTGCTTCCTCCCTCTCTCCTTCCCTCCCTCCCTCCCTCCCTCCTTCCTTCTCTCTCTTTTCTTTTTTCTTTCTTTTTTTTTTTTTTTTTTTTTCCCTCAAGACGGTCTTGCTCTGTCGCCCAGACTGGAGTGCAGTGGCATGATCACGGCTCACTGCAGCCTCAAATTCCCAGGCTCAAGTGATCCTCCCATATTAACCTTCTGAGTAGCTGGGACCACAGGCTTGTGCCAACATGCCCTGCTAATTTTGGGGGACCTTGAAGGTAGAGACAGTGTCTCTCTATGTTGCCCAGGCTGGCCTTGAATTCCTGTGCTTAAGTGATCTTCTGCCTTGGCCTCCCAAAGTGTTGGGATTACAGGTGTAAGCCACCACGCCTAGCCTGACATAGTTTTTTTTTTTTTAATAATACATTTAGCATAAATTGATTAATATTTTTCCTCTGAAGCACTTTTAGTTTGATAAGCAAGATATTTAAAATACCACCCCAATATACAAACCTTCAAGCCTTAGGAGTCAAGTTCTCCTATTTGAAATTCAGGATTTCATAATTTAGGAATGATGTAAATCCTGATTAAGTAAGGAAATTGAGGAAAATTTTAGGAAGTATAAAATGTACTTTCCTTCATATTTATAAAAGCTTGTAGCATTTAAAATTTGGTTGTCATAATGATACAAAATAAACATTCAAATAGAAATGTCAATTATAAACTAAATTTTAAAATTCATCTAAGAATAGCAAAAGTAATAGAATATACATGGATTCAGAGTCATAATAGTAACATATCTCTTAAAGGTAGAGAAACATTCAAGATCAAGACAACAACATAGCAGAGCCTGCCATGATTTCTCCTGTTCTCAATTTAAATAGTTATACAATATGCAAAAGACAAAAGCACATAAAAGAGAAAATATGAATAAGAGGCAAAAGAATGACTGAGCCAGACTTCATTCCCACTTCATTTGATTTATTTATATTCTCTTCTTTCAAGAAAAGATTTAAACCAGTTTACAAGGATAAACAAAATATGACAAAAGAGTATAAATTAAAGTTGGAAGAAATAAGAAAGGATAAACATTGAGGAGATAAATGGAGCCAGGAATATGCCAAAATGCATGCTATAATAACTCACTGGCTGACGTTGAGTCACACATTCATATTTAAGCTTTCAAATAGCCAAGCAAAAGACATAGTTATTTTCATTTGTATAACTGAGGATGTTTTGAGATTCGCTAAAACCAAATATTAAAAACAAAGACACACAACTATATTGGTACTAAGGAAGGATTTTAACTGATGGAGCGCATCAAAGAACATAGGCAGGTGCATTAAATGATGTTATAAAGAATATCCTTGTAATGGTAAGTTTCATAGAGTGGCTTTCATGATAAATTAATATATTCTAAGAATATTACTTATGGACAATCACTGAGGGATGATCTAAAGGATTACCAGTTGGAGGTACAATGATTCTCTACAGAAAATTGTTTTGAATCATCTTTAGACTATAGATAATTTAAGGAAACCTAAATATGAGAAGAATACAAAAATGCATCGAAAACAAATGAAGAGTGTAACTGATACTGAAGAAAATTGAAATAGTGATATGGAGAACACATTTTAAAGGGCATGGTAGAATGCAGAAATACATAAAAATGTAATTAATAAAGAAAATAGAGGATAGAGCATCAAGCTTCAGAAAACAAGGAGACGTTTATAGAGATTTTTGGTCATAAAAGACAGTTGTAACCATTCATAGAATGCTATGCCTTCCATATTTTCTATTAAAATAAAAACATATAAATAAAAGAATAAAATTAGATCAACATTGAAAAATAAGATGCTGAAAATGTACATGCTAAAAAATAATGGCTATCCAATTTATAAATCTTCACATGCAAAATTAAATTTGTCTGAAGAGAACATAGAAAAGAGTCTTCACTGGGCCAACACACAGACATACTCAAATTTGAAAGAGTCAGAACTAAATTAAAGATAGGCTCTGGAATAGTTTTTCTTAGATCAGCCCCTAATGCTAATTTGGGAACCATAGAATGATAGATCATGGAACCCATTCTAACCGTGGATGGAGGGCTAAGAAATGTAAGGAATACTGTCCATCGTAGATCCCCTTAAGGATAATTTGGACTTCAAAGAAATAACCAATAGCTGAAATATGGGTGTCAAGTCTTTACCAGAATGAGAAAGCTCCCTGTCAAAAGACAAAGTTAGCTGTAGCTTCATTCTCATTTCTTATGTGTAAGTAGAATTTTAAAATAACAAGTTTCAATCACCAGATATCTTAAAATCTCCTCAGCCCTTTTGGAATAAAACTAACAAACTGGACAGGTAAACACATAATTGTAGAAACCTTCCCAAAGAAAATGATATAGAACACATATAATTGCTTTCTACTAGTCATGAAAAAAGTGAGAAATATTACATATATGATGAAAAGGACTAGTAGTTCAAAAGAAGGACACTATGAAGAATCAGCATAAAGGTCTTTCTGTGAATATTTTTTCAACAAAGCAATGTTTAAAACTATATTTTTAATCCCCCAAAACTTAGAAAATATACTTAATACTTCAAATGGGAACAATCTGAAATAAAGATTACTTTAAATAAAAATCAAAATGTCTGAATATTCAGAGAAAACAAGAAACAACATACTGAAAACAAGCAGAACAAAAAATATTTTAACATCCAAAGGAAAATTTTAAAGAATAAATAGGTTGGGGGCCATTTAGGAAAAGGAGAAAAACTTACAGAAGAAAAAGTATATAAAAAAGTAATATGTCAAAAGAAATTCCCAGAGCTAAAGAAACATTTAGGTCTTGGAACACAAATGTATCCCAGAATACTTAGAAAAATTAAGGTAAAAATCTTTATACACACAGAGACACATACACGTGACACATACATCATGGTGAATTTGGAAATTTTTAAAAAATGAAATTGAGAAATCAATTTAAGGAAAAATTAAAAAGAAAAAAATTTTTAAATTATTAGCATTCTGAAATGAATTTTTTCATAAAGTTTACCAGATTTTTTTACTATGTAAAGTATTAACAGAAACGTTCAAGTAGAAGTTTAAGAAGGAAGAAATTATAATTCAAGAATTCCATATCCATACAAACTGACCCAAATTATCAGGATAAAAAGGCATCCTTTACATAAAAAAATGAAAAAGTACTCAAAGCAATTCATTAAATGAACCAAAAGATTGTATGCAATGATGAAGAAAAGGCGATGTAATGAAAATGGTGAATTGTGGAAACTGCAAAATAGAATAAATGTCTAAATGAATGTTGTCAGGAAACACAGCCCATGCAATGGATATAGATAGATATAAATATAATACACATACCACAAAATTTACTCATTTAAAGTTTACAATTCAGTATTTTTAGTACATTCAGACAATTGTGCAACCATTGCTATAATCCAATGTTAGAACAATCTTATCACACCAAAAAGAAGCTCCACTCTCATAAAGAGTCACTCCTATTTTTTTTTTTTTTTTGAGACAGAGTCTCACTGTTGCCAGGCTGTAGTGCTGCGGCACAATCTTTGCTCCTTAAAACCACTAATCTACTTTCCATTTTATAGATTTGCCTATTCTGAGCATTTTATATAAATGGAATCATATAATATGCAACCTTTGGTGACTGGTTTCTTTTATATTTTGAAAGTTCATCAATGTTGTAGTATGTATCAATAGCTTATCCATTTTTATTGCCAAATACTGTTGTGTCATATAGATATACCACATTTGTCTATCTAGTCATTTGAAACATTTCTACTTTTTGGTTATTATGAATTATGAAATATTTATGTACAGGTTTTTGTTTGGACATATGTTTTCTCTTTTAATTTTTATTTTACTTTAAGTTCTGGGATACACGTATAGAATGTGCAGGTTTGTTACATAGATATACATGTGTCATGGTGGTTTGCTGCACCTATCAACCCGTCATCTAGGTTTTAAGCCCTGCATACATTAGGTTGGACATATGTTTTCATTACTGTTGGGTATATAACTAGGAGCTGAATTGCTGGATCCCACAGTGACTGTAGGTTAATGTTTAAAAGAGCTACCAAACTGTTTTCCATAGTGCTATTTTTATTCCTACCAGCAGTCTATGAGAAATTCCCAATTCTCCACATTGTTGCTAACACTTGTTATTATCTAGTTTTAAAAATATTATGATTATTATAGCTGTCTTAGTAGCTGTGAAGTCATAAAACATTGTGATTTTAATTTGCATTTTCCTGATAGTAACGTTGTGTTTTCCATTCACATTTTATTCATGTGCATGTCTTCTTTGAATAAATGTCTATTCATATTCATTGCCCATTTTAAATTCATTTATGTAAGTTTTATTCAGTTGTAAGATTTCTTTACATATTTCTTTTATTTCTTTTTTTATTAGGCAAATAATTTTCAAATTTTTTCCTATTTTCTGGCTCGTCTGTTCACTTTTTATGGTATATTTTGCAGCACAAATGCCTTTAATTTTGGTTAAATGATTTATCAATTCTTCAAAGAATAAATTTATAATTTCTTCATTGCTTGTACTTTGGGTGTTGCATCTAAGAAGTCATTACCAAACACAAGATAATAAGCATTTACTCTTATTTTTCTTATGTTTTCTTCCAGGAGTTTTATGATTTTGACCTTTAAATTTAGGTCTATGATCCATTTTGAGTTAATTTTGGTCTATGTTATAAAGAAAGTTCAACTGTATTCTTTTACATGTGGATGTTCACTTGTTCAAACTTTAGTTGAAAAGACATTTGATGAAAACGCTATTTCATCCTTGACTTGTTGGGGTACGCTTGTTGAAAATCATTTAACTATAAATATAGTAGTTTATTATTAGACTCTTAATTCTGTCAGATTGATCTACATGTCTATCCTTATAATAGTACCACACTGTCTTAATTACTGTAGCTTTATAGTAAGTTTTGAAGTCAGGATTTTCCAACTTTGTTCTTTTTTAAGATCACTTTAATCTGGATCTCTTGGATTTCTGTATTATTAGCTATAAGTCTACTCAGATGTTCTATTTCATGATTAATTATGGTAGGTTTTGTGTTTCTAGGAATTTGTTCATTTCATCCACACTATCCAATACATTGGCATATAATTATTCACACTACTTTTTTATAATCATTGTTATTTCTGTACAATCAACAGTAATATCCCTATTTTCATTTCTGATTTTAGTAATTTGAGTTTTTTCTCTTTTTTCTTAGTTCATCTAGATAAAAGTTTGTCAATTTTGTTGAACTTTTCAAAGAACCAATTTTTGGTTTTTATTTATTATTTATTTATTTATTTATTTATTTTTTGAGATGGAGTTTCGCTCTTGTCTCCCAGGCAACAATCTCGGCTCACTGCAATCTCCGCCTCCCAGGTTCAAGCAATTCTCCTGCCTCAGCTTCCTGAGTAGTTGGGATTACGCATTCACCACCATGCCTGGCTAATTTTTGTATTATTAGTAGAGATGGGGTTTCACCATTTTGGCCAGACTGGTCTTGAACTCCTGACCTCAGGTGATCTGCCCGCCTCGGCCTCCCAAAAGGCTGTGATTACAGGCATAAGCCACCATGCCAGGCCTTTATTGATTTTTTAAATTGTTTTTCTATTCTCTTTTTTGTTTATCTCTGCTCTCATCTGTATTATTTCTTTCCTTCTGTTAGATTTAGGCTTAGTTTGTTCTTATAGTTCCTTAGTTTGTTCTTATAGTTCCTTAAGTTCCTTAAGTAAAGGCAGGTTGATGATTTGAGACTTTACTCCATTTTTTTTCCTTTTTTTTTTTTTTTTTTTGAGGCAGGGTCTCACTCTGTCACCCAGGCTGGAGTGCAGTGGTGTAATCTCGGCTCACTGCAACCGCCGCCTCCCAGATTCAAGCGATTCTCCTGCCTCAGCCTCCCGAGTAACTGGGATTACAGGTGCATGCCACGACGCCTGGCTAATTTTTGTATTTTTAGTAGAGATGGGGTTTCACCATGTTGGCCATGCTGGTGTCAAACTCCTGACCCCAAGTGATCTGTCGTCTACCTTGGCCTCCCAAATTGCTGGGATTACAGGTGTGAGCCACCACGCCTGGACTTACTTGATTTTTAATGTATGCATGTATATAATTTTTCCCCTTAGCATGGCTTTCATTGCATTCCATAAGTTTTGGTATGTTGCATTTCTGTTTTCATTCATCTCTAAGTATGTTTAAATTTTCCTTGTAATTTCTTCTTTGATCCATTGATTGTTAATTATGTTGTTTAATTTCCAATGATTTCTAAATTTTCCAGTTTTTCTCTGTTATTAATTTCTAACTTCATCTCGTTGTACTCAGAGAAGATACTTTGTATCTTTTAAATCTATTGAGATTTAATTTGTGGCCTAAAATATGGTCTATCCTGGAAAATGTACCATGTCTACTTAAGAAGAATGTGTATGTAGCTGCTGGTATGTTGAGTGCTCTGTGTTTGTTGGATCAAGTTGCTTTATTATGATGTTTATGTTCTCTTCTCATACTTATCTTTTCTCTGGTGGTTCTGTCCATTATTGAAATGCAGGACACTGAAGTCTCCAACTATTACAGAACTATTTCTCCATTCAATTTTGTTAGTTTTTGCTGGTCAGACCATTGATGGTCTGTTATTCATTGTGTAAATGTTTACAATTATTATATCTTCTTGCAATATTGAAACTTTTACTAATATATGGGGACCTGCTTTGGCTCTGATTAACTTTTAAAATTAATGTATATTTTGTCTGCTGGTATAGCCATCGTTGCTTTATTATTTGCATGAACTTTTTTTTTTTCACTTTCAATCTACTTGAGATTTTGGATCTAAACTGAATCGGTTGCAAACAGGATATAGTTAGATCATGGTTTTTAATCCATTCTGCTAATCTGTCTTTTCATTGGAGAGTTTAATCCATTTAATTTAAATTAATTACTGATGAAGAAGCACTTCTGTTTTATTGCTATTTCTTTTCCATATACCTTATAAATATTCTTTTCTTTATTTCCAGCATTACTGTCTTCTTTTGTGTTTAGTTGACTTTTTTAGTAGTGAAATGTTTCAATTACTTCCTTTGTGTGTATTTTATAGCTATTTTCTTTGTGGTTACCATAGAGATTACATTTAACATCCTAAAGTTATAGCACTATAATTTGAATTTATACCAGCTTAACTTCTGTTGTGATTTTCTAATTTTTTGTCTTAAAGTCTCTTTCTGGTAAGTGGCCATAAGCCAAGACAGCCACTCTCTAGAAAAGCCCCGACTGGGAGGAGTATTAGATTGAGATTGCCAGTAAGGAAAGACACAGAGGAGGCAGCACAACAAAGCCCATTAGATAACCAGAAGCAGTTTTATTATTTGCCCAAGAACAGGGAACAGCATGTCTTGCTGAGCCAACCAGAAGAGGAAAGCCATCCAGGACACATGCTCACCTAGTGGGAGGGGAGCAAAAGAGAGAGCAAAATACCTGTGAGCCAAAGCCCTTATTGGGGTCCAGAGTGTGACCCAGTTTGGTTTCCTGCAGGGAATTCTAACTGATGGGTTTAGAGCAAGCAGGCACAAGTTCCGTGGAGTCTGTGACTGAGAGGTGGTTGCCTTGGCATGTCTTGGCAGTCCATGTGGTATATGGGAGTCAGTGGGTCAGGTAGGTTATATCTAGCTGTCCCATGGGCAGGTGGTTGTCAGGAGGTAGTTGTATAAACTCCTCCCAGTTCCTCAAGCTGGATCAACCACCTTGAGGACTTGGGAGGAGGTAGAGAACTGGAAACTATGCAAAGTGTGACTAAGCCCCGCTTCTGGTATGATAAAATTAAACCTATATTCAAAATGGATGCCAAAGCAACATAAAATTATGAGCTCACAACTTTGAATAGTATACAAAAACTGCCCCTTTACAGGTCAGTTCCCACTGACCAACTTTTTCAGTTGCTGATGTTCCAAAATTATATCTTTACATATAATGTGCCAAAAACATAAACTAACAATTATTTTAAATGGATTAGCCTCTTACATTATTCAGAAAACATAATGTGGAGTTACAAACTGAAGTTAAAATAAGACTAGCTTTTTGACTTTTTTTTAATGTGTTAGTATCTTAAATTATGTAGAAAACAGTGAATTATAAACTATTGCTACTATAACATTAGCTTTTGTAATTGCCCATATACTTACCAGTAATGAAATCTTTATTTCTTAATGTGGCTTTGAGTGACTGTCCAGCATCTTGTCATTTTACGCTGCAGGACTTTCTCGTACATTTCTTTCAGGGCAGTTCTACTGGTAACAAACCACCTTAATGTTTGTATATCTGGGAATGTCATACTTTTTCCTCATTTTGAAGGGTATTTTTGGGATATATAAGAAAGTTCGTTGACGGTTTTTGTTTTTCCTTTTAGCTCTTTGAATATTTTGCATCACTGCCTTCTGGCTTCCATAGTTTTTGATGAGAATCTGATGGTAATCTTATTGAGCATCACTTGCATGAAACAAGTTGCTTATTTCTTAGAATTTTCAAGGTTCTGTCTTTGGCTTTGAAAAATTTGAATGTAATATGTCTCAGTGTGGTCTCTTTGATTTCATCTTACTTGAAGGTCTTTGTACTTCTCGGGTGTTTATATTCCTGTCTTTCACTACATGTGGTGTCATAAATTTGTGTAATATAGTCACCACTTAATATCCACCTTCAGGCTTGATGTAAGTTGTTTGAAACCAGTTGTATCCAGTCACCTTTCACCTAGTTAAAACTTCCTTTCCCTGAATGGTTGTTTAGATATAGCCTGTTTGTTCCTCATCCCAGTGACCCAAACCCTAACACACCTCATAGTTGGTTACTATTATAAGACCCAATGGTGAACAACAGAGTCATCTAAATAAGTTTATTCATTTATATGTGTTTTCTAAGCTAGAAAATCTACAACCTTCACAGGAAACCCTAAGGAATAATACCATGGACTTTACTGAAGGCATAATTACACAGGTACTCTTCCTCTCTCCTGCTCCTCACCCTCTGGTTGAGCTCCCTGATGCCTTTGGAATTCCAGTCAGCCTCCCATCAGTACCTGTAACCTCTCTGAAACCTGTGAGTTATGAATTTCTTGTTTCATGCACTTTGGTTTCACTTCCTCTTTGTCTCACCTGACACGCACACACACCTAAACCTAACCTTCCTCCCATTCAGGTCTTTTCTAGAAGAGTGGCTGTTTTGGTTTATGAGTGCTCTCCAAAAAAAGACAATACCAAATTAAAAGAAACTGTAATAATGGAAATCTCATGTGGAAAGTTTTCAGCCATTATTTCTTTAAATATCTCTCTTACCCTTTCTCTCTCTCTTTTCCTTACAGTATTCCCACAATACTTGTCTGCTTGTTGACGTTCAGAGATCTCATAGGCTCTGTTTAATATTTTCTTCAATCTTTTTCTATTTCAAGTTTTATAATTTCCAATACCCTATCTTCAAATTTGTTTCCTCTGCCTGCTCAAATATGCCTTTGAATCCCTTTAGTTAATTTTTCCTTTCAGTTGTTATATGTTTCAGCTCCACATTTCTTTTCGGATTTTCTCTTTTTATTGATATTTCCATTGTGTTCAACATTGTTTTTTGTTTATTCTTTTTTTGCTTTCTCCACTTCTTCTTTTAGTTATTTGACAGTCTTTAATACAGTTATTTTAAAGTGCTTGTCTAGTAGATCTGACAGCAAGTCTTTTTTAGGGACAATTTCTGTTTGTTTGTTTTTTTTTCTTTGAATGGACCATACTTTTCTGTTTCTTTCTAGGCTTTGTGATTTTTTGTTGTTGAGAACTAGATAGTTGAATCTAATAATGTGGTAACTCTGGCAATCAGATTTTTCTTTCTTCCCCAGGGTTTGCTGTGGTTTTTTAAAAATTATTTTGGTTTATTGTTTTTGTTTTCCTATTGTTGTAGGCAGTCTGTGTGCCAGGAGTTAGCCTGAGGTGTAAATTTAAGGTCTCTTCTGGTCTGTTTTGACCCTGCACCTTTCAATTGACATGTGTGGTCACTTTCTAATTTTCCTCACATACGCAGTTGCTTTTGAATGTTCTAAATGTCTTTAATGTCTGATGCCCAAGAGGGGAAAAAGAGAAAAATGAAGTGATAGGAAAATGATACTGGCCTTTTAAATGCCCTAGAAGTTATTGTGGCTGGTGGGGGAGCGCTTGCAATAATGCGGGAGGTACAAAAACAATAGTCAGCCACTTCTTTCTCTGCACTTCTGTGATTGGAAGCAGCAATCAGTAATCAGAGCACAAATCTCTGGTATTTGGGGAATACGCTTCTTTTTTCCCACTCTGGCTCCCATAAGCTACGGACAAGCTGCTCCAGGAACATGTGCACAGCCATCTGCGATGGGGACAAGGATAGGTAGCTACTATTATGTTAAGAGCCGAAATTGACCAAAATTAAGTGCAGTTTATTATCCAAGCTCTCCAGAGTTCCAAAATAGTTATATTGGTCAGATTCTTCTAGTGCGATTACAATTGTTGTTTAGGTGGGAAGAAAGATTCCTGGTGCTTCTTATTCTGCCATCTCTCCAAAATTTTCTCTCCAATTGATATTTGTATATTGCTCATGTATCCTGTAACCTTGCTGAATTTGTTTATTAGTTTTTACAGTTTTATGTATATTCGAGTTTTCTACATACAAGATCATGGAATCTGCAAATAGAGAATTTTACTTCTTCCTTTTCTATCTGGATACCTTTTATTTCTTTTTCTTGATCGTTTTCCCCAGCTAAAACATGTAGTGCAATGTTGAATAGAAGTGATTAGATCGGCCATCTTTGTCTTGCTCCTTATTTTAGGATGAAAACTTTCATCTTTCATTATTAAATATGTTGTTAGCTATTTTTTTTTTGTAGCTGCCTGCCTTTTATCAGATTAAGAAAGCTGTCTTCTAACCCTAGTTTTTTTTTTTTTTTGCTGGATTTTGATAAATGTTTTTTCAGGGTCAATTAAAATTATTGTGTGGTATTATTCTTCATTTTCTTAAGTGTTTTATTATATTAATTTTTAATTATTAACACATCCTTGCATTTCTAGTGAAAATCTCACTGTTCATTGTGTATAATCCATTTTACATGTTGCTGGATTTAGTTTGCTAATATTTTGTTGAGAATTTTAAAATCTCTGATATTTATCAGCAGTTTTGATCTATGGTTTTTTTTCTTGTTATGTATTTGTCTGGTTTTGATATAAGTGTAATATCAACCTCATAGAATGAGTTGGGAAGTATTCCTTCCTCTTGTATTTTTTGGAAAGTTTCTGAAGTATTGATATTAATTCTTCTTTGAATGTTTGGTAGAATTCACCAGTGAAACATTTTGGGCCTGTCCTTTTCTTTGTGTAGGGTTTTTAAATTACTAATTGTTATGGACTGAACTGTATCCCCTCAAAGTTCATGTGTTGAAGCCCTAAGCCCCAAGTAATTCTATTTGGAGATAAGGCATTTAAAGCGGTAATTATGGTTAAATAAGGGTAAAGCCCTAATCCAATAGAACTGGTATCCTTTTTTTATGTTTTTTTTTTTTTTGAGATGGAGTCTCACTCTGTTGCCCAGGCTGGAGTGCAGTGGCGTGATCTCGGCTCACTGCAAGCTCGCCTCCTGGGTTCACGCCATTCTCCTGCCTCAGCCTCCTGAGTAGCTGGGACTACAGGCGCCCGCCACCAAGCCCGGCTAATTTTTTCGCATTTTTAGTAGAGATGGGGTTTCACCGTGTTAACCAGGATGGTCTCCATCTCCTGATCTGCCTGCCTTGGCCTCCCGAAGTGCTGGGATTACAGGCATGAGCCACCGCGCCCAGCCAGAACTGGTATCCTTTTAAAGAGAGAAAGACGGCAAGGGTATGTGTGTATACAGAGAAAAACCTGTGTGAGGACAGCAAGAATATGGCCATCTGCAAATAAAGGAGAGAAGTCTCAGCAGAGATTAAACCTGATATTTTGATCTGGGTCTTCCAGCCTCCAGAAATGTGAGAAATAAATTTCTGTTGTTTAAGCCACCCAGTCTGTGGAGTTTGTTATGGCAACATTAGCTAACTAATTCAATCGCTTTACTCATTGTAAGTTTATTAAAATTTTCTGTTTCTTCTAGAGTCAGTTTCAGAGGTCATGTCTTCCTAGAAATGTATCCATTTAATCTAAGTTGTCTATCATAGTACTTTGTCTTTTAAAAAAATTTCTGTAAGATTGGCAGTGAGGTCCTCTCTCTTGTTTCTGATTTTGGTAATTTTAGTCTTCTCTGTTTTTTTTCCTCTGGTCAGTGTTACTAAAGATTTGTCAATTTTGTTCATCTTTTCTATGAACCTACTTATTATTTTATTGATTTTTTCTATTGTTTTTATAATCACTATTTCATTATTTCCTACTGTTATTTTGTTTCCTTTCTTTTGCTTTCTGAATGCTTAGTTTGCTCTTTTTTTTTTTTTTTAATGTCTAAAGATAGAAGCTATGGTTATTGGTTAGAGCTCTTCCTTTAAAAAATAAGCACCAACATTCATAAACTTCTATCTGAGCACTACTTTAGCTGCATCCAGTAAATATTGGTATGTCGTGTTTTCATTTTCATTTATCTCAGAGTATGTGCTAATATTCCTGTGATTTCTTACTTGATACATTATTCAGGAGTATATTGCTAAATTTTCTATATTTTTTAAAATTTCTCAAATTTCATTAAGTGATTGATTTATAAGTTCATTTCCTTGTGGTCAGAGAACACGATTTCTACGATTTCTACGATTTAATTTCTTTAAACTTTACTAAGGATTATTTTATGGCCCACTATACGATTTATCTTGGAAAATGATCTGTTGTACTTTGTACTCTGCTACTGCAAAGTGGAGTCTTCTATAGATATGTTAGTTCTAGATAGTTTATAATGTTGCTCAAGTCTTCTATATCCTTCTTGCGCTTCTGCCTAGTTAATTTATCCATTAGGAAAGTGTGATATTGAAATTTCAGACTGCTTTTGTTGAATTGTTTATTTCTTCCTTCAAATTATCAGCTCTTGTTTCAGGTCTTTCAGGTTTATTTTATGTACCTATTATTAGTGTTATATTGTACTGATGAATTTACCCTTTTACCATTTTAGGACATCCCTGTTTAACTTCCTTTTACATTTTTGGTTTATAGGTTTATTTTGCCTGATATTAGTATAGTTACTCCAACTCTCTTATGCTTACTGTTACTGTTTAATGGTGTTTCCTTTCCCTATTCTTTTCAATCTATTTGTATCTTTGAATCTAAAGTGTGTATTCGACAGACAACATATAGTTGGATCTTGTTAATTTATCCTTTCTGACAATCTCTGCCTTATGATTGAATTGTACAATTCATTTCAATTTAAATGGAAGTACATATAAAACAAGGTTATGCATTGATTGGTTGATAAAAATATTGTGGCCAGAGACTCACAGGAACCAAATTCTGTTTTTCCACTACATGAAATGGCTCAGTATTTGCCTATTTGAAATTGTTGGTGACTTTATAAAACATAACTACATATGAATAATAAAAATTGATGGTATATACATGTAGTATATGCATACTATTTTATATAGTTGCTTTCTATGTCAGGTAAGAGATGAAAGGACAATAAATATGCAATTATACTACCTTTTATAATCATCTCTATTTATATTTATTTGTATTTTATGTGTGGATCCAAATATTTGCCTGATGTCACTTGTTTTCAGCCTGAAGAACACCTTTAGTATTCCTTGAAAGGCAGGTTAGCTAGCAATAAATTCTCTTAATATTGATTTATTTGGGAATATTTTTATTTCACCTTTTTTGAAATATAGTTTTTCTGGACACAGTTTTCTTGGTTAAAAATTCTTCTTTTTTTTCTGTCAGCACTTTGACTATGCCATATATTGCCTTCTGAACTCCATTGTTTCAGATAAGAGGTCAGCTGTTAATCTTTTGGGATCCCCTGTACATGATAAGTCTGCTCTTTTGCTACTTACAAGATTTTCTCTCTTAATTAATCTACACATCCAGAAAGCCCAAAGAACTCAAAATAGAATAAAAATGAAGAGATCCACACCTAGATCAATCAGAGTCAAAATGTTCCAACCCACTTTTAAACCCTCTGTTTAATATTTTCACTCTAATTATTGTACTTTCAACCCTGGACTTTTCATTAATTCTTCTTCTATAACATCTAGCTCTTTATTGACATTCTCTACTTAATAAGACAATGCCATCATACCTTTGTTTAATTATTTAAGTGTGACTTTGTTTAGTTTTTATTTATAATATCTCCTTTGCAGTCTTTGGCTGATAAGTACAATATTTGGGTCCTTTCTCTTGCCATTTTCTTTGCCTGTGTATGGCTGTGAATTGGACATTTTAGAAAATACAATGCAATGTTCAGTATTGATTCTCCTTCCCCTACCCTGGACTTGTTTGTTTATTTGTTTAGTGGCTTGGCTGACTGTTCCAATGCAGTCTGTTTTCTCCACAGTGTGTAGCCTCTGAAGTCACTGAGCAGACAATGGCAGCTTTAGGCATAGAGTGCAGTCCCCCTGACAATCTCTCCCCCAAATGACAGTGGTTTCAGCTTGGCTGTCTTTTACTGTGGACTCAGAGTCCCTGGGGTTCAACTTTTGATTTTTTGACTTCACAATGGGTTTATCAGGATGCAACCTCATCGTAAGTCGAGAAGCATCTGTATTTCTCACATCTTCCTTTTAATTTTCTGGTTGGTCTGTCTCTCTTGCTATCACACTCAGCTATTAGACTCCATTAATTTGTAGCTGATTGCTCTATTATTTTAGAGAATACCTCAGGGCATAAGTTGCTCCACAGTTTGCTCCAATTAACATCTCAGTCCCTTTGCAGATGTAGTCTTTGAGGACAGTTAGTGAGCTTTGGTGTGACCAGAGGTGTTCTCTTTTTAGCAGCCTTTTTCCTTGATTCTCTCTGTTAAGCGTTTCAATTTTTACTATCGTATGGCTATAAACCTCCACTTAATTGCTTACGACCAAAGTCACCATTGTTTTCTATAGCACTGTTATGCTTTTTTCTCCATACTTTGTTCTAAACATCTCCATGATTTATTCTAAATAAAGTCAGCCTCCTTGGGGACAGCTACAAAGCTCTCTGTTCTTGGTCTGCCTCTGTCCCTGGGCAGAATGTCTGCACTACTTCTCCGAAGAACAGCTTCCACTTATCTTGGAATAACATAGCTACTCTATGAGTGGAGTGCTGGGTTGGGATGACAGCCTCTGGTTCTGTAGGAATACTTTCATTCTATAAGTGAGATGGATCAAAATGATGGGACCCAGAATAATAAGCTCACTGCATTCAGAGTATAGGTTCTGTCCTACAATTAAGGTTAGATGGAGAAAGGAAGCCTGAGATCTGTTAGCATTAGAATAGAGTTTCTGCAACATATACCTAGGGCAGAGGAAAATTGCTAGTTTGGGATCTTCCCTTCCTGAGAAGAAACCATAGCACTAGACTGGGCTCTGGGAGAAGATGGAGACACATCTTCTTGGTTGTACTTGGACAGAGTAGAGCTTCTCTTCCACTGAGCCTGAGGGGTCTGAGAACAATTGTAACTCAATTGTCATGGTCTCTTACTGTTCTTACTGAGATTTAATATATTTTCTTAAAAATTGTTTCTTCATTTGGAGTATTCCCTTTGTATAATTTTCTAACTCTACTATATAAACCAAAATTTTCAGTGAATTAAAGAGTTAAAAGTATATATCTCATAAAACGTTAATGTAATTTGTAATAAGAAATGCTTCTAATATTAGATGTTAGAAGAGGAGAAGCAAACTTTATATGCTGTATAATCCCTTTAAAAATATTAATACAAACATTGCTGATGACATGATAAAGTGAAAGAAATTTTTAAAAAACATCTGCCAAGGTGTTGAAAATAATATTTCTAAGCAAGGTGATTAAGGGTGACTTGTATTTTCTTTGACACATCCTTGCATATTTTCCAAATCTTCTATGGTATACATATATGTCTATAATAATTAGAGCAATAATCCTTATTAAAAATAGTGATGCCTTTTTTAGACCTTACACCGTGTTTAAACAAATTTTACTAATTGCTTGGTGGCTGCTAGCATGATCATTTTTTCCACAGTCTTCTGACTCTACTTTTGCTGACTCTGCCCTGATATTTCATCTTGATTGATACAGTATGTGATCTACTCCAGTCACCTTTGTTCCTCCATTCATTAAGGGAAGCATGAGGGGAAGATGAAATTCACACCTAGGCAGTTATTTTCTTCTGCTTTATTCTGACTCCAAACTGCTGCAGCTCTTGCAGGTCACATGCAGCTCTGAGAGAGATTCAGTCAGCTCACCTTTTAAGCCCAGAGGTTCTCAGACTGTATCAACTTTTGAATAACTTAGTTCAATCTAATTCTATTTTTTTCCTGTAAATTCAAGTAGTCATCATGATTTCTATGATTTCTTCCATGAGAAACTGTTATATTCAATATACCTTATATAGTTATTGTTATTTACATTCCACTATAGGAACATAAAAACTGTAGTAGGTCCTACCACTATTTCACCTTAAATTGTATTCTGTCGGACAAAATCTTCCATCAGCACCTTCTTTATGTTGAACTCATAAAATATGGCAGTCTACAAATCTATTTATCTCTTCTTAGGTATCCATTAGAGAATTGGTTTTCTATCACTTTGAATTTTGCTCAATAACACCCCTCAAATTCAACAAAGCTAAATCTTAAAGGTAAATGAAAGTAAAGAGAGACCAAAAGAGAGACATGTTTAACTCACAAATGAAATATCTAAAAAGATTTTCAAAAAACCAGATACTACTATATACAGCTAATTGGAGAAAAAAGGAATAGACTCTCTTTATTTGTGAGTCTAAAGTCAATTTTAAAGAGCTCAATACAGAAAAATTTGTATATAGATGTAAATATTTAAATATAAAATTTTGTCAAATAACTAAGATGAAAATTATGTCTTAACCCCTGCTATGATTATTAAATAGCAAAGTAAGGTAATTATAGATGATGTTGTCACCATGTTTTATGTTTATTAAAGGTAGCATTTTAATTTTAGGTTAAATATACAATGTAGGAGTATAGTAGTTTATGGGCTTTAATGCACATTTTATGAAATGTTGAGTCTGTTTGCATAGTCACTGTGTATGCTACATTTAGGCCAATTTTATGGGACTTGAAGAACCATAGCACTATTTTAAATGATAATGCTGGTTTATAGGGATTGTGCTTCCTTTTACGATATCAGTGATTGATATATTTAATGGCTAATTTTTGATGTACTTCAATGTGTAAAGGTAGAATACTTATATAATGTCCAACATACTGTGTGGAATTATTCACACAGCTGCCGCAATTTGTTTATTTAACTACAAATTCAAAATTACTTTCCTTTCCTTTCTTCTTTCCTTCTTTTTTCTTTTCTTTTCCTCCCTCCCTCTCTCTTTCTCTCTGTCTCTCTTCTCTTCTCTCCTCTTCTCTTCTCATCTCTTTTCTTTTCTTTTCCTTTCCTCCAGAGTCTCACTCCATCACCCAGGCTGGAGTGTAACGGCGAGATCTCATCTCACTGCAATCTCCGCCTCCCAAGTTCAAGTATTTCTCCTGCCTCAGCCTCCCAAGCAGCTGGGATTACAGGCACCTGCCACCACACCCACACCTGCCACCACACCTGCCACCACACCTGTATTTTTAGTGGAGACAGGGTTTGCCATGTTGGCCAGCCTGGTCTTGAACTCCTGACCTCAAGTGATCTGCCCACCTTGGCCTCCCAAAGTGCTGGGATTATAGGTGTGAGCCACCGTGCCCGGCCTCAACTACTTCTTTTAAGCCTATAGTATCAGGCTTCTGCTGATGGAATGAAGAATTCATTGGGCTTAGATTCAGGAGAACTGAATTAAAATCCTGTATGTTTGGGCAATGATTAACTAGACTTTTTTATTTCAGTTCTTTTCTCTTAGTGAGACAAAGCTGCAAATTTGACGTAAAAAGTCCAAGCTGTAAATTCTGGCTCTATCAGGTGTTAATGGGTATTTGACATTGGAATCATTTCTTGATTTCTATGAATATCAGATTCAGTTTGTAAAATGTGAATCATAATATATATCACCTTGATAAAAACATGAAGTAATGAATGTCAAAGTGTTTTGTAAATGGCAGAGCATTATTCTAACTTTTGTACATAGCACATATATATTTAGTGCTTATTTTTATGCTGAGTTCCCATTCTCAAGTGTGACATCTTACTGGAGGAGGCAAATACAAATAATATCCATACAAAGAGTCAGATAACATACAGATGTACAAGTATTATAGACAGCTTGCAGAGCTAAGCAAGCATAGAAGACTTGAGTAAACAAATGGCATTTGAGGTGGGATTTAAAAAGGGAAGAAAAATGGGAGCAAGAACTACAACAGTTGTGTAGTGGTGTGAAATTAACTTTGGCTAAAGTAGATAACAGTAAGATATAGGCAAAGACATGGTAGAAAATGAGGTTTGCAAAGCATTTTGAGGCAGACAGAGAGCTATTAATAGGAGTTTGGACCTTTTTCCTTGGTTTAGTGGGGAGCTGTTAGAGCTCTTTAATAATTCTCCATCCAGATTATGGCTGGTTGATACCTATGACTTACATATTTTTGACTTAATATCAAATGGCAATAGGAGGTGCCGGGTGGTTAATCCTGATATGGTTTGAATGTTGGTGTTCCCTCCAAAATTCCTGAAATTGATATTGAAACGTAGTCCCAAATATCAACAGTGTTAAGAAGTGAGGTATTTGGGAGGTGATTAAGTCATGGAGGCTCCTCTCGCAGTGGGATTTAGGCCTTTATAAACGAAGCTTCACATAGCATTTGGCTTTTTCTTCCCCTTCCTTGCCTTCTGCTGTGTGAGGACACAGTGTTCAAGACACCATCTTGGAAGCAGATACTAGGACCTCATCAAATACTGAATTTACTGGCACCTTGATCTTGGATTTCACAAACTCTGTAACTATGAGAAATACATTTATCTTTTTTTATAAATCATATAATCCCAGGTATTTTGTTACAGTATCACAAACAGACTAAGACAATTTCTAAAATCTGGCACCCTGAGCTCAGGTGTCAGTTTAATAAACCGAGTGTGTGTAAAATGTGGAAGAAAAAAAAACACCCTTTAGCCACTATGCTTATAATTATTTAACAGTTAAAAAAAAGGCACAGTAGTTGTCTCACTCCGTTTGGGCTATTATAAGAAAATGCCTTAGACTGAGTAACTTGTGAAAAACAAATTTATTTTTCACATTTTTGGAGCCTGGAAAGTCTAAGATCAAGACACCAGCAGATTTGGTGTTTGGTGAGGGCTTGCTGCCTGCTTCAAATATGGTATCTTCTTGCTGTGACCTCACATGGCAGAAGGAGCAAAAATGTTCCCTCAGACTTTGTTTATAAGGGTACTAATCTCATTCAGGGTTTTGCCCTCATGACCTAATCATCTCCTAAAGATGCCATATCTTAATACTCTTGCATTGGAGATTAGGTTTCAGCCTGTAAATTTTGGGGGAACACAAACATTTAGACCGTAGCTGTAGTGAAATATTGTCAGTCAAGTAATGCTAAAAGTTTTGCTTTTTTTTTTTTTGTTTATTTTTAAAAACATTTTTATAGATAGCATCTTATTGTGTTACCCAGGCTGGAGTGCAATGGCACAATCTTGCTGCAACGTCTGCCTCCCAAACTCAAGTGATCTGCCCACCTCAGCCTCCTGTGTAGCTGGGACTACAGGCGCCCACCACAACACCTGGCTAATTTTTGTATGTTTTTGTAGAGACAGGTTTCACCATGTTGCCCAGGCTGGCCTCGAGCTCCTGAACACAAGCAATCTGCCCAATTTGGCCTCCCAAAGCACTGGTTTACAGGTGTGAACCACCACATCTGGCGAAGTAATGCTAAAAGTTTATAACAGCACACTATTGGTGAACATGACTGGGCATATGTTCTGTAGGCATACCTTTTTAGATGAAAGTACATCCTGGCCTCATTGGAGTATTTTGTAGATGTCCTTCCAAGGATATGCATGAACATAAACAATTCACATAATATGTACATATATATGTTTATCATAAAGAGTGAATGCAAAATAAAAATGTATGGAGTGAATATTTGGCAGAGTACATTTACTTATTTAGTTTACATAATTATACCTCTTGCTCATAACCCTGACAGAACAGGTCTAATTTTCATTAAGCATGACTACAGTTTTCCTACACTAATCATATTAATGTTATACTTGTTTTGATACCAAATAAAGTAATTAGGTTGTTTTTGATGGTAGTGAATATAATATGTATATTAACAAATTGGCATCTGTTTTATTTCATTTTTCATTTCAATTTAAATGTAATCAACCAATAATGACCCTAGTAAGCTAGTTAATAATTAAGATAAGCATTCTTCCACTAAAGTTATATAGTTTATTTCAAAACTTATGTTTAATACATTTCAAAAGATATTAATCAGAAATGTTCAAGAGAAATGGATATTCTGAGCCAATTGTTGACATTCTAAATCCAAGTACATTAACAGCACCTTTTCAATCATAACTATTGCATCATTAGTGCACAGCTACATAGTGCTAATTACTTTATTTACCTCTACATTGAATGAATGCTGTTAAACCTTTTTAAATAATTGATAATTTATTAAATACTAATATATGCAAAACTGAACTATACAAGTTTTTCCAAATTATATCTGCCATCTTTTGATTATATAAATACAACATATACTACCTGAATGCAAAATTAACATATTATATTTTTATTATGTTAAAACATATGTAACACACAGTTTTCCATTTTAACCATTTTAAACGTAGAGTTTTCAGTGGCATTAATTATATTCACAATATTATGCAACCATTACCAGAATCTATTTCAGAATTTTTTATCACCCCAAACAGAAACTATGTTCCTTAAAAAGTTAAGCATACAATTACCATATGATCCAGCAACTCTGCTTCTAAAAATATACTGCAAAGACTTGACAGCAGATACTCAAACAGATGCTGGTACACATACATATGTTTAACTTTTTGAGAAACAGTGTAAGTGTTTTCCACAGTGGCTATATCATTTTATATTCCTGCCAGCAATAAATGAGGATTCCACTTTCTCCACATCCATGACATGCTAACATGTGCTATTTTCTTGTTTTTTGGTTTTTTTTTTTAGTACAGTCATCCTGTTAAGTGTCAAGTGATATCTAATTGTGTGTGTGTGTGTGTTTTCAATTTTAGTTTTTGTGGGTGCATAGCCATATATATTTATGGGGCATATAAGATATTTTGATACAGGCATACAATGTATAATTATCACATTAGGGTAAATGGGCTATTCATAACCTCCAGGATTTATTCTCTGTGTTACAAATAATCCACTTATACTCTTTCAGTTACCATTGTGATTTTGAATTGCATTTTCCTAATGATGAAAAATGTTGAGCTACTTTTCATATGCTTATTGGCCATTTTTAAATCTCCTTTGGAGAAATGTCTATTCAAGTCTGTATTCATCAGAGAAAAAGAACCCATAGGAGATATATATTTATTATACAAATTATACATATAAATATATATAATATAAATCTATAAAAAGAGATTTATTGTGAGGGACTAACTTATACAATTATGGAGGCTGAGCAGTCCCATGACTTCTGTCTGCAAGTTATAGGCACAGAAAAGATGTTGGTGTAGTTGGCCAGTTCAAACCTGAAGGCCTGAGAACGAGGTGCACTGATACCTGATGCAGGAGAAGGTGGATGTCCCAGCTCAAGCAGAGAGCACATTCAGCCTTTCTCATTTTTGCTCTATTTGTGTCTTCAGTGAGTTGGGTGGTGCCCACCTGCAATGGTGAGGATGATCTTCTTTATTCAGTCTACCAGTTCAAACACTACTCTCTTGAGGAAACCCCCTCACAGATGCACCCAGAAATAACGTTTTGTCAGCTATCTGGGTATCTCATAATGCAGTCAAGTTTACACTTAAAATTAACCATCACAGAGTCTTTTATTTACTTTTAATTTGCTTTTTGTCTTCTTGTTGTTGGCTTGCATAAGTTCTTTATATATTCTGGATATATATTTTAAATATAACCATATACTTTTTCCCTTATCAGGTATATGATTTATAAATGTTTTCCTCCACTCTGTGGGTTGTGTTTTCACTCTTCTGATGGCATCTATTTTGATTCCCTTATTTCCTTTAGTTTGTGTTCAGCTAGTGTTTTGATATAGATTTTCTTGAATTCCAAGTGCTTGGAAACAAAACAAAACAAAACAAAAAAACACCTCTCAGTGTTTGACGATTAATTCTGTGCTGGGTCACTCTTTTAAGATTTAGCCAGCCCAGTTAAAGCTCTGGCCCAACCTTTACTTCCTACTTGTGCTGAGTGTGGACATCAGCCAATGATGAAAGCTTAAGGTTTTCTTGGGTCTTTTTTGAGCATGCATCCTATCCTAGTCATGTTCTTGGTTTCCAAATTCCCCAGTATATACAGGCACTTTTGAGTGTTCTCATTTCCCAAAGAAATTACCTTCCTGGCTTTTTCTCCCAAGATTTAGGCAGTCAGTTGTGTGTCTTAATGGTAATCTCTCTTTTACCTCAGTTGGCTGCAGGTTCTTCATTTGCCTTCCCTTTTTGAATAGCACCTTCTGTCTCCTCTGCTCTTGGTGGGATCCAAGATATGAAACAGAAACAAGAACATTATGTCAGCCCTCAGGTAGCACCCAAACAGGTTAGAACAAAGAAACAATTATTTTTCAATAAACCCTGCTCTGCTCCTTCCAGAACCAGAGGCCAGGGTTCCATGCTGAGAACACCGGTTAACATCTTCAGGACTGCAGCAAAGCCATGGAGAGGTGTGGATAAGGGCGAGTAAGAATGCCACAATTTTTGGCTACCATTTTTAAATTGCCCCCTTTTTTTTTTTTTTGATTCGGCATTCATTTGGTTACTGTATACTTTTGACTGTTTCTGGAGTTCTGACAAAGTTGGTTTTGACAGTTCTGCTTGTTTTAAATGATTTTTGTGAAGGCACAGATGTTTGGAGCTGCCTAATCTGGTGTTTTGTGGATATTGCTCTCCTTTACTGTAATTTTATATTCCAATTTAAGTTAATGGAATTAATAAGTAAACCTGTGAATTATAAGACTTGCATTACACAAAGTACTGTAGGACGTATGCTGGTGGAAGACGGACCCTCAAGAATTTGAGAGGTAGATATGACCTGCATATACATATCTATTACAGCAGGTAGTTTATGACCTGTAGTAAATCAGGGGAGTCAGGAAAAGATTAATAAGGATAACTTTTAAGGTGGACTTTGTAGCTTAACTAGGATTTTTATAGTTAGTGATAATAGGGAGAAAAAGTTTAGCTGGAAGAACTGAATAGAATCCTGTTTTATGAGTATGTAGGCTATTTGTAGAGTTTTGGTGGAAGATAGAGCCAGATGATCATAATTAGTTCTGTCTCTTATTTAAAAGACAATGAAAATAAAAGCTTTTAAGCAAAGAAATGCTACGATTTAAGCTCCTGCTTCAGAAGATTAGTTTGGCAGTGATGGGTAGAATGCATTGAGCCTACAAAATGTATATTACATACATAAAATTATATATACAATAAATGTGATTATATTAAGACTTTTGAAATCTAGGAACTCTTAGTTTAAGTCAATAAATAAAAGATTTGCTTATTTTAAAACCCATCTAACCATTATGACACCTAAGATTTTTAAAATACTAGGCAAATGCAGTTAAAAAACAAATTATGTTAAATTTAGCTTCAGAGTATGTTTCAATGAAATATGATAAATACTACCAGAAAGTTACTTATTAAAATACCATTTAGAATCCGCAATACAAATAATCATGCTACAAGCCAATGCTTATTGGATGCTTCCTATATGCCAGGAAATATATGATGTTAATTTATATATGCTTTCTATAAGTATATTTTTCTAAGTGCTTTATCAGTGGCTGCTCATGTAACTCTCTGTTACACGTCTGCCAGCCTGTCAGTTAAGTACCATTTTTATCATATCATTTTATGAATGAGGAATCTGAGACTTCTATAAATTAGGGAACTTGGCTTGCCACATAACCAGCAAATGGTAGAGCTGGGATTTGAATCCATTCACTCAGGCTCACAGATTTTGACCTTAACTGTCACATAGCACTTTCTCCCTTTTTAACAGTTATCAAGAATCTAGTATTGAAGTAAGATGTCGTTAAAAAAAAAAAAAAAAACACAAAATGTGTAAAAAGAGACATTAAGAAAACTACCATAGTAGTGAGAAATTACAATAGTCTTTTTGCTAAGTCCTCAATAGATTAGATAAAATAAATAAAAATTTATAGACTTTAAATATAATTAATAGTAGCAAGATATTCATACAATAGTAGATATCTATCATAGGTCTGTAATAGATGTAGATGTATTTGTATATTAAACAGATTATATATTTATAGAATATATATCCCAAACTTTCTATTCATATATTTAAATAAATAATATAGTTTATTTTCAAGTGCCTATAGAATATTTACAACGTGAAAAAGTGATAATATCCTAGGGTGAAATGTTAGTATCAAAATTTTAAAAATAATATTAATATGCATACCACATTCTCAATTTTCACTAACACAAAACTAGAAATTAATAGCAAAATGTTAACCAAAATACTTAATAAAATGACAATTTATTAACATGTTCCTAAAGTAGGTCTAAGATAATTTTAATATGTAATTATATAGTTTTTGATTAAAGGAAATGGCAATATTACATTCCAAACTGCAAATGATGATGAGAAAAGAGTTCTCAAATAAATACCCTAAAGGCTTTTATAATTAAGTAAAATAGAAAAGAAATAAATAGAGTCATATCAATAATAATGTAGCGGGGAAAACAGAAAATTCACCTGTTAATACATTAGAAAAAAAATGATGAATCTAAGAATAATTATTTGATAGGGAGAGGAAAAATTCTACCAAAATAGGTGAGAAAAACTCTGGAATGTCTAAGAAATAAATACATGGAAAGAGAAAAATTGAAAACACACTGTGTTTATCAATTGCTTTATAACTATTTACTCCAAGAGTTAGCAGCTTGCAACAACCATGTTTTTTTTCACATGGTTTCTGAAGGTTAGGAATCTGGTGGCAGCTCGGCTGGGTGGTTCTGGTTAACGGGTTCTTGTGAAGTTGCCATCAGTGTTGTTTATGGTTGCACATCCAAAAGCTTGACTGGAGATTGAAGATCTATTTTCAAGCTTACATGGCTTGCAAACTTCTTCAGTATCATGTGGGTCTCCTCTTCATACAGCTTCATACAGCTTCTCATGATATGGCATCTGGCTTTCCTAAGAGTGAGTGATCTAAGACAGTGAGGGAGATATATATATATATATATATATATATACACACACACACACACACACGTATGTATATACATATATATACATGTATGTGCGTATGTGTATATATACACATACATATGTACGCATATACATATATACACGTGTGTATACATACGTGTATATACACACATATACATATGCGTACACATGTGTGCACATATGCATACACATGTGTGCGCATATGTGTACGCATGTGTGCACATATATATATATCAGATGATATATATACAGAAAGTGAGAGAGCAGATACATATAAATCTTCAAAACCAGTCCTTAACTAACAGGTCTCCTCTCACACACAAATATATCCTATTGGACCTTTCAAGTATATTAACTTATGTAGCAAAAAGGACTTGCAGATATAATTAAGGTTAATAATCAGTGACTATAAAATAGGGATATTAACCTAGATTATATAAGAGTATTGGTGGGATGTAGGGTATGATCATGTGCATGGAGAAATTTTCTTCTGCTGGAGTCAGGAGAGGTATAGCAGAAAAAGCTAGAAAAATTCCAATGTGAGAAAAATTTGTGTGCCATTTGGGGCCCATATGAAAGGCTTGAAGAGAGGACTCTAGGAGTTCAGGGTGGCCTCTGGCTGACAGACAGGAAGGAAAGAGAACCTTCATTCTTCAGCCACAAGAAACAGCATTCTGCCAACAACTTGAATGAGTTTGGAAGTGGTTTTGTTTGTTTGTTTGTTTGTTTGTTTTTTCCTAAAACCTCACTATAAAAACCCAGCTGGCTGACACCTTCATTTCAGCCTTGACAAACCCACAGCAAGGACACAGTTAGCTGAGCCTAACAGGACTTCTGACTTTTAGAACTGTGATATAATAACTGGGTGTTGTTTTAAGTCGCTAAATTTGTGAGAAGTGGTTACAGTAGCAATGGAAATTGAATACCATAGCATATACTTACTCTCAAAGTGATATGCCCTCTCTTTTGCTATATTATGTTGGTCAGAGACCAAGCAGGGGGATATGGGAGGGAACCATACAAAGATGTGAATAAAACTGAGGTGAGATCATCAAGGACTGTATTGGAGGTTACTACTATCCTCTGACCTCCACAATACAAATTCCCTCACATATGAAAAATACACACACTGCCCCCCAGGATTCCCCAAAATCTCATCCCATTTTAGCATCAGCTTGAGGTTCATATGCTGTTATCTAGGTCCAGGCATGGATGAGATTCCTGGAGTGTAGGCACTTAAATACAGTTCCTTGGATAAAATTACTTAAATACAGCTCCTTGAGGATATTTCCTCTCTATCTAGAGATAGAGGCAGGTTACTGCCCCCCCCATACCCAATATCCTGGCAGACAACAGAGGATAATAGTTGTAGACATTCCTGTTCATAAAGGCAAAAAATAAAAGGCACAAAGGAGACATAGGTCCACAGCAATTTTAACATCCAACTAGGCAAATATTGGCAGTTCTTAATTGTTGCCAACTCTGATTCCTGCCCCCAAATGCTCTCTGTATCTTTTTGTTTAAGATTCTGGGTTTTTGGTTTCTCCCTTTGAGTTACCCTTTCTTTTCATGAATGGTAGTGCATGTTCACACTGAGTAATTTTTATAGCCTGCCTTCTTATTTATAGATTTAAGGGTCCAAGGACCTCTTTTTATTTTGTACTGTCACTGTTCTTTTCAATTAAAACTGGCGATTCTGGTGACATAATCTGCATACAACTTTGTAGATCTTCTGTGGATCTTGTTAAGGATCACTCCATTGACAAAATTTATGTCCCTGCATCTTTTCTATATAAGCCTCTTCTCTACCCTCTTCCACTGAGATGGCTGAGATACTATACTCTTTACCTTCTTGGAATCTCTCTCTACTTTTTTTTGTTGAGAGGATTTATGATGCGCACCCTTAAATTCTTTATAGGGCTTTTTTTTTTTCACCACAGAGTACTATGAGACACCCCTTTTAACTTTTCTGGAGTCTTAACAAAGGCTTTTAGAGTCACGTCATTGGATTCTACTAATTCTATCCTTGTTTCCCGTCTTGGGACACTGGAAATCTTCAAAACCAGTCCTTAACTGATAAGTCTCCTCTCACATTTTACTCTAAACAGAGTATATTCAACATTTTTAATGGAAATTTCCTCAGCTGGATCACCCCATTTGTTAGGTACATTTTCCATCTTCCACATCACTGCAAGTAACAGGTTTGTTGGACATTTTGCCACTAAGTAACAAGAATATTCTTTCCTCAAATTTCCAATAAAATTTTCCTTTCTTTCCCTTAACTGTTCACAGGCAGCCTCCTCAACGTCAAAACTTTTGCTAACAGTCTGTTCGAGGTTTTCCTAAAACTCTTCTTAAAACCCTTCTACCTACTTCCTATTGCCTGGTTTCAAAATGATTCCACATATTAGGTATTTATTGTGGCACCACACTACTTCCAATTTCTAAATTTTGTGTTATTTGTCAATTGCTGCATAATAAATCATCCCCAAATTTTGTGGTTTTGAACAGCAAACATTTACTGTCTCACATAGTTTTTGGGTACTAGGAATCTTTGAGTAGCTGAGCTAGGTGCTGCTGGCTCAGAATCTCTTGTGATGCTATAGGCACATTGTTTTCTGGTGCTGCAGTATTCTGAATGTGTGATTGGGGCAGGAAGATCTGTTTTCAAGCTCGGTCCTGTGACTGTTGGCATTAGGCTTTTCACTATGTGGACTTCTCCACAGTGTTGTTTATGTGACTCTGAATAGTCACAATGGGGGTTAGTGCTTCAATTCACAGGACTTCCTATAAGAAAAAAACGATAGGGCATTTATGCTAGGGGAGCTGGCTTTCCTCGGGAAGTAATAACAGAGAGAGAGAAAGAGAAAGGGAGGGAGAGAGAGAAAGAGAGGAGAAATAAGGACGGAAAATAATATCTCTTATAAGCTGTCTCAGAAATGAACATACCATCACTTCTGATATGTTCTATTGGTGACATATTCTATTGGTTACAGTGACCAAATCTGGTACAATGTAGACAGGGTGTACAGAAGGGTAGAAATAGTAGGAGGTGGGGACTCCTAGGAGTCTCTTGGAGGCTGACTACTACACTACAACTTCTGGCCTCCAATTAGTCATGTCTCTCTTTTTAAATTAAAAAAAAAGAAATGTTGGGGGGTATGGAATTATACTTTATAATTCAGGAATGTTTGTCTCAGGGAAATTAAGACTCTTATCCAAGACATTACCAAGACAATTGAAACCTAACCCACCTGTATTGTTCCTTTTCCTACTGCTATAAAGAACTGCCCGTGACTGGGTAATTTATAAAGGAAAGATGTTTAATTGACTCACAGTTCTGCATTGCTGGGGAGGCCTCAGGAAACTTTCAATCATGGCAGAAGTCAAAGGAGAAGCAGGAACCTTCTTCTCAGGGCAGCAGGATGGAGTGAGTGCAAGCATGGGAAATGCCAGACACTTATAAAACCATCAGATCTTGTGAAAACTCACTATCATGAGAACAGCATGGGGGAAACCGCCTCCCTGATCCAATTGCCTCTACCTGGTCCCTCCCTTGACACGTGGGGATAATGGAGATTACAATTCAAGCTGAGATTTGGGTGGAGTCACAGACCTGAACCATATCGCCACCTAAACCTCATGCCTCACCTAAAATCTTATGCCTTTTCTCTTGCAATAAAATAGGATACCCTGGAGATCTGCTATGTATAGTACTGTTTTCCATAGTACATAATATTCCTATACTGCTTGAGCTTTTGAAATTGTCTATCTTTGCCAGTTTTTCTTTATCTCAGCCTTCAATTTCTATCTTACCTCACTGGAATAAGTGTTCCAGATGGATAAATTTTCTCTCCACCCTTCCAGATTACTATGTTTTTGTTTGCAATAAACATGTATGGCATTGCCTATAGCATCATGAAAGAACCAGACTTACTGAAATCGCATGAAAACTAAGTGTAGGCCAGGTGTGGTGGCCTGTAATCCCAGCACTTTGGGAGGCTGAGGTGGGTAGATCACGAGGTCAAGAGATTGAGTCTGGCCAACATGGTGAAACCCCGTCTCTACTAAAAATACAAATTTTATATATATATATAGAATATATGTGTGTATATATATTCTCTATATATATAGAATATATGTGTGTATATATATTCTCTATATATATAGAATATATGTGTGTATATATATTCTCTATATATATAGAATATATGTGTGTATATATATTCTCTATATATATAGAATATATGTGTGTATATATATTCTCTATATATATAGAATATATGTGTGTATATATATTCTATATATATATAGAATATATGTGTGTATATATATTCTATATATATATAGAATATATGTGTGTATATATATAATATATATAGAATATATGTGTATATATAATATATATAGAATATATGTGTATATATAATATATATAGAATATATGTGTATATATAGAGAGTATATGTATATATAGAATATATGTATATATGGAGTATATGTATATATATAGAATATATGTGTGTATATATATAGAATATATGTATATGTATATAGAATATATGTGTGTATATATAGAATATATGTGTGTGTGTGTGTGTATATATATATATAGAGAGAGAGAGAGAGAGAGAGAGAGAGAGAGAGTAAGCTGGGTGTGATGGTGTGTGCCTGTAATCCCAGCTACTTGGGAGGCTGAGGCAGGAGAATTGCTTGAACCCGGGAGGCGGAGGTTGCAGTGAGCCGAGATCACACCACTGCACTACAGTCTAGGTGACAGAGCAAGACTCTGTCTCAAAAAAAAAGAATAAGAGTAAATACGTTCTGAGTAAAAATCTATGTGGGTCTTCCTGTATTAGACTGTTTAGGTTGTCATAACAAAATACTACAAACTGAGTGGCTTCAACAACAGAAATTTGTTTCTCACAGTTCTAAAGGCTGGGAAGTTCGAGATCAAGATGCCAGCTGACTCACTTCTTGTTGATAGCTCTGTTCCTGTTGTGTAGATGGCTGCCTTCTCACTGTGTCCTCACTTGGCAAAGAAAGTGAGAGAGCCTTCGGGTTTGAATGCTGCTATAAGAATACAAATCCTTTCAGATCAGTGCTTCACCCTTAAGAACTCATTTAACTCTAATCAATTCCTTATTCTAAATCATGCTTGAATGTATGAGTTTGTGGGGGAATCAATTCAATTCATAGGACTTCCTATAAGGAAAAAATATAGTGCTTTGACTTTGGGATATTATAGTATTCAAGGAGCTCTTTTTTTCCAATGGGGGTTTTGTTTCTTTACATTATTTTTCTCAGTATCAATCCAGACAGTGAGTTTTTCATATATTTATGTTCCCAATAATTAAGTTACTGATTATAATATGGAGTTTCATTATTGCTGCTATTTTAGAAATATGTATTTCCTGAGTTTCAGGTTCAAAACGTTTTTAAAGGAAAACAAAATACACTCATTAAAGAGATTAATAGCAATGGAAGAAAATGAAAATAGCGTACCTATAGGTGGACTTGAGTTTGTTTTCATTCACTTAAGTAGCTTCTTATTAGAGGGTCAGATTGGTTTTATATTAATGTGAAGAGCGCAACAAACCCATTATATATAATAGATTTATATTATACAAAGCCACTGATATATTGTGGTAGATTATATGAAGCTATTCTCATCATTCCCCTTCTAGACATACATACACACATGCTTATATATAATAATCAAATGAGTTAGTTGACAAAAGGTTTTAAAGTCCGAATTTAATTCATGAAGGTATCCATTTTCTTGGATTAAAATTCTAGTTTCTGATTTTTTTACATTTCAAAAACACTATACCTTTTTCTAAATTATGTATATTTTTCTGTTTGTAAGGAAAGTGTAGAGCTTACAACAGAGACATAGAGAAAATATTGACTATACTAAAGTTAGCAACTGATATATGTTATAGATGAACTGTAACAAATATGTCCTTAGTGAAATATAAAATGATGTTGTTATAATAACGTTAGAGTTCTAGTTAGTACTACATTCAATTTGTATTCAATTTGCGACAATTTAAAAGTTATTAACCTATATTCTAAAGTTAGTAAATTATTTTACAACAGTAATTTCAACAATGGAGGCTCCCATGTGCCCATGTATTTGGATACATTTGTCTGAAATCATTTTAATGAGCAATTAAAAAACTCACAAAATAGTCTTTCTAATATTTGCTCTCAAAACAACTCTGAGAGGTCAACTGTTTAATATGTTTAATGTAATATCTATTATATTCTCAATTTTACCGTTCTTACTAATGAATTATGTTATGATTTTATTGCCTTTGGAATTGAAAGCAAGATAAAATATGCTTTTTGTGTTTTATACTTACATACAACAAAGTTTTGAAGTATTTTTTAGCTCTGAAAAGGAATGATAACAATGACTATTTGGAAATAAAATATATCTTCTACTATAGAAAACATAAGCAAATACAACTTGTTACCAAGGTATAGTTTCTGGTGTGTGTGTGTGTGTGTGTGTGTGTGTGTGTGTGTGTGAAAGACAGAGTGGTGGTGTCTATGACATACTACGGTATATTTGAGATTATAAACTAACAAAGCAACTCAAACACTTGACAACATAAGAGTAAAAGATAACTGAACATGAGATGACAATTGGAAAGTTAACCTTGAAGTGGTCTGGAAAATTATATTATTTGCTTTGTTTTTGATTTGTCAATGGAGACCAACATAAATTTTCCATGTAATGGTAAGTCATTAAAAAGTCATAAAATATAGTTTAATAGCATTGCAATTATTATTTTAATAAATGTTACAATTACTATAATTTAAAATACTTGCCTGAAATTAATTCTAATCATCCAAAATACAACTTCTAATGAAATTTTCACTCTTGAATGTTTACTTTAAATCACATTGTCTTCCATATATTCAATACTTTTGGGAGCAATGCTGTGGAATGTAGAATAAATATCAGTTGTTGCTATTGAAAATTGTGAACTTTAAAAAATTTTAATAAAGGGATAAGATTATAACTTTTTGCTTATGATTTGTAAAAAAGAACTGCAGTACCCTGTTTTACAAATATATGATTGATAACATTATTTGGAAATGCTATATATACCAATCATTTTCAGGTCATTTGAAAATTTCATGTTTTACCTTAAAATAAGAGAACAAATTTAAAGTGAGCCAACTCAAGTTTATTAAGAAAAAGTTTGAGGCAGTTTGTTTTTCAGAATAATAATAATAATAGTATTATAGTCTCAGATTATGCTTTATGCCAAACTGTGGTATTGTCATCTTTGGTTTCTGGATAAGATTTTACTGATGCCTTAGGTATTATTTTAATAAATGTCATAATTTATTATAACTGCTTAATGCACTCAAAATTTTGCAAAGCTTCTTATACTGTATAATTCAGACTAAAATTTAACATAATTGTGATGGTACTTTGAAAGGCCTACAATGTTCCATGAAAGAAGAATCTGGGGGCACCAATCACTGCATTATCTACAAACAATATGAGTTTTTGTATCAATAATTTCACACTTTCCCCAAAGAAAGTCATTTTTTCTTGAGTATCAACAAAATTTTATAGTGTTCATTTAGCTTGCTTGTCATTTCAACATTATGTATTGTGTACCATCACAATAGGGGGTGTTGAAGAAGCCCATTACCTACTATTCTTGTCCTCCATTGTTCAGAGCATAATGTAGATAGAAAATGATAAAAACAATACCTTAGATTCCTAAGCATAGGGCATGATAGTAATATCATAGTAGTGACATTGGAACCCGCATGCAAGTCATTATAAATTCCTGCCCTTATCATATACATCATACATGAAAATAGAAGAGATAATGAGTGCAAATAAAGAAGTGGAACTGAGTGGCATTAATCTCAGTATTGAGAGATTTTGTGAGTAGTACAGCATTCTTTTCATGTGCTAGCTGAAGTTCCCAATGGCAAATTGAATGCTGCTTATATCATTATATGCATGAATGAATATGATTGAAATAATGCATATGTTATTATATCAAATCCAATTTCACGAATATTATCAACCAACTAAAAAGTCTAATTGCTGATTAGAGAACTTATTATGGAGGTTCTTCTTAATATGCTTCAAATTGACATTGCATACTGGACTATGTCTCATTTATGATTTAGGGAACAAAATGTTTGACAGTGTGCACACACACAGCCATAGTACACACATATGTCTATATACATCCATAAGTGCAACCAAATATATACAATATACAAAATGCTATGCAGTATATCAGAGCCTTCTCTGTGCTCTTCAAACTTGGAAGAATGGATAGCAAAGCTCACATAACTCTCCAGGACCACATTTTCTCACTTCCTCTACCTTAGTAAAACAATTCCACGCATGGTCCTTGTCTCTGTTGTACAATGTTGTGTCTCCAAAACCCAGCACAAGGCATGGGACATGGGAAGCAGTCAGTGGATCACCTTAGTTCAAGAATCCTCTGCTTCAGTCATGCTTTATGGGGCCACAGGTGTTTTGAGAAGATGCTTTAGTTATAGCTTTAATGAAGCAAAGGGTGCAGCAGAGAAAAGCCAACATCCTTACCATGATCCTAAGGCAGATGCCCTCCCTCACCTACAACTCCTTCTCCAACCATATATGCCATCACTGTCCCCATCCCTCTCTCTAGTGCTGACGCCACTAGCCTCTGCAGCTCTTCCAAATAAGCTTATGCCTCAGTGACGTTACTGTACCTGGAAATCCCTTCCACAGATATCTACATGGCTTATTCCCTCACTTCATTCAAATCTCTCTTTATGAATCATCTTATTAGAGAAAACTTCCCTGACTACCTACTTAAGTGGTACCTTCCAATACCTTTTTTTATTTATTGAACTTTGGTAAGTTTAAGCATGTCTTAAATATGTATTTGCCTATTGTCTGAAAAACACAAGCACAATAATGTAAGCTCTAGGAGAGGAGTAGTTTGTCAGAATTGTACTCTGTCTTACTGCTTAGAATTGAGTGTAGAAAATAGAAGTTCCTCAAGAAGTATCTATTAAAAGAATGAATAAATTAAGAAGTGGGTCCCTAACATCCATGTCAAGAAATTTTTGGTGTTGTTTCATTTTGTTTAACACAATTGACTTCTAGGTAAAATTTCTTTTGTAATAAATTTTCTGTGTCTAAAAATAGTTTGAATTTTTAAAGTTTGATTTATTAAAACCTGTATTACTTGGTAGCACAAATTCTATGTATTTTTGATGATACTGAGGATAATTCTATATTAAATAAGCTTACAAAAGCAAAAGGAAAATAGTTTGTAAAACCATTCTGACATTCAAATACTGACAAATCTATTTGCAAAGATAAATCTAACTTTTTGTTGTAGCAGTAGGGTCTTGATAAAAATTTATATTATTTTGCCAGTAGGCTCATATAAACCTGAATCTGATACTTTAAAGCACTTTCTCCAAATAAAATTCTACATAGATCTTTGCACAAAAGCATCAAAGTCAAGTGGACAGAATTTAGAAGCTGAAACAATGAAAACTTCTGGCTGAATGCAAACTGGGACGATAATCAGCACTCTTAGGGTGTGTGGGCAAAGAGAGAGGGAATAAAAGGATGGAGTACGCAAATGGTAATCATTCTCCTAATCAATTCTATCATATGGAGAAAAATAGAAAGACAGACAAGGAAATAGCAGAGGCTATTGAAGACCGGCCATATCTTCATGAACTCAGAGAAAGAGCAGAGTTATGCAAGGAATGGCCCTCCAACATGCCATAGCCTGCACACTAGTGAATTTGCTATATTCTATGTCATGGATACTGATAAATCCAATTGACAACTCCTCTTTCTATATGAAGGAATGAGAAAAAGGAGTTGTTTTTTGCACTGTGATGAATATGCACTCGATATGTAAATTAACCCAATGATTAATACAAAGCAGGGAGTAGTAGACGCTTAAAGAATAGGGAGGCTTAGTATTCCTATGGGAATACAGACAAAGAGACTTTGACTTTTCTAGGGTTATATGGAAAGATTTCAAAGAGAAAGTGAGATTTGAGGTAGACAGTGAAAGTTGGGCACAATTTGAATTGCCCAGCGTCCAGGAAGGCATTTTAAGATGAGGAAATATTATGAACTCTAGAGGAGAAATAGTCAAAGAACCCATGAGTATGTAAGATTGGCTGGACTATATTTTTCCCACCGTTTATTTCAGTTTTTTTCTATGTCATGTATTGTATTTAGTTATAATTAACTATTCAATTCTCTCTTATATATTTGTCAATATAAATATTTGTTTAACATACATTTAAATATAATTATTCTAAGGGGCTGTATTTTAGATTATGTTTATGTTTATACATTAGCTTAGAAAAATACTGAAATCCACAAAAAATAGTATATTTTAAGTAAAAGGAAATTAAAACCATATAAAATGTCTTATTGTTAAACTTATGAAATACTAGAACAGTTACAAAGAAACAATTAAAATGATTTGTTAGAAAACATCAGTGACAGAAATAACATATGCTGTCTGGTAGAAACTTTACCTCCAAACAGCTATTTTCATATCGTACTTTCGTATTTCCTTAGGAGACATAATAGGTTTTAAACTATGCCTTATTACTACGTTGTGAAGTTGGGAAAAAAGAAAATAGACTGTGTATGTAACTATAGCACTTTAATAAAACATAGTGTAAGTATTTGTCTAATTTAATAATGCCAATTAACTGAAAACAGTTTCTAGTCAATTTGTCTGCCTCTGGTATAGCAAAAAAAAAAAAAAAAAAAAAAAAAAATCTAAGAAACTATCATATGTGTTTTTAAAATAAAGTTTATATTTTATGTTAAAAGAGGGAAAAAACAAAATGCTACAAAGCATTTATTTTTATTGATCTTGAGATCTGAGCAAATTTATACTTTATGGGAATCCCAGTAGGGAAAATAGAAGGACATCTAAAGTTCATTTCCTCAAGGTGGGGGAAGTCTTCTTAATTTGTCTTGCATTATATTTATTCACATACTCATCAGCTATTTATTAATTCATACATGTATTTGTTCATTCATTCAGTTTAGTCTAAACTTTGACTCCTTTTCACCTGGCCCTGTCCTTGGTCTAACTCGGGCATGACACTTTCCAATTTCTTCTGCAATACCTACTGCCTGCCTACCTCATTCTGCCTTTCTCATTAGATCCGAATTAGGACCTCAGAAGCTCACTAACCTGCAGGATATAGACAGTCTGAATTTTGGATCTAGCAATCGTGTAATTTAGATCTTGTTTAATGGTCCATGCTACCTATGCTTTCAATCTCAGACTGATTTTCTGATAAATCAAGTTAAAATTAAACAAGTTTGACAAATTAAGTTAGACTGTATCTTTTATTTCCAAATTCAGCTCCCTAAATACTCATTCATAAACTAATATACCACTATTCATATTTCCATTTTTAGCTTTCTGGCTTCTGCCTGAGCCTAGAATCCTAAACTCGGACAATTGTAGCTTTGTCCACTTGGCCGATATTTAATTTCTCAATTAAGTATATATTTGGCACTGTGATGAAGGGACTGTACTGGGATCTGCACACATTTTCAAAAGGTATGCATGCCTTTAATTCCTAAGGGCTTAAATTCTAATAAATGGCATAAAAGCAATACATAACAGAAAAACTATATAATTATAAAATATAAAATATATATATACATATTTATATTATAAAAATATAAAATTTTAATATAAATATAAAAATAATAGTGTAAATATAAACATATTTGTATAAATGTTATATATTTATAAAATAGATAAAATGTAATTAGAGTGCGTTATAACAAACTTTGTTGAGTGGAAGGAGATAATGTATTTTAAATACATACATCTTATACTTGCAAAAACTAACCAGCTGAAGTGGGAGAAAAAAGGGATTGAAAATCTGGGGATCTGAAATGATTGTACTGTAAGATAGATAAATAATTAGTGAGATAACTGCCTAAACTGTTCCAAGAGAGTGTTTTTAACCCCTTTAAATAAACCAAGATTATTCATACAAATGCATGCTATGAGCACTTGATAAAGCTAACAGACAGAAAGTCAGTAAAGATATAGAACTTGAACAGCACTATCAGCCAAATTTCCCTAATGGAGATTTATAGTATACTCCACCCAACAACAGTAGAATATACTTTCTTCTTAAGTATACGTGGAGCATCATCGAGATAGACTGTATCTTGGGCCATAAAACAAGATCAATAAAATTAAGATGATTTAAATCTTACAGAGTATGTTTCCTGAACAAAACTGAATTAAATTAGAAATCGATAAAGATATCTGGAAAGTCTCCAGGTGCTTTTAAATTAAACAACACATTTTAAATAGCTCAAAGGTTAAAGAGGAATTCACAGGAGAATTAGAAATAATCTGACCAGAATGAAAGCATAACATATCAAAATTTGTGGGATAGTGTTCAGCAAGGTTACAGAATTCAAAGTCAACACACAGAAATCAGTCTTGTTTCTATATACTAGCCATGCACAATTGTACCAACATTTTAGATTTTTTTAAATTAAAAAAAAAAACATTCAAAATAGCTCCCAAAATATAAATACACAGGTATAACTCTAACAAGACATACAGGATCTGTATGTTGAAAACTACAAAACACTTAAGAAATCTGAGAAGACCTCAAAACATGAAAGACATACAGGGTTTGTGGTTTGCAAGTCACAATATGGTTAAAGATGAAAATTCTCCCCAAATTAACAAGTAGATTCAATGTAATTCCTATCAAAATTTCAGCAGTATTTTTGTAGAGATGGACAAATAGTTCAGTTGTGTAGAATGTGGAGTTCTACTATTGCAGCTATGGAAGTAGGCAGTGCAAGGCTGTGCAGCTAACAGGCCGGAGTTTCAAGGCTTTGAACTGGATCTAGGTTTGTGCTGGGTCAGGTTGTGGGATAGTGTCATATGATGAAACTGTTCTGCAATAGATTTAATATCAACAGGGAAAATATGTATTCTACAATGGATTGAGACTGCTAGGACAATAAGAATGATTCTCCAATTAGTTACTGCTTGTTTTGTGGGCCCTGACTCTGTAGCTTGGGCCTGGACAACACTAAGAACACAGTATCCATCTTTCTGCCTTTTCATTTATCAAGAGTGAGTTCCCTAATGTTTACTTGCCTATGATCACCCTTCATTCTATATCCCCATTGTCTGCCATACAGAACATAAAACTAACTCAGTTTGCGGAATGGAAAAGCAAGTGCCAGTTGCATTATATCTACATTTATGTCTACGTTTGCATTATCACATGGTGCGTTATCATGGGGTTTTCCTGCTTTTATTTTTCAATTTCTCTTGCTTCTAAAGCTCTAATTTGATCAATCCATTTGAGCATGCCCTTACTAAAAATACCTATTCCTTATGACCCAACCAGTCCTCATGGCTTCAGGATAGACCACAGCCAGGAACAGTCATATCTGAACCACTATATTTACGTAAGATATGACTTCTAGTGGAAACAATTTCTGATGGAATAATCAAAATTCTACTTCCTTAATAGGCAAATAAAGAGTTAATACTATTAATATTTAGCCAGCATTTTGAAAATTGTATAATGTTCAAATCGATGTCAGACATTTTCATTTTATCTTGATTATACATAAATATAGGGAGTATATATGATTTGCCTGTAGTTATGTAAATGACAGAAATGGTTAATGAGCCCAGAGTCCAAGCCTAGTATTCTTTTTATGAAACCTTAGGAAGTACAATGTTATTAAATAGTCATAGCAGTATATAGTGTTCATATTGCAAAAAAATAAAAATTGCCTTGATTTTAGAATAGCCACTAATTTTATATCATATTTGCATTGATTTCAATAATTTATATATTATTCCTGAGTGATTTCAGAAAGGATCTGACATGGGGTGATCTTTATGTCTACTAGAAAGGTGTCCAATCTAAACTGAGTACCTTCCCCTTTGACATTTCTACATCTTTATTTGTTGCTTCAAAATAAGGGTAATTAGAAATGTATGTGGTTACAAATGGCAGATTATATAAAAATAATATCCCTAGAAATGTGTTTTATATTTACCTTTGAATATTAACATATCTAAATATGGGTGCTAAACTTCCCTTAGCTAAAATACTAGAGTTGTATTATTGTGGAGAAAGACTGTATTAGAGCTAAGAAATTAATCACTTTTTTGCAATACACGTGATTCTTAAACAATGCAATGGTTAGGGGAACCAACTGCCCACACAGTCAGAAATCTGAGTATAACTTTTGACATTCCCAAACCTTAGCTACTAAATGCCTACTGTTGACTGGAAGCTTTACTGATAAGATAATTGACACAAATAACTGATAAGTTAATTGACACAAATGTATATTACATGTATTATATACTCTGTTCTTATAATAAAGTAAGCTAGAGAAAAGAAAAATGTTACTAAGAAAATTATAAGGAAGAGACAATATATTTACTATTCATTAAGTGGAAGGGGATCATCCTAAAGGTCTTCATCCTTGTTATCTTCACGTTGAGTAGGCTGAGGAAGACGAGGAACAGGAGGAGATGGTCTTGTTGTCTTAGGGGTGGCTGAGGAGGAGGAAAATCTATGTATAAGTGGACTCATGTAGTTTAAACCCATGTTGTTAAGGTTCCAGTGTATGTTTGCTCAATATCTCTAAGAAGCCACTGAAAAAAGTGCCCCATATGGAATTTGTAAAACAGCTGTGGAATTTTGCCGCTTGAACCACTTTGTTTCCTCACATGAACTTGACTGATGGAAACAGCAACAGCAGTAGCTTACAGGGATGGCAGCAGGTATAGGTCTCCCCAGTTTCTTCCTTCTCCAAATCCACTTATTTTTTTTTCTTTTTTTTATTATTATACTTTAAGTTCTGAGGTACATGTGCAGAACGTGCAGGTTTGCTACGTAGGTATACACGTGCCATGGTGGTTTGCTCACCCATCAACCCATCATCTACATTAGGTATGTCTCCTAATGCTATCTCTCCCCTAGCCCCCACTCCCCGTCAGGCCCTGGTGTGTGATGTTCCCCTCCCTGTGTCCATGTGTTCCCATTGTTCAACTCCCACTTATGAGTGAGAACATGTGGTGTTTGGTTTTCTGTTCCTGTATTACTTTGTTAAAAATGATGGTTTCCAGCTTCATCCACATTTCTGCAAAGGGCATGAACTCATTCCTTTTTATGGCTGCATAGTACTCCATGGTGTATATGTGCCACATTTTCTTTATTCAGTCTATCACTGATGGGCATTTGGGTTGGTTCTAAGTCTTTGCTATTGTGAACAGTGCTGCAATAAACATGTGTACATGTGTCTTTATAGTAAAATATAAATCCACTATTTTATGGTTTGGCATCCTCACATTCCATTTATTCATCTGAATCCATGTTTTCCATTCCCTGGTGCTCCTGGACCCCCGCACTTGTCCCACGCTGCATTTCTACCTTGTCCTGATGCTCTGACTGCTAGGGATGAGGCAATCATGAGTCATGTACCTACTTAGAGCCAGTCTGTATTTTAGACTGATTTAAAAGGAGAGCAATAATTAATGCAAAATTGCCTTTCCTGGGACTTTTAATGGGTGGATTTCCAAGTCTTTACCAAGCAACACACTGAGCTGTAAGAAGAAATGGCAAAGTCAGTGTGATAATTAATCTAGTGGTTCACCACTCTCAAGGGGACATTTTGACAATTGAGAGTTTATTTATTTATTTATTTATTTATTTATTTATTCTTGTTTCAGTGATTCACGGGCACTGCTGTCATGTAGTGGGTGCAGCCAGGTAGGCCAAGCATGTTGCTGCGAGTAGGGCAGTCCTGCATAATGAAGACTTGTTTTGTGTCACATCGGACTTCAAAATGCCCCATGCATACTCATAAAGAAAGAAAAAGCCTGTTAATATATTTTACAATTTTTCTTACATTTTATTTTCAAATTTTAATTTTTAGCCTAAAACCCAAGTCCACTTTGAAAATAAACACAAAGCCCCGTTTATAAAGTTTTACTACATACTGTTTTCCAGGAATGCAACTACTATTTGAACCAAGGTGATATTTTACTGAATTTTACCAGAACCTTACCGAGAATTGTTTAGCGTTGCAGAAACTCTTCTCCGTGACAGTAATGCCACTTGAATTTGAATTTCCTAGACAGTACACCTTAACTGTTTGCATTTATGGTCGTCACAGCTATAATGAATGATTCCATATGTAGGTATGAGTCACTGACTCCATCATTATGTCTCTTGGTGTAGTTGGGCCTGAGCATATATTTTGAAAAACACATTTTTTGATATATATTACTGACTACATTTTTTACATTAAAGTTAGGTTAATATATCCATTTTTAAAATTATTATCTGTTAATTTCATTTTGATATAGTAGATGGGACTTTAAACATATTTGTTTTCTAAAGGAACATTCTTTAAATTTGATGATTTTTTTAAATCATAGAATTAAGGATTACTGTTTGAAGAAATTAAGCAGACTAGTACCGAATAATAGGTGCAAAAATTGCATAATAAGTTATTTAGCTGAACAAAATACATGCTAATTACAAAAGCCTGATGATTGGTTTGTAATAACTGACACACTTATATGCATCAGTCGATATTTCTATCATGTGTAAATTGTGCTACATACAGATGATAAAACAAAGTCATATAAAAGTTGGCCTTATAATACAGATGTCTAATAGGCATATAAGTCATCCTTACCAACTTTCAGCCTGCTGACCAGTCGTGTAATGAAAATGGATGGCACCTGAATGAGAAAACAATTATGTGGCTATCTGAAGGAGGGTGGTCATACCAAAAGGATGAACAAAATACTTCAAGCAAAACTAACAGCAACATAACGAGCTAAGAAGTGACAGGCACAAACACAAGTGGATCATGTTGACTTGAAGCAAGCAGAGTTTGAGCTGTTTCACTGTCTCATTGAAACAGAAGAGTATGCTCAGCGTGAAACTAAGAGACAGCTTACAGAGAATGACACCCTGCAGGTAGCAGCTGCTGCTGACACCCAACGGGCAGAATATAGAGAAGGTATATTTGTTTATTTATGCAATTTGTGAGGAATTGATTGCCTGACATAATTCACCCTTTTCAGACCCATGCTTATAACTAGGAAGCATCAAGGTCAATATCCCAGTCACACAGTGCAAAATATTTTGCCATATGTACAGGATTGAATGTAATGGCAGAAGTCATTTCAACAGGACTGCTGTCAATATATCATTTGCATATGTACAAATAATTTGTTAACTATGGTTGTTCTTAACATATTCACAAGTAAACCCCCTAAGGCATAATTACAATAGCACTGCCTATTCAATCCCTATTTTTGTTCTGGAAATTATACCTACATTGAGCCTAGTTCTAGGTTCAGGCCAAAAAACAAGGGATATGCAACTTTAAGGGGAAGAAATACTGACTCCATAAATATCCATATAGCTTTTTAAGAAAGATTTGCTTAATAGGAAAACGGTGTTTTCTCACGTAAAATTCAGGTTTTGTTTAACAAACATATTGAATCCAAAGATAAAGTATAGTATAAAGTAATAGGATGTGCTTCTGTATTGAAATACTGGTAGTTTTAAATTCTTGACATGAATAACTGGATATGGCATATGTAAATCTACCAAGAAATAAAACAGAGGTCTTAAAATGTAAAGACATGATAGGACATATTTATCACCCCATAAAACAAACTGGCATTTTCATATCCTAAGCTGGCCACTTTGTTGTATTTGTGTATGGGTCCTCACTACAAAGTTCTGTCCCTGATTTGGGAACATCACACATGAGAGGTAAAAAGCACATGGTAGATGAGGGATACAAATACCATTCTGTTTATGATTCTAACAGATCGATTTGTGATACAAAAACCATGGGTAGAATTTGAGAATAATTAGTGTGATACGATGTTATAAATACAAAGGAAGTATGTGTGTGATTTTTTTTTCAAACTTGGTTTTCTATTTCTTACAGACAGTAGTTTTCTTTGAAAGTATTAATTAGTTCACTGTTTGTGTGATTTTATGGGCAGGAGGAGTGACTATCCATTGTGATGGCAGTAAAAGGTAACGTGCCCTAATGTAGTTCATAGTAATGACGAGGGACACATGCCAGGTGACATATTTTAATGAAATGTTAAATGAATTACCAAGAAAAAAGGGAACTTAATTTTCAATATGAAAGGAAGAGGCCATTGAATAAATAAAGTGGAGGTGAGATAACAGATTCTCAAAGGATTCTTAAAAATCTGCCATGTTATATCATTCTGGTCAACAGAATGATTCATATTTCATTAACTGATTATAGATAAAATATTAGATCCTGTTACAAGTTATGTGTCTTACAGTTCAGTTATTATTCACATAGGTATTTCAGAGGGAGAAAATGATTTTCCATCCTTTTTTTTTTTTTTTTTACAACATTAGGGGAAAATAATTACTATTAAACCTTCTGTTTCCATTCACTGGATCTGAGATGAAGTGGATTTCCTTACATATTCATGACTGCTTTGGTTAAATACCATCTATTCTGAATTTTATTCTCCATATTACAGCTATAATATAAAGGAAATAAATATGCTTTCCTTAAATGTATCAATGGAGCAAAAATTGTTTTTATAATAAAGAACAAATCCAAAGACAGGCAATTCAGTTAATCATATAATTTAAAGGTTATTGCAAGGTCTTGGATAACCCTGAATATTTATTTTTCCACCAGCTCACTATCTTATTTGCATCTTTTCTTATGTGTTCTAAGATCCCTGCAACTGGAATAATTTCTCTTGATAAAAGAATAAAGAAAAGATTTAATTATGGTATTTATTATTGTATTTTGAAGGTAAATATTAAAAATATGCTTTGATGGAATGGGCTCAAGAGAAATGGGAATGAGGATGCTAGTTGAGAAGACTTCTCATGCGTCCTCCTCATTTCATAAGCATAGATTAATTAAATTAACTAGTTGCTCACCAAAGCCTGACATAAGAATGATGAGGTGCAGAAGCCACTAAGTTTTAATGTGTGTTAAAAACAGCAGCAAAAACTGTTAGGGGCTTAGTGAGTATCATGGACTATCTGCAGGTGGGTTTCCATGGAGGAGGAGCCCAGGGGAGCCCCAAGGAAGTATAAGGCGGGGTGGGGCTCAGGAAAAGCAGATTTAAAGCTTGAGAGCACCATGCTGTGCTGATATTATAGCAGAGAAAAAAACTGATTTTACCTTTCCTAACTCCTTTCTCTTCTTGCCATGAATAGCATATATGGAATTACTTTTAAATATGTGATGAATACATGTATATCCGTGACACATGAGTCTCTGCCTGCAAATCAGTTATGTAAGAAATATGGCATTTCCTTGTTTACTAGAAGTCAAGCTAATTTAGACATGACTCTCTTTCTTATATGTCTAGCTAGAAATTCTACCTTAGTCATTCTTAGGGCATCTCTTCCCTATGGTGGTGCCAAGTTCCTGGAGCCTTATTCTACATTAGTCATCAGGAGCCCTTCCTAGTTGTTGGTCATCTGCCCACTGCTGAAATAAATGTTCAGTGTCCCAGCTTCATGGTAATGTGCCTTACTTTGTTGTTATACATGGACCATCTTTGGATGAAGGGTGAAACTTAGGACTAGGATCCAGCCTCTCAGATGAATCCTGTGGTGTTTCCCTCTGAGATCTGGCTACCTTTTCCAGGCAATGCAATAGAATGATACTAAATTCTTTCCTTCTCACAGAGCCTGACAAGCATACATACCCCTTTCCTACTCCAAGGGAATCTACCTCACTCTTTCTCCTTGTCCTTGAAAGCTTCCCTAAAGCCTTCTCTTCTTTCAGAGATAACTAGCATGAGCTTAGAGTTTCATAAAAGATGAGAAACACTTCTGACTCCAGGTAGTTTCTGGTCTCTGTCCATCCAATATTCCAGAGGCAAGGAATTACAAAGCCTGTTTCCCTGCTTCACTGGAAAAAATAGGGGGAAATCACCAGGAGTATAAATGCAAATTAGTATTTCAATAAATTATACTACCATTGAGGAAGAATCTCACACATTTATGTCACCAGGAATACTGATAATGAAGGAATTAATTCCAAAATACAATTTTAAAGCAGATACCTAATGGCTAAGTTCTGACAAAGAGTATAGATCTGATTTGTGCATTATGCATGTAACTATTTCAGAGACATGGAAATTAAATCATATTTAAGACATATTTGATGTATTATATTTACTGAAAATAATAAAATTCTGTAAAATCAGGACTGTCAGGAAAAGTCAGAATGTAGCCACTGTACTCAGTTATAGAATAAAAGCAGATATATCTTGGCCATTGAATCACAGTGCCTTAAAATAAGATAGTAAAGTAATGAGGAAGCTCTCCTACTAATGCTATTCTTTTTTTTTTTTTTTTTTTTTGAGATGGAGTCTCTCCCTGTCACTCAGGCTGGAGTGCAATGGCGCGATCTCTGCTCACTGCAACCTCTGCCTCTCAGGTTCAAGCGATTCTCCTGCCTCAGCCTCCCAAGTAGCTGAGATTACAGGCATGTGCCACTGGGCCAGGCTAATTTTTTGTGTCTTTAGTAGAGACGGGGTTTCACCATGTTGGCCAGGCTGGTCTCGAACTCCTGACCTCGTGATCTGCCCACCTCGGCCTCCCAAAGTGCTGGGATTACAGGTGTGAGCCGCCGCACCCGGCCCTACTAATGCTATTATTCTAAACTAATTGCCCTTTCTAGGTTTGCCTGCCTGGATTGTGTTTTTTAAATATTTTTTCTTATATGTTATATTCTTGTTAGATGGCTAGAATGCTCTAGGGTCTGGAAAGAGGGACAACATCCTTTGGGTAAATGGAAAAGTTGAACTAATTGAGAAAAATATTCTGTGTTTAAATTATGTTTGCCATTTTTAGTATTTTCATTTTTAGGGACTACATATGCTGACTTAGGAAGTTCAAGCTAGGTTTAATTTTCTTCCTTTGATAGCTTCACATAACCCACACTTTCCCTCCAAATATTCCTCATCTTTCACCTTTGCTTATAGTTGTTATAGAATTTATTAAAGAGTAAGAAGAAAAGAAAATAATAGACATACCAGGGGCTCAGGAATAATACTATATAGAAAATTACATACTGTTGGCCTTTAGTTTTTGAACATGATTAAATGTGAAATATTGCTATAAAACTTTTATTCAGCTCAGAAGGGTTCGGCCTACATAACAGAAAGTGGGAGATAATGGGGAACTAATTTTCCAAAAACAAATTTCTTATTTTATCATTTTGTATAAAGTCATTTCTGACATATCATGGCAGCAAAAACATGATAAATAAAGTCAACAGTAATGTTGTGTACTTGATCTACTGTGGCAAAACTGAAGGTCCCCTGTTAGTCCTAATATATTTTCCCACTTTCTTTTTAACAGTGAATTATATCCTCATTCAAACATTAAAAAATACTCTTTTGCTGACATTTTAAAGAAGAGGTGTCCAATCTTTTGGCTTCCCCAGGCCACATTGAAAGAAGAAGAATTGTCTTGGGCCACACATAAAATACACTAGTGATAGCTGATGAGGTTATAAAAAAATTGCCAGTCTCATAATGTTTTAAAAAACTTTAGTAATTTATGTTGGACCACATTCAGAGTCATTCTGGGCTGCATGCAGCCCATGGGCCATGGGTTGGACAAGCTTGTTTTGTAACAACACAGTGGAAAAATGGAACCCTTACATTGATACCATCAAGAATGGTAAGCAAGGTATACACATTTAATACTCTTAAGGAGCTTACATTCTTGAGAACAAGAGTGTGAATTAAAGTCAGAAATTTCAGTTAACTAAATTATACTGTTAGATGAGAAAATAAAAACTAAAATACTGGAAGTTTCTATAGTCTTTACTGGGCAATCAATTATTGTGCCCTTTTTGTTGATCATGTGATTAAGGTAATTAAAATCCACGTAAATCTCAGCAAGTATATTTTTAAACAATAGATTCAAAATTTCAAGATGAATTCCAAAGGGAAGGATACTGCATTGAGGGTTAAATACTGGGAAGTGATATGGTTTGGCTTTGTGTCCCCACCCAAATCTCATCTTGAATTGTACTCCCATAATTCCCATGTGTTCTGGGAGGACCAGGTGGGAGATAATTTGAATCATGGGGGTGGTTTCCCCCATACTGTTCTCATGGTAGTGAATAAGTCTCACGAGATCTGATGGTTTTATCAAGGGTTTTCCACTTTTACATCTTCCTCATTTTCTCTTGCTGCCTCCATAAGAAGTGCCTTTCACCTCCTGCCATGATTCTGAGGCCTCCCCAGCCATGCAGAACTCTAAGTCCAATAAACCTTTTTTTCTTCCCATTCTTGGGTATGTCTTTATCAGCAGCATGGAAACAGACTAGTAGAGTAAACTGGTACCAGTAGAGTGGGATGTTGCTGAAAAGTTACCTGAAAATGTGGCAGCAACTTTGGAACTGGTTAACAGGCAGAGGTTGGAACAGATTGAAGACAGGAAAATGTGGGAAAGTTTGGAACTTTCTATAGACTAGTTGAATGGCTTTGACCAAAAGCTTGATAGTGATATGGACACTAAGGTCCAGGCTGAGGTGGTCTCAGATGGAGATGAGGAACTTGTTGGAAATTGGAGAAAGGTGACTCTTGTTATGTTTTAGCAAAGAGACTGGTGGCATTTTGCCCCTGCCCTAGGGATTTGTGGAACTTTGAACTTGAGAGAGATGATTTAGGGTATCTGGTGCAAGAAATTTCTAAGCAGTAAAACTCAAGCGATGACTTGGGTGCTGTTAAAGGCATTCAGTTTTATAAGGGAAGCAGAGCATGAAAAATTCAGAAAATTTGCAGCCTGACAATGTGATAAAAAAGAAAAACCCATTTTCTGAGGAGAAATTCAAGCCAGCTGCAGAAATTTGCATAAGTAACAACGAGGGGAATGTTAATCCCCAAGACAATGGGGAAAATGTCTCCAGGGCATGTCAGAGGTCTTCACGGCAGCCCCTCCCATCACAGGCTAGGAGGCTTAGGAGAAAATGGTTTCATGTGCCTGGCCCAGGATCCCCATGTTGTATGCAGCCTAAGGACTTTTTGCCCTGCATCCCAGATGCTCCAGCCATGGCTGAAAGGGTCCAATGTAGAGCTTGGGCTGTGGCTTCAGAGGGTGCAAGCCCCAGTCCTTGGCAGCTTCCACGTGGTGTTGAGCCTACAAGTAAACAGAAGTCAAGAACTGGGGCTTGGGAACCTTTGCCTAGATTTGAGAACATGTATGGAAATGCCTGGATGTCCAGGCAGAAGTTTGCTGCAGGGGCAGGGTGCTCATGAAGAACCTCTGCTAGGGCAGTGTGGAAGAGAAATGTGTGGCTGGAGCCCCCATACACAGTCCTTACTGGGGCACTGCCTAGTGGGGCTGTGAGAAGAGGGCCACCGTCTTCCAGACCCTAGAATGGTAGATCCACTGGAAGCTTGCACTGTTTGCCTGGCAAAGTCACAGACACTCGATGCCAGCCCATGAAAGGAGCTGAGAGAGAGGCTGTACCCTGCAAAGCCACATGGGTGAAGCTGCCCAAGACCATGGGAACCTACCTCTTGCATCAGCGTGACCTGGATGTGAGACTTGGAGTCAAAGGACATTATTTTGGAGCTTTAAAATTTGACTGCCTCACTGGATTTCAGACTTGCATGGGCCCTGTAACCACTTTGTTTGTGCCAATTTCTCCCATTTGGAAGGGCTGTATTTACCCAATACCTGTACCCCTATTGTATCTAGGAAGTAACTAGCTTGCTTTTGATTTTACAGGCTCATAGGTGGAAGGGATTTGCCTTGTCTCAGATGAGACTTTGGACTGTGGACTTTTGAGTTAATGCTGAAATGAGTTAAGACTTTGGGGGACTGTTGGGAAGGCATAATTGGTTTTCAAATGTGAGGACATGAGATTTGGAGGGGCCAGGGGTAGAATGATATGGTTTGGCTCTGTGTCCCCACCCACATCTCATCTTGAATTGTACTCCCATAATTTCTACTTGTTGTGGGTGGGACCCAGTGGGAGATCATTTGAATTATCAGAGCGGTTTCCCCCACACTGTTCTCAGGGTACTGAATAAGTCTCACGAGTTCTGACGGTTTTATCAGGGGTTTCCGCTTTTGCATCATCCTCATTTTCTGTTGCTGCCTTTCACTCCTGGGCCATTATTTTGAGGGCTCCCCTACCATATGGAACTGTAAGTCCAATGAAACCTCTTTTTCTTCACAGTCTTGAGTATGTCTTTATCAGCAGCATGAAAACAGACTAATATAGGAAGTAATGGTGTCTCTTCAGAGAACACGAAGATTTGTCGTTTCATTAAAAATAAATATTTATTGAGTACCCACTCTGGGCTAGCTATGTACAACTGTTAAGTGATGGATTGTGACATATAAGGCCAGAGTCCTCATGGAGTGTTTAACTCTACACAGGGCTGACAAGTGTAAGAGGGAACAAGAACATAAATAAATAAGCTAAATTCAGCTAGTGATTGGTGCTAAAAAGGAAATAAACAGGATAATGTGATAGTGATGTGTGTTGTGGGTCCATTCGGGTTTCTAGCTCTTTATGGTCAGAAGATACTGAGCTTTGAAGGCAAGCTCTGCGCATGAGGAAACAGGTGGGTTAAATAGATTTTTTTTTTCTCTGACAATCAAGCCCCTGGATAACCTAAGCGTTTTCGCCTTCATTTCAGCCAGGCTTTTTCTCCTTTATTCTATGCTTGCTGGGCCCTTTACTCTCTAATAGCCAAACTACTAGAGCTAGAGATCTTGCCTTTGTCATTAACTTTTCCTGTTCCCAATATCTGCTTTCTAAGATCTCTTTCAGGAGGTAGATATGGAAAGGAAAACAGACATAAAATTTGAATGTATCATTGTGGCTACATGTGAACATATTGCATTAAATTAATTGATAGAAAGAAGTTTGAATAAAATATTTTAGAAGAGGTTTTTGAATTTAGAGTTTATGAGGTTATACTTCTTTATCAACTTACAGTTAACAATGAAGTTATTCCCAAGCATCTTTAAAGCTAATTTATTTCCTTTTGTGTTTAAAGTTTTTTGAAGGAAATATATGCCTCAAAACAATTCTGTTGACCTTTTCTATCTATCTATTTATCTATAAAACAAAACATTAAATGGTTCCTTGATGGTTTTAAGTCATGGAATTTTTAGAAGCTAAAAGTGATTTAACTGCAGAACATTAAAAAACAGCACTGTATGATTGAAACTATGAGCTTTCATTCTTTCTTACCCAGGTCTGGGGTTCAGGCACATGAAGGATTGACTTTCATAGTTCCACATCATAAGGCACAGATTGTAAAGTATATGTAACCATTTTACTTAGTCTATTAACTTTCAGAAACCCAAACCAAGAGAATCACTCAGCAATGTGACATTTCACTTTTAGCTCTTACTGTCCTTTATAATATTCAGGTAAAATAATATTTTAAACTAGTTTAGACTGTGGCACATGCAGTACATACCTTGATGGTACGGATGACAGGCATCAAACCTAAACTCTGTAAAAAATCTGTGTAAATAACTCTTATTTTACTTTACACTGAAAGTAAAGTAAAATAAGGACTCAATGGTAAACTATTTCTTTATTAATACACACATTCTTATTTTACATTTCAGAGTAAAGTAAGAGTTTGTGCGTATTAGTCCGTTTTCATGCTGATGATAAAGACATACTTGAGACTGGGCAATTTATAAAGAAAAAGAGGTTTAATGGACTCACAGTTCCATGTGTCTGAGGAGGCTTCACAATTGTGGCTGAATGTGAAAGGCACAGCTTGCATGGTGGCAGACAAGAGAGAATGAGAGCCGAGCGAAAGGGGTTTCCCCTTATAAAACCATCAGATGTCTTGAGACTTATTCACTACCAAGAGAACAGTATGGGGGAAACTATCTCCCTGATTCAATCATCTCCCACTAGGTCCCTCCACGACATGTGGGAATTATGGGAACTCCAATTCAAGATGAGATTTGGGTGGGGACACAGCCAAACCATATATTTGTGTATTAATAAAGAAATAGTTTACTATTGCATCCTTAAGAATTGAGGCACTTACATATAGCTCACATTCATTCTTACTCTTCTGAGTCTCAGTATCAAATGGGCTGGATTAAAAATAAATAAAAAACAAAACAATAAATAAGGCAAGGGGAACTCAAGTGAACACATGGATAAAATGATTAGATAATAAATGGAATTATTCGAGAAATATTTTAAAAATTAGTGTAATTATAAAAGGTAAATAAATTCTAGATAAACACTGTATTAATCAGGGTTCTCCAGTGAAACAGAACCAATAGGAGAAAGAGAGAGAGAGAGATAGATGCAATTATGGAGGCAGGAAGTCCCACGATGTGCTGTCTGCAAGCTGGAGGCACAGGAAAGCCAGTGGTACAGTTCCAGTCCAAACCTGAAGGTCTGTGAACCAAGGCAGTCAGTGCTCTAAGTCCTGGTCCAAGTTCAAAGGCCTGAGAACCAGGAGCTCTGATATCCGACAGCAGGAGAATATGGATGTCCCAGATTGAGCAAAGAGCAAACTCACCATTTTAGTTATATTTATGCCCTCAATGGATTGAATGGTGCCCTCTTACATTGGCGAGGGACATCTCCTTTACTCAGTCTACTGATCCAAATGTTAATCTCTTCTAGAAACACCTTCACAGACATACCCAGCAGTAACATTTTACCATCTGGACATACTTATCCTGGTCAAGTTGACACATAAAATTATCGCATTGAGAATATTAGGCATCCAATAGTGGTGTGCTTGCAAGCCCACTCTCAGAATAATAAAGGCCTCGATATGTAGCATTTGACAACTTCCGTAGTGTAAATACCCTCACCATAACACATTTCAGAGGATCAACCTGAAGTTGCTGAATGTGAAGTTGGGAAGCAATGTATACCATTTTCCCGTGTGAACCAGTACGAGTCAACTGCAGTGTACCACTGTATTAGACCAGTTAATATATTTAAAAATGTTTCTAATCCACAGAAATGGACTTATCTGACACTGTGGGAGATCGGTTAATATAAATTAATTTTCTAGATAGTGGCCATTTCACCTGTAAGCAAATAGTGTCTATTTATTAAAGATAATTTCTATACAATGTATATGTTTTCTGCCTATAGAGCATAATTTCATCAATTCTTGATGATCTAAGTTCCTCAGTTGATATTAATCTTATGTGAACAATCAGGAAGGTAGTATAATGGTTAAAAGAACATAGTCTTAAACCAACTGTTTGGGATAAAATCCTGCCTCTACTATTGTGTAATGTTGAGTGTTACTCAGGTTCCTTCTACCTCAGTTTCCTTCTCTGTTAATTGGGGAAATTATAAGTGTTGTTAGTTCTTGTTATTCAAGGCAGTTATATTCTATAAAGTCACCACAAACACTGAATTAGTAAATACTGGATTATTGTTTTGAGGGGAAATACAGGGGTTAATTTCCTGGAAGCTGATTCATCAACCAATCAATACCTGCATTGTTTTGTGTATGTTCCTATTTAAAGATAATTTATTTAATATATATAGTTGAATCATTAACATGGACCACATAGACAACAGCACTATCACTTGTGTGTGAACAAAGCTTACTGACAAATGTACGTTCTCTCTAAGACACATCACAGCCTTTTTGCATTTAGGATCACTAGACAGCACATAGCGCTACAGCCAAGGGCTGTTTTAAATAGGGAAATCACCAACAAAAAATCACAGAAGCATGAAAAACATGGCAATAAATAGACTGTTAAAGCCACCCTGTTTATAGTATGAGAGTTGAAACACAAAGGTAGGGCTTTGCCTAGTTTCAACACAAATGGGAACATGCACATCAGGTGACTCAAATTTTTCAAGCTTCTGCCCATGCCTGTGTCTACAAATGAGCAAAAAGGGCTGTGAGTATAATTTGGGAGTTACTGTCAAAGATCAACAAAGCTGGACACTAGTTAAAGTGGTAAGATCAGGTGGTAATCAGTAATATACTGCTGCAGAAGGGAAGAGGGTCTGGCGTGACCTGAATTCAACTTAGATTTGTACAAGGAGGACTGGGCATTTTAAAGAGAGAATTGTAGAATAGGGAGAAGGGTGAGCAGGGACTCAGTAGAGTCAGGGTAGCAAAAAATTACAAAGTGTTGGTCACTGTAAATGATTCAATCCTCCAGCAGAGACGGGGAGGCAAGCTGTTCCTCCTGATATTTACATTTTAAGAGAATGGCTTTCAGGTCCTTTGAGAAACATACTCCTTAATTGTAGGAGACACATAGGTATCTCAAAGGGATAAAGGAAGGATCCACAATTGTAAGACCTTTGTAGTAAATGCTCTAAAAAAGGTGTCGGGGCTTATCATCAGGTGTGGGCTAGAGTAGTCGATTCTTTTGGCAGCCCTAAAAAAGGTGTCCGCGGCTTATCATCAGGTGTGGGCTGGAGTAGTCAATTCTTTTGGCAGCCATGAGCTTCCCCAGGCAGGATCTTAAATGGGGCTGGGTCATCCTAGGGATGCAGGCTTGATCTAGTGCTTATTCAAGTCTTTTCATAGGAGGGTGGGAGAATTTCATGTTCGCTGACAGCCTGTAGATTTTATAGGCCAAGCATGAGACCTAGTCAGGGAGTTCCGAGGAGCCTGGCTAGCATTTGAGCAAAGAGAGAATATTTGTGATTACAAATATATTTTATTAAATAGGCAAATTCGCAAATATGAAATCACAAATAATGAGGGTCGACCGTATTTTCACATTGTTGTTATTTAATTATGTAAATTGCTTAGAACACTAAGCACTCAATAAATGTCTGCTTAAATTATAATGTAAGATGTAGGAAGTGTTGAGTTATAAAGCTGTTTGTTTTGATCTTTATCAGCCTGCCTCAGGTTGCTATTTTAATATTTGGTCTTCTTTTTGTTTTATATTTTCGGTTTTCCAGTTTACTGCCAAGCTTCCACTTTTTCTCACTGTTAGTTTGTGCTACTCTGGCCTTTTAACCCCAGCCCTCCTGCACCCATATTCTTTGCGAAAATGTTTCAGTTGACTATTTAACAAGGCTGAGTGAGGACTTGAAGGCACTCTGAGTTGCTAGCTCTACTATGATCATTTTATTTGTTCACCTTTTGCTTTTAGACCCAAGATCCTGCCCGTGTTCCAGGTACTTGAGGTTGTTAGGGGTCTGCCTTTTATGTGAGGTGGATTTTTATGACCATTTGGGAACAATGTTCAATTTATTAGTATATTTTTATCATCGAGGGTTTTGGCCAAGAACTTCTTTTGTTTAGGAGCTGTGGCCTGGCCATGATCCAACCTGGCTGAGATGCTCAGACCACGTGATTTTCATACAGACACAGACTGTGGTGAATCTTATGGTAGAGCTTGCGGCAGACTCCATGGTAGATTTTATTTAGATCTCACGTCTCCACTGAATAACCAACTGAATTTCATGGCTACAAAGAAAGGAACTATCACATGATGAATTATTTTATATTATTTTTGACAATATAAAACAAATAAATGTTTTCATTATAAAAGTATTCTTGACTTTTGAAGTAAAATTTGGGTGTCACTCGAGGACTTTGCCTGGCTAAGGTGCAAAATTCTTGTGAATTTTAAAAATAGCTTATATATAAACCTTTACAGAAAACTAGGAGGTGAGGAAAATCCCTCATGAACTTGGATGTTATGAATTGCAGTCTAGGGATTTAAATAGGTTTCACTTATGTTCATGTTGGATTGTTAGAGTAGGTATTTCATGAATAATTTTATCTCAGATAAACTCATGATAGATTTTATCATTTTATTTTGGTTCAATTATATAAATGCTATTTAAAATCCAGCTCTTACTAAGGGTTAATATGGTAATGAATTCTAGTATTCCCTTTGAAAACACGGATAGATATTTTTTAATCTTTTTTTCATGTTCACTTAAAAAATATCTTGCTACTGTCTTTATATCAATGTTTCATAATTCTATTAGCCACATTTTGTTGACCTGCATATTCCTACAAGCCTGAATTTTAAGTTACAACTTTGTATTCAATATTAGTAGTATTAAAACAAACATATCAAAGGAAATAAAAACCCTAAAATTTAATGTTTCACAAAGGAACTCTGTGTTAAAACAGTGTCCTTTTAGAGTTAACATATGTATGGGAGATGCATTTTAAATAAAGATGTATCTGACCTGGAAGAGTAGACAAATCTGCTTTACAGCAAGTTGAAAGTTTAGAGAAATATTTATCATTCAGTTACCAAAATAACAAATTAAAGCAGCAAGGAAAGAGAAAAGAGAGGAGATGAAAGGAAATAAAGGAAAACCAAGACGTAAGTTAAGAAAGAGCTATTGCTTGTGAACTTCTTCCTAAAAAATGATAGAAAAAAAAGATAAGAAACAGAAAATTGCATGAGACTTCAGTGTTTATGTTTTGATGGAAATGTACAAATCATTTTCATTCTTTGCAGTGCTGTCATGCTCCATCACTTTAGTCCATTTTCACCTTCCAAAGAAATTCTGAATGGGCCTTCCTTCTCTGGCAGCTAATTAATCTTTCACAAGCCTACTCTTGCAGCCTGTCTGCCAGGGATGCCCCACACCTTAAGCCAGTGACTCACGAGCAGATTTCTTACCCTCTTGAGCAGTACTTTCTTCCCTTGAGCTATGTGAAGACCTAGCTTTTCTATTTTGTTTCGGAAACTATGTGAGCTGTAATATATCATTGAAGAATTGCTCCTTCCCCCCCACCACCATAAGTGAATATAAAGTGTTCCTGAATCATTTAATTGGGTAATAATGACAACAAAGTCTGAATATAAATTATGAATGTGTACAGCATTTTACCAATAGTGTATATCATATAGATGTAAGGACACATATTACTAGATTATAAATTCTCTGTGTATATACATTTGTTAGATTATCATTGTAATAACACAAATGTACTTATATTTATAATAATGTTGCATTTGCCTAAAAATACTAATAAAACTGCAAATAAAAATAATTTTTAGTCTAATTAATGGAAGATTTGGTATATGAATTTTTTTTTAAGTTAGAGCATAATTCTTTACAGATTGAAATGCCTCAGTTAAAACAAAACAATATGGCCAGGGATGGTGGCTCGTGCCTGCAATCCCAGCATTTTGGGAGGCCAAAGCTGGAAGATTTCTTGAGGCCACAAGTTTGAGACCAGCCTGGACAATATAGCAAGACTCTATCTCTACAAAAAAAAAAAATGTGTGAAATTAAAAAGTTTGGTATACATTCTTTTTGTATGCAAATGTTTCCATCTGTTGTCATTTCAATTTAATCTGAATAACTTCTTTTCAGCCTTTCTGGTAGAAAACATCTGCTGTCAATGACTTTATCAGGTTTTATTTATCTAAAAAATGTTTTATTCTCGTTATTGAAGGAATTCTGGGCTGAATATTGAATTTTCAGCCCTCAAAAAAGTGATCTGCCTCCATTATTTCTGTTAAAATGTCAGTTGCTATTTGTATAATTGCTCTGCACATTATGTTTATCTGTGGCTGCTTTAGAGATTTTGTTTTATGTTTTGCTTTTGACAGTTGACTATTATATACTTAGGTGCATTCTTTCTGTTGTTAAGCATGTTTGGATTTTGCTGAGCTTTTTCAATCTTGATATGAATATTGATAGGAATGTTGACATGAAAAATATCAATGTTGATAGTTTTCATTAAATTGCAGAAGATTTTAGCCATCATTTCTGCAAAAATATTTCTACCTCATCTCCCTCCCTCCTTCTCTTCACCCCTCTCTGATAACACAATTATACTTATGTTAGACCTTGTAATATTTTTCTACTGATTATTGAGACTGTAATCCATGGTTTTTCAATATTTTTTCTGTTCTTCAAATCAGATAATTTCTATTAATCTCTTTTCATTCTCACTACTATTTTTTCCTTCAGTACCCAATCTGATATTTTGCTCACCCAGCTAACATTTTAATTTCACATTTACTTATCCATTCTTACATAGACCTCTTTTTTTATGGTTTGCAGTTACCTTCTGAGATTCTCTATCTGTGCACCCATTATAACTATATGTTTCTTTAAATCTTTGAACATAATAATAATAAATCATTTGTAGTCTTGGTCTTTGATTTCCAATGTTTGATTCAGAGTCTGTTCTGTTCTATGTATTTTTTTATTTTTCTTGTGTATGGATTACATTTTTACCTTTCCACTTATGTACATATGTAGCATTTAAAAAAAAAAATTACATGCTGGGGCTGGGTGTAGTGGCTCACGCCTGTAATCCCAGCACTTTGGGAGGCCAAAGTGGGTGGATTACTTGAGGTCAGGAGTTCGACACCAGCCTGGCCGACATGGTGAAACCCTGTCTCCACTAAAAATACAAAAATCAGCCTGGTGTGCTGGCACAGGCCTGTAGCCCCAGCTACTCCAGAGGCTGAGGTAGGAGAATCGCTTGAACCGGGGAGACAGAGGTTGCAGTGAGCCAAGATCGTGCCACTGCACTCCAGCCTGGGCAACAGAGCAAGACTCCATCTCAAAAAAAAAAAAAAAATACATGCTAGATGTTGTTAATGACTAATTTGGAGAAATCTATATTAGGTTTTCTCCTGGAAAAGGTATTGAGTTCTGTTGTAAGGAGCAGTTTAATTATGGGAAGATCATTTTTGCCCTTTCAGGCATAGTTTTATTCATTGGTAGTAGAACTCTACTTTTGTTTTGAATTTAGTTTATGAACCTTACCCGTACCCCTATAGTGGAGCCTTTCTTGAATCTCCAAGTGAGAGTCTGAGATATGCAGTAAATTATCTCCACTTCACCCAGGATTAAACTCCAGAGTATTCTTTCTAGCAGTAGCTAATCTCTGGTATCATTGTTCAGCAATCAACCATAGAGCAGGAAATCTCTGCTAGACCTTGTGGAATCTTACTCTATGAAAATGCCATCTAGACGTTCGCCCAAAATTCATGGTGAATCCTCACACAAACTACTGCCATTCCCAGCTCAGCTCCCTTTTGTCAGCTACCCTACACTCCAAATTTTAAGCAACTCAGAAGCCCAGACTTTTCTCGCTGCTTCTCAACTCAGTGAAACTTCAGTTCTACTGGGCTCTATTTCCGTATTTGATAGTAAAAAGTGCATCCAAGCAGAAAGTCATGGAGGTTACAGAGCTCATTTTGAGTTTTTCCTTCTCTTAAGGATTATATTCCTGTGCTATGTTTAGTTCAATGCCAGTAAAAATTTACTTTAGATAATGTGTGTAATTTTACAGTTGCTTATTATAAGAGAAGTACAGAAACTGGTTACTTTATCACAGTTGGAAGCATAAATCCTAACAAGCCATTTTTATTGTTAGATAAAAGAGATAAAGCAGATTGCCATAGATGAGGCAGAATGAGGGTCGTGAGGGAGGCAGGCTCATTGAGAGTTAAAATAGAGCCTGTGATGCTACGGGTATTGCAACATACTACATACATCTGTACTTGAAAGTAAAGCAAAAAAATGGAGAAGAGATACACGTCAGGGATTGGGTCAACAGCACACGAGGTGAAAAGATTTTGTAGGAGACAACAAATCTGAATAGAAGTCAGTGCCTTTCTCTCCTTCTGCCAATTAATTTTCCCACCTTTTGCCATTAATCTTTAGAAAACAGCTATCCCCCAATAGCTGTCCTCGTAAGTCATAATAAAAAGAAACCAACCAGATTTTATAAAGAATTGCAAAAATTGAAGAGTAAATGAATAAAACTCCAAATTTCAGTGAAGAACATGAAGTGCATAAAGGAATCACCTGAGTAAAGATATGAAATCAATAATTCACACAAAAGTACTCTGTTTCCAAAGAAATTACTGAAATGCTATATTTTAAATTGTTTTTATATAATAAAATGTCAAAAGAGTTAAAATATTTTATTATGATTTGTAAGATGATAGATGCAAATAAAAAGCAGACTGAAAAAGATCAGGAAACAAGTGAACTAGAAAACAGAAATAAAAGCTTTTGATTGCTCTTCCCCTACCCAACACACAAATAGAATAAACATAATTGAGAGTTATAAAGAACAGATATTAAAAATGAAAAAAATAAGAATTGTAGAGAAAATATTAAACGTAAAGGCAAATTAGACAAAAAAGGACATAGTGTTTCTAAACAAAATAAATGGACTAAATTGAGGAGAAAGAGAAAAAAAAGTCACAGGGGAAGAAACTTTCCTGGAATAATAAAAGTCTAGGCATAATAGGTGGACCTTTCCATTAGGGTATGCTGTGCTAAAATTTCTGAACTTCAGTATTTGGGAAAGAAACTGTAAGGGCTCTTGGGTGTAAACAGCAAACGAACCCCAAAGAAGGTTGGATGGGAGATTGGAGAGACTAGACTGACCTCAGACTTTGCAGTACTCTAACAGTGAATTGTTTCTCCACAAACATTTGAGGAGGTCAGGTGACCCAAGAAATTATAACCAGCGAAACTGCTGTTGAAGTACTGAATAATCATTAAACTGTATAAAAGTATGGATGCAGAGGATTAATTTAAACATATATTAAACACTAGGAAGATGGGGAAGGAGGGACGCTGAGTTTGAGCTTTGTGATTACAGATCAAAATATGTGATGATTTTTGATATTCTAAATTTAACAATAAGATTTTTTTAAATTTCAGAGGTGAGTAAAAAGAAAGTGGGAGGAACATAAATACGTTATTTTCCTTTTTTCACTATACTTTTTATAAATGAAATGTTATTAAAATAATATACTTTAATATTTTTCTTAATGTTATCTTTTAGATAGTGATAGATCTTGTCTTGTAGTAAGAAAGTATCTACGTGACTTTCAGCAATGCCTTTAGTTATACTTATTTTATTGTTAAATTTCATATAATTTAATAATTTACCATTTTAATATAATAGGAATAAAATTCTTAATTTTTATCTCTCTCTTTTTCTCTCCCACCTCACCTCTCTGTCTCTCCATAGAGCTATAACTACAGTAATTATACTAATATTTAAAGATGATTATTTCAAGATAGTGGGCTTTGGAATAGAAACTTAAAAAATGTTCATACTTACATTTTTAGATTCATTAAAAATAGCAGGTAAAATTTGTACATAAAACAGTAATTTTTTAAAAGAAAATAACTTATTCTGTAAGTTTTGGCACTCTCCTCAAAAAAGATTAAATGTCATAAGTAAAACCCAAGTATACTCGTAAATATTCTAATATATTGGTATACTTCTTGGGTCAGCAAACTTTTCTTCAAAGGGCTATGAATTAAATATTTTTGATTTGTGGACCATATTATCTCTGTTGTGGCTATGCAACTCTGTTACTGTAATGGGAAAGCAGCAATAGACAATATGTAAACAGACTGGCATATTCCAATAAAACTTTATTTACAAAAATAAGCAGTCAGTTCTGGGTCGTGGTTTGTTGACCCCTGGTATACACATCATCAACTTTAGTGATTAAAATATTATCAGCCTATCTGTGAAATACTGAGGTAAGGAAACTAATACAAAATATTCCTGATGTATTGATTTTATATTCTTGCTCCAAATACTTATTACTGTAATACTTAGCTTTGATGAGAAAGGGAAGTGTTGCTAAATAATTTACATACATATTCATATACATGCAAATTTTCATATCTTTTGATGTCTCAAAAATGCTGACATTTAAGAAAGGAAGGGCATATTTTGCTTCTTACAGTTCATATGTGCTGTACTCAAGCTGACTTCTTCCTTCCCATTTTACATTTCTAACTTTGATCTCAGAATGTAGGAGCTGGACAGGATCACCGAGTGCATCAGGTAAATAATTTCATTCACACAAGAAGAAAATTTACGGCCACTAAAGTTAAACGGTTACCATGCTAGTTCTTGCCAAAGTCAGGACTGGAATTCAGTCTCCTGGCTCCCATTGCAGAGTTTTGCCCACTACACTATATTATTGTACATGGCTTGGTTCAAGCCACAGAGGAACTAATCAAAGATTAACTATCTGATTTATACATATGTATATATATACTTACTTATATATATATATTTTTATACTTACATATATATATATATATATATATATATATATTTTTTTTTTTTTTTTTTTTTCCTCGAGAGGGCATCTCGCTCTGTCACCCAGTCTGGAGTGCAGTGGTGTGATCTCTGCTCACTGCAACCTCTGCCTCCCAGATTCAAGCGATTCTCCTGCTTCAGCCTCCCGAGTAGCTGGGATTACAGGCATATGCCGCCACGTCAGGCTAATTTTTGTATTTTTAGTAGAGATGGGGTTTCACCATGTTGGTCAGGCTGGTCTCGAACACCTGACTTCAGGTGGTCTCCTGCCTCGGCCTCCCAAAGTGGTTGGATTACTGACTTGAGCCACAATGCCTGGGCCAACTGACTGATTATTATATTAGGAATGCATTTATATTGACTCCTCTGTTCTGAGTACTTACTAGTTATCCTGATTCTATTTGTTCTCTATTTTAAAAGTAGGTTTATAAATAAAGTTATTTAAGAGCAATCAGTCATTACACATGAGGAGTGGTATTGCTCTATGTATACTCCGTTTCATTGAGAAACAGCCTTTTCGTAAAATGGCAAAAAAAACACAGCTGCAGTTATCCCTTTCTTCTGGGTCATTTCTAATAGTTTAGATCAGTGGTTCTCAAACTTTAACATGTATCAGAATCACTTGAAGAGCTTGCTAAAACACAGATTGCTGGGGCCTCCTCCAGAGTTTCTGATTCAATAGGTTTGGGATGACGCCTGAGAATTTGCATTTCAGACACGTTTCCAAGTGACAGTGATACTGCTAGTCTGGGTAAAAAATTTTAAAAACCACTGGGTTTAAATTCTCAGCCCTAAAGGCATATTATAATTACCAGGAGAGGCATTAATCCACTAATTAATTCCCAGGCTCCATCATCAATTGGCATAGAATGTCTAGGGCTTGAGACTGGGTATGAGTATTTTGTCTTTTTTTTTTTTTTTTGGTTTAAGTAATTAATCGGTGCATTAATAATTGTACATATGGGGTACAATTTGATGTTTCAATACATATCTGTGGTGTAGAGAGATCCAATCAGGGTAGTGACTGTATCCATCACTTCATGCATTTACCACTTCTTTGTGGCGAGAACTTTCAAAAGCGTTTCTTCTAGCTGTTTTGTAATATACAATATTTTAATGTTAACCATAGTCACCCTACTGTGCAACAGGACACCAAAATTTATTCCTCCTATCTAATTGTAACTTTGTACCCACTGACCAGTCTCTCCCTATTCTCCCGTCTCTTTTCCCTCCCCCAGTCTCTGGTAGCCACTGAAGTGCCTCAGGTGATTCTAATATATAACCAAGTCGGAGAAGCAATTAAGAAAAGTAATGACTGAAAAAGTTTATTTTGTCTGATGAATTAGTGCAAAATTTTTTAAACATATTCCTCTATTATGTGGGGATAATTTTTATACTGTCATTTCATGGTAAAGTATAAATGAGATAGTATAAAGATGACTTTACCAAGTGATTCCATAAATTGAAGGTAATTTGAGTGTAGTTTTATGCTACTAATCGTATAAAGTGCTGAGAATATAAGGTAGCTATAGAATTTTACTTTTAAAATGTTGTTATTGTAAAATTTTTGCCATTAATAAAATTATTTCATGCCTCAGTTCCTTAAATTATTTTTATTAGCATTGTATAGACAGCATAGATACTAACTCCTAAAATTCTTAATTTCTCTCTTTATAGTGAAAGATGCAGATGTACTTTGTATGGACATACAGATTCTGTGAACAGCATTGAGTTTTTTCCTTTCTCCAATACTCTTCTCACAAGCTCTGCAGACAAGACCCTGTCTATATGGGATGCAAGAACAGTAAGCAAATCATTCACTTTTTTTCCCAGCTTTTGATAAGTCTGATTACTCTCGGTCATTCTTTGGGTATGGAATATGACTTAAAAAGTGATTGTGCAAGGGCATTCAGGGCAAAAGAACAGTAAAAAGTTCATAATTACAAGATCCTTTCTATGCACTTGTATCCATTCTGCCTTCCAAATGTGATCAGGTAAAAATAATATGATTATCTCATTAAGCATTATTTCAACAATTATTTATTGCGATAGAAGCTCTGCTGGTTCATGGGATACAAAAGGGAAATACACACTGTGCCCCCTCCTTAAGGATCTTTTAGCTAGGTAAAGGAAGAGAAACGAGAGATTATTTTGATGAAATGAGACATGCGTTAATAAAATGGAAGACTATCTAAATACAGGGGGAAAGCAAGGAGGAGGATTCATATCTGCTGGAAGAGTGTGGATGGCTTTCAAAGGAGCCTAGGCTTGAGCTAAGATCTGGAGGGTAAGTAGGATATATAGGTCATCTGGAGAGGGGTAGATTTAGGAGAGGGCAATACATGCTCAAAGCCATAGAGATGTGAGGCTGCAATGGCATGTTCTGACAGTAATGATATAAATGGAAAGAGCTTAAGGAAAAAGAGGCATGATAGGCAAGAATGTACAGAGACAAAACAAGATCATGACGTATTTGATTAAAGTCTTAAACTATTTCCGAGAGAATTAAAGAGCATTAAGCAAACAGGGTGACATAATCGGATTTACCTTGTCAACTGAAGAGTGACAAGGTTCATAAATTTGGAAAATAAATTCCTCATAAGGGGTTACAGTCTGCAGGGTGGCCATTCGGACAAGCTGGAAAGCATAGCCTCCAGCCAGAAGCCAGAAATAGATACTTCGAGGGAGGAGCAAAGGGAACAGGAATTTATGCTGAGTTGGGTATGTGAATATTTCATAAGCTTGAGGAGGAGTCATGACTATTTATGAAAGGTGAATCATGCACATGCACAGTATACATTCATGCCCCTTCATGGGTCCCATGTACCAAAAATGGCAGTTTTAGCATGATCCAAGGCTGGAGTTTTCAGCCGCCTAACATCGGAAGGTGAAGTGGAGGACATGAAAACCCTTACTGCACATGTTCCATGGACTGGCCAGACCCACTTCATGGTCAGTGGTCTCTTATCAGGCTAAAAGAGGAAGGGCAGTATCAGGTGGCTGGTTGATATCAGTATTGAGGTCTTTTGAAAGGGCTGGTTTCGGCTGGGTGCAGTGGCTCACGCCTGTAATCCCACCACTTTGGGAGGCTAAGGCAGGTGGATCACTGGAGGTCAGGAGTTCCAGACCAGCCTGTCCAACATGGTGAAACCCCATCTCTACTGAAAATACAAAATTGGCTGGGTGCGGTGGTGCATGCCTGTAATCCCAGCTACTTGGGAGGCTGAGGCAGGAGAATCGCTTGTATCCAGGAGGCGGAAGTTGCAGTGAGCCGAAATCATGCCATTGCACTCTAGCCTGGGCAACAAGGGCAAAACTCCATCTCAGAAAAAAAAAAAAATCAAAGAAAGAAAGGGCTGGTTTCTGTTTAGCACTTAGGGAAGCAAGGCTAATGGTCATTTTGGAGGGAGGGAGTATGAGGAGGCTTGTCTGAACACCATCCTGTCCTGGCTGAGAGCTCAGTTTTCAAGGTTACTCTGGGGTCCTGTTGGCTAAGAGATGTTCCATTCAGTTGGCTGGGGGAGGGCCTTAGAATTTTGCTTTTATTTGTCCCCTTTTTAGAAGATGATTTTGATAAGGAAGTAAGAGAGTCAGTCATGTGAGGAATCTAATATAACAGGCTATGAGTGGATGAGAATTTGAGCTAGGAAACAGCGTAGATGAAAAGGAGAGAATGCATTAAGCATAGGAAGTTTATCCAAATTTGGAGAGTGATTGGAGGTGAAGATTATGTGGGGAGGAGGAGGAGTTCAGGGTGAGAAACTTTTCCAATTTGTCTAGGAATGAGGGTTTTCCTGAGTCATGAGATTTTCAGAGCTAAAATTGGACAGAACTGGATTACTGGTAGGTTCAAGAGTGAATTTGATTTTAATAAAAGTGTTTTAGTCTGTTCTCACCCTGCTGATAAAGACATACCCAAGGCTGGGTAATTTATAAAGGAAGAGGTTTAATGAACTCACAGTTCCTTATACCTGTGGAGGCCTCACAGCATGGTGAAAAGTGAATGAGGAAGCAAAGTCACGTCATACATGGCAGCATGCAAGAGAGCATGTGCCGGGGAACTCACCTTTATAAAACCATCAGAGCTCGTGAGACTTATTCACTATCACGAGAACAGCATGGGAAAAACTCACCCCTGATTCAGTTACTTCCCACCAGGTCCCTCCCATGACATGTGGGGATTATTACAATTCAGGGTGAGATTTGGGTGGGGAACAAAAAGCCAAGCCATATCACAAAGTAAACAACATGTAGGGACTACACTTTCAAACAGTTTGGCTGTGAAGATGAATAGGAGAAAAGATTGTAGCTCTAAGATCAAATAAAGGATCCTCCTTTGTTCAGATAGGAGACAGCATGTTTATTTGCTTATGGGTAAGATCGGGGAGATGAAATGAAAATGTAGGAAAGAGAAAAGATAACAGAGTTTATTGTGCACAGATTTTCATAACTTGAAGAATGCCAATATGTGTAAAACAAGGCCTCCATATTCTTCTTAGTGATATTTTATAAAGATCACAAGAGAAACAATGACTACAGTTGACTCTATAAGAAAAGAATAAATATTCATAATTTCTGGTTCCTGGGTCAATAAGAAAGAGAAATGTAATTTCTCCCATTTTATTTCCCATATACAAAACATGATTGATATAAATAAAGGAATATGGTAATGGACATGCAGATGGTGTTAGGAGGGATGCAAGTTCAGTATGTGAAGCCCTGTTTAGACCTCTGAGGCCAATTTATTTAGGATATATGAAGAACAAAATATGCTCAGCACCACACATTATAGAAAAAACTAAGGTAGAGCTACCCATGTCTTGGTGACCAACTTCACATGTTGCAGAGATTTAAACTTCTGAGGAAGCAGAAGTCAAGGGGGCATTGTGGAAAGAGTGCATCAGGCGTGACTTAAAAATAAAATCAGGATGATTTTTTGTTAGGTACAAAGGTCCGACAATCTCCTCCTTGCTTTAAAATAGCTTCTCAGACATTGATGCAGTGGAGTTTGCTCCTGCTAATGGAGCGTCAATGGAAAAGTAAGATTTTCAATATATTTTGAACTAAAAACTTAGATGTGAAGTTTGTATAAAAGTGATTGGTAGAGGAATATCCATAGAGAAAATATTAATTTAGCAGTGACCTAAATTCTATTGACTTCAAGGTTTTTTTCTCTCTCTCTCAAGTGCTATAACTGAGTGTTCTAGGAAAGTCTATATCTTATTTACTTTCTCTTATGTGAAAAACAGAAGCACTAATGCTTAGAAGTAAAACTGCTCTAATTTTAAAAAGTTTCCTCTCATATATATCTGCCTTGAATGCATACAGCTGTTTATTGATGGTGACCTTCCTCCCTCCCTGAGGTTCTGAGCTCTTTCTGTGCTATCCTTATTCCCTGAAGTATCAGGAGAAAAAGAGGGATTCAGCACAGCACAGTACCTTCAGCATAGTGCAATTGCATATGCATTGAATGTAAAAGCATAGAAGGGTTTGCAAGTCCCATTTGCATGACTTTAATCAACATAAATATTTTTAAGTTGACTTAATGGCAAATTAAAATGTATATCACTACAATTATTATTGCTATTTTGTTACTATTATGCATGCTAGCTTTATATTAATTAATACTAGAAAAAAGGCTCTAAAATATTTTGGTTTAAATGAAATATGATTCCTAAATGTATCATAAATGCATCATTAATTAGAAATAAAGTTCATTTAATGGGTTTATTTTCTAAAAATATTTTCAAACCAAGTAGAAAAAAATTTAAATTGATAGCTATGTACTGTAAAAAACTGGCATATAATGCAAAGGAAACTCATTCAACTTATTAATTACTAGATAATATAAATTGTTAACGAAAATATTGATATAAAATTCTACAAGTGAAATACGATAATCCAAAAATTAAACAGAATCATTCCACTAACATTGCATTAGGCAACTGTGGCGACTTCATTTCAGATATAGCTAATTTATTAAAAAACAAAACAAAACAAAAAAACTTTAAATCACCCAGGTTTTAAAAAATTTATACTGTTATATACATTGTTTTTAAAAGACAAAGACACGTGTTATATGTTGTCTGTATAATATGGAATTGTTAGTTGTTTTTTATCCCAGTGGTTCATAAACAAGTTAAAATAAATTTACATTTTTAGTTAAATAGTAAGAGATTTTGAAAAGGGTAACCAGATTAGCTAAAGTTTTTTTCTATGTTGTAATGATAAGAACAGTATAACATATTGATATGGATGACATTATTTGATTTGCAACATCAACTGAATCCATGGTATACTGGCATGCTTCTTCTTTATAATTTTTAAAATATGTTAATTCCTTGATACATGATAAATTGTCAGGTTATCCTGAAGGTCTGGACCTAAAAGGAGATTAATGACTTTCTTCTATTAGTGAAGCAGTAATGGTACATTTTGTCACCTCAATGTGATCAGTTACTATTGAGACACCCTCTGAAATATTTTTTGATGAAATGTGAAAATGACCAGTGGATTATATTCCTATAAATTAGTTTTAAACCTCCTTCTCCCACTCTCAAACATATACTCGTTTTAAATCATTAATATGATCTAACACCTTTATTATCAAAGATAATTAACGTGGAGGCCTAAGTCAGTTTCCAAGTCAACTGGACATATCAGCTCTGAATTTTGTAGAGGATGAAAAAAGGGATATAAATCTCTATAATTACCAAATGGAGGCTACAAAATAACTTGCAGTTTGGAAACTCATGAAATTGCTCAGTTTTACAGGACTGCATGTATTTTTCTTCAAAGTTGAAGACTATTTTATTAAAATTGAAAGATAAGATTGCTTTATTGTCAGAAAGTGATATATCACATAGCAAACTGAATGAGAAATTATAAGGCCTACCTAAAGGCAGTAAGAAAAGGCTCAATGTACATACAGTGATTTGGAAGCCTGTTTAAAATAAATGCAATGAGATTGTTAGTCATCCACAAACCCAGTGAAAATATTAAGGCTTTTTTTTTAAAGAAAAGAATGTTTTCAATATACAGTAAAACACAGAATGAGAATGAGATGAGTAATACATCTATGAGTTGTGTCAGAGCTGGGCTGGCAACAGTCAGAGTTGCTGACATTTTGTCTCTTGCCATGAGTCAGACACAGAGGGTTCATGACCTGGACTGCCTTTAGTGGCCATTCCTTGCTCCTTAGACTAACTGCGGGCACTTGTCCAGCTTACAGCATTCTCCTGACTTAGCTTTGGCCAAAAGATCCAGTAACTTGTCACTGCGAGTTTCTATAAAGTGGATAAACAAGGAACTCACAAAAAGAGTTAACCTGTTGGCTCCTGTTTGGTGCCAGACCCATGTCTGCTCTACAGTTCATCCTGCACCCTGCATAGGCCTGTTGGTTTTCATAGATAGGATCTGGTGAACTCTAAGAGGAGCCTAATATTCAGAATCCAGAATGTGGAAACAAAGGGAAGCTTGTACCTCTCTCTTTTATCCCTCAGCCATATTTGATTTAGTAATGTTTACTGGAGATCTATGTGCTAGGCAACATCCTAGGTTCTCGAGAGGTGACTGTGACAGAATCCCTGCCCTCAATGAACACACAGACTCTCAGGGACAATGTATAAAGATAAATTATCTTAAAATAATGTAGTAATTGCTATATATTCTATATAACTATAGCTTTGGTTTTTCTGTGCCAAAGCTCACTGTCTCAAGAGCTGATTGATGGTTAACACTTATTGAATATGTAATTTGTGCCATCATTTTACCTATAAAATCTACATAGCTTACTGGAATCTGATTGGGTGGGTACCATTATTATCTTTATTTCACAACTGAGAAAGTGGAGCCTGAGGAAGTAAGTTGCGCAAGAACAGCCCAGTGGTCAGTGACAGGGTGAGAACGCAGGCTGCCTCTCCAACCTCGGTCTTCCTTCTTCCATGCCCTTGGCCATTTCCATGCCTCTATTAATCTACTTAGTCCCTTCGAGTTTCTACCACAGTAGTCTCCAAACTATTTTTTATAAAAATGTTTTAAGCAATTACTACTGTGCTGGTATTTTATGTATGTAATACTTTATATATACACCTGAAATAAAAATAATGACAGAAAGGTACAATTAGCAATATTTAAAATTCCATGTTTCTTTTATAGCCTCTAATTTTGTTTGTTTCTGACCAAAAAATAACAATGACACAAAAATGACAGTTCAGTAAGAAAAGATGACTCAATATGCTTATATTTTCAAGGAATTCTGATTTAATAATTTTAATTAATGACTGTAATTCAGTGATTCACAAGTATGATCTATGATTGGATTTAGCAGCTATCAGAACTGCAAATGATCCCTTGACAAAAAATACAAAACTCCTAAAGGAAAAAATGTATGATGATCTGTACTTACCAATGTGCAGGCTGAACTTTCAAATTCATCCACTAATTATGCAAAGGAATTTTTGTTAAAATTTTGTTAGGGTTTCCTCTTGTTCTGAGGTCAATCAGTTGGTTTTGCAAACTAATCAGAAGTTTTCAAACATTTTAATACTATGTGGAAAATTCTTTTTCTACATGTCTTAAAGGTTCAGATACAAGGACTTTTAAAGGTTACTGCCCTTATGTAGATTTGGTAGAGGAAACACTAAAAATATGTGTTATCAAATGTTCTATATCATAAGTTTCTTTCGAAAATGGTGCCTTTTTTGTTTATTGTTAAAATGTCACCTTTATTTTGATAGGATGATTAATCATATTATTTTCAAAATTATCTGCTTACAGTTCACTGTTGGCAAATGCCTATTATCACAAAAAAGGTCAACAAATTAGGAATATTTGTGTTTTGGGGAGAAAAAGCATAACACATATTTAAGGTCAACTTTTCTTTTAAACACTTTGCTAAAAAATTGTGAAATTTAAATTTTGTGGGAGTAGAAAACATTTTTTTGGTCACTCTGACTTTTTACAAAATATTATAAAGATCCTAATCATCAAAGGACTAGTGTATTAATCTGTTTTCACGCTGCTGATAAAGACATACCCAAGACTGGGCAATGTATGAAAGAATGAAGTTTATTGGACTCACAGTTTCAGGTGGCTGAGGAGGCCTCACAATCATGGCGGAAGGCAAAAAGTACTTCTTACACAGTGGTGGCAAGAAAGAGACGCTTGTGCAGGGAAACTCCCGTTTTTAAAACCATCAGATCTCATGAGACCCATTCACTGTCATGAGAGCAGCACAGAAAAGACCTGCCCCCATAATTCAATCACCTCCCATTGGTTCCCTGCCACAACACCTGGGAATTATGGGAGCTACAAGATGAGATTTGGGTGGGGACACAGAGCCAAACCTTATCAACTAGTTAACCTAAAATTAACCAACTTATAAATATGCAAAGTGCTTGAAAGTGCAATAATACAATACAAAATTTAAAATAAACCTCACTGCATTGATTTTATATACTGTGTTACACCTTGCTTTGAACACCTTGGTTCAAAGACCTTCATGTTGCACAAATCCTGTGTAGAGACTTACTGCTTTCTCACTAAATAAACATCTACTACCATCAGTTATTAAATACATGATGTCCTAACCGTGTGAAGTTAACAAACATATAACATGATCTTTCCTCTGAAAAAGCTTTCCCTTTACTATTTCATCTGCCTGACACACCTTTTCCCCTCATCACCTAAAGAATTTGCATCCATCCTTAAAGGTTCACTTCACCTTCCCTCCAAAGCTCCCCATGCTTGTTCCTCTGGATTAGGCATCCCAAGAGGCAACCAAGAGAACTTTGTACCCCGTAGAATTTTGCTAATTATTTCTTTGTAAAGTGTTTTAAAATGTTGAACTTGGCGAATGAGACATTTTTTTCTCCATAAAAAGACAAGCCTTACCAATTAGCTAACATTTCGTGTAATTACTAATGGCTTCAGGAATGGGCTACAAGAAGATATGCTTGAAAAAAATCAATGTACGTAATTGCATTTTTATAGAACTCTGGACTTATATCCTATATTATCTTGTATTTACATCAGACCATATAGCACGATAGGAACATGCAGCCATTCTGCCTGGATTCAAACCCAAAATTTGCTGCTTATTTACAGTGTGTCCTTGGGCATATTGTATAAAATATTTTTCCCACAATTTCCTCATTTGTAAAATGTGCATAGTAGTACTACTTATCACATAAGGATAAAATGGGTATTAAATGATCAATCATATGATGTGCCTAGAAAAGTGACAGATGAGAACTCAGTATCTTTTAGATATTCTTACAGCAGTTGTCATGCCATATAATTGTTTAGTTATATTTTGCTCTCATGAAACTCGGAGCTTTCTTCTCTATTTTCACAATGGTTGGATAATAGGTGCTTAACAGATGTTAAAGGAAGTGAGGGAACAATGGAGGGTGAAAAAGAAGTGAAGGAGGGAAGGGAGGAAAAAAAAGAATCTGTCTTACCATGGTGTTTCTTCTAACTCAAGAACTTGTGTCATGTTCTTCAGATATACCCTATTTCACTTTTATTTCTTTTCCTTTCTTTCCATTTATATTAACACCAAGCCATAGTACAGAATTGTTACTAAATATTTAAGAAATACATAAATTATGCAATTTTGTTTCTCCAAGTTATTGCCAAATTCTATCCTCTTCCTTCTTTCCTGATAATGACATAGCCTTCCTTCTTTGCTACTACAATTTGATGACATGAATCTCATTAGACATTTCAAGTTATCTTTCAATCAGTCCCTGACAGTGCATCTGACATAATTTAATATTCCCCGTTCTCAATTATCCCATTTTATTATGCCTTTTATTTCAGATAAACCTTCTCTTTTCCCCTCATGTTTTCTCTGGGTATCTCTGTAGCTTGCAGTAGGTAATCACTTATGTTCAACAGGCCTTTGTTTTCCAAGTAACTTCTCTCACTTCATTAAAAATGTAGTAGAAGCTGTGTTCTGAGAAAAGTCACACTGATTAAGATGGATGTTATGGTTTTTTCAGAGTAATATTAACAACAAAAGTAAAAAATACTGATTTTCCACCAAAATGACTGACTGGTTTGGCTTTCACATCTTTCCCTAGAGGAGTAGTATTTGAGTGGCTATCAATTGCTTCCTAAGGCATTCATTAAAAAAAAAAGAAAAAAATACTTTATGTGTTTTCTAAAATGCATAAGATTTTCAGAACTTACAGTCATATCATTTACATTTGTCATTAACTTAAGGTATAAGTACATAGGTTTTAAGTTATTACAGACTATAAATCAGATGTTTTGCTTTTAGGTAGAAAAGCATTTTACTCAAATAATCCAATTGTTTGAAAATTAAAACTAAGTATTTTTAATACACAGTAAAAACATTGTATCTTAAATAGTAGATCAATTTAATATGCTATAAGGCTTTCAAAGATTGTTACTTAACTTTGCTAAAACTATTGTGTATCTCATACTTTCCATATAAAACCTTTGCATACACATCACAAATATCATTCCTTTCTTCTTTTCCTTGCAGTTACTATAAATGGTATTACACTGGCCAGTAGCGGGAAGACTAGATTTTTGTATATCGGTATCAGCCTTTGAAAAAATATCATATTCAATAATGGCATTAAATAATTTAATTAATTGAATTAATTATAATGACTATGTCCATTGAAAAATAAATATAGATTAGCTTTATGAGATTATTTTAATTCTGTAAGAGGTAAAAATAATTTCTTTATACTTCATGCAGTTTATTTAGATTCCATTCAATAAAGATGGAATGTAGAGATATGGTGTTGGATGAGATAAAAGTAAGTAAAATTCCCAATCAATTATTTAGAATAAAATATTCTTAATACTCCTGTCATAGTTGAGACACCATGTTGTACTGTTTTTTTATGCTGAATTTTCTGATTTGGAATGAATTCTAGGATTGGAAGGAACAAGCCAAAAGAAAATACCAGATACAAAAATTCATCTTTTGAGTAGAAGTAATATGGGCTAAATCATCTCAAAAACTTTTCTCCACGTGCTTACCCAACTGATTTTTATTCATTACTGAAATGGCTTCTTTGTAATAATTTTAGAGTATTTTATTAGGACAGAGATTATGATCTAGAAGGGTATGAAATTTAGATATAGTAAATATAGATGATTTAATTCCTTTTGTATTCCTTAATAATATCTGTAGTGAACACAAAATAGTTTAAATGATATCTAAAATGAAAATTGAGATCAATTATTTTCTTAGGGAAGAATAAGATAAATGAATTGTAAAACATAATTACTTAATTCAATATTTTTGTAAAAGTTATATAATACATTCTAAACTTAAAGATATTTGTTTATTCCTTCTTTTGAATAATATCAGTGAGTATTTCTTCCTTTTATTCAGATTGATGTGAAATTATATGAATAGAAGGTTGATAGAGAGCTAAAACCAAAGATTGATGGAAAGTTGAAACTAAAGGAAAAGCATGCATCTACCTTTTCAGGTGTGGTAGAATCTAGATCTCTTAGAAAAACTATGTTTTTTTGACTTATTTGAATTAAATAAGGAATAGGATTGTCACATATAAATATTGAAGGTAACTTAATCATAGAATATATTTGACCAACAGGAAACCCCAGTGGATTGCCTCCAGTCTTTTCTGCCTTGAGCATAATAATGTAGAAAAATTACAGATTCTGAAGTCAGATAGATTAGAGTCTTGAGTCCAAGATTTTTTAAAGTTCTTTTACCTCCTGGTTGTGAATTTTGAGGCACAATATTTAATACCTGTAAAATTCAGCATTCTCTTTTAAAATGGGAATAATAATAATTAAATCACAGTATTAGCACTGGGAGTATTTATTTGGAAATCAAAAAGGGTCAGTTACGTTTTTCTATTTTTGGTAGCTGAGAATGCTAGAGACAAGTCTTCTCATGATTTGTAGTTCTGTCTCTTTGGTTGATGGGTTAAATGATGCTTAATGAGATTGAATAATTCCATTGCAAATTGCTTTACCCAGTGTTTTGTGTGTTGCTGTCACTTTCAAGAACTAAGTGACTACAATTCATTGCATCAGTTTGTAATTCCACAGTATGTATAGTGTTTATTTGACCTATCTTACTTGTAGCCTCTTAATTTTACTTCAACATATAGAAATTACTAGGAATAAGCTTGTCACTGTTATTCATTCTTTTATACATTCAACCCATTAAAACTTCAATAGTGATGGCTTGGCTGTACTTCAAGATAGTCTTAACTTCAAATTCACTGTAGTACCACATGTTAATTATAATTTTTAGATACCGTTGATGAAACTAGAAATTAAATGCAACATTTGTGGCAAGTGTTTCCGGCATTCTGCTGTGGTTGCTATTGTGATCCGTGTAAGGTAAAACAACACCTCTTGTTATATAGATTTATAGCACCAGAAAATTATTAGCAATTCATTAAATTACATTTAAATTGGATAACCATTGATGCACCATATAATCATGGTGACTTTTTTTCAACCATTTAGTATACTCAGGCATTTCATTCAATAAAGAAAATACTGTAAAAGAAGACAAGCTGCCTTGCATACCCTACTGTTATGACACTTGTGCATTCTATATATAAGGACAAAAACCTTAAATTTAATGATATAACAAAATTAAACTGTAAACTTCTGTAAAAGATTTACTAAGATGGTCATTTGTTGTTTATTTGACTACCCAGCATCCAAGAAATATTCTTTTGAAGGGAAATTGACAATGTAAGAAATGTGGTAAGAGGCAGGGCTGAAGAAATATCAGCAAATAGAAAATAATAAAGATTAAAGCATAATTTAACAGTGGAAAAAAAGTAGAATTTGTTTGTCCAAAAACAGTTTCTTTAGAAAAGCTAACAGCAAACCATACTTAGCGTTACTTTGCCTTACTGTTAGCATCTTCTTATAATTTCTACTTTTGCAATAACATATATACATACATGCATATATATACATACACATATTATATTATATATACACACACACACAGAAACCATGTGTATATTTTTATTAGTTTAGAACTAATAAAAATGTCATAAAGTTAGTCTAGGAAAATTCAATGGAAAAATCAATAGCTTCTTCTTTGCTGACAAAACAAAAACAAAAGTTAAAAGTGCAAATTAACAATATCAACAAAAATATCCTATACACATAAAGATGTTTGTGTAATGTGAAAGAATAAATCTGCATAATAACAGTGAAGTGTGTAAATAAGTATGGACACACGTATAAGGATATGCCAGGTTCTTTCATTGAAAGAGACACATTTCTTTATAAACTAATATATAGGTTTAATGAAATTCCAAGGAGATCCTAATAATGTTTCTGCTTTGAGTGTATTTGGTAAATAAAGTTATTCTAACCTTTATATCTCCTTAGATAATAGCAATTGATAAATAAAGCTGGAGGGAAAAGATTCATGAGAAAGACTAGCCTACCGGTTATTAATCTATAAATTTACTATACAGTAAATATTGTAGAACTGAAGAAAGATTGATAACCCAATCAATGAAATAGAAGTTAGAGCCCTTAAACAGACTCTTAATTATGTACTATACAATATAAAATCCTTTATTTAAAAAGGGAACTCTTCTTGAGACTTCTTCAGTAAATCAAAGTCATCATTTTTTTCCCTTCAGCCTTTCCCCATTTTGACTTGCTGATTCTCAAATCCCTTTCTATCTAAATCTTGTATATCTTTTGACTTTGTATATCTAAAGTTTCATCTGTTTCAAAGAAACTTTATTCCACTGTTTGATGAGATTTTATTTTTAGATTTTTTTCATTATCACACAAGTAAAACACTATTCAGTGTAGGAAAGAGTAGACTTTAAAAGTACTTAGAAACACACCCTTAAAATAAGTAATGATAAAATATTAGTATGATAACCTTTCCAATTTTTGTATGCTATAGATAAGATGTACATTCAAACCCTTCTATTCATAATAATAGCATACTATAAATATTATAGAAGTTAATTCTTCTTTACTGAACAGCATAACTTGAAAATTATTTTAAATATTATTGTATAAGCATTCTCATTCTTATTATCAATGTATTATACATATATTATAGTTAATGATATAGATGTATCACTGTTTGCTTGGACAGTCTTTTCCTATGAATATTTGGATGGTTTCTAAGTAATTGATCTTCTAAACAAGAATGCAGAAACATCCTTGCAGGTTTATTTTTTCACATTTGTCAGTTCTTTTCATTGAGATACATTTATAGGTGGTAAAATTTGCATTTTTAAAAAGCATTTAAATCATATTGATAAAGGATCTATAAGATGTTGACAATTCCTAGCTATATACTCTTTCCAGCAATCCATCTGTGTCCACTTTCCCCCATTCTTACCACTTAAGTTTTAGAAGTTAGAGAAGATAAAATTATCCTGTCACTGTTTTAGTATATAAGTTTTAGGACAGTTAAAATGTTTTATGTTATCATTAAGCATAAGGCTACCATTGACATTAATTTCTATATCTGTAATTCATATTTACATTATTTGACACAGGATTTTGGACAGTCTTTTTCAAATTAGTATGGTTATCTGGTTTATTTGTTTTGACATTCAAACTAGTTGAACATTTTTTCTGTTTGTCTTGGAAAATTGAGTGCTTCTTGGAATGTATCGTGATTGTCTTAAAGGTATAATATATGACTAAGTGTGTTATTTTAGCTAACTAATTAAAATATATATTTGTAAAATGAGCCTTTATTTTCCCTACCATCTTCTTAACTGTTTTCTGGAACTTTTGGCATCTAGGATTTGCAACACACATTTTTATGATGTGTGAGATTGTGGGGAGCTAGCATACTACTGTGCCTAAATTACTTTACTTGGGTCCCCAATTACACTGAACTAGCCATGCCTTTTCCGTATTTTCTGTATTCCCTGGAATTTGTGTATCTGATTATAGGAAAATGGTGGTGAGTTTGTGATGAAATGACATAGAATAACAAGGAGTAGAACTAGTCTATTGTACTTCTTAGATAGGCTCATAGAGTTTGAATCACACTGCTGTCAATGTCTTAGTTCCTAAAAGCCACAGAACTCAGGATCACTTGGCAGATAGATGATGGAGCCTTTTCACAATTCTTGACTACTTCATGAAGCAAAGCTATGGCTTGACTGAATAGAATTCTCAACTGAATAGAATTCTCAACTCAGCCAAATTGGGAATTTGTTTGTCTGTTGGTATTTTTTAATGTGTTTGCATGCTTTAGTCTCTGGTTGTATCTTTGTGGATGATACATATATCCTAATACTTAGTTATAATTTCATAACAAATGCCTCAACCCAAGATTTTAATTTTACATGCATTTGATAAAATTTTAAAGGATATTTAAGAGTATTATTAAATAAGAATCTTCTGTATTTCTGATATATTAACATTGAAATCACTTGATGTGAAATCTTGAATAATTTTACTATTTACTATAGTATCTGTGAAAAAAATCATTTTTGTTAAAAATGTATGTATGTGTGTATATATTTGTGTGTGTGTGCACGCATGTGTATGTGTTGAATGATTTTATTGCATTCAATACTATATTTGGCCCAAATCTTTACTATTGAATGTAATACAATCAATCATTCAACACGTAAGTACTGAATGCCTAACGTGTAGCAGGGACTATTCTATGGATACAATTTTTTTTTAAAGACTAAAGTCTCTGCCTTTGGGGAGACTTTTAGTAGAAGGAGAAAGATAAAATAAGAAAAATAATGAGTATGTTAGATGACACATGTTGTGGAGAAGAAATCAGGAATCAGGGAAATAATGTAAGAAATCTTTTGCTGGTGGGGAAAAATGATGTTGTGATTCTAATTAAGATACAGCTAGAACCAAGGTCTAAATAAGGTTTGGTGGGGAGCCTTCCCAATATCTGGGGGAAGAGTGTTCCAGAGAGAGAAAACTGCAAGTACAAAAACTCAGGAGTAGTAATGTGCCTGGTATGTGTTTGAGGATCAAGCAAGGAGCAGCAGGAGTGGATGAGTGAGGAAAGAGGGGTTGGAAAATATAAAATGAGGCCAGAGAGTGTTGGTGGGTAGGAAGAGTGGGACAAATTCTGTAGTCTGGTAGACTATTTGGATGACTGGCATTTACTCAGGGTGGTATGGGAAGATATTGGAGGGCTTCGAGCAAAGAGGTACATTATCTGCATTACCTTTTATCACACTAGTGGGCGGGGAGAGGGGAAGGCAATGGTGGAAGCAGAAAAATCCACTGTGGCTATTCTGATCCATCTATGCAAAAGATGACAATGGATGGGACCAGAATGATAGCAAAGAGGAAGATGTGGTTAGAGAAAATTAAACACACAAAAGAAAAGAATGTGGAGAAGAGAAGATGATCAGGGACTTGGAAAATGTGGAATTGCCCCAAAAACAAATCTTACTCAAACTTAACTCTATGCCTTTCCCTACTAATTCAGCCTTCAAAGAAGCGACAAATTACTCAGTCACTCACAAAACAAAAATAAATAAAACGTATGAAATTTAATACATTTTGCTCTTAACAGCTGTATGGAGGTGTAATTGATTTGGTTTATTTTTGGAATTGCACTTGTTTAATGTATACAATTTGATGAATTTGGACATATGCATAAACCTATGCATAATATCACCACAATCAAGGTAATAAATATATTCACCACCTCCAAAAGTTTCCGTGTGTGTGTATTTTAGTGGTAAGAACAATCAACATGAGATCTAGTCTCTCAACCTAATTTTAAGTGCACAATACTATGTTGTTAACTTTAGGCACTCTTGTACAGCAGAGCTCTAGCCCTTATTCATCTTACATAATGGAAACTTTATATTCATTGACTAACTCTCTATTTCCCCCTTCCGCAGGTCCTAGCAACCACTATTTTGTTTTCTTCTTTTGTGACTTTGACTATTTTAGATACCTCATCTAAGTGGAATCACACAGTATTTGCCTTTCTGAGGTTGGATTATTTCACTTAGCACAATGTCTTCCAGGTTCACCCATGTTGTCCCAAATAGAATTTCCTTCTTTTTATGGCTAAAAACTGTTGCATTGTATGTATATACCATATGATCCAGCACTCCCATGTTCATTACAGCATTATTCATAACAGCCGAGATGTAGAAACAACTCAAATGCCCATCAGCAGATAAATGGATAAACACACTTTTATTTCTTACTTTGGCATTGTATATTGACATTGTAAATAGATCTTGTCAATTAATATTTTATGTATATGGTATAAAGAGGTCCTGGATTTTTAGTGCCATAGTTAGAAATTTGAGGTCCATCTGAAATCAACTAAAAATGCAAAGATTTCTGGTAATAACATGTCTTTCAAGTTAATTTAAGTCTATGAGTCTTTACTTAAATGGCTCTGTGTTCAGAGATGATGAACTTACAGCAGATTTGATTCCAAAATAAACCTAGGAGACTGTAACAGATGCCATTGATACCTCTCCCCCTAACCTCACGTTTATCTGCAGCTGTACTGCAATTCCTGGGTCCCTTATCTACTTCCCACCTCAAGGGTTTTCATCTGCATCTCTCTGTTTCTCTGCCTAAGGCAATGCCACAGCTTACTAGGCTCAAGTTTGAGGAAGTTAATGTCCCTGGGGACAGGTAGAAGTCACTGGATAAATAGCTCAGCATTGTTGTCCCTCAGTAGGACAGTTGTGAAGCATGTTTTATATGATTCTTCAGGGAGTCTTTGTATTAGTTTGTTCTCACTTTGCTATAAAGAACTACCTGAGTTTCCAGTTTTTCTGCTCTGTTTTTTCCCCATCTTTGTGGTTTTATCTACTTTTGGTCTTTGATGATGGTGATGTACAGATGGGTTTTTGGTGTGGATGTCAGTTTTCCTTCTAACAGACAGAACCCTCAGCTGCAGGTCTGTTGGAGTTTGCTAGAGGTCCAACCATGATAGACTGGATTAAGAAAATGTGGCACATATGCACCATGGAATACTATGCAGCCATAAAAAATGATGAGTTCATGTCCTTTGTAGGGACATGGATGAAATTGGAAATCATCCTTCTCAGTAAACTATCGCAAGGACAAAAAACCAAACACCGCATGTTCTCACTCATAGGTGGGAATTGAACAATGAGAACACATGGACACAGGAAGGGGAACATCACACTCTGGGGACTGTTGTGGGGTGGGGGGAGGGGGGAGGGGGGAGGGATAGCATTAGGAGATATACCTAATGCTAAATGACGAGTTAATGGGTGCAGCACACCAGCATGGCACATGTATACATATGTAACTAACCTGCACATTGTGCACATGTACCCTAAAACTTAAAGTATAATAATAATAAAATAAAATAAAATAAAATAAACATGAAAAAAAAAAGAAAAAATAAAAAGAGCTACCTGAGACTGGAAGACCTTTACGAAGAAAACAGGTTTAATTGACTCACAGTTTTACAGGCTCTATAGGAAGCACAGCTGGGGAGGTCTCAGGAAACTAACAATCATGACAGAAGGCAAAGAGGAAGCAGGCATATCTTCACAGTGGTGCAGCAGGAGAGAGAGAGAACCAAGGGGGGAAGTGCTACACACTTTTAAACAACCAGATCTCATGAGAACTCATTCACTATCACTAGAACCAAGGGGGAAATCTGCCCCCATGATCCAGTCACCTCCCACCAGGCCCCTCCTCCAACACTGAGAATTACAATTCAACATGAGAACTGGGTGAGGACACAGAGACAAATCATGTCAGTCTTCAATAAGTCCAAGTTCCAGTTGCTCATAGTGTTCCCATAGCATACCCTTTACTGGCTTTTGCCCTTCTTTATTTCCCTTTTCCCCTCCCTTGCATGCACTTTCTGGTTCACCTCCCAAATAAATGAACTTCAAAGTATTTGTCTTAGGGTACACTTGGGGGTCCCACATCAAGCCAGGCAGAGACACTTTAATGAAGTTGCTCATGTCTGGTTGACAAAACAAAAGGTTCAAGAATGTTCCTCAGGAATTAAGCAAAGGTGATTGTTAGCTCCATCTACTTTGTTTTACCCCTCTTTGATCTTATTGGTCTCACTGTGACCAGCATTAAAGAAACAAAGGGTCTTGAGCTGGTACAGCTCAAAATGGTGAATCTGTTGCTGTTTCCATAATTAATCATTTTTGTCAATAGTTATAAGTGAACAGAGCCATGAAATGCAGAATGCATAATAGGAAGCTGAAAATTTATGGGCATATTGAAGACATGTAACAATTGCCTGTATGAATAACAAAGGAGCAGGAATACAGCTTCTCGGAGGCTAGGATCTGAGTTTCTGACATCTAGAATAAAGTTAGGAAGAACTTAAGTGCTACAATAACAAAAGATGCCACTGGATTTACAGTTTGGCTGAATTCTAGGGAAATCACATGTTGTAAGGCCTTGGTAAAGATCAGATTCAGAAATTATTTTTAAAAAGAAGAATTTGGAAAAGATAAAGTAAAACCCCAAATTCTATATTAATTTTTGATGTAGATTTACTTTGGAGGCATACCAAGTGTTTCTGGCTTGGAAAAGTTTAGGTGCAAAGACTATGGATGAGCAAATGTTCAGTGGTCCTTTTCTTTCCCTCTTATGGCATAATCTAAGCCTCAGGAACAGAAATATCCATAATCCATAAAATGCTTTTTTTATGTTATACAAAGAATCAGAAAGACACGACTTGTTTAGAAATTCAAAAGACTGTTAACAGAGAACACACACATCTCCTCTGACATGAAAATTTTCAGATAAATCAGGCAGCAGAGAAAGACAAAGTCAGAAAATGTTTATCGTTTTCCTGCAATTATTGGAAACATGAAATATTTTTGGTCAAAGCAGAGGGAACCAAATTAAGGTAATAATGTGTAATAACTAATAAACCGATAAAGTAGGTGACAACTGCAGCAAATGCATGATCACTTATTTTTCCCCAAGATTACTGTCATTATTCTTATGGGTATGTGGGTGTGGGCAAGGGGAAATAAGGCCCATGTAAATAAAATGTAATTCTTTGCTTGAGATATTTATAGTTTTGTGGTTGAAAAACATATATAAACATGTTATTTCAGTACAGTGTGAAAAGGGCACTGGGTTTTTGGCAGAGTTAGATGCAGAGAAGTGGCATGATCTGATTATATTTTCGAAGAATTACTGTGGCTTTCTTGCTGAGAAGAGACTGAGAGGGGGCTGGAAGACAATAATCCAGGCAGAAGAGTTTGGTGGACTAGGGACAAGATGGTAGCAGTGAGCTGATGAGAACATGACACAAAAAGATTATATTCAACCATTTATTCATGCCTTCATGCATCCATCCATTCACTCATTTAGACATAGGTCCAGTCTTACCAAAAAGTTGTAAGAATAACACAACAGACACTTCACCCAGATTTCCCAAGTGTTAACATTTTACTATTTTTTTTTATATTTTTCTCTCTTTGTCTGAGAGAGAGAAATAGACTTATATTTCTCCAAAATATTGACTAAATTGTAGGCATGATACCCCTTCACCTCTAAATACACCTCCAAATATACCAGGGTATAATATCTAAAAACAACAACATTCTCTGAAACAATCTTAGAAAAATTATCCAATTCAGTTTTAACACTGATACAGCTATCTAATCTACAGAACTTTTTCAAATTTGTTAACCTGCCCCAATAGTGCCTTTATAACAAAAGAAAATCCATAATCATGTATTGCATTCAGTTAGTTGTCTTGTCTCTTTAGTTCCCTTTAATCTGGAATAGTTCATTTCTCTTTCATTGTGTTTCATGATATTGACATTTTGGAAAAGTACAGGCCAGCTATTTATAGAATGTCTCCCGATTTGTGTTTGTCTAATATTTCTTCTTGTTTACATTCACCTTATGCAGGTTTCATAGAAATACCTCAGAAGTGATGCTCTTTTCACAGAATTTTATATCAGGAGGCACATGCTGTTGATCAGTGTCATTAACGGTGATGTTAACTTTGATCACTTGGTTATGGTAGACTCTGCTGTCTCTCTACTGTAAAGCAGAATATTTAACTTTGTAATTAAAAAATATCTTATTATTTTCACACTGTGTTAAATATCCCATGTGTTCTCCAGATTTCACCTATTAGTGTTACAGGATCTTTGGGGCATTGCTTTGCCAGCTGGAAACCTCCATGGCCAGTGGTGTCTTTGCTTGAGTTTTGCTTGGGCCTGCTGGGCCAACTCAGCAGGCTGCTGTTAGCTCACACCTCTGGCCTGGATTGCATGCCTGCCAAGGGCAAGTGGAGCAGCAAGGGGTGTGTGAGAGAGACAGCATGGGGTCTAGCCACTGTGCATAGCCAGGCACGCTGGCTGCAGCGGGGTGGGCAGCTCCAGGCACTGACACAGGTGCTGGCTCCCTGTGAGGCTGCAGCCAGACCAGACATCCTGAAAGCAGCTTCCACAGCTGGCACCAGGGAATGCTGCAGCACCTGGAAGCTTTAAGATGCCAGGAACTGCAAAGCCCCATAGAGGATGTCACGGCCCTGGCTTAAGGAGCTCCTAGGTCTGGGCTCCCCTAAGGGCTGCAGATCTTCTCTCCTTCTTTTTGCCTGCAACATGGCAAGCAAGGGCCATGTTTTAGCCTTGCTCATGTTACAGCTCTTTCATCCCTGCCATTCGGCAGGTCCTGAGTTCTTGAACCTGTGCCCAGGAAGAATGAGGTATGTGGACAAGTGGAGCTGAATAATTCTATTTTTCAAGTGGATGGTGAGCAAGGTGAAAAGGAGCTTTATTGTGTGATGTAACAGCTCAGAGGAGACACGCAGTGGATAGCTACTCTCCACAGCTAGGGTGTCACAACAAGTATTCAGCTCTCTGCAGAGAGGAGACCGTGGGGTAGGTAGCTCCTCTCTGCAGCTGGTCTTATCATCATCTCCTCAAGTCTGGCTGAGTCTGGGGCTTTTATGGGCCTCAGAGGGGAGGAAGTGCACACTGATTAATCTATGAGCAGCCTGAATAAAGCACAAGTTCCCACTCGCGTCCATGGGCCCAGCAGCCCGGCCCCCAGGCTTCAGGCCCTCCCCAGCTCACAGGTGGGACTTCACCAGGGACCTGCCCCTTATGCCCAGGAGCCTGTCTGCTTTCTGCTGCCATTCATGGCGCCCAGGCCATTCATGCCAAGGGAAACCTGTAGGCCAATGCCAAGCTGCCCTCAGCAGCCCCTCAACCCCCCTCACATACTTGTTGGTGCCCAAAGTCCAGAGGGGGCTGAGGCAACAGGGGACTGGCATGTCAGTGCTGCCTTGAGAGTGTGCACACACTGGCAACCTGCAACAGTGCCCAGGCTCAGCCCCAATCTTGCTCCAAGATTGGAGTGTGCGCCAGGAGCAGGGAGAGGGCAGACAGTAGGAGCAGACACTTCTGAGCCCCTGGGGGCGGGGGTCCTTCCTGTGCCCCCAAGAGTGCAGAGCTGCCAGGTCTGCAGCCATGGCTTGGGTGGCTGTAACTGTGCTCTTGCCTGCTTCCAGCCTCCAAAAGCACAAGGAAGCCCACATCCACAGCCATGGCTGGATGGTCAGAGCTGTGCCCAGGGAGCACGAAGTTCCTGCCCTGTCAACTCAGAAGGGGATGGCACTTCTGCCTGTTCCCAGATCCTGCCAGCTCCATGGAGTGCACAGCCCTGGCATGCCTTCCCCACTGCAGCCGGTGTCATGCAGTGGCCGCTGTAGATTAACCACCACTGCCATGACTAGTTTTAATATCCATTGATGATTCTCACTTTCATTGATTACTACCAAGATGGTTGTTATGATAATTTTTAAATTCCATCATTTATTTTTATTAATTTATTTTCTACCAAAAGGAATAGCTTTTCCTTCATCCTAATTTTCATTTATATCAGTGGATTAATGTATTTCTATTTTGTACAATAGGTTATTCTTATTGTCATTATTTATTTGAATGTTCAAATTGTCACATTCTTGGCCAATGGAAATTTTTTCAAGTAGGCCACAGTTGCCCTTTTGACATGGACCATAATTCTTTGAGCACTCTCCCAACTTTCAGCACAGAATGTTGCAGGGTCCTCTTGTACTTTCCTTGGCTTAGCACTGGAGTCAGCCATTTCTTCAAGAAACTCTGGTTCCTTTCAGTACAGAATGGTATTAGAGATCAAGATTAGGGTTCTATCTGTAACCATCACCACAGGGGAGTCGTTGCTTCTAGGCATTGTTAATATTAATAAACAAAGCCAGAAATAGAAAGATAACTGTGTATTACACTCACTCACCTGTCTCTATTTAGCTAACTAGCTATATTAAAAACAGTTGATACACACTGGTTTCTCTGCTTCCATTCCAACATAGCAGGATAATTGTATTTTCTCCCTTTTTATACTTATAACTGTCCTCTCTACTAGTGACAAACAGCTCCCATTATTTATAATATATTCACTTACATGTTTAATCTTACAATGTACAGAAAGTAGGGTCAGTGTTACTAACCTAGACATCTAAGAAAGAGGCCTACTCAGTAGCATTCAGTATTTATTTAGGGTTCTTTTTGTCTTTAGCTGGAAAACATATAGTCCAACTATGGTTAGATCTTCTCCCATTACTTCTTAGTGTTATTTATTCAAAATATTATTTATTTAAAGTATACTGGGTCATTTGTTTCTGTTTCTGTTCAATTTTAGAATTTTTCACCTTCCTTTTTGTTTTATTATTTTCTTTTTTGTGTCTGTGAAATACTAATATTCTAAAAGTGAGATCTATATTAAATTTCACTTTTAACTAAATTATTTCCTTTCTTGTGTTGTCGTTTAGTTGATTTCTTTATATATTCATGTATTTTTAAGCAGATAATTTAATTCATTTAGGCATATTCATTTTTATTGATGAAATGTTTGAGGTTATAGGGTTTCCTTTTATCACTATTTTATGTGCCACAGATTCTCATATAAATAGAGATAGATAGTATGTATACTTTAATATACACATATATGTGTATGTTTTTATTATTCCTTGTTTAGAAATTCTTTAAATTTGTTTTGTATTTTCATATTCACCCAACTTGTTTAATAAAAGTTATTTTTGATTATTTATTCCAATCGTATGACCTTTTACCTTTTTTATTTTAAAATAATCTGTTTTTTGTTATTAGAGATTAAATTGTAATATTTATAATTATGAAATGTACTTATGTAACTTAGTATATGATTACATTTTAAGAATGCCCAATGAATGTTTGAGAAGAAGATGTATTCACTATTACTTGAGTGTAAAGTTCTGTGTGTATAATATCTACCTTACTGATTAGGTTTTGCAGGACTTCTATATCCTGTTCTGTGTGCACTTGATTGATCTTATATCAATTCTGATATATTAACATCTCCTAGGCTTGTATGTTTCTATCTGTGTCTTTTTGATTCTCCTTAATTTTTTGCTTTATAAAAGTGTCTACTATGTTATTTTGGTGCATAGATATTGATAGTTGTCATGCCTATTTTGTGAATTCAGGCTTTTAACATTGAAAAGAATAATTTTTCCCATATTTAATGCTTCTTAGCAAAGTTTAATATTAACTTTGTTTGATACCAATATTGCCTTTGCTCTGTTATTATTCCCAGAAGCCTGGTGTGTGTGTGTGTGTGTGTGTGTGTGTGTGTGTGTGTGTGTGTGTGTGTATCCAAGTCTTTCTATTTAGCCTTTCTGAATTATTTTGCATATGTTTTGGATGCAGAACATATTGGGTTTTACTTTGTGAGTCAAATTGAAAATAATTTCCTTCTAATGGTTGTGTTAATCTTATCCATTCACATTAATTGACGTGCTAAATGTCTAATGTCAGCTCTGTTATTTTATGTAATAATTATCATGTGTACTGTGTTATATTTGCTGTGTTTCTCTATACAAAGTAGAGTATTGACCTCTTTTATTCTATTTTGTAATTTCTTTTGGTGTTTAGGAAAGACTGTACTTTTGTTCTAGCAGTCAATTTTTAATTCTTTTTACATTTTCTTATTCTTTTGCTTTTGTTTTAACATGTTTCTGTGTTGTTTGCATTTTGAATGACATATTTTAACACAAACTATTACCTACACAGCAACTTCCCTATTTTCTCTCTTCTGTCAATTTCAGTTCTGTTATTTCTACTTTGTCAGAACATATAACACACACTATGTAGCATATAACATAAAATATTATTACTCCACTCTCAACTTTATCTTTGTTTTAGTCTTAGATTTACAATTACATATACTAAAAGCTTACCATTTGTAATACTGCTGAAATTTCTCAATTCATTTCTTTTTTTTTAGATTTTTTTTAATACTTTAAGTTTTAGGGTACATGTGCACAATGTGCAGGTTAGTTACATATATATACATGTGCCATGTTGGTGTGCTGCACCCAGTAACTGGTCATTTAACATTAGGTATATCTCCAAATGCTATCCCTCCCCCCTCCCCCTACCCCACAACAAGCCCTGGTGTGTGATGTTCCCCTTCCTGTGTCCATGTGTTCTCATTGTTCAATTCCCACCTATGAGTGAGAACACGCAGTGTTTGGTTTTTTGTCCTTGTGATAGTTTGCTGAGAATGATGGTTTCCAGCTTCATCCATGTGCCTACAAAGGACATGAAATCATTATTTTTTATGGCTGCATAGTATTCCATGGTGTATATGGGCCACATTTTCTTAATCCAGTCTATCATTGACGGACATTTGGGTTGGTTCCAAGTCTTTGCTATTGTGAATAGTGCCGCAATAAACATACGTGTGCATGTGTCTTTATAGCAGCATGATTTATAATCCTTTGGGTATATACCTAGTAATGGGATTGCTGGGTCAAATGGTATTTCTAGTTCTAGATCCCTGAGGAATCGCCACACTGACTTCCACAATGGTTGAACTAGTTTACAGTCCCACCAACAGTGTAAAAGTGTTCCTATTTCTCCACATCCTCTCCAGCACCTGTTGTTTCTTGACTTTTTAATGATCGCCATTCTAACTGGTGTGAGATGGTATCTCACTGTGGTTTTGATTTGCATTTCTCTGATGGCCAGTGATGATGAGCATTTTTTCATGTGTCTTTTGGCTGCATAAATGTCTTCTTTTGAGAAGTGTCTGTTCACATCCTTCGCCCACTTTTTAATGGGGTTGTTTGGACTTCATGTCTAAAACACCAAAAGCAATGGCAACAAAAGCCAAGATTGACAAATGGGATCTAATTAAACTAAAGAGCTTCTGCACAGCAAAAGAAACTACCATCAGAGTGAACAGGCAACCTACAGAATGGGAGAAAATTTTTGCAATCTACTCATCTGACAAAGGGCTAATATCCAGAATCTGCAATGAACTCCAACAAATTTACAAGAAATTCATTTCTTTGTTGGATTCTGTGGCACTTAAAACTGTTTTTCCATAGCATTGATCCTTGACTGACCACTTAACTGGCTATAAAATTTTTCATTCATACCATCTTCCCTTGAATTATTTGAAAATGCTACTCCTCTCTACCTTATTTTGCTTTGTTTTTGTATTTGGCAATAAAGATAAAGTTTAATACACATGAAGCTGGCCATACCACAGTGAGATAGAGTTATTACTCAAACAACCTCTCTGAGACTTTAGGGGCTAGGGTTTTTCAAAGATAGTTTGGGTGAGCGGTGGGGGTGGTTAGGCTTGCAGCCTAGGGTTGCTTGCAGCTGATTGGCTAGGGGTACAGTCATAGGGTTGTAGAAAATTGTCCTTCTGCACACTCAGTCATTTCTGGTGGGGCCACAGGAGTGGTTAGTGGGCCCAGGTGGAGCCAATGGTCGTCAGACATGGAAAAAACCTGAAAAGATATCTTAAAGGGCCAAGCTTAGCTTCTGCAATAGTGATGTTATCTGCAGGAGTAATAGGGGAAGTTGCATAGCCTGGGACCTCCAGAATAATGGCTGGCAATTGCTTATGTCTACACCTTAGCAGAATTCAGGCCCCTCTATCCTCCTAGCCTGGTGGTCTCTCATTTGCTTTAGAAGTGTAGTTGAATTTGGGGGAAGGACTGATATCTCTTTCTTCCATTCTTTTAAACTTTTATTTTAAGTTCAGGGGTGTAAGTGCAGGTTTGTTACATAGGTATACTTGTGTCATAGGGGTTTGTTTCATCACCCAGTTATTAAGCCTAGTATTCATTAGTTGTTTTTCCTGATCCTCTCTCCACTCCCACCCTTTACCCTCCCAAAATCCCCGGTGTGTATTGTTCCCCTCTATGTGTCCATGTGTTCTCATCATTTAGCTCCCACTTATAAGTGAGAACATGTGGTATTTGGTTTTCTGTTCCTGTGTTAGTTTACTAACTAAGGATAATGGCCTCCAGCTCCATCCATGTCCCTGCAGAGGACATGATCTCATTCTTTTTTGTGGCTGCATAGTATTCCATGGGGTATATGGAGTACCTTATTTTGTATGTAGCGTTTTGGAAGTCTGATGCCAACTATTTTTCTTGTCATTGTTTTTATTTCTTTATTTATTGGCTAAAGTCTGCATATTTTTCTTCTTCATCTGTAAAAATTTGGTATTTTTACTTTAACATCATTTTGAACTGATTATTACTAATCAATTTTCTCTGCTACTCATTGAGCCCTTTCAGCATTTAGATTCAGGACTTCTTTTATTTCTGAAAGGCTATTTGAATTGTCCTTTAAAAATTAATTCTTTTCCATTATTTTACTTATATTCCTTGGAGACTCCAGTTATAGTAAATTGGATCTTCTTTGCCTATCTTCCATTTTAAGCACTTTCTTTCTGAGCCTTTTTGTTTATTTTATTTTTATTTTCTTTGTTGTTTTTCTATTTTTTAAATGAACATTGTTATACTTTTATTTGAATATATTCTTTCTTGGGTATCTCGTAATTTACTTTTTCTGATATGATTTTGTCTTTTTAAATCCTTTTTTTTCTCTTTTTAGTGTTTGAATTTATGGTTTAAGTTTTTTGTTCTGTTTTGCTTTGTTTTTGCTCCATACCTCAAAGTGTTTGTTCATTAATTTAGTTTGGAGTATTGTGTTAAAGTTTTCTTCTTTTTCACTGTTACTTTTTGGGGGTTGCAGAAGGAGGATTGTATCAGCTGAATTGTTTATATTCTCATTCTCTGATTTCTTTTTGTAGTTTTTAATAAACAAAGACTCTTTGCACTTCTACATTTTAATGGTCTAGGTTGGTGATTTGTAGTAGTTTCTTTTTTTTTTTTAAATCATGGCTAAAAAATGTCCTATGTAGTCAGTGTGAAAAAAGCATAGTTTCATTACAAAGTGCATTTTTTTTTAGGGGAAGATTTTATAAGGGACTAAGTTATTAGTCTTCCAATTGTATTGTATTGTCTCTTATCTTGCTCAATCTAAATTTCTCTCTCGCTTCTTTTTCACTTCACCATATAATTTCCAAAGGGCACTTATTTCTTGCTTTTGATTCTCTTCTTGAAGACTGATGCCAACCTCTTGAAGACTGATTCCTTGCATACTGTATGCATATTCTTTCCCTGTGATCACTGCTCTGATCTACATTGTTGCAGTATTTTCACACACACAGGGAAGATGTTTTCTGAAATATTTTTAAACAAAACAATAACACCTTGTGGGAGGTGTTATTTAATCCAATTTAAATATGTACATATTTATATATAGTCTGTGTATATATTATATATATCTTTTGTGTATATATTTATATATATATAGTTTGTGTATATATTTGTGTGTCTGTGTGTGTATATATATATATATATATATATATATATACACACACACACAAATATATACACAAACATGTAATAAGTGTACCAAAACCTATCAGCTGGAAGTTTTCTTTTTCTTTTTCTTTTTCTTTTTTTTTTGAGACAGAGTCTCTCTCTGTTGCCCAGACTGAAGTGCAGTGGCACGATCTTGAATTACTGCAACCTCTATCTCCTGGGTTCGTGGGTCCAAGTGATTCTCCTGCTTCAGCCTCCCAAGTAGCTGGGATTACAGACGTGCATCACCATGCCCAGCTAATTTCAGCTGGAAGTTTTCTAAACCTTGGATACCAAATTAAACTTGACCCGGATATATATTAGTTTGGTGCAAAAGTTATTGTGGTTTTTGCATTAAAAGTAATGGGAAAAACTGCAGTTACTTTTGCCCCAACCCCAAAATTTTATCCCATGAAGAAGTAAAAACAAAAACAAAACAACAACAACAACAACAACAACAACAACAAAAACTCCTTACCTCTATTTTATACATGTTTGAGGCTTCATATTCTTTTCTGTGCCCAAACAAAATTTCTTTATTTGTTTTCCCCCTATCTCATCATAGGAAAAATATTATCCTTTGGAAGAGATTCTACAAGAAATAAAGATAGTTCAATGTTTCCTAAGATTGAAACTTTGGCGAAGATTTGAACATACTAAGTGAATGATGTCTTCACACTTTCTTTTCCTTATTTCTGTGCTTCTCATTCCTGATTTGTGTTACAGAGTCTAAAAATCTTCTCATTCTAGTACAGAGAGCAATGCAACTCTCCTAAGAGTCTCCTGCAAATTTATCTACCCAAGCTAAAGTGCTCAGCAGTAAAAAAATTCCACCTTTGTTAGAGGGAAGTTTTGATGAAATATAGCACATTTTTACTTTGTTAGTATAGTGGGTTAAAAAAGGTTTTATGGTCTATATATTGGTTGTTAACAGAAGAATCTCTTGAGGACAGTGAGCTAACATAAAAGAATGAATTTTCAAATCAGACTTATAAGAATCTGAGATCTTACCTAATATTCAAGCTTTACTAAATAATGTCAAAAAAACTCATGCAAAGTAGAGTGAGGACTCTGGTACACCAAAGGTCACATATCAGATCCTGTATTTTCACCTTAGTCATGCAGTTCTGCCCAAGGATACTAGATCAGATCTCTATATGACAACCTTGAGATCACCTCATGCAGTGGGAATATTTAAATTATGAAACACCCTCATTTAATAAATCTAACACTAGTATAGCCTATTTCACATTTTCCAGGGAGAAGAGCCTGATATATCCTGGTTTCTATAGTTTACCCTTAGTTAGGACATCTTGTGAAGTGCATTTCAGAGATTAAGTCTCTTCTTTCTAGCAAATATCTATAGTCCATTTAACCAAATATCTCATTAGCAAGGAGGTAGAATGGGGTCAGCTGCCAACATTTTTCCCCAGGAGCACTCAACCCCCCAAAAGGAAATTAATCAATTTCAGGCAAGCTGCTTTAATTTCTTTCTTTCATTGATTTGCTGTGATTTTCTCTTTTGTATTTTTTTCTAAAACCGTGGGTATTAAATACATAATTGTCAGAAAAATTGATGTAATGGAAATGGGGAAAAAACTCAGTCATATATTGTGATGTTAGAACAATTCATTTACCTGGTTGCAGCTCTGGTCTATCTGTATATAAATAGCAGACTTCATGCCTTACGATTCAGTCACCTGAAGAACAGTGTAGTGGCCGAATTGCTTAGATAATTGATATTATATTTATGGTATCTGAGACAGAATGAAGATTTTTTATTAAATCCCTTTGAAGATTAGAAAATAATGTCAATAGTTTGTATATTTAATACTATATATGTTTATATATTCATATAACATATACACACTTATATGTTCATGTAATACACACAAGCATATGTATACATATACCATATAAGTCCCTTATTATTATTGTAGTAAATCAAAGTTCTATATCTATATACTGCTTAACTACACATAACTTCCTATTATTCTTCCCTGTTCTTTAGTCTCTAATTTTATATAGAGTAAGAATTATATATTATTGTCTTATTTTCTGAGCAGAGGTGTGGTGGATTATTCCCCAAAGGTCTTGTTTTCTCTGTTTCTTTTATATTTCATGTCAACATTTTCTTGTTGTTTTCCAATTTCTTCCATAAAAATGTAATACAAAGAATATCATAATAGCAATCTTTACATATGCATTATTTTTAATTTATAAAGGACTAAGAACTGTTTCTGTGTTCTAAATACTCTAAGTAATACATTTTCTAAGTAATAAAATAATTTTGAGAAATGCTATAAATGTCATGTTCATCTTTCCATTCATAAAATACTATTCTTTCTGCTACCGTGCTGTGGTTTCTCCCAATCAACAGAGTTGCTTATAGACACTCTCTGAAGTCACGTCCACCCCTGGACAACTTGATAGATGGCTTTTAAGAAAGAAATGAAACATTATTTGGGGGAGGGTGGAACAATATGGAAGAATATAAAGCTTCATCCATCATCCCACCCACAAGAACACAAAATTAACAAGTATCTACACCAAAATTGCCTTCATCAGAACCAAAAATCAGGTGAGCATTCAGAGTACCTGCTTTTAACTTCATACTGAAAGAGGCACTGAAAAGGATAGAAAAGACAGTCTTGAATTGCCATTGCCACCCCTCCTTCATCCCCTGGCAGAGGCCACATGGGATGGAGAGAAAATTTTTGCACTTAAGAGAGGGAGAGTTCAACAATTGTGAGGCATTGCATTGAACTCAGTGCTGCCCTGTCACAGCACAAAGCAAAACTGGACTGAACTCAGCTGATATCTGCCCTTGGAGGAAGTGTTTAAACCAGCCCTAGCCAGAGAGGAATTGCCCATCCCAGTGGTTGGAATTTGAGTTCTAGCAAGCCTTAACACTGTGGGCGGAAGTGCTCTGGGGCCCTAAATAAACTTGAAAGGTAGGCTAGAAAACCAGGACTGCAGCACCTAGGCAATTCCTAGTGCTGAGCTGGGCTCAGAGCCACTGCACTTTGGTGGCACATTGACCTACTGAGACACCAGTCAGGGTGGTAAGCGAGTGCTTATGCAGCCCCTCCCCCAGCCCCAGGCTGCACAGCTTGTGCCCCAAAAGAGACCCCTTCCATCTACTTGAGGAGAGCAGAGGGAATAATAAAGAGAACTTTGTCTTGCATCTTAAATACCAGCTCTGCCAGAGTAGGATAGGGCACCGTAAGAGTTGTGAGACCTCCTTTCCAGGCCCTAGCTCCTGGATGACGTTTCTAGATATACCCTGGGCCAGAAGGGAACCTGTTGCCCTGAAGGGAAAGACCCAGTCCTGGCAGGATCCATCACCTGTTGATTAAAAAGCTCTTGGGCCCTGAATAATCAGCAGCAATATCCAGGTTGTATGCCATTGGCCTTGGATGACACCCTGAGACTTTCTGGCTTCAGCTGAGACTCAGCACATTCCAAGATGTGGTAACTATGGGGAGAGACTCTTGCTTGAGAAAGCAGAGGGAAACGTAAAGGGGACTTTGTCTTTCACCTTAGATATCACCTCATCCCTGGGGGTTAGAGCACCAAGCAGGCTGTCCTGAATATTCTTGGGAATGATCAATGAGTTAATGAAGTGATTAAGAAGAAAATTTAAAATTTTCTTGAAACAAATGTTAATGAAAACACATCATACTAAAATGTGTGGGATACAGCCAAAGCAGTACTAAGAGGCAAGTTTATAGCTTTAAGTGCCTACATCAAAAAAAGAAGAAAAACTTCAAACAAATAACCTAACCTAGTTCTTAAAGAATTAGAAAAGCAAGAGCAAACCAAATGCAAAATTAGCAGAAAAGAAATAATAAAAATCAGAGCAGAAATAAATGAATTTGAAATGAAGAAAGGAATACAAAAGATCAATGGAACAAAAAGACAGTTTTTTGAAAAGTTAAAATTGACATACTTTGAGCCAGACTAAGTAAAAAAGAGAGAAGATGCAAATAAATAAAATCTGAAATGAAAAAGAAGACACTATAACTGATACCATAGAAATTGAAAGGATTATTAGCAGCCACTACAAGCAATTATAAGCCAATAAATTTGAAAACCTAGAAAAAAATGGATAAATGGCTAGACACATACAACCTACCAAGATTGAACCATGAAGAAATCCAAAACCTAAACAGACCAATAACAAGTATTGAGATCATAGTTGTAATAAAAACTCTCCCAGCAAAGAAAGTCCAGGACTCAATGCCTTCACTGATAAATTCTACAAAACTTTAAAAAAAAGAAATAATCCAAATCTTACTCAAACTATTTCCAAAAATATGTGAAGATGGAATACTTCCAAACTCATTCTGTGAGACCAGTATTACCCTGATACCAAAACCAGACAAAGATACATCAAAAAAGGAAAGTACAAGTCAATGTCACTGATGAATATTGATACAAAAATCCTCAACCAAATATTAGCAAATTGAATTAAACAATACCTTAAAAAGATTATTCCTCATGAACAAGTAGGATTTGTTCCAGGAATGCAAGGATGGTCTAACATACACAAATCAATCAATGTGATACATATCAACAGAATGATACTGAATGGAGGAAAACTGAAAGCTTTTCCTCTAAGATGAGGAACATGACAAGGATGCCTACTTTCACCGTTATTCAACATAGTGCTGGAAGTCCTAGTTAGAGCAATCAGACAAGAGAACGAAATAAAAAATATCCAAATTGGAAAGGAAGAAGTTAAATTATCCTGGTTCACAGATGATATGATCTTATATTTGGAAATACCTAAAGACTTCACAAGAAAACTGTTAAAACTTATAAACAAATTCAGTAATGTTCCAGGATAAAAAATTAATATACAAAAATTGGTACCATTTCTATATGTCAAAAGTAAACAATCTGAAAAAAAAAAACAATTTAGCAATCCCATTTACATTAGGTACAAATAAAATAATATAACTAGGAATTAACTAAAAAAGTGAAAGATCTCTTAAATGAAAACTATAAAAAATTGATACAAGAATTTGAAGAGAATGCCAAAAATGGAAAGATATTCCATGTTCATGGATTGAAAGAATCAGTATTGTTAAAATGTCCATACTACCCAAAACAATCTACAGATTCAATGCAATCTTTATAAAAATACCAATGATATTCTTCACAGAAATAGAAAAAACAGTCCTAATATTCATATGGAACCACAAAAGACCTAGAATATCCAAAGCTATCCTAAGCAAAAAAGAACAAAACTGGAGGAATCACATTACCTGACTTCAAATTATGCTCCAGAGCTTTGATTAATCATAACCAAAGCAGCATGATACTGGCATAAAAGCAGGTACATAGACCAATGGAACAGAATAGAGAACCCAGAAACAAATCCACACACCTACAGTGAACTCACTTTTGACAAAAGTGCCGAGAACACACACCTGGGGGAAAAATATCTTTTCAATAAATGTTGCTGGAAAAGCAGGATATCCATATGCAGAAGAATGAAACTAGACCCTGTCTCTTGCCATACACAGAAATCAAATCAAAATGGATTAAAGACTTAAATATAAGACTTCGAACAATGAAACTACTACAAGAAAACATTGGTGAAAATCCCCAGGACATTGGTCTGGGCAAAGATTTCTTGAGCAATACCCTACAAGCAAAGGCAAGCGAAGCAAACATGGATAAACAGGAACACATCATGTTAAAAAGCTTCTACCCAGCAAAGGAAATAATCAAAGTAAACAGACAAGTCACAGAATGGGAGAAAATACTTGCAAACTACACATCTGATAAGGTATTAGTAACTAGAATATATAAGGAGCTCAAACAACTCTATAAAAAATTCTAATACTCTGATTTAAAAAATGGGCAAAATACCTGAATAGACATTTCTCAAAAGGAGACATACAGATGGCAAACAGGTATATGAAAAGGTGCTCAGCATCATTGATCTTCACAGAAGTGCAAATCAATGCTACAATGAGATATCATGTCACCCCAGTTAAAATGGCTTTTATCCAAAAGTCAGGTAATAACAAACACTGGTAAGGATGTGGAGAAAAGGAACCCTCCTCATACACTGTTGGTGGTAATGTAAATTAATACAACCGCTATAGAGAACAGTTTGGAGGTTCCTCAAAAAACTAAAAATAGAGCTATCATAAGATCTAGCAATCCCATGCCTAGGTATATACTCCAAAGAAAGGAAATCAGTGTATAGAGGAGATACCTGCACTTCCATGTTTATTGCAGCACTATTCATGATAGCCAAGATTTGGAAGCAACCTAAGTGCCCATCGACACTTAGGTTATCAACAGATGACTGGACAAAGAAAATGTGGTACATTTACAGAATGGAATATTATTCAGCTATTAAAAAAATGTCATCTTCTCACTTGCAACAACATGGATGAAACTGGAGGTCATTATGTTAAGTGAAGTATGCCAGGCACACAAAGACAAACTGCATGTTCTCACTTACTTGTGGAAGCTAAAAATTAAAACAATTGAACCTATGGAGATAGAGAGTAGGATGATTACCAGAGACTAGGAAGGGGGTAGTAGACGGGTGGCGGGGGGAAGTAGGAATGATTAATAGACACAAAATATAGAAAGAATGAATAAGACCTAGTATTTGCTAACACAACAGGGTGACTATAATAAAAATTATTTAATTGTACACTGTAAAATAACTGAAGGAGTATAATTGGATTGTTTATAACACAAAGAATAAATGCTTGATGTGATGGATACCCTAATGTGATTATTACACATTGCATGCCTGTATTAAAATATCTCATGTAACCCATAAATATATACACCTATGTACCTACACAAATTAAAAAAGAAACAAAAAAATCTTATTATTCCATATTGGTGAAATATAAGGAGAATTTAGTAGTTTAGACTCCCTCCCTCCCTCCCTTCTTTCCTTTCTTCCTTCTCTCCTTCCCAACAGGGTCTCTCTGTTGCCCAGGCTGGAGTGAAATTGTACAAGCATAGCTGACTGCAGCCTTGAACTCCTGGGCTCAAGCAATCCTCCTGCCTCAGCCTCCCAAGTAGCTAGGACTACAGGCATGCACCATCATGCCTAGCTAAATTTTAAACATTTTCTAGAGATGAGGTCTACTATGTTGCCCAGGCTGATCTCAAAGAGTTTAGACATTTTCAAAGGAGAAAATGTGCTTATAGCAATCTGAAAAAGCTTATCTCAATTGACTGAAAAGGAACAGTTAAGAAATTAAATGGAGCTTTGTTGTATTAAAGGAAGTCTTGATCTTGATCACATGAACCGAAGCACCTCTCCTTTTCCGTCAATATTTGACTTTTAAAATCTGGATTACCCAGACTATAAACATGAAAGTTGCTTTTTTAAAACTCCTGTCATGCTCTCTGACTTGCAATAATCTCTTGAGCTTTCTTTCAGAAGTGACAGTGCTAGTTTGGAGAAAATTTTATTTTCTGGTAAAGTGAATTAATTTTTCTAGTTACATATATTTCATTGTAAATATATTTCTAGTGCTAGTTGATGGCAGGAGTTTCTGTTGATATAAATTGTGAACTTCAAAATACATGTTTTTAAATAAATGTTTTCCATCATACCATATAGTATTATTTTTCTAATGTGTCTCAAAATCACATTTGTGGTTGTGCATTCAGTGGGCTCCATGGCAGAGCTGGGGACCAGCGGGGCTGCCCCACAGCCATTGTAAGTTTATTGTGAGAAAGTTGGACGCAGCCCTGGGGACTCCTGTGAGCAGTATCTCAGGATGGCAGCACTAGGCCAACCTGAAATTAATTTTTGAAGGGAAGTTATATTTACGTCACAAATTAAAAGGTTAAACTTTTTTAAAAAAATACCTTCTTATACATTTTATAGAAACGTCATTTGAAAAATAAAAAAGAGATATAACATATGTTCTGAAACAGAGTTTCTGGAAATAGTTTCTGGAAAAGAAGAATGTGTAACAGATTTTATTGGTATATTTCATTCCTTTCAGTGAGAGCTTTTATTTGAAAGGTGTCTTGATTTCTACACCTTTGGAGACAATCAACACGGCTGGTGTGGTCCCATTAGAGGTCATATTAAGAATACCCATGAGTGAGCTCCTCTTAGTGGGAAGAGGCGAGAAGTGAAGCCATATGGAAAAAACTACCTCTCTTAGGGACACGGTGGTAATCTCAATCATGAAGATCAAGAAGTGAAGGCAAGTCTAGCCCAACTATTCTTTAGCTGAAGAATCAGCTAATGAAGTTATGTTTAAATCCACAGTCCTGGGCCCCAGCTAAAAAAAAAAAAAAAAATTCAGTTTATCTTGCGGATCCCAGGACTGCATATTTTAACAAGCATCCTGAGTCAATTAAGCTGATTCTCTGAACACACTTTGAGAAACATTCATCTGGCCCTTTCTGTATCAGCATCAATATCTGAGTGGTCTGATCTGAGCAACTGAGGCAGAACACAGCAGAAGAGCTTCAAGTCGCTATATTCTTGTCCAAGAACTTAACGTAATTCATATTACTTAAGTAATTAATGTTATTAATGACATAGAACAGAATTGGGACTCTTTTTAAGTCTCATAGAAAATTAGAAAGCAATGTATGTACTCCATATATGTGTATATATACATATAAAAGTATTATGTATTTTAAAAAGCCCATATGTTTGCCTCATTATCATTGCAACAAATCAAAATTCCAGATCTATATACAGTCAGCCCTTTGTGTCCATAGGTTCCCCATCCTCCCATCTTCTTTTTCTCCCTCTCTGTCACCAGACTATTTCTTCTCCTGAGTTATCAGACTAAATTATTTTCCTACCAAAATCATTTCAGCTTTTGTAAAAAAAGATCAACCTGCAAAAGAGATTATAGGGTGTGAGCCAAACCATGACAGTCCCTGGTAGAACACTCTTGCACATGTTTTACTCTCCAACATTATCGTTGAGTAGACTCAGAATGCAGAAGGATGAGCTCTGCCAGGAACGTGGGGTTGCTTGTTTCCCTGAAGACTAGTTATGACTGTCTTTTTTGAACCATGCAATCATAGCAGTGTCTTGACCTTTAATATTGATGACATAATGGTTTGTTATGTTTTAATTAAGCTCTAAGAATATTTCTGGCAATTTAGTATTACCTCTCCTGTGGCCTACACCCAGAAGTTACCCTTTCAAGGACGACGTAAAATATGATTCTGCTAATGCTAGTGTTTTACATGCCAGTCTTTTATTCAGCTCATGGTGTTTTCTTTTCTCCTAAAAATACTTTATAGCAAAGGAATCACATCTCAAAAAGAAAAGGCATTTATTAAACTAAGGGTAGAAATAAGAAGACCAAAAGGAATTGCCAAGAAAAGCTTTTACTAATGCTTCACATTAGGAATCTGCAGAAGCCTGTGAATGAGGAAATGGCCAGATTTAGGGAACTTGAATAATTGCCTTTGGAGAGCAAAGTTGTATTAATCTCATTGGCTTTTTGATTTGCTATTTTCCTCCCCATCTTATTCACTTCAATTTTTGTATTTTCTTTTTTCTTAGAGTGCTAACTTTCATGTTGCTTTTCTAAATTATGCACTACCCCTGCTGTCTGTCCCATTCTAATTAGGCCTTTTCTATTTATACTTACAATAGTGTAAAATCTCAAGACACAACTTTTCTTGCTCCTAGAGTAGGTGAGCCACAAATGAGAAGTTCAGATAGATGCAGTTTAACAGAGTCAGCAAGAATACTGACATACCCATGAGAAATCTGCCTTCCAGGTCTGACAGGTGACACCTTTGCAATGATCAGCCTTAATGGTTGATCTGCATTACTAACATTTCCTTGGTAATCTGATGTCACATTGCAAGCAGCTCAATATTATAGGGTTTTTATCCTACATCATTAGACGTACTTCATAAATTTTGCCCAAGAGGCAGACTTGGCTTTTACATATTTCTGTTTATTTAATGAAAAATAGATTTCCCTTTTTTCTTCCTATGTGATTTGTAATACTGCATATTAATAGATATTGAATAGAAAATACTTGTATCATATTCTCAAACATTTGAATGTGCTATATAAGCTCTATTCATGTCAAGTAGGACAATGATTTTATTTACTTTTTCAATTATTATGACATCATTTTTATTGGTAGGACTATTTTTGCATGGAGTAGAAAAGGGCAGCCAATTTAAAAAGCTTCTTACGATAGAAGCATTGTCATTGTTCTCCACCTAGTACCTATTGCAGTTTTTCCTAAAGTAAATTGAATTAACTGGACAAGGAGCTTGGTGACCCAAATTTTACTTCAGCTATCAGGCGACCTTCTTTGTAGCAAAAGTGAATCCCTTAGAAGTCTTTTGACCTTTGTTCACAGTTACACAGCTTTCAACGTTTTCTGGTTTAACTCAGAGCGCAGCACAGAGTTACAAACGAAAGAGACACCTTGCCCCTGGGGCACAACCAATTCATTTCCAGATAATTCATACCTGCAAAACTCTGACTTGCCTGCACCAGCCACAGACTCCACTGTTGATTGCAGTGTTGCAGCTAAATTATCTGGAATCAAGGTCCAGTCTATATATCCCAGATATAGTTTTGGAGAAATCTTTTCTCTTTATATCGTATATTATAAGAATAATAATATAAACTCAATCAAGAAAAGCTATTTTTAAAATACTAAACTGAAAAATTTATCTGCCAATTTTAATTGCACTTTGGTTCCCCCTGTATATGCTGATACCCAATCTCAATGTGAGACTGATTTTTCTTCTCATACTTCCCCTCTGTTTGCTCCTTACAGCAAAGTTCCATCAAAAAAATGAATATTAACTAAAAAGAGACGAAAAAAGGGAAACTTCATAACTTACTGACTTTCTATAAAACATCCTTTATTTCCTAGCAATGTGGTTGAGGTGCGTTAGAGGAAGACAAGAAGGCAAAAACTGAAAACGTCTTCTCTAGAAATGACAGAGTTTTTTCTGCCTACATTCAACTTGAATAGGCCTTAATGTTTTTGATCTGTTTGAGACCACTACTCAAATATTCTGTAGAGTTCACATGGGACCAAAAATTGATTTAAGACATGAAAATTAGACCTGTTGACAAAAGCTAAGGGAAGTGAGGTTATTTCACCTGGAGGAGAAAGACAAGGAAGGCATGCAATTCGAGCATGGAAAGGGTATTGCATAAAATACGGATGACAGCTATTCCATTTGAACCTGAGTTTCACATTTAATTCCATTTGAGCAAAAATGCAGTTCAGTTTTAATTTATAAGAGGAGAAATTTGGAATCTATATTAAATCTTCTTAACTAGAACAAAAAAAAATGAAAATTAAACATTCTTCAGTTATAATTAGAACCAAGATTGTCTTTGCTTAATAAGGCCTGAAAGCAAAGACGTTTTTTAGATGAGAATGGGTATGACTGTGTGCTTAGTACTTACCATATCTCAGACCCTTTGAAGCAGGAGTAGGCCTCTAGAAAATTATGAGGACTTCTGTGTAGTCTCACTGCTTTTTATGTATGGCAGAGAAGTACAAAGCAAAAGAAACCTTTCCCCAGAAAAACCCCTGGAATACAACCAATTCACTCAACAGGTAATTCATACCTAGAAAAATGGTTTGGTAGCACCAAAGACTCCAATGCTAATTTCAACGTTGTACACAAATTATCAGGAGTCAAGGTCCAGGCTAACACAGCTTCGCCAATGTAATGATCACAACAGTACAAGTGATGAAACAGAGGCAGAAAGAAGTAGCTTGACCAGACTCACACAGCCAGTAAGTGACAAGGTTAGCTGAGAATCAGTCTATTCATGCCAAAGCTTATATTCTTTCCATTATTTTACAATATATACCTAAGTGAAGTTTAAAAGTCCTTTGCAAACTCTGGATTCTACCAATACATGTCATTAATGATAGATAAGAATATTTTAGTTTTGTTTTATGTGCTAAGTAGAATTCAAGGTTAATAATAGGACAATGAAATAACTTTCTCACTCACCCCCACTCCCTTTTTTTTTAAAAACGGAGTCTCCCTCTTGTTGCCCTGTACGGAGCCTCCCTTTTGTTGGAGGGCAGTGGCACAATCTCGGCTCACTGAAACCTCCGCCTCCCGGGTTCAAGCAATTCTCCTGCCTCAGCCTCTGAAGTAGCTGGGATTACAGGTGCCCGCCCCCATACCCGGCTAATTTTTGTATCTTTAGTATAGACGGGGTTTTGCCGTATTGGCCAGGCTGGTCTCGAACTCCTGACCTCAGGTGATCCGCCTGCCTTGGCCTCCCAAAGTGCTGGGATTACAGGTGTGAGCCACTGTGCCCAGCCCTCACTTCCCCGTTTTAAAATTCTAAAACCCTATATCTCCTTATGGCTAAATATAAAGTAACAATTAAAATCTCAGAGAGCGTTCATAATTCAAGCTTTTATTTATCCAATTGTTCTTATCAGAAGTTCTTAAACTGTTTTTTATAGAGCAGTAAAGAGTATAAAAGAGAATATGTGAGAATAAAATACTTCCTTTGCAAAATTCAATATATTTCTGAGGCCTAACAGACCCCAATGAAGAAAATATCCACCAAATTATTAACTTCAATGAGAATGAGAGTTGAGGCATATAGTATAATATTTCTATAATTTTTTTTGCTGAACATAGCATGGTTTAATGAACAATAACCTTTGACTTCTTACAGAGAATCCATATCTCTAAATCAAAATGTATTTGTGTTCCTCTCTGCTTATATAGTTACATATATCATCTCAGCCCAAAGATATATTTTTTGTTGCAAATTTAAGGTGATTAAATGGTTTTTAATGGTAGCAATGTTGCAGTTTTAATTACAGTGTTTATTATCATGAAGAATTTAATGTAAATATATGACAATTAGCAGTATTCTATTGGGGAAAGCTGAAAATAATTTGTCCCAATCTGGAGATTTGCTGAGACCCATAATATGCATACACTAATTCCTTTGCCCTAACACCACCACTGTATAAAATATCTCTAGGGATTTTAAAAGGTAAAAGTGATATTCACAGCAGGAGTGACACAGCATATAAGGGAAACTTAAATTTGGCAGGCTTTTAGCAGGATTTTCCCCCATTAAATCACAGTAGCATAAAATAAGATATGTAAAATCACCTCATTACATTTATTTTTTAACTAGGATTTGTTTGTTTTTAAAGATCCAGGAAAAACTCACCAAATTCCTCTTCTCATACCCTACTCTACTTGAAATCCTGTAAGAATTACCAACTACATATTGATGATTTCCATTTTTGATAGATAATTTGAGTATGTAACTTTAAAAACATGAATCCTATAAACTAATGAGCAAGATTTCATTATCGAATAGCCCATTTTGCATTACTAAATGGACTACTTTTCTTAACTAACTTGGCACTTTTAAGTATATAAAGAAGCAAACAATAATGATTTTTAAAAATATTTCCACTTTCCAAGCCTTTATTCCATTTCCTGAATTTTAACCTGTCAAAAATGAAACGCATGCCTATGGAAAAGGTAATTACTTTTCTCCTTCTTTAACTTCTTCTTAATTAACTTTTAATCTATGCTGTTACAGAGGGAGCATGTCTTAATACTAAATGTGTCTAAAATGTAGGAGACAGAGATTTAAATCATTTAGATAAACATCTGCCTAGCACAGAGGCATAAAAATTACAAAATTAGGATATGGGTGGCTGAGTGCCAACAGTAGCTGCCAGCAAAAGCAAGATATTGCCTTCATTTAAAAAAAATCTTTTGCTTACAAACAAACCAACTTAATAAATGACTTCTAACCATACACTCTTATATTGGAGCACATTTCTTGTTTTATACTACATAAAATTCTAAAAACATGTGAATGAGAAATTGAAGGGAAATAACCATGCAATCATTTATGAAAGGCATGTTTTAATAGAGAAAAAATCAATAAATTGGAAAATTTTTACCATGAAGTGAAGCACTATTGCTTTGTTTAGTTGGAGTGGATTCTGTCAACAGTAATTTAAAGTAATCAGTTCAATGATATGATCCCTGGTTGGTGTTCAGATAATTACTATACTTATGTCTAGTAATTTTCAGCTATTAAATGGAATATAGAGTGGCAAGTAAAGACAGGAAGCTTTGACCCTTAATACCCCCTTTACTATATGTGTGTAATTTGTCTTCTAATAACTGAAATAACGTGACAGTAAAGTCCATACACACAAAATGGAAATAATCCTGCATCCTTTATTCAAGCCTGGTTAATCAAAATGTCTTGAATTTTTTTTTGCACAAGATGTAGTAGAAATACACACACACACACACACACACACACACACACACGCATAGAGAGAGAGAGAGAGGGAGAGAAGTCATTTATAAGCATACCTTGGAGATACTGCAGTTTCTGTTCCAGACTACCACAATAAAGCAAGTCACACAATTTTTTTTTGTTTCTCTGTCCATATAAAAGTTATGATACTGTAGTCTATTAAGTGTGCAATGAAATTATTTTTTTAAAAAATGAGCATTCCTTAATTTAAAAATACTTATTGGTAAAAAAAAAAAATTCTCACAATCAACTGAGCCTTCAGCAAGTTGTAATGTTTTCACTGGTAGACAGTCTTGCCTTGATGTTGATGACTGCTGACTGATCAGGTTGGTGACTGTGGAAGGCTGGGGTGGCTGTGGCAATTTTTAAAAATAAGACAATAAAGTTTGCCACATAGACTGACTCTTTGATAAATGATTTCTCTGTAGCATGTGATGCTGTTTGATAACATTTTACCCACAGTAGAAATTCTTTAAAAATTGGAGTCAATCCTCTCAAACCCTTCTACTGCTTTATCAGTTAAGTTTATGGAATGTTCTAAATCCTTTGTTGTAATTTCAGCAATGTTCACAGCATCTTCCCCAGGAGTAGATTCCATCTCCAGAGACCACTTTCTTTGCTCATCCATAAGAAGCAACTTCTCATCCATTAAAATTTTATCATGAGCTTATAGCAATTTAGTCACATCCTCAGGCTTCACTTCTGGTTCTCCTATTTTCACCACATTTGCAGTTAATTCCTCCACTGGAGTTTTGAACTTCTCAAAGACATCCATGAAAGTTGGAATAAATTCCTTCCAAACTCCTGTTAATCTTTATATTTCGATCCCCTCCCATGAATCTTGAATGTTCCTTTCCAGAAGGTTTTCAGTTTACTTTTTTTTTTTTTTTTTTACCTTTTCAAGATCCATCAGAGGAATTATTAGCTATGGCAGCTATACCTTATAAAGGTATTTCTCATATAATAAGACTTAAAAGTCAAAATTGCTTCTTGATCCATGGGCTGCAGGATGGATGTTGTGTTATCAGGCATCAAAACAACACTAATCTCCAATATCTTTATCAGAGCTCCTGGGTGACCTGGTTCATTGTCAATGAACAGTAATATTATTAATCTTTTTTTTGGAGCAGTAGGTCTTAACGGTGGGCTTAGAATATTTAGTAAACCATGCTGTTAAGAGATGTGCCATCATCTAGGCTTTATTGTTCCATTCATTAAGCATAGATGGACTATATTTAGCATAATTTTCAAAGGCCCTAGGATTTTTTGAATGGTTAATGAGCATTGGCTTCAACTTAAAGTCACCAACTGCATTTGCCACTAACAAGAGTCAGCCTGTCCTCTGAAGCTTTGAAGCCAGACATCGACTTCTCCTCTCTAGCTAAGAAAGTCCTAGATGGCATCTTCTTCCAATAGAAGGCTTTTTCATCTGTACTGAAAATCTGTTTTTTAGTGTGGCCAACTTCATCAATTATCTTAGCTAGCTAGATCTTCTAGATAACTTGCTGCAACTTCTACATCAGCACTGGCGCTTCACCTTGCACTTTATGTTATGGAGATGGCTTCTTTCCTTAAACTTCATGAACCAACTTCTGCTAGTTTCCAACTTTTCTTCTGAAGGTTTTTTTTTTTCCTCTCTCAGCCTTCATAGAACTGAAGAGAGTTAAGGCCTTGCCCTGGATTAAGCTTTGGCTTAAAAAAAATGTTGTGGCTGGTTTGATCTTCTATCCAGACCACCAAAACTGTCTCCATAACAGCAATAAGGCTGTGTCACTATCATTTGTGTGTTCACAGGAGCAGCACTGTTAATTTCCTTCAGGAACTTTTCCATTGCATTCATAACTTGGCTGTTTAGCATAAGACACCTAGCTTTCACCCTGTGTAAGTGTACATGCCTTCCTCCTCCAGCTTAATCATTTCTAGCTTTTTATTTGAAGTGAAAGATGTGTGACTCTTCCTTTTAACTTGAACACTTCGAGGCCATTGTAGTGTTATTAAATGGCCTAATTTCAATGCCGTTGTCTCTCAGTGAATAGAAAGTCCCAAGGAGAGGGAAGAGAGATGGGGGAGTGGCTGTTCCATGGAGCAAGCAGAACACATACAGCATTTATTAATTATGTTTGCTGTCTTATATGTATTCAGATCATGGTGCTTCAAAACAATTGCAATGGTAACATCAAAGGTCACTAATCATAGACCATCATAACAGATATAATAATAATGAAAAAGTTTGAGATACTGTGAGAATTACCAAAATGTGACACAGAGACAAAAAGTGAGCACATGCAGACGGCAAAATATTGCTGACAGACACTGTCTACACAGGGCTGCCACAAACCTCCAATTTGTAAAAAGCACAATATCTGTGAAGCTCAATAAAGCAAAGTACAATAAAATGAGATATGCATGTATCTCCTCTCCCTCTCCATATCCAAATGTAGTAAAGGAAGGAAAACAAACAATATATTTATTAAAATACTGTATTGAGAAAGGGAGGTAGAGGCATTACAAACCAGAAATTTCCATTAGCTTCTGAGATTCAAAAGGTGGATGAAGGGTATTAAATGTATAACACAAGTTAAGGGAACCCCAGGAAACTGCTACAGTGGTGCTGAAAGGTTAATGAATTCTTGACTTGTTGCAGGACATGGGGATCACAGTCCTTTTCTCTAAATAGTTTGTGTTCCACTGTCTTCTTGCTTCCAGTAGCAAATGTAAAATCTGACCAGTCAGTACAATGGTTTTACCTTTCAAAATATCTTGCTCGGGAGGCTGAGGCAAGAGAATCTCTTGAACCCAGGAGGCAGAGGTTGCAGTGAGCCAAGATCATGCCACTGCACTCCAGCCTGGGTAACAGAGCAAGACTCTGTCTCTCTCTCTGTCTATATATATATATATATATATATATATATGTATGTGTATATATATATATATATATGTATGTATATATATGTATGTATATATATATATATAATCAAGAATTTTTGTAAAAAATTTCATCCTCAGACTTCTGAATGGTTGTCTTTTTTTTCAGTTAGTGGATTATTATTTGTTTGTTATTTCAACTCCATTTGTTACCCTTTTCTTCTTCTGAAATACTGTTGGCATGTTAGATCTCTGGGATCTGTTTCTTATGATTATCATATTCTTGTGGGGTTTTTGGTCTTTGTTCTAAGTTATTTCTTCCATGTGATCTTATTACAAATACAAGTCTGAGCCATACCTGGCCTTTTCTAATTTAAATTCCAGTGTTTTATTTTATAATTTATGAATCACAATCATTATAGATTTTCTGACTATATCCGTTTGATGGTCCTCATTCATTTTATGTTACTGTTTTCTTTGAGTTCTTCATCAGTTCTAGTAATAATTTATTGGGAACTATCACTTAAAGAATTTTGGATCACTCACCATTCCTCAGGTTACTTATACCCTTTAAGGTTATTTTTTTTTTTGCCATATTTTCATTATATGTGCCCCCAGCCTTCACACATGGGGATATTATGGGTTCTGAGCTAAGGCAGACTTTCAGTGGAGGATGGTGAAATAAAATGGAAGGCACAGTCATTTTTGCTCCCGTGGTCAGGTTATGTTATCTGTCAAATGTGTTATTCTCTCTTGAAGCATCTGGGTACTGCATCCCCAGTCCCCTCTTTTTTTCACCCTGAGTATAAGTAAGAGCCCTGTATCACTCACAGGACCTGCGGGCAATGCAGCCCAGTAATGCAGGTGAGTGCAAGGTGACTGATTTCCTCCAAGCCTAAGAGAGTAACTGGGATCAAGCAACCTTTGAAAGACTACACAAAGCCAGTGTGCCCTCTCATCAGGGAGATTTGTAGATTTCAGTTGATTCTCCTTAGGAAAAAAATTTTTCCCTATACCATCTGCAGAATATTAGATTCATCCTCCGGCTCTACCCAGATGCCTCCAGCTTGCATGCACCATATTCTAAATGACTCCAAAGAGAGTTGGGAGGAAGAAGGAGCCAGGGATGAAAACCTTAGTTCCCAAACATTCCTTATTTTGAAAAGGAGACAAAAATATTGTTTATTTTGAATAATGTGACTATATATCTCTAAAACCTAAAGGATAAAATGAAATGCTTTTTAAACATAAGATAATTCAGTAAGATTATGGGTTACTATAATGAATGTCCAAAAATAAAACAGAAAACATAGCAAAATAAAAATCGAAAGAAAAAGGATAATGTATAATAACAATACAACCATAAATCTCTTGGAATGGAATTAATAAGCAATGTGTAATACTTATAATGATAAAACTATAACACTCTCTTAGAAAACAAAATGACATGTAAAGAGAGAGGTTTTCTTTGTTCTTGATTGGAATATTTAGCACTGTAAAGAGGGTAGATATCTTAAAAATGTCTTCATGAAATCAGAACAAATATTCAGAATTCCAATAGGATTGCTTTTCTCGGGCATGGGAGTGGGACAGAGAGTTGGAATGCTACAACACAAATAAATCTCAAGTACCTGATACATTACATATGAGAGGATTCAGAAAATTCCTTCCCAAAATAAAATATATTATAAAACTAGAATTAAAATATGATGTAAATGAAGAAATACATTACAGAAGCAATGATTTTCAAGACATCAGACATCAGGCTATGAAGAACTATGCTACTTGAGTGATGGGAACAATTTAGGGAAGTCCCATAAGGAGTCTTCAGCTAAAACCTTGAGATAGCTTTTGGGAAATGGCATATGGCAGACTCTCTAAGAGGAGAAGTTGAAAAGTGACTCAAGTTTGTGAGACAGAGTACTAAGAGAGGTAAGTCCTTCATAGAGAAACTCGAATATCTTCAAACGGATCTCCTGAAGCATTTAGCAGAGTACTAATCAACACATATTTATGAGGAAAGTACATAAAGCTTGGAAAGAACATGTGAAAGGATTAGAGGAAGGGAAGCAGTGCCAAAAGCTGAGATATGGTGCTGGGAATTATGCGTGTTATAACCAGACAGATTGGAAAAACTCATAATCCACAGGGCACTAGGTTAGTACTCAGGAAAGTCTCATAATTTCATTTGGTGTATTAGTATGAGTTTTCCAGAGATATAGAACCAATGGAATGTATGCATGCGTGTGTATACATATACTTTAAGAATTGATTGTGGAGGCTGGCTAGTCCAAAATCTCCAGGGCAGACCAGTAGGCTGGAGACTCACAGAAGGGTTGATATTGCAGTTCAAGTCTGAAGGCAGTCTTGATGCAGAATTTTCTCTTACATGGGGGTCCTCAGTTTTTTTCTCTTAATGCTTTCAACTAATTGGATGTGACCCACCTGCATTATGGAAGGTAATCTGCTTTACTTACAGCTACTGATTGCATCTAAAATATACCTTCATAGAAACATCTAGGCCTATGTTTGACCAAAAACTGGATACTATAGTTTAACAAAGTTGACACATAAAATTAATCACCATACTCAGTATTTTACAGTACTCAGAAGTTGCTTCAGTAGTGAGGAGTAAGCAGCCCTAGGTTGAGCACTGCTCTGGACCCATTTAACAAGTTAGAAGGCAAGACTCAAAAGGATGGAGCTATAGGAGGAATTTTAAAAATAATTTAACACCCAACAAGATAAAGTTCCCAGTGTTTGTTATCCAATAAAAAAGCAGGAAAATAGCATACATAATGAATAAAAGCATGCACACACACACACACACACACACACACACACACACACACGCAGTGTGTAGTATTCAGAAGAAAGACTGCTACAGTGATATGTTAAAATGTATTATCAGCATTTCTATTGTGATCTTTAATAGACATCTTAAAGTTACATCAAAAACCAACCTCCTGGGCCAGGCAGAGTGGCTCATGCCTGTAATCCCAGCACTTTGGGAGGCCGAAGTGGGCAGATCCCTTGAGGTCAGGAGTTCGAGACCAGCCTGGACAACATGATGAAACCACATCTCTATTAAAAATACAAAAATTAGTTAGGTGTGGTGGCACATGCCTTAATCCCAGCTACTCAGGAGGCTGAGGCAGGAGAATCTCTTGAACCCAGTAGGCAGAGGTTGCAGTGAGCTGAGATCGTGCCACTGCACTCCAGCCTGGGCGGCAGAGCACGACTCTGACTCAAAAAAAAAAAAAAAAAAAAAAAAAAGAAACCAAAACCAACCGCCTGACCTCACTACAACATTACCACATCCCCAAACATGCATTTCCCACTACACAACCCATTTCAATTGATGGCAACACAATCTTTTCAGATGGTGAGAACAAAAACCTTGAAGTTATTATTTTACTCCTCTCTTTCTCTCCAGTTCCACATCTAATTCATCACAATATCTTGTTGGCACCACCGCACCTGTTGTAATAGCCTCCTCTTTTTTTTTTTTTTTTTTTTAGTCTCTGCTCTCTTATAGTTTAATCTCGACATGGTAAAACAGAGTGATTCTTGCAACATGTGACTCTGATCAGTCACTCCTATGGCCAGTCTCAAGAAAGGATTTTCATTTTATTCAAATAGAAGCTAATGTCCTTCCAGTGACCTACATGATCTGCTCCTCCGCTTTTCTTCTGACAACATCTCCTATGATTCTCCTAGCTCAGCACTGTCTAATGATGAAATGTAATGTGAGTCACATATGCAATTTTAAAGTTTTTAGTAGCACATTAAAATGTTGAAAATAAGTGAAATTAATTTAATAACATTATATTTAACCCAACATTTCAAAAACATCATTTCAACAACATGAAACCAGTATAAAAATTCAACAAGTAATCAATATAAAAATGATTTTTGGTATTTTTTTCATGCACAGCCTTAAAAATCAGAAATGTATGTTATACTAATAGCACATCTTAAATTGGTTTAGCTCAATAGCCATGTGTGATAAATGGGTACTATATCAAACAGCACAGTGCCAGCTCTTGCCTCTCCAGGCACATTGGTTTCCTTTATATTCCTGGAACATGCCACCCATACTTTTGCTTCACAACCTCTCTTATCTAATGTGCTGAAATGCCATAATACCACATACTGGGTAATTTATAAACAATGAAAATTTATTTTTCATGGTTCTGGAGGCTGGAAAGTCCAAGATCAAGGTGCTGGTGAAGGCTTCCCTGTCTGCTTCCAAGATGGCGCCCTTTTGGTGCATCCTATGGAGAGGAGGAGCACTGTGTCTTCACATGGCAGGAGAAACAGGTCAACAATGGGGCAATTACTAGTTCCCTCCAGCTTTTTTATCAGGTCACTAATTCCATTCATGAAGGCTCCACCCTTATGACTTAATCACTTCCTAAAGCCCCACCTCTAATACTATCACATGAGCAATTAGGTTTCAACATATGAATTTTGGGGACATTCAGACAGTAACACAGCCTTTGCATCAGTTGTTTCCTCTTCCAGGAACTGCTTCCTCCATATATAAACATGGATTGTTTTCTTACCTCCTTCCAGTCTTTTTCAAATGTCACCATTTCCATGAGGCCATGCCAGATTACTTTATTTAATGTATCATTTATTATGTTTTAATAATACATAAATTACTTATTTATAATGTTTATTATCTATCTCTCCTCTCACTGTAAACTCTCCTATGAGGGCAGGAATTTTCGACTGTTTTGTTAATTTATATACTCCCAACTTCTCATAATCTCTATTCCATAGAAGTTCAATAAATACCTGCTGAATGAATGAGAAGAATTAATGCAGTCGGATATTATGCTCTCATTCCAACAACCTAGAGTCATGTACTGATTTTGAGAGATATTCAGGATATTTTGGCAAAGAACAAAATAGACATATTGAATAATTGTGGAAACATATATCCTTTTATTATTTCAAAACGTGTCTTTGGATATGAGTATAGCTGTGATTGAGATGACATATCATGTTTATAAAGAAAGCATAATATCTAGTTGCTATAATTAATTGCGTCTGTCTAGAGAGTAGAAATCTGTGGAGAGAGGACACTTTCATAGTTTTTAATTATACTTATATATATTTAGCTTTTTAAATAATAAGTATGCTCCTTGTGATAATTTAAAAATACTTATAGGTTTAAAAACTGGTAATGTCATAAAATATTGGGAGCAATTATTCTCTTGTTCTAAAAATTAACTCATTTAGGGTGCTAAAATCTATTTCTTGGAGGTCCCCTTTGTAAAACCCTGTAGGTATTTTTCCAGAAATATTCGGAGACCTCTACATTGTATGTGTATTATTCTGACCTCCTTTTGTATAGGGCTATCTGCGTTTCATCATTTTAATTCCAAGGAGTGATTTTATAAACTGTTCCTCAGTTCATAGTCTTTGCAATTAAATTGTAAGTTGACCCACTAACTGAATTACAGAAATCAGATATAAACAAATGAACAGATTTCAGCTGTTCATTTGATATATTGGTTTGAATTAGTTTTAATGGGCCACATGGCAGTTTTCTAGCCTGTAATTGCTATTAAACAGAATTCTGTAAATTCACTGAAGATGTTTAAATACTCTGTGTGGTAATACAACTGATTTGTGTTTTGTACAAGTTAATAACTATAGATTGAATTAAAAAGAAAATATGACCAAAAAAGAGGGTCTATTTAATGCAGTTTTTGTTTTATTACTTTGGAAGATTCATATGTCTTAATTTCAATTTTTCTTTTATTTCATTTTTTCAAAATAAAATTATAAGAATATAAGAATAAATAATAATAACAGTAACTTGTATTTCTACTGTGCTAAGAGCTTTAAATATTTTTTCTCATGTGATTCTTACAATAAACCTATAAAGTTGATATAAATATTATCTCAGTTTTTACAGATGAGAAAGTTGAGGTTTAAGAAGGCAGAATAACTTATCTATGTCCACAGAGCTAACAAGGTTAGAATCAACACTTATATATTATTGTTAGTTTCATTCTAAAACTGTGTTTTTAAGCATTATGTCACTAATATATTTATCCTAGTGAAAATAATTCTTCTGATCATCTTTAAAAATAAATAGGCCTAAAATTGCAAAGGGATTTTGACCTCAAATCGATTATAAATCCATTATATGAAACTGTTATATATGGTATCGCATCACAATACTTAGAACACCGACTGGAACATAGTAGGTATACAATAAATAATTTTGAATTAATGAAATTATGAAAGTTCTCATCTAATATTCTAAATCTTTACAGTGAAGGGAAAAATACCTTTTAAAGTGGGAAGAACAAAAGCAAATGGCACAGGGTGTTAGTATTTGAGAATGGAATAGTCAAATAAAAGGGATTCAAATTCACTTGACTGGATCATTTAGAAAAACTACAAATAAAGCTGGAAAGTGTCAGGCTATTCCATAGTATGCCTACTTTACAGATTACCAAATACATATAGTTTATGTGAGTTTGTATACTTAACAGGGGAATATTTATTTCCTCTGTTAATTTTATGCATGTTGAAATATGTGAGGGCCTGGTTAAAATAAGAAGCCCTCTCTGTAGCCCAGATAAAATGAGCCTCTCATTCTTCTCCATTAAATTAGGAGACATTGGTTGGCCTTTAAATATCATTCTGGACTAGTTAAGCAAACTCATAATGTTTGACTTCTGTTTGACCAGCTCCTCTCTCCAAACTTTGTCAACCACAAAATATCGTATGACACATTATATATACCTGATGATACTCAAATACTCTTCATCTTTTTATTCTCTACCACTTTACTAGTGCAGATTATCATCTGTTCTAGAACTAATGATGAAATCACCTTCAAATTATTCCCCTTGTGTTAGAAGTCCAGCTTGTTGACCACTTCTTCCCACTATCACCATATTTATCTTCCTAGAACATGTGTCTGTTCTTAAATCTTGCTAATTCCCTGTCACCTTTTGCTAATTCCAGGAGGAAGTGTAAAGCTTCCTCATGAAATTAAAGAAGTCTGCCACAGCCACCTTTCCTGGCTCACCTTCCCACAATCCTCCAGCAAACCTGAATTGCAATCATAAAGACCAACTCTGGCTGCCCCAGATAACCAAGCACCATCTGAGGCTGAATCTTGTTTCTAAAATGCTGTAGCTCTTCCTTTGTTATCAGTCAAAACCCTTCTCAAACATCAAGGCTCAGAAAAAATGCCATCTGTTTCATGATGTTTTTCCTAGTCTCCCCTATTTTACTCCTACCTTAAAATTAAGCATTTCCATAAAACTTTACTTATACCTACATTTATTGCATATCTCCTTCCCATATTTATTATAGTTGTCATTATTCTTTCCTTATTGGTTTCAAACTCTTTATGGACAGGTAAAGTGGCTCATGTAAGTGTTTCTCTTCCAGTGCCTAGAACAGGACAATATTTGCAGCAACAAAATATTCAATATAATAAAAATATGTTGTTTACTGAAAAAACACTCAATAAACTCAAAAACTACAATAAAATATTTTGTACAGAATAAAGATAGCAAAGAAAAAAACATAATTCTCCATATAATGGAAAAGGAACATGTTAAAACTTGTATTGATAACTAGATGAATATAGATGGATGTTTTACTGGAAAAGGGAAATAGAAGAGCAGAAAGGAAAACACATCAAAATTATTCTTTGATTTCAACTTTCCAAGGAAAAATTATTTTCAGGTACTAAGTTTGTCTGCATTGCAAAGGAGTGATTTTGTAATTTCCAGAACTGTCATCCTTTGTTCCACTGTTGTCCTTCACCCAGTATGCTCTCTGGGGGGTTTTAGGAGATTGCACACCAGGAGCGCTGGGCACAATGGCACTGAAGTCTTGCAGTGCAGGAAGCCTCAGCAATCAATTCCCACGCTTTCCAGGTGGTGCTGTTTGGTTCCATTCACATTAACTTTTCAGCTTTCTATGTGAAGAAAGCCTCCAGATAGTGAAGAGGGAGGGAGAGCAATAAGACCAGTGATTACAAATCCATCACTTTCATTGTTCCAGAGCCAGTAGCAGAACACAGCTGATAGACAAAGCACTGGTTTTGTTCAATAATTAGGTTGTTTCTTAGAGGAGAATATGAAGCCTTTTCAATATTTTACTCTTTTTAGAAAATATGTATATTGTATCAAACATTGTGTAGCACACAATAGAAATGGAGGTTTTAATAGTAGTCCTTATTGTGAACATCAAATATTAAAGGCAGTTTTGATTAGATTTGGGGAAGAATCAGCTCTACTGCATGCATAAAGCCAAAATATGTGGGACACTGGTCCACCTGAGAAGCAAGGTAGATATTTCCCAAATTAAGGGTAATTCAGGAGAGGTATTACTATTGCGTACACTTATAAAATATACTCAAAATTTGGGCAAAGATAAGAAAAGGATTTTTAGGCATATGGGTATGTGTATGTCTTTCTGAAAAAAAAAAAACTAAAATTTTAAGAATGCTATCATAATGATATACAAGTAAAATAGTCTGGATGTGAATACATCCGGGTCTTTTCAAGATGGTCCTTGCCAGGATTTTGTTGAAATATTATTTTCATGCTATCAAACGTCCTAAGTAAATGTCATTGTGGTTTCTTTATTTACTTTTTGGGCCCCTACTTTCTCACCGTATTTCCACCAAGTCTGACACCATGTTAGCTGTAAGTGGGGCAAAGAGATATTATAAAACATTCTTCAGTGATTAGAGACATAAAAACTATAAAAAATAATGTGTTACTTTGTAAATAGAATTCAAATTAGAATTTAACCTTCAAAATATTTTTTTTTGGAAAGTGATGAGAAAACACTGCATCTATATGGAAGCCGTGCAGTATAACAGAAAATGTCCTGTTGTATAAGGATGGAACACAGAATTTATTTCCACAACTATCACTGGCTCCTAAGACATTAAAGCTAGTCACTTAATTTCTGGTGTCTATCAATCAGTTCTTAAAAATGGAAACAATGATGCAAATTCATAACAAGAGATCATACAAATATTGGGATGATAAATAATATGTGACTGTATTTTAGTTGCCCAGTATGCCATTTTGTGATTATTTTTCAGAAAGGATTCATTCCTGAAAGGGAATTACAGAAAATAAGCACTATTGGTGTGTACTGTATTATTAGATATTTTTACACAAACCATTATGTTGAACTCAGAATAAAAGGCATATTTTAACTGGACATAGAGCCTTGATTTGTTCTAATAAAACCCTAATTTGCCCAAGTTTTATCAGTAACCATGGTTCCCACATAGTACTCATGGAGGTGGCCATGGTTTTTATTTTCTAATAAGACTCACTGTGGTACAAGGTCTGACTCAGAGCTTTTCCTAGGAATATAAAAAGGATAAATAAAAATGTAAAAGAAAAATTATCAAACTGTCCCTTGATAACTAAATGGTTGATCATAAATTGGAGTGTCTATGCAAATGAAGTAAATAATTAAAATCTCCAAGAACAGCATTGACTAGGTGGTTGATGACTGGCAATTATAAAAGCTGAATTTTTAATATGCATACATCCAAGGAGCCAGTAAAAATTAGCTCCCAGACTAATGGACTTGCCTTTCTTCCGAAGCAGAATTTTAATGAGAGCATTATTTATAACGGAGAGCCCAAGAACCAGGGTATTCTTGCTTAGTCTCATTTTTTTTTCCCTGACACCTTATCCATTAAACTATGAACTTCTTTACAGAAGAATAATACTTTATTCCCTAAGAAGTAAAGGTCAAAATGACCTCAGAAATTCGTTGCATTATATATACTCTAAAGACATGCCACTTAGGACAAAAGAAATCATAAAGCCTGTGTTTCTAAATACCCAAGTTGTATATGCTTTTAAAATATATTTCATAAGATCAAATTACATTCCATATAGTTTTGCCCTTCCACAAATTTTCTGTGTGATTATTTCCTACATAAGATAAAATGCAAAATCTTTGAAGGACACTTAAATCTTTTTGCATATATTTTTATAAGGCTTGAGAATGGTTTTAATCATTCCGATACGTGTATATTGTTAAGCTGCTAATTTCTTTGAGGCCATTGAAAGGGTTTAATTTTTCCCTAGAAACACCATTTTGTTATTGGCAGTCTGTGTTATAAACATCACAGAGTTTAGGTTGCCACTTTCCTTTTTGATATTTCAACCGGAGCGATGTCTGGTTTTGCTTTCATGACTCTTTCCCCCACAGTTGTAACTAAGCAAGGACTGTTTGGCAGATAGCATCTAAGGAGATTTTATTGTCTGGGTGACAGCTCCCTTAAACTATGAGTCAGGCAAAAGCCTGGTCCAAGGATGAGTCAGAGAGTGGTTTACTCAGAGCTGCCTTAAACAGAAAGTCACTAGTTCCCATCCAATTCTATCCCTTCACCCTCATTCCAGTGCCAACCTAAAATCATATGACCAAGGGAGATGGGTGGTAAAAGCATTATCAGGAGGAACATGATAAATGAGGTCTCATTAGTCTAAGCTTGTTCCCTTCTGTCACCTTTTTTTTTGTTGTTTTTAAGCCCTCAGTATTTTAGAAACTTCTATATCTACTCATATATACTGAAGAACCTAAATTTTCTAAAAAAAATCATAGATTTTATTAAAAATCTCAGAATGTAGGTACCTTTCTAATGTCCAATATCAGATAGACAACAGACAAATGCTTAGGATAATTAGGTTCTTTATATCAACCAAGGCAAGGCCAGGAGCTTCTCACTGAGACTCTTTGTTCAATAAACTGGAGATTGTAACTTTGGTTAATAACATTGAATTGTGAGTATAGTTAAGTTTATTTTTATATGTGTTTTGGCAATTTTGTGTTTCTTCTCTTTTTTAATTGCCTATTTTTATCCTTTGCACATTTTCCTCTTGGGGAATTTTTTTTTTTTTCTGATTGGTTTGAAATACCTCTTTGTGCATTAAGACCATGAGTTTTTTCCTTGCAACAAGTATTTTTCAAGTTTGTTATTTGCCTTTTAATTTTTATACTTGTAATGCATAAGTATGTTTATGCTTCTGTGTGATCAAATATACCTATACTTTCCCTAATGTTTTATTTCTTATTTTTATATTTAGAAAAGATGCCCCTACTCTGATACCAGATGAATATTTACTTATCTTTTTCTGTAATTCTTGTTTGTTTACAACAAATGTAATTCATTTTGGCATATGGTATGGAGTAGATCTTTATTGTTTTCCAAATACTAAGCCAGTTGTCCAAAGGCTACTTATCAAATGTCATTCTTTCTCCACTGCTTTGAATTATGTGATTTATAACATAGATCTTCGTAGCTTTAATATATACAAAAGCAATTTTTTTTCTAGTCGGTTCCAGCCATTTATTTGTTTTACTCCAGTATTAGGAATATTTTACTATTTCTAGAAAACTGGAATATTTCCTCACCTAGTAAGTATTGTTTTTTGTCTTTTTAGCATCAAATGAGCTGATCATATAGATTCCCTCTTTTGATATATCAATATACTGATGTAATTAAGTCTATATTATATCAGTAGAGTTTCTAACATATAACCACCCTTGCTTTCTTAGAATAAATCCTACTTGGTTATGGTTTTATTATATTAACACATTACTAATATTTTTCAGATTTCTGCATATATATAGTATAACTGAGAATGTTATGCAGTTTTCTTTTTGATCTGTCATTGCCCAGGGCTTTATAATTTTTTCTTCTTAATTCATAATATAAATTGGAAAATATAGTAGAGAAAGTTATAAAAATATGGCTGAGTCAACTAAGAAATTCAATGATTCACCTTCATCTGCCCTACCCGGAAACTGTACAAATAACCAAAGCATTATAAAAATCGAGAAAATCTAAAGGTCTGCACCAGTACTGGAAACTAGGAAAGGAGTCTATCCACACAAAGAATATTGAGTAGTTTCTGCTGTATGTGGTGCATATAACAAATGAAGACTTTTGTGATAGATAACTCACAATTCCACATCCCAAGAAAATAGTGGAGTATCTCAGGAATATAGTTATACAGCTAGGAAGATCTTCAATAGCATCTCCTGATTTGAATAGGCAAGGGCTCAAAGCAAGGGCAGGTCTGTAGATAGATAAGATGCAAAACTTCTGCCCAAATAGTCTATGCTCAGCACATTAAATACAAGTATAGTCATATTAGCTCAAAAGCCTTCAGGCAGTCGGACTTCTCCCTGGTATGGCATTAAAAGCTATAAATAATAAAGTAATTCAGTAAACAGTATAAGGCATGTAGAGGATAAGCTTGAGATGATCATACAGAATATAGGAGAAAAAGAAAAAATAATGAAAACAACCAAAGGAAAACCATTTGCATAGATGACCGACCTTGAAAAACTAAGGTACTGATTTTTCTATATTAACCCAACATGAACTCCAACATAAAATTGGGAGTTACTGGTGGATGTCTCCATGTTTACTGCACCAATTATACAGAAGAGGCAGCTGTCAGTCAGCCTTTCCTATCCTCCTTCAATTTGGTGTTGTAGATTGCTGAAATACACTACAATGTTTTTGTGAGTATCATCTTTCCTTCATCATCAGTTCCCATTTGTTATATATATTTCTTTGGTCATTGTAATCAGGATCTAGGATGAAGAACACAATTTTTGCCTTATTCTTTTATGTCTTTATTTACTTAAGGCAATAACACTGTAATTTAGTTAGAAACTTAGTTCATTAACTCAAAAGAGAAATTATAACTAATTTTAAACTCTCTGAGTTTAGGTTTTAAAAATTAGTGAAATTTCTCATTGGTTTCAAAATAAATTAATCATAAATATGTACAAGCTATTTTTTAAGAAACAATATCTTAATCATAAAAGTCACAAATTGAACTTTTTTAAAAGCATTATTTACAGGAAGGTGCTTTTTTTCTTGCTGCACTTTTCTAAAGATAAATACATGACCCTTAACATTTCCAGTTTCCAGTTGTCACACATCTTTACAAAGGCAAGCACAAAATTTGCACCTGTTATATGAGAGAAGTAAATGTCCTTTGAGATACTTTGACAGATACATTATAACAAAGTAAAGCAAAATTTTTAGTCTTTATATAAAAATAAAGTAGAAATATCTAATTAAGGATATGAAGAAAGCTGGTACTATTTCTGATCTTTCTAATGCCCAAATGAATGTTGTATTGTTTCAAAGTTTCAAATTCTATTAAAAAATTGCTGGCAGATATGTTCTTATTAAACATATAACATCATACCACTCCTACACCCCGAACAATCCCACCCACCTTGAGTACAAATCATTTTCAAAATATTGTTTGTCAGGAATTTTTCTTCAGCTATATACCATTTAAGAATGACACTAAAGGGAAATACTAGACTAGGGAATCTGTTTAGGGAAATCTGCTATTGAATAAAATTGGCATAGATTTAATAATATGAGTTTGAAGATAGAAATGTAGGTGTTTGATAAAAATTTAGGTAACAGAAATGAAAGCATTTGAAAATAGACATTTAAGATATTTAAAAATAGAATCCAAGATGATGTCATTAAAAACTGTATTATCAGAAAAAGTAGAAGACAATATATTTTAATTAGGAGGGGTAGGACTTTTTAAAAAATGTTTAAAAATAAAAATGTAATGTATTTTAACAATAGGACAGGACAAACATCAGTTTTTTAATTAAAACCCAACTTGGATTTAGTTTCTATAGTACTTTAGATACTTGTATTTCCAAAATAATATACAGACAGCTACTCAGCATATGTGTGAATATGAACACATACAAATATATTAGGCCATTTCAATTTTTCATCACAAAGTTAAAATTTCTAGTGACAATTAGTGGTTCATTATTCCTTTTAGAAAAGTGGCTGAATATAAGATCAACATGAAAAGATACCTTGCAGTCCTATATACTTGTAACAAACAACTAGAAAATTAAATATAAAGTAAGATAACACTTAAAGTAGCAATAAAAAATCAACTACCTACCAAAATTGGTCAACAATATGGAATTTCTCTATGCTAAAAACTAAAAAATATTATTGGTGGAAATTTTTTCTTTTTTTTTTTTTCTTTTTTTTTGAGACAGAGTCTTGCTCTATCACCAGGCTGGAGTGCAGTGGCGCAATCTTGGCTCACTGCAACCTCCAACTCCCCTGGTTCAAGCGACTCTCCTGCCTCAGCCTCCTGAGTAGCTGGGATTACAGGCGCCCACCACCATGCCAGCTAATTTTTGTATTTTTAGTAGAGACGGGGTTTCACCATGTTGGCCAGGATGGTCTCGATCTCCTGAGCTCATGATTCACCTGCCCCGGCCTTCCAAAGTGCTGGGATTACAGGCATGAGCCACCACGCCCGGCCGGATATTTTAAAAGACCTAAATATATGCAGGAATATTTCATGTCTGTGCATTGGAAGAACTCAATAGCATAAAGATGTCAATTCTTCTCAAATTGATCTATAAATTTAGTGAAATACCAAATAAAACATTCCAGCAGTTTCTTTTATAGAAAGACAAGTGATTCTAAAATTCTTATGGCAATACAAAGGGTCAGGGATAGTACAGACAAGCTTTAAAAAGAACAGAGTTGGAAAACTTACACTACCAGATATCAAGACCTACTATAAGTCTTACTTTAATAATGACATGGTGATATTGGCTCAAAAATAGACAAGTAGAGTAATGGAACAAAATAGAAGGCCTAAAACTGAGACCCATATAAATGTTGCCACCACTTCAACAGAAGTTACACTGTAATTGCAATGGATTGAATGTTTGTGTCCCTTCTAAAATTGATATGTTGAAATCCTAATGCCCAATGTGACATTATTAGGAGTGAGGCTATTGGGAGGTAATTAGGTCATCAGGGTGCACCTACATCCACGCAAATCATATTAGTGCCCTTAAAATGGAACACAAGGGAGTTCTCTCACTCTCTGCTATGTGAGAATAAAATGAGAAAACAGCTATGTGTGATCCAGAAGAGGGCCCTCACCAGAACCCAACCATGCTAGCACTCTGATCTTAGACTGCCAGCCTCCAGAACTGTGAGAAATAAATTTCTATGTTCATGAACCACTAAGTCTATGGTATTCTGTCACGGAAATCTCAACTAAGACATAAATACAATGGAAGAGAGGTTGTTTTTATGAATGATATAGGATCAATTTCATATTCATATGACAAGTAATAAACTATTGCTCCAAACTTATACAATACACAGGAATTAATCCTAGATAAACTATATACCTTAAAGTGAAGTGCAAAGCAATAATTTTTAAAGAAGATAATGGAAGGGAATAGTCTAATCATCTTTGACTTTTGGGTATGTGAGGATTTATTAAATGGGCCACAACATGTATTATTACTGAAAGAGAAGATAGAAACACTTTCAATTATCAAAATCAAGAAATTCCATTCATTAACGCCATTATGAACTGAAAAGACAACCAGAGTGGGAGAAAATACCTGAAAAAAAGCTAGGGTACAGAAATATGAAGCACTCCTGTAAGTCATAATAAAAAGACAGTTTTCAATTAAAAAACAGGCAAGAGATTTGAACAGTACATATACAAAAAATATTCAAAGGACTAATAAATATATTAAAAGGCATTAAACATCATTAGTCATCAAGGAAATGTCCTTTGAAAACACAATGAGATACCACTATAAACGCAATAAAATGCCCCAAAGTAAAACAGCAGATAACGCAAACTGTTAGCAAGGATGCAGAGTGGGAAAAGAATATTAATAATAGCATTATTTTCAATAGTCAAAACCTACAACAACTTTAAATTTCCATCAACAGTAGAGTCAGTAAATAAATGGCATAGCTTCATACGTTGAAATACCATATACAATGAAAAATAATGAAATACTGCCACACAAAACAATTGAATTTTATAATCTTTTAAACATTATAATCTTTTAAACATAGGAGTGCTTCATATTTCTGTACCCTAGCTTTTTTTTTTCAGGTATTTTCTCCCACTCTGGTTGTCTTTCCAGTTCATAATGGCGTTAGTGAATGGAATTTCTTGATTTTGATAATTGAAAGTGTTTCTATCTTCTCTTTCAGTAATAATACATTTTGTGGCCCATTTAATAAATCCTCACATACCCAAAAGTCAAAGATGATTAGACTATTCCCTTCCATTATTGTACATTAATTATGTACAATAGTACATAATTAATACCATTTATGTAAAATTAAAAACTTTATTGATAAAAATCAAAATAGTGTTTACTTTATGGGGAGATAGTTATTGAGAAAGGGCATGAAGGAGGCTTCTGGACGCCGTAATGATCTACAAGTCAACTTAGGTATTTTCACTTGACATAAACTCACCAACTTAAACGCTTGTGATTTCAGCACTTTGCTGTAAGTATGTTATATACTCCAACAAAAATGTTTTCTTACAAAATAAAACAGAAATATGCAGAAGAAAAACTTCATATCCTCAGGGGAATAATGAACCATACGTCCTTAACACAGAGGCGAAATTCCACAGCAGCCCCACTCCTGAAGTCCAAGGCAGGGAAATACACACATGATGATAATTAAGTGAAACTGATTTATTTTTATCTCAGTATACATTTTTGTAGCGCTATATGACTTCATGTGTTGTGCTTAAGGAAATGCATTCTTATATCTAAAGTAAGGATGAACAGATTGTAAATTCAAGAACTGTGCTGGAGTTTAAGACTTTTTTATAGTAATTGTTAATTTTCTTAAGTAAAGATTTCTGCCTTGATTACAACTAATTAGCAAATAAATTTTCTTTCTGTCATATCCCCTTATATGGAATCAAAAACTTATTAAGCATATGTCTATATTTGAATGCATTTTTACATGTGAACATCTCTTTTATATATTTAAATGTATATTTGACATAGTAGAGTATATATTTAAATGCAGACACACACAAATACATATGCATTTAAGTTTTAAATGAATAGTAAACAGTGATATGGATAACCCAAAAATCGTTTCTATTTGAATTTGGAATGTCTTGCATGATTTTTGAGGTATATTTATCTTCTTGATTACAGCTTGTTTAGACTGATATTAAAATTAGTCTGCACTACTTGAAGACACAACACCTGATCTTGAAGAATTATATCTAAAACATATTAGTTAACAGAAAGAAGGTATCTAGGGATTAAGTGTTTTACACTAATATTCATCCAGAAAGATCAGCAACATACTGATAAATGGAAATTAACTGTAAATTAAATTCAATCATTAAAATAAGGACATGCCTGAAACAAAATTAAGAAATTGGCCTAAAGTGAAAATTAGGGTATCTCAATTTATTTTAATTCTTCTTATTTTATTCTGTGTGTGTGTGTGTGTGTGTGTGTGTGTCTGTGTGTGTGTGTGTGTGTGTGTTTGTGTTGAGAGAGTGTATGCTACAATAAAAAGAGCACAGCCCTTAGATTCTGGCAAACAGATGTTTGACTACTGAGTCTATTAGTTTTAAAATATGGTAGCAAGTTACTTGACCTCTTGTAGTTCTTATTATAGAATGTGCCTTGGGCTGTGATCGTGAGAATTTAACCACAATGGCATATGAGTTCATAGTTTGCTTTTGGTTGGGCAAAGTTAATAAGTAAGCAAGGGACAGATCATGAGGTAGAGAGATCTAGGCTGAAAGATGATAAATTCACTTTGGGATATATTCAGTGGAAACCATCAACTTGTACCCTGATCAATAGCAAGTTGGATTTAGTGATATGAGCTGGAGACATAGTTCAGAGTCATCTTATATATGATGGACTTTGGAAATGGAAGCTTTGGAAATGAACCCAGGCCGCCTGGAGGAGTGTGCAGCATGAGAATAGAGGAGAGCCTGGAATCTAGAAGCCTAAGAATAACAACATTTAAGGGAGGCCAAGAAGAGATTTATTTTGCATCTTATAATCTGATGATACAGATGTCATTAGTTTGATTACATGTACAAATAAACAGAGCAAGTAGAGAAAAAATATTTATTAATAATAACAGGCAACCACAACCTCCGGGTACCTAGGGGCAAGAATATAACTGTACCTTGTGAGGGACTGGAGCCAGGAATGAGAAGCCTTCAAGGGATCCCGAGAGGATGTCCCTCACTCTTGTTTCTGTTTCAACCTGAATATCTTCTTTATTCTTCTACAGGCAGGCTTCATTTGTTCTTCTAAACACATGTTTAAAAAAGTTAACACTGAAGATTCCCAGTTTTATGTCTCATCTATGCAAGAGGCCAACTCAAAACAAAAGTAGAGTTAAAGGCCTTATTCTCAGTTTTTGGGAAAGGGCATTATTTCAGATACATATCTTAAGGCTTTTCACTGATTTTCCCAGCACTGCTGTCTCCAAAGTCATCTAGTCACTTGTCCTGAGAGTGCTGAGTTCTCCCCTCCCCTTGGCTGCCCCTGTGCAGGCACGTTGGCCAGCCATGTGCCAATAATTCTGCCTCAATGACCACTTTCAGACTTCAATTAAACACCATGAAGGCGGGTATGGAATCAGGCACATTGTGCAGCTGCCAAAATATCCAGATGATGTACCCTAGAAATATAGGGGAGTTTGATTTCCAAGAAGCAAACTTGAACTGAATCCCATTCCTTCTTCCCTCCCAGGATTAGTCAGAGTCATAGTTTTCCCTGCATTCTGCCCACCAAAATCCTGTATGGCAAAGGATATAACTCTGTAGCAACTTGCTGTTCCTTTTGTGTAGTAGCCAATGCAGGAATGCCTTATTCCCTGTCTGTCCCTGCCTCACTTCTCTTTCTCTCATTGCAGCTGCTCTGGGCTTGCATCTCTTAAGTAAAGCGTTTGCACATTAATCCTTACTTTAGCCTCTCTTTTCTGGGGAACTCAGGTGATGAGAGGCAGCTTATTGCTTAGATGTGTTCCTGTGTCCCCTCTGATTCTTTCTGCAAGGGAGAGGAAGGCAAAGTATTCCCAAGAAAAAGACCCTTCCACATGCCTCTGTGTCTTAGAAGGCACAGGGGAGCTTGTTTCCAGAAAAGAAGGAAGCATTGCCGTTAGGAGAGAGACCCCAAAAATATCTGACAAAGATTAAAAGTATAGTCATCAAGAATTATTCTAGGCCAGGTGTGGTGTCTCACACCTGTAATCCCAGCACTTTGGTAGGTTGAGGCAGGAGGATTGCTTGAGTCCAGGAGTTTGAGACCAGCTTGGACAACATAGTGAAACCCCATATCTACAAATAATAAAATAAAAATTGGCTGGGCATGGTGGCGCACTCCTAGAGTCCCAGCTATTCTGGAGGGTGAGGTGGAAGGATTTCTTGAGCCTAGGAGGTCGACGCTGAAGTGAGCCGAGATCACACCACTGTAAGAGCCTGTCTCAAAAAAAAAAAAAAAAAAAAATCTGTTATTTATTGCTCCTTTTCTGTGTGTCTCTTAATTGCAATTATCAATGCTTTTATTTTACTTTTCTCTTTAAACAGTTCAATGAATTTGATTAGATGAGTTATTACTATAAATATAGTATATTTCTGTGAAAAAATAACCCTTTGAGGAAATTTATTATAATTGATCACTTCTGAAGAGTGAGGAAATGACATGATAAATATCTTTAGGGGTTGTTGTTTTCAGAGTATTTCTCTATGAAATTAAGAAACAAAACCTTCAAATGTAATTCTACGCCCTTATCAAAATGATTTCCTTACAAGGAATATTTTGGATTTCCAGAAACCATACAATCACTAATTCAGTTTAATTCACTAAGGTAAAGTAGGGAAGATACTGCACTATTGCCCTTCCTGCAGTAGAAAAAGGCAGCAACAACCAACGAGAAGCTGGGTTAGCGCTTGGTAACAGTCTTGGTGTGATCTGTGGAATACACGTTTAGGTCTTTCATGGCACCTCAGAATCTCTGCCCTTCCATTGCTTGTTCTAAGCCTAAGGTACATCTAAGATAGTCAAGAGAAAAGATCATCATAGCAAGATAGAAAGACATGACATACTTCAAAATTAGCTCTCCCAACCACTGAGAAAAAAAGAAAAATCACTAACTTTTCTCTACTTCCCACCTCACCATCAGAAGGCAGTGTTTAGCTTTCTACCTTTCCTTTTTATGCATTCAGCAAGTTGTATAAAGCTTATGATATGTAGGGCACCATTTAAGAACTATAAATATGAACTAAATTATATATCAATGCCCTCGAGAATAGTAATTTTCACAATCTGGTAAAGAAAAGAAATCTCTTTGTTTGAATAATTTGTTGTGTTCTGAATTCATGATATTTAAAAAGCTAAATTTTGCTACAGTTAAAATGTTTTCTTATTTATAGCAATTCTTAAATAAGCCATGTTAGAAAGTTTGGATTCCAGAGAAGGCATTAATGCAAAAACTTAATCATCATGTTAAAATTCCCAACAAATTTCAAGCAATACCTAGAACCTGGCAATTCCTATTGAAATGGCAGTGCTTAGGGCAAATTGGAAAGCCAGCTAAGAAGTTTTCTACCGGCAAGATGAAAGATAATGTGGGACCAATAATATAAATCATTGGCTTGGACCACCTATTTTATTAATTGCCTTATTTTAGAAGTCAGATTTTTGTCTCAGAAGAATCTGGGAATGGGAGACAAGAGAAAAGACACTGACTTTTTAAGTGTCTTCCCAACCCCAGGTTTTTGTCCTTGTTTAGAAGAGAAAAGAGAATTTCAAAAACAAAACTAATTTTTATTATTTTAAGCAGCTATTTAGGTCTCTAAATAGAAGCCAAATAGGGTAGATGAAGGAATGTGGACTCTGCAGTCAGTCAAATTGGATTTGATATCTACTTTTTATCATTCTTCACTGAATAAATGTGGACAATTTACTTAACCTCTGTTAAGACAAACCTAACAGAAATATCTCAGTTTGTCCATCCTTAAAAGGGTCATGATAAATATTTATGTTAATTTGTAAGAATTCAATTATATCACTTAATAAATGACACATACAGGGCAGCTGGCATACAGTAAACAAAAGTGAGGCTGAGAATTCATTGGCAGCAGAATTATCTGAAGACTTGAGACATTAAAACCATCAACAAACTCAGTAAGAGACTCTAGTCCCAGAAATTTCTCAAATAACAAGTTCTATAAAACAAGATCCATTTGAAAAATTCTAACCACATTAAGGCCAGGCACGGTGGCTCACGCCTGTAATCCCAGCACTTTGGGAGGCCGAGGCAGGCGGATCACAAGGTCAGGAGATCAAGACCATCCTGGCTAACGCGGTGAAACCCCATCTCTACTAAAAATACAAAAAAAAAAAAAAAATTAGCCGGGCGTGGTGGTGGGCGCCTGTAGTCCCAGCTACTCGGGAGGCTGAGGTAGGAGAATGGCGTGAACCTGGGAGGCAGAGCTTGCAGTGAGCTGAGATCACGCCTCTGCACTCCAGCCTGGGCGACAGAGCGAGACTCTGTCTCAAAAAAAAAAAAAAATTAAAATAAAATAAAAAGAAAAAAGAAAAATTCTAACCACATTAAAGCTATTTTAAATATTTTATGAATAACTTAGGGTAACAATATTTTAATTGTCTAATTTATTAGCCGAAATCTTCAAGACACAAGCTTTTCAGACTAAAGTACCCAATCAAAACAAACATAACCTTTACTTAACACCTGTTTTTGTAATTGCAAGTTTCTTTAACCAGAATCACATGGTTCTCAAATCAGACTGAACAGGAAGGCTTATAAAAATACAGATATACAGATGGAGAGTCAGCCCCAGAGTTTTCAATTGAATAGGTGTGGGATGTAAGTTTTTCAAGTTCTCAGGTGATGTTGATATGCCTGATCCAGAAACCACACTTTGAGAACCACTGAATAAGAAAATAGTATCTCAGATGCTTTCACATACAGGGCTATATATTAATGTAAAATAAACATGGACATATATTATGTACATAAAAATATAATATTAGAATTTAAATATAATATATATTACATTTAACATATATATATGCTATCCAATTATCTCTTTTGCTTCACTGAAAACCATAATTCAACTGAGATATCTAAGTAACATACTTCCAGAAGTAGGATCATACCAAGACTCCAAGCCGCATTAGCCAAATTTTACCTAACAACAAAATCTCTGTTGTTGGTTGAATTGTGTTCCCCCAAAAGATATGTTCAAATCCTAACCCCCAATTACTTATCTCTGTTTTCAGTGGTACAGAATTGGGAATAATGACACTCTATTGGGTGTTTGCAGATGTAATTACTTAAGATTAGATCATACTGAAGTAGGGGGAGCCCTAATTCAATATGACTGATGCTCTCATAAAAAGAAGAAGGGACAGGGACAGAGAGAGAGAATGCCATATAAAGACAGAGGCCGAGATTGTAATGCTGCATCTACAAGCCAACAACCGTCAAGGACTGCCAGCCGTCACCAGAAACTAACAGAGAGACATAACATTCTCCCTCAGAGACCTCACAACATAGCACACACCTTGATCTCAGACTTGTAGTCTCCACTACTGGGAGAAAATTCATTTCTGTTGTTTTATGCCACCCAGTTTGTGATGTTTTGTTATGACAGCCCTAGGAAACTAATAATGCCCTTCTTCCCCCAGTACCTGATGATTCTGTCTGCCTCTAAAATTTGCCTCACATTGCAACATTTTTTAGTGCTCTCTCCTACTCATTGTATTTTTTTTTTTCATCCTTAGGAGGGTTTCTTTAAAGAAGGAGAGGATTCAGGGAAAGAGGGTGGGGCAAATTGTGACCATCTCTGCCTAAATCATTAGAACTCAAGAGAGCTGGGGCCACCATGGAGACACTTCTGGCCACTTCCTTCTGATTCCACATCAAGTTCCTCAGGCTCTGGGCCCTGTTTTAATTGTCGGCCTGTGGCTTTGATATCCTCTTCTTATGTCTTTTTGGCACTAAACCTTGCCTTTCTTCCTGGCTCTTCTTGCCCCTCGCTTTTGGCTTGGATACCTCTGCCATGTCCTGCAGCTGGATCGAGGAAAACGTTCCACTTGCCCTTCATTTCTGGCTCCTACTGCTCTAATTTACCCAGTTCTTCTCTGACTATCCCTGAGTCCACTCTTAACAATATAACAATCTCCTCACCCAAGAGGTCCACTCAACTCTGTTTTTCCATAAATAAATTTCTCCTCATCAATCTTCTTTCATTAAATAAAATGTGTCTGAAACCCAAAGACACAAGATCTTTTACCTTCTCCTCCACTTCTTACTGTCTCATGACTTTTGGGAACCTGATACGTTGACTCTTAATACTACTTTAGTTATACTGCCATTTTTAGGATATGATTGCCCTGCTTCTGCTCAGTAATCTCCACTATTTTTGATGTCTACTTCTGCCCTCTTCTCTTCCTTGTCCTATCCATCTTTCTGTCTTCAGGACAGCATGACCCATTCATCACTGTCACACTGTTCGTCTTTTCATCATTGCCAGATACAGTGGTTCTCAACTCTGGCTGCACATTAGAATTACCTGGAAAGCTTTAAAAAACTAGTTCTCCGATGGCTTTACCTTCAGATATTCTAATTTAATGGGAGAAGGCCTTAACATCACATTTCTTAAAAATCATTTATTTGCCTGGTAATAATCACTGGCCTACCATTATGCTCAACAGATTCAACCTTTATGATATTTTTCTTACTTCCTAGCCTCATAGTTCTTCACTTTCAATGTTAAGCATTGCCACTTTGTTTCTCCCACCCCATCACTCAGACTTGCCTTACAACTCTTGATAACTTGAAATAACTCTACCATTTACCAACATAATCACAAACTCTGACACTGAAATAATTGCAGTCTTCTCCTCACCTTTCTCACTTCCAGTAAATAAGCTCTAAATTTTTTATTTTGACCCTATTTTGTTCTTTGACTTTTAAAAAATTACCTTACATGATGAATTTACTTTCAGGTCTACCGAACCAGACATGTGGTCAACCTTGTCAATAATACTACCATCTATTAGGAAGGAGGGTTTATTCTGAATTTGTCAGATTTCCATAGAGGGGACGGAATGTGTGATTTCTAGGATGAAAGTTTTAGAAGAATACTTGAGACCTCTTGTCCAGGGCCTCTCATAGACACATCCCCAAAGGAGTGTGTGATTGGTAATCATCTGACTGGTAAGCTAAGGGAAAGAACCTGTGGGTATATGGATCAGTCTTTATTCCTCTCCTGAGTTAAGGAGGCAGTTTTTTTTTTCTTATTTACCAGGCCATAAGATCATTTTTCAACTCTGCCAATGGCTATGTGGGTAAGCCATTCATTCATGGAGAAAATACTTAGATTTGGGTTTCCAATCTACATTTTCTAATTCAGCTATATCCATAACAAGTCTCGTGTTCTGATTTCTGTGTGATTCCAGTGATTTTCTTACCATTGTTTCCCAACTTATGAGAGGAAGAACCTCAAGAACAGACTCAACTAATTAACTTCCATTCATTCTGCTTTTGTTGCATATCTGACCTGGGGATCTGGGGATCTGTCCCCCAACAACTCTTTTTTTAAAAAATAAATTCAAGTTTTATTCTAGATTTGGGGGTACATGTGCAGATTTGTTACATGGGTATGTTGCATGAGGCTGACGTTTGGTATATGAAACTTGTCACTCAGGTAGTGAGCCATAATACCCAATAGGTAGTTGCTGTATCTTATTAGAGAAATGCACAAAGTCCTGCTTCTTGGATCCACTGTAATTCTTTTAAACTAAGCTAGACTCTTATTATTGCATCCTTTTTAAAATTCCTAGTGTATGCTTACTATTGATGTCCTTCCTCATAGCAATTCCTACCTTTTCTATTCTACTAAAGCTCTTATACTAAATCCACATCACCGAGACTTTCAGTGAATAACTTCAGCTCATACAGTTTTGAGAAAACCATATAACATTTATACTCTTTATTTTCCCTTCACTTTAAAATTTATTTTCATCCATCTTCTCTTCCTTTACATGCCTCCCTTAAGAATAACCATTCTTTTTCCCTCAGTACCTCTTCACAAGGGAAAGATTGAGATTCTCAGTCTCTCCCCTCTCTAAGACTTCATTTCATCAAGTCCTCTCATTTGTTTACATCTGTAACTTCTCCTTCTTTACAAAATAATTTCTCTGCCTAAGGGCATGGTCATAACAAACAAAGCCAGGAACTAAAAACAAAATCCTCAATTCTGTTACTCTTTGAAATGACTTTTTTGTTTTCCTCCCTTCAGCACGTAATCTTTGAAAAAAAAATCATCTAGATTTTATGACTTTTTTCTCACACCTTACAACATGAACTCCCCCTAAACCAATGGAAATACCTCATTTATAATTCATCAATAGAATCATAAAGAGCCTATCAACAGGTTTTGCTTTTCTCACATTCAGTCTCTCTCCTTTCTTTCCTTTATCCAACCCACCAGTGTTTTAGGCTTCAGATCCTTGTATAGATGATAATATATGGTTGTTGTCACTGCCCCAACTTTATATGTACATTTACAATTACTGACCTAGGCTCTAACTCAGCAGGTCTCTCCCCCAATTTATCAGCTTACTCTGAATTCCCTACTTCAATAAGTGACACACTTATTTCCTAATGACTCAGGCTCAAAATGTCAATGCCATTTCATACATTCAGTTACTAATTTCTTCATCATTCATTATGTACCTGCTTCTTGCCAAGGAATATTTTATGTCCTGGGGATTACAAAGCAGAATAAAACAATATCTCTTTTCAATGAGCTTATATTATATTGAAGAAGAAGACTGACAAGTAAACAAAGTATGTGGTAAGTGCTGTTTTAGAGGTAGCACTGAAAGACTGTTAGAAGACAAAGCAGAGAGCAATTCATGTTGTGTGAGGGAGTTGGAAGAAATGCTTCACAGAAAGCAGGTGCTTTACTTCAGTCTTTAATAAGAACTAGGCAGTTAAAAATAGAGAAGGTAAGTCCAAGAGGCTGGTAGGGCAGAACTTATAAAGTCAAAGTTGCGTAAAGCCATGAGAAATTTGGTTTGACTGGAATATAAAAGCAAAAGAAAGTAGGACGAACAAGAGTGAGTCAAAAGACTTATAATTAGCCAGGCATGGTGGTGCCTTCCTGTAGTCCCAGCTGCTCGAGAGGCTGAGGCGGGAGAATCACTTGAACCCAGGAGACGGAGGCTGCGGTGATCCAAGATCTGACATCAAGCCAATGCACTCCAGCCTGGTTGACAGAGGGAGATTCCACCTCAAAAAAAAAAAAAAAGAAAGAAAGAAAGAAAGAAAAAGAAGAAAAGAGAGTTATCATGAAAGTCTCCATATGTTGGTATGGAGTTAGTGATCAAAATTGCTTTTAGGGCAATGGTCCTAGCAACAACATGGAGTGAGAAAAATACAAAACTTTGATTATACTTCCTCAAATTCCCAAATATAAAATCATCTGTTACATCTTGCAAATGTGTCCTTTACACTGCCTTTAAAAATTTTTCCCCTACTGTTTATATTCCACTCCTCCCATTCTGGTTTAGTAGCTCATTACCTTTCCTTTGAACATCCAGACTACAAAGAGAACAATTCCAATCATGCCATTCACATAGTCATAAGCTGTCCAGGACACTTCACTGTCTACCACACTGAAGGTCAGTTATTCATCATGATGTTGAAGGCTTTTCACAGTGACATAGCTATCTAATTATCTGCTAATATGAAGTGGACATGGTCAGTGTCACAAACAGCACTTTTGCGTGATATTTATACGTGGCAGAAGCTTTTCCTCCCCTACATCTTTGATTTGTGTTTCTTTAATACCTTGAACACCATCTTCGCCCTCTGCCTTTTGAAAGCCTGTCCATCCTTAAAAATTGATTTTAAAATACATCTCCTTTTGAGATTAAAATTTTAAATTACTCCGAACATATGTGATTGTTTCTTTATGCTTTCATGAAACATTGTACTTTTTATATGTGACTTAAAAATTTATCTGATGCAGCCATCACACCACTTATTCTCATACAGCGTAAACTTCTGACAGTGACACTGCATGACTCTGGCTTTCATTTTCTTTCATTTCATTTCAAAATATTGCCTTGCACAAAACTGTATTAATTAAGGTTGTTACCAATTCCAGAGGTTACTACTTGTCTTTTTCTTCGAAACTTCATAGTTCAAGATAACTATATGTTTAGTCATGATAATTTATTATGTACCAAGCAAGAAGTAAGCACCTTAAAAACTATCCTCAGTTGCTGATATGGTCTGGCTCTGTGTCCCCATGCAAATCTCATCATGAATTGTAATCCGAATTGTAATCCCCATGTGTTGGGGGAGGGACCTTATGGAGGTGATGAGATCATGGAGGCAGTCCCCCTGTGCTGTTCTGGTGATAGTGAGTGAGTTCTCATGAGATCTGATGGTTTTATAAGAGGCATTTCCTCCCTTATTCCCTCTCTTGCTGCCTTGTGAAGAGATGCCTTCCACCGTGATTATGTTTCCTGAGGCCTCCCCAGCCATGTGGAACTATGAACAATTAAACCTCTTTCCTTTATAAATTACCCAGTCTCCAGAAGTTCTTTATAGAAGCATGAGAACAGACTAATACAGTTGCCTATATTTTCGATGTCTCCTCCCTACTCTACTGCCCCTAGAAAGCATTAAAAACAAGCAAATTGGATCAATCACATTTCAAACTTCATGCTCAGAAAGTGTCTTCAGGCACTATTGTACTGTATGAGAAAAAATAAAGTTACTTTCAGTGAAAGAATTGGCATTTTTAACTTTGCAATGCCCAATGAACAACATGATTTTGTTCTATTTTTTACTGCTCAACTCATTGATGTCAAGTAGTTACTACCAGATTCAAAGAGAGACACTTTACCTCAAACTGCAGTGTTTACACTTTCTTGTGATTTTTCATTCTTAGATTCTATTATGTGGTTTCTTCACTCCTTTACTCAGTTCTGTCTTGATATATCAGAGCCTCAGGCACTGTACTAATATATATCCTAAATATTTTTCTTGATTCCATTATATAAAGGCTCCCATTCTTGCAACAAAATGATAATGGTGAGAAATAAAGAGTTAAATGCAGATTTTTTTGCTATCTTAACTTTAAGGACGCTATATAATAATGTAGAAAAAATGTACAGACACACATATAGTGACCAAATAAAAGTAAGGTGTTATTATGTAAAAAAGTGATGGATACCATTCAATTCTTCATTTTTTACCCCTACTTAACATGACAATAAACTATTAGCAAACATGGAAAATTGATTATGATATGGATTATGTTAATTCAGTCATTCAGCAAATATTTATTAAGTATTCATTATGTCCCAGGAAACTGTGCAAGTTCTTAAAGGTATATAGATAAGAATATATAGACATTTTTCTAAAAGATGTCACATGATAATAAATGTAAATCAGCAAAGGAAAGAGTGGAGGTGGGAAGAAATTGAGAAGTAATGTATGTTGGGAATTATAGGTGATTATTCTTAAGTACCAAAAAGAGACAGAAAGCCAGAGGAGATGAGAACCTAATTCCTATTCAACAGCAGGAATTAACCAGGGAATTAAAAGAAACTTCCAGTTATAAGCTTGAAAATGGGAGTCAAAAATTACAGCATAAGTAAAATTTAGTGTGCCAACCAGACACTGGGTGCTATAGACAAAAAAATATCTAGACAAATCTTGCCCTTTTTTGGAAGCTGAATAAAAATAAAACACATATGGAGGCAATGAACAGGAAGAACATCTAGAAGATCTAGAAGAAAAATACTAAAAATAGTATTCTGCACAAATTAGAAAAATAAATTAAAAAATAAATGATGCCATCAAGAATATCCAAAGGACATTTACTTTAAAAGACCTGATATGTAAACAGAAAAGTATGAAAAAATGCAGTGTGAAAAGGAAGAGGAATACAATTAAAAATAAATTGAAAGGTTATTAACTATGTAATAGCAGATCTGATACAACAGCAAAGGAATCGCTATGTGGAAGATTATTTTACAGACCTTTTCCAGGGAGTGGAGGAAGAGGATGGAAGCACTCACATTGTGCAAAGGAACAAAAATATTGGAAAAAAAAATTAGATAAAAGATGGCTGTTATGGAAGTCTGTAAACAAAGAGCCATCACCGAGATGAATGGTATTCTGAAGAAAGTGCAACCATACCTATTCCCAATCTTACTTAACATCTGCATATGCAGTTTGAAAGAGCTCATCAGATACAGGTGAAAAAAACCACACTGAAGCCTGTTCCACAAAGTTGGGCACCTGCTCCCAGCACTCACAGAACTATGTTTATTCTAATAGATACATTCTAGAAGGACATTTTAATTGAAAGAATAAAGAAAAATGTACAAGCTTACAGGAAAAAAACTACATTAGCCATACTAAACAATAAACAATTCACTTCCAAAATATGAAAGGCCAGGGCACAACAAAGACAGATGCCTGACAAAATATCACTCAATATTTTTTGAAAGAATAATATTCTAGAAAATTATAAATTAATAAAATTGAAAAATCAGAAAACAAGTAGAAAACTTGAATAGAACCATACCCTGGGGAAAAAAATTGAAACAGCTGAAAAGATCTAACCTCTAAAACAGATGCTGGGACCAGATGGCTTTATGAATGAGTCCTCTCACCCGTTAAGTGACCCAATAATGCCAATACTGTTTAAACTATTCCAGGATCTGAAAAATAGAAAGATAGCCTGCTCACTGTATAAAGCTAGTATAACAATGATACTAAAATATGGGAAAGAAAATGAAAGAAGTAAAAATGGCACACCAATTTCACTTTGGTATATAGATGTAAAAATAATATAATATTTGCAAACTTAAATCCTGCAGTATATTGAAATAACATCAGAATCAAGCATATTAAAGAATAAGTAATAGATTCAAAATAGAGAATATATTAATATGCTCTGTATCTATTCCATTCCCACCTTCTCAAACACTTCGACTGTAGAGTCCTTTATGGCAGAGTGGGACAGAGGTTGTTTTTTTGGGCACTGCTGGGTCTTCTGTGCCTATCCCAGTATCTTGCCAGAGTAATCAATAAATCTCTCTCAGTATGTGGAAAATTGAATGGAGAGGTTGTTGGAGGCTGAGGGGAGGCATTTGTAATAGATACAAGTAAAGTTTAGCAAATTAAAAATTGATAAATTTCCTCAACAGGGTATTTTTACATTATGTACCAAAAGCCTTAGAAATTCACAATTTCTGAGCTAGTAACCCATCTTCTGAGAATTTATTCTCAAGAAATGGTAAAGATCATGTACAAACACTTTCATCATTCTCCTTGTTTATTATACAAGATTTTCCCCTGACTTTCCTTTAAATGATGCAGGTTTTCACAATACATGCTTCGGACCTTTCTCTACAGTGTTTCTAAGCCTCTTTATCCTGGCTCATAGTTTAAATTACCATCTCTCACCGATGATCTACAAATTTTGCCTCTCATTCTAACCTATATTCCAAGTCCAGAACACTATATGTAACAACATTTTTAGCATCCTCCCGCCCCCTTGGTTGTTTCAAAGACATCTTAGCACAGTATTTACAATATTGAATTTATGATCTTCTCTCCCAAAGTTTGCCATTCTCTGAGGTTCTCTAAGAAATTCCATCCAGTTCTTCAAATTTAGAAGTCATCACTAAAATTTCAATCCATGACCCTCCCTAAATCCATCCATAAATCCCTTTACCATATTTTATTGATATAATATTCTAAATATTTACTAAATATCAACTTCTCTTTAAGACCTCTACTACTTCTATCCAATGTCAAGTTAATGAGTGTCTGCTCCCTGGGCAACTAACTAGACTCTGTACACATATGCCTGCCATTCTAATACACTGTTTACACTGCTATCCTAGAGATTCAATTTTTTAATGAGGAATATATTCATTGATAACATATCTATACACAGGAATAAGCTTGTACAAATAATAAAATACTCATCTATATACAAATCAATAAAAGCTTTTGCAAAAGAGATATATGGAGATATGAAGTGTGATGATGGTGATAAAGGAGAATGAACAAAGAGAAAGAAGTGGAAGAGGAAGATAAAGATGAAGACGAAGAAAAAAAGAAGAATGATAATAAGAACAAGTATAAGAAAGACTTTTAAAATAAAATAATTATCTACAAATAATTTTAAACACTAAAAAAGATGAAAGAACAGCAATATTCAATTTCTTCGCAAACTCTGAGAAGCTCAACAAGTCTTTCAAAAGCAACCACTACCGGAAAATAGACTGTGACGATCAGATGTAGTGCCTCAGAGAGAGGCACCTTCACTGTATGTCATTAATACGTCTCAATCACAGTGTCAAGGGTCAAAGAAAGAAAGAGTAAAATATGAACTGGTCCAAGCAGAAGATAGAACCAATAAACCAACCAAATAAAATAATGGGCTATTGTGACATGGATTTAGCACCAGCAGTTGCTTGTATATAAAATATTCCCCTCAACCCCAATTTTCTTTGCATACTTTATTCCTTCTTCTTCAGATCTCAGCTCAAATATAATTTTCTTACTAAAGCTTTGCATGAGTTCCAAACCCCATGTAACATTGTTTCGAATATCCTGATTTTACTTTCTTAGTGTTTATCACAGTGATTATTTGCAGACATTTTATTAAAGTCTGTTTCTTCCTCATTAGTCTTTGCGTCCTTTGAGAGTAAAAATATATACTCATATAAACACAGGGCCTATAGAGTGCCTTAAAGGCATTCTATAAATATCTGTTGATGAGATTAATAAACAAAAAATGAGAACAAATAAATGAACAATCCAAAATCTCGCCATACTGGATTATTACTTTTAGTTTAGTTTCTGAGTTTAAGTCTGTCTTGAGGTCATAAAATGTTGGCTACAATTAAATGTTTCATGTGTGATAAAAATAGAAAAAGGAAATCTGTGATACATAAAAACAAAATCCAAGTTTCTCCCTCTATTCCCTACTTCAATCCCACTGAGCTAACCAGTGCTAATTAACAACATGTGTATAAATTCTTCCATTCCTTTTTCCTTGTTCATAATAATAATAATAGCTGATATTTATGGAGTACTTATTATATCCCAAGATTTGTTCTAAGCATTTTACATTATTATTTCATTTATTTCTCAAAAATCTGTAATAAAACTACTAATACTACTCCATTTTGCAGATGGAAACACTGAAGTATGAAGATATTTAGCAACTTACCAAGCTGGGAAAGTCACACAGCTGGTCAGAAACAGAGCCAGTATTCAAATAAATACTCAGATGATTTGGCACCAGAGTCCTCTGTGACTTTATGCTGGGTCTTTCTCAATGTACACACTAACTTGCTGTATATACCTGCATAACAATGTACTGAGAAGCATTCAATCAGTAATGTGTTTACAAAGCTGTTAGAACCACGCCTGGCATATAGTAAACACTTATTCAGTGTATGCAATTATTGCTATAATGTTTATTTGTTTTAATGAGATATAATCTTGCTATACATTAGTCTATAACTTGCTTGTATTACTTAGCATAAGTATTGGATATTCTCTCTTGTTTTCTAGTTTACTTATGCATTTAAATATGTCTGTACACACATAGAAATCATTTTACATAAATAGGTTCCTGTATGCTTAGAATCTCCTGTTTCCTACAATTCCTATCTTCTTCCCTTTATCCACTCTAATGAACATATTAACAACCTGATCATAATGTGTTTTATGAAATATTATTATTAATCCAACTGTACCTCCAAATTCAACAGAAAAGAAAAAACATTTCCAAGAACAACAGCAAAAATCCCACAAACACACTTCCAGACAAGGTCCTTTGGTCATTGTACAATACAATACCTACTTCTGTGCATTTTGCTTTACTTGTTCAAATGTATCTGATAGAAATAACTCAAAATCAATCAATAGGATTCTATTTTATTATTTTATTGACTATATAGTAGGCAAAGGAGTAAGAGTTTATGTCAAAATTATTTTCTTGATGAGCAGTCACTTCATTTCCAGGTTTTTGCCACCATAAATGGTGCTGCAAAAACATACTCAGATATAAATTTACACATGCTGCTTTTATTGCAAGGTTAAGGAGCACATCATTTTAAATGTTAATAGATGTTACCAAATTGCTTTTCCAAAAGGCTGTAACGATTCACATTTCTACCATGAGTAAATGAAAGTACTCTCTTCCCCACATGACTGCCAACAGCAGGTGAATTGGTAGTTGTCACTTTATTTTGCATTTCACTGACTAGTGAGTTTGAAAATCTTTTCATACATTTATTGTCCATTTATATTTCCTTTTATGTGAATGGCCTATTCATATCCTTTGTCTGTGTTACTATGAATATATATATAAATATATATATATATATGGCCCTTTATCTGTTTATCTGTCATCTGCATTGCAAAATTTTTAACAAATCAAATTTTTTCCTGTTACCTTATTTATTGTATCTTTTGCCATGGAAAAGCTTTATTTAAAATTTTGATAATTAACTTATTCATATTTTATACTTCTGCCAATTATTAACTTATTGCCTGTCAGCTTCATACCCAACCTTCTAAACTCAGCTCTGTGATCCTGGAGCTGAAATTGCAATTTCCATTTCTGTTTACCAGTAGGGTCCGTGTTGAGCTCTGGCCACAGTGGGAGCTAAGGGAGATGGCAAGGCTGGAGGAGGAAGCCAGGACCTGGCCTTTTCTATGTACTCCTTGTCTACTTCCTGTGTGCCTCCAGAGGACTCTTGTGCCTTGATTCTTCATCCCAGCAGCTCTTTTTATGGCAGCAGCTAAATCAATTTCAATTTTTGCCAAACTCATAGAACCATTCTCATTGCACCCTCTTCAGAGACACTAACAGCACCTGAGGAGCACCTCATTTTAGAGGTTTGAGTTTAAGCCCTTCATCTAAGTCTTTTAAGATTTAATAACTCAAACTTTTATTTGGCCCCTCTTCCCTAGGTATTGTAGTTGCTTGGTACAGTTACCACCTCTCTGATCCTTTAGTTCTCTCTTTTAACACTTTCAGCTACCTAGTTAGTAATTTTATATATATAATAGTTGTATCTTAAATTATATGTTTTGGAATAAATGATGTGGTTTCTCTTCAACAGTGATATAATAATTCATAAATTAAGTTGGGTTATTTGTATTTTCTTAGGAAGTAATCTATTTGCTCTGGATTTTCAACTTTATTGCCATAGTAATGCTTGTATTTTCTTATTTTATATGCTATTCCTTCTATACATTTTATTTAATCTCTTCTATCATTCTAATGTATATATATATATTTCACTTGATTAAAATAACTGGATTATCTATATTATTGGTTTTGTGGGTGCATATGTGTATATATGTGTGTGTATGTATATGTGTATGTTGTGTGTCCATGTATGTGTATGTATCTTTGTGTGTATGTGATTGTGTACTCATGCACGCGTGTCTATGGGTTGATGTTTGTGTATGTATATGTGTGGGGTTTTTTAACAGCCATATAGCACAGCATAATGATAAAAACATTTTGTAGTTGTTAAGAGAGTATAGCTATTAACTTAATGCTCTAGTGCAGAATTCACCAAACTTTTTCTATAAAAGGCTAGTTTTGCAGGCCTATAGTCTTTGTCTCAACAAATTAACTCTGCGATTGTAATACCAAAGCATCCATAAACAATATATAAATGGCATGCTCTGGGGTCACTCTCTATTTGAATCTTTGCCCTCTATCCCATGACTTTGCCCAACTAACTTACCTTTTAGTGTCTATATCTCATCTTAAATATCACCTTCACTAGGAGCATTCCATGTTTCTCTACTGGATCCTTATTATTTAAGGTGTGGTCTGTGCACAAGGAACGACCATATCACCTGGGAGCTTATGAGAAATTCAGAATCTTGGGCTCCATGCAGTAGTGTGTCAGAGTTGGTTCACACTGATTTGTGAAAGCAGAATACGCACAACTCTTCCCAAATCAGAGTTCAGTGACATTGAGTTGGTAGCTTGAAATTGTCCACGGAGGGAATATTTATACCATGGCAGTTTGCAAATGCTACAAATGAGAGTGTTTTATTTAAGAAAACAAAAAAACCTTGTTTCTTGCAGAGCATTGGCTTACCCCAGACCTACTGAATTGGAATCTGCATTTTAATAAGATCTCCAGGGCATTTATATTAATATTAACATTAAAATTTGAGAAGCACTGCAGTAGATCATTTTTTCCCAAAGTACATGTTAGAATCACATGGCATGCTAATTAAAATACAAAGTCCTGAAACTCATGTGTACATAGATTCAGAACCTCTTTAAGTGGAGCCTCAGAAATCCTTTTTCTGTAAAAATATGCGTTATAAACAAGCTTTCTGCTTGGTTCTTAGGCACCCTAAAATTTGACAATTATTGTTCTACAATATCTGTGCCCAGGGCATGCTTTGTTTTCTAATTTATAATAGAGCAGAACTGTAGAATCATAAAGAATTATTCCCAGGCCTTGAGACCTACTCACAGAACTTACACAATTTGTATGGCTGAATTTTGGAATTATTATGGACTAATGACCCTTTTATGCCTTCATTTTCCTCCTTTTAGAACAGGAATGTATACAGTTGTTATTCTGTGCCTGCCCAACAATGTATATTTGGTAATATGGGGTAGATGATTTGTCTATTTTAGTTTCACAGGTCTACAGATAGAGAGGAATGGAATTTAAGGAGCTACACTTAAACTACGTCCCAGGTGCATCATCCACACCTGGATCTAGTTAGGTAGCCGGTTTCTGGACGTCAGATCGTTGCCAATTGGATGAAACTTTTGAGAGGACTTGGGGAGGGGCTGCATGTGGGAGGACTGCTTAAGGACTTTCTAAGTTCCCTCATTTGCTTAATGATGGTTTCAGAATCATCAGGGTTGGAGTGTGGGGAGGATGATGAGGTGGAAGGAACTCAAAAGTTCTTAGCACATTGGAAATCTAGCTCAGCACTTTGTAAAATAACCATATTTTTAAAGCCAACCCCCTTCATAGCGTTTATCAAAGTCCCTACATTGCTGGGGATCTCACATGTGTAATTCACCTCTTGAGAATTGTGTGTTTCTCTGGCCGGTTGTTTTTTATCTTTTTTCCCTAGCTCATCACATATAACAGAGAAAGCAGACACACACAGAAACCCCCCCAGAAACCTTTTCTCCAGTTCAACTACTAACCCTTTCATATGCTCCACATGGAAAAAGAGCTTCAAATTAATCACACGTGTCTATCATACACGGTGACTGGTGTTCACTTTGGAGTGTGGACTCTGTTGTTGTCAGGCTTAGCTCAAACTTTGGATTTAAATATGCTATTAACTCTAGTAGTGTATTTGACACTTAGTTAATTTTAAGGAAATATTTGTTGAGCGAAGGAAAGCCACCTATTATAAAACTGAGAATATTTTATATTTCAGGGTTTTTCCTTTCTGAATATGTGTTTTCATCCTATTTTACCAATGATCTTAAAAATTCATGTATTATAGAAAAAAATGAAAACTTGTATTGGCTTCATAATTTGGGAAGTAAATACTATCATATAAAATATAGATCCTTAATGTGCATAAAGTTTCAGTTATGCAAGATGAAAAAGTTTTGGAGATCTGTTGTACAACATTGTATTATGGTAAACAATATACAGTAGAGTTAAACATTTGTTAAGATAGTACATCTCTTGTGCTTTTTAACCACAATAAAATATTTACAACCCCTCAGAAACCTTGGAAAAATGACTGTTTCTATGGGGGAAAATAAAACCCTATTAAAAATAATAATAGTATATATATCCTAAAGCAGGCAGTAAAGTCAATAATAATGTAAAACAATTTTCTGAATTTGGGAAAATTGAATTATAGAATGTAATGGTGAGAATAATTAATTGAATATATAATAGAAAAAGAAGTATTTAAATTTTGACTCTATTTGCTCTGAGATTTCATTCTTATTCCCTTTGGCTTATCAGGGGCAAGTGAGATTGACTCTGAACTTTAATATTTATTTGTATTGGTATATTAGTGTTTCCCTCTGCCATTATACTATATTTCCTTTGCATTATTTCCAGTGAATTTTATGATGCTGGTAGTTTTACATAGAGAGGTTGGTTTTTTTAATGCAAAAAAAAAATGTAGAATTTTTTTCAAGGAAAATGTAATTCTGCCAAGTACTTTGGTTCATTTGATGCTGCCTGTTTAACTCTGTTCGGCTCAATCACTGTGTTGGACATATTGTGACAAAGGCTCATTTTCATCAAAAGGAATCCCCAGAGGGTTTGCTGCTTCAATGAAAGGGAATTCATTAAATATAGTCTAATGTAAGGTGATTGGAATATATATATTCCGATACACATATGTATATAATTGCATTTTAGTCAGTTCTTATGCTACTGGGAGCGTTTTTTTAAACACTCACTTCTAAATGAAGAATGCTGCATGAAAGCTTTTTCTCTTTCTGAAAAACAGCTGGTTTCTTCAGCAATTCAACCTAGAACAAAGAAATAAAAAATACTACATGCTAAAGCAGATCCGCAGTAAAAATTTTGTAGAGGCAAGGCAAAGTAACATTAATAAATGAAGCTAATTAGGCTTGATTTGCATATTTAACTCATCTTAATTACACAAGGATTCAGCAAACATTTTAAAAGCTGCAATCAATCTTTCACAGATATGGTTAGTTATTTACATGAAATAACAAAAACTAGGAGCTTTGTTAATGATTACTCTGTTTCTAATTTATATGCCAGTGAGATCATTTCAGTATTAATAATGGAATATATTTTTTAACAACCTGTAAACCCATAAGGTTAAAATTCCAAAGAATTTTTTCACAAATATGTTTTTGAGAATTTCCAGAATATATGAAATGTTATATAAATTGCTCTATTGTATTAAAATGTTTTACCTTGTTCAAATAAAAAAAGATCTTTATAAAATTCTTTTGACATTAATTTTTAAACTTGGAAACTAAGGTAGTAGCCATAATAGAGACAAGCAGAATATAGTAGGTGATAAGTAGGAGAATTTTTTCTTGCAGCTGGCATAAACTTTAATTCTGCTCACCCTTGGATACAATTTGCTTTCTCATCTTTAATAGTACTTTTGACTGGTCACAGAATTTGAAATTAAATAGGGGGCATAATGACACAATATGATTCTTTTTAATTTCAGTGTTTTATTTAGATAAATTATTTTGTAAAAATATACGCAGGAATGCTGTCTCTGTGTTGTGATGTGAGGGGCTGGCAGGTGCACTTGAAGTGGCTAAGTACAGAAGGTTCTGTGGACAAGAACGCAACAGTGCACAAAACTTTATGCTGTGCAGCTGTCAGATGGTTGTGACATTCCATTATTAGGGCTCCATTTCTTAGATTTTTCTCTCCATGAGTGTCCTTTTATAACATCAAAAATCTTGACCCTTTTGCTTAAATTACCTTGAAAGGGTGGAGGTCATGTGGTTAGGAAAGGACAGCTGGTGAAGGGTGCATTTACCAAACTTGCAATGTGTGTGTGTGTGCGTGTGTGTGCATTAGTTTAAAAATATGTATTAAATGCTTCCCACGTGCTAATTCATCGTTGTGGTTATAATTATGAAGTGATAAAGACGGTACACTAAATGTCATCTCTGCTATCATAGAGCTTGCAATCTGCATATTATGACTATGTAATTGTTAACATTTATTGAGTACTTGCTTTGTCACGGGCAGCAATCAAAGCACTTTACACCAATTCACTTGTTAAATCCCCAAAATGGCACTATCATGTAGATACTATATTATTTCTATTTTACAGATGAGAAAACTGAGGCTTAGAGTGTTCCAAGGGCACAGTAAGCAGCAAAGCCCAAATTCAGACCCAAGTAGTTTCGCTCCAGACACTGTGCTTTTAATCATTACATTATATGCTTGTATGATATCCAAGTCTGTTTAGATATGTATTCAAATATGTAAAATATACAACTTTTCATTTTGAGACTGCATATAAGCCCAAAATATATTCATGCAATATAGGTACAATACAATAAATAGTATAAAATAATGTCACAGTTTACCTTTTGCAACCAGTTAATGTTCTAATGGCTATTGTATTCCTAAGACATTTTATGAGTAGTAGAATAAAGATATCTGTAGCTCTTTGCAAGGGGTTGAATTGTGTCCCCTTAAATCCATATGTTGATGTCTTAATCCTCAGTATCTTGGAAGGTGACTGTATTTGGAGATAAGGTCTATAAAGAGATAATTAAAATTAAATGAAGTCATCAGGTTGGGCCCAAATGCAATATGACTAGTGTCCTCATAAAGAGATTAGGACACAGATAGACACAGATGAAAGGCCATATGAACATATAGGGGGATGACAGCCATCTACAAGCCAAGTGGAAGGACTCATAATGAAGCCAACCCTGCCTACACTTTGAGCTTGGATTTCTAGCCTCTACAACTGTGAAGAAATAAATCTCTTTCGTTTAAGCCACCCAGTCTGTGCCACTTTGTTATGGTAGCTTTAGCAAACTAGTATAAACTTAATTGTGTCTAAGGATGAGAACACCACTCAATATCTGAAACCAAAAAGCTGAATGTATAATACACTTAAGTGTGGAAGAATTATACTGGTCAGAGTTACCCATTGAGCAAATCCAATTGCTGATTTTATATCCAGTTTTTGTGAAGAGTTTACTTTGGATTGTGCTGGTTACAGAGGCAGGAGTTGGTTGAAGTCAGTTTTAGAAAAGTAGCTTGTATTGGTCAATGAGACTTTTTTTTTGCCAGTTACAGAAGTAGAAAAAAGTTGATAATAGCATTAGAAACATGTTCACTGTAGTGAATCCTGAACCAGTTGGCTGACTTTCAAGTCGTGTCTGTTGTTATTTGACTTTTACAGGAGTGCTCACTGAAGTTACTTGTCATTGATTAATTAGATAGGTTTAAAACCCACTCTGATTGTTTACTTGTAAGCAGGGCTGTAGAACTGTTGCTAATTGATTAGATGAGTTTATAACTAGTTCTGGTGCTTGTGAGCATGGATAGAGAACACTGAGTCTTTTCCTGGGAGAGTGGTGACTTTTAAAATTCTCAGCAGCCAACAAAAATTAATAGGTATAACAAGGAATAGAGAAAAAGCTACAAATTAATCTATAAATAACAATATCCCTTACTTGTGTAGGCATTATGTTAATTGCTTTACATAAATTTCTCCCACTGTAAATGGAGATTTAAAATATTACTAATTTCCTATGGTAGAGATGAAAAGAATTGCTATACACAAAGTACTTAGTAAAGTGTTTATACGAATAAGAGATAGTATCAATAATTTTCCAATAAGCTGAGTTTTAAACTCTGCAACTTCACTCAAATATCACATTCTTAACCACCACAATAATAATAAAATGCATATATATTATGGTTTCATTTATATGAACTAAGGTAGATACATGAGACAGTGAGGAAAGGGGATTGTATATGTATGAACTAGTCCATGAAATATACAACAAACATGATTTATGGTAGTTGCCTCTGGAGGTGGCCTAAAATGGGAGACTAACTTTTCATTGGAGAGTGTTTTGTAATATTTGACTTTACAACCATATTTTTATATTTCCTTTCTCAATAAAATATAGTTAATAAAAATTGTAGGGATGTTTTTACTAAGAAGGGCATGAGAGAATGTTTTGGAATGCTGGAAACATTTCATATCGCAATCTGAATAACAATTACACAGATATATACACAGATAAAAATGTATTGAGGTAAGCCCCTAAGATTTATGCATTTTAGTGTATGTAAATTATATGTCACTGATATGGTTTGGCTCTGAGTCTCCACCCAAATCTCATCTCAAATTACAATCCTCATAATCCCCATGTGTCGAGGGGAGACCTGGTGGAAGGTGATTGGATCGTGGGGGCAGTGTCCCCCATGCTGTTCTCATGATAGTGAGTGAGTTAACATGAGATCTGATGGTTTTATAAGCATCTGGCCTTTTCCCTGCTTGCACTTCTCTCTTGCCTGCTGCCATGTAAGACATGCCTGCTTCCCCTTCTGCCATGATTGTAAGTTTCCTGAGGCTTCCCCAGGAAAATTAAACCTTTTTTCTCTATAAATTACCCAGTCTCAGGTATTGCTTTATAGCAGTGTGAAAATGGACTAATACAATCACTAATATAAAAATTGATTTAACATATCAAAAAGGCATTTTTTTTGTTTTCTCTGACATTTAATTTATTTCATTTGTTTAACTTTTAGGTTCAGGGGTACATGTGCAGGTTTATTATATAGGTAAATTGCATGTCACAGGGATTTGGTGTACAGATTATTTCATCACCCATGTAATACGCATAGTACCTGATAAGTAGTTTTTCAATACTCGTCTTTCTCCCACCTTCCACCCTCATGTGGGCCCTGATGTCTTTTGTTCCCTTCTTTGGGTCTATGTGTACTCAATGTTTACCTCCCACTTAAATACCAAAACATGTGGTATTTCGTTTTCTGTTCCTTGTTGCTATGTTAGTTCACTTAAGATAATGACCTCCAGCTCTATCCATGGTCCTGCAAAGGACATGATCTCATTCTTTTTTACGCCTGAATAGTATTCATGGTGTATATGTAGCACTTTTTTTCTTCATCCAGTCTACCATTGATGGGAATTTAGATTGATTTCATGTCATTGCTATTATTAATAGTGCTGCAGTGAACATATGGGTGCATGTGTCTTTATGGTAGAAAGGCATTTTAAAATCTAGCCTTGGAGGAAAAAAAATGAGTGAAGTGGACTCACTTCATATTTTTGTCTTAAAATTTTTTCAAAAGAATATGGAATTCATTGATTAAGTAAGTCATTATAATGAGAAAGGAAATTCATAAGCATTAGCACTTTAATGATTTTAGTGATAATATGCTTGGCTACTTATTTTATGATTTAATTTTGGCCTAATTTTTAAGAGTTTTAAAGGTTTTTTTGTCTGAAATATGACTTTTGATGAGTATTACTTAATTTTTTTTTCAAATTTTCACATGACACTATTGACACTAAAAAGACTTTTACTATTTTGAGGGAACAAGCTTAATCTTTATACATAGGGTTCACGGTCAGTCAGGCTAGGCTAGCTTGTGTTATGGTAAAAAACAACCTCCAATTCTCACAACATGTGTGTCCTGCTTCAGTTCTATGTCCTTCATGGGTTGGAAGATGGGTGTGGGGCATTCCTGCTGGTCTTCCCAGGGATCCAGGTGGATCTCTCAGCCATGACCTTGAATGTTGTTTGTTTCTGCCAGAGGGAAAAGGGACTCCTGGAGGGCATTTGCACCTATCATTAACTGCTGAAAATGCGAAGTTGGGAAGAGCCTGAGAGGAGTATTCTATGTCATTTCCATTCACCACTCTTAAGCCAGAACTCATTACATGGTCTCTCATAAGCCCATGGAGGGTTAGGAGGTGCGTATCTACCCAGAAAGGAGGAATATTGGAAAGATTTGGCAAACAGCCTCACTCACTCCATCTTCTTGCACATAAAGGGCTAGGGGACTTTGGAATCAGGCAAAACTGGAAAAGTGTCATGACTCTGCCACTTTTTATTTGTGGGTTAGATGCCACTGTTTTCATCTCTAGAATGTGAATTACAATAGTACCTATCTCCTAGCATTGCTGTGAGGATTAAATATGATAACAACTGTAAAACATTTAGCATAATGCTTTAGGTATGTAATAAACACTTGATGAATGTAAAGCTGCATCCTCCACCTGGAATCACCATTTCCCTATAGTTGTTTAAAATGTTAATAGGCAATGGAAAAGTCAATGGGTGAATATGCTCCCGGGTTAGAACTACACTGAAGCAAAGGTGTTGGGGAATAAGAAAGTGCACGCATTTCATGTCATGACTGATCAGAATGAAAATAAATATTGAGAAGACTAAGCTATTTGTCCAATAATAAAGCATATCTGGTGAGGGTGGTTTTTTGTTTTTTTTTTTTTGCAATTTCATTTATAATCTCCATGTAAGTGTGCTTACTTTTTCATTCAATAACTGTATCGTATCTTACCAGAGATGTCTTAGGCCTTGGGGATGAGAAGACGGAGGAGTGGATGAGTTTGTCTTGTGGAGCGTAATTTTAGAGGCAGGAGACTACAATAAATAAGGAGAAAAATTCATGAAGTAATTTTGTTAATGAGGAGTGATATGAAGGAAACAAAATGGGGTGACCTATTTGTCAAGTATTGGCATCTGTGAATATAATTGAACCCTGAAATATCAGGGATGTGACACAGTGGAAGCTCAGTTCTCATTCATGGACTACCCAATTGTAAGGTCCCGAATGGCAGCTTTTCTCTCTGTGGTGGTTGAGAAACCCAGGTTCCTTCCAGTTTATGCTGCCTCATCATCTAGAGGCCTTCTGCGTATAGCCTGCAAAGAACGGAAAATCAGGAGTTTGGCAGATTATGGTGGATATTTTCTAAGGGCCAGGCCTATGTTGGACTTACTTCACAACTGTCTGTGTTAGCAGTGGAAGAGATCAGAGTTACCCTGATTTACCGACGGCAAATCCATAGGTGTCTGGAGCAAATTCAGCCTTTGCCTGCTCAGAAGAAAGAATTCGACTGAGGGGCATAAAGCAGAAAAAGAGACCGAGACCGGGGCAAGTTCCAGAACAGGAAGAGGAGTTTATTTTAAAAGGCTTTAGAATAGGAAAGAAAGGAAAATTCGTTTGGAAGAGACCTAAGCGGGCTCATGAAGGATCAAGGGAGAAAAGGGAGCAAAAAAAGGGAGGCCTTTAACCTTGTTGCTAGGACTTCATGGGCTTGCCTCTTTCCCATGATTCTTCGCGTAGGGTGGGCTTCCCGCATGCGCAGTGTTTTCCTTACCCTTTGGAATTGAGCACAGGCATGCAGTGTGTTTAGGGAGGTATATGCATGCCCATCTGAGGTTTTTTCCTTTCTCCAGTGGCATGTGCCCCCCAGAATGTCATACTTCACCGTTTTGTCTCTTAACACACATGCCCAAGAAGCTGCTTCTCCCTGGGGCCTGCATTCAATTAACACTTTAATGTTCACAAGCGTGGACCATCAGGAGATTGTCTCTCTCTGGCTAATAGATTAAATATCATTTTTAGAGAGGCAATATTGTGGAACCATCACCCAACATTTCAGTGGGTGATGGGAGAGGCTTCTCCTGCCCAGCTCTTGCCTAACTACCTGTAGCACCTGCATTTCACTGAGCAGAACTCAGTCACATGGCCACGCCTGACCTCTAGTCTGGCTGTGTGCCCAGGAGGAAAAATAAAAGTGTTTCATGAAACAGTTTCTGCTACTCTAATGACTGGTTGTAAGAGAGACGTCAGGAAATTAGATCTCAGACAGCATGAAAAAGGTTGTGTTTGAGTTGAAAGCAGCATGGGAAGGATAAGGACATGTGTATATCTAGATGAGAACATCTGCAATAAAGGAAACAGAAAGCACAAAGGCGGGAGCATTCCAGGCAGTTAGAAAACAGGAAGGCCAGTGTGACAGCTGTATGTTCTTGTATCTAACTGTACTTAGAGTTATTATCCTGACAGTACAAAGGAGTTGTCTGGATCAGATATCAAACCATTTACTCAGAGAGAAGACTGTTTATTTTCTATTCCTCAATTCCTTATGTAGGGGGCAGGGAGGGCTGGGTGAGAACCGGGTGTACCTTGTGGGTACAGAAGGAAAGGGGTTATGTACCACGAGAAAGGAAACCCCAAACCATGAAACTCAATTTTCTTTCTTCCCTCTGGGGAGTGGGGGTTGGAGGGAGAGAGGGAAACAGAGAGAGAGAGAGAGACAGTGAGAGAGGGAGGGAGAGAGAGAGAACATTAAAGAAACCTTTGCTCTGAAATCTAAACAAATCTTCCCAAAAAGAAGGAAAGCATCGGTTTGCAATCCTTGGATGTGAAAGAATGCCTCAGGGTGAGATGTCCCTGTATCTCCCCAGGGGTCTCTATCTTTAGGGTTGCTATTCAGTCATTCTTTAACTCAGGTGCCAGAACTCTGCTTAGAAAGCCCTGACCATGAAGAAATATGAAAATATTCGAGGAACACAGTGAAAAGGAAGAGTGGTAAAGGATGAGGTCAGATACAGAGACAAGAGCCGAACAATACAGGGCCTTAAGACACAGGCAGAGAGTTTGGAGTTCTTTTAGTGCAATGATAATTTTTTGGTTGGCTGTATGCAGGAGCGTGACATGGTCTGATTCAGCTTTTGTTGGTTGCTCTAGTGGCGGTGAAGGGGATGACTGGGAGTGGGGTGGAGTGGGAGAAGGAGGCTCCTGCCATAGTCAGGGTCTGTAGGATGATGGCCTGCCCCCAGAGTGGTGATAGTGGCAAGGGATGAAGCTGGGCAGAGTAGGGCTGTATTTTGAAGAAAGACTTGTAGTAGATAAGGGTTGGGGCTGGAGTGGGGGAAGAAAAAGAGGTATTCTTATTCCCAGGTTTTTGGTTGCCTTGGTTTGTTTGTTTGAGCAGCTGGTGATGCCATTTATATGTATAAAGATTTCGTGAAGATCAAAATAGACAGTTGGGAAGTAGTAAATCAACAAGTCTTCTTTTGCTTATTATGTCTGACGTGCTGCATCAGACAGGTCACCAGCAGGAAAGAGGGGACTCACGGAGTAAGCTCAAGTTTAATGTTTACAGAGGTATGGGCGGCATTAAGGGAGCTAGCACAGCAGCCAGGGACTCGCAACAATGGGAAATCATCACTGCCCACTACCACTGTGTCTGAAAGGGGAGGGGAAGGAAAGCATTACTGGATGCAGTGTGCAAGTGGCCATGAGAAAGGATACAGGAGCTGTGGAATTTGGTAGAGAATAAGGCCACCGACATAATCACAGCTGAACGGGAGGTAGCAGAAGTGGCAATTTATCCATTCTCTCTTTGTGCTTATCCATATCCTACAGGCGCTTCCCTCTGGCTGAATCCAACCAGAGCCCAGAAGTCCTAAGAACATAGGCAATGTAGTTAGTAGAGAGCCTGGCATAGGGCGGGGCAGAGCCATGCGGAGAATGAATCTGAGGGCAACAGAACAAACAGCACCCATGTCCACAAGAGCTCTTTAAGAAGGCAAATAGACATTCAAAGTTGGAACTCAGGGAGAAGTAAGGGTGGATATGTCAACTGGAAAATATTCAGCATTTCAATAGTATATGACAAATATTAAGAGCCAATATTTGTCAGGCCCTTACTCTGTGCTAGGCAACATACCAACATTTCCTGTGCATTATTATCTCAATTAATTCTCCTAACAAAGCTATAGGTTAAATGCCATTATCTCATTGTACATATCAGGCAACTGAAGCACAGTAAAGCAAAGCAATTTGTTTAAGGTCACACAGCTATTAGGTGGCAGATCCAAAAATTAAATGTGGCCATTTCTACCCCCAGGGTCAGTGATAGAGATCATTATTACACACAGCTTCTCTGTCTGAATCAAATGCTGGAGCAATGCATATTGGGTCACATTATTATTATTTTTTTTGTAAACTCTTCTTTCTTTTTTATTTTTTCTCCTTTTGAAAGACAACTATTCTGACAAGAATTCATCAAAGAAGAGATTCCAAATTTTAATGTCCCAGTTTGAGTATTGCTTTTGATTAAGGCTGTTTGCAGACTAGAATGTTAGTAACCCTCACATTCCCTATACCACAAAAAGAGGAGATTCACTTTTATCTTGGGAACAAAGCTGTGTAGAAAAGCTTTTTAAACTTATTTTAATTCATGAAACATTTATCTTCGAGTCAGGTTTTGTTATAGCAGCACAAATGTGGTCCGTCAGCATTTCCTTTATAACCCCATATTTCCAGGGTTTTTCAAGAGTGCCATAGAGATTCTACTTTGAATTAAAACTTGGCATTCAGAATTTGAAAAAAAAAGCTACTACACTTTTCATTACCAATTAATCAAATAGTTTAGCGATTCTCAAGTTAGAAAAGGACCAAATGCAAAACTTTCATTAATACAAAAATATTTTAAGACAATTTGCTAATTTATATCTTTGTAAAAATATTACCACTCAGTATACAAGTATTAATATTACATCACTGTATATTAGTTCTCAAAATTAACCAAAAAATTTCTAAGATAATATAAAAAACTATGACATCTTATGCTTTGCCTTTTTGGCTTTGTAAGTAATTTATTTCTATTTTGAGAATTGGGATGATTTGAAGTTCTTAGCATAATTGGTTTAAAGTTATAACAGTGTCAAGATACTGAGCCATAATAACAAGGATGGTTGAGATTCTGAGAGAGTATCAAAGTGTTTCAATTTATTTTTGTGAAATTTAAATTTATGTGGGGAAATTTTGCACTCTGTGAACAAAGATTTGTAGCATGAATTGATTCTTTAAATTGATATTTGGAAGTTAACTTGCTGAGTACAATGACGATAATGAGGACCAAGTAGAGATTAGTTTAGTTATAAAGCCTTTCCAACTTTGCTTGGTTCAGAGATACTCCATGAATGGCCAATAACAGTGAGGGGCATCATGATGATCTACCTTTGGTAGCTCATTTTGCAATCTCTTCTGTAATCTCTCCCAGCCTTCAAAGATTTAAGGTTAAATAAATACAAGGTAGTGAATGAGAGTAGATGAAGACTTTTGAGTGAATCTACTCTTCTGACTGACTTCTTTCCAGCCACACTGGCTTCCTTGTTGTTCCAGAAATGTGTGAGGCAAACATCTACTTGGAGACATTTGCTCTAGTTTTTCTTCCTACCTGGAACACTTTTCCTCCAGAAAAACTCCCTTCCTATACTTTGGCTATACTCCCTTACTATACTTTCATTGGCTAACTCCCTTACTATACTTTCATTCTTGGCTAACTCCCTTACTATACTTTCATTCTTGGCTAACTCCCTTACTATACTTTCATTCTTTATTCAAACTTTATCTTCTGGGTGAAGCCAAACTGGATAACTCTACTTGATAATGTGATTTCCCTTAGTTCCCAAATCCCAAAATTCCTACTATTACTAACCCTGCCTGACAATTTCTTCTCTTCAGACTTATTATCTTCTAGTACATTTTATGCCTTTATCACAAAATGCCCATCTCCTCCACTAGAATATAAGGTCCGTGAGAATAAGGTTCTTTGTCTATTTGTTGACATATCCTAAGCACCTAGAATTGTGCCGACAAATATTAATTACTCAAAAATATTTGTCGAATGAACAAATGGTTGAATGAAATCTGAATTTCCAAGCACATAGCAAGACTCTCCAAGCAATAGTCCACATATGACTTTCCCTTGTTCTACAGAATTTGGGTTATTTCCCTACAAGAGTCAAGAATGCCCGTTGAACACTGGTGTTCAAAATGAAAGGCCCCACATTTAGATATTTAGATCCCTATTATAATGTGTTATAGGTCCATCTTTCCCGGAAACATTTAAACTGAAGCTGGGATGTTTTTGTAGTTAATTTTAATTTTAGCTATTATTTGGATAAGTTAAATTGAATGAATAGATGTGAAGTTTGGTTCTCACAAAACAAATGCTTATTCTGTATTTAAAAATGCCACTGTATATATTTTATAAATTTTTATACAGGTAATAATGTTAATGCTGAACTGTGAAAATTCAGGAGCTAAAATGTGATTCTATCATTTAAAAAGAAAAAGAGAGACCCCACTGCCTACCCCCAGCAGCAGTAGATATGCTGTGCTGAAAATAACAGCTTTCTAATAAGGGAGTTCTTAATAGTCTTTGGCCTCAGGGCTTGAAAGCTATGCTAATTGAGAAATGCAGCCACTTAGTGAGAGTTTACTACCAGCTCAGTGGTGTAAAAGCAACAACAGTAGAATTTCAGTGTAGATACCAGTACTATGGTATGCTCCCCGCTCTAGGTCTGTACTATTCTGAATAGTAGTTGATAGCAAAAGCTAGAATTTTCTATGGTGAGAATGTATTAATTCTGGGAGGAGGGGCTAAAAATTACTTTAAAACTTAAAAGCATCTTTGAATTCCTTTTTACGTTCCAAAAGAAATTTATTTGACTCTGTTTCTGCTTTGTCTTCCTAGGGTATATGTGAGCAGTCACTTTATGGTCACATGCATTCTATCAATGATGCCATTTTTGATCCCAGGGTAAGTTCAGTTCTCCCAGTAAACTGTTTTTAATGCTTCATATATACAAATTCATTTTTATAAAACAAATTTCCAAGCTAAAATGGTAAGTTAATGAGGTGAGAAGAACAACTTTAGGAATTAGTTGTAAACAATAGGAAAAGTCTATAGGTATATAGGGTTGCAGAATTTTAAAATTCACACACACACACACACACACACACACACACACACACACACCCCCACACACACCCCAAGTCGTAGCAGGAGTGACAAGGAATTCTACTGTAGTCAACTTTACTTAAACACATTTTTAAGAGCCTTTTGTCCAATTTGGGCTTCAAAAAAATAGGTGGGCTATAGACTGCATAAAATTTTAATGAAAAATCATTAAAATAACTATAATTGCTCTGTAATTTTTCTGTAAGAAAACCTGGAGAAGAAAAAGCAGTTAAAGAAAAAAGTTTTCTCCAATTTAGAACAGAACAGCTTTGATTTGACAGCTTTTTAATTACTCATGGAAAAGTTTCAAATATGTCCTTCTTCATAAAAACTGATGACAAAACAAAAATATTTTATCTGCCACTTGAGGTATTCATTCAGGTGTAAGGATGATTTCACAAACAATGAAAATTGTTGGAGAGTCCTTTGAGTTTTCTGTGGTTTGAATGTATCCCTCCAAGTTTATGTGTCGCAAACTTAATCCCCAATGCAAGAGTGTTTGGAGGTGGAGCCTTATAGGAGATGTTTAGGTCATGACACTGGCGCCCTCCCTCCTGAATGGGTTAATGTCTTTGAAGGAAGTTGAAGCTGCAAGTTCAGTCTTTTTGCTCTCTTGCTCTTTTTCCTCCCTCCTTCTGTTATGGGATGACACAGCACAAAGGCCTTCATGAAATGATGGTGCCATGCTCTGGGACTTCCCAGCCTCCAGAACTGTGAGAAATAAATTTATTTTCTTTAAAGTTATCCAGTTTGTGGTTTTCTGTAATAGCAACAGAAAATGGATTAAGACAGTTGCCACGTGAATTAAGGATGTCTTTAAAAGGGTTCAGATAGTAATCAAAGAAGGATGATTTAAGTCTGTTCTCAGATGAAAGAGATTTGACTACATAGATGACCTCTCAGGTTCATTTAAACTCTATGATTTAATTATATCTAACATTTTGGTTGTCTCAAAGTTCCCAGTAGAGTGAGAATCTTAATTCCAAATTCCACTTCTTTTCCAATTAGCTATAAAAGAAATCTGATGGATTACTTACATCTAACATCACAATGATAGCATAGTCAAAATTCTGTTACCATCCTGCTAGTATCATTCTTTTAGAAAGAGGAAAAATGCTCACTAAAAATTATATCTACTAAGGGAATGTTGATTGCTCCAATTGAAATTGTGCTTGTGTCATTGTCAGGCCTGGGAATTTTAATGATGGGCTCAACCAAAATTACATTTTAATAGATTGGTCTTTGTAAGAAATATTCTATCTAATTTTCTGTAGTGAGCCAATTAGTTGGAAAGTATTATAGATTAGTTCTAGATACCAAGGAATATTTTATTTCCAGCAGGGTATGGAAAAATTTAAGCACTATGGACCCATTATGAAATAGAATATAGTTTTATGCTGAAAGTCCATTAAGTGGCGTATAGCTTCACATGCCCTACAAAAATTAAATGGGAGCTGAAATGAATAATATTTTGTAAATCAGGCATTTTATTTTGGCAAGCAATATAATAACTGCAAAAGACAGCATTTTACATTCTAAATATTAAACTTAATAAATATGGAAATAAGCAAATTAGATTTATTGAATTAGCAATCAAGAGAGACATACATTAATTTCCCATATTTCAAAGGGCAAGATAACAGATATGAGGTTTAGGTGTCCAATATCAAAGTAGCTAATTTTTTTTATTATTATACTTTAAGGTCTAGGGTACATGTGCACAACATGCAGGTTTGTTACATAGGTATACATGTGCCATGTTGGTTTCCTGCATCCATCAACTCATCATTTACATTAGGTACTTCTCCTAATGCTATCCCTCCCCCAGCCCCCACCCCTGACAGGCCCCAGTGTGTGATGTTCCCCACCCTATGTCCAAGTGTTCTCATTGTTCAATCCCACCTATGAGTGAGAACATGCGGTGTTTGGTTTTCTGTCCATGTGATAGTTTGCTGAGAATGATGGTTTCCAGCTTCACCCATGTCCCTGCAAAGGACATGAGCTCATCCTTTTTTATGGCTGCATAGTATTCCATGTTGTATATGTGCCACATTTTCTTAATCCAGTCTATGATTGATGGACATTTGCGTTGGTTCCAAGTTTTTGCTATTGTGAATAGTGCTGCAATAAACATATGTGTGCATGCATCTTTAGAGTAGCATGATTTATAATCCTTTAGGTATATACCCAGTAATGGGATGGCTGGGTCAAATGTTATTTCTAGTTCTAGATCCTTGAGGAATCGCCACATTGTCTTCCAAAATGGTTGAACTAATTTACACTCTGACCAACAGTGTAAAAGCATTCCTATTTCTCCACATCCTCTCCAGCATCTGTTGTTTCCTGTTTAATGATTGCCATTCTAACTGGTGTGAGATGGTATCTCATTGTGGTTTTGATTTGCATTTCTCTGATGGCCAGTGATGATGAGTATTTTTTCATGTGTCTGTTGGCTGCATAAGTATCTTCTTTTGAGAAGTGTCTGTTCATGTCCTTTGCCCACTTTTTGATGGGATTTTTTTTTTCCTAGTAAATTTGTTTGAGTTCTTTATAGATTCTGGATATTAGCCCTTTGTCAGATGGGTAGATTGCAAAAATTTTCTCCCATCCTGTAGGTTGCCTGTTCACTCTGATGGTAGTTTCTTTTGCTGTGCAGAAGCTCTTTAGTTTAATTAGATCCCATTTGTCTATTCTGGCTTTTGTTGCCGTTGCTTTTAGTGTTTTAGTCGTGAAGTTCTTGCCCATACCTATGTCCTGAATGGTATTCCCTAGGTTTTCCTCTAGGGTTTTTATGGTTTTAGGTCTAACATTGAAGTCTTTATTCCATCTTGAATTAATTTTTGTATAAGGTGTGAGGAAAGGATCCAGTTTCAGCTTTCTACATATGGCTAGCCAGTTTTCCCAGCACCACTTATTAAATAGGGACTCCTTTCCCCATTTCTTGTTTTTGTCAGATTTGTCAAAGATCAGATAGTTGTAGATGTGTGTTGTTATTTCTGAGGGCTCTGTTCTGTTCCATTGGTCTATATCTCTGTTTTGATACTAGTACCATGCTCTGTTGGTTACTGTAGCCTTGTAGTATAGTTTGAAGTCAGGTAGCGTGATGCCTCCAGCTTTGTTCTTTTTGCTTAGCACTGTCTTGGCAATGCAGGCTCTTTTTTGGTTCCTGAACTTTAAAGTAGTTTTTTTCCAATTCTTTGAAGAAAGTCATTGGTAGCTTGATGGGGACGGCATTGAATCCATAAATTACCTTGGGCAGTATGGTCATTTTCACAATATTCTTCCTATCCGTGACCATGGAATATTCTTCCATTTGTTTGTGTCCTCTTTTATTTTGTTGAGCAGTGGTTTGTAGTTCTCTTTGAAGAGGTCCTTCATATCCCTTGTGAGTTGGATTCCTAGGTATTTTATCTTTTTATAACTATTGTGAATGGGAGCTCATTCATGATTTGGTTTCCTGTTTGTCTGTTATTGGTGTATAGGAATGTTTGTGATTTTTGCACATTGATTTTGTATCCTGAGACTTTGCTGAAGTTGCTTATCAGCTTAAGGAGATTTTGGGCTGAGGCGATGGGGTTTTCTAAATATACAATCATGTCATCTGCAAACAGGGACAATTCAGGAGCAGGTTGTTCAGTTTCCATGTAGTTGTGTGGTTTTGAGTGAGTTTCTTAATCCTGAGTTCTAGTTTGATTGCACTGTGGTCTGAGAGACAGTTTGTTGTGATTTCTGTTCTTTTACATTTGCTGAGGAGTGCTTTACTTCCAATTATGTGGTCCATTTTAGAATAAGTGCGATGTGGTGCTGAGAGGAATGTATATTCTGTTGATTTGGGGTGGAGAGTTCTGTAGATGCCTATTAGGTCTGCTTGGTGCAGAGCTGAGTTCAAGTCCTGGATATCCTTGTTAACCTTCTGTCTCATTGATCTGTCTAATATTGACAGTGGGGTGTTAAAGTCTCCCATTATTATTGTGTGGGAGTCTAAGTCTTTTTGTGGGTCTCAAAGGACTTGCTTTATGAATTTGGGTGCTCCTGTAATGGGTGCATATATATTTAGGATAGTTAGCTCTTCTTGTTTAATTGATCCCTTTACCGTTATGTAATGGCTTCTTTGTCTCTTTTGATCTTTGTTGGTTTAAAGTCTGTTTTATCAAGAGACTAGGATTGCAACCCCTGCTTTTTTTTTTTTTTTTTGGCTTTCCATTTTCTTGGTAGATCTTCCTCCATCCCTTTATTTTGAGCCTATGTGTGTCTCTGCAGGTGAGATGGGTCTCCTGAATACAGCACACTGATGGCTCTTGATTCTTTATCGAACTTGCCAGTCTGTCTCTTTTAATTGGGGCATATGGCCCATTTACATTTAAGGTTAATATTGCTATGTGTGAATTTGATCCTGTCTTTATGATGTTAGCTGGTTATTTTGCCCATTAATTGATGCAGTTTCTTCATATCATCGATGGTCTTTACAATTTGGCATGTTTTTACAGTGGCTGGTACTGGTTGTTCCTTTCTATGTTTAGTGCTTCTTTCTGGAGCTCTTGTAAGGCAGGCCCGGGTGGTGACAAAATCTCTCAGCATTTGCTTGTCTGTAAAGGATTTTATTTCTCCTTCATTTATGAAGCTTTGTTTGGCTGGATATGAAATTCTGGTTTGCAAATTCTTAAAGGATGTTGAATATTGTCCCCCACTCTCTTCTGGCTTGTAAGGTTTCTATTGAGAGATCCTCTGTTAGTCTGATGGGCTTCCCTTTGTGGGTTACCTGACCTTTCTCTCTGGCTGCCCTTAACATTTTTTCCTTCATTTCAACCTTGATGAATCTGACAATTATGTGTCTTGGGGTTGCTCTTCTCGAGGAGTGTCTTTGTGGTGTTCTCTGTATTTACTGAATTTGAATGTTGTTGAATGCCTTGCTAGGTTGGGGAAGTTCTCCTGGATAATGTCCTGAAGAAAGTTTTCCAACTTGGTTCCATTTTCCCCGTCACTTTCAGATACACCAATCAAATGTAGATTTGGTCTTTTCACATAGTCCCATATTGTTTGGAGACTTTGTTCGTTTCTTTTTAACTCTTTTTTCTCTAAACTTCTCTTCTTGCTTTATTTCACTAATTTTATCTTCAATCACTGATACCCTTTCTTCCACTTGATCAAATTGTCTACTGAAGCTTGTGCATGCATCATGTAGTTCTTGTGCCATGGTTTTCAGCTCCATCAAGTCATTTAAGGTATTCTCTACACTGTTTATTCTAGTTAGCCATTCATCTAATCTTTTTTCAAGGTTTTTAGCTTCCTTGTGATGGGTTTGAACATCCTCCTTTAGCTCGGAGAAGTTTGTTATTACCGACCTTCTGAAGCCTACTTCTGCCAACTTGTCAAAGTCTTTCTGCATCCAGCTTTGTTCCATTGCTGGTGAGGAGCTGTGATCCTTTGGAGGAGAAGAGGTGCTCTGGTTTATAGAATTTTCAGCTTTTCTGCTCTGTTTTCTCCCCATCTTTGTGGTTTTATCTACCTTTGGACTTTGATGTCGGTGACCTGCAGATGGGGTTTTGGTGTAGATGTCCTTTTTCTTGATGTTGATGCTATTCCTTTCTGTTTGTTATTTTTCCTTCTGACAGTCAGGTCCCTCAGCTGTAGGTCTGTTGGAGTTTGCTGGAGGTCCACTCCAGACCCTGTTTGCCTGTGTATCACCAGCAGAGGCTGCAGAACAGCAAATATTGCTGCCTGATCCTTCCTCTGGAAGCTTTGTCCTAGAGGGGCACCCGCCTGTATGAGGTGTCTGTCAGCCCCTACCGGGAGGTGTCTCCCAGTTAGGCTACACAGGGGTCAGGGACCCACTTGAGGAGGCAGGCTGTCCATTCTCAGAGCTCAAATGCTGTGCTGGGACAACGCACTGCTCTCTTCAGAGCTGTCAGACAGGGACGTTTAAGTCTGCAGAAGTTGTCTGCTGCCTTTTGTTCAGCTATGCCTTGCCCACAGAGGTTGAGTCTATAGAGGCAGTAGGCCTTGCTTTTTGGGCACTTTGTTTACCTACTCAAGCCTCAGCAATGGTGGATGCCCCTCCCCCTGCCAGGCTGAAGCCTCACAGTTGGATCTCAGACTGCTGTACTAGCAGTGAGCAAGGCTCCATGAGCGTGGGACCCCCTGCCCCGAGCCAGGCACAGGAGAGAATCTCCTTGTCTGCCGGTTGCTAAGACCTTCGGAAAAGCATAGTATTTGGGCGGGAGTGTCCCGTTTTTCCAGGTACAGTCTGTCACGGCTTCCCTTGGCTAGGAAAGGGAAATCCCCCAAACCCTTGTGCTTCCCGGGTGAGGCAACACCTCTACCTGCTTCGGGTGGCCCTCTGTGGGCTGCACCCACTGTCCAACCAGTCCCAGTGAGATGAACCAGGTACCTCAGTTGGAAATGCAGAAATCACCCGTCTTCTGCATTGATCATGCTGGGAGTTGCAGACTGGTGCTGTTCCTATTTGGCCATCTTGGAACAGAACTCGCTAATATGTTTTTATTTGCACACTTTGTTCATACCAAAAGGACTATTACAATATAGCTCCAAATCAGTATCCCACAGCCTCATTAAAATTTTCCATTAATTGATCTTTTCTTTGCTGCAAATATTTATTAACTACTAATATTTTTAAAAAATAATGTCTTGTTATGATGACTGACATTTTTTAAGGAAATTTTTGGTCACTTATATTAATTGTTTTAACAATTATGTTTTATGTCACATACCTGCTAAGCAATGTCAGGAGGTTGAGAAGCAGCTGTGACTGCAGAGTGCAGGGACTCCCACAGGTCTCTTGAGGACATGGCATTGAGACACAGTTCATATTCAAACAAACTATTAAAGTTGTATTTAAAAAATCCATATGTGGTACATATATAGAAGGCAAAAATTTTAGTTATTTGGTATTAGCCTTGCTCATTACTTGGTGCCTTTAGGGATAGACATTCATGTTGCGTTACCATTTAAAGTTGCATTTAGCTATTTACATAAACATAGTTTGGGGAAAATTCTACAATTTCAGATTTGTAAGTAGGAATCACACATGTAAAACTCAATGTTATCAAGCTAGCAATCTAGATTCACAGAAACAAGGGTAATGTCAGTAAGATGGTGGAATAAAAAGTAACCCTCAACTGGGCACAGTGGCTCATGCCTGTAATCCCAAAACTTTGGGAGACTGAGGCAGGCAGATCATGAGGTCAGGAGATCGAGACCATCCTGGCCAATATGGTGAAACCCTGTCTCTACTAAAATACAAAAAAATTAGCCAGGTGTGGTCTTGTGTGCCGGTAGTCCCAGCTACTCAGGAGGCTGAGGCAGGGGAATTGCTCAAACCCGGGAGACAGAGATTGCAGCGAGCTGAGATTGCACAACTGCACTCCAGCCTGGCGACAGAGTGAGACTCCATCTCAAAAAAAAAAAAAAAAAAAAAGTAACCCTCCTATCTCCGCCCACAAGAATCCTGCACCCATCCACAGACAAAAGTCTATCAGCAGGAGTTTCAGGATTCAGGTAGGAGGCTGCAGAGCCCCAGTGGAGCCCAAGACTTAGGAGGATTATTTTGAGAGTACAGACCAGCACCCACGTAGCTGATCTGCTGATTATGCTCCCAGGTTCAAGCCTAGGAATAACCTCATTTCCCAAAGGGCTTGGCTAGATCCTTGTTTGGCCTTAAACCTGTGCCAAAACCATTTGCCCAGGCATCCAAGAGGAACCACACAGACTACTGCCTCAGTGAAGAGACTTGTCTGCTCAATGACAGTGGTCTTCACACTGAAACTGAAAGTTGTTCTTTGGCTTGGCACTAGCCTCCCTCAGCTGAGGTTCCACATGAGGACTGCTTGTACAAGGATACAGAAGGAGACTTGCCCATATTCTCTCAACCTGGGAGTCTAAGCCTCCATAATGAGTTCACTAACCTCCATTTCACAGCAGATTTTGAGGTGCACCAGACTCAGTTCCAGCTCCCCTTACTACTTTTGGGGAACTATGCTGTCTATGCAAAGACCTGCTGGGAATTGCACACTCACGTGGGCCAGTGAGACAGGTTCGTCAGCTGCTGTCACACAGCAGATCCTGAGAGGGCCCAGACCACTTGTGCAGGACCTGCCGGGAAGCACACCTGTATGGACACAGTTCCACTGCGCAGAGACCTGCTGGGAAGCACACCTGTGTGGGCCACTGGAAAATATTTCAGTCTTAGGTTCCTGCTCAGCTTTCATCAACAGCCTAGGGACCCTCCTTAAGTCTTCCCCAGGTCCATCTAGGACAGAGAGCCATGTCATCCTTGGAACCTTTGTGAGATTCACAGCAAACCTGGGCTGAGAGGTTCCTCTAGTGCTAAGACAACTTCAGTGATCACAGGCTCAGGGAACACAATTAGTATTTTTAGATCTCTGGAAGACGCTCTGAAAAATGATAGGCACAGTAAAGCCAGACTGTGAAGACTGGAACAAATACCCAGTCTTTCAAAATGCAGACATTGTCACATGTCCACTATTATCAGTAATATTCAGGGAAATGTTACCTTACCAAAGAGAGAAAATAAGGCACCAGACACTGATTTTAAAGTGACAGGGATGTGTCATCTCTCAGACAAAGAATTCAAAAATAGCTGTTTTAAGGATGCTCCTCAAACTTCAAAAAATATAGAGAAACAATTGAGAAATTTATCAGGGAAATTTTATAGAGAGATTGAAATTTTAAAAAATCAAACAGAAATCCTGGAGCTGAAAAATATAATGAATGAAATAAAAGACACAGTGGAGAGCATTAACAGCAGAATTGATCAAACAGAAGAAAGAATTAGTAAGCTTGGTGACAGGCTATTTGAAAATACAGTCAGAAGGGAAAAAGAGAAAAGAATAAAAATAAAGAAGTTACAGGATCCTACAACAGTTGCCTGTCAAAGAAAAGCTCAGAAGTAGGCTTCACTGCTGAATTCTACCAAACATGTAAAAAAAGAGCTAATACCAATGTTTCTCAAACTATTCCAAAAACTTGAAGAGGATAGAGTTCTTACTAACTCATCCTATGAGAACAGCACTACCCTGATACCAAAACCAGACAAGGACCCAACAACAACAACAACCAACACTATTGGCCACCATTCCTGATGAACATAGATGCAAAAACTCTCAAGAAAACACTAGCAAACCAAATCCAACAGCACATCGAAAAGATCATTCAGCATCATCAAATGAGATTTATCCCAGGGATGCAAGGATGATTCAACATAGGCAATTCAATAAATGTTATATATCACATTAACAGAATGAAAGACAAAAATTATATGATCATCTCATTAGCCATGGGAAAAGCATTCAATAAAATTCACAATCCCTTTATAATAAAAACCCTGAACAATTAGGTATAGAAGCAACATACCACAACACAATAAAGGCCATATATGAGAAACCTACAAACATCATACTAAATAGGGAAAAGCTGAAAGTTTTTCCTCTAAAATCTGGACTAAGACAAATATGCCTATCTTTACTATTTCTGTTCAACATAGCACTAGAAGTCCTAGCCAGAGCAATTAGGCAGCAAAAAGAAATAACGCGCATCCAAATTGGAAAGGAGGAAGACAAATTGTCTCTTTTTACAGATGATATGATCTTATATAGAGAAAACTCTACAGACCCCACTGAAAAACTGTTAGAACTAATAAATTCAGTAAAGATGGAGTACACAAAATCAATAAAAAATAGTAACATTTCTATATGCAATAGCAAACTCTCCAAAAAAGATATGACAAAGAAGCCCATTTACAATAACTACAAAAAATCTAGAAATAAGTTTAAACAAAAACATGAAATGTCTCTGCAATGAAATCTACAAAATAATGATGACAGGAAATAGAAGAGGACACTAATAAATGGAAAGATACCCTGTGATCATGGACTGGAAGAATTAATATTGTTAAAATATCTGGATCAGTCTCTTCTCACACTGCTATAAAGGACTGCCTGAGACTGAATAATTTATAAAGGAAAGAGGTTTAATTGACTCACAGTTCCACATCGTTGGGGAGGCCTCAGGAAACTTAAAATCATGGCAGAAGGGGAATCAAACACATCCTTCTTCACATGGTGGCGGCAGAAGTGCTGAGCAAAAGGGGGAAAAGCCCCTTGTAAAACCTTCAGATCTCTTGAGAACTCACACACTATCACAAGAATAGCATGAGGGTAACCGCCCCCATGATTAAATTACTTCCCACCCATCCCTCCTAGACATATGGCGATTATGGGAACTACAATTCAAGAGGAAATTGAGAGGGGATACAGCCAAACCATATCAATGTCCATACTGCCCAAAGTGATCTACAAATTCAGTGCAATCTCTATCAAAATACTAATGACATTCTCTATAAAAATTGAAGTAAAATTTCAAATCTTTTTGGAACCAAAAGGCTGCAAATAGCCAAAGCAATCCTGAGAATAAAGAAAAAAACTGGAGGTATCATACTACCTGACATTAAAATATACTACAATGCTAAGAAATTCAAATATTCTTACCATAAAGAAATGACAAGTGTTTGAGGTGATAGATATGATAATTATCCTGATTTGAGCATTACTCAATGTACCCATGTATCAAAATATCACATTGTATCCATAAATATGTAGTTACATGTCAATGAAAAACAAAATACATCTTTAAAAAAGATTCACAGAAACAGATAGGCAATAAACAATATTTATATATGGCCCTGAAAAACTATTGAATTGAATTTTATTTGTTAAATTGAATTTTAATTCTCTTATGGTATTAGAGCTCGGATGTCTTAATTTCTCCTTGATTTCTCCATTGGAAGTAGATATTTATTTTAAACCTCCTTTTAAAGTAATCTGTCATGAGACATTTTAAGGAACTATAAAAGCTACTTATTAAGTCATTTTTATAAAGCAAAGCCAAAACCAAAAAAGGAAGATGACAGTAATTTCCAGAAAATTATTAATAGCCACAGAAAATTCAATCTAAAGGAAAAAATAAAAACAAAAACTGTAAATAATACGTGGCAGGAAAATGAGCAGGGAGCCTCACCTGACTTCAAATTTCCAGGAAGTTGACCTAAGTCTTACTAGGATGGACATTCCATAGGGCCTTCTAGAAGCTCTTGCTGGACTTTTCCATTTTTCCTTATTTTTATTTTGCATTCTAGTCTCATCTTGAAATTAGTCATGTAAATCTTTGATATTTATGAGATATACCAATATGTTTTATTATTTCTTTGCCTATAACTAATTTCTTTCTTTTCTCTCCTTCCTGCAGGGTTTCATTTTATCTTGCTAACGATAGTCTCTCATAGTTCTTTCAGGGAAAGTGTGTGGGTAGTAAACTTTTTTTGGTCTTTGTATATCTGGAAATGTCATTATTTTATTTTCATTCTGTTATTTCCTCTGTCACTATTGTTGCTGATGAGAATCAACTATAAATCTAATAGTTGATCCTTTGTAGATAAGGTTGGATCTTTCTCATACATTTTAATATCTTGCATATTTAGCTTTTAATTTTTCTATGCTGTGTCTACATGTAGATTTGCTTCTTTTTTGTTTTTCTCTGGACTTGATGTGTCTTCTCAATATGAGCACTTTTGTCTTTCTACAATGCTGGAAATTTTTCAGCCATTATGTTATTAAATATTGTGTTTTGTCAATTCTCTCTAGTATCTCTTTTAGGAATTCCTTTTATATCTCTGTTGAATCTTCTCATTCACTTCATGTTTCTTTTTATATTTCCTGTGCTTTACTACTTTGTGTGGCATCCCAATTAATTTCTTCCCAACTGTCTTATAAATCAATCTTTCTTTAGCTGAATCCTGTTTAATTTTATTCTTTCTACTGAGTTTTTCTATTTCAATTACTACATTTCTTATAGAAATGTAGTATTTTAGATTCTTTTCAACTTTGTCCATCCTTGTTTCATTATGTCTAGTTTGATTTTAGGCATATATTAATTTCTTTTTTTACTTTTTGATCTATAATTTCTATAAATTTTGAGTGGCAGGAATATTTCTTCATTATCTTATATTTCCTTGTTTCCTAGAAACCTGCACTAGCATTTTCACCTCAACTATTCCAATATGAATTCCAAATCAAAAAGTTCACTGAAACTCTTCTTGAGCTCTGTATTGTTGTACCCAATGAGTAATTTTCATTGTCACTTAAAATGTTCTCCTCTCTTGAGCCCTGAGAAATAAAATATCCACAGGCACCGCTTCTCAATCTACTGTGCTGGATCCTACTTTATTACTTGACTGCTAAATATTATAGTGTATCAAGGCTCAATCTTAAATCCTGTTATCTAGCAGATTCTCTTTATAATTCATATTATTTAAACTTGTAACTTTTAATTTTATTTATATGATGATGATTTTCAAGTAAATCCCACTCTGACCCCCAAAGTTACCATTAGTCATTTTGCAACTCAGCCTAAACATCTGATATCTCATTAAAATATGTTAAAAATGAAACTTGCTTTCCCATAATCCACACTGATTCCTTTCTCCATTATGTCATCTTAATAAATATTATTCTATTCATCTAGATGCAGAAGTAGAACTCTCCGTCATAGCTAGCAATTGTCTTGGGGATTTTTGTCTGTTTACTTTTTTCAAAAATCTCTCTACACCAGAATTCAGGGAAAAGAAATAAGAAAAGGATATTTCCAATTTCATTTTACCCAATATCTCCACTATGTAGCATAGTTTGTTTTACATATTTAATATTCATAAAAGGAGATGAATAAATAAATGAATGCTGAATTCGGAACAAATATAAGCACAAGGCTTTCATTATAGCATTGTATCATTAGATCTTATTTATTTCAACTTGATTAGGCTTCCAAATTCTGCGGATGCTTAGCTGCAAACTAAAGTTATTTAATTATCAGGACAGATTCGCTGTTCCTTAGAAAGCTACTGTGGCATCATAGTTTACCATGCCTTTGGAGTCTCTGTACAATTGTCCAATTTCAGTTATATTTTTCTCCTATTGGTACTTTTCGGATTCTGGCTTTGCTATTCATAAGACATATGATCTTGAGCAAATTATTTAGCTCATCTTTAAAATGAGTGACAAAAGAACAGAGAATATTAGATAATACATACAATGTGTTTTAAATAGTGCTTAGTAACTAGAAGATGGTACTACTGCTACTACTGCTATTATTATTACTAAAGTCTGAACATCTCTAATCCAAAAATCTAAACTCCAAAATGTTCCAAAATCCAAAACATGACACCGTAAGGTGAAAATTCAACACCTGACACCTTTGCTTTTTGCTAATTTAGTGTACACAAACTTTGTTTCATGTATAAAATTATTTAAAATGCTGTATAAAATTACCTTCAGTCTGTATGTATAAGGTATATATGAAACATAAATTAATGTTTTGTTTAGACTTGGGTCCTATCCCCATGATATTACATTATGTATATGCAAATATTCTAAAATTTTTAAAAAGTCAGAAATCTCAAACATTTCTATTCCTAAGAATTTTGTATAAGGCATACTCAACCTGTACTATTGTTAATGGAGATAATGTTCCTTTCTAGCCATTTGTTTTCAAATAAGTAGAAGTAAATAAAAAATAATCACACACAAATATGTATAATATAAATTCCTTATAGTCTATAATTTAATTTTCTATAACATAATAGTAGTGTAAACATAAACTTGCCATACATATTTTGCACTTAAGCAAAGTTCAAGAACATAAAATGTTAAAATTATCCTAAAAAAGAATGTGTAACTGTATGAAACCTGAGCTAAATCCTACTAAAAAAATAGGTATAAACTTCAGAGGGAGTATTTTGTTTCTTTTATATCTGGATATGTTATACAATAATTAGGCAGTTAAATGTTTTAAATTTGATCTAAGATAGGTTAATTGCTTTTCCTAAGTTGCCGGTAAGTAGACATAAATGCATCAATTCACATTACCTTTTTAAAAAACCAGTGATAAACAAAAAACTGCAATTGCCTACCTAAAAAAGTGATCCTGTCTCCACTTTAGCAAAGGAAGTTGAATTTCTGATTTCTCAATTTTGTTTGTTACCTAAGTTCAAACAGCAAGCACTCAATATCAATCTCTGGCCATTTTATATAAAGAAATGCAAACAACAATTAGGTCATACAGTGATTGATCCCCTGAAGGACAAATGATGTCAGGCAGTATTTATGCACCAAAATTATTTCAATTTTGCTTACTTTTCCAGCAATCCACCTTGATGTCAACTACCATTTAGCTGGGCCAATAATATTGATATTTGATGTCAGTTCTTATTCATTACTGCACCAAGATGATGCATAAGTCAAAACTTTTAGATGTGTGGTGAAAAACACTAAAGCAGGTTCTGTCTATCCAAGGAAATTGGAAACAACAATAGAATATAAAATTAAGGCATATGTAATCTCCATTTTTATTTTAGAAAATATTTAAATTATGTCAATATTCCTACATATTCAAAAAATAATTTTATATCTCAAGCCCATCCTATACTATGTGATTTTTTAAACTAAATATTTTATGAAATTAACTTTTTGCCTTAATACTTTTTGTACTTTGGAAAGAAAATAATTTCTAGTAAAAAGTGAAACGCTTTAAAAAAGTAAAGCAAAAGAAAAGCATTTGTATAAGCAGCCATTAAAAAAATTAATTAGAATATAAGGTAACTATAATAAATTAATAGAAGTATTCTATCTTTATTTCTACTTTGTTTTGGTGTTAGAAATCTAATACTGTAAATGACTACAGATAAAAATGATACATTTAAGATTCTATTGCACCACCCCCAAATTTTAACCTCCAATCACTCCTATAGTCAAATGGAGTTCATTTCATACATTTGTCATTTTGTTGATGGGTCTATGAAAATTGAAAGCAACATAATTATGTCATATTTCTTGACATTTCCTCTTTGACCAAAAAAAATCAATCGTTTGTTTTCTATATATGTATCTTTGGATAACTTTAAAACCTTTTGGCATATATGAAAACAGTTCAGTAGTGAAATTTCTACTTAGCAACCCTTTACATCAACTGTGTCCTGGCACTAATCTAAATAGTGAGAGTTCAGCAATGAAAAATACCAAGTCCTGTCCTCAGGAACCTTATATTCTCTTAATAATCAGAGACAATAAACCAGTAAATAAGTGAATAATCTCAGGAATATGAAGTGCTACCTATCAAGAATCAATCAGGTAGAAAACAGCAATAAGGTGAGAGTTGGGGCTTAAAATGCAATGATCAGAGAGAGATTCTCTGAGAGAATAAAGAAATCCTAAAAGTTCTGAAGGAAGATAACTCAAGCATAGGCAATAAGAGAGGCCAAGTTCCTGAAGTGGTGACAACATGGTCCCGTGGAGGAATAGCAAAATCGGGACACATAGAGTGAACTAGGAATAGATTAAACAGGTGGAATATCTTGAATCATATAGATAACTGATTGGTAATGTCACCTATACAAAGATAACCCAGCTATGAGAAGTTTGTAATGGATTTTTTTATGTGACTAATACCTTAAGTTTTTTTAACCCTAGAATTCTTAGCATAATTCTCAGTATAGAAGCACTAATCAATAAATATTCATTGACTAGGAAGTGTCAGAAAGTCACTGTAGGTCAGAACTGAAGGGATATTTAAGAGGACATAGGACCATGTTTGCTGTGACACAACAAAATTTATTTTCTATCATTGATTTTAAATTTTATTTTGAAATTTAATATACTTTGCAGACTCCCCATGATTGTTTTGAGCATATGACTGCCAAAACTAGTTCAAAATATTTTATTTTTTTATAAGAAATAATGTCACTGATCAGGATATTTGACCACTCAGACAACTGGTCTTCCAATACAGTAAAATCTCATTTAAACAGGTTTCACAGTACGAAATTGTTCTAAGTAACGTGAAAATATCAACATAAAATGATACACTCCTCTCTAATTAGGATTTATTATAGCCAGTCTTAATTTGCATGTGATTTAAAAAGTATAAAAAACTACATGTATGATAAACAGCATGAATTTTTAAGATTGTTTTACATAACAGGGATAATGTCTAATGCATGAAACATTGTTTTTGAAGCACATAATTAGAGCAAAAATAATTGTCACACCAATTTACTCATAAGCACAATTACAAGAAAACTTGATTATCCCCTTTAATGTAATTTTCCCCACTTAATTGTATGTTGGTGGATGAATGTGACCCTGTGAGTCCATACTTGAAGAAGTGACTGTTAGTTAACATGCAAAACCACGGGCAGAACAAGAGAGTCTGCCCTTTCTCTGGAAGAGATTTAATTTGTATACCAAGTGGCTCTGCAGGGAAACTGTTTTAAAAGGTACATCTTCCAGCAGGATGGGCTGGAATTTCCTGGAGCACCTTTCACCTTGCCCTTGGGCTGTCATGTGCATCATCACCTTGCTCTGCCATTTACTCAATAGCTAGACCTAAACACTCAACAGTTTTCTAACTAAAGGAATTTAATCTGCTACCTAGATTGCATTCAGAAACCTAAATTCATTGAATTTTTTTCTGAAACCATTCAAGTTTTTATATATGTTTTCTTTTTTTTTAAGATTTAGCAAATATTCCCTGACTTGTTATTTGGGTGGTTGTGAAGTGAAAGAACCTTTTGTTTCTAACTTTAATACCTGGTTGCATTTAGATCCCTTATTCCACCTGAGCTGGAGAAAGTTAGGACCACAGAGAATCTTAAGTATACACTCTGTTTCTTTTTCATGAGGCTTGATACTGGAATTGGCTGCAGTCATTTAAAATGTTCTCTTTTTAGTCTGAGGGATAGAATTTTTTTCTAAGGAATAGCTGGTTTTCAATTTTTACAGACTGAAATACAAAGTTATGAAATAAATCAAGTCATTACATTATGAATTGCTTTTCTATCATGTTATGTTTTGTATACCTAAAATGGTAAAAACAGACTTTTTTGGATGTGTGAGGTTGTAACTTCGCCCTCTCCAGGGTATTATGGATACAATTCCATATCTTCAAAGAAATATGATTGTTTTACTAGTGAAAAAAAATGTAGAATTTCTAAGAAAAAATAAGGCTAGCAAACAGAAGGACAGTCTGTTAGAAATAATTCTTAAAAAGGCTCTACATTTTAGTTAAATATATATAGCTCCACCCTGTAATCTGTTTTTATAAATCAAATTATAGATTTTGGATATTTTATCAAGTCACTTCAATATGAAGTACAGGAAGAAAGATATGGCACCTTTCCTCACCCATCTTAAGGATCATAGCCAAAAGTCCTGTAACAAAAGACAGGTTTACAAGGGAAAAGTATAACAAATGTATTTAATCAGGGTTTTACTTGACATGGGAGCCTTCAGGAATGAAAACTTAAAAGACCCGGGGAAAATTGTCTATTTTGATGCTTAGATTTAATGAAGAATGGACAATCACGTAGAAATGTGATTGGGCAAAAGAATATAATCTAATGGTAATAGACCGAGGGAAGAAATCCAGTAAGGCCTGACTTTCTTTTCCTTCCTTCTTTCCTTCCTTCCTTCCTTCCTTCCTTCCTTCCTTCCTTCCTTCCTTCCTTCCTTCCTTCCTTTTTTTTTTTTTTTTTTTTTTTGGCGTTTCTGTATAGCATTTCTTTCACCTGGCAATGGGGCAGGTCCCACCTCGAATCACGTCTTCAAAATAGAAGAGATGGAGTGAGCTTGCTAGGCTTTACGGAGAAGGGAGAAGGGAGAAGGGATGGATTGAGCTTCCTAGGTTTTATGGCTTTCTTTGGGGGAGAGAAGTTTCCGTTTCTATGACTCGCCTTAGGGAAGAGGAGTTCTGGTTTCTATGACTCATTCATGGGAGAAGGAGGGTCGGAAGACAGGAAGGTGGAGAAGGTCAGAGGCCCTTCCAATTTCCTTCATTTCAAAGTATTCAGCACACCAAGGAGCCATACTTCAGGGTGTCGTGTTCTGAGCTCCAACAGTGGCAACAGCCAGGCCTGGTTTATGGTCATCAACATGAATCTTGGTATTGTAAACATTATGATGACACAACCCTATTCATATATTATCAACTTTATGTATATAATGGAACTTCTCTGAATTTATGTGACTGTACTTATGCACATATTAAGAGAAAATAAATCCATTGCAGGTTATCCCAGCAATGTTATTGCAGTGAGCACTATATTAATCAATAATAATTAGCTACTTTAAAAGACTCTTGCCAAATTGAGGAACACCTTAGGTTACTATCACAATAAATAAACAGATCTTACAGATTGTGTATCTACATCATGTAATATCTTCTGCAATGATCAAACAGCAAAAGTACATTGTTGTTAACAATAGTAATTAACACATTGCTCTCATCTTTGCTAGATGATTTGTTTTATTTCTCTATGGTGTATAAAACATACATATATATTTTTAAAAGGATTATCCCCAAGTACTTAAGAAATGATTATTTTGAAATTACTAGAAATCTGAAGTTGTAAATTTTTTGTAGTAAGTTCTCTGTAAGTGTTTGTGAAACTGAATTCAGTAGATAAAAATATTTTTTCCCACAAGGGAAAAGAAATAGATTTGATGGAATTTTGCAGTTTGCCACTATGTCAGCTGCTAATATGGACATTCAGGATTCCAAATCCCTCTTTGACCTCTAATCACTGCTGCAGAAATCTAGTGCTTCTCTAATTGTCAATCCCTGCCCTCTGCCTTTCATATCTTGGAGAATATAAAAGGACTGACTTCCTCCCTGGATAAAGGACAACAGATTAATGAAATTAAGTGTCTGCCTCATTAAAATTGTCATCCCTGGTTTACTATTTCAAGTGCAGTATCAACTGTGGCTAGCTTTTACTCTTCAGGGGGTCCAGTGATGTTCAGTTTCTTATGTAAATTTATGCAAAAACTACTCCAACAATATCACATGCTGTTCCTTTCAAACCCCAAAAGGAATGCTGTGTTTCTTTATCTGGTAGATGGAAAGAGCAGAGTGGGAGTGAGCTGAGTTACAGGTTAACAAACAGAATACTGGTCTATCCAAGGAGGAGGAGAGTTTGGAAGGAAAACACAATATTTATTTTCAATTGTGTTAAATCAAAGATTCACCTGTATGTATTTCATTTTTATCTGTAAATATTTCCAAAATGTAAATTTACATGGCAATGCATTTTATTTTGTTTAGGAGGATTACAAATTAGCCAGGATGATTCCATAGCTCATGAAGATCTAGAATCATGTCTTACCCTTTTCCCTACTGCATCAGTCCTGTCCTCTTCCTCACCACACACCCTCACCCGGCACTAGGCCATTCTGGCAGGGAAAGCTTGTCTGGGTGATACTTAATGAATGACTAATCATGTTTTCAAAACTCTTTATAAAAGAAGTTTCATCATCTTAAAGTATGTACAAATTTCTTTGGTCAGTTTGTTATAACAAAATAAAAAGTAGACCAGTGGTGAGATAGAAACAGACTGTTCTAGAAAAAAGGGTGGGTTAGAGCAGCTTGATTAAATGTATTAAAAAGTGGTAGAATTTAGTATTTGGCAAATTGATATTTTAAAGCACTTAAATGTCCTTTAATTCTCAAGTTGAATCACCCATCATCATGGGTTGTTTTAGGAAGTAAAATTATCAGTGTAGGCTTCATTCAAATGTAAATAACTATGGCATAAGTGCCTCATTTAAAAATAGTTGTTCAGAAGAAAATAAGCTGACGGGCAGGGGGAAAACCTCTCAAGTTATAATCATTTCAGGAAAGTACATCCTGTGTATATGTCTATCTGTGTGTATGTGAATTGCCCAGTTGGGTGGCCACATTAATTGTGCATATGTGTCATATTATGATTGCTTTAAGATTGGTTGGGAGAGTTATTGGCATGTTTTAGTTAAATCTTATATTTCTCAGTTTAATTGAGAAAGCAACAAGAGAGATTTTAAAACTCTAAGCTCTACTCAAGGCTTTTCATTGTCTGGTTATGCTCACTAGTGAGCCACAACCTTCTCCACTGTCCCCTAACCCTTCTTATATTTACCCTCAACTTTGGCCAGTTCCAAGATTGCTGTGCCAAAATCAATTAATATGCATCCAAATTGAATGAAAACACTCCAAAGAAATATCTTTAATCTGATTTACATATGAATTTATTCCTGTCTTCTTATCTAACGGATTTCAATTCAACCAGATTTAGTTTCAGATCCCAACTATCACTTACCAGTTGTGTGAATTAGAAGTAGCCTAAATTTTCTCATATGTAATATGGTGATATTACCTAGTGCCTCATAAATTCATCAAGTTTACCTTGTTGGATGCTAGATATTTTGTATTTTTACAAATAGTCTTGAACTTTGTTCTGGAATGCTGTCAAGTTACTTAGAAACTGGTTAGTACTTCCAGATTTGTTAGGTGGGAAAGAAGCAGTGCTCAAACTAGGGCTAATTACTTCCCCGCTACTAAAGCGGGGAAGTACCCCTTCTTTGTCTTCTAATCTACCCAGTGACCTCAAATCTTGAAATTTTTCATTCTGTCTGTTAGGGCAGTCCTCACTTTCCCAGTGTAATCTGAACATCTTTTCGTGTTCCCTCTAATCATTTCAGGTAGTTCTTCCTAGGCCCCTAAGTAATTTCCTCACAGTCATATGCCAATCATTACTGAGCTAAATACTAGAGGAGGTTTCTCTGCAGATCTCCAGGGTTTTCTCTGTGCAACTCTCACCTCACCTCTTCTGTACACTCTGCCTCGCAAATTCTACCTGCCTTGGCATCCCTGGACCCTCAGCTTCGTTTCTTTAATTAGGGAGTCTGCTGTGCTTTGTTTCAGTTCCCTGTCCTTGTGTTATGGGATAGAAATCGTCAAGGTAGTATGTCAACGTAGTCTTCTCTGGCTGACTTCATTCGTTTTCATCTCTTGATGATTATTGCCCTTTGTTACCTAATATGCAGTGTCTTGTAAACCATTGTTTTCTATATTTTGTCCAGGTTTTTGGTTGTTTCAGGCAGGAGGATATACCTGATCCCTTTGACTCCATTGTGACTGGAAGTCTTTTTTAGCATCTGTTTTTAAGTGTCAACAGATTTCACCAGAAGATATGCAATTGTAATAATAATAGCATTATTTTTAACATTTATAGTTAGCCCTTCCTCCTATACAAAATAAAAGTTGGCAGTATGTTTGAAGAAGACCTTAATTATAGTTCTGCTTGGACCATGAATTTCATGCGAAGGCTTAGACAAATCCCTTAATTTCTCAAGACTTTACTTTTCTATTCCATGGAATACTTTGATCTGGACAACTTTTATATTATCTTTCAGAAATATATTGATAATCACTAACATTTTCCTTTTGAAATTGAGAAAAACTATAGACTATGAATGCATGACTTATAAGGCTTTTTAGAGAAGCAAGGATTTATTTTCAACACCTGGTTTTTCTGAACTCTGAAAGATTCTTTGTGACTCAATACTTACCGGTATTAACAAAAAACCATGAGATCTGTAGAGGAGAAAAGAAGAGCTTTATTTTCTTAACAATAATCTCAAATTGGGGAGGCATAGCCTACAATACAAGTGAGCGTGCCTTCCAATGAACAAAGTGGGGGTCTGGCTTCAATAGAGAAAATTCTCACCCCAGTTCTCAACCAAATCCATTTATGCAAATGAAGCATTCAAACTTATTCAGTTCTGATTGGTTGAAATAGATAAGCCCTGATTGGCAAGCTTCCAAGCCCCAAACTGGAAGTCTCTAGCAGCCGGTGTGAGAGTTTGAGGGTCGTGGCCACAGTTTATCTTGACAACAACAGAAACTGGTTTGGATTAATCACAGAAAGGGAGGTTTTGTGACACTTTTACAACACCTTTCTGAGAACATGGAGTACTTTCTGAGAACACAGCTCCCTCACTTGGCTGTGGCCACCTGGTTCTGTATTAACTTTGAGAACCTCAGTCAGCCATGAAGACTTCATTTTGTCTGTTGGCCAGAGGCATGCTTTAACACTAGCAAACACCACAGCAAACCTGAGATCTTTCTTCTGACATACAGAGTGATGCCAAACTGTAAAAATTTAACACCACTCGCTCTTCAGATGTGGAGTAGTAAGCTTCAATTTTTACTTCATATCTCTTTGGTTTTATTTCTTCATATTCCAGAAACCCTACTGCCCTGCTTTGACATTACAGTATGTTACTATGTAAATATATCAAAAGATATTGCTGCAATGTGACAAGTCACATCGGCAGAAAACACCAAGGGCCTATAAGACAAAGATCTCATACATGAATATCTGAAATAATGCCAATAATGACACTGAAAATGAAGTAAACTCACATGAGAGTCAGAACATTTTTTTAGTGCTTTTAGAAGAGGCTCACTGCCAGAGGGAGAATGCATCAATTTCATATGCCATGTAAGGAACTTCCATTTCTCCTTGAATAAAACGTTAGTTTCAAAAATTGTCTTTAGAGTAGAAAGACTCTCTGTGATTTATTAAACCTTCTTCTCCCCTTCACCTTCAGAAATCCACTAATTTTGCATCGTATTTGGCAGCCAGGAAGTTGGGCCAGTCTATATTCAATTCCTTCAGGACTGTGCTTTCAATTTGGCATCTGCAAAATAAGCATTATGCTAGGTGTCGTGGGAGATTCAAACAAGTAAAGATCTAGTCCTTTTTCTTGATAAACTAGGCTAGGTGTGGTAGCTCAAACTTCTGAGAGTTTGACAACAGTCTGAGAAACACAGCGAGACCCCATCTCTACCAAAAAAAAGTAGCTGGGCATATTGGCATGCACCTGTGGTCCTAGTTGCTTCGGGAAGTTGAAGTGGGAGGATGGCTTGAGAGCAGGAGTTTGAGATTACAGTGAGCTGTGATCATGCCACTGTACTCCAACCTGGGTGACAGAGCAAGACCCTAACTCAAAATTAAAAAAAAAAAAAAAATCAAACTCTATCCACAAAGTAGGTAACTATTTGTTTGTATAAGGTAACATGTTATAAGTGCCAAAAGTGGCTAACTAAAAGTCAGTGGAGAAAACTTATATTTACACAAAAACCTCCACATAGAGTAGCTTTATTCATAACTGTGAAAACTTGGAAGCAACCAAAATGTCCTCCAGTAGGTGAATTGATAGAGAAAGTATGGTACATCCAGACAATGGAATGTTACTCGGGACTTAAAAAAAAAATGAACTATTAAGCCATGAAAAGAGATGGCATAAACTTAAATGCACATTACTAAGTGAAATAGCCACTCTAAAATGGCTACATACTGTATGACTCCAACTATGTGACATTCTGGAAAAGGCAAAACTGTAGAAACAGTAAAAAGATCAGTGGTTGCCAGGGGCTGGAGGGAGGGAGGGATGAATAGACAGGGCATAGACAATTTTTAGGGTGGTGAAAATACTCTTATAATGATGGTTACACTTGTCTAAACCCATAGAACGTACACCACCAAGAGTGAACCCTAATGTAAACTGTGAGCTTTGGATGATGAAGATGTGCTAATGTAGGTTCACCAATTGTAACAAGTGTACCACTCTGGTGGCAGATATTGCTAGTGTGAGATGCTATGCATGTGTAGGGGAGACAGGACATATGAGAAATCTTCATACTTTCCTCTTAATTTTGCTCAGAACCTAAACCTGCTCTAAAAAAAATAAAGACTTTAAAAATAATCAGTGGGTATATCGGGTATAATTCTTGAAAGAGTTCTATTGCAAATATGAGAAGTTTTGCTTTGACTTTCCAGGTATGGAAATAATGATTCATTCATTCATTTGTTCAAATATTTACTAAGTATATAATATAAACCCAAAACTGAATGTGTAAATGATCTGGAACAGTACTGTCCAATAGAACTTTCTGTAATAAAAAGATGATTTTTAATCTAAAATGTCCAATGTGATAGGTGCTAGCTACATGAGGAGATTTTTAACTAATTAAAAATAAGTAAAACTGAAACTTCAGTTCCTCAGTTGCTGTAGTTACATTTAAAGTACTCAGTAGCCACATGTATTAAACAATGGTCTAGAATGAAAAGACGGGCATGTATATAAGAGATTGCAGTTTTGTAACATGAATTTATGGAAGCAACAGAAGGAATACATTGTGTCACTTAGAGGACTTTAGAAGAAGTTGTGTTGGAGCCAAGTTTTAAGAATGGTTGATATTTACCAGAAAAATAAATAAGGAATGAGTATCCCAGTCAGTGGAAACTAAGAAGAAAAGCATGAGGACTTGGTGCATTTGAGGAATAGCCAATAGAGTAACATATGGGGAAATTTAAGGAAGATGATAGGCAGGAAGGAGGCAGGTCAAATTTACATTTGAGAGTCTCAAATTTGCATTTAAAAATGACTGTCATGGCTGGGCCTATGCCTTGTAATCCTAGCACTTTGGGAGGCCTAGGCGGGCGGATCACCTGAGGTCGCGAGTTCGAGACCAGCCTGACCAACATGGAGAAACCCCGTCTCTACTAAAAATACAAAATTAGCCAGGCGTGGTGGCAGACGCCTGTAATCCCAGCTACTGGGGAGGCTGAGGCAGGAGAATCACTTGAACCTGGGAGGCGGATGTTGCAGTGAACTGAGATCGTGCCACTGCACTCCAGCCTGGGCAACAAGAGTGAAACTCCATCTCAAATAAAATAAAATAAAAAAAATAAATAAATAATAATAAAAAAAAAACCTACCATTAGCATAGAGCAAGGTTTGGCAATACTGATTTTATGGACTGGTAATTCCCTGTTGGAGGTGGGGGCTATTTCGTGCATTATAAGACTTTTATCAGCATCCCTGGCCTCCATCAACTGAATTCCAGGGGCACTTTCTAGTTGCGAAATCAAAGATGTCTCTGGACATTGCCAGAAGTCCTCTGGGAAGAAAAAATCACCTCTATTTGAGAAACTTTGCTGTAAAAATGGCCTTCCAAGGCTGGGTGTGGTGGCTTACGCCTGTGCACTTTGGGAGGTCGAGGAAGGCAGATCACTTAAGGTCAGGAGTTCGAGACCAGCCTGGCCAACGTGACGAAAATTCTCTACTAAAAAATACAAAAATTATCCAGGCGTGATGATGCATGCCTGTAATCCCAGCTACTCCGGAGCCTGAGGCAGGAGAATCACTTGAATCTGGTAGGTGGAGGTTGCAGTGAGCTGAGATCACACCACTGCACTCCAGTCTGGGTTACAGAGCGAGACTCCATCTCAAAAATAATAATAAAATAAAATAAATAATAAAATGGCCTGCAAAGATAGAGGGTTGAAGTGAGGAAGTTCACTGCATGTGTCCCAGTGTGAGTTGATGACAGGCTAAAATAAGGGATTTTTGGAGGCAAATTTCAACTGAATAGAATTGGAAAGGAAAGAGATGGAGAATGGGATAAAAAGCTCTGGTGATTGCCTGGAGTTTGGATCCTTTTGTTGAAATGGAAAGTGCAGCAGAAGGCTCAAGTTGAGGAAAAGATTAATTTGGCTTTGAACAGGATGACATTGAGGTACGTGGGGAACTTCCAAGTGAGAAATGCTATCAGTAGTTGGAAATAAAGACCTGGAATTTAAGAGAGAGTTGTGAATTGGAGATGTAGATTCAAGAGTCATAAACATCTTAATATTAGTTGAAATCATGGGAATACTCCTTTGTGCTTCCAGCAGTCTGGACTTAATGACGACTCATAGTTTCTGACTGATCTCCAAATCCACGCTTTTTGAATCAATTCAACACATAGCACCTGTTCTTTCCTGATTTCATATATGAAAAGACTTTGAAGTCTACACTGGCCTATTTACTGTTAGCGCTTCTGCCTCAGGGCCCTTGATCTTGCTCTTCCCTCTTCCTGAATCACTCTTCATTCTCACAGCACAACTTGGCCCCACAAATCCATTAGGTCTTAATTCAAAGGTCACACATTCCTAGTCTTGACAGGCTATTTGTATTTCAACACCCTGTCTGCCAAACATTCCTTGTCTACATTTTTAAAAATTCTCCATAGCTTTTAACATTTAACATACCACATATTTTACTGATTTATTTAATTTATTGTATGTTTCTTTACAGAAGCATGCCCGTTCCGTGAGGCTTGTCCACCACCTAAAATCGGCACAGGCTCCATAAATATTTGTTTGATGAATGAAGAGATAGGTTTTCTATAGAATGAGGCAAATTTGCCCGAATTCAGTCAACCTCTTACTTATAACAAACTTGAGTACCACAAGAAAGCAATCTTCACTTGTTTTTCAGGATCTCAGAGACACAGTCTTGCACTAGATAATACCTTCTTAACTTACTGAGACTAGTGGCCTTCAACATTCCCTTTAACGTATCGATATTTATGTACAAAACACATAAGAACTTTTTTTACATCATATGTAAAATTTACATTCCTCAGTGTGAGCTCCAGAAACTTTGGAATTTTTACACATTGTTAACCTCATCATTAATTCACCACATTCCCCATGGAGTAGTATGTTAATTTCTGCTTTGTGCTCTGACATTGTGCCGTTTTCGATAAAAATGACACCTTCCTGCCTTCTCTTCCCTATTATTTGTCCATAATCTTCATCTATCTAAAACATTACATTTCCAGAAAGCTGTATTCACCTGATGAATTTATCCTAGTGTTCCGCTCCTAGAAGATACTTTCTTAGATTCTACAGTCTTGAATTAGGTGATCAATTTGTATTCTAAACAATACCTACTTCTAGCATTTAACTCTTCTATTGTAATTGCCTAGTTACTCCTCTCTCTGACAATCAACCAGAAGCTTGTTGAGGTCATATATTAATTGTTTTTCTTCCTCTTGGTCCAAGCCAGGGTCACAGTAGAGTTCAGTAAATATTAGTTGCTTTATATACATTGTCTTTATTTCTAGTTACTCTTCTGCCTTGTCAATTTAAACACCTGCTTGCTTGATTTGTTCTTTGTTAATACATGTGGTACTTGTTGACATGCTCCTAAAGCTCTGTTAGCTGTTTTGGTGTGTTTTACCCCAATAACAAAGTATGCATGTTTATGCATCTAAGTGGTTTCATGGGTCCCGGAGTTCGGATGTCTGACCCCTCCAAATCTCATGTTGAAATTTAATTTCCAGTGTAATGGTGTTGGAAGGTGGGACCTAGTAAGAGGTGTTTGGGTCATGGGAGCAAATCTCTCATGAATAGATTAATGCCTTCCCTGAGGGAGGGGATGAGTGAGTTTCTACTCTTATTTCCCACAAGAGCTGGTTGTTAAAAATAACCTGGAACTTCCTCTATCTCTCTCTCTCTCTGTCTCTCTGTCTCTCTCTCTCTCTCTCTCTCTCTCACTCTTGCTTTTCTCTCTTGCCATGTGATCTCTGCACACACTGGCTCCCCTTGCCTTCTGCCATGAAAAGAAGCAGCCTGAAGCCCTCACCAGAAGCAGATACTGGCGCCATGCTTCTATAGTCTGCCGACTGCAGGAATATCGGAGGCTGGGCAATTTATAAAGAAAAGAGCTTTGGGTGGCTCACAGTTCTGCATGTTATACAAGAAGTATGGTGCTGTCATCTGCTTTTGGTTAGGGTTTCAGGGAGCCTCCACTCATGGCAGAAGAGGAAGGGGAGCTGACAGGTAGAGAAGGGGAGTGTAGCTGTCACATGGTGAGAGAGAGGAAGAGAGAGGGGGTAGTGCCAGGCTGGTTTTAACAAGCAGCTCTCACAGAAACTAGTAGAGTGAGAACTCACTCACTACAAGAATGATAACAAACCATTCATGAGTGAGCCACACCTATGACTCAAAAATCTCTCACCATGCCCTACTCTAACACTGGGGATCATATTTCAACATGAGACTTAGTGGGGCCACACTAACCATATCCAAACCATAGCATCAGGTTTTCAATTCCGAGCCTGTGTTTTGCTAACCAAATGACTCTGGGCAAGTTTAATAACTTAAACCTTGGTTGTCTCATTTGTAATATTGAGCAGTACCAGTACCTAACCATAAAGATGTAGAATTAAATGAGATAGTACATATAAATCACTTTGTACAAGTTATTGTAATGATGTAGTGCTGTGTTGTGTACTTTAGCTGCTCGGTAATTATTTTTGAGATTTCCAGCTCATATCCATGGAGCATGATTGGTGATATGGTAGTTGTTAATGCCTAACAGACTGATGATGGCATAGGAAAGAAGTATACACCCAAAATTACAAACTTATCCACATCTTTCCAGTGCTCTATATTTCCTCCTTCTTTATACTTGAACTTTCTAAGCATTCCCAAATCTTACCTTCTCTTTCCGTTCTAATTCCATAATTTATTTGCTTTATTTGTGCCATTAGAGTATTGAGGAAATGGTGTAATGAGCTATTGCTTAATGCTGCATAGGCCTGTCCTAAGAGACATGCTAATGTATCAGTACTAAAAATGTTTGAAATACTAATTTTCCTCCTAATGAGCCTAAACATTTTATTATAGTTATACCTTAATACCAAGTTGCAGGTCATTACCTTCACATATTGAAGGCAGCTGATGTTTCCCGGACTTAATGTCTCTGCCATTTGCTTGATGACCCCTCTTACTTGCCCATTTTGCATAGCAGAATTTTAGAAAATAAAAATTAGATCACTTGACAGGTACTGTGTGTGATGTTTTGATTTCATTATTTCTTTATTCAAAAATATTTTTCTGATGATAAAAATTAATGTATGATAATTTCATGAAATCTAACTTTTTAAATTGAAAAGAACAAATAAAATTAATGTGCATTGGCTTACTACCTGAAGATAACCATTTCTGATTTATTTTCAATATATGCTTTGTGTATACATACAACATAGACAATTTTGCATGCTGCTATTTTCATTGAACTACATATTTTTTCGTCATTAATAATCTTCGGCAATGCCATTATAATAGTTTAGTTATATATTTATATATGTTATCTAATGACATATATATTTGGAAATGCCAAAATATAGTTTAGCTATATAATTATACATGTTATAGTTTTATATATTTGTGTATATATGTATGTGTTATCTATTGATGATTTTTTAGGTTTCTACAGTTTTAGCTTGTAAATAATAGTGTGAGGAACATCTATGTGACAAATTTGTATCTTATTGACTATTTAATGTATCCTGATGGGGAAATATTTTCTATATTTTTAAACTTTTGTGATATACTCTAGTAGTTTTGAGAAAATAAAATGTAATACAGTGGATAAAATCTTGGACTCTGCAGTTAACCATACATGGGCTTGAATCCACACTCCAAATCATTCTAACTAGGTAATTTTAGGGAAGTGACTTTATCTCTTTAAGCATTATTTTCCTCATTTGTAAAATACAATTGTTGCACATAAAAAATAATCCTATAAATATTGAGCATATGTCATGGCAAAAACTGTTAATTTTAGTTGTCAATTACTACATCCACCAGTAATACAAATCTGATTGTATTGCAGTTTTATCAACATCAATGCTGTCATTAAAAATCTATTCTAATTTGATAGAAAAAAAGGACATGTTAATTAAAAAACCCCAAATCAAACTAATTTAAGCAAAATTAGGGTGTTCATTGGCTCTATAGAGGAGGGAAAGATCACTCCCACTGCCTTTTTATTCTTTTCTGGGCTCTTTGGCTGGTCCAGGAACTGAACTGATATAACAGATGAACAGGAGAAAAGCACACAAGTTTTATTAATTTTACATTTACATGAGGATTTTCATCAGAGAGCAAAGTCCAAAGGAATGGCCAAAGGAAAATGCTTTTATATTTTTTAGACAAAAAATATAAATTTGTAAAGAAATTACACAACAAGGGGACCTGGCTAGGGTAGTAAGTTCTAGGGGAGATACTGGGAGATACATGAGAGGTGGAAAGCTAGTGGAAGATAAGGGTTATTTGGGGGAGATTATTTATTCAGGCCTATTTCAAGGCTAAGTCCCAGTATCTGGTGATAAGAATTCTTCTCACGCCCTGGTACTGGGAAAGCACCCCTTGCAAAAGAATATTTAAAGCCTGCTGCATGCAAGAAAAGACAATTCAGCCATTCTTTTTCTGAAACTATAATTTCTCCAATGTTTTTATCTCAAAATAGTCAATATACCAATTTGGCATATTTGAGGACCATACATCCTTTACTTCTTCAGCTCACAAACCTAGACTTCAGACTGAGCAGTTGGCAACTGGCATTTAGATTTAGCAGGAACCAAAACTCAAATACCACCTGACTTCCTGAATGGTCTTACTCTTATTAGTTTCTTTATTGTACTAGACCTGAGCATCAGAAGGAAGATTACACATGTATATGCATATTACACATTTTCTGAAACCTTTTATTCAGAGAGGAAATAGCTTATCTCTCTCACATTAGTTTGGAAAATACAGGGAGGTAATCTTATTGCTCCTACCTGAGCCAGATTCCTACCCCTTAAATAATGACTCCATCCAGGGAGATGAATTTCTATGAGGACACCAGCTACAGTGTAGGAAATGAGAGGCAGTTCTTCAAAAAAAGTGAGATAGCAAACCTATGACTGCTAGAGTGATCTTGGGCTGGGTAACCAAGCTAAGTGGATCTACTCCAAATAAAACACTGTTTGAATTTATTTCACTCAACTATAGTCCTAGGGTCAGTGAAAAGGTTTTCAGGTGTTTAATCATTCTTTCTTCTGTCTAGGTCTCATTTCAAGAGCAATATTTGTATTGTCTTAGTGGTTTTCCTCTTTATTTCTTGTATTTCTTTTTGTTATATTTAAGACAATTTTTTCAAAGTTTATTGCCAGTTGACTTTTAAATTTATTTTGTTCTGGAAATGCCATTTTGCTGAAGAATTAACAGTGAACATTAAGTCCTTCAGAGCATTTGGTGTGGTTTCTTTAATCTCTACCATATTTTTAATTATCCCCTTTTCCCTGTTGTTGCTTAATTATGACTTTTTTCTTTGTGATTATTTTTGTCTGTTTTTGACAAACCTTTCAATTTGTCTGTCTACACTTTTCAAAGAGCGGCTTTTGATTTTGTTGATGTTATCTCTTATTATTTTAATAACTTTAATTTTGCTTCTCATTCATCATATATTAATTATTTCTACCTTTTCTATTCTGTAGAAAAGAGCGTCTTCAATTTAATTCTAATATATTTATTTTAAATTTCGCTTTAAAAAATGCATCTGAAATTACAAATTTTTATTAATAATGGCTTCAGCTTCCTTCAACAAATATAATATGAATTCCTTCATTTGGATTAATTCTGAGCACTGAACTCTGAGCTTTTCTTCCTGCTCAAATTCCTTTCTAATGGCCTGGGTAAAGTCAAGCCTACACGCCTTAACATCTTGTTAAATAGGGCTTTTTTGAGGCCTGTTTGAAGCCCAGTATACTGTGGCTTACTTTCCAACCTGACTCTAGCATAGCGTCACATGACAGATAACAGACCCTTTATCTTAACCTAAGCATTTGTTTTTACTGAGTCCAACTATTTAGACAAAGCTTAACTCTTTCAACCAATTGCTAACTAAAAAATCCCAAAACCCACCTATGACTTATAAGGCTCTACTTGAAGATGTCCTGCCATCTTGGGCCAAACCAATATGTATCTCCCATGTACTGGTTTATTATATTACCTGAAATTCCTGTCTCCCTGAAATGTATAAAACCAAACTGTAACCTGATCGCCTCAGGCACACTTTTACAAGATTTCTGAGACTGTATTTCCCCAGCATGTGGTTACTCTCATGGGCTCAGAATAAATCTCTTTAAATATTTTGGCAGAGTTTCCTTTTTCTCTCTCTTTTTTTTTTGTTTTGTTTGTCACCAGTTCCAAACTTGTAATTTATTTTGTGTTTTTTTCTTTTAGCTTCCAAACTTTTTTTTAAACCTTTGGTGTAATTTTTAGTTTCTAATTTAATTGCATCATCGTCATAAAATGTGGCCTTTATAACACTTCTTTGTCATTTCTTGAAACTTATTTTGTGGCTTATCACATACTTCACATATATTTGATGATACTATATATTTGGCAAATACTGTTTTCCATTTTAGATCAAGCTTTATTTTTTGAAGGGGTGGTAAAATGTTGTATATCTTTCCTTTTTTGCATTATCTATCATTCTGATGGACTTGTATTACAATCTTCCCCATTATTTGGGAAAATAATTTATTTTTATACTCATGATAACTTTTAAAATATTTTAAAACGTCATTTGTCTTTACATATAAATTTATTAGTTATACCTTGTGGCTAGAGTATTCCCTTTATTATTCTTTAGTAATAGACTCTAGTAATTTCTTTTCTGTAATTATTTTTTTCTGACACTGATACTATTCTACAAGCTTCTTAGGAATTAGCATTTAATGATTTTATTCCTTTATTTTCACTCTTGAATATTTTGGGAATTTTGTTATTGTTTCTGCTTGTTTTTAATGTTTCTCTTGTAAATTGCACATAGTTGTATTCTTTATTATTTAAACTATTTTAGTTGTTTCTTACTTTTAATTGTTAAGTATATCCCATTGGTGGGGGGGGGGGGGTGGGGGGTGGGGGGATGTGACAGAGAGAGAGATATATATTTCTGTATTGGTATTGCCATAACAATAACTTGTATTTTCTGCTAATCTTGTTTTATTTGCTTCTTTTTAACTTATTTCCTGAATTTTGCTTAAGATAAGATTTAGATTAGGTTAGGGTTAGAATTAGAGTTAGGGTTTGGATTCAGCATTTTGTCTTTGATTTTAACTAAATCAACTTTGATTAAAAATTACTGAATTTTTGCCTGGGCACGGTGGCTCATGCCCGTAATCCCAGCACTTTGGGAGGCCAAGGTAGGTGGATCACAAGGCCAGGAGATCAAGACCATCCTTGCCAACATGGTGAAACTCCGTCTCTACTAAAAATACAAAAATTAGCCAGGCACGGTGGCATGTGCCTGTAATCCCAGCTACTCAGGAGGCTGAGGCAGGAGAATCACCTGAACCCAGGAGGCAGAGGTTGCAATGAGCCCAGATCAGGCCACTGCACTCCAGCCCGGGTGACAGAGTGAGACTCGGCCTCAAAAAAAAAAAAACCAAAAAAATTACTGATTTTTTAAATATTTGTGCTCACCATTATATATTTTGACCAATGCTATACTTAGGATTTTACTTTTTCATGGTGAAATACAAACATTAATACTTCTTTCCATAAGATATTTAAACATTTGTATTCATTAAATGAAAATGCATTCAATCCAAAGTGATATTTAACTAAAGCATAGAATTTTAGGTTGAGGTTTTTTCCCCCGGTACAATGAGGACATTATCCCACTGGTTCTAATATCTACTTAAAAAATTAATTGAAATGTCTTTAAAATATTTTAAATAGGTAATCTGTCATTTTTCACTTGTAGGTAAATATCTCTTCGTCCATAATATCCCACATTTTTCATTACACTCTGTTTAGGTGCAGTTTTATTTTTATGCATTATACTCAATATTTGGAGCGCAATTTTAGTCTTGATATTATATTTTTCTTCAATTCTGGCAAAGTTTCAGCCATTACACCTTTGGATACTGCTGTTCTGACTGTCTTTACATTATCTTCTTTTGGAATGCTTATAAAACATATATTGGAATATGTAACTCCACCCCCACCCTCAAGTCTCTTAATGGTTTACATGCTTTTATCTTTCAATCTCTGTGTCTACAATCTAGCTAAATTTTCCAGATTGTGATATTCCAATCCACTCACTTTCTTTTCAACTTTGTCTAGAATAGAGTACATCCTATCTATAGAGCCCTATTTCTTCAATGACTAACATTTTAATTCTCTTGGATTTCTCAAGTCATTTTAGATTGTGTTTGTTTCATTTCTTTTTTATTTAATGAGTAATAGCTCTTTATTCAAATCTTTGAGACTCACACTTTCAAATCTTTGAGACTCACACTTTAAAATCTTTTTCAGTCTTTCATAATTTTAATCTATACAGATCACTTTTATCTTCCAATTATTGACTATATTAGCTTTAGATCTCCTTGCATGTTATGGAAAATTTTTGGTAGCTTCTTTTGAGTAAGTAAAAGGTCTGATCATCTCTTTTAACTCCCTTTATTTCTTTTCCTCTTTCTTTGTGCTTACCCTTCCATAACTTTCAGTATTGTAACTATCTCCTTTGCCCCAGGTCTCCCAGGCCCCTAGTTCCAGGGTGACCTAGGATAGGCTTTACGTTTAATGTAGATGAAATCTGCCCTCTGGTTTTGAAACCACAGATCCAGTCACTGAGTGTGCTACTTGGTAAAGGTCCAGGTGGCAAGACTGTGTGTTAACTCCAGAGTCCTTAAATGTATAGATTAACAAAAATTGTAGCTTCAAACAACATTAGCCGGCAACTTTTGTCAGCTTCATTTTGTCAGGAAATCTTACCCCAGCCATGGTTTTAGCAGTAAGTTGATGTTTATCTTCCATCTGACACAAAGCTCTTTTAGTCTCTTTATTATTCCACACAAGCTGAATGACCAGTCTGCTTCCAAACCCAAAACCCAGAGCCTATGTTTTCATCCCTATTCTCTATTTTGTGTTTCTGTTCTGTTTTTACTTAGTGCATAGTATGCCTGTCATCCTGTCCTCAAACTCTTCAAGGCCTCATACTTTTAAAAATCGTTTTTTAGCCTCACTCTGTCTTTGAGACATGGTACAGCTTAGTGACTCTAAAGCCACATGGCCTTAAATCCTGGCCATTTCTTTTTTAACTGTGTGAACTGTAGGCAACTTAATTAAGCTTTCTGTGGCTCAATTTCCTCATTCATAAAATGGAGGTGATCACCTATTCCATCATAGTTTTGGGTTTTTTTTTTTTTTTTTTTTTGGTTTCCTGATATATGTATATATCTGTATACAAATGCTTGGAACCCTGAGTGACACATAGTAATTACCCAATTAGTGTTAGCTATTACTAGTTTTTAATTGTCTCATTTCATAGGTATTTTTTAAGACCATCTTGACCAGGGTCCTTCCATAAATTATTTAATTCTTCTAGAATATATTTAGTTTTATATTATGAGGTAGAATCACAGTTTGACTCATCATATAGTTGTGAGAGTCAGCTGTGACATTATTTACAGGTATGTTATAAGTGATAAAGAATTATGCAAATGTACGATTTTGTGTCTTATGATCACAAAAACATTTTTTTCTGAGTTTTAGCTCATTTAAATTTCTATATTTGTGAAAAAATTCTTTTAAATTACATACAATCAACATTGATTACTTTCTACTTTCTTTATATTTATTCATTCAATTAGTGATTTAAAATCAAATACCTAACATGTAGCAGGAACTGTGCTGGGTGCTAGAGATTCAGTGTTACAGAAAGAGCTCCAGACCTAAATGGAAACTTCTTTGAGAGCTTTCCATGCAAACACATTTAGTACCTTCCCATTCTCAGTTTCAGTACTTGTACCAGTGACATATTTTAAAGTCTCATGAGACTGGGCACAGTAGCTCATGCTTATAATCCCAGCACTTCGGCAGGTCAAGGTGGGAGGATCACATGAGGCCACAGGTTTGAGACCAGCCTGAGCAACATAGCAAGACCCTGTCTATAAAAAAAATTTAAAAATTAGCTGGGGGTGTTGACAAACACCTGTAGTTTCAACTACTTGGGAGGCTGACGTGGAAGGATCACCTGAGCCCAGGAGTTTGAGATTACAATATTGAACTGCAGTCCACCCTGGGCAACAGAACAAGATCCTATCTCAAAAATAAGATTTAAAAGTAAAGTAAAATAAAATGAATTAAAAGCTCATGAAATAAATAGTAATATGTTTGGCAATGATATTTGAATAATATATAACTGTTATCTTTGAGGAGTTTAATTATTTGTAGTTATTCACATTTAAAGTATTAAAGGATTATAAAAATACACAAAAGCTTTAATAAATGACGTAACTCCCCATTTAATCATTGTACATGTGTATTATATACTTTAATGTAACCACAGTTTGGCATAAATTTTTCCATGTTTTACATTGGTTCTATAATTGTTGTTTTAATGGCTTTATAATTATTTATCTAAGATATTCATATAGTCATTCTACAATTATCTATTGAACATGAACTATATTTTATTCTAGGTCACTAGAATGTACTGCTAAACAAACAAAACAAAGTTCCTTCACTTAGTGTTTACAACATTCTCATGTATACATAGTTGATGTAAAATCATTCATTTAATTTTTCTAGTATGCAGTATAACTCTTTGACAACAGAATATTATATATATTCTATTGTTCAGCCTTCAGGAATCACTGAAGAAAGGAAACAATGTCCTGGGCCTAAAATGCTTTTATTGTTCAGTAAATTGACTTTCCAAAAGAAAAAGGTATTTATATATATAACATACGTGTATATGAAACCCAGCAAGTTGAACCAAGAAACTACTTAGCTGACTCATCAGGTTGAAGGTTCAAACTACAATCAAATTGGACCTGAGTCTTCCAAAATAGGTTAATATCCTATTTCTTTTAGAGATGCAATATAAAGACATAGGGACTTTCATAGAAAAAATTATGTTACTATATAATATTTCTTAACCTGAGCACTAGCCCCGTAATCCTAAAAGTTAGGATAATGCCCAAGTTTGAAATATTTGTTTTAAAAAATTATACAATGCCATAAGATATGTTTATATTAAGGAATACTATTGGTTTATAAAATAGTATTTTAATTATTTATTTAAATTATTAATGACCTCATTAACATTCCAGTTTTCTCCTTTTCTTTCTTAGTTTTACCATATATAAATACATTTGGAACCTCTGTGCAGAGAGATAGTAGTTCAGTCTGCTTGTCTCTCTGCATCTGTTGATAACAAGTTTACATAACAGTTGCCTCAAGCAGTTTTCTGAACCCACCACAGCCCAAGGTTTACTTCTTCCATATTAGATTATTATTGCAAATTTCACTTGTTTCCATTTTGTATTTATAAATAATGCTACATTGGTTTTTTCATAATACATTTTTCTTTAATTTATAATAAAGTTCAGAAGTAATAGTAAAAGTTTCAGAAGTTTGGACATTTTTGTGATACTTGATACCTATTGCTAAATTTTTCTCTTATAAATTCTCAGCAGCCTAGATGAAGCTAGATTGATCTTATGTTATTCTACTCTCTAATTTATTATTAACTTCATGTCTATATGGTTTTCTCATTATAGGATCTTTAATTTGGTGGTGGGAGGCTTAACAGAGGCAATCAGGAGTGGTGACTATTCATTTTCATCTCAGCTGTACCCTTTGTCCACTTGGCTAAATTCTACTGGCATAATTAAATTCATTTGAGTCTTATGACCACAAAGCATTTTTTTGGGCTTCGGCTCAGTTAATATTTCTATATTTTTGAAACAAATTATTTTAAATCACATAGAGTCAACGTTGATTACTCTTCATTCCCTTTGTATTCATTCATTCATTCAATTGTTTATTCAAAGACCAAATGTCTAACACGTAGTAAGAACTATACTGGATGCTGGAGATGCAGTGTTACAAAAACAATCATAGCTCTCAATCTGAGCTTTCTGCACATCCACCTTCAGTAGCTTCCCATCCTCAGGATCAGTACTACTACCAATGATAACCAGAATTGCATTTTAGAGATTTCCAAACCTCTTGAGTCTTGACTTTCATTAAGATTGTCATGAAATCTCACCTATCTTTAAAAACATTTTCTTTGAAATATTTCTTAATTTACGTTAAATGCCTTAAACTATAGCTTGACTGTCATAAATTGTAGGTAAAATGACTTTTCCCTAGGTTGTCAACTAATCTCCTTCCCACATCTCTCCATCTCCACATCCCTCAAAACTCAAACTACACAGTTTGGATTAACAACATTCTAGTTTATTCTGTCTCGAGGAAGGAGATTGGCAGATGGCCCTCCAATTTTCCTGAAATGGGAGAAAGAAGAAGGATACAGGGCATTAGAATATTCTAAGTATTGATTCTGGATTCTCTGCCTCTTCCATTGCTTTCTGTCTTGTAAGTGATTCAGACCTATCAGGGTTGGAATTAATATTCACCTGCAAAACTGCTTTGGAAGGACTTGGACCAAAATAAAACTTTTAGGTAACCTTTGTGGAAGCATTACTCATCTATCAGCTTAACAAATACTTGGTTGAGCTCTGCTATGCTCCAAACACTGTAATAGACACTGCATCTGCCTCACTAGCTAACTGGATATATAGTTAAGCTGTTCTTCCGTTACCAAGTATCTTTCAGTTCTCAAATCTAAATGCAAACTTATTTCTATTACTTAAAATATTACCATATTTGGCTGGGCGCAGTGGCTCATACCTGTAATCCCAGCACTTTGGGAGGCCAAGGTGGGCAGATCATGAGGTCAGGAGATCAAGACCATCCTGGCTAACACAGTGAAACCCCGTCTCTACTAAAAATACAAAAAATTAGCCGGGTGTGGTGGCAGGCATCTGTGTAGTCCCAGCTACTCACGAGGCTGAGGCAGGAGAATGGCGTTAACCCGGGAGACGGACATTGCAGTGAGCCAAGATTGTGCCATTGCACTCCAGCTTGGGTGACAGAGCGAGACTCCATCTCAAAAAAAAAAAAAAAATTTTCATATTCATTTTACCATAATGCATACTTTGTCATGGCTTTTAAGTTTCTAAGGCAATGGAAAAAGTCTAGCTAAAGGATGTTAGTTATTCAAAATTGCTTGAAGTTGCTATGTACTAGTTTATTAATGAAGCATTTAGCACAGTACCTGGCTCATTAAAAGCATTTCATAAATATTGACTCACTTTCATATTATCAAACTATTGCACTTGATCATTTGACAGCAATAGAAGTTTCAAGTATTAAATGTAAAAATATTAAAACTATTTACCTACTCATTTTCACACAATAACAATGATGAAACTATTTTTTATTTTAAGTATACTTCCTCAAATTTTAATATTCAATGGGATAAAGTATACTTCAAGATTTTCTTTAATCCATAGACTCCAGACAATGAAAGAACATCAAGTCCATCCACCTGCCTGTGGCAAGAGGTGCATCCAGATTAAATTCCGATAAAAACTTACCTACTCTGTTCCCAAAATTGAAAAAAATTTCCATTCTGTGACTTCTCTCAGATCATTGAAAGCCCTTATATTTGGAAAGAATTCTTTCTAATTTCTAACATTAATATTCCTTGCCGATACTGAGAACTGTTCTTTCCTTTTCTGAAATGAAATTCACTGATTCCTCACAATTCTTATAATACATGTTTACATATTTGAGGGCATTCCAAGTTCTCCATGTTCCTTTTAAGTCATAAAAAAGATTAAGCATCTCATTTATTAGATTGGGGACAAGGCTGTTGTATTACTGTGCCAGTGACAACAGTTATAGAATTTTAAAACTAATTGCATTCATTGCATTACTGGTGTGTTTAGAGAAAAACAATGAGTCCACTTGAACTGTAATACAGGATGTACTATTTTTACAGAAAGAATAGAAATCAAGGAGTAAGTGAGAAAATATGTGAGCTAGTTCAAAATGATAAGGAAAATTATAGGATAATTAAGGTATTAACATTAACATTTTAAATAACGTAGGGAGAAAATGAGAGGATAGTTTTTAAGTTGACATTAAAAAATTTGAACTGCAGCTGAAAGGGAAACTGTACATCAAATGGGAAACAGTATATTGATGTTTTATAAACATAATTGATGATTTTAATGTGGCCAATACTCATTCAATTTGTGAGTGGACAAAGAAATTAAATGACCAGAATGATGAGAATGAGTGAAGACTATGAGTTGCTGGGGAGCAGAAACCCCTCTTATTCACCAGCATATCTCCAATTTCTGTCACAAAGTAGATGCTCAATAAACATTTCCTGAGAGACCAGCAGGAGGCGTGTAGACAGACCCTGGGCTCCAAACTGAACTGATGAGCCTGGGCCACTGCTACTATGCTGCAAAACTATCTCTCCCCACCTTCCATTGCCATGTCACTTGAATCCATTCACCCTTCCTTCTGTTTTCCTTCCCCTTTATCCAATTACCTTCTTCCTTGTTCCACTACATGTTACCAAAGCAAGCCCAACTATGTTTTCTGAGAATTTTGACTAACAGACTACAATAGGCACCATTTCATTGCCATCAACTTCACCTGGTCCCTGTCATTCTACCTGCTATGCGATATTCTTCTCTCACTGTGTCCATTTTACTTCCTACCTCTTTTTGTTTTTTCTCTATTTGAGGTATAAATTATCAATGCTAACTAACTGTGAGCATAAAAGCTGAGATATGCATGTGGTATAATTTTCCCACATTCACAGTTTTTATGTGTCACATATATCATATGCATTATATGATATATGTATATATATGCAAATTATGAGTGTACATGTTTTTGTTTTGTTACATCTTCTAATGTAGTTAAAATGAAAATGCTTGTCTGAAACGTTAACTCCAAAAATTTAGTGTAGGATTTTATATATTAAGAATATCATTTTAATAATTTTATGTCCAAAATAAAGTTATTAACAACTATTTCTTAGTTTAGAGGAATGTAATCTTATGGCTGTAATAAAACTGTAACACTTACCTTTTGTCTATAGGTTACTATATGTATTTGTATATATGTAGTGTGTGTGTGTATATATATATGTGTGTGTGTGTGTATATATATATATATATATACATACATACACATTTTATTTTTGTTTATCTTATATTTTGAAGGGTCACATGATAGCATCCTGTGATGCCTGTGGGGTTACAAAGCTGTGGGACTTTCGGAAGCTGTTACCAATTGTGTCCATCGATATAGGTCCAAGTCCTGGCAATGAGGTGAATTTTGATTCATCAGGTAGGATCATTTTTGTCTAATGTTTCTGACTAAGCCAATAACATTAATATTTGTTCTGAAACTATTTTGTTTCTCCTTAAATGTATGTATTTCTACGTAAATGTCTGTTCTTAATATTACATTATATTACATTACATTAAGATATATTTTATCATTACGTATAGCATGTCATATGAAAGAATTATATTCATATATTTAAAGTCAGAAATAATATAGGTGATAATGTGTACTAATCTAGATAGCATAGGTTTGTTAGCAGTGCCATGCAAAATATTCAAACCTCCATTCCTCAGAATCATCATCCAAGGTAAGCAAATTCGATTTTCTAAAGGCAAAATAGCTAACAGTAGAGAAGAACAAAAGTTTAGCAAAAATGAACCTGAAATATTTTTAGTGTAATAATTTAATGTTAAAAATTTAATGAATTACCCCATATTGTGTAGAGTTTACAACTAATTTGAGATAAACATTTATCTTATTGTTGCAATTATGTGCTGTGCATTCTATAATGTTATTATATTTAGTTTTTATTCCACAATGATATAAGTATTATCAATTAGATAAAATATTTTATCCTTGTTGATGAGGAATAGTGTAGCAGCTGATTTTATGAACCACACAATAATTCCAGTTGTCCATTTATAAGGTTAAAAATACAGTTGCATCTGCATCTTTAATGATAGAGTTTACTAAATAATGTATATATGTTATTGAATAATATATTTTTTCTTTGCTATTGTGATACATGTTTTAAACTATTTTAAGTTTTGAGAATATTTTGAATCTTTGAGCATTATTTGTGGTAAATCAAAGTTGTGGCGATAGCAAAAACTTGATTTTAGGTGAAGAAGTAAAGAACAAATAAGAAGAAAATATTTTATTGTTTTAAGATAGTCCACGTTTATTCTTTAGTCCAGAAAGTATGAATATACCAGGAGTAATTCTAGAGCCAGAAGATAATTGTGTGTTTCTTGGGACTGGTTTCATAATATTGCCATCACATATCTGAAATTTAGAAAATGGTAAGTTTGTCTTCTTAACAAACTTTAAGTTATGTTCCCATTACAGATTGGCATATGAACCACACTAGTAACAATGGCTTCTTTAAAAATGTTTTAGTAATATTCTTGTTAAGACATTTATGGTCTGCCAGAATTAAAAAAAGAAAACACTCTTCAAAATAGAAGTCTCAACTATGGGAATTTCATCTTATATTGCAAAAGCCTATTAAAGGGTCAATTTATAGTTTTTGGCATATATAATCTACATTGACACCATAGCTCTAAAGGAACTCTTACAGCTTTCACTTGATTTTCATAAACATTTCACATCCTTAAATCCCTTTTTATTATCTTGAGCTAGCATTCAAGTATTCATGTCTTTGAATTTTGAACTCCGAAATTTCAAAATTTTGTCTGTACTTCCTAATAGTAGAAGTTAAAAGGTGCTTTGAAATATCATTACAATTAATAATAGCCATGTATTTTATTGTCATTAAATATGTTGCCACTTGCTCTTTGCCATCCTTGTCATCCAGCCCAAAAGTTATTTGCATACTTAGATAAACATGATTTTAAATAAATTACAGTACCTATCTTCTGTCATACAGGTCAGTGTGATTTTAAGGCCCTTGGTACATCAAACCTATTTTTTTCTCTCCATGACTGATATATACTTGGTGATACACTAATATTAAGAAAAGCATAAGAATCAGCAGTAGAACAGCAAGAAACATCAAAGACAACACGTATGAACGAGGGACTCTAATGAAAACACTTTATCAGTCTGAAGGAATATGATTTCAACCTGACCTTCCCATCCCTTTGACCATTTCTTTAAGGAACATACCATAATAAATTTTAGTTCCATGTGTGTGAGAAATTACTGTCATAAGGATTTTCTCATTGAATAATGAGAAATCTGTGCTTCTGTACAAGACAAGTCCTCAATGACTCTTCATTTAAAAGGTTGAATTATATCAAAAATTGAAGAAACTGGGGAAAACAAACATAAAATCTAATGAGAGAATGAAGAAAGAGGTGAAAGTCACAAAGTTAAGTGCTAGAAATTATGTTCATCTCAAGAGAGTAAAGAAGAGTGCAAATTAAGAGCCAAACAAAATTGAAATAAGGATGGGGCACATAGGTCTCTTCTAGTTGCATTTATTCAGGAAAAAAAATGATTTAAAGAGAAGTGTAACAAAATTGTATCATGAAAATATGAGAATAAAATAAAATCTAATTTAGTAATCTCAAAATACACATTCATTTGAATATACCTTTATTTATTCCCAGTGGCAAGCCAATACAAGCCTATATGATGTAATCTTTTTCAAAAAAAGCAAGAATATAATTGACCCTATTGGCAATAATGAACATGTATTGAGGGCTCACATTAGTTATGTCTAACCATTTTTTCTAGTCAAAACTCTGTGACAGAACTAAATTGTGCAGTTATATACACCTAGCGTGTTATTTGTCACAACTTATATAATGTGAGGCCAGGCAATGGTCTGCTGTCTCCGCTGTGCTCTTGGACTATTGAAAACACACATGTAATGTCATCATAATGTTATGTAACACATGTGGAATTATAAATAGCATCCTGTCTGAGATATTTCATATAAGGAATGTGGGTGGTTATTAGATACTTTAAGTGGCCATTACATAAAAGTTGCTAATAATATTTAATGTCTCTAGATCAGTTTAATTTAAGGGTGTCTCAAGGTTGTGAGGTGTACTGTTTAAAAAGAGTTATTTTCTTATGAAATGACAGATCTTTATAAATAAGGGATTTCTTATCACTGCAAATCCAACACAGTATAGGAATAAATTGAAAGTAGAGGTCATTAAAAGGCTGAAACTGTTATCTATAATCTTAAATTTCAAATTTTGATGTATAACAAAATTTTCTCTATTTATTAACCTCATAAGTAAATATTGCTTTTGTGGATTTATAAAAGTATATATGTACTAATAAATAGTACCTTATCTGTCTTAAAATAGAGATTATTCACAGAGTATCATTTTTAAAATGTAGCTTTGGCAAAAATGTTGGAAAACCAAAGGTGAAGAAAAAGAATATAGACTATATATTTCAGACCCTTAGGTTTAATCACATGTTCAGCACCTTTTAGACTTTAGGCACATTACCTATTTCTCCTCATGGAAATAATGGAAGAGACAATTGCCTTGCAGTGTTCTAACGTGGACTCAAAGGGATAATGATATTCTCTAATAAGGAACTCAGCATCTTCATCTACTGTAGGGACCAACCCCACAAGGTCGGTGGGTCTCTCCCTGTGTGCGGCGACGAGAGAGTGTAGAAATAAAGACACAAGACAAGGAGATAAAAGAAAAGACAGCTGGGCCCCAGGGACCACTACCACCAATGCGCGGAGACCAGTAGTGGCCCCGAATGTCTGGCTGTGCTGTTATTTATTGGATACAAAGCAAAAGGGGCAGGGTAAAGAGTGTGAGTCATCTCCAATGATAGGTAAGGTCACGTGGGTCACGTGTCCACTGGACAGGGGGCCCTTCCCTGCCTGGCAGCCAAGGCAGAGAGGGAGAGGAGACAGAGAGAAAGACAGCTTATGCCATTATTTCTGCATATCAGAGACTTTTAGTACTTTCACTAATTGACTACTGCTATCTAGAAGGCAGAGCCAGGTATACAGGATGGAACATGAAGGCGGACTAGGAGCTTGACCACTGAAGCACAGCATCACAGGGAGATGGTTAGGCCTCCGGATAACTGCGGGCAAGCCTGACTAGTGTCAGGCCCTCCACAAGAGGTGGAGGAGCAGTCTTCTCTAAACTGCCCCGGGGAAAGGGAGCCTCCCTTTCCCGGTCTGCTAAGTAGTGGGTGTTGTTCCTTGACACATTTCGCTACCGCTAGACCACGGTCCGCCTGGCAATGGGTGTCTTCCCAGACGCTGGCATCACTACTAGACCAAGGAGTCCTCTGGTGGCCCTGTCCAGGCATAACAGAAGGCTCGCACTCTTGTCTTCTGGTCACTTCTCACTGTGTCCCCTCAGCTCCTATCTCTGTATGGCCTGGTTTTTCCTAGGTCATGATTATAGAGTGAGGATTATTATAATATTGGAATAAAGAATAATTGCTACAAACTAATGATTATTGATATTCATATATAATCATATCTAAGATCTATATCTGGTATAACTATTCTTGTTTTATATTTTATTATTCTGGAACAGCTCGTGTCCTTGGTCTCTTGCCTCGGCGCCTGGGTGGCTTGCCACCCACAGTCTACCATGTTTTATCCTAGTGCTGAAGGGGTCTGAGAGGTCAACTCATTCCTTTTAGGGATGAGAGAAATTAAACATATTGGTGCACAAGAAAGATGCTTGAGGCTGGGTGCCACTGTAGAAGTTTTCTAGGGAAAGCATAAGTATTAATAAACAAATAATAAAAGAAACAAGGATCAAAACCTCACTTTTATGTAATATTAAAAATTGCTTAATCAGTAAAGTTATATGTAATGCGATATATACATATATATTTTAAGTCAAGATATAAACATATAGGAATCACCCCCTAGAGTTTAGCTTTTCCTGTTGCTGTAAAAAATCAGCCTCTCATACATTTAAAAAGTTGTATGTGGCACAGCATTATTTACATAATGTTTTATTATCAAATACATTGCTTGTGACAAACACAGATACATGTGTATAGTAGTATATATTTATATCCCAAGTATTTGTGAAGGGATAAGTGCTCCTTTCTCATTAAACAGAAAGCCTCCTGGTAATATAATGCTACACATTTTTGTGAACATTCACTACCTAAATAATGTCTCTCACCTGGCCTACTCAAAATGCCATATGTTTGATCATTCAAAAATTTATTGCTATTTCAGAAAATGTTAAATGGAATTGCGTAGTGAAAGTAATAAAAATGAACCATGAGAATTTATATACATACTTTTCCACGTCTCTCATTTCACCATGTTTATGTAGTTTAGCAATATTTTTCTCTCCTTTGTAAAACTAATTCCAGGAAATTTGCAAAGAAGTCACATCCTAAGTCCTAAGAAAATGCAGAAGCTGAAGTTTGAGCCAGATGGGCACTTTCCAGTAGAAAGCTTATCAGTATCAGATCATTAAAATGAGCAAAGTTTCCCAACATTATGTTCTCCACAATCGGAACCACAATAGAAATCCCAAAATGGGACGAAAATATGACTCCATTCAAAATGCAAAAAGTATCAGACCCCCCCCCCCCATTTTTTCATAACCTAACAAGATAACTCTAAAACCCTTGGTTCATATTTGATTCATCAGTTTCTTCTAGAAAAATCTACAGTTCATCATTTTTTATTTAATAGGAAATTTGCAGTTAATTCCCTCTGATAGAAGCAGTATAGTGTAAGGGAGAGAACATTTATTTAGAAGTTAGAAGCCCAAGTTTTGAATTTTCTCTCCACTAGTTACTAGCAAAATGATCCTGACAAAATTTCCAAATATTTCTGAGCCTCAGATTTTTTTTGTATTTAAAATGATAAAAATCTGTAGGGACTTCTACTACCAGACAAGATGTTGTAACAAAGACCAACCAGATTTATTCCTAACCTAAAACGATTGAAAGAAACAAAAATGTATGTACATATATGAAACAAGGGCTTTCAGACATGTAATATTTGGCAATAAAAAACTGTAATACCTGAGAGAGAGAAAGTAAACAAGGTGAGCCCTATGACTGCTCCAGAATATAGCCTGGAGAAAGTTTCTAGGTTTCAACTCAGGGATGAAGGGACTTTTGGCTAATTCCCAGAGTTGAAGAGCCAGTGGGTAGTCCAGGAAGGCCAAGGCAGCTTGAGTTTGCAGGGCAGGGTACAGGAGAGTTATGAGCCACACACAGAGAACTGGAGATCTGCAGAGTCCCCTCCAGTCTTCAGCTGGCTAAGAGTGAATACATGAAAGCCTGAGGCCAGAAAAAAATCTATCTTAAGCATTAGAAGGAAAATCCCAGGAGCTCACACAGGCCTGGAAATAATTTGTGTTCGCACCAACAAGAATGGGAAAACCTTACAATTCAAAAAGACAGCAGGTTGGCAAACTACTGCCCATGGGCCAGCTTGGCCTCTTTTCATATATGGAGCTTTATTGGAACACAACCTCGCTTATTTATTTACATATTCTCTAAGGCTGTTTTCAAACTACAACAGCAAGGTTGAGCATTTGCAGCAGAGATATATGGCCTGCAAAGTCTAAAAGATTTACTTTTTTTTTTTTAAAGACGGGGTCCTATGATGTTGCCCAGTCTGGTCTGGAACTCCTGGGTGCAAGCAATCTTCCTGCCTCAGCCTCCTGAGAAGCTAGGAAGACAGACACGTGACACCATGCCTGAGGGTAGCCTAAAATATTTACTATCTTGCTCTTTACATAAAAATAAAATTGCTGAGTTAGAGTGCTCAGAAGAATATCGCCTCCATAGTGAAGCAACATTAACTCACACCTCTGGATCTTGTCCTACACTAAAGTCTTTTGAACCACCGTGTTGGCTCATGTATTCACCTATTTAATTCTCACCCCAACTCAATGAGATTGTTACTCTTGCCCCTGTTTTATAGTTGAGAAAACTGAGAGACAAAGCATTAACAGGCCCACTGTCACCTAGCTGATTAAATGTGGAGTTGAAATTCAAATCCAGAGTCTAAATCCAGAGACTAAAATCTGTAAGTTTATGTTATTCTGACTCTTATTCTAATAATTGTATTTGGCTTTATATTGATACATGGCATCTGTTAGGAGAAATGATTCATTTGCTATGAATATTGAAATAGTCCCATTAATGACACTTAGTGATAGTTGACTCAAAGCTAAGACATGGAATCCTGTTATTGACATTAGTTTTCAATTAGTTGCCTCTGGAAGAAAACACTAAAAGAGAATCTCCCTAGTATTATCTTCCAGGTTTCTGATAGGTCTTATGTGCAAGAGGCATTCTCATTACATCTGTTTTCCTCCTGGGAGCTAGAACTCCAACCTTACACTGCAGTGTAAATTCCTATTCAAGGAATTAGGGCTGAATTTAGTTGTCACCACAACTCAAAATGAGATTGTTATTCTTGCTTCTGTTTTATAGTTGAGAAAACTGAGAGACAAAGACAGCCAGCACCTCCAGAGCACTTTTTTGTCTTTTATTTAAGGCCTGGTCTGCTTAAAAATAATTATTAAAAACTGAAATAGGAAAAGAAGAAAGTGGACTGGGCCAGGCATGGTGGCTCACACCTGTAATCCGAGTACTTTGGGAGGTTGAGGAGAGAGGATCTCTTGGCCAGGAGTTTAAGACTAGCCTGGACAACATAGCAAGATTTGATTTCTACAGAACATTTTAAAAATAGGCAGATATGGTAGGACAACAGTAGTCCCAGCTACTCAGGAGGCTGAGGTGGGAGGATCCCTGAGCCCAGGTTGCAGCAAGAGGATGGCTGAGCCCAGGTTGCAGTCAACTATAGTCCTGCCCCTGTACTCTAACCTGGATGAGTGAATGAGACCTTGTCTCTAAAAAACAAACAAACAGACAAAAAATAATTTAAAAAGAAGAAGAAAGCAGGCCAACTTGTTTTATCTCTAAAGCATAAGGCAGATCCAAACTAAGATGTTCTTCCGAAGAACAAGCCCATTCTACCACATCTGGACACAGAGCTGTAAGAGGAGAGGATAAAATACAAGAGAGAAAAGGTGACCAGGTGGTCCTTCTGAATTATTTTACAATCCCATTATTTCATTACCTGTTGAGTGACCCTATTGTATATGCAAATCCATTTTGTTCTTAAGTAGAATTTGGGCCTCACTGATTCTGGAGAAAGGAACTGGAGAAACTGAAGGATGTCAGACTATGTGGCTCTTTGGATGCACAAGTCTATGACTAATACCTGGAATGAGGTATGCTATGCTCCAGGAATCATGCTTCCTTTTTCAATCACCGCAGCACATGAGTTGGGTTTCCTTCCTCCCATTTTAAAGTTTTAAGAGATTTAATTACATGTGTATATTAATAAATACACATGTTCTTACAGTTCTGTAAAAGTCAGAATTGCATTTCATTAAAATGTAATTTTAATGTAATGTAAATTAGGAACTGTACAGTAAAAAAAACTGTTATGCTTTATCTGGAAATTTAACTATTTTTCTCTTTGATTTTGTCTTCTTATCCCCTAGGCTAGAAGCAATTTTATTTATCTGCCAGCAAGTATGGAAAATAACATATTAATAATAATGGGGACACCTTGAAAACTTTAACTAAAAACAACCAAAAATATATTAATTTAGGGATAATAGTCATAGTTGTGCAGTTTTATAACCATAAACCTGTTCTGATTTGTATAATGTCCATTCTGATTGGTTGGTGATCATGTCATATCAGTTATTAAATATTTAGACTATCCTAATGATGACTCATAAATTATGATAACTAAAATGCATTTCAATTGCATGATTTATGATAGATTAATATAAATTAAAGTTATTGACTTCTACAAAATATAATTTATTCAGGAAACGAAGTCTTGTTCCTTTCTGATATCAGGCTTGAAAGATTGTATACTTAATCTAATGATAACATCATTGCACAAATTATGAATCCTCCCTTTTGTAATTGTCTTCACAACTTTAAGCACAATGTTTTAAGGTTCCCCAATACCCACAAATCTTTTCTCTGAGTCTAGACTGAATTTTCAGAAACATCGAGAAATTATTCATGTCTCCATCAGAAAAGGACATTTGAATCAGGAACAAACGAGGGTCTAAACAGTAAAATTGTTGTTCATCTGTGATTTGTAATATGAAATTGAGTAGGACACTTAACCTCTCTTGACCTCAACTTTATCATGAATAAAATACAGGTTTTGATTAGGTGACGTTATCAATTAGGTTCACAGCCTAAGTTTTAAACAATTGCATTTTTTCCTATGTTTAGAATAATTAGAACATGATATCCTGAGTCAAACATAATATTCTAAAATAAAATTTAAATGCTCCTCTATGCTATTTTAAACTTGAAAATAAAACATCAAAATGTAAGTAAAACATTCCACTTTTCCTCGATCCAAAACAGAAATAAAATTTGATATAAAAATATTATTTAAAAATTGAGCCCCAAACATAAATGGCAGCTGTATTGCTCAGCAAGACTAAATTGTTATTCTCGCATACCTCACAACACGGTCTCTGTAGCAACAGGAATTTTGAACAAAAAAAATGCATAAATTCCAACATTTTAATAAATTAAATTAATGACTGGATCAAAGTCTTCTTACAGGACTATATAAGAACCTGACTCATTCTGATTAAATCAGAGCCGAAAAATAACTTTACAAATTGCAGCATTATGCAGGTGCAGTCAAAGGAGTGTCATTGGTTAATTCCTTAATTTGGGGTAGTATTTTTAAAATAGGTATATTTATAATTTTTGTTTAGCGCTCTGATACAGTTACATAAAAGTATAATTGTAATAATATAATTGGAACGCTATAGGTATAGACAATCAAAAGGTGCTTGGAAATATTTTCCTACTTAAATACCTCCTTGGAAATTGTTTACAAAGCAACTATATAACGATGCACACAGTTATATAAAAACAATTTTAATCTAGCACATGCCCAAATAATGATGAATTCTAAATTAGTGTAATCATATTTAGTGAAGATATATGTATATAAACAATGTGCTAATGCCAAATTATTTTTCAACACATTTAAGAAATTCAAAAGATTTGTATCTATGTGGCAAGTATGAGAAATTAGTTGCGTAACTATACACATCTTAGTATCATCTAGGCAAGAAACTACTCCAGTGCATATAATTAGCTATGCTGGTATGTTTGCAGATATAATAAAAATTACATGTATAGGCTGGCATAGGTCATTTTGAAACATGAAAAGATGACATTCTTCATACATACTTTAATCAATAGAAATAAATTTATACAAAGAAAGAAGAGATAATTAGACCTTTTACTTTTTTCCTAAGGAGCAGTTATTACATTTAAGAGGAATGTGTTATTTAGATCTAATAGCATATACTAGTCATTAGATTGAAAATCAAGAGTTAAAATTTGCAGTGCACACATACTGCATGACCCAAAGTCAAGTAGCTCAAGAATTTGTCATCTTTTTAATAGACTGTGTATACAAAATTGAATAGATAATCATCTTTAGTCTGCCAAGCTGATACTTTTTAATAGGATAATCCTTTAAGGGAAGCTGTAGTTCAACAGATGTGCAAATCAACCCAGAACAAATAGCACACTACTCTTGGAGATAGAGCCTGCACAGTTGGCACTTGTGATAACTTGTAGTTATATTTATCTAAAATTGAATTTCAAACTATATTCAAATATGATTTACTCAAATCTGATTGAACTCAGAAGTATATTTTCTCACTTGTTCTATAAGAGAAGTGTAAATAAAAATTGTTTAAAGTCATCTTCATGTAACATCTCCTACCATGCACTCTATCACCAATAGAAAAAATAATTGAAAGGAATAAATAGCATATTGTTATTATGAAAATCAATACTCTGTAAATATTTTGAAATAATGATAAGCATCTTTGAATAATAGACATACATTTCAGACCATGTCTTCTATCCAAAAATGTTATCATTCCCTCTCTTATATATCTGTTGGTCTAACAGTGAGAATTATGTTAATTCGGTTGACAAATATTTAATGTAAGCCTACTATATGCCAGGCACTGTTCTAAATTCTAGGATTCAGTGTTAAAGAGATAGAAAATACTCTATTTACAAAGCAAATTGAAACAATAGACATGAATTTGCAGGTAATGACTAGGAGTATTGCAAACAAACTGTTCCACATGTTATATGCTACATGTGTCATCTGAGTGCTGTTTGTAAAGAATAGCATGTATTTGAAGGTGGAGAAAAAAGATGGGCATTCCTATAATATTAGCTATATAACCACCTAATTCTCTTCTAATGGACTCAATTAAATTAATGGACTCAGTAATTAGTGTAAGTTTTGATTATTACTGCTTTTTTGTTTTATCCTTTATGCCTTTCATAATATTTGATTTTTTTCTTGTATTTATACTACTTTAGGTACCATTTTTCCTTATCCAAATTTGGTTGTAACAGTGGATCCTTCTGCTACTTGTGCTTATTTTCCTTCTACTTCTTTTGCTGTTCTTACTCCCCCTTAGCTCCTTTCTCTGTAATCATTTTTATCATCCTTTTTTTTCTTTTTCATCAGGTACAAATAACTGAATTAATCATACTTCTCAGTATGTGATAAACTTATTAATCTCCTTTTATGTGCCGTTCCTACTTTCATTCTTTCCCATTCTCCATGGAAGTTTTTAAATGTCTTTAATATGTTCTCTTAGATCTGCAGATATCCTTGAAGAACGTATATATAGAGAAAATTATTCTGTGTATGTACGTATGTAAGTTTCTAAAAACTATGTTTTGCTATGCATTCCATTCAATTTCTTGCTTTTTCATTTTACAGCATGTTCTTACATTTTACCCACATTAATATATGCCTATCAATTTAATCAATTCTGTCTACTTGATAGTATTTCATATTATTCATCTTACTATTTTATTTATCCATTGCTGTAATGATGGATGCATAATTTTCCTATAAGCCCCTTGCTACCTAAAGGCATTCTGCACTAAACATTTTTCTCAAACAGAAGTTTACTGATTTCATCTAGAATGTCTTTTATTAAATTGAAATATTTAGATTATATTGAGTCAATTGTTCAGCTCCCACTTATAAGTGAGAACATGAAGTGTTTGGTTTTCTGTTCCTGCATTAGTTTGCTGAAGATAATGGCTTCCAGCTCCATCCATGTTTCTGCAAATAACATGATCTTGTTCCTTTCTATGGCTGCATAGTATTCCATGGTGGAGATGTACAACATTTTCTTTATCCAGTCTATTATTGATGGGCAATTAGATTGATTTCATGTTTTTGCTATTGTGAATAGTGCTGCAATGCATATATGTATATATGTATCTTTGTAATAGAATGATTTATATTCCTTTGGATATATACCCAGTAATGGGATTGCTGAATCAAATGGTATTTCAGGTTCTGGATCTCTGAGAAACTTCCACATCATCTTCCACAATGGTTGAACTTATTTACATTCCCACCAACAGTGTAAAAGCATTCTTATTTCTACACAACCTCACCAGCATCTGTTGTTTCTTGACATTTTAATAATTGCCATTCTAACTGGCATGAGATGGTATGTCATTGTGGTTTTGATTTGCCTTTCTCTAATGATCAGTGATGTTGAGCTTTTTCTCACATGTTTGTTGGTGGCATGACTGTCTTTTTTGGGAAGTGTCTGTTGGACAGTGAGAGCACATGGACACAGGGAGGGGAATAACACACACTGGGGCCTGTAGAGGGGTGGGGTTGATGGGTAGAGAGAGCATTAGGAAAAATAGCTAACCCACGCTGGGCTTAATACCTAGGTGATGGGTTGATAGGTACAGCAAACCACCATGGCACACTTTTACCTGTGTAACAAACCTGCACATTATGCACATGTACTCCAGAACTTAAAATAAAAATAACTTTAAAAATAAATTTAAAAAATTTTTAAAAAATTAAAGAGTCAAAACTATTTTGTTTGTCTTTGTATTTTTTTGGAGGAGGGATTGCTGAAGAATATCAACCCTGCTGTTAGGTCACAAAAATATTCTTCTCTTCTAGCATCTTTCTCTTTTAGCTTTACGTTGGTAGCTTTTACATTTTAGGTCTTTAATCCGAGGTGCAAGGGAGTGTTATCAGTCCATTTTTCCTGCAATAACAAAGAAACCCAGGATCTTCCTGACTTATAGAAGCATTTGTTTCTCGTTCCCTTATCAGAAAGCTTCAGGACAGTTCAAGGCTGACTTGCTTTCCTGGGCTCAGCCTAATGCCATGTGTCTGATTTCAGATCCCAGGACCTTTTGGTGGGACATGTCCTCATAGAATGAGCAGGTCAAATGAAAAACCAAACTTGTGCAATCACATTTAAATCTTTTTTGAGATGTCACAAATTTTAAGTCTGTTTAACATTCCATTGACCATAAGAAGGTCATAGCAAGTTATAAACCAAGTACAAAACCACTGAGATGGGGACATATATCCTATTACTACAGATATCAAAGACAAGTTTCATGGTAATAGGTGGAGATTTTTAACCCTATTACAGGGAAGAAGTAAGTACTGGGAACAATAATGACTATAGAGGGAGATTCAACTTTATTTCTCTTTCTAATAAGTCAGTTTTCTTAACACCACCAACTCTACTATTGAAACTTGTCTCGTTGATTTGTGATGCCACTTTTATTAGAGATCAACTTCAAACCAATAGACACATCATTTTCTGAATTTTCCTTTCTAATATGCTGGTAACATTGCCTGTTTCTGATCTAGCACAATACTGTTTTTGTTGCCGTGATGTTCTAGTATTGTCTGCTTAATATCTAAATGAAGCCACACTCTTTGTACTTCTTTTTAAAAAGTATCCATTGAGTTTTCTATTTCTTGAGACTTTTGGAGTTATCCCTTTTAAAATTTCAAACTGTATTTCAATCTGTTAGAGAACATGATCTGCATTAAGTTCATCTTCTATGCAAATATAGACAATTTGTTCACTGCCCCTTGTTTAGGCAAAAAATGCATTTCTGTGCAGCAATTGGTTGATTCAAAAAATTTATAGAACTTTCAATTTAGCTTATTAACTAGTTATTCAAATAATTTATACAATTTATTTTTTGACTGCTTGAGATCTCAGTTTCTGACATGCATATATTAAAATCCTTAACCACAAATGGTAACTAATTTATCCATATAAATCTGTCAGTTTTCACTGTATGTATTTTGAGGCTATGTTTCCAGATACATATATATGAATAATCATTATACATTCTTGATCTTTTTTCCCTTTGTCAAATATAACATCTCTTTCATGTGATTTTGCCTTAAGTTCTATTTTATCTCACATTAAAGTTGGCAAACCTTTTTATGTCATATTTTCCAAGTAATCTTTTCCATACCTTTACTTTCCATACCTTTTTATGGCAATTTGTTTTTATTTATTTTTGTTTTTCTCCCCAATCTGATATTTATATTTTTGAGATGGTTAATTTACTCATAATAGTTGCATTGTTTCCTACATCAGTATGCTTGCTTAGAAAAATTTTTGTATTGGTCAGTATTCTCCAGATAAACAGAACCAATATGTGTGTGTATATATAAGAATGTATGTGTATGTATATATGTGTGTGTGTGTGTGTGTCTGTGTATATGTGTGTGTGTATATATATATACACACACATATATACATATATATATACACACATATATACATATATATATAGAGAGAGAGAGAGAAAGAGAGAGAGAGGAAAAGATTTATTTTAAGGAATTAGCTTATGTGATTGCGGGGGCTGGCAATTGTGAATTCACAGGTTAGGCAAACAGTCTAGAGGCTCAGAAAAACTTGATATTGCAGCTCGAGTCCACAGGTAGTATAGAAGCAGAATTCCTTCTTTCTTGAGGGCCTTAGTCTTTCTTTATTAACGCTTTCAACTGATTGGATGAAATCATTGGATTGGATGAGGCCCACTCACATTATGGAGGGTAATCTGCTTTACCCAAAGTCTGTGAGTTCAAGTACTAATCACGTCTTTAAAAAAAATACCTGTACAGCATTATCTACACTAGTGTTTGACCAAATACCGGGTACCATATGTACAATGGCCTATCCAAATTGACATATAAAATTAACCCTCACAATGCTACATTGTGATTGTCTTGACCTTGTCTTTCCCTTGATGATCTTATTTCTTTCAGGAAATATTTACTATGCCCTATTCTAGACAGTAAAAATAGAGCAATGAAAAAATATATCTGCTCTCATAGAACTTACATTCTACTTGAGAAAGAAGGTTCAGTGAATGGGAGGTGGATGATAAATAGCTACCGAAATTAATGCCAACATATTTGCCAAGTGGTGATAAGTCTTATGAAAAATTAAGACAAGTTAAGAGAACAAAGAGTGATGAAGTGGAATATTACTTTAGAAAGGATGTTCTGAGATTACTTCTCTATGAAGTGATACACATGAGCAGACACCTGGATGAATTGAGGGAATCAGTCAAATGGTTATCAGCAGGAAGAGCATTCCAGAAAAAAAACAGCAGTGCAAAAGATTTAAATCTAAATTATGCTTTTTGTGAGTGAGATTGGATAAGGAAAACTATGAGAGATGGATCAAAGTGTTAGCCAAGGGCAGATTATGGATGGTCTTGACTGTGGCACCAACGCTGGTCTTTATTCTAAAAAGAAGAAATAATTATAAGTTAGCTCAATTTTTTAAATGCATGTACATTTGATGGGGTATAGGTAAATTAAAATCTTGCCAAGAGACCAACACATGCAACTTAAAAGAGAGCTAATATATTTGATCTCAAATAAAAGAACAACCAATGAATTTGTCTGCTATTAATTATGGATGATCAATCCACAGCAAATCATTCCTATTTATGTCTAAAGACATGGTGGGACTTAAATCAGAGACTTAACAGTATAAAATGGTGTAGAAATTTAAATGCTCCGGACACTGCTAAGAGACAGCAATTAATAATATCATGTAATGAAAAATTTTGTAAACTACTCTTATATTCTTGTATAAGGGCTATTAGATGTTCTGCTGAGGAGGAGATAGTTCATGAGTTTGCTACTTTCTAGTTCCACATCAATGGATAATTTCTCCCTCTTTACTGTATGGAAATTTATAATATGTAGACATTTTGATGTTGATAACATTTAGAAGTGTTTAATTTTTAGTATTATCAGCCTGACAGACATAAGTTTTATTAAATTAGTTTGAGAATCTCTTTGAAGATATTTGCATCTGCATAAGTTTGCATGAAAAAAAAGTTTGCATTTTAGGGGGAAAACTATTATATCAGTGAGAATTTTGGAGTATTTTGCTTATTCTTTCTGGAACTTTGAAGTAATGTGAAATAGTGTTTAGAAACCTCATCTCAACGTAGGGGGCTTCTTAGTAATAATACACTGTATCTGCATACCCGTTTATAGGTTTTAATCCAATTCATTCCACCAACATATCTTCTAATGCTTAGTCCTGTTGTCTTCTCATGATCAAAAATGACCCCTTTTAAAAATGCTTTGCATCACCATCCTTTTTTTTTTTTTTTTTTTTTTTTTTTTTTTTTTTTTGCCAAAATTGACATCCAGTTTGTTTTAAGACAGTTTCATTAGGTCATATGTCTAGATTTGTTACCTCCATTCTTCCTCTGCCTGGGCCTAAACTATTCTATAATTTTTCTCTGTCCCCACTGCCCCCCACCCCCTTGAAATCATAGTCAACAATTAAACTTTGCTACTTATAAGAAAGACTTGACCTGGCTTTGGGACAGCCAACTGAGCATAAAGTGGTGAATATGCTGTTGAGAGTAGTGCTTATAACCCCATCATATGTCAGTCAACCAGATTAGCATACTGCTCCACTATTTTCATTAATGAAGGCAGAATTTGTGTTAAGAAAGCCATATTTGCTACAATTCAAAGTCAATTAGCTTTCTCGTGAAAAAATGAGTTTCTCATTTAGGTGCTTAATGTTAAAATAAAGAGGGCATTGTTCATATTAATTATAAAATAATTCAAAAAGACATCTCTAGACACCAATCAGGAAAAGATAATCACTGAAGATTATCTGAAAATAAATTAAATGTCTAAGCATAAGTCTTGTTCAAATATAATATCTCAAATCCATGCAATGGAATACCATGTGACTATTAAAATGTCATAAATGTGCATATAATGAAATATAAAGATAGATTTTCATAGTACATAGTGAAAACAAAGGCAGTGGAAAAATGGGATATAGGATGTAACTTCACAATAATCATCTAGATAGAGAGGTATATAGACAGGATGCTGTGCTGCTCATTCTCCATTGGCCCCATTCCTCCACTCATCCATTCTATGTTCTTCTCTGCCTTCCTCTATTCCCTGGGAGGCTGACTTGCCTATTGACTTGTGTTTGGAATTGACGAATGGGAGGCACTTACAGGAGAGTGAAGGGCAGGAAGAGAGGGAGATTGGAGCATCTACTCCCTCCACGCCCCCGGGCTCGGGTGCACTTGCACAGTGGCTGCATTACTCTCCAGCTACAGCTCCCATCAGGCCGACTTACTCCTGAGACTGGTTCTCAGCCAGGCTCCTGTTAGGCCATTTTCTCTCCTCAAGCCTAGTGTCAGTAACAACTCTTCACTGCTTCTAATTTACATATGTATTTCCTTAATTTATTCCTCTATCTTTACCCCTTGGTAAATATTTAGTCCCTTCATTAATAAGTCTCTTTAAAACTTCCCTCTGAGAGTGGGCTCTTTGTTTCCTGGCGGGGCCCTGACCGACACAGTTGCTCATAAAAGGCCTGGCATGCTAACCACTACAATGTGCGTAGGCATTCTCTGAGAAGTGTTTTGCCTTTTGTTCTAAATTTTCTAAAGTGAATATATAACGAGTTTTCAATATTAAGAAAATCAAGTAAAAATGTTTCTGTACATGAAAGAGAAAAAATGAAAATAAATAATGCTAGTATGAAACCAAGAAGAGCTGGTATCTTTTTAACTTGTTTTAATTGGCCATATTGGTCTTAAGGACCTCCCACATCTAACACTAAGTCTTACCCATCTCCTCCCAAATGAGTTAGAAAGAGAGGAGGAGAAGGGCAGATGAAGAAGACTCAGCTGAAGCCAAGTGAAAGTTAGCATTTATACCTAATGGAAGTTAATAAAGCTTAACTCCTTGGACTTCACATATGTCTGGAAGGAAGAGATTTTCCACTCTACTGTCAGGGTTAAAACACTTACATAGCATAATTCTAACTCCGGCTCTGTCCCTCCTTCCTCTCTCCCTCTATGAAAGTGGTATCTATCTTGGTAACTGGTGTCATTGAATAGCCTCTACTTGTGCCGCTCTCCTTGGAAAAACTTGTCATCTAGTCACACAGGTTCTTCCATCTATTACTGCCAGCAGACAGCACCAGCAGTGGAGGCCTGAGTTACCACAATGCTGCCAATAATTAGGTGGGCATGGTTCATTCACTGTGGGGAGTGTTAGGATGCCCATGAGCCAACAAATTTGTGTTATGTGTTCAGCTTGGCCTTATCACATTTTAGCTGCATTCTGTTCTCCCTATAAATCCTGTGCCTTTTCCTGGGGGTGGTTCCAAACTGGAGAAGGAAAGGAAAGGATACTTTACTGATGTTCTCAAAACACAGTAACATTTAGATCCCTTCTATATGCCCACAGGAGGCAATATTTTTTTAAATGTGTATTTTTGTTATTCTAAATGTCTTATAATTACTGCAGTCATTTTTGAAAAGAATATGAAACACATGTAAAAGAAAAATCATGAAATCATAAAAGAGTTAATTGTATACTTTTTATGAAACTATAAAATCACTATATAATATATATTTGATAATATAATGTTTTCAGTCTAATTATATACTTTTTTTTTTTCATTTTAGTTATGTACAGGGACAGTAGAACAGTTAGGAACCAAGGTCTCCAGAGTGACACTGACTGGTTTTGAATCTAGATTCTACCACTTATTCATTCTCTAACCTTGGGCAAATTCCTTAATTTTTCTTTTCTTTTTCTTTTTTTCTGTTTTCTTTTCTTTTTTCTTTTTCTCTTTTTTTTTTTTTTGAGATAGAGTCTTGCTCTGTCACCCAGGCTAAAGTGCAGTGGTGCCATCTGAGCTCACTGCAACTCCGTCTCCCGAGGTCAAAGGATTCTCCCACCTCAGCCTTCTGAATAGCTGGGATTACAGGCATGCACCACCACACCCAGCTAATTTTTGTATTTTTTTTGTAGAGATGGAAATTCACCATATTGGCCAGGCTGATCTCAAACTCCTGACCTCAAGTGATCTGCCTGCCTCAGCCTCCCAAAGTACTGGAATTACAGGTGTGAGCCACTGCGCCTAGACAGTTCCTTAATTTTTCTATGCTTAAGTTTTCGCCTCTGTAAAATGAGAATAACAAAATAGTGCATGTTGTTTTTTGTGAGCCTTAATGAAATATTCATATAAACATGGTGAATAAGGCATAAGTCTCTGCCCTTATTGTTTACACAGAGAAGCAGAAAATTAACTACCTCTTTCTTTCTGTCTCTGTCTCACACATGACACGCACGCACACACATGCACACACACACACATTCATAAATGGTATAAGCAAAATAAAGCCATGTTAAGTATACACAGTGAAAGAGTGGATAGTCATATTTTAGATAAGATGTGCAGGAAAGGCCTCTGAGAAAAAGCAACTTTCCTAACTGAGGAAGCAAGTCATGCACAGGTCTTGGCAAGAACATTTCAGGCTGAAAGTTCCAGGAGGCAGACCATTAGTTAAAAAAATGTTGCAGAGGTCCACGTGATTAGAGTGGAATGAATAAGGAAATTAAGATAACGCTGAATCGATTACCTGAGAGCAAAGGGGAACAAACCCCCCGGGTAGGTTCCAGACTCAGTATCTGAGAACTTCCAAAGGATGTGGTACTATTTTACTTAATGGTGGGAAACTGTGACAAGGTAGCCTGAGCAAGTGTTGTTACTTCAAATGCAGCTATCTCACCAGCAGGATTTTGTGTATGGAATACTACAATTAAACATTGAATTAAATATTTTATGTTGTTTCCAAAACTAAGTCATTATGATTGTGTATGATATATCCCAATGTTTTCTATTAATGGTTTCCAGAAACACCATCTTTCTTTTGTAGGTTAGAACATTATCATATGAAATAAGATGCCAAGAAAAGAACTTGTTATATCACGTAACTCATAATTTGATAATCCTTGAGTATTCATAATTAAATTGAAAAAGTCATTATTTCTTGGACTATAATAGTATCTGAGATGTAAATTAATGTATTTATTTGTTACTAACCAATATAATTTAATTTTATACCACTTTAACTCCCCATTTTGTGTTAAAAAAGAACACAATCATAATTTGACTCCTTTATTCAAAGGAAGTAAATTGAAATTCAAAGTGTTGCGCTTAAAAGTGAGTTGGTTAGTGTTTAACTTTCTTTTGAGCACTTCTGTCCCCAAAGCCGGTCAGTACTTTGCATTTTGGTCATTTTTCTTTTGCTGAGATAATGAGGGTGGGGACTCTTTACAACTGCAGGCAATTGCTTTGAGCTCCGAGCACTTTGAAGAGATTAGCCCCATTGATATTCTCTCCAATATTTTTGGAGAGAAATGCTGCCTTCCCTTGAGTGTAAGACGAACGGCTGTTGAATAGAAACTTCTTTTGTCTAGCAGAGAGTATGGTAATACATATTCTCTTCTTAGAGACATATATACAACATTAGAAAGTTATCTAAGATGATTGGGAGCCTCACTACACTGACTTGTTAATTTTGTTTAAACTTTCAGTTAAATGTGGTCTCATTTACCTGGAAAGTATCCTTAAAGCGTTTGAGCCTGGATTGTATTGCTATTAAGCCAGTGAACTTGGTGATGAACAAGTTAATTATCCTGGGGATAAAAAGGGAAAACGGCATAATTTCTGCCAGCAATACAGTGAAAAATATATGAGTGAACTATTTGGAGGCCTGCCCACTCAGTAGGACTTAGCTGGCCAGTAACCTGATCTCTCTGGTTTGAGTTCATCAAAGACATTTCTTTGATCTAAAAATGTTACAGAATGCTAAAATTCAGATGAAGCCATATAAATAATATAAATTTTATACCACTTGACTCCACATGCATTATGTTTTTGTTTCAGAGAGGTTCAGTTAGCAAAAATATCAATTCAAATGACTTTTCTGTCATTAAAAAAATGCCTTTTGTGGGAGAGGGATACACATACACTTAGGTGTGTATACATATACACACACACTTAGGTGTGTATACGTATACACACACACTTAGGTGTGTATACATATACACACACACTTAGGTGTGCGTACATATACATACACATATAAGATATAAATTAAAATAAAATTAATTAAATATATATTTAATTTCATTGCTGCAATTCTACCTAGTGTCTCACATAAATACAAGATCATCATCTACTGATTAGCTTGCTCCTGCAGACAATCGGATAGATACTAAAACCTCCTGAAGGTCATCATAACCTCATTTTCTGAAAGCATCCCTTGAAGTTCAATAGCTTAGAAAGTTTCTGTTGCATTTGTGTCCCTTGCTGGGTTGTATATACATAAAAAGGGATATTACTTTCATTCAGAGAAGATAATAAAACCTTGTGATTTAGGAAACAGGGTTATCATCAAATAAGCCTTTTATTTATGCTATTCAGACTGCCTATCTTCAGGATATCGCAAGTACTGATCAATTTCAGGTCAATTGGATGTGTGAAATAGAAGTGTTGTGGTATAAGCTCATGATTATGTCCTGTAGCTTGAAACAGTGAATTTGATTACATGACATGTTGCTGTACCCTCTTTGGTCTTATTGTCTGCACACTTCAAATAATCTACCTGTGCCAACTCTAACAGCCCATTTCATTCTCTAGGAAATAACCTTGATATAACTCTAACCATTTCTTCATGGTGTTAGAAATTATAAACTCATACCACCTTCATCCTTAGAACTTTTTAACTCTAGTCCCAATATCATTATCCAGGATTCTGGGCAGGCTGCCATATAGCACTGTGATGGATAAATACAAATGGGTGTGGGATTTGCTGAAGGGTGTCTAGGCTCAGAAAATTGCCATTGTGCCTTTACATCCAAGAGCGCCTCACAAGATTACAATATTTTGTGACTCCTTAACCTTGGAAACTAGAGTCCATGAGACTTTTCTAAGATCATAACAACTTTCAGGAAAGGAGATAATTTTCTGTACCTCAGAAAATTCTGAGGTACAGGTCTGGCCACTTTTACTTCAGGCCACCACCTTAGTTACACTGGACCTTAATTATCATGGCAAAAATGTGAAGCATCAATTTTTGACTCCTTTACATTGAAATAGATAGTTTATGGGTGCTTAGACTGTCAAAGCTCTCCTTTATCAGTGTTCTTTTCTCTAATTTACAAAATATATTTTGTTGTTTTGTTGCACTTTGCTGAGTTATTTATATTCCCCTTGTACAGATGCTAGCATATCAATAAATAGTTTATATATTTTATAACATCACAGAAAACATTTATTGAGGGCCTTTGACTCTAGTCATTATCATTACTTTTCACAAACTTGCAAGATGATTTCTAAGAAATTCTCATTAAACTCTTTTAAAGTTTAAATTCGAACATATTTTCTCAGCAACTTTTCTTTGCTTTTAAAGAACTTTGGCTCCTTGCACTAACAGAATACCATCAAATCAGTTCTACTCCTATGTAGTAAGACAAATTTTATCTTTTTCCATAGAATTGAATAATTTCATGATACTAGTTTAAGAATAAGGCTTGAAGATGCTGATTTGCAACTGATACTGGTGCATCAAGTATCATAAAATTCCTTAAGAACAATAAATAAGTAAACATATATTTTAAGTGAAAAGTTATTAATGTTTTTTTCTTTTTAAAATACATTTTATTGTGTATATTTGAGATTTACAACATGATGTATGGGGTACATATAGATAAATGGTTACTATAGTGAAGCAGATCAACATATTCATCACTTTACGTAATTACTTTTCTGAGACAAGATCAGCTAAAATCTACTTATTTAACAAAAATATCTAACATAGAATTGCATCTCATGTTACACATTAGATCTCTGATTTATCCTGCATACTTTGTTTTTTTTTTAAATTTTATTATTATTATACTTAAAGTTTTAGGTTACATGTGCACAATGTGCAGGTTAGTTACATATGTATACATGTGCCATGCTGGTGTGCTGCACCCATTAACTCGTCATTTAGCATTAGGTATATCTCCTAATGCTATCCCTCCCCACTTCCCCTACCCCACAACAGTCCCCAGAGTGTGATGTTCCCCTTCCTGTGTCCATGTGTTCTCATTGTTCAATTCCCACCTATGAGTGAGAACATGCGGTGTTTGGTTTTTTGTCCTTGTGATAGTTTACTGAGAATGATGATTTCCAATTTCATCCATGTCCCTACAAAGGACATGAACTCATCACGTTTTATGGCTGCACTGCATAGTATTCCATGGTGTATATGTGCCACATTTTCTTAATACAGTCTATCATTGACGGACATTTGGGTTGGTTCCAAGTCTTTGCTGTTGTGAATAGTGCCGCAATAAACATACGTGTGCATGTGTCCTTATAGCAGCATGATTTATAGTCCTTTGGGTATATACCCAGTAGTGGGATGGCTGGGTCAAATGGTATTTCTAGTTCTAGATCCCTGAGGAATCGCCACACTGACTTCCACAAGGGTTGAACTAGTTTACAGTCCCACCAACAGTGTAAAAGTGTTCCTATTTCTCCACATCCTCTCCAGCACCTGTTGTTTCCTGACTTTTTAATGATCACCATTCTAACTGGTGTGAGATGGTATCTCATTGTGGTTTTGATTTGCATTTCTCTGATGGCCAGTGATGGTGAACATTTTTTCATGTGTTTTTTGGCTGCATAAATGTCTTCTTTTGAGAAGTGTCTGTTCATGTCCCTTGCCCACTGTTGGATGGGGTTGTTTTTTTCTTGTAAATTTGTTTGAGTTCATTGTAGATTCTGGATATTAGCCCTTTGTCAGATGAGTAGGTTGCGAAAATTTTCTCCCATTTTGTAGGTTGCCTGTTCACTCTGATGGTAGTTTCTTTTGCTGTGCAGAAGCTCTTTAGTTTAATGAGATCCCATTTGTCAATTTTGGCTTTTGTTGCCGTTGCTTTTGGTGTTTTAGACATGAAGTCCTTGCCCATGCCTATGTCCTGAATGGTAATGCGTAGGTTTTCTTCTAGGGTTTTTATGGTTTTAGGTCTAACATTTAAGTCTTTAATCCATCTTGAATTAATTTTTGTATAAGGTGTGAGGAAGGGATCCAGTTTCAGCTTTCTACATATGGCTAGCCAGTTTTCCCAGCACCATTTATTAAATAGGGAATCCTTTCCCCGTTGCTTGTTTTTGTCAGGTTTGTCAAAGATCAGATAATTGTAGATATGCGGCGTTATTTCTGAGGGCTCTGTTCTGTTCCATTGATCTATATCTCTGTTTTGGTACCAGTACCATGCTGTTTTGGTTACTGTAGCCTTGTAGTATAGTATGAAGTCAGGAAGAAGTTGAATCTCTGAATAGACCAATAACAGGCTCTGAAATTGTGGCAATAATCAATAGCTTACCAACCAAAAAGAGTCCAGGACCAGATGGATTCACAGACGAATTCTACCAGAGCTACAAGGAGGAACTGGTACCATTCCTTCTGAAACTATTCCAATCAATAGAAAAAGAGGGAATCCTCCCTAACTCATTTTATGAGGCCAGCATCATCCTGATACCAAAGCCAGGCAGAGACACAACCAAAAAAGAGAATTTTAGACCAATATCCTTGATGAACATTGATGCAAAAATCTGCAGTAAAATACTGGCAAGCCGAATCCAGCAGCACATCAAAAAGCTTATCCACCATGATCAAGTGGGCTTCATCCCTGGGATGCAAGGCTGGTTCAATATATGCAAATCAATAAATGTAATCCAGCATATAAACAGAACCAAAGACAAAAACCACATGATTATCTCAATAGATGCAGAAAAGGCCTTTGACAAAATTCAACAATCCTTCATGCTAAAAACTCTCAATAAATACGGTATTGATGGGACGTATCTCAAAATAATAAGAGCTATCTATCTATGACAAACCCACAGCCAATATCATACTGAATGGGCAAAAACTGGAAGCATTCCCTTTGAAAACTGGCACAAGACAGGGATGCCCTCTCTCACTACTCCTATTCAACATAGTGTTGGAAGTTCTGGCCAGGGCAATTAGACAGGAGAAGGAAATAAAGGGTATTCAATTAGGAAAAGAGGAAGTCAAATTGTCCCTGTTTGCAGATGACATGATTGTATATCTAGAAAACCCCATTGTCTCAGCCCAAAATCTCCTTAAGCTGATAAGCAACTTCAACAAAGTCTCAGGATACAAAATCAATGTACAAAAATCACAAGCATTCTTATACACCAGTAACAGACAAACAGAAAGCCAAATCATGAGTGAACTCCCATTCACAATTGCTTCAAAGAGAATAAAATACCTAGGAATCCAACTTACAAGGGACGTGAAGAGAAGTTATTAATGTTGAAACAGTTCAGTTAATGTTGCCTGCAGGTATTAGTTTAATGTTAAGTGCTGAAAGAAATTAATGCAAAAATTAATGGCTTAACATCATCAATATTTACTTCTCACTCACATCAATCCAATGTGAGAAGGATTCTGTGCCATACATACAGTATTTCAGTAGCCCAGGATGGCAAAGGCTGTTCCATTTTCAGTATTTAGCTTCAAAGGTCACTCTGGGCATAAACATCTAGCCAGTGGACAGGAAAAGATAGGGAAAGCTTTCTTCATCACTTTTGCACGAATCTAAAATAAATATTTTCCACTACTAGGGCCAGAGGCCCTCAATAAATAACCACTTCATTCAGTTAGCAAGTACTAGTTCCATACCCTGCCTAGATAAAAAGGAGACTGAGAACTGTATTCCTTGGCATAGTAGCCATTTTCGAGCCACAACTCTACCCTGCAGAAGCCAGTCTGAATCTTCAGTGGAGAGTCAACCTGTGTCTACCTGAACCTGTAAATTGTTACTTTATCAGCTATAATTCTTGGGTTGCAGTCAACAGAAATTGATTCTGCTATCTCTCCTAAGAAAGAAATAGATTAGAAGGATATGATGCAGTTTGCAGAATTCGAAAGAAGGTTAAATTGAGGAACCAGGAATAAAGAAATATATATATATATAAAGAAATGTGTGTATATATATATATAAAGAAATGTATATATATATATAAAGAAATGTATATATATAAAGAAATGTGTATATATATAAAGAAATATATATATAAAGAAATATATATATAAAGAAATATATATATATGAATCAGAGAAATTCTGTGAATAAAAGGAATTGGATTGATGAATGTGGTCTTCTGAGTACTGTCAACATGAGTACGTCTCATCTCAAGATGAGATGGCTCTAGCCACTTTCTGTCCAGGTGTTATTCCATTCAAGATTTGAATTAAAGAAAAGAACATCTGATTAGCAGAGCACTTCCTCTTGGCTAGTGGAGATCGGGGTATCTTGATTGACAGTCCTCTAAGATTTTACCCAATGAGACATGGGAAGACACCTCAAAGCCAAAACAAAAAAGAGCAATGTCAAAAGAAGGGGTGATAGAGGTTAGGTTGATCAAACAATATATATGCTTTTAAAAAATCAGTTATTTCAGACTACTTTTAGTTTAATACATTAAAAAGCAAGAAAACAGTTCCTGGTCAGAACAGCAAGGAGAAAAAACTGATAAATCATTATAATCAGTATAAAATTCTTCTTCCTTTTTGTTGTAATTTGATGGCCTTGAATAAAATTTTGAATCCTTCAGTAGTTAAGTTTCTTTATGTATAAAGGTGCAGATGAGAGTACTTTGTCATATGAGGCAGTGGTGTTTGGTTGTGGGGAATGGGAGGGAAACAGCAATGAGAATTAATGTGTTAGCCATTTTATATGTTGTGATTTACTTGGAATATCCCATAATAAAAACATTTTTACTGCTTATAAATAAAATTATACTTTGCCAAGGAGCTATTATAATATACTAATTTGTATTCCACTGATAAATTCATCTTTTAATGTATGGATACCTTCAGATTAAATACAGGTTTATTAAAGGCTTTTGTTGATGACAATGTCCTCAAATATAGCATTTACCACCATTTCCTGACAAATAACTATGTGGTGAAATGGATCCAAATGAACAATATCTAAGTAGATAAATGTTAAGATACTGTAAAGGAAAGAAACTTCTTTTTTTAAAAAAAAAACAATATTATTGCTAGCTAGAGGTGCTATAGATAGTCATCCATAAAAATAAATGCCAGGTTTGAAAACTACAGGATATACCTGTAGAATATCATAAAACTTACAATGAAAAAAAATCCTCCAAACAGATCTTAATATGCCCCTCTTATCTGTTCACTCTATCCTGTAGCTGTAGTTTTCCAAGTAGGCTACTAAGCGGTCTTTCAAAGATTTATTTTAACAAATGGCTGCTCTGTCTATGCACAAAGAAAATGAAATAACCCTATAATTTTGTGAATTTTTAAAGGTAAGCTAACAAAAAGATTCCTTTCCTGTTCCTTTGATTCCAAAGAATGTATAGTTGTATATTATTTTCCCTTGGGAGCTCGGTAAGACAATCTTCCCCTGAGTCTTTATTCAAGTATTTCATATAACAATAGAAGTACAGTGATGGTCAATTTCTTTTAAAATTTTCCATGTATGCTTACTCTAGAGCAAATTCCACTAGTGCCCTTAAGAGTCTCTAGTGGAATTTATTGAATGTGTGTGTGTGTGTGTTTTATATATGTATCTAAAAATAGTTCTTTGGCAAAAAAATATGTGCTATCAATTTTTTAAAATTACACTGGCTTTTCTAGACTTTATTAACGTATCTCCGGAGCCAGAATTTTATGCTAAGCTTTTTTTAAAAAAATTTCTATTTGTGGTATATCTATATTCAGTTATAATTGGGGAAAAACCCTCACTTCTGGAGTGCTGATGAATATAGAATTATTTAAGAATTAAGATTATTTCAAGAATTATGTTTGGAATAAATCTCTTAAACACAATTCTCAGTATGTGAGCTTATGATATTTATATGAAAACTAAAACCATTTTTCTTGCCAATGGATATGAAATTATTGTCCTATTAGACACCTAGACCCTATTTCCTGCAGAAAGGAGCATCATTCATACCATTGCCTAAGCTCAAAGTCCCTGAATTTTCCTTAACTTCTTTTTCTTAACATATGGACCATTACCAAATGTATCTATTTTGCTTGCAGAATAGGTTCAAAATCTAACCCTTTAGATGAATTGTCTTTAAAAAGATTGACTTAATGGTGACAGTTCCATTTTTTAAAATTCTTAATGGGACCTATGGTTCTACCAGCAATTCTCTAGTATTCCAGGAATTCTCAGGATTTTACATCTTTGCTGTGACTTTCCTGCTTCTGCCTGGCAAACCCTGATTCATTCTTTAATATTCTATTCAAATAGTACTTTTTCTAATATCACTCCCTCACTTTTTCTCCCAACTCTATTTTTTAGGCGAAATAAATTCTTTTGTCATCTTTGTAAGAATTATGACAGAAGGTAGGTTTTTTGTGAAACAAAAATGCTTCTTATGGAAGTTATATTTGCTTTCCGTTGTACATTGATGTGTTACAGAATGGCTTAGTACTTAGCACTGTAGTTTGCTGAGTATTTATAGTACCTCTGCTAGTATCAAATTAACCTAACAAACAATGAAGTTTTATAATAATTAATAAAAACCATAAGTTTGTTCCTATAAGTAAATATTTTATATGTCTTAATTATGGAGAAAAGTTCAAGGTAAATTTTAAGTTAAAAAAGCAGAATATATATATACATATATATATATATACATATATATATATATATATGGCCAGAATTGTTATATCTAACTTCACAAAGTGTATGTATATATATATATATATATATATATATATATATATATATATTCATACTTTATTTGTACATATAAACTCAAGTAGATATATTTGTGTTTATATATATTTTCAAATACATTTACACAGAAGAAACTGAGAGGAAATATAGGTACTTACTTTTATTAACCCAAATTAGCTTATTTTTAAAATGTCATTAAATCTAAATATACCTAACTAGGGTATTTTGAGAATAAAACGTTCTTATTTGACTGAATTATCTTTCTTCAGACAGGAGATATCAGAGTTTTGCAAACACTGTGCTATATTTTTATAATAAACCAATCTAGGAAATTGGAATGTAGGAGTTTAATGGTTGCTATATTATGTAGTTTGTGAAATAATGAAAGTGAGGGTAATCAATGTGAAAAACTGCATATATAAAATTAGAAACAGATGCTAATAAACAGGTGGTTGAACAAAAAATACTATGGTACTGGTTCAGCACGCTTGTGCTGAGGAAACATCTGGATGTGGGTGTTTTACTCCAAAGCTAGAACTTGCTAACAAGAAATAAAAACAAGAAATTTCTTGAGTGAATAGAGTGAATCAAAAAGTGATTTTCAAGATGATCTTTAAGTCTATATTGCTTTTGAATGTCTATAGAGTAATGAGGCTGATTCACATGCAGGAAAATATGTCGATAACAAATATCATAAATAGAGCACACGTGCACATACAACTAAGTTTGTTTTGTAGCACACCCAGTGTTTTGAAAAATATTAAAGTAATATTTCTAATTTCTATTACCCAGTATTCGAAGCTGAATTTCCTTACAAAAACATTTTGATGATTTTTATCAGAAAGAAACATATTTTGAAAATGTATCCTTCTGAAAATCTTCCTAGAAGTGTTTATTATATATAGTATGCATGCAAATAATATATAGTTTATTATATATAGCGTGTAAATAAAAGCCCAGTTGTTACCGTCATTTAGTAGAAAGCTTATACAATTTTCTTTTGACGTATGAACATTTCTTTTGCAAACTAAGATGACCCACTCTACAATCTACAATCACTATAAAACTACAATACCTGAGTAATGAAAATATTGCCAAACTCTAATCACTTCTCTACTTTTAGAAATATTTAGTAACACAAAATTTAAGTGTATAAAACCAAAACAAAATCATCTAGCCTGTAGGAATTTGTTGCAATAGTATTTGTTTTTCACCATTTGCCAAATTAGAAAAGCTGGACCTGTGATCTAAAAGATCCAATTCTCTGGTCAATTTTTTTATAGCCTGCATTGTTTCCATTGAGTTTTATGCTATCAGTTGGTATAATTTTTTTTTTCTGTTTGGCCATAATATTGTAAGCATACGAAATGGGCAATATGTCAGGAATAATTAGGCACTGTGGTGCTGAAACCCCAGCGTATATACTGCTTCTTTTATAGAAGAAACCAGTTACCTGTAGTCTTGTCAGTTTAACTTAGCAAAGACCATCTGTTTGCAGCCACCTCTTTTCTCAGAGGAGCATTCCCTCTTCCACAAAGAATTGCTCCATGACGTCAAAAACACTTTTCTCTACAAAATGGTCTCTCCTGTCTTCATTTCTTTCTGTTTTCTAAACTGGGTTGCTTTTTAGAGAATCAGCAAATGTGGCACTAGATAACTTAAGAGGTGAAATAAAATGAATCCGATAGACAGTGCTCTCAATAGAATAGATATGAATGTGCTTAGATAAATGTATGGCTACAGGAGGCTTTCTTGTGGACAATAACTATCCAAAAATATTTACATGTATTTGGGAGTCTAGGTTTATTTGCAACAGTAAGCCAACTGGTATTTGTCAATTACATTTAAATTTAAATTTAATTTCAAATCATACTGAACATTATGAGTGGAAAATAAATGGTTTTATGTGCTTAGAATTTAACAGTTTATATGTAATATTATGTTTTGGAAAAACATGTAAATGGTGTTAGAATAGTTCAGCTATTACTAAGCCATTCTGGGTTAGCAGTTATTCAGGAAAAGACTGTCAATTTTATATAAAACCTCTTAGATAAATAGTATGGGTATATGCGAAATTACACAGATAAATAATATTCTGCATCTTTCATCCCTCCTTCCCATTTCATGACAAACTACTGTTTTACTAAATATGACAATGTATATTTTAAAACCACCAGAAATTATAATACCTATATTTCCTGCAACTGGGGAGTAATTCAGAGGGAAACTGGGAACTTACCCAGTGGTGTATGCTTGAGTTTATATGTTTTATACATATGTTGAGGGAAGAATGCGGCAAGCCTGACATTTCTGCATATTTCATGGTATTTAGGGAATTTGTCCAGAGCAGAGTGGAAATTTTTTGTTCTAGCCCTCTTTGTTCATATGTTGCCACAGTGATCTATGAGTTAACAATTAATGGCTGTGATATTTCAGTGCAAAAGGACAGTTGATCATCAAAATAACTCAGATATATAGTCCTGTTATAATCATTAGAATAGTATTTAGTATCCAAGTATTTCCAAAATAAATTCAATAAGCTATAAATAGATAATAATTTCCATCTTATTTAATTACCAACAAACTTTTTCTTTGTAGTCAGTATTCATCCTTCCTTTAAATGACAAGTTAGTGCCATAAAAACAAGGTAGCATTCAGGAAAGCAATATGCACTGCACTGATACAGAATAATCACCAAAGTAAGAAAAAGGATGTATACTTGGAGTTAAGACACCTAGACACATATTTTTATAATTAAGTGCAAATTGTAAATTATTTCTTTGCAGTATGGGCTCTGATAGTGGTTCCAGGATTAGATTTTTCTTATACCTAAAGAATATTTTCGGAATAATTAACAACTCATATTGAATCTGAAAGTTCTCACATTGGGCTAGATGCAACGTGACCTTTAATCTTTACCTAGTTTAAACTCATGCCAAACCAACCTGGGATCATTTTGGGCCTTGAGTGGATTTTATTACAAACTTCTGTTGTCTCTCAGTTAAAGTTGCCCCCGATTGGTTTAGTTTTCAGTTTTATTAAAGATAGTTATTATGTACCATCCAAAAGTAAACAAGACTTCTGGGTAATTTTACTTAGCATAGTTTGTTTTCCAAATAAATTTAGAAATAATTTTATAAAAATGACATAAATATTGCTTGAAAGGCATTAAATTAGCAATAGTCAGAACATAGCTTAACAGAGAACATCTGAGAAGAAAGAGAAGCAATAAATGTGAGTAGATGTAACAAAGGAATATCTAACATGAGAAATGTGATTTTTATATTTTCAATTTGTGTCCCTCTCTGCCTAGTACTAACAGACAGAAATAAGAACTGAACATGATGTAATGAACAGAGAAAAGGGAAGTCATACTTCTTGGCTAAAGGAATGGTACAAAATAGAGGCCTCTAACTTGACATGACAGAAAGTATGATGGGATTTTCAAGGCATCCCAAGGCATCCCAGGGGAGCTTTAGACGTAGCTTCCTATCTTATAAGCAGTCCTTTTTCTCACTGCCTGCCTCTGCTGGCCACCAATTCTATATATGAACACCATGAAGAAACATAATGAGGGCACATGTAAAATCTGCTCCACTCACAGATATTCTCTATCCAGGGTGCAAGCTTTGCTAGAGGCCGTCTCTCTCTAAATCCTTTTTCTTCTTTTCTTCCTCCACTCTTACTGCATTCTTTACACATCTAAGTTTAAATTCCATAAAGCAAAGAGTCTTGCAATTCTCTGCCATTGTCACTTCCATAAGATGTAAAATTGTATATTTTAGCCCAGCAAGTACCCAGTAGTCAAGTAGATGTGTTTAATTTTTACATTAAAGTGTAAACAATAGGAAAAAGACGATTTGACCTAGTCAAAGTTGTGGTTGAAAGGCTCTCTATCTACCATGCCTCTTGCATCACAGTGACTTAAAGTGCTTTTCTAGATGGCCTCTAGGCATCACAACTGCATGCTGTTAAATTCAGCCACCACCAGCACACACATACTCTTCATACACGTACAAACTCATTGAGAACAGAAAATGCAACAGTGATTTAAAGCCCTATGTTATCTAAAAAGCTTCATGGTCTTTAATCTTTTAAATGTTTTCTACTTGATCATGGAATAAAATGAACTGACAGTTTATCTCTTTCTTCTCTCTACCTTTTGCTGGAGATTTAAATATATATACATATATATATTGTACATGTATATATATAACAAAAGAAGGGAAAGTAATAAAATCAAAGATCCTAGAAATATTCCATACCAGATAACAAGCTCTGTTGTTATCAGTTTGTTTATTTTATTATTCTTATAAGTTTGAGACTCTGGGTAATCAGTTTTCTTGATTTTAAAACTAAATATACCAATGCCTCCAGTAGTACACTGGATATTCTTAAATACCGTCTATGCCTTTTCAAAGTATATAGTCTAAAATTGATGTGAATAATGAACAGATGGACTAATATGTGCGTTACACAACTAAGATTAAAAAGTAACAGCCAGTCTCACAATTGTTTCTTCTGTCCAATATAAATGCTACAAGATTATAGACATGTACCTTAGGTAAATGTATTTTATAATAGGGATGAAAAGGACTGCAAATCTTTAAGTCAAAGTTAGTTGCTTTTTGTTTCTTTGTTTACCTTTAATCCTTTCATGGCTGTTACCTGATGAGTAAGCCAGGAAGCTAGAGATATACAAGATATATAAATATTAATGTTATAAATTGGGATAAAGACCAAAATAATTGCTCCAGTAGATTCTGTGGTTTTTATACTTGCTCTGTATTTTAGCAATTGTAAGAAACGATCTCCTTACAAGGTGCCAGAATCATGTCACTTTATTGTACATAAATATCAGATCACATTGCTCAGATTTTTTCCAAACTTCAGAAAAATTTTGAAAAAAATAATATGACATACACTTTAAATTTTATTTTATTACTGTGGCCATCAATTATGTGCTTCTTATATCCCAATTATAAGGAACTCTAGAAGAGGTCATAGCGATGAAGTGCCTGGCATATAGTAAATACACAAATACTTGTTAGAGGAATCAATGACTCTAACCATTGGTTATTTTCCTAATACAGTAAATTAGTGATAATCTCCAGTTTCATTATTCTTCCTCTTTTAAAAATATTCCTTTGTATACCTAAATGTACCATCCCTATTTGAATTACTGCCCGCTTCCCTCACTTTGAAAATCCATACATCTACTACATATTTTTCTATTTGTGGTTATCTGAACTCAGACTTAACCTGAAGCAGATCCATTTCTGTCCCCATATCATGCCTAAATTTACTTCTTGAGATTACTATGCCCTATTATAGACAGACTTTCACTCAGGGACAAAGAGGAGAATTACTGGTGAAGAGAAGCTTTAAAAATAGGGGCTATTTTTCTTAGATAACAAGGATTCTGGAGACAAGAGCTACTATTATTGGTGTGAAGGCTCAATGACATCAGGGTGTACACCTCTGCAAGTCTCTCGGCCCTTTTACTCTCAGCTAAAATGTGGCTACTATGGCTCTCAGCTTGTTCAAGTCAGGAAAAGGAGTGAAGTGGCTCATTTTTCTTCAATAAAGAAAGCAGAAGCTCTTCCAGAAAAACCATAACACACTTTTGTTTATACCTAATTGGCTTGAACTTTGTTACATGGCAAACCATGATGAAAGGGAAGCAGGGACAAGGGTGCTGGAGATAGGTCAGCCCTATCACTCCTGTCTCATTTTAGCTCAGCTTAGAAACCTGTCCTGGCTGATAATATTTTCGTCATCTGTGTAGTCCAAACTTGCAGTGAGAGCCTGCTTGTCTTTTCCTCAAATGTGCTTTTATGAAGACCAATGAAAGGCTTCACCGAAGCCTCCGTGTATAGATTACCCCATCTGAGATTATAAAGAAGCAATCACAAGTGGTTGAGGCAAATTTAAGCTCCATACAGGATAAGTACATATCTTAAAACATTTGGGGGTTTTGACATAAATCTTGACTCATTATCTCAATACCATTTAGGTCCATGCTATTCTAACTGTGGTCTTTACTATACATGTATTTATAGTACACATTCTAAATGTTTATTTTCAATTTATATACTTATCATGGACCATTAACAAAGAGTTGGCAAACCAGAGCCAGTTTGCCAACCATATATCATATGAAATAAATATGCTTATAGTCTGATATTTTTGTTCTTCACTGACATGTGGTAAACATCTCTCTGCATTTCTTGTTTCTTTTGTTTGTCATTTTGATGATAAAATGCATAATTCTTGGTATACCATTTAAATAAAATTTTATTATAATTATTGGATATTAAAACTCACCAAGGATTATTTTTGTCATATAAATGTAAAGTTAGTTGAAAGCTTTTCAAGCTTTATTAGTAATACTAACAGCCACTCATCCCAACTATAGTGTCTCTATAATTGCCAATTTTTACTAGTTTACTTTTAATGTAATTGGGTTAGCTAGGCTCACTCATAAAATATTAATGTTTACACTGATTTGTTTTGCTTTAAATGACAGCAAAAAAAAGACATTTCTTTTGTCACCCCACAACATTCTCAGGGAGAACTGTGGTACGTTATGAGGCTAACTATTGCTTGAATATTACCTGTGCATTACTTAAGGGGGAATCTGCAAACAGTTTCAGGGCCAAAAACAAAAGGTCATAATTTGATAAAAATCTTATTGCCTGATAGCTCGCAGACATCTGTCAGCAGTTTTGGTTTCTTTTAAAGGGCAGCACATGGCTGACTGATCTCATAGTAGGATTTATAAGTATAATTATTGCCATATAATTCAACAAATCACTTTTATCACTGAAAACTTAAAGCTTTCCAATTTTTGCTTTTTAGCCATTTAAATTTTAGGGAAATAGTCTTCTGTCCAATAAATTTTAATTTCAAAATAAAGTCTTCACTAAAATTTAAGTAGTTTAATGACAAAATAGAAATGAAAATTTTGTCTTTAAAAATTTTTTTTTTGCTTTTGCATTTAGAATATTCTATGGATATAAAAATATAGCAGCTGGGCCTTTTAGGATTACATTGATTATTAATCTCAATAATCAGTTGTCCTTATTAACATTCATAATTAACATGCATAGCTTATTGACAAAGGTAATTTGCTTGCATGAAAAAAATAGGCTTATTTGCAGAGGCTGAAAAATGCTTTGAAAAGTGCTCGTTCTAGAGGCTCACTGCTTTCTAAGCACACTCCACTGTAATCTAACATAGACAATTCAAGAAAATAACCTTTCTGAGCTTGGGTCTACCTATCTCATAAGGTTATTATATGCATAAAATGAGACATTTTATGTAAATCAGTGAACACAATTCCTACCACATAATATGCACCTGATAATTTATGGTTATTGTACAGAAGCTTATTTCTTAGTTACTGGGTAGAAGCAGTTTGTGTTTGGAAATGAGAATACTAATTTGGACCAAAATAAGAAACAGAATAAAATAAATTCGCATAAATAGATATACCTGTCTTAAATGTCCCTGAAAGAATTCCTATGTGATAAAAAAAAAAGTCTACAGAATGATGATGAGATAAACTGCACATCAAGAAAACTAGAGAAATTACAAAGAGGTATTTTTTTAAACATTAAACAGTTACATAAATGTATTTTTTAAATTTCGAAGAATGGACAACTGTACATAAACTGGAGTGATGTGAGAAGGTGTCACAGAGCAAGCAAAACTTGCAGGCCAGACAGAGACAGAATTATTGGAGACCTGTCCAAGTGTGCCTGCGTAGTCTGTGACAAAGGGGCAAAGGCTAAATGGAACAGATGTATGGTCATGTGGAGACCAGAGAGCAGAGGGACCTGACCACTATATCCAAAGCAGCCCCACAATACACACCCAACAAGATATGCCCTTTTAGCCTTTCATCCTGTTTGTTTCCTTTATATCATGTTTCACAATCCATACTCATCTTGTTTTTCTATTCCTTTAACTGTTAGCAACCTATCTCCCCCACTATAATGTAAGTTCTGTTAGGGCAGAGTCCTTGTTTGTCTTCTACAGCACTCTGTTCATAAATACCCAGCACTGTACCAGGCATAAAATAATGTTCAAAAAATAAAAGTTGAATTGATAACAAAGAATATGAGCTGAAAATTAAATGATTCTTTCAACAAGCATTACTGGATAAACTGGGGAATTATATTGTCAAGTATTAAAAGAATTCCCTGACACCTTCACCCTACCACATTGTCTTCCACCACAGAACTGTGTTGAATAAGCTCCCCACTGCCACAGGAGGAGTCTCATAGCTCACAGTGAAGCTGGAGTATAAAGCATAAGATTGTCACCTCTGAAGTTAAAATGCATGGTCCAGGTATATGAAGGAAAGATTTATGAGAATCTAATTACTCTGAGTTTTTCCTTCTTCTAAGCAAATAAAGACTCCATGGGCAGGGGCAGGAGAGAGGGGAAGATGAAAGTCATTGGGGCTTGAGAAGAATGAGGAGTGAAGATGATGAAATTATTTAGTAAAATGTAGGAAAAATTGTACGTCCAGAGAATTAGAAGAGTTACAGATGAATCTGTAGAATCTGGATGAATAACCATGGCTGAGAACCATACAGCTTCCCCCTCCTTCCACTGAAATAACATGACATAAGTGTTCTGGAGCATACATGTCACTCCAAAGAGAAGGAATAGATGGAGGTAATGAATACTAACCTGACTAAGTACACTACAAATTGTCAAAATTCCTCTCCTATGGGATAAAAAAGAGCTCAATACAGAAACATGCAATATGCAAGTAGTTGTTTTTTTGTTTTTTTGTTTTTTTTTTGAAATGGAGTCTCACTCTGTCACCCAGGCTGGAGTGCAATGGCACGATCTCAGCTCACTGCAACCTCTGCCCCCTGTGTTCAAGCAATTGTCCTGCCTCAGCCTCCCAAGTAGCTGGGACTACAGGCCTGTGCCACCATGCGAGGCTAATTTCTGTATTTTGTTTTAGTAGAGACAGGGTTTTGCCATTTTGGCCAGGCTGGTCTTGAAATCCTTACCTTAGGTGATCCACCCACCTTGGCCTCCCAAAGTGCTGGGATTACAGGCATGAGCCACTGCACCTGGCTGCAAGTAGTTTCAACAGGAGGGATAAATAGAAGCTTTCAAAGTTTACACTTGAGGAACCACTATGGTAGGACACTATATGGGCGTACTCTCATTTGCAAAAATAGTTATACGTTAAGTGTAAGTACATACACCAATATATATCCCCACACACACACACACACAAAGTTCCGGTATATTCCTGTTTTAATCCATAGTAATCTCTTGTTTCAAATACTTCTCAATTATTCTTTCACTTTTGTCTAGGTGCTTCATAGGTGAGAGGTACTATGCTATGTGTTACCTAGCAATATTTTATATGGGCAAGTTGATGTAAATCAATTCAAAAAGGGAAAGTAAAATCTTGGCAAACAAATGTTTTCCTTAGCTATGATTATTAAATCTAAGTACTCATTCATCTACCCATTAATTCATTCAAAAAGAATTGTCCCTTTTATCAGAAAGCAAGAGTTTTTCTACATTTTATTAGCAATTAAACTAACATCTTACTGGCCCATATGAACAATATCATCTCCCCTAGCTTGAACGGAAGCTGAGAAACAGGCTTTTTCATCCACTGTAGCAGAAGACAGCAAGGAAGAAAAAGTCTGGGAATTAGTCATGTAAACAATAATGTCTGCCATAACAAACCTCAGGTTAAGACAAATCCGCCTAACCAAATCTTGGCTATCTAAGCTGTCCAGTTTTTCAGGTTACTCTTATAACTCCATATCGCTTAACCTTTTTTTTTTTCTGGTCGGAGGAAAGGATGAAATGAGGAAGAAAAAAAAATGTAAACAAAATGAAATAGGCTCCAAACTTTCGGACAAAGTAGTACTTTGAGCTATTCTCTCTAGCCATACCTCTTCTCCTTTAATATCAAAATGCACTACTATTTAAGCGATTTTTGTATTGGATGGACCTTGAGAACATATGACTTTAAATGCTGACGGTTTATTGCAGCAGTTCCATCCAGAACCATAAGAAGCCCAAGTTATGAGAAACTGGGATAGATAGGTCAGAGTGTCTGCCCCTCCTCTGCCCATATCATCCCTTTCTTTGCATATCCACTTCTCCCTGGATACCCACATCTCATGTAGCTCAATCTCTCACTTGACCATGTGAGATTCATTTGCCAAGGCTAGAATGAAAGTCTACAAAGGAAATTCAAAAGGCATTGCCAATAAAGGACTAGTTAGGCCATTAAGTATATTTGAAAGTGTAATGAGGATCTAAAGGGAAATTTTGTCTTATTGCATACAGTCTCTCAAAGATGTTGTATATACATTCCACACATTTATAAAGCAAGTACCATTTGCCAAGCACTGTATTACAAAGTATGTGTCACCTGCACTTAATCTTTGTTTATGCACAATCATAGTGCAGTGTCTGAAAATTACATTTAGATCTGATTCTTCAAACCATAAATTAAAATAATTGAAATTCCATAGTTTAGAATAAAAGGGACTTATTAAACTAAATATCTGGATCTATTTCTCTGTATTTCAAAACCAAACATTCTTTGGTACCTAATCCACATAGAGTATTTCTTCATATCCATAAAAATGCAAACTCTTTGCAAATGCAATTGCTCAGTCTTCAGAGGTGAGATATCTTTACTTCTAAGTCTCTTCCTATCCTTATATTTACCTGCTGTGGTTCTGAATACTAATTTTAGGAATTCTTTTGATATTACACTGAACTGCTATTTTTCAAATTTGAAAATCTCTGTTACTGCAATTACTTCCACACTTCTTAAGCAACACATCTATTTTTTAACTCATCCTTTACTCATAGCAGTCATCAACTAATTTGATGATAATCACTTACTGATTCAAGTGTGGGGTCCTGCATCCCTTTCTGTGCTTCATTTATAGCAAGGTGTGTCAGTCTGGGTGTGATTTAGGAGGAAACAGGTAACATTTTATACATAGCAACATCTCTTGTCCAGGAAAGACCTCAACTCTTTACAAAGGAATCGTGGTCTTTTTACCTTTTAGTTGGGTGAATGTTCACTTTCAGAACTAACAAATCCATTTGTATAAGTATGTTGTATTGCATAGATTTGTGCAGTACTTCTCAAAATGATTGTGAGACTCCTGTAAGCTTTTGGCGAATGACAGACTCACAACATCTGATGTTAAATTAACATCATAAAGCAGAATTTGCATCTGGCCACCAGGCCTTTAGTCATCAAACTAGCAAATGGAACTAATGTGGAATAATAATGAGAGAGCTGGCTTTTGAGAACAGAAGACTAAAGGGGAATTTTAGGAAACATGCAGTTCACATTAAAAAAAAAATCACCAAAGCTATTAAACACTGAATGCATCTTATTTTTCATGTCAGCTAGGTTTATCATTGTCTCTGCCAGGACATTCATGATTTTTCTGCTGCAAGTAATGTTGAGAAGTTTTTGATAACCATTTTAAATGCCAGTCAGGTAAACAGTCTTCTTTTCTCTGGACAAAGCTCTATGTACCTGTGCATTTTGCATATTTTAAAATAAGGGCTTGAATTGGGAGAATTTTTCAAGACTACAGTGAAATGTGATCCTAGGAGACTATCACCAAAGCAGCAAATGCTAAACATGATTTTTTTTTGTATTGAATGCATAAACACCTTTTTTTTTGCATTTTTCTCCATGATATTTTGATAGAACTATTGAAAATACTCTAGGGAAGAGAAAAGTTTTTAAGAGGTGCTTTTAAAAAATCAACTTAATTATATAGTTAAGTCCTTTATTTGTAAATTAATTTATGTAATTCAAGTAGATATATGTGCTTCTTTACCAAAAACTGAGCTCCTATAGATTATATTTTGCATCATCAAAATTATCAACAATCCCCTTTAACAACTAGTAAATGCCACCTGAAATTTTCCGAAATTGGGATCATACAGTTGGAAAAAAATTGAATGAATAAAAATTTTAATTGACTGAACCAGTCTCCAGAATGAACATCCTACTCTGAAATTATCTTCCAGTTTCCTGTTTTGCACTATCAAACTCTGTCTTATCTCTTTCCTTTTTCTCTTTTTACCTTGATGCATGCATATAGACATATGTAGCCACACACCTGTCACTCTCTACACAGTCATACTACAATGTTACTAGAATATGCTCCACGTCTTTCGTCTGTGTCTGCCTCAATACTGGTAATCTCTCCCCTCCTCCTGGCATTACTCTTGGAGTGAAAGGTAGTTGACTAAGATTAAAAGGGAATATGAGTGGGACCTTTACAAGCTTCCTCTCCTCCCTACTTGCCAGATTGTGTTGTTTGCTTTGGAATTTATATAGGAGAAATAATTTGAAAATTTTTGAGCAGTGCACTTCAATTTTCTTCTTCATATATGCCCCCAAATTTTGAAAACGAATATATACCCTCATATAAAATTGATAGCTCAAATTATTTTTATAAATTTAAATGGCTACAAAGACTATTATATACCCTTGTATACAATTGATAGCTCAAATTATTTTTACAAATTTAAATGACTACAAAGGCTATTATCTCCAGCCTGTTGTATATGATATATCATCACAGATCAAATCTTTATGTCTGCCTCAAATTCATATGTTGATGTCCTACCCCCAAATGTGATGGTTTTCAGATGTGCGGCCTTAGGTTTAGATGCCATTATGAGAGTGGGGGCCCCATGATGGCATCAATGTCCTTATAAGAAGAGAAAGAGCCTGGAGCTCCCTCTTCACCTTGAGAGGACACAGAAAGAAGGTGGCCTTCTGCAAACCAGGAAGGCGCCCTCACCAGATCTCATGATAGCACCCTGTTCTTGGACTTCCAGCCTCCAGAACTGTGAGAAATAAACTGTTGTTGTTTATCAGCTAATTGGCGTATGGTACTTTGTTACAGCAGCCTGAGCTAAGATAGAAAAGTGCTGTAAATACATATTTGTCAAAAGCTTGTAGCGACAGGTTTAGATTATTCAATTTATAGTAAATGGTAAAAAGCCAGTCCTCATTATCAAACCAGTCTGCCAAATCAGGCTTACTATGGGTCAGAAAAGCCTACCTCAATTATCCATTCTTCTTCTGAATTCTAGATAGAATCACAGAATGACAGAATTGTAGAAGAGGAGAATGATCAATCAATAGATGGACAGATAGGACAGAGACCACCTAGCAGAAGCAGGGGTCCTTCACTGAGATATTTTTGATTTAGTGAGAAAAAAGGCACAGCCACTTTCAATAATGCTTATCAGAACTCTCTTTGGTTCCCTTGCTAGACTCTTCCAGTGGGAGCTATGCATTTTCAAATTGCCCCTTCGTTGGTATACCAACTAATGTTATACCTTGAGCAGTAATTTGCTCCTCTTTAGTAAGGTAGGAAAAGTGTGATGATGAAAACAGAAGTTAGAAAGGAAAAACCAGGGCCGGGCATGGTGGCTCACTCCTGTAATCCCAGCACTTTGGGAGACCAAGGTGGGCAGATTACTTGAGGTCAGGAGTTCCAGACCAGCTTGACCAATGTAGGGAAAGCCCATCTCCACTAAAAATACAAAAAATTAGCCAGGTGTGGTAGTGCATGCCCCTAATCACAGCTAGGTGGGAGGCTGAGAGAGGAGAATTGATTGAACTTGGGAGGCGAAGGTTGCAGTGATCCAAGATCATGCCATTGCACTCTAGCCTGGGCAACAGAGTGAGACTCTGTCTCAAAAAAAAAAAAAGAAAAAAAAAAAAAAAGGAAAAACCAGGATGCTGTGAACCAATCATAAAAAAGAGTTCACATAGAATTTGAGGTTCTAGAAAACGATTTCCGTATAGTTATGTGTCCATGTACTTATAAGAATTTATTTGTGATCCCAAGGGAACACGTACAATTTGAAGATCCTTGCTTAAAATGGTTTTAATATGCAAATTCCTGAGCTTCATTTCCATTAGTTTCTTATTCAAGCAGTCTGAATGAATCATTGGACATTACTTTGGGAAAAAAAAAACAGGACTAGGACAAAAGAATGGATTAGTAAGGAAGTAAATAAATATTGCTCTAAGAGAAGCTAAAGAGTTTACCACAAAGGTTGAAAACTCTGTGAAGACATGCAAGTTTATGATTCCTTTCTAGGTAGAAGTTTATGACAATTTGAACAAAAATTAGAGGGCTTCAAGAAACGAAGCATTCTACCTTTCCAGTGATGGTGTTCATATTAGTGACAAGTTCAGAATATATTAAGGAAGGCACGCAAATGATTGATATAGAACAGTGTAGTCATTTTCTCCTTCACTGCTCATCTTTCCTTAATGTTTCTTTTTTCCTGATGCCTTAAGAAAATAGTGCCTGTGTGAAATAATTAATGAATAATGTTAAATTTGTTACCGAGTAACTTTACAATCCTGGTGAAACTCTTTATTTTCTATTTCTTAGAAAAAAATGGAGATTTGTTTCTTCTATGAAAGATTGGTTCTGCTGTCTCAGGAGCAAAATTGAGGAGAAAATAATATTTTGTTCACAGAGTTTATTTAGCTGTGTTTAGCTATGCTTTTGTAATGTATTCTTTCAAAAGCTGTTTTCTTTTCTCTTTGTCATATACTATAGTTTGTTCTGTTTATTGCACTTAGTAGTATTGTATATTCCTTTATTTTTTTTGTACTTTTCCAAAGAGACAGTTCTAATATTTTATGGCATTTGGGATGGTTTTGTTTTTCTTAAGTGTCTTTCATACACTGTATCTTCTGGTTAACAGAGACCCATGGGTAAGCAAAATACTCTGTTTACAAAATTGTGCCCATATATGATTATTACTCTCTTGCTGTAATGCATTGTAAAAAATAAGTAATGAGACTGCAATAAGCTTCTGTCTTACATCAAGTTCCCCTAGAACAGCTTGAGATTTTGCAATGGGGATTTGTATGCAAGAGAGAGCTTTTAAGAGAAACCCAAATGGAATGAGAGAAGCAGATCAGGGAAGGGACAGAAGCCAAGTGACGATGAAGTTTTAGCTCAAGTCTGTTGTCAGCCTGGTCCTACAAGGACCTCTGCTACATGATCAGTACTATAGAGTTGTCCCATCTAGAGGCAAAGCGACCAAGCTTTGTATCCCCATATCAGTCGGCTACTGGCTGTTAAGGCCACTGGTATAGAGGGTGAGGCATAATTTCTCAGACATTTCCAAGCAAAATGGATTTTATCAAAAGGTAATTTTAAAAAATACATCTATGAGCAATTAGCAGCCAACACTTCCAGTAGCTGGTGGATGGGTGCTGTCCTGACCAGAGAAAGGGAACTGGGAGGAGCTCTGGTCGCCTCTACTAGAACTGCTGCACCAAGATACTCATCCAATTAAAATTTTAAGAGCTTTTGCTAAAATTCATTAACATCTAATTCAAAGAGATCTTTTATGTGTGTGTGTGTGTGTGTGTGTGTGTGTATGAGAGAGAGAGAGAGAGAGAGAGAGAGAGAGAGAGAAGGGGGTAGAGCTCAAAGCTATGTCTGCCAAGATTTTAGGCAGAATGGTTCAGTTAAATAAAAGGTCCTGGCAGTAATAAATCTGTGTGATTTATTTGCTGTGTAACCTTGAGTAGTTACTTAACTTTTCTGAATCCAGTTCATCATCTCTGCAACGTCTGTCATGGGTAGCTACCTGAGGATTATTGTGAAAAAAATGTGTGTCAAGTTGCTGACAAAAGGGAGATACTCACTAAATGATGGTTCCTATTTTATATTCAGTACAGGTTATTGTCCTCCATTTCATGACCTCAGACACTTGCTTTGAAAACAAAACAAAGAATAAAACCAAGTGAGAAAATGTGGCTATATTGGTGCAAATGTTCTCTCTACTGCAAAAACAAAACAAAACATTCAACACTAAGTATCATCTCTGTGTAAAAAAGTAGATCATTTAGTTTAATTTCTTTAATGATAAAATTCTCAGACACTACCAACGTTAAAGCAATGCACCATTCAGATGCACCTTTGCACCAGAAAAAATTGGTTGGCATTCTTTAGAGATGTTTAAAGAGAATTACTCTTTATATAATACTCAACTATTATAGTCAGAAAATGCTAAACATGACTTGGACAAGCAAGACATTATTTAAGACTGTAACTGACTCATTCTAAAGCAATGCATTATATGACCAGTAGGCTCAAATAGTTGGCGAGTTGTCATGGGGCTTTTGCTTTTTCTAGCAATACATGAAATGGCAATACATGAAAATTCACTTCAGTCTTGATTAAAGACAAAATATGCCCTGGATCTCCAAAATCTACTATAGGCAAACCTGTCTACCTAGATCATAATAGTCATGAAGTATATGCACTAATACACATATGTGTACTCATAGACTGTATCCTCTTCCTCATACTTGCTCAGAAACACTATACTTTTACTTTACAAACTATTCTAGTTTGTATGTTTGGTATCTGAAATTACAGGAAAACTGGAAGCAGGAAAATGAGATAGAAGAATGGTACACACAGTAAAACTTCACATTGTCAAATTGACATCTAACAGCCCAGAGCAATAATTCTTCAAATTTGTGTCTGTTTTACTAGCATAAGACATATTTGTGCACATTATTGCATTAGATCTTTATAACACAATAGAGGTTTGCTAGTCAAATAAATATTCTCATTTTACATGTGAAGAATGACTCAGGATGTTTCTGACACTTTCAAAGTCACAACATTAATAAAATGGCAAAAAGGGATGTCAGATGCATATAGTAGATCACAAAATTTGCATCCTTATCATATTGTTAGATTTTAAGAAAGGAGGATTTTTCCTGATAACTCAGAAAGCCCTGTTTCTGAAACCATTTGGTAAAGGGAAAAATTCTGCACATTTACTACTACGACTGGAATATGTAACCATATCTTTTAGTTAATACACATTTATTACACAGCATCCATATGTGGTAGCCATTGTGTTAAACTCTGGGGATTTGGGGATGAATAAGTAAAACATAGCGTGGCCCTCATAAAACTTATAGTGTAATGCAATAGGCAGATAACAGTAGATACAAAAATAATTATAATACATTTTGAATTACATGAATGAAAGAAAATAACCAGCAGAAGCTACAGGGATGGCCTCTTGAGAAAGTGCTATTTAATATGAAACCTAAAATAAAAGGAATAGTCTGCCAGGAAAACAAATAACACTTCCAGGCACAAGGAATGATGTGTATAAAAGCCCTAAGGGTGGAAAATTCTTTGCAAGTTCTAGGAAGAGTTAAAAATGTAGGAAAAGGCAGAGTGACCAGGGGAAGATACTGAGTTCAAACACACACAGATAGATGAGAGATGATAGATAGATAGATAGATAGATAGATAGATATTTGAGAGATATATAGACTTGACATATTTCAAGCACAGAATGTTATTATTCAATTCACATTTTACAAAGATTACTCTAACAACTCTAGGAAAAGAATTACAGGGGGTTAGCATTAGATATGAGGAGACCACTGATGGGGCTGTAATAGAAGTGCAAGATTGAACTAGAAACAGTGGTGGAGGTGGAGATAAGTGATATATTAGAACAAACTTTGCGCATAAAACTGAAAGGGCATGGTGATGGATTAGAGATGGGAGTGCAGAGGTGAGTAAGGCAAGTGACTTGACCCCCTTGGCTTTCTGGCTTGATCCAGTGACTAAATAGTGTCTGAGGTCATTACTGAGATGAAGAAGACTGGGCAAAAGTAGAAAACAGAATCAGGAGGGAAATCAGCAGTTCATGTTGACACTTGGCAAGTCTGAGATTCCTATGAGAATCAGATGAAATTCAAGTAAAAAAAACTAGCTATGGAAGTCTAGATTCTGACGGGGAATTTCAAGCTGGAGTTATGAATTTGAAGTCACCAACATTATGATTTTATTTAAAGTCAAATAAACAACTGCTATCTTCCAGGATCACAGAGAGAGTGATATTAGTAAAAATGCCCAGGACTGAGCCAGAGGAACACCAGTACCTAGTGGTCTTTCTACTATATCACAGTACTTCCTTAGAAAAATGTTCAAAATAAGTGTAAAAAGTTACCAGAACCAGAATCGCCCATATTTAATAATAATGAAAATTTCAGGCCCTTAAAGAAATATTTTCACTATGTTTTCTTAATCCCGTGTTGAATGTCATAACCATCAGTATTGTATGCCTCGGGAAGGTGGAGATATAGGACAGAAGGAAGAAACCATGCCAGAGAGACAGAAATCAACATGCCATTTCAATCTTTCCCCTTTGTTCTTTGAACTTCTCTACCGTTTTCTCCCTGTGGAGCCTTGGCATCTTAAGATCTTGATTATCAGAACTTAAGCATGAAAGAATTTCTTGTCTTGATGCCTTATCTCTTCTGCATCCAGAGGAACTTCATGATGTTTAGATACCACTTAACAAATACGAAAACAGAAAAACTACCCTAAGATAGTAGACACAGAGGCCATCCGTATTGACTGTTTAATAGTTCAGGGATTGCACAATAAAGGCAACTATCATTGCTAAATTCAGAATGGAAGAATGGTAAATATCACTTAGTCCCAGAATATTCTCCTAATTCCAACTGAAATATACACTACAAACCAAGAAAAATGCAGAAGGTGCTCAGAAACTGCAAAGAAAATAATTGGAAAAGAAAGAGTGAAACACAAAGAGTGAAACCAGTCTATATGCCTGTTACATTATTTGTGGTTGAATTTTAAAACATGCATCATATACAAACTAGGAAAATTTCTTAATTTAATTGGATTTAACATTTAAGTATCAAAAGCAGAATACTAATTTAGCTGAGCTAAGAATAATGTAGGGAAAACCTGAAGGATAGTATAATGCACTGAATCATATAGCACAATATAATCCATCAAAACCACAGAGCCTACAATTTTCTCGCTTTATATTCGGTTGAAAAATGACTTCAGAGTATGTGCTTATAAGAATAACTGATGAGAAATCTAAGTGGAGGGAAGACCACTTGATGCCAGCTTCTTATGATAATGTATAAATCTAACAGCCATAATTAATAATAGTTAAAGGCTTAAATGGCCCTGGGATATTCAGTTAACAGAAGACAGGTACACCTGCCAATATGAAGCTTTGAAACTTGCTTAGAGAAAGTTAGGGCAATTAACCTGACTATATTCCACTCAGTTTTGAGTAAAAATGAATGTTATGAAAATAATGTAGGTCAGATATTGACTTGCAATATTATTTAGAGTTCTGATACAATATATCTTAAACACTGTTCAGTCATTTTGAAATCTGTGAATAAATCTCAACATGTAATTTATACAGACAAAATAAATAAGAAAAATGCTTACTGAGTTTATATTCCCATTTTGGCGTTAATATCATTTTTAAAGGCTGTTAGCTTTATTTGGAAGTCAGAGAATTTCTGAATTAATAAAGTTCACATTAAAATAAAACATCATTGTTTTGGACATAGTCTACAATATGAATGGACTATGTATAATGGACTATGTATAATGGACTATGAATGGACCATACATACTGTATGGACTACAGTATGAATGGACTATAAATAAATCTCCATAGTGAAAATTCTCAAATCTCCTACACATTTACTGAAAAATTAAAATATCATTGTCATTGCAAATAAAATATTATTGGCATTATTAATAAAACTGTTTTGGGTACTCTATACAACTTCTTTTAGAGGTATTTTCTCAGATTTTTGTTTCATCAGAGTTCTACTTCTGTTATTTACATTTTGGTACTTTTCATTGTAATGTATGTGATAGCTATGTGTGGTAACATCAGTTTACATTATAATCACCTGTGTTTTTTATATGTGTTTTTCCACTGAATTAACCTATTAATAAAGTGAATATTAAACACCCAGATTTCTAAAATATATATATATTATGAAATAAATATTATCATATCGATTCTCACTCTTTTTATCAGTAAAAGGTAATATTTAGGCCCAATTTGCTATTGACTTTTTACCTGGCCATTGGGTGAAAATGGCCCAAGGTTTTTGTAATCAATGACTCCACAAATAAATCGTGTATAATCTTATAGATAACTTGTTTTCACTTTATTTCAAACATGGTAGCAGAATTGACCTCTTTTATTGTGTAATTTTTATTTTTATTTCAATAGTTTTTGGGGTATAGCTGGTATTTGGTTACATGGATAAGTTCTTCCTAGTGATGATTTCTGAGATTTTGGTGCACCGTCACCTGAGCAGTGTACCCTGGACCCTATATGTAGTCTTTTATCCCTCACCTCTCTCCTACCCTTCCCCCACCCACTGAGTCCTCAAAGTACATTATATCATTCTTAGGCCTTTGCATACTCATAGTTTAGCTTTCACTTACAAGTGAGATTATACAAAATTTGGTTTTTCCATTCCTGAGTTAGTTACTTCACTTAGAATAATGGCCTCCAGCTCCATCCAAGTTTCTGCAAAAAGATATTATTTCATTCTTTTTTTGGTTGAGTAGTATTCTTGGTGTAAATATACCACATTTGTTCATTAATTTGTTGGTTGGTAGACACTTAGGTTGGTTCCATATCTGAAATTGTGAACTGTGCTGCTATAAACATGTGTGTCCACGTATCTTTTTCATATAATGACTTCTTTTCCTTTGGGTAGATACCGAGTAGTGCAATTGCTGGATCGAATGGTAGTTATACTTTTAGTTCTTTAAGGAGGCTCTATACTGTTTTCCATAATGGTTAACTAGTTTACATTCCCACCAGCAACACTGCTGGTGGCAGTGTTCCATTTTTACCATATTCATGCCAACATCTATTTTTTTTATTCTTAATTATGGCCATTCTTGCAGGAGTAATGTGGTGCCTTATTATGGTTTTAATTTGCATTTCCCTGATAATTAGGGATATTGAGCATTTTTTCATATGTTTGTTGGCCATTTGTATATCTTCTTTTGAGAACTCTCTATTCATGTCTTTGTCCACTTTTTGATGGGATTACTTGTTTTTGTCTTGCTGATTTGTTGAGTTCCTTGTAGATTCTGGATAGTGGCCCTTTGTCAGATGTGTAGTTTGTGAATATTTTCTTCCACTCTCTCAGCTGCCTGTTTATTCTGATGATTGTTTCTTTTGCTGTGCGGAGGCTTTTTCATTTAATTAGGTTCCATTTATTTATTTTTGTTTTTGTTGCATTTGCTTTTGTGGTCTGAAGTCATGAATTATTTGCCTAAGCCAATGTCTAGAAGAGTTTTTCCGATGTTAACTTCTAGAAGTTTTATGGTTTCAGGTTTTAGATTTAAGTCTTTGATCCTTCTTGAGTTGATTTTTGTATAAGGTGAGAGATGAGGATCCAGTTTCATTCTTCCACATGTGTTTGTCAGTTTTCCCAGCACCATTTATTGAACAGGGTGTCCTTTCCCCAATTTGTGTTTTTGTTTGCTTTGTCGAAGATCAGTTGGCTATAAGTATTTGGCTTATTTCTGGGTTCTCTATTCTGTTCCCTGGGTCTACATGCCTATTTTTATACCAGTATCATGCTATTTGATAATTATTGCCTTGTAGTATAATTTGAAGTCGGGTAATGTGATGCCTCTAGATTTGTTCTTTTTGCTTAGTATTGTTTTGGCTATGTGGGCTACTTTTGGCTCCATATGAATTTTAGGATTGTTTATTCTAGTTCTGTGAAGAATGATGATGGTGTTTTAATGAGAATTACATTGAATCTGTAGATTGCTTTAGGCAGTATGGTCATTTTCACAATATTGTATCTTCCCATCCATGAACATGGAATGTGTTTCTATTTGTTTGTATCATCTATGATTTCTTTGAGTAGCGTTTTGTAATTTTCCTTGTACAGATCTTTCACCTCCTTGGTTAAGTATATTCCAAAGTATTTGAATTGTTTTGCAGCTGTTGTAAAAGGGATTAAGTTCTTGATTTGGGTCGCAGCTTGGTCATTTTTGGTGTACAGCAGTGCTACTGATTTGTGTACACTGATTTTGTATCCTGAGACTTTACAGAATTCGCTGATCAGATCTAGGAACTTTTTGGATGAGTTTTTAGGGTTTGCTAGGTAAACGATCATATCATTAGCAAACAGCAACAGTTTGTCTTCCTCTCTTCCAATTTGGATGCCCTTTATTTCTCTCTTCTCTTGTCTGATTGCCTAGCCAGGACCTCCAGTACTATGTTAAATAGAAGTGGTGTCTTGTTCCAGTTCTTGGGGGAAATGTTTTTAACTTTTCCCCATTCAGTGTGATGTTGGCTATGGGTTTGTCATAGATGGCTTTTATTACTCGAAGGTAAGTCTGTTCTATGCCAATGTCGTTGAGGGTTTTGATCATAAAGGGATGCTAGATTCAATCAACTACTTTTTTACATCTATTGAAATGATCATATGATTTTTGTTTTTAATTCTGTTCATGTGATGTATCACATTTATTGATTTGCATATGTTAAACCACCCCTGCATCCCTGATATGAGACCCACTTGATCATAATGGATTATCTTTTTGATATGCTGTTGGATTTGGTTAGCTAGTATTTTGTTGAGGACTTTTGCATCTATGTTCATCAGGGATATTGGTCTGTAGTTTCCTTTTTTCATAACGTTACAAAGAGGGGGAGGTGAGAGGATTGCTTGAGCCCAGGAGGCAGAGGTTGCAGTGTGCTGAGATTGCACCACTTCACTCCTGCCTGGGAGATAGAGCAAGATCCCCATCTCAAACAAACAAACAAGATCTCATAAAATATAAGTTTATAAAAATTGTAATCTGATAAAAATTCAAAGTTTATAAATTCGAGGTTTTTGAGAAAACAATTAATTTTAATGTTTGTGAAACAAATATAGAACATGGATACACAGACAATATTACTTAACACCAAAGGCCTGTCTCCTTTTTCCCCAGCCCATTAGCTTTTGATTCAAGAAAATAAATCAAGTTTAACATATTTGATAAATAATAATTACCACACATGGGAAGACATTGTCTGAGACACAGAGTAATTGTAAAGAGAGTTGCTTCTTCCGGCCAATTAACAGGTGATCCACTGGATCAGCTCAGCTTTTGTGTTTGCCCAGATACTAGGAAAAACTTCTGGAAAAGTGGTGTCAATATCAAAGGGACACAGACTGGTATTGTTTTGTGGATCAATTAGCAAAAATAACTGTAAATGTCTCTTTTTCTAAAGACGGAGCCAAATTTGTCTACAGGGCCACAATTAAGTAGCATAAATTCTTACTTCAGAGTTGGTGCTTCACCATCAAGGTATCAATAAAATCCAAAATAGAGATTCCTGACTAAACACTTTCGATTAGTTTCTTAAAATCTAGCTGCTAAGTGAAAATATTTAAATAATAAACATTTTAATTTACTTGTAATAGGGGAAATTAAGATATATCCCATTTCAGCTAGCTAGTTTTCCTGCCCTTGAATACATGAGAGATACCTGCAAACTCTAAGCTTTCATATGAATGAATTCAGGCCTCATTAATGCACAGTACATGACAAGATAGACCTACATGTGGTTTGCATTTGTATTTATGAAGATAGCCATTGGAAAGAATAAGTAGCCATATAAGGAGGATGTTAAAAGTTCCTACAAAGAACAAACATTTCATATATTTAAATGCATCAATTTTCATACATTTAACTGGTGTGCTACTGAGGTCATATGCTAGTTAGGTCACTTCAGCATGTCCTCTACAATGCCTGATATGGGATAGACTACATTTTATTGGCATAACACCAACCAAAATTCTGGAATAGATTATATGATATTCTCTGGAAATAATCTTTTGGATCAAATTAATTAATGAGTATGCTATTGCCTGAGCTGCAATGTCAAAAATCACATTTCTTTCTTTTCTTTTCTTTTCTTTTCCTTTCCTTTTATTTATTTATTTTTATTTTTTAGACAGGGTCTTGCTCTGTTGCTCAGGCCAAAGTGCAGTGGCACAATCACAACTCACTGCAGCCTCAACTTCCCAGGCTCAAGTGATCCTCCCACCTCAGCCTCCAGAGTAGCTGGGACTACAGGCATACACCACCATGCCTGGCTAATATTTGTAATTTTGTGTAGAAATGGGGTTTTGCCACATTGCCCAGGCTGGTCACAAACTTCTGGGCTTGAGTAATCTCCCTGCTGGGCCTGCCAAAGTGCTGGGATTACAGGTTTAAGCTACCATGCTCAGCCAAAAATCACATTTCTTATAACACGTTTATTTACTTTGGATGTGGGAGACGTTACACCAACAAAGTCAGTCATTTAGAAAGAAAGAGTTTAACTTGAAAATTTTTTTACAACCTAAATACATTAAATTGATGGCTGCCTTATGATATGTCTGTATTTAAATTGATGACAAAAGTATTTACAGAAAGAAAAGAGGGATAAGGAAAGATATTTGAGCAACATGGGAGGGTTGCTGATGGACTTTGAAGGACATAAATGACTAATATTTAATCTCAGTCTGTCTGTGTTCCTAGAATATGAAAACCTTCAGTAAGGTAAGGTATATTAATACTAGGAAAGGCCTTGGATGAGTATTTAATGAAAATTATAGAGAAGGGATAAATTCTGACTATGGTCACCATCGGGGCAGAGGTAAATTATCCTCAAGAAAGAAAGATTGAAGCCCCAAAATCCATAGAGGTAGGGAGTAGGAGTCAGAAGTGATCACGAAGCCACATGCACTGGCAGGAGTTTGAAGCAGTTTTAAGAAGGAAGTTGCACTTCCCATAAAATATGAAAGTTGGGTTTGAGCTAATCTGATCTACATCTTTAAGGGCCAAGAGACAGAGAATTGAATCTAAGATACACAAATAAATGGCCAAAGCATCAGTCTCCAAACAAACGTATTCAAATAGAAAAACAAAGGAAATAAATACTCTATTTTGAATTTTCTATTAGTGCCACCAGAGAAAGCATCACAGATGTTTTCCGGCTATCTCCTAAGCTGTTAAAGAATATGATTCTGTGAAACAGACCTGAGAGAATTGCCTTCTCTTTTGGTACAAAAAAAATCTAAAGTTTCATTTTCTGAAATCTCTCACGAGGTGAAGTCAGTGTAGAATACCAAAACAGGTTTTAAATTCTGGAAACCTAAATTATTCTCTTTTATGTTGTCAGCAAAGGTGCTTTATTCACACTAAATGAAAAATACAGTCTTCATTTTTCTATATCTGTGAGAGATTTATAATTGAAAATAAAGATAATTATATCATGATAAATATAATTGGATGATGTCCAATTTAAACATAAACTTCCATATTACTTTCAATAATGTGTTTTATTTTATTTTCTGGTTCTGGTATATTTCTAAGTTCTTTAAAGCATTTAAGTTGAAGGGGGGAAATGGCAGATAGGAGGCAGGACTAACTTTCAGCTCCCACTCCAGTGGATAGAGCAGCATGTGGAGACTCAAATCGTGAATTTTGGCTCCAAGAACTACCACAGGAACATACCAGAAAGCCGAGAGAATCCACAGACCCTTTGAAGGAAGCAGAGCTGCTGCAGGCCCTGGGAGACAGCCAAAAAACTGTGACTGTCCAAAGTATGAAAGGGGGATCATCGGCCTGAACACACATCCTCACATCCTCACTGGGGAACCTCAAGTTCCAGATCAGGGGATAAGGATTTGACCTTACCTGGAGCTGAGACAAATTTAGAGAGCTGAGTAAAATATGGGAATAGAAGAAGCAGTGGGAAGAGCCCTGTGGACACTCGCGGTCCCCAGGGAAGCCATTTCTGACTTTGTCTCCCAGGGGTCCTTGGGGAGGGCTACCAGAGGAACTGGAAAAAGACCACAGGAAGAAGGAAATTTCCAGCTGAACTTCGTAACAATTTCAACCAAAGTTTCCTGGACGGAACCTGGAGAAGGGGGCGAATCAGGGGTGCAGACAAGCACAGAAGCTGTGGCAGGTGGGGAAGCTCAAAACCTGAAAGCCCTGCTTACTTTCACAGCCGGGAGGCTGGTTGTTGGAGCAAGTTCTCAGCTCTGCCTACCCACTGCCTGGAAACAAACTCAGTACCGTTGTGGGGGCACAGTGGGAGTGAGACCAGCCTTTTGGGCTGCATAGGAGCTGATGAGGCCTGTAACTGCCAGCTTTCCCCCACTTCCCTGGTGACTTGCATGATGCATCAGAGGCAGCCATAATCCCTCTGGGAACATGACTGCTTTGGCCTGAAAACCACACCCCCACCCCCACAGCAGCTGCAGAAAGCCCTGCCCAAGGAGAGCCTGAGCTCAGACATGCCTAACCCTGCCCTCACCTGATGGTCTTTCTGTACCTGCCCTGGTAGCCAAAGTCAAAGGACATAATCTTTTGGGAGCTCTATGGCCCTGCCCACCACCTGATCCTCCCTATACTACTGCAGCTGATGCTGTCTTGAAAGCACCACCTTCTGGCTGAAAGCCAACCAACACAAAACTAGCACAATAAACACAACTACAACCAAGGACCCTCAGAGTCCACTTCATTCCCCTGCCACCTCTACTAGAGCAGGTGCTGGTATCCATGGCTGGGAGACCTGAAGACAGTTCACATCACAGGACTCTGTGCAGACACTACCCTGTATGAGCCCAGAGACTGGTAGTTCCACTGGATGGCTAGATCCAGAAGATAAATAACAATCACTGCAGTTTGGCTCTCAGAAAGCCCCATCCCTAGGAAAGGGAGAAAGCACCACATCAAGGGAGCACCCTCTTGGACAAAAGAATCTGAACAGTAGCCTTCAGATCCAGATCTTCCCTCTGACATAATCTACCCAAATGAGAATGAACCAGAAAAACAATTCTGGTAATATGACAAAACAAGGTTCTTTAATGCCCCCCTCCCCAAAAGATCACACCAGCTCACCAGTAATGGATCGAAACCAAGAAGAAATCTCTGAATTACCAGAAAAAGATTTCAGAAAATCGATTATTAAGCTAATCCAAAAGGCACTAGAGGAAGGTGAAGTCCAAATTAATGAAATCAAAAAATAAAAAATAAATCAGCTGGGCACAGTGGCTCATGCCTGCAATCCCAGCACTTTGGGAGGCTGAGGCAGGTGGATCACTTGAGACCAGGAGTTTGAGACCAGCATGGCCAACATGGTGAAACCCCGTCTCTACTAAAAATACAAAAATTAGCTGAGCATGTTGGCAGGCATCTATAATCCCAGCTACTCAAGAGGCTGGGAGAATTGCTTGAACCTGGGAGGTGGAGGTTGCAGTGAGCCAAGATCACGCCACTGCACTCCAGCCTGGGCAACAGAGCGAGACTCTGCCAAAAAAAAAGAAAGAAGAAGAAGCTATATCAAAAAAATGATACAACATATGAAGGGAAAAATCTTCAGTGAAATAGCATAAATAAAAAACAATCACAACTCCTGGAAATGAGGGACACACTTAGAGAAATGCAAAACATTTAAGTTGATAATGTATTTTACTTTTGATGCCTTGTTGTTTTTATTACTGTAGGAGTTAAAAATCATAAGATCCTGAAAAACATAATAATTTCATATGTTCAATTTTATATTTGTGACTTCATATATTGAATAATTTTTACTCAAAGAAATATAACTTTAAACTACACAGTCAGTATTATACAAAAGCATTGGTCACACATCAGCTTGAGTATATAAAAAATTTTGAAGCACATCTCACCTAAAGATATTTATGCTTTAGTTGAGGATATAAAACCCATAAATAAAAATAAACAAAAATAATACATCAAAATATGCTAAATTAGGCTATATATGTCATCAATTTGAGGGTATATTGAAAGATTTCTTATTGATCCATAATATACCTATTTATGGAATACATGTGATATTTTGATACATGCATATAATGTGTAGTAATCAAATCAGAGTAATTGCAGTATCCATTACCTCAAATGCTTATTTTTGTGTGTGTTGGGAACATTCTACATCTCCTCTTTTAGCTATTTTGAAATGTACAACAAATTATTGATAACTGGCCGGGCGCAGTGGCTGACACCTGTAGTCCCACACTTTGAGAGGCCGAGGTGGGCAGATTACGAGGTCAGGAGATCCAGAACACCCTGACCAACATGGTGAAACCCCGTCTCTACTAAAAATACAAAAAAAAATAGCTAGGTGTGGTGGCATACGCCTGTAGTCCCACATAATCAGGAGGCTGAGGCAGGAGAATCGCTTGAACCCAGGAGGCGGAGTTTGCAGTGAGCCGAGATTGCACCACTACAGAGTGACACTCTGTCTCAAAAAATATATATATATTGATATCTATTGAACTTACAACTAATTTCTCCCCTCTAGCTGTATTTTTGTACCCATTAACCAACTTCTCCTTATCTCTTTCTCCCACTCTTTCTCCCAGCTTTCTGGTAACCATCATTCTCCCCTCTACCTTCATGAGATTAACGTTTTTAGCTGCCACATATGAGTGAGAACATGTAATATTTGTCTTTCTGTGTGTAGTTTATTTCACTTAAGATAATGTCCTCCAGGCTCATCCATGTTGCTGCAAATGACAGGATGTCCTTCTTTTTTATGGGTGAATAATATTCCATTGTGTATACATGCCACATTATCTGTTCATCTGTTGATGGACACTTAAGCTGATTCCATATCTTAGCTATAGTGAATAATGCTGCAGTAAACATGGGAGTACAGTCGTCTCTTCAATATACATATTTCCCTTATTTTGGACATATACCCAGCAGTGAGATTGCAGGATCACATGGTAGTTCTATTTTTAGTTTTTTGTGGAACCTCCATACTGTCTTCCATAATGGCTGTACTAAGTTACATTCCTACCAAAGGTGTATGAGAGTTCCTATTTCTCTGCATTCTCATCAGCATTTGTTATTTTTTGCTTTTTTATAATATCCATCCTATTATAATATCACCCAACTGGGATGAGATAATATCTCATTGTAGTTTTGATTTGCATTTTTTGATGGTTAGTGATGTTGAACATTTTTTCATATACAATATTGAGAGATTGATGTAAAAAATTAATCTTAGAAAATGTATAAAGATCTAAGTCAGAAAAACCATTGCCAGAGGTTTGATCTCAACCTCATTAAAGTTGATCCTAATATAATAGAAAATCAGACTATTAAAGAGGTAGTTTCTTTAGAATTGCCAGAACATTTAATCCTTCACTGAGAGCATTCTGCTTCTTGGACCTATTGTGTAGTGTGATGCACCTCCAGGCTAAAATATTACCTTCAAATCAGAATTTTATAAGGGGTACCATTCTTCTATTCCTGCTTGCCCTGGGTGCCAGAATGCTGATTCTCAACATCAGGTAGGGTCCACCCAGTTCAGGTGCTTTTTCTTCAACAATTCTTAACCAGATTAGTTTATGTGGAACTTACCAAAGCAGCAAAAGATTCATGACTGTTTATCCCCTTCCTTTCCTGTTCCTCTCCTCATCATATTACATCTTCCACCAATAAAATTGATAATTTACTTGATTATGTGCTCAGTAAAGATATACCACAATTTCTAATTCCAAAGTTTCAGTTTTTGCTCATTAAGCAGTGGATCCTGTTTCTATGCTAGCAGTGCTGATCTATCTTCTCAAATATCAGGCCCCAAAAGGTGGCCTTATTTTCATTGATTTCTCATGCTTATTTCTTATTATTATTTCTCATGCTTAGCTTTTCTTTATTTTGATGGTTAATATTACGTGTCAGCTTGATTGCATGGAAGGATGCCTAGATAGCTGGTAAAGTATTGTTTCTGGGTGTGTCTGTGAGGGTGTTTCCAAAGGAGATTAACATTTGAGTCAGGGGATTGGGAGAAGAAGATCCACCCTCAAGTGTGTGGGTACCATCCAATCAGTTGCCAGCGAGACTAGAACAAAGCAGAGAAGAAGGTATGACAAGCTGGCTTGCCAAGTCTTCTGGCTTCCATCTTTCTCCTGTCCTGGATGCTTCCTGCCCTTGGACATCAGACTCTAGGTTCTTCAACCTTTAGACTCTTGGACTTACACTAGTGGTTTGCCAGAGGCTCTCAGGCCTTCGGCCACACACGGAAGTCTGCACTGTCAGCTTCCCTACTTTTGAGGTTTTTGGACTCAGACTGAGCCACTACTGGCTTCCTACCTCCTCAGTTTGCAGACTGCTTATTGTGGGACTTTGCCTTCTGATCATGTGCACCAATTCTCCTTAATAACTCTCTTTCATATATACATATACTCTATTCATTCTGTCCTTCTGGAGAACCCTGAAAAATACAGATTTCGGTACCAAAATCTGTATTATGTTGTCTTTTATGATAACATAAAAGAGAATAATTTAGGTTTCCAGAATTAAAAACCTGTGTTGCTATTCTACACTGACTTCACCTCTAGAGAAATCTCAAATTTCTCTAGAGAGAAATGGAATTTTAAGGATGGATTTCTTTAGTTGGTTTTGGAGTTTCTGGAGTTCTCTGTTTAAACTGATTAGACGCCAAAATGGTAAGGACTCTACTTCTAGTAGTATGGAGAATACTGATAGTCCTTGGCATGAACTGTGTAGACATGCTCAAAGTAAAGGCTTTGAGTGCTGAATCTTTTTCAAACTATTTCAGTTGAAGACTTTATTTTGTGTAATGAGCCCAGAAAACATATCAGTCATAGTATAATAGTATAATAGTTAAAAGCATTGGCTCTAGAGCTAGAATGAATTAATCCAAATTTCAACTCTCCCACTGTGTAACTGGATTAACCCATTTATGCCTGAGGTTGCAATTTTTTTTTTAGTTTTTGCAATCAGACCTTGGTGATGACATTGAGCAGTAGGATATAAATAACTCCCACATGCTTAGGGTTCCAATAATGGAACACTAGGGATAAATGGGCTAATAGCTATATAACATAGACAGGGCACTTAATCTTCCTGTGCCTCAGTTACTTCTTCTATAAAATGGGGATTATAATAGTACCTACCTCATAGGTTTGTGGTGGGGAAGAAATAAATAATTACATCATTGCATGGCACATAGTAAACTTTCAGTAGTTAATGCAACTGTTTTTGTTTTTATGGTTACGGGATGAAGTTTTCTATTTCTTGAACCCAATTGCTCTGTTTTTTGTTATTATTATTAGTCTTTTATCATTATTTTTTCTGGCTGCTGCAATACCTACCTGGGTCTTTATTTCTCCCAATGCTATCATAAATGTTTTAGATCCCATTAGCTAAAAGGATCCTTTCCTACCTAGAGTCCAGACTCAAAACAGACCACTTCATGCCTCTCCATGCCTAAATAAGGGTCCCTTCACCCACTATGGTAGTGTAGTTATTATATCTCTTCATGCCTGATGTCCTGGGAATATAACTAAAACTCTAGATAGGAAGAAGGATCAGAAACTCCCCAGCCTAATTGTAGAGAAACCCATTGCAGCCTATCTGAGAAATGGGAATTTTGCTTGTGTCTCACACCCCTAGCATCACTGTCTCCTGAGCCATAAAATAACAGTAAACAAAGTTCTCATTTATGTGAAACTTTAACAGCATGCATCAATCGAGAGATGTTCAAATACCCTGGGAAAACTATTCAAACAAAAGCATATCCACTCACACAAAAAGCCACAAAGAAATATCCTCTGCTCTTCTTTCTTGCTCTTGCTCTTGCTCTTCAACATCTTGAAAGAGTTTTATGGACCATGGGAAGTAATACGTCTTTGCAGCTGACCTAGTTGTCTTACCACAATAGTAGAGGTTTCTAGCCTTTGGTTCCAGGTATTGTTACCAATTTGACTAGTGCTCCCAATTCATCAGTTACTGGTACTGAGGCTCATAGCAATGATGTCTTGGCTTTGCCCAGAAACATGAACACTTCCACCTTATCTTGAGCCAAATTAAGCCTATTTAACCTGCAACCTTCCATAGTCAATAAGGTTACATAATTGATTAATTTGTCACCAAGGCCCCATACTCAAGTATATTTATTTATTTTTGGAAATGGAGATAACCTCAGGGAAGTTCCTAAGGCCATCTACAGTGTTTGTCATATGACCTTTTACCAGCCCTACTCTTATACACATTTTTCTCACCAAGAAAAATGGAGAATTTAAGGTTTATAACAACTCCCAGATATTGAACCAAATTACCATTGAAATCAATATGCCCTCCTACATTTTTCTTAATCTGCTTGATCAACTTGAGTCAGCTGTGATTTGTATCAGCTGAAACTCCAGGACAGGATTAGAGGGTAAGGAAGAAGTTGGGGGGAAGGGTCTTATCTCCCTATCAATATCAGAAATATTTTTTAAGTATTCATGAAAGACTGTGTTTTCAGATCCTTATGATAATTTTGAGTACAATTGACCCTCGAACATGTTTGAACTATGAGGTCCACTTATACATGGATTTTTTCAATAAGTTTACTGAAAATTTTCTTGGAGATTTGTGACAATCTGAAAAAAACTTGCAGATGAACCATGTAGCCTAGAAATAAGAAAAAATAAAAGGTATGTCATGAGTAAATTCAGTATAAAATGTATTTAGATATTAGTCTCTTTATGTGTTAATTGACTATGATATTGATAACAGTAAGATATTAGTAGTCAAGTTTCTGTGGAGTCAAAATTTATGTGTGGATTTTCTATTTCCTGGGGGTTTTGTGCTCTTACCCCATGCATATTTCCAAAGATCAATTGTGTTTGGTAATAGGTTTGAATAAATGTTAACATATTTATGTAACTCTGAAAAATACACTTTTAAGCATTACAAATGATTGGAAAAAAGAAGAATTATTTAATAAATAATCTTTCTTTGGTAGATGGGAACCAGTAAATATCAAAGGCCTTAGAAACATGTATAACTCAACACAGGAATTCTATTCCTAGAAATCTTTTTAATGAGGTAACCAAAAGCTCCACAATTTGGAATTAAGCAAAAAAATACACACACACATGCGCGCGCGCACACACACACACACACATATTTGTGTGTGTACTTATATATGGATCTTATGATAGTTATATAACAAAAATAATATGTAACTGTTTAAAATCATATTTATCTAGAATATCTGACAACAAAAGAAAGATGCCATAATATATTTAAGTGATAAACCAAAGCAATGAACGTTATGCACCATGTCATATGAGTCTTAAAGATGATAATGACTGCATGGATGATAATATTGCTACTCACTTGTTTTATTTTTTACTCTTGAGCACGTAACATTTTCCCCACAGTTACAATGCAATAAATTTAATTCAGAAATAATTATTTTTAGTAAAGAGGCAAAAAAAAATTCCCTACATTTGAATGTATTAGTCTAGTTCATGTTGGCTGCATATTAGAATCACCAGGGGAGCATGAAAAACAAAATATCTGAGACCTACTCTAACTTGCTGAATCAAAATGTGTTTCATTTTTAGTGTTTGTTGTTGTTCATATTTTTAACATGGTTCTCAAATGATTTTGAAGTGGTCAGGCCCACAAAAGTCCACACTGTCATATGGGTACAACTGGCCTTGAGGATAATATTGCTAACTCCTCAGGATCTTTTCAGAATGAAGTGAAATAATGTGAGTGAGTGATCCTACAGTCATGGGGGAATAATCCATCTATGGGCCTATTTCCCAGGACACTGATATCTGAGAGGTCTTACATCTTTTGGAAAAGACCTCTTGTAAGTAGTTTGGTAGAAGTGCTATGTCTCTTCAGCACTTCTTCACTGCCTTCTTGTGGTAGCAAATCCCAGCTCCCTGACTAGAGAGGGGACCTGCAACCAAGACTGAGAAAGCCACAGGCTCCTATCTCCCTAGTGGTCCAAGGAGTGGTCCAGGCTTGGATCAATTGATCATTACTAAGAATTTTTCTTATCATGGCCAGCAAATTGTCAAGTAAGCTTGCTCCATCCCAGTTTTCCCTGACCAGAAAATGGCACTATTATTCCCCCAATATGATCAGAGTAAAATCATCTTTCCTTATACCCTACATTCCACCCATCAGCAAGTCCTGCTGGTTTTCCTTTGCCACAACCCCCAAAACTTCCCACTTCTCCTGGCCTCCAATTTACCACTCTAGTTTCGGGCTACTGTGACACTTGGTGCCTATTTGGTCTTCCACTTCATTCTTATCTTGCTAAAGCCGTTGTCCAGAGAGCAAAATATACTTGTAAAATATAAACCAAATTATGTATGTAATTTCTTAGCTTAAAATTCTCCAGTGAATTCACATTACATTTATTATAGAACAATATTTACTCTCTGTGGCCTGACAAGACATACTTGGTTTACCCCTCTCTAAATTCCTCCATTTCTCCCTCACTCTCTTGTTTCTGACTGTCTTGCTGTTCCTCAGACATGGCAAGCTTTCCCTGATTTTGTCTTTTATCTACCAGAACTGCTCATCACCCAGACCTACAAGTGATCCCTTCACTTATTTCTTTCAAGTTTTACTCAAGTATCACCGCCTCAGAGGTAACTTCCTTGACCTCCCTATGATATTAATTCCTCCTTCTCACCTCCCCGACCACCCACTCCCTGCATCCATCAATCTCTTTGCTTTCTTCCTTTTTGGTTCACAGAACTTGGCACTACCTGATACACGGGTTACATGTCCATTGTTTGACTCTTGTGAAGTGAAGGCTTCACAAGGGCTTCCACCGTGATTGTGCCCTGTATCTGTACCTAGTTGAGGACCACTATTTATATGCTAAGTTAGACCCCCATTGATTGGATAAAGTCAGGCTCCAGAAGGGCAGACTAAAGCCACCAAGCAAGGAACAAGAACTGGAAGAGCTTTTGTTTCCAGAATCACCCCAGCTAGCTCTACTCTTTCTATTTTTCATCCCTTCGATAGATGAACCAAAAAAGTCTTTCTTTTCTCTTCAGTTAGTTTGAATACAATTTCTGTCACTTGAGATTGAAAGATCCCTAACTAATAGCCAGTTGAAGATTCAGTTTCAGGACCTGAGGAATTTTAGAGGGAGAACTGTGAAATGCCACATCTCTGTGCACAGCACACTAGAACATGTAAGTCCACACAGCACAGACTCCTCACCTGCCCGTTAACCTCTGAAGGCACGGTGGGCCACCATTATTGTCAATATAATCAAAGAACTTTTTCCTCCCCTATTGAGTACTTTGTTCTTTGTGTGTTGTGTATTCCCGTCATCTGCTGCCTGAACAACTCAGACTCAGCTGCTTCTTATCCTTCTTGTCCTTTCCCTTACCCTTCCAGATTTGCAAATCATTCCAGAGTTGTGAAGGGAATTCTAATCTTTTAAAATTGATTTTCCCAGTTTCTCACACACACAGGGGAAGCAAATAATGCATGCACCATATTATGTATTAATACCTTTATTCCTAATCCAATCTTAAAGCAGACTGATTATCCACTTATCCCCACCCCTGAATTTTTTTATTCAAATGTTCATACAAAGCTGTCACTTATTCCTGAATGCCTGAATTTTAAGCAAAGCTGATGACTTCACAGAACTCCATACACATTGAGCACACTGAAACCACCTGTGCAACAACGCAAGGCAGTGTGAACAGGCAGGGAGCTGTGTCAAGGCCAGGGTCAGAGACCAGCTGCTAGAATTCTTCCCTGAACCCAAGGGAGCAAGCATAGGTTTTGTGGCAATCTTCTCAACTATAGCATTATTGTTGACATTTTGAGTTTAATATAATGTACAGGAGCTGTTCTGTGCATTGTGTGATGTTTAGCAGCATTCCTGGCCTCTACCAGCTACCCAGTGTGGCAACCAAATATTCCTCCAGATTTTGGAAACTGTCCCCTGGAATGTATGTGCTCAGAGAAGGATTGAGCCCAATTAAGAATCACATGTATTCAAAAAAAGAACTTGTGTGATAACTCAAAAAATCAATTCTATCTACTGGGTATACTACTATCTCCTCAAAATAGTCAGTAAGAGGTCCTGGGTAGGTGAAGGTGCTACCTCTGCTTTACAGTTGGACCATAAAGGTCATGGCCTTTATGAACCAATAAGTATCCATTAGAAGTAAAATTGTAGATGAGTGTGATCTGTTTATAAATTTGAAATTTTAAGGGATCTTATTTTCTTCATGGCCCCTTCATTTAAGGTGAAACTCTATTTATAGTGCCTTTTGTGATAGAACTCGGGCTCTCTTCTCAAACCTACATTCCCACTATTCCATCGCATGTGTCCTATACCCAGCCATATCAATATTTTTTTATTCTATGGAAACAATTTGCTTTCTTATATCTCCATGTCATTCATACATACTGTTCCCTCTGCCTAAAATATCCTTCCCAACCTTCCTTTTTACTTTTTTTTTTTTTGAGACAGAGTCACCCACGCTGGAATGCAGTGGCACAATCTGGCTCACTGCAACCTCCACCTCCCAGGTTCAAGTGATCCTTTTGCCTCAGCCTCCCAAGTAGCTGGGATTACAGGCATGTACCACCATGCCCGGCTAATTTTTGTATTTTTAACAGAGACAGGATTTCACCATGTTGGCCAGGCTGGTCTCAAACTCCTGACTTCAGGTGATCTGCCTCCCTTGGCCTCCCAATATGCCCAGTCTTCCATATTTTCTTTGATATGTTACTTCTTATGATACTGAAAACTTCCCTTAATTCCTGTTCCTTCCTGGCATTCTCTATTCCAGGCCTGTAGGTTTGTCTCCTCTCTGATTCACCTATTCCAATGCCTATTCTTATAAATATCAGTTGAGTTTCTTACCCATCTCCAAATGATGTACTTGAGAGCCACATCATTTTATTTAGGCAGATCTAAATTTTGTGGGTACAGAAGTTTATGCAATCTGGGATGCCCTCTTTATAAAAAAAGAATATAATATTATTAATATAAAATTAGGTATATTTATTTAGAACTGGGAAAGAAATCACAACAAATGCCTGGAAATTTAAAGACTCAAACTCCCTTGTCAATTTACCAGAAATGCTTACATAGAAATATTTCCTAATAGGAACCTGGCTTTTTCTACCATCTAGAATGCTCTGCAGCTGTCAGTATCTCACAGCAACCTGTGCAGTTGAGGGTCACCAGAGCCTAAGGTTCATTACATTTATGGCAAATCTGCCTTTAAAAAACGTATCTCTGCATCTCCAAGGCCCAGTACAATGGTTATATGGTAGAAGGTACTTCATAAATGTTAGTGATGACAATATTAAATTTTATTTAAAGGTTAAGAAATTCCATCACTCTTTTGTTCCAGAAAAAGACATTGCCAGAAACCACCTTTCTCAATATGACTTAGACAAGACTCATAGATGACCCCCTTGTTCACATAAGGCAAGGCCAGACACAGACCCTCCAAATTCCCATTCTTTGCCTCAGAAATGACTAATGGAACTGCTTGTCCCAACTGATCAGCTGGAACAAAATGACTGTTAACCAACCTTCCTCAAGATCCCTGACCTCTGGCTCACCTCCAGGTGAGCCAGCATTCAGCTCCTCCCAAGAATAGAATAGACTGGCCTCACGGAAGATATTCTCCAACCTACCAGCCTATCAGGCCACCTTTGATTCCATTTCCCCACACTGCTTCTTTCTTGCTTTGTTTACTCCTCCCTTCAGAAGCTTGTAGACCTTATGGTCACCTCCTTCTCCCCAGTGCAACATTATCTTTCCCCAGCCTTCTAGGAAGTCTCTTGCCACAGACTTTCAAATAAAGTCTCTCCTTACTAAGTCTGAACTTGCTTTTTATGTGACAGTGAAATTACTGAAGAAAATAAGTGATGAATGACTGAGTGTGAACTCTTGTCAAGCAACAAGTGTTCTTTGTAACTCTTTCCCGTACTGTTGCAATGATAATGCTATTGCTTTCCTACTGAGCCTATGTGGTCTCTCTTTTGACCTCTGTTCCTTCTGCCAGTTGCAATACACTCCTCTGTCAACCATTACTATAAGCTTAATCTGTCAATATTGTCAAACAGTTCTGACCTCTACCTTGATTTTGGCTTAAATCCCACCTTTGTTATAATTCAGTCTAGATCCTAATCCATTCAGACTTTTTCCTGCCTTAGTTCCAAGAAAACATGACTCTGTTTCTAAATCAAAATAGAGTATGTGAGTTAGCTTTGAAAAGGCCTGATAGATACCCATTGCAAAAAGTTAGTGAAAGGCCATTCTGGTTGCAAACAATTGCATGTAAAGTCTTGGAGGCAGGAATTTGAAATTCATGCCTCAGGACAATAAAATTAGCCAAGTTTTATTTTAAATTGGTAGAATAATGACAGAAGGTTGGAGAAAGCATTTTATGAATGGATATTGATTGGGATTGAAAATTATGAGCATTGGTTTTTTATGTGTGAAATTTCAGATATTGGCAAAATACATAAATAGTATCTTATAATGAATGAAAAAGTACTGAAACTAGAATTTGGGAGACATTTGGATTATTCAAAATCTTTGAAAAATGCTGTGATGATGATGATGATGATGATGATGACGATGATGAGATGGAGTCTTGCTCTGTCGCCAGGCTGGAATGCAGTGGCACGATCTCAGCTCACTGCAACCTCCGCCTGCCAGGATCCAGCGATTCCCCTGCCTCAGCCTACCAAGTAGCTGGGATTACAGGCACATGCCACCACGCCCAGCTAATTTTTTGTATTTTAGTAGAGATGGGGTTCCACCGTGTTGGCCAAAATAGTCTCCATCTCCTGACCTCTTGATCTGCCCGCCTCGGCCTCCCAAAGTGCTGGGATTACAGGCGTGAGCCACTGCGCCCGGCCAGTGCTGTGATTCTTAAAATGAAATCTTGGAGCACAGTACATTTTTGCAGTACAAATATATTTTCCAAATTTTGGGTAAAGACTAATATTTTCTCACCTTTATAAAATACATTAATTGAATTCTCTGTTGATTTCACAACTTCATGTTAATTATAGAATGCAGATTGGCATATTTAAAATTTTCAATGTTCTGAACATCTAACTACATAAAGGACAGTTTTAAACTTATTCTTTCATTGGAGGCAGGTATTATGTTGAAGGAAACTGGGCAGATAATGAAAATTCTGTATTGGCACCCTGCATAGGCACAAGATATTAATATATAAAACTATGATTAAGATAACATTAAATTATAAAGTAATTTTTACAATCTTTTTTTATAGATTAACAAATACAAACTTCATCAGACATTAAAATCCATTATTTCAGATAAGGAACAATGATTTATAAGAGCCAAGTGGTGGATTTAACACAAACTCACATTTTAATAAAAGTGTTACAAAATTTTAGTTATTAAAAATTCAAAAAGGTTAACATTTTAGATATAAAAAGAGCAAGGCACAAATCGATTTAATGGGAGATAAAGGGTAAAGCATGCAATGCTTAGACTTTAAAAATCCAATTATTCCAATTGCTCTGCATACATTAGGCAGTCATATTTTAGTGCTATCCCATGCCTTACTTGTCTTGCTGCCTTTTGTCAAAGCTCCTGTTTGCATTTTAATTGACTTGGGGAAAAGCAAGGGAGAAAAGAAAGGGAAGTTGTAAAATTAAAGAAAGGGCTGTGCATGTTTGAAAGCACCTATGTGACCCCCTCTGACTATGTTATGCCGATGCTTTAAATATCATTCTGCTCCAAAAGTAAGATCCCTATCAGTCTGGCTAGTTTTAAATTGTCACTTCCAAATTTAAATACATTATTTTATGAAAGTTTATCCCACCACTCTTAAGAGTACTTAATAAACACAAAAATCATAGTAGAGATACTTGGAAACAGCCACTAGGCTATACACACTTTCCACATGCTAAAAGAATAGGCCACAATTTTGTTTATGTTATGTTTCACAACTATTTAATATCTGCAAACTTTCATGTTCTCATCTGAAAATGAGGATGGTGAGAGCAGCTTTATAAGAAGGCTAGTAGAATGAAGGAAACGGTAATGCCTGGGCATGCCTGATGAAGTGCAATGTAGCTTCCCTGGGAGTGGCTCATGGTGTTTTGTTAGACATTCTGAAGTGCTTTTGTAGCTGCTTCTGGGGCAGTGGGTCTCAAACTTCTGTCTCCAACCCTTTTTATACTCTTAAAAATGTTACTGAGGACTCCAAAGACCTTTGCTTATTTGGATTATATCTTTTGACACTGACTATATTTTAGGTTAATGCATATTTTTTTTCAATATGTATAATAAACTCACTACATCCCAGCATAAACAAATGTTTTATGGAAATCTACATTTTCCAAAACAACAAATAAAGAGAGAATGATAGCATTGTTTTACATTTTTCAAAATGCTTTAATGTGTCGCATGAAAGACTTCGATTCTTACATCAGCTTCTGTTGTCAGTCTTTTATGATGTGTTGTTTTGGTTGAAGCATAGGAAAAAAATCTGGTTTCACATAGATCTGGGGTTGGAAAAGGGACGGCCTCGAGGTCCCCTTAAACAGTCTGGGGGACCCCTAGAAGTCCTGAAGCCACCCTTGAGAATTGCTGTTCTGGAAAATAGAAGCAATGGGGAGAAGAGTAGAGGGTGTGTTTCCCAGCACTGGTTTGTGCCAAATCTGGGAAAACTTGACGGAAAAATACTAGAGACCCTGAGACTTATGTTTTGCCTCCACGCTGCCTTTAATCTGATTGCCTGTCCATTGCCCTGCCGTAACCCATTCCCACTTTGCTCCTGCCAGGAAGATCAGAATTCTGGTCTGTACTCATTTGGCAGAAGAACCTGGGAAGAGAGGATAAGAGATACTTGTACAATAACGCCTTCATATTGTGCAGGTTTTACTATACTACATGAGGAGAGTGGGGAATGTGATTTGATTTATTATTGAATATTATAGATCCTTGAAATATACAGATATGACATTTACAGTTTCACAAGTGACATTGAAGATGCATGGCAGGTAGTCATGTCACTTTGTTGAGGCATGAGTTTGGAACAGGTGGCAAAGCTAGTGGGTAAATGTGGCAAGTCACTGACAAGTGGGCTTAGCTGACTCTCAGCACCTCCATCCCAGTGTAATTTACCAGTGGCCACTCTTGTTGGGTGAACTTCTCCTAAAATAATTAAAATTATTGTTGAAAGGCTTGGGTTTTGAAGGGGTTTTGTTGTTTTGTGAAAAATGGCCTTGGGAAATTAAAAATCCAACTACTATTCTTGGAAATGGAAACAGAAGGTGAAGCTATAGGGCTTATTTAAAAAATAACTCTACATTTGTTTTGGTTTACTATTTATGAAATAATTAAGGACCCAAATATTTAAATTTAAACTTTATTGCCTTTTATGAAGGTAATTAAATGTAATTGTGGTATCCACAAATTTGGGCATTTGGAAATATCAGGAATCTCCTGTTAAATCTGAATTTACATTTAATATTAGATGAATCAGTGTTGTTATTAATTCTCAGTTTTGTATGGTTTAGAAATCTTTTGTTAAATCTATTTTTAGGAGAAACTGAAAAGTATTGATTATTGATTATAATGAGTAGTATTTATAGAAACTTTGTAAAGTAAAAGAGAAACAACTTATCAAATAGAATTATTTGATAACTTATCAAATAGAATAGAAACAACTTATCAAATAGAATTATTTACTTATGTAAAATTTTATGTACTATCATCTATGAAGGACTGAATTTAAAAGGCTTGAAATATTTGCCTCACATATATAAAGTGCTAAGTGTTTGCTATTTTTATACTTTCTTACAAATACCAATTTTTTAAAAAAATCCAAGAAGAAGAAACAAAACAAGATAATTTATTGAGTACCTGCTCTGTGCCAGTTACTTTTTTAGGCATTTGGAATAGACTGCCCAGAACAGAACTAGATATTGTATGTCATACATCACAATATTTTATTCCATAAAAGTCTCCAAATTCTTAGAAAATGTCCCTTCTAGTTTCTCTGTGTCTGTGTGTGTCTTTACTGTAACTTATTCAAATTTGCTCTCACTGAAATATATTATTGCATGTGGCAATTCCCAGCTGTTTATTTCCATCTGAAATACCAAACCAAATATTTCTTAATTACTGTTAACTGATGATGGAAGTATAGACAGTATAAACCTTATTAATAAACTTACTACACATGAAAAAAGATAATTTAGCAAAACCTGTTGGCAGGTTCATCCTCTAGAGATACATTACATTTTGATTATTTTTTTATTGATACTCCTTCATATCTAATAGTTTATAAGGACATTTTACACATATAGTTGAAAACATATCAACATATTAACTTTAATAGAATACAAGATATAGAATATGATGTTTAAAAATAGAAGACTGTAAATAGGATTTTTATACCTAAGTTAGCTTAAATATGTAAGTAACTATTTAAATATCTTATAAGAATGTTAACACATTTTTAGAAAGTCTTGAATCCTTGGTCCAGATCTTCTTATATCTAATCTGCTTATAACTTTTACCTAGAAAATCAGCCTTAGATGATTTTAAATGACTTAGCTTACCTACAGCCATCTAAAAACTTGTTTTGGACTTCTGATTCTGGATAGATATAGTTTCAGATAATTGAAGATTACCAAGGTACTGTCTGCTTACGACACGGAAAAGCTTAATGTTTGGCTAATTTTAGTTGCATTTGAGTTTGTTAATTTTTAATCAGTAAGATTTGTTAGGTAACCTTAAAGTTAAGTCACTGCTACTCCCCAACCCAAAGCCTTCTCAGACTCCCCATTCACACCTCTCACGTCCAATCATAATTAAACACTCTGTGTTCTCATAACACTTTGTACATATCACTAATATGGAATTTGTTATAGCTGAATATGCTAAAACTGGATGGCAAAATTCAGGGAATCGAAGGCTTCTGTTAGGTTTCTCCCTCTAATGCTTCAGGTAGTGCCAGGAAATAATAAACCCCCAACAAGTATTTATAGGGATCAATGGATTAATCTTGAAGGGGCTTTTTTACTTAAAACGTAATAAAATTAACATGGTTAAAATAAAAGCTGTCATATGACATGTGCTGAAGGTATTTTATATTCTATCCTTTATCTACTTTATCTTTTGGGGAGCATACTCACTACATTCTTTTTCCATATGGTTAAAAGAGAGTGATTCAAACTCTCTGCCTTAGGGGTGAGCATGTGATTCAGGACTTTTGTAGTTTCTTTTTCACCCAATTCCCCAGTTATGAGGGCCAATGTATTCCTTTATTTTGCTTTTGATAATTCTAACGGAGTGTCACACACATTCAATAGCTTCCTGGCTAAAATAACATCTGCATTTTAGAATTTCCCCATAAGAAATATTTATCAGGTTCAGGTTCTTTAGAAGTTTAACTACAGTTTGATATGCATATGAAATTCTATTTTATTGCCTCTCCTACTACAAAAGTTTTTCACTCTCACAGTAGTTTTATTTTTCTTTTCACAGTATTTCAAGTATTTTGATCAGAGCCAATTACTTTTAAATGTAGTTTTTTTTGAATGATGTTTTCTTTGTAACTTATCTTATTTCTTTCTTGACTGTCTAATATCCGAGGCTTTGTTGTGCTCCATTCTTTTCTCATGCTTGCCATTTGTCTCGATTTTCTTCAATGATTTTTTCAGCCTATTTTTCTTACTCAAGATAAAGAAAGACATAGACACATCCATTTTATATTTCAGCAATATTTATCTTAAATAAACCTACAAAGCGGTTAAAGTAAGATGTCCCACTGAATGTCATAGATATTAGGAATGGCTTATCTTTCTCTTTTAACTCTCTTTATTAAAAGAGAGAAACTGCTAAAGAGTAAATATTTGTTTTTTTGAATGCATCTCTTTAGCTTTTGACCCCCACCTGATCTCTCAAAAAAGAAAAAAAGTGACATTTTTACTTTCCAGAGCCTACACACAGACAAAAATGGCTTTAAAACTCTATGCATCAGAGGAATGCTAAAGAAAGAAAAATATTTCATGTTATTTTTCGTGTTTTCACTTTAGCATTTCAATTACATGCTTGTTAGTGTACATTCTTCTTATGTTTGGGGTTGGTTTTGATGAGTGTAGTAGCATGATATTTTTTAGAATGTTTTATTACAAAATCAGCCAATACTGTTTAAGGATTACATTAAAATTGGTAAACTGCCAATTGAAAAAAAACATTAAAAATAGATAATATCTGAATAATTATTTTAAATAAAAATATGTGTTTTTGCCTAGTGACATCCATTCTCACAGAAAAGTGGTATTGAATGTTTCATGGTACATCTATCTCACAGCTAAGACATTAAAATGTGTTGAGAAATTAGTTTCCTTGCTATTCTTTTTTTTTTTTTTTTTTTTTTTGAAACAGAGTTTCGCTCGTCTCACTCAGGCTGGAGTGCAGTGGCACAATCTCGGCTCACTGCAACCCCCGCCTCCTGGGTTCAAGCGAGTCTCCTGACTCAGCCTCCTGAGTAGCTGGAATTACAGGCACCCACCACTATGCCTGGCTAATTTGTGTATTTTTAGTAGAGATGGGGTTTCACCATGTTGGCCAGCCTGGTCTTGAACTCCTGACCTCAGGTGATCCACCCGCCTTGGCCTCCCAAAGTGCTGAGATTACAGGCGTGAGCCACCACTCCCTCCTTGCTATTCTTGAGCACATTGTAGTAAAATGACCTATTTGGAGCCAGAAATGAACCAGCCACCTACACAAACTCTTGTTAATCTTTTCAGCCAAATTATAGCCTTAAATTTTAATCTCAGAAGAAAATTTTTGTCACTCAATCTGTGAAATACAGGATCAAATAAATGGCTTTTGCTTTAATTTTTTTTACACTTCATGACATAGTTGCTTACCATGTAGAATACTTATTGCTAGCAATGTAATTATCATGAACAGTGTCTGAAACATCCATTTTTAGTCAAGTTCTGTGACTAATCAAGCTAAAACATACATTTTCAAGAGATCCACCTGAGGACTGTCTATCCATGGATTTTCTATCCCACTGCACTTTAAAATTGACTGGGAGCTTCTATAAAATGCTCTCTGGATGTGCCTCATACCAAATAAATAGTAATCTTTGAAGGTGTGGCCTTGGGTTATATTTTTTAAAACTCTACAGATAATTTTAAGGTGAACCAAGGTTAAATACCATTTATTTGAACCAAATGAATATTCAGAAACATGTTATTCAATTTTTAGTCACTTGTTGAGAACTAATTTCTTGACAAAAAAGACATTCACTTTGTGGTTAATGTCAAAAATTTTACCTTTCATTTCTTAATATGAAATATATTGCAGAAATCCCTGATAATCACAAACACCTGCATTTTAAAAGATTTCCATTATTATGAACTATTTTTTATTATTATTTGGATCTTCCTGGGGAGACTTTATCTCACTGGGAGGTAATCTATGTTAAGTCTTAATTCAAAAAATGAAAGTTCTTGAGAAAGGGTTGAAGCATATAGGTCATTAGCAAAAAGCTGATGTTGAAATATTCACTGAAGTATCCATTATAATAATGAATACTAAATTACTATAAGATTTATTTTCCTAGAATAGTAATTTTCCCATGTGAGCACTCTGCAATATTTTACAGTAGTAGGTTCACTTCGAGAGTTGTTTCTGAATACGTATAGCATATGAACTAAATCAAATTGGTAAAAATAAACATAGAAGTGAGGGAGTAACCAAAAAAAAAATAAAGTTATATCCAACCTTTTGTTTCAGAACAATAAAATGCAATCTACTGAAATAAAATATTTGATTAATTTAAGAGGTTGGTATTTAGTAGCAAAATTTAAAGCAATAAAATAGTTTTGGTAATGGTATTTAAAAGTAACCTAAATTTAAGTATTTCTTCTCATCAAAAGATACTTCTATTATAATAAAATATCAATTTTAAATTATAATTCTTAAAATATTTATTAAGTGCAAAGTTTAATGATATACTGTACCAGAGATATAAATATAAGTAAGAGATGATTCCTGCCTTTAATAAATAGGTATTCAAGTGTGGATGACACAGACATATGCAGAAAACTCGCAATGTAGTGACTGCTATACTAATAAAGTGTGGTGATCAGAAGAGGGCATGTTTCAGTTATGAGGCATTGACCAAGGCTGACCAAAGGAAGAGATGTTGAAATGGGTTTTAAAGAATCAGGAGAAGTTCTCCATAGGGAGCAGAATGGGTAAAGTGAATCAATAAACTTAGAGCATTCTGCAGAAAGGTAAGCTGTTCAATAGGGACAGAAATGAGAATGTAAGTGCAAAGACCAGCTGTTAGTGGGGCTGTAGTCTCCTTGGCCCCAGATCATAAAGGGCCTTGAAAGTTAAGCCAAGGTTTCTGCTCTTCTTCCCAGGGGCAATGGAAAACCATTCAAACAATGTAATTTTGAGTTTCTTAAGACTCCTGTTTCCTTGGCCACTTTCCTTAGCCTGACACCAGCTTGCCTTCCTACAGCCATACATGAATTTTCTTTCATATTGATGATTTTGCTAACTAATTAAAATGTTTCACAAACAATGACTTGATTTCTTAAAAATCAGAACAAAAACAGTGAATGTCCCATAAATATATGTACACATAATTTATATTATTTCTCTTAAAGATGAGCCATTATGATTGAGGTTTATAATTTCTTCAGTATGTGCAAATACTATAATTTTGATGTATAAGTACAATCACAGATGAAATACAAATTTAGTTTATAATAAGTTTGAAAAAGCTTTGCAACCAATAAATAATGCCTACTTCATCTGAAAAACTTGAGAATTAAATCAGAGGAAGGAGTTGCAGACTAAGGGATTTCTGGGGAAAGGCTGTACAAATAATTACCCTAAGAACACAGCTGTGTTTGCTTTGTTGTTGGATAAAAAATGGTATTAACCTTAAGGTTTCTTTTATAATCCTGGGAAATTTTAAGTTTTCAAAATGTTTTACTTGTTGAAAGTAAGCAAATTAATACTACAAACAAACATTCATTCATTCAACAAATATTTATGAAACACCAATATAAGTGAGGCAACTTTCTAGAAACAGAGTATGCAGCCAAGAAACAGAGTAGAACTGTCCCTGACCTCATAGGGCTTATCTTCTAGTGAGGGTTGTCAATATGTGGGCAGGGGTAGAGTCAAATAATAGGGAAATTAACTGGTGCACAATATTAACAGATAATGGTTGCTGTTGAAACAAGAAGAGATTGGATTGCTAACAGAGGGAGGAATTTGTTCATTTTTATTGAATAGTTGGAGAAGGGTTCACGAATAAGGTAACATTTAAGCCATGCATATAGAAGAGAGCAGCAAGAACAAACCTCAAGTTTAAAAAGTGCTCCCCGCTGTTCAAGGGGAAGCAAGAAGTCCAATGTAGCTGCAAGACAATAAGTCAATGATAGGATGACCAACAGGAGATGTGGACAAAATGTAGAGATGCGTGGAGCAAGGGAGATGGAGCCAAATATTGTAGGGCCTTGCTGGCCATTTGGGGACCTTTTTTTTCTTTTACTGAGTGAGGTAGGAATTCATTGGACAGTCTTACATTTTAGAAGAATTAATCTGGCTTTTCCTAAATCTAGATTGTGGAGAATGAGGGTATAAGGAGTCTATTGTGATAACCCAGGGGAAAGCTGATGGATGCTTGGATCAGAGTGAAAGCAGGGAAGGCAGGGACACATGGTTCTATTCTAAGTGTATTTGTTTTGAAGACATAAGAAACATGAATATCAATATGTAAAATATTAAGTTACTATCTACTTAATATGAAAATTATCTCCATATATGTGACAGGCTTTTATTATTACCAAAAACACAATAATCACAAAGGCTTCTTCAACTCTAAAACAGTTAAGAAAATATTTCATATATTTTTCATTGACATCAAACATCAAAAAGGAGAGAGGAAAAACTATCTTTGTGATTGTTGTGTGTCCAATCTATGTGTTGGCACATAAATACATTTACTTTACTTATAATATAGTATCTGATCTGAAAAATAAACTGTTGGAATATATGTGGATGTTTGTTTCCTTCTAATCATTTAAACTGACTGTGTTATTGAAATCAAATTTATAAACTGCCTGCCTATGTAGACACCCAGAAGCAATTACAAATGCATTGAAAACATCATTACTTACATTCTGGCCCTATACAGTCTAGAAGTGGTATCTTTTCTTCCTGGCTAGGTAGTTATTCTGAATCAAGGAGTCTGACTACTTCCGGTAGAAAGCCAACAGTGGGACTTCAACCATTACTTAAATGTAGGCTGGAGACAGAATCTGAAAAGGTTTTCATTTGCAAATTACTGCATAACATACTACTTCAAATTTATTAGCTTAAAACATGAAGCACTTATGATTTCTCATAAGTCTCAATGGATCTCAGCTCTGCTTCTTCCCTTGTCTGAAGTTTGCTGGCAGGTTGGTAGGGGCTAGCCCGTCTAGGATAGTCTTAGCTGGTATGACTCAGCTCTGCCCCTTGGATTCTTCTCATAGTGAAGGTGAAAGTACATGGGACAAAGTGAAAAATGCACATACTTTTTCAAACCTCTGCTTGTGTTAAGTCTGATAATGTCCTATTGGCCAAATCAAGTCACCTGGCCAAGCGCACATTCATGGTGTGGGGGTAAAAGGTCTCTGATTATTTAATAAAAAGAACTTCAAAATCACAAGAACTTTAAAGAGCAAACAAAACAAACAGCCTCAACCACAAACACAAAAATCATTACAACCATCATATCTGTGACAAGTGTCAAGTTTGGAAGACAAGCAAGTTTGGTTAAGGCCTTATTCCAAATTCTGACCTTTTGTTGTTCACCAAAATGTGGTTGCAGTGCCTAGAACAGAAAAGTGATTCAAAGGCTGTTTAAAACACTTCCAAATACTCCCCCCAAAGCTTACCCTGGTAAGCACACTAATAGGATCACACAAGATCACATTTTGGACACTTAAGTGAAAAATAAGAGATACAAGACATGAAATTCAAGAACTATTCAGTTCAGTCTTTGGAAAAAGACAAGGCAATTTCTGGTTGGAGCTGATCCCCTGGCTCTTAAATTGTACTTGATTTCTTCAAGTTTCAATAATCAGATCTTTGAAAATTTCACCCCATGCACTCTGATATCTTATACTTTTTCTCTTTTATTGACATCAGACAACAGCTAAATTGGATTGCCAAGTATGAATCAAAATAATTCAAAGATGATTAAAATATTAAGGATGTCTCAAAGGCATGACAATGTACCAGTCTAGCACACTAGTCCAGAAAATGTAACCAAGTCTAGTGTAGTGTTTTCCAGAAGGTCTTTTAATATAAGCAATTAATTTTTAAAATGTTACAATAAAATTAATATAAACTTCATGCCTAGAATCTGTTAAACTCATTCTTCCTCCTGATAATTATTCCAATTAATTTGTGGTCAAATAATAGTGATTATGGAAATTTTAGAGATTCCACATCTTCTTATTCTGACTATAAACCACAGTCTGGGTAATTTGCTGCATCAATAATGTCAAAATTAATAAGCTAAAGTCAAAACAGTATTAGAAACAGTTTTAATATTTACTACAAATATACCTAAAATCTGCTTTAGACAAGAGAGAATTAAGTAAATAAAAGCCAACAACATTAAGAATTTATTTTGTTATTACCAAAAACTACATATAACATTTCCTATTATCCTTGATTCAACGCTTTTGCCAGTTAGGACTCCAATATGTACTTACCCATATCCCAAAGACCCGTATTCTGTATCCTGATGCCTCTTTCTCTTCCTTCCTTGATTAATCATTGCTGTAACTGCTGTAGCTGTTCTATAGCAGTTCTCTCTTTTCTGCCATAGATGGAAGCCATTTTGAAAATTCTAACTTCCAGTTGAGTAGCCAGGAATTTTTGCTATTAATAAATTTCTTTCTTGTGGAAGGTGTATGTGTGTGTGTGTGTGTGTGTGTGTGTGTGTGTGTGTAAATGTGTATATCTAAAACTTTAATTTTCCTATCTTATTATTTTCTTCCCCTTAGACAAATCTCAGTTTGTTATTATTGTACCTAGAGTAGGAGCTAAGAATAATGGCTAGTTTAGAGATGGAAGTCTGAAAAATTCCTGAATCTAAGCAGTTAACCTTCTTTCTATGTTCCTTTTGATGAGATTCTGTACTGTGACTATTTGTAAATATAAAAGCAGCTCCCTGAGACAGATGGTTATTTACAGTGTTTTCTCTATTATGCAGGATAAATTATTAACAAGAAAATAATTGAATATTGAATATGCCCTGGCAAAGAAATAATCTTTCACCAAGTCTGTCACACAGTATGCTGCAAGCATGCATTCCAATTAGTAGAGTGGGCCAAGTAGATTAATGTATCAAATTGTTTAAATTCATGATTCAATCCTACTTTCCTTAAGAACTTAGTACAATTGCAAATCAATTATTATTCAAGTTTGTTAACTTTCTGCAAATTTCAACTATATTTTATGACTCATGGATTTAAATCATAATTCAATATGCATATAATTGAAAAAGTTTTCTCAAAAGCTTGTTTTCATTTATTTTCATTTTGATAGCATTATATCACAGCTGATCAAGTAATTTATCATGTTAACATATTAAAATGCATTCATAGGAAATATTTTACCTCATTTTTATAAGTAATTTTTTAAGCTACCAAGGATTGGAATAGAAAAGAACATAGTTAGGAGAGGGAATAGCCAAATTATTTTCATATCTTTGGATCATACTATCAATAGGAGAAAAAGCAAAACTGTTTAACCATTATAAAATAACAGTAGACTATATCAATGGTTCTCAAAGTGTGCAGTACCTGGAAATTTGTGAGAATTGCAAACTCTATCACCCCAGAACTTCTGAATCAGAAAGTCTGCAATTAGGGCCCAGCCATCAGTATTTTGACCTCAAACTGATTCTGATGAAAAGGTAAAGTTGCACAACTACTCTCCTATTGAGCTTTTATCTCTTCAAGCACTGTTGCAGTCATATTATCATTTAATCTACATTTAAAAGACAAAGTATTATCACAATATTTAACAAATGAGAAAAATGAAATTCAGGAAGATTATGATTAGCTTCTTCAAAGCTCCTCAGCTACATTGATGGCAGAACCAATATCTGATTTGACTTTCACTAACATTTGTCTCCATTAACAAACTCATAATTTTCAGCCTAAATGGATAGAAACATTAAAGGAAAAGGAAAGTCTAAGTCAGCTGCAAAGAATTATGTTACATAGTTTCTGCTATGGAGCCAACTTTCATTCTTTCAACAAGTATTATACCAGGGACTATGGTAGGTACAGGAGATACAACCAGAAGCAAAACAGAGTTCTTTCTCTTATGGATCTTGCCATCTACCACGAGAAGCAGGAAAAAAAAAAAGGATAATTTCACTATAGAAGAAAGTATATAAAGGATGTAAAGGTCACTACGATGGGCACATAGGAAAAACGCTTCTTCTGGCTCTAAGATTAAAGGAAGAGGAGGCAGGTGGTTCCTGGAACATGAGGTGTAACTAATCTTTCAGTAGAGTAGGGGAGAAAATATCTTAATCCATAAAAATAGCTAAAGATGTGAGAGAGAAGAATGGGCATGCATCTTTATTATCCTGCCATTTGTTATCTAAAGAACAGTGCAAACATTTTTAATTTTCATTATTATGAAGGGCTATTGTCTGTATATTATATTTATATGTATGTGTATATATATTTATATGTGTATGTGTGTATATATATGTGTGTGTGTATATATGTATTTGAAATCCAAAATGTTTTCAATTGAGTTTTCTTATTAGAATGCAATAATTTAAATATTTTAGAGCATAAAAATTAAGCTAATATTCATTCAGTTTATTAAAAAACTATAATTTGGAAGATTAAAAACAAAAACAATAGTTCACAGCTTATTTTATATTTGTGGGAATCAGATACAAAAAAAAGGTGACTTGATGCCCCTAGAAAATATTTACAGTCAATACAAACATGGGAGACAGCTTTGAATATGGTGTAGAATACATGTTAATAAAAATGTATAATATACACAAACTTCTGGTCTGCTGCAGTTTGTATAGCATTATGAAATTAATGAAAATATATTATTTTCATAACAAGTGTCAGCAAAATGCAGCACAGTAATGTTAAACTATTCTATTTTTGCAGATTCAACCTCATATTCAGTTTTCTCTTACACTCCAGCATTACATATGATGAATGTGAAAAAATAAACAGGCAAACACCTAATATATTATAGCAGATGGAGAAAAAATAGCTAAATCGGAATGATTTCCCTAAATTTTCAGTATGTGAAGCAATGAAAATAAAAATTTAATATTCAGCCTCCTCATTTTAATTATTTCACAACAGTGAACCCATAGTGATCAGGGTATTTTGTGTATTAAATTATATTGTTTGGCATTATTGTTACGTGATTCTAGATAATATTTCTATCAGCTAACTAATTTCTACATTAACCAAAATGTATAGCTAATAGGCCAATAAACATGACGAGGGAAAAGAGGACTTTCTAACCCTTTGTGAGTCCACAAAAATGCTCATTTCTAGAAAAACCAAAGAATACATTGACCTCACTATCAATCAGGTAATGTCAATGTTAGCTGCAGCTCTGGCTGTGCACAAATTCTTTTTGCAACAAGGTGAGACATAAATAAATATCCCGTCAGTGATATTAAATATTTATTACATTAAACTTTTAAGTATTGAAAACAACTTTTAATCTCAGGAAGAAATATTATGATAGTTTAAAATTAGTTCATAAATAATTGGATATTTATAGATACAGTAGGTTGCTTTCAGAGTTTGCTCTCAGCAGGGAATTAAAATGCACCTCTATGCACATGCTGGTGCAGAAGAGATGAAATGCAAAACCAAGATCTCTCCAGAGGACACCAACATTCTTGGACAATTTCCAAAAGGAGGCACAAAGTACAGGCTAGTTCTAATTTGGTGTCTGATAGCCAAGAGAGAAGGCCATTGTTGTGGAGGTGATGAATGGGGAGGCAATGAGGAGGGGTCATTACAGAAATAGCAAGCAGTTGTGGCAGTTTTTTGAGTTAAATTTTACAAAGAATATTTTGAAAACAAGATGGGCCAAACAGAACCAAACCATCTGTCTATCTTGGGTCTCAAAGCTGTTGGGGAAGAGACAGTTATTGAGAAACCATATCCATCCCAAAGATCTTAAATTGGAAGCATAGTCAAGGGGTTATAATGCCTTCTTTGGTTGACAAGTTCTAACCCGCTTCAGTCTATTACAATCTCAGATGTTGTCTGTAATAATGCTTGGTGTCCTATGTCGTTGGATCCAGACATCGTTGGAATAACCAACCATGTCCCAGAACAGTGCTTAATGGAAACAACTAAGTGAGTCTAGGATTAGGTCAGGGTTTGATATTATCTATGCTATTTATTGACTAAAATATTTCAAATGCAATCTAGCCTGGAATAGAAAGGTAGACAAGTCAATCTAGAATAGAGGTAAAAATTATTCAAATTAATTTTGCAAGTGGATGTTTTAAATGCATGTCTATTATGACATGTTTTCTAGACTCTTTAAAGAACTATGTCAGATATGAAGTAGTATTTATTCGACTTCAGAGTGAACTGAGACAACCCATGATTTAGAAATGAGGCAAAAATTGTCTCAGAATAGACTACAGTTAAATAAATAATACTTATAAGTTTATAAGTATTGTATAACGATACTCATGCATATAAGAAATCATGGTATTTCTCCATTTACAATTTTGAAATTTCTATTTTCCTATTAAAATAAAGAAAAATACATCATCTATGCTAGAGGGCTTCATGTAGCCAAGTGGCATTACTCCAGCATTGAGCCCCCAAAAGAAGAAAAGAGGTGATAGGATAAGGAAAGAGCACAAAGAAACTTGCAGTAAACTGCACATACTTTTGTCCTTCAAGAGGCATTATATTTTCCTTAAATTCATTGCCAGTTTTCCTTGGGGACCATTGTCTGTTTTCTTTAAGAGAATGTGAGGATATATTTATGTATTTTAACTGCTAAATTAATAGTTAAAAATTCAATGTGACTTTTATTTCTTTCAAAGAATGAGATTAAAATTTTAAATGGTTTCTTTTATTAAAAAGAGACTATATGCAGTTTTATCCAAATACTTTTTCTATGTGTTTAATTATTGTATAACCACTAAACATATTATATAATTTGTTTTTATGCAATAGTAGTGGATATGTTTTTAAAAGTTTAACTAATATATTTTTAAGATGAATAGAACAAACATTTAATATCACTTAAAAGTGATATTAGAATGTACTACCCTGCACTAACAGCTATTTTTGTTACATAAATCTTTAAATACACTTTCTTATTCTTGCAGTCATAGTTAAGGAAGAAGTTGTAGAAAAAAAGTAAACATATGGTAGATGCTATTTATTCTTTTTTCTGGTAATATGAAAAGTCAAATTTAGAATTTCAAGCTAGAAATATCTCAGAGAGTATAGTATCTTTTACCTTAAATATATTCTAAATTGGTATGAAATATTTCAGTATCTCATCCAAACTTGTCATAAAGTTCACTTTATTATTTTCATTTTCTTATTTAATATTCTCTTCTGATAACTGCAACATTCGTGGTGAATGTGATTCAGAGTTTTCAGTGGCTGTGAAAAGTCCAGTTAGTCATAGAATTGGTAGCTATGGAAGAACTTTGGAGAATATTTCAGATTCTTATAGTGTGTTGAGAAATATAAATCATTGCATTCAAATATTAACTAAATTACTGCTCACCTCTGACTGTGAAGGAGTCGGGGGGGGCTCAGATTGTATTGGATTTACTCAATTTATTCTAAAAGTGCCAAATGCATGTTTGGACAGTAGTTCATTTTAAATTTCTTTAAATATCTCTAGTGTCATATATAATAACAAATGAATTATAATGTATATTCAATGACTATATTTAGTGTCATCCTGCTTTTCCTTCTTTAGAATTTTATTAGACCACCTTACATAAAAACAGCATCATCAAATTCTGATGTGGTATGATTTTCTCTGTTGAATAAATATTTCAAAAAAGCCAGGGGCATTAGTTAAGAGGAGCATTAAAAAAACAACCCAAATGTCAATCCAAGTTAGTATGGATAAATAAAATGTAGCATATCTATGCAATGCAATGCATCCAATGATGGAAATGAATGAGCACAGAGCAAAATAAAATGTGCAGTGAAAGAAGTAAAACCAAAGAATACATATCCTATGATTCTTTTTTATAAAGAGTTCAAAATCAGGCAAAACTGTTTTATATCATTTAGAAGTACATACTATAAAGAGCTTCACAGCAAGTCAAAAAAAGGGGGGGCCATAAGTGTTAGCATAGAGGTTTGCCTCCAGGAGGGAGAACAGCCCCTGGAAATAGAAAGTGGCACAAGAGGGTTATCTTCTGGGGTGTTGGCAATAGTCTCTTTCTTGACCTGAGGGCAGTTACATAGGTGTTTGCTTTACAATAACACATTAATCTCTGTAGCCTTCTGTATATGTGCCCTAATTCTCAGTAAAAATAGATAATAATGATGATGATGATGATGATGATGATGATGATGATGATGGTAGAATAGATGGATGGATGGATACATAGATGTAAAAGGAAAGGGAATAATTAAAATCAATAAAACTAGGATATTTGATCTATTGCTGTCTATTTCAACCAAGAGGTACAGTTGGACTGCCATAGAAGGTACATCATAAAGGGTCATGGTACATACTTTGGAAAGAAGTCTAAGACAGGAACTAAAAAGTTGGGTCTAGAATCCAGATCTATACTTTGACACATTCTGTGTATATCATGGAAATGATCACTTCAATTCTTTGTGCATCAGGGTTCTTATCTGCCCACTGAGGTAATAACCATTTATAGAAAAGTCTGTGATAATTTCAATGAGATTATACAAATTATTTGGATAATAATTTTTCATCTGCATCTTTCTCCCAAATCCTCCAATCCTGTACATGAGGATGTAAAAAAAATTATGAGGTATAATTACCAGTAAGCACCATCTACTTTTACATATTTCATGTATGCAGTTTTTTGTTCGACAAACTTTTGTGGTTTTTTTAATTATTTTGAGTTCAGGGGTACATGCGCAGCATGTACAGGTTTGTTACATAGGTAAACATGTGGCTTGCTACACAGATCATCCCATCACCTAGATATTAAGCCCAGCATCCATTAACTATTCTTCCTGATGCTCTCCCTCCTCCCACCTGCCACCTTTCAATAGGCCCCAGTATGTGTTGTTTCCCCCCCCATGTGTCCATGTGTTCTCATTATTGAGCTCCCACTTATAAGTGAGAAGATGTGGTATTTGGTTTTCTGCTTCTGCATTACCTTACTGAGGATAATTGCTTTCAGCAACATCCATGTCCCTGCAAAGGACATGATCTCATTCCTTTTTATGGCTGCATAGTATTCCATGGTGTATATGTACCACATTTTCTTTATCAAATCTATCATTGATGGGCATTTAGGTTGATTCCATGTCTTTGCTATTGTGAATAGTGCTGCAATGAACATAGGAGTGCATGTATCTTTATGATAGAATTATTTATATTCATTTGGGTGTATACCCAGTAATGGGATTGCTGGGTCAAATGCTATTTCTGGTTCTAGGTCTTTGAGGAATTACCACAATGTCTTCCACAATTGTTGAACTAATTGACACTTCCACTAACAGCATAAAAGAATCCCTTTTTCTCCACAACCTCACTGGCATCTGTTGTTTATTTGACTTTTTAATAATAGCCATTCTGACTGCTGTGAGATCATATATCATTGTAGTTTTCATTTGCATTTCTCTAATCATCAGTGATGTTGAGCTTTTTTTCATATGTTTGTTGGATGCATGTATGCCTTCTGAGAAGTGCCTGTTTATGTCCTTTGCCCACTTTTGAATGGGGTTGTTTTTTTCTTGTAAATTTTCAACAAACTTTTGTTGAGCAAAACACTGTGGTCATGAATAAGGAAAAGGGTTTTATTATTTTTATGTTGCATACACACATAGTCACACATGTTCACATGCACACATGTACATGTACCACACACACACACAGAGGCAATTTTTTATTTCTTAATTCCCTTTTATGAATTGGTGTCTCTAAACATGATAAGGGAAGAAAAGTATCAACTAATGATTATGCACCACTTTTCAGAAATATTGAGGTCATAGTCTGGAATATTATGAAAGATTCTTTCAAATTATGACCCTCTTGAAAATAATTTGGAAATAAACTGATTTTGCATTTAAGTGACACTGATGGATTAATAAGTTAATGTATACCTAGATTTTGTGATATTCATAAAAAGATTGTAACTGAATATTTGTGTAGTATTGATTTGATTTTAGATACCTTTAATTAATAGCAACCTAAGTCCAACAGCACATTTTGCAAAAGCAAATTTATACACCTGAAATAAAATGTAAGTTGATTTTATTAAATGAAAGTCCAAACTTACTTAATATGAGTCCATTGAGTCCAAACTCAATGATTTAAACATATTTTCTCCAATAAATAATGCCCCATAGCTTTCTTAAATTAATATTTACTCCTGAAATAAATATTATACCATATTTATTGGTATGATATTTAATAGAAGGTAAAGAATTTAATGTGCATTTTCTTCCTCAAATAAATAAATATTGAACTTAACTTGTCCTTCGAGCATTGAGATGTCTTCCACTAAACACCTACAGCTTTAAACACACCTCCTGGAACCCTGCATAGAATGATTTAATAGTTACATATTGAGAAGAATTTTAAAAAGTGTCTCTGACACCCTCTTTATTCCATTGAAGAACTTACCACTGGTGGGACAGAAGAATTGTCTGTGGTCGCCAAGGTTTTTTTTTAACAATTACTAAAAATTTACTTTTTACATCTTCATGCCCATTGGCAAAGTAATACCAAATTGCAAGGTTTAAACTATGTAGGTTTTATTTTTTTATACAAACAACATTTATTTCCAATAATGCAATTAAATTATTTGTTGTCTTTATGTATTATAGCTATGACAACAGTACAATATATACCCAACTCTATCATTTCATTCTACAACCAGTAGTACAATTAGAATTTGTGTCTATCTCTTAGCTTATTTTGAACTAATTTTCAGGACACAGCAGTACAATGTGTAGAGTACAGTGTGGTGGGCATCAATGGTTATTCTGAGGAAGAAAATGGGCATTAAATTCTTACCTCCTATGAAAGAAACATAGTAGGGGTGTAAATATATTTATTTCATTCATAACTTTGATAACTAGGGCCTACCCATCTGCCAGACTATATTATTGTGTAAATAGCTCCCATCTGAGCTAGGTGTCTTGCTAACTCAGATCAATTAGTACTTGTAATTGAAGCTCAATAATAATTACTGCTACATCTAGTGAGCATTTAATTCCTGTGTGCCAGGCATAGCTATAGATACAGTTTAAGCTGCTCAAGTTTAACACAGTAAAAATGATAAGAGCATAGGTGCTTATAAAGAATTACTATTACAAGGAAACTGGGTATGAATACAGTTTTTAAGGGTATAATTTTGGGCCAGGCTTGGTGGCTCACGCCACACTCCCAACACTTTGAGAGGCCTAGTCGGGTGGATCTTCTGAGGTCAGGAGTTCGAGACCAACCTGGCCAACATAGCGAAACCTCATCTCTACTAAAAATACAAAAATTAGCCGGGCATGGGGGCGGGCACCTGTAATCCCAGCTACTCGGGAGGCTGAGACGTGAGAATAGCTTGAACCCAGGAGGCAGAGGTTATAGTGAGCCAAGATCGCACCATTGCACTCCATCCTGGGTGACAGAGCGAGACTCCGTTTCAAAAAAAAAAAAAGATACAATTTTGAATTCACTGCCTATATCTAATTTCCCAGCATTTATTACGATTCACCAAATAAGGTAGCAATCATATATAGGGATTTTTAGATCATGAGGTTTTTAGGTGTCTTCTGGATTCAGATGAGTTCCTTGAAATCATCTTGCAAACTGAAAGTGACTGTGATATAAGAAATAACCATAAGGCTATGGCAAAGCTGAGAGTGACAGAGTTTATGCAATTTTCCTTAGGAAAACTGCATGATATCTATTTTGAATCCTCCACCTGGCATTACTCATTTTATTTATGGAACGCATTCTCCCCAGAGTGACATCTTCTTTCCGTATCCATAATGTATAATTGTGATCCTTAGACCTTATCATGAAAGGACAGGTGGAATATTATTTTAAGCACCAGGATATTTCTTAGTAAATATCATATGTAGAGTATTGACCCTTTCAGGGACAGCAATCACATAGCAAAAGGAAAGCACAATTTTATCTCTTGTTCAATCACATTGTTATTCTCTTTATTCTCTGGATTTAGGGTCTGTTCCTATAATAGGTAACACTTCTAAAGATAAAGAAAGCACTTAAGAGAATTTTGGGATGTGTTCCACAAGAGACCTGGACCACATTTTCAGTTAATAGTGTTTGATAAATTGACCATGAAACATTAAAAAAAAAACACAGATCTTAATTCATTAATTGCTGTTAGCATTTTATTCGTAAGATAATTACCATACATGTAATCATTAATGATCTACGCTCATGGAGAATGTCTTTACAGGATGATATTTCTGAGATGTTTTAAGACTCCTACATTACTGAATTTGTAAAGGGAACTGTGATTTTTGTTTCAAAAATTTAATAAGTTAAATGATTAATACATATAGTCCTCCCAGAAAAAAGGAAAAGGCAAATCATAGTCATCTCTTTCATTACTGTAAAATGTGGTAATAATTTAGAGACCAATATTTTGTTGATTCAATTTTTGTCATTTACTAAATTAAACAATAATATGTATAACATAATTCCAGTTATGAGTTTACTCTTGGGAGTAACTATATCTTTACTTCATCTCATTTCCTCTCTAAAAAGTCATCTGGATGTGAAAGTATACACACAAGGTAAAATATATAGTATATTATAGTGTAAAAGTATGATTTTTAAAGAACTTGGAAAAAGAAAGAAGTTTAATGGGACTTATATTGGGTTCTATAGATGCAGATTAAAACTAATAGTTACAGTAGTTTTAATTCCTATGTTTCATGTATAGAAACCATGCTATCATTCTTCTAAATCTGTAAGCTTTTTGCTGTAGATTTAGGATTTAGAGCATTATATCTAATTCTAAAACAAACATTTGAATTATGAAGAAGTTCTTATGCTGCAGAAATTTATTTAAATTTAGACTGTCATTAGCATCAAGAATATTTTTTATTCCATTAACAACTTTTAATTAATCATACAATTTGCTTTTATTTCAGAAAATACCACGTATCTTTATAGACTAGGAGCTCAGATATATTATTTCCAGCTTTCTTGATGTTACCTCAAATTGAAGTTGCCAATGGTAGGACTGCACAATCTGAATACATATGATGAGATATTTTATGCCTCGTTTTCCATCTGCTTGAGTTAGCACCCTTTCACCATTGGCCATTTCATACTACCCAATTTCCATGTAATTTGTCTCTCTAATCTTGTCAGCCCCTTGAAATGAAGGTGCACTTTATTCAGGGATTATTTTCATGCTCAAGATCATTTTGTGAATTATTTTATATCATTATAAATAATCCTACTGTTACCTTTTCAATACAAGAATTTGATTTCCCAGCATTAATGGGTTCATTCAATAGTAGTGCCAAGTTCATACAGCAACACTGTAATTGCATTTTAATCAGAAACTAGTAATATATGCTGAAGATACTTTGTTAAATTAACATTATTGCTGTGATTAACAAAGCACACTGTTAAGTGAATATTGCATGAATTAAATTACATACTAGATCACTTACATAGTTTAGGATTTCATGTGCTATCTAGCTACCTCTTCCCACAAAATCTACATCCTTATCTGTTTTACTCATAAAAATGTAATTCTTGAAGCTCATAAGCATAGCTACTTAAATGATTCCTTTGCTTAATAGAAACATCTTTGTTCACTACAACAAGCTTATCTGCACTACATTTTTTAGGAATAAAGGATATGTGATATGTATTATTTGAAAACTGGCATTCAATTGCCACACTTGGCTGTTCACCATAAAACTCCTATTTGAAATCTAACTTTGAGGACTTCTTTGAGGATACTAGAGTTATAGTTCTGAAATAGTTACTTGCAGAAATGCTATCTATTAATTTAAATTTTGGTTTAAAAAACTCATAATATTTTTTTTTGAGACAAGGATTCACTCTGTTGCCCAGGCTGGAGTGCAATAGCACAGTCAGAGCATATTGCAGCCCCAAACTTGTGGCCTCAAGTAATTCTCCTCCTTTAGCCTCCAGAATAGCTAAGACTACAGGCAAGCACCACCATGCCTGGCTAAATTTTTTTTTGAATGTTGTAGAAATGGAGTGCCACTATGTTGCCCAGGCTGGTCACAAATTCCTGTCCTCAAGCAATCCTCCCAAAGTGCTAGGATTACTGGCATGAGCCACTGCACCCAGCCTTAATCATTTTTAGTGCACAGTTTAGTGGTATTAATTATAGTCATGTTGTTGTACCACAGATCTCTAGAACTTTTTCATTTTGCAAAACTGACACTCTGTACCCATTAAACAATAAATCCTCATTTTCAAAATGAGATAGCTTCTCTAGATTTAGTAAAGCTCTCTTCTTTTTCATTATTTTGCTTTTCTGTGAAAGGGGACTTCAAATTTATTTTGAGGAAACAAATGTAAACACTCATCTTAAAGTATGTATATTAAGACTATTTTAATAATCAGAGCAAACTTTCATTTATTTAGCTATTTTCAGTTTGCAGCCTACCATGCCAAACATTACTTTATTGCTGTTCCCTGCAGTCCTTTTGACAAGGATGGAGCACTGTCAGAGCTGCACTGGAGCTGGAGACAGGGATAGAGGACACTCAGGATGACAGCCCCCACCCAGAATCCTGGAGAGGAAAGTTGCTATTGTTGAAAACATAATGGATCTGGTTGTTATTAAAGTACCTGAAGTCAGCTGCATAAATTGGGAAGCATATGCACGCTTCTGCTTTACTGTGGCAATTTAAAACAATATAAATTTCATAAAATTCTCATTGAAAAAAAATGACCAAGAAAAGCCCTAAAAATAGTAGGAAATGTTACCCATCATTACATCCTCCACCATCAAGGCCAAGTAGTCAATACCCACGCCAGATAAGCACTGTGTGCCTATGTGAGGTGGTCATTAAAGAATGATGAGGAAAGGACCACAGAAATCAACTGGTGTCTTCCCAAAGTCCTGGGGACGCTGAGGAACACACATGGGTCTCATAATGTCCATGTCCTTCCCTTATACCTCAATGCTCTTTCCACCTTGCCCTGGTGGAAAGTCTTGTCCATATCACCTCTAATCCAGCATTCTCAAAGCAGCACAAAACTGTCTTCAGAAGACTGAATGTTTCTACATTCCTTCATATTAATTCCAGGAAAAGAATTCCCAAGTCAAATAATTCAAATGCTAAGTGTATTTTTTAAAATTGTTTTTAGGCACTTTCTCTTAGGAATGTAAACTCTTTGAGGGCAGGGTCTATGTCCTTTCATCATTGTGTTCATCAGGCTTTATCATTGTCTAGCATATGGTGGATGGATAAACAACCATCTCCGTAAAGATATCTGATTTCTATTCCAACTACACAAGCTCCTTTTCTAGTATACACAGCCACCAAAATAATGCTTAAAACATATGTCTCAGAATGACAATCAAGATAGAAGTCTTAAAGCAAGAAAGATGTTTTCCTTGTTTGTTCTTCTATAAATTCTCTAAAGATTCATAAAATTTAGCTATACAATCTACTTCAGATAATGGCTTCTAGATGCTATGTAGAAATTGGCCCATTATGCAAGATAAAAATCATCTAAGATTATAATGCAAATCAGTCATCATAAAAAATATAAAGATCTAGAATTTATAGAAATTCTACTGAGCATTTATTTTATGTGAAAGAAAAATACATCCACAGTACATACATAATTAAATGTAAATGTATGCTGAAAAAGTTCATAATCATGAAAAATACATATCTTGATGGACTACTTTTATTTGGCAACCTTTACCTTCCAATATCTGTCATAATATTAGAGTAGATTAGAAATTATATCTACAGTCTCAACTCATTTTATGAAATATGAGTAACGGTAGGTATAGATAATTTATTTTCCCTCAGCTGTACATAAAGATGGATAATTACATCTTTCTAAAAAAATGAAGCTGACCAGGCGCGGTGGCTCACGCCTGTAATCCTAGCACTTTGGGAGGCCGAGGTGGGTGGATTGCTTGAGCTCAGGAGTTCAAAACCAGCATGGGCAACACAGTGAAACTCTGTCTCTACTAAAAATACAAAAAAAAATTAGCCGGGTGTGGCGATGTGCGACTGTAGTTCCCAGTTATTCGAAAAGCTGAGGCAGGAGAATTGCTTGAACCTGAGAGGCGGAGCTTGCAGTGAGCGGAGATCACGCCACTGCACTCCAGCCTGGGCGACAGAGCAAGACTCCGTTGCCAAAAAAAAAAAAAAAAAAGAGGAAGAAGCCATTAGGTCTCTTCTAACCTTTACCTTTGCAGACTTTAATGTTGTCAGCTAGTCCAACATCATTATGCACTATTATTTGAAGGTGCTCATCCATTTTCCCAGCATCTTTTGTGTTGTCATAACCCTTACATGCAGTATCAGTAAATATGGCTTTATTGTTTGACAACATAAATTCCTTAGTGACGTTTTCAAAAGAATAAGAGTTTTTAACCATTTAGTTAAATAGAAATAAATTGATGATGGGAAATGTCTGCATTCTATGTTTAATTTTTCTATCAATCTAAAACTGCTCTAAGAAATAGAATTCATTAACTAAAGTAATGATGTAGGAAAAGTTTAAACTAATTTACTGTTTACTTAAACTGCAATAGCAAAGGCAGGAGAATAACTTAACAACCTTACAGTTAATTATTTTACAGGATATGTTACCTGCCTTTCATCTTCCCTGAGTATAAGACAAGGAAGCAGACTTAAACTCTCATGAGAGAAATGTAAGTTGTATAAAAAAAAAAAAATTCTGATGGTCAGAGTCTGCTAATAGTATTGAAACTTCTGGATTTCATATCCTGGATGCAGGTGATTAAATTGTCTGGTATAGCTTAACATTCTCTTGCCTAGAAAGAAGAAGATAAATTAGTCAGCACTTGGAAAACTGATCCAACTTCTTGTTACTATAATTCTATATTTCTCAGACTGGTTTGCTAAGCCCATTAGAACAGGGGCTTCATGAAATTAAGGTCACAGGTCTAATTCTTATTTCAACCTATTAGCTTCCCTTTCTTCTGAGGGACTTTACTTCAAACATCAGCCAATCATCTTGTAACTTTCACCCAGTCACGAAACTCACAAGACAACATACATGGAGTGGTCAGGCACCTACTCATTCCCATAATTCTCTGGAACATACTTCAGTGTGGGCTGGACTATCGGTGTCACAAGAAGATACATGACACCGCAGAGATGGCCCAGTACAGTTTTTCCTTGTCAAAATCATAAAAAGACTATGGTAATCCTACAAATTCTGATTCACCCGTGTCAAAGAAAGGAAGGAAGCTTCAGAAGGTTGTTTTCTTTTCTCCTTCAGAGACTTACACCAAATTATTTTGAATTTGCATTTTTTTCCAGTCTTTAATTCTTGACCAGTAAGAAGTCTCTCAACTCTAGTCATTGAATCTACCAAAATATTTTGTTTCAAAAAATAAGAAAAAAATATTGCATTTTTCTACATTTTTGAGTAGAAGAATCTCCCTAATCATTGGTTATAAAAAATGAAAATATAACACTGAACAAGTTAATATTACAAATAACAAAATAAATGCCCACTGTGTAAAAATAATGCAAAATTCATATTTCAAAGTTACCATAATTTGAATACATAGGTCTCTTAGAGTCAAAAACCTCATAAAATGTGTGATGACATTTTTCAGGACATATGTAGCATCTTCTAATCAGATGCTAAATGTGATCTATTAACTATCACTTGGGTAGCTGCAGCCCTACATCGATTGTTTTATCCTGTTGATAAAATAAAAATTTACCTCAGGAATGACTCACTGGTTAGTAAAACTGAATTCTCTTAAGCTTAGGACTTGGGAAAATCAATAATTGGAAAGATAAATGTTTTGAGTCATAATGAAAAGCATGTATAATAAAATCCTGTATAAGAGCCTGAGGCATCATCCAAATTTATAGAAGTGGTAACTAAGTGTTCAAAGACAGGATAGAGGAAAGAGCCTAGAAACCTGGTTCAATGTCTGGAAATATTTGTCTCTTTAGAGTGATAAATGAGTTTTAATCAAATTGACTGTAGAAATAGAACCAAAAGGAACATTATTCTAAGTGGTATCGGTAATCAAGGAAGAAAAGCCTGGTATTAAGAACTTACCATCTTTTCAGTGGTCCCTTAAGATGAACCAACGATTTGAAGAAAACAAACTTGATTATAATATACAAGCTTGCCTATATTTATTTATAAAATATTCTCAAAGTGTAGTTTAATTTTAATAAACCTCTCTCTCTGAGTCAGGGCTCATAAAATTTAACTATAGTACCTGGCCTAATTTTTTTGAGTCATATGTTAATGTAAATCATTAATTAATCTCATATATTGATGAGTATAGTATGAATTATCTTTTTATAATATCTTTGATATATAAATATTCACATAAAAGGTTATAATGTGTTCTAAAGAATTAATTTCTGACTATACATTATATACTACTAGTGTCTAGTTTAAGACTATATATCACTTCTTGTTTGGGAATTTATGTTTATATTTAAATGTCAATAATTATCTTCACTAGCTCACCAATTACATGCAATTAGTGATTACAGGCAAATAATTTCCTAAAAATTTGAATGAAATGATCTTTTAAATTGTGTTATGAAATATCAAACAATATAGAGTTTGGATTGGCAACAGTAAATAGAACAGAGCATCTCCTTCTACCCATAGCCCTTCTCTGACATCCTACAAATAGGAATGAAGGAGTTCCTCAAATCTGCACAGTCACCTTAGGGCCTGGGTCAGGTTTTACCCCCAAGACACATATACGACAGAAAGACAGGAAAGTGTAATGTGATCACCAGTAATGTTTCTAAAGTTCAAATTTAAAACTTTCACAGCCATTTATAAATTCTTATATAAGTAATTTTAATCGTAATGCATTGCGAATAACAAAAACTCCTACTGTAATAGCTTTCTTGGGAATCCACTCAATCAGTTACATATGTATAGGAAATAAAGGAATGCCTTCAAATTATAAAAAATACTGAAAAATATTTAAATTGGATATATTTAAAATAATTACTTTTTTATATAGAATGCCATAGATCAGAATCCATATGAAAATTGAAAACATGACCTATTATTTATCAGCTCCCAATGCAATTATAAATAGATTTAATTGGCACTGGGATTTAAGGCTTACTTACTAGTGTGTAACTAATTAATAGAATTTTCAGCTCACTCAGCATGTGACTTCTTCAATGATAAGCTGAAGTTCCGAAAAAAAAAAAAAAGACTTAAAATGACTATGCACATGATTTTTAAATTACTCTCCATGTTTATGGAGTAATTGAGAAACAAACTAAGTTTCATAGTTTCTGAGGCCCTGATAGGAAGCCAAGTAAGGATTTAATATGATAAAAAACAAACCCACAAAAAATCATACATTAAAATACTAGTAAGATAAATAATTGCTGTAAGTGAGCTTCTATATTATTAAAACTTTTTGGAATGTAATTAAAATTAATTTTAGAGAATTTTTAAAAATAGTTATGTAAGAATCAATTTCTATTTTGAAAAGTGTATTATGACTACTAATGCTCCATTGGTTTAAATAAATAACACTGGAATTCTATATTTTATCATAATCATCTTTGTTACTAATATAGCTGATTATTATACTTTCATTAATGCCCTTTATTCAACGTATATTTTTATTCTTTGTACACTCAACAAGACTTTGTTTAGAAGTTTCTGTAGTCTTAACCTGCCTACCTCTTCTGAAATGTCTCCTTATTCTCTTTTTATCTCTAAGCTTTCTATTAAAAAGTATGTCTAACTCAATGCTTTCTTAACTACATTTCCAAACCTTTTACTATGCCAGGACATTCTTCAGATTCCTAGAACCATTGGTTGCTGTTCTCATGTTCCAGTGTCCTTGAATTACTATTGTCTGAATCTGCATTCTATCTATAAATTATGCATGTCTTCAAATAGCACCTATAAACTTCTACTTCTGCATGCTGTTCCATAATTGCCAAATTACTGCACAAGAATATTATTCTGACTATACAGCAGCATTCTGAAATCACGGATTTAGGATTTATATAGATTTATGTAGATGCTTTTAATATCCACGCTATTCCCGGCATATTTTTCCACCCTATATGCTGCAGTTCCCTGATTACCTGGCACTTCTCCACCATCTCTTTCCCCTAGTCCCCAATGATAATGCAATTGTCTTCCATTAAACTGCCTTCTGCACCACCTTTTGTAGGGCCTAAGTCCTGTATCTTAATGATACATTTTTATAATTTGAAAAATTAGATGTTTAAAAAAGGTATTAAAGAAAATATAAGTCATTGAGCATTTTTCTCTATACAATCAAAAGAATTAATAATATATTGGCTGAATGCTTTAGAGAAAGACTTGGAAATAGTCTGAAACATTTTTTCTTTAAAGAAAACTATTTTGTATTTTAAAAGAACCTATTTTTCACACATAAAGGGGACAGACTTTTGTTTTATAAAATATACTAAACATACATTCTAGTGTGTACCCAAGGCAGTGTCTGACCATCTGCTGGTAAAATTTAAGGGCATTTCAGGTCAACTCAAGCAAATAATTTTCAGTTCTTCAAATTAGGTATTCCTGTCAATATTGTATTACATTTGACATTTGCACTGTTTTATTGGGTTAGAGCCCTAAGCAGAGGAATTTTTTTAAATTTACCTGATATGTGTTCAAATATTCCCTAGTACACTTCAAAGGGCCTAAAACGTACGTTTTGAATGAATAAATAATCAAATGCATAAATTTGCACTGTGGAATTTACATGCACAGTTAAGCCATCAAATGTAAAGACAGATTTCTAGTATACGCCCCCATTGTATGGGTATTGCAGATTTTCCATACCTGGTAGTCATTTGGTATGCTTGGAAATTCCCAAGGATACAACTTATATTAACTGTTTCTAGGTCCTGAATTTTCTTCTAGAAACCTGTTGACAAACAAAAAAAAAATGAGAGGGAATTAGGAGATATATGTTGTCTTTCTACCTCTGCCTCTAACAGAGGGACTTTAGACAAATCCCTGGACTCCGTAGTTTACAAACGCACAAATTATGAGGACATTGTTTTTCTCTTAGTGGCTATGGCAGATTCAGATTGTATTTTCCAAAGTTGGCAGTAGCAATATTTCTCATCCAACATTCTCTTCCACAATGTCACGATGACATTCCTCTCATTGAGAGGTGAAATCCATGATCCCTCCCTTTGAAACCGGGTGGGCTTGGAACTCCCTTGTTACTAATAGAATTGACAGAATTAACATTGAGTGACTTCTGAAGGTTGATTAGGAAAAGCCAAGTAATCAAGGCTTTGTATATGGAAGCACTTATGCTGGAACCCTGAGCATACTATAAGCCCTTGACTATGCTTAGTCCACTGTGCTGCAAAGAAGCCCAAGTTATATTCCAGAGAACAACCAAGCAGAGCAGCCAGGCAGTCCTCAGCTTCCCCAGCCACTCACCATTGCAGCTTCAGCTAATCTCTAACTGCAGCCACAGGAGAGACTTTAAGCTAAAACCACCCAGCCAAGTCCTTTCTGAACTCCAGAGCTTTGGGGAATGTTAAATATAATAGAATACTTTTTGCTTTCAGCTGCTATATTTTGGAGATATTTTTAATGCAGTATACAGTATCATTCCTTAGGTAAAGAAAAATGATTCCATGCCACAAATTGCTTCTTTATTCTTTGAAAAAAATATAACCTTTCTAATTGACTACATAAATGTTTTTGTCAGAGATATGTTAGTTAAGTGCCTTGAATTGTTTCAGGAAAACATGCTATAACAATAATTTTGTTTATCATATCATGAACTCATTAAAAATAAAATGTTTTTTAGTTTTAATTACACCAAGACACAACACTGCATCATAGGAGTAAACCACTTGTAAATTGTAATTGAAAATGTAATTTTTGAGGGCTACAGGCTGGGTGTGTATAGTCTACTCTTTGTGGCTTTAATCCTAGCCTTCTTGAATCTTCATTAGTGAAATCTATAAAGAATGTAATCATGTATCTCAGAAGAATCATTTGTTAAGTGCGACTGAGATGATATATTCCATCATGAATATAACCAAAAGAATATCTTTTAGGATATTCTTTTATATCTTTTTTCCAAAAAAAAAGAATCTTGAATAGATTCATCTGAAGTCTAATAGGTTTTGTTTTATATTCTGTTTTTACATACTGGATTAGTGTGGATATCTAGAATGTTAGGAGCCTCTCAAGGGACATAACTAATATTCATCAATGGATCCTTCACCTTTACTAAATATTGTCCCCATAGTAGATGGTCAGTAAATGTTTGCTGACTGAATAAAAGCCTACAAGAAACAGTGATTAATTAGAGTGTGACTTTAAAAGCTAATCATACAAAGTATGTAGTTATATACTTTGGTTAAGAAGATAAAAGTTTATAGTTTGAGATGCTTCTTCTACTCCAAGGTCAACACACTCTCTGCAACCATAGCTTTATAGCAAACATTGGACTAGGTATATGGGAGGACAGGTACATTTTCATGAATCCAAGGTGAAATAAGAACAGCTGATGTGACAAAAAATCAACGAGATCCAGGCATGGTGGCTCATGCCTGTAATCCCAGCACTTCAGGTGGCCAAGGCAGGAGGATTGCTTGAGGTCAGAAGTTTGAGACCAGCTTGGGCAACAGAGTGAGACCCTGTCTCTACAAAAAATAAATTAGCGGGGCACGGTGGTATGCACCTATAATCCAAGCTACTCAGGATGCTGAAGCAGCAGGATGGCTTGAGTCTAGGAGGTTGACGCTGCAGTGTGCCATGATCACACTATTACACTCCAGCAGGGACAACAGCAAGTCCGTGTCTCAAAAGAAAAAAAAATCAACAAGAAATCATAGAAGTTAAATTTATAGTCATTAAAATTAAAAAACACAAAATAGAGCAATCTCTAGTTCAGATATAAAAGTATATTAAGGAATTCATCCAGAACACAGAAAACAACATAAAGAAACATAAAAATATTGACACTATGCATCTAACAAGAGTGCTGGAACTAAGAGGTTAGAGGAAATTTTATTCACTCCAGAAATATTTACTGAATACCTGCTATGTGCTGGGTACTATTCTTATATTATTATTATTATTATTATTATTATTATTATTATTATTATTATTATTGAGACAGAGTCTTGCTGTGTCGCCAGGCTGGAGTGCAGTGGCACAATCTCAGCTCACTGCAACTTCCACTCCCCAGGTTCAGGCAATTCTTCTGCCTCAGCCTCCTGAGTAGCTGGGACTGCAGGCGTGTGACACCACACCCAGCTAATTTTTGTATTTTTTAGTAGAGACGGGATTTCACCATGTTGACCAGGTTGGTCTTGATCTTGTGACCTCATGATCCACCTGCCTTGGCCTCCCAAAGTGCTGGGATTACAGGTGTGAGCCACCATGCCCGGCCGTGCTAGGCACTATTCTAAGCACTTGATTTTGCAATGAAAAAGCCAACAAAAAGTCCTCCTGAGATTTTAATTTTATAAGATGGTGGGATAAGATAATAAACAAATGAACAAATAAGTATATAAAGGAGAGAAGCAATTGATACTATACAAAAATTAATGCATAATAAGAGAATAGCAAGTGACAAAGAAAGCGATATTTGAGACAAGATGGTCTAGGAAGGACTCTCAGATATAGTTAAATTTATAGAAAAACTGGAACGATCTGATGATATAAGTTTTGCAAATATCTGGGAGAAGACTGTTCTAAAAACTGGAACCACAGCAGATAAAAGTTTTAAGGCAAGAATAGTTTTGGCATACTTGAAAAACAAAAGACTAGTATGGCAGAGAAAGCATATTTAAGGAAATGATAGGTAAGTATTTTCAGAATTGAAGAAAACCATGAGCCCACAGATTGATAGCACCCTCTGAAGGCAAAGAAATATAAATTTATACCCAAACACACTATGTGGGACTGAAGAATGTGAAAAATTAGGAAAGAAATCCTCAAAGCTATCAGAGCTATCAGAAAAACTACCAGAAAATTCAGACAGATTGCCCACAATCAAGTACCAGATAAAGGCCAGTAAACAAAGTAGAGTTATTTTGAAAGTCATGATGGACAAACTAATCCAGATTTTTGTGAACATAAAAATGCATTTTCAAATTCAAAAGTGAAGCCAAAGTAAAGACATTTTTCAGCATAAAAGTTGACTGTTTACCACCCACAGATGTACACTAGAAGAAGGAGAAGGAAGAGGAGGGAAAGGAGAAGGAGGAAAGATAGGGATGGGGAGGAGAAGAGGAAGGAAGAGGACATGGGGAGGAAGGGAAATCAGAAATAACAGTACTCACAGAAATGAATAACATGTCAACAAATTCATTTAACTAGTAACTGTAAAAAACAAATTATTTTTATATGACAAGTAAACACGATTGACAATAAGATGGAAAGTAAAATCACACTATGATTTGCATCACATTTAGCAGGAAAATAAAAATAATGGAAAAGCACGTAAACATTTAAAACTGTTTAGACTGATACACATGGTGGATATAACAGTATTTCTAGTAGTAGTAAAAAGTTTAGTTCAAAGATTTAAATTTTTAAAATTATAAATATTGCTGATTTGGAGCCTCCTAAATACATAACATTTTGAGAAAAAGTAGATTGAAGTACTATATTAGTTAGAAGAAGACTAGCTATGTTACAGTAACAACTAAAACTCTAATCTCAGTGCTTTAGCCTGATGAAAGTTTATTTTTCACTCACGTACTGTCTGATGTGACTAGCTAGCTCTTCTTGGTAGCTTTCTTCCAATGATGACTCAACAATTCAGTTCCGCTGATGTTCACTTTGCAACTCAAACATTGTGAATTTTCTTCCAGCCATGAGGTTAGGAAAGCACAGAAAACTTACTTTATTTCTTAAGTGCCTCAGACCAGCAATTACATATCAGTTTCACTCACATTCTCATTGACAAGAATTATTCACATGGCCATAACCCAACTGCAAGAAAGTCTGTAAAGAGAGGAACACTCATAGACATTTGATAAGCATTCTCTCTGCCACATTTATTGACAGTTATTTATCATTTCACATGAAAAAGTTACATATGTTTCTGAAAAATAAATCTCAAAGAAAGTTAAAAGTAACTAAATCTCTTCAATGTGTAAATAGAAATCATTCAGAGGGGAATATTATGGATTTTTGGATATAATTTTATGTTAAATATATTTTAAGTATTTACAAACAATATAAGTTAGCAAAATGAATGAATTCACAAATTCTCTAATAATTATTCAGTTTCTCAAACCTAATCATATTGAATAAATTCAATATTTTAGTATGTACAGAAGGAAGAAAACAAGTTAAAAGCTTTCTAATTGTTAATTCAATAACCTTTTGTAAAATAAAAAATACCTTTTAAATTTGCAATATAAAGTAAAATTAAAGCTCCTTTAGAAAAATATATAAATATTTATATATTTCTATTTATATATTATATATTTATATATTATATCTATATATAAAGAAATATATATAATTTATATATATTTCTAAAGGAGCTTTGAGATATATATATATATATATATATATAGAGAGAGAGAGAGAGAGAGAGAGAGAGAGAGTCAAACTTTTAAGTTTAGAAAGGCAAAGCAGAGTTTAAACCAGAAGCACTTTTGTTATTCGTTTCTCTAAAATGAATTGTCTAATTTTCTCAGATTTTGATTATTTTGATGGTTTGTTCCACTTTATAATGTCAGAAAAATATGCTACATCATATTAAAAAAATAGAAATTTAGCTTCAAACTACCTTTGCCATTAAAAAGTCTTTTTTTCTATCTAATATGCACATAAAGCACTATTGTTTTATTACAGCTAATGAATACAGTTAAATGGAAACATTTAAAGATTTCTTTTTCCCTTACCTGGGACATATTTTTTAATGTTCTTTCCTATGATAAGTTACTATGTATATTGTAACATTGTGAATAAATACAAGTTAGGGTTTGGGTGAATATATTTTCACACACACACCTGCACACACACTTAAAATTTTACTCAGACTTTGAGACCTGAGTAAATCTAAGGCTACAGATTTACTTGTTGCAGAAAGAAAAAAAAAAAGTCACTGCAAAGCTATGGAAGAAGTATGAGGTCAATTTCAAGAATTAAAAGTAATAATAATAGGCAAAAGATAAAGACTAGAAGAACTGAGGGTTTGCTTTTCCTCTCACATTTATTTCTGTGACACAAAAATGAATATTTCTTAAAAATCTTTAATAACCTTAATAACTGAGTACTAGTAATAAAAATTATCAATAACTGAGTACAGCTGATAAAGATTATGACAAGTCTTATGTGGTTATATTTCATGTGCTAATGCTCAATATATGTAAAATTTGATTTTAAAAATGATCAGTTAGCAAATTCATTTCATGTTTTGTGAGTAAGGATGCACATTACTGAATTTCATGGTTTTCTCATTTACGTATTTCAAGAACAATGTCACTGCATGGGGCTTCCTCTGTGTCCAAGAAACGTACTCCTATAAAGTGCTTGCTTGCTTTGATTCACTGCCTCAGACATGTTCCACTATATCTGTTTGCATCTGTTTTTTAGTTCAAGGTTAAATTATTCATACCTGAAATACAGCACAAATTGCTGAAAAGTAGGGTCTAAGTAGCCAAGGGGATGTTTATTTCTGTCTGCTGAAAATGTTAGACGTAAAACACTGATAAAGTAGTAGAATGCCTTTAGTTTGTTTCCTTTTAAATTCTGAGGAATTGCATCAGACTAATAATCTTAAATGAATTGATCTGATGCTTTGAATATTATTATTTTGCTTTTATATGGATGATTTTAAAAGATGTCCACTCTCTAAGTAAAATTTTATTATGTCTGGTCATAAAAATATGCTCAGAGGAAAGTATTTCCCATTTTATAGGCCAAGTCTGTAAAAATAAAAAATGAAATTCTTTGAAATTTTTGGAACCACGTTTGTTTCCCAGGGGCAGTATGGAATGATGGTATAAAGAACACTGGATTTGCTTGCAAAACCTAATATGTTGACATTTTGTGAAATAGAAATATTCCTTTTTTTTAATTTTGTAGCTCTAACTTTGTTTTTTATTTTAATTTTTTATTATTATACTTTAAGTTCTGGGGTACATGTGCAGAACGTTCAGGTTTGTTACATAGGTATACACGTGCCATGGTGGTTTGCTGCACCCATCAACCCATCATCTACATTAGGTATTTCCCCTAATGCTATCCCTCCCCTAGCCCCCCACCCCACGACAGACCACAGTATGTGATGTTCCCCTCCCTGTGTCCATGTGTTCTCATTGTTCAACTCCCACTTATATGTGAGAATGTGTGTTTTTTGGTTTTCTGTTCTTGTGTTCGTTTGCTGAGAATGATGGTTTCCAGCTTCATCCATGTCCCTGCAAAGAACATGAACTCATCCATTTTTATAGCTGCATAGTATTCCATGGTGTATATGTGCCACATTTTCTTAACCCAGTCTATTATTGATGGACATTTGGGTTGGTTCCAAGTCTTTGCTATTGTGAATAGTGCCGCAATAAACATAAGTGTGCGTGTGTCTTTATAGTAGAATGATTTATAATCCTTTGGGCATATACCCAGTAATGAGATTGCTGGGTCAAATGGTATTTCTAAGTTCTAGAACCTTGAGAAATCGCCACACTGTCTTCCACAATGGTTGAACGAGTTTACAGTCCCACCAACAGTGTAAAATTGTTCCTATTTCTCCACTTCCTCTCCAGCATCTGTTGTTTCCTGACTTTTTAATGATTGCCGTTCTAAGTGGCATGAGATGGTATCTCATTGTGGTTTGGATTTGCATTTCTCTAATGACCAGTGATGATGAGCTTTTTTTCATATGTTTGTTGGCTGCATAAATGTCTTTTTTTTTTTTGAGAAGGATCTGTTCATATCCTTCACCCACTTTTTGATGGAGTTGTTTATTTTTTTTCTTGTAAATCTGTTTAAGTTCTTTGTTGATTCTGGATATTAGCCCTTTGTCCAATGGGTAGATTGAAAAAATATTCTCCCATTCTGTAGGTTGCCTGTTCACTCCTATGATAGTTTCTTTTGCTGTGCAGAAGTTCTTTAGTTTAATTAGATCCCATTTGTCAATTTTGGCTTTTGTTGCCATTGCTTTTGGTGTTTTAGTCATGAAGTGTTTGCCCATGCCTATGTCCTGAATGGTATTCCCTAGGTTTTCTTCCAGGGTTTTTATGGTTGTAGGTCTTACGTTTAAGTCTTTAATCCATCTTTAGTTAATTTTTGTATAAGGTGTAAGAAACGGGTCCAGTTTCATTTTTCTGCATATGGCTAGCCAGTTTTCCCAACACCATTTATTAAATAGGGAATCCTTTCCCCATTGCTTGTTTCTGTCAGGTTCATCAAAGGTCAGATTGTTGTAGATGTGTGGTGTTACTTCTGAGGCCTCTGTTCTGTTCTATTGATCTATATATCTGTTTTGATACCAGTACCGTGCTGTTTTGGTTGCTGTACACTCATAGTATAGTTTGAAGTCAGGTAGAGTGATGCCTCCAGCTTTGTTCTTTTTGCTTAGGATTGTCTTGGCTATGCAAGCTCTCTTTTGGGTCTGTATGAAATTTAAAGTCGTTTTTTCCAGTTCTGTGAGGAAAGTCAATGGAGATTGATGGGGATAGCATTGAATCTATAAATTACTTTGGGCAATATGGCCATTTTCATGATATTGATTCTTCGTATCCATGAGCATGGAATATTTTTCCATTTGTTTGTATCCTCTTTTATTTCTTTGAGCAGTGGTTTGTAGTTCTCCTTGAAGAGATCCTTCACATCCCTTGTAAGACGTATTCCTAGGTATTTTATTCTCTTTGTAGCAATTGTGAATCGGAGTCACTGATGATTTGGCTCTCTGTCTGTTATTGGTGTCTGGTTTTGCACATTAATTTTGTATCATGAGGCTTTGCTGAAGTTGCTTATCAGCTTAAGTCGATTTTGGGCTGAGATGATGTGATTTTCTAAATATACAATCATGTCATCTGCAAACAGAGACAATTTGACTTCCTCTCTTCCTGTTTGAATGCCCTTTATTTCTTTCTCTTGCCTGATTGCCCTGGCCAGAACTTCCAATACTGTGTTGAATAGGAGTGGTAAGAGGGGGCATCCTTGTCTTGTGCTGGTTTTCAAAGGGAATGCTTCCAGTTTTTGCCCATTTAGTATGACATTGGCTATGGGTTTGTCATACATAGCTCTTACTATTTTGAGATACGTTCCGTTAATACCTAGTTTATTGAGAGTTTTTAACATGAAGGGCTGTTGAATTTAGGCGGGCTGTATATCTTAAAACAATCGGTCAGCTTAGTCAGTCAGTAGTGTTTGAGAGACCTGAATAGCCAAATTAGGAAAAAGGATTGCAAGTTGATGTGAGTTCTTTGAGAATGAAGACAGTTTCCCACTGAGTTTCGTTGATTCTTTCCTTACTTAATCTTTTGTTTCTATTTGTTTGAGAAAACGATGTAAAACTTAGGTGTTACTATTTTAAACAAAAATTAATTACAGTCATATTTATAACTAGGCTAGGAGTAAAAGATATATTTAGTTGGGGGAAAACTCATTTTTATTTTCTAATTTTGAGAGGTATTTTTAAAACTAAGATTGGTTTTTTTTATGAATTGTAAAAATCTTTTGATGTTATTCTTTTAACTGAAGGATGTAAGACCAAAAGTAAAATAAAATAAAATAAAGAACACTGGATTTGGAATTGAAAACCAGGATCCAGTGCTGGTTTTGACACTTGATAGCCTGAGGGGATAATGGTGTAACTTCCTGCATCTATAAAATGTGAGGAAAACGCATTTTAATATGCATAGTAAACTAACACAGTCTTCCATTACCAATGCTTATTATCATTGTTGCTTTAATATGAAAGTATTTTCACTATATCAAAGTTACTAGCATAAAATCAATCATCAGTGAATCCATTATCAATCTAATCAGTGTCTATCTGGCATCTTTGTCTTGCTAGTGTACCCACTTCCTCCTTTTGGTGGTATAACTGGGTCTTTCCTTCAGGGAACACATTCTGTGATGTGGGCAGATTTATTTCTTCTGTAGCCAAAAGCATAAGAATTAATTAGAATGTCTGTCACTCTGGCCCTGGGATTTTTCTAACGTAAAGAAATGTTGAAAAATGTTAATGCTGAGTAGCCATCTCCCACCACCTTCAATCCACAATCAACATTTTATTATAGCTAATTTATCCATTTATCTATCTTCCTACCCTTACATCAATGCATCTTATGTTTTGATGCATTTAAAATTGACTTGCAGGTATCAATACAGTTACTCTAAACACTTCCACACATATTATTGATTAGAGTTTAATATTTCCATGAGGCAGTGCAACTCAAATCTCTACCAGATATGGAATGTTATTGTCCCAGAAAATTGTTCTCTCGTGCCCCTTTTCACTCAATCTCCATCTACCTCTCTCAGCTGCAATCATTACCAGGGTGGTTTTCAACCATATATTAGTTTTTGACTACAGTAAAGCTGCAAATAAATGGAATCTTTTGTGTAAGATTTCTTCATATGTGTTAATGTGTATATCAGTTTATCCCTTATTTCTGAGTAGTATTCTATTATATGAATATATTGGTTTGTTTACGAATTACGCTATTAATGTGGGCATGAGGTGTTTTTGGTTTTCAGATATTATCAATAAAGCTTCTGTGAACATTCTTCTACATAGTCTCTCATGAAAGTGTTTTCATTTCTCGTGAGTAAACACTGAGAAATGTAAAGCCTGTCATAGGGCAGGTATAGGTTTAAAATGATCTCATAACTTTTCTCATAATAAGGATATAATGTTATATTCCCACTAGTAATTTGTAGAAGTTTCAGTTCCACATCCTCACCATCATTTGGTGTGTCAACATTTTTAAGTTTAGCTATTCTGGAGTGTGAATATTAGTATCTAATAGTAGTTTTATTTTGCCTTTCCCTGATGTCTAATGATGTTGAGCACCTTTTCATGCACGTATTGGCCATTCATACACCTTTTTTAATGATGAACCTACTCAATATTTTGCCCATTTTTAATTGGCTTGTTTGTCTTTTTATTGCTGAGCAGTAGAACTTAGTTATTTATTGTAGACATCAGTCCTTTGCCAGATATATGTTTTGCAAATTGTTTTTTCTAGTTTGTGGCTTGCTCATTTATTTCTTTTCTTTTACGGTTAGTGCCTCTTAGGACCTGTCCTAGAAACCTCTGTCTACTTCTTATTTGAAAAGGTATTCTCCTTTGCTGTTTTCTAAAAGCTTTATAGTTTTAATATATTGATCTATGATCCATCTGAAATTAACTTTTCTGTATGTTATAAATCTGGGCGAGAGTTTTTGTTGTTGCTGATTGTTACCTGATGATTTCAGCACCATGTGTTTAAAACAAACAAACAAACAACAACAACAACAAGAACAACAACAAACCCTTAACTGTCCACACTGGGTTCCTTTGGTGCCTTTATTAAATGTGAAATGGTTGTATATATGAGTCTACTTTCTATTGCCTCTTCAGTTTGTTACATTGATCTATTGTCAATTTTTATGCCAGTACCACACTTTCCTTAATGTAGCATTATAATAAGTCTTAAAGTCAAACGGTTAGAAGTCCTCCAAAGCTGTTTTTCTTTTCAAGATTCTTTTACCTATTCAAAGTTTTTATTTTTTGCATTTCCATATAAATTTTAACATCTTGTCAATTTGTTTAAAAAATTATGGGAACTCTTTTGGTGTGGAATGTATAGATTAATTTGGGCATAATTATATTTTGTATCTTGCAATCCGTGGAAATGATGAATCTCATGACTTATTTAGTGTTCTTTAATTTCTCTAAGCAATTTTTGTAGTTTTCAGTGTAAAGCTCCAATATTGTTTTAAATGCATTCTTAAGTAATAGCATGTATTTTCATACTTTTATATATAGAATTCTCTAATTTTTGAACTGCTGCTAGTATAAAAAAAATGTGATAGATTTTTATATACTTAGCTCATACCCTGTGACTTTGGTCGTTTCACTTATTAATCATAGTAGTTGTGTTGTCAAGTTCTTAGGATCTTCTTCATAAGCAATCATGGTATCTGCAAGCAGAATTTTCTTTCTTTCCACTTGTTGTGACTTTATTTATTTCTTATCCTATTGCGCTCTTAAGACCTCCAGTAAAATGTTGAATAGAAATGATGTGAATAGGTATTCTTGCTTTGTTCCCCATTATAGGTTAAAACACTCAATATATGAACATGAAATATGATGGTAATTGTAGTTTCTTAATAGCTTCTCAATTTGCTAAGAGTGTTATGAATGAGTGTTGATCATCAAATGCTTTTCAACATTCATTGAAATGACCATGTAATTGTTTCTTATTTATTCTCTTAATATGGTGAATGATAATGATTTTTGAATGGTAAGCCAATCTTGAGCTTTTGTAAAACAGCGAAGATAAACAACATTATCATGATGCATTGTTCTTTTTATATATTACTGGATTAATTTAACAATAATATTTTCAAGGGATATAAAGGACATTAATATATGGATTTATATTTGTAAATGTTGTATTAATGGTATTGTTGCCTTCATAAAACCAACTGGGAAGTGTTCTCACTCTATTTGATGCAAGAGTTTGTTTGGATTGATGCTATTTCTTCCTTAAATGTTTGGTAGCCTTCACTACTGAAACCATATGGGCGTATAGTTTTTCTTTATAGAAATATTTTGATAACAAATGAATATATAATAGATGTAGAGCTACTCAGATTTTATTATTCATTTCATGTTTTTATAATATTTATTTTTCAAGAAATTTGTTCATTGCACTTATGTTGTAGAATTTCCTGGCATGTGGTAGATATTTTATTTTTCATTTCAGTAGGTTTGGGAGAACAGGTGATTTTTGGTTATGTAGAAGTTCTTTAGCAGTGATTTCTGAGATTTTGATGCACCCATCACTGGAGCAATGTACACTGTACCCAATGTGTAGTCTTTTATTCCTCACCCCCCTCCCACTCTTCTTCCCGAGTCCCCAAATTCCATTATATCATGCCTTTGCATCCTACTAGCTTAGCTCCCATTTATAGGTGAGAACAAATGATATTTGGTTTTCCATTCCTGAGTTACTTCACTTAGAATAGTGGTCTCCAACTCCATCCAAGTTGCTGCAAATGCCATTATTTCGTTCTTTTTTATGGCTGAGTAGTATCCCACAGTGTGTGTATGTATGTGTGTGTGTATATATATATATATATATACACACACACATATATGTACATATATATCACATTTTCCCCATTCATTTGTTGGTTGATGGGCATTTCAACTAGTTTCATATTTCTGCAATTGTGAAGTGTGCTGCTGTAAACATGCGGGGGCAAGTGTCTTTTTCATATAATGACTTCTTTTGCTTTGGGTAGATACCCAGTAGATACCTTAATATTGTACCACAGGCTCCTGAGACACTGTTTATTATGTTTCAATCTTTTAAGTTTTTATTCTTCAGATTGGATTATTTATATTAGTATATCTTCAGCCGCCTTCCTTTCTTCAGTTTTCTTTTCCTTCAGTTAGTTATCACCACTCTGCTATTAATCCTATCTAGTGAATTTTTAATTTCAGATATGGTTCTATTATATAATTTCAATTTGGTATTTTATATAGTTTCCATTTCCCTACTGAGTATTTTTATTTTTATTCTTTGAGAACATAATTTCTTTTATGTCTTTAAGCATAATTATCATAGTTATCTTAGACTTCTTTGCTATTAATAGTTCCAACAACTGAGTCATCTTAGTGTTGTGGAGTATTACCTGTTTTTTCTCTTAAATATGGGTCACATTTTTTTTCTTAGTATATCATTTTTATTTGTATTTTGGATTGTTTTAATAAGGTTGTAGATACTTTTAATTTTGTTACTTTTTTCCTAAGGAGGGTTGATTGAATTCATTTTAGTAGGCATTTGACTTGGATGGACTAAAACTACAAGTCTGTCTCTTTTCAGGTGGCCAGCAACTCAAATATCAGTTCAGTTGTTTTAACTGTGGCTGGGTTGTTTGGCATTTACCTTGTGCATTCCTGATTCAGTGGTCAGCCAGATATTTGGGCAGAAAAAAAATACATATATATAATATATATGTATATAACATAGTGTATATCTACACTATATAATTATATATGTATATATGTGTGTGTATATATACACATATAGAAATAAATGCGTACACACACACGTATAGCTTTTTTTTTTTTTTTTTTTTTACTTTCTGGCTCTCTCCTTTCCTGGATTGTCACCTGCCCCCCTCACCCCTCCCCCACACACGTTTCGGCAGATATAACCCTGAGCCATTTCCTTCTTCCAGGCGTTCACTCTCCTTCACTCTCCACCTGCCTATTTGATTTTTGGTTGGTTTGGTTGGTGTTTATTTTGTTTTGTTTTCGTCTCCGGTTCCTTTGTGTAGCTTTGTTTTTGTACTTTGTTTTTGTTTTCGTCTGTATTCCTAAATTTGGTTGTTTTAATAGGAGATGAATACCATACCAAAAGCACAATTCCCACAATGTGTGTTTGCATTTGTCTTCTAAGTGAACTCCTGAATTATCCAGCTGCGTTATCTACATAGAGAGCCAGATCATCTGTCTCAGGCAGTTCTCCTTTGACCAGATCTTTCCATTATGAAAGCTCAGGGACATTAAAGTGGTTCTCAAATCCCTTTGTTAAAGAACTGCGCCATTTTACTAAGATTATGTAATTTTTAATCTTTTAATACAAAGGAAGAAAATTTTATTTAGCAGAGGATTAAACTATTCTGCTATGATTTTGTAGCTAAATTAAAAGAATTATACTTAAAGATTTTTGTTCTGATTAGTGGGTAGTGTTATTTTTATATTAAAAAAACAGATAAAATCTCAGTCCATAACTTCAGGGACAAAGGAAATATAATTTTTAAAAATTTTCTAAGTGATAAAAGACTATACATTGGGTACAGTATACACAGGAGATGAGTACACCAAAATTTCGGAAATCATCACTAAATAACTTATCCAGGCAACTAAATACCACTTGTTCCCCCAAAAACTATTGAAATGATAATTTTAAAAAGAGCTCCCAGAAAAAGAATATCTAATTTTTTTTTTTTCTTTTCATTGTAAGCCTCTACCACCTGGTAGGAGAAGGTAATAGTAAATTTGGTATCTTCTCCGTTTTCTTCCCAGGGAGTATTTCCACATGCTACTGTGTTATAGATGCCAAACATTAGAGAAAATAATTTAGTCCTTGGTTCATCTGACTACACTGGCATCCATTAAAAGTCTATTATTTCTTTGGTTATTTGTCATCTATGCATGGCTTTCTTTTCATCTTAAGGACTCCTATTAAGTCTTGTTCTCTCTCTCAGCTAACTCCTGGGATTCTCTTTACAGCATGAGTTCTTGTTCCTGTGTCCAGAGATCTGTTATCATGTTTCTAATTTCTTGATGCTACTTACCCTCAAACACATAGTGCCTGGGTATCTATCTTTGACTATTCAGGCATTAGCCCTTTCTCTTTTGCCTCTCTCCTGGCACCATAGAGTATGGTAAAATTCTGAGACTTGGCCAGGTGCAGTGGCTCACAACTGTAATCCCAGCACTTTGGGAGGCTAAGGCAGGTGGATCACCTGAGGTCAGGAGTTTGAGACCAGCCTGGCCAACATGGCGAAACCCTGTCTCTACTAAAAGTACAAAAATTAGCCGGGCGTGGTGGTGGGCACCTGTAATGCAAGCTACTCAGGAGGCTGAGGCAGGAGAATCGCTTGAACCTGGGAGGCAGAGGTTGCAGTGAGCCGAGATCGCGCCACTGCACTCCAGCCTGGGCTACAAGAGCAAGACTCAGTCTCAAAAAAAAAAAAAAAAAAAAAAAAAAAAAAAAAAAAAAAAAAAAAAGGAAAAACCTGAGATTTTGCTGCTGCATTCCTGAAACTCCCTCAGGACTGTAAATACCTCCCTCTCCCTCTCTTTTTCTCTCTCTTTCCTTTCTCCACCAGCCCCTCCCACGATACCATCACATACCGTTCACTCACACAGAGAGCTAGGCTTCAGAAGCCCCCTGGAATTCCCAATACTGATGCACTCCCTGATTCTCTTCCTGTCCCTGGAGAAGGACTTCTTTTCTAGTCTGGCGGCTAAGAAAGCTCTGCCTTTATAACAAAACTGTTTATACTCTTAGTCTCTCAGGATTTAGACTTCTGAAACCCAAAAGCTTTGCTTTCTGAAAGTGTGGATGTGAGAATAAAAATCTAGCTTGAAGGAAGTAAAGTTATAAGTTTGATAGGAATTGAGGGGGAGGAGGTAGTGAAAATTAGTTAATTTTTTGGAACACTATCTTATCACACACATTTGCCCTTTATACATTTATTATTTTTGCTATTCAAATAAAAGTAACAATATGTATTTTAACAGAGTAATTTTTTATTTGTGCTTATTAAGTTAAATTTTTCTTTTTTCTATCATCTTGGATATAATAAACGAAGTGTAAATATATGTATATACCTGTATAATTACAGTCAAGAGTTTAAAGTTTGTATTCTAACTTGTCTCATTTATAATTTTTATGCTAAAGAATGTGTGATGAGAGACCTCTGTGGAATTTTGATGCAAATGTCAACCAAAAATTCTTGGTAGCATAGATCATCTGTCTAATTCAAGACCTAATGCTGAATTATTAGACAAACATCTCTGTAAATACAAGATTGGTTTATTTTTATCATGAATAAAGGGGAATTCTCATACAGTTTTATTTTACTGTCCTTTAGACCTTACAGTTTAATATCTAAATATTAGACATTTACATTAGATATATAATTAGACTATCTATCTGATATTCATTAGATAGCCTAATGGATTTGTCATTATTGTCCTTCTGTCACTTTCCATGTTTAAAATTTTCCCTTATTATTCCAGCATCTTCAGTGTATTATATAAGAAAAACATTTATCAAACTGCTCTTAGCATGAGAAAACATAATATACCAAGGAAACAGGAGGGAATTTCAGAAATTAGAATAAATTAAAACTTTGAGTTAATTTTTTGAACGAGTTTTTATGTTTAAAAATGTGCCATATTTGTAGGGTCTCTTGAATTACCTGTAATATACTATAATTGATTTCAGCTTGATATGTATTTTTTAACGTAAAAAAAGATTTCATGTACTTTGAAGAGTCTTTGTTATCATTATCTTAACAATAATGTGATATTTATGTTTTAATTACCACAAAACAGCAACCACCACAGACTAACTAAAATAAACTTTGTATAGCTTCCATGCTACACACAAACTAATCATTCAAAGTTTTCTCAGGATGATGAAATTTTTAAGATCATGTTAAATTAACCATAATTTTAATAATAATTTATGTCAAAACAATATTTTTTCTGTATCCTTCATCTCCGTATCTATAAAATGGGGGCAGGGTTGACTAAGTGATTCCAAGATCTTATTTGGCTCTAAAAGTATTTGATTCTAATAAACAATGAAATAACCGCAAATACCACTAAGTATAGACAATGAGTATCAAAGGAATAATGACGCATTGCTCTACTATATAAATAACCTTTTTTTACTGTAATCATTCTTTACCTGCTATTGTGAATCAGTAGTTTTGATGTTAAATTGTGGTGTTTTTAAACAAACAGTATCATTTTATTTTATTTTATTTTCCTCAGTTTTATTTAGGTATAATTGACAAATGAAAATTGTATACATTTAAGGTACACACGTGATATTTTGATATATGCATGGATTATAAAATGTAACAAGCTAATGCCTCTATCACTTCATAGTTACCTTTTATTCTATAGTGAGAACAATTAAGATCTACTCTTTAAGCAACTTTTAAGTATACAATGCTTTACTATTAACTACAGTCACCTTAATGTACATAAGATCTCCAGGACTTTTTCATCTTATAACAGAAAGTTTGTTCTTGATTGAATGGTTCACTGAGGGCACAGGTGCAATGACCCCACACATGCATAAATTTTATATATGCATTTTAGCTTCTTGACTCAGCATAATCTCTCATCTGTCCTCTCCGGTGAATTCTTAATTACTGATTATTTATGTCTTTACCTGCTTTGTTTGCAAGTTTTGCAAGAAATTTTGCATATTATTGTATGTGTGTGAATGTGTGTATAGCAATGAAATCATTTCTGTTATAAGCACTTGATAGAAGCATATATCTTTATATCAGTCTTGCGATTTCAGAGTACTTTTGCATATATGAGCGATCCTACCTTATTTTATTGCCTCACATTGCAAAATAACCTTGGCTGTTATACTTCAAGGTCTCAGGTGTTGAGTCATTAGCAGCTATGGAATAGATCAGAATTATATTACAGCTGCACAACTACAAACAAAAGGTAATCCAAGATCTTTCAGGCTTAACATCAGCATATGGACAACTCCTTAGCACTTGGCTGAAAGAAAGTTAATTCGGGAATTTCAAGCTAAATTCCCTCAGGATGACTTCTCTGAATGATTTTTAACTCCTGTAATACAAATAGAAAGGCATGTGAAAATAAATAGTATGCAATTAAAACAGAGAGCAATAACACAGATATTTGTGTATACATCTTCCAAAATTGGTCATTTTATAAAGAATGTATTTTAGCATATTTAGTTTATACATGCATGCACTTGGGAATTATTTAGTTCACTGACATCCTGGGTAGAAACTAGTAATAGAAACAGATCTATGACAATTTATTAGAATTATTAAGTCTATACTTTTAAAATTAAGCACAAAGTGGCATCTACCAGAATTATAAACAAGAAACTGAATTTCAGAACATTTAAATTTCAGAAATCTGTGTGGCTGTCTGGACTGTTGAAACCACCTCCTGTTCTTCCTGCTTAAACCCTCTCTCTGCCTATACTCCCACCCATATGCCCTAAATCCATACTCCTCCTAATAGGCAAATTGATCTTGGAGAAATCAGATCAAATCTCCTATATAAGACCAAGAATATTTTTCCAGTGTACCTTATATAAATTAAAACCATCTCTGTGGACTCTAAGTGCTGTCACGACTGCATCTGCCTCTTGGACTTCATCTTTCACTCCTCTCTCCTCAGCATTGCAGCCACACTAGCATGGACATGCCAAGTGCATTTCTGCTATGCTCACTAATCCATTTGCCTAGACTGCCCTGCCCCTGCCTGTGGATCTTCTAATTTTTTTTATTTAATAGACTTTATTTTTAGAGTAGTTTTAGGTTTACAGAAAAATTGGACAGAAGGTATAGGAAGTTTTCATATACCCCCTCTCCTTTCTCACCCCCTTACACTATATTTTGTATTATTAACATTTTGCATTCGTATGGTACAATTGTTATAACTGATGAAGTAATATTGATATATTGTTATTAAATAAAGTCCATTAAGGTTTACTCTTTGTGCTGTTGAAGTCCATGCATTTTAACAAATGTATAACATCATGCATCCATCATTATATAACATACAGAATAGTTTTACTGCCCTAAAATTCCCCTGTGTGCCACCTATTTATCCCTTCTTCTTCCTTCCTCCTAAACTCTTGGCAATCACAAATTCTTTTTACTGTCTCTATATTTTTGCCTTTTCCAGGATGTCATATATTTGGAATTATATAGTTTGTGGCTTTTGCAGACTGGCTTCTTTCACTAAGCAATATGGATTCAAGGTTCCCCTATGTCTCTTCATGGTTTGATAGATCATTTCTTTTTAGCACTGAATAATATTTCATTTTATGGCTTTACTACAGTTTGTTTATCATTTCACCTATTGAAGGACATCTTGGCTGCTTTCGTGTTTTTGCAATTATGGGAAAGATTGCCATAAACATCAAGTTTTCAACTCTTTTGAGTAAACGCTTAGAACAATATTGATGAATCATATGGTAACAGTATGTTAAGTTTTGTTAGAAATTGCCAAACTGTTTGCCAAAGTGGATGTACAAATTTGTATTCTCACCAACAATAAATTTGAGTTCCTGTTGGCTCCACATTCTCACCAGGATTTGTTATATCCGCATTATGGATTTTGGCCATTCTAATCAGTGTACAGTAGTATCTCATTGTTGTTTTAATTTGCAATTTCCTGATGACATATGATGTTGAGCATCTTTTCATATGCTTATTTGCCATCTGTGTATCTTCTTTGATGGTGTGTCTGTGCAGATCTTTTGCACACTTTTTAATTGAGTTATTTATTTTCTTATGATTGAGTTTTCAAAGTTTGTTGTACATTTTGGATATAACCCCTTTATCTAATACATGTTTTGCAAACATTTTCTCCCAGTCTTTAGTTTATCTTTTTATTCTCTTAACATGTCATTTGCAGAGCAGGAGTTTTTAATTTTAATGAGGTACAGTGTATAATTTTTTTATGGATCAAACTTTTGGTACTGTATCTAAAAAGTCGTCACCAAACCAATGGTCATGTAGATTTTCTTTTATTTATGTTCTAGAAGTTTTATAGTTTTGCCTTTTACATTTAGGTATATAATTCATTTTGAGTTAAATTATTGTGAGTTCTAATAATTTTTTATTGCTGTTTCTCATTTGTATTCTGATTTTAATGTTAAGTTCTCAAAGGGGCCTTTCCTAATCATCCTAGCTAAAGCAGTCCCTCCCAACCAATCACTGTTTGATCCATTATTCTAATTTTCCCCTAGCATTGCCATTATCTAAAATTATATTGTTCTTTATTTATTTTCATTCTTACTTTTTATTTCTCTATAAGTCCTACGTGAGCTGAGACTCAGTTTGTTTTGTTTACTGCTCTACCCCCAGGGTCTAAGACACTACTTGAAAATTATTTAGTGAATAAATGAATGAACAAGAAATGCATTTAACAAAACTCACAGACACATAATGATATATGTTCAAGTCCTTATCTATGAGTGTCTTTGTAAGTAACAAAGACAGACAACTAATAGGAATGAAAACTAGGGTAGCGAAGAGGCAGCAACATTCAAACAAAAGTATTACTATTTTGTTTGTTTTGCCTGTAGCATGTATTAAGTCCAACTGAATCTAGAATACGTTGCCACAAGAATGTTAGTAATGTTAGCTAGAATCTTAGTAATGTTGAATGATTTGCATGGAAGTTTTTCAAGTCCCTTATCTATTGCCAATAGATAGACTTTATTTTTGGAGCAAACCTATTTAAACATTGTGAACAGTCAACAGAGCTCAACAAATTAGATATAGAATGAATGTTCCACAACAGAGTAAAAGCCATATATGACAACCCCACAACTAACATCGTACCTATGGTGAAAAGTTGAAAGCTTTTTCTCTAAGACCACTTCTGTTCAACATAATACTGAAAATCCAAGACAGGGCATTTAGGCTAAAGAAAGAAATAAAAGGTATCCAAACAGAAAAGAATAAAGTGAAATTGTCTCTGTGTACTGACAACATGATGTTATAGAAAAAATATTAAATAATCCAACAAAAAATGTTAGAACTAATAAACAAATTTGGTAAAGTTTCAGGATACAAAATCAACTACAAAAAATCGGTAATGTTTCTATACACTAACAACAGACTGCCTGAAAAAAAAATTAAGAAAACAGTCCCAATTACAAAAGAGTTAAAAGGAATAAAATACTTAGGAGTCAATTTAACCAAGGAAGTGAAATATCTGTATACTGAAAACCATAAAACATTGATGAAAATAAAAGGTGTCACAAATAAATGGAAAGATACCCCATGTTTGTGAATTGAAAGAATTAATATTGTTAAAATGTCCATACTACCCAAAGCATTCTATAGATTCAATGTAATAACTATCAAAATTCCAATGTCATTCTTCACAGAAATAGAAAAAAAAATCCTAAAATTTGTATGGAACTACAAAAAATCCTGAATAACTAAAGTAACTTTTACCAAAAAGATAAAAAGCTAAAAAGATTTTTAAAAAAAGATTAAAAAGATTAAAAAATAGATAAAAAGATAAAAGCTGGAGGCACTATACTACTGGATTTCAAAATATGTTACAAACCTATAATAATCCAAACAGTATGATACTGGCATAAAAACAGACATATTGACCAGTGGAATAGGATAGAGAGCCCAGAAATAAACCCATACATTTATGGTGAATTGATTTTTGACAAAGGTGCAAAGATCATACAATTGGGAAAGGACAGTCCCTTCAAAAAATGATATTAGGAATACTGGATATTCATATACAGAAGAATAAAAATAGGCTCTTATTTCAAACCTTGTATAAGAATCAACTCAAAGCAGGTTAAAGCCTTAAATGTAAGACCTGAAACTATAAAACTATTAAAAGAGAACATAATGGGAAAATATCCATAACATTGACTGGTCTGGGCAATGATTTATTGGATATAACCTCAAAAGCACAAGCACCAAGAGAAAATAAAGATATCACAAATAAATGGAAAGATATCCCACAAATAAATTCTTTTGTGGATTGAAAGAATTAATAGTTAAAATGTCCATACTACCGAAAGCATTCTATAGATTCAATGCAATATCTATCAAAATTCCAATGTTATTCTTCACAGAAATAGAAAAAAAATCCTAGAATTTGTATGGAACTACATGGGCTTATATCAGATTGAAAGCTTCTGCACAGTAGGGTAAACAACAGAGTGAAGAGAAAACCCATAGATCAGGAGAAAATGTTTGCAACTCATATATCAAACAAGAGGGTAATAGCCAAAATATACAAGGAAATCAAACTACTTAATAAGTAGAAAAACAAATAACCCCATTAAAAAGTGAGTAAAGGACTCAAATGGACATTTCTCAAAAGAAGAGATACAAATTGCCAACAGATACATGAGAAAATGCTCAACATCTCTAATTATAAGAGAAATGTAAATTAAAACCACAATGAGAGATTGCCTCACACCTGTTAGGGCAACTATTATCAAAAGATAACAAGCGTTGGCAAGCACGTGGAGAAAAGGGAACCCTCATACACTGTAGGTGGTATTGCAAATTAATACAGCCATTTTGGAAAACAGTATGAACGTTCCTTTATTGTGAGATCCAGGAATCTCAGTACTGTATATATATATCCAAAGGAACTGAAATCAGTATGTTGAAGAGTTGTCTGCACTCCCATGTTGATTGTAGTACTCTTCACAATAGTCACGATATGGAAACAATATAAGTGTCCATCAGTGCATGAATGGATTTTTAAAATGTAATATATTTACACAATAGAATACTATTCAGCCTTAAAAAAGTAAATTTGTCATTTTTGACAACATGAATGCAACTAAGAGGACATTGTCTTAAGTGAAATATCTAATGGCATTTTAGTGGAAAATTATGTAGGACCAACCATGTCATCCAAAAACTCAATATTTTATCTTTCGGGGCTGAAAGAAGAACCAACATGACTGAAAATAAATAAATTAACAGATGGCATTTGAATTTATGATAAAAGTAAACAATAGAGAAATTATGGTATGGCTTAATGAATATAACAAGAGGCAGCAAGCATCTGAAGGGTGTGTGTGTGTGTGTGGGTGTGTATGTATGTATTTATTTGTGTATTTATGTGTCATTAGATATACCATTAGCTTCTAGATTTCTGCATTAATACAGGCCATGCATGGAAGAGCTGTATAAAACGCTTTTCCCTATGCTATTCGGCAGTAATTTTTTGAAAGTCAGAGATGGCTGCATGTAAATGTTACTAAGTTCTACCAATCTCTAAAAATCACATTTAATAACAATTTGCCAGACTTTCATTTATAGAAAGAAACAGAATTATGTTAGAAACACAATAATCAGCTATTTGTCTTTTCAATATCTTCTGGGAAAAATTTGCAGAGTTTTAAAAATTTAAATTATCATGGTGGACATTTATGTCCTTAAGGTATCCATGTAATATATAGATAGCAAAATATCTTTGTTTCAGTTTAAACATGAAAATCCAAAATTAGCATATCATAATCAAGGGAATTGCCTAAGGTTGTCTTTCTGAAAAGAAATGACGTTTAAAAATTTTTGTTTTAAAATCTTATGATAAAATCAATGGGACTTTTTCATAACTTAGAGAAGAAAATAAAACATCTAGCCTAATGTGACCTCCCAAATATAGAAATTGAATTCCATTTTAAATGATTTCTTTTGATCTTTGGACATATGCCTATTCTTTGCACGATTATGGCTGGAATTGGTGAGCATAGAATTGTGTGTGCACACTAATGTGTGTATGTGTGCATGTGTGTGTTTTGCTTAAATGACATTATTATTTATTTTTTGATCAGTGAAATGTCTATCTTTTCTGAAGCATGAGTTTTTTACTAAATGCAATAAATTTAGTGTACATTCAATTTTTCAAAACTATTTCAATCCACTCTATGCCAAACTACAAATTGTAATGCCATAAGAATTATATTGCATGTATTTTACAACTCCAATCTACTTATTGGAAGGAGGGGGTGGTGAAACATATGTCATGTAGCTGTTAAAGGAGATCTTTGCCAGGTACTTCTAAAGAAGATTTTAATTCAGGAGAAAATAATTGCAAAGCAGAGAAGGTCTGTGAGAAGAATCTATCTTGAGCACTTAAGCTGAAACCAGAAGTCCAAACAATGACCTCTGAATCATGGGGGTCACCTTGTATCCTCTATTTATCTTTAAAATTGAACTTATCCTGAAATGTTTGCTTAAAGGCAAATGTTATTTCCTGATCGAGATCTTATAATGAATTAATGCCAGAGACAGAACTTGGATTAAAGGAAAGAGAATGTCTTTTGACTTTTAGGTCCGTTATTATCAATATGTTTAGTTTCATAGCTTGTCTCCTATTGGAGTCTTAATTCCTTTAAAATTGGAATTTCATCACACTCATCTTTGTATCCCTTAGAACACCAGGTACAAGATCATGCACTTAAAAATGTATTGACTTGAATAATTTTCCAGTGCAGTCTACTTGTCTACATAAATATTGTTAGCAAATTAGACATGAAATGGTAACATTATTGAACATTGGCTGCATCTTAACCATCCTGTTAATTTCATTTGCATAGTCTTTGTTCAAGTATTTTACAGTTCAAGCTTTCTTTTGGACCATAATCCAAACATATTTAAAAAGTAAAAATGAAGTCCTTTGTGGGTATTTTTTACTTTCATAGGAGAAGGTGTAATTTAAACCTGTTGGTTGATAAAATACAAAAAGTATCTTGGGATCTAAGTTTTTCTTCGGGATACCAATTTGAGTGGTCTGTCACTTTCTGCTTACAACATACTGTGCTTATCAAACTAAACTCCCCAAAATGGAACTCACGAGCCTCTATGATATGGCTCCTGACTACATGTCCAACTTTACCTTCAGTCAACCTATGGCTTCTATATTCTCATGAGTGAACGTATTAGCTTTCTACTCCTAGAATATCTCAACTTTGCCATTTTAGGAGTTTTCACTTGCTTTCCCATATGCCTGAAATGCATATGCTTGATTAGTCCCGTGGTTGTCTCCATAGCGCCCTACAGTTCTTGGATTTAAATATCCTAGATATTTAAATATCTTGTAAAGGGGTGTTTTCTGACCATCTTATCTATAAAGTAGCTCCCCATCAGAGGTACTTGCTGTCACAGCACATTTTTTATTTCTTTCACAGGATGTGTCACAATAATGATCATATTCAGTAGCTGTCTTCTAAAACAAAGTATAAGTTCCATGAGTACAGTAACCTTTTTCTACCTTTTTCCCGAATATACCCACTGCGCAGAAAACAGTGCCCAATAGAAAGTAAAAGTCTAGGAAATGATTTCTGAATGAAAAAACAAATATTTACTGAAAAACTGTGACTTTTGAGATCTTAATTTAAGCAGTAAATTAATTTGAAGGGTAAAGTATAATTCTGATACTTTTTTGCATTTTTGTCTTCTCTAAAACCAATGACTAGTTAGTATACATGTTGTAAGCCAGCCAAACTGCATTATTATTTCAACAATTAAGACTATAGGACATAGGAAATTAGGAAGTTTTCCAAAGTAGTAATGGGGATAAAAAAAGAATTTTTTAGCTTTGTTTTTATTCAAACAAGAAATAACTATATTTTAAAATTTTTCCCCATCAAAGGTACTGAATGTAAATAAGTCCCTTATGATACCAAGTATTTTTTCATATCTATATCCATTTTAATAATTAGTTTATGCAAAAGTTCATAAATTTAGAGGTTTGTTGGAAAGTTATTATTTCTAATCTCCTAATAAGCTGAAAGAAAATTATGACTTCAAACAATATATTGAAACCTTATTAAGAGAAACTGGCCACGTGTGGTGGCTCATGCCTGTAACTCCAGCACTTTGGGAGGCCAAGGCGGGTGGATCACCTGAGGTCAGGAGTTTGAGACCAGCCTGGCCAACATGGAAAACCCTGTCTCTACTAAAAATACAAAAGTTAGCTGGGCATGGCGGTGGGTGCCTGTAATCCCAGCTACTCGGAAGGCTGAGGCAGGAGAATCACTTGAACCTGGGAGGCGGAGATTGCAGTGAGCCGACATTGTGCCACTGCACTCCAGCCTGAGGGGCAAGAGTGAAACTATGTCTCAGAAAAACATAAATAAATTAAAAAAAGAGAAACTGTGGGAAACCCCCCCCCCAAAAAAAAAGAAAGAAAAAAGGAAGAATAGCAGGAGTCTGTTTTTATAGGAATGTCATTTGAGCTTAACAGATCTAGAGGTTAAGCTTTGAAGAGTTTTAACTATATATGTGATTCTCATAATATCTATTTCATTCACAGGAAAATCAGAATAATTCTTATAAGGAAATTTGTGATCTTAATATACAGTACTATAATATTGACAACATTTCATTAAAATTATAAGTACTTATTGGTTTCCTTTCAAAGTGTCATATCTGTGCCATTTCTATCTGTATAGCTTTTACAATTATAATTTATATTTACCAATTTTCCTTTTTAACATGATATAAGGTATGAAAGTGTTTTATCACTTCCTAATTATTTTATTATATTTTGCTATCATCTACTTTGCTATCATCTATGTTCTGAAATTTATTTATGTCTCTTATATCTGTATGGTGGAAATTTTTTTTTTATTATACTTTAAGTTCTAGGGTACATGTGCACAATGTGCAGGTTTGTTACATAGGTATACATGTGCCATGTTGGTTTGCTGCACCTATTAACTCATCATTCACATTAGGTATTTGTCCTAATGCTATCCCTCCCCCTGCCCCCCAACCCACAACAGGCCCCAGTGTGTGATGTTCCCCTGTGTCCAAGTGTTCTCATTGTTCAATTCCCACCTATGAGTGAGAACATGCGGCGTTTGGTTTTCTGTGCTTGTGTTAGTTTGCTGAGAATGATGGTTTCCAGCTTCATCCATGTCCCTGCAAAGGACATGAACTCATCCTTTTTTATGGCTGCATAGTATTCCATGGTGTATATGTGCCACATTTTCTTAATCCAGTGTATCACTGATGGATAGTTGGGTTGGTTCCAAGTCTTTGCTATCGTGAATAGTGCTGCAATAAACATACGTGTGCATGTGTCTTTACAGTAGCATGATTTATAATCCTTTGGGTATATACCCAGTAATGGGATGGCTGGGTCAAATGGTATTTCTAGTTCTAGATCCCTGAGGAATCACCACACTGTCTTCCACAATGGTTGAACTAGTTTACAGTCCCACCAACAGTGTAAAAGTGTTCCTATTTCTCCACATCCTCTCCAGCACCTGCTGTTTCCTGACTTTTTAATGATCGCCATTCTAACTGGTGTGAGATGGTATCTCACTGTGGTTTTGATTTGCATTTCTCTGATGGCCAGTGATGATGAGCATTTTTTCATGTGTCTTTTGGCTGCATAAATGTCTTCTTTTGAGAAGTGTTTGTTCATATCCTTTGCACACTTTTTGATGGGGTTGTATGTTTTTTTCTTGTAAATTTGTTTAAGTTCTTTGTTGATTCTGGATATTAGCCCTTTGTCCGATGGGTAGATCGCAAAAATTTTCTCCCATTCTGTAGGTTGCCTGTTCACTCTAATGGTAGTTTCTTTTGCTGTGCAGAAGATCTTAGTTTAATCAGATCCCATTTGTCTATTTTGGCTTTTGTTGCCATTGCTTTTGGTATTTTAGACATGAAGCCCTTGCCCATGCCTATGTCCTGAATGGTATTGCCTAGGTTTTCTTCTAGGGTTTTTATGGTTTTAGGTCTAACATTTAAGTCTTTAATCCATCTTGAATTAATTTTTGTGTAAGGTGTAAGGAGGGGATCTAGTTTCAGCTTTATACATATGACTAGCCAGTTTTCCCAACACCATTTATTAAATAGTGAATCCTTTCCCCATTTATTTCTTTTTTTTGTCAGGTTTGTCAAAGATCAGATTATTGTAGATGTGTGGTGTTATTCCTGAGGCCTCTGTTCTGTTCCATTGGTCTATGTATCTGTTTTGATACCAGTACCATGCTGTTTTGGTTACTGTACCCTTGTAACATAGTTTGAAGTCAGGTAGTGTGATACTTCCAGCTTTGTTCTTTTTGCTTAGGATTGCCTTGGCAATGCAGACACTTTTTTGTTTCCATATGAAATTTAAAGCAGTTTTTTCCAATTCTGTGAAGAAAGTCATTGGTAGCTTGATGGGGATTGCACTGAATCTGTAAGTTACCCTGTGCAGTATGGCCATTTTCACGATATTGATTCTTCCTATCCATGTGCATGGAATGTTCTTCCATTTGTTTGTGTCCCCCTTTATTTCGTTGAGCAGTAGTTTGCAGTTCTCCTTGAAGAGGCCCTTCACATCCCTTGTAAGTTGGATTCCTAGGTATTTTATTCTCTTTGTAGCAATTGTGAATGGGAGTTCTCTCATGATTTGGCTCTCTGTTTGTCTGTTATTGGTGTATAGGAATGCTTGTGATCTTTACACATTGATTTTGTATCCTGAGACTTTGCTGAAGTTGCTTCTCAGCTTAAGGAGATTTTGCGCTGAGACAGTGAGCTTTCTAATATACAATCATGTCATCTGCAAACAGGGACAATTTGACTTCCTCTTTTCCTAATTGAATACCCTTTATTTCTTTCTCCTGCCTGATTGCCCTGGCCAGAACTTCCAACACTGTGTTGAATAGGAGTGGTGAGAGAGGGCATCCCTATCTTGTGCCAGTTTTCAGAGGGAATGATTCCAGTTTTTGCCCATTCAGCATGATATTGGCTGTGAGTTTGTCATAAATAGCTCTTACTATTTTGAGATATGTTCCAGCAATACCTAGTTTATTGAGAGTTTTTAGCATGAAGGGCTGTTGAATTTTGTCAAAGGCCTTTTTTCTGCATCTATTGAGGTAATCATATGGTTTTTGTCATTGGTTCTGTTTATGTGATGGAGTATGTTCAATGATTTGCATATGTTGAACCAGCCTTGCATCCCAGGGATGAAGCTCACTTGATTGTCTTGGATAAGCTTTTTGTTGTGCTGCTGGATTAAGATTGCCAGTATTTTATTGAGGATTTTTGCATCGATGTTCATCAGGGATATTGGTCTAAAATTCTCTTTTTTGTTGTGTCTCTGCCAGTCTTTGGTATCAGAATGATGCTGGCCTTGTAAAATGAGTTAGGGAGGATTCCCTCTTTTTCTATTGATTGGAATAGTTTCAGAAGCAATGGTACCAGCTCCTCTTTGTACCTCTAGTAGAATTGAGCTGTGAATCCATCTGGTCCTAAACTTTTTTTGGTTGGTAGGCTATTAATTATTGCCTCAATTTCATGGCCTGTGATTGGTGTATTCAGAGATTCAACTTCTTCCTGGTTTAGTGTTGGGAGGGTGTATATGTCCAGGAATTTATCTATTTCTTCTAGGTTTTCTAGTTTATTTGTGTAGAGGTGTTTATAGTATTCTCTGATGGTAGTTTGTATTTCTGTGGGATCAGTGGTGATATCCGCTTTACCATTTTTTATTGTGTCTATTTGATTCTTCTCTCTTTTCTTCTTTATTAGTCTTGCTAGCAGTCTATCAATTTTGTTGATCTTTTCAAAAAACCAGCTGCTAGATTCATTAATTTTTTGAAGGGTTTTTTGTGTCTCTATCTCCTTCAGATCTGCTCTGATCTTAGTTATTTTTTGCCTTCTGCTAGCTTTTGAATTTGTTTGGCCTTGCTTCTCTAGTTCTCTTAATTGTGAAGTTAGGGTGCCAATTTTAGATCTTTCCTGCTTTTGTGGGCATTTAGTGCTATAAACTTCCCTCTACACACTGCTTTAAATGTGTCCCAGAGATTCTGGTACATTGTGTCTTTGTTCTCATTGGTTTCAAAGAACATCTTTATTTCTGCCTTCATTTCATTATTTATCCAGGAGTCATTCAGGAGGAGGTTGTTCAGTTTCCATGTAGTTGTGCCATTTTGAGTGAGTTTCTTAATCCTGAGTTCTAATTTGATTGCACTGTGGTCTGAGAGACAGTTTGTTGTGATTTCTGTTCTTTTACATTTGGTGAGGAGTGCTTTACTTCCAACTATGTGGTCAGTTTTGGAATAAGTGGGATGTGGTGCTAAGAAGAATGTATATTCTGTTGATTTGGGGTAGAGAGTTCTGTAGATGTCTATTAGGTCCACTTGGTGCAAAGCTGAGTTCAAGTCCTGGATATCTTTGTTAATCTTCTGTCTCGTTGATCTGTCTAATATTGACAGTGGAGTGTTAAGGTCTCCCATTATTATTGTGTGGGAGTCTAAGTCTCTTTGTGGGTCTCTAAGGACTTGCTTTATGCATCTGGGTGCTCCTGTATTGGGTGCATATATATTTAGGATAGTTAGCTCTTCTTGTTGAATTGATCCCTTTACCATTATGTAATGGCCTTCTTTGTCTCATTTGATCTTTGTTGGTTTAAAGTCTGTTTTATCAGAGACTAGAATTGCAACCCCTGCTTTTCTTTTGCTTTCCATTTGCTTGGTAGATCTTCCTCCATCCATTTATTTTGAGCCAATGTGTGTCTCTGCCCGTGAGATGGGTCTCCTGAATACAGCACCCTGATGGGTCTTGGCTCTTTATCCAATTTGCCAGTCTGTCTCTTTTAATTGGGGCATTTAGCCCATTTACATTTAGGGTTAATATTGTTATGTGTGAATTTGATCCTGTCATTATGATGTAAGCTGGTTATCTTGCCCATTAATTGATGTAGTTTCTTGCTAGCATTGGTGGTCTTTACAATTTGGCATGTTTTTACAGTGGCTAGTTCTGGTTGTTCCTTTCCATGTTTAGTGCTTCCTTCAGGAGCTCTTTTAAGGCAGGCCTGGTGGTGACAAAATCTCTCAGCATTTGCTTCTCTGTAAAGGATTTTATTTCTACTTCACTTACGATGCTTAGTTTGGCTGGATATGAAATTCTGGGTTGAAAATTCTTTTAAGAATGTTGAATGTTGTCCCTCAACCCTCTTCCAGCTTGTAGAGTTTCTGCAGAGAGATCTGCTGTTAGTCTGATAGTTACCCTTTGTGGGTAACCTGACCTTTCTCTCTGGCTGCCCTTAACATTTTTTCCTTCATTTGAACCTTGGTGAATCTGACAATTATGTGTCTTGGGGTTGCTCTTCTTGAGGAGTATCTTTGTGGTGTTCTCTTTATTTCCTGAATTTCAATGTTGGCCTGCCTTACTAGGTTGGGGGAGTTCTCCTGGATAATATCCTGCAGAGTGTTTTCCAACTTGGTTCCATTCTCCCCGTCACTTTCAGATACACTAATCAAACATAGATTTGTTTTTTTTCACATAGTCCCATATTTCTCGGAGGCTTTGTTCATTTCTTTTTACTCTGTTTTCTCTAAACTTCTCGCTTTATTTCATTAATTTGATCTTCAATCACTGATAGCCTTTCTTCCACTTGATCGAATCGGCTACTGAAGCTTGTGCATGTGTCACGTAGTTCTCATGCCATGGTTTTCAGCTCCATCAGGTCATTTAATGTCTTCTCTACATTGTTTATTCCAGTTAGCCGTTTGTCTGATCTTTTTTCAAGGTTTTTAGCTTCCTTGTGATGGGTTCAAACATCCTCCTTTAGCTCCTTTAGCTTGTTATTACCGACCTTCTGAAGCCTAGTTCCGTCAACTCGTCAAAGTTATTCTCTGTCCAGCTTTGTTCTGTTGCTGGTGAGGAGCTGCGATAATTTGGAGAAGAGGTGCTCTCGTTTTTAGAATTTTCATCTTTTCTCCTCTGGTTTCTCCCCATCTTTGTGGTTTTATCTACCTTTGGTCTTTGATGTTAGTGACCTACCAATGGGGTTTTGGTGTGGATGTCCTTTTTCTTGATGTTGATGCTGTTCCTTTCTGTTTGTTAGTTTTCCTTCTGACAGTCAGGTCCCTCAGCTGCAGGTCTGTTGGAGTTTGCTGGAGGTCCACTCCAGACCCTGTTTGCCTGGGTATCACCAGCGGAGGCTGAAGAATAGCAAATATTGCAGAACAGCAAATATTGCTGCCTTATCCTTCTTCTGGAAGCTTCATCCCAGAGGGGAACCCACATGTATGAGGTGTCAATCAGCCCCTACTGGGAGATGTCTCCCAGTTAGGCTACACAGGGGTCAGGGACCCACTTGAGGAAGCAGTCTGTCCGTTCTCAGAGCTCAAACGCTGTGCTGGAAGAACCACTGCTCTCTTCAGAGCTGTCAGACAGGGACGTTTAAGTCTGCAGAAGTTTCTGCTGCCTTTTGTTCAACTATGCCCTGCCCCTAGAGGTGGAGTCAACAGAGGCAGCCCACCTTGCTGGGCTGTGGTGGGGTCCACCAGTTCTAGCTTGCCTGGCTGCTTTGTTTACCTACTCAAGCCTCAGCAATGGCGGATGCCCCTCCCCCTGCCAGGCTGCTGCCTCGCAGGTCGCAGGTCAATCTCAGACTGCTGCACTAGCAGTGAGCAAGGTTCTGTGGGCGTGGGACCCACCGAGCCAGGCGCAGGATGTAATCCCCTGGTGTGCTGTTTGCTAAGACGGTTGGAAAAGCACAGTATTTAGGCGGGAGTGCCCCATTTTTCCAGGTACAGTCTGTCATGGCTTACCTTGGCTAGGAAAGGGAAATCTCCCAACCCCTGGCACTTCCCGGGTGAGGTGATGCCCCACCCTGCTTTGGCTCACCCTTCCTGGGCCGCACCCACTGTCCAACCAGTCCCAGTGAGATGAACCAGGTACCTGACTTGGAAATGGAGAAATCACACATCTTCTGCATCAATCATGCTGGGAGCTGCAGACCATAGCTGTTCCTATGCAGCCATCTTAGAACCGGACCACATCCTCTTTCAAGGTATGAAAGATTATTGACCTTATTTTGTCTAGGTGGAGGAACTGTATCATACAGTGGTATATTTGAGCTACTGTGGGACTGATCTAGTCCTTCTATAAAGAGACTATCTAAATGCCTTATAAATCTTGATATTTTTCTAAGAAGCACTATCTTTGAGAAAAAACTTATTTTCTGGTAAATAAAATGAGGAAATATGAGGGGCAAATTTGAGAGCCTTCATCTTTCAATTATTCCCTTTAAAGCTCCCATTTGATTTTGGATTATGCCACGGTGAATGCAAACAAATCCCACTTTTCAAATGGAATAATTTATTTTCTTAATGTTTGTGTTTCAACCTAAAAGAATTGTTTTTATACCTACATTTGAAACTTCAGAAAACAAGATTCACAGAATAATGAAAAACTACATTTTAACCTAAATGTGGAACTGTGATTACAGACATTACCGCAAGCAAGTGATTCAAACACCACTTTTCCTGTGTCATCTTTTAAACACCACTGCAGATTTTTTATTTTGAACATGTACTTGGCTTCTGCTTCTATCTAAGTTAGAGGAACAGTAATTGGATGTACCCTTGTGCCTGAAACAATAACAAGCAACAACAAAAACAAACAGAATATATGAAACAAGCTTTTTTTTTTTTTTTTTTGAGTCTCGCTCTGTCTTCAGGTTGGAGTGCAGTGGCACGATCTCAGCTCACTGCAACCTCCGCCTGCCGGGTACAAACGATTCTCCTGCCTCAGCCTCCCAAGTAGCTGGGCCTACAGGCATGCACCACAATGCCCAGCTAATTTTTGTATTTTTAGTAAAGACTGGGTTTCACCATGTTCGCAAGGATGGTCTCAATCTCTTGACCTTGTGATCCGCCCTCCTCAACCTCTTGAGAAACAAGCATTTTTTTAAAATTGCAAAACACTAGGCAATAAAGTAGAAGGAACCCAGAGAGATGAAAAACACAGTGCTACATTTGCATCATTTTCCTGCTTTCAGAGAATTTCTGAGCCACAACTCGAGAAAGGAGAGCCCAGATGGAAATTGATGAACTCTGTAAGGTAAGGAAATGAAAATGAGAGCACAGGGACAGCAAGGCTTTTGGAATTCACAGAATAGAGCTCTGGAGAGGAGAAAGATACAGAAGGAACCCCAAATATTTGCATAAGGTACTCCTCAAGTATTCATCAGAGTACTGATCAGGACATGCATGTGAGGAAACTGACATTTGTAGTACCATCCATCAATAGCACAACACATATTCATTTCAAGTATACATGAAACATTGACCAAGATATATACTAAGCCATAAAATAAGTCTTAGTGAATTTTAAAAGATTCAACTCACACAATGTATTTCTCTAACTAAAACAGGATAGACTTAAAATTCAGTCAGTCCCCAAATATTTGAAAATCAAAAAAACCCATGGATCAAAGAAGAAATAAAAAAGTATTTTGAAGTGAATGGCAATGAAAATACAAACATAGGAAAAACTAAGGAATGATGCTAAAGCAGTTCTTAGGAATTTACAGCACTATATGCTGACATTACTGAAGAAAAGATGTCTCAAATTGATGACACCAACGATCACTTTAAGACACTAGAAGACATGAAAATTAACTCAACATAGCAGAAAGGAAAGTATAAATAGCAGGACAGAAATGATCAAATAGAGATGATGTCGGTAATGCAATGTTGGTTTAATATTTGAAATCAGACAATGTAATTCACCATGCGAACTAAAAAACATGCAGAAAAAAATAAAGAAGACATAGAGAGCTATACTTGTTCATCAACAGAAGACTCAAAATGATTAAGATGTCAATTCTCCCCAGACTTATCTATAGATTAAATACAATGCCAGTTCAAATCCTTGCAGGTCTTAACTGAAGAAATTTTCAAGCTTATTTTAAAACTCGTATGGAAATAAAAAAATATAGAATCACTATAACAACTTTGAAAAAGAACATATTTGGAGTAGTAACACTATCTGCTCTCAAGGTTTATTATGATGCTACAATAATCAAGACTATTGGACTGGCATAAAGAAATAACTTGGTCAAAGAAACAGAGTAGAGATTACAGAAATAGATCCACATATGGGCAACTGTTGTTCGTTTTTTTTAAATTTATCGTCTTTCTGAAAAATCTTCATAGAAAACTATTTGGTTTAGCTCTCAGTAGCCTGCCCCTGAGCTGTGAGGAAGCTTGCCTTCTTTTGAGCTACCTGATCTTTCTTCTGAGCAAGGGACATTTTGGGATGGTTCTATCTCTTTTAACTTATTTCCTGGGCGTCTTCTCATAGACTAGATTCTCTCATATAGCAGCATGAGCTTTCTTATACATCTCCTCCATGTCTAGAGTTATGCCGTTCTTTATATATTGAGAGGATTGTTTCTTGTAAGCATCTTCATCTTCCTCTACTTAGTAGCACATGTAATCTGCGACATTCTGGCTGATAATGTGCTTCCAGTGTACTTCTGCATTAAATTCCTTGCTTTCAGAATCATAACCGGGAATCGTTTGGTACTGTAAGGGATAGACAAACCTCCATTCACAGCTCCCTCAGGGCGCCAGAAACTTTATTGCCAGTAGTAGTTCTGGCAAGGCCTTCATCTCCAGTCACCTCCACTTGGCCTTCATAGATCTTGTCCATACCAAACCTATTGAGAAGCCTGTGGTCCAGCAGCAGGCCAGTACAATACGCTGCAGCGTAATTTGTCAAGCCAACCTTCACGCCATATTTTGGCAGTTCATGTGCATATGCTATGCAGACTATCATATCCCCTTCTATACAGGCATAAGCAATATGACAAATGATATCTGTTACACTATCATCCTGTATTTGGGTGTTTCCTATTTATTTTTATCCTGTATCACCAAGCGTTTCTGAGCATAGTAATCAATTTTACCGTCCCATTGTCTTCTAAATTTCACTTGGTGTCTCTTAAAGTAGGCCTTAGTCTTAACAACTTTAATGAACCACATCCTGCAGAGCAAATGCCCACGTCTGCGGCTTGGCAGAGACTTCTAGGCTCAGCAGCGCTAGGTGGGGAAAAGAGGGAGCAACTGATTTCTGATGAAGTTGATGACAGGGAGGAACGGGAACTCTCACACACTCCTGGTGGGAATGTAAAATGGCATGACTCCTACCTGTTTGGAAAATAGTTTAACAGTTTTTTAGAAAGTTTAATATATACCTACCTATCATATGACTCAGCCATTATACTCCTAAGAGAAACAAAAACATATGTCCATACAAAGACTTGTACCCAAATATTCATAGAACCTTTATATTCAATAGTCAAAAACTAGAAATAACTCAAATGACCATCATCCAAATTGTAGTATGTCCATACAATAAAATGTAATAAACTACTGATAAACACAGTGTGGATGAATCTAGAAATAATGATACTGAGTTTTAAAAGCTAGTCAAAAAACAGTATATATGGTGTGATCCCATTTATATAGAACTCAAAAAAATGCAAAGTGATCTGTATAACTGAAAGCACATCAGTGGCTTCCTGTAGAGAGGATTGCAGTGGGTTCTAATCTCTCATTATAAAGGAGAACAAAGAAACTTTCAGAGGTGATGGATATGTTTACTATCTTGATTGTGATAAAGGCTCCAGAAGTGTATACATGTGTTAAAACATTGAATTGTACACTTTATATGTGTACATTTTATTGCAGATCAATTATACTTTAACGCTGTTAAAATATGAATAAAGCACGTTTTAAAACATTTAGAAATCCAAAATATCATAAATTAAACATAAATTATAAATGATGTAGATTGAATCAATTATAATAAAATTACTTAAAAAAGTGTTATCAGAAAAAAAGAAAATGGTACTCTACTATGGTCACAATAAATCTAATGAGGAGAAATATTTAATAACACTGATAAACACTAGTGGATTTTGTTCCTGGTTCAAATCTGTCAATTCAGTATTTCCTAAGATTAATATTAATTTATTGTATAAAACATTTGTGTTTAGTCAATTGATAGACTGATTATTTCTTCTAAATACAGAGGAAGCTTTATCTGGGAATTGCATTATTTCCTAGTGATTCTTACTACCTATTCTAATAGGACACAATTTCACAGATATATTCTTCTTGATTTTTGACTAAGATTTTAAAGAAATACCGTCTTTTAATTTTTGATTAATTTTTTTCTACAATCTTAGAATGAAAATTTTGGAGCAGAAAAGACCACAGAAACCTTTGTAATATATCTCCTCAATATATAAAAGCCAGAAGTGAGCTCAATTTAAATGGCTAACTTAGGATATGAGGAGTAATTGGCAACAAGTGCTGGAACCAGATTTCAAGTCTCATAATATCCAGTCCAAAACTGTGAGACACTATGTAGGTTTCTTCAACTTGACATATTATGTATGATAGCAGAGTGGATTTTCTAAATAGGTGGAAGAAGCCTTTACCTTCGACTGACAGATTTGCTGAGAAAAGACAAAAAGGATCACAGCAGGTTCAGATGAAAAATTGACAGGAGCCTCCACCTAACTCTGATACTGACTCAGCATGAGATATATAGATGACAGCAACCAATACTCTAAAAAAATTATATATGTAAGAAAAGATGCAGCCTAGCAAACACATAAAAGTATATAACTGTGATAATTATTAATAATTATTAATAATTGCAGGGCCCACCAGTCTTCTGTCAGTAAATTGATTGTACACAGGTTTACTGCCTGAGTAATTTGTTTATCTTGCCTGCATCAGTTATTTTGTTGAATTATCATCATAATAACGTGTGTGAACCAGTCTTCTTAAAAGTGTAAAGACTTTGGTCTCTTCTTGTTGATTTATAGTTTAGTCATGACAGCAGCAACAACCACCACAAAAATAATAGCAAATACTTATAGGGTGTTAAATACATGCCAGCCCCATATTAGCACTGTATAACACTTCACATATTCCCACTCCTTTAAATACTTCAGGTATTTCTAAATACATTACATATCTTAACTTCTTTAATTGCCACAAGGCCTATAAGTTTGATGCTATTTTTACCCCTAATTTACAGATGTGGAAACAGAAAGATCCATTAAGTTATGGAGCAAGAAACACTCTGGAGATAATACTCTAAACCACTGTTTTAAACTGTAGAATTAACTTTACAAAAAATAAAAAAATAAAAAGCTTTAGCCAAAATTTAGAAGAAAGATTGTACTCCAAACTAATGCTTTCTGCTGATATTGGCAGAATTTTTGCTTGCTGCTCTAATAGTTTTCTGTTTAATGAGCAAATTGCTTTAAGTACACATATAACACTGCGGCATTAAGGATAAAGATATTCAGCCAATTCCTTTCTCATCTGTGATAGTTCTAGCTCTGCTTATTTGTACAATAGCACTTTGAATTTAATCTTTAGAAAAAACACAAGAAATTGACATTATAAACTTCTTTAAATTACCAGTGAATAAAGGGGGCAATAAAATCAGTAATTTATTAAATAAAGCACAATGGAAGCATTCATTAAGATGTCATGAAAATGCTAATTAATAATCAAAACGTATCCTATTGATTTGAGAGCTTTTCAGTTAGACTTCCAGATAACATCTAGAAATAAGCACTGTACATTCTTAAGTAGAGATTTCATGACTAGGTCATATCCTTATATAGCACCCCTCTTTTGGGGTGTAAGGAAATACCCTGCAGTGAATATCCTCTGAAAGAGACTGCGTTATGAGAAAAAACACAAAGATTATCTTCTAGGTCACTAACAAGGGCTGATTATTTTATGTCAGTCATATTGCTCTTCTTTTTTCCTTTTTGTCTTGATAAATTGTATCAGCTCTCCAAAACCCAGCTTATCTCATCCCTTTAATTTCCTTTAGTTTGATTTGTTTCTTCCTTAACTTTCCAGAACATTGAGGTCTATACATAGCATCTAGCACCAATTTATATAGTATTTCTCCTTTTGGTTATTGATTCTAACTACTTGGTTGAGCATTAAATATTATAATATACACCCTACTGGTGGTGCATCTGTCTCATGTTTCTCTAGCTCCACGCACCTATCAAAGAACTACAGGTAGGAGACCCTCAGGAGCACTCTGCTCCTTTTGTCCACTGAAAAGAAAAAGTGTATATTCATTTGGAGGTCTTTGCGCAGTACTCTGTTGAGATCTACAGATGCAGAAAGTTAAGAGTACAGCTAAATATTATGTAAGTTGAAAATGATTGGTGCATTCATTAGGTAAGAAAGTCTTTTAGTTTTTCCAATCTAGTCAAACTTCATTACCAAATTATCTTTTATCCAATAAACTCATTTTTAAGGTTGAATAATATTTTACTCTGTGTGTGTGTGTGTGTGTGTGTGTGTGTGTGTGTGCATATGTATTTGTGTGTAACCACATTGTCTTTATCCATTCATCCACTGATGGACACTTAGGTTGATTTCATGTCTTGGCTATGATGAGTAGGACCACAATCAACAGATGTACAAATGTATCTTTAATATACTGATTTTCTTTCTTTGGATTTATCCCCAAAAGTGAGATTGTTGGCTCTATTATAGATCTATTTTTATTTTTTTGAGGAACCTCCATACTGTTTTCCATAATGGCTGTACCAATTTACTCTCCCACCAACTGTGTACAAAGGTTCTCTTTCCTCATATTCTTGCCAATATGTATCTTTTATCTTTTTGATAATAGACAATTTAACAGGTGGGAGATGATACCTCATTGTGGTTTTCAATAGTATTTCCCTGATGATTAGTGATGACAGCACCTTTTCATCTACCTGTTGGCCATTTGTTTGCCTTCCTTGGAAAAGTATCTACTCAGGTCTGTTGCTCATTGTTTAATCAGATTATTTGAGGTTTTGTTTTTTTTCAACTATTGAGTTGTAACAGTTTCTTACATATTTTGGATATTAAGCCCTTATCAGATGTATGCCTTGCAAACATTTTTTCCCAATCCATGAGTTTCTATTTCATTCTGTTGATTGTTTCATTTGCTGTTCAGATGAAAAACTAACGAAACCCACTGAACTACTAAACTACTTAACTACTAAAACTGCTAGCCGGGCGTGGTGGCTCACACCTGTAATCCTAGCACATTGGGAGGCCGAGGTGGGCAAATCACAAGGAGTTCGAGACCAGCCTGGCCAACATGATGAAACCCCATCTCTACTAAAAATACAAAAAATTAGCTAGATGTGGTGGTGGGTGCCTGTAATTCCAGCTACTCAGGAGGCTGAGGCAGGAGAATCACTTGAACCTGGGAGGCGGAGGTTGCAGTGAACCAAGATCACACCACTACACTCCAGCCCTGGCGATAATGCAAGACTCCATCTCAAATAATAATAATAATAAATAAATAATAATGAAAAAACTGCTAAAAAGCAGACGCTTTTAGTTTGATGCAATCCCACTTTCCTAGTTTTGCTTTTGATGCCTATGCTTTCACTGTCATAGCCAAAATGTCATCGTCTAGACCAATGTTAATAAGCTTTTTCCCTATGTTTTCTTCTAGTAGTTTTATGATTTTTGGAAATATGTGTAGGTCTTATTCCATTGAGTTAACTTTTGTACATCACTTGACATTATGCAAAGTGAAGTAAGCCAGACACAGAAAGATAAATACTACATTATTTATTTCTATATGGAACCAAAAATATTTGAACTCAAGAAGCAGAGAGTAGAATGGTGGTTGCTGGGCTGTGGTGAACGGAGTAAGGGGGAGATGTTGGTCTGGGGATACAAAGTTTCAGTTACGCAAGATGAATAGGCTCTGGAGATCTAACGTACAACAATGTGACTATAGTTAACAGTACTGTATTGTGTACTTGAAATTTGCTAAGCTCTTATTAAGTGTTCTCACCACACACACACAAAGAATCTTCAGGGATCCCAAAAAGTTTATATGAATGCTTATGTAATTTATTTCTCCAAAATCCATGTAAAACCCCAATAATACTATAAATGACTAAATAAATAGTGTATAAAAAAATAACAGAGGCTGGGCGTGGTGGCTCACACCTATAATCCCGGCACTTTGTGAGGCTAAGGTGGGCATATCACTTGAAGCCAGGAGTTGGAGACCAGCCTGGCCAACCTGCCAAAACCCTGTCTCTACTAAAAATACAAACATTAGCTGGGTGTGGTGGTGCACAACTATAATCCCATCTACTTGGGTGGCTGAGGCACAAGAATCACTTGAACCCAAGAGGCAGAGTTTCCAGTAAGCCAAGATCACACCACTGCACTCCAGCCTGGGCGACAGAGTGAGACTGTGTCTCAAAAATAAACAAATAAATAAATAAAATAAAAAATAACAGTGATAACTTGTTCTGATATTCTCTGGCTGCATTAGAATCACTAAAAATGATTGACCTATGAAATTATTAATGCTACCCATAGTAGGCTAATGATGGATCACTTCCATGAATCTCATCTTCCTCGTCTCTTAATTTGAATTGTAACTGCCATGAAAGACCTTTTCTAATTATTTTAAATTTACTGAATTAGCTGTGAATTAAGACTGAAAAGATATATTTGGAGATTAATAAAGTTCTTCAGGAAAGGTATTTTATTTACATATTTATTTTGGTATAAGATTCCCTACATCTTATAATTACACCATCAGAAACACAAACCTAACTTACCTTTCCTCCTTGCATATTTAGCAAATGCCATAATCATGCATGGCCTGTTACTTTCTGAACCATTTCCTATTGATTATATCCACTGAAATGTTGACATTGAATGATTGCTGAACTCTATCTGTACAAGCACTGAAAGTATTTGAAAGTAGAAATTACTCTTCAAATTTCATTTCTTTTATCTTTTCTGTTATAAGAACTTATCAGTGATTTCCTTCTGTATCCCATTATAGAAATGGCATCATGAAATAAAATATAAGCTGACAGTTCTCAGATTTATTATTGTATTTGATATATTGACATTTTTAAAGAGTGGTGCTCTGTAGTTAAATGAATCCAAAGAGATTAAATCTCTTTAAAAGGAGTCAGTCCTCTAAGAGTGGAATTTTCTTGCCAATGCAGCTTGATCAGACCATAGTTGGGGGTGGGCTTTCAGAAATTGCAACACTTTTCATCTGCTCATCTATTTGAGGCAGTATTATTTTTTTGAGTTTCAATATCTTAAAATACTGATTTTTCTATCAATCATTACAATTGAATGCATTCACATTAGTTGATTTCTATGAAAGTATCAATATCAATAGAAAATTACATCTTGGAAATGGATTTGACTCATGTACTTGAAAAATCAGTGTGTGAGGAAATTTAAAAGTCCAGTTTTCATTAATTTTAGCACAAAGTGTTTTATTGAAACAAAATGCTTCACCTATCTGTATTTTAGTATTTGTTACATATGTAGAATAGGTAATGACCAAGTCAGGTGATTTTGGGTATCCATCACCTTGAGTATTTATCATTTCTATGTGTTAGTAACACGTCAAGTCCTCTCTCCTAGCTACTTGGAAATATACAATACATTTGTTGCTAACTATAATCACCCTACTGTGCTTTTGAATATTGGGGATTATTTCTTCTATTTAACTGTATACCTGTGCCCACTAATCAACCTTGGTTTACCGCCCCCCCCAATCCCACCCTTCCAAGCCTCTGGCATCTATAATTCTATTCTCTGTCTCCATGAGATCAACTTTTTTAGCTCCCACGTATGCATGAAAACATATAGTATCTGTTGTGCTGTGTCTGGCTTATCTCACTTAATGTAACAACTTCCAGTTCCATCCATGTTACTGCAAATGCCCTAATTTTATTATTTTTATGGCCAAATAGTATTCCTTTGTGTAAATATACTGTATTTTTAAAAAATCCACTTATATATTAATGGACAATTATGTTGATTCCATATCTTTGCTATTGTGAATAGTGCCGCAAAGACATGCAAGTGCAGGTAGGTATCCCTTTGATACACATATTTCTTTTTCTTTGGATAAATACCCAGTAGTGGGATTGCTGAATCTTATGGTAGTATTATTTTTGATTTTTTGAGAAATCTCCATTCTGTCTTCTATAGTGGTTATACTAACTTTCATTCCCACCGACAGTGTATGAGTTCCCTTCTCCTCACATCCCGATCAGCATCTATTAAATTTTTTTTGTCTTTTTAGTAAGAGCCATTTTAACTGGGATAAAGTAATATCTCATTGTGGTTTTAATTTTCATTTCCCTGCTGGTTAGCAATACTGAGTATTTTATCATATACCACTTGATCATTTCTTTTTGAGAAATGTCTATTGTCCTTTGCCCACTTATTTATTTATTTATTTATTTATTTATTTATTTGAGACGTTGTCTCGCTCTGTCACCCAGGCTGGAGTGCAGTGGCGCGATCTCAGCTCACTGCAAGCTCAGCCTCCCCGGTTCACGCCATTCTTCTGCCTCAGCCTCTCGAGCAGCTGGGACTACAGGCACCTGCCATCACGCCCGGCTAATATTTTGAATTTTTAGTAGAGACGGGGTTTCACCGTGTTAGCCAGGATGGTCTCGATCTCCTGACCTCGTGATCCACCTGCTTTGGCCTCCCAAAGTGCTGGGATTACAGGCATGAGCCACCGTTCCCAGCCCTTTGCCCACTTTTTAATAGGATTTTTGTTGTTGTTGATGAGTTGTTTTGAGTTTCTTGTATATTTCAGATATTAGCCTCTTGTTGCATGAATAGCTGGCAAATATTTTCTCCCATTCAACAGGTTGTCTCTTCACTCAACGGATTGTTTCCTTGCTATGTAGCTTTTTAGTTTAATAGTCACATTTGTCTATTTTTGTTATAGTTCTCTGCGCTTTTGGGGTCTTAGCCATGAAATGTTTGTAAGATTGATGTCTTGAAGTGTATTTTCTGTGTTCTTTTCTAGTATTTTTACAGTTCCAGGTCTAATGTTTAAGTTTTTCATGGATCTTGAGTTAATTTTTCTATATATAGAGAGCAGTCCAGATTCATTATTTTACATATGTACATCTAATTTTCCCAGAACCGTTTATTGAAGAGGATGTCCTTTACCAGCATGTTCTTAATGCCTTTATCAAAAATAAGTTGGCAATAAATATATGGATTTACTTCTGGACTCACTGATCCATTGGTCTATGTGTCTGCTCTTATAACAAAACCATGCTGTTTGTTTGGGTTATTATAGCCGTCTAACATATTTTGAAGTTGGGTAGTGTGAAGTCTTCAGCTTTGTTCCTTTGGCTGAGGATTGTTTTGGCTTTTCTTGCTCTTTTTTGGTTTGATATGAATTCTATAATTTTTTTTAATTCTGTGGAAAGTGACATTCTTACTTTGATAGGAAATGCATAGGATCTATAGATGCTTTAAGCAGTATGAAAATTTAACAAAATTGAGTTTCCCAATCCATAAGCCTGGGATACTGAACTGTAGTTTTAGTTTGTTGTTGTGTCTTTGTCTGGTTTGGTACCTGGGTAATGCTAGCCTCATAGAATGATTTAGGGAGAGTTCTCACCTCTTCAATTTTTTTGAATACTTTCAGGAGAATTGGTATTAGTTCTTTATATGTTTGGTAGAATTTGGCTGTGAATTCATCTGGTCCTGGGATTTTCTTTGCTGGGAGACCTTTCGTTACTGATTCAATGTCACTACTCACAATTGGTATGTTCAGGTTTTTTTTTACTTTTTCCTAATTCAGTCTTGGTAGGTGTATGTTGTGAGGAATTCATCCATTTCTTCTAGGTTTTCCAGTATTTTAGCATATAGTTGTGCATAATGATCTCTGATGATCTTTTGTATTTTGTTGGTATCAATTGCAATGTTTCCTTTTCTGATTTTGTTTATTTGGGTTTTTTCTCTTCTTCACAGCAATATTGGCCTGTAATTTTGTTTTGTTTTGTTGAATGTGTTTTTTTGAATCTCTATGTCATTGAGCTCTGATCTGATATTTACTATTTCTTTCCTTCTGATAATTTTGGATTTGACTTACCCTTGCTTTCCTAATTCCTTGAGGTGCATCATTAGGTTGTTGATTATAAATCTTTCTACTTTTTAAATGTAAATATTTACTGTTATAAATGTCCCTTTTAGCACTGCTTTTGCTGTCTCCCACAAGTTTGGGTATTTTTGTATTTCCATTTTTATTTATTTCAAGAAATTTTTTGATTTCCATCTTAGTTTCTTCATTGGCCCAATGGTTGGTTATCCAGAAGCATGTTTTTAATCTTCATGTATCTGTATAGTTTCCAACGTTCCTCTTACTGATTTCTAGTTTTACTCTATTGTAGTCTGAGAATATGCTTAGTGTGATTTCTATTTTATAAAAGATTTGTTAAGACTTATTTTGTGTCCCAAACTATGGTTTATCCTGAAGAATGTTCCATTTGCTGATGAGAAGAATGTATATTTTGTAATTTTGGATAAAATGTCCTGTAAATGTCTGTTAGGTCTATTTGGTCAAAAATAAAGTTTAAATCTACTGTTTCTATTAAAAGTGCAATTTAAATCTACTGTATTAACATTTTCCACTATTATTGTATTGAAGTGTACCTCTCTCTTTAGATCTGGTAATACTTGATTTATGAATTTGGGTGATTTAGTGTTGGGTGTATATATATTTAGAATTGTTATTTCCTATTGCTTAAACAATCTCTTTGTCATTATATAATGGCCTTTGTTTTTTCTTTACTGTTTTTGACTTAAAATTGATTTTATGTGACATAAGCATAGCTACTCCTGCTCGCTTTTGGTTTCCTTTTGTTTGGAATATCTTTTTCCAGCACTTCACTTTGAGTCTATATATGTCTTTGTAGGTAAAGGGTGTTTCTTGTTAGCAGTATATATTTAGATCATGTTTCTTTTTTTTTTTTTTTTTTTTTTTGAGACGGAGTCTTGCTCTGTCGCCCAGGCTGGAGTGCAGTGGCGGGATCTCGGCTCACTGCAAGCTCCGCCTCCCGGGTTCACGCCATTCTCCTGCCTCAGCCTCCCAAGTAGCTGGGACTACAGGCGCCCGCCACTACGCCCAGCTAATTTTTTGTATTTTTAGTAGAGACGGGGTTTCACCGTTTTAGCCGGGATGGTCTCGATCTCCTGACCTCGTGATCCGCCCGCCTCGGCCTCCCAAAGTGCTGGGATTACAGGCGTGAGCCACCGCGCCCGGCCTAGATCATGTTTCTTTATCCATTCAACCAGTCTATGTCTTTTAAGTGGAGAATTTAATCCATTTACATTCAAGGTTATTATTGATATGTAAGGTTTACTTCCTACCACATTGTTGTTTCGGGTTGTGTTGTATATTTTTTGTTCCTTTCTTTTTCTTCTTTCATTTGCTATTGTGGTTAGGTAGTTTTCTGTAGTGGTACAATTTGGGTTGTATCTCTTCTTCATTTGTGTGTTTGGTTTATCAGTAAGTTTTATACTTTCATGTGATTTCATGATAGTAAATGTTGTCTTTTCGCTTCCAGATTTAGGAGTCCCTTAAGCATTTCTTGTAGGGCCAGTGAAGGGCCATCAGTGTTTGCTTGTCTGGGAAAAACTTCATTTCCCCTTTATTGATGAAGAATAATTTTGCTGTGCATGATATCCTTGAGTGGGAAGTTTGTTTTTTTTTAAAGCACTTTGAATATGTTATTCCATTTTCTCCTGGCCTAACAGGTTTCTGCTGAGCCCCAGTGTTAGTCTGATGGGAGTTCCTTTATAGGTGACAATATGTTTTTCTTGCTGTTTTATATAGTTTTCTCTTTAATACTGACTTTAGATGGTTGGACTATAATATGCTGTGGATAATTTTTGGTATTGTAGCTGTTTGGGGATCACTGGGCCTTCTGTATCTGGATGTGTAAATCTGTTGCTGGACTTGGAAAGTTTTGATTTATTGTTTTTTTAAATAGGATCTTAACTAAACTCTTGTTTTCTCTTCACCCTCAGGGACATTGATAATTCAATTTCAAAACACCCATATTCAAGTTTTGAGATTCTTTCTTCTGCTTAATCTTGTTTATTATTGAAGCTTTCAGATGTATTTTTATTTCATTTAATAAATTTTTCATTTTCAGTATTTCTGATTTTTTTTAAATAACTATTCGGAAAATTTCTCATTCATATCCTGACTTGTTTTTCTGATTTCTCTGTATTGCTTTAATCATTTTTATTTATCTTTCTGAGCTTCTTTAAACTCAGCATTTTGAATTACTTTTCTGGGAATTCATGGATTTATTTTGATTGGGATATGTTGTTAGAAAATTATATTTTTGGGAGGTGTCATATTTCCTTGCTTTTTGATGCTTCCTGTATCCTCACATTGATATCTGTGCATCTGGTGTAGTAGTTGCTTCTTCCAACTTTTTAAACTTACTTTTGCAGAGAAAGACATTTTCCTGAAGATTTATATATGTTGTTGGTTGGGTAGAGAACTTTGGCCTCAATTTTGAGTGCATGCGATATTGTAGTATCTGTGATTTCATCAGCTGTAAAGTGTCAGTGGTATCTTTGAATTCCTCGGTGGCTTAGGGCTTAGAACACAGTTATTAGTGAAGAATGTGGTAAAGTCTTACTGGGGACGAGGATGCTGGATAGTCCAGTCTTTGAGTCCCAGTGGTGGTAGTGGTGGGCTAAGCATGCCTTACCTTGAGCCGTAGAGCAATGTATGCTGGCTCTGGTGTTAGCACATTCAGGCAGGCCAATTCTTGGGCCCCCAGATGGCTTTCTCAGATGCCAGTAGTGGCAGCAGTAGGCCAGGCTTGTGTGTGGGTTCTTGGGCCTCTGGGCAGTGGTGTGGTGTGCATAATGGCATAAGCAGTGGTAGCACAACTCAGTGGAACACCAATTCATGTTGGTGTTGGTGTTGTCAGTGGCTGCAACAGGCTGGATGGGCAAGTCCCTTGACCTGCAGCTGGCTCATATGGGTTAGTGTCTGCAGTGGTGGTATTGGTAGGTTGGATAATCCTGACCTCAGACCCTGGCAGTAGTGTTCAAGTGCCAGTGATGGTGAGCTGGTCTGGTAATCCCTAGGCCTTTGGAATGTGTGCTTGGGTACTGTTCAGATGAAAGCTGGTGAGCAGATTTGTCATCAGGACCCCTGGTAGTATGTTCAGGCACTACGTATGATAGGCAGAGGCAGAATACTCCCCAGGTCACTAGCAGAATGCTCAGGTTGGGACAGCAGTGGCTGTGTTATGAGTCTGCTTCTGGGGAGGCTGGGGCCACTCTCATTGGGAGCAGCCTAGGAAGGCAGCTGTGGAGCTCATGGTTTGCTTATGCACTGGTCCTGCAGTAGCAGCAGTGGTATTTCTCCTTGGGACATGTGAAAGTTCCTGGCCTTCCATCTCCCTCCTGTGGCAGCTCTGGTAGCAGTGGCCCCAGGGCAGAATGCAGGCCTTTGAAGACTAAGCTTTCTGAATGGTACCAGCTATGGGCCTACAACCAGGGAAGGTGGGGCCACTCTCAATGACAGCAACATAGACAGGCAGCTATGGGACATACAGTTGCCTCATATCTTAGTCCCACAACAGCCCACAGCAGCAGCAGTGGATTTGTTCTTTGGGTGTATGAAATGTCTGGCTTCCCTTATCTCTCCCTGGACTGACTGTAGCAGTAGCACCATCAGCTCCAGGGCAGGATGCCGTCCTTTTGGAACTGAGCTCTCAGAATGGTGCCATATTGCAGCTGCTCAAGGCTGAGAAGACTGTGAAACCCAGCATGAGCTCCCTCTCTTAAGCGGTGCCTCTGCGCAATCTGTAGGCAGCTCCCTATGTTAGTTTCTAGGCTCGTGGGTGCCGAGGGGCTTGCTCTTGGCTAAGATTGTGTAAGTCCATGGCAGGAATGTGGAGCCCTGGGGATCACACATTTTCCCTTTCCCTGTGTCTGGGAGCTTCTTCCAGCTCCCAGTCAATCCCAACTGAGAAGGCTGCCTCATTTCCCTTTCATTCTTTGACTTTGTTGCTTCCAATAATTTCTCTGTTGAATATTGGTGTTCTCTTATAGATGACTCATTTGAACTATGAATATCTACTTGCCATTTTGGTGTCACTTTATGGAGAGGCATATAATAGCTGCATCTAGTCAACCCTCTTCCCTTATGACAGCCAAAATATTATTAATTGAAATGCCAACTGTACTTATTAAAGAGCCTAGATCTGTGATGAGCAGTGATTCATGATTTGCCACTGCAAACTTGCCATCTATCAAACCTTAACTATAGTTAATAATTGAACTTTGTTAGCAGCAAGTCATGAATTTAGTCATAAGGACTCCAAAGATTATCTGATATTTGACTATGTATACTCAATCTTTAGCTGGCTTTAAATAACCTGCTTTATGTTTATAGGTGTCTTCCCCAAAGAAGAGAGTTTATCAAACAAAACATAATAATGCTGGTGATCTTAATGCCTCTCCCAATATGTTTTTCTGATGCCACTACACATCTAGCTAGATTTGACTCTTTAGTATGTAGCCAACATTAATGACTGTTCTAATACACACTTGATTTTTATTTCACAGAATACAAAATTCTTGATTTATTGGAAAAGAATGATAATGCCTGTATCCCTGTATGAGCACTTGCTCTAGCCACGGTCACAGTGCCATCTGTCTAGGGTCTGGGGAATTTAGGCCCATTGATCATTTGGAGAGGTTGAGGAGTAAAATAAATAGTACCCAGCTCTATCATCAAGAGGTTAGTGCTCAGGTCTACCACTTCACTCCATTTTTGATACCAGAATCTCTGCTCTCATCACCATCTTCTGACAAGTTTGAAGTCTGGCAACCAAGGAGCAAAAGTGGGTGGGGCATTATTCAACTAATGGATCCATGAGATAACTTCTTTATCAATGCCTGCTTTGTTATACAGCGAACTCTCTGCTAACACTCATACCATGAGAAATGATTTTAACAAAACCCTAAACTTACTCCACACTCTAATGAAACAGTTTTTGCTAGCTAGCATTTATTAAGCGTATTTTTTTAATCTTACTCACAATAAATAATTTATACCAACAATTGGTACTCAAGGAATTTTGAATACCCTCCCTCCCTAAGCTCTCCTTAATTGGAACAGAAGGGATATGAAGGCCAGGGACAGTGGCTCATGCCTGTAATCCTAGCACTTTGGGAGGCCGAGGTGGGTGGATTGCTTTAGCCAAGGAGTTTGAGACCAGCCTGGCTAACATGGCGAAACCCCATCTCTACTGAAAATGCAAAAATTAACCAGGCGTGGTGGCACATGTCTGTAATCCCAGCTACTTGGGAGGCTGAGGCTGCAGAATTGCTTGAACCCAGGAGGCGGAGGTTGCAGTGAGCTGAGATCAAGCCACCGAATTCCAGCCTGGGCCACAGAACAAGACTGTCTCAAAAAAAAAGGGAAAAGAAGGGATATGAGATTGGACCAGCTGCTCTGTTATATATTACATATTCACAAACCATTTTCTTAGCCACCTTCAGTTAATGTATTTTTAATTTTTATCTTTTTAAATTTTAGATTCAGGGGATATATGTGCATGTTTGTTAAGTGGATATAATGCATAATGGTGAGGTTTGGGTTTCTAGTATACCAATCACCCAAAGAGTGAACATTGTACCCAATAGGTAATTTTTCAACCCTCATGCTCCTCCCATACTCCCCCTTTTCAGAATCCTCAGTTTCTATCATTTACATCTTTATGTCCATGTGTACTCATTTGTTAGCTCCCCTTTAAAAGTTAGAATAAGTGATTTATGATTTTTATGTTTCTGAGTTATTTCACTTAGAATAATGGCCCCCAACTTTACTCATGTAGCTACAGAAAACATAATTTCATTCTTTTTTATGGTTGCATAGAATTCCATAGTGTATATATGTTTAATCCTATCATCCATTGATGTGCACTTAGGTTGATTTCATGACTTTGCTATTGTGGATAGTGCTGCAATAAACATGTGAGTATGGGTGTCCTTTGGATATAATAACTTCTTTTCCTTTGGGTAGATAGCCAGTAGTGAGATTGCTGGGTCAAATAGTAGTTCTATTTTTAGTTATTTGACACATCTTCCTACTGTTTTCCATAGAGGTTTTACTAATTTACACTCCCATAGTGTACAAACATTCTCTTTTCTCCACATCCACACCAACATCTGTGGTTTTTTGACTTTTTAATAATAGCCACTCTGACTGGTGTGATGTGTTATCTTATTGTGGTTTTAATTTGCATTTCTCTGATGATTAGTGATGTTTACCTTTTATTACATGTTTATTAGCCACTTGTATGACTTCTTTTGAGAAGTGTCTGTTCATATCCTTTGCCCACTGATAATAGTTTGGATGTATGTCCCCTCTAAATTTCATGTTGAAATGCCATCCCCAATGTTGGAAATGGGGCATAGTGGGAAGTGGTTGAGTCATGGAGACAGATCCCTCATGAATGGCTTGGTGCACACCTCACAGTAATGAGTGAGTTCTGTCTCTCTCTGAGTTTACACGAGATTGTTTAAAAGAATGTGGCACCTCCCCATTCTCTCTCTTGTTCACTCTGTCACCATGTGGCATGCTGGCTCCCCTTCACTTTCTGCCATGATTGTTAGCTCACTGAGGCCCTCACCAGAAGCAGATGCCAGCACTATGGTTCATGTATACCCAGCAGAACCACAAGCCAAATAAAATTGTTTTCTTAATAAATTACCCAGTCTCAGTTTTTCCTTTATATCAATGCAAACAGACTAACACATGTACTTTTTAATGGGGTTGTTTTTGTTATTGTTGTTGAGTTTTTTGAGTCCTTTGTAGATTCTGGAGATTAATCTTTTGTCGGAGTCATAATTTGCAATTATTTTCTTCAATTCTGTAGGTTGTCAGTTTACTCTGTTAATTTTTTGTTGTTATGCAGAAGCTTTTTGGTTTAAGTCTCATTTGTATATTTTTGTTTTTGTTGCACTTGTTTTTGAGGTCTTAGTCATAAATTCTTTGCTTAGGCCAAATGTTCAGAGCAGTCTTTCTTAAGTTTTCTTTTAGGATTTTTATATTTATTTTTATATTTTCAGGTCTTACATTTAAGTCTTTAATCTACCTCGAGTTAATTCTTGCATGTGGTGAGAGGTATGGGTCCAGTTTCATTCTTCTGCATATGACTAGCCTGTTTTCCAGTGCCATTTATTGGATGATATTGTTTATTATCATTGTTTCTTTCTTTCCCCATTGTTTATTTTTGCTGACATTGGAAAATATAAGTTGGTCGTACATATGTGGCTTTATTTCTGGGTTCTCTATTCTGTTTAATAGATCTGTGTATTTTATTTTTGTATCAGAACCATGCAGTTTTAGTTACTATAGACTTACAGTATAATTTGCAGTCAGGTATTGTGATGCCTCCAGCTTTGTTCTTTTTGCTTAAGATTGCTTGGGCTATTTGGCTCTTTTTTTTTTTTTGGTTTTGTATGAATTTTAAGATTGTTTTTTCAAATTCTGTGAAAAATGACATTAGTAATTTGATAGAAATTGCATTGATACTGTAGATTGCTTTGGAAGTATGATCATTTTAATAATGTTTTCAGTTCCAAAAGCATGGAATGTTTTTCTATTTGTTTGTGTCATCTGCAATTTCTTTAATCAGTATTTTATAGTTCTCCTTGTGGAGCTCTTTTACCTTCTTGGTTAGATGTATGCCTATATATATATATATATATGTATGCATATATATATATATACACACACACACACACACACATACACATACACACACACACACATATACACACACACACACACATATATATATATTTGCATGGCAATTTTAAATGAGATTGAGTTCCTGTCTTAGTTCTCAGCTTGAATGTTATTGTTGTATAGAAATGTCTCTGATTTTTTGTACATTGATTTTTGTATCCTGAAACTCTGCTCAAGTCATTTATCAAAGTTAGGAGTCTTTTGGAAGAGTCTTAGGGTTTCTAGGTATAATATCATGTCAGCAGTGAACAGAGATAAGGAGGATGATGATGAAATTATCAGAACGTAGAAACTGTATTTTTTTATGATTCAGCTCCTTGCTGTGCCCTTTAGACTAGCTGGCAATGGTAGTTTTATTGGTAAGTGGAACCTAAAGGAGAAAATCAAACAGAAAATTCACTATCTTGTAATGTCTCAGATTTTATCTATAGTACAGAAAAGGAACAGAGTCTTGTGACAAGGGCTGCATTATCCTGGGGAAGTAAGCAGCAACTTAATACAAGAAAATGGGCTGAAGGGTAAACTGTCTTAATGATTACTGCTGATTATATTGTAAGCCTATTTGTATTTTATTTTTCCCTTTAATTTTATAAAGTGTTCTTGGGAACAGTTTTAGTTTTCCCTAGGCTCGATTTCTTTTTCAATCTTGAGGTGCAAGAATTAATATGGTCCAAATTTGGCAAAGACTGCTCTAGATTTTTTTCTTGGCAAGGGGCATAGCCATGGTGTGAGTCAGGATTAGAGGAATGAAATTCTCAGGTAGTAACTCTAAATATTTGTGAGTGCCTAGTCAGGGGTATAGTATGAACAAATTTGGTATTTTTGTCTATTATTTTAGTGTAACATTTAATTGAACAGTGAACTATGAGGTAAATTATAAGCCCTATTAACAGAATTGTGAATCCAAACTTTAAGACCCCTTGTAAAGTGAAGTAAAAATCTTGGAGTATCTGTGAGAAAAGCTCAGAAAATCAGTCAGACAGAGGGTGTGTAGTAAGAAATGTTATAGTCAGGAATGAATGTACAATGTAGTCTAAATAAATTGTAGACAAATAGTAAAAGTCCAAATATAATGGACAAGGCTAGAATCTAAAAACAAGTGTAGTATACTTTTTTTTTTTTTTTTTTTTTTTTTGAGACGGGGTCTTGCTGTGTCACCCAGGCTGGAGTGCAGTGGCGCAATCTTGGCTCACTTCAACCTCCACCTCCAGGTTCAAGCGATTCTCCTGCCTCAGCCTCCTGAATAGCTGGGACTATAGGTGCATGCCACCATGCCCAGATAATTTTTGTATTTTTAGTAGAGATGGGGTTTCATCATGTTGGCCAGGATGGTCTTGATCTCTTGACCTCATCATTCGCCTGCTTCAGCCTCAAAAGTGCTGGGATTACAGGCATGAGCCACCGTGCCCAGCCTATACTTCTGTGTACCACAATTGTTTCCAGTCTCTCACTTTTATTAAAGAAAAAATAATAGTAAAAAATTTATTGGCAAAGTAAGTTTTAATCTTTTTATACATGGCCTGATTATTTGCATAAAATACAGCAAAAATGGTGATTGGCCATATAGGCTCTTTTAAGTTGGCTTTGCTGAAACTTTTTAATAAGGAATCTCAGGTTAAACTTTTTAAAAGTCTCTTCAGATTACTCAAGTCAATGATTTATCTATGCCTGTAGATACCTGTATGAATTGGGTAAATTTTTCTCTTTTTGAAGTATCAGAATAACTTGGTGTTTCTGGGCCTATTAGAAAGTGACATTTCTTATTTATTACGGTTCAGTAACTTTGTAAAGAAATTGCATAGACAAGGTACAAGGCCATTTTTAAGGGACTTTTATCAACTTTATAAGTCAACTTTAATTTTTTAAAGTAGTCTGATCATTTCTGAAAATATGTCATTTTAGTCAAAGCCTTGGCAAAATAACCGGTATCTCTAATTGTTTCCTATTATAAAAGAGAACAGATTTTTATTGAACTTATGTAAATAATTAAATTGCCATAAATTAAGAATTCTCACATATAGTTTTTAAATTCTGGAAAAATTAGGTAGAGAGAAAGAAATATGTTTCAAATTTTGCTTACAAATAAACAATTGCTTATTTGTAACAATTTTTATTCAATTGTTAAAAGCTATAAATATCTCAAAAGAAAAAGATTTTCTCCCCTCTGGAAAACAAAATGAAAAGGATCAGTAATCTTTTAAGTAAAATTTAAAAATTATTTTAGTCCTCCATTGGTTTAGTGTTTTGCTGGATGTTGGGTTAGCAATCCTCATGAACACATAAGCTTTTTAATGAGAGTGCTAGAAGTTTTTTATGAGTCCAATGTTATGATTTTTAAAATTATTAGAAACCTATATTTGAGTCTTTTTTACAAATTTTTTTAAAGAAGTAAATTTGTACTGTAGAAGAATCAAAGTAAAAGCTAACAATTGTCTATAGATGACAAAAGTCTTAGATTAGTCACAGATAAAGGCATAATTGACAAGGAAATTTGGTTATTTTTGTGACACACAATTTAACATGATTATCATAATTATTAGTGATAACATAACTAAGACATTTAAGAATTGAACCAGAAAGAAATAAAAATCCTGAACAGACAAATAACATATAATGCAATTAAACCATTAATTCATAATCTTCCAAGAAAAAGAAAGGCCCAGGAGCGGATGGATTCACTGCTAAGTTTTACCAAATGTACAAAGAGCTGACACAAGTCTTATGAAAACTATTCCTAAAAATAGAGGACTAAGGATTCCTTCCTAACTCATTTAAAAAAAATTATTACTCTAGTACCAAAATCAGGCAAGGACACAACAACAACAAAAGCTACAGGCCAGTGTGTCACTGATGAACACAGATGCGAAAATTCTCATGTACCCTAAAACTTAAAGTATAATAATAATAATAATAATAATAATAATAATAATAATAAAAGTTAGCAAGCTAAATCCAGAAGCACATCAAAAAGAAAATATATCATGATCACACGGGTTTTAGTGCAGGGATCCAAAAATAATTGAACATACACAAACCAATAAATGTGATTTACCACATAAATAGATTTAAAAGCAAAAATCATATGATAATATCAATAGATGTAGAAAAAGCATTTGATAAAATCCAACATCCCTTCATGATAAAAACCCTCAAAATCTAGGCATCAAAAAAAAAAAACTACCTCAAAATAATAAGAGCCATATATGACAAACCCACAGCCAACATCATATTGAATGGGGAAAAGTTGAAAGCATTTCCCCTAAGAAATAGAACAAGATGGGGAATATCCACTCTCACCACTCCTATTTAACATAGTACTGGAAGTCCTAACCAAATCACCCAGGCAAGAGAAAGAAAGTAAAGGCATCCAGACTGGAAAACAGAAAATCATTTCCTGGAATTTATCCATTTCCTCTAGGCTTTCTAGTTTGTTTCCATAGAGATGTTCATAGTAGTCTCATGATCTTTTACATTTCTGTGGTATCAGTTGTATGTCACCTTTATCATTTCTGATTATATTTATTAGAATCTTCTTTATTTCTTGGTTAATCTAGCTAGAAGTCTATCAGTTTTGTTTATTCTTTCAAAGAACCAACTTTTCATTTCACTGATCCTTTGTATTATGTTTTTTATTTCAGTCTCATTTATTTCTCCTCTGATCATTATTATCTCTTCTTCTGCTAGCTTTGGGTTTTATTTGTTCTTGTTTTTTAGTTCCTTGAGGTGCAACATTAGGTCATCAACTTGAGATCCTTCTATCTTTTGGATGTAGACATTCAATACTAAAAATTTTTTCATAGCACTGAGCTTGCTCTCTCCTATAGGTTTTGGTATGTTGTGTGTCTCTTTGCATTTGCATTGAATTTTTTTTTTATTTCTGCCTCAATTTTGTTGTTTGTTTGCCCAAAAGTTATTCAGGAGCAAGTTGTTTAGTTTCCATGTACTTATACAGTTTTGATAGTTCCTCTTGGTATTGATTTCCAATTTTATTCCACTATGTTCCCAGAAGATACTTGATGTTATTTTGATTTTTTGAACTTATTGAGACTTACTTTATAGGCAAATATGTAATTATTTTTGAAGAATGTTCTACGCACAGATAATAAAAATGTATATTCTGAAGTTGTTGGGTATAATAATCCTTAAATGTCTATCAGGTCCACCTGGTCTAGAGTTCAGTTTAAGTCCAAAGTTTCTTTGTTGATTTCTGCCTCATTGATAATGCCGTCATGTAATGACTGGTGATAGTGCTGTCAATGGGGTGTCAAAGTCCCCCACTATTTATTATTGTATTGCTGCCAGTGTCTTTTTGTAGGGCTAGTGTAATAGTATTTGTTTTGTGAATACTTCAGTTTTTTTGTTTTGGAGATGGAGTCTCACTCTGTCACCCAGGCTGGAGTGCAGTGGCACCATCTCAGCTCACTACAACCTCTGCCTCCTGGGTTCAAGCGATTCTCCTGCCTCAGCCTCCTGAGTAGCTGGAATTATAGGTGTGCACCACCGCACCCGGCTAATTTTTTTGTATTTTTATTAGAGATGGGGTTTTGCCATGTTGGCCAGGCTGGACTTGAACTCCTGACCTCAAGTGATCCACCTGCCTCAGCCTCCCGAAGTGCTGGGATTACAGGTGTGAGCCACCGCGCCTGGCCAAATACTTCATTTTATGAATATAATGCTCTGGTGCATATGAATTTATGATAGTTAAATTTTCTTGTTGCATTGAATCCTTTATTCATTATATAGTGTGCTTCTTTGTCTTTTATTACTACTGTTGGTTTAATCTCTCTTATGTAACATAAGAAAAGCTACTCCTGTTCACTTTTGTTTTTCTTTTGTATGATACAGCTTTTTCTACCACTTTACTTTAAGACTGTGTCATTACCCATTATGTGAGTGTCTTGAAGACGGCAGATAGTTGGGTCTTTTGTTTTTTGTAATTCAATTAGCCAGTCTATCTATCTTTTAAGTGGAGAATGTATGCCAACTATGTTCAAAGTTAATATTTATATGTGAAATTTTGTTCCTGTCATAATATTGTTAGCTAGTTGCTTTGTAGTCTCAATTGTGTAACTGCTTTATAGAATCTGTGAGATTTGTACGTACATGTGTTTTTATGATGGCAAGGATCATCCTTTTGTATCCATGTTTAGGACTCCTTTGAGCTTTTCTTGCAGGGCTGTTCTAGTGTTGATGAATTCCCTTAGCATTTGATTATCTGGGAAAGACTTTATTTCTCCTTCATTTATGAAATTACTTGTGTCAGGATATAAAATTCATGGATGGCATTTTTTTAAAGAACTCCACAAACAGTGCCCTTATTTCTTTGAGCTTATGGGGTTTCTGTTTAGAAATGCATACTTATTCTGAAGGTATTTTCTTAATAGGTAATGTGATGCTTCTTTCTAGCTGCTTTTAAGATTTTTTCTTTCACATTGACCTTAGATAGTCTGAAGACGATATGCTTTGGTGATGTTCAACTTGTATAGTATCTTCCAAGTGTCCTCTGAATTTCTTGTGTATGATAACAACACTCCTAGCAAGATCCGATAAATTTTCCTAAGTTTGCCCATCAAATATGATTTTCTTTTTCTTCTTCTCCCTCAGGAATGCTTATAAGTTATAGGTTTGTTCACTTTACATAATCCAGTATTTAGGTTTTTTTTCCTTTTTAAATTTTGGTTTTTAAAATTTTTCTCTTACTGAATTAATTCAAAAGAGCAGTTTTCATTTTTTAACTTTTAAGTTCAGGGTTACATGTGCAGGTTTGTTACACAGGTAAACTTGTATCATGGTGGTTTGTTTTACAGATTATTTGATCACTCAGGTATTAAGCCTAGTACCCATTAGGTATTTTTCCTGATCTTCTCTCTCCTCCCACCCTCCACCTTCCAGTAGGCCCCAGTGTGTTTTGTTCCCCTCTATATGTCCATGTATTCTCATAATGTAGCTCCCACTTATAAGTGAGAACATGTGGTATTTGGTTTTCTGTTCCTATGTTACTTTGCTAAAGATAATGACCTCCAGCTTAACACATATCCCTGTAAAGGACATAATCTTGTTCTTTGTTATTGTTGGGAACAGGCCCCCCAAAATCTGGCCATAAACTGGCCCCAAAAGTGGCCATAAACAAAATCTCTGCAGCACTGTGACATGTTCTTGATGGCCATAACACCCACACTGGAAGGTTGTGGGTTTACCGGAATGAGGGCAAGGAACACCTGGCCGCCCAGGGCAGAAAACCACTTAAAGGCGTTCTTAAACCACAAACAATAGCATGAGAGATCTGTGCCTTAAGGACATGCTCCTGCTGCAGATAACTAGCTCAACCTATCCCTTTATTTTGGCCCATCTCTTCGTTTCCCATAAGGGATACTTTTAGTTGATCTAATATCTATAGAAACAATGCTAATGACTGGCTTGCTGTTAATAAATATGTGGGTAAATTTCTGTTCAGGGCTCTCAACTCTGAAGGCTGTGAGACCCCTGATTTTCCACTTCACACCTCTATATTTCTGTGTGTGTGTCTTTAATTCCTCTAGTGCCACTGCGTTAGGGTCTCCCCGACCAAGCTGGTCTCGGCATGTTATGGCTGCATAGTATTCCATGGTATATATGTACCACATTTTCTTTATCCAGTTTATCATTGATGGGCATTTAGGTTGATGCCATGTCTTTGCTGTGTGAGTAGTACTGCAATGAACATACATGTGCATGTGTCTTTATAACAGAATGATTTCTGTTCCTTTGGGTATATACTCAGTAATGGGATTGCTTGGTCAAATGGTATTTCTTTCTCTAAGTCTTTGAGGAATCACCACACTGTCTTCCACAATGGCTGAACTGTTTTACACTCCCATCCACCATGAGTAAGTGTTCCTTTCTCTCCACAACCTCACCAGAATCTGTTATTATTTGACTTTTCAATCATAGCCATTCTGACTGGTGTGAGATGGTATCTCTTGTGGATTTGATTTGCATTTATCTAATGATCAGTGATGTTGAACTTTTTTTCATATGTTCGTTAGCTGCATGTATGTTTTCTTTTGAAAAGTGCCTGTTCATATCCGTTGCTCATTTTTTAATGGAGTTCTTTGTTTCTTGCCTGTAAATTTAAGTTTCTTGTAGACTCTTGTTATTAGACCTTTGTCAGATGCAGTTTGCAAAAATTTTCTCCCATTCTGTAGGTTTTCTGTTATCTTTGTTGATAATTTTCTTTTGCTGTGCAGAATCTCTTTAGTTTAATTAGATCCCATTTGTCAACTTTTTCATTTTGTTGCAATTGCTTTTGGTGTCTTCATCATGAAATCTTTGCCTGTGCCTATGTCCTTAATGGTATTGCCTAGGCTCTCTTCCTTGGATTTTATAGTTTTGGGTTTTACATTTAAGTCTTTAATGTATCTTGAATTAATTTTTGTATATACTATAAGGAAGGGATTCAGTTTCAATCTTCTGTATATGCCTCACCAGTTATCCTAGCACCATTTATTGAATAGGAAACCTTTTCCTTATTGCTTGTTTTTGTCATGTTTTCAAAGATCAGATAGTTGTAGCTGTTCAGTCTTATTTCTTGGTTCTTGATTCTGTTCCACTGCTCTATGTGTCTATTCTTTTACCAGAACCATGCTGTTTTGGTTACCATAGCCCTGAAGTATAGTTTGAAATCTGGTAGCATGATGCCTCCAGCTTTGTTCTTTTTGCTTTGGATTTCCTTGTCAATTTGGGCTCTTTTTTGGTTCTATCTGAATTTTAAAATAGTTTTTTTTTTCTAGTTCTTTGAAGAATGTCATTGGTAGTATGATAGGAATAGCATTTAATTTATAAATTGCTTTGGGCAGTATGACCATTTTAATGATATTGATTCTTTCTATCCATGATCATGGAATGTTTTTCCATTTGTTTGTGTCATCTCTGATTTCTTAGAGCAGTGTTTTGTAGTTCTTCATATAAAGATCTTTCACCTCCCTAATAAGCTGTATTCCTAGGCATTTTATTCATTTTGTGGCAATTGTGAATGGGAGTTTGTTCCTGATTTGGCTCTTTCTTTGACTGTTGTTGGTGTATTGGAATGATAGTGAATTTTGCACATTGATTGGGCATCCTGAGACTTTGCTGAAGTTGTTTATTTGTCAAAGAAGCTTTGGGGCTGAGACTCTGGGATTTTCTAGATATAGAATCATGTTGTCTGCAAATAGAGATAATTTGACTTCCCCTCTTCCTATTTGCATGCCTTTATTTCTTTCTCTTCCCTGACTGCCCTGGCCAGAACTTCCAATACTATGTTGAATAGGCATAGTGAGAGAGGGCATCCTTATATTGTGCCAATTTTCAAAAGGAATGCTTCCAGCTTTTGCTCATTCAGTATGATGTTGGCTGTGGGTGTGTAATAGATGGATTTTATTATTTTGAGGTATGTGTCTTCAATACCTCGTTTATTGGAGAGTTTTTAGCATGGATGGATGTTGAGTTTTATTGAAAGCCTTTTCTGCATCTGTTGAGATAATCAAGTTTTTGTCTTTAGTTCTGTTTATGTGATAAATCACAGTTTCTTAATTTGTGTGTGTTGAACTTGCATGCATCTCAGGGATAATGCTGACTTGATCTTGGTGGACAAACTTCCTGATGTGCTGCTAGATTGCCAGTATTTGTTTAGGATTTTTGTATCAATATTCATCAGGGATATTGGCCTGAAGTTTTGTTTTTTGTTTTGTTTTGTTTTTGTTATTGTATCCCTGACAGGCTTTGGGATCAGGATGATGGTGGCCTCATAGAATGAATTAGGGGGGAGTCCCTCCCCTCAGTTTTTTGGAGTGGTTTCAGTAGGAATGGCACTAGCTCTTCTTTGTACATCTGGTAGAATTCAGGTGTGAATCCGTCTAGTTCTGGGATTTTTTTGGTTAGTAGGTTATTTATTGTTGCCTTGATTTCAGAGCTCATTATTGGTCTGTTCAGGGATTCAGTTTCTTCCTGGCTCAGTCTCGGGAAGAGGTATATGTCCAGGAATTTATCCATTTCTTCTACATTTTCTAGTTTATGTGCATAGAGGTGTTCGTAATGTTCTCTGATGTTTCTTTGTATTTCTGTGGGGTCAATGGTAATATCCCCCTTTTTTGTTTCTGATTGTGATTATTTGCTCTTCTCTCTTTTCATCTTTATTAGTCTAGCTAGCAGTCTATCTATCTATTTTATTAATTTTTTCCAAAAAAACAGCTCCTGGTTCATTGATCTTTTGAATGGTTTTTCATATCTCAATCTCCTTCAGTTCAGCTCTGATTCTGGTTCTTTCTTGTCTTCAGCTAGCTTTAGGATTTGTTTGCCCTTGTTTCTCTAGTTCTTGTAGTTGTGATGTCAGGTTGTTAACTTGAGATCTTTCTTTCTAACTTTTTGATGTGGGTATTTAGTGCTATAAATTTCCCTCTTAACACTGCCTTAGCTGTGTCCCAGAGATTCTGATATGTTGTATCTTTGTTCTCATTAGTCTCAAAGAACTTCTTGACTTCTATCTTAATTTCATTATTTACCCAAAAGTCATTCAGGAGCAGGTTATTCAATTTCCATGTAATTGTATCTTTTTGAGCAAATTTCTTAATCTTGATTTCTAATTTGATTGTGCTATGGTCTGAGAGAGTGGTTGCTATGATTACAGTTCTTTTGCATTTTCTGAGGAGTGTTTTACTTCCAATTATGTATTTTACAGTATGTGCCATGTTGCAATGAAAAGAATGTATATCTGTTGTTTCTGTGTGGAGAGTTATGTAGATATCTATCAGGTACATTTGATCCAGTGCTGAGTTCAGTTCCTGAATATCTTTGTTAATTTTCTGTCTCAATTATCTGTCTAATATCATCAATGGGGTATTGATGTCTCCCACTATTACTGTATGGGAGTCTATGTCTCATTGAAGGTCCCTAAGAATGTGCTTTATGAATCTGGGTCCTCCTGTGTTGGGTGCATATATATTTAGGATAGTTAGCTCTTCTTGTTGAGTTTAACCCTTTACCATTATGTAATGCCCTTCTGTGTCCTTTTTGATCTTTGTTGGTTTAAAGTCTGTTTTGTCTAAAATTAGGATTGCAACTCCTCCTTTTGTCTGTTTTCCATTTTCTTGGTAGGTTTTTCTCTATCCCTTTATTTTGAGCCTATTTGGGTCACTGCATGTGAGACGGATCTATTGAAGACAGAATACCATTGGGTCTTGGCTCTTTATCCAGCTTGCCACTCTATGTCTTTTAATTAGGGCATTTAGTCCATTTACATTTAAGGTTAGTATTGGTATGTGTGGATTTGACTCTCATTATGGTGTTAGATGATTATTTTGCAGATTTGTTTATGTGGTTGCTTTATAGTGTCACTGGTCTGTGTACTTAAGTGTGTATTTGTAGTGGCTGGTAACAATCTTTTCTATCCATCTTTAATGCTTCCTTTAGGTGCTTTTGTAGGGCAGGTCTGGTGGTAACAATTCCCTCAGCATTTGCTTGTCTGAAGAGGATGTTATTTCTCCTTTGCTTATGAAGCTTAGTTTGGCCAGATATAAAATTCTGGTTTGGAAATTCTTTTTTTTTTAAGAATGTTGAATATTGGCCCCCATTCTCTTCTGGCTTGTAGAGTTTCAGCTGAGATGTCCATTATTAGTCAGGGGCTTCTCTTTGTAGGTGATGTGGACTTTCCCTCCAGCTGCCTTTAACATTTTGTTTTTTTATTTTGACCTTGGAGCATATGAAGATTATATGTCTTGGGGATGATCTTCTTGTGGAGTGTCTTACTGAGGTTCTCTGCGTTTCCTGAATTTAAGTGTTGCCCTGTCTAGCTAGGTTGAGGAAATCCTCATGGATGATATCCTGAAATATGTTTTCCCAATTGGTTTCATTCTCCCCATCTCTTTCAGGTACACCAAGACATTGTACATTTGGTCTATTTACATAATCCCATATGTCTCAGAGGTTTTGTTCATTCCTTTTCATTCTTTTTTTCTCTAGTCTTCTCTACCTGTCTTATTTAAGAAAGCCAGGCTTCAAGCTTTGAGATTCTTTACTCCACTTGGCCTATTCTGCTATTAATACTTTTGTAATTGCATTATGAAATTCTTGTTTTTAAGTTCTGTCAGGGTGGCTATGTTCTTCTCTATACTGGTCATTTTGTCTGTCATCTCCCATAATGTTTTATCATTATTTTTAGCTTCCTCGCACTGGGTTACAATGTACTCCTATAGCTCAGTGTACTTCCTTTCCATTCAAATTCTAAATTCTACTTCTGTCATTTCAGCCATCTCAGCCTCAGCCTGGCTTTAAACCCTCTCTGAAGAGGTGATGCAATCATTTGGAGAAAAGAAGGTACTCTGACTTTTTGAGTTTTTAGTATTCTTGTGCTGATTCTTTCTCATGTTTGTGGGCCTATCTACCTTCAATCTTTGAGGTTGCTGACCTTTGGATAGGTTTTTTTTTTCTTTTATCCTATTTGATGACCATGAGGGTTTGATTGTGTTATAAGGTGGAGTCAGCTGACTAGCTTCATTTCTGGGAGATTTTAGGGGGCCAACACTCAGCTCTCAACCTTTGGACTGTGTACTATAATTCTGGGGGACTTCTATTGGGCCCCAACTTTGTTCTCTGGTTTGAACCTTGAGGTTTGGAGTTCACTTTGCCGGGGGAACCAAAGTGTGGCAGCTGCAGCAAAGTGCAAGTGGATACAGGGGTTCCTACCTCCCTGAGAGCATTCACCACAGTGGTAGAGGCAAGGCAGCAGCTGGGACAGCAGGTTGTGGGGTGTCCTGCTGGAGACTGTGCTGTTGCACTAGAGGTGATGTTGGCTGGTTTATTTTTTGTTGGTTTTCAACTTTCTCTTGGATCTCATTGAGCTTCCTTATAGTCTATATTTCTAATTTTTTATCTGTCATTTTCAAATTTTCATTCTATTGAGGATCCATTGCCATAGAAGTAGTGTGATCTTTTGGAGGTGTCAAAGCACTCTTTTTACACTGCTGGAGTTACTGAGCTGATTCCTTCTCTTCTAAAGAAACCGTCATTTTCTTTCTTTCTTTTTTTTTTTTTGAAATTGCTATTGTTTGCAAGGGACTTTATATTTATTTTTTCCTCCCTTGAAGGTGTGACTGTAGTACATATTTTGTATGATCATTTGGCTTCTGGGTGCTTTTAGACAACCGAGGCTCTGTATGAATTCATTGGTTATAGATAGCTTTTGTGTGGTGGCTTTCTCAAATTCTGCTTGTTGTAGCTATACATTGGGCATATGAGCCAATTCACTCTCTTCTAGGAGGCCAGGAATACAGGGATCTCAGGTAGCTGATGTCCTCCCTAGCACTGTGTCCTTCTGTCAGCCACTTTTTGTTTTGTTTTGGTTTTTGTTTTGTTTTTGGTGAAGTTTGGTCTCCAGTAGGTGGTGCCAGAGCCAGTTTCCCTTTGGATATTGAGATGATGTGTGGAAGCACCTGCCCTAATGAAGCTCATGGAGGGAGTTTGTGGTGGGATGCACTGAGGTTTCCAGGGTGGTAAAGAGAGGGCTGCACCAGCTCCCCATCCTGGGAAGTCAGGAATATGATCCACTTCCATATCATGCCCCTATCTCAGGGTTCATGGCCTTCAGTTCAGATAGTCACTGTCCTTTATCTCCAGGCCACAATGCAACTTAGGTCTGTGAGAAATGCCTGTCTGGTGGCTACTGATGAAATGACCTTTCAGCAGAACCTCTTCCCCCAACACCAAACAGATGACTCTGCAGTTAGTTGGTTTACACTGTTTTGCAGTGATGCTGCCACTCTGTGTAGAAAGGCAGAAATTAGCCCCGTTCTATGTACAAGCCTAAGCAGTGGGCACACCTTCACTGAGGACACAGCTATCCCAAAAAATGCTGGAAGGAGGACACTTACGGCAACCTCCAACAGGAAAGGCCTTGGCTACCTCTGCAGCAGTGTACGGGACAGTGGGAGATCCATTTCTGGCCACTAGGGTCACCTATCCACTAGGGCAGAACAGTGCCCCCTTTGGAGATCAGCACTGTTACCTGCATTTCCTCTGTTCCGAGGAGCGCTTTGGCAGTCTGCATTCCCCCTCTCTCCCTCTCTCTAGGGTCAGCACACTCGAAGGACTATACCTCTAGGGATCCCACAGCTCCCCAGGGACCTGATGGACCTCTGTAGTTGCCAAAGTCACCGTGGGTTTTGAGGTTCCCTGGGTAGGTTAATGACCCATAACAGATACACAAACAGTGTGGTCCCTGCCACCTGAGTCTGAGTTTGGTGTGAGTGTGAGCACACATGGAGGAAATGGCTGCCTCGTGCTGTGCCTGCTGGAAGTTCCCAAATTGCCACCAACAAACAGCATTGTTCTGGGTTGATTGATAGGGGAACCCCGACAGTTTGGCTGTTAGTAGTCTGTCACACAGGTGAGAGGAGCAAGAGATCCCCCTATTGTAACCTTTTGTCAGGACTCTAACTTCCTCTGGGGTCAATCTCTGCCAGATTCTGGCTGCCTTCCTTTTCTGCATCCCAACTTCTTTGTATGGGTTCTCCAACAGGTTTCAGCACACTTTCCTCAGTTCCACTTGGGTCATGATTATTCACCTGCAAATTTGATCTTCTTTCTGAGGAGAAATGGCATCCAACATCTCTAGTCAACTGTCTGGGGAAAAAAACTAATTTACTTTCTAAATGTTTCCCTTTAGTTAGTTAAGTTTAAAATGTGATTTCCTCCAGGAAATAATGATAATCTCTCTCTTTTGTGGCTGAAATGTATGCCCCACTCTACATAGCATACTTAGAGTCAGTGATGTGGATCCCACCCTCATACACCCTTACTCTTTTTTTATTTGAAGTAATAAAATAAAAACCTTTATCAAATGAAATGAGTTAATACTGACAGCGTATATTTGAAAATGAAAAATTGTAAATTTATAAGCATAAAAGTATCTCCACACTAATAAGAGGAATTATTCAAAGAAAGAAAAAATATTTTACATGGGTTTTAGTGTGTGAATCATTTCCTTTGTGATGAAAATGATCGTGTTTAATGATATGAATCATATCTTTTAACAGTTATGATAAATCTTCTAAATTCAAACTGAAAATTATATATCAGAGTCTTCCAAATTAAAAACAAAAGAAAAACCCTCCCAGGGTGAGTTAGTAATTTTTAGAGCTGTATTATCTCTCAGTTTATGCACTTGAATACCACTTGGTAAATGTACCTGCTGCACCAAAGTATACTTTAGTTTCATGCAGAGTAAAGATAACTCATTATATCCTTTTTATCATTTGAACATCAATGGCTATGGAAAAAGTAATTTTCATCCTGGGTAAATTTGCTCATATTCTCAAGGTGTACATGGACCTGACTTTGAGCTGTGTGTATAGGGTTCTTGGTATATTATTTAGTATAGGTCTAGCACATTCCAGAGCAGATTAATCATCCTCTAAATGCTCACTTCTCACAAACAGAAACCAATGTATCGACCTCCATGTGCCCTAACCTGCTGAGCTGTGTTGATTTGATTTATGGGAAGTTGATCATTCACACTAATAATCTTTTATCACCTTATGTATGGGGAGCACAAGGCATTGGGTTATTTTTTTGGCTTTTGCAGGAGTCTATCCTTAGAATACAACAGTGATTTATAATTATTTTTCTGAAGTATCATTTAGATATTCTAAGCAAAAAGTCTCATACAGTGTAATATAATTAGTACTCTATTTCTGAATGGACTTTCCCTTTCTTGCTTTTTTTGAAGCAGATTATCTAAGCTCATTTCTATTGAGAGAGATCTGCTAACAAAGCATTCAAGTTAGGGTTATCACTGTCAAAATGAAGTGGAAAATGGCAACAACTCCTTTTTTCATTAAAAGCTAAATAAACAAAAATTCATTTAGTATTAAAAAAATGATGACAGGAAGAAAACCAACAAAGCTACCTGCGAATATTTCATTACATAATTTTAAACAACTTAACTATAGATAAAATTGTTTTCAGTAAACAAAATACTTTAAAAAAAAACAGGTAAGTCAAATCAAACATTTACTTTAGTGAAATTGAAATTATTATTTACCTACCTAAGTGTCATCTTTAAGAAAATGAAAATCACCATAAATATTTGTCAATGCTGCAATATATACTAATTATTCCAACCAATACTACTACTATCTACCAAACTATGTGCATTCCTGAAAGGACCTTTGTGAAGTTACATTACTTTTCATTAATTTTAAGGACTTTCTTTTCCCTGGATCTTTAATTTACATGTGTCAGAGTGCTCCCAAGGATTCGATTACTTTTCATTTTATTCTAGAATGTTGATAAGATATATTTGGGAACATTTATCTAAGCTGCCATTTCATTTTTAGTAAAATTAGGACATAAACATGCAAACATTATACCTCCTTGTAAGGCTTAAATAGGTCAGTGTACTGCCCTGGCACATAGTAAGAATTGCATAAATATTATCTAGTTTGAAAAGTTTTTATAATTCCTACTAATTAACATTCACTAGTTTAAAGTATTTCTACAAATAATTTTTATATTTTTCTCTTTTTTCACATGACCTCTTTGCAATTCTTCTATCCATATTCTTCTCCAAGTTCTTTGGTTTTATTTCCAAAATAAAAGTCCTGAAATGAACAATCAGATCTAAATACCACATTCAGGATAATGACCATGAGCACTGAATGGCAGCATAACATTTAATGTTTTATTCTTTTGTTTTTAATTTTTAACCGCTTTTTTTCTTCTATACAACTAAACAATGGCTCGTATCTTTATTAGCTGCCTGAAATGACTCCTAAGTATTCTAAAGAGATTATTGCTAATTCAAAATATATGATTATGCACTGGTAATTATTCCAAATAAATCTACTTAATAGTAGCATTATTGATTTGTCAACTTGCAGCATTGTATTTGTATCTAGGCCTAATAATTTTGTATTTATTTCCAATTTTTCTGTGGTTCAGTGACTAACATTGCATTGTTACTACAAACTAGATGAACTGAAAATCAGCATGCACATGGTCAGTTGCTTCTGGAAATAATTTTAATTTTGCCTTGAGTTATACTTTCTTAGAAATGGAATTATTACCATCCCATGAATATCATTTTTCACATACTTAACATATTTTTTCATAAGTTAGTTCCATTTATGTAAATATGGTTGTAGCTGCCTAGTGTTAAAACTTATGGATGACAATTAGCACAAATATTGAGTTACATTTACTTATATAGGATTTCTAAAAGTGCTTTGGGAAACCCCAAGTTTATACTAAGTGCTAACTTTAATCTTGTTTCCAAGTTCTAAAACATGAATGACATCATGAAGTCTCATTCTGAATTTTCAGTGTTGATATTTATTCAGCAATAGGAGCAAAGACCCTACAGTCAGTCTCTGTGGGTTTGAATCCCACCCTTATCACTCACTAGAGAAACCTTAGGAAAGTTACTTAACATCTTCTCAAATACCTTGTTGAATTTGGAATGACTGCTTTTAGGATAAATGGAGGTAAGAAAAGAGGATATTCCAATAAAGTGGAACAGTTTAATAAAGGCATGGGCAGGAGACCCAAAGAAGTAATTGATTAAGTTAGGGGATGCACATGGTGTAATAAGTTGGAAATGTTTAAAAAAAGTGGGTTCACATTATGGAAGACATTCTTGAACATCCAGAGAAATAGTTGGGCGAAAGGTACTATAATGAAAGCTGTTTTAAAAACACTACAAGAGTAACTCATGCATGAGGAAAGAATAAAAAATGAATGCTGTTGAAGCAAGAAAGTAGCTACTGCATTCAGCCTGATGGGTAGTGGAGAAGGTTAAACCAATATGATACTGTATTAAAAAAAAAAAAGAAGGAATTGGAAAAATATGAGAGAATTCTAATGAAATAATTGCACGGATGAATGCTTCTGAGCCCATCACATCCTAGTCACAATTCCTGGTTTCATTTATTTTGTTTCACTGTTTTTCAATAGCAAGAGAGGAATTAACAGCTAACTGAGGCAAGCATCAGCACAGAGGCAGGGAGCATTAGGGGTGGAGCAGTCAGGGAACAGGAAGACTGCAGTGTCATCTTGAGTGACACCAAAGAATATAGCCCCATACCACCTATTTCCTCCATCTGTTAACAACATTTCTCAAAACCAGGGCTACTGTCAAATTTATAAATACTGTTATTTCTAAATGTATTTAACTGATTTAAATATGTTTGCTACTGCTGGTTCCCTTATAATCTCCATTTATAATATTTAAAAGGTTCTGTGTTGGCATTCAGATGGAAGAAAAAGCATGAGAAATTTCATCTTGAATATGAGGTTATCTAAGGAAAGAATTCGGTTAGCTTCAGGTGAATTTATTCTTCCCCCCTCCAGCCCCATCTTTTTTATTTATTTATTTATTTATTTATTTATTTATTTATTTATTTATTTTGAAACAAGGTCTTGCTCTGTCACTCAAGCTGGAGTGCAGTGGCACAATAACAGCTCCCTGCAACCTTGAACTGCCAGGCTCAGGTGATCCTCCCACCTCAGTACTCTGAGTGTCTGGGACTACAGGCGTGCGCCATCATGCCTGGCTAATTTTTAATTTTTTTGTAGAGTTGGGGTCTCACTATGTTGTCCAGGCTAGTCTCAAACTCCTAGACTCAAGCAATCCTTTCACTTTGGCCTCCCAAAGTGTTGGGATTACAAGCATGAGCCACTGCACCTGGCCCTTCTTTTTCTTTTTACCAAATTATGCGTAAGTATTTCCCTGATTGGTTTGGGGTGTTTCGATTTAGTTTAAAATAGAAATATATGTTTTAAAGTAGTGCAGACCTCTAGCTTTTAATCCAGTGACAGCAGTAAATAAAATGAGATTTGAGAATATGCTGTCATTGATCTGCCCTAGCTTCTTTTGTTCATGAAGGATTAATAGAGAAGAGGTGATTTTTCAGTCTTCTGTATAACAACTTCTTTGGTTCAATATTACAGGAGCCTTGGGTCACTGTGGTGACCATGTTCCCTTTGACCTTTTACTTTTTGGGTTTTTTTTTTTTTTAGATTTTCTTTGCAATTTATGAACCTCAAGTGTCTTAATAAGTAAGTGCCTCTGTAGGTAGCCTATTGTGCAGAGTTGCAATAAAGGAAAACACTACTAGAAATGCAACACAGCACTAATCCCATTAACAAATGCAGCCAGTGTCAGAGATACCATAAGAGGCAATTTGACTGAGATGGGAGGACATCCCACATCGTTTATGGGCTGTTGAACAAGAGACTTTCTTAGCCTCATCAGCAGGTTAGCTGCATATGAATCCTCATTTTTATTTAGGGACAGAGCCCCTTGCTTATAATGCTATTGGTCAAAAATGAGCAGTTTTTACTGTTGCCTGCAACGTTGCTAGCACCTTATTTGGGGCTCTTTTTATAAGGACCCGCGATGAAAGTTGTAGATGGTAACTGTGAAGAAATCTCCCCTCCCTATACCCACCTTTTCAGGCTCTGAGATTTGAATAAAATAACTTTTATAGAAAATATTTTCTATATTAAATTCTATAACTCTAATCCAAATTTGTAGATCCTCAATCTTAAATAAATAAGCGTAGTTTTCTTCAATTTTTTATCTAGGATATTTTGTCTCAAGATCCTATCAATGTTACATAATATAAATCCTCATATTCTCACCCTGACCCACTAACTTAACAAGCAGCTGATATACTGCCCCCATCTTGGCCATTCTCACGGATTCTATAATACTTCTACAGCCACATCTGCTGTTTCCAGCTCTCCACTAAATCATCAATGGGCCTAATTTTGCCAGACCCTAGGCCCTTAGCACTGTGATCCAAATAAGTTAATAAGAAATCTCTAATTATTGGACTAGTAGCAAAACTTCATGCAATGGGCTTGGGCTGATAATGCAACACAAACAGTAACATCCCCTTGTTAGAAACATCCCAGGTTGCCGTGCCTGCTGCTGATTCCTGAATGCAAATTGCAGGTATGTTTGGGCTCTAGAAAATTAGAACCAGAACCCCATTAGACAAAATCAGGTATCAACTCCTGATTTCACAGTTGAGAAAACCACATCCAAGAGTGTTCAATTTTCTGACCAAGGTCACACAGAGACTTTGTGTCAACATAAGGCCAAGAATTTAAGTCTTCTGACTTCCGGCCTAATGTTCTTTCCACTTCATTTTACTGCCACTAAGTCCAAGTCATTAACATTAACATAAAAATAATTTGAGCACATACTCCATTGAAAACAGACTACATTAAAATATCAAAGATGTGAACTGAAACATCAGTCTCCCAAATGGAGTGAGCACAACCTTGGATCGTTCTCACGTTTTAGAGAGATGCCTGTCAGTCACTTAAGACCCTTAAGATTCCCGAACCCATGTTAATAAATTTCTAGAATACTTTGGATGCTTTAGACTACAAACATACTAGTAATTACTGCTAAAAATAATGTAAAAAATGGAAGCTTTATTAGTTCACAAAACAATAGGCCAGAGGTGGTGAAAGTCCAGAGTTAGTTAATTCATCAGTTTAACAATGTCAGGGTTCTGGTTCTCTGTGATTGTATCAGCTTTCCTTTCCTGATGCCACTATATTCCCAGGCATTAGACACAACCATGGGCAGGGGAAAAAGTGGCTAATGCCTGCCTGTGGCCCTTTTCTCAGAGTTGAGAAAAATTTTTCCAGTCACCTTCCCCAGTATATTACAGCTCATTAGTCAGAACTGCATCACATGTCCTTGCCTAAACCGATCGTGGTCTAGAAAATGGAATTACCACAATTTTTTTAGAGTAATCAACATTCTTGTGAATCAGAAAGCCTTCAAGTATCTTGACAAAATCAGAATTCTGTTGGCAAAAAAGAATTAGGATGTATGTAAGGGAGGATGGTGATTGATTCATATAATTGTGCTATATTTCTTAATTACCAGGCATATGGTTCTTTTTAAAGATAGTTATGATGTAAGATATCAGGATCCTGGATTCATCAGCATCTAACAAGTTACTACTTCTGGTGGCCAAATCTGGAAGCGTCTGTTGCATGCAATAACATGGCACCTGGGAATATGCACTTCTGTGCCCATTATGACTGATATGCGATACTTGGAAGAATCATTATTCTACTCACAGAAGGAGGAAACCCAGCAAATGTTAGAGAACAAGACTTTTAACGTAAGCAGTAGTGGAAGATCTGATTTACTCACCCCAGCCCCTTTCCCAGATGTACTTGAATAAAAGAGTGAGAGTGAATTCTTTTTTTTTTTTTTTTTTTTTTTTTTGAGACAGGGTCTCGCTCTGTTGCCCAGGCTGGAGTGCAGTGGTGCGATCTCAGCTCGCTGCAACCTCCGCCTCCTGGATTCAAGCAATTCTCCTGCCTCAGCCTCCCGAGTAGCTAGGATTGCAGGTGTGCACCACCATGCCTGGCTAGTTTTTTGTAGAGAGATGGGGTCTCACCATGTTGGCCAGGCTGGTCTCGAACTCCTGGCCTCAAGTGATCCACCCACCTTGACCTCCCAAAGTGCTGGGATGACAGGCATGAGCCACCGCGCCCAGCCCAGAGAGTGGACTCTTTAACAATCAGGCTTTATAGTGCTTCAAAATTTAGACCAGGCCTAAGCAACAGGGTAGTAGGGTAAGGTTGCAAGTGGGCAAGCAGAGGTAACAACAGGCACCTTGTCTTCCAAACACACGGAGTAGACTAACTTGGCTCTAGCCGACAGCTCCTGACAGAGGTGTTGCCAGAACCCGAGCTGAAGTAGAGGCAAGCCTGGAGTGAGGATCTAGATAAGTTATGAGCAACTAAAAGATGCTACCCTTTTCCAGCTTTCTTTCATAAAAATCTTACTTTTTACGTTATTTCTTCTAAAGCTTTCTCATTATGCTGCTAGAAACCCTTCTAAAGATATATTACCTTAATAAACTAGTGAAACAATGCCAGTTTTGAAAATGTGATCAGGCTGAGAACCCCCTTCTCCTTCTCCCCACTTATGCTTCAAAGAAGTGGAGAAAAGGACTGCTCTACCTATGGAGTAGCCATTCTTTATTCTTTCCTTTCCTAATAAACTTGCACACACACACACCACACACACACACACACACACACAAGAAGTGTAGAAAAGATCTGAAAGGTCAGGTTGTGTTTAGATTCTGAAGGGTTTCCTAGTGCTAGGCCAAATTATTTGTAGTCTATATAATGCACTAAGAGACGCAGAGAGGAGGTATGTACAGAGTAGGGAAAGAATGAAACCAGGGTTTCAGAGACATTAATGTGGTTGGGCTGTGTGGGAGAGAAGAGCAGAAGAGAAGAGACTAGGGCAGAATAAAATAAAGAAGTGATAAAATCCCAAACCAGGGAAATAACTGAGGCAGAAAGATCCACTGGAAAAAAAAAAAAAAAACTATAATAGGAATTAATGAAGGACTATCTATGGTAATCTAGGTGAAAGTCATGGTAGAAGTTGACTCTAGTGGCCAAGGCTGGGTGACAGAGACAATGACAGAAATGAAGATTATTTTTTTAAAGGAGCATCAGTGGTTTTGTTTTCCTGACCACAATATTTTCTTGAAGAAAAAGATGGCATTCTTCTCTTCCTCACATCTCATATTTGTAACCCCAGAATATCTCATACAATGCCTGGAACACAATATATGCTCATTAATATTATTGAAGAAATAGGAGCTTGATTTGTCATTTAGTTGCTGTCAATATGTCTCTGATACTGTGATACTGCAGTGGTAAATTAACAATGAAAACTAATTTTGTCAAGCATTTTTCAGGATATGCTTTTCAAATAGCTGCCTTCATCTATAGCATAGAGCATTTCTCTACTGCCTCACATCTTAAAATGTTACTCTAGCACCATCTCTAGTGCGACAAAATTACACACAGGATACAAGCTCAGGTGAAATCGTTCTGTCAATTTCAGTAAGCTTATACTTATTTTCTAGACTCCTCTGTGTTCTAGCCCCTACCAAACAGTCCAGCTTCATCTCTTGCTACTTCACCTTATCGCTAACCCTAAATTCTTCTATCTAGCCACAGTGACTCTTCTGATTTCTCAATGCCATGCTGTTTTCTTTGGGTCCTTAGTTATAGGTAGCCACCTTTGCCTGGAAATGTTTACTCCACTTTTACCTTTATGTGGCACAGTCCTGCTCTTTTTAAGCTTTTAGCTCAGTTACTTCCTTCCAGAACTTCTTGTACTCCTACATATGGGGTAAGGGCCTCCCTTGCTCCCATGATACTCTAGCCTTTCTTCACATAGCATGTACCATACTATTTAATTGCCTGTTTGTCTACATTCCTCCTGTATGAACCATATTCTTGTAAGCCCCAAGCATATATCCTGGTTGTATTAGTCCATTTTCATACTGCTATAAAGAACTGCACAAGACTGTAATTTACAAAAGAGGTTTAATTGACTCTCAGTTCAGCATGGCTGGGAAGGCCTCAGGAAACTTACTTACAATCATGGCAGAAGGTGAAGGGGAAGCAAGACACCTTCTTCACAGTGCAGTAGGAAGGAGAAGGGCTGTGCAAAGGGGGCAGGGCGCCTTATAAAACCATCAGATCTCTTGAGAACTCACTCATTATCAGGAGAACAGCATGGGGGAAACTGCACCCATGATTCAATTACCTCCACCTGGTCTCTCCCTTGACACATGAAGATTATGTGGATGACAATTCAAGATGAGATTTGGGTGGGGAGGCAAAGCCTAACCATATCACTTGTACTTAGCAGTTGCTCAATAAACATTGTGAAATAAGTATTGTGAAGTAAACACTACGAAATTAATTAATGAAGAAAATAAATGTAAAGTATGTTGGTTGGCAAAGTTAGAAGTATTTGTTAAAAAGTCCATTAATGATCTTGTAGAATCACGTAAACATGTTGATATATTAGTATAAATATATTGCCTACAGATTGGCATACAGTACAGTGAAAGTACTACAGTAAGCTGTACTTGGTCTATTTTATGCTCCCTTTTTCTTCCCAGGAAAAAAGAGAAGAATAAGATAATGGCTATCAGAGAAAGAATAATTGGAACACCTTAGTCTTAAATAGGTTTGTTTGACAAGAGTATGATTAAAATAATTTCACATATAGAGTTTAATAAAGCAATGACAAAAGAAGGAAAAATATCTTCATATAGCCAAAGAGAACAAGGAATTTGCAAAATTCATGAATAGACATGAATAGATGAGAATAAATGATGATTGGATATTTAACTATTTTGGCCACTGAAGATATTAGTAGGCATTTGCATAGAAGGCAAAGCAAACATTCTTTGCTGATGTTAATATTCAGGTTTACAAATCACTGTGGTAAGCACAGTTCTGCCCAGGAACACAAAGTGTGCGTTCAACCTACACAGTTGAAGGCAGTGGCTCTGGTTCTGCCCTATTTACTAGGCCACAATTGCTCTATTCCCCAAATTGTTCTAATTTACTTAAAGTTACTATATAGTCAAAAGGGAATTTCTTGAATTGTAACATTTAATTATTTTAGACCCGAGATTTTTATTTTAGTGTACAGAAATACTAGTTTAGATTCCAATAAGTCTGGGACATAATTTCCTTTGTTTACTAGACTATAATTTGTGCTTATTAGACTGGTATATTATTGAAATCAAATAAACACTGTAAATGAACTCTGTATTTTGTAAATAATAAAATATTGATAAGAAAATTCAAAACAGTTTCAAAGTCATTAATAGGTATATTGCCCAAATAACTCCACTTGTCCTTAAGGTTAAACCTGTGTTTTGTTGAGAAAGCCTGCTATACCCCCAATCTGAATTAGCTGCTTTGTTTTGTGCTTCTACAATACTTTGTACATACATTATTGTTTTAGTCTTCCTTATTAATAGATAACTTTTAAGTTTCAAAAGTTACACCTGCATTTCTGAAACAAATGAAAACATAGTTGTATGAAAAGAGATAATTTTGTGGATTTTCCTCCACATGTTTCTCTGTCTTGGACATATTTCTATCCATGCTGTTAGCACACTGACTTAAAATTGTTTGTTTTAGATCCCCCTCTTCCATTGAATCTCACCTCACCCCTGGCTGCAAGTTAGAATCACCAAGGACATTTTTCAAGACACTCAAATATACCAACATTTCCTCCCTAAATTCTGATTTCAATGGTCTGAATGAGGTGAAAACCAGGTGTTACATTTTTAAAACCACCCCAGGTGTTCTTGCTACTTGGTTTATCTCTGTATTCCCCATGTTTTATTCTTCCTCTTCTTGAAGTCTCATAAGAAAATGGTACCTATAGTTGTTAAATAAATTGATTGTTTTTAAAGAGATAAAATTGCCTTAATTGGACTAGAGAATACCAAATCTATTTCTAATTTGCATACAGAAATGCCTCACCTTAGGCAAAAAAAAAAAAGGCATCAGAAAAATTGAAAGCAAAATGTATTGCCAAAAAATAAATTACATTTTCTTATAGAATTTATATAAAGTTGGGGTATATTTTAGATGGAAACATTTGGCTCTAACAAGTTAAATTATAAGTTTTGAATATTTCAAGTATAATTAAATTATGGTTCAAAATTAACCTGCACACTCATCTACCACCAGAAAAATACTAGCCATTATTTATAAAAATCAAAATTACTCAGTGATAGTTACTTCTCCAGGGAAGAAGGTGAGTCGGTAATAAGCTATGCCCCCATAACCTTACAATCACGCTGGGAAGCAGCAGCCAGTAGCCAAACTGCATCCTGGTGGCACTGACTGATCCTTCTGGGAACCAAGCCCATGACCCTAGTTTTGTTTCAAACTCAAACACAGAGGATCCCTGCAAATCCGGTTACTCACTGATGTGAGAATTCATTTTTTCAAATAAACTGAAAGCTATGGAGTCTTTTTTGGGCACTCTAGTCCATTACTTTTAGCTCTTTCATCTAAAGGAATTTATTCTGCACTTTGTTGCTTATTCTCTACTGCTGTTTCTTGATTATTTGCTGAAAGGTACCTATCCTGTTGAGGATGGCTGTTGATATTGCGTATTTAGTATTTGTCCTACGGTTTTTATCCTAATATAAAAAGCCTGTTCTTTCTTCTGTGCTCTCCCCGTCTCTCTACCTCCGCTGAGCTTCAGATTGCTTTTAAAGGGTGACCTGGCACACTTCTGTGTGCATGCACTGGTATTACAAAACACACCTTCCCATTTACTTGTGAGATTAAATATATATATATATTTATTTATTTATTTATTTATTTAAAGGGATTATGCTTATATTTAAGAAAAGAATTTATGTCTATATAAAGGAATATCCATATCAAGTATTAGGTCATATTTATCTCAAGATGGGAAATAGGACATATTTTAACTACATGGGTGAGTAGAGAAATAAGTAGTTTAAACTGCTGTTGTTTGACTTCCCAAGCTGGCCACCCCTAAGTGTATTAAATCAAGGATTTTTCTCAGCCTAGAAAGTTAAATAGCAGGTGTAGTACTTAATGAACTGCAGCGAGTTGGACTTATTGGTGTGGCAAATAGATTGCGATATTTCTTTCCAATTAAAGTTCTTTTGCAAAGATCAATGAAGCACATTTTCACAAATTGAATTACACTAAACTAATAAACAAAATTCTCCCATTCCCACTGATGGCAAATTATTGTTTCCTTAACATTTAAAATCCCATCACACCATTAATTATAAAATGCAAGGGCTAGGAAAGATCAAATATTTATTTGCTCATGTGTTTCTATTTTACTTCCAATTTTATAAGAAAGGTAAGAAACATTATATGTAAAGAAAGCTGCATAAGAATAATTTTCCAAACTTGAATTTTTTTGGTCTTTGATCCATAAGCACTTTTTATTTACTAAATAACATGCATGTCCTAATGATTAAAAGGTCTGATCTTTAGTAAATTAGAAAAGAATCTGCTATAGAGTAACCTTTAATTAATGAATGCATGGAACACATTTACATCAGAAACAATGGGCTTGATAGAAAAATGAAAATAGCTTAGGACTTTGCCTCTAGAATCAGTGAGCTGCTTCAGAAAAATTAAAATATTAGTTTAGCAACCTTAAATGTCATTACTTTACTCAAATAATGCATAAATGTTATGATATTCATTTTCTAGGACCTCCTCACCCTTCACCTCCCCTTGATATTTCTTTTCAAGTATACTTTGGAAGAAAGTTTATACTTTTATGTAGTTTTCATTTTAAAGTTTTTAGTATTTCAATATTGATGCAGGATAACGAAAATGGAGTAACCTCAGAAGCAAAGAATAAAGCTTTAATAGGAACTTCTGTTTTCAAACCACAAAAGGCAATATTTGGTGAAGATGCACATGCAAGATTTCCTCTCTAAGAATATCCTAGGACTTAAGAAGACTTTCCCACACCGTGGTCTACTACTTCAAAATTTTCCCAGTTGCTCATGAGAGGATCTGTATTTTGTGAACATTCCTAGCATGATGAAGAGCCTATCAAATAGTATTCCCAAGCCTAGTGGCATTTTGGTGACTTGCCAACCCACGTCTGTGTAGCATCTCCAAAGAGATCCAGCATAAAGGGAAAAAAAATAGAAAGAAAAATGTAAAGAAAAGTTTCTGATATTCCATCCCACCCCCTCCTTTCTCCTCCTCTACTAACTCCATGTTTCTCTTTAGTGGCTCATCTATGCAGACGACTTTTGGATTTTTATGGGTCATTTGATTTAATTTAAACAGAAAATATGCTGTGGGTGTTTGTCAAATTTATTTTGCAAATAAACAAACATACACACAGGCATGCTCAAAGGCATGTCATTTGTGACATACAGTTGCACACAGAATGTCAAATGCATGTCATAAATGACCATCTGCTACCATTTTATGCAGGAAATGACATTTTAATACCAAAAATAGTAGAAAACCCATAATATCAGAAAAAATATTTCTTTAAATGAAATAAGTTTAGCTTCCCAAACTTACTTATTTTTCTCATTTCTTCATACAATGGTGATGTTTGTCATAAATCAACATAAGCCCACAATCCAGCTTTTGAGAACTACAATACCAAATGCCGTGGCTCAACCCTTTGTACTAACTAGAAAGGATCTGAATTATTTCTCAAAGCATAATATGCCTACTACTTACCAGGGATCTTGTTAAATGGACGTGCTGGTTTGGTAGGTCTAGGAGTTGCCTGAGACTCCTTATTTAACAAGCTACCAGATGGCACTGAGGATGCTCATCTGTGGACCAAACTTTTAGTATCAAGGAACAAAACTGTTTTCTTCCCAGTGTTAATAGCTAGCCTGTCAGCCAAGGCATTATTCTTTTTAGAACTTTTAAGTATGTGTGTTGGGGGTTAGTGGGTTGGTTATTATAATGAGAAGCCTTAAAAACCCAAATAATTTAATCTGTAAAAATGATGTAATGGGGCATCATTTGGAGGGATAATATCTTCTTAATCTAGTAACCTAAACCAGACCAAACTTAATTTGTTTACAAATTATCTTGGGTCAAATCATGCCACATTAAGTATCATTATTCTTATTCTAGTTGGCAATATCCTCACCAACATTTGTTTCTGATTAAAGCTTCTTTAAATTATTTCCAGACTATTCCTTATTATTGATTAGCTTTTTTTTTTTACATGTATTCCAGTTACAGATGAAGCATAGTATTCGTATGACATCCAATACTTTTTCACTGGTTAGCATACTGAGATAAAAAGCAGAAAAGGAAATAGAGATATTGATTTTAAAGGAAAAGTAACTTCCATTTTTGTAGTATTTTATGATTTCCAAAGGGTTAACCACAATTAAACTGCCCTCCATGAGCATAGGAATCATGCCTGTTTCTCCAAAACTAGCCCTAGCACACAAGACCAGTGCCTGGCCAATAATATAATAGGTATAGTGGATTGAATAGCCCCTTCCATCCTATAATGTGTCAATGTCATTTTATCTGTATATAGTGGATTGAATAGCCCCTCCCATCCTATAATGTGTCAGTGTCATTTTATCTGTAAAAAGCATCTTTTTAGATGTAGTTAAGGATCTTGAGATGGGATCATCCTGGATTACCCAGGTGGGCTCTAAGTCTAATAAAAAGTAACCTTATATGAGACAGAAAAGGAGACAAAACAGAACAGAAGAGGAGGCAATGTGGAAGTTGAAGCAGATACTGGAGTGATGCAGCCAAAGCCAAGGAAGGCTGCAGCCACTAGAGGATGGACGAGGCTAGGAATAGAATCTCCCCTAGAGCCTCTGAAGGGAGCATGGCCCTGCTGACACCTTGATTTTGGACTTCTAACCTTCAGAACTGGGAGAGAAGCAATTTGTGTTGTTTTAAGCCATCAAGTTTGTGAAAATGTATCATGGCAGCCACAGGTAACTAATAACAGTAAAAAAGCCAATATTCATGGAATGACTGAACAGCTGAAGTAGGACAGATATGAGAAATCATAATAAGAAGAGAGAAATTCAGAGTGGCAGAGTAAGTTGCCTAAGTTTGCTCAGCCCCAGCATGATAGAGGTATTTGTCAAATATCTTTTTTTAAAAAGTCACAGTACTTCCGGCCGGGCGCGGTGGCTCACGCCTGTAATCCTAGCACTTTGGGAGGCCGAGGCAGGCGGATCACGAGATCAGGAGATCGAGGCCATCCTGGCTAACACGGTGAAACCCTGTCTCTACTAAAAATACAAAAAATTACCCGGGCGTGGTGGCGGGCGCCTGTGGTCCCAGCTACTTGGGAGGCTGAGGCAGGAGAATGGTGTGAACCCAGGAGGCAGAGCTTGCAGTGAGCCGAGATTGCACCACTGCGCTCCAGCCTGGGCGACAGAGTGAGACTAAGTCTCAAAAAAAAAAAAAAAAAAAAAAAAAGTCACTAGTATTCTGTATACTAGTGTTGGTCTACTAAAACTTATAAAATCTGACTAGTTTTTAAACTCTTACAAGCCATCCACAGAAGACAAAATGTTAGATAAAATAAGATTGTGAATATCTTTCTCTAGAGTAAAATTAAGCATTTTTATAAATACCTTTCAGCATCCAGTTTTTAAGAAGTTTAAGAATTATAAAATGTTCACATTATAATCAAACTGGACCATGTTTGTGAGACATCAGTGCTCCTGATCGTTTAAACAATGAGTTAGTCCAATTGCATGATAAAAAGAGGAAGTAGTTAAGAATAAAGGTGAGGCAGGAAATTTTTGTCAGAAGACAGACAAGGATTTGAATCATGGCTCTACCATCCAGGTGCAGTGAGACTTTGGCCAAGTTACTTAACCTCTCTGTGCCTCAGTTTCCCAGGAATAAAAATTATAATTCTTTTGGGACATGTAAAGATTAAATGAGACCACATTTCAAGGCTCAGACTCTGGCATATTGTGGCCATTACTATCTAGCAACAAGCACACAGTAGAATTTGATCAGCATTTGTTGAGTGTATTTATTCAAACCTGCAGTTGGACTATAATAAACTAAGATAATTTAACTGCCTTTTGGTTGCTCGAGTCATCTCAGGGCAATAGTATACTTTTTAAGTGCAATTCAAACTATTAACTTAGCTACATGAAGTCATATAATGTGCAGATTCTAGATATCAAATTTTTTTTTTTTTTGCATCCTCTCTTGGGTCATGAGACTTTCAAAGGACTACCATTAAGAGATCCTGCATTTGAGAATAAGAAGAAAAACTTTGGTATAGATTCTTTTTTATTCAAATGCCCATTATTCTGAAATTGATTTACTCTTCCTGATGGAAAAGTATAAAATTTGTTGGCCTGCAGGGGAATTTGCAAAAGGCCTATCTGGTTAATAAGTCACTTATCTAATTGATACTAGAGTATCAGCAGGGTGGGTTATGAAATCATGAAACAAATGATCTGACAGTCAATTAATTCTGTTTCATCTTTGTGTATGTTCCTAGAGGCTCTATGATAGGATCCAGTTTATAAATAAAAAATAAAGAGATGCTTTTTGTCTAGGTTAAACTTGATTTCATTCTGAACTTATATTGTACAGTTGTTCATGAGCATGAGTTAATTGACAATGTTTAGCAGTCTTTTTTTTTTTTTCCTTTTTTGAGATGGAGTCTCACTCTGTCGCCTAGGCTGGAATGCAGTGGTGCGATCTTGGCTCACTGCAACCTCTGCCTCCTGGGTTCAAGTGATTCCCCTGCCTCAGTCTCCCAAGTAGCTGGGGCTACAGGCACCTGCCACCATGCCCAGCTAATCTTTTGTGTATGTATTTTTTATAGAGATGGGGTTTCGCTCTGTTGGCCAGGTCGGTCTCGAACTTCTGACCTCAAGTGATCCACCCGCCTCGGCCTCCCAAAGTGTTGGGATTACAGGCGTGAGCCACCATGCCCAACGTGTTTAGCAGTCTTTGAGAAAATTTTGGTTGAAGGACATTGTGTTGGATCCAAGTATACTTTGGACACCTGAGCTCCCGCAATTTCCTTGCATGAGCTACTGAAAGATAGAAATTACACACTTGGGCAGTGCAATTGGATTGAAATGGATTTAAATCTCGTATCTCAAATTCTATCTATCTTTAAATCTATTATTTTATAAAATTATATAGTTCAAAATGCACATGAGAAAAAAGTGTCTATTAATCTGACAATTTTCAATTTATCTTTTGATGATGTTATTAAAACTATCCAAATCTACTTTTGGTTGACATATTCTCTTCTAACTTCTTCATGAAAGCTTCAATTCATGTACATGTGATAATAATAATAAAAGTTAACATTCATTGACTACTTATTAGGTTCTAGGCACGGGGGAAGGCACTTTATGTATCATTTATTTAGTGTATGTGGTTTTTTTAAAGCTTGGAGTGACTGTTCAGGAAACTAGCCTAAATTTTTCATTATATACATAAGAAAACTGAGGCACAGAGAAGCTAAGTTACTTGATTAGCCGAGGATACAAAGATGGTTAGAATGTAACTTTGTAGCATCATATCTTTGTGACAAAAAGAACAATAGCCAATCTGTGACGCAAAAACAAAGGCGGTTTCTCATTCCATTCTGTGCAAGGCAGAGCTGCTCAGAGAACAAAGCTGTCTTTGAAGCTGGGGATGGCTCCATCTCAAATCAGCTCTGTGGGGTGCAGAGTATGACAAGATGCAGCCAACACAGCAGAAAATCAAGTTCAAAACACTCAAGTTATTTACAATCCTTTGGTGCCAAACCTTAAAGAAAGAATTCTTATTATGTTTTATGTATGTTTCTAACTTGTCTTCATTAGCTTCCCTTTGATATTTTTGGCAAATCAGTTTAACCTTCAAAAGTCTTCATTTATTCTACTTGATTAAATCAAACAAATGAATAGATAACATAGAATCAAATAGCAGTATTGTCTGTTCTGAGAAAGCAACAGCACAAAGAGGTAAAGAAAATGCAAATTGAAGCTAGATGATTGTATACATTACTTTATTGAATGTCTTAAATCTGCTCAGATTTGGATGGTGGGGAAAGAAATACAAATGTTTCTAGAATCTACAGTTGAATATTTGAACTGCTGGGCATGGAAGGTTTAAAAACAAAAGCTAGTTAGAAAAAAAGATTGAAAAGGTAAGTTTCAGACTCTGGCATTTTTGTCTTTTTTAAGTTAGTTTCTGTTGAAGCCCTACCTTCAGGATTTTCTTCCCAAGTACTTTCCCTAGAGTATATAAATCAATGCAACAGTACCCTGTAATAGTATCTTAACCTGGAGAAATATCACAAGACTATAAAAAAATGCTTTTAGCAAAGGTGTCAACTTTGCCCCTATATCATCGATGAAATGTCAGCTTGAAAGTCTAGGTATGTTGGAACCATTAGAGAGAAAAAGAAGGGAAGACAGATTAAAGAGGCCAGAAAGTAGGCAATTTAAAATGAAAAGTTTAGGCTGGGTGCGGTGGCTCATGCTTGTAATCCCTGCACTTTGGGGGGCCATGGCAGGTGGATCACCTGAGGTCAGGAGTTCAAGACCAACCTGGCCAACATGATGAAACCCTATCTCTACCAAAAATAGAAAAAAAAAAAAAAAGTAGCTGGGTTTGGTGGCGGGTGCCTGTAATTCCAGCTACTTTGGAGGCTGAGGCAGGAGAATAGCTTGAACCCGGGAGGTGGAGGTGGCAGTGAGCCGAGATCACGCCATTGCACTCCAGCCTGGGTGACAAGAGTGAAACTCTGTCTCAAAAAAAAAAAAAGGAAAAGAAATAAAGAAAATTGTATGGCACGGCACAAACACAGCTAGAACTTTTAGCTCCATAGGAATAGAATTGAAGAAGTTGAAGATAAATTAGGAAATGGAAATGTTGCAGGAAAATGAAAGGGCACTGTTTTACTTCAGGTTCCCCAAGAAATACTCTGAGATGAAGATCTGCATCCAGGAGTCTTATTAGAAAGTGCTCTTGGGAACACCTGTAAGAGAATGAGAGAAACAGAATTGTACAGAAGGAGAAGTTACAATGCAGTGGCAACAGAAGCTCAGTTGATCCTACGGAACATCTGGAGCTGGGATGGCTCTTCATATTTGTCTCAAATCAAAGAAAGGGTTTGAAACTTTGACCCCTACATCAACAAGTCATTCTCTGCTAGCTGGCCTTAGGAAAGGGACAAACTCTTGAGCAAGGTAACTTCTTTCAGCTGAGGGCTATTCCTGACGATAGACCCAGGTGGGGGCCAAAAGGAGCCAACACTTTCTCAGCTGGGAGAATGAATGTTGTGGTGCCAAATGAGGGATCAAGTGGGGTATCACAGCATCCATTAGGGCTCAACCCTGTGCTTCTCAGATCTCCTTACTTCATGCAGTCAATTCATATCATCTGGGAGCAGCACCTCAAAGAAAGATTTTGGTTAGTCTTTGTCCTGAAGAAACTTACAGGAGAAAGTTTCTTTTAGACAGACTGTAGCCCCATGTAGCAGTTGTTCCTGAGGTTACTCATTGATTCTCTTCTTAACTTTCATTCTGTATTTCCATCACCCTGGGCTATCATCTATGTAGGTCTGGTGAAGTGACCCAAATCCTAATTCCTGGGGCTCCGGCAACTGGTCTCTATGCCCTTTTCAGGCTACAGTAGCATTGCTTGTTCATTTACTGTCAAAATTGGGCAGAGGGAGAACCATGGAATGGCAAAGTGGATCACCTGGGTCCCAAACATACTTTTTGCTGTTTGCTTCTATAGCAAACATAGGTAGGTAGGTAGATGCCTAGCTCTTCCTGATCATCAAGGTCAGTTACTCCAGCCAGGGTAATGACTCCTCTGCTTTTCTTCTGGGCCGTTGGCATGATGAGCCTGAAGTGACCAGGTGGCAATCACAGCTTAAAGTTTAATGGAACTCTTACTGTGTACCCAGTTGAAGTGTTTTCCCCTGAGAATACATCCACATTACTTAAAGTTACAGAGACAGAAAGGAAAAATTCTGCAATCGGGCCCTTGGGAAGTACGTAAAGCTACTTCTACTTCTATCATTTGGTCTCTGGATTTATATATTCCTATCCACTGGGAACAAAGCACCATATAATAGTCATTGGTTTAGAGTGTAGATTGAATGCTGGAGAATGGTACCCCGTCCAAGCAAAATATTCTCTCTAATCTGGCCTCCTCAAAAGGCCATCCCAGAGCTTTCTCAGGTAGACAGCCTTGGCATCATCTTGAGCACATTTCTACATCTGCTTTTCTGTGAAGAAGGTCTCTAGGTCTGAGATTATCTTAGGTGTTATGCTATGCCATTTGAATAAACACTCTGTAAGCCTTCTGATAATGGAGCTGGCTAAAGCTTTGTGTGCAGAAAATGCAGACCCATACCTGGAAAATGTATCTATTTCAGATAAGAAGAAAGGCTACTTCTGCCAGGATAGAAAGTGTCTAATAAAACAATTTTGGGATGGGCACAGTGGCTCATGCCTTTAATCCCAGCACTTTGGGAGGCTGAGGTGGGCAGATCACTCGAGGTCAGGAGTTCAAGATCAGCATGGCCAACATGGTGAAATCCCACCTCTGCTAAAAATACAAAAATTAACTGGGCATGGTGGCATGCTCCTGTGAGCCCAGCTAGTTGGGAGGCTGAAGCACAAGAATCACTTGAACCTGGGAGGTGGAGGTTGCAGTGAGCCAAGATCACACCACTGCACTCCAGCCTGGTCAACAGAGTGAGACTCTGCCTCACAAAAAAACAAACAAAAAAACCATTTTGTCACAATGTTGCTTTGTGGAATTCTTTGAAGAATTTTTCTGTATCAGTGACCCAACGTTGGTTTCTTTTAATGGTATGTTGTGCTGTTTTGTCCACACACAGCTCTGTTCCTGGCACCACAGCTACTGGGGTGGCTGATGGAAGATACTGGCTGTTGTCAAACGGCTAAGTCAATCTGTCTATTGACTTGTTGGTACCTCTTTGATGGTAGATGCTCTCTTGAAGACATTAGCATGTAATTTACAACACAGTGGTTCCATATCCATTACATGAGGCTATGTTCCTCTGTTCTATCAGAGGTACCACATCTGATACCTCAGAAGCATTAGGGAAAATATTTTTTGGTGTTTTCAGTGCTACACCATAATGAATCAATATCTGTCTCATTTTTGAAGTGATCAGATTAGTTAGTTAAATGGGGATATTATGGAGACTACCACGCTCCATCTTTTTATCTTTTTAAGGGTGACTCTAATCTCCAAAAATCACCCCCTCCTCACATTTGATTTTTCCCATTATATAGTTCAGAGGCTAAGGAACTAATATAGGGGTTCTGTCACCTACCAGGTAGCTGAAAATGATCACTAGATACGTCCATGGCCACATGTAACCTGGAATGGGGATAGGAGTTCCTTAATTACCTTGCCTTTATATGCCCATTTGCCTCAATTTTAACAAAGAAAGTTATGATGTGATGCTTTAGTCTCGAGATATCAATGTCAGCAATTCTCAAATGGTTTAAATATTTCTTTTTTCCCATTATCGGAGGAAATGGCTGTAGGACCCTTTTAAGAGAGGACCAAGTGAATGACTACTGTATACCCCTTCCATGATGTTGCAAAATCTTTCTACAAGGGAATCATGCCTTTCCTTTTAAAATATCATAGATCTGAGAATTGACTCAAGTCTGGTTAGTTAGAAAAGAGATCTTGGCTTTTTATTGGTGCTTCTGAGTTCAGCTTCTCGATTATATATGCTTGATTTCCTTGGATTACATAGATTGAGCAATACTCTAGTTGGCTATCTATCTTGCACCTAGCAAAGCTATGTTTTAATCACTTTCTCCTTAATGTTCTGCATGTCATGCCACCCTGGCTACCCACTCTAATCTTTCCACTCGTTAACTTAATTGTGCCCACCTTGCATCTGACAGTCTAATATCATCACCCACTTTCTACTTTGGAATTCGATCATCCTCCTTGCTTACTGAAAACTCAGTTCTGTAACTATCTATCTTACTGTCAGTGCTGGCCTAGAAAGGACAGCTGCCACTACCTTCCCAGTGTCATTGGTGTCCCTCTCACCGGAACATTTCTCAACACTTTGATGAATGGAATACCCTGTGGGCTCTTCCAGAGAACATAATCAGGAGATAGATTTCCTGTGCTTAGGTAACATACCACTCTGCCATCCCCACACTGAGACTTGGAGGTCAGACTGGGTATTGGAGCTCCAGAGAAGGTGGAATCCTCAGTCTTTAGAAAATTGGCTACACCAAATTCAGGGCTTTGAATGGGAAGAAAAAATGAGACCCAAAGAATTGAGATGGAAACAACTGAGTCAAAGCACTTATAAATTCTAAATCTCCAGATTTCACCATGTACTGCGGCAGTGGCATTTGTGAGTATTTATTGTAGGTTATTGCTTTTTACTCAGTCTTCCAAGAATAATCCTAGTAGTATATTATTCCATTCTTCCAGGGCTATTGCCAGGTTGTTAATCCTTTATTACAGGAGAGTGCTCCCATATAGGTAATCTCTCCCATATCCAATATGTCCCATGCCCCTTGACCCAGCACCCTCAGAAAGCAGCCATTTATATAATCCTGTAGGGCTGAGGGATACATGTCAGTTACATCATCTATCTCCTTCGGCATGCAGTTCCTCTTCTAACAGATTCAGCACTTCTCTAGGTTGATCACGCTCTGATTTAACTCTGGTATTGGCCAGGTTGCCAGGAGGGGAGCTATAGATAGATCCTGAGGGGGGCACATATTGCCTTGCAAGACTCAGTTCTTTGAATCATCTGCGAATAAGGGGAGTACTAAATTTAAGAAAAGCATGCTCCAGTTTTGATAACCCAGAAGGCTCAGAGGAATCTGGGGATTTAGGATTTTTAATTATTTTCACCCAGATGTCCCATCTGAATTCTTTGGATCCCAATTTTCCTTCCCATTCAAGGTTCTGAATTTGGCATAGCAAATTTTCTGAAGACTGAGAATTCCATCTTCTCTGCAATTCTGCCACCCAGCTTTATCCTCAGTTTGTACTGCCCTCCAGTTGGTGGAGTTGAAAATATCATAGGTTGTCAAGGAGATCCTCTGATTAGTTACCCTCAGCCTTTTATTATCTCCAATGTATCCCTGGAATCCAGCAATAGCCATGAGGTTTCAGAGTCCTTCTAATGGCTATTTCTCAAAGAACTGAGATATGCCCTGCCCTTCTTTCATTTCCAGATTGCTTACTGTCACTGGAATTTCCATTTTATGTCACCACTGATAACATTTTAACAATTGCAAAGCTTCAACATGTCAAGAGCTCTTTGTACAACACAGCCTACCAGCATTAATGGGGTCCTCATTGCCAACTGGTCTATGAATAATCTAGATCCACAATCTCATTTTAATGTTTGCTTTCTAGGACCTATTCTGGTACCAAATCTTTTAAAATTGGGTTCCAGGGAAATAGACTTTGAGGCAGAGATTTATATGTCAAAGAGTTATTAGGGATGCTCGCAGGAAAAGAACTGTCGGGAGTGAGAGAAGCAAAACCGATGAGGAAGAACAGTAATGAACTTGCAACAGAGGCCTCAGCTGATCCTATAGGAAGTTTTGAAGCTGCGGTGGCCCTTCATAACTGTTCCAGATCAAGAATGTGACCAGGTCCTGTACCCTCATATGAACCAGTCAGTGGATGCCTAACAATGAGCAAGGAAGCTGTCTTTGGCCAAATAAAATTTCCAGTGATAGAGCCTAGTTGTAGCCGTCAGTAGCCAATACTCCTAGCAACTGGAGAAATAAGTCTTCCATTCCTGAAAGAACATCTCTGTGACGCCCCGCAGCATCCGCTACACACTGAACACAGAATATTGAAGTGAAGGAACTGCCTAGGTGAATAAAAAATAACTATTTTTATTTATTGAAACAACTATGGGTTGTTTCAAATAAGCTTTCTAAATTAACATGGAGGAATATATATATATATAGATATATATATAATTTCAACCTTTCCACATTTAAGTAAAAACTGTACATGATTATTTTAGTGACGATGCTGATGTGCTGACGATGCTGATGTGTGTATTTAAGTTCCAGCTATATATTTCTAACAGTCTTCTGGCCTATAGTCCAGTTATAAGCACTAAACTTGGATTTATGTAGCTCTACCATCCCGTTTATGGTGTCATATAAATGTTTTTCTTTCCTGTGTTATGTTTAGATATCAACCATATGTCTATTATTTTATTATTAGGATTCTTTTTTTTTTTTTTTTTTTTTTGAGATGGAGTCTCACTCTGTCGCCAGGCTGGAGTGCAGTGGCACAATCTCGGCTCACTGCAACCTCTGCCTCCCAGGTTCAAGTGATTCTCCTGCCTCAGCCTCCCGAGTAGCTGGGCCTACAGGTACCCACCACCACACCCCCTAATTTTTTGTATTTTTAGTAGAGATGGGGTTTCACCGTGTTAGCCAGGATGGTCTCGATCTCTTGACCTCGTGATCCACCCGCCTTGGCCTCCCAAAGTGCTGGGATTATGGCTGTGAGCCACCACGCCCAAGCCTATTATTAGGATTCACTTTACATAAAGTACTCATTAGTAGTTGAACACATGGATTTAGTTATCTTGTTGCAATTTGAATTGGCTATTGGAAGGAAGACAATATTAAAAGTGTAGTTGAAAACATTTTTATGGTGAGCTTCAGGGCATATTATTTGAAGTTCTTTGGTGCCTTTTTATTTTTTATTATTTAATTTGGACAAAGAAGATTCTATATTTATTATATTTTCCTTTGAAATGGGTGGGGTCTCAAATCACCCTTTGGAGCATAATCCAGTTAAATTTTAAAAGTATTTGCTAAATTGGAGACATCTGGACACTCTGGAGTTAAAATTAAATAGGTATAAACAAAGAATAATTCAATGAGGAAGACTAAGTAACACAAGTATAGACATGTCAGGCCCTAGTGTATACCTTTTTGGAGATTAGAAAAATAGGTTGAAGAACACAAATGAAACTAGCTTAGAACCAGGATAACTGATGCAAATTTTCAAACATGTATATAAATATAATAGCCAGTATTACAACTTAAGGCATTTTTGAATACTTTGGAGAAGGCTCATTAAAGATGATATAAATGTAGGAAACTACACTGTACACAAGACTATTCAATATTAGAAATATTGAGCCGGATAAAGGCTGAGGTGAGAGTTACAGTTTGAGTTAGATAGCTGTACAGTTTGGGTTACATAAAGGAATATCAAATGCATAGAAATAGAGTGTTTTTGTTGTAAGCTTTTACTTAAAGAAAGTAATGTAATGATATATCTCTACAAGTAAGATTTAAGGTAGGAGAAAGTTTTTATAAATATTCAGAAAGGATTAATGTTAGATATTAATTTTCTAACAGTATAAAGACTAAGAGCTAGGAGTTCTCTGCTGTTGAATGAGGCTTCTAGACTACCTCACTTCTTCCAATATAACTGATCAAAGACAAGTTTACAGAGACAGAAAATTGAAGCAAAACAGTCACTTGCCTGCAGGTACTTGACGCCAGTCCCCCATTTCTGAAAGAACAACCTTATCATACTGGGACTCCATTGGAACTTCTAAGAAATCATGGTGCCAATCCTTTCTGTATGAATAATTGCTAAGGTTATTGCTGTGTCCAAACTAATTTTTTCTCTTTCGTAGTAAAGTTCTCTCACTGGAAATGGGTAAAAGAGACTACACCATTTAAAGAAAAAAAGAGAAGGTTTAGGAAGCTTGTTGTAAAAATACTGAAGTCACAAACTTATTAAGAAATCCACTCCCTAGAATCTTAACCCTGACCTAACCATTAGACACCTCTCACACAGTTTTTTCTGTCAAATGAGACTCAAAAAATTGACTTTGAAGATCTCCACAAGCATGTTTCATTATTTTCTTGCAGATATCAGGGATGTAGATGGCTGTTTCTGAATCACAGCTGCAGAGCAGCTACATGATAATGGCAGTCATATCCATTTATATTTCAAATTAACTTAGGAGTACCATGAGGATATAATGTTGTTTGGGCCCTGTTAAAATCAGGTCTACCATTCTGATATTCTAGGGAGAGAACAATAAAACCAACAGACCTCCTATGGGTATTTTTTACAGGAAAGTGCATGGCTATAGGGGATGATCCAATGCTGGTTCACATTTGGCTCATGAGAGCCAATTGTGACATCCAATTCTGCATTAAGGGATATTACGTTGGTAGGTTGATTTTCAGCCATAGTGGGAATATTTATACTTTGGTAATCAACAAACCCTAAAACTCAGGGCTTCCTTTCTGTCTTTTATCTTCTTTTTTTAGGCTTAGTGTTAAATATTTCTACTTGAAAACAAGACAATAAACCAGGTGACTAAAGAATTACTCTTAAGACCTTAATTTTTTTTTTCTAGCAAAGAACTTGGATTCCTGCTAGAAATTCCTGCTAGAAAGGACATGACTAGTGGTAGAGATGATGAGATATTTATCTAAACTGGCGGAAATAACATACTCTTTTTTTAGAAGTTGAAGATATTATCCACTTTAAAAATTATATATAGGTGAAACCCAAAGTTAGCTAATTCTATTTGTAAGCCATTCAGTTTAGCATATCCACTACAAATAGGGAGGAAACAAAATCAAGTTTATGCAGAAAATCAATAGAATTCATTTTGAATTGATAGTATATCTATTTCCTGTAACTTTTAAGAAAAAAATATCCTCAGCCAAGTGTGGTGGCTCACGCCTGTAATCCCAGCACTTTGGGAGGCTGAGGCAGGCAGATGATCAGGTCAGGGGTTCAAGACCAGCCTGGCCAATATGGTGAAACCCCGTCTCTCCTAAAAATATAAAAATTAGTCGGGCATGGTGGTGCATGCCTGTAGTCCCAGCTACTCGGGAGGCTGAGGCAAAGAATCATTTGAACCTGAGAGGTTCACCCTGGAGATCATGCCACTGCACTCCAGCCTGGGCAACAGAGCAAGACTCCGTCTCAAAAAAATAAAATAATAAAATTTAAAAAAAATCCTCCAGTGGTATTCCTATGGTTGTGAAATTAGATTGCTGGTCCTTCTATCTTTTGTTTCTCTCTCTTCTGTTGATTCTCTCTGGGACCTTTATTATCAACATAGCTTCTAAATAAGGATGCTCCATAATAGAATGAAAAGGTGAGCCACAATTCTATCAGCTTTTTCTACTTGTAATGGGTTCTTAAAATGGTTTGGTAGAAATACTGTAACATATTTCAAGAATGTCTATAATTATCTGAAATCCTAACTATTTATGATTCTCCAGTGCCTCTGTCCCAATGTATAATATTGCCACTACAGAATAGTTGCGATTTTTGTTGTTTTTAATTATTTCTTTGGACAACTTTGAACTAAAGTAGTTACATCAGCTATGTATTTTGACACTTGATAGCATCCAGTTCAATGTTTTATTAACACTGGTTAGTACTGTCTTCATTTTTGATATTTATAAATGATATTTCTGCCAACAGAAAGCATTTTTGATATTTCATAAGTATTCAACCACAGCAATCAGAAGTTTTAGGGCTAGTAAATCAATAGATACCCAATCAAATGAAACTGATAATTGCTTATGCTCAAAGAGAGTTAGATTTAAGTAAGGTGCTATTTAGAGGTTGATTGCATTATTAAGAAATTGCCTGTTAAGTTTGGGTTAACAGCTCAGAGGTGACTGAGTTACCTTTTTGGTAATATAAAGAAGGAAAACTACTTCTCCTTAATTACAGAAAACTGAAAAGACAAGTCCACACATTTTTTTTCTTCAAATATCTCTTGTTGGTCTATAATCAACCAGGCACTAGATTAAATGATGACAGTAAGGCAAAAATAACTGAGATGACTAATTTTAAAATGTATTATAAAATAAAGTAAGTATAGTACTTAGGCTGGATGGGCCACCTGCTGTTTAAGTCAAAGCAATGTTGTAATTTAATTTTCCATCACTATTTCATCTCTTTTTAAGACAGCCAAACCATCCTAGGGAATGTTTGATAGAAAATTTGTTGTAAGGGAGCTTCTCAGGAGTAGAACGTCTCTATTTCAGCCAAACAAAGCTTTCTGCTCAGCTTGTAGTATTAGAAAAACATGCTTATTTGTTCTTACTTGCACCTATTTTATCTGTCATTTCCTGCAAAATAAACTTCTCAATATAAATTTCTCACTTTTAGAAACTGACACTTTATTATTAAAATACCACCTTGTCTTTTTAAAATTCCCTCCTTTCAATTTGGGCAGAACTTGTGATTGTGATGAGATATTACTCTCTTGATTCGGTTATGTTACTGGACAAAAGGGGTTTTGTAGATGTCATTTAGTTTATTTATGAGTTGACACTGAGTTAATCTAAAAGGAGATTATCCAGGTGGGCCTGACCTAATCACAGCCTCAGCCAGCACCTTAATTGCAGCCACGTAAGCCCCTAAGCAAAGAATCCATCTATGCCATGATGGACTCCTGACCCACAGAAACTGCAAGATAATAAATATGTGTTACCTGAAGTTGCTAAGTTTGTGGTAATTTGTTACACAGTAATAGAAAACCAATGCATTCTACATGCAAGGGAGGGAAGGATTGAAGAAAGAACAAGAACGCAAGAGAGTAAGAGACATGTGTCCCTCATCTCTCATGGGTGTCTTCCATCCAGATCCCTGTTCCTTAATTTTCTTTGACGATAGACCCACACTACTCATTCTTCTGCTCCAACCTCTTACTCCACATTCACAGCATATGGGAAGGGTACACACGTATACATCCTTTCTTCATACATTTAACATACCCTTTCACCTGCCCCAGCGTTATCCATTTTTGCATCAGGAGCTTTTAAAAGTTAACACAGAATTCCTGGAGGGTTGCCAATTTCTTTTTAGAATAATTTATGAAATTTTAAATGAATCTGAATATAACAAAATAGGGCAGTTTCCAAGTATATGTAGAATATTGCAACATTCTTAGAGGGAGAGGAATATGGATGTGAGTATTTGAGTTGTTTCTGCTGGATTCCAGTGCCCTGCCCCAGAGCATGATGGGCCGTGGGTGAACTGCGCACCTGCTGCTGCTCCAGCAGGCCTGATGTATGTTGCTTGGTTCTTCCTCTTACCACAAACTTAGCAGCTTCAGATAACACATATTTACTATCTTGGAGTTTCTGTTGGTCAGGAGTCCATTATGGCATATATGGATTCTTTGCTTAGGGCCCTATATGGCTGTAATTAAGGTGCTGGCTGAGGCTGTGATTAGGTCAGGCCCACCTGGATCCTGCTCACTCCACATCCACCCTCTCTGCCCCACTGGGTTTTCATCTCCACTCAGAAACAGTCTTCTTTAACTGGCAACCAGATAAAATCAACCTAAGTGAAGGAGTCACCTTTCTCCATATTAATGGTGCATCATCAGGTATAGAAAGGGAACTAATTAACATAAAGAAAATATCAAGATAATAAAAGAAAATTTGTTCCTGGAGGACACAGATCATTGGAAAACAGAGAGATCTTTTAAAAATTTAAGTAATACACTCAGAACAATTTGTGAATACACTGGTGTCCCCCAAAAAATTTTTTTGCATAGTGCCTAAAAGGGAACAACTTGAAAAAGAAAGAACCGTCCTAGGTGGAAAGCTATGATTGCTAAAGTAAAATATTTAACTAGAAAGAGTTGAAAAATACATATTTGGAAGCCTAAAAAGTGAAAAAGAAAGACAGAAAACAAGGGATGGAAAATACAAAAGACACCAAGGATCAACTCAAGAGGTTTAATATTCATTCAACAGCAGTTCTAGAAAGAAAAAATTAAAAGAGAGGGAGGATAGCAAATAAATGATAAAAGAAAATTCCTCACAATTGAAATACCCAAGCCTTTAGATTCAAAGAGCTCACTGAAAACTCAGCATATTGAATGAATAAGAGACTCACAGATAGAATTACCCTTGAACTACAAATTTTCAAGGAGTCTGCAGAGAAGGAAACTTGTAAATGAGAACATTCTAAAAAGCTTCTGAGATTTCAAAAAAATGACTTGCAAAGGAATGTGAATCAGATGAGAGTCTTGAGTTCTCATAAGCATCTGCAGATTCTGGATGAAAAAAAATGAATCAATGTTTTTTAAGTTCTGAGAGAAAATACTTTCAATCTAGAATTCTGGAGCCAGCCAACTTATCAACCCTGAAGCAATATCAGGATAAGCACATTTTCAGACATGGCAAAAAGTTGATGTTCAATTCACTTTTTTCCTTAGCAATATGTTTAGAAATGTACTCCAGCAAAAGAACTTCCTCTTAATTAAACAGGAAACTAGAAAACAACTGACTCATTCCAGGATGGCAATGAAGAAATCTTCTAGATTAACTTTCTGCAGACCTAGAGAACAAGTTCCAAGGTCTAAGGGCTCTGGCAGGGAGGTCTCCAAGGCAAAAAGCACCGTTAACAGAAGACTACAAGATAAAACTGACTAAAAGTTCTCTTTTTTAGTTGGGGATGTAATAAAGAAAAAACGCTACAAGAAAAATTAGAAAAAAATGAGAAACTCCAAGAAAAAAAACAAAATTGCTCAAAAACTCATGATCTAAATCTGGTATAAACTGATTTTAAGGAACGATTTTAAGTAATTGGTTATATGTTTAAAAAATAATTTATTTGACTTTAATTCCAGGAACATCCTTCTGTAAATGTCCTAAAGCAGGGGTTACTAAAGCAGGGGTTCCCAAAGCAGGGGTTCCCAAACCCATGACCATGGACTGATACTGGTCCTTGGCCTGTTAGAAACTGGACCACACAACAGGAGGTGAAAGGTGGGTGAGCAAGTGAAGCTTCATCTGTATTTACAGCTACTCCTGTATTTACAGTACATTCTTGCACTAGTGCCTGAGTTCTGCCTCCTGTCAGATCAGTGGCAGCATAGATTCCCACAGGAAGGGAACCCTATTGTGAACTGCCTGTGTGAGGGACCTAGGTTGTGTGCTCCTTAGGAGAATCCAATGCCTGATGATCTGTCACTGTCTCCCATCATCCCCAGATAGAACCATCTAGTTGCAGGAAAACACGCTCAGGGCTCCCACTGAGTCTACATTATGGTCAGTTGTATAATTATTTCATTATATATTGCAATGTAATAGTAACAGAAATAGAGTGCATAATAAATGTAATGTGCTTGAATCATCCCAAAACCACCCCCAGTGGAAAAATTGTCTTCTGTGAAACTGGCCCGTGGTACCAAAAAGGTTGGGAACCACTGTTCTAGAGGTTACAAAATCCTTAGAAAAGAATGCAATCTATTTGGCCTATTATTAAACATATTTATACGTTCATAACATAGTCATAAGCATATACACACTTTTCATTATCCATTATTAGACTGAACATATTAATAAAGTTGGGTGTACTGTTTGAAGCCATAGCATTGAATGTAACTCTCCACAACCCTGACAATGAAAAGGTTAGCTGGCAAAAGATGAGATTTGGGAGATGATGGAAAAAAGGGGTGAAGGCAACAGGCAGGGAATTGAAGGAAAGTCAAGTCTTTAAAATGTACATGTTACAAAATGGGAAGGCCAAAGATACTGCCAAAAATGCCATGTTACAAAAAAAAGTATAATAACTATTTTATTTAAAAATTTAGGGTACTACCAAACATTAGTGGAAGTAGAAAGAAGAGGATGTTGTAAGAAAAAAGTCCTCATCTTATATATGGAGGAATTAATAGATACCTCATTAAGAAAGCAAATCAAGAAACAGAGTTGTACACAAATGGAGTTGCCAAACTGGCTGTAAAACTAAAAGTAGAAACTGGAGAATCAGATTTTTAAAAGAGAGGTGTTAGAAGACCTACTTTTAATAATAGATCTTTCTATATTATTTTATTTTTAACACACATGAGTAATGAGGGTAAAGCATATTATTTTAAACTGGATTGTATTTGGTCATAGGAACTGATAGAAAAAAAATTAAAATTGAAAGCCAAAGTATAAAATACATGGCAAAACACTTCAAATCCTGAAATGTTTATATATGTTTTTACAAATAAGGTATATTTGACAAAATGTTAACATAGGTGTTATATGTCAGTAATTACACTATTATCCCTAGCAGGTTAGGGAGCTGACATTAAGCCAACTAAGACAAACTTAGACACAATGGGGAAATAGATTTAAAAATTAATTAAAAGCTATTTCCATTTAGTTAGTCTAGTTTCTACCCAAGAATGTCTTCTGAATTAACTTTCAGACTTCAAATAAACCATAACTGAAATAACTAAATGACTCCCAATGCAGTAAATAATTTTACTGAGCATAATTAATAAAATTGAATATCTGGCTTACTGAGTCTGGAATAATAAAGTAGAATGAACAATGGAATAGAAAGAACCCAGCAATGATACTAAGGTGAGAGTACATATTTAGAATGCAGTTCTGGGTCTCAAACTCAACCATATGCGAATGGACTTGTGAAGAACAAATAGGTTTTTTGTTCTCTTACCTTAATAATGATGGGTGTCCATTTCTACAATATAACTTTTCTTTTTTCTCAACCCTCATACTTTCACTGAAAGCACATTCATCAAGTACCATTTATTGAAAATGCTGTTCTATATTCAAGAGAGAGTATCAGTATGTATTGGAAAAAGGAGGTATGTGTAGATGTTGTGCATTTGAATGACTATTCAAAACCTTACTTTCTTGTGTAGAGGAGATAACACTTAATAAAGTCAAAGTCCTTTCAATTGTTTAACTTTTTAAAATCAGAAAGTCATGGCTTTGAAGTATTTGAAATAAAAACTGGCTTTCCTGGTACTACGGAAGCTTCAACTTGACTCTGCTTTTCAAACTTCAAAAATCAAAAGACTTTTATTTGGGGTATCAAATTCCTTGCTTTTATAAATATGAATTGCTTGGAGAAATTATCATTTTTACTACTGTAATATGAACTTTTGACAGGTTCTTTTGAAAATTTTTTAAATTGAATATGATTGTGTGTTCTTCTTCATTAGCCAGAAGCAAGGTCAATATTTTGAAAGTTCAGCGTTTCTATAATTTTTTAAAAATAATGAAAATCAGGGTCAAACTTGGAATTTTTTAACATGATCTTATCTAAAGTGTGACCTAAATCATAATTCATATATGGATTATAACATGGGAATTTAAGATCACCAATTCTATAAGGTATGTTATTCTCTGCTCCTGCAGCTGAATAACGTTCGAAACCAGAATCACTGAAACTTGTTGCAGTTTCAGACTAAGACCATACTCTGGCATCATCCCTCTCCACAGAGAAGAAAATAAACACAATTCTGAACTGTCAGCTCCAGAAGCTATTGCTCCTCATCTCATATGGTTTTCCTTAGTTCTAGTAACTGGGCTCTTCATTCATGCACATTTGACCAAGACCTCCCCTTGTACCTCAGTTCAAATGAATGAGTATTTTTTTTCCTTATTCTCAGATATATATTTATTCATTGACCCATTTATCAATTTTTATTGCATGCCTATTATATTCCAGGCCACACAATATGATGGGAAACAATCGTTCTTACCTTTAGTAAACTTAAAGTCCAACAGAAGAATGAAATAGGTCAGTAGTCTTATTTGACTACTGAACCCGGTATCCCAGATTTGCTTCCCTAACCCAGTCTTCCTAAATGCTTCTAGGGCTGGAGTCCTACCCAGAGCCCAGTCACTCCACAGTTGGATTTTGACAGCTTTTTGCAAAGACTTTGTTGAAATTGACTTGCCATTTGCCTGGACTTGACATTTGGCTAATATCTGCTGTTGGTCCCTGGCCTGATCACAGACACAGACCCCATGAATATTTCTGATTTCTTGGATGTGCTAATTCCCATTCTGTCTGTCTTAGTGACAAACAATTCAGCCCGCTCTCATCTCTCCCTTTGTCTCCTTCCCCACTGTCTTTGCCTTAACTCAGACTTTTTTTAATTTCTTGCCTAAACAAAATTTTCTTCTAAAACAATTTTTCTGTCTTATTTTCCTACTCCAACATATAAACTATCTGCTCTATTTAAAAAGACAACTATTACTTGCATCAAAAATGTTGAAACCCGAAAGTTCTCTGAATTATAATTTATAACATAAATATACCCCTGAAACCACTACTCAAGTCTAAGAATAGAACATTATCAGCACCTCAAAAGCCACCCACAAGCCCACTCCCAATCCCTTTCTGCTCCCTCATCTCCAGAGGTAACCACTATGCTGACTGATAACACCATACGTTATTATTATATTATAATAACAGGCCACTATTATTGAACTGTAAACAAATAAAAGCACATCATATATATTCTGTACCCTGGCTCTTATGTTCAACATCACATCTGAGAGATTCATCATGTTTTCACATCTAGGAATAGTTCATTCAGGTTTGTTGCTATGCAGGATACCATTATAAGAATATACTACTAATTATTCATTGTATTATTGGCTAACATTTGAATTATTTTCATATTAGCTTATTACAAATAATGCTGTTGTGAACATTCACAAACATGTAAATGCATATATGCTGGGTTATAATTAGGTGTGAAATTTTTCTCATAGAGTACGTGTGTATTCAGCTTTAATAATTGATGCCAAACAGTTATCCAAAGTAGTTGTGCCAAACATAGTGTATGAGAATATACCCACATGCTTTCAAAAACAGTTTTGTCAGTCTTGTAAATTCTAACCCTTCCAGGGAGCGTGTTGTAGCATTTTATTATAGTTTAAATGTTCATTTGTAAATTCTAACCCTTCCAGGGAGTGTGTTGTAGCATTTTATTATAGTTTAAATGTTCATTTCTCTTATGACTAATGTGGCTGAGAACTTTTTCAAGTTAATTGACTATCTTGGTATTCTCTATTATGAAGAATGCCTGATTCAAATCTCTTGTTCATATTTGTTTTGGGTTTTGTAATGGTTCTATATCTTGGTGACAAGTTCTTTGGCACTTCTATTGAAAGATGGGGTCTATGTCCCCTCCTCTTTTCTTTGGCACTCCTATTGAAAGGTGGGGTCTATGTCCCCTCCTCTTGAATCTGTAGAAGCTTGTGATTTCAATAATAGAAAACTGAGGAAATAACGCTATGTGACCTGGGACTAGGTCATAAAAGGCCATGCATTAGCCACATTGCTCACTGGAAAACTTGCTTTTGAAGCCCTGAACCACAAGGTACAAAGCTCAATTCCCGTGAGACTACAATTTTAAAGGGGCCATGTGTAAGCACTTCTGCTAAATAAGCCCATTCTTCCAGCCATTCCCAACAAAGCATCAGACATGTCAGTGAAGCTGTTCTGAACTCACAACACTAGCTCATTCTCCAAATGAAACTACTGAATGATCTCTGTCGACATCATTAAAAATGGAAGAATCATCTATCCAAGCCTTGCCTAAATTCCCTATTCATAAAATCATGAATCATAAAATGGTTATTTTAAGCCATTAAGTTTGGGGTTTGTCATATTTCAGTAGACAATGTTAACAGAATTTGGTACCTGAAAGTAAGATAAGTGTTATAATAAAACCAAAAGTATGTGGCATCGGTTTGGAGATGACCAGCAGCCTTGAAGATGCTATTGGTAAAGGCTCAAAAGAAAATGAGTACACTGTTATTGGTGGTGGAAGAAAGCAGACCCTGGCTACGTAGCTGTGGAAAGTTTGGCAATACTGTTGCCTGTGGTAACATAAAAAGTTGTCAATGTACCTAATAAACTTAATGGTCTAGCTAAGGAGACATCTGAGCAGAGTGTTGAAGATGCTGCCTGGCTTCTTCTAGCTGCCTATAATAAAATGAGAGATGAGACAGATGAACTAAAGAACAAAATATTAGGGTTTTTTTTTTAGTAGAATTTGGAAAAAACATAAAGGCTCAAGGTAGTCTTATATCCCACAAAATATCCATAAAATAAAATATAGCTGCAAGGCAAAGATCAAATCCTGGGCATTACCAGTAAAATATTACCCTGGGGAATCCAGGTAGGGCTGAAAGTTTCTTTATTAAGATGTTAGAAGGACTTAAGGTGGCGCCTCATAGATCACCTCAGTTAAACAAGAGTCTTAAGTAATGTTAAGGGCATTATTTAAAACTCTCTGCTAGACCATAGTGCTTCTAAAGGTATTATCCTGACGATATTATCACAGTGGTGTTATGAGTTGGGGAGGTTACTCTCAAAAAGGTTTGTGAGTGAACTTTTTGTCTAATGGAGTAGCTCATAAATTGATATATAAGCAACCTAAAGGAATTATATCAGCTTGGACTAGAGGGGATAGACAGTACAAAATGAAAAGAGGCATTTGAACTCTGAACTTTTATGTACAGGGAGTAAGCTCAGAAAACCATTCAGCTGTGAACACAAGCTACTCTCCATGGAAAAATTAGGACTCCAAGGAAAGCATCAAGACCTCAGAGGACAGAGCCAAGATTCATGGAGAATCATTCTTAGAGGGGCAGTTCTGGGTCCTAAGCAAAGAATTGGCAACACACACTTGGGAAATTCTAGGATCACTACGGACCAGTGACTGCTGTGCACCTTTTATCTCCCACTTTTTTGAGCAGAGTGTCTACTGTCACTATCTTATGCTGTCCCACCATTGTATACGGGTTGTGTGGAGGGCAGATAACTTGTCTGTTTCACAAGGTGTCACATGAAGAGGAGTGATAACCTAGAAACTGAACCTAAAGCATCTCCTTCACACATGGACATAATTCAGATTATGAGACAAGATTGTGAACCTTGAGCCACACAGGATAAGACTTTGGGAAGGGAGTTTAAAAGGGATGAGGGTGTTTTTCACATGGAAGAAATGAAAATGATTTGCGACCAGAGGTTGGGCTCTGACAATTTTTTGACATGGCCATAAATTCTTTGACATTCCTTCAATCAAATAGCAAGATCATTGTTTTCTTCCTTTATATCTTTGAGGGCTTGCAGCTGCTTTGGTCAATAGAGTATGATTAGAAGAAATTCTATGTGATTTCCAGGTCTAGGTTACCAAAGTTATGAAGCTGCTTTTTTATTTGCTGAAATGTTCACTTTTGGAGTCCTGAGCTGCCACATAAGAAGCCCAGTTACCGTGAGAACACCACTCTGGAGAAGCAAGTGCAAGTATCCCATCTCAGCTAGGCTTAGCCTTCCAGCCATCCCCAACAAGGTGACAGAAATGTAAATGAAGCTGTCTCAGACCCTCCACACCAGCTCATCTCCCAGCATATACCACCAGATGACTCTGTTGGTGCCACGTGGGGCAGAAAAATCCCCCACCGCACCCTGTCCAAATTGCTGACCAACAATATCATGAGCTATAAGAATATGGTAGTGGGTATAAGCCTCTAAGTTTTGGAGCAGTTTGTTACACAGTGATACATAACCAGAATAGCTGTCTTTTCCAAATTGTTTTGTTAGTGTTCTTTATACATTCTGGCTATAAGAATATACGGTCATCTTTATTTTTTTTTACTTTTACAATTAAATTTACAATTCACTTGATCTATTTGCTTATCCTGAATAAATTCAACACTAATTATTGTAACTCAGTAATGTCTTGGTATCCCACTTTATTATTATTCAATATTATCATGGCTATTATTGATCCTTTGCTTTTGCATGGCACCTACCTGCAGGGAGCAGACTCCCTGCATGTGTACATTCAAGGCCAAATAGCCAAGTCCCCAGAATCCTTGAATTCCCTTACCATTTCCTGACAAAAAGAACAAATAAAATGTGAAAAAAGAAGGAATGAAACTGTTACCACTTGTAGCAAACAAGATTATGTATGTAGGAAAACTATAGATTCATTTTGCCTAAAACAATTTCATATAAATGCAGTCATACAATATGTAATCTTTTGTGTAAGTCTTCTTTTATTCAGCATAATGTTTTGAAGATTAATCCATGTTGTTGAAGTTTATTTCTTGTCATTGGTGAGTTTATTATCTGAATATATTATAGTCTGTTTATCCATTCTCCTATTGATGGACACCTGTGCTATGTCCAACTTTTGGGCATTTTGAATAGTTATGAACACTCTTGCCAAATACTTTCTGTTAGCATATATCTTCATTTCATTGGTATAAATGCATGGAATTGATATAGCTGGGTCATAAGGTATGTGTAAGTTTTAGTTTTATAAGAAACTACCAGAGCATTCTCCAAATTGTTAGTATCATTTTATGTTCTCACCACCAATGCACAAGAGTTCCAGTTATTCTCCTTCATATCAAAATGTAGTGTTGTCAATCTTTTTTGTTTTAGTTATTCTAATGAATGTGGATGGTGTCTCACTGTGATTTTAATTTGCATTTATTTTATGACGAATAAGTTATTTTTTCATGTGCTCGTTGAGCATTTGTGTATCTATCTTTATGAAGTGTCTGCACCAATATTTTACTTACTTTTTTGAGTTATAGGGGTGCTTTCTATAGTCTCAGAACCATTCCTTTCTCAGATATATGTGTAGTGCATATTTTTTCCTACCCCTTGGTTTGCTTATTCATTTCTTAGCAAAGCTAATGTTCCTCTCAAAACTTTATGAGAACTGCTATTCTTCTGTATGTAATTTGTCCTTTTTTTCCTGGCTACTTAGAGGATTTTTCTCAATAACTTTGAATATCAGCAGGTTGACCATAATGCAAGGTTTTCTTTTTATTTACCCTGTTTTGGTTTTACTGGTTTCTTACCTCTGAAACTTATATCTTCCAGCAAATATAGAAAAATGTCAAACATGAACTCTTCAAGTACTTTTTGCTTCATTCTCTCTTTCCTCTCTTCTCGGACTCCAGTTGCAAATATAATAGACACTTTGATATTGTCCCACAGGGACATGTCTCCGGGCTCTCTTCTCTGTCTTCTCTCTTCTGCTCTTAAGCCAATACAGTGAATTTTTATTTCAGATTGCATTTTTCAGTTCTAGAATTTTCCTGTCTACTTAAGCCTAGTAAACAGGCTTTAAAGAACCATCTTGAGTAGATAATATATCTTTTGATATGTAAGAGACACAGGATTATTATCTGACTCCTACCTAGAGAAATCTGATACCAAGAGGCTATATGGAGTTGGCAGGAAAAGAAAAAGAAGCCTGAGTTGGGAGTGAGCTCCTCTCCCATACAGTGAAGCAATGGTGTGTATTTCCCCAGGTCTACATGTTGTCCCCTTGGAAGGCTCAGATTCATCATAAAAGGGATTCTGCCTAAGAGAATCTCATGGAGACCATATGATCCCACCATAGTAATAAGCTCCTAGAAGCCTAGAAGCTAAAGAGAAGGTTGTTGACAGCTAGCAGGAGCAAAGGCAATACCAGGTGAATGGATGTGTAATAGGAGATCTCTAAACAGGAGATCTCTAAAAAATTTCTAAAATGAATCCATGAAAAGAAAGATATCTTCCTCTGAGCATAACCTAAAGTTGCCCCAAAACATCAGCTAAAAGGCAACTTGGAATAAGAAAAGAAAATAGAATTTGACCAGATATTCCACCTGACTTCAAGCATCCAGCCTGTTGCAGGCTAAGCTGGACAAGCAGAGAAGCATTAATTGGATCAGAGTGGAGATTGTAATACTACTTGGGAATGAGGATGTATGATCAATACACTAGAATAGATTTTATTGTAATCCTTCCGTGACTAGAAAACCTATGGGGTTTAATATTTAATGTAAGGGCTGAAAAAATATTAATGCAGAAAGCAAATTTGAAATTACTAAAAGAGAAAGAATAAGGTTAGTATCTGCATATGTGTATCTGTGTGTGTGTATGTTTGTATGTATTCAGTAGCATTGTAGGATCACTTCTGTCATATTATATCCATATATTAAAGTTATCTATCAATTATATGCCTTCATGGTATATTTATACACAGATAGGATTGTCTGTGTGTCTGTGTGTGTGTGTGTAAAATACTTAAACATTGGCCGGGCGCTGTGGCTCATGCCTGTAATCCCAGCACTTTGGGAGGCCGAGGTGGGTGGATCACGAGGTCAGGAGATCGAGACCATCCTGGCTAACACGGTGAAACCCCGTTTCTACTAAAAAAATACAAAAAATTAGCCGGGCGTGGTGGCAGGTGCCTGTAGTCCCAGATGCTCAGGAGGCTGAGGCAGGAGAATGGCGTGAACCCAGGAGGCGGAGCTTGCAGTGAGCCGAGATGGCATCACTGCACTCCAGCCTGGGTGACAGAGCGAGACTCCGTCTCAAAACAAACAAACAAACAAAAAAAACAACAAAACTTAAATATTGACAGTGATGCATGGGAAAATTGTATCAATTTTTTTTTTAGTTTTTAGATTTTTTAACTTCTACAATGAACGTATATTCTATTTGACACACAAAAAAAATATACTGTCTTTTTCAATGGACTGTGAGTCTCTTAGTCTGTTTGGTCTGCTATAACAAAATACCATACACTGTGTAGCTTATAAACAACAGAAACTTATTTCCTACAGTTCTGGAGGCTGGGAAGTCCAAGATCAAAATGCCAACAGATTTGGTGTTGGTGAGGGCACATTTCCTAATTCATAGGTGGTACCTTCTTGCTGTGTCCTCCCATGGCAGAAGGGGCAAACAAGCTGCCTTGCACCTGTGTTCTAAGGTTCCTATTGCCATTCGTGAAGACTTTGCCCTCATGATCCTATCACCTCCCAAAGGTCCCACCTCTTAATACCATCACATTGGGCATTATAATTTCAACATATGAATCAGGAGAGACACCAAACAGAGTATAGCAATGAGTTAGTACTTTTCAGTTAACAAACAAGTATCTCAGATATTCTAATCATGTCCTCACAGTTATCATCATTTTCAAAGTTTTGATTTTAATGGTTTGACACATTAGAGAGCAAGTATTTCAGTATATTTGAAGGATAAATCACATTTAATTCCCTTTATTAAGTGATACACTTGAAAATTCCCAAATACTATTGTAACATTCTCCTTAAGGAACTGCCTTTATTTAGACTTTCTTCAGTCTTGAAATTCCATTGTGATACTCAGCCTCAGAGCTGTAACATTTGTCACACAGATAATGCTTTTTGTCCTTGACTTTTTTTCTCTGTGTGTGTGTGTGTGTATGTGTGACTATCTCCTAACATTTTTTTTTCATCTCTTCTCTTCCCTGGATATTGATTACAGCATTGAAGCATCTGCCTAAGTTTTTACTTTTTGAGGCTGTTTGACATTTAAAGTATACATAAAAAATTCTGGTAAATCTATGTGCTTTGGTCATTCTTTTTTTATTTATATTTTTGCTCTTTTACTGCTGGCTACATAAACTAAACTATTTACACTCCCTCAGTTTTTATGCTGCCTGTGAGCTAATCATTTAACTTTAACATACATTTTATTTTGTCATTGAACTTGCTTTCAATTATTTTCTCCTAACATTTACAGAGAGACCTTACACATAGTTACTATACTGTCACCCCATGTTAATAGCTCTCTGCTGTGGGTTCTAGACATAAATGGGTGTGTCAGGGTCCTCCATTTCTATTTTTCCCCCTTACAAATAAATGCTTTAATACATTGAATGTGTAACTTGCTGCCCTTTCTACTTGCATCTTCTCTGGTTCTTTTAATTATTTTATATCACCCTGTTACAAATGGGTCATAATCTAAATATTTATTTGGTCTAACTATCAAATGTTTCTTTATTGAATAAAATTCACAAAAATCTGTGGAAAAAATGCAGTCAAGAAAGAGGGAGGTAACTTTACCAAAAGGCTAAAAATCAAGCTGATTAATTCAACATTTCTTAAGTTTACTACTAAATATATATAAAATTACTGAGGAAAAAAAATCGACAGTGATTTCCTTTTCTAAATTCTGTGATAATACTATGCATAGAGAGATCAGTGTAATAAATTTCTTAAGCTCAAAAGATAATCAAGGCTAAAAAAAGAAGTCATATTTTCAAACCTACAATTTAGTTTAGATTGGTTTAAATTATAGAATGTTCTGGTACCCAGAATCAATCTGCAAGAGATGTAGCAATCTTGATGAAGGTCTCAGTAAATTCTTTCTTTACTTCTAGAGGGAGTTTAACAGATCACATACTGCCTTTACAAAGTCCTGTATTTCATAGGTAACAAAATACCCAGTCAGTCAAGGATCAAATGCTAATATGTGGTGTTTAATCACCCAGGAGTGAAAGATGCCATTGCATAAAGATATGATTCCTCCCCTAGATTTCAAAGATATTTAAACTTCTCCTGCATCTCAATTCTCCTTTAATCACAAGAAAATCACCATGTTATTTATACGGTCAGTGTAACCCGTAATTGCAATTATTATCACATGAAATATATCAAAGCCACTAATTTCCAACCTGCTTCTATCACACTTGTGGTTCAAGTATGGTAGCATGTGTTTTGCAGTGACTGAATTGTATTAATGAGAAATATACATCTGAAAATATAGGCTGTAGAAACCAATTGTCTTCACTGATGTCAGTCTCTTCCCATTCATGCTCCTCAATAAAGATATACACAAAGGATAAATACTTGAGGGGATAGATATCCCATTTTAAGTGATGTGATTATATTACACATTGCATGCCTGTATCAAAACATGTACCCCATAAATATATATATGTACCCCATAAATATATATACCTACTATGTACCCCAAAAAATTAAAATAAAAAAATCAAAAAAATGATATACATTTTTGTATAAGGTGTAAGGAAGGGATCCAGTTTCAGCTTTCTACATATGGCTAGCCAGTTTTCCCAGCACCATTTATTAAATAGGGAATCCTTTCCCCATTGCTTGTTTTTCTCAGGTTTGTCAAAGATCAGATAGTTGTAGGTATGCAGCATTATTTCTGAGGGCTCTGTTCTGTTCCATTGATCTATATCTCTGTTTTGGTACCAGTACCATGCTGTTTTGGTTACTGTAGAGTTGTAGTATAGTTTGAAGTCAGGTAGCATGATGCCTCCAGCTTTGTTCTTTTGGCTTAGAATTGACTTGGCAATGCAGGCTCTTTTTTGGTTCCATATGAACTTTAAAGTAGTTTTTTCCAATTTTGTGAAGAAAGTCATTGGTAGCTTGATGGGGATGGCATTGAATCTATAAATTACCTTGAGCAGTATGGCCATTTTCACGATATTGATTCTTCCTACCCATGAGCATGGAATGTTCTTCCATTTGTTTGTATCCTCTTTTATTTCATTGAGCAGTGGTTTGTAGTTCTCCTTGAAGAGGTCCTTCACATCCCTTGTAAGTTGGATTCCTAGGTATTTTATTCTCTTTGAAGCAATTGTGAATGGGAGTTCACTCATGATCTGGCTCTCTGTTTGTCTGTTATTGGTGTATAAGAATGCTTGTGATTTTTGTACATTGATTTTGTATCCTGAGACTTTGCTGAAGTTGCTTCTCAGCTTAAGGAGATTTTGGGCTGAGACAGTGGGGTTTTCTAGATATACAATCATGTCATCTGCAAACAGGGACAATTTGACTTCCTCTTTTCCTAATTGAATACCCTTTATTTCCTTCTCCTGCCTAATTGCCCTGGCCAGAACTTCAGATTAAAGACTTAAATGTTAGACCTAAAACCATAAAAACCCTAGAAGAAAACCTACGCATTACCATTCAGGACATAGGCATGGGCAAGGACTTCATGTCTAAAACACCAAAAGCAATGGCAACAAAAGCCAAAATTGACAAATGGGATCTCATTAAACTAAAGAGCTTCTGCACAGCAAAAGAAACTACCATCAGAGTGAACAGGCAACCTACAAAATGGGAGAAAATTTTCGCAACCTACTCATCTGACAAAGGGCTAATATCAAGAATCTACGATGAACTCAAACAAATTTACAAGAAAAAAAAAAAACAACCCCATCAAAAAGTGGGCGAAGGACATGAACAGACACTTCTCAAAAGAAGACATTTATGCAGCCAAAAAACACATGAAAAAATGTTCACCATCACTGGCCATCAGAGAAATGCAAATCAAAACCACAATGAGATACCATCTCACACCAGTTAGAATGGCGATCATTAAAAAGTCAGGAAACAACAAGTGCTGGAGAGGATGTGGAGAAATAGGAACACTTGTATACTGTTGGTGGGACTGTAAACTAGTTCAACCATTGTGGAAGTCAGTGTGGCGATTCCTCAGGGATCTAGAACTAGAAATACCATTTGACCCAGCCATCCCATTACTGGGTATATACCCAAAAGACTATAAATCATGCTGCTATAAAGGCACATGCACACGTATGTTTATTGCGGCACTATTCACAATAGCAAAGACTTGGAACTAACCCAAATGTCCAACAACAATAGACTGGATTAAGAAAATGTGGCACATATACACCATGGAATACTATGCAGCCATAAAAAATGATGAGTTCATGTCCTTTGTAGGGACATGGATGAAATTGGAAATCATCATTCTCAGTAAACTATCGCAAGGACAAAAAACCAAACACCGCATGTTCTCACTCATAGGTGGGAATTAACAATGAGAACACATGGACACAGGAAGGGGAACATTACACTCTGGGGACTGTTGTGGGGTGGGGGGAGGGGGGAGGGATAGCATTAGGAGATATACCTAATGCTAAATGACAAGTTAATGGAAATGACGAGTTAATGAGTGCAGCACACCAGCATGGCACATGTATACATATGTAACTAACCTGCACATTGTGCACATGTAACCTAAAACTTTAAGTATAATAATAATAAAATTTAAAAAATGAGAAAAAAATAAAAAGAAAAAAAGAAAATGATATACATTTTACTCCTGAAGTAAACATGTTAAATAAACACATTGCTTGTCCTTTTGATCAATGTCAGAAATTGTGGGGAAAAAATGAGAAAAACATTTTCCTACATAGGATTGCATGCAAGTGATCCCAATTGACACAATATGGAAGACAGTGGAGAAATATCTAGGCTGCCCATAATTTATCAATCTTCTCTCTGCCCTCTTCTCTGTAGTGGACATTTGGTGTCTGTCAAAGAACAAAACAACTATGTATACAGTACTTGCAAAAAATTAATGTTTTCTAAAGCATTTTAAGTTTTTCTTTTCTTATTTTGGATGTACTGAAAGCCCCACCCCAACCATATTTCTCTCTTAATTCATAGTTATATACTCTATTTTGCTTCTTCTAGCAGTTACTCTAGAAATTTCAACATAAACATTTACCGTAAAGATAATCCATGTTAACTCTTCAGAACCATGCAAGAACCTATAAGCAATTTATCTCACGCCACAGTTTTCTCTCTTGGCTAAACTTTTATAAGGTGATATTTTAGTTCTATCTTATTTTTTAACACTAAAAATTATGTTAAAATTTTAATAATGATTTTGTATTACCTACATGATTACTATGTGGTTGTCTCAAGTTTTCTTCTTCTATCTCATACCTTTCTTTTGTGGTCATTTGTATTCTGGAAAATGTTACTGGCAGTCCATTCATCCCAAGTAATCTCAGTGTTTGTCTCTAATACCCTCATTTTGCCTATTGTCTTCAAAGTCTTATTAATATGGATTTGTAGGGAACCATTTTCTTTCAGCAGTTTGAAGACATCCTTCTGTCTCCTTCTGTCTTCTGGCTCCCACTCTTATTATGGAGATATCACTTTTAATCTAATAGTCACCCCTTGAATGGTCCCTGTCATTTCTTTGGCTACTTTATGATCTCCTTTGTATCTTTGGTTCTCTGCAGTTTCACTATGATGTGCCCAATATGAATTTCTTTACATTTATTATTAAGATTGGTGCTTTTTATCAAAAGCACCAATGGATTATTATGTCATTTTCTTTTGGAATAATTTCTCTCCATATCCTATGATCTCCTACTGAAATGCCAATGAGAAATATCTTATACCACTTCACACTATTCTCCTTTTTGTCAACTTTAATATTCCCATCTCTTTGTCTCTCTGGGCTACATCCTGTTCAATTTCTTTTCATGTATCTTCTAGTGTATTAAGTCTCCCTTTAGCTATGTCTAATCTGCTCTACCCCCTCCCCCAGTCTTCTGAGTTTCTCATTTCAATTCTTCTCTTTCTCCTTTGTGGAAATGCTATTTTGTTCTCTCTAAAATGTGACTAGACATTTGTATAGTCTCTTGTTCCTTCATCATTTTCTGATATTGTCCTTTATTTTTTAATATATTCAATGTGCTTATTTTAGTATTGATAATACTATTATCTACAATCTTTGTGGGTCTGACTTGCAGTCCATTATTTTTTATAACTCTCCTTCATGTGGCTTGTTACCTTATTTATTTTGTAATTGTATTTATTGTGACCTCTGTTTCATAATAATTCTTTGAGAACTGGATTTAAAGAGATTCCTCTAGGGAAGGCTTATTCATGCTTCTGCAGGTATCTAGGGATGTTTGGATTCAAGTAAAATGTCAAACTATTAGAGTCAGGGCTTTTCAGGTCACATAATTCATGTGAATCCTGGGTCCAAACTCTTAGGAACGTGAGTTTATGATTAACAATTTTCCTGGATTTTAAAAAACAAAATCCTGTTTCTTGTCTACCCAGAACCATGCTGGAACCTGCACATATTCTTGATGTATCTTTCTGAAGTGCAAGTTTTTCTCCAATTTACTCAATGTTGGCGTCTCCCAGAGCTGCAATATTCAACTTCAGTGGGTACTATTCACATTGTGGTCCATGTAAAAAGCATTCCCTGGAGGTGTGTAGTGTCTTATGCGATGCTCTTGGTGTCACCATTTGGACATCCCAGTTTTAAATGAGCATCTCTGATCCGACCCTTGCATCTACCCAAGCTTGGTTTTCTTTCCCCAGATCACTTGATCCATTAAAGTACACGGTTTTCTAGGTCACCAGAAATGAGCAGATAGATCCTTTGGGCAAACGCCACCTTTAGTGATACCTTATCTTTAGAAATTTTGCTTATTAGTTTTCCCTCATGCCAAACTATAGCCCACTCTCCCATGCATGCCAATTAATGAATTTTAAAAGATTTCTCACATAATCTGTACATTATTGTTATATGTTTTTTACTGGAAGGGGTTCTCTGGACATTTGGTTTATCATATTATCAAAAGCAGAACCTATGGAATCTACCACTGAAAACAGAGACCTAATCACTCTTCTTTCTGCTTCTCATACCACCCCTGTAGGCAGAAGAGTCATTAGCCATGGTTTCAGATAATAGGAGCTCTGCTTGTTGCAGTCTTCTGTACTCTAGTGGCTTTCTTTGATCATGGAGAGCCTCCAAGGACTCGAATAATAATGGGAGTTGGGGGTTGAGGGGCACACAGTTAGAAAGGGAGAACAGGAGGAAACTTGTACTTCTAACTTGTCAGGTTGATCATTTGTTCCTATGTTTGGTATTCTTGGCTTCCCCTTGTCATATACATTGTTATTTCATATTATAAAATAATTTTGCCTACTGCATTTAGAACCTATGACTTCCTAATAAGGAATTCATTGATATTAATTTGCTACCTTTTTTTCCTTCTAAAAAATTACTGACTTTCTTACAGTTTCACAGAGTTATAAGAGGAAAGAAAGGATCAGTTATTGAAGGCATAATATAAGACTCTGCTGTGTACTATGTATGAGTTATTTTTATTATTCCTATTTTATAGAGAATAATAACAGCAACAATAGTAATAGTAATAAGAGCTAATATCTATTGTCAGGCACTGCTCTAAGTATTTGACGTGTATCAAATATAATCTTCACAACAACCTGTGGGTTAAGTGCTATTTCTATTCCCATTATATAGATGAGAAAATAATCTTAGAGAAGTTAATTTTTCAAGTTTGTATAGGTAATGATGATAAATTGGGGGGGTTTAAACTCAGGTCTGCCTGACTGCAGATCCTATACCCTTACTATATACAAAATAGGCTACTCTCCTAAAATCATATTGGGCATTTGGGAAGGCAGTATTTTTACTTGACAAAACAACAACAAAACAGCATTTTTGGTGTTGCTAAAGAGTTAATACAACTTTAGAGCACGAGAGAGAATATTTTATCAAACTGAAAAAAGTTTAATGCTTTGGCTTTTCAAAGAGCATTTAATTCTCATAGGCATGCCTATCCTGTATTTCTTCATCAATTGCAGATGAACTATTAACTTTCAAATTGGTCACTGCAGGGTTCTATTTACATCTTTAATAGAGTAAATATCAAAGGAACATAAAGTGTAGGTTAAATCTAAGAGGATTTTCAAGAGAAATAAGTGATGAGAGCAACAGAATGTATCTCAATGCCCTATATATCAGTAAAGAATTAATTAAATGTATTAAGGAAAATGTAGTGTCAATTTGCTCTAATTGAGAAAATTTTTGAGATAAATTATTAAAAAAACATTTAAATGAAGAAGGTTTGGTCTGCATAATCTGCAGGAAACTTGTCTGGCCACCAAGGACTTTTTTGCTAATGAGCTTTGACTTGGTTACAGTCCCTCTGAGAGAGAAGATTTAGTCTACAATTGGCTTACTAATGAGCACTGTCAACATGTGGATTGGTCTCAGATGCTCTACTCTAAAACAAGGTGGAAGTTATCCTCTCAACTAAACTTGTTGAACAGAACTTGGTCAGCAATTTTCCCTACCACCTTCAGTCAGCTACAAATCACCACAATTGTGTAATATTCTGGACAGGATATAACGAATAATTATTGTAATATGAGATGAATTATAATTTTTGAAGCATCAGGAGTTTCCCTTTAATAGCTCTCCCAGCCAAATAACTGATGGATTATGAATTTTAAAGATCAACATTATTAGATATTTCCTAGATTTAACATATATTGGAATATTATTTGAGCAAGAAAAACAAATATTTTCTATATTTAAGCAAGTCTCTTTAACTCTTAAATAGCTATACTCAGTCTGGGTGTTGACATGTCATTTTAACCAAAGAGAACAAATTGAAAAGCTTAACTTTCCACCAACTTCACTTTTATAAACAAGTTCTAAGATAATTTGAAATAAATTTTGAAAGCTCTAAAATTTTCACAGAAACAAAATTCTATAGTTTACCATATTGTTAAGCAAGATTGTGATTGTCATTTTTTCTGAGATAGATGCAAATCCATTTATCCTAAAAGTTTATCACTATGCAGTTATATACTTAATTAGTCCACTAGGGCCAAAACTTTTCAAAATAGATGAAATCACTTTAGTATAATAGTGTTGCTACAATTTAAAATTATCCTTTGCTCTGTACTAGTGCAGGGAAGTTTAAACTTTCCCTCTGAAGGTTCTATAATTGAATCTGCTGAAATAAACTGACAATAGACAAATTAGCTGGAGGCAAGGCTTACAAATTTATTATGTGCAAGCACAGGGGAGTCCCAAAATATATGAGACTCAAATAAGCGTCAATGGTTGAAGCTTAAATACCCTCTTTCTGGGGAAGAAAAAAGCGAGGAATGTAGTCAATTTTAGAGGAAGAGAAAATGATTTTTAGGGGAAATGAATGGGCCCCCAAAAATCTACCACAGCCTGGGACAAGGTTCATCTGGACTCTGAGTGTAGTGTCAACTCTAGTCTTCCTTCTTGCACGACATTCATGAATTTCTTTCAGTTAACAAGATATGTGGAGAAGGGATTCACAACTGAATATATTCTGGAGGATCCAGCTTTTAGGTAGATAGGGAAACTTCAGAGAAAGCCTTTTCACTGCATTTGCTATTCACGATGTTCTCTCAGCTTGAAGTCCAAAATGGCATATATTGGGGTATCATTTTATGACCCCCAGTGCTAGTTAGAAATGGCCAATAATTTAATATTAATCGGTAATATTGATCAGTAAAAGCACTGATGTGTGCTTTCTTGATTTGCTTCAATCTTCTTATTGCGCAAGTGGTTGGGACACTAACCATTATTTAGAAATCTAGTTATCAAGTAAATGAAAATTCTTAGGCTACATTCTACACATAAACACACTCATTTATGTTTTGGCCTTTGTTTCTAAGCTTATCTATTATTATAGAGTCACATTAAATGTGAATGGTTAGTCTAACCGTGAGATCACTCCTTAACCTAACCTTAGTTCTCCCTGCAGCTATCTTTAGGAAGAGAAACTCAAACACTTCATCCAGGTTGTTTTGTTTAAGCATATAACCAATTTTAAAGTTTATTTTAGTAGAGATGGTTGGACTTACAACTTTTGTGTTGCTTTTTAACTTGTAAATTTAGAAGGCTCTGAAGATTCTGGAAATAAAATTCTACTTATCAGAGACAACATCCCCACTTTTCTTTTTAGCTCCTGTCCTTTTATGTCTTTTTAAAACCCAACTCCAAGTAGACCCTTTCTTCTGTGAAGCCTTTTAATTATTTACTTCACCTGTTTCCAATCATTTTGCACAGCATTCAAAAATTCACCTCAAATTATATTTCACAAAGAGATAATTGCGTTATGTTATTCTTAAATTGTTTTATTGTTGATATCTTATCTGCAGCTAGGGTGAATGTTTATCAGGCAATAGGCCTTTCATCTTTAGAACTGAAGATATCTCTGATAACTACTTCTCTTCTGGAGAGAAGGATTATCAGTCAGGATTGTTTACTGTGGTAACAAACAATCCCCAAATTTCAGTAACCTACAGGAGCAAAGTTTTATTTCTCAATCACATAAATGTTCATTGCAGGGACTTAGATTCTGGTTCATGTCATCTTCAGCACTGGATACAGGTTGAGGAAGTAGCTACTATTCTGGTATACTGTTCATTTCATTATAAGGAGAAGGAGGAAACTGATAAAACATGTCACTTCCACACTTATTTGGTCAAAGTAAGTCACAGAGTCATTCCTAAGTACATCAGAATGTGGCTGTACACTTCTTCCACATTGAGGAGCTGAAGCAATCTTATGGCCAAGCCTGAATTCCATGTTTAAGGAAGAGGTCATACATGATACTTTGAATTTAAAACAATAATGCTTTCTACCACAGAGGGAAAATATAGAAAGATAATGAACGTATATCAGTATAACTTTATCTAGCTATTTGTTCTAAATGGGTGAATTAACTTGATATTTCATTTTTCACAATTCTTTTTTTCTTAATGCGGGGAATCCTGACAATCTCGCATCCTCTCCAGCCTCATAGCCTAATATCTTGCCAATTGTTTCCTCCTCACTGTGGCTAGTTGATAAAGCATTACATAACAAATATATGTTTAACAATTACTATTTAATGAGACAGCTGCAAAAATACCTTATATCAGTTCCTCTTGAAATTGCAATTCACCAAGCATAGTTCCAAGTTCATTAAGGAAACACAAGAAAACTCAACATGGTACTTGATATTAAGCATCTTATAATTTTATAGGAAAGTTAAAGTACAAATAGCTGTAATTCAGGGTGGAATGTGATGAATGCTTAACAAGAAATAAAAAAATGCCATAATAACACAAGATAGGAACCATTCACTCACAAATTTGGAGCCACTTAACTGCCCCAATTTTTGTCATTTCCATCTCTAAAGTTCCATTGATTCATATTTGTCTTCCTTCAATGTTCTTGAACTATTCTTTAATACCAGGACTCTTAATACCATTTTCTTCTTTTGCACTGCAGGGTCAGGTTCATCATTTCTTCCCTCTCTCCTATTACTTTAATCTCTACCTTTTTGTTATTATGTTTTCTCCAACTTACCACTTTTCCCAAGTTTTCTTCCCCATCAATAATTCTTCTGAACATATATTTCACTTTCCTTATAGTTCTAAAGCTTCTTGAGCTAGAAGTCTCGATGTACTACCTGTACTTCTGCAATTCTCATTCATGACTCCAACCACTGTAATCTGCCCCTGCTATCATCCTCAAAAATAAAAGGGCTTCTCGATGGCTAAATCCAAAAATTTACATTTCTGCCCTTCACTATTGAAACCTGTTGACCGCTCCTTATTTCTTTAAGCAATATTTTCTCTTAGTTTCTGAGACATCTCTAGTCTCAAAGTACATATTTTTAAATCAATTTCCATACTTTTAAATATTATTTTAATGTTGATGTGTCCTGTGGACCCACATTTCCGTTTACCACATGGATATCTTACATGCAATTAAAATGCAATAGGTTAAAAACTGACCCTGTCAACCTAAAAAGAAACTCACTCAGAGAGACAAGCTCTCCAGAATAAATGAATTTATTTTGGAATAGCAGAGAATTTCAATTCAGAGTACACAAGCAATGGCAGGTCATGGGCATATGCAGGGGGGCTGAGGAAAGAGGGCATCTTTTAAAGACAAAGAAAAGAAGTTCATGTAAGCTATTTTGAAACCAAAGGTTACAAAGACCGAAGGTAATAGGGGTTACAGAAGTTGGTGTTAGCTAATTTCTAGGTGAGTATCCTTGGGCAAGCAACTTACCTGGAATGCTACAATCTTGAAAAAGTTCTTGCTATAAGTTTTGTTCACAGTTTATGTGGAGGAATGTCTTTTGAGAAGTCCTGTTACAAACATTCAAGCATGGGAGCTTCTTTCTCATGGCCTCTCTCAACTCTATTTTGTTAGAATTTGACACAAGTGGCTCCGTTTTACAACCCAGACGTATTCTTTCTTTAGTATTCTCTAATTTGACTAATGGGTTCACCATCCCTTCTAATCAAGAAACCCAAAAGATTTAGTGGACTTTTTACCACCTTCACACCTTCTCATTTCTAAAGAGTCACCACTATCTTTTCATTCTATTACAACATGACTTGTAATTCTTCCTGCTCCTTTCCTCTACTCTACTATAGTATCCCCAGTGACTAGTAATGTCGGACATATACCAGATTCTCAATAAATATTTGTTGAATTAATTAACTCATTACCACCTTTTGATGTTTCTTCCATGTAAAATGTCCTTCATTTGTTGTACTTGTACAAATAGCTCAAGTCACGCTTTCTCCTTAAAATGTTCCCTGACTCCAAAAAGAGGTACTTACTCCTCTGTGTTCCCATAGTACTTTGTTAATAAGTCTATTATAGGTGAAAGTTATTTACCTTTTATGTTATATTTATGCTACTGTTTGCCTTATTTTTCCCATTAGACATTGACATTCTTAAGGACAGTCATCAGAGTGCTATTTATTTTTGGTATCCTCACCGTCTTTGCAATGTTTAGGTGAATCAGCACAGGGTTGGATATTGGGATGGATGTGAAGTTACTAAAAGCTTCACCGAAGAGACAGCATTTAAACAGTGCTGTTTTCAAAGTGGTTTCTGATTAAACTGAAAGTAAACAGCATTTTCTAAGAGTGCCCAGAAGGCTACCTTAGCTGAAATACAGGGACACTTTGGAGGAAGAATTCATGGCAAATAAGGGTGGGGTGGTAGATCAGAGATGATTGTGGGGTCTCCTGAATGACAGATAAATGCATTCCTTTTTTTTCCTTTGGGCAGAGGTGAACTATATATGGTTTGTGAGCAGAGAGGTGTACCTTTCTCAAATTTATAGCTTTAGGAAGTTATTCAGATGTCAGTATGTCATGTGAAATGGTACAAAGCCTGCAAAGGCTATTGGAAAAATATTGTGACAATCCAGAAGGGAAGAAATGTGTAAATGAGAAGTAAAAAAAGAGAATGGTAAGGAGACACATTGTAAAGGTACCTTCCAAAGGACCAAGGAATGTGGCTGCTAGAGGATAAGGAAGAGAGACGATAACTGAGATTTCAAGCCTGAGTGACAGAAGGCGCGCTCCTGCTTTTAACAAGAGATAGGAAATACAAGAGGAAGCATGAGTTTGTGGGAGAAGATTATGAGTTCAATTTTGGATATAGTGAGTTTGAAGAGCAAATATGAATCTGAACGTGAATATCAGCACCTACTTAAACTCTTCATATCAGGATTGCTTTCCTTTCCCTATTAAGTGACTTGAAGAACTGTCAGTTGGTCAGATATTCAAGACCAAATTCTTTCTGCTAACAGCAGCCTTTAATAATGACTGCCATTTTGACTGATTGGAAGATGCTATCCTAATGTGATCTAACAGTTGAAGCATAAAGTACCACTACCAGTGAAGTGAATAACAAAATTACAAGACATCAGAAATGTAACCCTATGAATTTTAAATAGAAGAGAATGCATGCTTCAGGATTATTTTTATATAATATGAGGGTAGTGTTAAGAACCAAATGGAAAAAAAATCCTTGTTTCCCCAAATTGATTAAAATTTTGATTTTTCACAGTATTTCCATTATGATATAAAGGTGACTGATGCTCATTTCCTATACTTTAGATCTTTTGAAATACATTAATTTTCCCTGCTGTGAAAAATGACATTCAAAAACAGGGTTGTAGGGAGAGATGACAACTTTATTAGTCTGTCGTATAAAACAAGTTCTTCACTCTCTTCAAGATCTGTTTCTTTCTACAAGTGACAGTCTGACATATTCTATTATCAAATTCTAAGTAGCCTTGATAAAGCACCAATAAATTTATCCTTACAACTAAAAATAAAAAGGAATTCTATAAATGCATACCTAGGAAAAAAATGTTAAGAGGCTGGTCATCAGAACGATTCTATTTGCCAGGTTTTTTTTTTTTTTTTGAGACAGGAGTCTCGCTCTGTAGCCCAGGCCAGAGTGCAGTGGTATGATCTCGGCTCACTGCAACCTCTGCCTCCCAAATTCAAGTGATTCTTCTGCCTCAGCTTCCCAAGTAGCTGGGACTACAGGTATGCATCACCACTCCTAACTAATTTTTGTATTTTTAGGAGAGATGGAGTTTCACCACATTAGCCAGGCTGGTCTCAAACTCTGACTTTGTGATCCTCCTGCCTCAGCTTCCCAAAGTGCTGAGATTGCAGGTGTGAGCCACTGCGTCTGGCCTTGCCAGGTATTTTTAAAGGACTCTTACACTGTGATTCCTGTGCATGACTGATACTGTGACTATGGTCGTAGCAGGTATAGAGCTTCTACCAGTAGACTTTTCCACTATGGAGGAGAGTTTTGGTACGACCTACTTTTGTAAAGCATTACTCAGACTAGAAATATTTTTAAATTTTCTTAGAGAACGATTACTCAACGCAGTGTAAAGTGATGGTTTAAAAACATATATGTTTCTATATATTATCATTTATGGATTATATCCATTTATAATCCATAAACGAGAATTCCAGTAGATAACTCTGGGGATTTTGGAATTTAATGAATGTGTATCAAATTAAGATCTGTGCATTATATCATTTATGCATTGAATATGTTTGAGTTACCATAAAATCAACCAAACATGGTTTGATTGCTGCCTGAATGAGCTTCTAATCATTGGAAAACAATTGGAACACAGCAGGGAAAGGTAAATACACAAAGAGAAAGTAATGGAATTAAATGCCCAGTGCTTCAGCTCCTGCCATCTGCTTTAACTTAGACTACATGTAGTACCTAAACAGCTTGATATAGTTGAAAAAAAAACACATTTGTTAGCATGAATGCTGCCCCCAAGTAAACTTTCCTAGCCTGTTACATCCCAAAATCTGTTATACTCTTTTCAGATCGAAGCCTTAAACTCTGAAGCCCAATTACACAGAGGTGGTAAGGAAGGAGAGAGCTATATCTACTATTGCTCTTGGCCTCTCTCCAACTGCACCTCTTTGGTCACCCTAGGGAGGAGGGTTCCTGTGGGGAATTAGTGGGGGACAGGATTGGAAAGTTGGCAGAGACAAAATTCTTGTTGCTTTAAAATGCCATATCAAGGAATTGAATTTGTAATATCTTAATGCTTTCATACAGAAAAGGTTAAGAGTGATGAAAAAAATATTTAAAACAAATTTTTAAAAACCAAACGGCTAGACTCTCAAGAGTGGAAAGTTTGGAACCTACTATAACAATTCATGTGATCAATAAACTTCACATCTATTATAACAAGGCAAACGATTCATAGTTAGCTGCACTTGTACTGACTGATTTCCTGTAAAGCATACTTTCATTATCTTTCATGCATGTTTGAAACCACCTATTCTGGTATGAGAGGGAGGAAGAGTTTCATAACATTAAAGAAACTCTACATCAAACTTAACTGACCCTAATTAGCCTAATGGATTAATGACATTTTAGTACTTATGATTTATAGTAAACACCTAAAAGCGGAAAAGGCTTCTATGATGTGTGATTGGAAGTAGCAGTTCTACAGGGAAAAGATGAAAACTCTCTGAACTCAAAGAAGATTCTTCAGGAAACATAGATAGACTACATAAAATAATGCCTTTACTCCCAACATACTTTTTAAAAATTCTGTAGACAAAATGATTTTGCTGTTTCATATAAATATACTCCCAACTCTCTCATGCCCTTTTTCCCTACCACTTGTCCAGTGTGACACATTGTCTTCTGATTATAATCATGCTGTATCACCCAGCTCCACTTTTTTTCCTTGAAGAAAATTCTGTTGCTGGATTGTCATTCTAAATGTTTTAATTCTATCAATTTCTATCTCTTCCCACAATAAACATCATTCTCACAATATATGAACATTTTTCCCCCAATTCTCTGACCTATATCTTGAAGGTTAGAATAATATAAACACATGATAAAAAGCTTTGAAAGCTTTTGTGCAGACATGGTGGTTAGAAAAAAATGTTCTCCTTTTAAAGACAAGGATCTCAATATTGAGTTTTTCCTATCACAGCTTGAACTTTCTATGAAGTCTACGGAGCCTCCTCTTTAGTTACATAAGCAAACCATTAAAATGCTCTCTATCAGTCCCTTGTCATTAGCATATTTTTGAAATCACTTTTTTCATCATCGCACTAGTTATATGTTTCTTTCCTAAAATGTCACATCTGTTCAGATATCCCATGTTCTTCTTTACTCACACCTGCAACCCACATTTCATTCTGCTTCCAACCCTATCTTTTCCTGTCTTTTCTTATCAAACTTTTCTACTATAATATCTCCTCTGATTTCCTAGTCTGTGGTCAAGAAAAACCTCTCTACCTCTTTGCTTCATTAATACTTGGTGTTCTCTCACAATAAGGCCCAATAGGTCATTTTCACAAGTAGAGACTTCATTTTTCTTTTCTCAGCATAAGGAGAAATTTATTTTTGTTCTATTTCATCCTACCTCATGCTACTCATCTCAGGTTAGCATAAAGTAGTTCACCCTGTTTTGAAGCAAAATTTCTACCCATATCAACTTAATCTCACCTCAATCAACAACCTCTGGGCCATCCTTCCCTATTTTTGGAAAATAGTACCTAGTCCATAGTTACCCTCTTTCCACTATTACTATTATCCTGAACGAATGTAAAAGATGGTCCATCTACTTTGATTAGAATCTAATTCAGTCTTTGATTCCTCGTACTCCAATGACAGAAATTCAAGTCAGTTTAGAAACTAATTCACATAATCACACCATGGACCTTTGTAATTAGCTGAAACCCTTATACCTCTAAGAATCTAAATTCTGAAATTCCCATTTCTGCCTATATCTTAATTTTACAATTCTTTATCACCTCTACTCTCTTTCATATCCCCTTAATCAAAAATCTTCACCAGAATTCCTCAATACTTATGTTGTTCAACTTCGCCCTTTTGGATTTGCTTCTCACCTTCCACAACAGAACCCCGTACTTTAATTATTTCACGTGCTGTTGCCTGGCCCCTTAGTCCTATTGTATATATATATTCTCATTTACAGATTATATCCATTTATAATCCATAAATGAGAATTCCAGTGGACAACTCAGGAGATTTTAGAATTTAATGAATATGTATCTAATTAAGATTTGTGCATTACATCATTTATGCATTGAAAATGCTGTGTTCCTTTATCATGGGCACACCTCTTGGCAACCTCTCACCTTGTATCAAAGTACTGTCTCAACTTAAAGACTGTATATGAAGAAAAAGAAGAAGTTTGGTCTAACATGGACCAGAATCTTCTTCTGCAACTCACTACTAGTTTTGTAATGCTGCGAGCTTCAGTTTTCTTGTCCGTAAAATGAAGATAACTTTTCTTTTCATATTATAGGAGGTTATAAAAGCCACATGACATAAATACCCTGGCTCAGGGCAGACACTTGATAATGATTCTCCTTGCTTCTACCTCCTTCTCCACTTAAAGAGGGTCTGTAACCTACTCACATTTTAACTGTATCTCAATATTCTTCCTCGGCTCTTTTTCTCATTCTCTACAATAATTTATTTCAATGTTTTCTTTAGACATATGCCCCCACACCTGGTTCCTGATTCTCAACATGTGGCATGCCCTCTTTCTTTCCTTTTTCTAGTTAAAAGACTCTAAATCATGAGGTTATGAACTCCCTCAATTTTCTTTCCACACTTATTTAGATATTTTCCCCTGCTATCTCAGGGGAAGAAGTAACTTCTTTTCAAGGTCAAACTGTCTATCACTAATATTGATTTTATCATATTTTGCCTCTGCTAAGATGATATTCTATCAATGATTTCTTCTCTGGCATTAATAATCTCTCACCTCTGGATCATGTCCCCACTCAACTAATCTGCTTCATCCTTTAAAAGAATTAAAAATAAAAATATACATTTCTACCCCTCACCTCAGTAATGAATGTTGAAAACTCTTTTTTCAAAGGTCAAAAATGATCTGGTCATTGGCAAATGCTGACCCTTCATTTGGTTCTTATCTCTGCAGTTTCCCACAATATTGCCCAGAACCTCTCTTTTAACTATCTTCCCATGGTGTCTATAATGCTTCCCTTCCAGGTTTATTTGCCCCATAGTTTCCTGAGTAACCTTGTTTATCCATCTTTACCAGGTCCTCTTCTGCAATTCCACCACAAATCTCTCCATATTAAACTGACATTATGTAAATAAAATGGAATTCTACCCATTTTTTTCAGTAGAGTTGTTTTTAGAAAAAGAAGTCATGACAAAATTTTAAAGTTATTGCTATGTGTCCACTCCCATCCATGTCCTTAATCCAGTCTCTACCATGTCTCTCATTTTGATTGCTGTGCTGTGTATTAAAACAGCAGTGCTCACCATAACATGTATTGATCTTTTTTCCTATGTTTATTGAGGTATAATAGAGAAATTATATAAATTTATGGTGTACAATGTGATGTCTTGATATACATACATATTGTTAAGTTATTACCACAATCAAATTAGTTAACACATTTAACACCTCACCAAGAGAGTGAGAGAGAGTGTGTGTGGTGAGAACATTTAAGGTCTACTCTCTTGGCAAATTTCAAGTATACAATACAGTATTGTTAACTATAGTATGATCTAACATATATGTAATGTTAAAAAGTTGCATTCATAGAAGCAGAGAGCAGAATGGTAGCTACCAGGGGCTGGGGTGGAGGAAATGGAGAGACGTTTGTCAAAGAGTACAAGCTTTCAATTTTAAGACATATTTCTCTTTGTTTATGGATGCCATTTTATTGAAAAATCTAACGTGTTTATTTCTCATAGGCATACGTTAGAGCAAACTATAATAACACAATTCTGTTGAAGGGATGAGCAAATGAAGTCATACTTGGGCCAAGTCTCTATACTATCCCTAAACTTCTTGATACTTTCAGGTCTACTCGTAGCTGAATGTTCCACTTCCAGGCTTTTAGTCCCCATCCTCTGTGCTTGCTCCAGATCGCATTAGAGTCCTGGAGGGATTTTCACTTTAATGGAGGCATTGTCAGTTTCAGAGATTAAGGTGGGCTATTACTGGGATAATGCATCACATCTGATTGGAGGTCTCCAGAATGTAGACTAACGTTGAGGACATTCTTCAGTGAGGTTGCTCTAATATATATACTCGACAGGGAAAATGTGTTGTCCCTGTGTAATGACAGCCTACTCAGTGTTTTAAGAAGCATATGTTGGCCGGGCGCAGTGGTTCACACCTGTAATCCCAGCACTTTGGGAGGCCGAGGCGGGCAGATCACATGAAGTCCGGAGTTCAAGACCAGCCTGACCAACATGGAGAAATCCCATCTCTACTAAAAATACAAAATTAGCTGGGCATGGTGGCGCAGGCCTGTAATCCCAGCTACTCGGGAGTCTGAGGCAGGAGAATCACTTGAACCCGGGAGGCAGAGGTTGAGGTGAGCCAAGATTACACCATTGCACTCCAGCCTGGGCCGTAAGAGCACAAATCCTTCTCAAAAAAAAAAAAAAAAAATAGTATATGTTGCTCATTAGTATTTGCTTGGTTTCAGGAAGATAAATTCATATAAGCCAACAATATAAATTATAACACATAAGATATGAAACAATATAGATTATAAAATTATAAATATATAGTTATAGATAATAATTTTTTTTTTTTTGAGACTGAGTCTCACTCAGTCGTCCAGGCTGGAGTGCAATGGCGTGATCTTGGCTCACTGCAACCTCCGCCTCCCGGGTTCAAGCCATTCTCCTGCCTCAGCCTCCCAAGTAGCTGGGATTACAGGCACCTGCCACCACACCTGGCTAATTTTTATATTTTTAGTAGAGACGGGATTTCACCATGTTGGCCAGGCTGGTCTCCAACTCCTGGCCTCAAGCAATCTGCCTGCCTCAGCCTTTCAAAGTGCTGGGATTACAGGCATGAGCCACTGCACCCAGCCGATATGTAATATATTATGAATTATATATATCTTATATGTAGTTCATTGCTAGACCTTCTCCTGTCTTCTCTTTGGGAATATTTCAGTCTCATTGTTCTCTCCTATTGGGTCTCTCCTCTTTTGCATAAAATTGATATATCAGGTAACAGATTCATACAGCAATCAGATATTAGTGATTCTTTACACAGGAGATTTGATGTTCAAGAATCATATACAAAGGTGATTAGGGACCTAAATTTCATGCTGTATTATGTTTCGTCTCTATTATAGAAATTGTATAAACAGCCTGCAGTGTGTTCTATTTCCTTTCCATGGCCAAATGGGACAAATAGTGATTTCAACTTTCCTTGAAGCATCATGCCAGTGTAAGAAACAAGTCTCTATCATTTAAGCTGCAAATTTAAACAAGATCAGACTTTCTTTCCTAAAACAAAAAAATCAAACTGTATATAGTCAAGGATACAACAAAAGCTTGAGGGAAAACAGAATAAAACAAGGAATCTTCCTGTTTAACATTATTTGAAATATATCTCTGGGAATTGTTTTAAACCAAATTTTAAGACTCCAATTTTTTGTTGAGAATACAAAGGTAGGTGTCAAGGTCAGCACATAAGGCCTTTCTCTGTGCTATTTATCCGCATGCCTGGAGAGGATTACATGGATTTCAGAGACTTAGTCCCAAGAAATTTACAATTGAGGGCAAAAGAATATGTCATTTGACTATGTACAGTGTTTTATAATATCATGACTTCTTGATAAAAGGATTAAGGAAATGGGATATATGTATATATTTTGCCAACATGTAGTAGAAAATCCCAACTCTTCCTCTGCTATCACTGTTCACTTCCCCCCACCCCAAATAAATGCCATGACATTCTGTCACCCAGGCTGCTGTTTTTAAGATTAGAAATAAAACTTGTATTGAAATGGAGCTATTCAAATATATGTACCAGCAAATGGGGCTACCTGCATTTCCTGATGCTCTGCAATGACAAAGCAGTATTCACAAGGGAAGGAAAACCATGATGAATATTTTAGGTAGCTCCAAGTCTCTGGGAAAATCAGAGAGTATACCAAAGAATGTAGTAAAATTGTATGTTTTTAATATTTATGAAATCCTGGTGAGGTTAAATATGCCTCCAGACTGGTACTTTCTTAATACAGGGAAATAATTGCTTCAGAAAAAAATTGCTTTCAGAATAAACTATAATACTGAGGAATTTGTTTGGGCAATTTTATAATATCTTTAATAAAATGTCACTTTCTAACAACCAACAGATACAAAGATAATAGGGCAGTGCTATATGGCAAAGCAAAAATATAGAATTACAGTTTTCCTTTCATGATGCTACTGATTACATGAGACATAACTAAAAGGCAATGAAACTGATCACAAGAGCCACACATTGTATAGTTAAACCTTATAATGCAGATTATCCTCTCAGAACAATACCAAAGGTAGTGTATTTGTGTGTGGGATCAAAGGTAATAAATTATTTATTAACGTGAGAAATAGAAATATATTAAATTGTTAAATAGGCTGTCCATGGCAGGGAATGTTCAATTTATTAATTATCCATGTAAAGAACTAGAGAGAGAGAAATCTTAGAGCAAAGACCCCAATCTATCAGAACAACGGCTCTTACTTCCTAATTTAAAAGCTCTTTCAATGAGGGAGATGATTTTGCTGATGGGAGTGCAAACTGGGAAGGAGAGGCCTTCTTTAATAAAGAGGCAGAGGTGGAGAAGGTGAGCAATTTACTTTTGCTGCATACCTTTTTTTATCTGCTTCCAATGATGAATGGAAACAGAAGATTTTTCAGATTTTACTTTCTCATAGCAACAGTATCATAAATCATGGTTATATTTGAAAGAATGTGAATGATTCCTTCAACTAAAGATCATTTAGCAACAATCTTTGAGCGCACACTATGTGCACAAAACTGAACCATGTTCCAGGGATATGGAGGCAAGTAACACAGACATGGTTTTTATCCCTGAGCTTGTCAGTCTAATGAAAGCCAAAGCTAGAAAAATTAGAATATAGTAGGATCTAAGGCTATAACAGAACGTAGAAAGTCAGTGAGGAGCAGTGGCTGGCAATGGGGTTAAGAAGGTAGGTTGAGGCCAGCTTGGCAAAGAACCTACCTTGAGTTATAGGATAAAGAGATTGGATTTTATGTTATGGGCAACTTGTAAACACTGCCTTTATGCCAATTATGTTAAATGAACTTCCAAAAGTATCTGCTTGGCAGCAATATACCAGGAAGGGAATCTAGAAATGACTCTAAAAAAATCCAGAATGATTTTCCTCAGATCAAATTCCCAAGTAAGCAAATTTGTCCAAAATCTATTTGCCAGAGGTTAAAATTAATCCTTACAATAAAATATATCTGATGATACACTGCACAGGACAGGGAATTTTAGGAGTTACCAGCTTATGAACATGAACCTCTCGATATTTCATGAAAAATAAAAAGTATGCCTGTTCACATTCATCCTTTACCAGCTGATACCTCTAGCTCTTGTTGCCTTACAAACTTGTTTTTCTAAAATATTTGGTATCATAAACTCTTTTATCAAATAGAACGGAGTGAAGCAGAACAGCAACAACTCTAAATTTCTCAAAAATATGCAAAATGCTGGAGAGGCAGCCTGCACCTGCAGCCCCAAAAGCAAATGTGTTGAATAATCAGGGATCCCAAACAGAGCTGCACTAGAGTAATTTACTCAGCTAATCATTATATGAAATAGAACATTAGATTTCTGCAACAAAGTTGCATCAAAGTAGATGCATACCTCATTCGATTAACTAAAACATCACAAAATCATTTAGCTCATTAGATGGTTTTTAATAAGCACTCCTTCCTGGGAGAGGGCACTGTGTCTTTTATTTATTTCTTGTGCTTGACGTTTCTGGCACATGGAGATGTGGTCTGCATGATTCAATATCCTCAACTATTCATCTCAGTCCTTAGTATCTTGTAGAAAGATCACCGTGCTTTCAGATATTTAAAATACCCTTAAGATAAGCATGGTATTTGTTTGTCAGTAAAAGTTTGAATTTGGGTCTTGAACATGTGTCAGAACAGGGTATCTCACCTTAATCAGCCACAGAACTAATTTTCAGGCAGGTACGTGTTAAAGATTAGGGAAGGACAGCAGCTTTAGCTCACTTCCTTTAGCTCACACTAACTGACCTTTCCAGACCTCAACCAATTTTGAAACAGAACTTCAATTTAAATGGTTTTCTAGTGTAAATAAAAGTGCTTGGGTTTCCAAGAAAAATATGTGAAATTGTTAGAAAATGTGGAAGTTGAAGTGTCTCTAAAATGGGCAATGGTAGTATTCTGGAAACTTATTACAGTTGCCAATAACCAGTTTACGAAGTAGGGCAAAAATTTTTCTCTTCTATTTTTTCGTTACCTTGGCCTTCAAATTCTCAGTTTATTATCTGAGACTAGTATATAGCTTTTCATGACATCTCCTACAGCGAATAGTCTCTCAACCAGTATGAGAGTGCACGCTAGACACCTGTCCATGCCCACCTACAACACACAAATACACACACACAAACTTACTTATACACTGCATACAAGAAAAAATCGCTGTGCAGCAATACTGTTCCTGAAATGTGAACGTATATGGTAAAGTTGTGGTAACTTAGTGAAGAAAAGGAAGAGTAAACCAGGTATGCTTTGTTGTCTAACACTGTATCTATAGATTTGAGGTATATAGATTTCTAGCCATGGAGAGTTGGGAACTATATGGCATCATACCCACTGTGCTTTTGTGTTTGTTTTTTTCTTTTTTAACATATCTACAGTTGGTAATGAACTAAGCACAGTGGTTACCTCTGGAATGAGAGAAATGGAGAAGGAAGATTTCACTATGTTTGTATTGATTTCACAAGTTAACATTTCTACAATTGGAAATTGTTTTACAATTGATAGTGTGTTGGTTTAATTGGAAGGTTTTTTTTCTTTCTTGGTGGCACATAAAATAACAGTGATCTTAAGATCTATATGCTTCAGATTCTGCAAAATACTCAGTTTTTAAAGCAGTAGCATATGGGTGATTTTTGCTTTCTTATGATCTTAGGTGTTTTTAAAGTTTTTAGATAAAAAAGAAGAAGGAATAAAAAATAATAAAAGGAAAATATGTGACAAATTGTTGAGAAACAAAATAGAAGCCGATAGTGGAACAATTCATGGCAGAATTAAATATTATAAGGTGAATTAAATGTATTTAACTTATTAGTATACCTGTCTCGTCTCAAATTAGAATACAAGAGACTGTGAAATCTAAATCACCTTTGAATTGCCTCTGGGATACAGCACCTTGTCTGCTAACAACTTAGTAACTTAGTAAACATTGGTTAAATAAATGGATTATGAAGTAAGTTAACTTTTAAATATACTGTGCAAAATCATTTAGACCATGTTTTCTATTTCTCACATTCCTTAAGCATTTCTTCAAACTCTGCCTGCTTGACCTAAGGAAACCAAACCTATGGCAATCTAAAAAAAAACAGTTCAAAATAATAGGACCAAAATGGAAATTGTTTGGTTTGACACTATATTTTCTTGATAATAATCTTGTATTGTACTGACATTATCTTTGATATCTCTGATTAAAAAGAGCTTATTACAGTCAGCCTAACCAAGCATTTAGGGTGAGGGTTCTTCTCTGTGTTCACATGGCACTGAACATTCTCTGACAAGATCTCCCAACGACTTGTCTGTTTGACCTTTTTGAAAAGGGAAAAGGTTTCATTCATCTTTGTAACTGAGATGCTTAGTACAATGCCTAGCAATGAGTGTTCTGTAAATGTTGAGTAAATCACATGACTGAATGACACAGTTTCACAATGTAGTATCAGTTGACCCTGGAACAACACAGGTTTGAACTGCCTCGGTGCACTTATGCAAATTTATTATAAAAATTTAAAATTTAGCAAAACATACACATGCAGGCACTTACAGACCATACATGGTGCCATTCCCAATGGAGAGAAATGGAAACAAATGTAAAGATACAGTTTTAAATAATAACTACCTAAAGTTAACTCTAGAACACCCTGTACTACTGTAATAATTTCATAGCCACTTCCTGTTGCTATTGTGGTGAGCTCAAGTGTTGTGAGTTTCCACTTAAAACACCATGTGACACTAACCATCTCCCCGTGAGCAGTTCATCTCTTCGGTAAGTTGCAGATCCCAATAAAAAGTGATGTCTCCCGGTTCCAGTGTATTTTTCATTGTGCTTTCTGCAATATCGTAAACCTTAAATAACACCGTTGGACCCATACGAAGTGCCACTAGTGATGCCAAAAGTTCTCCCAGGAAGCAGAGAAAAGTCTTAACATTATGAGAAAAAAGTTGAATTGCTTGATATGTACCATAGATGGAGGCCTGCAGCTGTGGTTGCCTGCCATTTCAGACAGATGATTCATCTTGTACACAGACAATGTGAATTTGTGGTATTGATAAATACAGTACAGTACAGTGAAGGTATTTTCTCTTTCGTATTATTTTCTTAATAACATTTTCTTTTCTCTAGCTTATGGTACAACTACAGTATTTAGGACATATAACATACAAAATATGTGCTAATCGACTGTTTACGTTATTGGTAACGCTTCCAACCAACAGTAGGCTATTAGTAGTTAAGTTCTGGGGTAGTCAAAAGTTAAGTGTGGAATTTTCAACTGTATGGGGTCAGCACCCCTAACCCCTGAGTATTGAAGGGTCAACCATACTTGATATTAGCAGTGCTTATTGGTAGCAGACCACAAAGATCTCTCTTAGGAACGTAGCCATACAGCTATGTTAAGCAGGTGTGGCAAGCACAATAATGGCCCCTCAAACATATCCCTATCTTAATCCCCAGAATTTGAGAATATGTTACTTTATCTGGTGAGAGGGATGTTTGCAGATGGATTAAATTATAACTCTTGAAAGATTACTGTGGATTATCCAGGTTGGTCCAATATGATCACAAATGTCCTGGAAAGAGGGAGGCAACAGTATCAGAGCCGAGAAAGGAGATGTGGTGACAGAAGCAGGGGTAGGAGTGACACAGGGCCGTAAACCAAGGAATGCAGGCTGCCTGTAGGAGCTGGAAAAAGCACAGAAAGGGATTCTTCTCTAAAACTTCCAGATGGAACACAGCCCTACTGATACACTTTAGACATCTCCAGAACTGTAGGATAATAAATTTGTGTCTTTTAAGCTACTGAATTTGTAGCAATGTGTGACAGCAGCAATTGGAAACTAATATATCAGGCAAATCGTTGGAGATAATTTGGGGCTTCAAATGGCAGGAAACTCAAACTGGTTTAAATAATAGGATAGCAAGAAGATGCATTGGCTTAGATATTAGGATGTCTAACATGGGGCAGAATGAGTTGCTCCATTGGCTCAATGATATCATCAGTGATGCCACTTAATTTCTGTCTCTATCTCTGCCCTGTATTTCTGTTTCACTGATGTTATCCTGAAACTGGTTCCCTTATAAGTTTGGGAAGGCTGCCAGTAGCAATTGGAGTTAAATTTGTCCTTGTTCACTTTTATCAGGAAAGAGCCCACCTTCTCATAATTATCTACCTTGATAGACTTGCACTAATCAGGACCCATCCCTGGAGCTCCCCCTAAGGGCTACCTGTCACAGGGCCCATGCCTGAACAAAATCAGGGTCCTATTAGGAAAAGGAGAGAGGGGGTATATGCCAGACAGAATATTTGCCATGCACCACAAAGAATGTCACAGAATCCTGTGCCAAGAATGTGAAGGGATAAATAAAAGTGGTTAAACAAATTGCAGGGACACTGTGCCCTCAGTCACAGACCTAGGAAACAAGTTCCAGCTTTTACTTGGCAATGTTTCCCCTTGCTCTATAAGGACAGTTGTATAATGGAAGGAGCAGCAGCAGTTAGTAAAACCTCATGACTCGTTCTGCCAGGCTTAGACTGGCAGTTAGACTGGACTTTCTTCCACCTGGGGAATGGCAACGTGCCCAGCACCTTGGCTCATCATACCACCGTCTGGCTTACCTGCTGCAGGTCACTGAACTCTGGAGTAGATTGACATCAGATAGCCTCTTGTGAATTATCCCTAAAATGATGGGTTTCCTTTGAAAACTGCTAACTCTTCATACATTTCTACATATACTTTACTGCATTCTTCTGTGATTGAAATTTGCTTCTTAATATGTTTTATAAATATCCAACATGACAGTTCAGAGGAATTTCCTACCCAACCAACTCTGTAGTCAAAGTAACAGGAAGAAAAAGAGACAGATGGGAAATTATTTCATTTAATCTCCAACTTCCAATGAATTATTTTCTCTAATATTACAGAAGAGGAAATTTGAGAACTAAGGAACTAAGCTGCAAAGCCTATAATGTCAGAGCTGTTATTAGCCTTAGGGAAATATGATTCCCAAGCCCATGCTCTTCCTTTTGTATTCCTTGGAGTCACTCCAAGAGTTGGATATATGTATAAAGTTGATCTACAAGAAATGTCTCCTTCTAATACTCTCCATGTGACTTAAGGCTTATTCCAGAACTGGTCCTCATGTCCTACAGGGAGGCTAAGAAGTCTGAAGACATCGGACATTCTCCAAATTTATGTAAATTAGAGATAGAGGTGAGGAAAGATCCCTCTAGACTAGTTCCAGAAGAAAGCAAGAGTAGATCAAGTTGCTTAATGATCTCCTTAGGCCTGTTCTTTCCTTTAATTGTAAGGGAAATCTAAGCACAGTCACATTGATCATCAGAATTGATTAGGGTAATTTGGCTTGCCAGGTGGGCATACTAACCATGGCCCTAAGCACTTGCAGAGGACTAACAAACACCAAAGAGAATTCTTCCTCTTCATTATCTTTCTGTTTCTGGGAATCCTTTGAGAAACAACACACAAATCACCCCAACTCGTGTATATAGCTCAGGATAGCACTGGTCTCCAGGAAACAGCTCCAGACTTAATGGACATAAATAAGCAAGGCTCTAAGGTTCATGAGGGCACACTGCATTGTATACACACTGCATTCTTAGTTCCAGACATAGTGCCTGACCCCTGGCAAATCACTAGTGTTATATGAAGGAGGTAAGAGCAGGATGGTGAGATGGTGGTGAAGTGCACTAGATTTATGTCATTATTCAAGAAAAATTACAGAAAACTTTTCCTTAAACAAGGTAGACCAAACCTATAGTAATGGCCTTTAAAACAGTGCAAATTTCACTATTGTTGTTCACGGGGTAGAAACTAGAGGCCTTTTTACCCAATAAGATCATACGAATTTTCAGGTTTTGCAAAATGTTTGTTAGCATTTGAAAAGCATTTCCAGTTACTGGCAATCTTCAAGAAAATGCCTAAAACAATTTTCAGAAATGCTTCTATTGAACTCTACTGAAATTACATTTTATGTAGTCCTGTGTGATTGCTTCTGCCTTATTGTTCAAGAACTGTTAATAATGAGTGAGAGTTTTAATATGCAGAAAATGAGCAACAGAATGGGACCCAAAGTTCTTTTATTTTATTTTTTAATAAAAATTTAAAGACCTTGTTAGAGTCAGTTTCCAGGAATAATTTACTGGCATGTATGTTGTTTAATTTATTTCTAATTTAAAGACAAATTAATTAACACATAAAGAACTTAAAACAGAGCATATCTTCAAAATGAGATGGCTCAGAAGCATTCAGGATTCACAAAACGTTTTTTCACGGCAGTTGTGAATTTAAATCACAGAATAGAAATGATAAGCACCACAGCATGTCGGGCAGCAGCAGTATGCTGAACATGGACACCACTGTTTGCATCACTGTTTCCAGTGGACATTTTCCACGATGTGAAGTCAATTATTGCTTCCACTTCTACATTAGTGTAATTGGTTTTTGCTCTCCAGAGGAGAATTTATTAAGGCAATTTCAGTAAATAAGGGAAAGGGGGTCCAATTTGCTACTGAATCCATTGGGTATGGATAATCACTTCGATTTTCCTCCAGATCCTAGGGGAATTCTTGGTCCTGCTGCATGTATTAAAACCCTTTTTCCTCTTTGCAAGGGAAAGCAGAATGCTACCTTTTTTTCCCCAGGAAAGTTGGTATGCTTGATGAAGACGATTCTACGAAGCAGTACCCCTGAAAGTATTGATTAGCATGATTTTAAAGAATACTCAGGGCTTGTACAGAGAACAGTTCAAAGGAATGTACAAAGCATGCGCCTTCTCTAAACATTTTTAAATGCTTAGTTCTTACGAAGAAAACACATGCTAAAGCTAAATTTTCTACCGTTTCTGCATCAAATCAGATCCTTGATCAAATCAAGAGGTGCTTTTCTTTCATTAAAGTAACTCTAAGTATGAAAGAGCAATGATACCTTTCCATGTGGGCAAGTTCTTTCTGCATAGAGCATAAGACATAATGAGATATAATTCATAAAGATGTTGCCTATTTTCAGCCAACATTTTTCATTTACAGTAAAATATTTTTGGAATGCCCAGGAGATTTCATTATTTGAATAGGAGGCTGGAACATCACATTTACAGCATGTTTGGCAAAGTTTGGAATATAATGTAGAAATCAGAATTATCTGCAAAATTGTTGATGCATTCTTCACAAATTCTGATGCTGAGTGCAGCTGGATTCTATGGGTGAAGCTCAGAGACTCCAGGTGAAGAGCAACATCACTATCTGTGCCATGTCCAGGGAGACATTGGTGACTACAGTTTTTCTGGCCCTGGAGACCCCAATTCAAAGTAGTAGTCAATCTGTTACTTAATCCAATCCAAACAAAGCAAAGCTAAAGAAAACAAAAACACTCTATTAGATGTCTCTGCAAATACACCAAGGGCTAGAACACCATTTAATTCAGGTGAGGACAAGCAGTTCTGCCCCTATTATCTGGAGTGTTGCTTTAACCCTCAGCTTTGCTTTGAAAACCAGGCCTCGCTTTGCATCCTCAGTGCAATATTAATTCAGAACTGACTTGGATTTGTTCCTTGGGCAAAAGGTTAAGTGATCCATAAATTTATTTCCCTGTAGATTTGGAAAAAGAAAAGTAAATATCACGGTGATTTGTTAGCCAAGTTTTGCAGCAACAGAATCATTGAATACCCCTCCAGTAACCAGAGTCAATGCTGTGTGATGAATAGAAAATAATTAAAATATTTATGGCTCACCCACGTGAATGATGCCAATGACCAGAAAGATCAAATCCTCACAGAAATCTGATTAATGAGAAATGAGTCTAACCTGCTTCATGTTTGACTAAGAACTAAATTCCATCACAAATGTGCAAAGAAGCATAATTCATCCCTGCATAATGGCTTTTTGTTAACATAACTTCACTGTGAAGAAATGCACAGTATCTCTAAACTACAACATATTTGTTGCAAAATAGAACCTACATTTTTCAAAACCTGACCTTAGATTTTGTGGGCCCCTATCCAGTGACTCAACATTAGTGTAATAAGTACGTTTATAACTCATGGCAGCTGGTGCCATGTGCAGCAGATCTTGTTTCTGCAGGTAATAGCCTTCAGACTTAAGCTCTTTCACGGAGGAGGGTGTGCTTGAAAAGATAATAGTGGTGGAGAGATTCTTAGAGATGGCACCATCCTCTCTCAGCAACAATAGCTCAGTTATTGAGTATCCATCAAGTATATGACATTAGTCTATGCTCACTGAAAGTTTCCATATTGAATCCTAGTCTCCTTTTTCTAAATGAAGAGCATTGCTTTCATGTCCCTTTGTGTCTCCAAATAATTGTTCAATATGCAGCCAGACAATAGGCTTTTTCTTTTGAGAGTGATGGAAAGATATGCCAGGTACAGAGAGCATCATGGAGTAGAAGGAGCTTCATGAGATCCGCTTGTTTGGGCTTCTGCCTCTCTAAGCATGACTGTTGCTGAAGCGTTTCATAAAGGAGCTCTGAATGTCACACAACTGAGGCCATGCCTATCCCCATGCCTGTACCTTTGCTCATGAAGCCCCCACCCTACTTTCATGCCCCTGCCTCACTCTCCTGTCCCACAAAAGACAACTCCATTCATCTGAAAGCTGCTATCCTCTTAAAACATACTATGCTTGTCCCTGAGAATAGAGGTGAAAAAACACATTTCAACCTTCACTGAACTTATAATCCAATAGGGAAGATAGGCATTATGTTAAGATTATCACAAATAATTAAGTGATTACATATTGCATGGCACTGGAAAGAGGTTCTGATACTATGAAGGCATATAATAAGGGGTCCTAAGCATAGTCTAAGAAATCAAAAGAGGCCCCCAAAAGATTTACTTAGACTACACTGGGCACAGTGGCTCACCTCTGCAATCCTAGCACTTCGGTAGGCTGTGGCAGGCAGATCACCTGAGGTCAGGAGTTCGAGACAAGCCTGGCCACCATGGCGAAACCCCATCTCTACTAAAAATACAAAAATTAGCCGGGCATGGTGGTGCACCTGTAGTCCCAGCTGCTTGGGAGGCTGAGGCATGCCAATCGCTGGAGCTGGGGAGACAGAGGTTGCGGTGAGCCAAGATCGCACCACTGCACTCCAGCCTGGGCAACAGAGTGAGACTTCATCTCAAAAAAAAAGAAAAAAGAAAAAAAAAGACATATTTAGACTAGAAGTTGAAAGAAATGTATTTAATGAGGATAACAAGGTGTTTAGAGGAAAGACCATTCCGGCCAGACAGAATCTAACTTGTTAAGGCTGAGAGGTGGGAGTTGGGTGAGGGCAAGTGTTGTGAAAAGTATATGGGAGAGAGATTATGTAAACCACAGGCAAAATGGGAAGTCATCAAAAGACAAGTGATGACATGATCAAATTTAGATTTCTTAAAACTCATTCTGGCTATTGTATACATTATTGTTCAGAAAAAGATAAGTTTCTAGACCAGAGCAGAGGCTGTTGCAACAATTCATGGACATGGCAAACCTTTAAATCTCTGTTGATAAAACAACTTTGCCCATCAGCCTGTTATCACTGACATATTACTTTTTTACTCCAGGTGATTAATATATATTTAAGACACTGGACCCAGAACGCTTATGATAGCATTGTTATTTTGAATATGAGCTACTAAAGTGTCCAAGACCATCTCAGAATATTTCAATTTAAAACCAAATCTGTTTTTTAATGAATATACCTATTAAAACACTTAACATAAAGTACACTTCCCCTTAATCTTGGCCACTGAAGATATTGGAGTTGTCTGAAAGGACTTGCTATTCATGAAGGCATGACAATGCCTATCTGCACTGTTTGTTATAATGCTTTTTCCCCAATCATTTTTGTTTTATAAGTGGAATTTTCCTTTCCTACTTAAATACTGTTGGTACTTATTAGCACCCATTTTTCCCTAGAGATGCTACAGATAATCCTGTGAAACATGAGGTGAAGAAAGTTAAATATAACAGTTAATATGAATGTACTACCAATAATACCTATGTCTCCAGTGTGACATTTTACTCAGGAAACTGTGTTGGGTTTCAGAGTAGTGCCATATTTCATACAAGGGAGGAAGGTCTGACAAATTTTCCTCTCCACAACCAGTATCTCTGCTTTCTTCCTCCCTATCCCATGAATAATGTATAAGAATTTCAAGCATCTTGGATGTCCTCCTGGATAAACAATCTGTATCCTTCACCAAGCAATGGGTATGTACTTACAAGCCAGTGGCAGAACATGTTTTCCAGGCAGCAAAACTCTTTTTCATTTCCCTAATTTCTGCAATAGGTCATCAAACATGCCATCTGCTGAGCTGTTTTCCAAAGCATATGGCTGCTGCTTCAAGTGGCAATGTAGAAGAATAACTAAAAGAAGTCATATGTAGGAGAGAGTAACTAAAGCACATACTATTGAGTCACTCGTCTCCATGTCCTTAATTCTATCCCTGAGTCAAGTTGAATTCCTAAAGTCCTCATACTTGAAACACATTAGATTTCTCCTTTCCATATTCACTGTCAATGAGATCCATTTTAACATTATATTTTCACCATTGACAACCAGAGACAACCATAGAAAACCCATGGTATGTTTACTATCAAATGGTATTGAAAATGTGCTTAGTCCTGTCATAACACTAATAGTCATTAGATAGGAAGTGAGCATGATGTGCTACGCACAGCTTTCATTGTTCCAGACAAGCAGCATAGCTAGTAGTTCAGTACACAGTTCAGCCAAGACACCTGGGTACGGGTTCTGAATCTGTCACTCAATAGTTGTATGCTCTTGAGAGTTAACTTCTTAGTGCCTCATTTGTAAAATGGGGTGAAAGATAACAGTCCCTACCTTTGGGATTAGTGTGAAGATTAAATGACTTGATATATATAAAGCACCTAGATCACTTCCCAGCACACGGTCAACATTATGTAAATCTTATATATCAGTATCTCATTTAAACCACATGCAATCTCTATTTGATATATGAAGAATCTGAGTCACAGAGGGCTAAATAACTACCACCAAGGCATTCTGACTCTAGAGCCTATGATCTTAACGAGTTCTTTATATAAAGACTTGTGAGAGAATATTTTTATTTTTAGGGTTATATCTTTGTTTTATTAAAACTCTAGGCCGGGCACAGTGGCTTACACCTGTAATCCCAGCACTTTGGGAGGCCGAGGCAGGTGGATCACATGACGTCAGGAGTTCAAGACCAGCCTGGCCCACATGGCGAAATCCCGTCTCTACTGAAAATACAAAAATTAGCCGGGTGTGGTGGCACGCACCTGTAGTCCTAGCTGCTTGGGAGGCTGAGGCAGGAGAATCACTTGAACCTGAGAGGTGGAGGTTGCAGTGAGCTGAGATTGCACCACTGCACTCCAGCCTTGGTGACAGAGCGAGACTCTTTCTCAAAATATAATAAATGAACAACAACAAAAAAACTCTAAACTTATTTTTTGAGTTGGCTGACAACAAGCACAGATCCAAATCTGAAGTTCAACAATAAAGTCATTGTATTGAATTTGCTGGTTTCCATTTGCTTTCACATGGTCTCTTTTTCGGGATCTTGATTTTCTATTAATATTCCAATTTGGCTCTCACATATTATCTGCCTTTTATAATAACCACCTCATAAAACGACTTAAAAAGACAAAAGTAGGGCTGGGTGCGGTGGCTCATGCCTGCAATCCTAGCACTTCGGGAGGCTGAGGCAGGCTGATCACTTGAGCCCAGAAGTTTGAGACCAGCCTGGGCAATAGGGTGAAACCCCATATCTACAAAAAATACAAAACTTAGCCGGGCATGGTGGCATTCGCCTGTAATCCCAGCTACTTGTCTACTTGGGAGGCTGAGGTGGTGGGATGGCTTTAGCTCGGGAGGCAGAAGTGGCAGTGAGGTGATGTCACAGTGAGCCAAGATCACACCACTGTACTCCAGCCTGGGCAAAAGAGCCAGATCCTGTCTCAAGAGAAAAAAGAAAAAAGCAAAGACAAAATTTATGAACATTGTTTTTTAAGAAACATTTTTCTCTGTGGAGTCAGCTAAATATGGAAATATGGAAACAAAGTTTATCAAATAGATAAATGTTGTTCTAACAAGGACCACTGAAGAATGAAAATGAGAACACTGTATAAGACTATGAAACAGGCCAGGCAATGTGGTACATGCCTGTAATCCCAGTACTTTGGGAGGCTGCGGCAGATAGAGCACTTGAGCTCAATAATTAAAGACCAGCCTGGGCAACATGGAGAAACCCCATCCCTACAAAAAATAAAAAAGTTTTAGCCTGGCATGGTTGCACACATCTATAGTCCCAGCTACTCAGGAGGCTGAAGTGGGAGGATCACTTGAGCCCAGGAGGCCGAGGCTGCAGTGAGCCAAGATTGTGCCATTGCATTCCAGCCTTGGCAACAGAGTGAGACCCTTGTCTCAAAAAAAGAGAAAAAAAAAAAACAACTATGAAATAGGGAGAACTACTTTGCTTTTGACAGTTGCGTAACTTTTCTATCTCAGCTTCTAACAGTCATATACAGGCACACTGCACTCCAAACCCAATTAATTTAACTTCTCCAAGTCAAATTTCTTGACACATTATCTTTTTACCTGGAGCATTTTTACTACTTCCTTCTACCCAGATTGTTTTCTGTTCAGTCTTTTTCCCTTCAACTTCCTTTTATATTTTAAGATTTAGCTCAAAGGTCATCTCCTCTGTGAAGTAAGCATTGTCTGACACCTTAGCCATTTGATGTCTCTCCCTCTTTTGTGTTCTTAAGATGCCATATATATAATATTGGTAAGGCATTCTATTGATTTATTTTTTATTCTTTTAACAAATATTCATTGAATTTCTGCTATCTAATACTCTATATTAAAGTAGAATTATCATATATATGTTATTTCCACTTTTAAAAATAGGGCGATGTTTGATCCATCAGGAACCTGAAACAGAGCAGCATCTCAGTATATAACTGTTGAGGGAAAGAACTGACCAAATAAGATAATTTTATGATTTATAGTCACATTCTAATTTTTAACCAAAGGTGATATTATTCCAATTGGACTTTTACTTTCCACCACATTCTAAATACCTTTTGGTGCTTTCAAAAAATAAAATCTACCCTTAGAAATATTCAAAAGTGTGGTATATGTCCATCCTCACGCTGCTAATAAAGACACACCAGAGACTGGGTAATTTATGAAGGAAAGAGGTTTAATTCACTCACAGTTCAGCATGGCTGGGGAGGCCTCAGGAAACTTACAATCATGGTAGAAGGGGAAGCAAACACATCCTTCTTCACAGGGCAGCAGAAAGGAGAATGAGTGCCCAGTGAAGGGGGAAGCCCCTTATAAAACATCGGCTCTCATGAGAACTAACTCACTGTCAGGAGAACAGGATGGGGGAGCCACCCTCATGATTCAGTGATCTTCACCTGGTCTCTCCCACAGCACGTGTGGATTATGAGAACTACAATTCAAGATGAGATTTGGGTGGGGACACAGCCAAACCATATCATGTGGTTATACCATAAGTTTTACATTTCTCTCCAAGTGATGAAAAAAATACCTACTATTGCTATATTTTTAATATATATTTTAATCATAAAATGCTAAAATTATCCTAGTACATATTTTTTAATGTATTTGATACATTTTTCCTGTTGGAGAGATTCACATTTTTGGAAATGCTAGAACAAAAAGAATGCACATATTCCAGATCTACTGACCTGGAAAAATATTAACAAATATTTTTATATTTTATATTTTATTAACAAATAACAAGCTCACAAATAGATACAGGTTTGGTAGAGCCTGGCACATAAAATAGCAGGGTCCCTATTTAAGAAAAAAAAATTATTAATAGAAAATTGCTAGGTCCTCTCCCTCCTAAGGCCTTGGAAGGGCCTATACAAGTGAGGGGCCCTAAAGTACATGGTTCATTAATGTCATGGTATACCTGCCTGTGTCTGTTATGTATTGTTAAAGGGAAGAGGAAAAGTTAAAGAATATATATGATCTTTACATCCTCCTGAAAATAATTAAACCACTTTATGTTATGTATATGTTTTATGGGCAAATGAAAACTCTGGAATAATGCAGAACCAAATTATTAAAATCACCTTCATCAAGACAGAATTAAGTCAGAGGGTAAGATAAAGTAGGAGTGTGTGTGTGCATCCACGCATGTGTCTGATCATTTTTTAGACACCTTTATTTTCATTATTACAGCAATAATGCACTACTTTTAAATTTCAATCCCAAAATAAACTTTACTGGGTGGGGAACAAAAGCATGTGCATGTGAAAGAATTCCAAAAAAGGAATTTTTTGGATGTCTTTGGAATAAGTCCATATCTTCCCAAAGTTACTATATGAATATACCACATATATTGGTTTCTGAAATTCTGCTATATTTGATACAAAATTAGCCACTTTCTTTTCTGAGAACATTGCCTGTATTAATAGACTGTTCCCCAGGCCTCTCATAAACACAAGCCACAAGACAATCAGATAAGAAGCGAGAACGTAAAAGCTCAGTGACCTACCAATGGGGTGCCAGGTAAACCATCTCTGGTAAATAAAAGACGCCCACTGTATCACCCTGAAATCACTTAAATCAATCATGTTTTGAAATCAAGAGAAATATTTCTCTATAGATAAGACAAACATAAAATGAATACAAAGGCATATGTAACCCACAAGAATAAAATATAATCAAGACAAGTCAAGCCAAAAATATATCTCAAAACATCCATGCGGGAACCAGTTGATTGTGGCAGAGAAAAATCCAATATGTATTTCAAAACAACTTATCACAAAAAGAAATTAAGGCAAATTCACACTAGGAAAAAAATGTTTTTCAAAATAACTAGTTCTACCAAAATTTGTGCAATCTAACGTGTGTGACAGAGTTGTGCCAACAGTATTTTCCAGCAGGAGACTCTATGGTTCCAAAAGGCAGAATTTCATAGCAATACAGGGCTAATGATTGCAATGTATGATGGTAGTTCTAGCCTCAGCTCCAAGCATGAAAGCAGATACCTTTCTCTTAGGTGTTCTGACAGGCAGATATTAAAGAGCAGCATGTGTCAGAAGATGTAGGAAATCAACTGGCCTCTTTGACAGATTTTAATGTAGAATGTTTGTACTGCCAGGGCAGTGGGTATGACAAATTTGAGAGATGACAGTAATAGGAGTGTTTAAGTAAGAGAACAAGCTTAATAGAGATGCCACTATTGACAATAACTTGCTTATGTTAAAGGAAGAGTCCTTGCTTTCATTTTCCACTGAAAATCCCAATGCCAATTTTTTGAATCCATTTTTACTAAATATTACAAAAATACCTTTTAGTCATTTGCAAGGATAGAAGACTAAACTGCCAGTTATATTGCCTCATCTGTTTTTCAAGATACCTCATTCCATCATATCATTGACATTCTTCAGTTAGGGCATTAGTCTGGACCGAGGCAGAACCTATGTAAAACGTTGAAGTGACTGTGAAATGACTGCCTATTTTTTGTTGGAGTGCACTTCAAATTAACCTTGGAGCCCAAGCTCAGGAATGGTTATTAACCAACGTTTGTACTGAAGCCCGACACTATGTGTAGGATACCTTGTAATTATCTTAAGCCAATTGTCCAGTTATTCTGTACCACAAATAAAATGTATGAAACAATACAATTTTTCTCTCCAAAAATATATACACATTTTGTATTTCTTGCATTTCTCTAGTATTCAAGTTAATTACAGTTTCAATATTATACCTCCAGTAATGGCCTCCTTCCTAGGTATTTGAACTCCTCCAGAAATGTTTTACTCTAACTCTGTATGCATGGTCAGTGGTAGAGCATTTGGGAGGGTGAACTGCCAGTTGTGAATTGATGCTAAATGAATGGGTATGCTTTTTTTTTTAAAAAAAAAAAAAAAAAAGTCCTTTTCACTCATGGGCTTTAATACCCATGTAATTATAATGATTTCAAATTCTCTCAAGGCTAAAATTAAACTTGGCTTCCTGGATGGCCAAACAATTGACTATTCTTCTACACCACTCAGCTCCCACTTTATCTCAGGCTCACTTTGAGCACAAACTGGTTAAAAACAGTCATAATCCAAATGCTGAATTAAATATGACTAAAAGATATAAACTGAATGGGCAGTTTAAATCTAGTATCATCCAATTAGAACCATAGTGGAGCATTCATCCCCTTTCCACCTCCCCACACTCCCAATGGAGTGGGAGAGGCAGGGGAGCACAGCCTGAGTTCTAGGGGCAAGTGTGGGTCATGGTGCTAAAGTCCAACTGGATGGAATATGTAGAGCCAAGGGGAAAGTTACTAGAAGCATAGTTCCATTGGAGAGCAAGATCAATGTCACAGAGATGATCTGAAATGGAGCTGCCAGTCTATAGAAGGCTTGGCAAAAGAGACAAGGCCATGTACAAAATTGATAGGCAGAAACAAGGAGATTTTCATGAGAAAGGAGTCTTGAAACAAGTGCAGAGTAAAACCAAGAAATATTGCTAAGGTTGTGAAGAGGCAGCTGGGTGGGCAAGAGGATTAGGTATTTGTGACTTCAGATGTGATGGTTCTTAGAAGATCTTAAGGACAGTGGAGGACACTATTACTACACCAGAGATCACAAAATCATGACCTGACTGTTGACAGGCTGTTTGCATATGGATTTGAGCAGAGACACTGAACCCAAACATACTGGGTATGAATCTTGACCCTACTACTTACTAGTTTTATATGATACAAGGCAACTTCCCTAAGCTTTGTAGCTTCAATTTCCTCTTCTGTAAAATTGGGATAATCATTAGAATGATTTTGAGCAGTAAATTGGTTAATATATGTAAAACACTTAAGGAAAATGAAGGTCAAAGAAGGAAAAATAAAAATATTTTTGCTTCATCTTTTTCATTCAAAATTTCATTAAACGTATTTCTTCTGATCTGATGAAATAAATTTTAAACTATATTCCTAAAACTTAGATTACCTAATTTATTGAATAAAATATAAATGGGAAAATTGGCACTACATTTTATCCACCAAAATGAAAATATCACATTGAAGAATGGGTTAAATATGGTCAATTAAATGCCAAAGCTTTAATAATAGTAAAGAAGGAAATGGGTAGAAACACACAAGGCCAAAGGAAACACAGAGGATACAACAGAGGGAAAGAAATGTCAGTGGAAAACAGATCATGGAGCGGTAACTGACTTAACAGAGTGGGAGAAGTAGGGACTCAAATGCCTAAAGAAGACGACTTCCACATAAATGAGCTAATTTCCACCACTGAGCTCCCTAGCCATTCTGGAATTGATGTCACCAGCTACAAAGAATTTAAGAATGAAGTTTGGATCTGACACATTGTATAAAGAGCATTCTAAGCCCCTAGATCTTCTCTCCAACCCTGCTCAACCAGGCAACTGGTTCTATTTGAACCACAATTATCAAGAGAAAGGAGGTTTGTCCTTCAGAAAAGTTAAATCAAAAGGGGCCCTGGACTCAGGAATACAAGGCACAAAATATGAACACAACGCAGAGATTTGGACCAAGAGAATTCTGTCCATCTTTCCCCTTATCCAGTTCCTGGAACACAGGTCACCAGTGAGCAAACCACAAGATTCATTGCTGAAGAAATTGAATAGAACCCAAAGAAAATGCCTACAGATACTAACATTTGAGGGTCACACATTAAAAATGTCAGCTTGCCACTCAGTCTCAGAATTTTTTTTCTTCTTTTTTTGAGATAGGGTTTCACTCCCATCACCCAGGCTGGAATGCAGTGGCAGGCTCTTGGCTCACTACAACCTCTGCCTCAAGCAATCCTCCTACCTTGGCCTCTAGAGTAGCTGGGACTACAGGCACCAGCCACCACACCTGGCTAATTTTTGTATTTTTATTAGAGACTGAGTCTCACCATGTTGGCCAGGCTGGTCTCGAACTCCTGACCTCAAGTGATCCACCCGCCTCAGCCTCCCAAAGGCTGGGATTACAAGCAAGAGCCACAGTGCTGAGCCTCAGAATCTTATCCCTGTACTCACCCTTCCTCAAGAACCCCCAGAAGGTGAGCTTTTCCCATGACAGCAAGCCCTTGTTTGGGAGGTAGAGTCTTTAAGAAATAATCTTAAATTCATCAAAATCATCAAAATGAATTTGATGCATTTGACCTGGGGAAGAATAGTATTGAAAGAAGTTTTATAGTTCTGAAGAAGAGTTTAGGAGTAATTAGTGACAGGTAGATAGAAAACCAACCTACAAAGGAAAAAAAAAAAAAGATCATGGAGTGGTCACTGACTTAACAGAGTGGGAGAAGCAGGGACCCAAACGCCTAAGAGAAATACTTCCATAGAAATGTGTATGCATATTTACAATAATATAGCTACTAATTTGTTAACACTGAACCTAGAATTGTGTTCTAAATTAGTTGAAAGAATGAAGAGATAATAACTGGGTAGAATTACATAAGAGTCTAATATTCTCTCTTAATAGGAAGTCCATAGAAAATGTTTAAAATTGATGTATTAAGAAATACTAGTGGAATTCATTATTATCCAAGCAGCTAAAATAATTTAAAGTAGGTATTGCTGGGAATGAAACTTCGTGGTGGAAGGGTTTAAGGCAGAAGTTATTTTTCACTATAGTTCTATAGAACTTGATTTCTTAAACCATGTCATATATTTTCTCAACAAAAGTTAAAATTGAAGCACAAATATCTTGTATGAAAGCAGTCATCTAATCTCTTTTCTTGAAATTAGATTAAACATATTTTCGTGAATCTCAGACAGTTTATAGTGGGTAACTTATCTTTGTTTTGGTTGAATGTTACAATAGTTTATGCTCTGCTCTTTGGCTATCAGCCCCTGAAGGAAATATACAAAATTTGGCTTTGTCTTGCCATGTCCCATCTATCACCAGGTAGGGAAGTTTTGTTCAATGATCCCCTGAATTGAGTTTAATATGTTATTTTTTAATGTTAGACTAGTCCACTGGATAATAAACATAAAAGGCAAGATATTTATTTAAGTATGTACTCAATGGAAATTAGTATTTTCAGGTCTAAAAAATTTTTATGAATATTTTCCCAAAATAGCAAAATAATTAAACTAAAATATAATTATATAAAATATAATTAATGAAAATAAATTGTTATACATATCAAGATCATTTAAGTCAAAATGTGTGTGTCATCTGTGCAAAATTAAACATGATCCTATATCTCTTTTGCGTTTGATTGGAACAAAGGATATTTTAGACCCCCAATGCTTTACAACACTCATAATGTGAAATTGGAAAAACAAAACAGAAAATTGTTATACATGAGAAGTAATGAAGGTATTAATTTCTAGAAAAAGAAACACATCAAAGCTTTAGATTTGCTCTAAAAAATGTTTTGAAGGGTGAATATTGTGCTATTTTGAAGAGACTCCTAATTTAGAAAGCTCAAATAATGTCTATTTTTTAAAATGGAATCTTTCTCCAGTCATAGGAAATGTACCACCACAACTATGTAATCAATGTGAAGCAGATGGTGGAGCAATTATCTGGTGTATTTGGGCACTACCATTGGCCAATACACAGAATATGGGCCAGGAAATTTATTCTGTGTTTTCAAGCTGCTTTTGGGTTGTGATGGATAGTGTTGCTTAATGAAAATCTTTGTATTAATTTAGTTTCCATTTTACAGTCCTCATCTAAATAGGCATCTCTCTTTGTCTCTGTCTCTTTCTGTCTCTATTTCTCTCTCTGTGCCTCTTTTTTCTGTGTGGCTTTTTTTCTCTCTCTCTTTCTAAGTCAAGTAAGATCTATACAGTGATGATTTTAGAAATCTAATAATTTGAGCTTTATTTTTAAATATCAGCATAGCTTGTTACTTTTTTTTTGAGGAAATAGCTACTCCCTATACCAGTGTACAAATCTGAGTTATTTCATTTACTTAAAATCATCTAGAGGGTTCACAATTGAGAGAAGACACTATTTTGCTGATTCTGATTATGTAATTGAGTAAAAAAACTTTAAAAATACATTTTAAAGCACCTACTTTGAGCACTTAGGATAATATCATCCTAAGAGATATTTTACCTTTAATTCCAACTAAAAATTAGCTATTAAACTCATATTGGTTTCAAACTTTTATTTTTTACTTTGTCTTTTTAGATCAGTTTTAGTTTCACAGAAAAATTGAAAGTACAGAGATTTCCTATATATCCCCTATCCCCACACATGCACAGCCTCCTTGATTATCAAAATCCCCTGCCAGAGTGGCACATGTGTTACACCTGATGAACCTAAATGACACATCATTATCCTTCAAAACAGTTCACTTTTGGTGTGGATTTGGACAAACGTATAATGACGTATATCCATCATGATACTATGGTATCGCAGAATAGTTTCACTGGCCTAAAAATCCTCTGTGCTCTGCCTATTCATCCCTACCTCCCCACAACTCCTGGCAGCCACAGATCTTTTTATTATCTCCATAGTTTTGCCTTATCCAACATGTCACATAATAAAAATCAGACAGTATGTAGCGTTGGCCGATTGGCTTCTTTCACTTAGTAGTATGCATTTATGTTTCCTCCATGCCTTTTCATGGCTTGTTAGCTCATTTCTTTTTATCACTGAAGAATATTCCATTGTCTGGATGTACCACGCTTTATTAATTCACTTACTGAAGGACATCTTGGTTGCTTTCAACTTTTGGCAATTATGAATGAAGCTTCTATAAACATTCTTGTACAAGTTTTTATGTGGACATAAGTTTCCACCTCTTTGGGTAAATACAAAGGAACACTATTGTGAAATAATTGGCAAGAGTATGTTTACTTTTGTAAGTAAACTGCTAAACCATCTTCCAAAGTAGCTGTAACATTTTGCATCCTCACCAGCAAGGAATGAATGTTCCTATTGCTCCACATTCTCACCAGCATTTGGTGTTATCAATGTTCTGGTGTATGTGGTACCTTACTGCTGTTTTAATTTGCATTTCCCTGATGACATATGATGTTAAGCCTCTTTTCATATGCTTATTCACCATCTGTCTATCTTCTTTGGTAAGGTTGTTTAAGGTATTTGACCCATTTTTAAATATTTTTATGGTAAGTTTTATTTTAGTTTCAATGTGCAGATTTGTGATATAGGTAAACTGCATGTGACAGGGGTTTGGTGTACAAAATAGTTCATCACCCAGGTAATAAGCATAGTACCCGATAGGTATTTTTTTCTGATCCTCTTCCTCCTCCCACCCTCCACCCTCAAGTAGGCCCTGGTGTCTATTTTTTTTTCCTTTTTGTGTCCTTGTGTTCTTATCATTTAGCTCTCACTTATAAGTGAGAACATGCAGTATTTGGTTTTCTGTTCCTGTGTTAGTTTGCTTAAGATAATGGCCTCCAGCTCCATCCATGTTGCTGCAAAGACATAATCTCATTCTTTGTTATGGCTGCATAGTATTCCATGGTATATATGTACCAATTTTTCTTTAACCAGTCTTCAGTTGATGGGATTTATGTTGATTCTGTGTCTTTGCTATTGTGAATAGTGCTGCAATGAACACACGTGTGCATGTGTCTTTATGGTAGAGTGATGAATATTCTTTTGGGTATATACCCAATAATGGGATTGCTGGGTTGAATAGTAATTCTGCTTCAAGTTCTTCTGCGACTCATCACACTGCTTTCCACAATGTTGGCCCATTTTTGAATTAGGTTGTTTTCTTATTCTTGAGTTTTAAGAGTTCTTTGTATAATTTGGATAATAGTCCTTTATGAGGTATGTCTTTTGCAAATATTTTGTACCAGGCTGTGGCTTGGCTTTTTGTTGTTTATTTTAATAAAGTCCTCCAGTTTGTTTTTTTAATGATTATATTTAGTATCTTCATTTATCACTCACTATTTTGCTCTGCAGTTGCTAAAAGTACTTAGACACATTGTATATATACCTAGTTTTAGAATACTTTGTGCTTCTCTGATAATTCAAAATTTTGAGTTCTATGTATAAGAAATGACTACATGGTAATAATGGTGATCTGTAATTAATATTTTTTAATGTTTTATTGTTTTTATTTTCCAAGCATACATAAAAGTGAAGAAAATAATCTAATAAGCCCCATTTGTCCACTACCCAGGTTTGACAACTGTTAATATTTTGACAGTTTTGTTTCATTGATCCCTTCTTCTTACATGTTCATGTGTTTTGTTCTTAAGATTCTGAATTCCCAAAGAATATATTTTTAAATTTAAATATTGACAACAGCAAAATAGTATGGTTTCTCAAAATGATTCCACAAAATAATTTTTATCTATTTGGTTGTTTATGTTCTTATATATTATTTTAAAAATGATTTCTTTAGAAATAACTGAAATATTTAGTATTCAGAACTTTTTATAGATCTACATCAAGATCTTTTGAACATGTGCAAAGTTGCCACTGAAACATAAAATGTATCATCTTTGATAAATAGCCCTTAAAAAAAGCACTTTTCTTTAGCTTTTTTCCTAAAAATACTGGGATTTACTAGGAAAGTATAAAAACTATACTGTATGTTTCTAATTTTAGAGTTTATAAAAATTTTATTCTGTTTAATATAATAAAATCCAGTGCAGCTTGCTGTAATTGTTGATTTTGGCAAGATACTCTAGTGTATGAATGCCACTGAGATATTAATAATCATAGTATCTAGTTAATGCAAAAAAGCTTGAATTTATATAAATTTTTTAATTTTCTTTTTTTTTTTTTTTTGAGATGGAGTCTCGCTCTGTCGCCAGGCTGGAATGCAGTGGTGCAATCTCGGCTCACTGCAACCTCCGCCTCCTGGATTCAAGCGATTCTCCTGCCTCAGCCTCCCAAGTAGCTGGGACTACATACAGGCATGCGCCACCATGCCCAGCTAATTTTTGTATTTTTAGTAGAGACGGGGTTTTGCCACGTTGGCCAGGATGGTCTCAATCTCCGGACCTCGTGATCTGCCCGCCTCGGCCTCCCAAAGTGCTGGGATTACAGGCGTGAGCCCCCGCGCCCGGCCATATTTTTAAATTTTCTAATGCAGATTGCTTGTCTTATAGGTGTTCAAATTTTTCTATTCCTTCGCAACTATAATTCCCACTTTACCCCTACCTTCCCTGCAGTTTATCCTTGGGAGTTTTTGCATTTAATAGCCTCACTGTAGATCAAGGGACCCCAAACATTGGCAGTCTATTTAACAAAATACTTGAGCTGATTTATTGATAAAACTAGATGCAATTTATTTGCATAAGAGTCTTTTAGGAGGCAAGAGGATAGATAGATAGTCAAATTAAAGACAATAGAAGGTAAAGCACAGTTTTCAAGGCCTACAATGTGGCTTATTATTTCTTTGTTTTCTTCTCTAATGCAAAAATTGGCTCTGAATTGCACATCTGGAATGACTATCTGAAGTAGAATTTTTTTAAATGCCTAGTGTCATTCCTCCTAAAATGACAGCATCTTGTTCTTCATTTGGGTAGTTCTCCGTATGCACTCTCACTTGTTCTGGTCAGCACTTAATCCTGGCCTGGTGAATTAGTAAATCACACCCTTCCGCCTGCCAGCCACATGATCCAAGCTAACCAATAAGGGAAAATTTTTACCCCTTATGAGACTGCTAGGCAATAGAGGTACTCTTTCCATGGAATTTGAATTTGGTAGGCCATGAGCCTGAACCCAGACTACCAAGTGGACAGAGTCTGCCTCAGTATGGATTTACACTGCTGGAATCAGAATATAGAGACAATGAAAGAAGGCATCCTAATAACATCATTCCAACCTCTTGATCCAGCCATTATTGGAGTCAGTTTATTTGAATTTCTGTGTGATAAATATATTTGTTAAACTTTAAAAAAATTTTTCCCTTTGCCACATTGAGTTGACTTTCCTTCACTTGCAACTGAAAATACCCTAATATTCCATTTATTCAGACAAGTCACACTCCATATTTTCTAATAATTGTACTTCCAACTTTGCCATTTTTATGCCTCCTGTATATAGCTAAATCATGCGTGCCTCATTACTTTAACTCCAAGTACTCATCAGTGCCCTTGATCTCAAATTGTCTACTAGCTTTCAGCAAAAGCCCATTTGATCCAAGTGGGCTAGCAGATGAAGAGGTTAACAGTGAGAAAGTATGATGGAGAGAGGCTGAATAAAGAACAAACTAATCACATGTTGCTTTAAATTTTCTATGAGATATAAAGCCAGGTCATCGGAATGTAATATTATAGAATGTTAGCTGAAATTTCCATAAAGATGCCTTCACAGAATTATTAGTTAATATAAATTTATTTAGCAGTTCATGTAGCAGCCAAATTAGCTTAACTTTCTGGCATAACTACTTTTGTTTCCCCTCAGGCTGCAGGATAGAGGAAATTTTATAGACATACTTGGTTGGCATCCTTGTTCAAATCCTAACTCTGTTATCTTAATGGAGGTCTTTCATGTCTCTATGATTCAATATCTTTCTCTGTAAAATGAAAATAATAATGTTGCCTTTGCATTTGATTGTAAGGATTCCATAATAAACAGATGTGAAATATTTGGGAAAAAGTGAGATAATAATTGTAAGCTAGTGGTTCTATCTTTTATTATCAAGCACTTCAAATTATTTAAAAGGAAACCTCCATTAGGTATTATGCCTGTGGGGCTTACTCAGGTAATATATAGTGACATATATAAAATTCAGAGCTAATCTATGATTTCAGAGAGTTTAATATTTTTTAATCATCCGATTATACTACATACTACATTTAAACTAATTAATTTAGCCATTCCCAGTTCATACAAGACCTTCGCATTTGATATTGCAGCCATTCTTTTGCTCTTGTGAGGAGGGTATCCATCTCAATTATAATTCTTTTATCACATATTTGCATATCTTTTTTTTACTATAACTATTAATGGTGTAGTGATGCTGATTTATCACTTAGCCTCTTTTACCTAACAATGTTGCCCTGAAGTAGGAAAGGATGAAGTTCTAAAATTAGGATGTAATTATTAACAATTCACCACCTGAACATTAACTAACAGAATCTGACAGTGGCTTTCCCCACAGACAAACCTCCACATTCAAGAAAGAGGATTCCTTTATAATGAAGTTAGTTCTGACACCAATGTACATTAAGAGAACAACTCCCAAAATATTATAACTCTGACTTTTAGAGTCTTAAAATGTAGTTATGGTTTCAGTAGTAAAATCTGAGCAATACTAAGGGTGGTTTTATTACTTTACAATAAGACAAAAATGATTAATTTCTTAATTAAATTTTTGATATTAAATATAAGCCCTTGGTTCCTTTGCCTATTTCTAAACAACAAAGAAGAATATATCATAGTCTATGATTTGCTATGAATTATGTTTTGTGATGGCTTATCGAATCCTCAGAACTGAACTGGAACTTGCATTTCCTCTGTTATCAGCAAAAGCTTTTCTGAAATGTTTGCAAAGCTCCAGATATATGGGGTTCCTGAATAAATATTATCCCAACACTGATCAGCTGCATAGGTGAAGACCAAGTTAGGAAATAGGTCTACAAGGATTTCTTAATGAAAGCAGGTGGCTGTTGATATTTTAAATAGATTCAATAATTAATTAGAACATTTTTAGGACTTTAGGTGCATTTCACAAGGGATTTCTGTAATATTCAGAAGGTAGCCCATGTAGGAAAGCACCTGGTTCAAGATCATCATTCATGCTCTCCTAATAGGGGGGAAATATTTTTAAAACTCCACACAGGCCAAAAGTTCTGTTCCTAGCAAGGTAGACTTAATTTTTTTGATATATTCACATGCTATAGTTTAGGAATTTCTGGAGAATCAAAGAACTGCCTTCCTAAGAAAGACATGGATTTCATGTTAAAGACAGAAAAAGATGATAGTTGGCCCCATGTAGCTGCAGATTTTGCAATCACAGATTGAACCAATCACAGATTGAAAATATTCAAAAAAAAGTATAACAAAAATAATATAAAAATATAACAACTATTTATGTAGCATTTATATTGTATTAGGTATTATAAATAATCCAGAAATGATTTAAAGTACACAGGAGGATACGCATAGGTTATATGCAAAAACTCTGCCATTTTATAGAAGGGACTTGAGCATCTGAAGAGTTTGGTATCTGTGGGTTGGGAAGGACCTGGAACCAACAACCCCATAGATACAGAGGAGCAACTTATATTTGTTTAAAACCATTTTTGGCAAACTTCTAAAACAGACTCTGTGCAATAAAATTCACTTGCTTAATAAGTCACATTCCATACCAAGTTCACATAATGGTAGATTATCCTCAACTTCCATGTGTTTGATGTCCATTCAATATTTTATGTTTTCTAAGTAAGGTAAACAAATCTGTTGACTAGAGCTCTGAAGATACTGAAGGCTTCCCTTCCTTCTCTGTTACCATTTTTGTGATATGAACTTCTACCAAGATAAATTTAAAATGCATTTGTTTTATACTCTATGTTTTACACTTTGACATCAACTAATCTTTGCTCACAAAAGAAAAGTTAGGACCCTTTAGCATTAATATACATAGTAAAAAATGCTGGAAAAGTTTTTAAATTGTTACTAGCACTTAGGTAAGTTAAATTCGCAAGCAATATTTTTTTCTGAAATGCATTGATCAGCAGTAAGGTACAAAATAAACTAAATCACATTTCATATCTCCTTTCTGTGGTGTTTTTGAAATTCTGAGTAATGACCCTGGTTGAGCCATTAATGCAAATCCTCAAAACTTAAGTAGTTTCTTGATACTTTCCATTTTGAGGCATCTTTTAAAGAAACAGCAGATGCCTCTCCACATGCATTCAAAAAATCAATAAAATTAATCAATAACACTCTCCACAGGTAATATATGTTCAGAAGCATTTCTGCCTATCTATATTGATTTAGAGAATTGCTTCAAATCTGTTCTGATGTGTATAAAAATCATTTCCTTATTCATCAAAGTTTCTCTTCCCTGATATGTTATTTCATATATGGCACACAATGATTTTTGTCTCTATTCTTGTATATTTGTGATAAATTTCTTATGATCTGTGTATGAGACTCATTTGAATAAAATATAAAATGAGTATTTTGTTTCTTTGGAGAAACCTATTGCTCAAAATTTAATCAAAGAATGAATAATCATGAGAAATTACTGAAGTTATTGTAATGAGAAACGTAATGATGTATTTCATTCACATTTTTATTATTTATAATAAGCTTAAAAGGTTTGAGTTTGCTTCTATTTCTTATAACAAAGCTCCATTCCTGCAGACACATTCCTACAATCCAGAATGACACTATTACTGACTATATAAATAATAGAAAAATGCATAGTTTTAGCCAATTGCTGACTCATAGTATTGCTAGAAAATGTAACATGTTCAAACCTATAAGTGAATTTTGTAACCTTTTTGCTAGTGTATGTGTTACGTGTTTAGACAGAGTAATAAGAAAAATAGATATTCTGAATTTTCTGAACATAAAGAAATTTAAAGTTTTGATAGATATAACATTTAATAATTCTCATTAAAAATGACTGTATTTAATTAACCCAACCAACTTATATATCCACAGTTACCTTAACTAACAGTACCTGATAACTGGTGGCTCACTGGGGAAACTGTATTTGATCAATTAAAGAGTCCCCCAAGGAAACACAACTCTTAACTCTTGATATATTAACTAGTGTTGTGAATTATTCCTCTAACAAAAAATCAAATATTTCTGTCAACATTATTTAATAAATTTCATAACTAACATAGGGTGCTCCATTACAAAATGACATCATTTGGCCAGTTAATACACCACCACAGTAAGTGTGCCTCAACCAGTATCTTCTTCAAACTTGGATTTATTAACAAGTTTCATGCCTCTCAGTGGTTTTTCCTTGGAATTTCAGGGAATAGGAATTTTCATATTGACAACCGAGGTCCAATACCTCTCTCTACCTTAGAAGATTTTACTTTACCAATCTATCAAATTAATTTTGTCTTTTCTTAATTCTTAAATTAAGTTGAGATCTTTCAGCAAAACAAGAACTGTTTTTTTTTTCAGGAACAATTAGTGTAAAGAATTGGATAAAATATATTCACTGTATTCAAAAATATTATTTGGGTGAGGCTAAGGGGATGTTTGCCAACATAGAAAGCATAAGCATTGGAAAGAAAATATAATCTGGTTTGTTTCCCCTATATCAAAAATTAAATGACAATTTTTAAATAACATCTTAATATAAAATACTTACCTAAAGATGTGGAAGTGTTTTTTCTGCCCACTAAGGCACTGGGTACATTGGATGGTCTCCAGAAGCTCTAAAAGAATAGGGCAGCCTTCCTGAGTTTGTCACTTATTCCCAGGAAACTAGTTGTACAATCAGATTCTTGGAATCAATAGATGCCACTAGGGCGACCATGAATATAAAATTTTTAAAATATTTCTTTTACTTATGTAAAAATTAATTTAAATATATTCCTAGAGATGAGCATAGATTCACACTGGAAACTGGAGTGGCACACTCAAGAGAGATTTTGATAGACACATCTCTCCATCATGTTGTGTTTTAGTAAGGGCAGCTGAATCAAAGTGGAAGGGATGACATGGAGCCAATCCAAAAAAAAAAAAAAAACTCATCTGGGCATATCATAAAAGATAACAGCATGAGCCTTGGAGTCATATAGACCTCAAATCCGGATGCCATCACTTACAAGCTGTGTGGCCTTGGAGAAGTTGCTTTTCTTTCTAAACTTCATTTCCCTCTTCTGTAAAGCAGAGTATATGCTAGTATTTTCTAATAAAAATATGTGATATGTGATATACTATGATAATAGTATGTTGATAATTTTAAATTTTCTAGTGGACACATTTTTAAAGAACAGGTAAAATTGATATATTTATTTATATATTTATATTTATATATGAGATATATATTTATACTTATTAATTATATACATATAAAATATATGTTAAAATCTATAAAATGTACCCAAAATGGTATCATATCAACAAGTAATCAATATGAAAATGAGTAATAGCCTATTTTACATTCTTTCTTCGTTTGAAACCTGGTGAGCATTTTACAATTACAGCACATTCCAATTTGTACTAACCACATTTCACATGCTCAATAGCTACATGTGTGTCATAGCTGCTATAATGGATATTACACGTATAACCTACCCCATAGGGTTATTGAAGAATAAAATGAGATAATGCAAGTAAAGGACTTAGAACAGTGCTTGGCAAATAATATGTACTACAAATGGTAGTGTGAAAGCTGCTACTATTATCCACTGATATTGATTATATCTTCCTTGCTCTGCTGGGGGAATGGAAAAATATATGGCATGGCCCCTGTTCCTGAGTAATCACGAAGTTAAGAATGTAAGACAAATATATAGTTAACTAGAATTTTTGACATCTTATTATCACATGAATGGTATGAATGAAATGCAATAAGTGCTCAGAAAAGGCAGATCTTGTACTAGGAATCCCTTGTACCAACTTGGTGAAGAAAATCATTTTGAACTAGGATTTAATAGGTAGGTTGATTTTTGTTAGGAAGTAATGGTTAGGGACCATGAGGACAGCTAGGAAAAATATTCCACTATAGGGAATTACAGAAGAAACAATCCAAAGGTAGGGAAGTGAAAAATACATTCAAGAAATGAGGGCAAATTGTTTGATGGAGAGCACAGAGTTCATGTAAGAGTGTACTTGAGTTAGCAAATGCAGATTTGTATCAGAGTGTAGAGATCTTAAAAGCCATGCTAAGATACTTGGACATTATTCAGTGTCTGAAAGAAATAGTAAAAAAGAGCACTGATTTAGGTGCCAAAGATCTGATTTCAGCCATATTCTGCAACTGCCACACGTGCATTTTCCTACCTTGGCCAAGTCACTTCAGCTCAGCTGTTTTATTTGTAACATAAGATGGTTGGATCTAAAACAAAACAAAACCTGAGAACGTCAGAGATGAAAAGGGCCTCTTTGTTGTTGTTGCTGCTGCTACTGCGATCATTGTTCTGTTTATATTTGTGGTATTTTAGGATGAGGATAACATTACTGAAGAAATGCCTCAGGAATTAATATAGGTAGATTTAAAAGTAAAAATATGAAAATGAAAAGATCATTTTGAGAATCATTTCAGTGGTCCTAGTGTCTTTAAAAAAAGGATTTTAACTAATATTGTGGACATAACAGTTGGAAATATTAATAAATGGCTGGGTTGGATTATAGAAAATTTGTTTAAAAAAAGAAAGAATGGCTAGGACTTGGATTGAAGGTGGAGAGGGAGGCAAAGTGAGAAATGAATTTTATTACAGTTTGGAGTCTAGAAAAAAAAATAATTAGTATTCATAATAGAAATGGTAGAACCAGGGAGATAATTTGGCTGGAGATATGGGAAGGGATGTAAAATGAGTGTTTTTAGTTATCGGGTACAATTTTTAGTACATATTATATATGCATTAGAATGTATGTATTTAGAGATTAATGGATATATATAGTGACTTTTGCAAGAACATGAGTATTTTAGTTTCAGAGTTTCACAAAGTAGTAGAATCAACATTAAATAAAACAATTATGAGATTAACATGAGCATTAAAGTTAAGAACTTATGCAACTAGAGAATTCAGTGATATTCATAAAGAGGCCCCAAAGTGTGACACTTATCTGAGTCTTTTTTGCTTATTTTTTGTTATTATTTTAGAGACAGGGACTTGCGCTACCACCCAGAATGGAGTGTAACGGTGGGAATAGCTCACTGCAGCCTTGAACTCCTGGACTCCAGCAATCCTCTTGCCTTAGCCTCCACAGTAGCTAGGACTACAGATGCATGCCACCATACCTGGCTAATTTTCTTTTAAATTTTTTGTAGAGATGGAGTCTCACTATGTTGTCCAAGCTGCTCTCAAACTTTTGGCCTCAAGTGATCCTCCTGCCTTGGCCTCTCAAAGCATTGGGATTATAGGCATAAACCCAGTTGGCCCTAAATCTTAATTTATGAAAGAAATTCTAAAGCCAGTAAATGAAGCAAGACTTTTTGAGTAATAAAGTTTTCAATTCAAATCCCAAATCAAGGCTGGGCACAGTGGCTCATGCCTGTAATCCCAACACTTTGGGAGGCCAAGATGAGTGGATTACCTGAGGTCAGGAGTTCAAGACCAGCAGGGCCAACATGGTGAAGCCCCATCTCTACTAAAAATACAAAAAATTAGCTGGCCGTGGTGGCAGGCATCTATAATCCCAGCTACTCCGGAGGCTGAGGCAGGAGAATCACTTAAACCCGGGAGGCGGAGGTTGCAGTGAGCCGAGATTGCGCCACTGCACTCAAGCCTGGGCAATAAGAGTGAAACTCCATCTCAAAAATAAATAAATAAAGAAAATCCCAATTCAACCTTCTGTGAGTCTCCTTCTTCATTTTCTAGGAGGAAAGAATAGCTACATCACAGTGTTGAGTGAAAAACATGTGATGTAAAAAAGAAAGCTCTAGACATTCAATGAATGAGGGCTACCATCAACTCATTCCAGTAAACCTGGATGACAAAGAAATGGGCTCAAACCCTTTCTATTTAAAAATGTCATAAAGGTTTTTGTGCTCCTACTTGTAACACACTATGAATCTTCAAGCAACAAGCACATATTAAGTACTGATAAGTCAAGTTCCATGATCATAAAAAAAATTGCAATAATAAGCAGCATGAATCTCAACCTTAAGGAGAACTTGGCTACATGAGAAGGAAAGTAAGTATTGAAAGGTTTAAGGTAACTCCTGGTTATTCTAGGTGTACACTGTCAAAATCAAATTGACTTCTCACACGTGTTTCTAAAATTAATTTAAAATTCAATAAAAATTAATGAAAATTGATTGAAAAGTTTTAAAAATTGTAGCTAGAAAAAGTGTCAATATTACACATTTTATTAGCATGAGAGTAAGAGTTTCCAAACTATGCTAGTTTATATAAAGTGATTTTTACATCCAGATAAAATTTTACCACTCAATTTGTATGGATTAATTCATTCTGTAAACTTCTTCAAGGGATTCTATTGTTAATAATGCTTAAATTAGTAAGTATATTCAAATATTCAAGTTTTTATAACAAATTCAATTGAAACTGTTATGCCTAAGATATTAGTGAAACTACTTATTAAAATAAATACAGCATATAAAGGAACTATATTGTATTAAGAAAGTTATAAATTTATTTGGAACTAACTTTGAAAGACCCTCTAATTTATAAAATTAGATTGAATCATTTAATAGCAGAGCAATACTTTGAGGTTAGGAGAAATTTAATTCTTGTCTTCAAAGCCAAAAGGAGTTGGCAAATTCATCCAACAGAGTGAAATGGACAGCAACATATGCTCCTCATTGAGTCCTATTGGTCAACAGAAAAGGTATTGATTTACTAAACATGAAAATATTCTGAAAGTCTTGGCAGATAAAAATAAGTATTGATTATATATTTTAAGACATATGAAGGAGTCATAATCACTCAGTGTTGATATATACTGAGTTATTTGTATAAAAAATAGCAGTTACAAAATTAAATCAATCTTCTCCCTAGACTGTTTATTTTCTTTCCATTCTGTGAAAAGTATGACATCCTTATAACTTGAATGTTAACAAAAGAAAAAAAGCAAGGCATTTTTTACATAACAGATGTTTAAACATTTATCTGTATTTTAAAATACCTTTATAAATCAATTTTGACCATTTTTATTTTTAACCTATTGGTAAACTACTCTGTTTTTAATCACAAATTTATTTCATGTGATTTTTATGGAATGTGTGTATTCATAAATTGTTATAATTATTCTTGTTAAAATACTAAGCTAAATAACAACTTAATAATCTGTTCAGAAATTACATGTTACAAGACAATATTTTGCTTTTAATATTTTAATAAAAGATTTAAAGTAAAAATAAATTATTTAATTTCACATTTTTTAAAGAGACATATTTACTTCAATATGAACATTATTAGTTCAGGTTTCACGTAAGTTCTCATGACGCTATTTAAAATTGTATTTCTACCATATTTTCATTCCATTGACCAAGTTCTGATATAGTTAAATCTTTTATCCTCCCTAAATTTGTCATTAAGACCCTGACATTCAGATGACAAGTGATTTGCAGTGTGGTTTGTTTTTCATTGCCAATCACCAGGAGATTTAAAAAGATACCCATGCACTTCTGTATAAACACTTTCTCTATAAATGCTCCACTTTGTGGAGATGCTACCAGTAATGAGACTATGGCATTTTTTATTTTCTTTCTGAGAGTACCTCTTCTCTCTCAAACCAATTGGATACTAAAGTACTAATGTAGCAATTGACACACCCTGGTAAGTAATTTTGAACATTTTCTAACTTAGAAAGAGGTTAGCATCCCTGTTCCCAGCAAAACTAATTTTTAAGTCACACATTACATGCCGTGTAATAATCCAATATACTGTAAATGAAGTTGAACATGATTATAAACTTATATTCATTTTAGGAATTAGTTACGATACGTACTCAGTCTTGCAATCTTCTGAAAATGAATTCAGGTAAACTTGAAAAACCGCATAATAAATTTGCTGACCAAAATCTGTTCTTGAAAAAACAAATTTTTGGAACACCTGAGGCATGGTGCTGTTGAATTAATATGAGGTTCCAATATCATTTTCTGTATTTTATTTAACAAACTTTCAGAAATTACCAGAGCCTTCATAAATATTTCCAATTATTATTTTTAGAGATGTGAATAATGATTTAAAGCTAAATATTTTTCTTTTTCTTTATGGACTTGGTTCTGTTTCGTTTTGTTTGGTTTCACAAATAGAAATCAGTGTTTACCCCACTTTTCAGCTGTTGTATAAAGACTACAAGAAAAAAAGTTATTTGGGAAAGTCACAAACAGCAATTGCCTATAGAGTGAGGTTGGAAGTGAAATCCATATGTAATGCCTCTGTCAGCAAAGACTTAGTAGAAAATGGTTTATAATAAATATTCACATCTGCTGCTTTGGACACTCTAATCCATCCTAAGGATCTTTGCTGTGTCAGGTTTTGTTCTAGATGAAGAAGCCCAGTAGTTATAAAGGTTTGCAAATAGGTTGTATTTATCATGGTTAGCTTTACTTTTATAACTTTTCTCTGTTTTAGAGGTATTCATGATGTTTGGGGGTAAAATTTGTGATTAAATATTTCACTATAGCTTTTATGGTGATATAATTCTAGAATTCTTATTATAAAATGGACCAATGCTATTTTCACAATATATCACTTACCTAAAATCTGTCAAGAAGGCATCATTGATAACAATGCTATGCTGGCTGTGGAAAGCAATGGCTAAAAGCCCAGGCTCTGGATTCGAAGTGCTGTGATTAAATGCTAGCTCCTTCTATACCTAGGGTGTCATTATGAGCAAGTTACTTCGCCTTTCCAAGCCTCTATTTCTTCACCTACATAGAGGAGGCATTTTTTACATAACAGATATTTAAGCATTTTTAAATAGTACTAACTATTTAAAATACAGATAAATAGTACTATTTAAAATATTAAATAGTTAATACTATTAATACTAACTAATATATTAAATAGTTAATACTGTTAGTACTATTTAAAATATTAGTTACTACTATTAGTACTAACTATTTAAAATATTAAATAGTTAATGCTATTTTCTTTATCATTAGATTACTGTAACGATCATTCAGAATTATCCATATCAAGCACTAAATATAAGGATCATACGGAATTATCCATATCAAGCACTAAATATAGTATCTATCACATTAAAAGAGTTTAATAAATTTTAAATGTTATTACTGAAACAATAATATGCCTTCTAAGTATGATTAAATAATCCCATGGATAGTACTAATGTCATACTTATTTACACTAAGTACTGAGCTTATGTAAACATATCCTATTGTTTTACTTAACTCCAAGTCCCATGATAGTTTGTTACTGGACTTCCTTAATAAAAATATTAATTAAAATTGGATCCCTGATTTGTTTTCACTTTGAGGAAATGAGCCACTAAAAAATATATGATACAAAAATTATGCAAATACCCTGTGCTGTATTTAGCCATCTTATGTAAAAAAAATTTAATTTATCAAAATTTGAATTCTAAGCTAGAGTAAAAACTCTCAAGTCATTTTGAAATGGAAGTATTTATTTCCACTTCAGCTTCAAAAAAATTTGTTGAGTTCATGAGTATCACAATTTTTAAAGCAGGAATGTATATTGAGTTGTAAGTAATGATTAGCATAATTATTATAAATAAGTTTAAAGAAGAATACAAATGTTTTCCATAAATTTTGAAAGCTATGCCTTTTAAAACTTTCTAACATATAATTTATTTGAAAAAGAAAGTTGCCTTGCATAGTTGCTTTCAATCTCATCTCCTCGAAATGCTTTATTAATCACAAATATAAAAGAATAGTAGGATGTTTGATGAAATCTGCATATAAAGGAGGTAGACCATTAGGCTCTATGTCCCAATTAGAAAATTTTATAACCTAATTATTGATGTGTCTTAATTTTGACTCAACTTATTTCTTATACCTACAGGAGCTACTGCATATTTAATAACTGACCCCTAACACAGAATGATAATTGAAAAAAATAGAATGCTTCATTGCTTATAAACTGTGAACACTTGAAATAAAACTTTGATTCATTCTCTCTCTCTCTCCTCTCTGTCTCCCTCAGGTCGAGTTTTAGCTCAGGCAAGTGGCAATGGTGTTATCCATTTGCTAGATCTTAAATCTGGGGAGATTCACAAATTGATGGGCCACGAAAACGAGGCACACACGGTTGTGTTTTCTCACGACGGGGAGATTCTCTTTTCTGGAGGCTCTGACGGCACAGTTCGAACGTGGTCTTGACCGTCAGCACATCCCGCTGCAGAGGGCATTCCCTTTAAGGCTTGAAAATGCCTCCTGTAGTCCCAAACCAGCAAAGAACTGGTTAAATGTGCCAGCAGGTAACATTTACAGTCTGCTTTAAAACATGCTTTGGACATATATTTTAGTGCTCATACTGTTACTAATAAAAAAATAACTTTATGCTCACCCATTTGTGTCAGGGTCTTTTTTCTCTCTCATTTTGATAAGAATTTAGAGACACGGCATCTTTGCTAGGGGTTTTGAAAGAAACAGCTTTACAATGACGCCTAATGACAGACTAGATGAATTACAGGAGATTGATTTTTAATGTTAGAGAACAAACTGCAGGAAAACCTGGCTACTTTAAAAAAAAAAAAAAAAAATCAGATCCAAGCTGCAGGAAGACCTGAAGTTTAATCATGCAGCACCAGGGAAGTCTTTCTGCCACCAAAGGGTCAAATAGAATCGACAAGCATACGTTTTCACAGATTGTTTGACAATGATTATGCTTTATCTATTAATAATAATTGGGGACTGCAGATGGCTTAAATCTAAATGCAAGCCTCTTCTGGAACTTTCATCTCTGCAGCCCATCCAAGAACGCGTTAGGTATACAATTTTATACAAAAAAAATTAATTGCAATTTCAATGCAAATAAATATCTCGCACGTAGAATGTCTTTACCCCTCCTAATGCGCGCATCCGCTGTATAAAGTGCGACTGCTTGGAGAGCACTCTAGCCTCGTCTAAAGCAGCTCTGGGATTTCGACAGAGCTGGGCTCAGAAGCCAGTTGTTGGCGCTGTCCGTGGTGCTGAGGAATTCCCGGCTGCCGGCAGAATGAGCTCCAAATCAGCAATCTGCAAACTGCTCTTACTGATGCAGAAACCCAGCTAAAGTTGCTCCTTTCCTTCACATCCACAGTTAGTATTTTCCGGTGTGTAAGAGGGGATTCAAGCAACACACTGTGGACGATGGTGATGGTATTGCCAGCGGAGTGGGCTTTAAGCTACAGCATGCTGTTGCTGTTTGTGATCCTCAGAGCCTAGCCAAATCACCTCTACTGCCGTAGCAAACACTGTGTAAGTGAACTCATGTGTGGAGGAGGCGTAATCAGCCGGGAAATTTCATAGAAGGATCTAAGAAAATGCTAAAAATAAGTTCAACATGATTCTGCTACTGGGGTCTGGATTTCTACAGGACCAGCTTTGCTTCTTGCTTTGAATTCTGAAGACAGGTCCAAAGCAAATTTCTTATATGTGTCTGCTGTGTTTCTTTCTGGAAGGGCGGGAGACTGCTTCTTTACTGTGTTTTGAAATGGGAGGTAGAGAGAATGGATTGCCTTTAATTCATGCCTAAAAAATGTATTCTTTGGGTAATTAAAGAGGAACTGCTTTCTTAAAACATACCTGACCTTTTAGTTCATTTTGGGCTGTGACCCCTACCACCACCATTAACCTCCAGAGTGATTAGGTAAGTGTATCTTATGACATGAATTATGTTTGTTTTCTCAAAGAAATAGATGCAGTCATTTTAAATCATCTGTAGCAATATGGGGAGGGGGGGAAAATTAAGCTGGGAAGTGATCCTCAGTTTAGCAGTGTTTGCTTTCTTTTTAAAAATCTTCAGATAAACATTACATTTGATTTATCCCATGTTTCTTCTCTTAAATAGTATCTTAAATTGTACTAGGGCAGCTCAATTATGAAGGCTTTTTTTTAAAAAAAAAATAGCCTAAGAACTTTGTTATATTGAAAATAAAATCTTGTTTTTTACCATGCAGATTTTAAGATATATTTCATATAATAAAAACATATTTAATGTTTATATAAAGTAGATATTACATTCCTATTTTTACCTCTAAGTTTACATTTACCATAACCTAACACATTAATGCCTACCTGTGGCTTACAAAGAGATCATTTTCTGCCTATGTCCCTTTGAAGCAGAATCATATGTGTATTTTATATGGCTTATCTTGCATGCATTGACAGATATTGCTGGAATATTATAAGGAAGCACAGTAGCTTTCTTTTCCTCCAAGATAAACTTTCTAAATATGTGATGTATAAATGCTTGCTTTAATTAGTAAATTATATTTATGCTTTTTCAGAAGCTTCTGTTATGTTTGTTATCTCTGTAGTAATTTGAGAGAAAAAAATGCTTTGTCAAAGGGAGCTTCCAGATTCTCAAGTAGAATTATAGGTTTGCATTTTCTTGTTCTGTCATGACTTATTATTTTTGACATATTTTATAAGAAATCATCGGCTTTATTACCTACCCAAAGGGAATTCTAATATCAGAGGATATCAGAGTAATTCTGATATCAGCTTTCTCCAGAAAGAGGGCATACTACCTTCCATTTTACTATTACTAGAACTTGTATATCTACCTTAAAATGCAAATATAATAGTTTATGAAGTTTCCTAATGTCATCTTTATCTTGTTATCGTCTGTATATGTTAGACTGAAAAGAGATGGTTTATCATTGCTCTTAATATAATCTGAAAATAAACCAATGTATAACATTTATAACTGACCTGAAAATGTCCTGTATACCATCTTAGTGTTATTGGCATGAAGCCAATAGCATTTAAATAAAAAAATGAGCTATTTGACAATACTTTTTCTTATTTATTACTCCCTAAAGTCACAGTCTCCCCAGAGCCTCTGTGTGATTTAGTTATTCTAAATATTTAAATAAGAGCCCACTCCCAACACTTCACATCAAGCACCAATACTAAGTGGAGTTTACAAGAGTCAGTGTCACAAAATTAATAAGGCATATTTTCTATGAATGGTTAACACTTAATTACAGTTTTAAGCAACTTCCATAAAGAATTTTATGCTGGCATCTTTGTGCAGATTTTGTACATGTAAATATTTTTGACATTTCAAGAGTTATGTTTTCAAGATCTCATAAATTGTATTTATATTATATTGCAAATTTTAATTTAAATAATATTACATATATACTAGATTCAAGTTACTGTGAAGTAAATTTATAGATAGATCTTTCCTGCCCACTAGGAGCTTCCTTCCTATGTAAAATAATGTGGACAATAATACAAATAAATTTGTTTTTAACAAACTCTTTTAAGCACATGGAATTCTCTTGTATTATTTATTATTTCAAATTTTCTTTCTCTTAATCACTATGGAATAGTTATGTTGTTTTTGTTATCAACTTTATTTCAAAAATCCAGACTCACATTCACTTAAACAGGTAACTGATGTTGACGCCATTGTTGTTCTTTAATTATGGGCATAAATAAGTAGGAAATCCTTTATAGTAGCTCCTTCCTAAATATAATTTATATTCAACTGTTGGTTTATTCCCTTTCCTTTAGAATTAGATTTTTTTCTCACTAATCTCTTGAGTTGACACAGATAATTATAACATATGTTCCATCACTGACTAGTCCAGTTTAAAGAATAATAGAAAATGTGAGTTCAAATATTCTTGAGCTATTTGTAAGTTACTCCTTGGATCACATTTTGGGGCTCAGTAAAACCATTTCTTTGCAATTTAGATAAAGCCAGACCTATGAAATTCAGAAGGAAAATTCAAGCTGAAGGTTCCTATATAAAATAATCCAAAAGGACAAATTTTAATGCATATATTGCCAAGTATCAACTCTCCAAACCTCACAATAAGGCACAGATAGTTGCATGAACTTAGTCTATTTGAGGACTTAGTATCTTCAAATTGATCCCAAACAGTTTAAGAGCGTGGGCTTAAATGAATCTATCTTCACTTTATATATGTCAAATTATTCTTTTTAAATATTTATTTTCAGCCTACCCCTCTTGTATTCCCATGGAAGGAGCTGAGTATATTTAATATTAGGAGCACATCCAGAAGTCTTTGAAGAGGGGGATGGCTCTTCATATTCATGAAGCTTGCATACTTCTGTTGGTCATCCCTGGATTGGTCACCTCTGCTGCTATCAGTCATGAAGACTATCCTGCTGATGAAGGTGACCAGATCTCCAGTAATGACAATCTGATCTTTGATGACTATCGAGGGAAAGGGTGTGTCGATGACAGCGGCTTTGTATACAAGTTGGGAGAACGATTTTTCCCTGGGCATTCCAACTGTCCATGTGTCTGTGCTCTAGATGGACCTGTTTGCGACCAACCAGAATGCCCTAAAATTCACCCAAAGTGTACTAAAGTGGAACACAATGGATGCTGTCCTGAGTGCAAAGAAGTAAAAAACTTCTGTGAATATCACGGGAAAAATTACAAAATCTTGGAGGAATTTAAGGTATGCGTTACCCTCCATATTTATTGAAATATCAACTTTTCATACCACGTGCTTAGTACATTGCTACATTAAAGTCAGAGTTGGAAAAATGTACTTTAAAATTTCCCTTTAAATTATACAATTTGATTCTAATTACCATAAGTAGCACCATGGTCAACAAATGGCCAACTGGTTTGTTGATCATATTTGTTAAGTTGCACAATAACCTTTATTTTTTTTCCCAGAAGTATTTGGGGCATACCTAACACCTTTTATTTTTGCCCTTAAACATTTCTTCTCTGTTATTACAAAATATGTTTTCTGATGGGAACAATTTTGTGTATAGTGTATGTGTCTCCTAAATTAATTTTTTAATTGTGTCAGTTTTGTGTGTTGCTTATTAGCCTGTATTTGAAGTCATTTAACAATATAGTCTAGAATTATTTGTTTATTGTGTGGAAAAGCTACAGAGATATACTTCTTAGCTGTGGTCCTCATATTAAGAAAATGCATTGGGCCTACTTGTGGTCAAGCAAGATCCCCATTCTGTTCTCTGCTCGCTGGATTTTTTGCTTTCAGGATTCCACAGAGAACTGAATTTTTATCACAATCCATGTAAAGAGTAGTAAAAAAGACTGTAATTTTTTTCAGCCTACCTGGTATTTTTTAGTTTTTCTTTTACGCTTGCGTCATATTTTCAAAGTAGCTTAGAGTTCATTTTTATCCCTTATTGAACTTTCTTTTCCCCAATGGCTAGTTTTAATTGGGATATCCTACAAGCCTGATCTGAACCCTGAAGGTATGAATACATGAAAAATGTCCACCTTAAATGTAATGGCAGTTTGTGCCTGGAGTGTCTGTCATACTGATGGCTTTATATAAAATGTTCCCATTTCATCTAACCAAGTTCTGTGATGAGGTGCTCAGAACCTTAGAGGTAAAAGCAGATATAGCTAGTTTTCAGTGTGGGTGTTTATGTATGAGAGAAGACATTTCCATTATTAGCACTGACCCAACTTCTCTCACCACAAGGGTCAAATGGTGCCAGAAATCAGTATGTAGAAAAAAGGTCTCAACTGATCATCATTAGCATAATCTGTGTATTCATAGTTAATTGTATTTAGTTCATTATTAACCTGGAATGAACCAGGTTAGCGGTTCAAGCCAGTTCTGATTTACCCAAGAATACCCAGTCATTGGAACTAGATTCCTTAGGACAAAAGGGAAATTTTAATTGTGACATTCAACTTCCTTAGACATGTTATTCTCGACTTTTGTCTTTCGTGTATTATTTTATTGCACAAAATTAAGAAGTAAAAGCATGAGAGTCTAGTAAAAGTATCATTGTTGACACCAAATAATAGTTGAGAGTAGAGTACATTTATTAATGGTTTTATGATCTCTAAAATATTGTATATATTTTGACATTACCTATTTTTAATGTCATCTTAATGGAAGTAAGTAGAAGTACTCAACACACTTGATTCTAGCAGTCATATCACCCTTTTCTAACCTGCATTTATATCTAGACTAGAATACAAAAGGGTATTGTAGGAACAGCGTTTCATAACTAGCACAAATAAAAACATAAGTTTCTGAGATTTATATAATTTGGTAATCTGTATTTAATAAAGAAAATATTGTCTAACTTAACTCACTATTGAAAATGCTATAGTTTTCCCTCTATTTATTAGATTTTACTACAAAGATAATAACTATGTTACCATGTCAAACAATATAGAGGTATTTAAAGAAAAAGTTAATAATTTCTGTACCCCTTCTCGTTATAACCCTACTATAATCTAATTAATCCCTACTACTTCTTTCCTAATGTATGATCCATTAATATGCACAGCTTTTTCACCTGGCTTTTTGTGTCATAAAATTTTTGATGTGATTTTTAAAATAATAGATATCACTTTTTTTAACAAGAATTTAGAGTCATAAAGAGTTTTAGAGACTATATAGGGCAAATGTGTCAGAATGAGAAACTGAGACCAAAAAAGTATAAATTACTTATCCAAAATTGTCAAGTTATTTATCTTAATTCTAAATGCTGCCATTCTAACATACTATATGATCTCTCAAAGCAGTTTGTCACTAAGGTCAGATAGACTTGGATTCGAATCCCAAATTCATCACTTGGATATAAATTTTTGAATGGAGTTCTTAAACTTTTTGATCCATAGTGGTATTGACCATAAAATAGCCATTGTAATAATCACTTTCCTTAGGAGGAGAGGTTGGAAATTCTTAATAACATATAATTTCTCTGAAGTCACTAACCTTGTGATGACGGGTACACAATAGGTATTAAATAAATGATTGTCCCCTCCTTCTTAACTCTAATATCCAGGGATTTACTCTAAATTCTAAATTCCTCTATGGCTTTGCCTACATTTTATAATGAAAGTTCAACTTTAAAAGACTTTCAAATGAAGAATTCTCATACCTTTTTAAAATGCTCTACTTATCCCTATGAACCATACAACTCTAAGTAAATATTAGCCATAATCTGTCATCTTGATTCTCTTCCAACTCAGCTTGCAAGGAACAAGTCATTAATTATTAAAGATGCATAAAACTTTCATATAATAATGTTGATATGTCAATTAGGGAGGTTGTATTATGAGATAATCTTCACATAAATATATTCATCCAACAAGCATTTATCAGACCGTTCAGTAGATAAGATACTGTAGACGTACTTACAATTGAAAGTAGGATATCTAGAAACCAAAATCTCTGCTCACAAGAAAGACATGATCGATGTGAAGAGAGAAGGGGGAAAAAGCAGGTAAAAGTTAAGTATATGATTATGAAATCCCAATATAACTCCCAAGAGATTGTGATGGCAGAAGCTTATCAAAATAGTATGAGGCTTGGTTAAGCAAGAGATTTGTCTTCAGGATGCTAACCCTATACATCTTGTAGAGCTGCCTGTTCTTCAAGAAGTACTTGAAATTGATCTGGGAAGACTGAAATTCCAAAGACGAAACTGCCAGAGCAAAATCAGAGATTGGGATGAATACAGTCTGCAAAGAGGAGGGAGATGGGTATAATTGGAAGCTAGATATGACTAAAATGCTATCCTAGTAAGAGGCAAATTCAGATATGTGTCGGTGGAGAGTGGATGGAAGGGCCTTGAATACTGGGCCAAAATATTTAGATTCATCTGAAGAATAATAGGAAATAAAATGCGGATTGTTCTGTACATAGATGACCTAGTTAAACATAAATAAAAATGAATGTCCTATATCCAAGCACAGAATTGAATAGAAGTAAAGAGAAATTAATAGTGGAGGAAGGAAGTCTGTTGCAGAAAAAAAGAGAATGAGGTGCACAAGCACAAAGACATTCAGGACAGTTTTCAGGGTAAAATCTAATTTCCCTGCTGTAGCCTAGATTCTACTCATCAACCTCTCCAAATCCCTCAAACTCTTGGTGGCTTTTTTTCCCTGTGTGTTTGCACTGCTGTTCCACAGTATGGAACACTTTTTCAACATTGCTCCCTGTTTAAATCCTACTGGACCACTTCAAGGCTCCATTTAAATCTCACCTCAACTGGAAACCCCTCTCTGTCTGTCCTACCTCATATCTCCCACACTGTATCACTCCTTCCGTATGTTCCCACGGCCTGCTATACACACCATCACTACAAGAACAGTAACTGTTGTCTGATACTGTGAAGAGCTTTATGTATATTATAACACATTTTATTTTACAATAACACTGTGAGAATTATACTTTTATTAGCACTGTTTTACGGATAAGAAAACTGAAGCAGCAGAGTGTAAGTAACTTGTCCAAGACCATACAGCTGGAAAGAGGAAAAAGTAGGACTCCAAGCCAGGCAGCTTGACTGCAGAATCTAAGCTCCTCACCACTTCTAGTGATCTACCCCACAGCAATAATGTAATACATCACACTGCAATAATATTAAATCATGTAAAATATAATATGAAATAATATCATATGAAACCACTCGTCTCTTCCATTAGTCATTGAACCCTTCGAGGCTAGCGACACTGTTTTCTTTTTTCTTTTCCCCTCTATTCCCAACACCGTGTGAGCTATGTAACAGTCATTTAATACCTTTTTTGATGAATAGCATACCAGGTCAAATTGTAATCAAACCTATAGGATAAAGAAGTTAGAATTTCTTTAGAATGATTTAGTTTCTGTTTATGTGTTGATCTCTTCATTTTAATTAAAGAAGCACTGAAAGTTGAGACAAAAAATGCTCTTTGGGCAGTTAAAATGGCACACATTGTTCTCTTATGATAAGACTGCCTATTTTCGTCCTGCCTTTACTTTCTTCCTCTCTCAACCCCTTCCTCACCAAGGGTTGTCTTGGATTCTGTCTCCATCCCAGCATCGCAATGACTACCCAGTGTTTTAGCTGTACTGTCTCACCCTATGCAGTTGCAAATCATAGGTCACACTTCAATATTTTCTGATCACCAAATTCAAATGTAAATTGATCCACATGTGTCACCTGATAGGAAAACTGATGTCATTTATAAAGGTTGTGGGATTTTTGTGGGGTTTTTATTTCATTTACTGATGCAAGCTTTGAAAATGAATTTCTCTCTATTCTTTTTGAAAACTCTAAATTCTCCAGGGTTCTGGTAATATTGTATTAAGATAAAGGTCACTGTATAGTAGGTTCTCTCATCTTTCTTTTATGTGCACCCCGGCAATATGACACTGGAACCTACTTTTTGAGAAATAAAGCATATAAATAATACATTATAATAGCAGTTTCTACCAGAAAAAGTTTATTGGAAATGTAGGCTTAACTATCTTAATGCTGAGTTTCTCAAAGGAAGAAATAATTTCTTATTTTGCTCAGTATTTTTATAACTCTGATTCTGCTAGAATTAGCTTTTTTGACTATTTCCTTATACTTTAGAACTTGTACTGATTTAGTTGTAGGTCATACACTGAAGGTTATACTACATGTAGCTGAAAGAAACCTTTCAGCTTTTGCATAGCTTGTTTTATTTTAAAGTGATTTTCTGCAGCCAATTCCCAGTGTCCCTAATTCAGGATTTGGATTTGCCCAAGATCAGTGCCCTGCTGACACTGACCTTTGTGTTTTTCCCACTATGGGCCAAAGACAGTGGACCAGGTCTCTGAATTCTATATTCGAAAGGTGCGGTGTGAATATTTTTTCAAGTCAAATGTCTTATGGGTTTGTTGTTGCTTTTATAAAAATGAGCCTGTTTTCAGGATGCCAAGTTTTTGCCCTGAATTTTATACTTAATATTTAAATCTCAAGAGAATAAAAGGGGACCCGCCTGGCCAACATGGTGAAACCCTGCCTCTACTAAAAATACAAAAATTAGCTGGGTGTGGTGGCGGGCACCTCTAGTCCCAGCTACTCGGGAGGCTGAGGCAGGAGAATCGCTGGAACCTGGGAGGTGGAGGCTGCAGTGAGCAGAGATTGCGCCACTGCACTCCAGCCTGGGCAACAGAAGGAGACTCTGTTCCAAAAAAAGAAATAAGAAAATTAAGCCGTGGGATTATTTTGCCAAGTCATCACACTCATAAAAATTGTTGATGCCAATTTGGATTTAGAATTGATTTGCCCTTTAATGGGTATATTCACACAGAGACAAAAATTTCAACCTTCTCATTAATAGGTGCCACATTGTTAATGTCCAATATTGTAAAATTAAATCTGTAAAAACGTTTGAGTGGGAAGAATTTTGGAATTCAGGTTTGGGAGAGTCATTTGACGTCTAGTTGTTTTTTTAATATGGAGAAGAAAATGGAAGGCAACATGTTCTAGGAGCTGAGGACCAGACTTATGAAAGAACAGGGAAAACCAGAGGCTGTAGAGATATCTCAGTTGAGGGGACTAACAGGTAGGTAACACTTTGCACAGCACAATTCACTGCCCCTTGCCTACTTACCCACCTGCCATTGCACGAGTGTCTATGAAAAGCACAGGAACTAAGTCAGATGTTTACACAAGGCAAAGGAGTACAAAAAGCATATATATGAAGTATGAAGCCTGTATTTATTTTAATAACAGAGAAATCAGTGGATTATGAGAATAGAGGTGCAGTTTTTAAAGAGTTTTATACAAAAGAGGGTTTTCATTTCTCAACAAATGGGTAGTGGAGTCACCAGGGGCATTTTTAAGATACTATCCCAAGAAAGAACTAGAAAGCATCATGATTTTATGCGGCAAAGATAATTGGGGATCTTTGTAGAGAGGTTGAGAAGATTAATTCCATAATTATTGGCTCTGCAAAATGCAGTTTCTGTTTTGCAGAGCATGTTGTGGCTTTTAACATTAAAATGGCTTTGAGTGAGTTAAAAGGAATGCCTTCCCCTTTCAAGTTGCTACAAAATAACAGTGATTGAGACCTTACAATTGCTTATCTGAGGCTCAGCCTCAGCATGCAGAATGAGTGGGTTCAAAGTGGATATTCTCAATGGGGGATTCCCATCTTCGTAAGTAACTGGGGAACCTTTACGTAATTTTTATACTCTTTGAGTAATTTCATTCCAGAGATTAGAAGTCAATTTTATTAAAAAATTTATAATGTTCACTGCACACTTTTTGCACCCACAAAAGTACACTAAAAGTTTTTTGCACTCACAGAAGTACATGAAATCTAGGAAAAAATCTACTTTTAAAATAATTTTTCTTAAAAAATTGCATTGATAATTGAGTGTTATCCTTTTGATATTAAGTACTTTCTAAAAGAGAGTAGAATTATAAGAATAAATGGCTTCCAAATTAATTCCCAAAGGAGTGAAATAGCTCATTGACAGTCAGAACTACAGTCTCTTACTTTACATTTTAAGAGAATTGATGGTCAGCTAGCCCTTTTGTTAGTTATATATAGGAGTAGTTTTTCATACTCACTTACCAATATTTATTGCTGTCCTTCATATTGGAAGATGCTGCTGTTAATGGTGATAACTGTGTGACAAGCGTGACTACCGAGATTTGTGACTGGGCTTCTGTGCCGTGTGCACATTGGGAGATCGGCGTTGATTTGCAGCCACATCTGAGATTTGCGGAGCTTGTCACTGTTAGTGACTACCCCAGACTTGAGGTCAGTCATCAGTAGTTTACAGACATGATTGCCCATTCCTTACTGACTCACCCACATTGAGAGAAGATGAAGCTGAAAAAAAGAATGACCTGGTAGTCTCCCTTCCAGATTTTAACTCCAACTGTACATGGTTTTGGATATGTTAAAAAAAATTGCCTATTTTTAATTGTTTCTCCTCACCAAAAGACAGAATTGGTTAATCGGGTGATATTAACAAGCATAATTTTTTTCTATTTCCTACATCTTTTTTTTTTTTTTTTTTTTTTTTGAGACGGAGTTTCGCTCTGTCGCCCAGGCTGGAGTGCAGTGGCGCGATCTCGACTCTGCAAGCTCCGCCTCCCGGGTTCACGCCATTCTCCTGCCTCAGCCTCCCATGTAGCTGGGATTACAGGCGCGTGCCACCATGCCCGGCTAATTTTTGTATTTTTAGTAGAGACGGGGTTTCACCGTGTTAGCCAGGATGGTCTCGATCTCCTGACCTCGTGATCCGCCCGTCTCGGCCTCCCAAAGTGCTGGGATTACAGGCGTGAGCCACCGCGCCCGGCCTATTTCCTACATCTTATTTCATAACACAGGCCTACATATCTTTGGCAAATTTTGCAGATTAATTTATAACCTATATAATCTAGATTTTAATTGCTCCATACATGCATTAATTTGTGTGTGTGTGTGTGTGTGTGTTAAACTGGAAGGAGCAAGAGTGTTCTTACTTTAAGAAAATCTTGTTTTAAGATATTAAATCTTTTTGTTCCTTCTTCTTAATCCCCATGAACATATTTTCACTTTGTTTTGTTATCCTGCATCTTAATTTATACATCAGGCACTGTGTTTTATGAAGGACAGCACAAGAAAAACCTATCGGTGTATTTTTTAGTTGTCTTTTAGGGAAGCGTTTGAAACAAATAACTAAGAGGAGAGTTGAAGTGATCAATGTCTTTGCTTTCTCAAACAATAGGCATTATTAATTGGGAACTGGCTTATTTTAGAGTCTGTACTTTGGGTTTTATCATCACTACTGATTAGCATCAGTAATTTCAGTCTAACACACTTCCATTGTTGATTTCCTTGCCTCTAGCCTGCTGTAGAGTATATCACAATAAACCATCTTTGCAAAGATTTAATGACATCATGGAAAGAGTGAATAAAGTACTAAAGTGACAAGAAAGATCATTCAGCTCCTGAAAAAGTTTTCAGATGACATTATTCTATGGCTGTATAAAGTTGTCTACAGGGTATAAACATGCACTGAACACTACTCTTAATTTTCCCATTATGTCACATAACCATGAACAAAACTCAAATACGTTTATTCTGGCTACAGAATTGATACAATAATGAGACCATATATATCTTATGAAGAATAAATAGTATTGAAGATTTGAAGATTATAATATTACATATCAATTTGTAACAATTACCAAAGCTCAGAAGGTTTTTTTTAATTAAACATTATTGGGTTGGGATTTTGAAATAATTTTTGTTTTAGTATTTACCTTTCACTACCATTGTTACATCTTGGTTTGGGATTTTATTTCTAGTATCTGCATTTATATAAATTTTTCTGTTTGTAAAAAGGCAGGCATTATGGTTTCTTTTTTATAGTCTAGGTCCTTTCTACTTTTGAGCGCTGACCATAGAATTTTAGATCTAAAACAGAACTTTGAAATTATTTTATCTGACTCCCTTATTTTAGAGGTGATAAAAGAAAGACTAACAGAAACTTAGTGATAACACACTTCCATTGTGCCAAATAATGGCACAGCTCATTATTTGCAAAAGCAGTATTAATATGTCACTTTCCTGTGATCTTTTTTCTATATTTTACTACCTTCAGGTTTAACAGAAAAATACCAGCTCATTTGCATCTTCTTTTCCAATAAATATGTTGGATTCAATGATTTATCTCAGCCAATTGTCTATAGAAATGTGATATCAGGACCTATCACCATGACAACACAGAGTTACAAGTAGACAAGAACAATAAAATACTGGCACATCAAAAATCAGTCTTTGATACAGATTGAGTACAATTTGTCAAACTAGCCTAAGTTTCCAAAGGCTGTAATAAAAATGGGGCCCATTGTCTAAAACAGAAAAATTATGTAATTAAACCAAACAATATAGGCCAAAATAAAATTAAAATATATTACATTAAACATTACCCATTTATTTTCACTGAGACTACTTTATACTTGGATGTAACAAAGGAGCAAAATTAGCTGTGCTTTCTCATGTATTTTGATGGTTTTAGAAAATGAGGACCCATTTTTTTTTTCACTTAGCAAACTCTCACCTCTCACTAGATGGCAGGAATGGAGTATGCAAAATAGATGGTATATGCAAAAATCTCTAATTCTGTGGCATTAGAACAACAACAACAACAAAAATCTCTAAACTGGCTGATGATCAATATCACCTAAGGAAGGACTGTTGCAAAAATTCAGATTCCTTGACCTTTCCATCTTAAATTCCAATTTACATCATTTAAATCTATGTTATTCTAAAGTTTCTCAGATTATTATAATTCTCAGTAGGGTTTGGGAATCACTGCTATAATTCAGCCTTTTCTAGATTGTTTTCTAAGGAATGCTAGCATCCTGTGTGATTGTTCATAAGGGTTTCAGTTATTTTTCATGGTCAAATAAATTTGAGAAATGATGCATCCTTTAACCTCTCTTGGAAATGAGCAGTACACGTTAGTATACTGAGACTACTTGAGCATACTGAAAGTTAGGTTTGTTTGAGAGTTAGTACGTATAGTTCAACAGCTGAGAGCTCAAAAGTGTGGTGAAAATTGGATTTTAAAGCCGGCCCTACCACTTACCAGCCAACTGACCTAGGCACACATTACTTCACCTCTTTCTCTATGTACACATCTATAAAAGAGAGATAATAGTAGACAGTACTTGGCATGCACCATGTGATTTATAAAAGCTACCTGATATTTTTACTACGATTACTATTAATACTAAACTGTATTTCATCCAGAATTTCACAAATTTATGTGACAGTAGAACACTTTTTTTTCTCAGAACACTTATTAACATCTTAAAGTTCACAAAAGTTCAATGAAACACAGTTTAAGAAATATTTTTCTAATGATTCAAGATAGGCTAATTCCTTTGACTTTTATGAGCAGTTAATGATGAAAATCTATTTTTTCTCAGCTTATCTTTTAATATTTTGTCCTTTGTAAAGTTCCCAAAATTGTATTTAATGCGATTATTTATGGAAATGTATTAATTTGTGTTACAAAAGACAATTTAGTTGAAAAATGACTTTTAAAAAATAGTGGTAATATCAACTACAAGTAATGGATTCTCTAAGACAAGGGTCAACACACTATGCTCCATGAGCCAGATCCAGTTCACAATCCATTTTATTAATAAAGCTTTATTAAAACACAGCCATGCTCATTCACTTACATATTGTCTATGGTTGCTTTTAGAATATTCCAGGCACTGTATGACCCACAAAATCTAAAATATTTACTATTTGGCTTTCTATAGAGAAGGTTTGCTGATCCTTGCCTAATCTGGAATCAGATATTCTTCCCTTTCTACTTCTCTCAAACTGTGCTGTCACCAAATCCTTCTAACTTGCACTCTTGAAGGTTACAGCCGTTTGGGTACTGCTGGATATCAGTTCTCTTTAATCAGTGCGTGGTCTCAGGGATCTCTTTTCACACAAGTAAATTTCAAAAAGCCTGTAGATTTGCCTATTTTAAATGTATACATACTTAACAGCAGGCATGTTCAATCCTATTTCTCTGCATTCCTGACTCAAAAGAGCACAGCTTTGCTCTTTGCACTGATGTATCATAACTTAATAATTTTCCATTCACTGAAAATTCTCAAATAAAACAGATAAAGATTAATTTTTTATCTTTTTATATCCCATGTGTTCTCTTTTGATAAGTCAAAAAGTTATCTTTAATTTAATATAATAGATATATTTAGGATTATATTAAGTGAAAACATGTATACATTATTTCTGCTTACTTAGGTACTCAGTCCATTATTGCATTTGTAAAATCAGCTTACATACACAATCCACAGTTTGATCCCATTAAATAAATATCCCTTTCATATAGAGAAGCGGTAGATCTTGTGGGCTATACCAAAATATAGAAGACAGAAATCTGACCCTCAAGGTGCGCCTAGTCTATCTAAAGGAATAATACAGGTACCACTGATGATAAGTAGCTTATGATGACTGCTCTAGGAACTCAGATGAAGAAAGAATTCAGATCGGGCACGGTGGCTCACCCCTGTAAAACCAGCACTTTGGGAGGCTGAGGCGGGCAGATCACCTGAGGTCAGGAGTTCAAGACCAGCCTGGCCAACATGGTGAAACCCCATCTCTACTAAAAATACAAAGATTAGCCTGGCATGATGGTGGGTGCCCATAGTCCCAGGTACTTTGGAGGCTGAGGCAGGAGAATCACTTGAACCCAGGAGGTGGAAGTTTCAGTGAGCCGAGTTCTGGCCATTGCACACCAGCCTGGGTGATAGAGTGAGGCTTCGTCTCAAAAAAAAAAAAAAAAAAAAAAAAAGTAATTCAGTCTGAAGAACTAAAGGAAGATATGCTAAGAGTGGGGGTTGCAATGCATTAAAAGCAGTTTAGACAAAATTGGAACGTTTGCAAACCTAAAGGCAAAGCTTATTCAGAGAAATGGTGTCAAGCCGAGTGACAAGATCAAAGGGTATACAGAGTTAGAAATAAGAGTGAGGCGGGAGCATGGGACCAATTCACAGCATGAATGCTAGGCTAAGGAGCTTGGGTCAAAGTCTGAACTGAGTAGACAGCCACCAAACGGCTTAGATCAAAGAAGCAACAAAACTAGATTTGTGCCTAAAACAAATACCAATAATAGTTGGCAATTTCATTAAGTATCTTGCACATGCATTTCCTTATTAAATTATTGAATCCTAAAATATTTTCACTCCCATTTCACAAATGAGAAAACCAAGATTCAGAGAAATTTGTGCCTTTGTCCTTGTCATATAAATGGAGATTATCAAACTTGGCAAATCAAAAAAGGTCTTCTAACTCTAACTCTAGGGTTTTCTCTCATATCTTACCAGCTTTGATTAATTCACTATGAACATTATGCAAGTAATGTGGTAGAGATAGTGTAGTTTTCATTTTGGGTGTATATATTTCCTATATTGTTGAATGTGTTCAATTATAAGTCTATTTCATGTTTAGTCACCTCTTTTTCACAGAAATGTGGCACATTGCTAACATGAGGAAAATTCTTTCCCTGCTTTATAGGGCTTGACTGGTTTCATTTTAAAAAGCTCCCACTGTCAAAAGAAGTATGCTTCTAAGGCACATTCCTATCCATTTAAAAAACAAACTGCATTCTGAATGCAGTGAGGATTGGCCAGGATTATTTTTGCCAATTTAGAGATTAAAAACAAAATTCTAAATCAGTGAAATACAAATTTTTAAAAAAGAAAATGCAAAACTTGTTAATAATTCTTGCAGTCTTAGAAATGCACACTCTCTAATACTTCACTTATTTTCACACGTTAGCTTTATTGCTCTCTCCTAAATATGACAGAGAAAAAAACAAAATTGTTCAGTGTAACTTTAATTTTCCCCCAACATTAAAAATAAAATCCTGCTAAAATTGCAAACCTTTGACTGCTGAGATGTAGAAAGCTTCATTAGAGACAAAAAGGAGAATCAGAGAATTTTTCTTTTGTTAATGAGACTCTAGGACATTCACATTGAAACTAAAAGATACTTAAATCAAGACTCCAAAAACTGTGAGCTAAAGTTACCCTGTTAAAAATCTGTTTTTGGCAAGAATCTGATTAAAGATTGAAGTTTCATCTCTGTAAATAAGAATCCAATTAACTATCTAAAAATACTGTCCAATGCCATTCTCAATCGAACCACAATTTGAGTGCAAACATTGTTGTGTTTTAGAGATGTAACACAGATTGCTTTCAAAACTCTGAAAGATGTACAATTGTCCCTGGGTATACACACACAGAGGATTGGTTCCAAATCCTCTCCAATACCAAAATCTGCAAATACTCTGTAAAACTGTAAGATACAAATTTCTTACATAAAATGGATTAGTATTCGCATATAGCCTATGCACATTCTCCCATACACTTTAAACTATTTCTAGATTACTTATAATTTCAAATACAATGTAAATGCTGTGTAATAGTTCATTATACTGTATTGTTTAGTAATAATGGTAAGAAAAATAGTCTGTAAATGTTTAGTACAGAAAACCATCCATTTCCTTTCCAATACAGTATTTTTGATTCACAGTGGGTTGAATCCATGGATATGAAACCCACGGATATGAAGGGCTGACTGTATGTTTTACAAATTCAACATTTCAAATAATTCACAATGAATATCATTATGCCGTAATTTAATAAGAATAAGTTATAACTAATATGCTCCCTTGAGGAATACACAGCCATTGCAAATGGACGAAGAGTGGGGAAGGAAACTCTGACGAAGTTGAAAGCTATGATGGCAATCATAGTCATGTAATCAATCCCACATCGTTTACATGTGCTTTCACATATTATATAGTTTAGTCTCAAAACAATCCAATGAGAAAATTAGAGCACTCTTAATATTTTATTATTAGCTCCATCTTACAAGCGAAAAACCCAGGCTCAAGAGGTTTAAGTAACCTGTCCAAGGTAGAACAGCAAGCTATATTTCATGCCAGGATTTCAGCTGCAAATGTGCTTATTTCACATTATCATATAGCCAAGTTCCACTGGGTGATAGCACTAACAATTTTTATACATGGTTACAAAATTATCACTGCTTCTGCCATACCTTGTCCCAAAGTTATACACTAAAGTAGAGAGGTTTATCAAGAAAGTACTCAGTCAAGATTTTTTAAATTAAAATATGTTTTCATGTTACTGCCCATAAGCCATCTCAATATATTTTTGTGGAATGAGATAAGCTATGAACTAAGCATCAAATAATGAACTATCAAATTCAGTAGGAAATTACTGTTTGGACTTTAGAAATATATTTCAATACCAGCAGTGATAAAGCACTTGTTATTATTATATTTTAATTACTCTTTCTTCATAACCTGTCAAAGTATGACATCAGCAAATATAAAATGAAGAAAAAATTTCAATTTTTAGAAAATCTTTGCACACAGACAGTGGCAAAAAAAAAAAAAAAAAAAAGGAGTTCCTGAGAAATAATCTGATTGGCACTTCTAATACAAATGGGTTTGGTTGTTCCAGGGTGATAACTCCCATCCCTTAGACCCTAAAAGGTCTTAAATTCAGTGTCATCCACACACGTTTAGCAGGCTGAGTTATGGCTCTTTCTCTTTTCTGTTATCACTTCCTTTCAATGTTTTCTGCAGAATAGGCCAGGTCATATTCATCTCCTATGATTCTTTCAGGCTGTAGAATTCTCCTAGTGATGTACTCTTCCCCAACCATATGTGACCTTGCTTTATTGCTGTTGTAGATGACTGATTCTTTGTCTGATATCAACAATCTCTCCTTTCCAGTGTCAACAGAAAAGTTTTGAAGTTACACAGTTGCTCACTTTTTTCCTGTTGCATAAACGGGCGATAAATGTAGCACCTTCAGCATGAAAATACATGGGTTCTGCTTACAGTACTCAGTTGCTTTGTCAAGAATGTTTTTTATACCAAAGCCAACTGTCAATCCAGCTTGTCAGTGAAGGACTAAGGACGGCTGCTTTTCCTGAGTATTTCACAAGTATAGGTGTGATACTTCATCAAAACCTCGATTTTATATTAAATCCTCAAGTTTTTGTCTATATGTCTGGGCCCTCCTTTGATTATCATAAAGGCAGCTAAATTATCTTTTTCCTCTCTTAAATATACCCTGATATTTCCTTGATAAGCATACTGTGCCTACTTTAAAAAAAATACATCTTTGATTGCAAATAAACAGATATTATTGCTTACATTCTCCTTACCTATATTTTTTAAAATTTACATTTATATGTTTTCTTCATATTTTGGAAAAAGCTGCATTTTATTGTCATGAGACTCCTTGAAAATGTTGAGGAAAAATATCGGTTCTTCACACCATCAGTTTGTTGGTATAGGCAGAAAATTATAGGGTTACCTGCCCTTAAATATATACTAAAGTATATTTTTAAAACTTTACCAAAAAAATTTTATTTTATTTTTTATTATTATTTTTCTTTTGAAATGGAGTCTTGCTCTGTTGTCCAGGCTGGAGTGCAATGGCGCAATCTTGGCTCACTGCAACCTCCGCCTCCTGGGTTCAAGCAATTCTACTGCCTCAGCCTTCCGAGTAGCTGGGACTACAGGCACCTGCCACCACGCCTGGCTAATTTTTGTATTTTTAGTACAGGTGGGGTTTCACCATGTTGGCCAGGCTAGTCTCAAAATCCTGACCTCGTGTGCTGCACCTGCCTCGGCCTCCCAAATTGCTGGGATTACAAGCGTGAGCCACCGTGCCTGGCCAGGAAGAAAATAATTTTAGGAAAAAAAAAAATAGAACATTGATAAAATGTCACTGTTGTGTAGCAACAATGGCAATTTCAAGAATGAGCAAACTTTACTTGATAATTAATAATTACAATTGGGTACTTCATCAGTTGTTTTCCAATCTTCTAATATTTTACTTTAGCTCAGAGTGCATGCAAATAAAAATACAAAGATTAAATCCAGTGGCTAGGTTTTCTATTATAGTAGTACCGCCAGTTATTCTTACAGAAAAGGTATTTGTTTTTTAAAAACATCAAAATATGTGTTTACAAATATTTCAACTCTTCTTCTAGATTGCATTTATTGGAGTAGGAGAGATATATAGTTCATCTCGATATACCTTATATACACTACTTTGTATACAATGTATGTTTAATGAATATGCTGAATTTTTTTTTAAATTAGACATCATATTTCTGAATTGTAGTTTATTACCTACCTAGTTTATTATATCTACATGGGCAAAGCTATGTGCACTCCATAATCATTTCACTAAAATGCTTATGTTTTCAACAAAAATGAAATGTTTTTTGATAGACATGCTGAAAAAATATACTCCAGAATGTATTATCAAAATACAAACTCCACCAGAGAAAGCCAGGGCAGCTACTACTTAACTCGTAATGCAGATAATAATACCACGATATACATTTGCTGAGTAACTGAGATGGTTATTTTAAAAAACTCTGTGCATCTGCTTTTTTTTATTTGCTTCCTCAGTATTAAAATTCTTAAAGAAGTTTCAGCTTGATGTCCATAATTTGATGAGTTACAACCTCAGTGTTCCAAATATGCTCCAATCAATAGAGCAGATCGCTGAAGAGGTCATCACAATCTCATAAGACCAGGAACACTTAGGAGCATTTTAATCAGTGATGCTATGGGTCATCTTTTAGACAATTGTGAATTTTGGTTAAAACCCATTGGATCAGTTGATTATTAGGTGACACCTGTTGCATGCAAATTACCGGCTACGGGAGTGGCAGTGGATGCTAAATACTTTTGCACTTTGTAATTTAATGTATATTTTAATGAAGTGAACAGTGAGATTCCTGACAGGCATCAGCAACTTTGAAATAGAGTCTTCCAAATTTTCATACAGTTTGAAAGTAATGAGATTTGTTCCTTAAAGTGATAAAATTTATGCCATAAATTAGCTCTAAAAGAAGAGTGCTTCTAAAAGCTGTATTTTTTCCTTTGTGGAAAAGATTAGATTTTAAATAGTTGTTTAAGGGGAGTTTTTTGAAAAGTAAACAAAGATTTTCTTTGATCATTTTTGCTTATTATGAAAGAAATGAAGTACCCCTTGGACTCTGAAGCCTAATATCACTTGATCAGAAGGAAACCCATTTATAGGGTTAGGAGGTATAAACTTGGCTCTTAGAATATATCCCATCTATTTGCGTATCCGTCCCTTCAGCTTTCAACAGTATTCACAGACAACTTTCTAAGAAACCCGTGTTGTTTTCAGAATATTCAAAATGTGTGTTGTTGGGCTTTGTACTCTATCCCATCCTTTTGGGAAATGGACATGTTTAAAATCAGGACTTGTTCTGAAAAAAGATTTTCTAATATACTAAATTGTTGTGCTTAATAAGCAACCATTAAAATTGATACACATTATAAAATGAGACTAGCTTTTTCTCAGACCCTTTAGCAATTCCTCTGCATGTACTCTTGTCCAAATTTAGTTAGCACAGTATTTTCTAGTGCAATAAAAGTCTGTAATCATCTACTGCTAGATAACCTAGTCAATGGAGTGCTTGAAGATTGACTTACCTGTGATCTGCATGATGAATATTATGAATTTAAAATTACCTTTAGAGGGTGAGTTTATGTGCATTGCCATAATGTTGGAACCCAAATAGTTATTTCACGACTCACAGTCGGAAACCTTTTTCCCCAAAGTGCCCATTATAATATTTAAATAAAATACAAACATCTCATTGACTCAAAATCATTTTCACGCATAATGAACACAGATGAAGCCGCCCAGAGATATGGTTTAGCAAATAAGAAAACATAGATTATACATAAATGATTATGCATTTTAGTTAACAAATATTTGTTGAGTATCTGTCATGTGCTAAGATGTCTTCTAGGTGCTGAGAATACAACAATGAACAGTATATTATAAGGAGATTAGAATCTATGAGGACAGGAGCAAATTTACCAAAAAAATGTAAAGAAATCAGTAAGATAGTTTCACAGACTGATGAGAGCTCTGAATGGTTGACATGATGGACAGAGAAGATGAAGGGGCTGGAAGGCCTGAGTCATCAGGGAATACCTCCCTGGGGAGGTGGCATTTGAGTTGACACCTAGATGATGAGACTTCAGGAAAAGAAAATGGGTTCGTTGCTTTTCATTCTTTCATTTTACTTGTTGATTTATAATGGCCAGTTTCACCATTCACAACTACTCTTTATCTGAAGCTTCTAATAACAATTGTGATTTTAGTTGCCTAAACCAATATTTATGAAAGAGTCTCATTTTGCTCTATTAACTATACTGTGTATAGCAGGAAACCCCTTTCTAATCTAGGGCCAGCTGGGACAGCATTTGGAATTGCCATACAAGGTATGCATTTAGGGCCAGGCACAGTGGCTCACACCTATAGTCCTAGCACTTTGGGAGGCCAAGGTGGGTGGATCATTTGAGGTCAGGAGTTAGAAACCAGCCTGGCCAACATGGTAAGACCCTGTCTTTACTAAAAGTACAAAAATTAGCCAGGCATGGTGGCATGCACCTGTAATTCCAGCTATTTGGGAGGCTGAGGCAGGAGAATCACTTAAACCCAGGAGGCAGAGGTTGCAGTAAGCCAAGATTGTGCCACTGCACTCCAGTCTGGGCAACACAGTAAGACTCCATCTCAAGAAGAAAAAAAAAAAAAAGTATGTATTCAGAGATAGCAGAAATTGCTTAAATGGAGTTCTACATTAGTTATTTAAAAACACTAAGCTGGAGAAATAACAAATTTAAAACAGATATATTAACTGCTCAAGCCACCTGATATATATATATATATATATATATTATATATAAATATATGTATAAACAAATACATTTGACCGCTAATCCTAATTTCAACTAAAATTTATGAAAAAGTAGTGAGTGAATGTTACTTTATTTTCTAAGGAGTGCACAGAAATAAAGTGTTCTGTGAGGGTTCTTAGGAGTTTTCTTGTATAAAATTTTAGGATGGTATAATTCAATCACCATACTTACAAATCTCTAGCTGGCAAAAGCCATGTACTACTCATAATTTCACATGTTCTTCTTTAAAAAATGCTAGTAGAAATAATTTTTCTGGGTACTTCTTTCAGTATTCTCTGTTTCTCTAAGGATAGCTTTATTCTTTAAACTTTGGTTTTACAGGGACATTTTCAGGTTTCATCTATAGTTTTCACATGGAACAACCCAATAAAAGGAAATCTGTAACCAGCTCAATGCTTAAGATATAAAGATTTATCCAAAGTACCGTGAGTTTTACACTGTAAATGGGAAGGATTTTTAAAGTTTGAACTTAATGTCAAAGTAGCATGCTGCACACTCCTAGTAACTTATTGCTGTTCAAGCAGTATCTTTTTACAAATGCAGGGGCAGGCAGGAGCAATGGAGAAAGTCAAGTTGAGCAAGAGGACAACAATAGTGCCGGAATTGTAAGATGATGAAAGGAAAGAGGCTTGGCAAGTCTGGAGAGGATGGAAAGGGGTTCTAGCTTGAAGTCAATGGGTTACATTTGATTGAGTGTTTACAGTGGGATCAGAGGGGCACAAGGAGGCTTGACATGAGAAAAAGTGCACTAAAATAGAGACAGACCATTTGTAAAAACAATTTAATGAAAACAGAAGAGGAAATCACATGCATATGATAAGAGATTCTGAGTCAGAAAGGGATGGCGTACAGTACATAAATAAAGCCAAGTTCAGGGCAGGGTGAGAAGCCACCAATGATTAATGTGATGTTTTTATTTTTCTCATTTATGTTTTTCATTATTCAAACCCTATTCAAAAAATCAAATATAGTCTTATCACTAAGTCTTGTGGTCTTAGATCTTCCTCAGAATATTTCTCAGTTTCCAATGCTTTATTGGTCTTTACTGGATTATTATCTGTTAACACTTCTCCCAGATGCCTGCACATCTAGTTACCAGGTTCCAAAGCTTGAAGATGTCGAGGTCTCCAAGAATGTAACACTTGTGGCAACCTAACTTTGGCAACTACGGTTTTCTAACTCACATTTGTAGAAAGTTAAAAAGCTCTAAGTTTCCATAATAATCTCATCATGCACCAAACACCCAAGTTAATGGACTTCTCTTTCTTAGCAGGAGCATCAGTACACAGAATGGTGATTCTTGTTACCAAGTGGCAGTCCATTATAGCAGTTAGGCTACTGGATTCAAATCCTGCCTTTGCCTCTTACTACCATAGGCCCTGGGAAAGTTATTAAACCTTTCTCAGCCCATTTCCTCATCTGTGAGATAAAGATAAAAACAAGTCTTGCTTCATAGAATTATTACAAAAACTAAGTAAGTAGATATAGGAAAATTGCTTAGCATAATGCCAGTGTTTAAATTAGAATGGTCTTCCTCATCAGTGTTGGGAATCTAATAGTTCAACAAATTTTTCTTAAAGACTATAGTTATTTTGAAGTAAACATTTTGCATTTGAAAATTTAGGATTCTCTTCAGAATTTTTATTCCCTGAATCAATCCACTAGAGTTGCACAAACCAGCCCTTCCTTCAACAAGAAGGGAACCAGAAAGAATAAACAATGCTAGCTGTGGGGAAGGGATTATATTAGTGGCTTCCTTTTTCCCCCATACTGGCAGTAAATACAGTCCAAGTCTTTGCTGCATTTCAGAAGGCTATGTGAAAATACTTATTTGTAATTAACCAAGGAAAGGGGAAAGTTCGACAAGTCTGCTTGGGAATTTTAGATATCACGATGAGGTTTGCAAAATAAGGAGCAAAAGAGCAACAAGAGTTTCCATCTCTTATTTGCTAATTTTCTCCATTAAATAATGTACTGTACGTTCTAATCTTTTTCTTAATTTGCTGAGATTATTTAGCAGAAAAGCATCAGAAAAATCTCAACCCTTGAGAATGCAATAGATTTCTCTGAAATGTTTAAACACAACTCACCACATGGTAAAGAGTTTAACTGTACCCTTCAAAAATGCCATTGATCATGTTAACAAATAGCCATACTTTACCACAGATCCCATGGCTAATTGTTTTGTTCATACTAAATTTGAAAGCAAAGTAATTTAAAGTTAGGCTGTCATTCTCCAAGCAAAAAGCAAAGACAAAATGAATTTTTAAAATAATTAGTTGAAGGGTTTCCACTATAGACTGTCTGAGTTGAGAAGCACTGATATTACACAGATTGTCAGATCCAGGGAAGAAATAAGAGCTGACAAGGGTTTTGGACAGTAGTCACTGAAACAAGGGAAGAGGGCTTTAATTAGCACAGTTTGCAGGTAAGAATCTGTGGCTTCAGATTGGAGGCAGAGCTTTCTAAGAACAAATGGCTTGATTTGAGAAATGTGGACATTGTATGACTTCTGACACCACCAAATTTTCATTCCAGAATTTTAAACTGCTGTTCCATGAGAAAAGTAGAGCTAGAACTTACAAAGGATGAGAAAGTCAGAGGGTGGCCCCTGCTTTAGATTATTTGTGCCATAGGCAGTTTCTAGAAAGGAAATAGAAAATTCTAAACACTCTCGGCCGGTAAGTACTGCAAAGACAAATGTTCTTTTCTGATGTTTAATTTTTTTCTCTTAATTATCATTTTTAGTTCCATTTTTAGAGTTTTTGACTCTTAAATAGTGGCTTTTTAGGCCAGTCGATTTGTTCATTCATAAAAGCAAGCAGGCAAGATGAAAGGTATTCACTACATCTTTCAAGAGGCAGTACCTGGATGTTTGGTTCCCAAATGCAATCTTCTCTAATATTCACATTGAAAAAAAAAATGCCATTTAGAGTCTAAGTTGGCTTGAAAAAGAGTTCATACAAAGGGTACAGATGTCCACTTACCATTTTCTTGTTTCTCAGTAATTCTCCTCCTTTCTCAAGAAGAAGAAAATGACAGATGGCAAAAATTATCTTACACGTTCCAGTAGAATGCCTGTTTACGAGAGGAGGTCAGAGCAATCAGTACATCTGGAAAACAAACCAGGAGATGACATATTAGTTATGCAAATATTTCTCTGGAAAGTAGGAACATAAGATATAGGAAAAGTCATACACGGGTGCTTTTCTTGTTCACAGCAACCTGAGTGCAGGTTGTAATCCACTGTGACTTGGGTGTCTAACTTGCCTTCCACCAAGGGAGAATGATCGTAGACATGGTAAATGGAATTAATACAGTAAAGCCAATATAATAAGCACTGATGTTTTGTCTTCTGACAGCATATGAATGTGCAAGCATTAAGTTATAGGAGAAAAGGGGCTAATTTTAGATTTGTTCCTAGCCCTCTCCATGTGAATGGTGTCGCTGTGAGCCCAGCAATGAAGTTCACTGTGTTGTAGCAGACTGCGCAGTTCCTGAGTGTGTCAACCCAGTCTATGAACCAGAACAATGTTGTCCTGTCTGCAAAAATGGTAAGACCACACTGCATTAGCTTTTGAAGAGGGGTTCGCACAAAATACAAATATTTCACTACTGCATACCATTCAATGCAAGACCCCTCTAAGATCTGCCTGTGGCTTTTCAATATGGGCATGGCGGATGTATATTTTTATCCCATCTTAAAGTGAAAATAAACCTGCAGTGGGTTTATTGTGCAGCTTTCCATCTGGGGAATTAAAGCTGTTGTAAGCTGACTTCGTTGTGATCCCTATTATTTCGTGTTGATTTAAAAGGAGTATATTGGAAAGAACACAGTACCATCCTTTTGTAGTGACTGCATTCCTCTCTTTTGTAGAGCCAATGAAGCAGTTCACCCCATTTTGTGGTGTATGACCCAGGATATAGGGTAGGGTAAATGCCAGGTATTTTGTTTTGAATGTAGATAAGACCTTAGGTTTAAAGTTAAATATAAAATTCAAGAAATATTAAATAAAATTAGCATTGCACTTAAATTGAAGTAATAAAGATTAAAAAGTTTAGGGCCTTTATTGTAGGTTTTTATTACAGTGGAACTGTGCTCTCACAGTAACTGCTATAGAGAGCAACTTGTTTTATTTACGACATTATAGGTTCCTTTTTGTCCCTCATGGAATGGAGAGGTTGAACCAACTATAATATCCTAATCACCCAAAATCAACATGATGCTGCAGAGAAGACAATGCAATGCTATAAACCCAAGATAGCGCATCAACAAAGCCAATAGCGCACTTTGCCTTATGACCATGTACTACCAAAAAGGAAAAAATAATTCTTTACTAGGCCACATTCCACAAATGTTCTGTCATTAATATCTGCTGGAAAAAGTGGTTCTAGCCCCTAATTAAGATAAGCTCACTCTTATGCTGAATTCCTATGCCTTTTCTTGAGTTGGCAATGGCCATCTTTCTCTATTATTTTTTGCTCTGAATTTGGAGCTCACCTACTAATCTTTTCCTTTACAGAAGGGTAATTAGTAAAAATAAGCATAAAGATATCTTTTACCTTTTATAAAAGATAAAAAAATATTTTTAAAAGATTTTTTAAGTAGCTCTGGTTATTTCTGATAATAATTTTTTTGTGTTTTGGTATCTTCCAAAGGACTTATTAAAAACCTTTGTGACATTTTCCAGATACACGTTTTGCTATTTCTGATCATATAAATCGATTAACTTGAATATTAAGTTGCTCATCTCGCTCCTCTTTTTCTTCTTATCTCCTTTCTCCAATCTACCTGTCATAGTGACCACTCTCTCACTTAGCAGAAAGAAATAACGCTCCTGAAGTTCTAACTCATCAAAAATAAATATATGCAAATATATTAAATTTAAGACTTTAAAATTTTAAAGGGACTGAAGAAACTGGAAAAGATACAAGAAAGAACAATAAGAGGATTTAGTGGTTGAAAAATAGGACCTATGAGGACAGACAGAAAGAGTTAGCATAATTTGTCCTAGAGAAGAAAGGCTCAGGTGAGACCAAACTGTCATAAAATATATGAATGGTGAGTCTAAAGTAGAAGAGAAAGTATTATTTTTCATTTTCTCCAAGGATAAAAGGAAGAAAAACTCAACTACCTAATCAATCTTTAAAAACTGGATTGACAGGTCTTGGACTGAAGACTGCACTTTTTTTTTTCTTTTTTTCCCCTGGAAGCAACTGTCTAAACAAGTCCTTGAGGCTCTTGCCTTCCCCACATGGCTCTGGTTAGCTTTGTCTTACTTTTAGCTTTGTCTCACAATTATGGTTATAGTTAAAATTTCTTGTCTAGACACATCCAGCATATTCATAGAATTAGAACATGTAAAGCATACGTTTAAAACAGTTTTTACACATGCATCTATCACATCCTTCTAGCGACCCTACACTAAAGCCCATAATATACCCAGAGTTAATGTCTATGTCATATGTTAAATCAGCCACTACAAACTAGTTACACTTAATTTGATGTCGCCCAAGATTATCCTATTTCTCTCAACCATGTCAGAGTAGAAATTTTTCTCCAAATGAAATCCTCTTTTTACAAAAGTGTATAATGAATAGACTTTACTTGTTCAATCAGTTAATTAATTAGTAACCACTAGTATTTCTGATAAACAGATGCTAAGTACACAAGGTATGTTAAGTTTTCTGATATTTTTTAAATCATGAAGCACTATGAAATGGCCACTTCTGTTCCCTCTTGGTACTTCCAAACAAATTTTCTTTTCTTAAATAAGGGAAATGAATCTGAATTTAAATTAGTGGAAGGACTGATTGTAATGTAACATTATGAGATGTTATCTTTTTGTTATTAAATGCCGCTAGTTAGTCACATATGCCCCAAAACTAAAGTATAATCATTGCCAAAGAAGAGTATATCAAGAACCAATGAAGACACGTATGACCACCAGTGGTACCAATAATTTTATTGAGAAGACAGACTGAGTCCCAGGTTTTGTTGGCTCTCATTCTAAGCCTAGCCCAGAAAACAGAAACAGATGAATGATATATAGAAGACATGGAGGAAAAATAAATGTTTATTATGACAGTATAACTGGAATAACTTAAGTTTCCAACACATGATTTAAGTCTATCTCATTATATATGGTTATTAACTATAACCATAATAAATATGCCCATTATAGTATAAACTATTTTAAATATAGTTGCTATGTCATAGATTTTTAAAAAGCAACAATAAGCTAAAAATATATACTATGGATTCAAGGTAGATGCAACTAATTCTAACCTATAAACAGTCATAACATTTTCTACATTTTCTTAAATCTTCATAAATGGTTATTTTGGCGGGCAAGTAATTTTCAGTTTGCATAAATGCTTATTATCTTGGCTGTCAAATACTTTGGTTTTTCATATTAAAATTGATTTTTCTGCCTTCCTGAATTACAACTTGCCAAAAGCATGAGGCATTAAAGTTATAAAACTTTTAAAATATGATTTAAACTTTATATTAAAGATATAAACTTTTGAATGTGATGGAATCCATCACACCTAACCTTATAACTCAACATTAAGCTAATATAGAAATATTTGTTTTGATATTATTTAAGAGCAAACAAAACAAAGAAAGATAACAATATGTATGTAGTTTTTCCGTAAAACTGTTTACCAATGAAAATAAACAATTATCTTTGGAAATAAATATTTTAATATTATAAAGTGCAGGGTAATCTACTCCCTAAACAATGGTACCATGTCTTTATTCTTGATAATATAATTTTAAGAATAAGTTTAAGAACATATATTTCCAGGAATTTAATTGTGTAAAGAAGAGAGTTTTAAATTTTCTTGTCTCAGTGATTACCATAAACAAGATTTTCAATGGTTGTCAATGACTATACCCAACAGTAATCTATTCACATTAAAATTAGTTCAGTACCAAGAACAGTCTATCGATTTAGCCTGAATAAAATAAAAACACTAAGGAAAGATATGAATGACTGGACAGAGTCTATGTAAGACACATAATAGGAGGAAAAAGATGAGAGTAATTTTTATTTGGTGAGAATTGGGGGGATTGACATAGGAATTTATTGTTTCTAAAAATATTATTAAGCATTTATTTCTCTTTCCTTTACACAGCTCCAAGAACTAGCAATACAAATGCCTTCCTGAAAAATATGACATTTTCAGACTGTTTTTCTTTCCCTGAGATTGTGTTACTTTGACCTATCTTTCAGCCCCAGGCCTTTCCATGTGAATTAATGAGCACTCTTTATGGATTTTTGTTTTTATGGTATGAAAAAAATAATTTAGCACAGCATCTGTTTAAAGAAAACATTATGGTTTGGAATGTCACGGCAATATTTCAAACATTGGAAACTGACCATAAATTTGACTAGTAATGTGGCTATATGTATATATTTTATATATATAGCTAAAAATACCTATCGTTTATTTTTGTATGTGAATTAATATTAATTTCAAACTCTTGCTCTGCAGCCACTCATTCCATTCTTCAGTTGTTCATACATTCTAATATTTTTGTCCCAAGTCATTAAGAATCCATATTTATAGAATGCTGAACATCTGCATTAAAAAATAAAATATGTAGTCAGTTATCAAAACATTTGATCATTGGAGCATCCAAATGACAGACTGCATTTTTTACATTTCATTAGCTGGTTTGTCAGTGAGTTCTGTGTTTTCACTGGAATACACAGTCAGTCATTATTCAAGGCTCAGAAGGAAATGTTACCCCATGAAAAATTTGAAAAGACAGAACGCTCCCACAAAATCCTGTACACACATTAAGTTTTCAGTTCCTTTCAACTAAATTAAAGTTGTCACAAGCCCTGTTCAAATATTTAATTCTATGTCCCTCACTCTCTTCTAGTTTAGTAGTGATGCAAATGGGCAGAAAATAAACTAGGCAAAGGGGCAAATATTAATAGAAAACAAGAGGACAACAGAGGGGATGAGCCATGCACAATAAGAAAGAGAAGGGACTTCACAGGCATCCAATACCTTCTAAAGGTCCTTGGGAGAACATATTTGCCAAATAAAATTGTTAATATATCTAATACACAAAGAGCTCCTTAAAATAAATAAGAAAGGAAAACGATTCTGCAGGGAAGGAAATGGGCAAAGAGCAAATAAAGGAAATTTACATAAGAAAATGAATTGTCTAATAAATATATAAAAAATATATAATAATCACCAAATGGATAAGGAGATAGAAATTAAAACAATGGGATGTCAATTTTTTATTGATGATAATGTGGGATTGATGGTGCCTCATATCAGCAAAAGTATTGAGAAGAGTTAAGAAAGAGTGGAGAAAATGTTATAAACTTTTTAAAAGACACTTTCTTTCAAAATGTTTGTATCCCTCAAAGTCAGCAGTTTCACCTTTTGTACTTTTTCCCACATTCACATACAAAATTTTCACCCCATTTTGAGAGTGAAAAGTTGGGAGAAAACCTAATAATTCTTCACTGGGATAATTAAATATATAACAGCCTTTTAAAAGACTACTGATATTTTTTACTGCCATGTAAAATAAAGCAAAAACTGTTTAGAAGAATACATATCATTTTGTATGTAATATAATGTATACTACATATCTAATGTGTACATTTTATGTTATATAATTTAAAATAAAATATGTATCTTATAATAAAATAAGATTTTTATTTTAAATAAGATACCTTTTTTTTTTTTTGAGATGAAGTCTAGTTCTGTCACTCAGGCTGGAGTGCAGTGGCACAATCTCAGCTCACTGCAACCTCCGCATCCTGGGTTCAAGTGATTGTCCTGCCTCAGCCTCCCAAGTAGCTGGGATTATAGGTGCCCGCCACCACACCCGGCTAATTTTTGTATTTTTAGTAGAGACGGGGTTTCACTGTGTTGGCCAGACTGGTCTCGAACTCCTGACATTGTGATCCGCCTGCCTCGGCCTCCCAAAGCGCTGGGATTACAGGCGTGAGCCACTGTGCCCGGACAATAAGATATCATTTTAAATAGATATTGAGTTTGTATGTGTATACGAAAAAAGTTAAGTGGCTACATAATAGAATGTTAATAATGATTCTTTTAGGCAGAAGTGAGAAGGTAGAGAAAAGAGCTAAAGTCTTTAAAACATTAAATATTTACAAATTAACAAAAACAATAGATGTGAACAGGTAGTTCACATACAAAATACAAAGTTTCACAAAATACAAAAATTATTATCTCACTAAAAAATCAAATTAGATTATTTTTAAACCCCTTTTTATTTTTGCATGTTGCATTGATAAAAGTTCTGAAAGAATACACACCAAATTTTTAACAGTACCCAGTGATCAGAACAGGAAGTAAGAAGTGGAAGTAAGAATCTAGAAGCAGAGAACTTTGATATTTTATTTCACAGGACTCTTTATTAAATAATTTTTACAAATCTATATTTATAATTTAAAATATTTTATCAAACATTTGAAGAAAAAATAATCCTAATTTTATTGAAATTTTTCTAGAGAAAAGGCAAGAAAAAAGCTTTCTTTTTTAAAATGGTATATAAATTGATACAAACCAAAGATTGCAAACTAAAAAAATGAAGCTAAAAAGCTACATTGCTTATGATTATTAATGGGGAAATCTTAAATAAAATACCATTACAAAATCCTTGATCTAAATCCCTGAGTTCTAGATTTTACAGAGGAAATGCAGTTCATATATTGTATAACATATTACTAGTGGTCTAGGAAAGCATTCTTCAATCAATTACGTGAATATTTCTGCAACAAAATATGTAATAATGATACTAAGGAGACTGAATAAAAATAATGAAGAGTCTAATATCATCTCAGGTTAGGGTTTAATCTCACCTGAGTTTTTGTATCGAAGTCATGAAAAGGCCGGGCGTGGTGGCTCTCACCTATAATCCCAGCACATTGGGAAGCTGTAGCCGGCAGATCACAAGGTCAGGAATTGGAGACCAGCCTGGCCAGCATGGTGAAACCCTGTAGCTACAACAACAAAAAAAGCTGTCTGTGGTGTGTGCCTGTAATCCCAGCTACTCAGGAGGCTGAGGCAGAAGAATTGCTTCAACTTGGGAGGCAGAGGTTGCAGTGAGCTGAGATCACGCCCTTGCACTACAGCCTGAGTGACAGAGCAAGACTCCATCTCAAAAACAAAAACAAAAAAACAAAAAAAAAACCTGGATTTTCAGAGATTGTCAGAAAGGCATTGTATATTTTGTTAGCAAACAGAAGCTAGCAGCAGATCAAAATAATTATGCAACCTAACCAAATGGGATTTACTAGGGGTCTGCAAAGATAGTTCAATATTAGGAACCCCGTTAGTATAATTTGCCTTGTTAGTCATTTGAGGAGAAAGAGCATGTTATTTCTATAAAATGACATTGTACATGAAAAAGCAAAAAGTAATGACAAATATTCTTGATAAAACAAGACTGAAGTGGACAATTTTTACATGATAAAAATATATCTACCTCAGCCTAAAAGGCCGGAGTTATGTTTGGTAGGTAAACACTAAAGAAATTCCCGATAAAGTCAGGAATAGACAAGGATGTCTACTATCATCTTACATTTCAGATACATAGATAGATGAATACATACATACTAGCTAATGTAATTAGAAAAGAGAATTCAAGGGAGGAAAATTGGAAAGAAGGAGGTAAAAAAGGTCACTATTTGCAGATGATATGTGATTGCATTCTTGAAAGCCCCAAGAAAATTGACAAAAACTACTATAAGCAAGAGAATTTAGTAAGATAACGGTACAAAATGAACGTGCAGATGTCAAAACATTTATATATACACATATACATATATAAAATAACACATATATGTATTAAAAGAAAAATTTGGCACTAGTGAATGATGCAGAGGTATCAATAAAATATAATAGAAAGTTTAACAGTCCTAACTACATATGAAAATTTGGTATGCAATGAAGTTGTACTTCAAATCAATGGGAGAAAGCAGGTTTGTAGAACAAACTGTGCTGGGAAACTGGATAGTTATCAGAAAAAAAATTTAATACCTACTTTATCCCATAATTCTCATATAGAAAGAGCTCTTAGAAATTGATTGTTTTAAAAAGATCAATGACTCTATCTTTAAAATGGGCCAAAAACTTCAAAAGACATTCCAGAGAAAATGAATAAACATTAATTTGGGGGGATACATATTTTACAAAAGCCACAAAGTTTATTAAAACCTATTAAAAATAATAAGGAAACAAACCAGGTTTCTAAATGTAAAAACTCAAATTTATTAGGTTATCTAACAATAAATTAAATGGAAATTCTATACAATTTTCTATGGGATGTAACTTTTTAAATAAGTTGACAAAATAAACATTTCTTGTGAAAATGTTAAATACATGAAAAAATGCATTTGGGGCATTGGAAAATTCAACCTACCAGCTGTATTAATATATAAAGATGTAATTTTAACCAATGTGCTATTGGAACAGAAATAAACAGAAGTGACTAGAAAGTAAAAAAGTAACCCATGTGTGTATTACAATTTAGTACACAATTAAGGTGACATCCAAATATCTGATGAAAGATGTATTGGTCTAGAAAAGTTCATTTTTTGAAAGTGAAGTTACATTGCTACCTTACCGATTATATAAAAAGATAAAAATAAATTTAAGTTGGATTAAAATTCTAAATCTAAAAAATCAAATCATAACGGTATGTTGAAAATACTGTAAATATTAACTTGTTCTGAGAATAGGGAAGCTCTTCCTAAACATAAAAGCAAATAGTTTCTAAAAGAAAAAATGTATGGGTAACATATAATTTCATCTGTAAGTTTTTTCATATATTAAAAGAAGATTGCTATCATGTTGAGTAGTTAGGTTAAAAAAAATAAACAAATATAAATAAGATAGCATCTAATTTAGGAAAGGTAAAATGTAACAAGCATTCTCACACACTACTGGTAAGAGTGTAAATGATATATGCTCTCTGAAGGGTAGTAAAAATGTATGGACCTTTAATGCAGCAATGACACTTTAAAAAATTGATCAAAAATAATGAGAGAAGAATTTTAAATGGTGTATATGGATATAGTTGTTATAAAGTTGTTTGATAATAGCAACAATTTGGAAAAACTGAAACCTAAATATTTAAGAATAAAGTGACTGGTTAAAGAAACCACAGTATATCCATATGAACTACTAAGAAAGCATTTTAAGTAATATTATAGAAAAAAAAAGCATTTCCCTCACAAATATGTTTACAATATTAAACTAATGAGCCAGAAACTATACATGTATGTACATATATGTGTGTATGTATGTATGTACATATATACATATTTATAGGTCATATATAGAGAGACCCTATTTTTACTAAAAAGAAAATACATGTATAGGAAAAAGACTAGAAGGAAATACTTCAGAATATTAGTACTGCTTAACTCTATATGATATGATAACTTTATATGCTAATAGATAATTTTTATTTTCTTCCTTTGACAAACCTGTATTTTCTAAATGTCCTGCAACAAGTATATATTATCCTTGTGATTTAAAATTACTATTAAAAAAGAAAATAAAATTTATAACCAAGATGATATAATTTTTTCTTTTACTAAAAAAAACAATAGCATGTTCCTTATGAGAAATTATACTATGACTTCTTATTAAAATTTGTACTCTATCAACTAATTAACCAACTAATAATTTCTACCACTTGACTTTTCAACACCTTTAACTATGAGATTCTTTTCAAAGCATTTAGAAAGCCTCATTGACCATTTTATGCATCTATTAGGGAAATTGCTAAAATATTCACTTAAGTATATCCATTTACATTTTTATGAAACTACGTGAAAAACCAGCTTTTTAAATTTGAGAATTGGGTGCAAATTGTCCACCTTAATTTAATATGTTCTCACTTCTTTTTAGGTAGACAATTAGTGATAAGCATAACAGACATGAAACAAACACACTGAACATGAAACATTTTCTGGCAGCTGCACACATATGTTGGCTGCAGAGCCCCTGAAGCAGTTCATGATGCAAGCATGTCCTATGAAAGGCAGTTTCAAAGTCTGCATCTCTACAACTGAAGGTCAGAATTATCATATTCTTATAAAGTAGATGTCAAAACAGAATAGTTATAAATAGCTATTTTAATGAGCCACAAACAATAATTTCCTATTTCTTTCATAAAGCTTCCTCCAAAATATGAAAGAAAATATTTATGTTTATATTCTCTTATACCAACAGGATTCCCTCTTAATTCATCAGCAAATTAGATTTTAGAAGTATTATTTTACAATGTTGACACAATAAAAATTAATGCCATGTTCATTTCCTGCTAATCATATCGCTTCTAGAATTATTAGGGCTACCTGGTCTTCAAGAAAATGCAGAAAGGAAGGCTAACGTGCAAAATTTTGAATGTTTTCTGTGTTTCTCACTTAAGATATGGAAAATACTTGGGGACTATTTTTTCCCTAAGTAAATGTTTGAAATGTTGAGTCCAGTCCCCCCACAAAACATACATTTTTTCCCTTGAAAACAGACACATTAGGAAGTTGCATGCACTGCTTCAAGTGGTATGCAATACTTTAATGTTCAGTACCCCATTCTGCAGGACGCTTGAGAGACTGATGGAAGGGTGTTGAACACATACATATGGAATTTTTTTTCATAAACATTCATATAATCTTGGAGATAATCGGACTCAAAAACAGTAGCTAGGCATACTGCTGAGTGTATCCCTGAAAACTATTCTTAAACCTCGTTCCTGTCTCATTCTTGAACCTCTCTTCATTTACGGTTTTTATAGAATATTCCTGATTTCTAGGATTGTAGACAGACTCTCTAATAAACTACCTCTGTGAAGTGTGCATGGTAGAAACTGGGAAACTGGGATCACCTTGGGAGTTGGATATAGTTTCAGAATTAAATGGGGTGGGGTCTGACTGGGAAGTGAAGGCATTCGCTGTTGCCAAGATTCATGAATACCTAGAAATGATATCTCTCCAGAGAGGTTCAAACCACTGGCTACGGGAGAGCCTCATTGAAGGTGCAATACAACTCCTCAGTCTCAGGAGTGGTGAGTCTCCAGTCCACAGTGACCCCCAAGCTCTTCTTCACAGAGCCCAGACATCCATGTATCTCTCAGAGGTACCCAGAGATCAAGTGGTAACTGCTCACACTGAAGGCACAAATTAAGGTACACAGTCTAACTTCATCTAAACCTACTCTCTGATGTAGACATGCTAGGAAGTTACATTCACTTCTTCACTTCACATCAGCACTGGGATATAATACCCTAAGCTTTTCAGGGAGTTGGAATCCCAGAGCCAACCGCGCCCTACCACCCCACCACCATACCCTGAACTGGTTTTGTGTAACCTTTGTGCAGGCTGACAAAAATAAAAACAAAGCTGTGGTGTGTTCTTCATCCTTAAATGTAAATGCCTTCAAAAGAGTTCAGGCAAGATGAGCCTAGAAGGCCTCTAGAAGGTTATCCCTCTATCTTCCTCAGAAGTTTTACACATCTGGAACAAGAGACTCTAATGTTCAGATTCCTCGGGCACAGAGTCCCAGATTCCCTCCGTCTAAACCTTCTTGGGCTCTTGCATCTCCACGTCATTGTTGAAGAAGGATGCTGGGTGGTCCTGAAAAGATCCCAACCCCTCCTTTCCCAGCAGTCACTGTCTTACCCTCACTGCCTGGCTTGGAAATCTTAGGACTGATCTCATGATGCCCTTTTTCCCTGCTTGTCTCAGACCCCACCAGAAGCCCAGAACCACCAGGGTATCCCTCAAACCCTGGACTGTGATCCCCATGTGGTTCTATGAGCTATGAGTTAACAACCCAAATCACCACTGACGAGTCCATTTTGCTGCTTTATTGTTCTCCACCATACCTACTGCCACATAAACAACTACTTTACCTATTGACTTACTGGTCTCCCCTCCTCAGGACACAGGGGTAAACCCCATGAAAGCAAAGATTTCTATCTATTTTGTTCACAGTTGTATTCTTACTATGTACAACACATTGTAGATGCAAATATATATGTTTGTGAATAAATGAATCCACACACACCCATATTGTATCTTCAATATAGCTGTAATTAAATAAGAAGTCTGATTCTTTGAGTTATTTTAAATTACCTTTTGAAATGTATGTTTTCTATTTCATACAGAATAACTTTCACATGGAGAGTCTAGGATGCTTTTGGTGGTGGGAAGGAAGGTGCTTCTCAGAAGATTACTTTTATAATTAAGTTTGGTTTTGTTTCCCACTAAGATTAGCCTGCACATATTAACTGATAGGAGGCAGAGCCAGATGATCTAGAAAAGACAGACGGATTGCCAGGGGAAACCAAGTCTAGCTTGAACTTTTACTGTTTCATAATCTCACCATGGATACCTAAAGCTCCTGTTTATTAAGAACAGACTTCATGTAATGTGTGGGTCGCTTTAGTGCAAAATTAATGTTATACATTACCCAGTATCATTCTCAATGATTTATCAAATTCTAAAGATAAAGTATGTTAATGTCTGCAAAACACCTGAAACATACCAGGGCTTAATAAACAAGAGCTAGTGTTACTTAGTAGTTACATTAATTATCATCATTAGACCAGCCATTGAGAAAACATGTGAAAAGGGCAGCTGTTCCCTTAGAAGGTACCATCAGCAAACACCCCTTTCCATCCTATTCTCCCAGCACTCAATGCCCTCTGAGTCATCCTACAGGCACCTATCCCAGATGTCTTCTCCTCTATGGGCCAGGACCCTCCTGCTGTTCCCGTCATCCAAGGTTTGCTCTTCCCCACATTCCAACTAATTGGGGCCATATTTTATGACTCAGTCATCTGATTAACCCCAAAATGCTCCACCTTGGGAAAATATAAGTAACTAAACTGGTGTGTTTAATACCTGATGTCCCAGCTATTTCCCTCAAATGTTTAGTGGCATTCATTATGAAAATTGTAGAAGGGAAAGGGATTGAGAGTGTGAGAGTATTTTTGAATGTGTGTGGATACCTAGATATACACTGTGGTAGGCTAGAAGTATTGAGCAGCTTTTCTGTCCATCTCAGATAACATAGCATAGGGGGTTGATTGGACTTTTTAAGAGGTTACAAAGCCATGAGCATTGATGAAATATGTGATTTGAAACATTTTGGTAAAATCAACAGAATTTAATGTGAAGACAAGAAACAAAGAAAATGTGCCTTGATATCAGAGCAGTGGGAGAAAAAATTGATTGTAGGAGATAATAGTTAATTCTAGATATCACATTATGTGACTTAAAAATAAGTCAGAAATATGGCATAAAACGCAAACAAAGGAAACTTGCAACCAATACCTCTTTTGACACACAGTGATTGGGAAATCCTCCAAGAATTGCTGTGGCAGTGGCAGGAAGCCCTTGCAGCGAGACCTCTGATATTTAAATGTAGCTCTGAGCTGCTTCAAATCAATCTATCAGAAATGTTAAACCTCTTTTGAAATATATTTATGGTTGGATACCCCTCAATTGAGAAAGGGGAAATAGGAAGTTCCTGCATACATACTTATTTTGCTTACATGTGCTTCATTTGTACAAGGTGATAGAAAAGAGCAGCCATAAATGCTACTGTTTGTCAGGGTGGATAACTAGCCAGCCCCGAGTCTTTCCTTCCTTTTACCCATTACTTTCATATGTTTTGCAGAAAGGTCCCTAATGCAATATATCTGCCTTCTGGAAGGCTAAGCTCGGTTACTTTCCCATGTTGTTAAATAATTAGATAGTTGGCAGTGTTGCGTCCAAATTTTGAAAGCCTCCTGCTCCAACTTTCTGTGTTAGGGTTTGAAATAGGGGCAAGATGCAGGGCACTGGGCACTGATTCATGTGTTTAAGGTGTAGGGTTATTGATGTCTTTGGATTAGATGTGATGACTCCTTTGCGAATGGGGAAAGATGACAATGACAAGGAACCCAGGAGGAAGTCTGCAGTGAAGAGGAAAGCACGTGAGCCTTTCAAGCCAGAACTCCTGCAGGCTGACGGCAAAATCTACATTGAATTCTTGTACTTACAGTAAGTGCAAGAGTCAGGTCTCAGCTGAGTGAAGTAATCAGCCCCCTAGGCAGTGTCATCAGAGAGGGACAGAAAAGCTGTTCAACCCATCACTATGGTGACCCTTCTAGCCTATCACAGTATGTGTCTAAGCACCCATGTGGATTCCAAAATACTCTCACACTCCAATTCCTTTCCCTTCTAAAATTTGCATAATGAATGTTACTAAAAATTTGAGGGAAAGAGTTGAAACATCAGGTATTAAACACATCAGTTTAGTTACATATATTTTCCTAATGTGGTGCATTCTTGTGTTAATCGTATAACTAGGTCATAAAATATGGACCCAATTAGTTGGAATATGGGGAAGAGCAAACCCTGGATGACAGGGAGACAGCAGGAGAATCCTAACCCAGGGAATAGAGGGCTCCTGGGAGAGATGCCTGTAGGATGAGTCAGGGGGCAACAGGTGCTGGGAGAGTGGGATGGAAAAAGGTCTCTGTTGATGACACCTGCTGAGGGGAATGGTTGCCCTTTTCACATGTTTTCTCAATGGCTGGTCTAATGATGATTAATATAACTACTAAGAGTAACACTGGCTCTTGTTTATTAAGCCCTGATATGTTTAGGTGCTTGAAAGCATTAACATGTTTAACCTTTACAACAGTCCTATAAAGGGGAAATAATTATAATTACTAATTTGTGGAGGAGGAAGCTGAAGCTGAGCTAAAATAAGTAAATTGCCCTTAGATTGCTGAGTTTTGAACCACACTCCATCAAATTTCAAAGCCTGCGTTCTTAATCAGTAGTTCCTAAAGCGTAGTCCCAGACCAGCAGCATCAGTATTAGGTAGAAGCTAGTTAAAAATGCAAATTTCTGAACCCATTCTAGATTTTTTCAATCAGAAAATTTGGGACTGGGACCCGCATTCTATGTCTTAACAAGGCCTCCAGAAATTCTGTTGCTCAAAGATCAAGGAATATATACTTCTTTTTAGGTGCTAATATTAAGAAATTCATTCTAAAAATCCTTCCTAAGGAAGGATAAGTGGGTCGGTGTGGGGGGGGGGGGCAGTAAAAGCTGAAATAATTGTCATCCAATGACTACCTGTGAGAATGTTCTACTAAGATAAGAAGAAAGATAAGGCTGGAAAGGAAGGGTCAGACCCCAAAATGCCCAGGAGTCAAAGCAAAGCCACCTGGGTTGGAGAAGATCTATGAATGCTAAATCTCAGTAGGGGCAAAGGCAAGTCCTTCAGGGCCTAGAAGTGGAAATAGGTGGGAGATACCAGGGAGATAGTATTCAGGTTAAGCTGCCAAGAAGGGCTATTCTTAAGGCTCATGGCATTTTTTAATAACAAAGTCATGAGCATTGAGAGCTAAATTCAACCAATTTTTAAAGGCAGCAAAAGTCACTCAAGAAGGCACAATAATGAAAGGAAAGGCAATGTGAGATGAATAATGGTTGCTAATTCCTTTTTCATTCATCAGAGTCTTTACTGATGTATTATAAAGAAGTGCTTGTTTCAAGTAACATATTCTTTCTGGATATGAGTCATGGCAACTATTAATAAAATTTTATGTCGTGATTTTATTTAAAAATTTTCATTTTTAAATAATTCTATCGAGATATAATTAAATGAACTGTACATTTTTAAAATATTTCCTGTTCTGACATGTATACCTGTGAAACTATTGTCATAATCAAGATAATACACATATTCATCACTCCTAAAACTTCCTTCAAGTTCCTTTATAGTTCTTCCCTCCAGTCCTTCTCTGCCCCATCCCATTCCAGGCAATCTCTGTTCTGCTTTCAGTCCTTGTACATCAATTTGCATTTCCTAGCACTCTGTATGCATGGAATCATTCAGTATGCACTCTCTTTTGTTTGTTTTTGGCTTTTTGTGTGTGTGTTTGTGTGCATGGCAGGGTCTAGCTGTGTCACCCAGACTGGAGTGCAGTGGCACAATCACAGCTCACTGCAGCCTCAACCTCCTGGGCTCAGATGATCCTCCCACCTCAGCCTCCCAGTAGCTGGGACTACAGATGCACACCACCACGCTTGGCTAATTTTTTGTAAAGACAGGTTTTTGCCATGTTGCCCAGGCTAGTCTCTACTCTTTTTCATCTAGCTTTTTTCATTCAGCATAATTATTTTGAGATTCATACATGCTGTGGCATGTATCAATGGTTCATTCCTTTTTAACTACTTGATCACATAGCTACACCACAGTATAATTTATCTGTTCACTTGTTGATGGACATTTAGGTTGTTTCTAATTTTTGATTATTACAAATAAAGCTGCTAGAACTAAACAGAAGCCTTCGTATGGATACTTTCTTTTTTGAATATGCCTAGGAGTGGAATCCTAGATCATATGGTAGATGTATACGTAACTTTTTTTTAATGCCAAAGTGCCTCAAAATGGCTGTACCATTTCAAATTCCCATAAAAAATGGGACTGCCAGTTTCTCCACCTCCTCACCAATGCTTGGAATTACCAGTCTTGTTTAATTTTAGCTTTTCTAGTAAACATGTATTGTTCTGTCATCGTGGTGTTAAGTTGCATTTTCCTAATGACTAGTGAGGATTAGTCTCTTTTCATATGATATGTTTCCACCTGTGTATCTTCTTTGGTGAAATGTCTGTTCAAATCATTTGCTCATTTTTTTATTAGCTTGTTCTTCAGTTTGAAGAATTCTTTATATATTCTGTAGACAAGTCCTTTATGAGACATATGCTTTGCAACTATTTCCCATCAGTCTATGGCATGTCTTTTCATCCCTTTCACAATGTCTTTGGGAGAGCGGTTTTTAATTATAATAAAGTATAATTTATCACTATTTTATGAATTGTGCTTTTGGTTGTAACCAAGAAATCTTGACCTAACTCTTGGTCAAAAAAATATTTTTCCTTTGTTTTCTCCTATTAATAGAAGTATTTTAGTTTCAGGTTTTCATTTATGTCCATGATTCATTTTGAGTTAATTTGTGAATATGATGCAAGAAACTGATTGAAGGGTTTTTTTTTAAATATGAATATCCAGTTGTTTTAGCACCATTTGCCAAGACAACTATTCCTTCTCCACTGAATTGCATTTGTGTCATTGTTAAAAATCAGCTGTCTATGCTTATATACAAATGCAATAATTTCTGAACCCTGTATTCTGTTTTACCAAAGTTGTTTAGCTGTTCTAGGTTCTTTGATTTTCTATCTGAAGTTTAGAATCAGTTTATCAGTTTATATCTCCCCTCATAAAAGTATATTGGAATTTTAATTGGTATTTCATTGACTCTATACACCCATTTGAGGAAAATTAGCATCTTAACAATACTGAGCCTTCCAATTCATGAATATGGTATGTCTCTCCATTTATTTAGTTCTTCCTTAATTTCCCTCAGCACTATTTTGCTGTTTTCAATGTACAGGCTTTTCACATATTTGCTCAGTTTTGTCCCAAAGAATTTTTTTTCTTTTTTTTTTTTTGAGATGGAGTCTCGCTCTGTTGCCCAGGCTGGAGTGCAGTGGCACAATCTCATCTCACTACAACCTCCTCCTCCCAGGTTCAAGCGCTTCTCCTGTCTCAGCCTCCCAAGTAGCTAAGATTACAGGCGTGTGCTGCCACACCCAGCTAATTTTTTGCATTTTAGTAGAGATGGGGTTTCACTTTGTTGCCCAGGCTGGTCTCGAACTCCTGAGCTCAGGCAGTCCACCCGCCTCTGCCTCCCAAAGTGCTAGAATTACAGGAGTGAGCCACCGCGCCCAGCCTTTTAAATACTCTTGTAGTTAGTATGGATTTTTAAAGATTTTCTGACTATTTGATACTAGTATATAGAAATAGAATTGATATTTATATATTGCTCTTGGGTTCTGAAACGTTGTTAAACTCAACTATTGGATCTAGTAGCTTTTTATGTGTGAGTATGTAGATTCAGTTGAATTTTCCACATAGACAATCATGTTGTCTGTGAATAAAGACAGTTCTATTACTTCCTTACCAATTTGGATGCATTTTAGTTTTTTATCTTATTGTGCTTTTTAGAACATCCCATACAACGTTGAATAGAGATGGTAAAAACTGTACATTCTTACGTTGTTCTGATCTTGTAGGATAATCATTCAGTCTTTCCTAAGTATAATTTTATTAACAGGTTTTTCATAGATGCTTGTTATCAGTTTGAAAAAGTCCCCTTCTAGTAGTACTTTAGTAAGATTTTGTGTGGGTTTTTTTTTTTACTCAGGAATTGATGTTGGATTTTCTTAAAGGATTTTTGTGTGTCTCTTGAGATAATCATGTGGGGTTTATGTTAGTTTACTAGTATACTGAATTACATTGATTGATTTTCTTTTTTTTTTTTTTTTTTTTTTTGAGATGGAGTCTCACTCTGTTGCCTAGGCTGGAGTGCAGTAGTGCAATCTTGGCTTACTGCAAGCTCTGCCTCCCAGGTTCATGCCATTCTCCTGCCTCAGCCTCCGAGTAGCTGGGACTACAGGCGCCTGCCACCACGCCCGGCTAATTTTTTATATTTTTAGTAGAGATGGAGTTTCACCGTGTTAGCCAGGATGGTCTTGATTTCCTGACCTTATGATCTGCCTGCCTCATCCTCCCAAAGTGCTGGGATTACAGGCTTGAGCCACCGTACCCGGGCTAAGTCAACTTTGCATTCCTGAGATAAACTGCACTTGTTCAAAGGTACTGTCCTTTTTATATAAGATCGATTTTAATTTGCAAAAAATTTTTTAAAAATTGGTCATCTAAGCTTATGAGGCATATTATAGTTTTCTTTTCTGTTGATGCATTTATCATGTTTGGGTATCAAGATATTGCTGTCAGCATAGAATGAATTAGGAACATAGTCTCTCTTATTCAATTTTCTGGAAGAGTTTGTATAGAATTAGTATACATATATATGTTAAATGTTTGATAGAATTCACCAATGACCTATGACACTATCTGAATTTCAGTTTCCTTTGTAAAAAAGACTTTTAAAATAAATTTATTTTATATTTATAACCATGAGTTAGCTTTGGAAGTTTGTATCTTTAAAGAATTATACCATTTTATCTAAGCTGCTGGATTTATGGTCATAAAGTTGTTAATAATATTCCCTTAGTAAACTTTTAATATTTTGATTCTATGTAATTTCAGCTTTCTCATTTTTTAACCAATATATTTGCACATATTTATGGGTTACATTTAATATATTGTCAAATGCATGGAATGTGTAATGACCAACTCCGAGTATTCAGGATATTCATCGCCACTAGCATTTATCATTGCTATGTGTTGGGGACATTTTAAGACCCCTCTTCCAGCTATTTTGAAATATACAATATATTGTTTTAACTATAGTCACCTTACTTTGCTGTCAAACATTAGAACTTATTCCTTCTGTTTGTTTGTACCCACCAACCAACATAAGATAATCCCCTCATTAACTCACCGCAGAACAATCTCTCTCCCCTGCCTCTGGTAACTATCAATTGACTCTCTAGCTCCATTAGATTAACTTTCTTAGCTCCCACATGTAAGTGTAAACATGTGAGTATTTCTCTTTCTGTGCTTGGCTCATTTCACTTAATGTCCTCCAATTCTATCCAGGTGGCTGAAAAAAACTATGTCATTTTTTTTATATCTGAATAGTATTTCATTGTGTACAGATACCACATTTTCTTTATTCATTCATTGACAGACACTTTGGTTGATTCCCTATCTTGGCTATTGTGAATAGTGCTACAGTAAACACGGCAATGATGGTATCCCTTTGATATACTGATTTCCTTTCCTTTGGATAAATACACAGTAGTGGAATTGCTGGGTCATATATTAGTACTGCTTTTTAGTTTTCTAACAAATTTCTGTACTGTTTTCAATAATGGCTGTACCAATTTACAGTCCCATTAACAGTGTATAAGCTTCCTTTTTCTCTTCATCCTCACCAGCATCTGTTATTTTTTTGTCTCTTTGATAATAGCATTTCTAACTGGGGTAAACTGATATCTCATTGGGTTTTGACTTGAATTTTCCTGATGATTAGTGATGCTGATCATTTTTTATATACCTGTTGGCTATTGGCATGTCTTCTTTTGAGAAATGTCTGTTCAGATCCTTAGTCTACTTTTTAATGTGATTGTTTGGTTTTTGTTTGGGTTTTTTTGTTTGGGGGTTTTTGTTTTGTTTTTTGCTGTTGAGTCCCTTGTATATTCCGGACATTACGCCTTTGTCAGATGAAAAGTTCACAAATACTTTCTCCCATTCAACTTACTGTCTCTTTACTCTGTTGATTGTATTCTTTGCTGTGCAAAAGATTTTTAGTTTAATATAGTAATATAGTCCCATGTGTCTATTTTTATTTTTGTTGCCTGTACTTTTGAGGCGTTAGCCATAAAATATTTTCCTAGACCAACATCCTGGAGCTTTTCCCCTATGATTTCTTCTACTAGTTTTATAGTTTGGGGTCTTACTTCTAAGTCTTTAATCCATTTTGAGTTGATTTTTCATATGGTGAAAGACACTAGTTTTATTCTTTGCTTATGAACATCTACTTTTCCCAGTACCATTTATTGAAGAAAGTGTTTTCTCCCCCCACTATGTGTTCTTGGCATCTTTGTCAAATATCAATTGGCTGTAAATATATGGATTTATTTTTGGGTTCTTTATTATGTTCTGTTGGTCTGTGTGTTTGTTTTTATATCAACAGCATGATGTTTTGGTTATTATAACTTTTTAATTTATTTTGAAGTAGTGTGATGCTTTCAGCTTTGTTCTTTTTGCTCAAGATTGCTTTGAGTATTCAGACTCCTTTTTTATTCCATACAAATTTTAGAATTTTAAAAAATTTCTGTGAAAAATGTTATTTGTATTTTGAAAGAAATTGCGTTGAGTCTCTAGAATGCTTTGGGTAGAAGCATCCTTTTAGCAATGTTCTTCTGATCCATGAACATGGAATGAACCTCCTCACTTAAATTTATTCCTAGACAGGCTTTTGGTGGGGCAAGGATTAGGTATTGTAAAGTCTTGTAATTCCTTTTAAAGGAATTAAAGTCTTGATTTCTTTTTCAACTAGCTCATTGTTGGTGTATAGAAACACTATTGATTTTTATGTGTTGATTTTGTATTCTGCAATTTATCAGATCCAAAAGTTTTTGGTGTAATCTTTAGGTTTATTAACATCATATCTGCAAAGAGTGGTAATTTGACTCTCCCGTATCCAATTTGGATACCTTTCATTTCCCTTGACTGGTTGCTTTGGTTGTGGATTCAAGTACTGCGTTGAGTAGGAGTGGTGAAAGTGGGCATTCTTGTCTTGTTCCAGTTTTTAGAAAAAAAGACTTTCAGCTTCTTCCCATTCATTATAATTTTAACTATATGTTTGCTATATATGGGCTTTATTATGTTGAGACATGTTCCAAGCCCAGTGTTTTTATCATGAATGGATGTTGAATTTTATCAAATGCTTTCTCTGTGACTCTTGAGATGATCACAATCATTCTTTTGATATGATGTATCACATTTATGCATTTGGTTATGCTGATCCATCCCTATATCTCTGGAAGAAATCTCACTTGATCATGGTGCATTATCTTTTGCATATGCCATTGAATTTGATCTGTTAGTATTTAGTTGAAGATTTTGGCATCTATGTTCTTCAGGGATATTGACCTGTAGTTTTCTTTCTTCTATTGTTTCCTTGTCTGGTTTTGGTATCAGGGTGATGCTGGCTTCAGGAATGAGTTGGAGAAAATTTCCTCCTCTTCCGTTTTTTTGAATAGTTTGAGGACAATAGGTTTTTCTTCTAATGTGGCAGTAAAACCATCAAGTCCTGGGCGTTTCTTTGTTGGGAGACTTTTTATAACTGATTCTATCTCATCACTCATCATTGGTCTATTCAGGTTTTCTATTTCTTCCTGATTCAGTCTTGGTAGGTTGTATGTGTCCATTGCCCGTAGGTTTGCAGTATGTTAACATACAGTTTTTCATACAAGTCTTTGGTCATCTTTTTTATTTCTGTAGTATCAGTTGTAATGTTTCCTTTTTCACTCCTGATTTGTATGAGTGTCTTCTTTTTTTCATGGTTAGTCTACTTAACAGTTTATCAATTTTGTTTATCTTTTCAAAAAGACAACTTTTTGTTTGCTTGATATTCTATGTTGATGTTTTTTAGCTTCTAATTTGTTTAGTCTGTTCTGATTGTAATTCCTTCTTTCTTTATACTCATTTTGGGTTTTGTTTGTTCTTGCTTTTCTTCTTCCTTAAGGGGCATCATTAGGTTGTTTATTTAAAATCTTTCTACTTTTCGGATGTAGGTGGTTATTGCTATAAATGACCCTCTTAGCACAGCTTTTGCTCTATTACCATGGGTTTTGGTATGTTGTGTTTTCATTCCATTTGAGAATTTTTTCAGTATCTTAATTTCTTCTTTTACCTAGTGGTCATTTAGGAGCATATTGTTTAACTTTGATGTATTTGTACAGTTTCCACAGTTGTCTTATTAATTTCTAGTTTTATTTCATTGTGGTCTGAGAAGTTACTTGGTATAATTTTGAATTTTAAAAATGTGTTGAGACTTGCTTTATGGCCTAACATATGGTCTATCCCAAAGAATGTTCCATATGCAGATGAAAAAAATGTGTATTCTGCTGCTGTTGGATAAAATATTCTGTAAATGTCTGTTAGGTCCATTTGGTCTAATGCGCAGTTTATATCCAATGTGTCCTTGTTGATTTTCTGTGTAGTTGATGTCCAATGCTGAGAGTGGTTTGAAGTCCCTAACAATTATTGCATTGGGGTGTATCTCTCCTTTTAGATCTAGTAATATTACTTTATATATCTGGATACTCTGGTGTTGGTGCACATGTGTTTAGAATTGTTATATCTTGTTGCTGAATTGATCTCTTTATCATTATAATAACCTTCTTTATCTCTTTTTACTAGTGTTGACTTGAAGTCTGTTGTATGTGACACAAGTGTAGCTACTCCTGCTCACTTTTTGTTTCCATTTCAGTGGAATGACTTCTTCCATCCTTTTACTTTCAATGTATAAGTGTCTTTAAGGGGGAAGTGGGTTTCTTTTAGGCAGCACATAGTCTGATCACATTTTTTAAATCAATTCAACTTTTAAATGGAAAATTTAATCTATTTACATTCAAAGTGGTTATTATTTATTTTGTTAATTATTTTCAGATTGCTTTGTATGTCCTTTGTTCCTTTCTTCCCTCTTATTGTTCCCACTTGTTGGTTTTCTGTAGCAGTAACATTTGAATCCTTTCTCTTCTTCATTTGTGTTTGCTTTACCAATGAGTTTTATATTTTGTGTGTGTTTTAATGAGGGTTGATATTGTCCTTTCACTACCAGGTGTAGGACTCTAGGACTCTCTTAAGCATTTCTGTTGGACTGGTCTAGTGATGATGAATTCGTTCTTTTTACATGTCTGGAAAAGACTGGTCTTCCTTCATTTATGAATAACTTTGCTGGGTATAGGATTCTTCATTGCTAGTTTTTTTTCCTTTCAGCATTCTGAATATACGATCCTATTTTCTTATGACCTGTACAGTCTCTGCTGACAAATTCACTTACTCTGATAGACATTTCCCTATATGTAAATAGATGCTTTCCTCTTGTTTCTAGAATTATTTCTTTTCCTTTGACTTTTTTTTTTTTTTTTTTTTTTGAGATGGAGTTTCACTCTTGTCACCCAGGCTGGAGTGCAATGGTGTGATCTCAGCTCACTGCAACGTCCGTCTCCCAGGTTCGAGTAACTCTCCTGCCTCAGCCTCGCGAGTAGTTGGGATTACAGGCACCTGCCACCATGCCCAGCTAATTTTTGTATTTTTAGTAGACACAGGGTTTCACCGTGTTGGCCAGTTTCACTCCTGACCTCAGGTGATCCGCCTGCCTCAGCCTCTTAAAATCCTGAGATCACAGGCGTGAGCCACCATGCCTGGCCTTCTTTGACTTTTGACAGTATAATTACAGCAAGCCTTGGAAATCTTTTTGAATTGTGCCTATTTGGAGGTTTCTGAGCTTTTTGTATCTGGATGTGTAAACCTCTTGCTAGGTTTGGGAAGTGTTCAGCTATCATTTTGTTAAACAGATTTACTATATCTTTGCTTTCTCTTCACGTTCTAGAACACCCAAAATTTGACTATCTGGTTGCTTTATAGTACTCTATATGTAATGTAGGCATTCTTCATTCCTTTTTATTCTCTTTGGATTTTGTGTGTGTTTGTGTGTGTGTGCCTGTGTTATTTTAAAAGACCTGTCTTCAAGTTCTGAAATATTTTTTTCTGCTTGATCTAGCCTATAGTTGAAGCTATTGATGGTATTTTTCACTCACTGGATTCTTTTATTCCAGGATTCATTTGGTTCTTTTTTATAACATCTATTTCTTTGATGAATTTCTGATTCATATTCTGAATTGCTTTTCTGATTTGTTTTGTTTATCTGGGTTCTCTTGCATCTCGCTGAACTTAATATCATTATTTTAAATTCTTTTTCAAGCATTTCATAAATTTTTCATTGGAATGTGTTACTGGTGAATTATTGTGTTTTTTTAGGTGTTACATTTCCTTGCTTTTTCATGTTTTTTATGTCCTTAGGTATCTGCACATCTAATAGGATCATTACTTCTTCCAGTTTTTTGGATTTGCTTTCGTAGAGGAAGCCCTTTGTGTGAAGCTGTATCTATGGTATTGTCTGGGTAGGAAATGTTAGTTTTGATTCTGGGTGCATGCAATAGTCTAGTATCCATATGATTTCTTTAGCTATAAACAGCTTAAGTGGTATGTATAATTTCCTCAGTGACTTGGGCTGCAGTTATTAGTGGAGGCTGTGGTGAGGCTTTGTTAGGAATGGGGATGCCAGATGGGCCAGTAGTCAGGCCCCAGTCGTGGCAGCAGTGGGACAAATGTTCCTGTCCTTGGGCCCCTGGGCAGTGTACACAGGCACTGGTGGTAGTGGATTTAAGTGGGATAATTCTGGGGCCTCTCAGCAGCTTGCTCAGGGGCCAGAAGTAGCAGCAATGGCCTGGACAGTTGAGTAGGTCCTCATACCCCTGGGCAGTTTGTGTGGCATAGGCAATGGCAGTAGCAGTGATAAAACAACCCTCAAGTTCCAAGGGGGAACACTCTAGTGTTAATGGTGGCGGTGATGAGCTGGGTAGGCCAGTCCTCAGGCCCCCAAATGTCACAACCAGGTGAGTGTTGGCAGTAGTGGCAGGCTGGGTGACGCTAACCATGGTGTTCAGGTCAGAGCATTGCCTATGCCTCTAAATGGCCTGCTTTATCACCAGTGGCAGGTGTTCCAGAACACCTGTTGCTAGGCCCTTGGTGGTACATATGCACACCTGGGGAAACTAATAGAATGGGGCAATCCACAGGTCCTGGGGCAGTATGCTCAGGCACTGGAGCCGGCAGTGCCAGGCTGGTAACTCTGTCCTCAAGCTCCCTAGTGGTACACACAGGAGCAGGTTATGATAGGCAGGATGGGGCAATCCCCAGGTTCCCTAACAGCATGGTTAGGAGGTAATGGCAGTGGCGGCAGTGGCAGCAGTGGCGGTATGTGGAGAAAGCCCGCAACCAGGACAGTCGCAGTGGCTCAGCTTCTGGTGTGCGTGTGGTTGCTATCAGTGTCAGCTACCTCAGAAAGCTGGCTTTTAGGCTCTGGGAAGCCTCGCCAGTGAACTGCACTGCTCGTTCCCTGTAGGACACTGTGTGGGATGGAGTGCTGAGGACCCTGCTGCACTGAGTTCAAATGTCATCGCATTACTGTAGCCCTCTGTGTAGACACGGGAAAATGTCACCCATGCTCCAGGAATGTGGAGAAGCTATTGGGGCCCAGAGCAGGATGCGGTCTAGTGGAAGCTAGGCTCTCAAAATGGCACTGCACTGCAGCTGCTTGGGTTTTGGCAGGTGTGTGAAACCTAGAATGATCTTCCTTTCTTGAGCAATACAATCTCATGGACTCCAGGCAGCTCCCTATACTAATCTTAGGGCCCACAGGGGGCAAGGGCTAGCATCACAAGAGTCCACAGTGGGAATGTGGGCCACTTGGGATCTCTTACTTACCCTGTCCCTGCACTGGAAAGTGTCTCCAGGCTTCTAGCCAGTCCCAGCCTGGCCAACTGCCTCATTTCTCTCTCCTTCCAAGCCTCAAGTGCCTTCTGTTACTTCTTTGCTAAATTACGGTGTGCTCTCTTAGATGCTTATTTAAAATGTGATTATCTTGCAGTATCGGTTCTTTGTGGAGGAAGCTGCTGCTGGGTGCCTCTAGTCAGCCTCCTTGAAGCCCCCTCTCATTCTTGATGTTGATGATTTTTCTCATGTATATTTCTTTCCTTAGTCTGACTAGAAATTTATCAGTTTTATTTTCTCAAAGAACCAAAGTAAAATGGCTTCCGGTTTACTGATGTCTGTATTTTTTTAACCTACTTTGGGTTTAATTTCCTCTTCTTTTTGCAGTTTCTTAAGGTAGGATATAGAGTAATCAACCTGAGACTTTTCTTGTTTTCTAATACCGTAAGCTTTTCTATAAATTTTCTCTAAATTCTGCTTTAGTATCATTCTGCAAATTTTGATAGGTTGACTTTACATATTCATTACACTTAAAACAGTAATTTCTCTTTTAATTTATTCTTTGAATCATAGGTTATATAGGATGTGTTGATTCGTTTTCAAATACTGAATATTTTGCAGGTGTCTGTTTGTGATTTAATTCCACAAAGACGAAAGAACATTTTTTATAACTCAAATTTTTACATGTATTGAAACATGTTTTACGGCCAAGAACATATCTTATCTTGGTGAACGTTTCACATCCTGAAAAGAACATGTATTCTGCCATTCTCGGATATAGTACTATATAAATGTCAATTAAGTCAAGATGATGAATAGTATTGTTCAAAATTTACATATTCTTATTAATATTCTATCTATTTTATCAGTTTGAGAGGTGGGTATTGAAATAATGAACTATATTTGAATTTGTCTATTTAACAGTTTTATTAACTTTTGCTTCTAGTACTTTGAAGTTTTTTTATGATGTACATAGATTTATTATGACTTCTTCACAAATTGAACCATTTATAATCAGGAAATGACATTCTTCATGCCCTTATATTTGCTCAGTAATCTACTTTGTCCTGATATTACTATAGCCATTCCATCTTTTCCTTGTATCCTCATTCTACTTCTATTTATTTGTATTTCTATAAAGTCCTTTTCTTATAGATGACATATAGTTGGGTCTTTCTTTTTAATCCAATCTAATAATCTCTACTTTATAACTGAGGTATTTAACCCACTTATGTTTAATGTGACTGTTGATACATGGTTTAAATTTATCAGTTTAATTTTTTCTGTTTCTTCATTCTTTTTCATTTTAAAAAATTAACTGAATATTGTATGATTCTATATTTTTGTTTGTTGGATATTTAAGCTGTAATTATTTAATTTTTTATTTTAGTAGTTGCTTTGAAGTTTACAGTATACATCTTTAGCTTATCACATTTGACCTCCTTGTAAAGGCCTATAATGCTAAGATTTGCCCTTTTGAGGATACTTTCTAGATCTTGTAGGCATGCTTCATTTTTTATTCTTTTTTCTTTTGTCTCCTGTATGTATTTTCAAATATCTTGTCTCAAGCTCACTACTTCTTCTGCTTGATAAATTCTGCTGCTGAGAGACTCTGATGCATTCTTCAATATGTCAGTTGAATTTTTCAGCTTCAAAATTTCTGCTTGGTTTTTAAAAATTATTTCAATCTCTATTAAAATTATCTGTTAGAACTCTGGATTCCTTCTCTGTATTATCTTCAATTTTATCAAGCATCCTGAAATCAGCTCTTTTGATTTCTCTGTCTGAACGGTCACATATCTTTATCACTCTGAGATTGGTCACTGGTGCCTTATTTAGTTCATTTGTTGAGGTCATGTTATCCTGGCTGGGCTTTATGCTTGTGGATGTTCGTTAATGTATAGGCATTGAAGAGTTGGGTATTTATTGTAGTCTTCATAGTCTGGGCTTGTGTGTACCTGTCCTCTTTGGGAAGGTTTTCCAACTATTCAAAGGGAATTGTGGTTACTACAGCTGTATTTGCATTAGAGGGTACCCCAAGACCAGTAACACCGAGACTCTTGTGGACTCATAGAGGTACTGCCTTGGTGGTCTTGGGTAACAACTGGGAGAATTTCCTGGATTACCAGGCAGAGTCTCTTGTTTTCTTTGCTTACTTTCCCTCAGAGTCTCTCTCTCCATGCTGAGCTCCCTGGAGCTGGAGAAGGTGTGACACAAGCACTCCTGTGGCCACCACCACATAGACAGCACTGGGTCAGATATGAAGCCAACACAGACCTAGGTCTCACCCAAGGCCCATGGCAACCACTGCCTGCTTACTGCCAATGTTCACTCAATTACCAAGGGCTCTTCAGTTGGCAGGTGACTAATTCATCCAGGCTTGTATCTTACACTTCAGGGCAGTGAGCTCACCCCTGGCCCAGAGCAGGTCCCAGAATGTCCAGGAGGCAGGCCCTGGAGTCAGAAAACTTAGAAATCTACTTGGTGCTATATTTTACTGTGGCTGAGCTGGCACCCAAGCCACATGACAGAGTCCTTTCCACTTTTCCCTCTTCCTTTCTCATGCAGGAGTCTCTCTCTGTGGCCACCACTGCCCCAAGCCTGTGACAATTACTGTCTGGCTACTGTCAATGTTCACTCAAGGTCCAAGGGCTTTTTAGTCAGCGTGTGGTGGATCCTTCCAGGCCTAGGTCTCTCCTTTCAAGGCAATGGGCTCCCCGCTGTCCCAGGACGAATACCAAAAAAGCTGTCCATGAACCAAGGCCTGGAATCAGGGACCCCAGGAACTTACCTGGGGTCCCACTGGCCAAGATGGTGCCTCAGCTGCCTGACAAAGTCCCCTTTACTCTTCCCTCTCCTTTCCTCAGGCAGAAGGAGTATCTCCCCATGGTCACCACAGCTGGGAATGCACTCAGTCACATGTGAAGCCAGCATGGTGCTAGGTCTGACCTAAGTCCCACAGTGAGAATTGCCTGGGTACCACTCATGTTTATTCAAGGCCAAGGGCTCTTTGGTCAGCATATGATGGATTCTGCCAGGACTGGGTCCTTCCCTTCAAGGGAACATGTTCCCTTCTGACTCAGGGTGTGTCTAGAAATGTTGACTGGGACCTAGTGCCTGGAATGCTGGCCTCAGGACTCTGCCTGGTGCCCTATTCTACTGTGGTTAAGCTGTTATCAAGATGCAAGATAAAGTCCTCTTTACTCTCCCTTCTCCTCTAGTTGAAGGAAGGAATAACTCCTGGACCTGTGAGCTGCTCTGTCTGGGTGATGCAAGCACCTTCTTGGCCACACTGGCCTGTATCTCACTAGGTTCATGCAGCCCAAGTCCACTGGCTCAGAGCCCAGCTCAGCACCAGCACTTGCCCAGGAATTGAAGTCCTTGTGGCCTAGACTGCCTTTCAAGTTTATTTAGGACCCCTAAGCACTTTAGCGTGTGGTGGTAGGTGTAGCCAGAACTCAGGTTCCTACTGTCGAGATGGGCAATTCCTCTCTGGTTAGGGTTGTTCTAAATGCTTCCTCTGTGGAATTCAGAAGAATTCCTCATCTGAATTCTTCCCTATGTTGCTTTCTGCTGTGACAGGGCACTGAGTTCCAATGCAAAGTTGCACAATCGCTGCACTCTCCCTCCCCCAAGCACACAGATTCTTTCTCTCTGCAATGAGGTCACTGCCAGAGGATGTGGGAGGGGTGGCATCAAGGATTCAAAGCTGTCTTTCCTACCTCTTCAGTGTCTCTTTCCTTGATATGATGTTAAGACCAGGTATTGTAATTGTCCACCTGATTTTTCATTCTCATGAAGGTGCTTTTTTGTGTAGTTGTTCATTTTGGTGTTCTTGTTGGGGGAATGACTACTGGAGGCTTCTATTTGGCCATATTGTTCTACCTCTCTCAGTAAACCTTTAGTTTTGAAAGATACTTTCACTAGTGTAAAATTCTGGGTTGACATTTTTTTTTCTTTTCAGTACTTTGAAGATGTTGCTCCACTTCTCACTTGCATGTTTTTTCTGACAAGATATCTACTGTTATCCTTATCTTTGTTCCTATGAATGTAAAATGCCCCTCCCTAGCTGCTTTTAATGTTTCTCTATCACTGCTTTTGTGGAATATGTGTCTTGATATAGTTTTCTTAGTGTTCCTTGTGCTTGTATTTCAGTAAGCTTCTTTGACCTGTGGGTTCATAGTTTCTGTGAAATTTGAAAATTATTCAGGCTTTATTTTTTAAAAAGGTTGTCTACTTGACTTTGAAAACCCCAATTACACATGTACCAGGATGCTTAAAATTGTCCCATGGTTTAATAATATTCTGTTTTCTATGTTTTCCATTTTCTATAGCTTCTACTATTGTTTTCAATCCTATTAACCTTCTTTACTGCAATATCTAACCTGTTGATAATCACATCTAGTGTAGTCACACTTTGTAGTTTTCACCTCTAGAAGTTGGATTTGGTTTCTTAAATGTCCCCCTGTTTCTACTTAGGTTTTGTGAATATATGAAATGCAGTTAATACTGTTTTAATGTTTTTGTCTGCTTATTCTGATATCTGTGTTAGCTCTAGATCTTTTTTATTGATTGCTTTATCTCCTTATTATGAATCACATTTTCATGCTTCATTGCATGACTAGTAATTTCTAATTGAATGTCAGACATTATGAATTTTACCTTGTTGAGTGCTGGACATGTTTTCTATAAATGTTTTAGAGCTTTGCTGTAGGACAAAGTTACGTGGAAATACTTTCCTCTTTTTATGCCTGGCTTTTAAGATTTGTTCAGCATTACCAGTACAGCACTTAGTCTAGGGCTATTTCCCACTATTGAGGCAAGAACTTTTAAGTAGTATACCCAATACTCTTTTAATCATAAGGCTTTCTAATGTAGCTAGCTGGAACAGTCACTTTTCCCAGTCCTATACCCTGTTGGTTCGTTCCCTAGTGAACAACTTGTTTCCCCACATGTATATGCTGATCAATACTCAGCTGAATACTTGAGGGGAACCATCTCCAGGTCTGTTGAGTTTTCTGAGAAGCTCAATCCTCACTCAAGCTGCCTTGGTCTTTCTGAAATCTTAGCCCTGTTTCCTCAACTTTTGCAGAAGTCATCTGATTTTCCCTACCCATGACTATGGCCTAGAAACTTGCAAGGCAGAAACAAGGGGCAATCATAGGGCTCCATTTATTAGTTACCCATCTCTCAGGAGTCACTGTCCTTCATTGCCTGATATCCAGTGTCTTGAAAATCATTGTTTTATATATATTGATTTTTTTATGGTTTCTAGTGCACTGTTACTATACCTTGGCCCCAGCTGGAAGAGCATACTTTACAACTTGTATTTTTTAACAGAGATTTAGCTCCATTCAGTCTGTCACAACAATACAGCAATGTTGATCAATTCATAGCTAACCAAATTAAAACGTAATATTCATTGTCCCTAAATAACTACTAAATGATGGTCATTCAATAACTACTGAGTACCTACTATGTCTTAGCCATATTAGATAATTTACATAAGTTGTTTATATTTTTAATAACATAGTATGAAGCCAGGAGCAGTGGTGTGCACCTATAGTCCCAGCTACTCAGAAAGCTGAGATGGGAGAATCACTTGAGCCCAGGAGTTAGAGACCAGCCTGGGCAACATAGTGAGACATTGTCTCAACAAAGACAGAAAATAAATAATAATATATTATGAGGTTTTACGTCTTTTTTTTTTGAGACAGAGTCTCACTCTGTTGCCAGGCTGGGGTGCAGTGGCGCAATCTCAGCTCACTGTAACCTCTGCATCCCAGGTTCAAGTGATTCTCCTGCCTCAGCCTCCTGAGTAGCTGGGAATACAGCCACTCACCACCGCACCCGGCTAATTTTTGTGTTTTTATTAAAGACGGAGTTTCACCATGTTGGCCAAGCTGGTCTCGAACTCCTGGCCTCAAGGGATCTGCCCGCCTTGGCCTCAGTTCTGGGATTACAGGCGTGAGCCATTGCACCTGGCCAGTTTCACCTCTTTTTAATTTTACCTTTTATGTATATGAGGAAAACTAGGGTTAAAAATGTGAAATGCTGTTCCAAATACCTAGTAAATTATGGATCCAGCTTTCACATCCAGATTTTTCTGATTCCAAAGACATTGTGCTTTCCATAGCAATATGGTTATTAACCCTTTAATAAGGGGTTTTCTAATTATGCTTTTCAGCTAAATACAATGAAACATTTCTAATTGACTACCTTAAAAATATTAGCTGATTAGAATTTAAAAGAGATTTTTCTATAGATCGGCAGGGAAAAATTATATTGCAAGAACAAAAGCAATAAAATGAAAAAAAAAATCAAAGTAATTAACTTTATCACTCAGTTTCATGCCAAATGCTGAGAATTAGAACGTATAATGAGAAGAGAATGGGTACCCAGAGATGCAGACAATCAAAGGAAGACTCAGAGGAGATGGATCATTTGACAAGCCACCAAACACAGCATAGGTTTGCTGACTTAAAACCAAAACTGTTGGACATTTTAAAAGCTAGATTATCCTGATGGCTTACAAACTCCATTTAAGATATGGAATACACAAACTTTGTAAAAATTAACGTTACCAATTTAATCTTCATTAAAGATAGCAAATAATTTTTTGACTTAAATATATTACTAAAATGTATATATTTTTTGAAAGCCACTTAATCTCAGATCTTGGTTTAAATATTATAAATAAGCACATAAATACTTTCAGTATAAAAATAATCATTTTTAAAACTTCTTTGTTATCAAAAATGTCACAAAAATCAAATAATTGTGTCTTATTACTGAATTAAAACAGTGATGAAAAATATACAAAATGCAATAAAGATAAAAGAACGTTCCATACATATTGTGCCAATAACACTATCAAATAGGAAAGACCAATTATCTCCAATGTAATCCATGCAATTAATGACGATCTTATATAAGAAGTTGGTCTGCTTCAGGTCTATACCTCCTCACTAAAAGCTCCTTAAAATATCATGGGCCAGGCACAGTGGCTCACGCCTGTAATCCCAGCACTTTGGGAGGTCGAGGTGGGTGGATCACGAGGCCAGGAGATCCAGACCATCCTGGCTAACATGGTGAAACCCCATCTCTACCAAAAATACAAAAAGCCGCGTGTGGTGGCGGGCGCCTGTAGTCCCAGTTACTTGGGAGGCTGAAGCAGGAGAATGGCATGAACCTGGGAGGCAGAGCTTGCAGTGAGCAGACATTGTGCCACTGCACTCCAGCCTGGGCGACAGAGGGAGACTCTGTCTCCAAAAAAAAAAATCATGGGTACACTATGTATGAGAAGATTAAAAGAAACTCTGTACAGCATTAAAGATCTCTGTATTGCCTTAGAGATAGATGGAAGTAAAATATCACCTTGAAAGGCATTAGGACAAAATAATAAATTTTCCAGAACTACTTCCCATTCATTTCATCTATTTAAAGATTCCTGCATTTAAGTAAAATGTAAACTTTAAGACTATTTTATTCCTGTTGAAGAGCGGACTAAGAAAAAATCTTGGCTGTATGAATGAATACTCGTGATATGATTTTTCTTTATGGCATGGTTGTAAAGAATGGTGATGGAAATTATTTTCCCTATGTATCAGCATTTTTTAAGCATCCAAGTAACTTAAAGTCAGCTCCATTGGAAAGAGAAGAAATTTTGATACCTTAAACAGTTCGGAAAAAAAAGCAAAGCAAAAGGCAGAATGGTATTAATATTACATGTAAGTCCTCAGATGAACTATTAGTATATGCAAAATATTATCATGCTCATTTAGACACAGGTATGAACCCATTACAGAATAACTGTAGTTCCGAGAGAAAAGCTGGATGCATAAGGTAAAGCTGAAAAGGATCTTGGAAATCATTTTTGATAAATGCTTTTTTTTTTTGCACTTGAAGAAAAGAAAACCCAAAGATGGAAGGTGAAGATAAATTGCTCAAAGGACTAAAATAGGAAAAATTAGAACTAGAACACAACTCTCCTCATTCTCGGGGTCCCATGGTTTAAATTAAATGAGTACATATTCTGTGTGATATCCCATAGGTACTTATAGGTTTGTTTTCATTTAACAGGGATGCTTGTACATTTTGACAAGTATTTTATAGGATTTAATTTGTTTTTACATGCTGCTGGGTGTTGAGTGCCAACCAAATGATTCTTAAGGTTATTTTTGATTTTGCAAGTACTTGAACACTTACAAGTAAAAATGTGTGGTTAGAATATTAATGGCAACATTTACTAAAAAAGACTGAAGCCTTTGTTTGAAACCTCCTATTGAAACAAATAGGTGAGGCTACGTGCAGTGGCTCACACCTGTAATCCCAGCACTTTGGGAGGTTGAGGCAGGTGGATCACTTTAGGCCAGGAGTCCGAGACCTGCCTGGCCAATGTAGTGAAACCCCATCTCTACTAAAAAAAAATATTAAAATTAGCTGGGCATATTGGCACATGCCTGTAATCCCAGCTATTCAGGAGGGAGGCTGAGGCAGGAGAATCGCTTGAACTTGGGAGGTGGAGGTTGCAGTGAGCCACGATTGTGCCACTGCACTCCAGCCTGGGCAACAGAGTGAAACTCCATCTCAAAAAAAAAAAAAAAAAAAAAAAAAAAGATAGGTGATCGCGTAATGGGCATATTAAGACTAGGTCAAAATTAGGTTCAAGGTCATACTTTGATCAAATGTATATCCTGATTACAAAGTACCTTTTTTCCCCATGAGTTTAAATTGATTTTTCAAGGGTATTTCAATGATTTCTCAGTAATTTTTATTGTCTACAAGAATGTCTCAATAATCTTTCTAGCATGAGGAACATGACACTATCCAGGTTTACCCTGCTCTGAGCTGCATTACATTCCTGGAGTTGGAAGAAGAAAACTTCGAAGCCCAACTCATGCTTCCTGCTAGAGATTGCAGACCCCTTACATTGCATGTCATGCGTCTATAATTATGTATAATTTAAATAGAAAATGAAGGCAATTCATAGAAACTCATCAGTGACTAAAGTTGAACGAACAAATCAATCAATGGACCAAGGCAGAATGGATAAAGTACAACTGTTTTATGCACTGTAGAATGAGTAGGTTGAATGAGATTAAAAATGTAAAAGGTAAATTTATAAAATAAACATTTTAGGGGTAGCTATGTCAGTTACTGTACACATGTAATCTCACTTAATCTTCACAACAGCCCTTTTGCAGATGAGAAATGGAGACTTAGAAACTTACCTATCACTGGGTCACATGGCTGGAAGGTTGTAGCACATGTATTCACCACTATTTCCTATCAGAAGCCCATGCTCTTCCTATTAAACCACACAGCAAATGTGTGCTCTACGAAGAGACTACTTGGATACAACACTGTCAGTAATAAACTCTATTAACAAAGGGCAAAATCAAATGGAGGTTTGGGGCTCTGGAACATATTCATAGGGTTCTATAAATTATATTACTCTAGATGTGCTTTGCATACTAGTTTTAGCTTACTTCTTTTTTCTGGTTGCATTGGTGATTACTAGCTCATTGCCAATGACAGGAAACCCAGCTCCAATGGGCTTAAACCAAACAAGGTTCACGTATCTGTAAAACCCAAGGGCACCTGCCTTTAGGCCTACGTAAATTAAGGGACTCAGACAATCTGAGAGAACCTAAATTTTTCTCATTTGTCTCTTCTGCATTTCTCTTAATGATTGTGTTTGGAGGAACTTCTTAGTGACATGATGGCTGGCAGCAGGTACAGGCTTTCTTCCTCATATGGCTATATCTAGTAGGGAAAAGGGAAAGGGATAGATCTTTTTTTCTAAAATAAGTATTGGGTATGACTCACATTGGCTTGAATTGAGAATAAACAGATTCCTGCAGCAATGCCCCTAACCAGAAGGATGTGATACACAGCCAGGCTGAAGCCACATTTCCATTCCTGAAGAAGGAGATAGATATCATTAGAGTCACAAGATAGTGAAAGCGAGTGGCTCCCCAAGGAAAATAAATACTATATTCAGAAGAAAAGGATAATGTTTGCTAAGTGTCAAAACTACAACATTTTTCACTAGAGTCTAGAATTAGGAAGAAAGTAGAAATATCATAGAAATATTTTTTTAAAATGTGTGTGCACATGTACCAAAATGATAGACATTTGCCAATAAGTGACAAATACATAATGGATCATTTAAAACCAAGTAACTTTTTGATATAAAATTTATCATAGTCATGCTTCTGAATGTTCAACTCATACATGATAAGAACCACCTTTGAATACAAGAAATCTTGATACAGAGCATTACCCAATGTCAGGCAACAGGTTAAAGTAGACCTAGAGCACAAGTTCTATATCCAATAGATTGGCATAGCATGTCACCATGGTGATGAGATTGCCATTGGCACCATTCTGGGCTGGCCTCACCAGGTTGCTGTGGAAATGAAATTCTTTGGTACTTTTAGAAAATTTGTTTAGAAATTAGAGCCAACAAGTCTATCATACAAGTCATTGAGCATTATATTCACCATGGGTCCTGATGGCAGGCTTGTCATTTCAGTGTGAAAATATATGTGTAACACACCATAATTAGGCATCTACTTGGGTTCTCTAACCAAAGTGATATGTCTCATATGTAATCACCATTTTTGAATGATAAAGCCATTTCTTTTCCTCCAACAATAGCTTAAAGATATTATATATTGAAATCACTTTCCAGAAATGTCTGTTTAGAATTATTTTTGTGAACAGTTTAATGAAACTTCCTACCACCCAATAGTCAAAAGTAAGCAAAAGCAAATATTAAATGAAAAGTCTGGAATAGTCCTAAGATTATTTGAAAGTAAGCAAATTGCTCACAATAAAAGCTGAGTACATTTCAATCACATCCTAATGAATAATGACCAAGAAGGTGATCATAATGATAATCATTAATACATACCTATTGTGTCAAAAATGTGTTTGACCTCTTCTATGTATTAATTCTGTATTAAAGTTAACTTGCTGTAACAGATAAACCCCCAATTTTCAGTGGTTGAAGGCAATAGTAGTTTATTATTGCTCATATAAAGGCCTAAATAGGTGTTTCTTATTGGTGGCTGGCTCGCTTCCAAGTTAAGTTTCAAAGACCCAGCTCCCATGCCTGAAGAGTTTACCACATTGAAGTTGAGATATCCAAGTCTTCTTACTCATCAAGCCTAAGTGAGAAAAGCATGGAGGACAGTCTATGGGAGATCTTTAATGGACCAGGTCTGGAAGTGAGACATTTCATCTCCACTCAAAATCACATGGTCACATCTAATTGTGAAGGAGGCAAGGAATTGGGATCTCACTGTATGTCCAGTTTTGGGGAAGGCATATAGCTAATTTACCCAAACCCAGACAGGTTTTACACTTACAACAACTTTAATTCCAAGATGGCTTCTTATGTTATATCTCGGTGCTCTCAGGTACAGCGCAACTTCCTGATTTAAAAAAAAAAAAAAGACACTCTAACCAACATGTGTAATAAAAATGTTTTATAGGGGAACATATTGCTCAAATAAAAAATATTCAGAACATCTTTTAGCAGAGGGCCAATCTGTGTCTATGGACATATGCAAAGTTAAATGGTCATCTTGGTCTCATTAGCACATGTGTTAAGTGAGCTAATTGATTACAAACAAGTTCCCTTATACTGTGAAGAAAGACCTTAATCATAGCAGACACTTCTTAAAGATGTCATGGCAGTCTTACGATTTTATCCATGAAAGAAAGGAAAGTCTACAGGTTAAAGAAGAGCAGATTGCTAAATTATTGCACCCTGATTTCCAATAAAATTATTTTTATTACCATCTGCACTGCAGCATTGAAAAAAAAAGGAAGAAAATATCTTACTGTTTACATTGAAGGCATGTTATTTTTCTTCACTTTTTAAGAGAAGAGTCTATGTCACACATAAAAGCTTACCAAAGTTATCCTGAAAGCAAAGAGGCAGCATGGCATAATAGGATATGGCTTTAGAGGACTGAGGGTCAATCCATTCACAGTGTGACCTTGAGCAAGTCACTTCATCTATCTCAGGCTCAGTTTTCTCATTTGCCAAGTGAAGTCAATGAGACTTTCTCTGCCTGCCTCCCAGGTCTGTTGTGAGAGTTACGTGTGTGTGCAAGTATTTTGTCCAATATTTATTACAGAAAGAAAAAAATGCATATTTGTAGAGAAATATGACAACATTTGAGGGGAAAAATACTTACTATTATTGCATAAGTACGCCTTTCATTTTGTTCCCTGATCTCTCTTTTTCAAAACCACGAAGGCCATTGTATAATATAATGAAGTGGCTTTGAGCAGGGCCTGTGGCAATAGAGAGACTAGCTCTCCAATGCTACTTTTGTGACCTTGAACCAGCTCTTTATTTTCCCAGCAACTTAGACTCTCCACGTGAATTGGGGAAAACAACATGTTCCTAATAAATTAGGAAGATTAAATGAGATAGCATATGTAAAATGCTCCACATAGTTGCCGGCACATAATAAATCCTGGCAATGTATTGTGTCTATTATCAGGGAAGGGTTTTTGATGCTAGGCCTTGCTTCTCCCAGCTTCCCAGTCTGCTCAGTTTTCTGTGGTTATCCAAAAAGTAATACCAACCTGGACAGGAATCTTTGGTTCCTTGTGGAAATGAAGGATTTCAGAGAGAATTAGGAATCTGGTTTGGGACAACTGTTATCTCTGGCACATAGTGGTCTCACCAAGGCCCCTGACTTGATGCGAATTGTTTGTAACTACTCAGCACGCTACTTTCCTGACCTCCAGAGCCCTTCTTTTGAAAGCTTTACATTGTAGATGTAAAAGAAATTCTTTGTTGTACCTCAACGGGACATTAAAAAGAAAATATATGTTGAGAAGTTTCTTCATGATGTTATAGAATTGTAGCATTTTATGCCCAAATGGACCAGGGATGACAAATTCAAATGCTAGATGGGCTGGGCAAGGAACAAAGGTAAGTGAAGTAGGGCTTGTATTATTTGAACATGGATGCATTTGTTAGCAAATTCAAACCAAAACATGCTTGTTAGTAAACTAAAACCAAAGGGATATGTAAAAAAAAAAGAAAGAAATGTGCTCTTGTCATTTATTTTTGAAACGTGTATGTTTCAAAATATTTATTTTTGCTCATTTTGGAAAGAAACATAGGCACTGAAAAATATACCCATATTATTTTTAAAATAAGCAAAGGTAATGTAACTAGCATTTAGTCCCAATGTTGGGGAGAGATTATGGTGAAGACTATGACAAATGAAATAGAAGACATGACATCTGCAATGGAGGCACCATTCTGCTCTGGTCAATGGTTGTCATGTAAGAATGTGAAACTGATATTAAGTCTCCCAATTTTTGAACAGAAACCGGAAATCTGATTTTTAAGTGAAATCTCCCTATTTTTAAATGTTGGCTCAAAAAAAAAAAAATGTAAAACATGTCAACAAAAATGTTGACCTGTAGGTCAAATGTGGCTTTCTCATTGCTGACAATTACATGAATCCCCTGTTGCAGAAGTAACTGATTGCAAAGGAACTAAATGATCCATGCCCAAGGTCACATTGATATTGTCAAAGCCAAAAGTTGAATGTGGATGTCCTGGGCCCCAGCCTGGGAAAATCAGTCTGTCTTCTCACATGCAAAGCAGCCGCAAAACAATTGATGAAATAGAATACGTGAAAATAGAATAAAGCAGTTAAATAAATGTGTTATTATTTCTGCCCTTCTTTTGTCTCAAGAGACTTCTCCATTTTCTCATGTGTTATCCAGGACATGAGGCCTCCTTTCTCTCTTTGATTGTGTGATAATAATTTTCACACTCACAGGAAGTAATCTTCTGCTCAATAGGTACCATCTTTCTAGAGTTAAGGAAATATACCACAGCCAATATGCAAAAGGAGCACAAGAAGCACATATTGCATTATTGAAATCAATATTTCAATGATATATATTCATAACCAAATCATGCACATTCCAATTGATAGTTTATATAGTTTTTAATACTCAGTATGAGGCTTATGGACCACATATTGACATACTGGTCAAAATGCTAGTTTTCATATAGTAATAGTATAGTAATTGCAGAAATATTCATTGGGTTACAGAGCAGAGTATCAAATGTCAAGTACAAATGACAATGATTGTGGGGGTTGGGGGGCATATTAAATCTAACTTACCCGGCTTTCCATACTCTGATGTACCACAGGCTTAAACTAAAAAGATTACTTGTAGTTACCTAGTGAGCTAATGCCACCCAACCCAAAATCTGTATGACAGCAGGTGCTGAATATCAAATTATTAGGTAGTGTGGAAACAGTGATTAAAACCTGAAGCTGGCCTCATTACATCCATAATTAGATTTATTCAGTGAATTTTGAACAGAAATCCTATTTTTGCCTGACTTTCTCATGAGCATACACACCACTTACTCTCTGTTTTCCCTTTCTCTCTCTCTCCTCTCTCTCCCTTTTAAGATATTGAAGTATTTTGGTATTTCATCTACTTATTAATACTGTGGAAACTCAGGAAGAAAAGCTGAACTTCAAACATTTATTTTGCCAATTTGCGGTGTAGCTGATGCTGAGGTGTTCTTTCCACATCCAAGAGCATTGATTAACTTCTCTTAAGCATCGGAGCCCCTTTTAGAACCCTACACTCAGGAAACTAACTTTTATGTTGTGATAAAAGCAAAGGTTCTGAAGAGGAAAAAAAGGAAAGAAAAGGGTTGCCACTGTTAATTTATTTTCCATTTGCTAAAGCTACGTGACACCTCCAGCTAGTACTAGCTCTTCAGGAAAACTGAAGCATCAGGCATATATAATTTAGGTGAAAAGGGACAGAGCTCAATTAGTCAGAAAATGCCATTCATGTGAACACTTCACTCCCTGATAGGGCTGTGAGCTGAGTTCTTACTATCCTATAGCAATGTTGGGAAATTCCCCAAGCAATGGAAGGAGCCAGGATGTTCCCTCCTTCAACCCATCATTTCTCTGGGAGCCATAGCTGTGCATTCACATTGCAGGCAAACCTTGAGAAATATGCAGAGGTTGTCCTTGGTTCAACTCAAATAGGACTTATATCTCTGGTACGAATCTGTGGTAGGAGATTTACAACCCCCTCCTGATTTATAAGAGTGTCTTTTTTGTTCCTATGACCACAACCTCTGGAAAAAGTCCAGTCCTGCCTAATTTCATCACCATCCCTGGAACCTAACAAAAATGACAGCAGTTTGGGAGTGCGTAGAGCACTTACTGCTTTACCAAGGAGCTTAATCCTCAGAACTGTGATTATTATTCCCATTTTATAGCTGAAGACACAATAGACTTAAAATATTATACCTCTTGCCTAACATCATATAACTAGTAAATGATGTAGCAGAATTTGAACCTAGTCAGGCTCTTAATTCCTGTGTTATGCTGAATATATTATACAATTGAAGTCTTCATCTTTCTTTGAGTTTCACTCATTGTTAGATAATGCTATTACAATATTAAGAGAATTCTTTTGAAGGAAAAACAGCTGTTTTAAAATGTCACTTTTGTTCTGACGGTTTCTGTATGTCGTAAGTTGTTTATCACAGCTAACAGAGATTATGAAAAAAAACTTTCTTTTTGATTTTTCTCTTCTGTTAAAACTTCTTTGGTGGAAGTTCTTCCCCAGCTCTTAGATGAAAACTCAGACAGGCCTTTGGGCACTTTAAGTCACAAACATAGTCTCAACTCATTAATTAGAATGTCTCATCCAAGGTATTAATAAAAATTCCAAACCTGATTTAATGTCAAATTTCTCCTCCAGCTTCAGTCTGGCAGCCAGGAACAGGTGAGAAGGTGTGGTCTTATTCCTTTAATTTCATCCTATTAAATTGTGTTTGTTTTTAGGTTTTATTATTTTAAAAAATAATATCTGTTGGGAGGCCGAGGCAGGCGGATCACCTGAGGTCAGGAGTTCAAAACCTGCCTGACCAACACGGTGAAACCCCGTCTCTATTAAAAATACAAAAACTAGCTGGGCGTGGTGGCAGGCACATGTAATCCCAGCTACTCAGGAGGCTGAGGCAGGAGAATCGCTTGAACCCAGGAGGCGGAGTTTGCAGTGAGCGGAGATCGCGCCACTGCACTCTAGCCTGGGCAACTCCATCTCAAAAAAAAAAAAACAACAAAAAACAACGACAACAAAAAAAGACTGGCTGCTGATTTTGTATGTGAATAAAAGAGACAAGTAACTTGAATTAACACAACCAGCAAAACCCAAAGTCACTGCTTTTCCTAGAGTTATCTCCTCTACCCACTACCACACTGCAGCTTCCATGCGTGTCCTCACCCTCCAGGTAACACTTCTAGGCAGGATCCAAAACAACCTCAAACTGGATCCCTCTGTCGCATAGCCCACAGCTGTGCCTTAAATACTCAATCCCCTCTTGCCTTGAGGAACACCCCAAAGCAGCAGCTGTCGTGGTTCTGCCACAGAAAGAGCCCATCTGCCATTTACTTGCCCTCATTATTTCCCCTGTCCCTAGTCCCTAGGCTGCCTTACCTTTCCCAGGTAGAGGCCAGCTACCATTCTGCTCTGCTTCCCAGATGCAGGAAAACATATTTCAAAGCTCTCACTTCTGCCGCCTCATTAGGCTTGGGATTAGGAACTCATACTGCCACACATTCCTCTCCAAAGTGAGACATGAGGGTTCAGGCAGAACAGCTATTTCCTCAAAAGTCTCTTCAGCGATGCCCCCTCCTCACTCTCACACACATTCTGACCCCCTCTAATAACTTTGATCTTGCAGAGGACCCCAAGGATCATGGGAGAGGTCACTCCCTTTGTAAATTCTCCACATGGGTGAGATCATCTCAAACTAATTTTGTTACCATGATATCATGTCATTTATAAATGATGAAGCAAACTTCCCATCCTAATATCTTTTACAGGTATATTCATGGTAAATGGACAATCCTTTCCATAAAAATATCTTATTTTTTGATAGTCATAGTGTTTATCTTTTTAATGACCACAAAATTTTTACTTCATTTATTCTCCCTATTTATCTATTTGTGCCCTGTTGTTGGACTTTTGGACTATAAAACTTTGAATTTTTATCTCTTTTTGTACCCATCAAAAAGAAGCAATCAAAATATAAAATCTACTAACAGGTCCACTTTCTCAAGGAATTGACTGTTCCTAAATTTTTAAAAATAATCTGAACCAGGCATGGTAGCTTACGCCTGTTATCCCAGCAGTTTGGGAGGCTGAGGCAGGCGGATCACCTGAGGTCAAGCGTTCAAGACCAGCCTGGCCAACATGATGAAACCCCATCTCTACTAAAAATATAAAAATTAGCTGGGTATGGTGGCGGGTGCCTGTAATCCCAGCTATTCAGGAGGCTGAGGTAGGAGAATCGCTTGAATCCGCAGTGAGCTGAGATCGTGCCATTGCCCTCCAGCCTGAGCAAGAAGAGTGAGACTCTGTCTCAAAATAATAATAATCTGGATATAGAGCAAGAAGAAAGAACATTCAATCTAATAAGATTGTATTAGTTTTTAATACTTCACTGCACTTGGCCCTCTCTATCTGTGGTTCCGCATCCATGGATTCAACCAATGATGATTGAAAATGTAGTTAATCCTAGGATGGTTGTGTCATTAATGAACATGTACAGACTTTTTTCTTGTAATTACTTTCTAAATAATGTAGTATAACAACTACTTACACAGAATTTACGTTGTATTACATATTATAAGTAATATAGAGATTATTTAAAGTATATGGGAGGATGTGAGTAGGCTATATGCAAATATTACGTATACCATTTCACATAAGCACTTGAGCATCTGCAGATTTTTATATCCTTGGGGATTCTGGAACTAATGCCCTGTGTATACTAAAGGGCAAATGAATTTTTAAAAAATTCTTACTAATTCCTGATATTGTATGGTAATAAAAGAGATAATGTGAATTAACAAAACTAGAAAAAACCTAAAGTCCCAGATGTTTGTGATATGTTTTAAAGTTATGGTTGACTAAAAGCAAAGATGATTAAGTTTCCATGTCTGCATGATATTGGAAGATGAATGGACAATTACTTGATATGGATTCAATACATTCAGAATGGCTCTCTAATTGTAAAATGAAAGGAGATATGTTAGCATTCAGGTTCATCTGCGAATATTAGAAAAGCCCAAAGAATCACGCTCAGTTTAGAAATATCTATCTCTTGCACATTCAAGAAATCTAGAATAAATCAGTCCAGGGCTAGTGTAGCACTTCTTGGTGTCAGGGACCCAGGCTCCTTTCATCTTATTAGTCCACTAGACATGGTTTTCATTCTGGGGATAACTTCATGATCCAAGATGGCTACTGGAACATGAGTTATTACATCTGCACTCCAAGCTCCAGGAAGGAGCTTGGAAAATAGGCACACTCCCTTCCTTAAAGTACATCCCATTTGTCTACATCCCCCTGGACAGAAATCAGTCCCATGACCACACCTAACAGAATAAAAGGCTGAAAAAGTCTTCTTTATTCAGAGGTCCATATGCCAAGCCAAAAAAAAAAAAAAAAAAAAAAAAGGTAGATGTATTTCTGATGAAGAAAGAAAGAATGGATTTTGGAGGACAACTAGTAATCTCTGCTGCAAAAGATGAAGTGATTTGTTTACTATTATAACCTAAAGCCAAACTGAGCTAAAGTACTGAGCTAAGTGGGAAGAAGACTGTAGGGGCAGAGAAATGCAAACCTCCAAAGAAAAAAAATCAGCTTAGAAAATGGCAATAGGGATTCACCATAATAACACCAATGTCCTTCTCTGTCTACCTCCCTTTTCAATGTGACTCTGCTTTTCCCATTAAACAGAGGTGGAGTCGATTTCTCCACTCCCCAAAACTGGGCTGGCTATGAATTGCTTTGACAAATAGATTGCAGCAGAAATGATGTTGGGAGGCTTCTGAGGCTAAGCCTTAACAGATCTTACAGCTTCTGTTTTCATCATCTTGCAACACTCCTACCATTATGTAAGGAAGTCCAGGCTAGACTACTGAATTATGAGAGACTATGTGGAGAAAAAGGCTCAGCTGACAGCTAGGACTGGGATCTCAGACTCGTGAATGAGGCTATTTTTAGATGTTCTTGAAATCTGAGCTCTTTAGGTCTGAGCTGACAGCTGACTGAAGCCTTGTGAGTGAGCTCAAAAAAGACCAAAAGAATAACTGTCCAGTCAACCCCCAGAACTATGAGAAAGAACTAATCATTGTTGTTTAAACCCAGCAAGATTTGGTGTGGTTATACAGCAATACACAACTGATACATGGATATATTTTTAAGTAACCACAAATAATAGTTTGACATCTGATGTACCTAAAGATGCTGGTTTTTAAATTTTACACAAATTCTATAGTCCTGATGTTAAGCTGCATTACAAATACTGAAATATTGACTTACATTCTAATTTTGTAATATGATAGCATTGATCCCATCAAGTTTGCTCTTTTGAAGACATCACAAATACTTTATTGTATTCTTGAAAATAAAAATAACAGAAAGGTTTGTGTTCATTTAAGATGCCACTTCCCAGATACTGGTGCCTAGTATAATTTTGTAAATGTTCTTAGTTAACAGGGGAAAAGAAATGTTCAATACAAGGAAGACAATGCAATTAACGGAGAAAATAAAATATTGCTCAAAGCAAACCAACCCCTGATTTTAAAGCACATATTCCACTAAGGCAGACAGTATCATGATCTGGGATACTGATGATTGAAACATTGGCAAAAATATACGAAAATAAATGCAGCCACACTAAACATGGCAGAATAACTAAAATGAACAGTCGCAATAGGTCTAAAAACCAAATAGGAGTCTATGTACTCACAACCTTAAGAAAAGTGTTATTTGCCATAGGCCTTCATGCTCTTCGGTGCTCACCAATAGCATCTGATAGTATGCAGAAAAAAGATTTTTAATAATTCTAATGTGGATAAAGAAAATGTAAAGCAACAAGCTTCCTCCTAAAACACGCTACTCAATTCCTCCTCCCTCATAATGCCTTCTTGAGCCTGTGAACCATCCTTTCCATTACTGACCCCAGTACCAGCATGGAGAAAATTTTTTCTGTCTCTCCAAACTGGTAAAATATATATATACACATACACACATATATACGTGTATGTATGTATGTATGTATATATATGTGTGTATGTATATGTGTGTATCTATATATATACACACACACACACACATATATATATATATCTCTCCAAACTGGTAAACAAATATATATATTTACCAGTTTGAAGAGAGAGAAAAAAATTTAATATTAAAAGTTAATAAATAAATATATATATATATATTTTTTTTTCTTTAATGGCCAGGCACTGTGGTATAACACCTATAATCCCAGCTACTTGGGAGGCTGTTTAGCCTGGGCAACACAGTGAAACTGCATCTCAAAAAAATAATAATAATAAGGTTTATTTAACATCAATTTCAGTCTACTTGATAGCCAGTTTGATGTTTGAATTTTTCCCCCTATTTCTCCCTAAGACCTATTGTCCTGGATTCTGAGCATCTGCCCCATTCGAGGGGGCGGGGCAGAAGTGTCAAAAGACCATTTGTTCTAAGAGTACTTGTGTGCAGTCTCTCAACCCATTCCTGGTAGCAAAGCAGCTACCCCTTCCTCCCTCTCCTTTGACCACCAGCAGCAGTTTGCAGGCAGTGAGCTTGCAATCAATATACTCTCCTTCTGCTAATATCCCTATCATATGAATGAGGAGGCTTGAAATGTGACATTCTAATTGACTGGTTGTTTAGCATGTCATGTAAACAGAACCTAAGTACTTCAGTTGAAACTAGCATTTCTGGTCACAGAGCCTGAGTTTTCAGCCCTACACCTTACTACTGTCTGGCCTAGATGGAGTGCAAACTAAGAGTACCAGCTACCACTACAATGTCCATGATGGCAAATAGATGGAGAGCAGGCAAATAGACTCTGATAAGCCATAATACAATAATCTGAGTTAATGGCTTAACTATTTTTTTTTCTGTTAGGCTTTCAACTTCAATTAGCATGATAAAAATTAGAATAATGTATCTGGCAAAAGCAAAAAAAAAAAGGAATTTCAAAGATTTTGAAAACTGCAGTGTGACAGTCAAGTCTTCAATTATTTGGTGAGTTGGTACCCAGAATATCAGTATTTCTCTCCTTCTGACCTCCAAAAATCTGTTCTCTTTTATCAATTATGGATTTCAAGACCCACAACACCTTGGAAAACAGCAATACGTTTACATTCAACTTAAATAGATCACTGCTTCCTGTGATGAGATTTAAGGTGACTTACAGCTAATTAGAACAAAAATAACAGTACGTGTGCTTGTCAGTAGGAAAGCCGTTTGATTTATGTATTAAAATGCTGCCATTCACGTTTGAGAATGAGACTCTTAACCTGCTGGCAGAGGTGGGATACTTGGGCTTTTGATCGAGGGATGGGGCTGCACAAGACAAGCCATGGTGAAGCAGAAGGGATTGGATTGGTTTTCTAGGGCTGCCATATCAAGGTACCATGAACTGAGTGGCTTGAAACCACAGAACATTTATTCTCTAACGGTTTTGGAAGATGGAAGTCTCAAATGAAGGTGTTGCAAGGGCCATCTTCCCTCCAGAAACTCTAGAGAAGAATGCTTCCTTGCTGCTTCTAGTTTCTGGCAATCGCTGGCAATCTTTGGTGTTCCTTGGCTTGCAGATTCCTTGGCTTGCATCACTCCAATCTCTGCCTGCATCTTCACATGGCCTGCTCCCCTATGCGCCTGCGTGTCTGCTTTTCCTTTTAATAAGGACACCAGTTACTGGATTAGGGCCCACTCTAATCCAATATGACCTCATCTAACTATTATCTGCTAAGACCTCATTTCCAAGTAAGGTCACATTTTGAGGTGCTGAATGGACAAATTTGGGGGAGTACAAGATTCAGTACAGTACAAGGATGCTAGGAAGAAAATCAACTAGTCTGAATTCTTTCCCAAGATTTGCCACTACCTAATTGTGTGACACTGGGCAACTCACTTGACGGCTCCAGGCCTCGGTACCTTGCCTTAAAAGGAAGGGCTTTGAACTAGATGTTCTCTGGGGGACTGCCAAACTCTAGCCACTAGTGGTTCCCTCATGTATTCAGTTTCAGCTCTCCCAATTTCCCCTATGAACAATGGCATACACTTACCACCCAGCTGGCTGAAGCAGTGATCATACGGCAGAACAATGGAAAATCATCTCCTGTTAGGTAGCTTAGTTAGAGAGACAGGAAGTTTCTCTTAGGCCTCTTTATGGGCTCAATTTTAAGATATGGCATCGGGCAGAAATCAATGAAGTTTTTAAAGCTCAAACATTTTATTTATTTCTACCATGTTTTATTTTAAAGTCCTTTGAAAAGGTTGCCTAAGACATGGTAAAAAGTGAAGCAACATGATAACATTTGTGTAATATTTTCCTTAATTTAATTTGGCCTTTGCAAGCTAAATGTTCTCACAAGTTCTTGGCATCATGATAATGTTGATATCAAAATTCCATACCAATGAGCTTTTAGGCAGTACCTTTTCTGAGCTCATCTGTATTTCCAGAGCATGGAAATGTATCATCATGAAAATGTATCATCATGAAAATTATTAAGGACCTGTTTGAAACTGAGACGTGAAGAATAAACACTTCTTACCTTTAGAAGTCTGTATCTGGCCGGGTGCAGTGGCTCATGCCTATAATCCCAGCACTTTGGGAGGTTGAGGCAGGTGGATCATTTGAGGTCAGGAGTTTGAGACCAGCCTGACCAACATGGTGAAACCCCATCTCTACTAAAAATACAAAAAAAATTAGCTGGGCATGGTGGTGCATGCCTGTAGTCCCACTACTCAGGTGGCGGAGTCAGGAGAATCTCTCGAACCTAGGAGGCAGAGGTTGCATGTGCCACTGTATTCCAGCCTAGGTGACAGAGCAAGACTCTGTCTTTAAAAAAAGAAAAAAAAAGTGTGTATCTTAACTACAACTTGTCGGGGAAGAAATAGCATGCAGTGGTAAAGAGACAAGCCTGATATCTAGGCTTGATATCTGATTTGATATCTAGCTGTCATTCATTCTCTGTGTGACTGTAGGTAAATTACTTAACCTCTCTGAGTTTCTACTTCCTCTTCTGAAAAATAAGACTAATCAAAATATCTTCTTCATAGATTGGCCGAAGAGATGAAGGCTGACATACGAAGGTCACTTAGCTTAGGGCCCAGCACACAGGGAAAAAGGAAAGATTCTTCCTGAAAAATGTAGTAGGAGGCTAACATTCACACATTTGCCTCACTCCCCTAGGAAATATGCTTTCTTCTTCCTCTGTGCTCACACTACCTGACATATGTCTCCACCTACACTCAGAGAGTAGGATTCTAACTATTCTCGTGGCCCTCCACTACTCTGGGAGATCCTTGAAGACAATAACCACATCGTCTTCATCTTTCTCTCTCTAGTGCCTAGCTGAATTGACTCTCCAAAATGAAGTAAATTGCAAAGAAATAAATATTGGGAAAACTTTAATTTCATAGACTTTAAAAGGTATGATGAACTCAGAAAGAACAAAAACTAATTAGAAATGAATTATTTTAGGTAAAACAGACATAAACCCTTGACCCCTAGTGGATAAATTTGTTTTTTGATCATTTCATCTAGAATGACATTAAGTGGTCTTTTTTCTTCCTGTGTCATGTAATATGTGTACTTAGACACTCTGTCTGTGTATGTTTGTGTGTGTAAACAGCAAATAGCCATGGCTATGTTAAACTATAATTATATACCCAGAGCCCTTTTAATTGCTTATTTATCACAACATCCTGATAAGGAATGTCACAGATACTATCATTTTTTACAGGGAAGTCTCTGAGCCATAGAAAAGTTAAGTGGCTTAGTTTAATGCATACTGTCAATCAATGGCAAAGCAGGAGTTAGAGCTTGCAGCCATGGAGTCCCGTATTTATTGCTTAGCACCAATGCATGTGAGTTACCACCATGTGTAACAGCGTGTTCTTACAAGAAATCTTAGGAGACTGGGGGTAAAAATTGATCTGAAACAGATTGTCACCTTCTCTTAATTATTCATATGCACCTTAATTCTTCATATGCCCCAAACAGACTATCTTCTTTATCTAGCTGCTTCATAGAACTGCTCAGAACAGCCCCTTACTGCACTGGTAATTACATATCTCTGCGTTGATGAGTAAAAAATAGCCATTGATGAGGGGGACAGGGCTAGGAACCCTACTGACCTCACATGCCAGAGGAATGGAGGAGATCTCTATATATCTAAGAATGTTGCCCGTACACTCAGCTAGCTGGACCTTTAAGATGTTCTTTATTTATTTTTTTCTTTACTGCAACTTTTCCATCCTATCACTGGGTCTGCCTAAAGCTGTCACTACTCTGCTTTTAACCTGCTTTCTACTTTAAGCAGGACTCATTTGATATAAATGATCTGAAAACAAAATAAAGCAGAATTCATAGCTTCCAAGGAAACCACAAACCAGACATGGAAATTTAGTGTTACGAGCTAAATTGTGACCTCCCAAAATTCCTATGTTGACGTTCTCATTCCCAGCATCTCAGAATGTGATTGTGTTTGGAAATAGGGTCTGTAAAGAGGTAATCATGTTTAAATGAAGTCATTAGCATGGACCCTCAACTAATAGGACTGGTGTCCCTATAAGAAGAGATTAGGACAGAGACATATACAGAGACAAATGTCTTCCATGTGAAGACAGAGGAAGGCGGCAGCCATCTAAAAGCCAGGGAGACCTCAAAAGAATCCAGATTGCTGACACCTTGTTCTCAGACTTGTAGCCTCCAGAATTGTTAGAAAATAAGTTTCTGTTGTTTAAGTGACCAGTACGTGTTACTTTGTTATGGCCACTCTAGCAAATTGATACATTAAGCAATCTTGACATTACTTTCATCATTAATCAGCAAGCATGGGCTTGAAGAACTGAAAGTCTTCACTCTATCACACAGTAAAAACCTACTGTGCGCCAAGCTCTGGTCAGTTGCTGGGGCTACAGTGGTGAGCAAGACATAGGTGCTGCTTTTAAGAGGTTTTCAAGCCTCCTAAAGACAAAACAAGGAAAGATATCACAGTGTAATCAATTAGCAATAAGACAGTGGCATGCCCAATGTGCCATGGGGACCCTGAGAAGAGTGACACAATCCAAAACATGCAGGAGAGAATAAGGTGTCAGGTAAGGCATTCAAGAGGGATTTGCACCTGAGCTATGTTTTTAAGAATGAATAGAAGTAAGCCAAAGACAATGGGCCTTCCATGAAACTTTTGCCCTTGGAAAAGCAAGAGTCCCTGGAGCAAGTGCATTCAAGAAAGCTGTACAGTCCAGCATAAAGAATCGGATGTGAGTGAAGGTCCCAGGAGAATAGCTGGAGGTCAGGAAGAGGGCAATTCACAGTACCTTGTAGGTCATGATGTTTTTTGGTTACAAACTGCAACATTCAGTTTAATTCAAATGATGGGGCTTTATTAGAATAGGTAGAGGAGTGAAGAAACACGGAAAATATCTCATAAACCAAACAGTCAGGTCTCACAGAAAAGTGGAAGGTTGATCAGCTTGCAACAACAGCTCTGGGTTCATTGATACTGTTGCTATTACAGCAAAACTTATCTCCTCCAAAATAAGTATATGTTACTCCTACTCCAGGGACTCACCGTACCTTGTATTTTACTCATCTTGGTCTTGGATTCTACTGCAGCTACATATATATCTTCTGCTCCACCAATTCTATCCTCTCCTCCACCCATAATGGATTCTGCTTACCCCAGCTTCTACCGCTTCATGGCCTTTGTTCATCAATGTCTTTACTCAACAGACTTCACTATAAGTCTATTTTCTGTAATTCTGTTACAATTTATGTCTCTCATTTATAGCTCACATCCAAACTTCCTATGATAGAGAATTCAACCTGGTCAAGAAGTCACAAGGCTGGGCATGGTGGTTCACACCTGTAATCCCAGCACTTTGGGAGGCCAAGGCAGGTAGATTGCTTGAGCTCAAGAGTTCAAAACCAGCCGTGGCAACATGGCAAAACCCTGTCTCTACAAAAAAATACAAGAATTAGCCAGCCGTAGTGGTGTACACATGTAATTCCAGCTACTTGGGGGGCTGAGGCAGGAGGATCACTTGAGCCCAGGAGGTCAAGGCTGCATGAGCCGTGTTCACACCACTGCACTCCAGCCTGGGTGACAAAGCAAGATCCAGTCTCAAAAAACAAAACAAAACAAAAACCCTGTTAGGCACATGTCTTCATCTGTTCTGGGTTGTTATAAAGGAATACCTGAGACTGGGTAATTTAGAAAGAAAAAAGGTTTAATTGACTCATGATTCTGCTGCCTGGAGGACTGGGCATCTGGTGACAGACTCAGGCTGTTTCCACTCATGGCAGAAGGCAAAGAGGAGCCAGAGTACAGAGATCACGTGGCAAGAGTGGAAGCAAGAGAGAGGAGGGAGGTGCCAGGCTCTTCTTTACAACCAGTTCTCACAGGAACTAATAGAGAACTCACTCACTGCCACCCTCGGGGAGCATCAATTCGTTCATGAAGGATCCACCCCCATCACCCAACACCTCCCATTAGGTTCTACCTTTAACATTGGGAATCACATTTCAGCATGAGATTTGATGGGGACAAACTTGATACATTTGAATATATTGTAATATATTCAAACTACAGCAGCAGAGTTGGAGTCTTGGCTACTTCATCACCTGCTATGTATTAACCAGAGGCCTGTTTTGGGTTTAGTCCCCAATCTCTTATCCAGTCAGCCTTGTCCATAGTAGCTGGCCATAGTCATATCAGCTAGTGCTCAAAGAAATCATTTTTATCAATTAGTTCTGAAGGAGTCTGTGGTAGTGACAGGCAAATAGCATTTCACAGTTATTATCCAGAAGATGTTAAGGAGTCATTAAAAGATTTTAAGGAGAGAAATAGAATATAAATTTTTGTTTTTAAAAGTCTATAGCAGAAGAGAAAAGAATGATTGGAAGTGTGCCCCTAGAGGTAGAGAGACTCGTTAAAAAGCCACTGTGGTAACACAGCAAGAAATGCCAAGGGCTAGAACTGAGGCGTTGAGTGGTGATGACAAGAAGGGGATAGAGTACAGAGATTTTAAATATGTTAAATTAATAGCATTTAAATGGTAACCAATGGAAATCATGAAAATTACAGAAAGCAGAGCAGTCAAGTTTGATGTTGAGATTTCTGGCTTAATGGATTTTGGAACCTTCACTGAGATAGGGAGCTCTGGAGAGAAAGAGCAGATTATGAGTGTGTTGAATTTGAGGTGACTGTGAGACCACAAATTAGGGCAAGTAATGCTTTTACAACTGTTATAGCTGAACTCCCCAAATCTCCAAGGCTTAATACCAGAAGAATTTGTTTCTTGTCAATTGGTGTTGCACTGTGGGAGTGCTCTGCTCCAGTTAGTTATTTAGGGCCATCTATTTTTAATATGTGGCTTCAAGGTCACCTTGGCCGTGTCCAGCACTGGATAGAAAAAGAGAGAGAATGAAGAAAGCACGCTTACCCTAAGCATCTAAGACCAGAAGTGACACATCACCTTAATCACATTCTTTTGGCAGGAACTAGTCACTGGGTGCAGGAGAGCTGGAAATAGTTTAACTGTGTACCTGGGAAGAAGAAATTGCAGTCATCCAGCCAGTCTGCCACAAATAGCTGAGTGGAGTTTTCAGAAGCAAATGGATATAAGAGCAAATTCTGAGCTGATGATATATTTGGGAATGGATCAGTTGGATCCCAAAGGCAGAGATGCAGCCAAGCTCCAAGAACAGACTGAGACCTGGACTTAGAAGGGCTCACTCTCCTTATATCATCTCTCCTCTTTGGTTTCTTAGACCACATGGTAAAACATGACCTCTGATAACTACTAGCCCCAAGTGCTTTAGGAATAGACACATTTTTTAAAACACTAAATCTTTTTTTTTTTTGGTCCCAATTACAAATTTCTAGGAAAGGTTTCTGACTGATTCAGTGTAGATCATATGTCTACCCTCAGACCATTTAATTGGCTGAATCATGTCACAGGAGCTTAGCTGCTCAAAGTCACATTGAAGCATATAGATGGGAAGGGAGAGAATGATCAAGCTCAAGATATGCAAGAGGTGATTGCAGGGAAGCTGGAAGAAGGAGAAGGACTGATCAGGCAACCAAATAAGCAGCTACTACTCAAAGTGATTAGAGTGAGTATGGTAACTGAAGCCTTGGACCAAAAAGAGAGTACAAAGGGAAACAGGCCCCAGCTGAAACCCTTGAAAATACCACTTTACAAGTGCCAGGAGAAGAAAGTAAACCTGCAAATAAGTTTACGAAAAAAAGAACCTCAACTGTATGTGATGTCCAGGAAGGAATGAGGCTTAGGAGGAAGAGAGAGGTCAAGCTCTCAATTGCTGCATAGAAGTTAAACAGAGAAAAAGAAGGTAAGGAATTGGTGTCAATGTGACTAGGCTAAAGCTTTAAAGAGCTAGCCTACAGCCACAACAAGAATGACACTTGGAAACACCGTGCTAAATGAGAGAAGCAAAACACAGAAGTCTACATGTTGTATGATTCCATTTCTATGACATTTCCGGAATATGTACATTCATAGATACAGAAAACAGGATTCCAGTTGCCAGGGGATGGGGGGAGTGGCTACTCAATGGGTATAGATTTCTTTAGGGAGTGATTTAAGGGTTCTGCAAGCAGATAATCCTGAAGGTTGCATAAGTTTGTGAGTGGACTAAAAGTCACTGAATTATACACTTTAAAATGGTGAATTTTATGGATTTCACTTCGATTTTTCAAAAATTAGCCCATTGCATGGCAAATGATATGGTAATAGGTTAGGGGGATGTTTTAATTTTCAATGGGAGAGTCTTGATGTTTTCTGTGTAAAAGGAGACACAACAAGTTGGGAGAAAAATCTGCAGAAGAAAGGGGTAATGTTTGGTTCATGCGTCTGATTGAATGAGAATATTGAGGACGCAGAGCACGAGCAATGGGTTAAATTTGGATGGAATAAGGTTTTCCATGAGGGAAGAAGAGAGACTAAATCCCAAAGCCAAAGATTTTGTAAGAGAAGGACAGTAAATTAAAGGAATAGCTCTGCTTATCTCAAATAGAATAAAGTGCTTGTGCTTTTGGATAACCATTTTAGATGTTATGTAATGTTACAATACCTTTGGGGAAATTTTACTCAACTCCCGTATTAGGGAGCAAGGTGAAGTAACTTCCCCAGAATCAGAGATTTCCCTTCGTGCCCTGAGTCCTTTCACTCAATTCTAAGAAACAGCATTACATAGAAGAAAGGAGAGAACACTGGAGTCAGATGGAAATATGTTTAAGTCCCAGTTCCATTGCTTCTCAGCTGTATCACCTTGGTCAAGTTACTTAACCTCCTGAGTTTTATTTCTACATGTGTAAAATAGAAAAAAAAAATTACTTCTCAATTACTGTAGTTCCTACCCCTATCATAGCTACATAGTAAACATTCTTCTCCCCCTTTTTCTCTTGTACTCCAGCTTCACTTTCTGGTTGCCTCTCAGTTATGGGATAGCTGAAATTTGCAGAAATGTGGTAAATGTTAAGGAGAGGAGCATTGTTTTTATTTGACACTTCACTTTTTTTATGCCAAAGATATAAAAGAGAAAGTAGCACAACTCAAAATACTATTGGGCACTGTGAATATAACAGAAGGATAAAAGTAAGCATAATGACAGCTGATCTAAGAAAATTAAACATAGTAAACAAACCAAAGCAGGGAGAAGTCAAAGAGTATTTTCTGTGTGTAGTTCTGGGATGTACCAAATGACATGGGGTGACCCACTAAATAGCATAAAGCCTCCCAGAAGCAAGAGGGCATGTGATGACTATCCCCAGAGGTAGAGGTTGGGATCAGGGATGCACCGCACTCAGAGTGTGATGTGTGACAAAGGGGAACAGCTGTTCAAAGAACTCCACAGTTCATCAACCATGACCACAAAAGGCGGTGCCGCTGAGACAAGCACCTTGTGACATTTGTTTGGCAGAGCAGCTGAGGAGCTGTCAGCTTAGAACAATAATGCATCAAAGAGATCCACCAAATCAGCAGTCCAGCCCACATAGACCAATGTACCTGTGAGACACAGAATAATCAGAACCCAGAGATGACAACCAAAGAAGAAAATGGAGAAGAGACTATATCTAGGATTGGTGAGGACGTTAAAATGAATGTGTTCACTTATCGTGTGTATATAAATTTTTTGGTAAATTCAATATTATAAATGCACCAGAGGAATTTTTAATTTAAAGGAGACATCAATTGCTACTATGAATCACTAACTTTAAACAATCATTTTTTTTCTTAATTTTGAGTTTTGGTATGTCTGATGTATCAGTCAGTGTTTATTAGGTTTTGCTGCTATAACAAACAAACCCCACATGTCAGAGGCTTACAACAAAGTGTTATACTTGGACTGGAGAAGAATCCAAGTTTCTTGCTCACAGTACATAAAGGATGTGAGTTTGCTGGGGCTTTTGCTCACTCAGGGAGCTCATCACTTTCATTCAGGTTTCATTGGTCAAAGCTAATCCCCTGGCCAAGCGTTTATCAATGGTGCAGGGAAATAGAATTGATTTTCAGGGAGAAGATGACAAATAATTGAGAACAATATTAAACAAAATATATCATAACTTACATTCCTAATATGGGGTACACCTGCATATGTGAATCTGTCAAACATAAAATTACACTAGCACAAGTTAGATTAGACAGGCTTCTCTGAGAAAATTAGGCAAAATGTAGCAAAATGAAACAAAATATAACCCTGTTACATCAGAAGAATATTTCAAGGAAGAACTTTATGGCTTCTGAGAAGCAAGGTTTAAATAAAGTATGACTAGTTCAATGAGTATTATTTCTATTAACACAGATGCTACTTGATTAGGCAGCCATCTTTGTGCAAGTGACAAAGCCTAAGCCCATGCTAACAAGAACAAAAGGAAAGCTATTGGTTCATATAACTGAAAAATCTAAGAGTAGGTAAAATTTTATGCATGGCTAGACCCAGAGGCTCACAAATATTTTAACGATTCTGTCCCTTTGTCCTTCCATCCTTTGGTGCTGCTTTTCTCTCTATTCCTTTGCATTCTTGTGCATGCTCCCCACCCCCATGCATTTGTGTAGCAAAGGTGGCCACTATTGGTTTTCTATCCCACCAACCTAGTAAATACACTGAAAGAGGAAATGTCTTTCTAACAGCTCTGGCACCATTTCCAAGGAGGATTCTGACTGGTTCAGTTTGGATCATGTGTTTACCTCCATAACCAGGAAAGAGGATATTCTGAGGTCAGGTCTCTATCAACTGTCCATCTAAGGTACTGGGGAGGCAGAGTGTGTGGAGAGTCACCCAGACCCCAGGGACTGAATAAGACTGTTGAGATGACAAAGAGGTTATTGACAAAGGAGATGCTGTGCAGAAAACAGATAAAGAAGCAAGCAAGTGAAGTCTATCTAAGACCCTACCTGCAGATGTTTCTGGGATGAGGTTATATCTGACCTTATTCACCAACTGTCATCTATTTCTTCCATTATTTCTCCACAATGAATCAGTGTAGTACACCAGCTCCTAATAAGCTAACAAACTAATTTGCAGCAAAATTCTGTAATACTATTCCTAATTTTCTAAAGTTCAAAAGGAAATCACTGGAGACATCCACTCCATTTTGCTACAATTACAGTATTTTATGTTAAATTCATCCACTGTATCCTCATCTACTACAGTAGTCTTATTCAGCATAACTTTATTCCCACATAAACAGGAAACACTGTAAATTGCTTATCTAAGGTTTTCTTTCTTGCTACAATGCCTTTAATTATTTATCCAGTCCTAGGCATAATAAAATATTATAATTTACTCTCATAGACATGAGTCCTTCTCAATTATTCCGATTTGGAATGTTTTTAGCAAGGAAAACTACTTTGCCATGCAGAATGAGTACAAGACTATTAGAATTACCTAAGACAGATCTGTTCGCCAGCCACTCTGCCAGAAACATTTTAGCAGCAAAGTAAACAAGGAGACCCTACCCTCTGCATGTCTCTGAAGAGTTTCCCAGATGAGAGTCAGGAATGACTTGGGCCTTTTTCCTCTTCCAAGTCAGCCTTCTTTAACCTCTCATGTTTGTGACAGTGTCCTCCATTTTGAAGGAAAATCTCTCAGCTCATCTTTGAGTCTCAAAGTCTCTTCAGATCATCTTTATTTATCCTGTTTTCCCAGACGTTCTTAAAGGCAAATCAGAAATTAAAGTTTATCAGAATTAAGCAGGTGTTGCCTACCTCAAGACTTGAATGTACTTAAAATTCATCCTTGAAATGTTACACAACTGTGTTTTTTTTATAGCACTAGGTACTTTTTTTTTTTTAAGTTTCTAATTTGGTGTCTTGGGTGTTTTCTTCTTGTTTTTTCCTTTCAAGGGCACACTTCACTTATGGTAGAAAACTTTCTGGAAAAGTGACAAATATACTGCTGTTCTCATTTGCCCATGAAATAAAGTTTCCATCCAGGCCAACTCTTAGATTTCTAAGGTCTTTGCATTACTTTGATTGTTCCTGAACTGCCTTCTAATACAGCATAGTCTTTAGTTGTGCTTTCGAAGTGTCTGGTTTATTAAAAATTTTCATAAACAACTATGTCATACTTTCATGTTAATGATTGGTTCAACGGTTTTTATTGTTCTTGCTTTTTTTATATTGATTTGACTTTAAACTTCTCAAGATTGGAAAACATTCTGCTAATACTCTCTCCTCCCACTGTAAAGTCACTGAGAGCTGTGGAAATTAAATTATGAAGGCTGCTAAGAAAATCCCTACTCCCCATCCTTTGCTGATCCTTCGTTACTGCCTTTTTGTTTATCATCTACCATTTTTTGTTGCTGAGCCAGTTGTGACTCTGAGGGCCTGCTCAGAGGTTTCTTAGAGGACTGCAACCTTGTTGGTGTCAGGGATTATGCTGTCTCATCTTTGTTTCATCTGAAATGACAGATTCTCAGCAAACACTTCTTAACTTCAATGATTTCGATTTTCTGTTACTTGCCAAGATAATAAATCCAGGGGTCTTTCAAACATCAGTTTTGCCCAGTTGATGGACTACCACTTAGGAACCACTGGCAGAGAACTTCACTGCCCCACTAGTTTGGCAGTGACATCTTTCAGCAGATCCCTTAGTCTATTCCTGCTTCAGGTTCCTCATCTGTAAATGAGAACCAGTATATTTCTACCAAAATATTCCCACCATCTACCAAACAGAGCTGTTCTATCAAATAAATTATCTCTGTAAAAGTATTTGCTTACCTTGAAAACACCATTTTTTCTAAAGAAATCCAAGGCACTAAAACTTTCACTCTCAAGCTGTATTATTTTACACATAAGGATATATGCTTAAAAGGAAGCATAACCTCTTTCTGAAATCCTCACAACCAGCTTCAAAACATGTAAATTATAGGAAATAATATTTCAAAAAAGCCAACAAGTCAGTTCAGATTTTTTTGAGCTGAATATCCTACATACAGTCATGTGTTGCTTAACATCAAGGATACATTCTAAGAAATGTGTCCTTAGACTATTTCATCGCTGTGTGAACATCATGGATTCTGCTTACACAAACCTAGATGGCATAGCTTACTACACACTTACGCTATAGGGTATATTTATATACTGTAGCCTAGGAATAACAGGCCTGTATGTAACCTATTGATCCTATGCTACAAACCTGTATAGTATAATACTATAGTGAATACTGTAGGCAACTGTAACACAATAGTGAGCATTTTTGTATCTAATCATAGATAAAGTACAATCAAAATAAGGTATTACAATCTTATGGGACAACTCTCATATAAGTAACTCATCAGTGACTGAAACTTTATGTGGCACATGAGTATATTTGAAAAGAAAGATGCAATAGAATGGCTGCAAGCATATGAAACATCTTCCTCTCCATGACTTGGTTTTAAACTCACAATAATAGGCATCCTCTTCTGGACCTTGACATCTGTGTGCTGCAGTCTGTTATTTTTCAACTATCTGTTATACTTAGGTCTCCAGATCTGTCAATCTACAAGGGCACCAGCTTTCAGAACATTGATAGACCTCCTAATTAATTTGCTATTCCTAAGAATACGTTCAACAGTCTGCTTCATCCACATTGGGGTTTTATTTGAACAGTACAGAGCAAAGACATTCTTAACTAAAGCATCTGATTTTCCCAAAGGAAGCACAGATTGAAGGGAAATCTTACGTGATTGTACTATTGCTTAAAATTGTTGTTGACAATTAAAACTTCAATAATTAAATGTTGCTTTAATTTAAACAAAAAGTTATAATCTTACCAATGATTTATTCTAAAAATGCACTTCTTTCAGATTCTATTCTCACCAGACGCTTGGTTCTCAATAAAAACTTGGTGGTGATAACACCTAAGAGTATTCATGTTATGGCTTCTAATTAATCAGAAATGGAGGTGTATTTGTCATGGTCCTTCATATGTGCATGTGTGTATTTGTATGTTTTGGTCCTTTCACTCTTTGCTGCAATCTTGTTTAACTATGTTAAGTGTACAATATCAAAACACCATATTTCTTTGAAAAGAAAGGATGTTCTGTTCCATCGTTAAGGTGAGATGCAGATTTCCAATTAAAAAGCAAATCCTATATTTCAAAAGGTTGAATAAGCTGGTACTTACAGAAGTTCAGCTGGCTAAATTTAGAGCATTGAAAAATATCCAATCCAAGAATAGTCTTTGGCTTCAGGCATGTAACATTTTTATTTGATAGTGTATTGGAAAGGAAAAAAAACCATTCATTTTAAGCTCTTACCCTTCTACATATTGTTCTGTGATAGGTCAATGAGTGTAGATGGTGGTGTTGGCTTCAAAACTATAGCTTCCCTTAAGTGGTCTGTTTCAATTTTGTTATGCCAGTTTAAAAAAGCTTTCTGTTTGTAAATGTTTATATTCAAACTATCCTCTCTTGCCTCTCTAAATTCAACTGTTTTCTTAACTCCACCCAATTTTCGCAACCTCATCTTTGAGCCATGATCCTTCTTCATATATGGTGGGTTCATAGGTACACAAGTATTATACTCATTGCTGCAGTATGGAATTTTTCTTTGTTGATTTTCCCATTTATTCACTGTCTTCTAATTCATCCAGCTCATACTTTGGCTCAGGATATAATCTGCTGTCCATTTCTAACCCCAAATTTCCAGCTGCCATTTCCGTAAATTCACTCTCTTTATCAGTGTTTCTCTAAATGTGCATCCAAAAACCTGCAGTGGTGACGAAAATGCCTGTTTCTGGGCCCCATCCCAGACCTGATGAATCAGAATCTCTGGGAGGGAGGCCTGGGGATTTATATTCATAACAAACTTCTTCCCCAAATATTCTGCAGTTTGAGAACCGCTGCTCTCTGCTCAGCCATCTTTCAACAATGATAGTAAGTTCATAACTTCTGTTAAATCTGTAGTATATGTGGATTACTTAAAGTTGTGCTAGGTGCTGTAATGAATAAAAACCCAAATCTCTGTGGCTTGGCCAAATAGAAGTTGGGGGAGAAATGTTTTCCTCATCATGTGACTGACATGATGAATCTAATGAACATGTGGCTGAAGCTAACAGAGGCTCCACCCGCTTCAACATGTTTCCCAGGGTCACCCAGGGCATGAAAATCCAACCAGTCTGCAGTGGGAAACATGGCAGAGAAGCACCTAGGAGATGTTTATGGGCCTGGCCATTTATCACTCCACCCACCTTTGCATGGCACTAACTTGGGACTCCACTTAGATGTTTCAGAAGTGCTAGAAAATGTAGGTTCTGGGCAGCAGCTTCCTAACCACCACTTTCCACAATGGACATAGAGAAAAACTCTTTGATAGATCCTTGGCATCTCTGCCGCTATGCACCATCCAGAGGGGAAAGACATAAAGTGTGTGGTTTCAAAACACTCTGTGGAGTATCAGAGGCCTATTGTTCAATGACCCCCATTTCCAGAACTTCCTACTCAAGCAGAAAAGTCACGGTCTCTGAAGCCTTGTCTCTAGGTATGCTTGAATCCTCAATATTTCTTTTTCTTAATATTTCTCCTTGGCTATCTTAAAATACAGAAAAAGTTTATGATTTTGAAATGCTATATGAATACTATAATATATAAAAAAGTGGGTGAATCTTTTAATATGTTCTATGTTCCTAGTATTGAAAAATAAGTTATATCTCTATATGTATATTTATATGTATATATAATACATATTTTTATATATGGGTGTATATATTATACATATACATATTTTTATATGTGTATATATTATACATATACATATTTTTATATGTGTATATATATTATACATACATGTATTTTAATATGTGTACATATACATATAAATCTACCACTGGATTGTGTATATATGTGCAAAAAAACCCACGGGCAGATATATTTTTCATCATTGTAAACCATTGTCTTATTCATTTTATTATCAAGAAGACATAGAGCATATCAGCCTAAGAAAAATTAGGGACTGCATGACCAAGTCAACATAGAGGGGATTTATGGATACCTTCATATGCCTTCTGAGGCTTATATCGTACCATTCTTTTTTTTTTTTTTTTTTTTTTTTTTTTTGAGACAGAGTCTTGCTGTCACCCAGGCTAGAGTGCAGTGGCCCAATCTCAGCTCACTGCAACCTCTGCCTCCCAGGTTCAAGCAATTCTCCTGCCTCAGCCTCCTGAGTAGCTGGGATTACAGGAGCCTGCCACCATGCCCAGCTAATTTTTGTATTTTTAGTAGAGATGGGTGTTTCACCATCTTGGCCAGGCTGGTCTCAAACTCCTGACCTCGTGATCCACCTGCCTCAGCCTCCCAAAGTGCTGGGATTACAGGCATGAGCCACTGCGCCCAGCCATACCACTCTGTTTCTTTCAGATAAAATTGAAGGGAAGAAATCAGCAAAGTTTGAAAAACTGCCATCAAGTTTAGATACCACCAGTTACACTGAACACTTGAAACAGACATATTATTTTAACAGGCATAGGACTATTCAGAAGTTTGACACAGGAAGGGGAACATCACACACTGGAGCCTGTCGTGGGGTGGGGGGAGGGGTGGAGGGATAGCATTAGGAGATATACCTAATGTAAATGATGAGTTAATGGGTGCAGCACACCAACAAGGCACATGTATACATATGTACCAAACCTGCACGTTGTGCATATGTACCTAGAACTTAAAGTATGATTTAAAAAATTTTAAAAAAAGAAGTTTAACAGTCTATTTGAAGTTCTCAACTTGCAATGAGCTGTCATTTTTTATTCATGCATTGATTGATTCATTGGTAGTTTACTCAGAAAAATTTCAGAATCAAATGTGCATTAGCTTTGCCTTTATTTATTTGGTCATTTAACAAATATTCATTGAGCCACTACAAAGTGTCAGACACTTTTCTGAGCACTGAGGAGATAATAACGTACAAGCCAATCATAAAACAAAAAATGTCAAAAGTAGGGAGAGTGAGTTTATAGACAATGATAGGGGCTATTACGGTAGATAGGATAGTTGGGAAAGGCCTTTCTGAGCTGTGGATCTTTGAGTAGAAACCCCAGCGAAGGAAGGGTATGTGACTTTTGAATATTCATGAGAGAATTGCATCAGGCAAAGGTAAGAGCAAGTGTTAATGCTCTGATGGAAAGATACATCTTATATGAGAAATCTCTAACATATACACACATAAGAAACCTCTGCCACATAATTTTGGGTAAATATTTCACCTAAACGGCATCATCTATCTTAGAAATAGCATAAACTACATACTATTATTTTTCTGCTCTGATAAAACCGTGAGTTAGAAACGGTATTCAGCTAGTAATGGAAACATTTTAAAAAATAGGAGTGCCAATAAAATATTTTCTTTCCCTCATGTAGATTAAAGTCAGGGAGCAAATATCAGAGGCTGGTACAAGGGCTCTATGGTATCATCAACGTTCTGGCATCCTACTTTCTTGCATTGCCATTCTTTGTGCATGGATTCCATCTTCAAGTTTACCTCACAGTCACTATATGGCTACTGCAACTCTAACCATTTCATCTGTATTCCAGGTAGGACAAAAGGCAAGTAAGTCCTTCCCATCTGAGCCTGTTTTCCAGCTCCCTATCCCTGCTGCCAGCTTCTGAAGACCTTTCCACAAGTCTGACCTAACAACTTGTACTTACCTGCCCTTAGTCAGTTGGGCCTTATGGCCCCTTTATCTGCAAAAAAGGCTAGAAAATGTATTTTTACCTGTATACATTGCTTTCCTTAACAAGATCAGAGTTCTATTAGTAAGAATGAAGGAGAGAATCAGTATCAGGTAGACAACTAGGCCCAGGTTCAGTTATTAAGAGGTGTAAACAAACGACCAACCTCCATTCTCTAACCAATGAGTTTAAAGGCCTATTGCTCTGTTAATTATTTGTCCTCTCTAGGTTATATAAGACCTTTCTCAGTGTTTTCATCACTCACTCTTGATGAAACTATGAGACATTTGTCATAATTTCTAATCTCATCAGGTTGTACTCTCTAAGTAAGCCTATAAACAGCATCTCTCTTCCTTGAATTGAGAAATAAAATAACACAGTAGCAGACAGAAGCAAAATATCATTTTAGTTACTTATAGAGACCAAGTTAGAGGGTGTGGTTTCAGGTTTATTAGCCAGTAAGCCAATACTAAACCCCCAAATTATGCAGACTGGCCTACTGGTGATGCTGTACTTTTTCTATAGAACAAGTACACTCCCAAGCGGCAAACATATTCAGTAATTTTTCACAAATTTAACCATCGGAAAAGCCACTCCACCTTCCCTCTGATGAAGTGTAGAACTAACTGTCACTACCACCTGGAAAGAAACCTGAGCCATAGGAAGGAAGTGTTCTCTCCAGCTCTGGTGGAGTCTGTGATACTAGTGGCCACAGGGAATCATGCCTCCCCGAATCCATACCCTTACGTGTACCTGCCCACTCCCACCTTAAATCTGCTTTAACCAAAAGAATAGGCCAGACGTGGTGGCTCATGCCTGTAATCCCAGCATTTTGGGAGTCCGAGGCGGTGAATCGCCTGAGGTCAGGAGCTCGAGACCAGCCTGGCCAACATGGTGAAACCCCATCTCTAATAAAAATACAAAAATTAGCAGGGCATGGTGGTGGGTGCCTGTAATCCCAGCTACTCGGGAGGCTGAGGCAGGAGAATCACTTGAACCTGGAAGGCGGAGGTTGCCATGAGCTGAGATCATGCCTCTGCGCTCCAGCCTGGGTGACAGAGCAAGACTCTGTCTCAAAAAAAAAAAAAAAAAAAAAAAGAATGTGCCATCCCTAGGCCTAGGCCTTAAAAAGGCTACTTGCTGCTGCCATTGCTCTCTTGGGATCTTTGAGCCACTATATAAGACTCCAGCTACCCTGCTGTACAGGCCACGAGGAAAGGTCACTTACAGAGGGACCAGCCCTGAGATTACAGAGAAAGAGAAGTGGGGAGTTGCAGCTAAGCCCACCTCCCCACCGACTCACCTGCTGACTGCAGCCACCTGAGTGGCTACCAGCAAGATGAGCGGAACTCCCCAGCAAAGTCATCCCAGATGGCATGATTATGATTAAATAAATGTCATTGTTTTCTATTACCATGTTTTGGAGGTAGTTTGTCACAGATCAATAACCAAAACAATTAAACACTGCTGTTTTTCCTTCTTCAATATTTTTCATTTTTTCCTCCTTATCTAGTCTCAGCTTCAATGAGTATTACCATTGAACTTGAAATATTCGCATGTTCTCAATAAATATCAGTGATTATTATGTAAGGTGTTTTGTTCATGCAAAGTGTAAATATAAAGCATAGAAAATGACAACGATTGGCAGGGCACGGTGGCTCATGCCTGTAATCCCAGCACTTCGGGAGGCTGAGGCAGGCGGATCATGAGTTCAGGAGTTCAAGACCAGCCTAGCCAATATGGTGAAACCCCCCCTCTACTAAAAATACAAAAATTAGCTGGGCATAGTGGCACACACCTGTAGCCCCTGCTACTTGGGAGGCTGAGGCAAGAGAATCACTTGAACCCAGGAGGCAGAGGTTGCAGTGAGCCGAGATCGTGCCACTGCACTCCAGCCTGGGCAACAGAGCGAGACTCCACGTCAAAAACAAACAAAAAAAAGTGATAACTATTGAGCACAGTTTGCTGCTAGTTGCCTTTTCAACACTCTGAAATGATACCTAGTCTTCTTTCATAATGACGTAAAATTGTTGTTTTTATGCTTTTCTATCAGTTGCAGTCTCCCCTCTATTTTGTGTAACACCAGGTCATTTTTCCTTGTTTATTCTTAGAAATTCTTGTGAAAGTCATTCCTGCTTCATATAATGAAATTCCTTAACTAGATTGTGTTTTTCTTCTTCCCTTTCTCATCCCTTCCATTTTCCTGCTTCCAGTAAAAAGCTTCCCCAGATGGGCAACACCAGGCCCTAATACTTGGTATTACCATAACGTCACATTTCATCAGCTTCTATTTGTATGTAGTTGTTGTGTGCATTTATTAGTGTATATCACCTAAATAAGACGGGAATGCTTAACAAAGCTGAGAACCAATATCTTCCCCATTTTTGCCTTTGCTAGTATTGGGAAGGCAGTTCAAAACTGGCTACCATCGTATCTAGGCACGTAGCACCAAACCCAAGAACCTGCAAATTATCTTCATGCAAAGCTGCATCCCCTGAACTCCAGCAAGAGTTTTGACCTAGATCTCTTCATGATATGTTAGGGAAAGAAAACATTTAGCATCTAAATCTTCAAAATATTAAGATTACCAGTTTTCTAAGTTAACAAGTCCTCGATTCATTCTGGGCTGACTTACTCAGGAGATAGGAAGCAAAGTGCCTAAGTCCCAAAATACTTTCAGAGGCCCATGAAAATACTTAATTTTAATCAGAAAAAAAAATGTAAACTTAGGTTAAAGAAAATGTTTTAATATGTAATATTAATATATTCATCTTGATACCAAGGCCATAGTAAAATATAATTAATTTTTATATTGAGGAAGAGAGAGGCAAAGGGAAAAGAGCTTAGAGCTCATCAAAGTCATAATGTGGCCAAAAATTTATTAGGCTAATTGTTCTCAAAACTTAGAAAGCATTAAAATTTCCGGGGATACTTTTTTGTAATCCAAACTCTCAGCTACAAAAGCAGTGATTGTTGAGTAGGGCTAGAATAAATCTCAGGAGTCTGCATTTTTGCTGAGCAATTTAGGTAATTCCACTATGTACACAATCAGAATAAAACTAAAAAAGTGAAACCAGAAATGAGAAAAAAAAAAAAACAGAAATGATAAAAGTTTCTGTTTCCATGTGGCAAAGTTGAGAGATGGGACAAGTAAGATATGAGTATGTTGCTTTTTGTTATATCTTTTCTGTCCTAATTGATTTATCCTCACCACATCATACAGCTACCATTAAACTGTTGGCTCTGTAATCAGCAGCTACCTGATATTCCCTTGAAATTCTTCCATCTGTGGATAGATTATTCTGCAGGGAAGGAGCACAATTTGTTGACTATAAGAAGACCACTTATATTTAGACACTGGCTAAAACAAGATGTATCAGGCTAGTCTTGAAAACAGCTGAGAGTCCAGTACATTGTACAAATTGTAACTGGTTCTGTGTACAAATACGACCAGTTGGGTAGATGACTAAAGTACTAAACAAAAATCAAAAGAATGCAGATTTCAAAATAAGAAAATAGAAAGGTTCTTTACTGATCATTTTGAATAGCTTTAGCTGCTTCGTTTCCCTAAGAGAAGGGTGAAATCAGAATGTACAAGGTAAACAGAAAATGCGAGATAGTTTGGTTGGAATGAGTGATGTTGGAAGTAGCTTCCTGTTACCCATGCACTTATTAAGGTGAATCAAAGGACTAACATGGATGGGCTGCTGTCCATGTCTAAGTGTTTAGAGTCTGCATCTGATTGCTCACTAGTGATAGAGGGCATGGTAGTTTCTTTCTGCAGCACGTGTCTGACATTTTGGGGAGCTGAAATTTATTGAGAAGTTCAGCAAATTTACCCAGCAAAAATCAGCTTCCAGCGAAGCTGGTTACACACAGGCCAGTAAATTATTCTTTAATTAAGATGAACTGAATAACCACCAAAGGATTTGTTAGGGGGCAGGGTCTGAACAAAGCTGAAAATCGTACCCCAGTATAAATAGGAATGTCTTCCCTAGGAAAGCCCATGACGTGGCCCGCAGCATGAACTGGCATTAGTGGTTATTCTCTCCGAGTCCTGGGAAGCATAATCCAGTGCTTCATGATTGCAAAGTACTTCATAACGTTCATTATTTTATCTTCACAACAAGCCTGTTGGGCAGCCTGGAGATGTGATTCCCATTTTACACAGGAGGAAACAATCAGAGAGAGATTAAGTAACTCACCCAATGTTCCAGGATGAAAGAGGATAGACAGACAAGTCCAATTTTGAGCTGTGAATTTCCAGCACATCATTTAGTTCATTGCCTTGCTCTCCTAAAATCCCAAAATAAATTTGACTGGCCTGAACACTTAAAGATATCATAATTAGTTCAATTGAAGATGTCTTGATAGACAGGAATGCTATTTCCTGTCCACCTCCATCCCCACGGACATGCTCTTTGAAATTTCTTTTCTCAAGGACAGTGTTGATTTAATTGGAAAGAACTGTGTTCTCGTTTCCTATTTTGGCTACTGAAGTAGCCCCGGCCATATGCACAGTGGCCATCTGGAAAAATTCATTCCTAACTTCAGGGAGTATTGCATCAGTTTGCCCTGAAACTGTTTACCCACTGGCTCTGCTCCTCATTTTTAGAAGCAGTGTGATTTCTACTTGGGTTTACTTGAGATTCTACCTAATAACCAAAACAAACAGTGGTACATAAACCTCCATGGAGAATCAGCACAAAGATTTAAAGAATACTCCCCTGTACTACTCTATAATTTGTTCTCTTTTTTGCAGTTTTGGGTTTTTTTTAATCAAGAGTTGCTGAAATCAGCTTTTGTTCCATGTGTTCATAACTCCAAGCCTTGTTTTTTTCCTTTTTTTTCTGATTAAGAAATACTCAAAGGTATAATCAGGTCCTTGCACAGTATTTAATTAGCCATAATTAAAAGACATCTACACAAAGCACAGTGTTTTCAAAGTCTTTTCTTCTGTTACATTGTTAATGAATTAAGAAATTCATTGGCATTGAGTTACCACAGAAAATGTGGCTAAGAAAATTTTAACTGTCTTATAAAATTATCCTTTATTGTAGATGATGTTCTGGCCCTGTATTCAATTCAATATCATTCCCAATCATTAAAAGAAAAAAAAGCAAAACATAAGAATGGTGGGAAGAAAAGGACAGATAAAGGTATAAAAAATGTTCCCATAGATCCATATTCTAGTAAGAGTGTTTAACATGATCCAAGCTCCAAACTAGTCCAATCGTTTTTGGAGACTTTTTTAAATCTCCAAATTTCTTAGTAATGGTGGGGAAGGTGAGCACAGGGGCCAAAGGGGTAGCCGGGAGTGCTGGGAAGATGATTCGCTTATTTTCATACCCAGTAATCTGGCTTTATTGCTTAATAATATGTATGAAAATGTTATACGTATGATTAATTCTATCAACAACAACAAGGTCTCAGGAAGGACAGTTTAATAAAGAATTTGAAAGATATTATCTCATGTTTCTATCTTTAGTCTTTCAAAAGGCTGTTTCCTATCGACATATTTAAGCTTCATCCTTCCACTTTAAAGATATATACTGACTTTTATTTGGGCAAAAAAGTAGAAATCAAACAAGTATATAGATGAAGGATTTATATCTGTAGCATTTGAAAAGCTTTTATAGATCTATAAAATAATACAAAAATACCAATGAAGGTGAGAGACAGCAACAATCACACATGAACAATGCTAATGCCTAATAAACATAAAATAGCTCGAAGAAATACAAATCAAATTGAGATTTGTATTTCTCCTATACCCTTAACTCCTATATCATTATTAAGAATTTCTTAAAATCTTAATTCCCAGTGTTTGAAGATACTATGGTTTCTGTTGGGACTACAAATTGTATCTTTCTGCAGAGCAATTTAGCTATACGTATCAAAACCTTTAGAAATCATCACATGTTTTGACTCAATAATTTTACTTCTATATAAATTTACTTCTCAATAATTACTTCTTTCTAAAGAAATGTTCAAAGATGAAGGGAAGGCTCTATATAGGTTATTTATCATAGAAAATATTATAATAAATTCGTAATATCGAGTTAGAATAACATAAATGCCAAGAGTCAAGTTTAAAATATGTATTGATCACTCATTTAGTTAATTATGGAGCCAATAAAAATATTTCTAAAGATATGCTGATGAAATAAAGACTTGTGATACAATGTTTTGTGAACAATGGAATATAAATTACATTATCCAAATTTTTAAAAGTCTGTGTCTAAATATATAGAAAGAAGAGTACAAATACATTAAAATATTAACAGAGGTTGTGTCTGGGTGGCTAAAATTACTGAAAATTTTCTAATTTTTAAAAAATGTTCTATGGAAAAAAATGAGCTATTTAATTATTACAAAATATAGAATTGATTTTATAAAACAAAGGTCAACATGTTTCTTTGAAGTGACAAATACTAGAGTATAAGCATATTTTTATAAAATATTTTTAAAATATGTGGACTTCTACCACAATTAAATCTAACTGAAAATATTTAGAATATTTAACATGTGTATCTAAAGACAGTAATGATTCAGTTTTCAAACCACAGCTATTTTAACATTGTTAAGGGAATCTCTAATAAGTTTAAGAAGACAAATGATATTATCTACCCAGCATAATCAGATAGTTTAATTTCTAATTGAACTTTATCTGAAGTCCTTTATATTTTATTAAACAATTCAGAAATCCTCTAATGAATGACTTAGACAAAGTAATTGCATGTATAGAATGATCAAAGAAATAAAGGATAATGATCATTTTCACATATATTACCATATTTGACCCTCAGATTTGTAAACGGGAATAACGCTCTCCTGACTAGAGCTACAGGGAAAGTTGCCAGAGGTAAACTGATGGCATTCCCCAAGGTCTCCTGGCAAGTCAGTGATGGAACCAGGATTTTGACTTTGTACCTCCGTTTTCTAATCTTGGACCAAAGTCCAGAGTTTGTGCCAATGTACCATGCTGGCACCCTAAAATAATTATTATCTCTTAATTAGTCATGTGATGTTATCAAGAACATTTGCTCTTAAACTATAACATCATCTATATTAGTGAGTTTGACAGACAACCCGTATTTCTATTGAACAGCCTTGGAGACAGTCATGAGCCTCAAGCAGGCTCTGTTTTCCGCTAGATGGCACATAGCCTGCTTCTCTTCTGGGGAATGGGTTTCAAGGAATTTGCAGCTAGTTGCCACATTTTTCTTTAATGAAATTCAAGCAAAATCTTATTAGATGTTATATTCACATTGTTTAAAAAGCCCATTAATGTAAGGGCTTAAGTTATCCTTTCTTTTGTGCACTTATATTTATTTATTTATTTATTGAGACAGAGTCTCGCTCTGTCGCCCAGGCTGGAGTGCAGTGGCGTGATCTCGGCTCACTGCAAGCTCCGCCTACCGGGTTCACGCCATTCTCCTGCCTCAGCCTCCCAAGTAGCTGGGACTATAAGCGCCCACCACCGTGCCCGGCTAATTTTTTATATTTTTAGTAGAGACGGGGTTTTACCGTGTTAGCCAGGATGGTCTGATCTCCTGACTTCGTGATCCGCTGCCTCAGCCTCCCAAAGTGATGGGATTACAGGCGTGCACCACCACCCCCGGCTCTTCTGTGCACTTTTAAATGATATACTTAGCTTTATTTCTTATTCTAAAACTACAGAAATTTTCTCTGGATTCGCCATTTGGTAAGATGAAGATGCTACTGTCTCTCCCCTTTTCATCCCACATTTTCCCTGTCTACTCCCAAACTGCCATTTCTACTTTTTATTGTCAAGGTTGATAACATTTACAGTTTCCTATCAAGCTTTGCTCATAGGATGATTCTAAATGATGGAATTATAAACACATTGATAATTTATTTTTCACTAACAACCAAGTAGTTAACTACGATTACATTTTCCTTCCTGTGTAACTAGTGTGAATTTGTTCTATCCTAGAGTTTCCAATTTCCTTTTCCCCATATTTTCCTTTTTTTCATAAGAATCCTTGACTTTTCTTCTAAGACTTCCATAGATTTGTAAAAGTCATATTTTAAATTCCAAGGGCTCCTTCACGTTTTTAGATTTTTGTTTGTATGTAATAGCCTATTCTTTTTCAATGAAGATTTTGGGGCAATTTTGTGTTTTTTTGGTTTGTTTCTGTTTTTGTTTTGCAAATTTACTGGAGAATTTAATCTGAGTTTTACTGTGGAAGTTCTGACCCATTCCCTAAAAGAGTTCGATTCCTCAATGGTTTTTCTTTTTTTCCTTTCCTTCTCCCTCCCTCCTCCTTTTCTTCCCTCCCTTCCTCCTTCTTGTCTTGCCTTGCCTTTCCTTGTCTTTCTCTTTCATTTTCTGGGCAGAGCAGACCACAGAATGCTCACCCCTCTCTGGAATCACTCTGAGGGGAGATTTCTCACTGAATTGCCAGAGTTCCCCAGTGGGATTCTGCTCCAGATGCACACAGGCTTGAGCCTCTTTCCCTTCCTAGTCTCACTTCCCCACTTTCACACTGGCATTTCTAGAAATCACCTCCCATATAAACTGCTCGCATCTAAACTGAGACTGAATTTTCCTAACGTATGTATTACCTTTGACTGTACATTCATGTTTAAACATGAGGCAATTGATGAAATAGTAATATAAGGCTATTTTGTTGGGAGATTCCTACTTAATAAAATTTAGATATTTTGTTCTTGAATCTATACTAGCTATTATAACTCTACTTGCTATTCTAGTCTCTAGTTTCAAGACACAGCCTATATACCCCAAGACAGAATTTTTTTTTCTACTTCTCTAAAGAAAAACTTTGCTACTTAAAAAAAAAAAATGTGTTCGTTGATGATATTGCACTGCCTGGGAGGTGGAAGCCTTGACTCCCGGATATCGTAGATTTGGATGGAAGTGGGAGTAGAGGGTAAGAGGGGTAGCGGGAATGCAGCTGATTTGAAGACAGTCATTTTCAGGTATCCTCTTCCTCACTGTCTTCTCCCACCTTCCTGTGTTTTTGAGAAGTGAATTGCTTTTGGGTCCTGCAGGTCATATTGACTCTCTGGTTGTAACCCCTTACTGCAGAATTCCAGCAATAACTTTCTCTACCCCAGTTTAAAGCTCAGTTATTTTCTTTCTAACAGATAGCTGTTGACATTTTCTGCTGATAATGGCTCCCTTCCTATTCTTTTCATGATTGTGGATTTATACATATTTTAATCAACCTCTTTATTATCAATTTAAGGATGGCCTTTTGAAGGAAACAAACAAGTTTGATCAGAATGCCATATTAAAATGAAAGTTAGATGTTTTTGCAAGTAAAGTTATTGGCTAAATATACTTTATCATTTATATAACTATAAACTAGTAAAATAAGATCCCAGTTGAAACTATGGGATTACAAAATACGTAAGATTTTGGTACAGAAGTCACCTGACTCAATTTTGATTGCCTTTGCTTTTAAATTAAATCCCAAGCTTCATTATGTTATTCTATCCCTCTTTTTTCAGAATCAGAAAGCCAGTTGATACTCATTCTGAAGTTGTCAGTCCTAATAACTAATTCATGGGATCCAGATGTAAGCTGAATTGATTATCATAGATTGTGATCAATTATGTTTGTACTTTTGTGGTCTCTGTGGCTGTGCTGAAATGTTTAGAAAATATAATTTATTCCCTTTATGCATTAATGAGTAGGCATTAAATATTTAATTCATTTACATGTTATCTGGCCCCTCTATTTGGAGCCGCTTTCTGTTAGTTCTAGACAGTCTCCTAAGAAAACAGTATTATTTCCAGTTTCTCCCCCACATTGTATCATTCAATTTATCCTTCTGTGAAAAACCGACAAGGTACTTTGTGGTTCTGAGATTTTCTTCTTCCCTATTTAAAACTTTATGTAGTAGATTAACTTACTTCTAGTTTCCTCTCTCACAGTTCTAGGAAGGACTTGTCAATCTAATATCAAATACTGAAGCAAAATTCATTTTAAACTTAGGACTTCTCCTGATCCTCACAGATAAAGCCTAGTGACTCCTCCAGTCAGCCAGAATCTCATTTTTAACCATTTAAAAATATACACACAGAGTGTATTGCCTGGCACTTATTTATTCCCTAAAAGACAATTACTAAATAAATGAATGAATCCTAGATTTTGCTCTACTCTTGGCTCATGTGGTAGACAGAATAAAGGCAACCCTGAATGTCAGTCCACATCCTAACCCCCAGAACCTGTCATTATGTTACCTTACATGGCAAAGGGTACTTTACAAATGTAATTAAGTTTTTGACCTTGAGATAGGAAGATTACAATGAATGTATCCACCAACATAACACTTTGAACCTATATGTAATATTTGTAAAAGTAAGGCTGGGCATGGTGCCTCACACCTGAAATCCTGGTACTTTGGGAGGCCAAGGCGGAAGGATCACTTGAGCTTAAGAGTCTGAGACCAGCCCAGGCAAGATGGAGAGACCCCATCTCCACCAAAAATTTAAAAATTAGCCAAATGCAGCTACATGGGAGGCCAAGGCAGGAAGATCACTTGAACTCAGAAGACCAAGGCTACAGTGAGCCATGTTCATGCCACTGTACTCCAGCCTGGGCAACAGAGCAATACCCAGTTTCAAAAAAGAAAAAAAAATTGTTAAAGTGACCAAAAAATGAAAATCTGTAGCCAAACCACTGTGGACTAAATTGTGGTCCCCCCTCAAATTCATATGGAAGCCCTAATCACCAAGGTGACTGTCTGGAGATAGAGCCTTTAGGAGATAATTAAGATTGAAAGAGGTCATAAGGGTGGGGCCCTAATGCCGTAAGACTGTGGCCTTATAAGAAGAGGAAGAGAGAGAGAGATTTGGGACAATTTCTCCTTCTTATTTACTCTCTGCCGTGTGAATACTCAGGAAGAGGATGCCTATCTGCAAACTGAAAGGAGAGTTGTCATTAGAAACTGAATCGGCCATCACCTTGATCTTGAACTTCCCAGTTTCTAGAACTGAGAGAAATAAATGTCTGTCGTTTAAGCTACCCAGTGGTATTTCGTTATGGCAGTCTGAGCATACTAGCACACACATCTGAAAAATATATATTTCTCCACAAAAGGTATATAATCTCATGAAACCCTTCATTATTTAAACTGAAAGTGTAAGAAAGTTGAATTGGATGAAATAATAGTTACACAACACACTATATATATATATACACTTTATATATATATACTCTATATATATACTTTATATATATACTTTATATAGATATACTTTACTTTATATATACATATACACACACACACACACACACACACACACACACACCTGGTCATGATCCCCAAAGAGTCATGAACTTAATGCTTACCCTTCTCATTAGTGTTTCTCTTTTTGAGACATATTATTTACAAGCCATCCCTCTCTCACAAATGGACTATCCATTTCACTTGATCATATTTGATTATAGTCTTGATATCACTTGATTATGGTTTCATAGAGTGCACACAAGACTGATTAAAATAAATTTTTCTTTCTACAACAGATTTGCTAGCAAGCAACTGTGTTGCTACCTGGCCAAGCAAAAATAAACCAGCATGTCTTTCATTTGCCAAGTTCACTGTACCTTCAGGATACCTATGCTATCATGAGGTGATCAGAATCATTTGCATTTCAAAATTTTCACTATACCAAATACTGCATGTTCACTTATAAGTGGGAGCAAAATGATGAGAATACATGGACATATAGAGGGGGACAACACACACTGGGGCCTGTTGGAGGGTGGGGAGTGGGAGGAGGGAGAGGAGCAGCAAAAATAATTAATAGATATTAGACTTAATACCTGGGTGACAAAGTAATCTGTATAATAAACCCCCATGACACACATTTACCTATGTAACAAACCTGCACACCCTGTACATATACCCCTGAACTTAAAAGTAAAAAAAAAAAAATTTTACTCTCACTTTCTAAAAATTTTTGTCAATGGACATGTACCTGCTGATGAACAGTAGGATTTATGTTACAAACCAATGACCAAATGTAAAAGAGTAGGTGGATGAATTTCAACACCCAAGAATTTCAAACCTAAGAGCTGTCAAAAGTAACAGTTTCCCCATACAACAGTGGTAGACTACAGGAAGAATGCATAAGTGGATATAACTGGAATGGAATCATTTATGACTTTATGTATCCAGGTTGGGATGATGAATTATAGCTAGAAGTAAAATGATCACATAAACTACAGTATCTAAGTAAAATACGTGCTAAGAAGGTCCTCCTGAAACATCACTGGTTTTTCAAGGCTGGCTCCTTACAGAATCCACTGAAACTCTGGTGATTTTCTAGGTTGAATGTTTATAGCATCTACTAGAGTGATAGTCCAACTATGATGAGTAGATAAAGGCTGCACAGCCCTGTTGAAAAAGGAAAGCTGCATCTTGGTCATCAGGCTCAGTTAAGTAAAAGATTATCGCACAGCTACAAATGAGGGAAACCTTAGAACCAGCCTAGCACTGATGGTAACATTTTAGAAATGAATGTCATTTTGGTCAGACAAGTGATTACTGTCGGGTCAAAGAGACCCAGGAATGTCTCCTCAATCATTTCATGCACTAGACCTTTCCCCTGACCTTCAAAGCAGGGCTTCCTTCATCTTGAAATTCAATCAATTGGCCCTCCCAATCAGAAACATCCAACAAAATCATGCAAGCCAGGCAAATAGTTTTGTGAGCTGATTATTGAATGACGTCCAGAATGCCAAAATCATAGTCCTGGGCAATGTTTCTGAAGATGTAAAAAGTATGATTCATTTTACCATTAGGCTGTTATCAGAAAGATTCTCATTTGACATTTAATCTTCAGGGACGAATTCCATGCAAACATTCGTAACGTGGCAGAGAAGATTTTCACTATTGCTGTTCCTTAGAACTGTGACATGAATGGAAGTGAGTCCAACATGATATGTGGCCATATCTGTTATTCATTCATTCACTCATTCATTCAGCTATTCAATATATAATTTTGGAGGACCTATTTAGTGCCAATCAAAGCTTGCTACAGATGGTTCTATCGAGCCATCTCTCCTTCATAGAATAAATGATCCTCAAGTTGGGAAACACAAGTTATAAAACAGAACCCTCTATACAAGGCAAGAGTGTCCTCTTAGCACCCCTCACAAGTGCTCAGTCTCTAGTTCAAATCTTCCGGAAAGCTCTAAAGACAAATTCTCAGGTGTATGAAGTCTTCCCTTCAATATGACCAGTAGCAGCCATATTGCCCTCTGCCAGTGGCATGGCATCCTCAGTTCAGTCAACAAGTTGAAAGGACATCAGCTGCTAGAAGTGGTCTTTGGAGATGACAGCAGGATGTTGATGGAGCAAGTATCTTTGGCTTGGGGTTTTATTTATAATGAGAACTGATTGATGGTTCAGCCCATATACACACACTCATGCAAACGACTTCATCTTTACAGCACTAAATGTAATGCCATGTTAATTTGGATAAGCAGTTGTTAAGGTTCATATCAAAGGTTTTTTTTTTTTCTGTAATCATTTACTTAACGTTTTAATTTTTCCCTGTGTAGTCTCCCAACTAAAATCATCTAACAGTAATCTCTGTGTTAATACCAGACATAGACAGAAAGCATCTGTATTATGTCAAGTGTAAAAGAAACAGAAAAGCAGCAATTTCTGATCTTTAGGTAACACTTTTTTTCGTTCTTAACATAATTTTATGTAACAGTGGAATATGATATTATAATATCAGGGCAAATTTTTGCAAGCCTATTTGAAATCTCCCTTTCCATTCATTTTAGTCTCTGTCTAGATATGGATATAGTGCAGTTACAGATACAGAGAAATAATGGAATAGTAGTAAACTTAGTTATTTTTACAACTAAATCCCACCCTCCACTTCAGCATATTCAGTTGCGAAGGGGCAACATTTTGCCAAGCAGACAGTATAGTAAGAGGAAATCATGATACATTTTTGCAATCCTGTGTCCTACAACAATAGGATATTAAGTGCCTATAGCACTTCACCTAGAAATCTGTTACTGGGTCAACAGCCCACTATCTAATGATGAGAAAAGGAGGGCTGGATCCTGTAAATACATACACATGTTTGAACACTGACAGTCACTTTTTGGTGAAAATGTGTTATCCCAAAATTGGCATAATCACAGTTTCCACCTCGTTTATGACCAGCATAAAAAATTGCATAAAATATCATGCACAGCTGTAGTCAGAAGGAAGATTCAATTTGGGCTTTGTGCAGACTTGACTTGCTGCCAGTGCAGTTACATACATCATCTAGGGCTGCATTTAAAAGGATAAAATACAGTTTTAATTCCTGTGGCAAATTTATTTTTTCAAGAAGAGATAAAAATGTTAAAATACATCATAAAAAGCATTAAGTCCCTCCCTGCCCCCACCCAGTCCATCTTTTGTTAATATAATGTTAAAGGGTTAGCAAAAGATGGGAAAGCCATAAAATTAAAGGTTAGGATTGCAGCTCTATCTGTCCTCGGAATGAGAAGGAATATGGTATGATTGCATACTCCTTTTTACTATTTAGACAGCCTCGTTGGGAATATCATATGTGAACAACCTCGAACATCCCTGCTGGTTTCTTTGAGAAATCTCAAAGGCCACAGTGATAGAGAACAGCATGGGCAAGCTACTAAAGACAGACAAGGTTTTCATCTGAAACCTAAAAGTACAATATAGCACACAGTTTTACAAGGAGCTCTCCTCCACCCCTGTGGAGGAGAGGGCTGACTTCTAGCATCCTGTGTGCGGCTGTATCACAGCATCTTCCTACTCTCAAGAGCCTTAAAGGGACAGCTGCTTCATTTCCCAATCAGGGTCCAAAGAAAACAAGTGAGTTGGCAAAATCCACATGGTTTTTCATTTATTTATTTATTTTATTTATTTATTTATTTTTGAGACGGAGTCTCGCTCTGTCACCCAGACTAGAGTGCAATGGCACAATCTTGGCTCACTGCAACCCCCGCCTCCCAGGTTCCAGCGATTCTCCTGCCTCAGCCTCCCAAGTAGCTGGGATTGCAGGCACCCACCACCAGTCCCGGCTAATTTTTTGTATTTTCAGTAGAGATGGGGTTTCACCATGTTGGTCAGGCAGGTCTCAAATTCCTGACCTCAGGTGATCCACCCATCTCGGCCTCCCAAAGTGCTGGGATTACAGGCCAGCGTGTACAGGGATTACAGTGAGCCACCGTGCCCTGGCCACATGGCTAATTTTATTGACTGAAGCAGAACCAGACCTCTATTCTTGGAAATTTGAACACAACATTCTTTCTACCTCTTTATGCTGCCTCAGAAAGTGCTTGACACCTCTAAGAATGAATGAGAGCATCCACTGAGAGATACAGGTGAGAACTTTTTATTTCATAGGTGATGGTGTGCTGCAGCCAGTTGGCACAGACTCTTGAGAGTCTATTATTTTCATCTCTTCCTGACTCACATTCAGTGACTTCATACTGATAACTTGAAATTAGCCATACGGGGAGTATTTACACCACCACAATTGGCAAATACTACAAACCAGGGCTCCCTCCCACCCGCTGCATAGACCTTGATCAACACATCACTCTTCTCGGTGTATCGCCCCAGGAGTCAGCTCATAAATGATTAAGTGTAACGCTGCTCTCACCCAACAGCCCTCATCCCCTGCCTCCTAAGCTTCAGTGATCAATGCTCAGTTGTTTCCAGCATGGCTTGCCAGGAGCTGCTATGAGGCTCCTTCAAGACCACAATGAATCTTGTGAATCAACTGTTTCTGTGGGTAAGGGCTACACCAGCACGCCCAAAACCAGAAGATACCAGACTAGGCAGTTTTGTCACAATTTATAGAAAGCTAATAGGCTCAATAGTTTTGTCAGAGCTTGAGGTTCCAAAGATTTATTTCTTTTAATCTAAAGAGTGCATTGGTAGCTTTAGTTTATGTCGATTATGCATAGCTTATCGTTAAGCAAAATTGTGCTGCCAGAGAAACAGCCTTTTGAAATTAAAAAAAAAAAAAAAGGAAGCTGGGGAAGAAATGTATATAAAGCTAGTTCAACTGCAACCAGAGGGTCTTCTTTACCAACAAGAGGCAAGGAAATATAGTTTTTAAGAGCTTTGAGGCATGTAGACTTACGTTTGGTCCCAGGTCTAGCAACTATGAGCCCTGTGATCTTAATACAAGTTAGAAACTTCTCTAAGCCTCACTTTCCTCATACGTAAAATGAAAAAGAAAAATAATATCTTCCTGTTAGGGATTACAAGGATTAAATAAGACAAAGTACACTAAACCCTATCTTCTTATGCCTACCCAAGAATTTTGCCCTAGCAATTCTTCACTCTCACTCTCATTCTCACTTTTGCTCTCTCCCCTGCATCATCAATGTTTTTGTTCTCTGCTCAGAAATTTATTCCCTGCCACTCAAATGATCTCTAATGACATTGTCAAGATTATCAGTGACCTCCATGTTTCTAAATTCGTTGTTCTAATCTTTGCTCTCATCTTCTGTGTCTTAGCATGTAACACAGTTAATTAACACCTCCTCCTTAAAATACTTTCTTCACTTGGCTTTCAGTACCCCAGACTCTCAAGGTTTCCTTCCTATGTATGGGCATTACCAATTCCAGTTGTCTAAGAGCTAAAAAGGAGAGCTATGTAGTGTTATGACAGGCGGCTACAGGGTCACTGGACTGCAGTGAGGAAGGTGGAGTTGCTGCAGGTAAGATGCACAGAAAATGAACAGGCCAGTGGTTTCCAATTTTTGGCTGCACGTCTCAATCAGTTGGAGGGCTTTTGGAACTCATATTGCCCAAGCCACACCAAGTAAATTAACATCTCTAGGCATGAGATCCAGGTGTCAGTATTTCTTCTTTAGGTTCCCCAGTTGATTACACTGTGGGACCAACATGGCAAAACATTGACCTAGATGCAATAAGAGAAGTAAAGGCAGATCCCAGGAGGAAGAAGCAGTTTATAGAAAGATTCCATGGGGTAAAAACTAGCAAATAAATGAACACAAAAGACTGAAAATGTTTAATGACACCAGAGCAAAGAAAATAAGAAATATAGAACACTTGTAAAATAATGGTGATAATACAAGGCATAATATTGGTTAAAAGATGCCAAAAAGGCCACATTTATAAAGTACTACTTAAGAGACTGGGAGAATAGAGAGATGGTTTGAACTCATGAGAAAGCAAATAAAGATAACAATTAAAAGAATTAGTACTGTGTGGTCAGGCGTGGTGGCTCACGCCTGTAATACCAGCACTTTGGGAGGCCAAGGCAGGCAGATCACGAGGTCAGGAGATCGAGACCATCCTGGCTAACACAGTGAAACCCCGTCTCTACTAAAAATACAAAAAATTAGCCAGGCGTAGTGGCAGGCACCTGCAGTCCCAGCTACTTGGGAGACTGAGGCAGGAGAATGGCGTGAACTCAGGAGGCCGAGCTTGCAGTGAGCCAAGATCATGCCACTGCACTCCAGCCTGGATGACAGAGCAAGACTCTGTCTCAAAAAAAAAAAAATGAATTAGTACTGTATGTCAACTGATAGAAAGCCTGGAGTCAAATTACTTGTATTTAAATTTGTATTCAACTATTTTCTTTGTGCTAGGGCAAGATACCTCAGTTTTCTCATATGTAGTATGTATAACAATATAAAATAAACTTATTTCATTAGTTCCTTGGAGGATTAATTTAGATAATTTATATAAGGCACTTAGAATAGCACTTGACACATAATAAACATTAAATGATGATGACATTATGATGATGCAGGTCTTTGGCAAAAGTTGAGGGAACTTGGCTGAGAAGTTGGCCTAAAGTTAGGGTTCAATTGGGGAGAACTATGATAGATGCCAAGCTAAGTTCCCTTCTTCCAACCAGGACTAGCACAAGAAATACTGTGAAGCATGAAAAGCTTGTCTCTAGTCTGCATATTTGTTTTATGGCACTTTCCCCCTTCCTTGTCCTTCAACAGCAGGATTTTTCTACTTTCGAATACCTCACAGTAGAAAATGATTTGATAACAGTACCACTCCTGGGATTACTTTTCTCAGTAGTACTGTATATCTTAAAGCCTTACCTGAAACTGTGGAATGAAAGACTCTATCCCCAAAAGAATGTTAGTAATCAGAAAATTAAATGAGATAATTTAGATTAAAATCACTTTTAATTTATAAATTGCAATGCAAATATTAACCTTCACCTATGATAATTTACTTCTACAAAGCCCTCTCATTTTTAAGGGGAGTATCCACTTTATTTTCCACATGCCCATCAAAGAGCATATTTGATCTTACTAGAAGGCCAATATCCCTTACTAGTAGCACATTAATCCTAGACCTATGGGGAAAAGACTTGACTGCAATGAGCATTGTGACAAAAAGGAGGTTTTCAGGTTGCTTATACAAACTTTCGTTCTTTTGAAAAACCTTAGCATGAAAGACATGCTGCTTTAGTCATAATCAGTGCGATTGAGGAATAAAAGGAAGGGAGGAAACGCAGAGATTCATGTGTTCCTGGAATTGCAAAGCCTGTTCTTTTTCAGAACCTGTTCTTCCATTTAGAATTCCCACTTCTTACCCATGTACTGCTGCTCTTTCACCCACCGAAGAAAAAATTTATGAAGCACCCACTATGCACCAAGCACCTTTCATGGTCCTAGAAATATAAGATGATAAAACACAGTCTCTGCCCTTGAGAAGAATGCAAGAGAGCAGGGCAAGCAGTCCACTTATGCAAATAGATCATGTCAATATAACGTAAATTGCAAAGACAATAGGAACAAAGATAGTAGGTACACAGTGCTCTGACAGCTGTTCTTTGCCCACATTGGAAACCATGATACCACAAGTGTGTCTTGAAAACCAAGAGCCTAATTAGGCAAAGGAATCTGAAAGAATTTTCAAGATAAATAAAAGAAAACAGGAACTGGCCACAACAGTGTGATGGTTAAATTCTCTCTCAAGTGGTCTTTCTCAGAGTATTAGTAGCCTGGTCTCCAATTACAAAAGCCTTTCGCTTCCTCCGTAGAGATGCCATATTGTTTCTTTCCACTGGTCTATGGTGATGGTCCCATTTTCTCCCCATAGCTTGCTCTGAAGGTGCACATTCAGTTGGTGCATTCACTTGCACCCAAACTGACTCCCCCTAGGTTCACACGCATGACCCAATGATGCCTCTGCACCACAAGGGAAATGGTCTATAAATGCAAATCAAGATTTATATATGTGCAAAGAGATACATTACAATAATCTACATGTTTCAAACAATACCAAAAAGGAGTAAATACACATTAAGATGGCTCCACAAAAATAAAACACTCTAAAGCTCTTAAAAATACATAATTCGGAAATTTTAATTTTATGGTATGGGGAAATTCTCAGAATATTTGCTCCTGTTATACACACACACACACACACACACACACACACACTTATGTAGATGTCTTGTGTTTACATAGGTCCATTTCTCAAAATTTGAGGGAAAAAAATGAATATATAATCCCACCACCCAGAGATAATCATTGATAACATCTGGGCATACATTTTTCCAGCCCATTCCCCATATATACTTGCTTCTTTTTGAAACAAAATTAGAATCCTGGGGGTTTGCATCATACATGATGCTCATCCTATGTAACATCATGTCAAAAACACTTTTCCATGTAATCAATTATTCTTTGAAAATGGGACTTTAATGTCTGTAAATATTCCATTTTTTTTTAATGTAGCATAACTTATGAAGCAGTTTCATTATGGTGGACAGTAATAATTTCTATACTCTGGTTTTTATAAATGATTCTTCAGTGAACTTCCTTGACCATGAGTCTTTGTTCATGATTCACTTATTTCCCGAGACTGGCGATATAGAAGTAAAATTACCAGGTCAAAAGGTAAAAGAATTCTAATGCTCTTGAACAATATTTCCCAAATTGCTTTCCAGAAAGGTTATACCAGCTGATATTCTCACCAGTGATGCACAACGGTGCCCACAACTCTCACACTTGCCAGCATCAAGTGTTATCTTTTATCATCATTGCCAATTTGGTAGACAAAAAACAGTATTCTTTTTTGATGCTATATTGCATTAAAACAAAGAATACAAAACTACATATGCGATATGATCTCAACAATGTAGAACTATGGCCAGAAAAATAAAGGAAAGGAAATACATGAAAGTGTAAACATTTTTAGCATCTGGTGGTAGAATAACAGATCAGTGCTTTTTTATATATCATTAATAATAATAGTAATATATATGATTATTCAAAAGCTACCAAGTTTGGACTGGGTGCAGTGGCTCACACCTGTAATCCCAGCACTTTGGGAGGCTGAGGCGGGTGGATCACGAGGTCAGGAGATCGAGACCATCCTGACTAACACGGTGAAACCCCATCTCTACTAAACAAATACAAAAAATTAGCCCGGTGTGGTGGTGGGAGCCTGTAGTCCCAGCTACTCGGGAGGCTGAGGCAGGAGAATGGTGTGAACCTGGTAGGCGAAGCTTGCAGTGAGTGGAGATCGCGCCACTGCACTCCAGCCTGGACGACAGAGGGAGACTCTGACTCCATCTCAAAGATAAATAAATAAATAAATAAATAAATAAATAAATAAATAAATAAAACTACCAAGTTTGAGCAAACATGCTACATAATTTTCATGCAGCATCTCATTTAATCCTCAAAACACTGCAAAATTTTACCCCATTTACAGCAGTAAATGACTCAGTCAAGAAAACTGGGTAGAGGCTGGGACAGTATTTAAACTCTAGCTTAACTAATTCTGCATTTCCTGCTTTTTCCTCTTCTTGCTCTTAATTTAACATATTTTTGCTTTCTTGTCAATGAGCATTTTTTTAATCATAAAAAGCAATAAAAGTCATCTTAACTGTCTGCCCCAAATAAGAGGATCCCCTACTACATTTGTTGCCAATAAAATTTGGCCAGCTTCTCCAGAAAGTAAGCTCATTCCCTACCTCAGGGAGGTAAATGTGAGGTTCTCTGGACATCTCACAATGACCAGGACTTGCCCAAAGGCAAGGGGTCACCAGCATCATTAACTGGAGTAACTCTTCCTTGCTCTACGAAACCATACCACATGGGTAACTGCCTAGCTCAGCACACATCATCTTGGCTTTGGCTTGTCAGCACATCACTCTGGCCACAAGAAATGCTATCTGTATGAGCAAAAAAGTAGCGACATTAGGGAGATAGGTAGGCAAAGTCAGAATCCAACTTTTGTCCTTCCTGCATTAATGAGAGGATTGTACTTTCTTCCTATTAGCATTAATCTTAATAGCTTTTGAGAACATAGCAGGCAGGAAGCAGTGATATAAATATGATGTGTTCTTATGTTTATAAATGATGTTTACTTCATTACGAAAGTCCAGATAATAGCTAGACAATGTTTAATCCTAGTCTTTTACAAATTGTATTTTGGCCGGGCGCGGTGGCTCACGCCTGTAATCCCAGCACTTTGGGAGGCCGAAGCGGGTGGATCACGAGGTCAGGAGATCAAGACCACCCTGGCTAACACGGTGAAACCCCGTCTCTACTAAAAATACAAAAAATTAGCCATGCGTGGTGGCGGGAGCCTGTAGTCCCAGCTACTCCGGAGGGTGACGCAGGAGAATGGCGTGAACCCGGGAGGCGGAGCTTGCAGTGAGCCGAGATCGCGCCACTGCACTCCAGGCTGGGGGACAGAGCGAGACCCCGTCTCAAAAAAAAAAAAAAAAAAAAAATTGCATTTTTTTCCTCTTTGCTGATTCCTCCTCCACTTCTATTTCTTTATATTCAATTTTTAGTGGGTACATAGTCGGTGTCTATATTTATGGGGTACAGGAGACATTGGGGTACAGAAGATGTTTCGTTACAGGCATATGATGTGATGTGAATAAGTGTGTCATGGAGAATGAGGTATCCATCCCTAATTCTAGTCTTTACATACATATACACAATATTTTAAATATATACTATCTACCTAAAATATTAACAAATCTGAAAAGGAGTCATTATAATATGTCTTTTGAAGATAAATTTGGATAGATTTTTTAAAACATACTACCTAATTATCATTACAAGCTACATAAATACATATTTGCAATAGATGAATACAATAGCTATTTTATAGAATAAGAAGCCACTTTTCAAATTGTTGTTTTTGTTTTGGCTTTTATTAAATCTTGATATGTTAAATATTTATATTGAGAACACAATACACAGAACAATACGGAAAAAATAAAGAATATTTGTATGAGAGGAAAATGTCCCAAAGCTGACTCTTTTTAATATAAGAAGAACATGTTGCTTGTTTATATAATATATTCAGACACACTGTCCTACATTTATACCAAAGTGGAAATAAGCATTAACAAACTAGACTTTATTGGTTGAGTTTTGTCCAGAGAGAAATAACTTTTTATAATGATTCTATCATTTAGTAATAACTCCTCTTTGTTTCAATGGCTAAAATGTCCAGGTCCTAATCCCCTAGCCCCATGCCATTGCCTTATTTCATTTTAACTCCAGTCTCTGCTAATTGTTGACCTCTGTGACAACATGAATCAATGCAGAGAACCCTTTGAGGAATTCGCATTCTTGAGAAAAGTGTTACTGAGTTACCTATGTCTTGTTTTCCAAGAGCCAAAACAGTCTGCAAATCTGATCACATTTTGCTTTTCCCCATTTTCTATGAGATGCCCAACTCATTTATGATAGCTTCACAATCTTCTAATTTGCTGGTTGTTCTTTGAATTTCAAGGTTTTTCATTAGAAAGGAAAGTATTTTAGAAATCTTAATGTATACTTTTCAAGTTGAGAAACAGATTTTTTTCTAAGATGCAAAAAAAAATTACTTGTGATGATACTGAGAAATTAATATAAAATTATTGTTTAAATTTGAGGTTGGGTGTGGTGGCTCATGCCTGTAATCCCAGCACTTTGGGTGACCAAGGCAGGTAGATCACTTGAGGTCAGGAATTTGAGACCAGCCTGGCCAACATGGTGAAACCCCATTTCTACTAAAAATACAAAACTTAACTGGTTGTGGTGGTGCACCACTGTAATTACTCGGGAGGCTGAGGCAGGAGCATCCCTTGAACCCAGGAGGGTTCAAGGCTGCAGTGAGCCGAGATCGCACCCTTGCAGTCCAGCCTGGGTGACAAAGCAAGACTCTGTCTCAAAATAAATAAATTAGTTAATTAGTTGAATAAAATTTAAAAGACTCAAATCCTGACAAATATTCTGCTTTTAGTGCTTAATTTAATGCTTAAATTTACTGTTAATTTCTGGGGTTTGTTTTAACTATGACGTGTAATGTGATTGATTTAAGCTTTATTTGGAAAGGAAATTAGAAAATCCATGTCTTATATAGTCATAAAGTTATCTTAAATCATTATTACAAGAGAACAAAATTTTAAAAAGAAAAATTTTAAATACATTGAACCATAGTATATTGTTATATACAGCATTTTTTTCAAAGAGGCAAATTACTATAATATGTACTTTGCTACCTAACAGCAATAAAACTCACGTGACAAACTTTTACCCCTCTTCATTTGTACCTGTGTCTTGCCAACCTCTCAGTTTTCTGTTTCTATCTACCCAAATTATTCTTGGTTGTTAAACAGTACAAGTTCAAGCACAAAATATCACCTTAACACTATGAAGGACAATATTTGTTTTCTAAAGATGACCAGGTCTGTTTCCGGTCATTCTTTTTCTAAGAGTTTCTACCCTCAGTAAAATTTGTACATCTCAGCCACGTTCTGAGGATTTTTCTCCCTTAGATCTGATCTGGAGTCTAAGTTTTCTCTAAAAATGAGGGGATTAAACTAGAAGGACCTCTGACCTTTATGGGCAATACAAATTGTAATTAACCCAGTTTGGATTCTAACCTATTCTGCATTCGTTCCACACGTATTTATTAAGTACTAGCATGTGCCAGGCGCTGTTTTAGGTGCTGAGGATACAGTGGCAAGTGAGAGCCACATGGTCCCTGCCTGAACCTAATTACACTCTAGAACGTAATTACAGCTGAGTGAGGAAGTTGATGATGCCGCATCAATGCCCCAGTTTTTTTCTCACTAATGCCCTCGTCTCTTCAAATGAAAGACTGAACTCTTCACAACTTATTTAAAAGAATCAGATCATTTGACTATCACACCAAATATATTGTAGACCGTTATAGAATCTTGACTCAAAGTTTAGAGGAACACACAATAAATTCATTTCTATTTTTCCACCGACATCTTCAGAGCCAAGGGCACTTTGGCTGGCTTTTTTTTTTTTCTTGTTTTTAGAAATGTCAAGTACAAGACAGGGCCACAGACCAATTGAGTGGTTTGTGTTTAGAAAAGCTTGGGTGCAAGAAGAGTTCTCTCTCTGCCTCACACACACACACACACACACACACACACACACACATACACTTTTAAATAATGGGATCATTAGTTCCTAGTGAATTCTTTTTGCACTAACTGAAAAACTATTTCATCCTATCCGGTCCATTTTTCTTCAGGAAAAATCCCCATCTGGAATTTTTAACCACCTTGAGGGTCAGAGATTTTTTTGAGAATCAGAGGAAAGCAATGAACCTCAGGCCTGGCAGGTGAGGGGACCAGGAGAAGACAGGAAGTACATGTGTGCAAACAGACAAAAGTTTGCACACAAGTAGTTCATTCCCAAGGTAAGCAACTCGGTAACAGAGTATACAAAATATTACATTTCACAAAAATGTGTTCTACAAAAATTAGGATTACTGTTACCCGGGTGAGGAGGTTGTTTCCAGAGTCAATAAGTTTGGGAAATGCTGGATTTGAAAGTGATTTTTCAAAATTCTTTAGTATATGAATGTGCACCGCACTTCCTTAAAAAGATGATGTGAATGTGGCAATAACTCTCTTAACTGCTCTGGGCATGGAACCCCCTGGAATTGCCTCTTCTGACCGGTGTTCTAAGAAACACTCTCAGAAATAATTCATTCCTCACATCCCTACCATGCTCCCAGATCCATCAGTTGAATCTGGCTGCAGAAGATCATCTGCTATGAGAAAAAAGTCAGTCAATAACATTAAGGTTAATAGTCAATGATTGTTGTGACATGAGCATTAAAAACAAATAACTGTCCACTTGAATTGAAGGAACCTTTTGCTTTTTAGTTAAACCTTTGGCCCTGAAAACACAATGTGAGTGTGGTTTGAGCAAGTTTCTAAGACTTTCTCAGCTTCAGTTTTCTCACATATTAAATATGGATAAAAAGTAGTACATACCGCATACCATTATTGTGAGAATTAAATGACTTAGTACATGTAAGGCATTTGGAACAGTGTTCTATATGTATATATGTTCTCAGCATATAAGTACCCAATAAGTATTAGCTATAATTTTTATTTTCCCAGTCATACCAAAAATAAATAACATATATTATTAATATATTTTTATATATTCATCTATTATATATAATCACTCTGGAAGCTCAGAATAACGTATATATCCACAGAGAAATAAGTATTATTAATATTTTCCAAAGCAGACAATGGATACTCTGAGAATATCTGAACACAAATGGAAACATTTAGGGGGAAAAGTTACATATTTAGAGGAAAAAAAGCCATTTCTTATCCATGAGAGTTACTTACATTTCCATGTAGTTCTATACATATATTTAGAGCTACATCACCATGTAGAAACTTGGTTAAAGAGTGAAGTGAAAATGGATTAATCCTCCCTGCTCACACCTCCCCATATTCATATAATACTTTTTGGCATTTTTCGATTCGTTCACTGTAGAATAAAATAAGTGACACAATTACAACCTGAGGTATTTAAGAGTAAAACCACAGCCTGCTATAAAGAAAGCCATCATCACCTATATAAGGACACAAAATATAAGAGGATTCAAACCTGGCTGAATTCCACTTTGACTTGCCTCATTATCGTAAGCTTCTCTAGAAGGGATAGGGAAAATTCTGTTTCTTCCTATTGGTTTCTCTTCTTCCATGGCTTTCTTTTCTCATAAACCTAATTACCACATGTTAGCCAGCTTGCGCCCTTGCTTATAACTCTCTGATGAAGAAAAAAGAACGCTTATACCATGCTGGTGAGAATGTAAATTAGTTCAGCCACTGTGGAAGGCAATCTGGAGAATTCTCAAAAGACTTACAGCAGAACCACCATTCAACTCAGCAATCCCATTACTGCATATATAACCAAAAGAAAATAAATTGTTCTACCAAGAAGACACATACACTCATATATTCATCACAGCACTATTCACAATAGCAAAGACATGGAATCAACCTAGGTATCCATCAACAGTGGATTGGATAAAGAAAATATGACACATGCTGGTGTATAGGTGGTTCCGTGGTAGAAAATATGGCACGTATACACCATAGAATACTACACAGCCATAAAAAAGAACAACATTGTGTTCTTTGCAGCAACATGAATGCAGCGAAGGCCATTATACTAAGCAAATTAACACAGGAACAGAAAACCAAATACTACATGTCCTCACTTATAAGTGGGAGTTAACATTGGGTATTCAGGAACATAAAGATGGCAACAATAGATACTGGGGATTATTAGAGGGTGGAGGGAAGGAGTGGGGCAAGAGTCAAAACACTATCAGTTACTATGCTCGCTACCTGGTTGACAGGATCATTTGTATCCTAAACCTCAGTATCATGCAATATACCCATGTAATAATCCTGCACATGTACCCCCAAATCTAAAAAGTTGAAATAAAAAAATAAAAGAAGAAGAAAACCATCTCCAATTACTTTCCATTGTGCTTAGAATGGAATCCTTAACTAATGATGTGGCCTGCTGCTGCTTCTGGCCTCTTAACTCACACCACTCTCCCCTACCTTAGCTTTTTTCCATTCCTTGAAGCAAGTTCTTTCCTGCCTCAGGGCCTTTGCACTTGTCATTATCTCTACCTGGAATATCTGTCCCTCACATCGTACTTAGCCTGATTCCATCTTACCATCTGAGCTGGTAAGAGATGGTAAAGGAGATGTCTTTCCACAAGCCTGCCCTGACTCCTCTGTCTAAGGTAGCCCTCCTCTCCCTGTTTATTGTCTAAATAAACCAATTTTATTGCCTCAAAGTACCAATATATACTTGACATTAAGTAATACATTAATATTAACACCAAATTGTTCTCCATAGTTGTATCCATGGCATAAATGAAGTCTTCCATATCTGTTCTACTTTAAGAAGTCATCCTTACTTATTGTTACTGCCCTATATTAAGTCTTTCTCAACCAGTAAGCTGAGATAAAAATTAGGTCATTTCTATCATTTACAATAAATTACAAGGTATATAACTGCTAAATTAATTTTAAATCATCCCTTGGGTATGTGAATAGTAACAGAGGAAACTGAAGCTCACATATTTCACTTACGAAGTGTTTTATAAACTTTGTACTCAAAGTTCTATAACACTTTGTAAATGGAATATGTTTTCAGAAAATGAGACTGCTTTATCTCTTGGTTGGTCCTGAACCCTGGAAGTATCAATAATTCATGAAATCATACAGTTTAAGCATTGCAAGAAAACACAATAGCCTTAGAACTAGCTGGTTCTCCAGCATTTGAATCCCTGCTATGATGTTCTTACCAAGTAATTATTCTTCATGAATCATGAATTCACAACCTCTTGAGGTAACACTTTCTTGTTTGAAGACCTCTGACTTGAAGAGATAAGCCCCACAGTGACTTATACTTATTGGTGTATTTCAGTATCTTAAATCCAAGTGGAATAAATCTAACCTCTCTTATACACACCAGCCTTTCATGTTTCTCAAGACAATTGTAATATCCTCTTAACTTTTCTTTTCTCTGAGATAAAAGTTTTAGTTCCTTCAACTATTCTTAATATGCCATTGTTTCACATTATCGCCAGGGAGTAATCTTTTAAATTTACATCTCTTTTTTTTTTATAGTCTGCTTCACAGAGGGAACCCAGAATGAACCATTTGCCACGGGTAACCAGATCACTACAGAGCAAAGCAGTCTGTCAAAACCCATGTTCGTGATGTCAAAAAATAACAACAACAAAACATATCAAAGTAGCGGGGAGTTTAACACACAGAGTAGAAAAAACAAAAGAAAGGAAACTGCAGAATACCTGCTCCTCTTGCACTCCTCAGCCACACACCATTCTCTCTCTAATCATTTCTAATCTCTTATTAACTTTTCTTTGCAATTAAGTTCATGATAGAGTCTCTCTTCCTGAATTTTTAGAGACAATAAATCCTATTTCACTTCCACTATATGAAGTTGCCATTATGCAATTATTTTCACCTACAAAAATAGCCATTTCTTAGAGCTTGACCCAATGTTAGCAGGTATACATAAACAAATTATACATCACTATTCCTTAAGTGAGAAACTGGTCGCTGGAGAGTAAGGGACTTGCCTACAATCACAAGCTAGACAATGACAAAACCAGGATCTGAAACCAAAGTCCTGATCCAACGCTCTTGCCACCTTAGCACAGGTCCTTTCCCAAGGCCAGCTTTTGGATTCCTAGAGAGAAAGTGAACGTGTTGTATGGCAAGGCAAATTTCATCATCTCTTCATGTTGAAACATGTAGAAACTGAATCTCAGAGAAGTTTATTAACGTGACCAAAATCACAAATTGGGCAGTTGGGAACTCAACCATGGGTGCCCTGACTCCAGGGCAAGGGGCTCCTAGCCAGCGTGACAGGTTCAGTATGTCCCTGCTACCATTTGCCTTTTCAATGAACAGTTCCTGGTTCATGGGTTTTCTAAGATTTTAAAACTGAAGAAAACTACGGAAACTCAATGACCAAACTCTGTTTTCTCCTTTATTTTTTATATGCCGTTTCTTCTTACAAGCACTCAAGACCACATATTTGATTTACATCTTTAGGCACTGGAAACCATGGAGGCAACTTGAAAAAGCTTGAGAGGCTAAAAGCACTTGTATCAAAGCCATTCCCAGGTCCAGGTTTTGTTCCATTGCAGCTTTATATCTAAATTATGAAGCTTTTCTACAAATCGGGTTCACAGGGAAAGTGCTGAGTCATTTTCATTATTGCATCGATTCTACACAGGGGTATCACTATAATGTTTGAGGAAGTCAAACGGTCACTATGTTTAATTTATATCTCAGATCGATGGAATTATCAAGTCATCTATGCGCATCTGTTCAAGTGATTCATGCTTACGCTCATATACTGGGTAGTTTCATTCCTCATCTTTTCTCAGATAAGGAACTGGCAGTTCCAGAAGCCTCCATCACTAAGTCCTGCAATTCAGTGGATTCACTAGCATCTTAAGTTTAAAAACAAAAACTTTCTTTGAACTAGTAGTTCTTCAGGTTTCACAGCAGCAGCAAAAGCTGAAACAGCAATAAGCATGTCAAAGTCATGAGAATTACAGTAGTCAAAGAATAACTTACCATATGAGAAAAAAATGAAATTACTCTATACTTACATTGCCATTTCCTTGGCAAAGTACTTTTTAAAATGAGTTTGTGCCAAGTGGGGCTCAAGCCAAACCTTCTCTCCTTCACAGCTCACCTTTCCTTAGTTAAAATGTTAAAGTCGTGACAGCACCACCGTTACCACAGCATTGTGGCATGTGGTTAACAAAGACAACCAGCAATTACTCAGTGAGGAGAGAAAAGTTAATGCTAGAAGCAGAGGGGATCAAGATTACCTGTGGAGCTCAATGACGACTAGTAGCAAAGTCTACACTTTCTAATAATATGAACTATTGATCCCCATTTAGTCATTTGCTTACAATACACATTAGGTAATGTTTGCCTGTGCTCTCATCCCATGGCAGCTGATCCTTTATTAATAACACATTCTTAGCACTGACAAAGCTGAAAAGATAGGCAGACATAGACCCCAATCCTGATTCATGGGCTCACACCTTCCTGGGAGAGTTGAGAAAGGGGCACTAGAAGAGGAAGGAGATGGATCTTTCAAGCAGTGAGAGGATAGAAAAGAAAAATTAGGGACACAAACAAATTTTGGTGAATTGTAAGTAACTTGTACAAGCTCTGAAAATAAATTGGTGTCACAGGGACCTAGTTATATCTGCTTTCAGCCCATGGCGAGTTAATAATGTATACTTATATAAAATTTATGCCCACTCATAAGCAAAGCTCATTACTAAAACAACATTAAGCTGGTAGCCATATAAAAGGGAGACCCCTGAAATCTCTAAACCATTGCTTAAACAGCAATATTAACTTTGTGTGTTTTCAGGTAGCTGCATTGGCAATCGTGTTAGGATGAATAGGTGAAAACAAAAAATTCAGCAATGTCAACAATGGGGGTGGTTTAATATTGCCACCCACCCACACAGTAATTTGAATGTTTCCTGAATCTAAGATATTTCCATCTTCATCCTTAAGTGAACTTAACTGTGTTTCGGCATTGATCTTGCTACTTGCCTGTAGACTCAATAAGGTTGAAAAGGAAAGTGGCTATTCCCCCAAGGACCTTCCAACCAACATTTTTACAAATTTTGAGTTGAGTTGGGAATCACAGGAAACAGGAAAAATGCAAGTAAGAGTCCCTACCTACACAGCAAATATCTGTAGGACTTTTGACGAGTAAACGCATTCTGATCGTGTGTGGACTGTGTTAGTCCAGACAAATTTTTCTACTGAGGATATAAGGAAACACTGCCAAATAATTATTACTTGGAAGTAACAAATGCTTTTTAGATGAAGTTATTTCTTCCTTAGTACAGGAGTCCTTCTTCCAAATGTATGGAAGAACAGGTAGTTCATTCTAGCTCAGTAGAGAAACGTGAAAACAAAAGGAGCAATTTTGCATTTTCTCTGTATTAGAATATTAGATCTATTCTACAGGTAATCAACTTTTCCTTCAAGTAAAGTGTTCTGTTTTTCAGGGAGGGTAAGCTCTTCAGTCGGCAGATGTCAAGCAAGGCCATTTCTTAAGTGGGTTCTTTGCAGAAGTGGTTTCCTTCACATTAAGGCAGAGCCAGAGGTACCGTGGCCCAAAGGACAGTACAGCTAAAGCAATTTCTCATGTGACTGTCCAGGGGAGCGCCCACATGAAAACATGACTATCAGTGGAAGCTACCGAGGTCTTATTTTCTTGTTGAAATAACAGTTTTGAATGCTTGCGTTTCAGGTTTCCAGAGTTGTCTTAGCTATCATAATTTTTCAAATGAGTGGAAATAAAAACTAGAGTAGCATATCCAAGTGCAGTTTTATAGTATTTCCACACATGCACTAATGATATAGTTCTGTAATCTACAGTGTTTCAATCTTCATAAGGAATCATACCACAATACTACTATTTCTCTCTCAGCTCAGTAAAGGCTAAGGGGAGAAAAAGAAGTCTACTTCTCTGGGGGTGATTATAATGGTTGTAACATTTATAATGATTATAAATTTTGAGATCATGAAATGCAAAGGTAACCATAGAGATAGGAAACCTAGGCCAGAGACTGAAAAAACCTGCTTCATTAGTTGACATAACCCACTTCTGATCACATAGGAAATGCCTACACAGCACCTAATACATATTAATAGTAGGGAAGCAATAAATAACTAGAATTCCTAGTAAGAATAGTAATAATATTAGGAGTATCATTATGACTATTACTTGAGATTCCAGATGTAAAAGCTGGTGATAAAATCTGATCTTTTGCTTTGCGCACATGGATATTACTGAGGTAAGAACACGCTTTTCTGATAAATGTACTATGGAAAAAAAAGTCATTTTATTGCTATCACACTAAGAAACAGACACCCCAAGCATTACATGAGTAGTCTTTCCATGGAGGAGTCAATTCTCACCTTTCTTTTTAACAGTTCGATATAATCCTTTTATGATTGTGTTGAAATGTCTTTTACATTCACTTTCCATTTTTTGTTGGTATTGAAATTAGGAGACAAGAAGAAGGGCTAATATCCCTTCATTTTTTAGCTCTGTGGTAATTCTGCAGGCTTTTACAAAACTATCAAGCATTTTTGTGTATGGTTGTTGTGTTTCTTTTTAAGTCATGTATTTATAAGCAAAAAACCTGATAATGGCAGCTTTTTCTATTTGATGGTTTCAACTGACTGATAATGGGGTATGGGTGAAGAGCAGTGAGCAGAACTCATTTCAGGTGTTAGAGCAGAAACCTAAAACTTTCTCCCAGCTGAGTCTTTGCTGCCTGAGACCGGATAGGAACAGCCAGAGGTAACCTCATTAGCCCATGAGGCTGGCTTGGAAATACAGATGCTGGAGCAGTGACCTAGAGAGAGGGGACCCTGACAGGCTGACTCCTGCATTTTTTCCTGTGACACCCTCTCACCAACCCAAATCCTTTGTGATACCTATACCAACTTCCAAAGTCATGACTTCTTTTATAGACTGAAACCCAGGACAGTCTACAACCTCTACAAGTGAGCAGAACAAAATTCTGCCTACATCACCATATCTGATTCGTGGCTCTGCTTGCGATTACCTGACAAACCACTTAACCTTGCCATGCTCCAGTTTCTTTTGTAACCCAGAAACACAATAATGTGAAAATCTCTCTCCTGGGATTGTTTTCAGCAGTAATTACATACGTATATGTATGTATATTTATATGTATGCAGATGTATATATATTAAAGCACTTTAGCTTATGAGATGCTCTAGCAATATTTAAAGATAAAGTTAGAATAATTGAACAAGCCTGCAGCTGTAATGGGTCTGCTCTCTTCGAGGCTGCTAGTATTAAACAGCACAAATTGCAGCTGGTCTTCCCAGGTCTCTACCCCTGGGCTTTGCCACTGACTTGCTATCTAACTTCCACTTTGGAATGTCTCTGCCTCCACATTCATCTTTAAAATAATCTGAAGTGATGAACTCCCTTGTAGGGCATAGAGGGGAAAAAGAAAAAAAAAAAGCCAAGAGATTTAATAAGTGTAATTGAAAAAACAAATAACAGACAGGATCCAACGCTCAAAGACACAGTTGTTATTCCTATTCATATAAATGCAAATTCAGCCCAAGAGTAAAACCACATGGAATTCTCTGATTTAAGGAATTTCCCTAGTCATAAACACAGACATTTTTCTGGTTTCAGTCAACCGAATAAAGAAAAGGTTTTAGGAAATGCTCACAACCTTGCCTTGAATTATCTGTATACAGCTTCTACAATTTAAATTGTTGGAGTTATCTAAGGATAACAGCAGTCAGAGTTTAGCCATAAACCTTCCAAGTAACGGTGACTTCCTGAGAGCCCCTTCTAATAAATATTTCTAAACTGTTTTCCTTGAGTCATTGCCAATAAAATGGATGGAAACGCTTTCAATTCTCTCTTTTTCTTTCTTGGTCATAGCTTCAGAACCCTAGCGCTGCTTGATTCCCTTCAGTTGCAGATATTGGTGGCTGGAATCAAGGGCCAGGCCCCAGAAAAGTTTCACAGAAGGGACATACATAGGGCCAAATTGGACCCTCCGATTCACACCGGGTATCTCTGAGATGTGTGGTAAGTGTCTGAGGTACTGATAATGCTGCAGCCAAGATGGTAAAATAGAGCCAACACATCACTCACTGTACCAGAAGCCGTTGTCGCATCCTAATGCCAATTGTGCTGCAATGCATATTGCTTAGGCCATCACTAGGCCTGGGTGCTATGCATTTTAATTGCACATGCTGCAATTAAAATTTAGGATTTCAAGAAATTATTGCATTTCTTTGGTTTCCAGTTCATTGTATCTCTGCGTTCTTTGATAAAAACGCATAACAACTGCAGTTGTGATATGGACAGAATCCTATGGATTGTTTGCAAGCACCTTCCACTTTAACAGAAAGAAATACATCACCACCAATGAGAAAGCATTGGTGGGAGATACAGAAAATGCACCAATTAGAGCTGCTGCATGACTCTGGGAGCATCATCTATTCACCACATTGTGAACTGTGCCCCCTGGAGTTGTGCAATGTAAACATCCTACAAGATCATAGATATCCTAGAGAAATCTTATTAAAGAAAAACTGACTCAAATACCTTAGAAATGTCCATCTAGGAAACATTAAGTTCTGGTTCTTCTGTGCTCTAGGCCTGACTTTTCTCACACTAAATAGAAGGTTACATGGCATTATCTCCAGTGTTAACTCCAGTTCTGAAAGTCTGTGATTCTAAGAGTAGGCCAATTTATACATATCAAGTGGTAATGTCAGATGCAAATGTTTCCCTCTTTTTAAGCAGTGTTCTTGTAACTAGTGTTATATTAGTGAAAACAAGGGAAATTTTCAAATAACCTTGAATTGTTTTCCAGTGGGCCTTAGGAAAGAGGTTAAGTCTCTGGACTGCCTGACCCATTCAGTTTCTTTCACAGCTATGAAAATACTGCAAAAACGGATAGGCGGAATGGAATCATAAAGAAAAGGAAAGCTTCATTTAAGCAATATAGGCAGTATTTCAAAAATGATCCTAGGAGTTTGCTTCCTCCAAGCTGGAAACATTTTTTAGGCTAAACAATAAAGTCTGCTTTAAATCATATGCAAACAAAGCAGAGTCCTTGATTTGGGGTAATATTTTTCAATTTTGTATTTAAAACTGTGTTTCCTATAATGTTTTCTCAAAGCATCTTTTGCAATATCACCAGTCAAATTCTTTACTGAGTTTTACTTTCTGACATTTGATTTATAAAATTAATGAACATACTAAAGAAACTTTTTGTTAAAGTTCCCATGCTCTTCTCCACCCTTCTGGTCCAAGATTCTCATACCATATCATGCTCTTCCAACATCCACCCCTCCTCCCCGACCCCACCACCGTCCAGTCAAAAAGTTCTTATATCCACATTGGCCTATTGAAATGTGATCTGAGCTTGGCTCTCTCATGGGAAAGACCAGGTTTATTACATTCAAACAGAATTAGCAGCCACTTCAAATACTATAATCCAAGCAGCACTGTGCTTATAAACCATGAGCTTTTGTTTTAGAAATATAAACAAAAGGGTGATCCTTAAAGCTGCGTAAGTCATCCCAATTTCAAGTATTGGGTATTGGTCTGACAGCCTGACTCAGGCTGTATACAGCTACAGAGTACTTAGATCAATTAGATAAATTAAATTTTATAACAAAAGTCAACAGGATCATGATAGAAATTCAAACATAATTTGGAAAAATGAAACACACACACACACACACACACACTAGTCTGTACCTAGAAACAACAAAAAGAGAAGATACAGGACTCTGACCTTATAAGGCAGGCAATATATACTCCCCTCTAAAAGAGAATAGGGATACATTACCTCAGTTTTCAGGCTTTCTATCCAAACCTAAGCTTTACCTGGGCAGTCCTGCTGTTACACCCATTTAAATTTCCTTCCACATCTCTTTTTGGCACAGGGGAAATCAAAGTGTTTCTCCTAACTTTGTTCTTATCCATCCATTACACTACACTGTGAGGACCTGTTTTTGCTCACCATTAGAGCCCCCATGACTTGCATATTGCATGGCACATAGTAAATGCTCAGTAAATAACTTGTTGGAATGTTGGAATGTTGAATTAAAGATTTGATTTTTTTTCTTTCATCAAACACACACTTGCTGAATGCCTACCACAGGTTCTTTTTGGCATAAGCCCTCAATAAACATGTATGTTAATTACAGGGCAGTTTCAAGTCAAGGTCAGCTTTTCACATGAGAAAAAACTTAGGTGGACCAGCAGAACCTTCTGTATTCCCCATGATCACAATGAATTAAAGCAAAGTTCATGACATTGAAAACACCTTGTAGTGTTTAGATACTTTTCAGCCAGCTAGGAAATTGACTACTGGTCAGCACTTACTTAATCCACCATCGGAAATTTGGTACTTGGGCTACATCAAGTTGAATCTTAAAATCTTAACATTTATGAGTAAAAATGAAAAAAAGCATAGAAATGACTATTTGCCCTTATGCTTTTTGTGGAAAAACAGACTTAGCTTCCTTTACCTTTCCTTCCAACAAGTATTAGCATTAATCTTATGTTCTTATTATCATATAAAAGTATTTTACCTTCACTTCCTATGAAGAAAGTTTTCTAAAAATGTATATCTAATCTCTTCCTTCCATGCTTGAAATATTCCCAATTGTCTTCAACATAAAGTCAAGATTCCTAGCGTGATTTACCAAAGGCTTGATGATCTCACTTCATCTTTATTCTGCAAACTCATGCCCTAGCATTCTTCCCAATAGCAACTATCACTATCCCTAAATAAATGTTTAATACTTGAAATTCCCAAGCATGCATTGCTTTTTTTCTCCCTCTTGTCGTCTCTGTACAATAATGCCTCTCACCACCCACCCCAAAATTATTTCCTACACACACACACACACACACACACGCACACACACTTTACAAAGCTAACTTCTATTCATCCTTTTAATTACCTCGGGGCTCATTCTTCCAAAAGACTTACAAGATTTCCCCCATCCCTCTCTCCCATAATCTGGGTTAGTTGTCCCTCTTAGATATACTCTACACTGTCAAACCTCGTGTGTCCACTCACCCCTACCCCAATAGTTTGTAAGTTCTTGGAAGACAGAGCATAAATGTCTCTGGATCCCTAGCATCCAGGAGAATGCTTGCTATTTCATAAGGACTCAATAAAAGTGAATTAAATATACCACATTTTCTCGATCCATTCATCCATTGATGGACACTTCACTGATTCCATATCATGGCTTTTGTGAATAATTATGTCACATGTGGCAACATGGATGAAGCTGGAAGACATTATGCCAAGTAAAATCAGTCAGACACAAAAAGACGAAAAAAAAAAGGCATGTTCTCTTTTATATGCAAAATCTATAACAATCAAATTCATAGAAGCAGAGAGTGGAATGGTGGTTACTAGAGGCTGGGGATGAGAGAGAGTGGAATGGTGGTTACTAGAGGCTGGGGATGAGAGAAATGAGGAGATGTTGGCCAAAGGGTACAAAGTTAAAGTTAGACAGGATAAATAAATATTTAAGGTGGAGAACATGTCAATTACCTTGATTCACTCATTCCACATTGTATACATACATCATAACATTATGCGTACCACATAATTATATAACATTGTAATCTGTCACAAAAATGTATGAATGAATGGAATAAATGAACAAATATATTCAGGCCTTTTTTATTTGTTCATACTTTCAAATTATTCTGCATGGATTTATTAGTGAACCCATTAAGCCAATCCATAAAACCAAACAAAGTGACCAAAAATAAGCAAATTGCTTCCAAAGGATAGTGGCCTTTTTTTTTTTTTTTTGGTGGGCTTGCCACGTGTAAGATTTTAAACCAGACACTAAGAAAATATGTATATCATCACACATGCTCATTCTCCCAAGCAGTTTTCTGCTTCTCCAGTCTCCTCTATGGGACATGTGTATTTGACATTTTTCATGAGAGTACTATAGGAGATGGGATGATTATGCTTGGAAATTGTGAGGAGTCATGGTAAACAATGTGACAAGCATGTATCCTAGTGTCGGCATGACTGTGACAGACAAAATAAGAGACTGAGAGACAGACTGAGCACTATTCATTGACAACCGCTAAATGGCTCTTCATGAACTGTTCATTCACTCACAGACCTGGAAGCTGCTATCACTCTACCAAATTACCACACTGAATAGACATGTACATAGACAGTCTCCTACACACTATAGGTGAGCACAGTTGGCTGCTTGTATGAGTAGAAAATCAGTGGGATGCTTGGCCTATGTTATGCAGGTCAAATGAATATTATCATGTTACAAATGTCTCTGATTCAATCCATTCAACAAAAATGTGTTGAGCAAGTAACTTCGTGGCTTCAAGTGCTGTGGGTAAAAAAATACCCTGGATAAAAATTTTCTAACTAAAGCAAATATTTTTTATTGGACAACTACTGCAACATAGACGCAAATAAGAATGCAAACAGATTCTCCAAGTTTATAGTATAATTTTTGTATATTAATTAGTATACATGTTTAGTATATATTATTTAGTACATTATAGTATATATAAAATATATAATTTAGTATAATAAACAGTATAATTTTGCTAAAGGAGAAGATGTTCTAATGGAATATTTTTTCTACCTTCTCCCAAGTTCATTCATAAAATATCTTACTATCTGCTACTGTTCACATTTTGATACCGTACTTTGTCAATTTTAAGTTACTTAAGAGCTAGAAGTGGTTAAGTGAGTGAATCTGGGGTCACTTCTTTCAGAAATCCACAGTTCTCAGTGTTGTTTGAGAGACGAATTAGCTGTCTAGCCTTTTTGCAAAACTCACATTAAAACCTCTATTGGGGAAAAACCCTCATAATTTCTAAAATGAGCACTTTTAAATTGCATCTATAGATCTTCCTTGCATGAATGGATATCTGGCTTCATATCTAGTGATACCTGCTGCAATGCTGCCTCATAAAATTAAGCAACTATATAATCAATTACATTTTTAAAAGGCAACGTGATGGTGCTCTCCTCGGATGCCACACTGCCTCTGATTTGTTTGGAGACTACTGCACTTGATTAAGAATGGGAACAGACACTTGACAACATTGCAAAGGGGATGTAAATCAACTCAGAGGAGCAACAACGCATAACCCAATTGGCATCAAGGGAAACGATTTATTCCCTAAAAATGTTCGATTCAATCACAGAAAAGTTTATAAAATTACTTTGATAACACTTTTCACGATTTCATTCCTTTTTCCAAAATTTGCCACAATCAAAATGCAAATGCAAAATAAATGCTGTCATTAGTTGACTGTCAGTATAGTTATCACTGCTAGCTAAAATCCTGTGTGTAGCTTGTATTAATTTGGAAAAAAATAAATGCAAATAAGAGACCTTTTAGGTCTGTTACTGTGTGACTAGTTATTCTGAACCACTAAACTGAGAAGCTAAAATTTCCGTACTTATCCAGAAACTTTGTTATTGAAAAACAACGTTAACCTGACCTTGTATAGTAGTTAATCCAAGCTGAGATTTTGATTTGTATTCTGTTTTCTGTTGATGTGCTGCTTCTTATTGATAGGCAATTTGTAATTAGATTGCATAAACTTTTAACAGCTAATATTTCAACAAAGACACGAACTTTCCTGGAACAGACTGTTTTATCTTCCTTTAAAATAAATTACAGCTCACAAGCATCACTGATACTGGAAAATACATTGTATTAAACAAATTAAAGCAGTTTAAATTTTACCACTAAAATAATTTTTTAAAGTAAAGAATAATTTTAATCTTGAATATATTTTTAATGCTGCATGGGGCTTGTTTGGGTGTGTTTTGTATTGGTAAAAATCACAGAAAACTTAAAAACATGAGACAAATTAGCTAAAGGAACAACATATAAAATTGATGAACCTACCATATCCTTCCCAAGAAAACCTAGTTGGAATTGATTATCACCCTGAAAGTGTTAATATTTGTTTGGTGAGAGGCCCATGTAAAATAGTGAATAATTTCTAATGGTTATTGAATAGAACTTACATCTGCTAAGTTCTCAGTCCCTGCATAAGCCCTTTGCACTGGAAAACTGAGTTTTAAATGAAATCCTCAGAAAGAAGATAATAGATTGCACCATTAAAAATATTTAACTTTTATCGAGTATTTTATGGAATCTTCATGTGCATTAATCTTTCTTAAACTTCAAAATAACCTATTAACAGAGCACCCCATTTTAAAATTGAGGACACTGAAGCTCAGAAGAGTTAGGCAACATAGGCAAGGTTCTGCAGATAGCAAATTCCGAAGCAAGAACTAGACCCTGGAAATATGATGCCCATGCCCTTCTGTGAGCCACTGTGCAATGCTGCTTGAAAACAAGACACTAGCTTTTCCATTAGATGTGGTTTCTCCTTGCATACAGCGGTTATATACCAAGGAGTTGATATCTTTAACTCTGGCCTATAACCAACATCTTCTGCACCAGGATGGAAGGCTTTTATTTCCAAAGTTCCATGTTATTCAATGCTAATGAACAGTGCATTCTTACTAAGATTTACATGAGAAGAATGCAGACCTCATCTGAATTAGAGGAATCCCAGAGAAATTAATTTGTTCTCTGAGAAATGTGTGGTAAATAGCAGACGGCTTTTCTATTAAAATGCCTAGCATCCGTAAACAATACATCAGAAAGCAAGACAAAAGGGACTTGGGACAGATTTCATGGTAATATATGCCCTTAAGAGTGTCAAAATGTTCTGTCTTTCATCAGTGACAGAGTCAGACCAAAGCTCTTCTTCAGGCAACACATGCAAAGCAGTCAATTAATCTCCATTTATTGCACTTTATTTTAGCCCTTTAATATCTCTAAGTTTAGCTTTTCTTCTTCCAGCCCAGGTGCACTTTTTTTCTTGAGACATGCTAGTTAATTGTTAATACTTGGAAAGGATAAGATCACAAAAGACTGGTTCTTCAGCTAATAATATGCAGGCTGTTTTGCTTATACCAACTCCAGAGATAACTTTGGCACAAAATGGTAGGATGCTGTAAGAGATGATTATCTGGGCTGGGATGAAGAGCATTATGTCCTCTATTCAGCTATCCCCAGTCAGGATCATTGGGCTTTTTATATAGTTTATTCTTCATCCCTTTTAATTGTCTCATTTTGTTTTTCATCTTGGTACCACCCAAATGGAAAAAAAAAAAGTCTGACTTCTTTATTATCTGAGTGACATTTAGCTGTTTCTACATCAGGCTGAAACACTAGACATATGTCCTTTTCTGCTAATCTGTGGACTCCTAATCCCATTGTCATTAGAGCTGCCTCATTGCTCCATGCAGTCTTGTGTCATTGATTAGCATGCTTCTGGGCATAGAATAGGAACTCAAACATTTGTCAAAGAAATGATTGAATGAACTTAAAATTTGTAATGGAAGCCTAGAAATAATTGTTTGGGTAGTGCATGGATGAAAATGGCAGCATGCAGTGTGATGAAGACTTGAGTTTGGGCTAGGGTAGTTTTCATTTTGCATTCTCGCTCTGCCACACGTTAGGTAGGACCTTGGGCAATCACTCAACCCCAACGAACCATGGTTTTCCCATCTCTAAAACTGGGACTAAGACAATTAGCATGTACGAGACTCAGCTCTGTGCCTGACAACTAGCACATACACAATCACAGAGCTTTTGTTTATTTCATAGTAATCAGATAATGCATTTACACTAGTAACCTGGAGATTTTAATCTGAGTCACTAAAACATATATTCTAGGTGAATTTTAGATAGCATTAGAGTTCTGGGGAAGAGTAAACACTGTTTACTGTTTTTTTTTTTCCCAGAGGTAAAAGTGTTGACTCTAATTCAGAATAATAAACAGCCACCAGAAGGGAAGTTCACCTGCTGAAGAGCTGCTGTTGTTTATTTTTGATCACGTGGATGAGGTCATTCATTATCGGACAGCATTGGCTCCCTGAGTGAATATAATGCTGATGACAGTCTGCCTGGCTGTAATGGCTTCCTCTTATTTTAGGTGGCTCTCACCACTAGATTATTAACACAGTTCCTTCGGCTTGTCCTTGTGTGCAGTGCAGTAAAATTTTGGGAAAACAAGCTATGCTCACTGGGGACTATTTGCATCTGATCATGTATACACAAACCCACCAAGCTCTCAGACAGCTTGGAAGATGACATAAACACCTCCAAAACCCACCAGGATCGCATTCCCTCTCAGGTGCCTGATACCAGCTGTTGTGCCTGTCTGGGGACTGAGATTGCCAACTGCCTGTCTTCCACGCTTGCAGCATCAGTGAGCAATCATTGCTGCTGACAAGACTTGGATGGTCCTAACACGGAGGTGGGAGCAAAGTTGAAGCAACTGAAAGCTTCTCCTGCTGCTGCCTGGCTCAGATCCACCCTGACATCATTCATAAATGTGCAGTTAATGCAAGATGCAGATGCTGGTGTTACAGCTGCCAAGGCCGACAGAATTCCTATTTTAGCTACTGTCCACCACGCAGTGACGGGGTGCCCTAGGCAAGTGAAAATTGCTGCAGGCAGCGGTCAAAACAAGCTCCCTGCATCTTATTATCCCACTAGTATGCCTCTCCTGTGCCCTTTCCAATCTTTCAACCTTCACACTCTCTCCGCCTTTCCTACTCCAGGGATAAATTTATCCCAGGGGTGGTTAAAGCTAATGGCTGTACAATTTTCATACACTTTCATCAAAGACATATTTATATAAACCTCCACATTACTGAAACTTGTGCACAGTTTAGAAATCATGAGCCAAATTAGGGTTCATTCATTCAAGCAAATATTTATTGCACACCTCCTCTGTATTAGATTGTCACTGTATCATACTAATGCCTTTTCCTTGCAACAACTATGAGAACAGTTTCTGATAGTTCTCATGAAAAAATCTTAATCCTGCTCATAGAATTACTCACACCTCAAGGAATGTAACATTCAGTTTACATATTTTCTCTGGCAGATACTCAGTGGCAATAGCAACCTAATGACAGCATCTCTTTTAGGTCAATATGAAAAGTTGACTTCTAAGTTTGAGTACTAACCTCCCATTCTGATACACCCTGCTTCCCCCCAGAATTCTTAAGTTGAATAGAAATGGTTTCATTAACACATGTTCAAACGTAACTTTCAACCTAGCCAAGATTTAATTCATTTTTGAGGCCTCTCAATTCTCCATAGAGTGTTTACCTTTAAATATATTTGGTTTAATCATATAAAACTTATTACGTATAGTAACATCAGTTTCACATGAATGAAATTCAACTGGATAGGAATTATAGGGAAAAGCTAATTCTATTTTGCAATTTGTTTTGAAAGTCAACCAAGATAATCTAATCAATATCGTCAAGTTTTTATCTTCACATTTCATAAACAGAGTTTTTTTGAAGATAGTTATCAAATATAATAGTCAATGAAAAGTATTGTTTTACCTAGAGCACATTCCAGAAGAACAAGCCATGTGGTATTTGCTCTGAGAAAACTTATAGATTAGTCATCCTCTAGCTGAATATGCTGACCAAAGAAAGGAAGAGAAAGAAAAAAAAAAAAGACTAAGAGAGGAAAATGAAGATGGCTGGCAAGGTCCCTCAGCTTAATTGAATAAACAATGGAATTCCAAACAGCATCCTATATGCCCTCTCAAAGCCAAACTGGTTTGGTTGATTCTAAAGTGCTAAGTGGCTCCTACAGGGCATATCACAGTTCTGGCTTTTGGCCAGATCTGCCAAATGGCTTCACTTTCATTTTGTCGCCAGGTAAGGGAAAACCTAAAGCCTTTATGATGTACCCAGAAGTATGTTTACTTGCCAATATCATGTCTATGAAGATCAGAAGGATCTATAGCGCTTTGCAAGTTACAGGAATGTTTTCTCTCTTACGATTGTACTTGGCTATTCTGCAACCCTATGGGGACAAAAACACAGAAATAGTATTGTTATCTCTGCCTAAAAGTGAGAAATTAAGACTCAGAAAGATCACACATCTGATAAGACACAGACTCAAAACTAGAATCCATGGCTTCTGATTCCAAGTTATTTGCTCTGTGTTTGTGAAAAGGGGAAAGGGAGTGACTCCAGGAATGGATTGCCGTGCCATATTCCTAGCATTCTGAATTCTCTGGGCATTTATCTGTACAGGTATAGATTAGAGAGCCCTGTTGTAATAGAGGTGTATCCTCAGAGCTGCTGATTCATTTGTTTAGCTAGAACCAAGTACTGTGAGAAGATGTGACTTGTAAAGCCTTCAAGAAAGTAGTAGCCGGCCACTGATAAGTAGCAAGTTGGAGCTGCTCACCCAAACTGGTCAACACAGCCTGTCTTCTATGACTTAGAAATTCCTTAGGCCTGGAGGTCTTTCAGGAACATACCCCGTACTCCTGACTGTCCTTCCCAGAACATTGTAGCCTAAGGACTGGTACGCTTGTTACTCCCTGATATAGGATGCCATCCTCATTATAGGATGGAGAGTCTCCAGCCAAAACTTGGTAACCAAACAAGTGATTGAATAATGGCGAATGGCACACAGGTTTTGAAATGAGCCTTGGGAAAGTCTCTTCCCCCCTCTGAGTTCCAATTTGTTTTCTATAATAGGGGACACTACTATGTTTATTGCAAATATGATGAGATGATTACAAAAGGTTAATGGAGTGATCTCTTCTATTATGCTATAGGGTATTCTACACCCTATACCAACCCTACGAGGTAGATGCTATTATTGTCCCATTTTGCAGATGAAGAAAACTACAGCATAGAGAAGTTAAGTAAGTTGGCAAAGTAACTTACTATGTAGCTAGTAAGTACAAAAACTAAGATTTGAATGAAAGGTCCCAAATTTACTCTGCTATGTTGTTTCCCAATTATCCTGATTTTTCACATATTCCATACCACTTAAACTACAAAGTCTTTTAGGTTACTTTGGAAAGCAGTGTCTAAAATCTCAATCTCCAGAAATTCATTGCTAAATGCATCCACTAGCAATTATAGGAAAACTACCATGAAAAGCAATATGATGCATATAAAACTTCGAAGGATTATAAAATAAAAGGGCAAAGTAGTAATATAGTCAAAGTGGATAAAAATATTTTGCAAATAGAGAAATATTTAAAATAGAAAAAAATCTACAAGGTACTTTAGGAGCACTGACATGTGTTATATCCGCGTGCACCCTCCATTTAAAAGCCACTGTTATTCATTGTTCATCTTTAAGTACTCTTTGCCAACACACTGAATATCAGCCCTAAACAAACTGCTCTAGAAAATATGGAATTACACATGGCTGTTGCTTTTTGGATTCATGACACAAATTTTTTTAACCAAATATGAGAGTAACACATGGTTTTTGTAAAGAGAATATTTTAAGCAAGACAGTCATTTTGTTCAAGTATCTGTGACAGTAATATTAAGTCCAAACAAAGTAAATGACATCTTATGTGATTCAAAATATTTCAAAATACAATATAATGTGATGTTTCTGAAGTTCCAGAGCTGCCAGAAATCTAAGGAAAAGCATTGCTATCTCTTCTGAAAAAAATTTATCTCTGTGGCCATTTTACAGAGTATTTGTCAATTTCAACCACATTGAAAATAGAGCTTCAAAAACTTTCTCAGTGGGACTTATTGGGGAAATCAAGAAATTTCATAGACATCCTTGGTGACTTTGTTCCAACAATCTGGCCACAGAGGCAACCATAATATCCCATGGGTCCTCACTATACATATACAATTTGAGAACGTGACGGATCTTTCTCACTCCCACACTGTAAAGGAAAAAATACTAGTTCAAATTTTACACACTACATCTAGCACATACATACTAGAATACTAGGGATGTTCACCATCCATAATTTATTCCATTTTTAAAAGGCATTTCTGTATCCAACCTCCTATCACCTCCGTCTCCAGCCCTGCATGCTAACTTTGGATTTGATTTGGTATCACATGCCAGAACATGAATATTAGCATGCTTGGGGTTGAGGGGGTGGAGGGAATTTGTATAAACAAGGGATGGGAGGAAACTCCTAGCTTAGCTCTAGGAAATTAACTGGCCCTAAAACAGTCTAGAGAGCTTCCTCACAGTATTGAATCTTTCATTTTCTCTTATGGTCAGGCCCATTTACTAAGCAGTGTGAAGGAATTGCTGCAGCTTTTGGCACATAGCTGACAAGATGCACAAAACTTCAGTTTGATTTCCATATGCTCATTGTGTTCATTTTCTTCCAGCCAAATGCTCCCTAGATCTTGTTTGCTGTCTCTTTTAGCTTCTCCTAGATTCTCCTGAATGCTAATGTTTTCCTTCCCTTCTCAGTAATGTTCTAGTGGGGGCATGCAAAAGTACTTCTTTATCCTAGAAATGGCCACAGTAGGAGTAATATTGCACTTCTATGCAGCAGTTGTCCTCATTGCCAGAGATTGTTAGTTTCATAAAAATGAAGTATAATGTTCACACACAAACCGGGCAAATTATTGTAAATAGCAGATTTTTAACAATGACAGAAAACACATGTATTGTTCAGGTACCGAGAAACCTTGTCATATGATTTCTATTATAATATTTGCATATTTTAAGTGAATGGCAGTCTTCCATCCCTGAACCTCTAGTTTTTATAGAAAATTGTTTTTAGCAAACACCAAGAACACTGAATGTTACAAGCCATACAAGTGACATGAGTGAAATGAAAGGAGTTTTCGCTGGTAGAGCTGGCATGTTAAAGTGATTCTATGCCAAACTCAAGTGTCACAGAGGAAACCCCAAAAAGGATGATACCCTAATTTTAATACTAAGGACAAAACCTACTTTCAGCAGTACTGTTGAAATAAATGCTACACTTACTGACTCCTTCTATGCCACGTACTGAGTGTCTTTGTGGTGTTCAAAGACCAGTGTGGAAATAGATGTGTTCACAAATGCCTGATTCTTTAGGGAGACAGAGAGCAAAGTACAAGGATGGCCCTAAAAAGAAGACGGTCAGCTCAAGCTAGCGGCATTTTTAAAATCAGGATCTGAAGGCCCCCTTGAATGCTAATATATATGCAGAAGTAAACTGGAAGATTGAGGAAATTTTAGGAAAACAAATAGAATACTTGGGGTTAGTTTACTTCTGCAAGGAAATTTTAGGAAAACAAATAGAATACTTGGGGTTCCATCCTCAAACTTTTGAGTTTACATCCTCCTGGAATCCTGGAATCAGCCCTAGAACTTAAGCAAGTATGATTAAGGGAGAACAGCCAGTGTAGAACTAAACATCTAGATCTAGATTCCTATAACCTGGAGCAGGAGGGAGAATGTTCGACATATAATTCAGTGCAAGGTAAAATTTACTAGGGCTGAAAGGGTAGAAGATATGTAAACACTTTCTACCATGTGGTCTGTTATTATTGACATCTGTGTTGTTGGTGTTTCTGTAGGTGCTCCTTCAAAATAGATGCAACAATTAATTTAATAATAAAGACTAGCATCAACATGAAAGCTACTGAGTAGATCAAGCGAGCAACACTTATTCAAGATCATTATAGAGCAAAACTCACTGAAATTATATCTAGCTTTCTCCCTCAGTGACAGGATTCAATAATTGAAGGGTTTTAGGTACTTGCAATGTAATAGACACATGAAGTGACAGATATTCCATGGGAATCAAATAAGGAAAAGCACATAAGTAACTGGGTTTTGGTGGAAAACAAACAGCCTTGCGATGACTTTATCAATTCTTAGCTTAGTGTGACTTTTCTCTCATACTAATAGTTGGAAAAAGATCATTTTGTCCTGAAGAAGCACAGTGAATAGTATGCCATAGGCACCAAGCAGAGCTTGTTGACTGAGTCCACAAATACATGAAGGTTTGCCTCTAACTGTATGCATTAGAGTTTTTATTTCTTCTTCCAGATGCTTTCATAATTTAGGTTTCACACTGAGTCATGCAAGCTAATGTGAATTCTGCCTTCTTCCGGTGTCTTCTCAATTTGGAGGCTAATGCCAGTATAATTCTCGGGTTGTCATTAAACCTCCAAAAATCATATGACTCATGGACACTTTCTTCTCTGAGGCTCTTTGCCAGTAGTACACTACCAAAGCAATTGCTAGTGTACTACTTGTTAGTTCTGAGCCATGTAGCTCAGCATCTCTCCTGTATTATGGGTGTTCCGTCACTGCTTGACAACACAAGGCATGCAATTTACAGGCTTAAAACATTTACACAATTTAAAAAAATTTTGTGCCAGTATTCTCTAGGATCTGCGTGGGCATTTAAAAAAAATGCATGTTGGCAGAGATGATGTACTTTTGATTTCTGAATATAAACAGTGCAAGCCAGGACTTACAATTCATAAATAAATGTCCATGTTTTCCCTGCATGATATAAATACTCTAAAACACTGCCTACAAATTGAAAGCTAAGCAGGGAACTCAACCAAGTCCAGTGGATTGAGGTACCATTCTGAGAGCATGGAAGCATCCTTGATGTTTTAGTATACATAAAGCAGCTAAAGGTAGACCACAAATGCTTTAGTCAAATCCAACCAAGTTGTTAACAGACAATTTGTCAAGGGGCTGCTGTGATAATAGCTTGCTTTTGGTGGCCAACTATTTTAACTCATGTTTAGGCTAGACCAAGCTCTTAGCCTTCCAGAGATTCTTTTTAAGAGCACTAATAGCAGCATTTGTAGTCAATACACAGTTTGAAGTTCCTTTAAAATTAATTGGGAAATTCCACTTTACATCTAGACTGATCCTTCCTGCTTCGGCATTATCTACATGTTGATTCAAGGGGTAGTTTTTACCTTCTTATTGCTTCTGTAACAACTTACCACAAACTTAATCACTTAAAAGAAAACACATTTATTTTTGTACAGTTCTGTGGATCAGAAGTCTGAAACCAAGCAGTTGGCAAGACTGCTGCATTTGTTCTGGAGGCTCCAAGAAATCTGTTTTCTTTCATTTTCTAGCTCCTAGAGACCACCTGCATTACTCGGCTCAAGACTGTTTTGTCTCATCCCTCCAGCTCCTTGCTTTCTTCCCCACACTTCCTCTGATCCACCTGCGCTCCTCTTATTAGACCCTTGTAATTACAATGGACCCATCTAGATAATTTATGCTAATTTCTCCATCTCAAAATTCTTCACTCAATTGTGTCAGCACACTCGCTTTTACCATGTAAGGTGACATATTTACAGGTTGTGGGGATTAGGATGTGGGCATCCTTAGGAGGCCATTTTTCAGCCTACCACAGGTATGTATACCAAAGGGGACACAAATATAGCAACTTCACCAATTTAGGACATTATTTCCCTCTCTAAAGCACCAGAGAATCACAGATGAAAAGAAGCAATCAGGACAACATTAAGTTATGCTACTGCAAACAGACCATATTAAAAAGTTGGCTTAGGCCAGGCGCAGTGGCTCACGACTGTAATCCCAGCACTTTGGGACGTCAAGACAGGCGGATCACAAGGTCGGCAGTTCTAGACCAGCCTGGCCAACATGGTGAAACCATGTCTCTACTGAAAGTATAAAAATTAGCCGGGCGTGGTGGTGTACATCTGTAATCCCAGCTACTCAGAAGGCTGAGGCAGGAGAATCATTTGAACCCGGGAGGCAGAGGTTGCAGTGAGCCGAGATCGTGCCACTGCACTCCAGCCTGGCAACAGAGCGAGACTCCGTCTCAAAACAAAAACAAATACAAAAAACAAAAAAGTTGGCCTAGGCATATATTTATGTTATCAAAGACTGAGATCTGGGTAGAATTATAAGATACTGTTCTTGGATCAGCTTTCTTGTTCCTAAACATAACAGCCTTGATGCCCTTTCATTGCCTTATCTAGGTGCCTCTGCTAAGGCTCAGAGATAAACACTGAGCTGGATCAAAGATTTTACCTTCCAGCATCTTTCAGGATCACTCTGCAAACTTACTGGTACAAAGAGACAAACCCAGATATGCAAATATTTTTAAAGTGGCTAATGCAGTGTTTAGAATCAAGTTGGCTTGAAACCCGCATGTGAAATGCAAGTGCTGCACAAATTCCCTTTATTGCTCAAATGCTCCAGAAAGAACAATCCCTAGGGCTGTGCTGTGCCATTTGGAATGAAAATGAACATCATATGAAAACTTGGGTATATTCTAAAGGTCAGTGGAATTTCAACCACATGTTTTGCTTCCATACAACAGACTCGGCCATAGGAGTGGTTAATAAGTTCCATTTGGGAAAAGAAATATAAACATTCTTAATAATATGTTTCCATTTCAACCTTGGCTCTTTCTTAAACTTCAAAACAGTCTCAATATTCATTTATTATTTATTCATTCTTTTATTTCTAATGTATCCAACACTTATTACCAAAAATCAAATATTTTTAAATGTCTAAAATTGAACTCATCACTCCCCACCTGCCACATATCATCTCTTTCTGCTTCCTCTTCCTTGAACCTGTTTTGTTTTCTCCGTCTCAGGGAGTGACATTACCCATCACCCCATTCAGAAACTAGGAATGAGCTAGAAGTGTCTTCCCCTGCCTCATTTTCTATATCCAATGTCATTAAATCCTACAATGTACTAAACGAAGATTTTTTCCTGTTTATATATAAATATATGCCTTATTTCAGACTCTTGTCTCTTGCCTGGACAATCACAATAGCTTTGTAACTCACATTCTGGTTTTTGATCCTGCTCATTTTGTTCAGTCCTTTACATTCTGAACAGAGCGCACGTTCAGAAATGTTAGTGTCATGTCACTTTCCTACCTCAAACTTTTCAGTGGCTCCCCATTTCTTAGAGGTTAACATTTAAACAACTAATTTTGCTACAAAAGGCCTTTTGTAATCTTCACCAGCCCTCTCTTCAGCACTCCATCTTTCTGGGCCTCTAGTTCCATTTATGAACCCTATGACTCAGCTACACAACTTCCTCTTTGCCCAGCACTGCAACAAAAATTAGCAGAACAGCTCCTTCTATTCAAGATGTTACAGTCTCTTGGAAGGAATAAAACTGTTGAACTATGTTTTAAAAGAAAAAGATAGTTAAATGATATCATAAGGGAAGAACTAAGTGCTTTGAGGTTCGAAGGTCAGAGAAAGTATTTTTCAGGGGAGAATCAGTGTAGCATTCATAACATGCTGCAAGTATAAATTCTGTAAATAGGAAGAAAATATAAAGGACATTCAAGATAGGAAAGAATATCGTTCTGATCTTTTAAAGGTCTCAGTCAAATTTTACAAATCTTCTTATTCGTATTTTAAGCACCTTGAGCTGTAATAAATTTAGTACCACAGACACTATGCTGGTGGGCAGTTTCAGTGCCTGGAGCAGTCTCAGATTTTATAATCAGTGACTAGGGGAAGGAAGAAAATAGTGAATGCTTTAGACAAATTATTTGCAAAGCATACAAACAAAAAATTACTCAGAGAGAAATAATCGCTCTTTTTGGACAAGCATCCACTGTTGCTGGCAGTGTAATATTTCTCATTTCTGTTAATGACTATGATTGACTCCCATTTCATTCCAATCTATCAGCTCTTAGTGATTTTTATTGACTTCTCTTTCCAACTTAAAACCTGCAGTTCATTAATCCACCCTCTTTCTTGATGATTCCCACTTGCCTAGCAAAATCCCAAACCCGCATCAATCTAAATGTCTGCCTCCTCCAATACCAGCCTTTGGCTGTTGAGAGGCACCCACACAAATATTCCTCTTCATACCACAATAGAAGCCAGGGTATTTCTCCCAGCCAAGCTGTCAGTGATACCCATGCAGACCTCAAGAGCTGACTCTAACTGCATGCACTCACCCCCAGCAGACGATGTCTTTCCTTCACAGTAAAATGAAATAGCATCATTTTAACTCCTTCATTGCCAACATCAAGAAACTTACCTGTCCCCATCCTTATCTTTGTATTGCAAAAGAATTTTTCTTCCTTTTGAAAAACATATTGTGGTTTAGTGTTTAAGGCCTGATGTTGCTCATTTCTAACAAGCTCTCTTGGAAGGCTACTGCTGCTGGTCCGGAGATCAGCTTCGCTGTGATTCACAGTTCCTGGAACTCATTTTCTACATGAACACTCAGAACTTCTTTTCCTAACCTGCAACCTTTCCTCACTACTGGCTTTTTCCTTTCAGCATATTGATAAACACATGGCCCTGATCTTTAAAGAAAGAAAAATAGGCCTTAGAAGTTGACTGAATGAATAAATACCAAACCAGTAAGTCCTACCTCTGGTTACTTAGCCCTGCATCTCACCTTCTCTTCAAACTGAGCCTTCCTGACTGTGTAATCAACATGCTTTTTTTTTCCCCACATCTCACTTTCAAAACAATAGAGGTCCAATTTTATCCCCACAATGACATAGGAATTGCTCTCACAATGCCATTCAGGACCTGCTGGATGATAAACTCAATGGATGCTTCCCAACCTTGGTCTATTCAACATTCTAGTAGTATTGGACACCTTATTAAAACCTTACAAGCTTCTTCTTCTCTGACTTGTGTTATATCATCCTACTCCTATTTCTGTAATCATTAATTCACAGCTCCCTTCCCAGGGTTCTATTTCTCTACTCACGACTTAAATGTTAGTTCCTTGGGATTCCTTCCTTAGTCATCTTCCTATTATATATTCTCTCTCTTCATAGGAATCCACTTTCATGAATTCAATCACTATATTTCTCTTGAAGACTTCTAAAATGATGCCTCAAGAGCAAATATTTCCCTTGAGATCTCAACCCTCATATTCGACTGCTTAATTTAAGCTTTCCACTTGTAAGCCAAAGACATTTAAAATGCACTATCTCTATAACTAAACTCTAGACTTTTCTCCTAAGCTTTCCTCTTTTATATTTCTCTTCTCAAAAGATATCACCTGCTATTGAGCACATAAGCAAGAAACATGGGCACCATCTTATTTCCTTCCTCTTCCATACCTCTTGTGTATCCACATTCTATCAACTCTACTCCTTTCAGTGTCTCCCCAGCCCATCCCCTCTTCTCCATTCTTACTGCCACTAGTTCAACGTGGTCCTTCCCCATCCCTTTCCAAAAGCAGTTGCTGCTCTTGCTCCCTCTAGTCTGGGTGCCTTCTATCCCCACCCCACAGAGCAACAGAAGTGATCTGGCTAATGCCATTGTTGACAGTAACAGTCGAACTCTGTAAGATATTTGAAGAGATTTATTCTGAGCCAAATATGAGTGACTGATGGCCTATGACACAGCCCCAGGGGATCATGTGCCCAAAGTGATCAGGCTACAGCTCGATTTTATATATTTTAGAGATACATAAGACGTTAATCAACACATGTAAGATGTACATGGGTTTGGTCCAGAAAGGTGGGACAACTGGAAGTGGGGGCTTCCCGGTCATAGGCAGATTCAAAGATTTTCTGATTGGCAGTTGGTTGAAAGAGTTCTTATCTAAAGACCTGGAGTGTCTGGGTTAAGATAAGGGGTTATGGAGACCAAGGTTTTATCATACAGGTGAAGCCTCCAGGTAGCAGGCTTCAGAGAGAATAGATTGTAAATGTTTTTTGTTTTATTTTGATCAGACTTAAAGAACATGTTTTATTCAGTCTTAATGTCTCTATATTGATGTTAATGCTGGTCAGCTGTGCCTGGATTCCAAAAGGTAGGAGAGTAAAATGAGGCATGTCTAGACTCCCCACTTCCCATCACAGCCTGAACTAGTTTTTCAGGTTAACTTTGGAATGCCCTTGGCCAAGGGGAAGGTCCATCAGTTGGCTGAGAGGCTTAGAATTTCATTTTTGGTTTACAGCACAAACATGATACAAAAAATCTGCAGCATCTCTCCAGTGCTTAAAGGTCTGTAGAACCTGGCCACAGCCTCTCCTTTTCCTCCAGCCTCAATTCCCAAGACTCCTGCTGGCACCCTAAGATCCCAGGTACATAGAATTGCTCACATTTATCCCTCCAATAGACCACAAGCCCATCTTTGCCCAGGCCACTAACTCATCTTGGACTCTTTCTGCACTCACCACTACCATCCTGAGTCTTTACCAAAATAGTTCCTTTTCACCCCACAAGTCTCCACTCAGTCTTTATATCCTCTAGGAAGCCTACCTCTTCCTCAGTTCAGTTAAGTCCCCTGTACATTCTTCTGTAACACCCTATTTCTAACTTTGTATTTGCCTCACTGTTTGCTACAGTGTACGGTGTCAACCAAAAATAAAATTCTAAGCCCCTCAATTGACTGAATGAACCCCCTTCTCAGCCAAGAATATTCCAAAGTAAGCCTGAAAAACTAGTTCAGGCCGTGATGAGAAAGACAGGTGTTTTGGGGGGCCAGACATGCCTTGCCTGTAATCCCAGCACTTTGGGGGCCGAGGCGGGTGGATCACCTGAAGTCAGGAGTTCAAGACCGGCCTGAATAACATGGAGAAACCCCATCTCCACTAAAAATACAAAATTAGCCGGGTGTGGTGGTGCATGCCTGTAATCCCAGCTACTCAGGAGGCTGAGGCAGGAGAATCGCTTGAACCCAGGAGGCAGAGTTTGCAGTGAGCCAAGATCACGCCATTGCACTATAGCCTGGGCAACAAGAGCAAAACTCCATCTCAAAACAAAACAAACAAACAAAACAAAGCAAAACAAATTCAGGCAAAAGTGACAAGCACTCACATTAAAAGAGAAATCTTAAGACTGACAAAACAGACTCTTTGTAGCAATAAGATACCAAATTCCAACCTTACTCTAGAATAGTATGACATGACAGACAGCAGGCCCTGAAAGAAACTGTATTTTACCTTAAAATATATTTCTTTGACATACTTCGAAATGGCCCTGCAAAATTGCCTCTTGTGGGGAAAATCTACATTCTCTGAAGAATCCTCCTTCCCTTTCCTGGCCTTTTCCTGATCCAGGAAAGGTTTAACTAAGTTTGACACATTTAACTAAGTTTGGCACATGTCTGATAAAAGACATTTACCATCTATTTTCTGAAGCCTAGAAGTTTTAGCTACATAACAAGAACCTTGGCTTCCACAAGCCCCGCCCCCATCTTAACTACAAACATTTCTTTCTGCTGATTTTAACTATTCAGGAAGAGTGTAACCCTTTCTACCAATTGCCATCAGAAAATCTTTGAATCCACCTATGACCTGGAAGACCCTTCTCTGACTTCAAGTTGTCCCGCCCTTACAGCCTAACAAATGTACACCTTCTGTGTATTTGATGTCTGCTTGTAACTTCTACGTCTAATATGTATAAAATCCAGCTGTAATCCAACCACCTTGGGCATATGTTATCAGGACCTGTTGAGACTGTGCCTTCGGCCTTGGTCACTCACATTTGGCTCAGAATAAATTCCTTCAAATATTTTAGAGTTTGATTCTTTTTCATCAATAAAGGCCATTGAGAGCTGGAAATACATCTTATTATCACTTTATTTCCAGTATTTTGCTATCTCTGGCACATATGAAACCATTAATACATGTTTTTGAATAAATGAATAATTAACTATTCTTAATAGTTTAAAACTGGCAATTTCTGGGAAGAGAACAGGTTTGGGGATATCTTTGAGCTAAGAGTGGCAGCATTTCTCCTGATCGCTGTTGTCTCTACCATCCCCACTTCTAAATGTTTCCTCTAAATTCAGGTAAAACTCATTTTCACAAGCAAGAATAAAAACTAAGATTTCTAAACTCCCTGGAGGCCATCCCCTAGTCTAATAATTGTACTTTATTTATTTGCTCATTAGTGTATGAAGCTGTTTTCCTATTTTCAGAAAGCTCTATGGGCTCTTCAGTAATATTCTCATCATATAAAATCTCAATCATTCTCCTACTTGGAAATAAATGTTGTTGTCTAAAGCCCATTTATGTTTATGATGAAAGGCAAAGGTCCCAATCTATGATCTCAATGACTATACAAAAATGTATTCTCTGAGACAAAATAGCACCTCCAAGTGTGTTCACCAGCACACTCAGATGAGCACATCAAGTCTCGGCAGATCACCAATGCAGAGAGTTCCTCCCGTCTCTACTAAAAATAAAAATAAATATAAATTAGCTGGGCATGATGGCATGAGCCTGTAATCCCAGCTACTCAGGGGGCTGAGGCAGGAGAATCACTTGAACTTGGGACACGGAGGTTGCAATGAACCGAGACTGTGCCACTGCCCTCCAGCCTGGGTGACAGAGCAAGACTCCATCTCAAAAAATAAATAAAATTTAGTTTTGGAGGTTTATTCTGCAGCAATTTAAACTTAGGCCAAACTGATTGTTTTTCTGGCTTAAATTGCATTATGGACTTCAAGGAGAAAAACACAAACAGTTGGCAAATTTACAGCCTTAAAACAAAATTGTCTTAACTTGAGGGATTCCCTTAATATTGCTTCTTATAATTTCTCTTTTTAAGAACTTTCCTATTTCATGAGAATCTAGAAACATGAAGGGTCACACACAGGAACTACTTCAAGCTAGAGTTACCCCCACCCGAAAAAATACCCTACAACAATATAATATCTTTTGATGTAAATTCCTTATGAGTTGGGTGCCACAGCCAGAGTAGGAGTTAGGTAACAGAGCTCGGTAATGTTATTCATTTTTTATGCACACGCTAATTCTGTTAGCAAATCTAGCATACTACAATCTGAGGCGAGGAATCCATACCAGGAGGACTTCCAGTAAATACAAAATAATCCAGTGATTTCTAAAATCAACCTCCTCACTTCCTTATTCCTCCAGTTTAACTCCTTAGTCTATCATTTCAACCACTCTCTTGTTAATATCTTCCACTCCTTTGCTCCTAGCATCCCAAATGCCTGCCAAAACCTCAAGCCTAAATTATAGCTAACACTTGTACAGGGCACACTTCGTGCTGACTATCCTCAGCACATGGTGTGCATTGACTCTTTAGTAATTACAGCAACCCTACAGGGGCAGGGAGTCTTCTTACTGTTCCCTGTTCACAGATAAGGAAACAGTGCGGGGTTGGGGAGAGAGTGGGAGTAAGTGACATGCCTGAGGTCACACTGCTATTAAATAATGACTATTTGCCTCAGATGCTGTATTAGTTCGTTTACATGCTGCTGATAAAGACATACCCGAGACTGGGTAATTTATAAAGAAAAAGAGGTTTGATGGACTCACAGTTCCACATGGCTGGGGAGACCTCACAATCACGGCAGAAGGCAACTCTTCACAGGGTGGCAGGGGAGAGAATGAAAACCAAGCTAAACGGGTTTCCCCTTATAAAAGCCATCAAATCTCGTGAGACGTATTCACTACCATGATAACAGTTTGCGGGAAACCACCCCCATGATTAAATTATCTCCCACCAGTTCCCTACCACAACACATGTGAATCATGGGAGCTACAATTCAAGATGAGATTTGGGTAGGGACACAGCCAAACCATATCAGATGCTCTTCCACAATATTGCTGAGCTCTGATGGGAAAGACCACACAAGCCACCAAATTGATACCACTACAAATTATAGTAGTCTTCCTCTTGGGACTGTCAACCCTACTCAAACAAATATATTAGGCGTCCCCAGTCAGCTAGACTTTTTATTCTCCCCAGTGACTGTCTCAACCATTTCCTTTTTTCATCTTTTCTTCACCCTTAGCAGATTAGGGCCCCTCCTACTGCTCAGAGAAAATAGAAATTATCAGACAGAAATTATTTCAGCTCCTAGTGCCTATTACTATAGAAGAGGGCCCTCACGTCCCATCTAACAACACAGAATTTCGTGCCTTTCTGCTGTCTCAGGTACTCTAGTCTCCCTAGCCATTCTCTTTTACATTCAACCTCTCTCTCCCACCAGATTATTTCTCACCAGCATTTAAAGATATTTCTCTCTCATTTTAACTATCCTCCCTCTGCACTGTCTCTTACAGCTACTGAACTCTTTTTATTTCTGCAGCTTTTACTTCCCATCCATTCATCAGTCTTCCCCAGCCTGGCCTTTGCCTTCACCACTCCGCAGACATTGTACTTGTCAAGCAAGGTCACCAAGGAGCTTGTCTCTGCCTTATCTCCACGCCCATCTCAGCTGCACTTGACACTGCTGTCACAGTCCTGCCAGAAACCTTTACTTTCCTTTGCTTCTCTGCTATCATGTATTGCTATTTTTTTCCTTCCTTTTTGAAATCTTTTTTGTCTTCTTAGGTGGCTCCATCTCATCTGTCTTCCCTTAAATGACAATGTCGTCCTAGGCCCTCTTTCTTCTTGCAGGACATCAAATGCTCATTCACTCCCCTGAATTCAATTACCATTCATTTTCCAGGGGTTCCACCTCTCTATGCCCAACTCAGTCAATTCTATTCCCCTATTCATCTCTGCTTAGATGATTCATGTGTATATCAATTCAAACTTTCTAACATTGACCTCATTCTCTTTTCTCCAAATCCTGCCCCTTCTCCAGCATTCCATACACTTGTTCAAATTAGAAACTTAAGGAGCATGTTCTACCTTATTCCACACATTCAGTCTACCACCAACATGAATCATGCTGACTCTATTGCCTAAATATTGCTCACACCCATTCACTTCTCTCCCTTCTTCATGGCCACCACCCACAATTATCTTTGCCTGGACTAGTGTAAAAATTGATTCAATTATTCTACTTCTAGCAACACAGCCCCTGCCTCTGCAACAACTCATTATCCACATTAAAACCAGCGTCATCTATGTAAAAAGTAAATTGGTTATGTCGTGGTTGCAATTGCACCTTAGATGCAATACAAGTACCAACTATAGTTTTGTTTTTTTTTTTTAAATTTATGCTTTAAAATTTTCCCTTTAGCTAGTGTTTCTTTTTTTTAAATTTTTTTTATTATACTTTAAGTTTTAGGGTACATGTGCACATTGTGCAGGTTACTTACATATGTATACATGTGCCATGCTGGTGCACTGCACCCACTAACTCGTCATCTAGCATTAGGTATATCTCCCAATGCTATCCCTCCCCCCTCCCCCCACCCCATCAGAGTGAACAGGCAACCTACAAAATGGGAGAAAATTTTCACAACCTACTCATCTGACAAAGGGCTAATATCCAGAATCTACAATGAACTCAAGCAAATTTACAAGAAAAAAACAAACAACCCCATCACAAAGTGGGCGAAGGACATGAACAGACACTTCTCAAAAGAAGACATTTATGCAGCCAAAAAACACATGAAAAAATGCTCATCATCACTGGCCATCAGAGAAATGCAAATCAAAACCACAATGAGAAACCATCTCACACCAGTTAGAATGGCAACCAACTATAGTTTTTTAAAAACAGTAAGAACATGCTCCTATCTGTCTCTACTTTTATCTTTTGGCCCCCTCCCACTGACTCTACCCTGGGTTGTTGCAAATGCTTTCCCATATCCCGAGCTTCCACTGCAGATAGAAGCTGTTCCTGTGGGGCTCTGCTGCCTGATGCCTCTCACTGGCCCCTCCTTCTCCCACCACTTTCTTAAGGCACCCGTCTTGGACTTCTACACTAGATTAAATCCCCTTAGTATATGAACTCTTTATTTTTCACAAATTTAATCCCATTCTTTTCTTTTTTCATTTTTTTTTTTTTGAGATAGATTTTACTCTGTTGCCCAGGCTGCAGTGCAGTGGTGTGATCACAGCTCACTGCAGCCTTGAACCCTTGAGCTTAAGCGATCCTCTCATCTCAGCATCTCAAGTAATTAAAACAACAGATGTATGCCCAGCTAATTTTTTTAAAAATTGTAGAGACAAGGTCTAGTATGTTGCCCAGGCTAGTCTTGAATTCCTGGCCTCAAGCCATCCTCCAACCTCAGCCTCCCAAAGTGCTGGGATTATAGGCATGAGCCACTGAGCCCAGCCTAATTTTTAATATCTATTTATACCACATCCATACAAGAAGGAAATATGTTTGTCTTGTTGAAGTTATATTTCCAGTGCCTGAAACAATGGCTGGTACATGGGGAGTAGTTAATATTTGCTTATAGAATTCTAAATTATCATGTTATTATGATTTAAAACAAACTAGCCTCATTATACATTTTGTGGACTCTTATTTATACTGATCTTATTATTTCTGTTTGATAGTTGCTAGCTATCTACAGCCAGTTAGTTTATGCATTAAAGAAAATGCCACTTTGTTGCTTAATTTACCAACGGCATGTGTAATAATGTGTTACTATAAAAACCATGGAAATGTTAGCAGGGCATCTTTGGTAGTATGTTCCAGTAATGAAATCACCTACTCATCTTTTTTTAGTTATAAGGCATTTTGTGTCTTTGAACACAGAGAATAAAAATAGGAAGTTTTCTGCTTCGTTGTGGTGTGTGGGTGGGTGGGCGTGTCTGTCTGTAGTAATGTTCCACTTTGTTGACAAGTGTACTCCATGTCCCATGTCCCTTTCCCTGAGTGAGAACATGACTTCCATTGTGGTGTGTTATGCATATCAAGCATATCATTTTAATGAAGTGAAAATAGGTTTTAAATTTTTTCATCAAGGAACTAGGCAGTTTTCAAAGATGATACTAAATTAATCGTCAGAAGTAGAAGGTTTGTTGCTTAAATTTTATGTTTTATATGAAAGCTGGACAAAACTGAGTAACACTATTTTTTTAACCTGTTTCAATCCCAAAGATAAATATATACTATTTTCTGTCCAGTGATAACTGGCTTGTTTTTCAGTAAGTGAGGTCATTAAAGCACCCAAAATGGTTCCGAATGCCAAGTTTCACACATGTCTCCTTCATTCTCAAGCTGTCATGTGGGCTAAAATCACACTTATCAAAGAAACACAATAATGACAGCTCAAAGGCTGATGCTGAGACTTGCAAGTAATTGAACCATTTAACCACCATGTACTTGCTCAGAATTTCTCCTCAGAAATGACCCTTTGCTAAAAGTCTGTTCTTGTAGCATGCTGAATTCATTGCCTTTTGGATAAGCTCCATATATTTTGAAACTTCTTCCAAAACTCAGACTATGTTCTCTTCCTGGTTTCCAATGTTAGGGTTTTCATCCAGGCACTGCCTTATTCTAAAGCAGTGGTTCTCAAACTTTAGCCTGCATCAGACTTATCTGGAATGTTTGTTAAAAGACAGATTGCTGGGCCCCATACCCAGTGTTGCTGATTCATTAGGTGTTTGATGGGGCTGAAGAATTTGCCCTTCAAAGATATCCCCACTGATACGGATGCAGTTGATCAAGCACCCACCCTTTGAAAACTCCTATCGTAAAGAGATGCCCTTGTTCATTACACCTGGCATTCCTCCCTGCCAAATTGTACAAAAATTGGTTTCCTCTTGGCCACCTGTCATCTCATCCTTCCATAATTCTTCTAGGCTGGTGCTATGTAGTAGAAATACTATGTGAGCCACACATGTAATTTTTTGTGTCTAGTAGCCACATTTTTAAAAAAGTAAAAATAAAGAGAAAAAATTAATTTTAAGAACACATTTGGCCAGGCGTGGTAGTTCATGCCTATAATTTCAGCACTTTGGGAAGCTGAGATGGGCCAATTGCTCGAATCCAGGAGTTCATGTTGCCTGAGCAACATGGCAAAATCTTGTCTCTACTAAAAATACAAAAAATTAGCCAGGTGTGGTGGCATATGCCTATAGCCCCAGCTACTCAGGAGGCTGAACTGGGAGGATCACCTGAGCCTGGGAGATCAAGGCTGCAGTAAGCCAAGATCACACCACAGCACTTCAACCCGGGCAACCAGAGTAATACCTTATCTCAAAAAAAATTATATATATATATATATATATATATACACACACATATATAATTTTATATATATAATTTTTCATATAATTTTATGTATATATCTAAATTTAATATATCAAAAATATTTTCAACATGTAATTGATATAAAAAATTAATGAGCTATTTTACATTCTTTTTGTCTTATGTTCAAAGCACACTAAGTCTTTGAAATCTGATGTGTTTTTCTTTTTTTAATTTTTAAAGGTCTGTGGTACATGTACAGGCAGAATATGCAGGTTTGTTACATAGGTAAACATATGCCATAATGATTTGCTGCACCTATCAACTCATCACCCAGGTATTAAGCCCAGTATTTATTAGCTATTTTTTCTGATGCTCTCCCTCCCCCAACTACACCCCCCAACAGGCCCCAGTGTGTGTTGTTCCCCTCCATGTGTTCTCATTGTTCAGCTCCCACTTATAAGTGAGAACATGCAGTGTTTGGTTTTCTGTTCCCGTGTTAGTTTGCTGAGGATAATGGCTTCCAGCTCTATCCATCTCCCTGCAAAAGACGTGATGTCATTCCATTTAATGGCTGCATAGTATTCCATTGTGTATATGTACCATATTTTCTTTATCCAATCTATCATTGATAGGCATTTAGGTTGATTCCCTATCTTTGCTATCGTGAATAGTGCTGCAATGAACATACGCATGCATGTATCTTTGTAACAGAATGATTTACATTATTTGGGTATATACCCAGTAATGGGATTGCTGGGCCAAATGGTATTTCTGGTTCTAGATCTTTGAGGAATCAGCACACCGTCTTCCACAGTGGTCAAACTTATTTACATTTCCACCAACAGAAGTAAAACTGTTCCTATCTCACCAGCATCTTTTTAATAATTGACTTTTTAATAATTGCCATTCTGACTGGCATGAGATGGTTGGCATCTCATTGTGGTTTTGACTTGCATTTCTTTAACTATCAGTGATGTTGAGCTTTTCTCTGCATATCTTCTTTTGAGAAGTGTCTGTTCACGTCCTTTGCCCACTTTTTAATGGGGTTGTTTTTTCTGGTGAATTTAAGTTCCTTGTAGATTCTGGACATTAGACCTTTGTCCAATGAGTAGATTGCAAAAATTTTCTTCCACTCTGTAGGTTGCCTGTTTGCTCTGATGATAGTTTTGCTGTACAGAAGATCTTTAATTTAATTAGATCCCATTTGTCAATTTTGGCTTTTGTTGAAACTGCTTTTGATTATTTTGTCATGAAATCTTTCCCTTGCCTGCATCCTGAATGGTGTTGCCTATATTTTCTTCTAGGATTTTTATGGTTTTGGGTTTTACATTTAATTCTTTAATCCATCTTGAGTAAATTTTTCTATAGGTGTAAGGAAGGGGTCCAGTTTCAATTTTCTGCATGTGGCTAGCCAATTCTCTCAGCACCATTTATTAAATATGGAATCCTTTCCCCATTACTTGTTTTTGTAAGGTTTGTAAAAGATCAAGTGGTTGTAGGCCGGGTGCGGTGGTGCACGCCTGTAATCCCAGCACTTTGGGAGGCTGAGGCAGGTGGATCACGAGGTCAGGAGATCAAGACCATCCTGGCTAACACGGTGAAACCCCATCTCTACTAAAAATACAAAAAATTAGCCAGGTATGGTGGCAGGTGCCTGTATTCCCAGCTACTCAGGAGGCTGAGGCAGGAGAATGGCATGAACCCAGGAGGCAGAGCTTGCAATGAGCCGAGATCCTGCCACTGCACTCCAGCCTGGGTGACACAGCAAGACTCCGTCTCAAAAAAAAAAAAAAAAAAAAAAAAAAAAAAAAAAATCAAGTGGTTCTAAATGTGAAGCCTTATTTCTGAGTTCTCTAATCTGTTCCATTAACATCCCTTCATGTTAAAAATCTCAATAAACCAGGTATTGAAGGAACATACCTCAAAATAATAAAAGCCATTTATGACAAACCCACAGCCAATATTACACTAAATGGGCAAAAGCTGGAAGCACTCCCCTTGAAAACCAGTACAAGACAAGGATGACCTCTCCCACCACTCCTATTTAAGATAGTATTAGAAGTTCTGGCCAGGGAACTCTGACAAGAGAAAGAAATAAAGTGTATTCAAATAGCAAGAGAGGAAGTCAAATTGTCTTTGTTCACTGATGACATGATCCTATATCTAAGAAAACCCCACTGTCTCAGCCCAAAAGCTTAAGCTGATGAACAACTAAAATCAACGTGTAGAAGTCACAGGCATTCCTATACACCAACAACAGACAAGCAGAGAGCCAAATCATGAATGAACTCCCATTCACAATTGCCACAACGAGAATAAAATACCTAGAAATACAGCTAACAAGGGAAGTGAAGGATCTCTTGAAGGAGAACCACAAAATACTCCTCAGAGAAATCAGAGAGGACACAAACAAATGAGAAAACATTCCATGCCCATGGATAGGAAGAATCAATATTGTGAAAATGGCCATACTACCTAAAGTAATCTATAGATTCAATGCTATACCCATTAAACAACCATTAACATGCTTCACAGAATTAGAAGAAACTATTTTAAAATTCATATGGAATCATAAAAGAGCTCATATAGGGAAGACAATCCTAAACAAAAAGAACAAAGCTGGAGGCATCACACTGCTGGACTTCAAACTATACTACAAGGCAACAGTAACCAAAACAGCATGGTACTGGTACAAAAATTGATGTTTTTTTTTATATTTCCAGCACATCTCAGGTTAGACGGGCCACATTTCAAATTCTCCACAGCTACGCATGGTAGTGGCTACTGAATAGGCAGCACAGCACTAGAACTTTATTGTCAAAGAAACGGGGAGTATTGAAGGCTTTGTTTGGCCTTCCTGTGACTTTCAGCACATTTCCTCTTCTAAGATGTGCCTGGTTGCCAAATACATTATCATTTTAATAATAGATTGTAAGGAAAGAAAGGAAGCACTACAACATTAAATGTATGCATTGATTTAAAAATGCATGCCAATATCAGAATTTCTTTATTTTTATGCCCCAAACCAAATATATGTCATGATGCCCTATTTTGGTGCAGTTTTTAATTTGTTTTTTCTGCTGCCCCTTTATCCTACACATCTCCTCCCTCATCAGTAGCCCCTTTCCCTAGCAAGACAGTGTTACCAACATTGGTATTCATGCTTCTTTAGCTTCTTTGTTTTCCTTCCATCCTCATATAATCCTATACAAATATGCACCAAAGTTTGTCTACATTTGTTTTACTAAAATAGGATCCTATTATACCCACTTATCTGCATAATCACTTTCTTATTCAACAATAACTCATGGAAATCCCTGCAAGTCAGCTGGAAGTTGTACTTCATTCTTTCTAGTGACTGCAGAAGAGTCCATGGAGAAGGGTACCATAATTCAGTATTTCTGTGACTGGCAGGCATTCACATTTTTTCTCAGTTTTTTAAGCAATAAGAAAAAAAACTTCAAAAACCACTCTACATAAATAGATTGAAAGATAGATATTTAGATAAATATCTTTGCCTACTCTTTTATTGAGCTTGCAACCTCTTTGTTATCCCTTAACTTAGACTTTCTCCCATCACATCTGGGCCCTTTATTTTCAACCAATGAAAGCACTTACCATTAGCAATCACAGCAAACCATTTTCATTTTCTTAATGACTCCCTCCTCAGTCAACAACTGAAACAGACTAATATACCTCCCCTGACCCTACCTAATGATGTGCTGTCTATTCAGATGTTTTCATTCGTCCTGCTTCTTGCAGACAGAAAATCCACATAGAAAAGATTTCACTGCTATATGCCCTCTCACTGTGCAAAAACTATTCATGACATGAACAAGATTAATTTCTTCATTGATGTCTTGACATTTTTTTAATAAACATTAGAAATCAAAGGACCTGGATTCTATAAAGTAGTACAGACTGTAACTCAGGTAATAACAATAAGTAGAATCATAAATAGCAACAACTTAACATTTTTTTGTGCCCTACTGTGTGACAGGAACTGTTCTAAGTGCTTTGCATATGTGAATTCATTTGTTCCTTCAAAAAGGAAGGAAACTGTAAAGTACGTTCTCTTATCACTTTATTATTATTCCCACTTTTTGACTGCTGACATTGGGTTCATGCAGCCAGTAAATGGTAGGAGTAGAACTGAAACGTGGACAGTCTGGCTCCAGGGTCCTAATTTTATCCTTTTACTCCTATCTCTTTGAACCACAGTGTTCTCAGCTGTAAAATGGGTGTTACAGGAACGATACAACCTACTTTTAGGATTGCTGAGAAGAAATAGGACAGTGATTTGAAAATCATTAAAAGATCTAACAAGGTGGGGTTAGTCTTGTTTCAGCTTGGGAAGTTTGGCTGAGAGATTATTCCATCATTCAAAGCAAAAACTAAGCAGATTAAATGTTTTATAACACAGCAAATCAAACCATTTTCTGACCACAAACATCCTCCTGAATGTGAGACTAGACAGCTACAGCTGGCAAACGTAGGACCCGAACTATGCCAGGTTCTCAGAGCCTGCGAATTTTCCTGAAATTAGGAAAAGAGCAGCCAACCTTTACTTCTATTGTGCAGCTTGACCACGTCCTTCCTCTCTTCACGCCAGCCCTTGCATTTTACTTAATTGGAACACCAGGCTATAAATCTTACATACTTAAGGGCCAGAAAACTCTCTAGAGCTCTCAGACTGAAATTTGTGTGGGAGTTCAGCAATACTGAATTTTCAAATAAAATGATTAACAGGCACCTTTAAGGCAGCCTTAGAGAAAACAATATTTCCTGCATCTTGCCACCTTAATCTAAGGAAGCTGTTTGTTTTTAGGTCTAATAAAAAGGGTTTGGAAGTAACACAGGGATGAGTGAGTAAAATCAGATAGAGGCCCTCTACTCTTTGGTCTGGAAGCTCCCTCCAGCAATAGCAATCTCATCACCACGCTCTTCCCAGGCACCAAAAGGGCATCAGAGCATGATACTAGAAGGTTTAAGGCACTTAGTACAATTTTAACTGCAATCAGCTCTAATGACTGGTTTTTAGAAACATTTTTTCTAATATTTTAATAGATGAAAATGGCTACACCTGATCAGAAATCCTATTTGATTTTTCATAGCACAATAGCATCTATCAGACTGCACCAAGCAGAGAATTAAAATCATTGAAGAGAAAGGGCATAATCCAACTCAATTCAACCCCACAGACTAAGGCCTACAAGCCTACTATTAGCTGAAACAATGATTTAGATGCTCTGCCAAATAAATATAGGATGTTTATGGCTTTACACAATAGGAACCTGCCTCATTTATGCATCAGAAAGATCATTTACAGCCAATTTCTAAAAGACACTAAGTGTCAATAATAAATTTTCAAATCAAGGCCAAAAATTGCTATACTCAAAAGAGGAGCATTAGGCAATATGAAGTTGTTTCCAAGGAGGATTTAAAATCATAAAAGATCAATAAAGTGGTCCTGACCAGCCTGGCTTTCCTAGTCTCTGGGAAGTAGGAGTCTCAGCTTTAAAAAGGATCTGGGTCGACAAACAACAGAGCAGGGTATCTAGTACTGAAAGATCAGATCTCTGTAACAACCTGGCTGCCTTCCAAGATAATTGCTAGAACCACATTGCCTTCCTGGCCATATGTGCTTCACAGGAGCAAATCTTGCTTTGCAGTTTAGAGAAGAGATTGAATAGAGCTACTCGAGAGGCTGTTTCTCTGCCCCACATGGGGATTTTGTAGCTGGACTTTCCCCTATCATCCATTCACCCCTTCATCCACATACACACACACACACACACACACACACACACACACACACACACACACACAGAGAGAGAGAGAGAGAGAGATAATTAAAACATCATAGCCTTTTACCTCTGCTACAGCAGCATCATCCCAGGTGCTATCAAAACTTGGAGGAAATGAAAAGTAGTTCTAACTCACAGAAAGATGGACTTCTGGGATGGAGCACAGAAAAAAATGGTGCTGTATCCCACCCCACGCACTTATTAACTGTGTGACTCTGAGAAAGCCACTTGACATTTCTATGTTTTATTGTCTCACCTGTAAAACAGAAAAAATAATACTCATGAGGAGAAAATAAGGCCATGTATAAAAAGCTCTTGAAAAGAATCTTCAAAGTGTTAACAAAATTGCATGTTATCAACTAAGTCTGGATTTTGTATGAGCTTCCTACAAGAGAAAACTGGGGAGTCAGGAATAGGAAAATATATGATTATGAAGTAAATATTAGCACATAAATTCTCTGAAGTACTCAACCGAGGAAACGGAATGTGAGGGCTGAAATTTAAACTCTCTTATTGTTTAGTTCTCTGCCCTTTAACAAGTCCCTTAATTTCTCTGAGCTTTACTTTCCTCACCTGTGAAAGGAGATCATGATAACCACTTTTTAGCAATATAGTGAATATGTTCTATAAACATTAGTTTCCCACTCTGGATCTAGGACCTTGACTATGTGTCATTTTTATCTCCTCCATGACTTGAAATGGTCCTGTTAATTTGTTTTTGTGCATTTTGCCTGATTTACCCCATTTAAATGTCAACTCCCTGAAGGCAAAAACTCTTATTCATTGCCACATCACTACTGCTTCTAGAAGTCTTGTTTGGAATGAGTATTTATATTATTATGTATTAGTCTGTTCTCACACTGCTAATAAAGACATACCCGAGACTAGGTAATGTAAAAAGGAAAGAGGTTTAATGGATTCACAGTTCCACATGGCTGGGGAGGCCTCACAATCATGGCAGAAGGTGAAAGAGGAGCAAAGTCACATTTTACATGGCAGCCAGCAAGAGAGCTTGTGTAGGGGAACTCCCTTTTTTAAAACCATGAGATCCCATGAGACTTATTCACTATCACAAGAACAGCACAGGAAAGACCCATTCCCATGATTTGATTACCTCCCATGTGGTCCCTTTCACAACAGGTGATTATGTTGCCTCCAGGCTTGGTTGTCTTGGCTATTCTGAATATTCTGTGGCTACAACTTCCTTTAATAAGTGTATTTTCTGCTTAAATTATCCAGGGTTGGTTTTGTTGCTTAATAGATAGGATCCTCCTCTTCTCCCAACAGCCTGGTATCTTAATCCTATTGCATGTGACCCTGGTCTCCTAAGGGACCCCAACTGTGTTGTCCTCCTAGAAATTACCTCCACCCTCCAGCCCTTTTCTTCTCCCTCCCCCAGATCAAACTGCACATTTTTTCTAGGGGCTTTTCCCTTAGGACTTTACTCTTTATAAAGGATAATCTCATAAACTAATTCAAGGCAATGTGCTAATTGCTGACACTAATTTGATATTACTCCAGCATTTCAGTAGATACTTCCAATGCCTCAAAGCAAAGGAGAAAGGAATGTGTTTTCATTACCATCACACAGTTCCAGGGCCTGTGAGGGCTCTAGTCTTTGTCTGCAATCTTAAGAGCCCTGCATCCATCAAGGCAGCTCCTGTCTATTTCATCCATGAGTGCTCTGTGGACCAATCATATAGCAACCATGGTGCAGTTAATGAAATCAATGTCTGTATTTCATGGTAACACACACACACAGACACACACACACACACCCCTACATAAAATCCTTCAGTGACTTCCCAATGCTTTATCATGGCCAACAAGGCCCCCAGTCTAGTGGATGTGTCCAAAAGTATTTAACAATTGGCTAGAGGAAGAAACCCTAATTTTAGCATTTTCTGATTTGGGTGACATAAAAACACCCACCATGGCCAGTTTCAAGCTATCAAAATAGTGTCAATGACGTTATAAGATTCCTGAAGAGTTAACTATTTGCTCTCGCAAGCCAATATGAGGCACCAGCTCCAGTACATAACTGTCCCAACTTGTCTTCCTGGCCACTTCACTGACATCATCATGTTATGCCTCACTCATCACTTCAACCCCATTAGCCTTCTACAGCCACTCAATGGCTCCTCATCTGCACCCCGACACACACCCAGCCTTTCCATAGTCTAGGTCAGGCTCTCTGCTACAACCTTCCACAGCTCTGTGATCCTCTCCTTTAGAGCACTTACTTCAGGTTATATATTTACTCCCCTTAATGCAATCATGTGATGTTTAATGCTTAACATCGTAAGTAAACACAGACTGGAAGAGGTGTAACCAGGGTGGCTATCAACTTCCTTTTCCATCCAATTTTTATGCACCTTTTTATGGGGAAATTTCAGGGCTTACCAGGAAAAAAAAACTGCTCAGCTCTTAATACCACAAATATGACAGAGACCCTTCAATTTTCTGCTGGTTTTGTAGAATCCTGGATGATTGAAACTGGAAAAGATCATTTTAAATGCTTTTTCTCTGATTACTAGATACACTGGAAGGTGCTTTATGGTCTATCTTGAGGAGGTTGAGGTGAGAAGATGGAATAAAAAGGGGCTGAAAGGATAGAGCCCTGGGCTCTCCACAGCCACCTCACCAGAGCAACTCTGCTGTTATATATTTCTCATATTGTTCTTCCTTGTAAGATTTCTTTTGAATGATTCCTACTGTGGAAAAATGTTTACCAACCAGTTTTCATTTTATAGATGTGCAAAATATGTGCTCAAAGAAAAACAGAATGTGGAAAATTATTATTATTCGAGATAGGGTCTCACTTTGTCACCCAAGCTGGAATGCCATGGCGTGATCTTAATTCACTGTAGCCTCAACTTCCTGGGCTCAAGAGATCCTTCTGCCTCAGCCTCCCAAGTAGCTGGGACTGCAGGGGTGCACCACCATGCCCAGCTAATTCTTTGCATTTTTCATAGTGATGGGGTTTTGCCATGTTGCCCAGGCTGGTCTCAAACTCCAGCTCAAGCAATCCACCCACCTTGACCTCCTAAAGTGCTGGGATTACAGGCGTGAGCCACCATGCCCGGCAGGGAAAATTACTTAGGTGTTTCATTTAAAAAAAAAAAGTTTTCATGTGTGAATTTTCCTACCTTTTCCTCTTTGCTCCTAGCTCCAACTCCCAGTAAAAGATTCCATCTCCAATTTTATCACATTTTCACAAATATGAATCCTGAGACTAGACCACTTAGGCCCCCATTTGTGTGGGGGTTACAGAGCACTTGAGCTGATAAGTCATAGAACCTCCCAGGTCTCCTGAGTTATGGGCCACTTTAATTCTGCTTTTTGGTTGGTCTATGTCCAGCAGCAGTGAGAACTTCACTGCTGTCAAAAGGGAAGTCTAACTGCCCAAGCATCTTCTCCAAGAGAAATTTCCTTTAGTTTTAAAATAAATTATGTTTTCTGAAGACTATATAAATACACAATATAAAACCAGTAAACCTGATAAAGACCTATAGAAAAACAATCTCACTTGTTTCTAGCCACATCAAATTTCTTGCCTCAGTATGCAAACACAAAAACCAACTAGACTTCTAAATTCTGATCAGAAGCTCAGGATCCGGGCAAAGGAATACAGTAATGCACTCCTAGCTACCTGTCTCTTTTCCTGGGCTATTAGAAGCATCCTCTATTTCAGAGAGATATGAATTCATATCCCATTGATGCCATTTCCTGGATGTGTGATTTCTGGCAAGTTACTTTTTATCTGTGAGGTTCAGTGTCCTGAAGATAAGAACATGCACTTTTTATGTGGTTTGTTGTAATAATTAAACGAGACAAATTCCTGGCTTGAAGTAAATGTTCAAGAAATTATCACCATGTGTTTTCATTCATTATCAAATACTCCTATATATTTAATACTAACACTAGGCTTGATATATAAAGCCTGATTCCTAAGTTCAGAAAATAAGTTCACTTCCAATATATAATTAGTTTATACTATTTCATTCAGTTAAACAAATTTATACTTTCCTAATATTTGTCAGACACAGTAGTAGACCTGGACCATAAGAAATAACAAACCTTCAGTTCCTGTCTTCAAGGATCTGACAACTTAAACCATACCTGACAGATAAGACCGATATTCTCTCTCATTCTCTTTCATTCTTTCATTCACATTCTTTCATTCATATTCTCTCTTTCTTTCATTCATATTCATTCTCTCTCTCTCTCGATTCAGGGGCTCCCTGTATTGCCCAGGCTGGAGTGCACTGACACAACCTTAGCTCACTGCAGCCTCGACCTCCTGGGCTCAAGCAATTCTCCACAGTCAGCCTCCCCAGTATCTGGGACAACAGGTGCACACCACCACTCCTGGCTTTCTGTTTTTGGTAGAGACAAGGTCTCACTATGTTGCCCAGGCTGGTCTCAAACTCCTGGGCTCAAGTGATCCTCCTGCCTCAGCCTCCTAAAGTGCTGGGATTACAGGTGTAAGCCACCACAACCAGCCTACCTCCTATATTCTTAAAGATCACTAAAAGAGAGGCCCTCACCACATTGCTGGCAACTACTACATTCAGTTCTCAGTCCTCTGAAGAATTCACATGATGTGTAAGTGTGTTCAATTCATTGAGAATCAATATGTCTCCATTTTCTCTTATTCTAGACCCCAGAAGGAGGAGAGAACAGTTGTTCACCATTTTTTACATAATAAGCCTTCATTCTTTGAGAGTTATTGAGTTATTCCTCCATCTTCTCTTTCTAGATTAAATAATTCCAATCCCCTTAACCTTTTCTCAGAGGTCCTATTTGCCAGCCTTCAGTTTAATCATTTTCATTGCTCCCCTCTGGAGTCTCTCCAAATCCTCTGCATTAAAATACGTTGCTTTGCCATTGAATTCACTCTTTTAAGAAACGTATTCCCTTATTTCGACCAAGACAAAAAGAAATCAGTCCCCAAATACAAGGTAGACAGTAGATAGAAGGGTAGATTTCCTATGTAAAGAACTCATGGTGGGCTTTCATATGCTCAAATCAAATTTGCATTTACTGTCACCACTATTAAGGAAGAAGGGCTAAAACCAGAATCATTTTAAATAGTGCCAACCATTCTGCCTGACAATTATCTAAATTACTTTTAAGCAGATAAGACTATTAACAGCAAACTTGAGACTTCTGTAGTTACACCTAAGGTTCTCAGACAGGTACTAATAAAAAATCACTGTACTACTAAAGCTAATGAGATCAAACAGGAATTTTTGATTCTGTAAAATACCTCTGGCCATCAGGTAGAGGTAAGAGCTTACCATATGATTTACAGAAGTGCCTTTGGTTAGGCCTGGCACGTGCAAAGATCTTTCTTTGCATTCTGTCAATCAATATACAGTCATTAATATTTCTTGAGCTGAGAGTGCAGCAAATTCTAAATGACTCTTAAGAAATGGTGTATAGAGGTTAGTCAAATACACACTGACCGTAGTACGATACCAGCATATGCAGAAAGGGGTGGATATGAAAACCAGAGCTCTAGTAAAATATCCCTTCAGGATAAGCATAGAAATTTGTAAGAATTCTCTTTTCACAAAGATTCCTCCCTGCCTGTTTCTCTTATTGTGCCACTGATATTACCCAGCCTCCCGTGAGCCAGTAGCATGTCTCTACACATACACATACACACACACACACATACACACATACGCACGCTCACACGGTTAAGATTCTTCTGACTGTCGAATATCCAAATCTTCTCAAGAAGCTGGGAAAACTCTTACTGGATAATATCTTGCCTGGTTCAGGGACTTCTTTTAAAACCACTATTTAGAATTTTATTTTCCCATGTGGAAAAGTTAAAAGTATACAATTGGGGTAAACAGACTTGGTTACAAGGGGACAGGTGGCAAGAGGAACCACTGCCTCCTCCGGTTTGACTCCAGGCAAATAGGTGGTAGTTCACTCTAGTATGATTATTAAAGCTAGGTTGGCCCTGGCAAGACCCTGTTTGGCCTAGAACTGGCTGGGCTGAGAGAGGTCTGTCAACAACGGCCCCAGGAGAATGAGCTACATTCTGGAAAAACCTCTCTGCCAAGTTCTCTGAAGACTCCCTCAGTTCTGAGTCCAGAACAAATTCGTGGTTTAGTGTTGAATTTTCCCAGGGAGCTGTAGACCCAAAGGCAGTCCAATCTATCGAACAATGACTTAAATCCCAAGACCTATGGAATTAATATTGTAGCCCTTAAATAATCAGCAATAAGGATGGCCAGTGGCTTAGAATCATAGAATCAGAACAAGGCCAGGCGTGGTGGCTCACACCTGTAATCCCAGCACTTTGGTAGGCCAAGGCAGGTGGATCGCCTGAGGTCAGGAATTCGAGACCAGTCTGCCCAACATGGTGAAACCTCATCTCTACTAAAAATACAAAAAATTAGCCAGGTGTGATGGCGCTTGCCTGTAGTCCCAGCTACCTGGGAGGCTGAGGCAGGAGAATTGCTCAAGTCCTGGAGGCAGAAGTTGCAGTGAGCCAAGATTGCGCCACTGCACTCCAGTCTAGGTGACAGAGTGAGACTCCATCTCAAAAACAATAACAACAACAACAAAATGAACAAGAAGCACCCTTCTGGGTGAAGGCTGACAGCTTGCTAGCTGTTTGTCAGAGCTGACCCTTATTTCCCTCCTGCTCTGCATGGCTCTTCACGCTTGAGCACATGCCAAGTGTTTGTGTTACAGAGTGAAGAAAGGCATAGGAACTCCACCACTGGTAAGTGTATGCACTATTGAGGTCTGGGAGCTCTGAAACAATGGGCAATTAAAACCATAACATATTGAATAGCCTTGTGTTGATAAGTATATGTTGTAATTAATTATAATTTTATAAAAAGCAAGACTCCAAATATGAAGCGGAACTACACATAGCCCCAGATTTCATTTATTTGATGGTAAAGACAGTCTTGCTTATCAAGGGGGTAAGAAAGTGAAAGTAGGGCACTGATACTGATATGCATTGCCATGTTACTTTGTAGTGGTTATGGTGAGTGGCCAATAATGCCAGGTTAATAAATCACTGGTAGACACAACTCAACATTCTCTCTCTTTACCCAAATGTGTACCTCAGAGACTTAATACCAAATTGCTTCAAAGAAAGAACAATTTGTACCATCCTACTATAATCCAGTGCACTTTGGGAAGCAATTTTTTTTTCCATTTGAATTTGGGAACTATAGTAATAACAACTAACACTGAACACTGATATTCCTACGTTGGGAAGGTCAAAAAATGCAAGAAAATAAGGGGAAAGTAAGAAAAAGGAGGGAAAGACAGAAAAAATTTTTAAAAACCTGAAATTGGTGAATTTTTTCAACATTCATCTATAATGAGCAGGGGACATTTTCAATAAGGCTTTTGAATGTCAAAAAGTAAAATAAAATTCCTGCTGACTTTCAAAAGCCCACTATTTTGGGTCATTCTTTAAAAAAAAAAAAAAAAAAAAAAGAGCCAGCAGATTAAAGGAAGTCCATTTATAAAAATCAAATGAACCTCTAACAAAGCTTGTTCAGGACATGAATAAATCATCTGGTCATGAATTATTCATTGTTATCAAGAAACAAGCTGGGGATTCCAGGAACTGGGCTGGGGAGGCACTGAAACTGGGGAACGAGCGAGTTTATTGTCTCATACCCACCACAGGAAAAGAGAAGGACAGGCCAAGGGTGCCACCATCTGAGGCCGACCATGTCAGCCCTCCCTCGTGTTTCAGAGCATACGCTGGCAGCCTTTACACCTCAGAGGACAAAACAAATACAGTTTAACCCACAGAACCTAAATTTAGAAAACTGCATGTACTCAGGAAGCAGAAAATACGATTTTTTTTGAAGATTGTCTCTTTTTATTTAAGTTCACAATATACACGGGAAATATGAGCTGTGTGCAAAAGGTAGCAGAGTTGCAACTTTGAATTTCAAGGAGATGGCTAGAAAATTCCTTGATGATAAGTCAGTAGAGTAGTCTGACTTACTCATTTATGGCTTTGGGGCTTGGGTTTGGATGGTGGGGAGAAAGGGAGCCTCTCAGATTTAATCAACTAATCAATGTATCTGTGTGTTTCAGGTCCAAACTGCTTTGCAGGAACGACGATAATTCCAGCTGGCATTGAAGTGAAAGTGGACGAATGTAACATCTGTCATTGTCACAACGGGGACTGGTGGAAGCCTGCTCAGTGTTCGAAACGTGAATGCCAAGGCAAGCAGACTGTGTAGGACAAACTTCCACCCAATGATGAGTTCTTAGGAAAGGATGCTATGGCTTCAACACTGCACATGTTTAACACAAAACAAAACAAACAAACTCCTGCCAGCTACAACAGGGTCACCAGCAAAACTTTCTAGGGTTGACAAAAGTGAATATTTTCCTAAGAGGAAATTTCTTTCTCTCTTGCTATATAAAATATATATAGTATATAGCTATCTAAATCGCTTTTGTATTTACCAATGCTTGATGGTGACTTGACGACTGGATTGCTGGAACAAAAAGAAAGAAATAGCCTTGCACAGGCTCCTTCCCTGGTAATGCCTCTGACCTACCAGCTCACTGTCCCCTGGTTTACTTCATTTTTACTCTTCTGTACATTGTACATGGCATTGTTCTCCTGTAATATTTGTTTTTTCACTTTTAGAGTCTAAGGGGCTAAATTTGACTGCACAGTAAAGTTTTGAGTTGTGTAAAAAAAAAAGTTTGGTAAAGGAATGTCAGGGGAAATATCTTTCCCGAGCTGGGAAACACAAGAGCATCCAGTCAATTGCTCCCCTAGGGTGAATCATGCCCTGTAGACTAAGGAAAGAGGGGTGGGCACATAGACGGGCCTATTGCTGGACAGGGTTGGGAACAAGTACTTTGTCCATTACGTGGGGGCTCACAATTTAATTCTTACAAACCACACATTTCATATGGAAAACCTCGAAACTGCCAATCAAAATCTATTACGTAAAGAACACCATAAGCTCAACTAAAGAATCCAAAGAGAGACAGATCTTTAAAATTGTAGCATTAATCATCAGACTTTTTCATGATGTGAAATTTGAGTTTGGTTTGTAGCTAAACACACTCTAAACTCACTGTCATCAGGCAATATAAATACCAGAACCAGGGTGAGAAAACCCACTGTGAATCCAAATCCTTATGAACATCTCTGGCTTTTGAGTTCAGATTTGGCTAAAAGTCAGTAGTACACACTGGCAGTTTTTGTGGTTCGGGACTGTGTTTGCCATGTTGTAGTAACAACCACTCAGCCCTATGTCTGAAACACAGATTCAGGACACCCTTTCCACCTCAAGTGCTGATTTAAATTAAAGATTAGGGTAGAGTGAGTCTTGCACAATACAATTCCATTTGTTGAACATTTTTTAAAATGTATATATTAGATACTGAAAAATTAAAGTGAACCTTTGAAGAGTCTCTAGGTTGCCCTGGTAATGCTGCTAGTATAGTAACAGAAAAAACAAAACACACAGGGTATCTGATGCCACCTCGATTCAAGTGCAAAATTAACAATTCTGAAACCACATGGCATAGTTAGTCGCTTATTCCATGCTCCTGCCCTAAAAACCCTGGCACAGATCTGATAGGGTCCTTGAAGAGACTTTACAGTTGTCTTTATTATCAATGTTCTTTCTTTTTCTGCTCCCCCAACCTGGGCTTTGCCATAGCTCCTGTGGAGAGCCATATTCTAGAGCAAGGTGTCTCAATCTTAGTAGGATTGACATTTGGGGCCAGATCATTATTCGTTGGTGGGGGCTGTCCTGTGTGCTTTTAGGATGTTTAGCACCATCACTGGCCTCTATCCACTAGCAACATCCCAGCAACTGGTGACAACCAAATTTCTCCAGACATTGCCTAATGTCCCTAAGGAGTGGGAGTGAGGGGCCTAATTTCACCTCGTTGAGAACCAGTGGTCTAGAATAATCAGTATAGAGTGGTTTCTGGCAGGGGACACAGTAGGCAAGCTCTAGCAGCACCTGTGGCTTTTGTGAGCTTCTGATCCCTATGGGACATACACAGTCAGCATTTCCAAGGGGTCAGTCTTCTCCATAGAGAGTGAGGCTTCTAATGCTATAGGCCCACCCTCAGGAAACATATTTTTTTGAGTCTTGTCAACTGGTTTTTCATTTAAAATTGTCAGCCTCTCCTCCCTGGAAGCATCTGCTGTCATCAAGAAAGAGTTGTCATTTCCAAAATTAACGTGCTGACGAGTCAGACCTGACATTCTTATGCACACTGTGCTTGCGTTATGATACAAATAGCCATGCCGGCACCATCCCGAGGAAGAGCATCAAGCCACCTTCCCTTAGAACACCAATTTGCAGCAAGGTTGGTGCCTTTCATTTGCCACCATGGATACATCATATAGACAGTCATGAATCATTCATGAGCAATGCTGCATGATTTATGTCTGCACTCAAAAGTAAAGGAATTCCACACTTTAGCTTATGTCTAGACAGAGATGTATTATAGAGCTTTCTTTGCCCCGAGGTTGCCTGTTGCCAACTTCAAAAATCCACACTCTTGGAAAGAAATAATAATAATAAATGACAGGAATAAGGTTTGAAACTCAGAAAATATCATTAATAGAGCCATGCAGCATAGTACCTTATCTATTATTAAGGAGTTACTATGTCCTTTTTTAGAAAACAGAAAGAGAGTACAACTGGGAAGCTGAAGTGCAGAAATTTTGCATCAAAGCATTGGCACAGCGAGAGTCACAGCAAGAATTTACTAGAATTGAATGGGACATCCATTAAGGATCTCTCTTCAGAGAGTTTGCAGAAAGCAGGCTGTTCTGTGGCCTCTGATAACCAGCTAGAGAGAGGGATTTTTATGGTTGGTTTTGTTGTTGTTGGATTTTCTTTTTCTCAAAGTTTCACTGCAGGCTGTTTCCTTTAAGATTTTGTAGCACTGACATTTTTCCCCCTTTAGGGAGAGATGAACCTATACTGTGACAATTTCTCATAAACTGATAAACATTTTACAACTTCCTTCTACCCAGGTCATTGAGAAATTCTTTCCAGACTCTGAACAACAGAGCTCTGGTCTCATCTGTTGTTTGTTTCTTGTGAAGTCTTTGTTTGCAGCCACACTGTCATCTCTGTACTCCTATTTCTCCTCCGCCTTTGGTTCTCGGCTTTAACAACAGCTATGTTAAAATAAGGGATCAACATCTTGTTTGTCAGCTGATGCCTATTAAAAACGATTCAGTTTCTAAAATCTTTGAAAAATGGCGTGCCTGAAAACTAGTGAGAAAAAAAAAAAACCTAAACACTAAACTGTAAAAAGGGGATTCTAGCAACAATATTTGATGTGTAAAAGAATATATTATTAAAAAATTATTTTGTTAAATATAAAGTGTGTTAACCAGCAAACATTGTTTGTGGTATATTTTCCTTCCCACATTTCTCCTTTCTCCCTACCCTCATTATTTAATGACTAATTCTCGGTTACTTCTATCATTTGAAAGTACATGTGTCATTAGAGCTGTATTCAATTAGAATGAAGCATTAGCTTTTGCATTTGCCTGCACACATTTTCATTTTTCATAACGCAAGGCATTGCTGACTTGGGGATCCGAGAGGAGGCTCAAATAAGCCAGCAGTGACAGGGTAAGTGATAGGAAAAGTCTTTTCCTGACCCCAGATCCATATACTATGCTAACGATAATCTATAATTATTGAGTGCTGGCTCTGAGCCAGGCCCCGTACTAAGCTCTGTGCCCACAGGATTGTATTCAATCCACACAGCACACCTATGAGAGAGGAACTCTTGTCATTTCTGCTTTGTTCTTGAGGAAACCGGAATATAAAGAGGCTAAATGCTTTGCCCAAAGTCACAGGCTAGTAAGTAGCAAAGCAGGAATTCTTTATTATAAAAGTTTTCAAACATATATAAAGAAAATAGCATCAAGAACCTCCATTTACCCATTGCCCAGATTCAACAGTGATCAAGATTTTGTGAATTTTTTTAACAATCCAACAAATGTTTATTAAATAACCAATGCTACTACCTACAGTTCATTTAACGCTTACATGCCAGAGACTATGACTTGAAATTTACTTATATCATCACACTTAATTCTCATGCAACCCCTTTAAAGAGGTAATATTATTCCTAAATTACAAATCAAGAATCTAATAAGCTTGCATATAACAGTGAGATCATGCAGTAGTTTTCATTCTGGTATGGCTTATTTCACTTAATATAATGCCCTCCGTATAATACTTCCTTTATTCTTTACCCCCCTTAAGTCTTTTTTTCTTTTTTTTTTTTTTTTTTTTTTTTTTGAGACAGGGTCTCACTCAGTCACACAGGCTGTAGTGCAGCGGTGCGATTACAGCTCACTGCAGCCTTGACCTCCCTGGCTCAGATGATCCTCCCACCTCAGCCTCTCAAGTAGCTAGGACTACAGATATATCAGGCCTGGCTAATTTTTTTGTAGAGATAGGGTTTCGCCATGTTGCCCAGGCTGGTCTCAAACTCCTGGGCTCAAGAAATCTGCTTGCTGTGGCCTCCCAGTGTGCTGGGATTACAAGTGTGAGCCACTGTGCCCAATCCCTCTTAAGTTATTTTAACCAAATATCAAGCATCGTATGATTTTACCCTTACAATTTGCAGTAATCATCTAAGAAAAGTGACATTTTCTTACAAGACCATATTGTTATACAATATTTTATTAAACCTAACAAAATAAATCCTTAGTATCATTTAATATTTAATCCATATTAAAACTTCTTAGATTTTCTAAAATATGAGAGAGAAGAGATGTTTGCATGATTCAAACAGTCCATAACTTTGGATGTGGTTGTTTTGCCTCCTAAGTTCAGCTATGAATTCTGACAGAGTCCTTAGTTTATTGTTCTTCGAGCATTTGTGTTTCTTAAAGCTCCATGGTAAACTTCTTTCTAGACTGAGCAGGGAAACAGCAGGGCAAGAGGCTTTCTACCAACTGACCTCCAAGGGTCAAAGAGCCCTGGAGCAAGAATTGTTGCTGATGACCAGAACGCAGAAGACAGTGCCTTTGATGTGTATGTAAGCTCTCCTTAGAGAGTAAAAGTAAACTGTTATTTTTCTTCTTCTTGAGACAAACACATTGCTTGATGCAGAGCAAAACTGAACAATATTTTATGAATTGCCATCATCTTCTGCATTGTTGGAGGAAGAAAAAAAAGGGCAACCACTGAGAAAACATCAGCATGGCATTCCCACACACAAGCATACACACCCCAACTCCACTACCATTTTCTTAAAACAAGATTAGACTTTCTTGCATGTCAAAATAGAGAGAAATTCTCTACTCTGTATGTCCATTTTACACGACTGTACAGTTCAATTCAGATTCAAGTCTTATGGAGAGGACACCTCAAAGTATAGAGGAGAAAGCTATGAACTGAGACAAAGTCCTGGGTTTCTTGTTATTTTAGGTTTTATGTTGGGAATATTACTCTTTTAAATAGAGGTATTTTTATGAGTTTGAAAAACAAAATGCTATCTCTGAGCCAGCAATCTCACCTGTACCTTACCAAATTCATAAGGGATTTATACCTTAAATTTGGGTGACACCATTATCAGTGAGCCTCAAACTGTACTGTCTAGTACGAACACTTGATTCTCCCTAATCAACCTTGTACACCTAGAAGGCATGTTGTTATTTTGATGAAACAAAACACAGCTAGCGCCATAGTATCTTTCATGAGAGTTAAATAGATTGAGTTGAATGAATTTCTTTCACTTAATTTTAGAAACTCAAAATTTGCTTTACATTCCAAATATTTTCAGTTGTGGTAATGATATGATGGCTTTCTTAATTTTTTAGAATCTTGAACTCCTAACTGTTTGAAGCCCAAACTCCAATTTCAGTAATCCCAGTACTCACATTACAACCTGGTTTTGAGTAGGGATACTTTCAAAAAACTACATTTCTAGAATAAAGTTTTAGTTTTAAAACCTCCCAAATAATTTTGTGAGTTGGGCAGGATTGGAGAAGAATTTGGATATAAAGTTCAGAGACCATTTATTGAGCCCCTTCTGAGTGGCAGACACTGTACTGGTTACTTCACACAAGACAGTAATTTGCATTCATTAGTCAACCATCCTCATAACCACCATGAAATTATGGACTAGTAATCCCATTTTGAAGACTGCAACACTGAAGTTCAGAGAGGTTTTTTGATTTTCTCAGGCTTCCATGATTAGAAAGAGGCAGAACCAGCTTTTATATCAGAGGGTTGTTAAATATTAAACAGAATACTACCCATAAAATAGTTTAGAATAGGGCCTAGCACAAGAAGCTATCATTATTAAGATTTATAGTATCAGAAAGGAGATCTCATGGATAAGGTGATATTGGATTTGGATCTTGTCAGTTAGATACAATTTGGGCAGATATTTAAGAGAATGATATTACAGAGCAACAAAAAATGAATAGAGTACAGAGTATTTGGAGTGTGAGAAGCAGTCAGGCGTGCTTATAGTGTAAGGCTAGAGATGGGGGCATACAGTGGGAGATCGTGTCTGGGAAGAAAACTCAATTGTTAAGACCTGGAAGATTATGCCAAGAAAATCCAACTTGGTTTTTGTTGATACTATTGATTAATCGACATCAAATAACAGGGTGACGTGGCTGTATTTGTATTTTAAAAACAAATCTGATATAGCGAAGGATGCTTTGGGGCCCAGGGAGAGAGAGGTGGAAACACTGAGGGAGGTAATCACAAAAGTCCAGGAAGAAGAATGAGGGTCTGTTCTGGGAGTGGAAAGACTCAAACAGACCAGCTGGAACAAAAGGACCTTATGGAGGATCAAACGGGAGCTCAAGAATTAAAACAGTCACATTTTCTAGCCCAGGTGATTAAGACATTGACGCTAATAAAACCACCACCAAAAATATGCAACTTACGCTTTACCTAGGGGTGGCTCATGACATTTTAGGACATTATGCTGAAGATACTGACAATATATCAGATATTCAGAGTCAACTTCAGATAAAAAGTAGTCTTTGGGGCAGCCCACCCTGTTACTATTTGTCAACACTATTTGTATCTTGGTTTGAATAAAAGTGATTTGAATAGCCAAAGTTTACCACTGGTCATATTTTTTTCAAGGTATTTTTGAAATGGAGGTCAAATTTGGAATGGCAAGAATAACCGAATTCTTTCATTGGTATGTGGCAAATATTAATCTCACATGATAGTGAAACAATTTATCTGCATATTGTGACACAAACTGCTTATAAGTTTCCAGCACCTCTTCCCTCACTTGCCCCTTCGGAATACAAAATGTTGGTTTCTTTTTCATATTGTTGCTCACCAGAATTCCAGAAATTCAAAAAAATACTTATTTAGCTGTTCACTGTGGCCTTCTGTTTTTCATTTTTTTCCCCAGAATATATAGAGTTAAATGACAACTTAGGTCCTGGGAAAGGCTTTCAACTTGAGATTTTTAAGGTTGTCCACCCTTCTCCCATTATATATTTCTTCGCCTTTGTTTTTTTTTTTTTTTTTTTTTTTGGTTGCATTCCCTTTTTAATTAATCACAACATTGGGTCAGCCAGACCCATTAACTGCATTTCTCATTTAGACCTTCCAGAGATGCAGTTGCAGATGCAATTTAATTTGTTGACCCATGATCGATAGCAATTAATAGCATCTCTTTAATCTTGTTGAAAGGTCTGTCTCTGGCTTCCAGTAGCCACCATCTCAAGGGAAAGGTATCCACACAGGCAGGTTATTTAGCTTCCAGTTCCCCTCAACCGCATACTTCTCTGGTGACTTGGTGTTTGTTTCAGAAGTCACCATATTCAGTATTTTCGATTATTGCACAAAAGTTCATCCAGGTTCTGTTATGAGATAGATCTGCTGCAAGCTCATCATGCATATGTTATAAACCAGGAACTCTGAGAAAAATACTATAAAGCACTTAACTCAGAAAAAAATAGATTCAAGGTTTTAAAGTATGTTACTAGACACTTAAGTTTCTGAGACTTCTCCATGTTGTGTTGTAGCTAACCCAATTCCTACAATCAAATATTTTTTTCTTATCTGTCATATTAATAAAAAGATTTATTCAATAAACAACTTTCTACCTAGGAAATTAGACTGTGGTTGAACTGAATAATGCATTTTTTCCCCTGTGCTCAAGAAGCTTACAGTCTGATGGGGCACACAACAAGGCAAGTCCACAATAACAGAGAGGGAGGCAAATGCTGTGTGTTAGATATGAACAGGCACACTGGGAGCCTGTGAGGCAGCTTTCTGGGAAATGGGATTTTTTATCTGAGTTTTAAAAGAGAAATAGATCAGGGTAAGAATAAAGAAAGTGGTCAATGCCCTTTGGCAGTTTATAAGATGGAGTTTCTGCTGATACAGCTCAGATCATGTAACTGCTCTATTTTGCTAATGATAAAATCCATTCAAATCAGTAAACATATGCCTCATAAAAGCGGGGACTTTGAGAAAATTCCAAAAAAAGCAAAGATGGGTCACCTCTATGTCGTGAAGAAATCATGTATCTTGATGACAACCCTTCTTTTCTGTAGTCAGTTTACTGATTAGTGGAACCCCCTCCCCTCTACCCACTTCAGGTTCTCACTACACTGCATTTTGTCAGGAATTGTCCTTGTATCTCTGCAGAAATTTGAGTAATGCCATCCGTCAATAGTAGTTGCTCTGTTGGCCTAATCTATTGAAAGCTTACTTGGTACCAGGCTCAACTGCAGAACTGAAGGCTGGGCCCCTGGTAGAGCATCAGTAAGCAATCAAGAGATGTGTATTTGAGCAAGAATCCCTTTCCAAATTTATGGAAATAACAATATGAGGATGACCATGTGCTCTGGAAACTCACACAACCAGTCTTGAAACCAGCTGTCAAGAAGTTTTCTGTGTTACAATTTTACAGATAAAAGGATACTACAAAATATCTTGTGGATAAATTGAGATTATGGGCTATAAAAATATAAGACATAATTTGTAAATTGCAAGTATCAAAATGTCTAAGGTGTGTGTGTACATTTGTATCTATGTGTAAATAGTATAGGTCTATGTATCTATAGAAATGTAAAAAGTTATGAACATTATGGTGAACTGATGGCTGTGTCATTAAGATCAAATATTCACTATGTTTCCATCTGTCTAGTAAACTCTTCTCTTTTGTACCTAAAAATTGCAGGCTTGTTTAGCCTACAGTAATTTTACCCCATCTTTGCCTTGCTTGAGGCACTTTATTAGTTATGCTTGTTCGTACATTTAATTTCCCATCCCTAATCATTTGTGGCTCATGTGGTTCATTGATTTCAGAGGGAGGCTGAACATGAGCGAAGGAAAGCTGCAGAGGGGAATGAAAATCAAACTGCCATGAAACCTAAAATCATTGCAGTGGCAATGAAATAGATGTATAAAAAGAAAATATTTCTTATCAAATGTGCAAATATTAACATAAGCATATAGTTGGGATTTTTGCTTTTGTTTGGGATTTTTTGCAATTAGACAGTTATTTCTGCATAAGAGGGCTTAGGTTCCACTTGCTTGCTATGTTTACTATCTGATGTGGCCTTGTAGGGTACTACTTCTATAAGATAAAGGGAACAACTTCCTTGGGTATCCAGATCTGCACACTTAACATGCACTTGGAGGATAATATTATCCAAGCCACTTTATTGTTTATGTAAGGCACACTTGTATCCTGTTGGCTGGGCTGCTTTCAGTTTCCCCAGAAAACCTAGCAAAGTTCCAGGAGGTTCTCAACCATCAGTTGCCTGTTTCTCAGCCTGAAAAGTATCCTCCTCTCAGGAATGTTAACTTTAATTGCCTGAGTTTGCCTTAGATATCCACCTGCACCTTCTGGCTCATGAGTTACTGAGCACTGTGCAAGGCACACTTTGGATATACATAGTATAAAAGGCACCACCCATAAGTAAGAGCAGAGTCAGTGTCCTATTTCTCACTCCTGTTCCTCCAGTACAGTGACTTATAGCAGCAGCCAGGCCACTGGCTACCAAGACTCCAGAGTCAGCAGCCTGTAATAGCTTCGGTAGACCGTTACAACTGGGTCTTTATTTTTTAAAAAACCTCCTTGGCATCAACTGTCCTCCAATGAGCAGGGAGGTCAGGCTCACAGCAGCAAAGCTATGAAATGAAGCATCTGAAAAAGCATAAAGTAACTTAAAAAAATGGGGGAGGTGCACAGAATTGTGATATTTCACACCACCAATGTAGCATGCAATGATACATTTCCTTTCTTTGCACTTGCAGAAGTAAAACCAGAACATATATCTGTAATCACATATTCCATCCCATTGATTTTCACTTGCAGAAAATGGAAGGCTAGTCATCAAACTCATATGCCTATTGAAATGATGTCAACTCAGAAAAATACTCTTTGTTTACCGTATAATCTATATTTCAGTACATAAAAATCCACAGCATGTAGGCTGGTTATACAGCACTATACTATTTTCTTTAGTTATCTTCTGGAGAAATAAAAGAGTATATTGGAAATGTATTATGTTTACATTGAAATACAACTAGAAATATTTTTTCTAACCCTCTTAGGTTCACAATGAAATAGATTTTTAAAATTGGTTAATTTGAACAATTGCATACTTAGCATCACCAGAACTGAGGTTGAACTGAATAATCTGGCCCAAAGTAATTTAAGACCTGATTTATGTGTAAACTGGATCATCGTAAAGGTCCACTTCTTCATGGCTCTGTAGATATCATCAGAATCATGTGTGCAAGGCCAAATGCTTTCCTTCTTTATATAAAGGATTTATTCTAAGTGAACATCTTTTCATTTTATTGTGGCAAGAACACTTCATATGAGTTCTACCCTCTTAAACAATTATGTGTATAATACACTATTGTTGATTATAGGTACAATGATGTACAACAAATCCAAGAACTTATTCATCTTGCTTAACTGAAACTTTATGTCTGTTAATTAGCAACTCCTCATTTCTCCCTCTCCACACCACCCAACCCTGGAAACCATTCTGCTCTTTGACTATGAATTTGACTATTTTAGACACCTTACAGTATTTGAATATTACAGTATTTGTCTTTGTGTGACTGGCTAATTTCACATAGCATAATGTCCTCAACTTTCATTCATGTTCTCTCATGTTGTAGAATTTCCTTCTTTCTTAATGGCCAAATAATATTTGGTCAATGGACATTTAGGTTGCTTCTTTTAGATATTCTGAATGGGGTTGTAATGAACATGGGAATACATGAACATCTTTAACTTTTTACTTAGACTATACAGAAAAGTGTACACACTCTAAGTATACCTATAACACAGGGTATATAGGGTATAACACTGGCACCTCAGAAGTTCCCACATACTGTTTCCCAGGCAGTATCCTCACTGCCACCAAGGATAACCCCAACAAGAATGGCTGAGCTTCCAGTAGCAAAACTCACTTATGCCTGCTATAAAACTATGTAAATAGAATCATGCAGTGTGTATCTTTTGAACTTAGCACCTTCCATGCAAAATTTCGCTTGTGAGATTTGCCCATATTTTTCTTTACAAAAAAAATTTTGATGTCATTGACAGAGCTACAACCCTTTATTTCCTAGGTGAGGTATAATTAGTATTTAAAAACTAAAATCTCACCCAAAGATCAGAGAATATGAAGAAACAGGGAGAAATCTCTAAACTTACACTTTCTTCTTCTAGAAATTTAGTAACACATTAATTTAGGAGTTTCCTAGACTCCTCCATTGGAAGCTGCTTCTAGGCAGGAGGTAAAGTTAAGCAGATGTGGGGCCAGGTTTCTATTTTTGAAGAGGGCTTGCCCTTCTTTGTATTATTTCATCACTTCTAGCTGAATTCATCAATTATCATTTTCTCCTTTCACTCTTCAGTAAAGCCTTTCAGTGGCCTAGAAAAAAAGCAAGACTCCCTGACAGGCAAGCTCAGAAAAATCAGACCTGAAATAGAGAGGGGAAAAAGCATCATGGCATCCAGGGTGGGGTCATTGGAGACTGGAGAGAGTGCCAAAGCATTTCCTGAGAACAGCTCCTCCTAGCGGGAATTGTGTGCCCTGATCTCGTCCTGGATCACCTTGACCTTCCCACCACCCACTCCTCCTAGCCATCTCTTTTCTCAGCTCCCATTTTAGGGAGCAGCAGACTTACACCTGGACCCTTTACGCTAAATTGAAGCAATGAAATTATGAGAACTTGGAAACTGAATAAAGGAATTAAAGGGAAGAAGCAGTATAACTTGAGTGAGCTTTGAAATACAAGGGAAGAATAGTTTTGGTTGTGTGTGAATATGATGAGCTGAGCTTTAGACATTGAGTGACAGCAAGATAGCTAAGTATCTCTCCCAAATAGTCCATTGGATATTTGAGTTTGAAGTTCAAGGCCAAGATCAAGACAGGAATGCAAGTGAAGGAGTTTTAAGAACATAGATGACAGAAACATAAGCAGGTAAGACTGCGTAAGAATAGACTATAGACCTGGGAGAATACCGATAACACATAGAAACAATCCAAATGAAGACATGCTGTGACTCTGATCAGATTATAGATACTGTATAGCCATACGTTCTTCTACATTCTCTTCATGCTAAGAATCTTACTCAGTATTTCCAATGGTCAAAATACAGTGTTCATTAAATCTTGTCCACCTATATTTAGAGAAGAAAAGTCAAAGGCTAATTACAGATTAATGATGAGCAACATTTAAGTAAAGTGAGTGAAAATTGATTCTGTTATCTCTGAAAGATTCAACAGAATGCTTTAGCATTACATATCAATGTAGATAAATACATATATTGCTGGATAAAGGGTATGACAGCAATATATTCTCACACAAATAAGTCTTACCTATACATGCTGAAATGTTCATTTTTCAGTCCATTACGTTCAATTTAATGCATATAGAACACATCTAGAATCAATAGGACTTTGAATGTTTCATTTTTAATTTCACTCACATGAAAAATTCTGTATGCTGCTTGGTAGTTCCAGCACTTAAGCAGTGTCAGCAACAGGCCCCTCGGGAAGCATGAGGCCAAGGTTAAATCTCTTCTAAGCCAAGATGCTCAGATACCCAAAGAACCAATTTTCGTTGTATTGCATGTCTCCTGGTATTTTATCGGCATGCCCGGAATCAGAGTGAAAGGGGTGCACTGGGACTAATTTCAGTTGCAGATATATAACTCCTGGCATTACGTTTTCCGTAACTTTCACAAAATTCAAGGTTACTGCTTTGGCTTATTAGTCTTTAGCTAATTTTGTATCACCCACAGGAAACAAAAGTAGAAATGTTGTCTCTCCCAAAATATAGACAACAGTGTAATGGGAGATGTGGGTTCCAGTTTCTGCTGAATTTACAAGTACTTTCTAAAGAAGAAACAGCTTAAATAACTTTTATTCATGACTAAAATAGTCATTATGTATAAAGGTAATGCCCCTGATCCTCCTGGCCAAGTGGCATTCCCTTAGATTGCTTCTTTATCATAAAAATAGATTTGCATATCTCCACCAGTGGCCATATCCCCTTTCATAGCTCTATCTGCAAAATGGCAGATTTGGAGTAGAATCAGAGTCGGGATGACCATGAATGTAGTATGTGAGAGCTCATCCTGGCAGCAGATCAAAAGCAATCCAGAAAATGTACTCAGGGAAAAAATTCTCCTATACTGTTTTACTAGCCCACATGCCTCACACCTGTCCTTCACGGACACATCACCTCCGGTGATCCCTGCATTGATCAGACTCAATAGCTTGCTGAACAACATTCATACTTAATCATATACTTGTACAGTATTTTGCAATTTCAACAAATTTTCACATATGCTATTTAATTTTATATTCTATGAACTCACTATAGTAACAAAGCGGCTGTTATTGCATATCTTACTGGGGGAACTGAAGCTCCAAAAAGTTACAAAGCTAGCACACAATAACATAATACATGGCGAAACTTGTCTAGAAGCTAAGTACCTCCCAGTTTCTAGAGTAGTATTATCTTTACTCTACCCCAGGCATCCTATAAAAAACAAAAACATTACTGAGGTCTCACTCAGGGTAGAAATAGGGCCTAGTGTCATGTTAAAAATCTTTTTTCTGGGTTGAGATTTTTTTTTATGATACTTTAAGTTTTGGGGTACATGTGCACAATGTGCAGGTTTGTAACATATGTATACATGTGTCATGTTGGTGTGCTGCACCCATTAACTCGTCATTTAACATTAGGTATATCTCCTAATGCTATCCCTCCCCGCTCCCCCCACCCCACAACAGGCTCAGGTGTGTGATGTTCCCCTTCCTGTGTCCATGTGTTATCGTTCAATTCCCACGTATGAGTGAGAACATGCAGTGTTTGGTTTTTTGTCCTTGTGATAGTTTGCTGAGAATGATGGTTTCCAGCTTCATCCATGTCCCTACAAAGGACAGGAACTCATCCTTTTTTATGGCTGCATAGTATTCCATGGTGTATATGTGCCACATTTTCTTAATCCAGTCTATCATTGCTGGACATTTGGCTTGGTTCCAAGTCTTTGCTATTGTGAATAGTGCTGCAATAAACATACGTGTGCATGTGTCTTTATAGTGGCATGATTTATAATCCTTTGGGTATATACCCAGTAATGGGATGGCTGGGTCAAATGGTGTTTCTAGTTCTAGATCCCTGAGGAATTGCCACACCGACTTCCACAATGGTTGAACTTAGTTTACAGTCCCACCAACAGTGTAAAAGTGTTCCTATTTCTCCACATCCTCTCCAGCACCTGTTGTTTCCTGACTTTTTAATGATTGCCATTCTAACTGGTGTGAGATGGTATCTCATTGTGGTTTTGATTTGCATTTCTCTGATGGCCAGTGATGATGAGCATTTTTTCATGTGTCTTTTGGCTGCACAAATGTCTTATTTTGAGAAATGTCTGTTCATATCCTTCGCCCACTTGTTGATGGGGTTGTTTGTAAAAAAAGTTTTCTTATAAGACAGACTTTGTCTTTGACATCCCAACCTTTTTCCCAGAGCCCTATTTCTCTCCCCATCTTTCTACCTTCCAGACCTGGATTTAGCATCCTCAGAAATCCTCAGCATGCTGAGAAGAGTCATTCCCATCTCTTCCTACTAAGCAGATTCCTACTGGTACTTCGCAGACTCAAATATGATCTCCTCTCTGAATATTTTCCTTTTTCTCCTGGAATCACTTACTGTGTCCTCCTATAAGCTATCAGAGGAGAGCTTTTTTCATACATTTTAACAGTACTTATTACATTATATTTTAATATTTCAACCTATCCGTTTTTCCCCAGGACTTTGAGCTCCTGCAAGACAGCCAATTTTCATCCTTGTATTGACCATAGTACCTAGAAGAGTCTCTGGCACATAAGAGATGTTCAATAAATGTGGAGTGAGTGGACCTGAAAACCTTTAGCCAAAAGTGTTGATGACAATGGGCCCACTCCCTTCACAATAACAGATGCTTATAAATGTGAAGATATGTCATCAGGAAAAGGGAAATACTTGGCACAAAGTAATGAATCTCTCAAGATGAAATATCACAATGAATATAATTTGGGAATGTAGGGACAGCACAATCTTATTGTTTCTCGAATTGTATCACATAGGCAAATTCCAAAATGAATTCAAATTACTTCAAGTCAAATATTTATAGTGGACATTTGGCATTCATCAGCAATACTTCCAGAGTCCTCTACATATCCTTAAATTTGATATTCCAGAACTTTTTGCATGGATCTTGATTTTCTCCAAAATCACATTCTATTGAAAATAACCTGTTTCCTTTTCCTTCTCAACTCCTAAGTTTACTACTAAATTTTTATAAAACCATGTCTCTTATTTTATACACATACAAAAATTGTAGTTATAAGCACTTAGTGATGCACAATAAAGACTGCTTGATGAAGAAGAACCACAGTCATATTGAGATGCACATGCTGGGAGCAGTAAAATTTCAGAGCCCTCTGGAGGTCACTTGGGAAAATTCAAAACCACAAGTGTCAAATCTGTGAATGCAAAGAATCTAATGGATACTAAGTGCTTATTATATGCAAGACATTGTGGCGAGTGCTGCAGAGAATTCAATATGCATAATTGTCTCTGTTCTAAATATTTTACTAATTAGTCCAGTGCCTCTATCTCTGTTGTATCACCATTTTTGTTGACATTTTTATTTAATAGAACTTACTATAGAAATAGCCTAAAGGCTTCCAGTCAAGATGGTGCCTTGAATTAATGCTGCAACCTTCTCTCTCTCTCTCTCTCTCTCTCACACACACACACACACACACAAATACTAATAGATTAGATACTTTAAAAAATTTTAACATTAATATTTTTCAGTATATTAACATGCACAAGAGCTAGTAATACGATAGAACAGACAGAGGTGAGGAAAGGCTATTGCCACTAGATCAACCAGATTCCAGAATTGTTCATAGTATATATATAACATACACACACATATACATATATATATACATATATACACACACGCATATATTTTAATGGAGAGCCTGTGCCAATCCCCAAGACACTGGCTTATATGAAACTATACTTGGCAGCAGGAGGGGAACTATAGAGAGCATAAACAGCCATGCCAGTAGGACCCGAGCCAAGCTTGAAGGCTTATGATTAGGTCGGTATTGTTTTCATTATCACCATGGGACACAAATGCAGAGGCATCAGTATGAAGCCTGGCTCTAGATAGGAGATACTGAGTCTGCAGACTATAGACAGGAAAGAATAACTATAGAGAATGTGAAAAGGAATTGTCCAACTAAAATTTTAAGCATTTGAAACACAGAAATGCTAACGAAAGTAAATTCAATCAAGAAATGTTAAAATGACTTTAAAGAAGAAATGTTTTATATCCTCAAAGAAGTTAATAACATCTGTAAAAAAACCAAAAACTAAAATTATAAAACCGAAGATGTCAGATATGAATCAAGAATAGGCTAAGAAAACAGAGCCAATTAGAATTCTTGGAAATCAAAAATTAGCTATTAAAATAAAAAGTTCAGTATGTTTTAAGTTATTTCCTAGATATAGCCAAAGTAATAATTTGAATGTAGATATGAAAATATTCACCTGGAATAAAACAGGGAGAAATAAGTATAAAAGTAAAAAGGTATAGTAATGACGATGACATTAAACTGCTTTAGAAAATATATAAAATGAAAATTAGAATCAAATATCAAACTTCTAAACCAGGAGGAAAAAAATTGAGAAAAAAGATCAATCCAAGTTATAACAGGGGAGTAGGGGAGAGTAAGAGAAAATAACATGGTAATAGAAAGTAAAATGTTTTAATTAACCAGTAGTAACAACAAATATAAAGGTTTAAAATTACCTAATAAAAGATTAAATAAGATGTTTTTCAATTCAGCATATTATAAGAAAAACACCTAAAATAAAACACTGAAAATTCAAATAAAGGGATTAGAAAAGATATACAAAGTCAATTTTTTTTTTTTTGAGATGGAGTCCTGCTCTGTTGCCCAGGCTGGAGTGCAGTGGCATGATCTCAGCTCGCGGCAACCTCCACCTCCTGGGTTCAAGCGATTCTCCTGCCTCAGCCTCCTGAGTAGCTGGAATTACAGGTGTGTGCCACCACACCCAGTTAATTTTTATATTTTTAGTAGAGATGGGGTTTCATCATGTTGGCCAGGGTGGACTCGAACTCCTGACCTCAGGTGATCTGCCCACCTTGGCCTCCCAAAGTGCTGGGATTACAGGTGTGAGCTACCACTCCTGGCCCTAAAAATTATTTTTATAATACTTTTATAATATTTTATAATATTTTATAATATAATTATAATATTTTAAAAATATTTTTATAATATAATATTTTTATAATTTTATAAGTTATTTTGTTTTCATTGTATTGACATTTGCACTGATATTACAAAAGCAACAGTGGGTAAAACTGCTCAAACCAAGGCAGTAGCACTAAATTATACTAGTGGTCTTTTTCACTGCTATGTGTCAGAGATAGACACAATTGGACATTAATTAAAACAGTGAAAACAAATTTTATTCAATGACTACTCACAGTAGGGGAAACAGTCAAGCTCTATTTCAATTTGGGCAGAGGTGGTTTGGGTGTTTTAAAAGGAGAATGAGGAAGGGGTCAGTGTAGGGACTCAACAGAATCAGAGAAGTGAACAAGTACAAAGGGTTAGTCAGTGTGAAGGTAAGTAGGCCAGCTGTGTCTGCTAGCAGGTAGTTATCTAAGTTAAGGTTCTATCCTCCCACAGAGACTGGGAGAGAGAGGCCTTATCCTTTTTGATGACTGCATTTCAAAGGAATGGCCTCCCAGTGAGCAGCAAGAGCTATGTATTTACAATCCTGAGCCCATTTTAGTTAGTGAACTAAGAAAGGGAGGTCAGAGGCCTATCATTCTGTGTGTGTTGGCTAGAACAAATAGTAAGCTTTTCTGGCAGCATGAACTTTCTCAGGCAGGCATTTTAACGGGGACTGGAGTCATCCTAGGGACATGGTGTTATGCTACTGGAAGCCATGCCAGAGTTTTGTCAGGTCTCAAAGTGCAAGAGTTTGAATGAAGTTTCATGTGCCATGAGTTCTGCATTTTTCACATGCACTTGCAGAAAACACATGCCACCCCCTCACTCAGCTCCCAAAAGCCAGTTTTGCATAAGAATGACCTTCATGAAACGATATTAATTATATTAAAACTCAATCCTCGAGTACATGTCTTTTTAGTATGCAGTGTGACAAAATGGGAATTATAAATAAAGTACTTTCTGCTGCATACTAAAGTACTCAAGTTACCTTAAGGAAAAGCTATGTTCAATTGTTTGAATTGTAAAATGAACTACCACTTTTTTTCATGGAACATGATTTTTACTTGTAAGAATGACTGATGGACAAACTATAGCTATCAAAGTTTGTTTTTCTGCATACATTTTTCTCAAGAATATATGTAGCAAGTCTTATCACTTCAAGGAAAACAAGTGACAGCTAGCAGTATCTCTTGCCAATGATAAAACTCAACTTTTCAAGTGAAAATTGGAAAATTCGAATTTTGCAAAACTTGTATTCACCACCCTGAGCTTGATAGCTTTACAGTACTTCAAGACTGTTCTAACAAGATCAGTGTTTATCTTAATGAATGTAATTTTTTCCACACTATAGTATTACAAAATCAGGCAGAGGAAGAAGATCTATTCAAAGTGGTACAAGATACACCAATGGATATCATGTGTAACAGAATAACTTATTGATATGATTTCAGATTTCTTCTTGCCATGAACTGTTAGTTTTGGTGTACTACCAAAAGAAATATCCGCAATTACCTTCTACCACTCCTATAGTTCAACATTTTCTTGGAGTTCCTAGTCAACAAAAAAATGATAAAAGAAATAACACATGAGTTGTACAAAAAAAGAGACACAATTGTCATTATTTGCAGATGTTACTATCTACATAGAAAAATCAAGAAAATATCAAATAATAAAAACTTATGCAGTTCAGCAGCTGAATGAACATGTAAAAATTAATAGCATTTCTCCCCAAGTCATAAATAGAAAATGTAATGGCAATAAAAATCTCATTTATAATGACAACAGAAAATATAAGGTACTTAAGCATAACACTCATGTCTTGCATGATGGTCATCAAGAACTTTAAAAATTCTAAATAAAAATTAACATGTTCATAAAGGGAATATGAGAAAAGTATCCCCAAAATTAGTTTACAAATTCAATAAAGTTTTTATCAAAATTCCCTCCAAATTCTTTGAAATTTAAACTGACCCTAAAACTCATATAGAAGAGAACGTCTAAAACTCATATAGAAGAGAACGTCTAAAACTGATATAGAAGAGAACGTCTAAAACTCATATAGAAGAGAATGTCTAAAACTCATATAGAAGAGAATGTCTAAAACTCATATAGAAGAGAATGTCTAAAACTCATATAGAAGAGAATGTCTGAAACTCATATAGAAGAGAATGTCTGAAGCTCATATAGAAGAGAATGTCTGAAACTCATATAGAAGAGAATGTCTGAAACTCATATAGAAGAGAATGTCTGAAACTCATATAGAAGAGAATGTCTGAAACTCATATAGAAGAGAATGTCTGAAACTCATATAGAAGAGAATGTCTGAAACTCATATAGAAGAGAATGTCTGAATTTTAAGGCACAACAATGATGAAGAACAAAAGATACCTTGCATGAGATATAACAAAAGATCTACATAAATTTTTGAAGAAAATTTTAAAGCCTTACTAAAAAAAAAAAAGTAAAGAGGACTTAAATACATGTAGAAATATACTATTTGTGTGCAAGGGAAAACCCACTATTATTAAGATGGTGATTGTCCCCCAAGCTAATGTATAAAATTTCAATGAAAATCCTAGTATTTGGGGGGAGGGGGGAGGGATAGCATTAGGAGATATACCTAATGCTAAATGACGAGTTAATGGGTACAGCACACCAGCATGGCACATGTATACATATGTAACTAACCTGCACATTGTGCACATGTACCCTAAAACTTAAAGTATAATAATAATAATAAGAAGAAGAAGAAGAAGAAATTGTGGCATACATATATGATGGAATACTACTCAGCCATAAAAAGGAATGAATCAATGGCATTTGCAATGACCTGGATGAAATTGGAGACTTATTCTAAGTGAGGTAACTCAGGAATGGAAAACCAAACATTGTATATTCTCATTCATAATTGGGAGCTAAGCTATGAGGATGCAAAGGCATAAAAATGACACAATGGACTTTGGAGACTCAGGGGAAAGGGTGGGAAGGGCGTGAGGGATAAAAGACTACAAATAGGATGCAGTGCACACTGCTCAGGTGATGAGCGCACCAAAATCTCACAAATCACCACTAAAGAACTTACTCATATACAAACACCACCTGTTCTCCAATAACCTATGGAAATAAAAAAATTTTGAAAAAAGAAAAAAAAAAGAAAATCCTAGTATTATGTTTTAGGAAACCTGATGGGTTGATTCTAAAGGTATTTATGGAATAATAGCAAATACTTAATAGTTTTTCTGTTGATCAGGCACCATTCTAAGAACTTTAAAAATAACAACTCTTTTATGTCCACAATAACCTTAACTATAAGATAGGTTCCACTATCATTTCCATTTTATACCTGAGAAAACAGAGGCACAGAGAGAGTAAAAACTTACACAGGGTCAAACAAATAGTAATAAAAAATGAAGATTCTTCCCCCATTTGCCTCCAGTGTCCCTGCCCTTGACACCACTATGCCATTCTGTCAGGAATACCAAATGATTCTGATGAAGAACAAGAAAGGAAAAGGCGAATGGGGAGATATTTTTATCACTGTAACTTGAAATAGTGTGAAATTGATGAATAAATAAGTAAATATGCCAGTGAAACAGATTGAAACACCTGTAAACCACTTACACATTTAATTTACGGGAGTGGAAACATTTTAGATCAATGAATAATGAATTTCATAGAATAAGAAATATAAATAGTGGAAAATATATGGAAAGACATTCAATGTAATCAGGGAAATGTAAATTTAATTAAATTTAAATTTAAGCATAAATTTGGCATCCCAAAGTAGGCAAGGTTGAACCATCATCGGAAAGTTGATCGTTCCCATCTCTTCCCAAGTCAGCATTGCCACATTAGTGCTGTCGTGTTGGTAACCTGAAACTGGCCATGTGGGAAGTTTTACACAATGGAAATGGACAAATGCTACAAGTCAGGGCTGCTTTGCCTATTTACCAGTTTGGCAGCATATACTGACTTTAACTCAGAATGAGATATTGCTTCAACCTATGAGATACACACGAGCTGAAAACATTAACAACAGCCAATGTTGACAAGAGTATAAAATAAGGAGAAATTTCTTCATCTGCTGGTAGGATTATAAGATAATAGAACTACTCAAAACAATGTGGCATTATCTGTACAACTGAAGGCATATTCATCCTATGACAGCGATTTCCCTGCTGGGCATATGAAGAACCTTCACGTGTAGGTAAAAGGAGACATACATAAGCATGTTCACAGCAATATTGACTGATGTCCTAGAAAATCAGAAACATCCTAAATATCCATCAAGAGGAGAATGAATAAATTGAGATATGTTTATACAGTAGATTATTATACAGTGGTGAAAGTGAACGAACTAGAACAATACATCTTAATTTAAATAAATCTCATGAATACTTTGAGTGAAAAAAGCAAGTTATAGTATAATATGTAATGTATACACCTTTAGTATATAATTTTAAAACCTGGAGGCAGTATTATGTGCTTTATGGCTATATATTTATGTGTACACATGTATATATGTGTCTGTGTGTGTTGTGTTTAAGTAGATAAATATACAAAACACTTTAAAATTACATCAGATAATCAAAAGCTTAAAGTGTGCAATACCAAAAATGTGGGAAAACATTAATTCTCATACACTAAGTGAAACTGTGATTTGGCATTACTTACTTCAGGATCAATTTGGCAATATTTACTGAAAATGGAGAAATACCTACTCATGACCCATCAATTTGGTTTCTACATATAGTAACCTAAGGAAAACACACACACACACACACACGCAAAGAACAAACTCAATAATTTCCGCTGCAGCATTACTTTGTGCAGGTTATTTTTACTAGAGAGTAAATGTCACAGGATATGACAGGGCAGTTAAAGTAGGCCAGCTAGATCTATGTCCACATGGATAAGGCTCAAAACCATACTAGGTGAAAAGTTATAGAATTACATGTATTGTATGATACCATTTATTTTGTTTTATAAGAATACATGGAATACCACATTATTTATGGATAAATGTATCATGAAAATATTAAAATAGGAACTGAATATAAATCAAATTAGTGGCTGTGTTTGCCTTTATGGAGGAGAAAACGGAATGATCTACAGACAGAAGCCTAAGAGAAGTATCTGTAATCGTTTATTTATTTAAGAAGATGTAAGGGAAATATATGTTAACATTTATTAAATTTAGGTGGCGGGTACATGGGTGTTTATAACATTATTTTTTGTGTATAACACTCAAAATGTTCATATTTTTCCTTTTTAAGGAAAGTAGTGCATTTCCCTTAGCTTCCTGGATTTGTTTTTGGAAAAGTGAAAACCACTCAACTTGGAGTCAAACACAGGTTAAGTCCAATCTCTTGCAGCAGGCAGCTGTGAGTCCATAGGCAAGCCTCCTGAGTTTTAGATGAGAAGGTAATAACTACCTTGCAGAGAAAGGGTGAATGAGATATCCTGAGGCACAAGGCCTAAGACACTGGCTTTCTGTATTAGTTTGCTAGGACTGCCATAACAACGCACCACACACTGTGGCTTAAACAACAGAAATGTATTACCTCACAGTTCTGGAGGCTAGATCCAAAATTGAGGTTCCTGAAGAGTTGGTTCCTTCTGGGGGCCATGAGGGAGAAGTTTGGTCCAGACCTCTCCCCTTGGCTTGCGGCTGGCTGTCTTCTGTCTCTTCACGTCATCTTTCCACTGTGAGTAGCTGTGTGCAAATTTCTAAGTACAGTAGTCATGTCGGATTAGGGCCTACTTGAATTACCTTAACTATAAAGGCCCAATCTCAAAATGTGGTCCCATTTTGAGGTGCTAGGGGTTGGAATTCCTACATAGAATTTTGGGGAAACACAATTCAATCTACAACACCTGAAGTATTATAGTCGATACCTAAAATACATAAAAAGAAAAAAATATTGCCTTTAAAGGTTAAGCTCATCCTCAATTAAAAGTGACTTTAACTTACTGGCATTATCTAACTGGTCAAAAGTTAGTGGGCAGGTCTGATAAATGGCAGAATGAGGTTACTGACTTCAACTCCTTCCTTTTCAGATATAATATGACACCTGTGTTGGTGAAGCCTGTGGCCAAAATAAAGGCTGGACCTGCCAACTTCTCATTTGTCGCTCTACTTCCAGTTTGCTCAGGTGGATAGAGGATAATGCTAATAAGGCCAAGATCCTACATTTGATTCCCATCAGAGCTAATTAGCCTCACTCATTCCCACACACAGACTGCTCTTAGCTGATACCCGCTGACCCAGGGAACAACTGAAGCCAATAAAAAACAGGGTACTGGCTATTCAAAAGACATGACTTCTATTTTGAGTCCCAGAAATGGTCATCTAAGAGCAGGAAAGAGGCAATGGAAGGCTACCTTTATCCCAGTTCAAACAGCCCTTCTCATGTTATTCCAGACTTCCATGACCAGGTGATTAACACTTAAAAAAAATAAAAATCTTAACAGATTCAAACAGTCAACACAAACCAAAGAAAGACAACGGTAAACTCAAATAAAAGATATGAAGATACTGCAGCCTGGGGTTACAATAATATTCTCATGTGAACACTTGTTTTCCACCTAATTAAATGAACTTTCATATTAAAATAGTTCCAAATACATTTCCAGTGATTAATCATGACAGTAGTGTCTCCTTATCTGAGGTTTCACTTTTCACAATTTCAGTTACCCATGGTCAACGCAGTTCAAAAATGTTAAATGGGAAATTCCAGATATAAACAACTTATAAATTTTAAATTGCATGCCATTATGAGTACCTTGATGCAACCTTCCATGAGCCTGTTCTGTCCCATCTGGTATGTGAGTCATCCTTTGTCCAATGTCTCCCTGCTGTGTATGCTACCCACTCTTCCGTCACTCGGTAGCCATCTTGGTCATCAGATTGACTGTCATTGTATTGTTCCAGTTGATTATTAGTTATTGATGTTAATCTTTTACTGGGCCTAATTTAGAAATTAAACTTTATAAGTATGTATGTATGGAAAAAAAACATTCCATATAGAGCTCAACAACATCTTCAGTTTCAGGCACCCACTAGGGGTCTTGGAATGTACCACCTGTGAATAAGGGGGCACTACTCTACTTACAAGTATTTTATTTCCATTTGGCAACCATTCCATCTGTCTCCTCTGTAAAATATTGGGCATCCTACAGAATAATCGATTTATAAACTTTGCAAAAAAGAAATGTTTGTCTCTCATTTTTTGTTTAACTCATATCTTGGTTGTAAATGAAAACATTCTGATACAGAACGGAGTGCTAACGTTCCCACTTTCTCAGAAACACATTTCAAATTTCCAAGTTTTTCTTTTTTAAAGTGAGAAACTCTCAGTTCCTTCCTGCCTCAGGAACCCTTGGGCCTTAGAATTCTTGTGAATTTTACTGCAGAGAACAATGCATTGGACTCTTTGATACAGATATACTTTTGGGGAATTCTATTTACAATTGTCTCCTTTTAAATTTCATAGGAATGATGACCAGAGAACTGTGTGTGAGAGGACTCTTTTGTATTCACATAACAGAAACCCAGTTCAATCCAATTAAAAAAAGGATTTTTAGCTTCCGAATGTCTAAAGTCCAGGTGTCTACTTCAGGCACAGCCAGATCCAGAGTCATCTGCCCCCTTCTGTTTCTCGGTCTACTTTCTTCCAACAGGCTCTTCAGATAGTGGCACGGAGGTCTAACAGAGCCTCTCAAATTATATCCTGCTAGTTTAGCAATGACGCCAGAAGAAAAATACAACATTTCTCTTTTCTAAAATTCCCAGCAAGAATTCCAGGTCTCATGATTCCATGCCCATTCCTAACCCAGTCAGTGTGTCCCTGTAGATGCTGCACCCTCATCTACCATGCTTGGTCCATGTACCTGCCCAGAGCTTAAGAGGGGGATCAACATCCCCTACCCCCACGATCATGGGGATTGAAATGGTCAAAGGCTGATATTCCACAGAAACACTGAGGTGCTGTTATCAGAAGGGAAGTGGAAGGCAAAGCAATAGACATCCATTACTGAAGGCTTAAGCTGTCATCTCAGAAAAAAATACTACTGGTCACCAAGGGGGTGGGGTCTGAAAGCAGGGCTAACTCAGTCTAAACTCATCATCATAGCTGGAAAAAATATAAACTGAAAATCCATTTTCTACTGCTGATGGGTTAACACTGCATTTTCATATGGTTGCATAATTATAACTCACAGTTATGATTTGAAATCTGCTGTGCAGGTATCAAAAAACAGCAAATGAAGAGTGACACTGAAAGGTTGTTTAACTCATCCCCAGTCACCAATAAAATCACACCTAAGCCTTCAATTTTTGAAGACCTACAGAAACAAGATACATTATTTCATTATAATTATTAAGAGTGATATATGCTGTCTCTTCTAGCCCTCTCCATGCAAGGGAATAACTCCTTTTGTGCATGTAATTAATTAATTTGTTGTAGCAATTAGTTTCAATGCTCTTATGAGGCATGCTAATCTCTCACCAGGGCAAAATGAGGCACTCGGATAAAAGTTCTGGGAGGGGTGAATTTGATAATGACTTTGGGATCAAAATATGTTTCCTCACCCCAGGGACTGTTCACATGGAGTTCAAAAGCCTGTGAAAAAGATAACCTCACCAGGTGTGACCTGTTAACTGCCAAATTCCAGAACTCCCCAGTCTGAAACTTGTGCTCCTTGGATTATCTGTCCAGTGGTAGAGTCAGCCACAGAAATCAGGCATTTTTTTTTCTCCCTCTGTAATCCTCTACTGTATCACAATTAATGGCAGTGTCACACTGTACCTCATGTAAATTAATTCTATGTTTGTCTAAATAACCTGATACAATTTATTTAAGTTCCACATACAGCCAGATTTAATACATTAACCTGAAAGATGGAAAAGACATTTCTCTACAGAGTGTTTTGGGATTTTTTTAAATTGGAAATTAAATAAAGGGCTCACCATATGTGCAGCTGGGGACATTAGTTGTAGCATTTAGCAGGAGCAGATTATCAAGTTTCATTATTTGATACATTTTCAGGCTTGCAACAGAGTAGGAAGGAATTGATGGGAGCAGCAAATTCATTTTAAAACAGGTTTATCGCTTCATCAGGTATTCATTTAACCAGAATCTGCAGCATAACTGGATCTCTTTGGCCCTATGTGACATGTTTTTCCAAATGGAATAATAAGTATAGAGATAGAATATGTAGTTCAAGACTTCCCATCTCTATGAGGCACCCAGATATTTGAAGGAAGAAATTACTTTCATTCTCAAGCCACCGATCACTACAGGATGGCCAGCTGGTGCAGAGCCCTGGTGCAGGGCCCTGCTAAAGAGAAGTATAGAGATGCCACAATACTCTTGGTTTTCAGCAAATGAGCCTAACAGGTCGTTTCTAGTGAGAAAAAAATAAATTGAGTATTTTAAGAAGTGTTATAGGCCAGGCGCCGTGGCTCACGCCTGTAATCCCAGCACTTTGGGAGGCTGAGGCGGGTGCATCACTTGAGGTCAGGTGTTCAAGACCAGCCTGACCAACATGGTGAAACCCCATCTCTGCTAAAAATACAAAAATTAGCCAGTCATGGTGGCACACACCTGTAATCCCAGCTACTCGGGAGGCTGAGGCAGGAGCATCACTTGAACCCGGGAGGTGGAGGCTGCAGTGAGATTGCACCACTGCACTCTAGCCTGGGCGACAGAGCAAGATTCCATCTCAAAAATAAATAAACAGATAAGTGTCGGAATACATTTTCTTACAGCTGCTAAGCCAGATCAAATAGAGAAATAGCATAAATTAAAAAGATAAAATCAAAAGTTAAAAAGTATTATTCTAAGAATCCTCAGCAAGCTAACACAGGAACAGAAAACCAAACACCGCATGTTCTCACTCATAAGTGGGATTTGAACAAAGAGAACACATGGACACAGAGAAGGGAACAACACACACACACACACACACACACACACACACCAGGGCCTGTTGGCAGGTGGCAGGGGAGGGGAGGGAACCTAGAGGACAAGTCAGGTGCAGGAAACCACCATGGCACACGTATACCTATGTAACAAACCTGCATGTTCTGCACATTTACCCCGGAACTTAAAGTAAAATTTTAGAAAGTGTTAGTAATAAACTGTTTCAGATTTCCAGAGCTTGGTAAATTATGCACACGAGGGCACACACCAAACTAGTTACTCTGTAAGATCCAACTTCTAGTCAGAAATGAAGATTGTGAACTCACTCAGATCCCGTATAACGTCTTCCATTTAATCAATTGTATCATAACCCAAAAGTAACTTCAAAACAAAATATTAATTTTCTAAATATATATTGATATATTTCTAAAATATCAAGAGCTATAGCTAGTGTAATATGTACAATCGTTTCACAAAACAAAGGCCCTTAATTGATTTCATTCACAGACTTCATGTGTTATCACTATTGGAATACATCACAATAAATATATAAAATGTCACCCTTTTTACTGACAATGCCATATTGAAAGGCATAGCTTAGATCTGCTACCTAAGTGAGCTGACTCCTTCCCCAGTCTAGACTACTGGTTCTCAACCTTGGATACACATTAGAACCTCCTGGAAAACTTGTGAAATATTCCCTACCTGGGCCAATTAAATCAGAAGACTGACTAAGGATATGCCCCCAGCATCAGTAGCTTTTAAAGCTCCTCAAATGTTTCTACTGTTCACCCAGAGTTGAGGACTTTTGATTTAGAGACTGGCTCTCCAAGCGTGGCCCTGGGAGTACTGGCTTCAGCATCACCTGGAATCATGTTAGGAATACAAATCAGTTTCTACCCAGCCCTACTGAATCAGACACTCTGGGAGAGTTGGGCGTTGGAGCAGACCCTCCAGGTGATTCTTACACAAGCTAAAGTTTGAGACCCACTGATCTAGTGTTTGGAATAGCCCATGCAGGGGAAGTTTGGATCTGCAGAGCAGACATGCTGGTCTAGAGTGGAGAGGCCGGGAGTGAATCCAGGCTTTCAGGAGCTTGAAGCCTGTATACTTTTAAGATATACTAAAAAAAAAAAAAAAAAAAAAAAAAAAAAGAATAAAGTTTCAGCCTCCTGAGTAGTAGCTGGGACTACACCACAGCCAGCTAGTTTATTTTTGTAGAGACAGAATCTTACTATCTTACCCAGGCTAGTCTCAAACTCCTGTCCTCTAGCAATCCTCCTGACTCAGCTCCTGGAATTATAGGCGTGAGCCACTGTGCCCATCTCTCATCTTGCCCTTTTTTGGAAACATAGTCTTACTCTGTTGCCCAGGCTGGAGCGCAGTGGTGCAATCTTGGCTCACCACAACCTCCGCCCCCAGGTTCAAGCGATTCTCCTGCCTCAGCCTCCTGAGTAGCTAGGACTACAGGCATGCGCCACCATGCCCGGCTAATTTTTTGTATTTTTAGTAGAGATGGAGTTTCACTATGTTGGCCAGACTGGTCTCGAACTCCTGACCTCAGGTGATCCACCCACCTCAGCCTCCCCAAGTGCTGGGATTACAGGTGTGGGCCACTGCGCCCGGCCTGGTCTTGTACTTTCTTGATTTATTCCTTTATCATGCTTAAGTGCCTCATAGTAGCTTCCTAAGAAAGAATTCAAGAAGACAAGTTGTTTACGTTAAGTCTCAACATTCCATTATCCCGTTGTCATCACACTTGATTGGTAGTTTGGGTTTAGAATTGTGGGTTAAGAGCTACAGTCCTGAAATTGTTTCTTCAAATATTTATTCTACCACATTGCTACACAAAGTATGGTCCAGGGCCCAGTGTTAGTCTGCAAACTCTTTGTCATCCATCTGTAGTTGAGATGACAATCAGAATCACTATTATAGAAACTGAGATTAAGCATTTTGATGTTTTTATACCAATTTGACCGAGTCTATTTAATTTTATGTCTATTGAAGCTAATAAAATTTGCAGACCTTAAAAAAATACAAAATTAGGTTCAAAAGTAAATATCCATTTAGTGTGAGAGAAATCATACCAAATTTTAACATTTAGTGCTAGCAAATATCACAAACCACAAAATAACATAATATTTTAACTAATTGATTAGAATCACCTTTCCAATACTCCTTCCCCTTAATTTTTTTCCCACAGAATACCCTTTGATTGCCTTTCCATGTAACAATTTTCTAATATTTTCTGGAGAAAGAGAATTTATAATTCATCTTTAGCATGGTGATTTTTTTTTTGTTGACAATTTACAAAAAGTGCCTGTAGGGTTGTTGTTGAATTTAGGGAAACTTCTATTAGGTTTTATTCATATAAAAGCTGTAGGGTTTTAGGGCATTTAAAATATTTCATTATAGCCACTAATCTTAAACACTCTTTGAATCGAAGAGTCTCTAGCCAGGGCCTTGGAAATGCTCTGTGAAAATGAGGGGCCTAATGTTTTATTCATGTCATGCTAAATCCACCTTGCACAGATTTTTAATAAATTAACTTCTCTAATCAACCCACCACCTACATAACTCATTTTACTTCTGTGGAGAGAAGAGACGGTGCACAGAATCCCGGAGAGTTAAGGAAAAATTCCTCCTGATGGAAACTAAATGAAGAGAATCATCGTCCCCCTGAAAGAAGAGTGACCTTCAGGGTTATCTGCATATGGAGAAATGTGCAAGGTGAACCGAAGTCACAGGACCAGATTCCCTTTTCTCCACTGATCTAAAAAGTGTGATGTTTCTGCTTCTGAAGCTGGAAAGGCCCAGCAGGGCCCAGTGTGACTTTGTAGCTCCTGAAGTAAGGCAAAGATGCTTCCTGTGGCGCTCAGTTCCAAAGGCAGCTTGCTAGCTTTGTGAGACTTGGCTGTTCAAAAATAGAGTACTAAAGTCCCTGGTCAGATATATCCCGGGTGAGAATGATCATCTGGACAAAATTCAAAATAGGTTTTTATTTTACTTCTAAAGCAGCAAGTAAGCATAAAAAAGTAAATACAAGAGACAAAGATACAAAGACTGATACAAACAAATAGCATTGCCTCCCTTGTTACCACTTATGGGTGCAGCTGAGGCCCATAGTGAACTAACCACCACTGACAGGAGCTTGTACTCTGGGCTTGCCATCTTTTATACCTCCAGCTCCATCAGCACTCAGATACACATTATTTCATATATAAAAATGATAATTACACTAGTTAGAGAACGTATGTCTGCATTGCACATTTTAAATATCCTGCCAGGCCCACACTGAGATAATCTCTCTTCACAAACACCTGATTCATGGACTCAAGAGTCTTCCATTTTTGTCCATTCAAGGACTGAGTGCCTAGACTTAGAAAATATTGCACAAATTTTTGTAACATCAATAGATAAGCTTTCAGCTTACAGGATTATAAGATAGAAGGTGACACATACATGCATGAGAAACAAAAAAGCATACCTGGAGCAGTGTTTTCTTTTAACCTGATAGTTTAATAAATAGCTGCTGAAATGAACATCTGTTTATGAACTGTTTGTATCAGTATTTGTCCCCTTACAAAAAAAAGTAAGAGCGAGAGAGATCCTATCTTGTTGGGGAATTCAAGCACGGCTTAATGAAGTAGGTAGCATTTTGAATGGGTCTTGAAGGATGGAATTTGACAGATGATATATTTCAGGAAGAAATTCCAGATGGAGAGAACCTCATTAGCACAAGACACAAAAGAAAGAAATCATGCGACGTGTTTGGAGAAAAGCAGTAATACAGTTTAACTGAACTGAGGGATGCCTGAGGGGCAAAAACTGAACTCAAAGTTTAGAGCTGGACTGTGAAGCTGAAGAGTTGGGATTTCTTTCCCTAGCAATGTGGGCACCATGAAAAGTTTTGATGACGACATGATCAGGATGTACTTTAAGAAGATGAATCTGCCATCAAGAATGCAACTAGTACTGAAGAAGAGTGTAACCACAGATCCATCAGCCCAGTTAGGATGTTAAAACAATAATTTAAGTACAAATGTAACTAGGACGGTAGCTCTGGAAATAGAAAGAGAATGAATGTGAGGACAAGACAAGGTGAGCTTCTGCCAAATGGCTCAAGTGGGAGAATCTCTGAGCAGGGAAATAGGCAGGAGAGTACAAAGTGGATAGAGTGTCACCTAAGAAGCTGTGAAGTTTGAAATCTGGAATCATAAGCTTGCTGGGAGCATGCTACATAATTTCCATGTGTTGATCCTCCGATATGCTCAGCAGACCAATGGCTCAGTGGATCTGGGCATTAGGAAGTCATCTCCAAATCTAACCTGCAGGCTCTACACAAACAGGAACAGTGTTTATTTTCTTCACCATTGACTACTCAGTGCATAATCTGGTACCTACTAAGAGCAGTTATTTAAGATATCTATTTTGGGTAAAATAAAAATTATAGTTGAGTCAATGGAAAAAAGACAGCAAAGTGTAATGAGTGTAAAAATTAGGGAAATGGGTCAAAGGCAGAACATTAAGTAACACCCACAAATTATGCTTTGCAAGAGGAATAAAACATCTAAGACCAGCAGTAGTACTGTGACAGTGTTGTAACATAACAATATTTCCTAACAGAGTAAGCAAGTTATAACTCACATGCTTACAGTTCAGTGGAAAATAGGAGAAAATTTGCACCTAGAATATTTCTGGGCTTTGGGAACAAACATTGCAACATTAGTAGTTGATGCTGTTTATTAAAAAGTTATTTGTAGAAAGGGATGGGGTAGATTGAGTGTCCGTGTATGTATTCTCAGTAATCACCCTTTCTGGTGATTTTGTAGACGTGAAGGAGGAGATGAGTAAATATCGCAATGACAGAATGATGTTTTTAAAAACAGCACAAGCCTGTTACACCTTAGTTTAAAAGCCTTTGATGACTTCCCATTACACTTAGAAAAAATCCAAACTCTTACATTGTGTACATTTTGTCCTGCAATATCTGTTCCTTGCCAACCTCTCCCATCCCATTTTGTGCTTCCAATGTCCCGCAGCCATGACACCCCAGACGCACCTACCATCTTTAGTTTCCCCAAATGAACTCTTCTGTTTTTCCTTCTCATTGGAACACCTCCCCTAACCACCACTTCTTTCTTACCCACTTGCATTATCGACTTAACTCCTACTCATTCTTCAATCTCAGTTCAAATACCACTTCTCTGGGGAAGCCTTTCCCTTCTTAGAGTAGGTCAGAATCCCATGTTATTTCCTATTAGAGTTCCAGGTATCCTCCCTTTACAGCCTTTAATCATAGTTTATAATTAGATACTAATTTGTATGCCTTTTTGTTTGTTTGTTTGTTTGTTTTGTTTTGAGACGGAGTCTCCCTCTTTTGCCCAGGCTGGAGTGCAGTGGCGCTATCTCAGCTCACTGCAAGCTCCGCCTCCCAGGTTCACGCCATTCTCCTGCCTCAGCCTCCCGCGTAGCTGGGACTACAGGCACCTGCCACCGCGCACAGCTAATTTTCTGTATTTTTAGTAGAGACGGGGTTTCACCGTGTTAACCAGGGTGGTCTCAATCTCCTGACCTCGTGATCCGCCCGCCTCGGCCTCCCAAAGTGCTGGGATTACAGGCATGAGCCACATTTGTATGCTTTTTAAGCGTCATTCTCTGCCAATCTACCATCATTTCCATAGGGGTACTGTCAGCTTGTCTGACACATAATGGTTCTCTACAAATATGTTTTGAATAATAACAATGATAGCTAACTTTCTCAGCTATATGAAGCATTTACTAAGTGTTTACATGAATTGAAGGTAGTAGTGTAGTGTAAAAAGCATGGACTTGGAAACTGATAACCTTGTGCAAACCTCAGCTTTACCACTTTATTCAATGTGTGAACTGAGGAAAATTTTGGAATTCTCTGTGTCCAAGGTTCCCCATCAATAAAATGAGTAACAATTTAGAGTTGTGTGATGATTAAGTAACTGAAAACCAGAGAGATTAACTGCCCAAGTTCTTAAAGCTATAAGCCAAAAAGCTGAGAACCAAACCCAAGCAATCTGAAAGTCTGATTAACCACTACATGAAGGAATAAAAATATATATTATATAATGTAGAAATAACTTCCACCTCTAAAATTACGTGTAGATAGGCAGAAACATCCATACACACTTACACCTCTTCCTTACACCCCACCCTGCTCCCTCCTCTTCTGCAAAGCATTGAGTGGACTGCTGGGCCACTTAAACCCATGGGCAAATATTCCAAGAAGCAAACTCAGGCCAAGATTATCTTTCACACCAATGCCATAGAGTCAAAAATAGAGAAGACCAACAATCACGGATGCCCTGTAGTGAAATTGTGACAAACACTTCTGCACTCATATCTTGCTTTTCATTGGAATATCACTTCACTAACAGATTTCAAATGCCACTTCTTTGCATGTGCACACACCAATATGCTTTATTTGATATTTATCACTTAAACACATGAAAGGTTGCAAAAAAAATTGTGTCCAATGATACTTGATGACAAAGCATTAGTGACCCAGTCCTTTTCCAGACCTAATGATATTTTGCCCCAATAGCCTAATGCTCTATAGCTCATACAAAACCAATAAGGCACCCATGAAACACGATAGGACATGTGCAGTCACGGTGGAAATGAAGGGTACAATGAAGCTGTTGAGAACACGCTTATAAATATGACCATTTCATTTTATGTGGAAAGGCAATTGATCTCTAAGCATTGAGAAAATGCTCAGATTGTCCTTTGCTATTAAGTTATCCTCACCTCTGCTCCTTTCAGTTGACCTGCTTGTAAATGGGTCCTGGAGTCTTGTTTTATGTAGGGGTAGCTGAAGGTGATTGTGTGTCCTGGAAACCATTGACAAGCAAGAGTATCCAGAGTATCATCATGAAAAAACAGCATTTCTTTCATTTCCTCAATAATTATTAGGAAGCACCTCTGCTTCTAAAACCATGAGTCTCATGAGGACATTCACAAATAAACCCATGCATCCTGAGAACCTCACAATGAACTGTGCTGCTGAGATTTGAAACAAATATTTCAAAGTGGGCTTTAAAAACTGAAAACTGAGCAATGTTGGGCTCAAAAATTCCCATTTGTAGGTTTTGAAAAACAAAAGAGGTAAACTTTGCTGCATAAATCCCATAAGAACTCCAGAGAACAGGAAAAGGAAGGATTTATTTAGGGAATACACTGTTAATTTGCCAGTTGTGAGTTTTCAGAACGCATGTGTCTCATGTCGCCAGTGTATACTAGATTATATATATGAATGTGGTTTATGGTTTCCTTTTGATGTTGTTAGTATTTATGTTTCTTGTTGTGTCATTTTAAAGAAAATGAAAAATATTGTCTTGTAAGTTTCTCTTTTCCAAAAGGCAAATTGGCAAACATTCCCTTTTGACCCCTTCCAGGTGGGGGATCTGAACCCCGACAGAGTAGTTTACATATTAAATTGATAACATGAGCCTCTATGGAAAAGGAAAGGCAAGCTAAAATACACCCTGGGGGAATTCTAAGGTGCAGGAATGTGATCCTATTTCTGTGTAACCAGAACATTAATATTAATAGTGAGTTAGGTGTACTTCCTTAGCAAGCAACTCTTCTCCCCAGGGTGTTCTCACAGCACTCTATCTCCCCTTGGTTCTGATCCTGTTTCCTGACTTTGAAATTCAGGCATCAGATTGTTAGCATTTTTCTGCAGATTCCTCCTTTTCTTTACAGATCAGAAAGAGTCCAGACTCATCCTCCAATTGTGATACATATTTGGTTCCATAGTTACACAGGGATTTCCCTTCCTTCTCTCTACTTCCATTAAAAATTGCTTCTCTTATTTCCCCCATCCTCATAGTTATGCTGACTTATGCCATTTCCAAGAGTAACAGTCCTAGATCCCTGAATTATGGGAGTTTAGGTTTCATTAATTAGGTTAAGTGCCAAATAATTAGTATTTTTAAGTGCATGTACAACGTTGTCAGAAGAACACAAGCCACCAGAAGAGAAATTTCATTCCACTCTGCCATGATTAGGATTTCCACTCTCATGAGCACAGCTTTCCACCACACATTCTTGTTTTAGTGGTCCATGCCTTTGGAAATTTGTAGAAAATATATGAGTAACAGCTGTAATTACCAATAAATAACATGGGATGCATTGTTCAGGACAGTAGATTTTTATATGTTACAACATGTATTTTTAAAGCATTTCAATGAATAATTAAGATCACCCCATTTTGCACACCATAAATATCATTCCAAAAAGCTCTCACACATGTTAGAGCACAAGCACATATATATTGAACGATTTTGGGATGAGACGTTGATTCCATTTCCTGACCTCTGTTTTGGTTTCTTGAAGGCAAATCAAGTCTCTGGGCAAAATGGACACAAGGACTTCTGTCAAAAGAGAATGTGCACCACCTCATTAAAAAACTAGTGGGCATTGTTGCTACAACATATTGTAAATTCACTTCAATCTACGTTACCTACTCAAAAATTGCATCTTATGGCAGGCATGCACAAATAATTTTCAATATTGGAAAAATATGTCTTTATCTGCTTGAACCTCAATGCACTAAGAATGTTAAATCTGAACTATTTTGATATTTATTCATCCCAATCATTTTATAGATGAGGAAGTGAAGTCCCAAAGAGAGAAGTTGTTTTGCAGACAGTAACACAGTAGCAAAACTTATAATCATACAGCATTGGGACACCTAGAACATAGAACTTTTTGTTACAGATAATGAATGGAACCCCTGTGTTTCTTTCTTCTTTATACCACTAAAATATTAGTAAATAAAGATTTTAAAATATCAACTGATAATAGCAACTAGAATAGGAAAGGAGACAGTATGTAGATGAGACTCCACAGATTGCTAGAATGCAGAGGCGGATGAAGGGATAGTTTGTGAAACAAGACAGAGGTAGCCAGTGTTCTCAGTGTTAACATGTGTGACAGATGGCAGGAGGCAAGGAAGTCCCAAAGTAGCCAAAGTCCAGTACACCCAGAGAAAAACCAGCCCAGCACATAGCAGTGGAACAGATGGTTTTTGAAAGGAAAGTTCCTGGAATAAACGGTGAATGACATTAAAATGGAGCCTTGGAGAAGGATGGGTGGGGGTGTCTATGACAAGAAAGTACTATGACAAGATGGAAATAAAGCCAATTTGTAATGTCAAAAAATTGCTATACAAAGAAGAATATAAACATGACTAGCAATGAGACCTAACCTAGATGTGATAAAATTGTTAAAATTGTTGAGAACTCAACTGCGTACATAGAACATTGTCCTATGCACAAAGAACTGTTGGAGTTCCAAGTTGAAGAAAAAGTCCTTGCTCTCCAGGAGCTTGGGTCTGGTGAGGAAGAGAAACATACATATCTCATAACAGATGACGGCTTGAAATAATTTTTCAACTTCACGATGATGCAAAAGCAATATGTATCCAATAGAATCCGTGCTTCAAGTATTCATACAGCCATTCTGTTTTTCACTTTCAGTATTCAATTACATGAGATATGCAACGATTTATTTTAAAAATAAGTATTGTATTAGATGATTTTGCCCAACTCTAGGCTAATGGAAGTGTTCTGAGCACGTTTAAGGTAGGCTAGGCTAAGCTATGATGTTCGGCAGGTTAGGTAGATTAAATGCATTTTCAACTTACAATGGGAGGTAATCCCATCATAAGCAGGGGAGCATCTGTATAATATAAATCACACTAACATATATTCTATGAGAATGGTTCAAACAACTTGTGGTAGCTCAAAAAAAGAAAAACAATTCAGACTGCAGAATCCAGAAACATTTTATGTTAGACTTTAGCCTTCAAAGACAGATAGGATTTGGAAAATTAAATGATGGTGGGAAAGTCTTTCACAAGGAGAGCATAGGGAGAGCTAAGTCATGGATACTAGGAAGAACACTCATGTTTAGGAATGGTGAGCATGGGACTGGTGAGCAGGAACTTGGGATGAATCAAGGATTGCTCTGGAGGAACATTTTCCAGATCATGAAGAGCCTGGAATCCAAGAGAAAGGAATTTGGATATAATCTTTATTGATTTACACCCAATGAAGATGCACATGTTTTAAGGGAATAGTTGGATGATTATTTTGTTTTTCTTTAAGACAGAGTCTTGCTCCATCCCCCAGGCTGGAGTACAGTGGCGCAGTCACTTGCTCACTGCAGCTTTGACCTCCCCAGTCTCAGGTGATTTTCCCACTTCAGCCTCTCAGGTAACTGGCACCACAGGTACACACTGCTATGCCTGGATAATTTTTGTATTTTTTGCATAGATGAGGTTTCACCATGTTGCCCAGGTTGGTCTCAAACTGCTTGGTTCAAGTGATCCACCTGCCTCAGCCTCCCAGAACGTTGGGATTACAAGCGTGAGCCACCATGCCTGGCCAGTTTGATGAGTTTCGACAAATGTGTATACTTATGTAACCTCCATCTTAATCAAGATCCAGAACATTTCCACCATTTTTCCCAGTCGATCCCTATACTTCCTACCCAGGCAACTATTGATCTGATGTCTATCACTATAGATGAGCTTTGCCTTTTCTACAGATGTATTTAAGTGGAATTATATAGTATGCACACTTTTGTACCTGGCTTAATTTACACAGTATAATGTTTCTTGTGCTTCATTTTGCTTTGCTTTTCTCCGCCGTATACCTTGAAAGACTTCTAAACAGAACTTGCCAACTCTCAGATTCTATAGTCAGCCTCTGTCCTGGTTATCTATTGCCATGTAACAAACCACCACAGAATTTAGTAACTTAAAACAGCAACAAACAATATTGCAGTAAGCAATATATTTACTCTTCTTATAAATTAGCCATTCAGGCAGGACCTCCATGACATTGGTGGGGCAGTTCAACTGGGGATGAAGTATTCACTTCTAAGATGACTTAGCCACACAGCCCGCCAGTTAGTGTTGGCTTCCAGCTGACAGCTTGGACAGGGCTGTCAGAGGCCTAGTTTCCCTTTCTGCAGGCCTCTCCACAAGGCTGCTTGGGCTTCCCCTCAGCATGGTGGCTGGATTCCAAGAGTGTTCCAAGAGGCAAGAAATAGGAGTGGAAGCTGCTGATCCTTTGAAGGCCTGGTCCAAGAAGCTGGCACAACATTTTTACTGTATTTTATTAGTCAAGCCATAACAGAGCTTATCTTATCTAGAATGTAGGTATAGAGACATGGACTGTACCTCTAGGGAGAGAGACTATCAAAAAATTTGTGGCTATTTTAAAGCTTTCCATTCAAGGGAGAGGTCTTTTGAATAAAAGATTTATTCAACAACAAAGGCAACCTACACTAGCTGCCTATACAAGTTAACCTACTCTTCTTGTCAGACATTTGATGAAAATAAATGCAGAAAAGAATGATCAAGGTGGACAAAAAGAATAACGCTGGAGGAAACATAACTCATACAAGTTGTCAAAAATAACTTTTCTACTCTAATATGAATTAAATTCTAATTAACCCACAATTATCCCCAAATATACTAGAGAGGATATTAAATCCATGAAATAAGCATAGGTTGCTATTACAAAAAAAAGTTGAGATCTAAGAACAAAAAAGGATTCCGGGAATTTATGTATTTAATTGCTAAAATATAAAATTCACTACAGAGATTGAATCTTAGAATGGATATGACTGAAGACCAAGTTAGACATCTGAAAGATAACACAAAAATAGATCACACTGAATGTAAGGCCAAAAGACAAAATGATGAAGCAGAGAAAAATTAAAGCACACAGAAGCTATATCCAGAAGGCACAACATCTGTCTATGAGGCATTCCATAAGGAGGATAGAGAGAGAATTAAAGGCAAGGCATGAGCAAGATAAGAAAAAAATTTCCCTAAAATGAGTGCATAGACTTTCAGATGGAAAAGTTGCCGATGTCAAGAAGAGGAATTGATAAAAGGCTCACACAGCTGTAATCTGGTGAAATTTCTGAATTTTAAGTTTGAAAAGAAAGCTTTGGACTCCAGAGGAAGAAAACTAGAAGAATCAGATTAAAATCAACATTAACATTACTAATGCTGAATTCTAAAAGAGAATGAATGCCTTCAAATGTCTGAGGGAAAACTATATGAATGTGTAATTTTATGTCTAGCCAAACTATCAAACCAATATAGATAATTACATTTTTAGAGGACTCAGAAAACTTATACTCCAAGACCCTTTCTGAAAACAGCACTTAAAGTTATCTTCTAGCAAAAAGGAAAAAGAAATTCAAGAAAAATAAATGAGATCTTATAAAACAGTAAACCAACTTAAAAGGGCAATGAGATGATACCCTAGGATTATGTTATCAAAACAGGCCAGATTATAGTAAGTTAGAAGCCTCTAGAAGAATAATTCAATTACTTTGCTGAAAGAATGTGGAAAAATCTTGAGGGTTTCATGAAAAAAATGCATTTAGAAAATAGTTCGGAAATTTGAGACAAGCTCTATAATGAAGTCGTTATCCAAATACGAAGTCAACTATTGAGTAAAAGAAAGAAGAATCCATTTGATCGTAATACCGATAATTTCTCCTTCAAATGGCACAGGTTTAATGACATAGCATTATGTTTCCTTCTCTTTGGACTTAATCATAAAATCTCAGTTCTGTAATGAAGAAAACCTACATAATCATAGCGTATTATGTACTGTTTATTGTTTTATAATCAACCTATGGACAAATCTTAAAAGCCTGGAATGAGTCTCTTTCTCACTACACTCTTTTGCTCTCAAATACATATATTTTCTCTATCAGTATACAGAAAAATAAACACTTATATTCTATGTACATGTGAATGACACACACACAAACATTTCCTTATATAAATCACCTCTGTAAAATCAGTGTACTAAACTGGGTGCAGTGGCTCACACTTGTAATCCCAACACTTCAGGAGGCCAAGGCTGGCAGATTGCTTGAGGCCAGGAGTTTGAGACCAGGCTGGGCAACATGGTGAAACCCCATCTCCATCAAAAAATTCAAAAATTAGCCAGTCATGATGGTGCACATGTGTAGTCCCAGCTACTTGTGAGGCTGAGGTGGGAGGATCACTTGAGCCTGGGAGGTTGAGGCTGCAGTGAGCCATGACAGCACCACTACACTCCAGCCTGGGCAACAGAGCAAAAAAAAAAAATTTTATATATATGTTTTATATATATATATATGTTTTTTATATATATAAAGTATATATACACACTATATATATAATATATAAAAATATTTATAGGTTTTTTAATATATTTTTTTCTCAAAAGAAAAAAAAGTCAATGGAATGACTGGGCAGAAGGAGTGAAAGAGACTTGGGAGTGTGTAGGTATACTAATTTCTTAATTTTATATAACTAGACCCTGCTTAAGATTAATGGTTCAAAATCCAGAAGTTTAGGTATTTAATTTGTGGTTCTAAGGAAACAAAACTAGAAAGAATACTACAAAGAAAATTCAGAAAGGAGTGGAAAGTAGCATATATACACTAAATTCCCCGTTTTTTCTAGTGGTTAGTATATAAATGTTACTTAAAGTCATTAAATCAAGAAAGAGGGGTATAAATGTAGCATGATTGAAGTAATCAACTTTTTTTGAGGAGGTGGGAGTGAGAAGGGAGCCCAAGAGATACCCAATTGCTCCCAGGAAGGGGCACGAGCTCTTTTGAGGTAGCTCTCTTGAATGGGAGGCAAGCCCTTCTGGCTGGGCAGCTGGAGGACAGAACACTGCAGTCCCGGGGTGGGGCTCTGTGTGATGGACCCCAGCCTCCACCACAGGGAGTGGCTGGATTGGTAATACCTCCAACTTCATAGAAAGGAAATTCAATCATTGGGGTTTGTTGTATGTAGATTTTCTATGTTATTTGGTAGCTACGAGGTGTTTTTTTCTCGTTTATATTAAAAATATTACTGTTAGAAATAGCACAGAAATATTTTCAAGTCATTCTTTCCAGCATGAATATCTTTTTGTAATAGACTCTCTGTAAAACCATAAGCAATTAGGACATATTTGCCCAAACTCTCTCAAAACCTAAGGCATATTTCTCTTCTTATGCAAAATGAACCTTTTGAAATGTGTGAAAGCATCATCTCTCCTAATTATAAATTCTGTTAAATTTATTCTACTTCTACTCTGTCATGAAAAAATAGTAGTTATATTTAATTCCACAACTTCTTTGCCTATAGCTTATAAATACGGTATGATTTTATTAATTCTGTTTCTACTAAATTGGATTTATAATTATTATAACAGATGATTTGACATTCATTTTTATCCTATGATTTTTAGAATACCTTTGTAGTTTCATAAAAATACATATTCATAAAATTTTCAACAATTACAGGAAAGTATAAAGAATAAGACAATCAATCACATCAAAGAGCACCACTCAAAAATAACTGGTGTTAATATCACTCTAGATTATCTCTCTGTATGGATGCATAGGTGGATGGAGAGAGAGAGAGAGAAAATGAGTGGTAAAGAGATAATAGAAAAATATTTATATAAGTGGAATTATGTTCACATACTGTTTTACAGAATCACTTTTTACAAGAGAGTAATGATTATATGTCAAATTTGTAAAATATTTGTGATAATAATCTAGTCACTTCATTTCTCATTAAAATCATCGTGCTTATGACCTATGAGCTTTTTCCAGTTTAATTTTAAACAATCTGAATTATTTGTCTAACTTCTGTTATAAAGCCATAACATATATTAAACATTTACAATGTGTCAGGCATCACATAAACTACTTTTAAAACGATCATCTCATTCAGCGTTTCCAATACAGCCATAAAACTTTAGTCCTAACAGAAAGGTTAAGCCACGTGTTCCAGACTACACAGTTAAGTATCAGACTGGACCTAAACCCAGCCATATGGAGTCTTAAGCACTACAAAATCCATAATCCTCTCATTAACATAACCCACTTACAGGACCAAGGAATTAGTAATATTTTTTTCTTATTTGAATTTAAAGTATCTTAAATTCACAATATCCTGGCAAATTCAGTAAATAATTACTAAGAATCTAGTAGCTATGAGGCACTGATAAATTTTTTAAAAAGGAAAAGGAAAGAAATGTTTGTGTAAGGGATCTTATAAAAGAACAAACTAATAACCATAGGAAGCTGCTTGTATATTTCTACAATGTTTATATTTACTGATTAGAAAATGTGGTTTGTTTGACTGTCCTTTTTTCCTACACATATGTAAATATGCATTTTTTAATAAAACTGAGAAGAGAGTTTCTATCCCATTCTGTAGTCTGCTTCTTTTTCATATAACATAGATTTCCGGGGAGGGGAGAGGGATAGCATTAGGAGATATAACTAATGCTAAATGACGAGTTAATGGGTGCAGCACACCAACATGGCACATGTACACATATGTAACAAACCTGCACGTTGTGCACATGTACCCTAAAACTTAAAGTACAATAATAAATTTTTAAAAACCAGGTTTCCATTTTCCATGTCATTAAACATAATCTTAAAAAATAATTCTTAGCTCTTTGGAAGTAATTTTAACAGGTACATTCTAGCATATAGTTGAGCCACAAAATATTTTTATTACTCCCCAATTGTTCAATGTTTATGCTTTACCTTTTTTCTATTATAAAACAGTACTTTTAATAAACTGCAGGAAAGTCCTAGGGCAGAAATAATTCAACTTTTTCAATTATTCAAGAAAAGAGAGGAGGAAAATATATTCAAGCAAAGAGGCTTTCTGATACTTAGAATCCCAAACTCATCTCCAAAATATGACTTTCAAGCTTAGCTCATGTCCTCTCCACGTTCATACTTGTACAAAGTGAAAATTTCATTTGCTTCTTTAAAATCTTTCCTATTCAATATGTTTTAACTTTTTTAGTGTGTTTGCTTGTTTATCTTGTGTGAAAGTCATCTTTGACATTGTAAATAGCCAATTAGAGATTTTCTAAATTTCTAGAAAAAAAGTTGTGTGTGTGTGTTTTTTTGTTTTTGTTTTTGTTTTTGAGGCGGAGTCTCGTTCTGTCACCCTGGCTGGAGTGCAGTGGCACGATCTCTGCTCACTGCAACCTCCGCCTCCCCGGTTGAAGTGATTCTCCTGCCTCAGCTTCCCTAGTAGCTGGGATTACAGGCGTGTATCACTACACTCGGCTAATTTTTGTATTTTGAGTAGAGACGAGGTTTCACCATGTTGGCCAGGCTGGTCTCGAACTCCTGATCTCAAGTGATCCACCCACCTCAGCATCGGAAAGTACTGGGATTACAAGCATAAGCCACCACACCTGGCCCTTTCCCATTATTTTATGCCTTGGTTGTTACCCAATCAACACAGGAAGATTCATACAGCATCCGTCTATATCCAATTGCCCAGTCTGAGAGTTTAACCATCATTACTGAATAAATTTTCAAGCTTTGGTTTAGAAAACTCAAGCACTTCCAGCTGAGGTCTATTTCTTTTAAACTGATGTGATCCTAATGGCTTTGGTTGTTTTCTTTCCCTTAGCAGAGGGAAATAGTTCAATGGCTTAATTTTTCATGCTTTTATGGATTCAAAAATAAATAATTTATTGCCTTTGGGTAATTTTATTATTCATCATGTTGCTTAATCTTAAATCCCTGGTTAAGTTTTCCTATAATTTCCACATACACTTTTTCCTGCTCCATAATACTTCAGATACCAGTTAATAAATGTGTGTGCTGGCGTGTTGATTGCTGGGTTTAAATGCATGAATATGCTTATCAAATCCAAGGGATTAATTATTATAAGCTTTCTACTGCATTGAGGAGTATTTTGCTGGGAATTGAATATTAAAAATGCAAAAGATCTCTCTATGCAAAATGTAAACTGATTTATTCTCATAAGAACAGATAGTATAAGCTGAAAGAAAATTGGCAAAAGAAAGGAAATATATTCTAATTGGCTTCCTTGAATCTGCTTTGGTTTTCCTTCTCAATGAAGAGTTGGAGGAAAAGACATTTAAAGTAGCATGTGCAGAAAGACCAAAAACCAACAATCACATGATACTGAAAATGCTTCCAGAATTCCTCAGACTACATTTTGAAGTTAGTCATTATTGCTATAACTATTTGGGTAAACCAGTAGTAACCAATACTTAAACATTGTGTATGACTCCTCATGTATGAAAACGTATCACTCATGGGTCAGTTAATTCAGAACATTTACCCTAAGATTTCTACCATTGTACATATGAAACTTGCAATGGGGACAAACAGCAAGATTATCAGGTTTGTTAACTGCTGTCTGGTGTTTAAAGGATGCGATTTGGTTTGTGGCATATCAAGATCATGTATAAAAGCAATCGAAAGCTGAGGGAGCATTTGTATTTGACAACGTTGGTCCAGTTTTTGATTAGGTACACGCACTTTTGCTATTAGTACTAGGTATAGGTCTCAGAGATCATTATGTTCAGTGGTTTTTAAATGTATTTCCTGGAGCCCTGGAGAACTTTCATGAAGTGTTGTGGATGACATGGAAAAAAAAGAAAGATCAGGCAGGCCTTCACCACCTTGCAACCAAAGTTGCTCAGCTTTTACTTGTCTTATAAATTGAGGAAAAATATAAAATTGTATTTGAAAAAGAAAGAAAATTATCTCATCCAATGTCTTCCTTTTTCAGATGAGAACATTAAGTACCAGATTGTTTAACCACCTCTACAATTCTCTGTTGCTACGATCAGATGTAGTGCCCAACTCTTACCTAACCTAGCCCAATTTTTAAAAATTATACCACTTATACCCTTTCAGGAGGCTACTAGGGATTGGAAATTTCCAGAAGTCAAATTATTTGGGGACAACTTTTCCTTTATAAATTGCTAGATGCAACTGCAAAGTCAAGCTTGGAGTGAATTACCAGAGGGGAAAAATTTTATTTCAATGATCCAACTATCCGTTTCTGTGCTCCAGGGATCTTGGCTAGGTCTATGACCTTGAGCAAATTATTAAGGTTTAATGTCTTCATTTTTTTAATGACAATGTGATATGAACGAATTAAGACAGTAAAATATCATTTCATCAGATCACATCAAGTCTGAAAACTCTGGCCATGTCAGGTGTTGCTGAGAAGACAGAAAGATAAGAATACCCCAGTAGAGCTCATGGAAGGATAACTTGATTTAATCTTTGTCAAACAGTTGGTAAAAACTGGCAGAATTGAAAACATATGTGTCTCATAAGCCAGAGAGAGATAATAATTATATGTACCTACATATCCTATAAATACATATAGGAGGATGTCATTATGTCTTGAAGTAGAAAATTCAAAATAAATGTCCATTCACAGGGGAATAGAAAACTCATGGTGTAATCATATAAAATATTATATAGTAGCTAAAGTAAATGAACTAGGGCTATTTTTATCAATATATATATAGCAGAGTAACCATGATATGCAAGTTATTTAATCCTTTTGGTTCTTCATCAGAAAATGGTGGTAAATAATGGTAAATTATCTCATAGAATTGTTATGGCGATTAAAGGAATTAATACACAGAGCACTTACATAAAGCTCCCTTAATGTGTCTGTTCTTGATACCATACACTTGAAAAAATTACATTAAAAATAAAAGTAGCGGCTGGACCTGGTGGTTCATGCCTGTAATCCCAGCACATTGGGAGGCCGAGGCAGGTGGATCACCTGAGATCAGGAGTTCAAGACCAGCCTGGCCAACATGGCAAAACCCCATCTCTACTAAAAAAAAATACAAAAATGATCTGGGCGCAGTGGCAGGTGCCTGTAATCCCAGCTACTCAGGAGGCGGAGGTTGCAGTGAGCCGAGATTGTGCCACTGCACTCTAGCCTGGGAGACAGAGCAAGACTCCCTCTCAAAAAATAAAAAATAAAAAAAAATAAAGTAGCAGAAGCACTCCAAGTATTATCTAGTCTTTCTATATTCTGGACATTTATTAATCTTCAGAGTTGTGGAACAAGAAATTCTCAGGAATTCCTAAAATCATGATTTATTCTGTGTTTTATTAAAATTTTTCACACATTTTAAAAGTAATAAGTAGCCACAAGAAGAAACTGAATTGTTTTTATGTAATAGGGTTATATTAAATGTTTTAGAGGTGTCTTGAAAAAAAAAATACAGGGTTTACTATTAACCCATTTTTATCACACAAATATATTTCAATGCCATAAAAATGATATCTACATGTTATACTTTTCTTTTTTTGAGATGGAGTCTCACTGTATCACCCAGGCTGGAGTGCAGTGGCACAATCTTGGCTCATTGCAACCTCCGCCTCCCGGGTTCAAGCAATTCTCCTGCCTCAGCCTCCCTAATAGCTGAGATTACAGGCACCCGCCATCATGCCTGGATAATTTTTGTATTTTTAGTGGAAATGGGGTTTCTCCATGTTGGCCAGGCTGGTCTCAAACTCCTGACCTCAGGTGATCCATCTACCTTGGCCTCCCAAAGTGCTGGGATTACAGGCGAGAGCCACCGTGCTTGGCCCTGTTATACAGATTTGATAGAGGAAAATATTTTTAAGAAGGACACTGACACAAAAAATACCAATAAAAGTCATTTTCAAATAAAAGATAAATATTCCACATGCAAAATAAAATGCTTTCATTTTGTGTTGACACTGGTTAAATTTTATGAGCATGTATGTACAAGAAACAGCACCTTCAAATTGGACTTTAGGGTACAAATTGCTAAATGTGAACTAATTTCCTTTGTTAACAAGGAAAATATTTCATAAATATTTGTCCAGGATTCATATAGTAGAAAACATCAGCAAACATTGTTGGACAGTATTCAAATTGCATTTAAATCTCCTAGCAAAGTAAACAGCGTTACACAGAATTATATACCACAATTGACAATTTAAGGACTTTTGCTTCCAAAATTTGCTATTCCTTAGAATGCAAGATTTATAAGATTAATCTAAAGATTTACCTGAAGTATAAATCTCATAAGATTATCTAAAGTACACTATGCCTATAAATTTCTAGATATTTATTTTATTCACAAGACTAACTCACTGTTATAGCAGATAGAACCATGAACACACACTTTTAATATGGCCACAGTTGCAAGCAAGACTGTCTTATGAGCTTGGGAATATAGGGGTTTTTTTTGTTGGTTTTTTGTTTGTTTTGTTTTTGAGACAGGGTCTTGCTCTGTCACCCAGGCTGAAGTACAATAGAGCAATCATAGCTCACTGCAGTTTTGAGCTTCTGGGCTCAAGGAATCTTCCCATAACAGCTTCCTAAGTAGCAAGGAAGGATTACAGGATATGCCACCACACCCAGCTATTTTTTAAAAAATTTTTTGTGTGTATGTGTGTGGGGATGGAGTCTAGCTCTATTGCCCAGGCTGGTCTCGAACTCCTGGTCTCAAGCTATCCTCCCACCTTGGTCTCCCAAAAGCATGAGAAACTGTATTTGGCCTGTGACCACTTCTTTCATACACACTCTTATCCTGGTTCCTAAAGGGATCAGCAGCTCTGCTTGTGTTTTCTGCCTTCTACTTGACATTAATGAATTCCTTCCTTCCAACCAGCAATACCTCTATGTTGATCATTAAGTTTTAATTCCTGTAGTAGAATTTATAATACTTCTTCCCATTTTCCCAACTTCTCAATTAATTTTTTTCTCAAGATTTGGGATTTGCAAAAATGATTTAAAAAAAAAACCCCTGGAAGGGAATTCCCACATGGAAAGCCTAAATATACACTATGAAATATGGACTAAGGAGATACCATATTTCTGATTGTGATTACTACTAAGAAGAGGTAGAGGGATGAGTATAAAAGAAGCTTAAGTTGTATCTGCAATTTGCTATCTTTTATGAAAAACTCAAAACAAAAAATTATGTCTTTTTTGGTTAGGTTTATATGTATGCTTGATAAATTATTTTACTTTCTTGAGCTTTACAAAAATCTTTTCAAAGGAATCACCTGGGTTGTTGGTAATGCTGACTCCTGGGCTCTACTGCCAGAGGTGCTGCTTCAGTGGGTCTGGGGTGGAGACTAGGAATTTTCACATTCACTGACTCCCCCAGAGGATTGTGGGGAAGATGGTACAAGACCTAACTTGGGTGAATGTTTAACAAGTCCAGGGAAATCCAGATGCAAACCAGAGGTACTGCAAAGAATCCTAAGTCATGGCCAAACCAGATTTGCAAATCGCAATCTGAAGCCAAAGGAACAGGCAACAGGAGAAGCTGGATGTTTTGCCCTGGGTGTGTGTGGTAGAAAAGGCCTCCTGATCATCATGACATTGCACAGGGTAGACGCCTATCGCATCTCAGGAGGATCAGCACTGCTGTTATTGTGCCAGCTGACTCCCACAGCTATTCATTAGTTTCAGTAAAGTCAAGGCTAGATGGGTAGGTGATGAAAGATAGAAGATGAAGATCTACACTGAAGGGGCAAAATGCAAAGAATTTCCAAAGTCCTTCTTTATAAAAAGGAAAATTCCTAATCACATTCATACATTATCTTTATGATGTGCTTAAAAGGCACCGTCTGACCTCATTGCATTTCTTCTAAAGCCTTTTCCTTGTGCTTTTTATTTTCCAATTGTTTTGCAATCATGAATCAGTTAATAATTACTAGTTTCAAACCCTCATTATAAAGCAATGTCAACGTCCTCGTTTCTCTTGATTACTTGATTTTAAATTTTTAAACTCAGTACCATTAGTTAGTCCATATGCTAATATTTGAGAAATATTTATGCCATGAGAAATTTATGTATGTTTTATGATTCCACTAAGCACAGCAAGAAGCAAGCTTCAGGGCTTGTGATGATTAAGAGAAAATAAATCAGATTCCTATATTCTAAAACGAACGTACATTCTCTTCATTCTCTGCAGTAATATGGGATCCTAATAAAACGAAGCACAAATACCTGGAGTCCTTTGCTTATGTTCTCAGAAAAATCCTGGTTTCTGAATCAATATCTTGTCTTCTGACAACACAGCCACCGAAAATATGCTGAACTTGGTCTAAGTTTCTGCCTTCTGAGCCTAAACCGTTCTCTTTCCCTCCATCTCCTTCTGGCTTTTGATTTCTGATGCCAATCTAAAGGAGTAGTCCCCTTCCCAAATGCATCTAATGAGGCTTATTGTTATCGCCATCAAAACTACACCATGTGGAAATTATTTGGATATTTATCCACGTGCCATGAAGTAAGTGGGATGCCATCTGTACAGGGGGTCTCACAGCCTGTTGCTCAGACGTTATAAACAGTGCCACAAGCTGCTATTGTGGCATATTGGGCTATACCAGCTACATATACAAACTTGCAATTATAAAAACTTTTTTTGATTGAAAACTTTCTAAACATTGTCTCTGACGGCTTCCAATTGACAAAGACATCTGCCTAACAGCACCTGAAACACGATTTTCTCACTTCCCACTTAAACTCAGTGTTTATAGTTAGCATTTACAATTAAGACCTTTGGATAACCCAATACCAAAATCCAAGTGATAGCTGCCCTAACTCTAAGGCAGGTGGATTGAGATGCTGACTATGATGCTGAATTGAGGCTCTTATGAAACACAGGCAGCATGAATTAAGGTAAAAAGACATGTCGATTTTCCTTGCTGTCTGCTCCCTGACTCAAGCATTCTAAAGTTGATGACAACCAAAACCAGGGCAATCATCCTTCGACCGCATGAGACTACTGTTCTGTGAGACAGATGAAGCACCAAGCTCATGACCCTGACCCTACTCTCATCTTTTTGCTAACATTGACAGCTAGCATATTCTAGAATGCAACAGGTGGCAGCACGTGTGACCGTGCAAGAGCAATGGAAAGAGACGTGGAAAAGGCCACAATAAACTGCACCTGTTTACAAGAAAAGGGCTATACGTGGAGGTGGAGAAAGAAAAAAGCCTGCTAGAAATCCTGGAATTAATCCATGATGTAGATTATTTCAGCAAGAAAACAGTGGGTGTAAGAAAAGATGGCATTTCATAAAGCAGAATCAAATTAGATAAAAGTGAATTGCATATGTTATTGCATTAATTTGCATCACAACCATATGGTTTAAGCACTGTGGGCTGGGAAAGTTAATTTATCTTCTAAAGTATAATGGGGGCCAGGCATGGTGTCTCACACCTGTAATCTCAGCATTTTGGGAGGCCGAGGCAGGCTGTTTGAGGCCAGGAGTTTAAGGGTTCCAGACCAGCCTGGCCAACATGGAGCAAATCTCGTCTCCACTAAAAATACAAAAATTACCCATACATGGTGGTGCATACCCATAGTCCCAGCTATTGAGGAGGCTGAGGCATAAGAATCACTTGAACCCAGGAAGTGGAGGTTGCAATGAGCTGAGATCGCACCACTGCACTCCAGCCTGGGCGACAGAGCAAGACTCTGTCTCAAAAAAATAAAATGAATAAAGTGTAGTGGGACCTAGCCCCCAAATGCTTTGAAATCTATTCAATCATTTAGCCCTTATTTACTGCATGCCTTTGAAGGCATGATCCTGTAGCAAATACCAAGCCAGATCAGAGACTGATGGTGGGCATGTCACTACATGCTGACCTCTCCTAAAATCACAAATAACCAAACTGCCATTTAAAACAATTTAAGTGACCAGAGAGAAATAGAAAGTGTTACAAGCATTCACAGAAAGGAAGAGGGCACTTCAAGGGAAGAGAATTGAAAACAGCTTCCTAGGAGTTTGAGCTGAGTCCTTAATCACAAGGCTAGGAATAAGTAGAGGTGAAGAAGAAGAGCCAAGATAAAGAGCAGGAAAGGAACAAAGAATACTATTGTAGAGAGAGGATTGGTGCAGAGACACAGAAGGCCTTGAATACTCAAGGAAGGAGTCCAGAGATTTTTTTTCTACTTAGAAAGGCACTGATGATTCTTGAACAATAGACTGAAAAATATCAAAGCTGGGCATTAAGGGTCAATTAAAACAGACTGTAAATTGGACTGGAAGGGAGGATTGAAGGAAAGCAGGAAAAATGTTATTGAAGTAGCCCAATTCATTAAGGAAAGCCTGATTTTCGATGATGTTACATTTTACAGATGGGTAACTAAAACACACAGAAGTTAGGTAACACCTGAAAGTTCACTGCAGCCCTATTCGCAACACCCAAGATGCAAGAACAACTATATTAGTTCGTTTTCATGCTGCTGATAAAGACATACCTGAGACTGGGAAGAAAAAGAGGTGTAATTGGACTTACAGTTCCACATGGCTGGGGAAGCCTCAGAATCATGGCAGGAGGTGAAAGACACTTCTTACATGGCAGCAGCAAGAGAAAAATGAGGAAGAAGCAAAAGCGGAAACCCCTGATAAACCCATCAGATCTCGTGAGACTTATTCACTATCCCAAGAAAAGCATGGAAAAACCGGCCCTCATGATTCAATTACCTCCACCTGGGTCCCTCCCACAACACGTGGGAATTCTGGAAGACACAATTCAAGTTGAGATTTGCGTGGCGACACAGCCATACCACATCAACAATGTAAACGTCTACCAATGGATAAATAACAAAAATGTGAAATAAACATCAAATAGGATATTGTTCAGCCTTGATTTAAAAAAAGGAGGGAGTCTTGACATACTGACAACATGCTTAAACCTGGAGGATGTTATGCTAAGCAAAATAGGCCAGGAAAGAATACTGTAAGATTCCACTTTTATGAGTTATCTAAAATAGTTACACTCATGGAATCAGAGTAAAATGGTGGTTACCAGAAACTGGGGGGAGGGGAAAATGGGAAATTGCTGATCAACTGACATCAAGTTTCCATTATACAAGATAAATAAGTTCTAGTTATCTTCTGTACAATCTTGTACTTATAGTTAACATATACTGCATTTTACACTGAAAACATTGTTAAGAAGGCAAATCTCATGCTGTGTTCTTATCACAAAAGAAAAAGGAAAGAAAGGAAAAGAAAACAAGTAACATGTTAAACGTCACATGGCTGGTTAGCAACAGAGCCATGACTCAAGTTCTGGGAAATGCAACTCCAGAGTCCATGCTCTTAACCACTCTGCTATATGGTGTCTCAGTATTAAGACTTTTCAGTAATGTAACCCTTCTTGTAAGCCATTCCAAAAGCTAAAGCTATACAGTAATGACATGACATTTAACTTTAAAAAATTTAGCCAGATGCGGTGGCTTATGCCTGTAATCCCAGCACTTTGGGAGGCTGAGGCAGGTGGATCACAAGGTCAGGAGACCGAGACCATCTGGCTAACACGATGAAACCCCGTCTCTGCTAAAACTACAAAAAAAAATTAGCCGGGCATGGTGGCAGGTGCCTGTAGTCCCAGCTACTCGGGAAGCTGAGGCAGGAGAATGGCGTGAACCCAAGAGGCGGAGCTTGCAGTGAGCTGAGATCGTGCCACTGCACTCTAGCCTGGGCAACAGAGCAAGACTCCATCTCCAAAAAAAAAAAATCTTAAGACATAAATAGTAAAAATTAAAATGTGAACAATCTAAAAATCCTTTAAGAATGAAGACATTAACTTTGAAACATCCATTCCATGGACATTAAAAATGGTGTTTCATAGAATAGTAGCACAGGAATAGTTTCATAATGTGGTAAGTGAAAAAAATTAGATTATAAGCTACACCTACATTTATAGAGGATAAACACAGGAATAATTTATACAAAAATATTTATAGTTGTTCCTATCTTGAATTTAAAGAAATTTTTATCTTTATTTTTCTGCCTGTTTATGATTTTTCTACTTGATTTCTGCAATAAAACTGCATAATTTACAAATGCTAAATAACCAATTTGCTCAGGTTTTTACCTCTCATACATACGTCTTATGTATTCAGAGCCTTGCGTCTTCATGTTTCTTTAATATATTTGAGCACGAAGCAGGTTCCAGACCCTGTGCTAAGCATCAGATTTATAACTGTGAGCAAGACAAATAGAATCTGAACCTTAGTACCCAGTGGAGAATAAATTAAAAGGTAATAGTTGTTTCAAAAAGAAAATTATAGGATGCTATGAGAGTACTAGGAGTAGAGAGAAGGACTGGCTGAGGAAAGAAGTTCAAGGTGAAAAGTAGACATGAAATAAAGTGTGAGCTAAGAGTATTCCAGAAAGACGAAGCACATGCATGCTGTCCTTAGGGAGTATGGAGGTGGGACAAAAAGACAATGATTCTGGGAAAACACTGGAAATGAAGGCAGTTGTGGAAGATGGAGGGCCTTGGAGAGATGTTCATTACTGTGGACTTCATCTTGAAGGTAATGGAAAACTGCTGTCGTACTGGGGAGGTCTGGAGTAGGGCAAGAGGGATGAGTTAGTAGGTTTTTCTTGAAAGGATGGTGGCTTGGAGAAGGAGAGTGGCAATAGGAGAGAAGCAGATGTGGCAGGAGTATTTAAGAAGTAGAACAGGACTTGACTGGATGTGGTTGTCAGAAAACTGCCAAAGACGACTCCCTAACATCGGACTTGCACTGGATGGTTGCAGTTTACTGAGCTAGAAGGTGCTGGAGGTGGAAGAGATGAGCAAAGAATGAAACAGAACCTTCACGCCTGAAGTCTAAACTAGTTTGACAAAATTCTGATGTCTACGCTTCCTAATGCAAAGTTAAGCTGGCAGAATTGGCAGAATAGGGCCTGAGAGCAAGTGAGTGCCTTTCAGAAGTCCTTGTAAGATAAATGATCTCTTGACAGATGGGATTTGAAAAGAAATACATAATTCCAACCATTTAAATAAACAATGAGATAAGCAAAATTTACCGTCATGTTACCAACCAGAGTGTTGTCCAGACATACAGCAGCTGCCTCTTTCTGCATCTGTTCTAACTAGAATCCAGAGCTACACATCTTAGCTCAGTTATGGTAGCACAGTAAGCCACTTGCTTTTCAGATCTTGCCAACAGTATTATTCTCCAAGCTGGAGTTAGTTTTTATCTTATTAGTAAGGAGCTTTAAAGATGCTTTTTATTTTCAAATCTTTTTATAGTATTTACTGTGTTAGCCTGTTTTCACACTGCTATAAAGAACTGCCCAAGACTGGGTAATTTACAAAGGAAAGAAGTTTAATTGACTCACAGTTCAGGATGGCTGGGGAGGCCTCAGGAAACTCACAATCATGGCTTAAGATGAAGAGGAAGCAAGGCACCTTCTTCACAAGGTGGCCGGAAAGAGAAATGCTGAGCAAAAGGCCAAGAGCCCCTTATAAAACCATCAGATCTCATGAGAACTCACTATCTCTAGACCAGCATGGGGGAAACCGCCCCCTGATTCAATTACCTCCACCTGGTCTCTCCCTTGACACCTGGGGATTATAGGGATTATGGGGATTACAATTCAAGATGAGATTTGGGTGGGAACACAAAGCCTAACCATAACAACTTCTTTCTAAATAGACTGTTTTATGATATCATTGTCTGAAGGGTTCTCCAATGATTGATTGGATACTTAACTTGGAACCTTATAGCTACTAAACAGGCAGATCAGGAAGACCATGTGGAAAGGGCAGAGTTTGCAAAATAAAAATGCTTACAGAGTAAGGCAATCCATATGATGACTAAAGTAGGCTAAATATAGAGGGGAGAAGCAACAGAAGCACAATGTTAAATGGTGAATAACACATTGGCTCATAGTTGGTAACACATTAGGCAGTCACAGAGACTGTAGTATTATGGAGTAGGCACGTCTTATCCAAAAGCAAAATAGCTGCTCAGCTGATTATTACCATAAAGGAATATGGGACTTGAGTTGTCAGCTCTTTTCACTTTATCTTGAATTTTATGTCAGTCTTCTGATTTGTACATGTTATCAATTAATTCAACTCTTAAAGAATGTGTAAACCAAATAAAAAAAGTCTATCATAGGCTGTCAATATGCGATAGTGATAGGAAAAAAAAGCAAGTTTGCCAATATTTCTCAGTCACATCTTAGCTGAAATAAGTGGTCCCTTCTGCCATAAATATCTTTAATGTCTGATGTTTTCATTTCCGAAGGAACCACCTTTGCCCACATGCCCCTGCCAGGAGGAGACACTGGAAAAACTAAAAATGAAACATATTATTTTTGCAAGACACAAGGCTGAAAAATACCTGTGGCATTGCCAATCTTTGTAGATGAATTATAAGTGAACCAAATCCATTTTTTAAATTGTATTTCAGTGTTTGTTAGGCAATATCACAAGACAAGACAAAATGAAAAATTCAGTCCCTGCCCAAGGGGCATGAAGCCTACAGAAGGAAGACAAAACATTCCTGAAATAAAAACACCAGCTGGGAAGGAGGCATAATTAATGAAATAGTGCCAAGATTATTGTCTCACTGCAATTACCACGTGTTTCTGATACTTCAAAAGAGACTGATGACTTGTGATGAAGGGGATAGACCAGGGACTCACACCCCCTGCATTCTGCATAGGATGGAAATGGAGTGTAAAGCTCTCATATGCTGCAGTGCCTCACTTCTGTCAACAAAATGCGGCAAGTAAAACTAACTGATTTGCAAAGCACTGTAATAGTCCTTAATGTTAGTCCTTGGACAATTATACAGTTGCCTTCACCTTTACAGAAAATTAATAGCATTAAATTGCCTTATGTCTTCCAGGTACACCCAAATTTATTTTCTAAATAATTTTGCTACTGTTGTCTGACTTTTTAAAGACTTTATAAAGGTGTAGGGAAAATAGATGGGAAATATGTACAATAAACGATATCGTGTGATCCCGATTTTTGGTTTTAGAAAATGTATGGAGGCAAAGAAAAAAGACTGGAAGAAATAAACCAACACACACTGGCTATCTCTGGGTAATCTCAGGTGCTTGTTATCATAAGAGCAACTCAGGTGATTGTTATTATAACAGCAAGCAGAAACTAACCATATTTTCTCAGTTATACTCCCACAAATGCCCTCTGTGACTTTATTGTGCCCTGCCCTTTAGCTTAAATTTCAAAGGGTTCCTGTAATTTTTTCTGGTTTATCTTAAATAACAAAGAAATGGTCTCTTTTTCCAGATAATAAAAAGTGCAGTCTAATCTAAGGATCACACACAACTGTCAGGTGTAATATTAAAACTCCAAATGCTTTTTTGTTTTTTTAATTAATTTATTTTTTTTATTATACTTTAAGTTTTAGGGTACATGTGCACAATGTGCAGGTTAGTTACATACATATACATGTGCCATGTTGGTGTGCTGCACCCATTAACTCCTCATTTAACATTAGGTATATCTCCTAATGCTATCCCTCCCCCCTCCCCCCACCCCACAACAAGCCCTGGTTTGTGATGTTCCCCTTCCTGTGTCCATGGGTTCTCATTGTTCAATTCCCACCTATGAGTGAGAACATGCAGTGTTTGGTTTTTTGTCCTTGCCATAGTTTGCTGAGAATGATGGTTTCCAGCTTCATCCATGTCCCTACAAAGGACATGAACTCATCATTTTTTATGGTTGCATAGTATTCCATGGTGTATATGTGCCACATTTTCTTAATCCAGTCTATCATTGTTGGACATTTGGGTTAGTTCCAAGTCTTTGCTATTGTGAATAGTGCCGCAATAAACATACGTGTGCATGTGTCTTTACAGCAGCATGTTTTATAATCCTTTGGGTATATACCCAGTAATGGGATGGCTGGATCAAATGGTATTTCTAGTTCTAGATCCCTGAGGAATCGCCACACTGTCTTCCACAATGGTTGAACTAGTTGACAGTCCCACCAGCAGTGTAAAAGTGTTCCTATTTCTCCACATCCTCTCCAGCACCTGTTGTTTCCTGACTTTTTAATGATTGCCATTCTAACTGGTGTGAGATGGTATCTCATTGTGGTTTTGATTTGCATTTCTCTGATGGCCAGTGATGATGAGCATATTTTCATGTGTCTTTTGGCTGCATAAATGTCTTCTTTTGAGAAGTGTCTGTTCATATCCTTCGCCCACTTGTTGATGGGGTTGTTTTTTTCTTGTAAATTCATTGCAGTTCATTGTAGATTCTGGATATTAGCCCTTTGTCAGATGAGTAGATTGCAAAAATTTTCTCCCATTCTTTAGGTTGCCTGTTCACTCTGATGGTAGTTTCTTTTGCTGTGCAGAAGCTCTTTAGTTTAATTAGATCCCATTTGTCAGTTTTGGCTTTTGTTGCCATTGCTTTTGGTGTTTTAGACATGAAGTCCTTGCCCATGCCTATGTCCTGAATGGTATTGCCTACGTTTTCTTCTAGGGTTTTTATGGTTTTACATCTAACATTTAAGTCTTTAATCCATCTTGAATTAATTTTTGTACAAGGTGTAAAGAAGGGCTCTAGTTTCAGCTTTCTACAAATGGCTAGCCCGTTTTCCCAGCACCATTTATTAAATAGGGAATCCTTTCCCCATTGCTTGTTTTTCTGAGGTTTGTCGAAGATCAGATAGTTGTAGATATGCGGCATTATTTCTGAGGGCTCTGTTCTTTTCCATTGGTCTATATCTCTGTTTTAGTACCAGTACCAGGCCGTTTTGGTTACTGTAGCCATGTAGTATAGTCTGAAGTCAGGTAGTGTGATGCCTCCAGCTTTGTTCTTTTGGCTTAGGATTGACTTGGCAACGTGGGCTCTTTTTTGGTTCCATATGAACTTTAAAGTAGTTTTTCCAATTCTGTGAAGAAAGTCATTGGTAGCTTGACGGGGATGGCACTGAATCTATAAATTACCTTGGGCAGTATGGCCATTTTCACGATATTGATTCTTCCTACCCATGAGCATGGAATGTTCTTCCATTTGTTTGTATCCTCTTTTGTTTCACTGAGCAGTGGTTTGTAGTTGTCCTTGAAGAGGTCCTTCACGTCCCTTGTAAGTTGGATTCCTAGGTATTTTATTCTCTTTGAAGCAATTGTGAATGGGAGTTCACTCAGGATTTGGCTCTCTGTCTGTTATTGGTGTATAAGAATGCTTGTGATTTTTGTACATTGATTTTGTATCCTGAGATTTTGCTGAAGTTGCCTATCAGCTTAAGGAGATTTTGGGCTGAGACGATGGCGTTTTCTAGATATACAATCATGTCATCTGCAAACGGGGACAATTTGACTTCCTCTTTTCCTAATTGAATACTCTTTATTTCCTTCTCCTGCCTGATTGCCCTGGCCAGAAATTCCAACACTATGTTGAATAGGAGTGGTGAGAGAGGGCATCCCTGCCTTGTGCCAGTTTTCAAAGGGAATGCTTCCAGTTTTTGCCCATTCAGTATGATATCGGCTGTGGGTTTGTCATAGATAGCTCTTATTATTTTGAGATACGTCCCATCAATACCTAATTTACTGAGAGTTTTTAGCATGAAGTGTTGTTGAATTTTGTCAAAGGCCTTTGCTACATCTATTGAGATAATCATGTGGTTTTTGTCTTTGGTTCTGTTTATATGCTGGATTACATTTATTGATTTGCGTATGTTGAACCAGCCTTGCATCCCAGGGTTGAAGCCCACTTGATCATAGTGGATAAGCTTTTGGATGTGCTGCTGGATTCGGTTTGCCAGTATTTTATTGAGGATTTTTGCATCAATGTTCATCAGGGATATTGGTCTAAAATTCTCTTTTTTTGTTGTGTCTCTGCCAGGCTTTGGTATCAGGATGATGCTGGCCTCATAAAATGAGTTAGGGAGGATTCCCTCTGTTTCTGTTGATTGAAATAGTTTCAGAAGGAATGGTACCAGCTCCTCCTTGTACCTCTGGTAGAATTCGGCTGTGAATCCATCTGGTCCTGGACTTTTTTTGGTTGGTAAGCTATTAATTATTGCCTCAATTTCAGAGCCTGTTATTGGTCTATTCAGAGATTCAAATTCTTCCTGGTTTAGTCTTGGGAGGGTGTATGTGTCCGGGAATTTATCCATTACTTCTAGATTTTCTAGTTTATTTGCATAGAGGTGTTTATGGTATTCTCTAATGGTAGTTTGTATTTCTGTGGGATCGGTGGTGATATCCCTTTTGTCATTTTTTATTGCGTCTATTTGACTCTTCTCTCTTTTCTTCTTTATTAGTCTTGCTAGCAGTCTACCAATTTTGTTGATCTTTTCAAAAAACCAGCTCCTGGATTCATTGATTTTTTGAAGGGTGTTTTGTGTCTTTATTTCCTTCAGTTCTGCTCTGATTTTAGTTATTTCTTGCCTTCTGCTAGCTTTTGAATGTGTTTGCTCTTGCTTCTCTTGTTCTTTTAATTGTGATGTTAGGGTGTCAATTTTGGATCTTTCCTGCTTTCTCTTGTGGGCATTTAGTGCTATAAATTTCCCTCTACACACTGCTTTGAATGTGTCCCAGAGATTCTGGTATGTTATGTCTTTGTTCTTGTTGGTTTCAAAGAACATCTTTATTTCTACTTTCATTTCGTTATGTACCCAGTAGTCATTCAGGAGCAGGTTGTTCAGTTTCCATGTCGTTGAACGGTTTTGAGTGAGTTTCTTAATCCTGAGTTCTAGTTTGATTGCACTGTGGTCTGAGAGATAGTTTGTTATAATTTCTGTTCTTTTACATTTGCTGAGGAGTGCTTTACTTCCAACTATGTGGTCAATTTTGGAATAGGTGCGGTGTGGTGCTGAGAAGAATGTATATTCTGTTGATTTGGGGTGGAGAGTTCTGTCGATGTCTATTAGGTCCACTTGGTGCAGAGCTGAGTTAAATTCCTGGATATCCTTGTTAACTTTCTGTCTCGTTGATCTGTCTAATGTTGACAGTGGGGTGTTAAAATCTCCCATTATTATTGTGTGGGAGTCTAAGTCTCTTTGTAGGTCTCCAAGGACTTGCTTTATGAATCTGGGTGCTCCCGTATTGGGTGCATATATATTTAGGATAGTTAGCTCTTCTTGTTGAATTGATCCCTTTACCATTATGTAATGGCCTTCTTTGTCTGTTTTGATCTTTGTTGGTTTAAAGTCTGTTTTATCAGAGACTAGGATTGCAACCTCTGCCTTTTTTTGTTTTCCATTTGCTTGGTAGATCTTCCTCCAAATTCTTATCCAATTTGTGTCACTTTTCCTGTAATGAGCAGTAATGCTTGAGCCCACTTTAGACTAAAAATGCTACAGTGGAAAAAAGATAACAACTTGGCTTCTCTCTGTCTCACTTTGCATTCTCCACCATTTGCTAGCTGAAAGGTATGGCCTCTCCAGAGTTGGATGAGGGTAAAAAGGTGAATAGATGTAAAGGTGTAGGGACAATGTTTGTTGTTTTTGTTTGTTTGTTTGCTTTTTGGTTTTTGGGGTTTTTGTGTTTTTGTTTTTGTTTTTGTTTGAGACAGAGTCTTGCTCTGTCTCCCAGGCTGGAGTGCAATGGCATGTTCTCGGCTCACTGCAACCTCCACCTCCCAGGTTCAAACAATTCTCCTGCCTCAGCCTCCCGAGTAACTGGGATTACAGGCGCCTGCCACCACACCCAGCTAATTTTTGTATTTTTAGTAGAGATGGGGTTTCACCATGTTGGCCAGGCTGGTCTCAAACTCCTGACCTCATGAACTGCCCGCCTTGGCCTCCCAAAGTGCTGGGATTATAGGCATGAGCCACTGCACCTGGCCATTTTTTTGTATTTTTAGTAGAGGTGGGATTTTATCATGTTGGCCAGGATGGTTTCGAACTCCTGACCTCTAGTGATCTGCCCACCTCGGCCTCCCAAAGTGCTAAGGTTACAGGCCTGAGTCACCGCGCCCGGCCAGGTCAGTTTTCTTTGAATGAGTCATCTGTGATCTGGTGTCTACGTTCTCTAGAAATGGCAGTCCAGAGCTGACTGTTGGCTTTATGAAGATCTTTTGCAAATTCTTTTGAGATTCATCTCTGTGCACCTCTAATGATAATTTCCTTTCACATGTTCGCAACATCGCCTCTGACACACATCGGATACCCCGTCAACATCTGAACTTGCAGCATTCCACATCCGCATTGGGGTCACATTACTTCTTCACATAGTATTCTGGACAGGGTCTATTTTAATATAATTCCAGGCCATTCCTTTCATTGGGACCTACATCTGTTCCACAAAAAACACATACCTTTGTTCCACCTTCAAAGAAAGCACAGCTCATTCTCAGAAACTCAAGTCAGTTTCTTATCTTAAGATTTCTCCTGGAAAAAACCAGACCCCAGTACCGAGCTCACCAAACAACAGGGAACAAATGTCAATCCCTCCAAGTAGATGTTCTCAAACCCCTTATCTCATTTGGCTAAGGTGAGAAAGAAGCAATTCTTGTATACTGTCAAGATGGAAGACCACCCAAGGTTAAATGTGTCAACTCCTTTATCTCTTAGTGCATCCTGCATACAGGGTCCACATGGCACTTTAGAATATGAGGTACATGAAACCTATTGTATTATTTGTAGCCTTTGCCGTTTCTGCTGAAACTCAGTGATATAATTTTAAAAAGTACCGTTTTAACATGCTGCTGCATTATTCACTCTTGTAGGTTTTTCTCTTTTTTCTCATTTTTCTACATTCACATGAATTATTTGATTATTAGAAGAAAAAATGAGTGTTTTTTTTCTGTGAGTATTCAGTGCTAATTTTGTGGAAAGAAATTGGCAACAGTTGTATATAGATTGGTTCAACAAAATGTTTAAACATTATTTCTTAACTAAGTCAATCATAGGAAAAGTTCCTTGAAATTTGTAGTTATAAAAATATGTACAAGCTTTTCTTAGAATTTTGCCACATGTATAAACAGAACAAAGCAACTCTACTCACATGTCCTTATGCCCACATCATGCCACTTCTCTCCTCTCTCCCTTATATTTCTTGTATTAATAATTTAAAGAGTCGTGGTGATAAGACCACAGACTTACTAAGGGAAGTCTACAAGGCTACCCAGAAAAGGTTTTCAAGAATAGCACATCGCTGGGGAAATCACAATTATCTACTTAACCACAGCTCTTCACTCTAGAAATTCAACTTGATGAGGGCAGCCAGAATGTATCAGACTCAGGGTAGCCAAACAAAATTACCTAAGAGTGACATATATATATATATATATATATATATATATATATATATAGAATACAAATCTTAGATCACAAACCTAGTTGTTCAAGAAATATTACTAGTTATGTTTCCTATTTGAATTTAGCTTCGATTTTATGACTTCATGCTGCTAAGTGGAGAAATTTAATACTACTCATTTCATGGTAATCTGTTGATTTTAGGTTTTCTTAATCAAGTCACAGGTGACGGTGGGATGGTTTACATAATTCTGGAGAAAGACAATCTGGTCTTCTGCTCTCCTTGATGAAACACCAACTCCCCCCACTCCCTGGGGAGGGGGAAGCCTTTCTTACCTCTTCCTCCCCAAACTCCCAGTCACCTCCCAAACACTCACACATTGTCATTAATAGAGATTGGCAGCTACTCCAACTGAATCACTCTGAAAAATAGCCTGTATCCCACCTATGTAAGAAAGAAAAATATAAACAAATAAATCAAAGGGGCAAGAAGGCAGAGAAGAAAAAGTGGGCTAAGTGTGACAAAAAGTTGAAAATTTGTTCCATTGCCTACAGTTTCAAATGCCATTGATTAACTACTTTGCCATTTTACAGCCTCAGAGACATCAATGTGGATTTAGGGGCTAGTACCAAGAAAGGGCTCATATTCCCCCAAAAAGACAGTGTAGTGTTAAATATAAGTGACTCATCTTAAAAAAAATAACTGGGTCTGGTAGAGGATTATTTAATAAATCATAGCCCTGTGCACTAAATGGTGCTTCTGGCCTAGGGAAGTTAATTTTTTTCAAAAGCTTAATAGGTATTCGTTGTATAGCTACTCTGGTGGGATCTAGCCCAGAAACAAATGTTGGACCCAATTCTTCAATAGCACATATTTTTACAATCCTACAATAGAAAATACCAACTCAGAGCTGAGACAGAATGTGTTGATGGCTGAGCTCCCAGAGAGCACAAATAGCCACAGGGTGGACTGTAGTAAGTGCCCAAGAGAAGAAAAGATGGAGTGTTATGGGAGCTGAGAAGAAGGTATAGAGTGTTTCAGGGAAGGGAATTTGGGATGGCCTTCTAGGGGTTTGAGCTAAAATCTAAATGACAGGGATATGGAGGCATAGAACTAAAGCAGGCTGATTCAAGGGACTGGCAAAAGCAAAGGCAAAGAGCAGTAAAGGAAGGGATTGCAGCCTGAAGGAAAAATAAGGTTGGAAAGGTAAGCTGGGGCACAGAGAAAGAGGGCCTTGAAAATCCACCTAAGTTATTTGGAGGATCTTCTGTTTCTGTTTTTCTTACTTTTTTGTGCTAGGGGAGTGCTCATGATTATTAAGCAAAGGAATGCAAATATCAGAGCTGTGCTTTAGAAAACAATGGGAAGAAGAGTGTAAAATGGATTAGGGGAGGAAATGGAGACAGTGAGAAACAAGCCTACTGAAATAGTCCCAGTGACATCTGTAGACAGCCTGGCCTGAGAATATGTCACCCTTTGCCTTTCATGTTCCTGGCACCCACCACTGCAAGTGCTAAACAAGATGAGGTTAAATGATTGTCCAGAAAGGACAACATTGATTCCTAAAGGTAAATCTTAAACTGGAAGCAAAAGTTAAGGTCATCTGACAGGTGAGAAGTTAGGGTCATGAATGATTGAAAGGGTCTTTGAACTTTCTACTCACTAGCGTGTTCAATCCCTCTCTCTCAGAATAATTTAACAGGTACTCTTTCTTTCCTTGTTATCCCACCTACCTGCTCCAGCCTAAGAATATATGCAACAAAGCACAACTTTCATTTACATTTTTTTTAAAAAACACTGAATCATATTTTTTCTAGACATAGAAAATGTTATTGGCTTAATAAAAGTAATTCAATTAATAACTTGGAAAACTCTGAATATAATTTATAATTCTATCCCCAGAGATAATCACATTTAATTTGTATAAGCTTTTTCAGATATAGGAGGATATATGAAATACATGTTTCTACACTGGTAGATTTATAGACAGAGTAATGTATATTGCTAGGTAAACTTTTTATTTGAAGTAATCATACAATCCATTCATTATCTGAAATAAATTCCTGTGCTCTTTTGTTGTCTTAAAATGCTATCACTGTTGTTTTCACATCTCTCAAAGTCATCTCAAGATTAAAATCTACACTGAAATTAAAGAACTCTGTTTAGCTATCTCTTGGACCACATTACTGTCCTTACTTTAATTAGGTATCATATGCATATAGGACATTTGCTGCAAGGGAGCTAGCAGTCCTCATCAAACTCCCGGAAGTAAATAGGAGCTACTTTTCATCTCAGTGCTCAGATTCATACGTGGAGGCATCCAGCAGTTCATAATGAGCCCAAGGTCACCCGGTACATGAAAAGCAGTCCTGAAAATCAAAGCCAGGATTTTGCAGCCTGAAACTTTTCCCTAAGGATGGAAATCTCTTCACGGAATGTTCAATCTCATAGTTCTGAACCCTTAGAGATAATTTAGTTCAACATCTTGGCTTTGCAAACGTGGAAACAAAGGTACTGACAGATTTCATGACTTTTGTGGGTCATGAGGATGGTTAATGACTGATCTTTCCACTGTTTTAAAACTAAACAGTATACAGAATTTTCTGAATACTGAGGGCCAGTGGGAGTATTGAGGGAGATATTTTCAAAATTTGTTTAAAAAGTTAATTAAAAACAAAACTTTGGAATCAAAAATTAGAGTTCATTAAAAATGAAGAAAAGATAGCCCATTTTTGATCTGATGAAAGTGATTTAAAACTGAATTTCATTTTATAAACTCAGGGTCTATTAATTCAATAAGTATTTAAACTAAGTTATTAAGTCAATACATGTTTTATGATTTTTAATTAACTTTACTTTTTAAACATTGTATCCAGCTTTGCTACACATTTAAAATAGATTCTGTCGATATTTAATATGATTCTTTTTTTAAGTGTGTGGGGCCAGGAACTGTGCGTGTGGGTGTTTCAAAGGTAAAAATACTAACAATGTTAATAATCAAAATATTAACATTGGAGGATGCGCTTTCAGATTATTTTTATCTACCTTTTTCTTATGTGATTCTTACTTCGCCACTTTTCAACAATAAGCATATATTTCTTACATATCAAAAAAATTTTGCCAATGAATCAAAGATTTTCTCAGTCTTTGTGGGGAAACAACTATTTATTGTATTTGAAAAGCAATATGCTATTTGCTTATTGAGGTAGATGCTGTGTTTGGCTTGCATTTTTAATATTTATTGAAGACTTCTTCTAGCACATCTTCCTTTACTGTGGTTTTCAGAAAGCATAAAATTACAATTTTAGACTCCTTTGCAGCTAGGGTTCAAGATGAGACTTCAGTTTTGCCCGTTAGACACATTGCTGTGAGGCTAGAATTTGGAAGTGAGTTGAATGAGGAGGGAGGCAGGGGATGTGTCACAGATGGTGGCAGATCACAGCAGAAATGGGGTGGTTCTGGAGTCATCAGCCTCCTGAGTCTGCAGCTGCTTGCGGCAGTGGTGACAACTACCCTGATCACAGCAGAGACCATATGATTCTGGGGCTGGAAGTTGTTTCTGGAAATTCCATCTACCACCTGCTTCTCTGGCTTTTCCAATGATACTACAAATCATCTAATACATAGTAATAAGTAGCATTCTGCTTAAAACTAGCTATGACAGTTTCTTTGCTTGCAATTGAGCACTAACCCATGGAGTTGTGTTCAAAATGTTTTTCTATGCTCTCCTTATAGTCCTCAAGCTCTACATTTAATTTTTCTCCTTTTGTAATCCCAACAATAACTGCCTGTTGTTTTTTAAAAAACAAGCAGTACAATAGTGACACATTAATAAGTAAAAATAAGTCCTCATGCTCCCTACCCCTCATCCTAGACCCCAGAGGAATCCACGGTTAATAGTTTGTTGTTTCATATCTTTCCAGGTATTTTTTATGCCTATAGAAAGTACAAACACACAGAAATTTTTTTCATTTTTACAAAAATGACATGATGTTATGGAAACATAGATCCTGCAACTTGGTTTTTTTCCATATTTGTATATACTGAGCTACTTTGTTCTTTTTAACTACTATATATTATTCAATAGGGTAAAGAACTAAAATATATTTCAACATTCCCCCATTGATGAGCATGTTAATGTTTATAAGCAAACTGCTACATATTATTCAACAGGTGGAAGAACTAAAATATGCTTAAATATTCTCCCATGGATGAGCATGTTAATGTTTATAAACAATGTTGCAATAATCATTCTTTATCAATAAATATATCCTTGTTCATAGCTTTAAATATTTCTTGAGATGGATTCTAACATCTAATACAAAAAAAACCTCTAAATGCTAGCAGATTGCATTTAACAGTTTTTAAAGAATAATGTCGGTTTTGCTTATTACTGTATCATCAGTGCTCAAAACATCATCTGCTATGTAGAAGGCACTAAATAAATATGTGTGAAATGAATTCCAAATGAGTGATCAAAAACAGACTAGGAGATGCATTAATGCAATTAACCACGTGAATGGATTAAAGAAGAAACAATAAATACATATACAACCATCGTGATGAATGTCCCCACAAATCAGGTAAAACTCCACATCTATTTCTGATTTTTAAGAAAATTTATTCATCAAGAAATAGAAGAAATAACATTAACCTGATAAAAGAACTTATCAGAAACCAACAGCAAAATATATTTGCAAGTATTCATAAAAGAAAGATTTTTTCTTTTTCTATTCATTTAAAAATATGAATATTTGTAAATATTCATAAAAGGTACACCTTTCAAGGTCTCAGTTATGAATAAAAATAAACTCACAAGCCTGAGATAGGAGAGAAGCAAAAATATTAAAGTAAGTTATGAAATATTAAATGACCTACTGACTCCCACAAAGAAATTCAAAGGAAACCTAATCAAAAAGCAAACTCATCAGCCACAGAGGTGCATTGAGTTAACTCTGAAGAAGTACATCATATTTGGGGCGGGCCTGGTGGTCCAATTTTAATATCCGGAAAACTGTTGGTTCAGACAAGGAAAGGCTCTCAGGCACCAACGACTGGGCTACAGCTGTTCTGCTTCTTCTCCAGAACTCCAAGCCGCATATACAGAATCAAAGCCTATTCACCTCTTTCCCCGATCTTCTGCTGTATCCGTTCTAAATGCTTCTCATGCCCTAACTGTGGTCATTTGTAGGATATGAACAGGCCAAGAACAAGCCTCTTTTCAACTTCAGGAAATTCTTTGATAGAAAGTCAAATAGCAGAAAACAATCAATTGTCCCATAATTTAGGATATTTCATAACCATGTAAAAACATACCAGCTTTATATGTGCTTATATTGGGGGGAACACCCTAAAATGTGTTTAGTATAAAAGGGTCATATATGTGTACCTTTTTCTCTTTCTGATTTTATTGAAATATAATCTACATATGTCATAAGTTTACCCATTTCAAGTGTATAATTCCCTAATTTTAAGTATATTTATAAAGTTGTACACACATCACTATAATCTCATTATAGAATATTTCATTTTCCCAAAAAGAAGTCCTGTACCCATTAGCAGTCATGCAGCATTCTCGCTACCACCCGCTCCTGGTAACCACTAAACTACTTTCTCTTTCTAGATTTGCCCATTCTGAATATCTGATATCAACGGAATCGTACAATATGTGGTCTTTTGTGATTGACTTCTTTCACTTAGCATGTTTTCAACGTTCAATCATGTTGTAATCCATGTACAAGTTTTTGTGTAGTCATTTTTAAAAGAATTTTTAATAATTTTAAAAGAATTATTTAGAGACTCTGTCACCCAGGCTGGAGTGCAGTGGCGCAATTATAGCTCAGAGCAGCCTCAAACTCCTGGGCTCAAGCGATCCTCCCTCTTCAGCCTTCTGAGTAGCTAAGGCTACAGGTGCACACCACTATGCTTGGCTAAATTTTTATGTTTTGTAGAGATGGGGTATCACTATACTGCCCAGGCTGGTCTTGAACTCCTGGCCTCAAGTGATCTTCTCACTTCAGCCTCCCAAAGTGCTAGGATTACAGGCATGAGCCACTGCACCCAGCCTAAACATGTATTTTTATTTTTCTTGAGTATTTATCTAGGAATAAAATTGCTGAATCAAATGGTAACTCTGTGTTTACCATTTAGAGAAATCATCAGACTCTTTTCCAAAGTGGCTTTTACATGACCACCAGCAGTGCATGAAGATTCCACTTTCTCCACATCCTTGACAGTGCTTGTTATTTTTCCATCTTCTTTATTATAGCCTTCCTAGTGATGTGATGTGGCATCTCATTTTGGTTTTCGTTTGCATTTTCCTAATGGCTAATTATGTTAAGTATCTTTTCATGTGCATATTAGCCATTTTTATATCTTTTTTGGAGAAATTATTCAGATCCTTTGCCCATTTTTCAATTGAGTTGTTTGTCTTTTATTATTGAATTATAAGAGTTATTCATATATTTTGATACAAATCCCTAATCAGATCTATAATTTGCAAATATTGTCTCCCATTCTATCGGTTGTCTTTTCACTATCTTGATGATGTCCTTTGAAGCATAGAAGTTTTTAATTTTGAAATAGAACTTATCGATCTTTTTTTATAACGTGTACTTTTGGTGTTGTGTCTAAGAAACTGTTGCCTAACCCAACATTTTTTTGTGCATTTTCTAAAGCATGTAAATACATATGTAAGCATAACTGCTTTTTTCTCTAAACGCTCACAGAAATGTTAATAGTTGGTAACTTTGTGAGGAGAGACAAAGGGAAAAGAAACAGAATTTTACTTTTCACTTTGTTCATGTATATGTTTGAATTATTTTACCATATGCATGTCTCACTTCTCTTTTAAGGATTTGTTTTTAAATCCAGATTGAGTACTAATAAATAGTAACTGCTGTTGGCATTCTAGGGGGTCTGATCAATGACAACACTTTTTTTCTGCCTGAACTCAGAACCAACTGAGATCAGATGCTGGAATCGGAGAGGTAGAAGCCATTTCTGATAAAGTTATACTGAAGGAAATGGCTGAGTGAAGAGCCAAATGGAATTGTTAAAACACCCTAATCTTGTCCCCTTCTGGTTTATACCTTAGAGCAGTCGACCCCCCAAAAAAGCTTGAGTCTGAATACACACACACTTCCTGAGGATGAGTGCTGCACACTGTTCAGGAGAAGGGAGGATAGCAACAAGAGACAGGATTCTCCATGCCTAAGAACTATCAATATTTGGCTTTACCCAATAGAGAGTTGTGAATAAATAATTTTCACCCACCAACCAACAAGCTCATTCAACCTCCATGACAAGAACAGTTGAAGCAAGAGGCTTAAAACATTTAAGAAAAAACCCCTCTTCATGGACTACAGAATGTTAGGGAAAGAAGCATTTCTCTGTAACAATTACGAAAATCTAAACTAAAATAGATAGAAGTTTGTACCTAGATATTGTATATCCCTAAAGCTTATTCCTGGAGATCCATTATAAAATTCGTATGTACATGCAAGTAATTCATAATAAAACAACACATTGAGGCATAAAACACCTTGGAAACTCCAAGTCTTCTGGACAGCTTACCAGATGAACCACTACCTTTCAGTAAGGGCCTGTAGATCCCTGTGAAGGAAATTTTGGTGAAAAAGCTCAATATTTCAGGATATAGGATTTACATTCAAAAAGCGGAAAAACATAAATAGAATGTTTCATTTCTAAAGCACCATAATGGAGCTGGGAGGTGGAAGTCTTTCTAATCCAAGAAAAAAAGTCAACAGAGCAGTCACCAACTATTCCCTGATTATCACTCCATCAGACACTGGATGAGGCCTGAGCTTTCCAGCCACCGTGCCATAGTTCCTGGTGTCCGACAGATGCTCTCAGCCCTCAGGGAGTCTGGGCCGTTCAGGGTTATTAGAGCCCACAGGTTGGTCACCTTCACCCAGACCAGTCTTTTTCATTTCCCTGGTGTGTCACTTCAACTTTAGGATTTTCAGTGTTTTCCTGGCATGAACAAGATTGGAAAGCACTCTAACACTGATCTAGTGAAGACTAAGGTAAGGTCAGGGAATTAGAAACCTCACAGTTTAGTGAGGGAGACAGAGATGTAAGCAAAGAACTATAGTTACCAAAATTCAATCCAATAAGTGCTAAAATAATAAGCACAGAGGAGAGCCTCATTGAAAGCACCATAATAATTGTTTCTCATTGTTCAGTAATTACTACACATGAAGTCCTGTGGCAAGTTGTACAAACATTATTTCTATTGTACATAAGAATCCTCACAGGTAAGTTCTGCTACAGTTCCCTTTTCCAGATGAGAACATCAAGACACAGAAGGGTTAAGTAACTTGGTTTCATAGCTGATAACCAGAGGAAGCAGGATTTGAAACTTGCTCTTTGAACCTGTATCCCATGCCTGCAAGCACTGATCATAAACAAGCTCAATCACTCAGTTGCGGTCAAAAAACAGTATTTAAATATGGAGCCAAATGATGTATCTCAAATGCCTTCTCACCTGACTCTTGGGATATTTAAGTTCATCCAGGCTTGGAAACAGCAGGTTGAATGAATAATAGTACCTTTTAAGGGCCTAAACAATCCATTAGAAAGTAGAAGCATCACATACATTTAAGGGTAAAGCTCCAACTTTTGTAGCAGCTGAGCAGAGACTCATGTTTTTATGAGCACAAGGGAGATACTATGTCATTTCCATTCTGGGGTCCTTAGCATAATATTTAGTATAGATGAATAGTTCGACAATATTTGTTGTATAAATGGTTGATTGAATAAACAAATAAACACATGAAATAACAAATTAAAATAGATGCCAGACACAAAATGGCAACAATCACAGGGCAGGAGCAAGAACATCTCATAATGCAGAACAAAATGAGTAGAGCCTTAATTATCTTCAATGATAGAAAACAAAAGGTTTATGAAAATTGTAGTTCACAATATTGATATTGAGCTTATCATACTGTTTGAATTCTAGAACATTACAGTTTAAAGAGACATAGAAAATATCTAGCTTGACTGAATTTTGAAAGCATCCTTTGTGATCTAACTGGACAGCAGCTGGTTTCCATGCAAACAAATTGAATAGTCAAAAGCTACTTATGACCAGCTTAAATTGTTTACTGTACAAAAAGTCTTCCCTATCTTGACCTATGTCTTCTTTCTGTTCCTAATTCTACTACTGGAAACCACATAAAATCACCTAATCCTTCTAGATCCTGGTGGTCCATCAAATATTTGAAGGCATTTATCATGTTTTCTTGTTCCCATTTTGGGAGTACCATTTTCCTAGCATACTGATTATTTCTATTCACTTCATATGACAGGTACATGTGTGTTTCAACAGGATGATGATTTCATTAAGAGAAAGTAACTATGGTCATGAATAGAGGCCGGAGAAGTCCTTTAACAGCACAGAGAGAGAAAGTCCTAAAGACAAAACTATGGGCACCGTCATGGGTGCTTCCCAGGTCTTCAAAGTTTGCCATGGGAATAACAGATGAAATGCCACCTATCCCCCTCCCTAGAGGTTCAACCAGGCATGTAAGTTTGCTTTTGGATTGTCTTGGGGCAACTTTTATATCCTCATGGCCTCCTCTCCTACCTGCCTATTCTAAAGTCTCTGATTATGTACTCAACAGTTACAAAGAAAGTATACTACATGGCCCTAAGTATTTATGTGAAACGGACTAAAGAAAAAGTTGAGTTTCCGGGTATATCCCACAGCAAGCCTAGAATTCAGGCTAGGCTCTTTCATTCCTACATACTCAGATATTTTTCTGTCATGCTAATTTCTTTCTTCTAGTCTTGCTTCATTTTTCCAGTACCCAATTTTCCATTCCAGAATAATGAAGGGCCTAACACACCACAGGCTAAGTCAAGTACTGATGAGGAAAAATCAATCCAGATTCAAAATATGAAAATAAGACTTTGCGATGTATAAGAGCTACCCTACAGTCAGAAAGGAGCACTGAAGGAAGGGACCACACTACTCTACCTCTATAACATCGGTATGGCAAGCTTTGGTTGATACATGAGTATAATTCAGAACTCTTCATGATTTGCCATGTGGTCAGCTGGGAAGGGCAATGACATGAAACTTATGAAAGGAAAATGAGATCTCAAGACATTCAAGAGGGAAGGAAAAGATAGAATGTGTTTTTACAATTTAGCTAACTACACAAAGGCTACATGAAATGATAATGATAACATACATTGAAAAGAGATCTCAGGATTGATGCAAGAAGACATTTAGGATCTATAAAGGGTCACAGTGTTTGTTTAGGACAAGAGGATATTCCAGATCTGTAAAGAGGTCTCAATGTCTGTCCAGGAGAATAAAATATTAAAGATCTTTGTTAGTTGGGATTGTTATTTTTCTGAAAATGTGGCATGACATTTTGCAGCCTGTGAAGCCTGCTTCCTTCTTTAGTACAGAATAGTCTATGAGTCTCATTTCTAAAGGGCAACTTGTCCCTTCACCTCTCTCTAGAGGAGACGGCTTCTTCTGCTCACTACATTGGAACTGTTTAGTTTATCGTGGCTCACCCTCCCACTCACCCATTCTTCAGCCACAAGAGACTTTTAATGTTTTAATGTGGGCAGGGAGTAGTTTAAAACTGTCATTACTGAATTAAGGCCACATTAAAAGAAAAAAACTTTCTATATATTTATCTGTCTGTTTAAATTGAAATTATGTTAAGGAATTACTTCTCTGTTTTAAGAGTCATTTTTCATCATTTAGTAATGAAATATAATTGTGCAAATCAATGCTAATTTATGACAATTAAACAATAAAATATTGATGAAATAAAAATCCCTTGACTTCAGTAATGAGAACAGGCATTTAAATCAATTCTCTACTCTGGCACCAAAGCAATCTTTCCAAAACACTAACCAGTTTGTATTTCTTGCTTAGAACACTTCACTAGTGACTTTCAGTGATACTTACCACCTACTCCCATTTAATACTCTACTCAGTGTCTAATTGTCATCATCCTGGCCAACTAAAGGGGGCATATAAAAGTCAGTATTCTCACAATTGGGCATTTCTTAGAGGCAGCTCTGTAGAATCCACAAAACCCATCTATTCTAATGGACAACTACAAGTCACTTAGTTTGTATAGCAGATTTTTTCTCCCAGTGATTGACAGATGAACAATGTTAAGTGTTCATCATCCCCGTTCTGCTTTGGTTTATTTGAAATATAAATACTTTGTGCTTTGTATCTAACCCTCACCCACATTTTGGCTTCTGAATCTTCCTTATAATTATACTATATTATGTTCAACAGTAATCCACCATCAGAAGTGGCAAGAGATTATTCCTTGCCATGAATTATGCTGGGAAAAGAAACTTGTTGATTATCCAAGTCATCATGATGACATTCTGAAGCTACATTGTAACCCCTTTAATACATGTGGTATTTTCAGTAAGAGAGGATTGTTCAGACCTCTGACTCATACCCTAGGGATTTCTTTTTTATAGTTGTTGTTCTATCACTTTAATTCTTTTTATTTTTAGTAAAGCAGCTTTATTGAGGCATGATGGACAAATAATAAACTGCACATATTTAATTGTACAAATTGATTAGTTTTGGTGTGCATATACACACATAAAATCATCTCCGAAATCAAGATAATGAATATATCTACCACTCCTGAAAGTTTCCTAGTGGTCTTTTGTAATTCTTTTCTCCCATCCTTCCTGAGTACCCCATCCCTAACCATCTTGGAAGCTGGCTACCACAGTTGGGCCGGACCAAGCACAGCAATAAAATAGCATGGTGTATTTGGGGAACTACAAGTAACTTATTATTGCGACAGCATGAAATGAGAGATCCAAGTGATGGAAGATGAGCAATAAACAAAAGCCAACCAAGAAGAGGATATTAAATCTTGCTAATGAGTTTGCTGTGCTTGGTCCAGCCCAATTGTGGTAGGCAGTCTCCAAGCTGGCCCCCAGTGATCCAAAATCCTGGTACTGACACTCTAGTGGAGTGTCACAAGGATTACATCTCCTTCCACGTTGCATCAAGGTTGGTCTGAGTGCCCAATAAAATACAGCATAAGTGAAGGTATGTCACTTTCAAGATTAGTTATAAAAGGCTCTGCAGTTTATATCTTCCTGTCTCTCTCTTTCTTTCTCTAACATTCATTCTGGAGTAAGCCAGTGTCACTTCATGACCATCCTTACGGGGAATCCAACTAGTAAGGAATTGAGGCTGCTGACAAACAGCTAGCAAGAAACTGAGGCCTCTTAACAGCCATGTGAGTGAGATTGGGAGTAAATCCTCTCAGCCCAGTTAAAACTTCAGAAGACAGCTTGACTAGAACCTGTTGAGAGACCTTGAGCCAGAACCACCCAGCAAAGCCATTCCTGGATTCCCAAGCCTCAGAAACTGACTGAGATAATAAATATTTGTTGTTTTAAACATGCTAAGTTGTGGGGTAATTTGTTATAAAGCAGTAAATAATTAATACATCAACTTACTGCAGAACATTGAGAGTTAGACATAGCGCACATTTGGTATGTCTGTGGTCTTGGGGGAGCCACGCCTTGACCCAATAGCTACTTCCAGGGTGGAATCCCAGAGCCTGCAAAATATCCGATAGGCTTTTTAGATGATGGGAGAAAAGCAGTAAGGACGTGGGGTGGCGACAGGAGCAGTTATAACTCAATCTGGACTCTCTACGTCTGCGTAAAGGAAGAATATGCCTTTGATCCAGAATAAATTAGCTAAAGCTGGTTGGCAAGCGTGACATGGAAACCTTAACAGGGGTCTTTCTCACATATCTATCCCAAGCGAACAGACTAATGGCTAAAATGTGATTCACAAGTTAATTAGAGACTTGTTATCAAACAATTTGCCAAAAATCTATACCATTAGATCCTTTGCTATAGATAAGGGATAAGGTATTGTCTCCAAAAGACTCCCGTTGAAATCCACCTGGGAGAGGAGCAGGAGACCAGTGGGTATTACATAGGGAGGTTTTCAAAATCCTGATGCCCAGAAAATGCCCTTGATTTATTATATAGCTTGATATTTTATAATAGCTGGCCAAAACATTCAGAACAGGTGATCTTCGAAATGTCTTGTTCAGAAGGAGAAAAGCCAGGGGACCAGTTCTCTGGGACACAGCCTGCTGGATTTGGGGTTCAGGCCATAGCACATCTCAGCAGTAAAATGGCTACAGGATGAAAGAAGAGTGATAGAGCCCCAGGTTTTAAACTACTACACAATTAGTAGTTCAGCACAGGCATTTTAGCACTTGGCCTATATTGGTGAACAACGTCTTTAAGATGAGAAGCAGGGAGTAGTGTTTTTAAAAATTCTCTGGATGGTTCCAATGCATAACCAAGTTTTCAAACCCCTGAGCTATGGGATATGAGTCATCGAAGAAGAACACTAAGAAAGGGAGGAGAAAAGAAACAAACCATTGAATTCAGCAAATTTGTCCTGTCCCTTTCATGAGGATAGCCTAATGTTCTAGCTGCCACTGTTTACTTGACAACATAAACTCATCAAGCTATCTCAGTATTGTATTCCTCATTTTTCACACCACCCAGCCTGCTGTTGACATCCTATAAATGTTAAATAATAACAATTGTTTGCTGTCAGTTACTTCCTTATAGCTGTCATTACTGTAGAGCTAGCTATCAGGGGAGAGGTTTTATTCTATAAGTTCCAATTATTTGCATGTCACAGTTGCCGGTCAAATCAGAATCTACCCCAGACTCTAAGACAGTGACGGTATAAATGGATTGTCATCAGAAGCAGTTCCTGCAGGGCCACCCTATTATTCTTCTCATAGCCATGAGAATCCATTAGCTTTCCAAAAAAACCTGGCTCTCTGTCTCTCTTCCCTCATCTTGTAGCCATCCTATTGCTGAGATATGCTGTGGCCTGAACCCCAAATCCAGCTGACAATCTCCCAGAGAACTGGTCCTCTGGCTTTTCTCCCTCTTAACAAGCCATTTCAAAGATCACCTGTTCTGAATGTTTTGGGTAGTTATTATAAAAGGAACACTGTGAAGTATGGAAGATCTGGGAAACCCTCCAGGTATTGATAAGGAAAAAAACAATTAAGAATCAAAGCCTTAAGAAAATTGCATTTTCAATGTCATATAAAATGACCTTTAATTGTGAGGAGTTAAGAATTATTCCACGTCCAGGCTCCCATGTGTCTATCAAGAATCTTTACATTACAAAATCCAAGCTCCTGCTTTGTTTTAATAATGTCTTTAGGCTTCCACTGGGAATTTCTTCAATACACAAAGATGTTAATAGGAGAACAAGAAAAGTATTTGAAGGACTTCCTGACTCACAATTATTCTTTGGGAAAGTTGAATTTTTTTAACATATGAAAGAATATTTGTGCCTCATCTTCTCAGAGATAACTCATTGTAGCCACAATTCTATCAGCACAAGACTATTGTTCATTATAGAATTGTGAACAATAGTTCTCTCTGTTGGAGGGGGTGTCCCAAGACAACTTAATGAGAAAATGAAGGCACGAGAAATGCAATTCTCTTATGAATGCAAACAGCTAATTTAACAAATTACACAGTAGATTTTTTTAAATGCAGAAAATGCAAACAAGACTCTGGCTCTTCAGAAGCCAAGAATCTTTACGTGAAGCGTTTTTTGTTTTTCGTTTCTGTGTGTGTGTGTGTTTTTTTTTTTTTTTGCACACACACACAAAAAGGCTCAAGGTTTGAAATTTCTTTTTTCTAATCCCAAGATCAAAGAAGTGCAAGGATGTAATTTCTTTCCTTAATAAAAACAACTTTTACCATAGCAATACCACATATTGTTACACAGAGCCAGCTGAGAAGAGGCAATGGTGTATTACAAAGCAGTGTTAATATTTTTGGGGCATTTTGTGTGCTTGAGGTTTCTTATCATAATAATTTTAACTGGGGCTATGCAATTATTGTCCAGTAATAAAGAACTGTTTTATAGAAGGATTATTTGTTCATTACCTGGTTTGGGGTAGTTTTTGTTGTTACTTTATACAATTGTATAGAACTGTGGCATGTAAAAAGCACCATGGCATATGCAAAGCTGTTCATTGCAGCAATGCTTATAACTGCAAATAACTGCAGAAAACTAGATGTTCATCAAAAAACATGTTTTAAATAAATTATGATGTAACTATTCAGTGAAATATTAGGCAACTAGTTCATAAACCAGTGAGGTGGTTTATGAAACTCTTCTTCACAGATATATTAAAGTAGAAAGATGCAGTTTAGTACATTTAATAAGTGATCATTTGTGAGACAGAAGGACATGTATATGTAAGTTGTATATGCATAGGCTGATTTTTAAAAAGAGCAATTGTGAAAAGGGGATTGAGAGAGTAAGAATCGAGCATTGGAAGGAGAATTTTTACTTATTGCCTTTTTGTGTTGTGTTATATGTCATCTGTAGTGTTGTCTAAAATACTTCAACATAGCCTGGGCAACATAGCGAAAACTCATCTCTAACAAAAATACAAAAAGTAATAATAATAACTGGGCATGGTGGTGTGCACCTGTAGTCCCAGCTACTTGGGAGGCTGAGGTGGGAGGATCGCTTGAGCCTGGGAGGCGGAGATTGCAGTGACTGAGATCACACCACTGCACTCCAGCCTAGACAGTAGAGGGGGACCCTGTCTCAAAAAATAAAAATAAAATAAAATAAAATAATACTTCAACATAGGTAGGGTGGTATATATGTACATATTCAATATTTTTAACATTCTTGTACCCTTCAAATATTAGTTAATATTTGAAGTGCCCTAATCAGGAATATGCCACCAAATAATTGTTAATAATAATTAGCATTTAAAAGTGGTGATAAAAAGTATACATTCCAGAAATAGGCCAACATAATCACATCATCAGTCTTGCTTTCTGAGCTATAGCAGAGGTCAAATTGGTTAAAAATAGATTTTATTCATCTATTCAAGTATTTAACAAATATTTATTGAGAAACTACATAATTAGTAGTTTAGCACAGGCATTTTAGCACTTGGCCTACATTGGCAAACAGAATAAAAATTCTTACTCTCTTAGTGATCTAACATACCTTTTAAAGGTTTTCTTTATGGATGACATTAGAAGATATGACTTTATTTCTAGCCATGATGAATTAAATAGTACCTGACTTCCACCCAAACAAAACCAATTGGAAAACTTAACGTAATATTAAATTAGAGTTTACAGAGACTAAAACACAGGAAGTCCAGGACAGTAAGGCCTAGGAGAAAGTAAACAAACAAGGTGAGCCCTACCATTGACCTAGCCTGTTTCATAGAAGTAATTTCTGGGCAGTAGCACAGAAATGGAGAAAACCTAAGCAAACCACAGTGGGCTTGCTGACAGGAAGAGAGGATGTTCAGAGTACATGGAGGCAGCTGAAAGAGTAGAATACTGGAGAGGACATTCTAAACAAAGGTATTCTCTTGAGTAGGAAAACCATAGGGCAACTGTAAGCTGAGTAATTTTTTAAAAATTATACTTTAAATTCCAGGATACAAGTGCAGAACATGTAGGTTTGTTACACAGATATATGTGTGCCGTGGTGGTTTGCTGCACCAATTTACCCGTCATCTAGGTTTTAAGCCCTGCATGCATCAGCCATTTGTACTAATGCTCTCCCTCCCCTCACCCACCACCCAGCTGAGTAATTTTCAATGTTCACATGGGGCTGGGAGATATCCAAGTTCCAATTAGCCAAAGCAAAGACTTTATTGAGGCACTAGGCCATTGAATAGAGACCCCAAAAGGGTCTTGCCCTAGCAATAGGACTAACTAGGGCTACAGTAAGGACTACTCAAGATCCATACTAAAAAAGATTCAGAACAAGCCTCAAAACTACAGCCTTATCTCGGCTGACTGATAAAATAAAATTGCACATTTTAAAAAAAAGACAGCAAAATATTGATTCTTGAAAATGTCTAGCATCCAATCGAAAATTATAAAGATGTGCAAAGAAGTAGCAAAATGTGATTAGTAACCAACAAAAACTAAATAAAAGGAAAAAGTCATGGTAGGATACAGTTGACCCCTGAATAACTTGAATCCAAACTACACAAGTCCACTTATAAATGGATTTTCTTCTGCCTTTGCCAGCCCTGAGACAGCAAGACCAATGCCTCCTCTTCTTCCTCCTTCTCAGCCTACTCGATGTGAAGATAATGAAGATGAAAACTTTTATGATGATCCACTTCCACTTGAGGAATAAATATTTTTATTTTCCTTATGATTTTCTTAGTAACATTTTTTCTCTACCTTACTTTATTGTAAGAACACAGTATAATGCATATAACATACAAAAATATGTGTTAATCAACTGTGTTATTGGTAAGGCTTTCAGTCAGCAGTTGGCTATTAGCAGTCAAGTGTTTATGGAGTCAAAAGTTAGACACAGATTTTCAACTGCACAGAGAGGTCAATATCCCTAAACCCCATGTTGTTCAAGGGTCAACTATACCAAGGAAAACGTGAACAAAATGAAGAAAGACATGAAACCTATTTTAAAAAAGATATGAAACTTCTTGAAATGAATATTCATGTCAGAAATGACAAACTTACTATATGTGCTTAACATCAAATTTTAGACACTATAATAACTTAAAGATATGGTGTAAGAAAACTTCCAAACTGAATCACAGAAAGGAAAAAAAATCCTGAACAAAATGGGCAAGTATTTACTTATGGGACAATACCAAGAATTCTGAGATCTATGAAATTAAAATACTTAAATTCAAGAATCAAAAAGGGTGGAGGAAGAGGAATTGAATAAACTAATGTTTTTAAATTTAATGAGAACTGTAAGCCCACAGAGGCTCAATATGCTCAACCAATCTCAAGCACAAACATCATAGTCAAATTGCTGAAAACTAGTGATAAGAAGATAGCCTTAAAAGCAACCAGAGTAAAAAGGCATTACTTAAAGAAAAGCAAAAGGAGAATTACACTGATTTCTAGTTAGAACTAATTCAAGCCAAAACAAACAAACAAAAAATAGAATGACATATATAAAGAGACGAAGAAAAACTATCAATTTGCTATCCAGTGAAAATATACTTTAAAAAGAAGTGAAAATAAAGGCTTTTTCAGATAAACAAAAACAGAGACAGACTTGTCATTAGCAGACTTGTACACAATAAATGTTATATAAAGTTTTTTCTGATTCAAGTAAAAGGGTACCCCATGAATACCTAAATCTACACAAAGGAATAAAGACAGTGGATAAGGCTAATATGTGGATAATATATTACTTATATTTTTGAATTTTCTAATTTGTTAAAAAATAATTATAAGATAACACTGTGAAATTCATTAGACATGAAGAAATATAATGATTAAAACAATAGCAAAAAGGGTAGGAGGGAGAAATGAAGGTACACATTTTTTAAGTTTTATTTTAAGTTCAGGAGTACATGTGCAGTTTGTCGTATATGTAAACTCATGTCATGGGGGTTTATTGTACAGATTATTTCATCACCCAGGTATTCAGCCTAGAACCTATTAGCTATTTTTCCTGATGCTATTTCTCCTCCCACCCTCCACCTTCTGGTAGACCCCAGTGTCTGTTGTTCCCCTCTATGTGTCCATGTGCTCTCATCATTCAGCTCCCATTTTTAAGTGAGAACATGCAGTATTTGGGTTTCTGTTCCTGCATTAGTTAGCTAAGAATGATGCCCTCCAGCTCCATCTAAGTTCCAGCGAAGGACACGATCTCATTCTTTTTATGACTGCATAGTATTCCATGGTGTATATGTACCACACTTTCTTTATCCAATCTGCCATTGATTGGCATTTAGGTTGATTCATGTCTTTGCTATTGTGAGTAGCACTGCAGTGATTATATGTGTGCACGTGTCTTTATGATGGAACAATTTATATTCTTTTGGGTATATACCCAGTAATGGGGTTGCTGAGTCAAACGGTAGTTCTGGTTTTAGGTCTGAGGAATTGCCACACTGTTTTCCACAATGATCAAACTAATTTACACTCCCTCCAACAGTATATAAGCATTTTTTTCTGCAACCTTGCCAGCATCTGTTATTTTTTGACTTTTTAATAGTAGCCATTCAAACTGTGAGATGGCGTAAGATGGTATCTCATTGTGGTTTTAATTTGAATTTCTCTAATGATCAGTGATGTTGGGCTTTTTCTCTTATGATTGTTGGCTGCAGGTATGTATTCTATTGAAAAGTGTCTGTTCATGTCTGTTGCCCACTTCTTAATGGGGTTTTTTTTTATTGTAGCTTTGTTTAAGTTCCTTATAGATACTAGATATTAGACCTTTGTCAGATGCATAGTTTGAAAATATTTTCTCCCATTTTGTAGGTGGTCTGTTCACTCTGTTGATAGCTTTTTTTTTTTTTTTTTTTTTTTTTTTTTTTTTTTGCTGTGTAGAAGCTCTTTAGTTTTATTTGAACCCATCTATCAATTTTTGCTTTTATTGCAATTGCTTTTGGCATGCTGGTCATGAGGTCCTTTCCTGTTCCTATTTTCAGAATAGTATTGCCTAGATTGTCTTCCAGGGTTTTTATAGTTTTGGATTTTATGTTTAAGTCTTTCATCTATCTTGAGTTTATTTTTGTATACAGTGTAAGGAAGGGGTCCAGTTTCAATCTTCTGCATATGGCTAGCCAGTTATCCCAGCACCATTTATTGAATAGGTAGTCTTTTCCTCATTGCTTGTTTTTGTCAGCTTTGTTGAAGATAAGATAGTTTTAGGTCTGCGGCCTTATTTTTGGGTCTCCATTCTGTGCCACTGGTCTACTTGTCTGTTCTTGTACCAGTACAATGTTGTTTTGGTTATTGTAGCTCTGTAGTATAGTTTAAAGACACGGAACGTGATGGTGATGCCTCCAGTTTTGTTCTTTTTGCTTAGGATTGCCTTAGCTATTTGGGCTCTTTTTTTGTTCCATATGAATTATAAAATAGTTTTTCCTAGTCCTTTGAAGAATTTCATTGGTAGTCTGATAGGAATAGCATTGAATCTATAAATTGCTCTGGGCAGTATGGCCATTTTAATGATATTGATTCTTCCCACCCATGAGCATCGAATGTTTTTCCATTTGTTTGTCTAATCTCTGATTTCTTTGAGCAGTGTTTTGTAGTTCTCACTGTAGAGATCTTCCACATCCCTGGTTATCTGTATTCCTAAGTGTTTTATTCTTTTTGTATCCATTGTGAATGGGATTGCATTCCTGATTTGGCTCTTGGCTAGATGATTGTTGGTGTATAGGAATGCTGGTGATTTGGTGATTTTTATACATTGATATTGTGTCCTGAGACTTTGCTGAAGTTGTTTACCAGCTTAAGGAGCTTTTGGGACAAGACTATGGGGTCTTCTAGATATGGAATCATGTCATCTGCAAACAGGAATAGTTTGACTTTTGGATACCATTTATTTCTTTCTCTTGCCAGATTGCTCTGGCCAGGACTTCCAATACTATGTTGAATAGTACTGATGAGAGAGGGTATCCCTTTTTTGTGGTGCCAGTTTTCAAGGGGAACACTTCCAGCTTTTGCGCATTTAGTATGATGTTGGTTGTGGGTTTGTCGTAAATGGCTCTTATTATTTTGAGGTATGTTCCTTCAGTACCTAGTTTATTGAGAGTTTTTAACATGGAGGAGTACTGAATTTTGTTGAAAGCCTTTTTTGTAATCTATTGAGACGATCATGTGGTTTTTGTGTTTAGTTCTGTTTATGTGACGAATCACATCTATTGATTTGTGTATGTTAAACCAACCTTGCAACCCAGGGATAAAGCCCACTTGATGGTGGTGGATAAGCTTCTTCCTGTGCTGCTGGATTTGGTTTGCCAGTATTTTGTTAAGGATTTTTGCACCAATGTTCATCAAGGATATTGGCCTGAAGTTTCTTTTTGTGTCATATCTCTGCCAGGTTTTTGTATTAGGATGATGTTTGCTTTATAGAATGAGTTAAGGAGGAGTACCTTCTCCTCAATTTTATGGAATAGTTTCAGTAGGAATGGTTCTAGTTCTTATTTGTACATCTGGTAGAATTCAGCTGTGAATCTGTCTGGTCCTGGGCTTTATTTGGTTGGTAGACTATTTATTACTAATTCAATTTTGAAGCTACTTATTGGTCTGTTCAGGGATTCAATTTCTTCCTGGTTCAGTCTTGGGAGGGTAAATGTGTCCAGAAATTTATCCATTTCTTCTAGATTATCTAGTTTGTATGCATAAAGGTACTCATAATAGTCTCTGGTGGTTATCTGTGTTTCTGTGGGGTCAGTGGTAATACTCCCTTTGTCATTTCTAATTGTGTTTATTTGGATCTTCTCTCTTTTCTTCTTTATTAGTCTAGCTAGCAGTGTATTTTATTTTATTTTATTTTATTTTTCAGAGAACCAGCTCCTGGATTCATTGATCTTTTGAATGGTTTTTCGTGTCTCAATCTCTTTCAGTTCAGCTCTGATTTTGGTTATTTCTTGTCTTCTGCTAGCTTTGTGGTTGGTTTGCTCTTGGTTCTCTAGTTCTTTTAGTTGTGGTGTTAGGTTGCTAAATTGAGAGCTTTCTAACTTTTTGATGTCAGTATTTGGTACTATAAGTTTTTCTTTTAACATTGCTTTAGCTGTGTCCCAGAGATTCTGGTTTGTTGTATTTTTGTTCTGGTTGTTTCAAAGAACTTCTTGTTTTCTGTCTTAATTTCATTATTTACCCAAAAGTCATTCAGGAGCAGGTTATTTAATGTCCATGTAATGGTATGGTTTTGAGCAAATTTCTTAGTCTTGATTTCTAATTTTATTGCACTGTGATCTGAGAGAGTGGTTGTTACGATTTTAGTTCTTTTGTATTTGCTGAGGAGGGTTTTATGTCTGATTGTGTCGTCAGTTTTAGAGTATGTGCCATGTGGCAATGAGAAGAATGTATATCTGTTGTTTTTGTGTGTAGAGTTCTGTATATATCTATCAGATACGTTTGTTCCAGTGCTGAATTCAGGTCCTGAATATCTCTGTTAATTTTCTGTGTCAGTAATCTAATGTTGTCAGTGGGGTGTTGATGTCTCCCAACGTCATTGTGTGGGAGTCTATGTCTCTTTGAAGATCTCTAAGAACTTGCTTTATGAATCTGGATGCTCCTATGTTGAGCGTACATATATTTAGGATAGTTAGTCTTCTTATTAAGTTGTACCCTTTATCATTATGTAATGCCCTTCTTTGCCTTTGTTGATCTATGTTGGTTTAAAGTCTGTTTTGTCCTAAATTAGGACTCACACCTCTGCTTTTTTCTGTTTTCCATTTGCTTGGCAGATTTTTCTCTATCCCTTCATTTTGAGCCTATGTGTGTCATTGCATATGAGATGGGTCTCTTGAAAAGAGTATACCACTGGGTCTTGGTTCTTTATCCAGCTTGCCACTCTGTGCCTTTTAATTGAGGCATTTAGCCGGTTTACATTCAAGGTTAGTATTGATATGAGTTGATTTGATCCTGTCCTCATGGTGTTAGCTGGTTATTATGCTGACTTGTTTGTGTGGTTGTTTTATAGTGTCACTGGTCTGTGGAAAGTACACTACTTAAAGTGGTATAATATTTTTTATTTATTTATTTTTTTGAGACAGAGTCTCACCCTGTCACCCAGGCTGGAGTGCAGTGGCACGATCTCAGCTCACTGCAACCTCTGCCTCCCAGCTTCAAGTGATTCTCCTGCCTCAGCCTCCCAAGTAGCTGGAATTACAGGTGTGCACCACCACGCCTGGCTAATTTTTGTAATTTTAGTAGAGACAGGGTTTCACCATGTTGGCCAGGTAGGTCTCGAACTCCTGACCTCAGATGATATGCCCGCCTCAGCCTCTCAAAGCGCTAGGATTACAGGCGTGAGCCACTGTGCCCGGCCAAAGTGGTATAATATTTTTAAGGAGATTCTAATAAAGCAAAAGTATGTATTGTAAATTCTAGAATAGCCAATAAAATTTTTTAAAGAGGTAAATATAAGTTAAATATTGGTGAGAAAATGAAACAATAACAAATCGTTTTTAATTTGCCAATATAGGAAGAAGTAACCAAAGTCAGTGTAAAAACAACAACAACAAAAGTAGAAAAAAACTATTATAGTGATGAACCCAGCAGGATGTTAGGGTATTTGTCTGAATTGTTTGATGTTTATGGTATCTGTCAGCTCCACAAAATGTGTGATTTGTTGTGTTTTCTTTTCTCTTTCTAAGTAAATATTCATTTTTATCTCCAGTTTTGTATTTGAAATTTTGTATCACTTTTTTCTTAAAGAGAGCCCTCAGAATTATTTAAGCTTTATGCCACACAAGACCTTTAGACAAGGTGCTGCTGGAGGACCTGTGAAAACACAGAGATGGCCCCTCATTAAGCTTTTGAAATGGGTTGTATGTCTGTCTTTGAACGCGCTTGCTAACAAAAGTTTGTATATATGACAAAATTGGGTCTAAAATTTGTTTTCAATGTGATACACTACCTGGTAAAGAGCTTGTAGAGGAGGAACCAAAGCAAGGTAGCCATATAATTTATCAGCCAAACGAGGACACTTTTAAGAGTGCTAAACTACTAAACTGAAAGGGACACCAGCATAATAGGCACAAAGTCTGCTTCAAGCAAACTGAACCAATAGCCCCTCACCTACTTCCAAGTACTGGACACTGCAGATAGCATCCAGGAAATAATTTCTGACAGAACAAATGGGCTTACATCAGTTTTTAACAGTTGGAATTTATGTGTATATATACATACATATGTATACACATGTATGTGCCTATGTATATGTGTATACACATATATACACATGCATGTATGTGCATATACATGTGTATATGTGCATACATGCATGTATACATATATTTGCATATATATACAAATTCTCTTACAAACTCTGTGTATGTCTGTGTGTATATATATGCTTGTATGTATATACTATAGGTGTAGAAAAATTCTACTTCCATCCTCTTAGGGTCCTGGCTAGGTTCAAGAATTAAATTGAGATAAAATAGATTAACAAGAGAAAAGCATACACATTTATTTAATACACATTTTACATGGCGCAGGTACCCTCATAAAGAAATGAAGACCAAAAAAGCATCTAGAGTCAGTTGCTTTATACTGAATTGGACAAAGAATAGTAAACTGTGAAAATGTGACTGAATTATGTGGGGAGGCTTAAAAGATAAGAGTTATTATAACAAGATCTGTATGGTGTTCTCTCAATCTCAACTTCTTGTCCTGGAAGATAAGGATGTTGCCTTTTCTTCTAGTACAGGGAGAGTGTCTTTCACCTGCGAATTTCATCTTTTGCTCTTATGAAAGAGCATGAAGGTCAAAGTGATCTTTTTGCACCTGCTGCTTTTCAAGAGTCTATTTAAATAGTCGATATGCTAAGATAGCATATTCTAACTCCCTCAATACGTATATAAAAGCAAACTGTTGCAAACTTTTTTAACGTATGTGTGTATACATACATGTATTGCATGTATATATCCTGTTTTTAAAAAAAATCAAAATAAAATCTGCTGCTGAGGGTTTGTAAAAAAATAATTTGATAATCACTTCAGATATGTAGTCTTCACTGGGAATGGCTGAAGATGCATTTCTAGTGTCACTTCATACTCAAAAGACACAAGGACTGAAGAACAAAATGAGGGACTTTTTAAAGGCAGAATAATTCTATTACTTGTATTATTTGTCTTCCTTATGGAATCCAGCTCATTATTTGATACAGCATGAAAACTGCAAACCTCAAGGTTTTCTCAAAACTCTGTCAGGTCAGAGGTGAGAGTAGGCAATAAGAGTGCCCTGAAAGCTGGAGCCACAGTAAATGTATCCGGGTCTCTGCTCTCTATATATCCAATCCCCAAGCCTCCCTCTTTATATGAAGCAATCCCCAAAAGGAGTATGTTTCAGAAGCAATATGCAATATCCTTCATTATAATCCCATGAAATGGGTAAATATGAGTGTAATCCTCACCAAATGATTATACCAAAATAGAAGGGAGTGAGCATTACAGTCATATTTACTCTAGAATTTGAAGCCAAGTAAAAATCATCAGAATTTTGGCATGTAGTTCGTAAGTTTTGAAAAATCTCAAATATTACTAATTAATTCTCTGAGTCTGTTTCCTACTTGGAAAGAAATCTAGTATCTTACATTTCCCAAAACAGTTGCCAATGGCTTTTCATCAGGAGAGGTTCTGGGCACCTATGTCAATCAAGATCCAAGTTTCCAAATGCAAGGTGACAGCAGAGTCTTTACTAGAAAATATAGAATAGGTGCGACTTTACACTCGAATGACTTTTCGGTTTTTTGTTTGACAGTATTCATTCTTTTGGTGTCCATGATTAAATGACTATTTATGTTACAAACAATTTTAAAATAGATTATTCTGCCTATGACTGTAATGAGAAAATAATTATTCAAAAACAATTCACTTTTAATAGAAGTTGAAATTCTGTCAATGGAATTCTGTGATTATTTTTTTTGGAGGCTTTAGTTAAAAGCGTATTGCATTTATTTCATGTTTTGTCAATGCTATTTCTACCAAGTATAGTCATTGTCACATCACCATTATCATTATCACCAACAACTAATCTGAAGGGAAATTATCTATAGGTCGAATAAATGAATGAAAAGAACTGTCAAAGTTTAGGGAATTCTAAATTGGTGATTTGCTCTGCGGGTCAGCACAGTGCCTGGACTGTGGCTCATGTTTCCCCCTCAAGAAGGTCCCTTCTTGGGAGGCCGAGGCAGCGGATCATGAGGTCAGGAGATCGAGACCATCCTGGCTAACATGGTGAAACTCCATCTCTACTAAAAATACAAAAAATTAGCCGGGTGTGGTGGTCTGCACCTGTAGTCCCAGCTACTCAGGAGGCTGGGGCAGGAGAATCATTTGAACCCGGGAGGTGGAGGTTGCAGTGAGCCGAGCTCGCGCCACTGCACTCCAGCCTGGGCAACAGAGCGAGACTCCACCTCAAAAAAAAAAAAAAAAAAAAGAAGGTCCCTTCATGCTGTTTCACGCTCTTTTTTCTTTCTTTCCCTCCCTTCCTTCCTTCCTTCCTTTTTTCTTTTCTTTCTTTCTTCTTATTTTTCCATCTTGATTTACTTTCCCTCTGGTGCATAGAAAGAAGCTAAAGAAGCTAATGCTGCTCTGCTCATGGCACACCGTCAGCACCGGTTGATAGACTTTGTTCTGTTTTAGTTCCTTATTTTTGTCTCTCTGTCCCCCCTCCCCTATCTCTAGCCTTCTGCTTTATTATATTTAAAATATGTGCTCTCATACATCATTTTATTTGTATTTCAATAAATGTATATTCTTGAAATATATTTTAAGAATTTATAAAGTTTTATAAATGGTATTGGATTTAAATATTTTCTTTTTTACTTTATACTATTCTTAAGTTCTAGCCACATTGTCATCAGTTAATGCAGTAGATTCATTCTGATAACAGTATAGTATTGTACCATGGGATGATAACACACTTTATTATTATTATTATTATTATTTTGAGACAGAGTCTTGCTCTATTGCCCAGGCTGGAGTGCAGTGGTGCAATCTCAGCTCACTGCCTCAGCCTCCCAAGTAGCCGAGATTACAGGTGTGTGCACCACCGTGTCCAGCTAATTATTTTCTTTCTTTCTTTTTTTTTTTTTTTTGTATTTTTAGTAGAGATAGGTCTTGCCATGTTGGCCAGGCTGGTCTTGAACCCCTGGCTTTAAGTGATCCACCTGCGCCGGCCTCCAAAAGTTCTGGGATTCCAGGCATGAGCCACCACACTCGGCCTATAACACAGCTTAAATGCCAGTTTCCCTAAGGACCGTCATCTATCTCAGACAAAATTTTGCCTGGTAGAAATGCTGCTGCAAACGTCCTCAAACACAGCTCCTTATGGGTCTCTGCTTGAGTTTCTATCAGGTATATACACTGGAATGGACTTGTGGGGTTTAATGGTACATCCATATCTAATATCACTAAGCACTGCCAGGATATTCCCCCAAATGACCGAATATGAGGATTCCCTCCCCCTTGATCTCCTCAACTTCAACATGACTTTCTCATGTTTGACATGTGGCAAATTAGTGATTAGTCATAAACTTAACTTGCATTTCTCTTGAACATCTTTTTGTTATATACTTATTAGCCATTTGGTTTTCTCTTCTCTGAATTACCTCATCATCTTTGCCCAAATATCTATTGGCTGTCCTTTTTCTTGCTAATTTGGACATTTACTCTATGTTCTAGATATTTAATCCCCTTTTATATTTTACATATTGCAAATATCTTCTCCCAGTCTAGCAGCATATCTTAACTTGGTGATGGTAACTTTTTTAAACAAAAAAAATTGTGGTTAAAGTAAAAAGCATGAAGCTTTACCTAATGGTTTTTACTTTAGAGAATCTAATTTTTTAAATCCTTCCACAGTTCAAGATAATAAAGATATTCTCATGTTTTATGTTATTTAATTTTGTAACGTCATCTTTATTATTTAAGTTTTTAACCCATCTGAAGGCCATATGGTGTTAATTAGCAAGTCTATTTTATTTTTTCTCTACATAGAGGGATAATTTCTTTAACATTATCCATTAATAATCCACCGTATACCTACTGATTTGTAATGGCCATCATACACTGAACTCTGTATATATTAGATCGGTGCAAATGTAATTGCGGTTTTTGCACTTTGAAATTTGCCGTTTGATATTGAGATACATTCTTAAATAAATGTGGTTATGTTATATATCATTTTAATGCGCATTTCTCGCTTTATGATTTTTGCTAATGACTTATTACTTGCTGTGTATTTTACATTTATTTTTGACTATGGAAGTGATGTTAGACAGAAAGCAAATTTAAGTGATTTTCTTATTTGAGTTCAAAATGGGTCATAAAGCAGCAAAGACAACTCGCAACATCAACAATGCATTTGGTCCAGGAACCACTAACAAACTTACAGGGCAGTGGTTGTTCAAGAAGTTTTGCAAAAGAGACCAGAGCCTTGAAGATGAGGAGCATAGTGGCTGGCCATTGGAAATTGACAACAACCAACTGAGAGCAGTCATCGAAGCTGATACTCTTACAACTGCATGAGAAGTTGCCGAAGAAGTCGACGTTGACCATTCTATGGCCGTTTGGCATTTGAAGTGAATAGGAAAGGTGAAAAAGCTCAGTAAGAGGGTGCCTCATGAGCTGAGCAAAAATTTAAAAAAAAATCGTTGTCTTGAGGTTTCATCTTCTCTTATTCTACACAACAACAACAAACCATTTCTTGATTGGATTGTGACATGCAACGAAAAGTGGATTTTATACTACAACCTGCAACGACCAGCTCAGTGGTTGGACTGAGAGGAAGCTTCAAAACACTTCCCAAAACCGAACTTGCACCAAAAAAAGGTCATGGTCACTGTTTGGTGGTCTGCCACTGGCCGGTCTGATCCACTACAGCTTTCTAATTTCAGCGAAACCATGACATCCAAGAAGTATGCTCAGCAAATCAATGTGATCCACTGAAAACTGCAATGCCTGCAGCCGGCATCGGTCAACAGAGGGGACCCAGTTCTCTTTCACAACGACGCCCAACTCTACGTGGCACAACCAACACTTCAAAAGTTGAACGGATTGGGCTTTAAAGTTTTGTCTCATCCGCTACATTCACCTGACCTCTCACCAACCAACTACCACTTCTTTAAGCACCTGAACACTTTTTGTGGAGAAAATGCTCCCACAACCAGCAGGATACAGAAAATGATTTCCAAGAGTTAATGGAATCCCAAAGCACAGATATTTAAGCAACAATTTTCTCAATGGCAAAACTGTGTTGATTGTAATGGTTCCTATTTTGATGAATAAAAATGTGTTTTAACCTAGTTATAATGATTTAAAATTCATGGTACGAAATCGCAATTACTTTTCTGCCAACCTAATACATGATACTTCTGGACCTTTGATACTGTTCCTTTAGTCAGTTATCTTTTCCTACACCAGTGTCATGCTGTTTTTACTCTTTGTACTAGATCCCAAGTGTTGATATGACACATTCCCCCTTTTTTTTATTTAAAAAAGTTTACATTTATTTATGGGCTTTTATTTTTCCATATTAATTTTAGAAAGCCAGTTTCTCAAATTTCATGAAAGAATCCTCCAGGAATTCTAACTAGAATGGCATTACATTTAAGATTAATTTGGAGGAGAAAATTAGGTCTTTCCCATGTTATGTAATCTCATCCTTGGATATACCATATCTCTTGACTTACTTAATTTTTCTTTTTATTAACTTTAGTAATTTAAAAAAAAATTCTTCTGCTTAAGATCTTGTGCATTCTGTTAGGTTTATTCCTGAATATCTCATAGTTTCTCTTGCTATTACCAAAAGTATCTTATTTTATTATATTTCTTACTTAGCTATATCATCTTTTGTAGAAGAGTGCTGTTGATTTTTGTATGTTGAACTTGTAATCATCATTGTTTATTTAATTTTTTCTCCCTTCCATTAATTCTTTTTTCTTTCTGGAATTCATATTAAAGGGGCATTGATATTTCTTACCTCTACCCTTCATATATCTTAATTTTTCTTTCATTCCTTCCTTTTCTTTTTTTTTAACCTTTTTCTTATGTCTTCAGAGGGAGTTCCTCAACTTGATCCTCTAATTCACTAATTCTTACCTCAGTTGCATTCTACACTTCAACCCATCCATTGAGTTATTATTCTAATAGCTCAGACACTAAATGAAGATCACAGAGTGATCCTAATAGACATCACATGGTATAAGACAATATCCCTCACACACACACACACACACACACACACACAAATTGATATAATACATTTTTTTTCTTTTTTTAAATTATACTTTAAGTTCTGGGATACATGTGCAGAATGAGCAGTTTTGTTGAATAGGTATACATGTGCCATGGTGGTTTGCTGCACCCATCAACATGTCATGTACATTAGGTATTTCTCCTAATGCAATCCCTCCCCTTCCCCCCAACCCCCGAACAGGCCCTGGTGTGTGATGTTCCCCTCCCTGTGTCCATGTGTTCTCATTGTTCAACTCCCACTTATGAGTGAGAATATGAGGTGTTTGATTTTCTGTTCCTGGAATACAACTGACAAGGGATGTGAAGGACCTCCTCAAGCAGAACTATAAACCACTGCTCAAGGAAATCAGAGAGGACACAAACAAATGGAAAAACTTTCCATGCTCATGGATAGGAAGAATCAATATCATGAAAATGGCCATACTGCCCAAAGTAATTTATAGATTCAATGCTATTCCCATCAAGCTACCATTGACTTTCTTCACAGAATTAGAAAAAACTACTTTAAATTTCACATGGAATCAAAAAACAGCCCGTATAGCCAAGACAATCCTAAGCAAAAAGAACAAAGCTGGAAGCATCATGCTACCTGACTTCAAACTATACTACAAGGCTACAGTAATCAAAACAGCATGGTACTGGTACCAAAACAGATATATAGACCAATGGAACAAAACAGAGGCCTCAGAAATAATGCCACACATTTACAACCATCTGATCTTTGACAAACCTGACAAACACAAGCAATGGGGAAAGGATTCCTTACTTAATAAATTTTTTTTCTTAAAAATGCCACTAAATTCGACATGCTTTGTTACACAGCAATGGATAACCAACCAGATCTTCCCAAGATAGTACAAAATGAAGTTCCTACATTGAGAGACAGATAAAACAAGTCCAATCTGGATTTTAAAAAGAAAATAAAAATAACCTAAAACATTTAACCTAGATTTAAAAGCAGCCTAGACAGGTCCCAGTACAGATAATCTCCTCCCTCTTACCTCTCAATGGCATCACAGGAATCAGAACATTGGAGAATTTCCAAACTCCCAGGGGCCTTTGACATCACTAGTCTCATTCCTGTGGACTATTTTGGGGACACTTCTGTTCATAGCGCTGCAGCCTGTTTATTAACTGAGGTAGCTGGCCTCATTATGAATATGTCAAAATGTGCTTGGGTTTGCTCTTTGGATTCTCAGAGTGATTTTTAAAACACCTTTTTGATATGCTAACAGCCTTTAATGAGGACAGAAAAAATTAATTCAAAAAACATTAAGCTGCAAAAAGAACTACTATCTCTTTTGCTGTTAGTTGACTGTCTATATGTAGGAGTTGAAGAATGAATTGCCATTTAAATACTAGCAGGCCTCACTGAAGAAGACAACCTGCTACTGACCTTAAAAAAGCAAACAGGTATTTGCCTTTAATTTGCCCCAATTTTGTAAAATTCAAGTTGCTCAGAGAGAGCGAGTGGTGATATGAGGGGAGAAGGGGTATGGGTTTTTGACATGCTAACCCCAATGTAGCATGTTAAAAAAAGGAGAGGTCCTTGGGAAAGTTTTATGTTTCTCCCACTTCGCTTCAGTTTCGTCACTCATAAAAAGAAAATAATAATACCCAATTATCACGGACAGTGTGAGAATTTATTTCTAAATTGCATGATACACAAAAGAACTCAATAAATGATAGCTGTCACTTTTACTACTGTGGTCATTATCATTAATAAGCTAGGAATAAATCTCAGTAATGCACAACAGAGTTAAAACCTAGGGAGCTCATGGAAGAAAAGCAGTTTGTTGACATATCACTTCAAAACCAGTGAGGCCACAGAAATACCATAACTAAGTCCTTAGGGCACAGGACCAGAATCCAGGAAGTCAGTTTAGGCAAAGTATTCAAATGGAGTCAAGGGGATAAATAGCTCATGTTGATAGCAAATTTTGACCTGTATAGCCCATTTCATTTTCTGTACCATTTTTACAGGGCAATTTGCCTTAATTAATACCTGTTATAGTAATCAGGGGCAGGAACATCTTTTAGTGAAGGGCAATAAAAATAAAGTGAGAGAAAGAGATGTTGTTATCAAGAACTCCCCTTGAAGAGGCACTTGGTATTTGAAAAGAGTACTTTGATAAGTGTAGCAGTCAGTGTCAGCGTTTAGCTAAGATTCTCTTGGATCCCTCTTCCTGTTTCTTTGTCCCTCATTTTCCCCAGCTTCAATGTGCAATTGCCTGTCAGGGCCCACAGCAGTGCTTCCTCTTTGAGGGATGGCCCTCAGGAAACTGTACACAGGGAAAGCCTCAAATACATGAGGGTTTATAGCCCATTGAGTTGGCTCTTGGCCAATGATTAATGGTACCAGAGCATGGAAGCCCAGCTTTCTTGCTTCAAATCACCAACTATGAGGTGTAATTTATATGCCACTGGATAGGGGCAAGTCTAGAACTTAACCTAAGGCTGTACCTTTGCTTGGCTTCTTCCTCTTCCGCATTCTGCATCCCTCACTCTTTTTCCAGTTTCTCTTGTAAACACCTTCAATAAATCACTGGTGCTCAAATCCTCATCTCAGCATTTGCTTGTAGGGAATCCAACCTAAGATACTGACCTACTTAGGTGTTGGCTGCAACCCCAAAGGAATGCATAAGTACCAAAAGGTAATCGCTATCTGCCTTTTAAAATTGGTGCGCCCTATTAATTGGAGGACCTTTTTTTTTTTTTCAGTGAGTTTCAGAATATACATTTCATAGTAGTTGCTGAGGCAGAGCTGGTGATTTGTGTGATATAACCACCACCACCACCAATGCCCCATACACACATATAAATCATACCTTCTATAAAATAATAAGTAACGTTCATGTCTCGTTTTAAACTGTTCACATGTGAAGTGGATTTTTTGAAGAATTAGCTCAAGTGCTGGGCTCTCCATCAGAATGCGCAAGATGTATAAACAAAGTTTGCTCTCATGAAGCTACACAGGGACAGACAGTAAGGTCACATTTCACTGTGGTTACACGTACGAAAGACAAGATTTTAAGTTGTAATCCACAAGAAAAAACAACAGTAATAACATTAGCCTAATCTTAATCTATTTGTTCTCCTCTTTCATTAATCCTTTAGTTAAATAAAATGTTTAATCCATTTGCACCAAGTATCACATTCTGTCTTTCAAAGTCCAACATAATGAAAACATTTGCTTCCCTCCTTCCTTCAGTAATCAAAGCTACCTTCTATCATTCCAGCTCTTCAGTAGCTCGCTCTTTCTCCTTTCCCCATTCTCCTTCCTTTGGGTATCTTCCTACCTTCCCTTAATTGAAAGCTGATGTCCTACCTTCCCTTAATTGAAGGCTTGAAAGAATGTGCACTCTCTATTTTCAGAGGCTCTGTCATCAACACAGCTGCCTGGTATCCTGTCATTGCCCGTCTCTGTCAGTTAATACAGGAACACAAAACTTCAGTGACATTATGCAAATGTGTAACTTTCCCTGGAGACGAACTGCTTGGATGCCAATGTGTAAGTAGCACTGAAATAGCACATTGTCCACTTAGACAGCTGTGACCTACTCTAATATGTGTCACAAAAGCGAAGAAAAATTATCTTGACCTCATTTGCTAAGGGAATCTACAATGTCTAGAGTAGAATGCCATTCTTGACCAAAGGTCTCATAAGACAAACATGCCTTTAGAATTCTGTAATCTATACCATTTAGGAGGAGCCATCAATAGAAGTGGAATTTAAAGCTTAATGAGAAAAGTTGCTTATCCTAGTGCTCCAACAGGAAATGTCTTTCTGTGATCCACACCACATCCAAAATAAAGAGGAAGCAGAGAAAGTCTATTCTTCTGGTTTTTGTCAAGCTCTTCCCTCCCTTCCCCTCCCCTCACCACTCCTCTCTTCTTTCATCCTTTTGAGAAAGTCTATTCTTCCAGTTTTAGTCAAGCTCTCCTCTCCTCTCCTCTTCTTTTCTCTCTTCTTTTATCCTTTCCTGAAAGTTCATTAGGCCAATTCAACTAATCTAGAGGTAATAAAATTCCAAGATGCCAAGCCATATAAACAATTGTTATTTAAGCATACTATTAAACTTACCTATAATTGCACCTCATGGCCATTTTGGCCACTAATACTCCTAGTCTTCCTTTTCTTTCACTCAACAAATATTTCTTAACTATTAGCCATGATCAAGCACTTAAATACGTTCTGGGAAAGCTGGGCACAGTGGCTCATGCCTGTAATCCCAGCACTTTGGGAGGCCGAGGCTGGCTAATCAACTGAGGTCAGGAGTTGGAGACCAGCCTGGACAACACGGTGAAACCCCATCTGTACTAAAAATACAAAAAAAAAAAAATAGCTTGGCATGGTGGCAGGCACCTGTAATCCCAGCTACTCAGGAGGCTGAGGCAGGAGAATCGCTTGAAACTGGGAGGCGGAGGTTGCAGTGAGCTGAGATCGCGCCATTGCACCCTAGCCTGGGCAACAAGAGCGAAACTCCATCTCAAAAATAATAACAATAAGTTCTGGGAAAAGCACCATATTGAATCACAAAGGGCCTATTCTCAATGGGCTTGCAACCTAGTAGGAGAATTAAGATATGTATGCACATAAAATCAGTGAGACTGCGCATGTTTTGATGATCTCCAAGGATCTCAATGAGAAGGTAATATTTACAGGGAATGATAAAGGAAGGAAGTTATAATGATTTTCTTGTTGTAGCTATAACAAATTACCACAAACTTGGTGGCTTAAAAACAACACAAATTTACTCTTGTAGTCCTGGAGGGCAGAAGTCTAAACTTCATCTAAACTTCACCTTAGAGAGTTAAAATCAAAATGTCAGCAGGTCTGCTTCCTTCTGGAGGCCAACCCATGCTTCCTACAGAATCTAATGGCTGCTTTGGCATTTCTTTTTTTGTTTGTTTGTTTTGTTTTTGTTTTGAGATGGAGTCTCACTCTATCACCCAGGCTGGAGTGCAGCAGCGCGATCTTGGCTCACTGCAACCTCCGCCTCCCGGGTTCAAGTAATTCTCTGCCTCAGCCTCCCAAGTAGCTGGGATTACAGGTGCCTGCCACCACGCCCGGCTAATTTTTGTATTTTTAGTAGAGACGGGGTTTCACCATCTTGGTCAGGTTGGTCTTGAACTCCTGACCTTGTGATACACCCACCTTGGCCTCCTAAAGTGTTGGGATTATAGGCATGAGCCACCGCACCTGGCTGGCATTTCATAATTTGTAACTGCATCACTCTAATAACTCCCCTTCTGACTTCACATCACCTTCTTCCAATCTGGTCTCCTCTTATATGGAGACCCTTGTGATCATATCAGGCTCACCTAGGTAATGCAAAATAATCTCCCCATCCTAAGATGCTTAACTAAATCACATCTGCAAAAATCTCCTTTTGCCATGGAAGGTAACATGTCCACAGGTTCCAGGGATTAGGACATGGACATCTTCGGTGAACAGGAGCTGCATTATTTAGCTTACCACAGAGGTGTTCCAGACCTAGGGAGCTTTCTAACAAAGTCATGGAAGCAGGTAGGGATACCATTGTTTGAGGAATGGCAATGTGCAGTGGAGATAGGGAACCTCCATGTATGTGATGGGCAAAACACTACCAAGGAGGCTGAAAACTTTATTTAAAGACAACTGAGGCAGGGTGCGGTGGCTTATACCTGTAAACCCAGCACTTTGGGAGACTGAGGCGGGTGGATCACTTGAGGTCAGGAGTTCGAGACCAGCCCAGCCAACATGATGAAACCCTGTCTCCACTAAAAACACAAAAATTAGCCAGGCGCGGTGGCGGCCTCCTGTAATCCCAGCTACTCAGGAGGCTGAGGTAGGAGAATCGCTTGAACCCGGGGGTGAGGAAGTTGCAGTGAGCCAAGATCACCGCCACTGCCCTCGAGATCACCGCCACTGCCCTCCAGTCTGAGCAAGAGTGAAACTCTGTCTAAAAAAAAAAAAAAAGACAACTGAAAGAAGCAATCAGAAGTGTGCAGCAGAAGATTTTTTAAAATTAACATGGTGTCAATATACGGGATGATGCACAATAGGAATCTCAAATATAAATGTTACAGAAGCCCAACAGGTACCTTAAATGCTCTTATTATGGGGAGAACAAGATCCGGGCAGCACCTTGGAGGACAGGAGAGCCCAGGCTCCACTCCAAAAAGGCCAGCGCTGGGCAGCCCAAGCCAGCTGCTGCTCTAAAAGGATATGGACTCAGTGGTGTCATAGCATCAGATTTTTCAAAAAAAATAAAAAAGAGAGAAATCAAGATTTTATAGACCATCTTCCAATTTTTAAATATTAAAAACTATTCGGTTTTCTTTAAAAAAAATCAAAAAACATTGTAAAGTTAAAACAACATGTCTGTTAGCCTGACACAGCCCACAACTGGCAGTTTGCAGGCTCTGCACTAGGGGAAGGCAAGACCAGTCAGGTGACTTCATCCAGTGCTCAGGGCCAGTCCCTGCTCTGCACATGGAAGTGCAACTGAGATTAGAAACACGGTGAGACACCTAATCCCTGCACTGCCCTTTCATGAATCTCGACCTGCTAACATATTCATCTACCGTCTAGTTGGGGAAACAGAACATAGAGAGGATAATTGACCCCAAAAGGTCAGATGTGCTAAGTGTCAGTAAGTGTTACATTAACAAATGCTATAGGAGTCAAAAGAACACTTTGCTAGTGTAGTCTGGGAGAAGGCCTTTTGGATAGTCTATTTCCCAAAGGCTAGTCTCAGTTTTTTGGGCCCAGTTCTTACCTGTTCAAGCAAAGTTTTTCATTCCAGCAGCAGACATGGCTGGGGCCTACTCTACAGCCAATCTTATCCCTGGACTTTTCTTACTATTACAGCCTGGATTCTGTATAAGAATCCATGTGTTTCAGGAGAACCTAGGCCCCTCCTCAACTCTGGGGATAAATCTTGTGTAGCATAAGCCAATCAAGGCAACTCCATTTCCCTTCCCAGTTTCAGAGTGGGTCCAACAATGGTGTTTTGACCATTGAGATGTGAAGGCAAATCTGCTGGGTGACTTATAAAGGAGTGTTCTCGGCTCTTATAAAAGGATGGACACTCTTTCAGACACTGAAACTTACTGTGTGATGTCTGGAGCTGTTGCAGTCATCTTGTGTCCATGCTGGGGACAATATGAGAAGAAGAATCAACATGCTAAAGGTGGCATAGCCCAAAGATGGCATGCACCTGCATCAGTGGTAATGTCAGCTGCTGAAAGTTAGTATGGGAATGCTACACACCTGGTGTGCAGTTGATTGGTTTCATAACCATAAGGAAGGGAATACCATTGTTATAAAAGTCAGGCCTAACAGGAACTGGCAGTGGAATGTGAGAGGGGGCCTCTGGAAAGAAAAGGACAGACCCTGTGCCTTCATGCAAGTGAAGATCTGGCTGAACCAATTCCACAAGGTTATTGCGTACATAGCCTGAGTTTAAAAGGTTGTGCCCACTTTGAAGAATCAGTCATTGTTAGACCTTGGTAAAATGTCTAACTTCCTACCTGGATAAAGAAAGTAAAATCTTTAAAAAAAAAAAAAAATAGAAAAAGTCAGGACTTTCATCACCAAAGGCAGATTAGTTGGAAGAGTAGCAAGAAGAGTGGGAAAGATGAGTACAGCGAAGTGTCAAGGGAGCAACTAAGAGAACTGACTGCAGAGGCTTGAGGCAGTAATAATGGGAGCAGGTCCAGCAACAGCAGGAGGATACCAACCACAGTAGCACAGGAAAGGGGCAAGCTCCACCTATATCAGGCCCTGAGGGTATTGCTAAGAACACACCAGTCCAGCCAGACCAGCAATCTGGAGGCCATTTAGTGAAAAGGAAAAGATTTCTTTAAAAGAAAAACTTCATTAACTGCCTACAGAACCTCAAATAGTGTCACACTGAAACCTTGCTACCTATTAGCAAAACCTGGGGACATTTGAGATATGAGAAAGTTAATTTCCAGTCATTTAGTAGCAAGCTAAATTCTGTCAATTCAAACTTGGAAATAATTAAGATTATAGCTGCTAAAGAGGGTACAGGCAGTGATAAATTAAAATACAGTGGGGGCTGGGCACAGTGGATCACGCCCATAATCCCAACACTTTGGGAGTCCAAGGTGGGAGGATTGCTTGAGCCCAGGAGTTTGAAGCCAGCCTGGACAATATAGTGAGAACTTGTCTCTACAAAAAATAAACAAAATTAGTCAGGAGTGGTGGCACGTGCCTGTAGTCCCAGCTACTTGCTACTGGGGAGGCTGAGGTGGGAGGATTGCTTGAGTTCAGGAGGTTGAGGCTGGAGTGAGCCAAGATCATGCCACTGCACTCCAGCCTAGATAACAGAGGGAGAACTTGTATCAAAAAATAATAATAATAAATAATAAATGATAAGATACAGTGGGTTAAAACAATTGGGTACACAGGTGGATGCACAAAGCAAAAGAACAAAGACAAGAAGCAGTAAAATCTATATTCATCCTAAAAGAGAAAGTTGAGATTTTTATGCAGTTTAAGTAGAATACAGTCATGCCACTTAACAATGACATACATTCTGAAAAATGCATCTTCAGGTAATTTTGTCATTGTGCAAACATCAGAGTGTACTTACACAAACCTAAATGGTATAGCCTACTACACGCCTAGGCTATACGGTATAACCTACTGCTCCTAGGCTACAAACCTGTACAGCATGTTACTGTACTGAATACTGCAGGCAGTTGTAACACACTGGAAAGTATGCATATCTAAAGATACCTAAACATAGGGAAGGTACAGTAAAATACTATATAAATGATAAGAAAGGGTACACCTGTATAGGGCACTTACTATAAATGGAGCTTGCAGAACTAGAAGTTGCTCTGGGTGAGTCAGTGAGTGAGTAGTGAGTGAATGTGAAAGTCTAGAACTTTACCATATACTATTCTAGTCTTTATAAACACTACACACCTAGGCTACACTGAATTTATTTTAAAATATTTTTATTTCTTCAATAATAAATTAACATTAGCTTACTAGGTGACTCCATCGTATATGCAGTCAGTTGTTGACTGAAATCCGCTATGCAGCACGTGACTGTAATTTAATTAGAAAAAGCTTTTACTAATAAAATACTACTTAATTGAAGTATGACCTAAAGATCAGAAAAAAAGCTAGTCACACTGAAAATTATAGACCAAGTAAAGCTGATAAGAAATGGTCTATTAGAAAGACAATTTGAGTACCTTGACTACAATCCTTATACAGGATTCTCAACAGAAAGTATAGGATGATTCTCTGAACCTATTTATTGATAAATGCATATATAAATTATTTTTATTAGCAAATGTATCATTTCCTGAGTAATATGTATTTTCTGAAGGTGCTGATATTGTCTGAAAGTCTCCTATAACTTTAAGAAGGTATAGGTATTTAGGGGGAAACTGTTAGCAAACTATGATACCACTAAACAATTTTCCAACTTCAAAGTTAAACTTAATACTATATAGTCTGTCCATTTCAAGGTCAAAATGCCATCTATCTGGATGACTACCTTACTAAAATGCTGTCCCAGTAGGAGCCAGTGAATTATATACTTAGGGAATTTGACTAGCATGAGATAGTCACTTGCCTAAATATCAATACTTCAAGTGTCTTGTAAAATATAATCTTATATATTATAAGGTTTTTTATAATGTAAAATATTATATTTGTATTCCCAGCTATATATTATCCAAATTGCCTTCATTAGTGATTCTCTTTCTCTATCTCTGTCTATATATATATACATACACACACACACACATATATATATGGTTTTAATATATGGGATGGGTGATATTCACATGTTCACATTCCCATGGTTACACAGATTTTGATGAAACAAAGAAACAGCTGGGAACTAAAGCATTTCTACATAGTCCTATGGATGTAATGTAGATGTAAGATTCACCAACCTATTTACATTTTCTTTATAATTTTCTTCCTTATAATAAATTTATCCACTTGGTAAAATAAAAAATAATTAAAATTGCAACTTAAAAGAATTTAAGTGATTCATAATCCCTCAAGTATTATCAGTACATTAATAACAGTTGCATTCCATGAAGACTGAATTATGAACAATTTCCACCTAGCTAACTAATTATAACTCAATCATTTTCCTTCCATACCAGAAAACAAATGAGAGAGATATACTTGGATCCACCTTAAGTTTTAACAAAAGGTATCTCATTTAGAAAACTTCAGTATTCTCATTAATAACAAATGACCATACCTTGGTTCACAACCTATTTTATCACATACATATAAGTGTGGCTTGGCATCATTTTTGAGAACTGTCTATTAAATGCAAACTAGTGTGTGTTTGTAAAAGAAAAAATGTTCAATTTTATATGTTTGTGCTTTTGGTGAAAAAAAATGTGCTCAGCATAATAATTCTGAGTCATTATAGAACGTGCGTTTGGAAAGTAGGGTCAGTATATATTAATAATTTTTATTACTTTATATCTCCCAAAGTCACTGCATTGATTCTACCTATGGACTAGAATTTAACGGGAATGTGAAATGCTACTGTAGAAGAAACTGCATAAGAAAATTCATTTTTTATGCGATCCTTTTTTCGATCTCATTATGACCTTGATATGCAATTGCTAATGTTCCTTGTGCCTGGTGATACAAAATGGTAGGGGGCAGGACAGTGGAAGAAGTACCTTAAAGGACTTAGGGCTATGAGTTGATAGTAAAGCTCAATGAGTCAACAGTGGCAGGAGGCAATCAAAAAGATAGCACACGTTCTTTATTAGAAACGTAATATCCAGAATGAATTCTCTTCTCTGCCTCTCAGACTATGCTTTGATTAATATGTGCTGTCTGAACTCCACTTTCTTGAATGGGCTATGAATAAACAGTTTTCAGAGAAGAATGACTGAGATTGGGAAGGAGCTAGAAATCCTGTTATAAAATAAACTGCTTGAGGACATTAAGTGAAGTAAAATGAGCCGGTCACACACAAAAAGAGAGAAATTATTCATGATTCCATTTATTTGAGGTATTTAGAGAAATCAAAACATAGAGACAGAAAGTAGAATGGTGGTTGGCAGGAGCTGGGGGTAGGAGGAATGAGGAGTTGTTGTTTAATAGGTATAGAGTTTCAGTTTTGCAAGATAAAATGATTTCTGAAATTGGATATTAGTGATGGTTGCACAGCAGTGTGAATGTACATAGTAAAACTGAACTGTGCACTTAAAAATGGCTAAAATGGTAAATTTTATGTTACATATATTTTACTGTAATTTAAAAGATTTTAAAAAGAAGCTGCTGAAGGAAACTGCTCAATCAGAAAAGAGAAGCAACTATGGGGTGGAAGATAAAGAAAGGGGAAAGTATGCTAATGAAGACTTACTACATGGAAAATAATTATCTTTATTCTTGTTTCTTCAAGGAAAATCCAGCACCAACCAGTGTTAGCTACTGGGCTACAAATTTCAGCTCAACATAGATAAGAGAAATTCAACAGTCAGAATGTAAGACTGAAAGATACATGGAATGAACTATTGATACAGGATCTGTGGTCCATGGTATTAGTGACCCTGGGATAATATATGTTCTAGGAACCAGTCAGTAGCAAGACAGGGGTAGTGTAATACAAAAGAGAATTAGGAGGGAGTCAGAAGCCCTGAGTGTAAGTCTATCTTCCCCACTCATTAGCCATTTTCTTTGCTGTTTCTTAATGTCCTTAAGACAAGAGCTTGTCTCAATTAATAGCTTGTCTATTCATTTGCCAGGACTTCCATAACCAAATACCACAGGCTGGGTGGCTTACATAACAGAAATTACACAACAGAAGATATAATTGTTAGATGGTTTTAAAAAAATCTAGAGATAACTAGTATAGCTACTGAGTGTCTTAGTGCCTTTCGGTACAACCTTCCTGTTTCTGACACTTGACAAAAATAGGCAGCTCCCTTAACACTCAGGCTGAAAGAAGCCTGGTGTTACTAACTCTACCCATAAACAGAGTTCCTACCCAATAATCCCTCTTAGATATTAAATTTGACTCAATATCCAAGGTCACCAGAAAATGAGAATAATATATAACATTAAAGAAGAAAACCAAAATAAGCAAACAGGAAAACTGACCCCAGATGAAACTGAAACTATTTTGTATCTTCAAAGATAGGGAAGAGGATATTGCCTGCATAAAACAAGAAATTTGTAACATTTGGAAAAAAAGAAGCGTGCCTAGAAATCAGTTTTTGAAATAAACTTTTAAATAAAAAAGATAGAAATAAAGCAAGGAAATCTCCCAGAAGGTAAACTAACAGACAGAAGTTTGAATAATTTAAGGAAAACTGTTTTTAACAAATAAAAAAATAGCAGGGCGCAGTGGCTTACACCGTAATCCCAGCACTTTGGAAGGCTGAGGTGGGTGGATCACGAGGTCAGGAGATGGAGACCATCCTGGCTAACACGGTGAAACCCCGTCTCTACTAAAAATACAAAAAAAATTAGCCGGGCGCGGTGGCGGGCGCCTGTAGTCCCAGCTACTCGGGAGGCTGAGGCAGGAGAATGGCGTGAACCCGGGAAGCGGAGCTTGCAGTGAGCCGAGATTGCGCCACTGCAGTCCGCAGTCCGGCCTGGGCGACAGAGCGAGACTCCGTCTCAAAAAAAAAAAAAAAAAAAAATTAGTCGGGCGTGGTGGCAGGCACCTGTAGTCCCAGCTACTCGGGAGGCTGAGGCAGGAGAATGGTGTGAACCCGGGAGGCGGAGCTTGCAGTGAGCTGAGATTGCGCCACTGCACTCCAGCCTGGGTGACAGAGCAAGACTCTATCTCAAAAAAAAAATAAAATAAAATAAATAAATACATAAATAAAAATAAAAAATAAAAAAATTAAACCCAGTAGTTCAAATTTTACTATCATGCCTTGTGCAGTGGATTGAATCTGTAATCCCAGCTACTTTGGAGGCTGAGGTTTTTGAGGCCAGGAGTTTGAGACCAGCCTGGATAATATAGCCTGGGCAATATAGTAAGATGCCCATTAACATTAAACATATATATATTTATTTAAATACATGTACACATATATATTTACTATCAGGTATATAAAGGAAAAAAAAACAGAGAAAATGTGTATATACTGGATGGAATTTTTTAAAATACAGATTTGTGTAACTTCAAACTCAGAGATTCTGATTTAAGAACTCAAGGTCAGACCCTGATAACTATAATTTTACAAATGTCTCATATGATTTTCATTCCAGTGCAGTCGCTGAAGAAAGCTGATGCTACTTGAAATTACCTTCAATTAGAAGGTTGGGTAGGAGAAGGCATAGAGAACAGAAGGAAATTGGTGAACCAGAAAAGCTGAGTACTCATCTCAAAAAGCATTTCTCTTCTGATCCTCTACCCATATATCCTGTAAAACTTGTACCAAAGGGAAACAAAAAAGCTTATATTTCACCTCAAGGCTAAAGAGAGGTGATCCAATATCCTGCAGAGTTTATGCTTTATTTTTCTGAGAAAGATCTCTCTGCAAAAGGACAAGACTTGAGAAGTGCATTTTGTTATAGAAGATGCAGAGTTCCAGGAAAAGCGAAATATGGTGGAGAGGTTAGTTAGTGGAAGAGAGTAGGAAGTGTGCCCTCCTGGAATCATATAAGGATGCATCCCATTCATTAAAGGCAACCCAAACCTTTGGAAGGATATTGATTGTCCTGTGCTTGATTAAACAAGGAGAAATCAGACCCTATTAAGTTGACGAATCTCTTTTCTAGCCAAATATTCTAAATTCTTCTACTATGGCATGCTGCCAGACACCCAGAATTTATAAAAATTTCTTCAAGAAAAGCTATGAATGTGATAGTAAAAAAGTGAGAGGATGGTAGGATGCTAATGGCTAATCATGCAGAAATTCTTTAAAAAATATTAGAATAATAACTTCCAGCTTATGCTCTTACTGAAAGAAAATTATATGTGAATCATAGTGACTGACTTAATGGATAATACTAATAAGAGAAATAAGCGTTAAAGCTGTTGAACACTGTATGCCGAACTCTGACGAAGCATTTTACATGTGTCTACTTATTTAAGTTCACAATAACCCTGTAAGGTAGGTTTAAGTGGTAAAGTAACATCCCCAGGTTCTTACATTTCGGGTCAGTTGTCAGAGAAAGAATTTGAATCTAACAGTCTGGCTTCAGAATCCATCTTTTTTTTTTTTCACGTTTAACCTACTTTTATTCATGCTTGCCTTGGGATGGTAAATAGATCACTCAGTAAAAACATACAGTAAAAACAAAATGTCTTATTATGTACAACCTTTAAACTACAATAATAATATGCCTTAATTACTTCTATGCACACCAGAATCCATCTTAACCACTAAACTTATAAGCTTTACGCTGACCACGGAAATGGAGAAAACACCATAAAAATATGACAAGATAGGGAAGGTCAACAGCTAGGACAAAAATAATAAGAATAGGTGAAGGATAGAGTAAAATGATAGGAATAATACTATTAACTTCAAATCTACTGGGACACAACATGAAAAATAACAGGCATAGGATTTTACAGCAAAATTACAGATGCTATCTTAGGTATCCCCAAGATATGGTGGCATGTAAATCATGGCTAGAATGTGGATAATGCAATAAACAGATCTAATAGAAAGAAGAAGAATTATAGTATCAAACACTCTGGAAACCAACACATTTTAAAGTGGATCATCTGGTGGAGAACATTTAGTTGAGAATTAACAGATAATTAAAAAGTAAAAACTTTGAGAAAGTAAAGAAAGATTGTAGAGCCTGACATAGCTACTATGTTTCTAGTGCTAATTATAAAACTCCCCAAATCTAGCAGTGATGGGCCTTCTTTGCTCCTCAGGAAGCAGATGCAGTGGAAAGAGTATGAGCACTAACATAGCACAAAACTGGGTTTAAATCCCATGTCTATCATTTATCATTTTGACTTTTTGCAAAACTACTGACATTTCCTGAGTCTCAACTGGAAAATGGGAACAATTTTCTTTACTATATTCTTTTGAAATAATTAATTCAAAATAACACATAAATACATTACAGGTCCACTAAATGTCAGTCTTCTTCTGCTGGAACTCTTGTTATGCTGAAAATAGAAAATATAATAAATGTTTGACTTTCTTTGCTAACCACACGGCCTCCTGAAGATGAAGGAGAAAAACCACCGTGTTGCACTGATTGCTGAACAATTAGAGAAACTGAAATTGAATCAGAAAAAATAAAGGATATTGTAGGTGGTGAAAACATAATGAAAACCTTGAGAAGATCTACCCACACCATCTTGGAATATGTGATAATAAACACAGGCGTGAGATGAAAATGAGCAATGGTATGTTCTATTAAATGCAAGTAATTTGTTTTCAGAGTAGGACCTACTTCACACTATAAATTATTAAAATTTCCTTTCAATATTTTCCCCTGTATACTATAATTTGACATCAATGGTAGGCACCCTCCTAACTAAACAATGGATCAAAGAAGAAATTTCAAGGGAAATTAGAAAATAATTTGATACTAATGAAAATAAAAACACAATGTACCAAAACTTATAGGATGCAACTAAATCAATACTTAGGGGGAAATTGATACCTGTAAATTCCTATATGAAGAAAAGAAAGATCTCAAATCAGTAAGTTAACCTCATACCTTAAGAAACTAAAAAAGGATGAGCAAACTAAGTCACAAGCAAGCAGGAAGGAAATAATAAAGATGAGAGTGGATATAAGTGAAAGAGAGACTAGAAAAACAATAGAGAGGGAGGAGCTGGTCTACAGCTCCCAGCGTGAGCGACGCAGAAGACGGGTGATTTCTGCATTTCCATCTGAGGTACTGGGTTCATCTCACTAGGGAGTGCCAGACAGTGGGCGCAGGTCAGTGGGTGCGCGCACCGTGCGCGAGCCGAAGCAGGGCGAGGCATTGCCTCACTCGGGAAGCGCAAGGGGTCAGGGAGTTCCCTTTCTGAGTCAAAGAAAGGGGTGACAGACGGCACCTGGAAAATCGGGTCACTCCCACCCGAATACTGCGCTTTTCCGACCGGCTTAAAAAACGGCGCACCAGGAGATAATATCCCGCACCTGGCTCAGAGGGTCCTACGACGCCCATGGAGTCTTGCTGATTGCTGGCACAGCAGTCTGAGATCAAACTGCAAGGCGGCAGCCAGGCTGGGGGAGGGGCGCCCGCCATTGCCCAGGCTTGCTTAGGTAAACAAAGCAGCCGGGAAGCTCGAACTGGGTGGAGCCCACCACAGCTCAAGGAGGCCTGCCTGCCTCTGTAGGCTCCACCTCTGGGGGCAGGGCACAGACAAACAAAAAGACAGCAGTAACCTCTGCAGACTTAAATGTCCCTGTCTGACAGCTTTGAAGAGAGCAGTGGTTCTCCCAGCATGCAGCTGGAGATCTGAGAACGGGCAGACTGCCTCCTCAAGTGGGTCCCTGACCCCTGACCCCCAAGCAGCCTAACTGGGAGGCACCCCCCAGCAGGGGCACACTGACACCTCACACGGCCGGGTACTCCAACAGACCTGTAGCTGAGGGTCCTGTCTGTTAGAAGGAAAACTAACAAACAGAAAGGACATCCACACCAAAAACCCATCTGTACATCACCATCATCAAAGACCAAAAGTAGATAAAACCACAAAGATGGGGAAAAAAACAGAACAGAAAAACTGGAAACTCTAAAAAGCAGAGCGCCTCTCCTCCTCCAAAGGAACGCAGTTCCTCACCAGCAACGGAACAAAGCTGGATGGAGAATGACTTTGACGAGCTGAGAGAAGAAGGCTTCAGACGATCAAATTACTCCGAGCTACGGGAGGACATTCAAACCAAAGTCAAAGAAGTTGAAAACTTTGAAAAAAAATTAGAAGAATGTATAACTAGAATAATCAATACAGAGAAGTGCTTAAAGGAGCTGATGGAGCTGAAAACCAAGGCTCGAGAACTACGTGAAGAATGCAGAAGCCTCAGGAACCGATGCGATCAACTGGAAGAAAGGGTATCAGTGATGGAAGATGAAATGAATGAAATGAAGCGAGAAGGGAAGTTTAGAGAAAAAAGAATCAAAAGAAATGAGCAAAGCCTTCAAGAAATATGGGACTATGTGAAAAGACCAAATCTACATCTGATTGGTGTACCTGAAAGTGATGGGGAGAATGGAACCAAGTTGGAAAACACTCTGCAGGATATTATCCAGGAGAACTTCCCCAATCTAGCAAGGCAGGCCAACGTTCAGATTCAGGAAATACAGAGAACGCCACAAAGATACTCCTCGAGAAGAGCAACTCCAAGACACATAATTGTCAGATTCACCAAAGTTGAAATGAAGGAAAAAATGTTAAGCGCAGCCAGAGAGAAAGGTCGGGTTACCCTCAAAGGGAAGCCCATCAGACTAACAGCGGATCTCTTGGCAGAAACCCTACAAGCCAGAAGAGAGTGGGGGCCAATATTCAACATTCTGAAAGAAAAGAATTTTCAACCAGGAATTTCATATCCAGCCAAACTAAGCTTTCTAAGTGAAGGAGAAATAAAATACTTTACAGACAAGCAAATGCTGAGAGATTTTGTCACCACCAGGCCTGCCTTACAAGAGCTCCTGAAGGAAGCACTAAACATGGAAAGGAACAACCGGTACCAGCCACTGCAAAATCAGGCCAAAATGTAAAGACCATCGAGACTAGCAAGAAACTGCATCAACTAACGAGCAAAATAACCAGCTAACATCATAATGACAGGATCAAATTCACACATAACAATATTAACTTTAAATGTAAATGTACTAAATGCTCCAGTTAAAAGACACAGACTGGCAAATTGGATAAAGAGTCAAGACCCATCAGTGTGCCGTATTCAGGAAACCCATCTCACGTGCAGAGACACACATAGGCTCAAAATAAAAGGATGGAGGAAGATCTACCAAGCCAATGGAAAACAAAAAAAGGCAGGGGTTGCAATCCTAGTCTCTGATAAAACAGATGTTAAACCAACAAAGATCAAAAGAGACAACGAAGGCCATTACATAATGGTAAAGGGATCAATTCAACAAGAAGAGCTAACTATCCTAAATGTATATGCACCCAATACAGGAGCACCAAGATTCATAAAGCAAGTCCTGAGTGACCTACAAAGAGACTTAGACTCCCACACATTAATAATGGGAGACTTTAACACCCCACTGTCAACATTAGACAGATCAACGAGACAGAAAGTCAACAAGGATACCCAGGAATTGAACTCAGCTCTGCACCAAGCGGACCTAATAGACATCTACAGAACTCTCCACCCCAAATCAACAGAATATACATTTTTTTCAGCACCACACCACACCTATTCCAAAATTGACCACATACTGGGAAGTAAAGCTCTCCTCAGCAAATGTAAAAGAACAGAAATTATAACAAACTATCTCTCAGACCACAGTGCAATTAAACTAGAACTCAGGATTAAGAATCTCACTCAAAACCGCTCAACTACATGGAAACTGAACAACCTGCTCCTGAATGACTACTGGGTACATAACGAAATGAAGGCAGAAATAAAGATGTTCTTTGAAACCAACGAGAACAAAGACACAACATACCAGAATCTCTGGGACGCATTCAAAGCAGTGTGTAGAGGGAAATTTATAGCACTAAATGCGCACAAGAGAAAGCAGGAAAGATCCAAAATTGACACCCTAACATCACAATTAAAAGAACTAGAAAAGCAAGAGCAAACACATTCAAAAGCTAGCAGAAGGCAAGAAATAACTAAAATCAGAGCAGAACTGAAGGAAATTGAGACACAAAAAACCCTTCAAAAAATTAATGAATCCAGGAGCTGGTTTTTTGAAAGGATCAACAAAATTGATAGACCGCTAGCAAGACAAATAAAGAAAAAAAGAGAGAAGAATCAAATAGACGCAATAAAAAATGATAAAGGGGATATCACCACCGATCCCACAGAAATACAAACTACCATCAGAGAATACTACAAACACCTCTACGCAAGTAAACTAGAAAATCTAGAAGAAATGGATAAATTCCTGGACACATACACTCTCCCAAGACTAAACCAGGAAGAAGTTGAATCTCTGAATAGACCAATTACAGGAGCTGAAATTGTGGCAATAATGAATAGCTTACCAACCAAAAAGAGTCCAGGACCAGATGGATTCACAGCCGAATTCTACCAGAGGTACAAGGAGGAACTGGTACCATTCCTTCTGAAACTATTCCAATCAATAGAAAAAGAGGGAATCCTCCCTAACTCATTTTATGAGGCCAGCATCATTCTGATACCAAAGCCAGGCAGAGACACAACAAAAAAAGAGAATTTTAGACCAATATCCTTGATGAACATTGATGCAAAAATCCTCAATAAAATACTGGCAAACCGAATCCAGCAGCACATCAAAAAGCTTATCCACCATGATCAAGTGGGCTTCATCCCTGAGATGCAAGGCTGGTTCAATATATGCAAATCAATAAATGTAATCCAGCATATAAACAGAGCCAAAGACAAAAACCACATGATTATCTCAATAGATGCAGAAAAAGCCTTTGACAAAATTCAACAACCCTTCATGCTAAAAACTCTCAATAAATTAGGTATTGATGGGACGTATTTCAAAATAATAAGAGCTATCTATGACAAACCCACAGCCAATATCATACTGAATGGGCAAAAACTGGAAGCATTCCCTTTGAAAACTGGCACAAGACAGGGATGCCCTCTCTCACCACTCCTATTCAACATAGTGTTGGAAGTTCTGGCCAGGGCAATTAGGTAGGAGAAGGAAATAAAGGGTATTCAATTAGGAAAAGAGGAAGTCAAATTGTCCCTGTTTGCAGACGACATGATTGTATATCTAGAAAACCCCATTGTCTCAGCCCAAAATCTCCTTAAGCTGATAAGCAACTTCAGCAAAGTCTCAGGATACAAAATCAATGTACAAAAATCACAAGCATTCTTATACACCGACAACAGACAAACAGAGAGCCAAATCCTGAGTGAACTCCCATTCACAATTGCTTCAAAGAGAATAAAATACCTAGGAATCCAACTTACAAGGGATGTGAAGGACCTCTTCAAGGAGAACTACAAACCACTGCTCAAGGAAATAAAAAAGGATACAAACAAATGGAAGAACATTCCATGCTCATGGGTAGGAAGAATCAATATCGTGAAAATGGCCATACTGCCCAAGGTAATTTACAGATTCAATGCCATCCCCATCAAGCTACCAATGACTTTCTTCACAGAATTGGAAAAAACTACTTTAAAGTTCATATGGAACCAAAAAAGAGCCCGCATCACCAAGTCAATCCTAAGCCAAAAGAACAAAGCTGGAGGCATCACACTACCTGACTTCAAACTATACTACAAGGCTACAGTAACCAAAACAGCATGGTACTGGTACCAAAACAGAGATATAGATCAATGGAACAGAACAGAGCCCTCAGAAATAATGCCGCATATCTACAACTATCTGATCTTTGACAAACCTGAGAAAAACAAGCAATGGGGAAAGGATTCCCTATTTAATAAATGGTGCTGGGAAAACCGGCTAGCCATATGTAGAAAGCTGAAACTGGATCCCTTCCTTACACCTTATACAAAAATCAATTCAAGATGGATTAAAGACTTAAATGTTAGACCTAAAACCATAAAAACCCTAGAAGAAAACCTAGGCATTACCATTCAGGACATAGGCATGGGCAAGGACTTCATGTCTAAAACACCAAAAGCAATGGCAACAAAAGCCAAAACTGACAAATGGGATCTAATTAAACTAAAGAGCTTCTGCACAGCAAAAGAAACTACCATCAGAGTGAACAGGCAACCTACAAAATGGGAGAAAATTTTCACAACCTACTCATCTGACAAAGGGCTAATATCCAGAATCTACAATGAACTCAAACAAATTTACAAGAAAAAAGCAAAGAACCCCATCAAAAAGTGGGTGAAGGACATGAACAGACACTTCTCAAAAGAAGACATTTATGCAGCCAAAAAACACATGAAAAAATGCTCATCATCACTGGCCATCAGAGAAATGCAAATCAAAACCACAATGAGATACCATCTCACACCAGTTAGAATGGCAATCATTAAAAAGTCAGGAAACAACAGGTGCTGGAGAGGATGTGGAGAAATAAGAACACTTTTACACTGTTGGTGGGACTGTAAACTAGTTCAACCATTGTGGAAGTCAGTGTGGCTATTCCTCAGGGATCTAGAACTGGAAATACCATTTGACCCAGCCATCCCATTACTGGGTATATACCCAAAGGATTATAAATCATGCTGCTATAAAGACACATGCACACGTATGTTTATTGCGGCAGTATTCACAATAGCAAAGACTTGGAACCAACCCAAATGTCCAACAATGATAGACTGGATTAAGAAAATGTGGCACATATACACCATGGAATACTATGCAGCCATAAAAAATGATGAGTTCATGTCCTTTATAGGGACATGAATGAAATTGGAAATCATCATTCTCAGTAAACTATCGCAAGAACAAAAAACCAAACACCGCATATTCTCACTCATAGGTGGGAATTGAACAATGAGATCACATGGACACAGGAAGGGGAATATCACACTCTGGGCACTGTTGTGGGGTAGGGGGAGCGGGGAGGGATAGCATCGGGAGATATACCTAATGCTAGATGACGAGTTAGTGGGTGCAGCGCACCAGCATGGCACATGTATACATATGTAACTAACCTGCACAATGTGCACATGTACCCTAAAACTTAAAGTATAATAAAAAAAAAAAAAGGAATGAAATGAAAAAAAAAAGAAAAACAATAGAGAAAATCGATGTAACCAAAATTCGTTGTTTGAAAGGACTAAGAAAATTGGCAAAAATTTGCTTAGCTTGACTAAGAAAAAAAAAGAGAAAAATATATTAAAATCAGGAATAAAAGAGGGGACATTGCTACTGAGTTTATAAAATTAAAAATCATTATAAGGAAATACTAGGAACAATTGTATAACAAAGAATTAGATTAACCTAAATGAAATGGACAAATTTCTGAAAAATACACATCTCTGAAACTCACTCAAGAAGAAATTTTAAAATCTTAGTAAACTTTTAAGAGAAAAGAGATTGAACTAGTAGTCAAAAAAACTTCCCACAAAGAAAAAGCCTGGGCCCAGATGGCTTCCCTGATAAATTCTATCAAACACTTAATAGACTAACACCAATCCTTTGCCAACTTTTCCATAAAAAATAGAAGAGGAGGAAAAACTTTCCAACTCATTTTATGAGTCCAGATACAAAAACCAGACAAAGACATCACAAGAAAACAATAGACCAACATCTCCTATGAATATAGTCAGAAAAATCATTAACACAATACTAGTAAACTGAATCCAGAAACATATAGAAAGGATTATATATCATGACCAAGTGGCATTTGTCCCAGGAATCAAGAGTTTTTCTAATATATGACAATCTATCACTGTAACACATTATGTTAATAGAATAAAGGACAAAACCCACATAATCATCTCAATAGATGGAAAAAAAGCATTCAACAAAACCCAAAACCTTTTCATTATAAAAATACTCAGCAAACTAGGTACAGATGAGAACAGAACTTCTTCAACTTGATAAAGAACATGAATTTTTTAAAAACTCACAGCTAACATCAGACTTAGTGCTGAAAGATTGAAAGCTTTCACCCTAAGATAAGGAACAGGACAAGAATGTCCACTCTTGCCACTTAATTCAACATTGTACTGGAGGTTCTGGTATGGTCAATTATGAAATAAAAATAAATAAAAGGCATCAGAGTATAAGAAATAAGTAAAACTGACTCTATTCATACCCAACATTATATTGTATATAGAAAATCATAAGAAATCCACAGAGAAACTATTAAAACTAATAAATGAACTCATCAAGGTTGCAGGATACAAGATCAATACACAAAAGTCAACTGTATTTCCATACATTAATAATAAAAAATTAGAAAATGAGGTTAATAAAACAATTCTATTTACAGTAGCATCAACAATATTGAGGAATAAATTTAACAAAAGATATATCAGACTTACACATTGAAAAAGCTATAAAACATCATTGAAGTAAGTATTTAAAAACTAACTAGGCCAGGCCCGGTGGCTCACCCCTGTAATCCCAGCACTTTGTGAGGCTGAGGTGGGCAGATCACTTGAGCTCAGGTGTTCAAGACCAGCCTGGCCAACATGGTGAAACCCCATTGCTACAAAAATACAAAAATTAGCCGGGCATGATGTTGGGTTCCTGTAATCCCAGGTACTTGAGAGGCTGAGGCCGGAGAATCACTTGAACCTGGGAGGCGGAGGTTGCATTGAGCCGCGATCATGCCATTGCACTCCAGCCTGGGCAACAGAGTGAGACTCCATCTCAAAAAAAATAAATAAATAAAAATAAAAATAATAAATAGTAAATAATAAATTAAAAAATAAAAGGTAACTAAATAAAAAACCCATCCTATGTTCATAAATTGGAAGACTTAATATTGTTAAGATAGCAATACTCCCCAAATTGATTTACAGATTCAATGTGATTCCCAAAAAAACTCCATCTGCCTTATTTTTTTGGCAAAAATGGACAAGCTGGTTCTAAAATTCATGTAGAAATTCAAAAGACAGAATTGCTAAAACAATATAATAAAAGAAGAACAAAGTTGGGAAATTAACATCTCTCAATTTCAGAACTTACTACAGACTTCAGTAATCAAGGTAGTGTGATACTGGCATAAAACTAGTCATATAAATTAAGGAATAGAATTTGAGAGTCCAAGAATAAACCTTTACATTGATGGTCAATTGATTTTTGACAAGGATGCTAAGGTCGTCCAGTGGGGAAGGAATCATCTTTTCAACAAATAGTGCTGGGACAACCAGATATCCACATGCAAAAGAATTCAGCAGAATTCCTATCTGAAACCGTATGCAAAAACTAACTCAGAGTAGATTATAGATCTAACCATAAGGGTTAAAACCATTAAACTTTTAGAAGGTATTATAGGAGTAAATCTTCATGTCCTCAGATTAGGCAACAGTTTCTCAGATATGACACCAAAAGCACAAGTGGCAAAAGCAACAACAAAAAAAAGATAAATAAGACATCATCAAAATTTAACAGGTATTGTTTCAAAGAATACCATCAAGAAAGTAGAAATACAACTCACAGCATGGGAGAAAATATTTGCAAATTGTATATCTGACAAGGCACTTGTATCTAGCATATACAAAGAACACTTACAACTCAATAATAAAAAGGCAAACTACTCAATCAAATCATGGGCGAAGAGGTGAATAGGCCTACCTCTCCAATGAAGATAAACAAATGGTCAATAGGCACATGAAAAGATATTTGACATTATTAGTTATCAGGGAAATGTAAATCAAAACCACAATGAGAGGCTGGGTACCATGGCTTACACCTGTAATCCTAGCACTTTGGGAGGCCGAGGTGGGTGGATCACTTGAGGCCAGGAGTTCGAGACCAGTCTGGCCAACATGGGGAAATCCTGTCTCTACTAAAAATACAAAAATTAGCTTGGTGTGGTGGTGCATGCCTGTAATCCTAACTACTTGGGAGGCTGAGTCATGAGAATTGCTTGAGCCTTGGAGGTAGAGGTTGCAGTGAGTGGAGATTGTGCCTCAAACAAAACACAACAACCCACAATGAGATGCTACTTCACATCTATTAGGATGTCTTGAATCAAAAAGTCCAGTAGTGTTGTCAAGGATGTAGAGAAATCAGAATCCTCATACTCTTCTGCTGGCAACATAAAATGGTACAACCACTTTGGAAACCAGTCTAGTAGTTTCTAAAATTATTAAACATAGAGTTACTATATGACCCAGAATTTTACTCCTAGGGATATACCCAAGAGAAATGCAAACATATGTCCTGACGAAGATTTGTATACAAATTTTCAGAGCCATTTTTAAATATTTCTATTTATATAAAATGTTGTAAAGTTTTATTTGTATCAACCATTGATTACAAATTAGTCATAGTAATGTTAAAGTATTTAACTTTTTACTTGATTTTTATTAGACTTACTCATTTCTTGCTTGAGATTCTCAATAGTGCTCTGATAATCAAAACAATAGACATAAAAGAATTCACTTATTTTGGTGTAGCTTTTGGCCAATTAGTACTTGGCAAACAACAACCAGAATATTATCTGAGGTCAGCTTTAACAATTCTTTAATTTTCCTTGCATGTAAATGAGTACATGTGCACACATACAATATTTCTTTCACTGAAGCCACCAAGTAAGTGGCAGGCCAAAAAGAAAAGAAAAAAGAAAAAAAGGCAAGAATCATGTTTAAAACATCACCCATAGAAAAGATAACTCTCAAAATTGACTATATTTTCATTAAGTTCAGAATAGAGAACTTGCTTAGCAGGTGAATCAGTTTGGATTAGGCGTGGCTCCTTACAAAAACAGCGACAACAAAAATCCCAAATAAAAGTAGCTAGACAAGCAGAAGTTTATTTTTCTCACATAAAAGCAATCCTGAGGTTGGCAGTCAAGGGCTGGCATAAGTGTTCCACAATGTCATCAGGAAACCAGACTCTTTTCAGCTTCCCACTCCATATCTGGATGTGATCCTTGTTCAGCAGTATTATCTACTTTGAACAGTAAAATAAAAGAAGACAAGAAGGGCTCACCCAACACTTCTTATGACTGATCACCAGCACTTAGTCTTACAACTAACTGCAATGGACACTTGGAAGTGTAATCCTTTAGTTAAGCTAAAAATATATAAATCTACACTAAGGAAGGAGGAGAGAGTGAAAAGGAGGCAATACCTAGAAATCTCTGCTATAAGAGTGGTGTAACAATCATCAAAATTTCTGTCATTTCGAGTCTAACCAAGCAATGAGCATAAACAAGTTATATTTATAAACTGCACTTAGAAATTTTCAATGAGCTTCCATAAATTAAATGTAAACTTTTAAGTTTTTTTTCTACTTTTATGTGCCAATGGTAATTATCCTGCAGCCATGTTACTCATATATATTTTTCAAAAGCTGTGTGCCAGATCAAAAAGTTATAATGTTCAATGCACACAATGAACTCTGTTTTCAATCACTGTGCAAAAGGGAGGAATGTTTAGAAAAAGCAAGTAATCACTTAAGTAATGGCAGAGTCTGAAACAGATTATAGGGTACCATGTCAATTTCTCAACAAACATGGAGACTTTTCCCCCTGTAGGTGCTTGAAGATGGCTAAAAATTATTTGATTCCTCCTTCTATTGAGGCTGGATTCTACCTCTCTTCTCAGTAACCTGGCTACCCCTGTAATATGCATCTATTAACAGAATGCAGTACAAGAAATGTTATGTAACTTCTGACGCTAAGTCTCAAAGGATTTGCAGTGTTTTCCTTCATTGCTTGAAATACTTTCTTTTGGAACCCAGTTGCCATATACTTAGAAGTCTAAGCCAAGTTGAGAAGCCATGCGTAGAAGGAACAAAATACAAGCCAATGCTAACTGCCAGTCATGTGCATGAATTATATTGGATGATGGAGCCCAGTCAGATCTGCCCTCAGCTGAGATAAAGAGTAAATAGAGTAAAACAATCCAGATGAGCCTGTCAAACCTTATGAAATATGGTACATTTTTTGGGCCACTAAGATTTGTTATACAATAATATATAACTGACACACACACAAAACTGACACACACACCCTCCCACATTAAATCAGTGATAAAATACAATTTGTTTTCATATGGCATTAGATTGAAAATATTTGTTGTCTTTCTAAAATAATGATTCTTAAACTTGTTAAATCATTAGGAAATGCCAATTGCTCCTTATGAATCAAGACTATGCCTTCTCACCTTTAAATCCATACTGCATGGACTAGTAGTAGACTGAGTCACATGTAAATATTTATTTAATAAAAGATTCTTTTCAAGAAATACACATTTATAATGTCAAAAGTAAGTGAGGTATAAAGAATGAAAACTTTTTGATAAGCAGTGTAAAAATCTCAATAAAAGATTTATTCTTTTGGAAATTATTTTGAGCGTTTTAAGGTGAATGACATTTACGGATAGAATGTTTTCCTTCAATAAAAAAAAGGAAGGAATAAAAAAGAAAGCCACTTTTGGTAATCTCTCATTTTGTTAGTCATATTAAATTGACATTTGATTTCTGGCTATTTTTCAAAACATATTTCCTGTACTGTTTGTAGAGTTCTGCAAGTTTAAAGTTCAGAGCCAAATTTGTATTGCATATATGTTTACTACATTGTAAAGAACAAGACTTTTGACTACAGACATTTTTTAGATCCCCCTCATGTGATTACTTTGTGAATTTAATAGTCTATACAATTTAAATCTCCCCTTTCTAATTCTAAAAGGTGATATGGAGTCTATGCATGACTAAGAATTCAATGTAAAGATAAATTTTAATTATAATTTATAATTCTATACTACTGAGAGTATGTAATTATGAAAAACAGCTCAAGAGAATATTCTTTATATTCTTAAAGTTACAAAAATTATGTGGCTTAGAAATAAAGACATTTCATCTAAGAATATCTCCTTATTTAAGAATGTAAATAATTTATTTCAAGAAATTAATTTCTTGAGTAAAAGAGTATGAGTAATCTAGAAATTACTCATACCTTAAAACCATATAAAAATATAATAAACAATATGAACTATTATCAGAACTACATAATCATTGTACCTTTGTATACAACAAACGTATTCCATGATTTTAATAGAATTTCAGGCATTTATTAAAGATATCACTGATTGTGTGGCATCTATAAAACATTTCAATTTAGATAGCTTCGAAATGGCTGACTAAAGGTACCCAGCACTCACCTCCCCCACAAAGAAGGACAAAAGAGCAAGTAGATAGCCCCATGTTGAATGGACCTTCTAAGACAGAACACAGGAATTCAGCAAGGAAATGACAAGAAACCTCTGAATCACCAAAGGATAGAGAATCAAAGCAGTCAGCCTAGTCAGTATTGGCTTGGAGCCAGGAGAAACTCCTCATTGAGGGGAAAAAGTAAGCAAAATATCCCCAGTGAGCCACATTCCCATGCAAACTCCAGCAATGCAGCCAAGGGAGAGCCTCTCAGCCCTCATGGGCCCCAAGACTAGTATAGGGAGCTGCCTGGAGTCCACACAAGAGCTTGGTTCCAGAGAGGGACTTTGCATTGGGTTCCACACACTATCGAGACCCAAGCAACTGCAGCACAGCACCATTTTGAGAACCCACCTTCCACCTGACTACTTCTTGCTCTACCTGCATCTCCACAACCCTGGAGCCCCACTGCCATCCCTCAGAGGGTTGCAGTGTTATGATGCCAACTGGACCCAGCAGTACAGCACATTGTCTAGCACTCTAGCCACACAATATCCTAGACCCCAAAGAACGGGAGGTGAAATGCAACAAGGAGGCTGCCACTGGACAACGGGAGCTAAAGCATACACCTCCCAGAGCCTGAGAGCTGCATGCCCAGGGCTGCTGCTACCACTGTAATCAACCTCCCTTCCTCTGGCAGCAAAGCCACTGCTCATGTCTTCAAGGGGCCTGGGTACTGGCATGAATGAGCATGTCATCCAGGTGCCCAGGGATAAATCTGCCCCACTTGTGGCCTTCAGTACCTGCACACACTACTGGGGGTCCTGAGGACAGTCCCACTCCATCACCACTGCTGTCTGTGCATGCTCCTGGGGGCCTGGGGGTAGGCCTGCCCTGCTGCTGCCACCAGTGCACACATGCACTGTCCAGGGACATAAGAAATGAGACCACCTTACCCACACTACCAGTACCCACATGAACCTCCCTAGGGCCTGGTGACCAGCTCATCCAGCCTACCACCACCACTGCTGGCACCTGTGCATGCCACTCAGCAGAGCTCATGTACCACCACCAATGCCATGCATGCCATCCAGGAACACAAGGCCTACCTGGCCAACTACTGCCAGCACCCAAGCAAGCTGCTTGGAGGCCCAAGGACTGGTCTGCCTAGGCCCACCATTGCTGGCACTCACATACACTACTCAGGGGCCCGAAGACCTGCACACCCAGCTCGCTGCTGCCACCACTGACACCCAAGGACTGGCCCTCCTGGCATCCCTGTCTTGTGCAAAACCTCACCATAGCCTCTGCTAACCACTGCAAGCTAAGCCACTGATGAACTCACAGATGCTGATTGTAGTGAAAAAAATTATACAGACACTATACTACTGCAGCCACTCAGAATCAGAGCCAAAACATCCTACCTAACCAATGCTATAAATACATGAAAAAGTCTTTCTCTACAAAAACCAATCCATAAAATTTGAAGGAGTAACTCATACTAAATGCACAGATATCAACACAAGGACACAATAAATATATAAAAGCAAGGAAACATGATGCCTCCAATGAAAAAACAACACTTCTCCAGTAAAAGATCCCAAAGAAAAGAAAATCTATGAAATGCCTGAAAAATTATTCAAAATAATGATATTAAAGAAACTAAGTGAGATGCAAGAGAACACAGATAAGCAATACAAATAAATCAGAAAAAACAATTTATGGCTATTTTGACTGAGCAACCCTAGTGACAGGAGCCAAAGCAGCAGCATAGGTTGTCCCCATTTCCCTTCCCCTTTCCCTTGTCAGGTGGACTATATGGGCCCTCCTATGCCCCAGAGACTCAGTCCTACCACATCCCAGTAACAAGAAAGAGAGAACCCTGTGGAGAAGACCAACAAGGAGAAACGAAGATGCAGGATAAAGAAGGTATTCTCTCTGAGAGAGTTGAGGAGCCAAAGCTAAAGTCCAAATACCTAAGCCTAGGACAAGAGCCCGGAGGCTCCAACTTCCTCATGAAGAGATTACAGAAAGGGAAAAGGTACTTTGTCTCAGGAGACTACAACATGGCCAAAGCCAAGATGAAGAGTAAGCAGCTTCCAAGTGCAGAACCAAAGAAGAACCTGGTGACTGGTGACCACATTCTGCCCCACAGAAAGTCCTTGGTTATCACCAGCAAGCTTGCAGGGTAACCCAGGCTGCCCTCTCCTCCTACTCCTCACCCCACTGGATGTTTACATATTATAGGCAGGGATGAAATGGACACCTAGTCAGATCTCAGTTACCAGGCAAAAATGACTATGATTCTCCTAGTGGCTTCTGAGAAGGTAATGTAAGTTGAAGGGGGACTCTGAGTCCATTTCTTTGGTTAAATTGAGACTCCTACATCCTCCCTATAATCCAGGTAGGGCCCAGAAATAGGAAAGACTAGGATTGGATAATGCTGCAAATGCTTTCTCTTTTGTGAGAAACTGGAGAGATGTGATTTCTCCTTTTGGAGGAGAATATCCCATAATTGATTAAGCTGAGCCTTGGGAATAATACGGCAGGTTTAACATCCAAAAGCTAACCTGACATAGTTGGGAAAGGTAGATTAAATAAGACATGTTTTTGTGCTTCTAAGTGTTTTGTCCCTTATGCTGCTATTGCTTCATGTTTCCATTACGGCAGGTTTAGAAAATCCTTACAAAGAAAGACAGACTTGCTTGCCTAAAACTACAATGTCCACTTAGCCCCCTTTACTTAGTATCTCTTGCAGTTTGCCCTGGCTCTCAAATAATGTAAAGATTGATGAACATTACTCACAGAAAATGGGCACTTTTTCTCTCTCTCTTCCAACATGTTGCTTTTGAAAATATCGTGGGATAATGGGAAAAGCACTGGTTTAGGAGTCAAGGCATCTGGGTTCTAGTTCTACTTCGTCTCAGCAGAGCTCATGTATAACCTTTAAGTCATTTAGCCTCTCTGGATTTCCATTTCCTCATCGCTAAAATAGAGTTAAATATATATAAAATTGATTCTGATTCTAAAGCCCTATAACTTCCAGCAGAAAAACGCTGTATTGATCATTGTAAAATTAAAAGTGAGGAAGGCCAACAGGTGATGAAGTAATACTGTGCTGCTATGAAATACTGGGAAAGTATTACACAGGGGAACCATTTGAGGGCTACATGAGGAGAGAGAAAGTTGAGATTTGGGAGTTACAAATTCAGGCAAGTGAACCTGAACCTCATATAGGGCATGGTCTTCAGAGTCCAAAAAAAAAAAAAAAGCAGCAGCAGCAGCTACCCATGGAAGCTTCTTGCCTCTGACCCAGTCCACTTTTCCAGTCTACATCGGGGCCTTAGCTTCTTAAAAGCTGCTCTGGCAGCAGAACTGTGCACCTGGGAAGACATGCTCAATCATGCCTGCATATGTGCTGACCCATGGGTCAGATATAATATGATGCCAGGTGTATTTTGGGAAAAAGGGAAGAAAAGGGATAAACTGAACTAGCCTTTGGGGTTTATTACTACAGGGGAGCTGGATGAGGAGGTACTTAGGAGATGATTCACCTTGGAAGAAGCTGGGGAAAGTGTTTAGGGAGACGAGGAAGACTGAGAAATCTCTGCCTTCCCAGAACTCAGCAACCCAGCTCTTATGTGATGTGGAGAAGCAGCAATGCTGGTGATTCATGAACAGGAGGAGGAAAGGACTTGAAAGGGACCAGCATCTACAATCTAGTTCGCCAGCTTGCACTGAATCTTACTGAATACAACCTGCTAGTTATAACAGAGAAGGCCAGGGTGAGAACTAACTATTCAAGAGAGCAAGATTCTGTAATCTTCCCTTGCCCTCTTACATCACAAATTCCAATATACTAAACATTTGGCCCAGTGAGAATGTCTGATGAACTAGCTGATGTGCATGTAGGGGGATAAGGTGTGTATGTACTTCTCTTCTGACTGGCCATTCAATTGTCAGGCTGTCATTCAGATTGGACATGAGAAAGTTGGTAAGGAAGGAATGAAGAGAGCAGGATCTCTGGAGTCCCTGGCCCCTAAACTCCTTGGCTGTCACTTGTATATAATTTTTGTATTTCTGGCTCCATTTCCTCATGCTATCATCCTTAATCGAAAGTCCATATGGGAAGGGGAAAATGCTGAGCATCACTGTATAGTTTCTTCAATGGTCCTAGCAATGTTGCACATAGATATGTCATATTATTACATACATAAACTTTAAAAAGGCATGATCTAGATGAGAAATTCAACAAAAGTTATAAAAAAGCTAAACAGAAATCCTGGAACTGAATAATTTAATCAATGAAATTTTTTAAATGCACCTGAGAGCTCAACAATAGACGAAGTCAAGCAGAAGAATTTTTGACATTGAAAACAGGTTTATAGAAACAAACCAGACAAAGAAAAACAATTTTTAAAAAGAAGAAGAAAGCCAAATAAGATATGGGACACTGTAAAGTGATTAAATATTCAAATTTGGGGTGTTTTGGAAGGAGAAGAGATGATCAGAAGTACAGAGAACCTATATAATTAAATAATATCTGAAGACGGCTGGGTGCAGTGGCTCATGCCTGTAATCCCAGCACTTTGGGAGGCCGAGGTGGGTGGATCACGAGGTCAAGAGATTGAGACCATCCTGGCTAACACAGTGAAACCCCACCTCTACTAAAAATACAAAAAATTAGCCAGGTGTGGTGGTGGGTGCCTGTAGTCCCAGCTACTCAGGAGGCTGAGGCAGGAGAACGGTGTGAACCTGGGAGGCGGAGCTTGCAGTGAGCGGAGATTGCACCACTGCACTCCAGCCTGGGGGACAGAGCGAGACTCCTCTCAAAAACAAGATAAAAATAATAATAACAATAATAATAATAATAATATCTGAAGATATCTGCAATAGATATAGACATCTGGATACAGGAAGCTAAAAAATTCTTAAATAGACTCAACTCAAAAATCTCTTCCCAAGGCACATCATCAAACTGTCAAAAAAAGATAAAGATTTCTAAAAACAAGAGAAAAGTGTCAAGTCTCATATAAAAGAATCCCTATCAGACTAACAGAAGATTTCTCAACAGAAAACTTACATAAATCCAGTAGAAACTGGAATGATATACTCAAAGTGCAGAAAAAAAAAACCTGTCAGCCAAGAATACTACATGCAACAAATCTATTCTTCAAAACCGAAGAAGAAATAAAGTCTTTCCCAGACAAGCAAAAACTGACGGAATTCATCACCATTAGATCAGTGCTAAAAGAAACGCTTAAGAGAGCCTGTCTTAGTCCATTTGTGCAGCTATAAAGAAATACTTGAGGCTGGATAATTTATAAAGAAAAGAGATTTATTTGGCCCTTGGTTCAGCAAGCTGTTCAAGAAACATGACACTGGCATCTGCATCAGGTAAGGGACTCAGGCTGCTTCCTCCAATGGCAGGAAACAACAACAACAACAACAACAAAAACCTGGCATGTGCAGAGATCACATGGTGAGAGAGAAAGAATGAGAGCAAGTAGATGCCAGGCTCTTTTTAACAACCAGCTCTCACAGGAACTGGTAGAATAGGAACTCACTCATTACCATGAGGATGGTACCAAGCCATTAAGGAGGGATCTGACCACATGACCCAAACACCTTCAGGCCCCACCTCCAACTTTGAAGATCAACTTTCAACATGAGATTTGGGGAACAAACATCCAAACTATAGCAGAGTCATACACCTGGATGCAAAAAAACAATATCTACTATCTTGAAAACACACAAAAGTATAAAATTCACTGGTAGAATAGATACACAAATGAGAAAGAGAAGGGTCTGAAATGTTACCACTGTGGAAAACCACCAAACTGTAAAAGTAAACAGTAAAAGAGGAAGAAAGAAACAAAGGATATTTAAAAAAATCAGAAAAATTTCAACAAAATAACAGGAGTAAGTCCTCACATATCAATAACAACCTTCAATGTAAATGGTTTAAATTCCCCAACTAAAAGATATAGATTGGCTGCATGGATTAAAAACAAAAACAAGACCCAACTATATGCTGCCTACAAAAAACTCCCTTCACCTCTTAAGACATAAACTAAAAGTAAAGGGATGGAAAAAGATATTACACACAAATGGAAACCAAAATTGTGTAGAAGTAGCTATACTTACATCAGACAAAATAGACTTTAAGTCAAAAAACATAAAAAGAGACAAAAAAGGTCATTACATAATGACAAAGGGATCAATTTAGCAACAGGATATTACAAATGTAAATATATATGCACCCAGCACTGAAGTACCCAGATATATAAAGCAAATATTATTAGAGTTAGATAAAGCATAACATAATAATAGTTGAGGACTTCAACACCCCACTTTCAGCATCGAACAGATCATCTAGACAGAAAATAAACCAAAAAAATCCCATCAAATTTAATCTGCACTATAGACCAAATGGACCTAATAGACATTTATAGGACATTTCATCCAAAGCTGCAAAATACACACTCTTCTTATCAGCACATGGAACATTCTCCAGGATAAGCTACATGTTGGCCTACAAAACAAGTCTCCACACATTTTTTAAAATCTAAATCATATCAAGTATCTTCTCAGACCTCAATGGAATAAAACTAGAAATCAGTAATAAGAAAACTTTGGAAACGATACAAATACGTGGAATTTAAACAAAAAGCTCCTGAATGATCCCTAGGTCAATGAAGAAATTAAGGAAACAGTGACAATGGAAACACAACATACCAAAATTAATAGGATACAGCAAAAGCAGTGTTAAGAGAGTTTATAGCAATAAACACCTACAACAAATAAGTAGAAAAATTTCAAATAAACAATCTAACAATATGCCTCAAAGAGCTAAGAAAGTAAGAAGAAACCAAACCCTGAGTTAGTAGTGGGAACGAAATAATGAAGATTAAAACAGAAATAAGCAAAATAGAGTCTAAAAAAGACACAAAGGATCAGTGAAACAAAAAGTTAGTTTTTGAAAAAGGTAAAATTGACAAACTGCTAGCTAGACTAACCAAGAAAAGAAGATCCAAATAAATAAATTCAGAAACAAAGAAGGAGATATTACAACTTATAACACAAAAATACAAAGGATCATTAGAGATTATTATGAACAACTATCTGCTAATGAATCGGAGAACTTAAAAAATGAATAAATTCCTAGAGACATACAATATACCAAGATGAAACCAGGAAGAAAGAAAATCTGAACAGACCAATAAGGGCTAATGAGATTGAATCAGTAGTAAAGTCTATCATCAAAGAAAAACTCAGAACAGGATGGTTTTACTGCTGAATTCTATGAAACCTATAAAGAAGACCTACCACCAATTCTTCTCAAACTATTTTTTTAAAAATTAAGGAGGAGGAAATCCTAATGTATTTTATGAGACCAGCATTACTCTGATACCAGAACCAGACAAGAGCACAACAAAAAAAGAAAACTACAGGCTAATATCCCTGATAAACATAGATGCAAAAATCCTCAACAAAATAATACTAAAGCAAACTAAATCCAACAATACATCAGAAAGATAACACACCATGTTCAAGTGCAATTTATCCCAAGGACACACAGATGGTTCAACATAGACAAATCAATAAAGGTGATATATCATATCAACAGAATGAAGGAGAAAAACCATATGATCATCTCAATAGATGTAGAAAAAGCATTTGGTAAAATTCAACATCCCTTTATGATAAAAACACTCAACAAATTAGGCATAGAAGAAACATACCTCAAAATAATAAAGGCCATATATGAAAAGCTCATAGTTAACATTATACTGAATGGGGACAAATTGAAAAGCTAAGAACTGGAATGAGACAAGGATGCCCACTTTCACAACACTTATTCAAAATACCACTGGAAGTCTTAGCCAGAAAAATCAGGCAAGAAAAAGAAATAGACATCGAGACAAACAAATCAAAAAAGAGACATCAAAATTGGAAAATAGGAAGAGTAACTGTTCCTCTTTGCAGACAACATGATTTTATATATTAAAAAAACTAAAGACTCCACCAGAAAACTTTTAGAACTGATAAATGAATTCAGTAAAGTTGTAGGATACAAAATCAACATATAAAAATCAGTAGCATCCCTATACACCAATAACAAACTAGCATAAAAAGAAATCAAGAAAGCAATCCCAATGATAATAACTACAAAAAAAACCCCACAAAATACCTAGGAATAAATTTTACTAAGGATGTGAAAGACCTGTACAATGAAAACTATAAATCATTGATGAAAGAAATTGAAGAGAACACAAAGGAATGATACCCTATGCTCCTGGATTACAATAATTAATATTGAAATGACAGTACTACCCAAAGCAATCTACAGATTCAATGCAAACCCTATCAAAATACCAATGGCATTCTTCAAAAAACTAGAAAAAAAATCCTAAAATTTTTATGCAACCACAAAGAACCATAACTGGCCAAAGAAATACTGAGCAAAAATTAAAAAGCTGGAGGCATCACACTACCTGACTTAAAAATATACCACAAAACTATAGTAATCAAAGTAGCATGGTATTGGTATAAAAACAGACATATAGACCAATGGAATGGAATAGAGAACCTAGAAATAAATCAACATATTTACAGCCAACTGATTTTCAACAAAGGCACCAAGAACATACAATGTGGAAAAGACCTCCTCTTCAGAAAACAGTGATGAGAAAACTGGGTATCAATTTGCAGAACAATAAAACTAGACCCTTATCTCCCACCATATCAAAAAGGATTAAAGCCTTAAGAGTAAGATCTGAAACTGCAAAATTAGTAGAAGAAAACACTCCAGGACATTTGTCTCATCAAAGATTTTATGGCTAGGACTTCAAAAGCACAGGCAACAATAACAGAAATAGACAAATGAGACTATATTAAACTAAAAAGCTTCTGCACAGCAAAGCAATCAAGAAAGTGAACCTGTAGAACGTGAGAAAAAATTTGCAAACTATTCATCTGACAAGGAGCTAGTATCCAGAATATACCAGAAACTCAAACAACTCAACAGCAAAAACTCAGCTAATCTCATTAAAAACTAGGCAAAGGATCTAAATAGACATTTTCCAAAAGAGGCATAGTAATGACCAATAGATAGGTGGAAAAATGCTCAACATCACTTACCAGGGAAATACAAATCAAAACCACAGTGAGGTATCATCTCACCCCAGTTACAATGGCTATTATCAAAACGACAAAAAATAAATGCTGGTGAAGATGTGGAGAAAAAGGAACTCTTATATACTGTTGGTGGGGGTGTAAATTATTATTGCCCTTATGGAAAACAGTATGGAGTTTTCTCTATAAACTAAAAATGGTACTACCATATGATCTAGCAATCCCACTACTGTGTATTTACCCAAATGAAAGGAAATCAGGATATCAAAGGATACCTGAACCTCCATGTATATTGCAGCATTATTCATATGATAGCCAAGATATGGAATCAACCAAAGTGTCCATCAATGGATGAATGGATAAAGAACATGTGGTATGTATACAAAATGGAATACTATTCAGCCACAAATAAGAATGAAATACTGTCATTTTCAGCAGCACAGATGAAACTGGAGGTTATTATGTTAAGTGAAATAATCCAGGCACAGAGAGAAAAATATCACATGCTCTTACATGTGAGAGCTAAAAAAGTGAAACTCACAGATGTAGAGAGTAGAATGACGATTACCAGAGGCTGGGAAGTGGGGTAGGGGTGTAAAGAGAGGTTGGTTAATGGGTACAAACATATGATTAAATAGAAGAAATAAATTCTAGTGTTTGATAGCATGGTAGGGTGATATACAGTTAACAATAATGTATTGTATATTTCAAAATAGCTAGAAAATAAGATTTTAAATGTTCCCAACACAAAGAAATGATGAATATTTGAGGACTGAATATCCCAAATACTCTGATTTAATCATGCATTGTGTGCATTTATCAAAATGTCACATGAACCCCATAAATATGTATACTTATGTATCTAATAAAAAGTGTTAAAATATTTTAAAATTTAGATAGGTTGTAAATATTCTGACAGTAATATTATAATTATTGCAAGTCTACATCTCAGAACTAGGGAGTTTCTGAAGATGCTACTCACCTCTAAGATGTCAGATTTATTTTAAGTCAAAAATTCTTCCTGTTTCTCATGACAGCCAAAAACTGTTTGCCTGGTCAAGTACATCCATCAGCTTTTTCGTCCTTAGGTAGAAAAGCTCTGAATAATGGATAGTTCGGTGTCAAAAATGTCCTAAATTATAATCCTGCATGTCCATGGAGGACCTAATAATTTATACAGGTATTATCTTATTTGATGTTCAAAGTAACCCCACAAGATGGTTAAAGATTATTATTTTTGTAATATAAGTCAAGAAAATGAGACTCTAAAAAGCCTTGTTCAAGTTGACAGTAAATGACCCAGTGGGGACTCAATCCAGAACTTCCAAAACCTACAGCTAATGCACTTGCTGCTATATCACTCTGCTTCCGATCACACAATATACTTTAACTTGAGGGATTGATAGCAGAACCTCAACTGCTGTCTTTAAAAGGAAAGTATAAATTTATTTTATGGTGTATTAGAAATTACAGAATATTGTAAAGGACAGAGATATAAAGTGTGGTTATTGTCAAAAAGAGCCTTTGCAAAACAGTGTCTCAGAAGAACATTTATTTCCTTCCCATGTGTCTTCTGATTCATGTCTGCTTAGTTTACTCAGAAAAATAAATATTTTACTGCCATCTGCCCTGCAGAACCAATATTACTACAGAAGAGCAAAATACATGCTATTCTGCTTCAAAAATCAAAAATATCGCTGACTAAATTCTGATTGCAGTCACCATTGTTGGCAATGAAATACAAGGCAAGAGGAATCCTTTTTTTTTTTAATGTTTCCAATGCTATGTTCTTAATGTAAAGAATACACATAAATATTTGGCAAAATGTTACATTTCAACCCTGTTTCAGAAATACCTGAATTTATCCTGATAGAGACAAAAATGTTTGACATCTCAAGTAATGAATGTGGGAGTGTGCTCTGATATGAGTGGCAGTCACAGATCTCATTATTAGGAGATAGAGATTTAATTTAAAAATCCTTGATTTTTATGTGACAGTAATATGCAGCAAGTCTCCAAGAAATTGAGAAACATTGTACTGGTCCAATCATGCCTAACAGCGATTTGAAATTAGGTAAAGTAGAATTCTTCAGCCACAGAAAGTACATCTACATAAATATCAAGAGCCTCTGCATGATTGCGTCAGCTCTTATCTTTATAATGGCAAAGACCCAGCAGCTGAAGCCAGCAAAGTCAATCAAAGCCACAGTGAAACTGGCTCAACTGTTAACTGCAGGACACAAATGCCTATCTTCCTCCAAGGGCAGTAATGACTCTTAAACCTGCAACATTAAAGGCTTAGTGAGGAACTTTTGGTACAATTCAGACAAGATCAGGCACATTCAGGGTGGTACAGATGTAGACAACTTTTGGTACAATTGAAAGGCAACCCAGCATTTAAATAGTTCTCCAAATTTTTGAATGTTCTTTTGCACCAGATAGAAATTTTTGCCTCCTTTCTACATTCTTTTGTCACTAGTACATTTAACTTAAGAAGCAAGAATCTTCTCTGAAATGTCCTATCTTGTGAAATGGCAAAAATGAACTTTATCAGACCAGAGGCACAGAAGCAAAAAAAAAAAAAAAAAAAAAAAAAAAAAAAAAAAAACCTCACAAAAAACCCGTTGAATCCAGGCCACTCTCCTCTCTTAAATTCGGGCATATTAAAATCACATTACTTTCATATTTTAAAGCAGATGGGGGAAAATCATAGTTATATTTTTCATCCAGTCCATTCACCTGAACATTATAAGATATCTACTCTTAGCAGTGAACCTGGACACTATCCTTCATGGTTATATTTCTGTTTCATTTGTCTTCCATCAGAACTCCTGAAGATTCTTTTTTTAAAATCCATTAATTTTACAATTACACAGTTATTAAAAACTCCATTTATATATTGTTTACCATCTTACATATTAAATATTGACAACTGGATTTTTCAAATGAAACTCAGTATCATTAAAAAATTACCTTGTTCTTAGAGTTGCCATTTTCTTGTTTATCTCAACCTTAGAAATGTGCTTGGAATAACTGTATCTGCATATGTCCTCACATGAATTCAACTTTGCCAAACAAAATGATACCAAAATGCTATCTATCTAAATGTACTCCAATCATGCATTCAAGGTTAAATTAACCTTTGATTATATACTTGGTCTGAACAATGGAGTCTGAGCATTGAAAGTCTTTATTTTCCACTGCAGATCAATAAAGCTAATGAAATCAACCATTTGCAGGTGAAATGCCAAGTAATTCACCAGATCAACTCAGGGTTAAGGAGACCTGTGAAGTGAAAGGGTCACGCCAGTGTGCAGCGGGCTGATGACAAATGGGCCCCCTATGATGGCTCCCACACTACAAGCCAACTATGTCAGCCCATCACCATATACTAACTCTTGTCTTTTAGAGAGGAAATGATGCGATCAGCCATTTTCTATTAAGTGAGTGTTCTATAGTTTTGGTTTGCTTTTCCCCTGGGAGTGGAAAAGCACTGTTGAGGTTGAGAAAAACAAAAAATACAAATTATTGTCTGGACTTACCCTCAAAGGGTAAGGGGGCAGGTAATTAGTACCTGCAGAGTCCAAGCCCAATACAGAGGCTTTGTTATCACTCTGTCTAACCAATTAAGGTAACTTCTTAAGACCTGAACGTGACCTTCTTTTATATATTTGCATGCCATTCTTTTGAAAGGGCCTAGCTCATATTTTCCTGTCTTAAACATATTTTAATGTGTGTAGCAGGAACATCTCATTCTCCCTCCAGCCTTTATTAGCTGCTTAGGATTGCTACTGGTGGTAGGCCCTTCTCTTTTTCCCCATTTTGTGTTTGTTCTTTCTGCTCCTTCTTTGGTATATAATACACACATATAATCACCATGTAAACACACACACACACACACACCTTCTTTCTCACTAATAGTCACATTTCTTGTTGTTAGAGTCAACACTTTGATGTTAGTGATCATGTGCCTTTCTAGCCAATAAGATATAGAAAGTAGTTTTTGGGTGTGGCTGACAGAACTAGTGGGCTCTTTTGTCTGCCTCTCAGTCTCAAATGACGTGATGGTCAGAGTTTCAGTGGACACCATGTAACAATGATACAAGGTAGAAAATGGGAGCCACTGCCCTAGCCTCTAGACTTCATGTTACAGAAGAGAAAAACAATCCCCTACCTGCTTTAGGCTGCTGACTTTCAGATCCATGCGACTGATCTGAGATACACCAAGTATTTATTGCCCTCCTTACACCAAGCACTTTATAGGTTCCCATTTCATCTTCATAGCCCTTCGAAATATCACTTTCCCCATTTTACAGATGAGGAGACTGACTATAAGATGTGAAGCTGCTTGTCACAATCATGCAAGTTAATTTTTCTAACAAAGTTAGCCCAGTATTAAACACTATGGTGTGTGGCCTCTGACACTGCCTTTCATAGTTAGTTCTCGTTAGATGTTGCTTCAGGAAGATCAGGGGCTGATTCTTTGTGGCAGACTCTTTCCTAACCACATCTAGGTTCAAAATTGTTGTGGAAGGATAAAGTGGCAGTCAACAGTTTGGGCTCTTGAGTCAGACAATCTGGGCTCAACTCTCAGCAAGACGAGGACTACCTGCATAACCCTGAGAGATAAGTTACTTAAACTCTCATCTTTAAAATGGGACAAAAACACTAATAAGAAAATTAAGGCTGTTGTGAGAATTATTTAATACATATAAAAGAATGAAAACAGTGTCTATTCATACTAGGCAGGCAACAAGAAAGCATTCGTTGCTATCTATGATTACTATACAGTACTAGCTTTAAGGAGTTTATACAAATTAGAGCACAGTTGCTTTACTAATAAAAGCCAAAGGGCCATTTACTTTCAACACTAACTGGAAATAAAAATTTTCCTAACTTTTTGATAGTGACAGTGAGTGAATGTTGAAGTAAAAGCCAAATTCTGGGGGCAAGGAGGGGAGAAGAGAGAAAGAAAACAAGCTAATAATGTAAAGGGCAAATGGAAAAAAAAAAGTCGTGTTGCATTCATTGAAGTGGATGAACTTCTGATGGCTTATAAAATAGGCAATTCCAAGAATTCTGCAGAACATTTTTTTTTCCTGTGAGACGACAAAGCTGGAAAATAACCAGAGAGCATCTAAGCTCAGAGATTTTAAGACTGAATGCCACTGAAGGGTCAGTAAGGGGTAAAAATACATAGCAAGGCAGGAGAATGGTGGTATGGGGTGAATGGAAGTCCAGCACCAGCAGAAAAATAATAATGGTAAGCCAAAGACAATGTGATGAGACTTCTGTTCAAGATGCTAAGACAGGGATGAAGGCAGAAACCCTTCTATGAGGGAAGACCCTATTAAAAGCAAGAAGAAAACACCCAAATTTAAGATGGAGACAAAAGGAAAATCTAATAATCAAGGGAGAAAAAAAACTTTGAGCTCCAATTCTATAGCCTTTTAGCTTACATGTGATATAATATTTAAAATAAGAAGACAACTGAAGCAGGCTGTTATCTTTAGTAATCCTGATGACCACCTACAAATGCAAAAGATTTATAAAGAAACAAAATTTTGGAAAAGCTTCAAAACAAGAGAAGGAAATGGCTCAGGATTGATATTTTATTTCACTGTTTCCTGACACTAAGCACATGCTGAAGATTTTAGTAGGCATGATCCCATTGAGGACAGCAAACTCTTAAATTCCTTTTTTTTGTTACATGAATTCTTTTCCTTCAAATATTATAATATTTAAAATATTCCCCAGAGGTAACCACCTGAGTATAATATTTCTATAGATTATTTACTACTCAAAGAAGGATAAATGGTTTATTGTCTCTAATTCCCACAATGCACAGATATAATGAAAATTGAATAGCTGTATTTTCTTGCAGATGAAAAAACCACAAAACCACAAGCTTATCTTTCAGTGAAGCAAAATAGCTTACCTGTCAATTCTTAAGAAATTATAGAATAACATAAAAAGACATAAAGCAATTATTATATATACTTCCATTTGTTTGTTCTTTCTTCCTCTTTCGACTATGGTCATAGGAAATTGGTTGGATTTCTACTTGATATCCGCTCCCCCCAAATGTCTAATTGATAATCATCAATTGATAGCCTTATATTTTTGTATCATAATTAACATGGCTTTTAAGAGTATATTCTTCTTATGCCTTTTAAAAAATCCCCATTACCCCCTCTACACCTACATGGCTTACATTTGCATTTTAGCAGATTTCCTATGAATACTGCCTTTACTTTTGGGTTATAATACCAAGATTTTTATACATCTCTATAGCATTACCAAAAAGAGAGTGTCCGGCCAGGAAACATTACAAAGACTTGCTGCTAAAAAGATTAACTATCAATGTACAGTTTTTTTGGTATAGAATACTACGGATAAATCAGTAGCCATTTGGGCAGGGGATGACTAGTCATTTACAGTGATCATTCATGAGCCCAGGTCTCCTTTGGAAAGGAAAATGCTTACTAAGTTTTGTCTGCAAGTTTGTCCCAAGCCTCAAATGACCAAGTTGCCTTATTTTATCAACTATTCCTTTCAAAGGGCCAGGTTACACCATTTTAAACAAGTCTATGCCAATTATTTTCAAATGGCAAATGTAATCCAATGCACCATTTTATACAGATAGATAGATAGAACGAGTTTCTGGTTTTCAGAAGAATGGGTATGGATGCTAAAGGTGTTGTTCCCATTGACTGTCCCTTTCTCTGCCTGAAAACCACGGTAAAATAACATGATGAACAACCTGATGTAACTCTCAATACAACATATGATGAGTGAAAATGACTTAGGTGGAGGTACGGTCAAACCCAAGTGCCAGCATTGGGAACATAGACCATAAGGAAGAAGCTGATTTACCCCTCAAAACCCCACTAAGAGAAAACAACTGCCACCTTATAATTGCCAAGTCAGACAGTCAGGTGTGATGGCCAAATGAAAACCTTTTCCAGACAAAATATTTATTGATTGTATTCTTTCTTACAAACCAACTGATACACTCCATCAAAATATACATGTAAAGCAGAAAACAGCGAATCCAATAGAGAAGAAAAGCAACAGGGTTCCCAGCAATTGGGAAAGAAGGGGAGTCCCCGGATGAAGGTGAGGTGGCAGGTCTCACTGGCAGCCAGTCCAGATGGGAGTGGGAAGGCATGGGGGTGCCAGGAGAAGTATTTCCAGGAAAAAAAAATGAAACTATTCATCTACTGCCTGAATAGGTTTGTCTTGCAGAAAAAAATGTATTGTAAGACTGTGAGACTTTTTAGAAATATCAAAGCCATGGAAGATTTAGATATGAGTTCAAAAATTTAGACAAATTTTAAAAACTAATAAAAAATGAAGAAAAACAAAGTTTACAAAAGTGCAATTATTGCAAATGACTTGGAAGAGCAATGAATATTTCCATAGTCATTGTGGTGAAAACCCCAGAAAGAGATTTAAATTACCCACTAGGAAGATGGGGAGAGGGAGACAGAAGGAATCTGAGTGCCAAAATCATCATCTACTCCAACAGGGAATCAATAGATGCTTAAAATGAATGAGTCAAGAAAATGCAATACAGACATATTTACTAAGTAGAAGGTAAAATACCGAAAACTGTTACAGGAGTACTAAGTGTTTCTGGGCAGAAGTTGAGAGAGCTAGAGAAGGCATGCATTTTAGTCTAAATCTTCTAGCAATATTTGAATTTTTAAACTACATGCACAAATTGCTACAAAATAAAAAGATTTTAAATGCCAATAATCAGTTTTAAAAATCTCTCTGACATAAACAACCACCCTCCCTTTTTTTTCTTTGAGACAGAGTCTCCCTCTGTCACCCAGGCTGGAGGGTAGTGGCGTGATCTTGGCTCCCTGCAACCTCCGCCTCCCAGGTTCAAGGGATTCTCCTGCCTCAGCCTCCTGAGTAGCTGGGACTACAGGCATGCATCACCATGTCTGGCTAATTTTTTGTATCTTTAGTAGAGATGGGATTTCATCATGTTAGCCAGGATGGTCCTGATCTCCTGACCTCAAGATCTGCCTGCCTCAACCTCCCAAAGTGCTGGGATTACAGGTGTGAGCTACCGCCCAGCCAAAAACAAAACAAACAAACAAAAAAAACAAAAAAACCCTTTCTAAAGACTACATCTGACTTCATAGAAAACCAGCATGAATATTAAAAAGACACATTTTTTTAGAAAGGTAGATGAAATAAATCTGGATAGATTTAACTACTGTTTAAATTATCTTCAGATTAAATTTGCTAACTTAGCAAATTAAATACGGACGGCAAAAAAACCATTTCCCATTCATGGTTTCAGCAAACTGCGTTTCCTGTTTCTGACTTGAATTCCTAATTTAAAAAAAAAAAAAAAACGGCTAATAAAATATTGATAAAATGCCATTCTCTTCTGCAAAAGACTAGAAGTACCACTCAAGAGGAATCAAACAATGTTTAGTACATAAGGTGAATATTAACTCATCCGATCCTAAGATAAATCCTAGATACCTTGCCAAAAAATACCTGATTATATCCAGAGCAAACACTGATTTGGTTCTTTTAACAAGTGAGTCATGTGTAGCAAGGTAGACTTTGTTGAAACACAGCAATACCCGCTAGCAAGAAGGTCTCCAACATGATGTTTCTCTTGGACAGGAAAAGTAGGGGCCTGCCTTGCCAAAAACAATACCTGTGCAATCATCTGTTTATTCGTTTGGCTCTTCTACTAGAGTGTAGTAAGCCCATTGAGGACTGGGGCTATATCTTATTCACCTTTGTTCCTCCAGGTGAGCAACACAGTCTGATACCCAGTAGGTCCTCATAGTCAATGAATCAACATAGTACAAATTACTGGGTTAATTAGTATCAGATTCTTTCTCACCCTCTTAAAATGTAAAGCCAGATCTTTAGGAAGGAAAAGGATAAAATGCATATATATCACTGCAAGTGAATCTTTGCATAGCAGTTTAAGTAAGAGGATACTCACTGAAAAAGTCAAATGCCTAGTCTTTGTACTTTCTGTTACATATCTGCAAAAGAAAGGTCAATAGAAAAATAATATCTCGGCCAGGCCCAGTGGCTCACACCCGTAACCCCAACACTTTGTGAGGCTGAGATGGAAGGATTGCTTGAGGCCAAGAGTTTGAGACTAGTCTGAGCAACACATGAGATTCCAGCTCTACAAAAAATACAAAAGTTAGCTGGGCATGGTGGCATGCACCTGTAGTCCCAGGTACTTGGGAAGCTGAGGCAGGAGGATTGCTTGAGACTAGGAGTTTGAGGCTGTGGTGGGCTGTGATCGTGCCACTCCACTCTAGCCTGGGTGACAGCAAGACCCTGTCTAACAACAACAATAACAACAAAACCAAAAAACTCAACAGACTTCATTTATTTTTCAGAATGTACTAATTTTATTTTAATATAAATGCCATAAGTGTTAATCCTTAGTTCTACAGCCCAGAAAATTAATCTGAATTTACTACCAGATGCCAAAATTTCAGCACTTATAGAAAAAAGGAAAGAATTACTACAAAGAGGATGGTAATGTCTTTAAGGCACATCATCTTATTCTACATCCCTTAGCTTTAGAAATGTGTGTGATGGGTAATCAGACACACTGCATACGTAATATATAGTTAGAGTTAGTCAAACACACATACACACACATACATACATACTTCTCACATCACAATAGGTGCTAAAATCAAAAATACAATTTCTGAATGGTGTGATGATGTCACAAGTAAATTCCAGCAACAAGTGGTGCTAAAGCAGTAGTGACTTGAAACTGTGGCAAATGCAGGCATAAAAATCGCCTAGAGAATTTTTTTGAACCACATTCCTTCTTTCCACTCTCTTTCTCTTACCCTTTGATGGTGTTTTTTCGTTTGTTTTTACCCCTTCTATCCTCGACTAGGAGGGCGTAGCCTCCCAGTTGAAAATCACTTGTACTGAGCCACAGTTACTGACTGGAATATCATTAACTGGAAAATTACGTACTTCTAGTCTGCTGCAGAGGAAAGCAACACACACATACACTTAAAAATTACTTGAGTTTTTAAGCATGGCTTAGTTTAGAAATGGTAAATGTATTCCAGCTGATAAACCAACTTGACTAATTAGATGTGGTTGTCTGAAACAAAAATTGAGAAAGATCTCAAGATCCTTTGCAGTCTCAGAAACAAAGTACAGTGATTAGTAATGTCTGCTGAGGTAGAGGTGGGGTTGCCCCAAGTGTGGGACAGACAGTCTTCCCTTATGGTTGTCCTAGAACAGTCCAGTAAGTTCATTCGGTAGATATCAGATCAAAGGCTCTATTAAAGCATAACAGCAAATGCTTTAATAGCCTTAAAGACACAGGTGCCCCAGGGGGTAGTATGGGATAGAGAAAAAACACAGGCATTTGTTGTAGGTCCTGCCATTTGTGAGTAGAATGATCTTGGGTGAGTCACTAGTGAGTTCTCTGGACCAGTTTCCTCATCTTAACAAAATAACTTCTCACAAGCAAGATAATCTCTGAGGTCTCTACCAAAAAGCAGATTGTTTCTCTTTTTTCTTTTTATGGTTAGTTTTTAACCCATAAGGTGTTTTTAGTCACACAGGTAAAGTTTCACCAACTCATGAGAATCACAGCAGTCAGTTAAGGCTCCTTTTCTAATTTTTGTATTTTAGGTGTAACTACAGGTTATAATTTAAATATGTAGGCTATGCACCACATTCTGCAGAGATGGTAGCCATGGATACCAACTTAGCGTGACCTTTTAAAGAAACTTTGTCCCCTCCCACTCCAAATTTATTATAAAGATAATAATACTCAAGACCATCCTGGCCAACATGGTGAAACACTGTCTCTACTAAGAATACAAAAGTCAGCTGGGCATGGTGGCAAGTGCCTGTAATCCCAACTACTTGGGAGGCTGAGGCAGGAGAATCGCTTGAACCCGGGAGGCGGAGGCTGCATGCAGTGAGCCATCGAACCACTGCACTCCAGCCTGGGTGAGAGTGAGACTCCTTCTCAAAAAAAAAAAAAAAAAAAAAAAAAGATAATAATATAGTAATTGTTTCTATAATAGAAAGAATCCAAATATTCAACACCAGGGATTCAGTTAAATAAATCATGATACATCTTGTTGATAGGATACTACACTTTTTGAAATTGTGTATAAGAATACTTAATTACGAGGAAAAACATGGAAAATAAAAGCATACACAGAGTTTAATGCCTTAGTTATAAAACCTATATAGGTGTGCTTAAATAGGCGGGAAAAAAAAGATTCAGAATCCTATTTCCCTAAAAAGGAAAACAAATTCTCGGATCTTCATGGCGGGCGGGAGGCAGGACTACGTTGCAGCTCTGGACAGAGCAGCATGCAGGGGCTCACATCATGAATTTTAGCTCCAGGTTGACTGCAAGAACAAACCAGCAATCCCGAGAAGACCCACAGACCCTCGGAAGGAAGAGAACTGCTCCTGCAGGACCCGGAGACACCCCAAATACTGTGAGTGCCCCAGCTGCGGAAGTGGGAAAGGGAGACCCTCCTCTCCTGAACACACACCCCCACTGGAGAAGCTGGAAGTCTGTTTGTGGGAGAAGTTACCGACTTTACTTGGAGCTGAGTCAATTTGGATGGCCAAGTGAAATACAGGGGTAGAGGAAGCAGCAGAAAGACCCTGGGAGCTCACTGGGTCCCCAAACAGCCCATTCCTGCCTGGCTAAAACAGGGATCCATACCGAAGGCAGCCAGAGAAGCAGGGGCTAAAACTCCACAGGGAGAAGGAAATCTCCAGCAGAACGTTGTAAAAATTTGAACAGGGTGAGAAACCTCCTGGCCAGAACTTGGGGGAGGGTGCAAATCTGGTGTGCAGATGCCACAGGTGGGGATAGAACCAAACCCTTTTCTTTCCCAGCTGGGAGGCGGGTAGCCTGGGGCAGATTTTCAGGCCTGTCTAGCCCTCCACCTGGAAACAGACTCAGGGCTGTTCATCGGGGGACACAGTGGGAGTGAGACCGGACTTTCGATTTGCGTGGGAGCTGGGTGAGGCCTGTGACTGCCAGCTTTCCCCCACTTCCCGGACAACCTGCATGACTCAGGAGAGGCAGCTATGATCCTCCTAGGTATATAACTCCTAGGTATACGATTCCCAGTGACATGGGAATCTCATCCCCATCCCCAGCCGCAGCAAGACTTGCCCAAGGAGAGTCTGAGCTCAAACACCGGATGGTCCTACCCACCCTGGTAGCAGAAAACAAAGGGCACACAATCTTGGGAGTTTTAGGGCCCCGCCCACCACTGTTTCACCCACACATTACCACAGCTGATGCTCTCTGGAAAGTGCCACCTCCCGGCAGGAAGCCAACCAGCTCAAAAATAGAGCATTAAACCACCAATGCTAAGAACCCTCAAGGAGTCTATTGCACACACTGCCCTCCTCCCATCCGCCACCTCCACAGGGAAAGGCACTGGTATCCAAGGTAGAGAGACCCATACATAGACTGTTCATATCACAGGTCTCTGTGCAGACAGCCCCCAGTACCAACCTGGAGCCAGGTAGACTTGCTGGGTGGCTAGACCCAGAAGAGAGACAACAATCACTGCAGCTCGGCTCACAGTGTGTCAGGAGTTGGTTCCTTCTGGTAGGTTCTTGGTCTCACTGACTTGAAGAATGAAGCTGTGGACCTTCATGGTGAGTGTTAAAGCTCTTAAAGTTGGCATGGACCCAAAGAGTGAGCAGCAGCAAGATTTATTGTGAAGAGCGAAAGAACAAAGCTTCCACAGCGTGGAAAGGGACCCAAGCGGGTTGCTGCTGCTGGCTGGGGTGGCCAGCTTTTATTCCCTTATTTGTCCCTGCCCACATCCTGCTGATTGGTCCATTTTACAGAGTGCTGATTTGTGCATTTACAATCCTTTAGCTAGGCACAGAGCATTGATTGGTGCGTTTTTACAGAGAGCTGACTGATGCATTTACAATCCTTTAGCTAGACACAGAGCGCTGATTGGTGCTTTTTTACAGAGTGCTGATTGGTACATTTAGAATCCTTCAGCTAGACACAGAGTGCTGACTGGTGCATTTACAATCCTTTAGCTAGACACAGAATGCTGATTGGTGCGTTTACAATCCTCTAGCTAGACAGAAAAGTTCTCCAAGTCTCCACTCAACCCAGGAAGTCCAGCTAGCTTCATCTCTCAACAGGAAGACATATCCACAGGAAAAGGTGGAGAGTACTACATCAAGGGAACACTCCATGGGACAAAAAAATCTGAACAGCAGCCTTCAGCCCTAGACCTTCCCTCTGACAGAGCCTACCCAAATGAGAAGGAAACAGTAAAGCAACCCTGGTAATATGACAAAGTAAGGCTCTTCAACACTCCCCCAAAAAATCACACTAGTTCACCAGCCAGGGATCCAAACTAAGAAGAAATCTCTGATTTACCTGAAAAAGAATTTAGGAGGTTAGTTATTACACTAATCAGGGAGGGACAAGAGAAAGGCAAAGCCCAATGCAAGGAAATCAAAAAAATGATACAATAAGTGGAGGGAGAACTATTCAAGGAAATAGATAGCTTAAGAAAAAATAAAAAATTCAGGAAACATTGGACACTTTTAGAAATGTGAAATGCTCTCGAAAGTCAGCAATAAGACTGAACAAGTAGAAGGAAGAAATTCAGAGCTCGAAGACAAGCTCTTCGAATTAACCCAATCCAACAAAGACAAAGGAAAAAGAATAAGAAAATATGGGCCGGGCGCGGTGGCTCACGCCTGTAATCCCAGCACTTTGGGAGGCCGAGGCGGGTGGATCATGAGGTCAGGAGATCGAGACCATCCTGGCTAACAAGGTGAAACCCCGTCTCTACTAAAAATACAAAAAAATTAGCCGGGCGCGGTGGCGGGCGCCTGTAGTCCCAGCTACTCGGGAGGCTGAGGCAGGAGAATGGCGTGAACCCGGGAAGCGGAGCTTGCAGTGAGCCGAGATTGCGCCACTGCAGTCCGCAGTCCGGCCTGGGCGACAGAGCGAGACTCCGTCTCAAAAAAAAAAAAAAAAAAAGAAAATATGAATAAAGCCTTCAAGAAGTCTGGGATTATGTTAAATGACAAAAGCTAAGAATAATCAGTGTTTCTAAAGAAGAAGAGAATTCTAAAAGCTTGGAAAACATATATGGGGGAATAATCGAGGAGAACTTCCCTGGCCTTGCAAGAGACCTATACATGCAAATACAAGAAGCACAAAGAATACCTGGGAAAATCATTGCAAAAAGATCTTTGCCTAGGCACACTGCCATCAGGTTATCCAAAGTTAACACAAGGAAAGAATCTTAAGAGCTGTGAGACAGAAGCACCAGGTAACCTTTAAAGGAAAATCTATCAGATTAACAGCAGATTTCTCAGCAAAAACACTACAAGCTAGAAGGGATTGAGGCCCTATCTTCAGCCTCCTCAAACAAAACAATTATTAGCCAAGTATTTTCTATCCAGTGGAACTAAGCATCATACATGAAGGAAAGATACAGTCTTTTTCAGACAGACAAATACTGAGAGAATTCGCCATTACCAAGCCACCACTACAAGAACTGCTAAAAGGAGCTCTAAATCTTGAAACAAATCCTTGAAACACAGCAAAACAGAACCTCTTTAAAGCATAAATCACACAGGACTTACAAAACAAAATACAAATTAAAAAGCAAATACAAAAAACAACCAAAAAAAAACAATGTGTACAGGCAACAAAGAGCATGATGAATGCAATGGTACTTCACATTTCAATACTAACATTGACTGTAAAAGACCTAAATGCTCCACTTAAAAGAACCACAGAATGGATAAGAACTCACCAACCATCTATCTGCTGCTGAGACTCACCTAACACATAAGGACTCATAGAAACTTAAAAGTAAAGGGGTGGAAAAAGGCACTTCATGCAAATGGACACCAAAAGCGAGCAGGGGTAGTTATTCTTATATCAGACAAAACAAATGTTAAAGCAACAGCATCTAAAAGAGACAAAGAGGGACATTATATAATGGTAAAAGGCCTTGTCCAGCAGGAAAATATCACAGTCCTAAACATATAAGCACCTAACATTGAAGCTCCCAAATTTATAAAACAATCACTAACAGACCTAAGAAATGAGATAGACAGCAACACAATAATAGTGGGGACTTCAATATTCCACTGACAGCACTAGACAGGTCATCAAGACAGAAAGTCAAAAAAGAAACAATGGATTTAAACTATACCTTGGAACAAATGGACTTAACAGATATATACAGAACATTTCATCCAACAACCGCAGAATACACATTCTATTCAACAGTGCCTGGAATTTTCTCCAAGATAGACCATATGACAGGCCATAAAATGAGCCTCAATAAATTTAAGAAAATTGAAATTATATCAAGCACTCTCTCAGACCACACTGGAATAAAACTGGAAATGAACTCCAAAAGGAACCTTTAAAACCATGCAAATACATGGAAATTAAATAACCTGCTCCTGAAAGAGCATCGGGTCAAAAACAAAATCAAGATGGAAATTTAAAAATTCTTGAAACTGAATGACAGTAATGACACACCCTAACAAAACCTCTGGAATACAGCAAAGACAGTGCTAAGAGGAAAGTTCATAGCCCTAACTGCCTACATCAAAAAGACTGAAAGAGCAAAAACTGATATTCTAAGGTCACAGCTCAAGGAATTAGAGAAATAAGAACAAATCAAACCCAAACCCAGCAGAAGAAAGGAAATGAGCAAGATCAGAGAAGAACTAAATGAAATTGAAACAAAACAAAAAATACAAAAGATAGATACAAAAAACAAAAAGCTGGTTTTTTGAAACGATAAATAAAGTTGATAGACCATTAGCAAAATTAACCAAGAAAAGAAGAGAGAAAATCCAAATAACCTCACTAAGAAACGAAACAGGAGATAATACAACTGACATCATGAAACACAAAAGATCATGGAAGGCTACTAACACCTTTACACACATAAACTAGAAAGCCTAGAAGGGATGGAGAGGTTCCTGGAAAAATACAACCCTCCTAGCTTAAATCGGGAAGAATTAGATATCCTGAACAGACCAATAACAAGCAGCAAGACTGAAATGGTAATTTAAAAATTACCAACAAAAAAAAGTCCAGGACAAGATGGATTTTCAGCAGAATTCTACCATTCAAAGAATTGGTACCAATCCTTTTGACACTATTCCACAAGATAGAGAAAGAAGGAATCCTCCCTAATTCATTCCATAAGCCAACATCACCCTAATACCAAAACCAGCAAAGGACATAACCAAAAAAGAGAACTACAGACGGGTATCCTTGATGAACACATATACTAAAATCCTTAACAAAATACTAGCTAACCAAATCCAACAACTTATCAAAAAGATAATCCACCATGATCAAGCAGGTTTCACACCAGGGATGCAGGGATGGTTTAACATATGCAAGTCATGATAAATGTGATACACCACATAAACAGAATTAAGAACAAAAAACACATGATCATCTCAAGAGATGCAGAAAAAGCACTCAACAAAATTCAACATCCCTTTATGATTAAAACTCTCAGCAAAAATGGCATACAAGGGACACAGCTTAATGTAACAGCAAACATAATACTGAATGGGGAAAAGTTGAAAGCATTCCCTCTGAGAACTGGAACAAGACAAGGGTGCCTACTCTCACCACTGCTCTTCAACAGAGTACTGGAAGTCCTAGCCTGAGCAATCAGACAAGAGAAAGAAATAAAGAGCATCCAAATCAGCAAAGAGGAAGTTACACTGTCACTGTTTGCTGACGATATGATCATTTACCTTGAAAACCCTAAAGACTCCTCCAGAAAGCTCCTAGAACTGATAAAAGAATTCAGCAAAGTTTCTGGATACAAGATTAATGCACACAAATCAGTAGCTCTTCTATACACCAACTGCGACCAAGCGGAGAAGCAAATCAAGAACTCAACCCCTTTTACAATAGCTGAAAAAAAATAAAACACTTAAGAATATACCTAACCAAGGAGTCAAAAGACTTCTACAAGGAAAACTACAAAACACTGCTGAAAGAAATCAGACGACACGAACAAATGGAAATGCAGCCCATGCTCATGGATGGGTAGAATCAATATTGTGAAAATGACCATACTGCCAAAAGCAATCTATAAATTCAATGCAATCTGCATCAAAAAACCACTGTGGAAGTCAGTGTGGTGATTCCTCAGGGATTTAGAACTAGAAATACCATTTGACCCAGCCATCCCATTACTGGGTATATACCCAAAGGACTATAAATCATGCTGCTATAAAGACACATGCATACGTATGTTTATTGCGGCACTATTCACAATAGCAAAGACTTGGAACCAACCCAAATGTCCAACATTGATAGACTGGATTAAGAAAATGTGGCACATATACACCATGGAATACTATGCAGCCATAAAAAATGATGAGTCCATGTCCTTTGTAGGGACATGGATGAAATTGGAAATCATCATTCTCAGTAAACTATCGCAAGGACAAAAAACCAAACACCGCATGTTCTCACTCATAGGTGGGAATTAACAATGAGAACACATGGACACAGGAAGGGGAACATTACACTCTGGGGACTGTTGTGGGGTGGGGGGAGCGGGGAGGGATAGCATTAGGAGATATACCTAATGCTAAATGACAAGTTAATGGAAATGACGAGTTAATGAGTGCAGCACACCAGCATGGCACATGTATACATATGTAACTAACCTGCACATTGTGCACATGTACCCTAAAACTTAAAGTATAATAATAATAAAATTAAATTTAAAAAAAACCATCATCATTCTTCACAGAATTAGAAAAAATAATCCTAAAATTCATATGGAACCAAAAAAGAGCCCACATAGCCAAAACAAGACTAAGCAAAAGGAACAAATCTGGAGGCCATCACACTACCTGATTTCAAACTATACTATAAGGCCATAGTCACCAAAACAGGTACTGGTATAAAAAGAGACACATAGACCAATGGAACAGAATAGGGAACCCAGCAATAAACCCAAATACTTACAGCCAACTGATCTTAGACACAGCAAACAAAAACATAAAGTGGGGAAAGGACACCCTTTTCAACAAATGGTGCTGGGATAATTGGCTAGCTACATGTAGCAGATTGAAACTGGATCCTCATCTCTTCACTTTATACAAAAATGAACTCAAGATGGATTAAGGACTTAAACCTAGGGCCTGAAACTATACTAATTCTAGAAGATAACATTGGAAAACCCATTCTAGACACTGGCTTAGGCAAGGATTTCATGACCAAGAACCCAAAAGCAAATGCAATAAAAACAAAGATAAATAGCTAGGACCTAATTAAACTAAAGAGCTTTTACATGGCAAAAGGAACAGTCAGCAGAGTAAATGGACATCCCACAGCACGGGAGAAAATCGTCATAATCTGTACATCTGACAAGGACTAATATCCAGAATTTACAATGAACTCATATCAGTAAGAAAAAAAATCCCATCAAAAAGTGAACTAAGGACATGAATAGACAATTCTCAAAAGAAGATACACAAATGGCCAACAAACATATGAAAAAATGCTCAACATCAGAAATGATCAGCAAATCAAAACCACAATGTGATACCACCTTGCTCCTGCAAGAATGGTCATAATTAAACAATCAAAAAACAGATGTTGGCATGCATGCAGTGAACAGGGAACACTTCTACACTGCTGGTGGGAAGGCAAACTAGTATAGCCACTATGGAAAACAGTGAAGATTCCTTAAAGAACTAAAAGTAGAACTACCATTTGATCCAGCAATCCCACTACTGGGTATCTACCCAGAGGAAAATAAGTCATTACTGGAAAAACATACTCGCACACCCATGTTTATAGCAGCACAATTCACAATTGCAGAATCATGGAACCAACCCAAATGCTCATCAGTCAATGAGTGGATAAACTGTGGTGTGTGTATATATACATATACGTGTGTGTGTGTGTGTGTGTGTGTGTGTGTGTGTGTGTGTGTGATGCAATACTATGCAGCCATAAAAAGCAATGAATGAAGAGCATTTGCAGCGACCTGGATGACATTGGAGACTATTATTCTAAGTGAAGTAACTCAGGAATGGAAAACCAAACACAGTATGTTCTCATTGATATGTGGAAGCTAAACTATGAAGATGCAAAGGCATAAGAATAATACAATGGACTTTGGAGACTTGGGAGGAAGAGTGGGAGGGGGGCGAAGGATAAAGACTACAAATATGGTGCAGTGTACACTGCTCGGGTGATGGGTGCACCAAAATCTCACAAATCACAACTAATTTACTCATGTAACCCAATACCACCTGTACCCCAATAACTTATGGGGAAAGAAAAAGACAAGAATGTTAATAGTTGTTGTTCCTGAGTTGTGGATTAAGTCAATGTTTCCAAGGCCCAACTAAAAGAATAAATGTAAGGGGTGAGAGACAAGTGGTGAGGATGTGGTGAATGGAAGCTCATGTCCCCTGTCAACAGCATTTGATGTACTTTTAACACTATGAAGGCCACACAAAATAGTTTGTCAGTTTAACGGTCCCTGGATTTTGTGCCTGTTTTCTTCCTTGTGCTTTTGTATTCTGCAGAAATTCTTTTTGTATTTCTGAACTATGTAATATTTTTGTAAACAGATTTGTTTAAAAGCTCAAACATTTACAGTAGTAAGATTCAGAAAAAGACCTTTATTTTTAGGTTACATTATCTTACACAGCAGGCAAATAAGGTGTGTTTTGACAAATTAGTGGTATTAATGAAAATATGAGTCTCACAAACTATGAACTAAGGCAGAAAAGATAAACATCCTTGTTTTAGGCCTCAAGTGGAGGTGGCGGAAGGGTTTATGATATTATGGTAACTGTAGAAGCTTTGCCAGTGCTGTCCAAGGTGCCCCACTTCTGTGTGGAGGCTTAAGCAATCTTGGTATCCACAGTAAATACACTGAGGGGATGAAAGCTAAACATTTTAGTTAAATGAGCAGGAGTGGCTACATAGATGGGCAAACTTTACCAGTGCAGATGGGATGGTGAGAAGTCAGAAATAAGAAACTAGGGCCTGGCTCTGGTTGTTGTTCAGGCTAAAACCAGTAAAGTGAATACAGGAGGACACCCAGCAGTCTTGTGCATGGGATACAAGAGCCAGGATACTCAGGACTGACACAAGCTGTGCTACCAACAGTCACTTTTTCATGAGCTTGCTCACAGGGGTCCTGGAAGGCGAGTTGTGAATGCCTACAGTGTGCTAAGCACTTTCACACATCTTTATACTCAGGTGAAATGAACTGTATTCCCCCCCTTTATCACTGATGATACAGGTTAGATTGTTAACAAACCCATGTCTAACTTCAAAGCCGATTCAGGATCCTCCCTGGGGCTGGAGTATTAGTCATTAACCCTTTAAGCCTAGTCAAAGAACATGCTTTTCCCACTTCTCTCACATCACCATTCTAATAGAAACTTACAGGTATCAGAAAGTGCACCTTGTGCCTTAGAAAGCTACACAAATAATCAACAATCCCTAATTCATAAGAATGTCTGCAGCTTAATTAGCCAGGCATAAGACTATTAGTTGACTAAAAAAAAAAAAATTACAGCTCTTAAACGAAGACAACTTCTCAATATTTATTTATTCATTCAGTTTGATGTGCGTATCTTTGAAAAGGGTTGACTTATAAAGAAATACATGAAGTTTACAATCTGTAGCTCAATCTATCAAAGAAAATGGTGGCTTTTAGTAATTAAATAAGACAAGCATTAGTTCCTACCATTTTAATGTGTTCAGGGTAGGAAACAGAATAGACAATTGTGACTGTAATGAGGCCCATGAACGTTTAGAATATGATTAATGCATTTTCCACACTGACCCATGGAAACAATAACAGCTAATGTGGCCCCACTCTCACCTGTGAATCGTCTTATTCCCACAGGAAACATCAAACCTCCCCAAATATCATCCTCTAGGCAGAGGTCACTTAACTATTAAATTTACAAGGCAGGTGCAAAAAAAAAAAAAGGTGGGGGGACCGATGAAATAAAGGAAAAATTCTATTTACTAAAATTCAAGTAGCTAAACTATCTTTTAGGTGAAGTCAGTGAAAACCTTCACACATTGCTCATTTACCCTTATTTCAATCATAATGCTAATATACTTCCCATCTGGTTTCTATTTTTCAGCAAGTCAAAAGAAAAAACAATTGAGATAGATATGGTAAAGTATTAGCAGAGACAGAAAAATAGCTACAAAGTGGCAGCTGTCAAGGAAAAAGGGAAACAGTTATAAATTCAAGTAGAACTAGAAAATAGCCATGAGAATGTGGAAAAGCTACCAGCCTCTCACTTTTAGAGACACAAAGCAATCAGTGTGTAATTGTTTCTTAATGACTATTCCAAACTATCAAAGTTATACTGTATTCGGAATAATCTAAGGTAATAAAGTATCTAGTACACTTTAGAAATATTTTTATTCAAAATTAATTAAAAAGCATTATGTTAAAAAAGATAAGCTTTTGTTAGTTAATAGACTTCCTCACCAAGTCATGTTGAGCCTCATTCAACAGCACAGAATAAGCCAATTTTATACAAGACACAGGTATATGGAAACACAAATAACTTTAATGATTTGTGGTAAAAAAGAAGGAAGCTTGAATCTATGATTGAAAAATAAAAAATAATTACATGTATATCTACACAGAAAGTACAATCACAAGTTTCAAGAGCTTAACACAAACTAACTGCTGTCAAATATTTAACAAAAGCAAAGATGAAACTGCTTAACAGTCAGGGAAAAACAACAAAAAGAAGGGAGGGGTGATAAACCAAGAAAATGAATGACAAAAACTAAGAGACCTCATAGGTGTCTTTACAATCAGGAATTCAGATGCAAGGAACAGACACAAACCTGTCTAAAATGTGACCTATGAGGCAACAGAAAGTGACTTAAAGTCTGTTATAAATAAAAAATGACAACCAAAATCCTAGAGAGTCTTAAATTATTTAATCCAGACATTATCTAACGCCTCGGATTTTTGTTTGGTGCTATGGTGTTCATTTTCTATCAGAATGAAATGTGGGACAAATGCATTACTGGTTGTAGAGAGTGTTTCAGAGCTAATTCACCCAGCAAGGTCAGGGTCAAAAGGTTATTATTTTGTTCATATATTTCTTGATATGAAAAAACAACATGTCAAAGAAAGAATTAAAGCAAAATGTGTTTTCAAATGATAAACAGAATCTCAAACTTTCAAGTAAGTGCATCTTAAGATGTTGATGAACTTCAGAGATTCTCACTATTTTAAAACTAGGGATATTCTATTCTGGTAGTTATCAAACTGTCCTCTTTTGTTCATGAGGAACCAAACTGGCAAGTCTCTCAGTGTCTCCTTCCCCAAGTCTTTAATTTTATAAGTATATTCAATGTCTAGGAAGGAATTATTAAAGAATTCTGCTTCTTAAAAAAATGTTTCAAAATAATCTAATGTATCCTTGTCGATTCATGAATGAGAGCACCCAGAGCAGAGTAACCTCCCCACATCTGGCCACTCTCAGGTGGTATCCTGCCCACTCACTAAGGCCTTGCCTATTTGATATTAGTAAGCCCTCCCCATACCTACTTCTATACTTACTGTATGGCCTTTTGTATGATCTGGAAAAAATCTGTTGTAAATCAAGTAATCACCAACTTCTGCCTCCATGCCAACCTAAAAACTTTAAAAAAAACCTTTTCCTTTTACAAAGGAAGAAATTAAGACCTTCAAAATTATTTTACAAATACCAACAAGGTTTACCAGAAGAAGACTGCTTCTTAATTTAAAGTAATGACGTTGGACTGACAATTTGCTAGACTGGTCAGACCTTTTAAAAAATACTAACATTAAAATGTGTTAGAGAAAATGCTCTAAGTATATATACACATGTAGTAGATAAACAGAGTTACAAATTGATAGTTACAAGCAAATGTACAGAATAAAAATATGTACCATGAGCCTAGTGTTGATTTTTACCACACACACAAAAAAACCAATGTTAATGATTAAATCACAATTTCCTGATGATATACAAGATAAAAAACAGGGATGAAAGTGTAGAAACACACAACAAAGTAAATTATTAAGAAAAGAAATGAACACAATATAGGATAAAGACAATTGCAGATAGGAGAATTTAACACCTATGGTGGCACATTTAGACCAAATACTCTTTTTTCAATAAAGCCAAAATAAATTGTTTGATAATATTCTGTTTACTAAAAAAAAAAAAAAAAAAAAGGCAAGTTTTTTCACTGGTGGCAGGTATGGAGAATATTAAAAGACTCAAACAGTAATGATACCACTTGTCTATTTAACCAAGATTCTGGTGTCCTCATTAATCTTTGATACCCAATAATCTGAATAGAAAGACATGATAAATCAAAAACATGCCAATTTTAAAAAGAAAAACCTTTAAAAGCAATCCCAGCTTCTAAATGGTAAACATAACATGAATTCCTAATCTGGCATTAGACTTTTTTTTTTTTTTTGATTCAAAGACAAATATGAATGACTCTACCTATTTGTAAAAATGTGAACATTAAAAACAGTACAATGACTGGGCTCTCACAAACCGTGCAAATTCAATTTGAAATGTTCATCTGGTATAATATTCAGCTGTCAAGAGGAAGCAACTCAAAGGACATCACACAGTCTATAAACCAGCTCGAAGGAGCCTTCCAGACTTTGCCCTGCCGAACCCTCTCTGGGTGATAATTACACAAATCTTCATAGATGATATACTGTGTGCAGAAGCGCTGATCAGAATCGGGTCTCGCATGGTATGCGACTGTATTGATGGTCTGAGTCACGTCACTGTCTGGCTTGGGCTTTCTACTGAGGATCTGGCCCCCACCTGCAGTGACGAGCTTAATAAGGTTGTCCTTTGGATGGTGTTTGAAGGTTCCCCACAAATAGAAGTAGCATCCATCAAACAGCTTTGGCAACTGAAATAATGAGAAAACATTTGTTAAAGGCAGATCAAAATACTGTATTCAAAAACACTGTATATGAATGAGGAAAATAAAAATACAAGTTGAATATCCCTTACCTGAAACATTTGGAGGAGAAGCATTTCAGATTCATAAATTTTTTGGGTTTTGGAAAATTTGCATATACATGAGGTATCTTAAGGATGAGGCTCAAGCCTAAACACAAAATTCGTTTGTTTCTTGTACACCTTATGCACATAGCCTGAAGTAATTTTATACAATATCTTCAGTAATTTTGTGCATGAAACAAAATTTTGACTGTGTTCTGACCGTGACCTGTCACATGAGGTCAGGTGTGGAATTTTCCACTTGTGGCATCATGTCAAAGCTCAAAAAGTTTTGGATTTTGGAGCATTTTAGATGTTGGATTAGGAATGCTCCATCTGTAACAATTATGAGCAGCTAAGAAGCTACTTAATGAGGTGCTGGGACAAGTTATATTTCAAGCATACTAACTGGATCAAGAAAAATACTTAGGCAAATAGGGGCTTCCTATTTACAATTTTTTCCCTAAGATTCAGTCACCATCTCGGTTCCTTTTCACTCTTCTAAAATTTTAGATATGCTTGGTATAAAGAAAAAAACAAACTATTCATCAAACTTTTTTCATCAGGATGTTTATGCTTATTTGGTGGGACTTAAAGCCTCCACAACTCCTAGCTTATTTGAAATAGGCTTCAGAGACACCAGGCTAAACATTATTAAATTACAAGAGTAACATCTTTTCCGTGGACTTTTATCCAATTCTGCCCATCCACATTCAGGTCCTTACATATTACCAACCTAAGGTCTCCAGGGCAGCCACCATGGGGGTGTGCCCTCCAGGGTTCCAGAAATGTATTCACGGGGCACAAAAGATTTTTGTGCTGAGGCTAGGGATCCAATTAGCTATGAAACATACTTCCGTATGCTCGTTGGAAATAAAAAAAGTTTCATAATTCCCTTCTATGGAAATTTTCTTTGTGACTTCTAATATACTTATATAATATCAACAGGATAATGCGATATTATCCATTAAAGCTACAATATGTGGCCATAGAGACATATGGTAACTAAATCCAAGCAGCAGCTGTAAGTCTTCTTTCAAGCTACTTCCTGTATCTGAGATTTACCTCAGATTCTGAAAGGTTTATGGCAATGTTCAAGATGCCAAAAATCCATTAACAGTATGAAATTATTACCTTCTGGATTTTACTGCTCATCGTGATCATCTTTCAGAATCAAGTGCTTGAAATAAGCACAATTAAAATTTTAATCAGTCACCTGTAGCTGTTGAAAGGGCAGAAGTTCTTCCTGATGGTGATAATAATAGTATGTCATAATAAGAACAATGAAAGTTGTATTAAAAGAAAAATACCAGCTGTTCTCTGTTGAGCCTGCTTCTGCGTGGACCTTCAGGAATTTCATACTTTTCTTCCTGTTCACATACTTTTCTTCGTAGACATGCTTTTACCCCTGACAAAAACACAAGAATTAAAGCAAACTAAGTATCAAGTGAGCACTATATCTCTCTCATTAAAATCAAGCAATTTACCTAAGTGGTTTTTCTTCTTCATGGCAGTTTTTAAGTATTATTCTAAAATGCAAACAGAAATCTTACTTATGCCAAAACAAAATGTAATACAACTGGTTTTCCCATATAAAGAAAATATTTTAAAAAACTCTTTCTTTGGAGGATTAAGCCATAAGTTAGTACTGAACACTAACTGTAATTTTAATCTCCTTTCTGAAAAACCTAAGCCAGGATACTATTTCAAAGACAAAAATAAAAGTCTACATTTCCACTCATAGCAATTACCCAAAATTAAGGTGAATAAAAAGTCCATGACACAATAACCTAAACTGAGCACTTACCATCTATACTGCTCATTTTGACAGTTATATGTCTAATCGTCTGTTAAACTGTAAGTGATTTGACATGAAGGAATGTGCTTTAGTCTACAGCACCAAGCTCAGCTAGCCACACAACAGGGGTTCAACAGCGCTTCCTAAAATAAACAAGCAGAGCTTGGGATAGGTTTGGCATGTGACAGGTACACAACTGAGGTTGCTAGTCTAGAGATGATTTGATTGGGCTTTGCAGGAAAAAAAAAAGCATTCTTTTGATGGCTTGAGTAAGTCTGTTCACAGCTTCAGGTTAAAAAGCAAAAGCAATAGAGACAGCTCAGCCTGGCACTGTTTAGAGTCATTCCACTGCTTGGCACCTGGGTGGGGAATCCCTAAGTAGGGCCACTGGCTGGCAGCCAGTACCAATTGTCTCGCTAGGCTCTAGAAATGAAAGGAACCCTTGGGATTCCCAGGACCAATCATGAAGGACATGGTCAGCTTCAGCTAGAGACAACATCTTGGATAATGCCTGTTTACCACCAAGCGAGGGAACTGATGGCATGTATATATATTTATCATGCTTCTGTTCTGATGGCATATAACTAAACTAAATTTGAGATTTGCAGTTGAAGGACTTGGCTATCCCAATTACTTGTTCTGGAAGCTTCCTTGCCTATGGAAATAAAAAATGAAAACAATGTTTTTCACCGGGCTTCTGTGGATAAAATGCAAGAAGCATTCTAAAAACTAGATACTACAATGAATTATCTTCATCATAAAAACAAACCCTCCATACAATTTCCTATTTGTCTTTGAGGTTGTTTTGCTCAATACTTCATTTTATCACTGAGGGTAGGAACCATATATTATTCACCTATGCGTTCTTCAGAATTTCATACACTTTCCCATAGAACAGGAGTTTAATAGCAGAGGGTATCGGGAAAGTTGGAACAATAACTCAGGTATCCCCTTCACTGTCTAGTGTTGTTAACATAAAGGAACAAAAGTTTTTAAAAATTCACTATGGACACAGCATTGACAGATTGTATCCACATCAATAAAAATAAGTAATTATATAGCACCTGTAAGAGTTCAGAGTTACACATAGTTTTGAATATCAAACTGTTACATCCTGTTATCACTTGATATCTAATGGCTTAAAATGATCAGAAAAAAATCTATGGCTGCATAAACATATACTTTATATTGAGGATTAGACATATATGTTGGATATACTACAGTGTTTTGGAAACCTCTTGAAAAATGCTAGTGATAAAGTTTTGTCCAGCTGATCCCTACTTACTTCAACAGTAAATTGATTCCAACACAGGAGCAGAACCACTACTCGGCATGTAAACTGCATATGCCTGCAAAAGGGCTCCTTTCTTGACTAAAGGGTGGCTAAGAACCAACAGTTAATCTGCTACCCAGAACTGTCCTGCGATTGCATCTAATATAAATTAAGATTCAGTTGTGTATGAGTAAAATGTCTTTTGACCTATGATGATTTTTTTTTCTTTTTTTTTTTTTTCTGAGACAGAGTCTTGCACTGTCACCCAGGTTGGGGCGCAGTGGCGCAATCTCGGCTCACTGCAAGCTCCGCCTCCTGGGTTCACACCTTTCTCCTGCCTCAGCCTCCCAAGTAGCTGGGACTACAGGCGCCCGCCACCATGTCTGGCTAATTTTTTGTACTTTTAGTAGAGACAGGCTTTCATCGCGTTAGCCAGGATGGTCTCGATCTCCTGACCTCGTGATCTGCACACCTCAGCCTCCCAAAGTGCTGGGATTACAGGCGTGAACCACCACACCTTGCTGACCTATAATGATTATCTTGAGAGCAAAAACTTATACTGGAGAAGAAAAAGAAATGCAATGTTTTCCAAGAGTGAGTAATGGTCCACTTTAGACTAACTCAGACTTTATGGCATAATCGGTTTTAAACTTTCTTCTTTATTACCCCACACTGACACAATAACAAAACTTCAACTGTTTCCAGGAGCCACATCTGCAGAATTTGGAGTAAGCGACAGAACTGAAAAAACTGGTACTTTCTGAGGGAAAAAAAATGTGTTTGAGTCCTCTTTATAAAATGTTTTATTTATTCTAATCTTGTAACTTGAATTTTGAAAATACCTAGAATCAAATAACTTACGAGGTAGAAAAGACCCTGAAGAGCTAGTCCTACCTTCTTGTTTTAAAGATCTGCACAGTCAAGTGCAGAAACATAAAGTGACTTGCTAAGATCACTAATAGCAAAGTTAAAGTGAACCACTTCCTAAAGCAACAGACTTCCACTTCGGCGCTCTTCCTATATCATATTTATAGGCCAAGTATCCCTTATCTGAAGTGTTTGAAACCACAAGTGTTTTAAAATTCAATTTTGTTTTGGATTTTGGAATATTTGCACGTACATAATTAGGTATATCTTGGCAACAAGACCCAAGTCTAAAAAAGAAATTCATTTATGTTTCATATACGCTTTATACAGATAAAGCATATATGAAGATAATTTTATATACTATCTTTAATAATTTTGTGCATAAAGTTGTGTCTGCGTTTAGACTGTGAGCCATCATGTTAGGTCGTGTGTGTTGTGCTGGCACTCAAATAGTTTAGTATTTTACAGCATTTTGGATTTTCAGATTAGGAATGCTCAAACTGTGTTAAACACCTATCATGTACAAGAGAAGTCATAATCTCTTCCCTAAGAAGAAAATTCCTGCTGTTTCCTGTCACTTTATTTCAATAATCTAATCCTGAACTTTCATTAATATTGTATGCTCTATCTCAGAGTGCTTAATTTTAAATGAAATTTTATTGCTTTATTTTCCTCTGTCAACAAGCAATCCACTATCAAATTTAATTTTTCAAGCACATTTAAAATTACATCCATGTTTTAAAGATATTAAGGATGCCACTGAGATAATCTCAATCATGGTATATCTAATAACAAGAAAACTCCCTACTCTTGTCCAGAAATCCTAAGAACTTCACATTACGTAAACTTCTGTTACAAAGTCAGTGAAAGAAAAAAGGTTAATAGCTTATACATAGACAAACATGAGAAGATTCGTTTTTCAGATTCAGCTTTTCCCTCTTTTCCTACTTAAAATGGCTAACCTTTCAAAGAATAACAAATGTGGGAGCAGATTTGCTTGCCAGAAAGATAATAAAATATTCTTTTATATTTTGCATGTATTTCAATGTTAAAAGCAAAGATAATAGGTTTTTTGAATAAAATGTTTGAATGCAAAGTTGTTTCTGAAAATAATGGAGGACCAATATATTTTAAATATTAAAAAAATATGCTGGAAGTATTAATGATTTACATGTATTAGTGAAGTGGTATTCAAAAATACTAATAAAGCAGGAAATAATACACAGCCAGAGTTTTAGCCATTTATAGCTCTTGTTAAACAAATACGAAATCACAATATTAAATATGGAAAGAAAAAGTAGAACATCATTAAGAAAATATGGAATAAGTTGTTCCATTGTTACTTCTCTGGGTTTAAATTGAGTAGAACCTGAGTAGAATTTATTTGATTGTATATAAGTTTATTTTACACCTGTAAATACTATCAGACAGAACTCTCTTCTTATAAATTAATAGAGAACCATGAGAGCAGTATCATTTTATAAAAACTATGAATGCTATGTTACCTAATATTCATCCAATGAGCAAAATACTTTACTATAGATTGAACGTGTACATTGTGCAGTGCTCTGAAAACTTTAATTTTTCCACAATCTAGAATAAAATACTCATAAATCATAAGGCCTAACCAATCCAATGCTAAAAATCACACACCAATATTTTCTGGTCAAAGGAGAAAAAGAAAATTCTTAAAATACCAATTTATTCTATTCTGTTTTCTTTTTACTTTTCTAACTTTAAATGACCAAGGACACAACTGTTTGTTCTAAGAAAAGATCCTGATCAAAATTACTGTGATAACAGCTACCAAAAGTACTTGTATCCTTCCCCAAATCCAGCAAGAGTAGTATAGTCAATGCTCATTATCTACAGTAGTTATGTTCTATAAAGATGCTATGAACACCGATTAGTGAATAATGAAACACTGCTGTTAAAGGAAATACAGGGTTACATTTCTGTGGGCCTGTGGCTCCAGCATTTCCATCAACTGATCAATACTTAACTTTGTTTTATGTATGTTTCTGTTTATACACATTATTTATTGTATACTGTTGACTCATTAAGATTAAACTTAGGGCCAGCAGTACTACAATTAAGGCCTTAACAAAGCTTATCCTACACAGTATTTAATATTTTCCCTGAAAGGCACATCACCATCTTCTTGAGCTTAGACTCACAAAACAGCACTTCAGCACTGTATTATGAGGCCATTTTAAATAATAAAATCAGCAACAAAAACACAAAAATGCAAAAAACATGGCATCAACAGACTGTGAAAGGGCCACTTGTTTACAGCGTGAGAGCTGAAAAGAGGAGGTAAAGTATCACCTTGTTTGACCTCAGCTGGGGACACACTTGTTTGTCAACTAAAGTTCTTCACTACTCTGTACATGTCTACAAAAGCACTGTGAGTATTGATTTGGGGATTACAAGAAAAATTTTAGCAAGTAAGAAAACTCACAAACACAGAATCCACAAACAATGAGGATTTACTGTTTATTACTTCCAATTCAGGGGAGGGAACTGAAATGCTAAGAAGTCAACTTGCTTAAAGCTGAATGCAGCCATTAAGTGGCAGAATGGGAATTTGAACCTAAATCTGCTTAGTTTTCTAAAGGCTGTGTATTTCACACTGAAATATAACTTAGTGGTACACAAGATAAACCTTGGGTATTATCTTAGCATGATGTGAATATGTCAAATGCTTAAAAGCTGCTTAAATTGAGTGTTCTAAGATGTTGTTTATTATAAAAAGGTCAGAAGACTAACAACTGAATACTCCATCTCTCCAAAAGCAGAGGTTTGTCAAGACGCTGAGTCTTTCCTGAATTGGGTCATTAATGCAAATTCAAATTCAACACTCACACTCAGGACGTCTATGATTACCCATCATGTCAATCTTAATTTGTTAGTTTTATCTGTGTTTTATTTGGCTCTCAGATCTCTCTCCCCCATTTTTTTAATATGAAAGTCATATTCACCCAAGGTTGCTAAGCTGAATTTCCGAATCTTATAATTTTAAATTATCATAAATGTGCTTTGAAAATTGTTTACATATAATAAAAATTATACTCTAAAAAAGGCATAAATTTTAATAACCACTCACTGAATTAAAAACCTTTCTAATAAAGGTAATATAAATATTAATTTTATTATACATTGAAAATGAGACTCAAAATTCTTGACTGGGTCAAAATACCATACTAGAAGCACTGCCAGTGTGCTGGAATTATGTCATATATTGTTTCTATATTAAAAATCAAATAAAAAACCATCAGGAATCCAGTGAAATGGTTAACTCAAATTCACTATTTTATATGTGATTTTTTTATTTTCCTCATTACGTAAGCAGGTATTCCCCTTCCCAAATCTCCTTCCCAATGGTACTTACAGAGTATTCATAATTGTATCTTTAACTGCATATGGTGGCACAGAAAGCCAAGGACTGAACATTCTTATGATATCTACTGTATCGAATGAATGGCTAATGTCTAATTGCAGAATTAAGTAGGCTGTGCTTGTGCCAGCTGCTTCTCCATTTTATGGGTTTATTTGACTGATTATTTACAAGAAACACATTAAAATGGCATCTATTCCTCCTGAAAACATGCTGGCATTAGTCAATCAACAGAATTTAACCTTAATAGATACTACAGTCCAGTAAGTATGGCATCAAAAAAATGAGATGGCAGATACCAACAGAGCAGCATGGTACTTCCATGAGAAGGAGCCAGTGTAAGTCTTAATTCATTAAATATTCTGTTTCATGGGAGTTATGTAGTAAGTTTCTGTAAAGTAAAGCAAATCCAATGCTCTAGTTACAATGATTGAGTTAAACAAATACATTTCTCTAATATGCTTTTACTCCAAGCAACAATTTGCAGAATCCTGTGTCACCTAAGACTAACTAAGGAAGAATGAAAGTAGCTCTTTTTCTTTTCCTGAAAAGAAAGGATGTTTCCAGGTCTACAACTACATTTGAAGGGTGGCAAAGTGTTTTGTTAAAGTTGCTGTTATAGCATAGAAAATCTCTAGAATTTTTTCAAAGCTGGGAGTGACAACTACTTCAAGGATTGCGACTCAAATGCCTACAAAAGCCAGGTAGATTACATAAATGTGTGAAGAACCTGGTGTGAGGTGGTAGGAAGCTATGGAGACTGTAACAAACATCATGCCTAAATATATAAAAATTAATTATGTTAGACAAAACCAGACACTGTATTTCCTTCAGCCCTCAGAGTCCTCAGCCTGCCGATTTGAAACTTTTGATGCTTTGTCTAATCAACCTCTTTTATAGATAAGGAAACTTAAGTCCCAAGAGATTTAAGTGGCTTTCTCAGTGACATAACTGAGATGAGAACTGAAATATCCTCCATGTCACAGATCAAGTTTTTTTGTTCATCTTTATTTTTAGTTGGATCAATGTGCTTACTCAATCCGACATGCTAAGGTTGCCACTGTCTAACTTGTTATCTGAAACTGTGAGTTTCAGAATGATGACCTACTCCGGAGACAATACCACAGTTACAAATTCATATCAACTTCCTACTGAACCTTTTTTTAAGACAAATCAATTGAGTTGATTTACTGAAAAGTAAATAAGAATGAAATGCTTTAAAATAAACTTTCAGCAATTCAAATGGTGATACATTATCAATGCACTGGAAGAATCTACCAGCCAAACATTACTTAATTAACCCAAGCCTAAATAATGACTAACATTTTAAGGTTTTATTTACTGAATAAAAGTTAAGCAATCTGCAGCAAGAATTCTTAACCTATTTTCCATTTAAAACACAGTTACATTTTAAGATTTAAACTATTTTATATTTGTAATAAACAGTTAATAAAGTCCATAATTATTCCATCAGTTTAGTAGAAAGATGAACTCTTCTACTTCCTTTTGAAGAAAAAAAAAGCAAAAATACAAATATAAGACCACATTTTAGTTAGCTTTCTTGGCTAATAATTTCCTTACTAAAATTACCTTGCATGAGTAAGTTTACGTAAACATAACTTTTGCATATGCCAGAATGATACATACTTGAAAATGTGTCAAGCCACTAACCTTATAAAATGTATGCTTTATTTCATCTTTGTTACTTTTCATATGTTCCTTTATAGTTGAAGGTTTTGACTGAAGCTATCACTTCGCAGAAACAAACGGATGAACTACTTAGCTATTACAACTAGAGATTCTTTTAGCCCAGGTGTATTCCTGATCATGTTCTCCATTTCATGTAAGCTTTCCTTTTTTCCTGAGATCTTATTAATTTTTTACATATAGGTAAGCAGCCCCATTTCTAAAGTACTGATTAACCCAAAGTCATTAAGGTAGCTCTGTCTACCTTAGCAAAGCCTGGAATTTTTGCATAATAATGACGCTTATGAATTCCAGGGCTACAACACTTTTCTATAAAGAAACTTGTACTGTACAGAAGGTATTTTTTTATTCTAAATTGCTAATAACCACTCTCTCCTCCTACCTCATAAAAGCATATACATCAGTAGATGTATATTTCTGTTTTAGCTGCATGGACCACTGATGATGGTCATGGTTTTATATTAAGCTTACATTTCCTATAATAAAAAAAGATAACACAAATGCAAGGAAATTAAAAAAAGGAGGGGTGTTCCTGAATCCACAGTTATACAAAAATGATGAGAGAATACAATGAAGATGGAAGAAAACTTCAAAATGGAGATCTGTTAAATGTCCAAAGGAGGAGACGATTATTAACTCTGCATGGAAAGCCATACTTAGAATTTTCTCACTCTTCAAATCCCAGAGTAGTAAACAGATCCACATTTTAAAGAATTTTTAGGCCAGACCTGGTGGCTCGCACTTGTAATGCTAGCACTCTGGGAGGGTGAAGCAGGAAGACCGCTTGAAACAAGGAGTTCAAGAACAGCCTGGGCAACAAAGTGAGATCTCTGCCTCAACTAAAAAGAAAAAAAAAATTAGCCAGGCATGGTGGTGAGTGCCTGTAGTTCCAGCTACTCAGGAGGCTGAAGCAGGAGGATCACTTGAACCCAGGAGTTCATGGCTGCAAAGAGCTATGATTGCACCACTGCAGTCCAGCCTGTGTGACAGAGTGAGGGAGGGGAAAAAAGGGTTGTTATTATTCTGGAATTAATGGCTATTTGTAACTGAAATAGCTATGGGAATCAGAATTAACCACTTTTAGTCAATACAAAATATCCTAAAAAAAAAAAATTAAAATACAGAATCAAACATCACTATTCTATATGAAAACAAATGTTCTACTACAGTATGTCATTAGATCTAAACTAAAGATGTTTAAATTAGGGATGTGTGTCACTCAAGATAACAGTATGTAAGTAAAATAAAAATTAAAGAATTTCCTTTGATTCTATTAAAAATCAACACCCAGATTGTAAAAGCAAAACAAGTGTTTTGCAAATGATTATATTTTAGACTTTTTAGTCGAGTAAACTATAACAGCACTAAACTTTAGTAAAAAGGGACATCACAATAGGCAGCCTACAACAATGACAAAAATGAAAAAACAGTAGCATACTATCACTGCAATTTTTGGAAAACTTAAGTAAAAGAACAGAGAAATGAGTTTGAAATTTGAAACTTCCATAGCGAAAAGTGAAAGGACAATGAAATAAAGGCTGAAAATATAAAATAAAGGCTAAATGTTTCCATTTAAGATTTGAGATATCTCATTAAATACTGTCGACAGTCATTAAATTCTGGCTCCATATAAATATCATTTAGCAATTATTTATTTTTGACATTTTAGTAAAAATTCTGGCTATCAGCATATTTATATGTAGAAATATATTTCTTCACATTACAAGATGTGTAATTTGCTATTTTACTTAATGCATTGAGAAGCAGGTTAAATTCTATTGCAAAAATATATTATTATATCATAAATTTTTCTTAGACAAAACTTGGGTATCAATTCTAAGACCTTGTATTATGCATAATAATATCAAAATATCAAAATAGTCTATCTCTTGTATTATGAATAATATCAAAATTGTCTGTCTCTATATAGGTATGGTTAAAAACCGAACACAGTCTAACGTCCAAAAATTCTCCTAATTATTAGAAAACTCATGCTCAGTGTTCTTTTGAAGTCATATATTAAAAGTTCAAATTTTTATGTAAAAAATTCTGTTCTGATTAGGACAATCACCATATTCAAATGTATTTGCTGGGTATCCATTAAACAGGTATAAAAGACCTGTTGTATCAGATGGGAGGAATAAATACATGCAGGTTCTAATTTCCCTAATTAAGACCAAAGCCCTTCCCTATCCAATTAATCGTTAGAAAAGTGAAAATACTTCCAATTATTATTACAACTTGAAAATTTCAACGTATTAATTTATTCCTAGAGAACTTAAATTTGATCTAACAGGCACACACTATTTTTAAAACTGTTATAAACAAATAGTCCTCTTCAGTAACCCACCAATTTACTGCTCTTTGATTATTTTTTTACCCACATGCATGCATACATTTATATATTGTTGAAAGTGAAGATATAATTTTGATGTGTTTAAAATTTAAACAATTCTATTTTTCATAATCTTTTAGTCTTAATATTTATCATATTAAAAATATGCATTTTTTCCAGAGAGTATCTTCAGGCATTTCAGAATTTTCCTAATCTTTCATATGTAGGTTATATTCTCTACTTCTTGCTGTTAGAAGTAACACTGCAAATACTTTTTCTTTCATCTGTATTTCTTGCGTAGGGTAAATTCTCAGAACTGGGACTATTAGATCAAAGGATGTTATTTTTTTTTATTCTTAGACAATCTTTGGTGGAAGCCTTCTGTCAGCATAAAGTTGCCTAATCAATCTTAATTTATACGAATGTTTTTTTTTAAATAATTAGCAAAGTCTGTATAGAATAAAAGTTGCATTTAATTTTAAAATTCCATAGTACTCTCAGTATCCATTTAAAGAAGCCAACTTGTTAGAATTTGTTTGAAAAGAATTAATGTGTTAGCCTGATTATGAGGTTATTTATTAAATGATGATGTAATGATTGTCTTCTAGGGTCCATCTCTCCTCAGCTAAAACAAAAATGAAAAAACACTCAATTTAGCCCTTCCCCATCTCACAGACATAAATCCAGTGTAAAATGTCTGGCACATTCCTTCAGTAATTCCCTTAGGTACTGGGGAATTTTACAACTTCTACAGCTGCAATTTTATTTAAACTTAGATGAGAGTGGGGAAGAGGGAAAGATTATTAAAGAAAAGATGACAGCCATCTGTTCTCCCCTTCATAATGAGATAAGAAAAGAAGATGTAGAATTAAATTTATTTTAGAAAAAAAGGCTAAGATACAAAAAAATTTTGAAAGCAGTGTACTAAAAGAATAGGTCAGTAGAAAACATTTTATCTTGGCCTAGTTTGCATCTTTAGGATACAGTTTCATCTTATTCATACTCTATGAGATTCGTAAGATGACTTATTTATATACCTTCTATTCTTTCATTCTTATCACCTCTTTAATGCCAAAATCAACCTTGTATGAGGGTGGTGCTAATGGCCTGTGAGAAATTAGCACCCAGACTAGGACTAAAGTAGAGTCTCCCTCACCATTTTGATGTTGAAGGAGGGACTTTTCTTATCTATAGCTCCTATTTCTGTAAAATATAAAATAAGTATCATTCTGTAAAATATCTGTAAAAGAAATATAAGATAGACTGGATGGTCTGTAAAATTATGGCTTAGTCTCAGAATCCTCATGCTAAGTTCATTAATTATGGCACTGTAAGATACTCTGTATAAACAATGTAGGAAAATAAGAGATATTAACCAATTAAGACAGAACACTTCAACAGAAAACTTCTCATAGTTAAATTTGGACCCAATGGATCCAAATCTTTTGTATAATTCTTTTTGTTAAATGGTTTAGTTTATAAAATGTGTTGATTATCTATAGAGAAAATTACAAATAAAATTCTACTTGAATCTATTTGGTTTATGAGAAATCCCATGAAAAGTTAATATGAAAGTTTCCTAATAGTTAATCCTGAAGTTTTGTCTACCAGCAAGTTAATGGACAGACTCAAACATGAGACCTAGTTTTAAAAAGTCATAAATCTTTAAAATTAATTTTGAAAGCTTTGGTCCACCTATCATCTTTTAATATGAATGGTTTTCAAATAGTTTTAAATAGCTCTGAAACATTTTTAAAAATCAAACTGAGCCAGGTGCAGTGATGTGCACCCGTAGTACCAGCTACTCAGAAGGCTGAAGCTGGAGGATTGCTTGAGTGACACCTCATCTCTTAAAAAACAAACAAAGAATCAAACTGAGATGCTTGACACTGAGAACAGTATAGAAACTATGAGAAATATATATTAGGAAAGAACTATTTGAAGGTTCTTGCCTTCTTTTTGTAAACCCAGTGACTATTTAAAGGAAGTATCTCAAACTTTGAATCTGTTTCTCTTTGTACTCTATATTAGAAAATATGACGATATGAACTTCAGTAAGGGATTCCATCCATCCTTTATCCTAAAAGAACCATTGATATTAGAGGATGTTATTCACTACTGTCAGAATCACCAAATAGCACACTATTAAGTTAGTCCGAGTCCATCAGTGGTTCTATAAAAACGACACGGCCAAGATATTAAAGTGACAAAACCCACATTTCCCAAAGAAGGCATATTTTATGGAAATAAATCATGTAGCCTGTATATGTAACCAAATGCCACTTCAGCATATTCACAAGAACTAGACTCAAAAGTTAAGTGGTAAATGTCTTAACATTCAAAATTTCGTATGGCTTCTTTATTACTGCGACCTTACTATGATGAAAATCTATTTCTCCTTATAACCACTGGAAAGGTTTCTGGCACAGGTTTGATACAAAAGCATCCCTAATCATGAAACCATTTTAAATGAATTTTTTAAACACTGAGGCTCAATAAGACTTTCACAGATTTAAAAGGAAAAAGAAAGTTCAAAACTAAGTGAGACAAATTAGTCCAATTACTTATACTTCTCAAACTCATCATAACTAGGAGGGACTAATTAATAGGGATTGATGAGAACAGATGGAGTGGCATTGCTAGTCACAGCCTCTTAGCTGGATCAGACTGCATTGGTTGAGACAAGCATCACAAAAAAAGAAGTGGTAGCTGTATTTGAAAATGACATGAATACCAATTGATGAAAGGAAACTGTTTTACAAACCAAATCAACTTCTAACTACAGATTAAATTAATAACATAATTAAGATCTTGATAAATCAGGCATTCTACCATAAAACCTTCAAAGCACAAAGCCATAAAACCATTTTTATAAACTAATTTTAATCCATCAGTTGCTTCATAAAGAGTTTCAATAAATATACCCACTGTTCTTTCTTAACATCTTATTTAAAAATAATTATAGTCACAGGAAGTTTCAAAGGAATGTACAGAGATGTCCCACGTACTTTTCCTTCAGTGTCCAATGTTAACATCTAACACCGCTATAACATAATACCAACAAATTGAGTTCAATACGATCCATAGAGCTTATTCAGATTTCACTAGTTATTTATTTTTTTTTGAGATGGAGTTTCACTCTGTTGCCCAGGCTGGAGTGCAGTGGCGCCATCTCGGCTCACTGCAACCTCCACCTCCCGGGGTCAAGTGATTCTCCTGCCTCAGCCTCCCAAGTGGCTGGGATTACAGGCATGTGCCACCACGCCTGGCTCATTTTTCTATTTTTAGTACAGAAGGGGGTTTGCCATGTTGGCCTGGCTGGTCTGCCTGCCTCGGTCGCCCAAAGTGCTAAGATTACAGGCATGAGCTACCGTGCCTGGCCTGATTTCACTGGTTATAAATGCACTTGTTTGCATAATTTTATCTCAGGTAGTCTTGTGTTACATGGCCACCACTAACATCAAGATACGCAACTGTATTGCTCCCCACATTCCTCCTCTGTAACCACTAATCTTTTGTAACTACTAATCTTTTGTAAACAATTAATAAACAAAAAAAGGTCAATCCACTGTTCTATGTTAGCCATAGTATCAAAAGTAGATATGTTAACTATTAAGGAGTAGAAAATAATCGTGTATGAGCTTTCTTTTCATTTTAAGTCCCAAGAGAATCCAAGTAGAAATGTAAATGAGTGACAGCAGGGAAGGTGACAGGCAGCTCTGAAGGTGATGGTGGGTTGACTATCAGCAAGAAGAGGGGAACAGGTATACATTTTCAGTGGAGGTTGAGATAGCTGGTATAGTGACTCCAACTAAAGTAGTAAAAGGCAGTCAATTTCCCAACAGCTTCCTAAAAATACTGGATTAAATTAACTAAGACCAAAAGGGTGTTATGCAGGTAATCATAAAGGAAAAGCAATAAATTGCTTTCATTTCACAGACATGTCATGCAGTATATTTAAAACATGTGTTATTAAATTCAATATATCATTTAACAGTAACATGAATCGCTTAGGCTTAAAAGTATACTATGTACTCCATTTACTTTTCATTGAAATAGTTGGTATTGTAGGAAAAAAGACTTTAAAACCAGAACATATGTATATACATTTACTAAGGACATCTAAATGACACCATAAATATGAGAAGCTTTTTCTTTTTTTCTTTTTTTTGAGACAGAGTCTCATTCTGTTGCCCAGGCTGGAGTGCAGTGGCACCATCTTGGCTCACTGCAAGCTCCACCTCCCAGGTTCACGCCATTCTCCTGCCTTAGCCTCCCAAGTAGCTGGGACTACAGGCGCCCGCCACCACGCCCGGCTAATTTTTTTGTATTTTTAGTAGAGACAGGGCTTCACCGTGTTAGCCAGGATGATCTCGATCTCCTGGCCTTGTGATCCGCCCACCTGGGCCTCCCAAAGTGCTGGGATTACAGGCTTGAGCCACCACGCCCAGCCAGAAGCTTTTCCAAAATGCAGTGACTAACCAGAGGTAAGAAAATTAACATCAAGTTCCTTAATCACAGGCATTAATAACCATGAAAAACAAAACTAGTCTAATTCATTTCTTAATTCTCTCAAATCCAACACTTACATTCAAATTTTAGAATCCAGCATCCATTGAGAATCCCAAGCATACACTTCAAGGTACTTTGAACTGCATCACCAGGAACAACAACATGAGTTACTAAAATACAAAAAAAGCAGTAAGAGAAAGAAAGATACAAGCCAAAGTATTTCTTTGGCCTGCTTCTTATAACTCATCTATATTTTGTAAGCTTATATCTGAATCTTCAAAGGCAACAATTTTTACACTTAAGTGTAAGACTACTTCTATTTAGTATCTAGTTCTCTAACCTGGCCATCAATATGAAAAATCAGATCATAAACCATATATCTTAAAGCCATATTGGCAAACACAAATTTTTATTTTCAAATTACAGCTAAGGGATTATGACATTACACTGCACAACAATTTATTTGTCACTAGCAAAAGTCACAAATTTGCTCTTCTGAAATACTGTCTTGTCCTAAAATATATGCAAACCTTTAAACTTTACATTTCCTAACTACGTTGTTGTCTATAAGTAGTTTATTACTGAAAAAAAATTTAGATGTATTACAAGATGCAAAGTATACAGCCATCTCCCAATGGTTAAAACATATGTAAATTATCAAAGGTAGTTCTCCAAAAGGATCATCTATTTAACATTTTTTCTACCCCACCTCCCAAAATTCAAAATCCTCACCTGTACTGTCAAACTCAGTATATTTTTTAGCCTTAAGAATTACTGCAAGCTCACTGAGCATTTTCTGTTGTTCTGAAGACAGCCCACTGCCTATAAGTACAAGAGGTCCATCCCTACGCTGCCCAGTGTTCATCTGTTAATATAAAAGGAGATACCAGTGTTAAAAACATTAGACGACTAGACAAAGACATTAAACAGACTGTTACTTGATATAAGCTTGAATTTCATTACTTAGTTTACTCTAATAATTTTCAATTATTTCCATTGAATCTACACCCAGAACCTTTTAAATAAATTTTTTCTCTTTATTTTTCCCTCAAGAAAATGTCAATTGTGATAGCTCTCTATACCCAGGGCATCTCATTTCTTCAATTTTAAATTGGGTCTCTCTAGGGTTTTACTTCATTCAGTCACCAGTAAGTCTTTTTCTTTTCCCAAGTAACTTAAAATATCCACTTAAAATCAGCAATTCCCTATTCCACCTCCACTAACTTGTCCCAATAGAGTTAAAATCAAACTTGTTTAGTTTAAACTGAGATTATCTGAAAAATCAAAGAATGCCAAGGCTTCTAGAACAGTGCTGACCTCAAAGATAGAAAACAAATTAGCATCAAAATAGTAACCCCTCAAAACTAGGAAAAGATAAAAACAGACAAGTTAATTCAAAACTTAGGAGATCAGATCCATAAATAGTAAGAAGTCCATATAGCTCACGACTAAGAAAGAAGTGCTGTAACAAAGACTAATAGTTTCACTTTAAAATCTAGACTTAGAATTCACAGAAGACAAAAAAGACAAAAATAAAGAGAAGGTAAGAGTGGACAGCATTAAAGCTGAGAAGTGAAAGACTCCAGGAAACAATATATGTCCATATATATATATATTTCCATAAAAGTGTTTGTAAATGACAGAATTCAGCACTTAAAAGTTCAGCTCATCTTTCCTAGTCACTAAATTGTAAGATGATGTAACCACATCTAACCTAAACGCTATAAACCCTCCTCACATAGACCTAAAACCATTAAAAACCCTAGAAGAAAACGTAGGCAATACCATTCAGGACATAGGCATGGGCAAGGACTTCATGTCTAAAACACCAAAAGCAATGGCAACAAAAGCCAAAATTGACAAATGGGATCTCATTAAACTAAAGAGCTTCTGCACAGCAAAAGAAACTACCATCAGAGTGAACAGGCAACCTACAGAATGGGAGAAAATTTTTGCAACCTACTCATCTGACAAAGGGCTAATATCCAGGATCTACAATGAACTCAAACAAATTTACAAGAAAAAAACAAACAACCCCATCAACAAGTGGGCGAAGGATATGAACAGACACTTCTCAAAAGAAGACATTTATGCAGCCAAAAAACACATGAAAAAATGCTCATCATCACTGGCCATCAGAGAAATGCAAATCAAAACCACAGTGAGATACCATCTCACACTAGTTAGAATGGCTATCATTAAAAAGTCAGGAAACAACAGGTGTTGGAGAGGATGTGGAGAAATAGGAACACTTTTACACTGTTAGTGGGACTGTAAACTAGTTCAACCTTTGTGGAAGTCAGTGTGGCGATTCCTCAGGGATCTAGAACTGGAAATACCATTTGACCCAGCCATCCCATTACTGGGTATATACCCAAAGGATTATAAATCGTGCTGCTATAAAGACACATGCACACGTATGTTTACTGCGGCACTATTCACAATAGCAAAGACTTGGAACCAACCCAAATGTCCAACAACGATAGACTGGATTAAGAAAATGTGGCACATATATACCATGGAATACTATGCAGCCATAAAAAAGGATGAGTTCATGTCCTTTGTAGGGACATGGATGAAACTGGAAACCATCATTCTCAGCAAACTATTGCAAGGATAAAAAACCAAACACCGCATGTTCTCACTCATAGGTGGGAATTGAACAATGAGAACACATGGACACAGGAAGGGGAACATCACACTCTGGGGACTGTTGTGGGGTGGGGGGAGGGGGGAGGGATAGCATTAGGAGATATACCTAATGCTAAATGACGAGTTAATGGGTGCAGCACACCAACATGACACATGTATACATATGTAACAAACCTGCACGTTGTGCACATGTACCCTAAAACTTAAAGTATAATAATAATAAAATAAAATAAAATAAAATAAAAAATAAAAAAATTAAAAAAGGAAAATATTCAGTGTACTTTATGGATTGTTCAATTACTCTTTGATAATATTTAAAAACACTACAGTATTTCAAAAATTCTTAAGTTACACAAATACCATAAAAATAGCTCTAAACAGAACACATTACTTCTCAATTTATATAACTCCACTTCAGCTACATTAGTTCTCTGCACAAAACACAAGAGTGAAAAAGATATCATTTCTAAATATAGCATATGATACTATTTCTACCAACCCAAGGAAAGCACCAAAGTGGGTCAAGTATTTTCCTATCATACTTTTAAAAATTTGCATAAAAAATAGAAACTGGCACTAATTTCTCACAGTTAAAGAGTGCTATAATAAAACATAAAGCAAACAGCTGCCAAAGCCACATGTCTGATTTGGGGTGAGGTGGCATGGGGGCTGGGGATTTGACTTGAATAAGCATAGGTCTCTGACCCATGAGGCTCAAAAGAGGTACAAAAAACACCCCAAAGGTTTAATACCCTGATTTTATAGAGATTAGATACTATGTTCATTAGCATTAAATTCAAAGGAATAATTAAATAGGGTACTTTTTCTTAGATAAAATCATTAGTTTTTCTTAAGTTCATCAAAAATGGGGTTAAAAAATCTAGAAAAAAAATTAAAAAGGTAAACATGCTGCTTAAAATGAATCACAAACAGAGAAGTCTCAAAATGAATGAATGATAAGGAGTTTTTTAAATTTTTAAAAGATTAGAGGTTGCTTCTCAAAGCAGATTTCCAACAGCCACTAAATTTTACTTAAAACATAAAAATTCTAAAGAGAAAGGAGAGAAATTCAAACCCCTTCCTTTAGGGAAGCAGTGAGCTGCTTCCCTAAAGCAGCTCACTGGAGATCACTGATTTAAAGGGTTCCCAATGACGCTACCAAGCACTTGTGCTTGTTTCAGAGGCAAGTATGTATCATAAAGAATACTCTAATGTTCCTTCATGCATTCAGCACACACTGAACACTCAGTATGTGCCAAACACTGTTCTCAATGCTAGGGCTACTATAGTAAACAGAAGAGCCAGCCCCTGCCCTCACACAGTTTATATTCTAGTTGAGAGGGGAAAACAACACAAGAAAATAAAAATACATTACATCAAATGAGAAATAGTATGGTACAACACACCAGGGGAAGGGGGTTAGACAGCACTGGGAGGTTGCTATTTACTGTGCAGTGGCACAGAGCCCTCTCTGCTAAGACGATGCTAGAGCTGGGTCTGAAGGGTGTGAGGAAGCTGGCCATGGGAACATCTAGTTCCTGGAAAAAAAAAAAAAAACTAAACAAGTGGTGCTGCACACCTGAAATGAGAGTATGTTTGGTGGACTCAAGACACAGTAAGGCAGCCCATGTGACTGAAAAAGAGTGAGTGAAGAAGAGACTGGTAGTGGCTGGGGGAAGGTATATTCCAGAGGTTCCATCTTTAAGGACTGCACATTAAGAAACTACCCTTTAAACCTGAAGGACTTGATATTATCTTTTCCTTAGCCAAGTACCAACCATTAAGACAGTAAATAGTAAAACTCAAAAGGCCATGTCTACATGACATGCCCAAAGTATAGGTCTCTTCCATGTAATAAAAACCCTCCTTTTCTGAAAGGCACTGCCACCCCCAGACTCCAAGAATACCATAAAGATATCTTTATTCTTGACACATTTAAAGTAATCATTTTCCAGCTTTTACATAAAAGGAACATCAGCAAAGGACAACTTGGTTATGCTATGCTCTGTCAGACTTCAAGTACAAATGAAGAAAACAAGTCAATTTATAGTTGCTGAGTACGGTGGGACTGAATTGAGTACCGACCTAAGTTTTAAGAAATGTGAGTTTTAACTGGTCCATTAATAAAGAAAAAAACAACCTTTTTTTTTTTTTAATGGCTGGTTAACCCTGGGGCAAATCATAGCCTCTTTAGGTCTCACTTTTCTCATTTGTAAAGTGAGAAAATTAAACTGCTGATTTCTAGCTTCTCTTCCAATTCATTACCAAAACTATAGTTTGGAACAGATTTATAAGGCTGAAGTCTAAAGCAGAAGACATAGGGTTTTCAAGATATGAAAGCAACTAGCTCATGAAAGCATCTATGAGAGTATCAAACTGTAGCTACCTTAGGCTACCTCCTTATCTTAAACAATGGCATCTACTACTACTCTTGTGAATGATCCTTGACCTCAGCTCCTCCCTTTCTGTTACTTTCCCCCATCTGAGCAGTACTGGGATCTGGTGAGTCTACCAACTCTCTCTAAAACTCTTCTTCTTCTCTCCATCCCCACATAACTACCATCTATAATTCCAGTCCTCAGCATTTCAAACCTGGTCTCCACTACTGCAGCCTCCCAATCAGCCTTCAGTCTCTTCCTACTCCCAGCTAGCCTGCAGACAGTCCTATTTCAGTTATAAACACACTGAAGGTACCCTATTAAGTCTAAACTCGTATCAGGGAATTTAAGGCTTTTCACAATCTGGTCCCAACCTAACCCTTTACCCTGAATCCCTCTTAAACACACGTCATACTCCTCTCACAGTAAATGCTATAGTTTCTCAAATTCCTAAGGTCCTTTATGCCTCCTTGTCTCTGAGCAGCTGTTCCTTAGATTTGGGCTGCCATTCTCACTTTGTACACCTGACTGCAGTGGGGAATGTTGGCTGTTACACTCAAAATCTATTGCTCACTTCCTCCACACTAACAGAAGCCCAGTTTTGTTCAGGTAGCCCCCCTTTCAAAGACTGACCCTAACCTCCAGCCCCAGGAGGGGCTGTCAAAATCAATTTCTGACAATAAGACACAGGGGAAGTCCACGGAAAGGCTTCAGGGAAAGACTTTAGTGTCTCTTTTTCAGTTGGCCACTGTCATATCTAGAATTGTGGCAATCATTCGACAACCATTAAAGGAAACTTCTTAGTGAGGACAAATCCCCCAAACTGAGGATGGCAAGGTAAAGAGATACAAAGAATTTGGTTCCTTGATGCAACCACTAAGTGCTAAATTAAGCAAATGCAGAGCTATCCTGCATTGGGATTAATTCTATATAAAGTAATAAATTGTCTTCAAGCATTTGAGAAAAGGTTTTCTGTTACTGGCAGCCAACAGCATTCTATTAGACACTCTGCTAAAATGTTTACCCTGAAAGACTTAGGACACCTTTCTCTGTGAAATTCTGTGTGTGTGTGTGTGTGTGTGTGTGTGTGTGTGTGTGTATATATATATATATATATATATATATATATATATTTTTTTTTTTTTTTTTTTTTTTTTTGAGACAGTCTTGTTCTGTTACCCAGGATGGAATGCAGTGGCCTGATCTCGGCTCACTGCAACCTTTACTTCCCGGGTTCAATCAATTATCGTGCCTCAGTCTCCCTAGTAGCTGGGACTACAGACGCATACCGCCACACTCAGCTAATTTTTGTATTTTTCATAGAGATGGGATGGGGTTTCACCATGTTGACCAAGCAGGTCTCAGACTCCTGACCTCAAGTGATCCACCCGCCCCAGCCTCCCAAAGTGCTGGGATTACAGGTGCGATCCACTGCACCTGGCCTTTCTGTGAAATTTTTCCTGACATCTCCTGTAGTTTCTACTTACTTTGATTCTACTGTATATTTTTATAGCTTATTTTACAAATTTATTACAATGTACAGTAAAAGTTTTTATATCTGAAATCCCTGCTAAGCTATGGGTTCCTAAGAAACAGGCATTCTTTCCACTTTATCTCTAGCTTGTACCTCTCTCCTAAGCTCCAGACTTTCATATCCAATTATCTATTCGATATCTCCATTTCATGTTTTACAGACATCAAATTGGCACATAGAACTATTGATTTCCTTCTCCATGGCAACAAATGGCATTACCATCTATTTCCCTGCTAAGGTCATACTTATTCCATTCTTTTCCCACACTTCATATGTAATCTATCCGAAAGTCCCGTTTTGATGCTCGCTAGTCTCCAGCAATAACAAACTTCTTTCTAACCTTCCAACATACCAGCCTCATTCACTGAAGGGCCTATACACTGTGTCCTCCAGATAGTCACCTGGCAGCCTCCTCACTTCAACATTCAGGCTTCAATTCAAATCAGTGCTTTAAGGCTCCACTCTGTGACCCTAGCTAAAGCAATGGCCTTGCAGAAGCCCACTACCTCCACCCAACGACACTCTACAACATCTTCGAAACACTCATGTCTAAGTGTCTGAAATTATTTTATTTATATTAGTTCAATATTTACAGTTTGTCTCTTTCCTACCTCTCACCAGATGGTAAGCTCCTCCCTGAGAATAAGAGTTCTACCAGTCATATTCATTGTTTTATGAATGCTGCCTAAAATACAGAGTGGGCTCAATAAGTATTTCTAGATGGTCGTACTGTGATTATGTCTTTGAATCCACAGTAGCTAATACTCAGGAAGTGCTCAATAATTGTTTGGTGAATGTAAGCAATTGGTCAAATGGAAATTTTTCTATTATGTTCCTTTCATAACCAATTTTAATAAAATATATAAATGTCCCAAAGCTAAATCCATACTTACTACTGAGCAGTGGCTAGCTGAGGATGATTCATTCTTCTCTGGTAGCAGCAATAGCGATTTCATACTTTCATCATCTGTATAATCGACAGGCCGCAGACCAAATATATTACTGGTAAAATAAGTGCAGATGTGTTTAAGTAAGTCAAATGTGTGACTCGACTCAATTTTTCAACATCCTTAATAATATACAATTTTAACTAAAATAAATTACTCAGAACTCATATTAGGCAGAAGAATCTAGAATCAAAAGCTGCTGAACTCAAAGGAGAAATGATGTAAAATTTCAGTTTGACATCAGATTATAGGGATTGTTTTTACTGAATATAGTATTATGAATTTTTCACAACTGTATTCTGCATTCTTATTCATATTAAAATATGGCTTCATAATCACCAATCACTATAAGTGACAGACTTTCAAATGCCAATAAAAATCATTTACTATAGCTATTATAGGCCATATAGTCTTTATAAACCAATAAAAAATTAGATAAATTCACAGGACAGGGATTTTGTTCTACTAGAAGGAAAATTATGCCACATAACAAACAGTTTAATAATATAGTTAACAGGGTACTTTAAAAATTAATTTAAACATGTGTGCATACAATAACCTATAATAATCACAACCATCGCAGAACAAAGTATTATGGCTCAGAGAGATACAAACTTCTCAGCATGTACTAATTCACAAGTCACAGAATGTTACGCTGGAAGAGATTTTAGAGATCCCAGTTTGATCCTGTTCAAGATAAGAAAAAAAAGAGAGAAGAACAAGTTCCAATGGCTTAACTAAGGTCATATTCTCCTTGTTCAATTTCACTGAAATTAAATATTGCCCAGCCTAAAGTCTTTCAATTATAAGTAACTTGTTAAAACTAAAGGACTTCTGTCTACTATTCTGTTTCCTTACATATGGTTTCAGAATATGATTTAAATACACTATACCATGGCAAGAAGTTTTCAAAATGAGCAATTCTTTTATAGTCTTCTATGTTTTTTTTAAAGATTATGCTATATTCATATAATGGCCACAGAAGTCCATGTGAAAATCCAATGCAGTAAATGGGACATGAAGTTATAAACATGGTATAATACTAATTCTGTAAATTGTATCAAATGTATAGAAAAAGATCTGGAAGGAAACAGAGAGAAACATTAGGGGAAGTGAAAGGTAGAAAAATGCCAATTCCGTTTGATGCTGCAGAGAGAGATCATGTAGATGAGGGATATAAGCATCTACTGAGTTCACAGACAAGGTCACTAATGACCTTGGTGAAAACTGTTTTGATGGCAGAGTGGGAAAAGAAAGCTAATGTATTAGAATAAGAAATGAACCACAGCAAATGTTTCTCTAATGACTGCAATTCGTGACTATCAGGTCCAATTGCTTTCTTCTTTGGACAGTCCTGGGTAAACACTGACAAGTTTGTATTCTGACTCTTCTTTATGTCCAAGTCCAACAACCTTCCTCTGGCAACAGTCTTTCTCCAGCCAAGATATAATACAGCGGATTGCATTTCAGCTTTATAATTTAAAACAAAGTGACACATGTCACAGTATACATTTACAGCAGACAATCTCAGGGTATTTTAAAAGAAACTCATCCACTATTCTTGATACTTCCTAATTCATTCTCTAAATTATTATGCTCATATACCAACTACACAATCTCCTCACCCACATATGCTATACATATGACAATCAAAAAATAGAAATCTGAGTTGAAGAACCAATGTTCTAGGTCTTAAACCACCAAGTGCAAAAATGAATAAACAAAACAACAACAACATATAATGGCCACATTATATGCCATCCAAAAAAAAAAATCATAACTGCATAGCCATGATTGCACCATGGTACTCCAGCCTGAGCAAGAGATACTGTTTCAACAAAAAAAGAAAAAATGAGAAAAAAAAAAATCCATGCATACACTAGGACTTTTTGACAGAGACAAACATAGACCTTACACCTCAAAAAAATAAAATCTAAGAGCCCAATCAAGTGCACTTTAATGCACAGCAACTGAATCACATTAGCATAGTTATTTTACACATATTTGAAAAAAAGTGCATGATGACAACATGAAAAACTGTTCAAGTGCTTCTCAAAGTACCACCATCAGCTAGGGAGGAATATAAACCAAAAATCAGCCAGTAAAACATGGTCTAAGCCAGTAAGATGATTTTACAAAGTGACTACCAGAGTTCCAATTTACATTTAGGATCCTTACTATACAAAGCTTACTATGTCATATGGTCTTAAAACATGTGGTTTCTCTGCTTGGATTATGGATGGCTTCTGCTCACACACAATTCACTAAACTCTTAGCCCTCCTGTAACGCTAATGAACTGAATGGCACATTACAAGTGCTACAGATGGAAAGATAATCAGTTTACCTCAGTCCTGCATCATGGGAAATAGAGCCTATTAAATCCAGTCATGTTGCTTCTGCTTTGTCATGAACCATTAAAATTTGGAAGTAGATGTAAGTTTACATGTGGGACGTTCAAAGACCATAGCAAGAGAAGATGGGGCATGTGTAAGATTTCTTATTATTTGGGCACAATAATGTGTGCTTTCTTCCCACTGATGTATTTTAACAGACTAACACTTTAGTTAGAGAATTAGTGTGAAAAATCAATTTAAAATACACAGAGGTGGATTTTATTCCCATTGTAAAACTAATAGGTACTACATACAGGAAAAGTTATGTTGAAATGTATCTCAGGAACTATTAACATGACTTATTACTAAATAGAGAAGTCAGTGATAAATACATTATTCTTCATCACTATACAAGGGAAGAAGACTCTTTTTTAGATTTACTACATCATGGACTCAAAACAGACATCAATAACTTGATTTGATATTTATTAGAATGGGTTACTGGGGAAGCTTATAAAATGGCTTTTTCTAAATACACTTAAATATAGTAAATTCTCTCTTTTCTAGCATGATTTAACCTAAAGTTTTACCAAACTAGGTGTTTTGGAGGGACACATAAGACTTAGAAAAACACTGTCCTTGCCTATAATCCTACTGAGGATAAACGTTCATTCAACAAACAGGTATCAAACTGATAAAGTATAAACCCAAACAAGTAATGAGGTGAAATAGAAGATAAGATTTAAATGGCCTTGATCCCAGGACTAGAAACTGGAATATGGTGGTTAACTGTTAAGGGGCCGTGTAGGGAATAAGCAACATGATTACTGAAATGGATGCAACTGATGGAAGAAAGCTTTCTATCAAACCTTCTAGGCACTGTGTGCTCATGTGTAGAAACCAAACACAGTATGAAAAACCAATGAAAAAATCAGATATAAAGCAATGAACATTACAGACACAAAGCGTATGTTGCTGTGAAAATGGAAAGGCACATGTGTCTACTAGCTAAATGACATGGGTCAATGCAACACCAAAATATTTAAAACTATTTTGGAATATATGAAAATGTCGAGATCTTAACTGCTGAATTTACATCTAGTACACGACAGTATATTAATATCTTTTACATGTACCACTTTCGACAGTCAGTTCTTTTAATGCCTTATCAACGGACAGTCGCGAATTCAGTGAATTGAAAATGATTATATGTAGATAATATACTTTACCTATACTGATAAGGTTTCTATTTGTGTCCCCGCCCAAATCTCATGTCAAATTATAATTCCCAATGCTGGAGGTGGGGCCTGGTGGGAAGTGACTGGATCATGGGGGCGGATTTCCTCCTTGCTGTTCTTGTGATAGTGATTGAGTCCTCACCAGATCTGGTTGTTTAAAAGGGTGTAGCACTAATGACCAGGAAAATGCAAATCAAAACCATATTGATACCACCTTACTCCTGCAAGAATGGGCATAATTAAAAAATAAAAAAATAACAGATGTTGGCATAGATGTGGTAAACAGGGAACACTTCTACACTGTTGGTGGAAATGTAAACTAGTACAACCACTATGGAAAACAGTGGAGATTCCTTAAAGAACTAAAAGTAGAGCTACCATTTGATCCAGCAATCCCACTACTGGGTGTCTACCCAGAGGAAAAGAAGTCATGATATGAAAAAGATACATGCACATGCATGTTTATAGCAGCACAATTTGCAACTGCAAAAATGTGGAACCAACCCAAATGCCCATCAATCAATGAGTGGATAAAGAAACTGTGGTGTATATATACAATAGAATACCACTCAGCCATAAAAATGAATGAACTAATGGCATTCACAGCAACCTGGATGGGACTGGAGACTATTATTCTAGGTGACGTAACTCAGGAGGGAAAATCAAACATTGTATGTTCTCATTCATAAGTGGAAGCTAAGCTATGGGGATGCAAAGGCATAAGAATGACACAACAGACTTCACGGACTCAAGGGGAAAAGGTGGGAAGGTGGTGAAGGATAAAAGACTACAAACTGGGTTCAGTGTGTACTGCTCGGGTGATGGGTACACCACAATCTCACAAATCACCACTAAAAAACTTACTTGTGTAACCAAATACCACTTGTTCCCAAAAACCTATGGAAATAAAAAAATTATAATAAATAAATAAATTAAAAGGCTGCAGCACCTCCTCGCCTCTTCCTCCTGCTCTGACCACGTAAGATGTGCCTGCTTCCCCTTCATCTCCCACCATGACTGTAAGTTTCCTGAGGCCCTTCCTGTATAGCCTGGGGAGCCATGAGCCAATTAAACCTCTTTTCCTTATAAATTACCCAGTCTCAGGTGTTTCACAGCAGTATGAAAAGGGACTAATACATATACTGAATCCTAAAAATTCAAAGGCTCTAATTTTTTTTCTGTTCCTTGACAACACAGTACACTGGCAGATTTCACCAGTTTTTTTTTTTTCTAATGTACTCTTGCGCTATTCCTTTACCTATGATTTTAAATCATAATGTGGAAAATATGCTTTATAAAATCTTTAAAGATATGACTGGAGATTTTACATTTTAAAATCTTGAACAGACAATCCAGGTGTTCATGTGTCATTGCTTTTTGCTATCTAAAATGTAGTATGAAATACTGGATGATTTGTTACTGATGTTGATAGAACCTATGTGAAAATGGATATATGTATTAATATACATAATGCATGATATATATATTGCATATATCAGAAGTAGCAATAATCGTTTATTTATTTAACACACATGGAATGAATATATTTGTATAAACAAGTAGGGGGAAAAGTCACAAACTCTGTTTTGCAATTAGTTTGGAAAATAGTCATCATTCAGCAAATACTTTGAAAAAAATGTACCAACAACTTTTGGCACTATAGAAACAATGTCCTCACAGAACTCAGAGGAGGAAAGCAGAGAGGCACACAGAAAAGGTTTTGCAGTCTGGTAAAGCTCCCCAGACCTGAAAGGGTAAGGAAGAAAAGCGGGTACACAAACAGAATAAGAATATCCTAGCAGACAGAAAAGTGTGTGAAGGACTTTAAGTGAGATAGCACTTAGAACTTTTTAGAACCACCAAAAAAAAGGAAAAAAGGGGGTAAAGGGAGAGTGAGAGAAAGAGAGGGAATGTACCACAGGAATATGAGGTACTCTCGAACTGTAAGCTATGGTCAGATTATATAAGAACAAAGAGGAGGTGTTAAAGAGTTGGACTTCCTCCCAAAGGCAATAAGAAACCCTGAACAGCTTCCTAAATCATTGTAAGCAGGAGGGATGGCATCAACGTAGCATGGTAGTTAAGAGTTGGGGTTACCGAATAAGACTGCCTGAACTTACATTTCAGCCCTGCCACTCAAAAGTCTTATGACTTTACACGAATTACTTAAATCCCGTGCCTGTTTCCTCATTTATAAGATGGAAATAATAACACTATCTATTTTACAGGATTGTTGCCAGAATCAAATGAATACATCAAAAGCATTTAAAACAGTACCTAGCATATATGAACAGCTCAATAACTGCCATTATATTACTGTATTGGATTTGCATTTTTGGAAGACAGATACAGAATGAAGATAAGGGCACAAAATAAGTTATGTCTGGAGCATTAACCTCATATCTTCATTTTCCCCAATTTTATGATACAATTGATGCATGTTTTTCATGATAATCTGGAAGTTTACTAAGGGAAAGTATAGAATTATGTCTTCTTAACAACATTCTAAGAGTAGATTTTCATTTTCCCATGTGGCACTATCTAAAGAGTATGAACCACATAACTCTGAAAATCCTTTTCCTAACTAGGAATCCTTCTGATCCTGAAGATGAGGAAAAGGAAGTACTTATGAAAGGGCTAAACTGTGGTGTTCAATGTTTCAGTTTTGTCCCAAAGGCCACATTCAGGATGCAGTATAACCTTTTAATATCCTTTTCCCCTCAGTAATAATATGGCAGACACCTGCCTACAATGGTGATCTGAATTCATTACACCACTAATAAAAGAGAGAAAGGAGAGATGGGCAAATTTAAACTTGTACTTGCATGTACAGACCATCCAAACTGCAAAAACATATGCAAAAAGGCATTTTTACTAATACTAAATCTATCACGCATGACAGGATACCAAGAGAGTTCATGAATGAAACCCTTCATGAATAACTACAAAACTGCAAACATATAGATTTAATTTTTCAAGTCACTTTGCTTGCTATGGAGCAGGATAAAGCAGAGTAATTCAAACTAGCAACATGGGTTTTTAAAGCTATAAAACATAAATTATCTCTGGCAATTAATTTTTTAAAATTAACCTAGGGCAGTGGGACAATTAATAGGTCCAATGGTCCATGTAATATTTTCTACTTCAGAATTCAACATCCTTCCAAGGAAAACTGTTAATGGCAGATCAAGTACCACATTCTAAAATCCTACATATCCATTAAAAATAAAAAAAAAGAAGCACATGTTATTCGCCACACACTCAAAATGGTTCTCATGTGACCGTAAGAGCTGTGGTTCTAGCTTCACACTGGGATGTACAGAGGGCAGTGGGGAAGACAGATTACCAATGATGTTTTGAACAGTTATAAATACTCCCAGACAACAAAGATTATAAATCTTTTTTTCATGATCTAGGGTTAAAACAGAACTGACTTTCTTATTGTTTTAGCTCACAAAAGGTACTTTTTTTATGCAAAAAAAAATTAAGGGTTAAATGACTTAATACTGTTATTTAAATGCAAGACATATAAAAACAGTAAGTTGCCAGAATATTAGAGTTAAATCAAAACAAAAGAGAAAGTATGAAGTAGATATATGACTTTCCACTGTACATTCGAATCCTCCATAATTATAAAGATTTAGGGCCCAAAAACATTGCAGTAGGAAAATTAATAAAGAACACAGCCTCTATGGGAAAAAATAGGATTGGGAGACTTCACTGGTGAACTATAAAAGCTCATTTAATTTAAAATTAAATAGTGAAGATGGCAAATAAAGAGTATCATTGACTTTAAATTCATACCACAATATGGTTAATTCTTAGCTATTTTGCCTTGCCTTATAAGGTTTCAAGATTTCCCTCCACCAATATTCAATAGGACGCTTTTAAATTCACTTGGCTTTGCAGCAGATAATACTCCATTCTTTTTCCTATGTCTAGTCTTCCACACACATTCAATGTCTAACTTATATGACTGAGTTGGTTACTGTCCCCACTTCCTGGGCTACAAAAAAAGCTCTCAGTTATCTTTATATTTTATATGTCACTACTGAAAAGGTACTTCTTAAGCCTGGTCTCCAATATTTAAAGTCACATCTTACTTAGCACCATTCATGATACATTATTATTATTATTTGAGACCGAGTCTCGCTCTGTCCCCCAGGTTGGAGGGTGGTGGCACGATCTCGGCTTACTGCAACCTCCGCTTCCCAGGTTCAAGCGATTCTTGTGCCTCAGCCTCCCGAGTAGCTGGGACTACAGGCACACGCCGCCACACCCGGCTAATTTTTGTATTTTTAGTAGAGATGGGGTTTCACCATGTTGGCTAGGCTAGTCTCGAACTCCTGACCTCAAGTGATCCACCCGCCTCGGCCTCCCAAAGTGTTGGGATTACAGGCATGAGGCACTGCGCCAGGCCCATAACTTATTAATAATGCCAGAACATGTATCAGGATAAAACCTGGATTACTTAGCCCTCTTATACAAGCCTTCCTCTCTCCCAGTGACATCCGAGACTAACTCTATGGCTGGATTTTGTCTTAGTTTTTCTTCTCTCTCCTAGGGCTGCATTACAAAAATATTTACTCTTCTAATTCAAACTAATATTCTTACAGTAACAGGAAAGTTATAAAGTTAATCAAAATCACAGCCTCAGATAAAACGTCAAAATAGGTAAAAGTTTTACAGTTCACAGGGACTTTTTTCTTTTTTTTTTTTTTAGATGGAGTCTCGCTCTGTCGCCCAGGCTGGAGTGCAGTGGTGCGGTCTCGGCTCACTGCAACCTCCGCCTCCCGGGTTCACACCATTCTCCTGCCTCAGCCTCCCGAGTAGCTGGGACTACAGGCGCCCACCACCACGCCCAGCTAATTTTTTGTATTTTTAGTAGAGACGGGGTTTCACCGTGTTAGCCAGAATGGTCTCGATCTCCTGACCTCGGGATCCACCCGCCTTGGCTTCTCAATCCACAGGGACTTTTTAAGGATGAACTTGATGGGATAAAAAAAAAAAGTCCATTTTCTCTTTAGTGTCTGTATTTTATTATGAATACACTGGTCTATCAGAGTGATTACTACTAATAACAAAACTAGAGAGATCTCCAAAAATTATATAATATGTGAGTTATCAAAATAGATACTGTTATGCTAAGTTGGCAGGGGGCAGGATATTTCCAGAAGACATTCTATTCATGTTCCAGAGAAGAGGAAAGGTAAAAAGAAAAAAAAAAAAAGCATTCTGATTACTTTTTAGAAACTATGAGTATAATTTTGGTATCAAAATCCGAGGCAAAAAAATGAAAGATAAAAATCACAAATCACTCTAACTTATAATCATAAATGCAAAATTCCTAAAACCCTAGCAAATTCATGTAAAATTTGTGTTTAAATGATGCACAACACCAAGTCAAGGTTATCCCAGGAATACAAGCATTATTTAATATTTTTAAATGTATTAACAACATCAATAGTCAAAAAAGCATAAGCTTTGGGAGGCTGAGGTGGGAGGATCGCTTGAGCCCTGGAGTTCAAGACCAGCTTGGGCAACACAGTGAGACCCTATCTCAAAAACAAAAACAAAAAAAGTATAAGATCATCTCTGCAGAAGCTGAAAATCATTCAATAAAATAAAATACAGTCTTGTTAGAAAATAATAAAGGGAAGAAAGCTTCCACAGGGCAATAAAGAACATTAATCTTTGTATTTAATATGGATATTAGTATTGACTATAACTCTATGGGTCAGTACTTTTTTAAAAAAGGAAGAACAAAACAAGCAAGCCAACTATCATCATTATTGCATCATTCTGGAAGCACTGACAAATGCAATAAGAAATAGAAGTTAATAAATGATAATTAGATCTTTAGAATTAGGTGTTGACTGGATAGAAACGTACTAAATCAACAGCTCTCCTATATATCAAGAATAACAAATTATATTTATTAACACAATATCCAGTTTACTAGCAACAAATAATCAAATACTATACAGGTTGAGCATTGCTAATCCAAAAATCTGAAATTTGCAACGCTCCAAAATTGGAAACTTTTTGAGCACCAATATGACACAAGCGGAAAATTCCAAACACAGTACTTAAAAAACCATTTTAATGCATAAAATTGTTTAAAATATTGTATAAAATTACCTTCAGGCTATGTGTATAAAATGTTTATGAAACACAGATAAATTTCACATTTAGTCTTGAGAACCATCCCTAAGACATCTCATTACGTATATGCAAATATTCCAAAATCTGAAAGAAATCCCAAATACTTCTGATCCCAAGCATTTTGGGCAAGGGATACTCAGTCTATAACTAGAATAACCTCAATTAATAGGTATATGCATGTGTATACCTACATACATATATATGAAACAGACTAAAAACTTTACTAAGATATATATAACAGAATGCTTAAACAAATGGAGACATGCAGCTTGGTCCTGATTACTTTTTAGAAGCTATGAGTCTAACTTTGATATCAAAATCTACCGACAAGAAGTGAAAGATAAAATCACAAATCACTCTAACTTTTAAAATGCAAAATTCCTAAACAAAAACCTAGCAAACTGATGTATTCATTTAAAGAATAACACACGACATAAAGTTTATCAATCGACTTGATAGAAACCAACTTTATTAATCCACTGTATATACTTACCAATTTCAATCAACATCCTAATCGGTACTCCACTAGAATCTATGTACGTACCCAACTTCAAAACATCCTAATATGGTATTTTTGAAACAGTACAAAGTAAATCAAACTTCATTTGAAAGAATAAATTAATAAATATGGCTAATTCTCCACCCCACCCCCCTCCCACCACTACTGTCACTACTTTGATTTGACTCTCATCACTCCTTTCCTGGATTACTGGACAAACCTCTTAACTGAGTTCCCTCCCCAGTGTGAAGGAGGAGGTTTTCAACTTAAAATCAGCACTCTGTTTAGCACACACAGCCTTTCAAAGACCCTGCCCATCTTCTCTGGCCTCTCATCCTCCTCCATCCTTTTATTCCACTTACATCACTAACGGAAGTTCCTAGAATGAATGAAGAAGCAGTCTGGCCTTGAGTACCTTAGCACCCATATCTTATCTTTCTCAAAATCCCATCCTCCCGTTCTATTTTTTCAAAACTCGAAGTTCTTCTTCTTCCAGAAAGCCTTCTGTGACTTCCTCTGGTCTTACTTTCAGCCCTAGCTGAGACTTTCATACTACTGTGAGCACCGTGCTATGAAGGCATACCTCACACCATTCTATAATCAGTGCTTTAACAGACTGTTCACTGTTCACTCCTACTAGAACAGAAGCAGGCAGACAACTGAGGGGATGATGAGGCAAAGGAGCAATGGAGGGACTATGAGAAGACTTAAGAAGAAAGGAAGGCATCTAAGAGAAAACTTCAACCTTGAGGTCATGAAGAACACAGCCAAAATGTCTATGCTAGAGCTAAAGGAGGCCACTTAGAAATTTACAGTAAGCAAAAAGGACTTTACTTCTTCAATCAGCCAAAGTAGCAAACCCTAAAGAGGGTCAGACAGAATGGTGTTTGCCCTTGCTGGTTCTTACCCTTCTTCCATGGGAAGAGTTCAGGCCTGGTTATTGAGAAAAGAGTTCCAGCAAGAGTAAGAGATACAGTAAGCAGAGACAGAAAAAGTTTGTTTGCCAACTCAGATTCCAGAATTTGAGATGTTAATGGTTTATAAGGAGTAAGAGCTTCAGGAAGAAATAGAAGAGTAGTAAGAATCCCATAGTCTCCATGCTCCAGACCCCCTTCCCATGATCTCCTTAAGAAATGGAGGAAAGGGCAGGAATAAATTTCATCTATTCTCACCTGTTACTACCTAATTCTAGAAGACAGTCTCTAGAACATTGAGACAGCATGCACTTAAAAGTCAAGGCTATAGGAATTACTTTGGGTAGCCACAATCCCACAAAAAGTAACATGCCATGGATGCCAATTGGGCAAAAGCTGCCAGGAACCAGTTCAACCACCTTAGAAAAGGCACAGATATGGGAAACTTGGTTTTAGACATCTTGTCACACAGTAAAGGTAGTGGCAGAAGGAGGCAATTCCCATTTTCATGTCATCTGACCTTTTATCAAAAAAGAGGAAAAAGTATACCATAATCTTCATTCATTCAAACACTAATTCACTCTACAAACAAATGTGGATACAGACTACATTAGGCACTTGGCAGAACTAGGGAGGGCAGACATGATCCCTGGCCCATACAGCTTACAGCCTCACGAGAAGGGAGGAAACAGTAAGTCCTACGACTGGGGAGAAGTACCACATCAGGAAAGGTGGCCAAAAGGACAGGATAACCCAGGTGAAACCCAAATGAGAAACTGGCTACCAAAAACAAATATTCTAGACAATGCAAAGACATGTACAAAGGCTAGGAGGTAAAAGACCCTACATATTTTAAGGAAACAAAAATTCAGAAAAGCTGGTGCAAAAAATGCTTGAAGGAAAGGGGGAAAGGAGAAGCTGTGAAGACCGATGAGAACAGAGAGGAAAGTAGCACCAGACCATCCAGGGTCTTATAAACCATATTTTGGGATTTAACCTTTATTTTAAAAACATTAAGAGGAAGCCACGGAAGGATTTTAAGCAAATAAATGACTTGGCCAGACTCGTGTTCTTCTGCAGGTGCTCTGGCTGCAGGATGGAGAGTGAATAAAGAAAAGTAACCTGAAAAGGAGGAGAACAGTCAGGAAATTTGTAAAGCCAATCAGATGAACAACAATGACTACGACATGTTTTTAAGAGGCAAAAAACACAGGAAAAAAGTATGAAGACCAATAGTCTGGAAAGGAAATTTTTAGAAACAGCCACCATACTCTTGTACCCTAGGATTAAATCTGTCCCTTCATCTGCCCTACTATCCTTTATCCAATATCAATCCCAACCTCTTGGGTGAAATAAACCCTACTTCCCAACTGCCCAGCTGTATCAACCAGCTGTCCAACACAGTAGTCACTGGCACATATGGTTAAAATAAAATACATTTTAAAATTTATTCCTTGGTAGCAATAGCTAATTTTCAAGTGTTCAATAGTAAAGGTGACTAGTGGCTACTGAATGTCCAGCATAGATATAAACATTTCCACCACCACAGAAAGGTCTACTGGACAGTGCTGAGGAACAGATATACCTAAATTTGCCACTTCACTAGGTAGTCCTACTTAAACCAACACTGAAGGCACCTGTGAAGGCAGACTCACTCACTGTCTCATGCCACTCCTTGTATATTAATAAGCCCTCACAGTGCAGTGACGAATCATGGTGTACAAACCACAAGACAGGCTCTGTGTTTTGGCTCATTAATCCTCACTATGCTCTGAAGAAATAGAAATGCAGCAGGCATCACCCATGTTTTATAGGTGAGGACACCAAGGCACAGAAATTAACCTGCCTGAAGCTATACAGTCAGTAATGGAGTCACAAATAAAAGCTAGATTCCCTAACGCCCTGACCAGTGCTCCATCCATTAAAGTAGTCATGGCTGATTTAAGAACCCTAGAATGAAAACTAGTCAGTTTCACCTGACCCAAGCAATAATTTGCGTTACCAAATAGCTTGCAACACATATGGGAGGGTCATATCGGTTAGGTCCTTACAAAGAAATAGGTCCATGTATATGGAGACACACACAAACACGCACGTGTGTACACACACACACACACACAAATAAAAACCGGAAGAATATACACATCCCCTGAATTTGCCCCAATTATCTTATAACCTGTGATGAGAGATAAAAGAGATTAGACACATTTACTGAAACTAACAGCACCAAGGTATGGTACATTCTTGCATTATTAATTTGGTTTTCAATTATGTTAAATAATTACCAATAAAAAATTACGACCTAGAAGCCCTGCATTTTATAATTCTTATTTGCATCTGTTACCATTGAAAACTTAATTTTTTTGTGCCCTTTTCAAACCTATAGAAGCAACAAGGGCAGAGACGCAATACCTGCATTTTCATTTCAACTACTTAATTAACTGAAAAGAATAAAATACTACATAGGGAGACATGAACCAAGTTACAGATTAAAGATACAAAATCTACATACAGCATTTGCTTGTGACACTCTTGACAATGCCAATTTTAAAATCCAGCTGCTGGCATTCACTAATGCATCTCTGTGTCCTGACACTGCAAAAAGTTCACCCAGAACCTCATGTGAATGATGTAAAAAATTTAAGAAATAATTCAACTGCCCCGGCCCAATATTTAAATTCTTATATGCTTTACCTGTTGTAATAGTAAATACACAGAAAAAATAAAATGGGAATGAAATATTTAAAATAATTCCAAACTATTAGGAAGCATACAAAATAATTATTTCTACAATAACTGCTTATTAAAGTGTAAATCAATCTACAGAATATAAACACTAAGTAAATTTTTCCATTAAATGAAAGCTTCCAAAATTGACAACTGTTTCTGAATTAAGAAAGTAAATCTCCCCCAAATATGTCAGCACAGTTATCCCCATTGCTATCCATGGGGAATTGGTTCCTCAACCCGTGATGTCAAAATGTGCCGCTGCTCAAGTTTCTTATAAAAGATGGCATAGTATTTACTTGTAAACTACACACATCCTCCCGTATACTTTAAATCATCTCCAGATTACTTGTAATACCTAATAGTATGAAATGCTGTATAAATATTTATACTATATTGTTTTACCTATATTACTTATTATCGTAGTGTTATTTTTTTTCCCCTTTTTAAACTTTTATTCTAGGTTTTTATTTAAGTTGTGAAGGTTTGTTATATAGGTAAACTTGTGTAACGGGGGTGTGTTGTACAGATTATTTCACCACCCAGGTATTGAGCCTAGTACCTAATAGTTACTTTTTCTGCTCCTCTCCCTCCTCCCATCCTCCACACTCAAGTAGACTCTGGTGTCTGTTGTTCCCTTCTTTGTGTTCATGAATTCTCATCATTTAGCTCTCACTTATAAGTGAGAACATGCGGTATTTGGTTTTCTGTTCATGCGTTAGTTTACTAAGGATAATGGCCTCCAGCTCCATCATGTGCCCACAAAAAAACATGATCTCATTCTTTTTTGTAGTTGCATAGTATTCCATGGTATATATGTAACACATTTTTTTTATCCGATCTGTCATTGATATTTCCCAATTATTTTTGATCTGCAGTTGGCTGAATCCTCAAGTGTAGAACCCAAGAATATGAAGGACCAACTGTATCATAAAAAGGGCATGAAGGCTGATTATGAGTGCAGAATGTGATGATCACATCTAATTTTAGTTGTGAAAGTGAAGAAAGCCATCAACTTGACTATTTTAAAGTCTGCTTTATCACACACCTTGATTCAAGAATATAGGTCCATTTTAAAAATAATTTTTACGTTGAACTACTTACACAGCATTTCTGGAGGCTCCATAGGAAAGTAACAGCTTGACTATATCCACATGCCCATTCTTGGCTGCATCGTGAAGTGGTGAGTCATTTTGATACCCGGTGGTGTTCACCAATGCCTTATGCTGGAGCAATAATTCCACTACCTTCAGGTGCCCATGATTGCAAGCTTCATGCTAATTAAATTTTTTGAAAAAGAAGTGAAAGAAGTGATAAGAAAGAGCAATGGATGATATTATAATATCACACTTTAGAAAAATAAATGTAAACGTCAGGCAGTAAATTTATTGTTACCTAAATACTCAAAAACACTATAAGTTGCTGACAGAGTGAAAGTTACTATTAATAATCTTTCAATCAAGATCTGTGTAACTCATAAAAAAAGAAAGGCTATTCTCATTTGAGCCTTGGGTCAAGCACTTTTCTGTTTTTTAGAAGAAAATGTAGTTTTAAACCAACGGTAGCTCCTTAAATGTTCTACAATAAATGTAACACATTAAGAAAAAAGTCTACATATTTAATAACAAGATGATACATAAAATCTGTACCAGTACATACACATATCATGCAACAAAGTAAGTATCCGTGAAGGAATGCTTTTAAGATAAGCTATTTGCTGAACCTACAAATTGCTGTATGGCTGCTGTTATTGATAAGAGAAATAACACGAGTAGGAATACAAAAAGAGCTTGCTGAATGACAGAAACGGCAACAATGGAGTGTTCAAAGATGCCTTACATCCAAATCTTTCCTTATGTCTAATGAACTATAAACAATGCTGTATTCTAATAAATCTCTGGCATTCTATACTTTTTAAGTACATCAATTTCAATTCATAATAAGTGATATCACACTCAACATCTGTAGGTCTATTTTTAGGAGAAAGGAATCCAAACTAGGCACTAAACCCTCTAAATCACTAACCAATCTTTACTACAACTTGCCTTAGTGGCTTTGAAGAAAAAAATAAAATTAACCTTTCTTTGAAAAGGTTAGCCAGCCAGTAGAGTCCAACCAGCAAAGCGACTGATCTAGACTAAACTCTCCCAGCTTTCTTGCACCTAGCCTACTGAGAGTCTCCTAATTTCTGGGCTGAATTTCTAGTTACAGGATGAAGGCATCCACTTCATTTGCTGACACTTCTGTGGCTGCATTCAAATCTCATGTTTGTCCTAATGTAATTGGCCTACATACCAATTGTTTCCAAGTATTTGTGTCATTCTGTTTCCAGATTATGCTTCACACTTTTTTAGTAATAATAAGCAAAGACCTTTAAAAATGTTTAATGTAAGCAAAGATTTCTACTGCCTTATATATCTACAATTGGATAGGGTATAAGTGAGGCTAAGATAGACCCTCAGTGAGAATTACTTCCTTGTGATCACTTTCCTATACTCAGTTCCTCCGACCTCTTTTTGTTCCAAGAAATTTGGTTCCAGTGACATGCAGTGCTACAGAATGGAGCCTGATGTCAGCTGTAGCTGTTACCTCTAGACATTAGCTAAATTCTGCAGTACAGTACAAATGGATTCCTAAATCTAAAGGTAGTCTGTCAAAAGGTAACCAATTTCTTGCCTGTCACAAATGAAAAGCTAGAAGGAAAGTAATCATGTTCTCATACTTGATGAAAACATAAGTTCTTCAGACTAAAAAGAGTATATGTGGCAGAGGATGATATATAGACAACTACATAACTATAAACTATAAGAACTGTAAAACACAGAAAGAATGAGAATAAAAACCAGACAACTACCAATGGTGTCCATCCAGCATGGTCTTTAACATTTGGATCACTTCCATTTTGTAAAAGGTATTCAACAGAAGGTATGTCGCCCTAGAAAAATGAACAAAACGGAAATTAAAAAGCATTAAGGAAAGAAAGGAAAATATTGAGCTTTTTTAAATGCTGCCTTCTTCAATATAAAGTAAAACTTAAATCGTTTTCTCTTAAGGCTACTGTTCATGAGTTAATAAATTATTAGGCCGGGTGTGGTGGCTCACGCCTGTAATCCCAACACTTTGAGAGGCCAAGGTGGGTGGATCACCTGAGGTCAGGAGTTTGAGACCAGCCTGGTCAACATGGTGAAACCCCGTCTCTACTAAAAATACAAAACTAGTCGGGCATGGTGGTGCCAGCCTGTAATCCCAGCTACTTGGGAGGCTGAGGCAGGAGAATCACTTGAGCCCAGGAGGCAGAGGTTGCAGTGAGCCAAGATCATGTCACTGCACTCCAGCCTGGGCCACAGAGCAAGACTCCGTCTCAAAAAAACAAAACAAAAAAGAAATTGTCTGCGTATAAATTATTCTGAGATATCAAGAAGTACAGTCATGCTTGAATATAGACTACAAAATCTATTAGAAAGCCATATTCAAAATTCATTTCAGGTACCAAATAAAGGACACTGGCCAAAGATCATGTGCTCACAATGAAGTTTTAAAAGCCATAATTTCACTTGTGAAAAAAACAATTTTTGAGCATTTGTAAATGGCTTCTGAGTATTGTTTAAAACAACCAAAACTGTTTAGCCCAGAAGACTACTCAGTGAAACCAAAGTTAAAAAACAGCCAAAAACTGCCATTTTATTGGCAGTTACTCCATCCTAATACATTTAGTTTATATTCACCTTATTTGTTCAACATTTTCTAGGAAGCAACAGTTGCTCTGTTTAAAATGGCAAAAAAAGAGATCAGTACAAACCTATTCAAATCAGCCCACAGAATTAGCATTAAATTTTTTATCCCCCTGCTCCCCGCCCAGTTCAAGACTAAAATCACCACCCATTATCAACTAATTCAACTATACGAAATAGAGCTTCTGTAATGTAGCCTTACAAGTCTTTTCTAACAAGTGGTTTTCAATTTCTCTATTTCTCTATTCCAGTACTCTGGAGAGCTATGCAACAATGTTATAACAGTAGCAACAGTAGCACACTGATGCAATGGAGAAGGCAGATGAGGAATAGTAAGAAATACAATAACTTTACTTTAGAAATCACAACCTCTTTTTAAATCAGATGAGCAAGATCCGGGGAATAAGTGAATTAAAATGAGGCACAAGGCAAGGAAAATACTCTGAAGGCAGACAATATTAATTCGACTTTCATATTAAGACACCGTCAATTATTAAATAGCATTAAAATTGAAGACCCCTTCCAGTTTTGAACTTTCTGTGTCTTGTGTGTCATGATCCAACTAAATCCTACTATAAATGAGTAGACTTTTAAGGTCACTTTAAAGCTGTCTTGAAGTAAGACAAAAAAAATAGCTTCCCTCTGCTGCCAGCCTCCAGCGAAGGTAGACTGTGGCAAAGGAGTTCTGGGGAACTGGTCTCAGGTAGTCTGCCCTCCCACTCTTCTTTTTTATTTTCCTAGAAGTGAGAGATAATAATCCTCCAGCTATCTAATACCAGGGTCTCTTAAATTTGGCCCTTCATGTAATGTGGAAAGATCTGACATCTATCATTTATATTTAATTACATATTACGTTTTAAGTATCCGTTAACTCTTAAAGCCTTTTTAAAAATCTCTAGCTGTAATATAAAGGATACTGTCCCTTTGTAAAACAATGTCAGGCTTTAGGAAGAAGGAGGCATTTATGCAGCGGGATGAAGGTAAAAATTTTCTTGAAATTACATTATTATCACCACTCACTGCAAATATAACTAATCAGTTCTTTTAGGATAACAGGGCAGGGTACAGTACCTAAGTCCATGACGATAAAGCAAAAATATCTAGCAGAGCATACTCTCAAAAAAGACCAAATAAAAAGCTATAGACAGAAGTTACATGCATAACATTGTGTTCAATGAGTTTCGTGAGTGCTTCTTTAGTGAATAAATCTCTCCCCACCCAACCCCTCTCCCAATACTTTTTTCTGAAATTTTTTTCCTCTGTTGGTTTGATAATGTAGAAATCACTAATTCTCCTAAATATAATATTTGATTTTTTTTTCTTTTTAAAAAATTTTGCTGGCCAGACGTGGTGGCTCACACCTGTAATCCCAGCACTTTGGGAGGCTGAGGCAGGCAAATCATGAGGTCAGGAGTTTGAGATCAGCCTAGCCAACATGGTGAAATCCCGTCTCTCCTAAAAACACAAAAATTAGCCAGGCATGGTGGTACACGCCTGTAATCCTAGCTACTCAGGAGGCTGAGACAGGAGAACTGCTTGAACCCAGGAGGCGGAGGTTGCAGTGAGTTGAGATCACACCACTGCACTCCAGCCTGGGCGACAGAGCGAGACTCTACCTCAGAAAAAAAAAAAATGCTTTTTATATCTAATTGTCTCTGTTTCTGTGCTCTGGGCTGTTTCTCAAATCTTCAGTTTTCTAAAAAAGTAAATTCTCATGCAACATACATTTTTATATTCCTAAATTAACAAAATGACCTTAAATGCTCAATGGGTCTAAAAGGATTGTAGGTTTCAAATTAATTACCCCAGTTTCAGGAAAAAAAAAAAAAAAAAAAGCAACATTTTCCCAGATTTCTTAACAGTGCAAATTCTACTTCTAGAGCAAGTTATCATGTATTTAGCAACTGGAGTGCAATGGCATGATCATAGCTCACTGTAACTTCAAGCTCCTGGGCCCAAGCAATTCTCCTGCCTCAGCCTCAGCAGTATGCTACTGCTAGGCATACATCACCATGCCCAGCTAATTTTTTTTATTGTTTTGTAGAGATGGGGGTCTCACTATGTTGCCCAAACTAATGGACTCAAGCAATCTCCTGCCTTAGCTTCCAAAATTATTGGGATTACAGGTGTGAGCCCCTGCAACTTTTGCTTTATATTCATAACGGTTACAAATGAATGCAGGAATATCTGCCAAGATACAAATTTTTTTTTCCAAAACAATCCTGTAACAAGTGAGCAGATAAACTGCCAGAACCACACACATTCCCTATCTTTAACATGAAAGTACTCACACACAAAAACCTTCTCAAAGATTTCCCCATTCTAATTCTACATGGTAATGCAAAAAAAAAATATTAAAGAAGCTTAAAAAATAATATAAACACAATTGTGAAATGGAAGAGTCTCAAGGGAATAGTCAAACAGAAACGGAGTGACAATTTAAAGAATACAAGTAGACTCTCTTTTAAGGTTGTTAGACAGTTGCTATTTTTCTTTCATGTCACCTCTTCATATTATCAAAGTGTCTTCTGTTAACATTCTCCCCACCCCTGAACTGTATAGCTGATTAGCAAACGGCTTGCTTTTTATAACCAATCTGCTTTCTCCTCTCTAGTACTTGAAAGTTTTGTCATATTTTCATCTTTCTACTTCATGTAAATGTAATGTCATGCGCATAAATAAAATTATGATAATTAGATAGAGTCTACAGTAACTGGAATAGCTTGAACTGATATGAAGTAGCCAGGAAATAAATTAAGTTTTGATTCTGGCTTCTTTAAATTACTTTCAAGTACTCACTTTTGGGCTCCTCACAACTTGAAAGAATAATTGAACTTTTCTTAAACCACAGCAAACATAATTTATCTAAGGAAAGTATTTGCCAAGGCTTATTAAAAATTTTAAATGAATTTGGTATTTTCAAGTAATACACTGAAGGCTGAAAATAAGAGTGTGTGTGTGTCCCACTGAATCTTTTATTCCTAATCTTTCAATCAAAGGAAAGATCCTTCACACATTTGTACATACTGCAGATCCACACATATTCCAACAATATAAATTAACTTTCCAAAAACACACACATAAAAACAAAACTTTTCCTTATTATAAATGTTAGCTCTTCTAAAATACCATTAATAAACATATTCATAAAAACAATACAGAACGTTACAATTAAGTATAAGACAAATGACTTGCCTAGCATGGTTAAGCCTTTCCATGTAAATGAACCGACCAGGAACCAAAGACTTCCCTTCTTGGCAATTAGATGCCATTAAAACAAACAAACAAAAATGAACCAACTGGAATGAAGCTCTAAAATATGTTAAATATTTCTGTAGCTTCTTAGAATTTACTGAATAAAATACAGGCATATCTCGGAGATACTGTCAGTTCAGTTCCAGGTCACTGCGATAAAGCAAATATTGCAATAAAACAAGTCACACGAATCTTCTGGTTTCCCAGCACATATAAAAGTTATATGTGCACTATACTGTAGTCTACTAAGTGTGCAATAGCATTATGTTTTTTAAAAAAAATGAACAGACCTTAATTGAAAATAACTTTATTGCTAAAAAATGGTGACAATTGTTTTGCTGGTGGATGGTCTTGCCTTGATGCTGCTGGCTGCTGACTGAGCAAGCAGGTAGTTGCTGAAGGTTTGGGTGGTTGTGACAGTTTCTTAAATCAGGACAATGAAGTATGCCACATCCACTGACATTTCATGAAAGATTTATCTGTAGCATGTGACGCTGTTTGGTAGCATTTTATCTGCGTAGAACTTCTCCCAAGATTGGAGCCAATCCTCTCAAACCCTGCTGCTGTTTTATCAACTAAGATGATATAATTTTCTAAATCCTTTGTTGTCATTTCAACAGTGTTCACAACATCTTCACCAGAAGTAGATTCCATCTGCAGAAACCACTTTCTTTCTCATCTATAACAAACAACGCCTCATCCATTGAAGTTTGATCATGAGGCTGCAGCAATTCAGTTACGTCTTCAGGCTCCACTTCTAATTCTAGTTATCTTGCTATTTCTACTACATCTATAGTTACTTTCTCCACTTAAGTTCTGAACCTCTCAAAGTCATCCATGAAAACTGTAATCAACTCTTTTCCAAACTACTGTTAATGTTAACATTTGGACATCCTCCCATGAATCATCAATGATATTAATGGCATCTAGAATGGTGAGTCATTTCCAGAATCATCTGTGGAATACCCATCTACAACAGCTATAGCCTTACAAAATGCTTAAGTAACAAGACTTGAAAGTAAAGTTACTCCTTGATCCATGGGCTACAGAATTGATGTTTTGTTGGGAGACATGAAAACAGCATTAATGTCCTTATCTTCATCAGAACACTTGGGTGACTAGGTGGCACTGTCAATTAGTAATATTTTGAATATCTTTCCTGAACAGTAGGTCTCAACAGCAGGCTTAAAATATTTAGCAAACCATGCTGTCAAGATGTGCTCCCACCCAGGCTTTGTTGTTCTAAATGGTAAATGAGCATTGGCTTCCACTTCAAGTCACCAGCTGCATTAGCCCCTAACAAGAAAGCCTGTCCTTTGAAGCCAGGCATTGACTTCTCCTTTCTAGCTATGAAAGACACAGATGGCATATTCTTCCAACAAAAGGCTGTTTCAACTTCACTGAAATCTGTTGTTTAGTGTGCCACTCTCATAATTATCTTGGCTAGATCTTCTGGATAACCTGCTGCAGTTTCTCCATCAGCACCTGCTGTTTCAACTTGCATTGTTATATTATGGAGACAGCTTTTTTCCTTCAACTTCATGAACCAACCTCTGCTAGCTTCCAACTTTTCTTCTGCAGCTTCCTCACCTCTCTCAGTCTTCACAGAATTGAAGAGATTTAGGATCTTGCTCTGGAGTAGGGTTTTGCTTAAGGAAATGTGGTTGGTTTGATCATCTATCCAGACCATTCCAACTCTCCTCATATCGGCAGTAAGGCGGTTATGCTTTCTTCTCATCTCATTTGTGTATTCAACAGGGTAGCTCTTTTAAATTACTTAAAGAATTTTTTCTTTGCATTCACAAATTGGCTGTTTGGCAAGAGACCTAGCTTTTGGCCTATCTCAACTTTCAACATGCCTTCCTCACTCATCATTTCTAGCTTCTTATATAAAGTAAGAGATGAGTGACTCTTCCTTCCACTTGAAAACTCAGAGGACATTGTAGGGTTGTTAGTTTACCTAAATTCAATATTCTTGTGTCCCAGGAAACAGGGATTCAAAGGGAGAGAGATGGGAGAATTATCAGTAAGCAGAATAGTCAGAAAAGACATTTATCAATTAAGTTTGCCATGTTACATGGCCAGGGTTTGTGGTGCCCCAAAGCAATTACAATAGTTACATCAAAGATCACTGATCACAAATCACCGTAACAGATACAACAATAGTGAAAATATCTGAAATATTGTGAGAATTACCAAAATGTGACACAGAGACACACTGAGCATAGGCTGTTGGAAAAACAGCACTGACAGACTTGCTCAATGCAGGATTGCCAAAAAACACAAAAACAAAACTCTCTGCGAAGCATAAAAAAGTGAAGTGCAATTAAATGAGGTATGCCTGTAATTTAACAGATAATTCTGATAACCTGGTCAATGGCACAATAAGTTACTGGTATTACAAAAGCAGACTTATACATATGTGGTGAGTGACAGAGGAGAAAAATAGATACTGACTCCAGGAGGTGTTTTAGAAATTAAACTCTTGAAAATATCACATATGCCAAGGCTGCTTTTGTTTCCTTTGCTACCTTCTCATGAAGCTACTATGAAGGATATATAATTTCACACACAATATAACATGACTGTCTTCAAGTATAATAAACTACAAAGTTAAACTCTAAATGAGACTCCTCACAAGGGATCTTCTCTCTCTCCAGGGGATCTTCATCACCTTTGTTATGTTCTAAGCATACCATGCCTTGTAAGTTGCATTCAAAACATTATCTATTATGTCTACATCACTAATAAATCATGGCATGCCAGCTTCAAGCCATTCTTCTATTCCACAGTAAGTCATTGCTGTGGCATAAATTATGAGTAGTCATTGCCATTTTAAGAATTTGTGCTAGAGAACTTGGTAGAAGGGTGTGGGGGAAGAAAAGGGGAAGGTCAGGATGGCACAAATTCTCAAGCAAAGCTGACATAATAGAAAATAAAAAATTTTCTCTATATCCTTAGTATTTTGTTTTCTATTGGGTTGGTGCAAAAGTAATTGTGGTAATAAATCAGAAGAATAAACAATGAGTATCTTAGTTTCTACTTACGCACAAAGCTTTCTCATAAACTCTCCCATTCATGACACAGTGTTCTCAATAGCAGTTTAACATAGCTGATGCAGACATTCAAATAGGAACATGAGTTATGAAGATATTCAAATAGGAAGAGGGGTATAAAAAAGACTTACTGATAGGAGAGCAGAGAAATGATAATTTTGATTTCGGTCAGATTACTCTGGCTGTTACATAGAGAACTGACTGCAGGAAATACAAAGGGAAATTAGGAAGCTACTTCAGTGGTGTGGTCAAAAAATTACGACCTCCAAAAATGTCCACACACGAATAATCCCCAGAACCTGTGACTATGTTACCTTACGTGGTGAAAGGGACACTGCAGTGTAATTAAGTGGACACACCTTGAGATGGGGAGATTATTCCGCATTTCTCAAGTAGCCCAATTTAATCGTATGAATTCTTAAAAGCAGAGGGTCTTTCTGGCTATGTCAGAAAGATAAGATGTGAGAAGGACTCAATCTGCTGCTGCTGGATGAGATGAAGAAGAGGACCACGAACTAAAGGAATGTGAGAGTCTCTAGAACCTGGAAACAACCCTCAGCTGAAAACCAGCAAGAAATCTGGATCTCAGTCTTACCACAAGAATTATGAAGTCCCTGCCAACCATCCAAGCAAAAATGAAATGGGTCTTTCCTGGAACCTCCTGAAAACAGCTGACAACATGATTTTAGTGTGATGAGACCCATACTAGACTTCAGGTGTACAGAACTGTAAGAAAATTAATTTGCATTGCTTTGAATCACTAACTTTGTGGAAGTTTGTTTTGGCACCAATAGAAAATTAATGCAAGTGGTAGGGGCAAGAAAAGAGAAGTAGCTGCCAGTAGGGTGGTAGCTATGGAAAGGTTATGGCCAATGATGATGCCCAGAGGTAGTTTGGGGCAAGGTATTATACGATGTTTATTAATAATGTTTCCAAGCTCAGAAATCAATCAGTAAAGCCCTACCTGCAGTGGGGGAAGGTAACTAGTGCAGGAGAACAAACTCCTGCTGGGTTCTCTGCCCTCGGTGCATACACCAAGGATGCTCAGCGCAAACATGTGCTCAAACTATAGAAACTGCAAGTTTACCAACATGCTTAAGAAACAATACAACGCAAGTCTAAACAACTTTAGGCCACTTGAAATCCTTTTCTGAAGTAGGTGGGTACAAAACATAAATAATCACCACCAAAAAAGATGCATTATCTTTTGACAGCACAAAACCTGGTCCTTCCCCTTATTTGCTTTGGCTGCCTTAAAGGTCACCAAAACTAAATTCACTCCAGTTGTAGTAACTCTTTCCTCTTTACCAACTCCTTGTTCCATTTTATAGTAGCTTTAACTTTAGAGCCACTTCAAATCCTTTTCTGAAGCAGGTGGGTGCAAAATATAAATAAGATAGCAGAATTGCAATATGTGTACACATAGATTTATTCATTCTTGGCTGCAAATGAGAAAATTAGGATAGGAATGAAATGAAAACTGTTTCTAAAAAGATTGGCCAGGTATGGTGGCTCATGCCTGTAATCCCAAGACTTTGGGAGGCCGAGGACATATCACCTGAGGTGAGGAGTTCGAGACCAGCCTGGCCAACATGGTGAAACTCCGTCTCTACTAAAAATATAAAAAGTAGCCTGGCATGATGGCAGGTGCCTGTAATCCCAGCTACTCGGGAAGCTGAAGCAGAAGGATTGCTTGAACCCAGGAGGCGGAGGTTGCAGTGAGCTGAGATTGTGCCACTGCACTCCAGCCTGGGTGACAGGGCAAGACTCTGTCCCCCGCCCCTCCCCCCACCCCCAAAAAAGAAAAAAATATATAAATATATTTATATAAGCAAATCTGATTTTAAGGATATATTTATTAAAATAAAGCTAAGGCGAGAGGCATACATTCAACTCATAAAAAAATTTAAAAGGACACTATTAATTGGTGATTTTAAAAACAATAAAAATTAACTTTTAAAAAATGTACCATAACATAATCTGACAACTGGTGACAATAATTGCATTTAATAATTAAGTTCAAGGAAATAAAAATGGATTTAATAATTCCGGCAAAACTCTAAGCAAACTGACAAAACTCATATGAAGTAATCTTGAACGTATTAATAGAGAAAATTCACCAAGACAGGAGCATGCCATCATTTTATCCTGACTTAATATTCTATTACAGTTTCTTCACATGCCTAGACCAAGAGTAGGCAAACTATAGCCTATGGGCCAGTCACCCAATTTTGTACGTAAGTTTTATTAGTTTGCATATTGCCTGTGGCTACTTTTGCACTAAGAAGGCAGAGCTGAACCGCTATGATAGAGATTTCATGGCCTGCAAAGCTGAAAACATTTACTCTAACTGCACCTTTAAGAAAGAACTTACAAAACTCTGGCCTAGACCCTAGGGATCCTCATTAATAAAGATAAATTATTCTTATGGTTAGAAGAAAAAGTCGCCACCAATATAAGTAAATGCTTGCCTGATAGTCCAAAAATTTCCCAGAAAGCAAAATATATAAATTACTATGTATTAGCCAGCAAAATGAACAAAAATAATCATTACACTAGCTACTTATGTCTATAACTTTGTTTACAATAGCTTATATGTACATATAATATACATATATATAACAGAGATGACAAAAAATGTCTAATTTTGTTAAGTCAGGCTTTGCAAAAATCAAACTAAAACACAACCAGAGCCAAGTGCAAAAATTCAACATGTCCAAAGGATATGTGGTCATGTTGTAAGGTCCCTGCCTCACTGGTATCAGAAATAGAGTACAGTCATCCCTCAGTATCTGTGGGGGATTGGTTCCAGAATCCCAGCAGATACCAAAATCCAGATTCCTCATATAAAATGATGTATTTGCAAATAACCTACAGAGATCCTCCAGTATACTTTAAATCATCTCTAAATTACTTATAACACCTAATACAATATAAATGCTATGTAGATAGTTGTTATACGATATTTTTTAATTTGCATTTTTTTATTGCGTATTGTTATTGGCTTTTCTCCCAAATATTTTTGATTCGCAGTTGGTTGAACCCATAAACATAGAATGCACAGATACACAGAGCTGACTGTATTCCTCATTAATCTGGAAGAAAAGCAAGGAAAACAAACCAGCAGCAGCTGGGATAAGCTCAGTTTATGCTATTCCCTTTCTCCACACAGAAATACAGGAATCTTTGGACCACACTCAATGTCTACTCCATGTTCTTCTCAAATGTTTTATGTTGCCCACCAGCCTCATGTTTGTGGACCTCCAAGTGGTTCCTCCCAGGTGTCCCAAAGTTCTCTACCCATCCAGAAGACCAAAGGATTTCCTGGGTGAATTGACTACGTACAGTCGCTGAGACTGCATAAAAGCTATCCTAATTTAGTACTAAGGTCTACCATATCATACTTTCCTAACATTTGCATGAAATCACAGAGCAAAGCTTATAAAGCTATGGTGCCTACTGCTCTATTTCACATGTAGTGTTTGTGTCAGTTTCAAAGATTAACCACTGCCAAGTGTTCAGAAAACAGGCCAGGTTCCATAAAACGCTGCCACATCTCAGGTGTTGAGGCAATAATTAAAGAGAATGAACGTCAATGAACAGGTCAGTAAAAGGAACAGCTGATTGTAGGGTAAAAAGCAGCTCCTTTGTGGTGAACTGGAGGAGCCATTTCTGATAGTCAAATGTCCCGGTCATTGGAGAAATGTACAGACCACATCTTTCAACCTTCCAAATTTTGGTTGAATTTGGATGGTAAATATGGGCTTTTTTACTAAGTAAACATTGTTGCCTGTAATAACTTAGCAATTGTCTACATTCATAAAGCATGAAGACAGGTAAACAAAATGATAAAAACTGAAGGTAAAATAGACAAAAGCAAAAGCACTTGGCAAAATAAAAGCCGAAATATTCAAATATTGGTTTTCTCCTACAAGATCATGCGCCCAGACTCAGGGGCCACTGCTCCAACTGAAGTAGAGATGCTCTCCCTATGAATCTGGCTTCTCTGGTTCAGAGGAAGTATCATGTCTGTGAAAGGTTAATTATCCTAGTAATCCTATGCCATTTTTCAAAAACTGCAAAGAAATTGCTTTATAGTTGGCCTCATTCTGAGATGGTATTTCAGAGTAAGCATCCTACCTTAATAGAAGCAATATGGAGCAAAGTCTCTCCTCTATGATTTCTTTTCACAGCCATATTGGGCAACAGCTTCATTGCTGAGGGACTAGACATCACTCGCCTGTAACTTGAACTACTTAATGTAGAAGGTGGTGTACCTGGTGAAAGACTAATGAATTCATCGGACATGTTACTGTTTTTCCTCCCTGATGTACCACCAACTTTACGTTTGCATGAAGGTGGTGAAGAACATTCAGGCAATGGTATATTTTCTGAGGGCACCGTTTGCTTAACAAAATCTCCACTGGTGCTCAGAATGCTGGTTCTACATCTCTTAGAAATGGGACTGGAAAGTCTATTGTGATGGCCACGTTTTCCATTATTTTCTAATGGCAAAGATTTCTTAGATGTAAGATAATTTTTGCAGACCTTCTCAGGAGTCACTACTTCATTCCTGCTCTTAGTGTCTGGAGACTCTATTTGCTCAGCCAATGGTAAAGAGACTTCAGTTAAACTTCCAAAACATTCAGATTCTGTCAAGGAGCCACTTGCTAGTAAGTCTATTTCACCATTTATCTGAGGACTGGAGATAACAGATGGTTGGCTACAGAAGGATACCAGCTTTTGCTTAGATTCCTCTTTGGAGTCAAATTCACCATCTTCTTTTTCTGCCTCTAAATTCCATTTTTGGTTGATTTCAGCTAAAGTTTTCTTTTTTTGCTTTTTTCCAGATCTTGCAGAAGCCTTTTTAGCCCTCTCAGAAACATCTGCAGGAGGACTTGGGGAAACAAATTCATATGAGTCTTGCTGAGCACTTGCATCTTTTTTTATTGCAGGCTGGGTTTGCACTGAAGCTTTACTCACAACATATCTGACTTTCTTACTTCGAGGGCTAAACCACATTTTAATTGAATTCTTCTTGTTTCCTGCATCATTAAACAAACTTTTCCTAGGTTTATCTTCTTTCAAATCTGACAGAAAAAAAGAAAAAGAAATCTGTTACATGAAATTTATTGCTCCCACATGGAGCTCCCGAAGAATTTTGTTTACAGTTCCCCTAAAGTGTATCATCTTTTAATTATGTACTTCTTTCTCAGCTCCTAGAGTGTGAACTCTTTGATAGCAGATATTCACTCATTCAATACTTACTGAATCCGACTTTGTGCCATATCCTAGAGACTGAAGATATAGCAGAGAACAAAACATGAAACTTATATTCCAAATATAGTACCCAAAAAAACCCATAAAATACAAATCTAACAGAATGTATAAGTTCTGTTTGCTAAGAATTACAAAATACTTATTAAAGAATTCTACACAAATGGAGAGATATACCATGTTCATGAACTATAACAATATTGTTAAGATGCCAATTGTTCCAAACAGATTTACAGATATAACAAATCCCAATGTAATTTCCAGTAGGCTTGTTTGTAAAACTCGACAAGCAATTATAAAATTTACACGGAAAAAGAAAGGTACAATTTGAAAGGCAAAAGACTTAGAACAACCAACATAATACTGAAGAACCAAGTTGGAGGACTCATACTATATGACTTCAAAACGTATCTCTGACAAAATGAATAAAGGGGATTAAAGACAATAGTCATGACCCTTTAGGTATCATCTAATATTAACGTCAAGCTGTATAACCAAAGATTAGTAAGAATAAATGAACAATAACTACATATTCAAACATAATCTCTTAAGCAAAATAAACTACATACACATTATATGTTTTCACTTACATCAAATATAAAACAGTCAAAACTGATTTAATGTGTTAAGTCAGAATAGTAGTTGGTTACCCCTACAGGGAAAAGTAGTGACTGAAAGGGAGCACAAGAGGGGCTTCCAGAGTATTGTTTTTGTTCTGGGTGAGTTCAGTTTGTGCAAATTCATTAAACTATATGGTTAGAAAATATATATTTTTTCTACATATATATATATAAAATACTTTTTAAAAATTTGAAAAATATAGATTTATAATCAAGAATTAAAACACAAAGATTCCATTGAGGGTAGACAGAATATACAAAGATTCAGCAGAGTTTTTAAAAAGAAAAAAAATTGTCTCTATGTACACAAAGTGCCAGATTTTGTGAGAGATACTCTTCTTTACACTCACCTGCTACTTTAATTAAGGTCATCAAGGAAGGCATCAAGGAGAAGTTGATTTTTGAGCTGAGATGTAAATGATGTAAAGGAAACAGTCCTGTGGATCTCACATCCAATGCAGAAAAGGGATATAATGTTTTATATTGTAGAATTACCACTCTGACTGCCATGTGGAGGAGGAACTTTGGAAAGAAAAGAGTAGAAACAATAGCCAATTATGTGGCTATCATCCAAGAGGAAATATATTGGCTCTGACAAGTGTTACAGTAATAGAAATGGTAAAAAGCATTCTAAAAGATCACAAGTTACCTAGACCAAGAGGCAAGAGCAAGATGATAAAATGTTCAAAAGCCCAATAGCAGAGAGCATACAAAGTTGTTCCTCCATATTATCAGGGGACTGGTTCGAGAACTCCCTTGGATACCAAAATACCCACACACTCAATTCCTGTACTCACTCCTGGAGAAGCAGAGTGTAGAAAAAGTCAGCCCTCTGTATACTTGGGTTTTGCATTCCATGAATACTGTATTTTCCATCTGCATTTGACCAAAAAAAATCTGTATATAAGTGGACCCATGCAGCTCAAGCCTATGTTATTCAAGGGGCAACTGTAGTAAGTTTAAGGAATTAAAGGATGGCCAGTATACCTCACTTACAGAGACCACGGAAGAAAGTGATTTTTAAAGAAAATGTGGCACATATACACCATGGAATACTATGCAGCCATAAAAAAGAATGACTTCATGTCCTTTGCAGGGACATGGATAATGCTGGAAGCCATCATTCTCAGCAAACTAACACAGGAACAGAAAACCAAAAACCACATCTTCTCACTTATAAGTGGAAGTTAAACAATGGGAAGACATGGACACAGGGAGGAGAACATCACACACCAGGGCCTGTCAGGGGGTTGGGGGCAAGGGGAGTGAGAGCATTAGGACAAATACCTAATGCATGTGGGTCTTAAAACCTAGAAGACGGGTTGATAGGTGCGGCAAACCATTGTGACATAGATATATAGACCAATGGAACAGAACAAAGCCCTCAGAAATAATGCCACACATCTACAACCATCTGATTTTTGACAAACCTAACAAAACAAGCAATGGGGAAAGGATTCCCTATTTAATAAATGATGTTGGGAAAACTGGCTAGCCATATGCAGAAAACTGAAACTGGACCCCTTCCTTACACCTTATATAAAAATTAACTCAACATGGATTAAAGACTTAAACATAAGACCTAAAACCATAAAAATGCTAGAAGAAAATCTAGGCAATACCATTCAGGACATGGGCATGGGCAAAGACTTCAAGACTAAAACAATGTCCTGAAGTCTTTTACTGCAATGGCAGTAAAAGCCAAAATTGACAAATGGGATCTAATTAAACTAAAGACCTTCTGCACAGCAAAAGAAACTATCATCAGAGTGAAGAGGCAACCTACAGAATGGGAGAAAAATTTTTGCAATCTATACATCTGACAAAGGACTAATATCCAGAATCTACAAAGAACTTAAACAAATTTACAAGAAAAAATCAACCCCATCAAAAAGTGGGCGAAGGATATAAACAGATACTTCTCAAAAGAAGACATTTATGTGGCCAACAAACACGAAAAAAAAGCTCATCATCATCATTAGACAAATGCAAATCAAAACCACAATGAGATATCATCTCACGCCAGTTAGAATGGCGATCATTAAAAAGTCATGGAAACAACAGATGCTGGAGAGGATGTGGAGAAATAGAAACACATTTACACTGTTGGTGGGGGTGTAAATTAGTTCAACCATTGTGGAAGACAGTGTGGCAATTCCTCAAGGATCTAGGACCAGAAATACCATTTGACCCAGCAATCTCATTACTGGGTATATACCCAAAGGATTATAAATCATTCTACTATAAAGACACATGCACATGTATGTTTATTGTAGCACTGTTCACAATAGCAAAGACTTGGAACCAACCCAAATGCCCATCAATGACAGACTGGATAAAGAAAATGTGGCACATATACACCATGGAATACTATACACCCATAAAAAGAATGAGTTCATGTACTTTGCAGGGACATGGATGAAGCTGGAAACCATCATTCTCAGCAAACTAACACAGGAACAGAAAACCCAACACTGCATGTTCTCACTCATAAGTGGGAGGTGAACAATGAGAACACATGGACAGAGGGAGGGGAACATCACACACCGGGGCCTGTCCGATGGAGCGGGGTCAGGGGAGGGATAGCATTAGGAGAAATACCTAATGTACATGACAGGTTGATGGGTGCAGCAAACCACCACGGCATGTGTAAACCTATGTAACAAACCTGCATGTTCTGCACATGTATCCCAGAAATTATAGTTAAAAAAAAAAAAAAGAAAGAAAGCCATTTGTTCTTTCCATAGAAGCCTTTTCTTCCCTCTACCTCTTCCCCTTAATTTAGGTTTATAAACTCCCATTTTTACCTGTTTGGAGAGTCACATTTTTCTGTGAACTCACAAGTATATTCATAAATAAAAATCTATTTTTTCTCTTGCTAATTGTTTTACAGTTTAATTCACAGGCCTCCATACAATGAACCTAAGAGTGTAGAGGAAAAGTTTTTCTTCATTGACAAATCATACAAGTCATCCACTTTTCTGATTTTGACGATCAACTACCTTCAAGTTGTCTTATGTTGTTTTTGTCTTTGGGATATTCATTTTCTTCAAGAAAAAAAAATTGCCTTAAAATTCTCTCCCACCCCATGACAACATAGGTAAAATCAACCCAGCTCAGCCCAGCACAGTGGTGAGCACATGAATAGACAGTACTCAGTAAGTACTAGTGAATAAATTATTTGATATCTCTTAAATCTTTCCAAATGTTTACGTAAGAGATGTTAGAATTAATTTTAAGAGCTAGAAGAAAACTTGAAAATAATTTAGTCTAATTCTTTCATTTTAACAATGAAGGACTAAAGTTAAAACAAAAAGAAGGAAGGAGTCCCCTAACTCCCAATCTGGCACTCTATCTCTCCACACAAACTGGATTAGCAAAAGGTAATTTCAGGCCCAGAAAAAAAAAGAAAGAAAGAAAGAAAAAGAAGAACATTAGAAACGGAGGAAAGTTGGAAAAATAACAATAATCTGATAAGATTAAAAACAGTAATTAACAAATGATTTCATGCTGCCTGACAAACATTCTCCTAATTAACACAGACAATCTCCTCTGACCAACCAGGCTTCTTACAATATGTTTTGTTATTCCTATTTTAAAAAGAAAGAGAAGAGAGAGAGAGACAGAGAAAAAGAGAGAAAAAGAAACTACCCAAATTTTGTTTTCCTCCTTAAGTCACTCTTCATTCAAATCGAAAAGAACTCTGCATAAAACTTTACCTACATTACAGAACCAAAGAAAACTTTTAATGGAATGGAGTTCTAAACCTAAGGTACTTTAAGAAGAAAACCAGTGGCCACTAGTCTTATTCCTAAGGGATATAACATCTACCATATAGGAAATAAACATCTGATGTTACAAGGTGTTCAATAACATTTTCAAATGGTGATTATTACTGAGAACTTTTAATACTTAAGAGATACAACATTATTTTCATTTTCTTACGTTTTGGGGAATAAATTTCTTTTCAACATTCTCATGTCTTTATTAGCAAAAGAAAAGTACATCATCTATTATTTTTTATTTCCTTTTAGTCATTTTTTATCCACATAGAACAGCTTGTTTTATTGTTTTACCAGCTTAAAATTATTAATACACCAGAAGATTGTTAATGATCATCTCAATTCTTTCAAGTTCAAAATTGCTTCTTCTGCCTATTCTTTCACCTCATATTTCTTGAGTACAAAAGTCCTATCTTCAAAAATATATTTACCTGGTAAAAGAACCTTAAACAGGTAAGAAGAAATGGGAAACAGGCTTTGAAAAATAAAATAATTAGTACTTAACTCTAGAAATTTCAGACATGGTCCCTCTCTAGCAAAAGAGTAAAGATTTTCTACTCCAAAGTGTACCATCACTTCCTGCAGATGAAATGGAAGCACTACACTGAAAAGACAGTAAAATGATAAACCTACTGAAGGCAGGAGTATGTATATGAATAAGGGCAGATTCTCCTACATAAACTTTTAAATATCATAGCTGAACATGACCTGGTCCACAAAGTGTTATTAAGACAGGATCTTGGAAAGTATCAGAATGACGTATCCATTCACATAGAGACTTTATGTCTAGATTCAACAAGGTATTTTCTTTGCAGTGGTAAGTAGATTTCAAAACCAAGTCACTTCTGATATAATCTCAAGTCTATAGGAAAGGTCAAAATGAAATGTTACCAGGATTACTTTTCAAGAAAGACTCAGGATTACAAAGTCATAAAGGTTAATCCTCTGATAGTCTGTAATAACTTGTATTTGATTTTTTTTTAATTATTTTAAACACAGATGACATTTTCAATTAAAACCATGTTCAAACCCTGAGGTTCTCAATTTTTGAAAAACTTTAAAAATGTAGAATTGAGCTTTTAAAGGAAAATTAAGGCTTATATATAGCAGCAACATACTCAACTGACTAAAAAACCTCAATATAAAAAGAAGAAATTTCATACTCAGGTGTACATATTTCCTACCTTATAAATGAGTAAATGAAGATAATATACTCAATGTAATTGATATGAACACAATTTTACTATTCATCTGGTAATAATAACTTTACTCAAAAGATTTTAATTATGTATCTTGCATAACTAAGCAAGGAGCACAACAAAGATGACTGTATATTCTGAATTTTATTAGATATTCTGAATATCTAAGATAATATTCTAAGATAAAACTGTAAAAAGCAAAACACTATTGCTGGAACATAAATCACATTATTAACAGCTACCAACAATTTTTATGGGTGAATGCTTCTCAGCATGATAAATCAACATATTCATTTCATGAAGAAAAATACTGGTCCTTCCTCTGCACAGAAAATTCCTTAATGATAATATTTAAAAGAATTCCATTCTCTGAATTTCAGAGTACATCACAAAATATTGAGTAACAGAGATGCATGTGTTACTAAGGAGCTGCTTGGCCAAGTTTTTTCTTACAATTTAATAATCAACTATAGAAAAAAGAGGCAATTAGAAAATGTGATTTAGCTATCATTAATCTACATCAAAGGATTATAATCATGTACACTGTGTGCCTTTCAAGTTATTCTCTATTATAGGTTTCACAACAGAAGTTGAGAAATCTCTTTGACGAACCAGTCCCTTATTAAAAATCAAAGGAAAGTCCTTTGCTACCATCTGTGCAACATTAACGCCTTCACTGAAGAATGATTATTTTGTAAGCTAGGAAGCATTTAGTACTATTTAAGAAAAACAACAGCAACACAGCTATTCAAACATTCATCTTCCTCTATTATAAAAAAGTCATAGCATATATGAAACACTATGTAATCGTTACAGAAAGACGAGCATCTCTCTCTAAAGCAGAAAATAGAAAAGGAAATTGTAATACTATAAAAGCATAATCAAAGTATTTTTTTTTTAATGTCACCAACACCGACATGTTTCACAGAACCTGACCAGCACCTGCAAGGTCTGACTTAATATGATAGGGTTGAAGAGAAAATAAAAACTTTTAAATTTAACTCCATTAGTAAAAAGAAGATCATGTTATAAAGGATAAGGTAAAATTATCCATAAATGGTTGTCAGCAAAATTTGACAATCTCCTCTTTAAAGTACACTGAACCAAGAAAAATCTGTTCAAGTATTTAGAAGCTCATTTTAGAAAGTATTACTACAAATTAGGCTTCTTTATCTCCAGTATACCATACACTATGTCCATGATTTGACAAGTTCTTCCTAATTGCCCACCTTAATTACAGTAATTATATATATTATAGTAAATGCAAGTAACAAGGTTCATTTGAAAGATAAATTGTGAACTACAGGGTTTTTAAAAGAGAAAATGTGAGAGATGTTCACCATTCCACTTAATTCATCATCTTCTACACATGACCATTTAACAGAATCATACAATTTTGGAGAGACAGCTTAGGAATCACTTAATCTAATACCCTTATCCTAATGAGATCATTTTCCAATCTCCTTACTATTATAAAGAAGACCAACTGTCATTTGTCCCCAACTATCAGTTCCTGGTATATAGTTTACCTTCTAACCTTTTAGTTCTAGAAGTACTTACTAGATAATCAATTACCACAAAGGTACTGCGTAAAATACACTGAATAGACAAACTATAAAGAAACAAAGGGAAATGTTCCAGAAAAAAATCTCAAATGCCCTTCAAGGCTAGTTTGTTTTGGGAAGAATTTGGGATGAAAAGTTGGGGGTCTATACAACTTATATTAAAGTAGAAAAAGCTCTACACCATGGAATTTAGAGATCTGGACAGAAGGTTATAATTCAGTATGTTTATACTCTAAATTTATTGTCATTTCCTATCAAAGTAGCAAAGAAAGATACTACCATTATAATTTTTTAAGAAGGTCTATGAATGCATAGATGTTATCATTATGAAATGAAATTATTTAAACCAAATTCTAAGAATGTATTTTAAAATTATTTTAATTAGGTCAGGCACAATTAGCTCATGCCTGTAAATCCCAGCACTTTGGGAGGTCGAGGTGGGAGAATCATTTAAGCCAGGAGTTCAGGACCAGCCTGGGCAACACAGCAAGACCCTATCACCCTATCTCTTCTAAAAAAAAAAAAAATTAATTGGCAGGGTATGTGGTGGTGAGTGCCTGTAGTCGTAGCTACTTGGGAGGCTGAAGTGGGAGGATCTCTTGAACCCAGGAGTTCAAGGCTTCAGTGAGCCATGATGGCCCCAATGCACTCCATCCTGGGCAACAGAGCAAGACACTGTCTGTCTCAAAATAAATAAATAAATAATTTTAATTAAGTTTAGTCTCTAGCATATAAATTAGCACTGCCAATTTTTATCCAACTCAATTCAACAAACATAATGAATACCTACACTTCGAACCAAAAAGTTGTGTAAAATAGAAAAACAGTAAGAAATTTACAACACAACTGCCCTGTGTAGCCTGGGTCCTCAGTTTCCTTACCTACAGAATAACGGGATTAAAGATGACCTTCGTGTTCCTAAATTTCTGATTATGTGTTATCTAAACAGGGAACTTCAACTCAGTTTAATATAAGTAACGTTGAGGGCGCAGTGCTTAAGTCTGGTAAGGACTAAAATAATTATTCCTAATTATAATAAGGAAAACAAACATAAAATGGCCTTTGGGAAATTAATCAGTAGAATTATCTCTCCAATCTCCAACTCTACTTAGATGAGAAAGACCGCATTCTTAAAGGCCTCAGAAACTTGTTCTAAACTCAATTTTCCTAAATATCTTTAATGATGAAATATGAAGAAAGCATTTCATATTCCATAGTCCTCAAAATATAAATGATTCAAACATCACTAGCTAGAATAAAATTTCTGGAAAGGAGTCTATCTTACTCTTTTTTGCACCCCTATGGTATGCCATAACTGACAACGGTAAATCCATCAAGGGTTACCCTGCTCTCCATTTATCATCATTAAAAATGTTATATTGTTATAAATTGTGTTCCTCCCCCACCAAAATTCACATGTTGAGGTCCTAACCCCCCAGTAACTTAGAATGTGACTTTACTTGGAAATAAGGTCATTGCAGATGTAACTAGCTAAAATGAAGCGATACTGGAGTAGGGTGGACTCCCAACGCAATATGACTCCTGTCCTTTAAAAAGGGGGAGATTTGACACAAACAAGGAGAAAACCATGTTAACATAATGATGGCCATCTACAAGACAAGGAGACTGGCCTAAAACAGGTTCTGTCTCACAGACCTCAACAAAGAACCAACCTTGCATACACTTTCATCTCAGACTTCCAGTGTCTGGAATTGTGAGACAATAAATATCTGTTGTTTAAGCCACTCAGTTTGTGATACTTTGTTACAGCAGTTCTAGCAAATGAATACATTACTATACAGCAACTGGTGAAGAACCAAATCAAAATATCATCATAGCCACAAATCCCAAAGTAGCACTCCAAATTTCAGTGCAAAGCCAATAATCCTAACAGACCACACACTCCTAAGAATCTAACAAAAGTCACTTTCACACAAACATGAACAGTTTTCATACTGCACAATTAACTCAAGAAGCTCACTGATCCCTTACCCACTTCAACTCTGAACACTGCCAAAGGTGCATGGGCCCTTGATTAAGAACCCCTGCACTGACCCTCGGTATCTATGTGGGGAGAGAAAGGTAGATCACACACCAATCTCTTTTAACTAGAAAATAAACATTGTCAGTACTGTCTTTAAATAAGAAGAGTTCAGATGAACTAATGACAGAATTTTTCTTCAGTGTGTTCTTAAAAAGGTTTACAACTACAATATCATTTTTAAAAAACGGCAACTTTTAAAAATGTGTGTGTATAGTTACATCTGAAAGTAAGAAAAACTTCTGCACTACAGCACATTTTATCATAAAAGAATGGAGTTGAATACAATGACGCAGATAACTAGCTGAAGGAAAATTTTAATAGGTATAAAGTGATTTAAGTTCTAATTCTTAAAAATATGGACCTGTGGTAAGACTCAAAGTTTTTGCCACATTTATTTATTTTGTATAATCAACTTCATCTTTAGCTGACAATAAGACATCATGGCAGGATTCTAAGAACAAAAGATTTAAAAATAGAAATCTAACAATTTTATATGAGCATTATCAATCATCCATGGCATCCTGCCAGTCAAGAACACGTTCTTCTACAAACACACACTAAAATAGCATGATCTGGTCAATAAAAAGACAACTCTAATATCCAATTATGAAGATACAAAACATTTTACTTTCTTTCCACAGTTAATTAGTTCTCAGCAGAAAGCACAATGGAAAGATACACAGTTAATACACAGAGTCTAAGGACAATTTAAAAAACGTTAACCCCCACTTAAATAGAAAAGAAAATGAATATTAGATTTCTGCTCTTTCAAAATGTGCTCATCTAATTAATTCAGTCTAGAAAAGTGATCCATGGAAAAATGTCGTATTCTATCTTGGGAAAGTGTATTTAAGTGAGTTAAGTGCTATTAAGGCCAAAATCACTATTCCATATATATTCTGCAGAAGTTATCATAAATGTAAAAAGCAGGCAATGTAAAGCAGCAAAAAAGTTCCTGGATTTACAGTCAGAAATGGGCTTTATTTCTCCAGCTTCTAGTACTAACTACACATGCGGCTGTAGGCAAGGTTATTTCACCTCTCTGGACCTTGATTTCTCAACTATAAAATAAGGGGGTTAGACTTTAATTATCTCTATGGTTCCCGTCATTTCTCAAAATGATCTTCCAAAAAACCACCGGGTGTGTCACATGCATGTACCAGGGAGGCTGAGGTGGGGGGAATCCCTTGAGTGCAGGAGTTCAAGTCCGGCTTGGACAACATAGAGAGACTCAATGGCTATTTAAAAAAAAAAAAAAAAAACCTACAGATTTTAAAATCTGAAATACGTATTCCAGAACTCCAGATAGATGTTTTATATACTTTATGAATATGAATTCATCAGTTTTTAACTGATGAATTTAACTAAGAGAGATAGGGATAGTTCTTACCTGACAGCTCATTGTCATGTAGCAAATTTCGAAGCTTACTACAAAGTTGAATCATGCTGTCCAGTTGTCTATTTATCTTCAAGTCTTGTATCCAGGCCGGGGTGTAACACACTGGACATCCAGTTCCAATGCAGTCACTTACACAATTACTTTAAAATAATTAAAAAAAAAAAAAAAAGCAACCCATTCAGCAGAATTTAATTCCAAAAACTAAACAGTTTGAACAGAAATAAATGGAGCAGAGGTTATTCTAACATACAATGGTCAATTGTAATATCCTTGTTGAATACTGTTTTAAAGAGTAAAATACATACATCAAATCTAAGGTTGCTCATGTAATTTGCTATGAAGAGACTTTACTTAGCCTGATTATTAGTCTGCATAATTTTCCCTACAAATAAATCTGTAGCTTCTAAAGGTTACAGAGATGTAACAGAAAGATAGAATGCCTAATGCATAGTAGTCGTGCATCCTAACTTTTTCTATCTTAACATTGCATGAAAATACCCAAAACTACTGCAGACACTGGGAAAGACCTTCTGTTTTGTTTTGGGACTAGTATCTCAAGGCTTTAAAGTAGCTTTTGGGAAAAGATCTTTGACTTTTTCAGACAATTTTAAAACCTGTAGACTCAATTACCTGGGTTATCTAAGGACTAAAGTTTCAGAGTTAGAAGAGTTTTTCTAATTTTGGGGTTTATAGACCTTTTGCAAATCTGATGAAAATCTATACATACTCATGTAAAAAGAGGGATTCACGATCCCCCCCACAAGCCCATCTGTGAATTCCAGAATAAGAATTCTATAAATCTCCTCCTTCATTGGCCTCACCAGATGGGTTCCAGTAGGACTGAGTAAGTAATGTAACAGTTGAAAAGCCACATCTTCCCCAAGCACCACAGGACATTCCTTGTCACAGGACCCAATCCTCTGTAGGCAGAGAGGATTCTTACTCAATATGAACTATCCTCAAACAAAACCTATGCCATTTCTAATTCTTGTATCCTTGGCTTCTAGCATGATTTCTGACAGAATGTAACTCAAAAAAAATTGTAAAATGAATCTGTAACCCATACCAGAGCTGGAAGAGACTTTTGGGACCATCTAATTCAAAAAATGTCACTGGGGTCAATAAATGTCAACTTTCTTTAGCAAAGGATCTTCTGTACATTTGTTTGCTAGTAGTTAAGAACTCTAACTTGGAACCCCAACACAAAAAAATATGTAAAACTGATTACTCATGCAATTTAAATCATTTGTGCAATACTTAATTATCAGTAAAATACAATCTGAAATCAACTCATCAAGAACTACCACCTCATTTTTGGATGAAGAAAATGAGATCCAGTTATTTAAGTTACTTGTCCAGCACTGCACTAGTACTCAGATCAGACTAGTATTTTATATTTCTATAACATTTTATAAACTATTCCCAAATTATTTTATATACATTAATTTGGAATTCTGAAAAAAATGTCATTTTTCGGTGGACCTGTATAGCTCAGTGAGTATTTCTCAAATGACCCGTGTGTGATGTCATAAAATCATGCTGAGTAACAGATAAATTCAAAGTACTAGATAAACCAATGAAATTTCATGTAACAGAGTATAAAAATTTATTGATATAGTTTCAGATTCCACACTGTGATGAACCTAAAGAAAACAGCACTTGTTGGCCAGGCATGGTGATTCATTCCTGTAATCTCAGCACTTTGGGAGGCCGAGACAAGAGAATCGCTTGAGCCCAGGAGTTCAAGACCATCATGGGCAACATGGCAAAACCTTGTCTCTACAAAAAACTACAAAAATTAGCCAGGCGTGGTGGGGTGCACCTGTAGTCTCAGCTACTCAGAAAGTGAGATTGGATGATCACCCAAGCCAAGAAGTTGAGGCTGTAGTGAGCCATGATCGCGCCACTGCACTCCAGCCTGGGTGACAGAGTGAGACTCTTGTCTTCACAAAAAAATAAAAATAAAAAAGCACTTGTCAAGTTTTGGTGTAGTATTAAAGAAGAATAGCCACAATTATCTAAAAAAGCTACTGAAAATACTTCAATACTTCTTCCAACTACAATTATGTATAAAGCCAGATTTTCTTCAATCAAAAAAGTATCACAATAGACTGAATATATAAGTTGAGAATGTAGCTGTTTTCCATTCAGCAAGACAGAGATTTGCAAAAATGTACAACAGTGCCACTCTATTTTTTTCTTTGATTTGTTAAAATTGTTATTTTTCCTTACAAAGTGTTATTTGTGTTTGTATTAATGGGTTTATTATTTTTAAATTAATTTTTTTAAAAAGTCTCAGTTTTGTACGGTAAATGCATGAACACACAAAAGCTCTTTATGGTTCTCAATTCTGAAGAATGCTCAAAATGTTTGAGCACCCCTGCCACATGTCTTAAATTGTATCTTAGAGAGTAGATGAATTACCTTTATCAGTTGAACTGAGCTATGTCAAATCATTTTAAAACCTCATTGCTGAGCAGTTTTAACTCAAAATCTGCATGAATAAAAACAGCTACCATAATTTTTGGCATCATATAATCAAAACAAATCAAAACTGCACTGAATGAATTCTTTCCTACGTTCATGTCATATACACATAATCATTTTCTCTTTTAAGATGTTCTCGTGTCTCAAACCTTTGATTGGTTGTTTTAAGTCACAGAGTCCTTTAGAATCTGATTAAACGTATGGATCCCCCACCCCACCACACACACAAACCAACTTTGCATAAAATGTCATGGAGTTCATTATGCTCTAGCAGCTTTGTGACTGACCTATTGTATACAGTGAGCAAACCCATCATCTGTCAGCTGAAACAAAATACATCTGCTTGCTACAGAGTGGGGACAGGGAGTGGGCATCATTTCGTAAGCAGATCCATGGGAGGCGTTTTGGAGGCAGTGACATTTCAGCTGATATATAACTGGTAAAAAGTAAGCCTCACAGAAATCTGGCATAAGTACATTTCACGTGGAAGAAATAGCAAGTGCCAAAGTCCTGGGGCGGGAGTGAATTTGGTGTATTGAATGAGCTAAAAGGAGAAGTGCTGGAACAGTGTGAGCCAGAGGTAAATGACGTCCAAGAGGAAGACAGGTTCTAGGTCCCATACAGGGTTTTGCAGACCAGAGGGCAGAGCTTGGATTTTATTTTAACTGCAATAGGAACCCACTAAAGAGTTTAAGCAGGGTAATGATATGGATATTATCGTGATTTTTCAAAGATCACTGTCAAGAATGTAGAAAATGAGGAAGGGGTGATGATGCCAAAAAGGGAAGACCAGCTATGAACCTATCACAATAGTATGAGCAGAGATAATACAATGATGGCTTGGAACAAACTATAAACTGTAGAAAATTCAGAAAAAAGGTGGAAAAATTCAAGATTCAGGACACATTTTGAGGCAGAACTGACAGAACTTAGCGATGTGGGATAAGCAACCTAGCAGTAACTGGTACCATTTACTGTGATGAAGATTACCCAGGCAGGAAAAGGCTGAAGAGGAGGATGATCAAGAGGTCAGCTCTGAACACACCAACTTTAAAATGCCTTTTCTTTCATCATCCAAACAGACGTATCTGGTAGGCAACAGGTTCCATCTCCTACCCCCCATCCTCCTGCTGGATATCCCTCGTATAACAGATCTGTTTTTCCAGGAACAAAATTGGGACCCAAAACATAGCTGCCTCCCAGACAACCTTAGCCCTTGAAGTAATACACAAGGTTATTTTCATATATGCTCAAATTTCCGAATGTATTTGTTCATGTCAGACAGTAACATACTCATAACTGGAAATAATTAAAAGATTAATTCAAAGGAGACTATATTTTCCCTGTCTCATAGGCAATTAAACTAAGACACTTAATCTCTCAACTGATTTCTCCTGAACAAGAAATAAGAGATAAAAATCTAATCTTCTGACCTGTAAGCCAGGGCCATCACATGGATATAATTTCACAATAACTGTTATGCACTGAATTGTGTCCCCCAAAAAGATGTTTGAGTCTTCACCCCTCAGTTACTGTGAATGTGACCTAATTTGGAAAAAGAGGCTCTAGACGATCAAGTTAAGATGAGAACATTAGGGTGAGCCCTTAATATAAGTGGTATTCGTATGAAAAGAGGAAATTTGACACAGAGAGAAGCAAGCACTCAAGGAAGAATGCCAGGTGTACATGAAAGCAAAGACCAGAGTGATACATCTCCAAGTCAAGGAACAGCAAAGATTGCTAGGGGAAAGGCAAGGAGCAGATTCTCCCTCACAGCCCACAGAAGGAACCAACCCTGTCATCATCTTGATCTTAGACTCCTAGCCTACAGAACTAGAGAGACAATACATTTCTGTTGTTCTAAGCCACCCAGTTTTTGGTTCTTTGTTATGGCAGCCTTAGGAAACTAATATAATAACTGTAAGACCTATACTTTCACAATTTTGAGTCTAGATTCAAAATTTAACTGGAAAATTTAAAAACATCTATTTGAATTATATAAAAGGCATTAATTTTTTTCCTCCAATTTGGCAAAGCTGTCTACTAAGCTTTGTAACTTGGACAAGTCATCCTCTTTGAGCTTTGGTTTTCTTATTTGTAAATTAAGACACAGTTTTAAAGATCAAACTAAGATAATGTACAATAGGTTACTTTGCAGACTTTGAAAGTTACACAAACATCAAGTACCATTATTATCAACAAGATTACATGATTGTTATCTAGTAAAAAATACAGTTGTACTATATACATCAAACCGTAATTACTTACCTACAGAAGATGTGCTCACATCCTCCTAAACACACAGGCTCTCTCAGAATGTTAGTACTGTTTGAAGAAATTAAAACAATCAAGATTTGAGTCATTGTTAGATAAACATCTCACACCCAATATTTCATCCAAGGCCCAACACTACCATATTTCTCACTTTCTCAAAGCAGAAGGTATTAAGGATGCATTCATTTGAAAGGCTGTTACTCCCTGGTTAAATATTGTACCATAACATACCTGATGATTTTAAATAGTAACCACCAAACTGGGTACAAGTTGTAATACATTTTAAAATGTATTTTCTAGAAAGTTGGAGAAAGGAACAATTTTGTTCAAGTATCTCTAAACCTCTTAAGGCAAAACCAACTACTGGCTGCTTCTTTCAACTACTAAGGTGTATCTTCCCCTTATGATTCAAAGTGTAGACCATATACCTCAAAATGTGTCCCACACGTAGAATGACCATATAACGTATCATCCAAATGAGAAAACTTCTGAGAGTGAAGAGGAGTGATAATTGAATAGGATGCTGGGACAACAGGAATAAACCAGGACTGCCCCAGACAAACCAGGATATCTAGTCATTTTGACCGTAAGAATCCAAGGTTTCCCAATTAAAAAAAACATGTGTTTCTTACTACTGTAAAGTAGCCATCAATTTTTCACAGATATATTGTGAAAAATGCAGCCATTCTTTCAGTTCACAGAAAGTTAATTGTTCTTTAAGCAAATGTAAACAGAAATCATCAGATTAGCAGTGTGTCTGCAGATAGAATGAAGTTCCCTGCAGTGAGTGAGCAAAGAGACACAGAAACAAAATATTTCTAATACTGTCCATCAAAATACCTGCTACATTTGTTAATCCTAACAAAGTAATGATACTAATAAATACACACCAAGACATTATACTCAATGGATGTAATGTACCCAGAGAAGTAAAGCCTTTTAAATGATGAGCACTTTTTCTGCTTGGTTTATTATACTAACTCTAAAACCTTTAGATATTTACACCATTATTATTAAATTACCTCTGTACACATACCACGTATCAATAAAAACAATTCTTCACATTTCTTGAAAGATTGAAAGTATCACACTGCACATCTTAATAGATATGAACATTCAAGTGAAATTGAGATTTTCAGAAAGATTGCGAAAAACAGTACACACCCACAATGTTATTCTCAAGATACTGAAAATGGTGCTCACTGACGTTACAAAACCTATTACTTTTTAAAAACTCACCATGTCTGATTTTTGTATCACAGTATGTAAAACGTACAGATAAAAATATGACTTGTGACTCTGCCAATAAACATGATCTCTTTTAACATTCATACTGTGTCTATAATTTTTGTTATTTGACCTAGCAAACCTAACCTCCTTTTCCCCATCAAGTGTACTGAATTCTATTTCGTGGCAAGCTCCTCCTATCATAATATCCTTCCTTTACCTCTTTTATTACATCGCCCTGGCCAAACCTCCACCTTCAGGTTGCTCTCTACCTTGAAAGAAGTCCATTCAGTTTCCTAGCACCTTGGATTCCCTATCCAGCCCAGGCCAGAGTTAACTATTTCCAAGCCACCTTCACCACTACCTAATTGTGCTGACCTCTTAGACACTCATGGATGCCAATCTATAATGCTAGATAGGCCCCAGAGTCTACTTCTTCCCTGCCCACTCAGGCTGCGAATAACCACTATTAAAAAAAGAAAAAAAAAAAAAAAAAAGGAAAGAAAGATGAATAAACTTCTCTCTATAAATTCATTTGGTAGCAACCGGGTACTGAGGCTCATGCCTGTAATCCTAGCACTTTGGGAGGCCGAGGTGAGAGGATCACTTGAGGCCAGGAGCTTGACTGGCCTGGGCAACATGGTGAAACCCTGTCTCTACTAAAAATACAAAAATTAGCCAGGTGTGGTGGTGCATGTCTGTAATGCCAACAACTTGGGAGGCTGAGGCACAAGAATCACTTGAACCTGGAAGGTGGAGGTTGCACTGAGCCAAGATTGAGCCACTGCACTCCAGACTGGGTGACAGAGCGAGACCCTGTATCAAAAATAAATAAATAAAATTTTAAAAATATAAAAATTAGCCAGGCATGGTAGTGCACGCCTGTAATCCCAGGAACTGGGGAGGCTGAGGCACAAGAATCACTTGAACCCAGGAGGCACAGGTTGAGGTGAGCCGAGATTACACCCCTGCACTCCAGCCTGAGTGACAGAGCCAGACTCTGTCTCAAAAATATTAAAATAAAATAAAATAAAGACATAAAATTTATTTGGTAGCCTCTTCATGTTTGTATCTCTACCAAAGTAATGTATTCAATATTCTATAAATAAACAAACAAATGAATAGATGGCTATTCAAAACAATCTCTATGCTTCCTCATCTCATTAACTTTACTGGAACTTAATGGTGTAAGTTTTTTAACACCTAAATACATTTTTATCTCTTCACCAGTCATCTTACCCTTCCTAGAGTCTAAGAGGAAAATTCGATCTCCTTTAGTCACTCTTCCTAAAATGTGCTACTCTACCTATAGTTCCCATATCTTTTCTGCCTCCCAAAGCACTAGATATTCATAATACTTGCCTTTCTTCTCTCATTTGCATCTACACATGAACAGGTAATCTCTCCTTTGACACAGAAAAAACACAGTTTTGATCATACCTCCCATTCTACCTTCTGCTCCATCTCTTCCCTTTCTTGAACAGATAAAAGTTCTTAAATGAGTGCTCCATACCAGCTACTCCCATCTCCTCACCTTCCTAGCTTTAACTCCCTCCACTCTGCTGAAACTGTTCTCCAAAGCATTTTTGGTCCCCTTCTCTCTGACCACTCTGGGAAACAGCACTGACCTCATCTTCTTTCCTGAAACCTTTCCTTCCACCGCATTTTAATATTTTTATACACATTGATCTGCCTATTTCAGCATTTCCTTAGCTGCTTTTCCTACCTCTCCATGTAGGCATACCCCCAGGATGCAGTCCGTAGCCTTCCGGCTTTCTCTGGCAATACTTGACTCAACGCCTTGATTCTGTTTCTCAACTTTAAATTTCCTTCCTAAGATGACTGAACTCTTTAGCTATAGTTCTTAACCTTCACTCTAGCAATAAGGTGCTATCACATATTAGTAATGATTTAACATGTGGGAATAATTGATCAGTTGTACTAATTATTCTAATTAGTGAGTTAGAATATATATTTGTGTTGCTGTTAACGGATAAGGAAAGATAATGGAAATGTGAATGAGAAGTATGTGCACTTGTGTGTATTGGGGGAGGGAACAAGAAGGAAGTGTGTGAGCCAAGCTGAGAGAGAAGGGAGTGCCAAATTCAGTGGCACATGCCTGCAATCCCAGCTACTCAGGAGGCTGAGGCAGGAGGAAAGCTTGAGCCCAAGAGTTCAGGGCTATAGTGTGCCATGATCGTGCCTGTGAATAGCCACTGCGCTCCAGCCTGGACAACACAACAAGAACATGTATCTTTAGAAAAACTTTTTTAAAAAATTATTACAACTAGGAGATACCTATCAAGAATATAAATGCATCCAACTTTAACTCAGCTATTCCACTGCCAGGAATTTGTCCTTCAGCAACACTAGATACTTGCAAAAATGAAACTTTCAAACATCAAAGATATCTAGACAAGATTCTAAAACCTTCCAGAGATTTAAGAAATAATAAAATTAAATGTCATACTTTTTTTAAAAAAAGGAATCAGGATAGCATAAGACTTCTCAAGGGTAATAAGAGATGCTACAGAACTGTGGAACGAGGCCTTCAAAATAATTCTTGACAATTATTTTGTACTTTGAATTCTACATCCACTAACTTCCACTGTCAAAGTTAACAGTAGTAAGAAAATTCATCTTTGAGAATAGTTAGGAAGTTAATAACATCTAAAATGGAAAAAAAAATAAATAGCAATATAAACATATTTGGAAATGTAGAGGTACATGCTTGTAAAACTAAAAAAAAGACAAAAGATGTTTCTGATGCATAGAACTCAGGGGTGATGAAGGATGAAGCAAAGAATGTTTTCATTAATAGTCTGTCCTATTGACTCTGTCAACTACGTTCATGTATAACTTTATTTAAAAACATTTTAAATGTAAAGGCACATGACATCAGTATCACTCCAGCACTGCTTGTTACAGCAAAAGACCACAAACAACCTAAATGTTTCCAATAAGGAAATGGTTAAATGAATCATGCAACAACTACATGGTGTTTAGTATCTGCTTATCTGAGGCAGTACAATGCTTATATGAACATAGAACCTCTTGAAGGATACACAAGAAACTGATAATTATAAGTTACTGAAGAAGATTCACACTTATCTGTCGTTCATTTAACAAATACTGAATGGCCATATACTGTGTTATTTTAATTCTTTTCACACACTGTTTACCATTAAAAAAAAATTTACTATTAAAAAGTTCTTCACAATCTGTAACACCTAAGCCATGCAACCTTTTCTCTCATTGCTCCTCAACAAAAACTCTGCTGTGGTCAGGCCAGTGTCTCTTACAACTATTATTAGCCTATGTCCATCTCTTGGATTTCAGCCTCCAGCCATCACTTCTGCAAAATTCATGCCATGTAACATCTAAAGAACAAAGTTGACTGTGTTCCACTCTTTTCTAAGGGTCTTATAATCTGGCCAATTAATTACATAAACCAAATTAATATGACTTAAAAGATGTACAAAATGCTCTAAAGTTACAAAGAAGAGAGCATCTAGTTGGGGTTCTGGGATTCAATGTTGAAAACCAAATATTTGGCGGGGGGGGGGGTTGTTTTTGTTTTTTTTAAAACAAGATCTTGCTCTGTCGCCCAGGCTGGAGTACAGTGGCATGATCACAGCTCACTGAGCTTTGAACTCCTGAGCTGAAGAAATCCTCCCATCTCAGCCTCCCACATAGCTGAGACTACAGGTGCACACCACCATACCTGGCTAATTTTTTGTAGAGGTGGGGTTTTGCCATGTTGCCCAGGCTTGAAAACTAAATATTTTGTACAGATGATCCCTGACTCACAATGGTTCGACTCACAATTTTTTAGCTTTATTATCCTGCAAATGTAATACACATTCAATAGAAATCACACTTTGAATTTTGATCTTTTCCCAGGCTAGCAATATGCAGTACAATGCTGGGCCACAGCAGGAAGTCATTCTGTTTTTCACTTTTAGTATGGTATTCAATAAATTACATGAGCTATTAAACACTTTATTATAAAATAGGCTTTGTGTTAGATGATTTAACCCAACTGGGCTAATGTTAGTGTTCTGGGCATGTTTAAGGTAGGCTGGGCTATGCTATGATGTTTGGTAGGGTATGTATATTAAATATATTTTTGACATACAATATTTTAAACTTACTATGGGTTGATCCAGACATAACCCCATCTCAAGTTCAGGAGCATCTGTATTTTAACTTCCTGATTTTCTATTTCTCTTGTCTTGAAATTAGACTCCAGCCCTAAGACAAGAGATCTTAACTTTCATTTTTTCTGAGCTCCCCAACCCACCATTACCTACCTAGCATGGTGCTAGATTAACTGCAGGATTTCAATAAGTTCTTAGTGAATGAACCAAATGGAAGCCTATATACAAAAATGCATTTGTATTAACAATTCCATTTTATCCTTACCCTATTTTCTGTTTGATATACATATATATTAGATAGAAAAAATCCAAACAAATAAGAGAAGACATTTGCATGGTAACAGGATTTCTGTACCTTGAAAATTCAGCTACTCTACTTTTTCCCCATCTACAGTCATACTTCTGTAACTTTACATGTAGTTGATTTAGAAAGATCAGTGTGGGGAAAAGCAAGAGAGATCAGATTGTTACTGTGTCTGTATAGAAAGAAGTAGACATAGGAGACTCCATTTTATTCTGTACTAAGAAAAATTCTTCTGCCTTGAGATTCTGTTAATCTATGACCCTACCCCCAACCCGGTGCTCTCTGAAACATGTGCTGTGTCAAACTCAGGGTTAAATGGATTAAGGGTTGTGCAAGATGTGCTTTGTTAAACAGATGCTTGAAGGCAGCTTGCTCCTTAAGAGTCATCACCACTCCCTAATCTCAAGTACCCAGGGACACAAACACTGCGGAAGGACCCCTGCCTAGGAAAGCCAGGTATTGTCCAAGGTTTCTCCCCATGTGATAGTCTGAAATATGGCCTTGTGGGAAGGGAAAGACCTGACCGTCCCCCAGCCCGACACCCGTAAAGGGTCTGTGCTGAGGAGGATTAGTATAAGAGGAAGGCAAGCCTCTTGCAGTTGAGACAAGAGGAAGGCATCTGTCTCCTGCCCGTCCCTGGGCAATGGAATGTCTCAGTATAAAACCCGATTGTAGGTTCCATCTACTGAGATAGGGAAAAACCGCCTTAGGGCTGGAGGTGGGACGTGCGGGCAGCAATACTGCTTTGTAAAGCATTGAGATGTTTCTGTGTATGCATATCTAAAAGCACAGTACTTAATCCTTTACCTTGTCTATGTTGCAAAGACCTTTGTTCACGTGTTTGTCTGCTGACCCTCTCCCCACTATTGTCTTGTGACCCTGACACATCCCCCTCTCGGAGAAACACCCATGAATGATCAATAAATACTAAGGGAACTCAGAGGCTGGCGGGATCCTCCATATGCTGAACGCTGGTTCCCTGGGTCCCCTTATTTCTTTCTCTATACTTTGTATCTGTGTCTTTTTCTTTTCCAAGTCTCTCGTTCCACCTTACGAGAAACACCCACAGGTGTGGAGGGGCAACCCACCCCTTCAGATCAGTGCTGTCAGAGGATAACTTAGGGAAGAATTAAGTAGTGAGAACAATTTTTTTTAAAGTTCTTACTGATACAAAATTTTCTTCGAAAAGAAAAAAAGGAAGGTAAATCCATCTGAGATGATAATACCAAGGCAGATCTATTTCTTAATAGAATGGCTCCCCTGTATCTCCATGAAATATCAACTGCTATTTAATATTAGGCAAGACAGCTCCCAAAGTGCTCTTACATTTTAAAGAATCCTCAAGGTAATTTTAACGTGTGGACCAACATGTTGAACATCTAAATGTGCAGGCTCACCAAGCCAATTAAACAATTTTTCTTGTGTTTATCTTTAGAAGAATAAAGTGTTTAACAAGTAAAGTATATGGATAATGACATGGAACCTATAGGGGATTCTTAGCAATTCATGTAAATTAACTAGATCTTCTGGTATTACCACTTGCAAAGGCCCTTCAAATGTGATCCTACCTTAACCTAAGTTCTTTCATACATCAATTTAACATACACTAAGAAACTATGTGTCTGGCATTGTGGCTACAAACGTGAACCTAGTTTTACTAAATATATAACTGAAGGAGACAGACATCACTCAAAATATTCCATAAATAAATAAATCTCACAAATAAATTCTAACTTGGAAGATACGATACAAGCTGAACACCAATGATTTGTGCCTTTTCTGTATGTATGTTAAACTTCATCCAGTGGACACAAATAACTATGAAATCTGCAAACTGGAGAGAACTTTACAAATCAACGAGTCCATTTTCCTCATTTTATAGATGAGGAACCAGAGTCCAGGAAAGCTATACAAATTGCTCTCTTTAGGAAGTTAACTATATAAACCAACTGAGTATTCTGTTGTTAGGCTACTATCACTGATTTGACCCTGTCTTAACTCTCTGTTCACCTGACCCAGTCCCCCTTTACCCTACAATTCTTTATAGCTAGTTATTTGCAAATAACACCCATCACCCCAGCTCCCTGCAACCTGGCTCCATTTTAAAAATCTATTCGCATCTCGGCCTGGTGTGGTGGCTCACGCCTGTAATCCTAGCACTTTAGGAGGCCAAGAAGTGCGGATCACAAGGTCAGGAGTTCGAGACCAGCCTGAGCAACATGGTGAAACCCCGTGTCTACTAAAAATACAAAAATTAGCCGGGTTTGGTGGCGCTCACCTGTAATCCCAGCTACTCAGGAGGCTGAGGCAGGAGAATCACTTGAACCTGGCAGGCGGAGGTTGCAGTGAGCCGAGATCACACCACCGCACTCCAGCCTGGGTGACAGAGGGAGACTCCGTCTCAGAAAAAAGAAAATCTATTCATATTTCAATTTAAAAGCCCATGAAGCTTCCTTCCACTGGCCCTACCCAAGTACTCTTCTCAGCACTATGTCGACCTGCACGACAATTTACCCTGAACTTGTATTTATTTTATCCCTTATAATTAAGCATACACTCCTTAAAGGCAGAAGTAGAAAATGCATCACCTTATCACCCCTTACACAGTGTCTCAGTGATTTCTCGTTATTCTAATGAATAACCAGTGCCAGGGAGAAATCATTCCATTTGGGGATCACTGCTCTGTGAGAATGCCTCTGAACATTCAAAACTCATGAAGAAAGGCAAAAGCTGAACCCGGAGTCAGAGAACCTATCCTTTATTTCACAAATATTCATATAGTATTTAGTACATAACAGACACAGCTCAAGGCATCTTATGAATATCCACTCATTTTGTGCAGATGAAGAAAAGGAAGCATAAAAAGATAAAATAACCTAAATAATGGAGCCAGGATTTGAACCCAGGGAATCTAACTCCAGATTCCACACATTTAACATCTACACTATGCTGCCTCAAAGTATGAGAGAATACAAAATTAAGCTTGATCATCTCCTAAACAAGAACTCAGAAAAAAAAAAATACCTATCATAAAGGTTAAAAGATTACTTTCTAACTTTTCATAAAAAGTTGATTAAAAAGGCCCACGTTACAATTGTCATAGATGTCTAATCCCACTCTCACCCTCAAAAATATGCCAAGAGGTACCTATTAATTCACAAAACAGTGTTATATGACACCTGGGGCTTCTACACTGCAGCTCCTATTACCATTTCCTGCTTCCTTTAGGAACACATTATTACTGTGCTTTCTGCCAGCCTCTCAAATAATATGGTCTTCCTGTCTCATTTTTCCAAATCCTTAAATAGCTTCTTTCTGGTTGTGAGGCTTGGTCCTAATATAAATGTCACATCTGGCCTCTTGAACACTTTCATCGGCTTCACCTTGAAGCCAGATTCATGTTAAAGGTCAAGAAAGGATGCCCGGTTATGTACCAATCCACCCTCACCAGCAAGTAATGCTTGCTGCAAAACAGATCCATGTGCAACACAAGGCAGATGTCAGCTGCAAGCTGAATGTGAGGGTAATCGGGGTAATCACTAGCCCACTGGGTAGAACTCTGAAACTCTGTAAAAGGACATACTGACACAATTTCAAATAATATGACACTGCTTTGAATGGAGGGTAGCAAATGGAAGAAGCAGACCATTCTGAGTTGCTCCTTGCCGGCAATGTCAGGAGGCTACCAGGGCAAAGGCAGAGGTAGGAACAATGCTTTTCCTCCTTGAGTAAGGTGCAGCTGGCCATGCTTTTTTCACTATAGATAGTGCCAAAGTTGCAGAGACACCTACAGAGGAAAGCAAAATCATTTCTAAACATTAAAGCCCATGTAAAGACCAGGCATGGTGGCTCACGCCTGTAATCCCAGCACTTTGGGAGGCTGAAGTGGGCGGATCACTTGAGGTCAGGAGTTGGAGACCAGCCTGGCCAACATGATGAAACCCCGTCTCTAGTAAAAATACAAAAATTAGCCGGGCATGGTGGCATGCACCTGTAGTTCCAGCTACTCAGGAGGCTGAGGCAAGAGAATTGCTTGAACCCGGGGGAAGGAGGTTGCAGTGAGCTGAAATCATGCCACTGCACTCCAGCTTGGGTGACAGAGTGAAACTTTGCCTAGGGAAAAAAAAAAAAAAAAGGCACCCCATGTGATATAAAATTGTATACCAAAAAGGATTTTTAAACTTGAGACATTAAGTTTATCAAGACTTTATCGACAGTTTAGCAACTATTGCCTGTGGGCCAAACCAAGCCAGCAGTCTGTTTCTGTACAGCCCTTAAGGAAAGAATGGTTTTTACATTTTTAAGAGATGTAAAAATAAATAAGAACAAAAACTATTTGCGGGCAGAAAGGCCTAAAATATTAATTACCTGGCCCTTTACCGAAAAAATTTGCAGACCCCTACATGAAAACATGCAGTCTAAGAGTTAAGATTCAGTTCATCTATAGAGGTTCGGATTAAAAAAAAAAAAATCAATAGCATTCAATAGCATTCTGTAGTCAAATGGGTGAGCCATGCTAAAAGTCTGGGCCTGGTTACTGATGTCTGTTTACACTCCGTTGCCTCTTACTGTCTACTCACTTCAGTTAGAAACTGGAAAAATATTTGGTAGGGGATAAAAAGTGAAACCGGCTTTGTTATTTTTCAGGACAACATATATTCATATATATTATCTATTTTGTCTCTCCCAAATCATGTAGCAAGCAAACACCACATTCTTTTAGATTAAGACACACATTATTTATCATTTATTCTATCACAACCACCAAACTCAATACTTTACATACATGTAAAATTTCATTTTGTTTCTTCCATAAAAGCTCCCTAAGAGATGGAATTTATTGTCTGCTTTGTTCACTAACAAATCCCCAATACCCAGAATAGGGTCTGGCACTTTATGGGTGCTCAATAAATTTATGATTATTAATGAATCCTCACAAGAAAATAAGCTAATCATTAGTATTACTCATATCCGGAAAATGAGAGATGAATAACTTGGCCTACTCAATAGTGTCAAAGCTAGAACCTGAACTCAGGCATTCTGACCACAGTCTAAGTGAAGCCCGATGCTTCCACATAGGTATGTGCCAAGGGAATGTCTAACTTTCGTTGGACTATCAAGGTGTGAACTATAATGCTTCTGTTATTGCAACTAGCAGTGCCAGTTTTAAATTTCCTATTCTCAGATGACCCATGTGCTACAGGAAAACAAACACACAACTCAAATGTCTTCATGTACTCACTTATCTGAGTGTCACTTTTCTAAGAAGTGCAATGTCATTTTGTCACAGATATTAAAAGTTTTCGTCAAAGAAAATATAAGTGCAAAACTCTGACAGTTAAGTCCTTTTCATTTTTAAAGAAAAAGTTTGGCCGGGCACCGTGGCTCACGCCTGTAATCCCAGCACTTTGGGAGGCAGAGGCGGGCGGATCACGAGGTCAGGAGACGGAGACCATCCTGGCTAACACGGTGAAACCCCATCTGTACTAAAAATACAAAAAATTAGCCGGGCATGATGGCGGGCGCCTGCAGTCCCAGCTACTTGGGAGGCTGAAGCAGGAGAATGGCGTGAACCCGGGAGGCGGAGCTTGCAGTGAGACAAGATCGTGCCACTGCACTCCAGCCTGGGCGACAGAGCGAGACTCCGTCTCAAAAAAGGAAAGAAAAGAAAAAGTTGTGTTACTTATACTTTATGCAACTAGGTAACTTAAGTTCTGCAAGTTAGAAATCAAAGGGGAAAAAAGTCCAAAAAGGATATAAACTTTTGACAGCTACAAATAACAAAAAAACTGCCAGTGATCTTCATACAGAAATACTTAGCTGTACACACAGCAAGTGCTCAATAAAAATGCTTTTCAGAAGAAATGAAAATGAGACAAACCTTTCTTGGGTTTTACAAACCTTCTTGGTTTGTATACTAGAAAGAGCTACACGAAAAAAAGCAAGAAGTAACACTCATGAAAATGTCTTTGGACGGAATGAAAACCCTGAGAGGACTCCCATAATGTGACAGCATGAAGGAAAACAATAAACAGCATCACTAAGAGCGGGGACACCAGACATACAGTCTTTTGAGCAAACTAAGAAAATGAGAAATTCCGTGCCATCTTCAATCTACAACTATGGTAGATATCCGATGCTCCATCCCATCTCACTCGAAAAAGCTGGCACGGAGAAAATGTCAAAAAGGCCAGTTTAACTTAGAGTGGCAGCTGCTTCTAATTTAGAGGGTCTCCGGGGCGGCCCGCCAGCCCAATTCGCCACAGCTCCCGGAAAGCAGCGGGGTAATCCAGGGCCGGGTAAAAAATGCAGAAGCCTCAGCCCCACCCCAGCCCGATTCAAACTCTGGAGGCGCGACCGGGATGAACATTTTTTTAGCCACACCTCCAGACGGTTCTTCAGCCCGCTGAAGTTCAAAAACTACCGTTTCAGTTGGATTCAGGGCAAGGGGAGGCCGGTAAGTCGCCCAAAAATAAAGTGAATGAGAAGCAGAAGTTGTTAATACTATATCCCCCGGCAGGTGCTAACCGCACGCCGACCCGACTGCAGCGCGGGAACGGAAGGAGGAAACGGAAGATTTGAAAAGATTCTGCCGCCCCCAGAAACTGTGCGACCCGTGCCCTCGCAGCCACCCCCAAGAAGCTCCGTCTTTACCAACGCGAGCAGCGCAGCAGCTTCTCCAGGCGGTCGAGCGCGGCGCGACTGTGGGCCCAGGCACCGCGACCATCCGGTTCCATGGCGGGCGCGGAACGAGGCTCGTTCCCGGAGCGGATCCTCGGCTGCCGGTTCCTCGGCTGCCGATTATCCGGCATCGTCCCGCCTTCGGATGAAAGGCTCCTCGCAGAGCGGGAAGCAAGGAAGCCTCGGGAAACCACAGGGAAGCTGCAGGCCAGCGACTCGAAACCGGCCAAGCTCTTCCCGCGTCTGGGACGGCGGGCCGCCAGAGGGGCGGGGCGCGCGGGGAGGGGCGGGGCACGGCGGCCGCAATGCTCCCAAAATAGGGACTCGCAGGGCACAGGGGCGGGGCCGCGAGAGCCAGCCGCTGGCCGAGTGGGCGGGACCTAGGGGTGGGGCTGGAGGCTGAAACTTGCCAAAGTCCCGGCGTGTGGGACTTAGGGGAGGGGCCGCGAGAGCCGTGGGACCGAGGGGGCGGGGCCGGACGGCTGAAACTTGCCAAAGTCCCGGCGCGCGGGTCCTAGGGGCGGAGCCGCGAGAACACGCCGGGGACAGAGGGGGCGGGGCCTAGGAGCCTCGGGGCGGGACAGGACGGTCGAAACCGAAGTCCTGGCGCGCGGGGCCCAGGGGCGGGGCCTAGGGGCCTCGGGGCAGGACAGGACGGCTGAAACCGAGGTCCCGGCGCGCGGGGCCCAGGCGCCGTGCAGTGAGAGCACGCCGCTTGACCGAAGGGGCGGGGCCTGAAGGCTGAGCGCAGTCGCGAGGCTGTAGTTGGCAGGAGAGCGGGCGGGGCCTGAAGCCCCTCTGGGCTGCCTGGACGGATGAAGTCCAGGTGGAAAGCCAGTCGACGTTTCCCGGGAGCTACGACTCCAGGGACCCTCATCCGAGCTTAACCGTTGGAACAATCACAAACCCAGAAACTTTTAGCTGAGTGTTATTTATAAAAAGCGCTGTTTTGACTGCTGTTGGACTTGGAAAAGCTTTGCCCACGATACTGAAGGTACCACTCTTTGTTCCTAAGAAAGCAACCTTTTCTTTCCTCTCACCTCAGCTGTGGCGTATATTGTAACTGAGTAAAAATAAGGAAAGTTTCTAATTCTAACTAGTTAACAAATATCAGCTCAAAGGCATGTCTGAAAAGATCTGGTTTACTTTTAAAATATTGGTATAAAATTTCAAAAAGGGTTTTTTTTGTTAGAGAGTGTGTCCACCTTCCTCCTCCAGATCTTTCACTGATCGCCGTAATTTACAGATAAGACCTACAGAGCAACCCGTCATGCCTTCCTGCCGCGCCCCAAGTTCATTTCCAAGTCCTTGCATTTTTTCCCCCTAACTTGTCTCGAATGCACCCATTTTCTCTCCGTCTCTGCTCCACAACATCCCCAGTTGCCTCGTCCTCGCCTGGTTTCCTGTCGTAGCTTTCTAGCTGATATCCAAGTGTCTATCCAGGTCCCAGCCAGTCCCGAGACTGCGGTGTGGCCGCCTAAAACATTTCCAAACACAAAACTCATCGTGGCACTTCCCTTTCTTAAAACTCCTTAAAGTTTTTCTCTGCTCTTTGACTAGCCTCTTGTCAAAACCTCCTCTGGCCATCATGGTCCCAACCCCACAGTGCGTTCCCTTAGGTCATTAAAAGCCCCTGCACCTTGCTGCCTCATGGCTTTTGCGCAAAGATTCACTTTGGAACCTGGAATTGGCCTCCTCTCCATTCCTCATCCTTCAGAATACAGCTGAAGTATCACTCCTTAAAGGTTTTCCTAGTTCCTAGACTGGATTCTCTCAGGTGCATCATATCACCTGTGTATGTAGATACACACACATACGATTATGTGCGTGTCCCCTTCTAGTTCAAAACCTCCAAAAGGCCAGAGATTGGCTGCATGTGACTCATTTCCCAATATCGCTTCATGTGGCACATGCAGTGCTTGGCTCCAGGTAGGTGCTCAGTGTTTGTTGAATCATTGAACTACCTACCCAAGCCAGACCCAGCTTTAAGTGCTTTCCTATGTTAATACCTGCCTTAAGCCTTATAGGGACCCTATGAAATGGGCATTAGTATCTGTAGTGTCACCCCCAAATTCATATATTAAAAGTTGTAACCCCAACGTGATAGTATTTGGAGGGGACCTTTGGGTGGTAGTTAGATTTAGATGGGGTTATGAGGGCAGAGCCCCCATGATGGGGTTAATGACCTTGTAAGAAGAGAGAGTTCTCTCTCTCTCCACCACATGAGGACACAGCAAGAACGCAAAAGAAGAGGGCCCTCCCCAAAACCCAGTCATACTGGCACGCTAATCTCAGACTTCTAGACTCCAGAAATATGACAAATTTCTGTTGCTTAAGCCATCTAGATTATAGTATTTTGTTATAACAGCTAAGACAGTGCTCTTTAATAAGAGGAGGCAGGTGTGGCTCAGAGATCTTAATTTACTTGCCCAAGGGGCTCAGCACATGCCTGTAGTCCTAGCTACTTGGGAGGCTGAGGCAGGAGAATCACTTCAGCCCCGGGGTTCAAGGCCAGCCTAGGCAACATAGCAAGACCCCCATCTTTAGAGAAAAGTAAGATTTGTAAAAAGAAAAGCATACTTGTCCAGGATGGAGGCACAGATAACAACAGTGGCAGAATATTAACCCAGATCTTTTTGATTATTAATGGCCCCAGTAAATTATATTTTTGGTCTTTTGAGGGGTTTTTTGGGACAAGGTCTCACTCTGTTGCCCAGGATGGAGTACAGTGGTACGATCTCAGCTCACTGCAGCTTTGAACTCCTGGGCTCAAGTGACCCTCCCACCTCAGCCTCCCGAGTAGCTGGGACCTGTGCAGGTGCACCCCACCATGCCTGGATAATTTTTTTTTTAATTATTTGTAGAGACAGGGTCTCTCTATGTTGGCCAGGCTGCTCTAGAACTCCTGACCTCAAGCAATTCTTCTGCCTCAGCCTCCCAAAATGCTGGGATTACAGGTGTGAGCCACTGTGCCTTGTAGCTCCACTAAATAATGAAAACTCAAGGAGTTTAAATGACTTGGCCAAAATCACACACTTGGTTAGTTAGAATAAGCACAACTAAATAAGGCTTTATTAAATGTTTTAACTGAAACTATGATAGCACACAAACGAACCAATTTTTTTTTTTAACTCAGAGGCACCTAAGAAGTTAGTCCTTATTAGTCCTGTTAAGCCAGTGCTTACTCTTTGTTGAGCGTGGGAGAAATCAAGTTCTAGAAAACTTAAAATGGGTCAGGCACGGTGGCTCACACTTGTAATCCCAGCACTTTGGGAGGCCAAGGCAGGTGGATCACTTGAGGTCAGGAGTTCAAGGCCAGCCTGGCTAACATGGTGAAACCCCGTCTCTACTAAAAATATAAAAATTAGCCAGGTGTGGTGGCATGCACCTGTAATCCCAGTTCCTCAGGAGGCTGAGGCAGAAAAATAGCTGGAAGCCAGGAGGTGAAGGTTGCAGTGAGGCAAGATGGTGTCGCTGCCCTCCAGCCTGGGCAACGGAGCGAGACTGTCTCAAAAAAAAAAAAAAAAAAAAAAACACAAAAGGAAAAGAAAGAAAAAGAAAAAGAACGAAAACTTAAAACGTTAAAACCTGGAGAGATACTATGGTGTTAATGGGGTAAATTGAGGATTTCAGGAGATAGATTGTCCTACTTATAATCCCACTTTCACTAAATAATTGTGTGATTTAAACCAAGCCTTAAGCTCTCTGAGCATTAGTTTCCTTGTCTGCAAAATGGGGATAATATTTATCGGGTAGATTTGGAGGACTATTAAATAAGATTAAATGTAAAATCACATACACCATAAGTACTCAGTAAATGGTAACTGATTGAGGATGATTATATATAATCAGTACTGTTAATGCTTTATTTACTAAAGAATAACACTGAACATTTTTATCAATTTTTTTTTATTAAGGGCACAGTTTTTTTTTTGCGGGGGGGCGGGGGAGACAGAGTCTTGCTCTGTCACCCAGGCTGGAGTGCAGTGGCACAATCTCAGCTCAGTGTGGCCTCTGCCTCCTGCGTTCAAGGGGTTCAAGCGATTCTCGTGCCTCACCCTGCCGAGTAGCTGGGGCTACAGGCGTGCGCCACTATACTTGGGGCACAATTTAACTGTGATCAGAGTAAATGAAAATTTCACATTTTGGTAAAATGATTTGGGACCAAACATTTATAACTGGCGTATTCATACCATGCTATTAAATGAATTATGATGCAGATACAATTAGTTCTTTCTACTGTTTGTTTGCTTTTTTCCTTTCTTCTGCCATTGTCCTGTTCCATCTCCCCAGGGGTCATGACATTCGTGGCAGCTGTTTAATAGTGGCCATAATGAAACTCATAAAGAGAATAAGCAGGGTTACTCTCCGATGTGCAACTTCCCATTCCATTTTCTTCCTTCCAGCCTTGCTTTTCTACAGCTTAGCTTGCTGGTGCTTTGCCTTTAGTGGAGATGGGATGTTTGTTTTGAACCAACTCTTCCTCTTAACCCTGGATCCTGAGTTTCAAGGGCACATTCCTTCTCCCATGGGGTACATCCAACAATGTGTAAAATCCTGGAATTCTTGTCCCAGAGAAAAAGTTCTGCAGGGAACTCCAGCCATCAGCAGGGTCTCAGTAAAGCCATGGTTTAGGACATGAACAATGTCCTCTTCTTCTCACTTTAAAAAGGGCTAAATGGTATCATTTCTTTTTCAGAGTTTTCCCTGCAAGGACCTCCTGTGTACATAAAAGTTTAGACTTGTTGCTCCATTTCACTCCTAGTCTGTTCTCTTCCTAGTAAGCAGTATTCCCAAGTATCCTAGACTCAAAATCATCCATCCCTCCCCCACTGTAACACTGTAGTCCTGGGTGGATTCTGAGGCATGCAGATAAGCTTGCTTCAGCCTTATTTACCTATCCTCCTCTCTCCAGGCCCACTTAAACCCTCATCCCCCCGACTGCTTCAGTTACCCTCTGTAGTGTTACCATGCTATGAAGGCATCTCCAGCCTTGAATTCTTTTCTGATCTTCAGGCTTATATAATGGTTTGTTGAAAACAGTCAAAATGCTGTTTTCTCTTCTGTTGTGTTATGAAGTGTTTTACAAAGAGGTAAATCTTCCTCATATTCACTTGGATAAACATATATAACAAGCAAAATGGGATATCCATAATACCCAGACTCTACTCCCAAGGAGTGTAAAGATATCTCACAAATTCTTACCTTTATATTAATTCTTCTCTGATTTTTAATTATGGTATTATGCACTGGAAAAGGCCACTTCGACTTCCTGAGAGCATTCTTTTTGTCAGATACAAATTTTGTTTGCAAGCACCCCTCTATGAAGTGTAGTCCCCCCACAAAAAAATGTAGTTTGAAACATTTGATAAGGAGCAATTGAATATGGTAATTGATGGAATAGAGCAGACCATCCCAGCATCTAGGACTGTGGTGTGTGCTGTGCACATTTGACTGAGCTTGCCTTTATATGATGCTATTAAGGTAAAGTCATATGCTTTGTGCTGTTTTTTTTTCTGAAATTCAATGTGGCGTAATGATTAAGTACACGGTGATCTGGAGTCAAGCAGAACTGAATTATAAACCTAGCCTTGACATTTCCTACAATTTTGTCCATTGTGTAACCCATCTTGGAACTTAGTTTCATCTTTTGTAAATTTAGGGTTAATATATGTCAATCTCATACTCAAAGGGTTGTGGTGAGAAAGGAATTACAGTTTATGAAACTGTCCTAAACCAGAAGTGCAGCACAACCAATGGACATCCCTTTGCAATGGACTGTCCTAAACTTTAATATATATATTAAAGCTTAAAACACAATAAGTGCACAACATATTTTTCCATTGTTAGGACTGGCATTGTTGAGTTGCATGAAGCCAGCTACACTGGCTTATGATTTCTCCTATGAAAGAGTACATATTCTAAGCAAAGAACCACTTATTCTGTGGCTATTGGAACAGAGATACTTGCAGTAGCAATTCCTATGCAAATATAATGCAATCACCTGGAAAGGAAGCTTAAATCCTATTTACTGATTATAGTCTCTTTTAGTATCATCTCAGATAAAGTATCCACCTGATTCCTAACACCATCGTTGGCATAATATTAGGACGTGACAATGAAAATGTTTATAATTTTGTTTCATTAACTTAAACATCTTTTATTTACATCATTTTGTTGCTCATTTAAGAACAAAAAAAAGCCTAAGCAATTAAAAACAGTAATTTTGTCCTACGTACTAGAGACAGCATATATGAAGCAAACAAACCACCCATGAATATCATGATTAATGTGTATTTCAATCAGTTCAATTGTGTGTATATGTATTGATCAAGTTATTGGCTGCAGTGTACTGTACTGAACCGTTTTAGCATGCCACAGTCTCTTTGACTAGTACATACCAACTCAGTCCCTATGTCATGTACACCTTGGCATTTAGTTTAGAATTACCCAAGTCTCTAGAAGCATCTAGATATTTTAAGATTGTTTTTGAAAGGATGTTAACTCCATTCTTGTGGGCACCTGCCAAATTTCTGTCACAGGCTTAAAAGTAACTAGTCTAAGGACATAGTTACATTACTATGACCCCACAGTAGTTGTTTTAAAGGTTTTGGTATCTTCTGTACTTCCTGATCATTTATCAAATTCAGTCTGACACACATATTTCACTGGTCATTGTTTTTTGTTCAATAGACTTCAGAGTTCAGCCCATTCCACTGCCTTTTATTGCTTGCTATTTTTAAGGAGACACCTCAGTAGAAATCCTCTTTTTCTGTACAGTGTAATTACTGAAGCACATAAAGTGGTTATAACAGGAATTTATCACTTTCAGGTGGAAATACTCCCAGCCAAATAAAAGATAGAGTAGGAATGCCAGAAGCAATTTATAACAGGCTCACTGACATTTTGTGTTGAGAAGCTCTACCACTGAATAAGCATCAAGTCATAAATCTCTGTAAACGTGATTAAAGCAAGCAAGTTATACTTTGAGGGGATACTATAATAAAAGGATGCTGTGATGCAAAGCAGGAAAATTCTGTTGACAAAAATCACCAAAAACAGCTGTCAGTAAAATTTACAAACAGCTTGTTTTAAATTCTGTTGGATTCTAGCAGCTGTTTGTTTGCACATAAAATGTTCATTTAGGAAATGAGCATTGGCCCTAGTTTGGGTTCCATTGTGTTTCAAAATTCTGTAATCAGTTTAATCAAAATTCATGCAATAATTTAAATTTCATTCAAAGCACAAGTGAGAAGTAACCAATATATTTAAATATGCCTCATATACAATTTGTGTTCAATAAATATGGGAATAAAAAAAAAAGAATGACTATATACCATTATCTGTAAAAGCAATGATCAATTACAACATGCATTTCAGCTTAATTTTTCTTCATCCATATATATTCTTTTAGAAATTATGCCTTGTTCATATTGGACTCATTTTACTCTTATTGTTAATAATCCTTAAGAGCCCTTCAGCAATATATTTAGAATTTAGAACGCTGACTTAAAATTTAGTTACAATTATCAGACATAGTCTATTAAATTTCGCTCATGCCTTTAGTTACTTTTCTCACTATCTCAAAATATAGCTTATATATTTTTTCATCTGTAAAGTAGGGATAACAGAAAATACTTTACTGCTATTATATGGATAAAATAAGCTAATACACTTAGAAAAGTGCTTGGAACATATTAAGTTCCTAATAAATGCTAGCATTTACCACTGTACAAAAAACTCTAGGTTCAAGAATAATAAATTGATCAGAATTTTTTTTAGGTAATAAGAGCATGTGTGTATATATATGTATGTGTGTGTATATATGTATATATAAGTGTGTGTGTATATATGTATGTGTATATGATATGGTTTGGCTGTGTCCCCACCCAAACCTCACCTTGAATTGTAATAATACCCATGTGCCAAAGGTGGGGACAGGTGGAGATAATTGAATCATGGGGGTGGCTTCCCCCATACTGTTCTTGTGATAGTGAATAAGTCTCATGAGATCTGATGGTTTTATAAACGGGCATTCCTCCACACAAGCTTTCTTGCCTGCTGCCATGTAAGAAGTGACCTTGCTCCTCATTCACCTTCCGCCATGATTGTGAGGCCTCCCCAGCCGTGTGGAACTGTGAGTCAGTTAGACCTCTTTCCTTCATAAATTACCCAGTCTTGGGTATGTCTTTATTAACAGCTTGAGAACAGACTAATACAGTATAGGTATACACACACACAATACACACATACCATTTTTAGGTATTAATTTGGGAAATTTGGAAGCCGAGTCAAACCAAAAAATACAATCATAAAAATAAATATAATGTTGTGTTCTCTTTATTCTTAAACCAAACACCATGATCATCTTTCCTTCCCTGATTTTACTCACATCATTGAGAAAAATATATTGCTTTGGTTATATTTTCTAGAAAAAAGTCTGTATAATCCAGATTCATCATATAATCCTAACAATCACCCAGTAGTATAGACACCATTACCCCGTTTGACAGAAGAGGAAAAGGGACTTCAAGCTATTTAGTGACTTTCCTAAAAACATATAGCTTACAGATAGCAGAGCAAGGAAATAGTTCCAGGTTTGCCTGACTCCAAAGCCCAAGCACATAAGTAGCACATAACCTAGTTTTAATTACGTTCAACTTCAGAAAAGGATATTATTTAAATCCCAATCAGTTGAAATACGAGTTCATACCCATTTTCAGCACAATTATACATTGTTACTTACAGAAAAAGTTTGTTATAGTCTTTCCTCTCAGAGAATTTAGTTCCTAGTTATTAAGACTATGCAAGACACAATATAAATAATATGAGACATTATAATTAAGTGTTCAATTCTGTGATCCACATAAAGTATCACAAAAGGTCATGGGAGAGAATCCTTACAGTTGCTTAATGAAGATTGGAACGATCATGGATATCTGTGGGAGAGGTGAAAGTGGGAGTTAAGTCTTAGGTTTGAGTAGTAGAAGGGAGGAGGAAAATTATTTTAGATGGGCAAAATCATAGGAATGCAGACACACAAATGATAGGGGAACATCACTACCAGCTTGACTAGAGCAAAAGTGTTGATTGAAGCATATAAAATTACTGGTTTTGTAGGTCAAAAATGGTCAGACAACAGCAATTTCATCTGGCTCAACCTAATACCTATTATATAGTAGTGATTATAGTTAGTACACAGCTAAATGTAATAACGAACTCCTAGAATTTGGGGAAGGATCAGTGAAAAGTCACTTTCTGAGAGGGAAGCTAGCAGCTATCAATAAATAATGGCTGAGATTTTTATCTGTTCATATATGCCACCCTAAGAGATTTGGAAATATGGTGCTTAGCTATTCAAAGAAAAGCCCCATTGCGACCAAGCAAATAGACTAAAATTAAAGCCCTGAAATATTTTTTTAAAAGCTTGCCTTTCAGGGCAACTTGAGCCAGGGAGTAAATATTAAGTCACATTATTAATAACAACCCACATTTATATAGCTTTGCCATCCACCAGTGGTGTGTGCTAGCTGGCATGTTTAGGCTCACAAGAGCCATTTATTAAATTTTCAGGAATTTTTAGGAGTTTTGCCAGCTGTTTGTTAAATGTTGTCATTATTTAAAATTATATTATGTGAACTTAGAATAACTTTTTAAAAACAAAGGTAATATTAAAAACTCACTTCCTAAATATTTTACTGCATTTACTTATTATCTATGCTCTTGAAGTTATTTACATTTTTTTCTATCCCTATAGTAGAAATGCTATAGTATATGATAGTGTGCTCTTGCACATCTTATCAACTTCACATTCAGTGACATCACTTTGGTAGCTTGAAATCAGCCACAGTGAGAGTATTTACAACAGGAATATCTGTGTAAGGCTTAATTAGGGCTTAATATATTCTTTTGTTGATTGTTTATTCCAGACATAGATGAATAAAATGTAATAATACAGAATACATTTACTTCAGTATCTTGAAAGCAGCCATGGTGAGAGTATTTACACCAAGAATATTGGTGTAAGGCTTAATTAGGGCTTAATATATTTCATTGATTGTTTATTCTAAACGTACATGAGAAAAATGTAATAATGCAGGTTACTTTTAAATATATGTCATGTCTGCCATGGCAAAAGAAATATATTATGGACTTTGGGGACTCAGGAGGAAGGTGAGAGTGGGGTGAGAGATAAAAGACTACACATTGGGTACAGTGTATACCGTTTGGGTGACGGGTGCACCAAAATCTCAGAAATCACCACCAAAGAACGTATTCATGTAACCAAAACCACCTGTTTCCCAAAAACTATTGAAATAAAATAAAATACATTTTAAAAATGTTTAAAAAGTATGTCATGTCTATAGATGTTGTATTGTGAATAGGTACAAAAATTGGTGATATATATCTATATCTATCTATATAGGTAGATATAGATATAGGTATTTTTGAGAGGGAGTCTCACTCTGTGCCCAAGCTGGAGTGCAGTGGTGCCATCTCGGCTCACTGCAATCTCCGCCTCCTGGGTTTAAATGATTCTCCTGCCACCACCTCCCAAGTAACTGGGATTGCAGGCACCTGCCACCACACCCAGCTAATTTTTGTATTTTGGTAGAGACGGGGTTTCACCACGTTGGCCAGGCTGGTCTCCAACTCCTGACCTCAAGTGATCCGCTCACCTTGGACTCACAAAGCGCTGGGATTACAGGCATGAGCCACTGCACACAGCCTAAAATTGGTGACATATTCTTTCAGTATTCAACTTGCAAGCAAGTCACATCATTGATGAACAAGTTTCACTTCTGTCTGACTCTAATACAAATATCAACCAACATATATGTTGCAACTACACTCAGAATGCTCATTGTTCAACATTTACCAGCATGTCAGTGCATCTACCTATTATGTCCAGTTGTGTCTACCCTGCCTACCACCGTGTGGAAATCTCAGGCTGTGTTTGACATTTAGTCGCAAACACAGTGCTGTTGGCACAACATGGGATCCAGACTTTGCCTCCTCTCAGGATCTGTCACTGAGCTCCATAGTGATGTTTACTGCCTAGACTCAGAAGCTTGGCATGCTGGCTGGGCACAGTGGCTCACGCCTGTAATCGCAGCACTTTCGGAGGCTGAGGCAGGCGGATCACCTGAGATCAGGAGCTCGAGACTAGCCTGGCCAACATGGTGAAACCCCATCTCTACTAAAAATACAAAATTAGCCGAGCATGGTGGCGCGTACCTATAATCCCAGCTACTCGGGAGGCTGGGGCAGGAGAATCATTTGAACCTGGGAGGTGGAGACTGCAGTGAGCCGAGATCATGTCATTGCACTCCAGCCTGTGCAAAACGTGAAACTCCTTCTCAATAAATAAATAAATAAAAGAAGCTTGAAGCTTGGCATGCTCTGAGGTCATGAGCTCCTCGCTCCTTCAAGCCCCTCAACCCCTCCAGTCCAAAACTCTCCCTAGGTGCTGCCTTTACAAGGTACTCCATTTCCACACAGCTCTACTAAAATAGGGATTGTGGCTTTTCCCCATTTTTGTGTCTACTCAAATAATTTAGTGCTGCCAATGCCTTCATTATTTCTCAGAAGCATGCAAAATTGGCTCTTATGGTTTTGTGCTTTTTCCATTCATATCACAAATCCATGAGGGGCTGGTTTGGAGGAACACTTTCTACCCCACTTTTCCTTCTTTATGTGTCTCACCAACTCGCACATTATATATTTAACTTGTGTAATTTATTATTTATATTTATTTATGCAACACCAGCTTCAAGAAAGCATCAATTGTTGTCTGTACATTGCTATATCCCCTGTACCTAGGACAGCACCAGGGATGTAATAGGTGTAGGAATGAATGAATGAGGACAGAGTGAAGACACATGCCGTAATCAAAATCAGCTTGGCCCTTAGATGCTAAGGTATTATTTCCAGACCAAAATTGCTCTTTTCTCTTAGGAGAAGGCTTCCCCACTGCCCCCAGAGATTTCCAGATAACCAACCCTTTTTGGGATGGTTTGTGCCCTTTAAGTTCTCTAAAATGACTAAATTTTTCTGGCTTTTGGTGAGTATTGCTTAGGTTTGTATAGGTGGAGAGAAAGCTTCCTCTCCACCTGCTGAAGTTTCACTGCAATAGACAGATTAATAGGATAAAAAGGCATACAAATTTATTGAACATGCATAAACATAGGAAACATTTAAAATACGAGATTCAAAGAAGAGCCAGATGGTTGATACTACCCTCTTCATAATAGACAAGGAAATATGAGATATAGTCAATCATGAGGAGTAGTAAATGATTTTCAGGGGAAATTAATGAACCCCAAGAACAATGGCCTGGGATGAAGTTTCTCAGAGTTCTGGGGGAGGTGGCAGGATGATGAGTGGCTGAACTTCACTGGGAAAATATGCAAATAGTCTTGTAGGTAAGTAATCTCTTGGAGCTGCCGTCAGAGAAGAGATGAAAAGCCTAGGCATGGTGCTGACTCCCAGTCAGTTCTCTTCTTCAATGGTTGAACTTTCCTGGTCATTTGATGAGATTTCTAGGAAGTGGGTCTTAAGACAATTGCATTTCTGTTGGAAAGAAGCTTCCTTAGTCAGATAAGGAAATCTTAGAATCTCTCTTGGTGCTTTGAGCAAGGAAAAAGGTCAGAGAGAGAGGGTGGTTGGGGAAGGTCAGAGAGAGACTTTAGTTCTGAGGCTTATTTCTGAGGCCTTTCAGTTTTCTTTAATTCAAAGCACTTAGCTTGCCAATGGGGCATATTTTAGGGTATTGTTTTCTGCACTCCAATAGATTCAATCTACTTCTTCTCTTCCCATTGTCTGAAGAAAAATAAAACCTAGGAGTGTATAAAATCAAAAGTTTAAAAAAATTCATTTTCTTAACATGTCAGACCAGATTTCTTTTGTGAGATGGTTTGGGAAAATTCTTGATTAGATGCTTGGCTAAGACTGGGTGTGATGGCTCACACCTGTAATCCCAGCACTTTGGGAGGCCGAGGTGGGCAGATCACAAGGTCAGGAGTTCGAGACCAGCCTGGCCAACATGGTGAAACCCCGTCTCTACTAAAAATACAAAAATTAGCTGAGCATGGTGGTGGGCACCTGCAATTCCAGCTACTCGGGAGGCTCAGGCAGGAGAATCACCTGAACCGGAAGGCGGAGGTGACAGTGAACCAAGATCACGCCACTGCACTCCACTTGGCCAACAAGAGCAAAACTCCATCTCAAAAAAAAAAAAAAAAAAAAAAGATGCTTGGCTAAGAGGGGAATTAGCAGAACCCAAAGTAACTTTCCATGAGGCAAAGAGAGAAATTAAGTTTAAGCCATGGGAAGGAGGAAGAGAGGAAAGAGGATGGTGGGGCAGAGAGAGGAATCAATATGTCATAATCATAGACTGGACTTGAATCGATTAAAAGCAGCCAGGGAAAATCCCAGGATTGGGGTGGCTGAGAACTTTAAGAACAAGAGTCCTTAATTATGGAATGTTTTTTAGCAGAATATAGGATTGCTATGGAAACAAATCTGAAGTCTGGATTTATGAGGGCTGGCCCCTGGAAAATGCCATGTTAGCCATGTAACTGAGTATAAAGGTGAAGATGTTTCTTGCCTCACCAGGCCTCTTTTGTACAAGTGAAGTAGCTGTATACATTATATATAGCTCATCATGATGTGATGAAAGAAAGGAGGGAGGGAAGGAGGAAAGAAAAGAAAAGAAAGGAGGGAGGCAGGACCCAGCAATCCAGAACCTGGAAATAATTGGGAAAGTAATATTGCCAGCAAAGATGGTGCCTGCTGAAAGCTCAGATTTGTGAGAGCCAGGTTTGAAATCGAATCTTTTGTTTTATCTCAGTAAGACTGGGTGAAGGCTTCTATTTTTTTGTTATGTTTTTTAATATCAGAAAAACAGTACATCCTGCTCCCAAGGGGAAACGTTTTGCTCCCAAACAAGGTGGGCAAGATAGATATGGTACGAGGTGTTTCAGGTTTCTATTTCCCTCACTCTCCAAACTGCCCAGCCAGCCTGTGAAATGCATGCTTATCATTCCAGAGGCAAGACATGACAGTCCTTATGGGTAAAACATATTACCTGAATTTGTTTCTGATCATATTATCTTCTCAATAGAGTTCTGTTTTCACACTCAGTGGGCTTGATGTCGAAGATTTTCACATGTTTCCAGCTTATTGCTTTAGGTGAAGGAGGATGCTGTGATAACAGTAATTATAAAAACCAAGAACAGAAAAAGGAAAAATATTCTTTGTTTTCCAACTATTTTTAATGGTTAGGAGTATTTAAAAATAAAAGGAAAAATACATTTTAAAATGTATATGTTTTTAAAAAGAATTTATAAGCATTTTGAGGGGGACAAAAGAGAAACAAAAGGGATGGGATAACTAATAATGAGTAGGAAAAAAAAGAAAAACTAAGGCAGCAGTGTTCTTGGAGCTGTAACATGTTTATTCAAGCCCTGGCCCTCTCATTTACTTTTTTTTTTTTTAAAACCATTAAAAGTTTTATCAGGTGGAGCGACCTTGGGAAGAAGAAAAAGTCTTAGCATTAAAAAGCCATTTAATGCTAAAATCTTTCCAATTAATCTCATGCATCAAATGGTTCCTGAGAGCTTATCATACGCCAGTTGCTATATTAGGTGCTGGAATTAGAGGGGCGAATAAGACTGACCTGACCCTGTCCTCATAGAGTTCACAACCTGTGCTTCCCTTTTATTAACTCTAAAATGGAAAAAATAATAATTGCCTTCTCATAGCGTTGCTGTGAGGATCAAATGGGAATACCTATGTAAAAGTAGTCTGTAAAGCATACATGTGAGAGGTTATTATACTTCTCTTTGTCCAAACTCAGAATAAGAGGTACTCAGCCAACCTCACATTTGTTAAAATTAAAACAAAATTATTAACTTCAATTGTCAGTGCACAATTGCCTCCGTAGAAAAAAAAATACCTTCTTTAAAAAACCTACCAAGGTTTTGTGTAATTCCCATTATGATCAATAGATAATGTGGCTTGCTTTGAAATTTCTCCTCTATATTTCATTTCCAAGTAGGAATTAAACTTCCTTTCTTGAATTATAGGGTGCCAGAATAAATGGTTGAAGCATTGGGTGAGAATCACAAAATCTAGCTCATTCTGTCCCAGTAGGTAAACTGCAGCCAAAAAAAAAAAAAAAAAAAAAAACTATAATTTAAATAAAGATGTCCTAAGACTTAAGGTGGTAATTTTTTTTATCATACAACATCAGTACAAGATAGTAAAAAATCCATATCTAAGGATAATTTCTTAAAATATTGAATTAACCATTTTATCTGCCCATTCAGAGGATAATTTTAATATTGGATCAAACAGAATCATAGCTCTATGTCCCCTTCTAGTCTCATTTATATACTACGTGTCTTTAAATCAAATTACAGCAGTAATATGTTCATAGATGAAACAACTTTGACAAGCTTAGCTCTGCTAAGTGTTTGTAATTATTCAAAAATTGTGAAGTATTACTTGAGTATTTCTTGAATGTCAAGTTTTACTTGTTGACAAGCCACACCAGTTTTGAAGTAGTGGTGATACCAGCTTAAAGGGTATTTGATTCATTAATCTTCTAAATAAAGTAATTAACTTTTGAAAATAAAGGATACAAATATAGACCTCGCAAGACAATAAAATAGATAAATACATCATCTTCTTTTACACAAGCTGAAATGTTTGTAGTTTTCATCCATAAGTCAATTCATAGATGCATTTCTCTGTTGTACTTTACCTAAGTTTATAAGTAAGCCTAGAACAAAACCACTATACATTACAACTAAAATCAAATGTATATAAATATAATAGGGCATACATACAAATATATTATTATACTAGGATATAAGGTTAAACTGACTCATTCTTAAATTTATAAGATTAAAGAGTCACAGATTGTAGAACTAATAGTTTTTCTGCAGTAAATAATTGCGGATCACAACATTCTGAAGTGCAAACAACTTGGTCCATGCAAGCATGAAAAATAAACAGATCATTAAATTTGGTTTATGCGGTGTTTAAACACGAGTAATGCAGTTTTTTACTTTATAAGACAAGTATATTTTAAAATCAATTTGTAATGTGACAAAGCTAGTAAAATAGTTTTGGTAGTGATATGATATACTTTGATAGCTTACTTCTATGCAAACATGAATCAAGACTTTCATGTTCTGTCAGAGCAACAAAGAACCTTGCCTTGCTAAGAGAGAAATATGAATTACCAACAATACACTTCTTTTTCTTTCCCTGACTACAAAATCCCAATAAAGACTAAACAATGTACTTCCTAAAGGAAAGACTTAAGGTGAAAAATGCCACCATGCTTTATGGAAAAGAAGGGAAGTACAACGATATTCCGAGTACTTGCACAGCAGCCTCTATGTTTTAAAATAACTCCGCAGGTTATGTTTTTCATGTGATACTTAGTACAAATGGTTTATTTATTAAAATACCTACAAGAGACTTCAAATAAAAATATAGTATTCATTATTTTACAAGTTTTGGCATTTTTTAATATAAGTTGAAAATGTGAAAATCAATATTTTAGCTCACAGAAATTCAAGTACAGAAAGAATAACTTTAAAATTGTGAATTTGTTTTTAAAATGATAAACCTGGGCCGGCCGGATGTGGTGGCTTACACCTGTAACCCCAACACTTTGGGAAGCCAAGGCAGGAGGATTGCTTGAGACCAGTTTGAGGCCAGCCTGGTCAACATAGTGAGACCCTGTCTCTACAAAAGAAAACTTTAAAAATTAGCAGGGTATGGTGGCATGCACCTGTAGTCCCAGCCACTGGGGAGGGTAAGGTGGGAAGATCACTTGAGCTCAGGAGGTCAAGGCTTCAGTGAGCCATGATTGCACCATTGCACTTTAGCCTGGGCAACAGAGCAAGACACTGACTCAAAAAAAATAAAATAATGAACAATTTTTAAATTGCTTTCTGACATGACTTTAGAGAGGATGACAGCTCCTTTTCCACAACACATTACTCATATTCTGCATAAGTGAAATGAAGAATATCATGAAACATTTTTTAATCACAGTTGATGAACTACATTTTACCTAATTATTTAAGTTAAATATAATTTTAAAATCTTATAAGGCATGTTTTTGTAAAGAGTAATCATTTCATATTTGGAGCTATATTACTGGTGAGATTTTCTTTAAAATAATCTATTAAGATCAACTGTAAAGTGTCTGAGGAATACAGTTTACAAATATAGCTCCTCAAGTTTCAAACTTAGCCTAAAATTTATGCCTAATACTCATGTCTATTATGCGTCTATACTAAAAGCAGAGATGACCAAAAGGTCAAGTACTAATTACCTATAGTTCATTAAAATGAACTGGGAAGATATGTACCAATATTTTTTATTCCTCACTTTTATGGATGGCATTGGCTGAATCATAATTAACAAGGCTGTTCAGTCATATACCGCTTTTCAATTACTCAAGCCAGAAAGAGACTGAAAATTTATTCAGGCAGTGGGGTTCTCTGATACCTAGACTTTTAAAAAAATAGTAATACATTGGATAGGGAAGAGATCAAGTTTCAAACCTAGAATGAAAGAGATTTGTTTTAATACGCCACAGAGTAATAATACAATAAGAAATGCCTTCTGAGATTTTTGCACATTATACATGTTAGATTGGTTAAAAACTTGATTTTTTAAAACAAAAAAATAGGATTTTTTGTTTGTTTTGGTCAGAAAGTGTTTAGAAAGGTCTCTGAAATGATAAATAAGCAATTTAAAAGCATGGTTTCTGATTTCTAGGACATTCTGGGAGAAAGTATGCAGAAAAGGAAGGGCAAGCACTTTCAGAAACACCTACTCCTATTTAGGAGATTGGATGGAGTAGCATGATCATCTAAGAGAACATCCAAGAGATGTTGATTCAAAAGAAAAAAACAGAGTGATGGCTCACAACTGTAATCCCAGCACTTTGGGAGGCCATAGTGGGAGGATCACTTGAGCCCAGGAGTCCATGACCAGCCTGGGCAACAAAGCAAGACCCCATCTCTATTAAAATAATAATAAAGTTAAAAAGAAAAAAAAAACTTCATTCAAGGATAAGCCATAGAAGGAATATTATTTAGGCTTGAAAACCCTTATTTTGAAGAAGACTTGGGATTTTAGGTGAAGAAGATGGTGCAGGGAGAAATAGACTGAAAATGTTTACTGGTTATATTTTTCTTTTTAAAAGGCTTTCTCCTCCAGTGATAAGACAGCTTAGGGATTGAGAACTGAGAAAAGGCCACAGAATTTGGAGCAAGTATAATTATTTCTGTCCCAAAGGTGCCTGCTCTTTCATCTTTTTCCAAATATTGAGATTCCGGATGGCTCTGGCTGATTCCTTTTTCCGATTTTGCACAGAAGTTCCTCATGCTCTGACACTATTTGGGACTGGGAAAAGCTCACTTAAGGTGGACCATCTTAACTGCTGGGCCACAATTTTATATTAAATACTGGAGAAAGCGAATGGGAAAAGAAGGAACAAGAGGAGAAGAAGGAAGGACAAGAAGATTTTAAAATATTTGATAGCTCTTTAGCTTGAAAAAGGAAATAAAAATTGTGAAAATGAATTACATTTAATAATATTTGGTTTATAACTGCAATTATGTATTGATTTTTAGAATGAATTAAAAATGAAATCCCATAGTTTGGGAGTGTAACATTGCAAAACAATGTTTTTTAATTTTTTATTATTATTATTATTTTTTAAGACAGAGTCTCACTCTGTCGCCCAGGCTGGAATGCAGTGGGGTGATCTTGGCTCACTGCAACCTCTACCTCCAGGGTTTAAGAAATTATCTGCCTCAGCCTCCCGAATAGCTGGGACTACAGGCGCCCGCCACCATGCCCAGTTAATTTTTTTGTATTTTTAGTAAAGACAAGGTTTCACCATCTTGGCCAGGCTGGTCTTGAACTCCTGACCTTGTGATCCACCCGCCTCAGCCTCCAAAAATGCTGGGATTACAGGCATGAGCCACTGCACCCGGGCAAAACAATGTTTTTGATAGTAAGACATGACATTCTTAATCCCCATTTTCTTAAGGGCCTCTCTTAATCTTCTGATACTCAAATTATTATCTTTTGATGCTCCTAACTTGTCATCATGGCTCTTGCATTTCTCTTTAGTTGTTGAGTGGTTTAATTCTTATTTGCTTATGATTCTAATAATTCTCCATATCACTTTCAATGACTTTAAGAAAGTTTGCATCTTGTGCAATATTTGTATTTTGAACTTTGAATTTGATTTGCATTGTATTTTATATCATACTGTCCAGGTACTGGTGCTTTAAGCAATGAGAATTATAGAGGCTAATGAGAGGCAGAGAGTAGTCCATGTTATTTGATGACTAATTTTGTAAGTGGCCAGTTTTGTATTATGTTTTATAAATCCAGGAATTTGATTATGAAAACTCACTCTGATCTCTGAATAGTCAAGAATGGCCTGTTTCCAAACATCCTATAAATAACTAAATTTTTATATGAAAGAAACACAATCTTTTAGAAGTATGTTTTGATTTTACCCTTAGAGATTTTACCTTCCTAAACTTTGTTATATGTATATATAGGGAAAACATAACTATAAATTAAGACAATTTAAAATGTAATTATGATCTTATAATTATAGGAGACCAGAATATGCCACCTCAAAATATACTCCTTTGGCATAAGGATTATTTTGAGCTGATGGCATTTGAGAAGAAGCAGATATAAGAAAAGCTCTCTGCCCTTCCTTAATTTGCCTAAAAGCAAGACATAAATTTATAAAGACAAAAGGGAAGACCCTTTCTCAATCATTCCTTTCTCAACCAGGAATGATTAAAGTTGATCACTGAAGACAACTTTAGAATATGTATATGTATGAATTATATAACACACACACACACACACACACACACACATATAAACTTAGTACATAAAAATTACCGAATGATTTAAAAGTTCCCAAGGGGGATTGAAAAATTGTATATTACTATGAGAGGTGCATGAAAAAAAAAAGATTATGAAAATTCTGGACCAAAGTAACTGCCATGTCTTTCCTCCAGACAATCTCTACGGATTGCAAACAACCACTGACATTTTTTTTTTTCTTTTAGGAGTGGAGGTTTAATAGGTAGAAGAGAAGAGAAAGAGAAACAGCTTCCTCTGCAGAGGAAAGGGTCTCTGAGCGGAAAAGACCTCCTTGACATTTTACTCTACCTCTCTGAAGCTTTCAAATTCATGACCATAAAAATAGCAGGCATCAGATTATGATGGAAAGAACCCTGAATTGTGGATGTGGATTCTGGGGTTTCAAATTGGGCTTCCACTCAGAGAAGTCACCATACTCAGAAATTTCTATTCAATCTTCACATCTGCTTTGCTCCAACTTAATTTGTTTGCATAAATCGGACAAATTGCAATTTGGTCTTTCTTAACGTGATTCTCTCACTTTTACTTGATTCTGCATTTATTCCTACCCCCAGCCCTTTTCCCCTCCTTTCCTCCCAAAGGGAAGAACCTTAACTCCTGCAAGAAAATCAATAGAGATATAAAAACTCATTGATAGTTTTACTAAAGTCAACCTACCTTCCTCTTTACCCTAAGCACTTTGCAATCCTCTTAGCCTTGCTGTATACAGCTGTAACTGATAATGAATAAGATTTAATGAATTTGGGTATTCTCCCTTGGATTTATCATATTTCCTCAATTGTAATTATTTGTACCCTTATTATTCTATAGGCTCATAGAGTCAAAGAATCCATTCTCCTTTCACTGAAGAAATTATGCAATTAAACTTGCAATTAGACTGCCCACCGCTGAGAAACTGCCTACCAGGCCCAGAGCCTCTTTTTAAAAGGCACTTCTGTAGGAAGTTCTTTATGTAGAACTAGACCTTCTGATTCTCATTCTGTAACTGTTAGACCAGTCCTGGGTGCCTGCTAATAATGTGATAGTCTGAAAAATCAACTGATACAAACATGTTATGGATCACTGGAATGGCTACCTTATAGCTGAGCGCCATCACACAATTTCATGCTAGGTCTATACCGTAGATCCTGTGTGCCTGTGGGTTCCATGTCTGAACCATGGGTTGATTCACACAACCATGGATTGAAAATACTCAAAAACAATGCAATAATACTAATAATACAAACTAAAAAAAAATACAGTATAACAACTATTTACCTAGTATTTACATTGTATTAGGTAATATGGGTACTCTAGAGGTGATTCAAAGTATGTGGGAGAATGTGTGTAGATTATAAGCAAATACTATGTCATTTTATGTAAGAGACATAAGTATCTGACGATTTTGGTGTCCACAGGGATCCATTAAGGGATGATTATATTTACTGTTTTTTGTTCCAAGATTACACTATATAAATTCAAGAAATACGAGATGATGGACTATTAATACATGGTGTTGTTAGATGTCAGAAATATAAACTCCATAATCCTGACTCATGTCTGAAAACTCAGCTGCTTTATCGCCCCCTCCAGGAAGTCTTTCTGTGCTCCCAAGTTCCCCTAATGAGCTCTTCCTTTATACTCTCATGTTACCTGTCCTTGCTGTGCTATTTTGCCAGTAAACAGTGGGGAGAGGATGGGGTTAGTGTTTGGTTCTTTTAGATCTAATCACTATCTCTATTGTCTCGAAGGCAAGCCCTCCTTTTCCCCCGATACCAGCATGCCTAGTATATAGTAGGCACTCAGCGTTTGTTGAAATGAGTCTAGCTTCTGAAAGTGCTACATTCTGGCAGGAGGTGTGCTTTTAGAGAGGCACTTTCTCAGGGGCAACTCAGAAAATGTCAAACCTTTTAAACTGCTGCTTAGAAAAATCTGACTCTGGTGACATTAACCTTTAGAAGCCATATTAGCATTTACTTGAAGGCCATGTTTTGCAATGAACAACAGGCTACATCTAAGTCTAATAACTTGTAACCTAATAACAGATTTAATAAAAGTATAAAATGGATTGAGAAATTATCAGAAACCATAAGCTCCCAGATTATAACTGTATAGCAAGGAACATATTCTCTTGTTAATCTTCCACTTCCCGGTGATCTGTGTTCACTTCATCATCCCTAGAATTCAGTCAGATTAGTTATAGCACTAATTCTTATGGCTTCCAGACAGAAATATTCTTCATCTGCCCAAATCCCGATGTTCACTTGTGGATCCAGGTTTCATTGCATCACCTGGTGAAAGCTTATTGAAAAAGTGACATTTTTGTTGAGAGATTTGCCTGTTTGAAAAAATGGAAAAAAACAGCAGGCTTTGAATAACAAGTAGTACACTCAAACTTAATCTGTGTCTATTAAGCTGTTATCTATACTCACCACTTTGCTAAGCCATGGAGCCTATAAAAGAGGGACAAGACACCAAACTTTATGTAGCCCTATGGCACAATCATGTTGCAAAACATTTAATAACATTGTAAAGCAGACTGTGATTGTCGAAATGAGACACAGTCAGACAGTTCTTCTGAAAGACATCTTCAGACATCTTCTGCCTTAAGAGGAAGATGTCAGCAGAGGTCTAAGGTAGTTAGCCCAAGGCAGATACAAGACAGATTGTTACCATGAGACAATGGACTTGGGTAGAAGACAGCCTTGGGGAACTCTGAGCAACCAAGGTAGCATGAGCACAATCAGAAGAGGGTGAAGAATAACTTACAAGGAGAAAATGAGAGAAGAGAGAGCTAGGAGGATACTAGAGAACTGTCTTTACTTCACAGTTACTCTTCATTTGGAACAAATATGTGTCCGTTAGTATTACTCCTGTTACAGTTTACTATCATTTCTTATTTATTTATTGCTCAAGGAATTTTAGGTGGGTTATAAAAAATGCAGGCAATAAAATAGGCAACTACAACTAAAACACAAAGAGTCTATCATTTCATAGAATGGAAGAAATAGAAGGAATTTTAGAAGGTCAAGACCAAGGAGCAAAATCAAACTGAAAAGTAGACATTTTAGGATTTTACACAATTATTATTTTAGAGCCACAGATCTGGGTCTGAGCTTCCTGGCAGTTAAAGAAAAAAAGAGACATCAGTATAATATTTTAATATTGTATTTGTTTAACCCAGGGATTCTTAAGCTGGGTCCATGTAATCCTTAACAGTTCATGAACACCCTTCAAGGGGCACATGAATATCATGAAATTTTATCCAAAATGTCACTTATATCAAGTTGTTTTGAGGAAAGTATCCATAATTTCATCAGAATCTTGGAAAGGTGTGTGACCCAAGATGTTATGAACCACCGAAAAAATGGTGTTTAGTTTACATAGCACTGTCACATAATTACATCATCTGAGGCCTGGGAAGATTAAGTCCAGGTCAGAATTAGGAATCCAAGAGCCAAATTTGGCCAGGTGGCATTTTCCAAATAATGGAATCACCAGTGTTTAAAAGTCTTGAAAAATGGAAACATCTGGCAATATGGCACTCTCAATCCAATATGATAATGACTGAAATTGCTGAGAAATATCTGCTCCTGAACCAAGCAAGTGTCCTCTAGTTTAGTCCATGCTCAGCACTCCCAATGGTTCCAGTACCTTTGCTCAGCTATTTCCTGACTGGCTGCTTTAGACATTTGTGTTTCAGAGTCCCAAATTAAGTAATTTGTGTAGAACTGATAACTGAATCTAGTTTTTACTACAGTTCAGAATGAATTATTTTGTCCGAGTGATTCTCAAACTATATGTCTTCCAGAAGCCTGCTGTTACAGGTTCACCATTGCTTTTTGCTACCATTTGTCTAATAATCAAGTGTTATTAACACATCTCTAAATAGTTTATGATGCGTAGTTGCCTTTTTCATGCCTTTCATGAGCATATGTACCCAAAATTTTGTATTTTATACATCTTTGCATTCATTCAGCAAGTGTTTCTTGACAATGTACTATACTACTATATATTAAAAGTGCCAGGCACTTTTTAGATTTTATATATATATATATGATTAAGGTCATGAGGTCAGTTGGTTGAATTTGAAAAATGATTGATTGGCCGGGCGCAGTGGCTCTCACCTGTAATCCCAACACTTTGGGAGACTGAGGCAGGCAGATCACTTGAGGTCGGGAGTTTGAGACCAGCCTGGCCAACATGGCAAAACCCCATTTCTACTAAAAATACAAAAATTAGCTGGGTGTGATGGTGTGCACCTATAATTCCAGACACTCGGGAGGCTGAAGCAGGAGAATCACTTGAACCCTGGAGGTGGAGCTTGCAGTGAGCCGAAATCCCACCACTACACTCCAGCCTGGGTGACAGAGTGAGACGTTGCCTCAAAAGTAAACAAATAAGTAAATAAATAAATAAATAAATATAAATTTTAAAAAGAGAAAGAAAAATGATTGATTATTCTTAAGGGTATCATTGTGAGAAAAACTCAGTGGCTTATTTGATTTGAGTTCACAGGGTATTGCCTAGCCACGTAAGCAGCCATACTCTTGCCTAGTGTATATCAATTTAGTAGAAAATAAATTTACATATTCTTTTATTTCTTTTTTCCTAGCGTAATTAGCTGCCTACTTTTCAAAATTATGTGATGACTTCATGGGAAAAGAGATTCACAAGAACCAGTAACAGGAAAGCTTAAATAAGCTTGGAAATCTTTAAACTTTCAATATCGGTAAGCAATGATCATTTTTAATCACCCAAATTCATAAGATTTGATCAAAGGAAAAATGTAGTGTTTTGGTGATATGCAGGAAGTATGAAATGCATGCTACTAATGATTGAACAGTACATCTTTGGTATGGCAGAAAAATGTAGTTTTATTTGTTTTGTTTTTGACTTAAGGTATGTCAATCTTTTTTTTTTTTTTTTTTTTTTTTTTTTAATTGATCATTCTTGGGTGTTTCTCGCAGAGGGGGATTTGGCAGGGTCATAGGACAATAGTGGAGGGAAGGTCAGCAGATAAACAAGTGAACAAAGGTCTCCGGTTTTCCTAGGCAGAGGACCCTGCGGCCTTCCGCAGTGTTTGTGTCCCTGGGTACTTAAAGATTAGGGAGTGGTGATGACTCTTAACGAGCATGCTGCCTTCAAGCATCTGTTTAACAAAGCACATCTTGCACCGCCCTTAATCCATTTAACCCTGAGTGGACACAGCACATGTTTCAGAGAGCACAGGGTTGGGGATAAGGTCACAGATCAACAGGATCCCAAGGCAGAAGAATTTTTCCTAGTACAGAACAAAATGAAAAGTCTCCCAGGTCTACTTCCATCCACACAGACCCGGTAACCATCCGATTTCTCAATTCTTTCCCCACCCTTCCCGCCTTTCTATTCCACAAAACCGCCATTGTCATCATGGCCCATCACCAATGAGCCGCTGGGCACACCTCCCAGACGGGGTCGTGGCCGGGCAGAGGGGCTCCTCACTTCCCAGTAGGGGCGGCCGGGCAGAGGCGCCCCTCACCTCCTGGATAGGGCGGCTGGCCGGGCGGGGGGCTGTCCCCCCCACCTTCCTCCCGGACGGGGCGGCTGGCCGGGCAGAGGGGTCCTCACTTCCCAGTAGGGGCGGCCGGGCAGAGGCGCCCCTCACCTCCCGGACGGGGCGGCCGGCCGGAAGGGGGGCTGACCCCCCCACCTCCCTCCCGGACGGGGTGGCTGGCCGACCCCCCCCCCCGCCTCCCTCCCGGACGGGGCGGCTGGCCGGGCAGAGGGGCTCCTCACTTCCCAGTAGGGGCGGCCGGGCAGAGGTGCCCCTCACCTCCCGGACGGGGCGGCTGGCCAGGTGGGGGGCTGATCCCCCCACCTCCCTCCCGGATGGGGCGGCTGGCCGGGCGGGGGGTTGACCCCCCCCACCTCCCTCCCGGACGGGGCGGTTGGCCGGGCGGGGGGTTGACCCCCCCACCTCCCTCCCGGATGGGGCGGCTGGCCGGGCGGGGCTGACCCCCCCACCTCCCTCCCGGACGGGGCGGCTGGCCGGGCAGAGGGGCTCCTCACTTCCCAGTAGGGGCGGCCGGGCAGAGGAGCCCCTCACCTCCCGGACGGGGCGGCTGCCCGGGCGGGGGGCTGACCCCCTCCACCTCCCTCCCGGACGGGGTGGCTGCCGGGCGGAGACGCTCCTCACTTCCCAGACGGGGTGGTTGCCGGACGGAGGGGCTCCTCACTTCTCAGACGGGGTGGTTGCCAGGCAGAGGGTTTCCTCACTTCTCAGACGGAGCGGCCGGGCAGAGACGCTCCTCACCTCCCAGACAGGGTTGCGGCCCAGCAGAGGCGCTCCTCACATCCCAGACAGGGCGGTGGGGCAGAGGTGCTCCCCACATCTCAGACGATGGGCGGCCAGGCAGAGACGCTCCTCACTTCCTAGATGGGATGGCGGTGGGGAAGAGGCGCTCCTCGCTTCCTAGATGGGATGGCGGCCGGGCAGAGACGCTCCTCACTTTCCAGACTGGGCAGCCAGGCAGAGGGGCTCCTCATATCCCAGACGATGGGTGGCCAAGCAGAGACGCTCCTCACTTCCCAGACGGGGTGGCGGCCGGGCAGAGGCTGCAATCTCGGCTCTTTGGGAGGCCAAGGCAGGCGGCTGGGAGGTGGTTGTAGCGAGCCGAGATCACGCCGCTGCACTCCAGCCTGGACACCATTGAGCACTGAGTGAACGAGACTCCATCTGCAATCCCGGCACCTCGGGAGGCCGAGGCTGGCGGATCACTCGCGGTTAGGAGCTGGAGACCAGCCCGGCCAACACAGCGAAACCCCGTCTCCACCAAAAATAAAACGAAAACCAGTCAGGCGTGGCGGCGCGCGCCTGCAATCGCAGGCACTCGGCAGGCTGAGGCAGGAGAATCAGGCAGGGAGGTTGCAGTGAGCCGAGATGGCAGCAGTACCGTCCAGCTTTGGCTCGGCATCAGAGGGAGACCGTGGAGGGAGAGGGAGAGGGAGAGGGAGAGGGAGAGGGAGAGGGAGAGGGAGAGGGAGAGGGAGAGGGAGAGGGAGAGGGAGAGGGATCTTAAATAATGAGAGTCAGAAAAGATTATTAAGAATAGCATTTATTCCAGTGCAACACTTAAGGATAGCCATCCAGGAGACACAACTCCAAACAAATGAGATCAGTGTTTTAAAGTGGGAAAGGTAAAGTTTCATTTATATAGGCAGAAAGAGAAATTTTAGCAGGTTACATGCTTCATATGAGACCAGTGCATATGTTACAGTGATTTCATTGGTTATAGATTGCTACATTCTAAGGAAGATTACTTTATTATTTCCTAAGGATGGGTGGACAGTGATCTGAGGGACTCTAATCTCTGGCACTCTTTGGTCATAATTATTTACAGGAAAAAAAAAAGTCAGAAGTTGCAGCTGCATGCCTTGTGACTCAGACTGCATAGCCACATCTCTCTCAAAGCTCAGAATAATTTGAAGTTCCAACAGCCTTAAGTTTTAATTTCTTAATTTCACAGACTCTAGAGATCAGTGCAATTCAACTGTAAGAAATAATAAGTAAAACCTTTTCCCCTAATTAATTAAAAGATAATGGTGGATTTAATTCATTTTCATTGAAAATGAAGAGATGAGTTATTTTAATATCACATTTTAGCTCTTGGGGCAGAGAGAAAAAATATTTTAAGTTATATAGACAAATAAAATGCTCTATAGTGCAAAAGTAAGAAAAACATAGAAGATTCCCCTGAGACAAAAGATTTTGAAAAAGATTACAAGAAAAATTATTGCAAGACATAGGTATTGTTTTATTCTTAAAGAAATATGCTTTCTTACTTTATGAAACTAGTCTGAAACTGTAAATCTACATGGAAGTATACTGAATGCAGCAACTTAGAGAGAGATCCAGGCATTATGAATAAAGGGTGTCCAGATTTGCCTTGAATGCCAATGGATGTTAAGTTGGTAAAACTTAACTAATAATAGCAATAGCATTTATGTAATACTTTGTAGACATTTTCAGATACATTATCTCGTTTAGTTTCCAAAGTAATTGTTGGGAAAATCAGAATACATGCAGCATTATTTTACTGATAGAGAGAGGTTGGGGCAGGCCCAAAGTCACTTAATATTAAACTGCAATAAGTAAAATCCTTCTTCCTGCAGCTTAACATCACTTTATTTGGGAACAAAGTCTCTCATTCCACCAGAGTATCTTGGCTTAGCCTGAATACCCCAGGAGACTTAACACATTGATTTACATTTGCACTAAGATGGAAATGAGCAATTAATGATCCTTTTCTGTGGGAAGACTTTGGGAAAGGGTAATGGAAAGGGTCAGGAGCCCACAACCCTTGAAAAGGTGGATGCCTTTAAGAAGAGGAGGTTGCAGGAAGGAAGTAGGAACCCCTGAAGGGAAATCTCTCTTTATTTGCAGGTCTTGGGAGGCCACTCTCTCCTTAATTTAAGCTATGGTAGTGAATATCATATATGAAAGTATATTTATGTTCTTGAAATCTTTAATCTGTGTTGATTCTTTGAAATAATGAATTAAGGCATAGTTTAAATTTGCTAAGTGATGTTTAACCTAAGATGTGAAGAGTAGGAGGTAGCCAGTTAAAGAGGAGGGGGTAGCAGCATATTCCAGGAAGAAGCAGCAGTATATGCCAAGGCCAGAGGCAAGAGATGGTATGATCCATTTTATTACTGTGTTCCAGAATAATCCACTGAAATATGAATTTGTGTTTTGTTTGCACAGCTTAGGCATGTGAGAAACACAAGAGATATTTATTTTTCTCTCTCATACCCCTTTGTCTCAGTTCAGCTTTAGGGTGAATGGAGATCTGGGGCTTGTCTTACAGAGTTAAGAAAAGTTTGTAAAAGAACACAGTCCAGCAAAGGAGATGGGCTTTGGGACTCTAAGATCAGGAACCAGACATGACAAAAACTGAAAAAGGTTCCAGATCTTGAAGGGTTGGTGATTAGAGGTTCTGGAAGCAGCAAATTTGTACTCCATCTCCTCATGGCATCCCAGGGAGGTGTCAGGGGCTCCAAGAATGACTGGACCCAACTACCAAAGCTGCCACCCTCCAAAAGGATGTCAGTGCATGAGCGTGTTACCAGCACAGGGGAAGCAAACTTACCTCTACCCATCTTGAGGTTTTCTTTTTTTGAGACACTGTCTCTCTCTGTCACCCAGGCTGGAGTGCAGTGGCGCGATCTCAGCTCACTGCAACCTCCACCTCCCAGGTTCAAGCAATTCTCCTGTTTCAGCCTCCTGGAGTAGCTGGGACTACAGCCACATGCCACCACACCTGGCTAATTTTTGTATTTTTTTTAGTAGAGATGGAGTTTCACCATGGTCAGACTGGTGTTGAACTCCTGACCTTTGGTGATCCACCTGCCTTGGCCTCCCGAAGTGCTGGGATTACAGGTGTGAACCACCGCACCTGGCCACCCATCATGGGTTTTTAGCTGGGACTCATTAACCAAAAAGACAGATTAAGAAGAGAAAAACAGTTTATTATAATGCATGCAATGCACATCACACAGGAGAAACCTCAACAGAGTAACTCAAATCAGTGGCTTAGAACTCTGGCTGATACACCATCTTCAAACAAAGAACAACAAATTTGTCAAGAAATGACAGGACAAAGAAAAGTGGTTTTAGGCTTCCAAGGGTGGCAAACAGTAGGAAGGTAAAAATATGTGAGGAAATGAATGAAGTAAGGTTTGTTTGCAGATTTCTCTGGTGTTATCTCTAGGCTGGTTTAAGTGTCTAGAGCTGTTTCTGGTAAAGGAGAATTTATATCTTTCCTTTAGGCAGGAAAGGGGGAGGGTAGAGGGAGCTTTTCCTGCATTTGCTGCTGCTTAATTACCTTCAGCTCAAAATAATTTTTATGTAAATTAGGCATATTTTGGGGTGACATATTCTGGTTCCCTTCACCAGCAAAGCCTCCTTCCAAAGGAAATTGAGACTTGGAATATAAGCTGTACCCTGGGTGGGCCAAAGATAAGACCCAGTGAATCTAAGAAAGATGGAGATGGGATTGAGAGGGGGATATATGTTTTGTTTTTCTTAGAAGCATGCAATTGCTATAAATACTCATGTCTTCATCCATTTGTGTTGCTATAAAAGAATACCTGAAGCTGGTACTTTGTGAAGAAAGGAGGTTTATTTGACTCATGGTTCTTCAGGCTGTACAAAAATCATGGCACCAGCATCTTCTTCTAGTGAGGGCTTCTGGCCGCTTCTGCTTATGGTGTGTAGAGATCACATGTCAAGAGAGGAAGTGAGATGGAGAAGAGGAGGTGCCAGGCTCTTTTCAACAATCAGTTCTTGCGAGAACTGAGAGTGAAAACTCACTTACTGAACTCAAGAATAGCACCAACCCATTTATGAGAAATCTGTGCCCATGATCCAGACACTTTCCAGCAGGCCCCAGCTCCAGCATTGGGGATCAAATTTCAACATGACACTTTTAACAAACCTTATCCAAACTATAGCATTTCTCCCCTGGGCTCCCAAATCTTATGTCCTTCCCACATTGCAATCATTCTGTCCCAATGGTTCCCACAAGTGTTAACATATTCCAGTACCAACCCAAAAGTCCAAAATCTCTTCTGAGACTCAAAGCAAGCTGTAAGTCTGTAAAATCAAAATCAAGTTACATACTCTCAAGATACAATAGTGCAACAGACATTGGGTAAACATTCCCTTTCCAAAAGGGATAATTTGACCAAAAGAAAGGGGTAACAGGCCTCAGGCAAATCTGAAACCCAGCAGGGCAGACATTAAACCTTAAAGACCCAAAATAATCTTTGACTTCATGTCCCATAGCCACACTAGTTCATTGGGTGGGCTCCCAAGGCCTTAGGCAGCCCTGGCCCAATGGCTTTGCCAGGCATAATCCATGTGGCCACTCTCACTGTTAGAATCCAATGCCTGTAGCTTTTCCAGGCTAAGATTGTAGGCTACTGGTGGCTCTACCATTCTGGAACCTGGAGGACAGCAGTACTGTTTCATGGGCGTCCGTGTGAAGAGACCACCAAACAGGCTTTGTGTGAGCAACATGGCTGTTTATTTCACCTGGGTGCAGGCGGGCTGAGTCCGAAAAGAGAGTCAGCAAAGGGAGATAAGGGTGGGGCCGTTTTATAGGATTTGGGTAGGTAAAGGAAAATTACAGTCAAAGGGGGTTTGTTCTCTGGCGGGCAGGAGTGGGGGTCACAAGGTGCTCAGTGGGGGTGCTTTTTGAGCCAGGATGAGCCAGGAAAAGGACTTTCACAAGGTAATGTCATCAGTTAAGGCAAGGACCAGCCATTTACACTTCTTTTGTGGTGGAATGTCATCAGTTAAGGTGTGGCCAGGGCATATTCACTTCTTTTGTGATTCTTCAGTTATTTCAGGCCATCTGGGCGTATACGTGCAAGTCACAGGGGATGCGATAGCTTGACTTGGGCTCAGAGGCCTGACATACTGGTCCCACACTGCCCTAGTAGAGGCCCTCTGCAGTGGCTGTGCCCCTGTGGCAGACTTCTGCCTGGGCACCTGGGCTATCTGATAGGTCCTATGAAATTGAGGTAGAAGCTACCAAACCTCCACTACTCTTAAATTTTGCATACTTGCAGAGTTAATATCACATGTAAGCTTCCAAGGCTTATGGCTTGCACTGTCTGGAGTGGCAGCTAGAGCAGTATCTGGGGCCCTTTCAACCATGGCTAGAGTCAGAGTAGCTGGTATGCAGGAAGCAGCAACCTAAGGTGGCATCTGGCAGTGGTGCCCCAGGTGTGTACCCCAAACAATTCTGTCCTCCTAGGCCTCTGGGCCTGTGATGGGAGGGGCTGCCTCAAATATTTCTGAAGTGGCTTTTGGGCCTTTTTCCCACTGATTTGACTAGAAGCACCCAGCTACCTTTTATCTGTGCTGATCTCTCCAGCAAGTGGTTGCTTGTTAACACCCTTGGATTTTTCTCTTGAAAATGCTCCTTTTGTTCTCTACCACATGGCAAGACTGCAAATTTTTCAAATTTTTATGCTCTGCTTCTCATTTAATTATAAATTCAAACTCCACGTCATTCCTTTTCTCCCACATCTGATCATAAGCTGTTGAAAGCAGCCACATCACTTCTTAAACACTTTGCTGCTTAGAAATCTCTCTTGCTGGATACTGTAGATTGCCACTCTAGGGCATGCATGCAATGCATCCAAATTATTTGCTATATTGTAACTAAGGTGACCTTTGCTTCAGTTCTTAACAGTTTCTACATTTCCACCTGAGACCTCATCAGCACAGCCTTAAATGTTTATATGTCTTTCAGCATTTTGGTCACAACCATTTAACCAGTGTCTAAGAAGTTCCAAACTTTTTCTTATCTTTCTATTTCTTCTGAGCCCTCCAACCTTTTCCAACCTCTGCTCATTACCCAGTTCCAAAGCTTCTTCCACATTTTCAGGTATCTTAATAGCAACACCTGACTCCTGGGACCAAATTTATGTCTCAGTACATCTGTGTTGCTATAAAGGAATATCTAAGGCTGGGTACATTATAAAGAAAAAAGGTTTATTTGGCTTGTGATTCTTAAGGCTGTACAAGAAGTATGGTTCCAGTATCTGCTTCTGGTGTGGGCTTCAGGCTCCTCCTGCTCATGGTATGTAGAGATTGTATGGTAAGAGAGAGAGCAAGAGATAGGAGGAGGTACCCGGCTCTTTTCAACATCCTATTCTTGTGGGAACTAAGAATGAGAACTCACTCACTCTCCCAACAATGGCACTAAGCCATTCATGAGAGATCTCCCCCTACAATCCAGACACCTCCTATCAGGCCCCAGCTCCAACACTAAGGATCAGATTTTAACATGAGACTTGGCGGAGCCAAGCAAAGCCTATCCAAACTATAGCAGCTCACTTGGGAGATGTCAGTTGCTTAGCTGAGACTCAGAGATCCTAAGACTCTGAGGTCTGGTCCGAGCCTTTAGAATGTGAATGGCTCATACTTACTCTCCTCTCCAGAATTTGTGGGATTTCTGAAGGTTTCAGGATTATTATTTCCTACACATTCATACATTTAGAATTAGAAGTACAGGCCAAGTGTGGTGGCTCATACCTTTAATCCCAGCATTTTGGGAGGCTAAGGTGGGAGGATCACTTTAACCCAGGAGTTTGAGAGCAGTCTGGGTGATATGGTTTGGCTCTGTGTCCCCACCCAAATCTCATCTCTAATTGTAATCCCCATGTGTTGGGGAAGGGGCATGGTGGGAGGTATTTGAATCATGGGAGTGGGCCTTCCCCTTGCTGTTCTCGTGATAGTGAGTTGTCACAATATCTGGTTGAAAGTGTGTGGCACTTCACTATTTATTCTCTCTCTCTCCTGCTTCAGCGTGGGAAGATGTGCCTTGCTTTTCCTTCGCCTTCCTCCATGATCATAAGTTTCCTGAGGCCTCCCAGTTATGCTTCCTGTTAAGCCCGCAGAACTGTGAGTCAGTTAAACCTCGTTTCTTCGTAAATTACCCAGTCACAGGTAGTTCTTTATAGCAATTGTGAAAATGGACTAATACACTGGGCAACATAGCAAGAACTTGTCTCTATTTAAAAAATGAGCCAGGCCTGGTGGTGCATGCCTATAAGACCCAGCTGCTCAGACTGAGGCAGGAGGATCCCTTTAGCCCAGAAGTTTGAGACTGCAGTGAGCTATGATCACATAACTGCACTTCAGCCTGGGCAAAAGAGCAAGATCCTGCCTCAAAATAAATAAATAAATAAATAAATAAAAGAAGGAGAAGGAAAGAAAAAGAAAAAGATTAGAAAAATCCATGCTCACAATGATTTGATAAGTTCCATATTTTTTATAGTCACAAGTAACAGAAACTCATGTAAAGATAGGCCATACAAAAGTAAAACCTGATGGAGTTCAGGAAATACTACCCCTAAACATGACACCTTAGCATTTGAGAAATCAGCAGAAGGAAAATCACCTTTACCTTCCACTCACCCTTCTCTGCTGAAGCAGGTCATAAAACCTGGAAAAGTCACCCTCTGACCTTCTTTCACTATTCTCCCCTGCAGCAGATCATAAGACCTTCATTTCTGAGGTACCCTTTCTATACCTAGAGCAAAGGAACATATTTACCTCTGAAGCACAGACATTCAGAAAAGAATCTGTACAAACAGCCTTTGCTAAGTTCTCCCCAGTTTATTACCATTAGATCATACCCCTTTTTGTTCCAGTCATATTTGCCTATGACGGTACACTCATCATCAAACCTAAGCATAAAAATACACACGTTTACCTGTTTCTTTGAGTCTTCATTTCCTTACAAAGTTTCCTGTGTTACATAAAACTTATATTAAATCATTTGTGTGTTTTTCTCTTGTTAATGTGTCTTATGTTATAGGACCCTCAGCCATGAACCTAGCAATGGATGAGGAAAAGAAATCTTTTCTCCCCCTAAACATTTATCATGTAAAACGAAAACAAGAGGTAACACTCATATGCAGAGCACAAGCTCTTTTCCAAGTACCATCCTAAGTGATTTAGCTAGATTAAGTTCCATGATCTTTTTAACAATCCTATAGGTAGATGCTGTTTTTATAACAAGTATGACTGTTGGCAAGGGAAGGATAGTGGATGAAGAAATGCAAACACTGATTAGGCAACATTTTCCATCAGGAGAGAAAATGACACTGAGCAGTGGTGAAGTAAGCTAAAGGTAATTGCTAGACCCAAATCAAATGCTATCATAAGAGAAGAAAAAAATCTATTATTTGTAACAAAGGTAAAACTAGCCACAGAACAACTTTTCGCCAGAGAGAGAACAGATGAAATGGACTTATTTTTGCCCCCTACCTGTCTGGGAGTCAGTTGCTTTTTGTGTATAAGGCTTTTTTGGCATTATCTCTCATGGGCTCTCATTGAACAATTAGGGCTTACTGAGAGATGACTTTCAGCATTACTGTCAGGTGGCTGTACCAGCCTGAACTCAGCCATCATTTGGGCCTCCCGTTGATTATAACAAACCAAAACACTGTGCAGTTGGAAATTGTAGGTACTGTTGTTCAATATAATCTACTGTCTATTTTACAGCAAAATTATCACAAAAAGCATTCAGTAAATTAACTAGTTTGACTGCCAGGAGATTCTAGTATTATTGTATTTTTCCCACCAGGGCACCCAGGGGAGTTTGCTCATCTGTAATATTATTATTATAATCATATTATTTCCAGTGTTTTATTGCCAATGTCATGGCTGACCTTTGGCAAAATTGCAAAGTATCCAAAGTTCATTTTAAGAGTTCTTTTCATGCATACCTTCCCCCATCTTTTTGAGAAAGGCTGCATTGTATTCAGCCTCAGGAATGCTCAGATATTCATTGAACCTCACTGGAATTAATGAAGTGTACTTCATAATATCGTTGAACACCAAAAAACATGTCCCCAGGCTTCAGCCGATCTTCCCATCACTAAATCCACTCATAAATTCCCAGTCCTTATTTGATCTGACATATCAGCAAACCTTTAAAAAACATGTGATCACATCCTTTTTTATATACCATATTTTTTGGTCCCATTAGCCTCCTGGATATCCCATTTCCTGGGTTTTCTTCGTATCTCACTGATAGAATTTTTAAAATCTCGTTTGTCTGTTCCTCTCCTTTCCAGCTTTTAACATTGGAGGGGTCCAGTGCTCAGGCATTGGTCCTCTTCTCTTTCTCTCTACATTTACTTTTTGGGTGATCTCATTTGGTCTTATTGCTTGAAATATCATCATATGACAATGAGTCCCAAATTTATATCTCCTGTGTGAGCCTTCCTCCTGAGCACTAGACTCATGCACACAGACTGCCTACTTGAAAGCTTGTCTTGAATATTTACTAGGTATCTCAAACTTAAGCTGACCAAAATTGAATTCCGTATCTTCCCCAGAAAATTTGTTCTTCCTGAAGTCTTTTTCCATCTCACTTGAAAGAAACTTGATCATTCCAGTTAATTCAGGCAAAAGCTTTGGAGACATCCTGGACTCCATCTTTCTCTCATCACACATCCAACTTCACACCTCTAACTTCAAAATACATCCAAAATTCAATCACACTTGACCACATCCAATTACCTCCAGTGTGTTAAAAGACAAATCTTGGCACGTTAAAATTTTTTAAAGTTTATTTGAACAGACGACAATTCACAAATGGGGCAGCTCAAGACTGCAAGCAATTTGGGGCTCCAACAAATGGGCATAAGGGGAAGGCTTTTAAAGGGTAGACGACGCCGGGCACGGTGGCTCATGCCTGTAATCCCAGCACTTTGGGAGGCTGAGGCGCTAGGATCGCAAGTTCAAGAGATCGAGACCATCTTGGCCAACATGGTGAAACCCTGTCTCTACTAAAAATACAAAATTTAGCCAGGCATGGTGGCATGTGCCAGTGGTCCCAGCTACTCTGGAGCCTGGGGCAGGAGAATCACTTGAACTTGGGAGGCGGAGGTTGCAGTGAGCCCAGATAGTGCCACTACCCTCCAATCTGGTGACAGAGTGAGACTCTGTCTCACAAAAAAAAAAAAAAAAAGGTAAATGAGGAAGCAGGGTAAAAAAATTGATTGGTTAAAGTGATCTAGTTAGAAGTTAGTTAGATGGTTTCAGTTGGTTATGCATAAGTAATAGAATGTTCTTCTTATATATATATCTATCATATATACATGTGTATATAGGTATAAGTAATAGAATGTTCTAATGAGGACTTAGACTCATTATACCCACTGTGAGATAGACTTGAGATAGGAAACCCATTTGTTACCTTGCCTCCATACAGCCACACTCTAACAGGGGCCATCATGACCTTATGTGTCCTCCTAATGTCAGTGTCATCTTTTTCTCTATTTTCAGAAGCCCTTGAAAGATCTGTATTATCCTTTCTCCAGTGTACAGTTAATAAGATGAAAGGCCCAAGGTTCTTTTGATTAAGATTAGATGTTAGTTGACAGTTTCAGATTGGTTAAGAGTGTTTACACTGAAGTAGGTTTTGGTTTGCTTAAGTGGGAATCCATGGTGCTGGAGCTGCCTCATTCTAATGGCCTCCCAATTTCTTATTGGTGCTTCCACCTTCATTCATACATCATCATCTCTTGCCTGGATTATTGCAATAACTTGGTAAATATTGTCCTTGTTTTTACCTTTATCCACTCTCTTGGTTTAGGTTCCTCCAATAGCAGATCCTGAACAAGGATTTCAGTGTAACTTATTTAGGAGGTGATCTCAGGGAGCATTGTAGAGAGTAGTGCAGAGATAGGAGTAAGGAGAAAAGCCCATTAAAGATTTAGTGTTAATGAGGTGGTTACTATTGTAGACAGCCAGGCTCGATCTTGCTAGGGAACCTCTGAGAGACTGAGTAGAACATGTCTCTGAATTGTGACACCAAGGGGCACAAGAAACTTGAGACAGGGAACCCAAGTGATAGAATATCTCCCATATCTAAAGAGAACTGAAGCACTGTGCCTTTTTCTTTAATATAGGAGGTGCATGGTGTAATAACTTGTCCTTTACATTGAAGGAATGTCCTAGCTTGCCTCAAAACATGGACTATAAAAATGTCACTAATGTTCTGCAGCCAATTAAGCCAACTGAGTTCCTTTCCTTGTGGGGGCCCAGTGTGCAATGGCTGCACACAGCAGCTTCCTTGGTAGTGTACACAGCCTGTTGGTTGTATGGGTTGCTCTGAGGGACCTTGGAGACAGGCCTTTCCAATGGATGTTCATGTTTCTGACCTTGCGCTACCCCAATGTAGGCTCCAAACAGGCATGCGAGGTGCCTTTGGAATGCCCCAGGGCACTGTGGCCAGGGTTCACATTGGCCAAGTTATCATGTCCATCCGCACCAAGCTGCAGAACAAGGAGCATGTGATTGAGGCCCTGCGCAGGGCCAAGTTCAAGCTTCCTGGCCACCAGAAGATCCACATCTCAAAGAAGTGGGGCTTCACCAAGTTCAATGCTGATGAATTTGAAGACATGGTGGCTGAGAAGTGGCTCATCCCAGATGGCTGTGGGGTCAAGTACATCCCCAATCGTGGCCCTCTGGACAAGTGGCGGGCCCTGCACTCATGAGGGCTTCCAATGTGCTGCCCCCCTCTTAATACTCACCAATAAATTCTACTTCCTGTCAAAAAAATGTCACTAATGTACCCTAAATTTTCTTTTTTATTTTTATTTTTTATTTATTTATTTATTTTTTTGAGATGGTGTCTTGCTCTTTTGCCCAGACTGGAGTGAAGTAGCATGATCTTGGCTTACTGCAACCTCCACCCCCCAGGTTCACCCTGTGATTCTCCTGCCTCGCCCCCTGAGTAGCTGGGATTACAGGTGCCCACCACCAGGCCTGGCTAATTTTTATATTTTTAGTAGAGACTAAATTTTCTATGGTTTATCCACCTTGCAGTTCACATATGGCTTGTCAGAACATCTGGAGCATTTGCTACTTCATGCTCACTAGTTTGATTAATATAATGTCATTTAACTCGTGGACCAGCAGATTCTGTGCAGTGTCCCTTTAGACTCTATTGCAACAGAAAGCAGCAGAGTTAACATAGACCTGGGGCAACTCTCTGAACTTGCACTGCTGTCCAATCAGGTAAATGCTAAGGGCTTTCAGTCCTTTCTCCTGATAACAACTTTAAAAAATTCATTTTCCAGTTTCATAGCAGCTGTGTTGATTTGTTCTGTTAGCAGTACTACATACAACATAGCAGCTATGATTAACACTACCACTTGGTCAGTTTTATGGTAAGTCCACTATTGTTTGCTGTGATCACCCTGATTTTTGTAGGGGCCATATCAGTGAATTAAATGGGAATATGATGGGGTCCATCATTCATCAATCTTTTAGACTTTGAAGATGGCACAAGTCTCTGCCATTCCAAATGACCTATAGATTGCTTTTGATTTATTATTTTGGCCAGGTTGCAACGGTGATTTCAGAAACTTGCACTTGGCTTTTTCTACCACTGTGGCACTTATCTAGCTGGTGAAGGAACTAATGTGAGGCTTCTGCCAGCTACTAGGAATATCCAATTTTGCATTTATAACTAGGAAAATATTCATCTTGAAGGCCTTAGACTCATTAGACCCACTGTGAGATAGACTTGAGATAGGACACCCATTTGTCACCTTGCCTCCGTAGAGCCACACTCTAACAGGGGCCATCATCACCTATGTGTCCTCCTAATATCAGCGTCATCTTTTTCTCTATTTTCAGAAGCCCTTGAAAGATCTGTATTATCCTTTCTCCAGTGTACAGTTAAGAAGATGAAAGGCCCAAGATTCTTTTGATTAAGGATTAGTGAAATATTTATTTCATATACTTGCTATAGCATTGCAAAGACCTTTTGAAGGGGAACCTGACCTCTTCTTTCTCAATTGATGAGCTGTATGACTAAGAATTGGCTCAGATCTAGACAGCAGATAAGGGAGCATGATTTTCCATTGCAATGGCCATTGCAGTGGCCGACGCCAACCATTTGCTTTCCAGCTCTTGATTATTTATGTTTATAGAAATCAAGGAATAACCTTTATTAGTTGCTAATTTATTTAACCCCAAGGAACACCCTGGTCAGTTTGCCATTACCACAGACCCCTGTGGGTCAAGTTTCCTTGGTGACATTATGGCCTGTGTCTGTTACAGTAATTGTGTCAGGCTTACCTCTGATAGTTAAGTGGTGCCACCTGGCCTCTGTTATTTCAGAATCTTATAACATCTCCATTATCACTAGGAAGCTCAATTTTATAGCCATCTCCTCTCCTATCAACCCTGGTCTAGAGATGACATCTATCATCATTCATTTTTAAATGATGCCAGCACTCCCTCGTTAGTGCATTCCTTGTAGTTTTAGGGGAGTGCCTACCCAGGTCCTTCCAGGTAAGAATCAGCTAGTGTGTTCTCAGGTCTTATGAAATGAGCCCAAGTCTTTAAGACCCCTTCCTCAATACTCTGCCAAGGCAGTGCTGGCATCTCCACTATAGACCATCCTTATTTCCAGACTTCAAGGAGCCAGCCAGCAGTGTATTAGAACTGACTCCAGGCAACCTTGTCAAGGTATTATCATCTAAGTCTCAGGAGACTGTCCGATATCAATGAATTCCCTATATTCTGTCCCACCTCAACCCTCATTCCCCATTCAACACTCTCAGCTTATATATATATGTATGTGTGTGTGTGTATATATGTATATATATATATATATATATATATATATATATATATATATATATATCTCACATATACTCTGCTGGTTCTTGCTAATACCCACTATCCAGGTTCTGAGACTTTGGGGGTAAATTATCTATTTACTTAAATAACAGGGACAGTAATTCCCCACTTGAACCATGCTGAGACCTGACCCCAGTCATTTGTCTAAAAGCAATGAGAGGAGGTGAAAGGAGATCTTGAGGAGGGCAAACATTGTTTTGTGAAGCCCCAGGAGAGATTTTTCAGTGGTCCTCAGGCAATGGGATGCAACAGGGAGAGGGTTGCCCATACCAGCCAGAGATGCTGAAGAGTTAATGCCAGTAGTATTAATACAATTCTCAGCAAATAAGGGAAGGGGTTGCTTGGGACTCACCTCTTAATGGCACAGTTCTGAGGTGTATTATACACATTCTCTCAGAAAGGCCACAGCAACACTGAACTCTGTTTTCTGAAAATGGTTACCAGTTGATAATGGTGCTGAATAAGCGATATACATATGCATGGCATTCCGGGCACCTGTGCTAAGCATTTTCTAAGAATCACTCCTTTTATTCTCCCAAGGAAGGAAGGAAAGTCAATAAAAAGTATATTACCACCAGATATTTCCTCCTAAACACAGAAAATGAAGATGATTTTCTTTTTTTTTTTTTTTTGAGATGACGTCTCGCTGTGTCACCCAGGCAGGAGTGCAAGCTCCACCTCCCAGGTTCATGCCATTCTCCTGCCTCAGCCTCCTGAGTAGCTGGGACTACAGGCGCCCACCACCACGCCCGGCTAATTTTTTTTTTTTTTTTAATTTTTAGTAGAGACGGGGTTTCACTGTGTTAGCCAGGATGGTCTCAATCTCCTGACCTCGTGATCTGCCCGCCTCAGCCTCCCGAAGTGCTGGGATTACAGGCGTGAGCCACCACACCTGGCCTGAAGATGATTTTCAAAATGGCTTTGGGTTTATTTACATTTATTTTTGAAAATAGTATTTCATAATCTTGTTTTTACTTTTAATTTGAAGATTTAAGCTAGTCTGTAATCTCTTAAAGTGCTGGGTTCTATGAATCCTTGTCTGTGCAACAGCTAGCCCTTAACCTGGTTCATTGTTGATTTGAGGAACAAGATGTGGGAAGGTAGATGTTAGAAAGGCAAGATCATTTATTTCAAGTTATATGTGGAATTTTAAAATATTTTAATTGACCACGTTAAAATTCTATTATAAATAAAATACATATTTTATGTACTAGTATTTGAAAAATTATCAATTCAAAAATATTTATTGATAATCTGCTATTTGCCCCAAAATGTGATATAAAATATTAATTAGATACAAAATATTAATTCTTACAATCTGTGTCAGTGGAAGTTTCCAAGGTAGTTAATTCTATTTCTTTCTTTCTTTGTTCTCCTTCATAACATCATTCTAATAGAGAAATGATCCATTCTCAAGAGATTTGCCACAGAATTTTTTCTAGAGAAATGTCCCCATATCTGTGATAGAAGTTCCAGAAATTATGAAAGAAAAATTGCCTACTGAGAGTTTTAGTTTTTGTTGTTACATGTTCATAAATTGTATTTTACCAGATGGTTGTCCCTCATGGGACACCACTGAGTTATACAGGAGAGCATTGATGTTTTCTACCTCTGTTCTCCATTAGCTGCAAAAACTTGCCCCTTCACAGACTCCATGAGGGGAAAGATACCACAGAAAGAGACTGCATACTATTTTACTTTTCCTTGGACTCTGAAAGTCGAACTTTAGCAAAGTAAACTTACCAAAGACATAGTTAAGATAAATGAATGTGTCCAAAGCAAATCGGAAAAGGGTGGAAGATTGCTCATCAAATGCTTTAAAAGAAGTCCTAGCTATAATTCGTTTCTTGGCCTTGGATGGCCTCTCAGGAAGTGGTGTGTTGGAGCCAGTTCTTACCTGCTCTTGCTGGTCACATGCATCTCTTCCCAGCTCTTCATTCGGTGACATCAAAATTAGTAGGCTGAAATTAGCCATAGGTGAGAAGTATTTACACCATGGAGATCTAGCAAATGTTACAAACTCTGACCTTTTTTTCCAATTCTTAGACATTTACTAGCACACCACTGAGACCCATTATTTACCAAGTATGAGTGGTTTTGGTCCCTTGAAACCAAAAAACTTACTGACAAGAATCAGAGTTCTAGTTACTTATCACTTGGCCAAGTTACTTATTCTCTGCAAAGCCCATTTCCTCATCTGCAAAAAAGAAAGGATGATACCACTCTATTTACTCATCTACATTATTTTATTGTGAAAAACTCAGAATATAATAATTTTATGAGAATATTTTAAAGCTATAAGGCACCCTATAAACAAATGATGAAACAGGGATTGATGGCTGTATTTCTGAAGCATTATATTTCTCATGGGGTATATTAGCCTTGCCTCTTTAGAGAAACAGAACTAATAGGAGATATATATATATATATATATATATATATATATATATATATATATGTATTTATTGTGAAAAATTGGCTCATGTGTTTATGGAATCTGAGATGTCCTATAACCTGCCATCTGCAAGCTGGAGGCCCAGGAAAGCTGGTGGTGTAGTTCCAGTCTAAGCCTTGGAGTCTGAGAACCAGGGACCCAATGGTGTTAGTCTCAGTTTAAATTTGAAAGGCTGGAAAAGAAGGAATGCTGATGTCTAAGGGCAGGAGGAAACAGATAACTCCAGCTCAAGCACAGAGTGAATTCTTTCTTCCTCCACTAATTTGTTCTAGTTGGTCTGTCAAGGGATTGGATGATGCCTGCTGGCATTGGTAAGGGCAATTTTCTTTACTCAGTTGACTGATTCAAATGCTCATCTCTTCCAGAAACACCCTTACAGACACACCCAGAAAAATGTTTTAACAGCTATCTGGACACCCCTTAGAGAAGTCAAGTTGACACATAAAGTTAACCATCACATGGGGTAACTCAATTACCTGGCAGACAACTTGTTCTGAGTTCCTCCCACAAACAAAAAAAAAACAGAACAACTGCCATGAAGGCATTAATTGGAAATGTAAGATTTAACATTGATTTTATAACAGAGCTGGAGGAGTTTTACTTTATATGTCACTTAGCCAACAATTCAATAATACTGTCTTAGAAGTTTGTCTTTTCCCCAAAGCCTGTTAGATTGGGCTCTTCTTTATGGAAATTTGCCTCTCTCAGCTCCTAAGCTCTTCCCCTCCCTTCATATTATTCAAATTAGCTTTTTACCAATAAAACTTGGAGGCCAACAGGAAGCTTCTTTGGACTTTACTACTGACATCTCTCTAACAAATCTGTGTGTTTTCTTGTGATGGGATTCTCCTAACAGCTACTGAAAAACATGTTCTCTAGTTACTATATGTTCCCTTGAGAAAATATTGGCTATCCTGACAAATCAATTATACTAACTCTCTCCCTTTAGGTCGAATGAATGGAAGAAAAACACAAGGCTTATGTGTGGTTCTCAAGTCTTATTCAACTCAGGGCTCAGCCACTCCTCCTAAGATGGGCAAATATGTAGATACAGGAAATATTTTCACCTCTTTTTGTTGGGCATCTTCCCCACCATGATCCTTCCCAGTCTGGAGAATATGGAATGCATAATAAGTTTTTATTGGTTCATCACAGGTATCCCCTGGGACACAAAGTTGTCTGGGAGAGTAGGTGCAAAGCCTAGGCTGGATCTTCAATTACCCCACACCCAGGACTCTTGTCTCCATGATCCCCTCCTTAATCCTCATTTCTGTTGTCTCTGAGGGTCATGGTCTTCTTATACCAGCTCCTACCTCAATTTCTGGAAGACTAGGGTAGAGTTTGCCTCACAGATATGCTCTACTTTGAGATGCCTATCCTTCCCACAGTAGAAACAAATCCTGATGTTAACTTTCCGCAGAGTCCCCAGTACTCCTTCATTTCTCTTTTTTTTTTTTTCGAGATGGAATCTCACTCTGTTGCCCAGGCTGGAGTGCAGTGGTGCAATCTAGCTCACTGCAAGCTCCGCCTCCCGGGTTCACACCATTCTCCTGCCTTAGCCTCCCAAGTAGCTGGGACTATAGGTGCCCACCACTACGCCCAGCTAATTTTTTGTATTTTTTAGTAGAGACGGGGTTTCACCGTGTTAGCCAGGATGGTCTCGATCTCCTGACGTCGTGATCTGCCCGTCTTCGCCTCCCAAAGTGCTGGGATTATTTTTCTTGGAAAACCAGGTATTTGTGTCTCCCTAAAATTCATAATTTGATATCCTAACCTCTTATTTGATGATATTAGGACATGGAGCCTTTGGGAGGTAATTAGTCATGAATGGGACTAGTGCTTTTAAGAGAAGAGATATGAGAGCTTATTCTCTGCTCTCCAACATGTGAGGACACAGCAGGAAGATGGCCATTTGCAAACCAGGAAGCAAACCCTCACTAGGACCGGATCTGTCAGCACCTCGACCTTGGACTTTTCAGCCTTCAAAACTGTGGGGAATAAATGTTCATTGTTTAAGCTACCCAGTCTATGATAATTTGTTATGGCAACACAAGTGAAGATACCAGGAAACTGGTTCTTAGTGTTTACCTATCCTGTCAGTGAATAGCCAGGACTACACTACTTGAACATTAGTGAGTAAAGCAAACCAGGTCTGAAGCTTTTTCTGTGCATCCTTCTGGGGCTTGCTTTTCCTCTCTTTCAGAAATCTTGTGGGGAATTGGACTGGAGCTAGGAGAATGAATCATAACATGCAACCCTTGTTCCCCAAGTCTGGACTAGTAATTCTCTATGCAAACTACTTTTTTGGTTTTATAATGGAAAAGCAGCCAGAACTCTCCCTTTCTCTTTGTCCTTCTAAATTACCTTCATTAATAGTGAAATTTTGGCAGACTTCTTTCCCACATTGCTTCTGCTGCTTAGGGAATCTGAGCTTCCTCAGAAAAATTTCACTATACTTCTGCAACTACTGTCTTAGTCCATTTTGTGCTGCTATGAAAGAATACCTGAGACTTGGTCATTTATAATAAACAGAAATTGGTTTTGGGTTCTGAAGGCTGGGAAGGCTAAAATCAAGGGGCTAGTATCTGGTGAGGGCCTTCTTGCTATGTCATCCCATGGTGGAAGGGCCAAGAGAAGGTGAGAGAGAGCAAGAGATCAAACTTACAGCTTCAAGCCGTTTAATAATCAGCATTAATCCATTCATACAGGTGGAGCTTTCAAGACCTAAACACCTGCCATTAGGTCCCACCTCCCAGAACTGTTGCGTTAGGGATTGAGTTTCCACTTCAAGCTTTTTGGGGAACACATTAAAACCATAGCAACTCTCCACAGCTATTGGGATTATCTTTCTGACTTTGTCTCATAGCATCTGGGTTTGAATCCATATTGACAGTCTCTCTAGTTCTGGTACATGGGCTGAGGTCTTGTTTCCTTCTTCTAATTGCATAGTCAGAATTGGCATACCAGTCCTGGGAAATTCCTGTATTCCTGGATATCTGTATCCCCAGATACCTGTTTGAAGTAGTAGGAGGCATTTCAGGCCTTGAGATCTTTAACAATTCTGAATGCCAGGCCTTGAAATTCTTATTTTAATCAAAAAACCATTCCTTCAGTCCCTGTCCTAGGTGCCTTGAATATGCTTGTATTTTCAGTAACATATAGCTTTGGCTTAATAGATAATTGCTGTATAGTCCTATTTCAGCTGCTGAAGAACAGAAAATATTAGATTACCAATCTCATTATAGTTTCCATGATCATTATAGTTTCCAAATTGTGGAATTTGGAAGGGTGTTCTAAGAACTGACAGTCTCCTTGAACTCTTCATTGTGAGGAGTTTAGAGTTTATCTGGAGAGGGTACACTTCTGACTCATTTCCATGAAAGCATCAGGTCTCATGGAATAGTCACAGAAGAAAAGAACTCAGAAACAGAAACATTCTGTTCCAGCTTTAGCTTTATAACTAATTAAATGGTGTAACTAAAAACAAGCCACTTAACATTTTGTGTCTCATTTTCCTCATATATCAAAAGAAAAATAATAACAACTAGATTTGTTGTGAGACAGAATTCAATAAGGGGAAAGTGCTTTGAAAAATATGAAACTGTACCAGAGTAAGGTAATTTTATTATTTTATAGCCTAAGTTGCTTTGGTCTTCCAATTTTAGTTGAAATTGTACAATTGAAGATGAAACATCAATTTCATAGAGGGAATATAGCAGAATGAATAGTAGTAGAAAGATCAATTTAATCTAGACTTCATATTTTTATTATGTGAAATCACTTAAAAAGTAACAGCATCTTTACTCATAATTTTAGTGTAAGAAAGAAAATGTATTGCAGCAATTGCAAAGAACAGGGCCATTAATTTTATTAAATTTTTGACATCATTTAAATGTGCTCCAAAAAGGGTTATGTTTGTTTCATGCTACAGAAATGATAAACTCAAATGATAACATCACATAAGCAAAATCTAAAAGGGGGAACCTCTCTTAAAAAATATTAGTACTGTTAAAAGATCTTTATAAATTTGCCTGTGATCTGTTACAAGGTACAAGAACATCAAGTAATAGTTTTTATATTTATAATTCATTATGATTAGATAATTTTTAATTCAGTTTTTAATTTTTTCTAAGTACACATTTCAACTGAATTTTTAACCTCTCCCCCTTCCTGGTTGTTGCCACAAGTTTGGAAGCCTGCAGTCAAGGTGGTGATTCAGCAACTCTTCTGCTTGCTTAAAATGATTTGAATTCCATTCACAATCACCAGGGTGAACAATCACAGTATAAAGAAATCCCCAAACAATCTTGTTTTCAGGCAGCCTTCCCATCTTAATGCCTTGTATCACTGGGATCAGAACACCTCCTCAGAGCAGCGTGGGCACGTTGTGCTATGCCAGAGTTTTTCTGTCAGGCAGGATATGCAAACAGTGTGTTTTTCCAAGTGAAATATACCGTTGTTTCCAAGTTTGGTGGAAGAATGAAGTGAATAAGAAAATTTAATATGTTTATAGTTCTTTTATGTCTTAAAAAATGAAGAAATTAGGCTTTATTAGTAACAAAACACCTTTTGACACTGGTGTCCTCACGTAATAACCAGTGCAGCATTTCATATATTTCGGACCTGAAAACACACATACAACAAAGGGAGAGTGCTCATATATTTTTATATTAATAGATAGGGCCATGCTGCCGGCATATTTGGAGTTCACTTGTTCAGAGCACTAGGAAACTTACTTGATGAATGGTGAGAGTACATAGAAACCTACACTTCTAATTTCTCCCCTTTTCCCTTTCCTGTCATCCAGGTTCTCAAAATTCTGAGCAATTCAGCTTTGTATATGACATTCAGCAAAACAAAAGGCCTGTAGTTAACTTACTCTACCCTCTTGAGGAGATATTTCAGGGACCATCTCATTCTTTTTTCTTTTTTTTTGAGAAGCAGTCTCGCTCTGTCGCCCAGGCTGGAGTGTGCAGTGGCGCAATCTGGGCTCACTGCAAGCTCCGTCTCCCAGGTTCATGCCATTCTCCTGCCTCAGCCTCCCGAGTAGCTGGGACTATAGGCGCCAGCCACCACACCCGACTAATATGCCATTTTCATAAAGGGTAATATATGCCTTACTTTTAGACAGATAAGAGGAGAGCACAGAACCCTTCCTGTATTTTGTTTATGCTTAATTACCTCTAACTCCAAATAATCCTTAGGCCAAAGAGGCATATTTTGGAGTGGCATATCTTGATCCTTTTCACTATCAATATCTACAGTGGATCAGCACATTTAACTTCCAGGTAGACACTCTGGTCAAATGATCCACCAACATTTCCCCAAGCCCTCTCCCTACTCTTCTTCCATATAGGGTGGTGAAAGCTAAATACTCTTTTCCCAGGATCCCTTAAAGCTGGAGCAGCCATATTTTTAATAGTAGATAGTCAGATATGTGCAGGGCAGGAGAGGACCCCTCCTACCAGAAATGTCTGGTGCCCATCAGGTGATGGTCAGGTGGTTGTTACACTGTCTCTCTAAAATAGTATTAATAATTGGTTGCAGCCAGTGCCAGGGAAAGGCAGTCTCCCAATAGATAGAAACACCTGAATCTGGTGATCAGCAGCTTCCTGATAAGATCTCAGGAGCTGAGCAAATGGGCTCAAGCATGTGCACCAAGAGGCAAAATGGCAGAGTTTAACTGGTAGGTGACCTTTCTCTGGGAACACTGAACGGGAAAAATGCCTCAAGTGAGCATGTGCACAACTTCAGTAAACACACTGCGCATTGGGCCCCTCTCAAGTGCTGGCAGACCACTGTGCATGTGGACAGCCCACCCCAAGGGAAGAATCAAGGGAGAAGAGATGCAACCCCCTAAAAGCATGCCAGTGTATAAGACTCTCCTTGAACAAGACAACAATAGTTTGCTGTTAGTTACACCCTACATTCCTTTCTCATCATTTCCCATGGTCAAATTAGCTTTTTAAAATATTGTACAGTAACCATTCAGGCGTCTTTTCTTACCTCTGTGAAATGGAATTATGTATTTATTTTCTCTTACTGGAATTTCCCTTTAGGAATTCTTTCAGAAAGAACTTGTAGATAGTAACTTTTTTGAGCCTTGTATGTCTGAAAAAAAAATGTCTTTATTTTGCTCTCACACTAAATCCAGTGAGTATAGAATTCTAGATTTGAAATAACTTTCAGAACTCTGAAGTCATTGCTCTATTCTCTAGCTTTTATTGTTAGCAATGACAAGTCTGGCTGGAGTGCCATATTCTGCAACTGCAGGAGGGACCGTCTACTTTGGTGTCTTGTTGGATTGGCCTCTCGGCAGCACAGTGTGAATTCTGCATGATGGGGATTGTAAAATTGTGGGGACCATGAGTCTGACACTAACTTGATTTTCATTCCTTCATAGATACATGTTTGTTTTCTTTCTGAAAATCATTGAATGCTTTCTTTTATACTTAGGGCTTTGACATATTTTTAGAATGTGTCCGTATGTGTTTTGTTTGTTTGTTTTTGTTTTTTTGGTAGACAGAGTCTTGCTCTGTTGCCCAGGCTGGAGTGCAGTGGCGAGATATTGGCTCACTGCAACCTCCACCTCCCGGGTTCAAGCAGTTCTCATGCCTCAACCACCCAAGTAGCTGGGATTGCAGGCATGCACCACCATGCCCAGCTAATTTTTGTATTTTTAGTAGAGACGGGGTCTCAGCATGTTGGCCAGGCTGGTCTCGAACACCTGACCTCAAGTCCACCCACCTCGGCCTCCCAAAGTGTTGGGATTACAGGCATGAGCCACTGCACCTGGCCATGTGGGGTTTTTTTTAACATCAGTACTCAGACACATGGTGGACTTTTTACCTGTGGAAAGTTACCTTTTCCTCCACCCTATCTCCTCCGTTTCCTAACCTTTTTTCTCCTTGCTTTTCTCTTTTTCTTCCTTCTCCCCTCTCCTTTTAAATGTAATTTTCTCCCATTTATTTCCTCTTCCTTCTCTTTCTGGAATGCTGTGGGAACATCTGAATGTATTCTCCATTCTTAACGTTTCTATTGTACTTTCTGCTGCTTCATTCTCCTGAACTTCATGAGAATCATATAGATCTCAAATCACAAATTTGAAAATGCAACTTAGCCAAAAAGAAAAATTGCATAATTTCACTACCCAGAGACAACCAATATTAATATATTAATATGTATGTTTTAGAGTATTCTGTTGATATTTGTTAAAACAAAAACAGAGTAATTGAAAACCTATTTATGTGTAATGAACATTTAGTAAGTAGCAAGTGCAGGGATGGTTGAAAGAATGATAGGTCAATTGGCCCCCTCAGTAAGTCAATCTTTATTTGTTTCCATCCTCCTTTGCTAGACTGCCTCTCTAATGAATGTTTTATTTAAGGGATCATATTTTTCATTTCTATGATCTCTACTCATTCTTTGCATAGTCACTTAGTCTGGTTTTCTCTATGAACTGTACCTTTGAATGTGAGTTTTTCGTTGAATCTTGCACCTCTAGTTCATGGTTTTTTTCCTTAAGTGTTTTATAATTCTGTTTTTTCCTCTATGCTAATATTTGAAAATTCTTATTTTCCTTTTTGGTGACTGTAGGTTCCATTTACAGAAGCTTGCCTCTGGTGATTTTAGGGGAGGGCAGTACCTGAAGCCAGGCTAGGCACATGGGGATGGTTTGGCATCAGAGCTTTGAGTGTGCATTTCCCCCAGAGATCCTCAGTTACCAGGACATTGGCTTCCTCCTCCATCTCTGGTACCCACTCTGTGCACCTCCTATTTGAACATTTCTACTTTAGAAAATAACACGAATAGTTGAGTTTAGACTAGGGAGAAGTCAAATTCTCTCTCACTTTTTCATTAGTCCTGCTGTTCTTGTAGAGGACTATGGGTAACAAAGAGTTACCTCTCTATCTTTCTTCACCCTTAGCACTCATACCAGGAAAATGTCTGAGCATACAGTTTGCAAGGTTTAGAAAGCAGTTATCAGAATATTGCCTGGAGAGCAATATCCATTCTTTCCACTGCTGTTCCAAACACAGTTAATTAATACCCTGATGATATTTCTATGCCTTCCCATTCTCTTTGTATTTGCTCACTTTAAGCTTGGAACATCTTTGACTTTCTCTTATTTCTCCAGATATTTCTTCTTGAACATGTTTTTTTCAATCTTGTTTCTCTGTCAACATGATCCTGTCTGTTTTCTATTATTCAGGACTTTCTGTTCCACTGATGGCACCCTTGTTTTCTAGCACTGTGATGGAAATACATTTTTTTAATAAATTACTATTATTTGGGGGCGTAGATAGGCTCTCACTCTGTCACCCAGTCTGGAGGCCAGTGGTGTGATCTAAGCTCACTGCAACATCCGTCTCCTGGATGTGATCTTCCCGCTTCAGCCTCCTGAGTAGCTGGGACTACAGGTGGGCGCCACAATGCCTGGCTAATTTTTGTATTTTTTGTAGAGACAGGATTTCGCCATTTTGCCCAGGCTGGTCTTGAACTCCTGGGCTCAAGTGATCTGCTCACATTGGCCTCCCAAAATGCTGGGATTATAGGCATGAGCCACCACACCCAGCCGAAATACTTTTTTAAAGATGCATTTTCTGTTATCTAGAAGAATTCTGGACAGGAAGATAAGTGGATGCTATGATTAGTCTTGATTTTAGTAGTCTTTAGTAATCTTTTAGTAATCTTTTCTGGTAATTAATTACAAATTTGAAAATGCAATTTAGCCAAAAAGAAAAATTACATAATCCCACTACCCAGAGACAACCAATATTAATATATTAATATGTATCTTTTAGAGTATTCTGTTGATATTTGTTAAAACAAAAACAGAGTAATTGAAAACCTATTTATGTGTAGTGAACATCTAGTAAGTAGCAAGTGCAGGGATGGATGAAAGAAATTTAGAGATATGAGGATGCAGACAAAAAAATTTATCTGCTTTCAAGTAGCTCTTAGTTCAGTGGATACCAAAAAAAAGTAAACCATTGGAGGGGCAGAGCAAGATGGCGGAATGGATGGTTCCACTTATTGTCCCCCTGCAAGGACACCAATTTAACAACTAATTACACAGAAAAAGCACCTTCATAAGAACCAGAAATCAGGTAAACACTCACAGTACCTAATTTTAACTTTTGTGTGTGCGCGTGTGTGTGTCTATGACTATTTTATTTTATTTTACTTTATTTATTTCCATGGGTTTTTGAAGAACAGGTAGTATTTGGTTACATGAGTAAGTTCTTTAGCGGTGACTTGTGAGATTTTGGTGAACCCATCACCCAAGAAGTATACACAGAACCCAGTTTGTCATCTTTTATTCCTTACCCCCTTTCCTCCCTTTTCCCCTAAGTCTGCAAAGTCCATTGTATCATTCTTATGTCTTTGCATCCTCATAGTTTAGCTCCTACTTATGAGTGAGAACATATGATGTTTGGTTTTCCATTCCTGAGTTACTTCACTTAGAATAACAGTCTCCAGTCCCATCCAGGATGCTGCGAATGCCATTAATTCATTCCTTTTTATGGCTGAGTAGTATTCCATCATATATAAATACAGTTTCTTTATTCACTTGTTGATTGATGGGCATTTGGGTTGGTTCCACATTTTTACAGTTGCAAATTGTGCTGATATAAACCTGTATGCGCAAGTATCTTTTTTGTATAATGACTTCTTTTCCCCTGGGTAGATACCCAGTAGGGGGATTGCTGGATGAAATGGTAGTTCTACTTTTAGTTCATTAACGAATCTCCACACTGTTTTCCATAGTGGTTGTTCTAGTTTACATTCCCACCAGCAGTGTAGAGTGTTCCCTTTTTCACTGCATCCACACCTACATGTATTTATTATTATTATTATTATGGCCATTCTTGTGGGAGAAAAGTGGTATCACATTGTGATTTGGATTTGCATTTCCCTGATCATTAGTGATATTGAGCATTTTTTCATATGTCTGTTGGTCATTTGTATATCTTCTTTTGAGAATTGTCTATTTATGTCCTTGCCTACTTTTTGATGGGATTGTTTTCATCTTGCTAATTTGTTTGAGTTAGTTGTAGATTCTGGATATTAGTTCTTTATCAGATGCATAGATTGTGAAGATTTTCTCCCACTCTGTGGGTTGTCTGTTTAGTCTGCTGACTTTTTCTTTTGCCATGCAAAAGCTCTTTAGTTAAATTAAATCCTACCTATTTATCTTTCTTTTTATTGCCTTAGCTTTTGGGTACTTGGTCATGAAGTCTTTGCCTAAGCCATCGTCTAGAAGTGTATTTCCAATATTATTTTCTAGAATTTTTGTAGTTTCAGGTCTTAGGTCTAAATCATTGATCCATCTTGAATTGATTTTTATATAAGGTGAAAGATGAGGATCCAGTTTCATTCTCCTATGTGGCTTGCCAGTTATCCCAGCACCATTTGTTGAAAAGGGTGTCCTTTCCCCACTTTATGATTTTGTTTGCTTTGTTGAAGAAGAGTTGGCTGTAAGTATTTAGGTTTATTTCTGGGTTGTTTATTCTGTTTCACTGGTTTATGTGCCTATTTTTATACCAGTATCATGCTGTTTTGGTGACTATGGCATTATAGTATAGTTTGAAAGTAGGTAGTGTGATGCCTCCAGATTTATTCTTTTTGCTCAGTCTTGCTTTGACTATGCAGGCTCTTTTTTGGTTCCATATGAATTTTAGGATTGCTTTTTCTAGTTCTATGAAGAATGATGATGGCACTTTGATGGGAATTGTATTGAATCTGTAGATTGCTTTTGGCAGTATGGTCATTTTCACAATATTGATTCTACCCATCCATGAGCATGGAATGTGTTTCCATTTGTTTGTGTTGTCTGTGATTTCTTTCAGCAGTGTTTTGTAGTTTTCCTTGTAGAGATCTTTCACCTCCTTGGTTGGGTATATTCCTAAGTATTTTATTATTTTTTTCAGCTGTTGTAAAAGAGGTTGAGTTCCTGATTTGATTCTCAGTTTGGTCGCTATTGGTGAATAGCAGTGCTACTGATTTGTGTACATTAATTTTGTATCCTGAAACTTTGCTGAACTCATTTCCTAGAACTCAGTTCTAGGAGCTTTTTGGAGGAGTCTTTAGGGTTTTCTAGGTATACAATCATATCATCAGCAAACAGCGACAGTTTGACTTTCTGTTTACCGATTTGGATAATAAAAAGGCTTCCAGCAAAGAAAAGCCCAGAACCTGATGGCTTCACTGCTGAATTCTACCAAACGTTTAAGGAAGAACTTATACCAATCCTACTCAAACTAGTCTGAAAAACAGAGGAGGAGTGAATACTTGCAAATTTATTCTACAAGGCCAGTGTTTCTCTGATACCAAAACCAAAGACACATAAAAAAAGAAAACTACAGACCAATATCAACTAAGGAATAGTGATGCAAGAATCTTTAGCAAAATACTATCTAACAGAATTCAACAACACATTAAAAAGATAACTCATGACAACCAAGAGGGATTGATCCCTGGGATGCAATGATGGTTCAACGTATGCAAATCAATCAATGTGATACATCATGTCAACAGATTGAAGGATAAAGGCCATATGAGCATTTCTACTGATGCTGAAAAGCATTTGATAAAATTCAACATCCTTTCATAATAAAAACCCTCAAAAAACTGTGTATAGAAGGAACACACCTCAACATAATAAAAGCCATATATGACAGACCCACAGCTAGTATCCTACTGAATGGAGAAAAACTGAAAGCCTTTCCTCTAAGACCTGGAACATACCGAGGATGCCCACTGTCTCCACTGTTATTCAACATAGCACTGGAAGTCCTAGCTAGAACAGTCAGACAAGGGAAATAAATAACAAGCATCCAAATTGTAAAGGAAGAAGTCAAGTTATCCTTATTTGCAGATGATATAAACTTGTATTTGGAAAAACCTTATGTCTCCACCAAAAAACATTAAAAGTGATGAACAAATTCGGTAAAGTTGCAGGATACACAATCAACATACAAAAATCAGTAGCATTTGTGTATGCCAACAGTGAACAATGTGAGAAAGAAATCAAGAAGTAAAGAGTACAGACAACTCTGGAGGGGAAAATCTACGAATCTGATTAAAAATGAGCAAAAGATCTGAATAGACATTTTTTAGAAGAAGACATACAAATGGAAAGTGTATATGAAAAGGTACTTAACATCACTGGTCATCAGAGAAATGCAATCAAAAGTACAATGAGATAGCATCTCACCCCACTAAAGTGGCTTTTGTCCAAAAGTCAGGTAATAACAAATTCTCGCAAGGATATGGAGAAATGGGAACCCTCATTCACTGTTGGTGGGAATGTAAATTAGTACAACCACTATGGAGAACAGTTTAGAGGTTCCTCAAAAAACTAAAAATAGAACTACCATAAGATCCAGCAATCCCACTTTTAGGTATATACCCAAAAGAAAGGAAGTCAATCTATTGAAGAGGTATCTGCACTCCCAAGTTTATTGCAGCACTATTCACAATAGCTAAGATTTGGAAGCAACCTAAGTGTCTGTCCATCAACAGATGAATGTGTAATGAAAATGTACATATACGCAGTGGAGTACTATTCAGCCATAACTAAGAATGAGATTTGGTCATTTGCCACAACACAGATGAAACAGGAGGTCATTAAGTATAATAAGCCAAGCACAGAAAGACAAACATCACATGTTTTCACTTATCTGTGGGAGCTTAAAATTAAAACAGTTGAAGTCATGGAGATAGAGAGTAGAAGGATAGTTAACAGAGGCTGAGAAGGGTAGTTGGAGGGTGGGGGGAAGGAAGGGACGATGGTTAATGGGTACAAAAATATAATTAGAATAAATAAGATCTAGTATTTGCTAGCACAACAGTGTGACCATAGTAAAAATAATTTAATTGTTCATTTTAAAATAACTAAAAGAGTACAATTATATTGTTGGAAACACAAAGAATAAATGCCTGCGGTGATGGATATCCTATTTACTCTGATGTGATTAATATGCATTGTTTGCCTATATCAAAATATCTCCTGTAGCCCATAAACATATATACCTACTATGTACCCACAAAAACTGAAAATAAAAAATTAAAGGAATATATATGTCTACTAAATAGAATGACACATGCTGTCGTAGAGGTAAGCATGGACTTCTCTGGAAAGCACAGAGGACATGGACTTAGCTGAGATGATGGCAGCGCCATAAATGAAGGCTCTCTGGTGGCTATGTGGAGGAGGTGATATCGCCAGTTTTGAATAGGACAGTTAACTTGGGAAAAAAGGACAGTGTTTGGATGATCAAGGCTTTCCAAGAAGAAAGAACAAGAAATGGAAGGTCTGTAGCCTTTGACCGGATGGCAAAAAAGGATGAGATCATGAAGAATTTGTATTACATGGTAGTAAGAGTAAAGGTATGAATGCTGTACATAACTAGGCAGTTACTTTAATGAAGGGAATTACATCATCAGAATTGTGTTGTAGAAAATGTGGTCTGTCATTTGTGTGAAGTGTATATTGGAAGAGGGCAAAACCGGAAGTGGTATGGTAATCTAGACAAGAAGGATGATGCAATAGATGAGATTAAACCATCCATTCCCTTCTATTGGATAGAAGAATTTGTCCCCCTAGCTCCTGGGAGTGCTGCTGACAGGCAGTTCTCAGCTGTCAGCCCTCTACATAATTGCCTTAGCTAAATAGATTTCTCTCCTAAGGTCATTTTGCCCTCTCATGACAGCCCATATCCAATAACTGGTTAATGCAAATGAATAAAAACCCTTCCCCTTTCCTCCTGTATGAGGCAGAATTCCAAGATGATCCCCAAGATTCCAGGCCCCTGGTATATACACACCTTCTCCCAGTTATTCAATCAGATACTAATGTAAGTATTGCTGGGAAGGAATTTTGCAGGTATAATTAGGGTCTTAAATCAGCTGACCTTAAGATAGATTATCTAGGTGAGTCTGACCTATTCAAATGAACCTTTTAAAAGAAAGCTTTCTACAGCTGGTTGATGAAGGGGAAGTCAGTTATTAAAAGAAAGAGAAGGCTTTGACACAGCAAGTTGCTATCTTGAAAGGTGAAGGAGTCCACATGTCAAAGAATGTAGTAGGCTTTTAGTTGCTGAGAGAGGCTCCAGGTTGGCAGCCAGCAAGAAAATGAAGACCTAAGTCCTACAACTTCAAGAAATTAAATTTTGCAAATTGTAAGACTGAGCTTGGAAGCAGATTTTTCCCCAAAGCCCCCAGAAGAGAACCTAATCTGGCTTACACCTAGATTTCAGACCTAAGCAGAGAACCCTGTCACGCAGTGCTGGACTTCTGACCTACACAACTGTGAGTTAAAAAATGGGTCATGTTTTAAGCCACTAAGTTGGTAGAAATTTGTTTTACAGCAAATAGAAAACTAAAATAACCCTTAAACTGCTGTAGGACTTAGCCAAAATGTATCGACAGGAGTTGGGGAGTACATATGGAACTGGATTGTGAGAGTGCTGGATTAAAGGGACAAAACATAAAGTTGTTTATTGATTTGACAGGTCTCTCCAATATACGGGATTTAATACTTGGAAAAGACTCTAGAGTATGGTAGTTTTTCCTAGAAGCATGGAAAAGTGATGACCCACAGTAAATGAAGTATTAAATACCAGAATTGCCATAGTAGGCAATGGAAGAAAAGATTTAAGAGGCTCAGAGAATTGGACATGCTCTGAAACTGCTCCCCTCCCCAGGCAATATAGTAAATCAAAAGCAATCTTGCATCCCAAAGAGATGGCACAGACTAGTGTAACCCTTTAAGACCTAAAGAATGCAAGAGTGATGTTCCCCTTCATATCTCCACTTAATTCACCAGTCTGGCCCCTGTAGAAACTAGACAGATTTTGGAGGAAGACAGTTGTCTACCGCAAACTCCACTAAATAGTATTCCCAGCTAGGCACGGTGGCTGCTCACGCCTGTAATCCTAGCATTTTGGGAGGCCAAGGCAGGCGGATTGCCTGAGGTCAGGAGTTCAAGACCAGCCTGGGCAACACAGTGAAACCCTGTCTCCACTAAAATACAAAAAACTAGCCGGGCGTGGTGGTGGGTGCCTGTAGTCCCAGCTACCTCAGAGGCTGAGGCAGGAGAATTGCTTGAACCAGGGAGGTGGAGGTTGCAGTGAGGTGAGATCACGCCACTGCACTCCAGCCTGGGCAACAGAGACAGACTCTGTCTCAAAAAATAAATAAATAAATAAATAAATATATTCCCAATTATGGCTTCTGCATCAATGTGGAATGCTTGCTATGTATTGATGTGGCTTCAGGTAAATGATATATAGCTAACAAGCTGGTAAATGTATTTTTCCCACCCCTATCAAAAACAGAATCAGGGATAATCACTGTCGTTCTTCCTGTGTATGCACGTTAAACAAATTTATATGCCTTTTCTCCTAACAAACAAGCGTAATGGGGGGAATCAGAAAACTTTTCGTTCACCGCTGACAGGTGTATACGTTCACAGTCTTGCCCCAGGACTACATCAACTCTTCTTCCCTCTCTTATAGTCAGGACAAACCTGGACCAGCTGGACATCTTGCAGAACATCACACTCTTTCACTTAACAGTGATACATAACATCAAGAGGCCTTTGTAAGACACCAGTAAAATGACAGATTATTGCATGTTGAACTTCCTACCTTGAAGGGGGACAACACAAGGCTTATTAGGCCCCCCTTTTTTGTCAGAAAATTTCCACAGCTGAGAATACTGCTCCAACTCGCATACTAGGTGACAGGAAAAGCTACCAGCTTCGGGAAGAAAGTGGCTTTGTAGCAAGTCCGTGCTGTGGTGATAGTAGCCCTACCTCTTTGGCCATACAACCTTGGATTCCCTATTGTATTAGAGGTATCAGAAATGGGAAGAGATGCTCTGTGGTGTTCTAGAGTAGAGACATATGCAAGTGGGCACCAAATGTGAAAATATTTCTATCACATGTCATGCACTTAGAAAGCATTCACCATGGAGGAGGCATTAAACAATCAGACCAAAAACTCACCTAGTTGATATCAACTGATCTCTTCTTCACCCTACACTAGTGCTATTACAATGGGCATATGAATGGGTGACCATGATGGCAAAGCTGGAGGCCATGCATGGACCAAGCAGTGTGGACTCTCACTTACCAAGACTTACGAAGCCACTGTTGCTACAGATGCCCAATCATCCGGTAGCAGAACCTAATACTGAGTCTGTCAATATGGCACCGTCCCTCAAGGAGATCAATCAGTTACTTGGTAACAAGTTGATTACATTAGTCCCCCTTCACAACACTAGGAGCAGCTATATATCCAGGTACTGATTTCCCTTTCTTGGCTACAGAGCCTAAACTGGCATTCTCATCTGAGGGTTTACAGCATTTTCTCCATTTATGTGGCATTCTAACCTACATTGTGTTAGACTAAAGAACCATTTTGATGGCAAACAAAGTGTGGGAGTGGGTGTATAACCACTGGACCCACTGGGCACATTACATACTGCACCCCCCAGAAAGCTGACAACCTTATAGAGCAATAAAATGGCCTACTGAAGGCATAGCTGAAATGTCAACTCAGAGGCAATGCCTAGCAATGGTGGGACACCATCCTCCAGTATATCCCTCCTGTATGCATTTCAATGAGTGGTTCTCCACCAGGAGCAGTTTTGTCCCTGGAGGAATATTTGACAATGTCTGGAGACATCTTTTGGTTGTCGTAATATAGTGGAGTGGGGGGTCTTGGGGAGGTGAACTGGGGTGGGTTGTGTTGTACTGGTATCTAGTGGATAGAGGAAAGAAGTACACTAAACATCTTACACTTCATAGAACAGCCCCCCCCCCAACAAAAAATTATTCCGCTCAAAATATTAATAATGCCAAGGGTTAAAAAACCCTGCTTTAAACCAATGACCTTTACATGATGCTGTTTCCCTATAGTTGAAATTCATTGATCTGGGACTCATGAGTTAAAAGCCAAGGAGCCCCACTGACCATCACTACCATTGACCTTCTCGGGGATTGTTTCCCATTTCTACAACTCTGGGCTTCATGAGTTTAGAGGTTTGGTTTCCAAATACACAAGAGTCTTATTGGACTAAAAGCTACAGCTGTTTCCTGGGCACTTCAGGCTCACCTTACCAAGGGAGAAGCAGGCAAGAGGAGGAGTGACTCTCTTGGCAGGGGTAATTGACCCTAATCATCACGAGGACTTGGAACCGTTTTTAGTTAGTGGGGTAGGAAAAATACACTTGACTTCTACAAGGACTTAGAGCTGTCTTTACTTCATGGGGCAAGAAAAATGCACTTGGCTTCTAGATATCTACTTGAGCATCGTCTCTTGGTAACCGCTTCCCCAATTTTGATGTTTAAAAGGACAAGGGCAGCACTTGGGGCCTGGGAAAGGCACAGTTACTGTAGGCTTAGACCTTTGAGGATGAAGGTCTCAGTCACACCACCACGAAAAACATCGAGGCTAGCAGAATGCTACCTGAAGGCAAAAGGAATCTAGAATGCATAATAGAAAAGAGAGACGTGAGTATCAATTGTGGTCTGGAGACAAACTACAGAGATAAAGGTTATGTTTTGTTCTATTGACATTCCTCCTGTAAGTTTCTTTAGGAAAAGATGCCCATGGAATCCTGGAGGAACTGCTTCTGGAACTTATGGTGAAGAAGTGGATATGAGCATTACAGGGGACGAACTTTAGTGGATGTTGTGATGTGCTACCCAGATGCCCCTCCAGAACTGAAAAGTTTCCTCTCCCCTCTGGGAATGCTGCCAGCAGATGGCCTTTAGCTTCCAGACATCTTAGAGACTGCCTAGGCTGAAGAGTGTGGCCTCTCTTAATGCCATACTTCTTTCCCAGACCATGTTTGATGACTTGTTGATGCAGAGGTATAAAGGCCTCATCCCTTTGCTCCAATTTAATATAATTCAGAATGGCCATCTCAACTGTAAAATTCCTTGTGGGCTGGGTGTGGTGGCTTATGCCTGTAATTCTAACTACTTGGGAGGCTGAGGCAGGAGTATCGCTTGAAGCCAGGAGTTTGAGACCAGCCTGGGTAACCATTTCTAAAAATAAAAAAAAATTAAAAAAAAATAGCCAGACGCAAACTACAGGCATGTACCTGTTGTCCTAGCTATTTAGGAGGTTGAGGTGGGAGGATCATTCGAGCCCAGGAGTTCTAAGCTGCAGTAAGCCATGATTGTACCACTGTTCTCCAGCCTGGGTGACCGAGGAAGACTCTATCTCTTCAAACAAAACAAAGAACCCCAACAAACTCCTTATAGAATCTGCTGAAGCTTTTCTTGAGAGTGCATCACAGCCCAACTTTTCCCTCTGCTCAATCCTGCTTGACTCCCTTCCCTTCAGCATGTTGCAGCCTTAAGAACCTTCCTTCTGGCTATAATCCCTGTCTCAGTCTGCTTCCTTGGGAACCCCATCTGTGGCAGATTACAAATTGAGCCAAGGCAGTAGCAATGGAGCTAGTGTAGACTTTAGGATATTTTAAGGAATAATAGCATTCACTACCAATTGGATGTAAAAGGAAAGGAAGATGGAAGACTTAATTATAACTTCCACGTTTACTTGGACAACTGGGTAGTCAATGGTGCATTCATCAAGATAAGGAATATAAAAGTAGGAGCAGAGTTTGGGGGAGAAAATGACCAATTTCTTCTTGTACATTTTCATCATGTATATAAAGGAAAATGCAACAAAATAATATGTGGAAAGTTATTAGGCTAAACCATAAAGTGCCACTTTTATAGGTCAGATTTGTTAAATATTGGCAATTTCAAATGGATGAAACTAATAATTATATATTAGCTTCTACATGGGAAAATTTACTATTTTTATTAAACCTTACGTAGGTCATATAAGATTTCAGAAAGGCAATATGTGTCAGATTCAAAAGATAATCTTTTGGATAATATATCATTTACATTTAAGCTTCTGAAACAAGAATATAAATCACATTGTTGCTTTAAGGCACATTAGGGGATCTTGATGAGATTGGGAACTTTGATTTACATCAGTTTTCTTGAAGAAGTTGAGACATAATCACCGTAAGTAGAGCTAGGAAAGGTCACAGATAACTTAATTTCTATGCCAAAGTTTTCTATAGCATGCTATCTTCTATCTTAAAAAAAAAAAAAAAAAAAAAAAAAACTAGGACACACTTGGAATCCCGTGGTATTTGTTGTCTTTCAACAGGCTTATTGGCAGAACACAGAATGCCTTCATGTAGTTTTTAGGTGAGATCAAAACTAAATCATACTGTGGCTTCACCTTAATGGGCTGAAAAGTACACTCTTAATATACAAGTTCTTCTGAGGTTGTAACATGTAGCATTGGTTGAATATGAGCATCCAAATATTACTGATATAACTGATTCAATATGGTATTTGGGGGACTAGAATTACAAATAGGCTCTGTGGTGCTTTTTTCTGTTCCAAGCCTCAGAATATTGTTTCTATTCCTTTATTTAGAAAAGTAACCCACTAGATATATATTAATAGGATTTTAAAAATACAGCTAATCATGGCTAATACTATCTTAAAACTTCAGGTCAGTAGACCTGGAGAGATTTAAAAAAATTAGTATAGGTACATGCAGAATGAAAAACAACCACCACCTTCTTTTATTTATTTATTATTTTTTTTCTTAAATTTTTTTTTAAAAGTTTACGTTCAGAGGGTACATGTGCAAGTTTGTTACATGGGTATATTAAACGTGATGCTGAGATTTGAACTTCTATTGATCTCATCACCCAAATAGTGAACATAGTACCCAATAGGTAGTTTTTCTTTTTTCTTTTTATTTAATTTTTTTATTATCATACTTTAAGTTCTAGGGTACATGTGCACAACGTGCAGGTTTGTTACATATGTATACATGTGCCATGTTGGTGTGCTTCACGCATTAACTCGTCATTTACATTAGGTATATCTCCTAATGCTATCCCTTCCCCCTCCCCCCACCCCACAACAGGCTCCGGTATGTGATGTTCCCCTTCCTGTGTCCAAGTGTTCTCATTGTTCAGTTCCCACCTATGAGTGAGAACATGCAGTGTTTGGTTTTCTGTCCTTGCAATAGTTTGTTGAGAATGATGGTTTCCAGCTTCATCCATGTCCCTACAAAGGACATGAACTCATCCTTTTTAATGGCTGCATAGTATTCCATGGTGTATATGTGCCACATTTTCTTAATCCAGTCTATCATTGTTGGACATTTGGGTTGGTTCCAAGTCTTTGCTATTGTGAATAGTGCCGCAATAAACATATGTGTGCATGTGTCTTTATAGCAGCATGATTTATAGTCCTTTGGGTATATACCCAGTAATAGGATGACTGGGTCAAATGGTATTTCTAGTTCTAGATCCTTGAGGAATTGCCACACTGTCTTCCACAATGGTTGAACTAGTTGACAGTCCCACCAACAGTGTAAAAGTGTTCCTATTTCTCCACATCCTCTCCAGCACCTGTTGTTTCCTGACTTTTTAATGATCGCCATTCTAACTGGTATGAGATGGTATCTCATTGTGGTTTTGATTTGCATTTCTCTGATGGGCAGTGATGATGAGCATTTTTTCATTTGTCTGTTGGCTGCATAGATGTCTTCTTTTGAGAAGTGTCTGTTCATATCCTTCACCCACTTTTTGATGGGGGTTGTTTTTTTCTTGTAAATTTGTTGGAGTTCATTGTAGATTCTGGATATTAGCCCTTTGTCAGATGAGTAGATTGCAAAAATTTTTTCCCATTCTGTAGGTTGCCTGTTCACTCTGATGGTAGTTTCTTTTGCTGCCACCACCTTCTTTTAAAAGATAAGGCATGGGTTCAAGGACAGAGGCAGTGACATCATTCCTCTGGGTAGGTTAGATAATAAAAGTGAGAGAGGTGGAGAAAAGTATTAATACATATACTAGTCAGAATAGCCTAGGTTATTCTGAAGTAACAAAACCTTGAAAATCTTCATGGCTTAAAACCACCAAGTTTAATTCTTGCTCACATTATATGTCCATTGCAAGTTGGATGTGTCTTCCACTCCCCATTGTTTTGTTTGTTTGGTTGGTTTTCCAACCAAGAAGTGGTACCAATTCTCCATGGATTTTACTACAGGATCTGCATTGAACAAGATACTACTGCCTGTAACACTGCAAGGCATCCAAAGTGAACAGAGAGTGTGATGAATTACATACTGGTGTTTAATGCTTGTGTGCAGAGTAACACACATCCCCTTTGTTAACCTTCCACTCACACTTTGTGTCTAAAGTAAGTTCAAGGCCACAAATAACTTCAAGAGACATGAGAAAGCATACTACTACAAATACAAATATTTGGTGAGCAGTACTAATGACAAACTACTATTGCCACTTCTATTACCACTTTCTTTTTTTTTTTTTTTTTTTTTTTTTTGCGACAGAGTCTCTGTCACCCAGGCTGGAGTGCAGTGGTGCAATCTTGGCTCACTGCAACCTCCGCCTCCTGTATTCAAGTGATTCTCCTGCCTCAGCCTCCCCAGTAGCTGGGATTATAGGCATGCACCACCATGCCCGGCTAATTTTTGTATTTTTAGTAGAGACGGGGTTTCACCACGTTGATCAGGCTGGTCTCGAACTCCTGACCTCGTGATCCACCTGCCTACAGACTAGAAAGTGGATTGCCACTTTCTAATCTGTAGTTAGTTGAGATCAAAGAACAGCAGTGTTAGGGGAGAGGCAGATGTGAGAAATCTTGAACAGGGTGATGACAAATATAGAGTAATGAAAGAGCCATGCAGCTAGAATATAGATAAGGCTTTGAGTTAGTTTCAGTTTTTTTGTTTTTTTGTTTTTCTTTTTTGAGACAAGGTCTCACTCTGTTGCCCAGGCCAAAGGGCTGTGACTTGATCTCAGTTCAACTGCAGCCTCGACCTCCCAGACTCAAGTGATATTTGAGCCTCAGCCCCCGAGTAGCTGGGATGGAGTACAGGCACAGGCCACCTTGCCAAGGTAATTTTTGTATTTTTTGTAGAGGTGGGGTTTCATCATGTTGGCCAGGTTGGTCTCAAGCTCTTGAGCTCAAGCGATCAGCCCACCTGAACCTCCCAAAGTGCTGGGATTACAGACGTGAGCCACTGCACAGGGCCTTAGATAAGGCTTTTAAGTTTCAGATACACAACCAGCCTTTTCTGCAGATGCGAGAGGAACTATTTTTCTTGTCTAGGTGCATAACTTCCTAGATGTTGTTGTCATCAGAAAAGAGAGGAGAAGCTAGGATAGGGAAAGTAAAGGTTTAAAAGGAAAGTGGTGTCCTAAAAGACTTACGGAATCCATTTCTCCTTTTTTAACAACATTTAGAAATTTATAGTACAAGATCACTTTTTCTTTGTTTTGCCATCTCAAATCTGCTATCAAGTTTATCTAGTGATTTTTTTACTTTAGTTTTTGTATTTTTATCTCTCGAATTTCTGTTTTGGTAATTTCTATTTCTGTGTTAATGCTACCTGTATTTTAACTCATTAACAGCATATCTGTTAATTACTTAACCATATTTTTATTTAATTCTTTAGATATATTGATAATAGCTACTTTGAAGATTTTGCGAAATACAACATGTAGGCCAACTCAGAATCTGTTTCTACTGATTGCTTTTGTTTTTTCTGAGAATGGATAAACTCTTCTATTTCTTTGCCAGTCTAGCAAATTTTGATTGAAAACTGGACATTCCAGCAACTCTGAAATGTATCATTTTCTGAGGATTGTGTTTGTTCTAGTAAATAATTAACTTTTTGTTCTACATGTTATTTTTTGTTTGTTTGTTTTTTGTTTGTTTGTTTGTTTGAGAGAGGATCTTGCTCTGTCACCCAGGTTTGAGTACAGTGATGCAATCATGGCTCACAGCAGCCTTGCGCTCCCAGGCTCAAGTGACCCTCCCACGTTAGCCTCCTGAGTAGCTGGGACTACAGGCATGCATCACCACACCTGACTATTTTTTGTAGAGATGGGATTTTGCCATGGCTGGTTGCCCTGGCTGATCTTGAACTCCTGAGCTCAAACGATCCTCCCTTCTTGGCCTCCTAAAGTGCTAGGATTACATGTGTGAGCCACTGCACCCAGTCTACATGTTGATTTTTAAAGAATGTATTCTAAATGCTATTTTTTTTCTATCTGTCTTTTTTTAAATTTCAATATTTTTTGCAGAAAAGGTAGTTTTGGTTACATGGATAAGTTCTTCAGTGGTAATCTCTGAGATTTTGGTGCACCCATCACCTGAGCGGTATACACTCATGTAGTCTTTTATCCCTCACCCCCTTCCCTCCGAGTTCGCAAAGTCCATTATATCATTCTTATGCCTTTGTGTCCTCATAGCTTAGTTCCCACTTTTAAGTGAGAACATGCGATATTTGGCTTTCCGTTCTTGAGTTACTTCACTTAGAATAATGGCCTCCGCTTCCATCTAGGTTGCTGCAGATGCCATCATTTCATTCCTTTTTATGGCTAAGTAGTATTCCATGGTGTATATACACCACATTTTATTTATCGACTTGTTCATGGTCGATGGGCATTTAGGCTGGTTCCGTATTTTTGCGGTTATGAATTATGCTGCTGTAAATATGCATGTGCAAGTGTCTTTTCATATAGTGACTTCTTTTCCTCTGGGTAGATACCCAGTAGTGGGATTGCTGGATCAAATGGTGGTTCTCTTTTAGTTCTTTAAGGAATCTTCATACTGTTTTCCTTAGCGGTTATGCTAGTTTACATTCCCACCTGTTGCCTGTCTGCCATCATGCCCCCTCCCCTTGCCAACCCCATCTGTCTATCTATCTGAGAGATTTATTTATTTCAAAAAAATTGGCTCATGCGACAGTGGAGGCTAAGAAGTCCAAAATCTGCAGAACAGGCTGGTCAATTGGAGACACAGGAAAGAGTTGTTTCACCTGAGTCCAAAGGCAATCTGCTGGCAGAATTCCTCCTTCTTTGGGGGATGTTAGTCCTTTTGCTCTTAAGGTCTTCAACTGATTGAATGAGGCCCATGCACATTGTGGAGAGTTATCAGCTTTAGTGAATGTCTGGTGATTTAAATGTTAATCTCACCTAAAAATACCTTCATAGCAATATCTAGTCCTAGCCATGTTGACACATAAAACTAACCAACACAAGCCCACTCCGTGTCAGTTTGACACTGATACACATCTCCTTAAACTATACTTACTCTCCAAATAAAAATATATTTTATTTGTTATATTTAGTTACAAGATATCAAGGAGAAGAACACTCTTCTCCTTGATATCTTATAACGTTGTATTACTTGATGTAAAGTTAACAATACTTAAATACTATAATATAAAAGTCAGTAAATTTTATGTTATATGATAAGGAGAAAAGAAAGGGAAAAAACAAAGATATCTGATACATGCCAGACACACACACACACACGAATCAATCATAATTTACTCAGTGAGTTCCTTGGTGATAAATATTGTTTGTTTCCAAATTTTGCTTTAAAAAATGCCATAATAATAACCTATCAATAAGTCAGAGTACTGGCAGGAAAGAGATGGCACACTCAAACTGGGTTATTGAGGAGAGGCTAATAAAAGTATTATTCAAAGAGACATAAAGAACGGTCAAGGGAAACAGAAAAAGTGCTAAGACAAATGCTAGTAACATTTGAGAGTCATTTCCCCTCCATTTGGCCTGAAGTTATAAGAGTAGTTACTGAAATCTGGAAAACTACTATCATTGAAGTGGTAGCTGTAGCTGTTGGACAGCACTGCCTGATAGAAGCTGGACCCTAGGTAGAGGAATATTGACTTGGCCCAGAAGGAGGTGAGAAATAAATACCCCAAACTTAACTTTCCTCCTGGCTTCCAGTCTCTGGCTGATGCCTCCTATGGGCCAAACCTATGTCGAAGCCAGAGGAATCTAGTTAATGTAGTCCAATGGTTAATGAACTATGGCCTGCTTTTGTAAACAGAGATTTATCGCAACTCAGCCATGTTCCTTTGTGTATGTATTATCTGTGCATGCTTTCACCTTTCACACTATAACAGCAGTTTAGTAGTTAGAGATTATATGGCCCTCAGTTATCCTTCTGGCCCTTTACGGAAAATGTTTGCTGACCATTGACGTAGGTCAAAAAGTTCAGTCTCTCAGGCTCAGAGCAGAGTGGGGAAGGGTGGAGAAGAGATCTGGAGTGGCAAACAAAAGCTATTCAGCATAAAAAGTAATTTCACGTTATGACAGTATGTATTAGAAGTAGATTGCTAGAAGTGTGATTGCTGGATCAATGGTAAATGGCTGTGTAAATTTCCTAGATATCACCAAGCTCACCTTCATAGGTATTATACCATTTGACGTTGTCACTGGCAACATAGGAGTGGTCCTGTTTCCCCACAGCCTGTCCAACAGACTATATCCAATATGTATAGGCTCTTTGCCTATCTGGTAGGTAAGAAGTGGTATCACAATATATGGCTGAATTTGCATCTCTTATTATGAATAAAATTGAACAAGTTTTTGAATATGCAGGGGACCTTTTCATTTCTTCTCTAAACTACTATTTGTTTATGGAAGATATATATTTTTTTCATTGGAGTACAACATATTGTAAAGTGCACTACATATGTAAATATATAGCTCAATGAATCTTTTTTACAAAGTAAATATTCTCTTGTAACAACCAACTAGGTCATATTATAAACATTATATCTCTGAAGACTTCCTCATGCTCCCTCCATTTGCCCTCCTAAAATTAATCACTATTCTGTTCACCATTAATTAGTTTGAGTTGTAACTTTCTACAAACAAAATTGCACAGCATATATTCTTTGTCTGATTTATTTCACTCATCATATGTCTGTGAGCTTTATCCATATTGTTGGTGAAGTTTCCTCTTTTTTATTCCAATATGATAACTAATTTTAGAAATACACAATTTATTTATTGATTATATTGTTAGTAGCCATTTAAATATTTCCTTTTTGCATTTAAGACTAGTACTGCTATAGACATTCGTGTACATGTACTTTGGTGCATATATGTATACATTTCTATAGGAAATATACCTAGCATTGAACTTGTAGATCATGAAGTATGACTTTGGCTTTAGTCAGTACTGCCAAAGCTTTTCCAAATTGGTTATATCAATTTTCACTCTCTTCAATAGTATATTAGAGTTCCAGTTGCTACATGTTCTTGCTAGTACTTGGTGTGGTCAGAATTTGACATTTAGGCCTATAAATTTTCATATCCACGTATGAAAAAATTAACTGAAGTCTCTAGCACAGTCCACTCACAAAAATTTATTACAGATGAATTGTAGATATAAGTGTGCTTCCAAAAACCCTTCATGAGAAAAGATTTATGGTCCACACCAGAGTAAGTTATGCCTTTCTTTATAATTCACTTCAGTACATTATCTATCTATCTATCCCTCTATCTACATTTATACCTATATAATCACTATTTCTATCTGTATCTAGACATGAGTTGTGTCATTTTTATTTGTTCCAAATTCCTTGTGGTTGTAAGATTAAAGCTTTCAGTTCTTAGTGGTCACCTCACTTTCCTGCCATGTGGCCCTCTCCATGGCTGTTCACATCATAGCAGGTTACTTCTTCAAGGCCAGCCAGAGAGTCTCTGTTTTTCGGTTGGCTAAGACAGTCATGTAAGGTCACATAATCATGGCAGTAACATCCATTACCTTTGCCATAAAACATAACTGAATTGAGGGAGTGACATCCCATCATCTTTACCATATTCTGGGGGTCAGAAGCAAGTCACAGTTTCCACCTGCAGTCAACTGGAGGGCCTTATATAAGCTTATAACTCATTGGTGTATATTCACCAAAGTTCAGTTATCACAGTGGGTACACAACATCCCTGAAGGCAAGGGAGATGAGCAGCCAATCAGGGTGTTGTTCAAACTATAAGTTAATATAAGTCAAAAATAGATGATCAGAAGACTGAAATAAACTACATAAAATATTACAAAGTCACATTCCATTTCCATACTTGTGTCAGTTTCATATCCTAAACTTATCAATTGAAAGAGGGACCCTGTAACACAGAGACAAGTCATTCTCCAACAGGAATGATACCCATTTACATGTATAACTAAACTCTGGGGAAAAGGGAATACCCAAACATTTCGAGAGCTGTTTGATGTCATGCCTGAGTTGACATTGAAAACTGGAGACATAAAGCATCATAATCCCCATGTTAAAGTGAGGGTATACAGAAGACAGATGATAAATGGAATGCTGGCATTGGTCCGGCTCATAGTAGTGGGTTCACTGGGTTCAAAGGCTCACAAAGTTATTGTTTCCTTGGTCCCAAGATATATAATTGGAATAGAAATGCTTGGTAGTTAATGATTTATTAAATTGCAGAATAAAAGTTACTCTAGTGGGAAGAGCAAGTGGAAATTTCTAATATGCCCCTTCCTCACATGCAATATTGCATCCCAGGGGAAACAGCAGAGGACCTAAAAGATGCAGGGGTCATGGCCCCATTATATCTCCATTTAATTCACTATTTTAGCTCTTAGAAAGCCCAGATGGATCTGGAAGATGAAAGTAGATTGCTGCAAACTCAACCAAATGTTGCATTAATTGCAGTTGCTCTTCCAGAAGAAGCATCTTTGTTAGAGCAGATTACCACAACTTCAGGTACATGGTATGAAGTCATTAATGTAGCAGTTTTATCCTTTCTAAAAATCTCTATTGGAAAGGAGGATCAGGAACAGTTTGTATTCATATGTAATAAGCATAATTTTGCCTAAGTTAACTGTTACCTAGGTTAACTAGGTTAACTGTTTTACCCTCTATCATGATATTTTCTGGAGGGATCTAGACAGATCAGCTATGTACACAACATCCCATTGGTCCATTATATTGATGGCATCATATTGGTTGGATCAGATCATCAAAAAGTGGCAAGGTAAGTACATTGGAAGACTAGGTAAGAGGGTAGGAGATAAGCATTCTGAGGGTTCAAGGACCTGATTCAATCAGTTAAATGTTAGGGATTCATTGGTCTGGGGCATCCTAGAACATCCCCTTCAAAGTAAAGGATAAATTATCACATCCTCACATCTTTCATCAAGCAAGAAAACATGATACCTGGTTTCTTCTTTGGGATCTGAGGCAGTTTATTGCATACTTGGGGATACTGCTCTGCCAGCTGTGAGTGGAACCAGAGCAGATAAAGTCTGTGCAGTAGGTCCAGATGCAGCAAGCCCTGTGGTACAGAGGCACTTGTGTTAGGGTAGCCGTGAAGTTTGTGGTAATAGGAAAATCATAATCCCAGAACTCCTAGAGTTATAGAATAAGGCCAGGTCAAATACAGTGGAGAAGTGTACTCTTTTTAAAATATTTATCTTCTGGTGTGCGAGTGGTAGATATGGAGTGCCTAGCTGTGGGATACCTAAAAATAGGTGTATTAATGATTTGACTATACTACCTTTTAAAAAAGAGAAGATAAAAGGATCAGAGTTTTATTCAGTCACACAAAAGACTCTAGAGATTATGGGCATACGTCACAGATTTTTTATTGAACAATAGGGCCTCCAGGAAGCTTCAGAACTTTGTTCTTCAGGAATCTCAATAGAAGCCCAAAGCCTCCCCAATCCCACCCCAGAAGATGTATGGATGTGATTTGTCTAATAGGCAAAATGCCAGTGACATTCACAGAAGACCCACAACATTTTTGAGAAAAATATATAAGCAAAAACATTGCCAGCATGGGCTGAAGTGAACAGAAGCAGTACAAAATGCATCGCATCTCCCAATTTTCTGCTGTCTTGAACAGAAATGTCTGCATCTGTTATTTTATGTCTGCCTCATCATTGTTTGTTGGGTATCAGATAACTTGTCTTTCTGGGTTCACAAGTTCACAGATATAGAGGCGCTGTACTCCTAGAGCTGTACTTAAAGAACTACACTCAAGGAAATTCCTTCATATACTTGGACATAATTTAGATGAGGAGATACTGGACTTTCATCTGATGCCATAATGGTGTGAGTTTTACAGAGACATGAGAGATGGTACACATATTTTTCATGTGGAAGAAATGAGAATCACTGGGGGCCAGAGGGAAGACAATAGTAGGTTGCTTATAAATTGAATCCCTGTCTTCCCTACCTTCTTGTATTCAGTCCCATGTGTAACTCCTTCCCCTAGAGTATGGGCTGGACTTCATTACTCTCTTCCAAAGAACAGAACATGGCAAAAGTGATGGATGCCAATTCTGAAATAAGGTTACAAAAACTATGACTTCCATCTTGCTTATGTTGATGGCTGATGTGATACCTCGGTTCTTGTCTTCCTAAAATAATTTAAACAAGAGACACCCAGCAAAGGGGGTGTAGTATAGAGTAATTTATTTCAAAAAGAAAAAGAGTATTTCGAAGGTTAGGTGCAGAATAGGCAGTATACCCTGAGAGAGAGAGAGAGGATTCAGAGCAGGACAAGACAGCAAAGACTGGCACTAGGGAGGCTCCCTTTATGGAGACCTACATGATTATTCATAAAGAGGTGGAAAGAGGTGTTACTAGTAAGCATGTTCTGGGTTGTCCTCTTGGTGCACATGCACAATAGCTGTACATGCTTGTTCATACATCGCATGTCTCATTAGCATCTTAAATCTCCACCCGGAGGTGTGCTTTTTACTGTTAAAATGAGCAAATGGTCAGTTTGAGGATAGGTAAAATAAAAATGTGCATGCTCTTTAGACCGGAAAGTCCCTACTGAAGATAGCTTTGCTTGAATGAGCTCAACTACATTGCGAATGTCATTTATTGTGTGGATTGTGCAGTCACCATGGTTGCTGTGCCTCGAGAACATGGTCACTTCCTTGACTACCTATCCTGCCTCACTTACACTCTCTTTCCCTGGTCCTCCTTGTTTGCTTGCTTGCTTTTAAGATGCCTTACAAAGAGGCCCATGTGAAAAAGGAACTAAGTGTAGCCTTCAGCCAACAGCCAACAAGGACTGAGGCCAATAAAGAATGGAACCGTGCCAACAATCATGTAGTGAACTTAGAAGCAAATTCTTCCACAGCTGATCATTGGAATTACTGCAACTCAGATGATACCTTGATGGTAGCTTGTAAGAAACCTGAAGCAGACAACACAGATAAGCAGGGCCCAGATTCCTGACTCAAAGTAACCGCAATAATAAATGTTGTTTAAGCCACTTAATTTGGAATAATTGGTTGTGAAATCATAGGTTACTAACACATAGCACAGCATTGTACAGCTGAAGAGTTATCAGTTCAAGACCCTTCCTCATTTGACAGCAGAGGAAAATGAATCCCAGTGATAATTAAGAACATAAAGTATGCCAGTATTATGTTAGTATGATGAATGGCCTTTTTTAAAAGATAAAAAAAATTCAATCATATGGAGTTTTTTAAAATAAATTACTGAAACAATCATAAAGCTGGAGGGAATTTAGAGATCAGTTAGTAGTATCCACTTATTTTATAGAGGAAGAAACTAAAATATACTTTTAAAAATTCCCTTTTGTGATTGGCTTCTAAACTGGTTTATGAGCTACATGAGAAAACCAGGCTCATAACTTTGTAGCTCACCTTATTTTTGAAACCCAAACATTATAATCCAATTTAACCAACGACTTTATTCACTAGTCTTGACTTTTGGCAAGCTCTAAAAAATCAAATCCCCTGTCAAGGGATGAAGATTTGCCACTATTGAGGATAGTCAAAGAAATTAGCTTCAGGCTCTGAAAGCAATTTCAAGAGGAGTTCTAAAACTGTTTTAAGAAATGGCAGTACTGCTGGAATAAATGTATAGTCTGTCAGGTCAGCTACTTTGAAAGGGATATAGTAATTTGGATCTGTCATTTCTGCATTGTTTCTTGAAGAGTAGAAACACATTATATAACAAGTGTTCAGAAAATGATGGCCATCCATTCCACAACAACTGCAACAACAAAAATTTAAATAAAAGGTTTCAAACAGTGTTTCAGTCTTTGCTCAGCCATGTGTACCTGTGATCTTGAATGTGACCTCTTTGCATTTTGTAGTTATTGACAATTTGGGTCTGTGACACTCTTACCAGGAATTGTCATTAACTATTGAATTATTTAATATTTTCCTTCAGTATCATATCTGATAGCAGAACTAGATTTACAATTATATGAACTATCTTCCCTCAGTCCCTTTCATCATTCCATATATTTCATACTTTCTGTGTGCATATGCATCTTGATTGATATTTAAAATGTTACTATTAGAGTTTTATGACATAGCTTCTGAATTGCAAATAAGTTTTAAATGGCTTACTTTGTTCAGTTGTTTGTGGCAATCTGGAACACCAATATTGAGGAAGATTCTGTGGCTAGATCTGGTATCAGTGGGAAATAAGTCCATGTTTTGTTATGTCTGCCATCATCATCAAAGACGAAGGGTAACCACATATATATTTGATGATCCTTCTTAGGATAACTGTCTTGGCCCTTATTGCAATAAAAATATCTCTAGAGTAGATTATGTTTACTAGATTGTCATCCAATTATACCTTAGAGATAATAAAAGTCCTCCATGATGTAGAAGGAGAGAGCATATTCAGCCGGTCTGTATTGGAAATGGGGGATTTCATCACGAGGGAAAATGAAACAGAATTGTCGCAAATATGGTCTAAAGATCCATACTTCAGGCAGATCACGAGGTCAGGAGATCAAGACCATCCTGGCTAACATGGTGAAACCCCGTCTCTACTAAAAATACAAAAAAAAAAAAATTAGCTGGGCGTGGTGGCGTGCGCCTGTAGTCCCAGCTGCTGGGGAGGCTGAGGCAGGAGAATGGTGTGAACCCAGGAGGCGAGTTCGCGCTTGCAGTGAGCCAAGATCGCGCCACTGCACTACAGCCTGAATGACAGAGCAAGACTCCATCTCAGAAAAAAAGTGTTTCTTCAATTTGATATAATTGTCTCTTCTCACCATTTAGGAACACTGCAGAAACCTGAAATATTCATATTATTACTATGGTCTCAGGTCACTGATTTAGTCTCAGCTCCATTGTGCTAAGACAGTTGATTTTCCAAGCTATGATTTGCCTGGAGGAAGGGCAGAATTTACTTTGGTCCTAGCACATGTTAGAAACCCTGGGGGGAAGTATTTTGTGGTATTCCTGGATAGTGAATACAGGAAGTAATCCTATAGTCCTCTATCCCACTCACATCTATGGTCAATGTCCAGTGTCGAATGCACAGTCAATGCCCTGTGTTTGGTTTCCACTGTCCATTCACCTATACCTGGATTTTAGAGATTGTGAATTTGATAAATCAAAGTTCCTTTCCCTGTGTTTAGTAATAACTGAGTACAAGACAGTAAGCAATCAGAAAGTTGAGGACAACTAATAGAGATAAACTTGGCTCCTAAGAACCTGAATCAGTCCGTGATACTCTAGGTTTATCCTGGTATTACCTGTATAGCTTCTTCTTTCCTACGTTCTCCTTTCTTTCTCCTCTCAATGGTCTCTACCTAAACCTCCTACTGATACTCCTTTCTTTTTCTTATTTTTCTACCTCACTTTTCTGTAGTCATTCAGAACTAAATAGAGTGTCGACCTCTGAACCAATCTATAATATATTGCTGTGACCTGAATCCCATTTTCTCAGCTACCAATAAATTGCAATTCATTCCTCACAGCTTCCTGACATAACCTCTGACTGGTTCATACTAAATCTTTACTATATCCCAGAAATGTAACCTGGTCTAGACTCTAGCTCACTTTTATGGTAACTCAGTATGCCTCTCTAAGAGGACAGTTATCCTAGTTTTTTTTTTTTTTCTTAAAGTTTGGGATGATATTTCAAAATTTGGGTAGAAATATTAACTGTGAACAAAGAATTTTTTTTTTTTTTTTTTTTTTTTTTTTTTTTTTTTTTTGAGACGGAGTCTCGCTCTGTCGCCCAGGCCGGACTGCGGACTGCAGTGGCACAATCTCGGCTCACTGCAAGCTCCGCTTCCCGGGTTCACGCCATTCTCCTGCCTCAGCCTCCCCAGTAGCTGGGACTACAGGGAACAAAGAATTTTAAAAATACCTTCATTCTAATGTCATTCTAGCTTGAAGAAACATGATGCTTTTTAACAGAATGACTGAACTTTACTTTTTTCCCCATTCAATTAAGAAAAAAGTTGAAAATTAACAAAGTATACATATTTTCTGAAGTCAAGGCTTTGCTTTGGTGTATTGGGAACTTTTCTGAACCCTTTCTATGAGAAGTAATTGGATGTGAGCATAAGATGAATTACAATTCAAATCAGTCATTGGAAGCATACTGATTGGCTCATCTAAAAGTGTAACTAACTCACTACTAGTAAATTCTCAAAACTTCTTAAAAATTCACCACTTTGGCAAATCTCAGTTTGCCAAAGCGAGGTAGAAAAAAATAATTACAACTTTTTATTTCTGATTATGTAATATAAGTGTATAATTGAGTATCAGTGACAATTCAATTATGCTTAACAGATAGTGATCTGACACTACTAACGCTACTTTGCACCATGACTACCACCTGTCCCTGCCAGTGAGAAACACCACAGACTATCACCATCTTTCTTGGAATCCTTACCAAATACAGAGTTTACTCTTAATTTTATGTAATAATCTTGTTTCTGGTGTCTGTTATGGAGCTCAGATAGAAGATAGGCTATGAATTATCTCAGTGGAGAATGGAAGAGAAAGATGCACTGTGACCAGTTTATTCCTATAACATCGAAAGATAATCTTCATCTCCTAATTATAGGAGTGATGTTAGCTATACAGCAGCAAATTGATAGCCATGCATGTCTACCCTCCCAGCAAGAGTAGAGTCCTGAGTTTGCCTAAGGGCTACCTAGCTCCATTGGAAACACTCTGCTCCCTTGTTCAACAGCTATTTTGGTTTTGGCTAGTCTCAATTAACACACATTTAAAAGAAGTTGCATGGTCAGGAAAAGCTTTCAAAAAACTTCCAAAGTGGCATTTATGTCTGTCTCAAAATAGAACATCAGTGACCAAAAGGATGCTTTGAAGTGAATGAAAAAAAGACTCTGAAAAAAGAGAGGGGTCTAGAAAGCAGGGTCTTTTTGAGCAAGTTGGTGTATTGCTAAATGGTCACATCTCTTCCCATTATTACCAAGAATTAAGGCTACTGGAAGAAAGAACCAAAGAAAAAAACATAAAAGGTACAGCTTGAGGGCAAATGTCAGCAAAAAGAGGGAAAGCCTGCAGGGAGAATCAAAAACAGCACGGAGGGGATAGACTATAGGAAATAATAAATAAAAACATCCTTGAGTCGTAGAACTAAAAGCATTAAGGCAATAAGTGGCAAAAAAAAATTTTTAAGGAAGAAAAACTGAAAAGTAGGGCAAACTTACATGGATTTGCAGTAAAGGCAGCTGAGGTCCAGTAAAAAATGGTTCCATCTAGACATTAAAATAGTTGCAGAAGGCATATTCTGTATTACCACAACAGGAATATGGATAGAGATAGAAAGTCTCCTATAGATGGTAGATGGGCAGCTCAAATACTAGAATGAGGATATTGTCAGAGAAGTAAAAGAGAAAAACTGATCTAGGAGACAGAATAAAAGTCTTACCCAAGATCCTTGCAAAAAAATCTTCCAGCGGAAGTCTAAGAACCTGTTCACTGACATTTAACACAATTTTTCCTTAAGAGAACAGATTGAAGTAACAGATATTCAATGCAAAGAATCTCCTTTATCAAATATCTGCTAAATATTGGCGCTAAGTCTGAGTAACATCTATAACTCTTCTTAAAAAGTGGCTTTGTTAGGGAGTCTCTTCGATTACTCTCTGTATCTGTATGTCTGATAGATGAGAAAGAATCTTTCTATTCTCAAATAAGGCACAAGGAAGTTGTAATTAGATTTTACCAAACTCACATATTCTACCTAGAGGAAACTAGTTAAAAAAAAAAAAAAAGGCCAAAATTCTCTGTGCTGGAATGATTTTAGGTCACCTTGTGTTGGAGATTGGATGGAGCTTCTAAGTAGAGGCAGATTTATCCTAAAGCTAATGATGAGAGAGCTTTAGGGCCACCTCACTTGTATGACCTCAAAACAGAAGTTAATACTTTGGGTATGATCTGGTTTTTTTGCTCTTATTTGAATGTTCTTTTTGATGTTAGAATAATCTTTATCATTCTTCATCCTTTTTGCTTCTTATACCAGTATTTTTATCTGAACTTTCTTAGTTCTTTAATAAATTATGTAAGACAAATAAGGTACCATTTATACAGTATAAGTCAGTGTGTATACTTTCTTATTATTTTTACTGAAACATTTAAGAAATGGTTACAGAATAGGGTACCTGAACATCCACAACAGGCCATTTCTTTCTGTCTTTTAACAGGTTATATGTGTGGACTTTATTGAGTTCTAAAGAATTCATTCAATACCTCTGAGAACCCAGTTACCAATAACTCCCTGGCTCATATTTTCTGGTTTCACCACCTGAGAGGTGTATGAGTCAGGTTTCTCCAGAAAGACAAAACCAGACATCTAGGCATCCCTCAATCCAGTCAAGTTGACACCTAAAGTTAACGATCACAAGAGAGATTGTGCCTCTTATCATATTCTCATTAAAGGAAAAAAACTCTGCTGGGCACAGTGGTTCACGCCTATAATCCCAGCACTTTGGGAGGCCGAGGCGGGCGGATCACGAGGTCAGGAAATCAAGACCATCCTGGCTAACACGGTGAAACCCTGTCTCTACTAAAAATACAAAAAAAAAAAAAAAAAAAAAATTAGCCGGGCGTGGTGGCGGGCGCCTGTGGTCCCAGCTACTCGGGAGGTTGAGGCAGGAGAATGGCGTGAACCCGGGGGGCGGAGCTTGTAGTGGGCGGAGATCGCACCACAGCACTCCAGCCTGGGCAACAGAGGGAGACTCCGTCTCAAAAAAAAAAAAAAGTCCACTCTTTTTAGAACACTTTGGACATCAGTTTGCCTGTAAACGTGTATTCTTTTTCTTAAGGAGAACTCTGAAGTTTTAAAAGTTTCAGTACCACAAGGCGTACATCAGCTCCCAGCTCAGATTCCAGCCTCTCATTGCCCACTCTTAAAGAGTTAAGCAGTGCTACCTTAAGGAATCAGAACAGTTCAAATGATTTCAGAGCCTACCTTCAGCCAGAAGGCTGAAAGTATTTTGGTTATCATCTGGACATTTATTGACATTGCAACTGATAGAGAATAAAGAGTGATGAATTATTGCAGACCCATCCTTTTTATATTGTTGTAATGAAAAGATTTAAAGTACTATACTGTCTAGACCAGAACACGGAGTCTTCTCAAATATTGGCAGATCTTGGAACGTTATGTGATTCAGATGTAAGGAATTACTGTCAGAAGGGATTGGGAGTTGGGGAAGGGGAAGAGGTGGTAGAGATTCAATGCAGTATTTATTAACTTCTTATAGAATAAAAATAATTAATTTTGTTTGGTTATTTTAATTGATTATAATTCCCCACCAGATACTCATTAAATTATTTTCTGTTTAAAAATCCCAAGTTAAATTATTTTCTATTAAAATCTCACCAGGCATTTCTTATAGGAGAAACACCTATAAGAAATACAGGGACCAATGAATACCTGATTAATACAGTATTGCTTAAGAAAGGATGAAAGAAGGTAGAGTTTCAGAATTAACATAGTAGTGAAGGTTATATCTCTAAGACTTTTAAACTTTTGTGAAGAAAATGATTGGGCCGGGCACAGGGGCTCATGCCTGTAGTCCCAGCCCGTTGGGAGGCAGAGGTGAGTAGATCACCTGAGGCCAGGAATTCAAAACTGGCCTGGCCAACATGGTTAAACCCTGTCTGTACTAAAAATACAAAAAATTAGCTGGGTGTGGTGGCGGCACCTATAATCCCAGCTACTCAAGAGGCTGAGGCAGGAGAATTGCTTGAACCCGGGAGGTGGAGTTGGCAATGAGCCGAGATTGCGCCATTGCACTCCAGCCTGGGCAACAAGAGCGAAACTCCGTCTCGAAAGAAAGAAATAAGAAAGAAAATAATTGGCAAACATTCTTCTCTCCACCCTAGAGGGAGATGGTTAAAGTTTAGGAATTAATCATATCTGGGAGTCACTCTAAGAAAAAAATAGGAGTCAATATTAAAGGCTAATGTAATTAATTTATTCAAGTAGAACCTTCAGGCTGAAGAAGAAGGAAACTAAATGCTACTCAATATAATTATAGGACTCAGAGAAAGAGAAGGTAGGGGTGTCTTGATAATTAAGAACATTACTTTCTCGAATTTTTTTTCATCTGGTGCCCCCAATTCAGTGGATAGGTATATTTTCTTTAACCTCCTCAACATTCTAAAAATTGGACATTTCATATGTAAATCTAGATTTCTGAAGAGAGAGAGAGAAAAATGTAGCAACACTGTCTGCATTCCTGCAAAACAGCATTTGCTGGGAGGCATGTAACAACTGTGCCCTTTGCAAAAGCATGCAAGCTCATTCTGCGTTGCCCTGATTCCTGTCTCTCCCTATTAATGACACCAAGTCCATCTCACTCATTTACATTACCTGCTTGAAGTCTGAATGCCTCAATTATGATTCTTAGTTTGGAATGCCCTATTCCCCCCAAAAGTAATGAATTTTCTTGGATATGTGTTTCACTTAAAAGTTACTTAATTACGGGGATCTGCTCAACTGTAACACATACTGATGCAAATATTGAAAAAAAAAAAAATCCAGCTGGGCCCAGTGGCTCATGCCTGTAATCCCAGCACTTTGGGAGGCCAAGGCAGGTAGATTGCTTGAGCTCAGGAGTTTGATACCAGCCTGGCAACATGGCGAGACCTCATCTCTACTAAAATTCAAAAATATTAGCTGGGCATGGTTGTGCATGCCTTTAGTCCCAGCTACTCAGAGGTGTTGAGGCTGGAGGATCACTTGAGCTTGAGAAGTTGAGGCTGCAGTGAGTGCTGATCATGCCACTGCGCTCCAGCTGTGGTGACAGAACAAGACTGTGTCTCAAAAAAAAAATTCCAGCAAGGAGCTTCCTTCTTCCCCATTAACAATGGTTCAGAGCTGTTACTCCTCACCTGTTCTATGTAGGAGACTTGGTATCCACCTGCTTCACTGACATCCCATCAAACCCTGGGGCTGCTATTTCCTTTCACGCATCAGACTTGGGTATTTATGTTAAAGAAGGAGGGGGAATGGATTCAGGAGAGGTGGAGTGTTCTGTGTAGGTGGGTGGGAATTTAGGCAGATGACTAGAAGATAGAGATGCTTGGAGGAGTGCATGTGTGTACCTGAGGGGCATGAGATGCAAAGAAACCCTGGAGGGGACCTCTTTTGCAGGACCCAATTCTTAGGTGCCTTTTCTTTCAGTACTTAAGTACAACCTTTCGCCATCTATGTTATATGTGTCTCCTGAAATTGCCCTAACCTTTTAGTAGGCAAATTTGCACTTGGCTAAATATCTAGTGTGGTAGTCTTGAGACTAAAATGATGAGTTAATAAAAGCAAAGCAGGCTTTTTTATGCTATGAATCTCTGGCACAAGTGAAGAGTGGCAGTTCTGGCTATGTCTTGCTACATACCAACCACCTCCAAAACTTAAAGCCATAAAATAACAACAACATTATTATGCTCGCAACTCTGCTAATTGGGCAGGGCCTCTGCAGAGATGCTCAAATGGCTGAGGGGTAGAGCAGCTGACCATGTATATCTCTCTCTTATGTGGTCTCAGAGCCGCTCCACATGGTCTTCTCATTTTGTCTTTCCAGCAAGGCAGCCTCAGGGAGGTCAGGGTTTCTGTATAGCAGCTGAGGACTCCAAGAGTGAGTGCAAAACTTTTATACCCTCACTTTAGAAATTCTAAAATGCTACACTCCATTGCTCAAGTAAGTCTGGTGGATTTAAGATCAGAGGAATTAAACAATGCCTCTCAATGAGAGAAGCAAGAAAAAAAATTCGTGGACGTATTCAATCTACGACTATGGCCTTCTAAGCTTACTGAGTGCACTATAACATAGGTTTCCGGCAGTTACTGGCATTACAGATGGGTAATCCAGGGCAGAGTTGGGAACTAGGGGACTGCAGGAGAACTCTGTCAGTGAACCTACCTGACCGAGACAGTAAGGTCAAACCTTCCCATTACTCCTAAGAGGGAAAGAGTGCTACCATTAGAAAGGGGAAAGGAGTCAGGCAGAATCATTTCTGTGGAATTGTTGTCAACATCTCATTTATTTTGCCATCACAACTAGTTTTTTGTTGTTTTTTTTTTTTTTTTTTTGAGACAGAATCTCGCTCTTGTTGCTCAGGCTGGAGTGCAGTGGCACTATCTCGGCTCACTGCAACCTCCGTCTGCTGGATTCAAGCGATTCTTCTGCCTCAGCCTCCTGAATAGCTGAGATTACAGGCACCCGCCACCACGCCCGGCTAATTTTTGTACTTTTAGTAGAGACGGGGTTTTGCCATGTTGGCCAGGCTGGTCTCAAACTCCTGACCTCAGGTGATCTGCCTGCCTTGGCCTCCCAGAGTGCTGGGATTACAGGCATGAGCCACCAAGCCCAGCCCACAACTGGTTATTTTAAATATATGATACAATGTTGGAGAAAACTAAAAAGATTTCAGAGCAGCCAAAGCGGTAGTACAAGTTCTACTTGGGAATGTGTATTACTTATTCATAAGAGGACTGTTCGAGGTCTCATTTAGAGAGTTTATTCACTCTTACTTTACACACAATTAAAATAAATAGGTACATACACTTTTTGGTACATTAGTGGATAACAAATTTAAAGTACCTTAGTAGATTGGTAGAGAGAGATGCGTAATACTGTCAGAGGTAAGTCCACTGACAGCAACAAGAAATGACTCAGCTGTTAAGCCTAAATAGCTTCCAAATCCCAGTATCTTTCCCCTCTTTTCCATACTCTATACCCTATCATACAAAACTCTAGGATCAGCTGGTCTTCCTGTATGGGCTCATCTTCATTCTCAATTCCAAGAACAATGGAAACTTAAATACTTAAAGAACCACTTCCCGAGGGTCAGCATTTAGTTATCTCTGGTGTAGATCTGACCCTGAAGTCTTGTCTCTGTTGTAATGACTGGGAATCCCCTTATTCCTGAGCCCCGCCCTTCCCTTAATTCTCCTAACTGGGCTTCATCCTGGATTCCTGTTTTCAGGGTGTTATTTGATAACTGATGTAGAAACTCCTCCTAGATTGTGGTCCTTCCCATTCAGCGGTTAGCCACAGCACATGAATGAATCCTGTTTAGACAGTAGAGCTGTTTTACTTGGTGAAGGACATTTCTAGTGCCAGCTTCCTGGAAACTACTAGACTACTAAATGTCCCTAATCCAAGCCCCCTTTGTCAGTTTTTACCCATGTTAGGAATTCATGACCCTTCATCATGAAACCCTGTGGCTGACTGTCCAGGCCACAGCTGAAGAACTGAGGGAATGGCCAAGTGTTGACCCTACATTTGTCACCATCTCAACATCTGGTGTTGGCACTGTCTGCTGGCTGAGCAGGTTGAATGCTGACAGTGTAGATACTGTTCCACTGCCTATCTCCCCCATCCTGGTTGGCTAATGGCCATGGCTTCTTGATGCCCTAGATATGACCTCAACATCCTTAAATTAAAAGAGCAGAAGAAAAAAAAATGAATGTCCACTGAACAAACACAACATCAAAAGAAAGTGTGGGACTATTTTGTGAACAACTAAACACCTCAAGAATAGTGGTAATAGTAATGCACGTTTATCAGGCACTCTTCTAAATCTTTTACATGTATGAACTCATTTCATCCTCACAACAGCTTGGTGAGGCAGTACTATTATTATTCTCATTTTGTGGATGAGGACACCAGAGTGCAAGTAACGAGTCTAGGTACACTTAGTAGAGTTAGGGGGAGGGCTAAATTTTAAACCTGGCCATCTTGCCCCAGAATTCACACTCTTACCCATTTTTTCTGAGGCCCCTGTAGATGTCAGTGCATCCTAGCCCAGTATAATAACCCAAGCTTACAATGATGGTCCTGAGTCACCAAGAAGATACAATTCTGTTCCAGAGGGCAGAAAGAATTCTCTCAAAACCTAATGGGGTGGTTGGGGGGAGAGCATCAGGAAGAATAGCTAAGGGATGCTGGGCTTCATAACTAGGTGATGGGTTGATCTGTGCACCAAACCACCATGGCACACTTTCACCTATGCAACAAACTTGCACATCCTGCACATGTACCCTGAACATAGAATAAAAGCTGAAGAAAAATAAATTATTAAAAAATAATGTCACTTTAAGGGGCCAGCTATTGTTATCTGGAAAATTCACTTATATGGGGCACTCTAAACAGTGTTGTTACTCTTTTATGGCCATTCACTTTTTCATGATGTTTACTGAATACCTGAGTCATACCACATCTTTAATTTAGACCTAAATTTTTATAAGCTATGGGTACATACACTAATATATGAGGGGGCTTGTTCATGGAAAAATGGAATTAAAAGTTCATGGAAAATCGAATTAAAAGATAAAAACAAAAAAAAAAGACTTTATTTCTCAACTTGGGCTTCATCAAGTTCAAGACACCTTTCTAAGCAGTATCAGCCATTTAGTCCATCCCTAAAGAACTGAGGGTCCTGGGAATTTAACCATGTCAGTGCAGTCTTTTTTATATTACTCACAAAAGAAAGGGTGTCTTCTAAAGATTTTCTAAGATAAAGGAAAAAAAAAAAATCAGAAGGAGCCAAATCAATACTGTAAGTTTAGTTGTCTGATGATTTGCTATATAAACTCTCACAAAATTGCCCTCATTTGATGAGGGAAACAAGCAGGAGCATTGTTGTGGTGGACAAGGACTCCTTGGTGAAGCTTTCCTGGGTGTTTTCTGCTAAATCTTTAGCTAACTTTCTCAAAATACTCTCATAATAAGCAGATCTTTTCATCCATTGGCCCTCCAGAAAGTCAACAAGCCAAATAACTTAAGCATCCCAAAAAACTCTTGGCATGACATTTGCCCTTGACCAGGCTATTTCTACTTTGACTGGACCACTTCCACCTCTTGGTAGCCTTGTGTTGATTGTGCTTTGTCTTCAGGATCATCCTGGTAAAGTCATATTTCATCACCTGTTCCAATTCTTCAAAGACATGCTTCAGGGTATACATATATCTGTTTGTCTGCCAAGGTGAAAGAATGCTTCAGGATCTTGATCCCACTTGTTTAATATTTCCATTGAAAGTTCTTTCTGCACCTGATCTGGACACAATGCTTTTGGCACTCATTGAATGGAAAGTTTGCTCAAGTTTAATTTTTTAGTCAGAATTGTGTGAGCTGAAGCAACTGAGATGTCTATGGTGTTGGTTATTCTTTCTGCTGTTAATCATCAGTCCTCTTCAATTAGGGAACAAATGATTAATTTTTCCTCATGAAATGATGTGATGGTCTGCTGCTGTGGGCTTCATCTTCAATGTCATCTCATTTTTTTTTTTTTTTTTTTTTTTTTGTGACAGACTGTCACTCTGACACCCAGGCTGGAGTACAGTGGTATGATCTTGGCTCACTGCATCCTCTGCCTGCTGGGTTCAAGCAATTCTCCTGCTTCAGCCTCCAGAGTAGCTGGGACTACAGGTGTGCACCACCATGCCCGGCTAATTTTTGTATTTATAGTAGAGATGGGATTTCCCCATGTTGGCCAGGCTGGTCTTGAACTCCTGACTTCAGGTGAGCTGCCCGCCTTAGCCTCCCAAAGTGCTGGGATTGCAAGCATGAGTTACCATGCCCAGCCAGAGTTTTTTTTATCATTTGCATTGTCCATGAATTTTTTGAAGACCCCCTTTCTATTTCTGGATTATGCCAGCAACAATTTTATGTATGGCTTAGCACATTTTGATGCTATGTAATTTTTGTATTACACAGCCTTTTAAAGTTTTTGATCAAGAATAATCAAAGTGGTATATATTAGATCCACATTTACAGCCCCAAACTGAAAACGAATTAACATTTTCCCCTGTAACACATCCGTAGAATTAACATGATAACTATCAATTCTATTTTTCTGAAAGTTTGGCCAGGTGATTAAAATAAACTTTGTTTTTCCATTATATTTTTCAAATAAAGGAATTTCAATTACCTCACAATTAAGGCACAGTTAGTTTGTCACAGGTCATGACTTAATTGCCTCAATCTGGAATTTCCAGCCAAATTATCTCATTAGCATTCAGAGCCTTTAGGCCACTGAAAGTCTAACTAAACAAAACATGGTGTCATAAATTTTTGTCTGAGAAAGGGCAGTTAGGGGTATTAAAAACACATACAAATAGAAAAGAAACCATCCAGGACATTTAACCATTTCTTCCTAAGAAATTCCCAAGATTGACGATGTTTGAAAAGTAAGCTAATGCATGGAAAGCATGTTTTTTTTCTGGCGTCACAGAAGAATTATAGTGAGACATTTTAACAAATATTTGGGCTCTACCCCAGCTGATTAAATCAGAAGCTCAGGGTGTAGGCCCTGGACATTGTATATTTAAAATTTCCCTAGTGAATTCTGATGTGCAAAAAGCTGGAAAACACCAATCTAAGCCAGGAGCCAGCAGACTATGGTTGATGACCTGGCCACTATGTAAATAAAGTTTTATTGAAACACAGCCACATCCATTCATATTGTGTTATCTATGGCTAATTTTGGGCTACAAGGGCAGAGTTGAGTAGTTGTGACAGAAACCATGTAGCCCTAGAAACCTATGATACTATCTGACCATTTAAGAAAAAGTTTGTCGGCCGGGCACAGTGGCTCACACCTGTAATCCCAACACTTTGGGAGGCCGAGGCTGGTGGATCACCTGAGGTTGGGAGTTTGAGACCAGCCTGATCAACATGGAGAAACCTCTGTCTCTACTAAACATACAAAATTAGCCAGGTGTAGTGGCGCATGCCTGTAATCCCAGCTACTCAGGAAACTGAGGCAGGAAAATTGCTTGAACCCGGGAGGTGGAGGTTGCGGTGAGTCAAGATCGCGCCATTGCACTCCAGCCTGGGCAACAAGAGTGAAACTCTGTCTCAAAAAAAAAAAAAGTAAGAAAAAAAAAGAAAAAGAGAAAGTTTGTCAACCTCTGCCATAGGCTAATGTATTGATAATATTGCATTTGGGTGGTAGTATTCAGATGTGTTAAATTTGCTCAGAAGAACTGAGGAAAGAATTATGTGAAGAATTGAAGAATTAGATGTTTTCCTTCCTTAATTATTCTTCCAGAAAGTTGAACACACTATCTCTGCTTATATCTCATTGGTTGAAACTGAGTCACACAGCCCTATCTAGCAGCAAGAGAGACTAGGAAATGTAGTCCTTATTCTAATGGCCATGTGCCCAGCTAAAATCCAAAGATCTATTATTATACTAAGGGAAAAGGAGAACACAAATATTGTGTGACTAAAAGAAGTCTCTTTCACATTGGTCTGCTTCCTATTTAAATACCACACCCAAAGTGCTGCAATAGGAACAGGAAAAAACACGCCCTGAATGGGAAAACAAGTAATGAACAGGTTAAGACTCCATTTGCTATTATCTCTTGTGTTAAAACATTTGATCCCTCAACTTTTTGGGATGATGTGCTCACTGATTAGCCTCTGATGCAGCACAGAAAACATTTTTCAGTCAGAAATCCCACTATATCGGGTGTATTTGATCCAGATATCCAGAACTAATTGAACAGAGTCACCGAACATTTGCTGCCATATTGCTGGGTGGGGTGAGCATGTAATTTATGTACAAGGTAGACAGGTGAGAGCAAAAGGGGTGCTGTTAATAGTTATACTTGGACAACAGTAAAATCTGGGAAGCTCAGACGATAGTCATTCTAATTTTGATCTACTATTTGAATGAGCATTTTAAAATATGAGATAAAAAGAGAGAAAAAACAAACCTCAATGTGGAAGGCTGACCTTTGTGCCAGACAGATGTTGTTACTTTAGTTGAAAAGTAGCAAATAACATCATTACTCACGATGATATAAATACACTTTAATTACTTTAAATTTTAAAAGAGTATATTTTATCATTGAAAAACTTATCTGTAAGTTTACCTAAAATTGGTGGTCTTTGTGAAGCCAAACATCATCAAGGTAGTTCATAGATACCAAAAACTTGAGAAACAGTGTCTAAAAGATAAAATTATTTTGAGAATTCAAGGATTTTTAATATCAATATAGGATAGATAACAAAAGGCATGTCAACAAGTCTTGGCAACTCTAACTCTTAATATTTCAAAATCTACATCCTTTTACCAAGCGACATCCCTGTTGTCATCATTATAATTGGATTCCTTTACTCCAATGTATTTGTCCCCCAAATCCAGGGACCACCTTATTCCCAGAGCAAGCTTTCTAAAGCACAAACTCAGTCATGTGATTTTCCTTTCTGATATCTTTCCATGATACCCCATGCCCCATTGTCCTTCAGGGTCAAGTCCAGACAGGGCTACATAATTTGTGGGGCCCATTACCAAACAAAAATATGGGGCTCCTTGTTCAAAAAGCAGGAAAAATTGTGCCATTTAAGGTAATCAAATATAAAAGATTTTTCCTTTCTTCTCTGGTGTGTCTTTCAACTTTTCATGGTATCTTTATTTGCTATTTAATGTTCTAAGTTTAAACATTAAATATTTAAATTTTTAGAATAAAATTTACCATTCTTCATATTATGGCACTGCCAACTTTAAATATAAATATAAAAGCATTTATCTTAAATGCAAAATCACCCAAATTACACAGGTTGTGTTTTATATATGCATATGTGAAAATGCTGCACAAAACCAACTCAGCTGTTTGTATTTCACTTCTCGGTATGTGCACATCCCACTAACACTCTCTAGTGGTTACCCCACTTTTCCTTTCTTTCTATGTCATCATTTTCTACATAATACAGGCAAGTAATGTAAGAAAGGATATGATTGGGCTCCTCAGTCGGTCCTGCTTTTATTGAAGCAGCTATAGTTTGAACAGAAAGCCTGGCTTCTCAGGGCAGTCAGTGTCCCATGTATTTAGCTGTACAGATTATGCACTTACCTTGTACATTCTTTCAGTCATGTCGTATTCCCATGCATTGTGGGTCTACCTGAATTCTGTGCTCATGGGGCATCATGTATGCTAAATGTGAATGGGACAGCAAGAAACAGCAGATACACACAGTCTGTAGTCTTTTATGACCATTTCCTTTTCCTTATCATAATGCTTTTGAGATTCGCACATAGTTTAATATCAGTAGTTCATTCCTTTTTATCGATGAGTGGAATTCCATTGTATGGATATGCCACAGTTCGTTTAATCCATTCAAGAGTTGAGCGCTTGCCTTGTTTCCAGTTGTTAGCTATTATAAATAGCTACTATGAACATTTGAATATGAGTATTTGCAGACATGTTTTCATTTTCTTGGGTAATTAACTAGCAGTGAAATAGTTGAGTCATTTGGTACGTGTATTTTTAACTTTTAAATAAACTTCCAAGTGGTTTTCCAAAGTGTTGTACTAGTTCACATTTCCACCTGAGGTGTGTGAGGGTTAATAATTACTCCATGTCCTCACCTACACGTGGTATTTTCAGATATTAATTTCTGGTGACTAGTGATGTTCATTGTAGTTTTAATTTGCAGTTCTCTGATATTGAATTGAATAGTTTCTTAATTCCTTTCAATACTTTCAGAATGTCTGTCTTCCCTCCCTGACAGACTGTCAATCCCATGACAGCAGAGACTGCGTATTTCTTTTATCTTTTTGTTATTTCTGGACCTCTGTGGTCTTTATTAATTTAAAATATTTTAATGGGATATTTTAAAGATAAATAAAACTAGTGAGTAACAAACCTTCATGTACTCACCACTCATGTGTAAGAATCATCAAAACAAGCCCCTCATATTTCATCCACTAACACCTTTCAAATTCACCCCTCCCCTACCCACCCACACACTGAATTATTTTAAAGAAAATCTGGGACGATATCTTTCTTGTGTATCTCTAGTGTTTAGAACAATACCCCAAAAGAGGGAGATACTCAATATTTATTGAATGACTAAATATTCTATGTATGTTTACCCTACTTTATCTTATGCTCTTACCTTAAAGACAGACCATTACTTTGAGGCAGTTAATTAATCACATTGAGCTTTTTCAGTAAATTTAAACAGTAATATCATAAGATTCCTTCCAAAACTACCAAATTGGCATCTGGTCTCTGACTGTTGTCAGAGGGATGCTAAAAGCTGAGAAATAATAAAGTTTTCTTTGAGCTGATCAACATCTTGATTACTTGCCAAGATTTTTTGGTTGTGAAGCAGTGTCTTTGGATAAATCAGCCATGAAAACAAGCTTCAGCTATGGCAGATTTCTAGCCCTTAGAAGCTGTTTATGAAACTCTGTATTAGGTTGAATACTGAATAGTCCATCACACCAATAATGGGGCTAGAACAAAATTGCTTGACTCTGGTTCGATGCTACTTTAGAACACTAAGTTGTAAAACTGGCTGTCAGAATGGAATAAACAATCAGAGTAGCCTGCAGCAGAAAACCATCAGAGTTTGATGATTGGGCTAAAGTAAAGCAGATATAAGTCACATTTCTGGAGGCATAATTCACAATGTAAAAATTCTCTAAGAAACCTGCTCTTGTGCTGGTTAAGAGCTAAATAAGACTGCCTGAGATGTCAGACAGGTAAATATATCTTTCATATTGCTGTGGTGTGCTCCTACAATTAACCCTGGAACAAAATACTTCTGAATCTTCTAGAAAATTTTGAAAAAAACAAAATGCCTAAAAGGAAGGATGTGCTTTCAAAAACATAAATTGTGTGTGAGAGCCACAGCTTTGTTTTCCCAGAGAATAGCAATTGGATCACTCCAAAAGCTTAATTAACAGGTTATATTGCTTCGTGACTTCCAGTTTGTTTCTGTTTGTTCGTCTCTAAGGTGAATCAGCCAAGGTAAGGTGTGCGCATCAGTTGAAACAATTCTTTCACGTAGTTGGCTTTTCTTGCCATGGGCTGTGAAATATGTGACAAAAAATATCACATTTTTAAAGTGGCAGTGTAACAATTTCTGTTGATCCTTATGTTGTGGTTAGATGCCAATAGCTCCACGAAGCCTACAGTTTAAAATAGCAATTATTTTAAAGTATGTCTCTTTTGTACACCACTAGGAAATTGGATTGTGTTTTCTGAGCCTCCCCGGAGCATTAGCCAAAGCATAGCTAAAGCTTTTCCAGTATTATAAATCATCTTTGTAGGCTCACAGATATTTTATAATAAAGGTTGGGATTTGCCTAATCTTTTTAATGTGAAATTCATGTTTCTTTTTCTCCATTAATCGCTATCCCATTTCTGTGACTCCACTCACACATTAAATTTATCTAGGCTATCAGCCAAAGTGAAGTGCTTGTTTACCTTCTTCCTAAAGCCAGTCTCTTCATCCAAATTACCCACGGTAGATTAGAACTCTATTTTGACCTTGCTACAAGAAAAGAAGTAACTCAGTTATTGTGGATCATGGGTAGGTGATAGGCTTATAAATTATCCACTTGTTTTGTTGGTATTAACTTTTAAAAGGAAGCTTTTCTTTTAAGAAACATATATTAAGAGTTGTGAGAAAAATAAGCGCACTGGCTCAGGCCTGTAATACCAGCACTTTGGGAGGCTGAGGCGGGCAGATCACCTGAGGTCAGGAGTTTAAGACCAGCCTGGCTAATATGGTGAAACCCCGTCTCTACTAAAAATACAAAGTTAGCCGGGCATAGTGGCACACACTTGTAATCCCAGCTACTCAGGAGGCTGAGGCAGGAGCATCACTTGAACCCGGGAGGCGGAGGTTGCAGTGTACCATTGTACTCCAGCCTGGGCAAAAAAAGCACAGCTCCTCCATCTCAAAAAAAAAAAAAAAAAAAAAGAAAGAAAGAAAGAAAGAAAAAAGAAAAAAAAAGAAAAGAAAAAGAAGAAAAGAGTTGCGAGGAAAATAAGGTAAGACTTCTTTATATACTCAAAATGAATCAGACTATTAGGACACATTTAAAAAACTGGTTATCATGGGGAATTTGTAGTTTTCATTGTTGGATGTATGCCTATACAATTATATAATATCTTAAAAAACAGATGTCAATATATTCAATTGAATTGAATTGAAATATATTCAATTCTGAGTTCTGTCTGACATTGTGGAAACTCTCCCTTAACCTCATCCCTAAGTAAAAACCAAAAATAAGCAAATAAATAAATAAACTAAAACCACTCTAAAAAGAGCCTCAGCTGAATTATCAATACCATGTTTGAGGGGGAGAATGTCATTAGGACTAGAATCCATTTAAAAGTGATTTTTAGTACAAAATTAGAAAAATAATTGTTATTCAAGAAGTTTGCTTTAATTTGGTAAGAGAATAGACACCATTTCAATAAATGTAATTTAGGTTTTTAGTTACATATTATTTGGTACAGATATAGTTCTGCATTGCATAAAAATAATCACATTTTCTATCAGTTAATGTGGTGATTTTCCATTGTATTCTTTTGGTTGTAAGTAATAGAATACCCAATTTAAAAAGTTTAACAAAAGTAAGTGTCAAAGTGCTTTCAGGATTGGTTTGACAGCTTAGTAATATTATAAAGGATTCATATCTTTCTATATTTCAGCTCTTCATCCTCAGAATATTGTCTTGGACCTTAGATTTATTTTAACCTCTTGAATGTAAGGGTGTAGCTGTAGTTTAGGTATCACATGTAGAGATAACATCATCTGTCATAAAAGATGGACAGTTTCTTCCCACGTATCTTTTTAATAGGAAGGAAAACTTTTCTCAGAAGCTCCCTGGCAGACTTTCCTTTTGGTCTCTTCTGCAGGATTGGATCACAACCCCATAACCTAGCTGCAAAGAAATTTAAAGAAAATGATGTATGACATTTTAAGACTCTGTCATTGAATGACATCTTGGCCAGGAAGGAAGAAGTGGGAAGGAGGAATGTGACAGTTGGAAAGACAACAGTTGTCTATCAATAGTTTATACCACATTTTGTTACTGTTTTGGTAAAATAAAGTTAATAATAATTAAGTGTAATTTATTTGAAGTAAACTTTTGTTTGCTTTTGCGAAGGAATTTGTATCAATACATTACAGATACTTTTTATGGGAGATTCATAGATTAATTCTAACTAAACCTCTTTACTTTCTGTCATAGAAATTTTAGAAGTCTTTTTAAAAACATTCTTAGACAAAGAAAAGAAATCTTACTGTGACATTACAGTTCCAAGTCACAAAAAACAATAAGATATGATGAATCGAGAAACCAAATCACACTCTTTCAATGGAATGTGGCAAAGACCAACTGGCTAGTGAAATGACTCGGAAACAAGGCCCTGAGCATAGACAAAGACACAATGGAAACCAATCAGATTAAACGGGCATCAATGCTATAATTAGATTCTGCAGCAGATGTAGAACTGAAAACACCAGGGCACCTGTTTTGTTCAAACCGAAGCTAGATTTTATAGACACTGAGAGGCAGAGGGCAACAGCAAATCATCACTCTTCATTTGTCTTGATTCACCTGGGAGGCAACCGGATTTTCCAAGAGTGGGGTTCCATTCAGAAAAAAAGTAGCAGTGATAAAGACACAACCAAAACAACAACAAAACAAAAATTTTACCTTATTTTGAATGTTCCTATTCTGAAATACTCTGAAAGCATATTTCTCTTTTCCCAGGTTTTTAGTTTTATCTAGAAAGGATACAGGCCCTCTCTTCAAAACAGACTTTGCAAAACATTACTCAAGCACACTGCATTAACAGGGATTTATTAATTCTCACGATGATTCATTTATTGTTTCCCTCTTTTGAGAGAAAAGAAAACAACTGAGAGCTGGGTTGTGTAGTAAGATGGCTTGTGTAGTAAGTCCCTAACTAAAGGAGCAGAATCTAAGGCCTCTTATACTTTTACCAAAGACAAAGGAGAGCTTCAAAGTTTATACTAAGTACCAAAATGAAAATAATTCTGGCTGCATTTAATTGGGGATTAACAGAGAATGCAGAAATTATAACACATTATTAAGGAGCTATTCCACCCTCTGAAAAATAACATGCTTTTCTTACAATAAGCACAGTACATTGAAATTTACTTAAAAAAATAAGACAACTCATCTTAATAAAAAGAGAAATGCTATTTTATTAATCTGTTAATTTTTCAGAATAAAGGCTTTTTATATTCTTCATTATTCTAAAAGTCAAAATCTCCATTTCAGTAGAGCATTTTTAAGAGGAGGTGGAGGGAGGTTCTAATGAATATTTATGCTCAAATCCACCCAGATTTGCTTGGTGATGGGACATAGAGCCTTTTAATGTGCTTTTAAAAATGTGGATGAGGCCAAGCACAGTGGCTCATGCTTGTAATCCCAGCACTTTGGGAGGCCGAGGTGGGTGGATCACGAGGTCAGGAGTTCGAGACCAGCAGCCTAGTTAACATAGTGAAACCTCGTCTCTACTAAAAATAGAAAAAATTAGCCAGGCGTGATGGCAGGTGCCTGTAGTCCCAGCTACTTGGGAGGCTGAGGCAGGAGAATTGCTTGAACCCAGAGGCGGAGGTTGCAGTGAGCCGAGATTGCGCCACTGCACTCCAGCCTGGGCGACAGGGTGAGACTCCACCTCAAAAAAGAAAAAAGTGTATGGAGCCCAGCGTGAAAAACAAGATTGGCATGACAATCAAATTGCTAGAGTTGAATGTACCCTAGCAAGACACTTCAAGGGTCTTAAAATCATTATTTTCCACAGGAACAAATGGCTTTCACTTAGGAAGAATAAATTTTTGAGGTCTATTGCATAGCATGGTGACTATGGCTAATGGTAATATATCATATTTCAAGATTGCTAAGAGTAAATTTCAAATGTTTTTGCCAGAGAAAAGCATGTGAGGTAATAAATATGTCAATTATATTGATTTAATCATTTCACATTGTATACATATATCAAAATATCCCACTGTATTCCACAAATACATACAATTAAGGCTTCTCAATGAAACAAATATAAATGAAAAAAATACATTTTCTTCCTTTTACTTAAACCAGAGGAAGGATCATGACTGGGAAATTAATAGTTTTAAATATGCTTCTAGTGGTCCATACTAAACTCTCTGAATGATCTTAAAAGTCATGTTAATTACCATCAGTTTAGATCCCATTGTTTTTATATTGCAGGCAGTGAAATGACCAGATACAAATAGACCAGAAGCTCTGTTGGATTTTTGTTTCTTTGAATGTAACTTCTTTCCTCAAGTCCTTTACATAAGGTCATGGGCATACAGAGAAATATTTCTCTGCCTTGTGAAAAACAATAATGCAGTCACGATGATAACAAGTAGTTATTGTCATCTAACAAATAGATATTGTTGTGCCAAGTGGTATTCTAGGCACTGAGAATACTGTAGTCAGTAAGACAGGGAAGCTCTCTGCTAGCTTGGAACTTCAATTCTAGAGTATAGTGGAATCAGAGAATAAACAAGTAAACAAGAGGACAAGTAAGATTCTTTTCGAGAATGATAAGTATCGTCAGGAAAAGAGAAAAGAGTAAAACTGCAACTGGCAAAAGGATCCAGCTGCCTGCAGCTTGTGGAAAGAAGTCAAAATAATAATGAATTATCATAATAAAGAGTGATATTTCTTTATTATTCATGCCAGCAATGGGAAGAGTAGAAAGGAATTCCACTCTTCAACTTGTGGAGGGAACGTGGGTTTTTAAAGAAAGGGTTTGGAATGCAGAAGAGGTAAGGAGGGAGCTAGGAGGTGCCAGGTGGCCTGACTTGCTCCCGTGGCTCACCTTGAATTATTGTCCCATTTGGTAAAGGAGCTGGCGCCATCGTGGGTCCTGCCAGGTCATAATAGGTCAATTCTGTAGTCACTCTTCAGTCGGGAGTGACTTCTGGACTTGAAGTAATCTTTTGTTGGAGAGAGAATTCTGGAGCTGTCTCGTCCCTATCAGGATCTGACCCCTGACACTTCTAAGGAAATATGTGACCAGATAAGAGAGCGTGGTGTGTGGTTAACAAGCATCGAGATAAATAAACGTGCACAAGGCATGGGAGTATAGTATGGAAAAGGAAAGGGAGTCGAGGTTCACAGCACATTCCAAGGCTGTATTTTGAGATGAAAGGTAGCACATATGCAGTTTGTCTTAAAGTTACATCTTTAGATTTGGAGGGGGAAGAGAAAAGGGAAAAGAAAAAAAAGTTTAAAATGTAGTCTGAGGCTAAGCTGCTATACTTTTCAGTTACAAAATGGGGTAGAGTCACCAGATTTAGAGATGGAGGAGTTTCAATGGTCAGAAAAGCCTCTTAATGGTATCAGACATTTAGCATCAGGGTTCGGAGAAACTCAGGGATGGAGGCAACCGTGACCAACTGGAGAGTCTGTGTTTCATTTGAAACAAGCAGTGCCATTGGATTCCTGCAGAATCCACTTGGCATTGGGGAGAGATAGGCAATGTTGCCAGATCTGGCCTTTCAAGAGAAACTCAAATTTAGATTTCAAAAAGAAATTGCCTTTTTATATGTTGGTACCTAAGATATAGGACATTTGCCAACCAACACTATATCACTGGTAACAGAATACAAGGGAGGTCTAGATCAGGTTGGAGGGACACCAGTGCCTTGAATCTCTGCTCTAGAACTTTCTTCTAGTCTAGAAGGCTAATCTAATAAAATAATGTGGCCTAAGATATTAATGCAGATGATAGCTTAATGTATATATCTTCCAGAGATGATAACTGACAAATTAACCAGGACTTTCCACCAGTTGTGAACAATCGGGCATGCTGGAAGGAGAGACTGCTAAGAGTGGTCTGGCTCACAGTCCCTTGGATCACAACTAGGGGCCTCGGCATATTTTTCACTTTGTAATGCTCCTCCTATGAGTAGACAAGTAAAAACAATGGGAACTAAACTGATGGCAATGAGCATGAGAATTTAAATTATTCAGATATGTTATTATGGGCCACTATAGGTATATTTCCAAATGTATTAATTTCCCAGTCATAGTCTTTCCTCTGGTTTAAATGAAAATAAGTGGAAAGAAAGAAAATGAAAATTGGATACATAGGTTCTTTGATCAAATAAGGGAATTATATGTAGATATTATCATTAATGCTTTATAAAATTAAAACATATCCTTTCTGGAAAGAAGCAAATGATATTTAGAACTAGCATTTTCAGTTATTCTCTTTTTTTAGGTTTGCTTGGAATCATTTCCCATTGCCTCTTTAACTCCTTCTTCTCATCTCAGCATAAATGTCAGAACTTGGCTATGATTCATGGAAAAATTATGCCACGTAGTGTTAATGCCACACCATTTCTAACTAGAGCCTTTATTTTACCAGCCATGAAGCATAAAGAATATTATAAGTAGTTCTCTATTTGTTTTTTAGTGAAAAAATTTAGCAGTCTCCCATGTATTCATATAATTAAGTTCAGATTTTTTTCCATTATGTCCTTTATGTAATCAGATGATGATTTCTTAGACATTTGACCAAGTTTTATCTTTCTTTTAATTCCGAAACATTTCAGATCCATAAAAACTGATGAAAATAAATTAGATTTTACAGTATACTAAATGATGGACTATTTAAGAATTACTTAAACTAATTTTTGGAAAACAAATTCTTTACATTAAAAATATATTTAAAAACTAAAATAGCTGAACTATTTAGATTTTATAACTTACCAAAAAAAACAAAGTAGAAGAGAAAAGAGTATTAAACCTTTTGGCCGGGCGCGGTGGCTCACGCCTGTAATCCCAGCACTTTGGGAGGCCGAGGCGGGCGGATCACGAGGTCAGGAGATCGAGACCATCCCGGCTAAAACGGTGAAACTCTGTCTCTACTAAAAATACAAAAAATTAGCCGGGCGTAGTGGCGGGCGCCTGTAGTCCCAGCTACTTGGGAGGCTGAGGCAGGAGAATGGCGTGAACCCGGGAGGCGGAGCTTGCAGTGAGCCGAGATCCCGCCACTGCACTCCAGCCTGGGCGACAGAGCGAGACTCCGTCTCAAAAAAAAAAAAAAAAAAAAAAAACCTTTTAAAGGAAATCTTTCTTTACTGGGAAACCTACTTAAGAAGGACAGATGACACTGGGAAAGGGTAATGGGATCTTCTGTAATGCTGATGACAGCAATGAGGTGGTGATGGGGATAGGGATGGAAATCCCCCATATGGTTAGGAAGCTAAGATGTGAACCAACTGATTTTGAATTAAAAATTAGAACCATCTTCTGTAAGACTTAAACACAGGAAAATCACACCAACTCAGCGTCCTTAATTGCTTTTAGTATCTCTGTTCTAGTTCATGGTCTTTCTTTCACTTTCCTGTATTTTCAATCTTATGGTCAGGACAGGTGCATGCTGTTTTAATTAGCATATTCACACCTGGAATGCAACAACTTAGAAATTACCTGCAGTCACAAAGAATGTCTCCATGGCAAAAAACAAACAAACAAAAAATAAATTACCTACAGTATGTTCCTTTTTTTCTTTTGAAAATCTTAGTGAATGTTATGTACTTTGAAGAGGTTAAAACCTAAAACTATTGATCCAGGGAGAAAAGTACTTTTTGCATAGACTTTCCTTTCCAAGAAACTGAAGGAAACTGTTTGTTCTTGAAGAATGCCATTTGGCCTTTCTCTTATATTGTCTATATAATAGACTACAAGCTGTTCTTTCTGCAAAATGAGCTTGTTTTGAAGTTAGATCATAGTTCAAAGAGAGATCTTGTACAGCTATTTCAAGAAGCGAGGACTCTGGAGGGCGAGCCATAGGTGTGGATTTCATTGCAGGATTGAGTTGCCAGGTGAGTTTAGATATTGGCTGTAGAAGCAGATATTTGAGTAACTGTACTCTTTCCAGTTTGGCTGCTGGAGAACATAGTTTGTTTTTCTCAAGTCACTTACAGAAAGTAAGCAAATAGCTCAGGTAACCTCTTTCTTAACTCCCAGACTTCCTGTGTACAGTCCTATAAGCTCTGTGAAAGCCACCCTCAAATCTCAATATTCAAACTACATTATATTAGTCCGTTCTCACATTGCAATAAGGAAATACTTGAGACTGGGTAATTTATAAAGAAAAGAGGTTGAATGGACTCACAGTTCCGCATGGCTTGGGAGGCCTCAGGAACTTACAATCATGACAGAAGACACTTTTTCACAGGGCAGAGGAGAGAGAATGAGTGACAGCAGGGGAAATGCCACATGCCTATAAAACCATCAAATCTCGTGAGAACTCACTGACTATCATGAGAACAGCATGGGGGAAACCACCCCCATGATTCAATTACCTTCCATGGTGGTATCAGTGGGATATCAGTGATATCAGATCTTGCCATTTTCAGAGTAAAATATTTGAATTTCAAGTCAGATATCTAGAATGCAACATATTGGCTTTCTATTCTTTTCCATGAAATGTATAAATTATGTAAAATATATCTTTGTGTAGAATCTGGGTTTTGGACTACACATTTGTGACTTCTGGACTCATTCTAATTTCATTACTTAAAAATTTAGTAGGGTAAATTAGTTCCTTTCAGATAAATAATGCTAGGAGTATTAACCTTCTCCTTCATTCTCAATTTAGAAATAATGGGTTTTACTGCAATAACTTTGCACCTATCAGCTTCACAAACTGGGAGGTTTGATGGTGGGATGAACAGGGACTCACTTAACATATCTGACTTTTTAAGAGTGGATCTTTTCCTTTTGTTTTTTAGAGATGGAATCTTGCTATGTTGCCCAGGCCAAAGTACAGTGGCTATTCACAAGCACAGTCATTGAGTACTACAGCCTCAGACTCCTAGGCTCAAGCAATCCTCTTTCCTCAGCCTCCCAAATACAAGCACGACAGGTGCATGCCACAGTGCATGGCCTGTATCTTTTTCTTTGACACCTCCCTCCTGTATATGACAAAATTATTTTTAATAATTATGAAATAAAACTAATCATAGTGGCTGTGAAAGTGATGAAAACAGTGAAGATTTATCTTTTATTGAATTTCATATATAGTCACGTCACTTAAAAATTTAAAAATTAATAAATTTAGAGACTAAAATAAATACCTTCAACAAAGGAAAACATAATGAATTGATATTTAACTAATGCATTTTTTAAAAAAGGAAAAATAATATCTACATAATGATCTGTCACTAAATGAATAATATAGTTTCTGTGTTCAAGCCCTCTGTCAACGGCTTCAGCAAAATAGATTTTTGCATGTTTAAGTTTATTAGCAAGTATAGACAGATTGCTTAATCTATCTTCACTCTTAGTTGATCAGAGGTTACTTTTTATTTTCAGTTTGATATATTTCTCTGACACAAAGCAACAGTTATACAAATAGTTAGAAAAGTCTTTAAGGATAGTTTGGCAGAGATTTTTATAAAAATCTTATTTCACAATAAATTTCATTGCTCTCCATGTCTTTCTTTGGGATTGATTCTAGCAGCTTTCAAATGTCCCTACAGTCAAAATATTTTAAACATAAAAATTCCAAGTGGCTACATAGAATGACAGAATTGAAGTAACAAGTTCTGTTTCTTCATCTTTGCAATCACAATGCTATCATTGCTTGTTTAAAACCTACTAGTTAGCTGGCATGGTGGCTCACACCTGTAATCTGAGCACTTTGGAAGGCTGAGGCAGGAGGATCGCTTGAGGCCAGGTATTTGAGACCTGCCTGGACAACAAAGTGAGGGCCCATCTTTATAAAAACATAAAAATAAAAATAGCCTGGTGCAGTGGCTCGAGCTTATGATCCCAGCTACTCTGGAGGCTAAGGCAGGAGGATCACTTTGAGTCCAGGAGGTTGAGGCTACAGTGAACTATGATTGTGCCACTGCATTCCAGCCTGGGAGACAGAGCAAGACTAAGACCCTATCTCTACAAAACAAAACAAACAAAACCAAATAAAAAAAACAAATCTACCAGTTAAATGCAGAAATATATAGCTTCAGAGGTGATGGAGGTAGAAATTGCCCCCCAAGCTAGCTAGAAAGAGATTCCTAACTGTCTTCAACTTGGAATTCTGTGATGAGTTAGTTCCCCAGTTTCCAGGTAAAGTGTATACACTTTACCTGGAAGTTCTCCTAGTTTTACCTGGGAGTTCTCCTAGTTTTCCTTCATGAAGAATACAGTGTTTATCAAAGAATAAATAATTTTTTAAAAGCTCAAATTTGCAATTTACCAATATGTTATTAAAATTTAGTAGCAACCACATCACTTCTTTAGAATTTACCCTGATGAAAGATTTTTTTTTTGATAGGAGTATTTGATCACTGTATTAGTCCATTTTCACACTGCTGATAAAGACATACTTGAGACTGGGCAATTTACAAATGGAAGAGTTTTATTGGACTTACAGTTCCACGTGGCTGGGGAGGCTTCACAATCAGGGCTGAAGGTGAAAGGCATGTCTCAAATGGTGGCAGACAAGAAGAACTTGTGCAGGGAAACTCCACTTTTTAAAACTATCAGATCTCGTGAGACTTATTCACTATTACGAGAACAGCACAGGAAAGACCTGCCCCCATGATTCAATTACCTCCCACCAGGTCCTTCCCACAACACGTGAGAATTCAAGATGAGATTTGGGTGGGGACACAGGCAAACCATATCAATCACTGACTTTGTTTAGAAGTGCCTTTGCTGGAGCTTGGTGAAAATAAGTTGATCCTGTTATTATTTTTAAATTCTCTACGGACATTGTACACCAATTTTGTCTGCACTGGGTCTGACAGATCCCTTTACCCACCCCCCTTGAGATACCACAGGAAAGGAGTTGCAAACAGAGGGAAAAACACAGATTGAGGAAGACTGTGTTTTGTACCATGCAGTCACATAACCCATCCCATAAACCTCCCTGCCCCAATTGCATGAGAGATATTAGCAAATTGTCTTGTTTGCCCTCTGAATCAGATTTCCTACATGTGCTTAAGTAAATCATTGTTTTTATTTGAGGAAGAGAAGATTCACTGAGGATGCTTGAGTAAATGAACTCTGGCACCCTGTACCTCATTTGGGTGAGGTTTTAGTCCCCTCATCCCTTTAGTGGCTGAATTCCAACCACTGCCTGCTGTTGGACCCAGAGTTTTGGCAACCTGTGGCTCTTATTTCAGCTCTGTCTCTGGTCCATGGGCCGGTTTATCTCTTTTTAAAGTCCAGTTATGGTTTTGTTTTTACTTCTACATTTTATCTGCCATTGTTCAATTTTTACAGTAAAGATAGGGCCAGCAGAGCTTAGATTTAGAGCCAGTTTCTCTGTTTTCTATTGGTGTGTACCTGTGAATGTATATTAATGAAACAAAACATAATGAAAATGAGGGGAGCATTTTATAAATACCCACTGGTTTATTCTTTTTAGCTTTTTACTTAGAAGCATGATTTTTATGTCTGTTAAATCTTAATCCATCTATTTATGTGATATTTCTTTAATGGAGTTTTAATATAAAAATATATATTGTTGCCCTTCTTGCTTTGTTTAAAAGATGTTTACATTTTAAAAGTTGGGAAAGCATTCAAAGTATAATTTGCTGAAATATTGTAAGGAGACATATACTTTTCCATTGCTAAAATCTACAGAAATAGAAGTCTACTTCTGTGTTGCCATTTTTCTTAAGTAATCAATTTACTAAGAAAACTCATTTCTCTGTGGTAGTTTTTTACTCACTGATACATAACATAATGCCTTCACGCCTTAATTGGGTTGTTAGGTGGGATTTAAATGATTCACATATGATGCTGAACATGATTCATATTCTGTGCTATATTTTCAGAGAACAGAAAGAATAGAGCAACAACTACAAAAGCAGATGGGACAAATATGTTAGAAGCTGTTTCAGTACCTATAAGTATTGTAGAACCACCTGGCTAAAAAGCAAAAGGATGTTCATCATAATAGTTTTATATAGCATAGTTGTTGAGAACTTCTTTCTGAAAATAATGACCCCAAACAGGCTCAGCTGTTTCTTCCTCTTGTATATGGCAGTTGGGCACATATCTTATTTTTTTGTAGCTGCATTAGTTTTTAAATATAAGTTTAAAAGAAAAAAGGCTAGAGCATAACTTGATTTTCACATCATTTAAAAGCATTATTAGATCTCTCAAAAGACTCTTCTTTCCAATTCTAATTATACTGGCATGATTATAATACAAGTTTTCAAGGGGCATTAGTACCTGGGATCTATATTGAAGCAATACAATTTATAATTCTATCTATGGAGCCGAAGTATAATTCAAATTCAGTAAGACGTTCAAGAGTTATATATTGTTTTTGAATTTACTTCTTCAGTGAGATATCAATTATCCATAGTAGATAGAACTGTGGATCCCAACCTTGGCTGCACGTTAAAAACACCAGGGGAACTTCTAAGACTCCCAGTGGCCACACCACACCCTAAACCAATCATTTTAGATTTTCCAGGGAAGGGTAAAACCCTGGAAGCAGTATAATTTCCCCAGGTAATTTCAATATGCAGCCCAAATTGAGAATCACTGAATTAGAAAGTACCATAATGGAGAAGTATGTCTAAAATCATTTTCTTCTTCTGATAAAATGCTGTATTGTAAAGCTCAGACTTAGATTTTGTTGACAGAGGAAAGTTGAAAAAGGATTTTTAGGAATATTACATTTATTTCTTCATTTATCCATCCATCTATTTATACATTCAGTAGCACTTATTAATTTCCAATATGTGCCAAATTGGGCCGAGTTTATAATCTTAAGTTATGGAAAATATATTTTTGAAGACAGGTTGATCATTTCTTGTGATAATCTAACCTTAAGAGATAAAGCAAAGGAACAGTTTTCTAACAATTGGGGTTCAGGCTACAGTGAAAATAATTTTGTCAATTGGAGAGCTTGTTAACACAAGATTCTTTTCTGTTTGAGTAGATACATTAAGGGGAATGTGCTTAATGAAACCCAGTTAAGGTGATTCCTGGAATCAACAAAATGCAGAAACTTAATCTTCCCACTGTTAGGTGAAAATAGTCATCTTATTATTTATAACAATTTTTGCTTTGAGAATTTTTGTTTTAGAAGATATACCTATGAGCAACAAAGTCTTTAAATCTGCACTCATTACTGGTTTTGAGAGCTGAAACCAAGCCGTGGCACCAAAATGTTAATGAGAACTGTCATTTATGCAGAATTTACCATGGGTACTCTGCTAAGTACTTTTAACATCCATAAAATCTTCATAACAATCCTTTGAGGAAGATATTAGCATTATCCCCATTTTAAAAACAAGGAAACTGAGTTTATAGAGAGGTTAAGTAAAACATACAAGGTCACTGTATTAGTCCATTTTCCCACTGCTGATAAAGACATACCCGAGACTGGGTAATTTATAAAGAAAAAGAGGTTTAATGGACTCACATTTCCAGTTGGCTGGGGATGCCTCACAAACATGGCGGATGGCGAAAGGCACATCTTACATGGCAGCAGACAAGAGAAATAAGAATCAAGTGAAAGCAGTTTCCCCGTATATAGAACCATCAGATCTCGTGAGACTTATTCACTACCACGAGAACAGAATGGGGGAAACAGCCCCCATGATTCAATAATCCCCTGCCAGGTCCCTCCCATAACATGTGGGAATTGTGGGAGCTACAATTCAAGAGGAGATTTGGGTGGGGACACAGCCAAACTGCATCAGTTACTTCCTGAGGGCAACTGGGTGTGAACCTCAAAACTAGGGGGTGACTTCAAAAGCGGTGCTTAAGTTTAAGAAGCAATCATTTAAATCCCTGTGTTATGCTCCCTCTCAGACCTGATGTGATTGATTTTATTATTATTGTTGTTGTTTTTTATTGAGACGGAGTCTCACTCTGTCACCCAGGCTGGAGTGCAGTGGTGCAATTTCAGCTCACTGCAACCTTCGTCTCCTGGGTTTAAGCCATTCTCCTGCCTCAGCCTCCCAAGTAGCTGGGAGTACAGAGGCCCACCACCACACCCAGCTAATTTTTTGTATTTTTAGTAGAGATGGGGTTTTACAATGTTGGCCAGGCTGATCTCAAACTCCTGACCTCAAGCGATCCACCCGCCTCTGCCACCCACAGTGCTGGGATTACAGGCGTGAGCCACCGCGCCCAGCCTGATTTTATGAGGGTTTATATAAGTATACACATAATTAGTGTAAATGTTGTGAGTATATATTGTCCATAGTGGAACCTTAGTGAAGAGCATAGAAATAAGGTGTATTAGATTGTTCTCCAAATTTCTCTGAATATGAAAATCCCCTGGGTACCTGTTAACACTGTCACTTTTTCCCTAGTCACTGACTCCCTGAATTAGAATCTCCAAGGGAAGAGCCTGGAAAGCTGAATTTTTTCCAACAACGAGCCCTAAGTCATTCCTATTGTAAGGGAAGTTTGGAAACATTGCTCTGAGTTAAGCATTATAATCGACAAATAATGAAGGCACAAAATCTTTATACCTGAAAAAATATCTTGATATTTCTTTCAGGTGTAAAGTGCTAGATTATCATGTCTAAAGAAATAAAGATCCATTAAAAGGGAGTTGCTTGGCCAAAGAAGCATTGAAAAAGAGTTTCTGAAGGACAGAGGATGGTAGACCTCAAGGCCCACTCAGCTCTGATGAGGGAAGAAGGTTTCCAGAGTCAAGGATATATCTTTTGAAGGTGTATCTTACTGTGGAGATGGATGCTTCAGGCTCAAGAAGCCTGATGACATTAAACATTGAAATCACATAATTATCTCAACTTGGCCTGAGTCTCTCCGCTCAGCAAGTAACCCTCTGATTAAAGCATGACTTCCTATATAGTGTGCATGAGGGGAGATAAAATTTGTTGGCTGGGGGATAGGAGTGTTCCGTTAAAGTTCTCATTGTAAATCAATAATCTGACACTCAGATTTTAGCCATCAGTGTTTTGAACTTTAATGCAAGTCCACCCATAAGAGCTGTATGCCCTTTGTGTTATTAAGTTATGATTCTGAGGCTGCAGAGATGAGGTCTGGTGAAAGTCTTGCTATTCTGTGTGAGAAAGACCTGCCTGGATAGACCTGCCATTATAACCTCTCTCCTTTGAAGCTTGTTCTCATTTGCCTCTCTGATTTCTATGCCTGTGCCCTGTAGTTCAAGGTGTTTATCTGCTGGAGGGTAGGAGTGGGGGCACGTTGGTGGAGAGGGAGGCAGGAGGAGTTAGGGAATTGGAAAAGTTCCAGAAAGTGGAGGAAAGGCCAAGGTAACATTCAGTTTATGACAAACAAAATAGGAATACAGAGCAGGATAGTAACTCTGAAAGCCATGGTATTGTTTTAAGAATGGATTTGCTGAATTTCTTTGACTTTCCTCCCTCCACCCCTTGTAGTAGATGAACAAGTCTAGCCTGGAAAACTAGAGAACGAGTTTAAGATCACAGAGTTCTCTTATAAAGAAAAGACACTATTTGTCTTAAGATTTGTTGTTCATTTGTAGAAGGAAGATCAGATGTAAAGAAAGCATACCTGCTTTCTATCCTTAGGATTTAAGGGAAAAAGAAAGGAAAGAAAGTAAGAGGAGAGAGGGGTGAACACAGTGCTAATTTTCTACCTCAGGGCTTTGACCCGGAAGCATGTGTATCCATTAAATGAGCTTAATGTGGAAGGCAAGGTATTTTAAATATTCATTAAATGAGTTTAACATGGAAGGCAAGCTGCTGTAGATCTCTCTTGTACATGCCACATCAAAGTAAACGATCCTGCACAAGATGGTACAGTAAAGGAGACATTGGGTTCCGGATTGGTCACCTTCAGTTGAGTGTGGCATGGTCACTGACTTGTGAACAGTGTTCTGTCATGGATCCCACTCTGGTGAACTGGGTGACCTCTGAGCTAAGTGTGAGCTTATGTGCCTATGGGAAAAATGGAAGATGTAACAGACACTCGAGGGTGAAAATGAGTTAGCCCAGAAGCACTACCATATTGTAACTAAGTCAAGAAAGAGACCAGATCACAAGTTATGTCGGCCCCTAATCCTGACATAGAAAATATTACCCAGGGAAAAGGGGACATTGTCCACCCCAGAGACTATCAAAGGTACAGGACGCTACCCTTGGCAAACTTGACCTTTTTCTGCCCCCACTAGAATATGTGAGATCCCTCTTGTAATATAACTAGGAATTCTCCTCCAGCTACCACCTATTTCTCTGCTCCCCTTTCCCATCCTCCCTACTTTCTCTCTTATTTTTTATTCAACTCATTCATGAGGTTTTCTTTCTGTCATTCCCCAGAAACTTTTTTTGTCAAGGTCATCCCTGAATATGTTAGATCCAACTGTCAATTTTCAGTCTTTATTTTAATCTAACTAGCAGCTGCCTGGGCAAGGTCGGCCACTCTCTCCTTTTTAGAAACAATTTCTTTTCTTGGCTTGCATGTTACACATTATTTCTGGATGCTCCTTCTCTACCTCAAAAATACTGTGCTGCCTTGGGATGCTCTGTTTAGATTGCTTCACTGATCTAGCCAAACTCATCTCCCTGCATAATCTCATTCAGGCTTGTGGCTTGAATTTTCATCTGTATGCCAGTGCCTTCCACATTATTTTTTTCTCCAGCAGAGATCTTTTCCCAAACTCCAGACACAGAGATCTATAGTTTAGTCAAAATTTCCTCTAGAATGTCTGACATCTCAAACATAATGCATCTTAAACCCAGCTCTTGATTTTATCGCCTTAAACTGTCTTTGTGTCTCCAATTTTCTCATTCTCCAATAAATAACAATTCAATTTATCCAGTTGCTCAAGCTAAAACCCTTGGATTCATTCTTGACTCTCTTTATCTTATGTATTCTTCATTAATCTGGCAGCAGTTTCTATCAGCTTTTCCTCAAAAACGTACCCAGAATTTAACCTTTTTTTTTTTTTTTTTGCTATCTCCATAGCTACCAAGTTATTCTGCTGCACTAGTTTTCTAGATTGCCCTGACTTCTGCTTTAGATCCCTACTGCCTGTCCTCCATAGCTGCCAGAGTGGTCCTTTGGGTTTCGCTGGATTCTATGGTAAACAAACAAACAAAAAAGGCAGCAGGACTTTCTTAGGTAATTGTATTTTATTTGTTGGTTCTGCTTGTCTCTGCTAGACTTTATTAAATACACAAGCTCTTTCCATGTTATGAACAAGACAGCAACTGGGAGCCCTACACTTGTCCTAGACTTGTCTTCTCTCAGTTCAGCAATCCCATGAGAAGGAAATGTCTCTTCCAAAATTTAAATATTAATTCAGGAATGATTGACTAACTTTGCTAGAGTCTTGTGTCAATCTCTAAACTAATCAAAGTGGTTAAGAGAATTAAGATGCTCTGGCCATCTAGGGTCATATGCACACCTAATTGCTGGGATGAAGAGGGGCCACCATAGTCACCAGCTTCATTGAGACAACCTGGAATGGGAACAAGGGAACCACAGAAATAAGAAAAGAGACTAGGGGCCAGGCATGGTGGCTCACACCTGTAATCCCAGCACTTTGGGAGGCCAAGGCAGATAGATCATTTGAGGTCAGGAGCTGGATTTGAGGTCAGGAGTTGGAGACCAGCCTGGCTAACATGGTAAAACCCCATCTCTCCTAAAAATACAAAAATTAGATGGGCATGGTGGTCCGTGTTTGTAATCCCAGCTACTTGGGAGGCTGAAGCTTGAGAATCACTTGAGCCTGGGAGGCGGAGATTGCAGTGAGCTGAGATTACGCCATTGCACTCCAGCCTGGGCAACAGAGTGAGACCCTGTCTCAAAAAAAAAAAAAGGAAAGAAAAGAAAAAGGTTGGGATAGAATTTAGGGCAGATAAAAAATATAGCTTAATACCATAATTTAATATATCATCTTTTTTGCTATAAATCAATTATTTAACCCCTTTGATACTTGTTCCCATCTAGGGGCAGTAATACTGCACAGGGTTGCTATGAGGTTCAAATGATTTTAAACATGTAAAGTTTTTTCATAAAAAGTGAAATTTTATACTTATGTAATTGTTAACTATTATTAAATCTAGATTAGTTCATCAGTGGCTGGCAAAATGTGAACAGATACAGAAGCTGACCTTCTGTGATTTGTAACAATAGCATAGATGTCGACAAGAGTCAATCACACAGGCTTTTACCACTTCTACTCAATGTAGTACTGGAAATTCTAGCTGGAACAATTAAGCAAGGGGAAGAAAAGGCATGCAAATTAGAAAAGAAGAAGTAAAATTATCTCTGCTTGCGGATGATATTATACGTAGAAAACCTAAAATTTTCACATAAAAAAAATCCTGTTAGAACTAATAAGTGAGTTCAGCAAAGTAGCAGGATGGAAAGTAAACACAAAACTAAGTTAGATTTCAATATATTAGTAATGAACAATTTGGAAAAGAAATTAAGACAACAATTTTAGGCCTGGCACATTGGTTCATGTCTATAATCCCAGCACTTTGGGTGGCCGAGGCGGGAGGAACACTTGAGATCAGGAGTTCGAGACCAGCCTGGCCAACATGGTGAAATCCTGTCTCTATTAAAAATACAAAAATTAGCTGGGCATGGTAGCAGGCACCTATAATCCCAATTACAGGAGAATTGCTTGAACCCGGGAGGTGGAGGTTGCACTGAGCTGAGACTGTGTCACTGCACTCCAGCCTGGATGACAACAGCAAAACTCCATCTCAAAAAAAAAAAAAAAAAGAAAGAAAGAAAAAGAAAGGAAAGAAAACAATTCTGTTTACAGTAACACCTACTATGATCTGAATGTTCGTGTCCCTCCAAAATTCATGTGTTGAAATTTAACAATCAGCGCAGTGGAGCTGAGAGGTGGGACATCTGGAAGGTGATTAAGTCATAAGGGCAAAGCCCTCATAAATGGGATTAATGTCTTTGTAAAAGAGGCCTAGGGGAGCTTATTTGTCTTCTGTGTCATATGAGGACTAGCAAGAAAGTGTCATCTATGAAGTGTAGGCTGCCAACAGATACCTATGAATCTGCTGGCACCTTGATCTTTGACTTCTCAGCTTCTAGAACTGTGAGCAATACATTTCTATTGTTTATAAATTATTTAGTCTAAAATATTTTGTTCGGGAAGCCAAAATGGACTTAGATAGCATCAAAAAGAATAAAATACTTAGAAACCAACTTAACCAAGAAGGAGAAAGACTTGTGCAATGAAAACTATAAAACAGTGCTGAAAAAGTAAAGATACAGGTAATTGGAAGCACATCTCATGTTCATAGACTGGAAAACTTACTATTGTTAAGATGTCAACACTACCCAAATCTATCTATAGATTCAACGCAATTCCTATCAAAATCCCAATGACATTTTTTTGCAGAAATAAAAAACGCCAACCTAAAATTCATACAGACTCTCAAGGGGTCCCAAATAGCCAAAACAGCCTTGAAAAAGACAAACCAAACTGGAGGATTCACACTTCCTGGTTTCAAAACTTACTACAAAGCGACAGTAATCAAACAATGTGGAACTGGCATAAAGACAGGTATACAGACCCATGGAACAGAATAGGGAACCTAGAAGTAAACCCTCACATATATGATCAAATGATTTTTGACTAGGGTGCCAAGTCCATTCAGTGGGGAAAGAATAGTCTTTTCAACAAATGGTGTTGGAAAAACTAGATATCCATATGCAAATGAAAGAAGTTGGAATACAAAATTAGTTCAAAATGAATCAGGAACCTAAATGTCAGTCCTAAAACTATAAAGTCCTTAGGAAAAAAAACATTGAGTAAAAGCTTCATAGCATTGAATTTGGCAATGACATTAAAGGCATAGAAAACAAAAGGAAAAACAGACAAATTTGAACTTCATGGACATTTTTAAAAATCATGCATCAAAAGGCACTATCAACAGAGTAAAAAGGCAACTGACACAATAGTGAAAATATTTGTAAATAATATATTTTATAAGGGATTAGTATCCAGACTGTATAGAGATCTTCTACAGCTCAATGACAAACAACCCAATTCAAAAATGAGCAAAAGACTTGAATAAACATTTCTCCAAAGAAGATATAAAAATAGCTAATAAAAACATGAACAGGGCTGGGCGCGGTGGCTCATGCCTGTAACCCTAGCACTTTGGGAGGCCGAGGCAGGCAGATCACGAGGTCAGGAGATCGAGACCATCCAGACTAACACGATGAAACCCTGTCTCTACTAAAAATACAAAAAGTTAGCCTGGCGTGGTGGTGGGCACCTGTAGTCCCAGCTACTCAGGAGGCTGAGGCAGGAGAATGGCGTGAACCTGGGAGGCGGAGCTTGAGATAAGCAAAGATCGTGCCACTGCACTCCAGCTTGGGCGACAAAGTGAGACTCCATCTCAAAAACCAAAACCAAAACCAAAAACAAACAAACAAAAATCATGAAAAGATGCTCAACATCACTAATCATTAAGGAAATGCAAATCAAAGTTGCAATGAGATACCACCTTACACCCATTAGGATGGCTACTACCAAAAAAACCAGAATATAATAATTGTAATAATTGTTGGTAAAGATGTGGAGTAAATAGAACCCTAGTGCAGGGTTGATGGGAATGAAAAATGCTATTGTTGTGTGTGGAAACAGTATTATAAATTAAAAATATAATTATGTGATAATTCATATGATTCAGCAATTCCGTTTCTGGGTATATACTACAAAGAATTGAAAGAAGGGTCTTGAAGAAATATTTGTACATCCATGTTCATTATTAACAACAGCCAAGAGGTAGAAGCAACTCGGGTATTCGTTGACCAATGAACAGATAAGCAAAATGTAGTATATACATACAATGGAATACTATTTAGCCTTAAAGAGGAAGGAAATTCTGACATATACCACAACGTGGATTAACTTTGAGGATATTATGCTTAGTGAAATAAGCCAGCCACAGAAAGACAAATACTATATGATTCCACTTATATTAAGTAGCTGGAGTAGTCAAAATCATAAAGAAAGAAAGTATAATGGTGATTGTTGAGTTGGAGAGGGGAGAAAGGAGATTATTGTTGAATGAGTATAGTTTCAGTTTTACAGGATGAAAATAGTTGTAGAGACAGATGGTGATGGTTGTACAGCATTATAAATGTATTTAATACCAGTTAATTGTACACTTAAAAATGATTAAGATCATAAATCTTAGGTGTATTTTACCACAGTGAAATAATTAGCAGAAAGTCAACCAAAGAGTTAGTGCCTTAAACAGAGAGGAATAAAAATTATCTCGAAGATTGGGGTGGACAGGATTATTAATTACACACTTAAGCAAATACTGACTAGAATCTTTTGGAAAGGGTACTTTGAGGGAAAAATATTATCAAAGAAAAAAATGGAAGTTAAGGCTGCATAGGCAGTTAGATTTGAATCTACCTATGAGTTTTAGCTATCTATTGCTGCGTAATACTATTGCCACAGATTTGGTGGCTTCATACAACACATGTTTATTATCTACCATTTCTATGGGTCAGGAGTCTGGGTGCATCTTAGCAGAGTTCTCTGTAAGGCTGTAATTAAGGTATTGTCTAGGGCTGAGTTCTTATCTGCATACCAGACTGGGGAAGAACCTGTTGCTAAGCTCAGATGGTTGTTGGCAGCATTTACTTGCTGGTTGTGAGACTAAGGGTCTCAGTTTCTTGCTGGCTCTCAGCTGGAGGCCATCTTTAGTTTCTTGCCACTTGTTGGCCAGAGGCTGCCTGCCATTCCTTGCCAAGGAGGCCTTTCAACATGGCCTCTTACTTCATTAAAGCCAGGAAGGGAGAGAGGCTATTAGCAAGACAGATGGTACAATCTTTTGTGACATAATCACTTTTGTTATATTCTGTTTGTCTGAAGCAAGTCACAGGTTCTCTCATAGTCAAGGAGAGAGAATTTTTCACTAAAAAACATCTGTACCAGGAGGTAGGAATAATTGGGGGCCATTGTAGAGTGTCCGTTACATTTTAACCACCTATTTCCTCTCCTTAGTACATTCACAAAAGAATAATTGAAAAAAAAAACCCTCAATTTTCTCAAATCTCTGTGCTCAATAAATGATATGCTTTACATATGTAAGTTATGTTAGAGATTCAGTATTCGTGGAGGGATCTCAAAATGCTAGATAGGTTACACTGGTCAAGTAAGGATGTAAGCTGTCTCTTTAATAAAGATAAATTATTTGATAAGATAATTTATAGTTTAATTTCATTATCAAGGAACAGTTTTAGGAAGACCTTTATAACAGAGGAGTACTTTTGAAGCTCTACCTAGGAAGAGATCAGATATGTTCCTTTTTCTTTTTTTTCACATACATACTTTTATAATCTTCATTTAGATTTAGTTCTGCAGACAAATAGATGTTTAATGCTCAAAACTAGTCTTTATGTCAATGTTACTCCCATCATTTTGTTGTCTGAAAATTGTTTTTTGGTAGGTTCCTCAGGAAAGGGTTTTGAATTTTCCCGAATTCTCATATCTTCAAAATAATCTGCTTAAAACCTTTATAATTCAGTTTCATTTTAATTAGATACAAAGTCTTTTGTTTATGTTTTCTCTCCTGATATAAATCATTACTGTCAAATAATATTATGACTACTTAATTTTCTTTCTCTAAAATGGGTCTTGGTTCTTTTTTCTGGCTATCCAAAGGGTTTTTCCTTTACATTTCAATAATTTTACAAGAATATTCATCTCAGTGAAGTCCACCCAGATACACAATGTATCATTTCAATATTTAGCTTTGATGTTTATTTTTTAAGGTAAGTTTTTTTTCAGTCATAGTTTTTAACATGTGCTCTCTTACATTGACTGGTTTTCAAAAACAAAAAGGAACTTCTGTTATATAATGTTTGATTTTCCTGTGTATCTTTTAAATCTATTATTGTCTGTCAAGTCCTATCAGATAAGTTTTTCAATTAATAACTTTATTTTTTATTTTTATGGGTTCATAGATGTACATATTTATGGGTACATGAGATATTTTGATACAGGCATACGATGTGTAGTAATCACATCAGGGTGAATGGGGTATCCATCACCTCAGACATTTATCCTTTCTTTGTGTTACACACAAATTCTGTTATACTCTTTTACTTCTTTTAAAATGTCTGATAAATTATTATTGGTTGTAGTCACCCTGTTTTGCTATCAAATACTAGATCTTACTCATTCTATCTAACTATATTTTTTTACCAATTAACCATCCCCATTTCCCCCCTGCTCCCCCTCCCCCACTATTCCCAGGGGCTGGTAACCATCCTTCTGTTCTCTGTCTTCATGAGTTCAATTATTTTAATTTTTAGCTCCCACAAATAAGAGAAAACATGCAAAATTTATCTTTCTGTGCCTAGTTTATTTTACTTAATGATCTTTAGTTCCATCCTTGCAAGTGACAGGATCTCGTTCTTTTTTTATGGCTGAATATTACTCCACTGTGTATAAGCACAACATTGTCTTGACCCATTCATCTGCTGATTGACACTTAGGTTGCTTCTAAATCTTGGCTATTGTGAAAAGTGCTGCAGTAAACATGAGAGTGTAGATGTTTCTTCAGTAGACTGATCTCCTTTCTTTTGGGTATATACCTAGCAATGAGATTGCTGGATCATATCATACCTCTAGTTTTTGTGTTTTAGAAAGCTCTCCATAGTGGTTGTACTAGTTTACATTTCCACCAACATTGTATGAGTGTTCTCTTTTCTCCACATCCTTGCCAGCATTTGTTATTATCTATCTTTTGAATAAAAGCCATTTTAAGTGGGGTGATATGGTGTCTCATTGTAGTTTTGATGCACATTTCTCTGATGATCAATGATGTTGAGCACTTTTTCATATACCTGTTTACCATTTGTATGTCTTCTTTTAAGAATTCTGTATTCAGACATTTAGTTGTTCAAATAGACATTTTTTTAATCGGATGAGTAGATTTTTTCTTATTGAGTTGTTTGAGTCCCTTATATATTCTGGCTATTAATCCCTTGTCAGATGTATAGTTTGCACATATTTTCTCCTATCCTGTGGGTTGTCTCTTCATTTTTGTTAATTGTTTCCTTTACTGTGCAGAAGCTTTTTAACTTGATGAGATTCCATTTGTCCATTTTTGCTTTGGTTGCCTGTGCTTGTGGGATATTACACAAGAAATCTTGGCCCTGTACAATGTCCTAGAGAGTTTTCCAATGTGTTATTTTAATAGTTTCATAATTTGAGGACTTAGATTTAAGTCTTTAATCCATTTGATTTGATTTTTATCTGTGTTAGGAGATAGGGGTCTAGTTTCATTTTCTGCATGTGGATATCCAGTTTTCCTAGCACCATTTATCAAAGAGATAGTCCTTTCTTCAATGTATGTTCTTTGTACCTTTGTTGAAAGTGAGTTCACTGTAGATGTATGAATTTATTTCTGAGTCCTTTTTTATTGTGTTCCATTGATCTGTGTCTGTTTTTATGCCAATACCATGCTCTTTTGGTTACTATAGCTCTGTAGTATAATTTGAAGTCAGGTAATGTGATTCCTTCTGTTTTGTTCTTTTTGTTCAGAATAGCTTTGGCTCTTCTGGGTCTTTTGTGGGTCCACAGAAATTTAAGGATTGCTTTTTCTATTTCTGTGAAGGATGTCATTGGTATTTTGATAGGGATTGCATTGAATATGTAGATTGCTTTGGATAGTATGAACATTTTAACCATATTGATTCTTCCAATCCACAAATATGGAATATCTTTCCAATTTTTTGTGCCCTCTTCAATTTCCTTCATCAGTGTTTTATAGTTTTCAGTGTAGAGATATTTCACTTCTTTGGTTAAAGTTAATTCCTAGGTATTCTATTTTATTTGTAGCTATTGTAAGTAGAATTATTTTCTTGATTTCCTTTTCATATTGTTTGCCATTGGCATATGGAAATGCTACTGATTTTTGTACATTGATTGTGTACCCTGCTACTTTACTGAATTGTTTATCAGCTCTAACAGTTTTTTTTTTATGGCGTCTTTAGTTTTTTCCAAATACAAGATAAATCATCTGCAAACAAGAATAATTTGACTTCTTTCTGACTTGGATGACTTTTATTTCTTTCTCTTGTCTGATTGCTCTAGCTAGGACTTCCAGTACTATGTTGAATAACAATGGTGACAGTGGGAATCCTTGTTTGTTCCAGAGCTTAGAGAAAAGGTTTTCAGTTTTTCTCTGTTCAGTATGATACTAGCTGTGGTCTGTCCTATATGGCTTTTATTGTGTTGCAGTGTATTCCTTCTATACCCGGTTTTTGAGGGTTTTTTTTTTGTTGTTGTTATCATGAAGGGATGCTGAAGTTTACCAGATGCTTTTCAGCATCAGTAGAAATAATCATATGGTTTTTGTCCTTCATTCTGTTGATATGATGCATCATATTGATTGATTTGCATATGTTAAACCATCCTTGCATCCCCGAGATAAATCCCATTTGGTTATGATGAATGATCTTTTTAATGTGTTGTTGAATTTGGTTTTGTTAAAGCAAACTAAATATGTCCTGAGAAGGACTCCATACTTCTATATTTGAGTCCTTGTGGATAAACTGCAACCTAACTTAATAGGTAGACAAGATTGAAAACCTAACTTAGGAGTATGCTCCTGTAACAATCACTGAGTCTTGGCCAGTCCTAGCAGCCATACTTCAACCACTCATACACTGCTGAGTGTTCAAACTGTGTTCAAATAAGGCAAACATGGAGCTGTAACCAATCCAGCTGTTTCTGTACCTCACTACCAGTTTCTGTGCATCACTACTTTTTTTGCCTATACATTTTTTCTGACCATGAGGCATCCCTGGAGTCTCTCTAAATCTGCTGTGATCCTGGGGGCTGCCCAATTCGCGAATCGTTCATTGCTTAATTAAACTCCTTTATATTTAATTTGGCTGAAGTTTTTCTTTTAGCAGTTTGCCAGTATTTTGTTGAGGATTTTTGCATCATTTTTAATTAAGGATATTGGCCTGTAGTTTTCTTTTTTTTAAATGTATCTTAGATAAATTTTTAAAACAGATTAGTGTGAAAAGAAAATCTTCTAGCTTAGTTAGTGTGTGCTTATGCATTTTACCAAAGAATATGACGGAAAGTTTCAGGATTTTTCTGGAGTTATATCTGGTTTGCCTTTAGTAGAACTTTCCATTTATTTCATTCTTAAATGATATATGCATTGGTTGGAGCATCTTGCCTACAATTTTTTAGCTCAAAATATTTCATGAATATCTTCTTTAATGACTGGACTGCTTTAAATAAAAGAAAGTTAAACTTCTCTGGTAATACTAAATATTTCTTTTGGGCTGATTAGTGAAGCTTTTGTCTTTGAGAAGAATTCAGTTTGCAATTCTGTTGAGTTGCTAAGAGCATTAACTTAAGTGAAGGGTTTTCCTCTTCCACTAGAAACTTTCAGTGGGTCCCATGAAATAAGAACTAAAAATCTGTTTTGAGGTGTTGAAAGAGCCATCTTGGCCATAACCTGTTTAGGGCATAGACCATTTCACATTGTGGGCTTCCTTACACTGGAAATTATAGCTCCCATTTGAATGCAATAATAAAGCATAAAAATGAAAATAAACTGAGGAAAGAAATCAAATAAACAGAATAGCAAAATTATCTGCTATATTGAAAACAACAACAAAATCTCAGTAAGTACAAACCACAACTCTTTTGAGTTAAAATAAATGGAAATTATTAGTAAATCTTTGTATATCTAATGACATTGTTGGTTTTCTCTGCGAGATAGTTCAGTGGAGGGGGGCGGGGGCAGGAGGTAGGAAGGTGAAAGAAGAGGATCCTTCCTAAGGATTTCTAAGGAAAGAGGATAGTCAGGGACAGAGTCTTCTTGTTTGTGCTAGAAACAGTACTGGAGATAGCTACAGTAGACAAGGGAGCAGTTTTCAGGGCCCACAGGACCAGTGATTCTCTTGCCAAGTCAGCACAGACATAAATACAGCTCATCACTAAATTATGAATGGATTTTAAATATGTAAGTTGACATAGTCAAGTCTTTTTGTGAGGGAGGGGTCTATGTCAGAATACAGTCTGTGGCATCAAATTCATTCTTTGGCTGTAGGATTCTGGGCCAGATAGTTGCCTTTTTCCAACCTTCAGTAACCAATTGAAAGTTTGTTGTGAGAATAAGAAATGTGGCAAACTTGACCTGTATCTCACAGATAAAAAATTATGAATAAGTGGTAGATCCTGCTATTTTAATCATAACTTTTTCTTTTTTTTTTTTTTTTTTTTTTTTTGGAAGAGACAGGACTCACTCTGTTGTGCAGGCTGGAGTGCACTAGTGCAATCATGGCATACTGCAGCCTCAACCTTATGGGCTCAACCAATCCTCCCACCTCAGTCTCCCAAGAAGCTAGGACTACAGATGCACACCACTGTACCCAGCTAATTTTAAAATTTTATGTAGTGTCAGGGTCTTGCTAGGTACTCAGGCTGGTCTTGAACACCTGGCCTCAAGGGATTCTCCTGCCTCGGCCTTCCAAAGTGCTGGGATTACAGGTGTGAGACACCACATGCAGCCAACCTAACTACAACTGCTTTCTTATCTAGCTTTTCCACTTGTGCGATGAGAGTGATTAAGTATAACTCTGTCTTAGTGAAAGTATTTGATTTAAATAGCATTTTTATTTTCAATACCCTTGGGCAAGCCGGGCGTGGTGGCTCATGCCTGTAATCCCAGCACTTTGGGAGGCTGAGGTGGGCAGATCATGAGGTCAGGAGTTCAAGACCAGCCTGGCCAATATGGTGAAACCATGTCTCTACTAAAAATACAAAAATTAGCCGGGCGTGGTGGCTCATGCCTGTAGTTCCAGCTACTCAGGAGGCTGAGACAGGAGAATCACTTGAACCCAGGAGGCAGAGGTTGCAGTGAGCCGAGGTCATGCTATTGCACTCCAGCCTAGGTGTCATAGCGAGACTCTGTCTCAAAAAATACAAAATAAAAGAAAATCCTTAGGCAAATGCCATAATAGGCAGTAGTGTTACTAAAATAATTGTATGTCCAATGCTTGGCATTTTAATGAAATGCACTTTATGCAGAATCAACATTTTAACTTAAAATGTTGGTCATCTGCACATTTTCCCCCAGCAATTAACTTTAAACTTTAAAACTAAAACAAACATGATTACAAAAAAGTTAAAGCAAAAATCCTACAAGCATTTCTAAGTTGAAATAGACCTCTTTGGTTCTTCAAAAATTTATTGAGCAGCAACAATATGTTGATATTTTGCTGGATATGGGAGGTACAATGATGAAGAAAAATAGGTCACTGCGCTTAAGGAACTTAGGGAAGAAAGAGATATGTACAGAGATGTTTATAATGTGATATGAAAATACTTCTGCAGAGGCATGCACAAAAATGCTTTTGTAACAAAGGATAGAACAATTAACTCTGCCTGAGGCTCTCTCGGAAGTCTTCCTTAAAGATAAGGCCTAAGAGAAGTGTAATGAAGATGAAAAGGAGATTCTGGATAAAAGCTGAGTAGGGAGGGAGAAAAGGTCTTCCAAGAGAAAAGAGCAGTGTGAGCAAAGTTGCACAGAATTGAGAGAGGCTCTGACATAAATAGGAAATAGCGAGAAATTTATTACAGTAAGAGCATCAACTGCGTAGGGAAGAGAGATTGAAGTGTTGGAACCAGATTATTAAATACTTTGAAGATCAGTTAAGGGGTTTGTATTTTATCCTGCAGATTATGGAAAACCAATCTGGATTTACAAGCAAAGGAGTGATAAGATTAACCTTGAAACAAATGATGCCAGAGGAAATAGTATTCATTTCTTTGTAGCTTGTTGTCTTCTTACATTGAAAAGCTTAGGTTAATGAAACAAGCAGACTTCTGGTGTCAGGTGAAGGTAAGAGGATGGAAGCCTAGTTGGTCATTCCCATCTTTACCTAGGTCAGCATTTGCTGTTTGTCTAGAAGTCGATCAATAAGGAAGACAGCATACTGTGCAGAAGGCTGTCTGGATCATTTTTCTATTTTTTGAGACAGGGTCTCACTCTGTTATCCAGGCTGGAGTGCAATGGCACGATCAAGCCTCACTGCAGTCTCAGCATCCTGGGCTTAGGTGATCTTCCCATTGCAACCTCTTGAGAAGCTAGGACTACAGATGTGCACCACAATTCCCAGCTAATGTTATTATTATTATTTTTTTTTTAAGAGTCAGGGTTTTGCCATGTTGCCCAGGCTGGTGTGAAACTCGTGGACTAAAGTGATCCACCCACCTCAGCCTTTCAAAGTGTTGGCATTACAGGTATGAGTCACTCTACCTGGCTTATCATTTTTCCATTCTTGTGATTTTTGTACCCACTGTATAAATATTATGAAAATTAGGTTTTATGCATGAAGTAAAAATTGCCACTATCCTCAGAGGTAATTCAGGTAACTCACATTAAAAAAGTAGATTCTGGGCCAGGCGTGGTGGCTCCTACCTGTAACCCTAGCACTTTGGGAGACCATGGATGGAGGATTGCTTGAACTCAGGAGTTCAAGACCAGCCTGGGCAACATAGCGAGACCTCATCTCTACTAAAAATAAAAAATAATTAGCCAGCCTTGGAGGTGCACACCTGTAGTCCCAGCTACTCAGGGGGATGAGGTGGGAGGATCACTCGAGCCTGGGAGATCGAGGCTGCAGTGAGCTGTGATCTCTCCACTGCACTCCAGCCTGGGTAACAGAGCAAGACCTTGTCTAAAAAAAAAAAAAAAGAACAACAACAACAAGAACAACAAAACAAAAACAAAAAAGCAAGCACATTCTGTAGGTATTATCCAGAGTGGAAGTTCTGGGAACTGGGAATTCTCTAAACATTTCCTCTACTGCAGAGAAACCCAAAGGGATATGGGTTCAAATATTTGTTCATAGATGTTCCTTAATTACATATAAAAATGTGCCATGATACTCTTAAATAGTACATACTAACAGAAAAAAAGAGGAAGAAAAATAAATGTCCAAAAATGTGCAAAAACAAAACATAGCATTCTCATTCTAAAGAAGATACCCAAATCCTTCCATCGCAGTAGATTCATTGTAATATCTGTAATATGGGACTATGTATCATCTTTCTCTTTTCTTCCCTCAGAATAAACTACCTCATGGGAAACCTCACTGTATTTCAGAAATTTAAACAAAATCAGGTTGCTTGGTTTTCATATCAACCATGCCAGCCTCTCTTGTTTCTCCTTCATTTATTTACTCATTTAACCAACAAATACTTACTTATTGAGTGCCACGAATATTTATTGTGTATATAGGTACCAGTTGGAGAGCCAGGAAGATCAAAATAGATCTCTGTCCTCATGGAGTTTCAAGCCTAGTGAGACAGAGAAATACTAATCACTCAAATAATGGTGCTACTATCACGGTCCAGAGCCCAGCTGGGGCTTCCCTGCCCATTGAGAGGTAGATGAGATTGGCTGGAGTCCCTGATCCATGTCCTATGGTCAGAAGCTCTGCTCCACACATGTCCTGGCATCTCCCTGTCTCATGGTCTGACAGCTTCTGGGATGAAGCTGTCACTGTACTGCACCTCTTTCAAAAAAGGAATTAACATATCTTCATTCCAGTCTCCACAAGACACTCAGTCACACAGAGCATTTGTAAGCGTGTCTGACTTCAACGAAGATTCAGTGGTAACAGGGACCATCCACAGCATGGCTGCACAGTGAGTGAATATGCAAAAAGTATTTGAATACTCATAGTTTTAAACGTCCATTCAACCACTTCTCTTTCTCACTGGGCTTCCGTCTGTTTCAGTACTTAGCCTTCTGCCATCTCACTGGTTCCACCTTTCTCCATGTCCCTTGTGTCCTTTTCTTTTGCTTCCTTTCCTACCATTGCTCAGAAACAAGCAGACAACCAGCCAACCACAACAAAGACAATGAACAGCAAACAAATTCCTTTTATTCTTTCATGGAGCTCGGCTATCTATTTTGTCACTTGGGACCCTAGAGACACCCACGCTCTCAGAGTTATACCTTCTATCTACTCCAAAAGGCGTGTCTACATATTATATTCAGCAAAGACATTTTCCATCCTGAAAGAAATTGTGTTACCATCTGTTAAGGTACATATATATATATATATTTGTAGTTAAGTCAGTCAGTCTGGATATATTACAAATGATGATGCATGCTCTGACAGAAAAGTAGGAGGTTGGGAGGAACAACAAAGCATATAGTATTAGAACAGCAGACCAGATTTAAAATGAGAAAGCCGGGCAGTCTGGGTTCTCTAAGAAAGTATGACATTTCTGGAGCCTGTTAGCCAGGTAAAAAGTGTGGGGTGAAGAGCATTCCCAGCAGGAGAACAGCATGTGCAAAGGTTTGGAGATGGGGAAGACTGTGGAGCACTGGAAAAAGTGGGAAGGGGCCAGCATGGCTAGATCCCAAAGGGCCAAAGAGAGAGAAAGATGGGGATGAGGGTGGAGAGGCCAACAGGGGCCAGATCAAGTGAAACTTTGCAGGCCACATGACTCCCATTTTTAGGTTCCTGTCTCTTCCCTAACAAATGAAATGACAGCATGAATGAGTTTTTCTAAACTTTGAGTTTATTGGTTTTCGAGACAAACAGTCATGCCAAAGCTGACAAACTTGTATAGATACACACACATACACGCACACACGGTACATAAAGCACCTTTCCCCAGGGCCACGTCACTTGCCATTATTAAGAAGTCTATCCTATAGCCATATACACGATTCTGGGTCACCCAGATAATTAGCTGAAAATTATCTTCATATTCGTTTTCCCTCCACAGGAATGTTTCCTGAAAAGAAACCCCAAATATGAGGGTTTCTGAAAGAGCTTTAAAAAATGTTGCCTGCCAGTAGCACATGGATTCTCTTTTCAGGGTTTGTATCTACCCAGCTGACACACCCATTCCCCCCTCCCTTCCCCCCAGAGCAAGTGATTTCTTGTTCCACCCTGCAGCTTACTATTGGCAAGGCATGGCAGGAGTGAATCTAGGTTCCGTGTACCACCAGGGTAAATTGCCCTCTCTATTGCAGTCCTTATGGAAAGGCACTTTTTTTCGGGTTCAGCACGTCCCCATGCATTCACAGGTACCGAAAGTGACATACACATACATTGTAAACATTGTGCCCACTGCTCTGCAAACGTTCATTTGGCCCTTAGCAGTTCACACATCACAGCCGATTCATGTATTCATGATGATGTTCATTCTGTTGTTTTCTGGAAATAAATTATGTTGTCTGCTTGCCCGGTGGCACCTGCCACAAACCATCTGACTTTTCTTCTCCACTCTTATATTTCAACTACCAAAATCCATGCCTTTTAAACTGTCTTTTTATTGAAAGTAATAAATTAAGATATTCATCTTGAGGTGGCTTCACCTTTGCATAAGAATCACCAGCATATACATTAGCATGCTCACAGTGTTGAGTATACAGGAATTCATTTCAGTAGCAACAACACTCACTGACCTTAGAAGGAAAAATTTCCTTTTATAATTACTTGTTAGTCTAACACAGTTGTAACTTTCCATACAGTATATTACTTTACTTTAAAATGAAGATATCTTGCGGAAGTGTATCTTCTGTGGCTTTTCTTCAAAATGAAGCCATTGGTCACACGCTGAGATTGAGTTTGCTGGAAGTGTTAAGACTCCATCTGGTCATCTTGTGAGTCAACACTTATAGTGGAACCTTGGCTGCTGGTATCAGCAGTTTCATAGGACTTCTGGTCTTTGGCAAAGTTGATGAAAACCTGATTTTTCAGGGAAAATAAAGCCATTAATGCCTGGTAAGCCAAAGGAAAAAATAAAGTTAATTCATTCTCTCTCTCTCCCCTTCCTCTCTCCTAGTGCAAGCGTGTATATATGTGTATGCAGGCCCCTATAAAATCCAAATCCTAGTTTTATACATGCTTGCACTAGGAGTCCTTTCAGAAAATCAAATTTAACTGGGGCTTGAAAACAGCACCTATATCTATGACCATATTTATGACTATGATTTTATTTATAATCATGTCAATCTTAAGCCATAGTTGACTATCTGTAGCCACATTTCTGCATTCATATGACCTACATCAATATCTCTATCAGGTATAAACAAGGAGCCCAGCCCTGTGCCCTTATTGAATGGTTGTGTAGAAATGTTGAGAGAAATTTCACTAGTTTCAAGAGTTAATGCATTAAGATAAAATTTGTATAGAAAGCCCATGTTAACACTGTGTTCAGTAAGCCAATTACTTAACAGGCAGATCTTTTCACTTTGTTTAAAGTCATTAAATCTATTAGTCATAGTTTCATCCAAAAACTATCGAGAGTCTGTATTTTGCCATGGTGCTGGTAGTTGGTCATAAGTCGAAGACTAAGTCTTCATTTTCAGGAAAGTCATGATTGTCTAAAGCCCCCATTAAAATGCCTAAAGCCCCACAAGAAGAGTTGTACATCAAATGCAGCACCATATACTGACCCCTAAAGGCCTTACTTTCAGACCTAGTCCAATGACAGATATAATCAAACTTTCTATATGTCATGTTGGTTGAGCTGTGCAAAATTAAGACAGTACAGAAGTGATAAAGGATGACCTAATAAGTCTGTAGTTATTAAATGCAAATGTAATTAAGACAGATGATGTACGTTGAACGGAAAGGATTCTGCATTTACCACTTTAATTGCCTGAATTTAACAGATCTAAAGGTCTGACACCAAATTCTAATTACCCTGTCCAACCCTAATCCAGGAAGCCAATCAATAGAAATGTTCTTTAAGAAACCTACCATGGAAGAAGGAAGGAAAGTGTTAACAGCTGTTTGTTATGTATGTGAAAATAGTGGGGTTTTTTTCTTTATGTATACATATAACTTTATGGGTACAGATGTCTTATCAAATGGAAAAGTTAATGTCTTTCACATCTATTTTTTTAATATCCCCAAATTAAGTGAGAAATTGATTAGGCTCTTTGCTAAGTTTTTCAGGTGCAAGACTAGATATTAATTCAATTAAAAACAAATTGAATGTAATTAAAAAGAAATAACCAGAATGAATAATAATATTAATATGTGACGTTGTGCACATGGATCGTGGTATATATCTTACCTCTTCCAGAGTGGTCTGACTCACTAAGAAATTTGTAATATTTAAAGCAGTCTTGTTGGTTTCCAGCAGATCAAAAATGTTTGCGACTCCTCCTGCTGTGACTGGTACATGATACTCTAGCATGCTGAGGTGCTGATCCTGTGGGAACCAAAGGAAAAAAGTTTATTTTGCAATGTCTGGTAATGTTGACATGACTAGACATAACTTTACCAAGAGTTCAGGAAAATAACTGAAGTTCATTCCACTGAAAATGATGCTACAGTATAAATAACGAGTATATTTTGAAACTAACAGCTTGCAAAGATGAGATGAAAGTTTTGTGAATGTCAAAGAGAAAACAAATTTAAAAGTTCATGAAAACTCCAAAGCATTCTATATTCATGTGAAGTTATACAGTCATTATAATCTTGCCTGGAAAAGAATTTGTGGAATGGTATTTCACATGTGACATTATGCTCAGCTCACATAAGCTTTCTCAGTGCTCAATCTTAAGAAATTTCATTTTTGTGTTAGAAGTGTTCTAAAACGCTAAAAATTAGCAGTTCCATTTATATTGGCTAAAGACAGTAGACTTCAAAAGCATTGAAGCTCCTTCAAATGACAGCTCATCCTTTTCCCAACTCACCCTAAAATTCTTTCCAATTTCTTTATTTCGGTCACCAGTATCACCATCTACTTAGTTTAATCCATTCTAGTTGCCTTGGAGTATCTTTAACAATTTGCTTTCCTGGATATTTAATCAGTTACCAGATCTTATTTATTTTTCCTCTAAAATACCTCTCAAACTTAACCTTTTCTCTCTATTTGCACCACCAATATGATTAACTTGATGCTTATTAGTCCACATCTTAGTTACTGCAACAGCCTCTTCAGAACCCCAGAAACTCTGTACACTTAACTTTCTTGCAGAAAGCAGCTGGGATAATCTTTGCTGATACTAGTTTGATTAGGATATTTTCTTATTCCAGAATCTACCCCTGTGACGCCAGTGCATCAGATCATGACCATGTATTTCAGACCCTTCTCCTCCCGCTTTGTGCATTGCTTAGCGTCTCCCATTGACATGCAGTTGCATTATATCTGTTACTGCAATTGGGCCATCTTGCCTACTTTTGCTCTCAGATTGTTGTTTTGGCTATTTTCCTTCTAGACATCTAGAAACCACCACAAATTTGTAAAGAATGGTCTGCTAGGGAGAAATCAGACTTTTTATTATCACTGCATTTGCCTTGTATAGCCCTGGTCCCATGAGGAACAGACCAGGGAGAATGTAATTTCATCACTCAGTGAAACAACACAGATTTCAACCCAGAAATCCACTAAAAGAGAAAGCATTACTACCAACACAATTTGTGCAAGAAAGATGTCCTTTTACTTTTAAATTTGATTTAAATTTAGATGATAGAAAATGAGCTTTGATAAGAATCCTGAAAGCTAGGCCGAGTGTGGTGGCTCACAGCTGTAATCCCAGTGCTTTGGGAGACCAAGGCAGAAAGATTGCTTCGGGCCAGGAGTTCAAGACCAGCTTGGGCAACATAGTGAGATTCTGTCTCTACAAAAAATCCAAAACTTAGCAGGGCATGGTGGCACATGCCTATATGCTTGGCTACTTGTGAGGCAGAGGTGGAAGGATTCCTGGAACCCAGGAGTTCAAGGCTGCACTGAGCTATGATTATGCCACTGCACTCCAGCCTGGGCAACATAGCGAGACTCTGTGTCTTAAAAAAAATTTTTTTTAAGAATTAAGAAAGCTATTCTTTCCTAGAGAAATAGAGAAGTTAGCCAAACTTGGAGAGGCTGAGGCAAAGGTATTTTATGAAGATAAAATAATTATTTTTAAAATGCAGTTTATTTTCTCTAAAATCACTTCAAATTAACATTGTGCCTTATAATTTATGGAGTATCTTTGTGGACACCTTATCATTTAATTCTCACATCAGTTTTGTGAAGTAGATGTTACTGTAGTAGTACTCCCTTATTTGTGGTTTTGCATTCTATGGTTTGTTACCTGTGATCAACCAAGTTCTAAAACTATTAAATGGAAAAATACAAAAATAAACAATTTATAAGCTTTAAATTGCATGCCTTTCTGAGTAGTGTGATCTAATTTTGTACCACCCGATCTGGCATGTGAATCATTCCTTTGTCCAGTATATTTATGTTGTGTAAGCTACCTGCCTGTTTCTGTATAAGAAAAAGCATAGTGTATACCAGATTTGGTACTATCTATAGTTTCAGGCATCCACTGGAGGTCTTGGAATGTATCACCCATGAATAGTGGGACACTCCTGTATTCCTATTTACAAATGAGAAAAATGAGGCTCAGAGATTAATGGCTTGCTGGGAATCACATGGGCACAATTGGACCTCAGCCCTAGTCTTTCCAATTTCTTTTTATCATTCCACGTCTGATTTCCTTTCAAAAACAATCATTTGAAATCATCTTCTACAAATTGCCTGTATATCAAAGATGTAATAATGACAAATTTTCCTGTCAAGTACATTTATTTTAATTAAGTATGGGCTATGTTAGGTATATATGCATATATCTGTGTGTGTCCATCCCATGCCTATGCATATGTGAGATGAGATCAACTGTACAATATTTCATCTAGTCTAGAACTTGAGGACTTGATTTCTACTCAGTCCTGCTCCAACTTTTGTGGGCTTCTCTTTCAAATGAGGGGGACAAACCAGATAATCATTCTGGAGCTCTGTAGTTTTTTGGGTTTTTTTAAGAAGAAATGACCTTGGTCATATAATACCTGTCATCCCTCAGTTCCCTAATATATATAATGAGTAGATCAGCAAGGTATACAACTTGGAAACTAATACAATATGATCATAAATCCTTTGTGAGGAAAAAAAAAAATACATGTATGTGAAAGGACTGTGTTAACTTTAAGTAAGTACAAAAATATATAATTAATTGATGCTATTTGTTCATACTAAGTATGCTTTGGCATATCTTACGCATCTTGAACTAATCAATAAATTAAGATTAATAATAAAGCTGTAGTCAACTTGGAAATCACAAATGTCGCTATGACATTACCATCAAAACTAGTGAAGATCAAAAGGCAAGATAATCACTTACATTGTTGGTTTTTTGTTTGTTTTTGTTTTTGTTTTTGTTTTTTAGACAGAGTCTCGCTTTGTCACCCAGGCTGGAGTGCAGTGGCATGATCTTGACTCACTGCAACCTCTGCCTCCCAGGTTCAAGCAAGTCTCCTGCCTCAGCCTCCCGAGTAGCTGGGATTACAGGCATGTGCCACCATGCCCAGCTAATTTTTGTATTTTTTGTAGAGACGGGGTTTCACCATGTTGGCCAGGCTGGTCTTAACCTCCTGACCTCAAGTGATTGCCCGCCTCGGACTCCCAAAGTGCTGGGATTACAGGCGTGAGCCACTGCACCCAGCCATCATCACTTACTTTTAAGTATGTTTTTGGAAAGTGCAGCTGCATGAACTTTGTGAGGGTCTCCATGGTCACTTTGTTATTCTTCAAGTGAACTTTGACAGTAAATCCTCGTCCAAACCTAGAAAGAAAAAGTGCAAAATATGATATGAATTACATTTTGCTGAAATAGCTCCTCTGGAATTCTAGATAATGAAACAGGACCCAAGCCAACCATTATATCACCTTTTCTTTATATGAAGACTATCATTTTGCCATAAAAGTTCAGGACATGTTGCAAACTGGAAATAGTGCACTGCTATGATTTTTTATTTATTTCTACCTCTATATAAAATCAGAGTCTTTGGGCAAAAATTGAGTTGAAAAGAAAACATAACATAAAATCTTGGCTTTCTATGACATTCATAAATCGGCAATGGATGTTAATTTCTGCAGTTAAATACTTCCCTTTTTTTCTTATTTTTTGTGTTTATTATTATACTTTAAGTTCTGGGATACATGTGCAGAATGTGCAGGTTTGTTTCATAGGTATACATGTGCCGTGGTGGTTTGCTGCACCCACCAACCCATCATCTACATTAGGTATTTCTCCTAATGCTATCCCTCCCCTAGCCCCCCACCCCCCAACAGACCCTGGTGTGTGATGTTTCCCTCCCTGTGTCCATGTATTCTCATTGTTCAACTCCCACTTATGAGTGAGAACATGCAGTGTTTGGTTTTCTGTTCCTGTGTTAGTTTGCTGAGAATGATGGTTTCCAGCTTTATCCATGTCCCTGCAAAGGACGTGAACTCATCCTTTTTATGTGGCACATATACACCATAGTATTCCATGGGGTATATGTGCCACATTTTCTTTATCTAGTCTGTCATTGATGGGCATTTGGGTTGGTTCCAAGTCTTTGCTATTGTGAACAGTGCTGCAGTAAACATACATGTGCATGTGTCTTTATAATAGAATGATTTATAATCCTTTGGGGACATACCCAGTAATGGGATTGCTGGGTCAAATGGTATTTCTGGTTCTATATCCTTGAGGAATCGCCACACTGTCTTCCACGATGGTTGAACTAATTTACACTTCCGCCAACAGTGTAAAAGTGTTCCTATTTCTCCACATCCTCTCCAGCATCTGTTGTTTCCTAACTTTTTAACGATCACCATTCTAACTGGCGTGAGATGGTATGTCATGGTGGCTTTGGTTTGCATTTCTCTAATGACCAGTAATGAGATTTTCTTCATGTTTGTTGGCAGCATAAATGTCTTCTTTTGAGAAGTGTCTGTTCATATCCTTTGACCACTTTTTGATGGGTTTTTTTTGTTTCTTGTAAATTTGTTTAAGTTCTTTGTAGATTCTGGATGTTGGCCCTTTGTCAGATGGATAGATTGCAAAAATTTTCTCCCGTTCTGTAGGTTGCCTGTTCACTCTGATGATAGTTTCTTTTGCTGTGCAGAAGTTCTTTAGTTTAATTAGATCCCATTTGTCTATTTTGGCTTTTGTTGCCATTGCTTTTGGTGTTTTAGTCATGAAGTCTTTGCCCACGCCTGTGTCTTGAATGGTATTGCCTAGATTTTCTTCTAGGGTTTTTATGTTTAAGTGTTTATGTTTATGTTTAAGTCTTTAATCCATGTCGAATTAATTTTTGTATAAGGTGTAAGGAAGGGGTCCAGTTTCGGTTTTCTGCATATAGCTAGCCAGTTTTCCCAACACCATTTATTAAATAGGGAATCTTTTCCCCATGGCTTGTTTTTGTCAGCTTTGTCAAAGATCAGATGGTTGTAGATGTGTGGCATTATTTCTGAGGCCTCTGTTCTGTTCCATTGGTCTATATATGTGTTTTGGTACCAGTATCATGCTGTTTTGGTTACTGTAGCCTTGTGGTATAGTTTGAAGTCAGGTAGCATGATGCCTCCAGCTTTGTTCTTTTTGCTCAGAATTGTCTTGGCTATAGGGGCTCTTTTTTTGGTTCCAGATGAAATTTAAAGTAGTTTTTTCTAATTCTGTGAAGAAAGACAATGGTAGCTTGATGGGGACAGCACTGAATCTATAAATTACTTTGGACAGTATGGCCATTTTCATGATATTGATTCTTCCTATCCATGAGCATGGAATGTTTTTCCATTTGTTTGTGTCCTCTCTTATTTCCTTGAGCAGTGGTTTGTAGTTCTCCTTGAAGAGGTCCTTCATATCCCTTGTAAGTTGGATTCCTAGGTATTTTATTCTCTTTGTAGCAATTGTGAATGGGAGTTTACTCATGATTTGGTTCTGTTTGTCTATTATTGGTGTATAGGAATGCTTGTGATTCTTGCACATTGATTTTGTATCTTGAGACTTTGCTGAAGTTGCTTATCAGCTTAAGGGGATTTGGGGCTGAGAAGATGGGGTTTTCTAAAAATACAGTCACGTCACCTACAAACAGAGACAATTTTGACTTCCTCTCTTCCTATTTGAATACCTTTTATTTCTTTCTCTTGCCTGATGGCTCTGGCCAGAACTTCCAATACTATGTTGAATAGGATTGGTGAGAGAGGGCATCCTTGTCTTGTGCTGGTTTTCAAAGGGAATACTTCCAGATTTTGTCCATTTGGTATGATATTGGCTGTGGGTTTGTCATAAATAGCTCTCATTATTTTGAGATACAGTCCATCAATACCTGGTTTATTGAGAGTTTTTAGCATGAAGGGGTGTTGAATTTTATTGAAGGTCTATTCTGCATCTATTGAGATAATCATGTGGTTTTTGTCATTGGTTCTGTTTATGTGATGGATTGCATTTATTGATTTGCATATGTTGAACAAGCCTTGCATCCCAGAGATGAAGCCGACTTGATCATGGTGTATAAGCTTTTTGATATGCAGCTGGATTCGGTTTGCCAGTATTTTACTGAGGATTTTCACATTGATGTTAATCAGGGATACTGGCCTGAAATTTTCTTTTTTTGTTGTGTCTCTGCCAGGGTTTGGTATCAGGATGATGCTGGACTTGTAAAATGATTTAGGGAGGAGTCCTTCTTTTTCTGTTGATTGGAATAGTTTCAGAAGGAATGGTACCAGCTCCTCTTTGTACCTCTGGTAGAATTTGGCTGTGAATCCATCTGGTCCTGGGCTTTTTTTGGTTGGTAGGCTGTTTGTTAATTAGTGCCTCAATATCAGAACTTGTTATTGGTCTATTGAGGGATTTGACTTCTTCCTGGTTTAGTCTTGGGAGGGTGTATGTGTTCAGGAATTTATCCATCTCTTCTAGAATTTCTAGTTTATTTGTGTAGAAGTGTTTATAGTATTCTCTGATGGTAGTTTATGTCTCTGTGGGATCAGTGGTGATCTCCCCTTTATCATTTTTTATTGTGTCTGTTTGATTCTTCTCTCTTTTCTTCTTTATTAGTCTGGCTAGTGGTCTACTTTGGTAGTCTTTTCAAAAAGCAGCTCCTGGATTCATTGATTTTTTGAAGGGTTTTTCGAGTCTCTATTTCCTTCAGTTCTGCTCTGATCTTAGTCATTTCTTGTATTCTGGTAGCTTTTGAATGGTTTGCTCTTGCTTCTCTAGTTGTTTTAATTGAGATGTTAGGGTGTTGATTTTAGATCTTTCCCATTTTCTCCTGTGGACATTTTAGTGCTCTAAATTTCCCTCTAAACACTGCTTTAGCTGTGTTCCAGTGATTCTGGTATGTTGTGTCTGTGTTCTCATTGGTTTCAAAGAACTTATTTATTTTTGCCTTAATTTCATTATTTACCCAGTAGTCATTCAGGAGCAGGTTGTTCAGTTTCCATGTAGTTGTGCGGTTTTGAGTGAGTTTCTTAAATTTGATTGCACTGTGGTCTGAGAGGCTGTTTGTTATGATTTCTGTTCTTTTGCATTTGTTAAGGAGTGTTTTACTTCCAATTATGTGGTCAATTTTAGAATAGTGATGTGGTGCTGAGAAGAATGTATATTCTGTTGATTTCGGGTGGAGAGTTCTATAGATGTCTATTAGGTCCACTTGGTCCAGAGCTGAATTCAAGTCCTGAATATCTGTGTTAATTTCCTGTCTTGTTGATCTGTCTAATATTGACAGTGGGGTGTTAAAGTCTTCCCCTGTGATTGTGTGGGAGTTTAAGTCTCTTTGTTGGTCTCTAAGAACTTGCTTTATGAATCTCGGTGCTCCTGTATTGGGTGCATATATATTTAGGATAGTTAGCTCTTCTTGTTGCATTGATCCCTTTACCATTAGGTAATGCCCTTCTTTGTCTCTTTTGATCTTTGTTGGTTTAAAGTCTGTTTGTTTTATCAGAGACTAGGATTGCAACCCCTGCTTTTTTTTTTTGCTTTTCGTTTGCTTGGTAGCTATTCCTCCATCCCTTTATTTTGAGCCCATGTGTGTCTCTGCACATGAGATGGGTCTCCTGAATACAGCACACTGATGGGTCTTGACTCTTTATCCAATTTGCCAGTCTGTGTCTTTTAACTGGGGCATTTAGCCCGTTTACATTTAAGGTTAATATTGTTATGTGTGAATTTGATCCTGTCATTATGACGCTAGCTGGTTATTTTGTGTTTGTTAGTTGATGCAGTTTCTTCATAGTGTTGATGGTCTTTACAATACACTTGTAAAGTTAAATGCATTCTAATTTAAAGTAAGCAAGGTCTTGATAAGCAGGTCATTGGAGATTTGGTGTCATCAATAAAAATTAATGTTATTGGGGTTTTAAAAATAAATATTAAATCAATGTGCCAGCTAACTGTTTGCACCAAGAATAGAGTTTGTAAAGAAGTCACAACAGACTCTCTAAGAGCAACACAATGCCTCTTTCATCCTTTTTTCCTTATCTTGGTTAATGCTATCTTGCAAGAAAGTCAACTTGTTATACAGAAAAGTATAAAATATTCTGAAGTTTGGAGATTAACATGGATATGTATAAATGCATATACACTCTGGTGTATACAAACTATTAAATTTGATAGTAGTATGATATTTATGCACATTTCTCCAATGTATTCTTGATTAAAAGGTTTTGAATGTGGTATGAATGTTAGATAGCTTACTGAAAGACTGTGCAAATGGCAAATGAACATGCTAGATACAATCTATGCCTTCATTTACTTGTCAAGTTCTAATTTATTATTGGGTAAACTCTAGAACTTCCACCTGAGAGTAATTTGGTTATGAACTGTTTATTATTTATTCATTTTTTCATCTTTGGCCTTCTAAACTTATGCATTAACTAAAATACATTTATGAGTTAAATTTATGAGTTAACTAAAATATTTAAGTAAAAATTCATCAAATCCCCAATAAAATAATTTAAATTTAAGGTGAGTCAGTGACTAGCTTCCAAAGATTAGCTTGTCCATTCTAGTTTTACTACTTAGGCTGCTGAGATAATCCTTGAATCTGAGTGAGCACCATTAGATAGATGACCCAACACTATCTGTTAAGCAATGCATTTGTTCTTCACCTGCTCTTTATGTGCTGCAAAGATCCAATACATTGAAACTTTCCATTCACCATAATGGCCAACCTGGTACAGAGAGCTTCACATTCTTCCATGCTAAAAGACAAAGCAGGATCATATTAGCATTCAGGATACAGAAAACTTGGGTTGAAGTTCATGAGCATAAGCATAATTGTTTCATTATGGCACTTGGAAATACTATTTTAGTTTTTTTCTTTTCTTTGTTATTTTTTTGAGATAGGGTGTCACTCTGTTGCCCAGGCTAGAGTGCAGTGGCTTGAACATGGCTTACTGTAGCCTTGACCTCCTTTGCTCTAGTAATCCTCCTGTCTCAGCCTCCTGAATAGCTGGGACGACAGATGTGCACGACATCTGGCTAATATTTTAATTTTAATTTTTTTTTGTAGAGATGGGGGTCTTGCCATGTTGCCCAGACCGTTCTTGAACTCCTGGGCTCAAGTGATCCTCCTGCCTTGGACCCCCACAAAGTGCAGGGATTACAGGCATGAGCCACCGTGCCTGGCCTAGTTTCTTGATTCTCTTTTAGTTTTTAGTTCTTTTAAAGGAGAACAAAAGCCAATCTCTTAAAATATAAATTAAATGTCTTCAGATAGGGTTTATTACTGTTTCTTCTAAAACCAAAGGCCATCTCTCTCTCACCTGGAATACCCGCTCCATCAAACCTAGTATTTCTTTCAATCTTTGATTCAAGACCTACACTTCCTTAGAAGTGTTTCCAAAATAACACTAAGCTTTTTCCATTATGCTACGTACCCCATATTCTGTTGGCTTTCCTATTTTTGGATTTATAACTAGTTGGCCTGTACTTGATTATACAGTCTCTAATTTCATGGTCTATCATAATTGGAGGTGATTTTAGGTATTACCCTGTCCACCTCTTACAAAAGCCAATGGAAATTAAATGATTGGCTCCATTGTGCTGGGGCAAACTATGATATAAACAAGTCTCTTGATAATAAGCAAATCTAATACTTTTTCTACTATATGACAATTATAATGCAAACATAAACTTAATACAAATTATAAGACAAGGCCATCCTCATAAGAGAGGCATGGATAAAATGATTTAGTATCTCCTATACTTAGCTGATTGGAAGTGTCTGCTTTGTGGAGGAGAGGTATGTGAGCTGGTTCTGGAAGGACTGGTAAGATTAGAAGTTGGAGAGATTTTGTGAAAAGACCATTTCAGGCCAGGCGGGGTGGCTCATGCCTGTAATCCCAGCACTTTGGTAGGCCAAGGGGGTGTATCATTTGAGGTCAGGAATTTGAGACCAGCCTGGCCAACATGCTGAAACCCTGCCTTTACTAAAAATACAAATATTAGCCGGGCATGGTAGTGGGCACCAGTAGTCCCAGCTTCATGGGAGGCTGAGGCAGGAGAATTGCTTGAACCCGGGAGGTGGAGGTTGCAGTGAGCAGATGTTGTGCCACTGTACTCCAGCCTGGGTGACAGAGTAAGACTCTGTCTAAATAAAAAAAATTAAAAAATAAAAAAAAAATTTCAAATAGAAAGCACAGCCAAAGAAGGGGCTTGGAGATGGGAAAGGGTATGGAGATGGGAAGAATGCAGAACCAGGAAGGAGTCATCCAGATTGACTGATAGGAGAGGGTGTTGCAGGGGAAAAAGACTGAGCATTTAGATGAGGCCATAGAATGGAGAGCCTTGCATGTTGAGCCTAAAGATTCTGAACTTTATTTGACAGGCAATAGGGAGCCACAGACGAGTTAAGAGGGCCATAAGTCATGAGAAATTCGATGTTAAAAAGACTGCTTAGACCTTAGACTCCGTCCCACCACAGGAACTATATTCTCACCATGAAACCTGCCTGACTTGCTCCTACTACTATAAATATAAAATAGTTTGATTGAACTGTGGGCATTCGTTGTCTATATATATACATATATTTGTGTGTATATATTTTGTATGTGTGTATATATATATATACACACACATATATATGTATGTGTATATATTTATTTATGTTATACAGGATTACCTTTTCCCACCTGTCATCCTAAGACTGTGTGGATTCGCTTTAAAGATTCCACTCAGTTTACCTGTGAGATGTGAGGATGACGGAACATTTGTTCTGTACTTCTTCTGAAATGATCTTCCAGAGGTGCCGTTTCGACTTCGGATCCATGCCAGAGCTCGGCTCATCCTTAATAGAAAGTTACAACAAAAATTTATCAAATTAATTAATTTTTGATGAAGTTCTTTTCATGAATTACTGCATTTCACTTCCCTAGAACAGAAATACTTTTCGAGGTCCTGTGACTAACTTGTTTTATACTTAATAGACTTCTTTCTGCTGCTGTCAAAAAGTTCAAAATTAATCATTTAAAATTGTCAATCTGTTTCAAAAAGTGTCTAAGTGAAGTTGACACCCTGTTACTTTACATCCGTCTCTTATGTTTCTTTGGAAAAAAATTCCACTTCAATTACTGGCAAATTCTTATATTTAATTCTATCTTGCCACATATATAAGCCACATCAACAAGATTACCACCCTGTTCCTGGTAGCAGAATTGTGGCTATGAGTGATAATATGCTATGTGAAACAGAAAGAACATAATTTGATATTTCAGTTAATTTGTTTGAGATATATTTTTAGTTTTCTGTTATTAATTGAAATCTAACACTCCTTGGGAAATAAAAACAAGATTTGTAGAAATTGCCAAGTAGAAAGATGTACGTTATTTTTCAAAGTAAATGATGTTATGAAAAATCATTCAGACAGAAAATGTAGCAGTAGATAATCTAAACATACAATAACAGGTTTTGACAGATGGTTAAACAAACTATAGGGCAAGATTAGGTAAAAATTTAAAAAATATACTTGTAACAAAGAATATGTACATAACTAGAGGCTTGTTTTTACAGAATGATGTAAAATCTAAAGAAAGGAATGGGTTATGTGGAAGCTAATATAGTTGAGCTCATAGAAGTGGAGAGTAGAATAATGGTTACTGGAGGCTGGAGGCATAGCGGGGAGAGGAGGATAGAGAGAGATTGGTTAATGAATACAAAATTACAGCTAGACAAGAAGCATAAGTTCTAGTGGTCTATAGGGTGACTATAGTTAACAATAATTTCTTGTATATTTTCAAATAGTTAGAAGAAAGGATTTTGAATGTTCCCAACACAAGGAAATGATACATATTTGAGGTGATAGATAAGCTAATTACTCTGATTTGATCATTACATATTGTATACAGGAATCAAAATATCACACTGTACTCCATAAATATGTATAATTATTATGTGTCAATTAAAATGGTAGTTAAATAATTTTTTAAAAAATAAAGAAATTAGTGTTAATTTGGGGAAACAAAGGATACATTGTCACTGCTCCTGTTTTTGAAGAAGATAGCATATTTAGTAAATGCATATAGAAGAAAACTTGGTATCTTTCATGTCAATATTTCATTTTGGTTCATTAATGCATAATGTTTACATAAAATGTCTAACATTTTAAAGTACTTTACATTTGTTATTTCACAGAGGTGCCTAAAGATTGTTTTGTTCAATTTAAGGAACATTTACACAATAGAATTCCATTATAAGCATCGATTGGCAGAGATATAATGCATTATAAGCTTCTGGTATTATAGAAAGATGGGCTGTGCATCACTTTATCTGGCAGTTGAAATGATTTGATCCACTGTATGACTTAATCCCTGGAATAATGTGGTGATTTATAGCTGCATTATGATTCCTTATAGTTAAGGCTCTTTCAGAGTTTGGAGGTCCTTGAATGAACGGGATTTTCCAAAATAAGGGCAAGTATATTTTTCTGAAATAACCATCCTTTGACAAAGTTAGACTTGGGGTGCAGAATATTAACATTACTACTATGTGTAATTTATATTTCCAGGTAATCAATTAAATTTTCCATCTCTTAAGAAAAATGTAAATGTGGAATGCATTTCTTCCCCACCCTATACCCCCCACATTCAGATGACATAGGATGGATCCATCACATCCTAAGCTAGATAACTCATATTTTAAAGTAACAAGGAAATAAAATTTTAGCACAACACATTGTCCTAAAATGTGTCTGTCCTCCATAGTAGAAGCTGGAAAATGTGAGTTTACCTACTCAGTTCCTAACAGAAAAAGAGAGATGATTTCTTCAATAGGTGGGAATCAGATGCTACCATATTCCGTAACTTACTCATTTGAGTACCCTGAATTTGTTTCACTTCCCATTTCCATGCCAGTGTTTCCTTGGAAACGCACTAAGCTATTGCTTTCAGATAAAACATTTTTGAGAGCATATTGTTGTGGTAACAAATTATTTGCTGATATAAAATCCTTTATTGAGATAGTATACATAAAGTGCTTTGCACAATAGCTAGCACATAGTGAGACCTCAATAAATGTTGACTGCAATCATGATGATGAAATGTTAACACATGCAATCAGATATGCTGTTCTAATTATGGAGTGGCCTGTTTAAATAATGATTCTCTTACCAGCAGTAGAATGGAAGGTTTCCCTATCAAGGCCAGTGCAGTGGATAATTTTCTTTTTGTGCCATAACTGCACATAGAGGTAGCTCTGTCCTTGAAGGGCATCAGGTGAAGTCTCCTAAGGAGTTTATGAACAGTCTGTAGGCAATAAAAGGGGAGTTAGGTTGACCTTCCTGTGCCAAAACCCTTAAAGCACTAAATGGAAAAAAAAAAGATGCTCATGAAAAGAAAATGTTATCATGGAGAATATATCTGGAAAAAAATGAAAACACTTAAATTCAACATAGATTTTATTTTCAAAGAATCACTTAAGGATTAATAGTTTATTTAAAGAGATTCTTTGGAGGCTCATTTTCAGATGGGATTCCCTCCCCCACCAAACGTGTGTGTGTGTTTACAATTGCAGATTGAACTTTTTGCTGCATTACCACAAGATTCTCTAGTAAGGCTTAATAGAGCTGAAACAGAATTCACAAGACAGGATTCTCACTGACTGTTACCCCTGCGTCCTCTTTCTCCTTACTGAGGGGTGAGTTGTCACAAAGGCTTTCAATCTATTTAAAACTGACCCAGTACCAAAACGTTAGCACATTAGGAATCATGGGTTCTTGCAGTTATTTCTGAAGTTAAATAGTCCTGGCAAATAATGAAATCCTAGTTGAATTTAAACAACAGGTCCTCAGGATTTCAAAAGTAGAAGAAACTGCCCTAAGGGTCAGCCATCTCATTAAAATGGCAAATAGTTGCAGTGAGATCTAAAGCCACAGATTAAAAACCAAAGTGGAAACGAATCTATTTTACTTGGGCATTTTGCCGTTAACTGTATGTGTCAGTGCTAATCCAAACACTAAAAGATGTATAGGCCTCACCACCCAGTGCTCAGCCCAGAGCCTAATGCAAGTGTGATCCTGTATTTGACAGTTCTTAAAAGGGTAACTGAACAAACACGGGCCAAGGAGTTTCTAAAGCTAATTTCATAGGTGCATATATAATGCACATGACCAAACTAAGAGGGACTCACTGCCATTGCCACTGCCAGAAGGAAAATGACAATGTTTTCCAGGTGGTTTTGAGGGGAAATGGTGGGGCAGGGGGGACAGTGGGTGTGGTGGGGTGGGGGATGGAAGTAGAAACAATAATGGTTTCAAATTAAGTAATTTTTCACACTTGTACTCACTTCTTTAATATCCTTTTCTGGAATTCCATGTACCCTGGCATAGAAATACAAATGTTCTTCCACAGTTACCAGGTCATCTAAGGCATCTTCCTGAGGACAGTAGCCAACTAATGAGCTGTGAGAATCAACGTGACCCAGAGATCTGAATTGAGAGAATCAAAAACACAGATGAATTTCAAAAGATTTATCCCTCCTGGTTCCCAAATGCTGGGAAGGTAGCTCTATTTTGGTCATGGTGGTCAGTGACTTTGATAAAAAGGGATAAAATAATCCCACTATCAAATTCACATTTAAACATTTAAACATTTCCACCCACCTTAATAGCTTTGTTCTCCCCTAAGGACTGAATAATATAACCACAAAATAACATTAAATGTTCATTTCAATTATTTTTCTCATTTAAGTATGTTGTACTCGCTAAATTGAAGCATTAGTTTTTCATACCCGGTCTTATTTCTGATCAGAATGTTTCCACTTGAAGGAATGATGTCTCCTGTCAGCATCTTGAATATAGTGGTCTTTCCTGCTCCATTCACTCCAAGAAGCCCAAAACACTGGTTTGAGGGAGAAAAAGAAGATATAAGCCTTAATCCAAACCAATGAGACATTGCTTTTGTATCTCTCCCTCTTCTCCCTGGGTGAAATAAATTACCGAGAAAAATAAATCTCTGGAATTATTCATGGATAGTGTAATGCTCTTGATAAAACTTTCTTTTTTAAAACAAATGGATACCATGTATTCTTTTTCCTTTAACCATCTGAATATATATATATATATATATACACACACACACACACACACACACACAGGACCTATTTTACATGTTATGTTATATCATCCCTCTATGTGACATGATAAAATACCCCACAAATAAGATCTGCTAACCCAACAAAGTAATTATATTTATACATTTCACATTATTCACACAAAATCACAACTTCACTGAATAAACTATCGCGGCAATAGTTTCTTCGTACTGTCAAATTTGATGCGTGTAGTTTGCAGCTCTGCTTAGAAAACCAAGTGGCACAGCCAGATTTGCTTTCTCTTTTCAATGCTGCCTTAATATCGCTTCTGTGAAAATGGCAAGAATATAAATAAATAGATGCAGTCCTAGGACCTCACTTCTGAAAACTGATGTCTTTATGATGTTTTTTGGGGAGGACTGGAAATGAAAGGGTGAAGACAGCACCCTGAACAGGCTTCCTGACCAAAGTCTACCCCACAGTAAGTGGACAGTAGTTTAGGAAGGGGCTCAGAACTTGCTGTGTGGTAGGACCTGTTGAATTCCCTCCGCCAAGCGGGAAGACTCATAGGGTAAATAATAATAACTTTTGCACCAACCTAATACCTGGACATGTGTAAATTATATATACAGTCAGCCCTCCTTATCCGAGTTTCTAACCTTTGGATCCAAAGGTTTGATTGAAATATATTCAGGGGGAAAAAATCATCTGTACTGAACATGTACAGACTTCCTGTGTTCTTATTCCCTAAACAATACACGATAACAACTATTTACATAGCATTTACATTGCATTGGGTATTATAAGTAATCTAGAGATGATTTAAATATACAGTGGGATGTGCATAGATTATATGCAGTACTACAGTACTACATTATTTTATATCAGGGACTTGAGCATCTGTGGATTTCTGTGGATTTTGATATCCTTGGGGGTCCTGGAACCAATCTCCCATGGATATGGAGGGATGACTCTATATGTGTATACATATATATGTGTATATGTGTGTGTATATATATATATGTGTGTGTATATATATATCTGTGTGTGTGTGTGTGTGTGTGTGTGTGTGTGTGTGTATATATATGCATGTGTGTATATTTTCCCATGGAAATATTCAGATTAACATTTATATTTCTAGAAAAAAATTGTGGGAAAATAATTAAGATTTTTTTTTTTTTTGAGGCAGAATCACTCTGTCACCCAGGCAGGAGTGCAGTGATACAATCTTGGCTCACTGCAGCCTCCACGACCCAGGTTCAAACTATTCTCGTGCCTCAGCCTCCCGAGTAACTGGGACTACAGACGTGCGCCCCCATGCCTAGCTAATTTTTCTATTTTCAGTAGAGACGTGGTTTCACCATGTTGGCCAGGCTGGTCTCAAACTCTTGACCTCAAGTGATCCACCCACCTCGGCCTCCCAAAGTGCTAAGATTACAGGTGTGAGCCACTGTACCTGGCCAATAATTAAGATTTTAATTTGTCACATAGTATGCCAATGAAAAGGACAGTTAGAAACAAAACACAGTTTCTTACCTCTCCAGCAGGTATCCCAATGCTGATGTTGTTTACAGCTATAATCTTTTTGTGGATAAGTTGGTAGGTCTTTGTGAGACAATAAAGTTGGACCAAGTCAAATTCAGCTGCACCACTCTCAACTCTTAATCTCTCAGCCCGCACATCTTCATCCTCATCTATTGTCTCCCTTACATGTGAAGAATTAAATTTTCTGAAGAAAAGCCTAAAAATGGACCCAGTGATTTTACGTCAATGATTTTGAAATGACAGCATTCAATTTTGACATGTTTTGATGGGTTTTCATGTCACTAACAGTGTACTAGTCATCATTAGACTTCTTTTACATTTGTAATGAATTATGCTACTCAGATAACTTAAATCAGTATAGACCCTCCTCACTGTATTCACTATATTTGTGAAACAGCTTTTGTTCTCCATGCCTTAAATGTTTACAGATCCACTGTTAAGATTTATAATTCTAATTTCAGTAATAAGGAATACAGTAAGTATATGTTTGAAGGTTAGTTCCTAACAGAGGAACTAAGGAACTCCAGAATCATTAGGAAAACTCATCATCTACAAACCTAAGACCAATGATCACCTTTTAAAAAAATCCTTTCATCCAGGTGTAGTGGCTCACACCTATAATCCCAGCACTTTGAGAGGCCGACGGATCACCTGAGGTCAGAAGTTCAAGACCAGCCTGGCCAACCTGGCAAAACCCTGTCTCTACTAAAAATACAAAAATTATCCAGGCATGGTGGTGCACACCTGTAGTCCCAGCTACTCAGAAGGCTGAGGCAGGAGAATTGCTTGAACCTGGGAGGCAGAGGTTGCAGTGAGCCAAGATCACGCTACTGCACTCCAGCCTGGGCGACAGAGCAAGACTCCGTCTCAAAAAAGAATGTTTTTTTCAATTAAATTTAAAAAGCCTCTCTTCTTTTTAATTTTAGAAACAGCATAAGATCTACCCTTTTAACAAAATTTTAAGTGCATAATACAGTATTGTTAACTATAGGCACAATATTGTACCGCAGATATATCTACTTTTATAATCATCAATAATATGAATACTATTGTTATTCTGTACTTGTTTTACTAATGTCTCACCTAGGATTTAGCCAATATTTTAAGGTTATCAGCCCTCCAAACTCATTAAGTCCCAAACCCACCTTGATATATTGGCTAACAAATACCAAAAAAAAAAAAAATTTAAAGAAATCAATCCAGGCTTTCTTCCCAATGTCCCTGTTTCTTCTGATGAGATCCCCAAAGACCCCAACTGTAATGTTTCTTCTAATCTTCCTTATTCCAAAATCATGTAGTCAGTCTCCAAATACTGGAAATGCCTTTTTTTTGTTGTTTTTTTTTTTTTTTTGAGACGGAGTCTCGCTCTGTCACGCAGGCTGGAGTGCAGTGGCGCCATCTCGGCTCACTGCAACCTCCGCCTCCTGGGTTCAAGCAATTCTCGTGCCTCAGCCTCCCGAGTAGCTGGGATTACAGGTGCGTGCCATCACGTCCAGCTAGTTTTTGTATTTTAAGTAGAGATGGGGTTTCACCATGTTGGCCAGGCTGGTCTCGAACTCCTGACCTCAGATGATCTGCCCGTCTTGGCCTCCCAAAGTGCTGGGATTACAGGCGTGAGCCACCGCACCTTATAACACCCTATCGTGGATTATTTTCTGCCTAGTCCTATAGGCTTTTATTCTTCTCACCTAGATTTCTCCAGGAGCTAAAACTGCTCCAGGGTCTCTGACTCTTCCATTCCAATCTGCACTCCATCTACAAAATTACACTTCTTCAAGCACAACTTGATCATGTTTCTCTCTGTTCAAAAACTCTCAATGAATGTCCATTTGTTTGTTGAATAAAGCCCAAACCATATTTCTTTACCAAGCATTTAAGAGATTCCATAATCTCCCAACCACATGTTAAACTGTAACTCCTACTTTTTCATTACATTTATTCTGTTCTGATTAAATTGTAATACTTCTTTCTTAAATATGCTCTTAATATATTTCTCTATCTCTGCTCTTTTATTTCCTCTCATTGTTTACTTAACATTGTATTTTTCAATAGGTGATACATGTACATGTCATTAAAATTTAAATGGTACCGAAGATGACAGTAAAAACTGGTCATCTTCAACTGTATATATCTCTCATCAGCAGAGGCACTCACAATTAGAGATAGTCTATGGATATGTCTGCATAAATATTTCTTTTCTTTTTAACTTGAATGGCAATATACTTTACACATAGTTCTGAACCTTGCATTTTTAAATAAGTAAATATTAAAGACACTTCCAAATGTTACATAGAGAACTATATCATTTTTTCTAATGGCTGTTTAATGTTCTATTAGTGAATCTATGTATATAATTAAACTAGTCCCTAAATGAAGGACGTTTATGTTGTTTCTATTCTTTTGGTATTAGAAATGGTTACCATGATGAATAACTTTAAACATACATAAGTAAGTCTGTGTATCTGTGACCATATATGCAAACATTCCAGAAATGGAATTGCTGGGTCAATGGCATGTGTATTTCTTCTCATTTATGATGCTGTCTTCACTTTTTCTTAATCTTCTTTTCCCAAACTCATTGCCAACATGCTCCACACTCAATCCTCTTTCCCCATTTCTGCCTTGAAAGTGTTTTCCATTTTCCCAAACTCAACTCAAAGACTACATCTTTTGTTCATTTACATATTTTCACTTCACCACTGTACCTTAATCTATTTAAGGTTAACAACTGTGCTTATTTAATTTTATTCCCTCACTCAACAGCAATAGTTGCAGTCACATATTAAGATTTGATAACTACTTACTAGAATAAAATAAATAGTGAATTATGCTAGAATTTTTTAAAAGTTTTTGAGCCAAACATTTCCATATTACCAATGGAAAAGCTTAGACTATTGACTTCTTTCTCAATAGGTTGAATTGAGTTCTGTTTTAGATGTCAAACGTTATGTTTTCATTATATTTACCTGAGTTTCTTTATCAGGGATTCGTTGATTAAGAGTCGCAAGGAAAAAAACATGGTGCCCTGAGAAACCAAAGCCACAAACATTGCACCTAGTTTATTCATCTCAAAGGTTTCATTTGGGTATTCCACTCCATATGCTTTTAAGAAGTCTAGGACCGACTGTTGTTGAGAAAGTTCAATCAAACCGTAGCCAAAACAGAATTGTGGGAAAATCAGGAAAATGCGCTTGAGGGTTTCAGAAATAAGTTCTAAAGTCTGAAATAAGAGAAATAAAAATAAAACTCAGTGTTAAGTTTCCAAAAAGCTGACAAAAATTTAAAACTAGATGGATGTAGACAAATAGTGAAACCTAAAAAGCTTATCTAGATTGGCAATTATTTCCCATATAGGCTGAATTTGCATACAAATATTTAGTATACTAAATGGTGGATGTTTATCACTGAAATACAAGCAGAAAATCATTATATGAGGCCACCTATAATGTTGGACCTAATCCTGGAGGCAAAATTATTTCTAGACCTACCTTTAATCCCAGGAATGTAGGGCTAGCCAGTGTGTTGGGGTCTGTTACACGGTATCATTATGTGCCTGAGGGAGGGAGGTACTTGGTACAGTAAAGTTTTGGAACCCAAGGTAATCCCTACTTGGAGAGGGACTAAAATGCTGAAATGAGGTAGAAGAAGAGCCAACATGTCTCGAAGAGGGACAAATAGCTCATTTTCACATTATTCACACGTGGGCCAACTACTTCCACTTCATGAATTTTCTTCCTTCTCCCAGAGTATGCTTGTCTAGTCCTCAGTTCACTTCATTTCCTCTCTATTCTTTTCTGTTCAATTGCCTGACACTGTTAGTGCTTCTCTTCTCACTAATCGTAATTGTCAGCTCTGAATGGAAAGTGATGCTTACAATGAAGTAGTCTCCAATACATGATTGAAAGGGGATGAATTAGGTTTTTTCTCTATGAATGTTCAAATGAATCAAAGCTCACAGTCATATAACTAAGTCGTTGTCCTTGTCACCACCATACCATAAGAACTTGTTAATGAGTAAGATGTTTAGCTGACCAATGGTTGCGTGATTTATGTAGTGCCGCACAATACATCTGATTTCACCTCTGTCACCACATTCAAGCCCTATCAGGTGTCAATAGTTTTGACGCTCAATACATACAATGATAGGCATTAACTTAGATGAGGCCCAAAAAGAATTTTAAAAGCTGTAGTTTCTCCTCTCCCAAATTTAATAGAATCAAATGATATTCTTCTTTTTTATGTAGAATAAATAAAATCTTTCCACCTGGAACATGTTGAAGCTTTTGATAAATTCACTGAAATAAGGGACCTTACCGGATCATTAGGCTTTTCCTTGGAAAGAAAGTATACCACTGACAGGGAAACAATGGAATTAATGCCAAAAAACAAGTTGACACAGACGTAAGTGATGAAGGCCATTCCTGTTTCATGGAAGAGCCCAGCCAGCAAGTACATCCAGGAAAATGTTGCATACCTGCAGGTTAAAAACACAAAGAATTAAAATTACGCCTCGGCCAGGCATGGTGGCTCACACCTGTAATCCTAACACTTTAGGAGGCTGAGGCAGGTGGATCACTTGAGCCCAGGAGTTTGAGACCAGCCTGAGCAACTTGGCAAAACCCTGTCTCTACAGAAAAATATGAAAATCAGCCAGGTGCGGTGGCACGCACCTGTAGCCCTGGTTATTTGGGAGGCTGAGGTCGGAGGATCAAGCTGTGGTGAGCTGTGATCATGCCACTGCACTCCAGCCTGGGTGACAGAGTGAGATCCTGTCTCAGAAAAGAAATGCCTTAATTATTCTATTTTACAAAAAATAACAATTTAGATGGGCTTCCAAAGTAAAAATAACCATTAGGGATGAGTTGTCAAGCCTTCTAACTAGATCTCTCTTTCATTCCTTTTTGACAAAAAAAATCCAAAGAGTTTTTTTTAAAGACAGTAAAAAGCCTCTTTAAGAAACCTTGAGTAGTTCTACATCATTAAAACTACAAATTAATCCCTCCTGAATATGGTATTATCCCGCCTAGGCAAGCCTTTTAGGTTGCTCAGAAATATGAGTTTAATCAGTATAAATCTTATAATTTAAAGTTGAGGAAAAGTAATGACACTGTTCAAGTCTAGCTGAGCAGAAAGAGCATGCTTAGAAGCTGGCTAGCCTGTTTTGAGCAAAACCTTGAGCAATTTGGGGGGCAATTAAATAGATCTAGAGACAGAGTTCCTGCATTAGCTACAATTGCTAATTAAGGGTTACTACCATGTATTCAGGGCAGAAAGATTTGTTATGCTAAGCATTGATTATATCAGCCTGTGTTACCTGTATTAGCTTAAGATAGAAACAATATTATGTGTGTGTCCTTATACATCTATAAAAAGATAAATATAAGTAAGTATACATGAAGGTATATGCACTTCATAATGCTACATATACTCATATAGTCAATACATAAATTTATACATGTATACACATTTTCTCATCATTCTAAAGCTTTCATTTTTATGTAAATGAGATCACATATGTAAATTAGAAAGCATGACACTTGGCACCCAATAAATGCTTATTAATTTTAGGTATTACTATTAATAACAACATTAATTTTCAAAAGTATTATACTTTGCAGTCTATGGACTAGCAAGTGCAATGTGTTGTTAGTCATCACTCATGTCAAATGAAACCCCAAGACAATTGTAATTTAGCTAATGAGATTTAAGTCCTATTTGTGTCTAGGGGCATTTAATTCTATTAATTCTTCTTTCATTGCTTAATCAGCAGCTTACCCAAACAGGAGAAGTAGGAGAGATACAGCGCCTAGGTTGTTTTCACTGTAGAATGCAGGTAATTTGAAAATCGCAATGATACCAATTGAAAACGCTACAGGCACCAAGTAGAAAACCTATGGAAATATTCAAAACAATGTTTAATACGTGACAAGCATTTTTCAAAAAAAAAAAAATCAATAACCCATCTAGTTTAAAACTGCAACAAGTTGACCTAGAAAAATTTGAAGAAATGAATTCTTATTTATGTTCCCATTGCTTCTAACATTCAACTTATTTTACATTGATTTCACTTTAGAATTTGTCTCCTGCAATATGAGGTTAAGCCAATCTCCATCTTTAACAGATATACAAGGAGTCCCTGGTGTTCCTGCCTCTAGGCTTTGAGACTTGGGATGGTTCAGTGACAGAGGTTCAGTGAGAAAGATAAGACAGCCAGGTATCTTGGTATTACATTCAGTCCTCAAAGTATTGATTTCGTTTTGAATGCTGGAACTTTCTCAGATGGTTGATTTCTAAAGCTTGGTTATCAGTGTGAACCACTCTGTGCAAAGCAGCAGGGCATCAGGTCCCACATATCCTCATAATCACAGGTATACGAACAAAGAACTTAGCATTTTGTTGGCAAGTAGAAATATTTATTAAATGCTGAGGAGTTTGCAGGAAGATGGACACAATGAAGGTGGTGGTAACTTAATTTGCAGGGTGGGGAGGAATCTCCTAAATTGGAATGAGCTCCAGATATAAGACAACAGAATCCTAAAGTACTAAGTAGACCTTCACAGAAGTATGTACTTGAAATTTTCTTAACATTAAAGCTCCTGTTAAGTCCTGAGAAGTCATTACTATTCTTTTAGATTTGACTTCTACAACAAACACATTTTAGACCTCACTGGATACATTAACAAAATGGATATGCAGTTAATTACTCTCCAACCCTTTAAGCCGATGATCTTGACAGCAACTCAGACAATTTCACCATAATCACCAGGCAAATGCATACCCATCCTGGGCTTTTGGCCAACATTGGTATGTTTGGAGTCCAGAACAACCATCTGAACTTGGGACCATTTTATGCAAATGAGAGAGCTATCAATGAAATACATCCCTTCTTTTTCCTACTAATCTTCTCTAATGTGTCATTAGCAGGGGCTACTACTTCGCATTTTCCACTATTAGTTGATTAAATTTTTATAAGCTTGATTGTTTGGCACAATTACGTAAGGATATTTTGCTGCTAAGCTTCTATTTCTCCACAGTACTGACTGTAAGACTTCAGCGTGCTTAGAATCACCTGGGGGATCTTTTTAAAAATGCATGTTCTCCACGCTCCCCTCCTAAGATATGAATTTAACAGATCTGGAGTGAGGCCCAGAAATCCTCATTTTAAGTGCCCTAGAGAATCTGATATAGTCCACAGAGATGAGGGCCGGTAGGTTATGTTTCCTCCAACCACTGGATGAAGATAAGCCTGACTCAAGTCATTTTCTTTATTTCCTGTCTTTGTGATAACAATTTGAACAAACTAGAGTAAATAACTCTTGAATAGAAAACTGATGTCTTCTATCCAAATTGATCTTTTATTCCCTGCAATGAAGGACATAAGTTACTCACCATGTCATAAATGAAGTTTGTTACCCAGTAGCATGTCACGCCAATGCCTGAAATGTGCTGCAACTGTTTGGCTTTGGTTTGATGTTCCCTTACAACATAGGTGACAAAGCTGGCGGTGGTGACAGAGTAGCCCATCAAGATAGACAGTGCCACTAAAATATCGATTAAACTGCTGATTCTAGAGTGAGCAATAGGGAGAGGAAAACACACATAAGTTTTTGAAACTCTTTTCCTTTCAGAAAGATTCATAACTAAAACCATCAAGAAAACAGTACAAGAGTTGGCTGTGACACAAATAAGGCATCCTGCAAGGCAGCCAGATAATATTTCCAACGTGACTCTACCATGACCCTAGAATAAATGTAGTTCTAGTGCATCTGAATTGACTAGGGATATTTGATAGAAAAACCTCGGTCTCCAACGGTTACAGAGTCTATGCAAGGGATATATCATTCTTGAGCATAGGAACCATACTTAATTGCTATGCAGGGAAGTTGAAGTGATGTAGCACTTATCACTTGACTTATAAAAGCAGCAAACGCTGTGAGTCTACAGTCAACAAGCTCTACTTGGCAAGCCCACTCTACACCCTTGCAGAAACTTCCTTTGATCCCAGTCAGTGACATATTACCAGCCCTTCTAGATTGACATTCATTCAGATACAACTGTGATTTCCAATTACAGCACTTTATACAAAGGCTCAGCTATGTCAAGGAGAAAGTAGTCATGCTAGAGATATCTGCTTACGTGGCTTGTTCTTGGTCTTGCACTCCTGGATAAGGATGGCTATACATGATGATGCCTTAAAGACGAAACAGTTCTTCTATTAGTAGGTATTCAGTTAATCAGAAATACCAATTTTTAGATGAATAATATTCAACACTTTCCTCCTTATATTATTATCTAAACAATTTTATTTGGGGGACCTTTTTTTTTTAAAGGAAAATTATTTTTCCCCTAATCCCATTAATGCCATACAATTGGTGGCACTCACATAAAAAGAAGTTTTTCACATTGTGTTTAGAACCTTTGGGAAGGGAGCAAGAATTTGTATTTCTTATATTGCATTTCTCTCTAGTGTGTTATATTTAAATAAGTATGTTCCATTTTTTTCCTTCTATCTGGTCATATATATGTTTGTATTTCAACAGCACTTCAGACATGTATTACATTTAAATAAGCAATTCAAAGCAGGACCAATTATTTATATGAGGATCCCTTAAAGAGCAGACAGTTACTTCCCCCATCCCTCTTTAGTGCTGTCTGTGTTGGGGAAATAGTGTAGCCTGAGTGGACTCCTCCTTCCCCTTTATTGCTTCTAAGATGCTTATTTTTCTAGAGCTCTACCAGAGTAGGGCTTGGGAACTTCAGCCATACCCGAGGCCTTTTCATTGAGACATAAATATCCAAGAGGATTCAGAGATATTAGCTGGCTTCAGAAAAGTGGTCACTTAATTCCAATACAGTCCCAAATTGCTGGGATCTCCCAGTGTTGTTTATACTTGAGTAAAAAACAAGGCTCTTTTCTTCCCTTCCTTAGGGGACCTTGGTTAGCCAAAGTCAAGAATGAGCTGTCAACAGTTTCCCAAAGGAAAACAATGTGAGGGTAAAGTGTGTACTGTCTGAGCGACTGTGGAAAAGAGTGGTAGGGGATGCCACTGAAGAAAGCTCCTAAATACTTGTTCCTATAGTGTCATAAACTAAGTGAGAGCTTTCTCACTTAACTGTTCATATAGTATTTGTTCATTGTACTAGGATGTTAAGGCCCTTGCACAGCACTGAATATTATAGATGATTCTAAAGGCAGATTTTCTCAAGTTACATTTGTAATTTTCATTAAGTAGAATGTAACATCCTTTGAATTTGAGTTCTGTAACTCTTGTATATTAAAGAAAAAATATATGGTTAAAGCAAGAAACTAACAACAACAAAAACCAAGTTGATTTATAATGTTAATCACATCATTGGAGGGATATACTTTTCTTATCTTTTGTATAAATTAAGGGGCCCTTTTTAACTGAGATTCAGTTTTCCTGGGGGCTCTACTTAAACCCTAATGGTAAATTATTATATAGGTAAGGGAGAACTTTTCTTTTATTTCTGCTTTGTATTTCAGAATCAAGAAATACTCTATTTCACCAGAGGAATCCTTGCAAATACATTTTACTCCACTATGCAAAATCCTGTGGAACCAGTTTTTTATACATATTTTTAGCTGAAAGATCAAGGAAATGTGTCACAGTTGGGGACCTGTATCATAATTATCTCTGTAGGTTCTACAGCATCCAGCATGATGTCCAAAGTAGCGAGATTGGTCAGTAAATGCTTTTAAATGAACTCAAATCTTAAAATTTCAATTAATATTTTTCTTACATATAATGTATATTAAAAATAAGACATCTTCTGATGTCTCTACAGTTATAAACCTTAATTTAGATGCTTCCCATGGACCACTGCTTCTAATGCAACAAAGTAAGAATAAACACTGGAGTGGAAGGGACAATGTGTTAGTATTCTTGAAAAAGAGCCTAGTTGTATAACATTTGTTAAGGAAAACAAGCAAACCTGTATTTTTTGAGAAGAAAGAACAGAATTTTCATGTTATATTAACCACTAGAGGGAACCACATGAATAGAATAGATATTGACATTGCAAAGGAAAGCTAATTAAAAGATTTTTATTAGCATGTTAGAATTCAAAGAAAATCAATTTTATAGTTAAAGTAAAAACCCAATTCATGCAAAATCTAACAAAGATGCCTTCAAACAACTAGTGTGTTAGAGGGAGGCAGTGGGAGAATAATTGGGTTGATTTTTAAAACCAGTAACATTATTACAATGGTAGATCTCATATATGCATTAAGAAACAATAAAAGTAAGTTAGGGTGATGTAGCACTTCTTCTTTGAAAGAGATCGAGTTCCTTCCAGAGAGAGTGGAAACTTACCACTTCCGTAAGTCTATTTAAGAAAAATTATTAGAGGCTAGAAGACATACTATTACTAATTTCTATATAACTCAAGCTACATCTTAAATTAGTTTTAATTAAAATAAACTTCAGTTTAGGGTCAAAATAAACTTTTATGTTTTAGAATTCTTAATTCTTTATGCTCTGTAACTTAAAATGTAATGTTAGGAGCTACAACAAGCCTGCTGGAGTCTAGAGTGACTCAGATTGCCTTAGTCTAAATAAAGAGCACTAATTACAAAGGAAGCCAGAATACAGGTTTTAAAAAGCTGACCCTTCAAAAGCAGCATTGGTCTCTTGTTCTCTTTATCTTTGCTACATTTTCCCCTAGTTATTTCTATAGTTCTTATACTTTCATTATCTGTCTCAACAATAAATGTCTTTTGCTCTGAGTAAAACACCCTACTGAAAGTACAGCATCCAGTAGTATTTCACACCGGTTACACTAGACCCAATTCACTTTAGTCATCATTTAATTTAATTTACCACTTTTTACTTTGTTCTTTATTGATGCTCTAGATCTAATGACTATCAATCTTGTATTTTCTTCTTGGTTTCTCCTGATAGGAAAATGCCAAAGCAATTGGGGAAAAAAATACTGTTTTCTCTGAAATGAAGACTCCTCAAGATCCTGTTGCTGGAATGAGTATTGGACTCTTCGGTCTACTTCTACAGTCACCAGTACATCTGGCATACACTATGATGCCCAACAGTAGGAAGATGAAAGAAATGTAGATGTTGGCATTTCTAAAAGAGATGTTGTATCTTTTTTCCTACTTAATAGACTATTAGGCTATAAATCTCAATCTTGGCCAGCAAATGTGTTTGCCAGCTTTTCTTTATTCTTTTTAATTTTTTTGAGGATCAGCATGGAAAAACAATTTGCGCAAGGCTCAAGAAGATGAGATGGTCTTATAAACAGTAATTGAAATATGTATATTTTTTAAAAGTCTGTTTCAAATTTCAAACCTTATTTTAAAAACTATGTGAAAGCCTCTTGTGAAACTCAACTGAAGTAGGCATGGCTGAGTCCAGAGGAGCAGTGTGGAGGATTAGAAAAATAAACAGGCAGGAGTCAGACAGTCCTGGATTCAAATCCCACTTCTAGGCCTTAGAGAAATAATATAATAGTAGGGGATAATAATATTCACCCTGAAGAGTGCTGTAGGGATCATCAATATTTCATATAAAGCATGTCATATGGGCAGTGCTCAATGAATGGCAATGCTTTTGCCCAGGTATAGAACTTCTTAGTATAAAAGTTTTGTCTTTCAGAAAATTAACAAAGATATTCAGGACCGGAATTCAGCTCTGGATCAAGTAGACCTGATAGATATCTACAGAACTTTCTATCCCAAAACAACAGAATGTACATTTTTCTCATTGCCACATGTCACTTACTCTAAAATCGATCACATAATCGGAAGTAAAACACTCCTCAGTAAATGCAAAAGAACTGAAATCATAACAAACAGTCTCTCAGACCACAGTGCAATTAAATTAGAATTCAAGATTAGGAAATTCAGTCAAAACCACACAACTACATGGAAATTGAACAACCTTTTCCAGAATGACTCTTGGGTAAATAATGAAATTAAGGCAGAAATCAAGAAGTTCTTTGAAACTAATGAGAAAAAGAGAGAATGTACCAGAATCTCTGGGACGCAGCTAAAGTAGTGTTAAGAGGGAAATTTATAGCACTAAATGCCCACATCAAACAGCTGGACAGAGCTCAAGTTGATAACCTAACATCTTAACTAAAAGAACTTAGAGAACCAAGAGCAAATAAACCCCAAAGCTAGCAGAAGATAAGAAATAACCAAGATCAGAGCTGAACTGAAGGAGATAGAGACACAAAAAATCCTTAAAAAAATCAACGAATCCAGGAGCTGTTTTTTGAAAAAATTAATAAAATAGACAACTAGCTAGACTAACAAATAAGAAAAGAGAGAAGAGTCAAATAAACACAATGAAAAATGATAAGGGGGATAGTACCGCTGACCCCATAGAAATACAAACAACCATCAGAGAATACTATGAACACCTCTATGCAAATAAACTAGAAAATGTAGAAAAAATGGATAAATTTCTGGACACATATACCCTCCCAAGACTGAGCCAGGAAGAAATTGAATCCCTGAATAGACCAATAACAAGTTCTGAAATTGAGGCAGTAATAAAAAACTTACCAACCAAAAAGAGCCCAGGACCAGATGGATTCACAGCTGAATTCTACCAGAGTATAAAGAAGAGCTGGTACAATGTCTGCTAAAATTATTCCAAATAATTGAAAAGGAGAGACTCCTCCCTAACTAATTCTATGAGGCCAGCATCATCTGATACCAAAACCTGGCAGAGATACCAAAAAAAAAAAAAAAAAAAAAAAAGAGGCTGTGGATGATGGCTCATGCCTGTAATCCCAGCACTTTGGGAGCCCAAGGCGGGTGGATCACCTGAAGTCAGGAGTTCAAGACCAGCCTGCCCGGTAGAGACATGGTGAAACCCTGTCTCTACTAAAAATACAAAAAATTAGCCAGGCATGTGGCAGGCACCTGTAATCCCACCTACTTGGGAGGCTGGGGCAGGAGAATTGCTTGAACCCGGGAGGCAGAGGTTGTGGTGAGCTGAGATCGTGCCACTGCACTCCAGCCTGGGTGACTGACAGAGTGAGACTCTGCCTCAAAAAAAAAAAAAAAAAAAAAACTTCAGGCCAATATCCTTGATGAACATCGATGCAAAAATTCTCAATAAAACACTGGCAAACTCCAGTTTGCACATCAAAAAGCTTATCTGCCACAAGTTGGCTTTCATCCCTAGGATGCAAGGTTGGTTCAACATACACAAATCAATAAATGTGATTTATCACATAAACAGAACTAAAGACAAAAACTGCAAGATTATCTCCATAGACGCGGATAAGGCATTTGATAAAATTCAGCATCCCTTTTGTTAAAAACTCAAACTAGGTATTGAAGGAACATACCTCAAAATAGTAAGAGATGTATATGGCAAACCCACAGCCAATATCATACTGAATGGGCAAAAGCTGGAAGCATTCCCCCTGAAAACTGGCACAAGACAAGGATATGCTCTCTCACCACTCCTATTCAACATAGTATTGGAAGTTTTCGCCAGAGCAATCAGGCAAGGTAAAGAAATAAAGGTATTCAAATAGGAAGAGAGAAAGTCAAATTATCTTTGTTTGCAGTTGACATGATCCTATATCTAGAAAACCCCATTGTCCAGCCCAAAAGCTTCTTAAGCTAGGATAAGCAGCTTCAGCAAAATCTCAGGAGACAAAATCATTGTGCAAAAATTGCTAGCATTCCTATACACCAACAGCAGGCAAGCAGAGAGCCAAATCATGAATGAACTCTCATTCACAATTGCTACAAAAAGAATAAAATACCCAGGAATACAGCTAACAAAGGAAGTGAAGGACCTCTTCAAGAGAACAACAAACCACTGCTCAAAGCAATCAGAGAGAACACAAACAAATGGAAAAACATTCCATGCTCATGGATAAGAAGAATCAATATCGCGAAAATGGCCATACTGCCCAAAGTAATTTACAGATTCAATGCTATTCCCATTAAACTACCATTGACATTCTTCACAGAATTAGAAAAAAATTTTAAAATTCATACAGAACCAAAAAAAGAGATGGAATAGCTAAGACAATCCTAAGTAAAAAGAACAAAGCTGGAAGCATCACATTATCCAACTTCAAACTATACTACAAGGCTATAGTAATCAAAAAAGCATGGTACTGGTACAAGAACAGACACATAGACCAATGGAACAGAATGGAGAACTCAGAAATAAGACCACATACCTACGACCATCTGATCTCTGACAAACCTGACAAAAACAAACAATGGGGAAAAAGATTCCCTATTTAATAAATGATGCTGGGAGAACCGGCTAGCCATATGCAGAAAATTGAAACTGGACCCCTTTCTTACACCATATTCAAAAATTAACTCGAGATGGATTAAAGCCTTAAATGTAAAACCCAAAACTATAAAAACCCTAGAAGAAAATCTAGGCAATACCATTCGGGACATAGGCACGGGCAAAAATTTCATGATGAAAATGCCAAAAACAAAGCAATTGCAACAAAAGCAAAAATTGACAAATGGGATCTAATTAAACTAAAGAGCTTCTGCATAGAGAAGGAAACTTTCATCAGAGTGAACAGACAACCTACAGAATGGGAGAAAAATTTTGCCATCTGTCTCTCTGACAAAGGTCTAATATCCAGAGTCTTTAAAGAACTTAAATTTACTGGGGCGAGGGGGGAAGAAAACATTAAAAAGTGGGCAAAGGGCATGAACAGACACTTCTAAAAAGAAGACATACATGCAGCCAATAAACACATGAAAAAAAGCTCAACATCACTCATCATTAGAGAAATACAAATCAAAACCACAATGAGATACCATCTCAAAATAGTCAGAATGGCTATTAGTAAAAAGTCAAAAAGCAATAGATGCTGGCGAGGTTGCAGAGAAAAAGGAGCACTTTTACACTGTTTGTTAGTAAGAATGTAAATTAGTTCAACCATTGTGGAAGACAGTGTGGTGATTCCTCAAAGATCTACAGGCAGAAATACCATTTCACCCAGCAGTCTTATTACTACATATATACCCAAAGGAATATAAATAATTTTGTTATAAAGATACATGCACATGTATGTTCACTGCAGTACTATTCACAATAGCAAAGATATGGAATCAACCTAAATGTCCATCAATGACAGACTGGATAAATAAAATGTGGTACACATACACCATGGAATACTATGCAGCCATAAAAAGGAACGAGATCATGTCCTTTGCAGGGAGATGGATGGAGCTGGAAGCCATTATCCTCAGCAAACTAATGTAGGAACAGAAAACCAAATACTGCACGTTCTCACTTATAAGTGGGAGCTGAATGGTGAGAATACATGGACACATGGTGGGGAACAACACACACTGGGGCCTGTCAGAGCGCAGAGGATGGAAGGAGGGAGAGCATCCGGAAGAATAGCTAATGGATGCTGGGCTTAATACCTAGGTGATGCGTTGATATGTGCAGCAAACCACCATGGCACATGTTTACCTATGTAACAAACCTGCACATCTGGCACATGTACCCCTGAACTTAAAATAAAAGTTGAAGAAAAATAATAATGAAATAAAAAAGTAACCACTAACATATGTCAAAAAAGAAAGAAAAGTTTTGTCATCATATTTAGATTTGTGAACAGTATTTGTAAACATTAATTGTTTTTAAAAATTGTTTAGCCTATAGACAAGCACGTCGTTTAAAAATATTTTTCTATAAGCTATAACTGCTTGGTTGACAGCAGACATGCACGTGACGTCAGCATTATTATCCTGATTTGATAGATGAGAAAACTAAATTGACCTGAAGTTAAGAGGATTATCCAGAATGTTGCATCTGGCGATAGTTACTACTTCTAAACTCCTTTTAAAGACCTGTGATTTAGATACCATAAAATACCTGCCACCTGTGAAGAAACAGGATATAAAGTGCATTTTTATACAAAGAGTAACAGAAGTTGCAATACAGGACACTTTTGTGTTAGTAACTTTACCATGTCGGGCAGCATCGTATTTTGACATGTTAACTCGCAGAAGGAAATTATTCAGGCTGTTGAGGTAAGCTGGAAGGGAGTGATAGCCTTCTGGATCATACCATACCTATTAAATTCCAAAAGAAGGCAAGATCAATATTGCATTCAAATAAATTAGGCTGTCTTAACATCTGACAGCTATCTTATTTATATTTAAAATAAGAGCATCAATTTTCCAATAATTTATTTTATCTTGGAAGATTATGCACTGTTCTCTAGAGTACTGACCATAGGCCTATAAATTTCCAATTTAGAAACAGGCAGAAATTGGGAAGAGAGTTGTTCTGTGGATAGCACTAAATTATTAGTTATTCAGGATCTCTTCTAGGCAAAGCTTGAAATAAACTGGAGAAATCATTATCTACATCCCTGTGGCAGATCCATGGGATTCTGAGACTAGAACTAAGGTATCCTGGCTGCCAATAATGGTAATAAAAACTAATGGAATAGACCAAGCTGGAGAAATAAATAAAATACATATACACGCATGGTGTCCTTAGCACAAGATTGAAAGCCTTGACATTCCTCCACTAATTTTTGATTCCTAATTATAACCTACCAAATGGGGCGCGATTTTACCTTCTATGTCATAAACAGAGAGATTTAATATACTGGTGAACCTCAATTCAAGAAACCCAATTACTAATTCAAAATAGCAAAGTTGATTTTGAGAGAAATGATTTTATATTAGAAATTCACATGTTTGTGCAAGAATATTTACTGTGTGTGTGGAGAGAGAGAAGAGAGGAAGAAAGAAAAGGAAAGCACTGAAATCCCCAGCACCACTAATTACTTTCTATATGATTTACTGTAAAAATCAGCTAAAATAGACTCAGGAATATTTATCACACAGGGATGCTGTGAGCAGAAAATTAGGTAGTTTGTGTAAAAGATGATACTCGTGGTTGGCACATAATCATCATGAAATGGACATTAGTTCCCCCACTTTCCCAAAGACTGTGTATGTCTCTTACTACCAGATGAGAAATATGTGTAGACAATTTTAAATCCCTATGACTACCATTGATCACATACGTAAGAATATGCATCTGATCCCGTGACTCTACCTCATTTTAGGTATAATCTAAAAGGAAAAATAAGTGAGCAGAATTATTTATCTCCATTAAATTTGGTTAAAGTTTCCAGGTTCTTTAAGAAGCAAGGCTAAACATATACATTTTCATTTCTAAATAGTTTTGACGTATACACAAGAAAAGTGCAGGTAATAAAGTATAGTGTTACCAAAAAAATTCTGAAGGAAGTACATCCCTTAAACTATACACGGGTTGAGAAATAAGAATTGCCAGCCTCCAGAATGCCTTTTCCCTGACCCTCTGTGTCCTTCCAAATCACAATACCCTCCCTTTCCCCTAAACAAACGGTTGAGTTTTGCCTATAAACTCTCAAAGTTTACAGTAAATGTAATCATAGTCAATGTATTCCTTTTTGTCTTTTCTTTCCTTATTAATAATGTTTGGGAGATTTAACTTGCTTGTTACATGGAGCTGAGTTCTTTCATTTCCATTGCTGAAAGTTTTATTGAATGAATATGAAACAGTTTATTTCTATATTCTGCATGTGGGCATTTTGGGTTGCGTTTTTGGCTATTATGAGAAATGCTACTATGTATACACATTTGTACGTGTGTCCTGATGCTAATGTGTACATGCTTCCCTAGGGTACATACACAGAATTGGAACCACTGTGCCCTGGGTTATGCACAATGCCAAATCGATTGTACCCATATTTTGTTTTCACTTCATGAAAATGATTAAACATATCAATTTCACCTTCTCATTTGTATAACATTCCAGAAAAAAGATCAAAATTTACCTTGGCAAGTGTTCTATTGGCAGGGACTCCTGTTATATCAAAACGAAGGTCTTTTGTCAAAGGCAGCCCAAAACTCCAACCTCCATATCTACAGAGAGTAATAAAAATATATCTTTGGTTTAGTGGAGAAAATCTTCTTAAATAGATCTAAAATACTTAACGAGGAGCTCAACTTTTTGTTTCTGTTAGGAACACATTTACAGTATAAAATGAATACTTCCTGACAAATATTTTACATTTCTATCAATTCTTTTTATCATATTTCAGTCTCAAGTGTACATTATAACTAGAGGCAATAAGTCCTAAACAATTGCATATGTTTAGTAGTCATCCTGAAAATGAGTGGCATATAATGTAATCAATTTCTCCAACTTAACTGACCCATCTACCATCTCAAATATCTTAATATTTTAGTACTCAAATATTCCTTTTAGGTAATTAATATGGAAGTGATATAATATCAGTTCATATCTTTTTTCAAATGGCTCAATTTCTTCTATATAACAAATTTTCCCCTATATTGTCCCCAGACATTATACATTTTTTCTCCCTGAATATTTGAGGGCAAGTTGGGTCTTGTCAATTCATGTCAACTGCTTGTCAATTCATGGTATAAAAACGAAAAGTTGATTTTTAAAATCCAAGTAGTAATTTTAAGAATAGGTTAATTTAACTGCCTACCAAATTAAGGACAGACTAAATAAATAATGGTGCAGTCACACTAGAATAATCTTGTGACTGTCATCCTAAATGTAGTGCTATAGAGCTATATATTTTTGACATGCAAATAACATCATAGTATGTAATTCACTTTTTTCAAAGGCAGATTTTAAGACAGTTGGTTTATAATAAAACCCATTTTGTTAAAAATATTTACATGTATATCTGTGACAAACTTCTGGAAGGATATACACCAAAATATCAATAGTGCTTATATCTGTGTGGAGAAATAATATTCTTTTTCTTCTTTTTGCTTATCTGTAGTTTCTAATTATTTTTTACAATGAATATTAATCATGGATATATATTGAGAAACAAAGGAGGGAAGAGATGGAGGAAAGAAGAAAATGGCAGCAATTGAAGGTCTACCAACTTTGTGTCCATGACAAATGCTTGGGTGGCTTAAGTACAAGCACATTTCCTTGCTACACATGAACAACACATTTTGTCCATATGCAGATATCACACTCTTAAGTTTTGAGATATTCATATTGGAACTGAGGCCAATTGTCATCAAAAGTCATGCCTTAAACCTCTCCAAGTTGGTATAAGTCAGTCAATAAATTCCCTTTGGCTTCAAGGAAAAAAAAAATATGTACAAATTTAACAGTACATTTTTGAGGCCTAATATAACCATTGGTTTTCCATTTGCTCAAATAAATCTTAATTTAGAGTCATTATTTACATTTCAATATATAAGGCTGTTTAAATAAAACTGAGAATTTAACCATGTAAAATGTAAACAATAGAAATTTGTATCTATTGTCTCTTTAGAAGGCAGCTACCATTAAAATTAGCAAGCAATTAAATATGTTATAAACAGATTATTTTACCTTTTTTGGACAAACTCATTTGCAGTTGATATAAGATAATTTTCCACTCGTTGCCCAGTGAGGTTATAAATTACCTGGGATGAGTAAGTTCTTCTGTGCGGTGGGGAATAGTTAAATTTAGGACATTCCTGGAAAATAAAGTTAAAAATGAATTTTTTTCTGGCCAATGCTGTGCAAGTTAAATAGACAATGTCAAGGAGCTTCAGTCTCATGATTTGTCTATTACTGCAACTGGTAGAGTGTGATAAGACTGTCCTTTGACTCTAAAGAGCTTTGAAAAAGAAGTCATCTCACCTACACCAAGAAATTAGAACAAATAGTTATTATTCATGTAGAGCAAATCCCTATGTTTAGGACTCACTTAAAGGCCTGGAAGAACACAAGTTAACAAATGTGTGATATTTCCTTCACTGTGCTGAGGCTTAATATGTTTGGACAATAATGTTAAACATTAAGATGATAAAATTTCCTCAATAATTCTCAAGGAAGGAAAAAAATATTTGCCACAAATTGAAAATATAACACTTTTCAAGGATTGATAGCAGTGGATGAAAAGTTTATGATACATTAGTTTTAGTATGCAACCTAAGACTCAGCTTAGTTATATGTATATTAGTTAATATTATATATGTATATATGTGTGTATATATATTAGTTTGATATACATAAACTTTTAGTTTGGGATTATTTTAGATTTACAGAAAAGTCACAAAGCTAGTGGAGAGTTCCTGTGTACCCTGGTCACTTTCCCTTGTGGGTACTTATATTACCAAGTATATTTGTTTAGAGCTTAGTTTAACCATTTATATTTATGCCTGTAACTTTCTTTGCTTCCTGACAACTTAATTTTCAGTGTAGCTTCTCATGCTTCATTGCAATGAAGTTTAGTATGGGAAAAGTCTAGCACGTTTTTATAGTGCCACCTGTCTATCTCAAGAACATAAAGTTCCAGCTTGCTCTAAAGAAAATCGGTGCTGGATTTTATCTTATATCAAGTTATATCAACATGAAGATCACATTCCAGAGTGACACTGCTTTCACAAATAATTAAAAGAGAATACTCTTATGTATTCGTGTAATTTTTAAATTATACTATACATAGAGAAATGCACATGTATTATCTGTACTGCCTGATGAATTTTGACAAACTGACACACCTGTGTAACCAGTCACCAACAACCAAGACAAGATACAGAACAGGACCCATACCTCAGAAGCCCCCTCATCACACTCCCTTCAAATTACTATCACTCCCAAAGTAACAGACACAGCGTAGTTTTGCCTATTTTTATATTTTATATTAATGGAATAGTATAAATGTGTTTTCTTGTGTCTGGTTCTTTTCACTCATTATTATGATTATGAGAATCTTCCATATGTTATGTATGGTGGTCGATCAATCATTCTCATTTTGTTTATATACTACTGTGGAAATATATTGTATTTGACATTACCTATTCTGTTAGTGAGCATTATTCACATTTCTGATGGGTATATAGTAAGAGTGGAATTGCAGGTCCCACAGATATGCAAATTTTTACCATTGGGATATATTGCCAAGTAGTTTTAAAAACTGTTTGCACAAAATTAAATTCCCAGAGCAGAATATGAGAGTTCTGGTTGCTGCATATTTTTGTTAACACTTAGAATTTTTCCTCTTCTTCATTTTAGCCATTCTGGTGAGTGTGGAGTGGTATTGCTTTGTGCCTTAAATTTGTATGTCCCTGATGACTACCTTTTTATATATTTATTGGCCATTTGGATATGCTCTTTGTACAGTGTCTCATGTTTGTTGCTAATTTTTCTGCTGTGTTATTTATCTTTTTCTCATTGATTTGCAGTTCTTTATACACACGTTTATTCTGGATATGAGTCCTTTGTTGTATATTGTGAATATCATTCTCTACTCTGTGGATTTCCTTTTTACTCTCTTCATCTTTTGATGTATATACAGTATAATTTTTTTTCTCTCTCAAAAAACTTAGTACTTTATCCATATTGTATGTCTGGTATACAGAGCATCAATTATGCAAAGTGACCTCATTGTTATTAAATAGTTGGAAATAGATTTAGGGATGTTAATTAAATGACAAAATTGGTTGGAAAAAATTGAAGATCTACTGGATTTTTAATTTATTTTAATTTATTTATTTTGAGACAGGGTCTCTCTCTGTCACCCAGGCTGGAGTGCTATGGTGCAATCACAGCACTGCAGCCTTGACCCCGTGGGCTCAAGCCATCGTCCCACTTCAGCCCCACCAAGTAGCTGGGACTACACGTGCACACCACTACACCCAGCTAATTTTTAAATTTTTTGTAGAGATGAGGTCTCACTGTGTTGCCCAAGCTGGTCTCGAACTCCTGGGCTCAAGCAATCCTCCCACCTCCCAAAGTACTGGGATTACAGGCATGAGCCACTGCACCTGGCCTAGATTTTTCAGATTAATAAAAACTATACCAATGTCAATTTTAAATATTAAGTTAGGTAACTTTTCCTGTGAACTAAAGAAATACATAAAGAACTTCTGAAGTTAGCTAAATTAGATAAAGGATTTTAAAACTTTTAATACTGGGTTAAGACTAATTTTTTTTTCCACCCAGGCTGGAGTGCAGTGGTACAGCCTTGAACTCCCAAGGCTCAAGCTATCCTCTCACCTCAGCCTCCTGAGTAGCTGGGACCACAGACGCGTGTCACCATGCCCAGCAAATTTTATTTTACTTTTTATATTTTTGGTAGAGATGGGGTTTCACCATGTTGCCAAGGCTGGTCTTGAACTCCTGAGCTCAAGCAATCCACCAGCCTCAGCCTCCCAATGTGCTGGGATTACAGGCTTGAGCCATCACACCTGGCCAAGACTAATTTTTAAATATGCAGGGATTCCAAAAGATTCTTTTTGGGTCCCAACTCTTATTGTTAGTATCTATTTTGCATGAGAACACCAAAATGGGTTGCATTCACTGAAGATATTTTCATTATAAACTATTATACCAAGACACTTCAGTGTACAACCATATGTCACTCTGAAGAAAATATTGCAAGAAATTTAGTTGGCAATATAGTAACTATTAGAAACTAATAGTGACCTTTTTTCTTCAACAATCTTGAACTTCTCTAGTGAATGTGGTTCTCGTACAAGTGTGGTGAACTGATAGGCTTAGAAAACTAAGGTCCGCATCAATAGAATACAGACAGAGTAAGTGATGAATAATTTTTTTGTTTTTTCAGGAAATGATTTTTTTCCTGAAGCCTGGAGGTGTTGCTTAGAGACACATGGAGTTCTGTTCTAGACTTATACATTATTGACTTCCCAGCTGACCACTACAGTGGCAGTCTTGCTATATTTCAAATATGACAGTTATGGTCTCATTTTTTCCTGTGAAGCATAGAGCCTTCTACTTAGTTCTAAATTGAGACCAAAAATTCATTTTCGGTTGGTTTCCACAAAGACCATCATAGAATTACCTACCTTTGGAAATTGGTCCTGAGATGGATTTAAAACAGTAAGCTGATGTTCAAAGTCAGTATTTTTTGAGCTGCCCAGATCCATATTTCTGAGCTACTAGCTTCCATAAAATGAACTTATACTGATTCTTTGGTAACCTAGAGAGATCTTTCGAGCTTTCGATATTTATTCCCGTATTTTTCCCATTTCACTGAAACTGAATTCCATCTTACCTGGACATTTTCTGAGCAGGAGCAAACACCAAAATTAGTGATGGGTTCTCCACTGGTGTTCCATTTTTCCAGACTGTCTTTGTTTAAACACTGTCTGCAAGTTAAAATGATATTGCTGTGAGGTGTGTATGTATATGTGTTCTCATGTTTACATATGAGCATGTAAACAAGTATTTGGTATTAAGTTCATGTGTGTAGTCACAGAACAATTTACTGATTTTTCATAACTTCAGTGTACATTGCTCCACCATTTCCAAATGATTTGACGTTTTGTGATGGGGGACAAGGGAGAGCATTTATTGATTACATAGTATTGAGACCAGTGCTTATTGAATTGTCTTACTGTGTCAGGATGGGGTTTCTTCTCTCCTTTATACTCTTTGCAGAGAGGAAGGGATACTTTAGCATAATAATACACCAAGGTCATGTTTACATGAGTTGTGTATTAATACTATCTTAGATGTTCAAATAAGCAACACTATATAGTGCAAATGAGAACTGGAGTCTCAGCTAGATAAGTATCTTGGTCTCTGTGGGCCTCAGTTCTTTATCTGTAAAATGGGATTAATAATCCACAAGATTGTGATAATTAAATGAAAATATGTATACAAGAGAGTTGTACAAATCATAAGACATCTAATATTGATTGGTATAGCATAGGATAACTAAGAAATGAACTAAAGGAGATAGACAAAATCTGTTAAACAGGGATTTCTATCAGGGTACAGCTTTCTTCCAGGCAAATAACAGACACACACACCCACATACACATGCACACACTCAAACTGGAATGCTGAAAACAAAAAATAGAAGAGCAAGAACCACTTACAGATCACTGGTGTTCAGACACATGTTGTCAATTCCAGGGAAGTCCCACATTGCTGAGACAAGTGCTTCCGTGCTCGGGTGATAATTACTGCAATATGAAAGGACAGAAACAAATTCATGATTTTTCTACTAGTCTCCCATATTAAAATCATGCTTGAAGAAATGAAATGTGCTGTATATAGAAGGGTTTTCTTTTTCTTTTTTGAGACAGAGTCTTGCCGTGTTGCCCAGGCTGGAGTGCAGTAGTGCAATCACACGGCTCAATGCAACCTCAGCCTCCCGGGTTCAAGCGATGCTTATACCTCAGACACCCGAATTGCTGATATTGCAGGTGATTGCCACCAGGCCTGGCTAATTTTTGTATTTGTAGTAGAGACGGGGTTTTGCCACGTTGGCAGGATGGTCTCAAACTCTGGAGCTCAAGTAATCAGCCCACCTTGGCCTCCCAAGGTTCTAGGATTACAGGCGTGAGCCACGGCACTCAGCCTAGGACTGTTTTCTTAATCTAAGAAATCTGAAAAAAGACACAGTCTCAGGAAAAGAAAGAAAGGTATCACAGGAAAATGCACATGTCTCTGTTTGGCTGCCTTCTTATTCACCTAATTGTCACATGCATCAGTGATCACCTATTGTATATGTAACATTATATTACACAGGATTCTGACATTGCTATTTAATATTTGTGAGACCAATAAAAAGTTATTTGCTGTATATTACAACAGATTGGGAAGCCATACCTAGCCTGGATTTCTTAATTAAAGTCGTCATTATAAATAAATATCTACTATAACTTTAGTTTTAGATGAATGCAAAAACTCTGAAAAAAACTATTTGTTGGCAATAGAAGTAACATATTGCAATCAATCAAACTGTTCATTCCTTTAGCAGAATCAGGTACCATGGCTTCTAAGTACTTTATTCTCCAGATCTCATGGCCTTCATTCAGGTACAACCACACTCCTGGAAGCATTTTGGAAACATTCTTTTAGTTAACAGAAAGAAACTTACGCATAGAAGGCTGTCTGTTCGGAGGTACCATAAAGAGAGGGGGAGATCTGAATCTCTGGATAACTGTTGCTGGAATTTCTCAGTGTGCCAAGGCCCATGGCAGTGGTAACAAAGACGATGGGGAGGATAACCTGAGCAATGAGACCTTTCCAGTTCCTGCGGGTGTGGTGGAACCTCTTGATGAGTATAGCCATGATCTTCTTCAGCAACAGTCCAAAGCCATCCAGCCTCTCTCCTCTTGTCAGGATTTTGTCTGATTAAGAAAAAGAGATTGGATATGGTTCTGGGAAATCTTGATAAGCAATAAAATAACTTCAGAAACTATATATAAATGGTATAATACACTGTGGTGGGAAAAGCTTTTAAAGATTTGGATTTGAGGTTCAGCAATGTTATTTCTCAGCCTTAGCCTTGGACCTTCCATTGGGAAAACTGAGAACTATAATATCCATCTCATATAGAACTGTGTGTAAAGTGATTTGAAAATTCTAATTCACTATACACAAAATAGTATTAATCACAGGCATAGTAATTTTACATGTCAAAGTTAGATACCTAGAATTTCATAAATGAATATTGACCTCAAACCCTAAAGTCTCAATGCAGACCCAGTATATATTACTAATACTCAAGAGATAGTTTCTATGAAGAGACTAAATACATGTGAGACAAATACAAACTCAAACACCAACCTAATCTAACAATTTGTTCCTATTGTGAGTAACTTAGTGACTGTAAGTCTAATTGGCTCTGATTCTAACATGAGGTCCAATTAATTCACACTAAGAGTAGGAAAAGGGAAATCCTCTCTTCCAGAGTACAATTCTGGTTCAACCACATATTTATTACATTCTCTTTAGAAATTTGGAATGATTATATGGCCTTTCAAAACTCCATTTTTGCCACTAGAGTTATTAAAAAAAAAGAACTCATTAGAAAAAATATCTACCATCCCCATACTTTGAAATGCTTTTCTAGTGCTGAGAAAAATTCCATGGCAGAGCAGCTATAGAGGCCATAAACCATTGCTTCCTCAATAGAGCTCTGTGGCTAATAATTTCAGCACTCCCTCTAAAAACAGGTTCAAATATAGCATTCTCTCCGAAAGCCTGCCACCACGCACACCTTCATAGGTGATAAAATGATGGTATTCATCAACTCTGCGTATATTTTAAGTTTTCCATCAGAAATTATGCAGCACAAAAATCATGATCTTCATTTAGCTGATAAGAAAAAATACAAAGCTGCTTAATTTAAAATGAATTCCAATTAAACAGAGTGAACAAGTTTAAATGCAAACTCATATCTCTGCAAAAGGGAACTGTAGAAGGAGCTGAATATTTTCAGTTAATTAGTATGCTTTTCTGTTTCTTGAGAAATTATATGTGGATGACTTACAGGTGTATCAAATGAAATAAATGTGCTTTCTAAAAGATAATGTCAATGAAGGGAACATTTGGACTGAAGAATAGTTTCAAATTATAAGACACATGCAGAGGCACATACTTAGCCTTTGCTTCCTGCAGCAGATGACCACTTTCTAATAAAAGTCCTCAATGCCATGGAGGCCACAATTATATTCCCCAAAAGAAAAGAAATGAGAACTATGACAGAGGACAAATTAGCCTCCAGTTCCAGAATTATACAAACATCAGAGATTATCTTTCCTGACTTTGAGAGCCAGGCAAATGTTTAATTAAAAGTTCTGTTCCTAGAGATTTTTTTCTGTAAGCAAAAACTGTTGAAATGACTACTCCATGATTTATATATCATTTTACTCTATGCTTCCTTAAGTAAATGGTGTTTCCAGAGGTATAAATTAACTGTCAGAAAGAGAAGAGACAATAAAAGTTATTTTCAAAAGAGCCCAATCCCACAAAGTCGTGTCAAGCAACATGATTTTTTAAGCATATCCTATGTTAAGGATTGGGGGAGGAAATCTACTATTACAGACTCTTAGCCATCAAGTCCAAATTAATTAACTCAGAAACTCTCCCCAAAAGCAGTTTCTCAGCACCTGAAAGACTCAGAGTCACGTAGGTTAGACATGTTTTCCATTGAGGGTACCATAAAGAGCGGCAGCTCCTTTTTTTTCCTTTTTTTTTTTTTTCCTTTTTTTTATGACTATTGTCTCTACTTCAACATGTCTAATAACAAGGAGTGAACTACCTTACTTGGTAATCTTGTCCATTGTTAGCCCCGATTACAAGAAGAATTTTACCTTGCTGAACATGAACTGAAATTGTAGAAGTTACTTCTTGAAAACAATTTCTGGTGGGGAGGTGGAATACTCATCACCATGCTATCAAGAGAGTTCTTTCACATTCTTCAAAGTACTTTTGAAATAGAGAATTCGATTTGGTTTAATGAATATTTTATATCTTAAAAAAGGAGGCTTAAATTTCCTTAGTGTTTTTTGAATTTAGAATGAAACTTTAGAGTTGAATTTTTAAAAATCAAAGTCTGTCTGTGATTTTTCTCATTTATGTCATCCATTGGAATTAAACAAAATATCCACATTAGATTCATACCATCTCTGTCTGTGAAATTGCTGCTGCTCACAGATAAATCGTCAGGAGTTGAGATGCCATTGGCATTGGAATTCCCAATTTTCTTTTGTGTTAAGTGCTCAAGACTCATAGCACTATTTTTTTGTGACTCTTTGGTCAAGTTCAGAAAGACCTAGAAAGAGAAGCCAGATCACTTCATTAACATGAAAAGTGCATGTCTTTTCTCATTTCTAAGCTTACCTTTGATTTTGAACTTTTATCACATTTACTGAGACAAATTTTTCCCGTCTGACTTCAAGTGAATATTTCTGTATGTAAAAGATACGTGCTGTCTAGCTGGGGCAACATTTTATTCTCAGTCTTACATAAGAATAGTACTGAAAAAATGTTAAGCTTTTCTAATTTTGTGAACTATTTTAAAAATTTTTTTAGAAAAATGGCACATATTTCTTCAAAGGGAACAGCAAGTTATATCAGCTTGAAGAAAAAAAAGAAATATTGAGGTATACCTCCTCCACGGTGGTATCTGAAATGCCGTAGCACCCGATGTTGAGGTCACCCATGCCATTGTCGAGTGCCCGTAGGAGTGACAGGTAGGCCCCTGAGACTTTGGTGCTGAATGGAGGAAGTACATAAACAAGCTCTCCCCCAATATCCTCCTTGAGGTAGGCTTCGGGGAGATGTGATTGGATCATTGCTGTCACGGCCATGGTGTCACATACTGCATTTGCATTTAAATTTGGACTCTAAGAGAGAAAAGTAGGAATTAAAACACTCTCCTCTCTTTACACTATAGTGCTCCAGGCCCTAATCAGAGGGTGAGGTGATGAGCTCTTTTAGGCCACTCCACACCTGAGTCAGATCATAACATCACTGCTCTAGAGACCCCTTTGCCACTTGGGTCCCTATTCTACTGGCCCCATTCTCCCATGTCACGCTGTCCCTTCTCTAACCCCCTCCCTCTCATTTGCTCTACTCTAGCAACAACAGTCTCTTTTCTGTTGCTAGAGGGCTTTGGGTTCAGGCACATCCCCTCCTCAGGGTCCTTGCAACTGGTGGTCCTATACCTCCAGATAGCGATGTGTCCCATTCTCTCACCACCTCCAACTCTCAGCTCAACTGTCACTTTATCAAAGAACCTCTTTTCTTATTACCCTACTTAAATATTGCCCCACTTGGCATTCCCTGCTTTATTTCTATCCATAGCATAGAAATAAATATTTACTAAAATATTATTTATTAATAAATATTAAAAAATTTACTAATAGAAATAAGTGATGTACTAATTGCCAATATATGAAATAATTTACTTATTGATCGTATCATCTGAATTCCTCACACTCCATCAGAATATAAACTCTAAGAGGCCAGAGATTTTCATATTATCAGTTCACTGCTGTGTCACCACTGCCTGGGACAGTGCTTGGATATCATAAGGCATAATGCACCTAATACATAAATGTCTGAATGAGTATAATAATTAAGAGTATAACTATTAATAGCATAACATTTTCTTATATTTTGTAAGTCACAGGAGGATTAGATATAAAATAAATGGAGGTAGTTGAAAACTTCCTAATAGCATATACATCTTGCACAGTATTTTTAAATCATATGTTCTGTTAGGTGGTGCAGGGATCTTTAGCGAGCATTTTTGTTCTCCAAAAGATGTAAAGGCACCGTTGACCTGTGCAAATTACAGTCCCTGCACTGCCACTTGAGGAGTACTAATCAGAATGTGAACCCATGACTTCATATTCGTTTTATTTGCTTTTGATAAAGCAGAAAATTGAATTTTTGGCTTTCTAGGTTGAAATGTTAGGAGAACTAAAAGGCTGATTCTCCATCAGTAACCTTAAGATGTCAATCATTTTTTACCTAGCACATTGGTTCTGAATGTGCAGTCCTCAGACCAGCAACATCAGCGTCACCTGGGAATTTGATAAAAATATAATACATTCTGCACTCCCATCCCAGACCTACAGGATCAGACACTCTTGGGGTGGGGCCAGAACTCTGGGTTTTAGTCAAGACCTCCAGGATTTCGATGCTCACTCAAATATGAGAAGCAGTAAGCTAGTATACTAATGAATTTTAGCAATGAATAAAGTTGGAGAGACTCTGCTCCTATTTCATATAAAACTTAATTTATGGTGCCATAATGAGATATATTTTCTCCCATTCCTACCTTCTTCTTGGTAAGCGTGAGGTGATACCCATCGCCAAAGGCTTCCTTGAGGTAAAATGGGGACCCACAGCACCTAAGCCCACCCTGCTCCAGGAAGGCGATGCGGTCACTCAGCACTTCAGCCTCGTCCAAGTGGTGCGTTGACAGAATGATTGTTCTGGCTTGAAAATACAGACAAGAACAACAGGGAATGAAACGTGAAAGTACAGTTCCCAAGACACACAGAGTTGGCCAGAGTAAATCCTGTGACATCTGAGAAGAGTCACATTTCATGAGCTAACTGAAAAACTGACTGACCTCAAAGAGCTTCCAAAATGATGCAAGAAAAATTCAGGGCCAGGCTCACTGGTTCACGCCTGTAATCCCAGCACTTTAGGAGGTTGAGGCGGGCAGATCACTTGAGGTCAGGAGTTCGAAACCAGCCTGGCCAACATGGTGAAACCCCATCTACAATTAGCTGGGTGTGGTGGCGGATGCCTATAATCCCAGCTACTTGGGAGGCTGAGGCAGGAGACTCTCTTGAACCCGGGAGGTGGAGGGTGTAGTGAGCCAAGATTTATGCCACTGCACTCCAGCCTGGGTGACAGACGAGAGTCCATCTCAAAGGGAAAAAAAAAAAAAAGAAAGGAAAAAAAGAAGAAAAACTCAGAAGGGTGTTCTTAAATATTTGGACGCATTTTTTTTCATATAAATTAACAGCAAATAATCCTTTATTATGCTGAGTGACTAAATGTTCACCATTTGTCATGTGGGCATTGGCAATTCTTCACAGTCTATTAGAATTTTGCTCCCATGGGTTCATTTTGCATTGTTTTTCTCTCTCTCTTCCCCTTTCTTCATTATGAAAAAGCAATAATTTAAGACTTTTTGAATATTCCTCTCTGATTATTCCACTCCACTCTGATTACTCCGTTGCTTCACATCCTGTCAGCACTTACTTAGTCTGTTTTCAGTTTATTTTCATTTGTGTATGTTTGATATCTCTAATTAGATTCTTAGCTCCTCTAAGCATTAAACTTTGAAACTTCTGTTGGATTTGCATGCTCTCAAAAAGGCCAGTTAAGTGCTCAACTCACAGCGGGCAGTACATAGATATTAACCAATTGACCCAGAAAGTTGTCTGGGAGAAAAATCTTCAAAATCTTCAGAAAAGAAAGAGCCAATCTTAGACTTTTAAAAGATATCATATTCGATAAATATGTACAAGCATGATGTATCTATACAAATAAATTTTAAAATTTTTAAAAAGATATCATAAACAGAAAAGTCGTCAAGCTGGTTTTTTTTTTTTTTTTTTTTTTGAGACAGTATCTCACTCTGTCATCCAGGCTGGAGTGCAGTGACTTGATCATAACTTACTGCACCCCTGCACCCTTGACCTCTTGGGTTCAAGTGATTCTCCAGCCTCAGCCTCCTGACTAGCTAGGACTACACATGCCAGCCACCACAGTCAGCTGTTTTTATTATTATTATTATTATTATTATTATTATTATTATTATTATTTTATTATTATTGACAGCGTCTCACTATGTTACCCAGGCTGGTCTCAAACTCCCAGGCTCAAGCAATCCTCCTGTCTTGGCCTCCCAAAGTGCTGGGATTATAGGCGTGAGCCACTGCACCCAGCCTCAGTTTGCTTTTGTATATGCCAGAGGGCAGAAGTATGACTGTTGGGTGGAGAAGTTCTGAGAAACTACTCATACCAGTTTTGTTCTTGGATATAACATCCCATATACTTCGGCGAGAACATGGGTCAACTCCAGTAGATGGTTCATCCAAAATTACTACCCTTGATCCACCAATGAGAGCTATGGATATAGATAACTTCCTCTTCATGCCTCCTGACAGTGTTCCAACTCTCTTATGACGATGGCTATATAGTCCAGTATCTTTTAAAGTCCTTCAAAAATAATGTATGATGGTTATTTTTTTACAGATATACTATTTGAGTACTGGAAACATACAATAACCCTAATTGATATGTATTCACTAGGTAACTATTATGTGCTCAGTAAGGTACAATAAACTCTTGAGGATTCATAATATAGTTTTCTATTATTTATCACCTGGATACAAAATTAATACTCAAAAAATTAACTTTTTACAAAGTACAAAATTAATGTACTTTACAAAGTACAAAATTAATACTCAGAAAAAAACACAAAGGAATATATAATTCATTCCTTTGACAAATATCTAGAGAGTTCCTACCTATTTTGTGCCAGGCTGTGTTTTATGTACTTGGGAAAAGCAGTGAACACATAAAATTTCTATTCATAAGGAGATTATGTTCTAGTAAGTGTGTGTATTGGGAGGGATATAGGGAAATCCAGTCAATAAATATATTCTCAAGTAAGTTTTGGTGGTGATAAGTGCAATTAAAAAAAATAAAGCAGTGAATATAAGATAAGGAGTGGCTGGGACATGCTATTATAGGCATCAATTTTATATATGGTAGTCATCTCAGAAAAGGTGACATTTTGGCACAGACCAGGAAAGCGGTCATTTGACCAAGATTAAGACAAATGGCCATCTGGGGGGGTAGGTGCTGTAAGTAGAGAGAAGAGAAAGTAAAAAGCCCTGAGGCTGGAGCAGGCCTAGGACAGTCACGTGTGTAGCTAGGCCAGTGTGCCTTGAGCAGAGTGAATGTGGAGGTGAGTGGAAGGACATGAAATCAGAAGTGAGAATGGAGGCAAATCACTTAGGACCTCCTAAGTCTTGATAAGGATGTTATTGAGTATTATACTGAGCATGGAAGGAAGCCACTGGACGATTTAAATCCAGGAGTGACATAGTCTGATTTGCAGTTGAAAAAGATCACCCTGGTTGCTCTTTGAAGAACAGATTTCACAAGAGATGAGTGAAATCCAAGAATCCACTTAGGAGGCTTGGACCAGGGTAGTAGCCATGGAGATCAGAAGCAAAGGATTCGGGGCAATATGGGAGCCACAGATGAAGAGAGTTAAACAATTTCAGTGTAATAACTGGCCGGTAAGGATAATGACCTTAAATGTTTGCAATATTAAATAAGTAGAAAAACTAAAAAGTAATTATTTCGTGAGAAAATATTTCCTATTGGTATCATTACCAGAACTTTACCAACCAAGCTATGGGTCTTTGAGAGGAGTTAGCAACTTAGGTTCTCATTCCTGTCTTAACTTGCCTTTTTACTTCCTCGTGGAGCTGCTTTTTAGTCCAGTGAGGAACTTTGATGGAACCATATAGGAGAAGGTGCTCCTTAGTAGTGAGGTAACTGAACAAGACGTCGTGCTGCATACAGACTCCCATGTTCTTCCGTACCGTGTGTAGGTCTGTTTTGATATCTTTTCCATATACAAAAATGGTGCCTGCTGAGGCCCCAAACAGCCCAGTTAACATGGAACTGGAAATGAAGAAATGATAAATTAGGTATAAGCCAAGCATTGAAGCTAGATATTAGGAATAACTATATCTCAGTTGTTAGAAGGAAAAAATACAGTGTATCTTCTCAGTCAAGGGCAAACTATGAAATAAAATGGTATTTAATGGGAATAAGAAATATTACTTTTAAGTTTTTAATAATTCAGAGTATTACATAAATGCTAAATGATGATGACAAAAACGATCAGGCCTTTTTTTTTTTTTTTTTTTTGAGACGTAGTCTCACTCTGTCGCCCAGGCTGGAGTGCAGTGGCACGATCTCAGCTCACTGCAACCTCTGCCTCCTGGGTTCACACCATTCTCCTGCCTCAGCCTCCCGAGTAGCTGGGACTACAGGCATGTGCCACCACGCCCGGCTAATTTTTGTATTTTTAGTAGAGACGGGGGTTTCACTGTATTAGCCAGGATGGTCTCGATCTCCTGACCTCGTGATCCACACGCCTTGGCCTCCCAAAGTGCTGGGATTACAGGCATGAGCCACTGCGCCCAGCCATGATTGGGCTTTTAAATTCCAAGTACGTTCTCCCTCCTTGAGCATACCCATGCACTTTCCTGACATCCCTTAGCATCTACAGGTTGGCATGTCTCAAATTTACATCTGTAGCCCAGACTTCATTATTCAGCTCCAGGATTGCTCTATATATCTATCAGACAATACCACTTCTCTGTGAGATTTCTTACAGGGTCCTTCAACTCAGTATGTTTAAAACCGAGCTCATGATCTTTACCCTAAAAGCCACACCCTCATTGATTTTGCCTCTTTCCCCATGTGATAAATTCATACACTGGTTGCACGAGACTGGAATCTGTAAGTCATTTTTGCACTCTCCTCCTATCTTAATCTCCTAACTACATGCCCATCTCACCGTTTTCACAGCTATCCTCATGGGACCATCACCATCACCACCTGCCTAACCCATCACTCTAAGCTCCTAACTCTACTTCCCGCATGCTCTTTGGTCATCTCTAGTCCTTTTCTCTATACTGTGATTAGAATATTCTCACCTGGATAATTCCTCATCATCTTTCAGATAGTTAGTAAACTGGGCAATTATTTAATACCCATCTCCTCCACTATAATGTAAGCTCCATGAGGTCAAGGAAAGGTCCTGTTTTCTAAGCACTTTGTCTCAGTAACCTACTCAGTGCCTTGCAGTGCAGACTTCTGGATTAAATTATGAACAAAGGAATATGCAGTTTTCCCATATGAACACTGAAATACAAATAACATACTTTATATTAAAGGTTTCTATTTAGAACAATAAAATGGGGGCATTCTCAGCTAAAATTATAGCCTCTTCAAGAGCCTTCTCTGTTCCTTTTCTTCATTAGCCTCTTATTGCCTATTAGAAACATGAATGGAGCTGGAGGCCATTATCTTTAGCAAATTAACACAGGAACAGAAAACCAAATACAAATATGTTCTCACTTATAAGTGGGAACTAAATGATGAGAATACACGGACACAGAGAAGGTAACACCACACAGTGGGGCTTTCGGAGGGTGGAGGGTGGGAGGAAGGAGAGGATCAGGAAAAATAAGTAATGGGCACTAGGCTTAATACCTGAGTGATGAAATAATCTGTAAAACAAACCCTCATGATGAATTTACCTGTGTAACAAACCTGCACTTGTGCCCCTGAACTTAAAATAAAAGTTAAAAAAAAATCTGGCCTTTTTGGCATTGTATTCTCCCTGGAAAGCCAACTCTGACTTTAAACAGGCCATGCAAATAGCAGAGGCTGTATGCTCACTCATTTCATGACCTCGTTTGTCCCCTTTTATTTACAAAAAAAAATTAATTCCAGTGTTTTTGCAGTCACTGAGCTGATTCGTGATGATACTAAGTAAGATATGCAGCAACTGATCCTTTTTCTCAAACAAGGGCTCGAGCACCAGCAGCATCTTAGAGCTGACTCAGCAACTAAGTGAATATGGAGCATTGGAGGCAAATCACATAAAAATAACTCAAAAGAATGTCACTTTAAAAACAGTTGAATCTCTTCTCCATTCTGACACAGGAAAATGCTACATAGGTGAGGAGTGAGAAAGAACAGCTTATGTTCTGCTCCTGGCCTTTTTGATTGCTGTCTGATAGCTGGTGGTTCCTTTGTTTCTTTATGAGTCAAGGCAAAGGTTTCCCATGAAGGAGCAGCTGAGGCTAAGTGTGTTTATATCAGGATGCAAAATTTCATACTTATATATATGCCAGGTTAGAAATGCAAATAAATGAAACAGGGTGGGTGTATGAAGCAGTGCAGCTTGGTAGAGACCAGGGATGAGCCAGAAAACAGATACTCCCTTTAAGAGATCAGTTACTAATGAGCCCCAATCAATAGTCTCTACCTAAGAATATGAACTCAATGTTGTAGAATTTCCTATTATCTAAGAGGTGCCAAGAATATTTATTTTTATTAGAAACTCCCTATTTTACAAAATTGGCACTGAATTAAAAATTTTTTAAAGTATTACAACCTTTGATTTTGACTCCATTCTATAGCATACAAGTTGAACCATCTTCCTCCATCTGGGAAATGTAATAACTTTATGTTTTATAAACATAGGTTAGTTTATTTTTTTTACACCTGTATTTTTTGTAACATGCTTCCATGGCAATAAATGTCAAAAAGTTAACATACATGGTAGTAGTTTTCCCAGCTCCATTGGGCCCCAGCAATGAAGTAATATGCCCTTCATAAAAGTTCAGATTGAGGTTATCAACAGCAACTTTTGAGCCATAGATCTTTGTGACCCCATGCAGGGCAACCCCGACTGTGAGATCTTTAGGTTCAGGCTCGATGTTAGAGGAAAACATGTATTCAGGACCTGGAGAGAAATCAAGGGAAGAGTTGTAAACTCACAAGTAAGGTAATGCAGCTAGAGTTAGACTTTATCTTTATTAAAAATTTAAGACTATAAAAATATAACCCTCTAAGTAAAATAAAAAATCCAGAAACAAATGATTTATTATAGTCTTCAGCCTCCTCACTTGGTTGCAGAATGAATAAGAGTGGAGAACCAGGGTTCATTTCACCCTTCTTTGTTGGAAAAAGCAGTCCCAGAATATGGTATTATAATTATAAATTCTCCTTTATTCAACAGATATCAAATAGTCAAAAGATATGTCTAAGGCTTGGTCCTCTGGTTGGGCAGGATGATACCAAATTATAAAATAAATGCCTCCAAAGTTGTGATTTTAGAGTGATAAGACTAGTTGAGATTGTGGTTTATAGAATCCAGTTCATTAATAACTATCTACACCTCCTTCAGGCATCACAAAAGGACCGCTTAGTGGCCCGTACTCACTTTATAATGACACGACTCACCTAGTATCAGGAAGACACAAGCTTTGAACTACTTTTCCAGTATTTGTGATGGGTTATGCTAAATTACTCAAACTTGTTACTTGGTTACCCCTTATGACTGGTGACAGATGGCTGGAGTTAGGGGTGTAGATTGTGGCCAAGGAACAAAATTTTTCTCTGTGTGAGTCTAACTGGACCACAAAGGGATCTGCAATCTTGGCCTAATTAGCACCATATGCTAACCAACTGAGCTAATGAGCCCAGAAAAAGCCACAATTTAATCCCCATAAGAGTCCAAAGACGCATGTGTAGACATTTTCATCCATGACTAAAAGGATGATAATTTTGCCATTTAGAAAAAAATAATTGAAACTACTAGTCATGTAATTTCATATCATTTCTCTCATAACAAAGCACGCTGTTGACCGACTTGTCTTACTGGCAGATGGGTTGGTGTTCTGCATCATGATGTTAGTAAACATGAGGCCATTGCTCTTCTCAGGCTTCACCTCTGCACACCCAAATCGCTCCTTCCAATAGGAAGGAAGAATTGGAAAATACCAGGGAGCTGCCATACCGTATGTCCCTGGAATAAAAATATATCAGGAACAGTGAGTTTTAGTTGACTGTTAACATTTATCATCAGAAACAAAACAGTAGATCCTATGTATGGTTTAGGAAGTAGTTTTATTTTTTGACACTATATAAAACTAAAAGGTGGTCTCAGTTTCCATAGTAAAGCAAAAAACGATGCTTTTTTTCCTTGTTAGTTTTTAAGCAGCTTTATTTACATTTACTAAAACTTATCTAACTGTACACTTATTGTAATGGAAAAAGCCACTATTTATCTATGAAATACATGTCTACAAGTTGTGATTTTACAGTGATAAGACTAGTTCAGATCCAGATTCTGGGTTTCCAGCCCAGAAAAAGCCACAATTTAATCCCCACAAGGGTCCAAACAGACATGTGTAGACATATTCATCTATGACCAAAAGGATAATTTTGCCACTTAGAAAAACATAATTAAAACTGTTAGTCATATAATTTCATATCATTTCTCTCATAACAATGCATGCTGTTGGCCTACTTGTCTTATTATTGTAAGTGTACAGGTAGATAAGTCTTAGCTAATGTATAAAGTTGTGCAATTCAGTATTAGAACATTTCTATAACTCAAAAAATTTGTCTCATGCCCATTTGCAGATAATCCCTGCTCCCACCTCACATCCCAGGCAATCATTGATCTGCCTTCTGTCTCTATCTGTCTTTCACAGATCTTACATAAATGAAATCATATTCTTTTATTCATGTATAACACCAAAAAATGCATACATATAAGTAGGGCTAAATGGAAAACTAAGCATGTTAGAAAGGATGACTGCTTGAGACCTAGAAGGGGGAACCCAACTTGTCTTCTTCCGTTAGAATCTGGTAAATTCTCCTTAGAATTAGGAGATTTGGTTTTTCCCTTATTATCTCTCACACTCCTATTTAGAGAGACTGGATTGATTTGACACTATTCTAAGCTTCTTAATTCACTCCATCTTTTAAAGGAATATCCGAGAGGAAATTTAGCAGTATATTATCTCATCCTGAAAATTTTTTGTTAGCTTTGGGATTTGAATACTTCTTTTTGGAGATTATATATGGCAAATAAGATTTTTTTTTAATTAAAAAAAAGTTAAAGGCCGGGCATGGTGGCTCTTGCCCGTAATCCCAGCACTTTGGGAGGCCAAGGCGGGCAGATGACTTGAGATCAGAAGCTCGAGAGCAGCCTGGCTAACATGGTGAAACCCCGGCTCTATTAAAAATACAAAAATTAGCCGGGCGTGGTGGCACGTGCCTATAATCCCAGCTACTTGGGAGGCTGAGGCAGGAGAATCGCTTGAACCTGGGAGGTGGAGGTTGCAGTGAGCCGAGATCACGCCACTGCACTCCAGCCTGGGCAACAGAGGGAGACTCCATCTCAATACATACATATATATATATATATATATATAATATTTTTATTTTTTAATTTAAAAATTTTTTGCAAATAAAATATTAGAACATATTATTAGTTGATTTATATTGAAGTCAACCATAAAAAGCATGTATCTGTAGGAAGCACATTCATACCTGGGAAGACATTCCTGACATACCAAGCAATAAGGAAATAAATGAAAGAGTCAGCTAGGATTAGACAGCACAGCCAGCCAAATGAGGTGGTGTCATCCTGAACCGGGGAGGTGTACATATTTTCCCACTGAAGACCTAAAAAGTGAACACAAGTGTTTATTCTTCTGTGACACACAGCACAGTTGTGAAAGATAAAATCCAGTTTTAAAGAAAGGGGACCTACCAATGCCCTGTTCTTCGTATCGTGCAATGTATTGGCTTGCATAGCTGAATGCTGTTGGGGACAGCAGGCTCTGTGAAGAAAGGAAACGGCAATGATAGTTCTTGTAGATTTCATGTATTTCACCCAGAGGTATCCTAAAATACTTAAAACTTTGGACATTTGTATAGATAAAATTGATGCTCATTCTCTAAGCATATTTAAAAATACAGCAGTCCCTTACCAACCATGCTACAACTGTGAAGCAAGAGCAGAGAGAATAGCAGAAAACAAAAACAGGAAAATTACAACTTGAAAACCATTCCTTAAAAAATCAAAATATACATTTGAACTCATTAAATGTTGCTCAGCAAGTAATAAAATAGTTAATTATGGAGTAATTCAGTATTAAGACTAAAATTTACCAAAAATGTTAAGGGCCAGAAGGCATTTTCACTCCATACATTTATTTCAGGTAATAGAAGTACTATGAATAAAAATATACTAAAATATCAGTTGATTGAATATTGATAATTGCAACAAATTAGAAATTTAAATATTGTTTAAACCCAAAGTTGTCAATGCTAGATAAAGTTATTCATTACTTTTTATTTCCATAAATAGCAAAGTTTTAATATGATGAAATTAGCTTCTGCTTTCTAAATTTCAGTCAGTAATCTTAATGCTTTAATTAAAATTCTTAATTTAGTGCTTCTGAATTGACAAGGCAGGAGAGAATTTAAGGTTGCTTATATGCTGTTGGTGCATTTGTCTTTACACCTTTAAGCTATATTATATGTCATGAGAACCATGAAAATTGTTCACATATGAGAATAATTCCAATACTAGAGGCTCCAAGACGTTTCAGGAATTGGTCCAGAGAGAAGTCAGAATTCTTGAAGACCTCTAAAACATGATGTATGACATTTTAACTGTTCTTTCTTTAGGAACTATTTCTTAACAGTATCACATATCATGGTTTTGTAAGCTCTTCATTGTCTTGTATGGTATACAGTGATGTAAGAAAAGCTATCATTAGGACATTAAGCTTACTTTGCTTTCACTGAATTTCAAATTAAGATAAGTGAACTTTCAGTCTGAGAATCCAAAAACAAACAAACAAACAAACAAAAATGGGTAATTTCCCACTCTGCCATTCCAACGGTTGACTTACCATGAACACTTTCAATACATAGCTCAACTCATTCTCCACTGTAACCAGAACAATAAATGGAAAGAAGGCAATGATGTAGATGAGGCTTCCGATCAGAGCTGCAATGTTGGTGTTGTTGAAGAAGACACTGATAAGATAGCTCATGGCAATAACCGAGAAGCTGTAGTCCGAAAAATACAGGAACAAAATGAACCCATTTGTTTTAGGAAGAATATTGCCAAACTTGAGTATAATGATGAGGATCACGATGGTAACCAGTAAAAATCCAACACTCTCTATAAGCCAGGCAAAGAAATGGCTGCAGGAGTTCACACCCATCATCTTCATGTACTGTAAGAAGAAAAAATGTGAGGCGCTTGTTATGCTGATATTCTTCCAAATAAAAATTATTCCCTGTATTATGTCAAAATGTCATGATAGTCTCTCTGTATATGGAACTAGGCATTTTAATAATTTACATAAATCAAGAATTTATCCATGCTTGCTATGTGAAATATGCCTATATACACCAGAACAACTTAGATTATTTGTTCACAGAATGGCACAATATAATAAACAATTTGGATGGTGAGGGTTTAATTACAGTTCCACTTTATAATTGTTACCCAGCTGACATCTCTAGATTAAACTAATTTAGAATAGATTATCAAATTTATGGTATCCCCTGTAGAATTTTACATGATTTTGACATTTATGCAGGCATGAGCATTTCAAACTGGTAAAAAACCATGGCTTAACTATTAGTTCAGTGTAGAGACTGAGCTCATAAAAATCCATAATTTTTTTTTTTACTAAACACTAATGAACAACACAATCAGTATTGATGTTCCTGAGAGAAACAGTATACCTGATTCCTAAGAATTTAAAACACATAACTTAAGGGAGACCTCCTGCCTTTAGCTATAGCCTTCCCATCCTTAACACTTACTGGCAGTCTAGGTCAATATTTGTCATCCTTGTTTTCCAAAAAGCCATTTATACATTCATAATAAACTCATGTATCTGAGATCCTCTATACCTCTCTCTCAATTGATATTCTTTGATACCTCAGTGATATCCCCAGAGGCCAAGGCGTTCCACAAGGTAGAAAAATAAACAAGCACAATCAATTTGTGCATTAACTCAAAAGGATTCTGAAAGATTTAAAGTCCCCTGGGAACATCACACACCAGGGCCTGTCGGGGGATGGAGGGAAGGGGAGGTATAGCATTAGGAGAAATACCTAATGTAGATGACAGGTTGATGAGTGCAGCGAACCACCATGGCACGTGTATACCTATGTGACAAACCTACACGCTGTGCACATGTATCCCATAACTTAAAGTATAATAAAATAATACAAATAAAAATAAAAAGATTTAAAGTCCCCTGGACCTTGGTTTGGTTGAATTTTGTGACATGTACTTTGGGGAAACCTGGATATCCTGGTTTCTAATTTTAACAATTCATGATTAATGAGGGCCGATCACGGTGGCTCACGCCTGTAATCCCAGCACTTTGGGAGGCCAAGACGGGCAGATCACGAGGTCAGGAGACAGAGACCATCCTGGCTAACACAATGAAACCCCGTTTCTACTTAAAATACAGAAAAATTAGCCAGGAGTGGTGGCGGGCCCCCGTAGCCCCAGCTACTCAGGAGGCTGAGGCAGGAGAATGGCGTGAACCTGGGAGGCGGAGCTTGCAGTGAGCCGAGATCACACCACTGCACTCCAGCCTGGGCGACAGAGCAAGACTCTGTCTCAAAAAGAAAAAAAAAAAATGAAAAAAAAAAAAAAACAATTCATGATTAATGTTAAGCCTATCAACCTAGTATCCCCCCCCTTTTTTTTTTTTTTTTTTTTAGGAAAAAAAAAAGAACAGAGGAAATCTCCACTAACTGGCCGGGCACAGTGACTCACACCTGTAATCCCAGCTGTTTGGGAGTCTGAGGCAAGCGGATCACCTGAGGTCAGGAGTTCCACACCAGCCAGGCCAACATGGCAAAACCCCATCTCTACTAAAAATACAAAAATTAGCCGGGCATGGTGGTGGTGCCTGTAATCTCAGCTACTCAGGAGGCTGAGACAGGAGAATAGCCTGAACCCAGGAGGTGGAGGTTGCAGTGAGCCGAGATCATGCCACTGCACTGCAGGTCCAGCCTGAGAGACAAGAGTGAAATTCTGTCTCAAAATAAATAAATAAATAAATAAATAAATCTCCACTAACAGCTTTATAACCCAATTTTTTCTTTTTTCAAAATCAAGGATAGTCAATGCCCCACCCCCTTAAACCTAAGTTTTCCAGGAAAAAAAAATTATAGCAAATGCATCGGATCTTTTGCTCTACGAGCAAAATAGTGAATTTTACTTTCTGCTTTGGTAACATCACATTTCGATAACTCTGCTGCTCCAGTTGTTACCAGGGAAACAGCTACCTGGCTGCCAACAGCCTAAGCTGTGGGCTTTAAACTAATCACCACTGAGAAAGACCCTGTGACTTTCCCTCTTAACTTTGCCCTCTTTCTCACCTTCTTCTCTCCCTAATGTTTTTCTCCTCCAAGGCCCTGTCACCATTTGTAGTAAAGACTCAACCTATGCTTCCGTGGGAATGGAAAATATGGGTCAAAGTAGCATGAAGCAAAGGTCACTATGGAAAGTTTCCCCAATTGCTACACATGCTATCATTGAAAACAAAACTACAGTTTGGTGTGAAAAAGACCTCAGATATCTTATTCCAGCAATTCTTTGCGTGTACCCTACCCCATTTGAAAAAATTACTGTGTCATGTTTGGCGACTATTTCAGAGATATTCACCTGTTCCAATATGATATGTTAGTCCTTTTTATTTCCCTTTCCTACTATTTGTATTTTCAGATTTTTATGCCTATTTGAATATAATTAAGTGGGGAGTTATGGAACCTATATTACTACTTCCCAAGCTGATATTTACCACAGTTTTATGTAGCCTATACAAACATATTTCGTCCCAGTGGTAATGTATGTAAGTAGGAGACAATGTCAATATATTTCCCAAGGTGGTTTATAAAATATCTAGACCATATCAAGGCCACAAAATAAAGCTGATGTCATGTGTATAAACGTGTTTTTCTTCCCTGACAATTGATAGCTTTCTAGAAATCACTTATATATTGAGAATGTTCTTCATTCATAGGCTTGTTAAAAGATAATTTGGCAGGCTTGAACACCAGGACTAAAGGTGTTTAATCACTGTAATTTTGAAATTTTTGATACTCAAGATCAGATTCCAGTCCCAGGAATTTGCAAAAGTTAGAGACTCATCATTTTGCTTTTTCCTGAAACAGGGTGAGTTAGGTGCTTCCAAAAGCATTCACTATTTAACATTCTAGCATGAAACTTCAGTGTTAAACTTCAGGATTTTATGCCACGAGGAAAACAGCTGCTATTCATAAAGAGAAAGACCAGTGAGAGCATATAAGTCATCCATAAATTATCCAGATTCACTGCCAACTTTGTTGTAATAAACAAGACCAAATTTGCTGATGGAAGGGGGCCCACCGAGAGCGGCTAGATGTGCTTTCTTGGATGCCATTAGTTCCTCCTCAAAGTGACAGATGTCAGGTGCCAGCTTTGTAATCAGAGAGTCACTTTTATCAAGCCTCCCAAACCTGCCAGAGCAATTCATCAATATCTGATAACCTGTTGCTCAAAGAAAACCCCGCTGCCTAGTAGCCAAAGTCTGCCCAGTTTATAGCAGAGAATAAGAAAGAGATTCTAGAAGAGTTTGGATAAATGTGTTGCCACATTCATGAGAAGCTTATGCACAGGGGTTGACGTAAATACTGCCAAGAAAAGAAATCAGAAATACTCATATATTTACTTGAGAGCAATGTCTTCATTCAATTCTGCAAGAATGTCAAGTACTAACTCATAAGGAATAATAACATTTTCTACCTCAATTTCTATAATTCTATTGACAATAGACATTTATATTATTGTTTTTTTTAGTATGATATAAAGGATGTTGTGATCATTACTGGAAACATTTCAAATTCCCACTGGTGGGGTGGATTAATGTATGTCAGGAAAGCACAAAAAAATTGTTTAATGTGAAGTACTAGGAGACTAAAAAAATCTTTGTTTAATTCTTGGTAACACCTCTGCGGCCCACATATATTTTAGGCTACCTGTCTGAACTGAGAGAATGACTCCAAAATTCTGTCTCCAACAAAATATAAGCACTGAAAGTCCCATACATGACTTACATTAGATCAAACAGATGAATCGAACTCATAAACCATGAAAATAATGAGAAAAAATATACTCTTCTGTATATGTTATAAAATCAGATTTTTATAGCTTCAGTATTTTAATTTTTAAAAGCAAAGTGCAGAACAAAACCCAATCGAAAGGCATTTTTTAAGTACTTTTTTTATACTATGGGCTTACTTTAATAAACTTATTAGATTTGTGCTAATTTATTTAACAAGGGAAAGGGATTCATGGAATCATACCATAACAAAGTCAAAGATAAGTGGCTTCATTGAGATAGCAATTAACTTGGTTTTCTTGCCAGGACTGAGAATAATTACAGAACGAAAAGGGGAGAATATTGATTTTACTTACCTTTTTGGTTTAATTTGAATGAGAAAGAAGTAGGACTTGGGCAGCTTTAGACTTTATCAGAATATGAAAAGATAGTATTAAAAAGTGACTTTGAGTTTCTGGTAACTTAAGAGATTATCTATCATCATCTGCAAATGTCCTTAGAAGTCTGTGTTACTAAAGTAAGATTCTAAGGGTAAAGGTAGCTATGATCTGGAAGAGGATTGGTTGGAAGTCAAAATACTTCCGTTCTACTGCCAGATCTACCATTAACTAGCTCCAAGGTCTTCAGCAAGTCACTTCTCACTTTCTGAGCTGAACCTTACATCTTTAAAAAGGAGGAGTTTAGATGAGAACTGTGGGCAGTGGAGCGAGGCTGAGCAGGAGGCACTAGGGACATCCCACTCCTTCCACGCTCACCTCCATCAATTCATTTCATAAACACACTGTATTTCTTTGAATTTAGAACACATTGAGGATGTGCCACTATTTTACATGCCACCAAGAAAGAAAGATTACTGCCAAATAAATCGTGACACCCTATCAAATGTATCCCAATTTCCAAGGCTTTAAAAAGGGGGGAAAATCAATGTCTTAGAATTGATAAAATATGAATAATTGAGCTCCTCTGTTCTGGCAGAGAGAGAGAGAGCTACATTCTGGAAATAAATGTTGAATGAAGTCTAGATGATCAGACTCAAAGGGTTTAAGAGACTGAGCCCGAGTGTATATGGCTGGTAGAATTGGAATACAAAACCTGATATTCTGATTACAAGTTCAGTGATCTTCCACCATGTGACTTTGACCCCAAGACAAAGGTGGTTAAATTTCAAAGGTAGACGCAGGCCAAATGGAGACACAGAGCTACCAAACAGAAACTGGTTCATAGCTAAAAACAAGTCTTTTGCATTTTCAGTTGAGAAATGACTTTTCGTTATGCTTTGATAATTTTTGGTGACATACATAGATGCATTCAGAGAGCATCATCTTCAAACATGAAATAATACAATGTGTGTGTATTATATACACACAGTTTTATTATATGCATATACATTTGTATATATACTGTATGCATACATGCTTCTATTTACTGTTTCTATCACAAGTAATATTTTAAAGGTAGGTATTAATTTTGAAGTAGAAATGGACTCTGTTTCTGTCACAGTTTCTATCTCAAAGATTTTCTTTACTCTGTGATGATTTGCTTCTGAATACTGGGAACCTGAAAGATAACTAGAAGGGAGGGGCTTGCAATCATAATTACGGTTGAAGGCATGGATTCAAGTTTCTAAATTGGAATTAGAAAACCATTGCATACAGTCCTGAAAACAACAGGACTCAAACTAGTTGATGAGAAGTTTACCAAATTATAACTGAAATATAAAAATGCAGCTGTGTGGATCAACCAAAATTCAAACAGAAGAGGTAAAAAATATAAGTTCAAATACGGGGACAACCCTGAAAGCCTGATGCTGAACTAACAGAAATATGTAGCAGCAACTTGTATCTTATAGGGAGAAATGATCAATTGTCTAAAAGCATTGGCAAGGTAAGTCTGAAAAGGACAAGTGGATGGACGGGTTCCTCTAACCTCATTATTTCAGAATTCAGCCAGGCCTTGCAATAATTATTGTGCCCCAGTTTTGAAATGTTTCACCTTTGTTTCCACTCCATGAGTGAGTATAAGAAGGGACTCATTATGGGATAAGTAGATAAAATAATTTCTACTCAAATACAATCTAAAAATCACATAATGCTTTATCATAAATTCTAAAAAGAAGTAAGATATTTTGGATTTGGGGTTAATGATGAAGAACGTGCCCAGAAAGAGGTCATGCATCACACTCCTGGTTCTGTCTTCCATTGTGATATGGTTACTAACCCAATCAGTAGCATAACATGAAATTCTTAGTTTCTATAAGTCAGGAGTCAGTGGGAAATGGAGAAGGTAATTGAAGGAGACAAGGTATACTGGAAAGAGAATTTTCTTTGTGAGAGCCGAAATATGCCATATGTCTATGTCTATGTTTATAGCTCTATCTATATCTACATTTGGGTTATTTTAGTTACCATGCCAACAATCTCTCTGCCTGAACAGTTGTTATTGTTGTTATTTAAACTTCCTCTGTTAGATCCTAAGTCCTATAGGTAATTTCTTGGGCAAAAAATTACTCCAGGAATTATCATTGTACTCATATTTTATTCAGATGTTGTTTTTCAAAAGCACTTATTAAGTGACTTTTATGTCACTTTTTGAGAAAATAAAATATTGCCTTATCAGCTGCTTTTGTGATTTGTAAAAGGTTTTTCTTTCTGTTTAATTCACAAGGGATAAGTTAGGCTTTCTGAAGTTTATAAAGGCATGATGAAAATCATAGTAATTGTTCTATGAACAGGACTTATTCATAACAAGAAGTGATTTTCAACATACCTCATGAAGCCGGAGGTCTTTCTCATAGACAAGCTTTTTTACAAAGGCAGCTATAAATACAACCCAGGCAACCATAAGCACAATTGGAAGAGAATAAGAGACACTGGTTAGGAAGCTGTAAAACAAACAAAAAAAGAAAAATTCAGCGACCAAAATGAACACCATACTTGCAGAGATTATAATATATAAAGAACTCACTCTCTCTTACATTGAACTTATGATCGTGTTTTGAAATTGAAAATAATCGGTATTACCCCATTATTTACGAAGCATGAAGCTGATTTAACCATAGGTCTGTGATTTTTTTAGTGTAATGTTTCAAGAGTAAGAAAAAAAAAAGCTCTGGATTATTACATAAAATTGCCATATTGTTTAAATTGTGTTTGAGTATGTGTCTGGGAAAATAATTACTATATAGATATAATTGCAAGGCTCAAAACCTTTATGTCTAAACTAAATTCTTATCTAAAAGGCAGATTTAAAATGAGACGATGATTGGTTTACCTAACTAAAAGCTATATCTTCCAAAATTACTGTATTTATAGCTACTCTTAGGAAGATCATAGTTATTATGAAACTAAATTTCTAAAAATGAAATAAAATCTAAAGCATTCATTTGTTTTTGTTTGTTTGTTTGTTTTTTAGTAGAGATGGGGTTTCACCATGCTGGCCAGGCTGGTCTCGAATTCCTGGCCTCAAGTGATCCACCTGCCTCGGCCTCCCAAAGTGCTGGGATTACAGGCATGAGTCACTGTGCCTGGCCCAAAGCATTTGATTTAAAATGCAGACAAAGAACTTGGATTCCTCAAAGTAATGCTCTGGAAGATGCTTTATACATGGTATAGAAATGTCTATTTTGATGATGTGCTCAACTAGAGAATCACTGGAAGACATCCTCAAGCCCAGATGTATTCCTCAATGTCCTGCTCATGAAACCTGAAAGTTAAATTGGAGTGGTTCTCAAAGCACCCAAAGAGATTACTAAAACACAAGTTTCTGGGCCCCAGCCTCTGATTTATTATATCTGGGTGGGACCATCTATTTGCTTTTTAAACAACTTCCCAGGTGATACTGATGCTGCTGGTCCAGAGACCACACCTTAGGAGCCATGGTTCTGACAATTGATGCCCTTATTTGAGCTGAGGCAAAAGCAGTAGATGTCGATGAGAGATTCTAAGTTGCTCTGTTTATGTGTTGGGCTCCACTCAAGCTTTCACTTGGAGAAAGGTCCCAAGGCCATTTCCTTTTTTAATCTACAAGACTAAAAAATTACCTCCAAGTACCCCAAGAAAAATGTAAATATTAATGAAGCATGAGATCACTATCATTCAGTATCACTTTAGCATGCAGAAGTGTGTCATTATCAGAGAGATGAGGTGTTTTTTTGGTGAGGGAGCAGTGGGAGTTGAGGCCATATTCCATTTTTTTTGTTGTTGTTTCCTGGGAAACTGTATGGCATGGGGTAGGCATTTACAGACTACTTCTTGAATGAATTTTGTTTTGGTTCAGGTACAGCCTTGAAGTGATTTCTGGATCTAGAACTAGGCAAAGGCCTTCATTCATTAACAACAAATCCCCTGTAATGTTTCTTCCAAGTGATAGTGTATTTTAGATTTGGTCTAGTATAAAGCAGAAATGTTGGTCTTATAAACAGGAGGACTAGTGTAGTACCAGTTATATTATCTTGGGCAAGTTAATTAGCCTTTCTGGATTTCAGTTTTTTCATCTGGAAAGTATGGACAATAATTCCTGCTCCTACTTACATTATGAGGTTGTTGGGTGAAACAAATGAAATAATTAATGGGAAATCACTTTATATGCAACAGTGTATATGTGTGTAAGGCATAATGAACATATTCCCATAAAGAATACAGACTGCACACCCAGGTACCCACCATCCTAGGTACCAAAATTTATAAGGGGAACAAATGAGCAGGGAACTAGATAAGAATTATAACTTCATTGACCCCATAGATCTTTATAATTTGTGCAAACCATTGCAGTTCACACATAGTTCGGGCAGCACAGTCCCGTCCACAACAGCCTCCACAATAGCCAGCTAACCTTGACAGTCCACTTGATGGACTCCTTACCTGCTTCCTCATGCTACTGTTGCACTGGGTTACATTACCTCATCTCATTTATAACTCTTGAAGTAGCCAAGGGAGACAGAAGCATTGAAAGAAAGAAAAAAGAAGAGAAAAGAAAAATCCAATACCATCTGAATTGTATATAAACTGCAATAACTGGGTTGCGTAGCATGTTCAATTCCTTTAAAGTAATATTCAGCCTCAAGCTTTTATATAGGAAGGTGAGCTTGAAAACCATAATCTGCTTATTTTTTAACCATCTACAGAGTGAAGGAAGCATTCAGTGCTACCCAACTGGCAGATTTCTCGAACATTCAAATTGAATTGTCTAAAAGCATTATTGTTACTTTTTTATTCATCTAGAAAAACCATTTTAGATATAGAGGATTCCTAGCAAATGAACTGATAATACATGAAAGTTTCAGGTAGCACAATATTTATCTGAAATAGTTGATCAAAATGTGTTCAAGGTTTCTTTTATCAATTTGTTTTCTTAAAATTGATCATGCGCTCAGATTTTTTAAAATCCGATTTGGGAGTTGGAAGGGATTTTAAGATCGTCTTGTTCATCCCTTTCATTTGACTAGAGGGAGGTAAGCCCAGTAGACAGTGGGGAACATCAAAATCATGCAGCAATGTACTCAGGTCTGAAGTCCAATTATTCCAATTTTAGGGCCAGAATTTTTGGAGAGCTAAGGGTTTTTATAGATCATTTGGTAAACACTTTACCATCATTTTGGTATTGATGAGCAGTTATGATGAAGCTATGCCCTATAGTGTGAACTCTTTCTCAAAACAAGCATATTACAAAAGTTTGGTGAATGTTGTTCCTTTCATGTAATACATCTGAATGAATGGACTGAAGTGAGTTCTCAGAAAAGTTGTTGATCATTAAAAAGGCTGGAAGTGCACACACTTACTTGTCTTTCATGAAGCAGGGATAAGGAATTGCTTGAACCTGGACTGCTATTTCCTGGGAGTTCCTTCCAGTTTGCAATTCAATGATTGCTCTTTCAATACTATCCTGTAAATAAATAAAAGCCCTGCCATAGATCTGGTTGTGTGATGGAGAATTGTGTGGCCCTGGAGCCCAAATCTTGGTTCTTAGGCTTCTTGTGGTCTGTGCGGTCTTGAGACTCATCCGGATGGTATATTTTATGACAGGAGGAAGAAAGACATTTCCAGAGTCATAGCCTCTGTGCCAGCTTCTGTTAGAAGGAAGCTTAAAAATAACACCTAAAAATAAAATGGCAACAACAGCAGAAAGGTTATTTTATGGTTGACGTTATTCATTGTTTGGAGAGTACACAGAGGGGACAGCCAAACAGTCAATTGAGTTAGTAATGTGACAGTAGGTTCAGGTTCTTAATTTACAGAAAACATGGTTAATTGGAGGTGTCAACCTCAGAAATTCAAAGCTGGAGTTTAAGAATATAATCACCAACTAAGTAGACAGATTAAATGCACCATTCTAAGCCACTTATTAATATAAAAACACTTTTAGATAAATAATGACTGATTATGAGGATGGACTCAACTTCACTCTGTAACTATGTAATCCTTTTCAATCTTAATTTGAAGTACACCAACAAAATTAGACATACTTAGAGATTATAGTTGGTTGCCTACATGAAAGGTTCTCTTTTCTAAGGACATCAGAGGACCTAAGGACCCCCACACTAGTTTTCTGAGTTCTGGATGAAAGACATGAGGAAAGAATTTGGCCAATTTTAGCACAAAGAGATGCTCAAACCCTAATAGAACAGCACTTACTTCCAAAGAGTTCGTTGCTTTTGTAGAGCCTTTTAGCCTCTCTCTCCATTTCATCTATGGTTTTTGCTGCCTGAATACGGTCATATAATACACAAGAGGAAATATTTACTGTCAGGGAAGATAGTGTGTTAAGCTGATCGATGATGTCAATGTTGTTCTCTAATTTCAGTCTTAGAATATCTAAAGAGGCAAAGCAAAAGAGACAAAAAAAAATTATGGTCCTGATTCTGGTCGTAATTAGATGAAATACTGATTTTTTGTAAATACTAAACTAGATTATAAATAACAAAAGCCTGCAGAATTTACTCTAAAAATATCTAGTATTCTACACCAAAGAAAATGGGTCGTTATGCAAATATTCATTGAGGAGCCAAGCTAGTTACAAATACAGTAAACCTAGGTTCTAAGAAAGATACAAGATAACTTAAAAGTATATTTTGTTACAATTTAATAACAAAGAACTAAGATGAATAAATTTTTAAAAATCTATCTACATGTAGTTAGGACAAAAACTATAAACCAGAGATGTGAGTTTAGAATAAACTAAACAGAAATGCCTGCTTTGTACACGGAATGTGAATGCACAAACTGAAACAAAGGAAAGTCTATGTAGAATGCATAGGATAAATAAACTGTATTATTACATAAGCTGTGATATAGAAACACTTAAGATACCTGAAAATATATGCCACATAGTTGTGAGTTTCTAATACTGTTTGACTTAAAATCTTATGTGTATATCTTAAAATTAATACTTTTGATATCTGTATTAATCTGACAAAATGATCAGGATTTTATTTTGGGTAATTACTCTGGAATAAAGGGGACTTAATTTCTCTTCAATTTTATGATTCTTTGTGAGGAAATCAACCGGGACAAAGGGTAAATATGAAATTGCAAGTTAACAAATCATTTGGCCAATTACATTTTTACTGACTTGATCATCATGAATGCTGAGAAGGCTGCGAATATCATAAATCCCTCCTTCACAGAACCCAGACATGTCTCTTACATCGTCCAAAATAGGACTAAATTTCTCACAGAAGACAACTTCTTAAATGCATTTCTCATTAGAATTTAAAGTGAAATGTTTTACTTGATGTAGATGTTGGTGGGGGAGGGGTAAATTGTGGTTGAACAGTGGCCTCCAGCGGCCACTGGAAATCAACACAACACCAAGGAATTATTTAGAAATTCTGGTAGACAGGATCATAAAAACACTTCAAGGGGTCAGAGTCCCCCGAATTCAAACTATATAACCTCTTCAATACTAAGTTACATGTGTAATTATACAAACATAAGAGTCTCAGTGCTACGTTCATTTTAATCTTATTTTAAATTCTTAGCCTCACTTCCTAGTTCAGAAGTTAGAAATGACAAAATTTATCTAAGAACTTTGCAGTTTAGCCCTGATGTGTTAATCAAATAGTTCCTTGCCCAAATGATACTTTTAGAGAGTAAATCCACTAGTACCTTTATTTAATCAAGCTGGGTTGACTATCATAATATGTGTACAATCATATACAATACAAATATAGGCATAATTCTTCCCCAGTGGTTTAGAACCTAAATCATTTACGTCCCAGCAGTGCCAGGGAGGGGGAGGGGCGTTTGCTCTGCTACTGCCAAATTCTGATGCTCTCAATCCGTTTCTCATACCCATGGTTGCATAGCAACAGTGAATCAGACACAGCCTGAATTAGATGTCTTGCATCCCTTAGGTTGAAGGTGGGGACATGGCAGAGGGAATGCATAAGTTTAGACAGCTTCCTTTGATCTTCTGCAGCCTCTTCCTTTTAAACGACCATGTGAGGAGGACCCAACCTTGAATACTGATTTCAGTGTATTTTCTTTTGAGTCTCCCCATTGCGTTTTTCTTGCTTTTGCTAACTCTATATCTCTTCTAATTACATTCTGGGTTAGTCAAGTGATACTGAGGCCAGTGGAGATAAAAATGTTAAATGTAGCCAGAAATAAATAATTTCATTTTCCCTTGTCCTTAAGGACTTGCATTTCATCAAGTCACTAAAATAAAGTGCTCCCTTACTTCTAACAACCTACCTATGATTGAAGAAAAAAACTGCATTTATATTACATTATTATAATAATAATAATTTTTTTTTTTTTGAGACAGGGTTTTACTCCTGTCACCCAGGCTGAAGTGCAGTGGCATGATCTTGGCTCACTGAAACCTCCACCCCCCAGGTTTAAGCAATTCTCCTGCCTCAGCCTCCCAAGCAGCTGGGATTACAGGCGTGCACCACCATGCCCAGCTAGTTTTTGTATTTTTAGTAGAGATAGGGCTTCACCATGTTGGCCAGGCTGGTCTCGAACTCCTGACTTCAAGTGATCTGCCCGTGTCTGCCTCCCGAAGTGCTGGGATTATAGGCGTGAGCCACCACGCCTGGCCTACATTATAATTATTGAAACTAACTACAGACACTGGGCATCCAAATAATCATGACTACTTGTAATTGTACAACTAACTGGGAAGAAGATAGGGGGGATATATCCAGGGTCTCATTTTTCTTTGAGTAGCTAGCTACAAACTAAGTACAGGAGAAAAGGGGGGAAAATGTAATCATATGGAACAATGTTGTTTATATGTCCGACATGACTCATGAATAAAAGCTTTGTGAATTTGGACTCACCGAGTTCATCTATCTGTTTCAATAGTTCAACAGCATCGAGTCCCACGGAGAACTTTACAAAAACTTGCACAAAAGGGTTCCTTAGAGTATTCTAACAAATAATAATTAAAAATCAGTTTCAATACAAGAAAAATCATGTTTGACATTGTCTCTCTAATAACCACCACAGTGAAGTGCAGTAACCACAACTGGGCATTATCAATGCACTGTCTTGCAAAGGCTCACAGAGAAATCCTTGAGAAGAAAAGAGAAGATTGGGGGTTGGTAATGACTTGACAGGCTGGGCTGTTGCTTGTCTATAGATACAAATTGGTCAGCATGCACAGTGGCCAGATGTGACTACAATTATCAACATTAGAAATTTATATTCGATTTAACAGGATTTTTCCTCATGGCTATATTATTCCTTTTTAATGTATACTATACACAATGTTGTGATTCATGGTTGAACTTTGTTCACTTGAAACAAAACTCTTAAAAATCATGATGTCTCCGTGGAATCTGACATCACAACTGATTTGTATTCAAGTTCTACTACTTCCTAGCCTGAAGCTTTTAGCAAGTACCGTTTCCAGTCTCAGGTAACCTTTTGGTGAAGTAGGTAAGAATGCCTCATCACATCAGAATAGTCCATTTCAATTATTATAATATTATTTTTGTACTGTCGTAAGTGCAACTATGTGAATATGAAAGAATAAATTGATGATAAAACTTTAAACTCTATCAATGGAAAGGCTGAAAAATTAAAAGAAAAACATAATTGCTTTAAAATATAAAGGCCTTTATAGCTATTTGCCAAATTAGAAGACATAACTTCTATCACTCTAGGAGTACTATTACCTAATATTTGTTGAGCTTTTATAATACCATGTGCTGGGCACCGTCTTATAGAGTTTAACTTGACTTTCTCACTTTGTTTACAACAACACTTTGAGGTAAGGGCTATTATTACCTCTAAGTAATAGATGACAAAGCTATGGCTAAAGAAGCTATGTAAATTCTCCTAAGGACACACAATTAATAAGGGCTAAGGGAAAAAATGAAGGAGAGAATTCAACTCAATTAAAGAAATGTTTTTTCATCACATGTGTAAATTCATGGCCTGGTTTTTATGTAAGTGAGGCTTGATTGTCCTTTTAGAGCCCCATTTGGTACAACATAGTCTCATGTCCTTCTTACCAGTGTCTTTTGTTTTATTGTCATGGGGATGAATGACTAAGAAAAACATATTAGTCGAGCACATATATAATAGAATTAGTTTGCTAAATCCATAGCTGCTGAGGGTTCTAAAAGCAGCTGGTGGCATGCAGACTGATGGCTAGCTATCATGCAGCTACATGCTGTGATAACAGTCCTTTAAGATCGGTTTATCAGGAATTAGCTTCTGCATCTTGGAAAATCTGTATCAGAGCATCACTAACAAATAAAGTACTGTGTTAGTTGCAATCTGGAGACAATCCATTAAACCCTATTTCAATTCTCCCATCACTCCTTTTACAATCAATCATATGACATCTAATAATAGGTACAATGTATATTATTTGGGTGATGGATATGCTAAAAACCCTGATTTGATCAATACTAATCCATGCATGTAGCAAAATTGCGTTTGTATCACATAAATGTATACAAAATTTAAAAATACCAAAACACCAAATGCTTCCACATATGTGATCTTCACAAGTCTGTCATTACCAATATACTAATTTTAGAGATCCATAAGCTGCAGTTCACGTACTTTAAGTCATTCACCTAAGGGTTCACAGTGGCAAAGCCAGTTCTTGTGCCAAAAGCTTAAAATTTCAAATTCTGTGCATATTTACAATATTATTTCCTCAATAATCGAAAATAATTAATTTTGCTCTGGACAGAATCAAGATCCTTCCATTAGATGATGATCCCTTTATGAACACAATCTCAGAGATTCCAGCAAATTACAGTACTTTGAAACTATTATGTATAGAACACATCCTGTTAATTCACCACTTTAGCTAACAAAACTTTTCTTAAGAAAATCATATGTGGCTTTTTTTTCTCCTCCTGGAGAAAAAGTCTTAGGAGAAAATGGCAATGTGTTGTTCAGGAAAATATATTTGTCATGAAGTGCTATCTAAGTAGCCTTCGTTTTCTGAGACTCACTAGAAAAGGCCACTTAAAATGAGCATGCTTAGAATTAGAACCAAAAATTAATAGGAAATTGTGGGGAAGACATTTGATGAAAAGTTTATGTTATTAAATATATTAAATGTCTATTTTAGAAATTTATTTAATCATTTATGATAAAATTTGGGTTGTAATTATAACTATGCATTAATTCTTAGTCAAAACAAAGACTGAATAAAAGCACCTTTGGAGTATAATTTTTCTGACCATCTCATATCATATAATATCCTCCATTCTAAGTTTAACTTCCTAAGCATGATCATACAAAAGGGCATTATTTTCCCAAAAATATTTTAGGGCTCCATTACTCTTCCAAGGACCTCTCTTTGATATGCAAGCCAGTCTCTTGAAGCTCCTAGGTTGTCACCATTCCTGCCAATTTTCTTTTCTCCAACTGATTACTGGGCTAATTCTGCTGCTCCATCTTCAGTTGCCAATATCTCTGTGATTGGAACATTTCCCCACATTATTTGCATCATCTTCAGAAATTCCTGCCTTTTTTTTTTTTTTTTTTTTTTTTTGAGATGGAGTTTTGCTCTTGTTCTCCAGGCTGGAGTGCAGTGGCGCAATCTCAGCTCACTGCAACCTCCACCTCCCAGGTTCAAGCGATTCTTCTGCCTCAGCCTCCCGAGTAATTGGGATTACAGGCGCCCGCCACCACATCTGGCTAATTTTGTATTTTTAGTAGAGATGGGGTTTCTCCGCGTTGGTCAGGCTGGTCTTGAACTCCCGACCTCAGGTGATCCGCCCTCCTCAGCCTCCCAAAGTGCTGGGATTACAGGCGTGAGCTACCGCACCTGGCCTAGAGCACTTTTTCCAATTATAACTTTTGCTTCCTTAAGTGGCCTTAAACGTAAATTCAGATAAATACGTTAACGAGAACACCTTGTGTATAACATGTCAAACTGAATTTGGAATTTATTAACACATGTGTCATAAATTTCTACCATGGAATTCCCCAAGTTTAATGTTCTCTAGCCTATTGGTATTTTAGGAATTCTGGTTAAGATAGCAAAGGAGAGTAATTTAAAGGAGAGAAATCAATAACAAGCATTTTTGTAGCATTTTAAACTTTTGAAAAACTGATTTACATCACTAGTTATGTCTCTAGATCAACTTGTAAGATGTCTTCTCTGAATTACAGACAGAGGAGCTGCAGTACCAGAGGTGAAGTTAGCCAATTATGAATATGAGTGATAGATCAGTTACCCTGTCTCAGACCTTCTCTCTGGAAGAGAGGCAATTTAATCTGTTGAATACGGAAAGTTACCCCCTTCCCGTTCACATATTGAAGGCAATTAAAATCTCAAAGAATTCAAATTCCTACTAAGTTGAATGACAGAAGCATCTCATACCTGGAGCATTGGAATTGCCTGGTTTAACAGATGGAAGGAATTCATGAAAAGTGGCGACTTATCCATCCACTCTTGAGATTTTTCTCTTAATTCCGCCAGCTGTCTCAGAGTTACATTGGACTTAATGACAAAGAAACAAAAGAAGTGTGATCCATTAGTATTTTGTCTATATTTTAACAAGGTATCTTAAGATTGTTTTGTTACGTAACTTCAAAAGACAGTTCTAAAACATGAAGTTAGTACAAACAATTGTCAGAAATTTCCCACATGGTCAAAAGTTTCAAATGACAGCTTTCATAGGGTCAAGTTCATTTATAAAAATTCTGGATAATTTAGGGTTTGATTCATGTCCAGAGTGAGTTTATAGCCAAAATGAAAGCCTGACTTCTGGAGTTCTTACCAGTTTTTCATTTTCACCAACGACACACTTAACTTTACTATTAAAGAAACATCCTAGTTCGAGGATAGCAGAAGGATATTCTCACGTATTGCTGCTGAGAATAGATGTTAGAGGTTTTTGGAAAGCAATTTGACAATGGCTATTAAAATAAAATGCAATATCCTTCAACCCCTCAATTCTGAACATTCATCTTATTGAAATAAAAATACTGCTACATAAAACCGATACACAAGAATATTTATTGCTACATTGTTTATATTAGCAAGAAAAACACACACACACACACACAAAACATTGGAAACAAAATTAATGCCCAACACCTGATGATTGGATGAGTAAATTCGGTGTTATAAAAAAAAATGTGCAATCTCTAAAAAGAATGAATTAAATTATACCTATTGAGTTGGAAAAATTTTCACAATGTATTCTTGTATGAGAAAAACTATATATAAAAAAGGATTAAAATGCAGTATCATTTTAATGCAGTGACCTCAAAGAACTCTGCTTATGAATATATGTGGTATAATAATCTATAAAGGATTGGAGTAATAGAATAAATTATAGGAAGATGCATATATGAATGCTAACATACATTAGTTTATATGAAAGGAAGAATAGGATCAAGAGAAGAGGAAAAGGGGAGGTGAGAACCAAATACAAAAAGGGGAAAAAAAAAGACCACGCTTAAAACATAAGCTCATATGCTGCTGAGGTTGTGAAGAAAAAGGAACACTTATACATTGTTGGTGGGAGTGTAAATTAGTTCAGCCATTGTGGAAGACAGTGTAGCAATTCCTCAAAGACCTAAAGACAGAAATACCATTCGACTCAGCAATCCCATTACTGAGTATATATCCAAGGGAATATAGGTCATTCTATTATAAAGATGCATGCATGCATATGTTCATCACAACCCTATTCACAACAGCAAAGACACTGAATCAACCTACATCCCTAACAATGATAGATTGGATAGAGAAAATGTGGTACATGTGCACCATGGGATACCACACAACCATAAAAAAGAATGAGAGCATGCCCTTTGCAGAGACAGGGATGGAGCTGGAGGCCATTATCCTTAGCAAACCAACACAGGAATAGAAAACCAAAAACCACACGCTCTCACTTATAAGCAGGAGTTAAATGATGAGAACACATGGACATAGAGAGGGGAACAGAAGGGTGGAGGGTGGGAGGAGGAAAAGGATCAGGAAAAATAACTAATGGGTACTAGGCTTAATACCTGGGTGATAAAATAATCTGTACAGCAAACCCCCATGACAGAAGTGTACCTGTGTAACAAACCTGCACTTGTAACCCTGAACTTAAAATAAAAGTTAAAAAAAATCAACAAATAATTGTTTATTTAAATTGAAAAACAAAGTTCATATATAACTCAATTTATGCAAAACTACATAGGAATATATAGTCAGTAAAGCAAATAAGGTATTAAATCACAGTTTTTATAAAAATGGACAGAGATTAAATTGAATATTCTTTGATAATAATGATCGCTGTCCATTATTCTGTAGCATATAAAAATAATGTTATGTTCATATAATTATAGTTGAATGGCCAAGTAATGGTAAAACAGAGATTTTTCTTTTACTTTAGCTCCGTCATTTTAAAAGTACTAGGTTTATAAATTCAAATAATTAAAGCCAACTTTAAAGTGAGAGGGAAATACTATTATGGTTAAATGAAGTAAATGGTAAGTATAGTTAATAATGTTGTCTTATTCGACATCTATCTTCTATATAAATGAGACGTTAAATTGTACAACTAAATATGAAGCCAAGAATCTATACTTCAGGGATTGTTTTTGTTCCAACTAGTTATATAATGCTCAATATTACTTTTTCTAGTACAATAATTTTTACATACTTTGAAAGTTAGACACCAGTTGCAGAGGACTTTTCTGCTTTTTGAGATAAATGGAAAAATCTGAGGTCTTGCTTCAACTAACCTCATTCTCAAATGTTAACATGGTTCATTTCTCTTCAAAGGGCTCCCACCCAATCTATACTGCTTGCACATATCCAGGGCAGAAGTTGAGAATTTTACTAATAGTTTCAGAAAGCCAAGGATAATAATAATAGTAGGTAAGATAGAAAGAAATCAGTCAGCTAAAGTAAATTTGGAAGTTGACTACTTTAAAAAACATCTTAATAGTCAAAATAGAAACTGAGTTATAATGGTCAAACCTTTTCCATTATTGCCTTTGTGACTGGGTTATATGGTGCATACAAAATTCTTCCCAACAACATAGGTTTCAAGAAAGCCCAAATCACAGGTCCAGCGGGCATGTTAATGATGTCTTTATAAAGGGAGAAGCAAAATGGTGCTGGAAGGAAAAAGTGAAATAAAACCATTTAATAGATGTACTTCAAATCCATTTCCACATGGCAAATTGACAGAGATTATTCTTATCACACCCAAAAATACATGCTCTAGTACTTCCTATATTATTAACAGATGTGAGGCATCTGGTGTCAAAGTAAGAAAGCACAGTAACCAATCTTTTTTAGGTGAGAAAGTTTAACCCAATAAGCAAGCCCAGAGTAAGTGATGGCATTTTGCCAGGAGGAAATAGAAAACGTGAAAGCCACATTTCAGAATGGCTAACAGATTCATTTCCCAGCATTTACCTTTGAAAAAAATACACAAAAACCAACCACTAGGATAGTACCAGATACATAAGAGCTGTTCAATAAATGCTTGGTGAATGAATAAAAAGATGAATAAATGAATCCAGTTGCTATACTAAACACCCATATATTATTTGAATGAGCTCACTCATCACATTTTGCATCTCCAAGTTTATAGATCAAGTAAATGGTTTTGATGTGCCACGAGACATTTACGGTTCTGCTGCAGTCATGCAACTCTACCATGTGTGATAAAAATTCTAATTCTAGAAAGTTAGGAAAAAAATTTCAACCCAAACAGATTTAAGGCAAGTTTTTATATTGTCTAGAAGGCTCAGTGATGACTGACAAAATCTAAGTGTAGTATTGTAGTTAAGAGGATAGTCTTTGTAGCAGAGTACCTGGGTTCAAATGACAGCTCAGGCACTTCCAAGTTGAGCGACACTGGCCAGGTTACTTACCCTCCTTGTACTCCACTTCCCCATACTAAGATGAGTTAATGTATATAACATTCTTGACATGTGGTAAGTGCTGTATAATTATTTTCTATTTTTATTCTTGGGGAAAATTAATACTTCATTTATCATAAAAAACTAAGACAGAATAGACAGTATTCTTATTGTCATTAAGGGCAACTGTCATGCTTATTTTAAAGTATACTCACTGGAATTTATGGGAATTCCATATTTTGAAGCAATTTGCTCTTTAGTTAATTTATAAGTCAAAAAATCCTTGGTGTGGTTGCCTTTTGGCCTCTGGGAAGAGGGCAGCATGGCAGTTAAATATTCAGTGGTAATTCCTTGAGAACATAATGCTTGGGAGATGGTGCTAAATGATCCTTGTGGTGTGTTCATTCGGTTGCTTCTGTACATTGCCTGTGAGACAAAAATCCACAATTTATTGACACTATATGAGCTTTAGAAGCTACTGAAAACAACAGAGAAAGAGAACCTGATAATACTTAGAGTATCCTTACAGTTTCCATAATTCCTTTTATATGTTTATTCCAAATGTAAATGAAGAACAATAAACTTCACTAATTAAAGTGGCAAAAAGTGTTGCTAGGTAGAAGAGTTTTCTTGTAGGTGTTGTTTTTTTTTTTTTCAATGTACTACGATTGAAGCTGAATGTATTATAACTACTCAATATGACAGAAGGCATTTTTCAACAAGAACATTACTGGGTGACTTTGCTACCTGTGTTAATGGAACACTTCTGGGCAGATGCATTTGCTTCAGGGATCTCATTTTGTCTAGCAGCGGATGTGTGCCAGAAGCCATCTGATTGAGAATCTCTTTTAGTCTTATGAAGAGCTCCATCATCTTTTCTACTGGCTTTTGATCTTTCCTCGGGAAAAACACCTAACAGAAACAGAATAAAAATAAATGCTTTATGTGGAAAAATTGAATCCTCATGCATTGTTGGTAAGGTTGTAGAAAGGTACAGCCACTTTGGAAAACATTTTTGAAGTTTATTAAATAGTTAAATGTAAATTTAACACTCAACCTGACAATTCCATTCCTGGGCGTTTACCTAAGAGAAGTGAAAACATGTCCACACAAAGATTTGTATGTGAATGTTTATAGCAGCATTATTCACGATAGCCAAAAAGGGAAAACAATCCAGGTGAGTGGACAAAGTATATATTCTTAAAATGGAATACTATTTGGCAATAAAAGGAAATGAAATACTGATACATGTACAATATGTATGAAACAAAAAAAATTATATTAAGTGAATAAGTGAATGAAGCCAGGCAAAAAGACCACATATTTCATGATTCAATTTATATGTAATATCTTTTTAAAAAGGCAAATCTACAGAGACAGAAAATAGATTAGAAGTTGCTTGGGCTAGAGATTGAAATGAGACGTAACTGCAAATAGACATGAGGTTTCCTTCCGAAGTAATGGAAATGTCCTAAAATTAGATTGTGGTAATAGTTGCACAATTCTGTATATTTACTAAAAAAATCATTGAGTTAATCACGAAAAATGAGTGATTTTTATGGTATATAAATAATACCTCAATAAAGTTGCAAAAATAGATGATTTTATAAGTCATAAAGGCAAATGTCAACTACATATTTCTTCATGTATACTATTGCTCAAAAATGATATAATATGCACCTAAAAATTAAAATAAAACTGTCAAAAGGCTTACATGATTTATCAGGCTAAGTCATTTTAATCCCATAATGCTTATGTGCTACAAGAAGAAACATTGAAAATGTTTTAAAATTTTAATGTAATTTTTTTATCCTCTTATTTCATTTATTCAGGAACATGAATTGAGTGCCTGCTGTGTTCCCAGCACTGGGTGAGGTGATGGCTATGCAGTGGTGCTGAAGCTGGCACCATCTCGGTACTCACAGAACTTTGATCTATTAGGAGGAACAGATATCAAACAAGCCAATGAACCAAAGGCTGGGGCATATGAGAAGGTAGGGAGTGTTTAGCTACGAAATCAAAGGAGACCTTTTCAAAGCAAAATCTCAAAGAATGAGAAAGAACATACCATTGGAAGAACAAGAAGAGGAAGGGCATAGGCAGAGGGGCAAAGCTGTTTGAGGTCCCTGAGAGAAAACCTGTGATATTTCTAAGGAAGTCAAAGACCAAGATTTTGAGCACAAGATTCAGTTAGAGAGGTAGCTTTGTGTTCATATCTCCCACACCGCCCATCTCTCAGTCATGAAGATATGGTTACCTCAATAGCAGAGCTCCTGATTCCAATCATATTTTGAAAATCAGAACCAACATTTTTTTCTATTTTCTATTGCAGTTCTGCCAGAATTCTAGGCATTCCCACATTAACGTGAAATAAATTGGCATGCCGACGTTTAACGGCTAGACTCAACAGCAAATATTTAGTTTGATATCTGCTCTGTAGAGGCATTATAAAATTAGAGTTAAAATTTTAGGCAAAGTAATAATAGTAATTTCATGTCATATGCATTGTAGGTTATAGTTTATGTAAAATAACCATTGGCTGAGTTAATGGGTATTTGCTTCATTTCCCTATGGGCCAGACACTGTTCTTTGCATTTAAAATATTTCAGTGAACAAAGAGGCCCTTGTGGAACTAACATACTAGTGGTGCAAACGGCAAATACATTTTAAAAATGGGCGAAGCACGATGGCTCACTCCTGTAATCCCAGCACTTTGGGAGGCCAAGGTGTGAGGATCACTTGAGGTCAGGAGTTCAAGACCAGCCTGGCCAACATGATACAACCCCATCCCTATTAAAAATACAAAAATTAGCCGGGTGTGGTAGCACACATTTGTAATCCCAGCTACTCAGGAGGCTGAAGCACAAGAATTGCCTGAAACCAGGAGGTGGAGGCTGCAGTGAGCCGAGATGGCACAACTGCGCTCCAGTCTGGGTGGCAGAGAAAGACTCTGACTCAAAAAAAAAAAAAGGTTTAAAAATGAAAATTTAATAAAATATATAGTTGGCTGGAAGCAAAACAGAAGCCAGAATAGGAAAAGGGGATTTGAGAGTGCTGTAGGTAGCATTGGTTGCATTTTAAATAGGGTGGTCAGGGTAGACCTTACTGAAAAGGTCAATGTTAAGCAAAGTCAAAAAAAAAAATAGCCTTGCAAATCATGTGAAGGGTTGTCTCTGGAGTTGTGCCACACAGCAACTCTGGAGCCAGGGTCCAGAAAGTAGCCAAGTAAGAAATGAGATTTTAGTGATGAGGAATCATTGTGCAGATCATAAGGCCCTTGTAAAATTTGGGGGTTTACTTGAATCAAATGGAGATCCACTGGAAAGTTTTGAGCAGAAGGGTGATATAATGAGACTTTAAGTTTTAAAAGGATCAGTCAGGCTGCTTGCAAGGTGCTAGGGAGAGGGGTAGAGGGTAGGTGTGGAAGCAAGGGATATGGTTAGGAGACCACTGCAGAAATATAGGCATGAGATGACAGTAACTCAGAGCAGAATTATTTATAACTAGTCCAAAACATTTTTATCCCTGTGGCTATGTCTCAAAAATATGTCAGCTATTTCCTTTTGGTTGTGTTTACTACAGAGAAGGATAATTCTTCAGTGTTTTTAAGAACATGTAAATATTTTTGACCCAAGTGAAATTTGGGTGAACATAGGTGCTTAATTTTCCTATGTTTATATTTTTCTTTCGGTTATTTAGTAAATAAGTACTCATAGAGCATCTGCATATTGCAAGATGAAGTCAATGCTGACTTTACTAAGCTCTAATAACAACCATTTGTTTTTCCTTCTGGGTATGTAATGGTAGCCTCTATCTAAATTGATGAAGGAAACAGGAAATTTTTTTTTAAAGAACGCCAAAAAAAGCCTATTTTTAATTAAGAAACCCCTTTTTTCTAATCTTTTTTAACCCTACCAACTTCATGTCTGTTCACTGTTAAAAAAATAATAATTGCAACATTTGCATTTAACACTTTTGAAATACAACATTTGTATTTCACAGTAACAGTACATATTAAATTTAATAATTGGTCTCTGATACACAAACCGAGAGTTAGTAAGGAATAATATCAGTTTCCACATCTATAAAACGTGCAAAATTGCAATAAATGATCTCTAAGGTTGCATTTAGCTTTAACATAATGCAATAATTCCAAAAGCCGAATAAATGGATCTCATCCCTCATAGTATCAGAGAACATAAATGTATAATTAAATAGTTTTATATAAACCATGAATATAAACATATTTAACCAACAGCAACTTGCCTTGTATGTGAAGTTGTAAATGTTTAAGTAGTGCAGAAGGGTGAGTCCGATGAGGTAAGACTGCCGGGATCTCTCTGAAAGAGACAGGTTGCAGAATTCTTTCATTGCATCTTCTAGTTTGGGAGTGGTGATATTAGTATCACAGGAATGCAGCCAGAACACCTGAGAAATAATCTGCAAATGGAGGAAGAAAAATATTTCAACTGTGAATCATTCGAGAGTCAACTGTTCATTTTGTGAGGTTTTCTGTATACTCTAAATTTTAAACTAAAACAAAAGGTCCTCAAGAATCAAACAACTTTTCATCTAAAGCACTAATTACTATTAATAAGACAATAGAGAATTAATAGTTCACTTAAGAAATAAGATGGGAGGCCGGGCGCGGTGGCTCACGCCTGTAATCCCAGCACTTTGGGAGGCTGAGGCGGGTGGATCACGAGGTCAGGAGTTCGAGACCAGCCTGGCCAACATGGTGAAACCCCGTCTCTACTAAAGATACAATAAATTAGCCGGGCGTGGTGGCGGGCGCCTGTAATACCAGCTACTCGGGAGGCGGAGGCAGGAGAATGACGTGAACCCTGGAGGTGGAGGTTGCAGTGAGCTGAGATTGCGCCATTGCACTCCAGCCTGGGAGACAGGGTGAGACTCTGTCTCAAAAATAAAAGAAAAAAGATGGGGAAAAAAGAGACAAGGAGACATTCAGGATGGCCCCTGGATTTCTTGCCTGAACAGCTGGGTGAATGATGATACCAAGAAAGACAAGTGGTTTGGAGTAAGTTTGGGGAAAACGTTAGTTTAAGACTTTGCTCCCTGGCTGGGCGCGGTGGCTCACGCCTCTAATCCCAGCACTTTGGGAGGCCGAGGCAGGCGGATCACGAGGTCAGGAAATCAAGACCATCCTGGCTAACACGGTGAAACCCCGTCTCTACTAAAAATACAAAAAATTAGCCGGGCGTGGTGGCGGGTGCCTGTAGTCCCAGCTACTCGGGAGGCTGAGGCAGGAGAATGGTGAGAACCCGGGAGGCGGAGCTTGCAGTGAGCGGAGATTGTACCACTGCACTCCAGCCTGGGCAACAGACCATGACTCTGTCTCAAAAAAAAAAAAAAAAAAAAAAAAAAAAAAAAGACTTTGCTCCCTTTAAAATCTCACTCTTAATAAATTCAAATTGCATTTAATTTTTGTAATCATTCAAAATTAAAATCTTAGGCAATATACTCTGTGGGTCCAGAGATGTAAAGCAAAGAAAAAGAGTTTCAGATCCTACAATCATGTGAATTACCCATCTTGAACAGTAATGCTCCTGTAGATAGTGAGGTATGATTACGCAAAATAAGATGTCATCTTTATTGCCACCGAGTTGAAATAAAGAGAAAAGCGTATAACATTCAAGGCCACAGGAACTTTTCACTCTTTCCTCTTGAAAGTAATAAGAATGTAGACTCTCCATTTACACGTTTTATTTACTAAAATGAACCTGCTCTATAGAAGCCAAAAACTTGATTGCTGAAATTATATCTTAGGATCAAATAATCAAAAGGTGAGATTAAAGAGAAAAGATCAATGAATATTATTTACTAGTACAGTAAAGGCAAAGCTGTTTTAATTTTTGTATGGGGGAACCAATTAAAATGACAAGAGATAGCTGCAATATTTTTTAAGGGGAACCTTAAAGGCTTTTTAGAAACTATCCAATATTGGAAAATAACTGGGCTGTGCTTAGAAATGACACACTCTGTCACACATAAGGTTTGAATGGATGAGGCCTTAAGCTCTGCAGCTCTTTTGGAAAATTTCCATGACACTTCCAGACAATGGACTTGGAAAAAGAATAAAAGATAAGACATTTTGAGTGGAAAACCCTATTACCAGCATATGAAGAAATGACATTATTCATTTTCACATCAAAAAATATTTACTACAACCACAAACTTACCCTTAGTTCCCTTGACCACATCTATTGTATATGCTATGTCTTGCTGTACGACTTTTAAAAAGTAAAAATGGATATCCATTTTAATTTTAGTTGCAAGCAATAGTAAGTAGTCTCCATACATTTTCCCCCAATTAGGTTACTGAAGTTTGACTTTGATAGCATTTGAGTAGGTACAAATTCACCTCATACAATGTAATTGCGACAGTGAATATAATTCTTTTTTTTTTTTTTTTTTGAGACGGAGTCTCGCTCTGTCGCCCAGGCTGGAGTGCAGTGGTGCGATCTCAGCTCACTGCAAGCTCATTGATTGAGGAAGCCATCTGGGGGTAAGGAAAAGGAAAGAACAAATGGGGCATGGGAAAGGACAAGGAAAAATAAAGAGAAAAGGGACACATAGTGATAAAATTCTTGCTTCAGAATTTTTCTTCTATCTTTAATGAGGCCTCCAGGTTTATCACTTGCATAGAAAATTCACCAGATTAGCATGCAACTTCTCAGTGTTTAACTGGTAAGCGCTCAACAAATGCTAAATGCTATTTAAATTTCTAAGAACTGCATGTAAGTACAAACACATGACACCCCACCTCAGCTCTATTATCAGGGATGGGAATGGCCAGCAACTTGTCAATAGTCCTGTTGGACATTCCTGTTGTTCTCCTTAAATCTTCTTTCAGCTCTTCAACATTTTTAAACATTTCTAGTAACTGACCTGCAAGAAGAAAAATGTAAAAAGAAAACCCATGTTGGTTTGTCAGGTCACTCTTTTTAGTATGACTAACATAGAGAAACCTTCTAGACTAAGACATACGTGCCTTCTCAGGGGCAGATGTCTCCCAGTTTTGGCAAACGTTGCATATTTAGGATCTATTTCTATCTGATTTAGATTTGTTCTTATTATTATATCATAAACCCGAGGTAACAGATTGCTCTGAGTTATAAATTTTCCTTAGGTATCTACAAGTCAAGGTTTATTTAAGGAAAATATGCTTTCCTCACAGATTTTGATCACATAATGCACTAAATAAATATCTCTCCATTTGATTTAAAATATCACACAGATTCAATATGTTTTTTTAATCTGGGATCATGTAATATTGTCAATTTAGGACAAAGTTTGATAAATCCACACATAATGCCACAGAGCATTTTTCTTTAACTACAGTCACACTACAGTTATAAAGGGTTTTTACAATCATTATCTCACTTTTAAATAGAACGTGTTTAACTTCAAACTCTTTTAGGACGGTGATTATAATTCTTTTATTTCTGGGTCATTTATGGCACAATAAACAATATTTAGATTTTAGCAGATTGTAATAATCATCCTGCAAATGCCTTTCCATCTAAGTATCCTTCATGCAAATATATCTTTTTTTTATTTTTCAATCTAGTGCCATTCCAATTTTGTGGCTGCCCGTTGTCCAAAATTCTGAATGCCTTTCCTTTCAGTATTGAGGAATTATGCAAAGAAGAAACGTATTGCATGATACCTCATGCTTGGAATACTAATAGAAAGTTCTGAATTGAGATTTCTGTAGACAACAGTGCATCCTTTTGGTTTTTTTCCATCAGGTTATTTTCACAGAAGCAAGTAAATTTCATTGTTGCCCTTGCAGCTGACTATGGGATGAACTTTAATATATCAGAGAAACGAAAGGTGAATGGTCTAACTAGTTAAACTTTTGAAGATCTTTTTGCTGTGAAATCAGATTTCCCTGTTTCATTCTCTGCTAGCTTTCTGTGTGTTTACTTTAGACAAGTAACCATATTTGAATGCTTCAGGTTTCTCATGTGTAAGGGCAGATAGCAAAGCGAGTTTGGTTGGGAACTTCAAAAAAGCTTTCTTAAACTGCAGCGTGAGAATCACATGCATTCTAATAAGACAAGATTTAAAATGTGGATGGGGAAACACCTGGCTTTTCAGAAGCATCTGCACTGTTATTGACATGCAGCATGGCTTCTATGATCGGTATTAACTGAGTGATATTTTCCAAGTAATTCATTTGCAGTGCCTGTTCTAGAAACCTGGAACAAAACAGAAAAGAAGAAATTCAACTAAGTATTTCAATATTTTGAAAGAGATTTCACCAAGGAAGAAGACAATGGAAAAACTTACTGATCCATATTTAAATTAATTTTGCTTGGATCTCCAGTCAGCAAATCTCTCACTTTTTTAGATATGACATTGTCATGGTACAGTAAGCTGGCTGCTATTTCGGTGCCCAGCTCTGCCGCTTCGAGGAGTTGCAGATCAAACTCACTTTCTTCACACAGGCTCCCAAAGCTCATATCAGAGAGCTGGCATGACTTCTCTATCAAACTGAAAGTTTCAGATTCACAAAGAAGTTCGGTCAAGTTTCGAAGTTGAGACAGCTTTCCAAAAAGGGAAAAGAGTGGGAAATAGATTAGTTACATTTTTCTACATATATAGTAGTTGATAATAAGCAACCACAATTGATTTCCTTTAAGAAAAACATTCTGCCTATGTATGTGGTTAGTTGGCATTTGGCGTTAGTTTTATTATGAAGTACTACCGTCTGTCATTTGAGTTTATTGTTCTCGTAAGAACCTGGTAAAACTTTTGGGCCTATTAGACCTGTCTTTCTCTGTGGAGTCACAGGTTTAAAAAATGGAGTTTAGTTTTATCCAGCTTAACTCACAAATACTTTGACTAATTTTATATTTTGATTTATATTTTAAATCATATGTAAGGGCAGATAAAAAGCAAGTTTGTTTTAGAACGTTTAAAAAGTATTTCTTTCTCACACCCATTAAGATGACTACTATTTAAAAAAAAAAACAAAATAACAAGTGTTGGAGAAGATGTGGAGAAATTATAACCCTTGTGCACTGTTGGTGGGAATGTATGCACACACACACACACACACACAGAGTGGTATATTATTAAACCTTAAAAAGGAAAGAAATTCTGACACAGGCCATAACATGAATGAACCTTGAGGATACTATGCTAAGTGAAATAAGCCAGTCTCGAAAATGAAAGGTGAATGGTCTAATACTATATGATTCCACTTATATGATGAGGTACCTAGAGTTGTCAAATTCATAGCGACAGAAGCAAAATGTGGGTTGTTAGGGGCTGGGGAAGTAGAAGATGAGGAGTTGTTTAATGAATATGGAGTTTCAGTTTTACAAGATGAAATGAGTTCTGGAGATTAGTTGTACAACAATGTGAATGTACTCAACACAACTGCACTATATAGTTAAAAATGGTTAAGATAGTAAATGTTATGTTTATTTTACCACAATTCTTATTTTTATTTTTATTTTTTGAGACAGGGTCTCACTCTGTCACGCAGGCTGGAGTACATTGGCACGATCACAGCTCACTGCAACCTCGGCCTCCAGGCTCAGGTGATCCTCCCACCTTACCCTCTTGAGTAAGTAGCTAGGACTACAGGCATATACCTGCACTCCTGGCTAATTTTTTGTATTTCTTGTGGAAACAATGGAGTACATTGGCACGATCACAGCTCACTGCAACCTCGACCTCCAGGCTCAGGTGATCCTCTCACCTTAGCCTCTCGAGTAAGTAGCTGGGACTACAGGCATATACCTGCATTCCTGGCTAATGTTTTGTATTTTTTGTAGAAACAGGGTTTCACCTTGTTGCCCTGGCTGGTCTCACTCTTGGGCTGAAGCCATCTGCCGGCCTCAGCCTCTCTGAGTGTTGGAATTACAGATGTGAGCCACTGTGGCCAGTCGACAATTTTTAAAGGTTAACAAAAAATTTTAAAAGCCTTTCTTGAACTGCAGCATGAAGATCACATTCATTCTAATAAGACTGTATTTAAACTATGGACGAGAAGACGCCTGATTTTTTGGAAGTGTCTGCACCGTTATTGACGTTATTTTCTCTCTTAGGTATTACAGGATACTCGGTGTTTTTGTCTTTCAAAGTGCTTTAAAAAGTGCTTAAAGGGGTTTAAAAATCCCACACCCGGAGGAAAAAGAGGAAAATGAAAATCAAATAATTTCCTATCCTGTCAATGATATTCCTCTCACTATCAGTTCACTGTGTTCTATGTGTTCTGAGGATATATTCCATGCCCTACATCCTGGGGAAAAAATAATATGTGCCCCTGGGAAAGAAAATTCTATTGTGCTTGGAAGCTACCCTAGAGCTGTTTCTTTTAAGAAGGGAAATAAATTGGAACAACATCCTAAGAAACATGACATCCTATGTGTCATTCATTGCAGCTCAGTTTCTAATCAGAAGTTACAGTTTGACCAAAATGAAGTATTTTATGGTACCGGCAAATGTTTGGGAATATTTATTTCTATATTATCAAATAAGAAAGGCACAATGATATGTCTTTAATGAGAGGTTTATAACTACACGTAGTTATAGCAATTAAATGTTGGTCATCTTAGATAGTAAATATCATTGGTCTATTTTCCATTGTACTTAATATTATAGTTGACCTCTGGGTTTGAACTATTCAAAAATAGGTTTATATGTACAAAAATTCTACTTACTAGTGTTATTGCTATGAGAGATTTTCCATTCTGGAATAGACCCAATCACTGTACCACCTATAACTGCATTTGCCACTCTAGTCTTTCTTTTGATTTTCCAGCTACTAGATATGATTAAACCTGTAATAAATGGAGTGAAGCCTCTATATTACATTCTCCAGGGAGTTTTTTGTGGTAATTTATTAAATAAAAAGATAAATTCTGTTGGGCTAATATATTTGTTTTAATTGAGCTTTGAGGGTGTTGTACATTTGAATGACTTTTACCCAGTAGATACTGAAATATGTTTTTTAATTATAAGTTTGGTGTACATATGTGGGAAACCAGCAAAGTTCCATATAGTATAGTCTTGGCTTAGTGAGATAAAAGTTATAGAAGAGGACATTGGAAATCTAGCCACACTGTGGCTAATAGGCTTGGTTCTCTGAAATAAAAGTATAATTCAGGGCCAATAATGTGGAAGGCATTGAGAAGCATATCCACCAAGGAGCAACATTATGGTCATTTTGTCTTTGTTATTACTTACTGCTTTATTCTGAGAACAATACAGGCATTAAAGTTCTAGAAGCTTCACAGATCATTAATCATCAACATAAATTCAGTGAATTAGAATTCTTTCTTCAAAAGTATGTGTCAACTTCAGATTGCAGATTTGCCAAAGCTTCATGTAGAGCCCTTCTCTCTTTTATCACGAGTAAAAGTTCAGGTTTAAAATAGAACAACGGATGACTAATGCCATTTCCAGCTGTGACTGAATTCTCCACTGCCTGATGCTTTTCAAATGTATCTGAATCAGAATCGTAAGTGACATGATGGTACTGACCTCACAATAGCAATGGGCATAAAATGATAAAGCAGCAATATTCCTGAGCTCTTGGTGGGTAAATAGAGGGAAAAATGAGTCTATTTAAAATTTTACAGGTTTTACAATAAAAATATTGTGTTATTTGTATTTCTGCCCAATACAGGAACACCCACTTTATGCATAGCTCCCTAATCAGGAAGTTATTCTTCCCATCAAAGCAACTGGAAAGAAAAAAGATAAAACAATGAAGGGAGGAGAAAACACAAAAGTTCAAGAAGAGCAGAATGTTCCGGCAAGGAGAAAAAGCTGGGAAAAGTCACCAATGAATGCCAGGGTTCACCACTATCTTAGGAATATCATGAATAAAGCGTTAGATTGGGTGTGCCCTAACTGATGGTCACAAGCATGATACTAATTATCAGGGTGAACAAAGCAGGGGAGTAAGAGCATCAGTAACTGTGAAACTCTAGGAGTTTGTCTTCATTCTTTCAGTGATAGGTACTGAGTGTTTCCCATGTGTCATACCCTATGCCAGGTGCTGGGGATGCAATGGTAAAGGAACAGACCTGGCAATATTCCTCATGGAGCTTGTGGTCTAGGACTGAATGGGTCCCGTCAATTTCAAATAACAGCCATGCTTGTTATAAATGATGATAGATTTTCTACTCAAAAGAAACGAGTGTAGTTTATTTCCACTTCTGTGGCTTCTAGAACTTTTTCCATAATGTAACCCTGAAGGAGAGCATTATATTCAAATTGGGGATGATGTTTTAAATTATTTTTAGCCCCAGTCCCATCCTATTAGTATAAATGGTTGAGACTGTGGTGTTTCCATTTCCCTAGTGTATATTATGTGCTTCCTGGTGACTTTCTAAGTCAAGAACTGTAATTGCCCAGGGAGCATGATTACATTCTCAGTGCTCTACTTTAACACCCTCACTTTTTCATACATTCATGAATCAAGCCTTAAGCTCCTACTATGTGGGGCTTTAGGGGTGATGAAAGCATAATTTCATCAGCTTAAACTCTAGTGAGGAAAACAGACCTGACATATGCAACAAATTATAATGCCAAGTAATAAGTTCCAAAGGCCAGATATCTCACTGTCACTGGAGATGTCATCTCATTAGAGATGTCTCTTTCTAAAATGCAAATTTCACCTTCTTCAAATTTACAACTTTCATGATCAAATTCAAATTCCTTGACAAGGAAGTCAGGATCTAGGCTCAGCCTCACCCTGCAGCCCTGTTTTCTGCCTATCACATGGGCATCTTCTGTTCCAGCTGAACACATGACTGCAGATACCCCTATACCTGTCTTTCAAGTTCACGCCTCTATCTTCTTAAACTCAGGACTCTATGTCTAGAATGCACAACTAACCTAATTCTATGCAGCCTTCAAAACTCAGAGAAAGCATTATTTTCTCTACAGAATTTCTTCTCTCCACCTCTATCCCTTACAATCCATGTTAGATATCCCGCCTCCATGCACAGAAGCCTCTATCCACCTATCACAACACTTATCTCACTGTATTACAATTGTTGGTCTGCTTTTCCATCTCCTCCAATGGATTGACAATAAGCACTTTGGGGTAAGAGGCTATGTCTTACAAATAAATAGATTAGTATTATGGGAGTACATATAATTGATAAAAAAATGAACGGATAAATATTATAGGAGCACAGAAGAAAAAGTCATTATCCTGGCTGAAAAACAGCAAGAAAGGTGATACTCTAATATTATCGAAGAAGTGGTATTTAAACTTGTCCTTGAGGGATGAGTAGGAATTTTCCAGATGAATGCACAATTTCCTTCTCATTTGCACAAACAAATTAAGATAATGCTAAATTAAGTATATTAGAAATTTTGATGCATGTAGAAGACTAGGGCTAAAATGTAGGTAATGGTAAGTAGTACATTTATTTGTAATATACATGGACATAATGTTTTGCATGCCTGCTTAATTATACCATGTTCACTATACAAGTCATCTTGCTTGCCCTGAATAAACCAGTTCTAATTTCACTTTATTCCTGACTATGTAAATCCAATTAAATAGCTATTCTTTCTAGGAATACAGCTTTCAAATTTTAATAGGGTTATTTAAAAAATAAACTAAATTTCATGATAACCTGTATACTATATGCATGAGATAAAGAATAATAGACAAATAAGCATAAAGTTATTCCCACATACAGTTATATATTTTTTGGTTGCCTTTTCCCACATTCTCTAGTATCATAAATTTTAATATAAATTATTCATTTTAGCTTCTGATGACAACAATAAAAGTAGGGTGAACCACATTTTGAGATTTTTGTATGCTGTGAAATCTAAAACATCAGCTTTCAAAATCTACTTTTACAAATTTTAAAACAAGACATCTCAAATTAGAAATTATTATTACGAATCCTTTTTCAAATCTCTTTCAAATTATGAAGTTTAATATGATAACTATTGTTAGCCATTCCCTTATAAATGTGCATACTCTAATTAGGCTCTTTTGGGTCATTTCATGCCGAGATCTCCACTGATTAAAAAAAAATACCATTATATAACATCAAACTCTTTAAAAACTTTCTTTTTAAAGACAGGGTCTCACACTGTCACTTAGGCTGGAGCACAGTGTGACAACAGCTGACTGCAGCCTCAAACTCCTGGTCTTAAGTGATTCTTCCCACCTCGGCCTCCTGAGTAGCTGGAATTACAGGCATGAGCCACGGCATCCAGCCATAAACTCTTTTGTCACCATTTTTCTAGAGTCGTAAGTAGGGCCATTATAAATCTAGAGTTAAAATAGCATCATTATTTACAAAGATCAGATTTAAAACTTAAAAGTGTATCTTGCCAAATATTATGAGAAGTGTTAAGGTTTTTTTTTTGTTTGTTTTGTCTTTTTGTTTTTTTTTTTGTTTTTTGTTTTTTTTTTACTTTCATGGCTTACTTTTGATTTTAGGACTTCAGGAACTGGAGGAAAGTAATCTTCATAGGAACCATTGCGAAGAAAAGATTTTTTAAATCGTATTGTGGACTGCAGGAGTCTTAGATTTTCTGTAAAGGAAGGGAGAAGAGTTACTTTATGTGAATTGCAAGGTCATTTAGGAAACCAGTTTGAAAGACACCTCTATCCTGACTTATTACTAAATTTTTCCTAAGATAATAGCCTACCTCAATACAAACATAAGATGAATGAAAATTTAACCTTTATTTGAACCATGGGGACAACAGAGTTCATTATTTTAAAAATATCAGCTTAGAGATAAAAATATTTCTAGCAAAGGTGCTCCATAGTTTTGGCTCTTTGTGAACTGACTATGCTTTCATTCCTGACTTTTGGATATACTATTAAGTTGAAGTATCTTGGAAAGAATAGGTTATAGAATCACTGTGATATAAATATGCCTTTCCAACCTTGATTAATTCATACCTTGTAAACAAAGTCTGGACTTAAATATTTGTTGTGCTATTTGCTTGCCATTAACTCTCAGAAAACTATTTTTGGTGTAGGAAAAAAGAATGTGTGTGTCCTAGAAAATGTGAGAAAGTAGGTCTTTTCTCTCAAAAAAAAGAAACATTTGATTAAATATAATCTTTATGGTTGCCCATGTAGGCAGAAAATTGCAAATAAAGTGTGTAAGGGTAGAAAATAAAAGTAGTCTGCCACAAAAATGCCTTTGTTTATGTAATTTACACCCGCTTTTAGAACTCTATATTATCATTCCTTAACATTTTTTAACAGCTAAGATTATTAAGAGCATAGAAATGTCATGAAGGGTCATATGAACCTCTAATGACTCTGGACACTTGGAAAATTTGTCCCAGTGGCCATTATCATATTATCCATTATATGGCCATTATGTATTAAAGTTTGTCCAGGTGGCCAGCTAGTGCTAGCAGCAGCAACAGAATAATATGATATTATGACAAGACATTCCCTTTGTATATCAAATCACCAGACTGAAACTGATGCATATGGAAACTAAGATTTTACAAATTTTCTTTCCTGTGTAAGCAAATGCCTCAAAAACTCACTACTTTAGAACAGAGGTAGAAACCATGAGCAGCATTTTGACTGTTAAGAACAGTATTACCTGGTGAACCTCTGGCCAAACTGTCAGTCACATTTCTCACACATGCCAAGTAAGGAATATAAGGACTATTTGCTGATATATTTAAGAGGGCATCTTCAAAGTTTTCCAGAATTAGGAGCCTGCAGAATTAGAAAAGAATATAGAAATTAAGACATATAAAAGTAAAGCAAAGCCGTTTTGTTGAGATCATTTTGGTCCCTTGTTTGGCATTGGTTGACTTGGACATTGAAATACTATGCAGTTGGCCGGGCGCGGTGGCTCACGCCTGTAATCCTAGCACTTCGGGAGGCCGAGACGAGCGGATCACGAGGTCACGAGATCGAGACCATCTTGGCTAACACAGTGTAAACCTCGTCTCCATTAAAAATAAAAAAAAATTAGCCGGGCGTGGTGGCGGGCGCCTGTAGTCCCAGCTACTCTGGAGGCTGAGGCAAGAGAATGGTGTGAACCCGGGAGGCGGAGCTTGCAGTGAGTCGAGATCGCGCCACTGCACTCCAGCCTGGGCGACAGAGCAAGACTCCATCTCAAAAAAAAAGAAAAAAAAGAAAGAAATACTATGCAGTTGGATGTCTTCCCTCACCCAGTTTAACTGTACAAGGGCAGCACTACTCTAGATCTTCTGAGCACTTGCCTTTTCTATGTGTACTATCTTTATATTTAATTGTTTTAATATGCCATCATAGGTCATCTTAAGGCAATTTCTAGGCACACTTACATGAAAGAAAAAGGTCACTGGGTGAGGATTGCCAGGTAAAATACTGGACTCCCAGTTAAAGTTGAATCCTAGATAAACAATGAATAATCTTTTTTGTGTATAAGTACATCCCACGAGTCCTGCAATTTTTTTTTACTTTTCATTTTCTAAATCTGGCAACCCCCTTCTGACTCTCCGATTCTTCTCTTGTCAATTGAAAGCTAGGGGGCTAGATGATCTGCTAGGTCCTTTCCACCTATAATATTGAATAACTAGATTTGAATTCATTTAATTTTGAATTAATGGGATCCCATTGACCAATATAAGTTCCTTTTTTCTCTAATCAACCAATTTAGTGTTTCCAAATTCACCACTTTCTGGTTTCCTTTCAAAGTGATTGGCATGTAAGGAAAGGGCCTAAGATTTTTCAGGCTACATGAGTGAGTAAGGCTATGTGAATGAGTATGTGCGTATTATGTGTGCTCTGTCGCTTCAACTGTGAGGCTACATCTCTATTTATTTTGTAACTTCTTTCCTTAGTGTCTACTATTGAATTTTATGTAAAGATAGAATAAATGTCAATGGCTGATTTGGGGATCATCTGTTTTGAATCAAACTGTACAATACACAAATTAACTAGTCCTACTGGATGTTTAACTTAGATTTTATTAAAATGCGAGTGGGAACGATTAACCTTGGCATAGCTAGTAAATGCAGGAAAATATTTTCATCAATATTAAAGAAGACTCAGGGTGTTTAAATGTGGGTTAACAACACTGGATCCTTGAGGAACTTTAAAAGAAAAAGAAATACATGGCAAGAAAAGTCTCTAACTTGGCAGTCAGAGCACAGCAAAGTGGTCAGAGGGCTGACTCATTTAAATACTATTCATAGTCTTTATATTTTTTTAAAAAGTATCCATTTTACAAGCGCTCATGCTTGTGCATAGGCATTTCCTTGACTAGAGACTCTTGGTAATACTATATTTGGTGGACTCAGACCTTAGAGATTTTAGACAGTGAGCTTCATTATTTATCAAAGCCTCCTTATAGATAGTTAATGCCATTGATCAATTCACAAATGAAGGACCAGGAGAGTGTATTCTTAGAGTAAGTTTTCTGTCCTAAATAAAATAAACTATCTATTAGGGAAATTTCTAAATCACATTATTACTGTTAAAAATGCAACAGGAGTGTGACAGGTGACAAAACTAACCCTATTATATAGGTTATGCATGTAATATGAAGTCATGCCTACAGTCAAGTTTCATGGACTGTAGTCTACCTATGACATCAGTGAGTCAAGTCAAATCAAATCAAGCCAAGGTATAATAATAACCAATATACTCACAGCACTTGCTCAAAAAACCCTGAGCAGGTATTTTGAAATGATAGTTTCAGAATGTTGAGGGTAGTGGGAAGCAGTGTCAGAAAGAATATTCTAAAGATAAGCTGGAAGATGGGATTTGAGAATCCAAGACGTCAAAGAAGAGACAAATGAAACTATGAGAATAATTATAAATTTACTGCATCTATTTTGGGAAGAGGAGGGTAGAATAATCCATCTATTTTATTTGGCTATAGTGATAAGTAGAGGTTTCAATATAAACATTTCTCCTCTGAGCAACTTGAAAGAATGATCCATTTAGTTTTGTATCCCATTCCCTGTTCACCCCGACCCCATCCCCATCACAGAATATCTAGCATTTGTATTTCGTACATCATACACTTGAGTTAGTATCTGTGGAAAGGATAAATACATAAGGAAAAGAGATGCAGGAAGCTGCAGAGACACTGGCCATTTATCTGAGAAGTGCCCAATGAGGCATCACCGGATAAGCACACGTCGGGTCGTTCTCCTGCTTCAGTAAGGTGGTTCTCCCTTCCTCTCCTCACCTTTCCCCACACTTCCCAATATTGCCCTTCCTTCTTTTGTGTTTGTCTTTCTGTCTGTCATCATTGTTACAACATAGAGCTATTTCCACTTGGTGCACTGCTCAACAGCAAAATACTGGCCTTATCTACTAGATGGACTGGAACAAGAGAGTTTCATGGTGTATTGTCAAGCTTAAAATAGAGGACAGTTGGGCTAGAATTGACCTTGATAAGGCATTCTCTTAGTTTCATGAAGAACATTTGATTACAAAAATTTCTGAGAATAGACTTAGTATACTCCAAAATAAGATCTTATATCTGTGTGCCACAGTTTTGGCATAAATACCCAATTATTCCCTTACAACACTGGAGTAATCCTTTATACAAAATCCTACCTACTTCCCAAGAGTGCTTACCATAAAAGGTAAGTGTCTGGATGTGCACATTCATGTTCATAAGTACAAACACAAAATGATAAAAATAATGACTTTAGAACAAAAATAATTAGGAGAAAGTAGAGCTATGAGGAAAAAGTATTTTTGAGCATCTTTCTTTAGAAAATTCTGAGCCAAAATAACTTTTTACCTTATACCAGTATTGCCACTCTGTGATTATTTTAAAGCTGGAATGGAAAGGAAGTCTGAAGATAAGAAATCCCTTAATTTCATCAATCACAACAAGAGCCAACTTAGAAGTATGGAATTCTTCCTAATAAACTGTCAACTAGCTGTCAGCAACTACCTACATTTGCTGTGGAATTTGCAGGTCTGTGGCGTTGACATTATCAATGCTATGGATGCCTCAAGGCTCTCATAAAAATACATGGCTTCAGCAATACGCATGCAGTTATCTCAGTTTAAAGGTATTTTGCTATTATTATTTTTGATGGCTATATAGGGAATGTGTTTAAAAGACATGACTATTTGGCCGGGCGCAGTGGCTCACGCCTGTGATCCTAGCACTTTGAGAGGCCGAGGCGGGCGAATCACGAGGTCAGGAGACCGAGACCATCCCGGCTAACATGGTGAAACCCCGTCTCTACTAACAATACAAAAAAAAAAAAAAAATTAGCCAGGCGTGGTGGCAAGCGCCTGTAGTCCCAGCTACTTGGGAGGCTGAGGCAGGAGAATGGCGTGAAGCCGGGAGGCGGAGCTTGCAGTGAGCCGAGATGGCGCCACTGCACTCCAGCCTGGGCGACAGAGCCAGACTCCATCTCAAAAAAAAAAAAAAAAGACATGACTATATGAAACATGGCAGCCTGGCTAGGGTGAAATTGCCTAAGGGCTTGGTTGCTCTGGGAGAAGCACCTGGGTCAGCCACCTTAGAGGATGAGAGAGATGGCAGCAGAAAGAGGAGGTAGTTGTTTATGCAAGGATTTTGGCCAGAATCTACTCAGAGGTGGAGAACTTCTCGTTAAATAATAGAAAGTTTGTAAACAACTATGTACGTTCTATTTTAGAAAAAGAAAAAAATTGGTTAAACCTAAGTAATCCTGTTTGTTTTTTTATTTGTATAGATTTCCGTTAGCACACAGATGTATCCTTTGGGACTAAAATAAAAGAATTTCAATAGTATAATTTACAGGCTAAAGCAATCTTTACCTAACAGGCAGGCCATCTCGTCTCTAAATTTGCCTTGAACTACAGAAATTTGCGTCAATTAACTACCATAAGCAACTGTTTGCATTTCTTACCATAATTATCACAGTTACTTCAGGATCTGCTTACATTAATGGTCTTTAGACAGCATGGTTGCTGCTGTTATTTCCACTGCCTATTCCCGGGACTTTATATATGCCAATAAAAGTCCCAAATTAAATTACCTACAAACAGTTTTGCCTAACTGAATACCACTGAAAGCAAACAAATTTTGCATTATCTTGTTTAAGCATAAAAAATATTTTTATTCTCTGGAAACCCAAAAAATAGTAACAAAAAATTAGAGGCTGCTATGGTATGAATGAGTATGTTCTCCCGAAATTCGTATGTTGAACTCCTAACCCCCAAGATGATGGTATTAGGAGGCTTGTTTATAAGCTGGTCAGATTATGGTATTTTGCTATAGCAGCCTGCACAGAGCAAGACAGATACTTACACACTGTTTGTGGTGAAAGAAAAGTGTTGACAGCCCTCCAGCTAGATCATCCTCATAGGCATAAGGTAACCAATCCAGACATGACACATTAGATCTAGTTATGCAAGCTCAGAACTGAAAAAGAGATTTTCTTGTGCAATGCTTAAATATCATTAAATAATATCAAAAAATAAGTTTCAACTTTACTACACTTGGACTATGCCCTTTCCTCTGCTCAGTCAATAGTTGATTTTTCTATTCCATGCTTATATACACTGATAAGCGAATTATGTTTAGAAATTGTTTTGATTGTTTATTCAGCCAAGTTATCTACCTATTTAGAAATAAACAAAGACTTACTGTGCAGCCAGACTGCTTGGAGATAAGGTCTGTCCATCATCCTCATTCCACACATGCGTTATATTATCGGAGTCACCTGAAGTAATAATTTTTATATAGGTAAACATTTAACATGTTTGCTTAAAGATTTTTTTCCTCAGTGAAAACCATCCCAGGTCAAATTAATGAGGAGAAAATGCAGAAATCTGCAGAATCATTCTCAAAAGAATTGTATAAAAGACATCTATGCTCTTTTGTTGGAAATATTTGTGATATTTATAGGAAATAGATGCCTACTGATCAAAATAATCCCGATGGTCAAGCATATGCATTTCTAACAAGTTCTTTGTCTGTGCATCAAGCCACTACATTATTTTATCCCAGGACCTGCATATGCAGATGACTGCTAAGTACTATAATGAAGATTGACTACCACGTGATTTGTTAATCAAATGAAGCCAATTTTAGTCTTATGGGTCACTGGATTTTTTTTTTTTTTTTGCCTTCAGTTGTCTAGAATGTAGCCTCAGGAAACATCTGCCATCACTAATCTATATTTTCTATCTTTCAAAAAGCAGCCACTAATCTCAATTGAATGCAGCTGTGAATGCAAATTGACTGATGTTAACAGAACTGCTCTGAGAGTTCTCAAATAATATGAGGGTGCATAGTGTGGAAGGCAGTCACTAAGTTTGGTCTAATGGAGACCACATACGAAGATCTAATTCAACACCATGAGTTACCCCCAGAAGTTAAATAGGTCCCTAATTCAGCCTGCTGCATAAGGTTGTATCATAAAAGAGTAAGTGTGCAACAGCATTCACATAAAAATTGAAAATGAAAATGCTTTAAATGGCCCCTGCATAAATAAAAACATCATAAATCCAATACTTTAATTCAGCTCCTTTAGGGAAATGATATCACTTATTTCCCTTCTCTTCAGACTCTACTCATTCCTTATAAATAATCCAGTATGTCTCAATGCTGTCATTTTTAACATTGGCCTAATCATTTTCAATGGGATATTTTATTACCAGCTTCAATAGTTCTTGTATTGTCTCTAGTTAGTGCAACCTAAAGCCTTCTAAAAAGGTACTAGCACAAAACTATGCAATCACCCATTTTTTTGCTGGTCCTGATTATTAACTTTATTTAAATTAGTATGTGTGTAAAAAGACTATCCCAGAATTAAAAATCTCCTTGTCTGTCACCTGTATCAGTCATGTTTAAGTAACGTTTGTACAGCCCCTGCTATCTGGCAGAGTGGCTGTCTCAGGTTTTTCTGTTCAGCAGAGTAGAGTTTTTCTGTGCTCTGTTCACGATGCAGCTGAATATTATTGCTCTAATAACAGTAATGCATCAGTGAGTTAAAGGGCCAAGAATGAATGGGATGCCCAGAATAAACAAACCTAATTAACAATAGTAATACCTATTATGTATTGGCATCTATATATAGAATAACTATAGATTCAAAAACCTGTTGAGATTTATGCCTTTGCAATGTAAAGGTATATAAAACTCTTTTTCTAAGATCAAATTTTGCTCACTTTGAACTCCTATGTGATGCTCAGCAAGCTAATTGGTATTTGTAATACTATGTGGTTATAGAGTTTCTCTTTTTCGTCAAGCCATTAAAATAAGTAACTAATAGAAAATTAACTTTATATTATCAATGACAGACTTGACCCTGAAGTTAAATAAAGACTCTTCCCTTTGGTCACTAAGGACTATAAAGTATATTGAGAGAAATACTATACTAAACAGTCCTTAATGAAATAGAAAATGTTACAGACCCTTAAAAACTGAGATTTTACTTCTTTTTTATTTGTAAGATTAGGCATACTTAAAATTGTATTCACAGGCCGGGCACAGTGGCTCATGCCTGTAATCCCAGCATTTTGGGAGGTCGAGGTGGGCACATCACGAGGTCAGGAGATCGAGATCATCCTGGCTAACACGGTGACACCCCGTCTCTACTAAAAATATAAAAAATTAGCCGGGCGTGGTAGCAGGTGCCTGTAGTCCCAGGTACTTGGGAGGCTGAAGCAGGAGAATGGCGTGAACCCGGGAGGTGGAGCTTGCAGTGAGCCGAGATCATGCCACTGCACTCCAACCTGGGCGACGGAGTGAGACTCCGTCTCAAAAAATAAAAATAAAAATAAAAAAATAAATATATGTACTGGGATAGACACAGCTAAAAAAATTGTATTCACAGACACAGAAATATGGTGCATAGATAACCTCTTTTTATCAGTAAGGATTTCTATCCTAAATTACATCCTAAAAATGTAATTTTATATAATGTACTATTTTGCAAAAGAGCAAATTCCAGTGAGTCACAAACATAATCTCTGCTCCCAAAACTCAGTATTTATAAATGGACCTACTATGGAGTGTATTAACTGTGTAGCAAGGATCCTAGCTGGAGCCGAGCTGAGAATTAGGTATCTTGAGATAGGAAGTTAGGAGGCAACTTTCTTCCCAGGTGTTTATTAGCAGCTCTCTATTTTCACGGTTGCTAAGGAGGCTCCTGAAGAAATCTTGAAGTGTGCTCATACGTCAGGGTGGATCAGAGATAAACATGGTGTGAGGAAAGTGGGTAGAAATCAGAGTGTGGAGAGGAATGGGGGAAGGCAGTGGAAAAAATGTAGCATATGGCTTCCCACAGAATAAGTGTGGATGGGGAGCCAAGCTCCATCAGTGACTAAAAGTGTGGGCTCTTCTGAGGTTAAGCAGGTACTTGCATGTCCCAGTGAGATACCTCAGAAGCAAGTATGTCCCAGAAGGTAAATGTTTAAGTGAGGTTGTTCATAAAAGAGCTCCTGGGGCCTAGATTTGGAGATACACAGATCCAAGTTCTAATCTCAGTTTGGCCACTTACTGGATGAGTAACACAGGCCAAGCACCCAGCCTCCTTAAGCTTCTGTTTCTTTGTCTATAAAATGGGATAATAACTGTATCTCACAGAGTTATTTAGATGATAAAATGAATTTCAGATACTAAAGTACTGAGCATTGATACAATAAATATTACCTATTGTGTTCTTTACTTGAAAGAGTGGTATGAAGCCTACAAACCTATCTTAACCATTATATTAGAGAGAATCCAAGCAACTCTGCTATGAGATACCACCCCACTCCAGCATAACAGAGTAAAAAACCAAGGGAGAAAGGATGTTCATTTTCAAAAATACTGCTGAACACTGTGAAGACTAAGAATGAGGTGGCCTGGGTTACGGGGCAGGTATCTGTACTTGGACCAGAGACCCCAGTGCTGTTGAACTGTAGTCACTAGTTCTGCCTTCAATGACAAGTTTAAGTTCCCTGAAAGTTTCCTAGAAATACTTAGGAGGGTTTTCAAAGTCTACAAAATTTCTGCTCAAACAGGTAGGGTTTTGAAGTTAGTAACTTTTAGGAATTGACATTAATACATCTGCATTGATATTCTTGGCTTGATGAACTCACAGTGCAGGAAATTTAAAAAGAAACAAAAGGTAAGTGTATCAAATTTTATGAATAAAAATACATTTCCTTGGTGTATGTCCTTGTCTTCTTGACCATCCAATGACGTGTTTTAAGACTTGCCAAAAGCCAGACGTGGTGGCTCATGCCTGTAATCCCAGCACTTTGGGAGGCTGAGGTGGGTGGATCACGAGGTCAGGAGTTCAAGACCAGCCTGTTCAAGATGGTGAAACCCCATCTCTACTAAAAATACAAAAAAGTAGCCGGGCGTGGTAGGCGCCTGTAATCCCAGCTACTCGGGAGGCTGAGGCAGAGAATTGCTTGAACCTGGGAAGCGGAGGTTACGGTGAGCCGAGATCGCGCCACTGCACTCCAGCCTAGGCAATAGAGCGAGACTCCATCTCAAAAAAAAAAAAAAAAAAAAAGACTTGCCAAAATGATTAGCACAGTCATAGACATAAGACATGGTCACGGTTAAATATTGAAAACTGAATTACATTTTTCACCAGGAAATGGGTTCTGCTCCCTGCTTAATAAGAAATCCTGCTTACTTCTCCAGCTTTTGAAGCACAGGTGAGCTTTGTACTTAAAATTTTTAAAAATGTAACTTTATTACTTTACTTTATATTAATTATAAAGGATGAGTCTGAAGATAAAAAGGAAAGGGTAATAAGGAGAACCATTAAGTTCTTAAGCCTTTAAAATGCAAATATGAAAAGAAAACAGAGGAAATAATTATGTTTGTTAGCACATTGTCTGGTTTTCTAGCCTAAACTTTTTTTTTAAGAGTAATCCTGTTTTTCTAATGGACGTCAAGACCATCAAATTTAATAACAGTCAATCCTGCAAGCTAACCATCAATTCTGAAACTGTAGATATAAAAAATGCTCTAGACTAACAGAAAATGGCATCCAAGAGTATTGTTGGACCCTCCAGTGAGAATTCTTCAAAGCCTTCACAGGCATGCTTTCTTTTTATATGAAAATTGATATTTCAATACTATGTAATGAACAATCAGATTTTGACCTGATGATCTCAGGATGCTTATTTTGTAATCTAAAGGTAAAAGTTGAAATATGTAAAAGCTGACAAACTCAGCTGAGAAAGCATAATTCTAAATTTATTCACCAGAGATAAATTGTTAACCAAACTTGGCAAGTAGGGATTTATTCCTTACATCTCCAAACCTTTGTCTGTATGTGTCTGTGTGTATGTAGCTGTATGTCTCCATGTGAGTGTAGACAGTACCATTCTAGATATGCCAAAGGGACATTTTGTGACTCACTACCAACATGTTATACCTTGTCTTACTGGAAAATCAAAATTTGAAAATGAATTTTAAAATACTGCAATTCACTTTAGGCATTTGTTTCAAATAATAAGGTAGAAATCGATTTGTTGAGGCATAGTCCCTGATTTTTTTTTTCTATACCAAGTATAAACATAGTTTTACAAGCTAACAGAGATCATTTTCACCTAACTAAAAACCCTAGAAAGCCACAGTTCCCTCTTCTTGGCCATTTCTCCCTTTCTCCACACTTTGATTAACTCGAGATCCAGATTTATTCATAGCATATGTCCCCACCTAAGAATAATATCATCTCTACATGATTACTTTCATTGCACTCTGCTTTATATTTCCAATGGGCTTTGTGACACTGAATTTAACACAGTAAGATGGAAATATAATACCTTGAGCTGGGGAGTCCAGAGTGTACAGCAGATGTTTAACAGACTTCTGGAGGGTTCTGAAACCTTCGTTAGTTGCAAAACGTGGATAAACCTTCTGCACAACCAGCAGCACACTAAGGAGTCAAAAAGCAATTAAACCAGATTCTGTTTCAAGGTTTGCAGACAGAAACAAAAGATTATTCAAGGAGAAAATGGCTACAGTATAAATTATTCTTATAATATAAAAGACAAGATGCTACTTTTTGTAATTTAATTACTTGTTTGTCTGTTCATGCACAAAATCTCAACAAAATATTCTTAACCAGACAGAGCAGTTTATGTTTCTAGGTTTCTAAAACATCAGGAATCACCAGCCTTAAAGTAATGGAGCAAGGTTCCCATCAATTTTTTTCTAAGACTTAGAAATAAGTAGTTAGGAAAAGCAACTTTCAATTAAAGAATACATCTTTTTTTAGCTAAAAAGAAAAATTAAATATTAGAAAGTATTTTCATTAAAAACCAAACCCAAATAAAGGATCTAGTTTCAGGAATAATTATTATTTAAGCATTTATAATATTTATCTTTTGCTAAACAGATAGTAATGTTTTTGAAGAAGAAAATGGAGCTTGCCCTAATTAAAGACTATATTCTATCTTCTAAGTGGTCTATAGGCACTATTCCAGAGGTAGTTCAAAATTAATATCCATACTCTGTTTCTATAGCTTTTATGTTACCGATAAGATGGGCAGTCTACACTGGGGATAGAAAATCAGAAAATTCAGTTATGCTTGAGTTCATCCTGTATTTGGAAAACGCAATTAGTTTCTCAAAACATGTCTTTTAGTTCCTTTATAGCCATTAGTGCATTTTAAAGAAATATTGTTATTGCACATGCATTTCTACATTATATAAGTACTGTGATTTGTATCAACAGTTGAGTCAATGCTTTAGTTAAGTAGTAGGCTTTTGTTAAAAATTTGACATTGTGAAGTTAAATGTAGTACAAATTAGCTAATAGTAATTTTTCCCTATCTAGTTTCTTAGTAAACTCAATGTGTATTCCAGCAATAGATAGTATTTGTGTACACTTTCATGGCATTCTATAATGTTTTTGGAATTTTTGAAATTTAGATTAAGATGATGTTAATTTTAGTCCCCTAGATATGAATGATAGCTGTTTAGAGAACTAAATTTTAGGTGCCATCTGGGTAGTTCCTAGTATAAAATAAGGATATACATGTGGATATGTGTGTATGTTTATAAACATACATAAAAATATATGCATATATATTTTCTAACATTTAGTTTTCTAATAATTCTATAAAATCTATTTATTTGTCCAGTTTTGCAGATGGGAAAACTAAAGTTGAAAAAAGTTAAGTAACTAAATAACACAAGGTTATTTAGTTAATAATAAGTACAGCTGGGGTCTCTCTATTTCAAAGTTTATGTTCTATCCACTCTATATGTTGCCTCTAGCACAAAAGCTTTGCTTCAACATGGTGGGGAGGAGGAGGGCAGAACATTTCTGCACAGAGCCCACAGGCATTTTTAATTTGTCACCCAGCTGTGTTCCGAACAGTTGGCCACAGAGGCATGGCTGTATTTTTCTCATCTCTGCTCTGTATACATGACTGGTGACACCTCAGGCATTTTTATGTTTGCCCCAAGAATCTCCTGGTTCTCAGGTGTTGGGTTACTTCCAAACCCTAGCAACCATGGAGATCAGTTAGACTGTCTCAGGGCGTAAATCTTGGTCGGCCTTCAAGCCTGACCCTCTGCCTAACTCACCTGACCTATTGTCCCAAAGTAACATCTTCAAAGACTGAACATTTGACAATCTCATTAAATCTTTCAGCATTATTATCATTAACATTATTAATTAAATGTCAGTAGACTTCATTCATCTTTATCTAACAAAATGTAACTGAATAAATAATGACACCTGGGCTTCCATCTTCTCTGAAATCCTTTACACCATTGATACTTGATATTTATTTTACTTCATAGATTATTTTTCTTCTCTTCATCATATAAAAATGGAAATTATCAAAACAAAACATCATCAAAACAAAACATCATCAAAAACAGGTTGCTCTCTGAGTAAAGGTAATTTTTAAAAAGAGTTTTTGTGATTTATGTCTCAGCATAGCCTTCATCTCAGTAAGGCAACAATCCTGTGTGTCCTTTCATATGCTTTTCTCAACTTTTGAGATTGCTGATTTCTGCTTATTACTGTCTTAACTTTAACATTATATAATCTGATTTCGGTGGTTGGTTTATATACAACATACAATGTAAAAAAATGCTGGAGAAATAACAAAAATTCCTGTGGGGTCCATTTGTCTCTATTACTTGTTCAACAAAGATTAAGATAAACCAATGAGACCATAATGTTGTGATAAAATACAGTCATTTGTGAGAAAATTATGGCTTTTAGTGACACTGTCAGCTTTATCATAATAATAAACAGCTGACTTTAAAAAGTCCAAGCCATGTATTTAATTTAGAATTTTCTAGTAGTCACATTAAAAAAGTAAAGGCCGGGCGCAGTGGCTCATGCCTGTATTCCCAGCACTTTGGGAGGCCAAGGCGGATGGATCATGAGGTCAGGAGATCGAGACCATCCTGGCTAACACAGTGAGACACCGTCTCTACTAAAAATACAAAAAATTAGCCAGGCGTGGTGGCGGGCGCCTGTAGTCCCAGCTACTTGGGAGGCTGAGGTAGGAGAATGGCATGAACCCAGAAGGTGGAGCTTGCAGTGAGCCCAGATCCCGCCACTGCACTCCAGCCTGGGCAACAGAGCAAGACTCCTTCTCACAAAAAATAAATAAATAAATAAATAAATAAGTAAAAAGAAACAGATGAAATTAATTTTAATAATATATTTTAACTCCATACATCCAAAATATTAGCATTTCAATATTTAATAAATATAAAAATTACTAATGAAATAATTTAGGTCTTTTACTGTACTAGGTCTCCAAACTTATGGGGCATCTCAGTGCAGATGCTAAATTTTAATTGAAAAGTCTTCACCTGTATTTAGATTTCATTAAATTTACGGATGAAAAAGTAGATTCACATACCTAAGCCATTGTTAACATACTAAAAAGTATTACAATAACTGAACCAAGTATCAGTTTTTAAAATTTAAATTAATCAAGTTAGTAACGTTACACATTCAGTTCCTTAGGCACACTAGCACATTTCAAGTGCTCAAAAACCACATTAACTAGGGGCTATCATGTTAGAAAGATCAAGTATTACTGGACCACTAAAAAAAGAGTTGTTCTGACTAAATAAAAGTCAGATGCTATTCTATCAAAAAGGCAAACTATACAATGGTAGAAAATATTTGGAAACCATTTATCTGATAAACAGTTAATTTCCAAAATATAAAGAAAACATATAAATAGCCAATAGACATATGAAAAAATGTTCAATCATCAGAGAAATGCAAATCAAAATCTTAATATCATTGCACAGCTGTCAGGATGCATATTATTAAATAAAAAAAAGACAAAAAGTATTGGCAAAGATATGAAGAAATCCAAACCTTCCATGCTATTGGTGAGAATACAAAATGTTGGCTGGGCGCGGTGGCTCACACCTGTAATCCCAGCACTTTGGGAGGCCAAGGTGGACGGATCACCTGAGGTCAGGAGTTCAAGACCAGCCTGGCCAACATGGTGAAACCCCGTCTCTACCAAAAATACGAAAAAAATTAGCTGGGTGTGGTGGTGCATGCCTGTAATCCCAGCTACTTGGGAGGCTGAAGCAGGAGAATTGCTTGAATCCAAGAGGTGGAGGTTGCAGTGAGCTGAGATCATACCACTGCACTCCAGACTGGGCCACAGAGGGAGACTCCGTCTCAAAAAACAAACAAAAAAACAAAAAAACAAAATGTTATGTGTCCCAAACCTTTTTTTATTTCTTCTACAAAAAAAAGGGGGGGTGTGAATATATGTGCAGAATGTGCAGGTTTGTTACATACATATATGTGTACCATGATGGTTTGCTGCACCTACTAAGCCGTGCAACCTGCAGGCCAAATCCAGCCCTAAGGCCTGTTTATGTAAATAAAAGTATATTAAATACAAAAAATTTGTTAAGCTAGTAGATTTCAAGTGTTCTCACCACAAAAAAATAAGTATATGAAGGAAATGTATATGTTAAATAGCTTGATTTAGCCATTCCACAATGTAGATATATATTACAACATGTGGTATGCCATAAATATATACAATTTTTGTCAGTTAAAAATAAATAAAAAGAAATACTGCTGAATTAAAGAAAATTGAAGATAAAAAATTTACCAAAAGAATACAAAATAGGCCAGGTGCTGTGGCTCACGCCTGTAATCCCAGCACTTTGGGAGGCTGAGGCAGGCAGATCACAAGGTCAGGAGTTTGAGACCAGCCTGGCCAATATGGTGAAACCCCGTCTCTACCAAAAATACAAAAATTAACCGGGCATGGTGGCACGTGCCTGTAGTCCCAGCTACTCGGGAGGCTAAGGCAGAAGAATCGCTTGAACCCAGGAGGCAGAGGTTGCAGTGAGCCAAGATCGTGCCACTGCACTCCAGCCTGGGCGACAGAGCGAGACTCCATCTCAAAAAAAAAAAAAAAAAGGAATACAGTGGAGTTGCTATGGAGAACAGTATGGAGGTTCCTTAAAAATTACAAATAGACTATCATATATGATCCAGCAATCTCACATCTGGATTCTTATCCAAAAGAATTGAAATTAGAATAATGAAGAGATAGTAGTATTGCTGTGTTCATTGCAGCACTATTCACAATAGTCAAAATGTGGAGATAACCTAAATGTCCATCAACAAATAAATGAATAAGAAAACGTGCTATATAAACACAATGAATACTATTCAGACTTAAAAAAGAATGCATTTTGAAATATGCAACAACATGGATGAACCCTGAAGACATGATGTGAAATGATAATGCATAACCACTTAAGCCAGTCACACAAAGCAAAATACTACAAAATTTCTTGTATGGGAAGTATCTAAAATAGTTAAATTCCTAGAATCAAAGAGTCAAGTGATGGTTTCTAGGGTCTGATTAGAAAGGGAAATGGGAGTTGGTAATGAACAGGCATGGAGTTTCAGTTAAGCAAGATGAATAAGCTCTAGAGATCTGCTGTACAGCATTGTACCTATAGCTTACAATTTAAAAATGTGTTAAAAGGGCAGAGCTCATGTTAAGTGTTCTTATGAATATAAAATAATTTTTAAGTCAAATGTCATTTGCTTCATAATAATTTGAAACTATTTCTCTTTAGGTTTTATGTTTGTTTGGGATAGAATCTCATTCTGTCACCCAGGCCAGAGAGCACTGACATTATCATGGCTCACTGCAACCTCAAACTCCCAAGCTCAAGCGATCCTCCCACCTCAGCCTCCCAAGTAGCTGGGACCACAGGTATGCACTACCATGCCCAGCTACTTTTTTATTTTATTTTATTTTTTTGTAGAGATAGTATCCCACTATGTTGCCCAGGCTAGTCTTGAACTCCTGGACTCAAGCAATTTTCTCATGTCCACCTCCCAAATTGTTGGGATTACAGGCATAAGCCACTGCACTCAGCCTCTTGTAAGTTTTATTTTATTTTTAATTGACACATAATTGTTCATATTTATAGAGTACAGTGTGATAATTTGGTACATGTATACAATGTGTAAAGCTCAAATTAGTATAATTAATGTATCCATTGCCTCAAACGTTTATTATTTGTTTATCATGAGGACATCTGAAATCTTCTTTTACCGTTATTTTGAAATATACAATGGATTACTATTAACTGCAATCACCCTACTGTGCAATAGAACAGTAAAATTTATTCCTCCTATCTAATTGTAACTTTCTACCCCTTGATCAACCTTCCCTCATCCTCCCCTTTCACCCAACCTCTGGTAATCATTATTCTACATTCTACTATGAGATCAACTTTTTTAGGATCCACATAAAAATGAGATTATGTAGTATTTGTCTTTCTGTGCATGGCTGTTTTAATTTGTTGAGGAACCTCCATATTATTTTCCACAATGGCCATTCTACTTTACATTCCCACCAAGAGTGTGCAAGAGTTTCCCTTTCTCTGTATCCCTGCCAGCATCTGTTATTGTTTTTGTCTTTTTGGTAATAGCCATTCTAACTGCAGTTAGATGATATCTCATTATAGTTTTGATTTTCATTTCCCTGATGATGAGTGATGTTGAGCATTTTAAAAATACACGTGTTGGCCATTTATATGTGTTATTTTGAGAAATATCTATTCAGATCTTTTGTCCATTTTAAATTGCATTATTTGTTTTTTTGCTACTAAGGTGCTTGAGTTGAAGCCATTTATTAATAAGCTATTTTCATTATTATGCAGACTCTTTTACATATATAATCATTACTTGACAACATACTCTACTGCATAGTGCCAAAATATGCAATAATTTTATTTTAAAATTTAAAGGGAATTAAAATAGCTGCAGAACTTGGATCAGAGGTTGTTGTTAAAATAGCCACAGCACAATGTTTTTGCCAGTGTAATTTGCTCCGCCAAAATAATGCCTAGAGTATTTTTAGATCTTCTGTCTTTTAGTAAATATTATTTTGTGGAATTTTTGTTGTTGTTGTTGTTGTTGTTGATTTTTTAATCAAATTTCATTGAGGTATAATTTAAATACAATAAGATGCACCTATATTAGGTGTACAATTAAATGAGTTTTTTTTAAGTTGTAAAGTGATCATTTTAATTGTATAAACTTACGGGGTACAAAGTGAAGTTATAAGTTTTGACAAATACACATACATGTAACCACCATGCCAATTAAGATACAAACATTTCAATCACCCCAGAAAATTTTTCTCATGCAATTGCTCCTGAATCCACTGATCTGATTTCTAACATTATAGATTAATTGTGTCAATTCTAGAACCTTCTATAAATAGGATGATAACGCTATCTACATACACAGTATATATTTTTTGTTTTGATGTTTTTGCCAGCATAATATTAATGAGACTTATTTACCTTGTATGACTCAATAATCTGCTTATTTTTATTGTTGTGTTGTATTTTAATATATGAATAAACCACAATTTGTTTTGCCATTTTTTTATAGAGATTTGATTACCTGGCTCCACTTTTAGCTATTATCAAGAAATAAACATCAGCATACAAGTCTTCATATAGGTGTATATTTTCATTTTCTTGGATAAATACCCAAGAGTAGAATGCAGCCTCATACGGATCTACTGTTTTACTTCATTAGAAGCTGTCACACTATTTTCCAAATGACTGTGTTGTTTCCCATGCTAACTTGTAATATATGACCGCTTCAGTTGCTCTATGTTCTTGCTAACACTTGGAATTATCCATCTTTTAACATTTAACCCATTCCAGTGAGTGTGTAGTGATATCTTATTTGGGGTCTGAATATTATTGACTCTTTTCACTGCTACACTATACAAGTCAAATAATTCCCCTTCTCCTTTTACAGATTCACCTGTTTGCTTCCTAAGACAGAAAATAAATAGGAGGAAAAGGATCAGAGTCAAAATTCTGAGTGAGTGAAAATTTCCCTAAGAGATAAAATGAGGGTTAACATAGAGAATCAAACTTCCTAATATCTTGCTTCTTCTGTATTCCAGTTATGGTGTGTTACCATGGAAAGAGTATAGGACTGGGATTCAAATTCTTTAAGTTTAGGTCCTGGCTTTGCCATGTACTAACTGTAGAACCTTGGGGAAGCCATTTGACCTCCATAAGGATTTGTCTCCTCTTCTATAAAATGGGAATCCATTGTCTCCAGCTCAAAGCACTATTCTGAGAATCAAATGAGATTGTTTTATCAATACAAGGGCTTATTATAAGGTCTTTGAATAGATATAAGCTCTTAAAAGCATTCCAAAAGTAAAAAGCAATCTCTTCTGATGCTCTAGACATATAAAATAGACTACATCATGCTATTAGTGACATATAAGAGAGGCAGCCTGGGTTCTGGAGTTAGAAAATCTAGTTGCAAACCCTTCTAGATGCAGGATCTGCAAATACTTAATTTTTAGGACTGTTAATCTAATTTATAAAATAAATACTGTTTGTTGTAAGATTCAATGTGATCATGTGTACAAACGACTTGGTAACACATCTAGCATGTAATAGGCACTTAATAATCGAACATCATTGATGCAGTAGTTGGATTTTTAAGGCTCATTTTCAAATTAGCTATACAGGGCAATCAAAACCTAAGTACTGTCCATTAAACTCTAAATACTGGCCGTGCCCAGATCTCTTTTACGAATAAAGTAACCTTTAAAGGTGTTTCTCCTGCAAAGGTTTTAAAATCTTTATAACATATATACCAAGGCTAACTGATATGCAGGCTTGGAAAGGTCATTTCTAAGCTGACTACACATGAGGGAGGCCAACCTCTTTGAGGTGGCTTGGAACAAAACTCTTACCAATATGGTTGTTTTATGTTGGATGGTACCAAACAAAACTCACTGAGATATTTTATTCCTGGATAGTTTAAATGCTAGTTGCATAGAGCTCAGGTTGTCCCTGAATGAACTGGAGTCAGTGCTGCAATATACTGTTGGTCCTGCTGTACACCTCATTCTTAGAAGCTCTGCGATACCCAGTAACAATACAACAGTTAGGATCAGTTCCTCGTGGATGCTTCCATAACCTTGATGACCACAGTGTATGTTTCTTCTTTGCTTAACTAATACACTCACCTTCACTGCTAAAATCTGCAATAAGAGGCTGAAGGATTATTTGCTCTGTGTTTAAATAACCCAGATAACAGTAATCATCACAGGTAACATTTTTTTAAACACTTCTTTGTGAACACTAATATTACATTTAATTCTTACATTTTCTTACCTGTTTGCCTTTCGAAGAACATCAAATAGATTGCTTAGTGATGTGTCATTCTGAAACACATTTGGAAAACTAGACAGAAGCTGCCACACAGCTTTCTGCTCTTGCACTTGTGAGAAGAAAGACAGCATTCTGACTATTTCCTGAAACACTATCTTCTGATTGTTGGGGTCACTGGATAGCTTAAAATATAAAACCACAAACAGAGCAAAATGAGACTTTAACATTTGTAATCACATGGTTTGCTGTTTTTAAAAGCATCAAAAATCTAGATTTTCACATAAGCAATTCTTTTAGACCTTCACTCAGTTTGAAGCCAATCTTTTATTTGGAAAACCAGCAACTACTTCTAATGTTCTTAAACATAATTGGATCTTTTCCCTGTAACTCCAGAAATTGGCATAAAAGTTTGGTTAACAAAGCTGTATTTATATAAAATATTTCAAATTATATATTTGGAAATTAAAATTAAGTTCCTAAAATAATTTTAGCTCTGAGTAATGTTTTTTTTTCTTAGGACTTGGTTTAGGGTTGCAGATATATCTTCCCTATACTTATTACTAGGTGTTATATTGTTTGGATGGAGTACTCCTTAACTAATATATAGATTAGTAGAGATACGGATAGATTTTTATATATATATAAAATATAATATAATATAATATATATAAGAGCGTGTGTGTGTGTATATATATATATACATAATTCAGGAAAATGTTTACTATTACAATTACACATACTTAGTGCTATGTGATTTTGAACAATGTCTTTTTTACCACATGTTCTATTCTACATGACTGCCAATTTTGTTAAAAAAACAATTGTAAGTACTTTACATTGGATTGGGGATTATTATAACTGTATTTTTTTGTGTTCTCTCATTGTATGTGGGGTTGCATTAAATGTAGATTATTGCTGTCTCATTTTTACCATTGTTGTTTAAGGCTAGTGTATGTACTATTCATAATAGCAAAGACATGAAATCAACCCAAATGCCCATAAATGATAGACTGGATAAAGAAAATATGACACTATACACCATGGAATACTATGCAGTCAGAAAAAAAGGAATGAGATCATGTCCTTTGCAGGGACATGTATGGAGCTGGAAGTCATTATCCTCAGCAAACTAACACAGGAACAAAAAACCAAACACTGCATGTTCTCACTTGTAAGTGGGAGCTGAACAATGAGAACACATGGACACACAGAGGGGAACAACACACACTGGGGTCTGTCAGAGCTGGATAGGGGGAGGGAAGACATCCAGATAAATAGCTAATGCATTCTTGGCTTAATACCTAGGTGATGGGTTGATAGGTGCAGCAAACCACCATGGCATACATTTACCTATGTAAGAAACCTGCATGTCCTACACATGTATCCTGGAACTTAACATTAAATTAAATTTGTTTAAAGACTAATGTATGCAAACACTCCATAGTAGAGTGTTCTTGCTTCTAATGTATAATATTTTGGTGAGAGGGATATACTGTTTTATCAAAATCTAACTTATTGCTGAGGAATCACATTACCTAACTTCAGACTATACTGCAGGGCTACAGTAACCAAAACAGCATGGTACTGGTACAAAAACAGACACATAGACCAATGGAACAGAATAGCAAACCCAGAAATAGGGCTACACACCTACAACCATCTGATCTTCAACAGAGGTGACAAAAACAAGCCATGGGGAAAGAACTCCCTATTCAATAAATGACATTGGGATAACCAGCTAGCCATATGCAGAAGAATGAAACTGGTTACACCATACACAAAATTCAACTCAATTAAAAAATATACACCTTGCTTACACCATATACAAAATTCAACTCAAGTTTGATTAAAGACTTAAATGTAAAACCCCAAATTATAAAAACCCTGGAAGACAGCCTAGGCAACACAATTCTAGACACAGGAAATGGTAAATATTTTATGACAAAGATGCCAAAAGCAATCAAAATAAAAGCAAAAGTTGACAAATGGGATCTAATTAAACTTAACAGCTTCTGCACAGCAAAGAAACCATCAACAGAATAAACAGACAACCTACAGAATGGGAGAACATTTTTGCAAACTATGCATCTGAAAAAGGTCTAATATCCAACATCTATAAGGAAGTTCAACAAATTTACAAGAAAAAAAAAAAACTCCACTAAAAAGTGGGCAAAGGACATGAACAGATGCTTTTCAAAAGAACATATACCTACAGCCAACAAGCATATGAAAAAAAGCTCAATATCACTGATCATTAGAGAAATGCAAATCAAAACCACAATGAGATGCCATCTCACACCAGTCAGAATGGCTATTAAAAAGTCAAAAAATAACAGATGCTGGTGAGGTTACAGAGAAAAGGGAACACTTAAACACTGTTAGTGGGAGTATAAATTAGTTTAAACATTGTGGAAAACAGTGTGGTGATTCCTCAAAGACCTAAAAACAGAGCTACCATTCAACCCAGTAATCCCATTACTGGGTATATACCCAGCAGAATATAAATTATCCTACTATAAAGACATATGCACACATATGTTAACTGCAGCACTAGTCACAAAATAACAAAGACACAGAATCAGCCGGTGCAGTGGCTCACGTCTATAATCCCAGCACTTTGGGAGGCCGAGGCAGGTGGGTCACTTGAGGTCAGGAGTTCGAGATGAGCCTGGCCAACATGGCAAAACCCTATCTCTACTAATAATACAAAAAAAAAAAAATTAGCTGGGTGTGGTGGCCTGCACCTGTAGTCCCAGCTAGTCGGGAGGCTGAGGCACGAGAATTACTTGAACCCAGGAGGCGGAGGTTTCAGTGAGCTGAGATAGCACCTTTGCCCTCCAGCCTGAGTGACAGAGTGAAGCTGTGTCTCAGAAAAAACAAAAAACAAAGCAAAACAAAAACAAAGACATGGAATCAACCTAAATGCCCATCAATGGCAGATTGGATGAAGAAAATGTGGTACATATACACTGCGGAATACTATGCAGCCATAACAAAGAATGAGATGATGTCCTTTGCAGGAAAATGGATGGAGCTGGAGGCCATTATCCTTAGCAAATTATGCAGGAACAGAAAACGAAATACTGCATTTTCTCACTTATAAGTGGGAGCTACATGACGAGAACACGTGGACACAAAGAGGGAAACAACCGACACTGGGACTTACTTGAGTGTGAAGTGTGGGAGGAGGGTGAGGATCAGAAAAAAATAACTACTGAGTACTAGGCTTAGTACCTCGGTGACAGAATAATCTAGACAACAAACCACTGTGACATGAGTTTACTTATATAACAAACCTGCAATATGTGCCCCTGAACCTAAAATAAAAGTTTTTGAAAATTCACAATTAAAGAAAAATTAGCTTTTCAAACTAGGTTTGAAGTCAGTGAGAAAAATAAAAAGATTTTACCCATTATTCTAAATTCTGGCAGTTATATGACTGTGACAGTTTAATTATTAAACTTGTATCACAGCCTGAGTAATCTCACCTAAAGATCTCAGAGAAAACTATCAAACTTCATTTACTGTAGAGCAAAGCCATATTTTATTTATAAAGGTGTGTCCACATTAACCATAATGTAATATTTTTGGTTTAGCATTGAAATCGTTTCAACCTTTCACATTAAATAAGTAATACTACTTAAGATTAAACTTTGTGTGCAAATGTCTATGTGAGGAAAACATGCCTAAGGTAAACAAATATCCCAGTCAGCATTTCCCAGTCTACACGGGCTATAGATTTACCCTTTAATTCATGTTGAGTCACTTTGTGGATCAAAGATCTACACTCACCTGGGAGAACTGTTTGTTTAGTTCTTGGAGAGAAGACTCTAAAAGGGTCATGTTAGAAAGGCAAAATTTGTTAAAAACATTTCTTCCTAGAAAGGTCCAAGAGAAGGCATCATCCACAATGTATCCTGAATAGCTGTCACATAGTTCTCTTCGTATATCTTCTGAAGTTGAATTTTGCTTTAACAGCTAAAAGCATGTGTGAAAAGAGTAAAATAAGAGTGTTAATAAATGTAGATGTTCAAATATTCTATTCTTCAAGGAATCTAAGCTGTCTTCAAAATAGCCATTTTGAGGTCCTCCATTATAGCAGCTATTAAAATAACAATAAAGTAGATAGAGTTTACCCATGAAACTTGTAGAGCGAATGCATGAATGTGGTAAATTCTTGTCATTGTTATTATTTAAATGATTTATATATGAATTGTTTGACTGAACTCATTTCTTGTCTCTGACCAGAAAACCTCAATGCACAGAGTCTTTGCTTACAAAAATCTTCACGCATAAAAATCTTATTCACTTTTTCTGGACATTGAGTAGCAGAAACTCAGGTGTCCTAACTCTTCATGGCACTCATAGGAAACTGGTTGTGATCTTTGGAAGATTTCCAACAGAAGGAGCTTCGAGGTCTATTCCTAGGATGAACAGTGTTTATTTACAGAAGTGTACAAATATAGATTGCTTCATTTGCAAAGCAGTTCTTCCATCTAAGTCTTATATATAGAAAGAAAAAGGAAAACGTATGTGAAAATGTATAATAGCAGGCATAACTACTAAAAGTAGTCATTGGAAATCATTTTCGTAATGGAATCATCATAATCTCCCTATATATTTCATAATTCAGGCCAGTCACAGATATAGCAGTATTTTACCCATAATGTTGATCATATTTACCATTATTAAGTTGTTTAGATATTTACAGAGCTGATGATAGTTAGTTGTCAGACTTAAGGGGTCCATCTTAATAATTAATTCTTATTACTCCATGAGGTGAGGTCAATTTCATCCTCCCCTTAAGTGTGTATTACAAAACCTACATGCTACCTTCTAGTGACTCAAATTCTAAAAGTAATGGAACAAGACAGAATCCACTTATCTAGGATGTACTATAAGTGTTAGGCCTTCTAGTCATTCATCCGTATCTCTCTTCTAACATTCCACATAAACTCACCCAAAAATGATTTCTCTACTCATTCTTGCAAGTGTTGCAGAAAGCAGTAAAGAGAAAGAAAGAGGAATCAGAGAGATTGCTGACATAGGCATCAATATATCATCCTAATTTTTACATCCCTTCCCTGCTCCAACTACTCTAAAAATATGTATCCATACATAGAAATTTCATTTTTGGCTTATCTCCCCTGGATATATAGCTCTGTGCTGCCTCACAAAATTCTGAAATTCTATTCCATATGAGAAAGATAACTTGGGAGTTTCAATATGACAAAGTAGCATTTTGGAGAATAGCATTGCTCTTCTAGATATTAAAGAATTTATCTGATCCAATGCAAGACTGTCTACTTCTAGGAACCAATATGTAAGAACTGGAATGGAATAGAATAATGTTCTCTAATTTATACACTGTGCTTGATTGGGGGAAGCTTTAGACTGGAATTAACTGGGCATATTGAGAGACTTCTATGCCAGACAAAAAACATTAGAAGCCTCAAATATTATGTAAACTAGACTTTCAATGTCTAGATTGGACAGATTGAAAGGTCCTCTATTTTGGCCAGCATGGGCAGAGTTGATGAGTGTGATGCCATTTCCTGGAGTCCGCTTTTGTGCTGGCCTTTGGCTCATTTATATAACTCAGTTTATTGAAATGCCTCAGTTAAACAGAGTATTAATTTAAGTATAACTAACAAAGTCATATTAAGTAGCAGTGGTTATGGTTACTGGAATGTTAATAAATGTTAAAGACATGTCTCATGATCAGATAAAAGAAATGGTTGCTATATAAGATATAGATATATTATTAAAAACGCTAGTGTGTGTGTGTGTGTGTGTGTGTGTGTGTGTGTGTGTGAAGGTGATGGGGGAAGGAGAGAAGAAAGGTGAGTGGGAGAGAGAGAGAGAGAATAGTATCTCTAATGCCAAATGTTGAAAATGAAGTCTTTTCATGTCTAAAGAGCACATAAAACAGGACTTAAATACCTATGGGACCAGCCAAATAACTTAAATATATTAATCTGGCCAGATGAAAGACAATAAGGGGAAGTAGAGATTGTAGTTACAAAGAGCACGTGTTCTGCCTAAAGGCATTCACATTCAATTTCTTAAAATCTCCGTACACACACTCACACACACATTTAGCTCACAGGCTGCCAGTTTACACCTCTGATAGAAATTATGTTCATTATCTTGCAATCTGGGAAATCTTAAAGTAGATGATCTCTAGGAAACAGAGAAATCGATAAGTAAGCTCTCTAAAATACGCTAAGAAAAAGGATTTTCCTACTTTGGGGCAATATTTTCCTTAGCTCTAATTTTTCCCAAGACTTGATTAGTATGGATGAGGCAGCAAATTCGAAGAGCATTATAACTTCATTTGGTCTTTTTTTCTTTCCTGCTTCAGAAAATTAAAACATCACATATTATGCCACCCTAATTTCTTACTAAGTGAAAACTTTAAGTTCAATTAAGGGACTTAACAGGGAAGTAAATAAATACTCAAGATATTAAGGAATTCAGAATGTCTTAAAATTAAGCTGTTTATTGAAGGGTTCCTAAGAAAAGAAGTTGCCTGAGATATTACCCTAAATAGGAAAGGTGCTCCAAACATCTTGCTATTTGAGAGATCCTTCTATTAACCTAAAAGGCCTATGTTGAATCACTCTACCCATTACAAAATTGAATCAAGTTACCTTTTCCAAGCCAAGAATTCGTGCGAGCACTTGACTGCCATTGAAAGTATATGTTCCGGGGATTTCCAAATCAGAACTTGGACTGGGAAATACTGTGGCTGTAATCAAAGAAGGAACAGATTAGCATTCCACACACACACACACAAATGCACAGGACCACATGAGAATCCATAAACATCACTTGTGACCTCATATACCCTACAGCAAGGATGTGCTCAAACATGCCTCTTCCATGGAAGTTTTATACTGGAAAAGTGGCAAATTCCATGAGTTTTTCTTTTCATATAAAATTGTGATGACTTTGGTCTGTTCTTGTTGTTTATCCAATCATTTAGATGTCATTTGCTTTCATTCCAGTCGGTGACATTAAACTTCATCACCAACATTATTGCCCAATAAACCGAATCATTTCTGTGCAGGCCTGGAGGATTTGAGGTGCCTACACTAGCTCCACAGATCCATCATATCCAACATCTGTTCAAAGGATCTGCCAATGCACATCTGGTGATAATGGTCTTTTCTTTTAATTATCCAATTGGGACACCGAAATCTGCTTAGAATCATAAATTCTCTCCTCAAAGTGGTTTCTGAATGATATTTTAGATCAAATAAATGGGATAAAGCCATTAGCCTGGACTACATACAGTATACTCTAATTAAGTAATTCCCAATGCATCTACATCTAGTATTATTTATTTATGATGTGGCAGAGTTTTCTGGGTTTGGAGCATTAGCTAGAAGACGACATTCCTATCTATAACATGGATGTTCATTAAGCCAGTATATTGACCTTTATAAATTTAATACAGAAGTCTTTTGTCATCCTCAGAGCAAAGAATCTTAATATTCAATGGTACCAGTGACTCATCAGCAGTAGGGCCTAGGCTTTATTTTTGTGCCCACAGGGCTGAAGAATTTGCCATCTGATTCCTTTAGACTATGGCAATATATTTGTGAGATAACTGGCCAGAGTGAGAAACATAATCTGTGGCTACCAAGCAAAGCAAAGCTTACTGGACCATAACATTATAACCTTATTTCTACGGTGCTTTAACCTACTCAGCCAAAGACCCACAGATCATTCATAACAGAACATTAACTCCTCAAAACCATTCACCACCATGTTCCTGCTACATTAACATAGGACTTTTTTTTTTACTTGCTCCATCAACTTGCATTGGAATGTTATTGAATATCATAAAGTCTTAAATATCCCATGGCCTTTTAAAGAAACTCCCTTTTTATCCAGAGCACCAATCATATTTCAACGTACAGGAATCTTGTTTTGTTCACTAATATATCCCCAGCCCCTAAGACAGTGGCTGCTTAGTATTAGGGACTTAGTAAATATTTGTCAATGAATGTTAGCCAGTCGTGCTGTTTCGAGCGTTTATTTTTTTTAACATGTGGCTTCTAATCAGTGTTTCTCAAGTCCACTTGCAACTGAATCACTCGCACCTAAGGCTCAGAAACGCATGTTTTGAGGGAGCAACTCAGGAAGAGTCTCTGCACGTGAAAATTTGAGAGCTACTGGCCTAGATGTGAAGCAAGTCCACAGTCACACTGAAGACTGTGATACTAAGCCTTAAGTGTGAGGAAGAAGTGTACAGCTGAAAGAGTACTGGCCTGGAAGTCCTTCTAATGCCAGCTCTGCTGTATGGCTGTAGATACAGCACTTAACTTTGTTGAGCCTCATATTTCTCATCTGTAAAATGGAAAATCTGGACAAACCTCTGAGATTCTTTCCAAAAATTTTTATTAATGGGCTTTCTAACCCATCCCAGCATCATCTAATTGCAGACAACTAAAGAGTCTAGAGTCAGTTCTGGGAAATGGTGCAATTCTCAACATGTAGGCTTTTGCTCCTATGGAGTATTTCAGTAAGAACTTAATTTCTAATTATTTTCAACACCTTTGCGTAATTGCACCGCCATACTCAGGCAACCATGAGGAACGTTTAGATCTCACAGGGCTATTCTAAGCATTCCTTCTTTGTTTGAAAAGTTTAAAGTATAAACCTTTCAAAGATTAGACCTTTACTGTTCCATAAGGCTTGTTCTGAACTCTACAGAAGAAAATAGCTTACCTAGTGATGCATGCCTTCTTTCTGGAACTTGGGTGCTCTGGAATGATAAACTGCTGTCCTTATCCAGGTTGGATGACTTTCTCAGAATCTCACTAGAGAAGAAAAAGCAAGAACTCTGTAACTTCTCCCACATTAATTTTAGTTACAGCAATGTATTATGTGGCAGATTCCAGGGCTGTCTGAGGACTTTCAAATATTTAATATAGTTTCCAGGATTTTAATGGAAGAATTCACCTAACCACACACCAATGAATATATAAGGTCTCCTACAAAGTATATTTTTATTCAGAGAAAATGGCCTAGATGAAGTTTAAAATAGTTATTTTTACTTTAATCTTGTAGAAAGGACATTTTAAAAGACATTAGAGATAAATACTTAAAATATGTATGATATATATTTTTCTTTTAAAAAGTTGATAGGTCCCAAACAAATGAGAATCCAAGAGTGCTTTGGGGACTGAAACAAAGGTCTGCTTATTTGTCAACATTAAAAGAAAAATAAGTTTTCTATGTTAAATTATAGATGGCCTTTTAAAGATTTTCAACACAGGTTCAAGGAAGAAGAGAAAGGCCAAACATTTATTGAATACCCAGTATGTGCCAGGAATTGTGGTTGATGTCATCACAGATGGCACCAAGTATAAAAGGAATAACATTAAAATAAATTTTCCATTGCATTGAATGTGTCAAGGCAGTAATAATTACATTGTGGTGCCAGGAATCCCTGTGCAACATGATCACACTAGGTTTTAGAAGAAGACATTGCTGGGCCTTCCCACAATTAGTAACCCCCTCTTTTCTAAAAATTCGCTTTTTGTTTAGTTTGTTATTAAAATGGAGATGATCACATTTTCTTGAAAACTGGATGTATCTAAAAGCTCGTGCCTAAAATAAGTATGTATGTTTCAAAAATAAAATCAGTCTAAATGCCAGGATGCAAATAATTTTTAGAATTCCAAAAAGTTGGTGTATTTTATGTAGTTATTTATAAAAACCTTAAGGTACGTAACAATGGCTATAAAAAGATAATGGAAAAGCAAGAAATTCTGCTTACTACCATGGTTCAACTTGACTTCTGTTTTAGAAACAAGATCTGAATCCTAGTTCCAGGGTACTTTGTGTTTATAATTGGAAAAAGAAAAAGAAGTGATATTTGTTTTCATTCCCTAGTGTTTTTCCAATATTCTCCATAAAATGTACTTTTTGCTCCAAAAGTTCTGCATTCTTAATATATATTTGAATTATTCATGACCCTGACTGTATGCCCCTAATCTTTTTACATTCCTTATGCTGACTACGTGATGGGAAAATTGTTCAGGTAAAAATAAGAAATGACCTGAACATTTTCCCTTTTCTCAAAAAGAAGTTTTAGAAAGTTTGAGAAAGTTGAGTTTACTTTTCTTTTTCTCGACATTTTTTTAGTTTGGCTTGAAATCCTATGAGGACTACTGAATATCAACACATTTTGAAGACAAAAGCAAAAACTGCCTTCATAAAAATTTAAGGACTAGGGACAGCAACAAAAACAAAAGGGAGGATGACAAAGATCAAAATGAGCAATGGAAAGAGCAAGAGAAAATAGACTCAATAATGAATGGTGGTGAGGAAGTGGGAAGAAAAGAAAGAAGAGGCAATAGGAAACTAAGCAAGTGTGCTCTTGGAGAAGCAAAAGCTGCATCTGCTCCACGGAGGACACTTTACTCATCTTCCCACATTCAGAAACGAAACCTAAAATTACTCCTACAAATAGCATTTAAACACCATGGAAAGACAAACTCATTCCCTTCTCAGCAAGCAGCTGGCTCTGCAGCTCTGAGCTTGCTCAACAGTAAAATGACTGCTCCTAGACAAGGACGCACAGCAGCTCCCATTCTAACAGCACCTTTCTCTCACCAGGAAGTGCCCAGTGTGACATGGTTGCCCACATCTTTTATGTAGCCTTAATGTGTCTTTTTTTTGGAAGCAAGAGTTGGATATCATGTGTGCTTTCCTCTTCCCCTTCCTGAAAATATTCTCCAGCTTCATTTTGCATTGACAAGGTGTGGTGTGACAGCACGTGTCTACTCCCATCACACATCAAAACTGTTTTCTTTAAACTCTTAAAATGGAAATCACAAAATAAATGTACAACAGAGTATGTGCATAAAAAGATGAATTAATGCTGTAAATTGAAACACAGCTACTTTCCCCCCAAACAAAGGTAATTAATTCTATTAACTCCCTATTAAATTACTTAAAGAGGGCAAGAAAGTAGCTGGTCTTGCTGAGTTAATGGCATTCCCTGAAGTTTCTAATGAGCAGGATCATGTTTATAGACAAAGCACTACATGCTTCTTAGAACAGTGGTTGAGAAATAGCACCTTCCTGTTACTTCACACAAGCACTTAGTGCACACTTATTTCATATCTATCTGTACCTATTCCCACCACTTTTTCTATTTCAGCTGTGACATCTTTAGGAAAAGCTGCCATGTCTTATTTATCTTTATATTCCCAATATCTAACATAGTATAGGACCATAAGATCTGATGGCTGATTAAATAAAAAGAGACCATATTGTTGGGGTATGGCAGAAAGTACTTTATAGAGTTAGAAGATATCTTCAGAATTTCAGCTCTCTCTTCCTAAAAGATCTCAGCCATCATCTCCCTCACCAGCAAATTAGCAATAATAACACCTACTTTGCAAGGTTGTTATGAGTATGATATGAGGTGTGTGTACCAAGAGTCTCTCTGGGCCCTGTCATCATAGGTACTCATCAATATTAGCTCTTGGTCAGAGTACCCACAAAAGAAGATGTTGCAAAGATGCAACCTTCACCATCAATATGGAGCTGGAGGCCCATATTTTAGATGTAATCCCTTTAGAATCCTAGAAACTTCAAAAGCTCCGGATACCAAATGGATGTATCCCATTATTTTATAGATCTGGAACCTACAAGTATTTACTAGTGATATGGAATGAGGCACAGGCCCTCACCCAGAGCCGTGTAACCCCTTCCTCATTTTATGAGTTTATGTAACTTTTATCTGTTTATGAGATAAATATTCCACCAGTAGTGTTTACCAATTTCCCCCTTTTTAGAGTGTAAGGTTCTTAAGAAAAGCCTACAGTGTATTATGTTGGCAGATAGTAGGATGTTTAGCACATGACAAGCACTGGATACTTGATAATGAGGAACATTACTTGGAACAACTTACCACTAAAGCAACTTTTTTTAAATGGCTGTGGCCTGCTCTCCATTGTTGCATATCTGATTCTGCAAGGATCCTTAGAAAAGGAAACACCCAGCCACAGCCCCAAAGTTATCATCTTACATCGTACCTACCATATTCATTCATTAACTCACCAACATTGATTACATTCTTATTATATGTAAAATAATGGGCAAGTAAAATAAGAAAACCAGGGATTATGGTACATTAATGAGAATAGCTAAGTAAGGACATGTGCAAAGGAGGACTGGAACACATGACAGGGCCCCTAAATCTGAGTTAGTCCCATTTGTGTTTGTTATAGAGCAATATCCTTACTCACATCCTTAATGCAAGCCTCTTGCAACCAGAAACATTTTTCCTTCAGCCTTCTATTAGCCCAGTGGTTTTCAAGTGTGGATAATACCCCTACCCCGGGGGACATTTGGCAATGTCTGGAGACATATTTGGTTGTCACAACTGTGCGTGGAGTGTCACTGGCATCTAGTGAGTAGAGGCCAGGGGTGCTGCTGAACATCCTACAATGCACAACACAACAAAGAATTATCTGGTCCCAGTTATGAGTAGTTGAGAATCAAGGTTGAGAAACCCTGTGCAATGACAGATAATGGAATTATTCAACTCATCCCCATTTCCAGTCCCCATGACCAAACCAAATCAGGAGAGATAAAAATCCTATTCAGGAACTCTAAATAGCTCCAAGGAAGTCTCAGAGACTCTATCTCATACTGGATATCTCTGGGAAGCATATGAAAGTACTGCACAAAACTTAGCTGTCCACTGAATTCGGGACATAGGCCCATCTGATTCCAGAAAATTCAACCCTCTGGGTGAACCAACAAAACCTGAGTCAAATCACCAAGTGGCCCATGGCATCAGCTTACTAACTTCTACTGGACCCGGCCACATGCACGGTACGATGGGCATGGCTAAGGGCCACTCCTCTAAGATAGTGAAGATGTAGATTCTGCCTCAGTGACATTTATAGGGCTCTATTTTGGAGTGGAATTCAATACAGGAAACATTTTGGATTTAAGAATTCCATCATTCTGAGGAAAAAAAAACTAAACACTGAATAGATTTTACTTGTTCTCAGACATGTCTACCAATAGTTACGTTCAGGAAATGTCACATTTATATATATCGTCTTAATGGTAAAATGCATGTACTTCCACTGGGTGTCTTTTTCCTATGAGTAGGAAACGTCACTACCTGTATAAGTGGTACTGTGTGCCATGGCATAATCTATTTATAAGAGGAATTCCTATCAGGAAAGGGACATATGGCAAATCCTGGAAAGAAAATTCTGACATTATTTTTTGTCTCTAAGGGTTAGTTAAATTTGTATATGTATTTTTTCTCATTTCCCCAGAATTAGAATTACATGGGTATGTAGTGGCACCTGGAAACATATGAGATTTTCTGCAAGTCTAGTTCTGATCCCACTTCCAGATGACATTTGTCATTAACTTTTAACTGCAAATAAGGACTAAGGACACTGTAATGGTCTTGAGGCCCCCTCAGTGATTTGACGCAGTTGTCCTTCCTGGATATCCCAAACACAAGTCACCCACAGGAGAATTTTAATTGTTTTAATTATTCATATTTCATCCTGACCCTCATTCCCTAAGGGTCATCCATACTTCAGCTATGGATATCTGTCCACATTCCAAACATATATCTCTTATAAGTGGCCCAGTTACAATCCAACAATCCATATCAGTTAAAACATTAAGATTTAGAAATGACTTAATATGTTACTGTGTCTTAGGGTTTTTTATATTCTTAGGAAAGACTTTGGAGTTAGTTATAGTATATAGTGAGTAGAGGCTAACTAATACATTTCTAAAATTTGTCAGGCTATTATTATGGGCAGATTAGGGGGTATCCTACATGTGTCAGGAACACATAGAATATGGGGAGAAGGAGATAACACCACTGTGTCTCTCAGATGACACTGTGCAGATTATGTTCTACCTAACCATGAAACAAGCAGATTAATTTGGCAACACTGCAAGGAAATGTGTAATCTCTCCATCACAGTCAGTAGCAAAGCTGTCTGCCTATTCCTGTACGCCAACTATGCAACTGCCTCTATTTTTCCCTTTCACTGAATTCTGGCATTCTTTCTCCATGACCTATCTCAAATATACATTCTGCTATTCTGGTAACCACCACCCTATCTGTTCTCAATGACGACACTCTTAAAAGCCTCTGAAATAACTCTCCTGGCATCTGCCCACCCACACTTATCTCCACTTCACTAATACACTCTCCAGTAAGATCCATATTCCTCAGGCAGAAACAATGTCTTATGGTACCTGTGTAACTATTCACCATTTGTTGTCTAATATTCTGGGCACAGTGACACTTAAACAGACATTCATTACATTTACCATGTTATATAGCAGTTTACGTGTTATCTTGTCTCTCCGTCTCTCTTTCCCACTTGAACTGTAAGTTTATATAGGGCAAGGCATATGCCTCATGCATTTCTGTATCTATAGTGACTTGCATAGCCTCCAGCATGCTGTACGAATTCATTATATTCTTATTGAATGAATGGTTGTGCTTACATAATAATTAAGACATTCTTCTACTTTGTTTTTTGATAAATAAAATTTTAACCATTCTTTTTTCACTTTTATCAATTTTATTTCATAATGATCAATGTTTCTGTTTAAATTACATGTAATTATGTTCCAATTCATGTATCTCTTTGTGATTTTAACTATGTAGTAACAAAAATGTAATACTAAAACAAGCTAGAGGAAAGTTTAAAACTCTTAAATTCTTATTGCCCTTTCTTTTTACGCTGATTTTAGCTAAAATGGTTACTAAATGGTTATAAATTAATCTAAAATTAATACAAGAAGAGACCTCTACATCCTTTCTCATCTATATAACCAAATGAAGGCAAACACCTGTTTTACTTCCAGTTATCTTACACTCCTAATAATATCTTTTGGTCAGTTTCTAAGTTCATCCATATTTTTCAATATTAAACAAAAGCCTTGGCACTTTAAAATTTGACCCGACTAAACTCTGATTAAATATTTTTTCAAGTTCTGCAAGAGCCATATAATAGGAGCAGAGGTACGAATTTAGAAGCCGCAGGTCATGAATGAGTGTCAACAGAAATAGGGAGCAAATCCACAGAGGAAACTGCCCCCAGGATCTCAGGAAAGCTGAATCCCTTCTCCAAATAATGACCCTGTATGCTCTAGGGGATGATCTTTGCTATTCGCCAACTGTGTGAGCAATGGCACATGGCCAGGGGCTCCCACTGTGCTGATAGATTCTGAGAGGCAGTGTAAGGAGGAAAGAAAAGGGTAAGATCTGTGATGTTGGATCATCTGTTGTGCAAATGAGCAAGAAAACCATAAACGTAATAGTTTCTTTTTTCAGACAGCTAGTTAGAGTCGATGCTGAGTACAGTGTTGGATTTTTTTTTAAACATCTCATCCTGAAGCTAATGCTTAGAGATGTATAAATTTAATAACAGAAGGCTGGTGCCAGACGCAAAATCACATCAAAACACTTGGCGACTGGCCAACAAGTAGTGACTGCAGTGTGATCATGTCTTTCAGAAGAGCATTCTATTAAAAGAAACATGGCAGGCCTCTTTTGGTGAGACCAAAGGTGGCATTTTTCCCCTCACTTATAGAACAGAAAAGGAAGACTGTTTTGTTTCCTAATGAGGCTATGCTGGTGAATCTTCCTTCACTAAAGGGAAGCAATTTTAGTGGAATTGTTTATCCAGTAAAATATATGCCAGTTTCATTGCACAGCTATATAAAGCATAAAAGTTAATAGCATGATGGGAAATATCATTAATGCAACTTTATTATTGTACATAATTTTATAAATTAAACTCCAATTACTTAGTAGTTTAGAGAAAATAGTGAATATACAGCAATATACAACTTGAGCTAGATAAACTACCTGGAGGTAAAACTAAAATTAAGTAAAGCAGACATGATCAGCCATCTAGAGAATAATCAACAGATGAAAAAATACACCTGGGCTTTAATCCTACTTCCAAAACCAACTCAGTGTCTCATCTCATGCAACCCCATGAATTTGGTTGTCTATAATATTAGATAGACAAATACTTCTTTAGAGGGAACTATAGTTGTCTACTTCTTAGATACTGTTAATTATGTCCCTTATAGTTCTTTGTAAAATGGTAATCCAATTTGTAAATGATGGATATTAATTTTTCTCACAGCTCCTCTAATGCCTGGTTCACAAAATGTCTGTCTCAAGTAAACCTCTTTGTGAAGATTTACCTGATTACCCTAGCTGAAAGCTCTCTTTCTGCTTTAAGTATAGAGGGTGTCTTGCTTCAGCTTCCCTCTGGCAGTCTTCATTGTTCTATCTCCTATTATTGTTATTGATTTAATGTTTTCCCTCCGCTGCTAGAACATCAGCATACATTATTCCTAATTCATCACTCACTTAGTGACAAACATAGAGACCATCAACATTGGAACAAGAAGGAATGCCATTCTTCTTCCATCCCACCTTTGCACTGATTATACAAGAGGGAATAGACACTAGCTGGCAGTGGTCTTCTTACAGAATTAATTGCACACCGGTGCTCATTGAGGTCATGCTTGTATATGCCTAGAACTGTGCCGTTCTCATAGACAATGTATCATGTCATTTCCCCACTCAAAACTTTCAGATGGCTTCTCCTTACACTAAACACACAATGCGAATCCCCTTACCTTTTCTTTCATGATCAATTCTGCATGCTCTGGTCTCTGAGGTTCCTTTTCTACGTATCCCAATCCGTTTCCTCATCCCTTGCCATATTGCAACCGTGTTAGCTGACTTTTTGCTCTTCTAAATGGTTGGGTTTGTCCCCACCTCAGGATCATTTGCTGTTTCTCGGCATGCAACACTCTCTTCCAGATATTCATATGCTGCTGCTGATTTTTCCTTGTCCTTGTTGGTCTCTACCGAAATGTCACTTCTAGCAGAGGCCTTCTTTTGACACTCTATTAAATCCCTACTTTATAATTTCTACCTGTTAAACTGCTTTATTTTCTCACTAGCACACTCATTATTATTTAATTATGCTATTTATTTATTTGATCATGCTGTTGCTTTCCCTTCCTTTAGAATGCAAAAAGGATAGAGAAATTGTTTTATTCACCTCTGTATCCCAGTGCCTAGAATGGTGCCTGGCACATAGAAGCCTCTCAGTCTATTAATCTGTTTTTTAAATAGATTAATAAATGAATGAATGAACATCAGATTCTTTTAAGCATCAAGCCTAATTATTGAAACAACAAAATCAGTGTGAATCAGCATCCCAGCAATTAGGGGTCCCAAGCTGTGTCTCATGACAATTCTTAACATGTTTATATTTTTTGATAAACGGGTTGCAGTTGCACTCTTAAAGTATCACCTAGATTATTTGATGACCAAAATAATGAGAATGGTATTAAAGGAGAAATTGTGCTACATGCTAGGGAATTTAGTATTAAATTTGGCAACTAAATATCTACGATTATAGATAAATATAATATTTTCTTGAGAGATACTCAAAAAATATCTCTAACAGAATTAGCGCATGGTTGATTCAAGATTACAATATTGTTTTCAGTTCTGAAGACAGATAGGCTTCTGGGAGTCTTTTTAGGTTTAGAATCCCAGCAAGGAAAATTGAAGTTGTAAATGGTCAGGTTGTTAATGGCTTAGATTCCCTATTCATTCTTCACCTGCTCCTTACACCATAAAGTAGAACATGCATTAACCTCATTTAAAGGTTGTCATTCAATTATGTATACTTTTAACTTTATTACTTTGAATTTCAGGACGCTTAATTTCCTTTTTTGCACTTCCTGGTTTTTATTGTATCTGAAAGTATCACACATGGTAGTACCAGTATGTGATTCTTCCAGGATGATGGCCCTGACACTTATCTTACACTTACGACATCTCATGCTTGTGATGAGTCTCAGGCAATGTGTCACTGATAATTTAAGGTTGGATAGAGAATCTTTGAGGGATGTAAAGGAGGACTACTTTAGTCACCCATCTTATAAAGCAAATTTGAGACATTCACCCAAAGTAGATTGTACTCAATCTCACATAAACAGTTATTCCAGTTTATACCTACTTTGTTATTTCATATTTAGATCATCACATTTATAGACAGAGAAAACAAAATTGCATATCTAAGCTTGCATGGCTTCCTGGCTATCTCAGAAGGAAACAAGATTTGATCTCTCAGAACAATTGAACACACTTGAGAAGTGCCCCCACCTGTCTTTAAATAGTGCATCATCAATTCCTTTCCTACGAAGCAGATCTTGTGGGCCATAGGGTGTGTCTTTGCATTTAGAGTCTGTGTCACAGAGTAGGGTCTGCAGGAATGGAAAGAATCCAGTACTAGGAAGGTTTCGAGGTGCGAGGTAACCTAAAATTAAAAAAACAGTCATTACATCAGTATGGCACATTTGTCTGGGAAAGAACATAAATGCAGTAACTCCACTTTGTGAAGTTAACCTCCTGGATTACCACTCTCCGGGTCCCCCAACTGAGCCCCAACTCTGCAACTAACACTCACCACTGAGTAGGAGCAGTCTTGGAGGGTGTTATGTTTAACTTCCCTTTTCCGGATTTGCTAATACGTATAAAAACATTTAAAAATGCCTGGTTACCCCATGAATTCCCTTCCTGGGATTTATTCTAAGGAAATACTTACAGGTAGTTGCAAGAATGTTTGCCAGAATGTTTTAAAAATAAATCACAGTGTATCCACATGATAAAACACAAAGCAGCCAATACAAATGTTGTCAATTAATACAAAAAGTGTTTATGACACATTGTTAGTTTAAAAGAACAGATCAGAAAACAGATGAACAGAAGAGTCCTAATCTTTTAATACACGCACACACACACACACACACACACACACACACACACACACAAACATGTACTAAAAAATCCAAAAGATTGTATCACCAAAATTTGATTGATGGCTTTTTTCCTGGGTAGTGTATTTCATTTTATTTTCTTCCTTTTGACTGTATATTAACTGTGTTTTATCACAATTTACATGTCTTCTTTTGTAATCAAAGTAGGTATAAATGCAGCCATTCTTCCAAAAACCAGGAGCTATTTTTGGTCTCTTTAAAATTTAACATTTTAATTATCCTATATACACAACTTCTTTTTCCCGTTTAAAAACCAATAGTGAATGGTATGAATGAAAATGCAAATTTTCTCCAAAATTAAAGTCATACAAAACAGTAATTTTCATAGTGAGGGGTTTTGTAAACTTTAACATTTCCTTTATAAAATACGATGATGGCATACACACGAGTCATGACAATAGGCAAGCTGGGAAATACACATCTTTTCACAATTAGGTTTGCTATGAAAACACTAGATTTCTTCCTTTGGGGGAATACACAGACAATGAACTTTCAAAAAAGGCAAGTTTAGGAAAATTAAGGCTAAAAAGCAAAACTTTAATCTCCGCATGAATGTGTAAAAAAAAAAAAAAAAAAAAAAAAAAAAAGAGTGCCCGTACAGGTCTGTTTTCATTTTAAAGAGAAAGGAGAAAAGTAAAAAAAGAGAGAGAGAGAAAGAGAGAATGGTAAGAGCAACATGGCCATGCATTAATCTACCAGTAGAAAGAATAAATAGGTATTTGATTCCAGTAACTTAAATGTAGTTCTGTATAAAGAAAGAGCTGGGGGAAAAAAATAAAGAAGGGAAAATATGAAAGCTTGCCAGAAGAAAAGCAAAGAGGGAAAAAGAGAGATTGGAGAATGCTCTACTGTTGACCTTAAAGATGGCGGAAAAAGCTGCAAGTCAAGGAATATGGGGAGCCTCTAGAACTTCTAACTAGAACAATCTAGAAGACAGCTTTTCTTCCAGAGGGTCCAGAAGGAATGCAGCCCTGCTGAGACCTTGGATTTTAGCTCGCTGAGACCAAATTCTGGGCTTCTGACCTCCAGAACTGTAAAATAATAAGTTTGTGTTGTTTTAAGACACTCAGTTTGGGGTAATTTATCACAGTAACTATAGAAAAAAATAGTTTAAAAATTAATACCAGTATGAATGAAAGATTTGAAAACTCAGAAGAAATTGGAGAGAACTGAAGCCCACCAAACTATTCACTAGTTCCTTCCATGTGGACCCTCTTTGACACCAGAGAGATTGGTGCCTTTCCTAATGTTAAACCTAAGTGAAAATTGCAGTGAACCAATAATAATTTCCCACAATGTTTTCACTGTATGCAATTCCCTGAATAAAATAGAGAGTAGCTGCTAAACCGCCTGTTAGCTTTTCATGTCATCCCTCCGAAACAAAATTTTACCACAGTGAACTGCATATGGCAAGACCTTTAAAAGTCTGCAGTGGAGGTTTACCATTCATGGTAATGCACTCTGTTACACAGATCTCCACTGTAACCTCTCACTTAGGGTATAGGGCTGCAAATGAATTTATTACTACTCTCTGTCAAACACATGGAGTGGCTGATTTGAATGGAAGATAGATGGAAGGGCAACAGAAAGATGACCAGATGACCCCTCTGCTCTATGCCACTTATCAGCATGATGGCGTGGCTGAGTCAGGCAGTACTGAAAAAAATGAGACACTCAAGAAAAGCCATATTGCAATACAAAGAGAGGGAAAGAAGGAAAAAGATGTCATGGAAAAAAGAGCTTTCGGTGACATCCAAATTACCTTTCCTGGCATTCATTACAAATTGCAAATGATTTGAGAGGAATTTGAAGGAATTTAACCCACAACATTCTTTGGTATGATATCTACAGAGGACAAACCTAATTTATAGGAAAATTCATCACAGAGTTTCTTTAAAAATAAACTCCCATGGTGTTGAAAGTATAGACAGTCTATGCTTTGCACAGTTTTTTGATAATGGATTTTTAACATGTTACATGGGATCGTGCAAATGAGGAATTGATTCAGGCATGCACAAGTTTCAGCTAACAGAGTGCCATGCAGAGCATGGATGGCTTGCGTTATTTGTTTTGCCGTAATCTTTTAATCAAGGCCTATACCCTCATCAATGTAAGGGTGCCTGTTGCAACAACAATAACAACAGTGATTTATTAAGTATCTACTGTATCCCATGTACTGTGCTAGGCATGTAACATTTACTTATGTTATTCATCCTTCCTTGACATCTATAATATACTTTCTCATATACATGAACTTTAAATTCTGGAAATCCTCTAGAAGTAATGTCTGAATTAAATAGAATTAAATTTCCTGTAGCTTTCTTGTAAAAAAAATGATATTTTTTCCATTCTTTTCCCATCTCAGTTATGTATACAAATAAAAAGAGCAATGGTGGAATCAAACCGTTACACATTTTAAAGAGCTGCTAATTTTGACTTCAGCGCATTCTATCCTTGAAGGTGTTTCTGGCACTTTCAGTTCTGAAATTACATTCCCCTTTAAGTTCCCCAGTGCTAGGATAAAGAAAAAAGAGAAGCCTCTCTCTTTCTTTCACGAAACTTCCATGCAGCAAGCATAGGAATTGCAAAATTAAAGCTAATAATTGAGTGTCTATGTTCCCAGCCAAAGCACAAATTTAAGGACACAAGTAAAGGAAGACCATGATTGTGCAAACCATGGCAGCCCTATACAAGTAAAAATAAAAATAAAAAAATCTCAGGCAGGGTTTTGAGATAGAGTGTTTAAGCAGGATAAAGTCCATGGTACCATGATTCCCAAAAGTCTCATCCCAGGATAACATTCATGCCCATCTCCAGGAGAAAAGCTATTGAAGAATCTGCCAATTTCATAGGGTCGAATTCAGAAGATGTCAGCATCATCTGGGAGTAGGGTGAGGTATGTGTTGGTTGGCAAAATCCTAAGCTGGTTATGGCTTAGTTTCTCAGGGGCCCCAGGCAAAGGCAGTGAGGAGCCAGCCACTCATGGGTGGAGAGAGGTCATTCTCATTGAATGGATACAGTCTACCTCATTGACACTGTCCAATCATAACACTGACACAGTCCACGTTATTTCAAGGAGTTGAATCAAACCAAACTATGAAACAATTTTGGGAACAAACCACCAGTTAACTCAACTTTAAAGTAAATCAGATTCATTTTTCATTGCTATAAGAATGAAACTAGAATTACAAAAAGAATCAGTTCTAAGAATTTTTTAAATGTATGCTTTGTAAATAATTGTGATATCAATGGATATATGTAATGTTTACCTCAAAGGGAGATCAATTTTGATTTTCCTTTTCCTTTCCTCTCAAAAGAATCTATTCTGAACACTGTCAGTGTGACAGAATGTAAAGATTAGAGTGATGGTTCTCCAAGTTTGATCCTTGGACCAACAACATCAGTGTCACCTGGGAACTTATTAGAAATAAAAATTTCAGATCCCACCCCAGATCTCCTTAATCAGAAACTCTGGGGATGGGGTTCATCAGTCTGTGTTTTAATAAGCTCTCTAGGTAATTCTGATGCACAGTGAAGTTTGGGAACCACTGGATTAGACTGCAAAGCTTTTCATGAGAATCAGTAAATATTTTAAGCTTGTGGGCCATACTGTCTCCATTACAATTACTGAATTTTGCAATTATAGTATGAAAGCAGCCATAGACAATGGGTGCCTCAATGAGCCTGGTTGTATTCCAATAAAACTTTATTTACAGAAACAGGCAATAGGCTGGAATTGGCCCACAGGCTGTAGTTTGCTGACTCCTGGAAGGATAGCCTTTCTTACAGGCATCTCCCTCCTTCCCCTGCCTTGTTCACTTCCTGTTTTCACTTTCTCCCCCATCCTTCTTTTCCTCTTCCCTCATTGCATCTAATCGACTTAATTCTTTTTCCTCTACTTCTTAATGTTTTCTTCTTTCCTTTTCACTCACTACTTCCTCTTTTCGTTCAATTTCCAATTCTTCTTTTCCCTTTTCCTCCTGCTGCTGCCTTTCCTCCCTGCTCCCCTCTCTGTATTCATTGATGCAGCCAAGAATGCAGTTGTCTCTCAATGTCTTCCTTTACTTTGTCTTTTTCACCACCATAGAAGAATTTTGACTCACTTCCGCAATAAATTCAGGAGCACATTGCTCACTGGCACTGTCTAGAGAAGTGCTATTTTCTATTTATTTTATTATTGCAGAAAGTTATGCCATGGTCTTTTCAGGAATGAAGCTACTTCCATTTGAAATCATTAGGCTCCAGAAATATTCTGTAGGCTGCCTCGGTGACATTTGTACACATTATAGCAATGGTAGAATCGGACACTTGCCACTGTTTCATTCTGTTTTTCTCAAAACAGTTCAGAAGACAACCTAGTTGGTATTTTTATATTTCCAGGTGAAAGGCATTTAGTCTTTACCCCAGTGAAGAATAGAATGATACATTTTGGAAGGAAAATTCTGACTTTTAAAAAAAAAAATATGGAGTTACTCATTTGAGAGCATTTTTTTTTTTCTTAATTTCTTTGGATACAGGGTCACAGTGGCAGAATAAGTGTCAGGCCTTCTGATCGTGCAAATAATGTCTCCTTGTCAAGCACCACAACAGGGACTTAACACCATATCAAGAGTACAGAATGAGAGAAGCATATCAAAAACATCAGCTGTAAACAATCAAATACCTAAATGTGAATTTTCAAAGCATAGGAAAGGAAATGAATCTTAGAAGCATATTTGTAATAATTTATTAACGTTTTTTTTTAAATCTTCTTGTAGTTTTCAAGCACATTTTGTTCTCGGTTACACTTGAAAAGACAAGTTAAATTGTAAATGATATAAACTTGGCCTTTCAAAGTAGTTCGTAACATTATATCAGGAGCCTGTAGATCTGTTCCTGTTCTCCTTCGCATGCACCTTTCATTTGAGGGATCAGTCTACTTACTGAGGGGAGGTGTCCTGTCCACCACCCACCTTCAGATAAAATCAAATACACCAGTTCTTCCTGATTCCAGTCCCTCGGAATGAGGGCTTCTACACCTATGTGGCCTAGAGTGACTTCAGCCTAGGGCTGAAAACCAATATGACTTCGAACTTGCTAATAGAGACTCTAACCTAGTAAAATTGCGTCTTTTTAAGAGACTGGATAAAAAAATAAGCTATTTAAAAGAAAGAAAAAACCTTACATAGTTCTTAGCACAATGCTTCACACATTGTAAACAATTTTAAATATGTGAATAAATGGGTAGCTGTAGGAACCCCTGGGGGAGTCCGAGGAAGACTGCATGACTCAAGACTCTAACCTAATATACATCGTTATGTTTATCGTTTGTAGGACAAAGATTCAAATTGTATTCCAATGTTATAGTAAGTTCAAGGGATAATATTGTGTTATATTCACATGCCTTGTAAAATAGACAGATTTAAATGATTAATAAAATCAATATTTATTGTTGTAGAGCCTTTCAGTATTGATTTTTCTGAAAATCTAACTAATACACATTGACATCCATAAATGTCAACCTCTGGATTTATTATCCACAAAGTGAATCCATTCGCCATCTATTCAATAATATTTACTGGGCAGGTATTGTGTGCTTGGCACCAAGAAAGGTGTTAAGTAGGGTTCATTCTTCTATTTTTTAAAAAATCGTTCATCTTTTTTTTAAATGTTTTTATTATTATTATACTTTAAGTTTTAGGGTACATGTGCACAGTTAGTTACATATGTATACATGTGCCATGCTGGTGTGCTGCACCCATTAACTCGTCAGTCATTTAGCATTAGGTATATCTCCTAATGCTATCCCTCCCCCCTCCCCCCACCCCACAACAGTCCCCAGAGTGTGATGTTCCCCTTCCTGTGTCTATGTGTTCTCATTTTTCAATTCCCATCTATGAGTGAGAACATGCGGTGTTTGTTTTTTTGTCCTTGTGATAGTTTACTGAGAATGATGATTAAAAATTGTTCATCTTAACAGTTAAAAAATATTACTCTGGGTTATTATGGAAAGACAGAAAAAAGAGAGAGTATGTGAATCTGGTTTACAAGGTCATCACAGTTTTATTAAGTAAAATGCATATAGAAATCATTTGTTTTCCTGAACTGCCAGAAATATTGTGTACTAAAAAGTGTATGTTTGAAAACAAACAAAAGACATTGGTTAAAAAATAAACCTTCGGCTAGGAGCAGAGGCTCACACCTATACTCTCGCACTTTGGGATGCCAAGACGGATGGATTGCTTAAGCCCAGCAGTTCGAGACAAAGCCTGGGCAACATGGCGAAACCCTGTTTCTACAAAAAATACACACTCAAGAAAACCCACAAACTATCTCGGCATGCTGGTATGTGCCTGCAGTCCCACCTACTCCAGAGGCTGAGGTAGGAGAATCGCTTGAGCTCAGGAGTTCAAGGCTGCAGTGAGCCATGATCATGCCACAACACTCCAGCCTGGGCAACAGAGTGAGATCCTGTCTCAAATAAAATAAAATAAAATAAAATAAAATAAAATAAAATAAAATAAAATAAAATAAAATAAAAAATAAATCTTCATGGTTTTGAAGGAATTTAACATACATCATTTCATACAAGCTCCATGACAATTCTGTCAGATAGGCAGGGTGAGGGTTTATGCCCATTTTGTAGATAACCTCCGAGAAATCAAGCAATTTGGTCAAAGTCCAAATAAATAATTAATAATAAACAAACATAAACAATAAAATGCCAGAGATGGATCTAGAACTATATGATAGATTACAGTAATGAAAACAACATGTTCAGCTAAGCTTCAGAATCTTGGAGGAGGAAAGAGACTGAGAATTTGAAAAACAGGTACACTTCTAGTTTTGCTGTTGAATCACTGAATCACCAGGGGGTAAATTAACCTAGGACTCTATTTCCACATCTCCCAAATTGAAGATAATGGATTTTGCCATCTCACAGGGCACAGGGAAGATCAATTAGGCAATGCTTGTGTAAGGTACTATAAGCATTGAAGACACAAGGCCCCATGGAACCATGAGTTACCATTGCTCATCGGGCTTCTCTTGCATCATTCATCTTATTTTCCACTTGCTGGCTGTGGCTTCTCTGCTCGACCTGGTCTCCTGGCTCATGCCTTGAGCCAGTGAATGGTTTGGAGTGTTGCATGATGATGCACTTCTCTTCCTAGTAATTCATAATATGTACCTGTATCAACCGCTGTAGTGTTTAAATTACTGTGTGCTCAGTGGGTGTGGTGCCATGATACATTCTCCCTCCTTCTCCCCAGGCAAGTCTTACTTCATAGCACAGATTCTTTTCCAAGTTCAAATCCATTGGCAAAAAGGTAGACTGTAGGTGGTAATGAGGGCTGAGGCAAGATGCCTAATCCTGAAAGCAGTGATTAAGGAGTTCCTGTACTCAAAACGTTGGCACCTGAATATGTTCAATTGCTACAGCCACAAGGAACAAGAACAAACCTTGGGTCATTTGGGTGGGTGTCCTACAATGTCGGGATCTTTCTGACATCCTCTGCATCCCTCATAGCTGCTGCCAAGTACCACAGCCAGACGGATTTTGAAAAGTACAAAAAGTGTCCCTATGGATAGGACATAGGGACATTTTTTGTACCTTGAGACTCTGGCTATGAAACTATAGGCAAGAGGCACTGGGGGAAGATCTCTGCCTTCTTTATATTGTTGGCTTATTGCTATTATTATTTTTTAAGGGAAGCAGAGTTTTTAGAAGGCAGTCTGGACTCAGGACCTTGCTGTCTCTTTGGATGTTATCTCTTTGACCCTTTAGTGTACACTTGAATTGATGGTCAGCCCAGAAGACTCCATAACCCCACCTTCCTGCATGTCCAGACCAAAATGTAGCTCCGTCTTTTCTGAATGTTAAGGAGACCCTGCTGGGTGATGGGTTCCAAAGATCATGGCCTGGTCTATTTAAATTTTAAACAAAATGTTTTGATTCAAGGCTGGGAGATATAACAGTAACAAATACATGGCAGATAATAAACTCCCTTGTGAACTGAATCTGGGGGAAGTTTAAAAATAAAAATCTCACTCATACTTTCAAAACATTTCCACTTAACAAAGAATGTTGAGTTCTTCGCCAGGCGCGGTGGCTCACGCCTGTAATCCCAGCACTTTGGGAGACCAAGGTGGGCGGATCACGAGGTCAGGAGTTCGAGACCAGCCTGGCCAACATGGTGAAACCCTGTCTCTACTAAAAATACAAAAATTAGCTGGGCATGGTGGCAGGCACCTGTAACCCCAGCTACCTGGGAAGCTGAGGCAGGAGAATTGCTTGAACCCAGGAGGCGGAGGTTGCAGTGAGCCAAGATCGTGCCATTGCACTCCAGACTGGGTGACAGAGCAAGAGTCTGCCTCCAAAAAAAAAGAAAGAAAGAAAAGAAACAAGGAATGTTGAGTTCTACGGCTCATCTGGGGTGAGTAGGGTTTATTAGTCTTGTTAGATAAGCCTTACAGTAACTGACATTTTGCTTTTCTGAAACTTGTCTTTTAGTAACAAAGATTCACGATTGCATTTTTAAAAAATCTCCCTGCTATGGCCATTTGCAAATAGAATCCTGGCAACTATTTTTCCCCTCTAAATATACATTAATTTTTTTTTAAATAGACCCCTAGAATCTCATTTCATTGTAGGACATTCTCCCTCTAAAATTTAGCCTCCTAATTCTCCTTAGATGCGGCTAACCAGGAAGATGGTTTTAGCCTCTGGGCAGGTCTGAATTAAGCTGGGTACGCATACACTGGGTATGACCGTGCTGATTGGTCATATCAGAAAGGCCTGGTGCTGGTGGGTAAAGAGCCACTATGCTGAGCCCCATCAGCTGCAGCCCCCGCCCCCACCGAGATATTCTCCCTTTCCACAGATCCAGCAACACCACTTAGCATCCAGGAAAGGAGGGGTACCCTGGAGGAATGGTACACTGGGGGAGTGGTACTTCCTGCAGTGCCACTGCATCTGTTCTGATTGAGGAGGGAAGTGCTGTGCTCATAGTTAACTGTGTTGCTGATCACCTAGGCATCTAGGAGTTAACTCACAAAGCCTGCACTGAGAGAACGAGTTGAGGATTTAATTCCTCTCCTGTTACTATGATCTCCAATGTGATGTTGGGGTTTGGAGGAGTAGAGTGGGGAAGCATCGGGGATTCCTCTAAACCAGACTCTGGGGCCAAATGAGCTTAGGAAACTAAACTCTATCTCCCCTTCTGGGAAAGCCAGAATATATTTGCATATTAAAGACTCTGAAAAGTTTTTCAGTAAAAAACCTGAATAACTTTGGTTAATTCCAGATTTCCATGATCTGATTACAGAACATGTCTTCCTTTCCTTCTTTAAATTTTTCTCCCTGTTTTTTAGGGTAGCATTGGATAATAACCTGGGAATGAATATTCCATGGGGCACACTTTGGAAAACAGAGCCTTAATCCATGATCTCACATATTCCCAGCTGAAAAGATGCCTGGAATTGAAAAGTTGTTTTTCCCCCTCTCAGGAAGAAACGTCTTACATAAGAAAATATTTTGGTTTCAAGTCTTAATGTACTAAAACTTATTTGTAAACTGTCACCTTACTAATAAGGCTTAAAGATGGTAATTCAGCAAGCACCTTAGTGTTTGTGCATTACTATTTGTGGGAGTCCCTCAGCAAAACCTATCTCAGACATTGCCTGAAGAAGGGAGTTTCATTCTAGAAGGATTTTAGGAGGCTTATTAAAGTACACACTCTATAATAGGGAAAAATAATGACGGACTCAGAATGAGAACAAACAAGGATAGGAAAAAATAAAGCCAATACAATAATATGGGCCAGAGGTCTGTGTATTGATAGAGGTTGGCCACAAATTTGGATCTGGGTGTCAAAGAAATACAGAAACGTGATCATTTACCGAGTTCACAGTGTCCATAAAATAAAATAAAAATAAATAAATAGGCCAGGCGTGGAGGCTCACGCCTGTAATCCCAGCACTTTGGGAGGCCAAGGTGGGCCGATCATGAGGTCAGGAGATCGAGAACATCCTGGTCAACATGGTAAAGCCCCCTCTCTACTAAAAATACAAAAATTAGCTGGGTGTGGTGGTGCGTGCCTGTAGTCCCAGCTACTTGGGAGGCTGAGGCAGGAGAATCACTTGAACCCGGGAGGTGGGGGTTGCAGTGAGCCGAGATCACGCCACTGTACTCAAGCCTGGGTGACAGAGCAAGACTCTGTCTCAAAAAATAAAAATAAAAATAAATAAATAAATAAATAAATGTACTGGGATAGATACAGCTTTTACTATACAGAGAGAAATCACACTTGTCAGGCACTTTAGGGCTTCACTTTAGTGAGTCAAATGTGAGAGTGTATTTACCCCCCACCACCAATGCATGGGAGCTTCAGTGAAAGTGATCCATTATTCCAGTGGCTAATCCTTAGCAGAAGGGAGATGGAGGTGTTTACCACTTGCAGGCAAAGAGGGGGGAAAATTGAGTAATGTTCTCCCTTCGACACTTCTAAAGGGGTCATTGCCAATTTGGGCCACCATCATCATGATACCAGTGTACAGAATACCAAGAAAGATAATGAAAACAGTGTAAAGTTGTTAGGAGTTAATCAGAGAAAATGCCCTTTTCAACTTCTTCCCCAAATCTTTGCCCTTCTAGTAACCTGAGCTAACTTATGAGTTATTGCCCGGAACTATATATTGGCAAAATTTTCAGGAAGTACTCTAGTGAGTGAAGGTTCAGACAGGAGCGAGAGTCAAAAAGCATCCTCTTAATCCTAGCTTTGCAAATGATTTATTGTGCAATCATAACCCTGTATCTTGAGTCAGTTTCCTCATTTATGCAGGAAAAAAAAAAAATCTGGGCCATCCATCCATCACAAGTGTTCCAAGTAGAAGAATCCCCTGTAAAAGGAGATGAGCATGTTCAAGTATTAAGCACTTAAAATGAAGATTATGTTTGGAAATCAAAATATAATTTTGATAACCCATTAAAAGTAATGAAATGGAGAAAACAAATTTTAGTAATTACCCCAATAGAGGTATGTTACTAACAACTATCTTTTCACTTGGAAATCTGACTCAGTTATTATCACAGTGAATTTTGTGTGCTATGGTGTAAAACTAAAAGCCAGTGAAATTTATTGCTGGGATCATTGTATGGAAAAAAAATAGACCTCATCAAGGCAGAAGCTTAGTCACTTCTTTAATTCAACAGATGGTCTATTCACTCGGGATGCTCGAAGTCTGGTTCCAGATCCTATCACTCCTCAACAGTTTGTGTAATATTTAGGTCTTTGGTATTCATATTCCATCTATTTACAAATGATACTTGTGACAGCCCACCAGTGGAAAATGTGTGTCACAACCTTTTCTTTCCAGCAGCACTGCTGACAGGTAGCAAAACCCCATCTTCTCATCAGACTTGACTTTTTTCCTCAACCAAAGATTTCCTTACCAAGACCTCTGCCAATCGCAAAGAGACAATTTATGTGACCCGTGGCTTGCTTTGTATCCCACAACATGTTACTGGCCTTCTCCCTCTCTCTTCGCAGATCCATTTTTCGTCAAAGTTACTGTCTCATTAAGGGGAAAAATAGCAGACAAAAATTCCCTGGTGGTATGTTCCCACGTTGTACAGTTAAAATTTATCATTAAAAATATTTTAACATAGCAATTAGTATTTGCTTTTTCTAAGAAAAAGTTCTTTTTTTTCTGAAAAGAAAATACTTCAGCAAAATACACAGGAAAACCAAGAGATTCCGTTTTACATCTATCAGATTGGCAAAAGTTTAAAACACAAGTGTTGAGAGGATATGGAGGAATGGGAACTCTCATCCCATGGTGGGGAAAAGTAAATTGATAAAGCTAGTATGGCAAGCATTTGGCCACATTTGACAAAGTTTAAAAATGTGCCTAAGTCTAGAGAGGTACTCTAGAAAAACACACACATGTGCAAAAGGAGACATATAAAAGAATATCCATTATGGTAATAAATTGAAAGTGTTCATCAAAAGACCACAGACAAATAGATTGTGATATATTTATACATGGAGTAGATGGGTCAAAGTGAATAAACTCAAGCTGCCTAAATCAATGGAGATAAACTACACAACACAGTGCTGAGCAAAACATAATGTTGAGCCCAAAAAGCTTAATACAAAAGGATGTGTGAGTGGGATGCTATTTACATAACATTTAGACACTTGCAAAATAATACTATGTGATGTAGTCAAGTATATAAACATGTAGTAAAAAATATAAAACAAGCATAAGAATGTTACACACTGAATTAGTGATAATTATTTCCTTCAGGAACAGAAGGAAGGAGGCAGGAAGGGAGGGAGAAAATGGAACCTACTAGGTTTACACAGGGGCCTCCAAGGTACCTTTAATGTTTGACTTCTTTTAAATGATAACACAAATAGATGCTGAAGCAAATATGACATCAAAATATTAGAGTCTGATAAAGTTGGGCAGTAGATACATGAAGGTCTGTTATTTTTGTGCTTGCCAATGTGTTTGAAATATTTCACAATTTTCTTAATAATGATGTATTGGAATTGCATTCGGCCATAACTAGGTTTTAGTTACAAAGTACCAGAGACAGCTCATTACAATGTAAGCTTACCTACAAGCCAGTTCAAGAATAGCTTTATAACAATGCTCTCTGAGTTGATAAATTCCATTCTTTGGTTTTGTCAATTTTGTGGGTAACTCATTTACCTAGGTTTCATTTTTTTACTCACTGTCCTCCTTGCCCTGTTTATTATGATACTAGCTGGGATTTCTCTTCCTGAGGGGTAGAGCTAATTCAGAGCTCATTAAATGCATAACTCCAAACTGTTCCATTATATATTACCTCTATCTACTCTCCACTGAGCATCATCTGCTATTGTGTTTACTCCATTACCGAGCTAAATTAAGTCCTGCAAGAGTTTCTCATAATCCTTCAAACTTTTGGTTGTTGGCAAACATGTGCCATTTATTTGTATTGCTTCTGAATTATTAACAAATATATTTTTAAATTGTCTCTAGGTTTCTAAAAGTCAACTCACTGTTCGATGAATGCTGTGCTCTCATTTTACATATTTGCCCATCTCAGCTGGTTTTTGGAATCCGAGATCGGACCTTTTATCTATTATTAAATTATACCTCAAATTACTTAATGCAACAGTTGTTCATAGCCTTATGGGAAGATCACACACAAAAAACGTAAAGCACTAGATGCTCCTAACCACAGATATTCAGTCAATCCTTTCAAGGAATTTCCACAGATTAGAAAGACACAACCTAATTTATTTAAACGATACCACGTTTGCTGCCTGTGCAGTCATTGCTTTTTCCTGTGAAAGGTAAAATTTGCTCAACTCCTGATGTGAATTCCCAAGATCTCTCTTCTCGCATTTTTAAAAAACAGGTTAGCCATTAGCCAGATGGCAGCTCTTGAAAGATATTCTCACAATTAATAGTAAATGATACCGCTTTATTAGTGGTTCAGTCTTATTCTGCAGTTTCTTAAGATTTTTAAAAACAATAGCCAGGGAAAACAATCCCATTCATTCCCCTTGACTCCTACAGCTTTCATTGGCAAACTCAGGCCAGCAGTCTGCCACTTGGTAGAGCAAAGTAACTTGAGATCATGTAGCATTGTGTTTAGCCTTTGTCTTCCTTGAGAGAATACTGATCTAATGGTTTCATATGATTTTACTGTATGGATGCTATCATAGAATTCTTGTTAATCTTTCACATTTCGGGTAATGTTGCCTTCAAATTCATTTTGAATCTTAAAAGTCCCAGTTCTTATGCAGTCCTAGTTGATAAGTATCCCCTTTGTTGTTTATTCCTGTGTAGATATTGATCCAGTCTGTGTGTCTACACCCACAATGGAGAATCATTACTCATTCATTCATTCATTCAATCCAAACATGGCTATTGAACATCTTCTATGTCCATAATGTGGAGATACTGCTGGTGGACAAGAAAACTATAACTGTTTCTACCCTTAGTGAGAATAATGAGAAATAGGAAAAAAACACAAGGTTCATAGTGGAGCAAAACAAATCCTAGTCACTCTATCTTTATTTTGGGCCATTATACCTAAGAATTAGATCTAAATTAATACAATACCTTTCAGGCAATTACTCCTCTTTTCCTAGTTTGAAACTCCCAAGACTAGACTTCTCTAAGGCAACAATAAAATTAAATCCTACCCACGGGTCCAAAAATTAAAAGAAAGTGGGATGTGAATCAGCACATGATCTAGGTAACATGGTATATTTTGCCTCTTCCCTCTTGTCCTTTTTTATGCATATTTAGTGAACCTTCAGTAGCCCCTTCTGTGTCTCAGGCAGACAGATGGCTTTTATTCTTTTAGCCTAATGATATGGAGAAAAACAGAAGGATGGGAAAAAGTCTTCAAGTGCTTCATCTGCAGAGATAACAGATACTAAAATCGCAACCCTCATACCATCTTTTCTTCCTGGTTCAATATATAGAAAAGGTGAAAGATGCAAGAAGGTGCAATATAGCACACAAGAAAATCTTCCTGTAGACAGTGGTGGATTTCTTTTTGGAAAAATGTGACTATGTGAAACAGAAGGATGAGAACTCAGAAGTCATAGCACTTTTTCCTGGCTCTAAAACAATAAAATGTAAGTGAGGGAACCTTACTAAACAGCCCGTGTTCGGTATCAACTCCTTGGTGCCTGCTGTGGAAAATATTGATGGATAAATAATAGAAATGAAACGTGGAAGATATCTGAAAGCTTGAACTGATCTCCAGTTTTCAAACATCAGAACTGGTATAAGTTTATCATTGACTGCTTAGTATGCTTAAAGGAACAGTTAATTCAGGGCAAATGTCATTAATGTCTCCCAGTTCAATTACTTCTTTCCCTTTCTATTGCCCCTCTTGTTTTGTTTCACTCAGGTCAAAATGAGCTGCCAGCTTTTGCTTATTGCTCCTAGACATTCACAGATTCCCCCTGGGCATCAGACTCTTTTAATTTTTCCTTTTGGTGAGGTTGTACAGTTTTTAATCTTGCGTTACTTAATAAAATGTTTAGGGAAATAAATGAACAGAAGCGTTCAATTCCAGGCAAGTGGCTTTCAACATTAAGATAGGCTGATGAAATCAGACACAACATAAAAAGCTGAAAAGAAATTAAATTTAGATATATCGACAGGATTAATACCAAAATACTGGTTGGGGATAAATAGACTAATGGCTACCATTTATCGTATTCCTAATATGTTTCCCTATATGTGGCATGTATTGTCTTTAATTCTTATAACAACTCGGCTAGTTGGGGATTTTCTTTCTGCTATATACGGTAATTAGAGGAATCCCACATGTAATTGAAAAAACTTTGCATCTTTATTCCTAAATCATTTTTCCTGCTCTGCTTGCTTACAGGAAAATAAGGTATATTATTAGTAACTTTAATGTAGTTACTTAAAATTCCTTTAAAAATATACAGTGATGAATTCCCTGAACTAAAGGCCAGGTGCAGTGGCTCATGCCTGTAATCCCAGGACTTTGGAAGGCCAAGGCAGGTGGATTACCTGAGGCAGGGAGTTCGAGACCAGTCTGGGCAACATAGTGAGATATCATATCTACCAAAAATACAAAAAATTAGCCGGACGTGGTAGTGCGTGCCTGTAGTCCCAGCTACTCAGGAGGCTGAGTGAGGCATGACAATTGCTTGAACCCAGGAGGCGGAGGTTGCAGTAAGCTGAGATTGTGCCACTGCACTGCAGCCTGAGCAACAGAGCAAGACTTGGTCTCAAAAAAAAGAAAAGATGCAACTGAGTCAGAAATTTATCATAGGATTTATCATAGAACTAAGACACATTCTTACTTAAATTTCAAAATGCTTTAAATATATATATTTATAAATCTAAGAAACAATCACCCTAGGCTGTTTAAGAGAGAAAAATCCCTTATTTGCACTTTATAGGCTAGAAAAGGAAGACACTGTAAGAGTAAATGATATGCCGGAGGCAGCCCAGTCAGCAGCCATAAATAACACCCACTTCTTGTCACATCCAGTAGGCCGCTCCATTGGGAAGTCAAGACGGTATCTTAAGTGCTGTATTCCACTCGATGCTCTATTTTCCTGCTTGCTGCAGTAACTGTGGTTTCATACAGAGTATTAGAACTACCAGGTAATCCTTGAAAAATGTTCTAAGTCCCTCTTTCCTCCCCCTCAGAACCATATTATTTTAAATCTTTTCTCAACCAGTGCTGGAAAATTCTCCTGTTAGTTGACCAAAAAGTTGAAAATCACTTGGTTTATTATTCATTTTTGCTTCCTATATTAATAGTTTTATGATGCCAGTTTCTGGCCAGGAAAGAGAGAAATCAATTACCCTCAGTTTCATGTTGCACATATTTGTATTCAAAAGCTTCAGTTAAAGTTTATGTCAATTGACTCTCTTTAGCCTGTTTGCCTTCACTTCTTAACAACACAAGCAAACAGGCCAGCTGCAGTGGCTCACGCCTGTAATCCCAGCACTTTGGGAGGCTGAGGCAGTCCGATCACCTGAGATCAGAAGTTCGAGACCAGCCTGGCCAACATGGTGAAACCCCATCTCTACTAAAAATACAAAAATTAGCAAGGCATGGTGGTGCACGCCTGTAGTCCCAGCTACTCTGGGTGCTGAGGCAGGAGAATTGCTTGAATTCTGGGGAGGCAGAGGTACAGTGAGCTGAGATCGTGCCACTGCACTCCAGCCTGGGCAGCAAAGCAAGACTCTGTCTCAAAAAAAAAAAAAAGAAAAAGAAAAAAGAAAAAGAAAAAAGAAAAAGTAAAAGAAAAAGAAAAGAAACAAACAAAAAAATGGGGGAAGGGATTTAGATTTAGTTTCCCCCCTAAATAAAGGTGACCAAATTATTACACTGCTCCTTGGATTACTTTTAAACATTGGAATGCTCTGATACATACTACTTTATAGTACATTACCAAACTAACACATGAAATTATACATTTAAAAGTATGTGTATATAGATATCTTAAATATATACACACACAATACATATGTTTTAGGAAGCCCAGGAGAGAATGTCAGGACAGGGAACAGAAAGAGACCTGGAAGACAAGATTGACAATGAAGTTTTATTTCCCTATAAAACAATTAAGAGGATCTTGAATTCTCAGATACAAAACTGATATCAACGGAGCATTGGGGATTGCGTTTTGTTACTAGAGGATTGGAATTATTCTTATTAATAGTGTTACACACACTGTATTGACCTCAGATGAAAGTATGACTCCCACTTCACAAGTCCATATGCAGTTACATATTATTTACTGAAATTGTTAATTCTTTTTTTTTTTTTTTTTTTGAGACAGAGTCTTGCTCTGTTGGCCAGGCTAGAGTGCAGTGGCACGATCTCGGCTCACTGCAACCTCCACCTCCTGGGTTCACGCCATTCTCCTGCCTCAGCCTCCGGAGTAGCTGGGATTACAGGTGCCCGCCACCGTGCCCAGCTAATTTTTGTATTTTTAGTAGAGACGGGGTTTCACCATCTTGGCCAGGCTGGTCTCGAACTCCTGACCTTGTGATCCACCTGCCTCGGCCTCCCAAACGGCTAAAATTGTTAATTCTTCCTGGTATTTTAATGCTCTTTTTTCTGAACAGCCTTCCCACCCTCAGGATAAAACCCACCCCTTAGCGCTAAGCAGGACTCCCACCAGCCCTCAGCTGGTACTAACTTTCAACCATAGGCTGTCTCTCCTGCCTACTAAACTGAATCACATTGTTTATATTTTGCAATAATACTTTTATAATTGTGCTACAGGGTTCAAAGGAACATAGGCCCAGAGCAATCAATATTCTTTGTTCAAGCAATTGCCTTCTTTCTCTTCACCATTTAGCAGCCTGATGGTCTTAAGCCTGGGTGCACAGGAAGGAGGACCAGTGGCCTGTGAAGAGTCATTAAGGGGGCTGATGCATAAATATTCAAGCCTGTGACCCACCATTCCACCTCACACAAGCCCCCTGCTAACTGCCAGTCCTGTTGTAGTTTTCTGGAATCCATATAACCTGTTATTTATCTTAAAGAGTTTGCTCAAGGGATCTCCTTTTCAATTACTGTAATAATAACATATGTAACAGAATGTGTTTTAATGCTTTTTAGCTTTAAAAGTACTTTCACGAATAATATCCTTTTGAGCTTCATTCACATAACCATGGAAGATAAACATCATTTCCCTTCTTATGGATTAGGGAATAAAAGCTCAATGATATTTGTAAGTAAACAAAGTTGGAACTTGAAATAAGAGTTGTAATTTCAAGCCCCACACTCTTTCCACGAAGTCATTCTGTATATATTGTGTGAGCTGAAAGCTGATGGAAGTCTCCTCTAATTAAAACCTCTTCCCTAACTTGGCTATGTAACAGGCATTTCCATACAGCAGTGGTTCTCTGGAGATGAGTACACTTAAACCAGACTAATAGATCTTGTTACTGAGATGTGTAAGATACTGGATACCTGACATATCTATAGAAATTACTGCCTGTTAGTCAGCAACACCTAGAGTCACCCAGAAGAGAACAGGTGTTTGTGGTAACGGATAGTGGAATGTGAAAGTTTATAAGGAAAGGAGGCTGCATACTATCCTGAGTATGAGGTCATTCCTGAATATGACATCACAGTGACAGGTCAAGACATCAGGGTTCAGTACGAAGGTATCAGAGAGGGCTTGGACTCATCATGGGAGACAAGGAGAAAAGCCAGAGTGTCCGATGGTTTTAGAGCATTGATTGCATTTGGGTATCATAAGCAATTTTACGTCAAAGTCTCTATACACCAAACAAGCAGGACAGAATTTACAAAAACAAAAGAAAAAAATTAACCACACTAAGTTTCTTTTGGATGAATGTAAGACGGATTTTCATTGTTTATCTAGAGTATACTAACTATTAATAGAATTTCTATACACTTTACCATCTTGGTGCTCTCTTGGGGACAATGAGGTTGAAAGCCACAGTTCAGATGGGTATACCAAGGCAGAGTAGCTCACATGACATAACAAGCAGCTTTATCTTGGGTATTCAATTCACTGAAAAGCTAAGTGGCATGTCATGCTGGGTGCCCTAGCTTTAACTCATGTGCATATTTTCCCCTTAAGCTACCATTAATCCATCAAAATATCATTTGGTATGGTTTGGTCTTTGTGATTTTCAAGTTTATTATTATGAAGTTTCTCTTTCTTCCTTTTATCTTTTTTATAAAGAATATCTTTGACCTGTACCCAAGATAGCAATTTTTTTTTGAGACAGGGTCTTACTGTGTTGCCCAGGCTGGAGTACAGTGACATGATCATAGCTCACTGCAGCCCCGACCTCCTGGGATCAAGTGATCCTCTCGTCTCAGCCTCCTGAATACCTGGGACTACAGACACGTACCACCACACCTGGCCAAATTTTTTTGTTTGTTTTGTTTTGTGTATAAACCATATCACATGATGTTGCCCAGGCTGGTCCCAAACTCCTGGGCTCACGTAGCGCTCCACCTTGGCCTCCTAAAGTGCTGGGATTACAGGCATGCGCTACCATCCCTGGCCAGCAAATGTTTACATGTGTTCACAGTTTCAGCTTACAGACTGCATTATTTCAGAACCACCCCCCCACCAAAAAAGTGCAAATAACCCTTTATTTATCAAGTGGCAATCTGAGTCACAACAGTTGATTTTCTTATTACTCAAATTAAACAAAATATTTGAACTTGTTTTCCAGTAATTCTTCAAATCCAAAGATATAAAACTGGACAAAGTACTACAAATGCTAAGGTGAAAGACACTCTCCTACTGACCTCAACAGCCTTAACACTAAAACTTTTCAATTCCCAAGGCTGAATGGAGATCCTTAACCATCAAAAGGGGGAAACTTAGCCAGAAGCTTCTCGTAACTATTATCATCCCAACTGCATAAAATTTGATGTGTTCCTTTGAACTTAGGAACCACGTAATGGTTACAGTTCTCCATGAGGGTCAATTTACCTTACTGGCAAAGTTTTATATGTATGCCATACCATATATACACCTGTCACAATATGATTGGAGAAGGAACTCAAAAAACCACTGTTGAAGGGCTGGGCACAGTGGCTCACACCAGTAATCCCAGCACTTTTGGAGGCCGAGTCGGGCAGGTCACTTGAGGTCAGGAGTTCGAGACCAGCCTGGCCAACATGGTGAAACCCCGTCTCTACTAAAAATACAAAACTTAGCTGGGCATGGTGGCACACACCTGTAGTCCTAGCTACTTGGGAGGCTGAGGCAGAAGAGTGGCTCGACCCCAGGAGGCAGAGGTTGCAGTGAGCTGAGATCATGCCACTGCACTCCAGCCTGGGCAACAGACCCTGTCTCCAAAAAAAAAAAAAAAAAACAGAAAAAACAAACAAACAAAAAACACATTGTTGACTAAAATGAGTGAATGATTGATACAGTTCTTCGTGCCTGTGTAAGAAGCTTTTGCTATAAAGCCCAATTCTCAGTAACAATGAGCTTTCTATTCTTTTGATGCACAAGACTTTCACTGTTTTAAATGTTAACTGAAAATAAGTGAACTGAATCAAGATTTGGTGAAAAAGATTTGGTGATAGGTTGCAGTGAAGATTTGTGTGGTGTTAGCCCAGGCCTGGACTCAAAACCTGGTTCCAACTCTACCACCCTAAGACCTTGGCCCACTGACTTTACTTTCTCTTTTTCTTAGGGGCAAACCAGAGACAACAACATCTACCTCAGAGTAATATTTTTGAGATTAAATGAAAACCTGTAGGTAAAAGATTTACCATTCTCCTGGGTACAGTGAGTGCTCTTTCATCATGCAAAAATCTCAATTTTATAATGGGATTTATTTCAACAAGACCTGGCCTAAAGTAATTTGCTTTTATACATGTAACAATTCTGCCTCCTCCATTTTAGCTTTACGTACACAAGGATAAGATTCTTCCTTCCATAACATGGGATGTCATTCATTCATTCATTCATTCTATAGACATTTTGGCACTTTATATTTGTAAGTAACTGCAGTAGAATTATTGGGGCAGGGTGGGGAATGAAGAAGGGAGGAAGAAGGGCAGAAATGTTCAATAAAGCATCAACCTGCTTCCACAAGAACATCAAATACATAGGCACTTGAAGAGTCAAATAATGTTATGTAATCGCAGATTCCTAATATAAATGAAAAAATCATTATGTAGTTTTTATATAAAGAATAAAAAGTAACAGTGGTGGAAGAAGTCAGGATCTCTGGATTGAAGGCCAGACAATGACAGAGGGGAAATAAATAATGGGAAGTATTTTAAGCCATGGGCAAGATACTGTTTGCTCAGCTAATCAGTCATTCTGGCTAGCATCCATTGCTGTCAACTACATTTATTGCGCACCAACTATTGGAGTGGGGATGGCAAACCACCATCATGACTGGCCAAAGGATCCAAGATTGTCTATACTTCATTTTAAAATACATCCAGATACAATGGGTTAAGTACATTAGTCAATTTTAACCTATAACTTAGCAACTATCAATTAACTTTTGTAGTTACTTCTAATCTACAATCCAGAGGCTGTTAGTTAACTTTTGAAGTTACCAAATCAGGAATACACAGACCAGGGATACTTAAGTCTAAATGAGAGCCTCTAGGAGAATTCAAGCCAGCGAAGCCCTTTGCATGGAAATGCTTCTCCTGTCTGTACCTTCAGTCAGTCCTGGGATGTGTTAGGTAGCATGAGGGGTGTTGGAAGTAAGGTTTTATCCGTGAAATGAAAAGTAGTCAGTTAATGTGGCTTGACTAGAAATACTGTAAATGTACCTCCACCTTTACATGAACACAGCTAAGAATCAGCAAACCCAGGCTCCTAATACCATCCTGAGCCTAGAAGTTCCATTCAGCCTTGTGTCCCATCACTCACCGTATGATTCTGGAGCTAATGCCCACTGCTGCTAATGTATTGTTGCGTGTGCCTCTAAAACATTTTTCCAGCAAGGTCCTTATCAGAGTGCCTACAGGGACAAACAGCTGGGTATTTGCAGAGCTTCATGAGCAGGTTTGTGTGACTGCTTTTGTGCATGCTTGCAAATAAATATTTTCATGTGTGGCAAACTGTGAGGCTTGTTTTCACTGTAAACACACCAACTGCCAACAAGATTGTAGGGGACAAAGACCCACAGAACTTACCTTTCTCTAACTACCAGTTTATTATTATTATTATTATTATTATTATTATTATTATTTTATGACAGAGTGTGGCTCTTGTTGCCCAGGCTGGAGTGCAATGGCGCAATCTTGGCTCACCACAACCCCCGCCTCCCAGATTCAAGCTATTCTCCTGCCTCAGCTTCCCAAGTAGCTGGGATTACAGGCATGCACCACCAAGGTCAGCTAATTTTGTATTTTTAGTAGAGACTGGATTTCTCCATGTTGGTCAGGCCTGTCTCAAACTCCTGACCTCAGGTGATGCACCCACCTCGGCCTTCCAAAGTGCTGGGATTTCAGGTGTGAGCCACCATGCCCGGCCCAGTTAATTATTAATATTGTCTATTAAGATGAACCTGACAATCATGAATGTCCAAACTGGATCAGGATATTCTTCACGGATTGGAAAGCGCTGTCAAATATTTATTAAAATGGTTTACTGCAAATACAGATCTTTAGCTTCGATTAACACACAAATTTTTACTATGTGCTTGTCAACGGACTGAGTCTTAAGAGCAAATATAGATATGAAAAATAAAATTCTTACCTAAATGTGCATACAGGCTTCGTGTGTGTGTGTGTGTGTGTGCATGTGTGTGTGTGTTTTGTGGTGGGGGAAGTTCATAAAGATAGGAGAAAAAAGACAAGTATATGTACAAAACAATTTCAATTGGCATGATTCTTCTTACGCTAATAGAGTCATGCACAGGGTATGATATTAAAGGATGAAATTTGGGCTCCTAATACAACTTGGTGGCAGACAGTAGAGTGAGCAAGTGAGTGCTAGAGAAAGTGGTACCTGCCATGTGTTTTGAAGGATAAGTTGGAGCTAACTGAGAGAATGACAGGGAAGGGAGAGAATAATATATTCAAAGGTATAAATGTAAGAAAACCCTTGAGGAGCCTGAAGTACCATAAAAGCCCCATGATAATGCAATTATTTGAATTCAGATATAAAGCAATTGGCTCACCTGGTCATTTCATTACCCTTGCAAGACAGCTGTCTGCATTTTACATGACTGAATGTTCTAGATCCCATTTATGCTGCTATGGCAGCATTTCCTTCAGCTCATTGAAAGTGGCTGGAGTGTGATGTATGTGACAATGAGTGATGGAGAGGGGGCTGTGTAAGAGATGACTCTGAAGAGTTAGGTCATGAAAAATCTTAGGTGCCACACATTAGAGTCTAGATTTTATCCTGAATGTAATTTTGAGTTAGAAGAATATTAAGCAGAGAAAATGGCATGTACAGATTTCTGTTTAGGAAAATAACTAGCATTAATATATAAGATAGACTGAAGGAGCTAAAACATATGCATGGAGATGGGATAATATAATGAAGATCTGAACTAAGACAATTGTAGCAGAAATGGAGACAGAGGGTTTCAAGAGACATTTGGAAGGACAAATTGACAGAACTTAGTGACTAAAGGATGTGGACATGAAGGGAAAAAATGGCTGCCATCTTACTGTTTTGAATGACTCAGTAGAAGACGAATTCATTTCCCACATTAGGCAACGGCCAGTTTGGGAAAAAGGGAAGATAAAGGATTTAGTATTAAATGTGTTGAAAATGTGTAATATACCCACATTTCCTTGATTATTTTTCTTTAGGTATTGCAATTGGGTTAGTCTAGTGTAATGAAAAGCTATTAGATTCCAATAGCTGGAAGTGAGCTGGATTTGATTCATTTTTCATGAGTTGATGGGAAGACTGGAAACAAAGCTGTCAGAGGCTTAGTTTGACATTATTTGTCATCAGCTTAAACTAGAATTTTAATAAATGGGAAGAGGCAAAATTGATTTCATTAAGGAAGAGGAAATGAGAACGGAGACACCTGTTTTGGAAAAAAGACTGCTAATTCCTGGTTAAGATCGTGCATTTGTCATTAGGAATGCTGAATTATGTTAGTGATGTGACACAGTGTCTCCTGGAATGAGCTTTAGTAGCAAAAAAGGGTTAATTTTTTTTGAAACTTTATTGATTCATTGATTTAACCATTCCATTAATCATTCATGTATATCATTCATATATGTCCATCCATCCACCCCTCCCTCCCTCCATTTAATAAATATTTATTGAACATCTGATAAATGCCAGGCACATTGAAAGAGCAGGGAGAGTTTAGGAAATTTTTAAACAGAAAGGATAAAATTGTGGTCAGAACATTCTCCTGGAGATAATATGGGATCTAGGAAACAAGATAGCAATAACTAAAGTAGATTAACACCCACTTTTTGTTGAATTAGTTTTAGCTATGGCTCAAGTTTTGCTTTATTTTTTTTTCCCAGGCCTTATTTATGCTCAGTTTCCATATAAACCCTATAATCTTTCCTTGCTTACAGTTTCATGAGATTCATATTCCTTTTCCTAAGAATGGGGAACAAAACCACGTCAAAAGGAAAAGCATTACTAGGCTAAAACTACTAGGAACCGCTACATTCACAAAAATCTAGACCTTTACTAGCAAGGATATAATAATAAAACAAGAGCTACATTTTACTAATTAGCGCACAGGCCAAAAAGCCTCTGAATATTTATGCTCTCAGAAACCATTTTCTCATCAATTTACTTCTGTGTGATTGCTATTTGGTTACTACTGCAGGGAGCAGAATTCTTTCAAATGTTGGTTCTATGAAGCATCTTTAGTGCCCTCTCTTTTAAAGTTCAAAAAGAAACAAAGTCCATTAACAGTGGAGGTCGCTAAAGATTTTAGGACTAACTTAGCATTCAGAGGATTTTTATCCATTGTTTCTCTTAGCACAATTTCACATATATGATTCAGTACCTAAGTATAGCAACCAAAAAACAATTTGTGTCCTTTCTCAAATCTTAGGATAATTTACATTAGCAGAACTAATATAAGAACCATTGATTTCCTTTTTTCCTCCAAACACTAGACCAGTTTTTTAAAGCATGAACTGCAACAAACAAGTGGTGTTCTTTGACTAAGAAGCAACTAATAGTTCAGTTCTACCCCTGTGACTTAATTTTTACCTCCAGTAGCAACATGATATGTGTCAGGCCTCTGAGCCCAAGCCTGCCTGTATATATCCAGATGGCCTGAGACAACTGAAGAACCACAAAAGAAGTGAAAATGGCCGGTTCCTGCCTTAACTGATGACATTACCTTGTGAAATTCCTTCTCCTGGCTCAGAAGCTCTCCCACTGAGCTTCCTTGTGACCCCTGCCCCTGCCTGCAAGAGAACAACCCCCTTTGACTGTAATTTTCCACTATCTACCCAAATCCTATAAAACTGCCCCACCCCTAACTTCCTTTGCTGACTCTCTTTTCGGAATCAGCCCACCTGCACCCAGGTAATTAAAAAGCTTTATTGCTCACACAAAGCCTGTTTGGTGGTCTCTTCACATGGACACGTGTGACATTTGGTGCTGAAGACCCGGGACAGGAGGACTCCTTTGGGAGACCAGTCCCCTGTCCTTGTCCTCACTCTGTGAGGAGATCCACCTACCACCTCGGGTCCTCAGACCAGCCCAAGGAACATCTCCCCAATTTTAAATCAGTTAAGCGGCTTCTTTTTATTCTCTTCTCTAACCTCTCTTGCTATCCCTCCACCCTTCAATCTCTCCCTTCCTTAATATTGGTTCCTTTCCTTTTCTGGTAGAGACAGAGGAGATGTGTTTTATCCATGAACTCAAAACTCCAGCGCCGGTCACAGACTCGAGAAGACAGTCTTCCCTTGGTATCTAATCACTGTGGGGATGCCTGCCTGATTATTCTCCCACTTTTCAGAGGTGTCTGATCACCACGGGGATGCCTGTCTTGATCCTTCACCTTAGTGGCAAGTACCACTTCCCCTGGGTGACAAGTACCCACTGCCCTCTCTCCATGTCTCTACCCTCTTTTATCTAGATTTACCTTTTTACTACGGGCAATCTTCCGCCCACCATTCATCCTTCTTCTCCCTTAAGGCTAAGTGTTCTAAAAAACTTAAAACCTCTTCAACTCTCACCTGACCTAAAACCTAAGCATCTTATTTGCTTCTGCAACACCACTTGGCCCCAATACAAACTCGACAATGGTTCTAAATGGCCAGAAAATGGCACTTTTGAATTCCCTAGCCTACAAGATCTAGATAATTTTGTCGAAAAATGGGCAAATGGTCTGAGGTGCCTGACGTCCAGGCATTCTTTTACACATTGGTCCCTCCCTAGTCTCTACTCCCAATGCACCTCATCCCAAAGCTTTCTTCTTTCTCTCCTGTCTGTTCCTTCAGTCTCCACCCCAAGCAGAGTCCTCTGAATCCTCTTTTTCTATGGGCCCATCTGACCTCTCCACTCCTCCCCAGGCTGCTTCTCACCAGGCTGAGCCAGGTCCCAATTCTTCCACAGCCTCTGCTCCCCAACCCTATAATCCTTCTATCACCTCCCCTCCTCACACCTGGTCTGGCTTACAGTTTCATTCTGGAACTAGCCCTCCCCAACCTGCCCAATAATTTCCTCTTAGAGAGGTGGCTGGAGCTGTAGGCGTAGTCAAGGTTAATGCTCCTTTTTCTTTAGCCGACCTCTCCCAAATCAGTTAGTGTTTAGGCTCTTTTTCATCAAATATAAAAACCCAGCCCAGTTCATGGCTCATTTGGCAACAACCCTTAGACGCTTTACTGCCCTAGACCCAGAGGGGCCAGAAGGCCATCTTATTCTCAATATGCATTTTATTACCCAATCCACTCTCGACATTAGAAAAAGCTCCAAAAATTAAATTCTGGCCCTCAAACCCCACAACAGGACTTACTTAACTTTGCCTTCAAGGTGTACAATAATAAAGAAGAGGCAGCCATGTAGCAACGTATTTCTGAGTTGCAATTACTTGCCTCCACTGTGAGAGAAACCCCAGCCATATCTCTAGCACACAAGAACTTCAAAATGCCTAAACTGCAGTGGCCAGGTGTTCCTCCAGGACGTCCTCCCCCAGGATCTTGCTTCAAGTGCCGGAAATCTGGCCACTGGGCCAAGGAATGCCCACAGCCCAGGATTCCTCCTAAGCTGTGTCCCGTCTGTGAGGGACCCCACTGGAAATCAGACTGTCCTACTCACCTGGCAGCCACTCCCAGAGCCCCTGGAATGCTGGCCCAAAGCTCTCTGACTGACTCCTTCCCAGATCTTCTCAGATTAGCAGCTGAAGATTGATGCTGCCTGATGGCCTCAGAAGCCTCCTGGACCATCACAGACGTTTTTGGTAACTCTTACAGTGGAGGGTAAGTCCGTTCCCTTCTTAATCAATATGGAGGCTACCCACTCCACATTACCTTCTTTTCAAGGGCCTGTTTCCCTTGCCTCCATAACTGTTGTGGGTATTGATGGCCAGGCTGCTAGACCCCTTAAAACTCCCCACCTCTGGTGCCAATTTGGACAATATTCTCTTATGCACTCCTTTTTAGTTATCTCCCCCTGCCCAGTTCCCTTATTAGATCGAGATGTTTTAACAAAATTATCCGCTACTCTGTTCCTGGACTATAGCCACATCTAATTGCCACCCTTCTCCCCAACCCAAAGCCTCCTTCGTGTCTTCCTCTTGTATCCCCCGACCTTAACCCACAAGTATTGGACACCTCTACTCCCTCCCTGGCAACCAATCACACGCCCATTACTATCCCATTGAAACCTAATCACCCTTACCCCACTCAATGCTAATACCCCATCCCACAGCAGGCTTTAAAACGGTTAAAGCTTGTTATCACTCACCTGTTACAACATGGCCTCTTAAAGCCTACAAATTCTCCTTACAACTCTCCTATCCTACCTGTCCAAAAACTGGACAAGTCTTACAGGCTGGTCCAGGATCTTCACCTTATCAACCAAATTGTCTTGCCTATCCATGCCATAGTGCCAAACCCATATACTCTCCTATCCTCAGTACCTCCCTCCACAACCCATTATTCTGTTATGGATCTCAAACATGCTTCCTTTACTATTCCTTTGCACCCTTCATCCCAGCCTCTCTTCGCTTTCACTTGGACTGACTCTGACACCCATCAGTCTCAGCAATTTATCTGGGCTGTACTGCCACAAGGCTTCAGGGACAGCCCCCATTACTTCAGTCAAGCCCTTTCTCATGATTTACTTTCTTTCCATCCATGTGCTTCTCACCTATTCAATATTTTGACCACCTTCAACTTTATAGCCCCTCCTACAAATCTTCCCAACAGGACACTCTCCTGTTCCTCCAACATCTATTCTCAAAGGGATATCGCATATCCCCCTCCAAAGCCCAGATATCTTCCTCATCCATTACTTATCTCAGCATAATTCTTCATGAAAACACATGTGCTCTCCCTGCTGATCATGTCCGGCTAATCTCCCAAACTCCAACCCCTTCTACAAAGCAACAACTCCTTTCCTTCCTAGGCATGGTTAGGTACTTTCACCTTTGAATACCTGGTTTTGCCATCCCAACTAAACCATTACATAAACTCACAAATGGAAACCTGGCTGACCCCATAAATCCTAAATCCCTTCCCCACTCCCCTTTCTGTTCCTTAAAAACAGCCCTAGAAGCTGTTCCCACACTAGCTCTCCCTAACTCATCCCAACTCTTTTTCATTACACACAGCCGAAGTGCAGGGCTGTGCGGTTAGAATTCTTACACAAGAACCAGAACCGCGCCCTGTAGTCTTTTTATCCAAACAACTCGATCTTATTGTTTCAGGCTGGACCTCATGTCTGCGTGCGGCAGCTGCCGCTGCTTTAATACTTTTAGAGGCCCTCAAAATCACAAACTATGCTCAACTCACTTTCTATAGTTCTCATAACTTTCAAAATCTATTTTCTTCCTCACACCTGATGCATATACTTTTTGCCCCCTGGCTCCTTCAGCTGTACTCACTCTTTGTTGAGTCTCCCACAATTACCATTGTTCCTGGCCCAGACTTCAATCCGGCCTCCCACATTATTCCTGATACCACACCTGACCCCCATGACTGTATCTCTCTGATCCACCTGGCATTCAATCCATTTGCCCAAATTTTCTTCTTTCCTGTTCCTCACCCTGATCACACTTGGTTTATTGATGGCAGTTCCACCAGGCCTAATAGCTACTCACCAGCAAAGGCAGGCTATGCTATAGTATCTTCCATATCTATCGTTGAGGCTACCACTCTACCCGCCTCCACTACCTCTCAGCAAACTGAACTCATTGTGTTAACTCAGGCCCTCACTCTTTCAGAAGGACTGCGTGTCAATATTTATACTGACTCTAAATATGCCTTCCATATCCTGCACCACCATGCTGTTACATGGGCTGAAAGAGGTTTCCTCACTACGCAAGTGTCCTCCTTTATTAATGCCTCTTTAATTAAAAACTCTTCTCAAGGCCACTTTACTTCCAAAGGAAGATGGAGTACTTCACTGCAAAGGCCATCAAAGGGCCTCAGACCCCATTGCTCAGGGCAATGCTTATGCTGATAAGGTAGCTAAAGAAGCAGCTAGCGTTCCAACTTCTGTCCCTCATGGCCAGTTTTTCTGCTTCTCATCAGTCACTCCTACTTGCTCTCCCACTGAAGTTGTCCACCTATCAATCCCTTCCCACTCAAGGCAAATGGTTCTTAGACTAAGGAAAATACCTCCTTCCAGCCTCACAGGCTCATTCCATTCTATCGTCGTTTCACAACCTCTTCTATGTAGGTCACAAGCCACTAGCCTGCCTCTTAGAACCTCTCATTTCCTTTAAGACGTTTGCCCTGCATTTCACTCCATCCTTAGCTACCTTCCCCTTGTTCTTCAGACTCTCCTCCTAGCCCCTCCTCTTGCTTGCTTATACTCAGCCCCATGAATAGCAGTGAAAGGTTACTCATAGACACTATGTGCTTTCTAATACACCATAAAAATCGAACCGCCCCCTCTACCCAGTTGCCCCATCAATCCCCATTACAACCTCTAACAGCTGCTGCCCTCGCTAAATCCCTAAGAGTCTGAGTGCAAGACATCATCTCTTTTGGTGCTCCCTCTCATCTTTTCACTTTACAGTTCCAGTTTTGCCTTACATAGTTCTCTTCTTCCTCTGTGGCTTCTCCACCTACATGTGTCTACCTATCAATGGGACAGGCACATGTATGCTAGTTTTCCTTATCCCCAAAAATCAATTTGCAAATAGGACCGAACAGTGCCCTGTCCCCCTCATGACAGCAACACTTCACTACTATTTTGTTTTGTTTTGTTTTGTTTATTATGAATACAAGACGACAGGAATAGGCCTTGACTTACTCATTGCTGAAAAAGGAAGACTCTACATTTTTAAATGAAGAGTGTTGTTTTTACCTAAATCAATCTGGCCTAGTATATAACAACATAAAAAAACTCAAAGATAGAGCCCAAAAACTCACCAACCAAGCAAGTAATTACACCAAACCCCCTTGGGCACTCTCTAATTGGATGTCCTGGGTCCTCCCAATTCTTAGTCCTTTAAAACCTGTTTTTCTCCTTCTCTTATTCGGACCTTGTGTCTTCCATTTAGTTTCCCAATTCATACAGAACCGCATCCAGGCCACATCAATCATTCTATACGACAAATGCTCCTTCTAACAAACCCACAATATCACCTCTTACCCCAAAATCTTTCTTCAGTTTAATCTCTCCCATTCTAGGTTCCCACACCTCCCCTAATCCTGCTCGAAGCAGCCCTGAGAGACATCACGCATTATCTCTCCATACCACCCCCAAAAATTTTTGCCATCCCAACACTTCACCTCTATTTTGTTTTGTTTTTCCTATTAATATAAGAAGACAGGAATGTCAGGCCTCTGAGCCCAAGCCTGCACATATACATCCAGATGGCCTGAGGCAACTGAAGAACCACAAAAGAAGTGAAAATGACCGGTTCCTGCCTTAACTGATGACATTACCTTGTGAAATTTCTTCTCCTAGCTCAAAAGCTGTCCCACTGAGCACCTTGTGACCACACCCCTGCCTGCAAAAGAACAACCCCCTTTGACTGTAATTTTCCACTACCTACCCAAATCCTATAAAACTGCCCCACCCCTATCTTCCTTTGCTGACTCCTTTTTCAGACTCAGTCTGCCTGCACCCAGGTGATTAAAAGCTTTATTGCTCACACAAAGCATGTTTGGTGGTCTCTTCACACGGACGTGCATAACAATATGTATAACAAATACACCAGAAGACCTGGGTTCAAGTAGGAAGCTCTGCCGTTTACCAGCTGTTTAATCTTGGGCAAGTTACCTACTCATAGTAATCTTTTATTGAGCCCTTACTATATGCATCTATAGACTGCAGGCATCCTTTTGTGTGATACCACAAATTATCTTATTACATGCTATCTTATTAGTTTTATTCTTATTTTACTCCCCAACAATGCTATGAAGTAGGTTCTTTGATTATCCCCAACTGAGGCACAGAAGAATTAACTTCCCAATGACACAAAGGTGAAGCTGAGATTTGAATTGAGTACCCTGATCAAAGGCCCAGGGGTTTGATCATTAGGCTCTACTTGCTTCTCTAAGAGTTTTGATTTTTCTCATCTGGAAATGGAAATCACAGTAATTAATCTCTCAGGTTTGGTACAAGAATTGAAAGATAAGTTACATGAAAGAAGTCATTATTGTCACTATTCTGTTTTCTCAGACTCCCAAATCAAAAGCCAGAAGAGTGTTTTTATTTCAAACCATTCCTTTGTCCCCCAAATCCAGTCTCTACCATATTCTACTACTTCCTCTTCCCAGTATCTTTAAGACTTACTCATTCTTCTCCATTTTTGTTTCTCCAATTACATTAGAGTACCCACTACTTTTTATATTATAATTTCAATAACTGTGTAATTCTTTTTCTTTCTCCAGCCTTTCCTTGCCCTGATCTAGTCTTCTGACACTATCTGATTAATATGCACAAAACTCCATATTTTTATTGCCATGGGTCATTCTTCATTGCTTATGGAATAAAGATATTCCTATATCTTCACCCTGGTATTTATGACTCCGGGTCTCTTGGTCTAATTTTATAGATTCAAACTCATTTCCCAGTAGAATCTAATGGAATTTAGGAAAAAGGGGGCATTTCCTTAACTGTTAAGTATCTGATACGCTAGGCACTGCTTGTATTTGTGGGAAAAACAGACTTAGGTATAGATCCTATGAAGGGAAGACCAGAGGCACAAACATCAAATAAATGCATACTTAGTCAATTACAATTATAAAGGAGGGCTGGTGTAGGAGTGAAAACTAACCTGGTATAGAGGTTCAGAGAAAGTTCCCTGAAGCAAAATAAGCCCTTTACCCCCACCTTCACGAAATTGTTCATTCTCTTCCTTTCCTTACAAAACTCCCCACTCTTCTCCATGCAAATCCAAGTATCCTATTAGTTTTTTTTTGAGGACATAGCTTAAGTCTTATTTATGCTATTAAGCTTTACCTTACTTCTCTAGCCTCCAAAAATCTTTTTTTTTCTAAAAAATCTTAGTGCATTGATGGTTCTTTGTTCCTGCTATCACACTTGATTATGTAATAGATTGCGGATTTTACAGTTACTGTAATTTGATTATCCATGTTTTTACCTAAAAATCCTGCGTTCTTTCCCTTTAGAGTCCACATGATGCTATAATAAATAAATATTTGCTTAACAAATAGCCGAGTGTTTTGGGGTGTGCACAGCTGGGTGCTAGAAATCTATGTAACAAAAGCAGGGACTGGAATCACGGCTGTAATACATTGAGCAACCTTCCTAAAGCTTGCGATTAACCTAATCCCACTCTTGTTCATTTGCTTTCAGTTGTATTTGAGCTAAAATTTAATACTCTTTGCACTAACATTGCAGAAAAACTGATTGCTTATTGTTCTGGGAGTTTGGCTACATTAATACTATCTAATATTAACAAATTCCATAAAAGCCCTAACGTTAAACCTGCCTATGAAATACACTGGTCCCTGTTATTTACCTTCTGGATTATATATTTAATGCCAAATTTCCACATAAAACCAAAGATAAATCAACAAAATAAAGACCTTAAATATCAGTTCTTGGGTATATCTCTGAAAAGAATGTAACCTGCATAACAAAGTTCTATAATTTTTTTTCCCTGATTTTCAGAGCTCTGCTTATCATAAAACCTAAAAACAGCTAATTAAAGCTAACAGGATTCAGTGGAGGTAAGTCAAGTTTTCACAGGAGTTAGGTTCAATTTTGGTCCAAAATTTTTCCAGAATAAACCATGTTAGAGCTGTGTAGAGAGGTGTATGAGAGTTTAGGTATGCCATGTGGCATCCTAATTCATTTGTTTCTCTTTGCGGTTTAAATGTCAAAGTACAACACAACTCAAATGGGAGGAATTCCAGCTGATCCACACTTATCCCAGCCCCCACACCCCCTGCAATATTACTGCTCTTGAAAAGACTATGTTCAAAACAATGATTCAATGGTAGGAAGTTCATTTGCCATAGAATCCTTCTGGGTGGTTATCACAGAGCTTCTCAAACTCCAGGAGTTCCATCTCTTCTATATCCAGAATATCTAACTTCTGCCCTTTGAACATGGTGCCCTTTCAGCAAATATGACAGAATAATAACCTGCACAAAAGGCAACCACTCCAGATTGTATTCCCATTTTCCACTGACTTGTAAGTAAATTTGAACAGACTTCTTTAAACTTCCAGCCTTCAATTATTGTTGCACCAAATTCACTCATTTGTTCAACAAATATTTGTTGGGTGACTAAGTGCCAAGCAATATTCCAGAGAGTAATTCTGTTAGCTGTGCCAACAGCAAGGTGAGCATCTCTACAGACATGAGTGACTCTGTTTGACAGATAGCATAGAGAGTAGAAAGAGGATATGGGAAGTAAGAACAAATTAAATCTTGCTTCAACACTTAGTAAGGACTGTCACTAAAATCTTTGAAAGTAAATGTCTCCATCTGTAAAACAGTAATAGCTCAAAAACATTTAATGAGTGCCTCAACGTGCAGGCCCTGCTAGGTACTAGGAATTCAGTGTGGCCCAAAGCAGATAAGGACACCGCGATGATGGGGCTGAATATCGTAAGCACGTTTATGCCCTTTGTTATTGCACCATTGAATCTTGTTAGGCTGTGTGGTGGTTTTAAAATGTATCCACAGAATCTTCGGCACTTTTTTTCAAAAGGTGGAGCCTAATTCCCTTAAATATGAGTCAGGCTGAAGCACTTGTTCTCATGAATAGAATGTGGCAGTGTGATGCTCTAAGGCATTTAAGGGCAGGACAGAAAAAGGATAGTTTCTGCCTATCTTGGATTGCTTTCTCTGGGGAAAGCCAGCCACTCTGTCTTGAGGACACTCAAGTAGCTTCAAGGCCCAGCTGGGGAGAAGCTGAGGCCTCCCACCAACTGTCAGTGCCAACGCACCAGCCATGTGAGCTATCCACCTTGGAAACAGATCTTCCAGCCCTACTCGAGTTGTTGGATGACTGACGTCCTAGCCCAAATCCTGACTGCAAACTCATGAGACACACCAAGGCAAAGCCATGTGGCTAAGTCACTCTTTAATTTCCGACCCCAGCTGGGCGCGGTGGCTCACGCCTGTAATCCCAGCATTTTAGGAAGCCAAGGCGGGCAGATCACAAGGTCAAGAGATCGAGACCATCCAGGCCAACATGGTGAAACCCCGTCTCTACTAAAAATACAAAAATTAGCTGGGCACGGTGGCGTATGCCTGTAATCCCAGCTACTCGGGAGGCTGAGGCAGTAGGATCACTTGAACACAGGAGGTGGAGGTTGTAGTGAGCCCACATCACGCCACTGCACTCCAGCTTGGTGACAGAGCGAGACTTCATCTCAAAAAAAAAAAAAAAAAAATTCTGACCCCTGGAAAATGGAGGATGATAAATGTTTATTGTTGTTGCCACTAAGTTTTGAGGGGCAATTTGTTATAGAGCAACAGATAACTAATACAGCCTGTGATATAAACATCTGGATGGATATAAACAATTAGGGTGGAAAACTTAACAAACTTCCTTTAGTTTACCTCCCATGCTGTAAAACACAAAATTAAATAACTCTTCACAGACTTCCAATGTTTCCATTACTACAGGATAAAATCTAGACTCCTAGTCTAGTATTCAAAACCCTACATGATGAAATTGATCTCTCTCTCTCTCTCTCTTTTTTTTTTTTTAAGAAACAGGGTCTTACTCTCTTTCCCAGGCCTGGAGTACAGTGGCACAATCATGGCTCACTGCAGCCTCGACCTCCCAGGCTCAAGTGATCTTCCCACCTCAGCCTCCCAAGTAGCTGGCACCACAGGCACATACCACCACATGTGACTAATTTTTTATTTTTATTTTTTTGTAGAGATTGTGTCTCCCTCTGTTTCCCAGTCTACTCTCAAGCAAAACACTCTACTTTGGCTAGACTAGTCTACCTATCTTTAGCCAGTTAAGCCTGAGAAGTTCTGCCTCCAAGATCTCGATCATGCCCCTTCTGCCTCTTGAAAGCCACTTCCTCTTGTTGCATATTCACTTTTTTTTCTTCCAAGCTTAATTTAATCCTGAAGTAATTCTCAATTACCCTAATTCGCAGCCATCTTTTCCTTTTTAAACATCCAGTAGTTTTCATTGCCAATGCTGCCTATTTAATATTTATTTTCCTATTTGCACAATTGTTACATGTCACTATTAATCAATGAATATTTGAGTTCCCATTATGTGCAAAGTACTGGCCAAGATCTATATTTAACACTTTTACTTTAATTATATTTAATTTTTTGTTTTTAAAAATATATTATGGCCCATAATCTATCTTGTGTGTTTCTTCACTTTACAATTCCATCGTAAGCAACTTGAGGTCAGAACGCAGTCCTGCTCTTTACAGCCCTAGGCACATCCTTGTAGAATATAAATCTCCAGAAGCATCTTTTTTTAACCATCTCCACATAGGGCAGCAATTTCAAAATAATGAAAAGATTTTAACATTTCTCATTCTTCTGATATTTATGAAGCCATAAATGCAGTGTTATAAAGCTAGAGTGGGAAGTGCTTGTTTGCATGGACCTGGGTTCCCTGGGCATGTAACTTATCAATGAAATCATCTTGGAAAAGCACCAGTTCAGGAAATTGTGAACACGTCCTTCTTTAGACACTGCTCCAACAGTACTCTCTGAGAGGAGGTTTGCTCCTCTTCGCACCTGTCCTAAAAACGTGTCTTCAATATAAGACATGAAGAATGGTGTGAGACTTCTGATATCCTGGGGATTACAGTGAAAGACTGAGTGCTGAAAAGAAGAATAGGGTGCTGGCAGCCACTGAAAGCCTGCAAGCTAACTCAGGTGAAAGGCAAGTTCTTCTCCGTGATTATTCAAAGAATTAAATCCATTCTCTGGTTTGTTTTCACAGTGATGAGCTGATCTAAAATTATTTTTAAGTTGAAAAGAAAGGAAAAAGTAGCTCACAAACTTGAAGTAGCATAAGAATCACCTGGCGAGTTCTTCAAAATTTAAACTCTCTGGTCCTCAACACCATCCCACTCACCACCACCTCCAACTCCACCTCCACCTCCAGATGCCAACTCAGAAAGCCTAGGGTAATACTCTGCCATTTGTCTATTTCAGCAAACATACTTAGATCATTTTGATTGAGGTAGAGTAGCTGGGTACATCTGTTTGTAAATCCCCAAAATAGAGAAAAGACAAAGAAGAAAAATATTGATAATAGCATGTGATTTCTGTATTATTTGCTCCTTAGTTTGCTCCATTTTCACTTCCCAAATTTCTCCTAAATTGTGTAAATCTTATTTTGGACAGTATGAAATTAGAGGGTTATGGCTAACCTTGCACTGAAAACCTTCATAGTACAAAGAGTAATTCTCTATTTTTAAAAGAAATCTGCATTTAAAAAATCTGAAAAGAAAATGGAGGATTGAAGGAGGGGGTGTTTAAAAAGCCTAAGGAAATAGCTAGCTCTGATAGAGAAGTATACAGATTTCTTTTAGCCTCAGTTACTATTTCTCTTGGGCAATCAAGAGATCATGAAAAAGAAGACCGAAGTGGAAGTCTTAACTCCAGAATTCCCAATCCAGCCACCAGCTCCTACTCCTTAAAACCATCTCCCACACAGCTGCAGGAACACCTTCTAAACTATTGTCTAGTCCCAATGGTCCTATTTTATTTGTTTGTACACGTGTGTGTGTGTGTGTGTGCCTATGTATGTGTGTTTGTGAGTATTTGGTACATGCATAGAAAAAAGTCCTAGCAAATGTACACTGAAATGTTAACAATGGTTCTCTTTAGAGGTTGAGATTATGCATGACTTCCATTTTTTACAGTATGCACACTCGTACCTCATTATTTAATTTTTAATAATGAGCATGTATATCTATAGTCAGAAAAATCTATAAACATTTAAAAATAAAACTAATTTAGTAAAAATAATTCCAGTGGCTTCTCATCACCTTTAAGATAAAGTCTAGGCCTGACGCAATGGCGCATGCCTGTAATCCCAGCACTTTGGGAGGCCGAGGTGGGTGAATCACTTGAGGTCAGGAGTTCGAAACCAGCCTGGCCAACATGGTGAAACCCTGTCTCTACTAAAAATACAAAAATTAGCTGGGCATGATGGCGCGCACCTGTAGTCCCAGCTGTTTGGGAGGCTGAGGCAGGAGAATTGCTTGAACCCAGGAGGCGGAGGTTGTGGTGAGCTGAGATTGCACCACTGCATTCCAGTCTGGGCGATAGAGCAAGACCCTGTCTCAAAAAAATAAAAATAAACTCTAATACTTTTGGTTTGGACCAAACAGCCTTATCTTTCAGTACTCAACAAGCATCTTCCTTTTTCAGGCAAAAGAGATTCCAAATTCCTGGCACATCTAACTCTTCCACATTCTATGTCCTCACTCATGTAAGTTGCTTTCTGTAAGAAATGCAATGACACTGGTTATCTAACTGATGAACTCCTACTCATTCTTCAAGACTCATGCTAAGTCTTAGCACTGAACTCTACGTTGGAGCTAAGGAAAAAGAAAAGTTGGTAACCCCGATCCTGTTTTTACTTTGAATATTGATATTTTGTTCATCATAAGGTTTTGTATTAATTTTGATTTTGTAAAATTCTCTCTTGAACAATTATTGATCTTGATCACTGAGTTTTTTCAAACTCTCTAATTTTGTACTGCACTTGCCTTGGTCCCAGGCAGTTGCTGACTCCAACTTCCTTGCTTCTGTCTTGGACTTACCTCCACTGTGGAATTTTTCACATTGCAATAGTTTCTGATATACTTATTGCTCTCTTATAGGCTTGATTGCTGTGAGGGCTCATGGCTTTCTTAATTAGTGCTTAATAGATGCAACAGGCGCCCTTTAAATATGTGATGATGGCAAGAATAAATGTGAAACTTTAACAATGTCTCTTAAAATTTCTTTCTTTTTTTTTTTTTTTTTTTGAGACAGAGTTTCACTCTTGTTGCCCAGCTGGAGTGCAATGGTGTGATCTCAGCTCACTGCAACGTCTGCCTCCTGGGTTCAAGCAATTATCCTGCCTCAGCCTACCAAGTAGCTGGGATTACAGGTGACCACCCCTAGGCCCAGCTAATTTTTTGTATTTTTAGTAGAGACAGGGTTTCACCATGTTGGCCAGGCTGGTCTCGAACTCCTGACCTCAGGTGATCCACCCAACTCAGCCTCCCACAAGTGCTGGGATTATAGGCATGAGCCATGGCACCTGGCCCTATAACATCCCTCAAAATTTCTGAGCCTCAGTTTCCTCATCTGACAAATAATGACAAGATACTAGATTAGCTTCATGATACTCAAGGATAGATGCTATACTCTATACAAATATAGTATCATAAATAATACAGTATAGAAAATAATGTCCAACACTTTTATAGCTCTTACCATATAGCAGGCACTAATCTAAGTATATCAAGTTTTTGTTTAGTTTAGTTTTGTTTTGTTTTTGCTATTTACTTCTCAGATCCAGGTAAATCTGACATTAGCCAGGTATCTTGGTGGATGCCTGTAACCCCAGCTACTCAGGAGGCAGAGGCAGGAGAATCACTTGAACCCTGGTGGTGGAGGTTGCTGTGAGCCGAGATTGCGCTACTGCACTCCAGCCTGGGCAACAGGGACAGATTCCATTTAAAAAAAATGTTATAAAGATGTTATAAATATTCAACCATTCATCTTTACTTATCGGATAGACTTGGACATTAGCACTCCCTATCTGAGAGGAGGCCCTGTCTGACAAAAGGCCCTCTGCTCTTATGAAGGAAAGAGAAAAGGAGTAAAAACCAGAAGACATTTGGTTCCCATGGCCGATTTCACTGAGACAATCACCTTTGGGAAGCTTGCAAGGTAGACTACACAATGTGGGGATGATACAGGATGGAGAGAAAATACCCTTCCTTACTCTTAATTTTTCTACTTGTTAAAATTAAGTTTTATTGTACTTCAGAGATATTTCCTATTCTCTGTGCAATTCTGTTTACTGAGCCTAAGAGGGCATTAGCTGAGAAACCTTGTCATCGTGTTAGCTGGCATTAGGGTGTGCCCATCCACATTGCATGAGAGTCAGGCCAGGAGCTGGGGGAGATGGACCACTGCCAGCAGGAGCTGTAGTCATCCCTGTGAGTGATGCAGCCGTGTCCACATCTTCGACCCCTCTGTGTGCTTCAGACAGCTCTGCACGGGACACTGGAGGAAACAGGGTCCCAATCAAATCCCAATTTCAGTTTCTATGGCTTCCACAGAATTTATCTCCATGTTGGTATGTGAAGGGTCAGTAATGTTTCCCAAAAAGTCACTTACTACAATTTGCTGATGGAGGAAGTACAGGATGGGTCTTTGGCCGTGAAATTCAAAAGCTGTTCCAAAATGTTCTGAAACTTCTTAAGCAAGAAGCAGGCTGTTAATGCTCCTACACAAAAAATCTCTCCTACATATTTGGAACTCTTTCGTATTTGTGATGGAAATTCCCAGGTGGATGTAGCTGGGAAGGAGTGACGGGGCTTTATATTCATTTTCTTTCCCCCATATGGGCATTATAGACATTATTTTGATCCCATAATCAGATTTACCTGGATCTGAAAAATAAATAGCAAACCAAAACAAACTAACTCCTTGTCCCTTACCCATCTCAGACTCACATTGAGTTTTTTTTACTATCTATCATTGAGTGAATTTTGTAATCCAGTCACCCATATAAATCTTCCAAACTGTATCAGATTTTTACCTGTTGCATTCTGACTGTGTTCCCTGTTAGGAACCATGCTATACCTTGTGCGTACAGTGGTATGATGTGATTTCTGCTATTAATGTGCTATCTATCCAATAAGTGAGTCAAGACTGAAGCAGCAAACACTTAAAGACCATTATAAGCCAATACTTCAACAAGAGAGATATAAAGGAAAATTGATTGGGGTTTGAGTGATCAGACAAGGCTAAATGGGAGTACCCTGGATGTGAGCTTGGCTTTTAACTGGCATGCAGGGAAGATAAAAGGACATGCATCAACGTGGGAGTGAGAATGAGACGTGTGGAGGACATTCAGACACCTCCTCCTTAAGCACAGGCATTCTACTGCAGAACAGAATGAACACAAAGTTGGAAGAATCCTGATTATGCAGGTCTTGAAAGTCAGACAAAGAGAAGGTGAAACCTAATGGGCCCAAATAGTATTCTAGGGAGATTATCTGATGAAGAAACATGGAAAGAGTTGGAGTTAGGGCTTCAAGACACACACACACACACACACACGCACACACACACACACACACACGCACTTTCACACAGTCACAAAGCTATGGAAGCAATCCAAGCATGAGACAATGGGATCTTGAACCAAGGGGTGACAGGAAGGATGGAAGGGCAGCAGTAACTCTGGGACACATTTCACAAATGGATTCTGACTTGCATGCCAGCGGTTATGGGAGGTAAACGAAGGGAGGAGTCATGGATGATTCAGATGTTTCTAACCTGAAAGACTAACTAGTGTTGCTGGTACTCATGAGAATGCAGAAACTGGATTGGGCAATCCACAGCAAAAGACAAATGATGATGAATTCTGAGCTCCTCAGAACAACAACAACAAAAAAACCTATGTAAATTTTTAGCCAATCAAGATAGCAAATGAAATTATTTCCTGTGGGTCCTTCAGTTTTCATCATTAGATCATGGGTGTGCTGGAGAGCAAGGTGCAGTCTGGAATCCTGCACTCATGCCCTTGTCCTCACTTCCCTGAAAACATACCACAGGAAAAGTCAGCAGCAAGAGCAAGGCCAGAACACACCTCACTCCTCTGACTTTCACAACCCTCATCAGTGAGATGCCCCAGAGGCTCTTTCAACATTAAGACTGTACAATAGCTCTTCTTAACAATTCGGGCGCTGGAGTCATAACAACTTGCATGGATCCCACAAACCACTTGTTGATCAACAATTTCAATCCTCCTTCTCACATTTTTTTTTTCCCAGAGCTACTAACAAGTAGAAAAACAACTTGAGTTCATTTTTACAGCAATGCTCAATCTATGATAGTCCTAATAAGTGGTATGAGGAAGAAAAATGAGTTATTGTAATGAACCAGACCTCAGGACCGCCATCGGTGACACCCATGACCCAGATAAAACCATCTGTCCGCAGGTATCTTATCCAAAAATCCAGGCTCCAGCACATAATAACCATGTGAACCTTGGTAAATTACTTAACACATTATTTGTGTCTCAATTTTCTCATCTTTAAAATAGGGACAATTCTATTACAAGGTCCAAAGAAATGATGTGAGTATTAACTAAGGCATGCAAAGTACTTAGCACAGTGTCTGACACATAGCAAAGTGTTCAATAAATGTTCATCCCTGTTATTACTTGTATGCATCCCTGAAGATAAAGGGTATGCTTTGGAGGCAAAAAAAAAAAAAAAAAGTCAGGCTGAAAATGTTGGACGTTCTTGCATTTACCAAAGCTGTTGAGTAACATCTGGATGGGTGCTATTTAGTATAACTCTGTGATAATATAAATTTGGATATAATTCAATTCATGGCTGGCTCCTGCCTTCCACCAGCCCTGATTTTCACATGCAAGATGGGCTGAATTTCTTATCCGCAGAGGGCCCAGGAGTGTTAGAAAGTGACAGCCTTGAGATAGTTGGGGCTTAATGTAATGTATGGTCATATTTGCACAGTATGATTTCCATTGTACTTTTAGAGGTATTTAGGGAACAATAGAAAAACATTGTTTTTCATAAACTTCACAAAAGTGTGACTCCTTATTTGACATGACTACTTTTTTTGGAGTCTACTTATCTCATTCTGTCAGGGTTTTACTGTACTTGAAAAATAGTTGTACAGTAATTAGGGGCTGCTTGCCTGGACATTCATGGGTATGTGTGTATTAAAGGGAGACAAAATAAGCTTGCCGCACATTACAGCTTGGCTTAGTCTAAGTGTGTCTTGTAGAGATTTGTGCTGTTTTGTTGGCCCTTGATCCTAAGCAGTGTTTTTTGGCTTTAACATTTGCCTCTTGACAAGCTGCTGCATGTGGAGATTATAAGAGATTGAAACTACTTCAAACTTGGCACCTCAGCTCATTTCTTCCCTGTTTGAATGAGAAGAATTAGGGCCTGCCTGCCAGGCTCAAAAGGTTTTCTTCACCTGGGATTTATTCTTTGCAGAGGCTAGTTACCTAAGCCATTTGTTGCAACACAAAAGGGAATGAGTGAAGTCAGGTGATGTCAGGAATATCTATGTTATCTGGACCAGCACCAATGGTGTCAGGGATTGCAGCTGGTTCCCGCTCATCAAAAATGCAGACTTCTCCAGATGCCCAACCATCAAAAAGACTATGAAGGGAATCCTTTACGTCACTAATTATATTTGTTCTAAATGAGTTATCAAGTCCTACAGACCTGCCTGACTCTTCTGGGAGCAGAATGTACCCACAGTATTACAGAACAGAAGTTGTTGTGGGATCCATGCATGTTGTTATGACTCCAGTGCCCGAATTGTTAAGAGGAGCTATTGTACAGTCTTAATGTTGAAAGAGCCTGTGGGGCATCTCACTGATGAGAGTTGTGAAAGTCAGAGGAGTGAGGTGTGTTCTGGCCTTGCTCTTGCTGCTGACTTTTCCCGTGGTATGTTTTCAAGGAAGTGAGGGCAAGGGCATGAGTGCAGGATTCCAGACTGCACCTTGCTCTCCAGCACACCCATGATCTAATGATGAAGACTGAGGGACCCACCATGGCTGAGTTTCATTTAGAGGTGGATTCTAGAGTTTCATCTTCACTTCTCTATTGCCCAACTAGCACTGTAGCCCACAAATGATTTTAACTCTATTAAAGAGGACCTAATTTCTATGATACTTCAGCTACAATGCTTCATGAAGAATTAGTTGGACACAGGTAGCACTGAATACTAATAGTTAGGATAACTCTAATACATACATTGGAATGCACTTACTCCCCATATTTCTTGATTTCATAATTGAGGCAAAGCAGGGGTGCTTCCAATCCTAGTTTCTAATTTTAGTTCACTTTTACAAAATGTAAATGATGCAATGTGAAAAATTAGTACTGACTACTAGATGTAAGAAATGTGAGTTCATGAGCTTAAAACAAGATTCTGGGGCCAGACTGCTTGGTTTCAAATCCTGACACCACCACTTATTAACGGTACCATCTTGGTCAAGTTACTTAAGTTCTCTGTGCATTAGTTTTCTCAACTGTGAGATGAATAATACAGTCACCACCTTACTAAATATCTGGTACACAGTATGAGATCAAGAAATATTTTTATTATGATGAATTATTGGCCAATTCTAATCTTTCAGCATAAAAGACATACATGAGAAACAAAGAAAAACAAGAGCAATTTAAAAAACAGGATAAAAGCATCTAAATCCAAACTGTCATCTCAAAGTTATTCTTTCTACGACAAAAGAGGGGGAAAAGGCCAGGTGCGGTGACTCATGCCTGTAATCCCAGCATTTTGGGAGGCCGAGGCGGTGGATCACGAGGTCAGGAGTTCCAGACCAGCCTGGCCAAGATGGTGAAACCCCCGTCTCTACTAAAAATACAAAAATTAGCCAGGTGTGGTGGTGGGCTCCTGTAATCCCAGCTACTCAGGAGGCTGAGGCAGAGAATTGCTTGAACCCAGGAGGCAGAGGTGGCAGCGAGCCGAGATCGCACCACTGTACTCTAGCCTGGGCGACAGAGCAAGACTGTCTCAAAAAAAAAAAAGGAGGCGGGGGGGCAAGTAACTGCTTCTCTACCAGTCTTACATTCTCCAAATTACTCTATAGCACCTCTGATTACAAAATTACATTTTATATTCTATTGATTATAGAATGTATTGAAACTTTGGGCATAATTTTTACTTGGCTCTTATTTACCCAAATAGGAGTTTCAGACTTAGAAAAAATTTGTGTATAAAAGGGTAAGATGCGGTAAATCTCATGGACAAAGAAGCGGTTTTCACCACCTTTCTTTCCTATCCCACATGATTGAATTTTGGCAAACTGTAATCTCCCTGTGTTGCAGGTTTCTCATTTGTAAAGTGAGAGGGTCACTTCTACTTGTAATAACAAACCAAAAAACTATTTTTTAGACTGAGTCTGATAAGGTCTAAGAGACTAACAAACATACTTTCCGTGTTTGAACCATCCTATAATTTTGTACTGTCCTACTGATAAACAGAAAGATAATCACTTCCTTGGCTAGTTATTATTAGAGTATGATAATAGGTCCATAGCAAAAAGTTATTCATCTCCTCCCTGATACAATGTTTTTTCAGAGCCCTTTAGATTAGGCCTAAGAGGCACATATCACATTATTTCTCTAGTATTTTTTTTCTTCCTAATTTAGTAGAATTATAAGAGCTTTCCACAGTTTTTTCCATGAATCTCTAATGCTATCAGGTAATATCAATTAATTTAAGACTGCTCATTCAAAGACCTTATATTTCTCTCTTGGAAGTTTTACAAGAGGAACTTTATGTAACTGAAAAGTCCTTAAAAACAAGAAATTGGTGAAAATAGGTGTTGAAAGGAGCTATTAAAATCCTCCCATCACTATTGTTAGAAAATTGATAGTTAGCATATTAAACCAGAATATTTAAGAGTATTTGTCCTACTTATATGGTATTCCTGAAGCCCATGCTACTTAAGATATGTAGAAATATATAAATGGATTATTTCTGAGACCCATGCTACTTAAGATATGAACAAACATATAAACTCCAACAGTATACGGTGGAGTCAATCTGTTATAAATAACTAATATACACATAATATGAAGAGAGCAAAATTATGCTGTTTTTATGAACAATCAAATAAAATCTCATCAATAACTCAAATGACTTGAGAAAACATCCTTTAGAAGTAAGGCACTGTTGGCTGGGCGCGGTGGCTCACGCCTGTAATCCCAGCACTTTGGGAGGCCGAGGTGGGTGGATCACAAGGTCAGGAGATCAAGACCATCCCGGCTAACACAGTGAAACCCGGTCTCTACTAAAAATACAAAAAAATTAGCCAGGCGTGGTGATGGGCGCCTGTAGTCCCACCTACTCAGGAGGCTAAGGCAGGAGAATGGTGTGAACCCAGGAGGCAGAGCTTGCTTGCAGTGAGCCGAAATCGCGCCACTGCACTCCAGCCTGGGCGACAGAGTGAGACTACGTCTCGACAAAACAAAACAAAAAAGAAATAAGGTACTATTTAAATGTAAGGAATTGTTTATTCTAGCACCAACAGTTTAAATGCTTTCCACTAACTGAGTTGACATTTTCTTTTGAATTAGCCTATTGAGCATGATTCACGTAAATTCTGCTATGGTTCTCATCTGATTTCTTAGAACTGGGTGATTCAAAAACACTAATTATTTTTAAAAGTCACTAGCTTTTTACTCTCTTTACAAAATAATTCAGGATTGTCTTCTTTTACATAGCAAATTACCATAATTTATGTGAAATACAATCTAATTTATAGAAATTTGATTTACAAGAAGCTTTTTAGGAGATGGCTGCTTTGTGAAGCAAGAAGTGTCTGGTTTGACTTTTCCTCCTCTTTTAAGAAAACTGGCTTCACAGGGAAAAAATAAAAATGAAAACAGCATTCATCAAGCCACTGGGGTTAAAACCCTCATCCCCCTCAGTTCTGAGGACTTTTCTTAGTCCTTTCTACTTTTTCATTCTGGATCCAAAAGAAAATAACGGAGTGTCGGGCATTCTGCCCATTTTACAACTTGACAATTACTAAATGTAACTGAAAGAGCGCTAATTAGATAACAATCTTCTCTTGAACTAAATGTGTTGACACATTTACACCACTCAAATATCAGCCCTAAAGAGAGAGAAGGGATTTGTATACTACTCTGGATTTTCATTTGTTCAGTTGATCAAATACAAGACTATGGTTTCCATTACAAAAGTAAAGAATGATATAGCAAGAGATTGCTGCTTGTTTGTGCTGTGCATATCATGGCAAGATTTATGAAATGAATAATAAATGAGTCAAAATTTTATAAAGGCTAAAATATTTTCTGGCTTCTACAAGCTTCATATTTTTCTAGATAAATATTACAAACTCAACTTTCTGACTAACTTGAAAATCTAGGGTAAAAAACACACAAATTGTTCATATTAATCCTTCCAAGTGAAAACACTATACAAAAAAAAATTTTTGAAATGAAACACTAAAGTGGTACCAAAATAAATTTTAACTAGAATCCAAAAATTAAGGAAATAAACAAATGTCATTTACTTACAAGTTGGTTTTGCAGTTGGAGGAAATTTGGTCCGAGTAATAGCCAAAATTATGAAAATAATGACTGGCCATAAGATCAAGACAAGTGTCCAAAGCTGCAAAATAATGGTAGAAAAAATTGTTAGTTTTATTGTTGAACCAAAGATTTTTAAAACCTGACTACAAAAAGTATGTCATACTATAATATTTCAACACAAGCTGAATATTTGACCAACTGTAGATATTATTAATAAAAAGTGAATGAGAGATTTTTTTAATATGTAAAAGACCTGTAAATGCACAGAAGAATGATTTTTCCAGGCTTAAAACCATGAAATAACCTTCTGAAGATTTATTTTGGATCACCTCTCATGACTGCCCCAATCATCATTATATTAAAATTAACCCTGATTGGTTACTTCATTCCTTAAAAATCCTTTAGAGTTTCCCACTTCCCTATTGGATAAGACACAATGTTCTAAACAGGCCATACAAAACCCAAAATAATTTCAACCTATGCCTATTTTAGCCCTTTCAATGTCAGCATTCTATGCTCAGTCATAAAGACTGGTGTGTGAAGTGGGTCATGACCCATAAATATTGTTGAAAAAATGAACTTAAGAATGAACCAAAAAAGAAATAATTGAGTCAATGAGTGAAGAAGTAAAAAGGAACTTCAAGTCCCATGCAGTCCCATATACTACTTAATGTCTTGTGTGTCTACTTCTATCATAGAACTTACACCGTTATAGTCAATGATTTTTTTTTTTTTTTTTTGCCCAGTTCCCAAATAAACTGGACGTTCATTTATGGTAGGGGCAGTGTCTTATTGATACCTAAATTTCCACCACTCGATGAAAAATAGATGCTCAAAAACACATACTGCATTGAAATTTCTTTGGGTTTTTTTTGTTTTTTTTTTGTTTTTTTTTGTTTTTTTTTGAGACAGAGTCTTGCTCTGTCACCCAGGCTGGATCACAGTGGTGTGATCTTGGCTTGCTGCAACCTCTGCCTCCCAGGTTCAAACAATCCTCTGCCTCAGTCTCCCGAGTAGCTAGGATTACAGGCACCCGCCACCACGCCTGGCTAATTTTTGTATTTTTAGTAGAGATGAGGTTCCACCATCTTGGCTAGGCTGGTCTTGAACTCCTGACCTTGTGATCCACCTGCCTCAGCCTCCCAAAGTGCTGGGATTACAGGCGTGTGAGCCACCGTGCCCGGCCTGAAATTTTCATTAGAGAATTTCACTTTAAGTACTTTAGGAGCTGCTTTTCCTCCCCGTGTAGAAGTGATTCAGTTTGAAAAACACTAACTGCTTAATATTTTATAGACCTATATAATTGGCTCCAGAACCATGAAAAACATATTCACAAGAACATTAACTGTGATATGCAAATAGTTATGGTGCTAAAACCAAACCACAGGGACAAATTTTGCCTATACTTAATAAAGTGAAACTTGGAACTGTATAGTTTTCTGGTCAGACTTATCTTTTCTCTCCCACTTTTCAGAGACAATTTGCTTCAGCCAAATCTCAAGCTATCTACCTGGAGCTCTTCAATTCACCAAAGCAATCCAAACCCCATGAATTACTGATCCTTAAATAACTCCTAATCTACATTTGCTACTAAAATCTCCATTTTGTGTCCAAGAGTGCTGCTCTCCTTGCTGGTAGGCCTGTCACCAACTTCTTAGACGTTGGGTATAATGGTAAGTTTTCAAAAATGGAAGTTCACAAAGTTCACTATAGATCCAAGGAATCCTGAGGCACTCGGTTTGAACATAGCTTGAAAAGCACCCATAAAGACTGAACAACTTAATCTAAAACAGCACTTCTCAAACACTAGTGTGGACTTCCAGATCAGTTTGGGATCTTGTAAACATACAGATTATGGTTCAGTAGATCTGAGGTGGGGGCTGAGATTCTGCATTTCTAAGAAGCTCCCAGGTAAGTGATGCTGATGCAGCTGGTCCATGGACTGCACTTTGAGGAGAGTGGATCTAGATGTATGCCACCCTACCTATCTAACAGGAGTGTTTACAAAGTCCTGGAATATTTTTGTTGGAAAATTTCTTTGGGATCACCTAATGAATAGAATTCAAGGCATTTGTAAATTTGAATGGGAGAAAAAAAGATTATATTTTTATTTTCTCTAGCTTGTTATTAACATTTAGTATTTCCATTAATGATGAATATAGGCAATGAACCACAGTGTTATTAGAAGAACCTGTGACTTTGTCACTAATAGAAATTATGGATATTTAAAAATCACATTAGAGTTGTTGCAGATATCTTAAAGCGCTGTTTATACTCATTACTACTTAAAATTAGTTATGAATTCACCACTAGACCTTTTATTTAATACTACAATAAAGAGACACACATATTACCATATCATAAACTTGCTTTTTTTTCTTTGAGATGGAGTCTTGCTCTGTCGCCAGGCTGGAGTGCAGTGGTGCAACCTCGGCTCACTGCAACCTCCGCCTCCTAGGTTCAAGCAATTCTCCTGCCTCAGCCTCCAGAGTAGCTGGGACTACAGGCACATGCCACCATGCCCAGCTAATTTTTGTATTTTTAGTAGAGACGGGGTCTCACCATGTAGGCCAGGATGGTCTTGATCTCTTGACCTCATAATCTGCCCACCTTGGCCTCCCAAAGTGCTGAGATTACAGGCGTTAGTCACCGCACCCGGCCAAATTTGCTTTCTTAATACTTTGATAACTGAATTTCAATATAATTGGCTTTATTTATAATCCTTTTTATTTTATTTTACATGATGAATTTTAAAACATTATTCTTAAAGGAGCTGTAGGTTTGACCAAACTGCCAAAGCCATCCTAAGGTCCTGTAATCTGATCTAACTCTTTTTTGTATTCTCTGGGTGCAGAAAGTTAGCATAACTTGTCCAAAGTCATATATCCAATTGTGAGGCAGAGCAGGAGACAAGGATCTGAATCCCAAGATACATAGGAGGCCAGGATTCTTTTTTTTATAATTATTGTGCTGTTCCGAGCAGCAAATAAGAAAGCATTACAGAAAGTGTATTGCAAAAATATGAGTGCTACAGAAATGTAAGACGTGTTATTATTCTAGCCTCATCTCTGATTTATTTCAAAATTGGAGCTTGTTCTTTAAAGATCCTGAATACAAGGTATCGTCTTTATTTTATGTTTCTCATTTGAAATGTAGACTAGAAAGAATTAAGGTTAAAAAATTAATGTTTGTGGATTTATCAGTTTTGTATTTGAGGTCATAGTTATGAAAGTATTCATCTGAGTAGACTTAATGCCCCATAGCTACTTTTAGGAACTTCTATTCATTTTCTATGGCAACTTCATGAGAATTCAGTGACCGAGATCAACGATAACAACATATCCACATTCAGATAAGGGGCATATATTGTATGGTATGTATGGTTGCCTTTTGCTTGATCTAATTTGATGATTTCATGAGGATGTTTTGGTGAGTTTTAAAATTAATTTTAAACATATTTTGAATCCAGACAAAAATGCAATCTATACCAGAGACGTTTAAGGCATTTTAGACTCTTGAAGGCAAAAACCACAGCCAGCCTATAAACGAATCTATTATTACAAGGTTTCCCTGGGATTTCAGGTCAGAGAGAGATTTAGAGAACATTTCTGCATACTGCATTTTACGGGGAAAATAAATACAAAGCCCTCTACACTATGGTCTCACGAATATTAAGGTTGACAGGTTAATCACAAAAGCAAGAAATAAATAAAATTTAAATTTTCATAGCAGCAGTGTTGCTCACAACACCATTCTAAATATGTTCATAAGCAACCTAGAAGCAAATGCGGTGTCAAGGATTCAAACTCTAAACCAATAGGCCATGACTTTTTTCTGTTTGGAGAAAGGGATGATATATTAATTTTACACATATAGACACAGGAGCTACTGGAGATGTTTGAGGAAAGCAGTGTTTAAAGGTTTAGTATTTTTGCTTAGAGTGTAATTATTTCACACTGTCTCTACATCTCCTTGGCATTCCACCCCCCTATACTCTTGGCATCAAAGGGTATGTGCACACTAAATAGTTTATGATTCCTTAGTGGGCCAGGGCATTCGTGTCCTTTTATTTCTCCAGGATTTATTTTCTACTGAGATGTACCATTCTGTTCTCTTTTTCTTCTTCTTTTCCTGAAAAATTCAATCCAAAAGTCCGTAGGTAGGTCCTAGCAAGGTAAGTGTACGTGCTAGTACTTGAGGAGCCACAGCTACCCAGTGAGGGAAGTGGGGCCTTAGAAGGGTGAAGAGGACATGGGCACTGAGGCAGTGAGATGTGGGATGTCAGAGACCAAGTGGGGTGAAGAAGGTGTCAGTGCAGGGAGACAGGACAGAGGCAGTGGCAGGCGACCGATTTCATAAGAGCAGGTTGATGATAAAAGTAGAAATATCCCCCATTAGGGGAGTCAGGCTTCTCACTGTCCTTCAAGGTAATTATAACAATTGGAAAAGAAGGAAACTAGAATGATCTTGGTAGTGTTAGGTTAGAATGAGCAAAATGGGCATAAACTCCTAATTCCCAAATGTATAAAGAGGCATAAAATGCAGATAAAAATGCGTATGTGTATTATTTATTTTTTACTTTCTGGTTCCACAATTTGTTTCTGCCTCATTGTGTACCTTCTTTGTCCAATTCCTGAAAACACCTATTTTTCCAAAAAAAATGCTAGCTTCTTTTAGTAGACAACTGAGTTCTAGGTGTGATCATTGCTAGTGGGGTCTCAATATTTTCAATACTCGACATAGCTAAAGATGATATGTAGAAGATAAAGAAAGAGACAGATGATACAAAAGGATAGATAGTTATATAGCTTGCTTGCTTGATTGATATAGATAGGTAGGTAGATAGATTGATAGAAGGGTGATGGATTTACTGCAAAGGGATTGGCAATGAATGATGAGGACACATCCAAGAATACAGATACCAGCCTGTGGCTGTATTTAAACATTAAAATATATTTGAAAATAAAATATATTTAATTAAATAAACTAGGAATCCATGAATCTATGCTGATGGAAACAAACACATAGGTAAACATAAATAAATTGAAAGCTTAATGAGGAATGGAGTATGTACCTACAAAATATTTCTCTATAAAATGGGACAAAATGTCATCATGCACAACCTAATGTGATGAAACGGAAAAAAGCATAATTTCTGTGACATTCTTGCCAAAGATGAATAATAACCTGACTCAAAAAATAAAGAAACAACTGATACTTTACAAGACAATTGGTCATGAAGGTTCAAAAGCGTCAGGGTCATGAAAGTCAAGGAAAAATTGAGAAACTGTTACACATTAAAGGAGACAAGAGCCATGAAAACTAGATGCAGCAGGTAATTCTAAACTGGATCCTTTTGCTATATAAAGGCCACAGTTCCAACAACTGGTGAACCTTGAGTCTAAGGATTTGATGGTGGTATTGAGCTATGTTTACTTGTAGAAAATGTACATTAAAGTATCTGGGGGTAATGGAGCACCAATTTCAAATTGTTCTAGAAAAGAAGTTATTTGTGCTGTTCTTGCAACATTTCTGTAAATTTGTTTTAAAATAAAAAGTTTAGAAATTATTTAAAAGATTTCTGCATTCCTTTTTGAAAATCTAGACTAATTTTTAAAAGAGTGCAAGAGATGAAGAAACAGAAAAAGAGATAAAGACAAGCTTCACATCAAGAAATTCTATCCTGTTGCATGCAAGTGTTGAGGTTTGGAGAATTAATGATAATGCCAGGGCACATTTCAGTGACCTTGTAGTCACTAAGTCATCAACTCAAAATTACAAGTTTAAATCTTAAGCAATTCCTTGAATTAATCAAATGTAAATTCAATGCAAAATTTTCATTTAAAGCTAATCTGCAGTATCTATTAACAAAATTGAATTATCTAGTAATATTTTCCTCTGCACCTGCTAAGAACTATTATTTCAAGTATTTACAAATTTCAAAAACCCGATGTTCTAAAAAATTTGGGCAAAGCATATAATTTCAACTTTAGGTCATCACTACTTTATTACGTTGTCAGAACCCTTTATTCTAATTAATGCTAGTCTATCTGATGCTATTTTTGTCTACCATTGTTATTTTCTTACCATTTTCACTAAACAGTAAAGAAAATAAGATACAGGTGAATTTTAAGTAAACAAGTCTAACTATATATTTTTAAATTATATGAAACTGAACTACTGTTTGGAGACTCTGTGAATTTAATTACTACATCTTATTATCCTAGAGCAGAGGTAACAGACTGGTGGTAGAAAGATCACATCAGACTCATGGAGGTGTTTTGTTTCTTTCACACAGTTTTGTTATTGTTTTCGATGAAATGTGAATGCCTTTAAATAGGGAAAGTACTCTCTAGTTCATCACAGATGTCACCATTCCCCACTTTTTAATGAAGTGCATGGTGTACTTTACCTATCACATTATATATTTTGCCCCTACAGACATTTGAGTCTGTGCCTTTATACTAGAGTAGCCTGAGGCTGGTTATGTCAAAAATAAATGATACCCAACAGGGCATGGTGGCTAATGCCTGTAATCCCAGCACTTTGGGAGGCCGAGGCGGGCAGATTGCTTGAGGTCAGGAGTTTGAGACCAGCCTGGCCAACATGGTGAAAACCCGTCTCTACTAAAAATACAAAAATTAGCCGAGCATGGTGGCACACGCTTTTAGTCTCAGCTACTGAGGAGGCTGAGGCAGAAGAATCATTTGAACCCAAGAGATGGAGGTTGCAGCGAGCCGAGATCTTGCCACTGCATGCCAGCCTGGGTGACAGAGTGAGACTCCGTCTCAAAAAAAAATTAATTAATAAAAAAAGAATGATATGATACTGAATATCAATACAATTTCTATATTTCAATAGGATTTCTTTTGCCTCACTCCAAAAACAAAAACAAAAGGCTAAGATGAAGAGTTTTCATTCCCCTTCATAGTGTCATAGTTTTGGAGAGTTTTAAGGAAATTTAGAGTATAAATATAAACATATATAAAACAGTAATCATTTATTTAAGATTTATACATAAATACAAAAAAAAAATTGTTGAGCACCTACTATGTACCAGACAGTGGGGATACAGCAATGTAAGTTTTCAGTCTTTTGAGAAAGGGAAACAAAAAAATAATTACAGCTAATTTGCATTTCTCTATGATTAGTGAGGATGAGCATTCTTATATGTTTGTTGGCCTCTTGTATGTCATCTTTTGAGAAGTGTCTGTTCATGTCTTTTGCCCGTTTTTTAAATGGGATTATTTGTTTTTTGCTGTTGATTTAAGTTTCTTATAGATTCTGGATATTAGACCTCTGTTACATGCATAGTTTGAGAATATTTTCTCCCATTCTTTAGGTTATCTGTTTCCTCTATTGATAATTATTATTTTATTTTTGAGACCGATTCTCACTCTGTTGCCCAGGGTAGAGTGGTACGATCTCGGCTCACTGCAACCTCCACCTTCCAGGTTCAAGCAAGTCTCCTGCCTCAGCCTCCCAAGTAGCTGGGATTACAGGCATGTGCCACCACGCCTGGCTAAGTTTTGTATTTTTAGTAGAGACAGGGTTTCACCATGTTGACCAGGCTGGTCTTGAACTCTTGACCTCAGGTGATCTGCCAGCCTTGGCCTCCCAAAGTACTGGGATTACAGGCATGAGCCACTACTCCCTGCTGATGATTTCTTTTGCTGGGTAGAAGCTCTTTAACTTAATTAGGTCCCATTTATTAATTTTTAGTTTTGTTACAATTGCTTTTGGGGACTTAGCCAAAAATGATTTGCCAAGGCCAATGTTGAGAAGGGTACTTCCTAGATTTTCTTTTAGGATTTTTAGAGTTTGAGGTCTTACAGTTAAGTCTCTAATCCATCTTGAGTTAATTTTTATATATGGGGAAAGGTACGGGTCCAGTTTTATTCTTCTGCATATGGCTGGTCAGTTATCCCAGCACCTCTTATTGAATAGGGAGTCCTATCCCCCATTGCTTGGTTTTGTGAGCCTTGTCAAAGATCAGTTGGTTGTGAGTATGTCGCTTTATTTCTCTGTTTCCAATTCTGTTCCATTGTTATATGCACCTGTTTTTGGACCAGTGCCATGCTGTTTTGGCCTCACATGAGTCAGAATGGCCATCATTAAAAAGTAAAAAAAAAAAAAAAAAATGAAAACAAAACAAAAAAAAACAGATGCTGGCAAGGCTTCAGAGAATAGGGAACACTTATCTACTGTTGATGGGAGTATAAGTTAGTTCAACCACTGTGGAAAGCAGTTTGGAGATTTCTCAAAAAAACTTAAAACAAAGCTACCATTTAACCCTGCAATCCCTTTACTGGGCGTATAACCAGAGGAAAAAAGATCATTATACCAAAAAGATACATACACTCACCATGCTACTCACAATAGCAAAGACAGGAAATCAACCTATGTGTCCATCAATGGTGAATTGGATAAAGAAAATGTGGTACATATACACCATGGAATATTACATAGCCATGAAAAAGAATGAAATCATGTAATCATGTCCTTTGCAACAACATGGATGGAGCTAGAAGCCATAATCCTTAGCAAATTAATGTAAGAACAGAAAACTAAATACTCTCTGTTCTCACTTATAAGTGAGAGTTAAACATTGAGCGCTTATGGACACACACATGGGAACAACAGACTCTGCAGAGTACTAGAGGGAAGAGGGAGGGATGGAGACATGGGTTGAAAAACTACCTATTTGGTACTATGCTCACCACTTGGATGCAATATACTCATCTAACAATCCTGCACATATACTTCCCATATCTAAAATAAAATTTGAAAAAAATAATTACAGCTAGTTGGAATGGATAATATGACATAGGAAGTAAAGAATGCAAGAGAAAGATAAAGAAAGCTGAGTCTAAAACACGAAGGATGAAAAAGGGTCAAACAGAAGAAATAAATATGTGTTGGATGGAGCGTAAGAAAGAAGTGGGAGTCTGTAGAGCAGAAGCAGCATATGTGTGAAGATCCACAGATGGGGAAGAGAAGGGGATAGTCCAGGAACAGAAATAAGTCCAGAATGACTGGTACGTTGAGACTTAGGGAAAATATATCTGCCATATGGTTATCCAACCTCTATTTGAATGCTTCTAGTGACAAGAAGTTTACTATGAAACTCTTCATCATTGGACAACTCATACTGTCTGATATTTTTGCTTATATTAAGGTGAAATCTTTCTTCCCGTAACTACTGCCTATTTGTCTAAGTTTGGCCACTTCTTCCACATGAGAATTCTATGAATATTTGAAGAGAGACAAAATCCCTTCTTCCCCTAGGCAACTTTAACAATTCTGTTAAGTACTGTTAAAAAATATGTTCCCCAGGATGAATTCTTGTTGTCAAGTGGTCTTCTTATAATTAATGTCAGCATTCAATACAATACTCCAAATGATAATAGCTAATATATATTGACTGCTTAGATTGTGTAACATGCTCTGCTAAACACAACATGCGTTATCACTTTTAACATAATAACCTCCCTTCCTCTTGCAGATGGGAAGACAGGATCTTAAAGTGACTAAATAAGCTTTTCTTCCAGAAGCCACTAAGCAGTAGAGCTGGTGTTTGAACCCAGGGAGTCTGGCTACACTAGCAGAGTTAATCACTAAATTATAGAGCTAACGCACTACAAAATGGATTACTGGCTGTCTTTGATTTGAATACTATACTTTTATTAATTGATTCTATGAGAGCATTGAAAGTCATTTAAAGGACTTTCTGTAACCTAGAACTTTTTATTGCAAACTTGAAAATAAAAATTGCTCAAACTTCCATATATAAAGTACACTCTCTCTTTTTTCCTTTTTTATTTATTTCCTTTAGCATTGTCCTATAAGACAAGAATGACGGTTATTTGATGGTAACAAGAGGATTCCAAGGTTTACATTGCGAAGTAAGAGCTTGGTACCTAAGACCCAGAATAAACCTTAGTTCCCATGAGGAACCTTACTTTCCCAGTGAGGAAATAAAAATGGCTCGGAGTTCTCAATTAGTCTTTCTGGTTGATATGATTTGGCTGTGTCCCCACCCAAATCTCATGTTGAATTGTAGCTCCCATAATCCCCATGTGTTGTGGAAGGAAACCAGCAAGAGGTAATTGAATCATGGGGGCGGGTCTTTCCTGTGCTGTTCTCATGATAGTGAACAAGTCTCATGAGATCTGATGGTTTTATAAATGGGACTTCCCCTGCACAAGCTCTTGCCTGCTGCCATGTAAGATGTATCTTTGCTCCTTCTTTGCCTTCCACCATGAATGTGAGGCTTCCCCAGCCATGTGAAACTGTGAGTCCATTAAACCTCTTTTGCTTTATAAATTACCCAGTTTCAGGTATGTCTTTATTAGCAGCATGAGGACAGACTAATACACTGGTGTGCCTCACTGCCATCTAAAGAAATGACTCATCTAAAAACTGGAATCAAGAAAGTTTTGTGAAATCCGTACTTATAGATTTGAAATTTAAAGATTGGTAAATTTTTTATGGTGTTTACAGAAGCAACGGATTTTTATCAGACATTAAGTCAATTAACTCCTCTATTGCTCCCATTTCTGAAACCTCTTCACCTCAGTTACTTTTTAATGGTTGACTACATTCATAAAATTTGCATGTCTACTATGTGGCAGGCACCATAATCAATAGGTAGAACTAAAATTTTCAAGCAATTAAAAGGGATTAAGGGAGTAAATGATACCAATTCAGAAGAGATAAAAGGAACTGGAACATTGATCACATAGTTGAGTAAGTTGTGCAGGACCCAGTTTATTTCAATCTGATTTAGGATTATTTTGAAATTAGGGCTTAATCCTAAATTGTTTTATTCTAAAAAATATTTTAATGCATAGACAAACTTGTCCTTAAATTCTGAAGCAAAGTTTTCCTCTTTCTCTAGTCACTGTGAAAGGTGGTAATATGAGCAAGTTGGGGATTGCAGGAGGGTATGTCAAGCTTGATCCAAAATGTAAGCCTTTAGCAAGTTGTGACAACATCTGAGTGGAAAAGCTAGTTCTATCATCAACTGAGCTACAGTGTGATCCAGTAGCGAAACAGTTACCACAGAAAATAAACAACTAAAGTTAATTTCCCTTCTTTAGGTCAGAAGGCTGGAATTAGATCCCACCTCTGTTGAAATTTGAAGTCACTCCTTGATGTGCCTATTTAGGAACCATCTTCTTTTTTAAAAATTTGCGATTTGGGGGTACATGTGCTTGTTGGTTATATGGGTATTACATGTGTAATGGTGAGGACTAGGCTTCTAGTGTGCCCGTCACCAAAATATTGTACATTGTATCCAGTAGGTAATTTCTCACCCATCATCCCTTCCCTACTATGGCATTCCCAGAGTATTTTTTCTGTCTTTGTGCCTGTGTATACCATTTGTTTAGTTTCCACTTATAAGTGAGAACATATGATATGTGATTTTCTGCTTCTATGTTAGTTCACTTAGGATAATGGCCTCCAGCTCCATCCATGTTGCTGCAAAGGACATGATTTCATTCTTTTTTATGGCTGTGTAGTATTCCATGGTGCTTATATACCACATTTTCTTTTTTTTCTTTTTGTCTCTTTTTTAAGATGGAGTTTTGCTCTGCTGCTCAGGCTGGAGTGCAGTGGCGCAATCTCGGCTCACTGCAACCTCCACCTCCTAGATCCAGTGATTCACTGCCTCAGCCTCCCAAGTAGCTGGGATTATAGGTGTCCGCCACCACACCTGGCTAACTTTGTATTTTTAGTAGATATGGGGTTTCACCATGTTGGCCAGGCTGGTCTCAAACTCCTGATCTCAGGTGATCTGCCTGCCTCAGCCTCCCACAGTGCTGGGATTACAGGTGTGAGCCACTGCACCTGGCGTCCCACATTTTCTTTATCCAATGAACTGTTGGCGGACACTTAGGTTGTTTCCATGACTTTGCTATTGTAAGTAGTGCTGCAATAAACATATGAGTGCATGTGTCCTTTGGGTGGATACACAGTAGTGAGATTGCTGATTCAAATGGTAGTTTTATTTTCAATTTCTTGAGATATTTCCATACTGTTTTCCATAGTCTGAACTAATTTACATTCTCATCAACAGAGTATGAATGTTTTCTTTTCTCTGCATCCACACCAACATCTGTTATTTTTTGGCTTGTTTTTTCCTTTTTTAATCTTTATTTTAATTTTTTTTATAAGTTATTGGGGTACAGGTATTAGTTGGTTACATGAGTAAGTTCTTTAGTGGTGATTTGTGAGATTTTGGTGCACCCAGCACCCAAGCAGTATACAATGCACCACATTTGTACTCTTCTATCCCTCGCCCCCCTCTCACTCTTCCCCTAAGCCTCAAAAGTCCATTGCATCATTCTTATGCCTTTGTGTCCTCAGAACTTAGCTCCCACATATTAGTGAGAACATACAACGTTTGGTTTTTCATTCCTGAGTTACTTCACTTAGAATAATAGTCTCCAATCTTATCCAGGTCACTGCAAATGCTGTTAATTCATTCCTTTTTATGGCTGCGTAGTATTCCATCACATATATATTCCACAGTTTTTTAATCCACTTGTTGATTGATGGGCATTTGGGTTGGTTCCACAATTTTGCAATTGTGCATTGTGCTGCTATAAACATGTGTGCAAGTACCTTTTCGAATGTGCATTGTGCTTCTATAAACGTGTGTGCAAGTACCTTTTCGAATAATGACTTCTTTTCCTCTGGGTAGATATCCAGTAGTGGGATTGCTGGATCAAATTGTAGTTCTAGTTTTAGTTCTTTAAGGAATTTCCACACTATTTTTGATAGTGGCTGTACTAGTTTACATTCCCACCAACAGTGTAGAAGTGTTCCCTGTTCACCTCATCCATGCCAATGTCTACTCTTTTTTGATTATGACCATTCTTGCAGGAGTGAAGCGGTATCACATTGTGGTTGTGATTTGCATTTCCCTGATCATTAGTAATGCTGAGCATTTTTTCATATGTTTGTTGGCCATTTGTATATCTTCTTTTGAGAATTCTCTGTTCATGTCCTTAGCCCACTTTTTGATGGGATTGTTTGTTTTTTTCTTGCTGATCAATTTGAGTTCATTGTAGATTCTGGATATTAGTACTTTGTCAGATGTACAGATTGTGAAGATTTTCTCCCACTCTGTGGGTTGTCTGTTTATTCTGCTGACTGTTCCTTTTGCTGTGCAAAAGCTGTTTCATTTAATTAGGTCCCAGCTATTTATCTTTGTTTTTATTGCATTTGCTTTTGGGTTCTTGGTCATGAAATCCTTGCCTAAGCCAATGTCTAGAAGGGTTTTTCCAATGTTATCTTCTAGAATTTTTATAGTTTCAGGTCTTCGGTTTAAGTCCTTAATCCACCTTGAGTTGATTTTTGTATAAGGTGAGATGAGGCTCCAGTTTCATCCTCCTACATGTGGCTAGCCAATTATCCCAGCACCATTTGTTGAAAAGGGTGTCCTTTCCCCACTTTATGATTTTGTTTGCTTTGTGGAAGATCAGTTGGCTGTAAGTATTTGGGCTTATTTCTGGGTTCTCTATTCTGTTCCATTGGTCTATGTGCCTATTTTTATACCACTACCATGCTGTTTTGGTGACTATGGCCTTATAGTAGAGCTTGAAATCAGGTAGTGTGATGCCTCCAGATTTGTTCTTTTTGTTTAGTCTTGCTTTGGCTATGTGGGCTTTTTGGTTCCATATGAATTTTAGAATTACTTTTTCTAACTCTGAAGAATGATGGTGGTATTTTGATGGGTATTGCATTGAATTTGTAGATTGCTTTTGGCAGTATGGTCATTTTCATAATATTTATTCTACCCATCCATGAGCATGGGATGTGTTTCCATTTGTTTTCATTGTCTATGATTTATTTCAGCAGTGTTTCCTAGTTTTCCTTGCAGAGGGCTTTCGAGTCCTTTGTTAGGTATATTCCTAAGTATTTTATTTTTTTACAACTAGTGTAAAAGGGGCTGAGCTCTTGATTTAGTTCTCTGTTTGGTCGCTGTTGGTGTAGAGAAGAGCTACTGATTTTTCATTAATCTTGTATCCGGAAACTTCACTGAATTATTTTATCAGTTCTAGGAGTTTTCTGGAGGAGTCCTCAGGGTTTTCAAGGTAAACAATCATATCATCAGCAAACAGTGACAGTTTGACTTCCTCTTTACTGGTTTGGATGCCCTTTATTTATTTATCTTGCCTGATTGCTCTGGCTAGGACTTCCAGTACTAAGTTGAAGAGGCGTGGTGAGAGTGGACATCCTTGTCTTGTTCCAGTTCTCAGAGGGAATGCTTTCAACTTTTCCCCATTCAGTATTATGTTGGCTGTGGGTTTGTCATAGATGGCTTTTATTACATTAAGGTATGTCCCTTGTATGCCGATTTTGCCATGAGTTTTCATCACAAAGGAACACTGGATTTTGTCAAATGTTTTTTCTGCATCTATTAAGATGATCATGTGATTTTTGTTTTTAATTCTGTTTATGTGGTGTATCACATTTATTGACTTGCATATGTTAAACCATCCCTGCATCCCTGGTATGAAACCCACCTGATCATGGTGAATTATCTTTCTGATATGTTGCTGGATTCGGTTAGCAAGTATTTTGTTAAGGATTTTAGCATCTATGTTCATCAAGGATATTGGTCTGTAGTTTTGTTTTTTGCTCTTGTCCTTTCCTGGTTTTGGTATTAAGATGATGCTGACTTCATAGAATGAATTAGGGGGTGGGGGTTCCTTCTTTCTCTATCTTGTGGAATAGTTTCAAAAGGATTGGTACCAATTCTTCTTTGAATTTGTGGTAGAATTCTGCTGTGAATCTGTCTGGTCCTGGACTTTATTTCTGTTGGTAATATTTTAATTACCATTTCATTCTCCCTGCTTGTTATTGGTCTGTTTAGGGTATCTAATTCTTTCTGATTTAAGCTAGGAGGGTTGTATTTTTCCAGGAATTTCTCCATCTCTTCTAGGTTTTCTAGTTTATGTGCAGAAAGGTGTTCATAGTAGCCTTGAATGATCTTTTGTATTTCAATGGTGTCAGTTGTATTATCTCTTGTTTTGTTTCTTAGTGAAGTTACCTGGATTTTCTCTCTTCTTTTCTTGGTTAATCTTGCCAGTGGTCTATTTTATTTATCTTTTCAAAAAACCAGCTTTTTGTTTCATTTATCTTTTGTAATTTTATTTCAATATCATTTAGTTCTGCTCTGATCTCGGTTATTTTCTTTCTTCTGTTGGGTTTTGGTTTGGTTTGTTCTTGTTTCTCTAGTTCCTTGAGGTGTGACCTTAGAGTGTCAATTTGTGCTCTTTCAGTCTTATTGATGTAGGCATTTAGGGCTATGAGCTTTCTTGTTAGCACTGCCTTTGCTGTATCCCAGAGGTTTCCATAGGTTGTGTCATTATTGTTGTTGAGTTCGAAGAATTTTTAAATTTCCATATGATTTTTGTTTTTGACCCAATGTTCATTCAGGAGCAGGTTATTTAATTTCCATGTGTTTGCATGGTTGTGAAGGCTCCTTTTGGAGTTCATTTCCAGTTTGATTCCACTGTGGTCTGAGAAAGTGCTTGATATAATTTCAATTTTCTTAAATTTACTGAAGCTTGTTTTATGGCTTATCATATGGTCTATCTTGAAGATAGTTCCATGCACTGTTGAATAGAATGTGTGTTCAGCCATTGTTGGATGAAATGTTCTGTACAGATCTGTTAAGTTCATTTGTTCCAAGGTATAGTCTAATCCTTTGTTTCTTTGTTGACTTTCTACCTTGATGACGTGTCTAATGCTGTCAGTGGAGTACTGAAGTCCCCCACTATTACTATGTTGCTGCCTATCTCATTTCTTATGTCTATTAGTAATTGTTTTATAAATTTGGGAGCTCCAGTGTTAGGTGCCTATGTGTTTAGGAATGTGATATTCTCCTCTTGGACAAGGCCTTTTACCATTATATAATGTCCCTCTTTGTCTCTTTTAACTGCTGTTGCTTTAAAGTTTGTTTTGTATGATGCAAGAATAGGTACCGCTGCTTGCTTTTGGTGTCCATTTGCATGAAATGCCTTTTTCCACCCCTTTACTTTAAGTTTGTGTGACTCCTTTTGTGCTAGATGGGTCTCCTGAAGGCAGCAGATGTTGGTGAGTTGTTATCCATTCTGTGGTTCTATATCTTTTAAGTGCATCATTTAGGCCATTTGCATTCATTGTTGGTATTGAAATATGAGGTACCATTGCATTCACTGTGCTTTTAATTTCCTGTGTACTTTCTTTATTTTGCTTTTTAACTTGTATTTTTGTTTTATAGGTCCTGTGTGATTTATTCTTTAAAGAGGTTCTGTTTTGATGTGTTTCCAGGATTTGTTTCAAGATTTAGAGCTCCTTCTGGCAGTTCTTGTAGTGGTGCTTTGGTAATGGTGAATTTTCTCAGCATTTGTCTGAAAAAGACTATATCTTTTCTCCATATATGACGCTTTGTTTTGCTGGATACAAAATTCTTGGCTGATAATTGTTTTATTTGATGAGGCTATAAAGATAGGGCCTCAATCTCTTCTAGCTTGTAGGGTTTCTGCTGAGAAATCTGCTGTTGATCTGGTAAGTTTTCCTTTATAGGTTACCTGGTGCTTCTGTCTCACAGCTCTTAAGACTCTTTCCTTCATCTTAATTTTGGATAACCCGATGAAAATGTGCCTAGGCAAAGATCTTTTTGTGATGAATTTCCCAGGTGTTCTTTGTGCTTCTTGTATTTGCACGTCTAGGTCTCTAGCAAGGCTGGGGAAGTTTTCCTCAATTATTCCCCTAAATGTGTTTTCCAAGCTTTTAGAATTCTCTTCTTCCTTAGGAACACCAATTATTCTTAGGTTTGGTCATTTAACGTAATTTTAGACTTCTTGGAAGCTTTGTTGATATTTTCTTACTCTTCTTTCTTTGTCTTTGTTGGATTGGATTAATTCTAAGACCTTGTCTTTGAGCTCTGAATTTCTTTCTTCTTGTTCAATTCCATTGTTGAGACTTTCCAGAGCACTTTGCATTTCTAAAAGTTTGTCCAAAGTTTCCTAATTTTGTATTTTTTTTTCTTAAAGCTATCTATTTCCTTGAATATTTCTCCCTTCACTTCTTCTTTCATGTTTTGGATTCCCTTGCAATGGGCTTCACCTTTCTCTGGTCCCTCCCTGATTAGCTTAATAACTAACCTACTGAATTCTTTGTCAGGTAAATCAGGGATTTCTTCTTGGTTTGGATCCATTGCTGGTGAACTAGTGTGATTTTCTGGGGGTGTTGAAGAGCCTTGTTTTGTCATATTACCAGCATTGGTTTTCTGTTTCCTTCTCATTTGGGTAGGCTCTGTCAGAGGGAAGATCTATGTCTGAAGGCTGTTGTTCAGACTTTTTTGTCCCATGGGGTGTTCCCTTGATGTAGTACTCTCCCCCTTTTCCTGTGGATGTGGCTTCCTGTGAGCCAAGAGCAGTGATTGTTGTCTCTCTTCTGGGTCTAGCAACCCAGCTATTCTACCCGGCTCTGGACTAGTACTGTGGGTTGTCTGCACAGAGTCCTGTGATGTGAACTGTCTATGGTCTCTCAGCCATGGATACCAGTGCCTTCAGCTTCTCCTGTGGAGGTGTGTGATCAGGAGAGGGGAGTCTCCCTTTCCACTTCCACAGTTGGGGCACTCACAGTTTTGGAAGGGTCTCGGATCCTTCAGGAGCAGTCCACTTCCTTCAGAAGGTCTGTGTCTGATCTCAGGTCTCCAGGTCATGTCCCTGGTGCTGCCTGATCTGCATCCAGTGTGAGCAGGAGTTGCCGCGGGCTCCACTCTGACTTTTTAAGTAACAGCCATTCTGACTTGTGTAAGGTGGCATCTCAGTGTGGTTTAAATTTACATTTCTCTTATGATTCATGATATTGAGAATTTTTTCATGTGTTGGTTGACCACTTGTATTTCTTCTTTTGAGAAACATCTGCTCATATCCTTTGCCCAGTTTCTAATGGGGTTGTTCGTTTTCTTTCTGTTGATTTGTTTGAGTTCGTTATAGATTCTAGATATTAATTCATTTTCAGAAGCATAATTGGTAAATAATTTCTCCCATTCTGTAGATTGTCTGCTTATCCTGTTGATTATTTCTTTTGCTGTGCAGAAACATTTTGGTTTGATTAAGTCCCATTTGTCTATTTTTGCTTTGTTGCATTTGCTTTTGGGGTCTTCATTATAAATCCTTTGCCTAGGCTAATGTCCAGAAAAGTTTTTCCAGGCTTTCTTTTAGGATTTTTATAGTTTAAGTCTTATGTTTAGGTCTTTAATCCATCTTGAGTTAATTTTTGTATGTGATGAGAAATAGGGATCCAGTTTCATTCTTCTGCATATGGCTAGCTAGTTACCCAGCACCATTTATTGAATAGGATGTCCTTTCTGCATTGTTATTTTTGTTAGCCTTATTGAAGATCAGTCAGATGTAGGTATGTGGCTTTATTTTGGGGTTCTCTATTCTGTTCCATTGATCTGTGTCTATTTTTGTATCAGTATCATGCTGTTTTAGTTACCATAGCCTTGTAGTATAATTTGAAGTCAGGCGATGTGATGTCTCCAGATTTGTCCTTTTCCTTAGGAGTACTTTGGCTATTCGGGCTTTCTCTTGGTTCTATGTAAACTTTAGGATTTTTTTTTTTAATTATGTGAAAAATGATGTTACTAATTTGTTAGGAATTACATTAAGTCTATAGATTGCTTTGGGAATATGGTCATTTTAACAATATTGACTCTTCCAACTCATGAGCATGGAATGTTTTTCCATTTATTGGTGTTATCTACAATTTAAAGAAATTAAAGCATCACTGTTTTGTAGTTCTCCTTGTAGAGATCTTTCACCTCCTTGGTTAAATATATGTCTAGGTATTTTTTGTGCGGCTATTTTAAATGGCCTTAAGTTCCTGATTTGGTTCTCAGATATATCATTGTTGGTGTATGAAAAATGCTACTGATTTGAGTATGTTGATTTTGTATCCTGAGACTTACTAAAGTCACTAACCAGGCCTAGAAGACTTCTAGAGGAGTCTTTAGGGTTTTTTAGGTATATGATCATGGCATATACCTGTTCATCTCATTGAACAGAGATAAGTTGACTTCCTCTTTTCCAATTTGGATGCCTCTTATTTCTTTCTCTTGCCTGATAGCTCTAGCTAGGACTTTCAGTGCTATGTTCAATAGGAGTAGTGAGACTGAACATCCTTGTCTTGTTCCAATTCTTAGGGGAAATGTTTCAACTTTTCCCCATTCAGCGTGATGTTGGCTGTGGGTTTGTCATATATGACTGTTATTATTTTGAGGTATGTTTCATTTATGCCTAGTCTGCTGAGGGTTTTTTTTTTAATCACGAAAGGATGTTGGATTTGATGGAATTCTTTTTCTGCATCTATTGAGATGATCATATGGTCTTTGTGCTTAGTTCTGCTTATGTGGTGGATCATGTTTATTGATTTGTGTATATTGAGCCATCCTTGCTTCCCTGATCATGGTGAATCATTTTTTCATGTGCTGTTGTAGTTTACCAGTATTTTGTTGAGGATTTTTGCATCTATGTTCAGCAGAAATATTGGCCTGTAGTTTTCTTTTTTGTTGTTGTTGTGTCCTTGCCTGATTTTGATAAGCATGGTGATGGTGGATTCATAGAATGAGATGGGAAGGGAGCCCTCCTCTTCGATTTTTTTTTGGAATAGTTTCACCAAGATTGGTACCACCTCTTCTTTGTACATCTGGTAAAATTTGGCCATGAATCCATCTTGTCCTGGGCTTTTTTTATCGGGAGATTTTTTTTATTATTGGTTTAATTTCATTACTTGTTATTGGTCTGTTCAGGGTTTCTATTTCTTCCTGGTTTAATCTTGGGGGTTGTATGTTTCCAGGAATTTATTCATTTTCTTTAGGTTTTCTAGTTTGTGTGAATAGAGGTATTCACAGTAGTCTTTGATGATCTTTTCTGTTTCTCTGGTAACAGTTGTGATGTCATCTTTATCATTTCTAGTAATTATGTGAATCTTTCTTTTTTCCTTAGTCTAGCTGGTGGTCTGTCAATTTTGTTTAGCCTTTCAAAGGATCAACTTTTCATTCATTGATCCTTTCTATTGTTTTTTTTTTTTTTTTTTTTGGCCTGAATCTCCTTTATTTTTGCTGTGATCTGTGTTGTTCTTTTCTTCTGATAGCTTTTATTTTATTTTGCTCTTGTTTTTCTAGTACCTTCAAGTGTGATGTTAAATTGTTAATTTGAGAGCTTTCTATCTTTTTGATGTAAGCATTTAATGCTATAAACTTTTCTCTTAGCACTGCCTTTGCTATATCCTAGGAGCTTTGGTATGCTGTGTCTTTATTTTTATTTGTTTTGCATTTTTTTAATTTCTGCCATTATTTTATTGTTTACACAAAAGCTGTTCAGGAGAAAGTTGTTTAGTTTCCATGTACTTGTATAGTTTTGAAAGCTTCTCCTTAGTATTGATTTCCAATCTTACTCCACTGTGGTCCAAGAAGCTACTTGATATGATTTCAATTTTTTTGAATTTATTGAGACTTCCCTTTTGGACAAGCATACAGTTAATTTTGGAGACTGTTTCATGCACAGATGAGAAGAATGTATATTCTGCAGTTGTTGGGTATAATGTTCTATAAATGTCTATTAGGTCCTTTTGCTCCACAGTCCAATTTAAGTCCAGAGTTTCCTTGTTGATTTTCTGCCTTGATTATCTGTCTAGTAATATAAGTGGGGTGTTGAAGTCCACCACTATTATTGTATTGCTATTAATCTGTTTTCCTAGGTCTAGTAGTATTTATTTTGTAAAGCTGGGTGCTTCCGTATTGGGTTAATATATACTTGGGATAGTTGAATCTTCTTGTTGTATTGAGCCTTTTATCATTACACAATGCCTTTGTCTTTTTTTTTTAACTGTTGTTGGTTTAACGTCTGTTTTATCTAATATGAGAATGGCTATTCCTGCTTGCTTTTCTTTTCCATTTGTGTGATATATCTTTTTCTACCTTTTTACTTTAAGTCTGAATGCATCTTTACTCAGTAGGTGAGTCTCTTGTAGACAGAAGATGGCCATGTCTTTTTTAAAATCCTATTTGCCATTCTACATCTTTTAAGCAGGGCATTGAGGCATTTATGTTAAAAGTTAATGTTGATACGTGAGATTTTGTTCTTGATGTAATGTTGTTAGCTAGTTCTTTTGAGGTTTCTATTGTGCAGTTGCTTTACAAGATCTGTGAGCTTTGTACTTATGTATCTTTTTCTGTGTTGTCCTTTTGTTTCTATGTTTAGAAATCCTTTGAAAATTTCTTGTAGGACCAGGCTAATAATGACAAATTCTCTTAGTGTTTTCTTGTCTGGGAAAGACTTTCTCCTTCATTTATGAAGCTCAGTTTGGCAGGATATAAAATTCCAGCTGGCATTTTTTCTTCTTTAAGGAGGCTAAAAATAGATCCTCATCTTTTCCGTTACAGGGCTTCTGCCAAGAAGTCCACTGTTAGTCTAACCAGTTGTCCTTTGTAGGTGCTTTGACTCTTTTCTCTAGCTGGCTTTAATTTTTTTTTTTTTTTTTTTTTTTTTTTTTTTTTTTTTTTTAGTATGGACTTTGGATGATCTGGTGACTACATGAGTTGGTGACGTTTGGCTTGTATGAACTCTCACAAGTGTTCTCTAAATTTATCCGAATCTCTGGTAATATCTGGATGTCTACCATTCAAGCAAGATTGGGGAAATTTTCTTGAATTATTCTCTAAAATATGTTTTTCAAGTTGTTTACTTTTTCTCCTTCTCTATCAAGAATTCCAATAATGTGTAGGTTTGGTCACTTTACATAATCTCATACTTCTCATAGACTTCGTCATCTTAATGGAAGACAAACTCTTATATTATCTAGTCTTTCAGCCTGCAATCTCTTTGCTGTCCCAGGACTCTTCCCTGTCATTAACTAGCATCTCATTAGGTAAGCCTTCCTATTGCTAACCATCTCTGCTGGAATATTTCTTCATTATTTCATTATTTTTAAAGTTAAATTACAAGCCCAGCAGGTTAGCAACTGCACCTGGTTGGCTTTCTCTATTACCTAACATTTCTATTAGTACTTAATGTATTTTTCTTTACTTTCCTTTAGTATTCATTTCTTTGGCAATACAATTGAGAACTGATATTACCACAGATATTAAAAATCATCAATTTCCAAGGCCTCCTTAGCAGATATTATCTGTTCTTTGGTGGGCTAAGTGTTAAGTGGGATCAGAGAATGTTAGAGAAAAAACTCAACTCAGCAGCAATAGAGAAGCATCAGGAAGTGATGGAAAGAATAAATTCATGCTTGAAGAAATCTGACTTTGAGCTTTAAATTTGCTGTGTGACCTTGGACAAGTCCCTTGAGCATTCTAGGACCCTGTAAAATTAAGTCAGTTAGATATGTCCCAATATTCCAGAATTCTGATATCTTACTTTACAAAAAAAAAGAGAGAGACATTTACTCCAAGAATAATTTTGAGGGAAGTCACCACCAAAATTAAAGATTCCCTTTTTTATAGCCAAACTAAATATTTAGCTTATGCTATTCTCATCCTGTTTCTCGGATTGTATAGCTGTTTGTAATTCTCTTCTCATTTTCTATTTTAGCATATATATATGTATATGTGTATATATGTATATATGTACATATATACGTATATGTGTATATATGTATATGTACATATATACGTATATGTGTATATATGTATATATGTACATATATATGTATATGTGTATATATGTATATGTGTATATATGTATATATGTACATATATGTATATGTGTATATATGTATATATGTACATATATGTATATGTGTATATATACGTATATATGTACATATATGCATATGTGTATGTGTATATATACGTATATATGCACATATATGCGTATGTATATGTGTATATATACGTATATATGTACATATATACGTATATGTATATATGTGTGTATATATATAATCTCTCTCTCTCTCTCTCTCTCTATATATATATATATATAGAGAGAGAGAGAGAGAGAGAGAGACAAACAGAGAGAGAGAGAGAGAGAGAGACAGGGTCAAACTTTTTTGTCCAGGCTGGAGTACAGGGGTTCAATCTAGGCTCACTGTAGCCTTGACCTCCCAGGTTCAGGTAATCCTCCCACCGCAACTTCCCAAGTAGCTGGGAATACAGGCATGCGCCACCATGCCCAGCTAATTTTTGTATTTTTAAATAGAAACAGGGTTTACCATGTTGCCCAAGCTGGTCTCGAACTCCTAGGCTCAAGTCTTCCACCTGCCTTGGCCTCTCAAAGGATTATAGGCATAAGCCACTGCACCTGGCCAGCATATACTTTAAAAAAAAATTATTTATTTTTCTTTTTTTGAGACAGAGTTTCACTGTTACCCACGCTGGAGTGCAGTGGCACAATCTCAGCTCACGGCAACCTCCACCTCCCAGGTTCAAGCGATTTTCCTGCCTCAGCCTCCCAAGTAGCTGGGATTACAGGCACCTGCCATCCCACCCAGCTAATTTTTGTATATTTTTAGTAGAGTTTTGCCATATTGGCCAGGCTGTTCTTGAACTCCTAACCTTAAGTGATCCACCTGATTCGGCCTCCCAAAGTGCCGGGATTACAGGCATGAGCCACTGCGCCCAGCCCCAGCATATACTTTTATAATCAACACATTTCCTCATTTATCTCCAATCTACCTTAATATTTTTACTATATCTTTGTTTTCCTTTGCTTTTTTCATGTGCCATTTGTTTCTCCATTAATAGATTCTTAACTTCTTCTCTTTTGAATTAGTCTTCCCACCACCTTGCTTTGTGATGGAATTTCTAAAAAATATTAGGCAAAGTTGTCATGGTGGTGATGCTTCCATTTTTCTTTACCATTAAGTAAGGACTATAAATTTCCTGTGTCCATAGCTTAATTTCTGTTTTGCTGTGAGTAAAAGTATACTTTGAAAGTACAATTTTTAGAATGATTATGAATGTAGAAATATAAATGCTTGCATTTTAAATTATTATTTGATGGATAACCAAGTCTAGTTCCTACAAAAACACTCTTCTCCTCAAATTCATATGTACCTTCATTTCACATTTTGTCTGTCTTCTAATTTGCCTATAATTTCTCTTTAGACAATTTTTTTCATTTTATCCCCCTTTAGATCTTTAATTCCAACTTTCCAACCTCTTATTCCTCTCTTCCTTTTTAAGTGTAATGCCATCGCACATATATCCTTCCCACACGTGTCTTCAAGTCTTTTTCCCAACATGGAGAGACAGAGCTGACCCTAGGCGAAACTGTGAAGGAAATTTCTCTTTCTTTGCCCTTTCCCCCTCCACTCAGAATTGTCCTTCCTTTTCCTTTTGCATCACCATCTTCTACAGGTCTCTCTTGTCCCTCTGGTTGGTTATAATGGATTCAGGTTGGCCTCTGTATTGTCCCAAATTTTGGACTTTCTCTGACCTCACTCTGCCGTGAAGACTTATCTGTTCTGGTTTCCATTTGTTTAAGGTGCACTTAAGATCTGAATCATTCCCTGTCCCAAAATGAACTAATGGCTCATGTATTCTCCCTCCCTAGGAAAAGTATAGTTACCAGAGTTTATTTAGGGGTTTTGACTAGATGGGAATAATGCAAGGTGTCATGCTTGAAAAACTTTTAATATCTGACTTACATCTCCCCTAAATATTTCACCATGTCCACAAACACTGACTAAAATGAAGAGAAACCCCAAAGGAGAAAATTGATATACCTACTACTTTCAAAATGAGGAAAAAAATTTGTCATTAAAATTTCTAAAGATAAAATTTCTCAATGAAAAACAAACATCTTCACCTGAGATTTGGGTGTTTTTTTTTCCTATAACTTTTTTTACACAAAATAGAGTTGTAAAAGAAACAGACCTCAGCATTCAGATTATTGACAATAACACGTACAGATTTTAGTTCCTCTGTGTTTTTGTTTTTAGCTATTGAATTTTTATCACTTACAAACTTGACTGTACGTGGATTTCTTCCTTTTACCCACAGTATCTTCTCCTGAATTTCCTTTCATTATTAATCTGCATAAAATATGACACACATTGCCTCAAATCCCTCACTAATCTATTTGCTAAGTGTGTCAGTATTATAAAGCACTTTGAAATACATTAGCACATTTGGTACTTCCCCCAATGAGTTAGATGTGGCAGGCTTCATGCCACATCTAACTAATCATGTCACGTCTAACTCATCATGCCACATCATGGTGGGAAAAACAGTGCTTAGAGAAACTGTCTTAAGCTACTTAAGTTACATGAGGAGCAGTGGCAGGGGCCCCAACTCGCATGCTCTGACCACATGACCACATCCACACACCCAGGATCCTTTCCCTGCTTATGCCACACAGAATCAACCACATGATAATTATGGGGAGGTTTTCTTCTGTGCTTTTTTTTTTCCAGTTAAAAAACAAATAAAAACATGAATGAGTTTATAATTTTATATTCAAACCCCACACCCATGCAATCACATGCCTTAGAATTTTAAAACCCTACCCACAAAATTCACAAGGGTAAATGAACATCTACTTCCTCCTCTTACTACACACATCAAAACACTCAAGTAAAGTGTCAGGCAATCCAAGCAAGCCTGGAGCGAGATAAGGTGCATAGATAAAGTGCTGGTTTCTGTGTGATGCATATTATTTGCATAATATTTACATTACTCATTCAAGGCTGGGAATTACCACTTTAAAATAAAGTATATTGAATACCTTTTTGGATTTCCCCGATTTTCAAACATTCTTCTGAATATATAACAACTCCCAGAAACCAATTCCTTTCTCAATCATCCTGGGAGCCATCTGATGAGGATCTAATAGCTAACTTTGTAATTAGAACGCAAACATTAATGTAAGAGTACAAAAAAGACGTTGCAATGAGCAAGAGAAGATAGATTGTAGTAGTAAAGCTAAGTGATTCAATAATATTCTTAAAACATAGCACATATACATACTCTTGTTTGGTATTCCCAGTAAATGATTTTTAGATACTAAAATTTCTCAGTAGCTTTTCTATACTAATAGCCTTCAAACTATTTCTGTTCTGTATTTTACCTTTCAACCAAACTTTCTATGGCTTTCAGTTTTCCAGTATATTTCTTCCCATTTATTGTACATTTCAAATAATACTTTTCTTTCCTCTATCCCATTTTTAACTACATTAAGAAAAATTCTGAAAGCCTTTTGGCTTGAAACCAGAATTCAACGTTCCAGTTCAGCCAGTAATGAGTCATGTTCTTTTTTTTTTGCCCAGGGCATGTCCTGGTTTACTCTTTAATTTACTGAAATGAAAAGGCTGCTTTTGGGGGCATGTTAAGACTCGCTCCATTAGCTATAAGACAGATAGGGGGATGAATTCTAAATATCTTACTTCCTGCTTTGGAAAATGCCTTTAAACTCTTCTGTTTTCACTTCTCATTAAGATCACATTTTAGGATTACCTGGCGTATTGCCCCATGACCCATACTCCCACACTTTTTTTTAACTCACCGGCTGCCTTTTTACACCTAGCCAATTTTTCCAGACCAGGATCTGAAGCTGATGAAACAGGGAAGCCATCCTTCAAATGCCCCAAATGAGAGATTTCCTCTTCTTTTCTCCACTCCACAAATGAAGAACTGATGCCCCGTCCAACTTGCTGTATGTCAGTGTATCAGTACCCCTTTCACGGCATAGCTTCCTTGAGGGCTGGGGTAAGAAACCCACAGTTCTTCTGTTTCTGCTGGATTTTTCCCTGTGGTTAATCCTTAACCAAGAGGCACTTCTCAATCAACTCTTCTTCCAAAAGAAGGACCCAGATCAGTATCTTTGGGTGGCTTATGCTTATTTTAAAATAATATCCAGTTGCTGCTTGTTGCACGAAGTCCAGACTCAAGAGAGAATGAGCATCATTCAGATAATGCCTCACTGAAAAAAAAAAAAAAGCAGCAGCTGAACCCACACCTCCTACTCTCCATGAAATTAATTGCCTATCCACACCTTAGAGAACATGTCACCTGCACTGGATGCGTCACAGGGACTAGGGGGTGGGACCTTTGCAAGGCCAGTAGGACTTGTCCTACATTCTCTTGTCTTCTTTCCTGCACACAGTGTCTGCTCTAGCAGAGGCAGGGCACAGAGAGCATTTCACAGACACTGGGCCCAGTGACTCTTTAATATTAAAGTGTCATTAAAATGATTTAAGTCAATAAGGCCAGAGCTTAGCTGCAAAGCTCTGAGCCTCAGCCCATCATTAGATATACTAGGGAAAGTGTCCACCTTTAACCTAAAGTTGAATGTTTCGATTTTGGGGGAAGAAACTATGTTGGCCAGGTCCCACCTTTCATCACAATGTACTAGGTTAAGCACAGGGCAGAAAAGGAAAGGTAGGCTGTAGGGGACATAAATTACAAACTGGAGTCCCTCAATTCGTGAGTGGAGATTCACGTGTCTATTACAGACAAGCCACATTGTTTCAGGCTCTTATAGTGAAAGGGGACACAGGCTGATCCAAGACATTTCTATTTCCTCTTTCCATGATACATTCCTCCCTCTCTAAGATCCTGCCTTTCAAAGTTATCCCCAAGTTGACATCTTCAATGAAGCCTTTTTGGATATATCCCATAGGATAGATTCTCTTGCCTTTGAATCATTCTTTGTTGCCCTCTCTCAAGGAACTTAAAGTTTTTGCATTATTTTTATTTGTGTATGTCTTATTTTTCCTACAAGATTATAAATTATTTGAGGACATGGACTATTTTATATCACAGTACTTTACATATCATTAGTGTTCAATACTTGCTGCTGAATGTAATTGAATAAACTACTGGAGCCAAGGCTAGTAGGGTGAAGCTCCCCTTTGATCCTCACACCTACCCTGACTAATCCAGACTTTACTTGCAAAATCCGTTAAAGCATTAAGAGTTCTCCCTTCGCCAGGTGCGGTGGCTCATGCCTGTAATCCCAGCAATTTGGGAGGCCGAGACGGGCTGATCACTTGAGGTCAGGAGTTCAAGACCAGCCTCGCAAACATGGTGAAACCCCGTCTCTACTAAAAACACAAAAATTAGCCAGGCATGGTGGTGGGCACCTGTAATCCCAGCTATTTGGGAGGCTGAGGAGGGAGAATCGCTTGAAACCGGGAGGCAGAGGTTGCAGTGAGCTGAGATGGCGCCACTGCACTCCAGCCTGGGCAAAAGAGTGAGATTCCATCCCCCCTCCAAAAAAAGGAATCTAGCACAGGTCCTGCCTCATAGTAAGTAGTCAATTAATTCTATTAATTGGGTAGCAATGTTTGCTAAGGACTTATTGAATCATCCTAGGAGTCCTATTATATAGAAACTGTCATTATTCCCATTTTCAGTGAAAGAAAGTGATATTTAGAAGTGCCATAACTTGCTGGATTTCACCTAGTTAGCAGTGAGGACAGTGGGAACAGCAGAGAAGGAACTCGAACCTCGTTTCTGTACTGTTAATCTCTGTGCTATGTTTTCTCCAGTCCCATGTATTACACTTCACAGGAAGAGCTGAGAAACAAATGAACATCAGGGATTTTCCCTGTTTCTCTAGGCAGGTCTATAAATCACTTGTAGAGATTTTTTTGTAAGTACACGCATGAAAAATTATGGCCAAAATGAGTTCACAAAGAGTAGTTGCTCCAGGAATTCAGGAGAAGGAAGGCTGCTCTTTTAGGCTTCTTCATAGAGCCTCACGGCACTTCCCAGCCTGGCTCTTGCCAGCTTCATCAGTTGTCTCTCCACCTTCAGCCCTCCCTCCTGCCATCTGCTAGAATACTTTAGATGAGGACTGTTCACTTTCAGGCTTTGGTCATGCTGTTCCCTCTGCCCAAAATGAAATTGTGCTCATTCTCAAATGACTGACTCAAGTGTAACTTCCCCTCTGAAGCCTTTTCCAGCACTTCCACCCACCACACCCCCACCCCCGGCTGAATTAATCACCCCTTCATCTGTTTTCCCATAAAGCTTTGTTCGCACAGATAGCCAACTCCCTTATTACCTTCTAGTATAGTCAGTCTGTCTCTCTGTCCATACTCTGAGCCCCTTGAGTACAGGGACCAAGTCTCATGGAACACCACAATTTTGAGATAAATTCTGTATTCCTGAATGGTGAGAATTCTGACCCAACTAAATCTAAGAGCTGGTCTGAAGTAGTAGAAGATAAAGTTGGAGAGTTAGGGACCTAAAGCCAAAGAGGAGGAGATGTCATATTGCGGATTTAAAATGAAAAGTTCCTGGAAACTCTTCTTAAGAGATAGAGTATGATAAAGCCGATGCTGTGGGATGATGAAAATGTTAGTAGAATGAGAAACTGATTGAAGTTGAGACTTGAAACCCTGTTTTTGAATAGAAAAAACAAGTGAATTGAGTTAGTGATGATGTAAAACAGTTCAGAAATTTTAACAGCAACCAGATTATAATTTTACTCCTTTGTCTCAGCACTGGTTGTTGTGTATAGCATCAGTGACAACTTTGTTTGTTTGTTTGTTTTACCATCAACTGACTTTTACATTAAGGTGCTATGGGATACTCATTGCATACAGGACCTGTGAGGTCAACATTATTTTACCTGCTGTATACGTGAAGATGCATAGGACAAGTAGCTTCCTGAGGTCACACAGATAATGGGTGTCAGAACATTAATTTGAACCCAGGTTTCTGTGTCTGCAAAACCTGTTCTCCAACAGGCCCTAATAAAGCAAGCATGGGTAAGAAAACACAGCAAGTGCACACATTTAACCTAGGTGGAAATGTGCAACAAGTTGGGAAATTGAAGCTAACTCATGGTAAAAATAACAGCATCCTTCTTTTATAAGAAGGGTGGGACTCCACCCAAGGATTACCATAATGAGGCACCAGTTGCTAATACCTCATTGCCTAAGATCCACTTGCGATGTAAGAGGTTGATAGCTGATGCTATGAAGCAGGTGGGTGTGAGGAAGGTATCAGATTCAGGATTTTCAAGTTTTCAGCACTGAGACACTCCAATGATAATGTAGACAAAAGAATTGTGTCAAGAAGCAACTGGTAAAAATCTGATCCACAAAACCCGAAAAGAAGACATATTTCAAGGGAGCTTTAAAAAGTCTCGCTCACTCCAAGCTGTTACAGAGCACCTTATCCCTCCAAGGTGATTTCAATGGCATGGAATTTCTCATCACAAATAACACAGTCATGTCAGGGACCAAGTTTGTAAATCAATTGATTATCTTACATTGAGCCATGTGAGTATGGCAATTTCAGGGTGATTTCCCATCTTGTGAAGAATTATTCATCCACTCACTCAGGGTGAGTAATCATTTTCTTAAACTGGTGATGTTGAATTAATTTTACTACATGTGTAGCTATAATCTTGTGAGGCTAAGAAAAAAAAACTGATGCCTGTAAAATTTAGAAATTTTTGGCCAACCTATTTAAACTGATGGAAAGATATAGCGTAGAGTATTCAGAAAGATCATCTCCTCCTCTTTGCAATGTAAGTTTTAATAATCAATTCTCCATTTTAAAGGAAAAATGAAAATGAAAAATAGTATTTTTTTCTTCTCAATTTATGTTTTCCCCCTCATAACACCTTAAGCAGCTTAAAAGACAAATCTATATATTTATCTACTATCGCTTGTTTCTTCATGGAAAAAATACAACGAGCCAATTTTTGCATGTGTTTTAGTCTTTGATGACTGGCCTGTTCCCAGAGCAATTTAAAAAAGAATATCCCAATAGTAAAGGTTTCTATAGCATGCATTCTCTTGGGCACAACAAAAACTATCTTAGAAAAGATTAATTTTATTAAATAAGCTAGAAAATGATCATTTCTAGCATTTTCAAATTCCAACATATAAGAAAAATAAGTCAACCAGTTATCTGTCCCCTCAATCTTGAGCAACACACAGGTTTTCTTTCCTTTTTTTTTTTTTTTTTTTGAGGTGGAGTCTTGCTCTGTCACCCAGGCTGGAGTGCAGGGGTGCAATCTCGGCTCACTGCAACCTCTACCTCTCAGGTTCAAGTGATTCTCCCACCTCAGCCTCCTGAGTAGCTGAGATTGCAGGCGTGTGCCACCATGCCCAGCTAATTTGTGTATTTTTAGTAGAGATGGGGTTTCACCATGTCAGTCAGGCTGGTCTCGAACTCCTGACCTCATGATCCGCCCCCCTCAGCCTCCCATTTTGTATGTGCAACTACTACTGTATTACTTTGAAAGCATAAGGCTAGGGGGTAAAGGAACTAGTCAATAATTTCAATTCAAATCAATAATCAAACATTTTAGTTGAGAAGTCTCTTTCAAGCACTAACTGATCAGCAATATTTTTTTGTTTTTGTTTTTGTTTTTGTTTTTGAGACGGAGTCTTGCTCTGTCGCCCAGGCTGGAGTGCAGGGGCACAATCTCAGCTCACTGCAACCTCTGCCTCTCGGGTTCAAGCGATTCTCCTGCTTCAGCCTCCTTAGTAGCTGGGATTACAGGCATGTGCCACCATGCCTGGCTAATTTTTTGTACTTTTGGTAGAGACAGGGTTTCACCATATTGGCCAGGCTGGTTTTGAACTCATGACCTCAAGTGATCCACCCTACTCAGCTTCCCAAAGTGCTGGAATTACAGATGTGAGCCCCCACGCCCAGCCTGATCAGTAATATTTTGGAAGCAGAGGAGAAGGAAAGGTACAGGGGGAAGTGAAAGGGAACAACTGATTGGCATGTATAGTGGTAGCTGATAGCTTGACTCTTGAACAAGAGAATGTACAAATAGAGTAGGATAAATTCACAAGTCCACACTCAAAAATATCCATTTTTGTATGTGTTTATATAGATGTAAATATGTACTATATATGCTTCTTTACAAATATGTGGCTAGAGATAAAAAGTATATTCAAAAGTATGTAAAAAAATTCACAAAATTTTAACCATTAGATAAGCACATATGGATTGTAAATGGGAAGAAAATGGTATATAATAAAAATGAAACATCTGGCTCTCCAGATATGCATTTAATGAGTATTTTAATGACAGCATGTGACAAGCAGAACATATGGCTATTGTATCAGTGAAGTCTTGCTACAGATAACTGGACAGAGATTTTGAATCAAATTTTGCAGCATATAGTTTCACCCATGGTATTTTTCTAAACATATCAACTTCTAAATTAACTAACTGTGCATTCATTAATTTGTATTATAATTGGGAGCATCAAGTTTATATTTTAACCCTTTTCCAAGGGGGAAGTACTCCCATATAACACGCAATAAATATATCTCAATCTAAAATAATCATGTTAAGTGGCAGGAATGACGTTAATCTTCCCCATTCTGTTACTACCTGTGGTTTTTTTCTGGACCATGGAATTGTTTTGAAAGCTAGTTGTGACCTATATATAGACAATAATAAAAGAAGAAATTTGTCCAAAACACTCTGAGAGACTTGCACAAACTTCTCTACCACGGAGACTTTTATGGGAAACATAATCTCATTCTCACCTACAGCTTGACCCTCAAATCATCAGCCTTCTTCCAATAATGAAAGTTCACTGCTTAGAGCCAACAACCATTTTGTGTAGCACAGGGAGCCCATGAAACAGAATTCTGTTGACACCATGGCTCTGCAGCATCAGAAGGTCATTGGCAAGATGCCACTTTGATATAGCAACTTCATTCCCTAAACTAGGGGCCATGTGAGAAATGTCAAATCACATTGAAAGCGAAGGTACACACTTACTGCAAGGGGAGAGAAAGCCATAGGGCTTATTGAAAGAATTGTTTTGTTGCACAAAGAAGCAGAGAATGTGGAGGGAAAGAGCAGAGGAGCCCTACTGACGAGATAGGTGTTGAGGCCAAGCTACCACTTTCTGAGGGTCAATTGCTTTATCTAGAAAGTGAGGTGATAATTATTCTCGGCCTACAGGTTTACTGGGGAATTAAACTAAAAGATCAAACAAATATAAATAACCTAGAGGATAGTTGAGGCCACTTCTGCCTCCCTGATTCCTGCCATCTGTGCAGTGGCTTGGGTTAATACCCTATACAACCCAGATGGAAACTCATTGGTGGTGTATATTAATTGAAAGCAAAACAAAACAAAACAAAACAAAAACAAAAACAAAAAAACCACACACAAAGTATTCTGTGAGTTTAGCACACTTTTTTTTTTTTTTTTTTTTGAGACTGAGTTTCTCTCTTGTCGCCTAGGCTGTAGTGCAATGGTGCAGTCTTGGCTCACTGCAACCTCCGCCTCCCAGGTTCAAGCAATTCTCTTGCCTCGGCCTCCTGAGTGGCTGGGATTACAGGTGCCTGCCACCATGCCCGGCTAACTTTTGTATTTTTAGTAGAGATGGAGTTTCACCATGTTGGTCAGGCTGGTCTCAATCTCCTGACCTCAAGTGATTCGCCCGTCTCGGCCTCCCAAAATGCTGGGATTACAGGCGTGATTAGCACACTTATTAATGATTAGGGGGTGACAAGTAATTGCATGTATATGGCCTCTCATAATCTCCCCAACTCAACCTTTTTTCTCTCCCCCTTCCATTTCCTTCTTCTCTTTACTCCATTCTTCCTCGTCCCTTTCTAGGACAATTAAATTCCTCTCGTTTCTGCTGAGTAGTTTAGAACCCTTCTCTGAAGCTATAGTGCTTCCTGACCTCCAGACTCCAGAGGAATACATTCACATCCAAGCTTCTCAGTCACTAGAATAAAAGCTGTTCTCTTTTCACCATATGAGAAACTCTGGTAGCAGCTCCTAAAGTAGTAAAAATTTCACCAACTCTTTACACTTAATTACTATTACTATTGGCTAAAATAATGCTTGATCACTTGGAACCTTCAGAACAATGACAATCAAGGAAGATAATGAGATTAATTCCACAGCAATTATTTCAAACTCAAAGTAATATTCAATTATACATCAGGACACATGAAATACTGTCACTTTCTATTTTTTCTTATACTCAAGACAGTGTGAGGAGAAGTGTAAACCTCTCTGGGATCCCTGACATATTCTCAGGAGCCCAGAAATTCTTTTTGAAGATTGAGTATTTTGTCGCTTTCATATTTATAACACTCTTTGAAAAATTAAAGTTAGCCTACCCTGCTTCATCTGGATGACCCAGTCTGAACAATTAAGTATGAAGCAATCCATCCGTGGTAGAAATGTTTAACCTCTCCATGAATTCATAAGATTATCTAGCTTCTTAATATGGCAACGTAAAACTGACAGCAATTGTTACATAACTGATATTGTAACTCACACTCAAAAGAATTGCTCAATTCCTTTAATGTTATAAAAGTAATATCTCTCTTTAGCAATGATATTTCCTAACTAAAATGTTTCTTTTTTTTAAAATAAAGTCTTTGATTTTGAATCATGATATGGCAAAGCAAAGTAAATACTACTTTAATTGCAGTAGGTCAGTGAGAAAAGGAGGTGAACTTAATACAAAAATTATACATGCACAGTAGCATTGAAAAAGTACATACAAATGGTTTTTTGTTTTGATTTCTTTTGTTTTGTTTTGAGATGGAGTCTCGCTCTGTCCCCCAGGCTGGAGTGCAGTGGCGCGATCTCAGCTCACTGCAACCTCCGCCTCCTGGGTTCACGCCATTCTCCTGCCTCAACCTCCCGAGTAGCTGGGATTACAGATGCCCACCACCACACCTGGCTAATTTTTTGTATTTTTAGTAGAGACGAGGTTTCACCGTGTTAGCCAGGATGGTCTCAATCTCCTGACCTCGTGATCCACCCACCTCGGCCTCCCAAAGTGCTGGGATTACAGGTGTGAGCCACTGCGCCCGGCCCAAGTGTTTTTTTTTAAATTATGTTTCAGCACAGAGCTGGCCTGCAGACTGCTGAAAAGGTCAGCAATAAATAACTTATTCATGATATTCTAAAAATTGTTTGAAGATAAATGGAAGTTTCTTAGTTATAGTTTAAATCATGAGGCGATTTCTCTTTGGAAGGTTCTTATTAAACATAAAGGCTGAACTAGCAAACAAAGCCTAAGAGTATTAATGCCATTATGTATAACTTATATACACATGTATTTCCTACATTTAGAATATTCTGACTATACTAACTCTTCCTTGTAGGTTAAAGTCAACCATTTAAATATCCAAAGATATCAGGTAAATATTCACAGTTAATCCCTATGATTAAAGGGATAAAGAACAGAAAATTAGATCATGAGCAACATTGGAAAAACTCTGGGGACAAACACTTTGAGACCTGTGATGATCTTTTGATGTGTCAACTTGGCTAGGCTAAGTCTCCAGTTATTCAACCAAAGGCTAATCTTGGGGTTGCTGTAGGTGTGATTAAAGTTCATAATCAGTTACCTTTAAGTAAGAGAGGATCAGCCTAGATTATCTGAGTGGGCCTGATCCAATCAGTTGAAAGGCTTTAAGAGAGGAACTGAGGGTTCCCTGATAAAGACGCCATTCTGCCTTTGGCTAGAAGATTCAGCCCCGAAGTTCCAGCCTGCCCTTCCTGATATCCAGCTCTACAGATTTCAGACTTGCCTATCTAGCTCCCACAATTACATAAGCCAGTTCCTTTTAATAAATCTCTCAATATATATCTCCTACTGGTTTATCTTCTTTGGTTGAATCTTGACTGTTACAGGGCCCCAATGACGTGATGACATGCAGATGTTCCGCACTCATAAGGTACTGATATCTAATACATATTTTAATCCAGCAGAACTTTGTAGGTATTTAAAAACTAACATTTCATTTAAAAACATTTTTTACTTTTTAAAAAGTTTCTGAGACAGTTATGCCCGTATCCCAATACTTGAAGGGAAAAAGGCACTCGCATTAATTTTTTTAAATGGCATCTACTTCTTATGAAGTCATGTTGTTGATTATAAAACTGGGAAAGCTTTTTCAAGCAATTGCTGTAAACTTTACTGAACAATAAAGAGATTGCAATTTAGGAAAACTTCAAGCAAGACAAATGGTCTTAGCCAATGGCCATTAATGGTAGGTACCAGCATGATGTCTCAAAACATCAGACAGAACTGACACAGGGGTTACACATCCAGAGAAGAAACAGAATTTGTCACTCTAGGAGAAGCCAAGGAAGATTCAGAATGAATGTGGATCCATGATCCTCCCTTTTCCCAAATCTCACCAGCAGCTTGGCCCCTGATATTCCAAGATTATAAAACCAACCCTCCATAAATCCCATTACCATCTGTTAAATTTTTTTATTTTTAATTTTTGTGGGTACATATTATGTGTATATATTTATGAGGTATATGCGATATTTTGATACAGGCATACAATGTGTAATCACATTAGGATAAATAGAGTATCCATCACCTCAAGCATTTATTCACAGTGTTACAAACAATCCAATCATACCCATTACCATTTTAAAGAGAATCATAGTGGGTGAAAGAAATGTAAGACACTAAGCATTTATACCAAAGACACTGAGCCATAATAAAGAGGTTATGTAAACTGGAAAAGACTGTTAAACTATAAATTACCAAGTTTCTACAATTGTTTTTCTTCCACATTATCCAGTAAAGCAAAATCTTGTAAAGAAGTTCTGATCTAGGGGCCGGGCGTGGTGGCTCACCCCTGTAATCTCAGCACTTTGGGAGGCTGAGGTGGGTGGATCACAAGGTCAGGAGATCGAGACCATCCTGGCTAACACGGTGAAACCCTGTCTCTACTAAAAATACAAAAAATTAGCCGAACGTGATGGTGGGCACCTGTAGTCCCAGCGGTTCGGGAGACTGAGGCAGGAGAATGGCGTGAACCCGGGAGGCGGAGGTTGCAGTGAGCCGAGATCGCGTCACTGCACTCCAGGCTGGGCGACAGAGCGAGACTCCGTCTCAAAAAAAAAAAAAAAATCTGATCTATTAAAAGAGGAAGTTATATTTTATTGGCACATTTAAGGCAGTGTAAATACATTTTCAACCGTGTCATAAAAGGGCTCTTTTAATGAAAGGCCTGGGATTCAGAGTTTAAATGATTTCCCAAAATGTCCAGAAATATGCCTTTGATTTTACAACTGTAAAAGGAGTGAGAGTAGGGGAGTGGTTGTTGAAGATGAGTTAAGGTAGAAAAATAATGGAAGGGAGTACATGGCATCTATTCCTTTTCAGACAAACTGGTCTGGACTGAGTTTGGATCCCTGGACAGGGTTCAGAGTAAAAAACTAATAGAAATGCTTACAAAATATTTTGTAGAACTCAGTACAACTAGATTTTCTTTGATGCCCAGGTGATAACTATATAGCATAAAATTAAAATAACAAGACTGGTCTTTCTGCAAAATAAAAGTTAAGAGCCATTTACCATCAGGAACTAAGGGTCTGAGTCTTCAGACACCAAACCTTCTGGCAAAGTGCAAACGTGGAGAGAGGAGAAAACAGACAAAGGGGATCTGAAACAGTCCGGAATGCATCCTTAAGACAGCTGCAGTTTCTGAAGGTTTAGCAGTACTTTGGTAAGGAGGAAATTGATCTTCATGTCAGAATTCACCAAAGGCCTTATGTAGTGGAACTGTACTGAGGTTTGGCTTTGGCCTCATTATTTGACACAAATCTGTTTGGGACAGCCTCAGCCTTTGGAAGATGAAGAGTCGAATACCTGAGTAAATGTCATTTCAGACATCCCTGAACCTGTATGTGATTAATGGTTATGTCATCATGTATGTTACCAATATACCTAATCAGAATTACATTGTCATAATATAAATAAGACAAGTCATTTGGATTTACTATTATTCACTAAATCGTTCCTTTCAAATATTGGTACAATTTCAAGATATACTTTGAAGCAAAACCTGTTTATATGTTTGTTGTATTGAAATTCTATGTCAACTGAAATATAAAGGTATGTTTATCATAGCAAGGGTAAAGATTTACTATTGTCAACTGAAACATCCCAAGATCTACAAATCTAGAAAAGGAGACTTTACCTGTAAAGGGTTACAGCCTACAAGGTGGCCATCCCACAGGCTGGGAAGCACAGCCTCCAGCAACGACCAGAGACAGGCACTTTGAAGGAGGAGGAGTTGGGAGAGAGCTTTATGCTGAGCTTATTGGCCAAACATACATATTCAACAGCTTACAGGAGGAGCTATGATTATTCATAAAGGTGGTCCTGACACATGTGTATTGAACAAACATGCATATAACATATGAGCCATGTTCACTCTGGGTTGATGACTTAACATTTAAGTATTTTATAGTCAGGCCCTGCACATCCAAAGATCTTTTCAGGACATAAAGGCACTCAAGTGCACATCCTCTGTAAACCCATCAGAACCAGTCCTGGTTGGTGATCTTATCAGGAGAAAATTATTAAGATCAGTCTCTTGTCCAATCAAAGCTGTAGTTATGGCTTGTGAAACAGGGAGAGTTAGTTAGTTAGTGTCTGGTGGTGAGCTACAATTGTTTTCATATTGCTTATCTTGAGGCCAGTGCTTGGTTAGCTGCTAGAGAAAGAGGAAAACCTTATGGCAGTTAGAACATAGTCTATTCTTTAAGTGTAGCGGTGTGTGACTTAACCCTACCTGGCATTGCCTTAGGTCTTGCTACATTATTGTCACAAAGAGTCTGTTTTGTCAGTATTATGATCTCAATTTTAACATTAATGCTGGTCAGTTGTTCTGTCTAAACTGGAAAAAAAGAGGATATCATGAAGTGTGTCCAACCTCCCATGCCAGGGGTCACCTTGGTCAAGAGGGTGTTTTTTCAATCCATGAGTGAACTTAGGATTTTGTTTTTATACTACAATGGTATGTTTTGAAAGCTGTTAATTTAATGTACAAGAACAATTATTAGGAATTTTGAAGTAGGTAAATAAGAAAAATATATTGAAAGTTAATATGAACATTAAGAGAAAATACACAAGCTTGTTACCTTTAGGAACACTATAGTAGTAACTAGCCTCCAAGATGGCGCCTAATGATCCTTACCTCCTGGGATAGTATCTTCCCATACTGAATAGGACTGACTTCCATAAATAATAATTGCATTAAGATTTCCAGGGCTATGTTGAAATAGATATTGAGGCTTCCAACTTCTCTCTCTTTAATTACCTTTTCTAGAGAAAGTCAGCTACCCTGTTGTAAGGACACTCAGGCAGGCTATGGAGAAGTTTGGGTAAGGAAGAAATGAGGCCTCCAGCCAACAACCAACACCAGCTTGCTAAGTTATTCATGTGCGCCAACTAGGAAGTAGATCTTTCAGCCCCAGTAAAGGTTTCAGGCAACTGAAGCCCTAACCAACATCTGGACTGCAATCTCGAAAGACCCCACCCCCACCCCAAGCCCAAACTGTGGGATAAGACATTTTGAGTTCCTTTTGCTGTGCAGATGCTCTTTAGTCTAATTAGATCCCACTTGTCAATTTTGGCGTTTGTTGTCATTGCTTTTAGTGTTTTAGTCATGAAGTCTTTGCTCATTCCTATGTCCTGAATGATACTGCCTAGGTTTTCTTCTAGGCTTTTTATGGTTTTAGGTCTTACATTTAAGTCTTTAATCCATCCTGAGTTAATTTTTATATAAGGTGTAAGGAAGAGGTCCAGTTGCAGTTTTCTGCATATAGCTAGCCAGTTTTCCCAACATCATTTATTAAATAGGGAATCCTTTCCCCATTGCTTGTTTTTGTCAGGCTTGTCAAAGATCAGATGGTTGTAGATGTGTGGTGTTATTTCTGAGACCTGTATTCTGTTCCATTGGTCTATATATCTGTTTTGGTACCAGTAGCATGCTGTTTTGGTTACTGTAGCCTTGTAGTGTAGTTTGAAGTCAGGTAGCATGATACCTCCAGCTTTGTTCTTTTGGCTTAGGATGGTCTTGGCTATGTGGGCTCTTCTTTGGTTCCAGATGAAATTTAAAGTAGTTTTTTCTAATTCTGTGAAGAAAGGCAATGGTAGCTTGATGGCGATAGCACTGAATCTATAAATTACCCTGGGCAGTATGGCCATTTTCATGATACTGATTCTTCCTATCCATGAGCATGGAATGTTTTTCTGTTTTTTTGTGTCTTCTCTTATTTCCTTGAGCAGTGGTTTGTAGTTCTCCTTGAAGAGGTCCTTCACATCCCTTGTAAGTTGTATTCCTAGGTATTTTATTCTGTTTGTAGCAATTGTGAATGGAAGTTCACTCACGATTTGGCTCTCTGTTTGTCTATTATTGGTGTATAGGAATGCTTGTGATTTTTGCACATTGATTTTGTATCCTGAGACTTCTGTTTTTAAGGCATAATCACTATTTACATTAATTCTAATATGGAATTGGGTGGTATATATTATACAAGTCAGTTTCAACAATAACAAAAAAATTCTTACTATTGTACTTTGTTGATAGCAATACCCACGTAGCAAGTCTTATTAGCAAGGAGTGACTGCAAAAAGCACCGTGTGGCTGGGACTTGCTGAAGAAGTAAGCATCCTGATGGGTCTTGAAACTGTAAAGGCTTCTCACATGCTGCCAGCTCTCAAAACTCTCTCATCATTCTGCTTTAGGGAAAATGCTGAAATTGGTTTGTAGGCAATGAATGCAGAGATACAAGTGGAAATTAATAGAAAATTCTGTTATCTTTAAAGACAGTTACATTATGCCATCCACATATTTCTAAAATCCAATGTTTAAGGAACAAATGTGTTTCAAGTGGTGGAAATGGAATAGAACACTAGAATGTTTCAGAGACGTGCCTTTCCCCAATTGTGATATTTGTACTACAGTGAATATAGTGCTCAATTCATAGTGTCAACTTCAATTTTTACTGTCTTTTAAGACTTTAGTTTGAAATAATTTTAGGCTTACAGAAGAATTAAGAGCACTGTACAGTGAGTTCCCATATCCCCTTCATCAGTTTCCCCAGTGTAGCATAACCATAGTTCAATGATTGAAACCAGGAAATTAACATTTGTACAATACTGTTAACTAAAATACAAGCTTTATTCAGATTTTCCTCGTTTTCCTACAACAGTCTTCTTTTCTGTTCCAGGATCCAATTTGGAATCCTACACTGCATTTAGTTGACATGTCTCCACACTCTCCTCCAAACTGTTGTTTCTCAGTCTTTCCTTGCCTGTCTTTCAGGACTTCAAAACTTTTATGTCGTACTAAGTTACTATCTAATTTAGCTAATTTGTAGAGTATATCTCAGTTTTGGTTTGTCTCATGCTTGCTCATGATTGGAGTGAGCTTTGCATTATTATTGGGAAGGATAGTACAGAGACAATGTACACTTCTCAGGGTACCGTATCAGAAGGGTGCATGATGCCACCTGTCACTATATCTTATTACCTGTGATGTTAGCTTTGAGTCCTTGATTAAGGTGGTGTCTGTCAGATTTCTCCCCTGTGATGTTACTATTTTGGAAGACATAATTTGGGGTGCAAATATCCTTTTTCTCCTTAAAATTTTACCCAAAATTTCAGCATCCATTGGTGAATCTTGCCTGAAACAATTATAACTGTAGTGTTGTAATGGTAATTCTATATTTACCACCTTTCCTCTAGAATTACTAATTGGATTCTTTTTCTGTAAGGAAGTGTTATCTCTTGTCTACCATTTGTATATTTATTCAGTTATTTATTTATGTCAAGATAAATACTTTTTCTTTTTTGTCTTCCTACATGATGGGTAGCAGGTAATTTTTTAAGACTGTATTTTTTAAAAGCAGTTTTAGCTTCACAGCAAAATTGAGAGTAAGATACAGAGACCTCTCATCCATCCACCACTCCCACACACGCATATTCACCCACAGAGGAGCACATTTTTAAAAATTGATGAACCTATACTGACATATCATTAATACCCAAATCAACAGTTTATATTAGGGTTCCTTCTTGGAGCTGTGCATTCTGTGGACTTGGACAAATGTATCAAGGTATGAATCTACCATTATAATACCATACAGAGTAGTTTTATTGCCCTAAATATCCTGTGTGCTCTGCCTATTCATCCCTCCCTCCTCCCAAGCCCCTGACAACCACTGATGTTTTTACTGTCTCCATAGTTTTGCCTTTTACAGAAAGTCATATTGTTGAAATCATACAGTATGTAGCCTTCTCAGATTGGCCTCTTTCTCTTAGTAATCTATACTTACATTTCCTTGTCATCTGTTCATGGCTTGAGAGCTCATTTCTTTATAGCACTAAATAATATTCCATTGTCTAGAAGGACCAGAGTTTATTTATTCACCTATTGAAAGACATCTTGTTTGCTTCCAAGGTTTCACAATTATAAATCAAGTTGCTATAAACATCTGTGGGCAGGTTTTGTGTAGACATAGCTTTAAACTCCTTTGAGTAAATACCGAGAAGCATAATTGCTGGATCATATGGTAAGAATGTGTTTAGTTCTGTAAGAAATTGCCAAACTGTCTTCCAAAGTGGCTGTTCTATTTTGCATTTCTACCAGCAATGGATGACAGTTTCTGTTGCTCCACATTCTTGCCAGTTTTTGGTGTTGCCAGTGTTTTGGATTTCGGATGTTCTATTAAGTGTACAGTGCTATCTCATTTTGTTTAATTTGCATTCCCCTCCTGATGACATATGATATCATGTGGAATATCTTTTCATACACTTACTTGCTATCTATATCTTCTTTGGTGAAGTGTCTGTTAAGGTCTTTGGCACTTTTTTTTTTTTTTTGGGAGATGGAGTCTCACTTTGTTGCCCAGGCTGGAGTGCAGTGGTGCGATCTCGGCTCACTGCAAGCTCCACCTCCCGGGTTCACGCCATTCTCCTGCCTCAGCCTCCCGAGTAGCTGAGACTACAGGCGCCCGCCACCACGCCCAGCTAATTTTTTTTTTTTTTTTTTTTTGTATTTTTAGTAGAGACAGGGTTTCACCATGTTAGTCAGGATGGTCTCAATCTCCTGACCTCGTGATCCTCCCGCCTCGGCCTCCCAAAGTGCTGGGATTACAGGCATGAGCCACCGTGCCTAGCCATTTGGCCCATTTTTTAATTAGTTGTTTATTTTCTTACTGTTGAGTTTTAAGAGTTCTTTGTATAATTCTGATAACAGACCTTTATCAGAGATATAGTTTCTCCCAATATGTGGCTTCTCTCGACAATCTTTTTTGCAGAGCAGAATTTTTAATTTTAATGAAGTCCAGATTATCAATTCTTTCTTTCATGGATTGTGCCTTTGGTGTCTTATCTAAAAGGCCATTGCCAAGCCCAAGGTCATCTAGATTTACTTTGATCTTACCTTTTAGGACATTTATAATTTTGCCCTTCACGTTTTAGGTCTCTGATCCATTTTGAGTTAATTTTTGTGAAAAGTGTGAGGTCTATGTCTAGATTCTTTTTTTTTTTTTTTTTTTGGATGGATATCCAGTGTTCTAGCACTATTTGTTGAAAAGGTGATATTTCCCCAATGTATTGTCTTTGCTCCTTTGTCTGCACTGTAGTCTTATAATAGTGAATTTATATTACCACCTTCCTTCTACAGTTACTAATTGGAACTCTTCTGTAAATACATGTTAACTCTTGTCTACCATTTCTCTATTTATTCAGTTACTTATCTATATCAATATGGACTCATTGATATTTATTTTATTCTTTGGGTTAACTTCAATTATGTTTAACTAATTTATGTTGGTTTTATAAATCCAGAGTTAGAGATAGCTAAACTAGTAGAATCCAGTGTGAATATTTAAGTCAAAATTCTGAAACCCAGTGTAGTCTCAATCATGTAACAGAATTCTTTAAAGAGTTGTTTCTTGGCCGGGTGCGGTGGCTTACGCCCATAATCCCAGCACTTTGGGAGGCCGAGGCAGGCAGAGCACCTGAGGTCAGGAGTTCGAGACCAGCCTAGCCAACATGGGGAAACCCTGTCTCTACTAAACATACAAAAATTAGCTGGGTGTGGTGGCGGGTGCCTGTAATCCCAGCTACTCAGGAACCTGGGGCAGGAGAATCGCTTGAACCCAGAAGGTGGAGGTTGCAGTGAGCCGAGATAGTGCGATTGCACTCCAGTCTGGGCAACAAGAGCGGAACTCTGTCTCAAAAAAAAAAAAAAAAAAGTACTTTCTTAAATGTGTGAAATGTGTGTGTGTGTATATGTGTGTATTCCATACTAGATTTTCTATAAATGTTTAATAAATGTTTGCTTTTCAAATGAGTAAGTAATTTCTTATCACTGAACATTTACTAAGTGCTCAAGGCATAACAAGTAACTATGTCAGATTAAGATTATGCCCCTGATAGGCCGGGTGCGGTGGCTCACGCCTGTCACCCCAGCACTTTGGGAGGCCGAGGTGGGCGGATCACCTGGGGTCAGGAGTTCAAGACCAGCCCAGCCAACATGGCAAAACCCCATCTCTACTAAATATACAAAAAAATTAGCCGGGTGTGATGGCGGGCACCTGTAATCCCAGCTACTCTGGAGGCTAGAATCACTTGAACCCAGGAGGCGGAAGTTGCAGTGAGCTGAGATCATACCACTGCACTCCAGCCTGGGCGACAGAGTGAGACTCTGTCTCCAAAGAAAAAAAAAAAAAAGTTTATGCCCCTGATGATAAACATTATGGAGCTTACATTTTACCAGGCTTTTATTTCATCGTGAGGATACATGATCAAAGAACACGAAATTTTTCTCTAGGACACACTGTTAACATCACCATTATATCATTTGCCAAATGTTAGTTATGAGCCTTGGTTGAAGTAATGCATGCCAAGTTTCTTCACTGTAGAATGACTATTTTCAGTAGGACACTTTGAGACTATGCAAAAATCCTGCTCCTCCTTAAACTTTTTCCCACAATTTTACCCACTAAGTTAATCTTCCAGACTTTTATTTACTTGATTACTGGATCCAAAGAGTTCCAAATACTTTGACTAAATAATGGTAAAATTAGAAATCTTTGCCAAAAAGAATATACTGGCCTAATAGAATATAAAGGTTTAAGTAGAAATATATATGTATAATTTCAATCAAGCCCGAGACTTCTCCCCATTAGTAGGATGTTTTAGTTAAAAACACATGAAAGGCTTTTGCCTGAATTTACCCAGATAGTTACAGTTGAATGACTAAGATGGAAGGTTAAATGCTTTGTCAGCATTTCAAAGATGAATTTCAATATCTATTATAACATCTTTATGATATGAAATATTTTCTTTTCTGCTAATGCCCTATTGCTGTGAATAATCAAACCATTCAAACTACTTTCTCTAATGCAATTAAAAAAAAAACTAATAAAAATTCTGAGTTTTGATTCTAGGCCAGAAGTCTGCCTGTAGTCGGGGGAAAAAAAAGGTGGGAAAGTCATTCATTGTCATTCTCCAGGAATTTTAGAAGATAGTACACTTTTAAAGCTTCTTGGAAACTCTAGATAATAGGCAGTCAATATTACAAATACAGGTTAAACAAGAGACGTTAATTAAAATCGTCATTTAGGGAAGAACATTACTGTTACCATTAATTTAATTTCTGAAACAATTTATAGATTTTACCTTTTATCACCTTAAAAAGAATGGAGAAAGATTTTATTAGAAGGCCACAGTTCATATACATCATTTTCTATGGGGCTAACATGCATCAACTCTCAAAACTCCCTCACGTTCATTGCAGTAAACACACAGCCTTTGGCAAATCTATATGGGGTAGAGTTGAGAACTTAGTGGCATCCTTATAAGTTCATAAAACTACTGTGTATAAACCTAAAGGACAAATAAGTAACATGAAGGGATTGATGAAATTAAGTGAAAAAGTGAACAAAACGTGTATGTAAAGTGTAAAAATTGAGGTCAAGGGTGCAGTTTCATGCTTAGAATAACCTTAGGGAGATGTGTGCCAAGTCTACAATATTATGCTTAATTGTGGTCTAACTTTAAGTGCTCTGAGACATTTCTGGTGAATGCCAAGTCATCTAGACAACTCAAGGAATTGAAAGCTTGAGAAGAAAGTCAACAGTTAGCACTGCTATTCAATTTTTTCATGACCCAGGACAAGTCACTAGGTCTCTCTGTACCTAGGTTCTTAAACTCCGCATCTGTAAAATTGAAATTATGCTCCCAAATTGCTTCTCAATATTGTTGTGAAAGTTATCCAATAAAAGGTATGGCATTTTAAAGCACTGAATGGGTTCCCCTGTAATAGTCAAATGTCAGTATCTGTTCCCAAGAAATATAGTAGATTTTCTCTTCTGAGAGATTTTTTAAGTCATTTGTCCTGAAAGTTTTCAGCAGCCACTAATCTAGGAGAATATCAGATTGAATTTTTTGACATCCATTAGTTTTATTCTCTTATAAATTAAGTGCTGCTTTCATGTAACAGTTCTCAATAAGGCTTGACCAGTGATACATGATCTACACACAACTACGCATCCACTCTTGCCTTTCCAAGTTATTCTCCAAATTGCAGCCAAAATGATCTTTTCAAAGCACAGGTCTAAAGATGTCACTCCCTTTCTTAAAGCCCTTGAATGGCTTCCCTTTGTGTTTAGGACAACGACGGAACTGCTTAATGGTCCACAAGACTGTCTATGGTCTAATACTTAGAGTCCACCATCCTCCAAAACTCTCCCTACCTGTTTTCTTTCACTGTCTCTTCATCCCACTCTTTCCCTTCCCAGGGTCACGGTCTTGCACACACTTCCCTCCTGCCCTCTCTGAGTTTCATACCCACTCACTCTCTCTGGCAGTCATTTTCTTACAAATGTCTAACCTAACATCCACAGCACTGTGCTTTTCTCTTTGGTAGCCCTTATAGAGTTGGCATTTACATTTTTTGTGTGTGATTATTTCATTGCTCTTTGTCTCCCTCATTAGATTGTAAATATTAAAATCCTTCACGTATTGGCATCACAGTGTATCTCTAGGGCCTACACAGTGCTCGACTCAGTAAATTTTTGTTGAATAAACAGTATTTCCTTAAATCAATATTTTCCATTGCAGCCAATGGTGGTCAGTGACACTAGGCAGGAAGAAGCTCCATTTCTGGATGACATTCGTTCACATTAAAGATAAACAAAACAGTTTATTGGTAATGACGCTGATCGCTTTTGCAAGAGCTTCCTTTCAATAAGCTATTTTAAGAAAACCAACTTATTTCCAAGCCTGGGACCTCTACTGAGAATACAAGCTTCTCTCATCACAGCAAGGAATAGAAATGCAGTGATGATCGCAGTCATTGTTGAAATGCATCAGTAGGTCTCCGAGTTGTCCCTCAAAGGACAACAGCCCAGCCTGCTAAAAGGTTTAACCTAGTTTTCTGCCATTTGATATCATGTGATAATGCCTTTTTCTACACTCTTTAATTCTCTTGTGGGATAATACTGATCATTTTAGCTTCCTACTGTCCTCTGGGTATCCTGTTTCTTTAAGGACAACAGAAAACAGCTGAAATACTTATCGGAAGTATATGGGATGGCATATGATTCCTGTTTCTATGAAAATAAAGCCTGTCCATAAACATTAGTACATCTTTAGAAATACAAATATATTAAAGAGGAAGCAAACATTTGAGTGACATCACCTCTCAGGGGAAATATTTGGGTTCTGTGAATTAAAGGGCTTCACAGAAGATTTCTGGAGTAGAATAAAAACCAAATCCGATGTATACTGGTTAAAGCCCCAGACACTCAAGATGAAGGAGCCCTGAATTCTCTTTGAGCGCAGAAAAGATTCTTTCTGCCCTAGAAGAAGGTGACTTCTTTGGATCTCTGTTACTCTCTTCAATAACATGGATTTCATCTTGTTTCATCTGTCTTTTTTTCTCAATTGTTTATCAATTTTTCAAGTGTCTTTTCTAGGATATAAGCTAGTTGAGAGTAGGATTTTATTTGAAGTAAGGACCGTTTTAGCAAAACTGTAGGTAAAAAAGCGGTATTTACTTAATAAATTGATGTAAAATAATGGATAATTGTGTATCTAATAATAGTTCCTGTGCCAAGAACTACTTTAAGTGCCTTACACATATGTTAAGTCCTATCTTGTATCTTCTGTCTCGTAGCTGGAGGCTCAGCAATGTAGTCACTGTGATGAAAGAGTAGGCCTTTCTAGCCTGGCCAACATGGTAAAACCCAGTCTTTACTAAAATACAAAACTTAGCCAGGTGTGGTGGCACACGCCTGTAATCACAGCTACTTGGGAGGCTGAGGCAGGAGAATTGCTTGAACCCGGGAGGCAGAGGTTGCAGTGAACTGAGATTGTGCCATTGCACTCCAGTCTGGGCAACAAGCAAGACCCTGTCTCAAAAAATAAAACAAGGTCAGGCTCAGCGGCTCACGCCTGTAATCCCAGCACTTTGGGAGGCCAAGGCAGGCAGATCACAAGGTCAGGAGATGGAGAGCATCCTGGCTAACACGTGAAACCCTGTCTCTACTAAAAATACAAAAAAAATTAGCCGGGTGTGGTGGCAGGCGCCTGTAATCCCAGCTACTTGGGAGGCTGAGGCAGGAGAATGGTGTGAACCTGGGAGGCGGAGCTTGCAGTGAGCCGAGATCATGCCACTGCACTCCAGCCTGGGCGACAGGGCAAGACTCCGTCTCAAAAAAAAATTAAAAAAAATAAAAAAAAATAAAACAAAACAAAAAACAGAGTAGGCCTCTCTATTGTTGAAGCTTTTTATCCCCTTTCACAGTTTCTAAAGGGACACCCATGAAGCATGAAACAATCACTTAAATCAACCCTGACAAATAATAGTGTGACAAATATCCCAGCCAAACTGCCAACATCTTTATGTCACAATATGCAAGCTGTCTAGCTCATTCCCATGAGAAATGCTACAATGAGTAAGATCTGGCTTATTCTCCAAAGAGCACTTAACTTTTGGGGGCTGATAAAATTGGCTGTTCCTTCCACTCCCACTCCCTTCACCAACAACTTTTTCCTGCTGGACTCCCAAAATGCTTACAGCAAAGTACATATCATTAGGTAGGAGATTGTAGACTTTACTTTTGAGAAAATTGATTTAACCAAAAGAAAATACTTCAAATCTTATTTGGGGAGCATCCCAGTGAGATAGCCAGACGCTCCATCCAATCACTCTGTGGCAAGGTCCACAAATTGGCAAACTGTGCCTAGAAACAGAGCTCTCAATAATATCTTATTTAAAAATGAACAGCCAGAGACCACCAGGCGACTAAGGGAAGTTTAAACTCAAAGATGGAAACTGAACAAACAGAACAGAGAAAACAATGATGAGAGAAAACAAATGGAAACTTTAAAATGCTTACATGATTTTACTTAAAATGTAAGAGCAGATACTGCAACCATCTAAAAAAATTACAGATTACTGAGGGATCATGGCAGACGGGAGGCAGGACTAGAATTGCAGCTCCAGACAGAGCAGCGAGCGGAGGCTTGCACTGTGAATTTTAGCTCCAGATTGACTGCAAAAACAGACCAGCAATCCTGAGAGGACCCACAGAAACTCTGAAGGAAGCAGACAGCTCCTGCAGGGTCCAGAAGACACCTCAAATATCATGAGTGCCCCAACTGCGGAAGTGGGAAAGGGAGACCCTCCTCTCCTGAACACACACCCCCACTGGAGAAGCTGAAGGTCTGATTGCAGGAGAAGTTTCTGACTGTACCTGGGGCTGAGTCAAGTTAGACAGCCAAGCTGAGTGAAATACAAGAGTAGAGGAAGCAGCAGAAAGGCCCTGGGAACTCGCTGGGTCCCTTAGCAGCCCATTCCTGCCTGACACCACAAGGATCCATCGGGAGGGTGGCCAGAGGAGCAGGGGGTAAAACTCCACGGGGAGAAGGACTTCTTTAGCTTAACTTTGTAACAATGTGAACGGGGCGAGAAGCCTCCTGGCTAGAACTCACAGGCAGAACAGAAGCCTCCTGGCCAGAACTGCACAGGTGTGCAGACTTCACAGGCAGGGGAAAGAACTAAAGCCCTTTTCTTTCGCAGATAAGGAGGCGGAAAGCCTCAGGCATGTTTTCAAGCCCATCTTGCCCTCCACCTGGAAACAGACTCTGGGCTGTTGGGGGAGGTACGGTGGGAGTGAGACTGGCCCTTCAATTTGCATGGGAGCTGGGTGAGGCCTGTAACTGCCAGCTTTCCCCACTTCCTTGACAATCTACATGACTCAGCAGCGGTAGCCATAATCCTCCTAGGTACACAACTCCAGTGACCTGGGAATCTCACCCCCATTCCCCACAGTAGCTGCAGCAAAACCCGCCCCTAGCACCAGGCTTATCTAATGGTTCTTCAAAATTCACCCTAGTAGCCAAACACAGAGGGCATTTAATATTGGGGGTTCTAGGGCCCCATCCACCGCCACTCCCTCTCCACACTACTATAGCTGATGCTTTCGGGAAAGTGCCACCTCCTGGCAGGAGGCCAACCAGCACAAAAATAGTGCATTAAACCACCAAAGCTAAGGACCCTCATGCAGTCCACTGCACCCTCCACCACCTTCACCAGAACAGGCACTGGTATCCACGGCTGAGAAACTCACAGATGGTTCATATCACAGAACTCTGTGCAGACAACCCCCAGTACCATCCCAGAGCCGGGTAGACTCGCTGGGTTGCTAGACCCAGAAGAGAGACAACAATCACTACTCTTGGCTCACAGGAAGCCACATCCACTGGGAAAAGGGGAGAGTACTGCATCAAGGGAACACCCCGTGGGACAAAAAAATCTGAACAACAGCCTTCAGACATAGACCTTCCCTCTGACAGAGCCTACCCAAATGAGAAGGAAACAGAAAACCAACCCTGGTAATATGAAAAAACAAGGCTCTTCAACACCCCCCAAAAAAATCACACAACTTCACCAGCAATGGATCCAAAAGAAGAAATCCCTGATTTACCTGAAAAAGAATCCAGGAGATTAGTTGTTAAGTTAATCAGGGAGGGAAGAGAGAATGGTGAAGCCCAATGCAAAGAAATCCAAAACATGATACAGGAAGTGAAGAGAGAAATATTCAAGGAAATAGATAGCTTAAAGAAAAAACAATAAAAAAAAACTCGGGAAACTTTGGATAAACTTTTAGAAATGCAAAATGCTCTGAAAAGTCTCAGCAGTAAAATTGAACAACTAGAAGAAAGAAATTCAGAGATCTAAGACAAGGTCTTAGAATTAACCCAACCCAACAAAGACAAATGGACTTAACAGATATATACAGAACATTTTATCCAAGAACCACAAAATACACATTCTTTTATTTATTTATTTATTTTTTTATAGTATTTATTGATCATTCTTGGGTGTTTCTCGGAGAGGGGGATTTGGCAGGGTCATAGGACAATAGTGGAGGGAAGGTCAGCAGATAAACAAGTGAACAAGGGTCTCTGGTTTTCCTAGGCAGAGGACGCTGCGGCCTTCCACAGTGTTTGTGTCCCTGGGTACTTGAGATTAGGGAGTGGTGATGACTCTTAACGAGCATGCTGCCTTCAAGCATCTGTTTAACAAAGCACATCTTGCACCGCCCTTAATCCATTTAACCCTGAGTGGACACAGCACATGTTTCAGAGAGCACGGGGTTGGGGGTAAGGTTATAGATTAACAGGATCCCAAGGCAGAAGAATTTTTCTTAGTACAGAACAAAATGGAGTCTCCCACGTCTACTTCTTTCCACACAGACACAGTAAAAATCCGATCTCTTTCTTTTCCCCACATTTCCCCCTTTTCTATTCGACAAAACCAGCATCATCATCATGGCCCATTCTCAATGAGCTGTTGGGTACACCTCCCAGATGGGGTGGCGGCTGGGCAGAGGGGCTCCTCACTTCCCAGACAGGGTGGCCAGGCAGAGGCGCCCCCCCACCTCCCGGACGGGGCAGCTGCTGGGCGGGGGCTGCCCCCCACCTCCCTCCCGGACGGGGCGGCTGCCGGGCGGAAACGCTCCTCACTTCCCAGACGGGGTGGCTGCCGGGCGGAAACGCTCCTCACTTCCCAGACGGGGTGGCTGCCGGGCGGAGGGGCTCCTCGCTTCCCAGAGGGGGTGGCTGCCGGGCAGAGGGGCTCCTCACTTCTCAGACGGGGCAGCCGGGCAGAGACACTCCTCACCTCCCAGACGGGGTGGCGGTTGGGCAGAGACGCTCCTCAGTTCCCAGACGGGGCACTGTCCGGGCAGAGGCGCTCCTCACATCCCAGATGGGGCAGCGGGGCAGAGGCGCTCCCCACATCTCAGACGATGGGTGGCCGGGCAGAGACGCTCCTCACTTCCTAGATGGGATGGTGGCCGGGAAGAAGCGCTCCTCACTTCCCAGACTGGGCGGCCGGGCAGAGGGGCTCCTCACATCCCAGACAATGGGTGGCCAGGCAGAGACGCTCCTCACTTCCCAGATGGGGTGGCAGCCGGGCAGAGGCTGCAATCTCAGCACTTTGGGAGGCCAAGGCAGGCGGCTGGGAGGTGGAGGTTGTAGCGAGTTGAGATCATGCCACTGCACTCCAGCCTGGGCAACATTGAGCACTGAGTGAGCGAGACTCCGTCTGCAATCCCAGCACCTCGGGAGGCCGAGGCTGGCAGATCACTCGCTGTCAGGAGCTGGAGACCAGCCCGGCCAACACGGCGGGCCAACACGGAGAAACCCCGTCTCCACCAAAAAAATACGAAAACCAGTCAGGCGTGGCAGCGCGCGCCTGCAATCCCAGGCACTCGGCAGGCTGAGGCAGGAGAATCAGGCAGGGAGGTTGCAGTGAGCCGAGATGGCGGCAGTACAGTCCAGCCTCGGCTCGGCATCAGAGGGAGACCGTGGAAAGGGGAGATGAGGGAGATGGAGACTGTGGAAAGGGCAGAGGCAGAGGCAGAGGCAGAGGCCAGAGGCCAGAGGCCAGAGGCAGAGGCAGAGGCAGAGGACAAAATACACATTCTATTAAACAGTGCATGGAACTTTCTCCAAGATAGACCATACGATAGGCCATAAAACAAGCTTCAATAAATTTAAGAAAATTGAAATTATATCAAGCACTCTCTCAGACCACAGTGGAATAAAACTGGAAATCAATTCCAAAAGGAACCTTTAAAACCATGCAAATACATGGAAATTAAATAACCTGCTCCTGAATGAGCATTGGGTCAAAAACAAAATCAATATGGAAATCTAAAAATTCTTTGAACTCAACAACAATGACACAATCACACAACCTATCAAAACCTCTGGGATATAGCTAAGGTGGTGCTAAGAGGAAATGTCATAGCCCTAAATGCCTACATCAAAAAAAACTGAAAGAACACAAACAGACAATCTAAGATGATACCTCATGGAACTATAGAAACAAGAACAAACCAAACCCAAACCCAGCAGACAAAAGGAAATAACCAAGATCATAGCAAAACTAAATGAAATTGAAACAAAAAAATACAGAAGATAAATGAAACAAAAGCTAGTTTTTTGAAAAGATAAATAAAATTGATAGACCACTGGCAAAGATTAACCAAGAAAAGAAGAGAGAAAATCCAAATAACCTCACTATGAAACAAAACAGGAGATATTACAACTGACATCACTGAAATACACAAGATCATTCAAGGCTACTGTGAACACATTTACACACATAAACTAGAAAATCTAGAAGAGATGGATAAATTCCTAGAAAAGTACAACCCTCGTAGCTTAAATCAGGAAGAATTAGATACCCTGAACAGACCAATAAAAGCAGCAAGATTGAAATGGCAATTTAAAAATTACCAACAGAAAAAAGGTCAAGGACCAGACAGATTCACAGAAGAATTCTACCAGACATTCAAAGAATTGATACCAATCCTTTGACACTATTCCACAAGACAGAGAAAGAAGGAACCCTCCCAAATTCATTCTATGAAGCTAGAATCACCCTAATACCAAAACCAGGAAAGGACATGACCAAAAGAGAAAACTACAGACCAATATCCTTGATGAATGCACCAAGTGGGTTTCATACCAGAGATGAAGGGATGGTTTAACGTATGCAAGTCAATAAATGTGCTACACCACATAAACAGAATTAAAAACAAAAATCATATGATCAGCTCAATAGATGCAGAAAAAGCATTCGACAAAATCCAGCATTCCTTTATGATTAAAACTCTCAGCAAAATCAGCATACAAGGGACACATCTTAATGTAATAAAAGCCATTTATGACAAACCCACAGCCAACATAATACTGAATGGGGAAAAGTTGAAAGCATTCCCTCTGAGAACTGGAACAAGACAAGGATGCCCACTCTCACCACTCTTCTTCAACATAGGACTGGAAGTCCTAGCCAGAGCAATTAGACAAGAGTAAGAAATAAACACCATCCAAATCAGTACAGAGGAATTCAAACTGCCACTGTTTGCTGATGATATCATTGTTTACCTTGAAAACCCTAAGGACTCCTCCAGAAAGCTCCTAGAATTGATAAAAGAATTCAGCAAATTTCCAGATAAAAGATTAATGAACACAAATCAGTAGCTCTTCTCTATACCAACAGTGACGAAACGGAGAATCAAATCAAGAACTCAACCTCTTTTACAATAGCTGCAAAAAACAAACAAACAAAACAAACAAACAAACAAACAAAAACTTGGGAATATACCTAACAAAGAAGTCAAAAGCCCTCTGCAAGGAAAACTATGAAACACTGCTGAAAGAAATCACAGAAAACACAAACAAATGGAAACACATTCCATGCTCATGGATGGGTAGAATCAATATTGTGAAAATGACCATACTGCCAAAAGCAATCTACAAATTCAACACAATCCCCATCAAAATACCACCATCATTCCTCAAAGAGATAGAAAAACCAATTCTAAAATTCATATGGAACCAAAAAAGAGTCCGCATAGCCAAAGCAAAACTAAACAAAAAGAACAAATCTGGAGGCATCACACTACCTGATTTCAAACTCTACTATAAGGCCATGGTCACCAAAACAGCATGGTACTGGCATAAAAATAGGTGCATAGACCAATGGAACAGAATAGAGAACCCAGAAATAAACTCAAATACTTAGAGCCAACTGATCTTCGACAAAGCAAACCAAACCATAAAGTTGGGGACAGGACACCCTTTTCAACAAATGGTGCTGGGATAATTGGCTAGCCACATGTAGGAGAATGAAACTGGATCCTCATCTCTCACCTTATATAAAAGTCAACTTGAGACGGATTAAGGACTTAAACCTAAGACCTGAAACTATAAAAATTCTAGAAGATAACATTGGAAAAACCCTTCTGGACATTGGCTTAGGCAAAGATCTCATGACCAAAAACCGAAAAGCAAATACAATAAAAACAAAGATAAATAGCTGGCACCTAATTAAACTAAAGAGCTTTTGCACAGCACAAGGAACAGTCAGCAGAGTAAACAGACAACTCACAGAGTAGGAGAAAATCTTCACAATCTATACATCTGACAAAAGACTAATATCCAGAATCTACAACGAACTGAAATAAATCATTAAGAAAAAAACAAACAATCCCATCAAAAAGTGGGCTAAGGACGTGAACAGACAATTCTCAAAAGAAGATATACAAATGGCCAACAAACATATGAAAAAATGCTCGGCGTCACTAATGATCAGGGAAATGCAAATCAAAATCACAATGCGATACTGCTTCACTCCTGCAAGAATGGCCATAATCAAAAAATCAAAACAGAATAGATGTTGGCACGGATGCAGTGATCAGGGAGCACTTCTACACTGCTGGTGGGAATGTAAACTAGTACAGCCACCATGGAAAACAGTGTGGAGATGCCTTAAAGAACTAAAAGTAGAACTACCATTTGATCTAGCAATCCCACTCCTGGATATCTACCCAGAGGAAAAGAAGTCATTATTCGAAAAAGATACTTGCTCACGCATGTTTACAGCAGCACAATTTACAATTGCAAAATCATGGAACCAACCCAATGGTGTGTGAGTGTGTGGGTGTGTGTGTGTATATATATATATATTCCATTATACATATATAATGGAATACTATGCAGCCATAAAAGGGAATGAATTAACAGCATTTGCAGTGACCTGGATGAGACTAGAGACTACTATTCTAAGTAAAGTAACTCAGGAATGGAAAACCAAATGTTGTATGTTGTCACTGATACGTGGAAGCTAAGCTATGAGGATGCAAAGGCATAAGAATGATGCAATGGACTTTGGGGACGTGGGGGAATAGTGGGAGGGGGGCAAGGGATAGAAGGCTACAAATATGGTGCAGTGTATACTGCTTGGGAAATGGGTGCACCAAAATCTCACAAATCACCACTAAATAACTTACTCACGTAGCCAAATACCATCTGTACCCTAATAACTTGTGAAAAGATTAAAAATTAAATTTAAAATTAAAAGATACAGGATCCATAAAACAAAAAAAAGGATGCTATACTACTTTGAAAAAACCAACAAACAAAAACAAATACTCTTGAAAATTAACAGTATGATATAGAAATAAGCACTTCTTTTTGTTTTCTTTTTTTTCATTCTTTCTTTTTTTTTTTTTTGAGACAGTCTCACTCTGTCACCAAGGTAGGAGTGGAGTGGTGTGATCATGGCTCACTGCAACCTCCACCTCCCAGGCTCAAGCAATCCTCCCACCTCAGCCTCCTGAGTAGCTGGGACTACAGTCGCGCACCACCATGCCTGGCTAGTTTTTTGTAATTTTTGTAAAGATAGGGTTTCACCTTGCTGCCCAGGCTGGTCTCGAACTCCTGAGCTCAAGCAATCCACCAGCCTTGGCCTCCCAAATTGCTGGGATTACAGGTGTAAGCCACCATGCCAGGCCAGAAATAAACATTTCAACAGAAGCATTGAAAAGTAAAATAAAGAATAGGAATAAAATATGGAGATACTGCAATCGAGGGAAAAATTTATTTATTTAGCCAATCCAGAAAGCCTAGCATCTAAATAATAATAGTTGCTGATATAGAGAGCACAGAAAACAGAAGAGATTATCATAGGATAAAATATAAATATTTTCTAGAACTAAAAGGCATACATTTTTACCTTTAAAGAGACCCATTGATAAATCTCACCTCAAGCCACAACATATAAAATTCATGAATAACAGAGACTGAGGATAGACCTTAAACATGGGGAGGGGAACGTCAGGCACCGGGGCCTGTCGGAGGTGGGCGGCAAGGGGAGGGAGAGCATTAGGACAAATACCTAATGCATGTGGGGCTTAAAACCTAGATGACGGGTTGATAGTTGCAGCAAATCACCATGGCACATGCATACCTATGTAACAAACCTGCACATTCTGCACATGTATCCCAGAACTTAAAGTAAAATAAAATGAAATTAAAATAAACAAATAAATGTCTTCAGAATGTAAAAATATATATATTTTTTACAGTGGATCAACAATCAGTATAAAATTATCACTCAATAAAGTTATTAATGTATAAAAAGAATCATTATAGCACCAAACTTCCCAATTGCAACACTGAAATCTGGAAGAATGCATTTGAAAAGGTAATTTTTATCCTAGAATATGTACTCAGCAAAATTAGCAACTGTGAAAATAAAGATGTTTTCAGTCAAAAAAAAATTAAATGTACTTACCACAAACTCTTTCCCAGGAAACTACTGAAGGATGTACTTCTTTAAAATTGAGGAGTAAATCAGATAAGATAAAGATACAAAGAACAGAGAGCCCCAAAGAGGAGGGAGATGGAGAGCCTCCCGTGGATGGGGAAGAGGCGTAGTCTTGGGGCGGTAGGTGCGTTGCCAGCTCTGGAGCAGCTCATCCCCATTACAGCAGGACAAAGTCTTAAGGAGGCCCATCTCCAAGAAGAACATGCAGATGACAAAACTGCAGTATGTTTAAAATTTCAGAGGAGGTTGGGAAAACATAAAGATGAAGAGCGACACCTGTTAAGGAAACTAAGACTACAAACTCAGAATTTAGCAACAAACCTTTGTCAGTAAGAAAAGCTCTGCAGAAAGAGAGGAAGGGCTGGCTCACCAGCCAGAGGCCAGGGACGATGGAATCACAGCTCCTAGGCATATCAAAGTTTGCTTTTCTTTTATGCTTGGATACAAGCTGAGGTCTCTTCCAAGAATTGTAGTCCATAGGATCTCTAGAAGCGAGAGCTTGGAATGCAGGCCTTGTAGGTGCTGAGCTAAATTTCAAAATGGGCATTTGAAAGCATTGTAGACAACAAAAACTCTTTAACTGTCTACTATACAGAGTGATGTTATGGGGTAGCAGGTCCCTTCATCAATATACATTCTAGAAAAAGCAAAAATTGTGCAAGAAAATGCTCATGTGCACAACTATAATACTCACTAATAATGTCTCAGCTATGAACAATGTTTTCATAACACTATAATGATTCAATTGTTCTAAAAATATGATATAACTATATGGAAGAGCTGTATGTGTGTGCGCATGCATGTGTGTGTGTGCTAGCTGCGTGGATGTGTATCAGTGTGTGTAAGCTAGCAACATCCTCCTCTTTCATCCGAAGAGATAAGTAGAGAATATCTAAAACTTTAAAAATCAAGAAATCAATACCAGAGGCATGCAATTTAGAAATATGGGGGTAAATATCAGAAGAAATAGCTTAAAGAATTCAAAGCAGTTGCCTGCAAGTAACAGGAATTGAGAGTTTTCCATTATAAGTCAAATACTTAAGTCAAATACTTTTTATTTTTAAATTATGTCCAGTCATTACTGTAATAATGATTAAACGTAAACTTTAATTGGGTATGCAGAAGTAGAATAGTCTAGAAAGAAGTCTCCCTGGGTGACATTCCTTACCTCGCTAAATGTATAACCTTCAGCTGCTAGTCCTTCACCTTGCAGGCTCAAAAGCTTAATTTCACCTTTACATAAAGAGCAGGTCTGTCTCTGGGAGAAGCAGTGAAACTCACTTTAATTACAGTTATGAAATGAGGTATATTAATTTAAGACGAGACCTCATTGCACCAGTAGACAGCATGCCTTCTGGATAAATGGTTCGTTCTTTTTCTATGTTTAGTAAAGCAACATGGTTAGGTAAATGAGAATCACTGGTTTACACTAGGAAATGACTGATAAGATCTAGAAGCCCATTTGGTCACCACAAAATCTGGAGATACCTATCAAGAAAACTATACATAGTTAGAAGGTTTCTTGGAATCAAAAGAAATTCAATACATTGAATGTTTAATGGCTTCATCCTAAACTGTTAAAATGATTCCACAAGGCAGTGTTATTATCCCCTGCCCTGGATATTTGGAACATTATCTTCTTCTGAAAATAAGAAACTGATGCTCAGGAAATTAAATAGTTTGCTCAAGGTCACACAACTAGCTGGGATTTAAATATAGGTTTGCCTCATAAATATTATTTCTGTTGTGCCACATTGCCTTTCCAAAACAAACCAGAAAAAGGGGGGTCCAAGGAATAACTTTTCTTATTAAGCATTTTTTATTCTTTTTGCCATGACTAGGTCATTAACAAACCTATCTTCTAAATACAAAGGGTTAAAAATGAAAGAAAACAAGGGCAATTAATAGTTAATGAATTCCTACTATGTAAGGCTCTGCACTAGCAAATTTTCAATTCTTATCTACTTCTTTTTAAACAATTTGTTTATTAAGTACATTTATTGGTTTCTATTTATTTTTACACACTGTTGTTTATTACAAATAAGTAGCAGTTATTTTGTATTATTAAACCAGACTTGAAAATTTGTGTTGTCATATTTTGGAAACTTTGTTGGTATTTTTACTTCTATGAATTTGATTGGGTAAAAACGTATCTAAAATGTCTAATGCACCTCCAATGAGTAATGCCACAGTCATTTCAGAAAATGAAAATGAAAGTAATAACATATCATATTTTGTCACCACCATTGCTCTACGGCCAGATTTTAATGAGCCCAGCTCTGTAATCTGCCTGAGCATTTATAGACCTCAGGAGGGGCACTCTGTGGCTTTGGGCTAGAAGCAGCTGAAAAGAATGTCTCTCACTCATGTAAGAACAGCGTTGAATATGGCTGTTCTGTGTGCAGGCTCACCAATTGTGCTACTTGCAGTGGGGGCACTGTTCAGGGAAGGAGTAAGGTTGGCCAAGTTTGCCATTAGACATTAAGAGGGTACATAAAATCTATCAATATTTCTCCATCCCGTTGCGAAGAAATGGAAAAGAAGACAGTAGCCAGCTACTGCATTGCCACTACAGAAAAGTAACTTTACAGATTTTATGACATTTTTCTTGCAGAAATCCAACTATATACCTTGGGAAGATAGGAAAAGGGTTGCAGGAAAGACAGAAAAATAACATTTAAGATGGTGCCAGAAATTTCACCTGCCATCCCCCTCAATATGCTGAGTAGGTGCCCAAGATGAGTACGAGCGGGAGACATAAGTCTGTTCCCTCAGTTTATCTCACTTTCTCTGAGCCACTCATAGCATGAGAATCAGATGCACTTAATAGAATTGTGGTACTCAGGTGCCAAGGATTGTTTTCTTACCAGATGGTCCCTACACACACACAAGCCAATTCCTTCATCTGGTGCTCAACTGAAGAAAAAGTCACTCGTTCCAAAGCTGGAGGAAAAACTGGCAGAACTGGATTCAGCTGTGAGACAGCATGCTGTGGCCTCCAACGTGGCATTATTCTAAAAGTTCAGGAGTAACTTTGACTATAAGTAGTTGTTCCTTAACTCCCACTTAAGATGTAACCCAGCCACACTAGGCTCTAAGCAGCTTCAAGATAGGACAAACCAACAGTACCAGGCTAGTCTAGTAATTGAGGAAGTCAGTAAGATTTTTTTTTATTATACTTTAAGTTCTAGGGTACATGTGCACAACGTGCATGTTAGTTACATATGTATACATGTGCCATGTTGGTGTGCTGCACCCATTAACTCGTCATTTAACATTAGGTAGATCTCCTAATGCTATCCCTCCCACCTCCCCCAACCCCCCAACAGGCCCTGGTATGTGATGTTCCCCTTCCTGTGTCCATGTGTTCTCATTGTTCAATTCCCACCTGTGAGTGAGAACATGCGGTGTTTGGTTTTTTGTCTTTGCGATAGTTTGCTGAGAATGATGGTTTCCAGTTTCATCCATGTCCCTACAAAGGACATGAACTCATCATTTTTTATGGCTGCATGGTATTCCATGGTGTATATGTGCCACATTTTCTTAATCCAGTCTATCGTTGTTGGACATTTGGGTTGGTTCCAAGTCTTTGCTATTGTGAATAGTGCCGCAATAAACATACGTGTGCATGTGTCTTTATAGCAGCATGATTTATAATCCTTTGGGTATATACCCAGTAATGGGATTGCTAGGTCAAATGGTATTTCTAGTTCTGAGGAAGTTAGTAAGATTTTGAGATGCCATGAGGACAAAAGTCATAGTGAAGACATTAGCTATTCTAATGCATGGCTAAGACACTGCAAGTCTGAGGCTCAGCCGACTTCAAAGACCAGGAGTTCCATGTAGTCACTAGGTAGTAGGAGAGAAAGCAATTCCAAGAAGAGTCAGGTCTAATTCTTGAAAATACAATGGTACTAATGGTGTGGGTAGTTCTATATTTTGACTTGTTCTATAAAGCAAAGATTTGTTTTTTGTTTTTTTTTTTAAAGTATTCCCTAGTTGTATAGTAGTGTAATCTGAGAGGTCTCCATTATTTTTGAACTCTTGATAGTGGGCTCTACCAGGACGGGGAAGCTAGTTTAAAGCTATGTGTTCGCTTTCTACAGTTCAAGATGTGTAGTTTATCATTGTGGGGTCCTATCTTTGTTTGGGGATAGATCTCTCATACGTCTTTTTGGCCAAGCAGATGTAAATCAAATGCCTACTCATGGTCCTTTGATCCTTGGGATTGCTTCAGATATTGGTAATTTAATACAAATGTAAATATACTAGACTGCAATGTTAAGTAGTCTATTTCATAATGTAAAAGATGTTCTTGTGGTTTAAGAAAAGAGTACATTTCACTATACCCCTATTAGTATGACTAAAATAATAAAACCCTCGCTATATCAAGTACTGACAGAGAAATTTCTGCAACTCTCATTCAACACTAGTGAAGATGCAAACTGGTACAGCTACCCTGTAAAACAGTTTGGCAGTTTCTAAGAAAATCAAATATATGATTATTACATGACCCAGCAATTTTGCTCTTAGGTATTTTCCGAAGAAAAATGAAAACACATATCCACACAAAAATCTGCACATGAATATTTAGAGGAGTATTATTCATAATTGCCCCAAACTAGAAACAACTCAAAAGTCCTTCAGCAGGAGAATATATAAACTGTTGTACATCCATATGGTAGAATACTACTCAGCAACAAGAAGGAACAAACTATTGATACATGCACCAACATAAACGAGTCCTCAATACATCACACGAAGTGAAAGAAACCAGACTCAAAAAATAAATACTATCTTATTTCACTTACATGACAGTCTAAAAACACATAACACTTTAGGGTCAGAAAACAAATCAGTAATTGACAAGGTTTAGGGCTGAGAGTGGGATTTGACTCCAAAGAGGCAGCTCAAGGACATTTTTAGTGTAAGAGCACTATTCTATGTCCTGAGAGTGGTGCTCAGGACTATGCATTTGTCAAAACTTATATAACTATACGACAAAAGAAGACTAATTAAAATCAAATTTTAAAAAATGTACAGATCCACAAGAAGACTTGTTTAAAATGCAGAGATTCGCAAATTCCCCTAGCAGTGTGAATGTAGATAAAAAGGTAAGAGAAGTGGTTATGAGAAAAAAATGAACACGTCTAAGAACTATGGTGCCAGGCCTGGCCCAAGGAAAGGATTATCAGAAGTGAGTCCTCTGTGAGATGGTCTACACATCACTGCAGGACACAGAACCACTAGAAAAAATGGAAGTATTTCTGTATTTAAGAATCAGCTCCAATTTATAAAAAATAAAAATAGAAAATCATTTCAGAATTGTTCATTGCTCTTTCTCTCTGGAATGTGGGCATGCAAAGAATTTTTCATGTAACAAATCTGTGGAGCCAGTGAGCACAACAAAATGTGTGTGGAATTGACTTTAAATGAACCTTGCATTTTCTCCAGCATTCCACACAATAATTTGATAGAAAAATAATTTTTAGTAAAAATATAGAAACACAATATATTAACAGAAATAGGCAACATAATTAATTTGTAAAAGTTCTCCTCACTTCTATGGGCATTTCTATAAGTTACTGGAGGACAGCTGGTAAGAGAACAAGAAGGAAGTAGATTTCAGATGGGGACAGAATCTGAGAGGCCAATATAGCCTAAGGTGAGTAATGTTGACTGGCTACTCAACTGGTTGAGGAATTAAGAAGCTGGAAAGACAACTTAAAGCTCATCTAAGAATCCCTCTTATTTTATGGATGAGGAAAGCTGTGGCTTAGGGATATGTAGCAGCTTACCCAAAGTCCAGAGTTACTAAATTGTAAAATCTAGTCTTCTGCTTCCAAGTCGAGAGTTTTTTTTTTTCCAGCAAAAGTGTGATTTGCTGTTCTTTTCAAAAGGGGAGAATATAGACTGAAATGTACAATTTAAACCCCGATGTGACACAATGGGCAAAATGGTGTATATTTGGGAATTTTATTGAAGCGATAAAATGCAATTCTAAACAATGTCCTGTTACTCATAACTATAATTCTGTAATTTTCAGAACTCAACCAAGTGGAAAAAAGTCATTATTAGTTCTCAGAAAGGATGAGTCTCTTTTCCCCACCTCTAGTAACAAGAAAGTCATATCAACACCAAGGAGACAGAGACATGAGCTCAGTGTCACAGTTGCATATAGGAATGTATAGCAGGTACTTGATTTGTTCTGGAAGGTTTGCCCTCTGGCCACAACCTGTTCAATTAATTGTGTAACCAAAGCTCAATACTTGTTATGCATTTATCCATTCCTTTAACAACAACAAACCGTATTGCCCGTAGAAAGAGGGCAGACAAGGTCCTAACAGATTGGGTAAGGGGTTAAGGCCAGAAATGGCCCTCCTCCTGTGAATACTGACCCTTGCCTTCAATTTGCCATTATTTTTTGTTGATACATAATATTTGTACATATTTGTAGAGTACATGTGATATTTTCTTACATGCACAGAATGTGTTAATGATCAAGTCATTAAAGGTATTAAAGGTATCCATCACCTCAAGTATTCATCATTGCTGTGTGGTGGGAACATTTCAAGTGCTCTCTATTAGTTATTTTTAAACATGAGGTACATCGTTGTCAACTATAGTCACACTACTCTGCTGCTGAACATTTTAACCAATTACTTCTGTCTAATTATATGTTTGTACCCATTAACCAACCTCTCTTCATGCCCTCTCTCCTATCCACACACCTTTCCTAATCTCTGGCCTCTATCATTCTACTCTCTACTTCTATGAAATCCACTTTCTTTAGCTGCCACATGTGTGTGAGAACATATGATATTTCCTTTTCTCAGCCTGGCTTATTTCACTTAACATGATGACCTCCATTTCCATCCACATTGCTGCAAATGACATGATTTCATTCTTTTTTATAGCCAAGTAGTATTATATTGTGTATATATACCACATTTTCTTTATTCATTCATTCAGTGACAGATATTTGGATTGATTCTGTATTTTTGCTGCTGTGAATAGTGCTGCAGTGCAGGTATCCCTTTGATATACTGACATCCAAAAGAAAGGATATCAGTATATTGATATCAGTATTTCAAAGGGATACCTGCACTCCACTCAAATATTGGGATTGCTAAATTGCGTGGTAGTTCTATTTTTAGTTTTTTGGGAAATCACCATACTGTTTTCCACAATGGCTATATTAACATACGTTCCCACCAACCATGTATAACAGTTCCCTTTTCTCCACATTTTCAGCATCATCTTTTGTTGTTAATAATACTCAATCTACCTAAGGTAAAATGATATCTTATTGTGGCTTTGATTTGCATTTCCTGTTGATTAGTGGTGTTAATTTTTTATATACCTGTATGTCTTCTTTTGAGAAATGTCCATTCATGTTAACTTTTTAATGGGATTCTTTGTTTTCTTACTGTTGTTTTAGTTCCTTGTATATTACGGAAATTAGTTCCTTGCTGGATAAACAGTTTGCAAATATGTTTTCCCACTCAACAGGTTGCCTCTTCACTGTGTTATTTTCTCTTCTGTGCAGAAGCTTTTTAGTTTAATATGGCCCTATTTGCCTACTTTTGTTTTTGTTGACTATGCATTTGAGTTTCTAGCCATGAAATGTTTGCCTAATGTCTTGAAATGTTTCCCCTATGTTTTCCTCTAGCAGGTTTATAGTTTGGGCTCTTACATGTAAGTCTTTAATGTACTTCGAGTTTATTTTTGTATATGGTGAGAGATAGGAAATCAGTTTCATTCTTCTGAATATGAATCCAGTTTTGCCAGCACCATTTATTGATGAAGATATTCTTTCCCCAGTGTATGTTCTTGGTGCCTTTGTCCAAATCATTTGGCTATAAATATATATTTATGTTTTCCCTATTCTGTTCCATTTGTCTATGTGTACGCTTTTATACCAATACTATCTGTTTTGGTTACTATCACCTCGTAAAATATTTTGAAGTCAGGTAGCGTGATGCCTCCAACTTTGTTCTTTTAGCTTAGGATTGCTTTGGCTATTTGGGATCTGATATGGTTTAGATTTGTGTCCCCACCCAAATCTCATGTTGAATCGTAATCCCTAGTGTTGGAGGAGAGGCCTGGAGGGAGGTGATTGGATCCTAGGGGCAGTTTTCCCCTTGCTGTTCTCTTGATAGTGAGTTCTCATGAGATCTTGTTGTTTAAAAGTGTGTGGCACCTCTTCCTTTTCTGTCTTCCTCCTGCTCAGGTCATGTAAGATGTACCTTCTTCCCCTTCGCTTTCTGCCATGATTGTAAGTTTCCTGAGGCCTCCCCAGCCATGCTTCCTGTTGAGCCTGTGGAACTGTGACCCAATTAAACCTCTTTTGCTTATAAATTACCCAGTTGTGGTGTTTCTTTACAGCAGTGTGAAAACAGACTAATACAGGCTCTTTCTTGGTTCTGTACAAATTTTAGGATTTTTTTTCTGTTTCTATAAAAAATGACATTGATATTTTGATAGCAATTGCATTGAATCTATAGATGGCTTTGGGTAGTATGGGCATTTCAACACTGTTAATTTTTCTGATCCATGCGCATGAGATGTCTTTCCATTTGTTTGTGTCCTCTTCAGTTTATTTTATCAGTGTTTTGTAGTTTTCCTTGTAGTCATTCATCCACTTGGGTAAATTTATTCCTAGGTATTTTTTGTAGCTATTGTAAATGGTATTGCCTTCTTGATTTTTTTTCAGCTAGTTCATTATTGGTGTATAGAAATATTACTAATTTTAATTATTGATTTTGTATCCTGAGACTTTACTGAATTTCTTAGTTTTAAGAGTTTTTTGGTGGGGTTTTTGGTTTGTGAAGAGTTTTTATCATGAAGACAAGTTGAATTTTATCAAATGCTTTTTTTTGCATCTTTTGAGATGATCATATGGTTTTTGTCCTTCATTATTGTATTAGTCTTTTCTCACACTGCTATAAAGAACTACCTGAGACTGGGTAACTCATAAAGAAAAGAGGTTTAATTGAATCACAGTTTCACAGGCTGTGCAGGAGGCATGGCTAGGGAGGCCTGAGGAAACTTATAATCATGGTGGAAGTCGAAGGGGAAGCAAGCATAATCTTCACACGGCAGAGCAGGAGAGACAGCATCTGGTATCATAGAATGAGTTAGGGGTAATTCCCTCCTCTTCAACTTTTTGGAATAGTTTCAGGAAAATTAGCATTAATTCTTTATACATTTGGTACAATTTGGCAGTGAAGCATCTGGTCTTCGGCTTTTCTTTCCTCAGAGACTTTTTATTACTGGTTTAATCTTGTTACTCATTGGTCTGTTCAGGTTTTCTATTTTTTTTCTGATTCAACCTTAGAAGATGGTATGTGTTCAGGAATTTATCCATTTCCTCTAGGTTTTCCGGTTTGTTAGTGCATAGTTGTTCATAATAGTCTCTAATGAGACTATTCATTTCATTAATCCTTTGTATTTTTTTTTTTTTTTTTTTTGAGATGGAGTCTTGCTCTGTCGCCCAGGCTGGAGTGCAGTGGCTCAATCTCGGCTCACTTCAAGCTCCGCCTCCGAGGTTCACGCCATTCTCCTGCCTCAGCCTCCCGAGTAGATGGGACTACCAGGTGCCCACCAACACGCCCGGCTAATTTTTTGTATTTTTAGTAGAGACGGGGTTTCACCGTGTTAGCCAGGATGGTCTCGATCTTCTGACCTCGTGATCCGCCCGCATCGGCCTCCCAAAGTGCTGGGATTACAGGCGTGAGCCACAGTGACCGGCCTGTATTGTTTTTTTAAGTCTCTATTTTATTTAGTTCTGCTCTGATCTTTATCGTTTCTTTCCTTCCACTAATCTTGGATGTGGTTTGTTCTTGCTTTTCAAGTTCCTTGAGGTGCATCATTAGACTGTTTATTTGAAATCTTCCATTTTTCTGATGTAGGTATTACTGCTACAAATGTCCATCTTAGCACTGCTTTTGCTATATCCCATAGTTTTGGGTATGCTGTGTTTCAATTTTCTTTTGTTTCAATACATTTTTAAAATTTTCTCTCTTAATTTCTTCATTGACCCAGTGGTTATTCAGGAGCACGTTGTTTAACTTCCATGTATTTGTATCATTTCCAAAGTTACTCTTATTGATTGCTAGTTTTAGTCCACTTTTATTCCAGTTTTATTAATAGTGGAAAACTTCCCGAGTCTAGCAGGATGTTTACACATCTGGATACAAGAAGCTCAGAGATTCTCAAATATTTATAATGCAAAAAGACATTCTCCACAGCACATTATAGTCAAGCTGTAAAAAGTCAAAAATAAAGAGAATTGTAAAAACAGTAAGAGAAAAGTATCTAGTCACCTGTAAGGGAATCTAATCAGATTAACAGTAAAGATACTTGCTCTGAGTACATACTTGATGTGATTTTGATTTTTAAAAAATTTGCTGAGACTTCTTTTGTGAACTAATGTGATTTATCCTGGAGAATGTTTCATGTGCTAATTAGACGAATGTGTATTTTGTAGCCATTGGAAACAGTAAAGGTTAAGTTCATTGGTCTAAAGTCCAGTTTAAGTTCAGTGTTTCTTTTTTGTTTTCTGTCCACATGACCTGTCTATTGCTGCGAATGGGGTGTTGAAGTCCCCCACTATTATTGTACATTGTATTGGAGTCTATTTTTTCCTTTACATCTAGTAATATAATTTTTTTTTTGAGGCCGAGTCTCATTCTGTTGCCCAGGCTGGAGTGCAGTGGTGTGATCTCGGCTCACCACAACCTTTGCCTTCTGGGTTCAAGCAATTCTCCTGCCTCAGCCTCCTGAGTAGCTGGGACTACAGGCGTGTGCCACCGTGCCCGGCTAATTTTTATATTTTTAGTAGAGACAGGGTTTCACTATGTTGGCCATGCTGGTCTTGAACTCCCGACCTTGTGAAGCATCCATCTCAGCCTCCCAAAGTGCTAAGATTACAGGCGTGAGCCACCACACCTGGCCTACATCTAGTAATATAATATTTATGTATCAGAGTTCTCCGGTGTTGAGTGCATATAAATTTATAATTGTTATATCCTTTTGCCGAATTGATCTCTTTATCATTGTATAATGACCTTCTTTGTCTTTTTAAATGTTTTTGAATTAAAGCCTGTTTTGTAAGTACAACTACTCCTGACTGCTTTTGGTTTCCATTTGTATAAATTATCTTTTATCCATCTCTTTACTTCTTTTAGTCTATATGTATCTTTATATATAGACTATCTTTTACATATATTTTAGTCTATCTTTACATATAGACTAAAAGGTAAATTTAGTTTCTTGTAGATAGCATATAATTGGATCATGTGTTTAAAATCCATTCAGCCAGTCTATACAATTTAAGTGGAAAACTTATTCCATTTAATTCAAGGTTATTATTGACATATCAGGTTTTATTCCTATCATATTTTAAATTGTTTTCTGAATGTGTTATATAACCTTTGTTCCTTTCTTTTCCACTTATTGTTTATCATTATAGTTTGGTGGTTTTCTGTATAAAAGATACATTTTGTAGGGGTAACATTTCAGTCATTTCTCTTCCCCATTTGTGTGTTTGCCTGCCCAGTGTGTTTTATACTTTTGTGTGTTTCATTATGGTAGATATTGTCCTTTTGCTTCCAGGTTTAGGACTCTCTTAAGCATTTCTTGTAGGTCCTTTCTAGTGGTGATGAATTCCTTCAGTTTTTGCTTATTTGGAAAATATTTTATTTCTCATTTGTTTATGAAAGATAACTTAGTTTGGTATAGTGTTCTTGGCTGGCAGTTTTTTCTTTGAGCACTCTGAATACATCATCCCATTCTCTCCTTGCCTGTAAGGTTTCTGCTGAGAAATCCACTGTTAGTCTGATGAGATCCCCTTATAAGTGACTACATGCTTTTCTCTTGCCATTTTTACAATTCTCTCTGTCTTTGACTTTTGACAGCTTGACTATAATGTGCTGTGGAGAATATCTTTTTGTATTATAAATATTTGAGAATCTCTAAGCTTCCTGTATCCAGATGTGTAAATGTCCTGGTAGATTTGGGAAGTTTTTCCACTATTAATTTATTAAATGTACTTTCTTTCTCTTTGGTTTTCTCTTCACCTTCTGGAACACTGAAAATTTGATTATTTTATCACTTACAGTATTCCATATGACATGTAGGCTTTGTTCATTCTTTTTAATTCTTTTTTCTTTTTTTCAGCTGACTGGGTTATTTAAAAAGGGCTGTCTTGAAGTTCTAAAATTCTTTCTTCTGCTTGATCTAGTCTATCATTGAAGCTCTTTAATATTTTGAATTTTTATTTTATTTAATGAATTATTCAGTTTCAAAATTTGTCTGGTTCTTTTTTTACTTTGGTAAATTTCTTATTTATATCCTGAATTGTTCTTCAGATTCCTTTGTATTGTTTATCTGTGTTCTCTTATATCTCACTGGGCTTCCTTAATATCATTATTTTTAATTATTTTCCTGGCATTTCATAAATCTCTTTTTCATTGGAATCTGTTGCGGAAGAATTATTGCATTCCTCTGAACATGTAACAGTTCCTTACTTCTTTTATGTTTGTTAGGTCCTTATGTTGATACCCGCTCACCTAGCACAATAGTCACTTTCCCCAATGTTTCGGATTTGCTTTCATAAGGGAGGATTTTTTCCTGAATATGTATCTCTGGTGTTGGTTGGGTAGCGCACTTTGGTTTTGAGTCTGGGTGTGCGCAGTAGTGTAGTCACCATATAATTTTGGGTCAGTGGTGTCTGTTATTTCCTCAGTGTCTTAGGGTATGGTTGTTAGTGGAAGCTGTGGTGAAATTTTGCTGGAGATGGGGATGCCAGGTGGGCTGATCGCTTGTTCCCAGTGGTGGCAGTGGTTGGCTGAGAATGCCTCTCCTTGAACCTAAGGGCAGCATACACTGGCAATGGTGTTAGTGGGTTCTGGAAGGCTAATTCTTAGGCTTCCAGGTAGCTTCCTTGGGTGCCAGCAGTGGTAGTAGTGGGCTGGGCAAGTGAGTGTGTCCTCAGGCCCCTAGATAGTAGGCATGGTGTTGGTGATGGCAGTAGCAGTGTTGGGACAGCTCTTAGAATGCCAAGCGGTCCGTCCTGGTTTTGGCAGTGTCTGCTACAGTCCAGGTGGACCAGTCCACAGGGCCCTGGGAGGAGTACTCTAGTGCCAATCAGTGGTGGACATGACAGAGTGATCCCTTAGCCTTGCATACTGTGCTCAGACACCGGGGGAGGCAAAGCTAGGCTGGGTGGACCTGTCCTTAGGTCCCCAGGTATGTATATGTATGGGTACTGGCTGTGGTGAGTATTGTTGAGGTGATCCCCTGCCCCCGTCAGAGTGCTCAGGTGGTGAAGGCAGCAGGTGTGCTGCAGCCCTGCTGCTGGGGAGGTCAGAGCTGCTGTAGGTTGGTGGCTGTAGGATGGTGGCTGGGGATCACAAGCTTCAGGCCCAGGTGGTGGCTGCGGGTTGGGTTTCCTGGCTTCAAGGCACGTGAAAACGTGCAACAGCCCCACTTCTTGGGGGTAGGTTTGCTGCCAGTGACTCCTGCTTCAGCCCAAGAAGTGGCAGCCAACAGCAGTGACAACTGTAGGCAGGGGATGTCAATGGGGTACCAGGGATATAGAGATGCAGGGACTATTGGGCCCTAGGGAAGGATTCAGTCTGGTAGAGACTGGACTCTCAAAATCTCACCATGCTGTAGCTGCTTGGGATCTTGGGGTGTGTGGGACCCCACATGAGATCCCTTTCTGGAGCAATGCTGTCGTGCCATCTGCAGGCAGCCCCCTATGCTAATTTCAGGCCCTGCAATGGTGGAGGGGCTTTCCCATGGCTAGGACTGGAGGAGCCCATGGTGGAAATGTAGACGACTGGGGACGTCTCACTTACCCTTTTCTCACGTTGGGGAGCTTCTCTGGGCTCCCAGCTGATCCTGCCAAACAGACTGCCTCACTTCTTTCTCTTTCCTTTTAGGTGTTTCTTGTCACTTCACTTTTGAAATCCAGTATTTACTCGCTATTTTGATTCTTCTTTATGGAGGAGGTGACTGTCAGATGCCTCTAGTCAGCCATCTTTAATCTCCTCCGCACAATTTGCCATTCTTGAGAGACTATTGTGCTAATGAACATGAGGGAGAGAGGGAGAGGGAGAGAGACAGACTCAATCCAACCAAGAACTGATCATAAATTTTTCACTTGAGTACTAACAACTATAGTTATTGGTTACAGGACAGTGTTTACAAAGTTTGCAATATGTAATTTTTATTCATTGACCAAATAAATGTATCACTGATCAATAAAATATTTTTTGTTTATAGGCTTTTATACCTGCTCCTTGGTCCCTGGATATTTGCAAGAGCAAAGCATCATAAAAGGACCAGACACATAATAACAGAATAGCAGCATTATCTTTCCAGAATTAACTGTTAACCATTCTTGATCAAGCTCAAGCAAGTCCAACCAGTCAGATACTTATAAAGATAACACCAGTAAAAATTTCTCCGTGTCCTTTTAAATTTTCTCCTTCCTCCTAAATCCACATATGCCTGTTAGAAAATTACTGCTGAAGGCTGGGCATGGTGGCTCATGCCTGCAATCCCAGCACTTTGGGAGACCGAGGCAGGCAGATCACAGGATCAGAAGATTCAGGAAATTGAGACCATCCGGGCCACCATGGTGAAACCCTGTCTCTACTAAAAATACAAAAATTAGCTGGGTGTGGTGGCTAGTAATCCCAACTACTCGGGAGGCTGAGTAATCTCAGTACTCAGTACTCAGTGGTAGTAATCCCAGCTACTCAGGAGGCTGAGGCAGGAGAATCGCTTGAACCAGGGAGTCGGAGGTTGCAGTGAGCTGAGATCATGCCACTGCACTCCAGCCTGGCAAGAGAGCGAGACTCTGTCTCAAAAAAAAAAAAAAAAGAAAAGAAAAGAAAAGAAAAGAAAATTACTGCTGAAATTCCATCAATGAAAAATAATTTAAAATGATAGATGATGTTGATCAAATTAATCACCAATGGTGGATTAAGTGATAGGAAAAGGAAGCTGAAACTCAAGCTCTGAGATGTTTTTATATTTTTGTTTAATTTATCTTGTTTGTCTCATAAATTCTAATTCTATTCACATTCAAATATAAGCTCGCCAGAAACTGTCCTTGCTTCTCTTGTTCATTGCCATGTCTCGAAGGTCTAACACTAATAGACATTTATTTATAGAATGAACAAATTGATGAATTAATAGGGTAAAAATCTACGATTAAGAGAAACTTCAGGTGTTTATTAGGTCTTCATTTAAAAAATGAAGTGTCTTTTTTATGACTTCAATAAAATTTTTTGAAGAGGTTAATATACGAATGAAAGATATTGTCAATATAATTTCAGGTTCAGCATATTCACCTTTGGTATACATCGTCTGTACCACATTTGCTTTAAGACAGTATGACAGTTGTCTATGCCAATAATTTTAATACTCACTACATCACTCCAAGTATTAGTCCTTCTAAATATGAAATCTCATGACATTTTGACAGAAGGCTACCTACAAATGTGTCTGAATTATACATGCAAACAAACCTGAATGAATATCAAAGGCAAAGAAGATCTTTTTCTCAGAGGGCAAGAAGAGAATTCATACCAGTCTATCATTTAATACTTTGGCAAAGGCTTTTGCTAGAAGACTTTTAATGTTCTTTTCAGTATTCAATCATACAACTGTCTGAAGAGGATGTTGTGATTTGGGTAATAATTTTCTCAAACACATTTACATCCCTAATTTCTTTTTGAGCTGAGTCAATCAACATGCCATTTGGGATGCACCTGGAGGCTACTTGTTTGAGGGTTTTTTTTTTTTTAAAGTGAGAACTATTGGACATCCATTTGCACTCGAACTGCCTGTAAATACCTCCCAAAGCCCCTTAGCTCTACAGAGGGAGAACAAAGGAAACAGCCATATTCAGTCAGCGCTTTGTGATTTTTGTATTCCATAGGCTAGAGAATAGAATAGAGGAGGCACTCGACTCTTTTTGGGGTCACTTTCTGGAATAGAGAGAAAGAGGCCGTTTTCCACATTTTCAAATGCTCTCCCTCTCAGTTTGCTGCAACTTCCTCTGACAGCCATGTTCGTGCATGGCACTGCCTCATAGGAGTTTCTCCTGGTTTTGCACTCATACGGCAAGTGAAAAGTATGGTAAATATTACACTCTGTAATTACTTATTAAATGTTGAGCCCCAAAATCCTTTTTTTGGTTTTATTTTTTCTCCTTTCACTCATACTCAGGGTTCCTAGACCTTCAGCTCAGAACTCAGAGCCAGAACCTGCATTCGAAGCTTTAACTGCAGCTCAGACTCGGCACAGTTCTTTGGGGAGGAGAAAGGAGGCTGAGTGATGTGGTGGATGGGTAGAAATAAAAATAAAAATACAATACCTAAGCTGCTGTATTCATACAACCAACTCCTCATCATCCATCATTACATTCAAGGATCTGTAATATGGCTCATGCCCATCTTTCTGTCTCAATGTTCCATAGATTACCAACGTTAATTTTGATGTTCAGCCATTCTAGAGCAATCTGTCTTCCAAGATTGTGCTCTGCACTTATCTCATCCCTGTGCTTTGGTTCATGTTAATCCTGCCCCCTGAATTATATCCAGTCTATCTCAGCCCACTCTAATCCTACTGATTCTCCAAGAACTAGTTCAAATCACCACTAGCCTTTTATTTCTGATCCCCATCTAAATAAAACAAGATTTTAAAACGGATTTAATTTTTATAGCTATATGGGAAAACATTTGGCTAACCTTCTTGAGATGGAAAGTGGTATCCAGAGGCGTAAGCCCAAAAAACAAAATGAAACCTATCCTGCTCTCGCAGGAAAAAAAGAGAAAGCTCACAAAGAGGAGGTGAAATAAGAGACCCTGCAGGGAAACAGCCAGTAGAGATATCTAGTGGCTGAGTAGCCAAAGGATATTTGAAGAATGGAGAAACCAACTTCAGATTAAAATTATTTGCAAGGAATGGGAATTTTTGTGTCAACTTGGCTAGGCCTCGGTGATTTAATGGAGTACTAATTTAAGTGTTGCTGTAGAGACATTTTACAAATTTGGAAAACATCTACAATCAGTTAGATACTCCTTTGAGTATAAGAGGTTACTTTCAATAATGTGGGTGGGCCTCATCTAATCAGTTGAAGGCCTTCCCAGAGTTGTGGGTTTTCTGGAGAAGGAATTCTGCCTTAAGACTGCAGCATTAACTCCTGCCTGAGTTTTCAGGCTGTATATATGTATCTGATGTATCTATATCTACATATATGTACATTCAAATGTATATGTATATAAATATATATAATAAATACATTCATATTATGTGTATACACATATGTAATATATGTATGCATTATATGTATATATTCTGTAATATATACATATAATAGATGTTTATATGTGCAATATATACATATATAACACACATATATATATAACATGTATATTGACATACAGTCAATCCCTATTATTCATGAATTCCGTATTTGCTGTTTTGCCTACTTACTAAAATTTATTTGTAACCCCAAAATCAATATGATAGTTTTGCAGTCATTTCTGGACATGCACATAGTAATGAAAATGCTGAGTTGCTCCTCAGGTACGTTCCTACTCAAAGCCAAACAAACAGGCAACGCTCTGCCTTCTTGTTTCAACTCTTTTTTTAAAATGGAGTCTCGTTCTTGTTGCCCAGGTTGAAGTGCAGTGGCATGATCTCGGCTCACTGCAACCTCTGCCTCCTGGGTTCAAGTGGTTCTCCTGTCTCAGCCTCCTGAGTAGCTGGGATTACAGGCACACACCACCACACCCAGCTAATTGTTGCATTTTTAGTAGAGACAGGGTTTCACCATGTTGGCCGGGCTGGTCTCGAACTCCTGACCTCAGGTGATCTGCCTGTGTTGGCCTCCCAAAGTGCTGGGATTACAGGAGTGAGCCACCACGTCCAGCCTTGTTTCAACTCTCATACTGTAAACAAGTCTCCTTTCTGTGGTATATTTAATGCCATGTTTTTCACATCATTGTGCTTTTTGTTGATTTTGCTGTTTAAAATGCCCCTCTCCCGGCACAGTGCTGAAGTGCTGTCTAGTGTTTCTAAGTGCAAGAAAGCTGTGACACGCCTTCCAGAGAAAATGTATGTGCTAGATAAGCTTTATTCAGGCAAGGATTTTAGTGCTCTTAGCCTTGAACTCAATGTTAATAAATCAAAAATATATAGAGAGTCATGCATTGTTTAATGAAAAGCTATGTTCTGATAAATGCATCATATTTTGTTGTTTTACAAACATCATAGAGTGTGCTTACACAAACCTAGATGGCACAGGCACATTTTTATTTATATTAATTTTTCATATGGAAAACCAAACATCCCAGCACCATTACTGAATATTAATCATTTCCTCTATTTGATGTGCAATGCCAATATCAAGTGCCATATATCACTTTTCTATATATGGTCCATTATAATCTTATGGTACCACCATCATATAGACAGTGTGTTGTTGACTGAAACATCATTAATCAGTGCATGACTATATTAAGTAAGGTGTCTTTAAGAAGAAACACACATAAAGCAAGGTTATATCTTGATTAATTGATGACAATGTTGTGGACAGAGAGACTCTATGAATCCAACCCTGTATTTGCCATTGTATTTCTTATTATTCATACAAGCGACTATTCAATATTTGCTAATTCAGTATTCGCAGCAACATAATAGAACATAATTACTATGAATTGTGAGTAACAATAATTGACTGTGTATCTGTATACATGCATACATGTATCTATGTCTATCTATGTATCTATCTATATAGCCCATTGATTCTGTTTCTCTGGAGAACCTGAGTGATATACATGGCTACTGTCTCAAGTTGCAAACTGCCCCCAGTGCTCCCAAGAGAAACTGGAAAGGGAGTGGAGGAGGCAAGTGAGAGAATGAGAAGCCAGACACAGAAGTAATTTCAGATCAAGTCCCTTCCATCTGTCATTGGCTATAGCCTCCCTTGGTGGATATAAGTGCCCCCATGCACTTTCTGCTCTGGGTTAGTCCTGGCAACAGGCTTCCATGGCCCAAGCATTGTCCTCTGAGGGAGAATGCAAGGCCAAGACCACAGGAGTGAAGCAGCCACAAGCTGATAGGCCAGAGGAGGAAGTGACTAATAGATATCACAATGGCCCTAGAAGGAGGAATCACCCTTTTTCTTTGTAAACCTCCCACCCTGCTCCAGGAGCTCACCAGTGCCTGTGTATACACAGTAAATGCTAAATAAATGTTGAAAAAGGAAGTGATCTGTCCTGCTGCATTTCACTAAGATGCAAGATGCACAGGGACAAACAAAGCAGAAAATCAACCATTCTCAGGAGTACTTTTTTTGATGCTTCTCTAGAGCACAGCTGTTGAAAAATATTTGTGAAAAGAAAGAATTTTGAAAATATTTTCATGGTTACTTGACAGATAATTCCTTTTCCAGAACCATATGATATAATTAAAGTTGTTACTCTTTTGCCAGGAAATTTTGAGAGCTTGTCCTAACAGTAAGTCAAGGAAGAAGTCATGCATAATCAAAACAGCTTTGAGAAAAACAAAATGGACTTTGACAAATCAGGAAGCTCTTCTTCTTTTTTTTTTTTTTTTTTTTTTTTGAGATGGAGTCTCGCTCTGTCACTCAGGCTGGAGTGCAGTGGCACAATCTCAGCTCACTGCAACCTCTGCCTCCTGTGTTCAAGAGATTCTCCTGCCTTAGCCTCTCAAGTAGCTGGGATTACAGGTGCCCACCATCATGCCTGGCTAATTCTTTTTTGTATTTTTAGTAGAGACAGGGTTTCACCATGTTGGCCAGGCTGGTCTCAAACTCCTTAACACAAGTGATCTGGCCACCTCGGCCTCCCAAAGTACCGGGATTACAGGTGTGAACCACCATGCCCGGCCTAAATCAGGAAGCTCTTCTAATCTCTCTCTTTCTCTCTCTCTCTCTCTCTCTCTCACACACACACACACAAAGGTGACTTTTGCCAGAAAAAATTTATACTCACCATAAAATTCAAATACAAGTAAATAAATAGAAGAGCAGGGAGATCTAAGCTATACTTTAAGGTGTATTTTTCTACAAGGTATCCACAGAACAAGGAAAAATATTTGTGTGTAAAATGTGGGAAAATATATTTGTAGAGCTATTTACCATGGCACCTGCCTTCTGGAAGAATCACACCAGCCTTATGTAACTTTCAGAGCACTGAACTCCTACTGTTTTCTTAAAACACTGTGAATAAATTTTTTGGCAGTCAAGAAGGACTAGATTATTCCATAAGGCAGTTGAAGAATTGCTCAACTGTCAGGGAGCAGTCCTATCACCTGTAGAATCAGGTCCCAACTTTTTAGCATAGCATACAAGGTCTTTCATCAGAGGTCCTCAACCTGTCTCTCTAGCCATATTTCCTGCCCCTCCCATTTCAATGCTGCTTATACTGGAGCCATCCAAGTTATTCATGCTTCCTCCAGTGGAATGGGCCATGCTCTGACATGCCTGGGTACCTTTCCATTTCCTGTTTCTTCTGTTAGGCATATAGTACCCCCTATGGCAAACTCTTACTCAGTCTTTAGGAACTAGCTCAAATTGGCTGTTAGGCAACCACTGATCATTTCACTGCAAAGGAGGTAAGTCAAACTCACCTCTGTCCTCCCAGAGTTCCTTACACATCACAACTGGTAGAACTTTTATTATATTGTATTGTAATTGTGTAGTGAGTAAGTTCCTTAAGGACAAGGACTACATCTTATTTGTCATTAACAATCTTGCTGATTGTTTCACTGCAAGGCAAACTCACCTCTGTCCTCCCAAAGTTCCTTACACATCACACCTGGTAGAACTTATATTGTATTGTAATTGTGTAGTGAGTGAGTTCCTTAAGGACAAGGAGTATGTCTTATTTATCTTTGTACCCCAGGTGCCCAGGCAAATAACAAGTTTTTTTTGTTTTCTGTTTTTTTTTTTTTTTGTTTCTTTGAGACAGAGTCTCGCTCTGTCACCCAGGATGGAGTGCAGTGGCGCTATCTTGGCTCACTGCAAGCTCTGCCTCCTGGGTTCAAGCCATTCTCCTGCCTCAGCCTCCTGAGTAGCTGGGACTACAGGCGCTCGCCACCGCGTCCGGCTAATTTTTTGTATTTTTAGTAGAGATGGGGTTTCACCGTGTTAGCCAGGATGGTCTCGATCTCCGGACCTTGTGATCCGCCCGCCTCAGCCTCCGAAAGTGCTGGGATTACAGGCGTGAGCCACCGTGCCCAGGCATAGCAAGTTTTTAATAGATTAATATTGTATAACCTTTCCATTTGAGGAACAATCATGATAGGACATTTTTTGACAGAGACAGGTAGTAGGTGACTTATTTCTTACTTTAAGGACACTTAAGAGCAATATAGAGTAGACAAAACAACAAAAACTCTCCCAAAATAGATTAAATATTGAGAAATAAACTCAAAAAAGAGTGGAGACTGGCTGCAGTGGCTCACCTGTAATCCTGGCACTTTAGGAGGTCAAGGTGGGAGATCACTTGAGCCCAGGATTTTGAGACTAGCCTGGGCAACATGATGGCAGGAACCTGTCTCAGACAAAAAAAAGAAAAGAAAAAGTAGAAGAATGAAGAATGGTGGAATAATTAAGTAATTAAATAATAGTTTAATAATAATTAGTTTAATAATTATATAATATTAATTAGTTATATAGTAGTAATAGTTTAATAATAATTTATTAATAATTAAATAAAGTTTTTGTCAAAATTGAAATTTGAAGTTAAGGCTTAATTTGAGACTTGGACATGGAAATCACTTCCCAGAATTGAGCAGGTGCTAAAGAGTGGTGCCATTGTCAAGGAATGGAAAGAAGCATAACTTGAACTATGACCTACTTGGAGAAGAGTGTGGGTGCATGAGTAAGGAGTCTAGTCAAATGCTCAATGCCTGGGAGGTTCAATGAAAGATAAATGGTGGTTCCAGTGGACAGGGAGAACCTGGAGATTGGTGATCAGGAGTAGGTAATACTCAGAGGTCTAGCCAGGCTGGTGGCTGATAGACATCAAGAAACTCTGGAAACAGGAAACAGGGTCCTAGATCTGAGGCTAGAGTTCAAGGGCAGCACTAAGCCCTTTAAGAAGGCGGACAAAGCAGTCTTAGTGAAACACAAGTACCAAACATGCTCTCAAAACAGAAACCCAGACAAAAAAAGAATACAGAATCTGGAATGAGGGCACACTATGGAACACTTATCAAGGCACAAGCCTAAACACAATTGTCACACCAAGACACAATACCAGCATGGAACTGGCAGCAGAATTGATGAGATGCTTAGTCATTGGAGCACTTCACTGAGAGCTCCTGGAATTAATCAACCAGGAATGCAACTGGTCCCAGCCAGAGTTGGGCTAAATTTCAGGGTATCAAGAGTTTAAATTAGGGCAAAGAGAGGAGAAGAAGCAGGGAGCCAGAAAGGTCAAGATAGGTTTCAAAGGAAGGTGGTGAGAGCACTCACAAGGACAACTGGGTGCTCCCTTCAGCATGCCAATGAATATGTGACGTATACAAATGTCAGCAAAGATTATGGGTGACTCAGGATGGGAGGAGAGAGGGAGGAGAGAGGGTCACCCATAATCTGAAGAGGGAGGACACTTTGAGTCAGTAGGAAATGGGAAGGAGAAAAATAATACTTCAAAGAAAAGCCTAATTGATGCATAGTTAAGCAGCTCCAAAATGGCACATTGATGACTACCAGAGACGGAAAGAAAGAAGAGAAGAAGAAAAAAAATCAAGGGGAGGACTGTGGAAAAGCAGCCCAGGACACATCCATACACATTGTTTTGATTCTACCTCAGGACCCAGTAGATATTTTGATCCTGTATAAAATATTTTAAGCAGAATTATACAAACATGATCGATTTTAATTTTCATCAAGAATGTATTTTCTAGAGCTCATTCCATTAAGCCAATTTGATTCTTTGATCAATTTTCTATAAAGCACAGTTTGTTTTTTTCATTTTTATCTTTAATGTAACTGAAATTACTTTTATTGACATTGATTCTTTCTAACTTAAATATTACTCTGAGACTATGATTATTCGATTGGATTTCTTGAAAACATAATATTTTTCCAATTATGGCTTCCACCATGTGGTTTTTCTCTGGCAGCTCTTCCTTCTAACAAGCTCAATTTCCCCACATCAAATTTGACATATCTAAACTTTGTTAAGAGTTGATTCTGATATTAGTTTTTAGTCAATAATAAACCTTACCATGTGAAGTTTTAGCTTTTGTTTTTTTTATGGCTTATTTCTACCAATTCTAACTTTGGCTAATTTTTCCAATGTGCTTCTCCATAAGTTTTTAATATTTAACAACTTTTATGAGGTGCAATTTCCATGACTGTAAATTTTCTTTGGGGATACGTTGACCAAAAATCTTTACTACAATATCTACATAATGGAGTACTATGCAGAAACAAGCAAAAAGTATAAGAAAGATCTCTGAGATTATTATTGTTAATGAATACATATTGTGATCTATATAGCATGTGTAGTATATGGCTATGTGTATATAGAATGTATATAGTATGCTGCCTTTTATATAGGAAAAATGAAAACAAATATATATAGAAACACACACATACACAAATATTTGCTAATTTTGCAGAAAGAGACGTAGGAAAAGTAAGCCAGAAGCTAATGGCAATAGTTATCTATATAGATAGATGGAAATGGGCCAATAGGAGTGAGAACTTCTGTTGAATATATGTTTCTGTTTTGAAGCATATACAAAATGATATAAAATAAAAAGAATATGAAAAAATGAATCCCAAAATTGAATCAAAACAGAAGCAAATGAAGCTAACAAATGACCACTCCAAAAAAATTATTCATTTGTATTTAATTCCAGACTAACTCATTAGACAATTAGGAGCAACTCCTCTCAAATGGTCTACAAATAGTGAATTCAATGAACCTAGGTCTGATCGTTTGGTGGGCTCTGTGCTAATTGTTTATCCTCCTGGTGGAAGAGCAGAAGCAGATCTGTGTGTCCTTCAGTGACCAAACGGCAATTCAGCTCAGGAAACCTGTCCAAACAAACACTATGTTCTTATAATGGGAGGAGGACTAGCCCAAGATTTCCCCAAAACAGAATAAAATGGCAGAGTGGCTGGGTCCGTAGTACTTGCAAAAGAAAAAACCCTGCTTTTCCAATGTTGGAAAAATCTCAGCTTTGATCTTAGAGCAAACAAAAAAACACAGCAACCAAAGGAGCACTGTAAGGAATCTTCATAATCAAGAGAAAAAAAAAAACTCACCAAGCTATATGTTCAAGTCAAAAACAAAAAAAAACAAAAAAAAACAGAACACTAATCTCAGTAGCAAAGACATCATAAGCCGCCCTGTGAGAGGTTAGGGGAAAAGGAATGACAGCAGCTGGAACGGGCTTTCTCAGGCTTTCTGTGTAGGCCAGGCTGTATAACCCTTATAGGATAAAAACACATGCACTTGATCTAGTAAGAGAACAATTATCAGCCGGGCACAGAGGCTCAAGCCTGTAATCCCAGCACTTTGGGAGGCCAAGGTGGGTGTGTCACCTGAGGTTGGGAGTTCGAGACCAGCCTGACCAACATGGAGAAACCCTGTCTCTACTAAAAATACAAAATTAGCTGGGGGTGGTGGCGCATGCCTGTAATCCCAGCTACTCGGGAGGCTGAGGCAGGAGAATCGCTTGAACTCAGGAGGCAGAGGTTGCAGTGAGCCAAGATCATGCCATTGCACTCCAGCCTGGGCAACAAGAGGGAAACTCCATTTAAAAATAAAAAAGAGAGAGAGAGAAAAATTATCTCGTTGGGAAGCAAAAGAACGTTGAAGGAACAAACCAGAAAGACTTAATTGGCCATGGTCCCCAGGGAAGAAATTCCCCATTTCTCACCAAGTGGTACCTCTGAAATTTAACCTTAAGAGGCCAGGTGTGGTGGCTCACGCCTGTAATCCCAGCATTTTGGGAGGCTGAGGCGGGTAGATCACCCTAGGTCTGGAGTTCAAGACCGGCTGACCAATATGGTGAAACCCCATCTCTACTGAAAATACAAAAAATTAGCCAGCTGTTGTGGTGCATGCCTGTAATCCCAGCTACTTGGGAGGCTGAGGTAGGAGAATGGCTTGAACCGGGGAGGTGGAGGTTGCAGTGAGCCAAGATCCCACCATTGCACTCCAGCCTGGGCAAAAACCAAAACTCTGTCTCAAAAAAAAAAAAAAAAGAAAAAGAAAAAAGAAAAAAAAGAAATTTAACTGTAAGAAACAGCAAAGAGGAATTTGGCCTGTGGGTTAAATGAGTAGAGGGTGAGGGTTATGTAAAAGGAAAGATAGATTTTTTTTGAAAGATATCAAATTTGCTTCAAAAGTTAGGTTTCAAAAATTCTATATACAGATTCATTTTCCTATATTAGCTTTTATCTCAGCTTCATTTGTAAATAGTGAAAACTTTCGTGTTTTAGGGATTTATTGCAGAACTTTTTACAATTACCAACATGTTCATGCAATGGCCCTCTCTTGAACTTCACTCGTATTGATTTTAAATTCCATAATAAAGCTCCTAAATGTAGAAGATTAACTACAACATTATTTCAATTTTAATTGAACAATTGTGTAAATAGTTCTTAGCTTGCAGTGAAACGTAGATTGCTGCTTTATTCTAAAGTTCTAAACTACAAAATATCTGCACTCTCTCAATCCTTTCTGATGATCTCATCCTTCCTTGCCATTTCTCCCTACAGTCTTTCACATTTACAAACTGATTTTATATATATATGTATGCAGTGGCTGGTTGGCTAGTCACACTCATGCTTTAAAAGTTAATTTGAAGTCAGGTAGTGTGATGCCTCCAGCTTTGTTCTTTTGGCTTAGGATTGACTTGGCAATGCGGGCTCTTTTTTGGTTCCATATGAACTTTAAAGTAGTTTTTCCAATTCTGTGAAGAAAGTTGTTGGTAGCTTGATGGGGATGGCATTGAATCTATAGGCTACAGTAACCAAAACAGCATGATACTGGTACCAAAACAGAGATATAGACCAATGGAACAGAACAGAGCCCTCAGAAATAATGCCACACATCTACAACTATCTGATCTTTGACAAATCTGACAAAAACAAGCAATGGGGAAAGGATTCCCTATTTAATAAATGGTGCTGGGAAAACTGGCTAGCCATATGTAGAAAGCTGAAACTGGATCCCTTCCTTATATCTTATACAAAAATTAATTCAAGATGGATTAAAGACTTAAATTTTAGACCTAAAACCATAAAAACCCTAGAAGAAAACCTAGGCAATACCATTTAGGACATGGGCATGGGCAAGGGCTTCATGACTAAAACACCAAAAGCAATGGCAACAAAAGCCAAAATTGACAAATGGGATCTAATTAAACTAAAGAGTTTCTGCACAGCAAAAGAAACTACCATCAGAGTGAACAGGCAACCTACAGAATGGGAGAAAATTTTTACAATCTACCCATCTGACAAAGGGCTAATATCCAGAATTTACAAAGAACTTAAACAAGTTTACAAGAAAAAATCAAACAACCCCATCAAAAAGTGGGCAAAGGATATGAACAGACACTTCTCAAAAGAAGACATTTATGCAGCCAACAGACACATGAAAAAATGCTCATCATCACTGGCCATCAGAGAAATGCAAATTAAAAACCACGATGAGATACCATCTCACGCCAGTTAGAATGGCGATCATTAAAAAGTCAGGAAACAACAGGTGCTGGTGAGGATGTGGGGAAACAGGAACACTTTTACACTGTTGGTGGGACTGTAAACTAGTTCAACCACTGTGGAAGACAGTGTGGCGATTCCTCAAGGATCTAGAACTAGAAATACCATTTGACCCAGTCATCCCATTACTGGGTATATACCCAAAGGATTATAAATCATGCTGTTATAAAGACACATGCACACATATGTTTATTGCGGCACTGTTCACAATAGCAAAGACTTGGAACCAACCCAAATGTCCATCAACGATAGACTGGATTAAGAAAATGTGGCACATATGCTGGGCGTGGTGGCTCACGCCTGTAATCCCAGCACTTTGGGAGGCCGAGGCGGGCAGATCACAAGGTCAGGAGATTGAGACCATCCTGGCTAACATGGTGAAACCCCATCTCTACTAAAAATACAAAAAATTAGCCAGGCATGGTGGCGGGCACCTGTAGTCCCAGCTACTCAGGAGGCTGAGGCAGAAGAATGGTGTGAACCTGGGAGGCAGAGCTTGCAGTGAGCCCAGATTGTGCCACTGCACTCCAGCCTGGGTGACAGAGCGAGACTCCATCTCAAAAAAAAAAAAAAAGAAAAAGAAAATGTGGCACATATACACCATGGAATACTATGCAGCCATAAAAAAAGATGAGTTCATGTCCTTTGTAGGGACATGGATGAAGCTGGAAACCATCATTCTGAGCAAACTATCACAAGGACAGAAAACCAAGCACTGCATGTTCTCACTTGTAGGTGGGAATTGAACAGTGAGAACACTTGGACACAAGATGGGGAACATCACACACCAGGGCCTGTCATGGGGTGGGGGGAGGTGGGAGGGATAGCATTAGGAGATATACCTAATGTAAACGACGAGTCAATGGGTGCAGCACACCAACATGTCACATGTATACATATGTAACAAACCTGCATGTTGTGCACATGTACCCTAGAACTTGAAGTATAATAAAAAAATAAAAAATAAATAAATTTAAAAGAAAAGTTAATTTGAAGGTTCAGATTGAATCTATATGTAACAAATTGCCAGAATGGAAAAATTTCTGGATAGTCTAAAAGTATCTCAGAATCTGCAATTAGCCTGGAGAACATATTTCTTTTTTTTTTTTTTTTTTTTTTTTTTTTGAGACGGAGTCTTGCTCTGTCGCCCAGGCTGGGAGTGCAGTGACATAATCTCGGCTCACTGCAAGCTCCGCCTCCTGGGTTCATGCCATTCTCCTGCCTCAGCCTCCCCAGCAGCTGGGATTACAGACGCACGCCGACACGCCCGGCTAATTTTTGTACTTTTAGTAGGGACGGGGTTTCACCATGTTAGCCGGGGTGGTATCAATCTCCTGACCTTGTGATCCACCCGCCTCGGCCTCCCAAAGTGCTGGGATTAAAGGCGTGAGCCACTGCGCCTGGCCAGCCTGGAGAACATATTTCAATGCAGAGTTTATTATATGTAGCAGGATGCTCAATTTTTGTTAAAATAGTTTCTTTAACTTCAGACACTGTAGGAATGGCTATCAAGTTACATATTGGAAAAAGTGACCTTGTGTGCAAATCATTTTACCTTCTATTTCTTCAAGGAAAGAGTTACAACAATTATATTTAATCCTCTGGCAAACAATAAAGTGTGTTAGAAATTTCTGGAACAACAGGGGCTATCGAGCTCAATTATTATATTTTAAATGTAATTAGTATATCACTACAAAAATAACAAGAGCCAAAATATAACAAAAAGTCAGAAAGAGAGAGAGAGAGAGAATTCATTTCTGAAAGATTTCACAGAGAATCAATTTGGTAGACCCAATGAAATATTCTTTATATCCTCACTTCTAAAATTCTTCTTCCACCATCTTTTAAAAGGTGATTAATGACTGTATATAGTTTATAGATTGTCGAGGCGTCTTTTACTCCTCTTCTTTCTTTAGCCTACTGCCTGTCTTATTGATACTGGCTATTCACTAACTTCCACTGAAAATAATTAAAATCTGCATCATTGGAGAACAGCCGGAAAGAAGAGCATGATGAATGTGAGCTAGGACCTTTGCCAAGCAGATGCCTCTGCCTCCGTGGAAGTCAAGAGCTCAGTTGGTGTGTGGGTAACTCAGAGACAACAAGGAGGTACAGGAAAGCACAGGAGTAGACACAGAAGAGTTGGTAACTCACAAATGAGAGAGACAAAGATGCTGTGTGATGGACAGGCATGTAAAGCAGGTCCTTTCGTGTGTAAACCATAGAGGCCATTCATGCGCGATTTGAAGGAAAAGGGCTCAGGAGTTATCACTGTGTAGATCTGGGAGGCATTATGCTAAATGAAATAAGCTGGACACAGAAGGACAAATACTGCATGATCTCACTTATAGGTAGGGTCTAAAATAAAAGCAGAGGGTAGAATGATGGTTACCAGGGCATGGGTTTGGGTGATGTTCTCAAGGTATGCAAAGTTTCAGTTATGCAAGATGAATGAGTTCTGGAGATCTAATGTACAGCATGGTGACTTGAAGTATCACTACTGTGCTGTATACATGAAACTTGCTAAGAGGGTACATACTATTTTCACCACATACAAAAACAACGGTAACGATGTGAGGTGACAGATTAGTTAATTATCTCAATTGTGGTGATTATTTCACATTGTATGCCTGTATCAAATCATCAAGCTGTATACCTTAAATATATACAATTTTTTAAGAAGTCATCTCTGAAAAATTAAGCAGTGATGTTCAAACAGTGATGGGAAGACATAGCTGGGGTTGGTACATAAGAAGTCTCACCAAAAAAAAGAAAAACAAAACACACAATTTTAAGAGGTATTTCATATTTTCTCCAAACTTCTAAACATTGGGATTTTGTTTTGATGGTAAATTTAAGGTAACCTGAGTAGGCGGTCTGGACACATTCCCATCATATTTTATTTCACCTCTGTAGCATTTCCCAAAATATAGGACGTCTTTGCTCTTTTGTCCCAAATTTTTTAAAATGCAAGCATTTCACCACATGCTCTATGACAATGCCTTTTTGTCCTATGGGTAGACAAATGTGAGTATGAGAAAATTTTGACATAAAACCAATAACGAGCACGAGAATAGGACAGCCAGCAGTGTTTATTTCTTTAAGAAAGCTAACCAGCAACTAATACCTGGAGTGTACATAGTCAGTCTACGCCATTTGATTCTTCTGAATCTTTTTCCACCACTGTGGTCTTTACTGCAGATACTACTTTGAGAATGTGTCTGTGCTCTGCACTGAAGGGAGAGCCAGGTCTGTCAGCGAGCCTGTCAACATCGCTCCAGTGTGAAGACTGATCAGCCCTAGCCTTTGTTTCATAAAGAATTACAGTGATGCCTTATATAATCGAAACAACAAACTGCCTTGTTTGAAGGTCTGAAATTCCAGCACGTGGGTGTCACTCTGTCTAACCTCACCTACTTTTCTTTGAGCAGTTTATTTAGGAGAAACCATTCCTCCTGCCTATTAAAATTATCATTTCTTAATGTTTCAGCTGACGTGTTTCCTTTAATATATTTTTGGTGCATCTGTTCTTTCCTCACCTTGACCAAGCGTTGCCTGAGACAGAGGCTGGTGGGTGGTGGAAGTTCTTAGGCAAATGAAGATAGATCAAATGCCCTCTCCAGCTTTGAATTTTAACTAGTAAAAGAATGATGTGAGATATAATAATGCCTCCTGTTTTGTTCCTGCTTACCTGAAAACCAAAATACTTGTAGATGAAGAGGATAAAATGCAACAAGAGGGAATCAATGAACTAGATTGGCATTTAAGAGACCTTGATTCAAGACCTAGCTCAGCCATTAATTAGCCCTGTAGTCGTTGGCTAAGAGCTTGATATCCAAGGCTCTCAATTTCCAATCTCTCTCTCTCCCCCCCACCCCCACTTCTGTCTCTTTTGTTCCATAGATTGCTACTATGTTGTACTAGGATGCTGACACTATGCTAGGTGGTGGAAATATACATACATGCAGGAGGTGGATTTGACAAGTCTTAGAAATTGATCGAACCTGGGGGATGAACACAGGAAGAGTCAAAGGTAACTCTCAGCTTCCATCTTGGGAAATTAGTTGGGTGTAGCTATAATCATAATGGAGAATATAGAAAAAAGTCAAAGGTTTTTCTTGTTTTGTTTTGTTTTGTAAAGATGAGGTCTCACTATGTTGCCAGGCTGCTCTGAAACTCCTGGCCTCAAGCGATCCTCCTGATAGGATTACAAGCATGAGCCACTGTGCCTAACCAGAAAAAACAGAAGTTTTGAGGAATAATAAAGAAGTAGAAAAATGACATGTTAATTTTAATTCTAAAGTTCCTTTCCTCCAGGGGATGTATCTCTACTTCTCTAACTCCAAAAAGAAAGAAAAATAAAGCTGTAGGAATTGAGGTAAATGTCTTATATTTATACCATTATTAGTGGATTGTTTTCACTGACATCTCATTTTTTCTCCTTTTTCATGCTAGAGATCCTCTTTCTTTCCACTTAGGTGATTCTAAGAACATCAGGAGGAGGAAGGGAACAGACCCCTATAGGGTTTGTTTATAGATAAAATGCTCTTTTCTGTATGGACTGTGTATCCAACTTGTTTCTGATTTCTCTTCCTGAGAAGTCCATCCTCCCTGGCCAAGGGAAAAGCTTTAAGAAAACAAACATGAGGCTGGGCGCGGTGGCTCAGGCCTGTAATCCCAGGACTTTGGGAGGCTGAGGAGGGTGGATCACGAGGTCAGGAGATCAAGACCATCTTGGCTAACACAGTGAAACCCCGTCTCTAGTAAAAATACAAAAAAATTAGCCAGGTGTGGTGGCAGGCGCCTGTAGTCCCAGCTACTCGGGAGGCTGAGGCAGGAGAATGGTGTGAACCTGGGAGGTGGAGGTTGCAGTGAGCCGAGATTGCGCCACTGCACTCCAGCCTGGGCGACAGAGCGAGGCTCCATCTCAATAAATAAATAAATAAATAAATAAATAAATAAATAAATAAATATAGCCGGGCTTGGTGGCTTACACCTGTAATCCCAGCACTTTTGGAGGCCGAGGCAGGCGGATCACGAGGTCAGGAGATCAAGACCACAGTGAAACCCCGTCTCTACTAAAAATACAAAAAATTAGCCAGGCACGGTGGTGGGCGCCTGTAGTCCCAGCTACTCGGGAGGCTGAGGCAGGAGAATGGCGTGAACCTGGGAGGCGGAGCTTGCAGTGAGCCGAGATCGCGCCACTGCACTCCAGCCTGGGCAACAGAGCAAGACTCCTTCTCAAAAAAAAAAAAAAAAAAAAAGAAAACAAACGTGAGAAAGTGAGGAAGAAGGAGGGACGTGCCTGGTCAATCAGACCAGGCATATTTTTCCTGGCAATCAGTGAGATAATCAACAGAATAGACCAATCACTCTCAGCTACCGAGGGTTCTAACTCTTTGTTCTGAGTTACCAAGCGATTTTGTCTGATGCTTTTCTCTCCAGACTGTTATACGGTGGGGGATAGTGTTGGGACATTGAAACAAGTAGAACATGCATTAAATAATTCCCAAGAAACTTAACAAGTCAAAGCTCCTCAGGATGGAAAGCTGGAAAATTGTTACTTTAAATGATTGTTTTTCACTTACTCAACAATAGTGTTTATAATAATGGCCAAGTAGGTGGGCTAAGGCAAGAAGACAAGGAGCCACAATATGTATGTAACAAAAATGTAAGATCCCAAAAAGAGGGTTCAGAGAAAGTATTATGGTGGTTTAAGAGAGAGAAAGAAAGAGAGGCAGAAGAAATAACCTTTGGGGAAAGGCGAGGATTGTCTTTATGAAGAAGACAGCATTTGACCAGAAACTTGAAATACATTGCCTGGTGAAGACAGGGGCTGGAGAGGCCATGGCAAATTGAGAAAAGAGCATAGTAACAAAAGGTACTAAAGTTGGAAAATGGAAAGCAAAGTTGAGGGTAATACTTTTACAGTATGGCTGAAATATATGATTGACTTGGAACATGCTGGAAAAGGCTGGGATTGTGTTGGAATTCCATGTAATCTGGATGTGTCAGGGGTTCTCACTTTGTTCTGTGGTATTTGTATCTCTTCCTCACTAGTGGGGATCAGAGAAATCAGCCTTATGGCTTTGCAAACTTATAGGCTTGTCTGCCGATAAATAGTTCCTCCACCTAATGGTTCACAGGGGAGAACTAGCACCTACCCTTCCCTTATAAGACCTATCTTGTCAGATCCCTGGGAGTTATCAGGAAGCAACTGTGACCTTCTTCCAAATCCAGCAATGCTCATCTTCCCCAAATCAACACACTCAAAGCTCCCACAGAGGTTTAAGCATTAATTTTTTTTTTGGTTATACACACGGAAGTGTTCATAAACACATATGTAGAGTTTAAAGCATAGTTATAAAGTAAACACCTGTATAATTATTCCCTATGTAATAGAAAATTGTAGCTCCCAGAAACCCCCACGCACTCTTTTTGTGGCGGCATTGAAGTACGCTTCCAAATTTTTTGACACCGTTGCCAATTACAAGGTGGAATCTATACCCCTTTCTCTTGTACCTGAGGTCTGTGACTGCTTGATCAATAGAATATGGTAAGGTGGTGCTTTATGAGTTTCCAGGTCCAGGCCTGAAGCTTCCACTCCTGCTTGTTGGGCCACTTGATCTTGAACACAGGCATCATGCTGTGAATAATCCCAGTGAGGCTGGGCACGGTGGCTCATCCCTGTAGTCCCAGCACTTTGGAAGGCCGAGGTGGGTGGATCACCTGCGGTCAGGAGTTCGAGACCAGCCTGGCCGACATGGTGAAACCCCATCTCTACTAAAAATACAAAAAATTAGCCAGGTGTGGTGGCAGGCATCTGTAATCCCAGCTACTTGGGAGGCTGAGGCAGGAGAATCACTTGAACCTGGGAGGTGGAGGCTGCAGTGAGCCGAGATCATGCCACTGCACTCCAGCCTGGAAAAGAGCAAAACTCCATCTCAAAAAAAAAAAAAAAATTCCCAGTGAAACAGGAAATTTCCTTTGACGCCCCCGTGGGCCTTGCAACAGGGGTGCCTGGCTTACTCAGCCCACAACTCTCAACCCCTTGCAGGAGGGGGAGCATGCAGGTGAGCAGGTGCAGGAACCAGGACAAGTGGAAACTCCGTGCAGCTCCACACGCAGCATCTAGGGGGGAATTACCCACAACCCCCAAAGCCCCAGAGGGGTGTGTGTTGCAGTGCACTCTTTTAGCTCTGCCATTCGTGGATAGCTTAAGTGTTGAACAGGTCAGACCCTCTACCTTTTCATGAGGGCAGAGAGTCGGTGAGACAGCTTTCTATATCCCAAGCTCTTGTCCAGCATCCAAGAAAAATCAGGTTGCCCAAATGAATTGAAGGGCAGTGAATACAGAGGCTTTTAAGTGGCTCTCAGCTGGAAAGGGGATGGAGCAGGAAGGTATTCTTCCCCGGAAGTCTAGCCATCTCCTGCTGGACTTTTCTCCAAAGTCCCACCATTAAGCTGTCCCTGTGAAGTCATCCTACTTCTCTCTGACCTTCAGCTGCTTCTTCTCTTCTCCCCTTCTCTACTCTCTGCCAGTGGAGCCTGGGGTTTTTATGAGTACAGGATGGGAAGTGGGGTGGGCCAGGGGTGGTTTTGGAAAAGACAACATTCAAGTGGGAAAACAAGATGTTCTCATATTGGGCTGCAGTTTCCAGGCTTGAGAGTGGGGCTTCACCAGGACCCCTGCCCTTTTCCTGCCTAGAATTTCTCTGCCTCCTGTCCCTATCACCAGGGCAAGTAGAAAGGCCACATGTAAGTGTTTCAGCCAAAAGCATAGCTGAGATCCCAGCTACAGTTGTGAATGAAGATGCCTCCGGGCACTCTTGGCCTTCATGGCTTTCCGTTGAGATCCCAGACATTGTGGAGCACAGGCAAGCCGTCCCTACCGTACCCTGCCTGGATTCTCAACTCGGAGTCTGTGAGCTTAAGAAAATGTTTGTTTTTACATGACTAAGTTTTAGGGTGGTTTGTTATGTAATAATAAGAACTTTCCAAATTACTAGGGGAATTATTCAAGATACTTTCAAGTTCCTGGAAAGGTCAGAATAGCACCAACTGATAGCAACCTCTAGAGCTGGGTGGGTATATACTGGCTGAGAAATAGCCCAGCCAATCACACTTTCTTTTCTATTCTCATTATTCTGAAATTTGTGATAATCATTTCTTTGCTGTTTTAAGAAAATAGTCTTACCAACCATAGTGACATCTTTTGACAACAGAGTTTTGTCTTTTTAACTTCATCTAAATGAAATCATATTACATTAATTCCCTTCTGTCTTACTTCTTTTGCTCTACATTTAATTTGTGAGATCCATCCATGTGAAAGCAGTTCACTTTCTAAAAGATCAGGTAACTTCTCAAAGCAGAATATTGTAGAAGGACGAAGTCCTTGGCCCCTTATAGTGCACAGGATGGAGAAGACATGATGGATTGTGCCTTCCGAAGTTTTGCTATGCCTTCCTTCTTTCTGACTGTGAAAGGAAAATAAATCTTGGGGCCGCAAAATCACTAAGCTAAAGGGAAAAGTCAAGCTGGGAACTGCTTAGGTCAAACCTGCCTCCCATTCTATTCAGTCACCCTTCTGCTAACTGAGATAAATGCATATCTGACTGCTTCCTTTGGAGAGGCTAATCAGAAACTGGAAAGAATGCAACTGGTTGTCTCTCACCTACCTGTAACCTGGAAATCCCCCCCGCCACCTTGAGTTGTCCTGCCTTTGCAGACCGAAGCAATGTTCATCTTACATATGTTGATTGACGTCTCACGTCTCCCTAAAACGTATAAAATCAAGCTGTGCTCTGACCGCCTTGGCTGCATGTCATCAGGACCTCCTGAGGCTGTGACACAGGCGTGCACACTCAACCTTGGCAAAATAAACTTTCTAAATTAACTGAGACCTGTTTTAGATATTTGGGGTTCACATTTTGGTAACCACAAAGGGATACTAAGTGGAGGTGCTCCTGACCTTTGATAAATCTGTGAGTGCTTGGCGCCAACTTGAGCTATCTTTTATTTATTTATTTATTTATTTTGAGATGGAGTCTTGCTGTTGCCCAGTCTGGAGTGCAATGGCGTGAGCTTGGCTCACTGCAACCTCCACCTCCTGGGTTCAAGCAATTCTCTTACCTCAGCCTCCCGAGTGGCTGGGACTACAGGCAAGTGCCACCACGCCCAGCTAGTTTTTGTATTTTTAGTAGAGGCAGGGTTTCACTATGTTGGTCAGGCTGGTCTCGAACTCCTGAGCTCGTGATCTGCCCACCTCGGCTTCCCAATGTGCTGGGATTACAGGCGTGAGCCACCGTGCCTGGCCTTTGAGCTATCTCTATGGCTCAAACCAATAGGAAAATTTGCTGAGGCCTGGAAGCACCACCTCCAGAGAATCTCTGATCTCCCAAAATTTGATTGAGATATAAAGTTAATTTTGCCATTCAACTCCTTTTTTTGGACATTACTTGCTTCTAACACAAGGAAGGCAAGTTTTCCTGCTTCCCTGATGATGGAAGGCAGGTAATTCCTTTATTGAGTTTGGGCTTGCTTCCAACAGGAAAGACAAGTTTGAATTTTTTCCTGCTTCTAGGATGGTAGAGAGCAGTCTTCAGCCTGAGACCCATCGCTAGATAAGTAGATGAATTGGGGTTTGTCTCAGCTAAAGTTAAAATTAACAACGAGCTGGTCTTAATTTCTCCTTATCATTAGAGCACTAAGTAAGTTGTGCTATCATTTATTTTCCTTAATTTTTTTGTTGTTTCTTTCTGTTTTTGTTGTTGTTTTGGTCTTATTTTCCACTGGGTTTGAACAACTCTATCCCACTTGATGAAAGCCAAAGGAAAGTTCCAAATTACGGGGAACAAGTCCTCTGAAGTGGCTAAATTCTGCCCCCCCACCCCACCCCCAACACACACACACAAAAGGTAGTGTGGTTGGGGGAGGAGAAAAACCGCTATCGAAAGCTAAAAAAAAAAAAAAAAAGGAAATTTTTTTTATTTTGACTACTTAAAGGGCTTTATTTATAAAACAAGGCGACTTTTTGCTAGCCAGGCCAAACTGAAAGAGCAATGGCTATCACCCCACGCTGCAGTTTGATAGCTAAGGTTCTGCTTTCTTTGTTTCCACCACCATAGCCTGGGTTTTGTTCCTAAATCAAGCCCTTTCTAGTTTGATACTTTGCAGTTCTGAAATAGCAGCTGTTTGTCCTAGCTGAAATATGGTAAAGAGATTTTAAAGGATTTTTTTTAAGGAGCTCAATGGTTAAAAGTCAGCTTAATTAAAAGCTAACATCAAGATGTGTGTGTGTGTGTGTGTGTGTGTGTGCGCGCGCGCACGTGTGTGTGTTTGTATTTAAAAGGCTTTCATATTTTTGTTTTCTTTCTCTCCTAGGACCTTGTCTTTTTTTTTGAACAAAAGTTTTTTTCTTCTCAGTTGACTGAATTCTGCTTTCTTCATTTACTTCTGCTGTCTCTCCTTTCTCTTGCACCCTCTGCTGCATGAGGGACCTAAAATAGTTTATAATAGGCTGGAATTCCTTAAAGAAAATGAGGAAGGCACCAGACTCCTTTTGGGAGAGAAACCTGTTTTTCCTTATGGAACCGTAAGAGTGTAAACAGACAAGTTTGTCACAGCTCTTAAACTGCTTGATTTTGTATTGTGTTGCCTGATTTTTTGACTAAAATAGTTATTGCAACAGAGGCTACTCTTGGGTTTTTTTGTTTTGTTTTTGAGATGGAGTTTCACTCTTGTTGCCCAGGCTGGAGTGCAGTGGCACAATCTTGGCTCACTGCAACCTCCACCTCCCGGGTTCAAGAGATTCTCCTGCCTCAGCCTCCTGAGTAGCTGGGATTACAGGCACCCACCACCACGCCTGGCTAAATTTTTGTACTTTTAGTAGAGATGGGGTTTCATCATGTTGGCCAGGCTGGTCTTCAACTCGTGACCACAGGTAATCCACCCACCTCGGCCTCCCAAATTGCTGGGATTACAGGTGTGAGCCACTGTGCCCGGCCAGAACCACTGGGCCCAGCCTACCCTTGGTTTTTTAAGGAAGAATGTCATTTAGACACTTAAAAATGTCTTTGTTAGAAAAATTTTTTTAAGTGCACTGTAAAAGCATCACATGGTCTAGCCTCATAAGAATTCTCCCTTTTTAGAGACCCAAGATTTAGTGTGGGCCATGCCCAGAGCTCAGAGATCCAGTTAAAAGATAAGTAGTCCTTATCTAAATAAAACTGGCCTCCTTGTACAATCCTGTGATAGATTTCTGTAATTTTATGTTTGATTTGGCATCCATCTTTAATCTCCTTCTACACCAGCAGATTATTTATCTCTGTATCTTGAGATGTAAATTTTGCTATCTGATTTCTCATCTAAGAGTTGTTTCCTTCAATATACAGATTTAGGACTATTTAGCCAACAACTGCAAGGGTAATAAAACAGGTTAACAAGAGTTTGCAAATCAAAGATAGGAAAAAAAAGAGGTCTTAGGGATCTATAAAATGTACTTTTATCAGTATGACTGATACAACTATGTATTTATGTGTTGTGTACACAATGTTTCACTACTGAAAATACATAAAAGAGCTCTAATTAATTGGCTTGAGAAAAATAAAAGCACTTGAATCACATTCTTTATCAGGAAAAAAGAAAAGACTAATCAAATGTTTTTTCAAGTTTATGTGACTTAAGTAAAATCTTTAATAAATAAGCTAATTTTAAAAGTATTGGTAAAGTAATATTAGAAATGTCTTAAGAATTGCCAGCATACATTTTTGTTTGCTTTTATTGATCAAGTAACTTCATATTTATCCCTGCCAAATACTATTGAGAGGTGACAACGTGCTAGCAGCCCTCGCTTGCTCTCGGCGCCTCCTCGGCCTCGACATCCACTCTGGCCACGCTTGAGGAGCCCTTCAGCCTGCCACTGTACTGTGGGAGCCCCTCTCTGGGCTGGCCAAGGCCAGAGCCGGTCCCTCTGCTTGTGGGGAGGTGTGGAGGGAGAGGTGTGGATGGGAACTGGGGCTGTGTCTGGCGCTCACAGGCCAGCGTGAATTCCAGGTGGGCGCGGGCTCAGCGGGCCCCGCACTCGGAGCAGCTGTCCAGTGCCGCCGGCCCCGGGCAGTGAGGGGCTTAGCACCCGGGCCAGCAGCTGTGGAGGGTGCACCAGGTCCTCCAGCAGTGCCAGCCTGCCAGCACCGTGCTTGAATTCTCACTGGGCCTCAGCTGCCTCCCCACGAGGCAGGGCTCAGGACCTGCAGCCTGCCATGCTTGAGCCCCCCGCCACACCCCATGGGCTCCTGCGCAGCTCAAGCCTCCCCGACGGGTGCAGCCCCCTGCTCCGTGGAGCCCAGTCCCATCAACCACCCAAGGGTGAGGAGTGCGGGCACATGGCGTGGGACTGGCGGGCAGCTTCGCCCGCGGCCCTGGCGTGGGATCCACTAGGCAAAGCCAGCTGGGCTCCTGAGTTGCGTGGGGACTTGGAGAACTTTCATGTCTACCTGGAGGATTGTAAATGCACCAATCAGCCCTCTGTGTCTAGCTCAGGGTTTGTGGATGCACCAGTCAGCACTCTGTACCTAGCTAATCTGGTGGGGACTTGGAGAACTTTTATGTCTAGCTCAGGTATTTTAAACACACCAATCAGCACCCTGTCAAAATGGACCAATCAACTCTCTGTAAAATGGACCAATCGGCTCTCTGTAAAATGGACCAATCAGCAGGATGTGGGTGGGGCCAGATAAAGGAATAAAAGCAGGCTGCCCGAGCCAGCAGCGGCAACCTGCTCGGGTCCCCTTCCATGCTGTGGAAGCTTTGTTCTTTTGCTCTTTGCAATAAATCTTGCTGCTGCTCACTCTTTGGGTCCACACTGCCTTTATGAGCTGTAACACTCACCGCAAAGGTCTGCAGCTTCACTCCTGAGGCCAGTGAGACCACGAACCCACCAGGAGGAATGAACAACTCCAGATGGGAGGAGCAAACAACTCCCGACACGCCGCATTAAATGCTGCAACACTCACCACGGAAGTCTGCAGCTTCACTCCTGAAGCCAGCAAGACCATGAACCCACCAGAAGGAAGAAACGCTGAACACATCCAAACATCAGAAGGAACAAACTCCAGACACACTATCTTTAAGAACTGTAACACTCACCGCAAGGGTACGCAGCTTCATTCTTGAAGTCAGTGAGACCAAGAACCCACCAATTCTGGACACACTATAACATGTCAAAATTTGGCATAAGGGTTACAAAACTATAAACCCAGCCCAAAACAGAATGATCTTCATTTATGTAATGTTTTAATAAATAAGACATTGACATTGGTTTAATAAAAATAGCTACATCTTGAATTTAGTAAGACTACCGTAACTTCTAATCTTGTGGCTTTAGGCAGTCTAGTCCACATGCAGGAAGGAAGTTTGTTTTGAAAAAGGACTGTTAACACTTGTTTCAAAGCTAACCTATAAACAAAGTTCCTCCGAAAGTTAGTTTGGCCTATGTCTGGGAATGAACAAGGAGCTGGAAGGTTAGAAGCAAGATAGAATCAGTTAGGTCAGATCTTTTTCATGGTCTCAGTTATAATTTTGCAATGGTGGTTTCATAACTTTAAATTATGACTTTCAGTTTTCATAAATAATCTCAGTAAGTGATTAAAATAATTAGGTAAGTGTAATGGAATAAATACTTGTAGACAAACTTGTCATAATTTAGAATCTAAAGTTATATTAAATTACCTAACAGATATTTCATTATTCGGGTATTTCCCAATAAAAATATACTGTTGGAAAACATTCTTTAAAAAAAGTGTGTTCTTTTTAAAAAGGTGAATAATTTTTGTCTAATTCAAAGTTTATTTAAAGATTATGTATAAAACAAGGTAAAAAGAACCAGGAAGTAAGAGAGATATGAATAAAGTTATAGAAATAAAGAGGTGGCCGGGCATAGTGGCTCATGCCTGTAATCCCAGCACTTTGGGAGGCCTAGGCGGGCAGACCACAAGGTCAGGAGACTGATACCATCCTGGCTAACACAGTGAAATGCCATCTCTACTAAAAATACAAAAAATTAGCCAAGCGTGGTGGTAGGTACCTGTAGTCCCAGCTACTTGGGAGCCTGAGGCAAGAGAATGGCATGAACCTGGGAAGTGGAGCTTGCAGTGAGCCAAGCTCGCACCACTGCACTCCAGCCTGGGTGACAGAGTGAGACTCCATCTCCAAAAAAAAAAAAAGAGGTTTTTTTAAATAAGAAAGCTTAAAGAGAAATAATTTTATATGAGAAAGAATCTTGTATGGTAAATTTTGTCCTAGAATAAAATGACTGGTTGTTTAAGAAAGAGGAATGTTCAGGACAGACGAGAAAGTCCAGGCATGTCATGAATGATCTGTGTAAGTCACAATAATAGGATTTAAAAAAAAAACTTGTATGTGATAAAGTTGTCTATAATTAAAAAGAAATGATAATGGACTATCTAGAGATTGGGCTTGATGTAAAAAAAATTTATACACTAAATAATTGGTTAGAACAATGAAATTTTCGTAAGCAATTGATTTAATAAATTATAAGACATTTTCATTTTTTTAACCCGAAGTTCAACTTTTATAGCATCTCACCATTGTTTGTTTTCTCTCTCCTTTTAAAGAGTGCTAAATGGTTATGCTCTCCTTCAACTCATTGTCAGCTCATATAAGTTTTTTTCCATGAGCTCTGTTTGTTGGGGCCTGATGTTAACAATGTTTTCTTAAAGGTCTAAAGGAACTATTTTCTTCCAACATAATATTCTGTGGATTGAAGAAAGTCTTTTCTTTTGCCTTTTCGTAACTGGCCTAACAGATTTTACATTTTATCAAAACAATTCCTATACCATTATTATTAAGTTTTGGTTTGCTTAGGAAAAAACTTAGATTAAAACATTTTTTTTAATTAAGGTTATTACATCCATGTATCTTTTGGTATGTGCTTTTAAAGTCCTTGTGACATTGAGTTACTGGGCTTTCATTCTAAAACAGACACCAATTCCTGCTAAATCTTAAACACTAACAGCAATTAAAGCCTCATCCTCAGGTCTGGTAGAAAATGCCAATCAAACTGCATTCCTGAGACACAGGGCCAGAAATTAAAGCTATTCAACTCTTCATGGCCCAGGGACTATCATGGAAGAGGTGGGCATGTGAGATTGTTATGGCTGATTTTGAAAGATAAAATAAGTTCAGTTTCTCTATAAATTAATCATTAATGTCAAAGGCACACTGATGCAAGACCAGCATATGGGCCACTGTGTCTGACTGACAAGGTTTTCTTGAAGCATTAACCAATTTCTTAATAAAGGTTATAAAGATTATAAAAGGCTTATGGAAGTTATATCTTGTGGTCAAGATTAAAATTTTATAGATTATTTATAAAATTTTGAAAAACAAATTTCGTTGGCTTCATGCTGTTTGGAAAATTAAGTCTCTCTGAAAGAATAAAGGTGTTCTCCTTTTTTTGAAATCCTTGAGTTATCACTTTTGTATAAATGACTTATTTTACAATGACCTGTGATTCTGTTTTGTGATATCAAGTATTTTAAACCCTTGATATTTAACAAACCTTCCAAAATCAAATTATAAATTATATTTTTTTCTGACCTAAGTAATCCTTTAAGACATTAGGTTCCCTAAAGTCCAAAAAGGACATAATTTGGCTTATTTGGCGTAAAAATTACAGGAAGCATTGTCAAATATGAAATGGTATTTGGTTTTCTTTGGGCTGTATTTGTATAAATATGCTATTGGTATGTGTTCCAAAATCATGGGAAACTCCTATAATTCTGATATGACCTAGTGTACATTATCGGTAAAAATTACAATTGTTATGTTAAATTATTGTGTGCCACAGAGGTAACAAATTTCCTTGTCAATTGTGTCTTTGACTATGGCTGCCCTAAAACCTTTTGTCATCCACAGAAAATTGCTGCTTTGTTTTGATCCTCCTTAGAAGGTGGTTTTATAATCAGCTATAAAACTCTAACAGGCTCTCTTGAATGCAGGTTTCCAATAACTTTGGAGATTGTGGTATCAGAATAGAGGAAAAAACATTCAGGACTCATGGAGAGCTGAAATGTTCATGAATATCAAGCAGAACAGGAATTAACTGCATGGACTGAACTAACAGAAGATGGAATTAATCTCTTTGACTTTTTGCTTAAAACATTGCTGACCCTTTGTTTTGTTTTTCAGAGTCAAGGCAACTTTTCTTTGAGCTATTGACAGCTTTTAACAATTTAGTATACTCCTATGAACAAAAATTGGAGCATATTTATTTCTCTCTACCTGATTTCTCCAGAATTTGGAAAATATTTTTGAGTATTCTTAACTTACGACAATACAGTTATTTGCATAAGTGCAATAAGAATCTGTTTTCATTTGTAACAGGACACAACTGGAGAAACTGGTTATTTTACCAAGGCTTTGACTGGAATGGCATGCTTTCCTTTAAGGAGTCAAACTTGACTTATGCAACCAATAAAAGCCCCTTGGAAAAACTGGCCTCATACCTTGTCTACACAGTCCCTGCACAGGGTTCATGACCTGTGGTAAGCAAAGAATGCAACTTTCTGACAGGCCTTGGAGCCCCCAAGTTTATCTTGGGACCTCAAGAGGAGAGGAATTCACCCCACTCATAGGTGTTTGATGGTACAAATCCATGGCTGGGCTCAGCTTTAAAAAAGTCTTATCTGAGGTTCCTTTTATGAAACAAAGTTCCATTAAAGCCAATTCTAAAAGCCTATGTGAAAATAATTATTCTTGCTGTACTTTATACAAATAATATGGCCAAGTATAACAAAGCAAATCAGTTCTATCATGATTTGTCTTTAGTAAAAATGGGAAACTGCAGAGAGAAAAATTGTGTTTCAAAAACTATAGTACACCAGTTGTTAGATTCTAGTTTTGCCTAATGTTTTTCAATTTTTATTATTTTATACAGTTTGGACCAAATTCTAATTTTTTCCAGTCTACAAGTCTCCAAAATAATGTTTTAAATTTTTTTCTTTTCTTTTCCTTTTTCTCCAATTTTTTACCTAAACTGAAATCACTGAAAACTAAGCTGTGCTTTCTTAAAGCCCTGCAAACTGAAGCTAAACAACTTACACTTCAGCAGAAAATAACAGCATTTACATATATAAGCCACTTTCACACCTGCCTACTGATATAATGGACTTCAGAGTAATGTGGCCTATATCAATTTTCCAGGATTGTTCTTTTGTTTGTTGTTGTTTTTCTCCCTTCCTTCCAGTATTTTCTCTTCACAGGACATGAGACTTCACAACCTGCTAAAAATGAGCTTTCTAATAACTCAGAACCTACCCATCTAGGACTAAACCAACTTAGTCATAAGAGAGAAGATGAAACCTGAGACCAGAGACTCATTTTCTTCTAAAATGTTTTCTCCAAAAGACTTTTTAAAAGAAAAGGGGGGAAATGTGAAAGGCAAATAAATCTTTGGGCCCCCAAATCAATAAGCTAAAGGCAAAAGTCAAGCTGGGAACTGCTGAGGGCAAACCTGCCTCCCATTTTATTCAAAGTCACCCCTCTGCTTACTGAGATAAATGCATATCTGATCCCTCCTTTGGAAAGGCTAATCAGAAACTCAAAAGAATACAGCCATTGGTCTCTCACATACCTATAACGTGGAAACCCCCTCCCCACTTTGAGTAGTCATGCTTTTCCGGACCAAACCAATGTTCATCATATATGCATTGATTGATGTCTCATGTCTCCTTAAAATGTATGAAACCAAGTTGTGCTCTGACTACCTTGGGCACTTGCCTTCAGGACCTCATGAGGCTGTTTCATGGGTGTGTGTCCTCAACCTTGGCAAAATAAACTTTCTAAATTAACTGAGACCTGTCTTAGATATCTGAGCTTCACATGACCAACCTTCATTCATTCTACATATATTTATGGAGCACTCAATTTATTCCAGGCTCTATTCTAGGCTTTAGGAAGAGGCAGTGAATAATGTAAAGTTATTTGTCCTTGTGGAGCTTACATTTTAATAGAGGGAGACAGACAATAATCAAACTGATTTATGAAGACGTGGAGGAGGAGAGGAGGAGAGGAGGGGGATGAAAGAGAAGGAGAAGAGGAGGAGGATGAGAGAAGGAGGAGAAGAGGAGGAAGTGTAGAAGGAAGAGGAGGAGAAGAATACTTTACAGTGTGGTTGAAACATATGGATTCCATAGATTATATTGATTCCATACAATTCTTAGAATTCCATGAAAAATGAAGAGGGGGAGAAGGAGGAGGCAGATAGGAAGAAAGGGGAGGAAAAGGAAAGAAAAGAAACATCAAAATAAAAGCTTATACTTACAGAGAGTGATAGAGAAGGAGGTGTTCCTCTCATTCCCAACTGTGGTTTATCTTTTAAATCCCTCTCACAATCATCCCATAATCCCTTTTTAATCTTACTCTCAACATCTGGAATCTCAATCCCCTTCACTCTTAAAACTCCACCCCTTTCCCTGTAGGGAAACAGCTGCATCTTGTATTTGTCATGGAAACCTCAATCTTCAATCAAATAGAGTAACGCAGCCCTTCCTTTGCTTAGGAGTTTCAGGCTCTCAACTGGGATAGGTGGGTTCTGGTCTCTTGAGGTGAGGAAGAAGCTGAAGCAGCAAAGGCTACTGCTGTCAGCCTCCCAGGTTACCTAAAGGCAAACAAATCTCACTAGAGCAAACATTAATTTTCTTTTCCAAACAACACAATTTAATCTCCTATGGGGAAGTCATACTTCTCTTTGCAACATGGCTTTGATTGCATTGCTTGTGAAATAGCAACCTGGGACTCATTGTGATAACAAGCATGTGACTACTTCCTGTGGCTGCTTGAATGTAAGGGCCACAACCTTAGTGGATAATGGCTCTCTCTGGTTGAAAAAATCCTCACATCTTTCCCGATAGCAGTAGGGAATAAGATCTCAATTCATCTCCCCACAACCTCAAGTGAGAAATTTGGACATAATTCCATATACAGAAGACATAAAGACTTGTTTTTAAAACTCAGAGGAGAGGAATTATCATAGCTTAGCTTTAGGATGAATATTGGCATAATGATAGGATGGACCAAAATAATAATAATAATAAAGGAGGTAGGAGAACTAGTAAGAAAATGACGTCAATTTTCCAGATGAGAAGCAATGAGCACTGAGATCAAGTCATAGGAATAGACAGGAAAAGTGAGAGATAGACTCAAGGCACAATGCACAGGAGAAGCCACAGAGCTGTGCAACTAATTAAATACTAAGAGCAGTTGAGAGATGTCAACATTTCCAGCTTCGTGACCATGTGAATTGTTGTCCTGGTAGAAGAAAGAAGAGAAAAGAAAAGGGAAGAGAAGAAAAAAGAAAAGGAGAGAGAGAGAGAGGGAGGGAGGGAGCGAGAGAGGGAGAGGGAAAATCAGGGTGGATGTGGGGTGGGAGAGGAAAGGGTCTATTGTGAACATGTGAAGTTTTAGATGTTCACAGACATCCTATACTGTGTCAAGGTTTCTCAATCCTTGAGACAATGAAGATTTCTCAGAAGCAGTTTGGGAAGTTACAGATGTGGACCTTGCAGTTTGATAGATGTTGGTTTGAATCCTGCCATCACTCCTTGCTAAGGGTGTGACCCTTGGCAAGGCACTGCCTGCTCAGTGTCTTCATCTGTAAGATGAAATTAATAGCGCCTATCTCATAGAAGGATTAAATGAGAAAACTCAAGTAGGCCACTTTGAACATTTCCTGGCATAGAGAACAATATGTAAAAGTTAAAAATTGTTCGTCTTTGATCATTGCTTTATTCAACCCTTCTTAAGATAAAGACCTGTTAAAAATATTCTAAATTATTTTTACATAACACATGATCACTTCCTCTTTGTTTGCCTTCACACTTCATTCAAGGTTGGTGGTCAATGACAGTTTGCAAACTGTCCCAGGCAGTCTTTCCTATGGTAATGAGACCCCCAAGAGAGTGTTTAGCAAAAGTGTTTGCCTAGAGAGATCAAGAGGAGTTTGTGTAGTTTGCACTTTGTAATTATAATGAGAATTACGTCAATTCATCATACTTTTAAACCCAAAGTCTTGCCCAAAATGACTGCAGTTGAACATGTGTTTATCATAGTGCTACTCTAAAAAGAAGGTACCTTATGTAAGCAAGAAGGAGTCCCCTCGCTCGTAGGTGTAAGGGGGCAAATCAATGTGCTGTGGAGGAGGGGTGTGTGAGCAAACAAGGTGTATCAGAATCGCTAGAACATATCCAAAGCTTGTAAATGAATGTAATACCCGGATGCTTACTCATATTAGAATCAAAATGTCCATCTCAGAACATGCCAGTAGCTTAAGTTTGAATGCCCATTAGTTCCTTAAAATTAAATGCAGACCAGACAATTATCATATAATTTATAAATACTATATTTTAAGAACATTTATTTATCCAACATGTATTGAGTGCAGACCCTAATGAAGAAAGGTAGCAGACCTAGAAGAATCTGACAGGTCTTCTCCTTGAAATTTGGCTCTAATATCTTCTAGTTAGACACCTATGCCTCCCTGAGTCTAATTCTCTCCTTTAAAATGGAGATAACGAATCCGCCTTGCAAAGATGTTGCAAGCATTAAATACTGTAATGTGTTTAAAATGTCTAGAGCCATGCTTACATTAAAAAAGCAGAATTTATTCAATTAATATTATTAATGTAATGACTGATCATTAAATAAATGTTCAATAAATAGAAATTACTGCTACCCTTATTATACATGCTAAGTACTGTAGTATGCAAGAGACAAATACAGTGCCCACAAGGGACAAATGTCGCTGTCCACCAGTGGCTCCCATTCTTGTGGAGAAATGCATAATGTCCTGTAAGGTTGGTCCAAAGTTTTGCAAATTAAGAAATTCAGGTAAAGTATATTTCACAGATTTTGCTCTAAAATATATAAACTTCCTGAGACTGAGCTTGTCCTACAATCCAAAATTAATGAGATGCAATTCTATCTGAGTGATTTATAGGTATCAGATTGGAAATAGTTTCAACCTTTAACAAATACCACCAATAAAGTACTTGTTAGCTAAGACTCTGTTGACATCACATTTGCGTGTGGCTTGGACCAGGAGAGATTCTGCTTATATTATGGTGTTTACTGATAGGTCGTGATAACCTGATCTCAGTTCCAAAAGAAACCTGTCTAACTTTTAGCCATTCCAGTTTTCCTTTTTACAAATTTGACCCTGTAGTACAGTAAATGTAACTTTATAAATCCTATATACAAAAGAGCTATAAAAGTTCTGAAGCAGTGCTTATAATTGTTTTGTTATATATTACAAGCCCAACATTTAATTAGATGTACAAAAGCACCACATAAATATTAATATTTATCTTTATCATTAAAATTCTCTTTAATAGACAAAAGGAAAATATTCACAACAATCTATATCATATTTCCCATTCTCACCGTATATAAGGAAGTCAAGGTGCAATTCACTGTTATTTTTAATGTCACATTATCTTCATGCCTTGTCATTCTTCGTTAACGTGTGAGGATAACTCCAGTAATATAGGCTGAACCTATTTCTGAAGAGTGTATCTTACAAGTAACCAATAAGCAATGTAATACACACAATAACTATATGCTCCATCTCAGAAGAACTGGGAAGTGTTTTGCCATCATCGAGTGCCTATGTTAAGGCAATTAGAAGCCTTAATTCTAGCAGTGCACTTAATTTTCTTTATATATTAACGGCTAAGGCACTTCAGGTTAAAAAAGATGAATGATACTTGATTATCTAAGGGCCCTTATACAGTTGAGGAAGGAAACAGACTGACCTACTGGTCATTGTAATAGAAGATTGACTGTGTGCCCTCTATCCACGTAGATGACTGTCGACTTAAAATGAATCTTACAGGTCCCTCCATGACACCTTTTGTAAATCTTATTGGTTCTGTGCACTTAAAGGAACAAAGCTTTCTACCAATTTCTACACATTTTAGAAATGAAGATTCACTTCGATTTTAAGTGATTCAATCGAAGTACCTATTCTCTTTTCAGATTTTTTTTTTTTTTTGAGACAAAGTCTCACTCTGTTGCCCAGGCTGGAGTGCTATGGTACTATCTCGGCTCACTGCAAGCTCTGCCTCTCGGGTTCATGCCATTCTCCTGCCTCAGCCTCCCAAGCAGCTGGGACTATTTTTGTATTTTTAGTAGAGATGGGGTTTCACTGTGTTAGCCAGGATGGTCTCCATTTCCTGACCTCGTGATCCGCCCGCCTTGGCCTCCCAAAGTGTGGGATTACAGGCATAAGCCACCGTGCCTGGCCTCTCTTTTCAGATGTTCTTATGCTTATCTGTGGCATCATATTGTCAAGTATTCCACCATTCAACCTACTTAATGTAAGAAAGCCATCAAAAATAATAAAATTATAGCCACCTGGAATTAACACTAAATTTTCTGAAAAACTCTGAAGAAGCTTTATGGCATTAGTAGATTTAATGCTATGCCTTCTGTTAGGATGATTTGAATAGCTGAGGGAAATGTGTAGGAAACTTTGTTATATTTCTGTTTCATGCATGGATTTGCTTTGTAATGTTGGACACTTTGTAAAGCTAGGAAAGAGAGTGGCTCTTCAGCTGAAATTCTGCAATTCTAGGATTCTCAATAGAAAAAATATAAATAAGACCCCTTCCTTCAACTCCAAGGCTCTCTTCCATTACTATGAGAAAGTCGTCCCCCCTAGCAGGTGAAGTGACAAACCCCTGTGCCTAGAACAATTGACTTCTTCCTGATGATTTTCTTGAAGTGCTTCTCAAGTGTGGAAAAAAAAAAAGGAAAATTAGCTTCCGGCTATTGCTAGCTGGATGTTGTCCAGAAATAATTGCGTAATTGTATCTCTCAGAATCCAAAACAAATCATGCCAGAAAACTGGCAGCAGAAGTAGTAGATATGAAACAGTCTGTCACTAAACTTTATTTAAACCCCTAGGCATCAAGAAATACTGAGAGGTGACAGTGTGCTGGCAGCCCTGGCAGCCCTCACTCGCTCTCGGTGCCTCCTCGGCCTCGGCACACATTCTGGCCGCACTTGAGGAGCCCTTCAGCCCGCCACTGCACCATGGGAGCCCTTCTCTGGGCTGGCCGAGGCCGCAGCTGGCTCCCTCGGCTTGTGGGGAGGTGTGGAGGGAGAGGCACGGGCGGGAACTGGGGCTACGCGGGCACTTGCGGGCCAGCTAGAGTTCCGGGTGGGTGTGGGCTTGGTGGGCCCCACACTCAGAGCAGCAGGCCAGCCCTGCCAGCCTGGGTAGTGAGGGGCTTAGCACCTAGGCCAGCAGCTGCAGAGGGTGTGCTGGGTCCCCCAGCGGTGCTGGCCCACCAGCGCTGCGCTCAATTTCTCGCTGGGCCTTAGCTGCCTCCCCACGGGGCAGGGCTCGGGAACTGCAGCCCGCCATGATGGAGTCGCCCCCCCCAACCCCTCCGTGGGCTCCTGTGTGGCCTGAGTCTCCCTAACGAGCACCACCCCCTACTCCACCACACCCGGTCCCATCGACCATGGAAGGGCTGAGGAGTGCGGGCCCATGGCGCAGGACTGGCAGGCAGTTCCACCTGCAGCCCCAGTGTGAGATCCACTGGGTGAAGCCAGCTGGGCTCCTGAGTCTAGTGGGGACTTGGAGAATCTTTATGTCTAGCTAAGGGATTGTAAATGCACTAATCAGCACTCTGTGTCTAGCTCAAGGTTTGTAAATGCACCAATCAGCGCTCTGTGTCTAGCTAATCTGGTGGGGACTTGGAGAATCTTTATGCCTAGCTAACGGATTGTGAATGCACCAATCGGCACTCTGTATCTAGCTCAAGGTTTGTAAATGCACCATTCAGCACTCTGTGTCTAGCTCAAGGTTTGTAAATACACCAATCGACACTGCATCTAGCTAATCTAGTGGGGAAGTGGAGAACTTTTGTGTCTAGCTCAGGGATTGTAAACGCACCAATCAGCACCCTGTCAAAATGGACCGATCAGCACCCTGTCAAAACAAACCAATCGGCTCTCTGTAAAATGGACCAATCAGCAGGATGTGGGTGGGGCCAGATAAGAGAATAAAAGCAGGCTGCCTGAGCTAGCAGTGGCAAGCCACTGGGGTCCCCTTCCCCACTGTGGAAGCTTTGTTCTTTTGCTCTTTGCAATAAATGTTGCTGCTGCTCACTCTTTGGGTCCACAATGCCTTTATGAGCTGTAACACTCACTGTGAAGGTCTGCGGCTTCACTCCTGAGGCCAGCAAGACCATGAACCCACCAGAAAGAAGAAACTCCGAACACATCCGAACATCAGAAGGAACAAACTTCATTTCACCTTTAAGAACTGTAACACTTGGAAGGAGGAGCCAAGATGGCTGAATAGGAACAGCTCCGGTCCACAGCTCCCAGTGTGAGCGACGCAGAAGACGGGTGATTTCTGCATTTCCAACTGAGGTACCAGGTTCATCTCACTGGGGAGTGCCATACAGTAGGTACAGGAGAGTGGGTGCAGCGCACCGTGCGCGAGCCGAATCAGGGTGAGGCATCGCCTTACCCGGGAAGCGCAAGGGGTCAGGGAATTCCCTTTCCTAGTCAAAGAAAGGGGTGACAGACAGACGGCACCTGGAAAATCAGGTCACACGCACCCGAATACGGCGCTTTTCCAACGGGCTTAAAAAACGGCACACCAGGAAATTATATCCCACACCTGGCTCAGAGGGTCCTAGGCCCATGGAGTCTCGCTCATTGCTAGCACAGCAGTCCGAGATCAAACTGTAAGGCGGCAGCAAGGCTGGCAGAGGGGTGCCCGCCATTGCCGAGTTAGTTGTTTGATTAGGTAAACAAAGCGGCCGGGAAGCTCGAACTGGGCGGAGCCCACCACAGCTCAAGGAGGCCTGCCTGCCTCTCTAGGCTCCACCTCTCAGGGCAGAGCACAGACAAACAAAAAGACAACAGTAACCTCTGCAGACTTAAATGTCCCTCTCTGACAGCTTTGAAGAGAGTAGTTGTTCTCCCAGCTCGCAGCTTGAGATCTGAGAACAGGCAGACTGCCTCCTCAAGTGGGTTTCTGACCCCCCGAGTAGCCTAACTGGGAGGCACCCCCCAGTAGGAACGGACTGACACCTTACATGGCTGGGTACTCCTCTGAGACAAAACTTCCAGAGGAACGATCAGGCAGCAGCATTTGCGGTTCACCAATATATGATGTTCTGCAGCCACCGCTGCTGATACTTAGGCAAACAGGGTCTTGAGTGGACCTCTAGCAAACTCCAACAGACCTGTAGCTGAAGGTCCTGGCTGTTAGAAGGAAAACTAACAAACAGAAAGGACATCCACACCAAAAACCCATCTGTATGTTACCATCAGCAAAGACCAAAGTTAGATAAAACCAAAAAGATGGGGAAAAAAACAGCAGAAAAACTGGAAACTCTAAAAAGCAGAGCGCCTCTCCTCCTCCAAAGGAACGCAGCTCCTCATCAGCAACAGAACAAAGCTGGATGGAGAATGACTTTGACAAGTTGAGAGAAGAAGGCTTCAGACGATCAAACTACTCTGAGCTACAGGAGGAAATTTGAACCAATGGCAAAGAAGTTAAAAGCTTTGAAAAAAAATTAGATGAATGGATAACTAGAATAACCAATGCAGAGAAGTCCTTAAAGGACCTGATGGAACTGAAAACCAAGGCACGAGAGCTACGTGACGAATGCAGAAGCCTCAGTGGCTGATACGATCAACTGGAAGAAAGGGTATCAGCCATGGAAGATAAAATGAAGGAAATGAAGCGAGAAGAGAAGTTTAGAGAAAAAAGAATAAAAAGAAATGAACAAAGCCTCCAAGAAATATGGGACTATGTGAAAAGACCAAATCTACGTCTGATTGGTGTACCTAAAAGTGACGGAGAGAATGGAACCAAGTTGGAAAACACTCTGCAGGATATTATCCAGGAGAACTTCCCCAATCTAGCAAGGCAGGCCAACATTCAAATTCAGGAAATACAGAGAACACCACAAAGATACTCCTCGAGAAGAGCAACTCCAAGACACATAATTGTCAGATTCACCAAAGTTGAAATGAAGGAAAAAATGTTAAGGGCAGCCAGAGAGAAAGGTCGGGTTACCCACAAAGGGAAGCCCATCAGACTAACAGCTGATCTCTCAGCAGAAACTCTACAAGCCAGAAGAGAGAGGGGACCAATATTCAACATTCTTAAAGAAAAGAATTTTCAATCCAGAATTTCATATCCAGCCAAACTAAGTTTCATAAGTGAAGGAGAAATAAAATACTTTACAAACAAGCAAATGCTCAGAGATTTTGTCATCACCAGGCCTGCCCTACAAGAGCTCCCGAAGGAAGCACCAAACATGGAAAGGAACAACCAGTACCAGCCACTGCAAAAACATGCCAAATTGTAAAGACCATCAAGGCTAGGAAGAAACTGCATCAACTAATGAGCAAAATAACCAGCTAACATCATAATGACAGGATCAAATTCACACATAACAATATTAACTTTAAATGTAAATGGGCTAAATGCTCCAATTAAAAGACACAGACTGACAAATTGGATAAAGAGTCAAGACCCATCAGTGTGCTGTATTCAGGAAACCCATGTGCAGAGACACACACAGGCTCAAAATAAAGGGATGGAGGAAGATCTACCAAGCAAAAGGAAAACAGAAAAAGGCAGGGGTTGCAATCCTAGTCTCTGATAAAACAGACTTGAAACCAACAAAGATCAAAAGAGACAAAGAAGGCCATTACATAATGGTAAAGGGATCAATTCAACAAGAAGAGCTACCTATCCTAAATATATATGCACCCAATACAGGAGCACCCAGATTCATAAAGCAAGTCCTGAGTGACCTACAAAGAGACTTAGACTCCCACACAATAATAATGGGAGACTTTAACACCCCACTGTCAACATTAGACAGATTCAACGAGACTGAAAGTTAACAAGGATACCCAGGAATTGAACTCAGCTCTGCACCAAGTAGACCTAATAGACATCTATAGAACTCTCCATCCCAAATCAACAGAATATACATTCTTTTCAGCACCACACCACACCTATTCCAAAATTGACCACATACTGGGAAGTAAAGCTCTCCTCAGCAAATGTAAAAGAATAGAAATTATAACAAACTGTCTCTCAGACCACAGTGCAACCAAACTAGAACTCAGGATTAAGAAACTCACTCAAAACCACTCAACTACGTGGAAACTGAACAACCTGCTCCTGAATGACTACTGGGTATTCTCTGGGACACATTCAAAGCCGTGTGTAGAGGGAAATTTATAGCACTAAATGCCCACAAGTGAAAGCAGGAAAGATCTAAAATTGACACCCTAACATCACAATTAAAAGAACTAGAAAAGCAAGAGCAAACACATTCAAAAGCTAGCAGAAGGCAAGAAATAACTAAAATCAGAGTAGAACTGAAGGAAATAGAGACACAAAAAAACCCTTCAAAAAATTAATGAATCCAGGAGCTGGTTTTTTAAAAAGATCAACAAAACTGATAGACCACTAGCAAGACTAATAAAGAAGAAAAGAGAGAAGAATCAAATAGATGCAATAAAAAATGATGAAGGGGATATCACCACCGATCCCACAGAAATACAAACTACCATCAGAGAATACTACAAACATCTCTACGCAAATAAACTAGAAAATCTAGAAGAAATGGATAAATTCCTCCACACATACATCCTCCCAAGACTAAACCAGGAAGAAGCTGAATCTCTGAATAGACCAATAACAGGCTCTGAAATTGAGGCAATAATTAACAGCTTACCAACTAAAAAAAGTCCAGGACCAGATGGATTCACAGCCGATTTCTACCAGAGGTACAAGGAGGAGCTGGTACCATTCCTTCTGAAACTATTCCAATCAATAGAAAAAGAGGGAATCCTCCCTAACTCATTTTATGAGGCCAGCATCATCCTGATACCAAAGCCTGGCAGAGACACAACCAAAAAAGAGAATTTTAGACCAATATCCCTGATGAACATCGATGCAAAAATCCTCAATAAAATACTGGCAAACCGAACCCAGCAGCACATCAAGAAGCTTATCCACCATGATCAAGTGGGCTTCATCCCTGGGATGCAAGGCTGATTCAACATATGCAAATCAATAAATGTAATCCAGCATAAAAACAGAACCAAAGACAAAAACCATGTGATTATCTCAATAGATGCAGAAAAGGCCTTTGACAAAATTCAACAACCCTTCATGCTAAAAACTCTCAATAAATTAGGTATTGATGGAACATATCTCAAAATAATAAGAGCTATCTATGACAAACCCACAGCCAATATCATACTGAATGGACAAAAACTAGAAGCATTCCCTTTGAAAATGGGCACAAGACAGGGATGCCCTCTCTCACCACTCCTATTCAACATAGTGTTGGAAGTTCTGGCCAGAGCAATCAGGCAGGAGAAGGAAATAAAGGGTATTCAATTAGGAAAAGAGGAAGTCAAATTGTCCCTGTTTGCAGATGACATGATTGTATATCTAGAAAACCCCACTGTCTCAGCCCAAAATCTCCTCAAGCTGATAAGCAACTTCAGCAAAGTCTCAGGATACAAAATCAATGTACAAAAATCACAAGCATTCTTATACACCAACAAGAGACAAACAGAGAGCCAGATCATGAGTGAACTCCCATTCACAATTGCTTCAAGGAGAATAAAACACCTAGGAATCCAACTTACAAGGGATGTGAAGGACCTCTTCAAGGAGAACTACAAACCACTGCTCAATGAAATAAAAGAGGATACAAACAAATGGAAGAACATTCCATGCTCATGGGTAGGAAGAATCAATATCGTGAAAATGGCCATACTGCCCAAGGTAATTTATAGATTCAGTGCCATCCCCGTCAAGCTACCAATGACTTTCTTCACAGAATTGGAAAAACTACTTTAAAGTTCATATGGAACCAAAAAAGAGCCCACATTGCCAAGTCAATCCTAAGCCAAAAGAACAAAGCTGGAGGCATCACACTACCTGACTTCAGACTATACTACATGGCTACAGTAACCAAAACGGCCTGGTACTGGTACTAAAACAGAGATATAGACCAATGGAAAAGAACAGAGCCCTCAGAAATAATGCCGCACATCTACAACTATCTGATCTTTGACAAACCTGAGAAAAACAAGCAATGGGAAAGGATTCCCTATTTAATAAATGGTGCTGGGAAAACTGGCTAGCCATATGTAGAAAGCTGAAACTGGATGCCTTCCTTACACTTATACAAAAATTAATTCAAGATGGATTAAAGACTTACATGTTAGACCTAAAACCATAAAAACCCTAGAAGAAAACCTAGGCAATACCATTCAGGACATAGGCATGGGCAAGGACTTCATGTCTAAAACACCAAAAGCAATGACAACAAAAGCCAAAATTGACAAATGGGATCTAATTAAACTAAAGAGCTTCTGCACAGCAAAAGAAACTACCATCAGAGTGAACAGGCAACCTACAGAATGGGAGAAAATTTTTGCAATCTACTCATCTGACAAAGGGCTAATATCCAGAATCTACAAAGAACTCAAACAAATTTACAAGAAAAAAAACAAATAACCCCATCAAAAAGTGGGCGAAGGACATGAACAGACACGTCTCAAAAGAAGACATTTATACAGCCAAAAAACACATGAAAAAATGCTTATCATCACTGGCCATCAGAGAAATGCAAATCAAAACCACAATGAGATACCATCTCACACCAGTTAGAATAGCGATCATTAAAAAGTCAGGAAACAACAGGTGCTGGAGAGGATGTGGAGAAATAGGAACACTTTTACACTGTTGGTGGGACTGTAAACTAGTTCAACCATTGTGGAAGTCAGTGTGGCAATTCCTCAGGGATCTAGAACTAGAAATACCATTTGACCCAGCCATCCCATTACTGGGTATATACCCAAAGGATTATAAATCATGCTGCTATAAAGACACATGCACATGTATGTTTATAGCGGCACTATTCACAATAGCAAAGACTTGGAACCAACCCAAATGTCCAACAATGATAGACTGGATTAAGAAAATGTGGCACATATACACCATGGAATACTATGCAGCCATAAAAAAGTGATGAGTTCATGTCCTTTCTAGGGACATGGATGAAACTGGAAACAATCATTCTCAGCAAACTATCGCAAGGACAAAAATACAAACACCACATGTTCTCACTCATAGGTGGGAATTGAACAATGAGAACACATGGACACAGGAAGGGGAACATCACACACCAGGGACTGTTGTGGGGTTGGGGGAGGGGGTAGGGATAGCATTAGGAGATATACCTAATGCTAAATGACGAGTTAATGGGTGCAGCACACCAACATGGCACATGTATACATATGTAACCAACCTGCACGTTGTGCACATGTACCCTAAAACTGAAAGTATAATAATAATAAAATTAAAAAAAAAAAGAACTGTAACACTCACCACCAGGGTCTGTGGCTTCATTCTTGAAGTCAGTGAGACCAAGAACCCACCAATTCCGGACACAATATGATCTAGATTAACAAGCTTCTTGTGATGGTTAGTTTTATGTGTCAACCTGTCTAGACTACAGTATTCAATTATTAAATCACCTTTTGCTCTAGGTGTTGCTGTGAAGGTATTTGGAATACGTGGTTAACAGCTACAACCAGTTGGTTTTGAGTAAAGAAGATTATCGTTGATAATCTGGGTGGGCCTTAGCTAATCAGCTGAATCCTTAAAAGCAAAACTGAGGTTTCCCTGAGAAAAGGAAATTCCCATTAGTTGTGGCCCAAGAGTTTTCCAGCTGGCTGACCTGACCTATCGATTCCAGACACACCTACCCCATAGTCTTGTAAACCAATTATTTGAAATAAATCCCCTCCCCACCTCTCTCTCTCTCTCTCTCTCCCTGTCTCTCCCTCTCTCCCTAGTTCTCTCTTTTCTTTTCTTTTTTTTTTTTTTTTTGAGATGCAGTCTCACTTTGTTTCCCAGGCTAGAGTGCAGTGTCGTGATCTTGGCTCACTGCAACCTCCACCTCCTGAGTTCAAGCAATTCTCCTGCCTCAGCCTCCCAAGTAGCTGGGATTACAGGCACGTGCCGGCATGCCCAGCTAATTTTTTGTATTTTTAGAAGAGATGGGGTTTCTCCATGTTGGCTAAGCTGATCTCAAACTCCTGACCTCAGGTGATCCACCCGACTCGGCCTCCCAAAGTTCTGGGATTACAGGCATGAGCCACCACGCCCAGCCTCTAGTTTTCTCTTTATATAAGTGTGTGTGTGAAGTGTGTGTGTGTGTGTGTGTGTGTGTGTGTGTGTATGTGTGTCCTACTGGTTCTGTTTTTCTGGTAGAAGTCTGACATATATTATTCTTATAAACTTTTTTTTTGATATCTATCTATGACATATATGTGTGTGCATATATATGACATAGATTTTTATGTTTGTGTATTGAACATATCGGAACATCTATTATTGATGGAAACTTTTTTTAGGCCTGATCTTGTGAATTAAAACTGTCAATTTAGAATTAAAGCTAATGTGACCAGGCATGGTGGCTCATGCCTATAATCCCAGCACTTTGGGAGGCCGAGGCAGGTGGATCACCTGAGGTCAGGAGTTTGAGACCAGCCTGGACAACATGGTGAAACCCTGTCTCTACTAAAATACTGCAAAAAAATTAGCCGGGTGTGGTGGCAGGCACCTGTAATCCCAGCTACTCGCGAGGCTGAGGCAGGAGAATCACTGCCTCAGTGGAGGTTTCAGTGAGCCGAGATTGCACCATTGCACTCCAGCATGGACAAAAAGAGCAAAACTCCATCTCAAAAAATAAAAAATAAAAAAATAGAATTAAAGCTAATGTATATAATGCTTAACATATGTCAGGGATGTTTTAATCATACAGATTTATTTAATCTTCACTTCAACTTTATGGGAAAGGTACAACTATTGTCCCCGTTTTACGATTAGGAAACCTAAGGCAGAAAGAATTCGAGCAACTTACGTAAGGCTATGTGACTAATAAAAGATAAAATCAAGATTCAAACCCAAGGAGCATGGCTACAGAACTAGAACCCTCAACCACTTACCTACAGTGCTCTTGGAACCCAAAGAGTGTAAAATAGCGCTAGAGCATTAAGAAGTTTAGAATGGCCAACTGACACCAAGCCTGAGTTTTAGATTGGATTGCTGGAACCAGATCCGGCTAAATCTCTGATCACGCTAGTTAGCCCCAAATTCATCAAACAGTGGTCCACAATCTCTGATAGGGACAAGGGCAACCAATGTAAGTAAAAAGAACCCTTAGGCACTATGAACAAAAGTACTTCAAAAGTCATTGCACATTTAGACACATCTCTTTTCACTACTCATGGTTTTCTTTAATATTAGCCATCAAACTGGGAGAAGCCAGGGTCTTCAGGGATGTTGAAGTGCTAGACTAGCCTTTGGAAAAGCAGTGAAACCACTGATATGTTAGAAAATATCATCATTACTGAATAGGTTGGAGAGTTTTTTCTTTTCCAAGACTTCTGCTCAGAAGTTGAAGGAAATAGAACTCTTAACTCTCACAATTGAAAATTGAAAACGTTTATGATTTTATAAAAAGTGTGGCCAATGTTTCAGCTGTGGTTATGGTCACCTTGTCCATTAAAATCTAGATGACATTTATAGGCCCCTGTTCACATCTCATAAGCAGTCCAACATCCTCCCCTAAGACTTCCCAGTCGGTTTCTGTCCTTATATTCACCTAAGTGGTGAGTTCCAGCTTCCACAGAATTAGATCACTGTATGGGTTGTCACACCACTCTGCCCATGCTACTTTTTCCTTTAACACATCAACTCAAGACAGGTATTTCAATCCTCTTCCATAATTGTCACACAATTTAGTGTGTGTCTACACATCTTTTCTGCCAAGAAAAACTGTGCATGACTTGGAAATGGGCAAAATACATCACTGTATGTCCTTTTACAGGTCTAGGTATGGCCTAGTAGACCCTCTGGGAATTATGTGATTTTATACGAGTGTGCACTTTTGATTTTCTTTCCATTAACAAGGTCATTTTATAACTCTCTAGGGGTTGTAGAAGACGGATAGTAATACGAAAGATTCTCATCCAAAGCAATGCAAGTAAATTTGAAAATATTACTGTTAGATAAGAAATTAAACAGTTTTTATCTGTTACCTAAATTTAAGCATCTTGAGTTTCTATTTATACCTGTTCTTCAATTCTCATCTGAACTAGTCTTAATAGCATACAACTTCCTGCATTAATGAATTGAATACATTTTTTACATGTTCATTTTATATTTGCACAAAAGCCATATTGCTAACTTTCCAAAAGTACACAGTAATATTCTGAACATTTGAAAAATGCAGGATATTTATATTGAACAAACATGAAAGATTTTAAATTAAATATTAAGCGTCCTCTTTAGAAAACATGTTCTGTGTTTTCTTCAACTCAGGCTCCAACCTCCAGCTAGGTTGTTGGGCTCCACATTCTTCTGTTGTCTCTGCTCTCCCCACCCTTATGCAAAGCACTTTTCCACATATCCCCTCCCTGTGTCCCCATTAGCAAAAAGAATTATTTTCCGAAATAAAGATCTTTTCTCCCTAAGAAGAATGGTACTGCCAATTTTGTTTATCTTGAAAGATATCTGAGTAAACAAGACTGGCAAAGACTGAGAAGGAAAATAAACTCAGGTACTAACTTGCTTCATACGAATAAAAAATCTGAGTCCCAGAAATAATTTGTTCACATATATCCAACTACCTAATTTATTATTAGAGAAAATAGGCTTTTTTTCTCTAATATAAAACATTATTTTAGAGATAATTCAAATTAAGTATTAAAATTTAGTTATTTCAGCCTCATTAAAACTTTTGTAGTAGGAGGTGGAAGAGTTTTAATCAAATAAAGCACAAATTAAACACTGTGTACATAGTAATATTTGATCCAATTTTAAATTGTGACTTCAAAACTGAGAAGGTGTTTTCCTTTGGATGGAAAATGCTATAGATGTTCACATTAGTAGATTAGATGTATTATTGAAACACCGAGAATTTACCATAAACAATTATGTAAAACACTATTGTTATACTATTATTATTATTATTATTATTATTATTATTATTATTATTTTAAGACAAAGTCTTGCTCTGTCACCCAGGCTGGAGTGCAGTGGCGTGATCTCGGCTCACCACAACCTCCGCTTCTGGGGTTCAAGCGATTCTAATGCCTCAGCTGCCTGAGTAGCTGGGATTACAGGCGCCCACCAACACACCTGGCTAATTTTTGTATTTTTAGTAGAGACTGGGTTTTGTCATGTTGGCTAGGCTGGTCTCAAACTCCTAACCTCAAGTGATCCACTTGCCCCGGCCTCCCAAAGTGCTGGGATTACAGGTGTGAGCCATCACATGTGGCCTTATAATATTATTTTTATGGGGAAAAGATATCTAAAAGGGGAGAAACTTTCCAAAATTTGTCTTTTTTTTTTTTTTTTTTCTTGAGACGGAGTCTTGCTGTGTTGCCCAGGCTGGACTGCAGTGGCACAATCTTGGCTCACTACAACCTCCACCTCCCAGGTTCAAGTGATTCTCCTGCCTCAGTCTTCCAAGTAGCTGGGATTACAGGCGCCTGCCACCATGCCCAGCTCATTTTTATATTTTTAGTATAGGCTAATTTTTGTATTTTTGGTAGAGACGGGGTTTCACCACGTTGCCAAGGCTGGTCTTGAACTCCTGACCTCAAGTGATCTGCCTGCCTTGGCTTCCCAAAGTGCTGGAATTACAGGCATGAGCCACACACCCCATCCAAAATTTGTCTTAAATGATTCTTTAGGAAAAATTTTCAGGTTGATGGAGAAAATATGAACAGTTTTAGTGACTTTGAAAGAAACTTCTACACATTTTCAAAAGCTCTAAGAAATAAATGAAATAAATATCTGGAATATATAATAATGGTAACTAGAATCAAAAGGTAATGATAAGAGCTAAGATATGTTTATTCAATTTCACAAATATTTACATGGCTTGTTTTCTACAGTCTTTATTGAGGCTGCCTTTGACCAAGAGTATGGAAAGTTACCTCCAGTACTCTTCCTACTATATTTTTCCTCCTTTTCCTTCATTGCTATCACATGCACCATATGCTTCACTTTTTTTATTTTGTCTTCTATTTCCTTCCCTAGAATATGCTCTCCCAAAAAGGAGGAATTTTTTCTGTTTGTTGACTGCTTATTCACATCAGCTAAAACAATGCCTCAATGCCTAGCACACAGTAGGTCCTCAGGAAATTTTTGTCAACAGAATAATCATTATATCTGGCAATAGCAGAAATCAATTTTTTAAACAGACATATAAATGATATAAAAATCGACCATGAGCTAGGCCATAAAGTAGCCTCAAGGAATTTCAAAGATAATAAACACATCACATTTGCTGACCACAGTGGAATTAAATTAGAATTACTCACCAAAAGTTAACTAGGGGAAACACACACACACACACACACACACACACACACAGAGACACATACACACACACAGAGCGATAGAAGGGGCCTGACTTTCTGGCCAGTCCAGTGGCTCATGCCTGTAATCCCAGCACTTTGGGAGGCTGAGGCAGGCGGATCACTTGAGGTCAGGAGTTCGAGACCAGCCTGGCCAACATGGTGAAACCCCATTTCTACTAAAAATACAGAAATTAGCTGGGCATGGTGGCAAGTGCCTGTAATCCTAGCTAAATCCTATAATCCGGAGACTGAGGTAGCAGAATCGCCTTGAACCCAGAAGGTGGAGATTGCAGTTAGCTGAGATCACGCCATTGCACTCCAGCCTGGGGGACAGAGGGAGACTCCGTCTCAAAAAAAAAAAAAAAAAAGAAAGAAAAAAAAAGAAGCCTGACTTTCTTCCTAGTGATGCAGCTGGCTTGTGCAGGGTTGCACAGTGAAACAGCAAGGGAAATAAAGATCCTACCTTTCTCCTCCCTCTGTCTGCTCTCCTCCCTCTCCTGCCATTGATCCTCACTGGCTGAAAGCAGTAGGAGCCCATGGAAGCCAAAAAAAAATCACTGAAGTGGCCCATAAATGTGGGCCCCTCAGGGCACCAACCGGTGGGAAAAGTGGAGCGATATCTGCAGTGACCATGAAAACTATGCAGCACGAAATGGCGTCTAGAACAACAGCGAAATGTAAGCAAGCACACAAAGTACTTACTGATAAAAAGCTGAGCACATTCTTTCTGAATCAGCGTCAAAACAAGATACTGGCTGTCATTGATCCCACCTGAAATTGTGTTTGAGATCTTTGCCAGGATATTAAAGTAAGAAAATGGGGCTGGGCGTAGTGGCTCACGCCTGTATTCCCAGCACTTTAGGAGGCTGAGGCAGGTGGATCACCTGAGGCCAGAAGTTCAAGGCCAGCCTGGCGAACATGGCAAAACCCCGTCTCTACTAAAAATAAAATAATTAGCTGGGCATGGTGGGGGGCAACTGTACTCAGGAGGCTGAGTGAGGCAGGGGAATTGCTTGGACCCGGGAGGTAGAGGTTGCAGTGAGCCGAGATCGCACCACTGCACCCCAGCCTGGGAGACAGAGTGAGACTCCGTCTCAAATAAATAAATAGGAAAAAAAAAGTGTAACAATCAGAAAGGAGGAGAAACAATGTCATTATTTATAGATGATGTGATAGTCTCAGTGTAAAACTCACATGATATGCAGATTAAATATTAGAACTGAACAGGTCTAGAGAAGTTGTATATATAAAACGAATATTTTTAAAATATATTGCATTTTTACATAACAAATTTACAATAGCAACACATATATTGTATCCATACATAAATCAAACAAGATGGAAAGATCTCTGTGGAGAAAATTATAAAACATATTAAGAGATACCAAAGTTAGACCTAAATAAAATGGAAAGGTAGACCATTTCCTGGATAAGAAAACTTTCTATACTAAAGAAATCACTTCTTCCTAAATTGACCGAGAGATTCAATATAATTCAGATTAGAATCTCCAAGGGTTATTTTGGAGAAATTGTCAAACTCATTCTCAAAATTTACATAGAAGAGCTTAGGACCATGATGAAAATATTACTGAAGAAAAGTAAATGGAAGAAACTTGCCCTACTGGATATCAAGCCTTATTATAAAGCTAAATAATTAAGACATGCCATGATATTGGCACAGGGATAGACAAATAGACAAATAGAACAGAACAGAAAGCCCAGAGACAGCCCTATGCAGAAAATATAATAAAATTGGCACTACAGATGTAGAGAAAAGGAAGGCACTGCAGGAAATAGTTCTGAAACAATTGAGTATATCCATATGGACAAAAATGAAAGTGGGTTACTACTTCACACTATATGAAAAAAATCAATTTCAGATTGATTAAAGATTTGTAAGGCAAAATATACAACTGTTAAGAGATTATAGTTGACTTTTGAACAATATAGGTTTGAACTGCATGAGTCCAGTTGCATGTGGATTTTCTTCTACCTCTGACACCCCTGAGACCACAAGGACAACCCCGCTTCCTCCTCCTCCTTACCAGCCTACTCAACGTGAAGACGACAAAGAAGACATTTATGATAATCCACTTCCATCTAATGAACAGCAAATATATTTTTCACTTATTATTTTCTTAATAACATTTTCTTTTCTGTAGCTTACTTTATTGTAAGAATATAGTATATAATACATTTAACATACAAAATATGTGTTAATTGACTGTTTATGCTATCGGTAAGGCTTCCAGTCAACAGTAGCTATTAGTAGCTAAGTTTTGGAGGCATCAAAAGTTTTACATGGATTTTTAACTGTGTGGGCGTCAGCATGCCTAACCTCTGCATTGTCCAAGGGTCAACTGTATATGAGAACATCTTCATGAACTCAGGGTAGAAAGAGATTTCCTGAGACCTAAAAATCACCAACCTTAAAGAAGATTGAAAATTAAAATTCAGGACTTTTATTCAATAAATGACACCACTATAAAAGTAAGAAAATAAGCCACAAACTGAACAAGATATGAAAGCTTGGCATCCAGGATATGTAAAGTATAGCTATGAATCAACAAGAAAATGACAGACCAATTGAAAAATAGTCAAAGGAATGAAAGATCACAGAAACAAGCACAAAGGGCCCAGGAACATATGAAAAGATGCTCAACCTTATAGAATGAAATATAATCCCACACATGGAAGACTGGTGAAAATTAAAGATTGGTCAAATCAAGCAGTGATAACTAAGTATAACAACTGAAATCTCCCACCCACTGTTTTTAGAGAATAAATGTGGAAAGCAGTTTAGCATCATCTAATAAAATTGGACATGTGCTTATATAGCAACACACTACTTCCACTCCTGTGTCCATATCCGAGGGCTGTACATTTCAGACTGTGACTTGTAACACAGTCACTTAAAAGTCAATAGAAAGAATGGAAATATAAGAATTGAATAGAGATATCAGAATGCATTGCAATTAGTAAGGATATGTATTGTTTCCTTCACACATTATGTAGGTGTGTACATATGTGTACTGACCGAATTATGATAATAAACATTTATTTTAGGCCAGGCCCGGTGGCTCACGTCTGTAATCCCAGCACTTTGGGAGGCCAAGGCGGGCAGATCACCTGAGGTCAGGAGTTCGAGATGAGCCTGGCCAACAGTCAAGACCCCAGGGGGGTCTTGGACGTCAAGACCCCATCTCTACTAAAAATACAAAAATTAGCCAGGCGTGGTGGTGCACACCTGTAATCCCAGCTACTCCAGAGGCTGAAGCAGGAGAATCGCTTGAACCCGGGAGGTGGAGGTTGCAGTGAGCTGAGATCGCACCACTGCACTCCAGCCTGGGCAACAGAGTGAGACTCCATCTCAAAAAAAAGAAAAGATATATTTTTACTGTGTATCTCAGGCAAAAATCTTTGAATATCACTGTCTACAGGAAGTCTTACATATGTACACCAAGAGACAAGTAGAAAAGTATTTATTGCAGCACTATTATGTTACGTCAAGACAGCAAAAACCTGCAAACGACAAAATAAAATGGGATATATACATTGTGGTATATTTGTGTAATACAGTGAACAATCTACTGCAAACATCAACATGGTTGAATCTCAAAAATGGTATGATGGGCAAAAGGAATAACCCCAGAAGCATGCCTACTGTATGATTCCATTTATATATAATTCAAAAATAAGAAAAGTAAATGTGCTATTTACAGCACATACCTAAGTAACAAAACTATAAAGAAAACCATGAAAATTATTAACACAATCTACTATAGAGGTGACCTGTAGTGGGGGATGGAGCAGGAGGAGAAACAGTCAAGGCAGAACACTAAGGTCTTCTAGGGAACTTACCAAGTTTATTTCCTGAGTGGTGAGTACACATGTGTTCATTTTATTATGACACTTTACTTTGTACATACATGCTGTGTACAACTACACATGCAAGATACATGTCACAATTAAAATTTAGAATAAAATGTTACTTCCTGCTATTTTATTTAACTGCATCTCAACAGAAGTCTAATATTAGAAGAAAATTTACTACTATGGTCAATGCATAGAAGGCTTAAATGAATATATAATTTGTTTAAAAATATTTCAAAACTTAACACAGTTGGAGAAAATCAGTCATCCTAAAGCTAGCAAACCACTTTGTGACCTGTAGCAACTCAAATAGTGGTTCAAAGAACTCTGTAAGGAGAGGATACAAGGTTTACCTTAAAATCTAATTAATGTCAAGTCATTGGTATCCCAGCTCAGCATCACACTAAACACACTAATTTTTTTTTCTCTAGAAACATAATCAGAAACTTAAAAAAATTAATTGGATGAATAATTTTACAACTGGGGAAAAACAGAGTTAGAGAACAGCCTCAATACAGAATTATCGATATAAATGATAGCATCCAGAATACATCACACTCTGCAGTCACTAAAATCAACCGGGTAATGTGTGCTACATGAAAAGATGCCCCTGATACTATGTCAGAGTGAGTAAGTTTCAGAAAAGTTTAATGTTTTAGGCCAGGCACGGCAACTCATGCCTGTAATACCAGCACTTTGGGAGGCCGAGGTGGGCAGATCACCTGAAGTCAGGAGTTCGAGACCAGCCTGACCAGCATGGCGAAACCCCATCTCTACTAAAAATACAAAAAAAAAAAAAAAAAAAAAAAAGGTAGCTGGGTGTGGTGCTGCATGCCTGTGATCCCAGCTACTTGGGAGGCTGAGGCAGGATACTCCCTGGAACTTGGGGGGCAGAGGATGCAGTGAGCTGAGAATGTGCCGCTTCACTCCAGCCTTGGCGACAGAGCGAGACTACTCTCAGAAAAAAAACAAAAAAAAGGTTTAATGTTTTACTACTACTTCAGGCTGGGCACAGTAGCTCACGCCTGTAATCTGAGCACTCTGGGAGGCCGAGGTGGGTGGATCACCTGAGGTCAGAAGCCTAAGACCAGCCTGACCAACATGGTGAAACCTCGTCTCTACTAAAAATACGAAAAAAAAAAAATTAGCTGGGCGTGGTGGCGCATGCCTGTGATCCCAGCTGCTTGGGCTGCTGGGGCAGGAGAATTGCTTGAACACGGGAGGCAGAGGTTGCAGCCTGGAGACAGAGTGAGACTGTGTCTAAAAATAAATAAATAAATAAAATAAAATACTACTTCAGGGTTTTCTTAATATTATATATTGGGAGATACACAAGCAAATATGTGAAAAAAAATCTAAACTAAACTATTAATACTGGTTGAAATTGAGACTTTTGTTTTCTACTTTATACATTTCTGAATTGTCGGAATATTATTTTGTAATGAGTCTGTACTATTTTGTAATATATATTATACACAAATTATATTACATACAAATTATATATTATATATATATAAACCATCAGATAACGATGATATGGAATAATCAATTTCCTGCTATGAAATAAACAGAAAATGAAATGGTGGTAGAAGACTTCAGTTTAATAATAATTAGGACACTAAAATTGCAGCTATCTATCTTCTTTCTGAACATGAAAGACCTTGTTCTAGTCTGTGAAGAAATAGTTGTTTATTTTGCCATGTTTGTAAAACACTGACCCAAATATTTTTCAGAAATAGCCACAGCCACACTATTTACCATATTGGCATTCCTTATTGATGGATAATGCATTATCCCTCCCTCTCTCCCACGCACAGAGCAAATGCTCTTTTTACATTATTGAGTTGACATTTGAATAAACTCTCATTTGACTGGTTTGCCCGCAAGTGCCTCTAGGTGAGTATACGGCCTTGAGGATATAAAGTTTAGAAGTTTTATCTGCCCCCATTGTACTTTCAAATTAGTACATGTCTGCTGTAACTTATTTGAACATAAAATACAGCAAAGTGAAATTATTAAGACCTTTTCTTTTCCTTCTTTCTATAGTTAGCACTAAGAATAAAAAGTTACTAATTGCCTCAATTCTATGAATATGATGCAATAAAGTTGCAGCACAAGAAAAAAATAAAATTTCTTTAAGTAAATTTTCTGGTGGCTGGCCCAATAAGCCAAATATCTCACAAATTTACAGACCTATGCTTTCTACATAATCACACCCCTCATCTACCCCCTTACAACCGAGAACAGGAAGTTTAAACAGTTTCAAAGCCTGAAGACTTACTTCTAAATCTAAAAAGGTTACATTAAAATGATTTCCCACCCCCACACCCCCCCCACCAAAAAAAAAAAGCCAGCCAGGTGCAGTGTCTCATGCCTGTAATCCCAGCACTTTGGGAGGCTGAGGCAGGAGGATCACCTGAGGTCAGGAGTTCAAGACCAGCCTGGCCAACATGGCGAAACCCTGTCTTTGCTAAAAATCCAAAAATTTGCCGGGCGTGGTGGCAGGGACCTGTAATCCCAGCTACTCAGGAGGCTGAGGAAGGGAGAATTGCTTGAACCTGGGAGGCGGAGGTTACAGTGAGCTGAGATCGCACCACTGCACTCCAGCCTGGGCAACAGAGCTAGACTCTGTCTCAAACAAAGAAAAAATAATAATAAAAAAACCATCTTTAAAAAAGTACATTCTCTAACTTTAGGGAAGATAAGAAAGAAAATAGGGGCATGAATATGGCATAGTTGCCATAAAAAGCACTTTTGGAGATATCTACTTCTCTAATAGCAGCATATTTCCTTGTTGAATTCCCTATTATCCAATAGTGTTTGTTCTCCAATTTGGGTACATAAACAAAGCTCAGGATATATCTCAGTAATTTATCCCACCTATTGAAATCCACTTCTTGTACTACTGATATCTCTACCACAGCTTTGCCTCATGGGCAAGAAAGATTACATGTCACTCTCCCAGTGTCACTGTGCCAAGCCAACTCTACCTAAAATTCTCCTGCATTCTATTCACACCATGCAATCCAGTAAGTTATTTTTTGTAGATTAGGCATATCATTAGGGAAGGTAATAATTTAGTACACGTAATGTTCATGGAGCTATTAGCTCACACCCTGTGGCTTTGGGACTGGGACACAATCTCAAGGAGGATAATGAAATTGAAACAGAGTATTGATGATTTATCAACACTGTAGGTAAGATAGTAACATAGAGGCATCACTCTTTCATAGTCTCCTCTTCTCTAATAGCAGTTGTAGCATAGATAAAACCCAGATCTTTGGAACAGCAGTTGAGAACTGGTAATAGACACATTAAAAACTGTGTAGATAAGATCAGCAAAATCTCTTACCCAATCCCACATGCTAGGCTAGACAAGTAGTGAAAAGACGATGTACTCTGAGAATATTAAGCAATATTTATTTCCGTCTACAAGAAATAAGATACATTTCTGATTCTAATGATGTCATGATTGAACTATATTTCAAACTGGCACAAGGCTACAGCAAGGAGATCTCAAATTTTTCCAGTTTTGTATTCCCTGTTTATTTTGTCCACTGCATTTATTTTTATCTGCATTTTTCTGATTAATAAAAAGAGCAGGAGGGCTGGCTTGATTGACAGGCATCCTCGGTGCAGGATCTCCTCCTGACTGTTAAATATGCACCTCACTGCTACAACACAGTGTTTCCAAGCTCTCCAGAACACAGCAGTCAGAAAGCCAGGAGACAACTTTCATCATTAGTAAACTTGCTGCAAGCTTTGGCAGAATGTTACAGAGTGAAAGAGCCATTAATGTTGAACTTAACTTTTTGACTGGAAAAGTTTGAAATGTAACATAGTTTACTACACAGCTTGTTTGTACTCATACTTGGCAGAAAGTAACAAGAATACAATACAAAATGGATACATATTCAATATCTACAAGTTTGTTTAAACTACGCATAAATTAAGTGCTTTGAAACTTATTACTAATGAAAATAAGGCGTAAAAAGCTTTTTTTTTGTTTTGCTACAAATCTGCATTACCATCACGCATTAAAATTCCTTTTTAATTAAATGAGTTCATTGAATTGTCTAGCAGAATGAATTTTACTGTTGTATTGAGTTGAAAGTCTGTGTTTAAAATATATCCACTGGAAACAATGATCAATAGTTCAAAACAGGCTGCAATGCCTGTAATCCCAACACTTTGAGAGGCCAAGGTGGGCAGATCACTTGAGGCCAAGAGTTCAAGACCAGCCTGGCCAACATGGTGAAATCCTGTCTCTACTGAAAATACAAAAATTAGCTGGGTGTGGTGGTGCATGCCTGCAATCCCAGCTACTCGGGAGGCTGAGGCAGGAGAATTGCTTGAACCTAGGAGGCAGAGGTTGCAGTGAGCCAAGATCTCGCCACTGCATTCCAGCCTGGGCGACAGAGTGAGACGCCATTTCAAAAATACTGGTTCAGTATTTCTCTCAATTATAAGCATCAGTTAAAATTTTTAAAATATATATATATGTATGTGTACATGTGTTTTATGTATACAGATATACACTTTTTCATATTTTTTTCTTAAATAAGCAACTTTCATCACATTTTCTTAAATGCTTTTGAAGTTAGGTGTAAGCTTTTAAGACTTTAAGACACTGCTTAGGCCAGGCGCAGTGGCTCGTGCCTGTAATCCCAGCACTTTGGGAGGCCAAGGCAGGCAGACTACCTGCGGTCAGGAGTTCAAGACCAGCCTGGCCAAAATGGTGAAACCCCATCTCTACTAATAATACAAAAATTAGCCGGGTGTGGTGGTGCATGCCTGTAATCCCAGCTACTCAGGAGGCTGAGGCAGGAGAATTGCTAGAACCCGGGAGGCGGAGGTTGCAGTGAGCCAAGATCGTGCGACTGCACTCCAGCCTGGATGACAGAGCAAGACTCTGTCTTTAAAAAAAAAAAAAAAAAAAAGATACTGACTTAATTCAGTAATTTACTAAATTTACCCCACTCATGCACTTGTAACTTACTGAATGCCAATCATGTGCTGTAGAAAATCATACAGGTCATTTTCCTAGATCTTTATTTCCCAAATGTGAATTTTCCAAAGCTTATTTCTATTACCTGCAACAAGAATATCTGCTTAAGGACTCAGATGAGTCTTATTTCCTCTCTCTATATATATATTTTAAAGTTTTGACTTGCTCAGAGCTCTTTAAGTTCTTTGGTTGACACCATTCATTAAGCTTTCATTGGTCTTTCTTTTCTCAATACGGTAAAATTAATTTCATTTTTAAGAATTTTACTTTGATATTGGCCGTCATAGTCTTTTGGTATGAAAGTGTCCTTTCTCTATAAAATGTTAGTGAGAATGGATGGTGGTGATTGTTTCCTCACATTTTTCTTGTATGTAAATTACCCCACATTTTTGTCAGTGGTGAAATTTTGCCACTCAGATCAGTCCAGAGTCTGGGAAACATAGCTCTGTAGCTTTTCTTATTCTCTGATGTTCTTTTATTGTGTTGTAGACAATTTCCGTGATTGTGTGATTTTGTCAGAGCCTGACAGTCACATATCCTGGATGGCCATACTCAATTCCACATCCCCTACAACGTCTAGCAACCAGCACCACACTTACAACTACCTCTGTGTGTGTTACCTGAATCTAGTTAAGTTCTCATGTAAGAATACTGTGATGAGTTTTGACAGAAAAAGTCGTCTTGGCAATTTTAGCAAAATGTCTTGTGAAGGAAAGGTCATAAAAGGTACCTTTCCTGGTTCCTCTGTTAACCTCTGAGATTAGACTTCAGATTATATTGACGGCCATAGACGAATGCTGTTCCTAATAGTCAGAATCTCCAAAATCATTTTACCTAATCTGTATATGATACATTTTTTGAATAATAAAGATTAGTAGATGATGTAGAGCTCTGAGTTCCTGAATTTTTTATATGAAAAAAATTAATTTGCAGAAAAGTTGTAATAGTCACTAACTGCTAACATTTTACCACATTTGTTTTGTCTCTGTGTGTGTTTGTATATTGTATGTGTATACACATGTTACTTTTGGCTGGGTGCAGTGGCTCACACCTATAATCCTAGCACTTTGGGAGGCCGAGGCAGGTGGATCACCAGAGGTCAGGAGTTCGAGACCAGCCTGGCCAACGTGGTGAAACCCCCGTCTCTACTAAAAATACAAAAATTAGCCAGGCATGTTGGCGCATGCATGTAATCTCAGCTACTCAAGAGGCCGAGGCAGGAGAATTGCTTGAACCTAGGAGACAGAGGTTGCAGTGAACCAAGATTGCGCCACTGCGCTCCAGCCTGGGCAACAGAGTGAGAGTCCATCTCAAAAAAAAAAAAAAAAAAAAAAAAAAAAGTGTTTATACATATTACTTTAGCTAAACCATTTAAAAGTAAGTTGCAACTTCTTTACCCCTAAGTATTCAACGTGTATCTCCTAAGGACAGGTGTTCTCTTACAGAACCAGAGTAGAAATACCAAATAGAGGAAATTTTAACATTATAACAAGAATATTATCTAATACCCAATCCATATTCAAATTTCATCAATTTTCCCAAGAGTATGTTTTATAGCATTTTCCCCTTTTTGGATTCAGAATCCAATTCAATATAGTGCATTGCATTTAGTCACGTGTCCGTTTAGTACGCTTTAATTGGAAGCAGTTCCTCAGACTTCCTTTTCCTTTCACAACATGGATTTTTTTTTAAGAGTACAGGATTTGGGTTTGTCCAGTTGTTTACTCATGACTTAATTCAGATTATGCATTGTTGGCAGAAATTCTACATAAATTACGTTGGATCCTCTCAGTTAATCACATTAGGAGGCACAGGGCGTCCGTTGATCCTATTACTGAATGTGCTAACTGGAATCACTTCATTACAATGGTGCCTGCCAGTTCCTGGTACTGTTTCATTCACATTTTGGAATCTGTACGTAGAATTTCAGAATAAGCCTCCTCCATTCCTAAACAGACATTAGTCTGTTTGATCAAATCTGCTAATTTCCAGAACATACCCCTCAATCCACTTCAGTCTGCCATCTACCCCCATCACTACCCCACAATTGCTCTATCCAACATCAGCACTGATTGTCCCATTGCTCTTTATTTTTTAGTCCTTTTTTGCTAGTCCTCAGCAGCATTCAATACTGTTGATAATTCCTTTCTTCTAGAGAGACCTCTTCCCTTGATAGCCTCCTGCTTTTCTGCTACTTACTCTCCTCAGGTTCTGCTCCCTTTGCTTGGTTATTACGTGTTAAAATTTCTGAAGACTCATTATAAAGTCTGCATTTCTGTAGCCTCCTTTTTCTATAATCTCTATACAAACTCATCCATGCATACGGCTTTCATTACCACCTATATACATTAATAGTTCACTCTCATATTTACATCTGTAACCCCAAAACCCTCCCCTGAGCTCAAATCCAAAATAGCAATCATCTCTTCACAGCTCTACTCAAAAATGACAAAGCGACCTCAAACTGGAAATACCTAAACAAAATTCCAATCTCCTCCACAAAACCTGCCCCTTCTCCCACTCTTCCTTGTATCCGTGGAGGACATATTCAGTGAAAATCCATGAGTTATTCTTGACATTGCTTTGTTCATCACCCTTCCCACAAACCCAATCCTGTAACAGATTCTATTAATTTAACCAGGAAAATCTATCTACTTCTCCCTAAACCCATAGTCATCACCTTAGTTCCTTAGTCCAAGCCAGCATTATTTCTTTTCCAGATGACTGCAATAGCTGCCTAACTATCTCCTATCTCCCTGCACTCACTCTTGCTTCCTATACCCCATTCTCCAAACTGTGGCTGGCCCTGGGGACTTGTGTTTTTCTCTTTTCAATCTCTCTCTCTACACACACACACACACACACACACACACACACACACACACCCATACATTCACTGTACTTAAAACTTCTGATGTCCTTCAACCGATTTTAAAACGAAGACCCACATCCTTATCTTAGCATGATTTACAAAGACTTGCATAAAGTGGCACCTACCTACCTTCTGCAACCTCACTGTAAGCCCCTCTAACCAACATTCTCTTTCCATCAGCCAAATAAATCTGCTTGCATTTTCAGAAAGATGTCATTTTCATTCCTTACTTAGAGAATGAACACAGGCTCTTTCCTTAGCCTAATTAATTCCCATTCATAACTCAGAACTTAGTTTAAATGTCAGTTCCTCTAGAAAGCCTCACTAGACTATATCACTACATTCACTAAACTATATGTGTTCACTGCATCATGCATCTTTTCCTCCTCACGTAAAATTATTTGTACCTTATTTATGTGAATATTTGAGTATCTAATATTTTCATTAGACCCTAAGTTCCATGAAGGCAGAGACCTTCTACCCCCAGGACTTTACTTATTGTCTGTTATGTAGCAGGTATTCAATAATAAACTAATGTGTGTGGGGTTTTTTGTTGTTGTCATTTCTTTTGGAGACAGCGTCTTGCTCTGTTGCCCAGGCTGAAGTGCAGTGGCACAATCTTAGCTCACTGCAGCCTCAAACTTGTAGAGTCAAGTGATCCAACTCAGCGTCTTGAGTAGCTGAGATTACAGGTGTGCACCACCATGCCTGGCTAATTTTTATTGATTTTTTTGTAGAGATGGGGTCTTGCTATATTGTCCAGGCTGGTCTCAAACTCCTGGCATCAAGTGATCCTTTCACTTTGGCCTAATAAATATACACATTTTATTGAATTTGTTTTCTCATCACATGCATGTATAGTGTTTATTTACTCTGCGCCAGGCACCATTCTAAGTATTTTTTAAATACTAAGTTATATAGTCCATGTTCTATTAGCCCTTTTCAAGCACTGGCTTCTATTTGCCTATCTTGGACTTCATTTTAATCTACACCACTTTAAGTTTGTGATAGTAGTGCACACTCTAATTGGACAGGGTATTTTTCTGACCCTTTATAAAAGTGAACTTTTAGAAGATTTTCTTGTGAACTCTACATACTATCCTAAATTACCTAATACCCAAATTGTAAGTGTGGAGAGAGACGCTAGAACTCTGCGATGTTAATGACAAAGCATTTGCTTCAATATGATCCCATTTGTGAAATGTTTCTCTTTAAGTAATATTAATAATGCTGGAAGAAGTATGCCTTAAATTATCTCACAAATTCATTAGATGAATAATATAATTATAGAGTAAACAAAAAATCTTCCGTAGGTTTTTTTTGTTTGTTTGTTTTTGTTTTTTTGAGACAGCGTCTTGCTCTGTCACCCAGGCTGGAGTACAGTGGCGCGATCTCGGCTCACTGCAAGCTCCACTTCCCGGGTTCACACCATTCTCCTGCCTCAGCCTCCTGAGTAGCTGGGACTACAGGCACCTGCCACCACACCCGGCTAGTTTTTTCTATCTTTAGTAGAGACGGTGTTTCACTGTGTTAGCCAGGAAGGACTCGATGTCCTGACCTCATGATCCGCCCGCCTTGGCCTCCCAAAGTGCTGGGGTTACAGGCGTGAGCCACCATGCCGGCCCCGTAGTTCTTATGAACCCAGAGATTCAAGTGGTAAATCTTACAGCAGTATTGAGTTCGACAAAACATGGTTCAGGACAGGCGCAGTGGCTCACACCTGTAATCCCAACACTTTGGAAAGTCCTGAGGCAGGAAGAACACATGAGGCCAGGAGTTCCAGACCAGTATGGGAAAGATAGTGTGTCCGGAATTTGTGGGTTCTTGGTCTCACTGACTTCAAGAATGAAGCCGTGGACCCTCGCGGTGAGTGTTACAGCTCTTAAGGTGGCGCGTCTCGAGTTTGTTCCTTCTGATGTTCGGATGTGTTCAAAGTTCCTTCCTTCTGGTGGGTTCGTGGTCTCCCTGGCTCAGGAGTGAAGCTGCAGACCTTGGCGGTGAGTGTTACAGCTCATAAATGCAGTGTGGACCCAAAGACTGAGCAGCAGCAGGATTTATTGCAAAGAGTGAAAGAACAAAGCTTCCACAGTATGGAAGGGGACCTGAGCAGGTTGCCACTGCTGGCTCAGATAGCCTGCTTTTATTCTCTTATCTGGCCCCACCCACATCCTGCTGATTGGTCCATTTTACAGAGAGCCGAGTGGTCTCTTTTGGCAGGGTGCTGATTGGTAGGTTTACAATCCCTGAGCTAGACACAAAGGCTCTCCATGATCCCCACTAGATTAGCTAGATACAGAGTGTCACACAAAGGTTCTCCAAGTCCCCACCAGAGTAGCTAGATACAGAGTGTCCATTGGTGCATTCACAAACCCTGAGCTAGACACAGGGTGCTGACTGGTGTGTTTACAAACCTTGAGCTAGATACAGAGTGCCCACTGGTGTATTTACAATCGTTTAGCTAGACATAAAGGTTCTCCAAGTCCCCACCAGAGTCAGGAGCCCAGCTGGCTTCACCCAGTGGATCCCGCACCGGGGCTGCAGGTGGAGCTGCCTGCCAGTCCCACGCCGTGTGCCCGGACTTCTCAGCCCTTGGGTGGTCGATGGGACTGGGTGCTGGCGGAGAAGGGGGCGGCGCTTGTCAGGGAGACTCAGGCCGCACAGGAGCCCACAGAGGGGGAGAGGCTCAGGCATGGCAGGCTGCCCTGCCCCGTGGGGAGGCAGCTAAGGCCTGGCGAGAAATCGAGCGCAGCGCCGGTGGGCTGGCACTGCTGGGGGACCCAGCACACCCTCTGCAGCAGCTGGCCCGGGTGCTAAGCCCCTCACTGCCCGGGGCTGGCAGGGCCAGCTGGCCGCTCCGAGTGTGGGACCCGCCAAGCCCATGCCCACCCGGAACTCCAGCTGGCCCACAAGCCCCCGACCCGTGCAGCCCCGGTTGCCGCTCGTGCCTCTCCCTCCACACCTCCCTTCAAGCTGAGGGAGCCGGCTCCGGCATTGGCCAGCCCGGAAAGGGGCTCCCACAGTGCAGCGGTGAGCTGAAGGGCTCCTCAAGTGCCGCCAAAGTAGGAGCCCAGGCAGAGGAGGCGCTGAGAGCCAGCGAGGGCTGTGAGGGCTGCCAGCACGCTGTCACCTCTCGATAGCAAGACCCTATCTCTACAAAAAAAAAAAATTAAAAATAATAAAGATAATTAAATTTGGGAGGCAGGAGGATCGCTGGAGTCCAGGAGAGCTATGATCCTGCTTCTGCACTACAGCATGGACGAAAGAGCAGAACAAGACCCTGTCTCTAAAATAAACAAACAAACAAGCAAAAGAACAACAAAAAGACGAAAGCCACAGTTCCTCCACCAAAAGAAATTTGGGAAATATTCTAAAATCATTAACTTGAGTTTCTTTAAGAATGCTAAAATTAATCCACTATATTCCCAACCCTTTCAAAAAAAAAAAAAAAAAAACAAAAAAACAAAAAAACTCAGACAACTTCCTGAAGACTTTTATCCCCCAAACACAATGACATACTTATCCTTTCCTACTCTCAACTCTCTATGCCATGCCCTCTGGCTTTCTGGGATATGTACCATGCTGCATGCTATAGTTTGTCTCAACTCTCATCATTTCACTATTTTCTCAAAAGAATCACAATTATTTTGGGTGGAAGGAGGCAAGATTAGAACACTCACATGTTAATATGTTTTTATACTTATTCTGGTACATCTCAAACTTTAGCATGCAAAAGAATCACCTGAGAAACCTGTTAACACAAATTCCTGAGTTTCAGCAAGCAGTGGTTACGACTAGGTAGGTGTGGAATCAGGCTTGTGAATTTGCATTTCTTTTTTTTTTTGAGACAAAGTCTCATTCTGTCACCCAAGCTGGTGTGCAGTGGTGTGATCTCGGCTTAATGCAACCTCCGTCTCCCAGGTTCAAGTGATTCTCCTGCCTCAGCCTCCCAAGTAGCTGGGACTACAGGTGTGTGCCACCATGCCCAGCTAATTTTTGTATTTTTAGTAGAGACAGGGTTTCACTGTGTTGGCCAGGCTGATCTCGAACTCCTGACCTCGTGATCTGCCCACCTCAGCCTCCTAAAGTGCTGGGATTACAGGCATGAGCCACTGTGCCCAGCCGAACTTGCGTTTCTTTTATGGTTTGTGTTTTCTGTCCTTTTGAAAAATCTTTGCCTAACCCAATGAATGTTAGAATTATTTATCTTATATTTATTTTTCCCTGTTTTCTTCTACAAATTTTATAGTTTAGCTCTTACTTTTACGTCCATTTCAAGTTCGTTTTTGGTATAATATCGAGTAAGAGTTGAGGTTCATTTTTTTCCATACATTTATCAAATTGTTTTACCACCATTGAAGTACCCTAGAATCTCTGTTGAAAATCAGTTGGACCATGTATATCCAATGATTTCTGAATTTCTCTATCTGTTCCAAACTGGGTTGAGACTAGCTTTACAGTAAGGCTTGAAATCAGGTACTATAAGACCTCCAGTTTCAAAACTGTTTGACTATTCTGAGCTCCTTACATTTTCATATAGTTTTTAGAATAAATTTTATCAATTTCTTTTAAAAATAGCCTGCCAGGATTTTTATTGGTATTGCATTAAATCAACATGGAAAGAATTGCCATCTTAATAATATTGAGACTTCCAAATTATTATGGCAAATATTTTTCTTTGTTTAGATTTTTATTTCTTTAGCAAAGTTTCGTAGCTTTAGTATAGAGTTTTAGGTATGGGTTGTCTATAATTATAGGGCTATTTACATTTTCTGTTTCTTCTTAGGTTCATTTTGGAAATTTCTATCTTTTTAAGGTATTTGCCTATTTTAAAGAACATTTGACTTATTAAAAGCTCCAATTTCTATTAAGTACATTCTGTTTTATTTGCTGTAATATACAGAGAAAACCTCAGTATATATATCTCAGGAAACAGAGTGAAGAGCAAATTCCTAAATATCTCAAATAGACATTTTAAGTCACAATTTGTTCAAGTTTTAGAGTGGAAGTCATATTCAACTGCCACTAATAACCAGGAGTGACTTTTTATATCTATTCTTCTCCAGCTTTTAAAAAATATTGAAATAAGATTGTATTATTCTCCTCAGAAGGTGTTGTCTCAGGATGAAAGTAAAACGACAGGCCAAAACTGGAACTATTTTTATATATTTGAGCAAATGTGCCATTTTTACCTATTCCAGAAGACTGGAGCAACAAATTGATTTTTTTTAATAAATACCAAATTACTACAGACTGACATACATAAAACTAAGGAACTCGAGGAATTAAGTCAATGGTAAATGAGTGATTAGTGGCTAAATACGAGTTTGTATTGACTCATTTATCATATTCAGGGCAAGATATGTTCTGCATCCTTGTTAGTTAATATTTTACATGAGTCTGATTCTACCACTATTTTAGCAATTTCCTGAGAAAACATTAGTGGATTTCTATTATCATAGCATAAAGGTATCAGGTTTGTGTTTGGACCAAGTAGTTTGATTGCTAACACTTTTAAGAACAATGTCTGGCTCCATGTAAACCTGAAATTTTAAGGAAACTTTAAAAAACATAAATCAAGGGTGGGGCATGGTGGCTCACACCTGTAATCCCAGCACTTTAGGAGGCCAAGGCCGGTGGATCACTTGAGTCAAGGAGTTCAAGACCAGCCTGGCCAATATGGTGAAACCCTGTCTCTACTAAAAATACAAAAATTAGCCAGGCGAGGTGGCTCGCATCTGTAATCCCAGCTACTTGGGAAACTGAGGCAGGAGAATTCCCTGAACCCCAGAGGTGGAGACTGCAGTGAGCCCAGATTACACCATTGAACTCCAGCCTTCCAGCCTGGGTGACAGAGCGAGAATCTGCCTAAAACAAAACAAAACAAAGCAAAAAAAACAAAATCAGTGACCATTAGTAAGTATAGGGACTTGGGTCTAGTTGTCATGTAACAGAATCCTCTCATATCCCTCTATCTTCCTCCTTCTCCAAACTCTTTCTGACTCCACATCTAAAAGAACTAGAGAAAACAATGCGGTGTGGTGTGGAAGCTGTAATTTCACTGCAGGAAGTACAGAGCAATTGTTCAGAGACAGAATATTGGCCTTCTAAATTTTTTTTTTTTTTTTAGATGGAGTTTTGCTCTTTTTGCCCAGGCTGGAGTGCAACGGTGTGATCTCGGCTCACTGCAACCTCCGCCTCCTGGGTTCAAGCAATTTGCCTGCCTCAGCCTCCCAAGTACCTGGGATTACAGGCTCCCGCCACCATGCCCGGCTAATTTTTTGTATTTTTAGTAGAGACGGGGTTTCATCATGTTGGCCAGGCTGGTCTCGAACTCCTGACCTCAGGTGATTCATCCGCCTCGGCCTTCCCAAAGTGCTGGGATTATAGGCCTGAGCCACTGCCCAGCAGGCCTTCCAGATTTGTTACAAAGATAAGAAACTCCTATAGAGAAAATAAGTTGGTAATTAGGCAGTATGTCAGGTCCTTAGCATCATGACAAGCCACAAACTGTTGTGTAATGACTGAAATAAATTTCAAAGGTCTATCCACTTTACTATGGTCAATCAGGAACCTGAGGCAATTCAATTAAACAGCAATAGCCAATGAATAATAAAAAGTAGGTATCAGTTGCTGAAGGAGCAGACTTCTAAATTATCTCTGAAGGAATAAGGTGTATGTGACCAACCATACTAAGAAACTACAAAGGATAAAACACTACAGATACAAGTTAAGTTGAATGACCAGAAAGCATTTTGTGCATACCTTTCTCAGGGCACTTATCACTTTGTTTCAGATACTTGTTTATAGGTTGGTTTCCCAAGGTGGCAATAAACTTCTTGAAGTCAGGAAAGTTATTCTTTGCTTCTCTAGCAATTAGTTCAAAGTCTAAGGCTTTAACAGGTACACAATGAATGACTTAAAAATGGATGAATAACCAAAGATGATACACAAATAGCCAACAAGCATATGAAAAGATGTTCAACATTACTAATTATTAGGAAAATGCAAATCAAAACTACAATGAGGTATTACCTCATACCCATTAGGATGGCTACTATCAAAAAAACAAAACAAAACAAAACAAAAAAACAGAAAGTGTTGATGATGATGTGGAAAAATTAGAAACCTTGTACAGATATAAAATGGTACAACTGCTATGGAAAACAGTATAGCAGGTCCCCCTAAATTAAAAATAGAATTACCATATGATCCAGCAATTTCACTTCTAGGTATATATACAAAAGAATTGAAAGTAGGGCGTTGAAAAGATATTTGTACACCCATATTTATAGCAGCACTATTCACAATAGCCAAGAGGTGAAAACAACCCACGTGTCCATCAACAGATGAATGGCTAAGCAAAATATAGTATATACATACAATGGAATATTATTTAGCCATAAAATAGAAGGCCGTTCTGACACATTACTACATGGATGAGCCTTAAGAACATTATGCAAAGTGAGATGTCAGTCACGAAAAGCCAAATACTGTATGATTCTACCTATCTAAGGAATATAGAGTAGTCAAATTCATGGAAACAGAAAGTAGAATGGTGGTTTCCAGAGATTGGTTGATGAGAAAATGGGTAGTTATTTTTCAATGCATATAGAATTTCAGTTTTATAAGATGAAAAAGGTCAGGAGATTGTACAACAATGTGAACATGCTTAACATTACTGAACTATACACTTATAAACGGTTAAGATGGTAAATTTTACGTTATATATTTTTTACAATAAATGTTTTAAATAAATGAATAAATGGTTAAATGAATGCAGGGCTACATAAATGAATTAATAATGAGAAACATCAGGAAATTGCACCTGGCAATTTCTGGCCAGGTGTGGTGGCTCACGCCTGTAATCCCAGCATTTTGGGAGGCTGAGGCAGGTGGATCACAAGGTCAGGAGATCGAGACCATCCCGGTTAACACGGTGAAACCTCATCTCTACTAAAAATACAAAAATTAGCCGGGCATGGTGGTGGGTGCCTGTAGTCCCAGCTACTCAGAAGGCTGAGGCAGGAGAATGGTGTGAACCCGGGAGGCGGAGCTTGCAGTGAGCCAAGATCACGTCACTGCACTCCAGCCTGGGCAACAGAGCAAGACTCTGTCTAAAAAAAAAAAAAAAAGAAAGAAAGAAAGAAAAGCTGGCAATTTCTAATGTAGCATGTTTTATCAGTTAAAAAAGGGTAAGTGTAGAGTACTATTCCATGAAACATTTGCAGAGACGGGTATTTTGAAATTGCATAGATGCCACATGCCCTTGGCATTTGTTATACTTATCAGAAGTATCATATTTGGGACTCTGCAGTTTTAAGAGCTGTGGAAAAAACACTCAAAGGTAGGAAGACAGAAGATACCAGAAAATATGTAAAGAATTAATTATTTCAAAGAAGAGGAGGCCAAGTCCACTAAATAACAGTCTTCACATTCAGGAAGGATTATTACAGTAGACAAATTCTAATTTCACAAGTGAGATGAGTTTACATTGCAATAAGACAGATTTTGGAGGAAGCACAAAAGATACCAACGAAGTTTTAGATTTTCTATTAAAATTGAAGAATAGAATTCAAAAAGTCTGCATGTTAAGAGAAATATAACTTTGCAGTAATAAGAAAAATTATCCAAAACGTGGAAGTAAGGCAAAGGATACTGTATATCCTGGCAATGTAATATGGAGTGCTGTGTAACAGACCCACTCAAGAATTATTTAAATCTCTAGGAGAATGTAACTTTGTTTTACTGTTTTATAATGGACAACGCCTAGAATCCTGTGAAATTACAGATTTCGATTCACAGATAATACTAATGGTAATAGATTTATTGCTATGTAGCACATTAATCAGTTTTATATCTAACTGCGTAATCTTATTTTGGTAGTCTGTCTTTTATTATCCATAAATATTCAGACTCTAAAATTCTCCTTTTAATCAAATTGACCATTCTAATAGTTCCCTCATTAATTAAATAATTACTTAACATACACTCACCATGGTTCTAGATGAGTCATGTTTAACTTTTTGGAAATCAGCCTTTTATATAACACTACTGCCTTATGAGTTTACTAAGATAGCACCTTGGTGATTCAGGTAGTAAATTAATATAAACAAAGAAAACTCACTTATCTATGCATAATTAAAAGAAAAAAATGAGGATACCAAAACAAAGTCAGAGAGGAGCTCCCACTAGTCAAATCTAAGACAATTTGAGCATCAATTTAAATAATGAAAGTAATAGCATATGACTCAGATAATTAAAATAAGAATCTTGCTAAGTAAATGAGTGAATGAATAAATGGAGGAGAAGAGAAAGCTCTTCCTCACATTATGATGTAGAAGGAATAAAGGATACAGAGAGTCACCTTTTAAACATTGTAGTAACAGTTGATTCAGGCAAGAGTCATCAATGGATGTTAAAACTAGTGGATGAAGAATCTTTCATGAGAAATAAGATATTTACATAGTCTCAAAGGATCTCCCCATGTATCAGTTATAAACCACAATGTGATATAAACTACAAAGGGACATTCTGATACGATGCACTGAGGACAAAACTTCTGTGGTATTCTCCCCAAAATGCATAACCTATATCTACACACAAGGAAATTTCAAACTAATCCAAATTGAGGGACAACCTGCAAAATCACTAGCCAGTATTCTTCAAAACCATTAATGTCATTTAGACAGGGAAAGGTGAAGACACTGTTCCACACTGAAGGAGAATAAAGAGCTACAACAACTAAACATAACATGTGTTCCTGGATCAGATCCTCCACAGAGAGAAAACTCTATAAAGACCATTATTGGTGGAGCCAAGATGGCCGAATAGGAACAGTTCCAGTCTACAGCTCCCAGCATGAGCGACACAGAAGACGGGTGATTTCTGCATTTCCAACTGAGGTACCGGGTTCATCCCACTGGGGAGTGTCAGAAAGTGGATGCAGGACAGTGGGTGCAGCCCACCGAGCGTGAGCCAAAGCAGGCCGAGGCATCACCTCACCCGGGAAGCACAAGGGGTCAGGGAATTCCCTTTCCTAGTCAAAGAAAGGGGTGACAGATGGCACCTGGAAAATCGGGTCACTCCAACCCTAATACTGTGCTTTTCCTACTGTCTTAGCAAACAGCACACCAGGAGATTATATCCTGCTCCTGGCTAGGAGGGTCCTACGCCCACGGAGCCTCACTCATTGCTAGCACAGCAGTCTGAGATCAAACTGCAAGGCGGCAGCGAGGCTGAGGGAGGGGCGCCCGCCATTGCCGAGGCTTGAGTAAGTAAATAAAGTGACAGGGAAGCTCGAACTGGGTGGAGCCCACCACACCTCAAGGAGGCCTGCCTGCCTCTGTAGACTCCACCTCTAGGGGCAGGGCACAGCCAAACAAAAGGCAGCAGAATCCTCTGAAGACTTAAATGTCCCTGTCTGACAGCCTTGAAGAGAGTAGTGGTTCTCCCAGCACACAGCTTGAGATCTGAGAACGGGCAGACTGCCTCCTCAAGTGGGTCCCTGACCCCCTGAGTAGCCTAACTTGGAGGCACCCCCCAGTAGGGGCAGACTGACACCTCACACGGCCGGGTACTCCTCTGAGACAAAACTTCCAGAGGAACGATCAGGCAGCAACATCTGCTGCTCACCAATATCCGCTGTTCTGCAGCCTCCGCTGCTGATACCCAGGCAAACAGGGTCTGGAGTGGACCTCCAGAAAACTCCAACAGACCTGCAGCTGAGGGTCCTGACTGTTAGAAGGAAAACTAACAAGCAGAAAGGACATCCACACCAAAACCCCATCTGTACGTCACCATCAGCAAAGACCAAAGGTAGATAAAACCACAAAGATGGGAAAAAAACAGAACAGAAAAACTGGAAACTCTAAAAATCAGAGCGCCTCTCCTCCTCCAAAGGAATGCAGCTTCTGACCAGCAACTGAACAAAGCTGGACGGAGAATGACTTTGATGAGTTGAGAGAAGAAGGCTTCAGACAATCAAATTACTCCGAGCTAAAGGAGGAAGTACGAACCAATGGCAAAGAAGTTAAAAACCTTGAAAAAAAATTAGACGAATGGCTAACTAGAATAACCAATGCAGAGAAGTCCTTAAAGGACCTGATGGAGCTGAAAACCAAGGCACGAGAACTACGTGACTAATGCATAAGCTTCAGTAGCCGATTCGATCAACTGGAAGAAAGGGTATCAGTGATGGAAGATGAAATGAATGAAATGAAGCGAGAAGAGAAGTTTAGAGAAAAAAGAATAAAAAGAAATGAACAAAGCCTCCAAGAAATATGGGACTATGTGAAAAGACCAAATCTATGCCTGACTGGTGTACCTGAAAGTGATGGGGAGAATGGAACCAAGTTGGAAAACACTCTGCAGGATATTATCCAGGAGAACTTCCCCAATCTAGCAAGGCAGGCCAACATTCAAATTCAGGAAATACAGAGAATGCCACAAAGATAATCCTCCAGAACAGCAACTCCAAGACACATAATTGTCAGATTCACCAAAGTTGAAATGAAGGAAAAAATGTTAAGGGCAGCCAGAGAGAAAGGTCGGGTTACCCACAAAGGGAAGCCCATCAGACTAACAGCTGATCTCTCGACAGAAACTCTACAAGCCAGAAGAAAGTGGGGGCCAATATTCAACATTCTTAAAGAAAAGAATTTTGAACACAGAATTTCATATCCAGCCAAACTAAGCTTCATAAGTGAAGGAGAAATAAAACTCTTTACAGACAAGCAAATGCTGAGAGATTTTGTCACCACCAGGCCTGCCCTACAAGAGCTCCTGAAGGAAGCACTAAACATGGAAAGGAACAACTGGTACCAGCCACTGCAAAAACATGCCAAATTGTAAAGACCATCAAGGCTAGGAAGAAACTGCATCAACTAATGAGCAAAATAACCAGCTAACATCATAATGACAGGATCAAATTCACACATAACAATATTAACTTTAAATGTAAATGGGCTAAATGCTCCAATTAAAAGACACAGATGGGCAAATTGGATAAACAGTCAACACCCATCAGTGTGCTGTATTCAGGAAACCCATCTCATGTGCAGAGACACACATAGGCTCAAAATAAAGGGATAAAGGAAGATCTACCAGGCAAATGGAAAACAAAAAAAGGCAGGGGTTGCAATCCTAGTCTCTGATAAAACAGACTTGAAACCAACAAAGATCAAAAGAGACAAAGAAGGCTATTACATAATGGTAAAGGGATCAATTCAGTAAGAAGAGTTAACTTTCCTAAATATATATGCACCCAATACAGGAGCACCCAGATTCATAAAGCAAGTCCTTGGAGACCTACAAAGAGACTCAGACTCCCACACAATAATAATGGGAGACTTTAACATCCCGCTGTCAACATTAGACAGATCAACGAGACAGAAAGTTAACAAGGATATCCAGGAATTGAACTCAGCTCTGCACCAAGCGGACCTGATAGACATCTACAGAACTCTCCACCCCAAACCAAAAGAATATTCATTCTTCTCAGTACCACACCGCACTTATTCCAAAATTGACCACATAGTTGGAAGTGAAGCACTCCTCAGCAAATGTAAAAGAACAGAAATTATAACAAACTGTCTCTCAGACCACAATGCAATCAAACTAGAACTCAGGATTAAGAAACTCACTCAAAACTGCTCAACCACATGGAAACTGAACAACCTGCTCCTGAATGACTACTGGGTACATAACAAAATGAAGGCAGAAATAAAGATGTTCTTTGAAACCAACGAGAACAAAAACACAACATACCAGAATCTCTGGGATGCATTCAAAGCAGTGTGTAGAGGGAAATTTATAGCACTAAATGCCCACAAGAGAAAGCAGGAAAGATCTAAAATTCACACCCTAACATCACAATTAAAAGAACTAGAGAAGCAAGAGCAAACACATTCAAAAGCTAGCAGAAGGCAAGAAATAACTAAGATCAGAGTAGAACTGAAGGAAATAGAGACACAAAAAACCCTTCAAAAAATCAATGAATCCAGGAGCTGGCTTTTTGAAAAGATCAACAAAATTGATAGACTGCTAGCAAGACTAATAAAGAAGAAAAGAGAGAAGAATCAAACAGATGCAATAAAAAATGATAAAGGGGATATCATCACTGATCCCACAGAAATACAAACTACCATCAGAGAATACTATAAACACCTCTATGCAAATAAACTAGAAAATCTAGAAGAAATAGATAAATTCCTCCACACATACACCCTCCCAAGACTAAACCAGGAAGAAGTTGAATCTCTAAATAGACCAATAACAGGCTCTGAAATTGAGGCAATAATTAATAGCTTACCAACTAAAAAAAATCCAGGACCAGATGGATTCACAGCCGAATTCTACCAGAGGTACAAGGAGGAGCTGGTACCATTCCTTCTGAAACTATTCCAATCAATAGAAAAAGAGGGAATCCTCCCTAACTCATTTTATGAGGCCAGCATCATCCTGATACCAAAGCCTGGCAGAGACACAACCAAAAAAGAGAATTTTAGACCAATATCCCTGATGAACATCAATGCAAAAATCCTCAATAAAATACTGGCAAACCGAACCCAGCAGCACATCAAGAAGCTTATCCACTATGATCAAGTGGGCTTCATCCCTGGGATGCAAGGCTGGTTCAACATATGCAAATCAATAAATGTAATCCAGCATATAAACAGAACCAACGACAAAAACCATGTGATTATCTCAATAGATGCAGAAAAGGCCTTTGACAAAATTCAACAACCCTTCATGCTAAAAACACTCAATAAATTAGGTATTGATGGGACATATCTCAAAATAATAAGAGCTATCTATGACAAACCCACAGCCAATATCATACTGAATGGGCAAAAACTGGAAGCATTCCCTTTGAAAATGGGCACAAGACAGGGATGCCCTCTCTCACCACTCCTATTCAACATAGTGTTGGAAGTTCTGGCCAGGGCAATCAGGCAGGAGAAGGAAATAAAGGGTATCAATTAGGAAAAGAGGAAGTCAAATTGTCCCTGTTTGCAGATGACATGATTGTATATCTAGAAAACCCCATTGTCTCAGTCCAAAATCTCCTTAAGCTGATAAGCAATTTCAGCAAAGTCTCAGGATACAAAATCACTGTGCAAAAATTACACGCATTCTTCTATACCAATAACAGACAAACAGAGAGCCAAATCCTGAGTGAACTCCCATTCACAATTGCTTCAAAGAGAATAAAATACCTAGGAATCCAACCTACAAGGGATGTGAAGGACCTCTTCAAGGAGAACTACAAACCACTGCTCAAGGAAATAAAAGAGGATACAAACAAATGGAAGAACATTCCATGCTCATGGGTAGGAAGAATCAATATTGTGAAAATGGCCATACTGCCCAAGGTAATTTACAGATTCAATGCCATCCCCATCAAGCTACCAATGACTTTCCTCACAGAATTGGAAAAAACTATGTTAAAGTTCATATGGAACCAAAAAAGAGCCCACATTGCCAAGTCAATCCTAAGCCAAAAGAACAAAGCTGGAGGCATCACGCTACCTGACTTCAAACAATACTATAAGGCTACAGTAACCAAAACAGCATGGAACTGGTACCGAAACAGAGATATAGACCAATGGAACAGAACAGCCCTCAGAAATAATGCTGCATATCTGCAATTATCTGATCTTTGACAAACCTGAGAAAAACAAGCAATGGGAAAGGATTCCCTATTTAATAAATGGTGCTGGGAAAACTGGCTAGCCATATGTAGAAAGCTGAAACTGGATGCCTTCCTTACACCTTATACAAAAATTAATTCAAAATGGATTAAAGACTTACATGTTTGACCTAAAACCATAAAAACCCTAGAAGAAAACCTAGGCAATACCATTCAGGACATAGGCATGGGCAAGGACTTCATGTCTAAAACACCAAAAGCAATGGCAACAAAAGCCAAAATTGACAAATGGGATCTCATTAAACTAAAGAGCTTCTGCACAGCAAAAGAAACTACCATCAGAGTGAACAGGCAACCTACAGAATGGGAGAAAATTGTTGCAATCTACTCATCTGACAAAGGGCTAATATCCAGAATCTACAATGAACTCAAACAAATCTACAAGAAAAAAACAAACAGCCCCATCAAAAAGTGGGCAAAGGATATGAACAGACACTTCTCAAAAGAAGACATTTATGCAGCCAAAAAACACATGAAAAAATGTTCACCATCACTGGCCATCAGAGAAATGCAAATCAAAACCACAATGAGATACCATCTCACACCAGTTAGAATGGCAATCATTAAAAAGTCAGGAAACAACAGGTGCTGGAGAGGATGTGGAGAAATAGGAAGACTTTTACACTGTTGGTGGGACTGTAAACTAGTTCAACCATTGTGGAAGTCAGTGTGGCGATTCCTCAGGGATCTAGAACTACAAATACCATTTGATACAGCCATCCTATTACTGGGTATATACCCAAAGGATTATAAATCATGCTGCTATAAAGACACATGCACATGTATGTTTATTGCGGTACTATTCACAATAGCAAAGACTTGGAACCAACCCAAATGTCCATCAATGATAGACTGGATTAAGAAAATGTGGCACATATACTCCATAGAATACTATGCAGCCATACAAAATGATGAGTTCATGCCCTTTGTAGGGATATGGATGAAGCTGGAAACCATCATCCTCAGCAAACTATTGCAAGGACAAAAAAACCAAACCCCGCATGTTCTCACTCATAGGTGGGAACTGAACAATGAGAACACATGGACACAGGAAGGGGAACATCACACACTGGGGTCTGTTGTGTGGTGGGGGCAGGGGGAAGGTATCATTAGGAGATATGCCTAATGTTAAATGACTAGTTGATGGGTGCAGGACACCAACATGGCACATGTATACATATGTAACTAACCTGCACCTTGTGCACATGGACCCTAAAACTTAAAATATAATTTAAAAAAGACAATTATTGAGACAATTAGTGAAACTGCAACATTTGAAAATATTTGTGGATTAGATAATAATATTGTTAAAGTTTCTGATATTGGTCATTGTGCTGTGATTATGTAAGAGAAAGTGTTTATTTCTAGGAAATGCACACTAAGATATTAAAGGGCAAAAGAGCATGTTGTCTGTGACCTACTGTCAAATGGCTCAGGAAAAAATGTATACCTCTATGAAAATATCCATATAAATACATTTATGTGTATGAATACACAGAGAGAGGAAAGAAAGAAAAAGAAAGAAAAAAAAGAAAAGAAAAGAAAAGGAAGAAAAGAAGGAAGGAAGGAAGGAAGGAAGGAAGGAAGGAAGGAAGGAAGGAAGGGGCATACATTAGGAAATAAAGTGAATGTTGCAAATGTTAAAGAGTGAACCTAGGTAAAAAGTATAGAGTTCGTTGTACTATTCTCAACAATTTTCAGGAATATTGAAGTTATTTCAAAATACAAATTCAAAAAAAAGTTGGATATTAGTGACTAAGACATCTAAAGAAATTGAAAGTAAATAATTTCTCATGATGTATAAGAAAAAATATTTTTGAAATCTAGTGATAAATGTTCAATAATATTAAGCATTTATATTCATAGGTATAAAAGGAGGTTTAAACATTCAAATGATTACTATTTCAGTTGTGCCCGGAAAGCACAAGTATGTGATGGTTGACAAGCAAACTTCTGCAAGAAATTTAACTTCTGGAAAAATCAATAGCAAAAAGATAACCTCAGTGATACTTCAGAGTATCAATTATTTTCACGAAGAATTACCACTAAAAACTGATGTCAGTTCAGTGAGTTTTAGGGAAATAAATGAGCTTTTCAAGCATTACATTTCTTTTAAAATACTACATACTTATTAATATATGAAAATTCTGAAGCAATTATAGTCTCAGATGGCTGAGAAAAAAACAAAACTCTCATTTTAAAGAAAACAATCATGAATCCTTTCAAAGTAAATGAAGAATATTAAAGAATAGTAGTTCATTGTTTGTTTTTGTCTTACACGCAGGTTAGAGGAAATGCTCATTTGAGTATGTTCTGTACACATTGGCAGATCTGACAAGAATCCTAAATTATAAAGGGAATTTGTTAATGAATTCACCACAGCCTGAATTATCTTTGTAAGGTCTTCAAGAACTGAGAAGTTGCTAGGAGACTGAAAGAAAACAAAAGTAATTGTATCTTTTAAAGAGGCGACTGAGGCAATTAACATCAAATAAATCACAAAAATAGCTTTCAAAACAGCAAAAACAATGGAAGAAAACTGTGTACAAATGAATAATAGGTAACATGTCTCTACCAAGGAAAGTTCAGACATCATCAAATGATTATATTTTCAGCTCCCGCACTGAACTGTGAGCTCCTTGGGAACAAAGGGATGTTGTACTCAACTTTGAATAAAACACTATAGATATTAAGCAAATATGTGGGAGTGAAGAAGAAAAGGCAAAAAGAGAATGGATTAGTGGCGGAAATGGAATATATTAATTGAACATTAATGCACTACTTTTTTTGTTGTTGTTTTTTGAGACTGAGTCTTGCTCTATTGCCCAGGCTGGAGGGCAGTACTGCAATCTCTGCCTCCCGGGTTCAAGAGATTCTCCTGTCTCAGCCTCCCGAGTAGCCAGGATTACAGGAGTGCACCACCACACCTGGCTAATTTTTGTATTTTTAGTAGAGACAGGGTTTCACCATGTTGGCCAGGATGACCTCAAATGATCTGACCACCTTAGCCTCCCAAAGTACTGAGATTACAGGTGTGAGCCACTGTGCCCGGCCTAATGCACTACGTTTTGACTTATATGAAACATTAAATTCAATGCCCATTGAATTTCTACGAATTTTACTTAAACTGAAAATATAAATAAAGCATAATGTTGACCAACAATAACTAGCATATGATATTGAATATACTGTTATTCAACGTTCATTTAACAACCAGAAAAAAAAGAAAAAAATTGTTATTGTTTTATTGTTCTGTTTCAAACAGAAACTTCAAACTCCTAGAAAATATAATTTACAGAAATTCAATGGTTTAAAGCTAATGACAGAATGGGTGGTTTACCCTCTCTGTCAATATAAGACATATATATTTTTATTCAATATATGAATTGACCTGTAATCAAAAACTATAAACAAGCTGTAGCTAATAATCTCAGTGATCTTTTGATGAATGAGGGATATAAAGAGATGCCTTCAGTACAAAAAATTCAAGTTACAAAAGTGTAATACTCAAGACTGACTTCCTGAAACAAGTAAGTTCTCTATGAAAAGGAAGGTGAGGATGCAAATAATTTGCCTTTACCTTTCCTGAGTGCTTAAGGAAATACATCAAGTCTAAAAGGATAAATTACAACATTTTGAATTTAAGAGCTTACTTCTGGAATCATCTTCAAATATTTATAAAGTCCCCACACTACAAGATATATTATATTCTGAGCCCCTCTCTGGTGGAGATTTATCTAAGATGCTGATAGCATATTTTACACTTGTTATGCGAATATCTGGAAAAAAAATTTTGTCTTTCAAGTTATCTGTAGAACACCAGGTACACTCTGGGGAAAAAAAATAATATAGCATAAAGTGATCCTTAAATCCCAAGGATAAATAATGAAGATGTCAGGACTATGCCACGTGCTGCTAGCAAAATATTCTACAAATCTATTAATGGCCCGAGTGAAGAGAATCAAAATAATCAGACCAACTTATTTCACAGTCCATGTGAGATTATTTTGGATATACAGACATAAAATAACTATTATGAAAACTGCCAAAACACTTCTGTTGCCCCGTTTCCACAGCAGCACGTTTTTTAAAATTCACCTGTTTTTAACATGTTTTAGTTGCTACTTAAAAAGAATTTTAATATGAGCCCTCCTTCCATCTAGAGAAGACCCCCAAAATATCATTGCAATTGAAAATGGACAATTTATGATAACTCTTCCTTACTCTATACTCCTTTGCCTTCAATTTCTTAAATGTATGGTTTCAGTAATCGGAAACTCTGACCAGTGAATAGAGGAGGCAGAGAGGAAATAATAAGAATAGGAAACTGGAGACAAGAAGTGAGCATTTGTATAATTTTATTCAACCCATGACAATAAAAGATCTCTCCCTAGCTCTGAAATATCATTCCCTCATTGACAGATGACTGGCTGTTACTAACACCAGTTTGAAATTTAGGTGTGGTCTGAAATTACTAAAGAATTCAGCAATGGCCTATTAGAAGGCTTGAAACTCTTTGCTCTTTAAACCTGAACTGACAAAGCAATGACTTTCAATCTATGGACAGTCAATCCTTGTAAAAGGAGAGAGAGACTAATTGAAATCAAAAGGAAAATTTTGCTGAGTGACCAAAAAACAATTCTCCTTGTCAATTCACTAATCAAACATGGAGGTACTCTCTCTAACCTGGGATGTTGTATCTTTTAGCACATGAATTTTCTCCTAGTTTGAAAAATACGGCATTTGTTTTTAAGGCATAATCACTATTTACATTTATTCTAAGATGGAAATTGTCTGCCTAATTATTATATTGATGTTTTCTTTGTCTAATTGGGTAGGTCAAGGCACTAATTTGATTCACAGCTGCAGTATGTTTTTATAGACTTTGGTGAACTTTAATTGCTTATAAATATTGGATTATAAGACCAAGAGCCTTTACTAGAATCCCGTTTAGCTCCATATGCTTTCAAACTTGACAATATGTTGTCCATTTCCTGAGAATCTTTCATTCCAAATGGCCCCAAGGGTAAGAAAGCAAAGAATAACACATATGGTTCACACAGCTAAAGTCCATTAAGAATTTTGCTGTTGACAGACCTAATGAGTTATAGTCAGGAAAAAATATTGTCAGTTATTCCTTCCTTAATAATAAAATTGAAACACAAAGACAACACAGCTCAAAGCCCTGTAGTCTTACTGTGAACGTTCCATTTTAATAATGTGCATGATTCCATACACTGCCCTACAGTAAATGCAAATGGAAACGTAGACAGGGCAGCAGCTTGGAGTGGTAGAGACTGACGCTGATGAAAATCTCCTGAACTATGTGGTCAAAGACCTAACCAGTCTCAGGCAGAAGCTGGTCACAGCCCTGTAGCCAGGCAAACCCTCCCAAGGTTGTGTCCTACCAATGGGGGCTTGTCACTGTCCTCTCAACTTCTCCAGTGCCATCCCCAGGTAGATAATGTCAGCCCTTAATGGGCTAGTTGAAACAGTGAAGGGTAATCGGAGGTGGGAAGGAGAACCAGCACATTTCTGCTGCTGAGTTACAGCACGGGTTTCTGGAAGCCACTTATCACACCCCACCCCCAACAGGCACTCAGATGGCCCCAAAGACAGCCATGGTTGTCCTGAAAGTGTGTCTCATCCCACTTCCTGTACTTCATCCCACCAAAGCCATCCTGGACTCTTTGATGACTAGCACTAGGTCAGGTCAATGAGATTCCAATTCCTTCTTGTTGCTTGGGCCACTATTCTAACTCAGAGTCCTGACAGTCAAGAGCATAGATTCTTCGCTCATAAAGATGTAAGTTCAAACCCCACCTCTGCCTCTTAACACTGGTAATTGCATACAAATTAGAATTTCTACTAAACCAAGGGACACACATTCATGTAAAAATTTTAACATGAGGTATTTTGATACACATTTTATAACTAAATATTGACAGTTGAACAACTTGATAGGAAGAGATTTTTGCCTTGCTGCCAATAATTTCTCCTTTTTGGTGCTTGGCACATATAGACATTATACTTTAATTTTTAAAATATGACTCTGGTTGCTGTGTGGGAATGAGCAGGAGTGGATGCAGAAAGTCAGTTAGGAGACCACTGCAACCACCCGGAAAAGAGATGACAGTGACTTGAGGGAGGCTTATAGATGGAGATGGATAGAACAGTGTTACCCATGGTTTAGAAACTATTTTCAAAGTGGAGTTGTGTTGATGGCATAGAAGTGAGAGTGAGGAAAAGTCAGTTAGCCACAAGAGCCCCTGTAAGGCAGGAGTAGGAGCTGAGGCCCACAGAGCAGTGGACAGCAGCCATGGGGGATTGTTAAGAGCTAGTAAACCCCCAAAAGGCAGGCAGCAGCATAGACCTGCCAGGAGAATGGAAGAACTCAGGACTTCCTAGAAAGATTGAGGGAGGACAGGGTTGATGGTGGATGAGTAGGGCCTAGAGTTTTTATAGTAGGTGGAGTGAGGGCTCAACTCATTTTAACTAGACCCAGTGGTGAGCTGGAGCTGCCTCATATTGGCTCAAAAGAGGAGATGGATAAATGTTCAGAAATTTTGCGAGTCCCATTGGCAGCTTGAAGTCACCCAGGGTTGAGAATATTTACACCACAGAAATTGGCAAATGCTACAAATCTGAGTTTTCCCTCCTCGCCATCCCCCACCAGTGCTGGTTGTTAAACATTTACCAGTACACCACTGACAAGGCTGGAAGGCCTAAGAGCTCCAGAAGATATTTGAGTTACACAATTAATTGACCGGTTCTCTCTTCCAGTGAGGCAAAGAACGCCACACACACTTCAAAATCTAGAAGTCTTTGGAAAATTATTTGAAATGCAAGCTCTATTTGTCCTACCAAACTTCCTAATTTCTAATTATATTTTTTTGAAGCTAATATTAAAATAATCATATTTTTGAGCACATATTGCATAGAAAATAAAACATCATAACTAGGCTATAAAAGAATATGCTCAGTATCCAAGGAATCAACAGTTGCCTTTATTTTAATATATTCTTCTGATAAAAGTTTTGTAATATTTATGCGACCTAATCCTATTCGGATTGAATTACTAACAATAGTCTATCTTAATAATACAAAAAAAATAATTAAATGCTTTATTATAATTTCATCAAATCTTGTACTTTTATAAGAAATTTAAAAATGATCTACGACCTTGTGGAGAAGCAAAAACAACAAAGCATATTAAATCTAGAATTATAGCTCCCAGAGATAATCAATGTTTACAATGATAGAGCAGGGGTCTACAAACTACTATGTACCCCAGGGGCTGAATTCAGCTATGCCTATACTGTGGGCGATTATTTTTGCACTACAACTGAGCTGAGTAGTTGTAATAGGAACCATATAAAGCCTAAAATATTTACTATCTGGCTCTTCACAGAAAAAGCTTGTGGACCTCCAGTTATTCCTCAATTTATAGATATAATTTATAATAAAAATGGGGCGACATCATACATACTGCTTATCAACCTGCTTTCCTCTCCTACTTAGCTATGCAGTCATTAAATGTTGTGTTGCATCATTTTTCAGTTTTGCAGCATTCTTTTTTTTTTTTTTTTTTTTGAGACAGAGTTTCACTCTTGTTGCCCAGGCTGGAGTACAATGGTGCAATCTCAGGTCACTGCAACCTCCGCCTCCCAGGTTCCAGCCATTTTGCTGCCTTAGCCTCCCCAGCAGCTGGGATTACAGGCGCCTGCCACCGTGCCTGGCTAATTTTTTGTATTTATAGTAGAGACAGGGTTTTGCCATGTTGGCCAGGCTGGTCTTGAACTCCTGACCTGAAGTGATCCACCCGCCTCGGCCTCCTGAAGTGCTGGGATTACAGGCATGAGCCACTGTGCCTGGCCCATTTTCTTGATATGACAACATTTATTCAGGTTGTTTCCAATTTTTTTAGGTAACAAATATACTTTAGTCTAACTCTTTTCTCTCTGATTTTTTTAAGGTAAATTTCTAGTTGTAGAATTGTTGGATCAAAGTTGGACATACAAAAGTTCAGATTTTGGTAACTTTTGCAAAGCTGCCCTACAAAGAAGAATTTCCTATATATATATTACAACTGTCTTCCTATGAATTTTAAATGTAAAAGGATTGTATTTTCTGGGTGAAAATTCCCCAAGTTTCTTCCAAAATGTCAAGAATAAATATTTTTAAATATGTCTTTATAAAGTACCCTGTGTGAGAAAAAGTCAGAAAAAATTGTCAGTCTTCACATAGCTATGGTATGCTTCAAATTTTAGTCCCAAATGCACATTATGAAAATATATGCTTTGCGGAAATCTGTAATACTTACTAGGCCAAAAAAGCAGTTTCAGCAAATAATATCTCTAAGCTTCAGTTTTTGCACCTATAAAATGGGATCATACAAGCTCTTCCAATCTGAGAGACTATTGAAATAATCAAATGACACATGCATAAGAAGGAAGTATCAAATTTCGTAAAGTGCAGAAGGTCCGATGGTTTACATCATTTCAACATTTCTCTTTACTGCATTTTATTCTTAGATAGTAAAATTTAATTGATACTAAGATTTTTTTTTAAATAAAGCAAATCTGTGATTGATGCGGGGGAGGAAGTAGGAATGAGATAAATGTCCCCACCGGAATGAGATAAATGTCCCCACCTGTTTTCTTTCAGAGGAAAATTTCCACAGTGCAAGGCCACTTTATCATGCTTCTGGGTGGAAGTTGCCTGAGGGTTGCAGAGTCTAGGCATGGAGCTTCACAGGCAGTTGCTGGCTCTTCTATCCATTCTCCTTTCTTTCTTCCTGAACACTAGACCCTCTTGGCTGTCCTGCTGCCTCACCACTGATCCTTTCCTGTCTCCTTCACTGGTTCCCCCTCTTCACCTTGTCCTCTTAACATTAAGTGCTTGGGAATAAGTATTCTCATGACGTCCAGTTGCATACCTAGAACACTGATGACTCCTGCACCTCATTCAGCCCAGTCTTCTCTCCCGAGCCCCAAACTCTCAAATCTCACTGCCTAATCAATTTCTTCACTTGCATGTCTAATAGCATCTTAAAGTTCATATATAAATACATACTCGCCAGGCGTGGTGGCTCACACCTGTAATCCCAGCACTTTGGGAGGCCAACGTGGACAGATCACCTGAGGTCGGGAGTTCAAGACCAGCCTGGCCAGGATGGTGAAACCCCATCTCTACTAAAAATACAAAAATTAGCCGGGCATGGTGGCAGGTACCTGTAATCCCAGCTACTTGGCAAGACAAGGCAGAAGAATCTCTTGATTGAGGAAGCAGAGGTTGCAGTGAGCCAAGACTGTGCCATTGCACTCCAGCCTGGGCAACAGAGCAAGACTCCGTCTCAAAAAAAAAAAAAAAAAAAAAAAAAAAACAAAAAAAAGGCCGGGCACGGTGGCTCATGCCTGTAATCCCAGCACTTTGGGAGGCTGAGGCGGGTGGATCACGAGGTCAGGAGATCGAGACCATCCTGGCTAACACGGTGAAACCCCGTCTCTACTAAAAAATACAAAAAAAAAAAATTAGCCGGGTGCGGTGGTGGGCGCCTGTAGTCCCCGCTACTCGGGAGGCTGAGGCAGGAGAATGTCAGGAACCCGGGAGGCGGAGTTTGCAGTGAGCAGAGATCACGCCACTGCACTCCAGCCTGGGAGACAGAGCGAGACTCCGTCACAAGAAAAAAAAAAAAAATCCAAACTCCTGGCCTGCGCCCCACTGCCCCCAACCGCTCTACTCACGGCCTTCTTCTCAGTTTCGGGCAACTCCATGATTCCAGTTGCTCAGGCCCAAAGCTTGGAAGCCATACTTAACCTCTTCTCTTTCTCTCACACCACACATTCAATCCATCAAGCAATTGAGTTGGCCCCACCTGGCAGCGTATCTAGAAGCAGCCCGCTTCCCACCTCTCCAGCACCCTGGTCTGAGTGCCATCCCTCTTCCTCTGGATTGCTTTCATTATCAACTGCTTGTCTTCCTTGACACTTACCTCTCCCCCTACTCACATACACAGTCTATTTTCTGCAAGGCAACCAGAGTGATCCTGATAAAATATTTGCTCTAATAGTGTTCTTCCACTCTGGCCATCCGTTGAGCTCAGTAAAAACAAAAGTCCCCACAGAGGCCCATGAGTTCTCTTCATGGGCTGCCCTCACATGGCACCTCTCTGACTGCCTGCCCTGGTATTTTCCCCTCCATGGACTCCACCCCAGCCATCCTGGCCTCCTCCTTCATGGTCCTCTCCACACCAGCTTCCCTCTGACCTGAGGGCCAGTGTTCTAGCTGCTCTCCCTGCCTCCTCCCAGTAGAAGGCCCACCTAGTTAAAGCTGCAACCCCCATCCCTGACTCTGTATTCCTTATCCTGCTGTTTTTCTTTTTTTCTTTTTCTTTTCTTTTTCTTTCCTTTTTCCTTTTTCTTTTTCTCTTTTCTATATTTCCTCTCTTTCTTTCCTTTCTTCTTTCTCTTTTTTTTTCTTTCTGCCTTCCTTTCTTTCTTTTCCTCTTTCTTTCTTTCTGCTGGTACTTACTTTCTACCACATAATATAATTTCCTTCTTTATTATTTATTATGTGTCCTCCCTTCTCTAGAATGTAAGCTCCATGTAGATGGGGAATCCTTATTTTGTTCAACAGATTAAATAAATTAACAAATAGCTACACACTCACTTGGCAATCCTGAGACTGTATCAAGATCATGGTTAAGACAGAACTAGGCCAGGTGTGGTGGCTCATGCCTGTAACTCCAGTACTTTGGGAGGCCAAGGCAAGTGGATCACCTGAGGGTCAGGAGTTCGAGACCAGCCTGACCAATACGGTGAAACACCGTCTCTATTAACAGTACAAAAATTAGCCAGGTATGTTGGCACATGCCTGTAATCCCAGCTACTTGGGAGGGTGAGGCAGGATAATTGCTTGAGCCCAGGTGGCAGAGGTTATCGCACCACTGCACTGCAGCCTGACATAGCGAGACTCCATCAAAACAAAACAAAACAAAACAAAACACTAAAATTTAGGGGAATATAAAACAAAATAAAGAACATGAATTAAATAATATTTTGAAAGACCCCACCCTATAGATTAAGCCCCCAAAAGAAATTTATTCAAAATGAGTAAAGAAGAAAATGGAAAACGGGGTAGAAAAGACTCATAGTAAACTAGAAATCAGAAAACCATCAGAGAAGTGTCTACTCTGCCACTTCTTAACAATATTACCTAGTGGCAGCCAAAGTTATAAGTAGTCCACATCATGAAATACTTTAGAAGCATATGTTTTTTAATCCATAAATTGGAAATAACCATTTACTAACTTTCTTATCTCAAGGAGTTTATTGTCAGGCTTGTAGGTAAACATTCCTTGTAAATTGTAAAGTGCTTTATAAATATGAGTTATTTTCTTGTAGGTAAACATTCCTTGTAAATTGTAAAGTGCTTTATAAATATGAGTTATTTTAATGTGCTGGTATTAAAACACTGGCTTAGGTTGGCCTTTTTTTTTTTTTTTTTTTGGCTCTTAATTGGCAATTGGCAGTTAGCACATAAAAAGCCCTTGAGTCGTTTTCATTTAGGAGAAGGAAAATTGATCCCTTTCTACTTTAGCTCTCTCAGTAGACACAGAAAAGCAAGTCGGGGGTGGGAGGGGTCTCCCGTGAAATAACTGCTTTCTGCCAGAGTCCCAGCAGCACAGCAAAATGCCTACAGCCTTTTTCTTAATTGGGAAAAGAAAAGCGTGAAACAGTCCCAAAGAGTGAATATGTACAACAGTTGCATAAACGATGACAAAGCATTTTTTAGTAAAGTCTTAAATGAAAAGCCTTTCTCTATGTTAACTCTTAAATCATGTTATCTATTTTTATTAATAAAGATATAAATTGACCAGCAGTTGATGTCTTAAATATTTAGCAATGACTAGATAAGAAGCAAGGATCCGCTGTAGTGTACTTCATTTATTTCAGGCTTGCTTTAAATTTGTTTTATGAGTCTGATAACATTAAAATAACTTGAACACCAACGTTTTAAAACATATTAAAAGCTCGATGAAGAAATCTGTAAACAGAGATAAATAAATATGTGAAGATCTTGTAAGCGGCTCCTCTGGCATTTATAGTCCTATACTCAAAAAAAAAAAGACACTCTTTGCAGTTGTGCCAGTGCCCTCTAGCGGTCAGTGTGGTGTCTACAATTTTTTTAAGTCATTCCCGGCCTTCAAAACGTGCTGACCACCTCCCATTCTACCAGCCAGCCAAGAGGAAAAAAAAAAAAAAATCAGCCAACCAATAGAATAATCAATTTTCTATAATGCTAGAGACTTAGAAAAAAACACGCAGAATAAAATAAAGAAAAATCATACATCATGGTTAGAAATACAGCTTTGTACATTAATGGAATCTCAACATTTTGAAGAAAGAAGATTCCATCTCGTGGTTCTTTTCTTTTATGGTCAAAGACGGACTTGAGAATTTTAGAAAAGCTGTGGACTTTCTTCTCAGAAAAAAAAAAAAATGTGCCACCTGTAATCTCAGCACTTTGGGAGGCTGAGGCACGAGGTGAGGAGTTTGAGACCAGCCTGACCAACATGGCGAAACCCCGTCTCTACTAAAAAATACAAAAATTAGCCGGGCATAGTGGTGCATGCCTGTAATCCCACCTACTCAGGAGGCTGAGGCAGGAGAATCGCTTGAACCCAGGAGGCAGAGGTTGCAGTGAGCTGAGATCGCACCACTGCACTCCAGCCTGGGCAACAAAGTGAGACTCCATCTCAAAAAAAAGTGCATGTACCTATAATTTCAGGGGTTCATGTAACACCTGAAGGCCTTGCATCCTAAATTAAAGGCTTGGGGTTTTATATACCTCTACACATCCCAGGTTCCATAGGTTAAAAATCCTGTCTGAAATGGTGAGTTTAAAAATCAATTTGGAGAAGGACATGTACAGAATGACTGTATGCAAAATAATACTGTATAGTTTCTATGTATATATAGTAAAAATATGCAAACTATGGAATAGTGAACATTGAATTCATGAGAGTTGTTACCCTTCAGAGCAAGAAAGGGTAATGAGATGGGGAAAAATGAAGGTGGCCTCAGTTATGCTTATACTGCATCATTTATTCAGAAACTATTGAAGCATATACGGCATATTATTTTAATAAAGCTTGGTGGCAGATGTATAATGAATTTTCATTATTTTATTTTCCATTCTTATCTATAAAGTTGGTATATACCCCAAAATTAAAAGGTTTCATTCAAAAACCTGAAATTATTATAAGATCTAATTCCATTGTCATGTAAAAAAGGTTATTTTTCCAAAACATCCAAATGTAAGTTCATGTTCTGAGAAACATATTTAATTCTCTCTTGTATAAAATCACCCAAGCTTATTTTCAAATACAAGCTAAAATGTTAATATTAAAAAGCAAACCATTGTTCTCTTCACAGAGTCCTCAAGTAGATAAGCCTTTATTTTTATGGCCATAATTTGATTTCTTGATAGGGAAAGAAGGAGAAAATTCTTCTGAAACTAATGTTATATTGGAACAAAATTTATTATCGATCCATATTCATTCTACTACCAGATATAATGAAAGTTTGGATAAGGTATTATTCTTTCTGGGGATTTTATGTATAGCAAAGTCAGTGTGAAGCCGACTATGTCATTGCTTGAGAGTCTGAACCTAATCGCCACTTAATTGATTCATGCTTGTAGCTGCACTGCTGCATAGCATCCCAGAGTGCTCAGATGCTACCTGTCAGGTGCATCCCATCACAATGCAAAGCAGCAGGTCTTGTGCCTGCCTTGATTTAAATGGAATGCTGGAGGAATGAAGCAGCCCAGGCAATCTGGAAGGCTGGTAGGGAAGAGGATCAGCTTCTGTTTCACCTCCCCATTGATAAAACTGACAGATCCCAGGCAGGCCTGAGGAGGTAAATTATGACCATAACATTAGCTAACTGTGGGGTAATATACACTGCTGGCCTATGGGGTCAGATCAAAGCTCCAGTCCTCCCTGTCCTTGACACCTAAGGAGAAGCAACATTAATTTCTGAGGATCTTTATTGGGCCACAGTGTTGAGGCAGAGCGTGGAACTTTTAATGTCATGGTAAGAAAAGGAGGCAGAAGCTTATTCTCTAACTATGCTCTCCAGTTGGATTAGGGATTTTAGAGACTCTGTCATTTTGGACTTGTCTTATTAAAATGATGTCTCCGCCAGCTGCCGCTCTAGCAATTAAGACAGGCCTGCTTTCCACCTAGTAATGAACTCCTCCAACGGCCTTTTCTCACCAACCACCCACACCCCACTTCCTATTGCCACAGGAAGGCCTGGCCTGGGGTAGAGTGTCTAGGTTTTGGGCGTAGGGAACCATCCCACCTATATTCTATTTTTCTTTGGATTTCTCTCTCTCTCTTTTTTTTTTTTTTTTTTTTTTGCCACTAGAGTGAGATCTGGAGGAACTTCATTTAGGCCTCTGACAAAAGACACATAGGAATGTTTTCAGCCCTATGTAGTCCAGCACAATTCGCCAGGTCTAGGAATTCCAAAAAGGATTTTGGCACCAAACCCAAACAGTAATAAACAGTGTGCACAGGCCAGGCCTCACCATCAAGGCATGGATTGTGTCTCTTATGGGGAATCTAGTAGACATGGTTGTGACTGTAAGTGGTTTTTTAGGGATTTGGTGATCTTGAGTCCCGGCCTAATATCAACTCAGAAATGACTGGCATATACCCTTGGAACAGTGTAGAACTGGGGGAAAGATAATAGGCAAAATGAAGATGGAGACATCTTGTATGAATCACCATCTCATGGCGTGGAACTATCAACTTGGCTTTTCCAAATACATGATGTTCCTGAAACCTCTGAATTACATCTCTGAATATTTGGATATTTAAGCTATTTTGATGCCTTGCTTACATTTAAGCTACCTTCCAAAGCAAATTCTATCCATCCTAATTGCTTTCAAACCAATCTTGCCTTAAAAATATTCCTACAAATCAACTGGTGTTGAATATTGATATAAGTAAATACTCTCCTTTAGACTAGAAAACCAGCATGTTTCATCACCAAATTTTTAAAAAGCAATTAATCTTCTCTTACCCATATTGAATAAGAATTCACTTTAGAATTTCCTTCTCATGAGGCAGAGCTTGACATTTAACAATTCTCATGTTTCATTTTCAGAAGTAAATGAGTATGCTGCAGTTAACCTGAGAGTTGATTCATAGTTAGGAATACAGGGAGTAACGTGGGGGAAATACCTCCTTTCTTTAGCTCAGGGGAACACACTGAGTGCCTGTAAAGTTACCCACAGTGCTATCCATATCGACTAGATTGTAGTCAAGTAAGGGCATACGATCAAGGTGCCATCAGGACCTAAGCAATATTCATGATCTCTGACAATATGGATCATGCACTGAAATTCTACAATTGTCCTTAGAGAAAATCAAAAGTTTATAGCACCACTTTTACCATAGAACATTTTTTCTTTTGGAATGGGGACAAAAAAAAAAAAGAAAAAAAAAGATTCATGGAAAGGATTTGGTCTCTGAATGCAGGTGAACCTGAATTTGAATCCTAGTGTTTGTAAGCCCTGACTATGTAATTTTGCTCATGGCCTGGTGCCTAGCAGGTGCTCAACAAGTCTTTGTTTTCTCTGAAACAGATCTGTATTTGTATCCTATTTTTTTTTTTTTTTTGAGGTGGAGTCTCACTCTGTTGCCCAGGCTGGAGTGCAATGGCATGGTCTTGGCTCATTGCAACCTCTGCCTGCCTGGTTCAAGGGATTCTCCTGCCTCAGCCCCCCAAGTAGCTGGGATTACAGGTGTCCGCCACCACTCCTGGCTTTTTTTTAATTTTATACTTAGTAGAAACAGGGTTTTACCATGTTGGCCGGGCTGGTCTCGAACTCGTGACCTCAGGTGATCTGCCTGCCTCGGTCTCCCAAAGTGCTGGGATTACAGGTGTGAGCCACCGCACCTGGCCTATATTCAGCTCCTATTGTGGCTGTAACAAATTACCAAAAGCTTCAAGGCTTAAAACAACACAGATTTATTACATTTCTGAAGGTCAGAAGTCCTTCAGCGTCTTGAGCAAGGCTGTGTTTCCTCTGGGCACTCCAGAGGAGAATGTTTCCTTGCCACGGCATGGCCCCACTACTATAGCATTTTGGACGCTATAAAAAGAAAAATCTCCTAGGCCAAATTGCCTCTACATTTCATTGTAGACACAATTAACTAAATTTATTCTTCTACAGCAGTGATTTTCAAACTTTTTGGTCTCGAAACCCCTTTATACTCTTAAAAAATATTACAGACTCCGAACGGCTGTAGTTTACGCAGGCTCTATCTGTCAATATTTATCATATTTGAAATTAAGATTGGTATTACAAGAATACACGAAGAGCACAGAAGCACACATTCCATTAAGCATCGGAACAATGATATCATTACACGTTATGGAGCCACTGTAAACCCCATTCATGAAAGAATGGGAGTGAAAAAAGCAAATAACATTAGTACTACTATGAAAAGATCTTTTACCTTGCAGACCTCCTGAAATGGTTGTAGGAGTCTCTGGGCCACATTTTAAGAACTGTTGTTCAGCTGGTGTGAAAGAAGGCGCAACAGCTAAAGAAATGCCAATTCTAAATCTCTCAAAGCAATCATCATGCTGACTATGCCCAGAACAGCACAGCAGCCAGTGTGGCCTTCTGCTGATAGGAAAGACCGAGCAGTCTGACTCTATCCTTTCCCTAAAGACTCTGGCTGTGGGCAGCCTCCATTCCCTGTGGTGTTGGAATCAACCAATGAGGAGGGGAGAAAACGCTTAGAAATAGTTTGAACAATAATAGAGTCAGCAGTTATAGTTGGTTCTAACATATTTTTAAAACTGCATTGTTATGATTCTGATGATCATACACAGTGCGGGAACTACTAGCTATTTCACCTATATATGAGTAAAACATTTGGGGAAATTTCCCTCTGGTTCAGCTGGTTATGCTGTTCACGGAGGTCCTTGACATTTGCCCAGCGGAGTCATCACCTGAAACCACGGGCAGCTGAACCCTGGGAACTTGCCTCGGTGTTTATAAATACCTCAGTTGCATCAGGACCCTACAGGTGAAAGATCTTGATACCACACAGGTATAATTACAATCTGCAAACCTACTCAAGGGGAGTTGCAGGTGAAGATAAGGAAGTCAGCCTCATTCCATTACCTAATCAGATTCTCAGCCAAAGACAAACAGCAACATATGGGACTTTAAGGTGAGCAGGGAGCCGACAGCAGCGCTACTCAAAATGTGGTCCGTGATCTGCATGGCTCTCAGAATTGTTTGTTATTGGTTCATGGCAAGTAAAGCACAGAAAATGAGAGTAAGGATTTAAAACATTTGGAAAAGTTTGACAATAGTTGTGTATCTGTTGAAACTAATCATTTATAAATGTGTTTCTATTTTGCATGACTTTTTCATTTTCCATTGTTTTGCTTCTTCAGTTTTATCAAAGTATTGGTCTGTAACAAATTGTGTGTGTTTTGTTGGGGACTGATCCATCAGTAATTTGTCAAGCACTGATCTAGAGGTTAAGGCCCTTTGGTCTGTTGGTTGAAATGTAATAACTAATTTTTTTAGACAAAAGAACTGATTTTACCTGGATATGATCTTTCTTAAAGTTTATTTCAAGTTTGATTAATCTCAATGAAACTCTGAAGTCTAAATTTAATGTCAAGATTTAGATTTGGGCCGGGAGTGGTGGCTCACGTCTGTAATCCCAGTACTTAGGGAGGCTGAGGCGGGTGGATCATTTGAGGTCAGGAGTTCGAGACCAGCCTGGCCAACATGGTGAAATCCCATCATCCATCAAAAATACAAAAAATTAACCGAGCATGGTGACACACACCTGTAATCCCAGCTACTCAGGAGGCTGAGGCGGGAGAATTGCTCCAACCCAGGAGATGGCAGTTCCAGTGAGCCAAGATCGCACCAATGCATTCCAGCTTGGGAGACAGAGACTCTGTCCCCTGTCAAAATATGTATACACACACACACACACACACACACACACACGCACACACATATACATATATATACATATTTAACTGGGCATGGTGGTATACACTCGTAGTCCCAGCTACTCAGAAGGTTGAAGTGGGAGGATTGCTTAATACTGGAAGTTTGAAGCCGCAGTAAGCTATGATTGAGCTACTGCACTCCAGCATGGGTGACAGAGCAAGACCCTGTCTCAAAAAAAAAAAAAAAGCACATTTAGGTTTGACAATTTCAGGGCTAAATAACAAATTAATTAGCAGTTATTATGTTCATCAGACATAAGGCTATTTAATATCATTTCTTTTGCCTGATTGAAGGTTTCCAGGCTTTCAGGAAGCAGTACTATTTAATCAAATACCAATGGCATACTTGTGTCATGCAATGTTACGTTCCATAGGCAATAATAAAAATGCTATCAAGGAAAAAGTCAAGAGAAGTGGCTGTGGTCTAGATAAATGAAATACAATGTAATTAAGAATATGGATCAGAAAACTTAATTTTAAAAAAGCAATTTTCTTCTTTAGGTTTGTCCTATCTTTACAGTTGTATGTAAATTTTTAACATCCAGTACAGATCTCATAGTGTTATTATCGAAGCTCACAGTTGAAAGTGCTTGTTTACAAGTGTTTATCTTGCCAAACAGATAAACATTAAGGTGCCCTGTAATGGGTTTTTGTTTTGAGTTCATCCACTGATTTGTAAAATTCTGAGTGAGTAGATCCCCTGTGTAAAAGGCTTTTAAATTTGCAAGCACAGGAGTTCAATCAATTCCAATTGTTGGAGTGGGACCAACATCCTTAGGTGAAAGAAAACATTACTTGATAACTCCTTTTATCTTTTTTAAGCTGAGAAAAGCGGCAGTCTCATTCAAGTGCCAACTTCCCAATGAGAAACACACACTTTCTACTTTATCTCCAACATAAGGCAGAAAGAATAAGAGAATTCAGCAAGCAAGAGAATATTACTTTGTATGTATCTGAGTATCTGATAGCCATCATGTCAGAAACAGATCGCATATTGAAGGTTTTGCACTTCATGGATACAGCAGTTATTAAATGGACTTATTTCTCTAATCATAAAAACCAAGTCTTTATATTTCCTCCCTCATATTATAAGTATTAAAAATTTCTGTTATCTTTTCCCTGATTATAAAAGTAATACATGTTCATTACAGAAATATGTAATAAGAAAGCAAAATCATTCATAATCATACCACATTTAAATAAAGCAATCCTAATATTTGTATATACTATTTCCCATTTTTTCTATGGGTATTCATATATGGTTATATTTCTTTTCTTTTTTTATTTTTTTTTGAGACGGAGTCTCACTGTGTTGCCCAGGCTGGAGTGCAGTGGTGCAATCTCAGCTCACTGCAAGCTCCGCCTCCTGGGTTCACACCATTCTCCTGCCTCAGCCTCCCGAGTAGCTGGGACTACAGGTGCCTGCCACCACGCCTGGCTAATTTTTTGTATTTTTAGTAGAGATGGGTTTTCACCATGTTAGCCAGGATGGTCTCGATCTCCTGACCTCGTGATCCACCTGCCTTGGCCTCCCAAAGTGCTGGGATTACAGGCATAAGCCACCGCACCCAGCTCATAAATGTTTATATTTCTACATAGCTGAGATAATAATGTATGCATTAGTGTGAATCTTATTTTTTTGTTTGTTTGCTTTTGAGACAGGGTCTTGCTCTGTCACCCAGGCTGGAGTTCACTGGCATGATCATGGCTCACTGCAGCCTCCATCTCCTGGACTCAGGTGATCCTCCCACCTCACCCTCTGGAATAGCTGGGACTTCAGGCATGTACCACTACGCCCAGCTAATTTTTTTTATTTTTTGTAGAGACGGAGCTTCACCATGTTGCCCAGGCTGGTCTTGAACATCTGGACTCAAGTTATCTGTCACCTTGGCCTCCCAAAGTGCTGGGATTACAGGCATGAGCCACAGCACCTTGCTTATTCTTTTGTTTGCTATTAAAATATAAGCATTTTCTAGTCAATAAAAATTAACCAAGAACATAATTTGCAATGGCTGCATAATATTCTGTTATATTGAAGTTATAATAGATGTGAGGAGTTTCCTATTGCTGAATATTTACTTTTTCTAGAGGTTAAGAAGAGCTTTTAGAGTCAGAAAGACTTGACTTGTTGACTCTAAAGTCCTGGCTGGTGGTGGGTGCAGTGACTCACGCCCATAATCTCAACACTTTGGGAGGCCGAGGTGGGTGGATCACTTGAGGTCAGGAGTTTCCGACAAGCCTGGTCAACAGGGTGAAACCCTGTCTCTGCTAAAAATATAAAAATTCTGGGTGTGGTAGTGCATGCCTGTAGTCCTAGCTACTTGGGAGGCTGAGGTATGATAATTGCTTGAACCCAGGAGGTGGAGGTTGCAGTGAGGCAAGATTGCACCACTGCACTCCAGCCTGGGAGACAGAACGAGTCTTTGCCTTAAAAAAAAAAAAAAAAAAAAAAAATATATATATATATATATATATATACACACACACATACATAAAGTCCTGGGCCAGGCGCGGTGGTGGCTCATGCCTGTAATCCCAGTACTTTGGGAGGCCGAGGCAGGTGGGTCACTTGAGGTCGGGGTTTGAAACCAGCCTGACCAACATGGTGAAATCCTGTCTCTACTAAAAAAAAAAAAAAAAAAAAAAAAATTAGCTGGGCATGGTGGCATGTGTCTGTAATCCCAGTTACTCTGGAGGCTGAGGCAGGAGAATCGCTTGAACCTAGGAGGCAGAGGTTGCAGTGAGCAGAGATTGTGCCACTGCACTCCAGTCTGGGCCACAGAGCAAGACCCTGTCTCAAACAAACAAACAAAAGAAAAAAAGTCCTGGCTGGCTCTGCCACTTATTAGCTATGTGACTTTAGTCAAGTTACGTACTCTCTCTAAAGTGCAATTTTCTCATCTGTAAAAATTGGGATTATTATACAAGCTACTTCATAGGGTGGTTGTGATAGTAAATAAAGATTATGCATATAAAACAGTGCATCACAGTGTCTGACTTTTCTCAGTAAATGTTAATTATTTTGATACTGTGATAAATATCTTAGCTCATACAGCTTTGGTCTAGTTTTATGAAATTATTTAATTTAGAAAATGCCAAGAAGACTTGAAATAAACATAGAGATCTATATTTTAAAGATTATTTTTCAGCTTTCAATTTGACCAAGAGAATAACGACTGTTAGATTCCTGTAAGCAAACTATTAGGTTGCTGCAAAAGTAATTGCGGTTTTTGACCTTGAAAGTTATGGCACAAACCGCAATTACTTTTGCACCAACATAATAAGACAGCATGGAAAAGTTTGGATTTAAATGATGGAAGAACAAAAGCATTTTATGAATGTCTACTTCACTTGGAATTATTCATATTCCTCAGATGTGTTAAAAATTGAAAGATGAGGCCAGCGTGGGAGGCTAACGCCTGTAATCCCAGCACTTTGGGAGGCCGAAATGTGCGAATCACGAGGTCAGGAGATCGAGACCATCCTGGCTAACCCGGTGAAACGCCGTCTCTACTAAAAATACAAAAAAATTAGCCAGGCGTGTTGGCGGGCGCCTGTAGTCCCAGCTACTTGGGAGGCTGAAGCAGGAGAATGGCGTGAACCCAGGAGGCGGAGCTTGCAGTGAGCCGAGATCCCGCCACGGCACTCCAGCCTGGGCGACAGAGCGAGACTCTGTCTCAAGAAAAAAAAAAAAAATTGAAAGATGACTGGTTCACTTAGTGAAAGATAGAAAAAAGGAAGGAGGGGAAGGAGGGAAGGAAAACGGGAGGAAGGGAGGGAAGGAAGGAAGGAGGGAAGAAGGGAGGGAGGGAAGGAAGGAAGGAGGGAAGGAGGGACGGAGGGAAGGAGGGAGGGAGGGGAGGGGAAGGGAAGGGAGGTGGAAAGGGAAGGGGAGGGAAGGAAGGAAAGGGAAGGGAGGGAGGGAGGAAGGAGGGAGGGAGGGAAGGAAAGAAGGAAGGAAGGGAAGGAAGGAGGGAAGGAAGGAGGGAAGGAAGGAAAAAAGAAAGGAAAGGAAAAGGAAGGAAGGAAGAAAGGGAAGGAAAGAAGGAAACACTTTGCACAAGTCTTCCAAGAAATTAAACCTTTAGTATGCATTGCTCTGACCTGCCCAGGTTCACCATCCATTTTCACCTTTTCCCCTTTGTTCATCTGTTACTCCACAACTAACCTAGAAAAGTAGCTGCTGATGGCCAGTCTTCTGTAGAGGTGATGACTGTACTGAAAAATACTTTCATATTCACAAATCTGTTTGTTCCTTATATCACCAAAGATGAGAGAGAGGAAAAGAGAGGAGAGGAGAACCTGAGACATGCTTATGCGTGCTATGGACTGAATCATGTCCCCTCAAAATCTCTATGTCAAAGCCCTAACCCCCAACATGACTATATTTAGAGACAGGGTTTTTAGAAGGTAATTAAGGCTAAAGGAGGTCATATAGGCTCCTAATCCCATAGAACTTAAAGCTTTATGAGAAGAGAAAGACAGAGGAAAGAGTTCTTATTTTCTCTCTTCATATATGTGCACCAAGGAAAGGCCAGTGTGGGGCACAGTGAGAAGCTGGCTGGCTGCAAGCCAGGAAGAGAGTCCTCACCAAAACTCAGTCATGCTGGCATCCTGTTCTCAGACTTCCAGCTTTCAGAACTGTGAGAAAATAAATTTATGTTGTTTTAGGAACCTAGTCTGTGGTATTTTGTTATGGCAGCCCAAGCAGACTAAAACAACATATGCAACCAATTTTACAATCTTAAATACATGACTTCTGAAGTTCTAATCAATATTCTTATAAGTATATTTAAGAAGGCACTCCTTATATAGAGACAGGGGTAAAACAAACTATGATAATTATCCAAATCCATTTACTTTCAAAAACATCTGAAACACTGGTAAGCAATACAAGTTGCTGATCCTAAAATCAATTAATTACATTTTCCATTATTCCTAGTAATAAACTACTAAGAATTTATATGAATAAACTAGGAATAAACTAATAAATATTCCTAGGAGTAAACTAGGAAATTATTATTCCTAGTAATAAACCTAACACAAATGTATACATATGTGCACCCAAAAAAATGCACAAAAATATTGATAACCAAAAACAGAGAATGTATTCCATTAGAATACACATGTATTAAATGAATAATCTTTCTTCAAGTTCATTCTTGATGGTAAAGAATTTTCAGGCTTGGTGCAGTGGCTCACACCTATATTCTCAGCATTTTGGAAGGCTGAGGCGGGCAGATCACTTGAGGTTAGGAGTTTGAGACCAGCCTGGCCAACATGGTGAAACCTCGTCTCTACTAAAAATACAAAAATTAGCCAGGTGTGGTGGTATGCGCCTATAATCCCAGCTACTTGGGAGGCTGAGGCAGGTGAATCGCTTGAACCCAGGAGGTAGAGGTTTCAGTGAGCCAGGATCGTGCCACTGCACTCTAGCCTGGCCAACAGACTGATTGAGACTGTCTCAAAAAACATAATTTTTAAAAAGTGTAATTTTCCTTCTATTTACATTTTTAAAAGAGCTTGGGCAATGAAGTTTATAATGACAAGTGTAGCAGCTAATCCCCAAGATGGCCCTTGTGTAGTTTCCTTCCCATATTCAGTAAGGCTAACCTGTGTAGCCAATGGGATACTGGGAAAATGATGTAGTATGGCCTCTAAGGCTAGGTCATAAAATGCATTGCAGCTGCTACCTTGCTTTCTCTTGGGTCACTCACTCTAGTGGATGCCAACCACCGTGTTGTGAGGACACTCAAGCAGCTCTGTGGAGAGGGCCATGTGGTAAGGACCAGAGGCCTCCTGCCAACAGCCAGCATCAACTTACCAGCCATGTGAGTCGGCCATCTTGAAGCAAGTCCTCCAGCCCCTCTCAAATGCCCCAGCTGGCATCTTGACTGTTAACCTCATGAGAGATCCTGAGCCAGAATGACCTAATGTGCCCCCGGATTCTTCACCTTCAGGAAATTTATGCTATCATAAATGTTTATTATTGTTTGAAGCCAGTAAGTTTTGGAGTAATTTGCTCTGTGTGCAGTGATAAATAGATAACTAAAACAACTGATGCTGGTACAGTTACAGCATAGTTCATCTCTCCCAAGTAAAACTTTACTTATTTCATGACGTATATGAAGAATTTAGAAAAATAAATTTAAAAAATCAACTTTGGGGTCAGGTAAGGATATTTAAAATCTAGCACTTCACAAGCACATCCCAAAAGAGTATATTCAAGTAGTATGTAAGTATATAAAAGGATACTTAACCTCATTAGCCATAGGGTATTCAAATTAAAACAACAATGAGACTGGGCATGGTGGCTCACGCCTGTAATCCCAGCACTTTGGGAGGCCGAGGCAGGTGGATCACCTGAGGTCAGGAGTTCAAGACCAGCCAATGTGGTGAAACCCTGTCTCTACTAAAATACAAAAATTAGCTGGGCATGATGGTTGGTGCCTATAACCCCAGCTACTCGGGAGGCTGAGATGGGGGAATCACTTGAACCCCGGAGATGGTGGTTGCAGTGAGCCAAGATTGTGCCACTGCACTCCAGCCTGGGCAGCTGAGCGAGACTCTTGTCTCAAAAAAAAAAAAAGAAAAGAAAAAAAAAAGAAAACAACAACGAGAAAAACTGTTCACCCACCAGAGGGCTAGAATAAAAAATAATGATAACATTTAGTGCTGGTAAGGATATGAGGCAAATGAAACTCTCATATACTGCTGAAGATTGTGTACAATCACTCTGGGGAATTATTTGGCAGTACAGGAGGTACTAAAGCTAAACTGCATACACCTTGTCACATAACCATTCCACTTCTAGTAGTAAACCCAACAGAAATGTATACACATGTGCACCAAAAAAGTACAAAAATATTGATAGCCAAAAACAGAGAATGATCTGTATGTCCAATAGCAGTAGAAAGGATAAATTGGGATGTGTTCACACAAGAAATACTGTATAGCAATGAGAAATAAACAAATTACAGATATTTCCAGCAATAATAATAGATTTCACATATGTAATATTGAGTGGAAAAAAGCTGTTTTTTAAAACAAAAAGTGGGGGCCGGGTGCGGTGGCTCATGCCTGTAATCCCAGCACTTTGGGAGGCTGAGGCGGGCAGATCACCTGAGGTTGGAAGTTCGAGACCAGCCTGACCAACATGGAGAAACCCCATCTCTACTAAAAATACAAAATTAGCCGGGTGTGGTGGCGCATGCTTGTAATCCCAGCTACTCAGGAGGCTGAGGCAGGAGAATGGCTTGAACCCAGGAGACAAGCTGAGATGGTGTCATTGCACTGCAGCCTGGACAACAAGAGTGAAACGCCATCTAAAAAAAAAGGAGGGGGGGTACATAGTATGTAATTCCATTCATATAAAGTTCAAAAGCAGGCAACACTAATTTATGGTGATGGAAATCAGGATAATGGTCACCTTTGAAGAGGAGGAGGAAGCAACTAAGATATGACATAGGGTGGGGAGCTTTTGGATGTTGATAATAATCTATTTCCTCATTTGTCTGCTGGTTATGCAAGTGTGTTCACTTGCTGGATATTCCTTCAGATGTATACTTATGATTTGTGCCCTTGTCTGTATGTATGTTATTCTCAGACAAAAAGTTTACCAAAAAAAAAAAAAAAAAAACACTCAACATGGTAAGGAATAAACCCCAATTTTCTCATTTTCATGGTTGAACTCTCATTAGGTGGGAGAGTGCTCTTGTTGTTAGAAGCTACATACTGAATTGTCAAAAGGTAATAGGGCACGTTTGTAATTCTCAAATGGCTTAGGGGTAAAAATATAAAATATGTGTTATATATGAATATATAATATACATGATACATCTGTGGAATGAATATATATGTGTGTGTGTGTGTGTGTGTGTGTGTGTGTGTATAGAGAGAGAGAGAGAGAGTGCCAATGATGAAGCAAATATGTTTTTTTTTCTTTTAAATTGCCAGGTGCGGTGGCATGCACCTGTAATCTCAGCTACTTGGGAGGCTAAGGCAGGAGGATCACTTGAGTCCAGGAGTTTGAGACCAGCCTAGGCAACACAGTGAGATGCTGTCACACACACACAAAAAAAACCCAAACAGGTCAGGTGCAGTGGCTCACACCTGTAATGCCTGTAATCCCAGCAATTTGGGAAGCCGAGGTAGGTGGATCACCTGAGGTCAGGAGTTCGAGACCAGCCTGGCCAATGTAAGGAAATGCTGTCTCTACTAAAAATACAAAAATTAGTCAGGTGTGGTGGTGCGTGCCTGTAGTCCAGGTAACTGGGAGGCTGAGGAACGAGAATCGCTTGAATCCAGGAGGCAGAGGTTGCAGTGAGCCAAGATCATGCCAATTTGATCGTTCCAAAACAATTGAGGAGTTTGAGTGAAGGGTATGTGAGAGTTTATTGTGTTTTTCTTGTATTTTTTCTGAAACTTTGAAACTCTTTCAAAATAATTAAAACGTATTTTAAAAACACCTGTTAGCTGGGTGTGGTGGCACACAACTGTAGTCTTAGCTACTCAGGAGGCTGAGGCAGGAGGATTTCTTGAGTCCAGAAGTTGGAGGGTTTAAAAAAAAAATCCAACTGTTCCACTTACTAACTGTATTTCCATGGGCAAATGGTGAACTTCTCTATGTCTCAGAAGACTCTTCTCTTAAGTGGGGATATTAGATCAGGAATGCTGGCTCACACCTATAATCCGAGCACTTTGGGAGGCCAAGGTGGGACGATCACTTGAGCCCAGGAGTTTGAGGTTACAATGAGCTATGGTTGCACCACTGCACTCCAACCTCAGTGACAGAGCAAGACCTCGTCTCCAAAAAAAAAAAAAAAAAAAAAAGAGTGGGGATATTAATATCTACCTTTCAGGACTATTCTAATGATTTGACAAAATAATAGAAATAATAGGTAACAGTTATATAACTTGCCCTAGGTCACACACCTAGTTTTTTGTTGTTGTTGTTAGTTAGTTAGATTTTGTTTTTGTTTTTGTTTTGAGACAGAGTCTTGCTGTGTTACCCAGGCTAGAGTGCAGTAGTGCGATCTCGACTCACTGCAACCTCCCCCTTACCAGTCAAGTGACTCTCCTGCCTCACCCTGTTAAGTTGCTGGGACTACAGGCGTACACCACCACGCCCAGCTAATTTTTGTATTTTTAGTAGAGATGGGGTTTCGCCATGTTGGCCAGGCTGGTCTCGAACTCCTGACCTCAGGTGATTCACCCGCCTTGGCCTCCTAACGTGCTGAGATTACAGTCGTGAGTCACCACGCCCAGCCCACAGACCTAGCTTTTATGAGCCAGGATTTAACCCAGGAATTCTGACTCCAAAACCTACACTCTCATCTAATGCACAAATCAATCAAGTGAATGTCACGTAGCAGGCCATTAGTGGTACCTAGAATGATGACAATGCTTGTATTAGTTTCCCAGGGTTGCTGTGACAAAATATCACAAACTGGCTGGCTTAAAACAATACTTCTGCAGGGCAGAAGTACAAAATCAAGGTGCTGCCCGTGGTATCCAGCCTTTGATGCTTCTTGGGAAGGATCTTTCCTTGCCTCCTACACTTATTGTAGTCTCAGGTTTGCCTTGGCTTGATGGCAACATAATTCCATTCTGTGCCTCTGCCTTAATGTGGCTTTCTTGTGTGTGTGTGTGTGTGTGTGTGTGTGTGTGTGTGTGTGTATCTCCGTGTCTCTTCTCCCCTTCTTATAAGGACACCAGTCATATTGGGTTCTGGCCCTCTGTAATTCAGTATGACCTTGTCTTAATTTGAGTACATCTGCAAACACCTTATTTTTAAACGAAGTCACATTCACGGGTACTGGGGATTAGGACCTCAATATATCTTTTGGGGGAACACAATTCAACCAATAACAATGCTTACGAACTTTCTGCCCTTTTCTTGCCAAATAGAAATAAGTTTAACTGGAAGGACTCCCCTTGGGAAGAGAGGAGACGAAGCTTGGACATGAAAAAAAAAGAAAAAAGAAAAAAGAAATCGCTTCATGGCTCGTCCCTCTGCTTAAAGATGGGGAAATTAAGATGCTGCATTTTGTTCTCAGAAACATGGTCATTTCAAAGTTCATCCAGATCCTTCAGTGTTAAAGGGTACTGACCAAGGGCAGATGGCTCAACAGTGCTTGAAAAAGGCCCAGGTTAGAGGAATAATGAAGGGTTATCAATGACCACTCAGGGTAATAAATGTAAAGTGTCACATACACCTGAGCAGGGGACCCTGGAAAATTATGTTATATCTAGGTAAAAGTTTCTCTTCCTCTCTGAAAAGTACCTTTGCTTGGGGGGAATATAAGTATCTATGTAAGTATTGGATTTGAGAGTTGGAAGTTTCTAATGAGAGAGTATATCGCCACTTAACATTGGAGCAGGGGTGGGAAAGACAGAATCAAGGAGATTTGACTTGGAGTCTAGTGTTCATCTTACACCATCATTTGGAAGCCCTCAGGGATGATATTCTACCTTCAATAACTTAGATTTTCAGAAATGTCATGCTGTGAATTATTATGTCTAGAGGAAGATCAGACACATCCCTGTGAAGAGGGAAGTGATTTTCCCAAAAGGGAATTCGAGGCTCAGTGTCGGTATGAGTAAGAAAGCAATTACTGAGAAATGCAGGATTGAGGGCAGGAGATCAAGGAAAGAAACTGAGTTTTATACACAAAGGGAATTATTCTCAAAGGTTCTAACTTTTGGGAGCTCTCCCTTTGGGCAATGGGAATAATGACATGTAGCATGCACTTTATTATTTTTTGCAAGTCATAATTCTGTTTACTCTCAGCATGGTAGGTGAATCAGATACATCTCTACAGTCTAGTGTGGGATGGGCATGGAATTAAAGGACGGAGTAACAAAGGGAAATGTGGTTGGATGTTGCTTCCTCTGCATCCAATCATGGGAAGCCTCTTTTCTGGGATAGGTAAGTATTGTTAGCATCAAAAAAAGCAGTGATCAGTCCCAAAGCAGAACAACACGAGATAGGGAAGAGCACAAGGCCAAGAAAGGCAACGCTCACCGGGATTACCCAGGAGCTGGTGTAAAATAAACCCATTTCCTTAATATTCTATGAAAAAGTGATTTTAAGAGATCTATGTGTAGGGAAAGGGAGTTTGATGACATAAGTGTAAAAGCTTAGCCAAGAAAACCCCACCACTTCACCATTTACCGTTTCATAGCATATATTCACATTTTTATAACTTGTATTAAGAAAAATTACCAGGCCAGATACAGTGGCTCATGCCTGTAATCCCAGCACTTTGGGAGGCTGGGGCAGGTGGATCACCTGAGGTCAGGAGTTCAAGATCAGCCTGACCAACATGGAGAAACCTCATCTCTCCTAAAAATACAAAATCAACTGGGCGTGGTGGCAGGTGGCTGTAATCCCAGCTACTTGGGAGGCTGAGGCAGGAGAATTGCTTGAACCCAGGAGGCGGAGGTTGCAGTGAGCCGAGATCACGCCATTGCACTCCAGCCTGGGCAACAGAGAGAGACTCCATCTCAAAAAAAGAAAGAAAAATTACCAGAAATTTTGAGAAAAGGAAAAACAATGATTCTGTTATTTTTAAATATTATGAAAATAAATTCACCTTGGGGCTATGTGACTTACTATTCACTACCAATTAGGATGTGAAATCTGTGAAGTTGGATGTTTAACTTGGAGAAACTGATAACTGCAAATGATTTGAAAGAAAGAAGAATCCACCTTTCTTTCCTTTCTTTATTCTTCAACTTTTCACTTCTCAAAGAAGAAGAGACAGACATATAATGTCTGTCCAAAAGAGAAACTAACTCTGAAGGTTATGGTTTATTGCCATGTAGAAACATTAATTAGATTTGCAAATAATTTAACAATCTAATTTCTGTTTTTATTTATTGTTTTACTTAACGTATATATCAGTCTGATATCCTTACTTGCACTGGTTTTGTTAACTTCCTGGTTAAATAAAAGTTTAATTCATGCTAACATCTTGTATACAAATTACACTTATATTTTGAAATTATACATTAATGCCTGCATAACTTGTAGAAAATCATATCAAAGGACATATGCTTTCCATCTTTAGCCTGGTTTGTTACAGATTGAGTGGGAAAAAGGAGAAGGGCAGGAAGAAAACATTTCAGGAAGTATATTTGTAGTTTGAAGAAGCAAACTTAATATTATAATATTTTAAATTTGACTGCCATGAATAAGCTTCATAGATGTACTTTAGCTGCTGGGAATATGTAGGTGATAGCAATGATTTTCAGTAGGAGCAGGAGAATTTTATGTTAATTAAAAAAGCAGTTATGGATTCAAAAAAATTGCAAAACATTCCTTTAGGAAATTGTTCGGTATTGTAAACCTGAAAGCATGATGCAATATTCTGTTTATATTTGCTTTATTTTTAAAATGTAAATAAAACAAAATGTGCTTGCCACAAATATACTTCAAGACTTTATCTTTTGGTGTACTATAAATGAGAATTTTGTAGTTACTGTGATGTGTGACCAATTAACTCAGCTTGTTATTTACTGTTCTAATGAGGCCAAAGCCTTGGATCGATCCCCAAATGATCAAGCTAGTCATGCTGTGTCATAGTCATAAGAAGGACCTGATAAGTGAGAATCTCGATGAAATAGCACAAATCCATTGGCCCCAAAGCAACTGCAGTTGTATACCCCAAAGTTCACACGTTGGTCACATTCTTTATCATGGTACGGCAGCTACGGAAACATGTTAAACCTGGAGCTGATGATAACCAATGATTTCTTTCTTGTGCTTTTTATTCTTTTTTAAAAAATGAATGAAAGATAAGAATGTTCATCATCAAATTTCATAGAATGCTTTAGTTTTAATAATCCATTCACCAGGACACAAGGAATCAGAGGTGTGTGAAAATTTAAAATAGGATGATCAGGCCCGGCGCGTTGGCTCAAACTAGTAATCCCAGCACTTTGGGAGGCCAAGCGGGGGTGCATCACCTGAGGTCAGGAGTTCGAGCCCAGCCTGGCCAACATGGCGAGACCCTGCCTTTACTAAAAACACAAAATTAGCAGGGCATGGTGGCAAATGCCTGTAATTCCAGCTACTTGGGAGGCTGAGGCAAGAGAATTGCTTGAACCTGGAAGGTGGAGGTTGAGTGAGCCGAGATCACGCTACTGCACTCCAGTCTGGAAGACAGAGCGAGACTCCATCTCAAAAAAACAAAATAAAACAAAAAACAAACAAACAAAAAAAACAGAAATAGGGTGGTCAGAGCAGACATCGCCAAGAAAGTACCATTTAAAGAAAGCAAGTGAATTAGCCATACAAGTGTCTGGAGAAAGCACTGTTTGACCAGAAGGGGCAGTCACTGTGTAGTTTTTAGGTGGGTGTGAGCACAGGGAGTCCATCTTTCTTTCTTTGTTTCTTTCTTTCTCTTTCTTTCTTTCTTTCTTTCTTTCTTTCTTTCTTTCTTTCTTTCTTTCTTTCTTTCTCTTTCTTTCTTTCTTCCTTTCTTTTCTTTCTTTCTTCTTTCTTTCTTTCTCTCTCTCTTTCTTTCCTCCTTTCTTCCTTTCCTTTCTTTCTTTCTTTCCTTTCTTTTCCTTCCTTCCTTTCTCTCTCTCTTTCTTTCTCTTTTTTTTGAGACGGAGTCTCGCTCTGTCGCCCAGGCTGGAGTGCAGTGGCGCGATCTCGGCTCACTGCAAGCTCTGCCTCCCGGGTTTGCACCATTCTCCTGCCTCAGCCTGCCTGCAATCCTGCCTTCCTTCCTTCGTTCCTTTCTTCCTTTCTCTCTCTTTCTTTCCTTCCTTCCTTCCTTCTTTCTCTTTCTTTCTTTTTCTTTCTTTTCTTTCTTTTTCTTTCTTTCTTTCTTTCGTTCTTTCTTTCTTTCCTTCCTTCCTTTCTTCCTTTCTTTCTTTCTTCTTTCCTTTTCTTTCCAATGGAGTCTTGCTCTGTTGCCCACACTAGAGTGCACTGACATGATCTCAGCTCACCGACCTCACTCCTAACCTCAGGTTGTCAGCCCACCTCAGCCTCTCAAAGTGCTGGGATTACAGGTGTGAGCCACTGTGCCTGGCCTATAAATCTTAAATTGTCCTTTTTGTCCCTTTTTACTCATCTTTAGGAAGGTATAATTGACAAATAAACATTGTATATACTTGTGGTATAAAATAAGTAAATAAAATTTGAAAAACAATTCACCAAAATATTAATTAATAATATCAGGTAAGCTAGATCTTCTCTTGTATAGAAAAATTGTTTGTGCTCTGTCACTTGTTATAAGTTGTAGCTTTATCTGACACTTACCTACCCTCAGGCTTCTTTTTAACTCACTCTGACTTATTTGTCTTATCCAGAGATTGTGGATTCCCTGTCATCAAAGCAGTCTAAAGGGTGTTAAAACACCTGCGGCCCTTATTTCTTTGCCATAGGCTTTAGGTGACTTAAAAAAAAATAGTACTGTCCTCTCACTGTCTAAGGACTACCTTCCTTAGTATCTTTACATAAGGAAGAAATTGGTTTTTCTGTTTTATCTGACAAAAGAGAGAGATATGAGGGAGAGACTGAATTCTTTCTTGAAACAGAAATATTCCTATCTCTTATCAAGTATTTTGATTGTTTAATTTCCTACACTAAGTCCAACAGGATTTTATACCAAAAGCAGTAGCTTCCCTAAAGTCTACTTGGTAGTTGTTCGTTGCCAAAGTCTATTCTCTCTTAAAGAGATCATATTTTTTCAAGCAACATTTTATACACATTCAACTGAGAGAAGCTTCTCTCAGAGGCTTTGCGAATGTATCAGGCAATTTTCTCACTCATGATATGTGCTTCTGTGTGACACATGAAGCAAAATACTAATGTTATTCTTTTACTCTATCTTTTTGCAGTGCTTCCATGATTTTTATTTTTTTATTTCTTCTTTCTATAACTAGACTCAGATTCCAGAATGTCTATTTTTAAATTCATACTTGCTACATGCTTTCATGGTAGATTATTTGCATATCCCCAAGAAGAGTTTGTCAAGGGATCATTTCAGTAATTTGTTTTAGAAAACAATAGGAATACTGCATTTAAAAAAATGTGTTGCCAAACTTCACCATCAGTACACCCACAGGATAAACACACTCTGTGTGAACTGGACATGCCCCTTGAAAATCTACACTCCAAATGAGTACATTACAACTATGGTGCAATGAGTGATTTTCCCCAAGGTACCATGCTCATTGGTTTCCACAGGACAGGCAACCTAGCAGGGCATTCCCTCCATGAGGTTATGAAAACACGCTGTGCTCCTGTAGACCCACACACAGCACCCTCCCCATTGTACTTATTGCCAAACACTGGGCTTCCTAATCACTTTGTGTTCAGTCAGAGATCCAGGAAATCCAAACCCAGCCAGAAAAATGCACAACAGCTCAGCATAAGCAGCTTTAATAGGAGCTTAAGGAAGCTTCCATTGCTCCCATCCTGGAAAAGCATGTGTTGTAGCAGAAAGAGCACAAGCTCTAGCAATGGACAGGCCTCAGGTCATATCCTGGATCTGGCTGGGTTGCTGGGTTACGTGCTGGGTTGTCTCAGATAAGGTCAAGTCTGAGCTTCATTTCCATATTTTCTTATCTTCGTAAAATGGAAATTATCATCATACTATCTACAGTGGAACCCACTGGTCAAAAGCCATTGCCAGGTCTGCCAGTGTTAATTTCAAGTGGAAAGTCTGAAAGATTACTGCAGACAGTTTATGTACTGGAATCTTTTTGGCTTAAGCCACTTCTCCAGTGGTTATTAACATTATGCCCTATTTTCCTCTCTAGCTACACTCTAGAACCCAGGAACCTAGTTCTGCATCCTCTCCACCAAAGCATGTTGAGAATCCTTTTGTATTTAGCTGCTTGGATACTAGAAGAGGATCGAAATTCTAGCCCAGTAATTCTTTTCCTAGCTCTTCCTTCAATATCATCAAAGCGGATTCAACATGTAAGGAAAGTTCAACTCTGTTATTTTGTTAGAGAAGATATAATAAGTTAAAATCACTTCACATATAAAATTTATGGTATGTTGGATGGTGATAAGGCTTTATATAGAGGAAATTGTGCAAGGAAGGGAAAGAAAATGCAGGAGAATGTAAAGCGGTTTTGCAAATACTTTAATAACTAACTCTCTTCTTCAAGTCTTTCTTTAAATATCATCTTAATGAGGTCACCCTGATAACCAGATTTTTTTTTTTTTTTTTTTTTAGATGGAATCTTGCTCTTTCACCCAGGCTGGAGTGCAGTGGCGCGATCTCGGCTCACTGCACCCTCTGCCTCCTGGGTTCAGGCCATTCTCTTGCCTCAGCCTCCCGAGTAGCTGGGACTACAGGCGCCCGCCTTTAGTCCTGATTAGACATGGAGTACGACAGAAAGATGTTTAGGGTGACTTCAAGGTATTTCACAGAAGCAGTGGTTGAATATAGGTCTCATCAACTAGATGTAATGGCTGTGGGAGGCATTCTTGAGGGAATAGAACTAAGTGTTGGGAATCAACACATTTCTTCCAAATTCCCCCAACACACACACACACACACACACACACCACACACACACACACACACACACATCCCACATCACCTCTGTCAAGGAGTGAAGCTGCAAAGGTAAGGATTAAATTCTAAACCCCAATATTTAACCATCCTTTGAACTTAGGCTGCTTGGCAATAGCATTTCTCCACTTTTTTTTATGTGCTTGTTTCCCTAGACTGATAACATTGAGGACCTACAGCAGTCATAGATATTTCGAGCTAAATGACCCTTTATAAATCATTCTAGCATGGTACTTACCACACAAAATTGAATTTCCACATCCAATCAAAGATGCCATTGATTGTAATATGCACCATTATTTTTTGCATTGCTAAGAAAGAAAAAGCAGCCATTTGAAATATGATTGATATTTTCTTATTTATCTATGACTTACTTGGACATAGATTTTTAAAAATTCATATACTCATGCATATGTAAAAAGGAAAATATAAGCAAAGTATTTCTAAAATGTTTTCCTTTATTAGGTTATTAATTACATTTTATTCAATGTTATAAAGGCCTCACTTACACAACTAGAGTTAGAACATTATGCCCCTAATTAGTATTAGTTCATCAATTTCATCAATAAATTATAGGAAACATGGATTAGACAAACTAGTTCAACCATTGTGGAAGTCAGTGTGGCAATTCCTCAGGGATCTAGAACTAGAAATACCACTTGACCCAGCCATCCCATTACTGGGTATATACCCAAAGGATTATAAATCATGCTGCTATAAAGACACATGCACATGTATGTTTATTGCGGCACTATTCACAATAGCAAAGACTTGGAACCAACCCAAATGTCCAACAATAGACTGGATTAAGAAAATGTGGCACATATACACCACGGTATACTATGCAGCCATAAAAAATGATGAGTTCATGTCCTTTGTAGGGACATGGATGAAACTGGAAACCATCATTCTCAGCAAACTATTGCAAGGACAAAAAACCAAACACCGCATGTTCTCACTCATAGGTGGGAATTGAACAATGAGAACACTTGGACACAGGAAGGGGAACATCACACACTGGGGCCTGTTGTGGGGTGGGGGGAGGGGGGAGGGATAGCATTAGGAGATATACCTAATGTAAATGACGAGTTAACGGGTGCAGCACACCAACGTGGCACATGTATACATATGTAACCAACCTGCACGTTGTGCACATGTACCCTAAAACTTAAAGTATAATAAAAAAAAGAAAAGAGAAAGTAGAAAATAGGCAAGAAATTGAGAGAAAATAGAAAACAGGTTTTGCCTGTCCTGCTACCAAATTATGTTTAAGTCTAAAACCTATTTTAGATCCACCATTAAAACTAGATAGACTAGCTTTAGTCAGTTTGGGTTGTAAATAAAGCATGCATAATTGTATGAAAGCCTTTGGGCCCTGCAACTTCCTTGTATTCAGAGTCCGACTCCTCTGAAACACATTTTGTTTCAAACCTATATTAGCTGTATAACAAAGTACTCTCAAGTTCAGAAGCTTAAAACCACAAACGTTGATTATCTATTTCTGTGGGTTCCAAGTCCAGGAGTGGTTTACCTGGCTGGTTCTGGCTGGGGGCCTCTCATGAGGCTGTGTCTCACTGTTAGCTGAGGGTGCAGTCTTCTGCAGGATTGACCAGGGTTGGGGAATCACCTTCCCAACTCACCCACATAGCTGTTGGCCGGCCTCAGGTCCTTGCTGGCTATTGGCTGGAAACCAGTTCCTGGCTACTCGGGCTTCTTCAGAGGGCTGTTCACAGAATGACAGCTGGCTTCTCCTGAGCCAGTGATCCAAGAGAGAGGGAAAGGAAGTGAGAGCCTGAGATGGAAGCTGCCCCATCATTTTCACAGTAAGTTACAGGGCCCACCAACCAACCCTGCTACAACATGAGATAGAACCACCCAAAGGTGAGAAGATGGAAGATGAGCATTATTGGGGACTATTTTGGAGGCTGGCTCCCACAAATTTAGATTTTTCAATTTCCATGTTTCTCTGCACAATAACTCCCAGTGTACCATCAAGAGAATTGACAATATGTGGGGCACGGTGGCTCGCACCTGTAATCCCAGCACCTTGGGAGGCCGAGGCAGGCGGTTCATGAGGTCAGGAGCTCAAGACCAGCCTGGCCAACATGGTGAAACCCCATCTCTACTGAAAAAAAAAAAAAAAAATTAGCGGGGCATGGTGGCATGCATCTCTAATCCCAGCTACTCAGGAGGCTGAGACAGGAGAATTGCTTGAACCTGGGAGACAGAGGTTGCAGTGAGTGGAGATCACGCCACTGCACTTTAGCCTGGGCGACAGAGCAAGTCTCCACGTTGGAGAAAAAAGAAAGAGAGAGAGAGAATTGACAGTGCAATATTTGCTAAAAGGGTGTTTCACTAATACTTCCTTCTGTAACGAAGCTGGGAGAAAGGATTTCTGCTAAGCTACTGACAGCCATTTTGCATTTAATGTTGGCACTGTCTTGATCTTGGCAGATATCATTGGAAAGTTTTTTTTTTTTGTCTGAAAACTATTTATTTACCTTAATGTTCCCAGAGCCAATCTATGTGCAAGACACGGTAGGTATTGTATAAATATTTGTCGAATGAATGAACTTTTCAGATGATCTAATCTAATTTCTTCATTTCAATATTAGCCCATGGTTTCTCAATCCTTCAAAAACCCTAGCTATCAAAGCAATCACAATTCCTACTTACTAGAATTGCCTGGTCATCATCAGCCGGGGGAAAAATATGTAAGGCAAGAAAGAGGTAGGCGTAAGGATGCAACATAATAAGGGTGGAGAACATATCCACCCCCATAGCATTATTGAAAGGTGTTGCAAAGTCCACCTCCACCTTAATATCTTCTCTTTTGATACCAACTACCACTACGACCTGATCTAAAAATGGACATTGCCTTTTTAAAAGGAATAAGGGAGAAGGGAAGGAAATGAAAGGATTCTACCCTAGCTTTGCTAATGAATCAGGAGTGATCTGACAAGCATCACTTTGAAATTTCGAATGAGTATTGGCCCTAGGGCAATGAGATTAAAATGAACACATTTCAATAAGAACCAAAAAGAGGGAGCATTAGGAAGACACGAGGCCAAGGATGACAGGAGCATAGACTCACGGTCCCACTGTGCTGCTTTCTCTAAAAGATTGTCAACACACGCTAAAAAAGGATATTTGAATGGTTTATAGATACTATATTCTGAAGTTTATAGCGTGTTTTTTATTTTTTATATTTCAATTTTCTAAAATTAGAATGCACCTTAATGTGGAATGTAATACTTCTCAAAAATAAGGACGGAATACCTATCCTCAGCAACAACAAAGATAGAAAAGCAATGGCACACATTAGAATTCCAAAATTCAGTGGTTTCTCCTTTCCGGGCTGAAATTTATGCTCCAGGAGGGTGTCTTTTATTTATTTATTTATTTAGTGACACAGTGTTGATCTGTTGCCCAGGCTGGAGTGCAGTGGTGCGATCTGGGCTCACTGCAACCTCCATCCTGTGGGTTCAAGTGATTCTCATGCCTCAGCCTCCCAAATAGCTGAGATTACAGGCACGCGCCACCACGTCCAGCTAATTTTTGTATTTTTAGTAGAGGTGGGGTTTTGCCACATTGGCCAGGCTGGTCTTGATCTCCTGAACTGAAGTGATCCTCCTGCCTTGGTCTCCCAAAGTGCTGAGATTATAGGCATGAGCCACTGCGCCCAGCCCAGGAGGGTGTCTTTTAATCATTAGTTCTCTATACCTAATTAGCCCAAGCATCAGACTTCAGAGTAAGAAAAAGCAGTTTCAACTCTACCATTTCCTGGCCCTGTGACCTTAGAGCTTCTTCAGGTCTTCATTTTCTGCATCTCAAAAATAGGAGTAGGAATAGAATGTCCGTCTTTGGGTTATAATGAAAATGATTGATAAGAGCACTTCATTAACTGGAAGTCATTGTGCAAATGTAGTTGGTTGTCCTTGTCTTTGAAATTCTGAGTTGCTACTGATGCCCCAGGGAACAACCTTTACCGCTCCCTAGTGGTGGTGTGTTCTCCTGGGAGCACAGCTCCTAGAAATAAATCAACCTCCTTCATTACCCATGAGGAGATGCTTCTCTGTGGATTCGCTTAATATTTCTTGTGGAACAACTGCATGAACGCATTGCATAAAGAATACGTGGAGGCCGGGCGCGGTGGCTCACGCCTGTAATCCCAGCACTTTGGGAGGCCGAGGCGGGCGGATCACGAGGTCAGGAGATCGAGACCATCCTGGCTAACACGGTGAAACCCCGTCTCTACTAAAAATACAAAATATTAGCTGGGCGAGGTGGCGGGCGCCTGTAGTCCCAGCTACGCGTGAGGCTGAGGCAGGAGAATGGCGTGAACCCCGGGGGGCAGAGCCTGCAGTGAGCTGAGATCGCGCCACTGCACTCCAGCCTGGGCGACAGAGCAAGACTCCGTCTCAAAAAAAAAAAAAAAAAAAAAAAAAAAAAAAAAAAAAATTAGCCGGGCGTGGTGGCAGGCGCCTGTAGTCCCAGCTACTCGGGAGGCTGAGGCAGGAGGATGGCGTGAACGTGGGAGGCGGAGCTTGCAGTGAATGGAGATCGCGCCATGTACTCCAGCCTGGGCGACAAGAGTGAAATTCCGTCCCAAAAAAAAAAAAGAAAGAATATATGGAGAATAATCTAAGCAAGGAAAGGTTGGAGTGTTCTTCCGTGCTTGCACCTCCTTAACCTTCTCCGTTTCTCCACCCTTGTTAAGCCTGAATGTCCTCAATGCCCTCCTTGCCTCCATTTCCATTACCTTGTCTTTAACATCTTTGCAAACATAAAGTTTTGGTGAGAAGGAGCAAGCCTATAAATGAATTTGTGCTATGGACACTTGAATAACTCACATTTATGTTCTGTTAACTGTAGATCCTCTCTCCTTTCTAGCTTGCACCACCCTTAAAAATGAAAGTATTTTTTAAACACAAAACGTTTATTTAAATGTAGCTCTTTCTAGATTCCTTTCCCTTTAGTCAACACAAAAGTTTTTCCTGAGGGCAAGAATCATGTTTATTCTCTCTCTTTTTTTTTTTTTTTTTTTTAGATAGGGTCTTGCTCTGTAGTCCAGGCTGAAGGATAGGGTCTTGCTCTGTAGTCCAGGCTGAAGTGCAGTGGCTTACTGCAGCCTCAACCTGGGCGCAAGCAATGCCCCCACCTCCGCCACCTGAGTAACTGGGATTACAGGTGTGCACCCACCAAGCCCAGCTAATTTTTTTTTTCCTTAGGGACAGGGTCTCACTGTGTTGCCCAGGCTGGTCTTGAACTCTTGGGCTCAAGGGATCCTCCCACCTCAGCCTCTCAAAGTACTAGGATTATAGGCCTGAGCCATGGCACCCTGCCTGTTTATTCTTTATTATGCTGATTTAAGAACCCAGTCCTTGCCCCCGTACTCCTGCTATTCATATCCATCTGCTATTCATATCCATGCTGAGTCAACTCCAAAAGCAAACAAAAGAAACACATTCTTAAACGCTGATTGAAAACCTAGCATTGGCCCGGCGCAGCGGCTCACGCCTGTAATCCCAGCACTTTGGGAGGCTGAGGCCGGCGGATCAACTGAGGTTGGGAGTTCGCGACCAGCCTGACCAACATGGAGAAACTACATCTCTACTAAAAATAGCCGGGTGTGGTGGTGCATGCCTGTAATCCCAGCTACTCAGGAGGCTGAGGCAGGGGAATCGCTTGAGCCCAGGAGGCGGAGGTTGTGGTGAGCCAAGATTGTGCCATTGCACTTCAGCCTGGGCAAGAAGAGCGAAACTCCATCTCAAAAAAAAAAAAAAAAGAAAAAAAAGAAAAGAAAACCTAGCATTAAAGAACTGAAGTAAATTATGTTTTATTCCTTCAGAGTAGATATGGGGAAATAAAAGAAAAAATATATATTTTTTAAAAGTATAAAATTATGTTAGGGGTTTCACAATACTTGAACTTAAAATTTGTATTTATTTATGGTTGACATCCTTTAACATTTATTGATAAAAAAGTGATAATAAATTATACTGATGCTATTCCCAAGTTTTGCTTCTGCTTGAAAGGTCTTCTGACATCCAGGTTTGATAACAAATAGATGCAATGTGTGGTCTCTTGGGTCTGATATTTAATCTTAATCCTAAACTAGATTGTTGAAAGTAAAGAAGATATATGACAGATGACAATTGTGTTTCGTCTTATAATTGAGCATATAGAGTCTTTCTTCTTACTCCTGAAGGGTGACACATTTTCTGCCCCAAGAAAAACATCCAAGTATTTTATCATGCTCTTATTGTTCCAAGTGATCCAAAATATTTTTCTTTTGCTATTGATTTTTATATGGAGCTTTTCCAGATATTAGATGGAGGATTTTAGTTTAACCTTTGTAGACTGAACTTTTCTTTTGAAATGCGTAGGATAGTGGTTCCAAGTTCTGAAAATATGATGTATTATTAAAGGTTTCATTTTTTATAAATAAATTCTAAGAAAGTACATCTGATTAAATGAATTCATCTATGTAAAGTGTAGAGAACAGTGTGTGGCATGTGGTAGTGATATATAACTGTTAGCTATGTATTTATAATGAACATTGTCATAGCCATACATTTGTAATGGGCATATATACATTGCTAGACATCAGTATATTTTATTCAATAAAGTTGTATAAATAAATCCATACAAATTATTTTCCTTAAAACTTAATGCAAATGAGGTTTTTTGAAAATCCTTAAAATGTGGAAATTTACTTTCCCAGGTATTCAGCCATGATATATACTTTTAAATCCATGTATATATTCAATTATTTTACTTTGAAAATTACAACATCGACATATTGGCAAGCAACCCTAAGATAAAACAACACTTTCACGTGGTGATCACTTTTCAGCCCTCAAGCATGTGGGAAAGGACACAGTTTGCCCACCTCCTCAGAGTCCTTTATGGAAATACAAGGATAGTCTGTATCAGGCTGGAGGTTACTAAGGCTTTACTGCGGCCGCCATAGTTTACTAGGGCTGCCATAACGTAATACTATATACTGACTGGCTTAAACCAGAGGAATAATTTTCTCACAGTTCTGGAGGCTAGAATTTCAAAATGAAGGTAATGGAAGGTTTGGTTTCTTCTGGCTTCTCTCTCCTTGGCTGGCAGATGGCTGCCTTCCTGCTGTGTCCTCACATAACCTTTCCTCCGTGGGGGCGCATTCCCAGTGGCTCTCCCATTTCTCATAAGGACACCAGTCATTTTGAATTAGGACCCACCCCCATGACCTCATTTAAACTTAAGTGTCTCTTTAAAGTCCCCATCTCTAAATATAGTCACATTATCTCTCCACATAGTACTGCGGGCTAGTATTCAACATGTGAATTTGGAGGGACACAATTTAGCCCATAACACAGGCCCTGTTATACTTTTTTCTAATGTTATTTACACTTTTATTCTTTTGGGTCTTTTTTAATTACACTTTTTTTTTTTTTTTTTTTTTTTTTTTGAGACGGAGTCTCCCTCTGTTGCCCAGGCTGGAGTGCAGTGGCACAATCTCGGCTCACTGCAACCTCCACCTCCCAGGTTTAAGCGATTCTCCTGCCTCAGCCTCCCAAGTAGCTGGGATTACAGGCACCTGCCACCATGCCCAGGTAATTTTTATTTTTAGTAGGGATGGGGTTTCACCATGTTGGACAGGCTGGTCTCGAACTCCTGACCTTAGGTGATCCGCCCACCTCAGTCTCCCAAAGTGCTGGCATTACAGGCCTGAGCTACTGTGCCCGGCCAAATTACACTTTTAAAATAAAGTTTTAATTTGGCTTTTCTTGTTATTAGAAACATAGCCAATCATAGAACTCAAAATCTAGGATTTTTAGAATCAAAGGAACTTACATTTCTGATCTAAAGATCCCTGATTATTATTTAGTAACTTTTTCCCTGTATATTACTTGGTAACTTAGACACAGGAGTAAGATATGAGGAGTATATCTATAAGGGTCTGGTACCAAAATCCTGAATTTATGCAAACTAGATTCTATACAATCAGTTCTAAGTCTCTGGATTTTTTTATGAATTCTGGCAAAACCAAGTATATATTGGTTACCACTTTTTAAATTTCAGATAATTACCAAAATTTGTAACTTACAGTTGAATCATGCTATATAAATAATATTTAAAAAGTGTTAATGTAAACCTTTTCAAGAAATTCTATGTCTTATCTCAGCTAGCAACTGACAGACAATTCTTAGATTCCATCTAGATCAGTGGTGTCCACTAGAAATATAATGGGGATGACATATGTAATTTCATTTTATTATTTATTTATTTGAGACAGAGTCTACTCTGTCACCCAGGCTGGAGTGCAGTGGCACCATCTCGGCTCACTGCAACCTCCACCTCCTGGGTTCAAGTGCTTCTCCTGTCTCAGCCTCCCGAGTATCTGGGATTTCAGGCATGTGCCACCATGCCGGGCTAATTTTTGTATTTTTAGTAGAGATGGGGTTTTACCACATTGGCCAGGCTGGTCTTGAACTCCTGACCTCAGGTGATCTGCCCGCCTCAGCTTCCCAAAGTGCTGGGATTACAGGCATGAGCCACCGCGCCTGGCCGACATATGTAATTTTAAATGTTCTAGTGGCCACATTTAAAAACTAAGGAGAAAAAAATAAATTAATTTTATTAATATATTGCATTTAACCCAATATATCTTAAATATTGTCATTTTAACATGTAATCAATTAAAATTATTAGAAATATTTTATATTATTACTGTTCTTGTCTAAGTCTTCAGAATGTGGTGTTTGTTTTATACTTACAGAACTTCTCAATTCAGGTTAGCCACGTTTCAAAGTGCTCAATAATCACATGTGGCTCATGGCTACTATAATACAGTGCAGGTCTAGATAGTTAGTTCAATGGTCAGCAACACATTACATTAGGTGCAGGTCCATGCTATCCTTTGCTAGTGTGTTTCTGAAACAAGTATATTCATTTGTTTTTAAAAATCTTTTAGGGTGTTTTAAGTTACTTCTGTAGATTTCAAATCAACTGCCTTCCATAAAAATGACATTGCTTACTCAAATAATAATGTTTGAAAGTAGGACGGCCCAAGATTTGGTTAATTCAAAGCCTTCATAATGGCATAAAAAACTCCAGGCTCCTCTCATCTTTCTTAAACCTCAAGATTCTCTCTCTTGAGGTCTCTACTAAAAATGCAAAAATAGTCAAAGGATGGCTGCGACTATTACTATAACCATTTCCATAGAGGAAAAGGCATTGCATTTTCCTTAAGCTTCTTTCTAAGAGATAGGAAAAATTTTCCCACAATATCCACCTAATACAAAAAAAGACGTTAAAGAAGAAACAGAGGAACAAAAAAAGTTAGACATATAGAAAACAAATAGCAAAATGGCATAATCAAATATATCAATAATAACATTAAATGTGGGCCAGGTACAGTGGCTCATGTCTGTAATTCCAGCCCTTTGGAAGGCTGAGGTGGGAAGACTGCTTGAGCCCAGGAGTTTGAGAATTAGCCTGGTCAACATACCAAGACCTTGTCTCTACAAAGAATAAAAAATTTAAAAATTAGCTAGGTTGAGGTGGGAGGATTGCTTAAGCCTAGGAATTCGAGTGTGCAGTAAGTTATGATTGTGCCACTGCACTCTAGCCTGAGTGACAGAGCGAGATCCTGTCTCAAAACACCACCACCACCAACAAAAACCATTAAATGTAAATGGACTAAACAATCAAACTAAGAGGCAGAGATTGTAAAATTTGTTCTGGTTTGGACAATAAATTATGGTTCACCTAAAAATAATATATTTTTATTTGGTTTTAATGTCATTAATAGGTAAAAACTCATATTGAAATTCTAATTATAATAACATAATTATAGGACTTTCTCAAGGATAGTTCTAAGGCATTAACACCCACACATTGGTATTGATGTAAAGTATTTAGGGTATCTTCCTCATTCTTGGAATCAGAGAATCGAAATGCAAGGATATTCAATGAGCCATTGATGGGGATATTGACCTTACCAAAATAATGTAGGAGTTGAAGTAGAACACAAACACTGTGAACCAGGTCCCCAAATCTCTGTGAATGAATGTCTGTGTCCATGAATTGGAGGTGATGGGTACTAAGAGTAGAGAGTAGTAGAGATAGATCTTTTAAGTGTTTATAGTTGGTGTGTTATCTACTAGTTATTTTATTAGGCACTCAGATAAGCACAGAGAAAAAAAATGTAGTCCCTGCCCATAAAGAGGGGTTCAGCGTGAAGGGGCAGACAGCTTAAAAAGAAATGAGTGTGATCCTTTTGCAGTTCATAAGCATGAAGTTTGGGTTTTCACATGCATCTGTGAGAAATACCTTCCTCAAACCCTGTTACAATGGTGGCTCACATCTGTAATCCCAGCACTTTGGGAGGCCAAGATGGGTGGATTTCTTGAGGCCAGCAGTTCGAGACCAGCCTGGCCAACATAGCGAAACCCATCTCTACTAAAAATACAAAAATCAGCCAGCCATGGTGGCCTGCACCCACAATCCCAGCTACTTGGGAGGCTGAGGCACAAGAATCACTTGAACCCAGGAGACTGAGGTTGCAGTGAGCAGAGATTGTGTCACTGCACTCCAGTCTGGGCAACAGAGCAAGTCTCTGTCTCAAAAACAACAACAAACAAACAAAAAACAACCTTGTTACAACATCAGGACATTGGCACATTATCTGTTTAACATTAAAAAAAGAAAAAAAGGGGCCGGGTGCAGTGGCTCACACCTGTAATCCCAGCACTTTGGGAGGCCGAGTTGGGTGGATCACGAGGTCAGGAGATCGAGACCATCCTGGCTAACATGGTGAAACCCTGTCTCTACTGAAAATACAAAAAATTAGCCTGGCGTGGTGGTGGGTGCCTGTAGTCCCAGCTACTCGGGAGGCTGAGGCAGGAGAATGGCATGAACCCAGGAGGCAGAGCTTGCAGTGAGCCGAGATCATGCTATTGCACTCCAGCCTGGGTGACAGAGCGAGACTCCGTCTCAAAAAAAAAAAGGAAGAAAGGAAACAGACAAATGAGTGAAATTCAATGCTACAGGTGTTACAATTAAATAAGCTCCTGCATCAAAAAAGGGGAAACAATCAATCCACCACATGGAGGATACAGCAATCAAGAAAGCCTTTAGAGACAGAGGTAACATAAGATCTATTTGTTCTTGGATTCATTCTGACATTTTATTCGTAGAAACATTGGTAGTAGGAGTCCAGGTGCTGAGAAAGCTGTAACAACTATTAATGCTGATGGTGGCTATTCAGCCAAGTGTGAGATATGATAGAGACTGGAGTTAAGTGGTTGACATAAGTAATCTAAAATAAGAGGCAGAGGCCAGGTGCTGTGGCTCACACCTATAATCCCAGCACTTTGGGAGGCTGAGGTGGCTGGATCACTTGAGTCCAGGAGTTCGAGACCAGCCTGGCCAACATGGATAAACTCTGTCTCTATTAAAAATACAAAAATTAGCTGGGTGTGATGGTACACGTCTGTACTCCCCGCTTTTTGGGAGGCTGAGGTGGGAGAATCGCTTGAACCCAGTAGGTGAAGGTTGCAGTGAGCTGAGGTCGCACCACTGCATCCAGCCTGGGCAAAAGAGTGAAACTTTGTCTAAAAAAAGAAAAAATTATTTCCTTGAAGAAGCTTTTCCCTCCCCACCCACAGTCCCTAAGTAGATCCCTCTATAATAAGACTTGCTTCTGTCTTGCATTATCAGATTTCCCTCTTCACTACTGAATCGATCAGTGTTATGGACAAACAAATGTGATTATTCTTTCAGATTAAGAAAAAACAAGGCTGAGTGTGGTGGCTCACACCTGTTATCCAAACATTTTGGGAGGCTGAAAGCAGGAGGCTCACTTAAGCCCAGAGTAACATAGTGACACCTAGTCTTTACAAAAAATTAGCCAGATGTGATGGCGTGCATCTGTAGTTCCAACTACTTGCTAGGCTGAGGAAGGAGGATCTTGAGTCCAGGAGGTCGAGGCTGCAGTGAACTGTGATGGTACCACTGCACTCCAGCCTGGGCAACAGAGTGAGACCCTATATCAAAAAAAACAAAAACAAAATGTCAATAAGCTCCCTGGACCCACTTGTACCACCAGCTACCACCCTATTCCTCTACTCTCCTTTTAGAGTAGTGGTTCTCATCTGGGGGCAATTTTTCCCACAGGAGACATTTGGCAATGTCTGGAGACACTTCTGGTTGTCACAACTGGAGTAGGGGTGCTACTGGTATCTAGTGGTAGAAGGCTTGGATACTACTAAACATCCTGAAATGCTCACGACACACCCCCCATTCCCCCCGCCACACACACACAATAAAGCATTATCCGCTCCAAAATGTCTATAGTTTTGAGGTTGACAAACCCTGTTTAAGAGCAAAACTCCTTAAAAGTGTCATCTTTATTCCACATCTCCAATTCCTTCCCTCTTTGTGTCTCATTTTTTTTTTTTTGAGATAGAGTCTTGCTTTGTTGCCCAGGCTGGAGTGCAATGGATCACTGCAACCTCAGTCTTCCAGATGCAAGTGATTCTCGTGCCTCAGTCTCCCAAGTAACTGGGATTACAGGTGCGCCCCACCACACCCAGGTAATTTTTGTATTTTTAGTAGGGACGGGTTTCACCATGTTGGCTAGGCTGGTCTCAAGCTCCTGACATCAATGATCCGCCCACCTCAGCCTCTCAAAGTGCTGGGATTACAGGTGTGAGCCACCATGCCCAGCCCCCTCATTCTCTCTTGAACCTACTCCAGCCAGACCCTCATCTCTACCACTTCCCCAAATGTGTCCTTGTCAGGATAATCCAACATCTAATGGTTACTCTCAGTCCTCATCAGACTTAACCTGCTGGCAGTATTTGACACACAGTATCATAGGTATCCAGTGTCCTACACTTAACCCTGTTCTTCCCCCCAGGGCTACTACATTTGTATCCTTCCCAATTTCAGCTGATGTCAACTTTATTCTTCCAGCTGTACAAGCGATCATCAATGCTCCTTCTCTTCCTCTCAAACTTGGCATCCAATTTGTCAACAAATCTTATTGGCTCTTCCTTCAAAATATATCTGGGATTTAATTACCTCCTCCAATGTCCACTGCTGCCACTCTGGGCCGTGCCACCCTCATCTTTCACCTAGTGTCAAGGTCCTGGATCATTGTGAGAGCTTTCGTAGGGATTCCCCTGTTCCACCTTTGCTCTCATACAACCAGAGTGAGTGTGTGAAAGAGGTAAATTAGATGTCACTCCTTCCCAAAACTCTCCAAGGGCTTCCTTTCTCATTCAGAATAAAAGCCGAAGTCTTTACGATGTGCCCACACGGCCTTATCCAACCCGATTGCTGACATTGTGTCTTCCTTCTCCTAGTGAAGTTCCCTCTGTTGCTACCATACCACCCTTCCTGACATTCCTTAGACACTACAGCCACACTCCCTATGCACGGCCTTTGCACTTGTTCCCACTGCCTGGAACTTTCTCCTTCAAATACCCTGTGGCTTGTTATCCCCCACCCAGCCCTCCAGTCCTCACTCAAATGTACCTTGTCAGTAAGAAATTCTCTGCCAGGCCTTCCTAAAGGTGCAGCTACCTCTGCCCTGTCCCTCTTCTCTGCTTTATTTTATCCAAAAGGATAAAGTGTCTCTTCACCTGTGGTCCACAGTGGCTCATGCCTGTAATACCAGTACTTTTGGAGGCCGAGATGGGTAGATCGCTTGAGGTCAGGAATTCAAGACCAGCCTGGCCAACATGGTGAAACCCTGTCTCTACTAAAAATACAAAAATTAGCCGGGCGTGGTGGCATGCACCTGTAATCCCAGCTACTCGGCAGGAGAATTGCTTGAACCCAGGAGGCAGAGGTTGCAGTGAGCCCAGATCGCGTCACTGCACTCCAGCCTAGGTGACAGAGCAAGACTCAGTCTCAAAAAACCAAAAAACATTAAATGCCTTCCTGAATGAATTTTCTTTCTTTAGCTTTTTTTGTCGCTCGGGTTATCTACTAGACCTAATTAAGCAAGCTTATCTTCTTCCAGGCTTCAACTACTACTTGAATTTCATTAATTTTCCACGTTTATTTATCTTTAACCTCACTTTTATTCCTGAATTTCATTTGTATTTCCAACAATTTGCTGTATGATTTTAACTGTGTGCACCAATTACCTAGACTTTAAAATCAATATTTAGAAACTCAAACTTATTTACCCAACCACTCACACTGACCTTAAATTAAAATAAACACATGCCACAACTGTTCTTTCTCTTACATATATTTTTATATTTTGGGTGTTGCCTCACCAGCTACTCATATGACGAAGCTAGAAATGATGGAATCATCCCTAGTTTTTTGTGTCTAATATTTCCTATATGTCACTGATCCCTGCATGCTGCTAATTTTACCTATTTTGAATCGTCTCACATAGATAACCTCTTTTCCACCTTCTTATGTGTGAGTGGATGCAAAACCTTCCTAACCAGTTTCTCTACTTCCTACTATTCCAATTCATTCTTTGTATTATTGTCAGCTTTATATCTCCAAACATCTCCAGGACTTTCAAGAAAAATGTTTGAATTTCATACTAGGTCATAAATTAGCTTAATGTTCTGAACTACAGTAGAGAGGAATTTTATACCAAGCTCCTGGGAATCCCTTTATATGATAAACTACATCCACTTGAGTGGACAAACCCTTGGAGCAAGTCAGCCCAAGATGATGCAGCTTTATTAATCGTTAGAGTCCAATAGGAGATCCAAGACTTGGAAGGGAGATGGAGGTTTTTCAAAGAAAGTGATGAGCTTGGCCAGGCGCGGTGACTCACACCTGTAATCCCAGCACTTTGGGAGGCCGAAATGTGCGAATCACAAGGTCAGGAGATCAAGACCATCCTGGCTAACATGGTGAAACCCTGTCTCTACTAAAAATACAAAAAAAATTAGCCGGATGTGGTGGCGGGTGCCTGTAGTCCCAGCTACTTGGGAGGCTGAGGCAGGAGAATGGCGTGAACCCAGGAGGCGGAGCTTGCAGTGAGCCAAGATTGCTTCACTGCACTCCAGCCTGGGTGACAGAGTGAGAGCGAGACTCCGTCTCAAAAAAAAAAAAAAAAAAAGTGATGAATTTACACAAGAAACAAACAACATAGGGGCAAAATCAGATTATAACACCTTCAAAGAACTGAAACAATTCATGTACATTAAATATTTTAAGGTATATTACTATGATTTTAGGGTCTTCAAGCTTCTCTTTGGAGGTATGTGAAGTAAGAAGAAATGAAAATGTAATCATTATAGTGTATACACGCCCTTTCTGTCTTTCTGAAACAATAATCCTGCGATAAACCATTGGTAAAAGATGCATTCTCATCTTTATGAGAACATCTCCCTTTTCTAAGACACTAGCTTGCTGGTGACTAGATCTTTGAAGACATACCTTGGTGCCCAGAAAGATACCTGATTAGCCAGACCAAGGGAACCAAGAAGATTACACCTCTATTTTACTCTTCTTAGTCTCTTTGCAGTTTGTACTTTCAGTAGACTACCTGTACTTAATTCGCTTCTTAAAATATGATGAGGACTGCAGAAAAAATATTATGTCCATATTACAGGTAAAGCAACAAAGGTCCCCAAAAGATGGAGTGACTTGGCCAGGATCACAAAGCTAGTAAAAAATTCATTTACTCTTTTTGTCATTAACATATTAAGTCCTATCAAGTCGGGATGCTAAAACTATGGGAGAATTAATCAGAGTAAATATCTTTATTTTTATTTTTTGAGACAGAGTCTCGCTCTATAGTGCAGGCTTGAGTGCAGTGGCACTATCTTGGCTCACTGCAACCTCTACCTCCTGGTTCAAGCGATTCTCCCACCTCAGCCTTTCGAGTAGCTGGGATTACAGGCACCGCCACCATGCCTGGCTAATTTTTTGTATTTTTTTAGTAGAGACGGTGTTTCACTATGTTGTCTAGGCTGGTCTTGAACTCCTGAGCTCAGGCAATCCACCCGCCTTGACCTCCCAAAGTGTTAGGATTACAGACGTGAGCCACTGTACCCAACTTACTTTTTGTATTTTTAGTAGAGACGGGGTTTCACCTGTTGGCCAGGCTGGTCTCAAACTCCTAACCTCAAGTGATCCACCTGCTTCAGCTTGCCCAAGTGCTGGGATTACAGACGTGAGCCACCACTCCTAGCCTGTTATTTTTTTATTTTATTTTATTTAAGAGACAGGGTCTTGCTCTGTAGCCCAGGCCGAAATGCAGCCGTGCAACCTTAGCTCACTGTAACCTCGAACTCCCACCTCAGCCTCTCAAGTAGTTAGGACTGCAGGCATGCACTATGTTGCCCAGGTGGGTCTCAAACTCCTGGCCTCAAGTGATTCTCCTACCTCTGCCTCCCAAAGCACTGGGATTACAGGCATGAGACACTACACCAGGCCCCAGAGTAAACATCTGTAAATGGAAGAGTCTGTAATGAAAGAGGCTCTACAAAATCAGTTTAATGCCGTGTTTTCTCTATTATTATTATTTATTTATTTAATTTTTTCTTCTTTTTTTTTTTTTTTTGAGATGGAGTCTCGCTGTCGCCCAGACTGGAGTGCAGTGGCCCGATCTCGGCTTACTGCAGGCTCCGCCCCCCGGGGTTCATGCCATTCTCCTGCCTCAGCCTCCCAAATAGCTGGGACTACAGGCGCCCGCCACCTCACCTGGCTAATTTTTTGTATTTTTAGTAGAGATGGGGTTTCATTGTGTTAACCAGGATGGTCTCGATCTCTTGACCTCGTGATCTGCCCGCCTTGGCCTCCCAAAGTGCTGGGATTACAGGCGTGAGCCACCGCGCCCAGCCTATTTATTTAATTTTTTGAGACACAGAGTCTCGCTCTGTCGCCCAGGTTGGAGTGCAGTGGCGCAATCTCGGTCACCGCAAGCTCCGCCTCCCGGGTTCACACCATTCTCCTGCCTCAGCCTCCCGAGTAGCTGGGACCACAGGCGCCCACCACCACGCCCGGCTAATTTTTTGTATTTTTAGTACAGACAGGGTTTCACTGTGTTAGCCAGGATGGTCATGATCTCCTGACCTCGTGATCCGCCCGCCTCCACCTCCCAAAGTGCTGGGATTACAAGTGTGAGCCACCGCACCCGGCCTCTATTAATATTTTTTAGTTATACTTCATGTGTCTACATTTTCATTCCATCATGAGCTCCTTGAGGACAGTGCTTAGGTGATATTTATCTGTCTTCTGACACTGAGTTTCTGCCATCCAAGCAGAAAAGGCTCAATAAAAATGTATTGAATCGAATAAATATTTGTAATTCACATGACAGACAAATGCATAATGCCGAAGCAACTGTTTATTTCCCCTTATCAATAAATGTCAGCATTGTTTTCTCCTTTCCTTGCTTTCGATTTCCTGTAAAAACCTGATGGTGACTGGCCAAGGAAATATCCTTTTTAAATTCAAATTTGGCAAACACACTGAAGACATGCGATAATCTTAATATATTCCTCGTAGGAATGTGAGAAGTGTTCAGAGCAAAGGGCTAACATATTTAGAGGTCAAAAAATTGATTCCAGGCTGGACGCGGTGGCTCACGCCTGCAATCCCAGCCCTTTGGGAGGCCAAGGCAGGTGGATCACCTGAGGTCAGGAGTTCGAGACCAGCGTGGCCAACATGGCGAAACCCCATCTCTACTAAAAATACAAAAATTAGCCAGGCATGGTGGCACGCGCCTGTAGTGCCAGATACTCGGGAGGCTGAGGCAGGAGAATCGCTTGAACCTGGGAGGCAGAGGTTGCAGTGAGCCGAGATCGCGCTACTGCACTCCAGTGTGGGTGACAGAGCGAGAGTGTGGGTGACAGAGCGAGACTCTGTCTCAAAAAAAAAAAAAAAAATTGATTCTAGTCAATAGGTATTTATTTTGGGGAGTAAAGAGATGGGAAGAATTAGAGAAAGGAAGAGGAAAAACAAAAATAAATAGCATGCAGATAATGAGAAAATAGACTCATTTTTACAGCTGTGAGCTCAGACTAAAAGATAAACAATGCTATTACTTTGGAATATAATTCTAATAACACAAAAAAGACTCATAGACCACAATATGTATTTATTTTGTGGCAAAGGTGTCATTTTTAGAAAGAAACAAATGTGTTCAATTTTGCTTTCCCTGTTTTTAATGAATTAAGAAAGGTCTTCTCTTACCTTCTTTTGACTGTCATCATTCCTCTCATCCAGGAATATTTACAGGTTTGCAAGAAGACACCATCTTTAAGTAGTTTTTAGGCACTTTTACAATACTGACTAAATTGTATAAAATAGTATTATAAATTAATATTTAAATTATAATTTTATGACGTGAAAATCAACAACGAATGTCAATTTCACTTCGTTTTGACTGTCATCTGTGGCCTCTGGAGTCCCTCACTTAAATCATTGGTCCTTGGTTTTATTTTTTAAGCCTATTAAAAAGGAGGATGGGGCCGGGCACGGTGGCTCACACCTGTAATCCCAGCACTTTGGGAGGCTGAGGTGGACAGATCATTTGAGGTCAGGAGTTGAAGACCGGCCTGGCCAACACCGTGAAACCCCATCTCTACTAAATATACAAAAAAAAAAAAAAAAAAGTACAACAACAACAAAAAATTAGACGGGTGTGGAGGCAGAGGCAGGAGAATTTCTTGAACCTGGGAGGCAGAGGTTGCAGTGAGCTGAGATGGTGCCACTGCTCTCCAGTCTGGGAGACAGAGCGAGACCCTGTCTCAAAACAAACAAGCAAACAAGCAAGCAAGCAAACAAACAAAAAACAAGTTGGGCATGGTGGCTCACCCCTGTAATCCCAGCACTTTGGGAAGCCGAGGCAGGCGGATCACCTGAGGTCAGGAGTTTGAGACCAGCTTGGCCAACATGGCGAAACCCCATGTCTACTAAAAATACAAAAATTAGCCGGGCATCGTGGCGCCTGCCTATAATTCCAGCTACTCGGGAGGCTGAGGCAGGATAAACTCTTGAACCCGGGATGTGGAGGTTGCAGGTTGCACGTGACATAGCCGAGATCGCGCCATTGCACTCCAGCCTGGGCAACAAAAGCGAAACTCCATCTCAAAAAAAAAAAAAAAAAACAAAAAAAACAAAAAAACCCAGAAAAACAAAAAAACAACAAACAAAAAGGGAGGATGGTAGATAACTGTCCAGATACTTTCCAGCTTTGCCGCTATATGAACTATTCCTTTTGTTTAGTTTTCAGCATGGGAGCTTCTGGCACTTTTACGTACTTTCCAGCTTCTGGGGACCGGCTGCCTAGAATAACAGGCATTTGCCCCAGAGGCCGTGGAGTGGCCTCACTTTGGGGTCGTGGGCAGATCGCTGGCTCCCACGCCTGGACTTCGGGATCGCAGGCAGGATCCCTTCCAGCCCAAGCACTCCGCCCAGGCGCGCCAGGCAGAGCCCCACCCCATCCCGCCGTTCCCTTCAGCCCCGGGGCGCGGATCTTGCATCTGAAACTGAGCAGAGCAGGGCGCCGGGCAGGGCCGGCGGGCCACGTGATAAGCCCGGAAACAGCTCCGCCCCCTCGCTTCCTGAGCCGCCACATCCCGGCAGCCCTCCTACCTGCGCACGTGGTGCCGCCGCTGCTGCCTCCCGCTCGCCCTGAACCCAGTGCCTGCAGCCATGGCTCCCGGCCAGCTCGGTGAGGCCCTAGCGGAGCGGCGCGGTCTGCGTCCTCGCCTGCGGCCCCCCACGCTCCCGCCTTGGCGGCGGCCGGCGGGACCCGGCACTGCAGGGGCGGCGCTGCGGGATTGAAAGCCAGCGTCCCCGCTCCCCGGCCGGGCCGCAGCCTGCGTGGGGCCCGCCTTAGAGCAGCTCGCGGGTGTAAGACCTGGGGAGGCCCGGACCAGGCCTGCGAACGCAGGGTCCAGGTGCTGGCCTTGCGATTCGAGAATCTCCTCCCCCAGACCCTCCCAAGGCCTTGCAGAACACAGTGCAATGTGCTGCGAATCATGAGAAAAAATGTCTTCTCTTTCAGCCTTATTTAGTGTCTCTGACAAAACCGGCCTTGTGGAATTTGCAAGAAACCTGACCGCTCTTGGTTTGAATCTGGTCGCTTCCGGAGGGACTGCAAAAGCTCTCAGGGATGCTGGTCTGGCAGTCAGGTAAGGCATAGCTAGTTCCATCAGAAAGGAGTGTGATCACATTAACCAGGAAGTATTGTATTCCAGGCACCAGCAGCAAAACGCCTTATTTACTCCTCCCAGTAGCGCTGTGAGGTTGGTGTAATACTTCCCCACTTTATGGGGAAAAAAAGTGAGGCTCAGAGAGATTTAGCAACTTTTAAGACCCTGGACGGCTGGGCTAGGTGGCTCACGCATGTAATCCCAGCACTTTGGGAGGCCGAGGTGGGCTGATCACTTACGGTCAAGAGTTCGAGACCAGCCTGGCCAACATGGTGAAACCCGTCTCTACTAAAAATACAAAAATTAGCCGGTATGGTGGCACACGCCTGTAATCCCAGCTACTGGGAAGGCTGAGGCAGGAGAATCGCTTGAACCTAGGAGGCGGAGGTTGTGGTGAGCCGAGATGGCACTACTGCACTCCATCCTGGGTGACAGAGAAAGACCCTGGACAACACACTGGACAGATTTAGCATCTTCTGCACAAGTTTAAACAGTTGAGTAAGGGAAAAGTAGGATTGGAACCCGTGCTGTTCCTGATTTTAGGACACTAGTCTTAGCCCCTTCCTTAAACAGATTAACTTAGGTGGGCCACTTGTTATGCAAGGAAAACTTCAGTTACTTTGACTGGTGATTTAATAAAACTCGACATCATGAAGATTCCAATTTACCTGCCTTCCCTTAGAATCTCTGGTAACCATATGAAGGTGCAAATCATTCATTCCCACGTTCACAAGCCCTTCATTAGCTGACTAGGCCATGGAAAGAAGGGACTTAGAAATGATTAACCAGGATGCCATTGCTGATGTCAAGGAGTGGCATTCTGGGAGGAGAGGGAGGAAGTCTACTGAAAGGTAGAAAAATGAAAAAAACTATAGGATAGCTATTTAATAAACGGCAGTGAGAGTTGGGAGGAACGAGATGACCACCCCTGAAACATATTTTAGAATGAAAGAGATGAAGGATATCTGTCTGCTTTTTGTTGCCATGTGGAAAATTTGCTTCTTGGTTTCTAGATCCATGTAGAGGTAGGTTATTACCTTTTCTTTGTGCAGTTCCCAGCTATGTGAGCAGTACACAGCTTCCCTAAGTTTAACAAGTTCAGATGGTAAGAATGCCTTACTTTATTAACAAATACATAACTGTATATTTTCGGATGTCTTTTTGCGTCTTGTCTCTGTGGTTTTCATGGGAAACCTGTGAGAATCGTGGCAGGCAAGTTGGCTCTTTGCTCATCAGCAACCGAATGAGAATTCAAAGTCCAGACCTGCGTGCTTTCCATTGGGCCAAGTTGGGTCCTCCTATGGTAATGGAACCTTCGTAAAGCAAAATCCTCATCTGTAGTCTCTTTTTTTTCCCCACCAAACTTTGTATTATGGAAACATTTCAGACACAATCAAAAGTAGAAAAGTATAATGATCCCTTGGGTCCTATATCTGTCACCCACTTTAGGTACTTATCAACTGATTAGTCTTGTTTCTGTACCTATACCCACTCCTCACTTATCTTCATTATGGTCATATCTTCTTTAAAAACTGGAAATGTAAATGTGTTTCTCTTCTATGAAAGGATAAGAAGTTCACCATGAGTGATTTATTTAGACCCCAGCACAGTAAAGTTCACTGAATGAAATGTAAACAACTTGGAGCAATTGTTTTTTCTTCAACAAAGGCCACATTCAGTTGCAGTGGTATTTTATTCAGTTGCAGTGGTATTTTACATATATAAACTCTTATAGTCCTTATAACAACTTTTTAGTTTAGGTAGTGTTATCCTCATTTTATAGGTGAGGAAATTAAGCACAACGTAGTTAAGTAACTCGCTCGAGATTACACAGCTAGTTAAGAGGCCAAGATTTTTTTTTTTTTTCTCTGAGATAGAGTTTCACTCTTGTTGCTCAGGCTGGAGTGCAATGGCACTGTCTCAGCTCACTGCAACCTCTGCCTCCCAGGTTCAAACGATTCTCCTGCCTCAGCCTCCCAAGTAGCTAGGATTACAGGCGCCCGCCACCACGCCTGGCTAATTTTTTTGTATTTTTGGTAGAGACAGAGTTTCACCATGTTGGCCAGGCTGATCTCGAACTCCTGACCTCAAGTGATCGCCCGCCTTGGCCTGCTGGGATTACAGGTGTGAGCCACCGCACCCGAGGCCAAGATTTTGTAGGGGTGGAAAGGTGTGATCCTTTGCTCTCCATCGTAAACGTCACGGCCAATATTTTTATAAGAGAAGACAGGTTATAATAAGAGAAAAGCATAACAAATTTATTTAACAAAGTTTTACATGACATGAGAGCCTTCAGAATGAAGACCCAAAGACAGAGGAAAAACCATCCATTTTTATGTTTAGGTTCAACAAAGAATGGACAGAAAGGTGGAAGTATGATTGGACAGCAAGGATATGGTGTATGCTAGTAGACTGAGGTGGAGAAAGCCAGGAAAGCCTGTCTGTCCAGATTCTTCTTGGCTTCTCTAAAATTCTTTCTCCACCCCCTAAGGATCTCCTGACCTACTAATGGGCAAGGAGATGAGAGGATTTCTTTACGTCCAGCTCCTAGACAGAAAGCCAGTGGAAAGTTAGAATCATAAGTTTAAATCTTATGACTGGCTTTGGGGAAAAAGAGTTTTAGTTTCTGTAAACTGCCCTGGGGAAGAGAAATTCTCATTTCTGTGACTTCAGGGAAGAATGAAGGGTGAGAGGCAAGAGGGCAGGAGAAAGCTATATATATATATTTTTTTAGAGGGTTTTACTCTGTCACCCAGGCTGGAGTGCAGTGGCACAATCATGGCTAATTGCAGCCTCGATCTCCCAGGCTGAGGCAATCCTTCCACCTCAGCCTCCTGAGTATCTGGGACTACAGCTGCACACCAGCATGCCCAACTAATTTTTGTATTTTTCATAGAGATGGTTTCACCATGTTGTCTGTCTGGTCTTGAACTCTAGGGCTTAAGCAATTTTGCCTGCCTTGGCCTCCCAAAGTGCTGGGATTACAAGTGTGATCCACCATGCCTGGACAAGGTCTTGGTTCTGGCTGGGCGCAGTGGCTCACCCCTGTAATCCCAGCACTTTGGGAGGCTGAGGCTGCTGGATCATCTGAGGTCAGGAGTTTGAGCCCAGCCTGGCCAACATGGTGCAACTCCATCTCTGCTAAAAATACAAAAAAGAATCAGCCGGGTGTGGTGGCGTGCACCTGTAATCCCAGCTACTCAGGAGGCTGAGGCAGGAGAATTGCTTGAACCCAGGAGGTGGAGGTTGCAGTGAGCCGAGATTCCACCACTACACTCCAGCCTGGATGACAGAGAGAAACACTGTCTCAAAAAAAAAAAAAAAGATCTTGGTTCTGAGGCTGCTTCTGAGCATATTTTTGGGTGTTGTTATCTGCAATAATTTTATCCCAGGAAGTTAACCATTACCTTGTCATGAGGTAAACTGATGGATTTTAATTAGTGAGTATACAGCAGTGAGCATACATAGAATTATTTCCCGAGACTACAGCCATTATGTATAAATTCTTCAGTTCAAAGGAGTAGCAAGCTTTTTAATTACCCCAAATGTTTAATTCTAGAAATAAATCCGCCTTCTCTAAGTTTTAAGTGACTGTCTTCATTTGGAGGAAATGGATTTTATTTCCTGAACCCCAGGAAAAGAAATTTTGAATTTGAAAACACTTATGTCACCAGTTTGTGGATGTTGGAACTGTGTGTGTCATTGGTCAAACACCAGTCATTTGCAAATGGCTCCCCTTAACAGGAGAATCTACCCAGGAAATTCCGTATCTTACTGGCAGAACTTGCTGCTTTAAAGTGTTTATTATAGTCTCAGCTACTTGGAGGATTACTTAATAAGCCCAGGAGTTCTAGGCTGCCATGGACTGTAATCTTGCCTGTGAATAATCACTGTACTCCAGGCTGGGCAACATAGTGAGATCCCATCTCAAAAACTATATATGTTGATTGTAGAAAATTCGAAAATATGGACAACTATAAAGAAGGTAGTAAAAATGGATTGTAATTCTTAACATGCTAGTATATTTTTCTTCAAGCATTTTTATAAGCATGTACTTTATTTCATAGCTTACACAGAAGATAGATGCAGTTTTGCTTCCTGCTTTATTTATTTTTATGTATTTATTTATTTTTTGAGACGGAGTTTTGCTGTTGTTGCCCAGGTTGAAATGCAGTGGCACAATCTTGGCTCACTGCAACCTCCGCCTCCCGGGTTCAAGCGATTCTCCTGCCTCAGCCTCCCAAGTAGCTGGGATTATAGGCATGCCCCACCATGCCTGGCTAATTTTGTATTTTTAGTAGAGGCGGGGTTTCACCATGTTGGTCAGGCTGGTCTGGAACTCCCTTACCTCAGGTGATCCATTCGCCTTGGCCTCCCAAAGTGCTGGGATTACAGGTGTGAGCCACCCCACCTGGCCCCTGCTTTATTTTTTCTTATATATTGTGGGCATTTTTACACACCATTACAACTTATAAAGTCTGCCAGAGTGTTCGTGGTTACGACTTTCTAGGGGTCTGCTTTGTGATATGGATTAATATTTACTGTCCTTCACTTGACCCTTTGTCACATTGTGTGATTATTTTTTCTAGTTTACTTTTTTTTCCCATGTAAAACTTTTTATTTAACATTTCTGTAATCAGAACTCTCAATCTTTTGTTTAAAACTTGGAAAGCATTCCTCACATATTTAATTTTGCTACATGCATGATTTTTTAAATGCTAAACCTTTGATTCATAAGGAATATATTTTTGTTTGGGTTTAACCCGTTATTCCAATAGCAACACCACTTTATTAAACAGTCTTTTATGTCTTCACTCACTTGATATGCCATCTTCATGTGTTGTTGTTGTTGTTTTTTGAGATGGAGTCTTGCTCTGTCGCCCAGGCTGGAGTGCAGTGGCATGATCTCGGCTCACTGCGACCTCCAACTCTTGGGTTCAAGTGATTCTCCTGCCTCAGCCTCCCCAGTAGCTGGGATTACAGGTGCCCGCCATCACGCTCGGCTAATTTTTTGTATTTTTTTAGTAGAGCTGGGGTTTCATCATGTTGGCCAGGCTGGTCTCAAACTCCCCTCCTCAGGTGATCCACCTGCCTCAGCCTTCCAAAGTGCTGGGTTTACAGCCATGAGCCACCGTGCCCGGCCAAGGATATTTTTAATGCTTTTTGTTACATACTGCCAAATTCTCAGTTGTATGTCTTAGTAATATTTAATGAGTATGGCTTATGATTCAGTTTCTAAATGCTCTGAAAATTATAAAACCAGTGCTGTAGTAGTTACCAATTATCCCTGAACATACACAACAGTTAGGAAATAAATTAAATAAACTTTTTTTCGGAAGTAAATAGAATTTTACTTAAGAAATAAAATATAGTGAAATACTTTAAAAAATCAGAATTTTCACGTTGAATTCAGGCTCAAAATCTCTTGAAATGAAAACAGTAGATGCTTTGAATAGTGAAAATTACAATTCAGCCACACCAGTAGTACCATTCTGTTTATCTGTTTTTCAGAGATGTCTCTGAGTTGACGGGATTTCCTGAAATGTTGGGGGGACGTGTGAAAACTTTGCATCCTGCAGTCCATGCTGGTAAGTGGTTGGTATCTTTAATGTAAAAACAGTCAGTGGTTTCCAGGAATATTTTAGTTGATAGCGTCCTAAAATAAAGGAAGAAAAAGGCTCAAGAGAAATTTACATATAAAGTTAATGTTATGAAGTTGCTGCCAGATTTCATAATACGTTAGAACTGGTTTAAAATCCAGCTTGTCTTACTACTTGATGAATTCAGATTGTTTTCCTCTGCTTGCTATTAGTCCTGACCTGATACCTAATTTAGAGTCTGGTGTTTCCTGCTCAAGTTGCTGAAGATATTTAGATTTCATCGTATGAAAATACTTTTAAAATAGTTCAAACTTAGAAGAAAGCATCACAGCGTAACTGACTTGCAAAGGAATTTTTTTTTTCAAAGTGCTTTACATTTGTTCGTTCACCTAAGAATGAATTGTATATAAACCGAAACGGCAAGAAACTGGTATCCTCCTAGTTTGTCAGTTGTGGTACAATTTGGTGAATAAAGCTGAATGGCTACAGATCATCAGACAAGCCATTGACTTACAGAAACGCATAGACTGTTCTGGAACTAGCAACAGTTTTGTAAAATTCCTTTTACCTTTTTTACATTTTATTGCTCAAGAAACTGGGATCAAGAACTGAAGAAAAAGATTTTTAAATATATCTCTCTTTTTTTTTTTTGAGACAGGATTATACTCTTGCCCAGGCTGGAGTGCAGTGGTGCGATCATGGCTCGCTGCAGCCTCTGTCTGCTTCCCAGGCTCAAGCAGTTCTCCCACCTCAGCCTCCCAAGTAGCTGGGACTATAGGCATGTGCCACCACACCCAGCTAATTTTTGTATTTTTTATAGAGACGGGGTCTCACCTTGTTGCCCAGGCTGGTCTCGAACACCTGGGCTCAAGCGATCCCCCACCTTAGCCTCCCAAAGTGCTGGTATTACAGACATGAGCCACTGTGGCCAGCCAGATATATCTGTTAATCCTAATTTTTTTGTTTGATAACTCCCCAACTACATGTTTGATATTCTTTAATTAAGAATATTATGCTGGGCATGGTGGCTCTTGCCTGTAGTCCCAGCACTTGGAGAGCTGAGACAGGAGAACCGCTTGAGCCCAGGAGTTTAAGATCACCCTGGGCAAGATGGCAACACCCCCCTTCTCTTTAAAAAATTGAAAAGACCAGCTGGGTGTGGTGATGCATTCCTGTAGTCCCAGCTACTTGGGAGGCTGAGGTAGGAGGATCACTTGAGCCCTGGAGGTCAGGGCTATAGTGAGTTGTGATTACGCCACTACAATCCAGCCTGGGCGATAGAGTGAGACCATCTCAAAAAAATAAATTTTTTTTTTAATCAATGGGATTTAATTTGATTGAAGACACTATGTTGAAAGACATTCCTTAATCTGACTTGTTTTTTGAAGCTAATGACTTTGTTTAACTTTTTTAAATTAGGAATCCTAGCTCGTAATATTCCAGAAGATAATGCTGACATGGCCAGACTTGATTTCAATCTTATAAGGTAAAAACCTGAAATTAAACTTTTAACACATTACGAACCAACGACAAAGACTATGCCAAACCTGGTGTCCCTGTGTTTTCTTACTCACTATAAACCTTTACTGCGTACCTTCTGTGTGACTTTGTATGTGTGTAAGCATTTTGGTTTGGCCAGATTTATATACCAAAATACATACTGAAGTTTTTTAGGAAGTTACAATCTAAATCTTAGTATGTATAGGTTGAGTATCCCTTATCTGAAATGCTTGGGACCCAGAAGTGTCTTGGATTTCAGATTTCTTCAGATTTTGGAATATTTGCAGGTAACATGCCAGTTGAGCGTCCCTCAGAAATCCGAAATGCTTCAGTGAGCATTTCCTCCAAGTGTCATGTTGACGCTCAAAAAGTTTCAGATTTTGGAGCATTTCAGATTTCAGGTTTTCATATTAGGAATTATCAACTTGCACAACTAACTGAGTTATTTGCATAAAGATACTGGCTGTTTCTCTTAAATATACGTAACAGCTTTATTGAGATCTAATCCACATACCATACAACTCACCAATTTAAAATGTACAAATCAGTGGTTCACAGAAGTTGTGCAACCATTACTGTGTTAGTCTGTTCTGCATTGCTATAAAGGAATACTAGAAGCTGGGTAATTTATGAAAACAGGTTTATTTTGGCTCGTGATTCTATAGACAGTACAAGAAGTGTGGTGCCAGCATCAACTTCTGGTGAGGGCCTCAGGAAGTTTATAATCACAGTGGAAAGCAGAGGGGGAGCTGGCATATCCCATGAGAGAAGAAGCAAGAGAGAGGGAGAGGAGGAGTTGCCCAGCTCTTTTACTTTTTAACTTTTATTCTTAATTTAATTTAATTTTATTTTGAGACAGGGTCTCGCTCTGTTGCTCAGGTTGGAGTTCAGTGGCATGACCTTGGCTCACTGCAACCTCTGCCTCCTGTGTTCAAGTGATTCTCCTGCCTCAGCCTCCTGAGTAGCTGAGATTACAGGCGTTTGTCACCACGCCCAACTCATTTTTACTATTTTTAGTAGAGATGGGGTTTCACCATGTTGGTCAGGCTGCTCTTGGAACTCCTGACCTCAAATGATGCACCCACCCCGGCCTCCCAAAGTGCTGGGATTAGGTGTGAGCCACCACGCCCGGCCTGCCCGGCTCTGTTAAACAACCAGCTCTACATGAACTCAGAGTGAGGACTCATTATGGGGAGGGCACCAAGCCATTCATAAGGGATCTCCCCCGTGACCCAATCATCTCCCACCAGGCCCCACCTCCAACATTGGGGATCACATTGCAAAATGAGATTTGGAGAGGACACACATCCAAACCATATTAATTGCCACATCCAATATTAAAACATATTCATCACCCCCACCCTAAACCCTATACCCATACGCATTTATTCTCCATTTCCCCAACGTCCTCCAGCCTCGGCAACCACCAATTGTTACGTGTCTGATTTGCCTGTAGTGGACATTTTCATATAAATAGAATCTAACAATATATGGTTTTTTTGTTCCTGGCTTCTTTCACTTAGCATGTTTTCAAGGTTTATCCATGTTATAGCATAGTATCAATAGTTCATTTCGTTTTTAGTGCTGAAAAATAATCCATTGTGTGGTCATACCCTGTTGTTTATCAGTTCATTTGTTGATGGACATTTGGGTTGTTTCTACTTTTTGAATATTATGAATAATGCAGCTATAAATATTTGTGTATAAGTTTTTGTGTGGACATACACATTCGTTTCATTGGGGTATATACCTAGGAGTGGAATTCCTTGGTCATATGGTAACTATGTTTAGCTTTTGAGGAACTGCGACCCTGTATTTCAGAGTGCTGCACCATTTTACATTTCCAGCAGCAGTGTGCTGGATGGGGCTCCAGTTTCTCCACATCCTCATCAACGTTACTATCTGTCTTTTTGATTCTAGTCATTCTAGGGGTTCTGAAGTGGCATCTCATTGTGGTTATAATTTGCTTTCCAAATAATGTGGAACACCGTTGGATGTGCTTCCTAGCCAGTTGTTTACCTCCTTTGGAGAAATGTCTGTTGAGACCTCTTGTCCATTTTTAGTTGAGGTATTTATCTGTTTATTATTGAGTTGTAAGTTTATTTCCTCTCATTCTATGGATTGTGTTAGCCTTTCTTGATGGTTTCCTTTGATCATCACAAGTTTTTTCTTTTTTTTGAGACGGAGTCTTACTCTCGCCCAGGCTGGAGCACAGTGGCGTCATCTTGGCTCACTGCAACCTCCACCTCCCGGATTCAAGCGATTCTGCCTCAGTCTCATGAGTAGCTGGGGTTACAGGTGCCCGCCACCACACTTGGCTAATTTTTTTGGATTTTTAATAGAGATAGGGTTTCACTATGTTGGCCAGGTTGGTCTTGAATTCCTGACCTCGGGTTATCTGCCCGCCTTGGCCTCCCAAAGTGCTGGGATTACAGGCTTGAGCCACCATGCCCGGCCCACAAAAGTTTTTAATTTTGATGATGTTGAATTTATTTTTTCTTTTGTTGCTTGTGTTAATGGTGTCATGTCTAAGAAACCATTGCCTAATCCTCAGTGATGAAGATTTTTGTGTATATTTTCTTTCTTTTTTTTTTTTTTTTTGAGATGGAGTTTCGCTCTTGTTGCCCAGGCTGGAGTGCAGTGGCGTGATCTCGGCTCACTGCAACCTTCGCCTCCTGGGTTCAAGCGATTCTCATGCCTCAGCCTCGCAAGTAGCTGTGATTACAGGTGCCCGCCACCACGCCCAGCTAATTTTTTTGTGTTTTTAGTAGAGACGGGGTTTCTCCATGTTGGCCAGGCTGGTCTTGAACTCCTGACCTCAGGTGATCCACCTGCCTCGGTCTCCCAAAGTGCTGGGATTACAAGTGTGAGCCACCGCACCCGGCGTGTGTACATTTCTTTTAAGAGTTATTTTAGTGTTAGCTCTTATACTTAAGTCTTTGGTTCATTTTAAGTTAATTTTCATATACAGACATGAAATAGAAGTCTTATTTTATTTTGTATGTGGCTGTCTAGTTGTCTCAGCATCATTTGTTGAAAAGACTGTTCTTTGCCCAATCGAATGGTCTTGGCACCCTTGGTCCATGTGCCTGCTGTTATGCCAGTACTACACTATTACTATAGGCTGGTAACAAATTTTGAAATCAGCAAGTGTGAGTCCTCCAACTTCATTTTTCTGTTTTTTGTTTGTTTGTTTGTTTTGTTTTGTTTTGTTTTTGAGACGGAGTCTGGCTCTGTTGCCCAGGCTGGAGTGCAGTGGCGCGATCTTGGCTCACTGCAAGCTCTGCCTCCCGGGTTCACGCCCTTCTCCTGCCTCAGCCTCCCGAGTAGCTGGGACTATAGGCGCCCGCTACCATGCGCAGCTAATTTTTTTGTATTTTTAGTAGAGACAGGGTTTCACCGTGTTCGCCAGGATGGTCTCGATCTCCTGACCTCGTGATCCGCCCGCCTCGGCCTCCCAAAGTGCTAGGATTACAGGCGTGAGCCACTGCGCCCGGCCCCAACTTCGTTTTTTTTATTCAAGATGACTTTGACTCTTCAGAGTCCCTTGCATTTCCACATGATTTTTAGAATCAGCTTGTCCATTTCTGCAAAACAACGCAGTTGGAATTTTCATAGGTATTGTGTTGAATCTGTAGATCAATTTGGGAAATGTTACCATCCTAAGAATATTAAATCTTCCAGTCTGTGAACATGGGGTGTCTTTAATTTCTTTAACATTGTCTTGTGAAGTAGAATTGTTTTCTTAATTTTTTTCTCATTCACTGCTAATGTATATTTTAATACAATTGATTTTTATATATTGATCATATATCCTGCGGCTTTGCTGAACTCATTTATTAGTGCTAAAAGGTTATTTTTGTGAATTTGGGATTTTCTGTATACTAGGTGGTATCATCTGCAAATAGATATAACTTCACTGCTTTCTTTCCAGTCCTGATGCCTTTTATTTTCTTTTCTTTGCTAATTGCTCTGGCTAGAACTTCTAGTACAGTGTTCAGTAGAAGTGGTAAGAATGGACATTATTGTTTTGTTTCTTTTTTTTAAGATGGCGTTTTGCTCTTGTTGCCCAAGGCGGAGTGCAGTTGCGTGATCTTGGCTCACTGTGACCTCCGCCTCCCGGGTTTAAGTGATTATCTTGCTTCAGCCTGGGGTTACAGGCATGTGCCACCTTGCCTGGCTAATTTTGTATTTTTAGTAGAGATGGGGTTTCTCCATGTTGGTCAGGCTGGTCTTGAACTTCCAACCTCAGTTGATCCATCCTCCTGAGCCTCCCAAAGTGCTGGGATTGCAGGCGTGCGCCACCTTGCCCGGCTAATTTTTGTATTTTTAGTAGAGATGGGGTTTTACCATATTGGCCACGCTGGTCTCGAACTTCTGACCTCAGGTGATCTGCCTGGCTCAGCCTCCCAAAGTGCTGGGATTATAGGCATGAGCCACTGCGCCTGGCCTCTTGTCTTGTTTCTGAGTTGAGTAGACAAGTATTTTAGTCTTTCACCATCAAGTATGATGTTAGCTGTGGGTTTTTCTTACACTTTGTCATGTTCAGTAAGTTCCCTTCTATTTTTAATTTGCTGAGTGTTTCTATATGAATACCTGTTGAATTGTGTCAGATCCTTTTTGTACATCTATTGAGATGATCAGGTGGTTTTTGCATTTTTCTGGATTCAGTTTGTTAGTGTTTTGTTGAGAGTTTTTGTGTGAAGATACCTAAGAGATACTGGTCTCTAGTTTTCTTGTGACATTTGTCTGGTTTTAGTAGGAGGGCAGTAGACTTAATAAAGATGAGCTGCAAAATGTTTCCCCTCCAATTCTGTTCTTCTGTTTTTGTTTTTGTTTTTTTTAATTAGTTTTCAGCAGTTAGGCTTGTTTGGAGCCTGCCCGTAGAGCTCCTCGCACTACAGGCCTAGGAGTGGAACTGTACTTCACTGATTGTTAATTTTAGATTACTTCTGTATTTTAAATTATTCTTTTGGCATTCCTGTTACCATCATTTTTATGACCTCTCTGAAGGCAAAACAAATGTTTCACCCTTAGAATGCTCTGATATTTTTCATCATTGTGCCAATCCACTGGAAAAAGAATCTAAATTCTAATGTTCTGGATAATAGTGATCACATTCCAAAATGAGAATGTTATCTGTAATCTTGTACTTTATACTTCTATTAAAATGTTCTATAAATTTTTCATGGCTTGGTGGTTCTGGGTAGCTAAGGTTATGCAAGCAGCAGCGTTGCAGTGTGACGTGGAGGGAGTACTGTGTATTCAGATCCGGGGAGCACCTGCTGACTAAATTACCTCTGCTCGACCCCAGCAGGACACCCTGACTTTTTAACACACTCGTTAGAATTCTAAAATGTCAGGCTCACAGTTTATATATTAGTTCTCTATGGCTTTTGTTTACGTTAATAGTACTGACTTGTTTTTTTCCTAGATAGCTGTAAACCACATGAGTGGACTTTTTAATGACAGCCAGATTCGTCTTTGTTTTATAGAGTTGTTGCCTGCAATCTCTATCCCTTTGTAAAGACAGTGGCTTCTCCAGGTGTAACTGTTGAGGAGGCTGTGGAGCAAATTGACATTGGTAAGTCAGAAAAACCATTTTAGAAGACTGAGAGGAGAGGATTATTTAAATTTTAGTGAGATTTCATTTTGAATTTTATTACTGAGGAAATAGAAAGAAAATAGCTACTTCTGGATTGTGTTTTGGGATTACTATAATTCATTTATATTTTCTTTTTTTCATTTATATTTTCTAAGCTTTTTTTGTATGCAGAGATGCATCTGGGTTATTTTCCTGATTTATTTATTTATTTATTTTATTTTTATTTTTTTGAGATGAAGTCTTGCTGTGTCACCCAGGCTGGAGTACAGTGGCACAGTTTTGGCTGACTGCAACCTCTGCCTCCTGGGCTCAAGTGATTCTCTTGCCTCAGCCTCCTGAGTAGCTGGGATTACAGGTGCACACCACCACGCCTGGCTAATTTTTTTTGTATTTTTTATAGAGATGGAATTTCGCCATGTTGGCCAGAGTGGTCTCGAACTCCTGACCTCAGGTGATCCACCTGCCTCAGCCTCCCAAAGTGCTGGGATTCCAGGCATGAGCCACTGCGCCCAGCTTATTTTCCTGATTTTTAAGTCAGGAATTAAAATGGAAGTACATGCACAATGACTTTATTTAAAAGCGGTTCATAAGCTGATAGGGACATACAAAAATCAATAAGTCTTTTGTTCTTCAAAGGTGGAGTAACCTTACTGAGAGCTGCAGCCAAAAACCACGCTCGAGTGACAGTGGTGTGTGAACCAGAGGACTATGTGGTGGTGTCCACGGAGATGCAGAGCTCCGAGAGTAAGGACACCTCCTTGGAGACTAGACGCCAGTTAGCCTTGAAGGTGGGATGCACTTTCATGATATTGTAAGTTACATCCATGGAGTGCAGTGTTTGCCAGACCAAGCAGTATTCAGTTCTTGGTAGATTGCATTACCTACCAAAGCTTTGCTTGGAGCTGCTATCCTTTTGTTAAAAATGGAGAAACCAGCTATTACAGAGGTGTTCTGTCAAAAAGATTGAAAGAGAGCTGGGCGCGGTGGCTCACGCCTGTAATCCTAGCACTTTGGGAGGCCGAGGCGGGCGGATCACCTGAGGTCAGGAGTTTGAGACCAGCCTGGCCAATGTGGTGAAACCCTGTCTCTACTGAAAATACAAAAATTAGCCGAGTGTGGTGTGGTGTGGTACGCCTGTAATCCCAGCTACTCGGGAGACTGAGGCAGGAGAATCGCTTGAACCCAGGAGGTGGAAGTTGCAGTAAGCTGACATCACACCACTGCACTCTAGCCTGGGCAGCAGAGTGAGACTTTGTCTCAAAAAAAAAAAAAAAGATTGAAAAAGAATTGGAAAGGGGTAATTTGTTGGGCCATTCAGTGCTTTGCTGTCATTCATGGTGTCATCGTGTTGTGCAGCCACCACATAGCACTGAATAGTGAGGAGATGTTGTTTGCTGTGGACGTAGAAAACCATCTTGTCCCCACTTTGGAAAGTGCTGCTCGTGTCTCACAAAACTTACGCTTTTTGTAGGCATTCACTCATACGGCACAATATGATGAAGCAATTTCAGATTATTTCAGGAAACAGTACAGCAAAGGCGTATCTCAGATGCCCTTGAGATATGGAATGAACCCACATCAGACCCCTGCCCAGCTGTACACACTGCAGCCCAAGCTTCCCATCACAGGTAAAGCCCGAGCGTTCTGTGGCATGGTTTGCTGTGCCTGGAGAGTGTGTGTTTCTCTGTATTGCATCTGATGTGGTTCACATTCAGAAGATGATACATTCCGTAATGCCTCCTGTAGCCATCTGATAACCATCTGGTTTGAGACGCCATTTGGACTGAAGAGCACAGAAGTTGAGTAGTCTGGAGTTCTGAAAAGATGTCATGGGGGAGATGGAGATTGGAATGTCTCTGCCACGTAGATCTTTTTGAAGACATGAGACAGGATGGGATGGCCTGGATTTTATAGAGAAGAGGGTCAAGAAAGCCTTGGGGTAAAGGCTTGGTAGGTGTACTGTGGAGGAACCAGCAGAAGAAAAGTTGTGAAATTCCAACCTTTTAGAATGCATTTGAGAACAGAAAAGGGACTGTTTGTTTTGCACATATTGTAAGAAGCCGTTGCCTTGGAATATTGGATCTAGAAGCCCAATTGAAGTAGGCCAAAGCAGAAATGTGATGTTAAGAACTAACAACGATAAAGAGGTTTCTTGGAACAAGAAAGTAGGACTTTCTCTGGGTTTGTAGAGTTTAGAGAGGGTTTTTAAATGTGTGTCCTGTTCTGTTCCAAAGGTAGGCTGTGAGAGCCTGTCCTGCTCTGGTACAAGGGAGAGTAGGGGCAGGGACAGAGGTGAGAGTCCCAGGCATGGAGGCCTTGGAATCCCAAGCACTACCGGTGCAGCTGGCCTTGGCTGAGAGCAAGGGCAGCCTCCTTCCTGCCTGGGGCGGTCAGCATTTGGTGAGGGGGTGCAGCCTGGGCTTCCTTTCCCTGTCATCAGCTGAGAGAGCGATGGGGGAGGGGAGCAGCGTGCCAGGTGGGAGGAGAATCTGAAAGTTTCTTCACGTTTGCCGCGTTCTATTGTTCTGCCTCAGATAGATTTTTTTTTTTTTTTTTTAAATTAAGACAACGGAGTCTCGCTCTGTCACCCAGGCTGGAGTGCAGTGGCGCAATCTCTGGTTCAAGCGATTCTCCTGCCTCAGCCTCCTGAGTAGCTGGGATTACAGGTGCGCACCACAATGCCTGGCTAGTTTTTCTGTTTTTAGTAGAGATGGGGTTTCACCATGTTGGCCAGGCTGGTCTCAAACTCCTGACCTCAAGTTATCTGCCTATCTCAGCCTCCCAGAGTGCTGGGATTACAGGCGTGAGCCACCACACCTGGCCTCAGATCTCAGATACACTTTGACACTAACACTTCCCAAATCCCCACAGACACCCTGTGAAGTCCTGTAGGCTGAAGTAATCTAAGTAATTTGTTTTCTCTCGGCCTTTCTGGGCTTCACAGCACAGTAATCTTTTAAAAATGGAAATCGGATGATGTCAGACCCTACTTAAAGCCATTCCTTGGCTTTTCTTAAGCACTTTGCCCTGCCCCACAAACCCTGTGCTGCCTGCCTGCCTCCTATCTGCCCCCTCAGCAGCTCTCCCTGCGCCTGCTGCTAGCCCCTCCGCCCTGTGCCTCCAAGTGGGCCCAGCTCTTTCCACTCCAGCGCCTCTGGCTCCTTGTCCCCTTCACCCAGAATTCTTCCCTCTGCCCTTCACCGTCCTGGTTTCTTGTTATTCAGGCCTCACCTCCTCAGAGAAGCCTTCCTTGACCGCTTAGACCAAAGTAGCAGCCCATCATGCTTTCATCCCATCACCCTGTTTTGCTGCATGTGTTTCTATTCAATCTGTTCAAATTGTCTTCCCCCATTAGGATGGCAGCTTCCTTTTTTTTTTTTTTTTGAGATAGAGTTTCACTCTTTTCGCCCAGGCTGGAGTGCAGTGGTGCGATCTTGGCTCGCTGCAAACTCCACCTCCCGGGTTGAAGTGATTCTCCTGCCTCGGCCTCTCAAGTAGCTGGGACTACAGGCGCCTGCCACCACACCTGGCTAATTTTGTATTTTTAGTAGAGATAGGGTTTCACCACGTTGGCCAGGCTGGTTTTGAACTCCTGACCTCAGGTGATCTGCCTGCCTCGGCCTCCCAAAGTGCTGGGATTACAGGCATGAGCCACAGCGCCCAGCCAGGATGTCAGCTTTTGAGAGCAGAAGCTGCATCTGTTTTTGTTTGTCGCTGAATCCCCAGGGCTTAGAAGACTGCTTGGCACATTCCCTAAATGTTTACTGAATGAATAATTAGCAACCTGACATTTTGCACAAATTTTTCCTTGTAGGACTTCTTGAAACTGATTTGTCTGCTGTTATATCTGACCTATTTCCTGCTTATAGTTTATATTCTCCATTAAGATTCTGAGACAAAAAAATCCCCATGTACTGTCAGTTCTTATACTTTTCATTTTCCAAAGCATTTTCATTGGACTATATAAAAGCCTTCATTGTTCCTTAGACTGTGTGTGCGTTTCTTTTGAAGTTTAAAGTATTATTTGTGGTAAACATGGCAGAGGCGGCCCTGGACACGTAAATAAGCGTTTCTTGTGCGAGATTCCCAGGATTTCTCCCCAACATGGGCTTATTTCCACAATAGAAAAGGCACTTTGCCTTTTCATGTGGTTTGAGTATTTGGCAGTGATGTTATTACAGAGTGTATGGTTGCGATTGTATCTAAAACAAAATTGAAGCAAGAACAAAGATGGGGTTGTGTGAGTGTGTGTATGTGTCTGAGATTTTAATGACTGGTTTGCTTATGATTGGAAAGAAGAAAATTCCTATTTATTTCAGCTATTTACTAGATTAAGCAACTTTCAGCATTTCTCTGGCACTTTCTATTTCAGTTATTAATGTCTTTGAAAATTTGATATTTGAAGGGGAACCGGATACTCTTTTTTTTTTGAGGCAGAGTCTTGCTCTGTCGCCCAGGCTGGAGTGCAGTGGCATGATCTCGGCTCACCACAACCTCCGCCTCCCAGGTTCAAGTGATCTCCTGCCTCAGCCTCCTGAGTAGTTGGGATTACAGGCATGTACCACCAGGCCCAGCTAATTTTTGTATTTTTAGTAAAGACAGAGTTTCACCATATTGGCCAGACCAGTCTGAAACTCCCAACCTCAGGTGATCCACCCACCTTGGCCTCCCAAAGTGTTGGGGATTACAGGCATGAGCCACCGCACCCATCCAGATACGCTTAACTATGAGATGTTTCAGAAACCAAAAGTTTTCTCCCACTTATCAACCTTAGCCTAAACCATCTATGAGGAGTGGGAGGGAGATGGGGGAGTTGTACATATGGTGTTTTGTTTTATTATGCCTGTTGTATGCCTTAGGGGATATTTTACTTCTATTGTTTACTATTTATTGCCTAGTTTGTTTTCTTCTGTGCCTCTCGCATAAATTTCATGAGGACAGTGATTTTATTTGACTTGATTTTTGGTTGGGGGAATTATTTTTTCAAGTTCTTTTTAAAACGGGCTTTATTTTTTTAGAGTAGTTACAGGTTTACAGAAAAAATACACGGTGATTATAGGGAATTTCCATATACCCCGCTTCCCCGCAGTTTCTCCTGTTAACATCATGCATTAGTGTGGTGTATTTGTTACAACTGATGAACCGATTTTGATTCATTATTAACCAAGGTTCATAGTTTAACATTCATTCTTTGTGTTGTACATTCTGTGTATTTGGAAAAATGCACAGTGGCATGTCTCCCCCATTACAGTATCATGCAGAATAGTTTCAATGCCCTAAAACTCCCTTGTGCTCCTCCGCCTCATCCCTCCTTTCCCTTCTCCCCAACCCTTTGCAACCACTGTTATCTTTTTCTCTTTTCTTTTTTTTTTTTTTGGAATGGAGTCTTGCTATGTTGTCTGAGCTGGTTTTGATATCCTGGGACTCAAGCAGTCCTTCCGCCTTGGCCTCTCAAGTAGCTGGGATTACAGGCATGCACCACCATGCCCAGCTGTTTTTACTGACTCTGTACCCATTTCCAGAATGTCAGATAGTTGGGATCATACAGTATGGAGCCCTTTTAGGCACTTTCAGTTAACAACATGCATTAAGTTTCTTCCACATCTTTTTGTGGGTTGGTAGCTTATTTCTTAATGCTGAATAATATTTCACTGTGTATGAATGTACCACAGTTTATCCATGGACATATTGAAGGGCATCAAAACTTCAAGGACAGTTTTTGGTAGTTTATGAACAAAATTGCTATAATCATTTGTGTGCAAGTTTTCAACTCATTTTGATAAATACCTAATATTTTCTTTTATTGTATACTATTTATTGCCTATTTTTTATTTGCCTCCCCAGTAAGCTCCATAAGGACAGTGACTTTTTTTTAAGAGGGTTGCAGGGACGGTTTTTTTCACTGATGTATCCTGAATACCTAGAACAGTGCTTAACATCGTAGTAGGCAACTCAGTAAATATTTGGCAAGGTCTTTAAAAACTATCTTAACCCATGAAGGACATGAAATTACACATTTTTGTTTTTTGGGTTTTTTTTTTTTTTTTTTGAGACGGAGTCTCGCTCTTGTTGGCCAGGCTGGAGTGCAGTGGCGCGGTTTCGGCTCACTACAACCTCCACCTTCCAGGTTCAAGCGATTCTCCTGCCTCAGCCTCCCTAGTAGCTGGGATTACATGCGCCCGCCACCACACCCAGCTAATTTTTGTGTTTTTAGTAGAGACGGGGGTTTCACCATGTTGACCAGGCTGATCTCGAACTCCTGACCTTGTGATCCACCCACCTCGGCCTCCCAAAGTGCTGGGGTCATGGGGGTGAGCCATTGTACCCGGCTCATTTTTGTTTTTAATTAGTGCTGGCCCACCATTTCTTTCTGTGTGCTGAACTTCTTATGTTTATTCACAAGAGATACTAGCTCCTAAAAAAATCTGCCAGTGTTGAGAAACTAGGTAATGGAAAACTCTGAAGTTGCAGTCTCCTTTTAACTACAGTTCTGCTTTAGGCAGAGTCTGTTGAGTTTGCCATCAAAGAAGAAAGAAAAAACACATTATTTCTTCTCTTCTTCCACCCACAGCTGTTGCTTTAGCTTGTAATATAATTTCTTACATCGATAGGGTTTATAACTTTAATTTTGTACTGTCTCTGTGATTACCTCAATTGTTTAATCTTAGTTCTGTATTTACATGAATTCCTGACTGATCACTAGTCTTGTCATAGTTTCTCCCATCCCTAAATCTCTTATTGTGGATTTATTTCTAGACTGGCTGGTTCTGGTCCTCCAGTCGTGTGTGTGTGTGTGTGTGTGTGTGTGTGTGTGTGTGTGTGTGTTCATGTACATGTGCATTTTTTTTAAAGATGGGCTCAGGCTCAGTTGCTTTGTTCTTTATCATCAAGATTTTATGTTTGTGTGTATCTGTTTGGCTCTTAATTATACTTAAAACATTTGTTTAGTCATGTTATTTTTTTGAGAAGTGTGCATACATCTGACCTTACTGATCCTGCTTAGTAATGTGCATGTATATTTTTACATTTAGTTCTAAATGGAGCCCCTGGATTTATAAACTTGTGCGATGCTTTGAACGCCTGGCAGCTGGTGAAGGAACTCAAGGAGGCTTTAGGTATTCCAGCCGCTGCCTCTTTCAAACATGTCAGCCCAGCAGGTAAAGCTCTGTGCTCTGGAAAGCTCCAGAATTGTTCGAAAGGCATTTCTTCTTAAATTTTTTTGAATATTAACAAGTTCTAATGTGAATATAGACATGCTATGAAATCTGAAAGTCATCTGTTGATAACAGTATCAATGTAATAATATAAAATCTGATACACACACACACACAGAATTGTGTAATATTGTCAGGAAAATGAGGCAGGAATTTGTTTGTGGGGTGGAACCATAAAAGTTTAGAAAATAAAAGTGAAATGTCCTAATGCAATAGACTAAGTCTTGTGCCACATCTTTGAAAATGTAATGGAGTAAACATAAAGAAGTTCTTCTTTGGACTCTTTATCTGAAACTTCTTATAGTCGTTGTATGAGATACTTTGCTTCTGTGTTTAAATCATGAACTCCGCAATTGAGTTGTCTGTACACCACATCTTGCTGACAGTCCTCCAGCACATGATTTGTTCTCAGGTGTTTATTGGGTGTTAAAGTGATGTGAGTGGGGAAGAAATAAATGATGTGTGATATCAAAGTGATATCAAGCAGAACAGAGAGAAAGAGTGAGTCAGTAATGAAGTAAACGAGCTTCACCTACACGCTGGGTACTGTCAGGCTTCAGTGGCTCTGTGGTTTTGGAGGGCAGAGAGGAGATTTCCCTCACACTGCTCCCACAACCATATTTTTAGTGTATAATTATCTGGCTAAATAGATTTCTGTTTAATTTAGCACAGGCACTAGAAAATGTGCTGCGTAGACTGGGTGTTAAGAAAACTGTCTTGATTTAGGAGTTGACAGGTAGTAACTTTAGCTTTCTTTGTTTATGATTTTACTATTTTCTAACCAGGTGCTGCTGTTGGAATTCCACTCAGTGAAGATGAGGCCAAAGTCTGCATGGTTTATGATCTCTATAAAACCCTCACACCCATCTCAGCGGCATATGCAAGAGCAAGAGGTCAGACTCATAGGGCTTTTTGATTTGGGGGAGAAAGAAAAAGCAATATTTTATCCTAAATAGAATAAAGAGGATAGAATAAAGAAAAAATATATAGATATTCTGTATAATATATAGATGAAATTAAGGACTTCTATCTCTATGTAAATATACAGTTATTCTATATAATATAGTTTGATTAAAGTAAAATACCCTTTGTTTCATTATAGGATTTCCTATTTAATTTGTTTTATTAATATTTGAGATTGATTCTGTGAGTACCTCAAAATACATTTCTTTATAAAAGTGTATGTTAGTATTTTAGGCCGGGCGCAATGTCTCACGCCTGTAGTACCAGGACTTTGGGAGGCTGAGGCGGGCAGATCACGAGGTCAGGAGATCGAGACCATCCTGGCTAACACGGTGAAACCCCGTCTCTACTAAAAATACAAAAAATTAGCTGGGCGTGGTGGGGGGTACCTGTAGTCCCAGGTACTCAGGAGGCTGAGGCAGGAGAATGGTGTGAACCCGGCAGGTGGAACTTGCAGTGAGCCAAGATAGCGCCAGTGCACTCCAGCCTGGGTGACAGAGCGATACTCCGTCTCAAAAAAAAAAAAGTATTTGTTAGTATTTTAGTGTAATAAATGGAAACACAATTGGAATTTGGTCAATGTAATTTTGCTAATTTAGGCTATTGAATGCATTTGTTATTGTTTAATATGTGACCAAAATTGAAATTACAAAAAGCTATTCTTTTTTTTTTTTTTTTTTTTTTGAGACAGCTTCTTGCTCTGTTGCCCAGGCTGGAGTGCAGTGGCGCCATCTCAGCTCACTGCAACCTCCACCTCCTGGGTTCAAGCGATTCTCCTGCCTCAGCGTCCTGAGTAGCTGGGATTACAGGTGCGTGCCACCACACCTGGCTAATTTTTTTGTATTTTTAGTAGAGACATGGTTTCACCATGTTGGCCAGGCTGGTCTTGAGCTCCTGACCTCAAGTGATTCACCTGCCTCAGCCTCCCAGAGGGCTGGGATTACAGGCGTGATTTATGGCTCTTCTAACTTTACTACATTTGGTTAGAGTCATGTTTTATCAGAGACATTTACTTGTTGAATTTAATAACCCATGAATATCCCTTTAGTATTTCTGAAAGTTCTTGAGAAACTATTACCATAGTTTATCATCTACAGCAGTGGTCAGCAACTTCAGCTGAATCCAGCCTGCCACCCTGTTTTTGTGAATATAGTATATATAAATTGGTCCTTCACAGAAAAAGTTTTCTGAGTGTCACTCTAGAGGGTAAAATTAAAGAATACTTTCTTACTGGTTACTTCAGTTAAATGACTTATTGATCTGTTAAAATCTTATGTAAACAGTAAGATTAGCTTTAGAGTAATGAATTTTATATGACAGTGGAGAATTTTATTACTTTTTCTGTATCAGGATACTTTGTGATAAATACCTCATTTTAATTTTATTTACAGGGGCTGATAGGATGTCTTCATTTGGTGATTTTGTTGCATTGTCCGATGTTTGTGATGTACCAACTGCAAAAATTATTTCCAGAGAAGTTAGTGGACATTCATGTATCTTAATCTGTGTGTTGAATAAAGCTTTATTTGTTCATAATGTTAATTGAAACCATAACCTATAATATTTATATTTATAATATCTTTTAATTAGCTAAGTTTATCATTTAATGTTCATATTTTAAATAGAACATTAATCTTAAATTGTTAATTTTGAAATGTAGTGAATTATTGTTTCAGATGGATATTTGGCTGTTATGATGTTTTTTACTTATATATTTATTTTAAATTCTTTGTTGTCTTCATGCCAAAGTTACTGTTTCTGAAGAGCAGAAGTTGTAATTTTAGGTGGTGATGCGATATAATCCATCTTACTGCATAGTGGGTAAAAAACAGAAACTACATTAATAAACTTACCCCATCAGTTGAATACCAAACAGGTATTCCAGACAGGTGGGGGTACTGTTGGTAGTAGGAAGACAGGAAGAAAAGAGAAAAAGATTAAATAGCTCAGAAAGGGGAAAAAAATAAGCAGAGGTGAAGGCTGAAGGAGCATGTGGCTTGGCACTATTTTGTTGCTTTAGGATTCTTTCCATGGCCACTGCCATCCCTGGGTTACAGGTTACAGGAGGGCTGTGACATTTGTATCTTTCGTCATGTCAAATCTCTGATTTAATCTGGTCTTGCTGTTAAGGAAAACGCCTTGCCGGAAGAGGTCATTTAACCATGTACTAGGAGAGTCAGGACTAGAATGTGCTCTTGCTCATTCAAAACACTCCCTGAAGAAATATTTCCTCCTGAGGTACATGTGTTAAGAGCAAATCAGTCATATTTTCTTAGTTTAAACTGAAACGAACAAAAACTTGGAGAGGACAGAAAGTTAGGATCTGCTATACAGAAAGCTGTATTCTAATAGATTTCTCTTTTCAAGTATAGCGTTAGCATTGTTTGTTGGAGGCAGAAACCAGAATATGCTGCCACATTATTTAAGACTGATAATTGCTGCTAGATTTTTTTAAGAGGTGTTCTCTGATTTTTAAAAATAGAAATTAAAATTTAATATTTTTGCAGGTATCTGATGGTATAATTGCCCCAGGATATGAAGAAGAAGCCTTGACAATACTTTCCAAAAAGAAAAATGGAAACTATTGTGTCCTTCAGGTGAGTGCAATTCATGTTTGAAGCGGTAATTTGCTCTTTTATTCTGTGTCTCTTTCTCCCTTGTTTACTCTTTCCTTTATACTCATACCCTTCTAGTTTATCCTTATTATAGTTTATTTTCCCCAATCCTGCATTTAAAAAAATACTATTAACTTGGGGTTTTGAGATGAGAGTAGCTTTCTTACCCTCAATTTTAACTTTTTGCTGGTTGTGATGGCTCATGCCTATAATTTCAGCCACTTGAGAGGCTGATGTGGGAGGATGGCTTGAGGCCAAGAATTGGAGGCTGTATTGTGGTACTATGATGCCTGTGAATAACGACTGCACTCCAGCCTTGGCAGTGTAGTAAGACCATGTCTCTAAAATACTAATAATAGTAACAATATTTAATGGAAAGTCTCTCCATCCTTCTGTTACCTTTTGAAAAGATAACTATTTTAAATTTCTTGCTTATCTTTCCTGAAATAGTCTATGTATTCAGCAAATATTTGCATGTGCATTTCTTTTTCTATTTTCCTATTGACACAAGTGCACCCTGCTTCACCTTCTTGGAAGTTTGTCCTGTATCTGTGTATTTTAACTTACCTAGACAGTCACCAATCTTTAGCTACTACAAATACCCCTGCAGTGAATAACCTAGAAAAGTCCTGAGAGTGAAATTAAGGCTTAATAACAAGCTCTATGTATATTGGTAATCTTAATTGATACTGCCCCTTTTAGATGTTGTAGGCAAATTCATTGTCCTAACTGAAATATATAAGGATGCCTGTTTCCCAACACTTTTGTCAGCATTGTGGTTTTATACTTTTAAAAAGTCTCTGCAGTTAGAAAATGGCATCTCAATGTAGTTTTAACATTGTGTGTGGTATGAGCATCTTTTCATGTTTGAATGTTTTTATTCCTTTCTATGAACTGTCTTTCCATATTCTTTGATGATTTTTCTACTAAGTTGTTGTTGGCTTTTTTTTTTTTTTTAACTGATTTTTATGAGCTCTTCTGTATTGGGAAAAGTAGCTCATGGTCTAAGATTATGCATTGATAAAGCAAAGAGTTATTTCAATTTAAAGTAAAAATTCCTAATGCTACTTTTCATAGTATTGATATCAGAACTCTGTGGAATCCTAATTCCTTACAAGGAAAGTTATTAAGTATATTCTTTTGATTGTAAGATACCAATAATTTTATAGTTCACCATAGATTCCATGTCAGCTATTTAAGGAAAGAAGAGAATACCACATTAAAGTTAATACTTATTTTTTTTTAGCCACTTGACAGTCTGTTGCCCAGGCTAGAGTGCAGTGGTGTGATCTTGGCTCACTGCAACCTCTGCCTCCTGAGTTCAAGCGATTTTCCTGCCTCACCCTCCCAAGTACCTGGGACTACAGGCATGTACTACCAGGCCTGGCTGAGTTTTGTATTTTTAGTAGAGACAGGGTTTCACCATGTTGGCCAGGCTGGTCTCAAACTCCTGACCTCAAGGGATCTGCCCGCCTCGGCCTCCCAAAGTGTTGGGATTACAGGCGTGAGCCACCGCGCCTGGCCCCCAGTTTCTTAATCAAGTTTTTTTTTTGTTGTTGTTGTTAAGAGTGTTATGTACTTAACAACCATTAGCATTTTCTTGTAGCATCATGGAAAATATTTTCCAAAACCTGAGTCATTTTCTTGATCTCTTTAACACCTGATAGTTGGAGAGTGTCAAAGGAATATCAGGACTTCATTGGTATTTTACTTATTTGAGAATTTGGCTTAGTTTGCACATTGGACGCATGATTATAAGCATGAGACAACTTATCCCTCTACCTGACTAATGATAAGTTTCTCCTAGCATCAGTTAATAGGAGAGCATATCAATTTTAGAAATTTTATAGTGCATAATACAAAGGAACATTTTAGAATTCAAGAAAATGTAGATTAAACAGAACTAATATTTACGGGGTCTTGCTTATAAATTATATGTCAGGGCTTTCTAAATCAAAGATCATCCAAAGCATAAAGAAGAAATAGTGTCAAGTTTAAAAAAATATCCAGGGAGAGAGTAGTGTTACACGTATTGTTCCACACACCTTAATGTTCTTTCGGCTCAAAATTTGGGAGAGGAAGATGGCAGTAAATGATACAAATTCCTTCCAAATAGCAAAGACACAGATTACAAATCCTGTTTTCTCACTTTTAGCTTTCAATTCCTGGGTTAGCTGGGTATTTTGTAACAGATTTTTAGAAAGGAAAATTAGAATTTAATTTTTGTGCCATTGCTTATTTAATTAGCACATCTGTTTTATCTGCTGACCTTCCAAAAGAACCATATAGGTAGTAACTTAACCAAAAATACACTCACTGGAATCATTGTTTTTTAACATGTTGTATATAGGTTGTAAAATCTATAAAATACTATTGGGTAGTAAAATCTATAAAAGACTTTGGAGAAAAATATTAGCGCCTGGCTGTTGTATCATACCAGAATGTTGAATTGTATCATACCAGAATGATTTAACACATCATTTGTTGTGTGAGAAAAATTAGAAAATTAGAAAACTGTAAAAAATTAGAAACATGCATATAACTTTACTTACAATGAAATCTTTTGTATATAAATTAAATGAAAAATTTGAGGGAAGTGGAGAGATTAACTTTAACTTTTAAAATTTGTATTTTAGATGGACCAATCTTACAAACCAGATGAAAATGAAGTTCGAACTCTCTTTGGTCTTCATTTAAGCCAGAAGAGAAATAATGGTGTCGTCGACAAGTCATTATTTAGCAATGTTGTTACCAAAAATAAAGATGTAAGTTGGGAAGTATCTGAACTGACTGCTAGTAACTTCCATTGGTCTGTTTTCAATACTTAATGAGCTTTACATTTATTAAGGTCTGGATTTGGAACTGGTCTGTATGCACACGGCTAGCTAGCTTATCTTTGAGTTGTCACATAAGCTTTGGAGTTTAAGAAATGAATCAAAGGCCATGTTAGAAGCTTCTGTGCATATGTACACACTAGAGATAAGTAGCTTTAATTGTGTATAAATGGGATCATGTCTTCCATAATCTGACTCCTGTAACTTGGCTTTTTTCCATGTGCTAGGCTACAAATGTGTTTTTATATCAATACATATAGATGCTGGGTGCAGTAGCTGACATTTGTAATCCCAACACTTTGGTAGGCCAAGGGGCAGCTCTCTTGAGGTCAGGAGTTTAAGACCAGCCTGACCATGTAGTGAAACCTTGTCTCTAGAAAAAGTACAAAAATTAGCCTGGCGTGGTAGCTGCGCCTGTAGGTCCAGCTACTCGAGAGGCTGAGGTGAGAGGATTGCATGAGTCTGGGAGATCAAGGCTGCAGTGAGCCGTGTTTGTGCCACTGCACTCCTCTCTGGGTGACAGAACAAGATCCTATCTCGAAAATAAATGCATATTCATATCTTTATCTGAAAGTCCATGTGGCAGTCAGTCCATGTGTAGATGTACTACGATGGATATTTATTGTTCTTATTTTTACCCTGATTGATTGATTTATTTTTTTATTTTATTTTTTCTGAGACAGAGTCTTGCTCTGTCACCCAGGCTGGAGTGCAGTGGTGCGATCTCGGGTCACTGCAAGCTCCGCCTCCCGGGTTCACGCCATTCTCCTGCTTCAGCCTCCCAAGTAGCTGGGACTACAGGCGCCCGCCACAACGCCTGGCTAATTTTTTTTGTATTTTTAGTAGAGACGGTGTTTCACTGTGTTAGCCAGGATGGTCTCGATCTCCTAACCTCGTGATCTGCCCACCTCAGCCTCCCAAAGTGCTGGGGTTACAGGCGTGAGCCACCATGCCCAGCCTTTATTATTTTTTTTAAGAGACTTTTGAATGTTTTTATCCCTTTGAAGCTCGCTCTGTTTGAATGTTTTTATTCCTTTGAAGCTTGCTCTGTTGCCCAGGCTGGAGTGCAGTGGTGCGATCATAGCTCACTGCAACGTGGATCTTCTGATGGATATTTAGATTGCTTACATTTTCAGTGCTATGATCAATGTTTTTATATAGACAAGTTTTTGGGCTTGTGCTCTTTGTTACCTTGTAGTAAGGACACGTTCCTAGGATAATAATGGTGATTTTTGTGTTTTGGATATATTATCTCATTTAACACTTAGGTCACTCTATGGGGGTGACTACCATCGTGTCAATTGTGAAGATCACAAAATTGTACCATAAAGGACAATTAAGAAATTTGACCGGAGTTACACAATAAAGAATGGACAAGCTGACATTTATTTTTTGGAGTATCTTAATTGGGCCTTCAGTTTGAAGGATGTTTGTCCTAGGTCTAAAGTAGGCTGTGCTTGTTGTTCAGTACTTTGCAGGAATCATTCCATTGCTTTCTGGTCTGTCTGGCTGATAGCCTGGAATTTTTTATTGAGTGCTAGGCATTGGGTATGAAAAAACTGTAGCGATATTTTGAGGGCTGGATGGTGTTATTTTTCTCTCCAGAGTTGACTTGTCCTTCTTTTGGGCAGATAAGGTGTAGGAGGTATCTTCATTCTGTCAGGAATTGTTGAGCTTCCTAAAGGCTAAATAGGAATTTAGCCTTCAGTCTTTGTGAGGACTGGTCTGTTCATGGTTCATTCCTGCTCCTGAATCCCTAGGTATCTACTGCTGTACGCTGAACTCGGCTTTTGTCCCTTAGTCCTCTAAGACTGCCAAAAGTTGTGCTCAGCCAATTTACCTTTAGTTTATTGCATGCAACTTGGAAAATGCCTTGAGGAGAAAAGCATAGACTGTCAGGCCCATTTCTTACTGCTTCCATTTTCTCTGGGATCTTTGTCTGTTAGCACTTGCTGTCTGTCCGCTCTGCCCAGCATTTCTGTTTGTTACTAAAAGAGGATTGGTCTCTTAAGCTATTTGCTGTAACAGAAGGAGATGAGGGGCTGCAGCTTGCTCCCAGGTCTGAATCCTGAGGCCTTTTCAGTAGAATTGCTGGAAATAAGCCTTAAAATCTTTATCCAGAGAGTTCTGTCTGTTGATAAGCATACGACGATTAACATATCTTTTTTGTTTGATTTAATGGATATTCTTTCATTTCTATCTTTGACAATTAATGGTGTCCTGAAGTAAAGAAACATGTAGGCATTATACATAGAAATATCTTTCAGCCCTTTGGAATCCACTCTGGTTGGTTCATGTACTTTGAAAAATACTGAATGGATATTGACCTAGATTCCATGGTACCATGTTGAGAATTGTGCCTAGCTACTGAGAGTCTTTTTTCTAAGGTTTGTAGATATTGGATTCATTAATAATTTAGTGATCTTGATAGGTTTTGTGCCTCTGGATATTTTTTATAAGAGTGGTAGGTATGATCTTAATCGTTTATCTAAACTCTTTCCTTGCTTCATATGAATTCTTAGTAGAAATTTGGAAACTTAAGGATGAGAGAATGATAGCTTTGTTCTCCTTTCTGTTTTACCCGTCTTTTTAAGTGGATTTTTGTTAACATTCCAGCCTCAGAATTATTAGGTCTGGAACCATTTCAGTCCTGAGAGAGCCAGACAGGTGGATGGAATGTTTATTAATACTGAACATGTTTGAATTATTTCCTCTTCTCCCATTTTTCTTGAATAGTGCTTTAATTGTGTTAACTATTTGTAGCATGTTTCTAAGACTGGATTCCCTTACTCCCAGTCCACTGGCATTTCTCGTATGCCTTGATCCCAACCCAGGATGCCAAGTGTATTAGTTTTTATCACGCTGCTATGAAGAAATTCCTGAGACTGGGCAATTTATAAAGAAAAGAGGTTTAATTGACTCACAGTTCCACACGGTTGGGGAGGCCTCAGGAATCTTATAATCATGGCAGAAGGCACCTCTTCAGAGGGCGGCAGGAGAGGGAATGAGTGCAAGCGAGAGAAATGCCAGACGCTTACTGTCAGATCTCATGAGACTCATTCATTGTCATGAGAACTACATGGGGGAAACTGCCCCCATGATCCAGTTACCTCCACCTAGTCCTGCCTGTTGACACATGGGGATTATTATAATTCAGGGTGAGATTTAGGTGGGGACACAGCCAAACCGTATCACCAAGATTATCTTTGAAGGTCTAGACATCTATGAAGCTGGCTTTTGCTACTAAGTTTTCTGGGAACCAGAGGAATCAGATTTATAGTTGATGACTCAAATAGCAGATAAAGATAAAAGATATATAACATTAATAATACCTTAGAGTAATAAATTCTTAAGAAATCCTAATAGCTTTTTTTAAATTAAACTTTTTAATTTTGAGATAAAAGTTGTAGATTCATATACAGTTGTAAGAGTTCCCATGTAACCGTTACCCTATTTCTCCTAATGCTAGCATTTGTCACACTACAGTACAGTTCCACAACCATGCCATTGACATTGATAACAGTTGAAGACACAGGGCATTTCCAACACTGCAGTGATCCCTCATGTTCTTCTGTAGCCGGGCTCACTTGATATGGCTTCCACCCTCTCCTTACCCTTGGGCAACCACAAATCTGTTTTTCCTTTCTATAATTTTCATTCATCGTGCATTCATGTACAGTTTTTGTGTGTTTGTGTGAGCATAAGGTTTTTGTCTTTTGGGGAAACAGGGTCCAACTCTGTTGTCCAGGCTGGAGTGCAATGGCTCGGTCTTGGCTCACTGCAATCTCCGCCTCCCGGGTTCAAGCGATTCTCCTGCCTCAGCCTCCCAGGGAGCTGGGATTACAGGCATGCGGCACCACACCTGGCTAATCTTTGTATTTTCAGTAGAGACGGGGTTTCACCATGTTGGTCAGGCTGGTCTTGAACTCCTGACTCAGGTGATCTACCCGCCTGGGATTACAGGCATGAGCCACTGTGCCCAGCCTAAACGTAAGTTTTTATTTCTCTTTGATAAATGCCCAGGGTTGTTAACTGCTTTGTGGTATGGTAGTTGCATGTTTAGTTTACTAAGAAACTGCTGAATTGTTTTCCAGAGTGGCTTGTACCATTTTGTATTCCCACCAGCAATGGATGAGTGATCCAATGTCTCTGCATCCTTACTAGCTTTTGGTATTGCTACTTTTTTTTTTTTTTTAAAGACATGGGATAGTTGTGTAGCAATCTCTCACTGATTTTAATTTGCATAATAGCTCATGATGTTGAACATTTTTTTGTGTACTTATTTGCTACATGTGTATCCTTTTTGGTGAAAATGTCTGTCTTTTGCCCATTTTCTAATTAAATTTTTGATTGTTACTGAGTTTTTTTGTTTTGTTTTGAGATGAAGTCTCGCTCTGTCACCTAGACTGGAGTGCAGTGGCATGATCTTGTCTCACTGCAGCCTCCACCACCCGGGTTCAAGTGGTTCTCCTGTCTCAGCTTCCCAAGTAGCTGGGATTACAGGAATGCGCCACCACACCTGGCAAATTTTTATATTTTTAGTAGAGATGGGGTTCACCATGTTGGTCAGGCTGGCCTGGAACTTCTGACCTCAGGTGGTCCACCCGCCTTGGCCTCCCAAAGTGCTAGGATTACAGGCATGTGCCACTGCGCCTGTCCTGTTACAGAGTTTTTAAAGTTTTTTTATGTTTTAGGTGCTAGTTTGTTGTTGGATATGAGGTTTGTTAATAATTTTCTCCTAGTTCGTAGCTTGTCTTTTCATCCTCTTTAATGAGGAATCTTTTACAGAGGAAAAGTTCTTAATTTTACTGAAGTCAAATTTATCAACTTATCTGTTGGCTGTAGCAAATATCCTCTGTCCATTTAGCATACAGACGTGGACTATCATCCTTCTTTTCCATTTGTATTCATGCCTGATACTAAAGATAGTGATATTTTTGGGCGTTATTCTTGTTGTTCTATTTGGACTGGTAATTCCTAATGGTTTTTGAACAGTTTCAACTTAAGTTATTCTAAACAAAAGAGAAAATGATCGTAATTTGATTTTTCCAAAGTCTTGGCTGTCTGTGTGCATCATAACGATTTGTGATGTCTATGAAACAATTCTCCGCATTGGTTCTGAACGTAAATTTTACCATGTCTCCAGATATTTAAAAGTACTCTGGTCAAGAAAATATTGTTTGTCAGTTTTGGAATGGATATGGTAGTTCTTACCTCATGTGATATAAAAAGGCTTAATCCACAATTGCTACAAAATAACATGAGTTTGTGTCTATGGATGCATTGTGCTAAGTTCCACCCCAAATGTGTTAAATATTTAAGTAAATCATGGTAGTGTGTAGGAGAACAGTTAATTTCCCTCTGTCATTTGAGTGGTATAACTATGTTGTAGGTCTTTTACATTAAATAGAACTAAGAAACTTAAAGTTGGCCAGGTGTGGTGGCTCACACCTGTTGTAATCCTGGCACTCTGGGAGGCTGAGGCACGTAGATGACTTGAGCTCAGGAGTTCGAGACCAGCCTGGCCAACATGGTGAAACCCCATCTCTACTAAAAATACAAAAATTAGCCAGGCATGGTGGTGCATGCGCCTGTAATTGAAGTGTGAGAATCTCTTGCACCCGGGAGGTGGAGGTTACAGTGAGCCGAGATTGTGCCGTTGGAGATTGTCCCATTGTGCCTGGGAGACAGAGTGAGACTCTGACTCAAAAAAACCACAAAAAATAATATTTAAAAAAAGAAGCTTAAAGTTAAATGAGTTTAAAAGGCCCCATGCAATTTACCATTGTGTATGTGTTTCAGTTGCCAGAGTCTGCCCTCCGAGACCTCATCGTAGCCACCATTGCTGTCAAGTACACTCAGTCTAACTCTGTGTGCTACGCCAAGAACGGGCAGGTAAGTGGGCTGTTGGACTCGCCTTCGGGGGACTGTTGTTTTACGAAATGATATTTAAACATCCGTCTGCCTTAGATATTGGACAGCTTGAAAGGGAATATTTGCCAAATGTTTGTCTTTTGTGTTTGTCAGTGTTTCCTCAGTACCCTGGTGGGCTGTTAAAACTAATGATGATCAGAAAATATCTTTGGAACCAGGTACTCAAAGTAGTTGTGCTGCTTCTTGCCTTGAATAGGTTGGCACATTTTGGATTAGTGAGACTCTAATAGCTGTTACAAAACTGGATTATTTCCTTTCCTTTTCCCCCATTGGTATTATTTCCAGGGAAGAGGAGGTAAGTTACGGTACTGCCACCCACCAGCCTATATTTTTGCAGCCTGCAGGGTATTTTCACATTATTTCTTATGTTGTCTTATCAAGAATCTGCTGAGTAGAAAGACTGCTAGACTAGGAGTTAACTTCATCTTTAAAAAGTTAGGTTCATTGAGGCATAATTTGTATACAGTAGAATTCACCTTTTTAAAGTACAGTTTGACCAGTTTTCACAAATTTCACAGTATGTGACCGCTGCCACAATTAAATACCAAACATTTCTCACTGTGTGACGTTAAGCAAGATATTACACTTCTTTCCTAGTGTCCCGAGCCTCAGAATACAAGATGGAGCTGGTTCATCTCTGAGGTCTCTGCTAGCCTTTTCTTCACCTGGTGTCCTGAGCTTATCTCTTGGCATTTGTTAAATTATTTGGCCCACAAGTGACAGGGAGGTGGGTGGATATGAATTAGCCTATGGCCTGGAAGACCCCAGATTGCCAGTCTCTGTAGTAACAAACTCCTGGGAGATTGTGTCTACTGGTGTCAGGTTCTAAGAAGTTCTGTAAGTCCATGTAGAATGAGTGCTTCATTCCTGATGTTGAGGAGGAGGCGGCTGCCCAGGTATTTGTGGTCTCTTTTATTCTCTTGTAGCTGTGGGCAGGGTTGCCAGCAGCTGTGCTCAGAAAGAGATGGACTGTTGGGCAGACAGCTTAGGGGCTGTTCATTATAGGAACTAAAACCAGAAAACACACCTGTGCATTTAAGTCCTTGTTGCTTAGAATTCAACCCATAGAAATAGAGGAAAGAAGGAAGAACATTTGTACCTGGCGGAATTGTTTCTACTTTTAGCTACCCATGTCAGATCCTTATCTCAATTTCTGAGAGTTGATATTTTAACTGTAATTTATACACTGGGGCAAACAAAAGACTTTCAAGTAACCATAGTTATTTTTGTGGTCATTAGTTTTATTTATTTATTTATTTATTTTTTATAGAGACAGGGTCTTGCTCTGTTGCCCAGGCCAGAGTACAGTGACATGATCATAGCTCATTGTAGCCTTCGACTCCTGGCCTCAAGCGGTCCTACCACTTCAGCCTCCTGAGTAGCTGGGACTGCAGGTGTGCGCCACTACCCCTAGCTATTTTTTAATTCTTATTTTTTGTAGAGATGAGATGTTGCCATCTTGCCCAGGCTGGTCTCCTGAGCTCAAGCAATCCTTCTGTCCTAACCTCACAAAGTGCTGGGATTACAGGCATGAGCCAGTGCACCCAGCATTGGTCATTTATTTTAACTTTTTTTTTTTTTTGACCTCAAACCATCAATTTTATTGAATTGTAGATTATTAATAGTCATATGTCACATATCACTGAAGAGGTATAAATAGTAGTTATAAACAAACCTCTTACTCCACCCCTTTTAATGACTTAAAAATTATTTATATTTCTCTTATTTTGGCCTGATATGTTCTTCCACAAAACTAATAAATAGGTTTTGGAGAATGTGCACAAAAGATCCTTTTGAGAAGAAAGTGTCTTTGGAAGAGGTGTTCACTTTAATGTCTGTGTTCCTCAGGTTATCGGCATTGGAGCAGGACAGCAGTCTCGTATACACTGCACTCGCCTTGCAGGAGATAAGGCAAACTATTGGTGGCTTAGACACCATCCACAAGTGCTTTCGATGAAGTTTAAAACAGGAGTGAAGAGAGCAGAAATCTCCAATGCCATCGATCAATATGTGACTGGAACCATTGGCGAGGTGAAAGACTTGGCATTGGGTTCTCGGCTGTGTTAATATTCAGTTCAACCCTTTATGTGTAACAGATTTTAACTTCATCACCACACAGAGAAAAAGATACTTTCATTGAAATTCTATGTTGTCTAAAATTGATCATTGAAACTTCTTACACATTTCTCATGTTCTTCTGTCTCATGTAACTTTCTTCATTGTTTTTGACCCCTTTCTGAAACCACAGTCCTCTGTCTTTTTAAATTGCAGCCTTGGTGTAGGTTTGTATATTTGTACTTCCCCTGTTGATTATAAGCTTTTGATGACAAGGACTGCTTTTCACCTACGTCGAGGTGCCTGCCACCACGTCATGCATGGTGCTTGCTGTCCGATGGGTCTGTATTCAACATTAAATACAAATTGCCTGACGGCAGGTAACCCTGGGGTCTTCTCCCACCACATTTTCTACATGTGCCATTAATAACTTGATACATTTTGTTACATTTCATGTTCTTCTGTTTGAAGAAGGTATGTGGGAACATTACAATCGCAAACGTTAGGTAGGTAGCCCGCCAGAAGAAAAGATCTAGCCCAGTTTCTGGACATATTGCGTGCCTAACAAAATGCTGGATGGAAAACAGAAGGCTGCTAATCAAATACTAGATGGTCTTCTGAAGAGCCAATTGACTACCCTCAGTTTTTTATTCAGGAGCAGGAATCAACATAAGTGTCATTGAAGAGTGAGGCTGCAGAATGTAACTGAAGTCCTTAAGATATCTTTTTTTTTTCAACTTTGATACTTGGATTTTTCTGTTTGATATTACCAGTCAACCCCTGCTACTAGTCCTGAAAGAGTCCTGGAAGTGAACAAGAATAAAAGTATGTCAAAGCTAAAACATGACCCAAGATAGAAGCACCTTGTAAAATATGATTAACTGTCTGTGCCACTATGACACAATACTGCAGGCTGGGTAACTTATAAACCATAGACATTTATTTTTCATAGTTCTGGAGGCTGTGAAGTCCCAGATCAAGGTACTGGTGGGCTGAGAGTCTGGGGAGGCCTACCCTCTGCTTCCCAGATGGCACAGCCCTCTCTGGAAAGGACAAACACTGTGTCCTTACTTCACAGAAGGGGCATACTTCCCCTGAAGCCCTTTTATAAGTCTGTAATCCATTCATGAGGGCCCCACCCTCATTGCCCAATAACTTTCTAAAGGCCTTATACTTCTTAATACTGTTGCATTGGGGATTAAGTTTCAACATGAATTTTGGAGTGGATACACACACTCAAACCATAGCAAATATTATGAATTGTGTTTTGTCTACAACTGCCTTTACATTTAGAATAATTTTTGTATAAATGTAGTTAAAGAACTACTCATCTCTTTCCTAGATTGGATATAGAGGGTTTTTTTGAAAACCCTTGGAACACAATTTTTATTTGCTTTCTTTGCTACAGTAGTACCAAAGCAGTAGATTTAAATTAGACGGTAGTCTAATAGACATAAAGTAGTAGATACGAAGTAGATTTAAATTAGAGATTTTAAAACAGTGTATTTTTATGTAAGTAGCTTAGCCAAAAATAAAAAAAATTACATATGTACTTGGAATAAACTGATTTGGAAAGTAAAATGGTATTATCTTTATTTGGTAAACTTAGAATCACTTTTTTTCCTTAATGAAAATATTTCTAAAAGCATCAAAGAGATTCTAGATATGTGAACTTCCATGTAAATAATGGTCATTATTTACAATTAAGAAATCCTGGCCGGGCGCGGTGGCTCATGCCTATAATCCCAGCACTTTGGGAGGCCGAGGTGAGTGGATCATGAGGTCAAGAGATTGAGACCCTCCTGGCCAACATGGTGAAACTCTGTCTCCAAAAATACAAAAATTAGCTGGGTGTGGTGGTGTGCACTTGTGGTCCCAGGTACTTGGGAGGCTGAGGCAGGAGAATTGCTTGAACCTGGGAGGTGGAGGTTGCGGTGAGCCGAGATCGCACCACTGCACTCCAGCCTGGTGATAGTGCAAAACTCCGTCTAAAAAAAAAAAAATAATAATAATAATAAAAACAAGTCCTAAGAAAAATGCCCAGGTGCTTTCTGGCATGGTGATTTGCACCACATAGAACTAAAGACGATGTCAGACCAAGCTTCTTCCTTTCTCTCTCCCCGCATAGGATGAAGATTTGATAAAGTGGAAGGCACTGTTTGAGGAAGTCCCTGAGTTACTCACTGAGGCAGAGAAGAAGGAATGGGTTGAGAAACTGACTGAAGTTTCTATCAGCTCTGATGCCTTCTTCCCTTTCCGAGATAACGTAGACAGAGCTAAAAGGGTAAGTATGGAATTGGGTGCATTTGCTTAGAGTTGAGCATTATGTAGAAACTGTTTCAGAAATCCTGCTTTTGATTTTTAAAAGGTGTGGCAAAGTGATACAGATCAGTAATATTCAGAGAACCATTTGACTTCTCCATTGGGTGGATGGAGAACCCAAATCCTGTTGTTATTTTGCCTTTTTGACTGAGTGTATCTTTGTTAGCATATGCTTTTTAGAGGGGGATTTTGAGTTTTGCAGGTTTTTACATAAAATCGCGTTTTGAAAATCAATATACTTCCCCCAGAGTGGTGTGGCGTACATTGCGGCTCCCTCCGGTTCTGCTGCTGACAAAGTTGTGATTGAGGCCTGCGACGAACTGGGAATCATCCTCGCTCATACGAACCTTCGGCTCTTCCACCACTGATTTTACCACACACTGTTTTTTGGCTTGCTTATGTGTAGGTGAACAGTCACGCCTGAAACTTTGAGGATAACTTTTTAAAAAAATAAAACAGTATCTCTTAATCACTGGATCCATAGTTTTTGGTAGTTGTGTTTTATGTTAAAGATGCAGGCTCTTTGAACTGACACATGACACATAACACATAAATGAGGAATTCCAGAGCACCCCTGCCTACCGGAGCTCAGCCCATCCCACAGCACTGCCCGTGTGAAACATAAACATTAGCAGGAACCAAACGAGCTGAGCAGCCAGAGGACATGGCACAAGTCACTGTGTACAGGCCACACTTAAGGACTGGGAGTTATACCCATCTTAAAGGTGGAGTATTGATGTAAATTACCTAGAATTCTTCTGCATGGGAGTTGTATATTAAAGGTCCATGTTGCCTCCTAGGGGAGTCTTCTCATGCCGTTTTTGTTTGTTTGTTTTTCATTTTTTTAATTTGTTATTTTGAGAGGGAGTCTCAAAAAAATAGCTCTGTCACTCAGGCTAGAGTCCGTGGCACCGTCTTGGCTCACTGCAACCTCCGCCTCCCGGGTTCAAGCGATTCTCCTGCCTCAGTCTCCTGAGTAGCTGGGACTACAGGCATGTGCCACCATGCCTGGCTAATTTTTGTATTTAGTAGAGACAGGGTTTCACCATGTTGGTCAGGCTGGTCTCGAACTCTTGACCTCATGATCCACCCGCCCTGGCCTCCCAAAGTGCTGGGATTACGGGCGTGAGCCACCGTGCCCGGCCCTCATGCCATTTATTTTTAATCACACTTCTGAGAAGCTTGGTTGTCTACTTTCCAAACAAACAGCAGATTGGCACCTGTGAACTGGAACCTTAGAGGGGATTGGTTTAAGTCTTGTTGACCCCCTCTATGGATAATCTGATGTATATTTTTCTCAGTGCTAAGTGAAATGTTTCCCAGAATTTCAGCAGCCCGAGATTCACCCTCTGGAGCTGCATAAAAATGTAGTCAATATTTGGTGCTCAGAAATTGTACCCAATATTCCAATTACAGGCTTAATCACTACAGTGGGCACAGTGGGAGGGCAGTGCCTTCCTTCATCAGGACAGACCTGTGCATCTGTGTGTCCTGCCTGTGTGCTCCTGACCATTCCCGTGCATTGCACCTGTGTTCAACTAAAACCCTTTGCCATTGTTCACCTTTACCAATGAGTCCTACCCTCTTCCCAAGTCTTTAACTTATCCCCTTGCTAAATAAAAATTTCTGAAGTTTTTTCTTAATGGTCATCTTTCTAAGTTATTTCTGGTTAAGCTAATCTTCCAGCCCTGGCCTAGGACCTGCCCACATTGAAACAAGGCTGACTTGTGTGATCAGTAAAATACTGCAGAAAAAATAAGACTTTTGAGGCTAGGTCCTAATACATTGCAACTTCAGCCTTAGTTTCTTGGATTACTTCCTCTGGGATAAGCCAAGACCACGTTGTAAGAGTTAAGCAGCCCTCCACAAGGAGAGACGCCATCTTGCTTACACTAGTTGCCAGCCACATGAGTGAGCCATCTCAGAGGTGGATCCTCCAGCTTCAGTCCCAGGCAACATCTGGCTTCAACCTCTTCAGAGACCTGAGCCAGAACTGCCCAAAAGAGCTCTTGAATTCCTGACCCACAGATACAGAGAGATGCATACTGTTGTTAAGCCACAAAGTTCTGGGGTAATTATGTAGCAGTAAATAGCTAATACAGATTTTGGCTTGTAAATTAAGTGTGTGTTGTCTTTTTCATGGTTCTTTGGCTTGACCAAAGGTTAACATTAAGGGTATGATAATGGGAACAGGCTGAGCACTGTGTCTCCTGTCTATAATCCCAGCACTTTGGGAGGATTGCTTGAGGCCAGGAGTTCAAGACCAGCCTGGGCAACATAGCGACATCCTCATCTCTAAAAAAAGAGAAAATTTTAATTAGCTGGGCATGGTGGCTCCTGTTTGTAGTATTCTTCACATAGATGAAGAATAAATAAGTGGAGAATATGCAACTCCCATGCAGAAGAATTCTAGGTAATTTACATCAATACTCTACTGAGGGGTATAACTCCCAGTCCTTAAGTGTGGCCTGTACACAGTGACTTGCTTTCAAAGAGGAGAGTATAGAAATGGGAATAAAATAGTAACTACAGTGGAGAAAACTGACACTTTCTCAGCCAGATGATCAAGGTCAACGTCAATAGTGTCATGTTGCTAGGAAATACCTCAAAATAGGAGAATAGCACTTTACCTTTTTGGTCTTCTTTCCAAAACCCTGTACTCTCAGCTTAATCATGAGAAAAACATCAGATATAACCTAGCCGAAGGACTTTACAAAATACCTTCCTACTGTCAAGATCATCAAAAAGAGAAGCATGAGAAACTTTCATGCCTAGAAGGGCCTAAGGAGATGTGGTGAGTAAATGCAGTGTGGTGTCCTGGATAGCATCCTGGAACAAAAAAAGGACATTAGGTAAAAACTAAGAAAATCTAAAGTGTTTAGTTAATATGTATCAATATTGGTTCACTAATTGTAATAAATGTACCATGCTAATGTAAAATACTAATAAAAGGGGAAATTAGGTGTGATGTATCCTCACAATTTTTTCTATAAATCTAAAACTCAGAAAATAGGCCGGGCATGGTGGTTCACACCTGTAATCCCAGCACTTTGGGAGGCCGAGGTGGGTGGATCACCTGAGGTCAGGAGTTCGAGACCAGCCTGGCCAACATAGTGAAACCCCGTCTCTACTAAAATTACAAAAATTAGCCAGGTGTGGTGGTGTCTGCCTGTAATTCCACCTACTTGGGAGGCTGAGGCAGGAGAATTGCTTGAACCTGGGAGGCAGAGCTTGCAGTGAGCTGAGATCACTCCACTGCACTTCAGCCTGGGCAACAGAGCAAGACTCCATCTCAAGAAAAAAAAAAAATTAAACTATTAGAAAATAAAAAGCCTATTTTAAAAAGTATATAACCACATTCAAGTATCATACTAAAAGGATAAGTCATTTTGAATATCAAATACCCAGTCACCTTTAGATCTCTCCCAATGGCTAATTTTTTTTTTCTTTCAGTTTTTTGATTGTGCAACCCAAGCCTGGTACATCATTGCATTTGATTGGCATGTCTCAAGTATCTTCAACACCTGGTTTCTCCTCTTTAGATTTTTTTCTTGCAGTCGATTGACTGAAGATTTTTGGTCTCATAGTTCCCACGTGCTGGGCTGTGCCCTTGCATTCCTGTGATGTCGTTTAATTTGTGCCTCTGCTCCTTTCTTACACATTGATAGCCGTAGTTATGTAAATTTTTTTAGTTTGATTTGTTGAGAATTTAGAAAAAGGTTTTGAGACTTCCCTCCATGAGGATGAGTTTTCCAATTTCTTCCTGCAGGTTTATAAATGTTCACTTCCTATATATTTGAGGTTAAAAACACGGACCATGTTTAAAGTTATTATTGCTTTTGGTTTTGAGTTTTCTTTAATGCATTTTGTGAACCTTTCCCTTTGCGCTCAGCCTATTTGTATTCAATTATTGATACATTTGAGGCCTATTTTTACTATCCTGTAAAGTTTGACCCACTTTTATTTCCTTCCTTGACATTGTTTTGAATGTACGGTTGTATTTCCCCCCTAATAAGCTAAAAGCTTTAACTCCCAGTTTCTCCCCCATCACCCCTACCTACCCCACCCCATTCCAAACTCCTGTTGATTCCTGGACTTGGGGTCACATTTTCACTTAGCCTATTTTTTAAGACCAGACTTTCTAAGGTTTGTGTTTACCTTCACTTCATCTATCTATTGCAGTGCCTCCAGTTTCTCCTCTTGTGTTAACTGTGTGCAGTGTCTGTGTGATGAAGCTTCTGAGATCTTACATGTCTAAGGTTTTGTTGTTGTTGTTGTTGTTTTGTTTTTTGAGACAGATTTTCATTCATGTGGCCCAGGCTGGAGTGCAATGGCATGCTCTCAGCTCACTGCAACCTCCACCTCCCAGGTTCAATTGATTCTCCTGCCTCAACCTCTTGAGTAGCTGGGATTATAGGTGCACGCCACCACACCCAGCTAATTTTTGTACTTTTAGTAGAGATGGGGTTTCAGAATGTTAGCCAGGCTGGTCTCGAACTCCTGACCTCAAGTGATCTGCCCGCCTCGGCCTTCCAAAGTGCTGGGATTACAGGCATGAGCCACTGCACCTGGCCAACTAAGGATATTTTTATCATGCTTGTATATTTGAATTCATTTTGGCTATGCTTACAATTCTGGGTTTTAAATTCTTTAATACTTTGAAAACACTGTTTGGTTTTTTATTGCATCCATTGTTTATTTAAAATCTGATGTCAATCTGGTTCTTGTTCCTTGTCAGGAAACTTTTTTTTTGAGACAGAGTCGTTCCCTGTTGCCGATGCCCAGGCTGGAGTGCAGTGGTGTGATCTCCACTCACCACAGCCTCTGCCTCCATGGTTCAAGCGATTCTCATGCCTCAGCCTCCCGAGTAGCTGGGGACCACAGGTGTGCACCACCACACCCGGCCAATTTTTGTATTTTTAGTAGAGATGAGGGTTTCACCATGTTGTCCAGGCTGGTCTTGAACTCCTGGCCTCAGGTGATTTACCCGCCTCAGCCTCCCAAAGTGCTGGGATTACAGGTGTGAGCCACCATGCCTTCTCAGGAAACTAATTTTTTCCTGGGTATTTTCAAGCTTCTATAATGTGTTTAGGTGTGGGTGTTATTTGTATTTCCCTTTGTTGGCACTCTGGGTTTTTCATTCTAGGAAATTTATTTCTGTTCTTTGTGCTAATATTTCCTCTCTCCCATTTCTTCTGTTTTTTATCCAAATGTTAGCATTTCTAAGCAATTCCTATATCTCTTAGCCTTTCTTTTATATTTTATATTTCATTTTCTTTATTCGTCCCTCCAGGAGATTTCTTTAGTCTGGTCTTCTAATTTTCTCATGAATTCCTACAATGTATCCATTCTGCTGTGTGTCCTGTCTATTGAGCCCTTTATTTCAGGAGTTTTATTTTTCCCTTCAAATATTTCTGGTTTTCTTTTCCAATTGTTGGTATCATCTTTCTAGCTTTGTTTTACTATTTCTACTTCTGTTAGGATCTGTAATCTAGTATGTTACTATTCTTTTAAAGTCTCTTTACTCAAGTGTTGTGGTATGTTGGCCTGTGAGCTCATTTTCCCTGACTAACATTGGCTACCCAGCAGCGTGTGCTTGAGACAGCCCAGCTGATGCACTCCTCGCCAGCCCCAAGGGGTTCATGAAGGACAGGATTGAATGAACCCCGGGGAGGAGCACCCAAGCAATAAGAGCAACCATTCTTCACTCTGGAAAACGACTCAGTTTAGGGCTGTCAACAGCTCCTTTCTCATTTTACTGTCTCACTTCCCTGTGTTATGCCAAAAAAAGCAGTGTCCTGCCTTAAGCCAAAGTGCCACCCCTCACATGCAAGCTTACTCCTGGGTTCCTCATATTTTGCTCTGTGAGGTGGTGTTTTCCTTTATATGTACTCAAGTTAATCTTGGTGGAGGTAGCCAGTAACCAAGGAAGTTGAGCACTTTGGGAGGGTCTGGCACTGGAACCCCATTAACATATATATGTCTAGTATAATTCAATCATTCGAAACGTCAAGAGTGGAGTTTCACTGGTGTTTAAGTGAAATGCATAATGATCTTATGTCTGTTGTTTCCAGCAGAAGGACAGAAGATCCATAATGTAACAACGTCCTGACCAATACTGAGTGTATTTCTATTGGGGGATCCCCTGGGCACAGGGAGAAAACAGTCCATGAAAGGGATCCTCCATTCTTCCTCCCGTTGCCTTGCCCTTTGACACCTGCTTCTCTCCAGGCCACCTTTCTAAAGCCCAGCCTATGTCCCTTCCTCAGAGCACAGAACCCTGCAGGTCTTTAAGCTCGCAGTGCTTTCCATTCATGGACATTTTTATACCTTATTTTTGCCAAACACTGTGCCAGGCACAAATTTATCTTTAAAAGAAATTGTAATGAAGTAGGCATATAGAAAAGTGCATGAAACTTTTACCATTTAAAGTATAATTTTTATGCAAACACCTGTGTCACCACCAACCAGGTCAAGAAGGAGATTTTGCTAGAAGGCCCCCACATTCCTGTGCTTGATTACGGCTCCATCTTTCCCTCGAGGAAATTGTCTTTGTGCCTCTTAGGATAATCAGTACCTTGTTTTGCCAGTCAGTAGGTGGGCAATCTTGGGCACATAGCTTAACCCTCTTGGAGTTTGATTCTTCTGTAAAATGGGGATGGATTCACTCCTCCAAAAGGCTGAATAGCTTCTGGCTGAAAGCACATATTCTGGTGCTAGTCTATCAGGTTCGAGTCCCAGTTCTCCTACTTACAAGCTATGTGATGTTTAGTGATTCACATTGCCTTTCCCGCACTTTCAATTTGTAGAATGAGATGAGAACAATACTGACGTCTTAGAGTTGCTCTGAAGAGCAAATGAGACAAAATATTGCGGGCACTTAAAATACCACCTGAGTCACGATAAATACTGTTTCAAAAAGATGCTGATTATTCTTTTCATAATGCTTTTGTGTATATGGAAGCATAGGAACTAGTGGAAGATAACCTATGGAAATTACTATGAAAAATGATGTCTATTTATGGATAATTTTGTTTCAGGTTCCAAATTGGTAGCCACAAAGTTTCTGAGTTCCTTCAGCCTTCATCTACTCTTACCCCACATCTCTTCCTCATGAAGGAGCAAAAATTAGATTTTCTATAACTGAAGTGGCATTTTTTAAGATAAAATTTATGTAACGTAAAATTCACCATCTTAACCATTTTAAAGCGTATTGTTCAGCAGTTTTCAGTATATTCACACAATTGTGCAACAATCACCATTATCTAGTTCCATAAAATTTTCATCACCCCAAAAGTTAACTCTTAGCCATCACTGTCCATTTCCCCTTCGCCCCAGCCCCTGGCAACCATAAATCTACCTTTTGTTTCTATGGATTTGCCCATTCTGGACATTTTGCCTAAATTGGATCACATAATATGTGCTCTTTCGTGTCTGGCTTCAACTTAGCATAATATTTTAAAGGTTTATATTGCAGCATGTACATTCCTTTTATGGTCAGATATTTCATTATATGGATATACCACATTTTGTTGATCCATTCATTAGTCGATGGACATTGGGTTGTTTCCGTGTTTGGCTACTATGAATGATGCTGCTATGAACATCTGTGTGCAAGTTTTTGTGTGAACATATGTTTTCTGTTCTCTCGAGTATATATCTAGGAATGGAACTGTGAAGTCGTATGGTAACTGTTTAACGTTTTGAAGAGCTGCCAGGCTGTTTCCCACAGCAGCCGCACCGTTTTACATTTCCACCAGCGATGAATGAGGGTTCCAGTTGCTCCACCATCGCCGTACATTTTTGAGTCAAAAATAGCTTTCCAGCACTTGGCTCAGCATCTTACATCTGAAGCTGAATTACAGAGATGGGCATGTTTCATTGTAAAGTCTTGTCCAGCAGTCTCCTGGCAAAGGCAGTGCTTCATTCTAGAATGAAATGGCCATTTACAAAGTACCAAGTTGCAAAGGGCCCAATGGGAGACTCCTTGGCCTTTGATGTATCTTGCCTAAGGGAGCCTGCTCTGCTGGGTAGCTTCAGGGCACTTGACGCCAGCCCCAGTCCATCATTCTGGGCTGGCTGCCTCGTACAGCTTCAACCAATGCTAGTTTCAATCCTTTGGGGGCTCCACATGAGCTGTTTTAGAGATAAATTTGGCTCCTGAGATTGTTAAAACCTGTATGTCTCTAAAGAGTAAGTAAAAAGGAATTCAAGGAAATGTAAAACATGCTTTAATATCTCATACCTGACTCTACTGAGGAATGTTAAAAAAGGAATTTCCCATTTGGGACTTTCGGCTGAAGCCCTGTTTCTCTTGCTCTTTTATTACATCTTTTCTTCATTTGTAATTTATATAGGTTTCTGTTTGCAATTCAAGTTGAATCTTTTATTTTAATGAGGATATGGAGTGAGACGATGTGATAATGAAAACAACGTGCATTTCAAGTATTTTGAAAAAACTTCCTTAGTTTCTGCAAGGTCATCTTTGTGTTTCTTCTGCTTTATCAGCCTTAATGGTAATCTTTAAATGTTTCCAAACATGGGAAGTCCCAACAGCGGTCTTTTTTTTTTTTTCTTAAGAGTTGAATTGTCTCCCTTGAAAATGGGATTTTTTAATTGTAACCTGCCACATTCCCTATCACAGTAATGGGAACTTACTAAATAGGAAGCAATTTGAGCACTTAAATGTGCTGATGTGATGTTTCTTAATCACTTTAATGAGTTTCATACCACTAGAAATGGAATAGAAGTTTCAATGGAAATATAATTAAATAGAAAAGTCATTTCCTGTACTTGTAATTTCCCCCTGATCATTTCTTTATTCACCTCCATAGAAAGGGTGCCCTACAGGTGTATAGTGATGTTATTATACAGACTTATTTGCATAATTCACTTAGATTATTAGAGCTGAAAACAATATAAAATGTAACATTTTATTACAAATCAAGTGTAGCAAGGCAATGTAAAACTTTAAAACGATGATATTTCTTTTTAAAGTCTGATTAACATTTACTAGTTTTACCTAATTTTTCTTGCATTGTTGATTTCTTGCCTAAATATAGATTTTTCTTTTAGTAATGCCTTTTCAATCTTGCCCGCTTAAAACAATTCTCGGGGGAAGCAATAACCTGAATCAATAAAAACGGCAAAAGATCTTTGGAAATAGTTGGTTCTCCTGTTTGAGATCAGGAGTAAACAAACTGTTTAGCTGGGAGCTTATCAAGCCATGCTAAAAGTGTCAGCTGACACAAAGTAAGACACATTAGATTGGGGTTATCATACAATGGGGTTTCCCCAAGACAAAACTCTATACTATGCTATTTGCTGAGAAATGATCAGTACAAAAGAAAGTTTCATCATTCTTGCATTGTGATGCTAAAAGAAAAGGCCTTGTAAATGTGTTTAATTTGCTATTCGTTTACTTCATAAATTTAATGTATCACTTTGGAGAATCCAACAGACATTTTGGAAAAGGTGGCATTTTTCCTGACCTTAAGTGGGGAACTTGAGGTTTTTTACATTTCAACATAAAAGTAAAGGGGCTTGCTATCCATTTAGTTAATACAGTCCAACTGTATTTGCCTAAACTGCATTTTTTAAATTTTTTATTTTTGAGACGAAGTCTCACTCTGTCGCCCATGCTGGAGTGCAATAGCACAATCTTGACTCGCTGCAACCTCCGCCTCCTGGGTTCAAACGATTCTCCTGTCTCAGTCTCCCGAGTTATGGGGACCACAGGCATGTGCCACCATGCCTGGCTAATTGTTTTATTTTTTGTAGAGACAGGGGTCTCGCTATGTTACCCAGACTGGCCTTGAACTCCCGAGCTCAAGCAACCCTCCCACCTCGGCGCCTCAAAGTACTGGGATTACAGGTGTGAACCACCCTTCCCGGCCCTTACACTGCATTTTAGGGTAAATATTTTTAGGTTTGTAGTTAGGCAAGTGGTTTGAAGCATCATCAGTCTCAACCTAAAGCTGCTCTTTCCTTATGTTTTTAGATATCAAGGCTTTAAGCAAGATTCAGATGAAGGGCCTGCTTTACCAGCTCACCTATGAATATGGAAGCATCAGCTTACTTTTTGCAGCACATGTGTCTCAGGGGGTTGTCCCTTCCCACAGTGTGTAGATTGGCATCGAGATGACGTTCTCTCTCCAGGGTGCAGTGATGACCGACATATGTGAGACAGTCGTTTAATATCACCTTTATTTTGTACTTTCTGTGATTTTTAAAAAACATACAGAGCAGCTCTCTTGGTGACTATTGGGCTGATAAAGCTTAAAGATCAGTAATAAATAGAAGTCCAGGGGCTGGGTCTGTATTTCGCTAAGGAAACCTCATCTGAGCTTCATGCCCTGTAAAATTAAGCTCTAAAACCTCCCCTAAATGAGATAGCTAAATGTCAAAGCATTTTATAAACTGTAAATCAATTCAAATGGGAGTTAGTATTTTTTTTTTTCAAATGAACATGAGGAAGTATCTTTCTGTATTTAGTTTTAATATTCTTTGCCAGGTGTTTATTGAAATACCTTCTTTCATTGTACATTAGTATATTTAAAAAGTGCTTTGCATGTCTTGTTTATTATGAACTACTAATTTTTTACTAATAATTATTTCCATTTCCACTATTTACTATTCTGAATGTCACATTTATTTATTTATGTTTTTTGGGATGGAGTCTTGCTCTGTCCCCCATGCTGGAGTTCAATGGCACAATCTCAGCTCACTGCAACCTCCGCCTTCTGGGTTCAAGCCATTCTCCTACCTCAGCCTTCTGAGTAGCCGGGACCAAAGACGCCCACTGCCATGCCTGGTAACATTTGTATTTTTAATAGAGACAAGGTTTCACCATGTTGGCCAGGCTGGTCTCAAACTCCTGACCTCAGGTGATCCACCTGCCTCAGCCTCCCAAAGTGCTGGGATTAGAGGTGTGAGCCACTGCGCCTGGCCTGAATGTCAAATTTAATCCCAAAGTTTGTTTCCTCAATGTTAAATTGAAAAAGAAATGACCTTTACAGATCAGGAGTAAACAAACTGTTTAGCTGGGAGTTTATCAAGCCATGCCAAAAGTGTCAGCTGACCCAAAGTAAGACATGTTAGATGGGGGTTATCATACCATGGGGTTTCCCTAAGATAAAACTCCTCCATATTATACTATTCAAATACTTTTAATATCTTAGTCATTTTTATTTCCCTTGCAGGCAATCTCTTTGAACAGAGGTTTATTCAATGAAGGAAAGGTGGAGGGAAGAAGGGAAGAATTACAATGGTTAGAAAAGAGCAACTAAAGATTATTTCTATTATACTTCTGAACGGTAAACTAGCAATTTTAATAAATATTGGGGTCCACTTAAATCTATTAAAGCAGAAAGTGTAAAGCTATCTCCATTAGTGAAGAGATGAAGTGACAAAAACCAATCAGTTTTTGTAGCAACTGATTTAGAAAATCTTGTACTGAAATCAACAATTAGACTTGCACATCATAGATTTTCAAATGTTTGCTGAATTGAAAAAGAATATTCACAGGAATTATTTCCCCCGAAGGTGTCTTATATCAAATAGATGAACTTCAAGTTGTGGAATGTAAATCTTTTATTAAAACAGTTGTCTTTCCACAGTAGTAAAGCTTTGGCACATACAGTATAAAAAATAATCACCCACCATAATTATACCAAATTCCTCTTATCAACTGCATACTAAGTGTTTTCAATACAATTTTTTCCGTATAAAAATACTGGGAAAAATTGATAAATAACAGGTAAGAGAAAGATATTTCTAGGCAATTACTAGGATCATTTGGAAAAAGTGAGTACTGTGGATATTTAAAATATCACAGTAACAAGATCATGCTTGTTCCTACAGTATTGCGGGCCAGACACTTAAGTGAAAGCAGAAGTGTTTGGGTGACTTTCCTACTTAAAATTTTGGTCATATCATTTCAAAACATTTGCATCTTGGTTGGCTGCATATGCTTTCCTATTGATCCCAAACCAAATCTTAGAATCACTTCATTTAAAATACTGAGCGGTATTGAATACTTCGAAGCAGAACAGGCAATGTGCAGCCCTCATTTATGAGAAAACCCTCAGGAAACTCCCAGGGTGATGCTTGGAGAAGCTGTGAGTTGAGCTGAAGCTGGAGAACTTCCTCCAGAGCAAAGGGCTTAAGAAAGAAAGAAGAACTCTAAGCTGGGTCTGCTAACATCACTCCAGTTTAGATGGATCTTGGCAGAGAGACATGCTTGTTCCTCTGGATTGGAAAGATGATTTACTCTCGGGAATCTTCTCTGTCAGCCTGTACATCTAAAGGCATGAAGCACTCAATTGGGCAATTAACATTCTGTTAAAAAGGAAGAAGGAAAAAAAAATTAGTGGCAAATACTGTAAAGTGTACAGAAAAAAAAATGCGGGGAGGTGGGGACTCATGACAGCTGCTTATAGATAGGATAATATTTCTTCCTAGTTTCAAGAACCTAGCAGCATACTGGGCAATAGGAGATGTTCAAGAGTTACATAAATTATAACTTAAACTATATTATGGAATACAGTGTTTCACTTAAGTCATTTATGAGTTGTTTTTTTTTTTAATTAATTAAAACACTTGGTTCATTCTGAAGAAAGATACCTGTAGAAAGAGACTGTCTAGTATGAGGGAACACACTTGTGCTGCTAATGCACTTACAGTGTTTGTTCTCTGATGGTATCTCTGAGAATACTGGTTGTAGGACTGGCCAGTAGTGCCTTCGGGACTGGGTTCACCCCCAGGTCTGCGGCAGTTGTCACAGCGCCAGCCCTGAGAGAGTAGAGGCATGAAGTCAAATGGGGTTTATGATAACCTGAGGACATCGTAATTTAGTGTTTGAGTTAAAGAAAAATGTCACATCATATGCACTGGCAAAATATAAGCAGTTAATCACTAAGCAAGCTTTGATGATGATTTCATGCATTTATAACTCTTAATACATTTTGGCTTATTACCATATCTTATACCTACATCTGTCTCTCTATGTTGTTTCTTTCTCCTGAAATGTCTCTTCTCTTCCTATTCAAACCTTGCCCATCTGCTGAGGCTCATTCCAATCCCAACTTCCTCAACAAGTTCTCTGCACTAGATGATAGAAAAGGTTTTCAAAGAATCCTAGCGATTTTAAAAGGGACTTGAGATCACATGAAGAAACGTTCTCATTTTATAGGTAAGGAAACAGAGACCCAGAGGAGAGGAGTGACTTGCTTAGAGGGAGCAGGGAAGTCACACAGTGGACCACTGGTGGAGTTGGGCCTGCCGCCCAGGAGGTGGGGTGACCTGGCCATGTTCTTTCTAATGCACCACTTTGCCACTCTCTTCCTAAACTTCCCTAGGCAGTGACATGGTAGCCTGTCACCTGGCCGGAGATGGCATGGGAGATGGAAACGGGACCAAGCTGAGCCAGTGAGGCTCCTGCCTGAAGTTTTTACTGGAAATGGGAGGACACACATGTTCTCTTTCACTACTGTTCTTAAGCTGGCAGGGGGTAAAGCAAGCTCATGGAGGTCAGTCATCAATGGCACCATCAGCAGAGACCCCGCTGAAGCACGAAGCCAGTGCATGGGAAGGCACGCGGAGCAAGAGGGAGTCCGGGCGCCATTGCTGGAGCAGCCCCTGAAGCCGGTGGGTCCTGGGACTGTTCCATTGTGTGGGCCATTTTTGCTTGAGTTGGACTTTTTTCTTACAACTAAAATGCAGCCCTAAATAATACAGTCACTTTCTTTTTTATATTAGAATTTAAATATTTTAGACATATTTCTCTGTTTAAGCACATATGCCCCTTAATACCTAACACAATACCAGTGACTACCTCCTTACAGAATCACTGAATCTTGCTTTCATATGAGAAAGTGAACAGTTTCCACTCCTGTCTTAAATGTTTCATTTAGCACTTGAGAATAGAATAAGTGTCGCACATGAAAGGTTTCATGTGCATAAATAATGAGAAGATGCTGAAGTGAGACCAAAATCAACTTCCCAGCAAATTCATTCTCCATCACACAATTTCATACCAGAATGACTGAGTTCTAAGGTCATACAATCACAGTCGTTGTAAGTGTTAATGGGAGAGAGAGAGAGAGAGAGACAGAGAGAGATACTGAATTCAATCTAAATTCCAATCTCCAATTCTCCTCCATCAGAATTGGGAGCACCTCCCTCCCCATGTAATCACTGGGGGTGAAACAAGATCATAGTAGTTTCCATGGGCTGCCCCTGGTGGAGCCAAGACAGGCCCCTGAACACCCCTGCTGCCAGATTAATTTTCCCAAAGACTATTTTCCATCATGTTTCTTTGCATCTTGGATACCTGTAATTGGTTAATGCATTTGGCATTAACCAATGAGTCTCACCCTTGAGTGTGAAGCATGCCCCTCACCCACCAGGATTTGGGGAGTTGCTGGGAGGGCATGTCTTCGTTGAAAACAAAGGGCTGTCACATTCCATTGCTTTTGAGTTACACATAATTTCATTTTGAAATTTGAAATCATATTAGAGAAAGGCTTATTATTTTTTGTTATACTGGGCATATTTTAGAAATGGTTGAGAAGTACTGGCTTAAATAATGGGTTGCCAAGGCCCTCCATAAGCCACTTCTTCCCATCTATTTTCTTACCAGAAGACAGCAGGCAGAGGGTTGGCTCACCAAAGCCCACCTGGGCCAGCTCCTTTCTATCCCAGGGGGTGTGTCTCTCTGCTTTCTCCCCTCCCAACTAAACCTTAGTCATCGTAAACCTCAGCCAGTTCATGCTTCTCTTTCTTGCTAATTCCAGCCTACCCAGAACTGTATTTGTCAGACCCACTTAGAACTTAATTAGCTTGACTTTGAAATGTATGCTAATTTAACATCTTCAACTATATCATTAAGAGCCAAGCCATTTCTCATTTCCTCTGTTTTTCCTATACTACTTAGCACAGTGCTAGACCTATAACAAGCATCTGTTCTGAATCAAGAGAGAGGTTAAAAGAAGTGGCATTTTCTTACATCTGAGATATTATTCAAAATATTTAACAACGTTGCCATGGGACACCTGTCCATCAGAATGGAGTTGGAGGCCTAGAGCTACACTGCACTTAACACTTTGCTGAAAAATAGAAGCAGCCTGAGAATAGTAGGGGAGGGGAGGGTCTCAGGCTGCCCAGGATGGGGAGAACCGGCTGAAATGAAACACATTCTATTTACCACTAATTAATTTGAATAGTATCTCTGCTTCACTATTTTTCAGTGTAAATAGTATCTCTGACATGCTAGGGAGCTTAGGAAAATGATTCTAACATCATATAAATGACAGGTGTTGCTATTAAGAATGACTCAAGACTTGTGTTTTTGGTACTCTACATGCCATTCATTCATTCTTTCTACTAAGAGTAATAGAAAGAATGAATGGCATGTAAGGTAGACATAGAGCTGCTCTAGAGCTCTATGTCAGCAGTTGTATGCCAACAGGAAATGTGGTATTTTAATACTTCCGAAGGGTCTCTGCCCCTCCTGTGTGTACGACACATCCTTGCAGGAGCCCACCCTTTATCTTATCTAACTTGTAGGGAGCCTGGCACATCCAGTCTTACCCGCTGGCCTCCAAAGCATGTGCAGGAGCAAATGGCACCGAGATATTCCTTCTGCCACTGTTCTCCTACGTGGTATGTCTTCCCATCATCATAACACGTTGCCTCATCTGCATATAGACACAAGACAGATGCACGCATAAGCTGAGAACAATACTGCAGACTTGATCTAGGGGTGGGTTCTATTTCTGTCCTAAATTTGTATCATCACAGCGCAAACACCACATATTTATGTGAATCATCCCTAAGAGCAGTACTGCTATACAGATCTTAGGGTGGCACTTCCAAAAATTAGACCTAATACACTGGAAAGGGTCCAACGGGAAGATGGAAATCATATTTTAAAAGTTGAATCTACAGACCAATAAAGCTTCTTTGTAGCATTTTACTGCAGATAATGGTCAAAATACTCAGGTTGGACAAGTGCTAAAGTGTCCTGTAATAACATTAAATCATGACTCATTTTTGAAGCTTGTCTCCACTTTCCCAAATCAAAAGATTAAGAAACCCACTGTTCACTCCTCAAGGAGACCTAAAGTCTCCAATCATTTCTGTGAATGAGAGTTACAGCCTGATAATGAAAGTGAGAATGCTTAATAAGGCACTAAAAATGATCTGTGATGACATACGAGGGTCACACTTGAATTCTCCTTTTCCGTTCCCAAGACATGTGCAGCTCATCATCTGGCCATTTTCTCCCTGACGGTCCCACTTCTCTCCAATCTTGTAGTTCACACCATTGTCATGGCACCATCCTGTAGGGGTGGGGAAAGTCAGGACCAAAAAGTTATTTGTATATTCTGACTCACAAGACAGTAGGTGAACTGGGACGTGTCACAGGGTCTTCAGAACCATGATCTGGAAAAATAGCAAGTTAAAGATAAAAACCCCTATAATGGGCCATTTATTTTATTTATTTATTTACTTTTTATTTTTTTTTTTTTTTTTGAGACAAAGTCTTTCTCTGTCGCCCAGACTGGAGTGAAGTGGTGCAATCTCGGCTCACTGTAACCTCCATCTCCTGGGTTCATGCAGTTATCCTGCCTCAGCCTCCTGAGTAGCTGGGATTACAGGCACTCCCCACAGTGCTATTTTTTTTTTTTTTTTTTTTTTTGTATTTTTTGTAGAGATGGGGTTTTACCATGTTGGGTAGGCTGGTCTCAAACTCGTGAGCTCAGGTGATCCACCCGCCTCAGCCTCCAAAAGTGCTGGGATTACAGGTGTGAGCCACCACACCTGGCCAATGGGCCATTTCTTTGGTTGAATTTTAAAATATTATTTTTTATCATTTACCATTTTCTAGGGCATTTTAAGACCCAATTTATTCTGCCACAATCATGTCATCAGAATAGTCAAATGAAATGACTTTCATTTGAATTCTCACTATTAAGATTTAAAATTGTGGAAAACTAAAGTGGGATTGGAGTAGACTGTTAGGAATAGATCCTAGATGAAAAATCACTTTTGGATTTGCAGAAACCCTGGATACAAAGTAGTTCAATTAACCATAAAACAAGGATCAGCTGATCTCTACACGCCACCACCTGTTTCATGTACATGGGAAGAGTAAAAAATGAACCCGGATAAAATAAAACAAAAGCAAACAAAATGCTAAATCATTGGTTATTATCCACATCAAATAAGTCTGGTTCTGTGGAATATCTAAAAGTCACAGTTTTATGCCTTTAACTACTATACATAAGGGATGACTTTTTAACCTCCAGGGCTTATACAACAAAACACACCTCAGAAGCTTATATAACAATATACTACTTTTTCCATTTTATCAACAATTCAGCCTGCCTTAAGCTACAAAGTAAAATAATTAGACAACTGTGATATCAAAACAAAGATTATGTAAGTTGAGCCAAAGAGTCACATAAATGAACTTGACATCCCCGCTCCCACAATTGCACCTAAGTGCTCAAACAGGTAATAAACATACAAACTTAAACGTAGTTCGATTTCAGGAGTTAAAAACCATCTACTTGAAGTCAAATATTAAAATTTCCAGCTCCTAAACAGCATGTGATGTTTTTAGTGTTTTTCATTTTCAGATGGTCAAACATGGAAGTCTATATTGAAAACACTGGCTGGCTTTTACAACTTCAGTCTGGATTAAATGATTTCAAGTATACAAGTTAAGTAAAATACTTTGAAAATCTCTTTTACCAAGTCTTATATTCTAATTCCACAGGATATGATTTCTGTATGTCTATAGGAGGCTTATTTATAGGCATAACGGTCAACACCTATAAAAATGAACCAATTGTCAATAATCATCACATCTCCTAAACACAAAGAATAAATGAAAGGTTTATAAATTCTAATCCTAATCTCAAAGCATAATAGATATTTCCTAGGCACATTTTAACTTAAAAAATTTGAAAATTAAAACGTATTAGAATTTGAAAATCAAACATTTATCAATTCAAGTTGATTTTTAATGATCTAAAAGCAGATTATCTGTTTTTTCTTTCATATTTCTAGCAACGTTCAAGCTACCTGGGCTATGTGTGTGACGCAAAAGTGTGTGCATGGGTACTATGATATGTGCATGTTTGGTTTATGTTGAAGGAGGCTGTTTTTGAGTCTAAATGTTCACCTCTGATCTCATTCAACACTGAAGATTAAAAGAGATTTGAGGTTTTTCTGTGTCTCTAATACTCTTAAATAGACCTGGTTCCAAAAGTCTTTATCCATTTGTTTTCACAGAAAATTTCAAAAATCAAATTAGCACCATAATCTTATGTGTAATTAATAGTTGTATTGGCATACAACCCTTGAAATGAAGCAATGTCCAACAAGTAAAATTTCCCATCATTTTTCTATGATGCAAAATATTACTTCGAGTCAAACAGTATTCTCTTGTTTGCTTCATGTTTGGAAGAACCTGTGTCTTCCAAACATGCTTCCTTGGCACATGAGTGCATGCATGGAACTTGAGGAGACAAACACGGAAGTGGATGGACAAAGCAACTACTCACTAGATGAATCACATCTGAAATGACCACTTCCAAAGCCTAAGCACTGGCACAACAGTTTAAAGCCTGATTCAGACATTCGTTCCCACTCATCTCCAACGGCATAATGGGAAACTGTGTAGGGGTCAAAGCACGAGTCATCCGTAGGTTGGTTCAAGCCTTCGTTGACTATGAAGAAAAGGAAGAAAAAGCAAAAAGAGACATCTTATTAATCGATTTGGACCATAAGAAGAAAATCGAATGACTGTATACAATGACTTAATCTAAAACAAGAATTCCAGGAGGATTAAGAGGCATTCATCTGTTCTATCAAGGCATTAACTGCTCTAAAAAACCATGGTTAGATGTGACACCTGTCACAGGCACCCGACAGGAAGCCCATCTTTTATTTTTCCCTTGCTTCTAAGATAATTGCCATTTCTGTTGAAACTACTTCATAGAACATGGAACAGATCTTGAGGCAATTGAAGCTAGTGGAGAACTTTAGTGGGATGCAAAGACTAATGATGCCTCTCCATTGGTACCTGAGTGACCTTGGGCCAGCTATTTAATACCACTCTGCCTTGCTTCCCTCATCTGCAATACTAGCGTAATAATAAAAATATCTATACCTCCTGGGGAATCTTGTGAAGATTATATAAGGCCATGAATTCAAAACATTGACCCTTTTCCAAGACTTAGAAAATGTTCACTAAATAAAGAATAATTATTAAAGGCTGTCTTTTGCTTATAATGCAAAAGTCTTAGCATTTTAATATACCATTATAATGTAATTTTCACTTTTATTATTGTAATTTTTGCATAATAGTGCAGAAAGCCTAGATTTTGGACATTGTTATTATAGTGGTGAGACAGCTTTATCAGTGAGGTCAACTGTTCCAAATAAGAAAATGCCCTTGGAATATAGATGATTTAGGAATAAGTAAGGGAGTCTCTTCATGTTACCTAAGATCTTATCTCTTTATGATTTGGAAAAGCTTATTTTAAAAAAATCTATGCAAACAAAGCATGCTTCAAATTATTCCCTAAAAATTAGATAAACTAATTTGACTTAAAATCCCACTGTGTATTTTTCTTTTTACAGTGCAAAACTCAAAAGCTCAAAAGCAGTAGATATTTGAGGTGCCTAATTTTTAAAAGGTGTCACCCTTAAAGAAAATAGCGTTTTGGAGAACTGGTAAGTCTGAGACGTCTCAAAGCTGGGAGAACCTGGTTAGAATGTAGAATACTGCTGCTGGGAATAAGGAGTTTAAAAGAAAAATGGAAGGAACTTAAATTGTTACTAGGGGTTTCTATACTCAAAAGAGCCAGGAGTTCAAATTCCATCCTAACTAAAGTTAAAGAGATGGAATCTTTAAAAAAAAAAAAAAAAAATGACTTAGAAAAGCACAAAGACCTTTTTGCTCTTGAAAATTCTGTTCACGTGGCATTCTACTAGTAAAACCACAAAAGGCAAAGATAAGCATTACTGTGGATATGTAATACAACAAACACAAAATAATCTCCTCCCAACCTCTCTCCAGCCAAATGCTCAACTGCTTAATTCACAGGAATTTATACATGTAAAGTAGCACAGTCTTCTATCAGATGAGGGAAGGGGCTAAAATTAAACAACTGGCCTTAGGAATAAAATCTGTCACTTGGCATAGACAGGACTTAGCACTCTCTGTTGGTGTGGAGTAGAGAACTCTCCTGTTGGAAGATTGGGGATTCACGGTTTTGATTATCCCCTATCTCATGTGCCTTGGTGAATTTTCAGCTGCTGCAAATTGAGCAGCCAGGTGGCACGCTATTGATTTAAAAGGATTTCCCAGGTGCTACAAAGAAGAGTTAATGATCTTTTAACCTCTATAGAAGCTTTTAACCTGTATAGTCAGAAAAAAAAATGGAAATAACATTGGAAAAAAATGGAAATAACATTGGAATAACATTCTCTGCAGACAGAAATGCACAATGTTGGTAGCATTTTATATCAGGAGCAAAAGCCAACTGTCCCCATGTCTGCAGAAGGGGTATTTTCTTTATAGGTAATCGTTTCAGTATTTAATCACTCAAGAGGACAGCAGCATGGTGAGATGGAGAGGGTCTGGGAAAAGACATCAGGAAACCTGTGCCCTATATCAACTCAGATACTCAGAAGTAAGGACTCAGAGTGTTGTACTAAATAATATTTGAAATCCCTTCCAGATCTATAATCATATCACCATTTGAGAGTCTGTCAATTACGTATGCATTTTGTGAAGACAACAGGATATGGCAGGAGGTGGGGGAGAGATTAATTTAATATAAAGTTGCTCATTTATTTCATGTTGATGTGTTGCATTAAATCCCAAAGATAAAAAGACAATGGCAACAAAGGTACAGTCAACAGAAAAGCCCATCTCTGGTGTACAGCAGAGGGGAGCCTGTGTCTAAATAGTACGTGTTTACATACCAGAGTTGCCCACGGTAACAACCTCTTCCCGAACCTTATGCCTCTGCTGGTCTTTCAGTGCCTCCACTATGACGTTGTAGGTGGCACCTCTGGTGAGGCCTGTCAGAGTGGCACTGGTAGAAGTTCCAGGAACCCTGAACTGCAATTATCGGTACATCCAAAGCAGAGAGAAAGCATTATAGTGAGGAATGACACGGGCTCTCCTCTTACCAATAACCCTCACTGTTTAAACAAAGCAAAGGAAGACAAAAAACAAAAAACAAAAAAAAAAAAAAGAGGGAGGGTATAGTGGTCCTAACCAGCTGAGGAGAGAAATGGAACAAGGATAGGGGCCATCGTTCCTGCCAGATTTTCCTGCCAACAATCTACCTACGTGCTCCGTAGTTAACAGGAGCCCTCGACAATACTAGAGACGGCCTGCCATTGATCTTGCTTCAGTCGCAGGTCTGCATAAGCCCTCTGGAAGCCCTGGCCATGTTTGCTTCACATAAAACCTGGACACTGCGCTATATGGGAGACACGGTCATGCTCCTCCAGGTGACATCTGACCCCAGTGTGGAGTCCTTAAAACAGTTGGGCAAATCCTCAAACTCATGTTTCTAAGCTCATAAATTTCCTACAGTGTTGTCAGTTTTTAAATTCTGCCACTTTCTAAAAGTAACAACACAATAAAAATTGATACTGTCAGTGGGCCGGGTGTAGTGGGTGGCTCATGCTTGTAGTCCCAGCACTTTGGGAGGCCAAGGCGGGCGGATCACGAGGTCAGGAGATCGAGACCATCCTGGCCAACATCGTGAAACCCCGTCTCTACTAAAAATACAAAAATTAGCTGGGTGCGGTGGCACATGCCTGTAATCCCAGCTATTTGGGAGGCTGAGGCAGGAGAATTGCTTGAACCTGGGAGGCAGAGGTTGCAGTGAGCCGAGATCACGCCACTGCACTCCAGCCAGGGCCATAGAGCAAGACTCCATCTCGGGGAAAAAAAAAAATGGATACTGTCAACACAAATTAAATAATATACGTTTTAGAGAATCAATCACTTATCAGCTGCTATGCACAGCTTCGCCTGTTTTTTTTTTTCTTTAGATATGTTGTAGATAGTGGGGTTCTTCAAGGACAAATCGTAAAGGTAGTGTTTTAGACTTCTGCACACAAATGGAAATTCAGGTAGAATATCTTTCTTTTCTAGAATCATCTATCTTACTCAAAAAGGAACCTCAAATGTGTGAGAATAAGAGAAATAGTTTCATTTTCTCTATGAAATAAAAGCTAGTGACTCTCTGGTATGTCCTCCAAAGTAGAGCCATATTGGGATTTAAAAAAAAAAAAAAGCAGGGCTTAAATGTGCCATCTTCTAAGAGGTTCTAAAAGTGGAGCCACTTTTTTTTTTTTTTTTTTTTCAAGAGACGAGGTTTCACCATGTTGGCCAGGCTGGTCTTGAACTCCTAACCTCAAATGATCCACCTGCCTCGGCCTCCCAAAGTGCTGGGATTACAGGCGTGAGCCATCACACCCGGCCATGAAGCCACTTTTTATTCGAGGGCTGGTCACTTCAGTTACCTAACTTATTCCTTTCTGTGCTGCCCCATGAGAAGTGAAGAGAACAATTAATTACCTGTAAGGGTTCTTCATCAGTGCCAACAGGATGACATGAAATGATGTACTCAGAAGTGTCCTGGAATGGGGCCCATGAGATGGTTGTCTGAGAGAGAGCTTCTTGTCCTGTAGAGGCATTTGGATTGAGTCCCGGACCGTGTGGGTACAGGTGATAGTCTACATCTTCCCTGGGGATGTGACCAATTTGGATTTCCTCACCTACATTCGGCGGGTATGGTCTTGGCCTATGCCTTATGGGGGTGGCCGTTGTGGGCGGTGTGGTCCGCCTAAAACCATGTTCCTCAAAGATCATTTGTTGCCCAACACTGGGTTGCTGACCAGAAGTGCCAGGAAGCTGAATACCATTTCCAGTGTCATACCCAGGGTGGGTGACGAAAGGGGTCTTTTGAACTGTGGAAGGAACATCCAAGATCTCTGGTCCATGAAGATTGGGGTGTGGAAGGGTTACCAGTTGGGGAAGCTCGTCTAGCCGAGAGAGGTTAGAGCCAAAAAAGCAAAGCGCATTAAGCTCCAGGAAGTAGCAGCAATGATAATAATCGATTCAGGCAACAATGACTGTTCATCAATTTGATAAAAGCCACCAGAAAATGAGCAGTTCTGAGATCACAAAACACTTTTTCCAGAAAGAAATCTTTAGGATTTTTCTCAAAGGTTTCTTTATAGTTTAGAAAGAAAAAAGTGTTAGTATGAATTTATCATACACACAGCTTTAAACCGCTGAGCCCCGTAGAAGCTGCCTCTGCTCAAATTAGACCTAATGGAACTGAAATGTGCAGTCTTTCTCTTTCTCTCTTTCTTTTTTAAATTTGAGAAGCAAGTTGTAGGAAGTAGAATCCAGACTAATCATATCAGTGTCATAAGTATGAGAATTACAGAGGTTTGGCTCAACAGTTTTTCATGGTTTGAAATGGTAAAAATAGATAAAACACACATGTTCATTTTTGAAATTTTCCTATATCAGGAATACACATTTTCTTGAAATTAACTGAAACTGGATGCAAAAGTAAGACATTATTTAGCTCTAAGTTGTAGAAACCAAATAAAGATAAATGTGAGAGGTTTCTCTCCCTCCTTTAAAAAAGGAAACATTTTAAAATTCAACAGAAGGTATAAAAGAAGAGCAATGATAGCTCTTCTTTTACATTTTAACATCTTGTTTGAATTTTTAAAAGGTGAATAACAAGGCTTTATATTGAGTGGCTGTAGTAAAGAAAAAAAATAAAACCAAACTCTGCAGTGCATGTTAAATTATTTCTCCTATTAAAGAATACAATATATACACTATGCTGTTAGATAAAAAAAATCACAAGAAATGCATCAAAACATGGAGAACCTTTTCATATTGCAAGATTGCTCATTTGTTATTAGTTTTGTCCTATCTTTCTCCTTGTTACCTGCAAGATACTCTTACCTGTCTTTTTCCTTCCAATCAGGGGCTCGCTCTTCTGATTATTCTTCAGGGCAATGACATAAATTGTATATTCGGTTCCCGGTTCCAGGCCTGAAGGGAGAATAGAACCATCACATTATGTCAATGGGCTCAGCTAGTCAAGTGGAAGTCGGTCTCACCAGCAGACGCTACTGGGAGCAGGCACTTCCTCTCCAGCTGGCTGTTGGCCTCTTGAAGGTAAAATCGACTTCACTTTTCCTCCATAAACACCCAAATATCCTGCATATAAAGTCCGCATCGCAAACTAATTATCTTACTATCATATCTGACGCCTGAATAGACATTTTTTGGCTAACTTTTCCAGGGTATTCTTTTTTTTTTTTTTTTTTTTTTTTTTGAGATGGAGTCTGGCTCTGTCACCCAGGCTGGAGTGCAGTGGTGCTATCTCGGCTCACTGCAAGCTCCGCTTCCCAGGTTCAGCCATTCTCCTGCCTCAGCCACCCGAGTAGCTGGGACTACAGGCACCCATCACCACGCCTGGCTAATTTTGTTTTTGTATTTTTAGTAGAGATGGGGTTTCACCGTGTTAGCCAGGATGGTCTCGATCTCCTGACCTTGTGATCTGCCTGCCTCGGCCTCCCAAAGTGCTGGGATTACAGGCGTGAGCCACCGCGCCTGGCCTTTCCAGGGTATTCTTTTAACGTGGTCTTATTTGCCTTTTTGAATTTAAGAAAATCTATCAGCATCATATACCACCACTGGAATATAAATTTGAAAGAGAGTCCTGCAGATTATATACATGAATCTACTTAGGCCTAATAACCAAGCAGTCCTCAGTGGCAGATCAATGAAAAGTGAAACTAAAGGCAAGTGAAGGGTAGGAGAGATTGGCCAGTGTTTGTGCAGCCTCTGTGGGAAGTGTCTAGTTCAATTCCTCTCATGTCTGCTTCTATTTTCCTGTTCCCCCCAATTCTAAAAAGCCAGTGTCTCCTTCTAATGTCTGTATGTTCTGTGGGAATTTTAAAGTCCAGGTGATACTCTATACAGACTGATATGGTTTGGCTCTGTGTCTGCATCCAAATCTCATCTGGAATTGTAATCCCCATGTATTGAGGAGAGGAGGTGATTGGATCATGGGGTGGTTCCCCCAGGCTGTTCTCATGATAGTGAGTTCTCACAAGATCTGATAGTTTTGTAAGTATCTGGAAGTTCCTCCTGTGTGCTTCTCTCTCCTGCTGCCATGTAAGACATGCCTGCTTTTCCTTCCACCATGATTGTACATTTTCTGAGGCCTCCCCAGCCATGCGGAACTGTGAGTCAATTAAACCTCTTTATAGCAGTATGAAAACAGACTAATACAGATAGTTTAAATATTTCATCTCTTGGGCAAAAATAATACTAGAGGCTTATAGTCTTTCCCACCAAGGTAGACAACTCTTATTCCCCATTCCAGGCATTCTTCCAATGTGGGTGGTTGGGACTGCTCTGCCTCAAGACCTATCCTGTGATAGTGGTCAACAAGGTCAATGGCAGGTGGTGCACTGGCAAGTCCTGCAAGATTGCCATATCTATAGAGAGCTGAGTGTAATGACAGAATCACAATCAGCTAGTATGCTTTGAAAAATATCTTTCTCCAGGACTGAATTGACAGGTATCTGGCAAACTTGCAGCGAAAGGAAAACATGAGTCTAGTCATGCCATTAGTACAGTCTTGAAATTGCATTTTCCTTCACTCATGCCTTTTGGGATGTATTAGGCTCTACCACTCCTACACAGAGAATGCTTTTTGAGGTTATCAGGAACAGAGTTTCGCATTCTCATGACACAGTATCAAAGACGCTGTGGGAGTTTGCTAAGGACTTCATGTGTCCTAGGTAGTAAGAAGGAAAATGACAGCATGGAAGCAGCAATACCAGTAATAGTAGCCTCTGTGACACCAGGGCGGGGCCGAGGGACCACTTCTCTGGGAGGAGACCCAGGCTTCTCATACTTGATGATGTAGCCGGTAATCCTGGCACGTGGCGGCTGCCATGATACCAGCAAGGAATTGGGTGTGGTGGCCAGGAAACGCAGGTTGGATGGTGCATCAATGGCTGAAAGAAAACAAAATTAAGTCTCTAAGAAGGCAAATAACCAAGAAAATTACTCCCACACTTTTCTCCCGAGCCGTTCTAAACACACTTAAAAGAATCTGAGAATACTGTAAACCGGAAACAAGATTCTCTGGAATCTATAATACAAAAATATACGCCTCACATTTGTTTTTTGAGTTCATGAAACTGATTGCATACAAGTCAATGGCATTTCCTCAGTAGAAGGTATAGTTACCAGTGGAGGCGTCGATGACCACAGGGGAGCTCCGAGCATTGTCATTCAAGGTGTACAGGTAGATCTTGTAGTCAGTGCCTGGTTGTAAACCTGGGATTTGAGAAGAGATGATTTTTAACAGTTCTTGCTTTTTACTAGGAGAATTCTCAAGCTAGCCTGCAATTTTTCTGGGTTCTTCTATCATCCCATATTTATATAGACTACCAAAGTGGTCCACATTTGAACAGTAAAGTAGAGCATGCTATGGATGTTAACTGTTAACAAGAAACATATCTCGAAAGTGAATCACTGATACAGACAAGGACACTGGTAAAGTAAATTCTGGAATGCAAAAATGCTATGTTGGAAGAGGCCCTCTTGCAGAATGGGGGTCAGCCACTTATTGAGGTTTTCTCTTTACCGTAATCAGATGGTCAATAGTTGAGCCTTGGAATCACAATTTTAAAAAGCTAAAAAAGACCTCAGATATTGAATATTCTTCGGTTACAATTTTGGCCTTTATTAAGTGGTATTGTTTACTTTTATATTAACTATGCTTTTTAATGCTAAGATCTATACATCACTGTTTTTTATTTCTTTTAGTTTTAAACCTTATGTTACAATTTTTTAAATAAGAAAGGGCACAATGATGGAAGATCAAACTTGTTGATTGACACTTACGCAATTTCCATGACAAATATTACACAAAATCAGGCATTCAAAGGACAAAACTATTTCTGATCATAGCATGAAAATAACGTTCTAAAACTGGGTTATGATGATAACACTGAAAATAAATTTTATCAGTGTCAGTCGTAGAACAGTTAATAAGCCCGTTTACATTGTGGGTATTTGTTAACAAATGTGGTTAGTGCAATGAGTTCCCTGACCTGTGATGGTGTAGCTTCTGACATCTGGCTTGATGGTTCTCTGGATTGGAGTCTGGCCATTGGCTGGAACGGCATCAACTTGGAAGCCAGTGATCGTCTCAGTCTTGGTTCTCCAGCTAATGGTGATGGTGGTCTCAGTAGCATCTGTCACACGAGCCCTTCTTGGTGGGCTGACATCTGCACAGGAGCATAGCTAGAGATTAGTGCCTGCTTGGCTCATCCATGTAAAGTTTTGGTATTTTAAAACGTTTCCTTGGTATATATCAAATTCATCCATTTCAAGAAATATATAACTAGTAATGTGTAGATTATCTCCTTTGGCATTCAGAGAGAAAGGTCAACTGTAATTAGAAAATAGGAAAATATCTACCTCTCAGACATTTTATTTTGAAGAGCTGAAAAGCTTTATAGATACTACCAGTGGTTCCCAGGGCTGGCTTTATAGTATCTACAAATACTTCAATAAATATTAAAATTATTAATGTATTATAATGTAAAAATATGTGTGGTAGGAGTTACAATAACATGGCCAGCTAACAATTTTGTGTGTGTGTGTGTGTATGTGTGTGTGAGAGAGAGAGAGAGTGTGTGTGTGTGTGTGTGTGTGTGTGTGTCTAATATTACGGCAAGTATTTTGTATTTTCTCTCAACAGGTACAATGCCATCCCTCTTTTATAAATGATAAAACTTTGACACTTTACCTGACTTTTGAAAAGGCATACATCAAGGTATTGATATAACAGAAGACTAGAATCTAAGCCTGATTTGGTCCAATGGTTACTGTGCTGTGATATAATTTGGATATTTGTCCCTGTCCAAATCTCTGTTGAGTTGTAATCTCCAATGCTGGAGGTGGGGCCTGGTGAGAGGTGTTTGGATCATGGGGGCAGATCCCTTGTGGCTTGGTGCCCTCTTTATGACAGTGAGTTCTCAAGAGACTGGGTCATTTAAATGTATAAGGTCCTCCCCCCCCAACTCTCTCTCTCTCTCGGTCTTGCTTTTGCCACAGCCATGTGATGTGCCTGCTCCCCCTTGGCCTTCCACCATGAGTAAGCTTCCCAAGGCCTCCCTAGAAGCCAAGAAGATACCAGCACCATGCTTCCTGTAAAGCCTGCTGGCCTGTGGGCCAATTAAGCCTCTTTTCTTTAGAAATTACCCAGTCTCCGGTATTTCTTTATAGTAATGCAAGAATGGCCTAATATGCATTGTTAAGATATAGCAGAAGCCAGTGGGGTCTCCCCAAGCTTAGCTCTATGAAAACAAATTCTAACAAGTAGAGCATAAACTAGATGTCAGTCATAGTCCATAATATCAACATTATAAGCTTATGAAGTGATTCCATTTTATGGGTCAGTAGACCCCTTTCTGAAGGAGTATAAAAGATGACAGTCATGCGTCAAAAAGGCAATCAAATTGATTTTCAAATTAGGACTCATTCCACTGTTAACATATAAATCTAAAAAATTATTTATTTTATTTATTTTATTTTTTTTAAGAGACAGGGCCTTGCTATTTGCCCGGGTAGGTCTCAAACTCCTGGCCTCAAGTGACGCTCCCGCCTCAGCTTCCCAAAGTGCTTGGATTTTAGACATGAGCCACTGAACCCCACTGATTTACCATTCTTTAATTTTTGTCTATACAGAAGGTTTGTCCATATGAAGACATTTTGTTACTTACTCTCCAGAGTGGTGACAACTCCCTGAGCTGGTCTGCTTGTCAAAGTGTCCTTAAGAGCATAGACACTCACTTCATATTTGGTGGCCACCTAGAGAAATAAGGGCATGGTGAGCTTTAGCAACGTCCTCAACTGAAACCCAAGGAGTTTCACTACAGCATTAGGTAAATGCAATGGTTAGAAAATAAAAAATAAACAAACCAGCAAAACCCACAACCTTGAAAATTCCTAGATTAATTTCATTCCTACAGTGCAGGTGATAAATGTATTTATCAATTTTAAAATGCTCTTAGCGGTTAAGCTTAAGTAAGCCATAGATTATATACTTAAACTAAGCTGGTAAAAAAAATGAGAAAAGTGGGTATTAGCGTATTTTTCTTTTTTATGATCTGACAGGTGTAAATCATAATTTTTTCCTTATCATAGAGAGGCAAAGAGAATGTTCCATTTTGTCTCTGAACCCTCTTTCTGTAGTTTCCCCTGAAATTGGCCTTATGTTAAGAGGTACATCAGTCCCCTAGGTTCCTAGCAGTTTTCTGCATGTATGTCTGGAAGGATTTTAAAATGTTTTAATGAGGGTAGGCTCAAGGTAGACTGGTACAAACTGTAAAATATTCTTTACCAAGGTAACAGAGCTCAGAAAATGCATAACTAAGTCGATTTATGCATTCAACCAATGGATATGTAAATTGCCCCCCACAACCTTTTAAAATAAGCACAATACATCTAAAAGAGCTGCACAAAATCCAAAGCTATTTATAAAATTCTGTCCCAATAGTCATCTGGAAAACTTAGGTCAACATAAAGGAATTCCGTTGATATAAAATTACAATAAGATTATTTGATGCAGAGGAAAAGAACAGTTAGATTTATTATGATATTATATTTTCACCACCTTAGAAACTGTGTTAGAGATGATCTCCATCTTTATTCCAATGAACAACGGTCATGTCTTACCATAAGTCCTGATACAACCACGGATGAGCTGTCAGGAGCAAGGTTGATTTCTTTCATTGGTCCGGTCTTCTCCTTGGGGGTCACCCGCACTCGATATCCAGTGAGCTGAACATTGGGTGGTGTCCACTGGGCGCTCAGGCTTGTGGGTGTGACCTGAGTGAACTTCAGGTCAGTTGGTGCAGGAATAGCTGTCGAGATTGTCATTGGTTAGAGGTTATCTTATAGGAAATGGGGGAAAAGGAAAATAAAGTGAGTTCCAAGAAGTAGAATGGATTGTTCTTGTTGGGCTAGGTGGGTTCCCTGGTCAAGCAAAGATTCAGTACAAGAAAGTACGTACAGTAAGGGATGCAAAATGAAGAAAGTGTTTGCTGAGAAATGTGTTTTATATCCACCAATTCTCAGAATCACTGAAAACATTTGGGTAAATGCCAAAACTCTAAGAGATTTTAGGTTTTACAAGTTTTGCTTTCCCTTAAAAAAAAAAGTTACATTGGCTTATTGGCCATTATGATTTATTTTACTTTTGTATGGAAAAATAAGCAATGGCCCTTTTTCTTTCTTAAAATTGTTAATTAATTAATTTAGAAACGGTCTCTCTGTGTCATCCAGGCGGCAGTGCAGTGGAGTTATCATAGCTCACTGCAGCCTTGAACTCGTAGGCTCAAGTGATCCTCTACCTCAGCCTCTTGAGTAGCTGGGACTACAGGCATGTGTCACCACACCTCGCTAATTTTTTCATATTTTTTTGTAGAGACGGGGTCTCACTTCATTGCCCAGGCTGATCATGAACTCCTGGCCTCAATCAGTGCTCCCGGCTTAGCCTCCCAAAGCACTAGGATTACATGTGTGAGCCACTGCACCCGGCCTCCTTTTTCTATTCTACATAAAGTATCTTTGTATGGATAACCATTTCACGCAGTATTCCATCCAAAAAAGAGAGAATAATGTTTTTATTGTCTCTTTATTTGGACCCTATGGCAGATATGGCTGCTAAATTTGACGTTCTCTCTGTAATGCGGCGTAAGAAGAAAACTGGCTCCCAACAGAAGCAGAAAAGAGAAGCGAAAAGCAATAATACAGACTGTCACCTCTAGGGTTTATGCTGTCACTAGGATACATCTTTAGCATTCTACTCTGCTTCAGAAATAAAGCACAAGAAGATAAAGTATTATGGAAAGCAATTGCCCTATTGATTATTTCCTAGGTGTCTAAATCACAATCATTTAAGCTAATTATACACCAGCATATGATATCTAACCAGAGAAGAAAGGTCTTACCCACGTGTGCTCAGAATCATGCTGCTATGAAATGCCCGAGTTTGGGTTCCTTTTTATAAGTAAGCTCTGTAATGCCAAACTTCTTTTCTTTATACATAGTGAGGGTAATCACAGGGAGTCAGAGCTTAGGAAATAATCCACAACTTTAGTATCCTCTTCAAATGTCTTGCTTTATGGTCTTGTGTATAAGCCAGGATACTCCAAAATTTCTTTTAATCAGACTTGTTTCCTTAAATATCACCTAAGTTTTATTGTTTCTTACCATTCCTCTTTAAAGAGGATCTTTCCTAATAATTCTTTTTCACCCTTACACGGGAATCAATAGCCCAGTGAAGCATAATTCATTCAGTAGGGCATAAAGCCGCTGCTCCCATGGGCACCTGGTGGTGCAATTAACCATATACCTGTGGACTGGGTTCCAATCAGGGGCTGGCTCTCCATATCATCGTGCAAGGCAACCACACTGACTGTGTACTCAGAACCCGGTCTGAGGCCTTGCAGCTCTGCAGTGTCTTCTTCACCATCAGGTGCAGGGAATAGCTCATGGATTCCATCCTCAGGGCTCGAGTAGGTCACCCTGTACCTGGAAACTTGCCCCTGTGGGCTTTCCCAAGCAATTTTGATGGAATCGACATCCACATCAGTGAATGCCAGTCCTTTAGGGCGATCAATGTCTGTTAGGCAAATTAATGGTAAGAGGTTATGTGAAAAGCAAGTTGTGAAATAAGCATTTTTATAACATGCAAAGCAGTTTTGCAGATACCATTTTCTTTGATGAAGTCCAATTAACCCACTATCAAAAGGAAAAATCACTTAAACACTTGCTTAATTTTTCTTGGTTTAGAAAATATGCAATGTTGCATCACTTATTAAAACATAGGTGTATGTGAGATAAGCAGATACCCTGCAAAATGTCCCCACAATGGGGATGTATTTATATTAATTTAAAGATATTCTACCACGATTTGATTTTTACAATGTGATGTTAGTCTCATAGACCTGGATTTTCTATACCTTGGAAGTGGTAAAGCTGATTTGCAATGTCAGATTCAAATTGTTATAATTGTTTTGTTTTGTTTTTTTTTGAGATGGAGTCTCACTCTATCACCTAGGCTGGGGTGCAGAGGCATGATCTTGGCTCACTGCAACTTCTGCCTCCTGGGTCCAAGTGATTCTTCTGCCTCAGCCTCCTGAGTAGCTGGGATTACAGGCACGTGCCACCGCGACTGGCTAATTTTTGTATTTTTAGTAGAGATGGGGTTTCACCATGTTGGTCAGGCTGGTCTCGAACTCCTGACCTCGTGATCCGCCTGCCTCAGCCTCCCAAAATGCTGGGATTACAGGCGTGAGCCCAGCCCTATAATGGTTCTTACACTCTTCTTTTCCCCTCTCTATTAAGCATTTATATTACACTCTGGTCCAGCCATAGCCCTTCAAATGCCCCAAACATAAAGCTACATGAGGCACACTTCAATCAACTTTACCATCCAGTTGTAGAAAAGACGGTCTAGGAAAATTTTTTGTAGATTTGCTATAGGCAAATAAGATTTCGCTGAGGCCATTTGAGCAAAAGAAATTCAAAGCACAGCAACTAACTATGGTGGTTTCACAACTTCTTTCTCTGTAAATTCCTCGCTTGGCACTGAGAAGGAAAAAAGATGTTCGTAAAGGGCTCAGCTCAAGACATAAACTAACCAACAAGTTCACTTTCCCTATGTGTAATTGCAAAAGACATGTCGTGGGCATTCAGACACCCAAGAACAAAATTTGACTTTGAAAATGGAAACCAAGCAGTGGTTACGTACTGGTTACTGCAGTCTGAACCAGAGGCTGACTCTCTCCGCTTGGATTCTGAGCATAGACACTAACCACATACTCCACTGTGGGCTGCAAGCCTTCAATAGTCATTTCTGTTTGATCTGCAAAGGGAGTGAAAAGCAAATGCAACATCCACGTCATCCACTATAAAGTCCTCAAGTGGCGTCTAGAGTTTGGTAGTAAACATATGGTGGCCTAGAATTTTTATTTGCAGAATTGTAACAAAAATATGGAGAGTCAGACTTTGATTTCCTCTTGGACAAACCTGTTCATTGCTAATACAAATTACCATATGGGAGTGAAGTCACACTCAAGGATAAGATCTAAAACTTAATATGATGCCCCCAACAATTAGTGATACTGCTCTCAGAAAAAATGAAAATTAACTTGACTCTAATAAATTGCCTTAAGATCCTAATTTCACAAGTATTCTATTTAAAAACAAAGACAACATAGCTAAAAAGAGCTGAAAAAGTCAGTTAGGCCATTTATCTCTTCTTAGTGTGAATGATAAACAAAACCAGAAGGGTGAATCTAGTAATTTAAGATGTCCATATCACTAAATAGAACTATCCATGTAAAAACAGAAATGCACTTAAGACTTCTACTGTGAAAAGGGTTGATAATGATCTTGAGCCCTGAACTCATGAATGGGGACAATGATGACATAGGACAAAAAAATACATAGTACTCACAACAAGGTAGCCATTTATATAAAAAAGAATATTAGGTGGTCCTACCCCATCTATCCTGTTGTATATGAGATGCAGATTACTCTTTTTTTTTTTTTTTCCCTGAGATGGAGTCTCTCACTCTGTCACCCAGGCTGGAGTGCAGTGGGGCTATCTTGGCTCACTGCAACCTCTGCCTCCAGACTTCAAGCCATTCTCCTGCCTCAGCCTCCTGAGTAGCTGGGATTACAGGCACAAGCCACCATGCCCAGCTAATTTTTTTGTATTTTTTAGTACAGACGGGGTTTCGCCATATTGGCCAGGCTGGTCTCGAACTCCTAACCTCAAGTGATCTGCCCGCATCAGCCTCCCAAAGTTCTGGGATTATAGGAGTGAGCCACCGCACCTGGCCGAGATGCAGATGATTCTTACCTGGACCTGCAGTTTTAGTTTTTGTTGGTCCTGGTCCATTTTTGGGAGTGGTGGTTACTCTGTAACCAGTAACAGGGGAACTTGAAGGCAGCCACTTGACACTAATGCTGTTGTCCTGAACATCGGTCACTTGCATCTGGGATGGTTTGTCAATTTCTACAAATAAAAGCAGGGAGAAACCAGTGAAGCCCCAGTCCTTGGAGACAAGATTGGACAAGTCCTCCTCTCTAGGTCTGGTACATATTCGAATGATCGCTTACATGAGAAAGGTATTTCTTCTCGAAAGAATACAGAGAGAGCTTTTAGAGGGATGGGGCAGGCATCTCAATACCATTTCCTATTTTTGAGATGGTTGCTTCATTCACAAAGAAGCTACATTCCACAAGCAGGTGTCTCTTCCTACTTTATCAACTCATCCATTCTTTTCCCACAAATACTTACTGAACACTCTCTATGCCTGTCGTATTGCAGACATGCGGAATATATCGACAAAACTGACTGAACTTCCTGCCCTTGGGGTGCTTCCTTCTTTATCTGGCTCAAAACTCTGTTCGCTGCAGGTGCTAGCTGCAGGTTGTTGCTCATTAAAAAGGAAAATCTATTCTACAATTAGAAAAATACCTTGGGAGAACATTGCAAAACAGTATCTGAATAAGTAAAAGCTGGTGTCACCCCAGAGTAGAAGTTTGTACCTGTTCGGTAATTAATGGAAATTGGCTTGCTGCTTGCGGGGCTGTCTCCACGGCCAGTGACAGCATACACAGTGATGGTATAATCAACTCCAGGTTTAAGGCCGCTGATGGTAGCTGTAGACTTGCTCCCAGGCACAGTGAACTCCTGGACAGGGCTATTTCCTCCTGTATGAAAAAGGGTTAGTTCAGAGTGTGAGGGGTTTAGAGCTACTTGGGTATTACTGATTAATTGAATTACCACATTTATAGCAGCATGTAAATCACATCTTCTTGCTTATTCCCTTTTAAAGAGCGCTATCTTGAACAGAAAGGGGTATTTATGCATGTAGCAAACCTTGGTAAGTGTATAAACATTGAGAGAAAATTACAGTTAGCGCTGTTTTAACATTTCAGCTTTAAAATGTCACTGAGTAGTAGAGTAGCATTAGAAGTGGGAGAAGGTAAGCCCTCAACCCAGGATTGCATGCATTGTGTCCTTTTTAAAACTTTTAACAGAATACATTCCTTTTAAATAAAATTTGGAAAATACAGAAAAGTAAAGAGAAGAAAAAATAAAAATCACTTATTTCCACCACTGATAATATGTTTGTGAATTTACAATCCTTTTATTTCCTCAGCTCTGCCGTTCCCCCTCTAGTTGTAGTATATAAACAACTTTTTATTTGGGTTTTAGAACAAATTATATCATCTATATCTTACGTATTTTCTTGGAAAAAACAAGGGCTCCGTTGAATGGACTTGCCAAAGTTTCTTTAATTCTTTGTTCACTGTTGGGCTTTCAGGTTATCCACAACAGAATCTGATTTAATCAGAGTGTAAAATAGCATTTTACTGCTGTACCTGTCTCTCCGTAAGTGATCCTGTAATATCTCACTGTGACAGCAGGAGCATCCCAGCTGATCAGTAGGCTGGTGGGGGTCGCAGCAACAACTTCCAGGTCCCTCGGAACATCAGAAACTAGAAAAAAAAGGGAAACTTTTCACATCCGTAATTTTCAAACAATATTCAGATTTACTGTTTGTTCATTTTCCAGATAATTGTCTTAATGATTCTTCCATACAATCATGTAAATACTACGTGTAATTAGCAGAATTTTATATTATGACGAATTCAAGATAAGGGGTTACAGAGCCCATTCAAATTGTGATAAAATGATTATTTCAAATTTGGGGAAGAGTTTTTTTCCCTCAACATTTTATTTGGAAAAATTTCAAAACTACAGAAAAGTTAAAAAAAAAAAAAAAAAAAAAAGTGATACAAGGCCGGGCGTGGTGGCTCACGCCTGTAATCCCAGCACTTTGGGAGGCCGAGGCGGGTGGATCATTTGAGGTCAGGAGTTCAAAACCAGCCTGGCCAACATGGTAAAATCCCATCTCTACTAAAAATACAAAAATTAGCCGGGCGTGGTGGCGGGCACCTGTAGTCCCAGCTACTTGGGAGGCTGAGGCAAGAGAATTGCTCGAGCCTGGGAGGCAGAGGTTGCAGTGAGCCAAGATCCCACCATTGCACTCCAGCCTGGGCGACAGAGCAAGACTCCATTTCAGGAAGAAAAAAAAAAAAAAAAAAGTAATACAATGAACACCTATATACCCTTCCCTTAGGTATTTGTCTCTGGCTTGACGACTTGAGACTAAAATACAGATAACATGATGCTACTGTTCCCGTAAGTACTTCAGCCTCTATCTGCTAAGAACAATGACACTATTACCCTAAAATTATATTTTTAAAGGTACTTTGAAACAGTGTTCAGTTTTCCACCTTTTTTTTTTTTTTTTTTGAGACAGAGTCTCCCTCTGTCACCAGGCTGGAGTGCAGTGACACAATCTTGGCTTACTGCAACCTCCGCCTCCTGGGTTCAAGCAATTCTCCTGCCTCAGCCTCCTGAGTAGCTGGGACTACAGGTGCATGCCACCACGCCCAGCTAATTTTTGTATTTTTAGTAGAGACGAGGTTTCATCATGTTGGCCAGGATGGTCTCGATCTCTTGACCTCGTGATCCACCCGCCTTGGCCTCCCAAAGTGCTGGGATTACAAGCGTGAGCCATTGCGCCTGGCCCTTTTTTTTTTTTTTTTTTTGAGACAGGGTCTTGCTCTGTCACCCAGGTTGGAGTGCAATGGCCTGATCTCAGCTCACTGCAACCTTCGCCTCCCAGGTTCAAAGATTCTCCTGCCTCAGCCTCCCCAGTAGCTGGGATTACAGGTGCATGCCACCACACCTTGCTAATTTTTGTATATTTAGTAGAGATGGGGTTTCACTATGTTGGCCAGGCTGGTCTTGAACTTCTGACCTCAAGTGATCTGCCCATTTCGGCCTCCCAAAGTGCTGAGATTACTGACGTGAGCCACCCCGTCCGGCCAATTTTCTACATTTTCAACAAAACTTGTGTTATTAGAAATGCATAAATACCCAAATCAGGTGAGAAATTTCTTGAGAGGAAAAAAATTATCTTCTTTACTGCCACCACGCCCGGGCTTCTTTACCATATTCTAAGGAAGATGTTTCTCCACATTTTCTCACTTCCCTCTCCATGTACCATGACAATGATCTATTTTTTTTTTTTTTTTTTTTTTTTTTGAGAGCTGATGACAGACAACAGCAAGCTACTTTACAGAATCTACCAACTGGGTAGGAAAGTCTTCTGAGTTTCTTTGCAGACAAGAAAAGTTACCTGTTGATTGTTGGCCAATCAATAAGGGACTTTCCTCTCTGCCATTAAGAGCAACGATGCTGACCACATACTCTGTGCCTGGAGTGAGGTTGGTGAGGGTGATGGAATTCCGAGAGTGGGGCACCCGATCTTCTCGAGGTCTCCCACTGAAGTGCTCGGGATGATGGCGGATCCTGTAGCCAGTGATGGTGGCTCGAGGAGCAATCCAGTGCACAGTAAAAGAGTTGGCAGTAATATCAGAAAAGTCAATGCCAGTTGGGGAATCAAGACCTGTTTTTCCCACCCGGGGGAGGAAGAGAAAAAAAAAAGAAAAGACACCACCAGTTTAGGAAGTGAGGAAGGTGTAGGGGAAATTAACGTACATCCAACATTTCGTTCCTGTCTCATCAATACCATGATTTGCCATAAACCAAAGAGTAAGATGTACTGATTCTAAGCTACATATGAATTTTAAAATCTTAAATTGACTCAATTCAAAATAGCCAGCTCAAGCATTCATTTTTTTCTTGTGCTAAGTAATTCAAGCAGATTTTAGGGGTTATTACAGTAAGTTTCTGTGTCACATTTGGAGATAAGTGTTCAAGATCTTCTGAGAATTGACATTTTCAAATTCTTCAGTGTTCAAGTATTCTGTGTTTCTATCCTGTAAGTGTATCCTTCCAAGTAAAGCAAGATCTGCCCACTCTCAAAGTAAATGTTTGACTCTCAGAGAAGCCTCCTAAGCTCAAGAGGAAATTTATATGTCAACAGAGTGGTAATGATGCCAAACACAAAACTTTCTGAAACTAAAGACATTATCCCAGACAAATTACAATGCTGATAATTCCTCGTGAATTGACAGTTTTGAAAAATGCATTTTTCAAAAATGCACAAAAATTCAGAGTTTGTTGCAAATTCAAATCACTTAGTCTCTGGGACTTCCAGCAAATTTCTGTTTCAGTTACAGCATTTACTAGTTCTTTTCAATAAGAAACCAAACTAAGATATCATAAGTCCTTTTTGGAAGCAAGTGGACTATAAATAAATTAATGAATACACTAAAGTGTACCTTTTGAAAGAAAAAATTAAAAGCATTCATATTTAAGTATGTAATATTTATGAGATTCAATTCAACTTCCTTCTAGTAAATGCATATTTTATTAAGTAAAAAGAAAATGTAAACTTGCTGGCTTAGTAAAGGAAGACAAATAGATGACAATGAGTGTTGGGTCAGCCATTAGACAGAGCTGCCTAATGAAAAGGAATGTCTGCTAAATCTAAATAACAAAGATCTTCTTAGAAAATGTTTTTTAAAAGGACAGACAACAAATTTCTTAATTTGTTAGTGACTGAAAGTCTAGGTGATTGTTGAGTAAGGTATCTTTTAGTTTTTGAGACCAGCGATAAAATCATACTGTGATGACAAAGGTACACACACCATGACAACAAAAAATGGAGATGTATTTTTAGAAGTAGCATTTCATTTGTTATACAGAATTGATAGGCAAAAGCTACTGGATAGTCATACTGCCAACACCACTCACCTGTTTTCTGTCTTCCTCTAAGAGGTGTGCTCTCATGTTGTTCGTAGACACTGGAGACACTCACTACATATTCTGTACCAGGCAGGAGATCTGTAGGGGCAAATGGGGCTTATTTTAAAACTCTGCTCAAAAGCATGAGAAACTAAAGCACGCCCAGGACTATTTGAACTGATGAAATATCCAAATGTCCAGTCCTATAGCCTACTTACACCTAAGTGAACACTACAGCGAAGTGTTCAGTGAACAGACCTTGAGAAGGTCTGTAATTAGATGATAAGGAAGGGTCACCTTGCCCCATGGCCTCTCGAAGCCCTCCATTCCACCTGTGAGTGTGACTCAGCTGGATTTCGAGTGGGATGAAGTTGCTGCAACAGCTGGATATTTCTCGCATCCACCTGAGAGTATGTCTCTGGAGGGCACATGATAATCCTTGCTGTGGTGCTGTGGATTGCCATTTATGCCTCACAACAACCCTGGAAGGTAGTTTGCTCCTTTTAAAAGCAATTTCTTGTCATACAACGTACTGCATATCTTTAAAGTGATGGGTTTTTACATATGTGTGACTTGGGAGACCATCACCGCATTCAAGAAATGAACAAACCTATCACCTCTAAAAATTTGATTTACTACAATTATCTCCATTTTGTAAATGAAAAAACAAAAAACAAAACAAAAAAAAACTGAGGCACAGAGAAGTTATCTTCTTTAATTTACTTGCCCAGGATCATACTGGGATTGACCCAGGCCAGGACTAGTGGTCTTAATAATTAACCTTTACTGGAAAAAAGCCACACTTAGAAAGCAATCGGTTCTGCCATATTAAAATGAGAGCAGAATATTTTTTAAAAAATTAAATATACATCCCTGAGTATCTTGTTCCATTTTTTTTTATTTTTATTATTTTTTCTTTTTGACGAGGTTTTACTCTGTTGCCCAGGCCGGAGTGCAGTGGTGTGATCTTGGCTCACTGAAACCTCTGCCTCCTGGGTTCAAGTGATTCTCCTGCCTCAGACTCCTGAGTAGCTGGGATTACAGGTGCCTGCCACCATGCCTGGCTAATTTTTGTATTTTTAATAGAGACGGGGCTTCACCGTGTTAACCAGGCTTGGACTGGAAATCCTGACCTTGTGATCCACCCGCCTTGGCCTCTCAAAGTGCTGGGATTACAGGCGTGAGCCACTGTGCCCAGCTTCTTCTTCCATTTTGATACACAGTCAGGCATAGCTTAATGGTGGAGATACATTTTGATAAGTGTGTGATTTGGTGATTTTATTGTGTAAGCATCATAGAGTGTACCTACACAAACCTAGATGGGCTTGTAATCCCAGCACTTTGGGAGGCCGAGGAGGGTGGATCACTTGAGGTCAGGAGTTTGAAACCAGCCTGGCCAACATGGTGAAACCCCTCGTCTACTAAAAATACAAAAAAATTAGCTGGGCGTGGTGGCTCACGCCTGTAATCCCAGCTACTCGGGAGGCTGAGGCAGGAGAATCACTTGAGCCTTGGTGGTGGAGGTTGCAGTGAGCCCAGATCGTGCCACTGCACTCCATCCTGGGCAACAGAGGGAGACTCCGTCTCAAAAACAAAACAAAACAAAACAAAACAAAAAACCTAGATGGTAGAGCCTTTGACACACCTAAGCTATAAGCTATGTGGTCTAGCCTATTGCTCCTAGGCTATGAGCCTGTGCAGCATGTTACTGTACTGAACACTAGAGGCAACTGTAATATATGGTAAATATTTGTATATCTAAAAGATACAGAGAGTGAGGTTTCTAAATTTGGAACTCCTACTCACTAAACCCTCATTCCCCTGCACACCATTTGCCCTTCAGCGTTTCTATAAAGCCCCCTACAAAAGTTTGGAAAAGTGCCAGAATGGAGGACCAGATGCCTGGATTCCATTTCCACCATACTAGCTGGCCAGTGGCAATTTACTTAACTGCTGGGGACCTCGACGGCTTCATGTTTATTTGTTTGTTTATTTTTTTGAGACAGGGTCTCACTCTGTCACCCAGGCTGGAGTGCAGTGGCACGATCATGGCTTGCTGCAGCCTCAACCTCCCCAGGCTCAGGTGATCCTCCTACCTCAACTTCCTACATAGCTGAGACCACAGGTGTGCACCACCATGCCCGGCTAATTTTTGTATTTTTTGTAGAGACTTGGTCTCACTGTGTTGCCCAGGCTGGTCTCGAACTCCTGGGCTCAAGCAATTGGCCCACCTCAGCCTCCCAAAGTGCTGGGATTATACAGGCGAGAGCCACTGCACTGGTTTGCTTCATCTTTAAAAGAGGATAATAATGACTTTGCTAGGAGGGAGAGGGGCTACCCTGAGGTCATCTGTAGCATTAGGATTATAATAAGGTCTTAGAACACATGATTAGCATGTGACAGGTCTACGGCTAAGGGACAGACATTGTGATGCAGGGGCTTGTATACTGGGTGATGCTGTAATTAGTGATTCCAGGGTGCTCTAGAACAGAAGCAACAGCCCTGGGGTGGTGGATATGCCAATATAAAGATATTCTTGCCCTCAGCCACAAAGTAAGAAACCAAGATTATGGTCACGCTGAGCTGCTCTTCTTTGTGTTTCATTATCTAAATTATGTTTGAAAGGTAGATGTTTTCAGACTAATACTTGGTAATGTACCTAAATGTAAGCTATTTTTCCCTTATGTAGAATCTTTTGCTGTTGTTATATATTTGACTATTACAGTGAAAATAATAAAAAGCACTGTTTATGTGAAACACAGCACCATCTTGCAGCCTACTGTTTTATTCTTTAACAAAAGATGTCTATTCTATAATGGTTGGGACTAGAAAGAGACAATTTCCATAAATTGTTGTTATTTATTTAATGTCAGTTTTTTTTCTAAGCTCTCAGTCTTCTGAGAAATCCTTCTAACAGATTCTTTTTGAAGTACAAATTAAACTTCTGACTCTCTTCACAACAACATTCTAATCTAGACCAAACAATCAGTCACTTTTCTAAGTATTCAAATCCTAAATCAATCAACTGCTGACACTTTTTTTATAAAAATGAGAATAAAGCACATATGGTGACACTATTTTCAGTTCTCATTTTTTTCTCTAAAGATTTAGATTTAGTCATATAATTTCTCTTGATATTCACTTATTTTTACGTGCTTATTTAGAAGCAGAATTTGTTTGAAGTCATGGAACTTTCCTGCAGGTGTTTTTCCACTATGATTTTTTTAAAGCTGTAGATATCAAAAGTATATTAAGATAGCAACAAACATTACATCTTTCAAAATTAATGGAGCTGTGCATTGAATTCAGAGTTTAGTTTGTAGCTTGGTTGCAGCTCTCTTGCTCTTAGCTCCTCCTACTTGAGAATTTAGAATTCATTTGCTATGCTCTAGGTTAATATTTATGGAACAGATACATTCAACTGCTTACTTGTTAAGACCACTGCATTGTCTGAAGGAGAAATTGACAACTCTGCAACATCTTCCTCATTTTTCACAGGTGAGTAACGCACCAGGAAGTTGGTTAAATCAATGGATGGGGGTGGAGCCCAGGTGACACGCATGGTGTCTGGACCAATGTTGGTGAATCGCAGGTCAGTGGGAGGAGGAACAGCTGGTTTCGAACAAGAAGGAAGACTCAGTTAATGTAATTTTAAAATTAAAGCTAACGAAGTAGCTGGAAAGGTAAAATCAATATTTCATGCATAAAGGAAACAGAATCATAATCATGCAAACAGTCTAATCTAAGTCTATTTTAAGTTATAGTGTACTACTGTTAAAAATAAAACACTACACACAGTACTGTTAGGCCCCCTTTAACCTTTTTGCCATCATTGATATATTTAAAAAAAATTTTAATCTACTTTCAAATATGTTGACTTTATGTACATTATTAATACCACTGCAGATTATTTTATCCCAGGCCGAAGAGGCTTAAGTTGCCACACAGCAAAGAGAAACATAGCAGTACTTTACAAAGAAATACATGCACACAGACAAAAAGACAAGAGGGTCCTAAACTTCCCCCCATGTGAGATATCTAGAGCTACAGTTCCATTCAGTGAATTCTACTTACAAGTGAACATGTTCATGCAAATTGGTTCTCAGCATGTTTCTTTTCCCATGCACAGCAGAGAACCTTTAAAATGTTGCATGCTTGTCCCCAGACTGTGGTTAAAGAGGTGTTTCTTTACCTAGTGACAGCAACAAAACCTAGAATGCTCCCAAGTTTACTTTTCTCCTACCTCAAAACAATGCCCATCCACTCTACCCTAAATTTTGATGGGTTTTTAGCTACAAAGAAGGAGCATGGTAGAGTTTATCAAAGGGTAGAAGGAAGATCATGATGGTACATTTTGGTGATATATTTCTTATAATTAATTGGTACTTACGCAATTTGGTATTCGTGTTTGGTATTTAAGACGAAAAATTCTAGGTCTTCAAATTGAATGAACATTTGCTATTTTATATTTAACAGAGCAGACATCTGTATTTCTCTAGCTTTATATCTACTTGTGGTTTAAATGAGAGTGTACTGAAGAATACTTGCATGTGTTTTTCTCCAATCAGTTTAGCAGATGCATTTGATTCCTTATCCCCCCAATCCACCCTATCTGAATCTTTGGCCAATTGCTGACTTCCCCCATGAAACATCCATATTTAACCGGAGTAACTGGTGGCAGCATGCAACACCATCTATGTCTCAAACGCAGAAGTTTTCAAAATTCACCCGTTTGTTGTGTCAGTGTAGTAGGGGCACTCTCGCCGCCATTAATGAGAGTGATAACGCTGATATCATAGTCAATGCCCGGCTCCAGCCCTGTGACTGTGTAGTATCCTACTGAGGAGTCCACAAAATCTTCAAAAATAGGGATACCTTCTCCTGCCGCAACTACTGTGATGCGGTACCCAATAATGGTGGAAGAGTTTAGCGGGGTCCACCTCAGGCCGATGCTTGAATCGGTTATATCAACAAAGCTTAGGTCAGTGAGTTGGGGCACCTCTATTGAGTTACAAAGCAAAGGGAGGGGGAGGCAAAAGGAAAATAGAGGGAAAAAAAGAGGAAAAAATAAAGCAGTGTATATCAGGTTACTAGTAGTAAAATTGGTGGAATGTTAAAGCAATGATGGTAATATGCAATCTGTTTTAAATTCTCTGAAAAGACTTCCTAAGCATCATGAACAGTTTGCTTCCCTAGAAGAATAAACAGGAATATTCTTTTAGGGAATATATATATATATATATTTTTTACATTTTGAAAACATCCTTAAAGGGTACAATTTGAACTGTTCAGATTCCTAAAAATCATATGGCTGTTTAGGATGTCAAAACCATTCTTAGAGCCTAGACATAATATCTGAAGTAAGTATCAGCAATGCTTTTAATAATTCCAAAACTGTTTTAGTAGAAAATAAGCTTGCATGAAGAAGGTTAAAAAATAATAAATGGGTGATAAATTGATTTTTTTTCTCCCATACAAAACTCATGACAACATCATGGCCATAACGCTAATGCATTATGAATGTATGGTGTGAAATGTGCCATTCAAAAGCACATTCAGGCTGAGGAAAGACAGGCCTAAGGTTAAGGCCATTGCCACTATTTTAGTTCATTCATAATCAAAACATGTAATTAGCGTTAGTAAAAGCATTCTACTGAAGAGTCCAAAGGGGGACACGATCTGTCCAATGCTTTCATTATGTTATAACCCAATGGACAAACAAGCCTATCCTTAGACAGGCCTTTGCAATGTTGTCTTTCAAGCCACAAGAAAGAACACCCTGAAGGTGTGACTTTTACTTCTTTTTTTTAAAATCCAATTTTCAAAAAGAAGGATTTGAAACTGCAAGATGAAAAACTAGATGTGTCAACCAAATGCTGTTTCAGTGCTCACATACAGGGACAAAACTATTTTATAGGCAGCTGTTGGAAATTGATATGGATTGTAAAATCGGGCAGAAATGTACTGATGGGATGCATTTACCATATTACTTTGAGCCTATCAGTACTGAGTACAGACACGTGACAGTGTTTTAGTCATACTTCCATGTGAGCAGACAATACAGAGTTAAAGCCATGGCTGCCACTCCATTACATACTCGCTGCAACACACAGCATCCCAGTGAAGCACAGACAGTAAAGCAGTGTTAACAGCAAGCATTTGTCCAAATCGCTGCTTTGACTTCTTGGTTTTGGAAAGTGCAGCTGGGAGATCGGAATTAAATCCCAAATATAGTTGACACCCTTAAGCATCTGGGGATTAAGATGCTAATCCCCACTCTTATTGGAAGTGTCACTCTCAGGATAGCAGCTTATTTTTCTATTACCTGGGATGATGGTATCAGAGATAGGGACACTTTCCTTGTCATCCTTGACAGTGTAAACACTGACATTGTACTCCAGGCCGGGACTCAGGTTATCAAAAGTGCAGGAGCTCTGATCAGCATGGACCACTTCTTCCAAAGAATTTCCCTGCTGGCCGTTTGTAGGGGTTGTGGTAATTCTATAACCAGTAATGTCTGGAGAAAAAAGAAAAGGGAAGTTATTGCACAGAGGATCTGTGAGCCAGAGCATATTTAACTAGACTCCAATGATGGATTCACAGGGCGGAATGCAGGACTTGGCATTTACTGAGGACTCCACTGTCACTGTTATTCAATGCTTGCAACAATCCTTTCAGGCAGTACTAAGATCCTCACTTTATTTTTTTATTTTTATTTTTTGAGACAGTCTCCCTCTATCACCCAGGCTGGAGTGCAGCGGTGTGATCTTGGCTCACTTCAACCTCCGCCAAGATCCTCACTTTAAAGGAAATCTTGAACCAGGGGAGTGATTCCCCAAAGCTTTCTTTGTTTCCAAATCTCATGGTCCTATCACTGTACCCTGCTTTTCCTTAATGAATCATTTGAAGACAGCTGAGGAATATTCCTTTCTACCTGCCTAGTATAGAATCGCTCTCCACCTTAAGCACATTCCCCAGAGAGCTCTCCTAATTTAAAAGGTCTGAAACTATGGGATTTATAGGAAGAGAACCAAGAAAGGAGAAAAGGTGAGAAACAAAAGTGCTGATACTTATTCTAGAAAGAGTATTGATTGGGAGGTTGAGGCAGGCAGATCACCTGAGGTTGGGAGTTCGAGACCAGCCTGGCCAACACGGTAAAACCCTGTCTCTACTAAAAATCTAAAAAATAGCTGGGCTTGGTGGCGCATGTCTGTAGTCCCAGCTACTTGGGGAGGCTGAGGCACGAGAATCGCTTGAGCCCAGGAGACGGAGGTTGCAGTGAGTTGAGATGGCGCCACTGCACTCCAAGCCTGGGTGACAGAGTGAGACTCTGTCTCAAAAAAAAAAAACAAAACAAACAAAAAAAGAGAGTATTGATTGTTGAAGTCTTCAGGAATCACAGAAATTGGGCAGTAAAAGAGTTGAGAGGGATGAGAGACATTCAAATAAAAACAGTGATGACTAGAGATCTGTGGGGACAGATTAAAATGAGAAAGTATATTAAACTTTATAAAAGGCAAGGAGATGACAGAATATTTTGCCATTAGGAACAGGGTAAACACTAATGTGGCAAATACAAGGAAACCCAACTGAATGAGAAATAAATATTGAGATCATTACACTTGCTAGTGGTCATCCATATGTGTGGGCTGGGCCATTGAGACGAGATATTAATGATCCTGCTGCTAACAAGCACGAAGATTGTCAACTTAAAGTTTCAAATTCAGAGCAACTCAGCTGGAAATTGTATAGCTTTGGCTTAAACAATGTTTCCGCAGATAATGAAAACTTTACCAAAATCACTCTACTTCAGAGGGAGATTAAAAGAGATATTCTGAGCTAGTTTCATTCTGTGTGTTTGCATACATTAATCAGATTTAGAGATGATAGCCTTAGCTCTGTGCCCCGGCAAAGATAAGAACTATATAATACTTTTTTTTAAACAAAAATTTCACAAGAATTTTACAGTAAAATTAGAAATAGCTAAATAATAACCTAAACATATCCCTTAAATTAACAAGTATATGAGGTAAGAATGCAATCAACATTAATTGGAACTTTTATTTTTGTTTAAGATTTTTCTCCATAGGTTTGTTGAGACTTCCATGTGGTTTTGGCAAAAGTAATGGGTATCTAAAATTTCCTGTTATTGCTATAGTACGTCATGCTGTTTGAATATTGTTAACAACTATCTTTATACATTTTAGCATTTTATAAATAATTTTCAAATATATGTGAACAAGGAATTTAGACAAATGCTTCATTTAAAGCTCTAAAAATGGTCAGGAAACCCCTTAATCAGAATTTTCAGTTTGCATAGAATATAATTAAAAAAAAATTACATTCCAAATATGTGACATTGGGTGTGAGAAGGAGTCTACAAACTTAAGTTACAATCCCAGTTTTGTAACATTTAAAATGTGTGACTATGAGTAGGCCAATTTTTTCTAAGTCTCAGTTTTCTTATTCTGTAAAATGAAGGTATTTCTGCCTTTCATCACCCTTAAATATTTGTGGTGCAACCCATGACAAAACATTCATAAAACTTCAGGGAATAATAAACTTAGGCTCTGTAACAACTCACAAAAGGGAAATTACGTAATATGACTTCAACCATTTGTTTGGCAATTTTTAATGCACTCAGCAAAAGCCACCTTCCACAGTGCTTTTCTTCAGCCCTACAGCTGTGTGAGGATCTGTCTTGTCCCCCTAGACTAGTGTAAGGTTGTTCTGCTTCCTGTGATTGAAGTCAACGTGCATTAAAGCATCCTGCAGGCTGCTCCATGATGTACATCATGTACTGCTATAGTTTTTATGGAGAGCTAAGCATTTGTAATTTGAATCCCTTCTTTCTCTGAAAGAAACACAGTTTCTAAAATCTTTGTCTTGGGAAGGTATGGTGTATACTTGCCCTCTGATCCATCCCAAACTTACCTGGGGTGGTGCTCCTCTCCCAGGAGACTGTGAGCACTCCAGTGTCAGGGTTTGCCTCCAGATGCAAGTTTGTTGGTGGAGACAATGCTATGCAGAAAGAACATTTTAAAAGTCAAAGCTGACACAAAGCTCTTGACCTGTGTAATCTTTCCTCCTTCCCTACCTCCCTCTCTTCCATGCTTCTTCCCTCCCTCCCTCCCTCCCATAAAAATATAGGTTACATTATGAAAATATGATGGACAGCAGTAATTCTCTGACAAAGACTTCTTTATGATTAATGATTTTGCAATACTATTGAAATTATTTTCATCTTGCCAGTTCATAAATATTCTTGACATGGAAAGAACATTTCTGATGCCATAAAATATAAAGCATGAATTGAACCTGCTACTCCAAATTCAGGAATAGCATTAATAATATAAGTAAGGATAAGATATCTCCCCTGTGCCATTCTCATAAGTAAAAAGTGATATTGACACTAGCTTTTTTCGAAAAGTAGAACAGTTTTAAAAACTAATAGAAAAGGGAAAAAATTCTTCTTACGTGTCACCACTTTGTTTACAATTGGCGCATCTCTTTCCTGTCCATCTCTCAGGACTTGGATGGTGTAGACGTATTCTACTCCTGGAGTCAAGCCGGACACAACGATGCTTCCTGAGTCTGAAGTCACTTCTCGTGGTGCCTCTCCTCCCTGGCTTGGTCGTACACCCAGCTAGAGGAAGGAATGCAAAGTAAACACCAAGGACAAATATTTCCAGAGGACTGTTACTGCTGTGAGGCTATGATTATGCTTTAAATAGTGTAAACTCTTCAGAAACTGCACAGTGTACTTTTATTGGGAAATGATTTGGGGACTCTTTTATATACTTTAGCTGGAAATTCCCCCAGGTGGGGGAGGTATCTTCCAAACTGCATTAAGGTGGCTTGTAATGGAAGGTTCCAGAGAAATGTCATTACATACTGTTTTGCTTGATAAAGAATCTCTTGTTACAAACCAGACGTATACAGGGACTGTGGGTCACATGGTAGTTCATTTCTATTTTTCTGTGTGTGTGCTAGAAGGAATGTCTGAGCTCTCCCTTTAACGAGTTATTCACATTCAATTAACCTTTTAGTTGCCATTTAAAGGCACCAGCCCCTGTAGCAACTGTATTGCAAAAACACACCTTTTGAAGAGATATGTACATAGCTTCAACTGCAGGATGATACATTACAAGAGAAGAATTAGAATAACTATGCCCATAATTTAAAATCCTTTTAAGATTCTATTTCAAAAACTTAGGTAACACTGTTATCCAATAGTGTTCAACTCTAGAGAGATCCTTCACACATCATAAGGCTTCTGAAAGTCAGCATGACATTATTAAGGGAATTAAAAGGTATACTGGCACTCTTCAGAAAGTTCTTCTATATTTGAGTAGCATAATCATAAATATGGCCATTTACAAACTTTATCTTTGGTGTATTTTTTTAAACGATCAAGGGGATTGAGTCATGATTTCCAGCGATAACAAATATTTCTCTCTTCACACTAAATGCCAAAGAATGGAATTCTTTTAAACATATTCATTTGTATTCACCGCTTCCCTAATATCATTACTTTAAAGAAGATGAATCCAGATATCCACAGGGAAACCTTAATCTTAACTTCTATTAAGAGATTCACCCTCAGTGCTTTGAACAGTTGGAGATGAAACTGATTGGATGAAAATGCGATTTTTAAGTGACTCTGAGTTTAACTGGTCTCCCTAAACTGGCTTTTGTGAACTTGTTCACACTCATTTAGAACAACACATCAAATAAAGTTTTCCCATGTTTTTTTGAAATGTAATTCCCTGCAGGAAAGGATAGAGAAAATAAGATAACAATAAGCAGCAGCTTCGTGCTAATGTTTTATCCTTTGCAAAACACTTTCGCAGCCTCCATCTACCCTTCCAACAATTCAGTGAGGTAGGCAGGGAAGGACTGTTAGGCCCTGACAATGTAGTCAAAGATGTATGGACAGAAGCAGGTGACAAAACCCAGGTCTCCTGACTCCTGAGCACCCTGTTTCCACTACATGGGAACCACAAGGACAGCTCAGGGCTGTATCACAGAGATTAGGAACATCTGCAGTTTACCTTAAAACCAATTCTTGGAGCAGGCGTCCATGTGATCACAATGGTGGTCTCAGTCACCTCGGTGTTGTAAGGTGGAATAGAGCTCCCAGGCTGCACTGTGAGAGAGAATCAATGCACATATTCAAAACTCAAACTCACAGATGATTGCATAGCATATAGATAACAAGTATTTTTATGGAGAACCTCAGTTTAACCAAGCAGTGGATAGAGGATGTAACATATTTTTTCATTGGGTGAGAATTGGGAGAGGATCAGGCTTCTCAATCTTTAATGTGCCACACACATCATCTGGGGTCTGGCTAAAATGCAGATTCTGTTTCTGGAGGTCCAACAAAAAACTAGGGAGTTTGCATTTCTGACAAACACAGATAATACCAATTCTGCTGGCCCGTGAATGATACCTGAGTAACAAGGGGTTAGATGTTTGCTAAGGTGGTCCTTTCATTGAAATTATATAATCTAATTCATGTCTTTTTATGATTGTTGGGATTTGACTTTGATGACAATAAATTTCCCTATATCGTCAGTGTAAAATCCCTTATAAAATGTAAAACTGGCCACCACAAACTGATTATCATATTGTTTCTTAACCATTAATTTAAGAACAATGGTAAATTATAGAAGGTGATCTAAAAACAGCTTTATGCTGGGCGGGGATCGGTGGCTCATGACTGTAATCCCAGCACTTTGGGAAGCCGAGGTGGGTGGATCACTTGAGGTCAGGAGTTCGAGACCAGGCTGGCAAACATGGTGAAACCCTGTCTCTATTAAAAATATGAAAAATTAACTGTCATGGTGGCTCATGCCTGTAGTCCCAGCTTCTTGGGAGGCTGAGACACAAGAATCGCTTGAACCCTGGAGATAGAAGTTGCAGTGAGCCGAGATCATGCCATTGCACTCCAGCCTGGGTGACAGAATGAGACTCCGTCTCAAAAAAAGAAAAAAAAAAAGCTTTACGCTGAATTATTCCACAATAATGGTCAGCTATTTTTGGTTGCAATAAAAGATGCTATATAAAAGTTAAACAAAATCTGCCACCATGGATGCACTTTGAAGTCTAAAGATTTGTACTTTAAATACGTGATTATTCTTTCAGAATAATACTGCAAAAATTTAGTATTTTATCACCAGAATCAGGAATTATAACAAATTTATTTTGCATTTTCTAGCATCCTGACATCACTGTTATTTTTCTTATTGAAAATATTACTTTGGCCAGGCGCAGTGGCTCATGCCTGTAATCCCAGCACTTTGGGAGGCTGATGTAGGTGAATCACTTGAGGCCAGGAGTTCAAGACCAACCTGGCCAACATGGTGAAACCTTGTCTCTGCTAAAAATATAAAAATTAGCCAGGTGTGATGGTGGATGCCTGTAATCCTAGCTGCTTGGGAAGCTGAGGCAGGAGAATCACCTGAACCTGGGAGATGGAGGTTTCAGTGAGCCAAGATCACACCACTGCACTCCAGCCAGGGTGAGAGAGCAAGGCTCCATCTCAAAAAAAAAAAAAAAAAAAAAAAAGAAAGAAAATAAAATTTTACTTAAACAATTTTTTTTTTGAGATGGACTCTTGCTCTGTCACCCAGGCTGGAGTGCAGTGGCGCAATCTCATCTCACTGTAACCTCAGCCTCCTGGGTTCAAGTGATTCTCCTGCCTCAGACTCCCAAGTAGCTGGGACTACAGTTGCCCACCACCACATCCAGCTAATTTTTGTATTTTTAGTAAAGATGGGGTTTCACTATGTTGGCCAGGCCAGTCTCGAACTCCTGACCTTAGGTGATCTACCCACCTCGGCCTCCCAAAGTGCTGGAATTACAGGCATGAGCCATCACACCTGGCCAAAAAAAAAAAAAATCTTATTTTTAAATAAAAGATTTGTTTTGGGTTTTAGCACCAAAAATAAGAAAGAAAGAAAGAGAGAGAGAGTGAGAGAGAAAGAAAGAAAAGAAAGAAAGAAAGAAAGAAAGAAAGAAAGAAAGAAAGAAAGAAAGAAAGGAAGAAAGAAAGGAAGGAAAGGAAAGGAAAGGAAGAAAAGAGAGAGAGAGAAAGGAAGGAAGGAAGGAAAGAGAAAGAAAGAAAGGGAAAGGAAAGGAAAGAAAAAGAAAGAAAGAGGCATGTATATATAAAGTTAAGATAGAGATTTCCAACAACCTTGCAAATCTTATTATAAATGTAGAAAGGTAAGATCGCAGAAGGCCAGATATTTTGAGTTGGGTAAGTTTAAGTTCAAGGGTATCAAGTGTGTTCATAGCTCTGGTCACATGTTTGACATCTCCACAATTCTTCCTCTCTTTACATCTCAATCAAATTTTGTTCCCATTGGGAAAAAACCTCTGAATGCATTTATACTAAATTATGAATGGCTGGCAAGACAAAGAATTAGTCTCCAGAGTTATACAAACAGGGATTAAAAAGTGTTCAGACTCCAGTCTCAACTCAACTCCAGTCAATTTTTTTTTCTTTGCCATGTGGGAATTTAGAATCAACATCGCAATTCTCGCATTTTTTTTTCAGTCTGGATTCTAAGGAGCCATTTTTTATTTTTATTTTAAAAATATTGTGTGAGAAAAAGCCAAATATATGTGTGGGCCACTTCATAATGATAGCTCTAATGGCTGAATTGAGGTACTACTGGTTTAGTGGGCTGTTTCATCTATGTATGTTATTATTTTGATGGTGTTTGGTGGGGGGTGGGGGGACATGACTGGGATGGGTGACCCGATGCCTTTTAGTACCTCTGAAATTATACACCACTTGACTGCTGGTGACTGTGCCAAAATGCCATGGCCAGCCCTGTGTGACCATTTTTAATGGCCCACAAAAAACAATTCAGAGAACAGTCAGTTTCTTTCACTGAACATCTGTGAAAACCACAACTTTTTTTACAAATTATATTCGCCTCAACTGTCCTGGGCTTTAAGACTAGGTATTTTCTATTGCTTGAGCCAGCCACCTAGAGTCTTCCCAAGTTTAAGATGATGCTCTCTGCCTGGGAAGGCCATTATGGGAAAATCACCAAACCACAAACCCACAAACGATGTCAAACAAAGGATGTGATTCTAAGTGTGAGCTATGGGTTCTGGCAGGTCTTGTTAGGGAAGAACAGCCCAGCTGTTAAAGAAATAAAATTTGCCCTATCAATATAAGACTAAGCTGAATTTTCCCCAGAAACAGCTTTTTCCCCTAACTTTTCTCACATTTGCTCTTAAGAATTTAGCACAAGTTATAAAACTCAGAAAAGTTACTCCCAGAATTCAGCTTAGTAAGATAGTAAAAAACTACAGAAATTTAGTAATTTCAAAAACATGCAAGCCTTGTGGATGTTTACAGCCTTAGGGAGTGCTTAAAGTTCAAATGGAGTTGTAGAATACCCTGCTTACATTAGTTTATTTAAATATAAGCTTCATTTAGCTGTTTTTATTATTATTCCTTTCTCAATTATCTATTCACCAAATAGTTTTTGAAAGCATACAATGTTCCAGACACTATGTTAACCTTTATCTAATAAAATTAGTTTTGGCTATCAGTACTTCAGTTAAAATCATTATATTTTATATGAATGTATTATGCAAAGCATAAAATAATATATCCAATATATCAGTCTTCAGAAGTACTTGAAATATCTTGGCCCACCACCTTCCCTTAATTATTGTTAGCATCATTAAAAATGCTTTTTCTTTTATAAGCACTGTGTTCAACAAAAGAAACTACATAAAATATGTCTCATGTTAAGGAATGAACAAGACAACTATAGAATTCTACATTTTAGTAAAAGACGACATCTACTGAAAGGGCGCATTCACTGAAATCTCCATTCTAATTCACTGAAGGACATTTATAAGAAATGAATATTTACAAGAAATATAAAGACATTAATTTCATGAGAGTAGATCTTAGACTATCTTAGAACCGTGTAAAATTTTAGCCAAATTTTCAAGTAAGCTTATTTGCAAATTAAAAGTGAATTTTACTTGCTTACGATTAACTATTATTTAGGAAAAAGCCTTCATGAGCCAAACTTCATACAGTAAATTTAAATGGAAGTAAGTTTTTCTTAAAGTATGAATTCTTATGGGGAAAAGTTTGTATTTTCTTTGGGAAATCAATTCCATAGTTATTTACAAACTAGGCTTGTATGGACTTTTTGAATGCTTTTTAACATCCATACTTTTAAATTAGTCGAAGAGTAACATTTGTTGAAAGCTCTTAGAAAATTGCAAACTAGTCCATGGTTAGAATATATGCTGAAAAAGTACTTATGTTAGGTGCTTCTATAATTCAAAATGTCGAGTTGAAAATAACAAATGATGTTCAGCTAGAAATAAGGAGTCTCATAATTCTCTGTAATGTAAATGGAAATGTATTTAATAGGAATCGGTTTGTGAATAGAGGTTGTTATTGTGATGTAGATATGTGGGAGATTTAAGACCACTTCCTTTAAAATGTTGAGCAAAAGGATAGACATGACCAAAAATTATTGTTAGTATTTTTCTCCTCTGAGGAATTTCAAGAGTAATTTAAGAAAAGAGCGATTCCGTCTGCAAAAGTACTTTAATCTTCTGCAGCCAACACTCATAAAGAAATCATTTCCTTGGCTTCATGTTCAATTAGTTGGTTCCCATTCAATCCATAGATATTTTTATTCTGCATTTATAGTTACTATTCAATGCCCAAAGTAATAGAATGTAGACATAGGTGCTAATTTTTTCTTGCGTTAACTAGTGTTTGGTAAATTCATTTAATGTAATCGAATTTAATTTTTCTAATAACAGACTGCTTTAAACCCATGTTACTCAAAGTGCTGGCCCTAGAGGAAAGAGCGAGCTTGGCAATGTGTGCAAATTAACACACTGCTTCCTTCATCAAGAAAATCTGGCTTCAGAAAAATTCTCAGCTGTACTAAGCAGTGTGCTTTGTGATTTACGTTCTGGCACAACCGTTTTTCTTGTTGCAGACTAGCAGCAAACAATTAACGGGCCAGCAGCCAGTCTATGGAGCACATTTTTAGTATCACTGATTTAAATTATGTACTAATTTTTTAATGTTTTTTTTGTTTTGTTTTGTTTTGTTTTAAAGCATGAAGAATAGAGAATGTAAATATAGTTAAGAAAAGGCACTTAATTTTCAGCTTACGTGTGGTAAAGACTCCAGTGGCTTTGGGGCTCTCTTGGTTGCCCTTTATGGCCACGAGGGATACGGTGTACTCAGATGCAGGCTGCAGATTCCTCAGTGGGTACTTGGAGACAGAGGGACCCACATTGTACTGCCTGGGCTGTCCTCTTCGGGTAAGGCCCACGGTCAGTCGGTATCCTGTTATCTGGGCCCGAGGTGGAGTCCATCTCACCAGGACAGTAGAATCAGTTTCATTGACAAACTGGAGGTTAGTGGGAGCATCCAGTTCTAGGAAAAAAGATGAAACATGCCAAGAAATATTTAGATCAGTAATGATCATAACTCAAGTCCTGAAACTTGATTGAATGTCTAAGTTTTCTCTCCTCAAGGTTGTAACTATGTGAAAGTCAAAACCCTGGAAAAACTGAGCCAGTAAGAGATTGAGTGCTACACAAAACTTTGCCAAAACTCTGCCAGTCATGAGAAATTGTGGAACCATTTTGCTTGACTGTGATCCTTTGGGAAGTCTAATTTTCCAGCAAGACTTTCGCATCAGTCTCAGAAATTATAGTTACATTAAAGCAATGGTATTTTTAAAAAGGCAAAACAAACACTTCTGAAGTTCACAGTTAGCTCTGAGCCAAACAGATTAAGGAAAAAGGGATATGCCTCCTAAAATGACAGCAAGAAGAAGCTCTCTATGGGTCAAAAGCAATATTCTGTGAATAGCCCTTTGCTAGAGAAATAAAAGTTATTTTCACATGGTTCAGATTAGACAGTAATTACAGTAATGATAACGTATCCTCAGATTCATGGTAGGATACTGGTGAGTTTGCACTATCAGAATCACATAAGTTGTGGAGTTTATTCTTGAGAATAATAACCAGCAGTTTTCCCACCGAAATTTAAATTACCTTTCAAATAGAGGAAATCTTTAAGAGGCAGTCGAGTATAATAATTGAGAGCATGGGCTTCGGACATAGGTTATAGAGCCAGCTCTATCCCTTCCTATCTCTGTGACCCTACAAGTTGCAGAACTTTTTTAAAGCCTCAGTTTCTTTAAGTATTCAATACGGATACTAGTAAGACCTTCCGGCTGGGCACGATGGCTCACGCCTGTAATCCCAGCACTTTGGGAGGCCAAAGTGGGTGGATCACTTGAGGTCAGGAGTTTCAGACCAGCTTGGCCAACACAGCGAAACCCATTTCTACTAAAAACACAAAAATTAGCAGGGCATGGTGGCACACGCCTGTAGTCCCAGCTACTCGGGAGGCTGAGGCAGGAGAATTGCTTGAACCCAGGTGGTAGAGGTTCCAGTGAGCTGAGATGGTGCCACTGTACTCCAGCCCTGGCGACAGAGCGAGACTCCATCTCAAAAAAATAAATAAATAAAATAATAATAATAAGACCTTCCTTCCTAAGGTCAAAACAAAGAGTAAATATGAGAATAATGCTTGTAAAAACTGAGCAGATAAGCTGGTGGCTAGTAATACTAGACACTTGACAATTGCTATTGTTAAATGAATTCTACTCTAAGTGTTATGATCCTGCATTTTAACTTTGATCTAGATATATTTAGTTACACGAAAAATGCACTCAAATTAGATTCTCTTCAGTTCTCCCCTCTTAGTACCCTTCAGCTGGTACATGTATTTTAGAAATGGGTTACCACTTAGCATCCATGGAGCTTGTCTGAGTTTTGTTTTCAAGTTTAATGTGCTTTGTGTTCACTATGCATTCCCTTGCCGGCTGGGTATTTCCCTCTCTCTAAGCCATACACCTCTGAGTGAATGGTTTACTGCACTTTCTCACAGGCTGCAAGTGAGGGTGGAGAATTTGGAGGGGAGATAGAGATAGGAGAAGACATACTGGTTGTCTGTTGAGCAGTCAGAGGCTTGCTCTCCCTCCCATGGCTCACTGCAAAGACTTTGAAGTAATAGGTGACCCCAGGGGACAGCCCGGTGACTTCTGCAAAGGTGTTCCTGCTGATGGGCAGCCTCTGCCCGTGCTCGCCAGGCAGGTTGACGGGGATCACATCCACACGGTAGCCGGTCACTGCACTCTCAGGCGGTGTCCACATGATGGTGACCTTCACGTCTGTCACTTCCACAAACTGCAGGTCCCTGGGAGAGGGCACTGTATCTGACAGACAAGAGTCAACTGGTCATTCACATTCTCTGCTGAAGATTACTTTTAAGAAGCCAGTTTCTTGGATATGTTAGGCAGTTCATTGAGCCTCTCATTCGAGAGTTTTGCTAAGTTTTGTCTCTTAATCAGATCACATTTTCATGGTCCAGTCATAGTGCTTAAATTATGACATTTGAACCTTTTATCTAAAATAGGTAATAAGTGAGTTACCAGCATATGAAGTGTCATATGGTGGTGGGGGGAGAGGGTTATAAGAAAAGATACTAAAAAATTTTTTAGAAAAAGCCTTTGAAATAACTGCAGAAAATAATGTAACAGTTTTTGTTTTACTGAATCATTTTATAATACTTAAGAATCAAAAATGAAATGACCCTTAAGCTTCTAGGGGAAAATTTGTAGATGGACGTTATGGTGTCAGTTTTTAATCAGAAAGGCCAGTAGCCAGCTTTGATAAGTTACTTATGACATTTCAGCTAAATATCAGAAGTTTAGGGAAAAACTAATATATAAGATTTCTTGAATGAGAGGACTGTTGACAGAGACAAAACAACCCTCCTTCAGGAACAATCCTGATAAGATAACATAGGAAGTGTCTTCTTAAAAAAGTTACCTGAGCGTGGGGTGCCAGTGGTTTCTTGTTGAATGACAACAGGTGTACTTTCTTGATTTTCTTCCACAGCATAGATAGTGATGTTATACTGAACACCAGGTTGCAAGTCACTGAGGGTGACGGAGTTTGCAGTTTCAGGAAGGTTGAGTTCTGTGCTGCTACCTTCTACTGATGGCGAATAGACTATTCTGTACCCTGCAGATTCATGAGCAAAAGTAAGATGCACTGTTTTCTTTGAGACAGAGGCTTAGAAACACCATAAATCCTCCCTTTTCTAATATCCCTTAGCATCTTGCTTGATTAGTGAAGAGCCAGTGATACTTTTTGACTCTTTGAATATTGCCACTTCTTCTAATAATGACTATTCAGCACGAAGATAAAATAAGAACAGTCATGCGAACCTTTTTAATAATAAATGTCATCCTTGAAGACCTGACATCCTTAATAAATGTCAATTAGAGATGCCATTAGGTGAAAATATTCATGTTAAGCTGATTTTTCCTCTTTGAGCTCCAGACGAGGGAAGCAATTAATGAACCAGCCTAAGCAGAGTTGTCTAGCACTGTGTGTGTCTTTTTGGAACTTCAGTGATGAGGCAGTTGAATCACCTAATGAGCTAAGACGACAGCTCAGCTTTCTCCTTAAGGATAAATCTTAGAGCAACGTTTTCAGGAAATTACACCTCTTCAACCCTGGGAACACTTGCTTTAATAAGCCAATGAGCTGGCTTTACAGGTTGTGTGTATGTTGTGGTGTGTGTGTATAAGGGAGTTGGTGAAATGGTTTCAAGGGGAAATGTGCCATAGAAAATAACTCCCCCACCCCCGCCACACACACACACACACACACACACAAACCCCTCTCCCATAAATTATATTGGAGATTTAAAGTGATATGCAGGTCCGCAGTCAGAATCTGCGCCCTCCCTGCTGATGTCATTAAGATTAACATAGCAGCCAAAGAGGGGGACGCTTAGCTGACCTGTGATGGGAGCCTGGGGTCTGCTCCAGCGAACAACAATTGAGGTGTCATCAACTTGGTCCACAGTCGTGTCAGGAGGGGCATCAGGCGCTAAGAAAGAAAGAAAGTGGGGCAAACAGTCAGGAAGTGCTACTACAGGCCTGTGTTTTACAGAAAAAGATTCTTTTAACACTATGTAGCACACATGTACCTGTTGTTTGTGAAGTAGACAGGATCAAACTCTGCTCCCCATCCTCAGATATCTGATAGACATTTACAATGTATTTTCGGCCAGGAAGCAGGTCAGGGATGTTCACAGAAGTGGCTGTGCTTGGAAGATCTTTGAAATGAAAAGAAAAGGTAACTAATCAGAGCAAACTAGTCCCTCAAATGACTCTACAGCTTATAAGAAGGATATTTTAAGAATTATATATTCATAGGGAAAAGCGACTAGAAGGTAATGTGCTAATAGCTAATCAGTGATTATTATTATTATTTTTACACAGAGTCTTGCTGTGTTGCCCAGGCTGGAGTGCAGTGGCACAATTTCAGCTCACTGCATCCTCTACCTTTCCGGTTCAAGCAATTCTTCTGCCTCGGCCTCCCGAGTAGCTGGGATTACAGGTGCACACCACCACACCCGGCTATTTTTTTTGCATTTTTATTAGAGATGGAGGTTCACCATGTTGGCCAGGCTGATCTCGAACTCCTGGCCTCAAGTGATCCACCAGCCTCAGCTTCCCGAAGTGCTGAGATTATAGGAGTTAGCCACCGCACCCACCTAATCTGTGATTATTAATGTACTATGGGAAAACACCACTTCTTGTCTTTCTCCTTTCTCCTCCTCCTCCTTCTTCCTTTCATTTTTCCAACTTTTTTTCTAAAGACGTATAATTTTTGTAATCGAATGCCAAATTTTTAAAAATAGCTCTCTGCAGTAAGAGTCAGGGTAGTGATTATTGGCGGAAGATGATGGGGTGAGGGTAGAGAGATATTCTTTTCCTTGATCTGGGTGCTGGTCTTGTGGTGTGTTCACTTTATAAGAATTCAAATTCACTGAACTCAGTGCTTACGATGGCACACACTTCAGTGCGCCAATGAAGTTTTTTAAAGGCCCCTCACCATAACAATTTGAAAAGTATGAGTGACCGTACTGTGCTCACATTGTCAGCTGCAGTCCTGGTAATTACTTCCACCAAGAACACAGCTTTTGCTGTAGGAACTTGTGCACAGGTAGGCGCATGATGCAGCTGGCATCAGGGACCAGGAACATGTGACAGTGGCTTGGGAAAAACCCGGCCACTTCTTAGAAAGAGTCAGTCCTTCCCTTCCTCATGCCAGAGGGTGGTTTGTTCAGTCTGAGCTGTCAACCAGTTCCAAACCACAGATACCACCTGCCTAGAGGCCACCCACCCCCACAAGGAGAGTTTTCCAGCAGCTGCCCTGAACCTGTCTTGAGCGACATATTGAGCTTACCCAGGTACTGTGGCTCATCTCCCTCCTCACTCAGCTCATATTCCACCCGGAATCCCGACACGGTGTCGGAAGCTGAGACCCAGGAGACCACAAAGCTACTGGCTGTGATTTCGGTCACAGATTCAGAAGTGGCCACAAGAGGAGAAAAGGGAGTCGTCTCTCCTGTCACGGTGTTGCCTAGAGAGTCACAGAAAGGGGAAAGTCAGCCTTCAGTCATCTAGAAAATTTACCGTCCTCGTCGCCAACATCATTTTAAAAAACGTTGGTGCCCCTCCTGGAAGAATATGAATTGAGAAGGAAAGCATTGCCTCAGGAGAGCCTAGCTCTAGGAACCTCGGGGGTAGGAGGCATGAGGGTGGTTGTGTACATACTGGTCACAGGTGTGCTGGTGCTGGTGGTGGTGAAGTCAAAGCGAGTCACTTCTTGGTGGCCGTACTGCTGGATGCTGATGAGCTGGCCCTCGTATACCACACCAGGCTTCAGGCCTTTGATGGTGTAGGAGTTTAAGTGGCCTGGTATGGTAGCTTCCTTCCAACGGCCTACAGAATTTTTCTGAAAATTTAAATTAACACACACACACACACACACACGTGTTTACAAGGATGAACATTTGAAGATGATGTTCAGTAATCTTCAAAGAAAAATGACTTAAGCAGGACTTAGGCAGCTCCATTCTAGAGGAAAATCATGGAAAACTGGATTCCCAATGGTTATATCGTTAGATATAGTTAGATATAATGCTAACTATTGTTAACATCAACAAACTGCTGCAGTTTACTTACTGATACCCATACTCTGTGCTGTTTACCTACATTCTCCCATTTAGTCTCCATATCCTTCTGATGATAAGGCAATGGCATTGTTGCTCCCGTTTTACAGACGGAAAAACAGAGTGATATGTGATATGCCCGGGGTGACATAGTTGCAGACACTGGGCACCTTCACTTTTTTTTTTTTTTTTTGAGACAGAGTTTTGCTCTTGTTGCCCAGGCTAGAGTGCAGTGGCTCAATCTCAGCTCACTGCAAACTCCACCTCCCAGGTTTAAGCGCTTCTCCTGCCTCAGCCTCCCGAGTAGCTGGGATTAGAGGCGTGTGCCACCATGCCTGGCTAATTTTATATTTTTAGTAGAGATGGGGTTTCTCCATGTTGGTCAGGCTGGTCTCGAACTCCCGACCTCAGGTGATCCACCCGCCTCGGACTCCCAAAGTGCTGGGATTACAAGCGTGAGCCACCACGCCCACCCACACCTTCACTTTTACCAAGTTAATTGTGTTATATCAGTAACATAATATGATGAACCTAAGCTTTGCCTCTCTCACTTATTTTTTATTCCTACCACAAACAGATATATTCCTCTCTGAAGTACAGAAATGCCAATGCCATATATTTTATCTTTTAACTCAGTGGGATACAATTCAAGTTTCTTGTCCTGAAAAAACAAAGGCAGAATGTTGCTTTGTGACTCATCATATACCAGGTTCAACGAGTCTGGTTTTGTGACTCATTCTTGGATATGAGCTACCCCATCAGAAGTGGTTACCCAATTTTGGACAAGACTACAGAAAAAATGCAATTTTGGTTTATTTAATCTTTTGCTTCCAGTTTATATTTCACATCCTGTTCAGCTTCATTAATATGCCATGGGTCACAAAACTCAGTGCAATAAAATGTGTATGAAAGAAACACCCTTCAGAAAAGATGAGACTCTTTCAAGTGTAAATACTCTAAACTAATATAAGTCAAAATATATTTTTTGTGCCCAGTGATTTTTAAAAATTACCCAGTCAACCATTTCCTCAATAATTCAAATACTCAAGTGTCCATTTATATTTTTGGAATAAGCGAGAGTGATCGTAGTACTCTTCACAGTGAAATTTTAACTCAAATACACTGTGGAAAATTTTGAAACCAGTCATTGCAATTAGCTCAAATTTAGTAATCATTTTTCAACATGAGCTTGTTTGGTTAGTTATTACAAGAAAATAACAGAAAATAAAGTCTCAGGTGGCATCCATTAGAAAAAACCCTGAATTTTTGTAATTGTTAAAAATCTCAAAAAATTCATCACTGCTGCTTTTTGAAGACTTTCCAATTCAATGTACTTTTTTTTTTTTTTTTTTGAGATGGAGTTTCGCTCTTGTTGCCCAGGCTGGAGTGCAGTGGCGTGATCCTGGCTCACTGCAACCTCCGCCTTCTGGTTTCAAGCGATTCTCCTGCCTCAGCTTCCCGAGTAGCTGGGATTACAGGTATGCGCCACCATGCCCAGCTAATTTTTTTGTATTTTTAATAGAGACGGGGTTTCACCATGTTGGCCAGGATGCTCTCGATCTCTTGACCTCGTGATCCGCCCACCTTGGCCTCCCAAAGTGCTGGGATTACAGGCGTGAGCCACTGCGCCTGGCCCAAAGTACATTTTATACCACTTTTAAGTCTCCCATTGCAATGGTCTCACATAATACTTTGGATATCCTTAATTTTAAAGTAAATAAAATTAATGATGTAATAAGAAGATGAGAGACTAGAAGATATTGGATGCACTGATGCTGTTGATTTCGATCACTGGACATCAAGTTCTGCAAATGGCCAGATTATGGACATAGGGTGAAAGAAGAAAAAGAATGACTTTTCTTTTTTTTTTTTTCATTCACCATTTGTTAAGCAGTGTGCCAGGTGCTGAAGCATTCTAGACTCTACGGAGACTACATTGAGCCAATGAGAAAGACACGATTCCCCTCTTTAAGGGAATCTGTTTCCATTTTCTATTATTCTGGTCTTGCCTCCATGTAGACAACATGCTTACACCTCTATTTGTTTCATTTGTCAACAATAAGTCATATTTACAGAGTCTTTAATATGAGACTTGATGATTTATTTATATATTTATTTATGTTGACACAGGGTCTTTCTCTGTCTCCCAGGCTGGAGTGCAGTAGTGCCATCTTGGCTCACTGCAACTTCCGCCTCTCAAGCTCAAGCGATCCTTCCGCCTCAGCCTCCCAAGTAGCTGGGACTACAGGTGCATGCTACCATGCCCGGCTAATTTTTAGCCACTGTGCCCAGACAAAGTTGAGGATTTAGCTCAATAATACCACCCTTTCCTTCCAGAATCTTGGACATTCCCAGTGTCTGACATTTGTATCATTATATTTGTTCTTCTTGTGTTTATATTTGTAATTTAAAGTATTATATTAAGTATCTTTTTTTTTTTTTTTTTTTTTTACTTCATCAGCTTTTGGTACCATCTCTCAATTCTCTATTTTGAAAGATAAAGCTGTTATCTCCTCTCTTCTCCACCTTCCATATCCACCATTTTTCATGTAAATGTTTACTTTTTATTTTGTCTTGAAGTTGCAACCAAGTTTCCATGACACATCTATAGACCGATCGCATCATGCATTAGAAATACATTCTTTTCAATGAGTCTAACATCATGACTGCTGGGTGGATCAAAGTTTCCAGAATCAAGGTTCAATGGAATTATTCCTCTTTGTTTTTATACCTTAATATTGCTGCATTTTAGTTTGCTTCGTATAGGAATTATTGCCTTATAATACACTTGGGGGTTTTTTGAAACAGAATCTCGCTCTGTTGCCCAGGCTAGGGTGCAATGGCGCGATCTTGGCTCAACTCCCTGCAACCTTTGCCTCCTGGGTTCAAGTGATTCTCCTACCTCAGCTCCTGAGGAGCTGGGACTACAGGCGTGCGCCCCCAAGCCTGGCTAATTTTTGTATTTTTAGTAGAGACGGGGTTTCGCCATGTTGGCCAAGCTGGTCTCGAACTCCTGACCTCAGGTAATCTGCCCGGCTTGGCCTCCCAAAGTGCTGGGATTACAGGTGTGAGCCACTCTACCCAGCCACATTTGGGTTTATTATACATTCCTCCACCTGATTGTCATGTTGTTATTTTAACTGCATTATTTGCCCCTGTGATTAATTATCCACAAGCCTACTTTTTCCATGAAGTCCCTTTTTATTCTTGGAGACCTCAATCCCTGATCCCTCAATCCCATCCTCATCTTTCTGTTCCATCTGTATTGGCTGTCCTCTAAGCCAGCTACGCAGTTGTTGCATTGCAAAGTTTTCCACCTCTATCAGGGGTCTGATTTGGAAGCACTGTTTGCTGGACCCCACAACTTCCTTCATATTTCACTCTTGTTTTTCTGGAGTGTATCTACAAATACCCTTAAAGAAAAGGATATATGGAAGATAAACTGCCTAAAATCTGTCTGAAAATATTATTTTGCCCTCATATTTGATTGATAACCTGGCTGAGTATAGAAGACTTTAAAAGTTTCTTTTTATCCTTGGAACTCTGACACATCAAAGATGCGTCTAGACGTGGTTCTTTCCACTAATTTTCTGGGCACCTAGGAGGCCCTTTTAAATCTGAAAAATTCTGTCCCTCCACTTTAGAAATTTAGAAAAAGAATAATTTTAACAGCTTAAATTTTTCCTGAAGAGTTTAAATTTAACCGCCTGGGTTGGTCAAATTTTGTTTGTTTGTTTCTTTGTAATTGTAGAATTCAATAGCTATGATTTAAAATGGACATTTTTTTCTCCTGTGTTTAAAACAGTGTTTCTCAAATTATGAGCCATGAACTTTGGAGTTAAACAGGGCAGGCTTGAGAGAGTAAGAGAAACTAAAGCTAAATTGACCAATATCCTCCTTATTTGGTTTCTTCAATTTCTAGTCACTTCTCATTAGGAAATCACAGGGCTATTGTTTAAATAAAACCAACTTCCATCCTTTATCTAAACTTCCCTCCCATCATCTCTTTTCCTTCTATCTAAATAAATTCAGTGGGTCAAAAGTAAAGTTTTAAAAATGATCACTTAAAAAGTGAATCAAAAAAGAAATATATTAATTTGGCTTTTTTTTTCAAATTATGAAAATGATGCCAGTAATTTTCCTTTGATGAGGTTGCAAGACATATAAAAACCTTAGATTCTCTTCCCACATTGGGCAAGAACAATCTTAAGCATTATCATTTCTAAGTCCTTGCAAAAAAGATTTCTGTAACATAAAGAGCTAAATTCTTCCAAATACCAGCCCCCCCACCGCAAAAAAACAAAACCCAAAACCAAAACCAAAATCCCCTCAGTCTACAAGTCAATTTAATTGACCACATATTGTTTGTTCACTAAACAAATATAGTAAATGCTATAGGAATAGTTAATCAGAGTTGTTGGCTCAAAAGCTGGGAAAAAAAGAAACCATCAGAATTGATAAGATTAGGAGACTCAGTATCCAAGGTTTCTGGGTGGGATACTCACAGGTCTCCACCTGAGAATGTACTTGGAAATGTGAGATGGCTGTGGTGCATTCCACTGGATGGGGTGGGAGTTGGGCTGACTCGGAGTCTCAGTGATAAATACTTCGACAGGACCACTTGAGCCTGAAAATGAAAATGTAGCATTTAATTATCTTGAATATTCACTCACTTCAACTTAAAACTGTGTACATGGACAGTCATCATTATAAACAGCTTTGCTTGTCGTTAAATGTGAGTATAATAAAATTATCTGGCATTAATCTTTTAAATATTTACGTTGAAAATCAATGCAGCAAATCCATTTTTAGCCGATAATTATTATTCTTCACATGAGAAATGCAAATCATAGTTGTTTATAGCAAATAAAATATATTTTTAAAAAAAAGTCTCTTGGCTTGCTTTTATTTTCTCTACTATCAAAGTAAGAATTGTGAGAAAATTGTGAAACGATCCTACAAAAATAATGTAATACAGAACACAGACTTCATTTACTTATTGTATTGAGCCTCTTTTAAAGCAAATTCTAATTTTGGAAGGTTTTCATCAAGAATGAATCTACTACCTAAGAAGGAAACAACATTCCAAAGGCCATATGAGATGATGTAAAACAAACACATTTCTAAATGGGGGTAGAATCTTAGACAAATAGCAAAGGTAATAATTAAAGACCTAGTTTTATTTCTCATCAGTCTAAGCAGTCTATCAGTTTGGAAAAAACATCAAGTTTTATTTTTATTCAAGAAGTTTACTCCCAAATCACACCATTGATCCATCAAATTATTAAGTGATTAAATTTATTTTTTTTCCAAAATCAGTTGTCAACAGAAATGACTTTATGAAGTGTATACTAAATTCAGTATTTCTACACCTTGATGTATATCACTGTTATCAACAAAATTTAAAGTATGGTTTTGGTTCTTTTGTTTAAAATAAAAGGAAAATAAGGGAAGTAGCATCAATTTCTAAGTAGTGTTAACTCCATTTAAGATAATAATGAAATAGCTAGAAAATTTATGCTTGCAGAACAGAAAACTATCTTTTCTTAAAACACTATCTTTATGATGTCAGTCAATGTTTAAATTACTAGAAATAAAAATTGTGTCTTATAGTAACCTTTTCAAGAATTTCTAACTGACACTCTGTCAAACAGAGCAAAATTTTGTATGTGTAATAAAGCACTTCACCAGATTATTAACAGATTTAAGTTTTCTGAAAGCTTCTAGGAAAAAAAATACATTGATTTTCAAACTTTATTATCTAAGCCATTAAATTCTCTTGGAAAACAAAGCTTTCTGTAGCAGAAAAAATATATAACTTGGATATCCATGTAGATTCAGAAATTCTAAAACAATATGCTCACTTCCACACCAGTAACAATTCAAAGTTGGTTGAAGATTAGCAAATACTTTGAATCTTAATTCCATTTAATGCACATATTTCCAAGCCACATGAACACCAAAATTCATGCATAAAATTATGAGTTTTTCATTTTAAAGTTGTATGTATTTCACAGAACACACAGGATGTTTGTTTTAATCAATTGGCATAAGTCAATTCCATGCCTATCTTTGAATTACCCCTTCTGTTTATGAAGATCCTTACAAATGTAAACACATTTTTAAAGACAACTATTCAAGAAAAATTTTGGAGATGTGACTATTTAACGTACTTCCATGTAAATCAGGAAAGCTAGGAATATCATGTCCTTAATTATTTATGATAATTGGCATAGGGCTATTTAAATATTGATCCTTTAAATAAATCCTACTACAATTTCCTCCATAAAGAGACACCTGATATACACTTTATTTAGTCTTGTCAATCATGATTTTGAGGGGGGACAAGCTTATGATGGATAAATGTCTATTAAGTTTTGAAAAGATAACATAAATGACCTTTACTGTTCACCTCTAAGCCTAATCATATTTCTATGTCCACAAGGACACAAGGAGGAGGATAAAAATGGGCAGGGAAAGGAAAGAAAAAGGGTACAGCAGTGGTTTTTACTCAAGCCAAAGTGGAGTACAACTACAGAGGTCCCTTTTGCTTTCATAAGATTTCGAGCACTGGTGTGAAATTCCACGTTTTAAAATCTAGCCCTGTGGCATAGCCCACCTTTAAAGGAAATGGACTGAACAGCATGGAATTTAGCATGTTTTTGTTCAGGAAGTAAAGAGACTTTGTGTCAGTTATTTCTTAGATCAATTAAATTCCTATATTCTAGCTTATACTACGTATAATTACTCTAGCTTATACTATGTATCCTTTAAAGACAGAAAAGTTAAAAATTATGACATCTTTTACATTATTTAGATTTAAACTTTTGACAGTCCTTTTTCGCTACTGGTAGTTGGTATAACTTTTTAAATTAACTTAATTGGCATATACTAGCTATCGCCATTGTGAAATCTTTACTCCCTCTCTTATTCAATATGAATAAACTAACAATAAAATAGTTGAGATGATACCAAAAAAAGGAGATAGTACAATGTCTACACTTTTAAAATTAGTTTCAAATAAAGTCTAAATGAATAATTTCCAATAGTAGTGTCCTTGGAGAAGTTAAACATTTATGATTTTTTGACTCAGTCCTTTTTTTCTCTATTTATTTTGCTGAGATCTGTGCTTTTCTAGTTGCTTATTGACAAACCAAATGCCTCTTATCTTTTGCTAGTTTGAACAACTCTACCAAGTTCTCTGTAGGAGGAACAAACAAGGCAGGACTCAGAGACAATCTGTTGGTAATCTGCTGTTCCCTTATTCTCACCACACTCTTAAAGCCCTACGTGCTAGGCCACGGAGCAAACCAGACATACAGATAAGCACCAAAGAGCATATCTGAGGTCAAATTCCAATCTCTTCCCTCCGAAATCACCTCTATGCTCAGTGGGATCTTGCTGTTCTCCTTTTTAAAGAGTAGGAGTAAGGTCAACATGTAATACTCCAATACTCAAGGATTCCTTCCTTTCCAGATTTTATCTCCAACATGTCCACCTAAATGCTTCCAGCAAGCAGCTATGTGGACAGCCTTATGTTGAGAGAGACGAAGATCTCTCTCAATCATTCAGAAGGAAATCATTTTCAGCAAATTGCAACACCAATAACAATCATAAATATAGAAACCACAGAGCATTTTTTTAGAAGTTTCTACCATTTAAGTATCATTTGCATCATATAAACAAACAAACCATTCATATACTTATAGTACTTCCACAATCAGATTTAAATATATATTAAGTTACAAAAAATTAAGTGATTCCTACACCTAAATCCTCCAAGAAATACAATTTAGGAGGTTGGTCAATCTGTGCTATAAGCCTTCAAAAGTGAAGTCACCTTCCCCAGCACTGACAGTGTCTGAGGGTTGGGAAAAGCAGAATCTTCCAAGTTCCTAGAAAAGGTGCATCTGGGTGTTTAGTATTTAGGATGGAACATTAAAGGTAATCAGCTACAATCTTCCCATATTACAGATGAGGAAATGGAGGAATGAGGCTTGGCTAACACTACCTTTGGCCAAGTTGTTCCCATAGCTTGTTCTCTGTCACAGTGAATCTTTTATCACAGAGTTAATCTTAATTTCTGTCGCATGCAGATTCTGACACCCTGAAACTCTTTTGTTTCTGAATGTAGGCCATATTTTCAGTCAAACGTTAGTGAAGACTTTGGAGACTTTGCACCTCAGCAGTTGCTCAAATAACTGATGCCTTTTAATTAGCCTTTCATGTTTTATTAACATGTTTTATTATAATCACTCAGTGAATATTTAAATGCAATTTTCCCCCCAAATGAACTAATTACACCTACAGCTAGGCATGATGTCTTTGTGACCTGGAAAAACCCAGCAATAAACATTTGAGAGTGTTTGAACTGTGTGGGCAGAGAGTTGACCAAGTTACTCAACCCTTGGCCCAACATACTGTGTTCCTGGTGGCAACTGATCAAACAAATGAAAAGTTTGATGCAAAGGGAGCTTAGATGACATGTTGAATGAACACGTACCTTATGCTGCATTTCATGCCATCTCTCTATGCAGCTTCTCTGTTAAGAATCATAATATAAAGCCCCAAACCTTTACTCCCAGCATAACTCACTTGGTGGTTTTTATTTCCATGTATGGATATAAGATGAAATTAGCCAGAGTGTCTTAACCTAACAGAATATTTTACAGAGTTAAGAAGTAAAATTATAAACAGGCACATTTTCATAGCCTTCTCTACCTTTTACTTGATAGAGGAAGAGAGAAAAATTATTTTAATCAAAAATTCAATTGATTATTAGATAATAACAAGAGAAAAGGGTGGGAAAGAGGGGAGACCCCCAACTTAGGCATGAGAGCATTAATAATCACTGCCCTGTTGTTATAACCCAATTGGCAGTTCTCAACTTGCAGTAATAGAGCTACTTACTTGGATAGGTCTGTAAAGGTTGGCAATGCCACTCCCCAATGCCACGGCCATAGCAGTAGCACTGGTATCTGACACCATGCACATACTTCTCCCATGAATCTCCAATTTGATAAAACGTCCCAGTCTCTGAATCCTGGCATTGGTCTAAAATACATGGAAGGAAAAGATAAACAGCCTTGAAGACTTATAACTACGAATTTAATTTCAGGGTGCTAGAGCATACATTTAGCTTAAATAGAAATTTGCAATTGTTCTTACAAATATATGCAGTTAAAAAAATATTTTGTTCACATTCTTTACCTTACAGGACAGTTTGTAGTAAAAAAAAAACCAAAGTACCTATTAGGAGGAATATTTAGTTTTCTAAAAGGTAATATTTCTAAATAAAAATGTAAAGATTTAGATTTCAGTGTATATTGATAATCTACACATTAATTTTAAATATTAGTTATTATTTTTACCCATATTAATATAACTGGCTTAACATTTAAATAGCAAGAAAAAAATCTGCAATAATTTCATTTTCCTTACTTCTTCAAAATTTAAAGAAACTGTTTGACATTTAAATGAATGAACTAGACTTTACGAGTATACCTGCTGAGCAGCTTCTAAGAAAACCTCTCAGGCTTCTCTCTCAGTTCTGGTAATCTCACGTCAAACAAACGGATGTTATCAGTTTGTTTTCTCAGTGAGCAACCTGTCTCTTTTGGTAAAGAAATAGTAATGGATCACCTTAAACTTTGTAGTGCTGGTAACACAGCTCTTTTAAGGCTCAGCCTTCACTATTTGCTTAGTTCTATTTTGAAGGGCGGCCAAAAAAAAACCTAGAGTGTTTTGGTGGGTGATATTTACACCCTTTGCTCATGCTGTTACACAGCTGGTAAGGAAGTGAGTTTGAGACCAGCCTGACCCACATGGAGAAACCCCATCTCTACTAAAGATACAAAATTAGCTGGGCCTGGTGGCGCATGCCTGTAATCCCAGCTACTCAGGAGGCTGAGGCAGCAGAATTGCTTGAACCCAGGAAGCAGAGGTTGCAGTGAGCCGAGATTGTGCCATACACTCCAGCCTGGGCAACAAGAGCGAAACTCTCTCTCAAAAAAACAAAAACAAAAACAAAAACAAACAAAAAAAAAAGGAAAGAATACTTTTAATAGCATGGATTATCTTTATGATTCTAAACCCAAGAATAAATTCCATTCAATTAAAATAAGCCTAAATTTGTCACCAAATTCAGCAAAAACCAGACGACTACCAATATCGAGATATTTTGGTCCAGTATTAGAGAGAAGACTTTGCAAAGTTCTTTGCAAGCAACTGATCAAAGTCTGGAGCCAACTTCAGTCATGTGATTTCACATAGCTTTTCTTATCTGAAACTTGCTAACCATTCCCCCTGTGCAAACTCATCTAGGGAAATAGGGCTACTCACCGACGGGATCACACTTCCACCTGCCCCGACCCTGACCGAAGCATGTACAGTTCAGCATGTGCCCCTCTTCATGACGCTTGTGGAATGTGTCGTTCACATTGTAAGTGATGTCATCAACAATGCACTGATCTGTTTAGGAAACAGGTGGGTGAGTGAGAAACTTTTTAAAGTTCCATTGATGAAAGAAAAAAGGTATGCTTCTCAAAGCATACAACTACTTCCACTTAATTATCAACACCTTCCACTAAAATAACTTTTCTACAAGCATAGAATAACATTTTTTTCAAAGTTTGGTCAGTAATACAATTTTTGCCAAAAAAATTTTTTTCTTCCCAAAATGTGTAACTTTTGCAGAGGTTACAGTATGCTCAAGTAAAGAATGTGGTAAAATACACTTTCCTGTGAGAAGCCAGTATTTGAACAAATACATGTCTTACTTTCTGAAAATTTCTTGCTTAGTTGATAATTTCCTTTAAATATCTGCTTGTTAGGATAAATAAGAAGAAGATTAAACATATTTATCTAACACCCAGCATGATGTGGTGGTCTGGTCTCTGGAATAGGGGGAAGGGGAGGAGATACTTAGATTTGGGAAATAAAATGTCAACAGTATTCACAACGCTAAAATAAATTAGGCCAACTCTGTTGCTCACTCTTTGAGAGATCCTGAGAAAATTACTTTTTCCTTTTTGGGTCTCAGCTCCTTGATCTATATAGAGTGAGGTCTCTATGTGTTATTAAGGTCTCTTTCAGTTCTGCAACACCACATGTAATTATTACTCCCGGATGGTGTTACCCACTGGACACCACAAAAGGAGAACAAATTCAGACCAATATCTACGCACTAGCCACATAGATTATTAATAGCTCAGGGTTCTCCCGAAATATTACTTTTCATATCAAAGAAATGGAAAACTAAAACACTTTTAAAAAGTCAATACTTCCTCATATTATATAGCTGGGTGCAAAGGAGAAAAACTAATCTGAACAAGGAAAGTTAGTCCCCTATGTATTTGTTTCCTGAAATCTGGATCTGTAAGGATCTGATTTTAGAATAGCAAGGTCTTCATTTCTTTACAGAAATTATCCTATCTTTTCTAGACATGAATCCAGTGGCATAGCCTAAAGCTGAATGGATCAAATGTTTCATTCTTACTTTTGAAGCCATCTTTTTGGCTCAGCCTAAGTACTTACATGCTAGGAGTGTTTCAGAACATTAGCATTGCTATGCCGCTTGTCTTAGCAGGCTGCCTGCTAAGCCTTTCAGGCTTATCTTACCATGCACAGTAGACTAATGAATGACGTGGCATTCCATATTTCTTCCCCTGCTTTTGGCATAGTGCAAGTTTTCATAAAAAAAAGTGTCCCTTTCTGTACCTTTTGCCATCTCAAATATTTTTGTTAATCAGCCAGCATACCTCGAAGCTGCGAGTAGGCAATGCATGTCCATTCCCCACGACCATTCCCAACACACGTGCACCTCATCATGTGACCCATGTCATGCTGCTTATCCCACTGATCTCCAATGCGGTACATGACCCCTTCATTGGTTGTGCAGATTTCCTCGTGGGCTGTTTGGAAATGGATAAGAAATGCACTTGATAAATGATCACCAGGTCTAAACATGTATGTGTGCAAAAGGATCAGTTCAGTTTGGTCATCCTAAGAATTCTCACTTGGGAAGAAGCTTTGTGTGCATCAAAGACATCTAAGTGCTGTCAGGTGAAGGGGTAGAATTTTTGAGCCCTGGAGGCAGAAAACGTAGTCCAAACGTGTCATAGAAAATAGTTACAGGAAGGGTTAGGGGATGTTAAACTAAGATAATATCTACACATCCACACAAAGGGTTCTTGCTGTTCTAGAAGCCTGGATTTAACTACAGCTTCATAACTTTTCCCAGTTCCAGTTTATTCTGGATCAAATAAAAACTATGGGTTTGGATATAGAATTACAAGCAAAAGTGGGTTTTTTCTTCTAAACTCAGCATCTTCTTTTGTTGAAAGAAATAAAAGTATAAGCAATTTCTTTGTCTCATAGTCACACTTGACAGTGCCTACCGCCCAGGCTCTTGTTTCTACAACTGGAAAATTAAAGGGAATCTATGGGGTTCTTGAAATCTGAAAACAAGTAAAAGGTATTCGTTTCCATTTGTTCGCCATCTATACAAACTGGGGACCTTTAAAAAAAGAGTGAGATTCCCTACCTGTTAGAAAACATTGAGTTTTAGTCACTTTGGCACTTATTAATAAGTGATAGAGCTTATGCCCATCAAACCACAACCATGTGTCAATATTGTAGCTCTGTGACTAAAGCCGTCATACATATATTAAATGTTGTAAGCTACTCAGTTGTGTGCTCTTTACAAAGACAAACCTGTGCAAATTCATATTTCCAGACTTACAAATAAGTAATTATATTTTTGACATTAAATCATGTCAATGAGGTTTAAAAATTATATAAATAATTATCTAATTATTCTTCCCAATCCTTATGTATATGATGTAACATCACACACACACACACACACACACACACACACAAACACACTTCACATGAAGTTTTCTGTTGTCTCAAAATTGTGTTAATGAATGAAATGGGAGTAAACTGGACACTAGTCTTTAGTCTCTACTCCCTAAATTGTTGTCAAACAAGACAACCCACAAGGGCTTCATCTTACCAGCCATGGGGCAGAACCCAAACTTCTGGTCGGCATCATAGTTCTGTGTGGTCCCACACCACTTCATGTTGTCTCTTCTGCCCTCAGAAGTGCAATCAGTGTAATTGTGGTTGTTGTATAGGAAGGGGAAGTGGCACAAGGCACCATTGGAATTTCCTCCTCGAGTCTGAACCAAAACTGCCAGGAACAATACACAACAAAGAAGGAAAAGATTACCGCTGAGCTTTCCAATGTACACAGAATTACTGGTCTGAGAGAGCCAGGTTTCTGCAGCTCATTCACAGACAGTCTATCTCAGAATAAAAAATGTCTGATAATATAGTTCTAAGCTTCTTAGCATATTTACCTTCACACCTTCAAAACAGGTTTAAATCCCACTTTCACTGTCATTTCCCCAGCACCCCCCCCACAAAAGATTAAATGATAGCTTTGAATAAAACATTGTTTTAACTGGAAAATAAGCTAAGGCACTAAAACATTCATCCTTTGTATTCCTCAGCCCTGTGGGATCATCTACTGATTCCAAAATACAAGTATCTTTAATCACATCATAATCCCAATGTGTTAAATCAAATGAACTGGAAGGCTACTCCCTTGGTGTCATTTCCCAACAGTACTGGGGAAGATGGAAGAATCCTCAGCTGTTACGTGAGCGCTGCGATCTCTTGAGTCCAAACTGAACAAAAGCGATGCTTCTTGGGCGGGTTCAAAATAAATGGCTAGAATGCTGGCAAATAAAACTAGGGCATGAAAGTGAGTTTTTCTCACTTCTGTGGCTCCCCCTTGGGACACTCACCAGTGTGGTCTGTGCAGAAAGAGTATTTCTGGTCCTGCTCATAATTCGAAGTTGTGCTGCACCAAAGATGTCCGTCCTGTCGCCCTTCTGTGGTGCAGGAGTAGAACGTCCTGCCATTGTAGGTGAATGGTAAGACACATGGCTCTCCATTTGAGTTGCCACCGTAAGTCTGGGTTACAGCTACAATCATAATCAAAAGAGTGTCAGTAAACAGAGATGCTTTATCTCCCACCAGCAGCTGCTTATTTATGGCTTCAATGAGATACTGAGCTTGTGCCCTCAAAGGAAGAAGCTATGAGTATAGATGATCATCTCGTTAATTTCAGTCAAAATGCATTACTCAGGAATCCATGTCTACTGTGGATAGAACGACACCTGAGTTCTTCTGCTGATGTCCTTCATGACCACTTCTGCTGCCATGCCTCAGTTTCTCTATTTGTAAAGCTATATTTATACAGGTCAATTAAGGATGCTGCTTAAGGATGTTGGGATAATATTTATGACTATATCTATGCCATAAAATTAATATATGAGACTATTCTGGGGGAGAATTGTGTAGCAATTGTTATTGCCATAGTGACTACCATGTTTGTAGTGCAGAATACATATATTAGGTTATTGGAAGATGTTTACATCACAAAGCTGCTGAAATTTGAGATTTAGAATATAAAACATTGATGATTATTCAGAAAGTAGCTCTCTTGTAACAACACTTTAGACAGATAAATACAATAAAATTTTTACCCATGATATCCATGACCAGAAAGAAAATACATAAATTAAAAAGATTGGAAGAAACTATTTCAAATGCCAACCCTAATTGTTATCACAGGGTGGTAAGATTACAGGCTTCTTGTTTGTTTTATTGTTTCACATTGAAAATGTATTGTCCTTCAAAAACTAAATAATAAAGTCATCAGTCCTATTCTTCAAAAAGATAATGCATACCTGTCTCTTGGCAGCTGACTCCGTTGCCCAGGCACGTGCAAAGCATTTGCTTATTTCCTTGTGTCTTCAGCCACTGCATCCCCACAGAGTAGACCACACCACTGTCTGTGACACAGTGGCCATAGGGAGGAGGCTGGGGGTGAGGCTGCGGTTGGTAAACAGCTGCACGAACATCGGTGAAGGGGCCAGATCCTAATGGCATGAAAAGGGAATGTCACAAAACTGGGTGAGAGAAGACAATTCACTACTTTCTGCAGTCAGGATCTTCAGGATCTCACAGAGATCACTCTGAAATCTATGTCGCTACTGGCCTGGGACTGGAAAAAAATGTCCCTTATTCAGCAGTAGCTTTTGCATTTAGCCTAGGAAATAATCCACAAGTGTCTACCAAGTGGTCTCCATCCTCCAGCTCAGCTGGGGCTACTGGGATTATATTTCTTTTTGTTTGTTTGTTTTTTGGTTTTTTGGGTTGTTTTTGAGATGGGGTCTCACTCTGTTGCCCAGGCTGGAGTGCAGTGGCGCGGTCTCGGCTCACTGCAACCTCTGCCTCCTGGGTTCAAGCTATTCTCCTGCCTCAACCTCCCAAGTAGCTGCAATTACAGGCACGCACCACCATGCCCAGCTGATTTTTTTTGTATTTTTTAGTAGAGACGGGGTTTTGCCATGTTGGCAAACTCCTGACCTCAAACTCCTGTCTCAAACTCCTGACCTCAGGGGATCCACCCGCTTCGGCCTCCCAAAGTGCTGGGATTACAGGCATGAGCCACCTCGCCTGGCCGGGATTATATTTCTCAATCACAGACATCATCCTGCCACTCCATACAGCAGATACCTTCAACACATCCTCACTCTTCTGAGTAACCGAGCTCATCAGAGGGTGCCTTCAGCAGCTGTCCTGGATTTTCTGGAGGTCACCTCCACCTTCCACATTTTATTTCTCCTCTGGATTATTTGTGATTCTATTGTGTTTTTTCTAAAACCAATTGATCCTCTTAAGACAGCTTTCCTTTCAGAATAACACAACAGGATGTGTTGATCTTTTCTTTTTTCTTTTTTTTTTTTTTTTTTTTTTTGAGACGGAGTCTCACTCTGTCACCCAGGCTGGAGTGCAGTGGCGCAATCTCGGCTCACTGCAAGCTCTGCCTCCCGGGTTCACGCCATTCTCCTGCCTCAGCCTCCCGAGTAGCTGGGACTACAGGCACCCGCCACCACGCCCGGCTAATTTTTTGTATTTTTAGTAGAGACGGGGTTTCACCGTGTTAGCCAGGATGGTCTCGATCTCCTGACCTTGTGATCCACCCGCCTTGGCCTCCCAAAGTGCTGGGATTACAGGCGTGAGCCACCGCGCCCGGCCGATCTTTTCTTTCAACTTTTAGATATCTGTTCTCTTGAAGGCCAGGGCCCACCGCAGAACAGAATCAGGGCTGAGGCTAGACCAAAGGTACACTGAATTCAGTGCCTCCCTAAGTGCTGCTGAACACTAGAACCCAAAGATGTTCACAGACAAAGAATCCCAAGGTCAAACGTACTAGGGAGACATGGCGCCCATCCCCTACACTCTACCATGGAGAGTATGATGTAAAGGAACACACAGATTCTGCAGAGCAGGTTCCATTTTGTTTAACCCATTGCTTCTCAAACTTTTTTGAACAATGGAATCTTTTCAGTATTGGCAATATTCATATATAGCTAACATTTATTGAGTGTTTATCCCCATTTAATTCCCACCTACACTTTTAATCTATTTTGGTAGACTGACATTTATAATTTTTTTTATTTTTTATTTTATTTTATTTTTTTGAGATGGGGTCTCGCTGTATCACCCAGGCTGGAGTGCAGTGGTGCGATCTCGGGTCACTGCAAACTCCACCTCCCGGGTTCATGCCATTCTCCTGCCTCAGCCTCCCGAGTAGCTGGGACTACAGGCGCCCGCCACAACGCCTGGTTAATTTTTTGTATTTTTAGTAGAGATGGGGTTTCACCGTGTTAGCCAGGATGGTCTTGATCTCCTGACCTCGTGATCCGCCTGCCTCGGCCTCCCAAAGTGCTGGGATTACAGGCGTGAGCCACCGCGCGTGGCCGATGTTTATAATTTTTTTTGGCCAGTAGCAATTTTATTAATGATAATAAAATAACTCAAAGATATTATCAAATCTAATCTTGTTCACCTTCATAAGTGCTCAAAGCAAGACAAAAACTCATCAAAAGAAGAAAAATTAGAACAATTAATATTTTTAATTGAAGGATGGCTGAGACACTACGTAATGATGTTGGCACATCATATAGTAAAAAGTTAATCAAAACATATTAAAAATAATGAGAGGAGTGCACGTCCTTGTTGGCCATATTTCTCTCTTCAGATTTTTATGAAACATTTATGACGTAAAAATCTTTTTCTCATGCCAAAAATGATTAAAACTTGTTTTTTAAAAAGAATGCTTAGATATCATGTCTTTCATGGCCATCTCTAAGTCCTCTCTGAATTTCTAAAATTTCGAATGCCAATACATGAAGGAAATAATTGTGTGTTACTTTATAGAATGTAACAAAGTTTGCCAGAGCATAGAAACCACATATAAAGGATGGTTTCCACTACAAAAAGAGTTCAATGTCGGGACAGGGAAGTATATTTCATTCAAAAACAAACAAACAAAAAATCCAAATGCACTTTTTTTGTCCTTTCCTAGCAGAAGAACCAGGTAGTCATATAATTAATTATAACTCTCATTTCCTTTCAAATGAACTTTGGATATTCAAAATACGTGTGTGTGTGCGTGTGTGCGTGATCTATCCATGGTAAGTTTTATGATGCTAGCATTCTTTAAAACTCAGTTTTATCTTTTGGAGATAAATCTGGCTTTTTTCCCCCTAAGGTTTATTTGTATGTCATTTTTCTTTTTTTCTGAAAAATTTAAAACTTGACATTAAAAAAAGTTTTAACAACCAATAATGTGTAAATTATCTTAGGTTATTAGCTGAAACACTGCAAATTATCCTCAAATGGCATGTCAAAGGAAAGATGGATTTGCGGAAATATTTCTTGACCTGCTTCCCCATTTCCCGCCCCTGCTCGTCCTGTGCCTCACCGCTCGATGTGGTCTGCACAGAGGTGTGCCTCTCACACTTCCACTCTCCTCGGCCGTTGCCTGTGCAGATGCACTGGAGCAGGTTTCCTCGATTATCCTTCTTGCTCCAGGTGTCTCCAATTCTATAGGATGTCCTTGTGTCCTGATCGTTGCATCTATCTGTGTCACAAAGGAAGCACATACATACATCAGGTCGAGAGTCGCAAGTGGTCAATTCAAACTTAAAAAAGGAATGCTATCTATGCCTGGTAATCTATTTTTGGTAATATGTTCATATTCAGCTCTGGTGCTGCAAGGTATTACACTTCTGAAAGATGAAATTACATTTGTTACAGTGGAAAGGCAGCTGAATGGTTTAGTCTAGTTTCATCTCTCTGTCAAATAACATTTTCATTTATCTATTTATTTATTGTTTTCACACTGTTCCTTTGACTAACTTCATTCTCTGGCATTATATTTCATCTTTTTCCTTCTCAGGCTCTTCCAGGATTTTTCTTAGTCATCACTGTTTATGGCCTGCCTTTCAATAGGGACCTTGCTTTAGAAAACTAAAAACAGGCTAAGCGCGGTGGCTCACGCCTGTAATCCTAGTACTTTAGGAGGGTGGATCACCTGCAGTCAGGAGTTCAAGACCAGCCTGGGCAACATGGTGAAACCCCCGTCTCTACTAAAAATACCAAAAAAAATTAGCCGGCTGTGGTGGCGGGCGCCTGTAATCCAAGCTACTCGGGAAGCTGAGGCAAGAGAATCGCTTGAACCCGGGAGGTGGAGGTTGCAATGAGCTGAGATCACACCATTGCACTCCAGCCTGGGCGACAGGGTGAGACTGTCTCAAAAACAAAACAAAACAAAACAAAACAAAAAAAACAAGCAAACAAAAAAAAGCTTATAACAATGGGGAGGCAAGCAGGTATCAAAGGGTCTTCACCAATGGCTACAAAGAAGCTATAAGAAGGTGGTAGTATCTCTTTCTTCATTTGTTATGTAAAAAATGTAGAGGATGCACAATTTCTTTGACTAAAATATTATTTTCCCTTCCCCTATACCCAAACATCTACAGTATTTAAAAATCACTAGCAAAATAGCCCCAAATTATTCAGTGTTAGCCCTCCACTGGAAGAGTGGGATCAACATAAAATGATAATTTGTAACTAAATGACCATTAGTCTATGCGTGCATTTATCTGGTAAATAGATTATTTAAATTATAATCCAAATTTGCTCTGTGCCACGATGTGAGTATAGAGGATCTGATGTCTTTGTGAATTGGATATTGTTGCAACTCCTGGGTTAGAGAAAAAAAATTAATAGTTGATGTAGGTTCAAACAAATACACACCCACATCCATCTACCACAAGAATAGAAGTTTGCATGAAGGTATAATTACTGATTAGAGCTTTTTCCCAAATCCCCAGCGAAAAGTATTATCATCCCCTGAACCTCCATAGCACTACTTTCAGTATTTCTGTTGAAATCTTTAATACTGTGTTTTGCAGATGATAAATATGTATAAGACTTTCTCATCTCCCTGACCCCCTAAGTACTCTTTGAAGGCTGGGCTAATGTTCATTTCATATCTGCACCCCTATAATACCTTGAACAAAGTAAGTCCTTATAAAATTTTCTGGAATAAATGACTTCTCTTTGAGAAACTTTTCCCAACTTGCTATTTAAAGAGTTCTAAATAACAGATAAGGTTTGAATCAGACATCTAATTTGTCTTAAGCTAAAATATTGCCACAAAGATCTTGGAAGTCTGATGATCACAGTAACATTTTAAATGCAAAATATCTAATAAACCAGCAAGTTTCTGGGAAAGCTTTGGTCAAAATGGTTACCACTTTTCATGAGAGACCTATTTTTGTTAGCAAAGAATTTGAATTTGGATGATGGCTATGTTAAAGGTAGTTAAATGGGTTCAGCTAGATAAATAAAACAGGTTCAAATTATTTGGATTTGATTTTAAACTTATTTACAACACCAGTAGTTAATGGCTGTTTTACTTCAACAAACTCTCTAGCTGTTATTAGTTTACAATATCAAAAAAGGAGCCTTCAAACCCAAAGGCAACAATTAAGACCCCAAGACAATCTTAGAAGGAGCAGTAAAGACACCAGAGGCCAGCTTCTTTACAGCACTAATCAAATGCGTTAGGTCAGAGACACTATCCCTAACTCCAGAGTAGATAAATCATTTTAATTTATGGGATAAATTCTTTTTAATTTTATCAATTTAGCCTGTGAATGTGCCCTATTTAAATTTCAAACATAGAAGGAAACCTAAACCTTTTGTTCAACTCTATGTCAGTGGCAGTGAGCTGAGATTGAACCTTATCAAAGTGATATGTTTTTCTATTTATGTAGTCTTCTCTGAAGATGCGGAATAAGTTGGTTATGAAAGTTTTCTTGACTTCCAGAAGTTACCAAAGCATGCTGATATACTGGATGTGTTCTGAGTAACATAGTATTACCCTTCTCTCTAGGAATCCAGAAAACAATACCTGGCTTAATCTTTAACATAAAGATGTAAAACATACTTCTAGAAGTGCAAGTGATGCGTCCGCTGCCTTCTCCCAGGCAAGTACAATCTACCATCATCCAGCCTTGGTAGGGCTTCTCCCACGTTTCTCCGACCACATAGGAAGTCCCAGCAGCATGATCAAAACACTTCTCAGCTGTAGGGAAATTTGGAAGAAAAACAGGAAAAAAAGGTTATTTTGAATTGTGCAAGCTCCCTGTAATTTAAAGTGTAGTGTGTAAGCAAAAATTCAGCCACATTTTTTTTAAGTGGCACTCTGTTCAGAAAGAATGACACACCCAGCATCTAAGCACACAGTAAGTAGCCAAGGCAAAAGAAAGCTCAAGCTGAGTTGGCAGGCAGAAATTCCATTCTCCTAATAAGTACATGGACTACATATTTTCAGCGAGCCCCAAACTTCCCAGCAGCATTTCCAGTAGCAAGGATCTATGTATGTATCTAGTCTGTGGGAGACTACATATGCAAAATTCCAATCTTAATTATAAATGACCAATTATGAATTTTGAGTGGCCTAAATACAATGACAAAGAAAGCTATTTTTAAATATTGGAAAGCAAAACAATACAAAACAAGACAAAAACCTCTAAATTAGAAGACAAGTAAACAGAGTAAAATTTATAGCCAGAAACTTTCAGGCTTGTACTTACAAAATTCAACTGAGGATTGAGATCCAAAGAAGCTCAACAACTTTTAATTTGAAAAGAAATGAGCAGAGTGTGACAAGCACACACTATTTCATGTTTCGGTCCAGGACATTCCATATAGAAATGTGTCCAAAGTGTCATTTTTTTTTCTTTTAAATAAATTATATCTTGACGAAGGAGGAATCTGAGATCAGCTATTAGGTAAAAGAAATGACTCCATTCTAAATCTTTCAATTCTACCTTATGCTTTTGAAGCAAAGTTAAGACTTCTATGTGTAGTCAGTACTTTTTGATCTAACTCCTGTAAGAAGACTATGGATTATATAATAATTCATTATTTCAAACAAAATTCCCATTTCTTTATTGGTTTTCACTGGAATTCAGGTCTATGACCTATGTAGATGTGATTCTGGTCCAACCCCACATTAGAACTAAGCATCCCAGCTCTTGCTCAGCCCTAAGACTCACACACCTATGGGCTTGCAGGTCCATTCTCCTTTTCCATTACCAAGACACACACACTCTAACATGTAACCACCAGTCTCATGTGGTCTCCTCCAGGTGTCACCAATCTTGTAGGACTGACCCCCTTCATGGCAGCGGTCTGTTGAAGATACAACGAAAATGTTAGGAGAGGGCAGAACAGATTTTTTTTTTTGGTCTCATATTCCACCCATGGTAGGTACTTAGGTTGGCTAAAGTAGAGACACAGACAACAGCTTTCCCATCAGAGACAGGGGAAACGTTAACAGGTCTGGTCACTTGGAGTCAATTCAGTTAAGTGTCTTGCTTAGAACACAATGGAAAACCACAGAGAAATCTGGATGGCAAGGAAGAGGTCATGAATCCTGCTTTCCCAGAGAGATCACAGGAAATTGGGTCCTAAGCAGAAAAGAAAGGCTGGGAGGCTTGGTCTTCACTCATACACAGCAGGCTAAGACTGAGACTAATTCAGTGAAAAGGCCACATCAGGCACAGCACTCCAGCTTTTGGGAGCATGGAGAGCCTGTATTTTACCCTAGGATAGAAATGTCATTTTGGTGGAAAGCAAACAGACATATGCATATAAAGTGTGGAAATCCTGGTAGTTTTCTAAGTTGTTAAGCCCAATGGCACATTCAAATGCTGAACTAGATTGTAAACACTATGGACCCTTGCCTCTTGCGATTTGCCTGTGAACTTGGATAAACCCTAACATGAAATATGGGGAAAGTTGATTGGGCCTATTCACACGGGACTTGTTCTTTTGAATAGAAGTCTTTAAGACGACTTATATTTAAAGAATGGATTAAAAAACTTAAATACTATCTTAATAGAATCTATTGGTAACCCAGTGAATCATACTGGAAAGAGTGCCTTAGCTAAACTAGAGTTGAGAATCAGCCCGGTTCCCAAAGTTCCTTAGCAAACTCTATTGGGTTAATAATTTTGTATTATCCCTAGGAATAGTGACATCTGCTTCCTGGGTATAACCTACTGGTCACCAAGAAACCAGACTGTTTCTGTGAGGTGCAAGAGGTCTCTGCATTGCAAACATGAAGACCAGACAACACATGGCTGGTTCACTCTTCATGAACACCTTCCCAGTCACTGCAGAAAAGTCTCATGATTTGTCTAGCTTGAAGATATCCAGGTGATTTAAAATGGGCAACTCCCCTAAGCATGTCTTACTGAAATGGAACCCAAGAGGTCTCTTGGTTCTACTATGTACAGAAACACACACACTCATAAATGCACACACACTCATAAACGCACACACATCAAACACTGATTCCATCTGTGCTCATACCCGTCTTTAAGAAACACAGGAACCAGTTGGGTGACCACTTAAGAGTACCTGGTCACCAGGGGCAAACCTCAAAGTTCGGAATATCCAGTCATGGATAACAGAAAATGACAGTGATGGTAACAGAGAAATTCATATTTGATATTTTGGCATCATTTTACACAATCTCTTCCTTACTTGCGATGGTACAGCTTATTCTCCCTCGCCCAGCCCCGATGCAGGTACAGTCCCAGATCATGGAGTCTTTAGGACGCTCATAAGTGTCACCCACTCGGTAAGTGTTCCCAGTGTACTTGTCAAAGCAAGTCTCTTCAGCTGAGGGGAAAAGGAAAGTCCATGTGAGCCTCACTTAGGTACAAGCTTTTCTAGTTCACTAATCCCCTCTAAAGGAAAACCCACTTCTCTATTCCACAAGTAACATGGTACACCTCAAAGAATAAAATGAAGTGAGAGATACAGATTTTTATCCTAAGCTCTAATAAGGCCATGGTTTTTGACCTTGACATATTGTCAAATTTTCTGTAAATTATTCATATTGTAGAAAAATCTCAGGCTCTTAGGAAAAGGCCATATAAAGTACTAACTTATGACAGAGCTAGATTTGTGAAGGGTTTCACATTCCAATCTCTGACTCAGAAAGTCAAAGCAAGGTTCACATAAAAAGCAAACGATTGGCCGGGCACAGTGGCTCACGCCTGTAATCCCAGCACTTTGGGAGGCTGAGGCGGGTGGATCACCTGAGGTCAGGAATTCGAGACCACCCTGACCAATACGGTGAAACCCCGTCTCTACTAAAAATATGAAAATTAGCTGGGTGTGGTGGCATGTGCCTGTAGTCCCAGCTACTCAGGAGGCTGAGGCAGGAGAATTGCTTGAACCCTGGAGGCAGAGGTTGCAGTGAGCTGAGATAGTGCTACTGCACTCCAGCCTGGTGACAGAGCAAGACTCTGTCTCAAAAACAAAACAAAACAAAAACAAACAAACAATTCGAAGATCCCCACCTCCCACAAGGCCTTGACAGTTGTTAATCCTATGATTTCCATTTTCCCCTGATCAGTGCTTCTCTGACAGAGTTGCTATAATTTATGAGAAAAATATCATTGGTCCTAAAGGAATGAGAACTTTGAAGTGGCTAATGGTTTTGTGTTAACTGCCGCTGACAAATCATTTTACGATGTAAGTCCCCAAAGTGTTTTCTGGCTCATAAACTAACAGTTTAAGATTTGAGACTGCTTTCTAATAAATTAAAATTTTATAAGCAATTTTTTTTGTCGGAGGACACACAAAATCTTTCATTTTTCTCATCAAAAACTTTGGGAGAGTAAAGCAAAAAGAAGACTCTAGGAACTAATTTGGGAAAGATTCGTTTCTTTGTTTTAAAGGTAAAAGCATGTGAAAAGCAAATATAAGCAGTTTTTAAACTTAAGAGGAAATGACAGGTAATTCTATTAGAAAAATGGTGTATGTATTTTTACTTACTAATGCAAAGTTTAACAATTACCACTTCATGTATTAAAAGATACTAACTATGGGGCTTGTTGTCACTTACCTTCAGGTTTACTCTCGCAGTTAAAACCTCGGCTTCCTCCATAACAAGTACAAACCAACGCATTGCCTAGGTAGGTCCGCTCCCACTGTTGATTTATCTGATAGTGTTTTCCATTGTCATAACAACCGGCTGCAAATAATTGAAGGAAAACGTTACATTTGCATTTCTCCTTTTCCCAAAATTATGGAATTTTCTTCATGTGAATATTGACGTACATATTTTTTTCCTTTTAACTTTGCTAAAAGTTATATACAATGATGTCATTTCCATCTGGCCAGGGGTCTACATAAAAAAGTTGGAAACATTTTGGAAGGCAGACAATTGAAGTCACATTTTTAAAACATGCAAGGAACTTAAATATTCTTTTGGAGTAATAGTCAAAAAGGACAACTTTAAGCAGCTTTCTCAAAGCAAAAGGAGGGTGTGTCTTTGAAAAACGGAAAGAATTCCAACCTCTGTTCTTGGTGAAGTATCCTGAGCGGCCCTAAAGAGGTCTGAACCAATTACATCTCTTCCAAGTTAGTTAGAAACAAGACAGCTATTTCAATACCCCCTTTCCACCCCCATGTTGAAAATATTTGACCAATTATTTAACAGAAGGAAATAAGTAGCAGTAAGGACCACACTAATCCCAGACGGAAAATTTATAGACATGCATCATTTTTCTCTTTAAAGGCAAGTTTTGGTTAATTCCTAGAAGGACAATCTGAACGTGCAGAATTTATTAGAACACGGGAAAGTCGCAGAGTCCTCGTCCTCCAATGCACGGTCTTATCATCCCAGGCCCTCAGAACCAGCGTGCTCAAAACTCGGTCCTTTTGTGTGCACAGCTGGTTTCTCTCAGTAAAGCGCGCACACACTCGCACACACGCGCGCGCACAAAACTTCAGCCCCAACTTTGGTCGGCTTTAGGGTCCCATCCCTGAGGCAGCCTGTTTCAGCCCGCGGTCAGTACTCACGCTTGCTTTGACTGACAGCCACCGGGGACTGGGGCTGAACCATTTGCTGAGCCTGCCTCTTGCTCTTCGAGGCTCCCGTGGAGGGCACCGCTGTCCCCAGGCACTGGACGGCCAGCAGCAGCAGCCCGGGCCCCGGACCCCTAAGCATGTTGAGACGGTGGGGGAGAGACGCCCGCACCGGGAGGCAAGTTGCCACCAAGTTTGCTTCCCTTCGCAACCTGCGGGAAAAATCCCTTCTAATGCCTCCCGGGGGTTGTCGCCTCCAAGAAGGTGGGGGCCAGAGGGTGGGGAAGGGGACGGGTGGAGGGACAGAAGGGATGCAGAGGACCAGAGAAGTTGTGGCTGCAGGTCCCCTCTTCCCGCTCGCGCCTGGGGTTCCCTCTCCTCCCCCTGTGCAGCACAGCCGGCGCGGGCGTCCGAGCGCCGGGAGCCGGGGCTTATATGGGACGGTCCCCTCCCGCCCCTCTGGAGGCCCGGGGCGCGGGGGAGGAGAGACCCGCCGGGCTGTCCCCGCCCCGCCCCACCCCACCCGCCCGCCCGCCCGCCGGCCGCCGCAGCCGACCGCGCGCCGATTGGCCCGGGCTCCGGGTGACGTCACGGGGGACTGTGGGTTCGCAGCGAACAAAAGAGATGCTGATGGCCCGCCAGGACTGGGGCAAGACAACTTTTTTTCGGTTTCCTTTGCGGTCATCAAACTTTTTAGGGGATGGGGGAAGGGATGGGAAGCGGCTGGGAGGAAAGGGAGTGGCTGGACTTGTGTGAAGCGAAGGGGTTGCAAGACGCTCCCCCTTCCCTTTTCTTTTTTATTGGGGGTGGTGGTAGTGTTTGAGGACATTGCGTCACCTCTCTTCGGGGTGGAGGGGGGGAATCTCTGCTTATAGGAGTGTATTTTGTGAGGAAGAAAACCCATAAAATATCCACGACCTTGCAGCTGTTAAGAATCCAGACTTTTCAGTCCCAGGGCGGGGCTGCCTTTCCCCCCATCCCGCTCCCTTTCTTTGGACTAAAGGGTACTGACTCGGGACTCCCTTATTTTGTCTTCACAGCTCCCTGTTCGGACTTCTTCCCTTCTCAGCGCTGTGCCTGTCTGGCTCTGAGAAAGGGCCAGCGGGCGAACGGGGAGCAAAGGGGAACAGAGACCTTTAATGAGCTTCTACTAAGTACCGGGAGTTCCGCGGGGCGCTTTGCAGATCCCGGGGAAGTTCAGAGAATGAAGTTTTCTTTTGCAAGGACAAAGTAACAGTTTACTTTTTTACACATGCAGGAAAGCCTTCCTTTCCTGGGGATGGGACGCCCGTTTCCACTGAAAGTGAAATCACTGTGAACAACCTGAAAATTGGAAAGTTGGACCAGCTGTGGGGAGAGAAAGGTCTTCGTGTCCTTTCCCACGTTCACCGTGCCAGTTACACACAAAGCAGAGATTTTTTTGCTTGAATCATTAAAAGCCGGGTGGGTGGGGGGCACCCTATGTACTGTCTTGCCCTCCTTCGGCCCCTTTCTCACATTTATTTGCCATTTTCTTTTTGCTGACAAGTTCCATTACAGAATGCCCCCTCCATCCCCCGCCGCCAGATTTTTTATATTTCAATTGTTATTTACTCCAAGAGTGTGGAAAGTTCTCCTTTAAGATTCCCCCGCCTTGAACTCTAAACTCAGAGTGGAAAGGGAATCTGAAAAGTCTCTCATTTAGCAACACATCACATCAGTCCTTTTTGTCAGATAAACACAGGCACAATTGCTTTTAAAGATCTTCAGAAGGAGGAGTCCACCACTTCCACAGTAGATCCAGAGAGACCCGAACTGAATGCTTTGCCTTCTCCTTGTGTTAGGAGTTCAGAGGTTCCATTTGCTTTAAAACACAAGAAGCTACTAATAAAATATATTTATTTCGGCAAGGTACCTATTTTCTCCAAAAGTTTCACCTTCAGTAATTGCCACAGGAGTAATTAGAACTCTGTGTTCTATAAAATGCCTGACACATTAAAGACACAAAATTAGCATTTGTTTTTATTCATGCAAGGATTTAAAACCAAACCAAAACAAAGCAAAACACCCAGCAAATATCAGTTTCCTACAAATAGTGTAAAAAAACCTCTTGAGGAATCTTTGTGACCCACACTCCAAATTGAAAGAGTGCCATGGATTTCCCCAAATTTAGAATCCTGTCTGGGTTAGAGGATTTTTTTGGAATTTCTCATCACTTGACAAAACAGTTTTCTCTTTTCAAATATAAAAGAGCTCCTTGTAAAATGCTTGGTAAATTTCTGGGAAGCCGAGTGTTTCTTCCAGAGGGAAGGATACCTGGAAATCCGGATGTAAGCAAGATAAACCTGTAGCTAAAGCTTTCTTAAAATTCATTGATTCTGGGGGAAGGAAATAAGTGATTAGAAAAGTATTTGGTCAACCAAAACCATGATAGTTTGATATATTTACTGCACTGAAAATACACTAGAATCATATGCATAGTGGAGCTTGAAGTGGAAAGCCCACCTTACATTTTGGAAGAAACTTTTATATTTCAATCCCATAGATATCTAATTTATTTAAGGAAACAGGATATCTCTGTCTCATAAGAAAAAAAATAACATCTGACTGATTTTTATAGGAATGCTTGGGAGTTTACTCTTTTACTTGAAAGGTTTTTTTTTTTTTTGCCTTTTTTTTTAAACTTTAGAAACAGAGGCGTTTCTTAGTTAAGATAACAGGGCTTACTACAGTATTCTTTAATTATCAAGGTCCCTTGTAACTCTAAGTCTGTTATCTCTAATTGGAGAGATAATTAAATCTTAAAGACCACTCTGACTCTAATTCAACCAACGTGTGTGGTGTCCAGGATCGTTGGACTTCCTTAAGAATTCTATTTTATCCAGGTGGGTTCTTCCTCAGTAAATTGTATTCTCCTATTGGTAGGAAATACTCTTGGATTTCTTTCTTTCTTTCTTTTTCTTTCTTTCTTTCTTTCTTTCTTTCTTTCTTTCTTTCTTTCTTTTTCCTTCTTTCCTTCTTTCTTTCTAAAACTGTATTCAGAGAGAGAAATGTGACAAAAAAAGGGAAATCAATAGAGACAGAAAGTAGATTCATGGGTACCCAAGTTTATGGGCTGGGAACAGGAATTAACTGTAAAAGGGCACAGGGAATCTTATTGAGGTGATGGAAATCTGTGTTCTAAAACTACATTGCAGTGATGACTGTACAATTTGGTAAAAGCTTCAAAATTCTGGGGATTATACACAAAATGAGTGAATTTTACGGTATGTAAATTATGCTTCAATAAAGTTGTTTTTTTCAAAAGTTGATTTTAAAAATTAGTATTTGTTCTTTTTTACTCTTAACCATCTCCTGATTTTGGTTTCAAAGACTTGCTCTCAGGTAGCAGCAACATACACAAGGCGTCCTCATTTCTTCATTTTTCTGAGAGGAAGTTTGCCTTGAATATAGTAGTGGATTTCTTCTACACCAGTAACTCCTTCTGAAACCTACTATTTGTGTGAAGGCATATATGTGGTAGAGACAGAACAAATCTTCATTTAGGACTGTGCCTTGTTTCTTCTTGGAATTGCCATAGTGATAGAATTTTCCCAGAGCCTCAGGCAATTTAAACTTTTTGTAACAAAAAGAAGCACATATATTTTCGGGAACTAGGGGGGTGTGGGTGGCGGGGGGCAATGGTATTGGGAAATTTTATTATTCCAGAAGGTTAAGGAGGAGCATGAGCAATTATGGAAATCTGAATTAAATTGATTTCATTTGTTTTGAAGATTAGCAATGGAGACATTTGATTAAGCACAAAAAATAATTGATCAGATCCAGTCATTTAGAAGGACTGAAATAAAAACAGGCTAGGTGTGGTGATTCATTCCTGTAATCCCAGCACTTTGGGAGGCCAGTGTGGAAGGGTCACTTAAGCCCAGGAGTTCAAGTCCAGCCTGGGCAATATAGTGAGACACTCTTAATAATAATGATAATAATAACCAGATATGGTGACAGGCACCTCTCGTCCCAGCTATTCAGGAGTCTGACATGAGTCCTGGGGGATGACTGGAGCCCAGAAGATCGAGAGATCAAAGCTGCAGGGAGCTGTGATCACACCACTGCACTCCAGACCCAGCCTAGATGACAGAGCAAGATCCTGTCTCAAAAATTTAACATTTAACATTGAAATGTTAAATGTTAAAGGTTACATTTAAATATGTCACATTTAGATGTTACATTTCAAATGTTACATTTAGGTGTAACATTTAATTGATGGGCTGTTTTTCCTGAAACCTTTGGCTTTTATCCTGTTATTAATTTCTTCCAGTTCTGCTAGAGAGGAGGCCATTGACTCTGGAGAGCTCGAACTTTCATTTCATCTTCTTCTATAGGTAGATTAGAGGGAGATAAATTAGGGTAGTTTTTTTTTTTTCTTATTTTGAATTTTTTTTTTTTTTTTGGCATAAAATGCTTCCCTTCTTCCTTGAAAATGGCCACGTTTACAAAAATGTTACTCATTAACCACAGGTGTGAGAAGTTAAAAATAAACTTCCCTGCGGGCAGCCCTCGTAAGTAGAATGTCTGAAAAGTTTGTCAAGAATTGACAGGGTGCCTGCAACCAGGGAGAAAATACTGGATAAGGGCTTTAAATTATGCCATGAAAGCTAACCAGTTTTCGCTTAATAGGCATTTTGTTTACATTTTAAGTGACTTTATTTTTTAATCAGCACTTTTTAAAAGCCTTAATCTATGCTTTTTGCTTCTTAACAGGAATATTCTTTTCTCATTAGAGTGATGTAACTCCCAACAGGCATGGCAAAGGTGTTTAACTTATCCAGTAAAATGGGAACTAACTACTGTGTAGCTGGAACATGTAACCAAAACTGTCTTGGAGAACATTTCATCTTTCCAAGCAAAGTAGCAGCTTCTTGTAAAAATTTTAATTTTGTATGTTATTTCATGTTGCTGGCATTAAAGAGTTTTTTGTTGTTGTTGAAAGGCTGAATTTAAAAAAAAATAGAAGTTTTGCCATATTTAAATTATTTTCTATCCTTTTTGCATTAACATACTTTAAACATCTCATATGCAGCTAATCACAAAAGTTAGTTGAGCCAAATGCTTAAAAATAACCACAAACATTATCTAGTAAATAACAATTTATGCCAACAATAGACTATTTTGATATGAGCTGTCAATATTTATGCCTACCTGTCTAATTAGTGAATTAATTAGTTAAAATAAATTAAGAATACATTCAATCGAATTGTAAAGATGCCATATACATGTTATTGTAAATTTATATTGAACTATTTTCTAGATAAGTTTGATATATTCTTTCATTAAGTATGACCATTTTACTGAGATAAAATGGACATTTAAAATCATTACTATTTTAAACATTAAAAACTAAGGCACTGCTGGCCGGGCGTGGTGGTTCATGCCTGTAATCCCAGCACTTTGGGAGACCGAGGCGGGCGGATCACGAGGTCAGGAGATCGAGACCATCCTGGCTAACATGGTGAAACCCCGTCTCTACTAAAAAAATACAAAAAAAAAAAAAAAAATTAGCCAGGCATGGTGGCAGGCGCCTGTAGTCCCAGCTACTCAGGAGGCTGAGGCAGGAGAATGGCGTGAACCCGGGAGGCGGAGCTTGCAGTGATCCGAGATGGCCCCGCTGCACTCCAGCCTGGGTGACAGAGCGAGACTCTGCCTAAAAAAAAAAAAAAAAAAAAAAAAAAAAAAAAGAAAACTAAGGCACTGCTTACATGCATGCACATTTAAGTAGTCACGAAGTCACAAAGATTTCAGCACCTAGATAGAAATAAATAGCTACATTTTATTAAACACTCTAAACCAGATCCAGTACTAAGTGTTTCATATGAATTTTTTTCATCTAACCATCAACAAACTTTTAAGGTAAGCACTATCATCCTCTCCTCTTACAGATGAGGATATAAAGCTTAGAAAAACAATGTGCAAAAATGCTACTCATTAAGCACAGATGTGAAAAGGAAAAAGAAAATGCCCTGAAGGCAGCTCGCATGAGTATAATGTCTGAGAAGTTTGTTGATAATTGACAAAGAATGAAGTTTTCTCAATCACAAGCCTTGTAGAAATTGTGGCGTCAAGTTGTGTCACTGTCAATACCAGGTGATTAGTCAAGTGATTACATAATGGTCTCCCTCAGAACCAAAGGTATGGGCAAGACAACTGGCTAAAGAATTTTGTGGGTGACTTCTTTCACATGAGATTAATTTATCAAAAGATGTCACACAGGACTCTGCCAACTGACACGCTACCAGTTTCCATCTGTTGTAGCCAAGGCCATTCTTCTGGGAACCAATTTCCTTCAAACAGCCTGGCTGTGTTTCAGCATTTTGAATCAAATGTGGAAGATTGTTACCATCGACTCTCCACTGGGCTGGAAGTTTGCTGGGGGCAGAGGCTCTGTCTTGTTTCCTCTGTATGCCCAGCACTAGGTACCAGGCACCCTTGGATAAGTACTTGGCAAATGTCAAATGAATGAATGGAAGGAGAGAAGGGCAGATGACAAACACTCTGAGATTCACATTCAGTGACTATCCAGCCAGGCACAGTGCTAAGTGCTCTGCATATGCTATTTTATTTTATCTTCAAAGCTACTGCCAGAAGTAGATATCAATAGTGCCATTTTACTCTCTGAAGCTCGGAGCTGAAAGATGGTCCTAGAGCTTATGCTGTAAGAAAGGGACAGAGCTGAAATTGAAATCACGGTCCTCCTGACACAAAATTCTTGCTCTTACCGAAGACATACATGGCTTTCCCCAAAGAGACTTTGCCCTATATGTTAAAAGAACGTTGGAAACACTCTCAGGCAGTTACTTTTTATCTTCCTCTAGATCGTTCTGCCTTGCTTCTGGGCCCTGGGCCTGACCCTGTGAACTGCGGGGCTGCTTCCTCTGTTTGCTGGAGGACAGAGGACGGAGATGAGAGTTGTTCCTGCCCACTCCCTCCTTGTTCTGGCTTCAGTGCCAGAGTTCTAGTGGCAGCTGCCTTTCCCTAGGACCTGCATTATCAATGGGGCAACAGTGCCCCAAGAGGGTAAAAGTGGGTTCTTGGGGTAGAAGGGGAGTGGTTAAAAAATTTCAACCCTACCTAATAAAAATTTTATTCCTTAGTTGTGAATTTAACACTTTTTTTTTTTTTTTTTTGACAGAATCTTGCTCTGTCACCCAGGCTGGAGTGCAGGGACAAGATTTTGGCTCACTGCAACCTCTGCCTCCCGGGTTCAAGCGATTCTCCTGCCTCAGCTTCCCAAGTAGCTGGAACTACATACATGAGCCACCATGCTGGGCTAATTTTTGTATTTTTAATAGAGACGGGGTTTCATTATGTTAGCCAGGCTGGTCTTGAACTCCTGACCTCAGGTGATCCGCCCGCCTCGGCCTCCCAAAGAGCTGGGATTACAGGCATGAGCCACCATGCCTGGCCATGAATTTATCATATTAGATAGACTTTAAATTTCATTTCTTTCCTGGAGGGTTGTATAAGGTAGGGCATTAATACATAAAAGAAAAAGGGAGAAACATTGCTCTAGGACAGCAGTCCTCCCCAGGCTTTGGTCCTCCAAGGCTCCAGCTATCGCTGGCTCCTTCCCCATGATGGCAGCCGTAGGAGTGACAAACTGCCTACATTGCTAGTCCCTGGGAACCTCAGCATCCCTTTTTTATTCCTTGGTCATGCCCACACTGGGGTAACAGTGCTTTCACAAAATTCTCCCGATGGAAATCATTTTAATTCCATTTTCTGCTAAAACCCCGGGGATCCAGATTCTTTTTTTTTCTTTTTTTTAAGATGGAGTTTCCCTCTTGTTCCCCAGGCTGGAGTGCAACGGCGTGACTTGGCTCACTGCAACTTCCACCTCCCGGGTTCAAGCGATTCTCCTGCCTCAGCCTTACAGGTATGCGCCACCACGACTAGCTAATTTTTGTATTTTTAGTAGAGATGAGGTTTCACCACTTTAACCAGGCTGGTCTTGAACACCTGACCTCAGGTGATTCACCCGCCTCGGCCTCCCAAGGTGCTGGGATTACAGGCATGAGCCACCATGCCCAGCGACGATCCAGATTCTAACCATCCAATGATGACATGAGCAGTCCACCCCATAGTTTTAAGTCTTAAATTATAGCAGAATAGACTTAGGACACACGAATTCTTTTCCAAACTTAGCAACTAGTATTAATCATGCTGTGATTTCTTTGTATTTCCCATGACTTACATGGTCTTATTTTTTTCTCTCTACTGAATGCATGCGCTTTTAACACTCTATCTTTCCCAAAGTAAAACGCTCAGATGATAGAAGCAAATGACATAGTCATCATACAATGACGGAGAAAAGAAACCAGAATTTTATATTTAAATTTATGATATTTTAGACAGGGTCTCACTTTGTCGCCCAGATTGTAGTGCAGTGGCAAGATCTTGGCTCACTGCAAACTCCACCTCTCAGGCTCAGGCAATCCTCCTACCTCAGCCTCCGGAGTAGGTGGGATTATAGGAGGTGTACACCACCATGCCCGGCAAAGTTTTGGTATTTTTTGTAGAGATGGGGTTTTGCCATGTTGCACAGGATGGTCTCAAATTTCCGGGCTTGAGTGATCCTCCTGCCTTGGCCTCCCAAAGTGCTGGGATTACAGGTGTGAGCCACCACGCATGGTCATGTCGACGTCTTAACTGTCTTGGAAATAATTTGATTTTGTCCAGGTAATTTGGTTCACGCAAAGAAGTTGAGATCGGGGCACATCAGAAAGAGATTCATCTTTTAAAGTGCTTCTTAAATCTACAAATGCAATATATGTAAAAGCTAAAGGTTTTTATATATTTTTCACACATGTAAAAATGTAAGTTTTGCCTTTAAATTCATTTTAGATATGAAATAATCTAGCTGAGAGCATGTAAAGTCGAGGAAAGCTTATTCAGATCCGCTCTAGTTCAGCATGTGGTAAATTCCTAGGTGTTCACAATATTAGTGTACACAAATTCCTTCTCAAGAAAGAAAACCTTGGACAGACCTGGTAGACTAGTATCACTTATGCCTTATAGAGACTTTCTGTCAAAACCAAACAAAAATCTGTCATATCTTTATTCATAGAATAAAATGTGATATTAGGGAACACAACTGTTTCTGGAATGCATTGAAACTGATAGTATTCTATAGATTTTTCTACTTAACAATTACTTATTATTACTATTATTATTATTGTTGTTGTTGAGACTGAGTCTCACTCTATCACCCAGGCTGGAGTGCAGTGGCATGATCTCAGCTCACTGCAGCCTGCACCTCCCGGGCTCAAGCAATTCTCCTGCCTCAGCCTCCCCAGTAGCTGGGATTAAAGGTGCCCACCCCAACGCCCAGCTAATTTTTGTATTTTTAGTAGAGATGGGTTTCACCATGTTGGCCAGGCTGGTCTCGAACTCTTGACCTAAATGATCTGCCCGCCTTGGCCTCCGAAAGTGCTGGGATTACAAGTGTGAGCCACTGCACCTGGCCTCAACTTACATTACTTATTTTTCAAAAACTAGAGAATCCATTAATTTTGGCTTGTTTGAATTTAAAAGTGATTATAATATTTTTGTTAGTTATATATGAGCAGTATTTCACTACAGCTCATCTTAAAGATATTTGATAATTTATCTTCTATTTTTACAGCGAAATGGTCACATTTTTGTCAGTTGACAATAAATTCTTTTTTTTTTTTTTTTTTTTTTTTTTTTTGTAGAGTTGGGGTTTCGCTGTGTTTGGCCAGGCTGGTCTTGAACTCCTGGCCTCAAGTGACCCACCCGGCTCAGCCTCTCAAAGTGCTGGGATTACAGATGTGAGCCACCACACCTGGCAGACAATAAATTCTTGAAAGATTCCTGATACTTTACCAACTTACACATTAAGTTAATCTTCCCATTTTCTTTGTCCAATTAAGTTTTAAAGCAAAATAATATAAATATTTATAGACCCAAATTGTAAACACATTTCAGTTTTGAAGAACAATATAAAGTAAATATACTATGGAATTACAATTAGAAAACCAAGTTTGCACTGATATTTTTAAAACTTCTCTGGGGAACTTAGTTTTTCAACTTAAGGACACAAGTATTAAATTAGAAGGTATTTTCCTTCACTAACGAAAATTTTTGTTTTTTAATTATCTATTCTTGTCTTTCAAATTTAAGTTTTAATGGCGGACCAATTAATGTTGCTTAAAGTTACAACTTAGACAAACAGTTAAAATAGCTTAGCAAATTGTGGTTCTGGTTGTTCTCCTATAGGTAATTAAGAGGGCAATGACTCAAGATTTAAAAAATTAAATAACATGTCCACACAATTTTCTCTGAAATGTTCCCTTCAGATTTTTAAAACAGGTTTATTGAGATATAATTGCCATCTCATAAGCCCCACATACCTGTATACAATTTGACAAGTATTGACATACTTTTGACAATTTTCTATTACGTACATTTTATCTTTTCTTTTTTCTTTTTTTTACACCACCCCTCTCCACTTATTACATATATTTTGACTGTTGTTTTAATATTTCCTTTTAGCTTATATAGCATTAAATCCTTTTCTATCAGTCTGAGCTTTGGAAAGAAATTTTATTTTTTTGGAACAAGATATCAAAGAGTAAAATTGAAGAAAAGTTTAATCTCAAACTCATGGGGGAAAAGACATCACAGGAAATAAATGCTAAAACCATGGCTTTTTTATGTGTTGAATTAAATAGTTATTAAGTTAATTGGTAGATAATTATGAGATCTATTATCATTTAATATAATTAGTATGTAAATAAGGTGATATAAATTATGTTCTGTGAGAAGTTGTCACTGATGGTGATTGTTATCTCTGTGTAAAAGTGAGAAAACCAACAGAAAGATGATGATTATTAGTGGCAAGATTAATGATCATGGGCCTTTTCTAATTCTTATGGCCCAATCTGGTATTTTTCTTCTCCTCATTTTGACTTTACCTATACTTTTTTTTTTTTCCACACAGGCCAGCATATTATTATAGCTCTTTCAAAAATTTTATATTGATTCTTTTTTCCCCAACAGTACTGTAAACTCTTTGATTGTAGGCACTAAATTAATTCCTTTTAGAAAGACTTTTTTTTTTCTTTCTACCATTTGAAGTTTTTTAAGTTGTGTGGTGGAGACTGCTAGTTGCCCACACAGATCCATTCTCTTCTTTCACAGTTAGTCCCATTGTACACAGTTAGGCTAAATTTTACAGTCTCCCTTGTAGTTAGGCATGGCAATAGAAATAGTTCCTCATCAGTGGACTGTGAGAAGAAGCGATCTATCCCAACTCTGGTTCTGTGCCTTAGTTTAATAACGTCACTCCTCCAGATTCCCTTGTTCATTCCCACTAGCTGAAATACACAACACAGAGGACACCCAGCTTCTAACCATGTAGATGATCAAAATGCCTTGGGAAAATTTGGGACCTGAATTATCATGAAGAGCAGACCTTGACTATTGACATGAGCCATTCACTTTGAGACTGTTGCATGAGAAGTAGACACCCTCCTTTATTGTAGAAGGCCCTGTGTTACTGAGCAGCTTTGTTACAGCAGCCCAGCTTTCATAGTAACCAGTATGATGCACTACCTTCCTTACATGCCTAGTTGCTCAGCTGCTCTGTTCCTGCTGACTGCATGTGATTTGTTTACTAGCTTTGCCCTGGTATTTGCAATTCTACTTTCGAGTTTCCTCTCTTTTCCTAGCTTTCCATAAACTCCACGCAGAATTTTAGCTTCTAAGCTAAACTCCCATAATATTTTACCATTTGTTTTTAAATAATAAATTCAAGTCTTCCGTTAAATATTCTTGAGCACCTGCTAAGAGAACTGTTATGGTTTGAATGATGTCCCTCCCAAATTCAGTCTGGACCCCCAGTCTTTCAGAATGTAACCTGATTTGGAAATAGGATCTTTAAAGAGGTCATCAAGTTAAAACACGTACATCAGGGTGGATCCCAATCCAATATGACTGCTGTCCTATAAGAGAGGGAAACAGACACACGGGCAGGGAGAATGCCAGGAAAGATGAAGATAAAGATCAGGGTGAGGCATCTACAAGCCAAGGAGAAACGAAGATTTACCGCAAACCACCAGAAGCTGGAGGAGAGGCATGGAATAGATTCTTCCTCACAACCTTCAGAAGGAACCCACACTGCTGACATCTTGATTTTGGACTTCTGGTTTTGAGAAGTGTAAGACAATGCATTTCTGTGGTTTAAGGCCTCCATTCTATGGTACTTTGTATTACCCTAGCAAATGAATCCAAGCACCTGGAGTATTAATGATAACAAGAGAATGAGTGATAAATTTAGGTTCATAGATAGAACTCCAGAGGCATGACATAATATGCCCAAAGGCAAATGCCTGGTTAACTGAAGGGCTGAATTTGTTGATTCTTGCTCTTTCTTACAGATGTTTTTGTGTCAATCATTGTGTGTAGGAGACGTTGATAGATAAGATGTAGGCTCTACTTTTAAGGAATGTAAAATGTACTAGTCAGTTGACAGAGATAAAAAGGTTGATTTTTGTACACTATTGGCAAGTGTGTCAGTTGGAAAAATGTATACATGTGCACAGATTTTTAGGAGTGAAAATTGAGGTAATCTTTTAAAAGGACATTTTGGCAATATTTAAAATGCACGAACCTAAGACACAGTAGACTGAACACAAGCATTTCCTCTACACCCTCCTGAAATCACACCTATAGTTCAGAGATGAAAACAATTTAAACCTACAAGAATAAAGAGAATAAGAAAGGAGACAGTAGATGAGAGACAACAACATTTTGGAAAAAGGAACACAGGTGGAGAAGTGATACCTAAGGTCACAGAATTAATGCCTGCAAGCCAAAAAAAAAAAAAGAAGCTGATTGATATTCAAGAAACCCGGAAAGCCTCAATCATGGGAGGCATCAGGTACCTCTGAAGGGAGGGCAGGAAAGTGGGACTGAGAGGTGTTTGAAAGTATCTGCATAAAGAATAACTGGACGCCCTTGTTACTCCTGCCCCTATTCTACCCAGCCATGGACTGATCCACTCCTCTTGCCCAAGTAGGACCCAGGAAATTTGCTGTGTAGATAGATTGAACCAGAAAAACCCCAAACTCAGTGGCAGGGAGGGTGATAGTGGTGAAGCACAGGGCTAAAAAAAATGGAGAGTTAAGTGAAGGTATACATGCTTACTCTCCATTTGGCAGATTGAAAATGTTCTCTCTGGACTTAGTCTCTTTGGAGACAATAATCTGTAGATCTGACACTGGGGAGTCCTGTAGTGAAATAGCCAGATTCTAACCCCATCACCTACAGTGTTGCCAATCAGTCACTAAGCTCCACTCCTCTGTGCAGTTTCCAATCAGATCTTTAGTGTCCCGATTCTAAACATGAATGGATGTCAAAGGATCAGTCACCAAACCTTTGAGAAAAGCCTCTGACACAAAAGGTTAAAGTGAATTTATAGAATACAAAACAAAAGAATAAGAGGCAATGCAAAAAATAGAAGAAAGTGAAAAATAAAAACAAACTAAAACCTAAAATCATGACTGTAGAAAGAGAAGATATTGTGAGAAGGAAACAAGAATAGTGATCTATACATGTATGAATATTTAGAGACCAAGACCCCAATCCTATAAGATTAGCATCCTTATTAGAAGAGACACCAGAGACATCTCCCCCACCCTGTACGCCTTCCTGACCCCAGGCAAGCACAGAGGAAAAGGAATGTAACAGGAAAAGAGCCCGCACCAGAAACGAACCCTGCCAGACCTTGATCTTGACTACCAGCCTCCAGAACTGTGAGAAAATGAATTTCCATTATTTAAGCCCCCTAATTTGTGGTATCTGTTATGGCAGCCCAAGGAGACTAGCATAATGTATCACATTTAATAAAATTAAATGAACACTAAAAACAGAATGCATTTGCCTTTTGAGGCAGCAATTCCAAATTTCTCTCTGTTCTTTAAGATATGTAACTTAACCTAGGAGTCAGCAAACCCAGGGGCCAAATCCAGCCTACCCTTTGTTTTTGTGCAGCCTGTGAGCTAAGATTGATTTTTAGAATTTATGCAGTTGAAAAATTTAAAAATAATATTTTATGACATGAGAATGTTATATGAGATTCAAATTTCAGTGTTCATAAATGAAGTTTAAAAATATATAGCCACATCTATTTTTAAAAATGTATCATCCCTGGCTACTTTTCTGCTACAGTGGCACAGTTGAGCAGTTGTGACAGGGACCATATTGACTACAAAACTGAAAATATTTACTATGTGTTCATTTAGGAAAAAGTTTGCTGACTGCTGGTGTAGACCATCTGAGTGAAATTTCCTTCCAGATTCTTATAATATTTTCTCCAATCTTTTATAGTTGTCGTGCCCAAACTGAATTAACAGCAATATTTTAAATATCTCAATTTTATTGCGTCTTTCCAAAGTAATTCAAATTGGTTTTCTTAGGAATTGCTCTCTTTCAACATTTTGATTTTAAAGATAATATGGTTTGGATATTCACCCCCTCCAAATCTCATGTTGAAATGTGATCCCCAATTGTATTAGTCCATTGTCATACTGCTATGAAGAAATACCTGAGACTGAGTAATTTATAAAGAAAAAGAGATTTAATGACTGGGAAGGCCTCACAGTCATGAAGGAAGGCGAAGGAGCAGCAAAGGCACATTTTACATGGTGGCAGGCAAGACAGCATGTACAGGGGAATTGCTGTTTATAAAACCATCAGATCTCATGAGACTCACTCACTATCACAAGAACAGCACCGGAAAGCCTACCTCCATGATTCAATTACCTCGAACTTGGTCCCTCTCATGACACATGGGGATAATGGGAGCTACAATTCAAGATGAGATTTGGGTGGGGACACAGCCAAACCATGTCACCAATGTTGGAGGTGTGGTCTAGCGGAGGTGTTTGGGTAATAGGGCAGATCCCTCATCAGTAGCCTGGTGCCAACCTCATGGTAATGAGTGAGTTCTCACTCTATTAGTTCTTGGGAGAGTTGATTGTTAAAAGGAGTCTGGCACTTCCTCCCTTTTCTCTCTTTCCCCCTTTCTCTCTCCATGTGACATACCTGCTCCCCCTGCACCTTCTGCCATCAGTAAAAGCTTCCTGAGGCCTCCCCAGAAGCCAAGCAGATGCTGTATATTGCCATGCTTGTACAGCCTGCAGAACCATGAGCCAAATAAACCTCTTTTCTTAACCAATTGCCCAGCCTCAAGTATTTCTTTATAGCAATGCAAAACAGATGAATACAAAAGGCAAAAACAGCTTAATTACATAATTATCAAATCCATTACAATGGCAATAAACAGTTTGGTACCCAACAACTGACTTCTGTTAAACATATAACTCAAATTATAAGAGCACAAGAGCAGTGACCTGCTAGGGTGGAATCATGAGCTTTGAGTATACCTTGGACATCACCAGCACATTTTATGGAGGGAAAGCAGAGCACAGTTGGGAAGTGGGTTGCATGGAAGTTGCGTAAGAGATTTTATGTTGTAATTAGCCTAGTTATTTCAGGTATCTGATTTTTTTTCTCGTCCCAATTAAAGAATAAATCTCCTAAGAGCAGGGATAATATTTTGATTTCTTTTGTATTCTTCTTTCAAGCATGGAGCACCAAGTTGGGCACATGACAAATGTTGAATAAATCCCTCTTGAAAGGTTAGATGATGAAGCTTCTACATGCCAGAGATGACCATTCTTGGGGTAAGTCAGCTCTCAGCCACCTAGAAAGGTTTTCTCAACCGCTGATTTTAGACTCTCAATCTGTTTTGATTTGCGATGCTGTATTCTTCTTTGCCATTCTCCCAAATGACACGTCAGCTTTCATGATTCATTTTTATGTTTTCTTGTCTATCGCCTCAATGTTGGATTTCTGCCTAAGCAGCAAAATTCAAAGAAATCTCTTCTGTTGGAATTGCTGATGTGAAAGAAGCCCATGAGGTTCAAATGACCTCATAGTGCATAAAACAATGTGAGTGAATATGGGGAGTACTATTTATTGTTCAAGACAAAAATGAGTATGTTGTGAAAAGCTTGCTCAGTTTATGGTAAGATGAAATTGCTGACCGAAGACTGCCTAAAACTCAAGTTCTGAAATGTCATTAATATGGACAATAAAAAGGAACTGTCTTAGAAAGTTAATTGTTACACATAATGTACATAATTCTTGCAATAACTATTTTGATTTTTAGCTACCCAGGAGTATGATCAAGAATCTGTAGTAGTACAATCTAGTTTAAGTTGCCTTGTTGGTTCTAAGAGAAAAATTCTTTGGGGTTGAAAATTAGCCCATTTTGTAACACATCTCTGTGTACAATTACTGTTAAAAGTTGAATATGTGAAATCTGGTGGCATAGTAAGCACTGATAGAAATTAGGTTATTTATTAATTTATTATTGATTTGCCTTATGATTGTAGAAAGGGTATGTATTTGTATAATTTAATGACTTAATTACTCTCATTGTAAAAGCTGGATAAAATTATATCTGGTCTATTCACATCATTAGTATATTGCAAAGATGCTTGACAGTGGCACTGATGGCTTTGGGTGGTATGATATTTATCAATTATAATTTTTATATAATTGACATTCCAGTTCCTGTTCTGTCAGTATATATCTGTGTGAACTTGATTATACTTAAATCTTTGTGCCTCAGTTTCCCTATTTATAAAACAAATATGTTGAATTAGATTAATTCTTATTCCTTGGGTTCAAAAATTACATAACTGTAAAAAAGCTTTTGTCCATTATAATTTTTTAACCTCACCTAAAAATGCCCAAATATAAAATAATGATATATGTGCACTTCCTAAACATTCATGTGCACATTTTGCATATACCCAGAATATTGGAGCACACATCTTCGCAAGGAATATAGATTTATATCCTAAATTTGCTTTTGTTTCTAAGAGAAGAGATGAAGAGCTCATACCTTACCACCAGCAAGAATAAAAGCTTTGTTTCTCTCCTCTGTTTAAGTAATTAAAATATCTTTGCTCCTTTACTTTATGATTTCCCATTTTGAGGGTCCCTAGGGGTGAGAGGAGCGCTCATTAAACAACTCATCTCTTTCCTGCCTGAATTCCACATAGAGAACTAACTGATGGGGGCTAAGGTGAAGGAAGTGGCTCGGGAAGAGAGTGAAGGAGGCCTGCCTAGTGTACCCAGAGTTAGGGAGTCTCATCTATCCTCTGCAGTCCCTGCTGGCCAGGAGTGGCCCACACAGGGCACATTGCTGTTCCAGTAAAGCCAACTGCACGGACAAACAGAGGAGCAGCAGAGATCGCAGTGAGCAGCCTCCCTACCCAGGAGAGAAAAGGAGAGCAGAGTTGATCAGGCTGGTCTGGATATTTTCCCCAAATTTACAAAGCCAGTGCGTCACTTCACTTCTCCAGAGGAGAAACAAAATGGGAAAATTGGCCCAGAGGAGCACCAAGACTGTGCTTACGGAAAATCACCAGGAAATGGGAAAATGTGTTCCCTCTAAACCTAGAATCATCGTCACTAATAGCTGTGTTCTCTATAAATAAACTTTTGAAAATTAAAAAAGTATAAAATGCCAAGATATGTCGTGTAAAACAATTTAATGTAACTTTTCAAGTAGACTTGTCTGTAATGAGACCACTCTTGGTTTTAAATTTGCAGATGCTCTTTGCAAAGAAAGTAGCATGTGTTTAACATTTACCTTCAGTATTAACTGTGTTAATACTACCATTGCTTATTTTGACATTTTAGTTTTTAACATTTATATTTGGAGGAATTAAAAAACGACTTGATTTCAAAGGAGGTATAACTCATTTTCACAATCTGAGTTCATGTGAATGTTTTAGAAGAAATTTCAGAAATGGCTTTGAAGTTATCTGAGAAAATGTTTACAATTATGCCATTTGGGAATTACAATTCTATGTGTTGGAATTGTTTCTATGGAGATACAAATTGCTGTACAATGTAGAATGTAGTTTGATAGAATGAGAATGTTAGAATTTTCACAGTGCTTAAAGACTGGTAATTAAACTATAACTAGCAAGGTAAGAACAAAATAACCACATCTTAAGTACAGTTTGACTTTCATGACTAAAGATAAAAATTACAGGGAGGTAGGATTTTATTTCACTATAAAGATGAACTTCCTAACGGTAAGAGCTATCTAAGATTGAAATGGGCTGCCATAGTTAAACAAAAAACATAAAATTACTTGGGGATAGTATTTGAAGGGGAGTCACTCATGCTTGTATTGTACTGCATGCCTTCCAAGATCTCTTCCAATTCTAATACTTGTATTCTATAAGAGCAACAGAATCATGCAATGATGAAAACCTTTTCACCAATTTTTTCTTTTGTATTAGTTAATAGACAATACTAAGAGTACACAGCATGCCTCTGCTTGCAATAATAGAAAAGAACCAAGAACATTTAAAATGGGCTATTGAAGGAGACCATTTGAAATAAATTTTTACAAATTAAGGTGTTAAATCATATCTATTTTCTAAGCAGATTTTTAAAAAAGATCCTTGCAGGATCTTTTTTACTGCTAGTATTCCTTTGTTAGTTCTGAAAAGAGATTCTGTGCATTACTCTGTAAATAGTACTGTATATTACTAAAATTTTATTGGTAAAATTATTTGGCTGATTCTAAAGTTTAGAAGAAAAACACTGAACAAAATTTCCCAAAGAACGGACTGTATTAATTTGAAAGCACAGTCCTGGGGAGTTCCCAAGTGGATGGGTTCTAGTGACCTGGCAATTATTCATCAATTAACCACAGCCACTTATTATCTGTATGAATGGAACAAAGTTGATACACAGACCTTGAGGCAACAATGATCAGGATATATGGCTAGTTTTCTTATTCCATCTCAGAGTTACACTTCAGAAACAAATTTCCTTAATATTTGATATTAAGTGTCATGCCCTCAATGACAACTAGGAGGAGCTGTTTGGTCTCGACTCTGCCTCAGAACTCTTTCCATGGGATCAAACATTGCACCTTGTACTGAATTAACCTTTTGTGTCTTTTGACCACATACGTAAAAGGTAAATAAAAATATATGTATTTTAAGCTCTGTTAAAAAAAAAACACAATTGCTGGCCTCTTGGATAATTAAGAGTTTATAACAATGAAGATTGCTTTGTCCTTTGTTCTCAAGATGCCCTCATGGGCTGTTTTAGAAGGATGACCTGTTCAATTTTCACCTCGGTCATCATCTCTGAGTCCTGTTTTTGCACATGGGGACTTTCAGTGCTCCTTACCTCTTCTTTTAGTTTGAAAATAAAGGGTTTTAAAGTCTCAATCTAGGGTCTGCACTGAAAAACGTCTTTTCTCTCTAGTGGTTATGCTAATGCAAGTTCTCCAATGTTACTCTGCATAACTGAATCACTAACTCTGCATTTCAAAGTGCCAACACTGGTAAACCTGAAAATTTATTAATGTAACAAACATTGTGCTGGAAACAAAAATATGGTTTCTGATCTCAAACATTTTAAGATCACATTGGAGAAAAGACACGAACTGTAATATCTTCACAATTGGTAATAGCAGCAGTTAGAAACAACAGGTTAGGCAGTAGAGGACATTTTCTCTGTCACAGAACTGAGAAATTGTCAACATATATACTTTTTTTGGTGTGTGCATTTTGGGGAGTAAAGAACATGGGGATGAGTAAAATTTATAAACCTTTATTTTTTTGCGTCTTCCTAAAATGTCAAGTCTTTAAGAACCCATCAGCAAATAATATTAGCTTGATCATCCTCAAATAATGTTAGATTGAGTCAAATGAAGTAATTATTTCTGTAGGTCACAACAGTCAATATTGGCAATTTCATATGGTTCACCTAATTTTAAAAAAGTGTGCATTAGTTTTCTTTTTTTGAGACAGAGTCTCACTCTGTCACCCAGGCTGGAGTGCAATGGCACAATCTCGGCTCACTGCAACCTCTGCTTCCTGGGTTCAAGTGATTCTCCTGTTTCAGCCTTCCAAGTAGCTGGGATTACAGGCGCACACCACCATGCTCAGCTAATTCCTGTACTTTTAGTAGAGATGGGGTTTTGCCATGTTGGCCAGGCCTCTGCCACCATGTCTGGTTAATTTTTGTATTTTTGGTAGAGACGAGGGTTCACCATGTTGGCCAGGCTGGTCTCAAACTCCTAACCTCAGGTGATCCGCCCTCCTCAGCCTGCCAAAGTGCTGGGATTATAGGTGTGAGCCACTGCATCTGGCCTTGGGTTAGTTTTCTGGGGCTGTAGAACAAATGACCACAAATCTAGCCCGTTAAAACAACACTCATTTATTGTCTCACAGTTCAGTAGGTCAGAAATCTGGGTGGGCTTGACTGGGTTTTCTGCTTAGGGTCTCATGAGGCTGAAATCAAGGCTGGGCTCCTATCTGAAGGCTCTGGAGAAGAGTCTGCCTCCAAACTCAGATGGATTGTTGGCAGAATTCAGTTCCTGGTGGTTGTTGCCAGCGGTTGTTTTCAGAAACTAGAAGCAGCTCTCCAGTCCTTGCACGTGTTCCCCTCCATCTTCAGGTAGCAGTGGCCTTGTGCTTTGAATCTCTCTGACATTTCCTCTGTCACCAGTCTGAGAAAGCTCTTTGCTTTTAAAAGGTTCATGTGATTAGATTAGGCCCACCAGATAATCTGCTTTTAATTAACACAAAAATAACTAATTAATAACCTTAATTACATCTGCAAAATCGCTTTTGCCACATAACATAACATAATCAAAAGTGCAGTGAGAGGTTGTGTAGTAAAGTGGCTAAGGGCATGGGCTTGAGAATCAGACTATCTGGGTTCAAAGTCATGCTCTATCACTAAATTAGGTGACACTGGACAAAGCTTTTTAGCTTCTCCGTGCTTCTGCAAAACAAGCATCATCTTTAATAACCTGCCTTGTTGGTTGGATTTTAAAGGGATCATTCTTAACAAATATTTAGCAGAGTGCCTGGCACATAATAGTTGCTCAATGAGTAACATTTAGTATTATTATTGTAGAAAAAGAAAATGAGAAAGAAAAAGTGAGAGAAAAGAAAGAAGTGAAAGAAAATTGTTGTAGACAGAGTGATCAAGGAAGGATTTATAAAGGAGGTGAGGCTTGAGTTGGATTAAGGTTAACTGAATTTTTGTAAGCATGAAGAGGGGCAATGTATTCATTCTAAATTATAACAAATTTACCAATAAAAGGTTTGTATTTTGTAGAAATGAGAAACTGATTACATCTGCTTATTTGGACAGTGAATGGAACCACATATTCTGCCTGTTGGCAAACACCAAATCTGTATAGTTTATTTTCTTCAAAGGTAAGTAATGAGAAAATTAACTGACAAGGCACACTGGATCAACAGGTTACTATGCTATATTTGATAAATAGGCTTATTCCTGATACCTCAGACTTACTCCAGGATTTTTTTTTTTTTTTTAATAGAGTCTCGCTCTGTCGCCCAGGCTGGAGTGCAGTGGCATGATCTGGGCTCACTGCAACCTCTGCCTTCCAGGTTTAAGTGGTTCTACTACTTCAGCCTCCCAGTAGCTGGGATTACAGGTGCCTGCTACCTCACGTGGCTAATTTTTGTATTTTTAGTAGAGACAGTGTTTTGCCATGTTGGCCAGACTGGTCTTGAACTTCTGACCTCAAGTGATCTTTCCGCCTCGGCTTCCCAAAGTGCTGAAATTACAGTCATGAACCACCGCGCCTGGCCAGGAATTTGGTAAGCCATGTTTACATATACAGTGGACCAGGTAGGAACCCTAAATATGCTTTTCCTTGGATTGGTCCAAATGCCTTGGTCATTCTCTCCCAGCATAATCCAAGCAAAGATAAACAATGACCAATGAATAAGGCTCAGTAGTCAATCGGTTGAATGGGAAAGCACCACAGCCACTTAGATCATAAAAAGCCCAAGTCTGCAGCCACTCAGTCAGTCCATTCTGCTAGCAAATTTCTGTTTATATATCTTCTCTCCAAGAAGGGGCTCTTCCAAAGCTGGCCCTAGATAGTTCCTCAGCCGATCGGTGAATTAATAGTCAATTAACTAAGTATTAGGTTGATGTGAAAGTAATCACGGTTTTGCCATTGAATATGTTACATTGAATATAAAGGCAAAAATTGCGATCACTTTCATACCAACCTAATATTATCACCTCTTTTTCTAATATGTGACCCTGTGATAAGAGAAAACCCCCCGATTTTCCTCTAAAGACCCATTCATTCTCCACTTTCAGTGCATGCTTTTCAGGTCCTGCTGATCTCAGGGTGGGATTTTGATTCAGGTCCCAGTAATCAGAGCACTGCAGTACCTGATTACCAACAGCCTTTACTATTTGTTCATGGCTGGGCTTGCAGTCCAAACTAGGCCAATGGAAACCCTTCCTGAGAATTTTTAAAGAATTAATTAATAATCACACTTCCGTTTGGAATTGCTAAAGTGGTAGAATGTAGGTGTGATGCTACTGGTGATTACTCTGCCTCTGTGTGGGAACAGCCTTCCTGAGAATGAAGGCACCCCAAAGAAAAGTGAGCTCTGAGATGGAAGGGCTCAGCTCTGAAGATGTCATTTGAGCATCTATACGGTGCTGCATTGTACATATCATGCTTCTGGACTTCTAAGTTATTGAGCCAATAAGTTATTATATTTTGTTTAAGCACATTTGAGTTTGCATTTCTGTCATTGTCAACCAAGAGTTCTAACAGTCGGCTCACAGAGCCTCCGATGTAACGTTCCCACTGTAAACATTCAGATTGATTAATTAATTTGAATCCCAGCTATAGAACCCTGATAGAGAGAATCTCTACCCTCTGATCCAATCAGACAGGCTCACAGAGCACAAACATACCTGTTGTACTCTGGTGGGTGGGTGAGGGGGGATAGTGATCATGGAAGAGGAACAGAGATACATAACCAAAGCCATTTGGTTCAAATGTGTGTGACTTTTATAATCAGACAATAAGAATATTTATTTTGAATAATCACTTAAAACAATTTAAGTAGATTTGAATAATCTATTAACAAATTTTTGCTTTTTTGTTACATTCAGTGGCTGCCAAGAGTTTTTAATCACTCAAGTGATTTTAGTTAACAATTAATAATGAAAATCTAAGCAACAAAAATGTTCACTCTAAGTCATTTGACATAAGAGAACTAGTGCTCAGATGGTACACGGAGAACCCATTTTTCATTTCCACGCTTCACAATCTCACACTCTTTTGCCAAATTCCTACAACCAGTCCTTAATGACCTAGTCTCAGTCTCAAAGTACCTCTCTCCCTAAGGCATCCTGTCTCCCCAGAAACAGGAATGTATTGCTAAGTGGACCTTACAGATTATTTAGGCCAGCTTTCATATGAGATGAAAAGTTTCAAAGAAGTCAATAATAGTGAAACATTTTTTTAAAAGGTTGGGGGGGGGATTCTAATTTTATTGAAATCCCCCAAAGAACTTGATATTACAGGTGACATCAGTTCCAGCTCAGACTGTAGCTAGTTGAGTCCTCTGTTCCACAGATTTTATTCCTAAGTAGATCTTTGCCTTTAGAAGTGAGTGTCAAGCCTATTCAGTAATTTCAAGCTGGAAGAGACCTTGGGAATTTTCTAGTCCATATCTGTCATTTTATTTTTATTTTTATTTTTTTTGAGACTGAGTCTTGCTCTGTTGCCCAGGTGGGAGTGCAGTGGTGCTATCTCGGTTCACTGCAACCTCTGCCTCCTGGGTTCAAGGGATTCTCCTGCCTCAGCCTCCCGAGTAGCTGGGATTACAGGCATGTGCCACCACGCCTGACTGATTTTTGTATTTTTAGTAGAGATGGGTTTTCACTGTGTTGGTCAGGCTGGTCTTAACTCCTGACCTCTGGCGATCCACCTACCTTGGCTTCCCAAAGTGCTGGGATTACAGGCACGAGCCACTGCACCCGGTCCATACCCATTATTTTAAAGAGGAGGAAACTCAGGCTCAGAAAATATGGACCAATAATCAAAGCAGGGAGACACGTACATCCCAGGAAGGAAAAATGGCTGGAACAAAGGCGCTGAGTCAAGAAAAGATATACTCAGGGACAAAATTTTGAAAATGAATTTGGATGTGACTTTAGTTGCTTAATGGGTTGACTGTAAACTTGAAAGGTAAATTATTAGGTCCAAATTATAGAAGGTTTTGAATGTTAAGGTGAAGGGTTGTTGCTTTGTTTTTAACTTTATAAACACATAAAAGTAGGGAAAGTTGAATAATGAAAGCCATGTGGTTACCACCCATTTTCTACAATGATCAACTCATGATCAGTTATATTCCTTCTATGACTCTACTTCCTCCCTCCTTCTCTTCTGTCTCCCAGATTATTTTGAAGCAAATCTTTGTCATAATATAGCTTTATAAATATTTCAACATATTTCAAGCCCCAAACTAAAGACTTAGAGGGTTTCTAAGTATTCTGTAGATAAGAAGAAGCCTTTGAATATTTTCAACCCAGGGAGCAACATGTTCAGAACTGCAGAAGGCTCTTCCGGCAGTTCCATATGGGATGGATTGGAGTAGGAAGTGGCAGGGTAGTGTAAGCACTTGATATGCCACATTGTCCTTGTCACAGAAGCGTTGTTTCCTATTTTCCAAGTTTAACGTATGCTCTATAGTTTCCCTTGCTGGTATTTAAGGGTAGAAATAATTTATAGATTCTTGGCCAATGGAGATATTTCCGTTTTAGAGGTTTTGTCATTCTGACATTTCAGTTTCACGCTTTGTAGTTCTTTTATGCATTGAGGTGTATGGCAATAATGTAAGTGTGAATTTTTCTATTTCTCCTTATGTATTAAATATTCACCTTTTATTTTATTATATTGCTTAATGAGGACATTCTGTGTACTAGTTTGATGTTTATGGAAGAAAAACAAAAGCTTCCCTAGCTCTAAAAACTTGCCTTTTAAGTTCCTCATCTCTATAAGTAGCAAAACATAACACATAAATTATTCAGGCAATACAAAATGAAAATAAATACATTTCAATTGGCTATCTAAGAGATTATTTCTCTGTGCATTGAGTCTTCTTTTATGTAGTCACTGCAAAACCATGAAAGATTGAAATATTTTCTGAATGAGAAATCTTTCAACATGAAGCAGCACACACAGCACTGTGAGCAGAAACTAAAATAAACCCTGTCTGGCCTCAAGGTTCATGTTGCATATTTAGAGTTGGAAATACTCATTTCAGGGTACATTTTTCTTTAACCCAGTCATCCCAGAGTGGAACAACAACATAGAGAATAGATAAGATTGTCTGTCTGGCTAGCTGAACACACTGTCCTTCACACTGCTGAGAAATTTGCAGAGTATGGTAGAGGTTTTTAGATCTTGAAACTGTACAAGGCACTCTTCTGCTTTTAATTTATGCTTTGAAGATTTATACAAAATAGAAAGACCAAATAACTCACTTTCCATTTAAAGTGCTCACGTTTTCCATCTGGTACATTGTTATGAATAACATGTCTGCATGACATAACAGAAAATTTTTCATACCAGTGCGGGTCTGCCATCAATTTATAATCAGAAATGTCACATGACGTATTGAAAAGAAATCAGAATTACACACGGTTGCTGCATTTGCCTTCTTATATTTCTTACCAGAAGCCCTTTTCCTTCTTTTCAGCTGCCTCTGTGAATTGTGTGGAATCATTAGAGAAAAACCCAAGTAGAGAGCTAGCAATTTTACAAAACTGTAAAAAAGTTCTTTGAATAACCATAACAATGGTATATTTTCAGTGCTTTTCCTGTTATCTTTTTGGTTGCATTTTTAAATCAAAACACAAAATTGATAGATGACAGATAATAAAAAATTTTTATAACCAGATCTCTTCTAATGCTTGAAATTTCAGGTGAATCAACAGAAAGCAATATGAGCATGATTATGCTGCTATAATGGGTCAGACCAGTACCTCATGCTAACTAAAAGTCTGTCTATGACTGTGGCAGTCATGTGTATTTTCTGAAAAAGAATTCTAGCTTCTCTACAGGATTTCAGACTTAGAAAGTCAGAGACCTGCCCAAAGCTTTCCCAAACTTCTAATTAACAGAGGGCCAAGGCAGAGAACTTGAGTTCTCATTACTGATCTCCCACTAATGGGATGTGCCACCTTAGGTGTATTGTTAATTTCTGTTTACAGTGTTTCACTTTCTTTATTTCCAGATAAGAAAAGATTCTAATTACAAAAACAATTTTAAAAGAGTCTACACATAGAAGATAATAATTGCTATTATTTTTACTTATCTAAATCTAGGGAATCATGATTGCCAACAATCACTCAGCACCAACAATTTACTGAATGTTTATCTGCCTGCATTCTTCTTGTGGCTGGAAATGTAGCAGTGAACCAGACCGAGACCCTGATCCGCTGGGTATATAGCTGGGGGAGTCAGACATTCATGAAAATGACTTCTAGTGCCACAGATATTTCAAAAGATGCAGTAAAGAGTTCTGTGGGTCTGAATGATATGGTGTGCTAACCAAATATGTGAAGGTGGCGAAGGTCTCCTAGAAGAATTGGTGCAAAACTTGAGTCTCAAAGGATGAGCTGGGTGAGGAGTTGGGCACAGTATTCTGGGCAGTGGGAACATCATGGACAGAAGCCTGAATGCAGCGGAGAGACTGACTCACTTGTGGGCATGAAGGAGATCAGCATGACTGGATTGGAGCTCACTTCCTGGTGTTTTCACCTCATTGCATGTAAGCATCAATGGACCTACCCCTGCTTCTGGCCATATCAAACAGTTCAATAGTTTGGCATCTTTGTGATCAGCTTACAGAAGTGCTGTGGGCTTTGTCAAACCAGTTAGGAAGCTCTAGCTTACTGGTCGAGAGAACTTGGCATGAGAGGATGCTGACGAGTTAGACAGAGGTCTGATTGGAAGGGGCTGGGTGCTGAGCGGGAGTTGGGAAAGGAGGAGTTAGTGCAGGCAACACATTCAAGATCATTGAAGGTTAGTGATATGGTTTGGCTGTGTTCTTATGCAAATCTCATCTCAAATTATAATCCCCATAAACCCCGCGTATCGAGGAAGAAACTTGGTGGGAGGTGACTGGATCATGGGGCCGGTTTCCCTCATGCAGTTCTCCTGAAAGTGAATAAGTTCGGATGGGATCTGATGGTTTTATAAGTGTGTGACAGTTCCTCCTTCATGTGGTCTCTCTCTCTCTCACCTGCTGCGATATAAGTCGTGGCTGCTTCTCCTTCTGCCATGATTGTAAGTTTCCGGAGGCCTCCCAGCCATGTGGAATTGAGTCAATTAAACCTCTTTTCTTTATAAATTACCCAGTCTTGGGAGGTTCTTTAAAGAAGTGTGAGAACAGATTAATACAGTCAGAGAGGCCTTTCTGAGCATAAGTTCTTGACTATACTAAGGGCAATTGAGAGCCATGGAAAATGTTTAAGCAGGAGAAAAGTTTGTCTGAGAAGGGGAGGAAGAGATTCTGAGGTGCCTTTAAGAAATCCACTTGTAGGGGCCAGGCGCGGTGGCTTACGCCTGTAATCGCAGCACTTTGGGAGGTTGAGGCAGCGGATCACGAGGTCAGGAGACCGAGACCATCCTGGCTAAAACAGTGAAACCCCGTCTCTACTAAAAATACAAAAAATTAGCCGGGCATGGTGGCGGGTGCCTGTAGTCCCAGCTACTCGGGAGGCTGAGGCAGGAGAATGGCGTGAATACGGGAGGCGGAGGTTGCAGTGAGCTGAGATTGTGCCACTGCACTCCAGTCTGGGCCACAGAGAGAGACTACATCTCAAAAAAAAAAAAGAAAAGAAAAAAGAAATCCACTTGTAGCCGCTAAGGTCTGGAGCTCAGAGAAGAGTCTGACCCCAAGCCCAGTTCTCCAGAGTCATTTTGATTCTAAGAAACCTTGATATTCTTTCAATACGTTCCTTTTTTTTTTTTTGTCCACCATAGCCCTGGTTGGTTTCTGTTGCTTGCAATGAAAGAACCCTTACAAATGCAATAATGCAGAAGTAACAATGAAGATGACACTGATTCACACAAGATTTAATTTGTTACATGAGTAAATAAACAAAGCAAAATGAACAGAATTTACTATACTGCATCCCTGCTGGGAGTATGTTGAGCTATCTGGCCTGGAAGGCCTTTGTGACCTGTTGAAAGAATATACATGGATTTACTTCAGGAGAAAAATAAAGTGTTATTTTAAAAATGGATCATGTTCATTGTAATTAAGAATAAAGGTTGTAAAAACTATGGATTGTGGCCGGGCTTGGTGCCTCACGCCTGTAATCCCAGCACTTTGGGAGGCCGAGGCAGGTGAATCACCTGAGGTCAGGAGTTCAAGACCAGCCTGACCAACATGGTGAAACCCCATCTCTACTAAAAATACAAAAATTGGCTGGGCATGGTGGTGGGCACCTGTAATCCCAGCTACTTGGGAGGCTGAGGCAGGAGAATTGCTTGAACCTGGGAGGCAGAGGTTGCAGTGAGCCAAGATCACACCACTGCACTCCAGCCTGGGCAACAGAGGGAGACTTTGTCTCAAAGAATAATAATAAAAAAAATTGTGGGTTGTATAGAAAAAAATTACAGTGGAAGCATTATATGTGAACTTCATTGGAGAAATATTTATTATGACATATAGAGTTATATATATGAGACATAAGGTTAAAAAGGTACCTTACTTTTTGTCATACTTGTATAGTCAGTGAAAGGCTTTTTTCTGTATACATTGGAAAACTAATTTTTAAATTTAATATTTAAAGCATGGCCGGGCACGGTGGCTCACACCTGTAATCCCAGCACTTTGGGAGGCCGTGACTGGTGAATCACAAGGTCAGGAGATCAAGACCATCCTGGCTAACACAGTGAAACCCTGTCTCTACTAAAAATACAAAAAATTAGCCAGGCATGGTGGCAGGCGCCTGTGGTCCCAGCTACTCAGGAGGCTCAGGCAGGAGAATGGCGTGAACCCGGGAGGCGGAGCTTGCAGTAAGCCGAGATCGGGCCACCGCACTCCAGCCTGGGCGACAGAGCAAGACTCCGTCTCAAAAAAATAAATAAATAAATAAATAAATAAATAAAATAAAGCAGATAGCAGTTGATATATATGAATTGGGCACAAATTAGCTAGACTATCTTCCTAGGGCAAATGATGTCATTTTATTTGACTCCTTTTCTGTTTTAGCTGAGTTTTTTCCAGCTACTTTAATAAAGAATTAATGATAAATTTTTTCTCTACTTGTATTACTTCAGCAGATTAATTTTCCATTTTGTCCACGTAGAGATTAAGATGGTAGCATCCCTATACAAAATCTTATTACCCATATTCACTTGGAAAAATATCATGAAAAGGTTTTACTAAAATGAATGAGGTGAAGCCATTCAGTTTTGACTGTAAGTTTCAGAGGTCGTTTCATCAATGCGTAAGTAGCCTAAAGACTTCACTGGAGTTTTATAAGAATGCAAAAGAGAAAAGCAAACCTACGAAGACGCATAAAAATTATGAACTCTGGGAGTTATCTAATTTACACATGGTTTCTTTTCATAAATTCAGGCAGAAGCGTAACCTATTTCTCACCCCTAGTTTTTGGAACTTCTTCCTGTTCCTATGCTTGGTTACGTGTGGATTCGGTCTAGACATACCATCCATTAAGCAACCAATTTCACAGTTAAGTGAGTTGTCTGTGTTTAGATTTCCTGTTGCCCTCTTAAACCCTATTGTCTTCATCTCTTGTGATCATCAAATTATATACATCATGGGTATCCTATTTCAGAGATATGACCCAGTGGCTCTCATCTTAGCTCTCATCTTAGTGGCATCTCATCTTCATTCCTGGTAGAATTCCCACCCTTTGCTGTTCCACATGATTTTCTTTTGCCCTAGAGCAATTGTCTCAATGTACAATTGAGCCTTGATAAGGAAGTCTTCAGGAAATTCTTTGATGATGACAGGCATGTTTGTATTCCTACCCATGTTAATGAGACAAACATGAAATCAGTTTGAAAACCTTAATGCTGTTAAATTTTAATTAATGTAATTTTTCTTCTGATGCCTCCTTCAAGGAAGCATAATTAATTCTTCTCTCACATTTCTTTCAGTTCTCATTAACCTCCTCCCCAAAAGAAGTGCCACTTTTTCTAAAATTTCAAATATGAACTACTGAAGTTATTGTCCTAAGAGATTTTTAAATCAAATATATATTCAAGTGTGAAGAAAATTAACTCTCTATCAAAAGCTCAGAAACAAGAGATAACATGATGTAGTCATCTACCAAGCAGCACTTCTCTTATTTGGGAAAGTAACATTCTATTCCTCAGTCACACCCATCCATCTGCCCCCTCCAGGTGTCTGACAAGAGCATCTCTAAAGGTAGTGGGGCTGGGAGGAGCTACTAACTTTTTCTGAACCAGGCAACTAAAGTTATAACCTCATGCCAGTGGTTTACAACTTTTTTAACTTACATTTTATCTAATTGAGAAACAAATTAAAAAGCCAGATGTTTCTGTGACTGAGGTTCAAAAAATTAGCCCATCCCTAAACAATACTGGTCAAGTCTCTTTCAATTGCAAGCATCCAAAATCTCACTCTAACTGGCCTGAGCAAATGAGTTAACATGTTGGCTCCTATAATTGAAAAGTTCACAGGCATCAAACACAGCTGGATGCAGATGTTTAATATGTGTCATCAGAACTTGGACTCTTTTTCAATACTCCTGGCCCTGCCTTCTCCACATTGGCTTGTTTTCAGGCAGGACTCCTCCCATCCACAAATATACAGTGATAAGATGTCTAGCAGCAGTTCCAGGCTTTTATTCTCCTAATTTAGCAGAGGGAAGAATGCCTCTTTCTCCATTGATGCACTCTTTCAGAGACTCAGTAAACAGCATCTGTCTTTGCTGCGTAGATTTGGAACCATTGAGAAATAAGAAAATAAGGAGCCCAAATACCACCCTTATTACTGATAAAGTTGGCCTTAGATGTCAGTTGGCCTCAGATGGACTTCTTAATATGAACCATATAACCAGGCAGACTTTCTACTCAGTCCTGGACTGGGTCTCCCAAAGGGGCCTCTGTGAGCAAGCTGGCCTAGTGAACGTGCCCCATTTATTCTTTTCAAATTTACCAATTAGATAAGTCATTCTTCCTTGAAGACTGGGAGGAGGGGTTGAGAAAGGCCAGAGCTGTTGCATCTAGCGAAGCTGGAGATGTCATGAATGTGGAGAAAGTTCTGACCTAGTATCTCCTGGCTCTTTTTTTTCTTAACCCCCTGAATTAACTATTAAACCCATGAGCAGCCAGAAATGTGGCTGCCTCCCTCCAAGGACAGTTTTATTCCCTCCTTTATAGGGCCACCCCCAATAGTGAAAACCACTTCATTGAGGATCCCTCTGGATCTTCAGTGGTCACCCAGAGCTCTGAAGTGGGTTAGAGCAAAACAGGCATAACTCAGAGATATTGTGGGTTTAATTCTAGACGACCCTAATAAAGCCAAGATTGCAATATAGCAAGTTGCACAAACTTTTTGGTTTCTCAGTGGATACAAAAATGATATTTCTACTACACCGTAGTCTTTTAAGTGCGCAATAGCATTCTGTCTAAAGAAACAATGTACATACCTTAGTTAAAAATGCCTTATTGCAGCCAGGCATGGTGGCTCACGCCTGTGATCCCAGCACTATGGGAGGCCCAGGTGGGCGGATCACGAGGTGAGGAGTTCAAGACCAGCCTGACCAACATGGTGAAACCCCGCCTCTACTAAAAATACAAAAATTAGCCAGGCACGGTGGTGTGCACCTGTAATCCCAGCTACTCAGGAGGCTGACACAGGAGAATAGCTTGAACCTGGGAGGTGGAGGTTGCAGTGAGCCGAGATCGTGGCACTGCACTCCAGCCTGGGTGACAGAGGGAGACTCTGTCCCAAAAAACAAACAAACAAAAAACCAAAAAAACCCAATCTTATTGTTAATAAATGCCAATGATGATCATCTGAGCCTTTAACATGTTGTAATATTTTTGCTGGTGGAGGGTCTTCCCTCTATGTTAATGACTGCTGACTGATCAGGGTGGTGGTTGCTGAAGTTTCTTAGAATAAGACATCAATGAAGTTTGCCACATCAATTGACTTTTCCTTTCACAAAAGTTTTCTCTGTAGCCTGTGATACTGTTTGAAAGCATTTTACCCGCAGTAGAACTTCTTTCAAAATTGGAATAAATCCCCTGAAACTCTACCACTGTTTTATCTGCTATGTTTATGGAATAGTCTAATGAAGCTGTCATTTCAACATGTTCACAGCATCTTCACAAGGTGTAGATTCCATCTCAAGAAACCACTTTCTTTGTTCTTCCATAAGAAGCAACTCCTCATCTGTTAAAGTTTGATTAAGAGATTGCAGCAATCCACTTACATCTTCAGGATCCACTTCTAATTCTAGTTCCCTAACTATTTCTACCATATCTGCAGTGACTTCCTTCACTGAAGCTTTGGATCCCTCAAAGTCATCCATGAAAATTAGAATAAATTTCTTCCAAACTTCTGTTAATGTTGAAAATGTGATCTCCTCCCGTGAATCATGAATGCTCTTAATGGCATCTGGAATGGTAAAACCTTTCCAGGTTTTCAATGTACTTTGCCCAGATCCATCAGAGGAATCACTATCTATGGCAGCTATAGCCTTACCAAATGTATTTCTTTAACCATAAGACTTGAGACTGGGCGCCGTGGCTCACGCCTGTAATCCCAGCACTTTGGGAGGCCGAGGTGGGCGGATCACGAGGTCAGGAAATCAAGACCATCCTGGCTAACATTGTGAAACCCCGTCTCTACTAAAAATACAAAAAAATTAGCCAGGCATGGTGGCTTTCGCCTGTAGTCCCAGCTACTTGGGAGGCTGAGGCAGGAGAATCGCTTGAACCCGGGAGGTGGGGTTGCGGTGAGCCGAGATCGTGCCACTGCACTCCAGCCTGGAGACAGAGCAATACTCCGTCTCAAAAAAAAAAAAAAAACCGAAAAACAAAAAACAAAACTTGAAAGTCAAACTTAGTCCTTGATCCATTTGCTGCAGAATGAATGCTGTGTTAGCAAGCATGACAGTAACATTCATCTCCTTGTACATCACTAGAGCTCTTTGGTGACGAGGTGCATTGTTAATGAGCAGTAATATTTTGAAAAAAACAAACAAAAAAAACTTTTGCTTTGAGCAGTAGTTCTCAACAGTGCACTTAAAATAGTCAGTAAACCATGCCATGCTGTAAATAAATGTGCTGTCACCCAGGCCTTGTTGTCCTACAACCAGAGTAGATTTAGCATAATTCTTAAGGGCCCTAGGATTTTCAGAGTATAAATGAGCATTGGCTTCAACTTAAGTAATCAATTGCATTAGAACCTAACAAGAGAGTCAGCCTGCCTTTTGAAGCTTTGAAGCCAGGCATTGACTTCTCCTTTCTAGCTATGAAGGTCCTCAATGGCATCTTCTTCCAATAGAAGACTGCTTCATCCACATGGAAAATCTGTGGTTTACTGCAGCAACTTTTTTTTTTTTTTTTTTTTTTTTTTTTTTTTTTTTGTGAGACAGTCTCACTCTGTCACCTAGGCTAGAGTGCAGTGGCACCATCTCAGCTCACTGAAACCTCTGCCTCCTGGGTTCAAGCAATTCTCTTGCCTCAGCCTCCTGAGTAGCTGGGACTACAGGTGCTTGCAGCCATGCCCAGCTAATTTTTGTAGTTTTAGTAGAGATGGGGTTTCGCTATGTTGGCCAGGCTGGTCTCGAATTCCCGATCTCAGGTGATCCGCCCACCTCGGCCTCCCAAAGTGCTGGGATTACAGGTGTGAGCCACCATGCCCGGTCTACTGCAGTGACTTTATCAATTATCTTAGGTATAGATTTTTTCTGGATAATTTTCTACATCAGCACTTGCTGCTTCCTCTTGCTCTTTTATGTAATGAAGATGGCTTCTTTCCTTAAACCCCATGAACCAACCTCTGTTAGCTTCCAAGTTTTCTTCCACAGCTGCTTCACCTCTCTCAGCTTTCATAGAATTGAAGAGAGTTAGGACCTACTCTGGATTAGGCTTTGGCTTGTGGGAATGTTGTAGCCAGTTTGATCTATCTAGATGGCTAAAACTTTATATCAGCAAGAAAGCAGTTTTGCCTTCTTATCATTCGTGTGTTCACTGGAGTAGCATTTTTCATTTCCTTCGAGAACTTTTCCATTGCTTTTACAACCTGGATAACTGGCACAGGAGGCCTAGCATTCAGCTTATCTTGGCTTTTTTCATGCCTTTCTCACCAAGCTTAATCCTTTATAGCTTTTGATTTGAAGTGGGAGATGTGTAACTCTTTCTTCACTTGAACGCTTAGAGGCCATTGTAGGGTTATAAATTGGCTTGATTTCAATATTGTTGTGTCTCAGGGAATGGGAAGGCCCAAGAAAAGAGAGAGAGAGAGAGAGAAAGAAAGAAACAACTGGTCAGTGGAGCAGTCAGAACACACAACATTTATCAGGTTCTCCTCCATCTTGTATGGGCACAGTTTGTGTTGCTCCCAAATAGTTAGAATAGTAACATCAAAGATCACTGATCACAGATCACCATAAGAGATATAATAATAATAAAGTTTAAAATATGAGAATTGCCAAAATGTGACACAAAGACAAAAAGTGAGCACATACTGTTGAAAAATAGTGCCAATAGATTTGTTCAATGCAGAGTTGCCACAAATCTGCAATTTGTAAAAAATGCAGTATCTGTGAAGTGCAATAAAACAAAGCACAATAAAACAAGTTATGGGCCGGGCGCCGTGGCTCACGCCTGTAATCCCAGCACTTTGGGAGGCCAAGGCCGCCAGATCACCTGAGGTCGGGAGTTCAAGACCAGCCTGACCAACATGGAGAAACTCCATCTCTACTAAAAATACAAAATTAGCTGGGCATGGTGGCACGTGCCTGTAATTCCAGCTACTTGGGAGGCTGAGGCAGGAGAACCGCTTGAACCCAGGAGGCGGAGGTTGTGGTGAGTCGAGATCATGCCATTGCACTCCAGCCTGGGCAATAAGAGCAAAACTCCATCTCAAAAACAAACAAAAACAAAAACAAACAACCGCCCCCCCCCCCCAAAAAAAAAAAACAAGTTATGCCTGGACATTAATTCAACCAACTTCAAAGCCGGTTTGTATCAAAGACTGAATATTCACTTCCTATTCTCTTTCCCATCCCACCTGATGTCCTGGATCATCCATTATAGTCTTTCAGCGGTCAAATGAAATCATAAAAACACTCCACTAATGAAATGCATAGAAATTTCAGTCATACATTCCAACAATTTAGAGATCCCCCAAATGTAACCATAACAGTTTTTTAATGATCAAAGTCCTGGGAAGAAATTATAAAGTCCATAATAAAGCTCCCTTTTAAATTATAAGCCACAGATATTAAAGTCTAGAGAATATTATATTCTATAAATAAATGTCACGATTCTTGTGCACGGAAAGGTCAAAGTCCAAATGTCTGATGTTAAAGTTCAAAAGCCATTCTCCAAAATGTACTATTCAGTAGCTCAGTCTTATTGTGTGAGGCTGTGGGTATGTTGGAAGAGGGAAGCGGGTGGTTCTTTCTGGACCTCAGAAATTATACTAGTTCCACACCAAATCTCTCACTTTCTAAAGAACCCAGAGAGTTAACAGGACACACAGATTTCTGTAGCACTGGCATCACACTCCTCATTTTTAGAAAACAAGTTAATACCCAACCTTCTAAAGCAGCCATCCTTAGCAAAATTATGTACCAAGAACTGAGTATTTTATGCTGCCAAAAAGCGTTACAGACATATGGAGGTGTTTGAAGAGAGGATAGTAGGTGAAAATCTTTTTTTTTTAATCTACCAATTTTTTTTTTTTTTTTACAATTGGGGTCTCACAGCCTGGTACGGTGGCTCACACCTGTAATCCCAGCACTTTGGGATGCTGAGGTGGGTGGATCACCTGAGGTCAGGAGTTCAAGACCAGCTTGGCCAACATGGTGAAACCCTGTCTCTACTAAAAATACAAAAATTAGCTGGGTGTGGTGGTATACACCTGTAATCCCAGTGACTTGGGAGGCTGGGGCAGAAGAATCACTTGAACCCGGGAGGCAGAGATTGCAGTGAGCTGAGATCGTGCCATTGCACTCCAGCCTGGGTGACAAGAGCAAAACTCCTTCTCAAAAAATAGTAATAATAATAATAATAAAATGGGGTCTTGCTATGTTGTCCAAGCTTGTTGTGAACTCCTGGGCTCAAGCAATCCTCCTGCTTCAGCCTCCCAAAATGCTGGGACTACAGGCATGGGCCACTGTGCCTGGCCTCCCCCAATGCTAGTTGCCTGGACTCCATGGCCTATAAACAGATATTCAAGTAGAAGAAGATTCTCAGAAAGAAAGAAGTTCATTCTGGCACTTTGTATTTACCATAATTTGGGAGAAACATCCATTTCTGCCCACTCTCTCCATTCCTGGAGAGTGGCATTTGAGACATTGCTGTCTTCTTGCGCAGTTTGCAAAGTGGCAACAACAGCCGCAGTCACTAAGTCTTGTTTAAGATTCCTGTTTTTCTTCTCATACTGGAAAACTCTTAATTGCTGTTTTCTCTTGATCCCTGTTTTTCTGGCACTCTGGGGCTGCCTTCAGGGTAGGTTCAGCCTAATGAGATAGAATCTACCCTTTCTGGGAACAGGTATATAGATTCCTGAGGAACAAGAAATCTGCCTCCTTAGAGAAATACTATTTCCAATTCAGAGCCAAATTTTGACTAGATTTTCAGGCGTGGGGTTGGGGACCATTGGGGGGAAGGAGTTACGGATAATTCTTGAGCCTGTGGATAAACCTTGCAAATTTTTCTCCCATCACTGCTCTCTCCCTGAAAAAGCAGAGTGGAATTTGCATTTGCGCACACCTAGCACACCAGACTTAGGCCCAAAGGAAACACATTAAATCTAAAACTCCCCAGGGCTCTGTAGTGCCTGAGACGGAGTTGCCTGGTGATTTAAAAGAAGACAAATATTATTTTGCCTATCAATGCTCAATGGTCCTTAAAGACACCTTTTCCCTGTCATCAATTCCTGGGATGAGTTGTTCCTACTTAGGAAAAGGTGTTTCCGCTTGCAGAATTGGTTCTGGATTTCCCATCAGCCTAGCAAGATTGGAACTTAGACCTGGTGTACATTAAATTATTCAGAAATTATGTCCTTACCTAATACAAAAAAAAAGCAATCTTTAAATTTCTGGCCAAATATCAATTTCCTGAAGTCACGTAACTCCAAATCTAAGGATCTCAAGTCTTCTAGTGAGAATTCCAGAATATGTTTCTTATAGATTTGAGGAAGTAAATCATCTTAGAATAACTGTCTCCCTTCCTCCCTCTCTCCCTGGTACCACATAGTCTTTTCTCCATTGCAAATAGAGGAAATGACAAAATGTGCTATGTTCTAATTTTTATGAAATCTGCCATGATGTATTTTATTTATTATGACCCTGAGTCCCAGGTTGGGTTTATGGTATTCTACTTTCTGCCTATGCAATTGACGAGTATTATGTTTCCTCTCTCTTTTGGAAAGTGATATGTTTTGGCTGTGTCCCCACCCAAATCTCATCTTGAATTGTAGTTCCTACAATCCCCACGTGTTGTGGAAGGGACCTGGTGGGAGGTAATTGAATCATGGGGGCAGGTTTTTCCCATGCTGTTCTCATGGTAGTGAATAAGTCTCAAAAGATCTGATGGTTTTATAAATGGGAGTTCCTCTGAACAAGTTCTCTTGCCTGATGCCATGTAAGATGTGACTTTACTCCCCCCTCATCTTCCACCATGATTGTGAGGCCTCCCCAGCCATGTGGAACTGTGAGTCAATTAAACCTCTTTCTTTATAAATTACTCAGTCTCTGGTATATTTTTATTAGCAGCATGAGAATGAACTAATACATAAAGTTTGTAAGTAGCGCTATGTGCTATGTGGTCATTCTGCTCCAAGGCTCATGGGTTTGTCATGAACCCTGCATGTTACACAATGCTAAAGAAGCAATTGTCTGCACAGGTGTCTCTTAAATTAACTTAAGAATATCTATCAAGCACCTATTTTGTGCAAGGTGGTAGGGATACAAAGACCACAGTCTCTAATTATCTTAAGCTTTTAGTCTAGTGAATATCTTCCCTCTTACTTTTAAGGTGCCAAGTGTCAGAACTTGTTGCTGTTTGTTGAATTCCAAGAGGCAATGGAGAAAATGTAGGAATAAACTACATTTTCTTCTACATTTAAGATGTAAAGGGAACATTTTCTTAGTAGAAAATCCTTACTTTTCAGAAAATAACTTCTTAGGTAAAGCACATCATTTTAACCCTTTTTGCAGAAAAAAAAAATACAATGCTTCTGGTTCAAGGTGGCAATTTGAGCACATATGTTTGAATCCTCCTCTTTCCCAAATAACCATGAAAATGCAGGAGACACTTTTTAGCATTGCTGAAACCACAACAGGGTGACATCCACATGTTCAAACTGAGTGGAATTCATGGAGGATATATGCAGATAGAAGAAGTTGAGTGATGGGCAAGACGACCAATGGTTTTCTGCACAAGAAGAAGCCAGTCAGAGAAGTAGGTGGAAGCACCTTCTACCCCAGAGAGGGAGCTGGAGGAAAGGGTGGGCTTTGGGGGGGTCTTTGAGGTGCAAATTTCTGTGACACTGGTCATAGCTCACATAGAGAGCGATTGCTGCCACGGCTCTTAAATTATTTGAACTCACACATTACGTAGCTGGTCATTCCTAGGCAAAAAGCCAGGGCTTCCTTTGCTGAATCCTAACGAGGCAGTTATGCCAGGTAGGAAAGGGAAGTGCTGCCCCAGCTAGCTAGATGCCGCAACAGAGGAGGCAAGGAATTCCTCCAAAGAGAGAGGCACACTTGGGTGTGATGGCCTTTGGTTTGAAGCTGGAGTTCCTTCTTACTCCCCAAGTTCATGGGCCACCAGCCTGAGAAAGCAGTGAAAATGCTTTCCTTTGTCTGTTTTCTTGTTTTTGTTTTTATCAAAGATTTGAACAGGTACACTTGCAATTTCTGATGAAAGCATTTTAACCAACATAGATACACCTCTATCTGTTTTTGCAAGGGTAGGTAAATAGAGGTGAATGGCAGGACAGATAAGTGAGAACCCCCAGCTGTCAAAAGGAGAGGACCATTATGAGAAAAGGTGTTCTTGTGAGACAGTGATTATAAAAGAGGACTAAAATGTCTAAAAGCTCATCTTCCAAAATTGATTAAATAAAGTGCCTCATCGCCATAAAATGGCAGCCATTAGAATGATATGATTAGAAACATTTATTGCATGAAAGGATTTTCACAATATATTGCAAAGCTTAAAAAAAAGAGAGCAAGAAAACAAATGAAATAATAGCAGAATGAATGCATTGTGTGTATGGATGGGAGGAAGGCGGGAGTGAGGGTTGGCAATAATAGGAAGATCAATACTAAAAAATTATACACCAAAATAGTTAATAAGGCAAAAAGTTAATATAAGTCTGGAATTTGATTTCAATGATTTTATAATCTTTTTGATGATGTATTTTTAATTTTTTCACACAAAATGAACATAAAGGGATATGTTTTTCTTAAAGTAAATATTGTTTCTCAGAAAGCTTACTTCCCAGAAAGACACTAGACTGAAACTATATTATGGATGCGTTCTTAACACTTAACAAAGAGAGGGGTAATTTCAATTCTATTTAAAATATTCTTCAATGCAGGAAGAAATGGAAAGTATACCAATTCATTTTATGAAACTATCATATCTCTGGATATCAAAGCCTAACAAAGGGAGTTGGAAAAAAATCAAGCAGGAGCCAATTTCGGTTGTGAATATGATGCAAATTTTTGAAAATGATAATAGAATTGTTTTTAGTATTTTGGTAAGTAATAATGCTATGGCCAAGTAGCGTTTCATCTCAAAGTGCGAACATATTTTAATACTAGCAAGCTTATTAACAAAATTGTTAAGCACATCAGAAAGATAAGCTAAGGCTCTAGAGATGCTTATATTTGTGACACACAAAGCAAGAGAAAATGGCTTTCATTTCAATCTGGCACTTTGCTGCGATGGTACATTCAACAGAGAAAGAGGGCCCTGTCACAGGTGACCCCCAACAAGGATAGCCTTGCCAGTTACAGGTGGCAGGCTGGGAGGTTGCCACAACCTAGCGAGGAGAAGACTGATGGCTCAGAATGTCGTACTCACTCTCTATTGAAGAAGTTTGGTCCTCTAAAACGACTAAACAAACAAAGCAACAACAACAACTACAACCACCTAAGTTTTACCCCACTCTCCCCTTCGGACCCTGAAAGACTTGTGCAGGGATTTAAACCATCTCTGACAAAATCCCCTATCAAACAGACAATGAAGAAAACTTTAAAAAATAGGTCAATCATTTTATTCTTCAGTAATTATATAAATAGGTAATTCATTTTATTCTTCAGTAATAAAATGAATTACCTATTTATATAATTCAATAATAAATTACCTATTCAAAGAAACAGAAGCAAACTTAAAAAATAAGTAGTTCATTATATCACTGAAAATTGTGAGGGCATTTGATTTAGATCAAGATGTGAGGTCAGGAAACGCTTCCTAGGGGTGAAAACAAGTTATTTAAAAAATGTGATGGAAGCAGTAAATTGCAGATGTAAGAGGCAGAAATAAAATCGGCAAATTGGAAGACAACTTGGAATTCTCCCAGCATTAAGAGAAAAATAAAAGAATCAATATGATGAGAAGAAACAACAGACATGAATGAGCGATCCTGATAGTTCAGTTTATGCATGAAGACTTTTAGAAGATGACAGAAACAGATCTGAGTCAGTGAAGATGTGATCTTCTTAGCAAAAGGGCTAAGAAAATGCCAGGCACATTAACAAACACATTCCATACATAGTCATAAACATAAAATTTCTGAATTTCAGAGACAAAGGAGAATCTTTAAATGGAAAGTTAAAGGTATCCTGACATACAGCTGCAGAGACAGACACTGTATTGCCTCGGGGAGAACTCCAGCCCCAAAGGTGAGTAGGTGATGGAGAAGAAGCAGAGTTTGACATGTACAAAGCTAAAGTGAGTCTCTAAATATTTCAAATATTCCAAATATTCCTCTCTCTGTGAAAGAAAATAGATAGTGCTTTTCCAAAATATGACAAGGATCCAAAAGAATTATGTTTCATTACCAATAAGAAGGGGTGAAATGAAAAGTAGTTTTTGGTACTGTCAATAATAAAAAACACATTTTGATCACTAGGCTATAGAAATTCTCTTACACGTCTCTGTATAGATAAAGGCATTACAAAATTTTTGTCATTTGGGGGGTGATTAAAGAATATGCAACAAAAAATGTAGAAAAATATGTATAATATTGCAGAAGTATACCAGACAATTAATTAATATAAATGCTATATGGTTTTTCTGGACTTTCTGAGTTTTGTCGTATGTTCTGATATTTGAAGATTGTGTTGGCCAGGTGTGGTGGCTCGTGCATGTAATCCCAGGACTTTGGGAGGCCCAGGCAAGTGGATCCCTTGAGCTCAGGAGTTTGAGACCAGACTGGGCAACATGGTGAAACCTCATCTCTTTGAAAATAAAATAAAAATAAAATCCAAAGCTCATACTCCTTCTGCACACTCCATTGACACATAATATCTTGTATTTGGGAGGGGTACCCTTGAGGTTTTCAGGTTCAAGGGCTCAGTTGAATATCCCTCACAAGGGCCTAGTGCTCTTAGAACTTGGAAGTTTCAAAAACAAAAAATAAAAAAAGAAAGAAAATATTTTAAAAATTAGAAAAAAAAGAAATTAAAATAAATATTTAAAAAGATTGTATTTGTTGTTCTTTCTCCTTTTAAATGCAAATTCATATTCATACCTAATTTTAAAATCAAAGTATTGTTTATATACAGTAAAATAAGTCATTATAATTGTTTTTTTTTTTCTTAAATGTAACCCCTAAAATTGTCTAAGTTTCAGGCATCCAAAACCATCCTGTACAAAACCCAGGTGCCCTTTCTGCATTTCTTTATCCAACCAAGAAATAAATCAACATAAGGAAGTAAAACCTTGAAAAGGGGATTAAGAACTGAAAGGATTCTGGGTGATATCACAATTGGAAAATATTTTTAATGTCTACATAATTTTTTTTTTTTTTCTGAGATGGAGTCTTGCTCTGTCTCCCAGGCTGGAGTCCAGTGGCCAATCTCAGCTCACTGCAAGCTCTGCCTCTTGGGTTCACGCCATTCTCCTGCCTCAGCCTCCAGAGTAGCTGGGACCACAGGCGCCCACCACCACGCCCGGCTAATTTTTTGTAGTTTTAGTAGAGATGGGGTTTCACCGTGTTAGCCAGGATGATCTCGATCTCCTGACTTCGTGATCCGCCCACCTCGGCCTCCCAAAGTGCTGGGATTACAGAAGTGAGCCACTGTGCCTGGCCTACATAATTGTTAATATAGTTATAAAACCTAGTGTAAGTACAAAAAGTAATTTTTGAAAGAGAAAAATACTATAAAAATTTATTATTATATATCCGAAATATTGGATCATTTTATAAGATGTGGTATGGAGTTGGGGGAGATATGAAGAGGACTATATTTCCCATAGTCCATAAGCTTTGTATTTAGAGTCTGTTGAGGATGGTATGTGGTTTTGTCGTTTAACCTAACATTGGTGTAATATTCTACATGTGATAACTTGTGTATCATGGGTATTCACAATCAGAATGGACATTGGTTGGAACAACCCACATAGCCATCCTAGAGCATACTGAAACAAAACATTATCTTAGATGTAAATAATCACTGGTAGAAAATTGCAATTCTAAATCATTAGATTTTTTAAAAAAAGCAAATTCTAAAATCTTCAATTAATATCCAGTTATTCTTCAGTGAGAATGTTGGATTTGGGAATACAATAACTATTTAGTGGATCAAAATATTCCTATCTTATCCTTGACATCATTAAGCCAAGGCAAATAGAGATACAGGGACACATTAGCTCCTATACTAGATCATTAGAATACCAGTGGTCAAAACATAACAGCTACAAAGCTTTTGGTGCCTTCAATGTTGGTTTCAAAGAGAGCAATTGCAGTAAATGTCTGTGAACTTTTGAAGGGCTGATCTCACTTTCTTTTCTCCACTCCAGGAATGAAAGCAAAGCCCTTTTGAAAAAATGGTATTCATCATCTATCAGTGCCTTGACTTTGTTCTTCCCATTACAGGTTCATTGGTTTAAAAAGTATTTGCTAAAATAGGCAAAGGCCCTCTTTCCCCCTCAAAAGCAAATAAAAACCCCCAAACCCAAAACAACAATAAAATTTTCTGTGAAGTGCTAACTAATTTCTGCATTTGTTATATAGAAAATGTTGAAATTATAATTGGAAAAGTAGTGAAACTCAGACTTGGAACTCTGAAACAGTGATTCTTTCCTGTACAAGGTGGATATTTTTAATCTTTAGGACTTTTAAGTTCTATATAATATTTTTTTGTTAGTTGTTATAGAAAACACAACTCTAGAAATACATCCTACCTTCCTCTTATCCTGAAATCTCAGGTCAATACTTGATCACTTGTGGGTTATGGCATAGAGATGGCATTCCAATTATTCATCCGCCTGAACATGGCAGGAGTATTGTTCCCACCCCCTTTTTTTTACATTACTGTAAACTGTTGCTACTATGTTTCAATTCGTTTGCTGGCTATAAATGTGTATGTGTGTGTGTATGTGTGTCCTATCTGTTCCTGTATACAAAATTTTCTAGTAACTCAAGATTGTGATACCAAGGCAAATGTTTCCAGCATCAAAAATGAATATTTCATGGGCCTGTCATTTTTAATTTTTATTCTTTTGGCTTTCATTTAGGAATAGTTTAGTTCAGTTGCTTGAGTACAGTTGATTGAATACAGTTGCAGCAACTAATTAAAATCTGTTATAAGTTAGGGGCACTTTAAATCTGTGCTCTTTTGTCTCCACTATGACGCATTATTTTAAGCCCAGAGTTTAGAACCTGTACAAATTCCCTCTCAGTCTGAAGCTTTGATGAATGATGAAGAGGATGCGGTATTACTCACTTTGAACTGAAAAAAAGTTTGTTAAAATATAATGTTCTATAAAAAGGTGGCAGAAACAGATTCTTTCTCTTTTCTTGTTGAAAATAGGTAAGGCTCCCTTGCCATTGGGTTTCCTGTTTAATGGTTGGGTTTTTCCTGTAAAGGTTTCTCCCTGCAGGAAGTCGGAGCTTCAGAGGAGTGCAAGGTCACGGTGTTTGTTATCCCACCTGCCTGTCTGTCAAGTCGCTGAGGATTGGCTTTGTTCCTCTACCAAAGGCCACAGCCCCTGCCAGGGAACCTCTTGTCCAGCCTGCCATCTGGGTCTATTCTTTCCTCCCTGTATGTTTCCAGACCTAGGGCTGGCAGCAGCTCCCTTCTATTGGTACCCTCGAGGTACTGTGCCTGCCATGTCTTCTTGCTTCATCTAAACCCTGCACATTCCTTTGTAAAAAGTGGTTTTAATTAAACTCACCTCAAATTTTCCAGTGTAAGTGTGCCTTCTGTTTTGTTTTCAGGTCCTTGGGTAAGGCAGTCATTTAAATAAATTAGGCATTTTGGGCAATATTTATGATAAGGGAGAGAGAATAGGGAGCCACAGAGTCCTGCATGACATTCCTGGGCAATTCCTTCCCTTTCAACTCCATTGATTGCCCTAATTGGCTCTTCCTTCTTCTGGCCCCCAGTTTCCTCATGTCTGACTAAAGCCTTTCATTTCCCTTCTCCATGAAATCATCTCTACTTCAGATTAAGTCCAGTACTCTAGATATAATGCTCTCTCTCATCTCCTGAACTTCTCATAAACTTTTTGTCTCCTATGCCTCATTCTCTTGAACACCGATGTCAATTAATTGTTAAGTAGGAAAGCAATTTTGACATACTAACCTATGTTAAGGCACAAAGGTCTACTAATGCCTTAATCATGTGTAGCACACCATGGAGTACTGACTTCTGAAAATAAAAATGACTTATCCCAGGTTACATAGCATGAACAAAAGAGTGACTCTCTAATGATGAAAATATCACCCGTAAAGGCAGGGAGTGTTATTAGAAAGATATTATGAAGCAACAAGCGCAACCTAAAGTCACACAATAGGAGTCTGTCAGCTCAACTTAAAAGTAAGGTTTGTACTGAGACCTCAGTGGTAAGTTTAATGTTCAAGACTATGCCAAAATGAGATCATTTCTCTTCCTAGTAATAAGAACAAAAGTAGAATGGATATTGGAAAACTTGATACAAGAAATGAGCACCTACTATAATAATTATGTCTAGATGTGAGCAATCTCCATTTAGATCTTGGGTGGGTACAACTTAACGTGTTAAAACTTAAGTAGAAATCTGAAGAGTAAGGAATTGGACATACTTTGGATAAAGTTAAGACCTTCCGAAGGATAAGGACCATTTTCAGAGCCATGTTGCTTTTTATTCCTCTGATATAAAAAGTTTGGGGTGTCATTAATACTTGTAGTCTAATTTCTGATGGTTTGCATTATTATGTATTTGACGCCATTAACGTCAGCACTCAGATACGCTTTACATACAATATCTTAAGAGCTTCTGTTGGTAGTGCCATCCAATGTAGCCCAGAAATGAATGAAAAAATCTCACTTTGTCATATGCACTTTATGCAGTTTGATTAGGGCATGCATGTATGTTGCATAGCAGGATTTTATTAAAATACTGCATATCAATTCATTTGCATGGGGGAGGCCAGTAATGTCCCTCCAGCATCTACATATGATTTCTAGCACCCCAAACTAGAAATCATTTGGCTCAGAAATAGAACTTGGAGAACAGCTAGGTTTCAACATCAGAGACAGAGACCTGGGGATAGGAGAGTGTGAACCAGAGGGAGATTTGCAGGAGAAAATCTTTTAGAAAGTTCAATCCTTTGAAAACTCTCCCTAAACCTTCCCTAAAGCCCTCATATACTGACCATTGAGGTTTCCATTGAATATTTTACACTGTTTATTTTACCATTCACCATTCATCCAGAAGATGCCTACCAAGCACCAGATGCCACTCTGGGTGCTGCGGATGCATTGGTGAGAAAAAAATAGATAAACTACTTCTACCTTGTAGGGAGTGAGGGGCAGGGAAATAGACCATAAGCAATACATATAATAAATCATTAGGCCATATAGTGGGCTAGAAGATGATAAGTGTTGGCTAAAAAGAAATAGAGCTGGGTAAGGGGGTCAGGAATTTGGGAAGTTATCATTTATCAAGTGACCTTATTGAGCAGGTGACATTTGAGCCAAGACTTGAAGGAGGTAAGAAAATGAGCCACACAGCTACCTCTTTAACACTGACCGTTAAATCAGCCTGTTAAAGCAGCTCTGCGCCTGGCGCGGTGGCTCACGCCCGTAATCCCAGCACTTTGGGAGGCCGAGGCAGGTGGATTGCCTGAGCTCAGGAGTTCGTGACCAGCCTGGGCAACACGGTGAAACCCCGTCTCTATTAAAATACAAAAAATTAGCCAGGTGTGGCGGTGTACTCTTGTAGTCCCAGCTACTCGGGAGGCTGAGGCAGGAGAATCACTTGAACCCAGGAGGCGGAGGTTGCAGTGAGCTGAGATCACGCCATTGCACTCCAGCCTGGGTGACAGAGTGAGACTCCATTAAAAAAAAAAAAAAAAAAAAAAAAAAAGCAGCTCTGTCTGGTTGAAATAGAATGCAAATAGCATAGGTCATTTAAGATTTTACAGTAGTCACATTTTAAAAAGTAAAAAGAAATAGGTAAATTTATTTTAACAAAATATTTTATCTAACCTATTCTATTCAAAATATTTCAGCATGAAATCAAAATTCTAGAAAAAAATTAGATTTTTGCATTTTGTTTTTCATACTAAGTCTTAGACATGTGATGTGTATTTTCCGATTACAGCACATCTCAATTTGGACTAGCCACATATCACATGCTCAGTAGCACATATGGTCAGTGGATACCATATTGGGTGGTATAGCCTTAAAGAGGGTTGAAAAAGTGTCACTTTTGAAGAGCATACTCAAAAGGAGTGAGTGGTCCCTCTGCTTTCCCATCCCTCCAGGCTAGGCAGGGGGTGTTTGTGGGCAGTGGAGAGGAGGCAATCTTAATTTGGGGAAGGATGAATTTCCTGCAAACAAAGCATTAGGGAGTTTTCTTTCTATTTTAGACCAATAAGGGTAGCTATCTCATATCATCCCCTTTGAATCAGCAGTGTGATATGAAGGGTCATGTTCAATTCTCAGGCCTTTGTCTACATCTTCCACCAAAGCCTTCCTCTCCTTTAGGAATTGTCTCACTGAGAGACTGGTTTGGCCGAATTATCCATTCAAGATCAAGCCTTTATTTGTGGTATTTTGTATGTTTGTTGGAGATGGAGACGATAGCCTTAAACTAGAGGTTAAGAATGTAAAATAGTGGCTTTGAAGGATGCAATTGTCCTGTAGATGCCAGGGTTCTAATATTACGACCATTTATAAGTTATCAAGTTCAGCAAGAATGAGGAAGAAACAAACCATATATTATAGCCATTTTTGTAGTTCCTAGCAATCAACTATGAAAAACAGCTGTTATTAGTTTTTCCTTTCCCAACTAGATTATAAATCCACAAAAATAGGAGCCATGTATTCATGACATTCTCTTTTCTTTTGTATCCTCCATAGAGGGTAGTGCTGAGTTGCTATTTAATAAATATTTATAGATCACTCCAGGTGTTGGCAAACCTTTTCTGTAAGGACCAGATAATAAATATTTCAGTCTTTGAGAACTATACTGTTTCTGTCACAACTACCCTACCTTGCTGTTGCAGCACAAAATCAAGCATAGATAATATATAACTGATGGGCATAGATGCATGCCAATAAAACTTTATTGATATATACAAGTTTAAACATCATGCAATTTTTACATGTTACAAGGTATTGTTCTGCTTTTGTTTTTTTCAATTGTTTAAAAATGCGAAAAAACACTGTTAGCTCAGCTGTGTGAAAACAGGCAATGAGCTGGATTAGGTCTAAGAGTTATCGTGTACCAATGCCTGGTTTCCATTATTCTCATTTTTTGCTCAGCCATTTTCGTTTCTTTTTTTCCTGTGCCTCTTTATTACCTAATTCTCTCTCCCTCCTTTCTTTTTGACTTTCCTTCATCTCACTGCTGATTCTCCTATATCTTCCTTCTTTCCCATTCTTCCTTATCTTTTCTTCTTTCTTCAAACCCCATAGCCATTTTCTTCTATTTGCCTAAGCACTGTCATCTTAGGTGGAGCGGTTTCCAGAAACACAGCTTCACTTTCAGGAAGAAATAGATGGGATTAAAATAATATTTAAAACATGGAGTCCTAAAGTTATTATATTATGCCCTCCCATTTCCCTTCTTCTCCTCCTTCTCTTCTTTCTATTTCTCCATATACCAAGTACAATGGTAAAAGAATAAAAGTGACTTACATGTGTATATGGACAGAAGTCTCATTACTAACATGTGCATGTATGAGAGTGGGTAATGGTTATGTCAGTTGTGCTATTTGTTTTGTGTTAACTTGTAGTAATTGAGCCTTTTGGCTGTTCATGCTTTCACATTTTTCTGCAAAATCAGGCACTTATTTGAGAAAATTTTCTTGACCTGCTAACATATTTAGTTTGGCTGAAAGTAATTTTTATTATTCCCAACCACTTTTAATTGATAGCTACTAATTATAAATACGACCTTATTCAAGTCTTTTTTTACAACACTTTCACAAGCAATTTGCCTCAAATCTATCAGGTTTGATAAACAGTCTTTATAATTCAGTTACCAGGGAATTTCTGAAAGTACAGACACACAAAGCAAAAAGCAAACAAAACAACCTCCACAAAAACAATAACAACAAAATCCCTTTGGTTCTTGTCAACACTGTTCAGAGCATGTCTCCTTTGAAACAAGACCATTTCAGCAATTAAAAAAAAAATACAGCAGATTTTCCCTTCTTGCTTCTTTCCCCCTTTTTTTAAATAAAATTGCCAACTTAAAAATATTATAACATTTTACCATTGTCAGCAGTTATACAGAATTTTGCTCACAAATCCAAGATGGTTCCGCCTTTCCTTATTTTTTTTTAAGGACACACTGATTAGGTATTAGAATCAATACCCCCCTGCCTTTGATAGAATTCTTTTTTCTTTTACAAGTAATCTCTGAATTAAAGGTTAGGCAATCGATTTCTTCAGCTATTTTTACCATTGTCTTAGTCACAGAGATCTGATCTAAGACAGACCATAATTTTTCCCCTTAATTCAGAATATTCGATAGAATATGATAGTACAAATAGCATAATCTAGACTGAAGCAAATTGCTTACAAAAGGCATGAAAGCTTCATAATCATTCTGTCTTCAAATGAACACAGAGTATTGATTTGAAATATTGTTCCAGCTCCTGTCCTCTTGAGGAGTATACTGACAATTCACTGAATATTACAAAAGCATCTCAGTTGTGTGGATTGCAGAAAAATGCTGACTATGATAACATCTGTGATTTGTTATTACAAATTGAAAGATAATAAAATAATTATCTCTAGTTGCATAGTTACTGATTTTAGCATTGCAACCATATTGCACTTAATACCTTGATAATGTTTATAACATCCCACAGATGTGAGTGAAAAATACAAATACCAGTATTTTAGACAAGAAAGCATAGGTATTCAGCAAGTGTTTTGTAATAAAATTTGTACAGTATTATAAAGCTAATCATAAATATTAAAGTTTAGTTTACATACTGTTTACATTTCCTCATTTGTTCATTAACAAAAATTAATCTGAAGACTACAAACATAAAAAGGTTACTGTCTATAAAACACACAACTTTGCCATTCAGATGTCCTAAAGTCTTTCATATACTTTATATGTAGTTTTACCAATGTTAGAGCAAGAGAAAAAGACAACCTTCTCTTTAAATCCAGAAAAGAGCGAGAAAAATAGTTTTGTGGGCATACTCAAAGAAACAGAGGTGGTAATTACGGCAGCCCACTCTAAGAGTGACATTTCTCTGTTTCAGCCCACTAAAAAAATGTGCAAAGAAACAAGTAGGCCATTGTGGCTGTATTTTCTTTTTTCTTTTTTTTTTTTGAGACGGAGTCTCACACTGTTGCTCAGGCTGGAGTGCGGTGGCATATTCTTGCAATCTCCACCTCCCGGGTTCAAGTGATTCTCCTGCCTCAACCTCCTGAGTAGCTGAGATTACAGGTGCACACCACCACGCCCAGCTAATTTTTGTATCTTTAGTAGAGACAGGGTTTCACCATGTTGGCTAGGCTGGTCTCGAACTCCTGACCTCAAGTGATCCACCCGCCTTGGCATCCCAAAATGCTGAGATTACAGGTGTGAGCCACCGCGCCCAGCCTGTGGCTGTATTTTCTAAAGCTTGTTGCACCAATATATATCTCATTCCACATGCTCTTGTTACAGTGTTGCATCAACATGCCTCCATTGAGCTGTGGGGTCTGTTTTCTCCCCTTGAACCTGGGTGGAGCTTTCTAACAGCCTCAAGCAATAGAACGTGATGAATATGACATTACAGGACTTATGAGACTAGGACATAAAGGGACATATAATTTCTATCTGGTTCTTTCTTTCTCACTCAGGGCACTTGCCCCTTTGGAGTCAGCCACCATGTTATGAGGAAGTCTGGGACACATGAAGAGGCCACATGCACTTATTCTGTCTAAAAGCCCTAGCTAATTGCAAGGCTGACAGCCAGCAGCAACTATCATTTTTGTGAATAAATAAGTCTTCAGATGATTCCAAATCCCAGCCTTTGAGTCACCCCAGCTGATGTCAAGTAGAGCAAAGATGAGCTATCCTCACCGAACTCCATCTAAATTGCTGATTCCTGAGCAAAATAAATGTCATTGTTCTAAGTCTCTAAATCTTGGAGTCATTTATTATGTAGCCATAGATAACAGGAATGGCCTTCAACAAGATAGTTCTTTAACACTGTAAAAATTATCTTGCTCATGTAATAGGGGTTCCACTGGATCTCCAGAAACCAATGCTGAACCATATCAATTCCTAGCATACTTAACTCATTTCCCCATTTGTTGAGTATAGAGTTCCCTTTTGTGATTGCCTTGGGAATGGAAACAAGAGAGATCACTTCAGAACAGAAAGAGACCAGGGAATTACTTCTCTATGGTTTTTGTGAGTCCCCAGAGCTAGAAAAAAAATTAATTGGCTTACACTAAAATGCTTAACTTAGTTCTGTTCTTGGAGGAACACCTTTACGGCTAGCGACATGATAGACATTGCCACTCTTGTGTACTTATTATGAAACAAGAATGATCTATCTCCTTAATTGTAGCAAAAATAACTTTTGAGATGCGGGTAAGTAAGCAGTAGGGACGGGCAGAGCAGTAACTAAGTTGTGTTCATAGGTATTGTGCAAGTTCTTAAGTAGGCTGGAAGCACATGGTTATGGCAAGTGTGGAGTTATTTCCCCATTTTTAACTCAGCAGGATGACTCCTGTTGTTGACCTAAGAATCACAGGATGAGAGGAAGAAACCTGCCAAGGCATGTCGGCCAACTCCTCAGAGAAATACTACAGTTAACTTAGAGGTCAGTGTCACCATTTCAGCGTGGCTTTTTAAAATGTTGGCACCTTTCAAAGATTCCTGTCAACAAAACACTTAAACTTTATTAACATAAGTTGTTTACAGCATCTATATGGAACAACTAGCTGATGTGGCTGAAAAGTTTATATTTGGGGTTAATTCCAGGTGTTTTGAGGACTCCATGTCAATAACATAGTTCTTCCCTGGATGAGATCCCAACAAATTCATATGGATTATTGGGCCAACATAATCTTTATAGAACAGCAAGAGGCTTGTATGCAGCCATGTAATATACTATGGTAACATCTGAATCAATTGCAGTTCAGTAGACAAAACTTCGAGTCAAAGCTTTTATGCAAATATTCTTTAAAACTGCCATGATGAGGTGGCCAAGACAATATAAAATCCATTTCCTAGAAGAAGAAAAAGGTAGAGAGTAGAGTATTTAATAGTATAGACTCTGGAGCCAGACTGTCTGGGTTCAAATTCTGTCTCTGACACTGGTTTCATGATCCTAGGTGGAGGTATGTAGTCTTTCTTAGCCTCAGTTCACTCATTTACAAAATAAAAATGATGGAGTTGTAGGCAGAAAGAAATTGATTCATGCACAGAGCATACGACAGTGCTTGTTTTGCGGTAAGTGCTCAGTAATTGTTACCTATTATTATTATTTTGTGAGTGAACTATAGAGTATAGTGAATAACTCAAAAATGTCCCCTCTCTTCCCATTATGGAGTATTTTAGGGTTCTGGGCAGTTAATTATTCAGCTTCTTTGGCCAGGAAAAGATACGCTCCAAGCACATTCTATAACATCGACACTTTCTCTAGAAGTGGCTCAGTCGCTCTAGGAATCTGCTGTAATAACCCTAAACACCAACATTAGATACTATTCTTTTAATTTCACCCTTGGTAAGTAGAGAGCACATCATGACCAGTGAGTGTGTGGTTTCAATGCTGCATAGTGAGATAATGAGAAAGCCTTGCAAAAAGAGAAAACAAGGCTTGTATTGTAGTTGTGAAAATTGAGAAAGGAGGTGGGAGACTCCTGGCTTCAAAAGGAATTCAGGCTATAGATGATATTCTTGAAGCACTTAATGTTTCCGAGCTAGCCATCATTATTTTTCTCACTATGTATAGCTCCCTTCCTATAAGCTTAAGAATAAATGATAGGAAATTGTGGTTTATTCTCCCTGAATGCCCATCAAAGATCGACTGGATAAAGAAAATGTGGTACATATACACCATGGCATACTATGCAGCCATAAAAAAGAATGAGATCATGTCCTTTGCAGGAACATGGGTGGAGCTGGAGGCCATTATACTGAGCAAACTAATGCAGGAAGAGAAAACCAAATACCACGTTCTCACTTATAAGTGAGAGCTAAGTGGTGAGAACACATGGACACATAGAGGGGAACGACACACACTGGGGCCTATTGCAGGGTGGAGGCTGGAAGGAGGGAAACGATCAGGAAAAATAACTAATGAGTACTAGATTTAATACGGGGAGAAAATAATTTGTGAACAAACCCCCACGACACAGTTTTACCTATATAACAAACTTGCACATGTACACTTGAACTAAAAAGTTAAAACAAAACAAACAAAAAATTTCATATTTTAATTGTATGCTGTTAATCTGTGGAAATACAATTGATTTTTAAAAATAAAAACCCTACACTCAGAAAAAAATGTGGTTTATTCTCAACATAAGAAAGTCATTTTGACCGAGAAGCAAATGACCATGTAACATCCCGGAAAGTAATACTGTGCTGAGATCAGCTCCATTGAATGGTTTTTCCAGTAAAATGTGAAGTAACCTGACAATGGCAGACTTTTGAGGCAGAAAAACAGTAGGAAGTGCAGAGCCCCAAGATAGTTCAGTTTTCCTTAACTTTAGATCATATCCGGTGTTGCACATATGTATCTCAGTTGGCTAAAAGCTGATAGCAGAGATAGAGAAACCCAAGAAGGTGCCAGTGGAAGTTCTCATTCCAAAACTTCCCTCATCATTTGGATGCCCACTATATTCTACTTTTATGGGACTGTCAACTTTTTTTTTTCCTTCCTTGAAAAGACATTAGTGTTTTACCATTATCAGCAGTTATGAGAAACTTTGTGAAGACACGATTTTTCCTCTCTCCATAGTTCTGAGTTTTTCTGTGAATTCAGCGTTTTTATGGATGCCATAATGAACAGATTGTTGAAGTATGAGCACCTTTTGTCAGTCACTTCTCAGTTTTGGTGTCAGATCCAGTCTCTGCCCTTCTCGATAATGGGAGAGCAACACTTCCCTGTTTCCCCTGCACTCTGACTTTTGGATCACTCTGACCAATAGAAGGCACAAGTGAGACACTGGAGGGCAGAAGGAGGGGAGAAGACAAACTAATTCTCTCTCTCTGCTTTGGTCAATATCTCTAACAGATGTGTCTCCTCTGTGGCTCCAGCCCCCATTGGGCAGATGGAAATGGTTCCACTCTGCATTGGGCTTGGGCTTTAGAACTTCTGTAACATCTACTTAACACATTTTCTATATTAAGGTACTTCTATGGAAAACATAGACTTATTTCTGTTTTCTGACTGGACTCTGACTGATACACACTTGTAGAATCTTTATGAATATCTCTGAAAGAAAACATTAGAATGCTGGAAAATTCTAAGATTGTAGGGGTAATAGAAATTCTAAATAAATAAATTCTGGATCATTGATGATGCTTTGGGTATCGACAATCATGCCATTAATGATCAGATATTATTAGGCATAGACAAGCTAATCTTTGTGAAGACCTTATCCTAGGTAAGGATAGTGAGAAGTTTATTAACTCTAAATACTACATATGGGGATCTCTTAAGGGCTTTCTTCAGAGTCTTTTTATAGTCTCTATGGAGTTTTAACAAAAGCATCAGTCACAGTATGATTAGCTTAGTCCTTAGCATGCGTAATTTATTCAATAGTACCTTAGTTGACTAGAAGCTAAAATATCTCTTATATATTTTTTCCTTAAATTAAAAAGCTTATTTCTGACTTGGAGCAAATTGCTGCAATAGCTGGATGTAGACAGAATGATATAGGCATTTCTTTCTGCAGTTTTAGGTTTACAGAATAATTAACCAAAAAGTATATATAACTTACATATACCCCCTCACTCTACCCCATTCCCCACACCTCAGTTTCCCCTAGTATTAACATCTTGCATTAGTGTGGTACATTTATTAGAATAGATGAGCCAATATTGATACATTATTATTAAGTAAAGTCTATAGTTTACATTGGGGTTCACTCTATGTGTGCACATTCTATGAGTTTTGACAAATATATGATGATACGTATTCAATTACAATATTATAGAAAATAGTTCCACAGCCCCCCAAAATCCCATGCTCTACCTCCTCATCCCGCTGTGTTGAACCCCTGACAATAATAGCTCTACTGTCTGCAAATTTTTTCCTTTTCCAGAATGTCATATAGTTAGAATCACACAGTATGTGGCCTTTTTAGATTGGCTTCTTCCACTTAGAAATATGCATTTAAGTTTCCTCCATGTATTTTCAAGTTTTGATAATGTACTTCTTTTTATCATTGAATACCATTCAGTGATTTGGAATACCATTGTATGGATGTATCACATTTGTTTACTCATTAACCTGTTGCAAGACATCTTGTTTGCTTCCAGGTTTTGGCAATTATGAATAAAGCTGTTATAAGCATTTGTATGCAGGTTCTTGTGTAGATGTAAGTCTTTAGCTCATTTGAATATATACCAAGGACCACATTGTAAGAGAACGTTTAGTTTTGTAAGAAATTGCTAAAGTGCCTTCAAAAGTGACTGTATCATGTTGCATGACCACTAGCAATGAACGAGATTCGTGTTGTTCCACATCCTGGCCAGCTTCCGGTGTTGTCAATGTTTTGGATTTTAGCCATTCTAATAGGTGTACAGTGGTACCACATTGTTGTTTTAATCTGTGATTCCCTAATGTGACATATAATGTTGAGTATCTTGTCATATACTTGTTTGCCATTTGTATAGCTTCTCTTTTGAGGTGTCTGTCATATCTTTTACCCACTTTTTCAAGGGACTGTTTGCTTTCTTACTGTTGAGTTTTAAGAGTTCTTCATATATTTTGTATATCAAACCATTATCAGATATGTGTTTTGCAAATATTTTCTCCCAGTAGTCTGTGGCTTGTCTTTTCATTCTCTTAACAGGAAGACTTTTTAGTGTAATTTTTCCCAATGTCTCTGGAAATTTATTACCATCTTGTTGAAGCTAGGGTATTTCTATGGTTTTGAATACCTGGGAAATTAATTCCTAATGTTTTGAGATAGTAACTCCCCTCCAAGATATTTTTATGATCAGTGGAAATGTATTTTATAGCCCACAACATAACTTCTAGTATCAGTTGTGTGTGATCATTATAATCTTGAAGAATTACGATTAGTGGTCATAGCAGTGGTATGAAAGGGCTTGGAGAAAATATCACTGAATGGTCTCAATCATACTTTTAGACCATTTCTACAGTTCACTTCCCATTTACTCTGCAAGCAGTAAAGCAGTCTGGCTCCCAGCCCTCTACTCCCACCCTTTAACCTCTCTATTGGAAGTGTCTTGAGAAACCAATCAGTGACCTGTGATGTTAACTCCAATCCCTTTTTCTTGCAAATCTCTTTACTATAATCTTGGCCTTTGTAACACTACTTTATCCTAGAGACAGGTAGGTAGGAATTTTACTATCTTTTTTTCTGAACTTTGTAATGGCCTCCTAAGTTATTTCATTGCCTCTTTCTTTTCCAATATATCCTTCACATTGTCACAGCACAGAAGGCAACATGGTACAATGAGAAGATCACAGCCCTTGAAGCCAATAAGACCTAGGTTTACATCTCAGCTCTGCCACATAAGTGACTGAATGCTGACCCTCAAGTTCAACATGACATCCCTTAACTGTGGTAATTTATGACTGGAGTTGTTTTTGAAATCAAACATAATAATACCTATAAAGTGGCCTGAACATGGTATAAAGTCATTTCAATTTCTGAAGAACGAACCCAGTTATGAACACATCTCTCTTCCATTAGTTATACAATAAATTCCAGACTCCTCAGCCTGGTATGCCTGGCCCTGCACAGGTGACTGCTTCTTTTCAGTCTTAGCTTCTATGCCATCATACATGCTCTGAAAACACAGATGGGCTTGTTTCCTTCCACATGTGGCCTCCCAGCTATGCCTATGTGTGTGTATATAGTGCTCTCACTGTAATATATTCTGTCCTCCTGTCGGAATGGCAGACTTCCAATTTATTCTTCAGGGCCCTAATCTAATATTACCTCCCAGTCCTTTGCCCTCATTCTAATAGATTTTGAACAACTTATGCTATTGAAGTGATTTCCTATCCTTGATGATTTGGCCCTTCACATCCTGGAATTTGCCAACATGTGAATCTGTGGCTCCATTTCTCAAGAAGTAGATAAACTATAGGACCAGCTCACTTTCCTTAGGGGCTGTTTACCCTGCTTTCAAAAGCATGATATTTCATTTTAAGAACATAAACTTCAGTTAAAACTCATTGTGATAATTCTTGGTACTGGTGAAGATGTGGTAAGATAAGCATTCCATAGCACTTATGATGGAAATGCAAATTTTAGTATCTTTGGGGAATCCAGTCTGTCAATATATATCTGAGTAGATACTTAAAATACTTATACCTTTTGATCCAGTGATTTTATTTTTAAAAATAAACTTAAAGAAAATATATTTATATATAAACATGTTTATCATGTATAGTAAAAAAATTGAATGGAATTTAATAATCAAAACAGTTTTTTAGTTACATAAATTATATCCATACCATAGAATAATAAACAGTGATTAAAATGTACATGTATAAAGAGTTTTTAATGAGAGAAAAACCTTATGATATAATATTAAATACAAAATTCGAATACAAAGACAGACTTTCAATATGACCATTACTGTATTCAATATGTACCTAGAAAAGAGACTGAAAAGAAATATACTGAAATGTTTGTGATTCTATTAGTCAGGGTTGACTACCTGCTTAATAAACAACCTCTGAGTCTCTGTGGCTTAACACTAAAGGTTAATTTCTTGTTCATGTCACAGTACAATGCAAGGTTGGAAGGTGGCTCTTCATGTAATTATCTGAGGACCTAGACTCCTTCCTTCTTTTAAAGACTGACTTACTTTATGTATTCACTGGGCAAGTGAAGGAAGGAGGTTTCAGAGGCATGGCCTGGAATTGAGACACATCACTTCCATCCACATACCACTGGGCAGCAGAGCTCAGTCACATGAACCCAACTAACTGCAAAATATTGAGAACTATATTCCCAACAGAAAGAAAAGGAACTTGAGTATTGACAGCACTAGCATTGTCTTCCTCATCTCTAAGAGGAAATCTAATAATTACTGTTTCATTTTTCTGCATTTTCCAATTATTCCCCAGTACTATGTATTACAAGAGAAAAATGTATATCTAGAAGCCCTCAAAGTTTTAAAAGAGGGAACTCCTTTAATTTCCACCGTGTAAATTTACACTGCCTAAAGTATTTCCTTGGACATTCAAAAGGTTAAATTTGGTTCAAGCAAAAGTTGCTGTTGTAAGATTTCACAACACTGCAAAAAGAAATTCAATGCAGTATGAACAGCCTTTTGATTCAGCTAATGATATTAAAATATGTAAATACATGGAGAAGCACATTGATTATCCCCACATTCATCAAATGTTTTTAATAAAATAGGGTGTTGTAAATCTAACTTTAAATTATGTTTTTAGTAGAAAGAGATGAGAGGTGGAGATGTCTGAGATCCACATTGGTGGACGTTAAACTCTTCCCTGTAGGCACCCTTTCTATAGTTTATAGCTCCCAAATTGTCTTTATTGTTGATCACATCAGCACTCTTCTTGGTTGTGGATAGAGAATAAGTAGAGAGAGAGGATGTTGGAGACCTACATGGCCACTTTCTTCAGCCCTTTCCTTCAATGTCCTGAGGCCAGCATATGTTCTGGATAGTATTAAAAATCTTGTTGCCCAGACTGTCAGGGTGCTGGCAATATTTATTTATTTATTTCCTTCCTTCCTTCCTTCCCTCCCTCTCTCCTTCCCTCTTTCCTTCCTTCCTCACTTCCTTCCTTCCTTCCACCCAATCACCTATGCAAGAGACATTGATTAAAAATCTACACTGACCCAGGAACTACACAATATAACTCTATTTTTTGTTCTCTATTTTTATTTGTTACGTGATGAATGAAAGTCTTTCTCGATATGTATATTGGAGAGCCAGTATGGTGACAAAAATTCTTCCTATTTGCTCTAGAACAGCCACACTGGGGAAAGTTGCACTAAAAAGTTTGCCGGTTAAAAGAATGAAAAGATGAGCCACAGACTGGGAGAAAATATTTGCAAAACACATATCTGATAATGGTTTGATATACAAAATATATAAAGAACTCTTAAAACTCAACAGTAAGAAAGCAAACAGTCCCGTGAAAAAGTGGGTAAGAGATATGACCAGACACCCCACAAGAGAAGCTATACAGATGGCAAACAAGTATATGACAAGATACTCAACATTATATGTCACATTAGGGAATCACAGATTAAAACAACAATGTGGTGCCACTGTACACCTATTAGAATGGCTAAAATCCAAAACATTGACAACACCAAAGGCTAGCCAGGATGTGGAACAACAGGAATCTCATTCATTGCTGGTGGGGATGCAAAACGGTACAGTCTCTTTTGAAGACACTTTAGCAATTTCTTATAAAACTAAACATTGTTGATCACATCAGCACTCTTCTGATCCTGCTCAGACTGCTGAGTGGAAGTAACATTCTTTTGCTTATTATTTTATAGTATTTGAGGATAGACCTACTCTGACAGATGGTTGCTTTCCCTTTTATGCACACATCTGCCTCAAACCTCTTATTCTCGGGGCTGAAAAAACTGTAGCATAATAGTTTTTTAAAAAATCAAGCTAAAACTAGCAGGTCTAACACAAGGTAATTACTTCTCAAAACAACACACCTTGCAACTAGGAAGTCTCAGAAAGACTCTAAACAGCCATAGCCAGCCCATTACCCTCAATGTATTTGGGGATAAAAGAGCCTCAGTAAATACAGGGCGTATGAGCCATTGACTTTGCCATCCCATGCCTGTCAGGCTGGTGGAGTATTGACAGAGGAGCTGCAGCCAGTGATGTTATTGTGCTAGCAGAAGAACTGGTCATGTCCTCATGCTGACCCAACCATGATCTTTCTACACTTATTAGAATCTGCTTTCACAGTAGTTCACAGGTATCCTTCAGTCCCAGATTGTTAAAGGAAAATGTGTCTAGAACAAAAGTCCTAAAGAAGAAATTGAATTAACAACTCATTTCATTCTATAATACTCCAGTTAAAATGAAGAAACTCTCATTTTTTTTGCCCTTCTCAGTTTATCACATTGAGAAATACAGATTGCTAGTCTATACCAACCATGGGTTATTAGCATTTCACAATCATTAACATTTCATTACCCTTTTTTCTTCTCAGTACAAAATGTCACTGGAAATATATGTGAAATATTTAGGAATCTTGTATAAAATATATAAAAGAACATGAAAAATATGAACATTTAAGGATAAGAGGAGCAAAGCACTTCTCAAAATGTCTTGTTAGTTTCCTATTTGAATTCTAAACTCTTGGTTAGATGCTTAAGTCAATCCTGCCTAACTGAATGTGATTTTCCACCTCTCCATCCCTGCCCAGTATTGCATATCTGCTATCTACATTCACATATTTATGTAGTTGGCTGTGTCTGCAGAACCTGGAGATTCTGGACATAGGATTTTATTATATGTGTTTGGGATTATTGAATCACCCACTCCACATTATATTAAAGTCAAGAACATTGGATTTTCTAAATTGGTTTTGAAATAGATAAAATTTTCTAGGTATTTCAATGACCCTCTCCTTTGTCTAGGAGACTCAGGGATTTGCTCACTAGTTATGCTGATGGCTTTATTGAGTGCACACAAGTTAAGTTATGCACTATATGAAAAAGTTACTTTAGATTCAGTCCCTGACCAGCAGTCTCATAGCCTTTATTTAATACTGGCACTTAAAAGCAAACAAAATTAACTGCACTTTTACTGAAATATAATTGCTATTGTATAATGGAAAGGAAATTATGTTTTTTTCCTTTTCTATCAGCATTGCTTGGTGGTGATAATTTTGACCATGCAGTGAGAGAAATAAAAGATGCCTATTTTATGAAAGCATTTTTCAGTAATACAAGTATGTCCATTTTAAGTGAGAAAGTGATTTTTGGGACTAGAATTAACCACATGATATTTGAGTTGAGTATCAATGCCCACTATTTGAGGCTACTGCTTTGTTGCAGGAAGTCAGGGACCCCGAATGGAGGGACCGGCTGAAGCCATGGCAGAAGAATATAAATTGTGAAGATTTCATGGACATTTATTAGATCCCCAAATTAATACTTTCATAATTTCTTACACCTGTCTTTACTGTAATCTCTGAACATAAATTGTGAAGATTTCACGGACACTTATCACTTCCCCAGTCAATACCCTTGTGATTTCTTATGCCTGTCTTTACTTTAATCTCTTAATTCCGTCATTTTCATAAGCTGAGGAGGATGTATGTTGCCTCAGGACCCTGTGATGATTGCATTAACTGCACACATTGTTTGTAGAGCATGTGTGTTTGAACAATATGAAATCTGGGCACCTTGAAAAAAGAACAGGATAACAGCAACGTTCAGGGAACAAGAGAGATAACCTTAAACTCTGACCGCCGGTGAGCCAGGCAGAACAGAGCCATATTTCTCTTCTTTCAAAAGCAAATGGGAGAAATATCACTGAATTCTTTTTCTCAGCAAGGAACATCCCTGAGAAAGAGAATGCATCCCTGAGGGTGGGTCTCTAAAATGGCCCCCATGGGTGCAGCCGTCTTTTATGGTCGAGCTGTAGGGATGAAATAAGCCCCAGTTTCCCATAGTGCTCCCAGGCTTATTAGGACGAGGAAATTCCCGCCTAATAAATTTTGGTCAGAACGGTTGTCTGCTCTCAAACCCTGTCTCCTGATAAGATGTTATCAATGACAATGTGTGCCCGAAACTTCATTAGCAATTTTAATTTCGTCCCGGTCCTGTGGTCCTGTGATCTCGCCCTGCCTCCATTTGCCTTGTGATATTCTATTACCTTGTGAAGCACGTGATCTCTGTGACCCACACCCTATTCGTACACTCCCTACCCTTTTGAAATCACTAATAAAAACTTGCTGGTTTTGCATCTTGTGGGGCATCACGGAACCTACCGACATGTCATATCTCCCCTGGACGCCCAGCTTTAAAATTTCTCTCTTTTGTACTCTGTCCCTTTATTTCTCAAACCGGCTGATGCTTAGGGAAAATAGCAAAGAACGTACGTGAAATATCGGGGGTGAATTTTGCCCGATATCTGGCTGAATTTCCCCAATACTGCTTCTCAGTGAGATTCAAGTTATGTGGGAGACCAATATCCAATCATTTACTCCAAAAAAGTCTCTGATCTGCTCATAGCATCATTTTCTAATAACAATGTGAGAGATAGATTTATAAACTGTTCAGGAAGACTAACACGAGTCCCTGTTGGAGCTGAGAGACTGGGATAGGAATAACTGGCACTTTTTTTTTTTTTTCTTTTAGCAATGTTTTAGGTTAAAGGGCAATATTAATCCTCCTTTAGAATCAGGTGGGTCATTTGAGGTCAGGAGTTCAAGACCAGCCTGGCCAACATGATGAAACCCTGTCTCTACTAAAAATACAAAAATTAGCCAGGTGTGGTGGCTCACACCTGTAGTCCTAGCTATGTAGGAGGCTGAGGCATGAGAATCGCTGGAGCCTGGGAGTAAGAGGCTGCAGTGAGCTGAAATCATGCCATTGCACTCCAGTCTGGGTGACAAAGTGAGATTCTGTCCAAAAAAAAATTATGCATTTTCTTATTTTCTCTGTATTCTCTTGAGACGACAGCTCCAGTCATTAGAAAATGTAAACTCAGCTTTCCTTTTTACCTTTGGTTAAAAAAAATAAAAAAGTATTCACAGTTCTCTTCACAACTAGGCTGGCTTACTTTGGCCTGTGTTTTTATTTGCTCTTTTCTCCCCTATGTTGCCTTCTTTGTGCCCTGTTTTTCCCTTTCTGCTTCTTCTGAGTCACATGTTGACGTAACTCAGTGTGAAGCCTGGGGTTTGAGAAGATGTGGACGCCAAGTCCAGGTACACAGAGATTTTTGTCTGATAACACCACATACACTCCGCCTGCAGACTTCCTACATTGGAAACATCGCATTTTCAAACGCCAATTTGCCAAGCAGGTTGGCTGTGAATGTGCCTGCCTTCTGCTGCTTGTCGATGTGAGGCTGACTCGCTCCATTCCTCTAACTCTTGGGCTTCATTCGTGATTTAGCCACACTGATAAATATAGCTTCTTTTTGAAGTAGAGAGTCTAGATTTTTTTTCTCTCAGGCTTTAAAAAAATGGATTGCTTTATTCCAAACTTTATTTTTGATGAAATACAACTCACAACTCATCTTGGAAAAAAAAGCTCTTCAAATTTTGAACTGTTGAAAGTTTGAGTCTGAGGTGATATGACATGTTTTTGATCATTCAATAACTTTATTTCCTTTCTTCTCGATTGCTTCACAAGTTGGAAGTTACATGCACCTAATACCACTGTTCCTATTTGATGTTCTCAGATGTGAACAGGGGTGATGCTTCAATCCTTAATTAAATCTCCTCTTGCCCAAGCTCACTTCTACATTTTTACTAAGTTCTTTTCTATTCTATTTATAGTTTATGTATGTCTGAATTACATAGAATGTATGAGAGGGAAAGAAACATAATAGAGAAAATAAAGAGATACAAAGGAAAGAATAAAGTGAATGAAAAGACAATTCAAAGGGGGTGAGAATCTGAGCAATGGGTAGGAAATTTTAAGAAGAAATGGAATAGGGTTTCTACCTAAGAATATGAAATATTTCACTAGGTGTAGTTAGACAACTTGGCTTCTTTCATGAAACAAAACATAAAACTGGTATGTTTTCATAAAGAAATGTTCCATATTTTAAGACTGCCAAAAGATGACACCCACACATGCCGGTGGAATTTGGTAACATTTAACTGTGTGAAAACAAGAGGTCTCAAAGATAATGATTCAGAGTCGGCAGAGTGTTTATTTATCTTTGATTTAGAAAAGACATTGTCTGTTATTTGGCTGTAGATATGTCTTAAGGACTCTTTTAGGTGTGGTCTTGCTGAAACCAAGAGCTTAAGGCAAAAACAGACATGCTTTCCCCTTTTTGATGTTCATGCTGCACCAAAATACACCTAACATCTATGGTCTATGCTGGGAGACCCTCCATGATCACTTAACTTTAAATAGACAGATGGATAAATAGATGGTACTTGCTCTTACTCAGCACTGGTCAAATTTTTACAAGAATGTACTTTCCAGCTTGGAGCTCCACATCTTAAGAGAACTCTAACATTTGGGAAAGATTCAGAAGAGACTGTGAATGTTGATGAGAGGGTTGGAAAATGGAACTTATAAGAAAGAGTTAAAGAAATTGGAATTGCTTTTCTTGGAGAAGAGAAGTAACCTGGTAACAGTCTTCCCATTTTTGAAGTTACATAATATACATGATGATTGCCAAGTGTTTTCCTTCTCTATCAAAGAACATCAGAGGTCAAGTGCTCACACTGCATATATCACATATAAGGAAAACTTGTTGCTTGTGGTGGTGGTAGTGTTAAAAAGATAAACTGGTAACCATTGGCTTTGTAAAAACTTTTCTGGAATTACTTAAATATTGGATAGTTTTTTGGTCTCATATTTTCTGAGGATTGGAAGATAATACTTATGTCATAGTTCTTAATGCATCATGATTTATAAGTCTATAAGAACAAAAATGTATTTTAAAGAAATAAGTGTAGATAATGGCCCAAGATTCATAGAATCTATAATTTACTTTCCGTTAAATAAGTGAAACCAAGACAGGAGATGTGGTTTCCATAGTGACTTTAGGAGTAAACATTTTAGTGTGATACTCTGATTTCTTAAAAAAACACTGCTGCTAATTGACATAAGGAAAGGTAAAATCAAGTGTGTGTGTGTGTGTGTGTGTGTGTGTAAAATATACAATAGATACTATGTATAATAATACAATATACAATAGATATATGTATGCTAAGTTATATGGCCACCTAAGAACCTCAGTTAGAATTTTATTTTTTAAAAAAAGAGAAAAACCCCAGAGCTCTTTCTTTTCTTTCTTTTTCTCTTTCTTGCTTTCTTTCTCTTTCTGTCTCTCTTCCTTCCTCTTCCTTCCTTTTTTCTCTGTCTTTCTTTTTCTTTCTCTCCCTTTTCCTTCCTTCCTTCCTTCCTTTCTTTCCTTCTTTCTTTCTTCCAACTAAGTTTATTCTTCTAGTGATCCCCAAGTAGATATGCTGCTATGCAAAACTCCTTGTGTGAACCAATATACTTTAAATATTCCTCATGTTCCCAGGTTGTAAAATAAGCTGATCAATTCAATAATAAAACAATTTGAATGTCTATCTACTCTATAGTCACTGGTGATGTTGGTTATTTGGTTACCTCAATGAAGAAATAAAACTCATTGAATTCTTTGGCAAATTTCTACTTTTTGTAGTGCTAGGATCATAGAAACATAGTCTCATGATTCATCTGCATTTTAAGCTCTAATAGAACACATCACATTTTAGGGGGAAAATCAATTTTCACCTAATGTTAGCAAAAATGAGATTAAATATTGCACTTATCAAAAATAGCATTATGTGTTTTCCATGATGCAGGGCTATATTTATGTTTTGGTTTTTAATCATACAAATGCATTGTATTCTGTTTTCAGTTCCACTCTTATCACTAGAAGCATTTCTTTGTGCTGAGTAGAACTACAAATATACACATAATTCTCTATGAGTAGGCACAAACAGCTTTGCTTTTAAAATTTTGGCAGCAAATCATCTGCTATGAAAACATGGTTTAATAATTTCTGGTGGAAATATATTAATACCACAGGCTTTCAGATTAAGTCATAAAAAGAAAGGTTTAGATTTTTGTCTTTCACATTTTATTTTAGAAAAAAGACATACCACACAGGCTCACACCTGTAATCCCAACACTTTGGGAGGCCAAGGCAGGTGGATCACAAGGTCAGGAAATCGAGACTATCCTGGCCAACATGGTGAAACCCCGTCTGTACTAAAAATACAATAATTAGCTGGGCGTGGTGGCCTGCACCTGTGGTCCTAGCTACTTGGGAGGCTGAAGCAGGAGAATGGCGTGAACCTGGGAGGCGGAGCTTGCAGTGAGCCGAGATTGCACCACTGCACTCCAGCCTCGTGACAGAGCGAGACTCCATCTCACAAAAAAAAAAAACAAACAAAAAGACATACAGTGTTTATTTAATATAGTGGTTTTGCTTAGATGCTCACTTTTGAAAGTTATTTAATTGGGGGGAATGAAAAATGTTTTAAAACTTTATTGTGGACATTTTCAAACATTCAGAAAAGCAGATAGGATGGTGTAATGAACTCTTATCACCCATCATTCAACATTTATTAACACTCTGCATTCCCACTTTACTTACCCCTACCTCTCTCCCTTAAAACAAACATACAAACAAACAAACAATAACTTTACTGGAGCTTAAATGCACTTAAACTTCCTTTGGGAATTAGTGATATTTTTGTCAGTGTCTAAAATGTAAGCATTTTTATTAGTCAATTTATTCATAATTTTATACTAACATTTTGCTACAGAATACTGAGTATATTAATTTCCTGTGACTGCTGTAACAAATGACCACAAACCTAGTTGCTTACACCACCACCAACTTATTATCTTATAGTTTTGGAGGTCAGAAGTCTGAAATGTGTCTCAGTGGGCTAAAATCAAGGTGTCAACAGCAATGTGTTACCTTCTGGAGGCTCTAGGGAGAATCTCTTTTCTTGCCTTTTCTGGCTTGTAAAGGCTGCCTGAATTTCATGGTCTCCTCCATCTTCAAAACCAGCAATTGTCAGTTAAGTCCTTCTCACATAGCATTACTTTAACTCTTCCTTTTCTGCCTTTCTTTTTCTCTTATAAAGACCCTTCTGATTACATTGGGCCCAACTGGAAAATCTCATCTTTAGGTCAGCTAATGAGCAACATTAATTCCATCTGTAACTACCATTTACTTTTGCCAAGTAACCTAACATAGTCATAGGTTCTGAGCATTAGGATACCGACATCTTTTGGGGCCATTATTTTGCCTACCACGTAGGGCATATTTTATATTGATTTGCAAATATACATTTATGTCTTTCATGTGAAATGTATAATATAGATTTAACAGTCATAGAGAAATAGCAAAGAAGTATTTTACCATATTCTTTGGGTTGAGTCCACATCTAATTATGTGGCCTGATTATTCTTTAACTCACTGTTCAATCTGAACACACACAGTAGTAATTATCATCTCATATTTGGGAGAGTAAAGTAAAAAAACAGCAATAATAACAAAAATAGGCCAGGTGCAGTGGCTCACACCTGTAATCCCAGCACTTTGGGAGGCATGTGGATCACCTGAGGTCAGGAGTTTGAAACCAGACAGGCCAACATGGTGAACCGCTGTCTCTACTAAAAATACAAAAATTAGCCAGGTGTGGTGGTGCACACCTGTAATCCCAGCTACTCGGGAGGCTGAGGCAGGAGAATTGCTTGAACCCAGGAGGCGGAGGTTGCAATGAGCTGAGATGGCACCACTGCACTCCAGCCTAGGGGACAGAGTGAGACTGTCTCAAAAAAACAAAGCAAAACAAAACAAAACAAAAATGACCACGGAACAGATCAATTACAGTAGAATAGTTTACGCAGGTGGAAGGGCCTTCTGACCAGGAATCTTAACATCACAATCTATACATTTATTTATCCTAGAGTATGTCTGTAGCTCTGTTACCTAGGATGCCTCAGCCAACTGAAATGATAGGTACTTTCTCTCCGGCTTCACAACTTTGTCTTCCACAGACTGCCCTAGGCCCCCATGCCATGCCCAGACACTTATTTTCCCTTCATTGTGTTCCCTAATATTATGGTCAGTGGGGAGGCCTCTTAGATTTGCCTTACAGTGAAGAGGGATGGTGTAATTTCACTGTTGCCACTAGCCATAAAGTTGCAGACAGAGAGGCTACAGATGTGGAGCAGATGTGCATAATGATCATTTAAAAAATTCTTTGTATAGCTCTCATAAAAAAGTGACTGTGATAAATGTTTGTGTGTTTGGTGCTCACATTCTATTCTATTATTTAAACAGAATCATTAACTTGTTTGTACTTTACAATCTATTTTTATTTGCACTAAAAACTATTTATTACTACATTATTTCTCTTGAGCTTGGGAGGATGACAGCTTTGCCCTCCCTCCCAATTTAGGATGAATTCATTTACCTTTCTCTTTTTCTGTTCTAGACGGAGTTGTTCCAAAGGATGGGGAAACACCTTCCTTGAAAGGAGCATATCTCATGGAGGCAGCATCAGCATTAGAACCAGGTGAAATCTGAGCCCAGACACTCGATCTAGTTAATTTCTCTGAGCCTTCATTTCTTATTTGCAAAATGGGACTAACAATATAATCCATAAAGTTTCTGTGAGAAAATGCAGGGATAATTATAGAAAGCAGGTAGTGCTGTATCTGGTGGATTAAAGGTCTGTTCCCTTCCCTTTCCTATGGAGGAGGCCATGCCACTAGAAAAACACCTTTAGACCCACAAACTTTTGCTTTTAAATAAAATTAGTTTCCTATTTGTGGGTATCATGAAAATTCTTAGATAGACTTCCACAAAATTTGGAAAGTATTGTTTAGGAAGATCTGATTTAGAATTTGGGTTATGTGGCATATGATAAGAATCACTTTAGGAGATCCTGGGAAGCCTCAAAGAAGTAGGCAGTCATCATACAGGAGCTGAAAGTAGGGTTGAACAAGGGGTATGAATAAACGTCATTTAGGAGAGGCCTGTCATATTCAGTAATATGCCCATAGATGGAACAAAATGGAACATTGGTTTCCAATAGGTCCTTAAATTGAAAGCCATAAGGGTAGGTGCTTTGCAAAGCAGGTATGATTTGTATCCAAATTACCTCTCACATGGGCACCTTGTGGATTTCTCTGGACAGAAGTGCAGCAGGAACCTACTTTTTAATGAATAATGGTTATTGAGTCATTCAAACATCCCAGAATAGCCAGTGGGACCTGGCTGTTCTCCCTTCAAGTTCTTCGCCACCTGTAAGTCACAGAGCCACAGCTGTGGTTCTTCTGCAGGGGCCACAGAGCCCTTCCTCTGCACTTGGAAAAAAATGTCATGTGCTGACTCCAAGAGTGAGTCTTCTGGGGGTACAGGAGACACAGAAACAGAAACTTTCCAAGAAAAACACACTGACTAAACCAAATGACAGAGCAGAAAACATTTTCTGATAAGGCAAAGGGTAATAACTTGGTGAGAATTACACAGGTAATTAAATAGTTGTTTCCAAGGGCTAGGAAAAGACAGGCATCGTCTGTGTTGGACAGAAGGGGAGTTTTGGATTTATTAACATGGATATGAGGGTTTAGGGTTATTTGTGTTTGTGGTAAAGAGCTCAGAGAAGAAGTCTTTATTTACTGCCTAAAGATTTAGTAAGTCAATTTGTTCCCTGCCTTCTATCTCATCCACAGACAATATCTTCTTAAATAGGATACTAGATTGCATGCATGATGTTAAACAAACGTGGAGTAGGAAAATCACCTTATTGAAATAGCTCTTGAGGTGTCCTTAACTCACAAGAACATTGGGAAATTTTCAGACTTTCTCACCAACAGAGGACATAAATACCAAAGGCAAGATGTAAAGTTATGCAAACCTCTGTGGCTGGAATAAATATTTTGTACTTATGGAAAGTCCACTAGAAGACCACTTCTGAATTCAGATCTGTATCAATTAATGGAAGAAAAAAATGGGTTGGAGGAGCCAAATGGGGAATGTTACAAGACGTATTAATGTATAATCAAAATTTAGAAATAGAGGTGGTTCTGAATTGGAATTGGCTTTAGATAAAATACAGAACAGGAAAGAATGGGAGTCCTCTGTTCTAGAAGGGTAGGCTGGCTACAATCGGGTGAATAAGACAATTTCATAAGAAAACGTTTTGAAAGAATATGAGAGGAAACTGCAAGAGCAGAAGAAAGTAATAAACTCATTGCACAAGAATTTCAGAAGAACTAGGGTCAAAAATACAGTCACAATCTGGCAGCTTTCAGGAGGAGGTGGGGAGTAGATAAGGACAAAGAGGTGGGAAGGGAGATAGGGCCAAGTCCAAAGTGCCTTTCAGACTCTCCCTGAGTCAGCAAACCTTGCTTCTTTTTACTTTTACTTTTTCTGTGGGCTCTGAATGGTTCTTTTAATCTATATTCAGGCAGAGTAACAGGCGTGATGAATTTATAATGTAAAAGGTACACTTTGGGAGGCTGAGGCGGGAGGATCACGAAGTCAGGAGATCGAGACCATCCTGGCTAACACGGTGAAACCCCGCCTCTACTAAAGATACAAAAAATTAGCCGGGCGTGGTGGCGGGCGCCTGTAGTCCCAGCTACTCGGGAGGCTGAGGCAGGAGAATGGCGTGAACCCGGGAGGCGGAGGTTGCAGTGAGCCGAGATCACGCCACTGCACTCCAGCCTGGGCGACAGAGTGAGACTCCGCTTCAAAAAAAAAAAAAAAAAAAAAAAGCCAGAAACGCTCACTAGGCAAAAAAAAAAACTTCTCTTCGAGCAGCCTGGTAGGGCCTCTAGCTGGAGAATATTCAGTTGTGTTAAGGCATCTTAGTAGAGCACCAGTGGTATCTGGAAGAAGGTGCCCCCAAAAGCCTCTATCCCTCATCAGCAGGTTTACACAATTCATCGAACAGATTTAATAGTTACAGATTACTCTGTTAACTAGATTTTGAGAAAACAGTGCAGAGTGTTGGCAGAGCAAAGAGAGAAAATCAAATTCTGGAGTGTGGAATGTTTACCCAAAAGAAATGGCAGTAGCAGGAACTAGGAGCCTGAAGGGGGTGCCTTTGTGTAAAAATGTTTTTGATTTCTGATGCCTACAGCTGGATTTTTAATGTAGCTCAAGTCCGACAGAATGCAGGTAGGAAAAAGAAAGCAGCAATGAATTGTTTGCCTCTTCTTTAAACTCTGTTTCTGAAAATAAAATTTGTTAGTATTTTAAACTTAAAACCCTTCATGATTATTATATCCTTAGTTCTTATGTGTCACTGATATACTAAAATAGGTTGTGAATATGATAGAAAGTGAGATGAAAGAGAGAGAGTGTGGTAAGGCTGTGGGTCTGTGAAACTCCAAGGCCAGATGCTGCTCACCTTATTATGGAACAGGTATGTTGATTCAAGCACAGGGTCAAAGGAATGGGCCAGGGTGACTCTTTTTGGAATAATAGTGAACATGTGTTACTCACTCATAGACTCAACCTGCTGATTAATATATGTTATCTCTTGAATTTGAGAATGAAGTTGTACAATTCCCATTTATAGTTGTGGAAGCTAAGGCTCAGAGATACACAGTAACTTGCTGTGTAGCCAGTTGTGGCAAAAAAAAAAAAAAAAAAAAAAGAATTTGTATTTATTTCTGTCTGATCCTAAACAGGTGTTTTCCAGGTATGCACCCTTCCTGCTCACATTTTGATTGGTTTTGAATTCTTGTGTATTATTGACTGTCTACTTCACTAACATCAAGTATAAAACAAAAAATGTATTGCAGCCTAATGTTTAGCTTCTCTACTCTTTTATATTGCCTATATTTCCAGTTCCTTAGATTTGCAAAAGTTATGAAGTTAAATATAAATCATACCTGCAATTGCATTAGTATATTGGTATAGTGCCCTTTCATTGAGTTTGCAGGAAGTGAGCTGTCTTTAAGAATATCCAGTTGTAGGAAGTTCCTCTTTTTCTTTTTTTGTTACTCTCAAAAAGTCTTTGGTCTTTCCTTGTAGTAAATTACTAAGCACTCTAGTTTGGCTGATTTCTAGATTGAATATTAAAGAATTCTATGATAAAGCAAACTTTAAAAAATTACAAACACTGAATATTTTTAAAGTCAAAGAATAAAATCTGCAGAGGCTGTCCATTGGATGTGATTCAGCCACATGTGTTTTTGGTGCAGATTTTTCTCCCTTTCAGTGAAAATGTCTTTCTATTTTCTTGACTTTGATCACTTTGGTGTCAGGGTGCTTTATACTCAGTGGTCATCTGTCAGCCTTTTCATAAGTCAGTTTCTTGCATCCATCTGGTGAATGGCAAAAGATTTTGGTTTAGGCAATTGCATGCATTACTCAAAAGACTGTGGAGACTTTGAGAAGGAAAGAAGGAAAATCTTCATTGCATACTTTTAACTCTTTTTTTTTTTTAAATTAACTTCCCCATCAGAGTGTTTGAAAAAACATTTTGATATGGCATGTGAAATAAGAACAAGAGGAGGTGAGAGGCCTTTGATCTGTGTGCTCTCCTGAAATACGCATGACCAGCTCTAGGATAAAGAGGGTGAGAGGCTTGTGTTTTGCACCCACATCTCTCTTTCCATCAGTTCCTCCCACTCAGCTGCGTGGTCTTCTTGTTGCTCAGAGCCCTACCTTTTGATCTGGCTGCCAGAGCTGCATTTCTTTTGGGTAAACGTTCCACACTCCAGAATTTGATTTTCTCTGTTTGCTCTGCCAACACATAACTGCCCTGTTCTCCCAAAATCTAATTAATGGAGTAATCTGTTAAACTATTCAATCTGTTCAATGAATTGTGTAAACCTGCTAATGAGTGATAGAGGCTTTTGGGGGCTCCTTCTTCCAGATACCACTGGTGGTCTACTAAGATGCCCTCACACAACTGAATATTCTCCAGCTAGAAGCCCCCACCCAGGCTGCTGGAAGAGAAGTTTTTTTTGCATAGTGGTTGATTTTGGCACCTTTTACGTCATACATTCCTCATGCCTGTTACTCTGCCTGAATATAGATTAAAACAACCATTCAGAGCCCACAGAAAAAGTAGACAAGCAACTCTGAAATTAGGGTATAGGGCTGGAATATGGAGGATACAAAAGAGTCTACATTAGCCCCAAATCTGGCCATCACATGGGAGAGGCAGCTGACACAGATATCTAGAAAGCAAAGCAGAGGCTCATAACTCCTGCAGATTTCGGGAGTGTAGTCTGGTAGCCTGACTTCCAGGACCAGTTTATTCATTTACTCATTATTTTATTCTTTCATTCTTTCACATTTCTTGTACAACTATTATGGGTCAGTCATATGTGGTTAAATGCGCTAACAGTTCTGTCATTTTCCTGGTTGGAAAAGTAGAGTCAATTTACAAAAAAGAACAAAACTAGGGTTTCTGAAATAAAGATTTGTAATTTGCTTTTTTCATGCAGGTGCAAATTATCTTAAACTGATATAAAAAAGAAGAAACAGAAATTTTAAAATATATGTTTTTTACAAATGTGTACCATCTAATTATCAGCTAGAAGTCTTATTCTGTGAAGAGCTAACACAGGTTCTAGTGTAATAATAATAATCAGCATAACATTTATTGAGTATTTACTGTACATGCCAAACAACTGTGCTGTGTGTTTAACATGAATTTTTGCATTTAATCCTTAGGAAAAATTCTGTGAGACAGGTTTGTTATTACCTTCCTTTCCCAGATAAGCAAGCAGATCAAGAAATGTTGATCGCATAGCTGGAATTTAGAGCCTGAAATTGAACCCAGGCAGTCTGACTCCAGAGTCTGCAGTCTTTTGTTGATGTTACCTGTCTCTACTCCAGCCACAGGTGGTTCACGACCTATGATGGTTCAACTTAATGATTTTTTGACTTTACAATGGTACGAAAGCATTTGGTAGAAACTGTACATCAAGTACTCGTATAACCATTCTGTTTTTCACTTTCAGTATAGCATTCAATAAATTACATAAGATATTCAACACCTTATTATGAAATAGGCTTTGTGTTAGATGATTTTGCCCAACTGTAGGCTAATAACATAGTTGTTCTGAGTATGTTTAAGGTAGACTAGGCTAAGCTATGGTGTTTTGGTAGGTTAGGTGTATTAAATGGATTTTTGACTTAGGATTTTTTCAACTTCCGATGGATTTATCAGGATGTAACCCCATCATAAGTTGAGGAGAATCTGTTATTTTAAACCCGTAGAATTAGCTGTGCCTGGTGGTAGGCACCTGTAATCCCGGCTCCTTGGGAGGCTGAGGCAGGAGAATTGCTTGAACCTGGGAGGTGGAGGTTGCAGTGAGCTGAGATCGTGCCACTGTACTCCAACCTGGGTGGCAGAGCAAGACTCCATCTCAAAAAAAAAAAAAAATTTTTTTTGAAAGAATAGTACAATGTATGTAAGAGTGAAGCAATAAAGATACATGCACATGCATGTTTATTGCAGTACTATTCACAATAGCAAAGACTCAGAATCAACCCAAGTGCCCATCAATGATAGACTGGGTAAAGAAAATTTGGCACATATACACCATGGAATACTATGCAGCCATAAAAAAGAATGAGTTCATATTCTTTGCAGGAACATGGATGAAGCTGGAAACCATCATTCTCAGCAAACTAACACAGGAACAGAAAATCAAACACCAGATGTTCTCACTCATAAGTGGGAGTTGAACAATTAGAACATATGGGCACAGGGAGGGGAACATCACACACTGGGGCCTGTCAAGTGGGGTGGAAGGCAAGGGGAGGGATAGCATTAGGAGAAATACCTAATGTAGATAATGGGTTGATAGGTGCAGCAAACCTCCATGGCACATGTATACCTATGTAACAAACCTGCACGTTCTGCACATGTATCCCAGAACTTCAGTATAATAATAAAAAAAGAAAAGAATAGTACAATGAGCTCCTGCTCATCCTTTGCCTAAATTCACTGAATGTTAATATTTTGTCATGTTATCTTTCTATTTAGGTATATGTGTATCCCTATGTGTATGTGTGTGTGTCTAAAACAATTTGAAAGTACATTTTAGACAAACTGTATCTTTAAGAACACTTATATTCTTCTATCAAGGGACAGACATTGCATTTGGCATATTGCTTTAGTTCCTGTAATCTAGAAAAGTCCTCCTACCTTTTTTTTCTGTTATTTGTGACATTGATATTTTTGAAGAAATGAGGTCAGTGTTCTTAGAATATCATACAAGCTAGATTTGCCTGGTTGTTTCCTTATGATCAGATTCAGTTAAACTTTTTTTTTTTTATCAAGAATGCTACAAAAATGATGGGCAATTCTCATGATTTCCTATTAAAAGACAATCTCAACTTGTCTGGCTGACCACAGGATCTCTCTATTATGAAGGTACCTTTTTCCTCTTTCTTTGATGTTCAAATTGCACCAAATTTACCCAGTGAAAACTTCCAAGCCAGCCTCTGTATTCATTTAAAACATATTCTTTAGTGTTTGAGCATTTCTTTACTTTTTTTTTTCTCAATAATTTTTTTGTACTTTTCCTGCCTTTGACCTGGAATCATTCATTTCTCAAAAAGCTTCGGTGCCTTTTAATCAGGAATGATATTTAGAAACTAAAGGTCTGGGCACTAGTGTATTCACTGAAAAAGGATTTTCATTGTTTTGATTTATTTTGTTTTCCTACTTATTTATTATGGTAAAAAAACACAACATAGAATTTACTGCCTTAACCATTTTGGAGTGTACAGTTAGGGCTGTTATTGCTTTTAGGCCTTTTGAAAGGGCCTAAAATACATACGAATAGAAACAGAAATATAAATTCATGAGTGTTATTATTTCTATCACATTAAATTATAAGTTTATATGATGTCACAGGGCTTTTTTCACCTCCTCTCATTTCATATTTGTAACTTCCTTTTCCTATAATGTAAATCTATATATTAATTGCTTTATTATACACAAAATAGTTTGTTAAACAACACCAATATCATTACCAATAAAAACCTACTCAGGTCAAGATTTCTTTACATTTGTTTTATTTTTAGACTATATCTTACTGAGAATATATTGTCAGAGTACTGCATTATAAAGTTATTTGAATTACCTTTTCTGACTTATTATGAATTTCAGCTATTCATTTTCTTTGTTTTGTTTTTAAATTTTATTTTCTGAACTGAAAAGTATTTGTTTGGTCCTTCCCACAGAACCTGTATTCTTGACCTACATTTTTTTCATTCATTCATTCATTCATTCATTCATTCACCATAAGAACCTGGTTCAGTTTTAGGCATTGAAATATAACAGTGAGCTGGAAAGTGAAGTCTCTCACTCCTTAGGGAAATGAACAAATAAAGATAGTAATTTCAGTGGTTCATAAATTCTGTGGAGAAAACTTAAGTAAGACAAAGACTGAAAACGGGCAGAAAGAGCTACTTTGGATTGGAAAATCAGAGCTGGCCTTTTAGAGGTGGGGCTTGAACTGAGACCTCGGTACAGAGAAGAGAGTCAGTTGGCTGGCAGAGTGAGCCAGGCCCGAGGCACCGGCTGTGAATGAGAGGCATAGTACTGGGAGGTGAGAGCAGGGAGACCATTCTGACATCCAGAGAGGGACCCTCAGGCCGCAGTAAGGAGTTCTGATTTTATTCTAGGTTATAGGAGACTGGAGGGGTTTTACTAGCAGAGAATTGTGAGATCTGGCTTGTATTTTTCAGAGATCACTCTGGTTGCTGTGTGGAAACTGGGTCCCAGGCGGACACAGGTGAAGGTAATAGGTCCAAGTTCAACAGCAGGAGTCCACAAAACACACTGGTGAGAGGATCTGGCTGAGAGTGAAGCAGTAACAGAAGGGGTGAAAAAGAAGTGAGTCAATTCAGGATATGTCAAAAGGCATCCTAAAAAATTATTTTTGAAATTTTATCAGTGTTCTAGTTTTCATAAAATTAAATTTTCTTTTGTATGAAAATTCATGAGAGATAAATTTTTAAAAATTTTCTGACTTTAAATCAATCTTGAATTTACAGAAAAATTGTAAGTACACTACAAAGAACTCTTTTTTTTTTTTAACACCATTTTGGAATAAGTTGGTGGCAGGATTTTCTGTCCCATCCTAAACTTTATAGTGTACTTCTTCTTCTTTTTTGAAACAGAGTCTTGCTGTGTCACCCAGGCTGGAGTACAGTGGCCCGATCTTGGCTCACTGCAACCTCCAGTTCAAGTGATTCTCCTGCCTTGGCCTACCAAGTAGCTGGGATTACAGGCATCTGCCACCCAGCACAGGCACGCCCAGCTAGTTTTTGTACTTTTAGTAGAGATGGGGTTTCACCGTGTTGGCCAGGCTGGTCTTGAACTCCTGACCTCAAGTGATCTGCCGGACTTGACCTCCCAAAGTGCTGGGATTACATGCACGAGCCACTGCACCCAGCCATTACAGTGTATTTCTTACCAACAAAAGCATTCTCTTCTATAACTGCAGGGTAACCATCAAAATTAGGAAACTAATATTGCTTGATGACTATGCTTTGAATCTCAGATCCCACTGACGTTCTGCGAGTTGTCCCAATAATTTTCTGTATAGAAAATTCAAGTCAGAATCACGTGTTGCATTTAATTGTCATGTCTCCATAGACCATGTCAAATCAGAACAGTTTCTTGGTCTTTCCTTGACTGCACGATCTAGACACGTTTGATGATGACAGATCAATTATTTTGTAAAATGTCCCTCAAAGGTTTGTCTGGAGTTTTCTCATGATTAGGTTTTCATTTTGCACATCTTTGGCAGTAGTATCATGGAAGAGATGCTGTGTTCTTATTGCATTGCATCAGGTGGCGCATGATTTTTATTTATTTTATATCTGATGCTGTTCACTTTAATCCTTTATTTAAGGTAGGGTCTGCCAGGCTTACATACTATAAATGACTGCTTTTTCCTTTGAAGCTAGTATGTATTTTGTTAGGAGGTACTTTGAAACTATATAAACATCTTGATCCATATCAAACTCTCCATTTATTAATTTCTGCATTTATATGAGTATGGATTCATGGTTTCCCATTTTATTAGGTAGATTATAACCCAATACTATCATTATTTATATTTATATAAATCATTCCAGATTTGGTCAGTAAAAGCCCCTTCAAGCTGGTTTCTGTGTTCTTTTGACATGTTTCCATCCTTACTTTCTGGCACAAAAAGATATTTCAAGCTCATCTTGTATTTTCATTGCTCCAGCCCTAAGATCAGCCATTTCTCCAGGGAGCTTTAGTTTATTTGGATGGAGAAAGGGAGTTAGAAGTCAAGATCTAAGTGCTGGTTTGTTCATTATTATATTTATATAGTTTCAAAGTACTGCCCAACAAAATGCATACTAATTGCAAAGGGGAAAGAAAGCAGTAATTTACAATAAATAAGCCCAGCAGATACCACCTTAACAATGTCATTGTTATCCACTCAGTGAATGAAGCTGGAGATGATGTGTACGTGTGCACACACACACATACATACACACATTTACATCTGTCTACCCACCTATCTGTCTACAAAACCACTGTTTTATACTGATACCTCCAATTCTATTCCAACATGACAGGATTCAGTCTAGCTTTTCTCCCTTTTTATATTTTCAACCACCTTCTCCAAAAGTGAGAAATCTGCCTTCAGTTATCTTTAACGTATTGATTTTCTCAATTGCCCTGTCTGTAACCAATCTGCTGCCTCCTGCCCTATGGAGATAACCCCCTCAACCCACTTGGATTTGGTTCAGGCATCCCCTAACCCACCTCCCATCCCGTCTCATCACCAGGCTATGTAGGTGCCCTTTTCCTCATCTGGTTGGATTCCAATGCCCTGTAACAGGTTATCCTGTGTGGATACCAGCTCAGACTTAGGGAGTCCAGACCAAACCACTGCTGCAGGACCCTCACCACTCTCCCAACTGTGGCCAACATGTCTACCTTGTCCAGGCTCAAACACTGAGTGCTGGTCATTCTTAGTCTCCAAACAGTGTAGATGCTGTCCTCACCTGGACCCCCATATTGGGCCAACTACTGCATGGACATCCTTTTGACTCAGCTCAAGCTTCAATACCTGACTCTAGGCCATCATTCCCCAAGAAAAATGTCAGGCATGAACACCCCATGGAGGACTCTCCACATGCACAGGTGCTCCTTATCCCATCCAGGGTTCATTACCCACAGTGAGCGGCTGTGTGTGCCCAAAATCCACTGTGAGTGGCTGTACGTGCTCATCACCCACTATGAGTGTACTTGTCCATTACCCACTATGAGTGGCTGTGCGTGTCCGTCACCTGCCGTGGGTGGCTGCGCGTCTGTCACCTGCCGTGGGTGGCTGTGCATGTATGTCACCCGCCGTGGGTGGCTGTGCGTGTCCGTCACCTGCCGTGGGTGGCTGTGCGTGTCTGTCGCCTGCCATGGGTGGCTGTGCATGTTTTGTCCTCATCATCATCTTGGGCTTCAGCACTTTGCTCTGGGCCACGGTGGCTGACTCTTTCCCCAGAACATGTGGATCCTTTGCTCAGCTTCACCTCATAGCATTCAGTCAGAAATGTTCATGAAGGGAAGAGGAGTAGAGGGAAGGGAAGGGGAAGAAGAAGAGGAAGAGGAAGGGGAAGAGAGAAGGAACTTAATAAAAGATCTGAGGCTAGATAAAATCATATAGAGAAAGGCAGTTTGAGAAATCATATTATACAACAACCAGATTGAACAATACTTTCAAGGCCAACAAAATAAAATAAACTTACAAAACTGAAGAGTACCACGATTTAACTGAGAAAAACCCTTAAAATTAAAACAAAATTTTTCAGAGAAAACATACCTACTGCTTTCAACTAAAGTTTAAAGAAATATTTTCCCTCCTGCTCTCTCTGTCTCAAAGGAATTTTATAGTTTTTAAAATACCATTTACAAAATCTTTCAAAATAGTGAATATTAAACATCGACCATCTTTATTTTCCAAGTAATGTGTTATGGTTTTAAGAAAAAGTAGGAACACTTTTGGGATAGTTGCATTTTTCTGGAGGAAATCTTAGAGGAAAATAAATGTCAGCCTAATATAAAAAACTAAGTAGTTTGGGCACTGTTGTGGAGAAAAACACCAACACCTATTACTTTTATTACCAATAAAATGAAACTTCATGTTCAGCATTAGAATTTTTCTCCCTCTTTTCATCAGAGTAAGCACCACTGTTTTCCTTGCTGTGCGCTCTGTGTTTGTACAAAGCCATTTGTAATGGCAGAAGGAGTCTTCTCCATCTGTCCCAACAGTTCCAAGCACAAGCATAACAGGATATATTTAAGAAAAGAACTCCTCCCTGTATTCCAGAGTTTTCTCTCATTCTGTGAAATGATTAAGATTTGGGATATGATGAAGGTATAAAAGTGAAGACAGGAGAAAAAAGTCATAATTTGAAAGTTATTTATCAGCTGACATAGAAAAGTTATATTAATAGTTATTACTTGGAAAACTCTTGTTTGATAATTAAACTCATATTCTTCAGGTCTTTTAGGTTCTGAAAACAACTCATTATACAAAAAACATTACCATAAATTTCAAAAGGTTCTTATTTCAGATCCATATAGCAATGTGAAGTGGCAAATGTAAGAAGTGATTTAAATAATTTAAAACACGTCTGCATCAGTTCTTTGGTATTTATTTAGAATACATTCAGGCCCCTTGATAATTAGTCTCACCATCTTCTTCACTTTGCTAGCATTAGAAATAACTCTGTTCCTCCAGATTTCTAGAACTCACAGGGCCTTCAGAACATGCAGGTACCTAAGGGCTCAAGGGCAACAGCCTCACTGGCACTAAGGGGCCTGTCCTTCCACCATATGTCTTTAAGATCATACTCTCATACTCTCAGCAAACTGGCATGAACCTCCTTACAGTGTTAGCTGAGAGATGGAAAGTTTTAATTAGTATCAGAGAAATGGATAATAATTTTTTTTTTTTTAGACAAGGTCTTGCTCTGTCACCCAGGCTGCAGTGCAGTGGTGCAATCTTGGCTCACTGCAAACTCTGCCTCCCAGGTTCAAGTCATTCTCCTGCCTCAGCCTCCTAAGTAGCTGGGATTACAGGCATGCACCACCACACCTGGCTAATTTTTGTATTTTTAATAGAGACAGGGTTTCACCATGTTGGGCAGGCTGGTCTCGAAGTCCTGGCCTCAAGTGATCGGTCCACCTTGGCCTCCCAAAGTGCTGGGATTACAGGTGTGAGCCACTGCACCCGGCCTAAAGGGACAATAATTTAGGGTAAAAGGTTGTCTTAGGACAACCTAGAAAAGAGCCTGAGGTGGGGATCCTTAAGTAAGGGATTTATGAAAGCCATGCTCTCAGGAGACATCTGTAAGGGAGTGAAGGAAGGAGGACAAGGAAGGGGGAAAACTAAGCAAAGATGTTGTGATGGTTAATACTAAGTGTCAACTTGATTAGATTGAAGGATACAAAGTTTTGATCCTGGATGTGCCTGTGAGGGTGTTGCCAAAGGAGATTAACATTTCAGTCAGTGCGCTGGGGAAGGCAGACCCACCCTTAATATGGGTGGGCACAATCTAATTAGCTGCCAGCATGGCTAGAATATAAGCAGGCAGAAAAATGTGAAAAAAGAGACTGGCCTAGCCTCTCAGCCTACATCTTTCTCCCGTGATGGATGCTTCCTGCCCTCGAACATCAGACTCCAAGTTCTTCAGTTTTGGAATTTGGACTGGCTCTCCTTGCTCCTCAGCCTGCGGACATGCAACAGCCTATTGTGGGACCCTGTGATTGTGTGAGGTAATACTTAATAAACTCATATATATATATATGATAATGTATATCTCAATATACTCATATATATAATCATATATATCTTAATAAACTCATATATATAATATTATATATATCTTAATAAACTCATATATATATATATATATATATATATATATATATATATATATATATTCCATTAGTTCTATCCCTCTAGAGAACGCTAATACAGAAGTGGTTTCAGGTTCATCCTCCTCCTGACCCGGAGAGGAACTCTAGACTCCACTCCACAGTCTGTATCTCCTCGCCATTCAGTTGTTGGCTCTGGGATGTCCAGGATGTGAGGATGTCACTTTCAGGTACTTCTCAGGAGGCTGTTCCCATCATCCAAGGGCAAATCTTAGGGAGGATTACAAGTGTGACTCATCAGTGGCATCATTGCAGCAACTGGTAAAAGGGATACTGGGATCTGAATGGGGCATTAGCAGAATCTATGACAGTCCATTCTCTGTGTTGCTCAATTCTATTTGTTTCTTACTCCAACCTATTACAGCTTTTCAATGCTTCTGGACCTCTGGGAAAACTTGAAAGAAGGGTGTGTGTGGAATGGGCTAGTGTACCCAATGCTACAAATGGTTCATGGACTCTAACGAATGTTCGTCATCTCCCTCCTTTACCACCCATTCTTGATTCATTTAACCCACAGTCTGCTGGTGACCTGCCTAGAGAGGAGAAGTTTTATTAATAATATTATTATTATTAATATCAGGGACAAGGACAATAATTTGGGGTAGAAGATTGTCTTAGTACAACCTAGAAAAAGAACCTGAAATGAGGATCCTTATGCAGGAGAAATCTATAGAAGACCCAGAACCTCCTTCCTGCACGTCTTGAGCTTCTACCACGCCTTTGTGTGGTCACGGTCCTGGTGGCTAGCCAAAGAAAATTAAGCCCTGAGAGTAACAAAAGATGGCCTATGTCCATCAAAATGCTGCACAAATTCCTGCTTGCCCCCATTACATACCAGCAGTCCTATCTCCTTATAATGGTCAGGGACAAGTTCTTCTGCCAGTGTGGGAACTCCTTTCTTTGCCTACTGATCTTCTAATGCAAGAAGTGACCAGGTGGTAGCCAAAACTTTAGGTGAGTGTGACTTTTACTGGAGGTGACGGTGAATGGGGTCATTTCTAGTTCTAGCCCTTGGGTACTAGATCCATATAGTCTAGCTACTGGGGACATAAGACCAATAAAATAGCCATTGGTAAAAATTCAGTGCGGCATCCTAATGAATTGCTTCTTATCTTCAAAGCTGTGTCTTTAAGAGGTCATTCTAATTATTTGTCATGCCAGTAGCTTCTGGATGGTGTGGTATTGGTATGACCAGTAGATTGCATGGTCATGCGCCCATAGTTACACCTTTTTTGCCAGAAAGTGGGTCTCTTGATCCAAAGTAATGTTATGCAGGCTACTAAGTCAGTGGTGAATCAAACAGTGGGGCTGGCTGAGGCACTGTAAGAGCAGTAAAGGTGAACTCATCTCTACAAGACACATCAGTTCTGGTCAGGATAAGTGACTGCTCCCTCCAGGATGTGGGGATCCATCTTAGAATGCATTGCTGCTGGTTTTGCCTTGGGAAGTTAGCAAATTCTTAGGCACTTCCAAGCAAAGTGACTTCAATTGCCCAAGGACTGAACGTAATGCCCCAGAAAAAGTTGCAGTGTGAACTGTTACCAGGAACACCTACAGCATTCAGTAAAAGGGATTTCCAAGCATCTGGCCTTTTTAGTTCTTCATACCATCTCAGGAGGAACAGGGACAATATTCTCAGATGGCCAGAGAGGCCAGCCTGGTAAAGTAATTGAGTGAAGCATGCCAAGTTGGAGCTATGGCCAGCTTGAGAGCTAACGCCCAGTCTAAAGGGAAGTACCAATTTATTATTGCCAGCATTGTCCGGTCTTACAATTTCTCATGAGACTCTGACAATCTAGATTTATTTTCATGTAAACTCTCTCAATTTTTAAAATACTGACAAATATATTATCAGGTTTTTAAAAATAGAAAACATGAAATTCCCAAATTAGGATAGATGGAGGAGGAAGGATGGCAGAGAGTGGATCTGCAGGAGTAGATGGAAGATATCCAGCACAATGATCGATTCAGAGTTTTCAAAAACACTCTGGGCCAATAGCTTCCAGGCATTATATTAGTCTTCTTGGGCTGCCATAACAAAATACCATAGACTGGAGGGCTTAAACAGCAGAGATTTATTTTCTCCCAGTTCTGGGAGCTGGAAGTCCAAGATCAGGGTGCTAGCATGGTCAATTTCTGGCAAGAGCTGGTCTCCTGGCTTGCAGACAGCTGCCTTATTGCTGTATACTCACATCGCCTTGGCTCAGTGTGTGCTCATGGAGAGGAGAGAGAGCTCACTGGCATCTCTTCTTATAAGGATACTAGTCTGATCAGATCACGGCCCCACCATAATGACCTCATTTCATCTTAATTACTTCCTTAGAAGCCCCATCTCCAAATACAGTCACATGAAGGTAAGGGCTTCAACATATGAATTCTGGGAGGACTTAAACACCCAGTCCCCTGCAGGCATCAGAAAAAAAAACCTTAGATAAAACAAAGGAGACGTGTCCCACAGCTAGCATTAAAACACCAGTGTTTGACCTCTGATACAAACAGCAACTACCTGCCTGCGTATAAGTTTGACCCTATATAAATGTGCTGTATTTATGTGTCCCAAACTGTGACTCAGTTAGACAGTATTTGGGTCACAATATGTGATTTACTGTTTAATTGATTACCCTGAGTTTTCACCTGTAAAAAGGAATAATGAGTAATATAGAAAAATTATAGAACTAGAAAATATGTTGCTGAGATTTTCACTTGAGACGCATTGTCTGGTTCATCGAGTATTGACCTAGTAATGTAATTGTTCTTTTTGACTTCACACGGAGCTATGTAGTTTAAAGCAGTAGGCAGTGGAACAGAAAACTAAAAACAATGTAGAATTGAAAATGGAAATCAGGCACATTGTTACTCTTAGTGTCAGAGTAAATTTAGATGTCCCAGCTGATTATGAATTTTAATAGGACCTTCCATCAGAAACCAAAAAGGGCCTCAAGGAGCTTAAGACCGTATTCCTCCGGCAACCAAAGTAATTGCTCTATATCTGTATTAACACCAAAGTGTAGTCACAAACAACTTCAGTACCACCTGAGAACTTGTTAGAAATGCAAAATTTTGAGCCCCACCCCAGATCCACTGAATCAGAAACTCTGGGAATGAAGCCCAACAACCCATTTTACCAGGCCCTCTGGGTGATTCTGGTGCATATTATGGTTTGAGAATCATTGCTGTATATAAGCAAGTTGATAGAAAGATGAACTCAGGAGAAGGGGAAGGAGCTACCTTTTACCGAGCTTCTACAATGTCCCAGGCACACTTTTAGGAGACTCATCAGCATCAGGGTATGAACCCAAATCTATCTAACTCTGAAGACCATGTGTTCATTCCATTTAGTCAAATTTCCTCACCTTCAAATATATATGAAGTATCTCAATTGGACCAAGTGCTTCTTATATGTTATCCTGTTTAATCTTTACACAGATATTAGGAAGTAGGCTACATTATTTCTATTTCACAGATGAAGAAGTTCAGATTTATAGAAGCTAAGTCACTTTCTCATGTGGCGTAGACAGTAAGTAGCATAGCTGGGTTGATACAAAGCCCATGATCTCACCTTGCCTCCCTGCACCAAACCTTTCCCTTAATTTTTAAAATCTTCTACCTCTGGTTGCCATTCCCTGCCTACTGCTAATCTGTTTTCCATATTAGAGGATTTCATCTTTCTCATCTTGCATCCTTCACCTGAACCACAGAACACAGGAAATGATTCAAATGACGATTCTCCCAGTTCTCCCATGGGTGGTTCTTAGCTAGTTCCAGGATAGCTGTGTGGTAGTGGGAGCTAATTCATTACACGCAGTGGAAGCCTTGGGCATCCGGGCTCAGCACTCTCACAGAACCCCCATCAGGAAAGCCTAGAAGACATATGAGAAACTCTTCTTATTCACCCATCTGGCAATTCATTTTGCTGTTTTCTTTCCAAGTTCCTCTTTGAATATCTTCCTTCAGTCAGAAAATTTGGCAAAAGAAAGCATGGTGTAACTGAGAAGACACTGAGCCAGGGCTCAGGAGATTTAAACCAAACACCTCTGCTAGGCAGATGTGCCTCACTTGATAATTCATTTTAATTTCCTGTTTTTTTCTCTTCACGGGGAAAATGTGGTCTGGATTAATGAATGTCGAGGGCCTATATGTCCAGCTCCAGCATGCTACTGTTTATGAAAAGAAATTAAGCACGGCTGTCAAATTCCCCTTCTTCATCCCAAAAAAGCATTGAAAAGGGAAATATACATAACTCATTATTGTGTGTATGTATGTCTTATTTGGGACCCTTTGAATATTACTCTATGTGGTTTTCTTGGTAGTCCCAATTATTTCTTCAGATATATATTTGGAGGGATCTTTGTTCACAAAGTATTTTCATTTAGGACTCAAGCTAGGATAAAGAGTAAGGCTTGTGGTTATCCTAACCATTCTTAAGAAGTCTTTCTGATGTCCCGAATCTAACCTACTGTGGCATGTAATTTTATTCAGTTCAATTCAATTCAACCAGTTTTACTGTGCAGTATTTTATCACGGGCACACCCAGTAAACATTATATTAACTCAAAAGCTAGTTAGAAATTCTATTCCAGTGGAAAAGGTTAATACCATGAGTGACTAGGCCTGCTAATTCATGCTTGTAGAGGTTATGGTAGAATATTCCCCAGTGAATTCATTTTGGAGGAGTAGAGTCCATTTTTATTCTTGTCTGGAGTGCGTAATATGAAGCTTTTCATATCTCTGAAGCTTTACATTAGCCATTTTGGGTTGGCTTTTTAAGAGACTCTCCTAGAAAGAGAACAGTAAAAACTCTTGCCTTTTATAATCATGCATCATCTTTCAGTCTACGTACATATATCAAGTTAAAAAAATTCATAAAGAAAATCTAAAATATACCACTCAAGCAAACTTAGACAAGTGTTGCATATTTTTGTAGAAAATCAAATTAGTCAAAATAAGATTTACAGAATGTTCCAAATCTCTATCAACTGGATTGTTTGTAGGTTAATCAGAGGAGATTTTAAATGACCAAAGGGAGGGATGGGGAAGAAAGACTCTCCTAACACTTAACTGCTTGCAGCTGCTATTTTAGCCGCCAGCCAATAAAGATTTATAAACAATCCATTCTTTGTTTCATGCTGAGGTCCTTCAGTACACAGAAAAGAGGATGAAATTCAGCATGGTTACTTTTGGCATAGGACTACTGGGCCCAAATCTACAGTTTATGCAAAACAAAGAATGAGAAAATGGAAGTATGAGGAAATAATTGGTATCAAGAATTGAATGATATGATCACTTATAACCATCCCCAGCCTAACCAGCTGTATTATTTACACACTAATAAATATTTCTGCTTAGGCATTTAATCTCTACAGATATTGGGTCAATAAGAGTGTAAGATTTTTGCAAATGTACAAATTTGCCGAAATCATCTAAAACTCTCCCAAATAAAATTAGTGTTCTTTCTCTTTTTAAGAATTGGGAGCTGTATACATGATTGACTAACTGTGAGAGTTAGACTATAAGACATGAATACAGGCTGGGCAGTGGATCATGCCTATCAACTCAGCACTCTGGGAGGCCAAAGTGGGTGGATCTCTTGAGTCCAGGAGTTCGATACCAGCCTGGGCAAAATGGCAAAACCCTGTTTATACAAAAAATGCAAAAATCAGCCTGGTGTGATGGCATGCACCTTTAGTCTCAGCTACTTGGGAGCCTGAAGTGAGAGGATCACCTGAGCCTGGGGAGAGTGAGGCTGCAGTGAGCTGTGATCACACCACTGCCCTCCAGCCTGGGTGACAGGGTGGAATCCTGCCCTCCTCACTCCCCAAAAAAGACATGAATACAAAGCGTATGTATGTCATATGTATATAGAGTGTTCTATTGTGATTAGGTAAAATTAACAACGTTTGTCTTGCATGTTGAAAATTAAAGGTAGTTATACTTGGGCTAAAGATAGGTAGACATAATTACCTGTTAACATTAACATTAACCATTTTTGGTTTTTACTATTGCTATACATATAATCTATTTTTCCATATATTGTAAATAATTTTGACACTCATTCTTTTATTCATTAATTGATCCATTTAATAAGCATTTGTTGAATACTTACCATGTACCATGCACCCTGATAGGCAAGGAGAATGCAAGTAATAGGACAGTTAAGATCCCTGACCACTGCATCTCAGTGGGTGAAAAAAACAGTAAACAAACAACTAAAACTAATGACATTAAAACTGAGACTCAAATGATAAGAAGGAGCCAGCCATATGACTCCTTCCGGGCAACCAGGAATGACAGGAGCTGGTGTGACTGGAGTTAGGTGAGGGAGGGAGGTGCAGCAAAGGAGGTGGGAGGGCCCTGGCCATGGGTGATTTGTATGATATGGGAAAATGTTTGGAATTTATTCTGATACAAAGGAAGTCATTAAAAGGTTTTTAATCAAGAGACTAACATGAGATCACCTTTGTTTAAAAATAATCATTGCGCTCGTGCCTCTAGTCCCAACATTTTGGGAGGCTGAGGCGAGAGGATGGCTTGAGGTCAGAAGTTTGAGACCAGCTTGGCTAACAAGCTGAAACCCCATCTTTACAAAAATTGCAGACATGGTGGCACATACTTCTAATCCCAGCTACCTGGGAGGCTGAGACAAGAGAATTGCTTGAACCTGCAAGGCAAAAGTTGCAGTGAGCCAAGTTTGCTCCAATGCACTCCAGCCTGGGCAACAGAGTGAGACTTTGTCTAAAAAACAAAATAAAAAATAATCATGCTATGGTTTTCATGTGTTCTTCAAACTTATGTGTTGGAAACTTGATCCCCAGTGTGGCAGTGTTGGGACATGGGGCATAATGGAAGATGTTTGAGTCATGGGGGCACTAACCTCAGGAATGGATTAATGACATAATTGCAGGAGTGGGTTTGTTATCATTTGAGTGGGTTCCACGTGAAAGTATGAGTTTGGCCCCCTTTTGCTCTCTCTTTGTCCTTCACCTTTCGCCAATAAGATGATGCAGCAAGAAGGCCCTAACCAGATGCTGGTGCCTTGATCTTGGACTTCCCATTCTCTGGAACTGTGAGAAAATAAATTTCTGTTCTTTATAAATTACCCAGTCTCAGGTATTATGTTATAGCAGCACAAAACATACTAAGACAATCACCCTAGAGACTATGTAAAGAATGAATTTGAGGGGACCTCCAAATGAATAAATAGGTATGCAGATTAGGTGAATATTTTAGTTATCCAGGTGGAAAATGATGAACAAAGGTATATATTTTGTAGGTAGAATCATTGGTATTTACTCAGATGACTCCCAGGTTTCTGACTTTAGTAATTGAACAGAAAATGACAGTGTCATTTCCTAAGATAGAAACTATTGAGTGAAGTTCAGGTCTGTGGGAATGGGCATGGGGGTAATCGAGAGTTTCATTTTGAGGCCAGGTGCGGTGGCTCATGCCTATAATCCCAACACTCTAGGAGGCCAAGGTGGGTGGATCACTTAAGGTCAGGAGTTTGAGACCAGCCTGGCCAATATGGTGAAACCTGTCTCTACTAAAAATACAAAAATTAGCCAGGTGTGGTGGCGGGCACCTGTAATCCCAGCTACTCCAGAGGCTGAGACAGGAGAATTACTTGAACCTGGGAGGCAGAAGTTGCAGTGAGCTGATATCATGCGACTGTGCTCCAGACTGGATGACAGAGTGAGACTCCATCTCAAAAAAAAAAAAAAAAAAAAAAGAGTTCCATTTTTGGATGAGTTATCCAACTGGGGATAACAGTAGGCCATTAGATATTCAAGTTTGAAGCTCAAAAGCAAAGTCTGGACTGGAGTTAAAAATTTAGGAATTGTCAGTATATAAATTATATTTAAATTCATGTAAATAGAAAATATCATCTAGGCTCTTATAACAAAGAGGGAAGAGGGACCAGAACAGAATCCTAAGAAATCCCAACATTTATAGGCTGAGAGAGGAGGAGCTAGGAAATTAGAGCAAGCAGGTGAGATAGAAGAAATATAGAACAGTAGGATTTGTGAAGAAGGTTTTAGGAAGGAGGGTGTTCACTTAATTAATATTAAACATGCTGAAAATTCTAATGTAGCAGATACAATTAGTACTGGCTAGGCCAAATAAAAAATTTAAGCTTTTTATTCCCACTTATCCATTAATTATAGTCAATATTAATGTTAATAGCTTTCTCTGTTTTTATAGACTAATAAATTACCTGTGTTGTCATCACACTTACCCACATTCCTGCATATTCACACAGATTCTGGATCTTGCAATAAGATTCCTGTTGCCTCCTCTTTACTTATCTTCTACAAATGACTAGTTCTCTGCTCTATTTGTGTGCCCTACCAGCCAATCTATTTCTTATTTCAACCATGACTCCAAGTTTTCAGAACTTGAACCCTGTGGTTGTAGATTGCTTGAGGAGGAAGATGTCATGGCCATTTTTGCTGACTGAAGAGACCTAGGAAGGTAAGAAACAGGGTACGCTTTGGGAGGCCAAGTCGGGCAGATCACCTACAGTCAGGAGATCGAGACCAGCCTGGCCAACATGGCAAACCCCCGTCTCTACTAAAAATACAAAAATTAACTGGATGTGCTGGGTGCCTGTAATCCCAGCTACTCGGGAGGCTGAGGCATGAGAATCACTTGAACCCAGGAGGTGGAAGTTGCAGTGTGAGCCGAGATGGTACCACTGGGGGATAGAGCAAGACTCTGTCTCCAAAGCAAAAAGAAAGAGGCTAAGGTTGGTGGCACAGAAAATGGACACAGGGTACAGAACTCAGAAGGGCTTTGTATTTCAAGCTCCTTAGTACAATGGGATGAGAGGGAAAAGACGTGAGTGAAGGAAAGGGGCTGGCTGAGTTTCCTAAAAATATTTAAAGTAGGGTTTATCTTTTTGAGCCAACTAAAACTAAAGCTTAGTAATCAAGCATAGTACACTGTGGACAAGAATCAGTTAAACAGCAACCCCCTGGAAAAACAGCACACCCAAACATTGCTAGGGAACAGCTGGAGAGAGACCACTTTAGGGAATATTTCGGTCTAGAAGTTGTTCTCTCCCCACCATGGGTTAGACAGGCCTGTAAGACTCCTTCCAGCACATCAGACAAGATAAAGAAAGCATTTTTACAGATGAGAAGATTGTGATACCTTCCGCTTTTGCAAGGATAAGTGAAGTAGCAAATGGATGGGGGGCGGGGGGTGGGGGCGACTGGTACTTATAGAAACACAGTTGATGAAATGTTGAATGTTTATGTCTGAAATCTGAACAGCTGGTTCCAGACTGAGAATTCATGTCTGTAACATGTCTGCTGCTGGACAGGAAAGTGATTATTCTTCCATGGATTAGCATGGGATGCAGAAGAAATCAAAAGATACCACAGGCATGGAATGACCTTGCAAGAAGATGAGCTGAATAGCAGTCAAACAGCTGCACTGCCTTGACCGTACCCTGACAAGGGTTTCATCAGGTCCTCAGTGAGAAGGAATAGGCACTGGACTCCAAAAATGGTGGGAAAAGAGTTCTAAAAACGTAAGGCCCTGGAGCCTAAAGAATGGTGAATGAGGATGGAGGAGCAGACAGAGGAAGCTGAAGATGCAAATGACGAACTTCAAAATTTTCCTTCTTAACATAATTCTTATATGCTGTTGTTTTGTGCATTACCTTTGTTCTAGTCCCAAAGAGGTATGTAGGTCTTTTCAAATTTGAGGTAATACCTGCTGCATATTTGCTTCTCCCCCATATAACCTGTCCCATAAATCTTCCAAGGTCAAAGAAACCTGAGAAACTATGTCATGGAATTCTTGATTCGGGGAAAAAATATGATTTATCACTGCAGCTAGATGTTTATAATCCAGGCAGTCATGCTAATCAACAAATCATAATTTGTTGATACTGATGACCTGGCTGGAAGCTTCTTCTCTCCAAGTTTTTGTAGCCACCATTATGACTGTGCAGTGGACAGAGAATCCACACTCTGGCTGGCTAGGGTGCCCTGTTTGAGTGTTCTCATGATTGGGTATTGGCTCCAGCTTATTAGCTGGTAGGATGTTGGCAATATTAAGCTACCCATGGGGTTCTTTATCAATCTTATTCCTTGAAACAGGAATCAAAAACACATATACACTGGCCAGGCGCGGTGGCTCACGCCTGTAGTCCCAGCACTTTGGGAGGCCAAGGCGGGTGGATCACTTAAGGTCAGGAGTTCGAGACCAGCCTGGCCAACATGGTGAAATCCCATCTCTACTGAAAGTACAAAAATTAGCCAGGCATGGTGGTGTGTGCCTGTAATCTCAGCAATTGGCAAGGCTGAGGCAGGAGAAATTGCTTGAACCCCGGAGGTGGAGGTTGCAGTGAGCTGAGATCATGCCACTGTAGAGAGAGAGACTCCATCTCAAAAACAAAAAGGAAAACAAAACAAAACAAAAAAACCCAAAACCCCAAAACACATATACAGGAGAATGTGGGGACTCTGAAATGTGTGAATGAACCAAAGCTAAAACCCTCCCAGTATGTCCCTGGTTCCACAGAAAGAAAGCAGCTGCCGTGTCTACATTGGAAACTAGATCAGTGCATGACTGAAAATAATGATGTGTTGGCATGAGGTTACATACTTAACCAAAGAAAGCTTTTCTTAAATAAAGGGTGAAGAATGACATCAACTATTTGGGTTATCTAGCCACATTGCTTCAAGTTGGGCTTGTTTCCTGAAATCTTTTCCAAACCTTTTGGATTAATTTTTATTGTATTAATAAATATTCTACAACAAACCAGTTTAGTAAAACAATTTAGACCATTAGGACAAAAACACACAAAAAACACGCTAATCTTTTTGTTAGCTACATAATTTTGTTGACATTCTTCTTGATTTTAGAAGGCTGTTAGTAATTGATAGCTTAGATCAAGTCTACACTGAAAAAAGGAAAACAGAATGAAAAAATGTCTTATGAAGTTCACCAGTGTAGATAGTTTAGATTTCAAAGAAAATTTCTTAATTGTGTGTCTATACTATCTGAATGCCTTGATTATTGACTAGATTTTTACCATGTTTTGTGATATTTGTGTGTGTCTGTGTATGTATGTGTCTATCCATCTAATCTATCCATTTCTATTATCTACAACATTTGAGTCAAAGTTCTTGCATTCTTTCTATATTTGCCAAAAGTATGAAAAGAGAAATGCCCTAAAAGTATATATATTTTTATATATAAGTGGTTTTTTTTTTTCTTTCTTTCTAATGGCTCAAAAATTATGTAGGTGGAGGATTTGGCTTTATCTTGAATGAATCATCTTTAGAATCAATACTGATTCAGGGTGAAAATGATCGTGGGGGATTGTTCTCATTTTTCCATGTTGAACATACCATTCCAGAAGTCCTGTGGCAATTCCCAGCTTAGCCGCTGACTCATTCAGCCATATTTCCCTCCACAGGATGTGAGGAGGTGGTATGTCTGGGGACCATAAACATCCCTAAGGCATCACCCCCACCTAACCCTGGGGCTTGACTGAGTTTTATGAAATACAGGGCCAGGCTCAGCCCTTGTGTTTCTACATTGTCTTCAGAAGCCTGAACAATAAACCATAAACCATAAGAAAGATGGGTGTAATTAATTCCTTTTCTACACAGTTGTACACTCTGCTGCTAAGTATTCTAGTCCTCCTATCTTTTCTGCAATGTATTTCTAAACTTTTACATGTAGTGTGGAAAACATGTTGGAATTATGCACACATATAGATTGAGAAGCTTACAGTCCTTGAAACAGGTAAAAACCTGAACTGAAGAAAGTCTGTAAAAGATCTGTATCATGACTTTGTAGGGTAGTTGTTGTATGGTGGGCACAAATCAAATCTAACTGCTGTCCTCATTAGAAGAGAGAATTTGGATACACGAAGAGACACCAGGGATGCATGGACACAGAGAAAAGGCCAGGTGAGGACGCAGTGAGAGTGTGGCCACCTGCAAGTGAAGGCAGCGGGGCTTGGGAGAAATTAAACCTGCCTGCACCTTGATCTTGGGCTGCCAGCCTCCAGAACTGTGAAAATAATTTCTATTGTTTAAACACCCTGTCTGTGGTATTTTGTTATGGCAACTCTAGCAAACTAATACAGTGGTGTAGTAGGAAAAGCTCAGTTTTGAAATACAGTCAGGAGTTGCTTAACAACGGGGCTATGTTCCAAGTTATGTGTTGTTAGGTGACTTTATCACTATGCAAACATTGTAATGTGTGCTTACATAAATCTAGATGGTATAGCCTACTACACACCTAGGCTACATGGTATAGCGTATTGCTCCTAGGCTACAAGCGTGCATAGTATGTTACTGTACTGAATACTGTGGGCAATTGTAACATAATGGTAAGTATTTGTGTATCTAAACATAGAAAAGGTGCAGTAAAAATATGGCATAAAAGATTAACAAGTGGTACATAAGACAGCTTCATTATAATCATGCAAGACCACCATCATATTTGTGGTCCACCATAGATTCAAATGTCCTTATGTGTAACCTGACTGTAGATGAATCTGAGTACAGCTTGCAGCACTAGTGTAATCTTGGAAAAATTGTTTAAACACTCTGAACACCAGTTTCCCCATTTGTAAATTGAGGATAACAATAACTACCTATCAAGGTTATCTTAAGGAACAAATGAATCTATATAGGTAGTGCCTGACATAAAGTAGGTACTCAAGAAATATTTTAGAGACTTTACTCTCTGCTGGGGGAAAGGCATAGAATTTTGCAATTAATCAGATTTGGATTTGAATCTGCATTTCGTCACTTAGCCAAGTGACCTTGGGCACATAACTTAAAATCTGCGATCACCAATCCTACATATAAAACACTAGGAATGTATTACGTTAGGTGCTCAGTACATCTTAGTTCTCCTTGGAGATTCTGGTTACAGACACAGTTCCAATTCTTTCTGAATATCAAAGTAATATATAAACAATGTGTTTGCTAGGGAGAGGTGTGTTTGCTAGGGAGGGTCTAACCGAGAGGATGAGGCTCTAATTACAATATTTATAGTACTTGTATTTTGATTGCTTATGCTTACTCACCACATGATGAGTAAATGGGATGGTCTTTCTGAAGGAAAAGCAACTATACAAAGGATTCAAAGAGAAAGCTTTACCATCAGGCTGACACAAAGGCTATTAATAATCCTGTCCTCGAGGTGCCATGTGAAATCTTGATTCCTAAATGAGAAAATAAGTACATGTAGAGCTGAAATAAGTAAAAATCTATTTATGCAAGAGAAAAGTCACCATTAATTTGCTAAAACATTCCAGACATTTGTAACTTTGTGTGTATTTATATTTATATAATTACTTTCTATGCACACCATTTGATAACTGCCTTTCCCCCCACTTCACAATAGTTTATGGACCTTTTTCCATATTTCCACATCATTAAATAGTCCACTCAGCATTATTTTAAATGACTGAAAGGCACTGCATTGTTAGAATGTACCAGGATTTTAAAACAAATCCTTTTTGTTGGACATTTAGGTTCAACAAACTTTGTTTTTAAAAATCAAGAGGTTAATTCTCTGGTTGCCCATCTGATTGATGACTTAGAGGTGCATAGAGTTGAGGTAAACTGAGTGTGCGAATGTGAACTTGCAGGAGTGGGTGAAGACAGAATGCCTATCTCGGCACTGCAGAAAAAAAGTAGGGAAAGTGCAGCATCGTGAGAAATGCATTTCTGCCTTAAGTTTACTGGGAAAAATCAATTTTAGGGCCTAATAGAGCATCACTTATCTATATGTCACTTGGAATCAGTGTGTTTTCACCATCAACTAAGGACTACTATCTTGGACTGTGTCTCAAGAGAAATGGAGTAGAATCTCCAGATAGCCTTTTTCAGCCTTAGCAACAGGAAAGACAGAAATGACTTGGATATGTACAAACCTTCATAGATGATTGTGTGAAACTTGAGCTTTAAGAAAAAAGATGACAATTCTAAATATGCATTTTCTTGTGAAAGTCATAGAGATATTTTGAGGCGATTCATATTTTTAGATATAGTAGTTATTATTCCCTTCACGAAGAGATAAGATAGGCATTTCATTCCTCTCCCCTTTAGATTCATAAAACAAAGGTGTCTTTCATGGAATCAACTACCCAGCTAGGAAAATGTGTCAGGCTTACCAGTCAAGCTCAAAAATATGAAAAAGGTGACGTCTGTTTAGTTTCTCACAATTTTTTCCTTTTCCCCGATCCCAGATCTGTGAGTCACCATTCTGTGTGAAAAATATTTAGAGTGAGAATTATTCCTTGACAAGTTATGTTGTTAGACGAACTTCCCTATCACTCAAAGAAATGACCCTTATCTCTTTCTTTACTTGAAGAATATCTTGCAAAAACATTTAATCTAGTCCAGAATAATTTCAGGGGTTGACAACACTGCTCTCAAGCCATTTTGTAAATACCACTGCCTCATTTTAAAGAAAAGAACTTCTGTTTTCTTTTCTTGGTTAGTGGATTCTGGTAAGTCCCACCAGTTTGGTTCTATAAACAGAGGCCCTGACAATTTTATTAAGAGCACTGGTTTAATATAATGATTCATGAAAAAAGCCTAGATTAGAATATTAAAATATTAAGTAAGTAGATAACATGCAATTCTACCAGGAGGTATAAGGATGGAAATATCACAAATGCATCTCTTGGATCTATTATGAACATTAAAACCATCAGCCTGAGCACTTACTAGATTTTTTAACTGTGGCGTGTAGGTTTTTCAAAAAATATTTTTACATAAATATGCCCTCCTGTGGCCACTCACCTTTCCCCATTCACATCGCCCTTTCCCTTACCTTCCAATAAGCAAATATATCTTAACTAATGTCAGGCCTTAAGAGACATTTGTATTGGCATTCTATTTGACTTTAAGGTAAAACTAGAAATTTTTAGGAGTCACTTGACTGGTGAAATCACTCTCACTCTTTTTTTATGATTTAATGTTTTTATTGTCACTGTTAACTAGCATGAGATGGGGAAATTTTATTATATATGTGATAAAGGATTAATATCCAGAATATATAGGGAATTCTAAAATTCTACAACAATCACAATAAACACCCTGATTCAAAAGTGGCAAAGGACTTGAAAAGACACTTCTCCAAATAAGTTATACAAATGGCCAATAGGCCTGTGAAAAATGTTCAAACTCACTAATCTTTAGGAAAATGCAAATGAAAACTACAATGACATCTCACCTCATATTTAGGATAACTATTGTTAAGTAAAAACAAAAACAAAAAATAACAAGTGTTGGTGAGGATGTGGAGAAACTGAAACCCTTCTGCACTGATGGTGAGAATGTAAAATGGCATGTCCACTATGGAAAACAGTATGGTTGTCCCTCAAAAATTTTAAAGTGGAATTACTATATGATTCATCAATTCTACTTCTAGGTATATACCCCAAATAATTGAAAGCAGAGACTTGAAATATCTTGAAATTCAATTGAAATATCTCAAAATGGAATTGAAAGCAGGATCTTGAAATATCTCTGGAAGAGATTTTGTGATAGGTTTGGCTCTGTGTCCCCACTGAAATCTCATGTTGAATTGTAATCTCCAGTGTTGCGGGAGGGACCTGGTGGGAGATGATTAGATCATATGGAGCAGATTTCCCACTTGCTGTTCTCCTGATAGTGAGTGAGCTATTGCAAGATCTGGTTGTTTACATGTGTGTAGCACTTCCCCTTTGCTCTCTCACTTTCTCCCACTCCACTATTTGAAGAAGGTGCTTGCTTTCCCTTCTCTCTTTTGCCATGATTGAAAGTTTCCTGAAGCCTCCCCAGCTATGCTTCCTGTACAACCTGTGGAACTGTGAGTCAATTAAACCTCTTTTCTTCATATACTACCCAGTCTCGTGTAGTTTTTGATAGCAGTATGAGAATAAACCAATACAGAAAATTGGTACCAGAGAAGTGGGGCATTGCTATAAAGATATCTGAGAATGTGAAAGTGACATTGGGACTGGGTAATGGGCAGAGGTTGGAAAAGTTTGGGAGGTTAAGAAGACGACAGGAAGATGAGGGAAGGTTTGGAACTTCCTAGAGACTTGAATGGTTTTGACTAAAATGCTGATAGTAATATGGACAATGAAGTCCAGGCTGAGGTGGTCTCAGATGGAGATGAGAAACTTCTTGGGAACTGGAGCCAAGGTCACTCTTGCTATGCATTAGGAAAGAGACTGGAAGCATTGTACCCCTGCTCAGGATCTTTGGAACTTTGAACTTGAGGGAGATGATTTAGGGTACCTGGTGGAAGAAATTTCTAAGCAGAAAATCATTCAAGAAATGACCTGGCTGCTTCTAAAAGCCTATGCTCATTTGCATAAGCAAAGAGAATATTTTAAAGAGAAGCAGAGCATAAATGTTTTAAAAATCTGTAGCCTGACTATGTGGCAGAAAAGAAAAAAATATTTTCTGGGGAGAAATTCAAGCTGGTTGCAGAAATTTGCATAAGTAAAGAGGAGCTGAATGTTAATAGCCAAGACAATGGGGAAAAAACCCTCCAGGGCACTTCAGAGACCTTCACCGCAGCCCCTCCCATCACAAGCCTGGAGGCCTAGGAGGGAAAAATGGTTTTGTGAGCCAGGGCCAGGGCCCTGCTACTTTATGCAGCCTCAGGACATGGCACCCTGCATCCCAGCCACTCCAGCTCCAGCCATGGCTAAAAGGGGTGAAGGTACAACTTGGGCCATTCCTTCAGTGCATGCAAGCCCCAAGCCTTGGTGGCTTCCATGTGGTGTTGAGCTCGCAGGTGCACAGAAGGCAAGAGTTGAGGTTTGCGAGCCTCTGCCTACACTTAAGAGGATGTATAGAAACACTTGGATGTTCAGGCAGAAGTCTGATGCAGGGGCAGAGCGCTCATGGAGAACCTCTACTAGCGCAATGCAGAGGGGAAATGTGGGTTTGAAGCCCCCACACAGAGTTCTAACTGAGGCACTGTCTAGTGTAGCTATGAGAAGAGGGCTACCATCCTTCAGACCCCAGAATGGTAGATCCACCAACAGTTTGCACTGTGCACCTGGAAAAGCTGCAGGCACTCAACATCAGCCTGTGAAAGCAGCCTTGGGGGCTGTACCCTGCAGAGCCACAGGGGCAGAGCTGCCCAAGGCCCTGGAAGTCCACTCCTTGCTTGCATCAGTGTGGCTTGGATGTGAGACATAGAGTCAAAGGAGATGATTTTGGATCTTTAAGGATTAATAACTTCCCTGCTGGGTTTCGGACTGGCATGGTGCCTGTAGCCTCTTTGTTTTGGCCAATTTCTCCCTTGTGGAATGGGAGCATTTACCCACTGTTTTTACCCCCATTGTATCTTGGAAATAACTAACTTGTTTTTAGTTTTACAGACTCATAGGCAGAAGGGACTTACCTTGTTTCAGATGAGATTTTGGACTTGGACTTTTTGGAATAAGTTAAGACTTTGGGGGACTATTGGAAAGGCATGACTGGTTTTGAAATGTGAGGAGGACATGAGATTTGGGAGAGGCCAAGGGCTGAATGATATGGTTTGGCTCTGTATTTCCTCTCAAATCTCATGTTGAATTGTAATCCCAGGTGTTGGGGGAGGAATCTGATGGGAGGTGATTGGCTCATGAGGGTAGATTTCCCCCTTGCTGTTCTTGTGATAGTGAGTGAGTTCTCATGAGATCTGGTTGTTTTAAAGTGTGCAGCGCTTCCCCTTTGCTCTGTCTCTTCCTCCTGCCCTGCATGTGAAGAAGGTGCTTGCTTCCCCTTCACTCTTCCACCATGATTGTAAGTTTCCTGAGGCTTCTCCAACTATGCTTCCTGTGCAGCCTGCAGAACTATGAGTCAAGTAAACCTCTTTTCTTTATAAATTACTCAGTCTCAGGTAGTTCTTTATAGCAGTGTGAGAACAAACATTATCCAAAATAGCTAAAAGATGGAAGCAACCGAAGTGTCCATAGACTAGACGAAAGGATATGCAAAATGTGTGTAAAATAAGCCAGTCATCAAAAAGAAAAATACTGTGTGTTTCCACTTATATGAGGTACCTAGAGGAGACAAAGATTACAGAGATAGGAAGTAGAATGTGGTTGCCAGGGACTACATGGAGAGAGGAATGAAGAGTTATTGCAGTTTTACAAGATGAAAAGAATCCTGGAGATGGATGGTGATGATGATTGCACAACAATATGAATGTACTTAATGCTACAGAACTGTACACTTAAAAATGGTTAAGATAGTAAATGTTATATGTATTTCACGAAGATTTAAAATTTTAAATTAGAAAAAATGAGGGATTTTATACTCTTTTTAAGCAACATTTTTGTTCAGTTTCTGTTAATGTTAATAGTAGTTGTTATTTTTCATTTGACCTGACTTATCCAGTAGATGCATTCGATAGTTGCTTTGCATTATGTGACATTTCAGTAATAAATCTCTAGAGGAAAATATTTCATTTTCATGATGTTTACTTATGATGGGGTGATGATAAAATTATCATAGCTGCTCCTAGAATCTGTTAACAATGTTTCATTGATAAGTGTGGGCAAACTAGACCTGGAGTCCTCTAATTAGCTATGATGACTAGTTAACAAGCAGACAAGGTCAGGCAAATAAACATTTATGTCCACATGCTTGCATGAGGAAGTGGCTGAAGGGTGGAGTGTGTATTTTGGTCAAAAGAATGTTTAGTGATGTTTTCTTTTCCATGTTGGTTATAATTCAGCCGTCTCAGAAATCTAAATATATTCAAGTTCAGAAGCATTGTTGGCTTTGAAAACACTGATTATTTTTGTTCATATATCTAATAAACATTACATGGCCCTTCTTGTCTATAGAAAAAAATCTAACTTTGCCAAAAAAGGGCCCTAACTGGAATGATTTATATGCACTCAATATCAGGAATAAAAGCTTTATTAGTTTTAGTTGGTAAAATAATTTTGTGTTGTGGGAATCATTTTTCAAAATGCTTTATTTTCTAAACACATTACCCAAAAATACTGGGGATGGGTTATTGAAATTTCAATAATTATCATCGTATTTCTCTATTTTGGCTAAATAGAAACAAAGGCAATACATAAAAACCTATAGTGGAGCTTGAGAATTTAAAACCTATTCCTACAGTTCATGATGCTTTAATTGTAGGTACAGTGCTAAAAACACCTCTGCCACTTCACCAAAAATTTGCTCTCGAGTCCTATAGAATGTCTTTACGTGAATTGATGCACACCCCTCAGTTGATAATTCCCTCAATGACTACCTGAAATCGCTGATTTTCAGATAGTCACGTAATGCACAGACATCTCCACATTCCACAGAACAATTAGAAGAATCCTCAGGGGACATAGCTGAAGGGGAAAAAATAATTCTTCCTTTTAGATGACACATATGAAAGCATTGCCAATCCTAGTGTCATTATGCTTTGAGAGGAAAAAACAGACACAGACTGCTTTGTTGTTTTAAAAAGTTATAAATAGATGTTTATAAATTCAAACAATTAGAAATCGAAAGTAGAAAGTGCAAGTCCTCTTTGATCAATCCCATGCTCTAAAAGTAATCACTTTAAGAGTTTGGCAAGGGCTGGAAGCAGTGGCTCAGGTCTGTAATTCCAGCACTTTGGGAGGCCGAGGTGGGCAGATCACCTGAGGTTGGGAGTTTGAGACCGGCCTGACCAACATGGAGAAACCCCGTCTCTACTAAAAATACAAAATTAGCCGGGCATGGTGGCGCATGCCTGTAATGCCAGCTACTCGGGAGGCTGAGGCAGGAAAATAGCTTGAACCCGGGAGGCAGAGGTTGTGGTGAGCCAAGATCGCACCACTGCACTCCAGCGTGGGCAACAAGGCAAAACTCCATCTCAAAAGAAAAAAAAAAAAAGAGAGTTTGGCATGTATATTTTTCTAAATATTTTGTTTGGCTTCTGAAAAAAAGTATATGTATTTATATAGTTTTTACAAAAATAGAATTAAAAACTCATACTTTTCTGTAACTTACTCTTTACTTACTTTTTATCATTTAATAATGATACAAAGAAACCTGCACAGATCTGCATCATTCATTTTCATATATGCACGATAATTCATTTTAATGAATGTCCTACAATGTGTATAACTCATTCCTTCTTGATGGATATTGAATAACATGCTGGTTATTGTCTGCTTGCCTGCTTCACAGCTTATTCTCTGCTTTAATCTATAGTTCTTTATGCTCTAGGATGCTGAACCTTGGCCTCTGGTCGGGTTTAGCCAATAGAAAGCATGGCGGATTTGGGGTTGGGGGAAAGAGGTCATGATATTTCTTCCATTTCCTTCCTCACTGAGCTGCATTTTCTGGAAGTGACGGAGCTGTTCTAAATATAATTCCTTCACCATGCCTCCATTCTGGTTCTGTTAACATAGTTCCTTTCTTTGCCTAGAGGTGGTGATGGCTTCCAGCTGTTGCTAATCTGCATGACTTACTGTCTCTTACAAAGTCCTATAACCAGTAAATGTTTAGGATTTGGCAATTTCTGTGGGTATAAATACTTTTGCAGTTTCTGATTTCAGGATACCAACTTGAGGTCACCAAATGTAACGATGGGAAGAATTGTGCACCAGAACACCACCACCTTATCCATGTTAGCATCTCATAAATTAGTCACTTTATTAACTTGAACTGAGTTGTTTCCTGTCAGAATTCTGATTGCCATAAATGATTTCCTTTTCCCCTTCCTTCCTTCCTTCCTTCCTTCCTTCCTTCCTTCCTTCCTTCCTTCTACCTTCCTTCCTTCCCTCCCTCCCTCCTCTGTCTGTCTTTCTTTCCTATTACAAGTAATAGTAAAGCAGCAAGGACTTTCTTATGAAAAAGTATTACTAGAGGTTAAATTCTGAGAACTGGGCGAAAGGTATGTCAATTCAATATTTTCATAAATATCACCTAATTGCTTTATAAAAAGTTGTATCAATTTACAGGTCCTCAAAAAGTTCCAAAAATGCATCTTTCTGCATAACCTCATCAACAACAGATATTTTTAACTTTTTAAAATTATTGTTAATAGATTAGTAAAAATGATACTTTATTTGTATTTACTTGTACAATATTATTGTTGTGGCTGAAAATCATTGTATAATTTTGCATTAAATAAATTTTTGCTGTGCATATGTGAATTGGGGGATACAATAGTCAGGTGTCTGAATTCTCTTGGAAATTTAATGAAGGGCCAGTGGCTGCTCCGCTGTCAGGAGTAAAGGAGAGATGGTCATTAGTTTGTTTAGGAAATGGCTGTATGAGTGTTTCCCATTGCTGTGGTCTGAATTGGTGTTCCCCCCAAATTAATATGTCGAAGCCCTAATTCCTAGTGTAGCTGGAGACAGGGTCTGTAGGATGCAAGGTTAAATGAAGTCATAAGAGTGGGCCCTTAATTCAACAGGACTGTGGTCTTGTAAAGAAGAGAAATCTCTCTTTCTCTCTCTCTCTGTCATGCTGTCATGTGAGGACCCAGAGAGAAAGCAATCATCCAGCAAGGAAGACAAGTCCTCACTAGAACCCAACTGTGCTGACACCTGAAGAAGGAAGTGACAATTCAGGGATAGGAAGCTCCCAGTAATGAGCGCTCTTGAAAGAATCCATGAAAGTACCCAAAGAAGAGTCAGTTGCAAACATCTTTTATGTCTAGAAAAGCACAAAGATATCTTACGATGGTTGTGGTCCATGTTTTCATCTACAGATGGAGAACTTCACTCACCGAATATATTTTGGTGGGACAGTGGAAGACAAAATTAGCACTTTAATTCCATGGCATAGGTCTAAAATGCTCAAATGAGTGACTCCCAAATGGAACTCCCTAGCCCAGAGTTTCTTGTGAATTCCTCACCCACCATTTTGAAGCCTAGGCTTCCTACCTCTCTTCTCACTGTTTAAGATGTTTCAAAATGCAAACATTTAACATCAGAATTAACTTTCCCTATTCCCCTTCAACCAAGCTCCCATCAAAGTTGAAGAAAGAGAACTCTTTTCATGCTGTTGCTTATTTCATAAACTTGGGAGCCAGAGTCATCTTTGTGCTTTCTTCTCACTTACCTCCTCTCCACCCCCAAATAAGTTCTATGAATAAATATACTTCACACCACCCACTTCTCTTTATCATCCCTGAGTCCCAGCCACCTTTATCTTCTGTCTGGTCTATTGCATTAACATATTTACTGGTCTCCTGCGTCGTCTTTGGCTCCTTCAAGTTTATTCTCTTACATAGTGGCCCGAGTGATCACAAAATAACAATCTGGTCATGCCTCCTCCTTAAAGCCCTTCATTGTTTCTAAATTGGTCTTGAGATAAAGATCCAAATCCTGAACCTCATCTGTGAAGCCCTTAATATCTGACACTTGCCAACATTGCCAGCACCACTTTCCCATTTTCCCATCACTTACCACCCAATGGCCTTCAGTTAAAACTTAATTTCTTTCCTGATCCCCCAAATCAAACTACATTCCTCTTCTATGCACTCTACTAGTATTTTATTTCCCCTCTTTTTTTTTTTTCTTTTTTTTTTTGAGACGGAGTCTCCCTCTGTCGCCCAGGCTGGAGTGCAGTGGTGAGATCTCGGCTCACTGCAAGCTCCGCCTCCCGGGTTCACGCCATTCTCCTGCCTCAGCCTCCCGAGTAGCTGGGACTACAGGTGCCCGCCACCATGCCTGGCTAATTTTTTGTATTTTTTAGTAGAGACGGGGCATTTCCCCTACTTTTATAACCATTTTGTAATTGTAATTAAATAGATATTTATGTAATTATTTGTTTATTTAATATTAAGTACATATTTATGTAATTATTTCTTTAATGTTTAATGTTAGTCTCTGTCACTACACTATAAGCTCCATGAAGGCAGGGATGATACTTATCTGTTTTCCACTGTATCTCCAACACCCATTTGAGTACCTGGCACATAGAAGGGACTCAGTAAATATTTGTCACATAATTGACAAAGAAAAATCTGATACTAAAGTCATATCAGAGGAGGTTCAGGGAGTATATTCCTAAGCCATGGGCATAAAGGTACTCAACTTCTGTGCCTCATGTGTTTCCTGAAAGAGCCAATTTAACGTTGAGCCTATATGTCTATCCTAAGAGTTAGGACTCAGATATTAATAGGGTATCCAAATAGAGATAGAATTATTTCCACCATTAACTCAATATAAGCAAAAGGATGCCCATCTTCACCTAAGATCCAGTGTAGATCTTGGGTCACTTCTGCTAAGAACATCAATGAGGGACGGGGTTGGGGGAAGGCAACATACAGATTTTAACATCATCAGTTTTTTTTTTTAAGTCTCTTAACTCTAATAGATGAGGACATTAAAATTAACTTCATGTGTGGCATCCAAAACATGGTGATTTAACTTTGTATAAAGAGAAAAAAAAATTTTGCTTCAACTTTTCACTTTTCTAGAAGCTTATATTAGAACCACTTCAGTCCTTGCCCAAATATGGTGACATAACACTGTAGATTGAAGAAATTGGCTTGAATATATAGTTTGAAATCCAGACTGGATGTAACAAGACCCCAGTGAGTCAGTATGTGATTGTTCCAAAAGTCTGGATGAAGGCCAGTCATTCATAGCTTGCCATTTCCAATGAGATTTCAAAACATGAATACTTTTAGAATCATTATTAAATAACAACAATCAAAATATCTGAAATAACAGTAGCAAATTCTAGTAAAAGATGTAAAATATACGTTCAGATTGCTTAAAATAGCCATTATAATACCATTTGCATCTACCAAGATTATTTCTAATAGCAAAGCCCCATATTCTAAGTTTGACAAGAAAGACAGGGATTTAAAAGAAAGTGTTGACTGTTCAGTATAGGATATAGAGTCAAAGAAATTTGTCAACACACTCAAAATTAGAATTTCTATAGTCACCATTTATTTTTGGACTTTTTCTCGAATGCCAGGCCAATATTTATAGAACCTGGGCTGAGCCGAGTGGTAGCCAGCATCATGTGGCATGTGGCTACCTTGGATGGTGTTTCCTGGATGATTTCCACCCTCCTCCATCCCTCCCAGCCAAAAGTATCCTTTATACCTGCACAGGTTCTGGAATTTTACCATTTGACATCTTGAAATTTCTTAGGGTTAGAGCATCCTGCCTTCCATGAAAATTCAGACATGGCTGGGAAAGGTAAGTAATAAAGACGCGTTATCATCACTGCCAACTTATCTAGAAATAAAAGGCCAGACCATTATCCATTATCAATATGTTAATTCATGCTTACCTCTTCATATTAAATTGTTGGTTATTTTAAAATAAGTATCTGATTTAGCCTCCTTGAGGCTGCACAAACTGCAAAGGTCCTTTTAAAGTGACTTGTAGTTTGTAAAGCACTTTTGTACACACTGTCTCCTGATACAAAACACAGGAGTATTCTGAATGAAAGGACAGAGGCTTGGAAAGAGCTGGCAGCAGTGAGGAACTGAATATATTAGTCTGTTCTCACACAGAAAATAAATACATACCCAAGACTGGGTAATTTATAAAGGAGAGAGGTTTAATGGACTCCCCAGTTCCACCTGGCTAGGGAGACCTCACAATCATGGTGGAAGGCAAAGGAGAAGCAAAGACATATCTTACATGGTGGCAGGCCACAGAGGTTACACAGGCGAACTCACATTTTTAATCCATCAGATCTTGTGCGACTTATTCACTACCACGAGAACAGTATGGGGGAAACCACCCCCGTGATTTGATTATCTCTACCTGGCCCTGCCCTAGACACGTGGGGATTATTACAATTCAAGGTGAGATTTGGGTGGGGACATAGCCAAACCATATCACTGAACATGAGGACCTTGTGTGGCAGTTGGGTGGGACCAGAGAGTCAAGAAGAGAATAAGAAAGGAGTGCGGGTATAGAGGCCCTGAAGTGACCTTTGTTCACATTTAGTTCTTCCCAAGAATGGTCCTGATGTTGGGTTTGCATATACTTATTGGTTCGACAGAAATAGAATTAAAGTGATTTTGAAGGGCTAGGGGAAAAATCTACCTTTCAGGGCTCTCTCTAAATGATACCACTGGAACCAAAAGAAAAGAAGTCAAAAGTTGAGAAACCAACTAAAAGGCCCATACCATATTTCTAAAGTCAAATAAAATAAAACAAAACCCATTCCTGTTTTTCATGTTTGAATCGATAAAAGTTGTGGCTTCTTCTCACAACCAATATATTCAGCTTTAATCAGAAAGCCTTAGTACCAAACTGTAGTTTTCAAGGGTTTGCGTTATTTAACAGAGTGTACAAAAATTTCACCAAGATACACATTAGAGACTGGCCAGTTTAATCATTCCTCAGTTAGCGTATGCTCCCCTTAATGACTGGCAGTATTTTTACTTTGAATTATCCTTGTGCAAAATAAAAGTAATATATCTGCTTTTTTTTCTAATAATGTTTTGGTCCAACACATCTATATTTTGATCATGCAGCAATTTTCTAAATTAAAGTTGACAACCCTCTTTAGTTTCTGCTTATAAACTTTTATGTGATAGATCTGAAAAAAATCTTATGCAATGATGTCATGGTGTCTGTCTGGTTGAATAATGCATTGTCTCATGTGGTGCTGTTTTTTGACATTTCCTACCTCATCTGGGCAGCTCCTTAGAGTAGTAGATCTAAAGACATTCACATCATGAAGCTGGATGACACCAGGCCATTTTGGTAAACTCTAGAAAATTTTATTTGTGGTAAAATAATTTAGTTATTAATGTGATGAACAGGTTTATGTTATGTAACTGAAAAATATCATTAAGATCAAAGCAGTTAAAGTTGTATTATTATATAAGCTCAACTTTATTCAACTTTTTAAACATTATAACATCAGTAATGTAGTCATTCACTTTACCTATTTTGATGGCACATATGATTTGCAGCCTATACTACAGCTTTTCTACTTAAAGATTTTTTTTCTTTTACATGCAGAGTTGAGTTAATCATGATGGCTTACTGTTGTCAACAATCTGTCAACTTTCTTCCCTTATTTTGTTGGTATTACCGTTTTTCTTTTTTTCCTAATCTCTACTCCATTGTTCCTCTTTTACTCCGAAGGCCCCTACTTTAGTGTGTTTGGTTTATAAATCAGTATCCTTATATGTTTTTGAAAAAAAAATGCAGTGTTGTTTTTATGATGCATTTTAAATTACACAAATAGTATTACATCATAGAATGTGTTCAGTTTCTTACTTTTTGCACTCAACACAGTGTTTTTGAGATCTATCCATGTTGCATGTAGCTGTCATTCATGGCTTTTGAGGCTGTGTAGTAGTCCACAGTATAGTAGTGCCATATTTAACCTAGTGATTGGCATATGGGTTGCCTCCAATCCCCAGGTCTCCAGCATGGATCACTAGGTGGATGGGAGTGTCATTCTTTACACAGGAAGTCCAAAAGGAGGAGTAGGCATTATGGGAAAGAGAGTGGTTTGTTTTAGTGCCCAGTTTAAGTTGCCTATAGAGCATCTCAGTGGGTGTATAGAGGAGGCATTTGGCTCTATGTGTGCACCTATAGGCAAATAGCCCAGCTCTGAAGAGACTGTTTGTAGAGAGCATGATTTAGAGTCATCAGCATACATGCTCACATAGATGAGATTACTGGAAGAAGGCATGGTGTGTGAAGAATCAAGGGCTGCTGACAGAGCTCTAGGCCACATCAACATGTAAGGGAGGGTAGAGGCAAGCACTTCTAAGGCATGTGAGTTGTGGTCATTCATAGAAATGATGCTCTAGGCCAAGGGTCAGTGAATACTCTCATGTGAGCCAACTCTGGCCAGCTACTGTTTTCTGTACTAATAAAAATGTTTTTTATTAGAACACAACCTCACTCATCTGTTTAGGTATTACCTGTGGCTGCTTTTGTGCCACAATGGCAGAGTTATCTAGTATTAAAAAAGATTGTATGATCTACAGAGCAGAAAATGTTTACCATCTGCCTTTCTGCCTTTTCTACAGAAAATGCTCGCTGACCCCTAACTAGACAATGAAATTAAAGTGTAAAGCGAGTGACTCTGGGATTCTTAATATTTCATCTTTGTACCACAAACAGGTTATATAATCATAAGTGTATCCTGTATGCTTGATAAGCACACATATTGTAATTCTATAAAAATGTTTTGTGTTCCCTTATTTCTTTTGAATGTATCAGTTTCCCAATATAAATCCACGGGAGTCAGATTTGCTTTTCTGTGGAAAACATAACTTTACTTCTGTTTGCCTGTTATTCTCTGCATGGTGTGATTAAGGTTGAAGAGCTTCTGTATTTATGTATTTCAGTTCCTCTGGGCATGATTACCCATGATTTTATGCAGTGTAAATGCATTAGTAAGAAGGAAAGCTCTTTTTTTATTATGTATTTTAAAAATGCATCTTAAATGCGACAGAAGCCTCAGTAGAAGTGTTGGAAAGTAGATAATGTCAACCTCAGATGAACAACTGTTGCTTTCTATTTCAAGTTTGAGAAACTATTCTCATATAAGCTGATTACTCTCTGCTTTCTTTTACATTCTTCGGAAGGAACTTTTACACGATAGCACTCAGCTTTCGGAGACCCTCCTTTGAAGCTAATCTGTATCAGAAACAAGTTGCAAATATATGAGACTATAAAATTGTGTTTCTATTAACATGTTTTTATTTCTCCTCTTTTAATACTGACCTTTACTAAAAAAAATCATATGTTCAGCAAGCCACCATCATCAAGATAAAGCATCGTCAACTTTTGTCAATATTCAATTCCAAGAAAAGAAACATTTTGTTTAGTCATTTTCTTTGCCTGAACGAGTATATAATTTTTTTACGTGTTCAGTGGATTAAAGAGTATTTGATGCACAGGTGTTTATGTAACCAGATCTTCAACTGAATTCCCAAACTTAATAAAGATGTTAAAATAAGATGCGTACACACACACACACACACACATATAGATGTTCTGAACCCTGACTACACATTGCAATCACTTAGGAGCTCTAAATGAGAAAAAAAAAAATACCGATGCCCGGATTCCATCTCCAGACATTTGTATTTAGTTACTCTGGCGTACCTTTCAGTCATTGGACTTTAAAAAGAAAAGCTCCTAGGCTGGGCGCGGTGGCTCACGCCTGTAATCCCAGCACTTTGGGAGGCCGAGGCAGGCGGATCACGAGGTCAGGAGATCGAGACCATTCTAGATAACACGGTGAAACCCTGTCTCTACTAAAAATACAAAAAAATTAGCCGGGCAAGATGGCGGGCGCCTGTAGTCCCAGCTACTCGGGAGGCTGAGGCAGGAGAATGGCGTGAACCCGGGAGGCGGAGCTTGCAGTGAGCCGAGATCGCGCCACTGCACTCCAGCCTGGGCGACGGAGCGAGACTCCGTCTCAAAAAAAAAGAAAAAAAAAAGCTCCTCTAGGTGATTACAGTATGATGCCTAAATTGAGAACCATTGTTGTAAATAATTAGTTAATGAAATCAATGGGAGGTGTAATAAGAGAAAGTTTAGAGACCATAATAGGAATGTTAATCAATGAATTTGTTACTGAAAAGAAGATAATAAAATTATTTTGAATTGGAGGAGGGCAATTATTATCAGGGCTAGTTATGAAATACGGAATGTGTGGAGTCTTTGAGCTCAGCAAAGTACCTACATGTCATCAAAATCTTGCGCAGAAACAAAGGAAGTAGAGAGAAACAGAATGTTTACATTTTGCAACCTTTAAGATCCAAAAGCGATTGGACTGTGAGCCCCTCTAGATGACCTGGGGAGTGGGCCCCGCCCGCGATGCTACTTACAGAATGAGAAAATCCTAAATGCAAATGAAGCAAATTGTTATTCAGGTGAGAGCAATACATGCAGTACTGTCGAGCACTGTCGTTCTTCAACTTTAGCAAATATCAGAATCACCTGGCGGTCTTGATGAAACACAAGCTGCTGAGCTTTACTCCAGAATTTCTGGTTCAGTAGGTCTGCAGTAGGACCTGAAATTTTATATTTCTAACAAGTTTTCAGGAGCTGCTGATGCCGCTAGTACAGGGCTCACATTTTGAGAACCTCTGGTCTAGCAAGTTGCCACCAAGAATGAAGATTGGGCCAGAGAACAGGGTAAGAGGTTTTTTTTGTTTTGTTTTGTTTTTGCGGGGCGGGGAGGGGGGAGGTGGTGGATGGTAAAATGCTAGCGTATACGTCGTATTGCCTGTCGATGACAATATGATGAACTTGTTGGTTCATTCTGGGTTTGTATACAGCAGTGAAGTGCTAGTTTGCGTCTGTTATCATCTCAACATGTTAAGGTCGTGTTCTTACCTTTGAATAAGCATTTTGATAGTTGTAAGGGCCTTTCCGTTTTCTTATTGTAACACAAATTCTAAGTACTTTTCCTTTGTTGTATTAGAAAAGAAGTGACATTTGACTCAATCATTTCATTCTCTCTAAGCTGAATTAACAAACCACCTAAAGGCATTTTCTTGGTTTTAGATAATGACTACCAAGCAGTACTTGGTAATTTAGCTGTGACAGCGATCTTCATACTTGTAAAGCTCCTTTTGCCAAGTTTCACACCTGATTGGGAGGCAGAGATGTGCTAATATAACTAAGACTCTGTCCACACTTTCAGAAAAGTGTTAACTAAGAATGGCACCCATTCTATGTATATACTTTTGGAAAAAGGAGATTTTCTCATTCCAAGCATTCGTGGGGCTAGAAAAGTACACCGTTCCATCAAGGCTGCGTCTCCTACAAAGAAAGCTCTTGTGAGAGTCCTCAGAATCGTTTCCTCAAGGGAGACTTTTAGAAAATTCCAGTGGGCTTGACAGATATTGGTAAGACATAGTTCAAAACTATAAATTTTACAAAAGGTTATACTGTATTTTTTTTTAATGTGGAGATAAACAGTAACGTTTAAGCCTTCTCTAAGTACAATAGACATTTGGATGAATGTGGCTTTGAGGTTCACTTTTTGCCACTGCTTTTGAAATATGTAACACAACATGTTACTCTAAGATAAAGAATTCATTAAAATGTAAAGAGTTCTCCTATGCAATCGGAATCAATTGCTTCATTTAAGATTTGGGAAGGTAAAAATTGTTTTAGCCTTTAAATGAGGGAAAGTATGATGGATGAAAACAACCTTTTCAAAAAAACAAAACAAAAACAGACATGCTGTTGAAATATAGCAAAACAAGTAAATGGGAATGGAATACTGCATTGAATTTACTTTCTATAAAGCCGTCCGTGCTGGAAATTCACTGCTAGCAAGTGGGAACAAGGTGTTACTTGACTTGGTTTGGCTAATAACCAGCATTTTTGGGAGCACAAATTGTAAGCAATATGGTTTTTTTTTTTTAAAACCCCCATCTTTCGTAATTCAAATTCAATAAATGAAACACTTTCCCCCTCTCCAGATGTCTAACAAAACGAGTCAACATTTTGCCTATTACAGCTAACTGATTATGAAGTATCTAGTTCACAATCTGACAAAAATAAACAAATGCACCAAATTAGAAAAAGAAGCTCAGAGACAAAATTAGTAGGCCATTTAAATGAATCTGATGTGCCTAGAAAACAGGTGAGAATGGTCCTTCAGTCATGCTTGCAGCAATTCTGGGGAAAGTGTTCCAGCTGGGAACGCAATGATTAATTAGAGGTGTGCTTTTCACATCAAACATACACACTTGGCACTAAACAATTCGTCCCAGGTGCTGCGTGAATGATGAGACAAATTCCATGTCTGTCCCCAAAGACTGAGAATTCTAGAATCTCAAGCATAGCTTTTTCTTAGAACTCATGCTATCTTAAAGTAAAATAGATGAATAGAAGTAACACACTGTGAAATCAAGTCTACAATGCATTCAGCGTTGAGTGAAGTCTTGTCTTTCTCCGACGGCGTTTGCCTTCGAATTGTGGGCACCAAATAACATTTGGGACTCTAAGTTGCAGATTTAAAATGTACACTTCCCTTGAAGCATAAATGCTATTAAATAAAAGAACTGGGTAGCAGTGGGTTTTCAAATTCTAGCGTGCTTAAGAGTCCCCTGGAGTATGTGTTAAAAGGGTAGATTGCTGGGCCACACTCCCTAAAGGCTCTGATTCAGAGCCCAAGACTATGTTGTTTATCAAGCAACCTAAGTGATTCTGATTCTGATGGTGTAGGACTATTTGTGGAGCAAAGTTAAAAATTTCTGCTTTCATGCTCTTCTCCGAAAGAGACCCTGCCCACTTTGGAATGTAGACATTCATTTCATTCGTTCAACAATATTTATTGATCACTTAAACCCATGCTAGGCCATAGGGATACAATGGTGAGCAGAACAGCCAACCAATAACAGCTTAGTCAGGCAGCTGATGGTCTTGTAGGGGGATACAGACATTCATCCTTGCATCACACAAATAATTATGAAATTACATCTTTGGTAAGTGTACACAGTAATATGAGAGTGGAGGAATCAATATGACAGCATGCATCTCATGAACTCTGCAAGGGTAAACAAAACTAGCTCTTAAATTTAAATTCTGCAGCGTTCCATTACATGCCTTCCTCCTAGGCAAGCCCATTTGCCAGTATGCTACTCATGCCCTGCTGTGTTGCAGAATGCTGGAAATGGTATCTATGTTCTACACATCTGTGATAAGATAACATGTAAGGCTCTAAACCACAGGCTGAAATCAGAAACATTTTCTTTAAAATGAATCATGCAGTCAAATGAAAGAGCCCAGTGTTAGAGTCCGTGAGGCCTCCAGCAAAAGCTCACATCTTGATCTAGAGGTGCAATTTTCATGAAGATTACAAAAAGTGATTTAAGAATTAGAAGACTTTATAGGCTAGATACTGATGATCCAACAACTCATTCTTTAAACATTGTCTTGGCATCTCAGGTCCTGGGCTAGCTGCTGGGAATGCAGTGGAAAGATTAGACTTAAATGTAAGCCTGGAAACTATGAAACTACTAGAAGAAAACACGGGGGAAACACTCTAGAACACTGGTCTGGGCAAAGATTTCTTGAGTAAGACCTCACAAAGCACAGGCAACCAAAGCAAAAGCTGGACAATGGGATTCCATCAAGCTAAAAAGTTTCTACACAGCAAAGGAAACAATCAACAAAGCAAAGAGACAACCCACAGCATGGGAGAAAATATTCGCAAACTACCTGCATGACAAGAGACTAATATTCAGAATGTTACAGGAAAGGTGTCCTGATCCAGACACCAAGAGGGGGTTCTTGGATCTCATGCAAGAAAGAATTCAGGGCGAGTCCACAGAATGAAGCAAAAGCAAGTTTATTAAGAAAGTAAAGTGGTGAAAGCACAGCTACTCCATAGACAGAGTAAGGCATTCCCGAAAGCAAGAGGAGGAATGCGTCCACCCTAGGTATAATGCTTGTTTATATACAGGATAAAAAAAAGATTATGGGGAGATGTATTGTGCTGTAAGAGTTTGTGATAAAGGATTAATTTTCGTAATTACTATATTTTGCAAGAATCAATATTATTACCTTTAAAGCAAAATTAGGAATGTCTTTGTTCTCAAGATATCGGGATATTAGGACATTCCCACGACTGGGTCTCTTTAGTAAACATTATCAATCTGTTCCCTTAACCATAAACATCTAGAGGCCAGGAATACCTTTCTTTCTGGGAATGCAGCCCAGCAAATCCCAGCCTCCTTGTCCTAGCCCCCACTCAAGATGGAGTTGCTGTGGTTCGAACACCTCTGACAAGAATATATAAGGAGCTCAAACAACTCAATAGGAAAAACCCAAATAATCCAATTAAAAATGGGCAAAATATCTGAATAGAGACTTCTCAAAAGAAGACATGCAAATAGTCAACAGGTATATAAAATATACTCAACGTCACTAATCATTAGAGAAATGCAAATCAAAACTACAATGAGATATCATCTCACTCCAGTTAAATGGCTGTTATCAAAAAGATAGGCAATAGCAGATGCTGGTGAGGCCTGGGGAGAAAGGGAAAAACTTATACACTGTTGGTAGAAGTGTAAATTAGTACAGCCACTATAAAGAACAATGTAGAGTTTCCTCAAAAACACTGAAAACACAGCTATCATATGATCCAGCAATCCCACTGTTGGGCATGTATCCAAAAGAAAGGAAATCAGCATATCAAAGAGATATCTACACTCCTCCATTTATTGCAGCCCTATGCACGATAGCCAAGATTTGGAATCACCCTAAGTGTCCATCAATAGATGAATGCATAAAGAAAATTTTAGTACATATACATAATGGAATATTAGCTGTAAAAAGAAGGAAATCCTGTTCTTTGTGACAACATGAATGGAACTGGAGGACAGTGTGTTAAATGAAATAAGCCAGGCACACGAAGACAAATATCACATGTTCTCACCCATATGTGGGAGCTAAAACAAAAATTGAACTCATGGAGATAGAGAGTAGAATGATGGTTACCAGAGGCTGGAAAGGATAGTGGGGAGAATGGAATAAAGAGGAGATGGTTAATGGGTATACAAAGATGCTGTTAGAGAGAAAGAATAAGATCTAGTGTGTGGCAGCACAATAGGGCAACTGTAGTTAACAATAATTTATTGTACATTTCAAAATAACTAAAGGAGTAGAATTAGACTGCCCCTAATGCAAAGGAATGGTACATGCTTGAGGTGATGGATACCCCAATTACACTGATTTGATCATCACACACTGTATGCTTGTATCAAAACATCACATGTACCCCATAAATAGGTACGACTGTTATGTATCCATAATAATTAAAAATGTAAAAAGCAGAAGAGCAGGCAGCCTGCCCTCAGGGAGTTCACAGTCTAGTGCAGCCATAATCAGTGCACCTACAACCAGTGACAGATGCTTTAATCAACACTGCCCATGTGCTGGGTACTATTAGGATTTGGGAAGCAGAATATGAGTTAGCCTTAAGTGCTCAGTCTAGAGGACAGTGCCTCTCAGTATGTGAGGAATAATCAGCTGAGGACATGGACCTTGAAGTTAGAGAGACTTTGATTCAAATCCCAACTCTACTGTTTTATCAAAGTGACCTTGAGAACATCACTTAGCCTTTCTGAGAACTAGATCCTTCCTGTATGACACCAGGTCAATACTTGGTTTCAGACGTGTTATACCGTAGTTCATATGTAGCAGTCCCTCTGTGCATCATCTGTTTTGACCAGGGTACCAACTCAACACATCCTCACATTCACTATGAAGACTCCACTCTGACCCTACCATTTTAGCAGGATGATTTCACTCAATATTTGTATGGAAAATAATAGGAGGTGCTTATATTTCATTCTCCTCTGTATTTTGTTCCCAAACTGCCCATGTTTTTCCAAAATCTTCTTTCTCCTCTTTGTCCCTTGCCAGTCATGGCTTTGTAAATCTTTTTAGCTTTTTACCATAGTTCTTGATCTCTTCCTTTTAAATGCAGAATTATTTAACCTGGTCTGAACTCCTCCAAGCTTGCCCACCCACATCCTTCCAGTATCATATTCTAGCATCCTTAGAAAAGAAATATATAAATATAAATGTAAATATAAAGAACAATAATTTTTTGTCCCAGAATGTTTAGAAATAATACAGAGTCTGCCCTTCGTGTATGCAGGTTCTATGTCTATGGATTCAACCAATCTTGGACTGAAAATATTCAGGAAAAGAAGGGATGGTTGTATCTGTACTGAACATGTATAGACTTTTTTCTTTGTCATTATTCCCTAAACAATACAGTATAACAATGGTTTACATAGCATTTATATCCTATTAGGTATTATAAGTAATCTAGAGATTATTTAAAGTATATGAGAAGATGTGTGTAGGTTACATGCAAATACTTTGCCATTTTATATAAGGAAATTGAGCACCTGTGGATTTTGGTATCCATGGGGATCCTAGAACCAGTCCCCCATGGATACAGAGGACGCATGTAGAGAAAAAACCAGAGCACAAAGGTGAAGTTGGATGAATGGTCTACAAACACCAACAGGACCTTGACTGATTGTGCCTCTTTGTTCTGATGTTCTATGATAACAATCATGTATTTAGGAAATCGTTTCCATTTGAACAGTTCAAAGCAATGTGTAACGTTTACTATTTATCATATAAAATAGGGAGCAGAGATAACTGTTTTATGGATGAAAAGATTGTAGCACAGAAATATTCCAATGCTCAAAGTCTAGTAATTAGCTAACTCCAAGAAGAAGAATAGAACACTGGTTAGGCATCTGAGGAGGGTGTTGCATAGAGGATGATATACTTCTAAATGAAAAATGAAATGCGTGTTAACTTTAAAGTGTTAAATCCACATGATGTTAAATATGCAGATATTTGGCTTTCTGAATTCACAGCCCAGATCTTTAATTTAAACAGTCATTGAAATGATTTAATATTTTGAAGAGGCCAATTACCTTCTTTCCACCTGAAATTTAGCTTTTAATTGATTACTACACAGTATCTACTTAACATTCTGTTTATAAAAATTTCAGCAATATGGTCCTTATACCCTCAGTATATTCAGCACCAAATCCACTTTGGAAAAGTAATTATAACTGTGCTTTCTGTAAAAAGTGTGAAGAAGGAGAGCTAATTTTTAAAATCCTCTTTTTGATTTGATCTGTTTGAGAGGTTCGAAATGCAAGTGCTTGGTAAAGCAAATGCAAAAACAGAAAAAGAAGTTGTTTAAGTTGAACCTCCAATCCTGTGACTGTTTTTATAGGCCTTGATTAGCAGCAAATTCTAGGATTTTATTTAATAAAAACAAGTCCTCTTTGATTTGATTCCCCTCTGGGATAGACTTAAAAATAATAAATATGCAGTATGTGGTTTCTCTAATTTTATGAATCAAGGCCATTCCTAAATGTATTTTCCAAAATGTTGGTATTTTATTCAATATTGTTAGCCCCCGTCTCCCCATGGAACTTCCTTTGCAGTGACTGGCTTCATGAAGCCCTATTTGAGAAGCCTGCTGTACCCTAGAACCCATGGAGGTGCAGTGGGAGGTGACTGTACAAATAGACCCCTGGAGATTGTTGGTAGCTACTGACAAATATTGTCTTTGATTGCTTTTATTTCCCTTGACTCTACCTTCCTCTACCCAACTCTGTAACTGCTAGAACCCCAATAATGCCACCCCACATAGTTTTTGCAACTTCAAAAATATGTTGTATATCATTGGGAAGGCCAGATGTAGAATATTAGCATGATATATTATTTTAATGTATAAATTGGCCGGGCATGGTGGCTCACCCCTGTAATCCCAGCACTTTGGGACGCCATGACGGGTGGATCAAATGAGGTCAGGAATTCGAGACCAGTGTGACCAACATGGTGAAACCTCGTCTCTACTAAAAATACAAAAATTAGGCATGGTGGCAGGTGCCTGTAATCCTAGCTACTAGGGAGGCTGAGGCAGGAGAATTGCTTGAACCCTGGGAGGTGGAGGTTGCAGTGAGCTGAGATCATGCCACTGCACTCCAGCCTGGGCAACAGAGTGAGACTCCATCTCAAAAAAAAAAAAAATCTGTAATTAATTTCAGCCCATGTGAAGATAATTTGTAGTCTATATATAATTTCACATTAATGCATAAGAAAATAATAAGATACTAAGATGGTTCATTAAAGCTCAGATGTAGACTATCCAGTAGATTAATTATATCAGTTAAGTTTGTGTATGTATAGTGCTTACTGTGTACCAGGTAAGCCATGGTACCTGCTCTAATACCATGTTCTAAACACTATTCATGTATTCACTTCATCAATCCTCACACCCACAAAAAAGAAGGTATTATCTCCATTTTACAGATGAGAAAACTGAAACACAGAGAAGTTAGATAAGCAAATAAGTGGCAGGACTTGCTCCAGGGGCTCGGCCTATAGAGGGCACTCTCTCGATCACCATAAGACATCACCTCTATGGTTACTTGGTAATTTGTAGGCAAATATAACTAGGATTGCATAATGTTAAGTTAAGAAAAATATCCAAAGGAATGGATTTTCATAGGTGAATCAGGTTCATTTTGCATTGCGTTTTTACTGTACTAAATATCTCTCCTTGTATTAAAACTTAGACTTTTTAGGGTAGACAGTCCATAGACTTAACTTCAAATCAGTGGGGTATAATCCATAGCCTTTTACAGATAGGCTATGAAGAGCAAAGCAAATGGCCTAAACTGAGGGTATCCCAGCAAGTGGCACTTATTCTCTGCTCAGCCTGCTAGCTCCGAGCACACGCCTGAACATTGACATATTTCATCAGTGGGAAAGTACGAAAGTCTTACTGGAGAGCTTTAGGGTGAGATATATTATTATTAGCCATTTGAATTTCTTATTCTCAGAATATCTTTTTTATGCCAAAGATTCGCTTCCTGATAAATGACCCGAACAAATGTCTGCATGGTTTTCATGAGAAATTTAGATTGACTCCCATACCAGGACTCATTGAAGTAAGTCTGCCCCAAATCCATGCCCACATTTAGATCTTCGGGAAGGTAGCTTCAAGATTCTAATGTTTCAGTATAATTCAAGCATAGCTTGAATTAAAGCCAAATTCAGCTTTTGGCATGACTAAGAGGAAATAATGTATATGTCAAACACAAGATTGAAGCTAGCTGAATTTTTAAGCAATGAACCATGAATTCATTAAGGTATTTATATCTGGCAGTGACTGTGTGTTGTAGCAATCTAATGATTTTATGTTCAGTTCTCAGCTGCCTTTCCTGTACTTGGTTATTGGCTGAAACCAAAGGATAGAGAATCCAGAGGGTAATTGTTGGGTTAGGGCCATAGGGTTGGGAGGAACTGGGATAATGTTACAAATGAAAAAAAGAAGAAATAAAATTAGCAAGTATGAAAACCTAAAACTAAGGTGTATCGTTTTCCATTTTTGCTTGAAAAATGTATTCAGAATTAAAGACCGTAAAGAAGTATCTTCAGCCAGAAATCCTTGGCTTCCTCCCGTGTGCTGTACTGGTTGATTAAAAATTGCCTCCCTTTGGATTCTCGTATCACAGTAGGGTCACAGGACAGTCTATATTGGAAGAAAGAGTCTCAGGACAAAGCACTGCTCAGAAGACCAGGGAAATAGAGAAACACCAGGGAAACACACTGTGTTCAAGGGGTTTAAGTGCAGGCAATTAGTTAGGGACTAAATTATCCTTAGAAACTGAAGAAACAGGCAAACAGGATAACAGATGCAAAGCACTGTAGTCAAGGAAAGACCTTGACGAGATAGAGCCATGCATGGTTTTCTTAGGGCTACCAGAGAAACACTGTGTGATCATCCTGCACAAGGGGTTGGTGGGAGTGAGTGATGGAGAGTTAATGAGTAGCCAGAGAGGACACTGTACAGACTGGCTGCCCCTGACATGGGCAGAGACTGGCAAAATAGCGGGACTCTATGTTTAATACCACATATACACAATATAATTATATTGTTGTTATTATAAATACATATATTATACTGTATATATTCTAATATTTAGAAAATGTAAAGAGTAGTGTATATATATTAATATTATTTATAATATATATAATTGAGATATTTTATATATATATGTAGAACAATGAGAACAGTGTGCTAGTAATTTGACAACAAACACCTCCAGAAACAGAGCCATCCAGACCAGAACATCACAGATCAAGAGGCAATATGATGTGGTGAGAAAAGCACTGGAGTAGGAGTTGTGAGTCCAAATTGCAGTCTTCATTGTGTTACACATTTATGATCTCCGGCAAGCTTCTCCTCCAGGGCCTTCAGCTTCCTTACCTGTGGAGTTAAATAGGTTGGCTAGGGTGAGCTCTCAGGGCCCTTCTGGTTCCAAGGAGAAATGGGTCTCAGGGTCCTTGCATAGGCACAAGAAGTAAAGAGGCCCTTCCCCTGCCAGGAGCCCAATTTTCCTACCATGTGATACCCAGGTTGTGCTTACGAGATACACAACAAAAATGACTACATTTTAACCAAATGCTTCCAAATTTTCTAAAAGTGAAATGATCAGGAGTGTACATAGAAAAATTTTACATTTTCTTCTTTGGTCTTTATTCTGTAGAATGTAGCTGCCACTGATATATATTATCAAAGCAAAACCTTGTTTTTCCACCTTCATCTGTTCCTTCTTTATGGAGAATCTCTGCTGCCTTCTCAAACATCTATGATGGCTAAGAAAGGGAGATGAGGGAGTGTGGAAGGAGTCAGAACTGCCATCTGACTGTGGTTCTACCTATATTACTAGAATTGGCCGAGTGTGATCATTGCCACCTTGGAGTCACTTACAGTCAACTTGAATGATTATGAAACAAGGGGTAAAAATGACACAGAATGTCAGATTAAAACAATGACACCACTGGGGGCTGGGCGCAGTGGCTCATGCCTGTAATCCCAGCACTTTGGGAGGCCAAGGTGGGCAGATCACAAGGTCAGGAGATCGAGACCATCTTAGCTAACAAGGTGAAACCCCATCTCTACTACAAAACACAAAAAAATTAGTCGGGCGTGGTGGTGGGCACCTGTAGTCCCAGCTACTCGGGAGGCTGAGGCAGGAGAACGGCGTGAACCCGGGTGGTGGAGCTTGCAGTGAGCCGAGATCGCATCATCGCACTCCAGCCTGGGCGACAGAGCAAGACTCTGTCTTAAAAACAAACAGACAAACCAAAAAACAAACAAAAAGAAAACAATAACACCACTGACTAGGTGAATCCAAAGATCTGCCAATGGGTGTCTATTATTGGCTTAATTGTGTCCCTCCAACCCCTAAATACATATGTTGAAGTCTTAAGCCCCAGTGCCTGAGGATGTGGACTTATTTGAAGATAGGGTCTTTCAAGAGGTAATTGAGATTAAGTGAGGTCATATGAGTTGGCCATATTCCAGTATGACTGGTGTACTTACAAGAAGAGGGGATTACGACACAAATACAGACTGGAAGGAGGCCATATGAGGACCCAGCAAGTAGGTGGCCATCTGCAAGGCCAGGAGAGAGGCCTCAGAAGAAACCAACCTGCGACCACCTTGATCTCAGACTTTCAGCCTCTGGAACTGTGAAAAAATAAATTTTTATTGCTTAACCACCTAGTCTGTGGCATTTCGTGATGGCAGCCTGAGCTGACTAATACAAGTGTCCAAATTAATTCTCACCAATTTAAGTACAGTAATCCTTTCATGTCACTCTAGATCACCTCCAGCGCCTAGTTACACCTTCAATAAATGTTCCTTATAAAATATTTTATTTCTAGTTTGATGCCTTTAGGAAGGAAATGTAAAACATTGACATTTAACAGATTATATTTTAATTGCACTGTGCCATTAGGAGACATGTGTTTCCTTTGAGTTTTGGAAAAGTTGTTGGAAAAACTACATAAATGAGGTTGATGTTCCTGTCACTTGTGTTGGTGGAGTATCACCTGGCTGATGTGTTATTGTTGAAAACATCTGGATAGAGTCATTTATTTTCTTTCGTGAAAAGTGTGTGGATTAAAAACAGACCTCTTCAATTTAGTAGCACAGCATAAAGGGTCTCACACTTGGGCTTTGTCCCACCAGCAGGGAGCCCAGTGCTGAGTGAGGAGAATGCAATTGAATGAGGGACCATTTCCATGACCTGGGTGGATTCCCAAATGGAGAAGACTAAGCAATCTTGGCAGCAGCTGTTAATTACAGAAAAGATGGGAGAGCAAGCAGCTGTTCTACACTACTCAATGTTCACCTAGTATCTTTCTAAGAGCTTTAAAATCATGGACATGGGGAGTTCAGATTTCATTTCTTTTTTCTTTTTTTTGTGTGTGTGTGTGTGACAGTCTCGCTGTATTGCCCAGGCTGGAGTGCAGTGACGCGATCTCGGCTCACTGCAAGCTCCTCCTCCCGTGTTCACGCCATTCTCCTGCCTCAGCCTCCCTAGTAGCTGGGACTACAGGTACCCACCACGCCCGGCTAATTTTTTTGTATTTTTAATAGAGACGGGGTTTCACTGTGCTAGCCAAAATGGTCTGGATCTCCTGATCTCGTGATCCGCCCGCCTCAGTCTCCCAAAATGCTGGGATTACCGGCGTGAGCCACTGTGCCCGGCCTCAAATTTCATTTCTAAGAATAGTATTGATGCCAGGACTTGAGGGCAAAGACTGGGTCTAATTCATCTACTTGTCTCCTGTCTGTTCGGGGTCATGAGAGTAACTTGCATACAACTAGTGCCCGTGTGTCTGTTGAGCTGAACCTAACCTAAAAGGGGCAAATTTCTCATTGCAGTAGGTACTTCTTGATAGATGAGAGTGTGTATGTGTGTGTGTGTAAATGTATAAATGAGTATTCTAGTTATAATATTTATTTTCTTCTTAGTGAAACAAGCATTCCCATTATTATTTTGCATCGGGGGAAAAAAAAGCAGTAAAAAGTCTTCCAGCGCTCAGTCACGTGGCAAAGTGAAAGCAGAATTCAGGAGTGGTTGCACTGAGACCCTTATTACAAGAGCTCACCAGCAACCCCCTCCCTTCCAGAGAGGCTAAATGATGATGCATTTCTACTAACTACATTCAAGTGTCTGCAGAATTAGGGCTACATCACTGCCCTAGAATATAAATGAATGTTCTTTCGCCAGAGGACACTAGAAACAGATGTTGTTCCTCCTCCTTATTTAACTATAAAACACTTTTGTTGTTGTTATTGTTTTTTAAAAAGATCTGTAGGTGTCTTTCAAAGGAACCTTCATCCCCTTCGAGGCAAGGGGATTAGTATTTACTATGCAGTACTATCTGCCATGAACCTTGCATGTGCTATCTCATTTAATTCTTCTTTTTCTTTTCTTTTCTTTTTTTTTTTTTTTGAGACGGAGTCTTGCTCTGTTGCCCAGACGGGAGTGCAGTGGCGCGATCTCGGCTCACTGCAAGCTCTGCCTCCCGGGTTCAAGCAATTCTCCCGCTGCAGCCTCCCGAGTAGCTGGGACTACAGGCACCCACCACCACGCCCGGCTAATTTTGGTTTTGTATTTTTAGTAGAGACGGGGTTTCACCGTGTTAGCCAGGATGGTCTCAATCTCCTGACCTTGTGATCCGCCTGCCTAGGCCTCCTAAAGTGCTGAGGTTACAGTCGTGAGCCACCATGCTTGGCCTCATTTAATTATCAAAGTAACCCAGTGAAGGAGAAACTAGCAAGCTTAATTTAAACATGAGACAACAGAGGCTCAGAAGGGTTACCAAGCTTCCCCAAGGCCACTGCGTGAGTGGCCAGATTCCAACCTGGATCAACAATTCTGCACAGACCTTGCTCCTTCTACCTCATTCACTGCTTCCCAAATGCTCTGTCTTAGTCTGTGCAGGCTACTCTAATAAAATACCACAAATTAGGTGGCTTATAAACTACAGAAATTGATTTCTCACAGTTTGGAGGCTGGGAAGTCCAAGAGTGAGGCAGATTTGGAGTCTGGTGAGGAGCTACTGCCCGGTTCATAGATGGTCATCTTCTCACTGTGTGGAAGGGGCAAATGAGCTTCCTGGGGTCTCTTTATAAAAGAGCACAAATCTAATTCATGAGGGCTCCACCTTTAAGACCTTAATCGCTTCTCATAGGTCCCACCTCCAAATACCATCACATTGGGATTAGGTCCCAACGTAAGAATCTTGGAGGCATACGGACATTCAGTCTATAGCAGCCCTAGGGCTGACGGTTAGAATCTAAGCATAATCTCTATAAATTTCATTGCTTTTCTGTTTGTTTGTTAACATGTCACTAAAAATTGGCTGGAGAGATTTTCATCAAATTTGAAGAGAAGGTATGGAATGGTCTGACTTTTAAAGATGGACTATGCGGCACATGGGAACCGCACTTTGGAGGACGCCGAGGAGCAGCAGGGGAATAATACCTTAAGGCAAGTGGGAGAAACAAGTCCTTTTGAGGACAAGAAGAGTGACATCCGACATGAAAGTCATTCAGCAGTGACTAGGGAAGGGGTGCTTGATCAAGGCCCACTGAGATGGATGCTGTATTAGTTTGCTAGGGCTGCCATAACAAAACACCGTGGATCGGGTGACTTAAACAACAGGCATTTATTTTTTTCCCAATTCCAGAGGCTGAAAGTTCAAGATCAAGCTGTGCGGGGTTGGTTTCTTCTGAGGCCTTTCTCCTTAGCCTTGGGCTCTCCTCTTGCTGTATCCTTACGTGGTCTTTCCTCTGTGCATGTACATGTCTCTGTCCTAATCTCCTTTCTTATAAGAACACCATCATTTTAGAGAAGGGCCATAGTACCTCATTTTACCTGAACTACCCCTTTAAAGGCTCTATCTTCAAATGCAGTCACATTCTGAGATACTAGATGTTAAGACTTCAGTACATGGATTTTGGGGAAGACACAATTTATAGTTTAGCTCACAACAGATGCCCAAAGGATATTTGAGTACAAAAAAAGAAAAGGAGGCACTCAAGCCTTCCCGAAGAGTATCTAAAATGAAGTTTATGGTATACCCATGGGATGACATGTTAGGAGCCCATTATAGGAAACATTTGGCTGCCAATTGGGAGGGACACACCATATATTTAAGATGTCATAAACAAAGAACACAAACAATGGTTCCAATTATGAGATCTGAATGAAATTATGTTAAGGAATGTCATAGCAGTTCACTGTCTGAAATTTGATACAGTTATCGAGCTAAAATGGGAAGGCGGAGCTAAGGTATATGCTATTCAAGGGAAAAGTCCTATGGGAGCCATGTTTTGAGCCTCAGTGCTCCACAATCTTCATTGTGATGATATCTGGGGCTCAGGTGTTATTTAAAATACACCTTTAGGGTTTACATCAGGGATTTCAATGTAGCGTGATAAAGGGAATCCATATAGATCCCCTGGATACCAATGATTTCCTTCAATACCTTTTTACTTTCAAATCCCTAAAGTATCCCATGAGTGTCTGTTTCACCAGGAGTAAATTACAAAGCCGACATCCCAAATTGCAGGTGTTGATTTCTGATTGATGTGTCTCTTGCATAGAGAATAACATAGAAAGATCCAGAGTAACAAGGAGTGGAAGTTTGTTCATATGTGCCTCCATGTAATTAAAAACACAAAAGAGATATTTAGAGAAACTGATATGGTTTGGCTGTGTCCCCACCCAAATCTCATCTTGAATTGTAGTTCCCATAATACCCACCTGTTGTGGGAGGGACCAGGTGGAGATAATTGAATCATGGGGGTGGTTTCCCCCATCCTGTTCTTGTGATAGTGAGTTAGTTCTCACGAGACCTGAGACCTGATGGTTTTGTAAGGGGCTTCCCTCTTTGCTGGAGACTCATTCTTCTCTTGCCTGCTGCCATATAAGACATACCTTTGCTCCTCCTTTGCCTTCCTCAATGTTTGTGAGGCCTCCCCAGCCATGTGGAAGTGTTAGTCCATTAAACCTCTTTTTCTTTATAACTTGCCCAATCTCAGTTATGTCTTTATTAGCAGCATGAGAATGAAATAATACAGAAACTTTATTACAAATTTGAAAAAAAATTGGTTTTGTATCAGTGCTATCCAATAAAAATATAATGTATATAACTTCAAATTTTTAATAGTCACATTGGAAAATACTAAAAGAAAAAGATGAACTAAGCATATTTTATATAATGCAATATATCTAAAATATTATCATTTCAATGTGTATAATCATATAAAAGTTTATAATGAGGTATTTTATGTTCTTTGTTTTCTGTGCTATATCTCCAAACCCCTGTGTATATTTTATGTTCACAGTACATTTCAACTGTCATTAGATATATTTGACCCTTATTTAGATTTCATAAAATGAATAGATGGAAAAGTAGATTCACATATACACATTGTTCCAAACTTAAAAGTGTTTAATAACTGAATCAAGGATTCATTTAAAAAATTTTAAATTAAATTAAATTTTAATTTTAAAATGTAGTTACTCAGACTAGACATATTTTAAGTAAACATTTGTGGCTACAGAGTTTGACAGTGCAGTTTCAAATATTATTGAGTGAACACAGAGAAATAAATACATCTATAGAAAATGATTAAGTTCCACAGTGTTTTCTTTAGTTCCTATTACATGTTAAGGAGGCAATTACTTTTCCTGACCCAAACAGATTGTAGATAAAAAGGCAGGTTGACATAGTATAATTCACACAGTACTGGTATGAAAGGGGGCCTGATGACAGTCCTGTCATTTTCCCCGCCCATCAGGGTGATCTTGAACAAGTCACCTCACCTCTCATGCCCTCAGCTTCTTCATCTGTCAAAAGAGGGTTGGTCTAAAATCTCTTCCAGTTCTCACTTTTTATAATCTAAATCCACAGCGGAATTGAAGTCAATTTGTGTGAAAGCAGATTATGTTATGAAAAAAAATCTTGTTTACACTATAGAAAAATCTGTTTTTCTCTTATTCATTACACTCCCCACACATAGGATAATTTCAGTGTACTAAACTAAAATTTGTGAAAGTATCAAAAGTTAGGCACCTGAAGACCAAATTATCTGGAAATTTTCATGTGCCAAATCAGTAAGAAATCAATCATGTGAGAGATGTCTCCTTCCAGGGAATCAAACTGAGCCCTTGCCCCAGTGCCCTCCTGTGTCCCTTTTTTAATTGGTAAATATTCATGATGTGTGAAAAATCATGATTCATACCGTACGATCTCAGTCCCATAAAATTGGATGTTGTGCCTACACACAGGATCTAGAAGAATATGTCAAACTATAAACTGGTTGTGATTGTGAATGACTTTGTTCTTTGCTTCTTGTGTTTTTCGGTTTCCTATAATGCACATATTAACTTTTAAAAAATAAAGGTTATTTTAAAAGCCAAAAAAAAAAAAAGAACCAACAAGAAACCCATGGTTAGGCATGTCCTGAGTCAGGTGAGGCTTTGCAAGTTTTGAGATTCATCACTCATGAGTTGACTAATGGTGCTTTTTAATCTCATGCTTTATTTAGCTGATAGCAGCTTTTATACTGAGGTACTGGTTAACACAATAAGTGACAATTTATTATTTGCTTTTAAGTCCTTGAGTATTATTTAGTTTGTTGACAATTTTAAAAGCCTATATATTTCAGACTAAAATCACAATATTGTATGTATTTGTTTAAAATTTTTGAGAAATGGAGGATCATACAATAAACAAAATCTGTCATAATATTTTTACATAAACATTTTTACCATATTCATGTATTTCTCCCTGGCCTTCTTTTACAGGTTTGTTTAATTTTTATATTGATTTTTTACAAAACTGGGATCATATATATATATATATAGATCATATATATATATGATGGCTTCCTGGATGTGTCAACTTGGCTAGGCTACAGGCTTCACTTATGCAAAGAGTACCAGGTATTTCTGGGAAGGGATTTTGCAAATGTAAATGAAAGTCTCTAATTAATTTTAAGTACGGGAGATTACCCTGGATTATCTGGGTGGCCTGACTTATCAGTTAGAAAGCTTTAAAAGTAGGGCTGAGGCTTCCAAAAAAAAACCGAGAGGGCTTTGTAACTGTTCTTTCCTGAGAGCTTGTCCTGTGGATTTCAGACTTACAATTATGTAACCCATTTCCCTATAATAAATTTCTTAGTATATATATATCTGCTTCTCTGGTTGAAACTTGAGATACAATATACAATTTTATAATTCATTCACTGAACATGTTTTCAGTATTTTCTCACATCCCCAATTTTCTGAGACTTTTCATATCTGCATAAGCGTGCATAACATTTTAAGAAGAAAACTATGTTCTTATTATTTTACATTTAAGTGATTTGCAACTTTTATTGCAGATAACATTGAACTGCAGATACTTGTATGCAGATCTTTGTGTCCACAAGAGATTCTTAGATGAAAGAACCTGAGACCCCTAAGCCAAATTCATCTTCAGAAAGGGTGCATCAATTTACATTAGCATTTATATACAGTCTATCACTGAGTACTCTCAATAATATTAAATTTATTATAATTTTTTAAACTTGTATCTCTTTCAAGCAAAAAGGTTACTGTTTTAATTTCCACTATGTGTATGTGCATATGTATGTATATATATGTATTATATATATGAAATATATATGTATTATATATATGAAATATATATATATACACACACACAGACATGTATACATACGTATATGTAATCACTAACTGTTCTTTCTAAAATTGGGGGTGGGAATTTTCACAATGGTTGTATCAGTCAGGGTTTCACATAGAAATGGAAATCATATTTGTGTGTGTGTGTGTGTGTGTGTCTGTGTGTGTGGACAGAGAGAGATTTGTTGCAAATAATTGACTTACACAGTTGTGGAGACTGGTCAGGCAAACCGGAAATCCATAGGGCAGATTGTCAGGAAGGGCAGAAGGAACTCTGTGGCATGAGTTGAGGCTGAAGTAAACAGGTAGAATTTCTTTTTGCTCGGGGAAGCCTCAGCTCTGCTCTTAAGTCTTTTCAATTACCTGCTGGGTACAACATTCACTGTTCAAGTGATGAGTACACTAGAAGCCCAAATATCACCATTATGCAATATACCTATGTAACAAACATGCACATGTATACCCTGAATCTATAAAAATGTAAAAAATTAAAACTTTTCAACTGATTGAATCAGGTTCAGATTGATATAGAGGGTAATCTCTTAAAACCAACTGATTATGCATGTTAACCACATCTACAAAATACCTTTACCACAACACCCAGGTTAGTGTTGGATCGAATAATCAAATTGGTTGAATTAATTGAACTTGGCCCAGCCAAATGAATACATGAAACTAACCATCAGAATGGATAATGTAAAAGAAATGTTCTACTGTCCATGCAACATGCTACATTCTTCATGGTTGTTTTCAAATTGATTTCCAGTTATCATAAATCTTTATTCTTCCAAATCTCATGACCCAAAATAAATGACCTCAGTAGATTAAGTATGAATATGTTGTTGATGTAGAACACCAGGCTTGCAGCAAAATTTTACTTGCAGCCTTCACTCCACCAAATGGAAGGAACATCTACTTTGTAAAAGACACTATTCTGAGTAAGCTCTGTGGAGGATAGCAAGATGAATCTGCCATAAAAAAGATGCATGAGTGGCTGTAACACAGGAAAGATAGTGAAAACACCCTTGATGAGACACATGAAGTGCACTGGATGTTCCAAAGGACTGTAGGTATTTTTGACTGCAGGATGAAGTCAGGTTTCAAGAAAAAGGGGACATTTGGAAAATGAGGGCATTAGAGATATTTGAAGTTGGGCATTTCATATGGAGGACATATTAGTGAAAACACAAAGCTAGGGACTTGTAAGAACTGGTAGGAATGCAAGGTGTTGGCATAGAAATAGTGAGAAAAAGAAAAGGTATAACTAGGCCAGATATCAATGTTTTAGATAGTGCTTAGCTAAAAGATGTGGGCTTTCTTCTACAATCCAGGGGAATTATTGAAATAATTTTGGGCAAGGGAGAGCATCGATCAAAGTCACATGTCAGGACAATGACTTTGGCAGCAGTGTTCCTGGGCCATGGATTGAGGCAGAGTTAGGCTGGAGGCAAGGGGATATGTCAGAGGCTTTTGCAATATTTCAAGAAGGAGGCAATGAAATCCTGAGGCTTGGTAGTGGTAATAGAGAGAGAAGCACATTTGAGAGATAATTTGGAGAAAGAGTACACAACCTATGGCCAGTAAAGAAATCTGAGAGACAAAGGAGAAGCAGAAGTGCACTACACTGCCAAGGTTCAAAGCTTGGTGACTGAGGAGATGATATGGCATTATTAGCCACAACTGAGTATTTAGCTTCCTCCCTTGGAATGTGACCTTAGACCCCTGAATAGGTCTTGGAATGTGACGGCAGGTCCATGGTCAGCTCTAGAATTTCTGAGATCTTCAAGGCATATTCCAAAGTGCGAGAATTCTGACAGAGTATGGAGGGACTCCTGTCTCTTGGCTTTCCCTAGAAGTGAAGCTCTGTTGAAGTCCAGGCTCTTTACTGGACAAGATCTCCCATGGGATTTAGGAAGATTATTATCTCTAGAATGGTGGTTCTTCATTTGATATGCAGATCCCACTCTTGGAGATTCTGATTCACTAGGTCTGCAGTAGAGGCTGTGCATTGAATGCACCATCAACGTGGAAAAATACTGCCCTAGAATCATCCTAGTCCTGAAGTGTAAACCTTATTCCAAAATAGAAGGCCAGAATAGTTTCCTGGGTCTAGCCCATAGAAGGACCCTACCTTTCCATAGCTTTGAAAAATTGTCCAAATCTCTATGGAATTACAGTAGAGTGGACTGAGGTCAGGGAGTATTTAGTTTGGGGTTTTTATGACACTTAACTGTCTGGAAAAAAGGATAATGTAGACTTGTAGTTGGAGTTCATACTCTTTTTTTTTTTTTTTTTTTTTTTTTGAGATGGGAGTTTCTGTTGCCCAGGCTGGTCTCGAACTCCTGGGCTCAAGTGGTCCTCCTGCCTCAGCCACCCAAGTAGCTGGAACATAAGCATGCATCACCACACCCAGCTCTGAGTTCATATTCTTAATCTTTGTATTGTTGAGATTTGGTATACCTTTTAATGTTATTTAATATATTTTTTCCTGAAAGCTAGATTTCCTGAACTAGGGAGTGGTTTATTTAAGCTTAATAGGAGATTATTTTTCACCATCTAATAGGCTATAGACTAGACACAAAAGTATAGTGGTATGGTTCACATAAAAGATTAAGACTCTTAGAATTCAGACATAGATAAAATCTGATTAACTAAACATGTCAGCAATATCTAAGTGCCTGTTTTTTGGAGCATCATAGCTTCTTAGAGGAATGAAAGGTGTATCTTGGATTGTAAATTAGTGTGATCTCTTTGAACCCAGTGGAAGCTAAAATATGATTGCTCCTGCTCTAGAACAGGGTATTTAACATCAGCACTTTTCGATTGGATAATTATATGTTATGGCATATATCTATGCATTGTGGTATATTTAGCAACATCCATGGCTTTTACCCACTAGAAGCTGGTAGCACACCTGCACTCCAGTTGCAATAAATCATCTCCAGACATTGTCAAATGTCTCCTGAAGGGCAAATTCACCCTCAGCTGAGAACCACTGCTCCGGACTATGCCTTTTCAGGCTACAGTCATCTATTTGGTTTACCTAGAGGCCACTCCACTGAGGAAACAGATAGTTCATCAGCTATATATTGTATGCTATTTTATAAATTGTATTTGATTAAAAAGTTGAATATCAAGACTTCCAACTGTCTGTGAACAGATTAGTAGAAGACTAATGGGCAGGCTTTGGGCTATGCAAACACTCAGAAATTGTATGTAACACAGTGAACCGAGATCGCGTCACTGCACGCCAACCTGGGTGATGGAGCGAGACTCTGTCTCAAAAAAAAAAAAAAAGAAATTGTATGCAACATTGAGCATGTATGCAAATATATACCACCCCACCCCTGCCCCCATGCAGATAATTGACAGTTTTATCAGATTCTCATGGGGTTTTCACACCCACACAAGATTTAGGACCTCTGCTTTGTTGAATAAAAAAATCTAGTAGTGTCTCAGAAGAAAAAGAGAAAGGCAGAACTTAGGAGAGGGGAAGTGCCAAATTTATAATGACATTTTGCTTCTAAAAAACAAGCTTCACAGGCTTCCAGCTTCATCCATGTCCCTGCAAAGGCCATTTTCAGCAAACTAACACAAGAACAGAAAACCAAATACTGCATGTTCTCACTCATAAGTGGGAGTTGAACAATGAGAACACATGGACACGGGGTAGGGGGCATAATACACCGGGGCCTGTCGGGAAGTGGGGGGGATGGGGGAGGGATAGCATTTGGAGAAATACGTAATGTAGATGACCGGCTGATGGGTGCAGCAAACCACCATGGCACATGTATACCTGTGTAACAAACCTGCACGTTCTGCACATGTACCCCAGAACTTAAAGTATAATAATAATAGTATTTTAAAAACAGGCTTCATGTGCTTTAAACATTATTTTGATGGTTAGTGGACATGAAAGAAGAATTCCTGGTTAAATAACGCCTCACGCGTGAATTCTTATTTTCATCTTTGTACAGAGTGATAGTGATAGTCTTCTTATAAGAAGCAGAATATATTAATACAACTTAACCAGTATTTTGTGTAAGATACTGTGCTAGGTGTTGAAGTGTCTTAGCTAGGTGTCTCTATAATCAAACAGCTTTTTCATTTTCAGGAAAAGATAGTGAATTGGTTATTTGCCTGTTTGTCCTCATATTCACTTCCCACCTTGTCCCTGCTCTTCTCTGTACTGCAGGGAGCTACATTTCTTAGGCTCTTTTGTCAACTGGTTTTTAGATAGATTTGGCTACCAGGTTGAATGCTTCTAGGTGGAATGGAAAGCACTGGAGACCTGGAGGAGCAGAAAAAACCTGTGTGCGATTGGGTGGCAATTTTAGCTGCAGCTGCATCTCCTCTCTTGCTATAGCTCATGCTAGACAGCGACTTCCCCATGATCCCAGATCCTGCCTGTTAGCCCTAGGCATAGATCTGGCCCGATGGCCCTGGATTCTGGCAATACCACTGTCTTTCATTGTCCCACCAGCACCAAGGGTAAGAACAGCTTTCTACTATTGCTAATCTCTTATTTGCCTCATTAAACCTATTTGTTTTGTCATCTCTTTCATCACATAAATAACATTTCCTCTATTACATTTCTCTCTATTTGAAGTACCTAGAGTGGTTTGGTTTTCCTTAGCAAATACTGAATTATATCACAGGACAGAAAAAGCACATAAATAATTTTCATAAAAGGCAAGTTAAAGGAGGCTCAATGAAAGACAAAGGGCCTTGAGCTTTTAAGGGAGAAGTGAGTATATCTAGATTTGGTGAGAAGCTTGTTGGAAATGCTTCCGAAAGAGCTAACCTTTGAGATGGTCCTAAAAGCGTGGAGACCATACTGACAGCTAGAGCTGGGGAGTATGGGGAAGGAGATGAAAAGCACAATTCCATTCTATGCCGAGGGAACAAAATAAGAAAAGATCTGGCTGGCACGATGGCTCACACCTGTAATCCCAGCACTTTGAGAGGCCAAGGCGGGTGGATCACGAGGTCAGGAGTTCAAGACCAGCTTGGCCAAGATGGTGAAACCCCGTCTCTACTAAAAATACAAAAATTAGTTGGGCACGGTGGCAGGTACCTGTAATCCCACCTACTTGAGAGGCTGAGGCAGGAGAATCGCTTGAACCCTGGAGACGGAGGTTGCAGTGAGCCGAGATGGCACCACTGCACTCCAGCCTGGGGGACAGAGTGAGACTCCGTCTCAAAAAGAAAAAAAAGAAAAGATCTACAAACAGAAAACCAAAATTATTTTGTGGAGAAGAAGTCAGGAATGATATTGATTGGCTAGAGTGAAAGAAACATGTAATGAAACTATCCTGCAGAGAACTGGAATACCAGAATAAGGAGAAAGTACTTAGTTTACTAAGCCCTAGATGTTGAATAAAAGATGACATATTCGGGATTTTGTCAATATTTTTAGTCGTCATTGGTTTCAAAAATTTTCAATGACTGTTTATTGAGTGGCTAGATTCTGGAATACACAGTAGCAGAAAAAACAGCTAAAAATCTCTCACAGATCTGGTATTTTAGTGGGCTTGTTTAATATCTATGAATAATTTTGACCGTCTATAGCTTTGGCTTAAACATAGGATAGGAATGGCATTAGGCAAAGGACGGCAGCCGGGCAGGAAAGGAAGGAGTGCTAGCCATGGAGCATTTACCATAGATTTATCCCTCTTTTTGAAACCCACTCTGAAGTAATTACTAGCCCAAACTAGACCACTTTGTCTTAAATTACAGAGGTTGCCTCCTGTAATATTCAAAGCCTCTTGTGAAAGAAAGGTTCTGACAGGAGTCAGATCAAAGGCAAGACTGAAATAAAACGAAAAGTTGTTCAATCAAAATAAATGCAGCTTTCTTTAATCAAAAATGTTGGTTGCAATTTCTGTCAAGATAGTAAGTTCCTCTTCTTTCGGTAGGATGGTTAACAACAGTGTCAGCTTCAGCCCAACCCGAAAAACAGGCAAAGTTTTTCCTAACACTCCAACTTTCAAGAGGCATGACTTTGCTTGCAGGTTGGTATTTGTCTCCTTGCAGTCTTCAGTGACCCCAAGCTCTAATTTATCTCAGAAAAAAAACCCAAAAAACAAAAAACCAGACCTTTCTATATGTCTTGGAATGAAATTGTATGCATCTAGCCTAAGCCATGAGCGCGTCTTTTTTTTTTTTTTTTTTTTTTTTGGAGATGGAGTCTCGCTGGTCACCCAGGCTGGAGTGCAGTGATGTGCAGTGATGTGATCTCGGCTCACTGCAACCTCTGCCTCCCAGGTTCAAGCAATTCTCTGCCTCAGCCTCCCGAGTAACTGGGACTACAGGCACGCACCACCATGCCTGGCTAATTTTTGTATTTTTAGTAGAGATGGGGTTTCACCATCTTGGCCAGGCTGGTCTTGAACTCCTGACTTCATGATCCACCCGCCTCGGCCTCCCAAAGGGCTGGGATTACAGGCGTGAGCCACGGCACCCGGCCAGCATCTTATTGAAAATCCTGTAATGGCTGCCTCACTGAATTTTCCATTTCTAATCAACTTCATTCTCTTCCAGTATTTTCCCCTGCTATGTTATCTTTACATGCATACATATAATATACACCACACATATGTGTGTATTTATGTATTTATGTGTGTGTACACCTGTATGTGTATATATGTGTGTGTGTATATATAATAATGTAATATCCCATTTTCCCTTTAATCTCTTCCATAGCTTCCCGGAACATTTTTCTATGTTTCCAGCATCATCCTGTAACCCTCTTCATCTTTCAACCCTTTCTCTTGACTAACTTGAATCTCAGCTCTTACTTAAGAGTTCTGTCTTCAGAGAAGTCTTTAGGCACAGCGACTTTCCCCAGCCCTTTGCTAGGTTAGGTCTCCTAGCCCATTGCACTTTCCTATTGCCCCTGTGTGTCTTCATCACTACTCAAAACACACTAACAGTTCACTGGTTATTATGTATCATCCCCCATTCAACCTTAGACTTTGTGACAGCTATGATTGCATTTGTTTAATGAAATCTATATTTCAAATGTTTAGCAGAGTTCATGGCACATGATACATTCCCAATAAATCTGTTTAATTAATAATTACTAGTTATTCATGAAAAATTGCATTATGTTTTTGGAATGGGGTTATGGGCTTCTTCCCCATATCTTGGAGATTTCATACATTGAGAGGTCTCCTACCAAGTTATAAAATGAATTCAGGGAATAAAGATGAGAGCTGCAAACCATTAGCTGAGAATCTGGTGTCTCTGAGTATTTTTTAAAGCTGATTTAGTATTCCAAGTTTTCCAAGAAGATCATGCACTATTTTGAAAAGTGAATGTGTTTCAAATTGCAAATAGATTATATCCTTTAAACTAAAGACTAATGGGTTTTTCTGTATTTTTTTTCTTTAAATGGCTGCATACAGGCCAAATGAAGGATATTGTTTGATTATCAAGCTGTAACCTCAGCAGGTGGTGGTTAGCAGGAAACTTCTGCTATATTATCACAATCTAAACTAGTGCAGCTGTACAAAAAGGGCATTCAGGGTCAAAATTTCTTCTACATCCTCTAACGCATTTGGAATTATCAGCAGAGGCAATGTAACAACAGTAAGTCTTGTCCTTACAACTCAGCATTCTTATGTCCTTCTTTCTCTAAGGAAGACTAAATTTTACTTCTTCTCACCAAAAGCAGGGCAGATGTTTTAATAAACCAATAGTAAAATGAGATGATAGTAAAATTTCTTCTTTGAATCACAGAGCATCCAGGTACTGGAATCAGAACAAAATATTCCAGAATGGGAGTCACTGTTATATAAATGGAACCAAAATGTAATATTAATAATTCCCCCTTTCTGTCCCCTTTCGGGGACAGAGCTGGCCACTCAGTCATGGTGCTCAAAATTGTTTGAGTCTCCTACTTTCACATATTCTAAGGTGCTGTCCAACCACAGAGAGACTTTATCCTCTTCAAGACACACATAAATAAAGACATTTTTCTGAGTAGTGAAATCTTACACAGAGGAAATTTACAGGTTGAATGTGGTCAGAGGTAGAGGTTGGGAATAGAACCCCAGGAATCTCTTTGGTTTTAATGACAGATAGCACTCTTCCCTTCCCTCTAAGGAAATCAGCCTTGGGAAAAATCAAACAAGAAGGCTAGTGTGGCATCTCACTGTGGCTTTTAGAAGGATCCTCTTAAGTGGCATTTACAAAAGTGGCATTCATTTAAATGTTACATCCTCAAGTGAACAGATCTGCTAAAGAGGCATTCACTGATTTAGTAGTGAATGGAATCTTTGGACTTTGGTCAAAGGTACTGAAGTTTGAACTGATTGGAACAATCCCAGCTGATCAGAATCAAACTGTGTTATTCGTGATTTTCTGTAGTTCTCACGGAGGGAAGTTCACACTAAAAATAGTTTAGAAGTTGAATTTCCCAGCCATTATTGTTTTAATTATGGGTCAGCTGTCTGTCCCTTCAGTCTTTTGGAAATTCAGATAAAAGGAATAGAAAAATGGCACATTGAAAATATTTGACCTAAAAGTGGTCAAATTTAAAAAGCTTTCAATTGTAAGACTTAGTAAATTTATTCTTTTATTTCCTCATATTTCCTAAAGTGACTCAAATGTTCAACTAAAAATATTGCAATGTATTGAACTTTAGACCAAAAATTGATTTTTTTCATTCTTTGTTCCCAATTCTGATACATTTTTAATACCAGGATTTCTTTTTCCTCCTCCCAGTAGCTTTACATCTTTAAGTTACTTTATTTTAATTTTGGTGCTAAGAAAAATTACTCTAAAGACATAATGAGATAAATCCTAAGGATGGGATTTGATCTCATCATAATAATATTACCATGAGAGTGAAAGTGAAGTACAACTGTAACTAATTGTATTACTTTTCACTTTTCTGCATGATTTAAAATGCATGTTTTAAAGAATGAGGTAATGTATATGTATAACAGTGTCTGGCAAGCTTAAAAATATAACTGCTGTGATGAAAAATATAGCTATTATGATTATTAAGCTTTATGATTTTTTCTTTTGTAATACATATTGGTTTATAATATATTCATTTAAATGTTCATTTTAATGTTATATATGTAATATACTAAATTTGAGTATTCCTTTAGCATACATATGTATATTAGCATGTGTAATTTGCTCAGCTTTGAGAACTGACTTCAAAATAAGGGGGGTGGGGGTAGATATTCTGATTTTAACATTGCCAAACAAAAATTTTGTTTTAAGAATCCTTTATGCAATTTCATGAAATTCTCCTCAAGCCTGGAGAAGCACTTTATGGATTTATTGAGCAACAGCACAAACTAAATAGTAATGAGCTCATTTTCATAGAATGGAACTTATAATTCCAGCTGTTGAAAACTTGCACAGCTGGATACTGGCTACAATACAGAGCTCTCATCTTCTGTTGAAAAAACAGTGCAATTTAAACTTGTAACAAAAGCCTCTTTCTATAACTTTTAAGAAACTATTTTCCACTGAAATTCATGTGTAAAACTTAAATACAAAGCTAAAACATGACTAACCTTTGATTTCATACATTTGTACCCATTTAGTTTTTTAAAAAAAATTAAGGTAAAAACAGCTTGACAACACAGCTTATTCTGGTTAGAATATAGGGCTCTCCAGAAGGAACTAATATTTCAAGGCCAAATTCTAGAGTATGGCAAATTGGAGAAAATTGTCACAGATTCTGCACAAGACAGTTGGGGGAGGGGGCTTTGGCTGCTGCTTCAAGGACAAGGGGATATGGGATGCTCAGAAAACTTGAGGCAGGGAAAAGAAGTTACTGTGATCCCCAACTAAAGAAAGATTTGGGGGCTTTTATTCATTTATTCATTCACTCAATAGTATGAGGCATATCTTTGCAATTAGAGTTGAGAGCCGGCACACAGCTCTTATTTATTCATTTAATCATTCATTCACTCACTTTTTTTTTTATCCAACAGTTACTAAGAAACCACTAGTTCAAGGTACATCTCATGTCTTGCCTTCACACTGACTTCTGTGTTTCATCACAGCCTTCTCCACTGTCAATGAGAATTGCTCACTCTTAAGGATGGCTTAAGGCCATTCTTGCCTCCTCTTTTTTTTTTTTTTTTTTTTTTTTTTGAGATGAAGTCTTGCTCTTGTCCCCCAGTCTGGCTGAGTGCGATGGCGCAATCTCAGCTCACTGCAACGTCCGCCTCCCTGGTTCAAGTGATTCTCCTGCCTCAGCCTCCCGAGTAGCTGGGATTACAGGTGCCTGCCACCTTGCCTGGCTAATTTTTGTATTTCTAGTAGAGATGGGGTTTCACCATATTGGACAGGCTGGTCTCGAACTCCTGACCTCAGGTGATCCACCCGCCTCGGCCTCCCAAAGTGCTGGGATTACAGGTATGAGCCACCGCTCCCAGCCACCTCCTCTTTTTGTTCTGACACTTCATATCTACTATCTCACTAAATCTTGTCTGCTTGGGCTTCCTACAACCTCCACCACTCCACACTTGTCCAAGCCACCAAATGTCATGTTTCATCGGAATACTACCATAGCACAAATGATCTCCCTACTCACCTTGCCTGTAGCAACTTCTCTGCATGGTAGTAAAAGTCATGTTTCTAAAAATTTATATGTGAACAACTCAAACCATTGCTCAAAACCCTCTAATGGCTTTCTCAAACACATAGGAGAAAAATCTAAAATCCTTACGGAATCTTATCTGGTCTGTATATTTGGCTCCAGCTCTCTGATCTCTCTGTCCTCATCTCCTGTCAGTCGCCCACTCATTTTCAATGATTCTGTCACACTGGGTTCCTTAATGATCTTTCAATATGTCAAGCACATTCCTGTTGCAAAGCATTTGCACTTGCTGTTCCTTCTGCCTAGCTCACATGGCCACTGTCCCTGCTGTCCCTTAGCTAAATTTGACTTAGCTAATGCCCTTTCCTGATATGTTTTTCCTTCTCTTTCCCATCCAGGCTGTCTTCGCTGCCTCTTTGCCATTCAATCCATCCTCTACCTATTAGGCAGAGTGACGTGTCTAAAGCACAAATCTAATAGGATCCCCCTCAACCATTCGTTATAAAGTCCTTCAGTGCTACCACTGCTAACAATTGGAATTATATGCTTGAGGCTTAATAATTTGATTCAAACTATTCTTTTGGCCTGCTTCTCCTCCACTTCTCAACCTGCATTTTATATTCCAGCATCATCAAACTATTCATTCTTCCCTCAACTGCTGAACCCTCCTATATCTTTTTTTCTTGATTCATGCTATTAATTTGCCTACCACACACTCACTTCTCTCCTAGAGAAGTTTTACACCAGAAATTCATAGTCAGAAGATGAGTATGAATAGTATTCATGAAAGAAGAAAGACTTAAACTAGGAGTTGAAGAAAGAGGAGACATTGGGTAAGAGGGAGGAAAGAGGGCTTTCCAGACTGGGTGACACTTGAAAGAGGTGGGAATGCAGCTCCTGAAGACAGAGCTCCTTCTGATTTGTTGAGGTGAGTTGGAGAATACAAACTAGAGAAATGAGAAAATAAGAATAGAGAAATAGCATGGATGAAGTTTAATTACAGAAGTTAGACAGAAGTATGAGTCAGAGGTTGGAACTGACCAGGGTTCTATATAATGTTATAAGAATTAGATGAAGTGGTGTATATATAAACTCCCTAGCACAGTATTGGGCATTGATAAAATTCCCAGATTGATAAGAATCTCTCAATTTGCAGGGGTTGTAATAAGCAATAAAGACTTATTACAAGTTTGTGATCAAGGAAACCACTTAATGAAACTGAAGTTCTCCAGCTGGAGCAGAGAGAAAATGTCTGTTCCAAAGCAACCAAACCCAAACCCAAGGCATATTTATGGATTTGATGATATTAGTTCTGAGATGTACCTTTTCCAAATGTATCTTGCTCTAGTTTTAAATTAATACACTTTTGGGGGCAGTCCTGTGGTTTTTCTTCTTTCTGAGATGGTTTTGAGTTTGCAAACACATCGTGTAAATGATGATATTGAACACTATTTATAATTTCTTCAAAACATATTCATGACCCAATATAGTGAGTTTAGCTCTGCCATATGCTCTTTTACTACAAACGAGAATAGATTAGTCCAAACTTACACCTTGTGACAGAAGAGTAAAGATGCGTATTTAACACCAAACTATTGCATTGTAAATGTCTCTAAGATTTAAATATAAGAAGTGGTAATATCCCTTCATTGGTAAAATCTTAACTATAAAGAACTCAAGTCATGGCAAATGGCATGTCTTAATGGATTAAAGAACATTTTCCGTGAACCATGTAGCATGCAGGAAGTATAATACAAGTGTTGGCGGTGTGTCTGAAATGTCTACATTACATTAGAGTCCCACTACAGCCTTCAGACTTCAGAGACTTGTAAATCCCCAGTATGCGACTTTCATTTTTTTAAAGAAGCTGACTTTATAGTTCTCTTGAGTACTGTGATTTCTGCATTACAAAGAGTGACCTACCAAGTAGAATAAGGATCTTTTAAGAAAGTTTAGTGGGGTGGGTGAATGATTTCTGAGAGTTGCAAAAATAAAACTTGCTCTCCTTAAGAGAATGCTGGCACTTTTGAATTCAATAATGATTTTGGCAGCTAAAAAGGCAAAGGTGATGAATGCAGAGTGATAGCTCAAGTTCATAGATATATTTTTTGAGGGAAAGGAGAGGATGGAAATCTAAAGAAATGAGACAGGCCAGAGGCCGGCGCGGTGGCTCAGGCCTGTAATTCCAGCAGTTTGGGAGGTGGAACACCTGAGGTCAGGAGTTTGAGACCAGGCTGACCAATATGGTGAAACCCCATCTCTACTAAAAATACAAAATTAGCCAGGCATGGTGGTGGGTGCCTGTAATCCCAGCTACTTGGGAGGCTGAGGCAGGAGAATTGCCTGAACCGAGGAGGCTGAGGTTGCAGTGAGCCGAGATCATGCCATTGCACTCCACCCTGGGCAACAAGAGCAAAAACTCCGTCTCAAATAAATAAATAAATAAATAAAAGAAACAAAACAGGTTGATATTATTTGGCACTTCTTTTGTTGAACTTTTTGAAGTATACAACCTCTCATTTAATCATTTATAATCTGTCTTCTATGTGTTGGACTATTGGTCATGCATGCAGCATCCTTTTACTGACTCAACCATTATACAAACAATGCAGAAGGAGTGACTACATAATTTCCAGGCCTGATATAATATAAAAATGCATCATAAGTAAGTAAAAATGTTCATAAAGAAGAAATTCAAAACACTGACAATAGAGTATTGAACCAATCATGGGGTCCTTCTAAGCATGAAGCCTTATACAATTACACAGGTTACATCATGCCCAGGAAGCTGGCCCTGATCTGCAGTCAAACAGCAGTAATAGAAAGGCCAGACTTACCATTTCACACACTACCTGCCAAAGTAGTTTCATTCAGTATTCAGAACTAATATTCAGTAGTTTAATTAAGCTATAACATACTACTTAACCAACATCACTCCTGAATTCTTAAATTTCATTTTAATTTCTCCCAGCCAATAAAAACTACTTTTTTCCTAATTATAAGAATTAATTAAATCATATTTGGGAAAAGGTGTATTATTTTGTTCTTTATTCCTTTTGTGCACAGGAGGACTCCCACAAATGTTTTGGATTTATTTATTTATTTATTATTTATTTTTTTATTTTTTTTTGAGATGGAGTCTCACTCTGTCACCCAGGCTGGAATGCAATGGCAGGATCTTGGCTCACTGCAACCTCCGCCTCCTGGGTTCGAGTGATTCTCCAACCTCAGCCTCCTGAGTAGCTGGAATTACAGGCACCCGCCATCGTGCCTGGCTAATTTTTGTAGTTTTAGTGGAGATGGGTTTTCACTATGTTGGCCAGGCCGGTCTTTAACTCCTGACCTCAGGTGATCCTCCCACCTCAGTCTCCCAAAGTGCTGAGATTACAGGCATGAGCCAACGCACCCAGCTGTTTTGGATTTATTGAGTACTGTTCTGGATGCCGGTGATACAGCAGTAAACAAAATAATGCCTTTGCTCATATGGAGTTTATATTCTAAAGTGCTGCTTTATACTTCAGCAGGCCTCACTAAGAATTTTTTTAAAAGTATGTATCTGGAAGAGCTGGTCCTTAAAATAACTGCACTTTTAGTTTCAATGAGCTTAATTTTGGTTGGGCAAAAATAAAAACAATTTTTTTTGGAGAAAATGTGATAATTTAAGGCAATTTGACTTAGTAAGTACTCTGATTAATTTATATCATTTGATGAGTTTAATTATCAGAAAAGCAGGAAATTGTTAATTAGAAAATGCGTGAGAACCAGGAAAATTTATTATCACTTTCATTTAAATGTGTCAAAATTTCCTGTACTTTTCTTCTCATGAGCTACATCCAAAAGTTGGTTAAGTTTCCCAAAGTCTTTCATGATGTCCTTCTTCCTTAGTGACCATATACAAAGTAAGAAGAATCAGATAACAAAAGGCTAAATATATGATACTTTTTTTTCTTTTTTTTTCTTTTTTTTGAGACTGAGTATCGCTCTTGTTGCCCAGGCTGGAGTGCAATGGCGTGATCTCAGCTCACCACGACCTCCGCCTTCTGGGTTCAAGTGATTCTCCTGCATCAGCTTCCTGAGTAGCTGGGATTACAGGCACGCGCCACCATGCCTGGCTAATTTTGTATTTTTTGTAGAGATGGGGTTTCTCCATGTTGGTCAGGCTGGTCTTGAACTTCTGACCTCAGGTGATCTGTCCACATTGGCCTCCCAAACTGCTGGAATTACAGGCATGAGCCACTGCACCCAATACTTCTTTTTATGACAATTTCACATTTTTCTCCTCTTTTCTCTCTTCTCTTTTCATTGTTTCTTCCTTTCGATAGAAATTTGCCTCATAGTTTTGTTTGTTACTTGATTTGGGAGTATGTCCACCGATAAATTTATGTTCAGGATGCTCATTATGCACATAGTACATTCTCATGAATCCCAGTGGCTTTGTATTTGATTACAGAGAAAGGCTCTTTGGGGGTTGAGTGGGATTTCTTTTCCTGTCAAATGTCCTCTGCTTCTTGCCGTCCTTGATTTCAGCTAGCAGAAAAGTACTGAATCTGTCAAACTAATAATTTTTTTCAGATGCTCATTCTGCATTTAAATTTTACTTCCTTAGAAGTGTTGCATGTTTTTTCTCACATCAAACTGTATATTCTGTGTTGCTAAAAAGAAGAACGAATGTTACATGAATGTTGAGAATTGGCAGAAATGTTACAATTTTATTTTTGACTTCTAAAAGTGGTTTGTAGTCTTGAGGTCTGTAAAAGCCACATAAATACCTGTCTGGCTATTTATATGTTTATTTCCATAAATAATACATTCTTATAATTTGGAGCAATTCTTATCAGGAGATAAAACAACTTTATTTCTATAGCATTTTACTTCCACATTGACCTAGTGGCTTATGGCCACCGTGTTTCCTGCAAGCTTGGCCCAGGAATTCATTTTTAATAAAGAATCTATTTAACTTTCAGTGAACAAACTACAAATCATCCCCAAAAAGCCTGCTGACCACAGTCTGAAAATATGAAATGTTCTTCGGAGGGTTTTGGGTGTGGATTGAGAGACACATTTTCGTAATATTCAGGGTGTCATCATCAAGTAATGTTTACAAACCCCAGCACTCTGGGGATGTGTGCAGGCTTTAGCTAGCAGATGTTAGCAGTCAAGGAAAAAATTATGACTGCTGCCTGAAAGTATTCCTTCTTGCCTATCAGTTACATACAAGATTGTCAAGATCTCTTCTTATTGATGTGGGTAATGTGCCTGGTTATAGGACAGTTCATCCAAAAACATTTGAAAATTGTAGAAACAAATCCTCTATAAATGTTCATCTAAAAACCTCTTGTCCATTTTAAATGAGTGTGTTGTTTTACTTAAAACAAAATGGAAAAAAAGCCTAGCTGTGGACACTCTAACAATACTATTTAAAATGATTATCTTAAACTTGGTTTCAAATAATGTTAAAAAAAACACCCAGACTCTCCATCCTGCCTCTCTGTTTCTTTGAATACACTAGCGTTTTTCTTGAAAACATTAATTGTATCACATAGCAACTCCAAAACATATAAATTTAAAATTCTCAGAACTTACAAATCCTTATAGTAGAAGGAGAATAAATGAGGTGAGTGTGTTGCCTTGATGTATGGATTTTTACAGAGCAAGTCTTCACTCTCTGGATAAAGTATGAGGATTTTTGAGGCAAATTGAGACAGTTTTTCAGTAGGATTAGTTAGAGCTATTGAATGAATTTTAAGTGGCAAACAAAATTTTAAAAATAGCTTTAGTGATATTGCTTGTGAACAGTCTTAACAGAAGGTCAAATTTAATAAAAATAAGTGGAAACCAATGGATACTTTTATTTCTGAAAGAACTGTGTTGTGAAGAGTAATTTTGATTGAATCTTAATTTATTTTCCTAGGCCCTTATTTATGTATGAGACGATCCCATGACTAGCATAACTCAGTGATAGTTCTGAGGTTTTTGAATTAGGATCATTCTATGCTGAAAAATCGCTATTGCTGGCCGGACACGGTTGCTCACACCTGTAATCCCAGCACTTTGGGAGACCAAGGCGGGAGGATCACCTGAGGCTGGGAGTTCAAGACCAGCCTGGCCAACATGGTGAAACCCTATCTCTACTAAAAATACAAAAATTAGCCAGGCATGGTGGTGCACTCCTATAATCCCAGATACTTGGCAGGATGAGGCACAAGAATTGTTTGAACCCAGAAGGCAGAGTTTGCGGTGAGCTGAGATTGCACCGCTGCACTCTAGCCTGGGCAACAGAGCGAGACTCCATCTAAAAAAAAAAAAAAAAAAATCACTATTGCTTTTAGTAGTAAGGTTTGTATGGATGGAGCAATTATTTAGCATGAGAATGGTTATGGCCTCTTGTTTTATTTCATTTCGTTTTGTTTTCATACTTCCTACCTTAAAAGAAATTGTGAATCTTTAGCAACTGAAACAGAAAAGGAAGTTTGAGAAGAGAGAAATAAAATTCAAATTAGTCAGATATACCATTGGAACAGAATAGAAAATCTAGAAATATACCTGATTACATATGGAAATTTAGTATTTGATAGTATTTCATATATAAGACTAAATGACGAAAGTAGCTTTTCAAATAAATGGGAAAAAGAACAAAATTTTTAAGGATTACTGAATAACTGAATCTAAAAGATAAAATTGGGCTCATTCTTCACATCATACATAAGGATAAATTCCAAATAAATTAGCAATCTAAAAGTAAAAAATGAATTCCTACAAATCTCAGAAGACTTGGATGAATCCTTTAGTAACTTTTTATAATGATGACTTAAAAACACATTATAAATTATTGGTAAATTTGACTGCATTAAAAAATTTTGGCTAAAAATACCTCTGGTAAAGTAAGAAAACAAATGACAAATTGTAAAAATAATGTTTGCAACTTCTATCAGACCAAGGTTTAATACCCTTGACATATTAATAACACTTAAGTTTCAAAGTTTCAAACTACTTGATTGAAAGTGAGTAAAATATATGAGCAGGCCCTTCACAGATAAAGAAATGAAAATGACCCCAAAACATATAAAGGGTGGTCAACTTTGTTCATGGTAAGAGAAATACAAATAAAAATACACTGATATATCATTTCTCACATAAGGGATTGAGCAAAAAGTCAAAAGTTTGACAAAATATTCCATTGATGGCTATAGGAAAAAAGACACTCCCATACATTGCTGGGGAGAATGCAAAATGGCACAAACCTTATTGATAGAAGTTTAATAATAACTAGAAAAATTACATTTTTTCTACGCTTTGATCCATCATTCTTATTTCTAGGAAAGTATCCCAAAGATATACTGCAAAAATATGAAATGAAGTATGGACAAGGAGGAGCATTTGTAAGAGCAAAAGCCTAGAAGTAATCCAAACGTCCAGTCAGTAGGGTACTAGTTGAATAAACAGTTGCACATTTATAAAATAGAGTCCTTTGCAGATGTAAAAAAGAATGAGAAAGATCTCTATACGCTGCCATAGATCATTTTCCGGGATGTTTAAGTTAAGAAAGCAAGGTGCAGACAAATGCATAGAGTTCTACCTGTCTTAGTCCGTTTGGGCTGCTGTAACAAAAGTACCGTAAATGGGTGGTTTACAAACAAAAGAAAATTTATTTACCATGTTTCTGTAGGCTGATAAGTCCAAGGTCAAGGTGCCGGCAGATTTGGTGTCTGGCGAGGGTCCATTGGATAGCATTTTCTCTCTGTGCTCTCACATGGTAGATGCGGCGAACAAGCTGCCTCAGGTCTGTTTTAGAAAGGCATTAATCCTAATCATGAGAGTGGAGCCTTCATGACCTAATCACCTCCCAAAGGCTCTACCTCTTAATACCATCACATTGGAAATTAGGTTGCAACCTATGAATTTGGGGGGAATACAAACATTCACACCATGGTTCTACCTTTTGTATTAAAAAAGAGATATAAAAATGTATCTTATGATTTCAAAAAAAGCAATTTAAGGATAAGCTGAAAACTAACAAATATGCTTACTGTTAGGAAAAGAAAAAATAGGGGATATAGATGTTTTTGGATATAGAGTCTCTTGGTAGTATGATATATTGTAATATGTTATAGCTGTGGATTTGAAATTACGTAAATATTTTCTGAAATTAAACAAAAAGAACAATTTTTATAAATAAAAAGCAAATAGACTGAATTTTATGTCAAGTTGGTGAGATAACTATATAGATAAGTAATATTTCAAGTGACTTTAAAATACAGCCTTTCATTCTCAGTGGGATATATCTAAGGACAAAAGGACTGCATCGCATAGTCCTATTGTAGCAATAAAACTGGTATGTCATTTTGAATGATAACATTGGTAGGTATGATAAAGTGAATAAACAAAAAAGTCAATGTCACTCAGCACAGGTGAAAAATATATAAATAGAAAATAAACGTTTTAAGTATAAATCTTACAATGTTCAATTTGAATCTGAATTATCACCATGAACTCATTTTTTTCTAAAAATGCACTTTTCCTATTTCCTTGCCCTGCACACTTAAAAGTTGTAAAAGAGTGACAATTCAGTAGCAATAAATGCCTTGTACTCATATTGTGCTCTTTATAAATGCTTTTCTACTCAAAGAATTCAGAGCTTTTTAGAAAAATGGCTAATTCTAAGTCTGGGCCTGGAAATATATTCTCAATCCTGGTTCATGTGACAGAAGACAGGAAAGCTACTAAAGATGACAGGGTTGTGCCAAAAGAATGTAGGATGCAATTTGAAGGATTTCCACTGGCCAAAGTTGGGACAATTTGAACATTATAAAGATAACAACTAAAATTTCTTAAATTTTTAAAATTTCATAAGTCTTTAATGATATAAATAAAACAAAATGAAACATTAGCCATTGACGGTTGCTACAACACCAACTAATTCTGAAAATATCAAAATAAAAGGTAAAAAAATAAGCATTTAGCCTGTCTCTCCTGTACACACACTGTATTTCAAGATAACTAATTCTGAAAATATCAAAATAAAAGGTAAAAAAATAAGCATTTAGCCTGTCTCTCCTGTACACACACTATATTTCAAGATAACTAAATAGTTGATAAGAAAAAAATCTCTTTAGAAGAATTCCAGCCAACAAATGCAGAAGAAATAATAAAATTACACAATCATCATTTTGCAACTCCTAAAGAAATAATGGATTGAGGCAATTATTATTCAAGGTTCTTAAAACCATTAGGTGAAAGGTTGATGGGACGTTTAATAAAGGATGGATCAGGATGACACTGGAACCAACTGATCAGTCTTAACATGATTATAAGTGGGATAATCAGACATTCTGCCCCTTCTGATGTAATACAATAGGAAGTATACAGTACAACCTTTAAAACTGAATGTGCATTTTATTAAATCACTAGATCTAATTACCAGTTTACATAACATAGATGGGATATGGGAACATTTTAAATGACTCCGTAAGGATACAATCAGATAGAATCCTACAGAATGTGGGGAAATCCTACAGGACCAACAGCTCCCTCCATCCCACTCTCCCTTTTGTTTAAACAAATAAATGGCATTGCTAAAGTAAATTAAAATGAGTCCAGGCCTGAAGAATCTTCAAGCAGACAAAGCCAGTTAGGCCTCATAAGTGAGCTTAACCTTGCTTGATTTGCAAAGATAAGCAAGACTTAACTTGGGTTATTTCTTGTAAATACCAGTACTAAAGAAAAATGAAACTTAAGGCTAATCAACCAGAAGCCACACACTAACATATAATTAGGGGCTTTCTAGTAGGACAGACCAAATAAGGCAGCTGTATAACTGTAACCAATCACATATTTTCTTTGCTTTATTTCTGTGTTCAGCCTATAAAAGCCTTTCTCTTGTGTCCCCTCATGGAAGACCCCAAAGCACTTACAGTTTGAAGCTGCCTCATTTATGAATTGTTGTTTGTTCAAGTATACTCTTTAAAATTATTTTATGCCTTAGTTTACCTTTTAACAGCATGGGCAAAGTAAAATAAAGGAAGGGGAAAATATTATAGATAAGATTCTAGGAGACATAAGGGTGAAATTCAATGTGTGTTCCTTGTTTAGATCCTGATGAAAATAAATCAATAAAAGACATATTTGAAACAATAAAAGCAAAATTAACATAGACTAAACATTAAATGATTTCAAGGAATTATTGTTGGACATGTTGCTAGTATTGTGATTATGTTTTGAAAAAGGAAGTTCTTAATACTGAGAGATACATCTATCCTGATGGGAAAAATAGAATGGTGCCTGGGATTTGCTTTAAATACTGAGAAAAAAAATGAAGTTACTGGGCATGGATCAAACAAAATGGCAGCGCATTGTTAATTGTTGAAGCTGGGTGATAGGTAAATGAAGATTTCTTATATTATTTATATTTATTCTAATATTTATATCAACATTTGTATTTATACATAATTTATAGATTAATAGATTTACTATTAGGATGTGTTTGGCAACATAGTTGAGAAAGGGGTAAAGGGGGGTAGAATGCACTTTAATTGAAGAAAATAAACAGTTCACTGAACCAAGAAAAAAAAGTATGAGATTTTACTTTCTTCTCAAGTAAAGCTTTATGGGTTCAAATTAGTTTACCTTTGGCACAACTTAATTTAAGCCCAAAACACTTACAAGTGTAAAGGTTTCTTTGATGTTATGACTCTCACCGGATTCTGTGTTGATGTGTAAAAAGCAATGAATCTGAATGAAGGCAAAATAGGTAGATTTAAGTGCCCATTAAACATGCTCTTTACAAGTAAAGGATTCGTGGTTAGAAAAAATGTTTTACCTTTCAGGTACTTGCAGGAAAAAAAATGTGTGAATATAAGTTATTACATTTTAGAAGGAGTTGATGGAATTCAAAACATTTCAGAACCTAAATTTGTGAAGAACACGCATACATCCCTTTGGGATCCAAAATAACTGGATTTTAAAAGTGAAGTGATTCTGGTAAGCAAGGATAAATAGTTTAAACCATGTGGTCATATGCCAGTTGACGCCCAAACTCTGATACCAACTTCATTCTAATCCCGAGAGGGATAGTGGATTTTTCAGCAATGAGAGCCCACAAATCTATGACTTATTACTGTTTGATACCACAGTTACCTATGCCTTGCCTACCTTCACAGTGGGCAGGTACTGCTGGCTGACCACCCAGAAGCCCCAGCTGCTAGGATGGGTTGGTGGCAGGGCTGAGGACGTGGCTACCTTCCGGCAGAACCTTGGGAGCCAGCGCCTCCTTCGCCCTGGCTTGTGATAGGAGGTACAACTCAGGATCTTAAAAGCCATGCAAGGCTGCTGTATGAGCAATGGTCTCTTTCCAATACCTGTTGGTTTATGTCCATCTGTTGAGTGGGATAAATAAATTGGCTTTGGTCTGCCTGCCTGCCTGATAGTTTTAGTTACCTGAATGCAAAAAGCTTTATTTTCATCATAAAATAGGAGTGCGGGCAAGGTTTGAGAGGTATAGCTGAGTGTAAACAAGTACACCAATCCCACATACATAGTCGGTAGATCAGCATAGATTCCAGACAGCCAGGCAGAAACATGTTCAGAAGTGAGTATGATGGGCCCAGAAGTCTTATCTTTACAACTCCTGTTTCTCTGACTGTGGCCTTCGTTTCTTCTCTTTACTATGCTTGGAAGGCTTTACCACTTGTGCTTAGCCTTACATTTTCCTGTGCCTACGGGTGGAAATCCAGTTAATACAAATAGTTTGATGGGGAAAAATGGTTTTATGCCTGAAAATGGAAAAAAACATGTAAATGTATGGGAAGCAAGCTTATAGAAAAACCACTTTATTCCTGCTGAAAGGCATGGTGGAAAATGTGATGACCAGGATTATTCCAGGAAGAATTTCCAAGCCAGTTTTTAAAATGTGAACCGTGGATAAGATGGTTGATTTCTGGTCAATGATTTCAGAAGTTATTCCCAAAGATTTCATGGATAACCTGAAAATTATCTTTAAAAATAAAGTAAGTGCCAGATTGACACAACAGGAATCTTGCTGACTACCCTAAATTTGCTCTTGAGGGAACAGATACTATAATTGTCATGACCTTGAGGTAGCTAAGGAGGCCTCTGGTCTCTTTCAATTCAATATGGTAGGCTTACTTTAAAAGTTACCTTGCGTTGCTTCAATCGGAAAGTTCAGCAAGGCCAGCCTTAGACACATCGGTAATTAACATGTAATTCTGGAACTGTTTAGAAGAACTTTAGTTCATCACTGCTTCTTCCTACTCACTTCCTAATGGCAAAATCCCATTATCTAAGCTTCATTCTATTTGCTTACAACTTTAATCTTTGTCAAAATTCAAATAATCATTGAAAGACAACACTTAAAGCTGCATACTGGTATTTCTCAAACAGAAGTCTGCAGACCCACGTGAATTCTCTTGTATATTCTTTATATAGCTTCGTATTTTTATCCCTGTGATAATACAATATTTTTATTAATTATAAAGTCAGAACTCTTTTGCACTGGTAATTGGCAATTGTAAGACATCCATTTTGGGGGAAGTGAGAACTTTTTAATTTAAAGAAGGTTCTGGCATTTTTCAGGTTTGGAAACACAGCTGCACGCCAGTATAAATGGATGGTTTTATGGGGGCAGGGGGCAGGCAGTTATGTGTTATTAGGAAGAAAATGAAGGTCCCAGTGAGGAAAGCAATGTTGTAAGGACAACGAGGACAGTGAAGACAAACGTTCTTCCTTCAGTGCGACACATGGGATGGCTTTTTGAGGTAGAGCTAGGTTCTCTGACTGCTGCAAACAGTGGACCAACAACAAGTGGAAAATTGAACTAGAGTGAAACCAGGAATAAATGTAGGACTACGGGTGGGACTGAAGCGAGGAGTGGAGCCGTCATTGATGGCCTGGAAGCAGATCCTTGGCATTGTCTTTCCTTTATAAAATCATCCATGCTGTCTCTCTTTTAGCAAGCTGTTTATCTTGGGACTTCTGCACAGCCAGCTGAATAGAATATGGGGCCAAGAAAATGGAAAAGCTAAATCATGTGAGGTTGTGTCAGTTGTTCAAGATCACACAAGAAGGTATAGTAATAGCAAAGTCAACAAGCCACAGGGCTGTCCTGGCTTCCTGCTCACAGTCCTAGCCTCAGATAATTCATATCCCTAGTTCCACCTCTGGCATGCACTCCATGACCTGGTATTATCTAATCAGTCCTAAAACGAAAGGTGTCACACTTTAAAATGGTCTTTCTATTCCTTCACGCATTCACTTCCTTGAGGATTTAGATTGTTGCTGTTTTTATTTCATTTTTCCTTTCTTTTTAAGAGTGGAAGTGTTGTATAGATAACCTTTATCTTCAGCCTTTAAATGAGATTATAACTGAAACTGGGTATGGCAAGACTCTTGCTTTTTTCTTCCTTCTAATATGGGGAAGGATGACCTTCAGGAAAGACTTTATAGCCCCCAGGGGTCCTCACTTCTGATTACAGTGGTTCTTAACTTCTGCACCATCGACCCCTTTGCCCATCTAGGGGAGCCTATGGACCTCTTTTCACAACGATATTTTTTAAAGATTAAAATAAAACAGGCTGGTATTGGTGGCTCAGGCCTGCAATCCTAGCATTTTGGGAGGCAGAGGCGGGTGGATTGCTTGAACTCAGAAGTTTAACACCAGCCTGGGAAACATGGTGAAATCTCATCTCTACAAAAAAATTAGCTGGGCATGGTTGTTCATACCTGTAATCCTGGCTACTTGCGGGGCTGAGGCGGGAGGATCGCTTGAGCCCAGCAAGCAGAGGTTGCAGTGAGCCAAGATTATGCCACTGCACTCCAGCCTGGGTGACAGAGTGAGACCCTGTCTTAAATAAATATAAAACAAAACACACAGAATGACAGAGTCATAAGGGAAGCTAATTACACTGAAGTATAGTTTTCAAAACATCAAAGCACCAATTTTTTTACATGATGATGTATGTACTTTATTAATACTTAACTAATAAGGAATGGTGGGAAGTTTAAAAACTATGATAATTTCAAAATAGTGATGACGATAAGTGGTATTTGAAGATATTGCAACTATTGCAATGTGATATAAAAATCTATCGCAAGGACAGAAAACCGAACACCGCATGTTCTCAATCACAGGTGGGAATTGAACAATGAGAACACTTGGACACAGGAAGGGGAACATCACACATCGGGGCCTGCGGTGGCATTGGGGGAGGGGGGAGGGATAGCGTTAGGAGATATACCTCATGTAAATGACGACTTAATGGGTGCAGCACACCAACATGCAGATGTATACATATGTAACAAACCTGCACATTGTGCACATGTACCCTAGAACTTAAAGTATAATAATAAAAAAAATCTGTGATTTCTATTCCCGATGAATCACAGTAAGAGTCCCTGTGGTTTGTCGCTTACATTTATAATGGAAGCAAATAGTAATTTCATCTGAGGTTAGGGAAAATAAAGATGTTTCTTTTTAAATTCCAAATTCACAGACTCTCTGAATTCTATCCAAGGACCCTAGGTTGAGAACCCCTGGCTTAGAAGATTTGATGCAATGTTAGACCTGATAAACTTTCTTGTTGTTTACCTGTGAGGACAGATTTTTGCATGGAAGATTCAAGTGAACTTTCGAATCCTTTCCCTCAATTTTCCCTCCAAATTTTAATTTTTCATATGCAAAGGTACAACTAAGCAACCTTTGATATCATGCCAGGAAACTGGCAAGATTGATTCCAGCCATAACCTTATTTCCCTCCATTTTCTTGATGTGTTAAACATCAGAGAGGCTGGAATTGGTGCTGCCTTGGCCAAAATAACTGAATGGCCTCTGTCTTGGGGGTTTGATTCCCTGCTTCTTCTGGCAACTCCTTAAGCGAGGGAGTGTATATACCACGCCATTCCCACATGTTTATATGTTTTTCCTTCAAAGGATTTCTTAAAACAGATGTTGCTTTTCTAGGATAGAAGTCTTCGGATGCTGTTTGTTCACAGAGAGCAGATCATGCTGTTTCTGACTTTGAGTTTGGGGAAACAAAATCCAATTCTACTGATGTTGGCTTTTCCATTGGAATTCTTGGCCACAGTGTACATAGGTATAAGCACATGCCCACCTAAATCTACTTTCAGTCTTCTCAACAATCTATTTTGAGTAATATATGCTTTACATGTCTATTCTAATTATTTTTACTAACCCAAACATTGTTTCACTTATGTACTTAGGATTTATAAAGAAAGTTCTCTTATTAGCTACACAGTGTTCTGCCTGCCACCGTGAGTCAGAGGCAAAGGAGAAAACCTGAAAAATTAAGGCAAATGAATTCTTGAATTTTATGACCGTGCAAAGTTGTTTCTAGGAAATTAAGGAATTTCAAACATTTAACAAATGCGATGGTTGCTGTAATTATACATCAAAAGACAAGCTACTTCACCCAAATACGTACCTTGCATATAACTTGGATGTTGTTATTGTTTAATTAAAAGTATGGGTACATTTCTTTTAATCTTGACTCTAAGCCAGTGTTCTCCATCATGAATATGGGTGTTGCTTAAAGTGGCATGTATTATTAGTACAGCTCTCATTTGGTGTCTTTGTGCCATGACTCGCATGCTGTTTACATTCAGAGACCATATGTCATCTGTTGCTCTGTGTGTCCTTAGCCACCTCGAAAGACTTGCAAGGGGTGTTCTGGTAAATGCTTAACAACTGGCTCTCCAGGGGCAATAAAGTCCAAATTTGTAGAATTTGCCAATTTTTGTGGTGTAAATCTTCCCACCATAGATAATTTCAAGCTACTAAAATGATTTCACTGAACACAGGGTGAGGAAAAGATGAGTACAAGTGGCTCTTGCAAGTCAGGGTAAGCCAGTTCCAGCACCTCACTACAGGACCCACTCTTCCCTGTGGCTGAGAGTTGTGATAGTCTATATCCAGGATTTTGTTCATTTTGCTTTTGTTTTTGCTCCTTTTTTTGTTTACACTCAATGCATACTGCAGTATCAGAGACAGAAAGAGAATAAGAGGAAAACATCCAGGTAAAAACTCTCTGATAATACTTTCTCTCGAAGCTGATTTCTGGGACTGTGGTTTTGATAACAGCTTCATATGGCCTATTATAGGCAGATTTATGTTCTGTTTTAATGGTGTTCATTATTAGTGATGTCACCTACTAAGTGACTTCAGAAACAAAGGTGATGTCTGGTAAAGATGCAAGTCTTACACCTACGTCAATCCAAGTCTCCCATCAGCTTTTTGTAGGCCACACATATTCTAGTTAACTGGGGAAACCATAACAATTTCTCCTGATTAGGCAGAGTCCATGGCTCTTTTCCAGTATTTACGAATGTATTATCTAGAACGAGATGTTCTTCAAGCAGAAAAATTTCATCTTTAAAATATTTTTAGCATTCTAGAATCCTATGAGTTGAAGTCAAAATGCATTATGTCTACACTACTCTTCCGATCTCCCAAATCTGTCAAAAGGGAAATGGCATTGATACAACATGGACCCACACTGGCTTTTAATGTGTACCACATTTTTTTCTGAAATGTTTGTAAACTCTCTATTCTGGAATTATAGAAAGGATACTGACCAATGGCTTCTGGAATTCAACTTTTTCAATCTCTTCTTTGAAAATTGAGACTTTCAGGGGTTACATAGCTAAGTAACCCAATCAATCTATATTTTTCCTCACTGAAAAAAACACTGTTCTAGATTGTAAAATATAATTGTATATTGAGATACAATTCATATACCATATAATTTTACCTTGTTAAAGTATGCAACTCCATGCTTTTTAATATATTTACAGAGTTGTGTGGTTATCACCACTGTCCATTTTAGAACATTTCTATCATTCATAAAAGAAACTTTGTACCCATTTAATAGTCATATCCTATTCTTCCTTCCCCATGAGCCCAGGAAACTACTAATCTACTTTCGTCTCTATAGATTTGGCTATTCTGGACATTTAAACTAAATAAAATTATAAAATATTAGGTGCAATTAGTAACTGCAACAACTGCAGTTACTTTTGCACCAACCTACTATGTGGTCTTTTGTGACTGGCTTTTTTTACTCAGAACACTATTTTCAAAGTTCATCCAAGTAGTAGCCTGTATCAGTGCTATCAATCAGTACCTTATTCTTTTTTTGCAATATACTTTGAAAAAAGTTTCTTTCCTTCTGTGTATTATCTTTTCACCTACTTGATAGGGCCCTTTGTAGCACAAAAGTTTTTAATTTTGACAAAGTTCAATTTTTTAAAAAAATTTCATCTGTTTTTGTATTTTTTTGTGTAAGTATTCATTGTTTAACCGAAAGTCACAAAGACTTATGCCTGTGTTTCCTTCTGATAATTTTATAGATTTAACTCTTACATTCGAGTCTCTGATCTATTTTGTGTTAATTTTTTTTGGGGGGGAGTGTGAGAGTGAAAATTCTATTCTTTTGCATGTGAATGTCCAGTTGTCTCAGCACCATTTATTGAAAAGACTATTCTTTCCCCATGAATTATCTTGCCACTCTTGTTGGAAATCAGTTGACCATTGAAACATATTTTGATCTAAGTAAATGGGAAACTTAAGGAACTCTAAGTCAACACTCAGGTGAGTTAGGAGCAAGGCAACTTTCTTGCCAGTTCTTCAAGTATCATTGAGGTTAAATGTAACCTGCACAACACAAAGTGAGGAGCTGTGCACCTGTGTCAGCCTGAAAGAGAGCTTTAAGACATTGTCTTTGACGCTATTCTGTTACATTTGAATGAGGACAAACGTTTACCAAACTTTCAGAGAATTCAAATCTCAAGACAGGTATTTAATACTCAATGTAATAGAGTTAAAATTCAAAATACTCTTCAGAGACCAGAAAACTAGATTGAAATAAACAAAATGAAGGCAGCCTGGGATAAATAGGAACACTTAGTTTCTAAAATTAATTACACAAGTATTGGGTATTGGAGGCTTGCCTAGATTTGGTGGTTGATAGTCACATGGTAATCTGCATTAGTTCCTCCATATGTTGGGGGTGACCTTTACATAGCCCCTGGAAGTCCCTTGATACCACCAGGTAATAATTTAGCAAGAAGCTTATGTAACTAATAGGTTTTTTACTATTACTCCTGGGCAAGGTATAACAAAGCCTAAGTGTTCCTAATAAGAAACAGAATATATATATATATATATATATAGTCATGCATTGTATAACAACATTTTGGTCAATGACAGACCACATGTATGACAGTGGTCCCATAAGATTGTAATGGAGCTGAAAAATTCTTATTGCCTAGTGATGCTGTAGCCATCATAATGTTGTAGTGAAAAACATTACTCATGTGATTGTCGTAATGCTGGTGTAAGCAAACCTACTATGCTACCAATCATATAAAAGTAGAGGACAGGGGGGCCAGGTGCGGTGTCTCATGCCTGTAATCCCAGCACTTTGGGAGGCTGAGGTGGGCAAATCACTTGAGGTCAGGAGTTGGAGACTAACCTGGCCAACATGGCAAAACCCCGTCTCTACTAAAAATACAAAAATTAGCCAGGTGTGGTGGCAGACGCCTGTAGTCCCAGCTCCTCAGAAGGTTGAGGCAGGAGAATTGCTTGAACCTGGGAAGCAGAGGTTGCAGTGAGCCAAGATGGCACCACTGTACTCCAATCTGGGTGACAGAGTGAGATTTTTGTCTCAAAAAAAAAAAAAAAAAAAGTATAGGTCCTACAATTATGTATAGTACATAATACTTGATAATGTTAATAAATAACTATGTTACTGGTTTATGGATTTACTATAGTATACTCTACTTTTTTATATTATTTTAAAGTATACCCTTTCTAGTTATATATTTTTTAAGTTAACTGTAAAACAACCTCAGACAGGTTCTTCCAGAAGCAGACATTTTTGTCATAGAAGATGACAGTTCTGGCCAGGTGCGGTGGCTCACACCTATAATCCCAGCACTTTGGGAGGCCAAGGTGGGTTGATAACCTGAGGTCAGGAGTTCAAGACCAGCTTGGCCAACATGGTGAAACCTTGTCTCTACTAAAAATACAAAAAAATTAACCAGGCGTGGTGGCTGGTGTCTGTAAACCCAGCTATTCGGGAGGCTGAGAGGCAGGAAAATCGCCTGAATCTGGGAGGTGGAGGTTGCAGTGAGCCAAGATCGTGCCATTGCACTCCAGCCTGGGTGACAGGAGCGAAACTATGTCTCAAAAAAAAAAAAAAAAAAAAGAAGAAGATAGATGACAGTTCCATGCATGTTATTGCCCCTGAAGACCTTCTGGTAAGACACAATATGGAAGTGGAATACAGTGATTTTTGATAATCCTGATCCTGTGTAGGCCTCGACTAATATATGTGTTTGTGCCTTAGTTTTTAATATAAAAGTTTTAAAAAGTAAAAATGAAAGCTTTTTTAAATAGAAAAGCTTGTAGAGACCAGACATGGTGGCTCATGCCTATAATCTCAACACCTGGGGAGGCCAAGGCAGGAGGATCACCTGAGGCCAGAAGTTCATGACCAGCCTGGGCAACACAACCAAACTCCATCTCTACAAAAAATTTAAAACTTAGCTGGGCATGGTGGTGCACACCCTTAGTCCCAGCTACTCGGGAGCTGAGGAGAGAGGATCACTTGAGCTCAAGATTACAGTGAGCTATGATCATGCCACCACACTCCAGCCTGGACAATGAAGTGAGACCGTGTCTCTCTAAAAAAATTTTTAAATTAAAAATTAAAAAGAGGGAAAAACGTATAGAATAAGGATATAAACAAAGAAAATATTTTCGTACAGCTATACAATGTGTTTGTGTTTTCAGCTAAATGTTATCACAAAAGACTCAAAAAGTTAAAAAAAATCTAAAAAGTTTATGAAGTAAAAAAGTTGTACTAAGCTAAGGTTAATTTATTATTGAAGAGATAAAACTATTTTTAATAAATTTACTATAGCCTAAGTGTAGAGTATTCATAAAGTCTATAGTAGTGTATAGTAACGTCCTAGGCCTTCACATTCACTCACCACCCACTCACTGACTCACCCAGAGCAACTTCCAGTTTTGGAAGCTCCATTCATGATACGTGCCTTACAAACAAGGACAACTATTTTAACTCATAAAGTTACAAAACAGGTAATATAAAAGGCTGTTATTAGAAATTACTATGGGGAAAAAATTTGTATTCTAAATAAGATTATAGAATAGCCAGAACATTCTTTTCATCTCTATCTAATAACTCCATCATTCCACCACAGTTACGTGGTAACTTTTTGAGAATCCAGGAGTGAAGTACTAGGGCCAAGGAAAAAACTCCCCCTTTACCCTCTGAAGGTTTGCTGGAAAATCAACTGACTAAAGGCAGACTGATAGGAGAAAAGCCATGTAAATATATTAACATGCACGGGGAGAACCGCAAAGTGATTATCCCAATCCCTCATTGGGGTACAAAAGCTTATATATCATCTTGAGGTTACAGAAATAATGAGGGCTCAGAGCATGGCCAAAATCAGGTTATCACGTTATGGTGGCAAGACAGGTTATAGGAGGGAGAGAAGAGGAGGCCTGGCTAGCAAAGGTGGTCTTGTTATGAGGGGACCCAAAAAGTTCATGAAAAATGTGTATTATGAAAACACTTTACATGGGTTTTAATCGTTTTTGCACCAAAGTAAACTCACACTAACTTGTTATAACATGTTCTGACTGAACAGGCTCTAGTTTGAGGCACTAAGAAGAATAAAGAATCAGTTTGAAAGGAACCCTTATTAGAGCAACATGAATTCTGCTAAAATTGAAGAAAGAACAAACAATGAATTCATGGTGATGCTTTAGTGGAAGAATGGTGAAATCATTGATTCTGTACAACAAATTTATAGAGATAATGCCCCTAAGAAATCAACAGTTTACAAATGGATAACTCATTTTAAAAAGGGATGAGATGATGTTGAAGATGAAGCCAAAAGTAGACCATCAACATCAATTTGCAAGGAAAAAATTAATCTTGTTTGTGCCCTAAGTGAAGAAAATTAATGTTGTTTGTGCTCTAAGTTTGTGTTGTGTTAACAACATAAACAACAGCCAATACCACAGACATCTCAGTTGACTCTGCTTACACAATTCTGACTTAAAAATTAAAGTTCAGCAAACTTTCCTCTCAGTGGGTGCCAAAACCATTACACCCAGATTAGCTGCAGACAAGAGCAGAGATTTCGATGAAAAAATATATATCTTTTGAGACTAAGTCTTGCTTTGTCACCCAGGCTGGAGTGCAGTGGTGTGATCTTGGCTTATTGTGGCCTCTGCCTCTGTGGTTCAAACTATTCTCCTGCCTCAGCCTCTCGAGTAGCTGGTACTACAGGTGTGCGACACCATGCCAGGTTAATTTCTGTAATTTTAGTAGAGACAGGGTTTCACCGTGTTGGCCAGGCTGGTCTCGAGCTCCCGACCTCAAGTGATCCACCCACCTCAGGCTCCCAAAGTGTGGGATTGCAGGCATGAGTCACCACACCTAGCCTTCAATGGAAATGTTAAACATGTGGGGTCAAGAACCTGAAGCATTTCTTCAAAGAATTGTAGCAGGAGATGGAAACGTCCTTACCAGGACCATCTAGAAGACAAAGCAGAAGCAAAGCAATGGCTACTAAAGTAGAAGTGGCCCAGTCAAAGCACAACTGGACTGGTCAAGGGCAAAGGCCATGGCAGTGGTCTTTTGGGATGCTCAAGGCAGTTTCCTTGTTGACTTTCTGGAGAGCCAAATAACAACAACATCTGCTTATTATGAGAGTGTTTGAGAAAATAAGGCAAAGCATTAGCAGAAAAATGCCTAGGAAAGCTTCACCAGAGAGTCCTTCTCCACAGTGATGCTCCTGCTTATTCCTCTCATCAAACAAGTGCATTTTTGTGAGAGTTTTGATGGAAATTATTAGGCATCCACCTTACAGTCCCAGTTTGGCTACTTCTGAGATCTTTTTGTTTCCTTATCTTAAAAGAATCTGCAAAGGGTGTCCAGTTTTCTTCAGTTAATGACAGAAAAAGGACTCCATTGACACGGTGAAATTCCCAGGATCTTCAGTTCTTTAGGAATGGACTAAATGGCTGGTATCATTGCTTGCAAGTGTCTTAACCTTGATGTGTCTTATGTTGAGTAAGAAAGTTTACACTTTTAATTTTTATCTTTGAAGTCCATTTTTCCAAGAACTTTTTGAAGTCTCTTCATATGTAGATGAAACCTCACAGACAGCAGCCTTTAGAGAGACTAGATGATAAATGTTTTTTTCAGACCTTCAAAGGTGTCGAACTCTCAGTTAATCTTTCCTAGATCTGGACAAGGGAAGCCCTCAGAGATAGCCTGGCTGCATCAATACAGATTCTTTACAGATGCAAATCAACCCCTCTGCCCTTCCTCCACACCCCTACAAAAGACAGCTTTGCAGGGCTACTTCTGTTTGCAGGCGCTCTGAACAGCCATCTTGAAATAAGTAAAGAAGTATATTTTGGGGTGAAATATTTGTACTTCCTTCAAGGTCTTGAGCATTGCCCTCTGTCTTGTGGCCCTATCACTAGTCACAGGGATCTAAAACTAATTGAATTGTTGAAGAACCTACATTTTTAGACATAAGGTCCAGATTTGGTGTAGTTAACTCTGACATTACCTCTAATAAGATACGAAAGGAAAATACAGCCTTGAGCATCCCCTGCCTCTTGTATCCTTTGGCTTAGCTAGAATACAGTGTTCAATTCTGAGTGTGAAGGCATCAAGGTAATACTAACAAATTAGAGAACATTCAAGGGAAGGCAAAAGAGACTGTGAAATAGGAAGCATGTCAGATGAGTAATGTTTGAATAACATTTGGAGAAGCAAAGACTAAAGATGTGATAAACATATTCAAATATTAGAGTAGCTATTATGTTTTACAGAAGTATATGTAAATTTTTGCTTTCGGATTTCATACATCAATACTATGAACAATGGATATGTATATTTTTACTCAGACTAGTGAAGAGCATTCTAACAACTACAACTGTACGGCCAAGAAAGGGCTGCCTTGTGAGGGATGAACATGATTTCTGACCCCTCTGAAGGAAAAATTGTATGTTCACCTATTGGGATACTATAAAAGAGATAGAAGAGATGACAGGGCAAGACCCCTCTCAAATATAAATGTCTATAATTCTCTCTATCCATTATTGCCATAAAGCTATGGGCATTTGGCTGTAAACATAGGTTTTCTTCCCAATAACTCAAGGGACCTAATGACACCATTATACTCTGCTCTACCCTGGGATATTCAGCTGGGTATTCCTTTTCTCAGTCAGCCAGAGCCCATATTATATATGGCTTCTCTCCACAATGGTATCAAAGCTTATTTATCTTTCCCCAACCCTGTTTTTAAAATTAGAACATCTGGTCTTTGGTTTTGTATTACATTCATTGGAGAAGTCCATTCCATTTTATTTAAAATTTGAGCAGCCTGGATTTGGGTTCACATTTAGTGAAACTTGCACCCTTTGTTCTTTCCATTTATAAGGTTCTTTCCCATGACCACTCGTTGGAAGCCTTGTGGTCAGTTACAAACACTAGTTTTGCCCCTGAGTCATGTTGTTAAATTCTCCACCCCAGCTCTCACTTCAGTGGTGTAGCTGGGAGGACATAGGTCTCTGAGAGGATCTATCTTCTGGTGGGTGGACAGAAGTTAGGTAAGATAAACATGAGCTTCTTCCTAAAATGTGTTACTGGAAGAGAGTAAAATGCCGCCGTAGAACATCTGTTTTTAAAGTATATCCCAATTAGTCTAGACCAACAATGCCAAATCTGGTAGTACTGCTTAACTCAAAACACTAATATTCAAATATGACTAATCTCATGCATGTCTTGACTGTGAGCAGAGTATAAAAACTACATCTCTTCTTTTTGATCCTTGGGCTTCTTTTAATCTACAAGGAAATCTCTGATCTTAGAGTTCAAGTGGTGGCCTACACACACACACAAACACACACACACACACACACAAATACTTCTGACAATTCAGTAACAGCATGCCTTTTTTGGTGATTGTTGTAAAATTTGAGATGTCAGCTTTGTATATTGATAAATTATAAAATAACTTTTCTAGTCTTTTCCTTCTTAAACATTCTTCTCTCTTAAACATACTACACAAAATACCAGTTACAGATAAATGGCCAGAAAGAGGAAACTCTTACTATTTTTTTCAGTGCTGTCATCATGAAAATATAATGAAATGTGTTGTATTTCTGATGGAGGAATCAAAGCCACATATCGGTACATGTAGTTCAAATGATTCAACTCAAAGGGGAATGCTAGTTTGCCACCTTTCTCCCTTCTTCCACTAAAAAAGCATTGAGTTAAGAGACATTTTTACATCTTGCGGCTGATGAAAGAAGGAAAATTGGCATATCCTAGGCAATTAATTTCTAAAGGCAGGTGAAAGTTTAGATAAAAGACCCAAATGACTTCTTCCTTCAATCTGAAAATAGTTCTCAGAAATATTTATAATTCATTAGACATGAGCCAGTGAGGAGATAATAGCTTTGAAATATGGGAGTGTAAATATGCATCATCAGTGTAATAGTTCCCCTAAAAGAGGAAAATAATTTTTAAAAGTCTTGGGGAAATCAGCAGAGTGAGGTGCAAAGGAGACTTGAATTCTGATCCTGCCTAGCTCTGTGAGGTGGAACAGGGGACTGAACCCCACTGAACCTGTTTCTTCACCTGTAAAACAGACATTCTAAGTGTCACAGCATAGAATTATTGAGAATATTTAATAAATTAACATCTATAAGTTGATTGGCTTAATATTTAGACTCCCTACCTTTAGCAAACAGAAATAGATCTTTGATAAAAATTTAAATAAATTGGAATTTAATATCTTATTTTTAAACTTTTTTATGATTGAATGTATCTTTTTAAAGATACATCGTGTGTTTGTGGTTCAAAACGAAGATAATATTGGATGGTGTTTTTGTGTGTAAGTATTTACAGATATTCACATATGATCATACACACATAATTTTCATTAATAAATAGAAAAATAGTACCACTCAATAACTACTAAAGGCCTACCCACGAATGACTTAATATTCCTTAATGATCACATCACATACTTGATGAGTTTGGACTGTGAAGTGTAAAATTTTATACCATAATATCTTCAGCCCCACTGAAAACACAGATAGCTCGCATCCTGCATCATGTGGTAGACAGCCTTCTCAGGCAGCTAACCCAAAATGGAGGCCATTGGCACTTCCGCAGGGTAGCAATTAGGAAGCCTCACTTTGCCGACAGGGATCACTGCTGGGTGAGTTTTGATTTTAAGTAATGCCAAACTAGGCCATCTACTCTAAAAAGCTATAACTAGTTATAGCTTTGTAGAAAATGTTGGAATCAAACAGAGCTGGTTTAGGAGCCTTGAGGTATTACTAGTTACTCAGTCTTGAGGATACTGCTTTATTTATCTGAGCTTCCATTCCCTACTTGTGGTGGTTAATTTTACTTGTCAGCTTGACTGGGCTAAGGCATACCCAGAGAGCTGGTAAAGCATTATTTCTGGGTGTATCTGTGAGGGTGTTTCTGGGAGAGACTGGCATTTGAGTCAGTGGCTTGAGTAAGAAAGACCTGCCCTCACCCAATGTGGATAAGTACTATTCGATTCATTGAGGGCTCAGATAAAACAAAAAGGCAGAGAAAAGGTGAATTCTCTCTTTCTTCTGGAACTGGAATACCCATCTTCTCTTGCCCTTGGACATCAGGACTCCAGGTTCTCTGACCTTTGTACTCTGGGACAGCAGTTCACCCAGATTCTCAGGCCTTTGGCCCCAGACTAAGAGTTATAACATCAGTTCCCCTGGTTCTTAGGTCTTCAGGCTTAGATGGAGCTCTGCTACTGGCTCTCCTGGTTCGCCAGTGTGCAGATGGCATATCATAGGACTTCTCAGTCTCCATAATTACATGAGCCAATTTCCATAATAAATCCCTTCTAGTCTATCTATCTATCTATCTATCTATCTATCTATCTATCTATCTATCATCTATCTATCTATCTACCTATTTGTCATCTCCTATTGGTTCTTTTTCTCTGGAGAACACTGACTAATACACCAATCTATCAATAAGTGCCAGACTACTTGCCGAAAATAAAAATTGTGTTTCATCTTGTAACAATTCTCTCTTTGCTATTTTTACTAAAACTGAACAGGTCTTCTTTAGGCTCCTTAAATATACTGAGCTCTTTTCCACCTCAGGACATTTGCAAACCTTCACCGTCAAGCTGGGAAAGCTCTTCCCCTCTCACCCATGGGCTTCATGAGGACTTCCTTATCTTTTGAATCAACTTAACCATTACCTTTTGAGAGGGGATCTTACTAACCTCTCCTATTATTTTCTGTCTTATAACACTTGTCACAGTTTATAATAGTTTCCTTTGGTTTCATTGTAATTTGCACATCCAAATTCCTGAAATGTGGGTTTATTGAGGGGCTCTAGCTGTCTTGCCCATCACCATATTCTGAGTGTTTAGACAGTGCCTGTCTAGTTTTAACAGAAAGTGTTGAATGGATAAATTGGCATTCACAGGGTTGTTGTACAGCTTAAATAAGATCATTTATGACATATTCTAAGTTCTTGATAAAGAAAATCTTTTCAAAAATTATTTTTAGGGGGAGAATTGGTATAAGGGACATCTAGCTCAATATGATAAAATAGCTGTTCTTGGGTTGCAAAAGCGAAGTATAGTAGGTCCACCACCTGCATAGAGCCAGAGTTATTTCTGACTCACTAATGGGCCAGCTAACAGAGAAAAATCCCCTCAAACAGACAAGGTGTTGCCCATTTGAAGATATTTCCAGATGTAGAAGCACTAGCAGCCCATTTTCAAAGCTTTCATTTCCTAAAGAGCAGCCAGGACAAGGGGATAAAATGAGCATGTACGCAAAGGTAACATTTTCTTCACCAAACTCTGGGGATGGCAAAGTCGTAATTACAAATCTTGTTGTGCACCCCTTACAGAGGTTTGAGATTGGTGGGCTGTTCATCCTCCTTTTTATTAGTGCCAAAAAAGCTGTTTGAATGGGACTAGTCTGTATTTTAAATTCAAACTACCATAATTTAACACCCATTGGAAAAATGTAGTTAAGCAATTAAGGGATATTTCTACTGTTTTTTTCCAGTTGATGACTCAAATCCAGGTCTCTTTAAATAAATCCAAGCAGACTATGAGAGGAAGGAAGGTTCTACAGATGCCTCCTTAAAATCGGAAATATTCCAATAAAAACCAATGATCTAACTACAAACTACTGCCAATTCTGTGTCACTGAGTCATCTTCCATTGGGAAGTGTTTGGATTTCATTAAGCTTTTAAGAATCGCAGGCTGATTTATTATTTTCTTTTTTATTTTCTTAGTGGGTTGTCATGAAACTTCACTTCATTAATATGAAGAATAAAGAACTAAATAAGCTATAATTTCCTGGAAGAGTACAGTAATGATGATAATAATAATTACTGAAGGCTCTCATATTTATTTATATCAACTGAACTCCAAGATGGTACCAAAATTATCCTGCAGAATGTTTAATCACTTTCTTCCTACTTCAACTTCTGATGTCTGCTCTCATTCTGATTTCCTGCAGCTTTTTTTTTTTTTTTCCTGTTATACTCAACCCACATCCAACATCTAGGCTCAGCCTCCCTTCTAACACTGTTCAAATCATTAGTTTATTTCCATTTTTTGGATGGGATTTTTCTGATCACTTTCTTATTGTGCAATTTGTAAGGATACCATTATAAAAATCACAAGTAAATTCTGAGAGTGGATTAAATAAAAGTACATAAAGAAAATAAAATAAAGTTCCTTATTTCAGGATGATGATCAAAGTGGAAAGTTTTAAGTACTACTTGAGTTTTTATGTTTTCTCTAATTAGGAAAGTCATTTTCTCTAAATGTCTTCAACTAATCTCTGCTACTGGTTCTCTAAATGGCCATGTGCCAATATCAGTACATACCTACTTTCTCAGTGACAAAAGATGCTAACTTAAATTTTTATACAATTTTGAGAAAATCCTCTGTAAAGTCCCTTTACCCAATAAATAAAGACCTCCAAGGGAAGCTGGCTGTGCCCCATAATCTAAACAGCCTAATTAATTACAACCTCATGTCTTAGGAGTTGAAAAACTTACATTATGTTTTGTTGTTTTTTTTTTTTTGGTGTGCAACAGTATTACACATACTAGAAAGATTACTGCAGAGAATATGGAATGCATAAATGAATGGAGCTTTCAATCCTTCATCAGCGAGGGCAACGTGATTCAGATGAATGTTTAAGCTACTATTTTTCAAATGTTTTTAAAAGCATGACCCAAAGTAAGAAATACATGTAATGTAGACCCCAACACATCCAGGCACACACATCTTGGCTGAAACGAAGGTTTTGTGAAATAATACCCTCACTGGATGTGAAATGTGAGTGTGCTTGTTGAGTTCAAGGAAAAACAAGGGGTCAGTGTGGTTGAAACATCAGGAGGGAAAGTGGTAGGTGGTGAAGTCAGAGGCATGAGGAGCCCAGGTCATGGACGGTCTTGTAGGCCATCATGAGGTTTTTAGCTACTATTCCAGGTGTGGAATGGGCAGCTTCTGCAGGGTTTTTAGCTGAAGAGTCACACAGTATGACATGGTTTCAACAGGATCATCCTAGCTGCTATGTACTGAGCAAACTGTAGGGGACTATGTAGTATGGAAGCCAGTAGAGCCGTTAGGAGGCTACTGTAATGAATAACACAGGTGAGAAATGACGGTCGTGGGGCCAGGACAATAGTGGTGAAAGAGATTTTTTTTAAACCCGGTCAGTTTCCTGATATATTGAGAAAGTAGAAACGCTTTGAGCGATCAGATGTGTGATATCAGAGAGGCATAGAAGTTAAGGATGGCTCCCAAGTTTGACCTGAGCCACTTGAAAGATGGGACACTATTTACCAGGACTAGGAAGATAAAGGAGAGGCATATTTAGAGGAAGAAAAGAGTTTAAGATTGAGCTGCCTATCAGATATCCAAGTAAAGATGTCTGGCTGGAGGTCAGAAATGCTAGTCTCAGATTCATGAGAGAGGACCTGGCTCGTGCATACATTTGGGAGTTATCAAAGTATGCCAAAATTTAAAGAATCAGGACTAGAAACTTCCAATCACCAAAGGAGTCAGCATCACTAAAAGTTCTATCTCAGTTCTGAGTTCTCCTGAAAACAATCCTAATATAAGGTGTTGAATGACTTTAATTTAACTGAGTGGCGGGAAACACAGGTGAGGAAGAGGGGAAGTGAAACAAGGAAAGGAAGCAAACCAATAAAAGGAATACAGGGGGCATTGATAAACTGGTTACTACTTAGAGAAACTGGAGTTCAGTTCCACTGGGTACCCTCTGAGGAACTGTGTAGAGCACCCTGGAGAATTGTCCTGCCAAGAGATAAGAACTTTCAGTGTTTATCCACCAATTCCTAAATTCACCAGTTGAAGGATGCTCCTGAGGGTCTTAAGCAGCTGCTACTTTGAGGCTCCGAAGGAGCTGGAGGAAGCTTTTAGGCAGAGAAGCAGAGAAGTGGACCTGGGGACATGGGGCAGGGTATCAAAGTCTGAAGACTAAGCCTTGCTCTGTTGGGAGGTTCAGAACAGGAGGAGAATTAATCAAAGGAGACTAAGAAGGAGAGGCGGTTGCAGTAGGAGGAACACTAGAAGAGTGTGGTGGATGGAAGTCAAGAAAAGTAATTCCAGAAGGGAATGGCAGCAAGACTTCATCATTGGCTTTTGCATCAGAGAATTTGAGAACTGTTTCATTGAGTGGGCCAGGATTAAGGCCCAACAGAAGTGGGTTGAAGAGGAAAAGAGAAGTTGCAACAGCTGGTGTGGACAACTTATTGGAGGCGGTTGCTGTAAAGAGGAGTGGAGAATAGGGAAGGAGGCTAGAGGGGTTGAAGGATATTCTTACTGTGAAATTCATACTAGTGTGGAAAGAAAAATTGAGGGCAGATTGATGTGTTCAAGACTTCTGACATAATTTCAAGGGCATGTACCTTTTGGCTTGGCTGTGCCATAATAAATAAATCTACCTCTAGAGTCTGTGACTTAAAGGCCTTGCATGCATCTCACTAATTGCCTTCTCTTCCTCTAAACCTGGGCCTTCCCTCCCCTAAACCTAACTAATAGGATCAAAATCACATTTAATACTGCTATTAAAAATTTTATTTTCAAAAAAATGTCATTTGGCCAGGCGTGGTAGCTCACACCTATAATCCCAGCACTTTGGAAGGCTGAGGCAGGCAGATTATTTGAGGTCAGGAGTTCATGACCAGCCTGGCCAACATGGTGAAACCCTGTCTCTACTAAAAATATAAAAATTAGCTGGCATGGTGCTGCATTCCTATAATCCCAGCTACATGGGAGGCTGAGGCAATAGAGTAGCTTGAACCTGGGAGGTGGACATTAGAGTGAGCCAAGATCATGCCACTGCTCTCCAGCCTGGGTGACAGAGCAAGACTCTATCTCTAAGTAAATAAATAAAGTCATTTTAACATGTAATAACTCAAGAGTTTGAATAACAATGGTTGTACTTATAAACTGACTTAGCAAGTATTTTTCAGGATATAGTAAAATGACATAAGACCTTTCATATAGATTTTAAAACCACTGTGGGTGTGCACATGTGTTTATATGTGTGTGCAAAATGACAATTCCAAATACAGTTAAATAAATCCTAAATGAATAATCCATTTGTATTTCCTCCATGTTATTTTTTTTTACTGCTATGCTTTTTATCTCTATTAATCAGTTTTACCAATTAACCATCTCTGATCACTATGAAGTGGGTTACAAATAATTTGACATATCAGAAAGAAACTGCTCACAAGCCCTTGATGTTAAGATATATTGACGGTATGGGTGCTTACCTTGTAGGAAAAATGGAAAGTAGTGATATTACAGTCTAGAAGATTGTAAGAAAAATTGTTATGAGCTTGTGCAAAACATAAAAGGAGAAGCGTTGCTCAGAAGAAAAGCAAAGCCAAGGAACTCTTCATTCAAAACTTACATTTCATGTAGTTTTCCTTTAAAATGGCAATTCTCTTTTATACTGTTTTTGAATGAGGAACTTTTATAATGAAACTTAGAAGTGCCTAGGTTTTTATGAGAGACAATGTTTATGTCCTACTTTCAAATGCCATCATAAAGATTTTCATATATATGTACAGATAATGTTCAACACCAAGCATATGTCTAACATGGATCTAATAAGATGATTCAAGTTCACCTTGCAATATAAAGGGTCATAAAAGATGAGTTAATTTACTCTTCAGTTCGAAATCTAATGAAACTAGTTAAGTAGAAAAGATATAACACCAGAATTGAAGCTGTGGTTACACCACAAATGAATGCCTTCCAGCATAATGGTTACATTAAAAATTAAACATTAGCCAGCGTCCAGATGTTAGATATTAATATTGGGGTGGATGTGTGTGTGTGTGGGTGTGTGTTTGTGTGTGTGTGTGCATGCATGCATGCAAAAGTGTCCATGTAAAGCTACTTAAAATGGTATATAATAAGTAATAGGTGTGATGGTTAATATTTAGTGTCAACTTGAGTGGATTGAGGGATAGAAAATATTGATCCTGGTTGTGTCTGTGAGGGTGTTGCCAAAAGAGATTAACATTTGAGTCAGTGAGCTGGGGAAGGCAGAGCCACCCTTAATCTAGTGGGCACAATCTAATCAGCTGCCAGCAAATATAAAGCAGGCAGAAAAACATGAAAAGGAAAGACGGACTTAGCCTCCCCACCTACATCTTTCTCCCATGCTGAATGCTTCCTGCCATCAAACAACGGACTCCAGGTTCTTCAGTTTTGGGACTCAGACTGGCTCTCCTTTCTCCTCAGCTTGCAGACAGCCTGTTGTGGGACCTTGTGATTGTGTAAGTTAATACTTAATAAACTCCCACATATATGTGTGTGTGTGTGTGTGTGTGTATATATATATACACACACATATACACATACATATACATATATACACATATATACATATATACACATATATACATATATACACATATATGTGTGTGTATATATATATACATATAACCAGTTTCAGTCATATTCTGAGGTACTAGAGGTTAGGACTTCAACATATGAATTTTGGAGGAACACAACTCACCCATAACACTTGCCCTCCAAGGGTTTATATATATATATGTGTGTGTGTGTGTGTATGTGTATATGTGTATATATATGTGTATATATACACATACCCATATGTATATATATGTGTATATATACACATACCCATATGTATATATATGTGTTATATATATAACACATATATATAACACATATGGGAGTTTATATATATGTTATATATGGGAGTTATATAACACACACACACACACACACACACATATACATATATCCTATTTGTTCTGTCCCTCTAAGAGAACCCTAATACAATAGGCAAGTTCAGAAAGCAAATCACTACAAAGTTATACAAAATGGTGTATTAATTTAAAATCCAATTCTATTTTCTACTTTCCCTTAAAAATATGTTGGGAGTACTTTTCCCTTTGCAGGGAATAAACAGTCTCCTTTAGAAGTCTGCTTTACATTTCCCATCTTGTCTAGCTGTGGCTGGCCCAAGGACCAAGCAGGTAATATACACGCATGAGGGCAGCAGGCAGGCATGCTCATGCAGACATTGCATACGTGATGGAGAGAGGTAGAGCTCCTTGACTCTACCCATTTCAAGCAGGCAATTACTACTCAGCTCCAGGTGATTTTTTTCCGAGACAGAGGATGTAAGACATTTTCCAATTTTTAAAGAGAAGGATCGCTCCTCCCTCTGAATTTGGGTTATCATGTAAAATGCCTTAAACCTAAAATTTTGGCTCATTTTTTGAAGACATATTTCAGTCCAAACAAACCATATGTGGAGCAGATTTCACCCACAGGCAGCCAGTTTGCAAACTCTGCTCTTTGCAGACAATACAAAGGCAGCAGAGTAAGCTTTGAGCCAGATTTTACATTCCTTGTGAACTGCCACAGAGTTTTAGTGCAGAAAACATTTTTTTTTTTGTCAGCAGGGTTAGGAGAAAGGAATTTGAGGTTTATTAAATATTATACATGCAAAGGCCTGGGGAGGAACACAGGGAAATCTTCTGGAGTGCTGGAAATGTTCTAGATCTTGATGATCTGGGTCATGACACAACTGTATCTATACATAAAAAGTCTTTGAGTTGCAGACTTAAGATTTGTGTACTTCACACACTTTATGTCACATGCTCAAAGTATATGCACATATGTAAACATATGTTCAACATATGAATATATGCACACATATGCATGTATATATGTTCAAATATATATATTTAATATATATTTGATTCAAATATATTTAATATATATATTTGATTCAAATATATATATTTAATGTATATTTGAATCAAATATATATATTTAATGTATATTTGAATCAAATATATATATTTAATGTATATTTGAATCAAATATATATATTTAATGTATATTTGATTCAAATATATATATTTAATGTATATTTGAATCAAATATATATATTTAATGTATATTTGATTCAAATATATATATTTAATGTATATTTGATTCAAATATATATTTAATGTATATTTGAATCAAATATATATATTTAATGTATATTTGAATCAAATATATATATTTAATGTATATTTGAATCAAATATATATATTTAATGTATATTTGAATCAAATATATATATTTAATGTATATTTGAATCAAATATATATATTTAATGTATATTTGAATCAAATATATATATTTAATGTATATTTGAATCAAATATATATATTTAATGTATATTTGAATCAAATATATATATTTAATGTATATTTGAATCAAATATATATATTTAATGTATATTTGAATCAAATATATATATTTAATGTATATTTGAATCAAATATATATATTTAATGTATATTTGAATCAAATATATATATTTAATGTATATTTGAATCAAATATATATATTTAATGTATATTTGAATCAAATATATATATATCTTTGAATCAAATATATATATCTTTGATTCAAATATATATATATATTTGAAGAAACTACCAACTTTAAAACTGAGTGGCAACTTCGGTGTGGGAATAGATAAGACAATGACTTATTCTTTGGGGTGCACAGCTGAGTCAAAGCTAATCTAAGCAACGCCTGTGTCATATTCAGTGGAAACAAAAACAAAAGGTGAAAAGTAGTGCTATGTAGTTGTCTCTAGTATATTCCCAGGCCATTCACTGCTAGTCTACTCCTCCTTCAATCAAAGTGGAATTTCACTTACGACAAGTTTTAACTTATGCTCATGAGTCACGATGCACTACAGTATGATTAAGTGAAAGATAGACTTAGGAGACATTCCTTGAATGCTGGTAAAGAAGTTGTCTGACCCTCACACATGTCTACAAGAACCGGAGAACAGGAGAAGATTTGAGTGGGGTGAGATATCTAGGCCTGAGTATCCTTGTGAAGCATGCCGCTGTATCCTTGTGAAGCATGCTGTGGATGCTTCAGCCTCATCTGGGTGAGGATCCCTCTGGTGCATCAAGAAGCTTCTTTGTCATCCTCTTTCAGAGTGGAGGTGGGGTAGGGAGTGGATGGACACTGTGATCAGGTGCCTGTCTGCTCTAGGTGCAAGCCGTTGGAAATCAATCCTAGCACATTCCCAAGTAGCTGGGGTCTATAGTTGCAACTTGAATTCAGCCAACATTCATGAGCCTCTGTAGGGCATACAAAATGAGTGAGTGTAATCTTTGCTGTATTCATTTTCTAGGGCTCCCATAACAAAGTACCACAAACTGGGTGGCTTAGAACAGCAGAAATAGATTGTGTAACAGTTCTGAGGACCAGAAGTCCAAAATCCAGGTGTTGGCATGGCCATGCTGCCTCCGAAGGCACTAGGGAAGAATCTGTTCCAAACCACTCTCCTAGCTTCTGGTAGTCCCTTGGCTTGTGGCAGCATAACACCAAGCTTCATGCAGCATTCTCCCTGTGTGCCTGCATATGTTCAAACTCCCCTCCTTTATTTTTTTAAGGACACCTATCATATTAGATTTAGGACCCACTCTATTCCAGTATGACCTCATCTTAACTCAACTAATTATATCTGCAATGTGCCTATTTCCACTTTTTATTTTTTTTTTTTTTTTTTGAGATGGAGTCTCACTCTGTCACCTAGGCTGAAGTGCAAAGGCACGATCTCAGCTCACTGCAACCTCCACTTTCTGGGTTTAAGCGATTCTCCTGCCTCAGCCTTCTGAGTAGCTGTGATTACAGCTGCACACCACCACACCTGGCTAATTTTTTTTGTATTTTTAGTAGAGACAGGGTTTCGCCATGTTGGCCAGGCTAGTCTCAAACTCCTGACCTCAAGTGATTTACCCATCTCAGCCTCCCAAAGTGCTCTGGGGTTGCAGGTGTGAGCCATGACACCTGGCCTGCAATGACCCTATTTCCAAATAAGGTCATATTCTGAGGTACTAGAGGTTAGGACTTCAACATATGAATTTTGGAGGAACACAACTCACTCATAACACTTGCCCTCAAAGGGTTTATAATTGAGTTAGAGAGAGAGGCATATATGTCACTAGAGTCTGTTAAAAATTACTAGTTACTTTGATGAGTTCATACTAAAATTCCTTTTCATAGCATGGATTTTTCTGATGTTATCTACCTGCCAACTGTTAGTTGTACTTTTTGTCAGTGTGGTAATAAATAAATCTGGTTTATAGACACTTCAGTATTGCATTAATATTTCAACCATGACAAAAAGTTGAATAACAATACTATTATGAAGAATGTTATGTGCTTTTTTTATGACAAAAAAAATCAAAAAGCTTAAAAATGGATTCCATTCAAGTAAGAAAGAGGGGAATAAACGCTATATTGATGAAAACATTGCATTTCAATTTATCACAGTGAAGAAGGCAAAGCATGCACTTTACTTAAACTGTGTCTACATGACATGGTAGAGTGGGAATTCGGTGACTAGTTAAATAGCATCAGCTTAGACATCCATTTGGGTAACTCAAGCAGTAGGCAAACAGGGCAGATGTTTGAAAGAATTATCCAGACCATTAATTAAAGTACAGGTTTCAAAGAAGGGGACGTGGAAATTAGAGAGGTCAGTGAAGATGGTTTTGAGACTTTTCTTCCGCATTTTTCAGTTTAATAATGATTATCACAGAAATATAAACATCAGGAAAAGATTTCGATAAAGTTTAACACATAAAATAGAAAATTCCACGAGGAATTTTCTGCAGTGGAGGATTCGTATCATAGGAACATTGAAGGCAGATGCAAACGCCACCTGTGCCACTGTGAACATTAGGCCTATTCCTCAACTTCCTCCTATTATGGATGGCTTCCTACTAAGATGGAATTCAAATAATGCATCGTTCAAACATCCCTGCTTTGTGTTCTACAGAAAAAGCCTATTTGTTGCAAATTTTCTTGCAACTTGTGCTCAAATAGTAGTGTCATTAAAAATGGCTGATGGGGGGGGGGGCGCTGCTATCTCAGATATTTCATCCTAAAGTATCAAAGCAAAGTTGTTTTTCAAACTCTTTATTTGTCCATATTGTTATTTTCTCTTACATGTGCTACTTCAAAACAAATACCAATCTGCTGATGACAGTCCCTTGCTGAAAATGCTTCAGTGGCTCTCCATGGCCCTTAAAGTCAAGTACAAAGTCTACAAGCGGAAAAGTGATCTGCAAAGCCCTTCAGGATCTGACCCCAGGTCACTTGTCTAGTCAAGGGATGGCTATTTTTTGTTGTTTTGCTTTTCAGTTCCTCAAATATTCAAAGCTTTCTTTTGCCTCTGAGCATTTGTTCCTACTGTTCCTTCTGCTTCTGTATCTCTTCATCTTGGTCCGATTAGCCCTTACTCATATCCTTCCAGTTTCAGTCTAAATGTCACTCGTTCCAGAAACCACTACTGACCCCCCCAAGTCTATGTCATGCACCCTTTCTTCTTGGCATCTGACACTTCTTGGCATCTGACACTTGGCGAAACTTCCCTGTTTTGCAGCTTTTACCCACTTTGCCATAGCTGCCTGTTTACTTGTGTGTATTCTTTCAAATACTCTGATTTTTCCAGAGGGCAGGCAGTGACTCTTCTTCAATATTGTATTCTCAACGCCCGGTGGACAATGTTGGTACTAGACAGTGTTTTGAACAAATGAATAAATGAAGGAGAGAAGAAATGAATTCTCAGTGATATTTCTGTAAGATAAGCAACCGCTATTATTTATATTACACATTTCAAATAATCTTTTCAAAAACAAGTATAACTCATCTATGGTAATGGAAATCAAAATAGTGGTTACCTTTGGAGGTACTGATGAGGAAAAGGCACAAGGGAATTTTCAGGGGAGCAGAAAATTATCCGCATCTTACTCTGGGTGTTGGTTTCATAGGCATGTGCAGACATAAAAGTTCAATGAGCTGCGTACCTACAATTTGTACCCTTTGTTGCATACGTTAACATAAAATAAGTAAAAAAAAAAGTTATAACTACCTTTATCTCACTCTAATACTAAAGATACATTTTACCATTTGTTAGCTCAAAGAAATCTGAGATCTGGTTTTAAAAGCAACCTTGTAGTTCTGTTTAAGATTCTACAATTTAATAAAATTATCTAAAACCTCCAAGCACTTAGAGTGGGCCCATGCAGGGCCTTTTCTTCTACCTTTATAGCCCAGAGAAATTCCAAACCAGAAAAGGGGCTGGGTTTGATCTTGTCTGAGCATCTTGCGGGAATCAGTTTCCTTTCAGGCCCTCCAATAATGTGAAATTCTCTTCCTCCTGTTTTTAACCCCATAAGCACCAAGCGAACTGCACTTCCAAAGCTTGCCTGAAATGAGTTTTAGCAAACCCATGAACCCTGTTGATCAATAGTCACCCTAAACTGAACCCACTTCCAATAGTGACCAAAGAATTCTTCTGACCAACAACGGAATTCCCCCATTCTCAGACTGACTTCTTCAAGGAGACTTCAATGAACTAAGCAGAATTCTTGTGCAATGAAGCCATCATTCCAGCAGATCAGCATTTAGAATTGCTTCAAGAACCTATTCCATATTTCAAGAGAGATGGAGTTAGCTTTCCTCTTATAAAATGAATTTCATGTGTATGCTTGCTTATAGAATTCTTGAGTTATCTTTATTTATAGTTATTTTTACTCCTCATACAACTGTGGAATGATATTGGGGCTCCAGTGATGAGGACATGCAGGGGTTACCGGGCCCCAGGACAGGAAGCATTCTGGCAGTGGCTCTGTCCTCAAAATGATACTGTGCTGCAGCGGCTTGGGTCCCAGGGACTAAGGAGGGACCCAGTGGCCTCTCTGGAGTAATGTAGTCACAGAGACTCCAGGCAGCTCCCGCACTGGGCTCAACACTGCGAGGCTCTCCTACAGCTAGGCTTGCAGGCATTTGTGGTGGGAATGTTGCCTGCAGGGCATCTCCTGCTTACATTTCCTACTCAAGGCGGGGCGCCCTTGACTGTGAGCTGATCCTGACCGGCTGCTTTGCTTTCCTCTTTGTGCTGCCATCCCGAGTTTCTGCACCTCAGAGGGTCTTTGTAACGTTTTTGCTGAGCTTCAGTGCTCTCCTTTAGACATTTTATTTGGCATGTGATTGTCTACTTGTTCTTTTGGTCCTTCTTTGTGGAGGAGGCAAATGCTGGGCAGCTATAGCAAGCTTTCTGGACGACCAAGATTCTTCTAACCTTTGAAAAACCAAGACATGTCAGAATAATGCAAGTTATCTGTTTTTATAAACATACCACACACACACACACACACACACACACACACACACACACACACACGACAGGGTCAGTACTAGACAATGTAGGTGTGTAAAAAAGTACTCCAGGCTGGGTGTGGTGGCTGATACCTATAGTCCCAGCACTTTGAAAGGCCAAGGTGAGAGAATTGCTTTGAGCCCAGGAGCTCACCACCAGCCTGGGTGATGTGGCAAGACCCCATCTCTACAAAAAATTAAAAAATTAGCCAGATGTGTTGGCACATGCCTGTGGTCCCAACTGTTCGGGAGGCCAAAAAGGGAGAATCGCTTGAGCCCAGGCGGTTGAGACTGCAGTGAGCCGTACTCACACGCCTGCACTCCAGCCTGAGAGACAGAGCAAGATCCTATCTCAAAAAAGAAAAAAAAAAAAGTTACTCCAAAACTTACCGACTTACAACAACAACAATATTTATGTTGTCCACCAATCTGCAATTTGGGCAGGGCTTAGCAGAGAAAGGGAATATAAGGATGCTTGTGAAAACATTTTAAATGCAATATTTATATAAAGTACGGTAATTATATTGCACTTTTGCGATAGTAATGATTTTCCCCTTTTTCTATCACCGCCTCCCCTCCTCCATTCAAGCACGTAGCCCAGTTCTGTGTTTATAATGGCAGGAGAAGAGCATTATGAGACTGGGCAGGAAACAGATCGCAGAGGAGTCACTAGCTTTTGTGTTTTCACCTGCGTGAATCCTTTCAAGAGCTCAGGCCAGATGCCTGGGATGCAAACATCACTGATTGAGGGATTTCCTCTGAGGAAAAACATCAAGAATCCCGCCTCCAAGTGTCAGTCAGATCTCTTGAGGAAATTCTAAATCTCACTAGGTATTTCAATAGAGTGGGTTTAATTTTGGAAATTGGCTCTCTAGGTGTTGGAGGGCTAAAAGAGCAAAAGTAGGCTTTGAGGGAATAATCTGGAGGAAATAACAGGCAGCTTCCAACTGGATGGCTCATGGGGAGGGACAGCAATGGGGAGAAAGTGGGGCTTAGTAGACCCTAGAAGCTCCAGCAGAGGACCTCGTGGAGGTAGTGCTCCTGCCGCCTCCCCAGCCGTGGATGGCTCTTCTCTTCTGAGGGACCCTGATGTAGCAGGTGCTAGTGTCAGAGGCGTTTGAATCAGAACAACTCCATCTTGAGTAGGGGCTGGGTAAAATGAGGCTGAGACCTACTGGGCTGCATTCCCTGACAGTTCAAGCCCTGCCCCGCGGGGAGGCGGCTGAAGCCTGGAGAGAATTCGAGAGCAGCGTGGGCGGGCCGGCAGTGCCGGGGGACCCACCGCACCTTCCGCAGCTGCTGGCCTGGGTGCTAAGCCCCTCACTGCCCGGGGCCGGCGGCGACGGCTGACTGCTCAGAGTGCGGGGCCTGCCAAGCCCACGCCCACCCGGAACTTGCGCTGGCCAGCGAGCGCAGCAGGCAGTCCCGGTTCCTGCCCGCGCCTCTCCCTCCTCACCTCCCCACAAGCAGAGGGAGCTGGCTCCGGCCTCAGCCAGCCCAGAGAGGGGCTCCCACAGTGCAGCCGCGGGCTGAAGGGCTCCTCAAGCGCAGCCAGAGTGGACGCCGAGGCCCAGGAGGCGCCAAGAGTAAGTGAGGGCTGCTAGCGCGTTGTCACCTCTCACTGGGACTGCTGGAAAACACTGAGGCAGAAGTCCGAAGGCACTGCTGCTGGTGGAACAAATTGGCAGTCTTGGGCAACACTGACAGGACTGGCAGTAATCGGGAAGGAAGCCACTTTTCCCTTCCTTCTGCCTTCCATCCTCTTCTGCTGCATCCAGCTGCAGAATTAGCAGAAAGTCAGCCAGCAAAGGAGCCTGGAAAATAGTTTCCAGAATCTCAGTCCCAGAATCACAGAGCACGGCACAGAAAGGGTGGATGTGGAGCAGAAAGGTAATAGGTAGATAACTTGCATGTTCATGTACTTGGAAAAAAAAAGGTACCACTGGATTTAGGACAGAAGAAATTGGGAGTTCCTCAATAAGAGAGCTATAGTTTGCTTGGTCCTGTGACCTTGTTTCCTAGGCAGAGGCTTAGGAACTAAAGAAAAAAATGCAAACAGGAAGAAGAAACTTTGCAGATACATTTGTAAATGATTGTTCAAGGATGGAGTACACTCCTTCCCGTGCCTTGGTCCTCCATTACCCCAGCCCCTGTCAATTTAGACAAACCTCCAGAAAGAAGGAACTTGGCTGACATTGACCAAGATTAAATTTCAGTTCCCAGGCAAAGTGAGGTCTTAAAATAGAAACTAATCTATATGGGGCATGGTGGCTCATGCCTGTAATCCCAGCACTTTCGGAGGTCAAGGAGGGAGGATCACTTGAGACCACGAGTTTGAGACCAGTCTGAGGAACATAATGAGACCCTGTCCCTACAAAAATAAAAATTAAAAAATTGGCCTGGCATGGCAGCATGGACCTGTAGTCCTAGCTACACAGGAGGCTGGGACAAGAGGATTGTTTAAACCCAGAAGTTTGAGGCTGCAGTGAGCTGTGATCATGCCACTGTGCTCTAGCCTGGGCGACAGAGGAAGACCCTGTCTCTAAAAAAGGGGGGAAGAAAAAGAAGAAAGAAATCAGCTTGAGCCTTAAAAAATGAAGGAAATTAATATTTCAAGTATGTCTGAATTTGTGGACCGATAGTTATACCCTTTGCAGTATATTTTTTAATTGTATAAAAAAACTGCAGAGACAGGGAAAATGCTGGGAGGACAACACAAAATGCTTGCAATTATTATTTCTAGAGGCTAAAATTATGGCTGATTCTTTTTTTTTTTATACCTTTCATTATTTCCCTAATTATCTACAATAAATGTATCGTTTTTACAATAACAATTATTTTCAAGAGCCTGTTAATGTAAATGTTATACTGTGATTTACTATTATATCATGTCTCAAAAACATATCTGAATTGGCCTGATAAAAAGCCTAAATTTCCCTTTTTAATTTTCTTATTTTTTAAGGAAGATTAGAAGCCAGCAAGTCCTGTGAATTTCATTTCTCATTGCATTCTCCTAAACCTCGTGCACCTTCTGATTAAAAGGAAGGGTGTAGTCTTCATCTTGAATTTCATTTTGACAAAAAAAATTAGTTTCAATCATTTTTCTTTATAAATATTTGTAAACTCTTTCCTCTGTGCATTGGTGCCAGAGTCTGGCTCTATTACGGTCATCCACAATTGATCTTGAAAATATGGCAGAAATGGTATGCTGGAAGCCTTGGAGAATATGTTTTAAAAGTTCAGACCAAGTTCTGTTTTAGTCAGTAAAACAGGGGCCATGGGACAAGATCTGGGAGATAAAGATGATTAGAGGAAAGAAACAGGAAAAAAACAGGAAGAGAAAAAACTGAAATCGTTTAACTTTGCAAGAGGCTTGACTTCCAGGACAAACAAGGACTTGGGAATTTCAAATTTGCACCTGCCTTTAGGCATTATGCGTTGAAATCCATTGTCAATACCCTGTTATTAGTCCAAGAGATTTCTACAGATAGCAAGATGCCTGGAATTCCAAAAGGAAGAAGTTACATTCAAAGAAGCATTTTATTGGCATCTGTAAACAGGCCAACACCTGTTAGAAGAAAGTCAAAACACAGATGAAAAAGAACCAATGCAAACATTCCAGACAGACATCAATATTGCCCACTCCATAAGATATTCCTCATGTTGGACTGCACTTTCCACACTCTGATGTTTAGGATTGGCCATGACTTGGTTCATGAAGTGTGAATGGAACAGGTCTGTGTCCCTTCCCACTTCTGAGAAGATCATGATCTTCCCAGGTCTGGGAAGAGACTCCCCAGGTCTCTCTTGAGCCAGCATTGGCATCAGCCTGTATTCTTCGAGTGTGATGAACAAAACAGCCCTGCTGAATCTTGATTGACATATAACAGGAGCAAAAAATAATCTTTGTGGTTTAAGTCACCATGACTTTGGGGTTGCTTGTTATTGCAGCATAACCTAGTCCACCCAATTGTTACAGGAAGAAGGTCCTGATCCAGACCCCGAGAGAGGGTTCTTGGATCTCGTGCAAGAAAGAATTCAGGACAAGTCCATAGAGTAAAGTGAAAGCAAGTTTATTAAGAAAGTAGAAGAATAAAAGAATAACCCTTGAGGGTTGCTGGTTGCCCATTTTTGTGGTTATTTTGTGATGATATGCTAAACAGGGGGTGGATTATTAGTGCCTCCCCTTTTTAGACCATATAGAGTAACTTCCTGACAATGCCAGGGCATCTGTCAACTGTGATGGTGCTGGTGGGAGTATAGCAGTGAGGATGACCAGAGGTCACTGTCCTCACCATCTTGGCTTTGGTGGGTTTTGGCCAGCTTCTTTACTGCAAGCTGTTTTATCAGCAAGGTCTTTATGACCTGTATCTTGTGCTGACCTTCTAGCTCATTCTGTGGCTTACAATGGCTTCACCTTCTGGGAATGCAGCTCAGTAGGTTTCAGCCATATTTCACCCAGCCCCTGTTCAAGATGGAAGTGCTCTGGTTCACACGCCTCTGACACAATGTTACCATATCCATCCTCACCAAAGCATTTTAAAGGACCTATGTATTTGCAAGTGTTCTCCATTGAGGGAGACAGAATGGATGTACATAATCATTTCAGTGATTTAGGGCAGGGATTTAGACATTTTGATAACTTTCTTGATTTAAAATGTGTAACATTTTATTTTGCTTCCTTCTATTACAGACATGCTGTGCTATGCTTTTCTGAGAAATACTTTTTAATTTTATATTCTTATTCCCCCTTACTCCCAGTTATTTCTTAAAATCTTTTTGATGAATGCTTAATGTTCATTCCCATGAATATAACTGATAACTTTATCTTTTTAAACATTATCTTTTAAAATTTAAGTGCCTGTGTCTATGTAATCTAAGCAATTTTTTAATTTTTATGTTTAGATACTTTATCTGGCAACCACACAATAAATAGAAGACTCTACTCTTCTTTTCTTTAATAAATTCCACAAGGAGCAGAACTAGTAAGAGGAAATTAGTGTTTGAAAAATCAGTATGGCTGTGAAAAGAAAGCTCTCTAAGAATAGGACTATTGTGGCTATGAATTAATGAAAAAATATTCCACTATTTTCTTTAAGTCTATCTTTCTTCAAGATCTTGTAAAGCATTCTTCCAGGCTGCTAATAATTGGCTTTTTTCAAACTTGATATTCAGGCTTAAAAAAAAAAATCCTTTTTTCCAGGTGCTCCCATCAGTAGGGTAAATTTAAGAATTATTTTTACTGGATGTGGATCTTCTTGAGAGAACTGGCAAACCAGGCAACTTTGAAGCTACAGTTTTTTCATTAGCTGGGAGCTGTAACCTGACCCCTCCACCCTGACCACATTTGACCTAAGTGAACACAGTCTGTCTCCGGTACATGGATAAGATTGGAGGGAAAAGATAGTCTGCAGGTCCCCAGCTGAGAGAAGGGGAAGGAGGGAAAGATAAGAACTGTGGTTTCAAATATCCTTAATGGGAATTCTCCACAGTCGTTTTTCATCAGGGCTGCGTGCTGTCAGAGCTTTGATTAGCGCCTCTTCCCTGGGAATCCTTTTGTTTGGTCAGTCTAGTGTTTGAACTTTGGCCAGGCCATTTTTTGTATTCTCCAGGTAACTAGGTCTGTTTTGATACAGCCCCTGGGGAGTGACTCATAGTCTCTAAAGGATAGACCACTATCTGATGTTTTGTTTTCCTCCTATGTCCATACCCTGAAAGGCAAGGGTGATTTTTTTTTCTTTGCTGTTTTCCTGGCTGTTGTCTTGCTGGCTTGGAAAGTCTAAAACGCATTCAAGCCATGGCACCCGGCATTTTCATCAGTATTTTTATTGGTTTGTTTCTTTTTTGGTTATGCATACTGAAAGTAAATCAACATATTAAAAAGCAAGAGAAAGAGATCAGAAAAGGAACGACATTTGTTAGTGGTTTCTGATTTATGAGTCTGAAGGACCTGTCACATTGAGCCTCGGCATGATATTAATTAGCTGCATGGCTGAAACGCCTTGTCAGTGTCGCACATTAAAGACGCACCTTGCAGCCGGGAAGGAGAGACTCTGAAGAGAGGGGAGGGGCGGCTGCAAATACAAACCACGCTGATCACTTTTGCCTGCATCTCCACACTGCTAACAAAAGGCAACTCACCGAGGCACACTTTCCGATTCTTGGTTTGTAAAAGCTGGTGAGAATATCAATGAAGCCCCACCTAATTTTTGCCTATTAATAATTCAGCTCCAGAAAGTGAAAAATATGAAAAACACAACCAGTTTTTCAGTCAATAAGAAAGGCCTTTTTTTTTTTTTTAATTTGGAGTCCTATGCAAGTGGCCTTGTCATGGCAGGGCCTTGACCAGCTCACAGCCGGTGTTCCATTTACAGTAACAGGGCGTGGCAGGTTGCGCAATAGGGCTGAACGGCGCAGTGCTCAGAGGAAGCCCCGACTGTCACGTTGTGCACGGAGTCTTGCAGTCTCTACAGGGGCCAAGAGCTGAGTCCATTTTCAGCCCCTCCACTTCTTCAGTGACATAGTCATCCTCTCCGTTAAGGGACACTGGTGGAAACACGTGCTAAAGCTAAAGAAGCTAAACAAATGCTGGGTGTTTTCAGGAAGGCTACTGAAAACATAGCAGAGAAGCCAGCTTACTCTTGATCCAAACCTCACTAGGCATGTTTGGTGCCATTCTGGGTGCCACATCTTAGGAAGAAGGCACAGAGCTGGGCAAGAATTCTTTCAGGTGGATCTCATGTGGGCCACAGATTGGTCTATTAATTACAGTTGTAACCACCCAACTTCCCCATGTTCCAGTCCCCAGTTGTCCACTGACCACAAAGACTCCTCACGACTGCCTCTCCAAGGAGTCTACCAAGAAAGCACCAGCATCGCTGGGTTGGTCTCTAGGTAGGCAGTCTTCAGGATGCTAGAGAGTTCTTCAACATGGAAGAACTGTGGCCTCCACCCAATCCTGTCTCCCACCTTGTCACTTGAGCCTCACAGGGACAGTGCCCACAGCCTTTGGAAGTCCTGCCTGTGTTTCTGACCTCCACCCTGCCCTACATTTACAAAGTATCTTGTTAAAGTGGTGCATCAGCTTTTGGTCCCCGATATCCTAATTGCCAAGGTGCCAACTCTGTATAAGATGCCATAAAGAGATCAGTTGCTGTCCCCTCCTCTTCACCCTCCACTTCTCTCCTCTTAGACTGTGCCTCCAAACTAACTCCTCCCTCCTTCAGATACAAATGAACCTGGCCCAGGGACATCAGTGATCCCAGAAGGGCCATACAAAGCCAAAATGAAGCCTTACCTTGGCAAGCTGAAATGTCCCATGACTCAACAAATCCTCACCAAATCTCTAGGAAGCATGAGTAGGGAAAATCCACCTTAGAAACAGAATCAGAGGTTGCAGTAATTTTTAGGTAGTCAGAAAGGCAGACAGAGATGCTGAAAGGTAGAGAGAGCCCTTCAGTTGTCTGTTCAGTCCAGTCCAGTGTGGTCTCCGCTGAACCACAAGCCCGTAAGTATAAGTAAGACACAATCCTTAAAAAAAAAAAAATCAAGCATGAAGAACGTCTACTACATCCATGGGACCAAGAGTAGGACATGCATTTTCTTGCTTCACCAGAGCTCGTGGAGACCCAGAGAGGAACTTAATTTAATAATTCAAAGGAGATATAACTTTTGCTGCCCCTTCTTCCAGACATCTGATAAGCCAGGATTCATTTTTATGTTCAGCTATGTGAGACCAAAGTAACTTCTCATGGTTGCCATGGGATACCTTCTAAATATGTGGCCTGATGTGATTTCCCCAAATTGTTAAGCAGTGAAAATATCATAGTTTCTAAGTATACAGATTTTTTTCAATTACATATCTAGATAAATGTGATATTTCCCCTTTGGGTTGTATGATATTAGACTTGGCTATGTTTCAGTAGATTTCAGTAACAGAATTAAAGACTTTCTAGCTACAGGGCATCAATAACTTAGAGACCAGTTAATTTGGGTTGACGATTTGAATGATGCCAACTTATTTTTTTTTTTTAACAGAGGAAATTTGTTTTGCAACAGAAAACATAAGAAATTTTCCCTGCTTGGAAGATACTCATACATACCAGGTATGCTCATCATACTTTGTATAAACCTTGACCAGTGAACTTTTATGTAGTGACTATTTGTTCAGTTGTCCTTCTTCTCTACTAAACATGGGCTCCTGGAGGGCATGGAGTGTGTTGTTTGTCTCTATCCCTAATGTCTAGCACAGTGACTGATGCATTGGCGGTATTCCATAAATGGTGGTTAATGAATTGTACTTGGACAAAGAGGCCTTGGAAGAAAGATAGTGATAGCGTCAAGGAATAAAATTTGTTTTGAATATAAGTCTTTGCCCCACCCACAATTTTTGGCTCTAGGGAGATAATAACAAAGATTTAACTGGAAATTCATTTCCCCACAAATATATAGAAACCCAGAAAATAGACTTAGGATTTAGAGCAGCAAGGCAATATCCTAGTAATCTACTGAAGCAGTTTGGCTGTTCTGCCACCCTGGAGGTAATTGTATTTGCGGTTGAGAAGGGATGCCACATCACATTATGTTGATCTGTATATCCATCACTGCCTGTGCTTTCCTCTGCCACCCCCTTGCATGATACAGTGTAATTCCAGTGATAGAGACTATTGTGACATTGCTAATATGAGGGAAAAAATAATTTTTTAAAATAAGGGATTTAGCAATGCCTGTGAAATGTTGAACATAGATACTTTTTAAAAAGTACTCATTTCTCATTTCTCTTTTACATGCTGGGATGTTTCCTTCAAGCCCTCCTTCATCTAAAGATGATGTAAATTTTCTGGCACATAAATCCCTCTTTCTTACCTTCCTTTTCATCGTTAAATACTCTTTCCTTTCTGAAGGGAAGCACAGTTCCCCAAAGCCCATTGGTTTGCAGCAGCTGCAATAGAAAAAACCTGTGTGGAGTTCAAGTTTTTTTTTTTGTTTGTTTGTTTTTTGTTTTCAGAAGGAGGGAGAAGGGAAGTTCTACCCAAACAGTAATGGCCAGGTAGGAGACTCATACCTATTCTCCATCAGCTCTCTCTGAATCTGCCTGGGTACTACCTGGGCCTTGTCTTCAGGGCTGCAGTTGCCATAACTTCATAGGTTTTTGCAAATTCAGCTCCCAGAAGATGTTTTGTTTATTATTGTTTGCCTGTGATTATGGCCTACAGCTGTAACCACGATTTCCAGCTGACTTGTCAGCAGTTCAGCCTAATTGCAGGCAAAAGGACTCAGCATAATGTAGGTAGGGACCACGTAAGGTGCTCTATACAATCACACAGCCCTGGGCTCCAATCCCGGCTATAGCTCTGTGACTCTGAACAGGTTACTTACTCTCTGAGCCCTTTAGTATACGTGTCTGTAATATCGGAATAAAAATATAGACTTCACTATATTGTCATGGAATTAAGTAAGGTGAGGTATGTAAAGGGTGTGGGAAAGAGGAGGCCCTATAAACAGTACAAATTCATTCCACTTTTGATTAGCTTCCTCTCTCTCCCAGTAGTAACAGAGGCTGCAAGATACAGAGGAAAATGGAAAACGCATCTTTGTTGGGATGCCCTGTTCACTCTTTCTGTCCCACCTCTTTTATATTCTCTTGCTATGGGAGGGCTGAAGGCCTCAGGATGAATGAGGGAAAATGAAGATGAAAACATGTTCTTAAGCGAAAACTTTTAAGAGAAGCAACAATACTTTCCTTGAATTCAAATTTTAAAAATCATAAATAGGCTTTGTATATTCTTTTTTTTTTTCTTTTTTTTTTGAGATGCAGTCTTGCTCTGTCACCCAGGCTAGAGTGCAGTGTTGCAATCTCGGCTCACTGCAACCTCCGCCTCCTAGGTTTGACTGATGCTCCTGCCTCAGCCTCCCGAGTAGCTGGGATTACAGGTGCCTGCCACCATGCCGGGCTAATTTTTTTGTATTTTTAGTAGAGACGGGGTTTTACCATATTGGCCAGGCTCGTCTCGAACTCCTGACCTCATGATCTGCCTGCCTCGGCCTCCCAAGTGCTGGGATTACAGGTGTGAGCCACCGCACCTGGCCAGCCTTTGTATATTTTTATCACTTATATTTGAATACTGTCCAAACAAACTTCCCAGATAAAAGTTCTAAGTTTAAGCTTTGGAAATGTGTTGCTGTGGCCACTTATACTCAAAGAAAAGAGAGGACGAGGGAGGGGGAAGGAAGGAAAGTACTCTGGATCCAAAAGTTCAGGGTAGTTTTACAACACTTTGACAACACTTACTTGCCTGGTCACAGCATTTGCTTTCTCTTACCAGCAGTTTCTTCAAGTTCATGGCATTGCACGTGGAGTGGCAGGACTTATGGAGCGGTTTTGATGCGATATGATACTCTGCCTTAAAACAACTCTAGAGAAAGACACAGGAGACACAAATGAAGTGAATAGACATGCCCTTTAATTAGCATATATTCAAAGACCTGTCATGATGGGGCGATATACTAGGACCTTCAGTTTAACATTACTTAAGTGGGTAAAATGTGCAGAGGAAATTTCTTTGGCCCCAGAGTCTATCTGTCATATACATTTGCTGGGTCCAGCTGTATTTCCTAAATGCTGAACATATCGTTCTGGCTGTTTATATTCTTGGCATCCAGCACTGCTGTGCATTCCCAAGCGCCAGAGAGCACGGAGCGCAGCAGTAGCTTTCCCTAAAAGGCCTGTAAAGCCATGACTAGTTTATTCTCTCAAGGATCCAAGGTACTTGTTAAAGCACAAGATCTGTTGCAACTGACGTGGCTCTGAATTAAATGTGTCGCAACACATTCTTAGGGAGACAGAGTTCCTTTGACTAACAGCCTCCATGTTTGTCAAAACTACTGTAAGCCAAAGGTTAGCAGCAGCATCTGGCAGCACAAAACCAAGTCTACAAAGCTAAAGTAAGCACTAGGCCAGTGAGTCCAATGCCTGCTACAGCTTACTCTCTCCACTGCTCGGTCTGGGTATGAATTTACAGACTACACTGGGTGCATAAAAACAGAGCAGAAACCTGGGTGATTCTTTTACTCCCAGAGAGAGATGCCCAACTCTGTTTTGGAACAGGCAATGTGGTGGATTTTCAAAAACATTTGTTTTCATTGATTATATATTTTAAATGAAAAAAATGACATTTTTAGGTAGCTCAGTTTAAGATATTCAAAATCTCATAGAGGCAGAAACATTAAAAAGGGCTGGGGGAGGGATAGCATTAGGAGAAATACCTAATGTAAGTGACAAGTTAATGGGTGCAGCAGACCAACATGGCACGTGTATACCTATGTAACAAACCTGCACGTTGTGCACATGTACCCCAGAGCTTAAAGTATAATGAAAAAAATAATTAATTAAAAATTTAAACAAAAAAGTAAGTCTAAGATCAAATGGCACAGGAATGCAGTGGAGGGACTTAACCCAGGCTGAGACAGGAGGGGAGGCAATGGTGGCACCATGGGGCTGCTACCAGTTTCCCTGGAACCCCAGATAACTCTGCAATCCGAATAACTGGACATACAGCATCCAGCTTGTTTACACACCTTCACTTTGAGCCACTGGGGGATGGGCAGATTGGTACACAGGTTTTCTAGAGGAGGCCTAAATTAAGGTTTAGAGTGCAAACTGAAACAAATGGGGAGGTGTCACTCTTATAAAGGTTAGAATCCAGCTTTCACTTGAGGCCGAATACTTCTGATGTCTCAGCTTTATGTGTGTTTAACACAGTAGGTATCAAAGCATCTGATATTTCAAAATGCACTTGTGGCCTACCTCTGACTCTGACCTAAAGAGGGAATGAAATAATTTGTAAGCATGGCAGATCAAGGAAAAAGAGAATTTGTTCTAGCAAAAGTCTTTAAAAGGTGATACCTTTGGATATGGAAGTTTCACTTAAAGAATTTTATTTCAAGTGAATACTTAAGAGAATATTTAGTTACAAGTATATCCATCACTGTTTTGTTTTCTTCTTGAAAGAAAGGAAAAACAGGAAGCCATCTAAATATTTGTCCAACAGTAACACATTATATGGTACAGTCCTATAATAGAATAATTTACAGTCTTTAAAAAGTGATTTTATAGAATAATATGAAAAAATGGAATGACATTGTTCAGAAAAAAAAAGCAAATTGAGAGTCATGCTATGAAAGACACTACAAAGAGGGTAAAATGACAAAATATTTGCAAATCATATATTGGATAAAGAACTTCTATCCAAAATACAAAAAAAAGTCAAAAAAACTCCATGAGAAACTAAAACCCAATTTTAAAATGAGCAAAGCATCTGAACAGATACATCACAAAAAAAATACTGATGGAAAATAAACATATGAAAAGATGCTTAACATCACTTGTGACTAGTGAAATGCAAATTAATACAACAATGAGATGCCAGTACACATCTATTCGAATAGCCAAAATCCAAAGCACTGATAATACAAATTGCTGGCAAGGAAGCTAAGCAACAGGAACTCTCATTCATTTCTGATGGGAATGCAAAATGATATAGCCACTTTAGAAGACAGCTTAGCAGTAAAGCAAAACTTAGTCTTACCATATGATCCAACAATCAGGCTCTCAATTATTTACCCAATTGATGTGAAAATATATGTCCATGTGCACAATATGTGCATGCACATGAAAAATCCACATGCAAAAATATTTGTAGCAGCTTTATTTATAATTGCCTAGAAGCAACTAATATGTCTTTTAATAGGTGAGTGGATCAATAAATTATGACACATACATATAATGGAATAATATTTAGCAATAAAAAGGAATGAGCTATCAAGCCATGCAAAAATATGGGTAAATCTTAAATGCATATTTCAAAGTGAAATAAGCCAATCTGAAAAGTTTGGATACCGTATGATCCAATTTTTATGACATTCTGGGTAAAAACAAAACAAACAAAAACTGCAGAGACGTCAAACAGATCCATGGTTGCCAGGGGTTTAGAAGAGAGATGGTCGAATAGGTGAAGCAAGGGAAGCTATTTTTTGGGTGGTGAAACTCTTCTGTATGATATTGCAATGGTAAATACTTAACACTGCATTTGTCAACATTTATAGAACTTTACAGCACAAAGAGTGAAACTTAAAGCGTGTGAATTTTCAAAAGTCATTTAAGAGTCCAGGGGATCCCGGGTTGGAATGCAGACTATGACAAAGGAATTTCCGTTAGAAATATATAAAACGACCTCACTGAAGAGAGTGGGGGTAAAAGTGCCAAACTAAATAACTTTTTGGAATGAGTGGAAAGTAAAACTGTACATAAGCACTGTACTCTAATTGGTAAAATTATTGCCCATGAGAATAGGGGTTAACAATTCTGAAACCACCATATGTGCATCCTAGAATTGAACAATTAAGTAAATAAATGGCAGATGGTGGAAACTAGGTTTCTCACTATTGGAGTAGGAGTTTACAGAGAAGCAAGAAAATAAGTCTAGAATGATTCATGTACTGGATTAGAGTTGGAGATATCAGCATGAACTCATATTTAGTTTAATATAGATACAAATGAATGTATAGGAAGAAATAATTATAGACATGTTTGCATACACCAGTTAGTGTACACCACATACATGTTTTCTTGCTCTGTTAGCTGAGAGAGCCTCAAAGCAACAAATTCAAGTACCAATGAGCCCACTCAGTGCCCAGATATTGATTTCTAATACCATTCTCCAATAAAAGAATCCAGAGCTCCTTGGAGAAATGGCTGATCTCAGGTCAGGCAGGGAGAATGTAAGTCTGAAGCATCTTGTAAGTGCCAGAAAGTAAAACTTGCTCAAGAAAACCCACAACAATGGGGCATGTCAAAGGGACACAGCAGCCAACTGAAGAGCTCCCAATGGCCAAACCTGGAACAATTTGAGCAAAAAGATAAATAACAGTGTTGGATTATAACCCATAATAATGAATAAATATCAGTTAATATTGTTACAAATAAGTGATTGAATATATAAGTGAGAGAGAATAAAAAATATATAAATTATCTGTAAAGAAGAATTCCAAATAATTTATGTAGATACTGCCCCACTTTAAGGAGTAGAACATAACTTCCCATTTCTTAACAGTGGGCTCTACACAGTGACTTCCTTCCAAAAAGCACAGTATGAAAAGTGTAACTTCATTGTGGAGAGAACTGACAAGCTACCTCAGCCAGATGATCGAGGTTGACATGTACAGTAATAAGTCATGCTGATAGTATGTATCCTTGATATGTTGGGATGATAATGGCATTTCTGGGGTTCTCCTCCCCAATATTCATAACCCCAGCATAATCATGAGAAAAAAACAAACATCTCAAATGAGGGACATTCTACAAAACAACTAACCATTATTATTCAAAACTGTCAAAGTCATCAAGAACAAGGAAGCGTGAGAAACAGTTATAATCTAAGCAGCCTAAAGACACAATAATTAAATGTAATGTGGTATCCTGGATGGGATTCTCGAACAGAAAAGGAATATAGGGTAAAAAGTAAAGAAATATGAATAAAGAAAGCATTGACTTCAGTTAGTAATAATGTATACTGTAACAATGTGGTCTATATGGGAAGTCTCCACTATCTTTACAACTTAAAAAATTTAAGCTTTAAGTATAAATCTTAAACTAATATAAAATAGAAAGTTAATTAAACAAAGAGCGTGTTCTATAATTTTTCTGAATTTGTAGTTAGATAGATATTTAGATAGATAGATAGATACACATATGGCCACATAGAAAAAAAGAAAAAAGCTATATCAAAATATTAACAGTGGCTATTGGTGGTGGTGTGATTAGAAAGTATTATTTCCTTATTTTGTTCATCTGTATATATGATTTCATAATACAAAAACAAAAATAAATTGTGAGTCTTTATTTGGACCAGAATACTTCCCTAAGTACAAAAATAAGAATCATATCTAGTATTTAAAATTTCTAAAAATATTTAACAGGCATGCAGTATGGAATAATTCTGTCGGGGAACAATATAAAAATTACTTTTTAATTTAAAACTCTTCTCCCAGTATGCTCTTTGATAGTGCCTAAGGATAAATGTAAAGAAGAATAGTTATTTCTTAAACTAAGAATTTGACAAAACATAGCCCAGAAAGAGTCTCAAGTTAATCTTCCAGAGGAATTCCAATTCCCTCTTTTAATTCATTCACTTTCCTGATTCTAATTTCTTATGTAATTTAAGATGTTTTAAAACCTCTAGAGAGGCTGGTCTGAGGCTCCAAGGAGGTGCTCTCAGATGACCCTTGAATTCCGTTCTAAGCACACCTCCTAGAGCAGACTCTTGCCTTGTAGATTAGGAGATGATGGTTGTGCACAACGTCAGAATGCTGGTAATGTCATTAACACCTTCTCCAGTGAGAAGCAATTAGCTATTTTCAACAAAAATGTATTCTGTAATTCCCATGATGCCTTCGCTTACTCTTTTCAAAATTATTCAATCATTCTGTGCTTGAATTTATTTGAGATAGGCCATATATAGATATAAAATTATATATATAATATATAATATATATTATATTATATATTTATATATAATATTTATATATAAATAATATATAAATATATTATATAAAATTATATATTATATATAATTTTTAAAACAGTTAAACATGCACTGTTTTATTTCAGTGAATGGAAGATTTTGTTTTAACTTTTATTTTAGGTTCTGGAGTATATGACCAGGTTTGTTATATAGGTAAATTGCACGTCTTGGGGGTTTGGTGTACAGATTATTTCATCACCCAGGTAATAAGCGTAGTACATAATAGGTAGTTTTTGGATCCTCTCCCTCCTCCCACCCTCCACCCTCGAATAAGCCTTGGTCTCTGTTGTTCCCTTCTTTGTGTCCATATGTACTCAGTGTTTAGCTCCCATTTATAAGTGAGAACATACAGTATTTGGTTTTCTGTTTCTGTGTTAGTTTGCTTAGAATTATGGCCTCCAGCTCCATACATGTTGCTGCAAAGAATATAATCTTGTTCTTTTTTATGGCTGTGTAGTATTCTGTGGCGTATATGTATTAGATTGGTGCAAAAGTAAATGCAGTTTTTGCTATTACTGTCAAATGGCAACAATCACAATTACTTTTGCACCAACCTTTATGACATTTTATTTATCCAGTCTATTGTTGATGGGCATTTAGGTTGATTCCATGACTTTGCTATTGTGAAAAGTGCTGTGATGAACATAAGCATGCATGTGTCTTTATGGTAGAATAATTTCTATTCATTTGGGTATATACCCAATAATAGGATTGCTGCATCAAATAATACTTCTGTTATTTGTTCTTTGAGAAATTGCTACACTGCTTTCTACAATGGCTGAACTAATTTACATTCTCACCAGCAGTGTATAAGTATTCCCTTTTCTCTGCAACCTTGCCAGCATCTGTTATTTTTTGACTTTTTAATAATGGCCATTTTGACTGGTATGAGATGGTATCTCATTGTGGTTTTGATTGCCTTTCTCTAAAGATCATTGATATTAAGGCATTTTTTCATATGCTTTTTGTCCACCTGTATGTTTTCTTTTGAAAAGTGTTTGTTCATATCCTTTGCCCACTTTTTAATGGGGTTTTTTGTTTTTTGCTAGTTAATTTAAGTTCCTTATAGATACTGGATATTAGACCTTTGTCAGATGCAGTTTGCAAATATTTTCTCCCATTCTATACGTTGTCTGTTTACTCTGCTGATGGTTTATTTTGCTGTGCAGGAGCTCTTAGTTTACTTACATCCCACTTATCACTTTTTGTTTTTGTTGCAATTGCTTTTGGTGTCTTTGTCATGAAATCTTTGTCAGGGCCTATGTCCTGAATGGTATATCCTAGGTTATCTTCCAGGGTTTTATAGTTTTAGGTTTTACATTTAAGTCTTTAATCCACTTCGAATTGATTATTGTATATGGTGTAAGGGAGGGATCCAGTTTCCATCTTCTGCATATGGCTAGCCAGTTATCACAACACCATTGATTGAATAGGGATTCCTTTCCCCATTGCTTGTTTGCGTCAACTTTGTCAAATATCAGTTGGTTGTAGGTGTGTGGCTTTATTTCTGGGTTTTCTATTCTGTTTCATTGGTCTATGTGTCTGTTTTTCTACCAGTACTATGCTGTTTTGATTACTATAGCTCTGTAGTATAGTTTAAAGTTGCGTAACTGATGCCTCCAGCTTTGTTCTTTTTGCTTAGAATTGTCTTGACTATTCAAGCTCTTTTTGGTTCTCTATATGAATTTTAAAATAGTTTTTTTCTAATTCTGTGAAGAATGTCACTGATAGTTTGATAGGAATATCATTGAATCTGTAAATTGCTTTGGGCAGCATGGCCATTTTAACATTATTGATTCTTCCTATCCATGGACATGGAATGTTTTTCCATGTTTGTGTCATTTCTGATTTCTTGGAACAGTATTTTATAATTCTCATTGTAGAGATTTTTCACTTCCCTGCTTAGCTGTATTCTTAGGTATTTTATTCTTTTTGTGACTATTGTGAATAGGATAGTATTCTTGATTTGGCTGTCAGCTTGATATTGTTTGTGTATAGAAATGCTACTGATTTTTTTACATTGATTTTGTATTCTGAAATTTTGCTGAAGTTTTTTTTTTTTTATCAGATCTAGGAGCTTTGGGGAAGAGACTATGAAGTTTTCTAGGTATAGAATCATACTACATGCAAACAGAGATAGTTTGTCTTCCTCTCTTCTTGTTTGGATGTGTTTTATTTCTTTCTCTTGACTGATTGCTTTGTCTAAGACTTACAGTACTATGTTGAATGGGAGTGGTGAGAGTGAGCATCCTTGTCTTGTTCTGGTTCTCAAGGATAATGTTTCCAGCATTTGCCCATTCATACTAGGCCAACATCACAGGCCCAGTATGATGTTGCCTGTGAGTTTGTCATAGATGGCTCTTATTATTTTGAAATGAGATGCCTTCAATGCCTAGTTTATTGAGGGTTTTTAACATGAAGTGATGTTAAATTTTGTTGAAAGTCTTTTCTGAATCATGGTCATGATCATATGGTTTTTGTTTTTAGTTCTGTTTATGCGGTGAATCATATTTATTGATTTGCATATGTTGAACCAAGCTTGCATCACAGGGATAAAGCCTACTTGATCACGGTGGGTTAGCTTTTTGATGTGTTGCTGGATTCAACTTGTTAGTATTTTGTTGAGGACTTTTGCATCTATGTTCATCAAGGATATTGGCCTGAAGTTTTTTGTTGTTGTTGTCTCTACCAGGTTTGGTATCATGATGATGCTGGCCTCATAGTTGGAGAGGAGTCACTCCTCTTCTATTTTTTGGAAAAGTTTTAGTAGGAATGGTACCAACTCTTCTTTACACATCTGGTAGAATTCAGCTGTGAATCCCTTTGCTCCTGGGTTTTTTCTGGTTGGTAAGATTTTGATTACTGATTCAACTTCAGAAATTGTGATTGATTTGTTCAGTGATTCAATTTCTTCCTGGTTTAGTCTTGGGAGGTTGTATGTTTCCAGGAATTTTTCAGTTTCTTCTAGGTTTTCTAGTTTGTGTGCACAGAGGCGTTTGTAGTAGTCTCTGAGGGTTTTTTGTATTCCTGTGGGGTTAGTGGGAAAGTGCCCTTTGTCTTTCTAATTGTGTTTATTTGGATTATCTCCCTTTTCTTCTTTATTAGTCTAGCTAGTGGTCTATCAATCCTATTTATTCTTTCAAAAAACCAATTTTTGGACTCCTTGATCTTTTATATGTTTTGTGTATGTGTCCCAGTTTCCTTCAGTTCAGCTGCGATTTTTGTTATTTCTCGTCTTCTGCTAGCTTTGGGGTTGTTTTGCTTTTGTTTCTCTAGTTCTTCTAGAGATGACATTAGGTTGTTAATTTGAGATCTTTCTAACTTTTCTACATGGGTGTTTAGCACTATAAATTTCCCTCTTAACACTGCTTTAGCTGTGTCCCAGAGATTCTGGTATGTTGTATCCTTGTTCTCATTAGTTTCAAAGAGTTTCTTGATTTCTGTCTTAATTTCATTGTTTACCCAAATGTCATTCAGGACCAGGTTGTTTAATTTCCATGTAATTGGATGGTTTTGAATAATTTTCTTAGTATTGATTTCTATTTTTATTGTGCTGTGGTCCAAGAATGTGTTTGATATGATTACAGTTTTTCTGAATTTGCTGAGAATTGTTTTATGGCTGATTGTGTGGTCAATTTTAGAATATATGATATGTGCAGATGAGAATGTATATTCTGTAGTTTTTGAGTGGAGAGTTCTGCAGATGTCCGATGTCCGTTAGGCCCATTTTGTCAAATGTAGAGTTCAGGTCCCAAATATCTTTGTTAGTTTTCTGCTTCAGTGATCTGTCTAAGACAATCAATGGGGTGTTGTCTTCTCCCACATCATTCTGTGGTTGTCTAAGTCTTTTTGCAGATCTCTAAGAACTTGCTTTATGAATCTGGATGCTTCTGTGTTGGGTGTACATGTATTTAAGATAGTTAGATCTTCTTGTTGAATTGAACCCTTACCATTATGTAATGTCCTTCTTTGTCTTTTTTTATTGTTGTTGGTTTAAAGTCTGTTTTGTCTGAAATTAGAATAGCAATCCTTGCTTTTTTCTGTTTTCTGTTTGCTTGGTGGATTTTTCTCCATCCCTTTACTTTGAGCCTATGTGTGTCACTGCATGTGAGATGGGTCTCTTGTAGACAGCATATAGTTGGGTCTTGTTTCTTTATCCAACTTGCCATTCTGTGCCTTTTAATTGTGACATTTAACCCATTTACATTCAAGGTTAATATTGATATGTGCAGGTTGGTGCTGTCATTGTGTAGTTAGATGCCTATTATGCAGACTTGACTATGTGGTTGTTTTATAGTGTCAATGGTCTATGGACTTCAGTGTGTTTTTGTGGTGTCTGGTAACACTCTTGTCTTTCCATATTTAGCACACCCTCAAGGACCTATTGTAAGACAGGCCTGTTAGTAACAAATTTCCTTAGCATTTGTTTTTCTGGAAAGGATCTTATTTCTTCTCCATTTATGAAGATTAGTTTGGCTAAAAATGAAATTCTTGGTGAAAATTTATGTTCTTTAAGAATGCCAAAAATAGGCCCCCAATCTCTTCTGGCTTGTAGGGTTTCTGCTGAAAGGTCTGCTGTTAGCCTGGTGAGGCTCACTTTGTAGGTGACCTGCCCCTTTCTTTGTAGCTGTCTTTAACATTTTTTCTTTTATTTTGACCATGGATAATCTGATATCTGTGTTTTGAGGATTGTCATCTTGTATATTACTTCACAAGGGTTCTCTGCATTTCCTGAATTTGAATGTTGGCCTCTCTAGCAAGATTGGGTAAACTCTTGTGAATGATATCTTCAAATATGTTTTCCAAGTTGCTTCCTTTCTCTCCCTCTCTTTCAAGGAGGCTTATAAGTCATAAATTTGGTCTCTTTACATACACCCATATTTCTAAGAGGTTTTGTTCATTCTTCTTTTTTGATTTTTCTCTATTTTTGTCTGCTTGAGTTATTTCAGAGAATTTGTCTTCAGCTCTGAGATTCTTTCTTCAGCTTGGTTGATTCTGCTGTTAATATTTGTGATTTTATTACAAAATTCTGGAAGTGAGTTTTTCAGCTCTATCACTTCAGTTTGGTTCTTCTTTAAAATGGCCGTTTCATCTTTTATCTCCTGTATCATTTTATTGTATTCCTTAGATTCCTTGCATTGGGTTTCAATTTTCTTCTGAATGTAAATGATCTTCATTCCTATCCATATTTTGAATTCTGTTTCAAATGTTTCAGCCATTTCAGCCAGATTAAGAGCCATTGCTGGGGTTGTTTGTTTGTAAGGAGATAAGACACTCTGGCTTTTTGAGTTGCCAGAGTTATTGAGCTGGTTCTTTCACATATGTGTGAGCTGATGTTCCTTCAATCTTTGAAGTTTCTGTCCTGTTGTTTTTTTGTTTGTTTGCTTTGTGTGTTTTGTTTTGCTTTTATCTTCTTTGATGCCTTTGGGGGTTTGATTATGGTATAAGGTGGGTTCAAGTGACTGGATTTGGTTCTAGTCTGCTCCTGGATCTTGGAGGAGCCCCTCCAATTATTGTCTTCATGCCTGCATTTCTTTTGTTGGGTGTTCTGGTCCATGGGGCTCCCTCAGGCAGGGGTCACAATTGACAGACAGGTTGTATCCTTGCCAGGCTGGCCCTAATTTGTGTCTGAGTGCCTCCTGCGGGAAATGTGAGGTTGCACCTGCCTGCAGAGTTCAAGTAGAAGCAGGACTGCTGGACTAAAAGCTCTGGTGGGTGTGGGCAGTCTGGCTATGAGAGACAGGAGTCAGTGAAGTTTCCTGCCTTGCTGTCTGCTTGTTTCTGGGACAACAGGAGGCTGCACCCCTTGGCAAATTCAGGCATAAGTAAAACTTCTGGGCTGGAAGCTCTAGCAGATGTACCTTGCCTGCTTATGAGAGGTGGAATTGAGTGGAGTCTCCCATCCTGCCATCCAGGTATTACTTGGAACAGCAGAAGTCTGTGTCCACCAGCTAAGTTCAGACAGATGTGAGACTGCTGAACTGGAAGCTCTAGGAGGCATTGCCCACCTGGTTACCAGTGGAGGGGGTGGGTGGAGTTGCCAGCCCTGCCATCTGGGTGCTTTCTGGGACAACAGGTGACTGCAGCTGCTGGCCAAGTTCAGGCCATAGCAGGACCACTGAGTCAGAAGCTGGCACTGAGCCCCATCTGGTGAAGGAGGTGGAGCAATTTTATTGCTCCCAGGTGCCACAAATATATGGCCTCTACTGGGGCTGTGATACCAGTGCTGGTCTGCTCCAGGGCCCAAGGCTTGTAGAGGTCTCCTTGAACTCTTGAGTTGCACATGCAACTCTCTGCCTTAGCCTAGAAGCATGGTGGAGGGGTTCAGGGGGTCCAGGAGTATTCTTCCATTCTGAGTCTTGCACAGGTCCCTGTGGAAAGTGTGAATCCCCCAAGGGGCTCTCACTTACTCAGTCTTTCCCATGTTTAACAGATTCTCCTAGCTCCTTACTGAGCCCAGACAGTCTAGTGCCCAGATTCTCTCCTCTCTGCTCTCTGTGTCCCCCTGCTGCCGTGACAGATCCCAACATGATTTCTCAGCTTGCAGGATTGGTGTTCACTAGCCCATTTGTTTCCTCTCCTTGAGAGTGGCATACAAGAGCTGCCTGTCGTCCACTATCTTGGCCCCAATTTTTTTTCCTCATGAGTCATTTTATTTACTCATTTCTCATTCTACAAGTAGTCTTTGAGGGCTTGCCATTTTTCCATTACTATGTTAATAGTTGAGGATATTAAGGTATGAATAATAATATATAGCACCTAATTTTAAGGAGATCTTAGAAAAGAAGAAAGGGGACAGTGAGAAAAATAAATTATTATAATTAGAAAATAGAATAAAGAAAAGTTTAAGTAAAATAAAATGAACATTCACAGCAAGGAGATATTACATCCATGTAGAAGGGGACAGGGAAGGATTTGCAAAAAGATAACTGAAAATTGGATCCTGCTTAATATTTGGTGGTATTGGGTGGAATGTTTATTCTCCTTTCTTCATGTTTCTGTGGAAGAACTTCAGCTAGAATAACACTTCTGACCACTCTCCCCACTCATTTCACCTTCCACAGAGAGTTAAATAATGAGTTCAAGAGCAGAAACTGAGCATGCTTGGCTTAGCCCATTTTGTTTTCTATTGCTTGACCCTTTGGAGTAGGAGTCTCTCTGCATGACCCTTTGATTTGATCTATCTTTTGTTATGCAATAAAAAAAATCCTTAATGCCTCTTTCTTCAGTTAACTTTATCAATAGTAGAGGAGACCATATAACCTGTGCCTGTCTCCTGAGTCTATCATAGAAGAGGAAGAAAGGTGTTATTATTTCATAAACAATCTAATAATAGACTTTGGATGTGTTGAGATAGAAGAGATGAGGGGAAAAGATAAGCAAAGACACAGATACAAAGTTTGGAGGAACATTGAGTATGTCAAATAGGAATTAAGTATGAATGAAGAGAGAAGTAGAAGATGAAGTTAAAAAGAAAGATTGGGGAATGTATTAGTCAGGGTTCACCAGAGAAACAGAACCCATAGGATAAATATAGAGATATACCAAAAGAGATTTATTATGAGGAACTGGCTCAAGCTGTTATGAAAGCTGAAGACTCCCACTATCTGCTGTCTGCAAGCGAAAGGCCCAGGAAAGCTGATGCTGTAGTTCCAGTCCAAAACTGAAAGCCTGAGAGCCAGGGAAGCCACTGGTGTAAGTCTCAGTTTAATTCCGAAGGCCAAGAACCAGGAGCACTAATTTCTGAAGGCAGGAGGAGATGGACGTCTCAGCTCAAGCAGAAGGAGCAAGTTTGCTCTTTCTTCACCTTTTTGTTCTATTTGGGCCCTCAATGGATTGGTTGATGCCTGCCTATGCTGACAACAGCAATCATCTTTATGCTGCCTACTGATTCAAATGCTAATCTCTTCCAGCAACGCCCTCAGGTGCACCTAGAAATAATGTTTTACCAGCTATCTGGGCATCCCTTAGCCCAGTCAAGTTAACACATAAAATTAACCATCACGACTATTCTTGAAAGATCCAGAAAGCCAGGCTAATGCTTTAGAATTCTTTCATAGCCAATAGAGAGGTTCTGGAGTCCTGTATTTGCAGAGTATCTAATATTGGACTAACTCTCCCAAGAAAACAATGATAAACTCTAAGCAAATATTAAAAACAATTGTTTGAAGATGCTAGAAAGTAGTCAAAAGCAGGCCGAAATGGAGATGATTTGATCCTAAAAAATGGAGATGATTGGATCTCACCCATAAGGGGTGAGATCCACCCTTGGCTTTCTTACTGGGGCAATCCTTAGCCCCACTGAACTAGAAGTAAAACCACACCCTTATTATAGAAGTCAGAACAAAGTTGGGACTGCTATAGTGGCTGGAAATTAAGGGGAAAAAATCTCAGAGAAAAAAGAGTCATAGAAAGGGAATTCCAAAATCTGCAATATAAACTTCACTTAATCTTTGGCTGACTGCTGAACTATGCATATGAGAGGTGAGACTCCAGGAAACTTGGCAGGAAAAACAACTCTTAAAATGCTGAAGATCTAAGAAATATTTTAGTAGCTGCCCAATGCAGGAGAGACAGAGTTTGAGGTTAAAGGAGCTTGGTAAAAATTTTAAACTTTCAATAAAAAACAGAAGAGCCATGTCTTAGGAGTAAAAACTATGTTCTAAGGCTAAGAAATTCACTCTAGGACTGAAGGGCAAACCAACATTGGTTCAAGATAATATGCCATTAATTTAACTCCTTACTGGAATAAAACTCAACTCCTTTGCAGAGGAAGAGGACAGAATTCATATCTCTACAACATTTCAACCACAATGTTCAGTATATAATTAAAAATTACTAAGCATATAAGTCAACAAGAAAATATTATCTAGAGTCAAAGTAAAATTAGTCAAAATTAACAGACTCACAGATGACAAAGTCATTGGAATTAGATGAAAAAGACTTGAAAGTGTTAGAAATATGCTAAGGGAACTATGTGAAAAAAATAATATAATGGGTGAAAAGATGAAAATTTCAGGAGAGGTATAAAAACCATGGAAAGGACAAAACAGAAATCCTAGAGCTAAAAAAAAATACAATACCATACATTAAAAATTCATTGCATATGATTAACAATAGAGTGGACATGACAAAAGAGATCACTGAACTTGCAGACAGGTCAATACAATCATCCAATCTGAAGCATAAAATGAAAAAAATTTGCAAAAATAACAAAGCTTCAGTGACTCGTAGGACAGTATTGCATGGTATAAAAGCATGTATTTGGTGTACAAGAAAGAAGAGAGAAGGAGAATAGGATAGAATAAGTATTTGGAGAAATGTGGGACAATATTTTTTCCAAATTTGATCACAAACAGCTACCCATAGATCCAAGAAGTTCAGTGAACTACAGCAAGATATGCAACTAAGCACAACAAAGTTAAAACAAATTTTTCAAAGAAGTTAGAAGAAGGAAAAGAGACTTATCATATACAAGGGAACAAAGGCAAGAAAATCAGCTGACTTTTCATCAGAAAATAATGGAAGACAGAAGACAATGAAAAGTTATCTTTAAAGCCTATTATCAATAAAATATCTTCCAAAAATAAGGGTGCAATAGACACATTTTCATGAACAAAAACTAGGACAATTTTTTCACAAGCAAACCAACACTACAAGAAGTGCTAAAGAAAGACATTAAGATTGAAGAAGAATAATGCTAGGTTGAATTTGGATCTACAGGAAGATATAAGGTGATGAAAATATTTAAAATAGGAGTAAATATAAAGGACCACTTTTTTTCTTAAATTTGTCAAAAGTCAGTTAAATGTTTAAAGGAAAATAACAATGTATTTTGAGGTTTACAATATTTTTGGAAGTATGGCAATAATATTAGTTTGGTGCAAAAGTAATTCCTGTGTTTGTCATTAAATACCATGTAAAAATACGGAAAAGAATATAAATGAGCTAATGGTCAATGGAGAATCTTGGCAAATTTTTGAACAGAGAACTGGGCAGCAAAGTGACACAATTTAAACTGTTCCTTTAGAAGAGTCGTACAGTAGCATGACACAGGACAGATGAGAAGGAGCAGCATATTGGATGTATTGAGGAAGATCCCATAGGACTTGGAAACTGATAGGAAGTGGTACAGGGAAAATAACAGTGATGTTAAACAGCACTTCCATTTTGGGGGGGTGGGGGGGCGGTGATAAAGTTGGTATTATCGTTAAAGAAACAGGGAACTTTGTAGACAGAACTACCATGGGAAGAAAATGGTGAGTTTACGTATGGTTTTACCAAGTCTGAAGTATAGGTGAGATCACATAGGTGGAGAAGGATGGCAAGCAATTCAAAGTATGGGTCTCTCCTACACAAATTCCAGTGTCTGTCCTCAAAAATTTATGGTTTTTATGTGACTTGTTTCCACCATTTGCTACATGATTTATTGAAAAAAATTTTAATATATTCAAGCTGTTAGCAAGAGAAATATATGTAAACTATAGAAGAGTAGGAGATTTGTAAAATAGTTTGTCAAAAAGTCTTTTGGTCCACCCTCCCATCTCTGAGCAAAGGAGTAGGGCCAAAAGCCAGCAGCCTCTGAGCTTCAGGCCAGACAAAAGCACACCTGCTTTGCTCTGCAGACTGGCAGGCTGGTTTCTGACTATTCTTTAGTTGCTGCCTAGTTGTTGCCCATATTACCACTTACCCTTCCTTCTCTATGTTCCTGGATTTTGTGATGCTCTGAATCCATCACTATGTACACAGAAAAATGATAAGACTAGTAGGAAGAACCAAGAGGCCAGCCCTTCCAATTTACCTATCCCTCTCTCCCTTTCTCCCTCCCCTGGCAGTTATCCAATGGAGAGACCACTTATGCATTAAGCTGTGACAGATACCACTGGAGGGATTTGCCTTATGCCTACCTCATATTTAAGTTTTCATTTATTAACCCTTCTTCTAACTGTCCTGAAGTCAGTCCTACTATAAATCGAATTATGAAGTAGATAAAGATATTCTTCAACACTTGGTCCCCACATTTGGGGACCAATTACCAAAGGTGACCTGTGTCCTCCCACTGCCCAGTGTCCTACTCTGGTGCCCTCCAGATAATTCACTCTTCTTCTTTTTCCCTCTCTCTGTATATCCCCTCACTTTTGAAAACTTCAACTTCCTTACTATTTCCAACATCAGGGAAAAGTTAGAAGAAAAATAATTTAATTGACCTAATTTAAATAATAATGTCATTATTGGAATCTTAGCCTCAGCCCGAGAATTTGCTTTATTTTTAAACTCTCGTATACTCAAGTGAACCTCTGGACCATGTGATAAGGGGGGGAAGAAAAAGTGCAACCTTTATTTTAGTCTGTAGTATTATAATGCTAAAATAAGTTAGCACTAACTATGCTATTCATTTTAGTGTACTTTGCTTCACAAAATATTGTTTAATGTTCCAGGATGAAATCTAAATATAAGACAGTGAGATCATAGTAGTATTATTTTCCATATGGAAAAACTATCCAGACAGGTCTACTTACCTTCGTCATTCCCATGTATCCCTGCTTTCCTCTCTTGGGTGAAACATTATTGATAAGCATGCATAGGGCCACATTTTCTCCATCTGCTTCACATGTTTATGCTATTTTAACATCTTGCCTGCTTCACTCCCTCTTTTTCCCTATTTAGGGCTATTTTCATTTTTTTGACCACTAAGAAGAAATCAATAAAGGAACTCAAAAGATTCTTAACTTTGCCCCTTTTCTGGCCCAGTTTAAGATTTAAATATATATAATTGATTAAGAGTTAGGCAAAAGTTAAGAGAAAGGTAACTTCATGTCATTTCCTTACCCCAAAAGTGACTTTTCATTATGTAGATTGTTTCTAACCGTTTCTTTGCCTCTCCTCCATTCTGCAAAGTCCATCTCCATCCTCACTTGCTCCTCCTCTTCCTGAACTTTCGTAGAGCTTCTTGTCAATATCGCACACTTTATACTCCACATTCAAGTACTCTCAACTTCTCCATGTGTGTAAATACTGCTTCTCCATCGAGACCATGAGTTTTTAGAGATGAGAACCTTATCCTATAAATCTTAACACATCTTGTAGTTCAAGGCATATAGTAAAAATGCAGTGGCTTGAGGAGTTAAGATCTTTAACAATAAGAACCCATGGAGAGTCCTCAATGATCCTGGAGTAGCTTAGAGGCTTGTCTCGTGGCTTGCAATTTTCCAAATAGTTTTCCGCAATGGAAACCCCGAAATAGCCATTGAGTACAAAGCAGGACAGAATCAAACACCAATATCTAGTCAGTGAAGGAATTTCCTTATTCTTCTATTTGGCTGATGTTTTCTGAACGTTTCCTGTGTACGTTTACATGGTACTAGGAAGAAAAGTTTGTAGAAGACAGTTCCTGGGCTCCAAGAATGCAAATGAAACACTAAAAAATGTAAAATCAAGAAATGATTAAATTCTGGTGTTTTCAGGAATGAAGAAAATAGTAAATAATAGAAAGAGGAAGCTAAAAAGGTTTTACCCATTTTATCTTAATCATTATGATCATCAGTTCATATTTAATCTGGTGACTAAAGGATGCAAAATCATAGTTTATCACAGTGAGTTGCATAATAGAACATAAAAAGCACTTGCTTTTATGTGTTTAAATAAAAAAAACTAGAATTTAAATTATTATAAACTGAATAGCTGAATGGCACTGACAAATAAGGAAACAGAGTGCCTATTCGTAGTATCATTGAAATATTGGTATAACACATTGGGAGAAAAGTAATTGTGTACATTCAAGACAATTTTCATGGCTGAAGAACACATTAAGTTGTCTATCTTTGAGTTGATTTATTTTACGTTTCTCTGAAACAGAGTCATGACAGGCCAATGGAAACAAAATAAAATAGAGCGTATTATTCTGCCTTTTTTTTTTCTTTGGGAATAAGCTCAGATCTGAACACACTGATGAAGGCCGTATGGCCTTTGCTGCTGCTGAGAATCGACGCGAATGCGTTGATGGATTCCACAGTTCTAACTATGGGCTGAAATCAGGTGGAAAGTAGGTGACAGCTAACACAAAATTCTAGGTGGAGAACAAAATGCTAGCAATACTAATTACTGACTATCCCATTTACTCTAGTGTGAATAAAACCTTGGGGAGAAGAGTAAAACCTGAAAATCATTGAGTTTCCAAGTGGATATTCTAAGAATGTACACAGCTCTGTACTGTTTCCTCTGCCTGGAATGGTCTTCCTCTACACAGTCCATGAACTCATCCATTCGCTTCAATCAAGTCACCTCTCAAACAATGCCTCTTCAGAGAAGAATTCCTAGACTGCTCTATCTACAATTTCAGCACCCCATTCCTATCACTCCTGACTCCTCACTGTGCTTCCAGTCAGAATAATCTGTGTTATAGTGCCATAATAGCTAATCCTCAAATCTTGGTGGCTTAAAAAAAAAGTTTATCACTATGAAAAATCTACCGAAAGTTGAGCAACTCTCCCAGGCAGTCCTCCTTCATAAATCCTCATCAGTATAAACCAATACACCTTGCACAGCAAGTGAAAGTGTGGTGGACAGTCAAGGCCATGAAGTAAAGATTTCCACCCAAAGATGACACAGATCACTTCCACTTACATTTCATTGGCCAAAGCCACACTAAACTACAAGTGGGCAGGGAAGTGTCATCCTCCTACGTGTCCAAGTGGATGTAAGAATGTCTGGCACATCATGCTTTATTTGTCTTCATGACACTTTTCATCTAACATCATTTAATATATTTTATTTGTTATTATTTGACCCTCCTTACTAGAATGTAAGCATTCTGAGGGCAGGGAACTTATCTATTTGTTCGTTGCTTTACCCTCAGCTCTTAGAACAGAGATTCTCGATTAATATTTATTGAATGAACAAATAAGAACACAGAAAATACTATGTTTTACACAAGGAATTACCAGTGCAAATGCTTAAAGGACCCAGCTGTTAATATAGCAAGGGAAGCAAGCAAGGTTAGAACTGTGGCTAAGTGGAGCACTTCTTCCATTACCTAAAGGCCACTAGTTGCTGCCTTGAATGATGGACCCAGCATAGCTAGATCTGATTTTTTTTTTTTTTTTTGAGGCAGAGTTTCACTCTTGTTGCCTGGGCTGGAGTGCAATGGCGAGTCTTGGCTCAGTGCAACCTCTGCCTCCCAGTTTCAAGTGATTCTCGTGCCTCAGCCTCCCGAGTAGCTGGGATTGCAGGTGCCCACCACCACATGCCCGGCTAATTTTTGTGTTTTTAGTAGAGACGGGGTTTCACCATGTTGGCCAGGATGGTCTCGAACTCCTGACCTCAGTTGATCCACCTGCCTCGACCTCCCAGAGGGCTGGGATTACAGGTATGAGCCACCGTGCCTGGCCTGCTAGATCTGATTTTTTTATGAGAAGTTAAAAATCTTGATTTTTAAATGAAAGCTCTGATTTTTTCATGTGGTTCAAAAGTTGTCAAAAACATATGCAGGTCATACCCAGCAAACATGAATGTTAGTCTATGCCTTGTGCTCTAGGTGGAAAGACTGAACGAATGAGTTTTGAGATTTACAAAGTTTCAATTAAGTGAAGAGAAAATGCGAAAAGAGAGGAAAAGTAGAATCTCCACATTCATCTCTCTGTCACCTAAACTCTTATTTGGAGGGATCCCTGCTCTACCTCTTTCCCTCTCACCCCTACTCCTCTTTACCCAGGAATTTAGAAAATACCCCTATATTTCTAGAACTAGTTTCATTTATTTATTTTGAATCCTTTGAATAGGAGTCAACCTTGCCTTCACTGATGTTATTGTGTGTCTTACATAGCAATATCTAAACAAATGAGAAACCGTGGGGAGAGATCTTCAAGGTGAAAACATTTAGAATAAAGAATTGCTGTGTTTAAAATGGCACTGGCAGTATAAAAGATCTAATATCTATTTCATGTAACAGACGAGGTCCAAACCAGGGAACTCTTCTCTGTAACCAATAATTTGACCTGATTACATCATATCTTTTTCTCTTTGCCCTAAAGTTGAACTTTGTATATAGAGGGGCTGCCAAACACATTTACACTGTAGAGAAATGTTGTTTTCCAATGTATCACCCAAGAGGTTTTAATTCAGATGAAAATGTTCAAAAATTAAATTTCTGTATTTCTTTGGACCTAGCTTGGGATGGTTTAGCAAGCAGTCTTCATACGACTTTTCTTGTCTAGAGGGAATTATCACTGGGCAAGCTCAGTCAAACTTTAAGTGCAGTTGTTCATTTCGGTGGCCCCAAGCCCATACCTGGGAGTTTTCCAGCTGTGGAATCAATGAAAAACGCCCCAGTCAGGGACACAGTACTGGATTCCAGGCAACCTGCTTTCCCAAGGAAGCACTTGGATTAAAACAGGCCTGCCCCTCCACTCTTAAAGAGAATTCTACCACCCTGTTCTGCACTCCCAGATAGCCCTGGGTGTATAGTGCTGCCATTTCAGAGCTCCGTCGTGATGTCTATCACATGTTGGCTTTAATTCTAGGACAATTCTAGAGAAATAAGAAATACCGAGCAAACTTTTCCCTGCCCAGGCAATCCTCCAGTGAAAATTCTCACAGCGAATAGATTTCTGGTGGACATAGACATGCTTGTAATTGACCTTCTCACTAGGCCCTACACATTTCTGGATATCATGAGTTTCAGTATTGTCTTGAAATAGATAAGGCCTCTCGTCCATGGTTTATAAAACAAAATTACCAAGACTGAAATTGGAAATCTTGTTCTTACAGAGGCAAATGAAAACATGAAGTTCTCTGGAGATAGTTCATGAGCAAAAGAAAATTACTTTCATAGAATTCTAGAAATAATTTATTTTAGAAATTCTAGTATTGACTTGATTCTGAAAATAATTATATCATCATCTCTCCAAAACAGTTATCTTCAAAGTGGCCACTTATTTGACAAAAAAATCAATTCGGTCAATATGGCATTTTAAGATTATGCCTTCAAATTCCCTTTTGCACACACACAAATACAGCCTAGCAAACAGAAATTGAGGCAAGCCACCCATTGGCTGGGTAACTGACTTGCCAACATTCCTTAAACTGGTTCTGGATTAAAAGGTCTTAGATGACCATTTGAAAGCTGGTACTAAACTCCTAAATAGGAAGAGGATGTTGGGAGTGGGATAAGAGGAGAAAGAACTTGTAATATGAGAAGACTTGGCAAACCAAAGTGCTCATATACGAAAAGAAATAAAATGCCGAGAAAGATAGCCAATGACATCAACTATTGGGAGATTAATTCAATTCAGGTAAAATTAAAATAGTGGAGAAATGATTAAAACATCTGAAAATGCGTATGCTTAGACTCTTCAGAGTGATAAATTGTGCGAAAAAATAAAAAATAACAAGAAATAATGAAACCAAATAGGCAGAAATAAAACAATAATAGGTAGATGAGAAAAGAGCCAACTAGAAATCTTTAAAATGAAAAATTTAGTTAAGATTTAAAACAGTTAATAGATGGACAAATAGATCTACACACAGGTGACAATTTTGTGAATTGGAAGGTTGTCTTGAGGAATTCACCAGGAATAAAGCATGAAGGAATAAGTAGATTAAAATTAGGAAAGAGAAGTTGAAGACACGGAGATTCAACATGATTAATCTCAAATGTCTTATACTGTTTGAAATCTGCTAGACAAAAAGAGTTTTGTCTATAAATTAATACAATTTAATTTATAGTATTCTAAATGACCAAAGGCAAATCACTGGCTGCCTGGAAGGGTGGAGGGGGGAATGGCAGGAAAGAAGAATTACAAAAGAGTAGGGAGCAACTTTTGGGAGTGATGAGTAAGTTTGTTATCTTGATTGTGGTGATGATTTCATAGGTTCACAAATACATATATCAAAACATATTGTACACCTTAAACATGTGTAGTTTATTGTATATCATTTCTACCAAAATAAAGCCATTTTGATAAGTATTTTTTTCTAAAAAAAAGAAAAAGGAATCAAGAAATACTAAAGGAAATTAAGAATATCTAAAAATGATTCTTTGAGAAGACAAATTAAACACACTTCTGGCAAGATCAATCAACAAAAACCAAAGGAAAAACAAATAAAGTCTAATATTTGAATTCAAGATTTTAAAAATTACAATTTTATGCCAATGATATGGAAACTTAGATGAAAAGAACCAATTTCCAGAGAAGTATAAACCATCAAATTGAGTAAAGAGGAAGCAGAAAGTAAGAATAAAGAAGTAACCACTTGCGACTGGGTGTAGTTGCTCATGTCTGTAATCCCAGCACTTCAGGACACCAAGGCGGGAGGATCACCTGAGGTCAGGAGTTCGAGACCAGCCTGGCCAATATAGTGAAACCCCCGTCTCTACTAAAAATACAAAAATTAGCCAGGCGTGGTGGCTCACACTTGTAATCCCAGCACTTTGGGAGGACAAGGCAGGTGATCACCTGAGGCCGGGAGTTCGAGATCAGCCTGGCCAACATGGTGAAACCCCATCTCTACTAAAAATACAGAAATTAGCTGGGTGTGGTGGTTCATACCTGTAATCCCAGCTACTCAGGAGGCTGAGACAGGAGAATCACTTGAAACTGGGAGGCAGAGGTTGCAGTGAGCCAAGATCATGCCACTTCACTCTAGCCTGGGCAACAGAGCTAGATTCAATCTCAAAAATAAAAATAAAAAAAAAAGAAGAAGTAATTAAGTAATTATTTGCCTATTTGCTATGGGTTGAATTGTGTTCCCTCAAAAAGATATATTGAAATATGAATCCCCAGTACCCCAGAATGTAACCTTATTTGGAAATGAAGTCTTTTAGAGGTAATAGGTTATTAATGTGAGCCCTAATTATATGACTGGTGTCCTTATAAAAAGGGGAAACAGAGGGCAGACACACACAGAGCAAAGACTGTGTGAAGACACACAGGGAGTAGACAGCCGTGCAGCTGGAGTGATGCGGCTACAGGCCAAGGAGCCTGAAGGATGCTGGCAGACACAGAAGCTAGAAGAGTAAGGCAGGATTCTCTCTTAGAGACTTCAGAGAACACATGGACCTGCCCACACCTTGATTTCAGACTTGCGGTCTCTAGAACTGTAAGATACGAACCATCTGTTGTGTTGAGCTGCCTAATTTGTGGTGCTTTGTCACAGCATCCCTAGGAAATTAATACTCTGTTGAACAAAAATCAAACCAGTAACCCAAATATTTTCCTTCATCCATATCAAATGAAACAAGGCCCAGGTTGTTTTGGAGAAAGTTTTCCAAGACCTTTAATAAACAGATAATTCCTGTGAGAAACTACCCAACTCATTTTGTCTTTAATGACTTTCACGTAAAAACTGACCACAGGCCAGGAGCGGTGGCTCATGCCTGTAATCCCAGCACTTTGGGAGGCCGAGGTGGGTGTATCATGAGGTCAGGAGTTCGAGACCAGCCCGGCCAATATGGTGAAACCCCATCTCTACTAAAAATACAAAAATAGCTGGGAGTGGTGACGCACGCCTATAATCCCAGCTACTCGGGAGGCTGAGGCAGGAGAATTGCTTGAACCCAGGAGGCGGAGGTTGCAGTGAGCCAAGATCGCAACATTGCACTCCAGCCTGGGCAACAAGAGCAAAATTCCATCTCAAAAAAACAAAACAAAAACAAACAAACAAACAAAAAAAACTGACCACAAACAGCATACACACACAAAATCTATGGAACAATCTCATACATAAGCATAGATTTTTAAGTTGGCTGGTCGCAGGGGCTCATGCCTGTAATCCTAGCACTTTGCAAGGCCGAGGCAGGCAGATCACTTGAGGTCAGGAGTTCGAGATCAGCCTGGAGAACATGGTGAAATCCCGTCTCTACTAAGAACACAAAAATTAGCTGGGCATGGTGGCACATGCCTGTAATCCCAGCTACTTAGGAGGCTGAGGCACTTGAGCCGGGGAGGTGGAGGTAACAGTGAGCCAAGATTATGCCACTGCACTCCAACCTGGGTGACAGAGCGAGACTTTGTCTCAAAAGAAGAAAAAAGATTTAAAAATATCTAAATATCATGTTAATTGTCATGTAAAATAAATGCATCAGTGTATTTTAAAATATCATTATGACAAAGAGAAGTTTATTCCAGAAGTGATAAAATAGCTTACTAGCTGAAACTCTAGGTATGTATCAACTACAGTAACAGATTAAAGGAAAGGAAAGACATTTTGTGATTATCTCAATTGGAGGGGAAAAATGATTTGGTAACATTAAGAACTTGTTTATAATTTTTTAAAAAATGCTCAGCAAACAAAGAACAAAGAAAAATTTCCTTTATTTAAGAAATGGAATTATCTAAACATTATAGCTAACATATATAAAGGTGAAACTTCAGGGACATTTCACAGAACTCAGAAATAAAACAAAAACAATGCCTGCTCTCACCTCTACCAATAAACATGGTCCCAGACAAAACAATACAAGGCCCATGTTGAACTTCCTTGTTGAGAATTGCAACTTTTTCTCATCCCACCCTCTACACCCCAAACCATACTAATCAGCTCTGTATTTTCTTATGGCAATTTACAACATCTAACATGCTATATAATGTGCTTATTAGGTTAATTGTAAAAATTGTCTTAAATTCCCTCACTAGAATGTAAGTTCCTCCAGGACAGGGATCTTCGTTTTGATTATTGCTGTATCCTAAGTACCTACAACAATGCTCAATAAGTATCTGTTGTTGAAGGAGTTGTCGATTTATACAAAAGGAGATATGATTTAGCAATGAAAACAAATGAACTAGAGATGATACATAGATGTCGAGCTTAAAGAAAAGAAAATGTGGTGTATAAAAAACTGCATGTGAAATAGTGCTCCTGGTACAATACTTTTTGTATAAAGTTCAAAAGCACATAAAACAAAACTTAATATTGTTTATAGATTTTAAAAAAATATGTGTGGTAAAAATATAAAGATACAAAGGAAGGATATTCAATGTCAGGACAGAATTGTCTCTAAGGAGGAAGAGAGAGGAATGGAACCAGTAAGGGTGATGAAGGGGCTTCAACTGTATCTGCCATGTTTTATTTATTTTTATTTTATATATTTTTTATTTCAATAGTTTTTAGGATAAAAGTGGTTTTTGGTTACCCGGATAAATTTTAGAGTGGGGAAGCCTGAGATTTTAGTGCACCCATTATCCCAGTAGAACACATTGTACCTAATACGTAGTTTTTAAATCCCTCACTCACCTCTCATCCTTCCTCTTCTGAGTCTCCAGTGTCCATTATACCATGCTGTATGCCTTTGCAAATTCATAGCTTAGCTCCCACTTAGAAGTGAGAACACATGATTTTTGGTTTTCTCTTCCTGAGTTACTTCCCTTAGAATAATGGCCTCCAGCTCCATCCAAGTTGCTGCTAAAGACATTATTTCATTCTTTTTTATGGCTGAGTAGTATTCCATGATGTGTGTGTGTGTGTGTGTGTGTGTGTGTGTGTGTGTATAAATGTATGCACATGTACATAAAATTATGTTATATATGCATATATTACATACATAAAACTTAATATATACATATATAACTTAACTTATATATGTTGTTTTATGTGCTTTTGTTATATATTATATATATTTGTTTTAGGTGCTTTTTGTTATATATATACACACATACACGTATATTAAGTTTTGTTTTATGTGCTTTTGAACTTTATACAAAAGGCATTGTACCAGGAGCACTATATCACATGCAGTTTTTTATACACAACATTATTATTTTCTTCATCCATTCATGGGTTGATGGTACTTATGTTGCTCTTGGTTCTGTATATTTGCAATTGTAAGTTGTGCTGTGATAAACATATGTGTGCAGGTGTCTTTTTGATATAATGACTTCTTTTCCTTTGGGTAGGTACCCAGCCATGGATTTTGCTGGATCCAATGGTAGATCTACTTTTAGTTCTTTAAGAAATCTCCATACTGTGCCGCATTTTATTTTTAAAAGGATAATCTGGGTTGTGGTTACTTTGGTGTTCATTATATTATTCTTGGAACTTTTCTCAGTGTTTAAAATACTTCATGCTCTGTTATTAAAAGGAGCATCTCAGAAACTCTACTTTCAAGCAAGATATATCCTACAATCTTAATAATTTTTTGATATCTCACATCACCATCACAGCTTCTTTAAAACTAAAATTATTTAAGAAATGTATACATGTAATTGAATATACCCAGCTTTTTTTAAGTGAATACTCAACTCTTTATAACATTTGTCAAGATAACACTTCGTTAAATGTTTAGTAGTATTCTTTATGACAGAGTGGTTTTGCTTTCGCCTTCATTAAAATTTTCTTTCTGGGTCAAGGTGTCTTATTAACTAGGAGAAATTCATCTCTATTGAATCTTTCCTTCAAAACAAAAATGCTTAAGTGATTCCTTAGGAGGTCTGGTGTTTTGTTTTGTTTTTTTAAAGTTGATTTTTCTTCTTTCTTTAAATCTGGTCAACCTGGGAACAAAATCAATTGTTAACTATTTATGCAGAATTTAGAATGTATTTTTAGTCCCTTTTTTTTTTTTTTTTTTTTGAGCCGGAGTCTCGCTGTCGCCCAGGCTGGAGTGCAGTGGCGCGATCTCGGCTCACTGCAGGCTCCGCCCCGCGGGATTCACGCCATTCTCCTGCCTCAGCTTCCTGAGTAGCTGGGACTACAGGCGCCCACCGGGCGCGGTGGCTCACGCCTGTAATCCCAGCACTTTGGGAGGCCGAGGTGGGCAGATCACGAAGTCAGGAGATCGAGACCATCCTGGCTAACACAGTATTTTTAGTCCTTTGCTGATGAATAGAACTGCAAAAAATATGAATCCGTGTTTCTCATGACATTTTCTTTCCTTCCCTTGTTGACTTAGTCAACAATCTTTGAGGTCTAACCGGCTAGCGGTGTAAAACTGCTGTTCTACCAGCTCAACGGTGGACTGTTTTTATTATTCCTTCTCATGACTTTCACATCATTATGTCTCCATGATATATAATATCCAGTAGATCTAAATATATAAAGAAAGAAAGGAAAGAGGGAAGGAAGAAAGGAAGGAGGAAGGAAGGCAGGAAAGGAAGGGAGGAAGGGAGGAAGGAAGGGAGGGAGGGAGGGAAGGAGGAAGGAAGGAGGGAAAGGAAGGAGGGAAAGGAAAAGTAAGTGAAGGGAAAGAAAGAATGAGAGACCTGAAATTATCCCTGATTTTAACCTCTGGACTTTCCTCATCAGTATTCAGAGTGCGAACTGTCATTGGTATTAGTCAGTTTTCCGAGATTACTTCTTTCTAGTTATCTTCTTTGGCCTCCAGATTTGCCAACCTCAAATTTCTTTCTCTGGTGCTGGCTTCTCTTTCCACCAGTGAACGATCATCTCAGGTTCTCATGGAATCCCGCCAGATTCCTCTGCTTTGTCTATACCTTTCTCATGCTTCTTTCTTCTTTAGCAAAAGGTAATAAATAGCCAAGACCATCATCATAGGCTGCATTGATCTCCTCACATCATTTCCTCTTCCTCGCTCATAAGGCAGAGTCTTCTGTAATAATACCCTATTACTTGTGTTTCTCCACCATATCCTCTTTAGTTCAAACGTCTCCTGAAGCCCCCTGATTGAATTCTTCAGTTCCCTGGTCCCTTTAAGAACAGGACCTCCCGTTTCAAGTCAACATCAAGTCCCTTTTGTATTCCACCTTCTGAACCCAGTATTCTGCTCAGCCCTCACTGATCTCTCAGATCATAGACTCAATGGAACGGGACCTCTAGCGTGAGGTCTACAAATGGATAGGGACATTATCTGAGTCTCCCTTCTGGTAGAAGTCAGTTTTCTGTTATACAGTCAAAACATAAAGGTCGGAAATCTTGCATTGGTATTTATGGATTTTGAATGTGTGTGTTACCAAAGACACTAATTTGTAACCCGAAACGATGTTCACAAATGTCTGACGCCTCATATACTTATAATCTAAACAGGTAATAAGGAAGTATTAAACAGCACATAAGTATGAGGCAAAGGAGACTATTTCTGTGTATCAGCCTTATGACCTGAGTCTGATTCCCATTGGTTCTTCTTAAATTCTCCTTCAGGCATCCTGTGCTACATAAAACACTCCATCTGAACAGTCATGCTAGCTGGCCAAGGCAGTGGGTGAGAAACGCCAGCTGCATGCCTCATGTGATCTGTTATGTTATATGGTAAGTTACTTGGAAAGAGCAAGCATTCCATTATGCCAACAAGGGAATAAAGCTGACCTGTCCTGAGTGACTTCAGTGTAGACTCCACTGGACAATTCACGAAGATGATGTAACCAAAAGCAGCTCATTAATCTCATCCTAAGTCTTAAATTCCAAGTCACAGTAAATTAGATTTAAATGAGTTTCCACTGAACAAAGCTAGAGAATAACATTTTACGGTGTATAGAACATTTTATTACTTCAGAATTTGTTGCATTGAGCTAACAGAAAACTGACTTTTTAAAAAAATAATTACATGAGCTCTTGATTGCTCTTACATGGACCACAGCTGAGTTTCAAACTTAGTAAAAAGAATTTGAATCCCCTTTAATGCACAGGTACAGACTACTAGTTAGGAAAGTTATTTGTATATAGTACTGTATTTTAGCAGATTGAAAGTCCATCCCTTAAAACTTCAGACCAGTGCTGTTTAGTAGAACTTTCTGCATTGATGGAAATGTTCTAATATTTATGTTGTCTGATAAAGTAGCCACTAGACACATGTAGTTATTACCACTTAAAATGTAGCTAGTGTGACTGTGGTATTGTCTTTTATATCATTTAATATTAATTTAAGATCGTTTTAATGTCAATAGCCACACTGGCTAGTGGCTACCATATTGGACAGAGCAACGCAGGACCACATATTGCAATGCTAACTGAAATAAATGAGGTTTCAGTCATTGTTTCATTATTAATAGTGGTAATATAGTAATATAACTGAGAATGTGAATATCACAGTAGCATTTACAGACAATTTCACTATAACCATTGGCTTCTCTAAGCAACACTCTGAGGTCAATAGGATAAGTATTATTATCATCTCCATTACACTTGAGGAAATGGATGCTCTAAGACATACTGGTGATTTAAATGACCTGTGACTCAAACTACTTGTTCTTTCTAATGCAAGAGAAACCTGTGAAAGAATGTTGTGACGTTCATGCAGCTTACCAGTAGGCTGACCTGAAATAGACTTCAGAAATGTGGGCAGGGAGAGAGAAGCAGGGAGAAGGAGGAGAGAGAATATAAAACTACACGCCGACACCGGACATTTTTGCAAATAAAAAAGCTAGGTCAACTTTTGCAGAAGCATGTTCTAATGCTGTCAAAGCTAACTTCATGAGCTTCCAACATGGGTGGGGCCCAACATAAGATCCACACACTATTGCTTTTATCAGTGCTCTGCAAGCCATAGAGTTTTTCCTTGTTTATTCTTTCTGCTTCTCCTTTCTCTCACTCTCTCTGCTTTCCATTGTCTCTACCCCTCCTTTTCTCTGTGTCATATGATCTCAAGTCACTTTCCTACATTAAAATGTTATATAATTCTTACATAACAATCTAATAAACTATTGGTAACAGTAAGAGGTTTTCCTTGTCTTAGGAAAATGTGCTGAACTAAGAAAAAAAATCATCTTCTTTAAAAAATTAGCATAATGAAATATATTAAATTGAATATGTGTGGTGGATGATAGCTTAGAAAAAAATGAGTTGCACATCCTGGTGTGTAGTCAGTTTGCAGACTGATTAATGAAGACCCTATAAGCCTGTTTGTGTGATAAGCCTGTGCAGTGGGCACTCTGCTAGAGAGACAGGACCCATGTCACCGAGAAAGACCCCAGTACTGCTGAATAGCTTATATTTTATACATTTACATTGGAAAGGCAAACGTTTAAATTGGCCCGTCTAAAACCTAACCCTGTGGTTTCGTGGATACTAGATAATTGAAAACAGAACTTCAGTGCACTAAGTCCACCTCTTCTGGGCTCTTGGCCATAACATGCTCCAATCGGAAAACACTTGTTTTAAAAGAAGTCTCTTACACAAAAGCGGGATAAAAAGAGAGACGGAGAGGAAGGAAAATTGTCTTCAGTATATTATAGCAAACATACTTGTCACTTGATAAAATACCATTTGCTCAGGTTGCTCTTCTGTGAATAACATTACAACTATCCAAATAATAGTCAAGGCTCCTAAACCATCCAGCCAGCTTTTGCAAACAGCAGAGGAAGAAAGCCACCTGAGCTTGCAGAACTGGTGCCACTAAGTGCCAATCCCCACAAGTGAACACAAGTTCATGAACTTAGGGATCCTGGTTGAAGAAAGTTGCTGCTGCAGTCAAACAATAACATCAGCAAGGATTGATTTTAACTCAGATGAGTAGTATGCACTATCAACAATATAAAGGTTGTTAAATGTTAAAAAAAAAAAGTAGTCAGAAAGTAGTAGGCAGAAAGATTTTAAAAAGAATATCTACTAATGTAGGAGTGGAAAGGTGTACCACCTTCTTCACCCTTCATAAGGGTAGTGGTCAATATCCTATAACATAAAACAGGTTAACAAGAGAAAATCATAACAAATTTATTTAATTAAAAATTTTTATGTAATATGGGAGCTTTGGGAAGAAGATCTAAAGATACAGAGAAAACTATTCATGTTTATGCTTAGGTTTGATGGACAGTCCTGTAGAAATGTGATTGGACAGAGGATATGGTCTAACCCAGCAGGGCCTGCCCGTTCAGCTTCTTCTTGGCCTCTCTGTGTAGCATTTCTTCCTCCTGGGTCTGACAGGACCCCTCTGGAATGAGGGTCTTTAAGGGGGAAGGGAGAAGGAAGAGAGTGACCTTGCTAGGTTTTATGACTTGCTTTGGGGAAGATTTCTAGTTTCTATGATGTGCCTTAGGGGAAAGGAATTCCAGCTTCTGTGACTTGCTTTGAGGAGAATTTGGGCAAGAAACAGGAGGGTGGGTGAGGGACAGAAAGGCCTTGTGGCTAAGGCCTTTCCAATCTCCTTCAGTTCAATCTTCTTCCGTTCAGTATTCAACATGTCAAGGCACCGTGCTTTGGGGTATTATGTCCTGAGCCCCAACGTAAGATGTTTACACTTTTGATTGTAAATGCCAGCAAAACAAAACTTCATGAAATATGTAAATATCATGTGTGCTATTTCAGAGATGGAGACAGAAATCAACTTAAAAATTGTCAGATATATTGCAATATAGAATTACTTCTCTTTTCTGTTATTTATTTTAAAGAAATATTTTTGTATGTTATTTTACTGATTTTATTTCCATAAAAACATGGAAACTTCAATGTTTTCATATTTTGCAGAGTTTCATTTGGGTATTTTTAATGGCATGTGAGAGAGAGAGAGAAAGAAAGAGAGAGAGAGAGAAAATTAACACACTGCATTGGAATTCTTTTTATATTCTTCCCCAAACTCTTTTCCTCTCTCCTTCACCAGGTGTAATTATAACGAAATGGGTATTCTTCATTTGACATTTTAAGTTTTTAAACTAAATATATACATAGCCATAACACAGATAGTAGTATCATGGTATTTTATGTTATTTTTTTAGAGACAAGATCTCTCTGTCTGTCACCCAGGCTGAAGTGCAGTGGTGCAGTCATAGCTCATTGCAGACTTGAAATCCTGGGCTCAATGGATCCTCCTGCCTCACTCACCCTCTCTGGTAGCTGAGACTAAAACCTCACAACACCACACCAGACTAATCATTTTTATTTTTTGTAGAGACAGGGTCTTGCCCTGTTGCCCAGTCTGGTCTTGAACTCATGGCTTCAAGTGATCCTCCCACCTAGGCCTCCCAAAGCTCAGATTACAGGTGTGAGCCACTGGCTATAAAACACCACACAGCCTACTGGGGTATTCTAAACTTGACGTCATATTGTATTTATCCTTCTGCAACTTGATTTTTGTTGCTCTGTTTTTATATTTGGTGAATGTATTCACCTTGATAATGTAACTCTAGTTCATCCCTTTTAATTACTGGTATAAGTGAGCCATAATTTCTTGAATCATTCTCCTGTTGATGGACATTCAGGCTATTTGGATTTTTATTTTTGTTACTGCTAAGAGTGCCACAGTGAACATCCCTACATATATTCTTGCATACATTGAAAGGGTGTCTCTCCTAGTGCCTCAAATTGCTGGATTCTAGGGTGTGAACATCTTTAGCTTTACCAGATCTAGATACTGCTAAATGCCATCCAAAGTGTTTATCTGGAATTCTTCATACCTGTCCCTTTACAGACCACTCAACACAGTGGCCGTAGTGACCCTCTTACAACATGTCACATCATGTTACCCTTTGCTTGAAACCTTGAAATGCCTCCCCACCCTATTTCACTCAAAACAGCTACAGGGCCCTAACTGACCTCACCCTAGCGCTGCCCTTGTTACCTCTTATGTCCCCTCTCTTTCTGCTCCTCAAATACTCCAAGCATTCTCTCTGCTTAGGGTCTTTCTTCCAGCAGTTTGCTCTGCCTCACATGCTGTTCTCTCAGACCCCACTTGGCAAAATCTTTCGCCTTCCTTGAGTTTCTGTTTAAATCTCACTTTAACAATGAGCCTTGCCATGACTACCCTCCCCGCATGCTCAATTGATGTTTTCTTGCTTGAATGTGTTTCTTTCGCAGTACCAGTACCTTATAATGCATTATGTAGTTTGTCAGATTTATTGCCTAGTGTCTCACCCATCTAGACTGTCAGATCCATGAGGGCAGAGATCTTTGCCTGGTGTGCTCATCGATGTATCTGGATACCTACAATGGAATCTGATGCATGGTAAGCATTCGACCAGTGTCTGAGAGAGGTGACTTTTGTACCTTTGTGATTTCACATTATGCTTTGCAGGGTATTATCCAAAAGAACATATGATATTTTGATTGGTAATACATGAGGACTATGATTTGAAAAAAGACTAAAATTCAGCCCCCTAAGGGTAGGGCCTGGATATGTGTTCACCACTCTATTCTTTGTGCCAAGAACAGTGCCTGGCACATAGCAGATGTTCAATAAATGTCAAATGAATGAATGGATGAATGAATGAACAGAGATTTTTTGAGAAGGTTACTTGATAGTTTGGAAGTGAATTATACTGGAAGATGAGTTGGTTCAAAGGTTTGTGATTCAGGCATGCCCATCAGACAAAGCAAGCAGGTGGTAACTCCCTATTTTAAGTTTACCTGTTGGGCCATAAATTTCCCTGTTTGAAATCTTTTACTCTTTACAGTTTCCCTATTGTTGGGGAGTAAAATGATGGAAATTTGTTCAATTGAACATACCCTTTTAGAATGTTTCTCATATTTGCCTCATGATTAGAATCTCTCAGGTGAGTCTGTTAAAAATACAGATTCATGGACCTAATTCTTAAATCAGAAACTCTGGGAGAAAATTCTGAGAACAAACCCAAGAAACTGTTATGAAACTGTTATAGTCAAGTGAGTTAGGAAAACAATAGGATCCTTGACAGAACAAAGAACAACAGCGTGCCTGAAATGTCAACAGGAGGAAAGAGCGCCTGTTATAAACTGTGTTTTAAATAATGTCAGAATAGCTGCTAAACGGCAGAACCACATTCTGCATTTGAACTGAGTCTTTCCTCTTGCCTACCTAACATGGTCATCAGGGTCTTAGGGAATTTGGGGGTGACTCACAACCTTGTGTTTATGAATTAGTCATTGAAAACACAACCAGAAGAAGGCAGGCCGTCCTCAGCTATTCCTGAGATCCTGATAGTTTCCATCTCATGAGTTGAAGAAGCAGACAGTGGGAAGTAACGTTCTGGGCTAATCAGCAAAAGAGAAAAGAAATATTATGAAACACAAGGAGAAAGAAAAAATTATTTTATTATTCCAGGTTCATTTTATCTTTCTCCTAATGTAGAAGTCTTTCTTTATATGGGAGTCACTTGGTAAAAGTAATTCATCTATTTAATGTATTCTTCCAGATAGTGACATGTGTATCTATAATATAATAGATAGTGACATGTGTATCTACAGCCTTTAAAATGTAATGTTTATTCAAGAGGAAGGGGAATTTATCGAACTCTTCAGTATGTTTCTATTCCATTGAAGTTGCTGGTAAATCTGGTTAGTGGCTGTACTTTTGGTACTTCAGATTTCAAACATTTGTATTTCAACTCATCATTCCGGAGTATTTCCAATAGAAGACATTTAATTAAAACTTATGGTAAAGTACAGAAAGGGAATTTGGTGAGAAAGAGACCTATAATTTGATCAAATGAAAACTCTCTCCATTTTTAAATTTGGCATACATTTTAGACACTCACGTGTTTTGTTTCTCATTTTGGCAACTGAGTTGAATTTGGCTGCTGGGGTGAGAGGGAAAGGGGTAGATTAGAGACCCTGTGGGATGTCACAAGTCTTTGCCAAAATCAGCACATATTTATTAAGCGGTGGGCATGAAGCTCCCCATCTGTTAGTTTTCTCAAAGTGCTGACAAGAACATTCCGATTTCCAGCTTGAATGCTTTTTTAAAAAAATTTCTTTTCTCAAAAAAAAAAAAAAAAATTTCTTTTCTCCATTTACTCTGACCAAAGGGCTGTGTTAGTGTTCAAAGATAAATGGAAAATGATGCTTGAATTTTCTAATTTGTCATTGTAAGTAATGGAACCACCCAACACCTCACACTTATGGATATTTTTGCCAGCTTGCAAAATATAGGTGAGAGCCACCCAATTCTACCTCCTTTTAGAATTGGGTGGCTCTCATCCAATGAGGAGCTAACATAATTAGCCTTTTATTGCTCCTCATCTCCCTGTTATGGGAGAAGATCAGACTCTGCTATAAACAGACAGATACCCCTAAGGTCTCCAGCAAAGGAAGTCGAAAGGGGAGACCTTTAGATCTGTTGCTTGCTTCCTTTCACATGGAAAATGTACAACTTTACTTTCAGAAATTAAATATTTGGGTACAATAGGGCAGGCCAGGGCATGATTTCATTTTGATTCATTTTAGGGCTACATCAGTTAACTCCCTTTATGTTATCTCACTAGTTCTGCTTCTCTCCTCTACCCATACCCATTTTCATCCTAGCAGCTTGCTGGTGCAAGCTCATTGGTCTCAGAAAGTCTCCCTCAACCTCTCAGATAGTGCCTGTGGAATCCTATAATTCTCCTTCATAAAGTTTTGCACAGTTCTAATTGTTTAGTAATTTTTTGTAATAACTTTTTAAATATCTGTGATAGAATTCTAAGATGGCTCGTAAGATTCCCATCCCCTGCTATACAAGCGCTGTATAATCAATCCCCTCCCTTTGATGGGTATGACCTGAAATCGGATGGAATGTCACTCCATGATTACACACCATTATGTGGTAAAGATGAAGGCATTTTGCAGATGTAATTAAGGCTCCTAATCAGTTTCCCTGAGTTAACCAAAGGGATATTATCCTTGGTGGGCCTGACCTAATCAGGTGAGCCTTTAAAGCGGGGCCTAGATGTTCCCTGAAGTCAGAGACACTCTCCTGCTAGCCTTGAAAAGCAAGCTGGCATGAGTTTTATAGCTGTAAGGAGAATTTCTGCCAGCAAGCAAAGTTCTTGTCAAGGAAGTTCTTCAAACTCCCTAGTTTGGAGGAAAACTCAATGCCTCCAATGAGACAGCAGTCCTGGTCACTGCCTGTTCTCATCCTCCCCAGGCCCTGGCCCGAGGACCCAGTTAGGCTATGTCCAGAATTCTGTTCTACAGAACCGTGAGATCATAAATGTGGATTGGTTTAAGCCACTAAGATTGAGGTAATTTGTGACATAGCAATTGAAAACTTGAACAATACTTCTCCTCCACATGAAGGCAGGGTCTATGTCTCTTATTCACTGTGTGCCCAGTGATTACCACATTATCTGACATTGAAAAACTCACTAAGTATTCACCAAAAGAAAGACTGATTGACCTTAATTAGTGGGCAGGTTCAATAGATTGGGAGTCAGCAAGTATACATCAAATTTTCAAGAAAAATTTCATGAGAATAAAATAATCACCCAGCATGAATGAGCCTGGCTCTCACTTTCTAAGTCACTATCCTGCCCAAGGAAAGGGACCAGGTTCAAACAGAGATAAAGGGCCTTTAATAAATCTTCTTCAGATTTGTATCTGCTTTTGGGTGAGTCTGATGAATTTTAAATTTTTCTCCAAAACCTTTCTGAATTGACTGAACCTTTTGAATAGTAACATACCTTCCCACTACCACCCACCACCACCCCTGGCAGACTACCTGTTCTGCCTCATTGGACTCTGCTGCCTGCTGGGGAAGGTCTGGACCATGGACGCCGGGCAAGTCATCCAAGCAAAGCCCAGTGAAGTTCCAGGATGGGCTCGTGACTCAATAAGAGGCAGTGTTTCTCCCTGAATCAGCCCCAGCATGGCCACATCTGAAGGAAGCATGGTTGCGAGCTCAGCCACTGCCTGGCTGCCTGTGGACACATGGATCCTGCACTGTCTCGGATGAGAGGACACCGTCTGCTGATTCACTTGCACCTGGGGTTTCGTGGGTGGACATCTGGAAAGGGCCTCTCTTGCTAGCTCAAGTTTTATTTATCTAAAATGATCTTTTAAAAATCATTTTACGTGTCTTCAAAGTGTCTGGACATGGTGTGGAATGTGGTTTATTCTGTCCACATGGCAGCAGGCTCTGTGTTGTAACTTGCTGAGATTTTAGGTCTGCCATCAGTATGCAGACTGACACCAGCTTTTACTGAGTAGCAATGTAGAGCCCTTGGGAAAAACAGGAGAAATGAAATAGGAGAAACTATTGTGCCAGATGAAGCTCATATTCAGGTGACCTAAATGCACCTTTCTGGGAATACACAAGGCACTATGTCTGAAGGGTCGATTCAAGATCAAAATATGCATTCAAGTGGATGGTTTGAAATGAGATTTGTTTGAGATAGCTAAAATTTGTCTTCTGTGCTTAATACTTTACAAAAAGTTTTATATACAATAGGTCCTGCATCTCACAACACACTGTGAGGTAGGGAGGATATGTAATCTTAGCCCTGTTTTCTGTATGAGGGATGAGATAAGTGCCAGGATGTTATGGGAAGAGACCTGGAACCAGGTTTGGGTGTCAGCTCTGCCATTTGTTGGGAAAATTAACCTTTAGGAGCTTCTAGTTATCCACCTACAGAATGCAGTCAACAATCCCTCCCTAGCAAGGTTATTGCTAGGATAATCAGAATGTGTGTATGAAAGCATCGAGGATTTTGACCCGTGATAAAATGCCCAGTTAATTTTCTTGAATCTAAGGCCCAGAGATGTTTAGGAATTTGTTGAGGGGACTTAGCTTGTAAGGGAAGGACCTGGGACCCAAACCAGGTCTTTGATTCTGAATTCTTTTGCCAGCCTCCAGAACTTTGATCTATTAAAGCCTTTTAAATGAATAAGGTTCACCCATGACAGTTATATTCCCCATGGACTGAGGACCCTTTAATAAGTCTTTGATTTTCTGTTTCTTTGTTACTGACGTCCCTCTCTCCAGTCCCTTCTCTACTTCAGCCAATCTTAAATACCACTTTTCCAGAAATCTCTTTCCAGATGTTGAAGATATATCATGAAATGAAAGAAGCAGGTTCAAAAAATACATGTAATAGGAATTATGCCGTTCTTATTAAAGACAAATTAGGTAATTATAGGCGGAAAAAAGATATGAGATCTACAGGAACATATTAACAGTGGCTGTGTTGAGTGGGGAGATTAGAAGCAATTTTTATTATAATTTCTGCTTTTTTAGAGTCCCCAAGCTTTCTACAATAAATATACATTGTTTTAGTAATAGGGGAAGAAGTTTCTCATTCTCTTTAAATGTCTCTAAACTCTCCCGTGAACAAAGTCAGACCTTTTGTCTCCAGCTGGGTGTAAGTTACCAGCTGCTGTGTCCTTGACCTGTACATTCACTGCATCCCTTTCAACCCATATTCTTCTACATTAATCCATAGGCTCTAAGAACCTAAAGCTTTCTAAACAACTCAAGTCATGGAAACAGCTGTCGGCTCCTTCAGTATAGGTGCCAAATCCTTCCCAGAGTTAAAGTAATAATTCGGATGCCCACCTCTAAATACAAGAACTCCTGACATGTAAGGCATCCTTCCTAACTAAGCCCTTCAGTATTTGTCCACTCTCTTTCACCAATGTCCACTTACAAATTATGCATCATTTTTTTCCGCCTCCTGGATTGCAGACTCCCTGAAGGAAGGAATTGATATGTCCATTTTCTATAAATCTCAAGAAGATCACGTGTTTCTTTCTGAGCATCTAAATGTGTTTATGAACTGTGTGGGTAAATTATGCCTTGGCAAATTAGCAGATTGAAAGTGTTGAATCTCTACATGCCCAGACTTGTAAATTTTGCCACTATTAACTTTTAATACATGTTTTAACTTTTTTTTTTCCTCTTCAAAACTTGGGGTAGTATTTCTCACTGACGACTTCCTTAAGCCAAATTTAACATTTTATAGCTCCAACTGTTTTGGAAGTCAGACAGCCAGACAGTCAAATGCATTAGAAAAAGGCATTCCCAGATTTTCTTTTTCTGTGTCATGTTTATTCCCCTCAAAAGCAGTTGAAAGATGTTTCTCTCCAAGGTTTTCAAAGATCATCTATTCTGTGGATGGCAACTTCACACTCTCAAAGGTGTCCACTATAAAAAGGGAAAAGGAGAGATGTATCGTGAAACTGTCTGGTTAACCCAATATTTGTCACTTTAACTGCTTCTGATGATGCTTTCACTGTGAAACAACACAAAAGGAAGAGTAAAACAGTTGAGACAAGGGGAAGAAATAGCAACTGCCTTAAGTGTCTACCAATTTTACAGGGTCAGCAATGGCCTCTAATTAGAGTTAGCACTGAATCAGCCAGGCATGGTGGCTCACGCCTGTAATCCCAGCACTTTGGGAGGCCGAGGTGAGTGGATCACCTGAGGTCAGGAGTTCGAGACCAGCCTGGCCAACGTGGCGAAACCCTGTCTCCACTAAAAATACAAAAATTAGCCAGGCATCGTGGCGTGTGCCTGTAATCCCAGCTACTTGGGAGACTGGGGCAGGAGAATCGCTTGAACCTGGGAGGCAGAAGTTGCAGTGAGCCAAGATCGCACCACTGTATACCAGCCTGGGCAACACAGCAAAACTCTGGCTAAAAAAAAAAAAAAAAAAATTAGACTTAGCACTGAGTCACGCTTCTTGAGAAGCCCCAGAACAGAGTTCCTATCATAGAGAACCAGAGGGGAGTCTACCCCCAGCACCGAAGATGTATTCCAAACCTTCTAGCAGGGTCCCATGTGAGGTACAGGACTCGGTGAGAGGAGGGGGGCCTGCCTGAGACAAGTGGGGTAGGTAGTCACCTAGAAGACATGTTTTAAGGAAACAAAGACCCATTCACCTACAGATCTGTCTACCACGAGCCTGTCAAATCCAGTTAGAGCCAATCCTTTGGATTAAAAAATATTGGCTCAAACTGGCCTTTTCAATTAGAGGCATGGAAACACACTATGACCTAACTGTCTTTTAAAATCTTAGCACCAACAATTCATTAAGTGTATATCTTTGACTCAGCCACCCATCAAGACTTTGAGACAACACACAGAACACATCATCTTTGGTGGAAGTTGGAAGAGTAAAACACTGCTTGAGATGAAGATGTCAGGGTTGAAAGAAGGCACCAAATAAACAAGAAGTCTTATCAGTGGAGATAGCAAGAAAGCCTGGAAAAGATGGTGCCAAACTGGAAAATATGGTGCTAAAGAGGACAGGAATGGGAATACCAAAGACAAACCTTACTTAGCCATCAGTTTGTCTGCATCAGTACTGTAGAGAGGCTACTAAGGGGGACTATTACAGAAGGAAAACAGTCTGAAAGAGATTATTATAGAGGGAAAGAACTTGAGGAAATTGAAGGATTCTCACACTTTGGAAAAAGTAAATTCTCCTACTCTGGTCCTATTTAATCCACTGTGTGTGTATGTGTGTGTGTGTGTGTGAGAGAGAGAGAGAGAGACAGAGCGATAATTCTTGGAAGCAAACCCTCTCTTTTCTCACCCTGAATTCCATGTTATCACTATTTTACACTGAGTTAGGAGGATCTTCTGCCCACACATTTGTATTATTGCTTTTCTTTTAAGTATCTTAATTCTATAGTAAAATTTGCCATAAAATATTCATAGATGGATGGGCCTAGCTCTTTAGCCATAGGTCCAGCAGGACTTACTTACATTAAATGTACCATGATATTCTAGATGTTTTAGATTATATATCAGAGAGTCAAGTGAAAAATCAGAAAGTGTTTTATGTCTATACAGAATCTTAATGATGTCTTTTTTTTTAAAGTATTATAGGAAGTGTGTTGGAAAAATATTTTGAAAACAGTAGATTTGAAAGCCCCATTTTGCTCACTTTACTCAAGTATCTGCCTCCTTAAGGTTCTAAGATTTGCCATCATCAATTAGCTGTGCAAACCATGCTGACAAAATCCCTTTTAGAATAGTTTCTTTCACCACCAACTTGCTTCAGAGCCTCACAAAATGACTCATCTAAATGAGACGGGTCCTCTGGCCCAAAGGGAACAGCTAAGTGACTGACTAATGTTTTACACTTGGGAGAGAACAGGAAATTAGCTGCATGTTTACTGTGAGGAGACACTGAAGAATTGTAAGGAAGTACCTTTAAATACTTGAGTCCCCAAAAATGTTGCTTCACCATTTGCCTAAATGTTGCTTTTAAGTTGGAAGTGTCTCAGTTTCTAAGTGAGGGTTGGATGGTGTTACTATAAGGCACACAAAATTAACTAATAAAAGTCATTTCAGTTTCAACATTAAAAAAAATGAAAGTCCAAAGTTCCTGGATGAAAGAAAGGAGGCCTCAATTACATTATGACATATTTTACTTTTGTCTCTCTGGTGAGATAGAGTACAATTAACAAGATTCTCTTTCAATTTACAGTTAAGCCAGACATCTAAAACCAAGATGACGATGAAACTTTTCAAGTTGACACATCTTACGAGTTTTGTATGGATTTCAGTGAAATTTTTTCAATGAATTTTTTGAAAGATTGCATGCTTGCCACAAGTTCTACAGTTCATAGGACTGATAGTGTTCTAACCTTTCTTGCCTGCTACAAAATTCCCATGGTCCATACTCTCTCAACCACTGTATAGCTACCATTTATAACCAAAAAAAAGTCACTTTCTAGGTACAGTGTTTTCATAACTTCAGACTTAACCAGATGATCTAGACAAATTATTTTTTTAAAAAAATATTCAGTGAAACCCCTACTAAAAAATACGAAAAATTAGCTGGGCGCGGTGGCGGGTGCCTGTAGTCCCAGCTACTCGGGAGGCTGAGGCAGGAGAATGGCATGAACCCAGGAGGCGGAGCCTGCAGTGAGCCGAGATAGGGCCACTGCAGTCCCGCCTGGGTGAAAAAGCGAGACTCTGTCTCAAAAAAATAAATAAATAAAATATTACACAGTTCTTTTTTATTGATTTTGGTGGGAAGATTTCTACCGTTGATTGTATTGTGTTAGTCTTTTCATCAAAGGACATTTCATTTTCTTTGTCTACCTATTCAGCACTTCCTCATGAAACACTTCACTGCACAGGAATAATAAGTGTTGTCTATTGACTAATGTCAACAGCCAACCCTTCATTATCTTTCCTATTGGGGAAAGAGAAAATATGATTAAATTGAATCTGCTGTTTATCCCAAATTACACTTTTGCTGAGATTTTTTAACATTCTTTGCCACCAAACCTGATGATAACATGCGAAAATTGATCTTTTTTTTTCACCTCTCCCCTGTCCTTTTCTTTGAAGATTCACTGTAAAGAATTTTGTAGACTGTGGACAAATACTGAAATGCCAAAAGCATGTAACCTTTTAGATTAGACCAACAAACAATCACAGACATCATCACATTGGCTTTATCTCATTAGTGTAAATCTATTAAAACAACCACTGAAAGCTACTGTTGCTTTAGATGGATGCTTAGGAGCTAAATTATTTGCTCTATTCACAAGAAGGATTGTCTCCAAAATCCTCCTTAGTTTTGAATAGGAAAGTAGACCCTCATGTCTCTGCAGATTGTCTACACACAATGCACTGGGTCAAGAGTCAAGGATGGCCCTGTCTATTTTTAATTTAGAATAAATGCACAACCAGTTTAGCAAAATGAAATTTGTACTTTTAGTTCTCTATTTTCAGATTTTTCATATGCTGAATGATTTAAGACTTCCATTTGTGCATTCACCTAAAATAAGAGAAAGCTCTCAGCAAAATTTTGAGTAAATAAGTATCTTTAGTATATTCTGTTTTCCTTCTTACTTCCCTTCCCAAGGATCACCCTTATCACCTTTCCAAAATAACAGTCCATCAAGTCAACCCACTATAAACTGAACACCAAACATTCTTCAAAGTTGACCTTTCCTTCATCCCATTCTCCTAGAATTCCGTTAGCTAAGTAATGCAATCTGATACACTATTGTTTTCTAGGGTAACAATGGTTTAATAAATTATTCCTCATAGATGATATATTTGCATTCCAACAGAAATTCTTATTACCTTAAACCCATATTTTCCACACTGTATCTTTGAAGAAAAAGAAGGACATCCTGAAGGCTATTCTGGTGAGTTTCTGACACTTTGAGAAACTGATAATGGAAATACGTCAGGGTTAGGAAAACCTAACATAGTGGACAACAATGCTCAACCTGCCATTTTATTTTTACTGAAATAAAGTGCCAAAGATCACTCAGTGAAAGGGGCACATCATGTGATATAATTCCAGATAGATAGTTCTATTTTCACTCTCATAGAGTTTTCCTCCTCTCCTTAACCTTTCATTTTCTCGCTGCATAAAGTCGCTTCTACCATCTATTGCCTCTGAATCCTTTCTTAATTCAATTACATAAGTGTCCAGAAGAAAACAAAAACACTGAGGACTGAGCTCTCTCTGATTTTCAAGCAGTGGGGAAGCAGAGAAAAACCAGTTGTTCCCATTGACTTAGAAGACACTGTAATTTCCACAAAAATTACTGTGGATTTCAACATAAGTCATTGGACAAAAGAAAACAAAACAAGTAATTGAGGCAGTATATAAGAAAAGGGAGCATTTCAGGACTCCTAAAAACTAATTTTTAAAGGCTCTCAATATCCTAGTTCATAAGGGCAATCTGACCTACTAGCATTGGAAAGAAATGCTCATCCCAAAAGACTTAAATGATAATCAGACAAAGCTTCTGTGAATGTGTAAACGTGTGATGGTGACATTTCTCAGTCTGCACATGGTCCATTTGCCAGAGATCTGAGATTTGCTGGCTCCATAGAGAGCTGCCCTAATAAATCTCAACAGTCCAGGGAGATTTGGTCCAGTGTTCCCAGGTGATTGTCTTGCCGATTCCCCGAAAGGAAACAGAAGGGTATTTAATTCTACAGCAGCGGCCCACATTCACCCACAAGTGACATTATTTTAGAAACCGATTTTAGAGATTAAAGGTGAAACAGAGAAATCCTACACTGCACAAGAAATCACTGCCAATTTTAGTGACTAGTTGCAGAAAAACACATTTAAGGAGAGTGTTTCTAACGTAGCGTTCTCTGACAGCATTCCTGCCTAGATGTAATGCTGATGTCAGGTTATTTTTATATCATACTTTAAAATCACATCTGGTAACTTAATTTCTGGGACTATGTAACCCCCTTTCATTCAGGCATGTAACTTTCCAAGTTGCGGCATTAAAGGGATATAGAAAACAATGCAAACCAAGGAAATTCTCGTTTTCACACCCAAAAAGTGTTTTACCCCCAATGTTTTCCACTTACACTGTTACACCAAAGCACTAGATGCATAAAGGTGTAAATGAAAACCTTTTGATGGTGATGACGAATTTGAGGAGATATGTGCTACAGGCCAGGAGAACTCTCTTCCTCATTATCATGCCCCAGTGGATGAAATTGCTTCCAAAACTTCTTTGAGAACTGTGTGGGAATGTGATGAAACACCTGATAACTGTCCAGCACACCCCCACCGCGAGGCAACCTGGTACACGGCTGCCTTCTGAGCTCTCTCTGTGCTTGGCACACACAGCATCCTCATAGGAGGAAAACCAGCTGTTTTTACTCATGATAACAATCCCAAGGAAACCTTGGCTTTGGAAGAGAAGGCTGGAGAGGAGTCAATGACAGCTTGCTAAGGACACCAAGATTTCCCAGATGGCTCTTTTTATTTAATGATAGTGAAATCTGGTCCCTGCACTTCTTCTTTACAGCCAAGTTGTGCTATACGCTGTTTTGGCACTGGCGATATAAAAAGAAGTTGGAGGGGAACCCTTTGAATCTGATGTCTTTTCTCTTGGATTTTTCTGTAAGCAGTGACAGGTTATACCAACAGTTGCTAGCGTCAGCAGGCGACACTTCAGATTAATGCCTTAACAGGGGTAGCAAAACCTGATAGAGAATTTGTCAGAAAACGTAAGAGGGACTGAAACAAATTATTTATTACTCCAGAATCCTGTACTAGTCAGCCACAGCAGAATAATAGGGTTTGGCCATGAAGACAGCAGGAGTGAAAAATTAAGAAGAATTCCACCCCTCCGCCCCCACCCCCCACACAATTTTCTACCACCTGGTTGACATAAAGCATAAAATGACATATTTTCCAGGGTAGAGATGCACACAAGGTAAATTCAAAGGCAGAAATTGACGTGGTATTGAGACTTCCTAGTGCCAGCTTAGGGGTGCCTGACCCTCCATTCATCTGCCTGTTCTTTTTTCTGGAAACTGGGGAGAGTGGCAAGGGCAGAGTGCATTCACACAGGACAGAAAAGAGTTGGCCAGGCTGTACATAGACGCTGGAGCATTATACAAGGCTCAGTGCTTAAGAGAAGACCTGAGTAAGCTGGCAGGGGTGGAAATACATCAAGGGCTTGCAAATTGCCTGCCTGAAGGAAAGAAACACAGACTGGTTCTATTCTCTTTACCCAGTAGTAAGTAAATCTGGCATGAGAGAGAGAGAGACAGACAGACAGACTCTAGGAAAGAAAAAAAGTGAGTTGTTTGACACAAAGGGGAGGTTCTGTATCTATGTTCCTTATCTGAATACAGTCAGAATCCGATGGCTTCAGGTTGGCCTCCCTAGGATGGCACTTTACTCCCAAGTCCTGGTCATTGTCACCAAAACGCAGAGCTCCCCCTGCCCTGCTCTTACCCAAGTCTCCCTTCTCAGTTCTGATCATCCATCCTACCTGGAGCTTTGGAGGCAGGTTGCCTTGTTAGCAGGGCCAGCTGTTTCTCCAGGTCTGGATGTTGTTCTCTTGTTTTAATCAAGGCATTGGCTATGGTCTAGAGCACACAGAGAGCATCTTCCAGAATAGCCAGCCCATATGCCTGGCTTTCCATAATCCCATCACGAAGATGATGGGATATCCTATTACTCACGCTTCTGGAAAGAAGACTCCCTGATCCACTCCACATCAGTCATGGGACCTATCAAAGGAACTTGCCTCAACTCCTCTCTTCGGTTCCTTTTCCCCTTTTCCATCTCCTACGGCAAGAGGTGCTTTCTCATTTCTGACATCTGGGATGATAACTGTGCAGCCGTGTAAATAGCTTTAGGGAAACTCTACCTCAAGATCTCCAAATCCCTCTCTTTTAGTCTTTTCACTTTTAGACCTTTTAAGCTTGCATATCACAGCAAATCATGATGAGAAAACCAAATGGAAAGGTTCCCAAAGCAAAATGAATGGAGCTATTAAAATAAGATAAATTAGGCTACATTCAACAGCAAAATTTGGCTTTAGAGACTCTGTTATCTCCACCTTAACACTACCTATCAACGCTGACACTCAAATCTTAGGCTTAACTATTATATAAACAAGGCTATACCTAAGCACCTTGGGTCAAAGTCTGTTCTGCCTGTTGAAAATGTGAATAAATGACAAATTACTCCAAAGTTTGTGGTAAGATTTCCATAGGGATTGAGGATTGATTAACAACTGCATTTTCAATTTTACTGTGAACCAGTATCTGAAAACAGTAAAACTTTTGTTTCTAGAAAATAAGCACTTTTAAAAGTGCTGAATGCATAAAGGGAGGTTTTGAAGACTCACCTCCCCCAGGACTCACATCGTCTGAACAAGTAATCAGTTTCTGCAACTACCATTTGCTCGGTCATCGTTTCTGAGTTTGGTGACAAGGGAGGTATTACCAGATGAATACAGCAGTACTCTATTACCCAATCTTTTGGGTTATTAGGGTTGGTGATAAATTGCTCACAGTAGGAGTTGTCTAGCCTCACCTATCAGTTACTGAAGTCACAGAACGGTGTGATAGGCTTCAACTCTAACTAGAGTTTCAACTTCTGCTACTACTGTGTCACTTTGATCAGGTCACTTCAGAGATTTTGTTCCTATTTATCAATAAGATGCAGAAAAAAATACTCCTCACTTTCTTACTCTACAAAAACAATGTGAAATTGTTCATGCATATACTTATGTAGCTTCCTGAAATAATCTGTGCACAAATATGTTCCTTTGCCCTATGTGCCTACCGTCTGACATCATTAAAAGATCTGACAGCCAATGTTAGAACCACACTTTACCAGCTGCATTAGCTTTTCAGTGCCTGCCATACCCATTCCTTGCTGTTTGAGAGTTGTCATGTCTGATCACCCTCCTCTCTGTTAGTTGACATCAACTCTGGCCCGTCCTTCACTTGCTAAATTTTACCTCCTCCCCATTTTTCCTCCAACCAGTCAAATGAGCTTAATGAATTTCTAGACTAGTGCTTCTCAAACTTTAGTGCGCAAAATAATAATAGAAATCTTGTTCAAGATGATTCCAGTGCCCCACCCCCAGATTTTCTGATTCAGTAGCTATGGGGAGTACCTGAGAATTTGCATTTCTAACAAGCTTCCAGGTGATGCTGATGCTGATGCTGATGATCGTTCTGAGTAGAGCTGGCCCAAATATGGAATCTACTCATGAAACTATTGAGGAATGAGAGCGGAAGGTTGGGAGGAACTGAGAGAAGGGGAGATGACTACAAGTGGGTGGTAAATATTCAGAGCCAAGAAATGACTAGTAAGAAAAAATTGAAGGTAAAGAGTTCTATTATGGAGTTTCCTGGTGTAGTGGACTGCACAGCTGATATTCTGCTGTGGTTTTCCCAGTATGGAAAAACAAATGAACACACATGTCTGACTATATAATTTGGGAACAGTATAGAAGTCCTGACTATTACTCTTTTTACTGGACATCATTGACTCCAGAATGTCCAAGAATGTCATAATGAAATAATTTTTTCGGACACTAGCTGTTTAACAAAGAAGTGAACCAGTCAGGTACAGTGCCTCACACCCATAATCTTGCATTTTGAGAAGCCGACGCAGGAGGATTGCTTGAGGCTAGGAGTTCCAGATCAGCCTAGGCAACAAAGCAAGACCTTATCTCTACAAAAAATTAGAAAAATAGCCAGGAGTGGTGGCATGCACCTATAGTCCCAGCTACTTGGGAGGCTAAGGCGGGACGATAGCTTGAGCACAGGATTTCCAGGCTGCGGTGAGCTATGATTGCACTACTGCACTCCAGCCTGGGTGACAGAGAGACACCTTGTGTCTAAAAGAAAAAAAAAAAAAGATTTAGAAAAATTTCCAAAATATAGTAGCATCCATGATCTCAGAAACAGAAGTTTTAAACAAAGACTTTAAGCAACTGTTATAACTATCTCCCATAAAGTAAAAGTGAACACTAAATAAATGTATGGAAATTTTTTTTTGTATTTTTCCAAACATTTATTTGTATGCATAAAAAAACAAATACAAATTGTAGAATTTGAAAACAATAATATCTGAAATAACTCACTGGACAGGCTCAGTAACATAATGGGGATGATGGAGGAGTCAGTGGATTAGCAGGCAAGTCAACAAAAATTATTCACTTCATCCAAATTATCCAAGAACAGAGAGCAAAAAGCTTTATAAAATAAATACAGCCTCAGGAACCATTGGGGAAAATATCTAATGTTTGTGTCACTAGAGTCATAATTAGAAAAGAGAAAAGTATTAGTGTAGAAAAATATTGCATAAACCATGATAGAAACTTCCCAAATATGGTGAAAGGCATACATTCACAGATTCAAGAAGCCCAGCAAACCCCAAACAAGATAAACTCATAGAAAACCATGTCCAGATACATCAAATTTAAACTTTTGGGAACTGAAGATAAAGAAAAACGTGTGAAAGCCACCAGAAAGGGAAAACATGACACATTACATATGGGGAAAAACAATTTGAAAGATGGCTGATTTCTCATTAGACACTTTAGAGGCCAGAGGAGAGTGTCACAACATTTTTAAAGTGTCAGGAAAAAAGGGACTGTCAGTTCTGAAATTATCATTCAGGAATAAAGGCAAAATAATTGCCTTCTCAGATGAAGGAAAACTAGGAGACTTCATTATCAGCAGGCGTGTTTAAAAAAATGCTAAAGGAAGCTTTTCAAGGTGGAGAAAAGTGATAACAGAGGGAAACTTGAAACTTCATAAATGAAATAAAAGCATAATAAAGGGTAAATATCTTGAGAAATAGACTGATTTTCTGCTTTTAAGTATTTAAACATGTATGATTATGGAAAACAAAAATTATAACATTATTTCACAGGGTTCTCAATGTATGTAGATGTAAGATATATAAAAACTATAAAATAAAGAAGGGAGATTAAAGAACTCAATATGCTTGCAAGGTTTCTACATTTTCCTTGAAGTGGTAAAATATTAATTCTAAATAGACTTTGGAAAGTTAGGTCTGTATATTGTAATTCTTTGAACAACCACTGAACCATTGAAAAGTAACACAGTGATATAGTCAAAAGGCCAATTAATAAATTGGAATTAAGTACTGAAAAATATTCATGTAATCCAAAAGAAGTCAGAAAGGAGGAAACAGAAGAAAACAGAGAGGATAAGCAAAACACAAATAATCATAGATTAGACTTACATTCAACCATATCAATAAACACATTAAATGTAAATGGTTTAAACACCAGTTAAAAGACACAAATTATCTTATTGGATAAAAAAGAGACCAAACTATATGCTATCTATCAGAAACCAATTTTTAGCATAATGATACAAATATAAGTTAAAAGTAAAAGGATGGAAAAGGATATACAATGTGAATGCTAATCAAAAGAAAGCTTGAGGAGCTATGTTAATATCAAAGTAAACTATAGAATAAGGAATATTTCTAGAGATAAAGAGGAACATAAAATAATGATAAAATGGTTAACTCACCAAGAAGATACCAGCTCTAAATGTGTATGTACCTACAAATAGAGCTTCAAAATACATAAAACAAAAGTGGATAGAATTGTAAGGAGAAATTAGCACATCCACAATTATAGTTGGAGACTTCAACTCAGCAGTCAATAGAACATTTTACAGACATAAAATTAGTAAATATAGATTTATGGAAGACCCAACACTATTGACCAACTTGACCTGAATCGCATTTAACCAATCTCTGTACCCAACTATAGCAAGATATATATATGTTTTATAAATGAATTATTCTTTAAGATAAACCATATCCTGGACCTCTGTAAAAAAAAAAATCTTTAAAATTTGAAAAATTTTAAATCATTTAAATTATGTTCTCTGACCACAACCAAAGTAAACTAGAAATAAAACAAAAAGCTATCTGTAAAATTCCTGAATATTTAGAAATTTAACCTATGCCTCAAAATGGAAGTCTCAATGGAAATTAGTAAATATTTTGAACAAAATAAAATGGTAAAATATAAAACTAAAATGTTTAAAAGAAATACAAGAGACTTTGAGTCAGGTGAAAAGTCCTTAAGTACAACGCCAAAAGCACAATTTATCACAGAAAAAAATTAATAAATGATCTTCACTTTATCATTAATCCATGCTGATTGTAGCTCTAATTCAGGGTTTCTCAACCTTAGAATTATTGACATTTTGGACCAGATACTTCTTTGTTGTGAAGGGTCGTCCTGTGTATCATAGGAAATGTAATAGCAACCTTGGCCTCCACCCACACAATCACGAGGTGCCAGTAATATTTCTTGCCCAATCCCCCCCGAATAGTAACAACCAAAAATGTCTCTAGATATTGCCAGTTTTCCTCTGGGGAAGGTAAAATCATCCCCCATCCCCTGGGATAAAAACTATTGCTGTCATTTTTTTCATTTTAACTGCTAAATATCTTTTCTTTTTCCTCTGGAAGGAATTTGGGTTGTTAAAAAATTTTCCTATTGCAGACAATCCTATATAAATCTTTATTCGTGTGTGTGTCTGTGTGTGTGTGTGTGTGTGTGTGTGTGTGTAGTGTGAATACATGAGAATTTCTATTATGGAGTATATACCTCACAATAAAATTGTTGGGCCATAAAAATGTGCATCTTTTATTTTGGTAGATAGCACCATATTTCTTTTCAAAGTGGTTGCACCAATTATGTTCCTTCCAGCAGATGAGGAGTGTCCACTACTTCACCTACCTGCCACATTTTGTATCATCGAATATGGCAGATGCATGAAATAGCATCTCATTTGTATTTTTCTGATTTTTAGTAAGCTGAGAATATTTTTGTGTGTTTATTGTCTATTTGACTTTCCTTTTCAGTGAATTACCTGTTGATGTCCTTTTAAATTTTTTTTCTTATTGAAGGTAGTTCTTATATTCTGGACACTAATTTTTTGTTAATTACATGCATTGCAAATATACCTTCAAAGTCTGTGGATTGTCTTTATCTTTTATTTATACAGTCTTTCAATGTACAAAAATTTAAATTCTTTATATTATCCGCTCTGTTTTCTTTGAGTTTTTTATGTTTTCTTTAAAAATTCACTTTATTTAGGGTTATAAACATATTCTCTAATATTTCCCTCTAGAAATTTTAAAGCTTTGATTTTTGCATTTAATATACTTGTAATTGAATTCTATGAATAGAAAATATTCAATTTTATTGTTTCATATAGACAACCAATTGTTCTAGTATCATACATTGCATTGTATATACTTTACCACTAGTCAGCAATGCCACCCCTGTCGTTTAATTCTACTCTATTCTATTCATGTATTTGTCTCTTCTATGGCATTACCAGACCATTTTAATTGCTGAAATTGTATAATACATTTTCATTTAAGTTATTGCAAGTCCCTCTAATATGCTTCTTCTTCTTTCCTTATACCCTTGTTATTTTTATATGTATTTTTAAATTGGGTTATCACATACTCTCCACAGAATTTTTAAATGGAGTGATTGAATTTGTAGGTTAATTTGGGAAAATACAACATGTATATAATATGGTGTGTTCCCATAAATATTTTTTAAATCTCTATTTACTGAAGTGTTTGTAATTGCCTTTAAATAGAGTTGTGTAAGTTTATTTATAAATCTCTAGCCCAACTTGTGTTAGGTTTGTTCCTAAGGTTTTGGGATTTTTGAAGCTATGGTAATGTCATTTAAAAAAATTAAATGTTCACTCTTTGCCACTAGTATAAAGGATAGCAATGTGGGGTGTTTTTTTTTTTTTTGAGATTATATCCTGTAATCATGTTGCATTCTGCAATTAATTCTAATAATTTGTCAGTAGAGCTTTGTGGATTTTTGGTATGTAAGACTGGTAGTTTTATTTCTTTCTTCCCATTACTTATAACTAGTTTTTCTTGCCTTTCTCTAATGACTATGACCTCTGAATAATGTATAATGGAAGCTTTGATAACAGGCATCCTTGTCTTATTTCTGAATTTAAGGATTTAATTTTCCTATATTTTATTATTAAATTTTACCTTTCCATAGGAGAGGTACCCTTCCTCAAGTAAGGAACTCAGCCATACTTCAAGTTAACTAATTAATTTTACCCAGGGTATAAAATAAAATTTTCAATATCTTTATAATACATCTCTCTCCACAGGCTTGTAAGTAGGTCTGTTTTTCTCTTAGATAGTATCAGCCCAGAATGCTAACCTCATTTGGAGGAAGAAAACAGTGCATAAGATATGACAGAATTAGAAGATGGGGTAGCTCAGGGTTGTTTATTGATCTCTCTCTCTCTGTCTCTCTCTCTCTCTCTGTAGAGACGGGGTCTCACTCTGTTACCCAGGCTAGAATATAGTGGCACAATTATAGCTCAGAGTAACCTCAAACTCCTGGCCTCAGATGACCCTCCTCAGCCTCCCAAATAGCTAGGTCTACAAGTGTGCACCACCATGCCTGGCTAATTTTTTTAATATTATTTTTTGTAGAGTCAGAGTCTCCCTATGTTGCCCAGGCTAGTTTCGAACTCCTGGCCTCAAGTGATCCTCCTGCCTCAGCCTCCCAAAGTGCTGGCATCACAGGTGTGAGTCACCACACCTGGCCTCATATCTCTTTTTAAAAAATAATGCTCTAAACAGATAAAGCCATTATAGCCTGCTGTCTATTTGCAGAACAGGTTAAAAATATTTAAAAGAACATTGGCATAACACTCAACTTGTTTAAAAATCTATAATAACTACGGTTTAAATGAAAATAAAAACAGCTAAGTATCAGTCTCAATTTTCTATCTATGGTTCACAAGCCTAGTTATACATTAAATCATCTTAGGAGTTTTAAAAAATATTCATGTCAAGATCCCACTCTAATTTAATTGTTAGCCCTAAGGTGGGTTCCATTCTCTGATTCTCTCTCTCTCTCTCTCACTGCATAATAACCTTTGTTTATACAATGTCTTGATAGTACCACGTCTTTCTTTTTCCACTCCTAAAATGGCCATTAAACTCAATTATAGAAAGATTATTTTACTAACAATTGAGCAAGGGGCATGTTCAGAGCAAACCCTTTTTTTCCCAAAAAGGCCCATACAAAAATATGTGTATAACTAATGATAAATCCATCACTAGAAAAACATGTAGCTTCATTTCTTTACATCAGAAAACCCCAAGCAGTAGAGCCTGCTTGCTGATGAAGTGGATCCTCAGTAGAACCAGGCACCCACCTCCATGGCTGACTTTCATTGGCTCTGCGCAGCGCTTTATCAATAGCACCCTTTCTGTTCCTATCTCCTCCCCTCTCCTATCCTGCTCTACCTCCATCCAGTGACTCAAGTGTTAAGGGAAATTAGAAGGAGCATGTTTCCAAAAAGGGTAAAAGCAGTAAATTTATATGAAAGACAGCATGTCATCAGCATTGCCAAAAAAAAAAAAAAACAAAAAAAAACCTCAAAATAGCAGATGGGTTGGCCAAAATAAAAAATATACCTAATTGTTGGGTGTCATGTAAAACTTCCGGAATGTCTGAGGTTTTCTTATCCCTGCCTTTTCGAAATTTTGGTTTCCTGCAGGGTATTTCTCTTGCTTTTCAGCATTCTCATAACTTCCTTTGGCAACTTCCAGATTTCTTTTTTAATTATGTGTGTGTGTGTGTGTATGTGTGTGTGTGTGTGTGTGTGTGTGTGTGTATATATGTGTATATATATATATATGACTTGCAGTGACTGCTTTCCCTTTTCACAGAAACAAGTCAACATTTTGATTTCAAACATCAAAAAAGGTGTCCAGAAATCTCAAGAATTTGAGACATCCTAAGGAACTTTAAGTGCTGTGAGCCACAAGTAACATCAAGAAAAGACAGGGATGAAGAACCGCACTTACAAGCTAAGTAAGATTAAACCCAGCATGGAGATATATGAATTAATATGAACTCTGAGAAAGAAATTGGTCAGCTAAAAAATATATGGCTTTCCTGAATAGACAAAAGAACAAAGATTTTCCCTTTGGTATGTAACCTGTTTCATTTAGTCACTTATATTTTCTCTGAGTGTGAGATAAATGTTATGAAAAAATTTGTTTTGATTATGCAAGAGAGGATTGTTTACCTAGTCAGGTCAAAACTGGAAAAAAGAACTGCTGCTTCATTATACATCCCCCACAACTTCATAGAAAGTGATTTTAAAAAGAGGAAAACCAAAGATTTATAGAGTTGGGTGCCCATCTTCATGGCTGACTTTCATTGGATATATATATAAAATAAGTATGAACATTAAAGTTCATCTAGCACCCCCCCCAAAAAAAAACTGGATAGACATTTTTCAAAAGAAGACATACAATGGCCAACAGGTATATGAAAAAATGCTCAACATCACTGCTGATCAGAAAAATGCAAATTAAAACACAATGAAATATTATCTCACACCTGTTAGAATGGCTATTATCAGAATGATGAATGATAACAAGTGCTAGTGAAACTGTGAAAAAAAAAAGGAAACCCTGTATATTGTTGGTGGGAATGTAAATTACTACAGCTGTTATTAAAAACTGTATTAGGGTTCCTCAAAAAATTAAAATTAGAACTACCATATGACCCAGCAATTCCATTTCTGATTATATATCCAAAGGAAATGAAAACAATATGTCAGAGAGATACCTGCTCTTCCAAGTTCATTGCAGAGCTATTCACAATAGCTAAGATTTTGTATCAACCTAAGTGTCCATCAACAAATAAATGGATAAAGAAAATGTGGTATTTAAATGAGAATTAATAAGACCTAGTATTTGATAGTACAACAGGGTGACTATAGTAAAAAATAATTTAGTTGTACATTTAAAAATAACTAAAAGAGTATAATTAGATTGTTTATAACACAAAGGCTTGAGGTAATGGATACTCCATTTACCCTGATGTGATCACTATGCATTGCATTCCTGTATCAAAATATCTCATATACCCCATAAATAAACACACCTACTCTACTATGTACACACAAAAATTAAAAATTAAAAGAATATGCCCTATTTAAAAAAAAGAAAGAAAACGTAGTATTTAGACATAATGGAATATGACTCAGCCTTGAAAAAGAAGGAAACCTGTTATTTGTGACAACATGTGAACTTGAAAGACACTGTGCTAAGTGAAATAAGCTGGACACAGAAAGACAAGGTTGAATGATATCATTTATATGTGGAATCTAACAAGTAGGATACATAAAAGCAGAAAGTATAATGTGTTTTCCAGGGGTAGGGAGGTCAGGGAGAGAATAGGGAGATGTTGGTCAAAGGGTACAAATCAATGAGACAGGAAGAATAAGTTCTAGAGGTCTGCTGTACAGCACAGTGCCTATGGCTAATAACAGTATATTGCTTACTTGAAAAATTGCTAACAGAGTATATTTTCAATGTTCTTACCTCAAAAAAATAAGTATGTGAGGTGATGCATATGTTAATTAACTTGATTTATTCATTCTACTATATATATACATATCTCTCTCTCAACACATCATTTGTATACCATACATACATAGAATTTTTTGTCAATTAAATAAATTATTTAAAAAAATAAAATAAAGTTCATCTAGCTGGGTGTTTCCCAAAGTTGATTTTAAAAAATAAATAAATATGTTTATGCAGGTATGGCAAAAAGTGAAATAATGTGAATTATTCAAGTTCAGAGAGGTCAGGTGACTTTCCTGGGATCACACAGAAGACTCCCATCTCCTGCAACTCAGTCTGGTTTTCTTTCTGTCGCATTACCTGCTTAACAATTGTTCTTTAAAATGTTGTGTACAGTAGATATTATTTACATCCTTAGTGTTTTTATGTTTCCCAATTACAATGTGGGTAATTCAATTCTTTCATCGTTAATAGAAATTAGATAAGAAGAAGAATCTGTAAATTTCTGAATTCAATTTTATAAAGTACATTAGAAATATTAAATATCTAGAATTGTAGCATTTTGAAATTATGTAAAAACATAATTATTACAAAATCATGAATGGAAATTCAGGTCCTTTACATTTTGTGGGCTATAAATATTCAGAAAAATTTTAGAAGTTGATGTTCCTCGATGAGAACACATGGACACCTGGGAGGGGAACAACACACACTGGGGTCTGACGGCGGGGGCGGGGGAGGGAGAGCATCAGGAAGAACAGCTAAGGGATGCTGGGCTTAATACCTAGGGGATGAGTTGATCTGTGCAGCAAACCACCATGCCCCACGTTTACCTACGTAACAAACCTGCACATCCCTCACATGTATCTCGGAACTTAAAATGAAAATTGATTAAAAAAAAAGAATAAAAGTAGAGATGAAAGAAATGGATGTTCCTAAAAGAAACAACAGATACCTTTTAAAATACACTTTCAGTATAACTAAGTACCTTTTCAAGTTGGTTAAAAAATTCTAAAAGTAGAGTAGTCAAGTCCTTAAGTAACATGAAGATCCTATCTACAGTTTAAATAAATGTTCAGTCATCCCAACAGGAACAAATCATAAAGAAAATGTAAAGAATATATCAAATTGGCTAAATGCATTCTATATTCGTAGTGTACTCACTGAAGCATTGTTCGTGGGTTTTTTTTTTCTGATTCTTACCAAGCCTACATATTTCTTTTTAATTTTTTCTTTTTATGTTTCCCAAGTTTACAGTTCACATAAAATACCCACTGAAGCAGAGAGAAAAGTGAAACAAATATTTCACAGCTCTTTGGGGATTTGAATGGGTTTTTACAATAAAACCTTGATTACTCAAAGAGCACAGGAGTGCCTGAAACCTGATAGAAGGAACAGAGAGCAGGCAGTTCTAAAGGTGCCAAGAGAGACTCAGAACCTTGTGGAGTTGATGCACTGGCCCTTCAACCCTGGAACCCAGGCCAAGCACCAAACCAGGAAGGGTCCAAACAGCCCTGAACATGGCTATCGTGGCCAAACAAACCAAAAAAAAAAAAGTCACTTGGAAAAGATGTGCAAGGTTGTGGTTTCCTGATAAATTAAGATGACACAGGCAGTACCACAGGGCTTCCTTCATTACATTATTGTGAAATCTGGACTCAAATAGAATGAGGCAAACCCACAAGTTAAAGTGTTTTTAAAGTGGCTCAATAATCACTTTGAAAACAGAACACCCTTTCAGTCAGCATGACTGGAACTTTGATCAACAAATCCCCAAGAGCCACAACCCGTCTTTTGTGAACAAGTAGTATCAAGGTGGGGGTGGGCTTGGAGTGCACTGGATGCTTTTCTTCTTTCATCATGAAACCTGGTGGTTTTGTGTCATGTGATATGTTTTTCAGAGATTCGGCAGGAAGCTTGCACCGAGTGAAGGATTTATAAAGATTATAGGAGATAACACAAAGCTATTTTATCTCTTTAAAAAAAATCAAAGGTATTAAATTTTTTTCTACTTCATTTTTGTTTCCTCATTTAAAAATTAGCTGCCACAAATATTATCCCCCATCTGGGCACAAGGTCAGTTGGCATACAATTTTCTTCTTAATTTTCATTTTCTGGATTCCTTGATGACCTGATTTTGTACAAATTCATGCTGCAGAGATAAGGATTGATTGGCTACAAATCAAGGATCTCTGCAGAATGGGAATGAGAGACAAAGGAAGAGGAAGAGGACGGACACCACAAACCATCTTATCTTTTCAAAATGTGATTGGTGCATTTCCAACATTGGCTTACCTTTCCTTATGCTGTCCATAAATTTTGTGCAGGTGTAAGCTCATCCTACACATGTCATTTGGACCAGACCAAGGCTGCTGTCATGGAGGACCCACACCACAGCTTGGGAACCATTCATCTACCAGAGGGTCACATGACTTCAAATGACTCTTCTAGGGGCCACCTGCCATGATAGGGTACCAGCTCTTCCTCTGAATTCCCAATCCATTTCTTGAGAACTACTGTTTCTAATAAGGTACTGTTTCTAATACCTTTCCAACAATGGTTTATTCATTTATCCATACATTTAAAATACAGATTTTTTTTAGCATCTGCCATGTTTAAGATCCTCCTCTAGCACTAGGAATACATTATTGAATAGAACAAAGTCCCTGATTTCATGGTGTTTACATTTCAAGGGAGAACTATTCCTTCTTAGAACAGAACACCGTACAAAGTTGTAACATAGTAAGTGAAAGTGCTCTGGCCAAGGCTGAGACCACAGTCTACCACGAGCTCCTTGCATTGTGAAGAATGAATATTTCTTAAGCACTTAACTGTGTGCCAGGCATTGTGTAAAGTCCTAATATACATTTGCTTCCTCATCGGGTGGGAAGTTGAGCAGGAGGCTTTCTAAAGTGTCTATTAAAACCCAAGTTATTTGGTTGGCCACTTTAGTCTGTGGTGGATTATCTGCACATTTTTGCCTAGAGATCACTTAATCTGTGGCATAGAAAAACTATATTCAATTGGCCGTGTGTAGTGGCTTAACGCCTGTAATCCCAGCACATTGGGAGGCCGAGGCAGGTGGATCACGAGGTCAGGAGTTTGAGACTAGCCTGGCCAACATGGTGAAACCCCGCCTCTACTAAAAATACAAAAATTAGTGGAGTGCGGTGGTAGGTGCCTATAATCCCAGCTACTTGGGAGGCTGAGGCAGGAGAATCACTGGAACCCGGGAGACGGAGGTTGCAGTGAGTGGAGATCGTGCCACTGCACTCTAGCCTGGGCAACAGAGTAAGACTCCGTCTCAAAAAGAAAAGAAAAGAAAAGAAAAGAAAAGAAAAGAAAAGAAAAGAAAAGAAAAAAAAGAAAAGAAAAGAAAAGAAAAGAAACGAACAACTCTATATTCAATAGATCTCTTGAAATAACTTGAATTTGGTGGGGGATGAGGAGGGGTTTCTAATAAGACATGTAATGTAGTAGAAAGATCTAGGCCTACGTTCAAATCTCATTTTTTCCACTAACTGGAACTTCTTTAGTAAGTTGGGGTTAATTCATTTCTCCCAGTATTATTGTAAGGATTACATTGATTTTTATTTTACAAATTTTTATGAGGTCCCTGTGGTGTACTAGGCACTGACCTTGCTACTGACGATATAACAACAATCATCAAGACATATAAAAGTCACTGCTCCATGAGGTGATCTAACACCTCGCCCTTTTGCTTCCTTTGTCTTCCTTTTTTTAGAGGGGAAGAAGGTCATGTGGGAATCAGTTAAATCACGTGTGGATAGAAGACAAGTTCCAGCTTTGTGGGAAATCCTGTAGCCTTCGCCAGGTACACCCTGACAATCTCAGAACTGATCAGGTAAAGCCAGCTCTGAGTTAGACCCTTCTGTGGCCTGTCAGGGAGAGCAGAGAGGGATATGCAGAATCCAGGCAAACCTGTTGTCTGGACTGGCAGAAATGGGAAGAAGCATTTCCAGAACACAGCTGAACAACCAAACCATCATCTATGTTCAAAGGGCTTCTTCTTAAATGCATTTCAAATCGATTTGCAAATTTTAAACAATGTGTCTTTAGTTTAAAAGCTCTAAATATTAAAAAATCAGTAAATTCTCCTTTAGCACTGCCCCACCCTCTGCCATTCTTCTCTTTCTCAGCACAATGGCATTACTGTTCTAACCACTCAATATTCAATATCTTATGTACTTTTAAGGAAATCTTAGGCACAAGAAAAAAGTTTATTTGTGAGGTGAGTTAACTCTTGTTTAAAAAAAAAATGGGTTGGCTCATATATAAACCTTACAAAAGGTTAATGCATAAAACACAAATATAGTTCAATTTCCTTTTTATGTGATTAGAGAAACTTACCTACAGAGTTGCCTATGACACCTACAAAAGAGGTGATGATAAGAATGATGCAGTTCACACTGTTCAATGGTTCCTTAAATTAATGAACACCAGATATGTTAGTGTGATTTCTTCTTCCTCTTTCAAGTTCTTTATTTACCACTCCATGCCCTCCAGGTTAGCTGAGTTTAGTGCTCTGGGATAATGACTAGTTGAATTCGCTGCAATTTTTTAAATATGCCTAGCATAGGGGCCAAAGGAAAACTTCTCTTCCACTCTCTGAAGGTTCACTGAAAATCAACTGGCAAAAGGCAGATCAGTAGGAGAAATGGCATACAAATTACTAGCATCCACGAGGGAGAATCACAGAGTGATTGCCTCATACCCCGTGGGGTAGAGGTGTTTATATACCCTACATCTTAGGGGAAAAGGAAATGGAGATGTATAGGTGACTTTATAGGGACAGAAAACAATTTTTAGGGGAATTCACTGGGCTTGAAGAACATACAATGGCCAGAGACAAAGTCTGTTGGGCCTGCAGAGTGGACAATGGTTTGTGACAAAAGTCTGTCCAGGTGTGTTGACAGATTTCAGTCTTCCTTCCTGCGATAGGAGATGAGTTAATGGAAACTCAGGGAAAACTTAGGGTAATTGTCTTCTTCTTTGATGGGTCCAGACTTTTCGGCAGATAAGGAAACATCAGAGAACAAATTTATCCTGTGCTTTGGGAGATAGGAAGGGGAGAAGGTCAGGGAGACCTTGAGGCTCCTTCAGTTCAGCATGTCAAAGTGCCATATCTTAGAGTATCAGTTTCTGAGCCCCAACACTAGAAACATGAACAAGTTAACAATTCAGTTAAAAGGGAGAGAGAGATGAACTGAGTGAAGTGCATTGTAATCCTTCCTGAGGTTAAGCTAGTGATAGTCGGCCTCTCAGGCGATTATGTTCACCCTCCTAGTGTCAGGGAGACATCTTTACTGCTTTTCCTAAGAGAACTTAAGAGATACTGGGGCAGGGCAGGGAATTGGAAGCAGATAGCAATGTGGACAATCTGACTTTGTTGGCAAATGACTAACCTGAATACAATGAAGTTAAACATCTGCAGATAGTTTCTGGTTGTTGGCTTTTATCAGTTTTTATATCCATGTGGAGTGGTGGGGCTGTGATTAAGAAAGCTGGTGGACTGTGAATTACATTTTTCACCTTTTAGTTTAAGGATTGAATATGACACATTTGGGTGGAAGAGCACACCAGTTGGATTTTACTTTTTTTTTTAATGTGACTGAGAGAAAGTGAATCAGCTGTATTTTGTATTTATTCAGGTTTCATAGTGCTGATTCAGGGACAAGTGTCTTTGTTTTATATCAAATTCTGGGTCTTTTTCAGCAGAAATGAATCAAAGAGAATCAGAGAAATGTGAGTTGACTTTTTTAAAGGAAACAGGAGGATCTGGTGTCAGAGCTTTTAGTCCAGAGTTTCACATTGATGATAGCTGTAGCTGCTTTCTAGAATTCTCAGGAATTAATTACAACCAGATTTGTTTTTGTGGCATTCACATCCCATCTATTTGTCAATTGCTCATCCACTCATCCAACTTCTCCATCTCCATGGAAATCATTTCTTTTTTCCAAGGAAAATCACACAGGAAAACAATAGACTCAACTTGGAAACATCAAAACAGTCAAAGCAGTCTTTCTGAGAACAAGGCCTATATCCCTCAGCTTGATCTGTTTCCCTGAAAACACCCTGAATGATGTTTTTCTTATGTTGAGCTCTTCAAGATCCATATTCTTAGACACTGGGCCAAAAATAATGGGCTTGCCTTTCCCTGTGAGGGACCTTGCCCTATGACCTAAGCTGCCCACACAACCACTGAGCAATAATCCTGTTGGCCTCTTAGAGGGAAATGATGAAAACAAGAAATTGTCCCTCCAACTTGAGGGTTTTTTTCTCCATAAGTCTTAAAATTAATGAGAGCAGTAAGAAAGCATCGTGGCTTCAGTATAAATATAAAAACTATTAATTGTAACAATAGAGAAGAAGTCATAATTCATAATCATTTCCATCTTTCATGTTGAATATTTCAGGGTTTGGAAAAAAATATTTGCATTGATTTTTTTCCCCGAAGCCTAAATTATTCACAAGTATTATGTATCACTGAATTAACAGTAGTCAGAATTGTGTGTTCAACATAAATACCGAAGTATATAACTTTGAATATTTCCACAAATACAATGGATAAAAAGGTAATTTTGTTCACATGAGTCAATGAATTTCGGAAGTAGAGGTGGCAACTCAAACAAACTCTACGCTCCAAACCCACCCCTTTGTGCTTCTTCAAGAATCAAGAATTAAGGCTACAATTCTTAATACCTACATGTTGTTTGGCCAGTTACTTAACTTTTGTTTCTTAGTTTTCTCATCTGTAAAATGGAGCTACTTGTTTCTACTGCATGGAAATATTATGAGAACTACAAGTATTAGAACAATGCCTGCAGTATAGCAAGAACTCAACGTTAGCTATCATGTTTATTTAAACTTCCTAATTCACTTTGTAACTTCTGTGCCTAAGGTGAAGATCCAGGAATACTTAAAGAAATCTCTGAAACAGTTTCTTCTTCGTTTTTTTTTTTTTTTTTGAGATGGAGTTTCACTCTTGTTGCAGTGGCACCATCTCAGCTCACTGCAACCTCCGCCTCCCAGTTTCAAGCGATTCTCCTGCCTCAGCCTCCCGAGTGGCTGGGATTACAGGCATGCACCACCACGCCCAGAAAATTTTGCATTTTTAGTAGAGACAGGGTTTCAAACCATGTTGGTCAGGCTGGTCTCGAACTTCCAACCTTAGGTGATCTGCCCGCCTCGGCCTCCCAAAGTGCTGGGATTACAGGCGTGAGCCACCGCACCCGGCCAACAGTTTTGTAACCTCAGCACCACTGGCATTTTGGGCTGAATAACTTTTTGTTATGGGGGTGCTTTTCTGTGCATTGCAGATGTTTAGCAGCCTCTACTCAGCAGGTGCCAGGAGCATCTCCCCATTTCAGTCATGACAACCCAGTATGGCCTCAAGACATAGCCAAATGTCCTCTGGGAGAATGAGGGAAGGGACAGAGTCAAAACTGCCCTTGACAAGGACTCTAGAATATTCAAAAATTTAAAGCATATGTCTAAAGCAGATTTTCTCTATCAATGGCACTGTCCAAACATAGACCAGAGATTCAAACAGCAACTATTTCTTTTTTAAAAAATCTAATTTCTGATAGGATAATTTAGTTACAATTTGAGGGGAAAAGGTGAAACAAGAAAACATAAAGGAAAAGAAGGGAGAGAGAAAGGAAGAAAAAACAGGAGGGAAGGAAGAAAAAGAGAAAGAAGAAAGGAAGGAAGAAAAAAGAAAGAAAGACACTTAATTGTACAAGAAGAATTATCTATCACTTAACTAGAGACCAGGTCCTCTCTTCCTCTATGCTACAGCAATTTCCAGTTTTTTTTAGCTAACACACAGTAACTGAAATCTAGAAGCTTTATCTAAAAAGCATTTGTTTTAAAAGATTAAGGAAAATCCCATTAGATGGTTGGTGGCCTGTGTTTTGTTACATAAGTCATGTGGGCTAACTTAAAGATCAACCACTCCTTTCAGTGCTCACTTCTGAAATGGATTTTGTTGGAGGGAGAAAAGGAGGAAAAGATAAAAAGGAACCAGAAATGTCCATTCATTCTATTCATGAAAATTGCTTTTAGTATTTATTTACCTCCAAGTCTTTGTTAGACAGGACCTCCATTATTATCTTACTCATCTATTTTTATTCCTTTTGACAAAAACTCACTTCTAATTACTACAAGATAGTTTAAATCAACCTCCCTAGTGCTCAGGTTGGTGTCGATAAAGCTAACTCGGCAGTTTGGTTTTTGAAAATTGATGAGGAGGAAGAAGAGCTCAGATTTAATTCTAACCAGCAAAATGTAACTCTGATCCCAAAAGATCACCAATACATCCTTGAGGCAAGTAGGAATGTATACATTAAAATGTATTAAATAGTCCAGTCCAAACTCAGTGCTACATTCAGAAAACATCAGCCTAACATCCAACAATAACTAAAAACAGTGTAAATTTTTCTTTCACTTTCCTTAAAAATTCCAGGAGGAAAATTATGTTCACAATGCAGACTAGAAACCTCTGTTGTCCATTTGCCACTAGCGCTGCCACCCATATGTAGCCGTGTCCCCCAGCAGTTCCTGTCCTTTGAAACTCCCCTAGAACTCAGCCTCCAACTCAGTGCTTGTATTTTCAATTTCTCTCATCCCTTCCACCTTACCAATGTATTTGTTTTCTTCTCACAGTAGTTGTCTGTTCTTTTGATGTCTATCCAGCTATGATTCCCAACCTTAAAAGATGTTTTCTTCTCTCTCTCTCTCTCTCTCTTTCTTTTTTTCTTTGAAACAGAGTCTTGCTCTGTCATCCATGCTGGCGTGCAGTGGCGTGATCTTCGCTCACTGCAACCTCTGCCTGCCAGGTTCAAGTAATTCTCCTGCCTCAGACTCCGGAGTAGCTGGGATTACAGGCACACACCACCAATGGTAGTTGTCTGTTCTTTCGATGTCTATCCAGCTATGATTCCCAAACTCATAAGACAGTCTCATGGGCCCAACAAGTAAGGAAATACAGAATCTCTATCATTTAGAAAAGACAGAAGCTACAAATACTCATGTAAATATATTTATATTACATATAATATGTGTATGTGTGTGAGTGTGTGTGTGTGTGTGTGTATGTGTGCATAACCCATCCCTGTACAAAACAAATAGAGGGAGTTGGCTTGTTTATAGAATAATGAAATATGGAACTATTCTCACAGTGAAATCATTACATGAAACTTTTATCAGAAAGGAAAATAATTTTCATTGCCTTTCTAGTGAGTGGCTTGGCTATGTATGTTTCTTCTAAGCTTTTATGACTGTTAGTACCAAGATGAAGTAAGATGAAGTTGGGAATCAATTCAGCTGCTCTTTCTTTCTTTTTTTTTTTTTTGCTTTTGAGAAAGGATCTCCCTCTGTCAGCTAGGCTGGAGTGTAGTGGCATGACCATGGTGGCAGCTTTGGCCTCCCAGGCTCAAGTGATCCTCCTGCCTCAGCCTCTGAGTAGCTGGGACTACAGACATGCACCACTGCACCTGGCTAATTTTTTGATTTTTTGAAGAGACAGGGCCTCTCTGTGTTGTCCAGGCTGGTCCCAAACTCCTTAGCTCAAGGGACCCTCCTGCCTCAGCCTCTGAGTAGCTGGGACTACAGACATGCACCACTGCACCTGGCTAATTTTTTGATTTTTTGAAGAGACAGGGCCTCTCTGTGTTGTCCAGGCTGGTCCCAAACTCCTTAGCTCAAGGGATCCTCCTGTCTCGGCCTCCCAAGCTGCTGATCTTTCATTGAGTTTCATTCAACTCTTCCATTAAACTCAATTCCAATTAGCTCTGCCTTCTGTTTTCTTTAAAAGTATAAGGAAGATGACAACCTCTATTTAATACTATATTTTTAATGGCTTTCAAAAATCACGTAAGTGGTTAAAAGTCCAGAGGGACTCAAGATCAGTGTTCACAGTCTATTAACTTCTAACACATTCTTCCATTATGCTTTGTGCTTTGAAATATTTGTCTTAAAACACAGTCTTAAAAACTGCATTAATTATAATAATGTCATTTTCTTCTTTTCAGAGTTTTTGTTCCATGTGAGATACCCACGCCACTTTAAAAAACAAACTATCCTGACATCTAATTACTTTGTGAATGATTGTAATGGCAATAACAATAGAGATGGAAGAATTTTGGAAACAATACTAGTTTCACAGCTTTCATGTGAGATGCCAAGGTTTTAGCATCGTCAGATTGGCAATGAGATTGGATAACTTCTGGGGTCTTTTTGAAATTATATCTTTCTTTTCTCTAGGATCCTACTTCTGGAAAATAAGATTAATACTAATACTAATAAGACACAAAGATTTTTAATGGAAATAGGAATATCTTCAAAGGCTGGATGGACATTGCATGCACTGTATGACAACATTCGTGTATAATAAGATCCTTTCCTTAGAGAATGGGGCAAATCCAGATGGAATGTGAGAAAGACTTCAAGGTTTCAGTGGAATATGCTTATATTGGGAATTGTATTAGTTAAGACTAGGTTTGGCTGCACATGACAGAAAACCCAACATAGTCACTTACACAGGATTAAAACATTTCCTTGTCATATGAAAGTCTAGAAGTGGTATGTAGCTCTGGGTGTCAGGGATGAAGATTCCTTCTAACTGGGAACCCAGCTTCCCATTTCAAAGATTGCTTCATATTCAAAATGGCTGCTGGGTCTCCAGGTATAGAGTCCACCTTCCAGCTAGAAGAACAAAGAACCAAAATGAGGCGTGTTCTCCCCTGTAAGGATACTTTCGTAAGTTGAATAGGATGCTTTCATAAGCATCTCATTGGCCAGACTGGTTAGAACTTAGTAACTGGCCACAATCAGCTGGAAAGAAGGCTGGCAAATAGAATATTTAAGGTGGTCACTGTAATCAGCAAAAAAATCATGAGTTACATAATATATAGAAAAGGAGAACAAGCACAGAATGACAACTAGCAGTGTCTGCATATCATTCTTCCAAGCAAATAAATGGAAATAAAAAAAAAATCTTTACTCCAAGATTCACTTGGCCTTGGTGGAATGAAGAATCAGCATTAACATACCTAGTCAATACACAGGGGTTGGCATTCTTTTGATGGAATGTTGAGTCAAGCTGCATAGGTAGGGTCAGTAGACACACCTGCATCTTCAAACAACTAAAAATCTCAGACACCTGCTGATCACAGGGATGTGCAGAGAAAGGCACAGATTGACCTGATAAGTTAACCAAAATCGCTGGACCTCTGTTTTTGTGGATGCATAAATGATATCTTTAAAGAAATCAGATCTTTAACAACCAACGTAATAAAATCTGAACTTGCCCTTTTTTTTTTTTTTTTGAGATGGAGTCTTGCTCTGTCACCCAGGTTGGAGTGCAGTGGTGCAATCTCGGCTCACTGCAACCTCCACCTCTCGGGTTCAAGTGATTCCCCTGCCTCAGCCTCCCAAGTAACTGGGATTACAGGCACGTGCCATCACGCCTGGCTAATTTTTTGTATTTTAGTAGAGACAGGGTTTCACCGTGTTGGCCAGGCTGGTCTTGTCTCCTGACCTTGTGATCTGCCCGCCTTGGCCTCCCAATGTGCTGGTGGCGTGAGCCACTGCACCCAGCCCTGAACTTGCCTTTCTAATAGAGAATTAGAACACGGATTTATCTAGTAATAGCAATATCTCAAATATTCATAAAGAATGAGGTGATCCACAGGAAAATCCTAGAAATCTGCATAGCACTAACCAAAAATAAGGCATTTGTACTGTTTGAGATGATAATGTTAGGGCAGCATGCAATATCCAGAACAGGTAAGCCCAAACAAACAGAAAGCAGATTAGAGGGTGCCAGGGGCAGAGGGGAGAGGAGAATGGCCATGACTGGCTAATGGATAGAGGGTTTCCTTTGGGGGTGATGAATATGTTTTGGAACTAGATACAGGTGATGATTGTGCAACATCATGAACATATTGAATGCCACTTAATTGTACACTTTAATATGGTTAATTCTGTGTTATGTGAATTTTATCACAATTTAAAAAAATGAGTTAGGGCAGCATGTACCTACCACACTGTAGAATGACTGTTACACAAAATGTGTGACATAAACATACAAATGCAGAAAGATTTATGCTAAAAGGGCCAGCTATCCGAAGCCGCCCATTCCCAAACACGTCAAATTGTCATGATTTAACATAGTACCATCAGACTTAAAACAAGAGACTTTATACGTGGGCATATAATGTGATTGAGGAGTTTTCAAACTTAAGAGCTCAAATACCTAGTTAGAATTAAATCAGTACAATGTGACCCAGAAAAGTGAGATGAAGCTGACAAAACAAAACAATTAGTTTAAATATCAGGAGATGTTGCCTAATGGTGAAGTCAACTATATTCTGAAAAGAGCAGCCAAAGAAAGTTATCCAAATCTTATAATTTGGGTCATTAAACTGGATCTGTAAAAAAGAAAAAGGATCTGGAAAATACTCTCTGCACACTAATTTTATACTGGCAAGGGCAGGATACAAAGACAGAATGGGTGTTTTAGTTTCTGGGTCCTATTGCCAATGGTTCTGCCTTTCTTATGGCTTGCTCATAAAGTCTCAGGTTTGTTTCTGTCATTTCTACTGAAGGATTTATTTTGTGGAGAATTTGAAACATGGAAGATGGAAAAACACTTCAGGAAAAGAAAAGAATTACCTCGAATTAAATTGCTAAAACAAATCAAATTTATATCGCTGTTGGATATTTTTAAAATCTTTGGTCTTGGCATAGAATAGTTCTGTGTTTTAACTCATTCTTCTGGTCATTTTAAATTAAAAGCCCAAATAATGATGTTATATAGGGTGAGTAACATTTCAGGTCACATAAACATATGACATCACCAGCTTTCCCCATGGATAAACACACTGAAGGAAAATAATGTAAAAAGGAGGGAAGAATGAGTCCATGCATCCACCTCCCCCCAGCCCTCAGAAAACTTAGCTAAGAAGATGGTTGCCAGAATGAGAAGAGTAGTTCACATTCCTTCTTCATTCAAATATTTCTTTGTTGCTTTTGAAGATAGTAATCAATCCAGAAGAGTAAAGTCCTTCTAAACTCCTCTCAGAGATTCCTGGTACATGAGGTAGGCTGTGCATTTACACTGGAAAGTAAGGCTCCTAGTGATAATATTATAATTGTGGTAGCTAACATTTATTGAGTACTTTCTGAGGCAGAGAGAGATTAATTATGTAACTTGCCCAAAGTTGTATAGCTGGTAAGCTGTGATTCTGGGCTAAGCGCCTAAACAGTTTGAACATCAACTACTTAGCCAATCTGCCTTCTGGAACAGAATAAATATGAACACTTAGCCATACCTAGATGATCAGAGAAGGCTTCCTGGTAAAGGTGCAGCTCCCAATACAAGATTGTGTCCAGTTCAATAGATGAAGAAGAGGTAGAAGTCAGGCCCAGAACAGAGAATAACATGAGCAAATGTTCCAGCCTATGAAACAGTATGGTATGTCCAGATAATCACAAGCCATTGTGTGTTATTGAGCTTTGAGGCAGAAAATAGATGAGTTTGGATTTATAAAGAAGAGTCAGATTGTAGATGACTTTTATGTTGTGCAATGAAGCTTGCATTTTATTCTAGGGATAAGAGACTGCTGAAAGATTTTTAAATGAGGAAATTTAAAGGTTTTTAGATAGATTCCTTTGGTGATAGCGTGGAGGATGTGAAGTTGGGGGAAGGCAAGATTGGAATTAAGGCAATCAGCTGGGGACTATTGCAATCATTTAGGTGAAAAAAGACAAGGATATAAATTATGGTGCTGAAAGGTGGGAACAAATTGAAGGAGCATTTGGGAGGGGAATCAGTATGATACAGTGAATATAGGGAACGAGCAAATGTAAAGAATAATTATCAGGTTTCTCTGATGGTGGTAACTTGGATAATACAGAAAAAGGAGCAGGTGGGGCTGAGATAAATTCATTTTGGAGTATTGTGGGTTTGAGGGAGGTCTGTGAAACATCCAACTGGAACTGTTTGGGTCTGGGAGCTGTTGGGAGCTGTTTGCAGACCTCTGGGTCTGCAAATTTAAAATTCAAGGAAAAGTTCAGGGCCAGAGCCACAGATTTGTGAGTCATCCATTCACTCACTGAATAAACATTCAAAAAAAAAAAAAAGAAAAAAAAAACAGCTTGCTTCAAGAGCAAAGAGGACCTTATAAGTCCTGTTAAGGAATTTTCAGCCTTTCCTGTACTTAGCAAGGAATGAATGATGAGATTAAGCAGCAGAGAAATACGTTGAAACTCATATTTTTAAAAGATCACTCTGACAAATATAGGGAGATAGCAGTTAGCCCAAGTATGGAGAAGTAAGGCCAGGGAAAGTGCATGGAATAATAGCATAATATAAGCAGCAACTCTAGGAGGGGAACTTCATATCATCAATATGGGCAAAGAAAGGAAAATCCACAGAGGAGACCAAGCTGGAAAGATTGAGAGAGGAGGCAATATCCTAGACATCTAGGGAGTAGGGTACCAAGAAGGACAAAGTAGTTGACAAGTCAAATAAATCAAAGTGAGGGGCACTGTAAGATAAATAGTGAGTTGTGTCCATGGTGCCAAATGATAAGGATTTCCCTGGTGAATTTTGCAAAGCTGCAAATAGCTGCAATAAATGGAGGAGTGAATAGTGAACACTAAAAATATAAATTAAAACCACAATGAGATATTACCTCACACTTGTTAGAATGACTTTTATCAAAAAGAAGAACTATAAGCATTGATGAGGATGTGGAGAAAAGGAAAGTGTCGGATATTGTGAAAAATAGTATATAGGTTCCACAAAAAACTAAAAATAGATCCAGTAATCTATTGATTCAGCAATCCTACTTCTGAGTATATATCCAAAAGAATTGAAATTGGTATGTTGAAGGGATATCTTCACTTCCATGTCCATTGCAACACTATTCACAATAGCCAAGTTTTGGAATCAACCTCGATGTTCATCAACTGACGAATGGATATATACACAATAGAATACTACCCAGCCTTGAAAAAAAAAATCCTTTCATTTGTGGCAACATGGATGAACCTGGGGGGCATTGTGCTGAGTAAAATAAGTCAGGCACAGGAAGACAAATACCACATGTTCTCACTTATTCGTGGCATCTAAAAAAGTTGACCTCAGAAGTAGAGAGTAGAATGGTGATTACCAGAGGCTGGGGATGGGAGGGGAAGAGGGAGGGAATGGAGAGTTGTCAGACAAACAATACGAAGTTTCAGATCGATACGAGGAATAATTTTGAGATTTATTGTAGAGTCAGTAATAATGTATATTTCAGAATAACTAATAACTAAGTAAATTTCAAATGTTTCACCACAAAAAATGATAGGTGAGGTGAGGAGTATTTTAATTAGCCTGATCTAATCATTTCACATTGCTTACATATATCAAAACATCACATTGTATCCCATGTATGTATACAATTGTGATTTTTCAATTAAAAGTATATTAATTTTTAAGGCCAGTTATGGTGGCTCACGCCTGTTATCCCAGCACTTTGGGAGGCCGAGGCAGGTGGATCACATGAGGTCAGGAGTTTGAGACCAGCCTGGCCAACGTGGTGAAACTCCGTCTCTAGTAAAAATACAAAAATTAGCCAGGTGTGATGGTGCACACCTGCAATCACAGCTACTTGGGAGGCTGAGGCATGAGAATCGCTTGAACCCGAGAGGTGGAGGTTGTAGTGAGCTGAGTTTGCTCACTGAGTTGAGACCAGTCTCAAAAAAAAAAAAAGAGTAATATTAATTTTTTAAAGAAAGAGTATAAACTACTCTTTAAAGAAGCATCATTTTAATAGAAAGAAGAGAGCCAAAGGATATTTGTCTTAAGATGAAAGAGACTTGGGCATTTTTATAGACTGAGAAGAAGGGTGCATCATTGGGAAAAAAAAAAAAAAGGTGCTTAAAGATAAAGAAGACTGATAAAGAGGCAGGAGAAGGAGTTGGCTTTAAACACGTTGACTTCTCTTACTGCAACTTTTCAGGCCTAAATTATACAATATCTTTCCAATATAAAAAAGTTTTGTATTTTTCGAGGTTTCAGCTAAATGTGTTTGAGCTAAATGGGTTTAGCATGGATATACCATATGGATATTTGAGGTAAATGGATTTAGCATGGATATATCCATTTGGATCTATCATAGACTAATCCTTGTTTTGGACTATGAATTCCAGTCTTCTTATTTGTACTTCTCTTCTGCGCTTGTTGAATATTTGTGGCCTGTTTCTGTTAGGGGCATCCATGGGTTTGATGGATGTATTGCTTTGCCTCCTTCCAGATCTTTCCCTGCTCAAAGTCACTGCAAATCCGAGATGCCCTCCATGGCAGCCTGCTTCCCACAACTTGAAACATTGTTGTTTTACATTAATGTTTGCCTAGGGTTACTAGTTCACAACAAATGTGAAAACAAAAATGCTAGTACTTGCTGACAGGGTCATGGAGGAATTTCTGAAGAGAACATCTGTCAGAGGGAAGACTCGCCTTCCACAGATGCAGCACAGCCTTCTTTCTGTGAAGACACGGGATTTCTGTGAAATCCTACTGGGGATTTCACCTACTGGGTGAAGGACCTACTGGGGGCTTAGTAGGTCCTGAATATCGGGCTGTGGTGATGGTGGTGGAAGCGGAAATGCAAGCCCCCACAGTTACTTTTATCAGTGAAGTAGAAAGTCATTTTATTCTCAAAGGAAAATAGAAAGCTCAGAAGCAGTATAGAATGTAAAAGGAAAAGAACGGAGGAAAGGAAAAAGGTCTTTTAAAGAAGGGTCACTGTGGAGTGTGAATCAGATTCTTAGTGACCTTAAAGAGGTGTGAATTCTACTAAAATTATTTTTATTTCCTTTTGCTCACTTGACAATATTATTTTTATTGTTATGTTGATTTGAGAGTCAGCCACATGGGGCCTTGTGATTATTTGGCCTTTACATGGTAAAAGTAAAAGAGGTAAATTTGTCATTTTCTTCTTTTCTTAAAATATATATATATATTTTACAGGTAGACAAGCTGCAAAGTTTCATAAAGTCTCAACAACGGCCAACATGGAAATTGGAAAAGTTAGAACAAATAGACCAAGCCTGGGGAAATTTACTGAACTCTGGGGCTCCCTTCCAAGTATGGTGATCGGTAACCCAAATTAAACTCACTAAGGTGTCCTGAAAAAAATGGGGTCAATAAAAGATAATGTCAATCTGGAACACACCCTCTGAATTGGGACTAAACCCCAAGCCAATGAATGGAGAATGAGCAACAAGTTATAGCTCCAGGGGCCTGGTAAGAGTGAAGAAGGGAAAAGTCTACAGAAAAAGTAATAGTTCAGGGAAGACTTTATCTTAGCAGGAGCAGAAGAAGGGATGAAGTTAAATCCATCCACTGGGACAGGCCAGGTTTGCTGGTGATTAGAGGAGAAGCCTGCTGTTTAGCCATTCTGCTTTGTATAGAGTCTACTTACACAGCTTCAGACTTAGGATTGGGTTGCCAAGAAGGTGGGGACATGCAGACACCAAAATGTGCTGCGTCTCTCTCTGTCTCTCTGTATCCTCCTACCCACATGATGTCCACTGCCCTTTTTGCAGAACTGCATTCTGGTTTGGCAATATCCCATGTCTTGGACTTTTGCCAATTGTCTCTTCTTTGCCTCATTTAAAGCTTTCTCTCTCCCTTTTTTTTTTTTTTTTAGATGGAGTCTCTGTTGCCAGGCTGGAGTGCAGTGACATGATCTCACTGCAACCTCCGCCTCCCAGGTGCAAGTGATTCTCCTGCCTCAGCCTCCTGAGTAGCTGGGATTACTGGAGTGCACCACCACACCCAGCTAATTTTCGTATTTTTAGTAGAGATGGGGTTTCACAATGTTGGCCAGGATGGTCTCGATCTCTTGACCTCGTGATCCGCCCACCTCGGCTTCCCAAAGGCATTCTCTCTTTATTCCCCAATATAGTCCCTCAAGGTCTTGCCAAAGGCCTGGTTAGAAAGATTAAAAAAGAAAAAAACACACACACAGAAAAGAAATGAGTCTAAAGGCTGTTATCCCTGTGGGTTAATCCTCCTAGATAACACTGACATTTTAACAAATGCTTTTAGTGCTAAAGAGGAAATATGTGGGAAAGTTTTTAGGCATGGGCCAGGTGAATGGAATAGCCGTTTATCAAAACATTTATTAGATGTGTGTACTTCTAAAATGATGCCATGCAGATTGTTGCCTAATTTGTAGATCTAGTTCGTGCATCCTCCATCTCTCTCTCTCTATTTCTCTTTCTCTTTCTGTTTGTCCCTTTCTTTCTGTCTGTCTCTCTGCCTCTATAGCTCTATTGCCCTAACTATCTCTTTTCAGTGAAATATACTTCTCCCCTGCCATACAAAAGTATTGTATTACTGCATATTCTTCAGTATTCCCATATAGATTTTATGATAACAATTCTCTGAAATGTGTAGATTTGCTCGATTCTGTTATACAGTCAGACGTGTGTAACTATTTTATGCATGCGTAAAAGGAGTGAGTATTCTCCCAATTGTTGGGTGGAGTGCTTATTAAATCAAGTATATTAATTGTGTTTTCAAATCTTCTATATCTTTTTGACTTTTTGTTCTTTGATATATGAATTGTGGGTGGAGGCGTGGTAAAATCTCTCACCACAACAGATTTTAAAATTTCTCCTTATATTTCTGTAAATTTTTGCTTTATATATCTTGAAGTTATGTTATTCGGTGCCTATAAGTTTATATCTGACACTTCTTTCATGTGAACCAAAATCTTTTATCATTATATGTTAACGCTATTTATTGGCAGTAATATTATTTTGTCTGATAATTATATAGTTATACCTGCTACATATTTATAGTATTTGCCTAATATATTCATTACTTACTGATACATAACAAATTGCCCTTAACCAGTAGTGGCTCAAAACAATAATTCACATTTATTATCCTCTCAGACACTGTGAGTTAATAATTCTGGAGAGACTTAGCTGGGCAGTTCCAGCTTGGAGTTGGAGTTAAGGTGTTGGCTGAGAAAAGTCATTTGAATGCCTGATTAGAGCCAGAGCATGTGCTTTTAACATGATTCAATCACATGACTGGCAAGTTGGTGCTAGTTGTTGGCAAGAGGTTTCAGTGGCCTCTCCACAGGCTGCTTGAGTGTTCTCACGACATGGTGGTTAGATTCCTTTAGGCAAGTGATGCAAAACAGATGGTCAAGTGGAATATCTTTTTCATGATATCACTTTACCAGTTCCACCAATTTTTGTTAGAACGGTCAGAGTCAAGGGGAGAGAAACTAGATGCTACTTTTTTTTTTCTTTCTTCTTTAAGACAGTGTCTTGCTCTGTTGCCTAGGCTGAAGCACAGTGGTGCAATCACAGCTCATTGCAGCCTCGACCTCCCAGGCTCAAGTGATCTTCCCACCTCAGCCTCCTGAGTAGCTGTAACTACAGGCATGTGCCACCACATCTGGCTAATTTTTGTATGTTTTGTAGAGAAGAGTTTTCACCATGTTGCCCAGGTTGATCTCAAACTTCTGGGCTCAAGCAATCACCTGCCCCAGGCTCCCAAAGTGCTGGGATCACAGGCATGGGCCCCGGTGCCCAGCCTCTGGTTGCTACCTTTTGAAAGGGAAAGTGTCAAATAATTTGCATATGTCTTTTACATCTACCATAATGGTCTTTTGATATTCTTTTACTTTCCATCTTATTGTGTTCTTATGTTTTAGGTACACCTCTTGTAAATGAATATAGCTGGAATTTTATTCCAATGTAATAGCTTTTATCTTTTAACTGGAAAATGTAGCCCATTTATATTATTTGTTGACTGCTAATAAATTAGGATTAATTTTTAACACTTTTTTCTTAAATGTTTTACTTTCTTCATAGTTCCTGTATTTCTTTTTTTCTCTCTCCCTCCTTTCTTGCCACCTTTTGAAATTATTTTTCCCTACATTTAAAAATTTCCTCTCTGCTCATTTTGCAGCTTTACATTCTATTTATATTCTCTTACTGGTTACTCTATGCAACTTAGCGTGCATATTTAACTTCAAATTCTTAAGTAAATCAATATCTTCCTTATAAATTTATGTTCATTAGAACTTTGTCTGTAGGATTTAAGAATTGGGTTTTAAACAAACTTTTCCAGAGATTTGTATTTGCTTGCTCCTTAAGGCAGCACCAATATAAGACCACTTTAAAGTTGGGGTTGGGGACCACGCATATAGTGTGAATTCAGCACACAAATCTATTTAAGAGACTGTGATTAGGAATTCTCAGAAGACACTTCCTGTTTTCATTAGTACAAGTTTCTATATTTTTCTTTTTGCTTTTTTGCATTGTTGTTCTCTCTTGTTTTAGTTCATCCTTTAACTAAAGGTGCTCTTTGAGGGTCAGAGGTCTTATGTAAGAAGAGAAAACTTTCCAATCTGATTTCTCCCTAGTGTGAACATTGGTCTCGGCTGCCTCTTTCCTCCCCAAACTTGGCCCATTGAAATCTGTAGAATACCAAGGATTGCCATTGCTTATCTCTTTAGACTTGTGACTTCTTGCTTTTTTTTACTTTTAAAGACTTCCTTATTTTCTTGTCAGCTTAGCCATATGCTTAAAAGAATTTTTAAAACTATGTTAACTAGGGAAGTTTCAAAATACTTTGCAAATAGAACTAACATTGAAGCCATACTGACAAGAGAGTGGTAGAAACTTGCAGCCTGAATTTAACCAGGCTGATTGTTTGCTAAAACAAAAACATTGACATTCTTTATAGGATTCAAATAAGACCCAGGGCCTAAGAACATAATATTTAAAATTCCAAGGATACAATTCAAAATTACATGGTCTATGAAAAAACAAAAGAAATCTCAATTTACATGGGAAAAGGACAGTCAACAGACATCAATTCTATAATGACACAGATGTTGGAATTGTTTGAGAAAGACTTTAATCAGCTACTATAAAATGCTCCAAAAAGTAAGGACAATACACACACTCCTCTGGCTGAGGAGATCTGCTGGACCCTGCTCACTCCCACTGCATTGGGTAACTGTGATGACTCTTAGGAGCTCAGCTTACAAAGCCCAGGACAAGATTCCCTGTAAGACCATTTTCAGTTCTAAAGTTCAATGAACTAAATCTTAAAGGCATGAGAGTGGAAGGAATCATGCCATTCCTTCATGACATACAGCAGAGGCATTCCTGGAGAAGAAGGGAAAAAAGACCTTTCAGCTGTGTCATAATTACTGTATAAAAATGTCTATACACCTCAGAAGGAAAGAAGACAAGGATGAATTATAAATTAGAGTCTGTATCAGTCAGGATACTTTCTACTGAAGTTAACAGAAGACTCCACTAGAAATGGCTAAAGAAATGGCAATTTGTTATTTCCTATAACAAGAAGGCAAAGATGAATCAGCGACTAACTGACCTTGTCAAGGACCTGGGTGCTTCCTCCTTTCCTTGCTCTGCCATCCTTAGCAGAGCAAATTATTTTGGCAGGCAGACAAGTCTTATGTTATTGCAAGATGATTCAGTAATCTCTTATGCAAAAATGATCACATCCAGTGAAGAAGAGGAGCACTGCTTTCCATGTGGCCTTTCTGGGAAAGAAAAAAATGACTTTAAAGGAGAAGTTCCATGACTTCTACCATTTGCAATAAAAATGAGAACTGGGCTGGGCGCGGTGGCTGGCGCCTGTAATCCCAGCACTTTGGGAGGCCAAGGCGGGTGGATCACGAGGTCAGGAGATTGAGACCATCCTGGCTAACACGGTGAAACCCCGTCTCTACTGAAAAAATACAAAAAATTAGCCAGGCGTGGTGGCAGGCGCCTGTAGTCCCAGCTACTCGGGAGGCTGAGGCAGGAGAATGGCGTGAACCCGGGAGGCGGAGCTTGCAGTGAGCCGAGATCGCACCACTGCACTCCAGCCTGGGTGACAGAGCGAGATTCTGTCTCAGAGAAAAAACAAAAACAAAAACAAAAAAGAGAACTGAAATCCAACTAAGCCCCCAGCTACCGACTAAATAGACACCTTAACTCCTGTCTTTTTAAGGTCCTGTCTTTGTAAAATGTATCAGTCAGAGTCTCAGCAACTAACAGATGGCATACTCAGATTAGGATAATCTGAGAAGAGTTTCATAAAGGGACAACTGTATTTTAAAAGATACAAGCAGAGGCCGGGTGCGGTGGCTCACGCCTGTAATCCCAGCACTTTGGGAGGCTGAGGCGGGCAGATCACCAGGTCAAGAGATCAAGACCATCTTGGCCAACATGGTGAAACCCCGTCTCTACTAAAAATACAAAAATTCGCTGCGTGTGGTGGCGCGCGCCTCTAGTCCCAGCTACTCGGGAGGTGAGGCAGGAGAATCGCTTGAACCCGGCAGGCGGAGGTTGCAGTGAGCCAAGATCACTCCACAGCACTCCAGCCTGGCAACTGAGCAAGACTCCGTCTCAAAAACAAAAAAAAGATAGGAGCAGAGGGTTGGGAAAACGCAGAATACAGTTCAATACTCCAGGGCTTCCACAATTCTCTCCACTCCCATACACACTTGAAGAGAAGAGAAAGGGATGGAGGGAAGATTACTAGAACTGGAAGGAGAGAGTCATAGAGCAGGAGTCAGCAAACTTTTTCTGTCAAGGACAGGAGAGTAAATATTTCAGTCTTTGCAGGCTTTGTTTCCCTCTCGACTGCTCAGCTCTGCCATGGTAACACAAAAGCAGCCATAGACAATATGTAAACGTATGAGTGTAAACTTTATTTACAGATACTGGAATTTGAATTTTATGCAATTTTCGTGTACCACGTGAGGTGGAGGTTGCAGTGAGTTGACACTGCGCCACTGCACTCCAGCCTGGGTGACAGAGCAAGACTCTGTCTCAAAAAATAAAAATAAATAAAAATTAAACAATTTTTATCAACCACTTAAAAATGCATGTAGCTGACAGGCCATGCAAAACATGGTGGGCTGGGTTTGGTTCATGGATCACGATTTATCCATCTCTCCTGTCAAGAGGAGCTGTGAACATCAGCCAAGGGAAGCAGCCACCCTTAGGGACACTGTAGGGGAGAAGCCACAGGAATAAATACGCTGACCTCATTCTCTTCTCATTAAAAAATTCAACCAGAAGCCAAACAGTAAGCAAACTCATTAACATGCTCCATATAGGTTATCCTCCCAAGCAGAGAGCTGGGTGGAGAAGGGTAGAGAGAGCATCTGGAGGGTTGAACAGGAGACACCTGGCACAGCACTTTCCATGTTGCCAGTTTACTACTGTATGTTTTCTTTAGTAGCTCATAAACTCGTAGAAGAAAACAGAGCAAAAGGGTGTTTGCTGTGCTTTATTCTTCGGGGGCAATAAGGCAGAGAGACAGGAGTAAGACTGTGTCCTATCCTGAAACCAGACAGGACAACTCCAAGGGACAAGATAGGATGACATCAGCTCTAATGAGAAGTGGAAAACAAGTCAAACCCTTGGCATCTCGAGCAAAGGAAAAAGGAAAGACAGGCACTGGATGGGGCCTGCCAGATGCTTCTGATGTTGAATAAGGGAGAAGGGGGAAGCTACATGTTGCTCGTGTGTAAAATCATTTCTTGATAACCCTTAATAACCCGGGTACCATCTACCTCTCCTTTGAAGCTCTGCAGAATTAGGGGCCTATTTTATAGCAGATTTGGGGCTATAAATTTTTTTTAGTATATATCTCATTTCACTATATTTATTAGAAGTTTCTTGCATGCAAGTGGTAGAATACAACTCAAATCAGCTTAAGTCTTAAAATGAAAATTAAAGGAAGGATTCTGAGTTATAGTCTAATGAAGGGTTGACTAGGCCAGGTGGGGGGCCCATGCCTATAATCCTAGCACTTTGGAAAGCTGAGGCAGAAGGATTCCTTGAGCCCAGGAGTTGGAGACCAACCTGGGCAACATAGTGAGACATCATCTCTGGAAATAATTTTTTAAAATTATCTGGGCCTGGTGGCACACACCTGTAGTCCCAACTATTCAAGAGTCTGAGATGGGAGGTTGAGCCTGTGAGGTCAAGGCTGCAGTGAGCTGAGATCGCACCATTGCACTCCAGCCTGGGTGACAGAACAAGACCCTGTCTCAAAAAAAAAAAAAAAGAAAAGAGAAAAAAGAAACAACAAAAGAAAAAGATGACTAAGCCTACAATGGCAAGGAGCAGACAGCTCTCAAATTCCTGGAAAATGGGGATATGCACACTACCAAATCCTCTCTATCTCATCTGTGATTCTTTCTCTTTGTTAATATAATTTTCTCAGTGCAGAGCAGCTTTCTCTCCAAGGTATAAAACCTGGATCCCAGTTTTACATCATGTAGCCAAAATTCTCAAGAAAAGGAATCTGGTCTCATTTGGATCACGTGATCATTCATGGACCAATCAACCATGGTTGAATGGTAGCTGGGAGCTTATTAAAATATTTCTTTCTTTCTTTTTCTTTTTTTTTTTTTTTTGAGACGGATTCCCGCTCTGTTACCCAGGCTGGAATGCAACCAAGCGATCTCAGCTCACTGTAACCTCTGCCTCCCGACTTCAAGTGATTCTCCTGCCTCAGCCTCCTGAATAGTTGAGACTACAGGCACCCACCACCAAGCCCGGTTAATTTTTGTATTTTTAGTAGAGACAGGGTTTTGCCATGTTGGTCAGGCTGGTCTCAAACTCCTGACCTCAGGTGATCCACCCACCTTGGCCTCCCAAAGTGCTGGGATTACAGGCATGAGACACCTGTCTCATAGGTATCTGTTCCTCATATTTCTGCATGTGAGAACTTGAGGGCAGGACTTTTCCTATTTTTGTCTCCACAGGACCCAGCACAACGTCTTGCACATGGCCCTCCATCAGTATTTTTGGAATGAAAAAATTGCTTTTGTCAGTGACATTTCCCTTAGATCAGGGGAAACTTACATGCTCTGGATAATATTTCAAAATTTTCCTATTAGTTAAGATTATCTCATAACTCTTCTCCTATTTTTAAAACTTTAAAAGTCTTATTAATGCAGTTGACTATAATCATTAAAGCACAATTTTTGAAATAAAGCAAATTCTGATACCAAATACTGGATCAACCAAGATAAAAAGGAGAATAGCTATCATGTCAGATTACCCTCCACTTTGAGTGTTCATGATTTAATTACCAGATGGCTACCAACTGATTATTAAATCAGTTGGGTGGAGAAGGATTGGACTGGGTTTATACCTAGCCAAATCCTTTCACCTAACGTGACAAGTAGAAGTAAAACTAAGATAATCCCAAAAACCTCAACCAGATTTTAAGTCTGTTGATTGGATTTATACCTATCCAAATCCTTTCAGTTAATATGACAAATAGAAGTAAAACTAAGACAATACCCAAAACCTCAACCAGATTTCAAGTTCAATGTATTTTCTCTGTAATCACCTTACTGTCTGCTTCAGTGAATTTTGTCTCATTGACCAAAATTCCTCTTTGGCCTCATCATGACTTCAGTGTCTCAATTCTGATTCTATCTCTCACACTATTGGCCTCCTTCTCACTTAAATTGCCTTCTACCAAATGGAAGCCAGAGTCAGTCTTTTCAGTCTTGGTTCAGTGGGGATATCTTACATTCCAGAATCCCTTATATCCCTCCATTTTCCATCCGTAACAATTTCCCCGATTCCAGTTCTACAATATTTTATGCCAAGCGTCCAAGCATTGTCAGAGAAAATTCTAAAATTGTTATGTACAAATGCATACCAAATAATTTGAATGCATACTTTTAAAAATTTTATTGCAGCCTGTTTCTTTTCCTCACTAAAATTTTTACCTACCCTGTTTTTAAATCTTGCTCCCCCGCCCCACCCCACCAAATAATCTGATTAAGTAGATTTTAGTCATCCAGGATTAACTTCCTCTTTTTAAAATCTTAACTTTAAAACTGCACTTTCTCAAAGAATGATGTGCCTTTTGGTTTTACCAAAGACTACTGTTCTCTTTGTAATTCTATCCTGTTCTCCTAATCCAAGACTTTGTGTCTTAGCTCAGGCTGCCATAACAAATGCTGCAGACTAAATGGCTTACACTACAGAAATTTATTGTCTCACAATTCTGGAATCTGGAAGTCCAAGATCTAGGTACCTATAGCATTGGACTCCTCTGATGCTTCTCCCCTTGGCTTGCAGATGGCTTTCCTCTTGCTGTGACCTCACATGGTATTTACTCTGTGTCTCTGCACACTCCTGCTGTTTCTCTGTGTATCCTAATCTCCTCTTCTTGGACACCAGTCAGATTGGATTAGGGCCCACCCTCATGTCTTCATTTTAACTTAATCACCTCTTCAAAGGCCCAATCTCCAAATATAGTCACAGCCTAAGGTTCTGGAGGTTGGGGCCTCAACATATGAGAAAATGAAAAATTACTACTCGAAACTGCAATTCCTTCTGAAGGGATTAGCACCTATAAAAAGAAACGTCAGGACTTCTTCCAGGCCTTTGCTATTTATATAATAGAAACTTTGAGGAGATTTGTGGGTTTTGGACATGAGCAAGTGGGCCAGGAACTGAGTTGTATTCATCTTCCACAAATATTTACTCAATGCCTATAATGTGGTGTCAGGAATTGAGAGGGGAAAGACCAAAATTGTTCTTCAATAATAGAGCAAAAAGAATTTGGAGTTCTTGAATGCAACTTGGAAGGGAAAGAATGAGGAAGATGAAACAGAGCCAACACAGGATGGGAAAGTTCAGGATGCTGCCTAGGCCAGGAGTGCTGGTGATAACATCCCTAGAGGTAGAAAGGCCAGAAGCTCTTTCTGAGCGGCAGCAGCAAATTTTAAGTTGCTTTCATTTTTAAGATATAAATGCTTCTATATCTGCAAACTTTAATACTACTGCATTTGTGGGATCAGCCTGTGTTTAAACCAAGGAAAAGTGCTGAATTTCAATTTCATGTCTCCACTGAGCCACTGTGGAGAGAAGACAACCCAATCAGCATGGTGGAAAGTTTTCTCACACAGCACACATGCAGTAGAAGCAGAATGCTGGAATCAGAGGTAAGCACAAAAGCATAAGACACCTATGAATTCACAAAATTCTGAAGAAGGAATTGGGCATTTAAAAGTTTTATTAAAAAGCATTTAAGTCATGCAAAAAAATAAAAGGATAAATACAATAAATTTCCAGGTACACACACCAGCCAGCCTAAGAAACACATTATCAATATATTTGAAGCTCCCTGTGTTTCTTCAATATTGTTTCCCTCCCACCCCACTCTAGATATAACCCCCATCTTCAATTTGATGTTTGTCACCCCCAAAGGCATTGGATGTCCCACAAATAGCAAAATGAAGTTCAGTTCAATCTTGTCTATGTCTAAGGCAATTCTGACATGTGGTTTATGAATACATAATTTGTGCATCCCTGATGCCATGCAGCTATTTGGTATATAATATGTTCAAATCAGATAATAAATACACATCAACACATTTACACACACACACACACACACACACACACCTTTACGTAAAGCATTTATACATAAAAACGTAGTTATAAATATAATATACGTAAATATCTTGACTATTTCAAGGTATTCAAGCTATCTGAGATTTATTCAATTCTATTTCATTTTAACAACTAAACACAAATCAATACATTATCTGTTTTTATAAAAACAGTCTTCTTGGGGCTTAAAAAATTTAAATATGTAATATACTCTGTGATTTCCCTGAAAGCCACAAACCAATTTTCTTCTCAGCACTAGGCACCCAATTACAACATTTAAAATTAAAAGTTCAAGTTACTGTGGGTTTTCTGCTCAGTTGCAATTAATTTTGAAACTTATGTTTAGAAGGACATGTTTTTCTCAAATCTCAATGTTTTCTCAAAAACAATGAATAATTGTATAAGCACGATTATTCACTGTTTGAGGTAATCTAAGACACCGTTTTTCTTTGTAAACATTGAATACTTTTATTAGCAGATATCACATTTAGAATATTGGGCTGAAGGACAGGAAACATGCGAAATTCATATATTCTCAAGTTTGTCCAGAGTGTTTGGAGAAAAGTACTTAATTCTCTTTCTTTTAGAAGATAATACCAGCAACCAATGAACTGTATCTTTAAACACTAAAGCGGGAAGTAAGCTATGTCCTTATCTGAGGAACGTGTGTTGCGTGATTGCTGATAAACACAGTGCTGTTTCTGGAGGTGATTTGCAAAGTCAGAGCTATATGCACCCATAAAGCATCACTGCATTCAAAGGAATCTGAACAGCCAAGCTCCAAAAGGAAGGGGAACTTCATCCCGGCTGTCTCTGCTGCAACATGGTGGAGCATGTAAAGTCTTACAAACTCACCCCAGTTAGGAAACTGATGAACACTTGAGGGACTACGGAACATTCGGTACTGCGCTAGGGATCCTGAGAACCACAGACATATTAAGCAGGCATGATCTTTCCATAAGACACTCTTAGGGCCATTGGAGGAAATAAGGCACCTATAAAGGAGAGAGCCATCTTTGAGGTTGAAATGGTCAGGCAAGGCGTAGGCTTTAGGGTCTGTTTTAGTCTGTTCCTGTTCTCAAATATTTTATTATAGTAGCAGGACCAGACTGAGACAGACTCCAAACCCAAAGAACATAAATTTGGCCTGACACGGTGGCTCACACCTGCAATCCAAACACTTTGGGAGACCAAGGCGGGAGGATCACTTGAGCCCAGGAGTTTGAGGCTGCAGTGAGCTGTGATTGTGCCATTGCACACCAGCCTAGGTGACAGAGCAAGACCCTGTCTATAAATAAATAAATAAACAAACAGAAATTTATTACCCACAGTTCTGAAGGCTGGGAAGTCTAAAATCAAGGCACTAGTAGATTTGGTGTCTAGTGAGGACTCATTATCTACTTCATAGATGGCTCCTTCTTGCTGGGACCTCACACGACAGAAAGGGTGAACAAGTGCCACGGAGTTTCTTTGGTAAGTGCACTCATCCCATTTTTGAGCTCATGACCTAATCGCCTCCTAAAGACTCCATCTCTTTAATACTGTTGCACTGGAAATTAGGTTTCAACATATAAATTTTGAACCAATATTCAGACCATAACAGGTTCTCCAAAATATTAAGGGAGAAAATAGGACATTAATGTAGGATTTCAGGGTGGATTACTTTTAGGTAGAGATAAGAATCACTATATACAAAAGCATGATGTTTGTGTCAGGAAAGGATAAATAGATTTGCCTGGCTGGAATAAAGGATTCTTGTAGGGCAGTAGAGAAAAATAGGTAGAATGGGAAAAGTAGGTTGGAGCCAGAACATGGGGTCTTCAAGGCCAAATCGAAAGTAAACAATAGGGAATCTTCCCTGGCCCCATTTTTTTTCTTTCTTTTTTTTTTTTTTTGGTGAAGAGAGGAACATGATTTAAAAAAAAAAAAAAATTAAGGCATTGTATACAAAAAAGCCATAGTAGAATGAAGGTGTGTAAATATTATTTTTCAGGTTTCTTATTTTTCTTATGTTCCACTCCTGGATAATGTTGTCACCTCCTTTTGATACTTTGAGACTCGAAACTAATCATCTTCAGCTTCTCATTTTAACTTCTACTCCACGCCAAGTCCTCATAATCTAATTTTCAGGTACTTTGCACAGTATACAGCAACTAGCATAATCATCTCTTAGTAAGTGCATGTTGAATCAATACCTGAGTTGGACAATGGGTTATGTTTCTGATCTCCTTTCCCTCCTTTCCTTCTCTCTACTGCTTACTCTGTTCTGACCCTTCCATTTGGACTTTTGTACTCGTTTCTCTCCTCTCTGAACCATCCTGCATATGGCAACCAATGTGATTGTTCTCCATCATATGTCAATCACATCACTACCTCGTTAATAAAACAAAACCCAAAATACAAAAAGTCAATTGATTCTTACAGGAAGAAAAAGTACAGGATCTATAAGAGGACAAGTTATTCTGGGATATGGTTCCAGCCCATCTTTCTCACCTCACTGCTTAATATACTCCCCTGCCTCTTCTGTGTCCAGTCCAATTAGTGCCTTCCCTAATTACAGTGAAAGTTTTGTCACTGATTTTCATGAAAGTTAAGTAAGTTTAAACATATAAATTGCTTACATCTGTCCCCAGCACATAGTGAGTTCTCAATAAGTATAAATGGTTGTTATTATTAAGTCTGAGTATTTTCCTGCCTGGTTTCCTAAGTACTCTCATCTCTGCCAACTATTTACCAACTTAACTCTTTCTGATAAAATCCTACTTCTTCTTAAGGCCCTATTCCAATACTGCCCTCAAAGGCTAAGAAAACTTTCCTAATTGCCTAGTCCGAATCTCTCTTTATTCCACCTACCCATAGCTGTATATAGCTCATGTAACACTTAAAGCAGTCTACTAAACAGTGGCAGGATAAACCTACACACACACACACACACACACACACACACACACAAACACACACTTTCTATGGAGCAAAGATCATGAAGTATCTATATAAAGCAGATGTCACTGGTTCAAACAGCCATAAAGACCATTCTCAGAGCGTGGGTTCATCCCTACAATGTGAGCAGAAAGGAGCAAGAAGAGAATTAGAAAAATAATAGCAGAAATATTATTGCATAAGAAATAAGGCTGAAGTTATCTTAAGGGTAAGGAAAAGCTTTGCTCACTTGCAACTAACCTGTATTATCCTCAGAAAGAAACAAATACTCAACTGTGGTGAGGTTATGCGTGCTCTTCTGTAATTCATTAGGAAATCAGATGAATCCCAATTTTCCACCACACTGATGCAAACATTGAGCTGCCTTCTTCCTTCACCCCACCAGGAGATCTCAGCTCATCCACCAGCCTTTTGGAATTAGCAAAACCGAGGTAGAGCCAACTAGCTTTTGCCCCAAATCTGAAGTGTAGAGTTTTATAAACCAAAAGAAATAATTTCCCTCATGTTGGAAAATGGGAGGGAGGTGAGGGGGAGAGAGAGGTGGGACACAGAACTACAAGATGAAGGATGCGAAGAAGGAAAAGTCAGAAATAAGATGAATTCAGAACCCTTTAAGCTGCATGGCCCTCCTCAGTGTGGTACAAGGGACAAGTCAATCAGATGAAATAAAAATTCCCAGCCCTGATCTGCATTGCTCCACAGTGTCCACTCAATCTTTAAGCAAAATAAGTTTATGAATCTTCCTTTAGTTCACTTTGTGTCCGGTCTGAGGAGGGACATACTCAGTCTCTGACCAATATACAGAGTGCCTGCAAAGTAGGGTTAAGCAGCCCCATGGTCTACCTTGCTGTGAATTTCAAAGTGCATCCATGTGCTGCAGAGAAAGAACCACAAACAAGAGGCCTTCTGGGCTTCCTGCTCTGGGGAGCTTTCCCTGGCAGCAGTGGGGATAAAAGATCTTTACAGCTGAAAAGTCTTTCTTATATTTTTTTTTCTTTTTTTTTTTTTGAGAGAAGGCCTTGTTCTGTTGCCCAGGCTGGAGTGCAATGGCGTGATCATGGCTTTCTGCAGCCTTGACCTCCCAGACTCGAGCCATCCCCCCACCTCAGCCTCCCTAGTTGTTAAGACTACAGGTGTGCACCACCATGCCCAGCTAGTTTGCTTTATATTTTTTGTAGAGACAGGGCTTTGCCATGTTGCCCAGGCTGGTCTCTAGCTCCTGGGAAATATTATCTTTTTAATCTTTGATGTTCCACACCCATGCATATCATGGGTCTCAGGACCTTCCCCAGTAAATGTTAATTTTCATTGAACTGATTTTGGGGAGGTCCCCAGGAGATAAAAAGTAGGGTTAAGGGTGGGCTTTGTAGCGGGGAGGGAGCTTGTTAAACACAGACCCTAGAGACATGTCCATATACTATGAGATTGCACCAAGTCAATATTATGAATCAGACTTTGCTTGTAAAAGCACAGCTTTGGAACTTGCAGTGTGGCTATTTCCGCTTTTCATTTCATCTTCTAACTCCAGAAGGAAAAGGAACTGTCTATGTGAGTTTCCTGCTAGATGTATTACAATACCACATTCCTTTGGAATTGGCTCACATTCTTGACCTAGTGGGAAATGGGAAATTCACCTAGTGAAGCAGAAACTAACATCTCCTAAAACTATCATCAAGGAGCCCTAAGTCCCCTTAGAATTCACTTCCAGAGTTTCCTCCATGTACTGGCCAAGGGCGTGCTTGACAAGAAACCAGACATGGGAAGTTCTCTGAGGTCCTGCTTTGTTTCTGTCAGATTACAAATTCCTAGAAGACAAGATCCATGTTTCTGCCTAAGTCTGTGTGCTTAGTAAATGCTTGATCACTTAGTTGGTGCTGTTAAGATTTTCTCAGACATTTGTCAAGCAAATACAGCCTTTCATGCAGTCAGGTACTTGTTTATGTGATCTGACTTCAAAGGCCAGAAGGGGGAAAAAAACTATTGTTCAATAATTCTCAGTTGATGAGTGAGAAACTCCTCAGCCCCCTACCTTCCTCTCCATGCAGCGATAAGACTTAAAATACAAACAATAGTCACTCTTTTCTTGTCTGTTAAATGTAAAATGTTTGCCTTGGAAGGTTGAGACTTCCCTAAATCACATAGAAAATAATTCTATTCAATTTGGATAATAAACATTTATTTATCCCCTTCTATTTGCAAGGCATGTACAGGTTTTTAGGGTGAGAGGGCCACCTACAAGTCTGGAGCTCATAGCCTAGAAAGCCTGAGGCTTGGTGGTGTGTATCCTGACTCAGCTGCTTCCTAGCTGTGTGACTTTAGGCAAATTAGTGAACTTCCCTGAGCCTGTCTGCCTGACATGTAATATGAGAATAATAATAATTCCCACTCACAGGACTGCTGTGAGGATTGATTAGATAACATCTGGACTTTACACAGACCTTTACCCACGGTCAGGACTTGATGATTGACACTATTATTACTGTTTTTATTGTTCTGGTATCTGCATTTGTTCTCCTTACTGTAATGACTGTTGAAAAAGCTTTCCTGAGATATTAGCAGCGATTAATCCCCTGGGTCAAACTGCATTTGCAGAGTAGCTGCTCAGTCATCTGTCTGGGCTCCAAAGACAAAAGACAGAAATTTTTGGCACTAGGGTCTAAACCTGGGAGGAAGCACACCATGCTGAACAGTGCTGGTGAAGGGTCACAGCCACTGGATATTAGGAAGGCTCTGGGTGTTGGGGTAAAGAAAGTACTAGAAGTCACTGAGGAGAGATCTATCGATGCTGCCCCTTCACTTAAGTCCAGCAAGAATCACTCTGGAACAAGGATTGTCAAATATAAGCACTTCCCCTACTCCTCTACTGAGTTCTGGAGGTTTGAGAGAAGCACAAATAGTTGCTTTGTGTCGTTTCTGCCACTGCCTCCTTCCTTTTTCTTGCTTACAGGGAATTCTGTAGGAGTGCAATTTGAGGTCAAAATACATAAGCATTTAAGACATTGCTTTGCTTCAAATCCTTGAATAAATATTAACTTATTCATCATCTCATTACCCCTGAGAGTTGGGAAAGCAGAGCCCAAATAGAGGTTAGAATGTTATAATCCCATCTATAAATTACAGTGCTTGTCATATTTACTAAATGAAAGCTTTAAGGTTTTAAGAAGCTTTTCTAAATGTGATCTCTCCATCCCTATCATAGGATTTGCTCAAAATGGATTTGCAAAGAGAAAAAAAATTTAATGTCACACTGCCATGATAAGTCAACCAACCATCTCATATATCAAAGGAGAGAGGCAGAGAAAGAAAAGGAGGAGGATAAAGAAGAGGAGGAAGAGGACGAAAGGAAAACCAAGAGGAGGAGAAGCCACTTCTTACTTTGGATTAATGTGAAACTAAATAGTTTACTACATTTTAAGTGGGAAAATGTTAGTTGAAAAGATATTTGTCAACCACAAACATTTGAAAGGGAAGCATTCCAAAGATTTTCACTGTTTATGTTCAAATTACAACATGTGCAGAAAGTTGTGCAACTGAAAATCCTTTCAAACAACAGCTACAAAAGAGATTGGTCAGTTAGGACAGGAATAGAAAGTGGAAACTTAGAAGACTGGCTACTCCTTGTGTATGATTGCTGGGGTGAGTCTGTGCTGAGAACTTTTTACAAAGGGTGTCCTTTGCTGATATGAGAGGGGGGTGTCAAACTTTTGAGTGATCACTGTGGGTCCTCAGCTTAGACATCTTCTCTGGCCCAAGATGGCACCCCTTGCTCTCTTTCCATGGGACACAGGGACCTTGCCATCCTTCCATCTTATAAGCCTTCTGTCATGATTTTTACTTCATCCTAGATAGCCTTAATTTGGGCCAGGTCTCCAGGTTCCTCCACTTTCTTCTGTCCCATCCATACCCCTCACCAATCCTCTGTAAATTCCTTTCCAGGATTTTACTGAGAACTACAGAGAAACAGGCTGGGAATAACAAACATGGGGAGTTATGTAGTTAACATACACTTTGACATCACCTAGTCATTTTCCTGAGTATATAGATAACTCTGTTATTACTGGTTATAAGGTCCATGAGAAGCCTTTATCCTTTTCTGGAAACCAAGAAAGCACCTGCCCTCCCTCAGTCCTAAGGGGAGAATCTTTATGGGTGTAACAATAAAATGGATAATGGGAAATTCTGATGTCCTCAAGCATACATTCAGATGTCCCCAATGAGCATCATTTGTATATCAAGGGAACTCCAGAGAGATGATCCACAATTCAGTGTGTCCCTTTGGCCAGTAGAGAGGTCACCTTAGTCTGGAAATAATGATGATATAATGTTAAAGAAACCTAACTAAACAAGTCCTTTTTCTCTATCCTATGTAATGTTTTATATCTGACCTCACAGAAAACCAGCCTTACTGTTTTGTACTCTCTCTGCAGCTGGGTAGGTAAACAGAAATTGAGGCTCCAGGCTGCCTGGTGGTTCACAATGATGGTGCTTTTCAAAGTCCTTCGGATGGACAGGGAACTGGTTTCCCCACCACCATTTCTGACTGGCACTTCCCCACCTTCCCTGAACAGATGATGCAGTGAACCCTGTGAGGTTTCCAGCCTTCAGGAAACTGTTCCAAGGCCATCAAGGAATAGGGAGATGCAACTGGAACACTCTATATCCCAAGAAGACAGCCCTCCGAGAGTGACCACATGGTCCTCTCCCAACATCCTAACTCTCCCCTTTCACTCTTTCCACATCTTCTTTGCCTTTAGAGCTCTGCCTCATTTAGTATTTCTGATTCTATCCCCCTTCCCCTGGATGCCCAGTTGCTGGTTCCTTTCCCGTATATTTCAAATTCTGGAGGCTCAGGCTGAAAGCCAGTAGCTTTCATGTCTGCTCATAGAGAAGAATGGGATTTAGACTCAAAAGAAGAGTGGGTACAGGTGCAGTGGCTCACACGTGCAATCCCAGCACTTTGGGAAGCTGAAGCGGGCAGATCACCTGAGGTCAGGAGTTCAAGACCAGCCTGGCCAACATGATTAAACCCCATCTCTACTAAAAATACCAAAAAATTAGCAGGGCGTGGTGGTGGGTGTCTGTAATCTCAGCTACTCGGAAGGCTGAGGTAGGAGAATCACTTGAACCCAAGAGGTGGAGGTTGCAGTGAGCCAAGATTGTGCCACTGCACTCCAGCCTGGGTGACAGAGCTAGACTTTGTCTCAAAAAAAAAAAAAAAAAAAAAAAAGAGTGAGCTCTGGTTCTGTAGATGAAAGAGATTAATGCGGGCAATGCCCCAGGATGGGGTTGGATTTCTCTCACCAAACCTACAATTATGCACAGTTCATAACCATAGGGAGTCATTTCCTAATGAAGATTATGTCATTAACACCATCTGAAGAATGTGTATGCCTCCTATTTACACGACTTTGACCCTGTTTGGGGAAAATGATCATCAAGCCTTCTATTATGCTGAGTCTGAATTGAAGCCCTCCATGACTTGGTGTCTCCAATAAGTCTTCTCACATTCATGAAAAATGAATGTGCAAGCCCGAACCACATCTCTAATCCAAAGCTTTCTCACTTGACACTAGTTACCTTTTACTAGCCACAATTACAAGAATAAGAGCAAGCATGCATTATCTTGCTTCAGCCTCACAATAATTCCACAAGGAAGGTATCCCCATTTCTTGAGAAGGACATTGAACTTAGAGAGGTTATGTCACTTGCTCAAAGTCACACAACTTTGCCAAGGTGGATCTAATTAGAAGCCAGATCCATCTGATTGTGTTTTCTCTGGTATGTTCCATGGTGCCATTGACAACACCGTGGCACAAGGGCACCACTTGCCCTGTCACACCTGAGACAGGCATTACAAGTTGATCATGACACTTCTCTCTGGAGCTAGTCTGTGTTTACCTGCAGAATGCTCATCAACAGCCCCTGTGGGTTGATCAGAGTCATTATGTTGGGTTGTTATGTAGTTTGCAATCTCTGTCTCAGGCCATTCCTCCACCAGATCACTTCAGCATCAGTACCACTACTTATCTCCTAATGGAGACACATCACCCCAGGCAAATCATCACATGTCTCTGAGAGTGGCTTTCCTGGTCAAAAATCTATCATGATAGCTAAGAGGAACATTTGTCTGCGTCTTAGAAAAAGCCTTAGCTACCTCCTCAAAGATTTGGCAATAGGACGTTTCTACTGAAGATAAAAAAAAATGAAACTTGTAGCAGCTCAACTGTCCTTGGTCACTACTTTTAGCTCTAAACACACACACACACACATATACACACACACACACTCACACACTCCATTGCTCCTGCTTCTGCTCACACCTTGCACATGAATTCAGAGGGCAGGTGAATCACATCACTCTTACTAAAATCCACTCCATGCCCAGAGTGTCATTACACTTTAAGAGACCTCAGTGAAGGCAGTAAATGTCAACCCCATTAGTCTTTCCTTGCAGAAAGAATGACTGAGGCCCAGACAGGCAGGGGAGTTCCATATCACCACTCTCAGCTACTGATAGAGGCCATAGCAAAATGTAAGGCTCCCAGCACAGGGCCTTCTTCTTCTTCCATAAAATGCACCACCTTGGACAGTCAAAAGAAGTAATTTAACTTCCACTTTTTTCAAAAAACATGAAAACTCAACACTCCCATCACTGATGCAGGGAACTACGTAAAAACTTTGTCCTCTTCTGAATTGAAAGATATCATAGTAAAACTAATGCCCAATGTCCAAGATGTTGCTCCTTGATATTTAAAGTTCATGGGTCATTCTAGCAAAATTGATGCCATATAGTCTTGATTTGTATATTTTAAAATTTTATCACTGTGTTGCTTTCTCAACAATTACTTGATATTCAAGTTTTTTTTTCATTTTGCTTAAATAAGTAGATGAAGTCTTTCCCCCTTAAAAATAGGAAGGCAAGCGAGGCCAGGACTAGGTGTCCTTGGACACCAAATGCTGGAATGGCGTCACACATAGATGGCAAATAGGGTTTTAGTATGGCCAAGTTGACTATTTCCACTTGTGTTCCAGCTGCCATGCCACACCACCTCACCTCTGCCCATCCGCCCCCAGATCTTCGGTGGTGGTGAGCGGGAAGAAGGCTGATCTCATGTGTCTACCAGAGATGTTACTCATAAACGCCCTCATAATTCCCAGATGCTCTCATACTTTCTATGGGATAATACACTATGTCTCTTTTGAGCCAACACCCTAATTCTGCAAATGATATTCACTGGTGCCTTGAGCAGGAGGCAAAGGGGCCCACAAAATTCTCTCATAAGACCAAGACATTAGGTCCAGGAGGAGCAAACCTGCCTTCCAGCCAAACACTCAGACCACCTCACACTCAGTAGAGTCTGAGAAATCATCTTGAGGAGCTCAGGTGGAAGACGCTTCCCTTGTTAAAAAATAAAGCACACAGAAAAACCTTCAAAACTCTTGTTAATATGATGTGGATCAAGATCTATAGCAGATGAATAAGGAAAGAACTGGCCTAGTGCTGCCAAATTCTTTCTAAAACTGGGATTCTTTTCAGTTCTGGGGCAGATAGAGTTGCATTGGAAGAGAATTTGACCTATTGAAAAATAACAGTTTTATGATGCTTTCCTATAAGTCTAGACTAGCAAGTGGGCCAGTTCTAAAAATGTCCTTGTATTTATGCCTTAAGAGATATTCATCTACATCGTAGGGTTTTTGGAACAAAGAGAACGGTTTCCTTTTTCTATAAAGTTTGGCGTCATTATTATTTTGAAAGATAACCATGCTCACCCATTGCCAAATGACGGCTGAGTTATGCTCTCTCTATATTTTTTAAAGAATTCGCTTTTGAAAAGAAGGTGGAGGTGGCTGGGGAGGAGAGGGTAATCCACGTCCTGTCACTCACTCCCTTCCAGGCTGTGAGAAAGTTGTGGGCCTGGGAACTTACAGTTTGTTTTCTATAATTCCATCTGGTTTGAGACCAAAAAGGACATATTTGTGGAGAACAGACCACAGTCTGAGAGGGAAAAGGGCTGAGGGGGTAGAGGTATAAAAATCAGATAGCTCAGCACTTCGCTCCAAAGGAGCTGAAGGAGAGAGGATTCCACTGCGTGTATGTTTTCTCTTTCACGTCTCACTTTTGTTCTCTGCCATCAGGAAATGCAGTAGACATTTGTCACCAGCAGCTCTTTGGAGACTTCAATGTTCCTTCCTCCCAGGATCCGAAAGGGGACTTCAGACACGTAAGAGTCATATTTTGCAAACCAGCAGAATTTTTGTGCAGTGTTTATCAGACAAGTGAGAGGCTGTGAAGGCAGACTTTGGGAAATAGTTTTAACAGTTCATAAATCAGATGTAATTGAAAAGGAGAGGATCTCCTTTTTGAGAGCCATGAAAACCTTTCTTTTGTAATCTCCTTACTGGGGCAGAATTGTAATGTGTACAAGGGCCGGGGGTCTAATGAAGTCAGGTTGCCTTGGGTCACTCAAGGTAATTTGTTTTTTTTCTGGCCAAATCATGAAACAGAACTGCATTCTGCTCCCTGTTACATTTATATGATAGCATCTCTTTTGATATTGTCAAGTGTGTTATGCCAGGTTGCATAGCATTACCGATAACAAAATTCTTTGGAAAATTGTTTTTTTTTTTTTTTTTTTCACACACCAAATAGCAGCAGCTGAAATCAGTTGGAGTTCTTGGCTGGCCAGGAAGTAAAAAGTGCTTTTCATATAAAATTCCTAAGAAACCCTAGAAACATGATGCAAAGCATTTGTACCCCTTTTACTTTCAAACTAGTAGAATTTATGTGACTTTTGAAAATTATATTTGTTATACTGATAAAAATGCAGTTTCATATGAAGAGTAGGAGACCCTAAAGGGACTTGCCTAAGATTTTCATTTGAATTTAGTACATTATGAGTTGTCATAGTATAAGAGGATTGGAGGTTTGGAGGATTGATAGTGTTCTTAACTTCAGGGAGAATCTAAGACACCAGGAGCTCAGAAGAATGGAGTCTCAAGACATCAGGCAAATACCGAAGAGATCAGAGCCAAGTTCTAAAGGGCAGCCATTTCCCAAATGTCAACCAAGAGCGAAGCCAAGAGAATTATGATTTCCTGGCTATACAATGACAGGAAAAGCTTGATCAAAGCTGGAGTGCAAGTTAAAAAGTGTAAGGTACTCAAGTGCTAGGGTCTGTGTCCAAGCCCAATCAATTGATCATTAGTTGTTTTTAACTTCAACGTTTCTTTTGCAACAGCACCTCTTCCTTAAAGTAGCAATCTTAGCAGACTGCCACCTTACATGATGCATCTTATTCTCCAAGGACAATGAAGACTGAACTATCGCACATTACCTAAGAAAGATGGGAATTGACATGCACATCACAATTGTATACACAACAGAAATTATTGAATCATGAGATATACATTCCGGTGTGTGACAGATTGGCACATGACATAATCTGGGTTCTTTATAGACTCAGTTGTTTTGGGGCGATCTAGATTATCAAGAGAAGAGCCTTCATGCTTAGCTTTATCTTGTACCAACCACCAGGGCCCTTGCTTCTGAGCAGGAAGCAGCTGGGGAATAGGCTCTTTCTCTTAATGACTTCCAACATAGTTCTCTCAAACCTTACTCCTCCAGAAGGCCACCCTCACCTGGCTATGGCTACTTCAGAAAAAACTTGGCCTCTGGTATAATAGAGCAGAATCACCACCTCACATTCTATTTCAAGCCAAAGTCAATATCTCAAAGGCTGGTTCTGTGATTTATTTGGCCCTTGGGAGCTCCTACTGAAAGTGCTGAAATGTCGTACTGACACTTCAGACTTATAGCTACCTAGACTCCAAGTAAGATTTATCTCTGACTGGAGGGTTTCTCCTATTAAAAACCAAAGAGTGTAGGGTGCCTTCACCTGCTAGGTAATCTTCTATGCCCTAATGGGAAGAATGGGAGCAGCAGACAAGTAAGTTCAGGAAGGAGAACCAAAGCTGTGTCCATGCCCTTGAGGAAAGAGAAATTGGACCAGACAAGTTCAGTGGAAACTTTCTAATGGATCCATCAACTTCATCTTGTCTAAGCAGAGTCATAGCTAGAAGTGTGACTGAAATAGGAGAACCACGTCCAGGGGTTCAGGGGGGATTCCTCTGAAATCGCAGCTGGAAGCATTTCGTAATAGTTCTGGTACTGCACCCATAGATACTGTCACCTCTACTCTTTCTTCCAATCACCATTAGCAGATGCCACAGGATTCCTACTTCTGAAAGTTTTTGGGCCCTGCAGGTGGAAGACTGGAGAAGCCAATAAAGTTTAAGGCTACATTTTATTCCATCCACAAATTTGGTGAAGGAGGAAATGTTTACAATTCTGCCATGCCATGAATAGGAGTTTTCCACCGGGTGTACACTGCTGTTAACAAGGTGTAAATACTTGTCCAGTAAAGAGACCGTACGGTACTGCTGATGGACGTCCCAACACAATGCCAGATGCAAAAACTTCTTTGGTGATTGCTTTTGATAACACTGAGTGGCTAAAGGTCTTCTTTCACATCTTTGCCCACCTCAAATCCTGAAGGCAAGGTCTCTGGAATTTGAGGCTGTGCCCTCACATGCCTCCAAGGCACCAACAAAGCAAAATGAAGAGTCTGCACTGCTTATCAGTTGACCCAACACTCAGTCCACATTGGAGGGGAAGGGGTGGTGGGCTGAGGATGTCTTCTTCCTGTCCAGGATGCAATATGGTCAAGGATGAAAGGAAAGAGATGCTGGGAGCAAGTCTGCATTGAAGATGTATTTCTGTTGCTTTACTACCAACCCTGGTTATAAATGATGAAACTATAATGGGTCTGTAATAGCTACTTTCCCATATAGCTCTTGTCTGTACATACATAAAATTAAAAATAATAGAATACTTCCATTACTAACATGTGGTGACAAGCATTCTTCATTTACCATTTTTATTCCAAAAACATGATTTAACATTTTAAAAACCAAGATCTGTTCGGTAAATCAGATAATAGGGTAAACTATAGTTTACCCTATCTTACAGCCAGTTAGATAAATGATTATTGTGAAAAGAAAATTGTTAGCATTGTAAATAATGCTTCTTATATGAATACTAAACAGTCTATTGGAAAACACCATGGTTGTTGGTTTAGAATCAGCTTCTTTGGCTGGGCACCGTGGCTCACATCTGTAATCCCAACACTTTGAGAGGACAAAGCGGGTGGATCACCTGAGGTCAGGAGTTCGAGACCAGCCTGACCAACATGGTGAAACCCTGTCTCTACTAAAAATACAAAATTAGCCACGCGTGGTGGCACATGCCTCTAATCCCAGCTACTCGGGAGGCTGAGGCAGGAGAATTGCTTGAACCTGGGAGGCAGAGGTTGCAGATCACACCATTGCACTCCAGCCTGGGCAACAAGAGTGGGCATTTTTAGGTTGGTTCCAAGTCTTTGCTATTGTGTGTGTGTGTGTGTGTGTGTATATATATATAGATCATCATATATATATATATATAGATCATATATATATATAGATCATATATATATGATCTATATATATACACACACACACACACACACACACAATAGCAAAGACTTGGAACCAACCTAAAAATGCCCATCAATGATAGATTGGATAAAGAAAATGTGGCACATACAGACCATGGAATACTATGCAGCCATAAAAAAGAATGAGTTCATGTCCTTTGCAGGGACATGGATGAAGCCAGAAGCTATCATTCTTAGCAAACTAACACAGGAACAGAAAAGCAAACACTGCATGTTCTCACTCATAAGTGGGAGTTGAACAATGAGAACACATGGAAACATGGAGAGGAACATCACACAATGGGGCCTGTCAGGGAGTCGGGGGAGGGAGAGCATCAGGGCAAATATCTAATGCATGCAGGGCTTAAAACCTAGATGACGGGTTGATAGGTGCAGCAAATGACATGGCACATGTGTACCTATGTAACAAACCTGCATGTTCCGCACATGTATCCCAGAACTTAAAGTAAAATAAAAATGTTTTAAAATAAAAATTAAAAAATAATAGAATCAGCTTTTTCAAATCCATAATATTTGGATTTTATTTTTGCCTGAAACTTTCTTAGTCAATAATAATTCAGTTTTTACCATGCTTTAAAAGGGACTCCATTACAAACTCTCTTAGAGTCTTCCTTATGCCTTACATGGCATAGTGAGTCAGTGATTTTTTTTTTCTTCCATGGCGTTAGAGAAGAGGCTAAGGGAAAGTATCTGTAACTTTTCACGGCAGCATCTTTAACCTTCTGCTAAATCCTGGGCTGCCAGCTGGCAAGGCCTAGTACTCTTCAGTCCTGCAAAGAATCACGTATGTGTCACTGAAGGTAGACTTAAGTTCTTCTGTTTTAACCTGAATCATCTGCAGAAGCAAACAGCAAAGTGCATCACCCCTGTTAAAGCGGCTGGCAGTACGAGCCACAAGGTAAAAATTATGAAGAAGTGTCCCTCTTTGTCCCTTCACCGAGAACATAGCGTCCAATGCTGTTTCCAAAGCTCCTTAGCCACCTCCACTTCTGTCCCCTTTCAAAGGATCTTCCAAACCACCCCCAACCCAGGTCTGGATTTAGATCTGCTCTTTCTGTACAGCAGCTCATGTTCCAAACCAGTAATTCATAGATATGATTCATTTGATTACAACCTTCACTATTTTTACCCATAATACTTCTACTGTTATTTCCTAATATAATACCTTAATATCACTACTATAATTAAAATTCTAATATAACTTTTCATAATTAAAAGGTAACCATACAAATAAACTGAATAAAAAATAATGCCATTAAAATTTAAGCGGATACTATTGCCTGCTAAAAGCTCTGAGCCTAAGGCCTGTTTCTGTTTTTTTTAAAAGGGTGGTTAATATGTGCTACGTTAAAGATGCACTCACATCAAATTGAGACTTCTCTTAATCTATTCAGAAGGACTGAAAGAGAAGGCAAAAGAAAATCTCTCATCTTGTGTGATTCCATTTTAGTTAACACCACATTGGTTTTATTAAACCCCACTCAAGATCATCTTAGATTTAGAATCATCTTGTGAGTCCTAGTTTATGGGAAACAAGATAAGCCAGCATTTCTCAAAATGTGGGTTTTGGACAGTCTGCAAGAGATAACCTAGCACCAGATTAACATGCAAATCCCCTGGCTTCTGAGACTTCTGAGATAGGTCTTAGGAAATCTGTATTTTTAACACATTTCTCAGGTATTACTTATACACACAAATATTTGAAAACCATGAGTCCAGATTTGTCGTTTTCAAACATTAGCCAAGGGATCCTTTCTTCCAATAAAATCCTTCACAGAAACTAAGATAAAAAGCAGGTAAGAATAGAGTCCTCTAGTTGAATCAGGAAGGTGGGGCAGAGAGCAGAGTTGTGATTTCACCTTCTCATGACCCTTCTCATGGCATACGGACATTTCTCATGGTAAAATAAAATAGTTAATTAACATACTAGAAAATATTCAGCCTCATAATAATCAAATGCAAACAAAATAAAAGATAAGATCTTATTTTTTTACTCATAAATTAGCAAAGGTATTTTGAATGATAGTGTAAATAAGGACTAACTAGAATGTTATAACCAATATTCTTATATGCAGAAAAGCAAATGAGTACCACCTTTCTGGATGTACTTTAAAATATTTATGTTTTCTTTTAATGCAATACTCTACTCTCTATGAATTTATTATGCAGAAATGGTGTGAAATTCAGGCAGATTTATGCACAGTTCCGGAACTAGACAGTGGTGATAGTTGCATAACACTGTGAATATACTTAATGCCATGGAATTGAATGGCTTCAAATGGTTACAATGCTAAATTTTATGTTGCATATTTTACCACAGTATACACAAAGAATTATGCAAAAATATGCATTTCATTATTATTTATGATAAGAATTTAAAACTGGCAGGGCGCGATGGCTCAGGCCTGTAATCCCAGCACTTTGGGAGGCCAAGGCGGGTGGATCACCTGAGGTTGGGAGATCGAGACCAACCTGACCAACATGAAGAAACCCCATCTCTATTAAAAATACAAAACGAGCCAGACGTGGTGGTGCGTGCCTGTAATCCAAGCCACTCGGGGAGGCTGAGACAGGAGAATCGCTTGAACCCGGGATGCAGAGGTTGCGATGAGCCGAGATTGTGCCATTGCACTCCAGCCTGGGCAACAAGAGCAAAACTCTGTCTCCAAAAAACAAAAACAAACAAACAAAAAAGAATTTAAAACTGCTGAATACCCAACATTAGTCATTGCCACATTATGGTGTTTTTGGAAAATTCTTGTGATATATATACACTTACTTATGTGAAAAAAAAAAAAACAGGATGTGAAACTATATCCACAATATTACCTCAGCCATTTCTTTAAAAATAGAATAATCTAGATAGAAATATGTCAAATATTACCTGTAATGGAGCCTAGAAGAGTAGTAGAATTATTAACACCTCTTCCTTTCTCTTCTACTTTGAGAAGCTTTCCAAAATTTGCTAAAATTAGCACTTTCTTAAAACATGAGATTTTTGTGTGTGTGATTTTTAAATTTTAGCTTATTAGCTATCATTAGTGTTAGTGTATTTTATGTGTGGCCCAAGACAATTCTTCTTCTTCTAGTGTAGCCCAGAAAAGCCTAAAGATTGGACAACCCTGCTCTACTACCTCTTAAAAAAATAGAAAAAAAAAAAAAATAGGAAGAAAGCGCATTCTTTTCTTATTGCTGCTTTATTTTTTTTCCATAAGTTATTAGGGCACAAGTGGTATTTGGTTACATGAGTAAGTTCTTTAGTGGTCATTAGTGAGATCCTGGTGCACCCATCGCCCGAGCAGTATATACTGCACCATATATGTTGTCTTTTATCCCTTTTAGCCCCTCTCCCACTCTTCCCCCCAAGTTCCCAAAGTCCATCGTATCATTCTTACGCCTTTGTGTCCTCATAGCTTAGCTCCACATATCAGTGAGAACATACAATGTTTGGTTTTCCATTCCTGCGATACTTTACTTAGAATAATAGTCTCCAATCTCATCCAGGTCATTGCAAATACTGTTAATTCATTCCTTGTTATGGCTGTGTAGTATTCCATTGTATATATATGCCATAGTTTCTTTCTCCACTTGTTGACTGATGGGCATCTGGGTTAGTAACCATTTTGCAATTGTGAATTGTGCTGCTATAAACACATATGTGCAAGTATCTTTTTCAAATCATGACTTCTTTTCCTCTGGGTAGACACCCAGTAGTGGGATTGCTGGATCAAATGGGAGTTCTACTTTTAGTTCTTTAAAAGATCTCCACCCTGTTTTCCATAGCGGCTGCACTAGTTTGCATTCCCCACAGCAGTGTAGAAATGTTCCCTGATAGCTGCATCCATGCCAACATCTACTGTTTTTTGATTTTTTTATTATGGTCATTCTTGCAGGAGTAAGGTGGTATCTCATTGTGGTTTTAATTTGCTTTTCCCTGATCATTAGTGATGTTGAGCATTTTTTCATGTTTGTTGGACATTTTGAGAACTGTCTATTCATGTCCTTAGCCCACTTTTTGATGAGATTGTTCCTATTGCTGCTTTAACATATTTCCACAACATTAGTGCCTTAAAACAACACGCATTTATTATATACAGTCCTAGAGGTCAGAATTCCAAAATCTATATATAAGGCTGCATTTCTTCTTCTTGGAGACTCCAGGGGAGAACCTATTTCTTCACCTTGTTAAGTTTACAAGGTGCTGCACACATTCCCCTGGCCCCTTCCTCCAACTTCAAAACCAGCAGTGTAGTATCTTTTCTCCTCTCTGACCTCTGCCTCTGTTCTTACATCTTCTCCCTATCTTCTGACCCTCTTGCCTGCTCTTATGAGAATCCTATGATTACATTAGTCCACCTGATAACGCAAGATAATCTCCACATCTCAAGACCTTTAGTTTAATCACATCTACAAAATCCTTTTTACTTTGGAAGGTAACATATTTGCAGGTTCCAGGCATTAGGACATAAACATCCTCAGGGCCATTTATTCATTCTACCACAAGAATGAAGAAAAAAAAAAAAAGCAAAAAAAAGAAAAGAAAGAAAGGTGGGGACAGGGAGAGGGGAGGGAGGGAGGGAAGGAAGGTAGAGAGAGAGGGAGGGAGGGAAGGAAGGCAGAGAGGGAGGGAGGGAGGAGGGAAGGAAGGAAGGAAGGAAGGAAGGGAAGGAAAAATGTCTCTCTGCTCCAGTTTTTATTCATGTGTAACCACTGAATTCAACTCTCAATGGGAAGAATAACAAAAAGGTTGAAGCTCTTTAATCTCCTATGCTTTTTAAGTATAAAATTTCAGCTAACGAGGAGTGCATGATGCAAGCCATCTATACTAGAAATGGAGGGAAGGGGTAGCTTCAACCGTGTCAAATACCCAGAGAACATTCTAATGTGTTTAGATCAGTCTGGGGAATCATTTATAAATCATTCTGGTTTTAAACATTTTGAATCTTTCTTAGATATGTATTTTTAAAAGTCTTTCCTCTACCATTTTTCTGTGTCAAAGTCTATGGAAATAACCACTAAGATAAAGAATCATAAAAACTCACTAGCTTATGTTTTCATGTGTTTTATGTATAAGGATATGTTTTAGGTTCTACATAAAGCATATTAAGGTATGCCCAGAAAATAAAATCATGTCCCCCACATTTTGTTGAGAAACAATGATGGTTAGGTTACAGCCAAATTTTTTTGCTCATTACAAGGTCTGAAATACAGCTTTTGATTTCCTTTGTCTGAGTAGAATGTATAACCTTTCTAAATTTATTTTTATTTTCCAACATATTATTTGCCTTGATACTGATGTATGTGGTATACTTATAAAGATAAATCTTTCTTCTTTCCTTTCCTAATTTGTTCAAACCTTTGATGAGAAGAACCAATATTGTAAAGAATGCTGATGGCTTCATAAATATTTTTATCATTGAATTTCAAAAAAGCACATACAATAGTTACATAACTCTTACTCCCATTCATGTGTCATCTTTGGAGTCTATGGTTAATAATAATAACACTAAAAACAATGGATTTAGATTGAGTAGGTACCTGTACATGGGTAAATTCATTGATTCGTTAAATATTTACTACTACCTCAAAGAGAGTAAACAGCCTGGTGGGAGAGACAGGCACAGTGACATGCTGAAGCTGGCTTAAGCTGGGTCTCATTGGCTCCCAAGAGCCAATTCTCTGCATCTCTTCTCAATTCCACTTCATTGACATCAAGTTAGTAGCTTGAAATCAGCCATGGTGAGAGTGAGAGTATTTACACCACAGAAATTGGCAAACACTATAAATTTGGGCTTTTTGTTAGACATTCACCAGGCACCACTGCAATACATAGATGTGGCTAACAATGTGATGTGTTAAGAAACAAGAGAGATAATAAAAGCACCAAGAAGGGGTGCTGAACACAGTTAGAAGGATCAAAAAACCTTCCCTTTTGGGGCTAACCTCCAATATCACCTCCTCTGAGAGGCCTTTCAATACAACCTTCCTGAAAAAATCCTGCTCCCAGGCATGCTGTCATACTACACTGTGCATTTCTTTCAGAAAATCTGCCACAGTTGGTGATTATCTTACTTATTTTTACTTATCTGTCTCCCTTACTGGGATGTAAACTCTTCAATGCAGGTTCTTATCTGCCTTGTCTCCCTGGCTACTAAAAGGCACTCAAAGTATTTTTTTAAAGTTAGTGGTGGAGTAGCAGTAGGGTCTCAAAGGATGAGCAGAATTTGGCTAGGCAAAGAACTAAAGGTAGAACATTCTGAGCAGACAGAAATACAAAGAGTGGTGGCCAGAGAAAGATAGTGTGTGCATAAAACTTACAGTCCAAATTAAGGAGTGGCCTCTACACTGGATCATGTGAGCCACAGGGACTCATGAAGGCCACTGTTCAAACTCCTATTTACCCAGAGATGAGCAAGAGCATGGCTAACTCCAAATTGGCACAGATGTGGTTTTAGGTCAGGAAAGAAGAAAACTAATGAAACATCTCTCTCCTATCTGATTGGTAAATTGAAGTTCTTTTTCCTCAGTAGAAGGGATTTATCCCTAAAAAGCATTGCTGAATCTCCCCAATTCAGAGTGTTCAAAGTGTGAAGCATTTGATAGCATTTAAATTGAAACAAATAAACAAGGCAATGAGGATATGTTGGTTTCCCCCATGTGCATTATTGAAGTCCTTCTGCAAATAATTGTGGTCTCTTGACAATGCTGCATGTATTAGATCATCTGAGAAATGTATTAAAGGGGTTTTCTGTTCAGTGAGGGAGCAGGGTGTTCAGTACCTAAGGAGATAAGCTAATTTGACTACAGGTATTGAGTCTGCATAAAGCATTGAGCCAGTGCCCTCTCCCACTTCTCCAACATGCCACAATCTATTAGATGAGGCGATAGGATCTTCAATGGGATGAAGAAAGGATAAAATGATGGAATGACTAATTCTGCTGGGTGAAATTCAGCAAGGTTTCAGGGGAAGGTAATGTTTGGTTTGGCCTTAGGAGATGAGTAGAACTTGAGCAGGCAAAGTCTCAGTGGAGGGGGCACTTCAACAGGAAGAACATGCTGATCCAAACCACAGAGGCCAGAAGTCAGGGTGTAGATATATTTGAAGGCTCATGGAACTGCCACACATAGATTAACTTACACAACTCTGAGCAGAACAACTGCCAATGTGCTTTTGCAAAACAACATTCTAATTTTACTTCGGTTTTCATAATGGCAAAGTGATTCATTAGTTCCTATTACACATTGCAATTTCAAAATGATAAAACACTGAGAGTCCTTTCTTAATTATGAAAGTTCAAAAAAGGGAACTTAAGCCAAATCTGCTGTTTCCACTCAGCAAATGTGTGGCCACAAGAGGTGCTTGACCCGCCTGCACACAACTCCTATTAAGTCTTGTCCATACAAGCTTAATAATAAGATAATATCTTTGCTTTGTATACACAGTGGAGCCTCATATGCATACCATAATTGACTATGCAGGGTTAGAGAGGCCCCAAGTCAAGTTATGTCACAGCCACGGCATAATCAACTATATTCATTAAAAGCACAATCAGGCCAGGCTCACACCTGTAATCCCCGCACTCTGGGAGGCCAAAGCAAGTGGATCACCTGAGGCCAGCCTGGCCAACTTGGTGAAACCCTATCTCTACTAAAAATACAAAAATTTATGGGGCATGATGGTACTTTTTTGTAATCCCAGCTACTCGAGAGGCTGAGGCATGAGAATTGCTTGAACCCAGGAAGTGGCGGTTGCAGTAAGCTGAGATTGCGCCCCTACGCTCCAACCTGGGTGACAGAGTGAGGCTCCATCTCGATAAATAAATAAAAACAAACAAACAAACAAACAAATAAATAAATAAATAAATAAAAGCACAATTCAGGTAAAACTCACTTGAAGACAACTTAAAATGTGAAAATAACTGATTTCCAAAATGGACATACAAAGGTGATTGTTTTATACTTATTTCACCATTGGTTTCACTTAAATAGTGAGTTTTAAAATGACAATTTATCAAAAGCTATTTTCATCAGAAATATATTTTGTGTGTAAAGAAAAGCACCCCAAGGGCTGCTTGGTGACCAAGAACAGAGACTGATTCTGGCTGGCTTAAGTTAAAACAGAAATTCTTGTATGAATATTATCAGAGAAAGATAGTGTGTGCGTAAAACATAAAGTCCAAATTAAGGAATGGCCTCTAGACCACTAAATAAAAGATAAAGCTGGAAATAGAGCTCAAAAAAATCTGTGCCTCCCCAACCCAGAAAAAGAGGGCAGCTCTTGGAATCCAGATAGAACTGATAGGAAGTGCCTCTTTGATCATTTTTCTGATCTTTTTCACTCAGCTCAAGCTTCAAATTCCCAGGATAAAATGACCAATCTGGAATTATCCAGAGACAATCACACCCCTTCAATTACAGTCCCACGGAAGCTACACAGGTTCGTGGAGAATGGTTTCCTCAAAGGAAATTGGTGCTTTTATCAAAGAGGGTAGAATGGGTTGGGCATAGTGGCTCATGCCAGTAATCCCAGCAATTTGGGAGGCCAAGGTGAAAGTATACCTTGAGGACAGGAATTCCAGACCAGCCTGGGCAACATAACAATATCCTGTCTCTAGAAAAAAAAAAAAAATAGCTGAGCGTGGTGACACAAGCCCATAGTCTTAGCTACTCGGGAGGCTGAGACAAAAGGATCACTTGAGCCCTGGGCAACAGAGCAAGACCCTGTCTAAAAAAGAAAAAAAAAAAAAGAGAGTAAGAAGGTGGAATGAATACCAAGTAGCCAGAAGATGAGGAATAGCCATTCTAACCCCTAACCTGAGGGTGTTCTGCCTGTGATTAGTCCTGACTCACTATACCAGTGTGATACAGTTGAGAATTTTGTCTTTCTCCTTATCCAGCCTTTCCCTGACCCTTTTTGTTCTGAAGAGGTCAGTAGCAACTTCTAGAATCTGTTTGTGGAGGGAATTTTAAAATACATACCTGTTGGTTAGTCGGTGTTTCCATGTGATACTTTTTACATACTCAACAATTTACTTATCCCTCCATATATAGCAATATGAGTGTTATCTAACCACTAGGAATTTTTCTCCATGAAGTCTATAGTCACATGCTAGTGAGATAATTTAAATATGTCCACAGAATACAGAATATTTTTCAAATAAGTTTTTAAAAGCTTAAAAGGAAAAAGACTAATTAAAAAAAGGCTTTAGGTCTTTCGTACCAAACATTCTATTAAGCAGATATTTTTTGTGTAAGTTACTTAATTACACAGTTGAGCACTGTGTAAACACATCTCAACTCTCTATATCAACTTATGTAGCTGTTAAATAAAAAACCTATAGTATGTACAATATGTTGCATTTTTCCATAGGAAAAAAATGAGTTCTGTCAACATGTCCAGCCAAGCTAAAGTAGAATGACTTCAGCTACAAATATCTAGAAATGCTGAGTAAAACAGGATAAAAAAGAATTTGTTTTTAAATGCCCAGCTAAGCTCATGAGAAATAATGAAGAATTCCAAGAATACGGAAATGACCAGGTTCCAGAAAGGCAGAGGATGTCCAAATGGATGCAGCAGTGGCCTTGGGGTGGGAAAAGCAGAGGGGCTCAGATGATGCTGGGAAATAGGCCCTCCCATCTACACTAGGACAAGATACAAGAGTGGGCCATGCAAAGAGGACAGTGGCGGCTGAGACCTCTAGATCAAGCTAGAGTCCTACAGCGCTACAACCTCAGTATAAAGGAACTGGACAAAGTCCACCTACCCACCAGGGAAACAGCAAAGAGGCTTGCCTCAGCCCTAAGAGCAGGGTGGGAAAGGAAAGTTTCCCACGAGAAAATGAAGCCCCATGGCCATGCCAATCCTAGGCTTGGAAGCTGAATTTGCACTTTCCTTGTGATATGGGATTTCCCCAGTTTGAGACTGACATAGATGTTGCTCCTGAGCTGGTTGCCCAGGGCTCCTTGAAGAAGAAAATCCAAAACATCTCTAGAAGGATATTCCACAGGAATTACCACAGGGATTACCACAGAGGAAAAAAATTTGCTAAAGATCGGGTTATAATTTTTTTTTAATTATATAGTATATGAGGTAAAGATCCAACATGAGTGAGGATCCAAAGCTCTCTCAGAATCCAAAGGTCTCTGCCATAGAAAAGCAGATATCATTTCCAAATTATTTTATTTATTTTATTTTTATTATATTTTTAGAGATGGAGTCTCACTCTGCCACCCAGGGCTGGAAGTACAGTGGTGTGACCATAGCCCACTTCAGCCTTGACTTCCTGAGCCCAAGAGATCGTCCCACCTCATCTCCCAAGTAGCTGAGAGTACAGGTACATGCCACCATGTCCAGTTTCAAATAATTTTATATTATCTGGAAGCTAGTATGAAAGAAATATTAAAATGACTAAAGAGATTAAAGAAGGAATAAAATTCATAATGAAAGAATAAGACATTATGACAAAAGAACACACACAATTTTTAAAAGAACCAAATGGAAATCTGCAAATAAAAGATAAAACCTGAAAAATTAATGGATTGGTTAAATAACAGACTGGACTCTGATGAAGAGAAAATTAGCTAACTGGAAGAAAAATCCTGGCATATTACTTTGAATGTAGCATGGAGAGACTTTTTTAAATGTAAAAAAACATAAAAGGTGGAAAGTAAGCAAGATGAAAGATGGTGTGCATAGGAGCCAAGAGAAAACTTCCCTTTAGAAGTTTTACTGAAAAATCAACTAGAAAAAGGCATATTATTTATTTTATTTTATTTATTTATTTGCCTGCTAGACAAATTCTAAAAGAGCTTTAACATTGCCAAAAGGCAGGTTAATAGGAGAAAGGCATACAAGTGTATTAGCATGTACAGGAGACATACAGAGATCTGAAAAGCAAGATGCTTGATGCTTTTATACCATCTTGAAGTTACAGAAATAACAGGGGCTCAGAGAATGGCCCAAAACACGTTTTGATGGTAAATCAGGTTATGATGGCAAGACCAGGTTATGGGAGGAATAGAGAGGAAGCCTGGCTAGTAAAGGTGGTCTCCTTATGTAGAGGAAACCTCACAGGTGGCAGCCCTCAGAGAGAATAGGTAGTAAGTGTTTCTTTAGGCCCTTAACGGTGTCAAACTCTCAGTTAATTTTTCCTAAATTGGACAAGGGAGAGCCTCAGAGAAAGCCTGGCTTTGTCAATGCAGATTTTCTTTACAGAAGCAAATCTCCCTACAAAAGACAGCTTTTCAGCTATTCTTATATTTCCAGGTCTTCTGCACAGCCATCTTGAAATATGTAAAAGAAGTATATTTGGCGGGTGAAATATTTTAGTTTCCTTCAAGTGAAAGGTCCAAGATACATCTATTTAATAGGATTTCTAGAAAGGTTTATAGAGAAAATAAAGAAAATTCAAAGAGTTGATGTCTGGAATTAACACAAATCCTCACATCGAAGAGGGTGTGCAAAGAGGCCAGAAAGGGAAAAATAGAAATAAATCTGCACTTAAATACGTCAAAGCAAAACTGTGTAGCATCAAAAAGAGAGTATCTTAAGATCAGTGGAAAATAAAAAGTGGAATAATTGGACTTACAGCAGACTTCTCAAAAGCAACAACAGAGGCCAGAGGAAAATGAAATCATGTCTTCAAGTATAATTTCAACCTAGAATCCTTTATCAAGCTAAGTTGTCATTCAAGAATGAAAGCAAAGTAAAAATAGATATTGAAATCAACAAAGAATAAGAAATACCAAACACAGGCCCTCATAAGATAAAAGGAAATTAAATTGAAGAAAGAATAGCAACAAAAGGACTATTAAACAAAAAAGGTGGTAAATATGTTCGGGCATGGTGGTGTGCGCCTATAGTCCCAGCTACTTTGGAAGCTGAGGCAGAAGGACTACTTTAGCCCAGAAGTTCAAGGCTGCAGTGAGCTATGATTGAGTTACTGCACTCCAGCTCTCCAGCCTGGGCAATTGAGTGAGACCTCACTTGAAAAAAAAAGTGTAAATAAAAATAAACATTGAATGTAAAAACTTCTAATATTTCATTTGAAGAGTTTAAAAATAAGGTACAGCTGAAATGTCAGTGTGAAAAATATGACTGCTTACAGTCAAGATGTACTAAGGTCTTTTTCTTGTTCAGAAGGATTCACTTTACACTGTGTAAGTCAAGTATGTGTGTCAAAAGTGTACAGGTAATCACTAAAAAAAAAATAGACTGCAAAAGAATGTAAAACTTCTAAATCAGTACTAAAAACATAAAAATTTGATCAATTCAAAGAAAGGAGAGAAAAGGAAATAAAAACATAAGATATATATATATATATACACAAGCCCTTGAACTTCTGGGTTAAAGTAGTCCTTCTGCCTCAGCTTCCAAAGTAGCTGGGACTATAGGCGCACACCACCATGCCCGAACATATTTACCAGCTTTTTTGTTTAATAGTCCTTTTGTTGCCATTCTTTCTTCAGTTTAATTTCCTTTTATCTTATGAGGGCCTGTGTTTGGTATTTCTTATTCTTTGTTTATATATATATACACATATATATATTTCCATAGGTTATTGGGGAACAGGTAGTGTTTGGTTACATGAGTAAGTTATTTAGTGGTGATTTGTGAGATTTTGGTGCACCCATCACCTGAGCAGTGTACACGGTACCCTATTTGTAGTATTTTATCCCTCACCCCCTTCCCACCCTTGCCCCCTGAGTCCCCAAAGTCCTTGTGTCATTCTTATGCCTTTGCATCCTCATAGCTTAATTCCCACTTATGAGTGAGAACATACGATGTTTGGTTTTTCATTCCTGAATTACTTCACTTAGAATAATAGTCTCCAATCTCATCTAGATTGCTGCAAATGCTATTAATTCATTCCTTTTTATGGCTGAGTAGTATTCCATTTTGTGTGTGTGTGTGTGTGTGTGTGTGTGTGTGTGTGTGTATCACAGTTTCTTTCTCCACTCATTGATTGATGGGCATTTGGGTTGGTTCCACATTTTTGCAATTGCAAATTGTGCTGCTATAAACATGCATGTGCAAATATCTTTTTCATATAATGACTTCTTTTCCTCTGGGTAGATACCCAGTAGTGAGATTGCTGGATAAAATGGTAGTTCTACTTTTAGTTCTTTAAGGAGTCTCCACACTGTTTTCCATAGTGGTTGTACTAGTTTACATTCCCACCAGCAGTGTAGAAGTGTTCCCTGTTCACTGCATCCATGCCAACATCTACTATTTTTTATTTGTTGATTATGGCCATTCTAGCAGGAGTAAGGTGATATCACATTGTGATTTTGATTTGCATTTCCCTGTTCATTGGTGATATTGAGCATTATTTCCTATGTTTGTTGGCCATTTGTCTATCTTCTTTTAAGAATTGTCTATTCGTGTCCTTAGTCCACTTTTTGATGGGATTGTTTGTTTTTTTCTTGTTGATTTGTTTGAGTTCATTGTAGATTCTGGATATTAGTCCTTTGTCAGACGTATAGATTGTAAAAATTTTCTCTCATTCTGTGGGTTCTCTGTTTACTCTGCTGACAGTTCCTTTTGCCATGCAAAAGCTCTTTAGTTTAATTAAGTCCCAGCAATTTATCTTTGAAAAATATATGTTTTAAGATCGAATATGTAATATAGTCTAAGTAGCGTTTAGAATTACACCTATACATTAGTATAACTTCATTTTCAGAAAAAATGAAAAGATCATAAAATACCTTATGTAAATAATCATAAAAAAGTAATACAACTAACTACCTACTAAATCACAGAGCCTCTCTGATTAGATTAAAAATAAACAGACAAAATAATAATCCACATGAATGCTTCTTACAGAAGACCCACCTAGAACACAATGACACTGAAAGGTAGAAAAAATGAAAAAATATATATATAGATGGTCCCTGAGTTATAATGGTTCAACTTATGATTGTTTGACTTTACTATGGTGTGAAAGCAATACATATTCATTAGGCCCTCCATTTAGTAGAAACTGTACTTCAAGTACTCATGCAACCATTTTGTTTTTCACTTTCAGTATAGTATTTAATAAATTACATGAGATATTCAACACTTTACCATAAAATCGGCTTCGCATTAGATAATTTTGCTAAACTGTAGGCTAATGTAAGTGTTCTGAGCATGTTTAAGGTAGGCTAGGCTAAGCAATGATGTTCATTAGGTTAGGTGTATTAAATACATTTTTGACATGATGTTTTCAACTTATGATGGGTTCATCAGAATGTAACCCCATTGTAAGTCAAGGAGCATCTGAATACCAGGCAAATTATAAACAAATGAAAGCTTGTATATTGGCATACATAGTAGATAAAACAGACTTTAAGTATTTTGCAGAATAATAAAGGCTATTACCTAAAATTAAAAAGAAAATTCTCCAGGAAAATAGCATAATCCTATGCCTTTTTTCCCCCCACAACATTATAGCTCCAAAACACACAAAACAAAAATTAAAATACAAGGAGAAATTGACAAATACACACCCACAGTGGAATATTTTAAGATCTCTTTCTCAGAAATTGATATGTCAAAGAGATAAAAAAGTAATAAGCATATAGATAATTTGAACAATGCAATGAATATGATTAAGCTAATAGAAATATATGGAACCTTATCCCAACCATTTGATTGTAAATATTGATTTTCAAGCACAAATAAAAGTAAAAAAATTACCTAGGCAACAAATCAAATCTCAGGAAATATCAGAGAACTGGTATCACATGGACTGTATTCTCTGACCAACATCAACCCAAAACACAGCCCAAAAGATCCCAGTCTTCTGGAAAATTTTTAATTTCCAAAATAATTCATGAGTCAAAGAAGAATTCTAATGGAAAATTAAATTTTAAAGAAATGGTCAATAATAAACATTAAGCTTGGGTTATACCTGAAATTTTTTTTAAGAAAGAGAGGGAGAGGTCTGAAATGAATATCATAAAACATAGTTTTTAAAGCTGGATGCTATATATAAAAAATGCTATTATATTATTTTCTGTATACTTCAAATAGTTTATAATTATTTTGAGTTTAAAAATGAAGTTACTTATTCTGCTTTATATAAAGGTTATTTGTATCTCAATCATTGGAGGAATGGGTAAGGATCTGTTTTGTATTTGTTTTCCATATGGGATAGACAGGAATTTAGACAAAATGCTTCTATCAGTGAACACAAGGCTTCACCCAATATGGGGCAACTGATTTTCCTTACTCTCCAAGTCCCATTGTACTAGAGGCTAAAGGCGAGATATTCCCAGTCTGGCCTCCAGGGTCACCTTCAGGTCTGTCAAAAATACCTCCTGCTGGTGACCAGAAAGGCTGCAAAGCCGGTCATTTTTAAAAAGAACATATTGCAGATCACCCACGTAGAAAATCAAACTTGGGGGCAAGCCTCATGGTTAACAACATTTATATTGACCCCACTTAAAATATTTTATTACATACTTCTGATAAAAAAGCAACGTCTGCCTATGAGCTGGAGTTTTAGTAAACATCCTCCCTTTTTGAAGTGTGTCTTTAAAATAGTCATCCTAAGCAAAACTGAGAACTCCCTACCCTCTGTGACTCAAGTCTTAGGCAATCCTCAGATTCTCTTTCCCAGTTCTCCCAATTAAGTCCTGGGTGATTCCTGCTATCAGAATTTTATGTCATTATTGTCAAACTTGAGTAATGTATACCCTGTTTTTGGAGGAAAAATATTCTTCTGAGCCCCTAATGTTGATGAATTACTTTCATTAGAATGTTACTTTAAAAATATATACAAATGTAAAACTAGATATAAACTCATTATGCTAAACAACTGTAATACCAAAACAAATTTACAAATTAGAAACAAAACTACCAAACCAATACAGTTCAAATTAACAAGATTAATTTAATGTGACAATTAGTATTGTTTTGCTAAAATTGTATTGCAGTTAGAAACGATTGGCTTCCTGTTAGGTTCAGGCAATTGTAAGCACTTAGAGACGTATTGGAGGGCTGGGGAAAGGAAAAGTCAGGATATTTGCTCCCTCCCTTTTCTGGTTCTAGTCTAGCAAAGAAGCTCCTCCCTCCCTGATCCCACCTGGCTCCGGAAGGCAGCTTTTGCCATGGTTACTGACTGCATCCAGAAGCCCTGGTTTCCTGCCTCTGCTCATACTATCTCCTCCCCAGATGCCTCCTGGTACTGATCTGCTGCTGCCACTAACCTCTCTTTTGCCCCTCCATTCCCTGTTTGATTTCTTCCTCTCTTCCAATACCATTGTGATATGGTTTGGATTTGTGTCCCTGACCAAATTTCATGTCGAATTATAATCCCCAGTGTTGGAGGAGGGGCCTGGTGGGAGGTGTTTAGATCATGGGCGGGGGGGGGGGGCAGGGGGGATTTCCCCCTTGCTGTTCTCATGATAGTGAGTGAGTTCTCATGAGATCTAGTTGTTTAAAGGTGTGCAACACCTCTCCCTGCTCTCTCTTCCTCCTGCTCCAGGCATGTAGGACGTGCCAGCTTCCCCTTTGCCTTCCGCCATGGTTGTAAGTTTCCTGAGGCCTCTCCAGTCATGTTATCTCTACAGCCTGCAGAACCATGAGCCAATCAAACCTCTTTTCTTTACAAATTACCCAGTCGCAGGTAATTCTTTATAGCAATGCAAGAACAGACTAATACGCATTGTTTTTTACTAGTTTCCAATAATAAATTCCCTTTATTAAACCACTATTCTTATCATACTCTTTTCCTGACTGACCCCACAGATACACAGGTTATATGTAAGAGTGGAAAGAGATGGAGAGCAATCAGATTTCTTCCTTCATCCATGTGTATTTATGCCAATTGTTGTACTTTTAACTTCCCTCTTTTTTACACTTCAAAGTGCCAAGAATAAACCAAAAAGAGGAATCTCCCCAAAAGTGTATACATTTGTTTTATGTAGAAACCATTTTTGTTCCCTAAATTTCCTGTGGCTCCATATGTCATCAGAAGGGATTCAACAGGAAAGCATCTGTATCACAAAGGGGAAGCACACCCAAACAATGGATGAGTTCTGTCTGCAGATTCCAATTTGAGAAGTATGGCTGAGCAACCTTAGATATATCATCCCCAAAGCAACTAATAACTTAAAAGGGAAATCCGAATATTCATTTCCCTTGAAAAAATGGTGAACGAATTGAGGTAACCAATTCTTTTTTTTTTTTCTTCCTAGAGTTCTTTTAACATTACACGATTTTTCAACATTTTTCTTTACTGAGTTGCACCACCAGATAGACAAGGAAGAAGTTAATGTCCACACTTGAATATGAAAAAGGGAGAGAGGAATTTTAAATCAGGAAGTATGTCTTTAAAGGAACAGCATGAGAGTAAATAATTTATGATAGAACGACCAATATTTCTTCTATCAAATGCCAAGTTTCTTACTTTCTCTAATGGTAGCTTTTACGTTATATAGGTACCAGCTCCTACTTTTATCAGTTCTCAAGGCCATGAATATTTAATGGGTTGGGAAAAGTATGGCTCCTCCTAAGAGTCTGAGAGAAAGAGAGCCAGCATGTTTAATGTTTATTACAGAAATTAACTGACGGCAGGACATTCCTTGCAGGTCTTCAAACCAGCAAAACATGGGAGGTTAAGTTGATGCCAGGCTCCACTCCAGACAATTAAGACAGGAATCTCTGGTGGAAATCTCTGGGGGTGGGTTTCAGGCATTAGAATTTTTAAAAATTTTCCCACGTTATTCTAACGAAGCCACTAGCCTCAGCCAAGCATTAAAACTTACCTTGGATACTACCTTTTTATTGGATTCCATTTTTTTCCTCATAAGAGTTTGTCCATTTCTCCCCCTCATTCTTTATTATTTTGAATGACATTGACATAAGTGATACTAGAGCTATAATCAACTTGAGATTTTGTTTTACCTGCCACTTGATAAAAGAAAACAGACAAGGAAAAATACGAGTCCTTTTAGGGGTAGGGGGTGGTGATTATAGTGATGCCTGCCAGAATCCTCAGATAGCTGAACTGTGTGACTTTCACCTCAAAAGTCACTATCAAGGGACCGTGTATCAAATCCACTGTCCATTGGTCATTCATTTTGTGTAGTCCTTTTTCTCAATATCTTCAGGCTGTTAGCACATGGTATCAGACACAACCTGTCAATCCTCATCACATTAGAAATGTCCCAGTTCACAGTTCTCCAGAGCCCATGGCTCTTATAGGGTTGAAATCTCAGCACTCATTATAGCAACACCACATTGTATGTATATATCTCCCAAGACAAACACCTCACAAAGAATAAACAATGGCTTAGCCTGGGGATCCCCTAAACATGCTTGATAGTACACCTAATAGAAGTTTAAATAAGGGTTTAACATTTTCCCCATGATCCAATGGATCATCTTGCACCTCCCCTGAGGTGCTCACACCTCACTCCAGAGACCACTGAGCCAGTCTACTGGATAATGCTGCCTGACAAACAATTATTACTGTTGTGCTTTGAGTTGTCCCTGAATCTAAATATTAGAGCAGAAATTGTAAATGAGAGTCGTTCAACAATGCAAACAAGGTAAACAGAAAATTCTTCATCATCACCCATGAGTTACTTGATGAAAAATTCGAACGGAATTTTGTGTTAGTACCAAACGTTTCCTGTTACCATCAGGGCTAGGACTCTAGGACTTCCCAGGCTCCAGTCTGATCCTCTGAACAATTTTACTCAAATCACTTTTTGAACTGTTTATAGCTATTTTCATCATTGTTTCAGTGGTCACTCTAAACCAAAAAACGACCTCTAGGTTTTCTTGCTCAAGTGCTACATTCTTCAAAAGAACGCACTAGTAAAGTTCTGGCCATAATTTCAAAGCAGATTTTCTCTCTACAATAAATAGGTGTGCTTAAAATATAAAATGTTCTCAGTGAGGCATCCTTTATGAAAAAATGCAGTATAGCAGGACTTAGGCAAGTGAATTGATTCTGAAAAACTAAAAAGAGGCACAGGAAAATTTCATCAAGGTCACTGAAAGGGGGGAAATGAGCTGAAATGAGCAAGTACAGAGATTTGAGTCATGACAATTAAATAATCACAGAGTTTGATCCTGGTTTTGCAGCGGAGGAAACTAATCTGCCCAAGGTCATGCTCTAGTTTAATGGCAGAACGGAAAACATCCGCAGACTCCTAGCTCCCTGTCCCTTCTTTTGGTCTATAGTATAATTACTTCCTTAATTACTTATCTTCCATTCTCTTTTCTATCAGCCTTAGATAAGAAAGCCAAGACATTTCTTTGGTTGCCTTGTAAATCATCCTTACTTCACAAAGACTCATGCCTCCCCCTTGGGTGTTTCTTTTTCCTGTGGTCTTCCCATAGGAGAAGGCTCTGTATTCCCAACTGCAGGGTTCCTGTCTGCCTCGTTGGAGAGTCCTTTCATCACTGCAGTGCGTGGGCTGCCTGTCTCTAAAAATAAGATTCCATTTATTTGTTTGGTACAGGGAAAATCAATTATGGTACAGTTCTCACTGTGGAGATATTCTCAGACAATATTTTAACTGACTCCCAAGTTCTATTTTAAAAGCATCATAACCACACAAGCACAGAATTCTGGAGATTAATAAGTCTGCAGAGTTCATCCAATGTGGTTCCTTACCATTTGGGGATCATAAAACCCTTTGAAAAATATGATGACAGCTACAGAAACTCTCCCCAGAAAAAAAATATACATACAAAGATATATATGAAGACATATATACAAAATTCATACAAAAACATGCAATGTTGTTCACTGGCCAGGAGGCTAGTCCCTGGATCCCTGGGTTAAATAGCCCTTTGTTGACTGAGAAGGAACCTAAATCCCTACGAGGAAAATTAATTTACTGAGCACAGAGCTAGTTAGTGGAAGAAATAGTACTAGAACACAGGTCTCTTCTTCCCAGTCCAGAGGTACACTATAGGATGACAAAGGTGACCATGTCATTTATCATCTAAACCAGGACACTTTAGAAAATGAAAAGGTGGGCTATTGACAATTAAGACAACAGGTGTAAACTGAAACCCTTTGGGGCAAATCAGGACATACGGTCACTTCAGTCACACTAAAAACAGATAACCTCTTAGACCTGACACTTCTTTGTGCCAGAAAGCCAAAACCTCCCGAGAAAAAAATAAAATGTGAACTTGCAATACAACCTCTGAGTTTTATTCTACGTTGCTTTAAAGAGACCAAGCTTCTACCCTCTTGTCTGAGTTCTCATTAAATGCATATCACACATCTCATGAATATAACATACAAAGGAGATTATTATAACACTTTATAGCAACAGGATTTAAGTTCCCTTGAGACCTCCCAAGGGGCATCTCAATCAATTTTAGGTTTTATCAGCAACACGGTAGTGAACATCAGAACTTTCTCTTTGCTGCTGTTGGTAAAGTCAGTTTCACTCCAGAGGTTTGACCATTTCAGTCTGACTATGCAAAGAAAAGATAAGTAAAATTGATTCCATCGTAAAGAATCTCTCTAAAGGTCTAAATAATTCATATCAGTCTCAACCTTCAGGCATTATCTCAAGCAGTAAGCATATTCCAAAAGGCCCCAAACTTCCAGTACTTTCCCTTGTCAAAGCCACACTCATGCCCTTCACTCATTGGCTGGCCTTTCCTCTAAAGGGTCAAGCGACTGTCTCCATGCATCATGTTCTTAGAATGTTATTATAATATCAAGACTTTAAAAGAGAGTCTGTTTCTCAGCTTAGTGATATTTAACTATCCTAGCAAAGCCTCCAGTTCTGAATTACATTACTGTGGTCTACTTTGGGGCCCCAGATCAGCCACTCTCACTGGCTATGTGTTAAAATTACATAGTGAACTTTCAAAAAACTCTCACACTTGGGTTCCACCCCTGGAGATTCTGATTCATTGGCTACAGGTTGGGCCTGAGCATAATCATTTTTTCCAAAATTTTCCCAGGTGATTCTAACTTGCAGCCAGAGTTAAGAACTACTGCCTTAAAGAAAACCCAGTGGGCATTCCATAGGTAGTATCTACTGGCTTTTTCCTTTTCCCTTAAAGCTAGGGGAATGCAATGGGACATGATCTAGCACATGTTGGAGATGAGCTGGTGGGAAGGGGAAGAGAGCTTAAAGAGCTAACATACAGTCCTAGTAGACAGTGGTCTAGTAAATAGGCACAGCTGTACACAAACCTTCTGCCTTGACCCAAGTGGGTCTTGGGCATTAACAGCAAAGATCCTCAGAAGAAATCTCCTTGGCACTCAGGTACAAGAAATATCACATGCCTTCATTTTCTAAATTAATATATAATTGGCTCACCCCACACGTGCCAGTTGGTGGAGAATCCAGCTACAATCATTTTTCCATACAACCCTTCTCTACTTTTGCCTATACTCCCTCAGCCATATCTACACATCATAAGCCTCAAGGATTATGTCACTCAAGAAAACGGAACAAAGGCCCCTTTTCTTCTTGCCCACTCCCATGTAATTGCTGTCATCTTGATGTTTATTCATAATGCCACTGGTGTGTGGCATTCTCCCCTAGAGAGAATTGCAACTCCATATTGATCCAGGAGACATCAGAAGGGCAGTGGCAAAGAACAGGCTGCTACTCTTTGCCTACTCTTTGCCTCCCTACTGAGGGAGAAAAGCCCTGCAAATTCTGGGGCACTTCCTTATAAAAGAGTTCTGTTTCCTGAGAACTCTTTCTCAGCAAAATCTCTTTCTCATCTTTCTGTTTCTAACAATAAGTACTTCCCCCAAAAGGCTGCACCTCCTCTTCTCTTCTTCCCACCATCACCATGAAATCTGTAATGATTCAGCTTGACTCCTTTCATGCACCTTCTTAAACTATTTAAGTTACTATCTACTGTGAGTAGACACCACTATAGCTAATCCTTCTAAAGAAAGAATGTGCCAACAAAAAGGCAATGGCAACATAGAAAACCCAGGTGCTAAGAAGCAAACTTAGCAATGTGTGTCCAACTAAGTTGGACATACAAAGATATATATGAAGACATATGTACAAAACTCATACAAAAATCTGCATGCAATATTGTTAACTGACCAGGAGGCCAGTACACCCAAAAAACAGAAATTCTGAGTCAGGGCACTGAGGCATGCTTGGCCTAGAGAGGTATACTCAGCTGAAAGGCAAGAGTATTTCATAAGGTCTCCCCATGGTCTGGATGAAATCTTACTCCAGATAGTTTACTTACCAAGGAAGCTTAGGTATACTCACCCGGCTTCCCAGGTATCTTGACATAGAGAAAGTAATGGTGGTGGTGGAAACCATCAGGAGCTGAGATGCACATACTCTGGCCTCTTGGAATGCATCCTGTCCTGTAAGTTAATAAAATAGTAGTCTGTTTTTCTATTAGTTGCATGCAAATTTAATTATGCAAATGTCTCTGCAAGTCTGATCTTTTCTATATATCCTCGTATTTTATTTTTGTGCTTGCAAGAATTAAGCTTAAACAACCTTGTGAGGACTTTTCATAGTCAACTATTTGGCCTTCCTTCCCCTGGAAGCACCTCCTCCCCTCCTCAGTGTCTGTAGGCTTTGTCCGCTTCTTAGAACTTGTGAGCAGATGAAGGGGACCCCTAACATGGCAACAACAACGACCTGGAAGTGGAGAGTGCAAAAAATGACAAATCTGCTTTTTACAGCAGAGGCACTCAGATGCTGGACCCTACAGTGTGCAATAACCATGGGGATCCTAGATACTTTGCATTGCAACCATAGGAAGTCTCAATATGGTGTGTGTGTCCTCTAGTGCCTGGCACATGGCAGATGCTCCACATTATTGTATCTTGTGCACATTCTTTCCCTAAATGGGCATCCCAATATCTCAGGTTTAAAAACAGCCCAGCTATATCGATGTGCTACAATAACAATGGATAAATAGACCTAAATAAAATACTCATTCACAAATAGTGCCCGAGGCCTCAACCTTTTGCATTATATGGACAGGGGCCTGAGCTTACACTTAACTGGCAAAGGAAATTTGCTTGCAAAGCAATGTTTGACCCATTGAACAAGGAGTGCCCCAGGCAGAAACTAAAATGCTATAATCCAGTTTTAGAGAACTGCTTAAGCCACGCAGGTCTTTGGACCTGAGGTTTAGCCCAGCTCTACGACTGGCTGACCCGCTGTTCTCTACTATATTTGTTGCTTGATCTTTGACTTCACTTTTATAAGTAATGCAATCATTCTAACTCTAATTACTTAGAGCAAATCATTGACTTTGGCCATCAATTTTTTTTACCAGCAAGTTTTTAAACTACAATATTTTTATTTTTGTATCTAAAGATTAAGGTAGACATTCTCTGCTATTGTGCTACTTTTTAATTTTTTTAAGAGATAAGGTCTTGCTCTGTCATCCATGCTGGAGTGCGGTGGCATGATCATAGCTCATAGTAACCTAGAACTCCTAAACTCAAGGGATCCTCCTGCCTTGGCTTCTCAAAGTGCTGGGATTATAGGAGTGAGCCACTGCACCTGGCCAGAACTTTCTTTTTTAAATGAATTACTATGCACAAGCCCTTTGCTATACATGTAATTTCAGGTAATCCTTTTGATATAGTATCTCATACTCCCATAAATCCTATGAGGACTCATTACTTCAATTTACAGCTGAAAAATGAAGAAACAAAGAAACGGAGGCTCCAGGACATTTGGGTACGGGTTCCATGAAAAACTAGGTGTCCATAGCACCAAGCATATGCTTTGCTCCTTTGTGTGATGCAGAAAAATATAATTTTGTAGTCAAGATTCCCAAAGGGAACAAAAAAGTCACATTCACTTCACCTATTATAGTCCTTGAAGACAGAAACAAATCAATTATCACCTCATTTCTGACAAAGAATCATAGAGTGTGTCTCTAGATATGTTGGTCTGATGCTGACTGATTTATGCTGTGTGGGATTGGGCAGGGCACAAGCAAAAGGTACCATGACTCTGGGGAAGTGGTGGGTGGAGAAAGAAAGGGCACATTGCAAGATAGCTGATACGGAATATTCCGAAAAGTTGTGTTTCAGTTTCCTCTGAATTTGTCTCATTTTTTTCAGTAAGTATTCTTCCCTAAACTGTACTGTCTAAATGTCATAGGTAGAATTTGTTCAGCTATGAGGGTATCCCTTCTAGTAAAAGTTTGGAGATGTGTTAGTTATCTAGAGCTGAAAAAAGAATCACCCCAAAATGAAATGTGTTAAAATAACATTTATTATTTCATGGTTTCTATAGACCAGGAATCCAGACATGGCTTAGCTGGGTTCCCTGCTTTAGGATCCAACAGGTTATAATTAAGATGTCAACCAGGGTCACAGTCATCTCAAGGCTCAACAGACAGGTAAGAACTCGCCTCCAAACTCACTCACATGGCTATCAGCAGGACGAAGTTCCTCACCAGCTGTTGGACTCAGGGTCTCTGCTCCTTGCTGGCTGTTGGCTGGAAGCTACCTCAGTTCCTTGCTATGTGGGGCTTTCTATAGGACAGCCCACAACCTGGCAGCTTGCTTCAGCAGAGCAAGAAAGCAGAGAGGACCAGAGAGAGTGCGACCAAGACAGAAGAAGTCACGGAAGATTTTTGAAACCTGTGATGGCTAATTTTGTGTGTCAGCTTACTTGGCCACCCAGATATTTGGTTAAGCATTATGCTGGGTGTCTTTGTGAGGATGAAATGAACATTTAAATTGGTAGGCTGAGTAGAGCAGATTGCTCTCCTCAACATGGGTGGACCTCATCCAGTCAGTTGAAAACCTGAATAGAAGAAAAGGACTGACCCTCACTCGACCAAGAAGGAACTCCTCCTGCCTGACTGCCTTTGAACTGGGATATCAGCTGTTTCCTTCTTTTGGTCTCACACGGAAACACTGGCTGTTCCTGGGTCTCGAGCCTGCCAGCGTTTGGATGAAAGCTACACCATCAGCTTCTGGGTCTCCAGCTTGTAGACTCCACCTGCAGATCTTGGGGATCTTGAGACTTACTGACCTCTATAATTGCATGCTGTACATTACATGCTCTGTTTCTCTGGAAGACGCTGACAAGTACCTAATCTAACCTTGGAGGGGACAGCCCATCACGTTTGCCATAGTCTGTTAGTTAGAAGTGAGTCACTTGGTCTAGTCAACACTCAAGGAGAGAGGAAGATGACACATGTTGTGGGGTACCAGGAGGCGTGGGGTACCATGTTAGAAACAGGCCTAGTGTAGTGCATCGCCTGCCAAGTTAGAATGAAGAATGGAGATAACTGGAGGTGTGTGGAGCCGGCAGCAGGAGAGGAAACAGGAGAGGAGTTTGCATGTGGCCTTGGAAGTTACCCAGGGAGGTCACCTTTTAGTGCTTTCTCTCTGGCTGGTTAGGGATTTGCAACCCAAACCTAGGGTTTCATAGTGAAACAAAAGCATGAAACATAATCAGCATCCAGATCTGGCACACAGCAGAATTTGGCAAGTCTCAAAGCCTGTGGAGATCCAGGCACAGCAGAAAAAGCATAGATTTGGACTCAGAGGACCCAGATCAGAGCTCCACAGAGCCACGCAATGAACTTGGCCAAGCTGTACGAGGACTCTGAGGTGGGGCTCTGTCTTCCCATCTGTGAAATGAGACTAATGGCACCTTCTTCACAGAAATGCTGGCAACATTAAATTAAATTCTCATTTCCTTAAAAGTGTTCCATTGAAAGCTAGTTCAGCAAAAATATGACTAGACAGAAAAGGATTACACTAACCATTCAATGTGAGAAATTCTGGGTTAAAAGGTGAACCAATCCTCTTCCTACAGCGTCTGAGGGTCATTGAGAGGTACTGAGTATTCTGGGCCTGCAAAAGAAAGGCAGATGAGTCAGTGTTAACCAAACAGATTTGGCTACCACACTTTCTCCAAGAGAATCTTATGTGACTTGTGTTAAATAATGAATTAAATAACACAGGTATAAATGTTTACCCATGGAGCCTGGCAGATCACCCACATACAGTCAGTGTATGTTGACTCTGAATCAGATTATAACACAGTAGTCATGGCAGTAAGCCACAGTGAGATGACCGGGACCAAAATCACAGATGTCCTAGCATTTGGGTGATAGAATAAATCAATCTCCTGCTACTAGATGTGACTATCCTGTGGATAAATAGCGGGACTACTAGGTTGGGCTTACTAGGTAGTGCTCTGATAGATTCTCTCTCTCTCTTTCTCTCTCTCTCTGTATATATACATATATATATGTTTTCATTGGCTGCATGGAGCTTTAGTTTTTATTTTTATTTTTCAGAGACAGAGTCTCACTCTGTCATCCAGGCCGGAATGGAATGGTGCAATCATAGCTCACTGCAGCCTTGATCTCCTGGGCTCACACAATCCTCCCACCTTAGCCTCCCAAGTAGCCAGGACTACAGGCACATGCCACTACACCTAGCTAATTTTTTTTTTATTTTTATAGAGACAGGAGCTCCATATGTTGCCCAGACTGGTCTCAAACTCCTGGGCTCAAGCAATCTTCCCGCCTCATCCTCCCAGAGTGCTGTGATTATAGATGTGAGCTGCGCCCAAGCGGCCCTGATAGAGTATTTTTTTTTTTAAACATCAGGCCAGACCATACTCCTGTAGAAAGGGAAGAGGTTTACTCCTGAAAAGAGAGGCTAGTCCCAGTGTCACACTTATCTGAGGAGGAGGTGGGAAAACGGCACTCTGAAGGCAGGCCTTAGCCAGATAGGACAGAATTCCTAGCCTTTCTCTCTCCCTCTGAACTTTGAGTTGGCTCAGTTGGCTTGGGAGCAAAGCTTAAAGATGGCTTTGGACACACAAACCCAGCCCTGAAGAAGACAAGAAGGCATCCGGTAAGATATCTCAAGCTGAAGACTAACGCATCTTACTTTACAAAGTGTATTTCTCATTTTATGTTCCTCTTTTATTCGATGTTTTTGTTAAAAATCTAGCCTTCTGTGAGAGCCTTTAAAAATGCTTCAGCTGTGCTGGAGGAACTAAGGTCATGCTGGGGGTGCATGCTAGGAGAGGCGTGTCATCTGAGGCCAGCATGATCATGCCTGGTGTGACTCTTGGAGTGAACTTCTCAGTTCACATCCCTGGCCCCTTCCCAGGGACTTGCCCCGATTCAGTGAGGTGAGTTCCAGAGGTCGTGTCTTTACTTGGTGACATGAGCCAGGGCTACTTTCTTCAGGGCTGAATGCCTAAATGAAGCCGGGCTAATCATATTGTCTTTCCTGGAAATGTGGAGATTTGTGTTCAGAGGACCGGCACCTGAGGGTCCTGGAGCTGAGCCACAGAGCATCCTAAAGGGAAAGTCCAGATATTCCCACAGTTAAGGTCTCTGGAGCCTCCCTACTTCTTACCCTGCTGAGGTTTGGTTTTTAAACTCAGATCTTCTCAATACATTTTTCTTTTTACTTAAACTGGACAAAGTCTGTTTCTCCCCCTTTAATCAAATGAATCTCAATTAATACATAGCAGCGGCAGTCAATTTTTTTTTTTTAAAGAAATCTCCAAAGGCAAGGTAAGTAGTGGCGTATAGGAATAGCAGGCTTGAAGCTCTACCATTCAGTGGTAACCCTAAGTAAATCCCTAAGTGGAGAATCCTAAGTAAAATAGAGGTACAGTTACCAAATAATCAGGGTAGATCCCAGGGGTCAAAATCTGAGGAGAGTTAGCCTCAGGGAAGTGGAGCCATGATGTACCAGCAGCTGAGCACCAAGGAGAAAACAGAACACAAAGCATTAAACAGGCTGCCCAGTGGATGGTCAAAATAGGGGACAGGTGTGAGCAGAGTTTAGCTAAGGAGCTAAAGTTCAGAGGAATGACCTCAGGCTTAGACAAACTGAAACTCAGGGCAGGGACACAAGTCAGGGTGACAAAACACTACCCAGTGGGATCATAGGTCAAAGCAGAAGCCCAGTTACCAGAACTGGAGCACGAGGTCAGAGCAGGGCAGCTCATCAGTGTGTAACCAATGCTGCTGGACTCCTCAGTTTCCCAACAAGGGACAGGTCTGGTCCCACAGTCTGGAGCAGGGCTAAGGCTGCAGGCAGGGGTGAAGAACAAGGCAGCCGGGGTGTGGGGACAGGGAGTCAGTGCTCACACTGCGATCTCGCAGCCTTCTTCTCCATAGTGACACAGCCCTGGGGCCTCTGCTCAGCCCCTGAGCTTCCAAGCAGAAAGAGCTGTAGGAGAGGATGAAGTAAGTCAGGGAAACGGAGCCACCGTCATCAGCCTGGAGCCCTTGTCCTGCATGGAGTGGCGCGTGGGGGCGGAGGAGAGGGAGAGCTGCTTTTGTTTGTTTATTTCCTCATAGCAACTCACAAACTTAGCCAAATACAGATACAAATGAAGTGCATGAAAACTTTCCTAACTTCCTGACTCAGAATCGTTACTAAATATATAGATCAGATGTAGGCGGACGAAGGCAGAATTGTAGGTTCCACCTAACAGTCCTCAAACACTGCTGCCCCTGTGCCCCTCCATGTAGAAAGAGCTCCCAAAGGTCACCAGGATGTGCTTGCCGTTTTGCTCAGTATTTTCTAAAATAATCAAAATGGAAACTGAAAATTCACCTTCCTCATGTCTCCTAACCTCAGAGGAGCCAAGCACAACTGGAGAGGCTTGGTCGAAATTGATGATTGATTGATTAGTTATCCTCTCTTTAGTGCCCTCTCTCACCTTACTCCTCATTTACTCCTGTGACAGGCCATGACGGGGGCTCACAGGACTGAAGATATGGCTACAGTTCCCATGGGGTGCAGGTGATTCCAGCAGGCTGAGACGAAGTTTCAGCACAGAGGGCATGGATGAGTTGGTGTTTCCATGAGAGGAAGGATTGGATAGGTCACGCATTCTGAAACAGATTTGCAAGGGTCTTTAGAAGTTATCTGGCTCCAGTGTGCATCATCTGATGAAACTGGTTTATCTAGCAGTTGGCAAAGGGTAAGGTTATTCTTAATGAATATTTCCATGAGGGCCCAGGATTAGGTGTATCAACATGTTCATTCCTAGATTTCAGCTGTCCTTGAAGAAACTGGTAGAGGGGAAGGGAGAGGGAGTGGAGGCAATTGTAGAATAGAGAGGATCATATCAGACCTTGTCATGAAGGTAGTGTAAGCCTCAAAAGAATTTGTCACCAAGCTCCACAAAAGAAATAAAAACTTTTCCCTTCTTCCTTTTGTAATCTACCTTTACTGAATTTGGACTACATAAACTCATTTGTTTTCAATTTAACCGCTATGTGATTAGTGGGGTAGGTTGCCAGAATATGCAGAAAAGAAAATAAAAATACTGTAAATCAAGTTTTCCCATTCTTCACCCCTGCCGCCTTTGCATTTGGGGACCTTCAAAGCTCCTGGCAGGATGTGGCTTTGACTCTGGGTTTTCTCATGTACAGCCCTTAGAAGAGTGCTTGGCACATAACAAATGCTGTGTAAGCATTTGCGATTAGTAGTAACATTTGTAGTCACATTTGTACCTTTCATGTAGAATTCCCTACCCTTAATCCAGCCAACTCCTACCTTCCCTGATAGACCACGGCCTTCATCACTGTCCAGGGCTTAGGGCTTACAGAATTTAACTCTGAATACTTTGATTAAAATCATTGTTTCTACAGATGAGAAAGTTAAAAAGGACTCCCCACTTTATGTAGCTCTTGGAGAGGGAACTTGATGATTAAGCTACTCTCAATTATTAATACTGAGAAGAAGAAAAATGTGCAGGCAGTCCTCACTGCCATCCCCTCTTAAATTCCATCCATCTGCTGCCTGGATGGTGCTGACAAACCCCTATTTCACTTTTCACTTCATTGATTCACTCATTCAACAGTTTCCCTGCTGATTCATCCGTCTCAAAGTCAACTTGTTAACATTTTACCTTACCAATTCAGGAACACCAGCGGTTGGAAAAAGAATGTAAGTACTGGTTACTCCATAGCAGGAGATGAAAAGATGATTCATTCCTTACCATTCCTCTGCTTTCAATTACTTTTGTAAGAATACCATGTAGCAAAAGCTGAGGTGCCCTGCATGCAGTCAAAAACGTATTTTTGCACCTTTTTCATTCATGGATCCATAGGATTCTACTAGACAGTCCTCTCCCATTTAGGATTGTCTGTTCTCAATATCATAGACTAAATACAAACAACTGTGAAAGGCAGCTGTTCACAATGAAGCAGCCACAAAGCTAAGCACAAAGGTATTCTGCAGTGGTTTTTGAGCTTCAACTATCCAACTTGATTCATTCCCTGTAAGTCCAGTTTTCCCTAGCCTGCAAACATAAATAAGGAAAGTCATTTTCCTATTATTTACAGCAACTTCAAGACTCCATTTATCAAATTAGCTGGGCCACAGTCCCCTTCCCCAGGAATCCTCAAAGGTGGTGGTATTTCATGTGCTTTCCTGAGTCAGTTAATCTCTGCTTCCATGGGCTCAGGCCATCAATCTCCACTCCGTCCACTGGCCACTTAGGCCAACTGCCAGTTGCCATTTACTCCTCTAGAACTGCTGACCTGCCTATGGCGAATGCTGCTATTTCCATGCCACTCTTGGTTGAGGAGGGAAGGGAAAAGTGGGATGCACTCCCTCCCTGTTCCTTGCGTGTCTGGTGTATAAGAGATATTTCCTTGACACAGCTGAAACCAGGCTGTAACTTTTGACAACACTTCATTTAAGGTCCTGAGATAACAGGGGGGAATAGTAACCTTGCAGCTCCAAATGTAGTTCATGCACAGCAGCCTCAGCATCACCTGGGAGTTGGAGAGCAATTCGAAATCTCAGGTCCCATTCCAGTCTTCCTAAACAGTGTGCATTTTAACAAAACATTCAGGTAATTTGTATGCATGTTAAAGTTCGAGAAACATGAATTTCTTTTTTAAAAATATTTTTATTATACTTTAAGTTCTGGGGTACACATGCAGAATATGCAGGTTTGTTCCATAGGTATACACGTGCCATGGTGGTTTGCTGCACCCATCAACCCGTCATCTATGAGAAACAAGAATTTCAACACAGACGAACTTTCATCTGCATGCCACATATCCATCACTGGCCTCTCCACATTCACCCTCCACCCTTTTCCACCTTTGTTCTCTGCTTAGGATGTTGACCTCTCTTGACTGCATGGGTCAGGGCCTTCTTTCCCTACGGCTTCAGAGGATAGGAGGAAAATTGGGTTAGTTTGACCTCAGGCTGGCTGCAACCCTCTGGATTGTGAATTGCCTTGAGGAAGCCCAACTCACTTCCTTGGTCTTAGACCTGCTATGGAGGGCCCCATTTCCTTATCCAGAAATCGCTTCCTTTCACATATGATTAGTAGTGTGAATGTCCACCCTTATCAACCACTTTTATGGTTTCCCCCAGACCCAATACAACAATAACACTAAAACAGTCTGGGCGAACGGCTTACGCCTGTCATCCCAGCATTTTGGGAGGCCTAAGGTGGATAGATCACCTGAGGTCAGGAGTTCAAGACCAGCCTGGCCAACATGGTCAGAAACCCTGTCTCTACTAAAAAAATACAAAATTAGCTGGGCATGGTGGCATATGTTTGTAATCCCAGCTACTTGTGAGGCTGAGGCAGGAGAATTGCTTGAACCTAGGAGATGGAGGTGGCAGTGAGCCAAGATCACATCATTGCGCTCCAGCTTGGGCTAAACAGTGAAACTCCATCTCAAAAAAAAAAAAAAAGAAACCCAAAAAGCAAAAAACAGTGGCCCAATATTAGAACATTCTCCAACATCCACTTATCTAGTCTTGGAGAGCAGTTCATCTAAGACATCCATAGTCCTGCCCGGACCGATCAGTAAAAGCATAGTCTTCTGCTTTGGAACAATCTTTTCTGCAGTGTTAGGGCTGGATTTGCATGTTCTTCCAGCCAGCATATCCATCACAGCACGTAATATCCTGAGAAACAGCTCAAAGTGGAATAAACATATCTCCCCTTGAACCCATCACAGCTTTTGAAAGTTATAGGAGGGCCTCCACCCTTGCCCAATTATAATCCATTCTTCAATCAGGAACCAGAGTCCTCCTCCTAAATTGCAAATCAGATGTCACCCTTCTGTATAAAGCTTTATGCGGACTCAGTTTGTACGTAAAACATAAACCATGGCGTTGCAGTTCAGTTTTTCCAAGAAGCAGATCCTGAGATGAAGGTCAGTATATAGGAGGTTAATCGGTGAGTACTCTCAGGGTCAACTCCTGTGGAGGACATGAAGGAGGCAGGATTGGACAGAGAAGGAAACAGTTGCAGCAAAAGCTGCCACCAGTCCCACAGAGCTTTGGAACCTGCATGACTATGCAGCGTCATCCTTAATTGAATCAAAAGGAGCCCAGCCTTTGTATGTTAGCATTGCCAGTCATTCCTGGGCTGCCCTATGGAAAACAAGTGTGACCTTGGACCACCACCAGGCTCTCTTCAGCCAAGGGCAATTCCCAGTGGGACTTCAGCTTCAAACTGGCATTGCCCACACTCTTGGCAGCTGGGAAAAGGAGTGCTCCTTTCCAAAAAGTGGTGCGCTGGAGTTGGACCGGATAGCATAACACGGTCTACTACTCATGATCTGTACAATTCTCCAGGATCTGGCCCAGTGTACCTGTGTAACGTTGTCTTACCCACTCACCACCCACTGGACTGGAGTCTCATTGGCCTCCATCTGGATTCCTCGGGGACTCTGTACTTACTGTCCTCTTACCCAGACCGCACCCCCTGCATCTTTGTGTGGCTGGTGTCTTCTCCTTCAGGTCTTAGGTCAGAGATCACTGCCACAAAGACACCTTCTTTGACCACCTGTTTAATGTAACTCTCACACTTCATGTGCTTGTGGCTGTTAATGTCACACTGCTTATTTCTTTCATAGACCTTATCACAAAATGGCATTATGTATTTTCTTCCTTGTTTAAGTGCTGCTCAAAAGCTTCTTTAGGGCAGAGACTTTTTGTTGCTCTTCTTTATTCCTTTCCCCCAATGCCTAGGGTAGTGACCAAAACATAGCAGATGCTATAAATCAATGAATGAATGAACAGTGCGTTCTGAATTGGAGTTGTTTTTATACTTTCATGCTTTTAGAGGCATGGCTTCCTCTAAGTGGAGTGCATTGTCTTTCCTCCTAACAAATTCGCACTTGGCTCAAACGTCAGCTTCTCTGTAAAATACTGTCATCTGCTCATATGACCCCCTTCCCTTTCTCATCTTGCCACCCTCAGCTCTCTATGGCTAGCACAATGCCTAGCACAGAGGAAGCAGTGATAACATTGAATGCCCACTGTGTGCCCAGTATTGCTATGTGAACAAAACAGACAAAATCCTTGCCCTTGTGAAATTTATATTCTAGTTGGGGAAGACAGACATAAACAAAATAAATAATTTAACTATATACTTCTGCAGAAAACAGGGCTAGAGAATACTAGGTGTTATTGCAAAAATTAAAAAGAGTAGCCAGAGAAGATCTCACTGAGTCCTGAGCTTCTTCAAGGAGCAGCAAGGGAACCAGTAGGACATGAGCAGTGAGTGAGGGAGAGAACGGCAGAAGAGATCAAAGATGTAACGGGGCCAGACCATGAGGAGTCTTGTAATCACTGTCAGTGAGAAGGGAACCATTGGAGGCTCTTTCTGAGCCGAGGAGTAACACAACCTGACTTAGGTGTTGAGGGCGTCTGTATGTAGCTGGGCGCAGTGGTGGCACCTGTAATCCCAGCTATTTGGGAGGCTGAGGTGGGAGAATTGCTTGAGCCCAGGAGGCGGAGTGATCCAAGATCACGCCACTGCACTCCAGCCTGGGCGACAGAGCGAGACTCTCGTCTGGAAAAAAAAAAGAGAGAGAGAGAGAGAGCAGGTGGTATGGAGGCAAGTGTGGAAATCAGGAGACCTCCTGGGGCCAGTGGCCCAGGTAAACTTGGATTTCGCTGATGTCACCGGAGGTGGTAAAAAGTGGACAGGTTCTGGATATATTTGTAAGATAGAGCAATCAAGATCTGTTTGTAGATTGGATGTGAAATGAGCCAGAGGAGTCAAGGACTACCCAGCATTTTCGTCTAAGCGTGGAGTTTCCATTCACTGGATAGGTAAGATGGCAGGACAAGCAGGTTGCTGAGGGGGAGAGTAGAAATAAGGCATCGGGTAAGTTTGAGATGCCTAAATAGATACCCAAAATGGAGATAGTAAGTTGCTCATCAAGTAGAAAGGAAACCTGGGATCCAAATGCAGAAAAGACTTTTCTGAGAATGAGTAACTGCAGCAAACCATGTGCTCGATCAAGAAGAAGCTTTATGAAAGCAATAAAAGAAGAACTCTGTTGCAATACCCAAAACATGGATTTCATAACAATATATTTTTGTACAATACTTTAAAATTCTGAACTATGCCTGGACTTTCATTATATTACACGACTGCTGCGTTGGAAATATCTTTGTGTGAGGGAAGATAAAAGAAGCCAACACTTAATGGTCTTTATTTTCTGTTCCTTTTCTTTGTCTTTCTTTTGCCCCTCTCTCTTCATTCTCCCTCTCCTTCTCCCTCTTCCTCTCCACTTTCATATTTTCATGTCTCCTGCCAATGGCCACCCAAGGCATTCTAGGCATTTGATTCTCTCCCCCAAAACCAAAATTCCTCTTTTAAGAGTTTTGTGAATATAATTAGAGGAAAATACTTAGCACCACTTTGCATTTCTTTTGGGAAATACCAGTGATATGGTTAGGATATTTGTCCCCTCCAAATCACATGTTGAAATGTGATCTTCAGCACTGGAGGTAGAGCCTAATTGGAGGTGTTTTGGTCATGGGAGTGGATCATAAGTGGCATGGTGAATTCCCATAGTAATAAGTGAGTTCTCATTCAGTTCACATGAGAGCTGGTTGTTTAAATGAGTCTGGCACCTCCTCCGCTTTCTTGCTCCCTCCCTCACCATGTGACATGCTGGCTCCCCTTCACCTTCTGCCATGATTGAAAGTTCCCTAAGGCCCCCACCAGGAGCAGCTGCCAGCACCATGCTTCCTGTACTGCCTGCAGAACCATGAGCCAAAATAAACCTGTTTTCTTCGTAAATTACCCAGTGTTAGCTATTTCTTTATAACAATGCAAATGAATTAATGCAACCAGGAAACAGAAGGGAACACTTCACAATATACAATTAAAGTACAAAATTAGATTGGATCTCAGAAATACAAAAGGTCAAGGTTTTCATCATGAAATAAGAAAATGGATATATTTGAAATGGTAACTATATTGTTCTTGTATACTCATGGAGAAGGCAAAAAATGCATTGCAACTTTTCTAAAACTCATTGTAGGAAAAATTATTTTCTTATATACTTTAATTAGTAACGGATACACAACAAGGTTTAAAATTACTTGGGCTTAAATTTTTTAAATTACCTCATTGCTTACAAGTACCTATATTTGGTTTTAATCTTCAGTTGGAGCATTTCCTAATGTCACTGAAAAAAACTAAATTCAATAAATTTTAAAATGAGTTATTACTTACCTGAGGTTATTTTTATAAAAATAAAGAAACATTGGGTCACACTGTAATTGGCAGGATTGTTTTCTCTTAAGGGTAGATAAGATAATAGTGTGTTATATAATTAATGCTATCTTAAATTTGATGAATTACAGTACTAAACTAGGTATATATACAAACTAGGTATATACACAAGCCTAAGTGTGTGCATATGTATAAAAATGTAGACATAAGGCCGCACACAGTGGCTCATGCCTGTAATCCCAGAACTTTGGGAGGCCAAGGTAGGTGGATCACGAGGTCAGGAGATTGAGACTATCCTGGCTAACACAGTGAAACCCTATCTCTACTAAAAATGCAAAAAATTAGCCGGGTGCAGTGGCGGGAGCCTGTAGTCCCAGCTACTAGGGAGGCTGAGGCAGGAGAATTGCTTGAACCCGGGAGGCGGAGCTTGCAGTGAGTCGAGATCGCACCACTACACCCCAGCCTGGGCGACAGAGTGAAGCTCTGTCTCAAAAAAAAAAAAAAAAATGTAGACATAATGCCATTTAGATTAGTACCATAAATGGGTTAATAATTTAATATCAAGAATCTTAGATTTATTTGTAAATGGAGAATATTTATTTCTTCAACAAGTATTTTTCCAGAACATATTTGTTGAAGGCATACGACATGGTTTGGATATTTTGTTTCTGCCAAATCTCATGTTAAAATTTGACCTCCAGTGTTGGAAGTGGGCCTAGTGAGAGGTGTTTGGATCATGGTAGCCATGGTGGTGGATCATTCATGAATGACTTGGTGCCGACTTTGCGGTAATGAATTAGTTCTCACTCTGTGAGTTCACACAAAATCTCGTTGTTTAAAAGAGTCTGGGATCTCCCCCATCTCTTTCTCTTGCTCCTTATCAACATGTGACATGCCTGCTCCCACTTCACCTTCCACCATGAATAAAAGCTCCATGAGGCCTCACCAGAAGCTCTGCAGATGTCAGTGCCATGCTTCTTGTACAGCCTGGAGAACTGTGAGCCAATTAAACATCTTTTCTTTATAAATTACCCAGTCTCAGGTATTCCTTTATAGCAATGAAAACAGACTAATAAAGCATAGGTCAGTTGTGCTGGGTGCTAAGAATACTACAGTAAACAAAACACACATAGTTCCTATTCTTAGAAATTTCGGTTCACTTAGGGATATAGGCAATAAAAGAAATAAAGTGTCATAAATGTTTTAATAGAAGAAATTAGGTATGCATTATGAAAATAGAGCAGAGAGACTTGAACCTATAAATTCTTGTTGAAGGAAGTGATATTTTGGACTTAATCTAAGAAAAAACTGAAGTTAGCCAGTAAATGTGAGATGTGTGTCTGTATGTCAGGTGTGGTGGTGCTGAGATATTTTTAATATCATATTTACTTGTGATTTACCAAGTCTCTTTTAGAAAACATATATTGCCATTCTTTCTTGGAAGGAGAAGCAGAAGAAATAAATGTAGGCATTAATACTACCAACACCAAGTTCTGTCGTCTGAGATACCTACACATTTTCCTACCAACGAAAAGTCATAGTCTATTCTGAGAAGCCAACATCCCTCATAGAAAGGTTAACCAAAACGGCAAAACCAACAGGTACTAAGTAGGATAAGTCAAATATTAGGTGCTGTCTGATCCTTAGTAGGAACAATATTCTGAGATGCAAATTTATTTTTATTCTGCAGTTTGACAATAACTTTTATGGCCATGGCCAGTTTCATCTGAAATGATTGGTTCCAACTGATCTAAGTGAAAGGAAATGCTTTAGAGTTTTGCACAATGAACACTACCTCTCAGACAATGAGTTGGCCCATTCATGTGGTCTGCTGGCCAAGTCCACCTCGTTTTAGCCATATAATCATGCAAAGGATCTCTAGAGGCCCCACTCAGATGAGCCCAGAGAAAACTGAAGAAGAGAGAGCCGGTCTTTAGTGGGCTCAGGCTGGGACCATTGGCTCAGACAGGCCTCTCAGGACTTCATATCTCTGCACCGTCGCCTGTGCCTTTAGATTTCATCACTCTACACTAATTTTCACAGCTGTACTGTAAAATCCATAGGAAACTCTCAGAAGCTACTGAAAAGGTAAGAAAAAATGAATCACAGTAGATATGTTTGGTTCAGTTATGAACTAGATTCAATTTTTTAGCATTTATTATGAATAATCTCCTCCAAATCAAAGGAAATTGGTAAACCTAAGCACTAATGAAGACACAGGGACCAAAGTTCATCAATAATGAGAAGTAAAATCATTTATGAATATTCTAGATGCATATCTCATAATGCATATAATAAAAAAATGAGTTTTAACTAAAAATTTCATGAGAATAAAACTAATAATCCAATCTGTCGCTGACAAGTGGACTTATGGTTTAAAGGCCAAAAAGCTAATTAAAACTACAATAAAAGAGAACTTGCTAGTGATTATTGGCAGGATACATGTGACTGGGTTTTTTTTAGGTGTACATATACAGGTATGGAAAGAAAAGGCAGAGAGAAGGAATGGGACAGAATACCACAATTTCTCTAGAATATAATCCCTTGGGTTTAATTAAGGGGAATAAAGAGAAGATAATGGAAGATATGAGCCCTGTACAAGATTTGGACTCTCATCTAATTTAAAAGAATGTTTACAGAGGATGTTACATTGAGTGATGCCAAAACAAAGGAGAGAAATATGAGCCATAGCACAAGGTAGAATATGAGAAATAGAGAGAAACAAAGCAGAAACAGATGGGACAATGTTTAATCCTTGTGGACCAGGTGGAAGTGAGGAGGGAAGAACAGTCTACAGAGAGGGAAGTCTGCAGAAAGCATGGAGAGGGGCAACTAAGGGACGTGTTGAAAGAATATTAATCAATAATTATCATCAAGTGATAGGATCCCAAGCTGGAAAATAAAAAGGAAGAGCTCTGCTCAGAGATAAACTTCAAATGTAAACCAGTGTGTTTTTCTCATTGTTTGTACATGTGGATTTGCATTGAGCCACTCCATTTATATAGACAGTTGCAAACAGTGTATGGTTAGCCCAGTATGGCTGGCCAGGAGGTATTATTTGTCCTGCATAGTGATTTTGTATTTGTTTATGTTCTTATGCCAGCATTTAAATATTGGCATCATTTTCTTTCTAAAAAATAACAAATTTCTAGCTTCTCTTTAAAAATTAGAAAATCTGGCAACACAGGGATCATTTGCCCGATTTGCTCCAATCAACATCAGCCCGTTTCATTTGTTATTGTTACTTGACCCTGCAGACATTTCTGGACAGGGTCCAGAAATTCTGTGACCTCCTCTTCTGCCCTTGTCACCAGCATCTGACATTTTCAAGACACCTAATCAGAGACAGAGGGGGCCTAAGAATGCACAAAATAACTGACTGAGCCCATGACTTATTCCTTACTAGCAGTACTTTATTATAGCAATTTTAAAATTCTGTCAAAGTTAGTTATCTTTATGTCTTCCTACTAAATTCAGAAGTCAACTGGGGTGGCGAAGGGGAGCTATTAAAAAAAAACAAAAACAAAAAAACCTCAACTAGAATCTTATCCATTATTTCCTTCCCAGAACCTACTATATAACCAATAAGTGATTAAGTGAATCTTGTAAGCCATAGAGACTCCCACAGTAACCAAGCACTGGACCAGAGGCCCAAAACACAAGCTGGGCCAACACCCATGGAAACTGATGAATCACTGGTATATAGTCCATCTGCTTTGTGGAAACTACCTGAGTCTGTTCCAGCCCACCTGATACATATCATTTGACAACTGGAAAGGAAAATGTGGGTCTGTTGATATGGGAAAGATACTTCTGGACCAAAAAAAGAGAACTCCAGGAGAAATGTAAGGGAACATTCAAATAAGCTATATATGGTAGAGTCCAATTTTAGTCACTACAACACAAATGTTTGGGGGGGGTAGTGTTGGCAGCAGGGGTGGAGAAAAGGCAGTGTTCTTTCATTTCTATAGTAATCTACTATTCTCAAGCTTCCAGTCTTGACGATTCAGAGGTATGAACTTGTTGACTAAAAAATGTTTTTAAGAATTTTTTTAAAACCACAGTCTCCTCTAATTTAAAGCAGGTAAGTTTGCAGTCCCATCAAAGTTCAAACACTTTAGTGAAGCTATTTCTGCCTTTACAAGCAGACTTCCTTCCCTCTCCTCCCTCTCAATACCGCATCTGTACGTGATAGAGGTAAAAGGGGCCTGGGGTCACAGGGCCTTCCTCTGAATCACCTGGGGATGATATTGATGACTTCTTACAAGGTGGCTGGTCTGATCTGGTCCTGGCTATACTGCGTTACATTGGATCTTGCAATGTGGCTAATCCCACAAGTCCTTTTTGTTATGGGATGGTTCTGCACTACAATTCATTCTGATGCTAATCACTGCAGTTAGTGCCAGATTTCTCAGATTTTAGGGCACAATCTAAAGCAAAACTGCCCCACTTCAGATGCTAGTCACAAGTTTGGGGATCCTCAGGCCACTAGCACTTCTGACCAACTGGCTACAAATCCAGAAGGTCTCCATGACCTCCCTTAGGTTTGATAATTCACTAGAATGACTTACAGAACAACTTGCAGAACTCAGGGAAAGTGCTCTACTTACAATTACAGTTGTATTATAAAGGATACAAATCAGGGCCTGTCAAATGAAGAGACTCATAAGGAGAGGTCGAGGGAAAGGAGGTGGTCCCAAACATAGAACTTCCGTGCACTCTCCCCATAGAATTACATGTCACCCTTCCAGAAAATCAATGTGCTGACCAATCAGGAAGCTTCACTGAGCTTTTGTGTCCAGAGTTCTTATTGGAATTTTTTTTGAGGCAGGGTCTTGCTCTGTCTTCCGGGCTGGAGTGCAGTGGTGTGATCATAGCTCGCTGCAGCCTCAACTTCTCAAGGTCAAGCGATCCTCTTGCTTCAGCCTCCTGAGGAGTTGGGACTACAGGTGTGCAGCACCACACCTGGCTAATTTAAAAATATATATATTTTGTAGAGACAGGGTCTTGCTATGTTGTCCAGGCTGGTCTCAAACTCCTGGGCTCAAGTGATCCTCCTGCCTCAGCCTCCCAAAGTGCTGGGATTACAGGCGTAAGCTACCAAGCCTGGCCTGGAATTTTATTATGTAGACATGATTAATTGAATCATGGCCACATGATTGAACTCAACCTCTAGCCTCCTTCCCTGTGCAGAGGTTGGGAAGGTAGGCTGATATCCTGTGGCTCAACCTTCTAATCACATGGTTGGTCTTTCTGGCCTGCGCTTATCCCAAGTCACCTCATTAGCATAAACTATCAGGGGCCATCATGAATGAAAAAAGATACCCCTCTCACTCAGGAAATTCCAAGGGTTTAGAAGTTCTCCCTGGGAACCAGAGAAAAAGACTAGACAAATTCTTTATTATATAATAAATAGACACCCACCACTAAAGTTCAGGTCACAGCTATAATCTCCCATCTCAATGTCTCTGCATTCTATGGCTTTCCAGTCTAGACTCCAGGCCTCTTCCAGTCCACCTTCTCTCGGCATTTCTGCACCAGCTCCCACCTGGCGATGTGAAACTTCTGGTTGCTTTTCTGCAAACATCCCCCTATGCATGAGACCCACCAAGGCTTCAGGCACCTCCCTCAATTTGAAATGGAAACTGAAATCAACAAAAAAGAATGAAGATGGCTGGAAATGGAAAAAATATAAAACATGTATTAATTTTTTAGTGTCTTCAAATGATTAGCTTTTTAGGTTATTCGAAAGATGGCTATGTAAAGCAAATATATGTAGTGGGTTTTTTTTTATAGTGGTTTTTATAATATATGTAGAAGTATATTAAAATAGCAAAACATTTAGAAAGGGAGAAAATGTAAGTATGTTATTGCAAATTTCTTAGCTAAAGTAGTATAATATTATTTTAAATGGGTTACAATAAGTTAAAGATGCATGCTGTAAACCATAACAGGTTTAGTTAATATAGGCTTTGAAATAAGACACAATGATTTTCAAAGCAGAGGGTATCTTTGTCAGTTCAAGTTGCTATAACAAAGTACCATAGTCTAGTCTTGGTGGCTTAGAAACAACAGAAATTTATTTCTCACAGTTCTAAAGGCTGGAGGTCTGAGATCAGCATGCGGGCATGGTTTGGTTCTGGTGAGGTCCTGCTTCCGGTATTCAGGTTGCTGTCTTGTTGTGGTATCCTTCCATGGTGCAAAGAGAGTGAGAGAGCTCTCTGGGGTTCTGGGGATCTTTTTTTTTTTTTTTTTTTTTTTTGAGATGGAGTTTCACTCTTGTTGCCCAGGCTGGAGTACAATGGTGCGATCTTGGCTCACTGCAACCTCCACCTCCCAGGTTCACGCAATTCTCCTGCCTCAGCCTACTGAGTAGCTGGGATTACAAGCATGCACCACCACGCCCGGCTAATTTTGTATTTTTAGTAGAGACGGGGTTTCTCCATGTTGGTCAGGCTGGTCTCGAACTCCCAACCTCAGTTGATCTGCCCGCCTTGACCTCCCAAAGTGCTGGGATTACAGGCATGAGCCACCGCGCCCAGCCAAAAGAAAGAGTTCCACATGACTGGGGAGGTCTCACATCATGGCAGAAGGTGAAGGAAGAGCTAAGGGACATCTTACATGATGGCAGGTAAGAGACCTTGTGTAGGGGAACTCCCACGTATAAAATCATCAGATATTGTAAGACTTACTCACTACCACAAGAACAGTATGGGGGAAACCACCCTCATGATTCAATTTTCTCCACCTGGCCCCGCCCTTGACATGGGGGGATTATTACAATTCAACATGAGATGTGGGTGGGGACACAGCCAAACCATATCAACACCTCACTTAAGGGAATGCTATTGGAGGGAGTGGAGGGGATAGAAAGACTTTCCCATTTATACTTTATACAAAATATTTTTGTATTTTCTTGTATTTGTGTGTTTAAAACCTTTTAAATATTTAATATACTCTTGATTAAAATACGTACATACTCCTCCTCTTGTTTTCAAGCAAGAATGAAGTGCTGAGAGGGACATATATGGGATAATGAGGGAGCCCAAAGGTGAGCCCCAGACCAGCTGCCCTGAGTCACAAGACCCAGGTCATCCTCATCTCATGAGATAATATCTGGGGAACACAAGACAGGTTTTGCTACCATCAAGATGGATTGATAGTATCAGGCTCTCTAACCCTTCCCCAGACTCAGAGAGCTCCTATGGAACTCTCCTTTCTCTGAATGGTCTCAGCCCTTCCAAATTCTACCACATGACTTAGCAGTCAATTGTGCTCATACAACTCCAGTTCATGTTTCAAGAGTTTGTCTGTTGGTTTGAGTGTTTAGTTTCTCAGCACACATTTTCTCATACACACTGTATTATAAATTATGGTTAAATCCTCAAAACTTCCCACAAAAGGCTCTTTAAAGTTAATGTATTTGAAATATGTACTACCGATAGTACCATGTTAGCTATGCTTAGCCAGCATTTATAACTCTGTTTATATGGGGAAATGCATTCCATTTTGCAACTAGAGCTGGCAGGATTGCCTGGGAAAGAGGAGAGTTGACAGTGAGAGGGAGGGCTTTGGATAGTAGGGATTCCTGGGATTTCTTAACTCCATGGATATCAGAAGATGCACCTGAGTTGGACATCTGTTGCCCATCATTCATTCACTCTTCATCTGGAAATGACACTTTGATTTTACTTTAGGGAACTGCTCCCACTCTGACCCAGTGTATGTGGTTAGGTGGGGCTTATCCCACATACACACACCCATGACTCAGGCAGTACTGGCCACAGTGATTGATTCAGAGATGGCCATGCTCTGCCTTCCCAGTTAGATCATACACAACATGAGGACAGGAAGCATGTACTAAGCTCACTTGTATCCTCAAGATAATCCAGCACAGTGCTCAGCTGTAATGACATAGTCATGTCCAGACAAGGAGGAGAATGGACATGTATTGAGCAACAACCATGTGTTAGACTTTTTACATAGCTTTCACACTAAATACCTTTCTCCTACTCTATGTGATGCCAACTGGGGTGGTGTTTTCCAGAGACCGTTATGTTCTGGGAATAAAATCCTACTCAGTTTATTAATTTTAAAAGGTTTCACCTTGAGTTTTTAATATGGCTATAAGAAGAAAAATATTTAATTTCCCTTAACTATCTTATAGTGGTACTTTGCTCATTTATCAAAGAAATAACAATAATGATGCTTGTCTTGACTCACAGGTCAAAAACTCCCTCTTAAGAGCTTTAGAGTTTAAAAGAGATAAATTTGTGAGTGAACTTTGCAAAACACTAAACAAATATTATTATTGCTATTATCATTTCCATTATTTTTATTTTTATTATTATTTTCTTTTCTTCTCTTATCCATTCAAATGAATAAGGCATCCGAAAAACAAATGAAGACTGATTGAAACCACATTCTGCCTAAGCTATAGACTTTTCCATAACTTGAGATAAATAAATAGATTAAGCCACATCACAAACACACACACACACACCACCTGCAAAATAATCTTAAATATGATTATTTTTAATATAAATAAAGCAAATGCTAATTTTCCCTCTAGGGAAGTCATGGATTTTCTGTAGCTTGGCAATATATGTCTATAATAAAAATTTATATTTATGTTATTGGTTAATAGCTTTGGGTTAACCAATGAAATCATTTACCTCTATTCTAAACATTGCTTTTTTGCTAAAATAATATTTCTATTCTTTTAAACTGTTACCTGAGTATAGCTTTTGAAAACTCATTATGATTAGCTCAGCCTCGAGTTTTTTTTGGCAGGAGCCTCAGAGGCCAGCTACAAAAAGCTTCATTTCTCGTATAGAAGTCTGTTCCTCATTATCTCAAATACATCTCCACTCAGAAACTACAGCCTGCAGTCTTTCAAACATCATTCAGTCTGACACAAGGTAATGAACTTTCCCCATCTGAGGGCCCAGTGGGAGCTAGGGGCAGAAGAGGGAAGATAATCCCATGCTCCCCTGTCCTTGTCTAGTGTCCTGGGGCATCCTGTCTCATTATCTGAGAGACAGGACAAGGGACTGTCCTCCTTCCCACAGAGAACACACCAGCAGGTGAAAAACAGGTGCGCCTGAGCCTGGCTTTGAGTGAAGCTGTGTGCTCAAGAAAACATACGTGTGGCATATGGGCACCTGCAGAACCAGCATGGTCAAGCCATGAATGCATTCAAACTAAGCACCTTGCTTCTGTTTTGCCTTAGCTTGAAAAGTAAAGCAAGAAATGAATAGCAAAAAGCTCCAGGTCCAGCAGTCTATCACAGGAATTTTCCAAAGGAGCTGAAAAATCTGGATATGATCTCTTATACTGGAAAAGCCTATTATAATGCAGGACTGGGGAGAAGCTCAGCAAAAGGCAAAAATAAAGAAGGGAAAGTCAGCAAGAAATAAATTTCACTGGTCAACTCAGCAGTAACGCTGTCTGCAACAAGTCTTCAGCTCAGTTCTCACTTTTGGGACAAGTACTCGTTCATCCATCTGGAGCCAACACACCAATTATAATTCCAGATCTGCTCTAATAAACCAAGAGATCTTGAGCAGATCACTCTAGCAAGTGCTGAGGAGAGTATCCGGCACACAGTGGATACTTGATAAATATTGGCTAAATTTACATCTACCTTTTTGTTTCCAGGATTTCTCATTTGCAAAGTTGTCTAATTAATGGAGTAAATAACATTTCCACATTTGCAATGCATACCATTACATCATGCTTCATGGTTCAAGAATTATTTTCATATGCATTCTCTCATGAACTCTTCACAATAACTGTTAGTCAGACATGGAACAGGTGTTATTATTCTCATGTTACACACAAGGTAAGTATGGCTCAGGCACATTAACTAGACAATCACACAGCTAGTAAGTTATATAGCTCTTTAAATCTCATAGATTGTTAGATATCCTATAAGAAAATGTATCTAAAATTGCCTGGTACATAGTAAGTAGCCCATAAAAAGTAGTTCTATGGGGAGCCAGTAGAGCACAATAATTAAATCACAGGCTTTGAATTTTGTATCCAGACTCCATCACTTATTGTGATGGGTTGATTTTGTGTGTTACCTCAATTGGATCAGAGTGCCTCTCTGCCTGTCTTTGAGCTGGGACATAGGTGTTCTCCTGTCTTTGGACTCAGACTCGAGCTGGAACTATACCACTGGCTCTTTTGAGTCATCAGTTTTCCAGCTGGAGATCATGAACTTCTCAGGTCCCTCGTCACATGAGCCAATTCTTTATTTTATATACATGCACAAAAAAGAACCAATGGAGGAGATATCTATAGATATCTCTGTTTTTCTGGAAAACTCAGACTAATACAGATTTGGTACCAAAAAGTGGGGTGCCACTGTAACAAATACCTAAAAATGTGGAAATGATTTTTTAATTAAGTAACGGGTAGAGGAGGCTGGAAGAGTTTTGAGATACAAACTAGAAAAAGCCAAGACTGCTATGAAGGGACTGTTAAAGGCAATTCTGGTGATGGCACAAGAAAAAAAAAAGATGAAAGCTATAGAGAAAGCTTCCATCTTGGAGAATATATAAGAAATCATGAATAGAATGTTAATAGAAATATAGAAGGTAAAGGCCATTCTTGTGAGGTCTCAGACAGAAATAAGGAACAAATTATTGGACAATGCATAAAAGAATATCCTTGTAATAAAGTGGCAGTGAATTTGGCTGAATTGTTTTTTAGTGTTTTATGGAAAGCAAAACTTGCCAATGATGAAATTGGACATTTAGCTGAGGAGATTGCTAAGCAAAGTGTTGAAAGAGCAGCTTTCTTCCAACTGCTTATAGTAAAATGTGAGAAGAGCAAGATAAATTGAAGATGGAATTGCAAGCAAAAAGGAACCAGAACTTCTCAGCCTATCTATATTGCAAAAAATAAGAACGCTTGCTCTGAAAAGAACACTAAGGATCTGGCCAAGCAACCATTCATTAAGGAGATTAAGCTGGGTGTGAACCATGAACCTAATCAGTCACTCCAGCAGAAACACTGCCAGTTTGAACTGAAAGGGACCAAGATGAGATGAAATGAAGGAAGGTTGTTGGAATTCTTGGATCCTAAAGGACTGGACCTTTATGATCTATAGAGCAATTTGGCTGTGAACATACACTACTCTTCAAGACAAAGGTAGAATGACCCTGAAGGCAATCCCAGAGCTCATCTCTGGATGTGGCAATTCAGATCCACGTCCCAATGCCTCACTCCTAGAGACCAATACAGCAACCACTGTCTTTCCACTCTGTCCTGAGAGCCAGTCCCCGTAGCCTCTTCCTTATCTCCTTGAATGCAGACCCCTCATGGAATCCTAATGTGGGTTTTCACCCCCTGGAAATATGCCCAAGAGCGCTTTACCTCTTCCACCTTTTTATCAGCAGGGAGACTTTCTATCACATATAAGCATAGCATCTCAGCAATACCTCCCACCTCACCTCTCTTTCTCTCTCTTTTGCTCTCTCTCTCTCTCTGTCTTTCTCTCTCTTGCTCTCTCTCTGCCATATGAGGACACAGCAAGAAGGCAGCTGTCTGCAAGGCAGGAAGAGAGCCCTCACAGAACTTGATCATGCTGCCTTCATGTTCTCAGACTTCCAGCCTCCAGAACTGTGACAAAATAAATTTATGTTGTTTAAGGACCTAGTCTCTGGTATTTTGTTATGACAGCCTAAGCTGACTAAGACACTTATCGAACTGTGTGCAACTAGAAAAGGTACTAAACCTTCTCAGGCTCAGTTTCCTCATCTGTACAACAGGAACAAGAATATCTACCTCATACCATTATTGGGAAAACTAAATGAGAGCAAGCGTAAAAAGCACATAACTCGAACTCTCTACCACACCTTTCTACTTCCCTAAATGATGTATGTGAAAATAAAACAAGATAGTTTATATAATAGTAGACTGAGATAACAACTGGAAATACTTTGAAAAAGAAAAATTACAAAACAAAGGGGCAGGATGAGGATTAGGAGCATAACTAATTGAGAGTATAAGTCATTACTTAATTGTACTAACTTACTAATTATCTATGTTATACTAAACCCACAGTGTCACAAATATAGGCCACTTCAAGTAAAAATAATACAATTTAGGAACAACTGCATTGGATGTGAGGGAGGAGAAAAGAGAGCTGAAGACACACACACACACACACACACACACACACACACAGAATATGTTGATTCCTAAAATGCCTTAGTCTTAGAAATATTTCAAAGCAATTAAAACACTTATATTAGGAAATATAGCAGGAGACAAAGACAATATGAAAGAAATTAAAAATACAAGGTAATTAAAGAAGGGAGCAATTTGAGAGGAGCGGGGGTTAGGGGGGTGGGGAAATGTTGACAAGAAATTAAGATGTTAAAGGAACAAAGTTCAGAATAGCTAATACTGAAAGGTCAAAAGCATGGAATTGTGTCTGCCACCTCCTCTTATTTTCCTGGTCACTATTGTTTATTAAAAGTAACCTCTCCTTAGCCACAGAGTCCCGTGGGGCATCTTCTACCTCAAGATTCTCTTTAGTAAAAGGCTCTTCTCACTCTCTTTTCCCAATAAAAGCTCAGATTTGTCCCATAAATTTCTGTCCGAGAGAGCTTGCACAGTCTCAGCCTCCTTGTCAAGCTTTGCAGTAGCAGTGGATGATTTTTATGAACTCTCCCTAGTTTGGGGCAAGATGACTTTGAGGGTCTTGACCATTTTTAAGAACTTACAATTCTCCTGGTAGTATTATGCTTATGTTTCTCCAAGGCCCTGACAACACATTCATCTTACTTTAATAATGATCCCATCATTTGTTGCTACCTTTAGGAGATCTTTCAAGAATGCAAGACAGGCAGATTTATTCTATTAGAATATCAGTAAAGTCAATCCTTTTATATAATAAATCCTGACAATCATGTAGAAAATGGCATTGATATATGTTTACATTGTGTTTGCATATGCATTTCTAAGAAAAAAGGCCTCTAAAAAACAAATATGAAAAGTAAGACAGAATTAATTAGTGAGTGCTTCCTGACCCAAAAGTGTGCAATATAAGGTAGATCTTTGGGGTACAACACATATTCCACAATGGATACTGCCTGAGTGGGGAGCCAGTGCCACGACCTCAGGCACTGTTAAAGGGGTCCCTGCCACAGCACCCCAAGGAAGGAAGGAAGTAGCCTTAAGAGTTGCAGACATCCAAATTTCTTTCTTTTCTTTTTTTTTTTTTTTTTGAGACGGAATCTTGCTCTGCTGTGTGACCCAGGCTGGAGTGCAGTGGTGTGCAGTGGTGTGATCTCGGCTCACTGCAAATCCCACCTCCTGGGTTCAAGCAATTCTCCTGCCTCAGCCTCCTGAGTAGCTGGGATTACAGGTGTGCACCACCACACCTGGCTAATTTTTGTATTTTTAGTAGAAACGAGGTTTCACCATGTTGTTCAGGCTGGTCTCGAACTCGTAACCTCGTGGTCTGCCCACCTCGGGCTCCCAAAGTGCTGGGATTACAGGCATGGAGCCACTGCGCCACAGACATCCAAATTTCTATGCCTGTACTATGTGAATCTGTCCACTTGTCCACAACTGACTAGGCCAGAATGGCTCCTCACCAAGACCAGTCAAGCTCTAAAAAGTGAGCTGAAGACAGAAATGAGCATTCACAACAAGTCTGAGTCACGTTAATGATCAGCCCTAGAAGAATCACCCATGAGCCACTGCTGCTGGTGGACCATAGACAACTGTCCTTTGAGGTTCCTGATTACCATGTGACGTGGCTGTTCCATGGCTTCCAGTCCACCCATGAAACCTGCTTGTTTTATTTCTCCTGTGCACAAGAGGCCTCGCCACAGGGCCAAGATTTCTTATCTCCACTTGTATCCTCTAACCACCTAGCCTAATCCTCACAGAAAGAATATAGTTAGCACACGAACTCTCTCTAACCATTTCTGTTCATAGGATATTTTCATCAGAAAAGCTTCCTTGACTATTTCAACACTCAAGTATCTTTTCAGCAGCAGGTACCTCTGCCACTTCCATAAGTGTTTACCTTGGATTGCTGTGTATTGACAGTCAGCTACTTAATCTGTCTATGTCTTGTCTCCCAAATCAATGATGAGTTTTTAGAGGAGAAAGAACTCTGTGTCTGACATAAAGTTGACCAGCCATCTTTAAGAGAGTTTAGGCTGAAAATTGCAGCTCATCGGCCCTTTTTTCCATGGATGAACAATAGCCTCTTCCTCCTGAGATAAAAGTGACCCAAGCCTGGTACTGTTTCTTTTTTATTCACTTATCTTTCTCAGAAAACCTACATTCACAAACCACTTGTACAAAGTGTTCAACATATTTAGAAGTCAGAAAGCTTTCTCGGCCACTTGAGAGTGTATTGAACCAGGCCTGTTACTCATGCTTCTTATCTTACTTATCTTATTATCTGCTCTCTCTACAGATCTACATCATCATGTGGGTCTTAATAAAAATAATCAAGAGTTACTATATTTGAGAATATTGGCCCAACCAATTCTCTGCCCTGGTGCTCTGTACAACCCCAAGGGCTCTGTGAAATCTTTCAAGGTTTCCCAGGAAAGTAGAAGAAATGAAAAGAGCAGAGTGGGTGAGACTCTAAGCCACAACACTCCCCTTTAACATTTTGATCTGTTTTCCATATTGGGCACAATAAGATTTATTCTACAGCCCTAAACAAAAATGAAAACTTGCCTGTACAGTGAGACTTGAGGAATCTAACTTAGCCCCCTGACCAAAAGCAGTCTTTCTACCTTTAGATTTTTCCTCTTTTGAAGTGAGGTTTTGTGCCTAGGGTTTTAAAAAGCCAGTACACTGGTATCAGTCTTGGATGCTCCATTATATAGCATTGCCTGTTAGAACTTGCATATAACACTCTGTTAAACTTGCTGCACAAATGAGACATATCCAAAAGGAAAGTTCCAATGGTTGGCCTGGGAGAAGAACTAGATAAAGACCCTGGAAGTTCTATCTTAAGAAATTCTTACCAGCATTTCCCAGGGGGGCAGGCAGGAAACAGCCTAAGGATTAAACCAACATGGGAGGGAGGTGGGTGCAGGGAGAGGGGGATTTATACAATTGTCCCTTGCATGGGAAACAGAGGCCAATAAAAGCAAACCTCACAATGACTCTGCAGGAATCCAGGACTTCCCAGCACTCAAAATTCACAAGCTTGCTGAGTATATCTTATCTTGACTTTTACAAGGAAAACAGTTAACCATTATAAGTTAACTATTTGTTCAGATCGCTCACTCCTCCATTCCACAACCAGTACATGTCAGGTTCTTTCCAATAATAATATTCTTCCTTGAGGAACATTCAGCAGAAATAGACCAATCAAAACTGGTAACACTAGGTTTATTTAAATATATATATAAGCTGCAGAAAAGTACAGACCAGAAATGGGGCTGTATCTTCTTTTTAGAAACCGCTCTCACATTCAGCAAGATATCTGTTTACAGGCAATACTAAAACCTGATTAAGGCTTAACAAAAACTAAGTCCACATGAAAGGAAATGTGGATATATGTGGATCGATGCTTTGTTAGGTTGATTTTTTTGTAAGATTGTGTATATATATATAAGCTATGAATTGGATTTAGAGGTACGACAATTTGTCACAAACCTATAAAATATTTTTCTACCCAACGTCACCCAATTTCTTACTTCTGGCAGACCAGGCATTTGATTAGAGTCTTCACTCTCCTTGGAGGCGTGCTGTGGAAAGGACACAGCACCTCTAATCATGCTTACCTCCTGCTATAGCCACTAGCATTATCCAAGAACACACTGACCTTTTGCGGTGCTACATTCCTTGGCAATTATCCTCACTCTTCTCTTAGTTTAATATTTTTACTTTCTTTTCTATCCTCAGACCCCCACCTCCATCTCCATCTTCCACTCAGTGAAAATAATTCTACTTGCATCTTTTTCCCATAAGGATCTATGTTTTTCTTATATTTTCATTCTCCTAATGTTTAGCAGGTCAAATGCAGTTGGTTTCATTAACAAATAAAAGCCACATGTCAAAATGGTTTAACAGTGTTAAATCCTGACCTGAGTTTAGCTTTGGCTCTGTGAACTTACCCTCAATGCCAAATGTCACATTTGATGTAGAAGCAACTGCTGTGCTGTTTAGATGTTCCTGACACCATTTGAATCCATTACTTCATTGAGATATTTTGCTCAACATCTTTTCCTTCTATGGATGAATTAATTGTGCCCAACACTGACCATCCTCACTCCAGAGCCCAGGCTAGCTATGACAACCCAGTCAACAACTCAAGGCTAGTCCTCCTCCCTCCCGATTTATACTTGGAGAGTCAGGCAATCTGCACCAGCAGGATAATAAAGATTCATTAAAGGGAAAGGAGACTGGGCAGATTTTTCTCTTCACTTTCCCTAGAGGGAACCATATGAAATTGCTATTTTTATAAACTGAAAGTGGTCAGACATCAGCAATGTTGTGTGCTTCAGCCCAATACATGAAAAAATATATTCACAATTCAACAAAATAAATTACAAACTTCATATTGCCCAATAAATATGAAAATGAAAGGTGTCTTGAAAGATTCATGCACGTCTGAGAGCACAAGAATGGCAATGTTCTTTATAAGGGGCTTTATATGCTTGAGGGCTTACCCTTTCAATGTCTTCCGTATTTAAATACTGAACAAGAGTGATAGATCCTTTGCCCCACAGCTGAGGAAATAAAAGGATCACACGCAGGCAAGCAGGGCTGATGGAAAAATATGTGAGAGAAGGACACTTTTTTTATTTTGCTCCACAATCCAGAAGCCTGATTCAAGAGGGTGCTTCATTGTGGTTAGTAATTCATCCAAACATGAACCTCAGAGAGAGCACCACCCTCCCACGGGGCATGAGATGAGGTGCTGGCCCACAGACACATGACTAATGCAAGGTCATCCCAGGGTCCACAGGCTGAACAAGTTCTGAACCTCAACCCTACCAATGTCAGGCCATTGCTTCACAGGAGCTGCATTTCCTCTTTAAAAGGCAAGACCAAGAATATAAAACCAAAGACCTCCATGGCCCCAACCAACCCATCTTAGGAACACAGAGGCTCCTTTCAACAGATCCAACTTCCTTTAGAAATTCTGGCATTTGGTGGGTAATGTTATGTCTCTTCTTCAAAGGTTATCTTCTGCTTTTTACCCTCTCTGAGTTTTAAATGAAAGAGCCCTCCCTATAAAGTAAGCTATACAAGCAAGCACACATACGGCATTTGGGCTAGATCTCAAGTATAAGAATTAAGCAAAACATAAGGCCTAAATGTGCAGTGAATTAAGAGTATGGTTTAAAAAAACCATTTCAATAAATCAAACTTTATTTAACATGCCCAGAGAGAACACCACTATAAGGTTGTAACTTCATGGCATTATATTGTTATGGTCCCATAATTCCTAGACTTTTTCCCCAAAATATAATTTTTAAATCAAAATAATATTTAAGTTCCTTTTAAAAGAAATACAGCTTAAAAATGTGTGTGGGCTATAAAACTAGACACTATACATGCATATCTGAAAGATGCATACCCAATCTTACTCTCAGAGCTGTGCTTCCATCCTCACAAACTTTTGAAACCATTTAAAAAGCTTATTCCAAGTCTATTTATAAAGGAAAACAAATGGGAATATGTAGGTATAATTTAACAAAATCTCTTGCCTTTAAGCAAATGGAACCAAAGAATGGCGTATTTAATTGAAACCCACAAGCTCCCAAACCTCATTTCAGGCACCAGTTTACATAACCGTTTTTACCTTACTTTGACTAGAGTCCCTATTGATAAGAGTTCCATGTTAAAACTCCTCTGCCTTTCCACACTATGAACTTTATTTCTCTTAACAAGTATTTGTTGAGCACCTAGAAGATGCATAGCTAAAAGCTCAATGTTGCTGTAAAAATACAAATATAAGAGACAGCAACATCCAGGAAACATCCTATAGAGAGAAAAATCACAAGGCAATAAGTCAGTTTCCCACAACATGCTCCTAGGAAAACACACTACTTGATTTAATAGTTTTTATATGAAAAAACAATTCAACCATTAAATAGTTTTGAGAACTGCAAGCTTGAACAAAGTTAAATAATTTTCTTTTTTGTCAGCTCTCTCAGAACCTTGACTGGGCTAATGTGAATTGTAAATCTCTAAGACAGGGATGCACGATGCAGTCCTTCCTGTATTACTTGATTGTGAAACACCTTTTTATGTGCATCATCTTCCACCAATCACACTTGGAGAAACACTAAGTTAAGTGATATCGTCTGTTCTATTCACTTAAGAAGTTTCGAGGACAGAGACAGAGTGGAATGTTTGAGAAAGACTTCCAGAGAAGACTGAATTTAAACTGAATTCTGGGCTAGATTCTCAGATAAAAATAAAATTTGGATAGACCCGGGGAAAAAAAAAAGAGAGAGAGAGAGATTTCTTATGAGAGAAGACATGAATGCACCAAAATTTAGAGTTAGGAATAAGCATGGCACATTTAGAAGTCAGTCAGCAAAGAGAACGGTCTTATTAGAGAGAAGAGTTCATGTGGGGGGAGTGGCAGCATTAAATTATAAAGGCTGAAAGTACTGTGTTAGATATTTTTCTAATTGTCCTAACAACTCTGAAAGATAGGCATTGCGGTGATCACTTTACAGATAAAGAAACTGAGAATTGCAGAGACGAAGAAATTTGCCAACTTCTTGTAACCAGTAAGTAGCCAAGCAGGCATGTGAACCCAATTTCTCATCTTCAAAATGGAAACTGAGTGAATTTTGAGACTCAGCACATAATAATCTTGTCCAATTACAAAGCCTATGCTATTCATATCAAGAGATTTCACAAGAGCGAATGAAAAAAATTCATATAAATATAAATGCATGCCAAATAAGAGTAAAATAGTGTGATTCGTACAAAAGGGTAGATATTGATTGTGCAGGACTTCAAAAGCTAATATGGATTTTCTGGGGGTTTTTATATATTAGAGACAGTAGAGTTTTCTGAGTGTTGGAGATTTCTCGGGAGGAGACTGATTAGGAAGATAAGTTCAACCATGGTGCTCAGGGCAGATTAAAGGAGGAAGGAAACAATCTGAGATGCCACTGGAGGTTGTTTCAGTAATTCCGACATGAAGGGATGGCAAGCAGGATGAGGATGCTGGCAGTAAAAGTGAAATGGGAGGAACCAATGGTGGAGAATGAAGTCCAGCCATTCAAAGGGAGGATTAGAGGCATTTGGTGATGCTTGGTGATGGAAGGCAGGTGACAAAGAAGAGGCAAGAGTCCAAAGTGGCTTTTCTGCCCTTTTCTTGACACTCTTTACCCACGAGTGGAGGTGCAAACAATGAGCTGTTGACATGGCCACTGAACACAGAAGGAAAGGGAGAGCTGATACTGGCATTGGACAGGGTTCCATGATGGATGGGGGGCTGAGTTACCACCAAGAATTCACATAAACAGGTGCATATATGTGTTTCCTCAAGCAGTGACTATTCAAAACCACAAGTGCTATTCTGCAGAAGTTCCAAAACTTTTCTTCTATGTTAAAGAAGGGGTCCTTATTCTGAGACAGGGTTGAGCATCGCTTGTATAAGGGTCAAGGTGACAGTGTCTAGCGTGGTAGTTCTGAGCTGAATGACTTTGAGAAAATTCCTTCAACTCTTTAAGTTTCAGTTTCTCATTTCTCATCTTCAAAAATGGAAGAGATGACTTAAGAAGTTTATTTGAGGCAGTAAATTCTGTAATTCTCATAATCAGCACCAAACGACAGATCTTTGGCTAAAGTTAAATGACTTTGGAATAAGCTATTTTCTGGCCCATCCCACCTTTCTTTTCAAGCAGAACAGAGTTATGCATATATGAAAATTCTCATACTCCTCAGGCACAAATCCGATCTTTATTTCAGTTCTCCAGGCCACTAAGCCAAGTCTTCACAGCCAGGCCATGTGGAGTGACGGGTGACAATTAGGCTGTGACCAACAGCTACATTTCCTCTTGAAACAAAGGGAGCTTTGCAAAGTACACCAGACATTTACTAGATGAACCAGTCTTTGCAGAGAAGTCATAGCATTTTGCTTTCACATAGATACATGAGTGGATTGAGACTCCAACACATAATAAATGCCTACATCTCAATTATCCCTTTTGTTTATTAGTAGAAATCTGTCCATGAGTATGTAATGATGCACTATAGGAATATAAATTTCCCTGGCAATGGTCAAACAAGCATTGAAAAGCTCTGGTCAAATCACTTTGATTTGTTTGTTGAATTCACCCTTTTTCTCCCCACAGGACCCACATGACCATGCTTTCTGGTTGGCACAAACAGAACTCTTTGAGAGCCCCAGGATGGAGTTCATGTATATATCCAAAATTTGTACTTTTGAAAGTCCATCAAATAAAAGGCAAAAACATGTGTGATCAAGAAAGCTATAAACTGACTACGAAAGGGCAGAGACCTTGGCTGGGAAGCCACAGGATGTGCATGGAGTGATTATTGCCAGAACACGGAGCCGGACATATCACTCTTGTTGTTTCCTCACATGAGCCCAGCAAGGTGCTGCTTTCTGTCAACTGCATGAGCCAACCCCCACGGGAGCCTGCTCAAACAGAAAACGTAGATAGTGTACGGGCCACTGTCAGCCCCCCTTCACACTGTGTTCTCCCTGGAAATGAGAATGGGACTGCAGCCAGGGTAGGGGTAGGGTGAGGATGAAGGAGACCCAATTGACTCTGAAACAGTTAATAAGACTGGGCTCCATGTGTCAAAAAGGAATTTATCACTAACACTAAATGATTCATTACCACCAAATGATGACATTTGTTTTTTTCTCTTTGTTAGAGTGAGGTAAGAATGGGGCAGGAAAGATCCTGGGTCTAAGATTGGTTTCACTCAGAAACAGATCTTAAGACAGTGATTTGCTTTGGGAGGTCGAGGTGGGTGGATCACAAGGTCAACAGATGGAGACTATCCTGGCCAACATGGTGAAACCCTATCTCTAATAAAAATACAAAAATTAGCTGAGTGTGGTGGCGCACGCCTGTAGTCCCAGCTACTTGGGAGGCTGAGGCAGGAGAATTACTTGAACCCGGGAGACAGAGGTTGCAATGAGCCAAGATCACACCACTGCACTCCAGCCTAGTGATCGAGTGAGACTCCATCTCAAAAAAAAAAAAAAAAAAAAAAAAAGACAGTGATTTGAACGCAAGTAGTTAACAGAAAGAAGGTCCTAGGAAGTACCAGGAGGAAAGTGTAAACATGAGCACGGAGGAAAAGCCAGTACAGGGTACACTGTTAGTACATAGACCGGATGCTGTGGGTACCTGCATCTTAACCCCTCTGGGTACATCTAGGATGCAGGGTGGATCACATCCCAGAATCTCAGAGTTATCCCACTGAAGTGAGGAAATAGGAGTATTCATTCTCCAACTCCAGTTCATCATGGATGATGGCCACTCCAGGTGCACTGACTGCCTGGCAATTCCCACCGCCCACAGGCAGTCCATGAGGAAACCCTCAGGCAGGTTCCCAGTGTTTGCAGTGGGACGCTGCCATCCACTTGCACTGTGATGATGAGTGCCAAGGAGGTATAATCAAGGTTCTGACAACATCTGCTAAAATCTGCTGGAGAAGCTGTGGGCACCATTAAAAACCATTGGTAGTGAGAGGTTTGTCATTCCTTCAAATACCATCCAGCTCCAGTTGATACTATCTAAAGAGTGGAGGGGCAGCCTCTTTAAAACCTGATAATAGAAGACAGGGCTCAAACTAGCTTTTACTGTGCGTGGTTATGTTCCACTCCCACCACAACTGCACTTGGATCACCGAAGTTGTTTAAAGGAGCTCCTAGTTCCAGGCCTGCCTGCCTCCCACCTGTCTCCTCCACACATATACCTGCCAGGCTAAACTTATGGACATTATAAAGACCACAGACACATTCAGTTTAATGCTTAATTAAATGCAATACAATCATTGTACTTTTATAAGTCTTTTTATAAAAATGAATCTACAAATCAGAAAGAATCCTTTGTCACACTCCACATCCCAATTTTGATGGAAGAAACTGTGGCCACAATATGAACAATTTCCAGAATATTTGGTTAAGTTAGAAAAAAAAAAACCTACATACAGACCAGCATGTAATGTCTGCTGCTGTTTGTGTAAAATGAAGGGGGCTAGAGATCAAGAGATGGATGGAGAGACAGATGGAAAAATAGGCAGGTAGAAATATAGAAATATGTAGAGATATATAAATATACAGGCCTAGATATAATATCTCTGGAAAGATACACTGGAAACAATGATTACCTTTGGGGAAGAAAAACGGAAAATTAAGGTAGAAGAGAAACTTTTCACCATTTACCAATGTATATTATTTGGTTTTTTATCATGTGTATGCATTAATTTTTTAATTAATTAACAGTTAAAATGGAAAGCAACGGACAAATAAATATGATCCCTGTTTCTAGCCTACCCTTTCTAATCCAGCCAGACTTTCTCCTACCTACCCTCAAATGAGCAATATTTATTCTCAAAATGTTTAGGTTGCTCCTCTGGGAAATGCTTTCCTCATTGCTGCTGCTGCTTCAAATCCTGCTCAACTCAAGTCCCACTTGCTTCAAGAAATTTCTTCCTAGTAATTCCAGGCCAATTTGACCACCGACCACCACCACAAAAACCTGCAACCTTTCTTTACTTCACAGCAAGCACTTGGGACCTGAACAAAATAATCGAGATCACCATTTGTGTTCTCTACTTCACATGCCTTGGGCAGAGGTGCCCATTAGAACCTGAGACTCACTCTCTGTAAGGAGGTCCACCAGGGTCCACTGGGGATGGAGAGCCACCTCTATGGCACAGAAGTTGTCTTACCAAGAGCAGCACAGGCCAATCCCAGCAACCTTCAGCTAAATCAGGGACTTAACAGAGCAGCAAGCACCCTCTTGGTGTCTTCAAGGTGTCAAAAGCTAGCTTTGGAGAGCATATACTGCAAAGAGAGGGTTGGAGCAGGAAAGGAGAGAAGTAAAACAAAGAAAGCCCCCTGGGCTATGTAGGAAACAATGCCAGCGACTCACTGAAGTGGCCCAGAAGCCCTACCACATTAGATTACAGAAAAGGAAAGCGTTGAGGGAGTGTTTTACGATAGCAGGAGGGTCTTCTGTCTTTTGTGCACAGTAAAAGATGTGGACATGTCCATTTGGAGGGTGAAATAGGATGACACTCAATGGCTCTGGAAGAAATGGAGGAAGGCAATTCAGGGCTTGGGCAGGGGAAAACTCCAGGTAGAAAGAGAAAGATGCCATCACGGCAGGGGGCAGGAGAAAGTCCCCCTTTAATAGCAATGACAGCAAAAAGTTGACTTGGGAAAACAGGTAAGAAAGATAAAGTTTTGGAATCAATTTTCTCAGCAGTATGTAAGCTGACGTCATCTTCAGGGAAATCCGCGTTACTAATCAGCACCTCCTAATTCCTGCCCTTGGTGGATCCTCGCTGTTTAGTCTTTTTCCTCAGTCTTTCCATATTTCAAGTACTGTGAGATCTTACTCTACTAAAATTCAGGTTCTTGAAGATCCTAAGTCCTTTGCCCTTTATTTCATTCTTAGTGAAATTATTTGCTTCTTTATATACAAGCAAATTTCTAGGTCAGAATTCCTTCTTGAAGATATACAATTATTTTCCCTCTTCAATTAGAAAATGCTGTTTTCCCAGCTGTTTTTAAAGACTAAAACCATAACAGACTTGAAAGGGCTCCTAAGTCACAAATCAAAATTTATTTCCATCCAGCTTAATGCTATCCAAACATGTCTAGTTTTTGTCTCTCTTTGCATTTAAAGTTTTCATTTTATCCAAATGAAGTAGTTGGTGGTTCTAAAGTGGTTTTGTGCTCAATATAAAGTTTACTTTTGTTCAAGTCTTTTCTTTTCTGGCCTTAGTACTAGGTTTTCCAGTTCACTTATAAAGAAAGCTATCCAACTATTTTTGGAAGAACAATGCATTTTGGTAATCTACCAGGATGATTTGATGTTGAAGTTATTGCAGCTCTTCAGATATCCAAGTCCTTGTACATGATCAATTAGAGCTGAAAATGAAGTCGAAATGTTCCTGGCATGCCAAGTACACTGTCACTGTTGTAGAAATAAGATGTTTGTTGTTACTTTGTTGAACACATATTGCCAATCAGTTTGGGAATACTGAAATTCTGTATGATTTTTCAGTCATTGTCTATCATTTTAGAGCAATCTATTGCTTTCAGAATTGAAGCTCAAGGCACGTTAGATTAAAGGAAGTGACTTTTGGAATCTGAACAAGAAAATTTTCTAGGGCAAAATAAAACATACAAAATCACTTCTTAGTAATTTCTTCATTCTGTCAGAGACATTCTATATGACGTCTTCTTTTGCTCTGTTAATTGAAGAACTGGCAATCTGGGGCACTTTCCCAAGTAATAAAAATGAGAGAATTACAGCCTAGGGAAGTGAAGAGGAAAAAGAGAGGTAATTGTACTTGAAAGCACAGCATTTGGCCCACAGTAAACCATCAGTAATGTCTATTGAATCTTGCATAACAACAAGAAGGTTGAAAAGAATGATATGAGAAATTGAGTCAAAAAATTAAGAAATAACCACTTCTGAGTAAGAACCTAAATGAACATTTAAAAAAATTTCCTTCCTGTTACTATGGCTTTGAAAGTCTCTAAGTAGGAGGAAGGTCTTAATCTTATTCTGATGATGCCTGAATCCCTGGCCCTCAAACTAGTCCGCCATTTCTTCTGGCCAGTATTGGGAGCTGGATGTGAGACAGAGATAAACAGCATGGCCAAGGAGGGACAATAATACAGTTAGTTGTAGAAGCTGGGCCCAAATAGGGCATAGAAAAACAGGGGAAGACAATGACCTTTTGTTTCCATTAGAACTATACTCCAGAATTCATAGTCCCAATAGGTAGAGATACCTATTCCTCACAGAAGAAAAGAATGAAATAAACAGAATTTTATTTATTATATACATTTTTACATAAATTCAAATTTGTATTTTTGTAGAAATTCTCCCTTTTCCACCATTTTTTGATCCCCAATCAATCCTAAAGTGGAACCTAGAGAAGAATAAGTTCCCCAAATAAACGGTGGGATGGGCAGATGAGTAGAGGCCAAATCTTTTTTTCAGATTCAGGAAAGTTTTAGATATTTCTAAAATGTCCCTCGAGTCTTTCTTGCTCATCATAATAAAAACAAAAACAACAAAAATACAATAGCAACACATACTATATGCCAGGCACTGTGACAACTGTTTCCCATGTAAAAGCTTATTGAATCCTCCCAACCACTAAGTGTAATAGATACTAGGACCTCACTTTACAGATGAGGGAATTGAAGTTCACAGAGGTTAAACAACTTGCCCAGGATTAAGGTTACACAGCTAGGAAGTGGTGAAGGCAAGATTCAAATGCAAGCTGTGGGAATTCAGAATATGCTTTCATTGTAATGGGTGTGCCCTCTTCCCACTGTCCTAGTTAGAGGTCACTTGGATTATTCCCTTTGGCTCCAAAATATCTGTATAGAAGCTCCTCCCCAGGAGTCTCCAGGGGTCATCGTAGGTTACAGAACATTCTGTACATTGCAGGGAAGTTTCTTCTGAGGGGCCCAAATGATGGGGCTTGAGCCAGTGTTGGTATCGTAACCTCTCAGCCATTAACTGGGTGGCCAATGAGAGAGAGCTGTGGTGCAGGCATGCAAAGTTCTCACATACACGAAGATCAGGAGGTCTGCTGGGGAGGCCTCAGGTTTAGTATATCTCTTGTGTGCTCAAACAGTGCCCATCACAGCAGATCTTCCTCCAGGACTGGAGCACCAAGCTGGCATCAGACCTATTGTTTAAACAACTCTCTAGAATCAGGTTTTAGGCAACAGGTGCCTCTGATCCAGAGCCTTTCCTACTTTTCCCAGGATCCCTTCCCATATGCTCTTTAACTGAACTTTGATAGGATGTTTCACCCGGAAGAGTTTAGAATCCCACTAGTCTAGATTCAAACCATGGGCAACCCTGCGTCTCCACAACCTAAGACATAGGGAGGGCTCAATGTTCAGAAGCACAATGCTCTACCTCCCCTCCCAGGATGGGAAAGGAAAAGCTTTCATTTGCAAGACAGGGTCAGGGGTGTTGGGAGAAAAGAACAGAAAGAAATGAGTATTCATATTAAAAATGTAACCCTTGGCCATGCTACCTCTGGGAGACCCTGATATTAAACTGATCTAGGCAAGATGAGAGCAAAACTCCATCTACCCAAAGCCTGCATACAACTTTGTGCTCCCATAACCTATTTGGCTGCTCTGCCACAGTGTTTATTACGCTGCATTATGTAAGCCTGTCTCCCCATTAGACTGCACAGGAACTAGAGCAAAATGGACACTCAATAAATGTGAAGTAAATGAAGAAATGTGCAAATTCGGCTGGGTGCGGTAGCTCACACCTGTAATCCCAGCACTTTGGGAGGCCGAGGCGGGCGGATCACGAGATCAGGAGATCAAGACCATCCTGGCCAACATGGTGAAACCCTGTCTCTACTAAAATACAAAAAATTAGCCAGGCGTGGTGGTGTACGCCTGTAGTCCCAGCTACTCAGGAGGCTGAGGCAGTGGAATCGCTTGAACCGAGGAGGCAGAGGTTGCAGTGAGCCGAGATCACGCCACTGTACTCCAGCCTGGGGACAGAGCAAGATTCTGTCTCAAAAGAAAAAAAAAAAAGAAATGCGCAAATTCACAAGATCTCACAACAGAAGAGCTGCAACATCACACTTAAACTCCTGACCTGTTGTATGGAGTCATTGATTTAATTGCTGTGCTGCATTTTAGTTTGAGTCCATACTTTCCATATAAACATTTAATCATCCATCCATCCATCCATCATTTATTCATTCATTCATTCACACTGAATGCATTTTTTGAGTGTCTACCATGTGCAAGCCACTATGCTAGTCTCTAGGAAACTGAGAGCAAGCCAAAACAGGACATGCTGAGGACACCAGAGCAAGATTTTCCCCTATATTTTTCACAAAGTTGAAATAAAAAAGAAGAAAAAAATACAGAAATAAGTTAAATAATGAATAGTAGCTGCCAGAGAAAAGACTGGAGATATGCTCAAGGGAGAAAAAAAATGTCTTTCAAAGGTGATTGGAAAAGAAAGGCATTGGCAACACAGGGAAAAAAAAACAAAACAAAAAAAAAAAACAAGGAAAGACATTCTAGAAGGCAGGGAGTTATAAAATAGATCCTTAGTAGTGAGAAGAAATAAGTCTGCCAGTGCATTCTTATATTGCTACGGGCAAAGAAAAAGGGTGCCTGACTTGTCTGCATATTCTCTGAGAAAGTCCAGCTGTTCTCTGGAAAGCAGAATGCCTGCCTCTGGAGTGGAGCTGAGCCTTGCAAACTGATTAAAAAAACATGTACGGTCAGAGAATAAACACAAAGCTCAAGGATGTCTTGCTGTGTGCACTTTATGGGCACAGAGTACTGCTGCTCCTTTAATATAAAGCTATTATCCACAGTTGCTGACTCATGTTCCTAAATTCCACAAATGTCTTCCATTTTGTAGCACGCTCCTAACAGGCTTTCTATCCTTCCTGTGGATATCTCATCTGAGTTTGAGAGTGAGGATCCCAAAAGGAAGAATCCCAAGGGGAGTGTCCAGAGAGCAAGTGTTCCAAGAGAACCAGCCAGAGGCTGCATGTCGTTTTATGATCTAGCCTCAGAAATCACACAGTGTCACTTCTACCATACTCTATGGGTTCAAATGGGCACAAACCCACTGAGAGTCGAGGGAAAAGGACATAGACCCCACTTAAAGACAAGAGGTATGTGAAAGAATTTGAGGCCATATATTAAAACCAACATACTCACCAACTTTTTTTTTTTTTTTTAAATAGAGGACCTGATGCCTGGAGCTGCAGCAGCCATCTTGTAACCATCAGGAAAAACTCGAGAGAATCCCAGAGACACGAGTGCTGGCAATATGGAGCTAATGAACCAATCAGAAAACTGCTACCTCCAGACTTTTGAAGACGTGAGAAAAATTAACTCAATATTTGCTCTAGCCATTTTTAGATGCATTTGTTACTTGCAGGCGAAAGCCCTTCTAACTGATACACTACCTCCAGAGACAAGTAGTATAGACTCAGAATGTCATTAACAGATCTGGACGTGAAGGAGGCATAGAAATATAGAAATAAGATAGTGTTTCAGTCTTTCGTTACTGAGTTTCCATCAGTTCTGGCTAAGTCTCAGAGAATTTCAGAATGCTGCATAATTAGAACTAATTGACAAATTTTCCGTATAAAACTCATATAAAAATGCATTATTCCTAAAAATTGGTGAAGCCCTTCATGCCTACAAAGCACTTCCTGGTCTTCAGCCCCACAACTGGCATAGTTGATTTATACTCTTATTCCCATTCAGTCACAAGCCCCAGCAGTTCAGGAAATAAAGACATTTGTCTCTTCCAAGAAATTATACCCTTAGAAAACAAACCCTGGAAGAAGCACTGAGATTTCAGAAGGATGAAGAAAAGTCAAGAACTCCTCCAAATGTAAAAGTGAGGAAAAGCTCAAAAGCAATGGGTACCTGCTTCTTCCTACAGTGGGTGCCATCCCTATTCTGTCTAGAACACAGACACACACACACACACACACACACACACACACACACACACAGAGTCTGCTCCAAGAGTTGTTTTCTGAGCTCACCTGCCTGAGTTTGCCGAATCATCTATTTAACTCACGGGGCTAAGCACATTACCTCTTGCAATATGTGCTCATTGTATGTGTAAATGAAGTTCAGGAAAGAAATTAACTCATCATTCAGAGAACAGTTCTCCATAGTCAGTCCCCAACAGTAGATTCTGAGCCTGAGAAGACTTACTTCAGAAGTTGCTCTAGAGTTTAATATAACTCCAGTATGTGCCATTTGCTTCTGAGACATATGGAGTGCTTTGAGCTTCCTGGTCACAATAGAAAATGCAGGAATTGTTTTCAGAGAAGCTTCTGCTTCCCATTAGATAAAGCGATTCATTATCCCCATGGACATTTCAGCGTGTGCTCAGACCTCACACCACAGGATCCTCCTGTGGGGAGTTTCCACAATTGACTTAGTGAGGGCCAGCTTTTGGGCTGTGCTAGATCCATGGTGAGACACAGCTCAGAGCATCCGAACTCCTCCCTTCCAGCTTGCAGACCCCCCGCACTGCTCTGCTGGGGAAGCCCTACTCTCCAGATCTCCAAGAGAAGGTACTTTATTCTGGCATCCTTTATCAGTCCCAAGGTTACCAGCTAGGACCTTGCATTCCTCCTACTCTTTGCAGGCTTTGAGAGACCCTCAGAAGTATATGGTTCAGGCTTCTAACCCCACTCTTGGGTCCAACAATGCTTTGGAGTACACTGGACTGTAAATCCCAAGGCTGGTGCCCTGAGCACTATAACAAAACAGAATGACTTTAATATAAGGCAGAGTTTTATTTTTGAAAGTAAACAGGGACACACAATTGGACTCTTTCTAAAGCTTCCAATTTTCTCAAATTTTCCATTTGGATGATATGCATTAAGCCCATCCTTAGTGACCCCAGCTGGTCATTATCATTACTAACAACAAAATATAGCAGATATTTATTTGGATAATGATGCTGACTCAGTAGTCTAGAGGGAACACGCTTATGAAGGAAGGAGCTGCAGTCAACATTGTGCAAGTGATCTGCTGCTAAGCCTGAATGGGGCAGGACTGAGGTTCTGTAAAGAAATTACACTAGCTCCATTGTAAGGTGATGGTAAGTATGTGTGTGTGTGTGTGTGTGTGTGTGTGTGTGTGTGTGTGTGTATGCAGGTGCACATTTGTACTTTATCCCCTTAGAGGAAATGGAATCTTTTATTTTGTGAGGCATTCTGTTTTGCTGTTTTTCTAGCAATACATAAAGCTGTCTTATTCTAAGAAGGTCAAAGCATTTTATAGACATTACCTCAGCAGGCCATGCAAGAGTCTAGCAGAGTCCGCATGGTCAGGTATTATTGTTTCCTGAATCAATGTCCTGCTGCAACTCCTAAAAGGGCTCTTGAATGCTAACCAAAGTAGTCCCACCACTTCAAAGCTCACAGATGCTTAAATTAGACTTGAAGGTGAGGGTTCAAGGGAGGCGTTTTTCTTGGTTTCTAATTCTTGCCATCTGGTCTTAATCTGACTCCAGAGAGAAGCAAGCTGGCGGGTGACAGCTTAGAGCATGGCTAGTCTTTAGAAATGCCACCCAATCCTTTTCTGCATAATTGGTACCAGGATTTGCATAGATTTGCATACATTATGTATCTATCAGTATTCTTTTAGATCCCATTTAGAATTAAATTAATTTTGCTATATTTAAGATGTCATTCTAGGTGGCTTTTTCATTTTCTTTTTCAGATGGTTGTGCTACCTGCCTTTATTAGCCATTGCTGTATTGGGGTTTCCCAATGAAAACTGCTCTGTCAATAGCAAAGCCATTCATTTAATAAATACGTGTTGAGTAAATGAGTGAAGCCAAGATCTTGACCTGTCCATCCCAGTTATTAATCCTGAATCAACATCTTTAAGCTTGCTTGGGCTAGAGAACAATTGAATGTCTGGCTAGATGTGGGGAGCAGAACGAAGGCAAGGGCTACCCACAGGCTGGCCACGGAGAAGATGGACGGCATGTCTGATGCCTCAGGCTGTAGAAGTGGGGCTGTCTTGAGGCTATGGCACTTCCCCTTCTAACATGCCCCGGGTACTTTGGGCACACTCATCTGTTCCCCTGTCGTCTCCTCCTTTAGAACTGGGGTGGAAGAGAATGGGAAAGATAATTGGGATAAAGCAAGGTTGGAATTTGCCTGCTCAGTGACAGGCCATCCTCCTGTGCTTAGAGGGCCTTGCTGATAGTAATTCATGTTGAGACACTCTGCTCTTATCTTGGACAGCACTGCTTTCTTCTCGGCTATCTGAAGCCTTCTAGAAAAGCATTAAGTTCCCTCAAACACACTCCCCACACTAAAATGAGAGTCTTTTTTTGCTATAAGGAGGCTTTTTTTTTTTTTTTTGCCAATTCCAGTGTTGAACCTCTAAAGAATCCTGGGATTGAAGTTTACACAACCCTGGGGCTCTCTATCCAATGTATATAAGCACCCCTTGGCGAAGAGCTCTACCCTCACAGAGTCAGATTAAATAGGTCTGGACAGCCGTGGTGGCTCAGGCCTGTAATCCCAGCACTTTGGAAGGCTGAGGCAGGAGGATTACTTAAGGCCAGGAGTTTGAGATGAGCCTGGGCAACAAAATGAGACCCCATCTCTATGAAAAAAAAAAAAATTTAATTAGCTAGGTATGGTGGCATAGGCCTGTACTCCTAGGTACTTAGGAGGCTGAGATGGAAGGATCGCTTGAGCCCAGGAGTTTGAGGTTACAGTGAGCTATGATCACACCACTGCACTCCAGCCTGGGTGACAGAGCAAGGCCCTGTTTCTAAAAATTAAGTAAATAAAATAGGTCTGGAGTGGATTCCAGGAATCCAAACCCAGGTGTTGAAAAAGCAACTGTAGATAATACTGATGGGCAGTGGAGTTGAGAACCTCTAACAACTCATTTACCAGTGAAGGGAATTTGGTTCAGAGAGATGTAATTTAGTAGAAAGCCAAGCCCTAGAACCAGATTTCTCCCCGGTTTCCAATACACCCACACCATTTCTTTTTCCCCACAAAAGTTCTTGTCAAATATTTCAAGAAACAGAAGAATAAAAGTGATTTGCTGAGGGTTGAGATTGGGGGAAATAAGGTATCTGTATTTAAGGCAGTGGCACCTGGAGTAAGGTAGAGAATAGACTCTTATGAGGGCAAGAATATGGTCTTCCCAAGCTTTGCTTTTACAGAAACGGAAACTAGCAGTTCCCAGAAGCCTGCTAAAGAATAAAAACCAGGCGTGGTGGCTCATGCCTGTAACCAAAGCACTTTGGGAGGCCAAGGCGGGCATATCACCTCAGGTCAGGAGTTTGAGACCAGCCTGGCAAACATGGTGAAACCCCATCTCTACCAAAAAATACAAAATTAGCCGAGTGTGGTAGCGTGCACCTATAGTCCCAGCTACCGGGAGGCTGAGGCAGGAGAATCACTTGAACCCGGCAGTTGGGGGTTTCAGTGAGCCAAGATTGTGTCACTGGGTGATAGAGTGAGACCTCGTCTCAAAATAATAATAATAATAATAAAGTCCATCGAGTTACACAGGGCCCCACTTAACAGCCCTCGCCACTGATCCAACTTAACGTTGGCTTCTCAGCTCAGGTTTCCGATAAGGTCAGAGGTGGTTTCCTGGGATAAGAAATGGAAGCTCCTTATTCTTAATCTTCCAAAGAATCCAAAGGGTTCTTCAGAAACACTTTGCCAAGGGTCAGGGACCCTGAGTTCAAAAGCTATCAGGGATTGATATTCAGCCGAATCGCTCTTTGGCCCTCCTTAAGGCACCTTCTGGAATTCCTAGGCCATATTTTGCTTTGCAGCAAAAGAGCATTAGAGGCTTAATCTAAGACTCAGGAAAGTTCTCAAAACTCAAGAAATTGTGAAAACATAAGACCTCAGTGGTTAAGAGAGTCCTCATGGTTGCCCTTAACTCTCTGTAGTCCCCAGACTGAACTCTATACCAAAAATACAGTTTCAAAGTCTACGCAAAACAGGAAGGTGCATTTGATCTAAAGGTAACCGAGGAGTCCTGACTGCATCAAGCCCAGGAGCTCTGCCCCACACTAAGATAAATGATATGTGAACTACACAAATACTGTTTGGCTTCTTTACACCACGCAACACATGGACTTTTGTGTGCTTCCCAACCTACTTCCCAGAACTTACGTAGTGAGAACTTATCTATTTTGCAGACGATGCCGTGCATACGTTGTCTCATCTAATCCTCACAGAAATCTCATAAGGTAGGTGTCACCATCCTTTACAGATGAAAGAAACTCCCCCAGATCACTTAGAAAGCAGCAGGGCCATGGCTCACTCCTATAATCCCAGCACTTTGGGAGGCCGAGGCAAGTGAATCACTTGAAGTCAGGAGACCGAGACCAACCTGGTCAACATGGTGAAACCCGGTCTCTACTAAAAAAAATACAAAGAGTACCTGGGCATGGTGGCATGCACCTGTAATCCCAGCTACTCAGGAGGCTGAAGCAAGAGAATTGCTTGAACCTGGGAGGTGGAAGTTGCAGTGAGCCGAGATCGCACTACTGCACTCCAGCCTGGGTGACAGAGGGAGACTCTATCTCAAAATAAAAAAGAAAGAAAGAAACCAGCAGGGCCAGGATTTGAGCTCATGTCTGTCCAGCTCCAAAGGATATGCTCTTTTCACTACATAGGCAACCTCTCCTGAAAAAGCAAGAGAAGAGTTGGGTGACTCAAACACGCTTGCTCTCCCCTGCTATAGAATGACTCTGCCCTTTGCCTGGTGTTTGGAAGTCCAAGTTGAGCCTCATATCTGTGAGGATCCCCCTCTCACCATGAGGAGAAAGCAATGTGCATTCCCCCCTTCTCCGCAGAGCTTTCCTGGGCCCTAGGGCTAGAGACAGCTCTGCTGAAGCAGCTTAAATATGTACATTTCCAGGAAGAATATTCTTTAGTTAAAACCTGCTGTTTTGAATTTCTACAGCTATGGCTTTGCCTAACTTCCTGCAGCAGATGGATTTACAAAATTCTCTTGCAGAGCATGGGAGCTGGGAGCAGAGCTGCCTCCTGAAGATGGCTGAGCCTGGTTTTGTTGTTTTGTTTTTTGGTTTGTTGTTTTTCTGATTATGAGATACAAAACCACAGTGAAACATTTAGTTGTCTTCCAAATAGCCATCTTGGCACAGATTTGAAACATTAGCACGATCATGTGTCTTTAGTGTCAGAGAAGGAGTCATTTAACTTTTCAAAGAGAGATTTCTACTTAATACCAGCTCGCACAGCAACGGAAGCCAAAAGGGACTTGTTTTCTACTGATTTTCTTCTAAGCAATTCAAAATTTGACACACTAGCAGAGGGCTTTGAATGGGAGAAGACATGCTCCACAGTGTGGTGAATAAGTAAGTGGCTACAAGTCATCCCTATAGATGAGGGCAGGTGATCTGGCCATTCTAAAGTTGAGAACACAGAGGCTGTGCCTAGGGGAACGACACTGGCCTGTCAACACCCTTGGCACTACTGTGCTGAGCAATTTACATGCACAAGCTCAGTTGGTCTTCATAACAATCCTGTAAGGCAAAATAGTATTTTTGTGACAAATGAAGAGCTGATGTTGAATGAGGTCGAGCAATTTACCCCCATTCTCACAGCCAGAAAGAAGTGGACCTATGCAGACTTTCCTATTCAGCCCATCACTTCTTTTCATCTCACGGGTGTGTGTCACTGAACCCATCGTGAATGGAATTTTGCTTTCTGGGCTCACTGTCAGATGAACTGCCTTGCAGATCCAGCAAGAGGTTCTCCGAGAAGAGTGAGGTAACTCCGGAGGGGCTGAGTCCTGACCTGAATCCTAGCTGACTCCAGAGTCTTTTCTGAGCACAAAAGTCCAAGACATAGCGGCAAAATCTCTCAGCACTGTACTGGCTCATGTTCTCCCCAGCCACTCTAAGGCAACCAGAAGAGGAGGTGGAGATGCCCCTGAAGCCCAGGGCTTTTTATTTACCCCAAACTCTCCTGAAAGACAAATATGTGCTCATCAGCTCCCAGCCTCTCAGGGCTTCCTGTTTTCTTAGGTGCTCTATCACATCTGCTGCTTCACTGCCTTGGGTTAAGTTCACATCCACTGAAGAACAAAGCTGAAGAATTAGGGGTGAGACCCCAGCACTTTTCTTTTTTCTTTCAATCTAAAGCAATTCATAGATAAGCCTCTTTCCCAGCCTGTTTACAAAGAGCTATCCTAAATCTCATTGTTGTATACAAACTCCAGTGTGGGGCTTATCCTCACTCATAGGGCACAGAAGTCTCAATGGAATATCATAAACCATTATTTAGAATAAAAAATTATGACCAAAATGTAACATTTCCACAGGCATCACCAACCCCTGTAATTTTTACCATATTCCATATTTGATTTATCGCCAAAGAGAAACGTGCCCTGAGATCAATCTAAGGCAAAAGGGGGTGGTTTAGTACTCCTTTTCTGATGCTTAGAAGAGCTATTTTTATCATTAATTCAAAGATTTAGAGTAAGGTGGTTCTTGATGAAATTCCTTGTGGGGACCTTAATCTTAAGTCTCCTAGAATCCATCCTTTGCTGTACTACTTTTCTGGTCTTTTTGTGCCAAAATAAGCATTTTTCCTAGACTAAGCTCTTTTCAGTTTTGCTAGTAAAAATCACTGCAGTATACAATGTTATATTGAATATTAATATTGGCATCAGAATTTTCAGAGCATTAAAAAATGCCTGTATGACTGGTACTTCTTATTGAAAACTCATTTAGAATATTTCCCTTGACTTTCTAATTGTTCATTTGAAAATGAGGGAGGTAGATTAGATTATATATGTAGCTCCTTCCAAGTCAGATAATTTCTGAATCTATGAAGGTCTAGAATATTTCTCCAGAATCCCTCAGTAGACTCTCTTAGAAGTTAGTTTTTTAAAATAATTTAGGATAAATATTTTCATCATCCCAACATACTCCAAATAAAATTCATATTATTTTTGCTAAAATATTAAGCTGGGTTTGTTGAAACGTATTCTGAAGGGGAGAAAAGGTATTATCTTTTTCTCACTGATGACAAGGTTCGTGGCTGACACCCCATAACAAAAGACAGATTAACAAGAGAAAATCATAACAAAATTGTTTAACTAGAGTTTTACATGACATGGGAGCCTTCAGAAATGAATACCCTCAAACCAGGGGAAAATTGTGATTTTTTTTTTCTTTTTCTTGTCTTTTTTTTTTTTTTTTTTTTTTTGGCTTAGGTTCTATGAAGAACGGGCAGTCATGTAGAACTACAACTGGACAAAAAGGGAGTATGACCCAGTGGTAATAAACTGAGGGGAACTTAGCAAGAGAGTTCAGAGAACTCCTTTTCTTTTGTTTTCTTTTCTTTTCTTTTTTTTTTTTTTTTTTTTTTTTTTGAGATGGAGTCTTGCTCTGTCGCCCAGGGTGGAGTGCAGTGGTGCTATCTCGACTCACTGAAACCTCCACCTCCTGGGTTCAAGCAATTCTCCTGCCTCAGCCTCCCAAGTAGCTGGGACTACAGGCTCGTGCCACCACGCCCAGCTAATCTGTGTGTTTTTAGTAGAGACAGGGTTTCACCATATTGGCCAGTCTGGTCTCAAACTCGTGACCTCATGATCCACCTGCCTCAGCCTCCCAAAGTGCTGGGATTACAGGCATGAAACACCGCGCCTGGCCGAGAATTTATTTATGGCCATGTTTTAGGGGAGAAAAATGGGAGAAGCTCAGAGTGACCTTCTTGCTTCTGTGGCTTTCTCAATTGTCAAGGTGCTATATTTTGGGGTATCATGCCCTAGGCCCCAATAATTTCCTTTTTCCTTTCTTTCATTTTCTATAAATGCATCTACTTAGCTAAAAAGTCAAATACTCAAATGTAGATTATTTTGTCTATACAAGTTTTGCCATTTAAAACTTTTTGCCATTTAAATTATTTTCTTTATGTGCATTATGGCTTCAGAACGGCAACTCAGGGAAAAGCAGCTTACACCCATACACGTACATGCTTATCTCTTCCTGCTGAAACCAAGACCCCTCTGATTAGTGAAGACTGTTACTTGGGGAATGACTGAGCAGTACATGAGTTTAGGAGTTCCTCCTTTTTGTGTTAAGCATGGTTTGGCTTAACTCCAAACCAGGCATGGGAAGTCTTAGTCACACTAGGCCACTGAGTTTGTATTTGCAAGGAAATCTCTGGTTTGCTTTCTGTGTCACCTAGCACACATCTCCAAAGATTTTACTTGTATCACTTTGAACCCTAGAACAAATATTTTGACATCACACAGTATACACAGCAGAATCCCACAGCTTACAATGCAATAATGCACTTACTTTCAGCAAAGCAAGGAGGAAAAGGAGGGAGAGGGAGCTGGTTAAAACTAGAAGTTTCTACAAGTTAGCTTGCTTAATCAGTAGGAGGTGGGTTTATTTGTTTTGTTCTCTTTTAGTGGTTACTTTCTATTAATGAAGACTGTGTGTACTTGTGTTTGGGGTAAGCTTAGTCATTGACATAGGGACAGGGCTGGAAAACCTAAGTTAAGCTTAGCAAGTTAACACCATAGAGGATAACAACAAAGACTGTCTCTGTAAACAAACTTTAGACCAGGTTCTTTGTGCCCTCTTCTCAAATAGGCCTCATCTTTGGGCCTTGTCTTTGGCCTGCCTAGTCCAGTTTTAGCAAGAATTCTGCTAAGTCAGTCTAGCAAAAATCCCCTATCCTTGATATCTAATCACCCTGGCCTGCCTTCAGCAAGAATTCTGTTAGTCTCTTTAGAAGAATTTCCCTATCTTCGTTGTCTCCTCTTAGTAATTTTCCATTCACGGACCCCCTCACTCTGTTCATTGGATATAAATGCCCCACGGCTTTGCTATATTCAGAGTTGAACCCAATGTCTCTCCCCTACTGCAATAGTCTTGATACCTATTGCAATAGTCCTGAATAAAATCTTCCTTACTGTTTTAACAACTGTCAGAATTTTTTTTTTTAACAAGGGTCAGGCTGTTATTTGTTATGTGTGTTGTAAAACAAAGCATTTACAATCTTCTCCAAGTTTTATAGCTCAGTTTTAGCCATGGGTATTAAAATATGATCTCCTGCCTGGGACCTGAAGGCTCCAAAGCCCTTATTGCAATTGTGCTTAATACATCCCTCTAACCCATCCCCGTTTCTACCCTTCTGGGACAAGAAAAGCTGTGCCTTACTTAAAACTGCTGTGAGCATGAAAACATTCCACTGGATGGGGCTGGAGGCACAGGGTGAGGGGCAGCAGCTCTACTTTGAGCCGTAAAGTGCTAAGTGGGAGTTTCGTTTGCCAAGAAGGGGCCTTCCTGCACAAGGTGGAAGGTGGTGTTGGTGAATGAATAATTGCCAGGGAAGTATCACCAGACACCAGGATAAGATTTTATGGGTCATTGGGAGGAGAAAGCAGCTAACAGCATCCTTGTTGAGTCTTTAGAGGCACAGAGTAGAAGCCCGAGGGAGAGTAAACAGCAAAAATAGTTAAGGAAAAAATAAGCTACAAATAGTAAGGAGGGGAAGTGGGAGCACTGAGCATCAGGGAAATTTCTGGCAGAACTCTAGCAAATGCCTGCACAAAATCACACCAACCTGATGATGCTGTCATTCCTGATCATTTCCTCCAGCCAAGGGGTTGCTCTCCAAACTTACGGAAGAGAGAACCTGAAGGCAGTGACCTACCTATTCACCAGCTTATACATCAGCATGAGTTAGTTATTCCAGCTTATTTTATGAGCTGTTATTCAAGCATTTGAGTATCACCAATGGTGAGGTATTGGGTGATTTATTGCAGAATATTATTCCTCTGTCACTAAGTGTAATGAGATCATTTGCAAATTTTATTTTTTCTCTGCCTTCTAAATGCATGCAATTGTTAGACCACATATTTGACAGCTGATATGATCCACAAAACAAAGGCAGATTCCCTCTATTCATCGTATAACTTAAAGAGAAAGCTTCTTCCCTACCAGTTTCCTAGAGCACTATCAACCTTGCTAACATCTTTGCATCCACTTCCTTGGCTTAAAACAGCATTGAAAGTTGCTTTTGAGTTTCTTAATGCACTGAAGATGCGATTCCTAAAGAACCTGAGAACTATGGACTCTGATGAAGATGCATGTTGGGAGATGTGAGACAATAAGCAGATCAATGCCATTCCATCAGTCTCTTCTTCCCACTGTTCTCTGCAAGTATCTATTGAGCAGAGCATTGAAGTTTATAGCGCTGTCAATGCCATGCAGGGAAGCCCATTGGGCTGGGTGTTTTGTATTTGTACTGTAGATCTACTCTCCACTTTGCCCCTTTCTGTTCCCTGGGAGGCTGCGCTCTGTGGACCATATCACTCCAGCTCACTTGTCCTCTGGCTTTTATTAAGTTTAGCCAATGAGAGTCATTGGCAGGAGATCACAGAGTGAGAGGAGTGAACACCTCTGAAAGCAAATTTCTTCCCACTCTAGCCTCCTCCCACTCCCTCTCCCTCTCTCCCAGGCTCTATTATACAGTGACTGTAATCCTGGCACTAGGCCACTTCTCCTATCGGGTGGAATCTCTCTTGCCAGAGAACTACAGGTTGTACTAATTTCTGGTAACCACTCTCTGCCTTCCTTCAGACCATGCAGGGAGTGATGCCAGTTCCTGCTGTGCTGTTCCCTGTCACCATCCTTTGGTGGTTTGCTTTAACGTTACTCACACATTTTTTAAACTATCCTCTATAGTTGACCTTTTGAGTGGGCCATGTCTTCCCTACTGGGACCTTAACCACAACCTCTTCATTCATTGTCAGGATTTTATATCTACGTCAACTTTCCAAAACACAGCTAAAATCTAAAATGTTGTTTTTCACATTTAAGAGCATTTTTAGATTGCAAAGAAGTAGCTATAGATTCCATTCCCAGCAACATGAGGACCCCTGAGGACTCATTTTCCAGTGAAATGATCGTAACTGATAAAAATCATTTTTAAAAAATTAAAGTTCCCAGAAATTGTTCTAAGGGTATACAGAAAATAAATCTATTCAAGAAAATCTACTAAATCTTGGTAAGAATAGTGAGGTTGTGGCACTTGAGCCATGACACACTAGCTTCCTCCCCACTCCAGCTCAATTTGAGGAAGGTTTCACTCTGAGTGGGACTGGTCAAAAGGTGAGGCTCCCTTTCCCTCTACTCGCTTGTTAAGGGATATGCAATCTCGCAGGAAAGGGCAGGACACCAGTGTTTCTCATCCTCTCCAATTCCAGGTTGGAAAGGCTAAATTCCTGGTAAGTATGGCCCAGCTGTTGGGAGCTCCTTTCTACCACCCACAACCCCACACATAGAGCGGTGGCTCTACAGCAGATGTGGCAGGCCAGGAACACTAGGGCCCCAATTATCACCCTCCAGCTCACTCACAGGACTGAGGCTCCACACAGAAGAAGCAAAATAAGAAGACCAGAGGCTACTACCCCATGCCAAGCACCCAAAGCTTGGTTTTTATTCAGAGGAAGAAGCAAATCATAAAAAAGAGGGCTCTGAAGCTCTCCCAAAAAGAAATTACTTTAGGGTAGGTACAGTGGCTCATACCTGCAATCCCAGCACTTTGGGAGGCCGAGGCAGGTGGATCACGAGGTCAGGAGATTGAGACCATCCTGGCTAACATGGTGAAACCCCGTCTCTACCAAAAATACAAAAATTTAGCTGGGCGTGGTAGCACACACCTGTAGTCCCAGCTACTCAGGAGGCTGAGGCAGGAGAATCGCTTGAACCCGGGAGGCGGAGCTTGCGGTGAGCGGAGATCGCGCCACTGCCCTCCAGCCTGGGTGACAGAGTGAAAAAAAAAATACTTTATTATAAATAGAGTGTGGGGAAGTTCAAGCCTAAGGACACTCTCAAAAACAATGGACATTTTGATGGTAAATAATTAAAAGGAGGCTGGTAGCTCTGTAAGAGTAACAAGCTAAATCATAGGCTAGCTAATTTAAGAGAGAAAATCAGGGAAAGAAACAGCTAAGAAGAGTACTCTTGGCAACAGAACAAACCTCAAAGACTGGCCTCAAAAATTATTCCTGCTTGAATTTAATCGGGTCAGGCTGTGGAACGAATTATGCCCCAGGAACTGTCAAAACAATAGAGCAATCTGCTAGAAATTGGTGAAGTCTAACAGCTTAGTGTGATACCAAATAAGGCAGACAGCTTAATGGAGAGCTTAGGGAAAGAGAAAGTCAAAAGTAAAATGGCAGACATAAATCCAATTACAGCCATAATAACATTAGATTCAATATGAACTGATTAAATGATCAAATCAAATAGGCAGAGATTGTCAAACTGGATTTTTAAAAAAGATCCAACTATATGTTGTCTACAGGAGACATACTTTAGATTAAAATTTTCAAATATGTTAAAAGTAAAAAGATATAAATATATATATGTCATGCAAACAGCAACCATAAGAAAGCTGGAATGTCCATACTAATACAGACAAAAAAGACTTTAAACCAAAAAAGTTATGATACATAATGAAGAACATCTTATGATGATTAAAATATCAATTCATCTGGAAGATATTACAATTATAGACATATATATCTCTAAAAAAAAGAACCGCAAAATACAAAAAGCAATTGACAGAATTGAAAGGAAAAATAGACAGGTCTACAATGAGAGTTGAAGACTTCGATATACTAGTCTCCCCTTAGCCATGGGGGATACGTTCTAAGACCCCCAGTAGATGACTGAAACCATGAATACAATATTAAACGCTAAATACACTATGTTTTTTTCCTATATACATAACTATGATGAAGTTTAATTTATAAATTAGGCCTGGTAAGAGATTAACAATGATTAATAATAAAATAGAACAATTATAGCAATCAGAACACGTTTTCTTGTCATGTCTTCTACCCACAATTTAATGCCTTTCCCATCTTAACTGAGCACATATTATGCAGTTTTGCAGTTTGAGGAGCAGCAGCAAAACTAGCACATATTTCTTTTTCCTTCTTCACAATTTTGTGGATAGAAGATGCATGCTTAACACAGATGTTAGCAAACTCAGTATATTATTATCATTATTATTATTATTTTTGAGACGGAGTCTCGCACTGTCGCCCAGGCTGGAGTGCAGTGGCGTGATCTCGGCTCACTGCAACCTCTGCCTCCTGGGTTCAAGTGATTCTCCTGCCTCAGTCTCCTGAGTAGCTGGGATTACAGGTGCCCACCACCATGTCTGGCTAATTTTTTGTATTTTTAGTAGAGACGGGGTTTCACTATTTTGGCCAGGCTGGTCTCAAACTCCTGAATTTGTGATCCACCTGCTTCGGCCTCCCAAAGTGCTAGGATTACAGGCTTGAGTCACTGTGCCTGGCCAATGTATGATTTATTTTTCTTTATTAAGTTGGGAACTTTCACCTTTTCACTTAAATAAAAGCACTTTATGGCTTCTCTTTGGCATATCCAAACTGCCAGCATCACTACTCTTGCACTGTGAAACTATCATTAAGTGAAATAAAATAAGGGTCACTTGAACACAGGCACCGCAGCACAAAAACAGTTGATCTGATGGCCAAGACAGCTGCTAAGTGACTAACAGTCAGGTAGCATATAGGCAAGGGAATGATTCACATCCCAGGCAGGACATAGTGAGCACAAGGTTTCACCATCTACTCAGAACAGTACACAATTTAAAACTTATGAATTGTTTATTTCTGGAATTTTCCATGTGATATTTTCAGACCATGTTTGACCTCATGTATTAAGATCCTGGAAAGGAAAACCATGGATAGGAGGACTACTGTACTAGATAGATAATAAATAAGAAAATAGAGGACCTGAATGCACTCTAAACCAACTAGATCTGACAGACACTTATAAAAAAGTTCATCCCAAAACCACAAAATACACTTATTGTCAAGTGCACAGGGGACATTCTCTAGGATAGACTTGTAAACTAAAAATAAAATTCTAATTCCTCTACCAACTGAACAGACTCCCTCTTGGCCAAGGGGACCACAGAGAAACCTTAAACACTGAGTTCCCAGACATGACAAGAAGGGAGGGCAGACACATCTCATAGTACCCCCTCCCTTTTGGAGTTTAGGCACAACAACTGACCAGCATTAGTGTTAAAAGAAAGATCATAAGATTGACAAAACAGACTCTCTGTGGCAATAAAATACCAAATTATAAAGAAGACCGAAGGCTATGAAAGACAAGGGTTAAGTCACACCAAGTTAGAGACAGAGCCTTACTCTTTAACCCACTGGAAATTAAAGAATCTCTGAATCCACCTATAACTTGTAATAAGTCCCCTGCTTTCAGATATCCCACCTTTTTAGCCTGACTCTATATATACCTTTCATGTATTGATTTATGTCTTTACTTATAACTCCTATGACATGGTTTGACTTTGTGTCCCACCCAAATCTCATCTCAAATTGTAATCCCCATAAACCCCATGTGTTGAGGGAGAGACCTGGTGGGAGGTGATTGGATCATGGGGGTGGTTTCCTCCATCCTGTTCATGATAGTGAGTTCTCATGAGATCTCATGGTTTTATAAGGGGCTCTTCCCCCTTTGCTCACTCTTGCTCTCTCGCACCTGCAGCCATGTAAGGTGTGCCTGCTTCCTTTTTGCCATGATTGTAAGTTTCCTGAGGCCTCCTCGGCCATGTGGAACTGAGTCAATTAAACTTCTTTTCTTTATAAATTACCCAGTCTCAGGTATTTCTTTATAGCAGTGTGAAAACAGACTAACACATCCTACCTCCCTGAAATGTATGAAACCAACTGTAATCTGACTACCTTGGGTGCGTTTTCTCAGGACTTTTTAAGACTGTGTTTCCCCAGGCTGCAGTCATTCATATTAGCTCAGAATAAATTTCTTTAAAATATTTACAGAGTTTGGTATTTTCATTAACAGACTGTATGCTAAGTCATAAAACAGCCTGAATAAATTTAAAAGAATTGAAATCATGCAAAGTATGTTTGCCAACCAAAATGTAGTAAAATTAGAAATTGATAACAAAAAAATTTGAAAAATTTACAAATACGTGAAAATTAAACAACACAATACTAAATAACCAATGAGTCAAAGAAGAAATCAGAAGTGAAATTAGAAAATATTCTCAGATAAGTAAAAATAAAGACACAACATCCCAAAGCTTATGGGATGTAGCTAAAGCAGTGCTTAGAGGAAATTTGAGAACTGAAAACGCTTATGTTAAAAAATAAGAAATATCTCAAGTCATTAACATGACTCCTTAAGGCACTAGAAAAAGAAGAGCAACTAAACAAAAAGCAAGCAAAGGAAGAAAACAATAAGGATTAGGGAATAAACTACTGAATAGAGGCTAGGAAAAATAATGAATAAAATCAACAGAATCAAAAACTGGATCTTTGAAAAGAATAAGAAAACTGGCAAATATTTAGTTAGACTGACCAAGCAAAAAAGAGAAAACTCAAATTACTAAAATTAAAAATGAAGCAGGGACAGTTCTACTGAAATAAATAAAATTATAGGGGAATATTATGAACAACTGCCTGTCAACAAATTGAATACTTTAGATGAAATATAAGAATTTCCACAAAGACACAAACTACCAAAACTGACCCAAGAAGAAATATAAATTTGAATAGACCTATAACAAGTAAAGAAATTGAATTACTAGGCCCAGATGGCTTTACTCGTGAACTCTACCAAGGATTTAAGTTAGAATTAGGCCAGGTGTGGTGGCTCATGCCTGTAATCCCAGCATTTTGGGAGGCCAAGGTGGGCAGATCACTTGAGGTCAGGAGTTCAAGACCAGCCTGGGATTCAATGCTGTAATCCCAGCAGCTCAGGAAGCTGAGACAGGAGAATCACTTGAACCCAGGAGGCAGAGGTTGCAATGAGCCAGGATCGCACCACCACACTCCACCCTGGGTGACAGAGCAAAACTCTGTCTCAAAAAAATAAGTAAAAAAAAAAGTGATAATTAATAGTATTCCTTATAAACTCTTCCAAAACAAAGAAGCAAGGGGAAACCTTCCCAACTGATTCAATGAGGCCAGTATTATTCTGATAACAAAACCAAACGAAGACATCACAGAAAAGAAAACTAGCACTAGCAGCTCTAGTCAGAGCAGTTATGCAATATAATAAAATAAAAGGCACCATATTGGAAAGGAAAAAGTATAGCTATCTCTATTTGCAGATGACAAGATCACATATATTGAAAATCCTAAGGAATCCATTAAAAACAGTATTAGAACATATGAATGAGTTTGGCAAGTTGCAAAATACAAGATCATTATACAAAAGTCAATTGAATTTCTATATGCTTATAATAAACATTCCAAAAATAAAATTAGGAAAACAATTCCATTTGTAATAGCATTGAAAAATACTTACGAGTACAATTAAGAAAAGAAATGCAAACCTTATACTCTGAAAGCTAAAAAACATTATTTAAATAAATTAAAGAATATCCAAGTAAACAGAAAGATATCCCATGTTCATGGACTGGAAGATACAATATTGTTAAGATGACAATACTTCTCAAATTGATGTATAGATTTATCACAATCCCTATCAATGTCACAGCTAGCTTCTTCACAGAAATTGACAAGCTGATCCCAAAATTCCAATGAAAATTTAATTAATCCAGAATATCTAAAACAATGTTGAAAAAGACAAAGTAGGAGGGCTCACACTTCCTGATTTCAAAATTTACTACAAAGCTACAGTAATCAAGAAAATACGGTACTGGCATAGGAAAGATATGTAGATTAATAAAACAGAATTGAAAGTCCAAAAATAAACCATTGGGTATTAGATCAACTGATTTTCAGCAAGAGTGCCAAGATATTTCAATGGAGAAAGAGTAATTTTTTTAATAAATGGTGTTGGGACAACTGGATATCCATGTGCAAAAGGAAGTTGGACCACTAACTCACACCATATACAAAAATTAGCTTAAAATGAATCTAAAAGCTAAACGTAAGAGCTAACTGTAAAACTTTTGAAGGAAACATAACTACAAATCTTTGTGACTTTGAATTTAGCAATGATTGCTTAGATATGAAACCAAAAGCACAATTAAAAAAAGAAAAAAAAATGAAAAATTGAAAATTGTCAAAATTAAAAACTTTTGTACTGAAAAGGATATCATGTAGAAAGTTTAAAAACAGCCCACAGAATGGGAGAAAATATTTGCAAATTGCATATCTGATGAGGCATGTATATCTAGAATAGTTAGAGAACTATTTCAACTCAGTAATGAAAAGACAACCCAATTAAAAATGAGCAAAATATCGGAACAGACAGTTCTCCAAACTAGATACACAAATGAACAATAAGCACATTAAATTATGCTCAACATCATTAGTCATCAGGAAAATGCAAATCAAAACCATGATAAAATACAATACCACACCTACTAGGTTGCTAATAATATACATTTTTTTTAAAAAAACAGATAACAAGTATTCAAAAAGGATGTGGAGAAATTGGGACTCTCATACATAGCTGGTGGCAATTTAAAATGATGCAGCCACTATGGAAAATGATTTGATAGTTCCTCTGAGTTACCATATGACTCAGCAATTCTATTCCTAGGTATATCCTAAGATAAATGAAAATATAAGCAATTTATAAATGAATGTTTATAGTAGTAGTATTCATAATAGCCACACACTAGAAACAACCTAAATATCCAACAATTGATGAGTGGATAAATAAAATGTGATATATCCATACAATGCCATATTATTAGGCCATAAAAAGGAATGAAATACCGATACATGCTACAACATGAGTAAGACTTGAAAAAGAAGCCAATCACAAAAGACCATATATTGTATGACTTCACTTATATGAAATATTTAGAATAGGCAAATCTTCAGAGAAAGAAATTAGATTCATGGTTGCCTAGGGCTGGAAGGGGTGGGGAAAATGAGAGTGACTGTTAATGGTTTCTTTTAAGGAGGATGAAAATGTCCTAAAATTGATTGGGGTGATGATTTCCCAACTCTGTAACAACAACAACAAAAAAGATTAGTCATGGGTTCTGTAATTAAAAACCACTAAATCGTAAACTTTAAACAGGTGGATTGTATGGTATGTAAATTATTTATCAACAAAGCAGCTATTAGTGTTTTTAAACATGATATAATTTTTTTTTCTGATGTAGGAAGGAAAACCAACCATTACTGGAGAGCAGTGTTTCTCACCATTCGCCTTCACACTCTTCAATTCAGTCAGACCGAGTTCCTGCTGTACAGGATGTCCGGGTGGTAGAGTGTAATGGCTAAGAGCTAGTTGCCTGTGTTGGAATTCTGGCTTAATCACTTACTAGATGTGGGACATCAGGAAAGTTCCTTAACCTCCCTGTGCCTCAGTCCCGTTAGCTGTAAAATGAGGACATTAATAATTTCTAGCTCAAAGCGTTTTTAGGGGAATTAAAAATGCAACACATTAAACTCGTAGAACAATGCCCAGCACATAAGTGCTATATAAGAACTGCTTTATCCCAGCACTTCGGGAGGCCAAGGCGGGCGGATCACAAGGTCAGGAGATCGAGACTATACTGGCTAACACGGTGAAACCCCGTCTCTACTAAAAATACAAAAAAATCAGCCAGGCATGGTGGCATGTCCCTGTAGTCCCAGCTAGTTATGAGGTTGAGGCAGGAGAATCGCTTGAACCCGGGAGGTGGAGGTTGCAGTGAGCCAAGATGGCACTACTGCACTCCAGCCTGGGCGACAGAGCAAGATTCCGTTTCAAAAAAGTAAAAAAGAAAAAAAAGAACTGCGTTATTATTTTTTTCAAGTTTCAGTTATTTATTAATCAGTATAATCTACAGTAGATTGCATCAACATTATTTCATGCATTTAGAGGACAAATATATTAAGTGGAAAATTGTGCGGATGGCTGCTGGAAAACCTTCATTCTAAAGCAGCTTTATAGCGAAACATTTCATTTGGAAATCTGGACCTTCTTTCTTCAGTTCGCTGTAATCCATTCACTGAGTAGAACTTGTATTGATCATTGGGACCCAGTTTGTTCCAGGGTTCTGGGTTATTCTTTCTGTCCCAACTAACAACTGGATTGATCAATGCCAGGTGCAAAAGATACAGTGCCACTCCAGTATCTCCAGTTCCAATAAATACGAAGAGGGGGATCAAGCTTGGATGCGTAGTGGCCTGACTGATGATCCGGCAGAGCATGTTTGCGGTAGAGGCCTCCGATTAGAAAGGAGAGAACCAGACTAGCCACCAGGTCCTGGGCTAAGTAGTATCTGCCAACTGCTTTATTATTAACCCATTCCCCTCCCTAACACTACCCTGAATTCACCTGTCACAGGGATAGGCCAGTCTCCAGATTCCATTCCCCAGTCCACAGTGATTGGTTCAGAGATGGGCACATGAGTCCATCAGGCCAATGAGACTCAAATCTAAGACTCGGGTTGAGCTGTTGGGGTAGCAGACTCCTTTCTCCCAGCTGGTCTTACAAATATGAAGCATTTGGCTTCCAGACGTACAGGCAGTCATTAGAGAGCCGCAGGAGAGAACCCACCTGAAGAGGCAGTCCTATGAGTAACAACGTAATTTCCTCCTAAAAATCTTTCTCCCACCATCATCACATACAGACTGGATTAAGCGATCCTTATACACAGTCCTGTAACCATCTCTGGATCTCTTAACCCTAAGGTCAGAAACATCTCCTTTTGCCCAGGGTGATCTCGGTGTAAACCTCTTGGCCCAGCATAATTATTGAGAGTTCCCCCTTCATCTTCAGGTCCCAGTTTGAATGATAAACTACATAATTATCTATCACAAAATGTATGTACGCTTACGTTGTTATTTGTTTAATTATCTGACTTCCTTGTTAGATACTAAGCCTTGTAAAAGGCAGGAACTATAACTATATTGGCCATTGTTTTATTCCCAATAGCTAACACAGTGCCTGGCATAGAACAGGTGTTGAATAGTTGTCTGCATAATAAATGAATAAAAGAATTTTTAAAAATCATCACCACACCTAGTCCTAGCCCCAGGGTTTTTCACTTTCAAAATCATCACCCCTTAAAACTGTCCCTAATATTTGTTTTCTAAGCTTACCTTTAAATGAATTAAAATATATCAGAAGGGGCTGGGCGCGGTGGCTCACGCCTGTAATCCTAGCACTTTGGGAGGCTGAGGTGGGCGGATCACGAGGTCAGGAGATCGAGACTATCCTGGCTAACACGGTGAAACCCCGTCTCTACTAAAAATTCAAAAAATTAGCCGGGCGTGGTGGCAGACGCCTGTAGTCCCAGCTACTCGGGAGGCTGAGGTGGGAGAATGGCATGAACCCAGGAGGCGGAGCTTGCAGTGAGCCTAGATCGCGCCACTGCACTCCAGTCTGGGCAACTCTGTCTCAGGTAAAAAAAAAAAAAAAAAATATGTATATATATATATCAGAAGGGGAAACACATGGTGAGATGCTCCTGTAACACGTACCCCTTCAAATAATAATGTTTGCTTTTCTGGGAGCTGGTAAATGAAAATATCCTATTCTCTTGCCCTCAAAAAGACACAACACCTGAAAAGTCCAGAGTACCAAGTTGAGTGAAGATTTTTTCTTAGTTGAGACCTGAAATTCATGGTAGAATTCCCAGATGCAGAAAAAGTCCCACCAGAGAATCTTCCCGCAATGGGGTCTTACAAAGCTATTGTAGCAAATTTAAGTTGTACAAGAGTACCAAAAATATTTTCTATTTCCCTACCTGCTTTCTTGGCCTTCACTTGGCCCCTCTGCCACGCATCTCAGCTGACATTCAGCACAAAACTTTACTGGGTCCATAAGCCATATAATTCCCTCATTATTGCCAAAAAATTTTTCATAGACAAGAGAAATTATTTGCAAACATGTTGGAAGAAGTTTTTCCTTTTCTGGGGTTGAGATTATAGTTCAAACTGCAGGAAGAACAAGGACAAATCTGAATGATGATACTCTACAAATTCACTTATCCATTTGACATAAGAGGATTAAAAGAATAGGGAAAAAAATGCTTTTCAGAATAACTTTGGCATACATTTAGTTATATTAACAGTGGTTCAGAGGCAAGTGTGACCAAATTTAAAAGGTTTACTGTATGTTTTAGAGTTAAACTTAATTCAGGTAACTTTCATGCCCCTAGGGTGGGCAGCCAATGTTGTGAAACTAAGGGCTAGTTCAAGTTAAAAAAAATAATAATAATAAAAAATAAAGAGACGGAAAATGTCCAAAGGAGAGGTTAAGTATACTTAGTAAGGGTGGTAAAACCACATGAATATTAATTGGGCCAATCCAAACTTTAGCCCCTCAATAAAACAAAAATATTTTCAAGCTTTAAGAGAAAATAAAGTAGGCTGCTCTTCCCAAGCTATTTTTCATCTCACTGCTTTCTACATTTCTTACTGCTGGTTCTGAGAATCACAAGATTATAAAAAAAGAGAGGCTACACTTTCAATATGTCTTGATTATAACATCCTAGAGCAAGAAAATCCAGAGAACTACTGCAAAGCTAACAACATAGAAAGAGCCCTTCTGTTCCCCAGGTGCTTAGTGAGGACTAGCTTTGTCATTTCTTCCACACACTCCAGCCATGGCTGAAAAGGGAATTTTGAGCCCTGAATCTTTCGCCAGATGGAGAAGTTCCTTTCTCAATCTTGTCAATTTTCCTTCTCGCTTAATGTTTTTCCTTCCTTTCCTGCCTGTTCTTTAATTTCCCTGTGTACCTCCTAAAGTAATTTATTTACAGAACTATTTATTAACTTCTTTTGTAGTATTGTATGTTGAACTACAAAAGAAAGGCGGAGATGTGTGAAGAGCTCTTCACACATAGCTATGTTGAATTATGTGTAAAATCCTTCAAAAGTCAGGATGACACCTTCAGAGTTCTGGCTGTTACTTCCAAGCTAGATAAGAAACACTAATTAGGCGTTTTGTCACAGATTTCTGGACAATGGTGTCTATGAGTTGTCTTCCCAGTGTAATGAAAACCTAGATTAATTATTTTTTATGTCATTATTTTCATTCTCAAAGGAGAAATGGTCACTGTTTTTGTTACACTCTGTTTTCAAAACATGTCAATGTGCCTCACTATTAAAAAATCTTACACACAAAATTTGAACCAAGAAAACATCTCATTTAAATTACAATTATTCACAATTGAAAAAAAAAGATTCTCTCCACTAAAGGATTCATCATTGGTTTATTTTCAATACAGTAATAAGAATTTTCAATATAATGAAATTATCTGAGTATATTTTAATATTTACACACAAGTTCTCAGAGTTTCACATTTTAAAATATGCAACAAAGTTATTCTTTTTCTAAGCAGATAGATTATAAATACTACTATTTTCTCCCTGTTATACTGTCCACCACTGCATTGTCACTAATTGCTATTTCATAGAAACTTTGTCCTGTTCCAAATATATATCTCAAGTGTATTTCTTTGATCATTTACTAATTTACTTTTTTAATTGAGTCACTCATGTAACTATTCATTAAACATCCAAAATGTTTCACGTCTTTTACCTTGCAGAGAAAATGGCTAATACCACTTTATACCTCTTCTCCTGTGCTCTGGGCAACACAGGACCTGCTTATTCATTTAACTAGAATTCAAACTTCCGTCATAACCCTTAGTGATACTTTCAGTAGAACAGAAAGCCCTGCATGAATACAACTGCATAGGAAAATTTAACATATAATAAAGTCAGCACCTCAAATTAGTGGGAAAAAGATGAACATTTAAGTGAGTAGTATTAGGACAACTATTAACAGATAGATAGCTATACTTTAAAAGGAGGAAATGGATCCATTTCTCACACCATAAAACAAGATAAATTCCAAGTGTATCAGGAATGTAATAAAATGAAACCATACAAATACTACATGAAACATGAGTGAATTGCTTTATTACATGACACTTGGAAAAATGTTCCTAATCATGACTCAAAATCCAGAAGTAAAAAGAGAAAGGACTGATACAATTGACGATGTAAAAAATAAAATAAAGTTAGAAACCTTTATATGTGAAAAGTGTCATAAGTAATGTAAAAAGGGGACAAATGACAAACTGGGGAAAATATGTGCCACTTACGTCACCCAAAGCGATTATTCTTCACATAAACAGAGCTTTTAGAATTTGAGAAGAAAAGACCGATAACACTCTATTGTAAAACGAAACTAAGAAACAATTGATAAGCAAATTCAAGTGACCTACAAAAAGCTCAACAGTGCTAATAGTAAGAGAAGTATAATTTTACACTTCTCTGAGATTCTAGTTCTCAATTATCACTGGATGGGAAAAATCCAAAAGTTTGATCACATAAACAGTTGACCAGACTGTGGGGAAGCAAGCACTTTTGCTCTGCTGGTGGGAATGCAAAATTTCACCTCTCTTCCAGAGGAAGATTTGCTGATACCTTGCTAGATATTTACTCAGCGACACCATGTTGAGTAATCTATTCAAAAGATACATTGGCAAAACTATAAGAAGATGCACAAGGCCATGCATTGCAACACCATTAATAATAATAAAGAACTTGGAAGCAATCCAAATATCCATAATGGAGAATGGATTCAATAAAGAATAAATCAGGATACAGCCATACAATGGAGTACAAGCCTGCTACAAAAAAGAAATGAGAATTATCTCTATATTACCATGGAGTCATCTTCAGACAAGTCCTTAAATTTTTTAAAGGCAGGGAAGGCTTAACATATACAGTTCTTTAAATGGTTATCTATGATGAAAGAAGGAATTATATAGAAGGAGCAGGGCCAGGCACAGTGGCTCATGCCTATAATCCCAGCACTTTGGGAGGCCGAAGTGGGTAAAACAAGTGAGGTCAGGAGTTCAAGACCAGCCTGGCCAACATGGGGAGACCCCTTTTTTTGTATTTTTTTAGTAGACAAGGAGTTTCCCATCTGGGCGTGCTGGTGCATGCCTGTAATCCCAGCTACTCGGGAGGCTGGGGCACAAGAATCGCTTGAACCCAGGAGAAGGAGGTTGCAGTGACCTGAGATCATGCCACTGTACTCCAGCCTGGGTGACAGAGTGAGGGAAAAAAAAAAAAAAGAAGGGACAGGGTCAAAGCAATACTTCTATGAATATACCTTGTTTTGTATATTTGAATTTGGTACAGTGTAAATACTTTGCATAATTATAAAACAAAATTAAACATAACAAAATCAGATACTTAACAATTGAGAGCAAAATTAGTCAAGTAAATACAACTGTGTATCAGATGGATGGCAAAACCACATAGAGGAACTATTCCAAATGACTTTGAAACATTGTAAACTGACTATAAATTTCTATTGAGATATACTCTGTGGACAAAAAGAACTGCAAATAAATCTTAAAATTATCAAATCACTGCAGCTAGTGGTAGGTATTGTTATTCTGAGACTGTCGTGTGCATTGTGAGATTAAGCAAATAAGTAATTGTCTTGGTGCCATCAGAAACCAGGATTTTTGTCATGAGAGAAAGGAAATACAAACGTAAGATGCAGAAGATTGAGTTAAAAGTCCTATTCTATATTTGAATATATATAAATTCATGATGTATTTTATTTAAAAATATATATATATTTCCTACCTCTATCCTCTGAAAAGATCAACCTAAGAGCAATGAGGAGTCTTAATTCTCATATTGCTGTTTCTAGTCATCATTTCCAAATCAAAGCAATCATGCACCTGTAATCCCAGCACTTTAGGAGGCCGAGGTGGGTGGATCACCCTCCTCGAGGTCAGGAGTTCAAGACCAGCCTGACCAACATGGTGAAACCCCCATCTCTACTAAAAATACAAAAATTAGCGGGCGTGGTGGTGCGCACCTGTAATCCCAGCTACTCAGGAGGCTGAGGCAGGAGAATCTCTTGAACCTGGGAGGTGGAGGTTGCAGTGAGCCAAGATCTTGCCACTGCACTCCAACCTGAGTGACAGAGCGAGACTCTGTCTCAAAAAAAAAAAAAAAAAAAAAAGGAAAAGAAAAAAAGAAAAAGAAAAAATGGCTGATTCCAAGTCTGAGAAAGGAAAAGTAGAGGATGAGCCTAGAACATTTTGTCATACTAGACAACGAGGAGGCTCTCAGAGATTACTGAGATTGCTCAAAAGATTCAAAAGACAACTTGAATAGGTTGCCACTGGCCAAAGATAAACTAATTCGACACTTCAGAACACTCACTTCCATTCTTTGAAATCTGTGCTTCCTAGGTGGCTATCTTCAGACTTTGCATTTGAACACTTTAAACTAGATTTTGACCCTTTTGATTATTTTAGGATGACATTTTGGTGACCCAGATGGGACCCAAAGCAAGCCGCCAGTGATCCCCACCATTTCACCAACAACAGTCAGGGCACTGGTATTAGCATGAATGACTTTTGTTCACTCGACCTCACTAGAGCCAGGAGGAGTCTCTGGTGAGGTTCCTCTTCAAGTTCAAATCTCCCTGATTTTTGTTGATATTCAGACCTTATTCAAGCCACCTAATTCCACGCTCAATAGAGCTGGAATTAAAGCTCTGCTTTTCAGGTAAGGTTTTGGGTTTTGTTCTCTAGAGATTCTGCTCTTTGCAGGTTTTGTTTTGTTTATTTTGTGTTTTGTTTTGTTTTTATAGACAGAGTCTTGCTTTTTTTTATAGACAGAGTCTTGCTCTGTTGCACAGGCTGGAGTGCAGTGGTGCACTCATGGCTCACCGCAGCCTCAAACTCCTAGGCTCAAAGAATCCTCCCACCTCATCCTCAGGAGAAGCTGGGACTGTAGGTGCAGGGCCACCATGCCTGGCTAACTTACTTTCTGTAGAGACAGGGTCTCATTATGTTGCCCAGGCTCATCTCCAATACTTAGCCTCAAGTGATCCTCTCAAAGTGCTGGGATTACAGGCATGAGCTACTGTGCCTGTCCTATAGATTTAGGTTAACAGTTGTTTGTTGAACTATGCATTAGAGTTTGTGCAGCCTTTGCTCTCATTCGCACTATGGTCAGGAAAGGAAACCATTTCTCTCTCTGAAAAGAGGAAGTGAATTTTTTTGTGGTTTAAGCAAAGTTTGTAATTAAAAAAAAAAAAAACTGGCTAAACTTGGAAGCTGGGTTCATTTGACATATCTAAAGTCCCTTCTGAGTGGCCAAAGCCAGGGAAAAGCTTTTAATCAGAATGAAGATAAATCCTGAAGATAAGGGACACTATTCTTCCTGGACAAAATGTACCTTAGGCAACTAGGTTCCTGTGGGAGTGTTTGAGCTCATTGCTTGTGATGTGCAATGGTCCCATAGGCAATCCTCAAAGAAGAACACAGGGGGAATCTTGCTTAACCCAGGGGGCCCCATGAAAGGCTGCTCTCCCTGTGCCTTAAGCACCCAGGACTCATGGGTTTTGCCAAGATGTGTAAGAGGGGAGAAGCAACTCGTAGGTGACACCTTGAGGAGTAATCCTCATTGGGCAGCACACCACATCCAAAACATCTTTCACTTTCAGCTTAAAAAGAACTTAATTTATGGGCAGTTATCTATGTAAAACCACATCTTCCTTCTGAAAGGAGAGATCAACCTATGGAAACTCCAGTTGGATTCCTAGGCAATACTTATGGGGCCACCTCCTGTCAATATCTAGAGAAATAGTCTTAACCCGTGAAGACACCAAACTACAATGGCCAAAATGAGATACTTTTGAAATACCTAAATTAGTTTATTTACACACACAACTAGAAAAACAGCTCTAAAATTAAACAATAATTGGGAGAGTTACTTCCAATGGTACTTAGACCTTTTCAAGAGAGGCTCTGACAAAGTTCTTTCCCTATAGGAAGAAGACATAAAGCTCTCCAAAACCACTTCTGAATTAAAGACAACTGCTTTAATATGCAACAAATGTTAGGCTGTGGTGAGCTCAGGTAATTGAGACTCCAGAAGCAAGTAGAACCGATGTATTGAACAGGCGAACTTCTAGGGGATTAAGGATATAGATGACTGTTAAAGGTCAGCATCCCCCTAATTCTGTCCTTCACATTACAATCTCTAGGTCCAATCATCTAAACCCTGTCACTCTTCTACCTCTGGCTTCAGATGAGAGGGCACAAGATTGCAAAATCTTAACCAACCGCTTCTCTCTCCCAGACAGACCTCCAGGAGACTCCCCTTCCTAGCACTGATGTTGTTTGGTTTACAGATGGATCTAACTTAAAGGATGAATCTGGGACTTATTGTGCAGGTTATGCTATAGTATCTTTAATGGGAGAAATAGAAAGTGATTGCCTTCCAGGAGCCACATTCACTCAACAAGCAGAACTGGTAGCATTAATCAGGGCCTGTCAACTGGCAAAAGGAATAACTGCTAATATTCATGCAAGCAGCAGATCTGCTTTTGGAGTTGCTCATGATTTTGGAATGCTATGGAAACAAAGAAGGTTTTTAACCACTTCTGACCAGTCTGTAAAAATTGGACACCTTATTTCACAATTGCTAGAAGGCTTATTATTATACCAAGATCACTGCCCATTATTAAAATCCCAGATCACCCCAAATCAGATACTCCAGAAAGCAAAGGAAATCAGCTAGCTGATAAGGCAGCAAAAAGAGCTGCACTAAATGCATCTAAACAAGAAAAGTAACCTATATTAACTTTTAAAGAAGCACCTGAATTTGACAAAAAATGAGCTAAGTACAGAGCTCCAGAAGCTGAACAGGAAAATTGGAAGACGAAAAGGAGAACATACTCTCCCAAAGATGAGGTGTGGTGTGGGCCAAATAATTTACCTATGCTTCCTGCTGAATTACAGTCGTCATTTTTAACCTATAGACGTGATTCAACTCATTGGAGCCTTGATGAAATGGTTGCTTGGGGAAAACAATACTTTCAAAAACCATCTCTGATTATAGCTCACAAGGTATACAATCACTGCCATGTATCTGCTCAAAATATAATCTAGGGAAACCTTTACACAGTTCCCGAGGACATTTGCCTTTAACTGAAGGCCCCTATGAAGTACGACAATTAGATTCTATTCAGCTGCCACCACTGCAAGGATACCATTATGTTCTAGTGATTATTTGCATGTTTTCTCATTGATTAGAAGTCTATCCATGTAGAAGAGTGACTGACTGACTGCCTTAGCAGTAAGTAAAATTCTTTCAGGAAAGATTATTCTGACTTGGGGAGCTCCCTTAAAACTCCACAGTGACAGAGGTACTCATTTTACCAGACAGAAAATTCAGTCAGTATGTAAAAGTTGGCCTCTCCTCCAACACTTTCATTGTGCGTGTCATCCCCAATCATTTAGATTGGTGGAGCATACAAATTGAATAATTAAGATTCAATTGGCAAAAATAACAGAAGTTTTAAAGATTCCATGGCCAAAGTCTCTTCCATTGGTTTTTCTTAACCTAAGATCAGTCTCATTTAGAAAATGTCAGTTGTTGCTATAACTGGCAAACCTATGAATCTGTCCCCATGGAATTGTAACTCCTTAATTGTAAAGGGAGACATGTTCCCTTATTGTTATTACCTTATGAAACAATTAACTAAAAATTATAATCTAGTAAAAGATTATTAGAGACCTCTCAGGAAATGAAGAATTAAAGACTCACAGTCTTTAACCAGGGAATTTTGTTTATTGGAAATGACATATTTTAAAAGACTGTTTCTGACCGAAGTAGAAGGGCCCTTCCAAAGTGTCCCTTACTAAACCTCGTGCTGTTAAATGAGAAAAAATAGACTCCTAGATCCATGTTTCTCATCAAAAAAGGCTGTATCTCCTGAGTGGAATGTTTCCCCGGAAGATGACTCTCAGCTCAAGTTAATGCCAGGTCGAAAAGAAGATGATATCTGATGTAGACAGCTAAAACCCAAGGCTTCAGACCAGGTCTATATCTGAACAAATGCTTAATATTAACATTCGTTAATAAATAGATGATGAAGATTTTCCTTTACAAGCTCCCACTAAACTTCTTTTTATTCTTAGTTCTCATGTCTTGGTTCTGCTATCACCAGCTGTTGCCCTTGAAGCAAACTTCTCTTTGCAAAGTGCCCAAGACTATGCTAAAAGCTTTCAAAAATATCCTTGTTGAGTATGTGGTCTCATGCCCTTTCTAGTAGTTTTGGCCAATTATGATGGGTATCTCCCAGGAAAAGATTGGATAGAATATCAGAAATATATCTGTGTTTCTCAAAAATAGTCATCGATGTTTGACACTAGTAGGACTAAGGATAATGTACATCACTGGCCTATTAATAATACTTTACGGAATAAAGATCATAGTAAGAGCTTCTCGGTAAAAGAAACTAGTCCATTAGCTTTCATGCTGGTACTGTCCCTCCTGAGAGATGAAACAACCAGACTGCCCCAATTGAGAGTTGAGACAAGTCAATTTTAGAATGATACAACACAAATTTGGGATGGTTTTATCTGGCTTGCCCCCTTCTTTGGCCAGCTCAGTCAGCTTGTCACCTTATTTTTGGAACAGAGAAATTATACCAAACATACCTGTCCCAATAGCACTAGAGACAGAGTACTGATTGGCATGCCACCTAATGGGCACAACCACCAGGTATTCATTGGTTAGTTCCAAATGGAACATCTGGGCTTTGTGGCACTAACTTATGGTCACAGTTACCCCCAAGATGGTTAGGCGACATTCCTCGGGATATGCTTGGGCACAGGGTTGAGTAGTTCATACTCTGCTAAAACCTGCCAATTTTCCTCATTCGCAATCTCATTGGGTTTGTTCTATGTTTCACGGGTATGACCATTTATTAGCGTTCATCTTCATACTACAGCTGGGTATTGAGGATGTCATTTGGTGTGTAGAGGCCCTAACAATGATACATAAAGGCCCTAAATGATAGCCATATGGGTATTTCATTATTAAACAATGAAGTTACTCTTGTGAGAAAGGCTGTATTACAGAACTGTATGGCTTTAGACACACTTGCTGCAGCCCAAGGGGGAGCTTGTGCTAACGTAGAAACTGAGTGTTGTGTCCAAATCCCTGATGAATCAGGTAACATCACTAAATTAATGGCTGATATGAAAACCCAAATAACTGACTTTTCAGATCAAAGGCCCTTTCCAAATGATTGCCTAAGCAGCTGCTTCAGATCTGAGAAACTTGGTGGCAAAACTTGTTACTTATTCTAGTAATTATAATTATTTGTGGTGTTTGGTCCTGTTTTTGTCTACACTGCTGTTACTGCATTTGTTTGCAATTGAACCAATGCACAACTGAAAAGTCTGGAATAATGGTCGCTCAAAGAATTTCTTTGATTGAAGAGGCAGTCATGCAGCCTGAATCAGGTTTCAGGACCATTTCTCTCGTGTTTGCTTTATAATTCAGCTTTGGTCCTTTCCAACTTTCCCCCTCATGGGACATGACTTCCTAGGAATGAGCCTTCCTAGCAATGTGGGATTTTGACCTACATACATGACCTAAATACATGATTCTTCTGCAATGCTTTCTCCAAAAGATTTTAAAGAAATGGGTGAAATTGAAATGAAAATAAATTTTAGGACCCTCTGAATTTATTATGCCAAGGGGAAGTTAAGCCCTGGAGACTGAGGCATGCAACATGTTTGCAACTTCTGTTTCTTTCTTTCTTTTCCTTTTTTATTTTATTTTTGTAGAAATGGAGTTCTCACTATGTTGCCCAGGCTGGTGTCAAACTCCTGGGCTCAAGCAATTCTCCCACCTCAGCCTCTCAAAGTGCTGGGATTACAGGGTGAACCACCGTGCCCAGCCTGCAGCTTCTGTTTCTTCGATTATAGATTAACTCTCTTCTTCATTGTTCTTGCTCTGCAAATGACCAGGAAAGGCCAGAAGCCAGGCTTTCTATCCTTCCAATCACTGACTTTTGTTATAGATTAACTGCCTCCTTTATTGTCCCATACCTAACTGAGACCAGGTGGCGCAAAAGACCCCATGACGGTTTGACTGTTATATCTTTATTGTGGAATGTTAAATATACCTTTCCCGAAAGAAAAATCACCTCAGCTAATCAGATGGTTGTAACTATGCTTTAAGCCTTATATAGAAGGATATTGAACTTCTGTGAGGCTTCTCTAAACTTTATCTATATAAACAATCCCAAACTTCTATACCTCAGAACGCTGACTTCCATTCTTTGGAATCTGTGCTTCCCAGATGGCTGTCCTCAATCTTTTTGCTTGAATAAACTTTTTAAAAACGGATTCTGACCCTTTTGACTATTTTAGGTTGGCAGACAGAATCTGGATTCAAAATAGAAGCCAAAATCAGGGAGGTTTATCTCAGAATTAAAAAGAGATCCCTGGTGGTTGCCCCAAATGGAATTTAAATTCCACTTTGGCCTTACTGGCCACTAGTCTCATGAGGCAAGGAAGAGGGGTGAACTGAGCGGGTTGCTCAAGTGTTCTTGATGTATGTTGTCCTGCCCCAAGTCATGGGGCTGCTGGGCTGGAAAAACAACATACAAGATCAGGGATTAAAGCAGACACATGATCCTCCTTAAGCTCTGATGCATGCTAAATCCATTCATCCATTCAGCAAGTAGTTACTAAACACCTTCCATGAGCCTCACTCACAGCACACTAGATAGTGAGAAATTCATTACAAAGGAAAGAACTATGGGACCATTAGGCTCCTCAGTTCACCCTCACCCTGCCAATCCCTTACCCACCATAATTACTCCCTCTTAAAACCAGCAAAACATTGATCACATTTCTGTATCCCCAAATTTCCACTTTAGTACCCTGTTCCCCATAGAACAACAGCCAAACTACCTAACATAGAACACCAGACCCTGGACCACATGCAACTATCTCCTCACACCCTTCTCTCAACCTGAGGCCTGAACTAGAGCCAACCAGCTTCTCTCTTTCATACAGGTCTTTGTGTGTGCCTGAAAGTTCTTTTCTCCTTCTCCATCCACCTTCTTAACCTTCCAAAGCCAGGTTGATTGTTACCTTCTCTGGAACTCCCCCCACAGAGCTGGATTAAGGCTCCTACAGTGTGCTCTTATGCTCCACTGTATTATGCTGTCACAGAATTTATGATACTCTATTGTTATTACAAATGTAACATGCAGCTGTTCCTCCCCATCCTTGTTTTGTTTTGTTTTGTTTTGCTCTCCTCTAATATGGCTCTCATGATATAGCTTAGTAATTACTTACCTCTTTAACAATTAGTCTATTGCTGGAAGGTAGAGTCCAAGAGTCGCCCATTTCTGCATTCTCCAGCCCTGCAAGTTGCTTGGCAAGTGGTAGGTAATTTATGTATATGTATTGAGTTGGGTAGGGGAGTCATGGGGAGAAGGGAGAAGAAAATGACAGCCAGCAGTTAGATTTGGTCATTTAATTTGCAATTCCAATTTGAGAATTTCAATCATTGCAAACATTCTTAAATTCAAAATAATTATAAAGTTTCAGTGAACTTAGTTTCACTCAAAAATGCAAGGTAGGTGAGGAGGAGGGTGAAGTGAAGGGAAGTAGAGAGCAGAGCAACAGGGACAACAGAAAGCACCTGGGTAGAAAATCATGGCTGTCACCTGTGTCACTTTGTCTTCTCCCTTTGGCTCACAACTCCCCACCATACAGGCACCACCTGTACAGGTACAAAGTTAGTCAACTCTGTGATCATATCAATATTAAAAATGTATGAAAATGGACAAAGACAAGAAAGAAAACACAAAGGTGAATTTGCTATAGTACATTGATTCTATTATAAGTTGTTTACTATTTTTTTCATTTCCTTTAAAGACGTGATAACAGCATTCTTTGATTTGACAATAGATAGAACAATAGCCCTTAGATGAAAATGGAAAAGCTGCCAATAAATCAGCACTGAGGTTTAAGTGATTGACAAATGATTTTACAGGTTGTTCCTCCCAAGATGTCACTGAGATTGGAATAATAAATCCCTCCTGCTATATTTCATGAAATAGCATGAGTACAGGAAAACCACTTTGGGGTAAGCCTTTCCCAAAAAGCCCCCATTATCTCTAGGGCAATGCTTACGCAGGAAGATAAAATATACTTTTTTCCCCAACATCTCTGACAAAAGAGAGTAACATAACATAACAATCAATACTGACTGTAAGTTATTTGTTGAGAATGATATAAAAACAGAAATTTTTCTTCAAAGGAAATGACTTTGTAATGTTTTGACTCTACTATTAATTTGAACCCCTTTGTAAAGATACACATGAGCTATGAATTCACAGCTGGACACAGTGGGCATTATAGCAACAAAGTATGAGTGGCTGGCAAGATGGTCGAATAGGAACAGCTCCGGTCTACAGCTCCCAGTGAGATCAACGCAGAAGGTGGGTGATTTCTGCATTTCTAACTGAGGTACCTGGTTCATCTCATTGGGACCGGTTAGACAGTGAGTGCAGCCCACAGAGGGCAAGCTGAAGCAGGATGGGGTATCACCTCACTCAAGAAGCACAAGGAGTTGGGGAACCCCATCTCCTAGCAAAAGGAAGCCATGAGGGACTGTGCCGCAAGGAATGGTGCACTCCAGCCCAAAGACTACGCTTTTCCCATGGTCCTTGCAACCCACAGACCAAGAGATTCCTTCGGGTGCTTATGCCACCAGGTCCCTGGGTTTCAAGCACAAAACTGGGCAGCCATTTGGGCAGACATCAAGCTAGCTGCAGGAGTTTTTTTTTTTCATACCACAGTGGCTCCTGGAACACCAGTGAGACAGAACCATTCATTCCCCTGGAAAGGGGGCTGAAGCCAGGGAGCCAAGTGGTCTAGCTCAGCGGATCCCACCGCCATGGAGCCCAGCAAGCTAAGATCCACTGGCTTGAAATTCTTGCTGCCAGCACAGCAGTCTGAAGTCGACCTGGGATGCTCAAGCTTGGTGCGGGGAGGGGCGTCCACCATTACTGAGGCTTGTGTTGGCAGTTTCCCCTCACAGGGTAAACAAAGCTGCTGGGAAGTTGGAACTGGGCAGAGCCCACCACAGTATGGCAAAGCCACTATATCCAGACTGCCTCTCTAGATTCCTCCTCTCTGGGCAGGGCATCTTGGAAAGAAAGGCAGCAGCCCCACTCAGAGGCTTATAAATAAAACTCCCATCTCCCTGGGACAGAGCACCTGGGGGAAGGGGCGGCTGCAGGCGCAGCTTCAACAGACTTAAACATTCCTGCCTGCCAGCTCTGAAGAGAGCAGCAGATCTCCCATCACAGCACTCAAGCTCTGTTAAAGGACAGACTGCCTCCTCAAGTGGGTCCCTGACACCCATGCCTCCTGACTGGGAGATACCTCCCAGCAGGGGTCGACAGACACCTCATACAGGAGAGCTCTGGTTGGCATCTGGTGGGTGCCCCTCTGGGATGAAGCTTCCAGAGGAAGGAATAGGCAGCAATCTTTGCTGTTCTGCAGCCTCTGCTAGTGATACCCTGGCAGACAGGGTCTGGAGTGGACCTGCAGCAAACTCCAGCAGACCTGCAGAAGAGGGGCATGACTGTTAGAAGGAAAGCTAATAAACAGAAAGGAATAGCATCAACATCAACAAAAAGGACGTACACGCAGAAACTCCATCCAAAGGTCAGCAACATCAAAGACCAAAGGTAGATAAATCCACGAAGATGAGGAAAAACCAGCACAAAAAGACTGAAAATTCCAAAAACCAGAATGCCTCTTCTCCTCCAAAGGCTCACAACTCCTCACCAGCAAGGGACAAAACTGGATGGAGAATGATTTTGACAAATTGACAGAAGTAGGCTTCAGAAGGTGGGTAACAACAAACTCCTCTGAGCTAAAGGAGCATGTTCTAACCCAATGCAAGGAAGCTAAGAACCTTGAAGAAAGGTTAGGGGAGTTGCTAACTAGGATAACCAGTTTAAGAGAAGAACATAAATGACCTGATAGAGCTGAAAAGCACAGCACGAGAATTTCGTGAAGCATAAACAAGTATCAATAGCTGAATCGATCAAGTGTAAGAAAGGATATCAGAGATTGAAGATCAACTTAATGAAATAAAGCATGAAGATAAGATTAGGGAAAAAAGAATGAAAAGGAATGAACAAATCCTCTAAGAAATATGTGACTATGTGAAAAGACCAATCCTACATTTGATTGGTGTACCTGAAAGTGATGGGGAGAATGGAACCAAGTTGGAAAACACTCTTCAGAATATTATCCAGGAGCACTTCCCCAACCTAGCAAGACAGGCCAACATTCAAATTCAGGAAATACAGAGAACACCAAAAAGATACTCCTCGACAAGAGCAACTCCAAGACACATAATTGTTAGATTCACCAAGGTTGAAATGAAGGAAAAAATATTAAGGGCAGCCAGAGAGAAAGGTCGGGTTACCCTCAAAGGGAAGACCATCAGACTAACAGCGGATCTCTCTGCAGAAACCCTACAAGCCAGAAGAGAGTGGGGCCAATATTCGACATTCTTTAAAAAAAGAATTTTCAACCCAGAATTTCATATCCAGGCAAACTAAGCTTCATAAGCAAAGGAGAAATAAAATCCTTTACAGACAAGCAAATGCTGAGAGATTTTGTCACCAGGCCTGCCTTACAAGTGTTCCTGAAGGAAGGACTAAACATGGAAAGGAACAACCAGGACCAACCACTGCAAAAACATACCAAATTGTAAAGACCATCGACACTATGAAGAAACCGCATCAACTAATGGGCAAAATAACCAGCTAGCATCACAATGACAGGATCAAATTCACACATAACAAAATTTACCTTAAACGTAAATGGGCTAAATGACCCAATTAAAAGACACAGACTGGCAAATTGGATAAAGAGTCAAGACCCATTGGTGTGCTGTATTCAGGAGACCCATCTCATGTGCAAAGACACACATAGGCTCGAAATAAAGGGATGGGGGAGTATTTACCAAGCAAATGGAAAGCAATAAAAAAAAAAAGGAGGGGTTGCAATCCTAGTCTCTTACAAAACAGACTTTAAACCAGCAAAGATCAAAAAAGACAAAGAAGGGCATTACATAATGGTAAAGAGGTCAATGCAACAAGAAGAGCTAACCATCCTAAATATATATGCACCCAATATAGGAGCACCCAGATTCATTAAGCAAGTTCTTAGAGACCTACAAAGATACTTAGACCCACACACAATAATAATGGGAGACTTTAACACTCCACTGTCAATATTAGACAGATCAATGAGACAGAAAATTAACAAGGATTCAGGACTTGAGTTCAGCTCTGGACCAAGCAGAGCTAATAGACATCTACAGAACTCTCCACTCCAAATCCACAGAATATACATTCTTATCAGCACCACATTGCATTTATTCTAAAATTAAACACATAATTGGAAGTAAAACACTCCTTAGCAAAGGCAAAATAATGGAAATCATAACAGACAGTCTCTCAGACCACAGTGCAATCAAATTAGAACTCAGGATTAAGAAACTCACTCAAAACCACACAACTACATGGGAACTGAACAACTTGCTCATGAATGACTACAGGGTAAATAATGAAATTAAGGCAGAATAAATAAGTTCTTTGAAACCAATGAGAACAAAGACACAATGTAGCAGAATCTCTGGGACACAGCTAAAGCAGGGTTTAGAAGGAAATTTTAGGACTAAATTCACACAAGAGAAAGCAGGAAAGATTGAAAATTAACACCCTAACATAACAATTAAAAGAACTAGACAAGCTAGAGCAAACAAATTCAAAAGCTAGCAGAAGACAAGAAATAAGTAAGATCAGAGCAGAACTGAAGGAGATAGAGACACAAAAAACCCTTCTAAAAAACAAATGGATCCAGGAGCTAGTTTTTTGAAAAGATTAACAAAATAGATTGCTAGCCAAACTAATAAAGAATAAAAGAGAGAAGAATCAAATAGACACAATAAAAAATGATAAAGGGGAGATCAACACTGATCCTGCAGAAAGTACCATCAGAGAATACTATAAACACCTCTACGCAAATAAACTAGAAAATCTAGAAGAAATAGATAAATTCCTGGACACATACACCCTCCCAAGACTAAACCAGGAAGAAGCTGAATCCCTGAATAGACCAATAACAAGTTCTGAAATTGAGGCAGTACTTAATAGCCTACCAACCAAAAAAAAAGCCCAAGACCAGATGGATTCACAGCCGAATTCTCCCAGAGGTACAATGAGGAGCTGGTACCATTCCTTCTGAAACTATTCCAAACAACAGAAAAAGAGGGAATCCTCCCTAACTCATTTTGTGAAGCCAGCATCATCTTGATACCAAAATCTGACAGACACACAACAAAAAAATAAAATTTCTGGCCAATATCCCTGATGATCATCGGTGCAAAAATTCTCAATAAAATACTGACAAACCGAATCCAGCAGCACATCAAAAAGCTTATCCACCACAATCAAGTCAGCTTCATCCCTGGGATGCAAGGCTGGTTCAACATACACAAATAAATAAACGTAATCCATCACATAAACAGAACCAATAACAAAAACCACATGGTTATCTCAATAGATGCAGAAAAGGCCTTCAACAAAATTCAACAGCCCTTCATGCTAAAAACTGTCAATAAACTGGGTACTGGTGAAACGTATCTCAAAATAATAAGGTCTATTAATGACAAACCCACAGCCAATATCACACTGAATGGGCAAAAACTGGAAGCATTCCCTTTGAAAACCAGCATAAGGCAAGGATGTCCTCTCTCATCACTCCTATTCAACATAGTGTTGGAAGTTCTGGCCAGGGAAATCAGGCAAGAGAAAGAAATAAAGGGGATTCAAATAGGAAGAGAAGTCAAATTGTCTCTGTTTGCAGATGACATGATTGTATATTTAGAAAACCCCATTGTCACAGCCCAAAATCTCCTTAAGCTAATAAACAACTTCAGCATAGTCTCAGGATACAAAATCAATGTGCAAAAATCACAAGCCTTCCTATACACCAATAATAGACAAACATAAAGCCAAATCAGGAGTGAACTCCCATTCACTACAAAGAGAATTTAATACCTAGGAATACAACTTACAAGTGATGTGAAGGACCTCTTCAAGTTGAACCACAAACCACTGCTCAAGGAAATAAGAGAGGACACAAACAAATGGAAAAACATTTCATGCTCATGGATAGGAAGAATCAATATGGTGAAAATGGTGATACTGCCCAAAGTTATTTATAGATTCAATGTTATCCCCATCAAGCTACAATTGCCTTTATTCACAGAATTAGAAAACATACTTTAAATTTCATATGGAACCAAAAAAGAGCCCATATAGCCAAGACAATCTTAAGCAAAAAGAACAAGGCTGGAGGCATCACGATGCCTGACTTCAAACTATACTATAAGGCTGCAGTAACCAAAACAGCATGGTACTGGCACCAAAACAGATATATAGACCAATGGAACAGAACAGAGGCCTCAGAAATAATGCCACAAATCTACAACTGTCTGATCTTTGACAAACCTGACAAAAACAAGCAATGGGGAAAGGACTCCCCATTTAATAAATGGTTCTGGGAGAACTGGCTAAACATATGCAGAAAGCTGAAACTGGACCCCTTCCTTACACTTTATACAAAAATTAACTCAAGATGGATTAAAGACTTAAAGGTAAGACCTAAAACCATTAAAACCCTAGAAGAAAACCTAGGCAACGCTATTCAGGACATAGGCAAGGCAAAGACTTCATGACTAAAACACCAAAAGCAATGGCAACAGAAGCCAAAATTGACAAATGGGATCTAGTTAAACTAAAGAGCTTCTGCACAGCAAAAGAAACTATCATCAGAGCAAACAGGCAACCTACAGAATGGGAGAAAATTTTTGCAATCTTCCATCTGACAAAGGGCTAATATCCAGGATTTACAAGAAATGTAAATAAATTTACGAGAAAGAAAACAACCCCATCAAAAAGTGGGTGATGGATATGAACAGATATTTCTCAAAAGAAGATATTTATATGGCCAACAAACATTTTAAAAAAAGCTCATTATCACTGGTCATTAGAGAAATGCAAATCAAAACCACAGTGAGATACCATCTCATGCCAGTTAGAATGATGATCATTAAAAAGTCAGGAAACAACAGGTGTTGGAGAGGATATGGAGAAATAGGAATGCTTTTACATTGTTGGTGGGAGTGTAAATTAGTTCAACCATTGTGGAAGACAGTGTGGCAATTCCTTAAGGATCTAGAACCAGAAATACCATTTGACCCAGCGATCCCATTACTGGGTATATACCCAAAGGATTATAAATCATTCTACTATAAAGACACATGCACACACATGTTTATTGCAGCACTGTTCACAATAGCAAAGACTTGGAACCAACCCAAATGTTCATCAATGATGAACTGGATAAAGAAAATGTGGCACATATACACCATGGAATACTATGTAGCCATAAAAAAGGATGAGTTCCTGTCCTTTTCAGGGACATGGATGAAACTGGAAACCATAATTCTCAGCAAACTAACACAGGAACAGAAAACCAAACACCGCATATTCTCGCTCATAAGTGGTTGTTGAACAATGAGAACACAGGGACACAGGGAGGGGAACATCACACACCCGGGCCTGTCAGGGAGTAGGGGGATAGGGGAGGGATAGCATTAGAAGAAATACCTAATGTAGATGATGGGTTGATGGATGTGGCAAACCACCATGGCACATGTATACCTATGTAACAAACCTGCACTTTCTGCACATGTATTCCAAAACTTGAAGTATTAAAAAAAATAAAAATAAAAAAAGCCTAAAATAAGATAAAATTTTTTAAAAAAGCAACAAAGTATGAATAATTTGCACTATTGTCGGATTCTACAATAATTTCCCCATAGGGATTCCTCTGACAAAAAAAAATCCCATTAATTTTTCAATTCCTCATTGTAATTCTTCTTTATATAATTTACGATACAATAAAACAAATGCATATGTTTAAAAGTTTAAACCTATCTTCAAAGTTCCCTGAAGATTCATTCTCTTGTTTGACATTGACTTGACTACTGTAAGTAAATATTTCAAAAATTTTAAATATCCTTTATAAGGAAGCACATAAAGTGTCTTATCTTAGCCCAAAATGCAAACTAAAAAGCAGCTCCATGCCATGTTTTTGCTAAATGTCATCACTTAGATCTCTAACTCACCAACCAAGACTTGATCTAAAACACAAATAGACCCAAACAAGACTTTGTAAAGAGATTCAAAAAAATATTCAGGCCTGAAAAATGTGTTCCTGCCCACATTATTGGCCCAGCAAATACATCCCATCTGGGCAAATGATCAGAGAAGTGCTGAAAAGAAAAAAAAAAATTAGCCTCCTCAAATGTCTATAATTCTGAGCATTGAAAACTATTTTTTGCTTAAACCAAAGAGGTTTGGCTTCTTAAGATTTTTATGCAAGCCTTGCAGGGTACCTAGAGACCAAACCCAGAATAATTCACCAAAAGTAAAAATTTCTTATTTTCTCATGTTTTATTTTTAAGATATGAGAAATTCTGATGTCTAGTGTAATCTGTATCTTTATTTCTTTTAATATGAAAATAATGTGAGTTTTTCCTTTAAGGTTCTTAAAGTAAATGAGAAGCTCCAGAAAAATGTGTTGTGCTTATCCTGTGAATTTTTCTCTAAGCACAGGCCAGACTGGAAAACTTGGAATTAAATGTGTTAAAGACCCCCGTCAGATTAGAATGGGAACGGGTTCTTAGGGGAGGCATATTTGGGGTTGATTTTGATCAACTATTAACAGCATTGCATGGACTGGTTTATCAGAAGAACTGGCAAATCTTCTAACAAGGCCCTGAGGCAGTGAAACCAAAACAGCAAGTTTATACAGCAGAGGTACCAGGAAAGCCAAGTGAGGAGGTTGACCCACAAGCTATGGCGTGGTCTAGGTGGGAAGGGCAAAGGAGACAGTCATGCCACTAAGAAGTGGCAAGCCTGGAGTTTGAAGGAGTGGACAAAAAAAAAAAAAGAGAGAGAAAGGTTTCTGAAAGAAGAATAGAGGACCCAGAAATAAATATTTCCCACATCTTATGTTTATCAAGAGTATTCCCACTGATATCAACAGGAATGAAAACATAAATATCTGCTTCAAACATAATCACTGCAAAGAATTGGAAAGTGGCTGATACAGGCTCCTTCTAGTGGTTCGCTGGAGTCTATAAGAGCGGAACAAGAGATAAAGAAAAACTCCTCCTCAGGTTACAGTTACATGTTCTCTTTGCCCTTCCCACCAAACACTGATTTGCAGAGGTCATTGCCTAAGCAGCAAATATGCTATTCGTCAGGTAATAAAGGCAAAGTTAACGATACAAAGATAAAAGAAGCATTTTTAAATTTACAAAATAGAACAAAGAACTACAAAATAGGGTCATCAATGTCAAGCAATTAATTATTTCCTAAACAAAGATAACCCTGGATTTCAAAAGCACACTCATCAATTACAGACAGACTAGCCCAAAAGATGACTAAGGGATAATATCTGGAATATAGGTTACAGAATGCCTTTCAAATGTCTGAGATACACACATTCCGGAGTACCGTGAAAACTAAACAAACAAGAAAGCAACACTTAAACGCCCGACATTTCCCAGAATTTGTATAAAATAGCATGCTAACTCACTCTGGAAAGCACAGCCTGCTTATCCTTTCAGATATAGAAGGGAAGATGAATCTGTTCACTGCTTTCTCTCTTCCACCTCCCCCTGAGTGTTCTCCACATTTAAGAGAAGGTTTTTGCTAAAAAGTAAAATACTCCTTGGCATTAGGAAGAGCAGCATACTTTGCATTCTTTTTTTTTTTTTCAAAATTGTATCAAAATCTCCTTTGAAAGCAAGGATTGTTCTATTTATTTGCTTTGTATCCTCTATGGTCAGAGCTCTATGAAAGAGAATCCAATCAGTTCTGCAACAATAAACAGGATGTCTAGGAAGGTATCACAAAAATCCTTAAAGCACAGTTAATTTTAAAACTTATTATTACTATTAATTATTATTAGAGAAAGGATCTTGCTCCATTCCTCAAACTAAAGTGCAGTGGCACCATCATAGCTCACTGTAACCCCATATTTCTGGATTCAAGAGATCCTCCTGCTTCAGCCTCCTGAGTTGCTAGGACTACAGGTGCATGCCACTATGATCAGCTAATTTTTTTTATTATTTTTTGTAGAGAGGGGGTTTCACCATGTTGCCTAGTCTTGAACTCTTGGCCTCAAGTGATCCTCTGGCCTCAACCTCCCAAAGTGCTGGGATTTACAAGTGTGAGCCATCAAACCTGGCCTTAATTTAAAAATTAATGAAAACAATTAATTCTACTTTGGCATCAAAAATAATTGCCTAGGCCAGGCGCAGTGGCTCACACCTGTAATCTCAGCTCTTTGGGAGGTCAAGGCAGGCGGATCACCTGAGGTCAGGAGTTTGAGACCAGCCTGGCCAACGTGGTGAAACCCCATCTCTACTAAAAAAATTTCAAAAATTAGCCAGGCATGGCGGTGCACACCTGTAATCCAGCTACTTGGGAGGCAGAGGCAGAAGAATCGCTTGAACCTGGTGAACCAAGATCAAGCCACTGCATTCCAGCCTGGGCGACAGACTAAGACTCTGTCTCAAAAAAAAAAAAAAAAAAAAGAAAGAAAGAAAAGAAAAGAAAAATTGCCCGTATAACACTTTGTAGAAAGATGCAAAATGTTAAAAAAACAAAACAAAACAAAACAAAACTGATCTGTATTGCCATATTAAAAATAAAATAAAATAAATAAAACACGTTGGGAATTACCATAGCAGCCCTCACCTGCTTCTCTGTGCAGGACCCCCTAAGGTAGAATATAAAATGTCATCAACTGTTCCCTGCCTTGAATATCAGGTCAGTCTACTGTCCCTCCTTCCCCTAGGGCAGCATATCCTCACCAGCAGCTCAACTGTTCTGGCAAGAGCAGCCTGTAGCCTGAGCCGGGCCTTCCCTCTCACCTCCTCTTCCCCTCAGAAAGGTGTTGCAAGAGCTGCTCCCTGCTGCCCTCTGTCTTCCAAAGCTCAATTTGGTTAATTCCTCCACAGCTTGTCTTTTTTCCCCCTATCTTTACACACCTCCATAAACACAGTTTTTCCTCTTTTCTCCCATCCTTGCCCAGTTACCTGAGAGAAAAAAAATATGGCGCTAGAGTGGATACTGCGATTTCAGGACCGAAACCAATTCCACCAATGGCTGTGGTGTTAGTGGCTGTATTAGTCCATTTTCATGCTGCTGATAAAGACATACCCAAGAGTGGGTAATTTATAAAGAAAAAGAGGCTTAATGGACTCGCAGTTCCACGTGGCTGGGGAAGCCTCACGATCATGGCAGAAGGTAAAAGGCACATCTTACATGGCAGCAGACAGGGTAGAATCAGAGAGCCAAGCGAAAGGGGTTTCCCCTTATAAAACCATAGGATCTCGTGAGAGTTATTCATTACCACGAGAACAGTAGGGAGGAAACTGCCCCCATGATTCCATTATCTCCCACCAGGTCCCCCCAACCACACATGAGAATTACAGAAACTAAAATTCAAGGTGAGATTTGGGTGGAGACACAGCCAAACCGTATCAGCGACCGTGGTACTCAGGAGACATCGTCCGTGGGATTTGCTCTCAGCGGGGGAGTTGCATGCTCCAAGTCACACCTTTCCTGAAGTGGCCCCTATCCACTCACTGATCAATGAGGAGATAGACAACTGAAGGACTGTGCCTGCTTCAGGGCTGCCCTGCCATCAGCCAAGTCATTTGCGGTACCTGCATCTCCTCTTCTCCAGTTCTGCTTCTGTTACTCCACAGGGGTTGATTCAGAGCGGCTCCCCAGTCAACTACACTATCTCAGAGTCTGAATTCCAGGAAACTGACCCAAGATACCCATCCTCTTTTTCCCCACATTCTTTCTTTCTTGTTGTTTTTATAGAGACAGGTGTCTCTAGGATGCCCAGGCTGGAGTGCAGTCGTGCAATCACAGCTCACAGTAACCGTGAACTCTGGGGTTCAAGTGATCCTCCAGCCTCAGCCTCTAGAGTCGCTGGGACTACAGGCGTGATCCTTCACGCTCTCAAGGCTCCGTATTCTTTCTTTGTGATTAAAAATGAACCTTGGGGTGGCTGATCAATGCTAGTAAAACATGGGTGTCAAACTAAAGTTTTAAGTAAAATTATTCCTTAACTTCTAAAGGCTTCAAATGTGCTGAGAATTTCCCCCTGGATAATCTCCACAAGTCTCCAACATTCTCCTCTCCTCCTCTAATTAAAAATGCCATCGTCAAAGCCATATTGTAGAAAAAAGAAATTATTTTTATTAATTTGGTTATGTTCAGTTATAATTAATGGATTTGCAAACACAGTCTGCATACCTAAACTATAACATTTGATTTCTCTGCTTCTTTTCATTGCAAATGTACATTAGTTCATCTAGGTTTGAATTTAAGTTGATTTCTATGAGCTGACCCTTCGTTCCTTTTATTATTTTTGGTAGAAAAATTATTTTTAAGTTCAGAACAACTGACAGTGAAATAAACTGTTGGAACTCAAATCGCCTGAAAGTGGGAGTTCACAATGGCTCCAAATAATTAGCTTTGGAAAGAGAGAGAGGCCTCACACCATAGCAGGGACATGAAATGAAGCTTCAGACTCCCCCACCTCGCAAAGACACAGCTTCCCAGTAGCTTCACTGTGTAACGGCAGAAGGGTCCCAGCTGGACTGTTGCATTTTAATTTCCCTGCCTCCAGATCACTGCTTGGACCACACCTTCATGACTAAGCAGTCCAGCCACTCATAGGGCAATTGGGACAATGAGGTCATATGTACCATGGGCAACGACCAGCCATTCTTCCCTGCTTATCAGGGCATGTGAGGACACCTACTGCACAGTCCGTAAGCTTCTCCAAGCTCTTTATTGGGAAGTAAAATAGGACTGAATATTTCATTACATCTCTGAGTGACTTAAAAAAAATTTTTTTCATTTATTCTTTATTATTTTTTAAGTTCCAGGGTGCATGTGCAGGCTTGTTACATAAGTAAACATGTGCCATGATGGCTTCCTGCACCTATCAACCCATCACCTAGGTATTAAGCCCAGCAAGCATTAGCTCTTTTTCCTGATGCTTTCCCTGCATGACTTCCCCTAATAGGTCCCAGTATGTGTTGTTCCCCTCCCTGTGTCCATGTGTTCTCATTATTCAGCTCCCACTTATGAGTGAGAACATGCAGTGTTTGGTTTTCTATTGCTCGTTAGTTTGCTGAGGATAATAGCTTCCAGCTTCATCCATGTTCTAGCAAAAGACATGATCTTGTTCCTTTTTATGGCTGCCTAGTATTCCACGGTGTATGTGTACCATATTTTCTTTATCCAGTCTATCATTGATGGGCATTTGGTTTGATTCCAAGTCTTTGCTACTGCGAATTGTGCTGCAATGAACATATGCGTGCATGTATCTTTATAACAGAATGATTTATATTCCTTTGAGTATATACCCAGTAAAGGGATTGTTAGGTCAAATGGTATTTCCAGTTCCAAATCTTTGAGAAATTGCCACACTGTCTTCCACAATGATTGAACTAATTTAACTTTAAAAAATTTTTATTGGCAGTACTCTCTGAGAGACTAGAGTTATACATTAACAAGGCCAGACGTTACCATTTACATGAGAGCAAAGACCAAAAATAATAACTGCAGACCAGAGACATACCAGCCAAAATGATGTGGATGGGCAGACCTTCTTTTTCAAAGCAAGGCTTCTAGGAAGCAAGCAGCGTGTTCACATGCATTCTGACACAGGCTTCTTATCTCTTCGTGGCTGAGTAGCAAACAATTCAAATACTGGCTTCTTTGAGGAACACTTTCAGAGAAACCGAAAGTCACAGCACTACCAAAGCTGCTGATTTTGAGATGCTGATGCAATGTTTTGCTCTTCTTTAAGTAAGGGAGAATTTCCTCTTCCCCTTTGGCATGGATAACAAAGTAATGCTGCCTCCTGCTCCCAATGACCCCTCTCCTTAAGACTCAGGCACAAGCCCATGGGACCTGGGCCAGAGGACAGTCTGGAAAGTAGATACTGTGAGTTGTTCCGCATCTCTTACACTCCAGCAGCAAGGCATTTTCTTTGCTACATTATTATTTCTCTTAAAAAGTGTTGTTTCCCAACCAAGGGTCTGGCCATGCCTGGGATGCCTGGAAGACCATCAAATGTCACCAGCCTGGAATGCGTGGAGGACCATCACCTCTACCTCCCCCCTCAAACCATGGCATTGACTAACATACTTAAGGAAACAAGATGCTGACAATATCGGCTGGGTAGACCCAGTTAATTCCCCACTAAGTACACCCAATTGATTTCCCTACCTTTGAAGGTGCATTTTTTAAGGGCATTAGAAAGATTTGTTGATAACAATAAAGGCTATATTATGGAATTAACTATAGTTTACTAAATAACACTACCATACATTTACACACAAAAAAAATGCAAATGATATAGTACTAGCACCAGGATATGACACTGATATTCTCTATCAATCCTTCCTCAGTAGCATATCGGTAAATTCCACATGTAGCTAAAGAAATATCTCTCCATTTTTTTTTTTCAAATTATCTTCCACTGTTCTGCTGCTGTGGCGGCATTGCTTACTGACTCTCTTTACCTCCATATGAGTTCGCACCCCATTCTGTACCAGACCATTACTTCCTTCTATCAGGGCTTGTATTCATCTGTTCATTCATTCAACAAATACAGTTTAGGGTCTTCCATGTGCTGGAGTATTGTTGTAGGTATTGGAGATACAAAGATAAAGCAGATACAGCCCCTTCCAGTTTCTCTAGGATCAGGCAGCACGGAAGACTGAAAAAGGAAATGAATCTTGTACTGAGTTTTTTAACTACTTTATTTCATTTTGTATTTGTCTTCAAGATCACTTTATTGTCAAGTACGATTATTATTTTTTTTTAGACAAAGTCTTGATCTGTCACCCAGGCTGGAGTGCAGTGGCACGATCTCAGCTCACTGCAACCTCCACCTCCCAGCTTCAAGTGAATCTCCTGCCTCAGCCTTCCAAGTAGCTGAGACTACAAGCACGTACCACCACATCCAGCTTATTTTTATATTTTTAGTAGAGAGAGGTGAGGTTTCGCCACGTTGGCCAGGCTGAGCTCGAACTCCTGACCTCAGTTGATCCACCTGCCTCGGCCTCCCAAAGTGCTGGGGTTACAGGCATAAGGATTTTAATTGACATAAGCAAATGAGAGAAAAACAAAGGTAGATTTGTGAAATAAAAGATGACTTTATGCCAAATGAAAGCGAAGGAGGTTCAGGTGCCAAGGTCTCTATAGTTCAAATGGAGAAGTGGTGGAGAAATTGGGGCCACTCCAATGCCTTGTGCAACAGCATAAGCATGCCAAATTCCAAAACCTGTACCATGACAGCCAGTAATACATTCACACTGTGAGTAGCAGTTTAAATTTCTCAAAACTTCATCTGTCACACCAAATTTATGTTGTTAATTTGAGTTTTACTGGTTTTAGAGTTTTTTTCTTCAGTTTGTAAATTTATTTCAGTTTTATAATTAGAAGAGCTATAAGCATCAGCCTTTACACCCAGCTTTATGTTTGCACTTATGTAAGTAACATTGTCATTAAATTAACAATGACACTGAGGAAAACTGTTCCTCATGTTCACATAAGCTTTGGAAACTAATCTTTTACATTAACAGTGGTTGTTCCTAGCCATGGAGTTATCATTCCAGCTCCTATTGATGGAATCAGCCCTGTTTTCAATTTTTTAGTTGATCAGAGATGAAAGAAACGGTCCCTTTTTGTTTTCTAGAGGCTTGAGGGGACACTTCTGGCCTTCTATGTGCAGGGACTATAATTTCCCTCAAATTTATCGGTGAAAGAAAATGGTCAGTTGAGAGTTGGCAAACATGTGAAAACAATAAAGCAGAAAGGAAAACCCAATTCAGTCCATTGCCTCAAAGAATAGGGAAAAGGCTGTGTTTTCTGATAACATATCTCATGGGAGACACCAAGGGACTACTGCAGTCTGCATAGGCATGGGGAGAAGCCATGTTTTACATTACAGGTCTAGAAAGTGAAATTGAACATTGCAATCTATACCTACCCATTTGTCTCCCTATCTCTAAAAAACACATATGAGGAAAACAGTTTTGTTCTACATGGTGTCCAAAGGTTTGTCTTCAGACCTGCGCTGGTCTATGGAAAAATTTTCACTGGTCTTCAACAAAACGAGGAAGATAAGGTCAACACAGTGTTTATATAAGTATGTTGGTGTAAGGTTACCAGCTGTTCCCAGGAAGAACTGTTCTTTGTTCTAAGATGTGATGTAACCCTAGCCACACACATGCTTAAAGCAAGCGTTTCCTCCAGGTTAGGAATCAAACACATTCATGGACTTCTGGCCTTCCAAAATCACAAAGTACTGCAAAATAATGTTACATGCTAGCATTTTATAATATAATAAAATTATTATATTATAAAATTAAATTTATTTTATAAAATTATGTTGAGTAGAGTTCCTTTTATTTTTTATTTATTTGGACATGTAAAAAAATTACTTTTCTGTTTTGTTTTTGCTTTTTGCAGTTTTACTGGTTCGTGAAAGTTCAAGAACCATAGAGTAACGACAAGAGCTGTGACTTAGAGGTAAAGAAAATGGGGTTCTAACCTGAGCTTCACTACCTCGGGAAAGCTGCTTAGCCTTTCACAGTCTCAGGGCCCTCATACAAAAAAGAGACGATAGCATCATCCTTCATAGAGCCACATGTGAGGATTCATGAAACATACATAAAGCATCTGAGCACTTAATAAATGGACGTTATCATCATTGGTAGCTATCAGCTCTTGGTTTTCTTTCTTTCTTTTCTTTTTCTTTTTTTTTTTTTTTTTTTTTTTTTTTGAGACAGTCACTCTATCACCCAGCAGTGGCACAATCTCGACTCACTGCAATCTCCATCTCCCAGGTTCAAGCGATTCTTGTGCCTCAGCCTCCCAAGTACCTGGGATTACAGGTATATGCCATCATATCCAGCTAATTTTTGTTTGTTTGTTTTTGTTTTTGTTTTTTTTTTTAGATTGAGTCTCACAGTGTTGCCCAGGCTGGAGTGCAGTGGTGCAATCTTGGCTCACTGCAACCTCCGCCTCCCAGGTTCAAGTGATTCTCCTGCCTCAGCCTCCCAAGTACACACCTAGCTAATTTTCGTATTTTTAGTAGAGATGGGGTTTCACCATGTTGGCCAGGCTGGTCTCAAACTCCTGACCTCAGGTGATATGCCCGCCTCAGCCTCCCAAAGTGCTGGGATTATAGGCATGAGCCACTGTGCATGGCCCAGCCCTTGGTTTTTCATACATTCGATATAAATTCAGTGATCAAGATGTTTAACTGAGAAGACTCAACATCCTTTAAAATCAGGCAAAGCATAGGACCACACTACCTAACCTAAATAGTTACTTTATTTTTTCTGAACTAAAACCAGTCTCTATCTACACATATATCAAAATAGATTAAAGAGAAAGAAATTAATACATTTAGTGTCTTTTTTGCCTACAAAAAAAACCCAGCTACAGTATTGAAGCTGATGTTTTTGAACTTAATTTGACATCACTTCAGACAACAGCTCCCAACATCCTTTGATGAAAACCTATTTAACTGGGCATAGACATGCTGAGACAAAACAATACACCATATTTTTTAAAATAAATTTTCAACATTAAAAAAAAACTTTAGAGGACCAAAGGAAACAGGAACTAGGATACTTGCCCAGAACAACAAGAAATGATTACTTAAAATCAGATATATTTATGTCATTAAAATTTAATGTATGACGCTCACTCCTTTATATGAATTATTTCAAAACACTATAAGGACATGCTTAATGGGCAGGTAATCTTCACTGGTCTTATTTACCTAAAGATTTTTTTCAATGATAAATAGGTCTAAATATAAACTAAGTTCTTAAGAAAATATAGATGTTAATAGATTTATGTTGAGGAGACTACGTGTTCTTCCTTGTTTGAATAATGTTCAGTGACTGTTTTTTAGCCACTGGGAAAATAGCTCAGTTTTATTCTAAACAGACTCCAACTGAGAAAATAATACAAGACACTTCTTTGTTTATCTGGGGATTTGAGAGTTCTGGAAGTTCATGTAGGTTTCATGAGTGAAAGAATCAACAGTCTTTCTTTCCATAGACATGTCAAATTAGTTGCTCCCTAAATCAAAACATGGCATGGTACAAATTGGGGTCTTGATGTGGCACATTTCTGACATGCTCCTCATGAATACATGTTTTTAATTCAGCAAGTTATTCATCTGGGCTCAGCAAATAGGCCCCTTACCTGTTCCTTAAGTCTTTCCACTGAGCTGTGTTTTCTTTTCCCTTTGCAATTTGCAGTGACTTAGCAACTGATAAATGAGCCCTGGCTTGAGCACCATTTGACCATTAAATAATGCCTAGGGAAGTATATTAGACGAAAATTATGGGCTCTGCACAGAGAAGGCCAGAGAGCCTCTAGATAACTTCGAAACAAGGGCATCAGATGGCAGAACTCTCTACCCTCTACTGCATAGCCCACCCACCTTGGTTTTGTTTACCCCTAACCCAAGCCAAGTGACATCACATCGCTCCCCTAAATCAGCTCCAGAGAACTTTTTGATCCCGAGTATTCCCTCATGGTACATCCTGCAAACATATATTAATCTTGAAGAAAAACAGATCCTTGCCTTAGGAAGCTATCCTTTTTTTTTCTTTGAAGATAGGCTAATTTCAGATATAATTTCTGAATTGAAGAGTTGAGATTGTAATGTTATTTTCTTTTTCAATTTGTTGAACAACTTCAGTGAACTAAATCTGGCAGGGATCTGGCAGAGAAATTGTTTCACTCAATCCTCTCAATCTGCAGAGGCAGAATTTCCCAGTGTGTATGTTCTCACTCGTGTAAACACAGATAGTCATTTGTCGTTGCACCCTAAGAAATGAGACCTCTATGTATCCCAAGGATTTAGTTCTTAGAGATAACTCTATCCTCACAGCCCAAATGGACTTAAAATTTGAACTTTTCAGAAGTAGGTTTGAAAAGGTGGAACAATCAAAACCCTAAGCAATGCCTTTCTTCATTCCCATGAGATTGAAAGACGGTAGTCAAGTCTTTTTAATCTTGTAAAATTCCATGCATTAACTCCTTTATATGCAGAGGGCAATAAATCACAAAGTTATTTCAAGCATTCACTTACTAAATTACTTTCTTCTTTTTTTCATTTTCCACCTTAATTTGATAATGCTACCAATTAAAATGCTACCTATCGGTTTAAGAAATCTATAGACTTTTAGATGGTTTCCATTTTGGAAAGAAATCAATACATTACAGAAACAGAGCTCATTAGTGGCAAACAGTCAAAGGTGGATTCTATTGACATTATCCAAATCCTACTCATTCCCTAAGAATAAACTTCGATCCTGGCTTCTCCATGGAAATTCTTCCCAATTACCCAGTTTGAAAGGGTCGCTACTTTCCTGAAATGCCAAGTAACTTAATATTTGTAATTAGTCAAGAACAGTCTAGGAACATGATTATATTGGTCTCTGGAGGCTTTTTACATTTTGGATGTCATTTTACTTCTAATGTCTTTTTACCTTGTCCCCTCATCTAGCTGGTAAACAAACTCCTCTCATGCACAGACCACGAATTACAATTCTTCGTGTCTGCCTCCCATACAATCTCTTAATTCAAAATAATATTGTACTATCACATGCCAGTCAGTGTACTGAGTAAAAGGGGGACAAAGACATCATAATTAAGTTTTTCACTTCAAGGGGCTTAAATTCTTAAATTCTGATACGAGAAGAAAACATGCAAATGCAAAAACAACTCAATAAGACAACATGTCAACCCCGTCTCTACTAAAAATGCATAAATTAGCCGGGCGTGGTGGCGCATGCCTGCAATCCCAGCTACTGGGGAGGCCCAGGCAGGAGAATGGCTTGAGCCCAGGAGGCAGAAGTTGCAGTGAGCCGAGATCGCGCCATTGCACTCCAGCCTGGGTGACAGAGTGAGACCCCATCTCAAAAAAAAAAAAAACAACATGTCAACGAATCCCGAAGGGAGAATATACAGGGAATGGCACAGAGGTGGAAGGGGTCAGTTTTGTAGGTTGTCTATAAATATATGTTGATATAAATTAATATATAAGACAGACATTTGCAGCAATTTTCATTCATTTGTTCCACAAATAATTACTGAGTATCTAAAATGTGTCACCAGTTGTGCTTAATGTTGAAGATGCAAGGAGGAACAAGACACATGTGGTCCTTGTTCTCATGATGCATAGAACTTTGGGAGTTTAGACAAAATACAAATAAGCAAACAAAACAGCTGTAAATTTTGATAAGTGCTTTGAAAGGAACACAAAGATAATTGAAATAGAGAAAAATAAGGAGCAAACTCCTTTAGTAAGAGTGACCAAGAAGTGTCTCTCTGAAGGGAAGCCAGCCCAGAAATAGTAGAGGGGAAATTATTCTGAGATGGAGAGAAGCATGTGCAAAAGTCCTGGGGAAAGAAAAGACCAAAGGAAAATCTCTATGGCTGGAACAGGATGTGTGAGGAGGCAAGAGGTTCAGATTACATGGTTTAAATGGAAAAATAAGAGCAGTTTCTAGATGAGGTCCTAAAAGAAGTTTACTCCTGGGGCTGTCTCCTGTATGAACAAGCTGTCCCATGTTATCTAGGTGAAGAGATGGGAGGGGACCCATCTTAACATTAACAGTAATACTCTACACAAGCAGTCTTACTTTTAATGCCACATAGGGGCCAGTTTGAATGCTTGCACTTGTATTTCAACCGTGTATATGTGTGTGTGTGTGTGTGTGTGTGTGTGTGTGTGTGTGCGATCTACATCTCACATTCTTGTTTGGAAGCAAGTTTACTCTTTTATCTAAAGTGTTCCAATGAACTATGATCATCACCTGTTAACTATGATCAGCCTTCCATATCTGTGGGTTCTGAATCCATAGGTTCAACCAACTACAAATCCAAAACATTTGAAAAAAATTTATGTCTGTACTGAACAGGTACAAGCCTTTTTCTTGTCGTTATTCCCTAAACAATATAGTATAACAACTACTTACATAGCATTTACATTGTAGTAGGTATTATAAGTAATCTACAGATGATGTAAAGTGTACAGGAGGATGTGTTTTGCATAGGTTATATGCAAATACAACACTATTTTATATCAGGGACTTGAGCATCTTCAGATTTCAATATCCAAGGGAGGTCTTGAAACCAATTCCCTGCAGATACCAAAGGATGACTGCACATCCTCCTTTGGTTAATTTTCTATATTGAGTCCAGGAGTTTCTACCTTTGGTAATAATAAGAGGAATAAACTAAATGGATTATTTGGATAATCCACTGTTAATTATATTTATTCTCTCTACGATATGCTGACTGATGACAGAATTAGCACACCTTCTCTGGACTATTGGCCTCAAGACTGCATTCTGTTTTGAGATTTAAAAAATTTAACTCAGATTTTTCTAAGGGAATAGAGGGAATGCACTTTTTCTCTTTTCACTCTATTTTCTTCCTGTTTTAGAAGCCTGAATCTGTCTGGGCAAATCCTCATTATCTGCAGGGGATGAGGCCAGAGTTGGAGGAGCAGGACCTGCCAGGGTAAAAAGACAGGTGGAGGAGCTGGCAGGAAGCTGGGCAGAAGTCAGCTTCAGGAAGACCTGCCAGCAGTTGAGCTCCAGCTGCTATGTGTAGTTCAGGAGCTGGGTGGCTGGATCCAGCATCCACAATTAGGCCTGGGAAGAACAAGGCAAGCCTCAGTCCTAAGGGAATCAAACTATGGGAAAATTATCAAGCAAGAACTGAAGTACAAAAATTAAGGCTTCAGAACTGAGACAGAAGGTTGGGGACAGAATGGTAGTAACGAGAGAGATGTATTCTGAGCCCCAGGGTGCTGGGATGAAGTTCTTTAAATTCTGGAGTGAGATTCAGCTGGAATATTCTGGTTAGTGTATTGAAACAGTACCGTCCTGGCTGGCAATGAGCTACTTCTTGTAGCTCCCCCTTCCCTCTCCTCCACCCTCAACAGGTGGCCCCTTCCCCTTGCTCTGTTTCAACCACCTACAAACACCTAGGCCACTCCCCCGACAGCCACTGTCTAATAGCCAACAGTCCCTTCCCAGTACTTCAACTCAGTACACAGGGTGCACTGGCCTCCCTGTGGGCAAATGCTGACCAGCTCTCTGTCCGCCATCACCACCCCAAGTTGTGGCTGCCCATCAGCCTTTCCCTGGAGTTGCCCCACGTGGTTCTGTGTTGCAACTGCAACCTCTACCCTAGGCTGCCACCACCTACCCATTGTTCAATATATTTAATATCGCCTGCACCCAAATCTCTACTTTTAGGCCAGGATTAATCCTAGACACACACACACATTCACATACCCCCCACACACACACAGAGGGTTAAAACTACAGTTAAAAGTGCTAGGCCAGATGAAGGCAATAAAATAATAACATCAGCTGTGGAGAGAGAAAAAATGAAATAGTTGGAAACCAAGCAAGGTCTGATACAAAAAAATAAATTAAAATAAAATCTGAGCTTTGTAGTTCTCAGACACAGGTATACGGAATAATTACATCAGAGGGTCTTAAAATGCAGATGTCCAGACCTCGAGACCCAGACTGAATCAGGAACTCTGAGGGTCCCTCATGGAGACCACTGTGCACAGCAGAGCATGGCTCTGCTCTAGATTATTTCTTTAAAAAAAAAAATGGAGTCTCACTCTGTCATCCAGGCTAGAGTGCAGTGGTGTGGTCTCAGCTCACTGCAACCACCGCCTCCCAGGTTCAAGCAATTCTCCTACCTCAGCCTCCTGAGTAGCTGGGATTACAGGCACCTGCCACCATACCCAGCTAATTTTCATATTTTTAGTAGAGACAGGGTTTCACAACGTTGGTCAGGCTGGTCTCGAACTCCTGACCTCAGGTGATCCACCTGCCTCGGCCTCCCAAAGTGCTGGGATCACAGGTGTGAGCCACTGTGCCCGGCCAGCTCTAGATTATTTCTAAAGCATTATCAACCCTGTGTGGATTTCTTAAGACCTACTGCCCACCGATCCCACCTGCAGACTTTTTTGCTGATTGACCAAGCTGCCAAGAGTTGAGGTGAAACTGAAAAGAGGAAGGGTAAAAATAACCACAAAGACAAAAATTGAAATAAATGACAAATGAATGAATACTGTATTAAGAAAAGTGTAAAGCAATCTCTCTACTGGGTGACATAAACTATTGTCTTCAAATTATTTTTACTACCAAACAAGGTTATAGGTTTAGGGTTTTTTGTTTTGTGAGGTTTGTTTGTTTTTTTTTTTTTTACAAGCAAAGAAAAAATGAAATATTATCTTCAAAATGTACTTTCCTTGAGTCTGTGTGGCTATTCATTATTCAAGATAACATCACACAGAGCAAATGAAAAAGAGCTGATTGTGAAAAATTATCTGTGAGAATCCTACTGGGAAGAAAAGTCCACGTGAAGAAAAATTGTAAAGGGTTTAGAGCTCATAAAGAATCAACTGAAATAATGTTCAGTGCAAAATTTATCATGTGATAAAAGTTTATGATCATGTGTAATACTCAAAATAAATGGAACAAATCAATGTCAGTATACCTGCTTTCCTTCCTTCCTTCTGTAAGAAGTCTGTACTCTCTTCTGGACATTCCTGCCAGCCCGGCAGGGTCTGTGGCCCTGTGACCTCAGCAGCTGGCCTCTCCCTCCCTCCCTTCTCCTTCCTGTCCTGTCCCTCCACACATCCACACATCTGGATGCCCCTCAGGTCAAGCAGCGGCCTGGCTAAGCAGCCAGAAACAAGGCTTGGATTCCACAGGGCTGCAACTTGGGTACAGCTGCAATAAACTTATCTGCTAAAGGAAGTCAAGACTCAAGTTCAGGGAAACCCTGGTCTGAACACCTAGTCCAAAGGGCTATAGAGCTATAAGTGTGTTGTCAGGCTTCTGCCAGTCAAAACAATAGAAAATTCAGGAGCAGGCCGGGCACGGTGTCTCACGTCTGTAATCCCAACACTTTGGGAGGCCGAGGTGGGCGGATAACCTGAGGTCAGGAGTTCGAGACCAGCCTGACCAACATGGAGAAACCCCTTCTCTACTAAAAATACAAAATTAGCTGGGTGTGGAGGTGCATGTCTGTAATCCCAGCTACCCAGGAGGCTGAGGCAGGAGAATTGCTTGAACCCAGGAGGCAGAGGTTGCCGTGAGCCGGGATAGCACCACTGCACTCCAGCCTGGGCAACAAGAGCAAAACTCCGTCTCAAAAAAAATAAAAAATAAAAGAAAATAAAAGAAAGTTTGGGACTGAAAGGAAGGTTCTGAGAGTGCAGCTCTTTGGTGGTGGCAGGTTTCTGAATGGGCTGGTGGCAGGATGGGACACCTACCAGGTAAGTCTTCCCCTGTCTTCCTGTGTCTCAGCACTGACCATGTTACTGCCTTACTGGAAAACCTCAATGCCCCTCATTCCCCATCCAATAAAGGCCCCTCATGTTCTGGCACTATGTTTCCTTTCCAATCTTATCTCCCATTATTCATTCATACAAGCCCTGAACAAAATTTGTTAAGTTCCTAATGTATGTCAGTTTCTTAAGTGCTAGAGTCAGAGATGATCAGAAGCACTGTTTTCATCTTCCCAAAATCCACAACTAGAAGGCAGGCAGTCCAGAAACCAATCACTTGGGTGTCTAACAGGCGTCTTGAAATTACATGTTCAAAATTGATTTGATCTTCCCTCTCAAACCTGTTCTTCCCACAGCCTTTCCCACTTCAGCAAATGACAATGGTCTTCCTTCCATTTCTTCAAGTCAGTCTTGGAGCCACTCTTGACTCCTTTCTCTTTCTCTTACAGCTTGTTTCAGCAAGTCCAGCTGGCTCTGCCTTCAAAATACAACCAGGATCTCATCACCTCTCACCAACTCACTGCCACCACCATGACCCAAGCCACCATGCTCGTTTCCTGGGTTACTGCTCTAGCCTCCAAACTGTCTCCCAGCTTCCATCCCTGCCCCTCTATAGTAAATTTTCAACATGGCAAGCAAAGCAATCCTTTATATTTTAATATAAGACAGGTCACGTCTGTAGCCTACCTGCTCAAAATCTTCCACTGGCTTCTCATCTCATTCAAAATGAAAGCCAAAGGCATTCAGGTCGTGTCTAGGACCATGCATCCTCTGGCCCCCACTTCTTTTCCCATTAAAAGTACTTATTGTACCACCACCACTCTCCCTCCTCTCACTCTGCTCCCACGGGTGTGTTTCTCAAACACCATCATGTCCCACCTCTGGATCTTTCCTCCAGCTGCTCCCTCTGCCTGGAATACTCTTCCCTAGGATAGGCTCATGGTTCACTCTCTCACCTCCTTTGGGTCTCTGCTCAACCATCACCTTCTGAGAGAACTTCTCCAACCACCTTGCACAAAATAACACTATCTTTCCCAAGCACTCCCTACTTTCCTTACTTAATCTGATTTATTTTTCAACATTGTACTTATTTTCATTTGACATACCTTCTATTTGTGTTATCTGTTCATTGTTCATCTTCCCCATTTGAATAGAAGACACAGGAGTTCAGAGACTTTGTCTGCTTTCTTCACTGCTGTCTCCCCTGCACTTAGAAGAGTGCCTAGCATGTAGCGTGCTCAGTTAATACATATTGAATTGATTAGTTAACTAGCATGAATAGAGAACTGTTTTCTTTTCCTTCCAATTCCTGGATTCAGTAAAATCCTATTCATTTAGTAAAATCCTACTTGTCTTTAGTCTCAGTTTAAAGGTCACCTCTTCAAAAAGCTATACCTGACTCACCCTAGAGAATTTGGTTCCTCTGGCGTGTGCTCGTGATACTTCATTTGCTGGATGGAACATGAGTGAATGGAGTGGTGGCATTCCTGTCGGCCTCCATCTGCCAGTGTGTCATATTTCCACCTCTATTACTCATCATGGTTCTTCTGGCAGCCAGTGACTAAACCAAGTCACACAGCCAACTTGCTTTCAGAACATGAAGTTCCACTTCAGTATTAGGCTACTGTTGAGTCTCCCCCTCACTCCATCCCAGCTTGTACTACCCAGCCCTCCTCCTGGCCCCAGGCAGGGAGCTCATTCCACAGTTCTTCACTCTTTCCCCTGACAGCCCGACAATTCCTCCCTTCACCTTCCATAGGTCTTTTCCCATGAATTTCTTAAATGAAACATAGTGAGGTTATTGTTCACTATATTGGCTTGCTTATAGACATTTTAGAAAACCTCATATTGCATACTAAGATAGTCACTTAGATATGTACAAATATGGCATTTGAAATGTTCCTACAGAATTCTGGGCAACAAGCTCATGGTCCCTAAAATGATCCACTGTGAAATCAATGGTGACTTAACACTTTTTATCTCCAGTTCTTTTGCCAGAAGCATAACATATTACAAGTTCAACAAGAGCCACTTGATGAGCATGGTAGCCATGCCTGTAACCCCAGCACTTTGGGAGGCCAAAGCAGGAGAATCGCTTCAGGCCAGGAGTTCAACATAGCAAGACCCCATCTCTACAAAAACAAAACAAAACAAAACAAAACAAAAAACCATTAGCCAGATGTGGTGGCCCGCACTTGTAGTCCCAGTTACTCAGGAGGCTGAGGCATGAGGATCACTTGAGCCCAGGAGGTCAAGGCTACAGTGAGTTAAGATGGCACCACTGCACCCCAGCCTGGGTAACAGAGCCTTAAGACCCCATATCAAAAAAAACAAAGAACATTTACTTAACCTCAAAATCCGTCTCTCTAAAAGAATAGTTCATCAATGAATCAATCATTCAACATCTAATGTGTACCCAATGTTGGGTTATATGTTTCTCTTATTAGAGGAAACCAACACATGTGAAACAATGGACAGTGTAGTGGACATCACATGATTTGTTCTGCACAGAATCTGTTTTCCCTTCTGGTTTCCCTTCGGGAAAACACATGTCTCCTCCACTCTCAGTCCACTTGTTTTGGGTAGAATTGAACCTATGTTCAGTGTACGAGTAAACAGCGATCCAAGCCTGGCCAGTCAGAGCATCCCAGCCATGGCCACAGTAATTGGCCCAGGGATGGGCATATAATCCAAACCAACCCAATATGAGTAGATTCAAATACAGTATAGTAGTTAAGCAGAAGACTACCTGGGTTCAAATCCTAGCTTCACTAATTACCAGGTGTAAGAACTTGGCAAGTTATCTGCTCTTTGATGGCTCCAGTTTCTTGGGTAGGAAATTGGGAAAATAATTTCTAGCCATAGGATGGTGAGACAGTTTAGGTAAGACGATAAAGGCAAAGTGCTTAAAACCATGCTTGGTACATATTAAACTTTCCATGAATGCTAATCAACTCCATTTTTGGAACTTTTATGAAAGAGGATCTTTCTTCTGGGGCCATCTTGCTAACACATGGCAAGAGCCTGCCTAAGTCAAACCATAGAGGAGAAGCAGCTTAGGAGAAGTGATGAATCCTGGCCACATCAATTGAGTCCCAAGATCTAGATGTGCCTGATATCAACTACCCCCTGGACTTTTTGTTACGTGAACAAATACATTCTCTTTTTTTCTGAAGTAGGTTAATTTGGGTTCCTGACTCTTGCCTGAAAGAGCTCTGCCTAATACAGGCAGTGGTTCTAGGCAATGTGTAATTAAGCGCTAAATGGGTTTCATAAACAGCAGAAGAGAGCAGAATGAGGCAAGTTCAATATGGGCTACTGTAAGTAGTGAGGACAGGGATGGGGGGAGTTCACCCACCTCAAATTCTGCCAGCTCTGGCAGCTGTGTCAGAAAATATCTGGGGAGTAATTGAGATATCATTGTCCCAGAAGCAGTATATTTGTTGATCAAAGAAAACTCACCTTCTAGAAAAAATAATGCCATTACAGAGGTTTTTCTTTAGCACAAATCTCTCGCCTCCCCTCATAGCTAGAATCTAGCACTCTATCTTTTGTCCATGTGGAAATGACAACTTCCAAACCTGCAAAAATGACTCTTTCCAATAGAGTGAAGAAAGGCCTTTGGTTTTGTATCTAATAATCATGTTAGCTGGATGTAACTGACACTTTCAGAAACGACAACTTCAAAGTGATTCCTTCCAGGAAATTAGAAGGCACAGAAACCATTGCCTTATCCTGAAGTTTCCATCCAAGGCTCCGTGGGCGCCTTTAGCCCTGAGTTCAGGGAGCTGTCCCTCATCTGAAATTGTGCATGTTTACTGTAATCCTCCTCTAGAGTTTCCTGGGAGGAAATTCATTTAACATCCCTCCCTCGACCTTTCTTTTTGAGCAATTTGGTGTATCCACCTCTCAGCCTTTCCTTGAAGAAATCCAGCTATCTATCCTTTTTTCTATGTTGAAAATAAAAGAGAATCTGTCTTTTTCACAATGCGGTGAGCAGGTTATATACAGCATGACAAAAGCATCATTTCATAGGCCTACGGTTTGAAGTTGATAAGAGGTTTTCAGGAACAAAGGGGTATTTCAAGTGAGTGAGCAAGACAGAGAGAGTGAAAGTGAGAGTAACAGCCAGTCTCACTTCTTCCAAATTACTTCCATTTTTCTCAGGGAACAGTCATCAGAGACATTCTCATTTAGAAAATTCATTACAATTTTATTACCTAAAAATTGCTCAACACATACCAACAACCATAAAGGATATACCGAAAGTGGAAATGCCCACTGTGTTACTCTTAAGGTTAGTATCCGTTGCCAGATTCACCCTTGCTTTATTAAGGTTGCAATATTTAGCTTTTGGGTTTACTAAACGAAAGAAAGAAAGAAAGAAAGGAAAAGAAAGAAAATATTAGAAATATTTGGAAAACGCCTTCTAAAAAGAAGATGTAAAGACAATAGATCAGAGAATATCAGTGGTAGCCAGGATTTCACTGTTTATTTCTTCTACACAAACTTTTTTTTTTTTGGAGAAGAGTCTCGCTCTGTCACCCAGGCTGGAGGCTGGAGTACAGTGGCACAGTCTTGGCTCACTGCAACTTCTGCCTCCTGGGTTCCAGCTATTCTTATGCTTCAGCCACCTGAGTAACTGGGATTACAGGCGCACATACCTTTTAAAAAGCAGACCACAAACAAATTTATATGCACAATTCTCTGCTATTAATACAAACAACAAAAATGTTGGAATCTACCCTCGAGGAAGGCTCAAAAGTGATTATTCGTGAATGTCGTGAATGTCTTTGTCACCCGCTCATTTCTGGCAGTGGTGCCAAGACAAAAGCCCTGAGCTCCTCTCCACTCTCCGTTAGAATTATCTCCCTTCTTCTCATGGCTATTGCTCTAATGGCTGTAGGTTTGAACACAGATTAAATGATTTTCTCCTTGACTTGCTGAGTATGGATAAACTGGAAGGAAGAAGGGTTGAAGGAGAGTCTGGTAAGAGGCCTGTGATGCTTGTAGGCTGCACAGGCTTGAAGCAGGTCAGCTGCACTGTGGCGGCTGATGACATCCTCCTGGAAGGATGCTCTGCCTAACATTCAGTAGCTCTTGCCTGTAACTGTGACGCCTAAAGCTAAAACAACATAGGGCTAACTGCCTGACTTTTCCTAGGCCTGAGACTTTGAGCATTGACAGTTTAAAATAAATTCATCCAAGACTAGAAATGCTATGAATGTACAGGTGTGATTAGGCACAATTAAAAGGAAATGAAATGGGCTCTTTCTCACCAGTTAATTAAATTAAATATAAATTTAATTTAGTTAAATTTAGTTAAATTAAGCCAAGAGTAAATCCCCTGTACTTTCTTCTCAGATCCTGTAAAGACACTTTCCACATCCTCCTCATTGCAGTTTTGAGACCATCTGGGGTTGCCAGTATCCTTCGACTGATGTGGGACCAGTAAATCTCAACTCCACCAAATCCAATGCCCCCTTTTAACAATTATATCTCTTTTATCGTCATGAAGTAGAATCCATAGGTAGTATATCCTATGATATGGCTTGGATGTGTGTTCTCTCCAATCTCATGTTGAAATGTGATCACCAGTGTTGGAGGTGGGGCCTAATGGGAGATGATTAAGTCATGGGGGTGTGTCCCTCATGAATAGCTTGGTGCTATCCTCACAGTAACAAATAATTTCTTATTCTATGAGTTCATGCATTATCTACTTGTTTAAAAGAGACTGACACTTCCTTCCTCTCTCACGCTCCTTCTCTCTTGCTTCCTTTCTCTCCATGTGACACATCTGTTCCCCCTTTGCCTTCTGCTATGAGCAGGCGCTTCCTGAGGCCTCACCAGAAGCAGAGGCTGACGCCACGCTTCTTACACAGCCTGCAGAACCGTGAGCCAATTAGACCCCTTTTCTCTGTAAATTACCCAGCCTCAGATATTTCTTCATGGCAGTTCAAATGGACTAATGTACCCTATCTACCAACTAAAATTTTAAAATAAATAAACATCACGAGTAAACTGAAATATCAAGGAGACATACGGGGAAGGTCATTTAGAATATATTATCACAGCTGCACTAGAAGACATCTACAGTTGTCAGACACTGCCTTTCGTCATAAAACTAGAATGCTACTGTGAATGCTACTGATGCCTTATCCCATGAGCATTTGGAATGCATCTGAAATGGTGCACTTCTCATAGTCAAGGTCCAAAGAAAACAAAACACAATATTTGTAGTTTACCCAATAATTACACTCTTGGAAAATTCAGTGTATATTAAAACTATACAGAAAACAGTTTGCTTTCATATGTTAAATAGAGTTCTGCTTTAGACTCAGATAATTGCAAACATGCTTCTCATCTATATGAAAGTTCAGGGAGTTTAAGTTGTACAGGACAGCGTGAAGCAGGTTCACTGTGCACTGGTTACCACTTCAGCCCACTGAGTCTTGGGCTGCACTTACACTACTTGCCCAAGTCTGCTCAGACAAAACATTCACTCACACAAATTACATGAAGTTGGTTTATTACTCACAGATAGGTGACAAGGGTCACCAGAAGCCTAGGAGTCATTTCAAGCCTGTCCTCCAGGGCTCAGGAAAGCTGCCTGGGGTGGACGGAGTCTCATCTGCATGTGCCCCCTTTGTTGAAGGGCCTCAGCACGCAGCCCAGTCTGGGTTTTATACCCCAAGATAACATGACACACTGGACTAAAGCATTTAAGGATATCCTGTTTTCAGGGGGGACTAGAACAGAGAGTCCAGGCTATTCTGGCTGGTTCCTCCCTATCACAGAATGTTGCATTCCCAACACATTCTACAGTTACTCATAAGAACTACAAGGAAGAAAGGAAGGAGAATTGGGTCAGTCTAAGGCCACCCAGAGAACCATCCTACAGACAGGGGACAATACTTTGTTCCATAGGATAAACCTCAGTGTTACAGGACATGTGGCCACTGGCCTCTGGCAACCATTGTGACACCCAGTCCCTCCTCTCAAACACACAAATCTCCAAAATGACATCCAGGATCCATACCCTCCATCTCCCACTGGGGACATTTTGGTGATCTCAACGCAGTTCTCTAATAAACTCATCTCTGCTTAAAAATAATGAAAATCTTTATTCCTATAGGAGATGGAAACTTAAATATCTGTTCTAATCCTTTTGTTTGAAAGAAGAAAGCTGACAGGATTGTTAAGTTATGTCATACAGTGACACAGTGGCACATTCAGAGCTGGAACTCAGGTCTCCTAAGGCTCTCCTGAATCCTATGGTCATTCCCGAGTTAAATGTTGACTGTGAAAATCATCATTTCTTCAAAGAATCACTTTAAGCAGCTGTATTTTATTTCACTAAGTTTACAAAGTGCATTACTTGTTATTGCTCCTTCCTCACACGCCACCTCTACCTAGAAAATTGATTCCGCAATGACCATGAGTAATTATCGATCATGTAAAAAAGCAAGTCAGGTACTTGGCACAAAGTCACCCAGTAATAGGGGCCAGTTTCCTTTTGAATCCCTCAGTTGGTGACACAGGATGGTATTAGAGTTTTGGAACCATGCAGAAATTGTTTTTGGTAATTTTCAAGACCTTCTCCCACTGCGTGAGTTTTGAGAATCTTCAAAACAGTCGAGTGAGGTTAGTATTTTTATCCCCTTCACAAATAACGAAACAAGTCCCTGAGAAGTGAGGGAATTTGTCCAAGGTCACGTAGCTTACAAGCGAAAGGTCAGAATCTTAGCCCAAGTCTCCTTATCTCCAAAACCATATCCCTTCCAGTAATCTGTGCTTCTTATTCTCAATAAATATGCATTCCCTCTCCTTCATTTTCATTTCCTTCCTGAGGTGGTGTTCTATTTATTCTTTTTCATTTATCGGTCAAACCAGACAAAAAGAGAAAAATATTAGCACTCCTGTATATCTACAAGATAGAAGTATTTTTAATTAGTAAAACGGGATCTCCTTCATTTGAGATCCTTTGTTTGTGTTGTTAAATAATATGGCTACTGTATTGCTTAAGAAACCAACTCTAACTTAAATAAATAAATAAAAAAGAAATCAATGCAAGCATATTGGGATGTCTTGTGGAATCTAAGAAATAGTGGGCAAGCCAATTCTCAGAGAAGTGGAACAAGGAGAGCCAGGGACCTTGCCAGCAATGGTCCCTGCATCTTCTCTTGCAGGCCTGGGGTCTCTGTAGGTGTGATCCCACTTCCGACCACTCCTGGTTTCTGTGTCTGTCATTTCAAGTTTGAATCTTCATAAGCATTAACCTGAATTACCCTTCTTGGGACCAGTCACTTAGGACCAGTACGTAAGGTCAAGTAGAAAACAGCAGCAGCTGGGAGTCCACTCCTGTGAGAAAACCAGACATTTCTCAGAGGAAAGAGACAGGACAGCCAAATCATTCATTGTTTATACAACAGAAAAGGGCAAAGATGAGAACATGTTAACCAGGAAAATCATCGAGACTTGATGAAAGAAAGATCAGATACAAATGTACGGAAGTCTAAATATCTAGGTTTCAATTAGATATTCAAAGATGAAACAAAGCAGTCACTCTTATGTTTTGTAAAAGTATCCTCTATGTAAAAGACCTTTAAAAATATAAGTGTGATCTAAACAAAACCATATCTGAGGCCCAAGATGAACTCTGAGCTCTCAGCCAATCACTTAGTATCTTTAAATGCCTTGTATTCATAGGTATGAGCTGTCTTGTGCCACCTCCACCTCCTTCTCACACCCCCATCAAACTGCAGAATTTATCTAAAAGGAAAGAGACATAAGCTAGAGTGTGGAGCAATGAGGGAGACACCACAGGCCAAGGAAAAAACCAAGACAGGATCCTGGAGAGGTGGCCTAAGACACTGAAGTCTCCAGATCATTTTAGAAGGTGACTACAAATCCCCACTGGGTGGAGAGGAAGCTGAAGGTGTCTAGTCACTTACAGATCAATAGTAGGTGCCCATGAAATACTAACTGACTGATTGATTGACAGCTCAGAACCCGCTTTGGTGGGAAAACAATATTCAACGTTATTTTTAGCCATTGGATAAACTAGCCAGCATGTTGATTCACTGCATTTTTCATTTATGATCTAATTGTTTTGGCATTACATAGTCACATCCATAGAGCATTTCAACCTTGCAAATGTGTTCATTTAATTTTCTTATTTCCAGGGGCAGAGTGTGCCTACAAAGCTCATAAATATTAATGCTTGGATCATACTTTTCCCTCTCAATCCCTCTCCCCCCATAGGTATTACTGAACAGCTAATGGGAATACATAACACTGTGTAATTACTTTTTGTTTTTAAAAGTAAAGGTACAAATTCAGGTGTTTGCGCTAGAAGCAACAATCTAATTTCTCTCGTAGGCCTATATCTCATAGTGCCACACATTCATGCAAAGAACAAGCTTAAGCTCACATTTAATAACTCCAAATGAGTTGTTTGGCACCTTTAAATAGAAAATTGGCATATAAAGGACCCCAGGGGTAGGGGGAGGGAAAAACCATCTATAGACTTTTTTCTCCTTCCTGCTGTCCCTTTCAGAATAAATTAGGGTCTTTTATTTGACTCACAAACCTACTAGGGCTACTGCTGTAACAGTGCTTGTAATTTGTCCTTGATGTATGTACCTAACACAGTGACAGTCTTTAGACAATAAAGAAGAGTCAGAATATTCCTCAAAGTAATTAGATAATTCCCATTTGCAATTCTGATATCACCTTCCAAAGCATCAAAGAGCTCAGGCTGCTGTGTACAGGAATATGCATCACCTTATGATGTTTCTGCAATTACTATTTATATTCAATGGAGACTATATACACACCTCTTTCCCTTTGTCTCCCCTCACCCCCACCCAACCCTACTGATCTTTCAAACAGTCATCATTCATACAAAGAGGTTTAATTTACAAGGAAAATAATACAAATACCACATTTGCAAATAACTTACAAAAGGTAAGTCTAACAAAAGACCTAATCTCAGCCAGTTCATTTCTTTAATGGCCAATGGAGAGAGAAAGTACAGTAAGGGAGACCTCGCTTCTCAGCAACTTAAGCCTGATGCTTTCCTGGGCTGGACCATTCTCAGAATGAGATCACTCAAAAGAGTTCGCTTATTCTGGAAGCATAGTGGATTCTCAGCAAGAAGATCTCTGATCACACTGCTATAACAAAATACCATGCATTGGATAGTTTATAAACAACAAACATGTACTGCTCACAGTCCCAGAGTCTGGGAAGCCCAAGATCAAGGTGCTGGAAGATTTGCTGCCCAGTGAGGGCCTGCTTCCTGGTTCATAGCACATTCTCACTGTGTCCTCACATGGCAGAAGGGTCAAGGGAGCCCTCTAAGGCCTCTTTTTTAAGGGCACTAATCCCGCTCATGAGGGCTCATCCTCATGACCTCATCACCTATCAAAGGCCCCACCTCCTAATACCACCACCTTGGGGGCTAGGGCTTTTAACATATGAATTTGGAGGGGCCACAAACATTCAGACTATAGCCATCTCTCTCCTTAATTTCCCTACCTTGCCTGCCCAAGCTTTTGTGGTCTCTCTTTCAAGCCCTCTTCCACCATTCCCTCAGTTGCTCTTCTTTGAGTCAAGCACCTTTGTACCAACCCAAAAAGCATGCCCACTACGGGTGGAGCAGTGCCCTCACAAGTCGTTACCTTGACTGTATTGCATTAGAGAGCTGGAGAGGAGGGTGAGAAATGCACACTGATCTCAGAGAAGTTTGTCAGTTCGTATTTCTTGGCCTTTTTTTATCTACTATGATATGTCTGACAGAAAATGTCCATACACGTGTTACCTCTTCATCAATGACTTTTGTCTACTTCCCACTGCTTAGACCACTTAAGTTGCCAGCCATGAGTTATGTGCAAGCTAGCTCTACCAATACCCTTTTCTTTCCCATTGAACCAGAAGATAAGATGGTAGGGACCATCAGCAGAATAGGACAGACACAAATACATTAAAGTATAGTGGAACAAAATAAGTGGATATATATTTATTATAAACAATGGCAACTTTAAATAAATACTGATAATTATGGACACATAAGAAGGATCCAAGCAGTGGGAGAAGGGTGGATAAAGATAGTGGAAATCCCTTTATGAAAACCCCAATCGAGATGGAATAAGGAACCTTACCTACAGAATGTTTAAAAAAAAAATTCTAACACTTGTTAGAGGGAATTTATCCAAAAACGGCCTACTGCAATGAAGTTTTGTAGTAGGAAAAGTGGGGATTTATAGCCCAGGAGCAGGATGGGGGTCAGTGGATGGAAAACTGCTGGTATGATTTAGCTCTGTCCTCACCCAAATCTCATCTTGAATTGTAGTTACCATAACCCTCCACTTGTCATGGGAGAAAGCTGGTGGGAAATAATTGAATCATGGGGGCAGTTTCCTCCATGCTACTTTCATGATAGTAAGTTCTCATGAGATCTGATGGTTTTATAAGGGCCTTCTCCCTTCATTCAGTTCTCATGCTTCTCCTTCCTGCTGCCATGTAAAGAAGGACATGTTTGCTTCCACTTCCACCGTGATGTATGTTTCCTGAGGCCTCCACAGCCCTGTGGAACTGTGAGTCAATTAAACCTCTTTCCTTTATAAACTACCTAGTCTTGGGCAGTTTTTTATAGCAGCATGAGACTAGACTAATACAGTAAATTGGTACCACAGGGAGTGGGGTGCTGCTGTAAAGACATCCGAAAATGTGGAAGCAACTTTGGAACTGGGTAACAGGCAGAGGTTAGAAAAGTTTGGAGGGCTCAGAAGAAGACAGAAAAATGTGGGAAAGTTTGGAGCCTCCTAGAGACTTGTTGAATGGCTCTGACTAAAATGCTGATAGGAATATGGACAATGAAGTCCAGGCTGAGCTGGTCTCAGATGGCAATAAGGAACTTGTTGAAAACTGGAATAAAAGTCACTCTTGCTATGCAAAGAGACTGGTGGCATTTTTCCCCGGCCCTAGAGATCTGTGGAACTTCAAACTTGAGAAAGATGATTAAGGGTATCTGGCAGAAGAAATTTCTAAGCAGCAAAGCATTCAAGAGGAAGCAGAGCATAAAAGTTTGAAAATTTTTCAGTCTGACGATATGACAGAAAAGAAAACCCCATTTTCTGGGAAGAAATGCAAGCCCTGCAGAAATTTGCATAAGTAATGAGGAATGTTAATCACCAAGACAATGGGGAAAATGTCTCCAGGGCATGCCAGAGACCTTCATGGCAGCCCCTCCCATCACAGGCCCCAAAGGCTATGAGGAAAAAATAGTTTCATGGGCCCATCCAAAGGTCCCCCTGCTCTATGCAGCCTCAGAATATGGTGCCATGCATCCCAGCTGCTTCGGCTTCAGCTGTGGCTAAAGAAGGTGAACGTACAGCTCAGGCCATTGCTTTAGAGGGTGCAAGCCCCAAGCCTTGGCAGCTTACACATGGTTTTGGTCTGTGAGTGCGTAGAAGTCAACAACTGAGGTCTGGAAACCTCCATCTAGATTTCATAGAATATATGGAAATGCCTGGGTGTCCAGGCAGAAGTTTGCCGCAGGGGCAGAGCCCTAATGGAGAGCCTCTGCTAGGTAAGGTTGAAGGGAAACATGAGGTCAGAGTCCCCACACAGAGTCCCCACTGGAGCGTTGCCTAATGAGGTTGTGAAAAGAGGGCCAGCATCCTCCAGACTCCAGAATGGTAGATCCACAAACAGCTTATGCTATGCCCTTGGAAAAGCCATAGACCCTCAATTCTAACCCATGAAAGCAGCTGGGAGAGGGGCTGTACCCTCCAAAGCCACAGGGGCAGAGAGGCCCAAGGCAATGGGAGACCACCTCTTTTATCAGCATGACCTGGATGTGAGACATCGAGTCAAAGGAGATCATTTTGGAACTTTAAGGTTTAATGCTTGCCCTATTAGATTTCACACTTGCATGGAACCTGTAGCCCCTTTGTTTTGGTCAATTTCTCCCATTTGGAATGGGTGTATTTACTTGATGCCTGTACCCCCATTGTATCTAGGAGGTAACTAATTTGCTTTTGATTTTACAGGGTCATAGGCAGAAGGGACTTGCCTTGTCTCAGATGAAACCTTAGACTTGAACTTTTGGTTAATGCTGGAATGAGTTAAGATATTCGGGGACTGTTGCAAGGATATGATTGTGTTTTGAAATGTGAGGATGTGAGATTTGGGAGGGGCCAGGGGTAGAATGATATGGTTTGGCTGTGTCCCCACTGAAATCTTATCTTGAATTGTAGTTCCCATAATCCTCACATGTCATGGGAGAAACCTGGTAGGATATAAATGAATCATGGGGCAGTTTCCTCCATGCTATTCTTGAGATAGTGAATAAGTTCTCATGAGATCTAATGGTTTTATAAGGGGCTTCCCTCTTCACCCAGCTCTCATTCTTCTTCTTCCTTATGCCATGTGAAAAAGATATGTTTGCTTCCCTTTCCACCATGATTGTAAGTTTCCTGAGGCCTCCCCAGCTCTGCAGAACTGTGAGTCAATTAAACCTCTTTCCTTTATAAATTACCCAGTTTCAAGCTGTTCTTTATAGCAGCATGAGAATGGACTAATACAACTGCTAAGAGGAAGCATCAGGGGTAAGGAAGATTCTGGCTCAATAGACTTAACAGGATTCTTGCTGAAGCCAGGAAAGGATAGTCAGACATCACCTGGGGGATGGTGATATCTGATGGCTAAACCCACTTACTAGGATTCTTGCTCTTGAAAATAGGCCCAAGGACAGGACCCAGTAGAGAAAGGGCATAGAGACCACAGTTTAATTAAGAAAAGGGTCTTTGTCAGTAATCACCCATTCCCACCTAAAGGGTTTTATTCTGAAACGCTTCTCTGCTCAAAACTTTCAAACCATTGTTCTTTGTCTCATGATAAAACAGGAGGTATTGTTTTGTTCTGAAATATAAGAATGGAAACAAATTAAAATGTTATGCCAAAGCTCAACTGTGCAGGGAAGCATTTCTATCATCTATGAATGCATGTTAGGTGGACACCCTGCCACATGCTTTTCCTGTGGCATGGCCATGAAAAGCTGACGATAGGAACTTGGCACTGGCAGCTGAGGGGTTGATATCACTATTTCAGGGCCACCCTGAAAACAGCACACTTAATTGGTCAACTATTTTTCCTGCTTCTACCACATGAACTGATGGTATTACACACGTTTCAACTTACTCCACACTGTGCCAGTTATTGCAAATGCATCACAATAAAGGGGTTTTGTATGAAAATACTTGAAACTATTTAAAGTACCTGTAAACACACGCATACTTGTTTTGTTACATTTTCTCCAATTGTAACCAGGGGCCATGTCTGTCTCTTTTTTCTCCATTGTTTTCCGCCTTCCGTTATGCATTAGAGATGAATTTGTATTGCATTGTGATTCCTTCTTCACCTAAAAACTATCAGAATTGTATTCACCCTAGTGCACTGTGCATAAAGCAGTGTTTCTCAAAATGTGATCCATGGAATGGTCTGTCGCAAGCTTAATATTTTTGCAGGTAGAATATCATTTTAATGAATACCTTCCAACACTTGATTTAGAAGTTAGCACAGTTAGCACCCTATGTTAGCACAGGCTGACACAGCTTTGCCCAGATGGCTACTATAAATTGTATTTTAGTGTTAACTATATGTTAAATAGATTCATTTATAGGGCATATTTATTTAAAGATGTATTTGTTTAACAACAATGAAAATCATCTTTTTAATCCAGAATCTGTGCCAAACTATATATTTCAAATATGATAGTTTAGAACTTTTTAAAAAAGTATTGGAATTGCATTTATCTCTATGTTTTGTTGGTTGTTCGTAAAGGCTGTTTTGCTTTTTATCCTGATTTCTTCATCACCAATATTTCTTCATATCTTAGAAAGTGAACTGATTCCCTTTTCTCACTTTTCCCTTCTATCCTATCTAGCTCAGCATATGGTGTTATCATTGTTTGTTTAGGTAATGAATTTTTCCAACTTTATCGTCTCAAATCAGATCTCAGGTTTATTCGTGTTTGTCCCTTAGGTCCTGGGAAATATAATGTACCATTTGGATTCTCTGAGAGACAGACACTGAGGGGAAGGTAGGCAAACAAAGGGTTTATTAGGGGGAAGCATCCATGAAAGAAAAGGAAAGAAGGCAGGATGGGACAGGGGAAATGGTCAGATGGTGACATACATCTGATAAAGTCACTCTCTGCCCAACAGGGAGCAAAGATTGTCTGTTAGAGGAGTCAGTCCAATTTTGGGATGGAAATTCCATCAAATCATCCTCGTACCACTGTCTTTCTCTGTCGTTTTCTGCCAACTTCCCCAGAAGAGCAAGACTGCATTGCAAAAAGCTATAGATCCTCAAGGAACTACCCACTAACCACAGTCCTGTGGCAGCAACTCCTTTCTTGAAGGGGGATCAGAGTGGTGCATCTCTGTGTCTGCCACAGAAAAGATTCTATTTAAATTAATTATTTATTTTTGTAGAAAGACAGTGGTCTATGTTGCCCAGGCTGGTCTCAAACTCCTTGGTGCAAACAATCCTCCCACCTCAGCCTCCAATGGTATTACAGGCGTGAGCCACTGAGCCTGGCCTCTATTTTATTTTAAACAAATGACAAATCATCAACACAGAATTTTGAAAAGAAAGAGAAATTCTAAGACTAATAGATTAAATATCGCATCAGGATACATAAATACATACATTGCAATATCATTATTTAGTTTTCCAACACCATACACAAATTTACAAATCCATATATCTGACTTGTTAATATGTGCAATCATATTTTGTTCATATAAACATTTTAAAATGCACAATGCTAGAAATCCAATGGACAAGCCATAAATTGGCACAAAAGAATGGAGAAGAAAAACACAAGTTCTTTACATACAAATATGTGTTTTATTTGCAAAGAAAAACTTAATTCCATGTAGATATTATAATTAACATTTAATAATATATTTATTAATATAAAATGACACACTGGTATTGGAAGAACATGTAAATACCCAACATCTAGCATTTCACATACATAGAATATTTGGGAAGTGATTGGTGCAGTGGAGTGGGAGAGGGGTTCAGTTTATCTTAAATAGTTTTATAGAAAGTACACATTTATTTTTAAGAATTCACACAGCAAAGTATTGGACACATAAATCTTCAGGCATTTCAAAATTGTTTTGAATTTTTAAAAATTATGTAATAATTTATACTGTGTTTTATATTTATGGTTTTTTGTAAGTACTGTGGAAATTGGTGAGCATTAATTGTCCACAGACACCAGCTATTAGGGAACACTTATCATAGTTAATGTTTAACATCTGCATTAATACTACATGTACCTGTTAATTAACCCCCTTTGTGTGGAATGTTTATGGTGCATCACATTCTCTAATATTTTCCTCAAGATAATACAAAAGTTAATGAGAACCGCACATGTGCATCAAGAAGAGAATAGAGCCTTTGTCCTAATCTTATTAAGTTGCTCCAGATGCGATAATATTGTCCCATCTCCAAATGACTTTCTTTATTATCACTTTAAACGAATAAGATTTAAAATTAGAAAACAAAGTAACACAAGCAAAGAACTTCCTGAACTTGCATTTATTTTTTATTTTCCTTAATAATCTTAAATTTCCTTTGGGTAAAAGAAAGTGCTTGCAGAGTCATTACACAGCTGATTATAGATCTAGGGACATTTTTCTTGTGCATAAAGCTGAGTTATAAAGCTCAGATTATTTTCAACTCCAGAAGAGAACCAAATACCGATTCTATCAAGCATTATATCACCCATTTTTAAACATTATCTGCTGAGTGACAACTATGTGCCTGTAGTATACTAAATGCATCCACATATAGTGTCTCATTTAATCATTTATTCATTCGACACATATTTATTAAATTAAGCACCTTCTGTAGTAGGCAATAAGAATACAACAGTGAGCAAAGCAGGCATATTTTCTTCGTGCATCTTTCAATCTGGTGGGAGATTCATAGAAGATAACTCCATCAGTCATCTATTGCTGCAGAATAAACTATCGTAAAACTCTGTGGCATCCAACTATAAGCATTAATTATCACATTTGTTGGTCTATAGGTCAGCTGGGGCAGCTCAACTCCTTATGTCTCTCATTCTTCCAGTACCAGGAAATGACCAAGTGCATGTCCTTCTTAAGGCAATGGCAGAGGTGCAAGAGAACCAGTCCTACTACACAAACACACTTCAAGCCTTTGCTCGTGTCCTATCCACTAACATCCCATTGACCAAGTGAAGTCCCATGGCCAAGCCCAAAACTAATAGAGTGGAAAGTATACCCTGTCCACAGTGAGACAGTGAGAGGAGTAAGAATTTCTGAACAATAATCCAAACTATCACATATAATGATAGAATTGAAAACTCTGGCAGCAAAGTGACAGAAGTTTGAGAGTACTTGGTCAGGATCTAACAGGAGGGCTGGATCACATCTGGGGTCAGGAAGACTTCCCTGAAGATAAGAGACATGAGCTGCAAACTGGATAGGTCAAAAATAACTAGGTAAAGAGGAAGGTGGGGAATTACCCAGGTGGTGAAACAGTGGGTAGCATGGCAATTTCAAGGAACAGGAAGGGAGCCCTGAGAGCGCTGTTCAGAGAGTGAGGAAGAAGGTGGAAGAGCATGAAGCTGGAGAAGTGGGTCAAGTGAGATCTTGCAGGGCCTTGCAGACCATGTTCAGGATTCCATCTTTACCCTGAGATCAATCAGAGGCAATGGAGAATTTTAAATAAGTGAGAGATGTGATCAATTTCTGTTTTGGAAATTACTCTAGTTGCAATGAAGGAAACAGCTGGGAATGGACTTAAAGAAAGTCATCTGCAGATAGAGGGTAATCAACATCATTGGCATAGATTAGGGGTTAGTCCACTGCCTATTTTTGTAAACCAAATTTTATTGTACCACAGCCACACTTAATCATGCATAGATTGTCTATGGCTGCTTTTTTGCTGCAATGCAAATTTGAGTCATTGTGACAAAGACCTTATGGCCACAAAGACTGAAATATTTACTGTCTGGGCCTTTACAGAGTTTGCCAACGCCTGCATCATTGAGATAGCTTTAAGAAGAATCATAGAGGAAGCCGACAGAGGACCTAGGGCATAGCCTGATAAAGAAGAGAATGATGAGACACCAAAAGAAACTGAAATGCGGGGTGTGGTGGCTCACGCCTGTTCCCAGCACTTTGGGAGGCCGAGGCGGGCGGATCACGAGGTCAGGAGATTGAGACCATCCTGGCTAACACAGTGAAACTCTGTCTCTACTAAAAATACGAAAAAATTAGCCGGACGTGGTGGCGGGCACCTGTAGTCCCATCTACTCGGGAGGCTGAGGCAGGAGAATGGCGTGAACCCGGGAGGCGGAGCTTGCAGTGAGCTGAGATTGCGCCACTGCACCTCCAGCCTGGGCGACGGAGCGAGACTCCGTCTCAAAAAAAAAGAAAAAAGAAACTGAAAATCCTGATCTGCCAACAAGAGATTTTAGCCCCACTTTACGGATTTAGAAACATAGGTTCAGAGAGTGTGGTAGATTGCAACATACAGCCACAGTTTCCTTCCCTTCCTATATGCATATCCCACTGCAATGCGACATTGCTGCTTATCCTGTCAAAAGGTGAAGGATTCTTCTCCACGGCTTTGGTTCTGGGTGGTCCTGGTGAATAGTTTTCACCAATAAAATGTGGCAAGAGTGACACTGCAGGAGTTCCAAGTCTCAGCTTTGAGGCCTTAGTTTTCATTTTCACTCTCCTGTCCTGAGACTGTCATGTGAGGAGGCCTGGTCTGGGTGCCTTGAAGATGAGCATTCACATGGAGAAAGAGGAGCAGCCAACAGCCAGCAACACCCTCCCAACATGTGCATGAGGCCATCCAGGACTCTCCAGATCCCAGGAAGCAGCTGCCTGGCTGCTGACACTTGAGTGATCCCAGGCGAGTTTAGCAGAAGGACCACCCGGCTAAGTGCTGTCTGAATTGTTGACCCACAAAATCCTGAACTAATGAATTCTTGTTTGAAGCCACTAAGCTTTGGGACAGTTTGTAACACAGAGAGAGATAATTGAAACAAAGACATTAAGTGACTTTCTAAGATCACATGGCCATACACCCATTATGTAGCAAGCTAGGATTGAAACTTTGTTTTAGGACTGCAAGTTCCCAACATGTTCTCTATTCAAGTCTATACATGGCAAAAAACAGCAAACCTATGATATTATGTTAGTCTTCCTGATGATCTGTCTCAATGCACTTACTTGACTGATTCTAGAGTTGGACAATTTGTTATTATGTGAAGGGGATTGAGAATACCCTCTTGTATAAAACAGAAGATACGGAATACAGAAATATTGTGCCAGCTTGCCAAGTGTCTGAAAATTCAAACATACACAACTTTATTAGTTCGTTTTTGCTTTTTTTTGCCTTTATTGCTTCCTTCCTTCCTTCTTTTCTTTCCTTTCCTTCCTTCCTTTCTTCTTTTCTTTCCTTTCCTTCCCTCCTTTTCTTTCTCTTCCTTCCTTCCTTCCTTCCCTTTCCTTCCTTCTTTTCTTTCCTTTTCTTCCCTCCTTTCCTTTCCTTCCCTTCCTTCCTTCCCGCCTTGTTTCCTTTCCCTTCCTTCCTTCTTTTCTTTCCTTTCCTTTTCTTCCCTCCTTTCCTTTCCTTCTCTCTCTAAAATCAAGTTATGTGCTTGCTAACAAATGTGAGAGATGGTTAGGAACAGACTGGGAGATACTGAAAGGAAGAGTAACTGCCCTACAGATACAGGTATAAACCAAGCACAGAGGAAAAGAGGTGACGCTGAAAGCATCAGAAATGCCAAATGAAAGGATGATAAAGGATGGAGAACAGGACTCAAAGAGACACTGAGTTATGCTCACCAGAATGGCTAGCATCAGAAGACTAACCACACCAAATGTTGGCAAAGATAAGGAGCAAATATTACTCTTATACATCGCTGATAAGGGTATCAAATGGCACAGCCACTTTGGCAGTATTGTTAAGGTTAAACATTCATCTATCCTGTGACCCAACAATTCCTCTCCTAGGCATTTATGCGAGAGAAATGAAAACATATGTTCTCAAAAAGACTTACATAGAAATGTTTATTGCAGTCATACTCGTAACAGCCAAAAACTGGAAACAGCCCAAATATCCATCAACAGGATAATGGATAAACAAATTGTGGTGTATTCATACTATAAAATGACCCTCAGTAATAAAAAGAATGAAATACTAATATACGCAACAACACCGACAACTCTCAAAAATATTGTTAAGCCAAGTGTTGGCAAACTGCAGTCCAAAGGCCAAATCTAACCCACCCTCTATTTTTGTAAATAATGTGCTATTGGAACCCAGCCACATGCATTTATTTCCATATTGTCCATGGCTGCTTTGGTCTAACAGCAGACTTGAGTAGCAGAGACAAGACCAAATGAATTGCAAAGCCAAAAGTATTTACTATTGGGTCCTTTACAGAAAAAGTTTTCCAATCTCTGCATTAAGGGATCAAAGCCAAGCAAAAAAAATGTATATACTATATGATTTCATTTATATGAAATACAAGAACAGACCAGAACCAATCTACGGTGATTATGGGGTGTATTAGTTAGGGTTCTCCTGAGAACCTGAACCAACGGGATATATAGAGATATACAGGAGATTTGTTACAGGAATTGGCTCACATGATTATGAAGACCAAGAAGTCCCATAATCTACCATCTGCAAACTGGAGAGCCAGGAAAGCTGGGGATGTAATTCAGTCCAAGTCCTAAAGCCCAGGAATGAAGTGGGGATGGGGACTGGTGTGAATCCCAGAGTCAAAGGGCCAAGAACCAGAAACAAGAATGTCTGAAGGCGGGAGAAACAATGGGGTCCCAGTTCAAAGAGAAAGAAAGAGAGTTGGCTCTTCCTGTGCCTTTTGTTCTATCTGGGCTCTCAATGGATTGAGCATTGCTGCCCATGTTGGTAAAGGTGAATCTTCTTGACTCAATCTACTGAGTCAAATACGAGTCTCTTCCAAAAACAATCTCACAGACACCCCCAAACATCATGTTTTACCAGCTCTTTGGGCATCCCTAAACCAGTCAAGTTGACACATCCGATCAACCCTCACAGGTGGAGAGGGAGCATTGACTGGAAAGGGGCACAAAAAACACTTTGTAGTGATAAAAATGTTCTATCTTGTTTAGTGTGGTGGTTATGCATCTGTCTACAACTGTGAAAATATCAAACCTAAGATATGGGAATTTTATGAATAAAGAAGTTTTTCTTTGAGAAAATTCTGAAATAAATCACTTAGCCTGATCACAGGGAAACAGAATTATAGAATAATAATAATAAAAACCTTTGAAAACTCAGAATAAAAGACTGAGTTACAAAAATAATAACCTCTCCTCCTCAAACTTCCAAAAAAAAAACTAAAACAGTAAGAAAAACATGTGATAGGAAATCGAGATCTAGAAGTCCTGGTTTTCAAAGCCAGAGTTTTGCTAGTTTAATGAAGAACTTGTTCTTTGTTGATGCACTGACCTTCTCAAGGCTTCACATGTTCATCTGCAAGCTGCAGTTATTAGACTAGACTGTCACTGAGGTCCCTCTTAGTTCCACTGCCCCATATTTTATGACTCACACGTCATTAAGATGACATAATCCTCTCCTGTAGCATTGGTCCCAACTCCCCACCAAGGTGTTTGCTTTAAATATCCAGGTAATTGTGGCAGCTCTCCACAACTGAGAAAATATTCTGTGTTTTTTTTGTGCTGCTAAACAGTCCATGGAAAGCTGTTAACTCCCTTTGGTTTACAGCTTTTGGTAACAGACAGTAAAGAATCTAGGAAGGAGTCTCAAACAGGACTATTTCAAGCAAACTAAGGTTTGATCAACTAGAATTGATGAAGACAAACACTGTCTTTTTATACCATTACCACGAACATTGTAATTATGATGCATAAAAGGCAAGTGTGGATCAGTCATATGGGGCAACTTGGGGCAAAGGTGCTGCAGAGAAGATCTGTGCTGGCAACATGCCATTGTTTTCAGCCCCTCTGAATGCCCCTGCTCCTCTCCACCACCCCTCCGCCACCCCACCACCCACCGCCAATACCACACCACAGGACCAAACCAGGGAAGTTGGCCTCAATGTATAGAAAGTTCCCTGGTATCCTGATTTTATAAATCAATTAAATCATGCTATACCTTGCTTTTTTTTTTTAGACAGAGTCTCGCTCTGTCACCCAGGCTGAAGTGGCGTGATCTCGGCTCACTACAACCTCTGCCTCCCAGGTTCAAGCGATTCTCTCGCCTCAGCCTCCTGAGTAACTGACAGGCGCGTGTCACTACTCCTGGCTAATTTTTGTATTTTTAGTAGAGACAGGGTTTCACCATGTTGGTCAGGCTGGTCTTAAACTCCTGACCTCGTAAGCCGCCCACCTTGGCCTCCCAAAGTGCTGGGATTACAGGCATGAGCCACCATGCCCAGCTATACCTTGCTTTTTTAGGTGCAGACTACTATACAACCCCGTGAGATCTGTTTTATGGAATTCAGAATCAATTTGGCATCACTGGCCCTATTTTTACCCCTTTAGATAGATCATTTTCCACAACAGTCAAGACACCCACACCATGTTTTTCCACCATACAGTGGCAGAAAGCTACCATATTGACTCTCTCCATTCATTCACCAAACAAACATGCCTCTAGTGTCTCAATAAGCCATGCAATAGGTTAGACATTATCCCTAGCATCAGGGAAGTCACAATCTGGTAGGAGATGAGCTATTGATAACATCGTGTAGCATGGTGAACAACTGAGAAAATATTTTGTGTTTTGTTTGTGCTGCTAAACAGTCCATGGAAAGCAATCCAGCTTCTCCTGTTCCCGTTGCCTATTTCTCACCACGTTGGTAACTAGGTCTTTGTTTACGAGATCTAAGTTCTCTGCACACCCCATAGAGAAGATAGAGCTTTTTCTATATTTCTTAGCTTTAAAGAAAAACACACACATGCAAGTTATCAGATACCTAGAAAGTCAAGCCCAGGGTTTACAAATTCCCAGATCTGTAAAGGCCAGAAACATAATGTGAGTAAAGTAAGCCTGGTATAAGATGACAAATAACAACTGCTCTCCGCTTCAGTGATGAGGACACAACAGAAAGAGGTGAAGAATGTATAGATGTGTAGAGCAAATGCCAACCATTTGCTCAGTGCCAGCTGGCTGCTGCCAGGAGAAATAGAGATCCCACCATGCTAGATTTGCTGAATTCTCAATAACACCTGGACACATTCAAATAAAATCTTCATTTGTAAATGATAGCAATTCATTCAGATTTAAAACTCTGTGCAGGATGCCACAGCACACACCAAGGAAAAACAGCAAGAGGGTATGAGGCTGAATACAACCCAAGTGCTAGTTTTCCACCTTTGGTACTAGGTGCATTGAGAGAATTAAGTGCCCATCGAAGAGAGGAAGGGTGGAGATGGGAGTAGCCAAATGTCCTGAGCACAGCCAGGACCCCTGTAAAAGGGAAGGAGAAGGGACACATATTATTTATTTATTTATTTTCTGAGATGGAGTCTCACTCTGTTGCCCAGGCTGGAGTGCAGTGGTGCAATCTCGGCTCACTGCAACCTCTGCCTCCCAGGTTCAAGCAATTCTCCTGCCTCAGCCCCCCAAGTAGCTGAGATTACAGATGTGCACCACCACGCCCAGCTAATTTTTGTGTTTTTTTTGTAGCGATGGGGATTCACCATGTTGCCCAAGCTGGTCTAAAACTCCTGATCTCAGGTGATCCGCCCACTTCAGCCTCCAAAGTGCTGGGATTACAGGTGTGAACAACCGCACCCAGCCTGGGACAGATGTAATTTAGTGAAGTGGTGGTGAGAGCCTGCTCAGGGTAGTGCACCTGAAGGGCCAGGCTCTTGGATGGGGACAGGTGTCTTGTGACTGAAGAAGTAGCACCAGGTGCTATGTCTTGGGAAGTTCAGCAAAGGTTTCTGTGGTTTAGCATGGCATAGCACCATGGAACGGCCCCACGGAAGAGATGGAGTTGTTAACAGAGCCATCTACCTTTGAGTAGACTTACGGGCTTGAACCAGGAACCACCTCAGAGGAAGTCACCCCTGAAGAATGACCAAGACTATGCCCCACTTTCCCAGACCATATAAGCCCCAAGCTTCTCACAGCATCTAAGAAGAAAAGAGGGAGTTCTTTTCACCCCATCAGCCAAAATATCAATTATTACTTTTCACAAACCCGCATGAGGAAAGAACAAAGTGGATTTCATTTGATATAGAAAACTAAAGAAATCGGCATTTCTTGTACCCAAATAGTCATTAAACAATTCATACAATTCTATATAAACCACTGGATAAAATACAATGGGTTAGATACAATGGGTTAAAGGAGTGATTATTTCTGCCTGAAAGATTGAGGAAGGCTTCTCATTTCAACTTGATCCCAAGCCCCTCCTCTGAGGCACTCCAAACAGGAAGGACTCTCAGTGGGACGACAGAAAGCAGGGCAGAGCCACAAAGCTACTACCTGGAACATTTCTCTTGTCAGTTTTATTGGGTGCTATTAGTCTCCTATTGCCACTCTAATAAATTACCACCAACTTACTGGTTTAAAACAACACAAATGTATCACTTTACAATTCTGAAGGTCAGAAGTCTGCAATAGGACTCACGGGGCTAAAATCAAGGAGTTGCTGGGCTGTGTTCCTTTCTGGAGGCTCCAGGGAAGAATCCTCTTTCTAGCCTCTTTTAGAGACCCCATTTTCCTGGGTTCACAGCCTCCTTCCAGCTTCTAAGCCAGCAATTGCACCCCTCTCACCTCTTCTGCCACAGTCCCATCTTCTCCTTCTCTGACCCCTGCCTCCCACTTGCAAGGACCCTTGTGATTATATTGGGCCACTCAGATAACACAGAATAATCTCATTTTGAGGTCAGCTGATTAGCAACCTTAATTCCATCAACAGCCTTAATTTCTCTTTGCCATGTAACATAACATATTCACAGGTTCCAGGAATTAGGACACGGGCACCTTTGGGGTCTCATTATTCTGCTTGTCACAGGAGCCCTGTCTGCAAAGCTCACATGCCTCTTCTCACCACCATCTTAAATGAAAGTCTACTCATTCTCTGATGCATAAACTCACTCTACTGAACCCCCACCTCATGCACCAGATGACAACAGAGAAGAAACAAAGAGAAGGTCTTTGTTCTAAGCAGTGGAGGCACAGAGTTAATGCTTTCCAAGACACTAAAAGGAAATCCGTCTTTAAAATTCATGTCTTCCTTGGCAATCAAAGTAGGCCAAGGGACTTTTAGTGACTCCCTTGTGACAAACAGCAGGCATTGATCACACAGCTGGCAGATATTAGCAGGGAAACCTATGGCTACAAACAGAACGAAACCTCTGATGTTGTTAGCACTCGGCTCAAACCAACTTAGCCAGCCAAACCCAAATTTTAATTATCCACAAAACAGTGAAGGCAGTACAACCACTGTTGTACAAGAATTCCAGAATTATGAAACTTTTCTACATACTTAGAGCTTTTATAATATTTTCATCCAAAAATAATAACCTAAGGAAACATACAAATACTTCTGGTAATACCATACACATTTGTCTTTGCTTTTTACTAAAGATAGATCACCTCAATATGTTGGCAGAGCCACCCACCTTTGAATAGACCTATGGGCTTGAAGCAGGAGCCATCTCAGAGGAAGCCACCCCCAAAGAATGACCAAGACCATGACTCTCTTTCCTGGACCAAATAAGCCCCACTTTCTAAGATGAGGCTTTAGAAGATGGCTAAAGTACCAGCCATCTTCTACTTTCCACTCATTCTCATTGGCTTCTAATGTCCTCAGAGGAATGTTGGGATGAGAAGCAAATTAGACATTGACACTAAATCCACATATGAAGTAGTCATAGTACAGAAAGAGCCATATGCAGGTCCTAGGACACATGACCTTGGATTTTGGATCTGACATCTCTCTTTTGGATCCTATCCACCCAGTACCATTTTTTAAAGTGACCTATGTCCCAAGGCTCTATATAGAAGGTGAAAGTGACACTTAGTAACACTGAGTATACAAAATGTAGCGAACAATAGCAGTAGAAAGAACCATGAGATGTTTGTTAGCATCTCAACTAAGGCTTTGATTTATGTAATTTCATAAGGTTTTTATAAACCATTGATAATTATACATTGTTGCTTAAAATATGGATAACTTTAAAATGGAAACACAATGAAAGTGGAGCAAATTAATTATTATGATGTAAATACTATAATCTAAATCTCTCAAAACAGGACGTCTAGAGAGGAAAAATAATAAAATGGTAACCATTGTTGTAACTCAATCACCCCATTTTATAGATGCAAACTCAAGCTTCAGTGAGCTAAAGTTCAGTTAGTGGGTACAAAGCCAAGACATGAGTCCAAGACGCATCTCTTTATTCTCTGTCATTTTTTTTTTCTCTCTCTCTCTCTAAAAAAAGTGCAAGCATCCGAGTAGCTGTTTTCTCATGCTCTGTGACGTGCTAAGATAACTGAATATAAGTGTCCCAGAACTCGGCACTATGGGACTGTAGCCCCCCATGTGATGAACTGGAGGCAAGAGTGGTCAGGATTAATAGCAAATTCATACAAAAACTAGCTTGTCAGACTTTCTGGGTCCTGTACACCTAGCAGATGCATTTCCCAGCATGAAAGATTAGTGCCTGGAATTAGTTGGCCTGGATTCCCTATAGTTTCCAGTGTCACTGGTGAGAGAAGAGTTACAGATTTATTGCTGGACTATAGTGAAATGAAATCATTGTTTGGTCATCATTTCAAACCAACATACAGTCTTACATTTTTCTCTCTCTCTCATAAAAGTCCCTTGACACATTTCCTTCCTTCTTCAAGCAACCATTATCTGCACTCTAAAAAATGAGATCAAGAATAAATGTTTATACAGTAAAGGTAGTCTCCCTGACTATTCAGCATTTAATGATAACATTTGTTTTTTAATTCCTTTCTATTGGAAAAATGCCTTTATTTGTAAATAGTTGCTTAGCAACATTCTTTGTAAATGCTCGTATCTCATTTGGAACACCTATCACTTGGTTCTGGAAGTCCTTAAATTCCTTGGGGCTTCTGCAGCATTCTCAAAATATGGAGAAAAGAAGAAGAAAACATGCAAGAAAGCTGAATCATTCCAATTCTCTAACTACAAGAAGAATTTAATAAAAACGAAAAGTTACCTTCATTTTGGATGGAAGTGACGTGACGCTAAAGGAAAAAATATGAAACTAAGATGCGGGGAGATAAGGAATATTTTGTACATCTATGAAAGAGTCCATGCCTAGAGCAGATCAAGTCAGGAGTGGGAGACTGGGAACATATAAAAAGATATAGAACTTCAGGGTTTTATCATTGCTTTATCACTGAGACTCTGCGGTATCAAATGCAGTCCTAACATTTTACACCTGGTAAGAAAGAATCACAATTATGATTCTCATTAGAAGCCCACACCCTGAGAATGTGTGTGTGTGTGTGTGTGTGTGTGTGTGTGTGTGTGTGTGTGTGTGTGTGTGTGTGTGTGTGTGTTGGGTAGGAAAGGAAATACAGAACCCCAATGAGTTTGTGACATCACTTGGTAGAAGCAGCGTAGGTCCACATCACATGGTACAAGAATTGTAGGTAAAGAGATTTCTCCTGAAGTTGGCAGACTCAGACCAACCATGGGAAAGATCTGACTTTGGGAAAGATATGGAAGTATGACACTCTGTGGAAATCAGGCAGAATATGCCTAGTAGCCAGTCTCCAAAGTGGCTCTGTGATTCCTGTCTCCCGGTGTTCACAGCCTGGTTTAGACCCTTTCCACATTGTACCAGGTTGGTCTGTATGACCAGAGAATATGACAGAAGCAATGATGTGTCACTTCCAACATTAGATTCTACATGACATTGCAGCTTTTGTCTTGGTTGTCCTCTTGTTCTCTATCTTCCTTAGAACACTCATCCTGGAAGAAGCCAGCTACCATGACTTGAGGACACTTAGCCCCAAGGAAAAGCCATTAGCAAGGAACTGAGACTTCCCGTCAACAGCCATGTGAGTGGGCCTTCCTGGAAATTGATCCTGCAGTTTCAGTCAAGGCTTCAGATGATGCAACCCAGATGCTGAACCAGAAACACCCAGTGAAACCACGCCTAGATTCCTGACTCTCAGAAACTGTGGGAGAATAAATGTTTGTTTTAAGCCACTAAATTTGGGGGCAATTTGCTATGTAACAATAGGTAACTAATACAATAAGTTAAAATGCAACATCTGAGAAATTTAGAACATAAACTCCTTGATGATAATGTTATATTTGTTCTTTGGGAGAAAAAAAAAACTGAAAAGAAATCTCTTCATCTTATTGTGAGGATGTAAAATGCATATTCCAGCCACATTATATTCAGTTTTCAAATCACTTTTATCCACCCAGTTATCAAGGACCTTGTATATACATTCTATTAGGATAAAATGATAGAAATATAAAGAAGTGGTAATATCTTCAAAATGCTTAAACCAAAAGTCTGAGACCGACATCTTGCAGCAGGTTTTTTGTTTTCATTCTCAGCATTCATTTGCATTTTATTTAACCCAAGTTAATAGCTATCTAGGCTGTACATTTTCCATTAGACCTTTAAGATCCATTCTTTTCTTTTCTACCTTAGTTTGTACTTTGATGCTGGCCTTTGGGGACTGAATCTATATGCCCCTCTGCCCTCTGGCTTTCTCTTGGTTTCAGCCAATGGAAGAGCATGCAGGAGACCAGAGAGTGAGAGAGGAATAAGATGAAGGTACCTCTACTATTGGCTCCTTCCCTACCATGGATTGGCTACTTCTCTTCACCCAAGACTATGCTCTGGTCAGGCAGCCCACCTAGCTCTCTCCCATAGCCACAGCTGGCCCCCTAGGGCTGAGGAGCGGTAATGCTTCCTGCTGTTGCTAATCCCGGGGTGCTTCACCATTCCTCAGCAGATGAGGGAAACCCTACTCACACCTTTTTAAATACTTATTTTATTTGTTAATGACTTGGCTTGAATGTGCCATGTATTCCCTACCAGGGCTGAACAATACACCAACCTTTTTAAAATGTGAAATTTCCCAAAAAGGTTAGAATTATCACACTCATCTTTAAAGATCAGAATATCTGGAATGCTGGGTCCATATTCCCAAGCAGCTGGCATCTATGCCCTTTTGACAAACAGTGGTCTCTCCAGTGACCCACCAGTCCCCACCATTGCCTGTTGTGCAACTCGCTTGATCAATTCCAAACATGTGTAGGATGTGCTTGCACCTTTATCCTTATTGGAGCTTGTGAACTCAGGCTAAACTGTGGCAGGAGAGACGGTGTTTAACACAAATCACTTTATGCAGTGTGGAATGTTGATGCCAAGAAGTGATCCAGACAACAAAGACAATGGCAATTAACTGGATGGAACATTCATTTCTGTGTGTGAGAACTTATATAGGGGACTGGACCTTGACACTTCTCTTTGAAGAACAATACCACACTTGAAACTTTATAAGGTATGGGCTGGTTAGGAAGTGTAGTCATTATTTACACCATTGCTTGCATAGGAAAATAAATTCTGGGATCCAAACAACTGATTTAACAGTAACATTTTTATAATATAATCCATTAATTAAATTGGTGACCTCTTTATAAGTAACTCTAAGTATCAAAATAAGTAGCTTTTAAAGAAGGTACATCCAAAAAAAAAAAAAAAGTCTAGGATTAGTGACCTTGATTCAAAAGATTTTAATAGTAAAACATTAAATCTGGAGGAGAAAATTATGTTCATTATCAGCAACACAATTTAACATCATTATGAATTAACTAATCAATGCAATTAGGCAATAGAAGCTAATGGGGTATGAGTATTAGGAAGAAGTCAGAATCATCACTCTTTGTAGATGATATGAGTTTAAAGACAAGAAACACCAAGAAAATTGATGTAACAGGTACTCGAAGCAATACCAGAATTAGTAAGGTGATGAATTACAAAATTATTTTTAGAGCCAATGACTTTTCTATATGTTCATACATTCAGAAAATATTTTCCAAATACTCATTATTTGCCATGCAACATTCTAGGCATTAAGGATACAGCAAAATAAACAAGCCAGATAAAGCATCCTTGCCCTTAATAAGGAGTTTATCTTCTAGTGAGGAAAAGCATACAATACATAACATGCAAAAGTTATATATACAATTAAATAGGAATTCATGTTTAGGATAAAATAGAATAAGGAAGGAGACTATAGGGTATGAGAGGAATTATAATTACATATAGGTGACTAAGGAAGGTTTCATTGAGAAGATGACACTGTGCAAAGGCCAGCAAGCTATGGCTGTATCTGCTGGATGAGGGCACCAGGCAGAAGGTACAGCAATTGCAAAGGCTCTGAGCTGGGCCCAGTTAGAAATATTATGGAAGGACTATTCCATCCACAACAAACAAGAAAAAAATAAAATACCTAGGAGTAAATACTAAAAGAAATGTCTAGGATCTTTAAGAAGAAAACAGTACTGTGTATATTGTGTAGAGAAACAAAAGCTAAGCAAATGAAAAGTGTATCCACCAGGGTTAGATAAAGGAAGAAGAGCTGTTTTACTATGAAATGAAGACTTGATTATAGAGTGAAACTTTACTCACTGGTGGAAGGAGCTGGAGAAGTAAAGACTCAAAACAGGAAATTTTAGGACCAGAAAATGTCACTCCCCAGCTATCCTGAAGCAGTATCCCGGATGGAAAGTCAGAGCATTCAGAGGAATTGAGAGGCAAGATACATACAGCTGCTGAAAGTGGTATCAGGAAGGGAGACTAGTGTCTTAGCCTCCAGAAGGCCATTGCTTCCACATAGCTGTCCCATCTGTGAGCTCACAGCCAAATATCTGATGGTGGGACTGGGTTTGCTCTTGGTCAGCAGGGCCAGAGTCAAAAAGAAGAGCAGAACATAGAGTGGGGAAGAGCAAGAACTCACTGGAAACAAACTAGACACCACTGGCACCCCTCGTGGCTTCTAACCATGACCACCTTCAGAGACAATGGCTATTGCTGCAAATGTGCCTTCCATGTCCCAGATACATTTCCCTTTTGCCAACTTCAACCTGAAACTACACAGGGAGGGGGATTCTGGAAAACAGCCAATTGGACATGAAAACCTTCTACCGGAAGACATCTTGGGCTCTTAAAATAAAAAGATTTCCCTGCCGGGCACAGTGGCTCATGACTCCAGCACTTTGGGAGGCCAAGGTGGGCAGATCACCCAAGGTCAGTAGTTCAAGACCAGCCTGGTCAACATGGTGAAACCCTGTCTCTACCAAAAGCACAAAAAGAATCAGCTGGGCATCGTGGGGTGCACCTGTAATCCCAGCTACTTGGGAGGCTGAGGCAGGAGAATCGCTTGAACCCGGGAGGAGGAGGTTGCAGTGAACCAAGTTGGCACTACTATACTCCAGCCTGGGCAACAGAGTGAGACTCTGTTTCAATAAATAAATAAATAAATAAATAAATAAATAAACTCCATGTTATAGAGATGTCGATCACATCTAGTATTTCAGTTTAACACAATCCCAAATACCAACAGAATTTCAGGGAGGTGGGGAGAGTTGTCAATAAATGTACTAATACAGTTCCACTAGAAAAATTAAAATGTAAGAATAGTCAGGAAAAATTTCAAAAAGAAGAGGGGCATCTGACTAACAAGATGTTAAAACATATAATAAAATTACAAAAATCAAATCTGTTTAGTATTGGAGAAAAACCTAATCAATGCAAGAAAACGCTTGAGAAACAGATCTAAATATATATGGGAATTTTAAGGTAAAAGTGGAATTTCAATTCAGTAAAGAAAAGTGGATTTTAAAAATGATGTTGAAACACATTTGAGGAAGACCTTAAAGCACAGGACAGAAAACCTAGAAGCCAAAAAAGAAAAGACTAATAAAAAATGACTACATTAACATAGAAAACTTTTTAATAGAAAAAAATATATAATAAACAAAGTTGAAAGACCCACAGTAAACATTGGAAAGCATATGTATACGAGAGTTAATTTACTTTGTTTAAAAAGAATTCATACCAAAGAAAGAAAAGAAAAAGGACTAAGACAAAATTTTAAAAGCAGAAGATCAGCAATGCAATAGAAAACTGGAGATATGTATATATACGAAGTTTACCAAAAATACATAAACAGCCAATAAACTGTTTGAAAAGATGTTCAACCTCATTGATAAATAAAGAAATGCATGTTAAATGAATCATAATGATTCACCAGTCCAGTGAGCAAATACTAGAGAGCTTGATCTACCCAGTACTACCAAGTACTACCAGTACTACCAAGAGTGGAGAAAGAGGCACCTCATACTCTCCATTTCTCGAGTCATTTCTATCCCTCACATAAGTGGCTCCTCTGGGTTGGTTTATCTTCCCTTTATCTCTTCACTCCAAGCATGAATTCAGTTCCTTTCCTTTTCAACCCAAAGGGCAGCTAAGACCAGAATGTGCTGTTGAACAAAACTTCATGAGTGATTGAGGAGTAGTATAGATAGAATTTGGAGAGTAATTTTAGCTGCTACAAAACATGGTTACTCCCATTTGACCCTACTCCTAAATTCCCATCTTACTCTTAAATGTCTTCCATGAGACAGAGGCCAGCTTGCCCCTCATAATCCAGAATCTCTAGGTCTCTCCCATCCTAAGCTCCATAAAAGCTTCAGCCTCAACCCCAGGAGGGCCTCCCTTACTCCAGTCTGAGGGACACTCATTTCAAGCCTCAGGATGACTGACAGTGGGAAGATTAACTCTTTCTCAGTAGACAAAATCACAATAGTTGATGGTATATTTCTCAAAATCTGTTGATCAGCATTGTGTGAAAGTTATTAATAGCTCATTTTAATCGATATTTAGGAAAAACATTTCTTTAACTCTTCAAGCATATAACTGTCCATCTCAAAATACATTAAATTCATAGTACTAAATTGAACTCTTAAAATCTTCCATTATATCCTCTGAAGTCAGATCCATAGTGACTTCAAGTTTTCGTCAAGAACTCTAGGTGAGCACTTGCTTTACACTCATTCTGATGATGAAGCCAAACCAAATTTGCTCCAGGTGTGAACTAGTAACTCCACTGCCTCCAGTAACTAAAAATGAAGGACGCTCCGAAGGACAGTTATCTCAATAAAAGACAATTTAAAATTCTGTCTTCATCAAACATTCAGCTTCATGTCCATTCCAATTTTCTATACTGTGCATACATTATTTCTGTATTTGGAACAAATTAATGAATGCCCTTTAAAATAATCCTTTAGTCATTTGAGTTTAGAGGACAAAGCATATTTCCATGAGTATAACCATTCTAAAAAACTAACCATCCTCTACAGAATCAATTATAGACAAACTTGGGACTTGATTAAGGTTCATCTTGGGGCTCATTTGCTTCTCCTTTTGGTCTCCTCAGCCCTTCTTCACGAAGCATCTCTTCTTTCTGGTTCTTAACTACTCACTGAGCTGTTAAACTAACCAGGATATGACCCAGTTCCTTCTCTATTGTGTTACGACTAGGTTTCTTCTACCACTAGTTGTGACTTAAATCAGAAAATCAAAAATCACACTAAAATTTTACAAAAGCACCTTTTGTGTAACACAGGGGACTTCAGACATTCGTGATGCTGCAAATATCACCACTGAGTCTATTTGTAAGCTTTCTCCTTCCCCTCACCTTCCATTTGCTTCTTCTATTGCTACAAATAGATAGAAAAGAGAGTGTTCTGATTTTGTTAAGAATTCAAGAGCAGAGGCTGGTTGTGGTGGCTCACACCTGTAATCCCAGTACTTTGGAGGCGGAGGCAGGAGGATTGCTTGAACCCAGGAATTCCAGACCAGCCTGAGCAACATGGCAAAAGCTCATCTCTACAAAAAATGCAAAAATCAGCCAGATATGGTGGCATGTGCCTGTAGTCCCAGCTACTCAGAAGGCTGAGATGGGAGTATTGCTCAAGCCTGGGAGGCAGAGGTTGCAGTAAGCCATGATCATGCCACTGCACTCCAGCCTGGGCAACAGAGCCAGACCCTGTCTCAAAAAACAAAAAAAAAAGAAAAAAGAAAAAAAGAAAAAAAAAAGATCTCACTTTTGAAAGAATGCATTCATATTGCAAACCAGGCAATCAAGACAGCTGTAAAGAAAATCCCACAACATGGAAATGAAGACCCATCTCACATTTATCATGGCCCACAGCTGGCAACTAGGAAGCTTAAGATAAGCTTTGTGACATATTTTAATAAATCTTCACAAATAAACCATCTCAACTCAACCCATGCTATCTTTTCCTCTCCTTTGTTTTTTCCACATAGGAGTTTTTCTACCTCTGTATGTTTTCAAAATAAAGAGCTCTTTTCTCAGTCATCATCAACGGTTACTATTAAGAATTGCAGATGGAATACAATCTGTTTAGCTTAACTGAAGGCTGGCCCTTGTTCATAAGAGTTCAGACACTGTTTTATTTACCTTCATAAACATTGTAACTTGCCCACAAAGAAAAGTACACATACTCACAGTGGTCTTTCTGAAGAGCTTTCTCTTTCATGATCTAGAAGGGAAATTTCATGTCGGGGTATAAAAGAGAGGAAAATATTTGGCAAAAGTTTGAAAACCTGATAATAGTTTCAAAGATTTAGGAGATAAGATTAGGAAGCTTGCTGAACATTTGAAGAATAAAGCAGTGCATTAATTAAGGAAATTTTATTTGATTTAGGAAAGATTTCTCCGTTAAACATGTTGATGCAATTGCAGTTCCCAAAGTAGTTATGCTATTAAATGAAATATTTTGTCTTTTCCATAGTATCTTTGCATATACTTTGCCCATTTATCATTATTATGGCAGGCAGCCTCTAAAATAACCCCAGGAATCCCTACTTCTTTGGTATTTCCCAGGTGACCTCCTCCTCTTGAGTAACTTGTTCCTAAACAATAGAATACAGCAATGTTGCACAGATATCACTTCTGTAATTAGGTTATACAAGACTGTGACTTGCCTCTGGCTTACAGACTTTCTCTGTAGCTGGCTTTGATGAAGTGGCCAGCCATGTTAGAGAAGCCCACATTGCAAGGAATTGAGGGTGGCCACTGGCCAACAGCCACGTAGGAACTGAGGCACTTATGTTCAAGCAACTGAATCTTGCCAACAATCACATAAATGAGCTTGGAAGTAAATCCTTCCCCAGTTGAGCTTTCAAGTGAGACCCCAGCACAAAGAGACCCTTTGATTGCAACCTTGCAAAAGACCATGAAGCAGAGAATCCAGCTAAACCATGCCCAGATTCTTGACCCAAAGAACCTGTAAGGCAATAAATATATGTTGTTTTAAGTCATTAAGTTTTAAAATAATTTATTCATCATGAGCCTCAGAACATGCTACCCCAAAATGTGGCACCTTGGCATATTGAGTATTTTAAGCAGGAGGAATTTGAGACAACAGCAGAAATAAGAAGGTCTCTCTGATCTCTCACTTCTCCCCTGACACAGGCCATACAAGAATTTTCTGACCTTTTTCTAAAGTAGTTCATAAGACCCTCATTCCAGAGAGGTCCTCCCTATACCTAAAGGAAAGGAATGAAGACACAGAGGTGCCGAGAAGAATCTCAATAAACAGGTCATGCTAAGTTCCCTGTCCCTCAAGTTTATTACCATTCAGTCTCACACTTTTGCCCTCCAGTCATACAACTCTCCGTAAAAATACACAGATTTCCCTGTTTCTTTGGGTCTACATTTCTAAAGTCGCTTGTATCATATAAAACTTATGTAATTAAGCCTGTATGCTTTTCTCTTTTTTTCAGGTTTCTGTAAACCATTTATTTTATTTTTACCATGCAACAACGTCAACATTTGTCATATTACTAATCACTTTCACAATGGCTTTCTGAGTTTAACGAGCAATCTGAATTAGGTCTTGTGTTACCAGTTGAAGATAGTGTTCTTGTATTCCATAAATGGATACCTTTCCTAGGGTCAAAATTATTAATGTCTGGAGAATTCAACTGAAAGATCAGGACATCCATCATACTTTCAGCCTTGATTTCAGCATGCATATGTGACTTGGTCTGTTTCTTCTGACTAAAGCCACGTTCTGCTTCAGCTGAACTTGCAGGGAGGGTCAGCACTAGGTTGTACGCCTTTCTCTTATTAATCTGTTTTTTGTTATAGGGGTGTCAGCCATAAACTTTGCAATGGGTGAGAAAAGAAACCTCTTCTCTCCTACATTACACAACAATAGATAACTAATACAAGCACTCATTTCTCTTTTTGGAAATATCCATGGTACCCACTATTTGCTGTAAACATAAGTTACTACATACTTGTGAAATGACTTAGCATTTTATTTCTAAGGGGAGGAATTTAGCAAGGCCTGTTTGTTCAGATTCTTCTTGGTGCCTCCGTGTCTTCATTCCTCTCCTTTAGGTATAGGGAGAAACTCTCAGTGTCTGGGAATTCTGGTTCAGAGAGTAGGTAGGGTACTTGTATTCATAATTATTAATTTGGTGCAAAAGTAATTGCGGTTTTTGCCATTGAAAGTAAGGGCAAAAATCGCAATTACTTTTGCACCAAGCTAATACCACCTATTTTGGCTTTAATTATCATGGCCTTGTCCACATTTAAAATGAAACTATCTGAGGGAAGTAACTCAGATACAAGGTTATCAATTTACCTCTTTATCTGAGTATATGAGTCAGTTGTTTCATTTTAGACTCCTCTGAAACCAGGTTTTTATAAGAAAGGACCGGGTCCCTCATGGGGTAGAAAAGCTGCAAGGTTATAAGCTCAGAAAACAATTTCAAAATCATATCATGTGCTTGCACTACCTGCTTCAATAGCAAGAGAAATGATACTCAGGAGATACACAAAAACTCATATTCCCCCTTTTTGTGTTCTTTGCCGTAACTTTTTACTATGCTTCTCATACATAACTAAATTGGATTGACAGACATAATGGAATCGGGCTGATAAACAAATTTTCTTTGGTTCCATAAATGAAAGATGCAAACAGTTCTATTGATGGATGAAATGTAATAATGGGGTTCATTTTTCTGCAGAACTTCTCATCTGGGACTTTTCCACCACCACCAGCAGCAGCCCAGAGTGAGTCTGGAAATGCTTGTTTGTGTGTTTGTTTTTGACAATGACTGGGCCATGATGGTTTTTATCTCAGACACCTTATTACTCTTCTGTGCTCTAGGCTTTGTCAGCACACTTCAGTCAACAGATACATAAAACCAACGTGGAATCTTGGGAGGAAAATACAAAGTCTTGATCCCTTTCTTCCCAGAAGGACTCCAGCCTCCTTAAAGTGTCTACCCCTGCCCCAGCAAATTTCAAGTCACATTTATCAATTGTTTCTCAAAAAAAACAAAAAGAGGAAGTTTAAGCTCCTCCTCACTGAATACCCTAGAACAGCTGTCCTCAACTTTTTGGTACCAGGGACCAGTTTCATGGAAGACTATTTTTCCACAGATGGTGGAGGGGACATTTTGGGTATGATTCAAGCGCATTACATTTATTGTGCACTTTATTTCTATTACCATTACATTGTAATATATAATGAAATAATTATACAACTCACCATAATGTAGAATCAGTGGGAGCCCTGAGCTTGTTTTCCTGCAACTAGATGGTCCCATCTGGGGGCAATGGGAGACAGTGACAGATCATCAGGCATTAGATTATCATAAGGAGTTCATAACCTAGATCCCTCACATGCACAGTTCACAATAGGGTTCATGTTCCCATGAGAATCTAATTGCCCCCACTGATCTGACAGGAGGCAGAGCTGAGGCAGGAATGTGAGTGATGGGGAGCGGCTGTAAATACAGATGAAGCTTCGCTCACTCACCCACTGCTCACTTCCTGCTGTGCAGCCCAGTTCCTAACAGGCCACGGACCAGAACCTGTCCACAGTAATCACGGTAGGTAAGGCTTACTTACTATATTTTAATGTACCTAGCATTCAGCTAAGCACTTTAAGTGTTTCATCTATTATAATACGCATCCCAATTCTATGTGGGGGATACTATTAGGATTCTCATTTTACAAACAAACAAAACCGCAAGCTTAGATAGGATAAACAATGTGTGAAGCAGAGTGTCACAAGTTTTGTTTCCCAAGAAGCAGACTGCAGTGATTAGCATGAAGGAGGTTATCAGGGAGTAGAGTATTCTTAGGCTCCATCCCTGAGGAAGACAGATGGGGAAGAAAGAAAAGATGAGCTGGGTGGAGCCTCAGCAAAGCCTTCTGCCAACCCCATGGGCAGCTCTGTGGCTGGGATGGCCCCTGCAGAATCACTTGAGTTTGGGCCAGGAAGCGTTGCGACTGGTAGTTGGATAGAGGCTACCCCAGGAAGGCTAAATGGCCTTGAGCAAGACTGATCTCTTCAGCTAAGGCAATTCCTGAAGGGGATTGGCAGCTGAGAGGTTTCTACCACTCCCAGCAGCTGAGAAAATATATCCTTCACTCCTGCAGTGGGACCTGGGCAGTGCATCTGGCAACCACCACAAGGAGCTAACTGAAGTTTAAGTCTGTTGCTCTAGGATGTTAAAGAATTGCTGTTAGGAAGAAAATTGTTATTTTTTGTTTAGAACAGCCTCTTTGGTTATGAAAAGGGAGGCCCCTCTAAACTTACATAAATGAAAAAGAACACAAAGAAAGCGCCAAATTGCCCCACATAACAGAAGCAGGGCTGTGGGACTGGCCCCTGGAAGCTTTGGAGGTTGTAAGGGCCCTGAAGACTCAAAGAAGAGGAGGAGAAAAGCCCCAGCAACAAGCAGCAGGTGACAGCTGGGGGCATGGATTGCCTGTGAAAGGCTCCCACGTGAGGCTGGCCATGAGTCATCAAATATTTAAATATAGGTTGTTCGCTATTCTAATATTCTGTTTGGTTGGTGATCCCCCTCTGAAAACTTCAGTAAATGTCTGCCACACAGCACGTCTTTGTTAGTGAAGCTTTGGAGAACTATAGTAAAAGCTAGTCCCTGCCCACAGAGAAGCAGGGAAGCAAGCTGGATAGTTGAAAAATTCAAAAGGCAGGAAATTATGAACCTCCCTGAGAACCTTGGAAATACTGGAAAGGGCACTGAATCTTGTACTGCATGTGGGATGGGGAGCTATTCAATGTATTTGGCTACTAAAGGAAAGGATTATACTCAGAAAACTGGAGGGCTTTGGAATATCCAGTTTATACTTTCGCAAAAGAAAATATGATCATCTTTGCTTGGGAAACTCAAGAAAGTGCTTCAGAGAGGAAAAAGACACTGAGCTGGGAATTGGAGGAGGGGTAGGAGATATATAGGTGTACAGAGATAGAGCAGGTGGAATAAAAATGCATCCCGGCCCAAGGGAATAGCATGTAAGGCCTAAGGAATAATAGAAACTGTGCCAAAAACTCCAGTGAATCTGGAGTATGGAACTTCAAAAAAAGAAAAGAGAGATGACTCAGGGCTTTATATGCCATGCTGCAGAGCTTGGCTTTCATTGTAGAAGCTCCTGCTTGTCAACGAGTTCACATCTACCCACTGCAGTAAATGTGGTAGGCCAGGACTTAAAGAAAAAAATGCAAATAAATGAGGCTCATCTTTTTGAAACATAAATTTTACATAAAGATTAGAAGAGAAGGACTTTTTTTTAAGATTAAAACAACATGGCAGTATTCTGCAGTAGAATACAAAATTTCCACAGTTTTTTAAATAAAAAATAAGGTTTCAAATAGATTTCCTGATTGATTTGGTCAGTTCTTGCCATATTCTCTGCCCTCTCATATGAAAATAACTTTGATGAAACTCTTTTTTTTCCTTCTTTTTTTTTTTTTTTTACAGGAGTCAGGAGAGGTGCGGGGGGGTGGGAATTTCTTATGAAACTCTTACGTAGGGTGCTGAGAAGTGTTAAGCAGAAGAGTAAAATTATCATCAATTATATTTAGCTTTGTGTTGTTTCTATTTCATGTGTTTCAATTTTATGTCCTCCCTTCCCCAAATTTTGTTGTAGTTTACAACATGGCAAGGGGATAGAGAGAAAGAGACTATGACAAGAACAAGATGGAAACGGTGCACACATGCCGCAGGCTGGCTGTGCAGGATGGACCTCGTGGGACATCTATCCCTTGGTGATATTTTCATTGGATTTGTCATTGGTTTGCTTAGTCCCTAACTTTGCCACCTGATTATCTGGGTTTGTTTTTTTTTTTAATAACAGCTTTATTGAGATAGGGGGCTTAATACCTAGGTGATGGGTTACAGGTGCAGCAGACCACCATGGCACACGTTTACCTATGTAACAAACCTGCACATCCTGCACATGTATCCCACAACTTAAAATTAACTATATTAAATTACATTTTTAAAAAAATGAAGTCCTGATACATGCTACATCATGGATGGATCTTGAAAAACATGCTCAATGAAAGAAGCCAGCCATGAAAGGCCCTATACTGTATGATGTCATTTGTATGTAGGTCCAGAATAGGCAAATCTACGATCTGAGTTTTATCAGGCTGCCAGTTCATCCATGATTGAGCAAATCCCAGAGAACTGAGTCACACTCATTAAACCAGAAGATTTTTTTCACAAAACTATTGACAACATGTATTAGTCTGCTTGATGAGTTGTCATAATAAAATACCATAGACTGGGTGGCTTAAACAATAGAAATTTTTATTTTCTCACAGCTCTGGAGGCTGGAAGTCCAAGATCAACGTTTCAGCAGGGTTGGGTTCTATGAGGACTGTCTTGCTGGCTTGCAGGTGGCCACCTTCTCATTGTGTTCCCACATGGCCTTTCTTTGCTGCCTGCACTTGGAGAGGGAGAGCTCTCTCTTCCTCCTCCTAAGAAACCACTCACAAGGGCCCCACCCTCATGACCTAATCTAACCCTAATTATTTCCCAAAGTCCTCTCTCCAAATACCATCACACCGGGGGTTAAGGCTTCAACAGGGTGGGGGACACAATGTACAGTCTATAACGCAATATATCCAACATCAAAAAGGAATGTATTCTCCTAGCAGAAGAAAGATGAATAACACATTTTCTACCTGAATTGCCTATGTTTAAAAATTCTAATCTGTGTAATATTTTGGAGAAGACTTGCCATTGCCATTTGGTTCAAATTCAAATGGACTCTGGATGGGATCAACTGCAACCTTGCAATGGGGGGTGATTAATGGAAGTAAGGGACGGGTAGACAGCAACCACTTATTCAGAGAAAGGTTTGGAAAAGCATCAGGATTCCTCCTCCTTCTTCTGCAGTTCTAGCTCAGAAATCCCTACAAAGGCTTTGTTGCTGGCTCTGGACGTCGATCTATGTCTACCTACAAACACAAGTGGACCAGGCTAGTTCAGAGCTTCAGACACCTGGGACACGGGGATGACCTTTAGCCACAGGGTTGAAAGCACTGTGGGCATTATAAATTGGGGCATTGAATTTGAAAGAGAATAAAAGAGCCTATACAATCTTTCAATCCATTCATATGTCCTTACATCCTGAAATATTCTCCTTATGGAAATTTAAAGAATCAGAATATGTTCTAAGGAAGGCATGGGAGGGGTCACTAATTTTGGCAGATCCTGACACACTGTGGTTCCCCTGTCCTTGAGAAGAGAAATTTGCATTCACACTTCTGTGTGGTGACCACAATCACAGCCAAGGGAACTAGATGGTCTGTGACAAACATCCCTCAGGCTGCTGCATTTGGGGAGATGACATATGCTTCACTAAGAGGCTGACCTCTCTAGGTGTACTAAAGGCAAGGAGGCCTCAGCCAGATAAACACTAGCACTACCCACTTTTTTTGGCCTTCTTTTTCTAAACAGCATAGAGACTAATCCCTCCTCTTATAAAACTACTTCAGGGAAAGTAAAACAAATTAGAGCACATATTCTTTCATATTAACTGCATTTTAAAGTCTGCAGTGAGATTTGGGGAATTCCATAGCCCAGTGAACCATAAGGATGCCATTTTCTGCCCTTTCCTTCAAATTCTGGAATGTCTGGCTCCTTATGGAGTGACTAGAGTTTGTGAACACAGTGAAAGCCAAGCTTTTGACGAATGTTGTTTTACAAAATAGGTGAAAGTACACAAAACATAATAGTTTATCAATAATTAAATACCTGATGATGAATTGATACTTGACTGGTGATATGACAAATGGAATTCGTCTTTTAGATAAAAGAAGCTCATAATAAAATCCTTCAATAATTAAAGCCCCTTGGCTAAGGCCCAAGACCCTCCTGACACTGAGCAGAGCAAACAGCTTTTACTGAGGTCCCAGAATGCTTACTCTGAGATATCTTTGTCCTTCTAAACAATTAGCAGCTCTGTGGAAGGGCAATGGAATAACTGTCTGGGTGCCCCTTGACATTGAGAGATCTAAAGGAATTTCTTTTTCTTTCCTCTAAAATCTACTGTGATCAAAGAAGACTTAAGGGTGTCAAGAAGAAAAACAAGCTAACGCAATTTGTATTGAATTTTGAAAAATCTTTCCCTGTAGCCATGGGTAACTGGATAAGAAAACACTAAACAAGTCCCTTTGGGGATATTACATGATGGTATTCAATTTTGTATCTTGCCTCCTGTATTGCGGATTTCTTCAAGATACGAACAGGCTCTGAGAGACAGACTTATATAAATAGAAGCATTACTCAGTGATGACATTACCATTGGCTATAAGGCAAAATTACTTCTAAATAGATCATGACATTAAAAAAAAGATTTCTGGTTTCAGTGCTAGAAGAAAGCAGCCTAAGCATTTTAAAGGCTGCTCATAAAGCTCCAAAAAGTCACATATGAAATTATTTCAGATACAGAAGGAAATTGTAATGACGAACACATTCAATTTACCTTTGACAGAACCACCAAATTCCTCCCTACACTCCCCACCCTCAATCCCCTACCCAGACATCAGGGCAACATAAGGAATCATATTAGAAAGGGTAGTTTTGATTTATTGCTACAAGAGATGTGGAAGAGAAACTTTACGTGATTAGTTAAAAATTTCCCCCACTGGGAGCAAGGCTCCAATGTAACTCTAAAATCAGAACTCCCTCTGTTAGCAGGCTATGTACTTAATTAAGGTCTGAACTGTCAATGTTCAATATGCTAATTATGTGCTTAAGAACACTGATTATAATTTTTAATCTAGCACTCTGCTGGATATGGTACCTTCTGGATATATAATTACATAACCAAGGAATCTTAAAATACTCTCAGGTTGCCTTTTCCCAGTCAAGTCATATCATTCATGTAGTTAACATAATTTTTGGCTGTATAACCACAAAAACATACTGGGATTCTTCCTCCATCTATGCCAGAAATTTTCAGACACGTCCCTAATTCTTCATCTGAAATAGTCATCTTTTTTTCTTTCATCTAAGGAATTCTTCTTTACCATAGGCAGAATAATGTCCCCAGACACCTCAGTGCTGTAAAACGAGTTCCTCCCCTAGTGTGGATAGAAGGGAGGAAGACTGGCTCAGAGAGACCAGAGTGTCTTATCTCCAGTCTAGACTATGACTCCTGGAAATTCCAGGATGCCAGTATTCACAGTCCCTGGGATTTAAAAACAAGCATAAATGTACAAATGATACTCAACAGGTTCTGCATTTCCTCCCTGGAAATGTATATTTCAGACAAGTCAAGATTCTTTTATTCATATTAACCATTTCATGTCACGTCTTTTATGGGGGGCCATCAATATTGCTTTTCTCTGGAACATACCCCAACTCAGATCCATGGTATTGTACGTCTAGAAAGACGGGCAGAGTGTGGAGTAAACTGAAGTCATCATGATCTCTGTAACACCCTGAGGCTTCTATTCCCCCATGGACATTCCATGAAGGGAAGAAACATTCTTCTAACTCAAAAAACCACCAAAGGAGAGCCGGGAGGACGTCATACCTCGGCTGGTGGGTGCAGCGGGAGCCACACGACTCACCTCAGGCCTCTTCCCTGATGGACATGATGGTAGCCAATCTCCAGGACAGTCCCAGTTGAAGCTCCAGAGGGAAAGGGGATCAATCAGCCACCAGCTGCCTCCCTGGCCACAATAGCAAAAGGGAGCAAGGACTCAAATGGACCTGTAAAAGGAAAATAGATCTCACAACCCTAAAATCACCAAGCCAAAGGGAAAAGTTAAGCTGAGAACTGCTAGTCAGGCAAAGCCTGCCTCCCATTTTATTCCTAAATAAGAAAGCCACAAAGATTTAAAAAGCTACACACCTCCCTCATATTTGTCTACAAGGAAATTCCTTGTGGGCCTCGAGATCTTTAGCCTAAAACGGTTCTGTTGAATTTCACCTTGGCAATGTAAATTGATAGCTTATCTTCACAGGTGCCAAAGGACAGATAGAGCTCAAAGTCTTCCCTCTGCTCACCTGAGACAGATGTAATTTGGATTCTTTCCTCTGCCCTACTGTTTCTGTAAAAATGCAGATTCACTAAGCCAGACTAAGGCATAAGTGACTATTCCTCTACCTCCCTCTCACGTGTAAATTGTGTATTCAGTGAGAGGCTAATCAGAGAATGCAACTGTTTGTCTCTTAACTATCTATGACCTGAAAGCCCCCACACCCCCACCCTTCAAATTGTCCCGTCTTTCCAGACCATACCAATGTACATCTTACACATATTGACTGATGTCTCTTGTCTCCATAAAATGTATAAAACCAAGCTGTGCCCCAACTACCTTGGGCACATGTTGTCAAGAGTTCCTGAGGCTGTGTCATGGGCCTGTCCTTAACTTTGGTAAAATAAACTTTCTAAATGGACTGATACCTGTCTCAGATACTTTTGGGTTCACAGACCCACTGTGACCCTCTTTGAAACTCGGAGAAACTCTTCCCTTGCACAGGGAAGCTGTGCAAGGCGGCTCCTTGTGAGCAGATGAGGGAAAGGAGCCCTTTGGATGTGCCCTGGGCTGAAGGTGGCTGCATTTTTCCTTAGACTGCTGAAGCCTGGAACACTTGGGTTTCACAAGTAATGGCAAAACAGTATAAAGGGGGCTGTTGTTGGGATAGGGCTCAAACAACTAGAAAACAAAAGAGAAACAGGAGGTGATGAGGACAAGGGTTTGGGAGAGTCAGGTAAGGCTTAAGAGGAGATCAGCCTTAAGTGGGGGCAAGAAAGAGAAGCAGGAGTAGCTCATCAGGCTGACTAGGGGGAAGTTGCAAAGGCCCAGAGCAACAAAACCACAGAGTGAGTTTGGAGATTGGAAGGTGGGTCCATGTAGCTGCTGAGGTGGCGGCTGAAGAGAGGAGAGGGCATCTGGAGGGAGCCCTCAAACCCATTCCACAGGCCCTGACTTTTCTCTAAGTCACAGGAAGTCACCATCAGGTTTAAGTGGCAACTCCGTCTCCTGAGATTTGAGTTTAGGAAAGATTGCAAGAGCAGCATGGTGAAGGAAAGACTGAGGAGAACAAGGCTAGAGATGGGGTCTGCTCAACTGTCCAGGGAAGAGAGGAAAGAGGTCTTTGCTAAGGCAGTGACAAGGGGATGGAGAGGAGTGGACTACAAAAAAAAGAAAAACTTCCTCTAAGCAAGAGGAATCAAAACATTTTACCTTAAAAAGAGATTTGATGGTTTCCAAACTCATATCCAGCTCAATTAATCTTCACACAAACCCACCAAGTCAAGTAAAGTCAATAGTGCTTTACTTCTAGAAGAAGGAATGGGTTCCAGGTGGTTGATCAGAGGTACGAAGCTCCCCCCAAGAAAGACTACACACCCCAGCCTGCACTTTCCCACTGTACCACCACGCCTGACACTGATGAGCTTCTGTTTTGCAAAGCTGATAACTATACTCAGAAAAAGTACATGTGATTTGAGAGAAATCCCACTGGCAAAGCGACTAAGTCAAGGAAGAGGAATTCTCAAGGAAAGAATAGTTCTTTCTGTTGGCCAGAAAAATAGTACTGCTCTGAGAGCCATTTTTAGAACAGTTAAATAACTTTTAAAATTACATGAAAGATCCAATCTTATCTGAGGGTTTTTTATTGTTTTGAAATATTTTATTATTTTGTATTTTCTTTTCTGTATTTTAATAGGGCCTATTTTTACCCAGAGATATGATTTAGAGAATTATGTTACTTGGGAGAAGTAAGATATTTTATGTATCTCAGAGATACATAAAAGTGAATTAGCCCCTTGAATTCAGAAATCTGCATACCTGTATCTCTTTGGAACAAGCAATGTTAAGAAGCTAAATACAGTAATAAGTGTTCTATCTACCTAAAATTCACATACGCTGTAATGAAAGAGTTCTGTGTTCAGCCACTTAACTGAGTATGTTTTATGCTGAAAACATCCAGAGACAACATGCCAAGGAGGAGGGAACAGTAAAGATTTTTATAGCAAACCCATGATCTTTGAAGAAGAAAATCCCCTACTCCCTTGGCAGTGACCAAAAAGAAAAAGCACAGGGGCATTTTCTTCAAAGGAGACTTCCAGGTGACTGCTGTAATGTGGTTAGCAGCAACTCATTGACTCCTAGAGGGGTATCCGGCCAGAGCTGTGCTAACTAGTGACATGTTTCCTTATCCACAGTTTGAGATTCTTAATCATAAGATCATAAGGGAAGGAAAAGCACGAGGTACTTGGGTAACAGTTGAGAGATGGTATCTGTAAGCAGCTGGTTGCTGTCAGACTAGAACCAGGATATAAATCCTTTCCCAAGGACTGGCCAAATTCTTTGATCTTGCCCAAGCACTATGGAATTGACAATCAGAATATACTAAAGTGAATTTTTTTTTATTTTTATTTATTTATTTATTTTAATTTTACTTTAAGTTCTAGGATACATATGATACATGTGCAGAATGTGCAGGTTTGTTACGTAGGTATACATGTGCCATGGTGGTTTGCTGCACCTATCAACCCATCATCTAGGTTTTAAGCCCCACATGCGTTAGGTATTTGTCCTAATGCTCTCCCTTCCCTTGCCTCCCTCCCCACAACAGGCCCCAATGCGTGTTGTTCCCCTCCCTGTGTCCATGTGTTCTCATTGTTCAACTCCCACTTATGAGTGAGAACATGTGGTATCTGGTTTTCTGCTCCTGTGTTAGTTTGCTGAGCTTCATCCACGTCCCTGGAAAGGACATGAACTTGTTCTTTTTTATGGCTGCATAGTATTCCATGGTGTATATGTACCACATTTTCTGTATCCAGTCTATCATTGATGGGCATTTGGGTTGGTTCTAAGTCTTTGCTATTGTAAATAGTGCTGCAGTAAACAAACATGTGCATGTGTCTTTATAGCAGAATGATTTAGTGTAAATTAGTTCAAACATTGTGGAAGACAGTATGGTGATTCCTCAAGGATCTAGAACTAAAGTGAATTCTTAATGCCCCAGCCAAATTTGTTCTTCCTCTAGTCTTTCTCACCTTTAGAAGTGTCACTGTGACTCACCCTGGTACTCATTTCTGTAAATGTCCCTTCATCTTCACACTCAATCCATTACCAAGTCTCAATCCATCTAGAAATTTCAAAGCACTCCCATCACCCTCATTCACTAGCAATGTCAACATATCAAGTGCCTCATTGCTATTTCCTCCCTATTCTATTCTTACCTTTTCTACCTTTTTCCACACGGGAGCTGGAATAATCTTTAAATGCAAATTAGAAATTAAAAGTCTCTCACAGGTGTTCCTTTGCTCCTAAAAGAAAATACATATTCTGTAGCATGTCCTATGCTAAGTCTTACATGTGATCTGACCCCAGCCCTTCTCCAGTTAATCTCATGCTTCTCTTCCCTGCATGCATTACTCTGCAGAGACACTACCTTTGATTCCATAAATATGACAATCAATTTCCCACCTCAGGTTTTAGCCCATGCTGTTCTCTTTGCCTGGAATTCTCTAGTCCCTGGTCTTTATTGACTAACTTCTACATCTTACAGAAGATAATAAATTAGGGCTGAGTGTGGTGGCTGACGCCTATAATCTCAACACTTTAGGAAGCTGAGTGTGGAGGATCACTTGAGGTTAGGAGTTCGAGACCAGCCTGGTCAACATGGTGAAACCCCATCTCTACTAAATATACAAAAATTAGCCAGGCATGGTGGCACAAACCTGTAGTCCCAGCTACTAGGGAGGCTGAGGCATGAGAATTGCTTGAACCCAGGAGGCAGAGGTTGCAGTGAGCTAAGATTGTGTCACTGCACTCCAGCCTGGGCAGGAGAATGAGACTCCGTCTCAAAAAAAAAAAAAAAAAAAAAAGTAACTAGACTAAAATATCCAGCTTTTCCTGGCCCATTAATCTAAATTATGGCACTCTTAATACACTTATGTGTACTGAGCTTCTCCTTGGCACTTACCCAATTTGAATGTCCTACATTCATTGTGTGCTTATCTTTTTAATGTCAATGTCTTCCACTATGCTGTAATATCCACAGAGCAGACACTAGGTGTGTCTTTCTGGTTTACCTCAGTTTCCTTAGCACCTAGCACAATATCTAACACATAGTAGGTGCTCAATACCTATTTGCGGAATCTGTGAATGAATAGATGAGCAGAAATCATGGCTTAGGGATACCTTTTGCTATACAGACAGTTTTCATTTAAAAGGCACTAGTATTTAATTCCACTTTTTAAAGATTAAATACAGATAAATATTACACTATTGAGTTAAACGGGCTTATATTCAAATACTATTGAACCACTTAGTGACTGTGTAACTTGGGAATGTTTCTTCCTTCTCTGCATCTTGGGTTTCTAAGCTGTATAATAAGGATAATAGAGCTTATCTTATAGTTAAAAGTGCTCACTATTTTTCCTTACAACTTTATTGTACTTTCCAATTTTCCTACTGTTATAATCAGGAAAGAGCAATAAATATTATTTTAGAAAATGCCTGCCTCAAAGTTGTCATGAAGATTCTTATTATCTACTAATTTGCAATTCAGATACCATATTAATTATCTATGCTGGGTAAGAAGCTCCAAAACTTGGTAACTTAAAACAACAATCTTCATGATTTCTCTGTGGCTCTGGAATTCAGGAGTGGCACAGCAGGTCGTCCTGGCTCAAGTCTCTCATGAGGTTGCAGTCAGATGCCACCAGGGCTGCAGTCACCTGCAATCTACTGACTGGAGATAGAGGATCCACTTCCAAGGCAGCTCACTCACATGGCTGGCAAGCTGGTCTGGCTGTTGGTTGGGTGCCTCAGCTTCTCTTCTTTGTGGAGGTTCTTAAGTATCCTCCCAGATGTGGCTGGTTTTCCCCTGGGCAAGAATCCAAGAGACCAAAGCAGAAGCTGCAAGCCTCTTAGGACCCAGCCTTGGAAGTCACAGAGTGTTTGTTACTTCCACCCTATTTTATTGGTCACAGAGAGTCAGCCCTAATTCACTGTGAGAGCAGACCACACAAGGGACGGAAGACTGGAGCACTGGAGCATTTGAGAGGCTACCACCGACTAAGAACTCTCACTTCCACCTTTCTCCTCACAGGACACCCATAAACTCTCGCCACTATTTCTTTCTTTCTTTCTTTCTTTTTTTTTTTTGAGATAGGGTCTTGATCAATCGCCCAGGCTGGAGTGCAGTGGCGCGATCTCGGCTCACTGCAAGCTCCGCCTTCCGGGTTCACGCCATTCTCCTGCCTCAGCCTCCCGAGTAGCTGGGACTACAGGCACTCGCCACCACGCCCGGCTAATTTCTTTTTGTATTTTTAGTAGAGATGGGGTTTCACCTTGTTAGCCAGGATGGTCTCGAACTCCTGACCTAGTGATCCACCCGCCTCGGCCTCCCAAAGTGTTGGGATTACAGGCGTGAGCCACCGCACCCGGCCTCCCGCCACTATTTCTAATACTGGCAGTTGCTAATTGTGATATGTCTATTTTTTTCTTTTTAGATACTGGGCTCTTGTTACACTGCCTCTGATAGAAGAAAATGTGTGTCTTTTGTATATTTTCAAAGATGAGTCTGTGTCAATGTCATTTACTTTAGATAATGGTTTCCTGTTTAATTTGCTTTCTCTAACTCTCACCACGATGCCATTTTTGTTCACATTAGAACATAATAATTAAAAGAAATTCATCACTTGATCATCACAATGATCATGGGAGTGGTTACTCCTCATAGATCACTACTAACTGATTTCAACTGAGACAAAGATAATGTAACAAGTAATACCTTTGTAACCATCATTCTGCTGTGGGAGCTGAAAGGGGGCATGCATACTCATAGAGTAAAAAAGCTAACTGCTGCTATCTAGAGACCTGATCCCTAGTCCCATATCCAGTGATACGGCATTGACTAAGACTGATTGAGACACTTGGATGCTCTAGCTCTTATTTACCCTCCTTGCCTAAGTAAGATTGACAACAAGTGTCTTCACCTTACAAGCACAAATAGGAATGCCTGTAAGCTAAAGACACAAACAACAAATTGCCTCTGAGGACAGGAACTAGCTATCTGGGAAAAGAGGTGAGAAGGGTATTTTCACTGTATACTCTTCTATATCATCTGGATTTTAAACTATTGAATGTATCATCTAATAAACATCCCAGCACTTTGGGAGGCAGACGCAGGAAGATCACCTGAGGTCGGGAGTTCGAGACCAGCCTGACCAACATGGAGAAACCTCGTCTCCACTAAAAACACAAAATTAGCCTGGCATGGTGGTGCATGCCTGTAATCCCAGCTACTCAGGAGGCTGAGGCAGGAGAATCGCTTGCACCCAGGAGGCGGAGATTGCAGCGAGCCAAGATTGCACCATTGCACTCCATCCTGGGCAACAAGAGCGAAACTCCATCTCAAAAAATAATAATAATAATTAATTAAAATTATTGGAACAACTCAGCTTTTCATCAATAGAAGACTGGTTAAATCAAGTATGTTCCATCTAAAAAGTGGAGTAGTCCTATTCAGCTAAATGGGGAATGAAGTGTGTGTGTGTGTGTGTGTGTGTGTGTGTGTGTGTGTGTGTATAATTTATTGCTATGAGATTATCTCCAGGATATGTTATTAAGTGAAAAAGCAAGGTTTAAAAAAAATGTGCTTAGGTAAAACTGCTACTGTTTATCTAAGAATGGGAATATACATATATACATAGAGACAGAGAGAGAGATCCCGTATATATGTAAATTTTTTAAAAAGAAAGTAATGGAAGAATACCATAATAATTTAAAATAGATGGTTTAAACCCATAATTTTTAAAACCTATGGAGGAAGGAGAGGCATAGCATGAAGATGACAGGGATAGAAGCTAACCTTCTTTGAATATTTGTAGATTTAACTTTGAAACCACATAAATACTTTGCAAAATTATAAAATATTTAAATTTGAAAAGTAATCTCCAAAACTTTAAAATGAAGTGAAACCAATGTCCAATTGGTGACATAACCACACAGTGAAGAATTCTTTCAAGTAAGTGGCTTCAAAACAGAGGAATTTCCCAATGGTGTACTGGAGCCAGTCAGCAGGGGCTCTCAGGAGCTGATTTTGGGCATGTCTTCTCACCTCTGCATTCAGTGACTTCAAGATCATAGCTTGAAGGTGGCCACAGTGGGGGTATTTATGCCATGGAAATTAGCAAATTCTACAAATCAGGTTTTCATTTACTTTGGTTCCTTTCTTGTATTATTTGTTTGCGCCATACTGATTGTTAAACATTTACCAGAACACCACTGAATTTAACTCTACATACCCAATGACAAAAGTAATTACAAAGCAAAATTACCACAAATTAGCTTCAATAATCATAGTCTTCGTAGTAGTGTCGGAATTGTTATTCTGAAATTGTTTTGTGCATAGTATAGGATAAACAAATAAGTAATTATGTAGCTCTTGATAAGAACTGGGATTTTGGAGAGTGAGAGAAAGAAGATATAAATGGTAAAAGCCCTTCTTAGTCTTGAATTCCAACTGGAAGGATCAGTATGCACACACGATGTAATTATTTTATCTAACATAATCATGGGAATAGAATTAGCAAAACCCAAACTGGAAGCTCTAGGACAAACTACATAATTTATCCAACCAAAACAACTACAAAATCATAAGAAAAATAAAATGTAATGGAGGAGAGTCTCTATTGATTAAATGAGACTTAAAAGATATTTAACTAATTTCATTGTATGAATCCTGAGTTTTTTTAAGTTGTGGAGAAAGAGAAAGCATGTGAGAAAAAGGGAGCATTCCTAAGACAATTAAGGAAATGTGAAGACTAATTGGATATCTGATGTTTTTATGGAATTTCTGTCAATTTTGAGGATATGATTATTGTCTGTTGTGTGTATTGTGGTTACATTGTAATAGCATAGTCCTTGTCTTTTACAAATGCATCCTGAAATATTTACATATGAAATTATATTAATGATATAACATGGCTGGGATTTGCCTAGTATCATCCAGGGAAGGGGGAAGAAGAAGAGCCACAGAAAAATGCAATTGGTCATAAGCTGAACATTGTCAAAATGTAGTGACAGATATAAGGGAGATCAACATATTATTTGTCTACTTTTGTACATGTTGAAAATTTTTTTAACAAAATTTGTTTTAATATTAAAATTCCTACACTCCCATGCCTGCTAGATTTTGCTTCCTCTAAGTTTTTTCAATATAAGCATATTTTTTACTAAGTTTCTATGGGTTTTTTTTTTACTACCATCATCATCTACTAAAAGTCATTTACTAAGTATCTCATATGTGGGCCTCGATTTAACAAAATTCACATGTCGCCAAAGCGTAGACATAAAACTACATGGAATTAGAAAGAAAATCAACTTAATAGAGTCACTTTGTAGACCAAAAGACCTGGGCAGCTTCTAACGAAATGCTTAATTAGGAACCACAAACCTTCCCAAACAATAAGCAATCAGAACTTCTTAAAAAGCCACCCCTGTAAAACAGTTATTGCTGCTGTATAACATAATATAGGCCCACCTGGAAAGATTCTTTAAAACATCTGGAGTCCAAATACATCTGCTACAGGTGAGCAAACAAAGCCTCCATAAAGCCACAGAACAGACAAAATAAGCTGATTGACCAGAGGGGCACATTTATGAATAGCCCATTAGGAAGAGGGATACACAGCACTTCTATCCACGGCACATTCTCAAGAAAAGGAAGCCACATAGAAGTACAATGAAGCATCAGTCAAAACCATCCTCATTTGCATTTGGTGCAAAATAAACTTTCCCAATTCAGACAGACAGCAAATATTTAACAAGGAAAGAAGAGAAGCAGGTGCAGTATTTGAGCAATTGGAAACGACTCCTGGCATCATTGAGAGAGTCATCGGTGGGACATTTAGGTCAGTGACCTCCAGACACAACTAGTGCTTTTGATCTTTATAAAAAATAGAAGGTATTTTAAGAGGGGAATCATCCTTGCTCCCCAGCCCCAGAGTTCCAACCAAATAAAAACACATGGCAAGGCGGTGGTGAAAAACCTCAGCCATCAGTCAAAGTAAGTAACACAAGTAAAGCCTGAAAAGTGGTTGAATTCGGACTTCAGGTGAGATCAACAAGGTGTTGATTTTTGGAGTTTCTAGTTGATGTCCTCAAAGCTTCAAGACACTTAAGGAGCAGCTTTCTGAGTGGCTGTAAGCCAATATCTTCGTAAATGTGTCCACCATGCCATCTGCGCCAGAACCACCCTGAGGTGTTGCTGAATGCGGACCTCCTAAATTAAAATGGCAAGTGTGACTAAGGACTCCAAATTTTTAAGCCCCCTAGCTGGTATGTATGCCCACTCAAATTTGAGAACCATTGTACAAATTGGAGAACCAGGCCCGAACAGTGAAGGTTATCAGAAGATCTCAAAATGCCCCACAGCAGAAGCAAATGCTTATTATTTTTGCTTTACATAAAGTGCAAGTAAAATCATTTTTAAATTGCCTGTCTCATGTCTACAAAACTTGGCAGGAGGATGGAGGTAAGGGTTGGAGGATATTCAGTGTCAGAGATTTTAACTCTGGCTAGAATTCTTATTTTTTTACTCTTTTGAGTTATATAGGTTTAGTGTTCATGAAAAAAAAAAAAGAATTAGCTTCATGACGGAAGAGACTGACCCATTATTTTTGTTGATTACCTATGGTATAGAGTATATTTAGGCATCTAGGACAAAGACATATTCGTGTTGCCTACTATGTATGGAAAGCAAATCTCGAGCAAAAGCTTAGAGCTGGGTTCAAATTCCACTTATCAGCTGTGACTTTAGCTCATTCACCTAACCTTTCTAACCATGTTCTTCATATTTAAACTGAGAACAATGATAATGTCTCCCAGGATACTGGGAGGATCAAATGGAGTACTACGTCTTAATTCATTCAAGCTGCTTTAATAAAATACCTTAGTCTGGTTTCCTGATAAACAATAGAAATTTATTTCTCACAGTTCTGGGGGTTGGGAAGTCCAAGATCAAGGCTGAGATCGATTCCATGTCTGGCAAGGGTCCACTTCCTCATAGACAGCCATCTTCTCACTCTAACTTCACACAGTGCAAGGGGTTAAGGGTCTTAGTCCCTTTTATAAAGGTATTAATCCCATTCATGAGTGCTCTGCCCCCATGACCTAATCACCTTCCAAAGGCCCCACCTCCTAATACCATCACTGTGGGGGTAAGGATTTCAACATATGAATTTGGGGGAACATAAACATTCCGACAACAGCCTAGTGTATGTTTTTAAAAAGCCTTTTGAAATCTTCTGTGCAAAAATTGAGCATAAATTGTTATAATTATTTATTTGCCCAACAGCATTCAGCCATGTAACCACTACCGAGCACCTACTAGATGCAGACACTACACTGGTAGACACTGGGCTATTACCATGGTATTACCTGGGCTGTTACCATGGCATTATTATGCAAATAGAACAAACATAATACTTACATGACTACGACAGGTAGGGAGGGGTTCTGCCTGTAAAAGGAGTCTTTGAAAAGGGAACTGGGGAGAATTATTGAGCAGGGAGTGGGACACACTAAAAATTATTTGTTGTATATACTACGGGGAGGACAGTCAATACAGGATAATCAGTCAACTGAAATCCCTTACTGTAGGACTCTGAGAATTCTATGAGAAATTCTGGGCCAAGATCTCTACTTGTAGAGACTTGTAGGGATGCAGCTTTGAAATTAGCAAGCAGTTAGAAGAGATGATGGAGTATATTTCTCTCTCTGATTTAGCAATTTAAAAGAAATCAACCACTCTCTCCCCATCAGTTCTCAATTGGCAGATTTTGCTAGACTTGTCAAAAACTGACTGAGCAGTATTTCTATTTATCAGGAAGCAATCAATGTGAGTAGTGTGACTTTCCTGTTGCTCTCCATCAGTAAATGGACATAACTCAGCTGGGAGGACTCCAAGGTGCCAGTGAGGGCACCTGTCTGCCCCCTCTCTGTACCTAATTTTTTTTTTTTTTTTTTAGACAGTCTTACTCTGTTGCCAGGCCTGGAGTGCAGTGGCGTGATCTCGGCTCACTGCAACCTCCACCTCCTGGGTTCAACCGATTCTCATGCGTCAGTCTCCCGAGTAGCTGGGGTTACAAGCCTGTGCTATCACACCCGGCTAATTTTTGTATTTTTAGTAGAGTCAGGGTTTCACCATGTTGGCCAGGCTGGTCTCAAACTCCTGACCTCGTGATCTGCCCGCCTTGGCCTCCCAAAGTGCTGGGATTACAGGCGTGAGCCACCGCGCCTGGCCAACCCTCTCTGTATCTTGTCTCTACCCTTCCTCTGCCCCTTCCTGAAAGCCCTGTATTCCGAGTCTCTCCCAGCAGAAGGAGAACACTGATAAATCACTAACACGATTTTGATTTTAGTTATGTGTTACCCCCATAATGCTGTGTGCACTTTTAAAGAGGAAACCCAAAGAATATATTCCTGATGATGGTTTCAGGCAGGAATGTCTAGGAGCAGGAGAGAGATCATTTTGGGTCTGCCAATCACATCTGTGGGTGCCTCTGCCTCCAAGCCTACACCTCTCTGCCATGCTGTTGCCCATTTCACTCTCTGGCCATGCTTAGTGCTCAGCCACTCTCAAGTGCCACACAGCGGTGCATGGCTCTGCCATTGTTGGTGTCTGGAGTAACAGCTGTGGTCATTTCTTTCTTCGGGGAGAGCCAAAACTCACCCTCTTCCCTGGGCACTCCTCACCTCTGCTCCTCAGTCATTTCCTAATCAAGAACAACTTTTAGTTTCCTAAAATTATTAAGAATGTCATAAAGGATCGGGCTGGCATGCAGAAGGGAAGCACTGAGAGTATAAGTCCTTGTCTGGGACAATAGCCAAAGATTTTCCCTTGGGCATTTCCCTAATTCCCTTATTTTTTTTCATAGCTTCCTCAAATCCCACCTCCTCAGGGTCTCCATCCTGAACAACCCTGTTGAAAACCACACCTCCTCCTCACCTCATGCCCACACTCTCCCTTTTCTTCCTACCATAACATTTATCACCATCTAAGATGCTATAAAATCTACTTACTTACTTCACCTATGGTTTGCTTGTTTCTTCTTCCACTGATTGTAAGCTTCTTGGTGTCAGGAATATTTAGTTTGTTTACCAATGTACGCCAAGTGCCTAGAAGTGTGCCTGATGCTCCATAAATACTTGTTGAATGAATATATGTTATCAATGGCTAATCAGTGTATTTAAGAAGCCCAGTTGTTAACTGAAGGAGAGGTAAAAGGGAAAGAAGGACCTACTCTCTGCTAGGCCCTGCACAGGCATTTATATTTATTAACACAGTACTGCTCATTCCTCACAGAGGTTCGAAAACACAGACCTTTAACCAACAAGTCTCAACCTAACAGTCCATGCTAAAGCCCAGCCTGGGTGGCATTCAATAGGAGAGGTAGAATTTACCTTGTTCCCAAGACTTCTGGAAATTCCTACAGGGAAAAAGAAATACTGCCTGGTCAAGGACTTACGTCCCATGTGATTCCCTTCACCACTTCATCCCCAGTTCATTACAAAAATGTTAAGGATTTTTAGAAACTAAAAGTAGCTCTTCATCAGGAAGCACTAGGGAGTTGCCAAACACCCCACTGAGGACTCTGCGCCAGACCACAGACACAACTCATGCCATAAAAGTAGATAAATCAAACCCATGTGTGGGCTATTAAAATTGCATTAAAATATATATATGAGCAAATGTAGCCCATGAGATGGGAGCTGGCTGCTGGAAAAATCACTGGCCCAGAACAAGGGGTTTGGCCGTTGCATCTCACCAGGCCTTCACCAGCCCCCATCGCTCAAATCCTGCTTGTCTCCCAAAGTCTAAAATGATAGCATCGGCATTTTGCATCCTCTGTCTACTGAGATGGAAGCCTCTCGTGGAAAAAATTCTGGAAAGGCATACACCAGCTCATTCACAGCAGCTACCTCTCGGGAGGAAATTGTAGGGGAAAGCAGGAGATACTTTTAAATTCATGCACTTTGGGATTTTATAATCTGTCAAAACAAGCATGTATTACTTTTGTAATTTAAGAAGTCAATCATGAGTCTTTTGTTAAGGGTTCTGTGGAGGATAAAAGTAGGTTCCTCAGACAGATGACTATATGGAAATTCTCAATGACAGACAATTGCAGCTTGCTCCAGTGGGAAGCAAGGAAAAACAGGAATCTCATCCAGCTGGTCGTCACCAATGCCACGTCTTCTCAGGACCCAGCGTTCAGCCTCTCAGAGGGGGCTTCACACCTGGGCTTCTCTTGTGTTCCTTTAGCCTCGATGGAGCAAGTGTTCGCTTCATCAACATTCTGCTCCGGAAGGCGGTCTGCAGTGTTCCCTGCAAGACTGCCTGCCTGAGACCAGGGCCACTCCCAGACTATTTCAAACGATCCCTTGTTTGCCTGATGCCCAGGGTCCCGCTGAACAAATTGGTTTAAACCCTCGAGCCCTGTTCCAAAGGGGATACAGCAAAGGGATTTATGAGAAGTCATGTCTGCAGACAAGAGGAAAATATTGGGTAATCAGAGCAGTCTTGCAGAGGCTGGCGGTGGTAACTAGACGTCCGCTCTGAGGCAAGGCAGAGAACTGGGTCATGTTACCTGGACTCCATGGCACCACAGTGGGTCCCATTCACAAAACCACACCCCATGGCCCAGAGCCGGTAGAGGCTCCATGCCAAGGGCATCTTTTCCAAAATGTGGCAACTCAGATGTGTAATCAGAAAGAGTCTACATTTCCCTGTGGTCAGTGTCTGTGACTAAAAGTGAGGCAAGGCTGGCATTGCACAATGACTTTTAGAGTTGGAAGGGACTGTGGGTGGATCTAGAGGGTGATTTCAGACTGGACTTCACAGAGCCCCCAGGGTCAGAGCCAGCATCTCAGGACACAAGGGTGAAGCTAACGGGGTCTCTGAGATGCCCGCTCTGTATTTATCAAGAGTGGTTTACCATTGATCCATGTTATATTTGGCTTCTTCTGTAAATGCCAGGCAGCTTTGTGGTCCAATCTTGGTGTGGAGTCACATTCAAAGAAACAGCTGTCATTCAAAAAATATATAATCTAAAGCAATTCAAATCTATACTCAGTCTCTAAAGAAAAAGCCCAAGGGGTGAAGAGTGCATTTAATGCACACCAAGATATCTTTAAAATCCATTACTCCCAATTGCTGCCATTCTCAATCTCCTTCATCCAGATGGCAGGTGCTTCCTGAAATCTTATGTTCCTTCTTACTTTCACAGCCAGAACAAAAACTTTCCACGACAACCAACCTGTGAGGTTCCTCCACCTCTCTTTCCTCCCTTGTCTGGCTCAGTTCCCCTTTATGTAGCTCAACTTAGCCTGTCTGACTTCACCAGTTGAGTTTTTATTTTCCCGTTGTTTGCCCTGAGTCTGCCCCACACAGCAAAGCCCAGGTGCTGCTGTAGCCCATATGAACTCTTGGTAGGCAGGGAAAATGAAAGAAGTCTGTGAATCCTAATACGGTAGTCATTTCTACCTCATTGCATTGAAGTCCCACAGAAAAAAATCATTTGTAAAAGGATATCACTAATCTAATCTTCCTAATTGGCATCTCTGAGAAAATTCTAACTGGTAATCATTCTGCCTCTACACCCCCAGTGACAAGGAGGGCATTACTTTACAAAGCAACATGCATACGTGTTAGCCAGGTTTCATTTTTTTCAAGTTCTTCCCTGGCCAATTTTTCATAAGGTTTGAGGTCTGGCCAAAAGTCCTTCTGCTTAAAAATATTTCTTTCTGTCAATCAGAAGAAATGTCTCAATGTCTGAGATTCCCACATTGTGTTCTCAAGGACTAGTTAAATATAAATATATTTTCTAAAACAAGTAAACTCTTCAGTCACTAACACCAGCCTTATTCTTTGAATTTATTTCTCACGTTAGCTAGCCAGGCAACCAGTGATACCTCGAGACCTTGGGTTAGGAGTGAAGAAGGAAAAACTTCCAAAGTATGAAGTGACCAGGAGGCAAGGCCCAGAGAGAGTCACAACGAAGTGGGAGGAGGGGCTAGAGCCTGAAGAAAGGGCAGATTCAAAGACAGACAGTGATGGAGACCCCTGCCCAACCCACAGCCCTCAGAGGAACAGGCCTTGAACCACCAGACACAGCCATCCCAGAAGCCTTGAGCTGTCACTGTCAGTGGACACTGTGGTCCCAGACGTATTTTTGGAATGATGTATCCCCTGAGGGCACATCCTCAACAAACACTCCTGACACAGAAAACTCACTAACTCCTCTCTGGTTTAATGACCCCACTGGAACTTATCACTTGATTCCAAATACCTCACCTATCCTGTCACCCAGCTCTCTTCTATCCCAAACCTCACCCTCTCCAAGCCTACCCAACTGCTACCCTTTCGTCTCCTGGAGGGGAAAAGAACCTGTTTCCCAACCCAGCGTAATGTGTTCCCATGATCCAGCAAGCTCTGGCCCTCCAAAGCCTCTCCCCACAACAAGCCTTTTTCTTCTCCCACTTGCCTCCAACTGTCAATTATTAGCTGTGTTTCCAGCCTCTGAAGGAGTTTAGCTACTTCACAGTTTCACCCAGGGACACCTTTCCTGCCTAATATTGCAAAACCACGCTGTGGAATACTTGCCTTCTCAGGGCTCTCTAAATACTGTCTCTAAATACAGAGGGTATTGTGAGAATCTACCAAATAGAGGTTCCCCTGATATGTGTTCAACATTAACACCAATGGCAATAGCAATGACAAATATATTGCAGACGAATGCTCAGTATGGACCTGTCCTAGAGCCCAATCCAACCCCAGTGGAAGTGGGCATTTATTGCTTGTGTCAAATTCACACTCACTCTCTTCTGATTTGCCTTTTGGAATTTTCATTCAAATCACTTGTCCCTCTCCTGGCCAGAAATGGGTTCACGGCACAGTGAGGCCACCTCTCTTCCCCAGGAATTTGCATCTTGAGCTGACAGACCCAAAACTGGAACTAACAGGAGCAAATTCCTCCAGAAGGCTGTGCCTTACAGAGACTGGACAATTGTTTGAGCTCCAGAAGGCTGTGCCCTACAGAGACTGGACAATTGTTTGAGAGGCAACATGTGGCACCACATGAGTACTAGAACCAGCTGGCCCAAGACTGAACATGGCTCTACTATTTATTGTCCATGTGACTGTGGATTACTTAGGTTTACTTCTCTCTGCCTCATTTTTTTCTGCAGAAAAGCAATATGCACTGCCCATTGGGGTCTTCTTAGGTTCAAATAAACATTAAGACTCACAAGACAGCAATAAGCACCAAAAGCTCCACATTTGGCATCAGTTTATTGAGAAGCATATCAGATGTTCTTCAGCACAAGAGTCCTTTCAATAGTCCACACAATAAAAATTAGGCTTAAGATCCACATCAGGTGGGAATTGCTCCAGATTAAAAACCTCATGACCTCTCCTCCCCCTTCACCCTCTTCTTCTCCAATAGCTGGTAGTTCTTGCAACAATTCCAGAGGCATAGCTTTCAGGTCCTCCCATAAGGACATGTAAGTTGTAAAAGTCAGAGAAGCCCAAAACTACAGCTTCCTAACAGGTATTTATAGTTCTGTCAGTCTAGGAGCAATTTCCCAATCAAGGGTCATTTTTACCATGAGCAATGTCTCCTAGCATCATGGTTGACACATAGCATCATAACTGGTTTCCAGAGAACAGGCAGTTAACGAAAGGTCAATTAGGTTTTGTAACTCTTTTACCCACAGCATAACAAGTATACCCAACTTATAGCACTGTATCAAGAAGCAGATGAATTAGTGCATGCCAAGGGCTTAGAACAAGGGCTGGAACATAGGAAGCTCTCAATAAATGTTAGTTATTGTTATTGGATATTTCTGGGATAGTCTGTATTTTCTCTGCCTTACAAGATCTGATGATCCAGTTATTTCTTCAGTTCTCTTAGCTACCACCAATCCTTCCAGTAAACTGAACCTTTGCTTACGTTGATCAGTACCTTTCTACTACAATTTATCAATTTGAATTACCTTGGAGTAGCCAGAGGAGAAAGAACCCATCTGAACCAGGTAGTCTAAACCTACCTGACTATAGGACTTTTGCTGAAGCTCAGATTTCTCAAGTTACTGAGAGTCTGAAAACTTCCAACATCCCACTGGCCCAGAGTGACAAGTGACCTGAAGCCTATGTGGCTTCCAGCCCAGAGCCTTCGGTGACTGCCATCAAGGAAGAAGCCCTGTTGCTCCACTTACTTCACTCTGTGATTTTAGGTTGCTGTGTTTATTAGCGACTTGTGGGAAGAATGTTGTCAGTGTACACAGGTTCAAGTAGAGAGTGGTCTCAGAGAAGCAGCTAATTAGGGAGCAGGGTGTCAAACTCAAGTAAACAAGACAGGGATGCTTTTATCCTTGTATGATCCTTGGCCAGAGCAAAGACCTCAAGCCAGGGAGGAGCAGGTTATGGTAAATCTGTGCCTAAAGGGGAATCACTACAAATGGCATATTCATTTCTTTCTTCTGCTATTGGTGAATGGGAATGATGGTATCAGCAAATTTTGTTCCCCTTCATTTCACTGAGGTAACTGTCTGGTGTTGAAACAGGATGACTCACTTTAAAGCATTTCTCCTCCCGTCTCCTTCTTAGGGTCATGGTGTCTGGTTTTCTGAATTGATAGTTCCTTTCCTTGTCCCAGTTCCCCCAAGTCCCCTGCCTCCAGCACGCTGGGTCTGGCCTGGCTTCCACCTTTCTGCCTCCGACACTCCGACTAAAGCGTTCAGAGCAAGGAACCAAGGTGGCTTTTCTTGGTTTTCTTGTCCTGGAGCCTGGTAGAGTGATTGGAACTGTACTCCTTGCTAAAGTGAGTCTTCATGCACTGGGTCTAAGGAACATTGCCTGGGAAGATGACTTCTTCAGAATAGAGGAGAGGGTAAATGGATACAAAACATAAGCAAATGTCCTGATACAGGCTGAGACTTCCACTGCCATCTTTCCCTCCAGAAGCGAGGCAATGCAGTCCAGCCCCCGGTGCCTCCCAGTGGGCTCAGGCTTCTTTGTGCTACTGTCCTACCTGATATAGACTAGTCATTGTCTTCATAGATGACCATTACCTGTGCTATTAGTTACCTATTTTACTTCAAATTATTCCGCTCTTTTTCTTTTCCTTAAATGCCTATTTTACTCTAAGTTCAAAATATCCAATGCAATCATAAGTTCCATGTATTTTGTATTTCCTTAATAAACACCTATAGAACTCTCATAATGTAACCAAATATTAACTCATTACAAATATTAACTCATTGAATCTTTGCAATAACCCTGTGAGGTAGGGCTACTATTATCCCCAATTTACAGATTAGGAAATTGAGACTTAAACTAATGAGGAAATAATCATATCATAAGTCATAAATTGGAATTAGAATCCAGGTAGGATGGCTCTGGAACTTGAGTTTAGCCTGAGTTCACCTGAGTTAACCCCTATGCTATTCTTCTTGTCCCCCTTTTAAATTAGATTAAAATAAAAGCCTAAATATTAAAATGTTTCTATTTCCATTCATGCATTACCTGAAATTATCTCATGTCCTACCAGTGGCATATACCACACTTTGAGAAACACCAGTTGAGTAAAAGGAGCTGTGAACTTAGACTTAACTTCAGTTTCTTTCTCACTATTTACTGGCTGTGCGCCCTTGAGCAAATTTCTCAAGCCGTCTAAGCCTCGGTTTCCCCACGGGTTTACTAGTGACAATAATCCCTACGCCTCCCATGGGTGGTTGGAGAGACTAAGGCAATCATACCATGGAAACTGCTTTGGGAAATACTGTCACCACAAGTCAACATTATCCCCTCTGATGATGAATAACCACTTAAAATTAAGGAAGCAATGCCCCTAGTTTTCATTACAAGCAGCCCTTGCTGGTTGGAAAATCTTTCCAATAAAAAGTAGATCCTTATGTTCCTTTGTGCTAGATATTGTTGCTGTTGCCACCAATCCAAAGTAAATTACTGCATGAAGTAAGGTCTGTTTATACTATTCCAGTACCTGATGACTTCCTATGCAGAACATTCAATGTGAGCATCTCAGCCAAAGGCCCATAAAGCCATTTCCCCCACACTTTACACTTAGGTGTGCTAAACATCTGCTTTTCTTGGCCACCTGAGTTGACGAGTTTCACTTTGCACCACAGTGAGGTCCAGGTGTCAAGCAAGGACTCAGACAGTTTCTTCCCTCCATGCCTCAAGAGGGGTCTGAGTTTATAGCCCTATTTCCCCTGCAAGAGCTAGTGGTGAGGAAACCCCGCAGCTGGGCGTCATTACACTCAATCAATGGCCACGACTTTTTTTTTCAAGGTAGCAGGCAGGGCCGAAGGTTGCATTCTCAAATTTTCAGCCAGGTTGAAGCTGTGGCCATCTGGAAAGATGGGTATGAATATAAACCTTGATGAGGGATCTTTTGTTTTGCCTTTTTGGGAGCTCCTCCAACGTGAAAACGCCTCGAGTCCTTACCCTGGGGGTAATGTGTTTTCTTGACTGATCCTGTGAGTGTGGGCAAGCATCTAATCTCAGCTTATTTCTGCTTCTCTTCGTTATCAATTTAAAATGAGAATAAATAACATAATGCTTGTACAGTGTTTTGATATCCTTGCAGGAACAGTAATCCGTAATACATAAGTGAAACCCTTACAATGGAGATGGCTTTCGGGGACTCTTACCTGATTCTAACACCCTTCAGTGTCAGAGGATGTCTTTTGAGCCCTGTACCACTTTTCACCTTGGAGAATACATCTCATGTAAGAGATAACATTATCTGATAACTGGCTATTGTGAGAGGAAAGGCAAGATAAATAAACACCTCCTGATGCAGAGGAAGCATCTCCTGAATCCCACATGGCTTATCTCTGTACCTCTGCTGGCCAAACCAGAGTCTCCTAACATGGGAAGAAAGCAACTCTTTTCCTGAAACAATACAGGCTGTATTTTGGAGACCAGATCTCATCAAGGAAATGATTCAAAATCTGTTGCAACTGCACCAATATACTGATAGCCCAAGTGTTGCCCTTCACTGCTTTTGTATTTAATAACATGGGGGTTTTTCAAGGCTCAGTAACACCTCAGAGCATGACAGTAAAAATGGAAAATGGACCAAAAGCATAAGTTTACGTTCTTTCTGAAAGGAGATTTGCACATGCGGTCCTGTTTGACATATCTCTGTGCTTATAGTCCAGTCCTGCCAGTAGTTTTCCTAAGCTACCTCCACTGCCTATTGAACAGGCATAGATCACTTTTTAAACAGTGGTCATGGTTGTCTCTAAATAGCCATATTCACGTGGCTACTTGGGATTTTTCCCTTCAACCATTCCTTTAATGCAGAGATGTATTTAAACACCTGTATTTTAAAGATGGGCTTTACAATGTTGAAGTGGTGTCATCTGGGGTAAATACCTGAAGTTCATTGTCTCAGGCCAAGAGAATCAAGCATACCGACGCAAGAAGTGGGTTTAGGAGCAGAGGTTTAATAAGCAAAAGAAAGAGAAAGGAGAACAGCTCTCTCTCCTGGGACAGAGGGGGCACCCCAATGGGACTTCTGACCCATAGCGGAGCACACCAGATTTTACCGACAGGCTTGAGGAAGCGGTGTCTGATTTAAATAGGGCCCAAAGATTGGTTGGGCCAGGTGTGATGTTTACATAATGCACGGGGAAACTGGCTGCCCCACCCTAATCTTATTATGCAAATGAGGTTTTTGCCTGGCCTGCGCCATGTCGCCTGCTTCTTACTGTACACGTGGCTGGCAAAGAGAAGAGGAGATGGAACCAGCATTTTGAACACACCTAGTCCCACATAGCCTTTTCGTATTGGCACAATTGCCGGCATTCACCCATGCAAGCTTCCAGCTTGCTTGTCTATGTCTGCAGCTTGATTTTACAGGCTGCTCTTTGTTAGAAAAGAAAATGATGTGGGGGCTGCCTTTTATTCAAAAGAAAACCTTACCGAGGACTCTCATACACTCACCATCTGCCTAAATAATTCCTTTTTAACTCCTATATCATTGTTCCCTGTCCATCCACATCTCCCAAAGCCATCATCTTTGATACTGTGCTCTGTGTTCCCAAGCTAATGGAACCAGACATCTTCCTGTGCCTCAAACCTTCAGCCTTATGATAACCATGACACCTCCATTATAAGCAAGAAAACCCAGACATGTAAAGGTCATAAACCTAGGGGTGGTTGACCCAGGGTTTACACCTGGCTGACATCCGAGTCCTGTATCCCCTCTATTAAACAAACCAAATTCTCTTACCTCCGCTCTGAGCTATCTCAATGGGCATAACTAATTGCCCACTTCCCTTTATCAGCAGTGTCCTCCCTTCTTTCCTCTCATACCTGGGAGCCCAGCCTCTCTGAGCTGCACCACAACCTTTTTCCTCTGAGTCTTGTATTTTCTCTTTTCCAATGACTCTCCTTTCCTATCCTCCTTTCCTTCTCTTTTCCTATCATAGCCAAATTCCTGAAAAGCCAACTATACTCTTCCCATTGCTCAATTCCAATCTGCTCCTCACTCCCTTGGAATTGACCACCAAAAGGACAGCTTCAATTCACTGCTGGTCTATTCCTTTATTTTTTATCACATTCAGATTCCATTCAGGCCTCAGGCAAACAAGTATATGCTGATGTTCATGCAATTGTGTATGCCATAAAGAGATTTATATCCAGATATACACTTTTGTCCACAAATATTTCAAAGCATCTTACTAACAATTCTTCCAGGTCTTTTGTTTTCCTTTTAATTGCTGAACAATTTAAGCTACCTGGAAGTAAGAACTATGTCCTCTTGCTTTCAGTAGTGGGACTTAGGACAATTGTATAATTAAATTAGAATCAAATATTAGATTAAATTCAAGCCATTTCTACCAAATCAAATCAACTGCATTTATTCTGTTAATACTGCAGCTCCCGTAACTTCAGACAACAGGAACAGTATGTAAGAAGAGCTGCATTATCTAGGTAACAACTTGTTTTTTGAAAGTTGCTAATATTACATAAAAACCCCACTTTGGATAGATGGAAGAGAGAGACAGAAAGAAGAAATTAAATTGTTGTTAGCTCTATCAAAAACCTGGACTGTGTGAGCAGGAGTTTAAGGGAAAAACAACTTTGAGGCATTGCTGGTGTGAGTGTGAAGAATATGTGGCCCCAAATACGCCACTTTGGCATAGAGAATATTCTGAGCTAAAGACAACTGAGAACCAGCAGATACAGAAAAACCTCTTTATCCCCCGTCAAAATGCCTAAAAACAGTGTATAAATTTCTCCTTGCATAAAGGAAATATACATTTTTAAAGGAATTTCCATTTGTAAAGATGTCTCTTAACCAGGAAGAGAGCTATTTCCAGAGACAATTCTTATCACATGAGAGACTCTTATCTGAATAAAAGATGATCTTTATTTACCAAACATTTTCTCTCCTTGAAACCGCCTTTGCAAAATTATAACCAAGGAAATTATGACAGTGAAAGAAATCAGACCTTACCAACTCCATCTTGCTTCTAACTTTTAAGCTGTTCTTGTTCATTCCTGGCACAGGCCGAACTAACTTTGGGAAGAAATTCAGTTCATGGTTTGACTTTGAAACAAAATTGATAAAAGTCTTTTCCCGAAAAGACCCCCTTCTTGCCTGGGGACCAGTCTGCCTTTGCAGTACTAACCAATCAGCTACAAGATTAGAATTTACAGTTTAGGGTCCAAGAGTATGAACCTTCCCAAATTGCCCCTGGGGATAACATCACTGTTATAAAACCTAAGATCAGTGCTTAAGATATTTTTCAGACCCTGCACTTGATGGATCAGCTGACACCACCCAGATTGGTAATCTGGCTCAACCATCACCCAGAAACAGAAAACAGCAAGAAAAACTCACTTCAGCCCCCTACGATTCCATCTCCAACCTGACCAGTCGGCACTACCCACTTCCAAAGCCCCCTACTCACCAAATTATCTTTAAAAACTCTGAACTCCAAACACTTGGGGAGACTCATATGAGTAATAATAAAACTCCGGTGGCTCTGTGTGAATTACTCTTTCTCCACGGCAATTTCCCTGTGTTGATAAATCAGCTATCTCTAGGCAGTGGGCAAAGTGAACCCACTGGGCGGTTACATCTTCACCTTTCCATAATTTGCTGCCCTGTCCAAAAGCCCCAAATCGTTTTTTCTTTGGTTACCCAAAAATAGTATATAAGCCTCCATCTTCTAGCCACCTCCTTGAGCCATCATTCTCTTTATGAACTCCCATGCATACATCTGTAATTAAAACCTTTTTCTCTTATCAATCTGTCTTTTATCAGTTTGATTCATGGGTCTTAGCCATAGAACCTAGATGGGTATACGGCAAACAATCTCTTTTCTCCCCTGCAAGTGTGAATTGGAGGAAATTTTGTCAATATATATCAAAATTAAAAATGTATATACTCTTTGACACAGAAATTCTACTCTTTTGGAACTGATCCCACAGATTTATTTATATTTATGTAAAAAGAAATGTGTATTAAAATATTCACTGTGGCATTAAAAAATGAGACAAACATAGGAAATGCTATTCAAGATATGTAAAAAAGCAAAGTGCTGAACAGTATGTATAATATGCTAATAGTTATGAGGGTAGGGAAACACACAAATACATATATGCACACATGTACTTACATAAGTGTGTGTATCAAAAAGATGATAGATCCATAAACACACACATACACATTTGAATTTGGAAAGACTGCCTCTGGTAGCTTATACCAGAAAATACCCTCAGCTATTGTCTTTGAGAAGAAGAATTAGGGGTTGGGGATGGAAATTTACTTTTCCTCTACATTTCTATGTGCTAACTTAAAAGTTTTGCCCTGTGCAAGTAAGTATAAGAGAGGAAAAATAATTTCCTCTCTACCCTCCATGGTTCTTAGCTGGGATTCCCTGCAGCAAAAGACAGATTAACAAGAGAAAAATAAACAGAAGTTTATTAATATGTATACCTCCTGTATACACGAGCAATAACTTTGGGAAATCTCAAAGATTAAATCTCAAGGCTAGATAAAGAATTGTCTTAGACTTCAGACTTAAATACTATTGTCCCCTGAAACAAAGAAAGAGGAGTGTGGAGAAAGACATGGTTATGGGGAGGTGTTCAGGAAAAGTGCAATAAACAAGAACCAGGTTTATTTTGCAGATGTAAGTCCACACTTTCTCCATTGATAAGAGTCTCTAGTGATTCAGTCAGCCCTATCTTCCTGGTATGGAGAGGGAGATATCCTTAAAAGTGAAGATTTCCTTCATAGGTATAAATTTCTCTTACAAAAGGGTAACTTCTGTTTTCAAAGTGTCTGCTGTGTCTGCAGGTTCTCAAAATAACCAGCTCAAAATAATCCTTATGCCAAAGAGGCATATTTTGGGATGACTTGGGGTAATGTGTTCTGAACCCTATTAAAGTATTTTTTAAATTATTTTTAAAGAAAAATAATTTGCTTAAAGATGGGGTGAATTTGAATCCCTTTTTTCCCCCAGTTTAAAGAGTTACCGTAAGATTTGAGAGGTATGGGTGGACCCGCTCTGAATTGAGATATTTCAGCCACTGATTTAGGATGAAAGAGGGTTTTCTCTTGCCTCCCACTGGTTTTGTGTTTCACTGTTTTCAGAACATTAAATGAAGTGTTACCATGAAGAAGGCACAAATTACTTAATCCTCACACAAGAGCCAGTCTCATTAGCTCACACTCACACCTCTTAGGTCATACCATGGCCATCAATTATACCCGGCTGATGCTGCAAGGGACAATCTCACTGCTCTGTGACATATTTTTCTGTCTTACAGATTCTAGGTCTCAAAATATAAGGAATGACCTCACGAGTCACAGCCCAGTTGTTCCTATATGTAGTTAGAAGGAGATATCTGAAGGTTGGTACACTGTTAATATTATTCAATCATTTCAGCTCTCTTCTCAACCTCTCTATTCTCAACACTCAATTTCAAGTTTATGGCACCACTGCGATTCTAGCCCTTCCATTTCCCACTCGGAATTTCTGTGCTATCGTCCCTCAGGAGCTCCTTGGATCTGGCATCCTCTCTACCGTCAACCTCACACCCCAGGCAAGAAGGGGAAATCCCAGAGGCCATAATCCTCCAGCCATCTGGGAGGCACCCAGAAGACAACCATTAGCAGACACTCTGGGACTTCAGGCAGTTCTGCTCCTTGAAACAACTGTCACTGGAGAGGCGATTTTACAGCAGCCACTGTTGTCAAGTGGAAATACATTTTTAGTAATAAGAATAACAGCAATGGACGGATAAGCTGGCTCTTCTGGAACAACCATCCAGGGATATTCCAGCCTTACAGTTCTATCAGGTCAAGCAAAAGTTGATGTTTCTACCTCACCAGGGAGCACTTTAGCCCTTAATCTCTTTTACAAGCAGCAGAGGACTTGAAGACCAAATGACAGCCAGGGACCTGGCCATTGCCGGGTAGCCTAGGAATGTGCGACCACTAAGGAATTGAAGCCCTTCTCTGTGTCTCTGTTTTTCTCACTTGTCTTCTTTCCAGCTGTCCTATAGGTGTGGTAAATCTGAATGCACAATTCTCAAAAACCATAACTCCCACTTTTTCTAGGTGCCAAAGAGAATGTTAAAATATCTTCAATTATCCATTCTCTCATTTCAACTTCAGCTTCTAGTATTGATTAAGAAGTGGAGACCACCTCATCTGTCCTCCTCAATCTTATTCATGCACTACTGAGACGCACCTACAGGAGGAGAAACACTTCCAAGCACACGATGTGAATTTGTATCTTTACACACCTAACATACCGACTATTCCTGAATCCTTATCCAGTTTGAAAGAGAATACAATGCAAGTAAAACCTGAATTGATTTTAGCCTGATGTTTTCCCGTGGAACAGGGACTCATAAATCACTCCATATGTCAAACTCTGCCCTTCTTCCCCGATTCAGTAATCACTCTCTTAGTAACTTGGGAGATATAAACTAGACATTTGTATCTACCAGGGGTTCTATCTGGCTTATTTATTTAATTCAGCTGAGAATTTGGGGTGTTATGTTTCATTAATTCACCAATGACCTATTTTAAATCAACGATTCTGAGCCAACTTCTTTTTGAGATATTGGACTTGATATAAATACAATGCAGAAAGAAGTAATTCTCCATTCTGGGTTAACTTCATTATTGTGCTAAGTATTCCCATAAGAAAAAAAAATTATCATATGCTCTCAAGCTTCACAGACATATTTTTGTCTGTATGTTTACTCAGAAAGGAGATAAAGTCTACAGTTTCATTTTCATACTTTTACAGCAAGATCCTAACCCAATCCAAAAACCCCAGCTATTTTGCATTAAAGCTAAAATCATGAAAATTAGTTAGAATCACAAATTACGTCTGGCTTTCAAGCTATCTGTAATGCACAGATGTAATGTAGCAAACACGTTGTATTTTAAAAAAAAAAAAAACTTAAAGGTTTTAAAGGAAGGTTGGTGTCTTCTTCCTTTCTTTTCAGACCAAGTGCTAAGACTTGGAGTTCAGTTAACTACTATTATTCATAATGGAGTTTCAAAAATTCTAATGCAAGGAGAAGATAAACCTCTCCACCAATGTTTACTTACTGGAGAAAGCGCAAAAAAAAAAAAAAAAATGAGTATGCAGATAGAGCTTTGTGATTTAAAGCAATAGCTTGCACTAAATGCCCCCATCAAAAAGTAAATTCTCAGGAGTCACCTTTCAAATCCAAACCTGGAGGATGATTTTGTATTCACCACTAATGTCATCCATGATCTCGTGACTCAGAAATACTGAGCCACTTCAGGCACATTGGTTTTCCTAACTAAATATCCATGTCTCCATCTTTAAAAAGTTTAAATTCCTCTCATGCCTGTAATCCCAGCACTTTGGGAAACCGAGATGGGAGGATTGTTTGAGCACAGGAGTTTGAGACCAGCCTGAGCAACATAGCAAGACCCCATCTCTACAAAAATTTTTAAAAATTGGCTTGGCATGATGGTGCATGCCTGTAGTCCCAGCTACTGGGGAGGCTGAGGCAGGAGGATCGCTTGAGCCCAAGAGTTCAAGGCTGCAGTGAGCCATGATTGTGCTGCTGCACTCCAGCCTGGGTGATAGAGTGAGACCCTGTCTCAAAAAAAAAAAAAAAAAGTTTAAGTTTCTTTTCTGTTTTCACTACTCAACTTTAAATGGCCTCTTTTGGTCTGAGCTATGAGGTCAAAAAAAAACCAGTCAGAACTGAGTTTTCAGCTATACATATTTTTACATCCTTGCGACAATACTCTGATGAAAGTGTTAAAAGATAAAGTTAGCCACATTGAAATTTTATTTGAGCAGACAGCAATTCATGAATCAGGAAGCTCCAGATCGCAGGTGTTTTGGGCTCCACCAATAGGGCATGAGAGGAAGACTTTCATAGGGTGAAACTTTCATAGGGTGACTCTCAGAAGCAAGGTAAAGAAAATATAATTGGTTAAAATGGAGCAGAAGTTTAATTTGGACTATTCCAGTGGAAAGTCCCTAATTAGAAATTAATTGGCAGTTCTGGTTGGTTAAGCTTAAGTTTCATTCTCCTAGAATATGACCGTTTACGCTGACTTGGGTTTCCATTTGCTTACATAGTAGCCAGTCTAATAGCCTCCTAATTAATTATTTTAACAAAAAGAAAGAATACATGTTCTCAGAAAACCATTACTGTGGAGGTTTCTGAGTGCTCTCCTCTCATGATGTTCCTTTCACTTCAAAGACCTCCTCTCCATGTATCCAAGCCCTTTTTGCATTAAGCACTGTTCTGACAGACACTTCTTCTTTCCCTAATACCTAGCAGAGCCTACCCACAGGACCACTTAAAAAAAAAAAATTGTGGAAGAGGGATGCTATGCTTTTCTGCTCTTGAAGGAACTCCAAATTGTAACCTTTCAAGATTTTCATGTGCCCACAGGATGTAGCTCAAGTTAGAGCAGAGACTACACTAGATGCAACAACTTAGGTTAATATTTGGTCCAAAACTTAACTGTAACTGTTGTCTCAGAAGAGGTATACCTATGCACACCCTATGGCCACACAAAATGGACTTCTGCTCACCCTTCCCCCTTAACCTGAAAGCTACCCACTATAGATTACATGTTTGTCCCCCCAAGCCTCATATTAAAATTATCCCCATTGTGGGAGACAGAACCTAATAGGAAGTAGGAAGTGTTTGAGTCATGGGGATGGATTTTTTTTTTTGACCGAGTCTCGCTCTGTTGCCAGGCTAGAGTGAAGTGGTGTGGTCTCGGCTCACTGGAACCTCCGCCTCCCAGGTTCAAGTAATTTTCCTACCTCAGCCTTTTGAGTAGCTGGGACTACAGGTGCCTGCCACCACACCTGGCTAATTTTTTTCTTTTTCTTTTTTTTTTTTTTTTTTGGATTTTTGGTAGAGACAGGGTTTCACCATGTTAGCCAAGATGGTCTTGATCTCCTGACCTCATGATCTGCCCACCTTGGCCTCCCAAAGTGCTGGGATTACAGGCGTGAGCCACCATGCCCAGCCAGGATGGATTTTTTATGAATGGCTTGACACTGTCTTCATGGTCATGAATAAGCTCTCGCTCTATTAGTACCAGCGAGAGCTGGTTGTTTAAAAGAGCCTGGTACCGCTCCTTTCTCTCTCACGTCCTTTCTCACCCATGTGATTTCTGCACACGCCAGCTTCCCTTCATCTTCCACCGGGAGCAGAAGCAGCCTGAGGCTTTCAGCAGATACCCAATCTTCCAGCCATCGGAATCGTGAACCAAATAAGCATTTTTTTCTTCATAAATTACCCAGCCTCAGGTATATCTGTATAGAAACTCTAAATGGACTAAGACACTACCCACAAACGTTTCATCCTGGCTTGCTGAAGTTGTTCGAAGAGGAAGTTACAGATCAGTTTCTTTTCCTGAAAGTACAGTCTGTTACCTCAAACAAAGTGTGACTATCAGACAATCAAACATATATAAATAAAGCAAAAAAATGTAAAATACTTTGAAATGGACCAAAGTTATTGTAAGGTGTCTTCAGTGGAGAACTAGACATTGTCTAAATACATCATTTCAAGTTATGTGATTCTATGAGGCCTCTGTGCCTTTCCTTGACTTTCAGTGTTTTACAACTCTTTAAGTTGTGGATAATTGGTAGTGACACAAACAGTTCTTTGTCCATAAACATGCAAGTCAATTTTGTTCTCTGAAAATACACCATTGGTTTTCCTCCCCCACTGTGGAATGAGACAGTTTTGCATCTATTTGTAAATTTATTGCAACGTCGTTTGCTGGTTCTTTAAATTTTCCTTTGAACTAGTTGTAACATCTTACTAGTTCTTTCATTAATTAATGATTTAAATAAAATCTCTAATGTGTATTGATTTTATATTTGAGATTTGTGATTCTATTCTATTTTGGAAATTATAAAACCCAGAGAACAGTACAAAATTGTTCTTTACTTTCCTCATTGAAGAATCCATGGAGTCCACCTCAGGCGGTCAAAGAACCCCTCCTGTCTGGTCTCTACCTTGTTCTCTCCTCACTTCCACTCCTAAAGTCTTCTCAGTCTTTTTAGCCATTTACCCTTATGTCAGAGGTATTTCAACCAGTATAACTCCATCTTGAATAGGAGGTGGGTAAAATGAGGCTGAGACCTACTGGGCTGCATTCCCAGACAGTTAAGGCATTCTTAAGTCACAGGATGAGATAGCAGGTCAGCACAATATACAGGGTATAAAGACCTTGCTGATAAAAACAGGTTGCAGTAAAGAAGCTGGCAAAACCCACCAAAACCAAGAGGGAGAGAGACCTCAAAACCCACCAAAACCAAGAGAGAGGCCTCTGGTTGTCCTCACTGCTACACTCCCACCAGCGCATGACAGTTTACAATGACAGTTTACAAATGCCATGGCAACTTCAGGAAGTTACCCTATGTGGTCTAAAATAGGTTATGGAGAAATACCAATGGTGTATTTACAGAAAACAAAATTTACTTGCATGTCTATGGACAAAGAACTGTTTGTATCACTACTGGTTATCTACATGCCTATATGGCATGAATAATCCACCCCTTGTTTAGCATATCATCAAGAAATAACCATAAAAATGGGCAACCAGCAGCCCTCGAGGCTGCTCTATGGAGTAGCCATTCTTTATTCCTTTACTTTCCTAATAAACTTGCTTTCACTTAACTCTATGGACTCACCCTGAATTCTTTCTTGCACGAGATCCAAGAACCTTCTCTTGGGGTACAGGTCGGGACCCCTTTCCTGTAACACTTAGGGCAGATTCTTAGGCAGCCAATTCTATCTGAAAGGAGAAGAGGAGAATATTTTAATTCTTTTGTTCCCTCAGCATATTACAGCTACAAAAATTAAATAAATCTTCCCAGTGCTAGTATTCGTGATCCATCAGTCCAAAATTCGAGTGTGTTATGCTATTTCCAGTAGTCAAAGATCCCTTCGGTGAAAGGGGAGGAAGAGCAGTTAAAACTCTATTCTGCCACTCTGTATTGCCTTTCATCTTTTATTAAAATGACAGGTTGCTAATTTGTCCTTCCATTAATGAGAATGTTTTTTGTTTGTTTGTTTGTTTTGAGACAGGGTCTCGCTCTGTTGCCCAGGCTGGAGTGCAGTGGTGCGAACTAATGAGGATGTTTTTAACTGATCCCCACTCTTTCATCTCATCTATTTTATGGCTTGAAATGAGTTCAGGTCATTAATTGAGCATTTACTATAGGGTAGGCATTGTTTTATTTGCTGGGAATTCATAGACCTCAAAGAGCTCACAGTTTGAAAGGGTCACTTTCACATAAATGAGTATTTATAATACAATGTAGCCATGCAGCACATAATAAACCTGTACATTTTCAGGACAACTGTTCTGCAGGAGACGTCCAGCCTGTGGCTAGTTAACGCAACTAAAGTTTCAGCAAAGCACTCAAGCGTAAGGTCCTTAAAGTTTTTCTCATTAAGTTTTTGTTTTTTTGTTTTTGTTTTTGAGATGGAGTCTCGCTCTGTCGCCCAGGCTGGAGTGCAGTGGTGCCATCAGGGCTCACTGCAAGCTCCGCCTCCCAGGTTCACGCCATTCTCCTGCCTCAGCCTCCCGAGTAGCTGGGACTACAGGCGCCCGCCACCACGCCCGGCTAATTTTTTTATATTTTTAGTAGAGACGGGGTTTCACCGTGTGTTAGCCAGGAGTCATTAAGTTTTAATAAGTCCAACCATCTCCAGACCAGAACCCCTCTGAATATGAAATAGGAGAAGTGAGATATCTCACACAGTAGCTATCAAGTTACTACTCACAAGCCAGAAAATGTCAGGGCTTACTTTGGCTTTCAAGTTCACAGTTCCATGAAATACAGAGTTAGGAAGGCTATCTTGATGAGCATTCTTCATTGGACCTCTCTGCCTTTGGACTTTTCTCTGCCTTGGACATTCGGGGAGCTGTTCTGCTTGGGGGTGCCTTTGTTAAGTGAAATGGGCAATTCATTTCCCTGACCACCAAGAGACATCCAGAATTTGTCATGTTTTATGAGTAATTTTGAAAGTGCTTACTAGACCTCCCTCCCTTTTCAACTGCTCAGGCTCAGTAAGCTTTTAAACTTTCTATTTCGTTACAGTACAAACAACTCTACAAGCAGGCCTCCTGCTTCTCCCCTCAGGCTATGCAGAATTATTCATACTCAAGGTCTAAAGAGGAACATCAGCACGAAGGAAAAACAGACTAAAGAGTGAAAACAAATTAGCAATCCAAACAGCTCTCTCCCAGCCTGTCACTGGAAGGCCTTTGGTGTCTCATTCCAGAGTCAAGGGGTTTTCTGAGTTGAAGATTAAAGGATACATTTTCAGGGCTCAGAGAACAGACAATCTGTGAAATGCATATTCACCCAAGGCAGCCAGAACAAGGTGCGCATATGAAGAACCGGGATGGGCCTTCACCCCAAACCAGATGAGCCTTGTATGGATAGTCGGTATTTTGCACCCACTGGGCTCGAGTCTTTCATATTTTATTCATGCTTGGGTAAGGAAAAAAAGAAAGAAGAAAGAAAGAAAGAAAGAAAAAGAAAGAAAGAAAGAAAGAAAGAGAAAAAGAAAGAAAGAAAGAAAGAAAGAAAGAAAGAAAGAAAGAAAGAAAGAAAGAAAGAAAGAAAGAAAGAAAGAAAGGCCATTAAGCTCTCTTTGGGAATGTGGGAAATCTTATCTTAGTTATTCTCAACCAGGGTGATTTTGCCCCACAAAGAAACATGTGGCAAGTGTCTGAAGATATTTTTGATGGTCAAAACTGGCACTGGGAGGTGTTGCTGGCATGTAGTGGGTAAATAAGAAGGAGAAGGCTGAGCACCCTGTGAGGCACATGATGACCCCCACAACTAAGATTTATCTGTTCCAAGATGTAGTTAGTGCAAAGGTTGAGAATCTCTGCCTTAAAATGTAAAGCAGTAAAAACAGAACGTTAAGAAAGCTCCTCCCTCTCTCATGTGTATATTTGTGTATGTCTCTGTTTCCATCTCTCTCTCTCACACACACACACACACACAAACACACTGCCGGCTTCATAGGGGTGAAACCTATGCACATGAGCAGGGTCCCATACTCAGAACAGTTCCTGTACTTGATGTAATCCTCTGCTTCACTATCTTGAAATTCTCAATAATTTTGCATGAGAGGCCCCATATTTTCCTTTTGCCCTGGGCCCTGCACATTACGTATCTGGCCCTGCATGCAAATGCCTGTGCAAGAGACACTCAGCATTTCATGCAGTAGAACCATATGTTCTCCACTACCCTCTTTTTTCTCCCCTAACATTCCACTTTATTATAGTAGTGCATGCTTTCATTCTGTTTTTGAAACCTCTCTTTGGGTTATGGCAGAGCCAACGCTGGAAAATAGACGTGTGTCATGGATTCTGAAGCGTCTGCATATTTTCTTCTTGCCCATCAAACTCTCTAGAAAATCCATACAGGGCACCAAGTGGCAGTCAGCAGATCGTGCGACATAAAAATTTTCTCAAAGACGCTGGAAAGAAGCTGCAGAGGCTTTTCTTTCCTGCAAGGGCAGCAGGGCTCTGCTCTGATCGTCCTTGCAGAGATGACAAAAATGATCCAGGACAAGAATCTTAATATCTGTAATCTAATAAAATCTACTTTCATGTCCATCCTCTTCTTGCCAGTCCTTTTTCATTCAATGTTCTGGATTGTTCACAAACCTATGAATAAGCTTAAAACCTATTAAAAACCTGCAAGGCAGGAACCATCACTTTGCTTCTTGTTAATCACTTTTAATCTACTACCACAAGTCAATCAGCAACAATTTACTGAGCAATTGTGAAGGGATGGAAGACCCTATCTGCAAACAATCTTGTTCACTTTTACAAATGGATCCCTTAAAATGTCCTGTTACTGGAAGGATGCGGACCTCTCAGGGCTCTAGAAGAAGCACCTAAGTGGATTATCTATGAGGCCTACATGAAAAACCAAACAAGAGCAACAATAAATTTGTTTTTTGAATACTGTGCAGTATGACAAACCCTGCCTAAGAGATCCGGGTCTGCATACACGTGTCTCTACTGCCATCTTCTGACGAGCCATCCAGCACAGCCATCCATTAGCGTCTGCCACTTGGGAATCCCTCTGAGCACTTTAGAATTGAACTTACAAAGTAAATGGGCTTTGAAAACAATATTAAAGCACAAATCATAGTCGCTGCCACACTAGTAAACAGTTGAGAACATCAATAATAATTTTTAAGTTTGCAGGCAATTCAACTTAAAACAGTACACATGGAGCAGAATTCCTCACTGTAGTCTGTGAGCAGACAGCCTTGACTGAACAGTGGGACTCTTCAGGGACCCAGGCAAGGACTATGGGAAAGTCCAAGGGAAGAGTCAACAGGCTGTGATCCTAACAGCTCAAATTCTTTTGGAATTTTTGTTTGTCTGTTCCTATGAGGGGAAAAAAGACCAAAGCTCTGAGTCTGCTTTTCTGGGTAAAGTAGAAATACAGCCAATGTTCCTACTTAGGCATCACCTGAGACATGCCTAGTTCTCCTTTCCCTTTTGTTCCTAAAAGCACAGACCAGATTGGCAATAATAACAATGATGGTGATAATGTGGATTCCTCAAGGGTAGAAACCTCATTCTATTCACTGCTGCATTCCCATGACTAGAACAGCAATTCATAGTAGACATTCCAAAGATACGTTTCTTGCAGAGACATGGATGAAGCTGGAAACCATCATTCTCAGCAAACTAACACAAGAACAGAAAACCAAACACTGCATGTTATCACTCATAAGTGGGAGTTGAACAATGAGAACACACGGACACAGGGCAGAGGGCATCGCACACCGGGGCCTGTCGGGGAGTGTGGGGGCTAGGGGAGGGATAGCATTAGAAGAAATACCTAATGTAGATGACGGGTTGATGGGTGCAGCAAACCACCATGGCACATGTATACTTATGTAACAAACCTGCACGTTCTGCACATGCATCCCAGAACTTACAGTAAAAAAAAAAAAAAAAAAAAAAGATACATTCTTAACAAAGGGGCAGTCATAGCTATCATTGACTGATGATGTATTTTATGCTAAATCCTTTACAGTTCTTATCTAATTTAACATCTATAGTAACCTATGAAGCATGTCTTATTATCCATGTGTTGGGTTTTTTTTGTTTTTTGTTGTTGGTGGTGGTGTTTTTTTTTTGTTTTTTGTTGTTGGTGGTGTTGTTTTTTTTTGTTTTTTGTTGTTGGTGGTGTTTTTTTTTGTTTTTTGTTGTTGTTGGTGTTGTTTTTTGTTTTTTGTTGTTGGTGGTGTTGTTTGTTTTTTGTTGGTGGTGTTGTTTGTTTTTTTTTGTTTTTTGTTGTTGGTGATGTTGTTTGTTTTTTTTTGTTTTTTGTTGTTGGTGGTGGTGTTTTTTTTTGTTTTTTGTTGGTGGTGTTGTTTGTTTTTGTTTTTTGTTGGTGGTGTTGCTTGTTTTTTTTTGTTTTTTTTGTTGTTGGTGGTGTTGTTTTTTGTTTTTTGGTGTTTTTTTTTTTTTTTTTTGAGACAGGTCTCCGTCTATCACTCAGGCTGGAGTGCAGTAGCGCAGTCATGGCTCACCGCACCCTCGACCTCCCAGGCCCAAGCAATCCTGCCATCTCAGCCTCCTGAGTAGCTGGAACCACAGGCACATGCCACCACACTCAGTTATTTTTTAAATTTTTTGTAGAGATGAGGTCTCACTGTGGTGCTCTGGCTGGTCTCGAACTCCTGGGCTCAATTGATCCTTCCGCCTCAGCTTTCCAAAACACTGGGATTGCAAGCATGAGCCACATTGCTGACCTCCATGTGTTTTTGATGGAGAGTGAATCACCAGACTTGGCAGATGGCCAGACTGGCCAGAGAGGAATGAATTTATGTTGAGTTGAATAAGCTATAGCCCATGAAGAGGTGGCTACATAAAAATAATAATAAACCTCCATTATTGAGAAATTACTATACACCAGGACGGTGCTTAGCATGATCTTATTTACTCCTAGGAAAAGCTTGATGAAATAAATCTTACTTGGTGTCAGGCCTCTGAGCCCAAGCCAAGCCATCGCATCCCCTGTGACTTGCACGTATATACGCCCAGATGGCCTGAAGTAACTGAAGAATCACAAAAGAAGTGAATATGCCCTGCCTCACCTTAACTGATGACATTCCACCACAAAAGAAGTGTAAATGGCCGGTCCTTGCCTTAACTGATGACATTACCTTGTGAAAGTCCTTTTCCTGGCTCATCCTGGCTCAAAAAGCACCCCCACTGAGCACCTTGTGACCCCCACTCCTGCCTGCCAGAGAACAAACCCACTTTGACTGTAATTTTCCTTTACCTACCCAAATCCTATAAAACGGCCCCACCATTATCTCCCTTCACTGACTCTCTTTTTGGACTCAGCCCGCCTGCACCCAGGTGAAATAAACAGCCATGTTGCTCACACAAAGCCTGTTTGGTGGTCTCTTCACACAGACGTGCACGAAATCTGGTGCCGTGACTCGGATCGGGGGACCTCCCTTGGGAGATCATTCACCTGTACTCCTGTTCTTTGCTCCATGACAAAGATCCACCTATGACCTCAGGTCCTCAGACCGACCAGCCCAAGGAATATCTCACCAATTTTAAATCAGGTAAGCGGCCTCTTCTTACTCTCTTCTCCAACCTCTCTCACTGTCCCTCAACCACTTTCTCCTTCCCACTCTTCAATCTCTCCCTTCTCTTAATTTCAATTCCTTTCATTTTCTGGGAGAGACAAAGGAGACACGGACACGTTTTATCCGTGGACCAAAAACTCCGGCGCCGGTCACAGACTAGGAAGGCAGCCTTCCCTTGGTGTTTAATCATTGCAGAGAAGCCTCTCTGATTATACACTCATGTTTCAAGGGTGTCAGACCACGCAAGGACGCCTGCCTTGGTCCTTCACCCTTAGCGGCAAGTCCTGCTTTTCTGGGGAAGGGGCAAGTACCCCAACCCCTTCTCTCCTTGTCTCTACCCCTTCTCTGCTTTTCTGGGAGAGGGGCAAGTACCCCTCAACCCCTTCTCCTTCACCCTTAGCGGCAAGTCCCGCTTTTCTATGGGGCAAGAACCCCCAATCCCTTATTTCCACACCCCAACCTCTTATCTCTGTGCCCCAATCCCTTATTTCCGTGCCCCAACCTTGTATCTCTGTGCCCCAATCCTGTTTCCGCGCCCCAACCTCTTATGTCTCCGCGCCCCAATCCCTTATTTCTGCACCCCGACCTCTTATCTCTGTGCCCCAACCCCTTTTCCCACTTTTCTGGAAGGTAAGAACCCCCGAACCCCTTCCCACCATTTCTCTACTCTCTCTTTTCTCTAGGCTTGCTTCCTTCACTATGGGCAACCTTCCACCCTCCATTCCTCCTTCTACTCCCTTGGCCTCTGTTCTCAAAAACTTAAAACCTCTTCAACTCACACCTGACCTAAAACCTAAATGCCTTATTTTCTTCTGCAATGCCGCTTGACCCCAGTACAAACTCGACAGTAGTTCCAAATAGCCAGAAACTGGCACTTTGAATTTTTCCATCCTGCAAAATCTAAATAATTCTTGTCATAAAATAGGCAAACGGTCTAAGGTGCCTGACGTCCAGGCATTCTTTCACACATCAGTCCCTTCCTAGTCTCTGTGCCCAATGCAACTCGTCCCAAATCTTCCTTCTTTCCCTCCCGCCTGTCCCCTCAGCACCAACCCCAAGCGTCGCTGAGTCTTTCTAATCTTCCTTTTCTACAGGCCCATCTGACCTCTCCCTTCCTCCCCAGGCTGCTCCTCACCAGGCCGAGCTAGGTCCCAATTCTTCCTCAGCCTCCGCTCCTCCACCCTATAATCTTTCTATCACCTCCCCTCCTCACACCTGGTCCGGCTTACAGTTTCGTTCCCTAACTAGCCCTGCCCCTCCTGCCCAGCAATTTACTCCTAAAAAGGTGGCTGGAGCTAAAGACATAGTCAAGGTTAATGCTCCTTTTTCTTTATCCCAAATCAGAAGCGTTTAGGCTCTTTTTCATCAAATATAAAAACCCAGCCCAGTTCATGACTTGTTTGGCAGCAACCCTGAGACGCTTTACAGCCCTAGACCCTAAAAGGTCAAAAGGCCGTCTTATTCTCAATATGCATTTTATTACCCAATCTGCTCCCGACATTAAATAAAACTCCAAAAATTGGAATCTGGCCCTCAAACCCCACAACAGGACTTAATTAACCTCACCTTCAAGGTGTACAATAACAGAAAAAAGTTGCAATTCCTTGCCTCCACTGTGAGACAAACCCCAGCCACATCTCCAGCACACAAGAACTTCCAAACGCCTGAACCGCAGCGGCCAGGCGTTCCTCCAGAACCTCCTCCCCCAGGAGCTTGCTACACTTGCCGGAAATCTGGCCACTGGGCCAAGGAATGCCCGCAGCCCGGGATTCCTCCTAAGCCACGTCCCATCTGTGTGGGACCCCACTGAAAATCGGACTGTTCAACTCACCTGGCAGCCACTCCCAGAGCCTCTGGAACTCTGGCCCAAGGCTCTCTGACTGACTCCTTCCCAGATCTTCTCGGCTTAGCGGCTGAAGACTGACACTGCCCGATCGCCTCGGAAGCCCCCTAAACCATCAGGGACACCGAGCTTCGGGTAACTCTCACAGTGGAAGGTAAGCCCGTCCCCTTCGTAATCAATACGGAGGCTACCCACTCCACATTACCTTCTTTTCAAGGGCCTTGTTCCTTTGCCTCCATAACTGTTGTGGGTATTGACGGCCAGGCTTCTAAACCTCTTAAAACCCCCCAACTCTGGTGCCAACTTAGACAATACTCTTTAAAGTGCTCCTTTTTAGTTATCCCCACCTGCCCAGTTCCCTTATTAGGCTGAGACACTTTAACTAAATTATCTGCTTCCCTGACTATTCCTGGACTACAGCTATATCTCATTGCCGCCCTTCTTCCCAATCCAAAGCCTCCTTTGCGTCCTCCTCTTGTAACCCCCCACCTTAACCCACAAGTATAAGATACCTCTACTCCCTCCTTTGCAACCGATCATGCACCCCTTACCATCTCATTAAAATCTAATCACCCTTACCCCACTCAACGCCAATATCCCATCCCACAGCACGCTTTAAAAAGATTAAAGCCCGTTATCACTCGCCTGCTACAGCATGGCCTTTTAAAACCTATAAACTCTCCTTACAATTCCCCCATTTTACCTGTCCTAAAACCAGACAAGCCTTACAAGTTAGTTCAGGATCTGCGCCTTATCAACAAAACTGTTTTGCCTATCCACCCTGTGGTGCCAAACCCATATACTCTCCTATCCTCAATACCTCCCTCCACAATCCATTATTCTGTTTTGGATCTCAAACGTGCTTTCTTTACTATTCCTTTGCACCCGTCATCCCAGCCTCTCTTCGCTTTCACTTGGACTGACCCTGACACCCATCAAGCTCAGCAAATTACCTAGGCTGTACTGCCGCAAAGCTTCACAGACAGCCCCCATTACTTCAATCAAGCCCAAATTTCTTCCTCATCTGTTACCTATCTCGGCATAATTCTCATAAAAACACACGTGCTCTCCCTGCCAATTGTGTCCGACTGATCTCTCAAACCCAAGCACCTTCTACAAAACAACAACTCCTTTCCTTCCTAGGCATGGTTAGCGCGGTCAGAATTCTTACACAAGAGCCAGGACCACACCCTGTAGCCTTTCTGTGCAAACAACTTGACCTTACTGTTTTAGCCTAGCCCTCATGTCTGCGTGCAGCAGCTGCCGCTGCTTTAATACTTTTAGAGGCCCTCAAAATCACAAACTATGCTCAACTCACTCCCTACAGTTCTCATAACTTCCAAAATCTATTTTCTTCCTCACACCTGACACATATACTTTCTGCTTCCCGGCGCCTTCAGCTATACTCACTCTTCGTTGAGTCTCCCACAATTACCGTTGTTCCTCGCCCAGACTTCAATCCGGCCTCCCACATTATTCCTGATACCACACCTGACCCCCATGACTGTATCTCTCTGATCCACCTGACATTCACCCCATTTCCCCAAATTTCCTTCTTTCCTGTTCCTTACCCTGATCACACTTGATTTATTGATGGCAGTTCCACCAGGCCTAATCGCCACACACCAGCAAAGGCAGGTTATGCTATAGTACAAGCCACTAGCCCGCCTCTTAGAACCTCTCATTTCCTTTCCATTGTGGAAATCTATCCTCAAGGAAATAACTTCTCAGTGTTCCATCTGCTATTCTACTACTCCTCAAGGATTATTCAGGCCCCCTCCCTTCCCTACACATCAAGCTCGAGGATTTGCCCCACCCAGGACTGGCAAATTAGCTTTACTCAACATGCCCCGAGTCAGGAAACTAAAATACCTCTTAGTCTAAATAGACACTTTCACTGAATAAGTAAAGGCCTTTCCTACAGGGTCTGAGAAGGCCACTGCAGTCATTTCTTCCCTTCTGTCAGACATAATTCCTCAGTTTAGCCTTCCCACCTCTATACAGTCTGATAACAGACCAGCCTTTATTAGTCAAATCAGCCAAGCAGTTTTTCAGGCTCTTAGTATTCAGTGAAACCTTTATATCCCTTACGGTCCTCCGTCTTCAAGAAAAGTAGAACGGACTAAAGGTCTTTTAAAAACACACCTCACCAAGCTCAGCCACCAACTTAAAAAGGACTGGACAATACTTCTACCACTTTCCCTTCTCAGAATTCAGGCCTGTCCTCGGAATGCTACACGGTACAGCCCATTTAAGCTCCTGTATAGACGCTCCTTTTTATTAGGCCCCAGTCTCATTCCAGACACCAGACCAACTTAGACTGTGCCCCCCACCAAAAAAAAAACTTGTCATCCCTACTATTTTCTGTCTAGTCATACTCCTATTCACCGTTCTCAACTACTCATACATGCCCTGCTCTTGTTTACACTGTTTTTCCAAGCCATCACAGCTGATATCTCCTGGTGCTATCCCCAAACTGCCACTCTTAACTCTTGAAGTAAATAAATAATCTTTGCCGGCAGGACTCTGCCGAATCTCCTTAAGCACTCTCTAATCAGATATCCTGAGTTGTCCCAATTCTTAGACCTTTTATACCTGTTTTTCTCCTTCTGTTATTCCATTTAGTTTTTCAATTCATACAAAACCATATCCAGGCCATCACCAATCATTCTATACAACAAATGTTTCTTCTAACGTCCCCACAATATCACCCCTTACCACAAGATCTGCCTTCAGCTTAATCTCTCCCACTCTAGGTTCCCACGCCGCCCCTAATCCCGCTTGAAGCAGCCCTGAGAAACATCGCCCATTCTCCCTCCATACCACCCCCCAAAAATTTTCGCCGCCCCAACACTTCAACACTATTTTGTTTTATTTTTCTTATTAATATAAGAAGGCAGGAATGTCAGGCCTCTGAGCCCAAGCCAAGCCATCGCATCCCCTGTGACTTGCACGTATATACGCCCAGATGGCCTGAAGTAACTGAAGAATCACAAAAGAAGTGAATATGCCCTGCCTCACCTTAACTGATGACATTCCACCACAAAAGAAGTGTAAATGGCCGGTCCTTGCCTTAACTGATGACATTACCTTGTGAAAGTCCTTTTCCTGGCTCATCCTGGCTCAAAAAGAACCCCCACTGAGCACCTTGTGACCCCCACTCCTGCCTGCCAGAGAACAAACCCCCTTTGACTGTAATTTTCCTTTACCTACCCAAATCCTATAAAACGGCCCCACCCTTATCTCCCTTCGCTGACTCTCTTTTCGGACTCAGCCTGCCTGCACCCAGGTGAAATAAACAGCCATGTTGCTCACACAAAGCCTGTTTGGTGGTCTCTTCACACGGACGCGCATGAAACTTGGCATTGCCATTTTACAGATGAAGGCCAGGAAGTTTCAGCAATCTGCCCAAGTTAGGAAGTGGAGAGCTGGAGGTCCCACCCAGGACTGCCTCGTGGATGCAGCTTCTCTTGCCCTCATAGCTTCTCTCTCGTGATACATGTTAGGCTGTCCTACTTCCTCCAGGAAGTCACCCCACGTTCTCGTGAGCCAACAATACCATTCTTCACACATCAACAATGTGAGCCAACTCCCACATAAAATGCCGACCAACAGACCAACTGCAGGGCATTTCATCCCGAAATATGTAGCAGCTGGATACAGAACAGAAAGAGACACGAGGTGGAGACACGAGGGTTCAGGCTGGTTTGTCTACAGTGGAATGGAGTCTCCTAAACTCAATGGCAAAGGTCACAGGATGGTCAGCTGTGAGAAGAGAGCAGGGAATCAAGGGCAGCAGCTTGTTTTGTCCTACAAACACTGTCCTAAAAACACTGCAAAATTCTCATGTTGAAACAAAACTCCTGGATATCTACACAAAAATCTGCACACAAATATTCCTAGCAACATTACTCATAATACCCCAAAAGTGGAAACCACCTCACTATGAACGGAGTGTCTCCAAAATTCATATGTTGAAGTCTTAATCTCCATTGTGATGATATTTGAAGGTGGGGCTTTGGGGAGGTAATTAGGGAGAAGGAGGAGCCTTTGCGAATGGAATTGATGCCGTTAGAAGAAGAGACAGGAGAGAGATCATCTCTCTCTGCCACAGGAGGATCCAGCATAAAGATGGCGTCCTGCAAGAGCTCCCTCACTGAGCACTGAATCAGCCAGCCGCTTGATCACAGACTTCCAGACTCCAGAACTGTGAGAAATAAACGTCTGTTGTTTAAGCCACTCAGGCTGAAGCGAGTGTTGTGGCAGCCAAACAGACTAAGACAAACCCAAATGCCCATTAACTGATAAATGGATGCATAAAATGTTATAATATTGTATGCAATATTATTTCATAAAAATGAAGGAAATTATTCCACAATACAAAGGAATACAATTATGATTCATGCGACAATACGGTTGAATCTTCAAGACATTATACTAAGTGAAAGAAGTCAGGAACAAGGGTCCCATATAACCATAGGTTCCACTTACACAAACGTCCACAACACATAAATCTAGAAACAGAAACTACGTTAGTGGCTGCCTAGGGTTTAGGATGAGGAGGGTAGATGTGAAGAATGAAGGAGGTGTGACTGCAATAGGGTACAGTTTCTTTTAGGGTAATGAAAATATTCTAAAATTGATTGCAACTCTGTGGATATGCTGAAAACCATTGAATTATATACTTAAAATAGGTGAATTGCATAGTATGTGAATTATACCTCAATGAAGCTGTTACCAAAAAAACCCCCACAATATTCTACTTAGAATATTGTGCTTAGAAACAAAATAAGTTCTCCAATTGTTGGGGGTCTGGGGAGGAACTCATGGTGTTTCATCAAAATGATCCAAAATTGATTCTGTTCTGATCTAGCCTCTTCTCCCAGACATCCTTAACTCAGCAAATGGCCCCACACTCTGCCACAGCTAGAAAGCTATGAGTCATCCTTGATTTCTCCTCTTCCTGCACCATCCCCCAAATTCAAATGCATCAGCAACTCCTGTCCATTACCTCTCCAAAATACACCTCACACTTCACCCATTTATGCTCCTCCTCAATGCCACCAACCTAGTCCAAACCATCACCCTCTCTCAATTCTGACACATCTTGTTCCCATTCTTGCCATCCTCTGATCCATTCGCAATGCATGGCAAGTTATTGTTTCACAACATAAGTCAGCTCCTGGCTCTCCAAGGCAGACACCCTTCTCTGGTCGCACAAGGCAGGAACTGAAGATCCACCCTTCCTCGTGCCTCCAGCGCTCTGCTCATCATGACCCCCTAAGCTACTCCAGACATGCTCTGCTCCCTTTCGCCCTCAGCTATGCCAAAGCCTTTATCGCCTCCAGCCCTTTGCACTTGCTGTTCCCTCTGCCTGGGCCCCTCTTCCTTCACATCTTTGCATGACTGACTGGCTGTGACTCATCCTTTAAGGGTCCCAACTCAGACCTCTCTCAGAGAAGAGGCCCCTGACCACCCTGTGCAGAGGGGCCCCACTCAGTTCCACCTTATCTCATCCAGTGTTCCTGTTACAGCACTGCTTGCAAATTGTAGTTACCTTGTTTGTTTGTCTACTCTGTTCTCATCTGCCTTACCCACTAGAAACTGGATCCAATCTTTTCTTTTTATTCAAACACCTTCTATAAATATTTGCTTTTTGTTTTTGTTTTTGTTTGAGACAGGGTCTCACTCTGTTGCCCAAGATGGAGTGCAGTGGCGCGATCACTATGAAAAGATCAGGTCACAGGGATACAAAGACGACCAGGATTTGTAGTTGACCAGGATTTGGTGCTACCCTAAAAGAGGTCTTCTTTTCTGGGGGACAGGGACACAGTAATGTAAACGTGTATTTCAATGCAATATGATAAATGTTCTGAGTACTTTTGCTATTGAAGCACAGAGATAAAGCTCTCTCCAAGTCTGAGTCATATTTGTTCTGGAAGAATCAAGGAATTTTGAAGACAGAAAAATGAAGCAAGGGCTCTCCGGTTTTATTTGCAATGTTCTGTGTTTCCAAATCACTTTTAGTAATCTGCCTTTTGAGAGAGGCATCCCCTTTACCACCCTGCCTAAGAGGAAAATTAATTCGATAATTATTTAAAATTTGGTAGGTTTCAAAGGAATGGGTATTTGGAGCACACTTCACTAGTCTTTCCCCTTTTGTTTTAAAAATTTGCCAAAGTAAAAAGTTGCTTTAGAAAGTAGAAAACCAATAATGACACTAGCAACCTGGAATGCAGTAGAGGCAGCTATCCGGCATATCTCAGATTATAATATTCAAATACATGCCGAAGACAAACACAATTTGGCATGCTACAGAACTAGAGAAACAGGTAGGCCTGAGAGTTACTTGAATTTTTTCTGGGGCAGAAACTCAGAAATCCAAAAATGATCTTATTTACAAGCCTTTAGTCTGAGTTGACCTTTCTTCTTTAAAAGACATCGATGCCCTTTCGTTGTTTCATTTTCTGCCAATTTCCAAATGTTCTCCAAGAAAAAGACAACCTCTGAAATTCACCAAAAAATGAATAAATAAAAACCCTCTAAATCAATCACTAAATGAGGAAAAATAGACAGAACTTCGTTAATTGACTCAGGCTTTTAAAAATTGTCTCTCCTGATGGGGACTGAGGGATGAGATCTTGAAGCTCACAGAACACAGAGTGAGTCAACAGCGGCATCTAGTGTTCAATCAGAATCCTGCAAAGCCCCTCGTTGGAGATGGGAGGATCTGTGTGTTATTGTAAGAGGCAAATCAGTTACATTTATCCACTCGTGGAAATCATTGAGAAGCACTCACCCGAGTGTTTATGGTGCTGCTTCCATAGATGTTCACAGGAGAAGGACGCAGGTTGTCCTAATTCCAGAGAGACGGAACATCACACAGCCTTGGCATGCATCTCACCTGCATCTCAGCCTCATCTCAGCTTCCCCTCAGACTCAAACTCAAAGACAGGACTATGTGCCTGAGAGTCCCTGAAGGGCAGAAGCCCTCTAAGGTGGTTTATCAGCCTTCTCTGGAGTAAACGGAATAGATTGTGTTAATTGTTGGAAATAATCCTGCTTTTGCCTTAACTTTTTTCTGGACACCCTGAACTCTTCAGTGAATAGTGAATTCTGGGGAAACTATTTAATCGGCTACAATCTATAAATAAGGGGTGATTTTGGATCTGTGTATGCCAGTGATTTTCACCATTTTTCCCCAGCAATGAAATGATTTAAGGGAAAAACATGAGATATTTGGAATGACAATGTTACAAAGAATAGATACATATACATAATCTATAGCTGATCTCTTTAAAGGGGGGTTGGTGTAGAAAAACCAGACCTACAGGCACTCAGCCATCCAGAACTCCCACCCTTCCCTTGCCTCTCCTCACCCCACTCTCCTTGGCCCCCCACCCTATTGGCCCCAGCCCCGTGCCACTCCCAGCTGCTGAGGCTTATCTGCAGAGACCTAGGTCCTCCTAGAATAACAGAAGCCTTTTAAACTTGGATCTGTTTTCTTTAGGAGAAAAGTGACAGAAAGGCACCCAACAGACCTGGGCAAAGGATACAAGGTACATTAATACAGGTTAAGATGTAACCTAGCGGACACAGAGAGCTACAAAAAGGGGGAGGCTTAGCAGCATTTTGGCAGTTGGAAAGACAAGCTTCCCTTGTTTTCTATACCCACCAAGGTGCCCTGCCTTCATCCTCACCACTTTGCTGATGGCATTATGTCTTTGGCTGAGGATGCCATCAGATCCTTTGGGAAATTCTCCTTGCCATTCTGAGAGATTTTATACCCTCCTGAGCCCTCCCGGGGGCTGCCCACCTGTCTGCCCATAGATGCAAGTTACTGGTGACAGTGCCAGCAAAAATCTGAAGGTTTACTGAAAGGAGAGTCAGTGGGCAGTATCTTCCTAACACCATGTGCCTTGGAGCTTCCTCTATAATTATTCATTCATTCACTTCATTCACTGAGAAAGCATAATTGGGTATATTCCAAACTACCCCAACCAAAAGGCCAGCATTTGTTATGGTTGGAAACTACTTGTTTACCTAGATTATAAAAATAATAAGCCCGGGCACAGTGGCTCATGCCTGTAATCCCAGCACTTTGGGAGGCCGAGGCAGGTGGATCACCTGAGGTCAGGAGTTCACGACCAGCCTGGCCAACATGGTGAAACCCGTCTCTACTAAAAATACAAAAAATTAGCTGGGCATGGTGGTGAGCGCCTGTAATCCCAGCTACTCAGGAGGTGGAGGCAGGAGAAACACTCTAATCCGGGAGGCGGAGGAAGTTGCAGTGAGCCAAGATCGTGCCATTGCACTCCAGCTTGGGCAACAAGAGTGAAACTCCATCTCAAAATAATAGTAATAATAACAGCATCTTCTAAACAACAAAAAGCCTGGAAGCCAGCCCTTATGGCTGAAATGTCATTTGTATGGCTTATCAGAGAATAAAATGAAGATTCCTCTCCATCTCTTTCACTCAGTAAACTATGTGTCAGATGTATGTCATTCTTACTCAAAGCTTATTAATGATAGGTAACACTGAGCAATTGCCACAAGACGGGCTTTCTTCTCAATACTTCATCTCGGGATTTCTCAATCTCAGCATGACTAGTATTTTGGGATGTACAGTTCTTTGTGATGGGGGCCTGTATTAAGCATTGTAGGATGTTTAGCAACATCCCCGGCCATCCACCACATGAGAATTGCTTCCCCCAACCCCTGCACCAGTTGTGACAGCTAAGAATGTCTCCAGATATGGCCAAATGTCCCCTGGGGAGCAAAATTGCTCCCCTCCCCTGTTATATAAGAATCATTACCTTGACCAGGTGCAGTGGCTTATGCTTGTAATCCCAGCACTTTGGGAGGCCAAGGCAGGGGGATTGCTTGAGTTCAGGAGTTCGAGACCAACATAGTGAAACCCCATCTCTACTAAAAAATACAGAACATTAGCTGGGCATGGTGGCACATGCTTGTAGTTCCAGCTACTCAGGGGGGCTGAGTTAGGAGGATTGCTTGAGCCTGGGAGGTTGAGGCTGCAGTGAGCCCTGATGGTGCCACTGCACTCCAGCCTGGGTGGCAGAGCAAGACCCTGTCTCAAAAAAAAAAAAAAAAAGTCACTGCCTTATAAATTAATTATATAATTCATGCAAAAATCTATACAGATTAGATGGTTTTATTTCTCCTGTTTTAAGTTGACAAAACCAAAGCACAAAAGGTTGTATAACTTTCCCAACTGTACACAACTAAACTCATCTTAGATGAGCACTCCAGCTCCAGAGCCTATGCTCTCCACCACTCTGTTCCATTCTCCTCTAAATTCCAAGCCCCAGTTTATTAACCAGAATCAGCAGAACTCTCAGAAGAGCTGGTAATTTCCCTGGCACCATCACTGTCTTGGGTGGATGTGCTGCCTCTTCCAGAGGCCTGGACAGTAAAAAGAAAAACAAGAGTTAAATCAGATCTTTTCAACCTTGCCCTCATGTGTGAAACTACATTTCTCAGGACATCTCAGCTAAGAAGTTACTATAAAGTTTCAAGAGCCATCACAAAACAAAATTTCTCCAGTTTCATCTCAACTCACTGTGGCCACCCTCACCACCTTTAAATTCCTTCCAAAATCTTTGGGCCCCTGATTTACTCAGAAACCACAGCTGGAACCACTTCAAGTGGGATCTTAGTGGGTGCCGTGTGAATTGATCAATTCCCATGCACTAGCTCATTTAAACTTTATAACAAGTATTTTACCCATTTAACTATAGGGGAAACTAAGGATTAAAGTGATTAAATAACTTGCCCAAAGTCACTCACATTATTAGTCAGTATTCTTCCAAGAAACATAATCAAAATGAGAAATCTATCTATCTATCTATCTATCTATCTGTCTATCTATCTATCTGTCCATCTATCTATCTGTCCATCTATCTAGGGTCCATAAGACATTTTGATACAGGTATGCAATGCATAATAGTCACATCATGGAAAATGGGGTATCCATCTTTCAAGCATTTATCTTTCGTGTTACAAACAATCCAATTACACTCTTTTAGTTACATTAAAATGTACAATTAAACTATTATTGCCTATAGTCACCCTGTTGTGCCATCAAATACTAGATCTTATTCATTCTTTCTAATTTATTTTGTACCCATTAACCAGCCCTACCTTCCCCTCAAACCCCTTCTCCACTACCCTTCCCAGTCTCTGATAACCATTCTTCCACTCTCTACCTCCATGAGTTCAATTGTTTTGATTTTTAGATCCCACAAATAAGTAAGAACATTCAATGTTTATCTTTCTGTGCCTGGCTTATTTCACTTAACATAATGACCTCCAGTTCATCCATGTTGTGCAAATGACAGGATCTCATTCTTGTATATATGCACCACATTTTCATTATCCATCCATCTGTTGATGGACACTTAGCTTGCTTCCAAATCTTGGCCATTGTGAACAGTGCTGCAACAAACATAGGAGCGCAGCTATCTCTTTTTGATACACTGATTTCCTTTCTTTTGAGTATATACTCAACAGTGGGATTGCCAGATCATGTGGCAGCTCTATTTTTACCTTTTCGAAGAAACTCCAAACTGTTCTCCATAATGGTTGTACTAATTTACACTCCCACCAACAGTGTATGAGGGTTCCCTTTTCTTCACATCCTTGCCAGCATTTGTCATTGCCTGTCTTTTGGATATAAGCCCCTAAGACATCTTCAGACATGCCTGAATCCTTGAGTGGACACAACATCCAGTCTTTCTCCAAAGGTGCTCCAGAGATCACCTGCATCAAACTATCCTGGAGCAGGAAGCATGAAAGCTGTCTAGTTTCTCAGGCAGGTGATCAAGGTCAACACCATCATACTAAGTTGCCTTGTTAATGTGTAACCTTTATATGATGTGATGAAAATGACACTTCATCTCTGTGGCCTCCCCCCAATCTAATCACAAGAAAAATATCAGACAAATCCCAATTGAGGTATATTTTTACAAAATATTTGGCCAATACTCTTCAAAAACATGGACAGTCCAAGACACTATCATGCCCAAGAGGAGGAACCTAAGGAGGCATGACAACTAAATGTAATGTGGCATTAGGTAAAAACCAAGGAAATAGGAATGGAGTAGAGCCTTTAATTAATAATAATGTATCAATATTGGTTCACTAGATATGACTAACCATACTCATGTGAGATGTTAATAACATGGAAAACTGGTTGTGGGGTATATGAAAACTTTCTTTTTTTTTTTTTTTTGACACAGTTTTGCTCTTGTTGCCTAGACTGCGGTACAATGACATGATCTCCGCTCACTGCAACCTCTGCCTCCCTCATTCAAGCGATTCTCCTGCCTCAGCCTCCCTAGTAGCTGGGAATACAGGACCCCGCCACTACACCCAGCTAATTTTTTGTATTTTTAGTAGAGATGGGGTTTCACCATGTTGGCCAGGCTTGTCTCGAACTCCTGACTTTAGGTGATCTACCTGCCTCGACCTACCGAAGTGCTGGGATTGCAGGCATGAGCCACTGCACCCAGCTCATGAAAACTTTCTGCACAATCTTTGCAAATTTCTATAAATGTAAAACTATTCTAAAATAAAAAGTCTATTAAAAATGCCTATTTTCAGGCCTCATGCTAGTCCTTCAGAATTACACTATCCTGAGTGGGATGCAGACACCTACATATCTAACAAGACCCCCAGGTCTGAAAACTAATTTAGGATTAGCTGGAACTCCTACTACACTCAGAAGGCAACACCCTTGCAGCCACCTGCTCAGCTGCCCAAAAGAAAGGTGCAGAAGCTTCAACAGAGACGAAGTTCAGGATACTAAAGAGTAGATACTTAGCTTCTAGAACACAGCAGCCAGTTCCTTTGTCTCGTGTATTATATTGCCATCAAATGCCTCTGAATAGAAATCATCAGTTCAATTTTTGCCCCAAAATTGGATTTGAACCTCTTGCAGTAATGATGCTAATAAAATTACCTCTAATAAGATATCTAAACTGCATTTTTGCACTCTGCCATTAACAAAGTAAAACACTTAATGGTTAATTTGTCCTGCATCTTGGCTCACCACTGTATCTCTCAAAGAGTAACAAAACCAGCCGGGCAAGGTGGCTCATGCCTGTAATCCCAGCACTTTGGGAGGCCGAGGCGGGCAGATCACAAGGTCAGGAGATCGAGACCATCCTGGATAACACAGTGAAACCCCGGCTCTACTAAAAATACAAAAAATTAGCCAGGCCTGGTGGCGGGCACCTGTAGTCCCAGCTACTCAGGAGGCTGAGGCAGGAGAATGGTGTGAACCCGGGAGGCAGAGCTTGCAGTGAGCCGAGATTGCGCCACTGCACTCCAGCCTGGGCAACAGAGTGAGACTCCGTCTCAAAAAAAAAAAAGAGTAACAAAACCAATATTTATAAAAGTTGTCCATGGCTCTGGAAATTTTTCATCAGGCTTGAAAGAGCTAAGTAACTACTCCTCTGTAACAGATTTCTGACATGAATATAACGAAAATACTGCCATTCCTTACTTGAATTAAGATACATCAGGACCAAATTATATTGCAAAATGTAGCAGTAACATGCAGCAACATGCAAACAGAACATGATGAAGCGGAAAGACAATTAAACTTGAGATCATAGTCACAGGTAGTAGACCATGTTGCAGTTACCAGCTTTGTGGCTTCTGAGGAGTTACCTGAACCCACATTAGCAAAACGATCAGTTTGGAATAGAAGACTTGTAAGATCCATTTGAGCTCTGGAGTTTTCACTATGGAATCTCAAAGCCAGGAGTTAGTCTTGCACCCAATATCACAGTGCTAAAACTTGGATTTGTAAACTCAAAATAATTTAGAACATAATTCAGAAACTAATGATAAAAGGTAAATGTAAAACTTGAGCATCTTTGTCCTTGAGAATTATGTCCCACAACATGAACTCAGCCAGTATCAAAGGCATTCAAAGATGCCTTTCAATCCATTTTGCCTCTATTACAAATGCTGCCATGTGAGACAGAGACCCAAGGATAAAAGCTGACAAGTAGTAGAGAACAGAAAAGCCCCATAAAACAGATGTTTTAAACATGAAGCAGGTGTTGATGTTTATTTATACCTGGCTGCTGCATAGATTGACATTCTTAAAATTTCAAAGTAGAGTTTCTCCCCCACAGACAAGGGACAATGAAAACAAATAGACAAGTCACAAAAGAAATAAAAATGGTAAACAAGCATATGGAATAATGTTCAACCTAACTAATAAACATGCAAATTAAATCAACAAGGAGGTACCAATTTTTTTCTTACCAATTTTTTTACTAGTGTATTTTTCTGTGATGACAAAGATATAGTGAAACTATATTCTCATACATCACTGGTAAGTGATAGCATAAATTTGTACAGGTCTTTTGGAAAATATGTAATGATAAGCATAAAGAATGATTTATATATTCATGACCTTTGATTCTGCAATTTCACTAAGAACACAGGACAAAGCAATATGCATGAAGATGTTCACTGCAGAGAAAAATTGGAAACAGCCTCTAAAAGTCCAGAAATAGATGAAAGATTGTAAACTTTGTTACATCTACTCAAATATTATATAGCTTTGTAAAAATGATGTTCTCAGAGGCTATTTAGTAACATAAAATGTTTATGACTTGTGAAATGTGGTAAACTACCAGATCATATATATACACACACATATATATATATATCTTTGGCTTATGCAATGTTTTTAAAATTTTAATTTAGTGAACATTTCCATACTGAGAAAATTTACACAAAAATATGTTTGTTTGGCTCTACTCAAAAAATCAGAATAACTGGCAAAACTGAGCCCTCGTACATGACAATTATTTGCAGCTGAGTAGTAACTCTTCCCTTTAGGACAAAAAATATATAACCCCCTTTGATCTACAGTCCCAATCCAATGGCTCGTGGAAGCATTTGAGTTCATAATCCCTGACCTAAATTTAAAAATCAGGGTTTAAAATTATACATATAGGCCAGGCACGTGGCTCTTACCTGTAATCCCAGCACTTTGGGAGGCTGAGGTGGGCGGATCACCTGAGGTCAGGAGTTTGAGACCAGCCTGGCCAACATGGTGAAACCCCGTCTCTACTGAAAATACAAAAATTAACCAGCCGTGGTGGCAGGTGCCTGTAATCCCAACTACTTGAGAGGCTGAGGCAGGAGAATTGCTTGAACCCGGGAGGCAGAGGTTGCAGTGAGCCAAGATTGCGCCACTGCACTCTACCCTTGGCGACAGAGCGAGACTTCATCTCAAAAAAAAAAAAAATTATTATTATACATATAAATTTTAAATATGCACATAAAAAAGAATGAAATATCCCAAATTGCTACGAATGCTTGGTTGTCTTACAGTTCTGATATTATAGTTGATTTTTTTTTTAATTTTCTGCACTTCTCTTTTATTTGGAAAATGGGTTAGAAATTAGAAATTAGAAACCTGAGCCAATGTGACCTCTCAGTAAATGTCCAGTCTTTTAGTAAATACCAATAATCTCCAGCAACAAAAAAAATAAAGTGAAGACGATATATTTATTTCCCCATAATCTTGTGACCAGGTGGCGTGTTACAATGAAAGCAAGTGTTGCCCCAAATTCTTCTAAACGTACAATTGTTATTGGCCAGAAATTCTACCTTTGCTTCCTGTAATCCCAAATAAGTCCTCCTTTCTGTTCTCAGCCACAAATATTGAAATAAAAATGGCAGTGAAAGTTTCATTCTTAGGCAGACACAACAATATTCCAATAATAAGATCCGACAACATATCGTCAGGTGTGTGAAGTAGGCAGATAAAAAACAAATGGAGCTCTAGGCCTTGAGTACTGCTGGGTTTGACAGATTTTTAGTATCTTCTTCCTAAAAAAGGTGATGGAAACCAGACAGAAAAGTATTCCTAGTATCATTTACACAGCTTAATAAACTTTCGGATACAAATTTTGATGAAGATAATTGAAATGATTAAGCAACCATCTCTAGAAAGTGGATTCCTGATTAAGATACTTCAAATGCTAACTATATGTCTCTAGAATATATGATAAAGTTCAGTTACACATATGCATAATTCACACTACATGTTTAAAAATGTTTAAAATAAATTGCTGCATAAAAACTACAGATGTTTTTTTAAAAAGTAATGATCTATAGGCCTAAGCTTCCTCTAGCTATTATGTCATTATTTTATTTCTGTATTTCTAATTCTATTCTCTCCAAATTTATTATCTTTAAATACTTAGAACATAGGTGAGAAACAATATCAAATAAATCCGCTATAGCTAATAAGTGATTAAATGATGAGACTCAAGCTAAAATCTGGTTGCCTGACTTAGTTCTCCACAACCCAGTGTTCTAAATCCATATGTTTAAGTGACTTGAAAACTGGATACCCAAATGTCCATCCATAGTGTGTCAAAACAGAAGATGGAAGAATATTCTAGAAGTTAATAACACTTGCTGAAACATTGTAAATAGCAAGTTCAAAGTGGCTACCCATTTTCATCCTGTACGTAGTTGTGATTTAGAAGTTATGAGAGTATACTCCCTTCACTGCAAAATATTTCTTGTGATATTAGTAATAGAAAGTGATCCGAGGAAATGAATAAATACATTAATTCAATGGAAAGGAAGCCAGGGTTGTGCCATGATCCCTCTCTGGGCATTGGAAAATAGTCAGATAAATTGGTTTCTGCTGCTACCACTGCAGTTCTTTTCCAAAAGTTACTGCCATTAGTCGGATAACTCCTAGGGAAACTTAACATTTAATGTCTTCACTAAAGAAAGGACACTTGATGATGGTCTTGAAAAACCATCACATTGGAAAATATGTGATAGTGATTGTATTGGCAACTCAGATACTGTCACAGTTGGGTTCCCTGAGGGAAATTATTTTGAAATGGAGATTGGCATGAAAGAAGTCTATTAGCAAATTCCTGTGGAGGAGAGAAGGAAGACAGGCTTGGGGAAAGGGAGAGATTTTACTAAGATGCAGTCACAACAAAAGCCTCAGCCAACCTAATAGGGAACTCTGGAGCAATGTAAGTGTATGTGTGTTGTGTGTGTGCGCGCGTGTGTGTGTGTCCATCATAAATATTTTCTATCTCAAGGGAATACAGTTTTTGATCTACCATTCTGATGGGTGGGGGAAGAAAACATTTGACAGATCAGTGGCCACAAACCATGTAGCTGACCTTGTCTTAGTCTATTCTAGCCAAGGTTTCACATCTGGTACAGACGCTGCAGTTACGGTTACTACTTGGCTGAGTTTTCAATAGTCCACTTTCATTCTCCAGTGTCTGGTTTTTACAGAGGTCAGAGTGGTGAATTAAATGGAATTATGATAAGGCTCAACATTCCCGCTTCCACATGGCTTTCCCTTTAAGAAAATTCTAACACACAAGCCAAGAAAGGAATGGCGGTTCTGTCAACTCCCAAGTATGTTCAGTCTGATTATTTATTCTGAAAGTAAGGAGATGACAGGGACAGGGAGTCTAAGTAGGGGGATGATTATTCTGAAAGTAGTAGTCGACAGGCAGACTACCATTGGGTAGAGCCATGAATTCAGTGGACCTAGTGTTAAGTAATACCTGGAAAAGAACTCCATTTATTACCTGAATCCCATATGCCCCTCACTCCAAAAGGTGGACTGTAGTGATACTCTGGTCCTGAAGTATCACTGTCAGCTTGGACCTTGTGTCTCAGCGCCCTCAGATTATTCATGTACTCCCCTTCCCCAGTGTACAGTTATCCAAGTAAATAACCATAGGGACATCATTGCCATACACACTTGCAGTGGTTTTACAAAGACCTTCTTGGAGACCTAGACTTTCCTTCAATCAGCAGTTTCTGCATTTGGAAAATAACAAAGGTCTGAAAATTTGGCAAAAGATTATAACCTTTTATTAAGGTGGCTGTGTCCTATCTCCTGATCACCCATCCTTGAGGTCTTTTGAAGGTATCGTTTGAGCAATACTCATTTTAGACTTATTTTGCTCCTAAAGATGGCATGTTCCATTAACTGTCTCCAAAGCTCTCTGCAGGAATCCTTCAACCTGGCCACTCATTGTGATAATTGTATCCATTTGTCTTCTGATAGTGACTCACTGCCATTGGGCCTCTGTTCTTCCATGTCCATTGCTGTCAGTGAGCTCACTTCTGTAACAGCATCTGGCCTTCAGAACTGCCACTGAGCTTCTCAGGGATGCTGGTGCCCTCTCACCAATGCATTCCTTATCCCTTTAGTACATGTGTCCTCTGTGCCTTCTTGGGTGTCCCTTTGCCTTTAAGAAAGCATAAATAATATTCTGTGCAACACATCCATGAACTGTAAAACCAGGTGTTTGATCTACTGGTTAGAGGGTTTTCTCCTGGTGCATTTTAAAATAAATATTAATATAAAAACTTCCATCCATCTACCACCCCAAATCAACCTGCATACACAGATGAGCCTTTAAGAAGTACTAAAGTAAGAATATAAAAAAAAATGAAAAAGGAGTACTAAAGTAGTCGACAGGGAGACAAAAAGTGGGAAACTCTCTGGCCTCCCACACTTCTGTGGCTACTGGTCCTGCCGAGCACACTGTGACATCTACAGTGGCCACCTGAGGCACCCCTGCGCCCCTCTCATGCACTGCCATGTCCACTGGACTTAACACACATCTAATCCTTGACTGGCTTTAGGATGATGGGAGGTCCTTAAACCCATGAGTGTTTCAGCCTCTCTGCCCTTTAATTTAAAGGGATTATGGAAAGAATATCTATCCCTTCTTATGTCAGAAATATAACACACATCCAGCTGAAAAGTAAATACAGGAGTCTTTTAATTCCTTGTAAGGAAAATTTCCTGGATAATTCCATGTATTTTAATAATCACAGAGATAGTCCTATCCTTATTCATTATCAAAAATACTGTGGTAACAATTTATAGATGCACACAATCTCATCTATTTTGACATAAAAAAGGCAGAAAGGCAAAATACAAATTCTGAGACCGAGAGTAAAACAATACGACATCCTTAGGTTTATTTATTTTATTGTTTGTTTCACTGTTTGAATGTTTATCTTGCGAGAGTCTACAGAATTGAGAGAAAATATCTGCAGGCTAATTTTACATAACATGAGGCAAAGATTAAGCACTAAATATAAAAAATAAAACTTTTAGCTTGCTTATTAAACTAGGAAGAATTTTCCTGAAACACAGCAGTTAAATTGGTCTACAATGCATTAATAAATGGAGAACACGGATCTCGCCTATGAAATATTTTAAACATTGTGGACGCTACCAAAAAGCTCATTGGTATATAAAAATTTTCAAGTCACAGTCCTCTAAGCAGACTAAATACAAGTTAGTTTTTAACCTGAATTCAGAAGTGCAAAATCTGTAAAAATAAAAATATTTCCATTTTTCTCAGCAATCTATGGATTAACCTTACAAATCCTTAAAGTCTTTTCAGTAACATGAACCATGATCTCTTGACAAGTTCCTTGCTTAAGTGGCAAGTAACTTTTGAAGCTGGACTTCTCAATCTGTAGAGAGAAGCAAGCTGCATTCACAGCATTGCTCCCTTTTGAAAATTATCTTCTGAAGAGAAGAAGGTCCAGCAAAGATCTTCAGTGCAATACTCCCTGCATATGTGCAAGTCTGCATGAGAGGTCCCCCCACAGGTGCAGCTGCCAGCCAACGAATCAGAAACAGATGAAAGAGGAGAGAAGAAAACAGAGGTCAAACACTTCAGTTTACAGATGCTATTCCAGATAAAATGCCAAGGGCTTGGCCGGGCGCGGTGACTCACGCCTGTAATCCCAGCACTTTGGGAGGCTGGGGCAGGCGGATGACGAGGTCAGGAGATCGAGACCATCGTGGCTAACATGGTGAAACCCCGTCTCTACTAAAAATACAAAAAATTAGCCAGGTGTGGTGGCACGCGCCTGTAGTTCCAGCTACTCCAGAGGCTGAGGCAGGGGAATCACTTGAAACCGGAAGGCGGAGGTTGCAGTGAGCCGAGATCGCACCACTGTACTCCAGCCTGGGCGACAGAGCGAGAGTCCATCAAAAAAAAAAAAAAAAAAAAAAAGAGCGAAAGGCTTTTGGAATAGAAATGGACAATATACAAAGATGAGAGAACCAGATATCAATAATGTTGGGAATTTAAAATGCAAGTACAACACATGAATACATAACTCTTTTTTTTTTTTTTTTTTTTTTTTTTTGAGACGGAGTCTCGCTCTGTCGCCCAGGCTGGAGTGCAATGGTGCAATCTCGGCTCACTGTAACCTCCACTGCCCGGGCTCAAGCGATTCTCCTACCTCAGCCTCCTGGGTAGCTGGGATTACAAGCGCGTGCCATCACACCTGGCTAATTTTTGTATTTTTAGTAGAGACAGGGTTTCACCATGTTGGTCAGGCTGGTCTTGAACTCCTGACCTCATGATCCACCCACCTTGGCCTCCCAAAGTGCTGGGATTACAGGCATGAGCCACCACGCCCAGCCATTCCTTGTCATTTCTATCATTTGATACATCTATACTTCTGAATAATCATAACTGATACTCAAAGAGATGCCCTGACACCCTCCAAGGTTCTACAAGGTGACCAAATCAGAGAGGTCACCTCATGCCTAGTATTATTTTGGGGTTAGCATACATTTTATAATAATTATTTTAAAACTGGCAATCCATTTTGGGACTCAATGACAGCTCTCTCTATTAATCATATTGTTTTATTAACTGAAATAGTCCACTCAGTCAGTAGGATTAATGATCAGAGATTATGACACAACTAAAACCAAAGCTGGGGCAATGGGCTCTCAGAATGGAACCACCCATTATGAACTATCCATCTGACCAACTCTTTAACTTTCTTCCTAAATATGAGATCACCAAGGCGTTTCAATGCAGCCTGCACAATTCATGGGGCAGGGTCCTCAGATTAAAGACTTTACATTTATGTAGAATTCAGTATCATTTTTCACTAAGCAAACTCTATTTGCTCACTCTCTTCTACATGTAATTGTCCAACTTTGGTTGACTGCTGAGTCCTCATGGAAGAATTCCCATTCTGCCCCTGAGCCTCTCCTTTAGGGACTTGGAAACGGAAGGTAGTGCAGTTCTTTCTGGCCATCTGCCAGGCATGGAACCCCAGGCTTCTTGGGGTAAGTTCGACGAGCAAGCTTAAAGAACTCTTCTGCAGCATCAAGTGCAATGAGACGGTCCTGCAAAAACAAACAACAAACCAAAAAACTGCTGGCAAGATAGGAACCAAGACATGTCGATGGGAAAAAGCAATCTAACAACAACAAAACCCACCCTGGAAATGACAATGAGCAAGTAAGACGTTTATTAATTTTTTCCTAACAAATGTAGAGACACGCCTTAATCCTTTAGTTACATTATCCAAGAAACATTTCCCCACTCCTTAGCGTCCTTTCTCCTTTCAGATTATTTCTTAGTCTTATAGGTTAAATAAACAATACTTCTCACATCTCTTTGACCTACAAATGGTTCAGAAAATAGACTACACAGTAGAATTCACTGAAAAATACAAACTCTTGAGCTGGAACCCAAGCCTCAGTAGGTCTACGTGTGATACAGAAATCTGAACTTTTAAAACTCTTTAGGTGATTCTGATGCTGCGGGCCACTGGGGACCACAGCATATAATGCCAGCATCTGCCACCTCATATGTGATAGTGATGGTGGTGTTGGAATACGGAGGATAGTGAATAGTTTTAAAAAGCCAAGCAATTAAAGCAAAATTAGGGCAAATGAAAAAAAGCATCCACTTACCACAACAAAGAGATATCTCTCTGAGAGCTCCCAACTTGTTGGGAAAATATTGGTTTCTTCAGCCAGTTTTAACAACATCTCTCGAGCTTTCCTTGTGTTTTTAGAATCACTGATGGTGCTGAGTTTAGTCACTGACAACAAAGAGTCAGCTTCCTTTTGAAAACCTAAGGTAGAAAAATGGACCACTCATGTAAAGTAGTCCCAAGTTAACAAGTGTTCCGCAATACGGTCCCTGCAGGAGATTACGAACAGACCCATGTGGATTCTGTACAAGCATAAAGCATCAGAAAACTGAAGCCAAAGGTACTATTCCATGTGCTGCCTCCCAGATCCATGTGATTGGCAGGATATTTAATTACAATTCTTTCGGTATTTTTTTTCTCTTTGTTAACTTTTCCCTCAGAGCCTCAGATACTCATCCACTGGTTGCTTGCCACCTTGTTTCTGGTTTGAAGCCCTCTTTCCTGTCCTCCCTACTCTTTAGCTTCTCCCCTGTCCCCAGAATTCCTACCTGCCTCCCAGCCTGCAAAGTGGTTCCCTCCAGGCTGTCCTTCTCCAAACCTGGATTTTCTTCCTCAGGGTAATATGATTAGCTGGTAAAAATCACTCACCCAAAAGTATAAAGGATTCAAAGACTTAAACCTACTTGGAGTAACTTTCATTGTTTAAAAAAAAAAAAAGGCTATTAGCTCACAACAATACTAGATATGCAAAGAGGGCAGAGATCCCATCCCATCCCATTGCATGCCAACCAAAGCCATAGAGATCGGTCACATGGCCCCCCACGCTTGAAAAGTGATGATGCCAAGATGTCATGCTCTCTTTCAAAGCAAAAGGATCAAGGACTTCAGAACTGATAAATTCACTTTTTAAACATTGAAGCAGGATTATATAATGTGGGGGCCACATTTATTGTATCACAATCCCGGGAGAATTGAGAAAAATCATTATCATTAACCATTAGTGATGAGGGCAGGTATCTACCCTAATGCCACAAGTGTTTTTCCCAACCTCGAAGCTTTTCTTCCATATTTCTTCCGAAATTCTACACTGAGTTTTGCTGTCTGTCTTGCAAACAATATTTCTCCCAACCTGCTTCATCTTACAAAGCTATGACTAATTGGCCAACACCCCATCTAATTAAATTAATGTACAATGCCAAAAAAGTAAATGTTAGTGCCCACATGACTGCACTGGCATGCGTACCCTATACTAGGGACAGATGGAGTAACACATGGCAGAGTGTGTCCTGAAGACATGGACTGGTGACAACAGAAACATCAGGCATTTATGCTTGAGGATATAAGAGCAAGATTGGGAGAATAATTAGTACACAGTAGTCTTAATTAGGCAATTATTGACATTCCTTTTATAAAAACCATGGTGGAGAAATTGAAGAATAATGATCACAACGAGTTATTTTTACCATTTCACAATCTCTTTTAGACTTACCTAAATCTTCTAAGATGCACTTCCATCTGTTTCTTACTTCCCTTCGAACCTGCCGCAGGGTATGGATATCATAGTTGAGCTTCTGCCACTCCTGCAGGAAAATAAAAGTTTAGTTTTATTTATACCCCTTGGCTTAAACCTCTATCTCATTCCCAAACTTCATGTTGCCTAAACACCTGGCTCTTCTCTTTTATTAATCTTCAAAGCAAGCCTAAAAGAAGAGAAGGAGATGGATGAGATAAAGTTGATAGGAATACTATCAGCTACCACTGCTGGAGAATCTGCTCTGCACCAGGTGATATGGCACCTTGCATAAATTATCTTACTGAAACTCTTCATATTACATATTCTCTCAATTTAGTGATCTCACCTGTAAAGTGGAGTTAACAATGATAAATATTCCATTTAAGAATGTTATAAAGATTGATGGCATACAGAAAGTACAATATCTGCACACAGTGAGCATCTAATAAAATCTATATATTATTAAAGCCATTTTATAGATACAGTAACTGAGGCCCAAAGAGCTTCCTTGGCTAATCCAATGTCATCAGCTAATAGGTATCAGAATAGATATTGGAAGCCAAGTCTGGCTCAAAAGTTCATAAGAAACAGACACACACAAAAAAATCTATGTCTCCCTTTGTAGTCAGAATAAAGTAGACCTGAAAATCCCAAGTTTCTTGATTCCTGGGCAATGTCTCCTTCACCACCATATCTCAGCAACATTCTTTTTTATTCATTTTCCTTTGATAGGATGAATCTGTCACAAATTCAACTTTATCAACTGATTAAAGTTCTTTATCAGTCCTATGTAAAGGAGGCCATCATGTTGTTCCAATACAGAACTTGAATCTTTTAGGAGCATTGGGGTCTTTATTGAGATAAGTGTGCCTTTAAAATGTCATAGAAATTTGTCTTTAAGGAGGCTTGTCACTATAGAGCAGTCATTTTATAGAGTATACCTTTTACTGTTTCTTAGCAAAGACATTAACCACACAGCTATCCTAATGCACAGCCCAAAAGAACATCATTCTAAATGCTCAATTTAGGACTCAAGTTATATGATATTTTGACTCCTCTAACTGAAAATGTTTCAATGATGCCATTATTTCTCTACTAAGTTCTGTACAAGGCTTGCCTTGTTGATTGGCAATCAACTCATGACTGTTTAAGAAAAACCAATTTAGCTGCCATTCGCAAATGTTTATAGATACCACTTGGAAAAAGAAAAGCTAGCAAAACAAACTGTGTTTTGTTACGACGGCATTTTAGATCTTGAATCTGAGGATATGCCATCAGCAGGGCATGGGCTTTCAGCTATTTTCTAGAAGTCAGGAAGTGGCAAGTTTGAACAATTTCTCCTGGTCCTCTTTTATTTTACCAAAGGCATGTTGAACGTGCATGTGCACATGTGCATGGTGATTGGGGTCAGGGACAAAATCTGTGACCTTGGAAGAGGGCAAAGTTAACTAAGTCATATAAGAAATATGCAACCCTAGCCACATCTTTAGCATCATGTTAAGGCATACCTATCTAATCCCTCACAGACTATATAAGTTGTAAGGGAAAAAACTCAAGTACTGCTGTCTTCATTGGAAGGGCCTTATTATACTTACTTGGCCACTCAGTATAGCATATTGGAAAATACTGTGGGTGCTGAGCCTGAGTGTCTGGGTTTGAATCCCAGCTCTGTTATTTACTAACAGCCTGACTTCAGGGAAGTTCTTAACCTCACTGTTCCTCAATTGCCTCATCTGCAATATGGGGATAATAAAACTACCTACCTACCTCATTGGCTTATTGTGAGGATCAAATGAGTTAATACAAGTCCTTAAAATGGAGGTTGGTCCACATGCTCCTCCAAATCAGTGTAGCACAATTAAGAAACAATCCTAGGTCAAGGACGCTGGCTCACACCTCTAATCCCAGCATTTTGGAACACAGAGGTGAGCAGATCACTTGAGGTCAGGAGTTCGATACCAGCCTGGCCAGCATGGCAAAACCCTGTCTCTACTACTACTACTACTACTACTACTACTACTACTACTACTACTACTACTACTAATAATAATAATAATAATACAAAAATTAGCTGGAGGTGGTGGCACACACCTGTAATCCCAGCTACTCAGGAGGCTGAGGCAGGAGAATCACTTCAACTCAGGAGGCAGAGGTTGCAGTGCGCAGAGATCGCACCACTGCACTTCGGCCTGGGTGAGAGTGAGACTTTGTCTTAAAAAAAAAAAAAAGAGGGCCAGGCATGCTGGCTCATGCCTATAATCCCAGCACTTTGGGAGGCTGAGGCGGGTGGATCACTTGAGGTCAGGAGTTTGAGACCAGCCTAGTCACTACGGTGAAACCCCGTCTCTACTAAAAATACAAAAAATTTGCCGGGTGTGGTGGTGTGTGCCTGTGGTCCCAGCTACTCAGGAGGCTGAGGCAGGAGAATTGCTTGAACCCGGGAGGCAGAGGTTGCAGTGAGCCGAGATCACGCCTGTGCACTCCAGCCTGGGCAACAGAGCAAGACTCTGTCTCAAAAAAAAAAAAAAAATCCTCCAGGACTCAGAATTATTTCTACTATGAGCATGGAGGCCATGATACATTACATTATGCAGTATGCAATTTGTGAGGACCTCCAGAAGAAAAATTGCTCTGCTCTAAGTACTAGATGGTTTTATCTTTCCTAAAAATTATTTCATCTTTCTGGATGTTGTAAATTTTATAACTGATCCATTTCCACTTGTGCCTGAAAATTTCAAGTCCTTTCATGAAAAAATATATACATACAGGATTTCACAAGCATTTTTGAATTACTTCAATTTCTGGCTACTTGTTATGACTTTATTCATATTTTCCTCTTTCTTTCCTGTCTTATTCTAGTTTATCTTATCTCACTATACTTTTATGTAAGTTGCCTTAACTCCTTTTAGATAAAAAGATGACAATAAAATAAACAAAATATTAGGCAGAGCTACACTGTGCTTATTCTCAGTGAAAATGACCCTGCTTTCTGGACTTCATGAAAAGTGACCAGATTGTTAGTCACACTTGATTAGAGACCCACTCAATCAATCCAAGGATGAGTTGCCTCGTATGTTCACACAACTTTAACTTATGAAACAAACCACTAGGTGGCTTCTCCAACTTGCAATTAAAGGTCTCTGACAATTTTTTTTAGCTCCTTAGGCTGATGTCTTAGGCCTTGTTCTAAATGCAGCCAAATCTCTGTTTTTCAGAGACTCATTCATCATTGGATCATCCAGGCTTTGGACTTTTAAAACATCCTTCCCTTCCTGCTGTCCATCGATTAGTCATTTTGCTATTCCTAAATATCTACAATGAATGTTATACGAATTCATTCAGTTTCAGTGTCTGTTACTCTGATAAAACATTTAATGGGGAAGCAACACATAACTAATAATCAATATGAGATTAAAGATCTGCTAAGGATGGATCCATAGTTGATGCATCTTTGGATCCCACCTTCCCCTACCATGGTTTGGGGACAGCTTGCACATGACAGGTGGTTGTTAAAATTAGTTCAATGAAACTATGGATGTCATACTTCCATATTATTACTGTCTTCTTTTGACAGAATAGTCATGAATAATTATACATGAAAGTATCTGGAAATTTTATGCAAAATTTAAAGCTCTAAAACCAGTAGAAGCATTGACAGGGTTTTAACTAAGAATAGACACTTGATTACATAATTGGTAAGAGGAGAATCTGGATTCCTCTTAAACATGTGACTCCAAAGAATTGGATCTTGATATGGTTTGGCTCTGTGTCCCCACCCAAATCTCATGTCGAATTGTAATCCCCATGTGTTGAAGGAGGGGCCTGGTGGGAGGTGACTGGATCATAGAGGTGGTTTCTAATGGTTTAGCACCATCCACCTGGTGCTGTCTCGTGATAGAGTTTTCACAAGATCTGGTTGTTTGAAAGCATGTAGCGCTTCCCCCTTCTCTCTCTCTCTCTCTGTCTCTTTCTCTCTCTCTCTCTCCTGCCACCGTGTGAAGAAGGTGCTTTCTTCCCCTTCGCCCTTTTGCCATGAGTGTAAGTTTCCTGAGGCCTCCCAGCCATGCTTCCTGTACAGCCTGTGGAACTGTGAGTCAATTAAACCTCTTTTCTTCATAAATTACCCAGCCTCAGGTGGTTCTTTATAGCAGTGTGAGAACAAGCTAATACAGATCGAAATGCAGCAAATGAAAAATAGTGATGTAAAAAATGTTATCCAATTACATCTCTCCATAACTAAAGAAACTAACTCCGCTACTCCCTGGCGTTAGAGCAAGTCTTCCGATGTCCCTCTCCAATTTTTAAATTGTAATGATTTATCTTTTAAGCTTGAAACAAATAATTTGAAAACAACAGTTAAAAGTCAATTACATATTCTTCCCAAGTGACTTCAATGCAATTCTACCAGACATCAAAAGTTAAAGTCTTATTTTCTAAAGTAATATTTTATTTGTTTTTCCTTAATTTCTGAAATAATATATTGTGGTCAATGTGATGCCGTGGCCCTGAACTTTAACAATGGGTCAATTAGCAAAGGTGTAGCAAAAGAAAACATACTGAGCTAATTTCATAAGATACCTGAGAACAAGTCAAAACTGAAATCAATAACTGAAGATGTTTATAGCTGAATTCTTGGGGTTTTTTTCCTCGTCAGTTGTTGGCCAAATCAGATTAGGGCTGCTAGATAAGAAGGTTGAGGCAACAAGATGAAAGGCAGAAAGAACTCAATGTCCTGCCACCATCAATGGCTAATTCTCCTCCAGCTTTCAATCCCCGGGAGCTGACCTTGACCTTGAGTCCTGATTTAAGCTCCTCAGATCACTTTCTCATGCATAAAACTAAAACAACATTTGATTCTTTAACCAGCATTTCCCCATTTCCCCCACCCTCTATCCCCTGGCAACGACTGTTCTACTCTGCTTCTACGGGTTTGACTTTTTTAGATTCCACATATAAGTGAGATCATGCAGTAATTGTCTCTCTGCGCTTGGCTTATTGCACTCAACACAATGACCTCTAGGTTCATCCATGTCGTCACAAGTGGCAGGATTTCCTTCTTTGTTAAGACTGAATAGCATTCCATTGCAATATATTTACCAAATTATCTTTATCCATTCATTCATCCATAAACACTTAAGTTGTTTCCATATCTTGGCTATTGTGAATCATGCTGCAATGAACATGGGGGTACAGATATACATCCCCATAGTGTATATATGGTGACTATAGTTAATAATACTGTATTGCTTACTTGGAATTCAATATGATTTTAAGTGTCGTTACTGCACACGTGAACGCGCACACACACACACAGACGGTAATGGATGTGTTAATTAATTTGACTGCGGCAATCACCACACAATGTATATGTATATCAAAGCTTCATGTTGTATATCTTGAATATATATAATTTTCACTTGTCAATTAAATATTTTAAAATTAAAACACAACATCTGATTCTCATCTGTATTACTGAGTTTGTAGATAAATGGGATTGTTTAAAAGTACTTTTTATTTCTTATAAAAAAGGGGACTTATACACTTAAAGAAATATGTTCTAACAATAATTTACATATATTTTAAACCATCTTAAACTCTTAGCAACAACTTCAAAAGAGATCAATTTATTTTTAATTATAAAAATAATATAATCACATAGAAATAAAATATCAAAGAGAACAGAAAGATACAAAATGAAAACCAGAGGTTTTCATTTTTCATTTAATCCTCTTCTTCCAGTCTAATTCCTCAGAGATAGCTATTGTTGAACATTTCCTCTTCTTTTTCTGATAGCTACTTCCATAACTCCAAGAATACGCTTATACTTCCAATTTCTCATATGTTAACTTTAAACTTCCTTGTACTCCCTCTATGAATAAAGAGTAACTTAGCTTTTCCTCTGTGCACACGTGTGCTCTCTCTTTCTCTCTCTCCCCCTCTCTCTCTCCTATCTCATTGCAAGGGAGGCTGGAAAAGTGAGGAAGCAGATTATCAATAGCACTTTGGACCAACCATGATTCATCCCTTAAGGTTGGCACCTTGCTGCCCAAACAAAAGCTGGATTCTGATGGCAAGGAAGAAACAAAGGGCATGAACACCGGGGCAGCTAATATGTTTGCCACAAGTAATATGATGTTTTCTTTGCCAACATCTGTTATCCCCTTCTCCCATCAATCTATTAAGTACACTCAGACTTTCCCTTGCAGAACAGTTATAGTCTTAGCTCTCAGAGTGGACACTGATTGGCTTATGCCAATAAACTCATTTTTGGCTGTATATTAGAATCACCCAGGGAGTGTTTTAAAATAGCCATGCATGGGATCCACTTCCCAGACCAATGACATCAGAATCCCTTGAAGGGGTTCCAGGTTTGTGATCCAATGACCTAAGCCAACTAGCATAACCTATTGGTTCAGCGATGGGCACATTACCCAACTCAAGCCAAAAGAGAGGCAGTGAAATCCATGAAGCTTCTGGAGCAATCAGGAATGGTGTTTTCTCTTCTCCTGCACAATGTGATATGAAGGTGCAAAATCTGGAAATGCTCTCATCACTTTGACTAGCCTGAGAAGAGCCAGATTAAGCAATAAGTAACAGAGAACAAAGTTGAAAGAATCACAGAGATATAGAGCCTATGGATATCCTGAGACTCTGGGTCAATTCTCATCTGAAGTCAGACCTACTTCAGGAACTCTGTTGTCTTAGCCAATTCCATTTGGGTTTAAACAACTGGAGTTCTTTTTCTGGCCCTTGCATTGGAAACACTCATGTTGTAAAGCCCACTCATTGAGTATATAAAGGACAATATAGATACCACACAAAATATTAGTTTCATATTTTCCCACCCTTGCCTCCAGGAAAAATTTTCAGTGCATAGATTTATCTAGCAGGGAATAGATAGGGCTTACAGTGGATGCAGTGTTAATGGCTCTGCCCAGATCCCAATCTTTCTGTCCCAGAAGTGTCTTAGGCAATGACACAGATATAACAGCAGCCCTTGTCTGTAGCCAGGGCTTACTTTATGGTGCCTCCCCTGAATTCTGTCCAGCAGAGCAAAGCCTCTGACTCTCATGAGATGTTGCTATAACAAAGGAAAGAGGTGGCTTACATCTAATTGGCTAATTTCTTCCAAAGATCCAAGCAAGAAGTGTCTAACTATGATTGGCTTAACCATTCAACTCTCTTATGAAGACAGGTTGAATCCTTTTGGCTGGATCTAATGACCAGTTCAAAGTTCACTTTTGATTAAAAACTTTGAGCTAAAATCTTTTCACAATCTGAAGACCAACCATTAAGATGACCTTGTCTTTTGTCTTTCTTGGATGGTGAAAAACCATCTTCAGAGGAAGATGTTCATACTCAGGCTAAAATGATCCTTATTGTATTTGATCTGTGTACAACACACACACACACACACACACACACACACACACACACAAAACAACCAGAAGAGTATTGCTCAAATGTTATAGATGACACTCTGGTGAAGTTATGTAACTTGCCCCATGCCCAACCGCAAACAGCAGCTAAGCCAGAACTCAAATCTAAGTGCATCGAATTCCAAAGCCCACAGACTCTATAAAAAAGAAGAAACAGAAAAGAATGACTATTGTTGTTTCCTCAAATTATGCTTCTTTTTTCTTATGCATTCACTATTTTATTTTTTTTTTTTTAGAGAAGGAGTTTCACTCTTGTTGCCCAGGCTGGGGTGCAATGGCACGATCTCTGCTCACTGCAACCTCCGCCTCCCGGGTTCAAGCAATTCTCCTGCCTCAGCCTCCTGAGTAGCTGGGATTACAGGCACGCACCACAATGCCCAGCTAATTTTGTATTTTTAGTAGAGATGCAGTCTCATCATGTTGGTCAGGCTGGTCTCGAACGCCTGACCTCAGGTGATCCGCCCACCTTGGCCTCCCCAAGTTCTAGGATTACAGGCGTGAGCCACCTCACCTGGCCACATTCATTATTTGTTAAGGTAATACATTTATATGATTCAAAAAGTACTAAAGGCTCTGTCCCCCAGTCACTAGTGTTCTCTCCACAGGTAATTAATGTTACCAATTTTATCAGCATTTTCCCTATAAACAGTAGCATATTATACCTTGCACTTTTCACTTAATAATATGTTTTAGCAATCAGCCTGTGTCAAAAATGTAAGATTTGGGCTCTTTGACTTTTTTACCATTTAGTATAGACAGAAATGGAATAATAAACATATTTGTTTTGTAGAAAATGCCCCCCCATATTACAATATATTCCTGCATGTGCCTTAAAACTTGAACATTCCTTAAGATTTTTCGCTTCCTAGTCATTCTTTCCAATATCACTGTTGAAAAGCATTAAGCTCCCACGTGGATTCATGCACTATATACCACCCTTTGGGAATTTTCATTTCAACTCAAACAGCAAACTAAAAGAATATGCCATGCTGCTAGGACAATGACAACACTGCATTACAAAAATTAAATACATCTAAATCACAGACTAAAAATTAGAGTAGTTAAATACTTTTCCTTGGAAGTGGCAGCTTCTTGGCAAAATGAATTCTTTGAATACGATGACTGTTGTCTCTTTCCTTTCAGTTCGCACCAATTGACATCATCTTATGCTGCTTCTACTTAAAATGAAGAGGGATTATCTAAAAGATAGAAAAAAATGTATTGACTGCTTCTCCAGTTTAGTTTTCTGTCATTTTGTAGGTAGTAGGAAATATCAGATAAGGTGGAGAAAGACATATAATACACGGTGGGAATCTGGATTATCACCAGCATCTAAGAAATCCTCTCACGTTTGTCTTTCACAGAGAAATGTGAAATAGATAATACAGACTAGGATAGTTCTGCCGCTACTGAAGAGTACACAGAACTGTTGATGTCAGTCTGGAGAAAGGTCTCCAGTAATGCACCGTGGGGCTCAATTTTGGAGCTGATTTTTATCAGTGACTCGATGAAGTCAAAGATCACAAAAGTAGAAAGGATTACTAGTACATGGAATCATAATGTCAAACGTATAACAAATAAAGCCTGTGAGGTACAATATAAAGGCCAAAATTTATTAGGAATAAATAAAAATACATCCTACTTTTAGGTCGAAAAAAATCAACACAGCCAAAGCAGCAGATCCAGGGATCAGCCTACACAGCAGTTCATGTGAAAGAAAGGCTGAGGCCTTGGAAAACCAAATGTTCCAAATCTACCCAAAATGTGGCATTCCTGAGGATTAACTGAGTTAATATATGTAAAGAGATAAGAGTGGTACCTAGAAAATAGTAAATACTCTGTAAATATTACATCTATCTATCTATCTACCTACCTACCTTCCTACCTACCTATCTAATCTATCAATGATCTATCTGCCCTTTTTTGCAGATGCCTTTAAATCCTTTTTGGGTTTTGTCAGGTAGGTGATACAGAAAATAATATATATATCAAAAGAGCCTGTAGAAATTAAATTTCTAGAAATTAAAAATTTTATAGTACATTTCTTTTGGTGTTGTTTGTTGTTGTTTTTGAGATAGTATCTCACTCTGTTGCCCAGGCTGGAGTGCAGTGGCATGATCATGGCTCACTGCAGCCTCGACCTCCCAAACTCAAGCAATCCTCCTGCTTCAGCCTCCCGAGTTGTTAGGACTACAGGTGTGCATCACCACATCCAGCTAATTTTGTTTATTTTTTGTAGAGATGAGGTCTCACTATGTTACCCAGGCTAGTCTCAAACTCCTGGGATCAAGTGATCCTCCCGCCTTGGCCTCCCAAAGTGTTGGGATTACAGGGATGAGCCACCATACATGGTCTAAAAATCATACAGTGTGTTTCTGTATAAAGTATAGAAATTATACTTCAGTGTTCCAGTTGGGGAGGGCTGTGTTACCCTATGAGACGGATACCCTTATAATCCATCTTAAGATGAGGAAACTGAGACTGAAGTAACTTCCCCAAGCACACACAGCAGGTAAGTGAAAAGCTGGGATTTGAAACCCAGACAGTCTGGTTGTGCGGCTGACACATTGAGCCACCATCCACACTGCCTGTTAGAACAGGACGGGAGAGGGTGGGCAAGGGAGGAAGGAAGGAAAAAAAGTAGAAAAAATAGAGAAAAAGCAACCCATTCAAGAAAAGACCAACCTGAAGCCACAGCAGCTATGCCTGAGGAGGAACTAGGAAAACACAATTGAAATCTGGGGAGAAAACAGAACTTTTCTAGAAGCAGAGGATTCCCCACATCCAGCACAGGATGCTGCCAAACCCAAAGATGTTCTTTTTCCGAAGGGTGGATTCACAGGACACACCACCTTGGTGCTTCCTCTGGGTACTTCAGTGCTCCTCTTCCTCCTCAGAGCCAGTGGCAGGACCCTCCAGCCCCTCCTACTTTTCCCATCCCTCCCTCCCCCACACTCTCCTCTCCACTTTGTCCCCACTTCATCTCTCAAGGAGTTTGACGAAGGTAAACCATTCCCCTCAAGAGGAAGAAAGAGAGGAGGCGGGCAGGAGCCACAGAGGTCTGAGATTCTAAGGACTGAGGAGAGAAGGTAAATATTTGGGGCTGAGCTGTGCTTGTCTGCAGCAGGGAGGGCTGTGAGACTCCCTGATACTTTTCTGAAAGGAGGTTTCAGGCTTCCGGACTGAGAAATCCCCAGGAAGACTTACCTAAGGTACCTCCTTGGCTCTTCCCACTTCCTTCCCCCAGCTCTCATCTCAAAAGGAAGCCTCTCCTTGGAAACTTCCCTGGACAGCGTGCCCCCTTCTTCCCCCATGCTTGTGAGATTACAGCTTTAAAACTATTCACAATAGCAAAGACTTGGAACCAACCCAAATGTCCAACAATGATAGACTGGATTAAGAAAATGTGGCATATATACACCATGGAATACTACGCAGCCATAAAAAATGATGAGCTCATGTCCTTTGTAGGGACATGGCTGAAGCTGGAAACCATCATTCTCAGCAAACTATCGCAAGGACAAAAAACCAAACACCGCACGTTCTCACTCGTAGGTGGGAAATGAACAATGAGAACACATGGACACAGGAAGGGGGACATCACACACCGGGGACTGTTGTGGGGTGGAGGGAGGGGGGAGGGATAGCATTAGGAGATATACCTAATGCTAAATGACAAGTTAATGGGTGCAGCACACCAACATGGCACATGTATACATATGTAACAAACCTGCACGTTGTGCACATGTACCCTAAAACTTAAAGTATAATAATAATAAAATAAAAATAAATAAATAAATAAATAAATAAATAAAATAAAAGAACTCCTGATTCAGAACCCAGCCAAGTCCTCTTCAGAGTTCGTGCAGCAAACCAGTTTCACTCACTCACATGATGGGCCTCTTCCTCCCAGAGTTAATTAGCTGCACATTTTAACAAACATCCAAATGTATGACTGTATTTGCCAAACCCAAGAGAAAAAGGATTCTGCAAGAAACGAGCTCACGTCTCTTCATAGGGCAGCTGGCTGCACTGATGCAAGCAGCCACAGCGCTCTGCCCTTAATGAACTCCTTGACCTCCTCAAGCTCCAGTTCATTCTGCATCCCTCCCTTCACTGACAAATGGCTTAGACTGGGAGCCTCCATTGCTCTTCTCACTTCCTCCTATCCCCTGATCACCAGCCCCCAGCAATCTGCCTTCTTCAGGCCTGCTCTCTAGGGAAAGGGCTAAGGTATTAATACTTCCTCCCCATCCCACTAGTGACCTGATTTAGGGGAGTCTTATAGTCCTTTCCAAAGATCCTCACCGCCTCTAAAGCATTTAATCCTGATGGCCATACCCTTCTTAACATGCTTTCTAGGTTTCTATGGGAAAGGGAAAAGGAGATGAGCATTTATTAAGTGCCCACTGAGTGCCATGGGTAGTAAGTCCCCCACCACCCTGTGAGGTGGGTATTAGTATCCCTATTCTGGGGAGGAAAGCAACAATATCCTGCCTAGAGTCTAAGTCAAGAGGAGCTCTGGGATTCAGGATCTGCTGCCTCTAAAGCACATCCTCCAGCTGATCCCCCTCACTCTCAGCTCTCTTCCCTCTGCTGGTTCCTCTTCCTTCATCTCTTCCTTTGCAGTCCTTTCCTAAGTCTCTGTCTTAGGTCTTTTTCTCACCTCTATCTCCCTAGATAATTTCCCCTAATGCCTCAATTTCTCTTGTCATTACTTCTCTCTAGTGACTCCTAAGTCTCTTACTTTAGTCGTCACCTCAAGCCTTGGCTCCAGGTCTCAGTTTCCACCTTTCTGCTGGATGTGTCCAAGTGGACGGGCTGCTGACATGTGGATGAGCCCAATCAGACTCCATCATCCTAAGTCACCCTTCCACCTTATGTTCCCAACTTTGTCAACTGCTGCTCACTCCCTTAATCCCATCTTCCAAATCTAAGCCAGCCACCTCAGCTTGTTGATTTTCCCTCTGCACAAGATTCTTACTCTTTTCTGCCTTAATTGGCCTGAATGCCTGCAGAAACTTGTTCCTCTGCTTCCACAAGCTAAATTCTCCAATCTTCTCCCAACCTGCTGTCTTCCAAAGATGAGATTGGGTCACTTCCCTCCCTGAAAACTTCAGTTGTTCCATACCGCTTACTGAATACAGTTTCAATCCCAAGAAGGTTACCCATGATCTGACCTTTCTGGTCTTGTTCCCAATGACAGCCCTCCACACAGAGTCTGCCTCTGACACTTGGGAACACCACTCTATCCTCCGGCACACCTTGAATGAACCTGCATGCCTCGACCATGTTCATTCATGGCCTCCTTCCTCTGTGATCTAAATCCTACTCACCCTTCAAGGCTCAGCTCAAATGCCACCACCTCTGAGAAGTCTGCTGTTCTTACCAATTGAAAGTAAACTGCTGCTTCCTTTGAACTTCCTCAGTTCCTTTACGAAAATTGTTGTAGAGTTACTGACTGTATAGATACTCCTTTTTTTTTTTTGAGACGGAGTCTCGCTCTGTCGCACAGGCTGGAGTGCAGTGGCGTGATCTCGGCTCACTGCAAGCTCTGCTTCCTGGGTTCATGCTGTTCTCCTGCCTCAGCCTCCCGAGTAGTTGGGACTACAGGTGCATGCCACCATGCCCAGCTAATTTTTTGTATTTTTAGTAGAGATGTGGTTTCACCATGTTAGCCAGGATGATCTCGAACTCCTGACCTCACGATCCGCCCGCCTTGGCCTCCCAAAGTGCTGGGATTACAGGCGTAAGCCACCGTGCCCAGCCAAGATACTCTTATACAATAGGTATCTATAATGTCTCCTTTATCACCAGAGTATAGGCTACCTGACCACAAGAACCGGGATTCGCCCAGGTCCTAACCAGTGCTTTGTACACAGCAGGTCCTCCAGTGGGGCTGCTGAACTGCACTGCACATGATGATGCATGTAAAAGCCAAGTTCTGGCTGTGCTCGAGTGCCTATTGTGAATATAGAAAGCTGCACTAAATTTTACTGGAAAAAGCCACTTGGGCTATAATCCATGTGAATTCTGAACAAGGCAGGTTTATATAATTAAGATATTTGGGCTGGGCACGGTGGCTCATGCCTGTAATCCCAGCACTTTGGGAGGCTGAGGCGGGCGGATCACAAGGTCAGGAGATCGAGACCATTCTGGCTAACATGGTGAAACCCCGTCTCTACTAAAAATACAAAAATTAGCCAGGCATGGTGGCGGGCACCTGTAGTCCCACCTACTTGGGAGGCTGAGGCAGGAGAATGGCGTGAACCTGGAAGGCAGAGCTTGCAGTGAGTTGAGATCGGGCCACTGCACTCCAGCCTGGGCGACAGGGCGAGACTCCATCACAAAAAAATAAAAAATAATAATAAAATAAAATTAAAAAAGCACCTGGGCCTGGACGGTGTCAAGGAGGGCACCCTCTTCCGGCACTACAAAAGCTGACTCTCTGCATCTACCAGGCATGGTATGCAAGCGAAAAAGAGAAGACTGTATTTCACTGTTCCTAGACAGCTGGTGCACTCATTAACTGTCTGCCCTAACCTCAGCCCAAATGGAAAAGGATCAAATGACACAGCAAAGAAACATAGTGACTGAGAGGATAGGCAAAAGACTGGACTAACCTTGGAGTAGCGGTTGGCAGGGGGTGGAGGCCAGGAGAGGCCTGTGCCCAGCGGTCTGGCACCTTCAAGACTTAGAGGGGCCGTCAATAACTCCCAACAATGGTTGGCTTTATGCTTTAGCTTGGATGTCTCACCACTCTGGAGCACTCCCTTTAAGAAAGGTTTGTCTGTTGGTAAACAGAGCTGATGAAAATGAGCCTTTTTGGCTGGGCAGGTCAAACTCGGATGTAGGTATCTCTCTCCATGCCTCATTAGACCTACCCATTCAGTGAGATGAGAACTAGCTTCTAGGTATCAGATTCACATGCAGGCCCCCCGCCTTTTTTGTTTTTTTTGAGACAGTGTCTTGCTCTGTCGCCCAGGCTGGAGTGCAGTGGCGCAATGTTGGCTCACCGCAACCTCCGTCTCCCGGGTTCAAGCGATTCGCCTGCCTCAGCCTCCCTAGTAGCTGAGATTACAGGTGCCCACCACCATGCCCGTCTAATTTTTGTATTTTATAATAGAGATGGGGTTTCATCACGTTGGCCAGGCTGGTCTTGAACTCCTGACCTCAAATGATCTGCCTGCCTCAGCCTCCCAAAGTGCGGGGATTACAGGCATAAGCCACCACACCCAGCCTCTCCTCCTTTTTGACCCAGAGCTATCTACTTGCCCTTTCACTGAATCCCAGGAAAAACTGGGTCTTAGTCAAGTTCACGATCCCCCTAGGCCTAGGACCACCTGCTGCTCCCATCACCAGGCCCTAAGTTCCCACCCCAGATGCTCTGATACTTAAAAGATTAATAAAGTGAAATTTGGGGTCAGTTCATCTCTATATACCATGCGGAGCCTCAAACCCCAAATCACACCTTGGAGTTACTGCTTAGAGCACCTTAGACAGGCACATCCATAGCCTGGTTACTAATGCAGTCCCACCACTCTTTGCAATGCTCAACTGTTTTGACTCTGAATCCGAGCTAGAGTTTTGACCTAGAACAGGTCAAATGCGAAGGCTGAGTAATGCTTTTCCAATTCTATTTATTTTTATTCCACGGCTCCACTTGAGTTCTGGAAACAGACTGCTTTGCAGCCAGAGGCCCCTGACCTAATTCTTTATCCTGGTTTTAACCAGATTAAGCCAAGGGAGAGCTCACAGCTCCTGCTGCCCAAGTAAGTCTGCAAAGCCACAGGAAGGTGCCACTAAGCAATAAGATTCGAGCTAGTTTTGTTTAATTTGGGGGCTCCCACCTCACGTACAGTTTAGGGTTAAAAGAGCAAAACTCAGGATGAGATTTTGCTAATGCTGTCAGGGGAGGGGTGGGGCTTGCCATTTTCCATGTGATATTGTTATTCCTAATCAACTAGTTGGAACCACCTCCGAGTTCTGGGGCTCTGCAAGGAAGAAAGATAATTAGTCACAGCAAAGACAAAGGATAATATGACTAAATTCCTGCCCGTGGATAGAAAAAGAAGACTTACATTTCTAACAAGGCAGAAATAGCCAATTCGTTCAATTAGTTTAAGCATGTACCATTGAGAAAGGCCACTTCTTCAAAGTCGTGACCCAAATTTAGACTGAACTCTGAATCCAGAGTAGAGAAAACATCTCAAAGATCTTGCTATCCCTCCACATCCAGACCTGTGTTGTCCAATACAGCAGCCAATAGCCACACGTGGCTACTGAGCACCTCAACGTAGCTGATCCAAACTGAGATGGGCGGTAAGGGTAAAATACACATCAGATTTTTGAAGACTTAAGAAAAAAGGGCCAAGCATGGTGGCTCACGCTTGTAATCCCAGCAATTTGGGAGGCCAAAGCAGATGGATTGCTTGAGCCCAGGAGTTTGAGACCAGCCTGGGAAATGTGGCAAAACTTTGTCCCTACAAAATATACAAAAGGCATAGTTGTGCACACCTGTAGCCCCAGCTTCTCAGGTGGCTGAGGTAGGAGGATTGCTTGAGGCTGGGAGGTCAAGGCTGCAGTGAGCTGTGATCACGCCACTGCACTCCAGTCTGGGTGACAGAGCGAGACCCTGTCTCAAAAGAAAAAGAAAAAGAATGTACAATTTGTCATTAAGAGTTTTTATATTGGCCAGGTGACGTGGCTTGCACCTGTAATCCCAGCACTGTGGAAGGCCGAGGCGGATGGATCACTTGATCTCAGGAGTTCAGACCAGCCTGGGCAACATGGTGAAAACCCCGCCTCTACCAAAAATACTGTAGTCCCAGCTACTCAGGAGGCTGAGGTGTGAGGATGGCTTGAGCCTGGGAGGCGGAGATTGCAGTAGGCCGAGATCGTGATCATGCCACTGTACTCCAGCCTGAGTGATAGAGTGAGAACCCATCTCAAAAAAAAAAAAAAAAAAAACAAAAAAACAGAGTTTTTATATTGATTACGTGTTGAAATGATAATTTTGTTATATAACTGATTAAATAAGACTATTAAATTTAATTTCACCTATTTATTTTTACTTTTTTAATGTGGCTACTAGAAAATTTAAAATGACTTATATGACTTGCATTGTATTTTTATTGGGCAGTGCTGATCCACACAACATTATACTCAATTGTTTAATTTTAAAGTATGGCAAAACTTGCAAAGGAATGTCTTTTTAGCCTAATACCACCAGAAAACACTCTTGTGTAGATCCTCCAGGTGGTAGTGGAGGTGAAGATTCATCCCCCTTTTAGTCCTTTATTTGAAGCGTGTCTTTCAGTTTACAAAAATGCTTTCATACCCATAATTCATTAACTGATAACTACACCTAGACAAACATCATTGCTTTGAAAAGACCTCTAAGACAAGAAAAAAGATAAATACATTTGACTAAATACAAATTTGAAACTTTTATATGTGACGGGAAGGAAATAATAGTGCCTTTCAGTTTACAAAAATGTTTTCACACCCATAATCTCACTTAACTGATAGCTACACTTAGACACGTCTCATTACTTTTAAAAGACTTCCAAGACAACAGAAAAAATAAACTTCACTAGTAAAATTTTGAAGCCTTTATACAGTTAGGGGAAAAAACCACAATAAAATGGCAAGCAATATACCAGAAAAAGCATTTGATACAAATATACCAAGGGGTTAATATAGAAAGAAAGTCAGGCCAGGTGTGGTGGCCCACACCTGTAATCTCAGCACTTTGGGAGGCAGAGGCAGGTGGATCACTAGAGGTCAAGAGTTCAAGACCAGCCTGGCCAACATGGTGAAACCCTGTCTCTACTAAAAATACAAAAATTAGCTTGGCATGGAGGCACACATCTGTAGTCCCAGCTACTCAGGAGGCCGAGGCACCAGAATCGCTTGAACCCAGGAAGTGGAGGTTGCAGTGAGCCAAGATTACACCACCGCACGCTAGCCTGGATGACAGTAAGACTCTGTCTCAAAAAAAAGAAAGAAAGAAAGAAAAGAACAGAAAATCACACTAATGAGCAAAAGACATTGAGATAATTCACAAAAAAATCAATTAAGGCATAATATCCACCCTATAATAACCAAAGAAATTCTCAAACAATGAACACTGTGTTGCTATTGTTGTCTAGCCAAATTATCTATCAAAAATAAAATGAAATTGTCCAGTGCTGGAGAGGGTCTAGTGAAAGGGGCTATTTTGTATTATGATTGAGTTATAAAATTTCTGTCACTTTCTGTGAAAACTATTTGTCAGGATGTATCAAAGCATATAAAAATGGGCAAAATCTTTAACCCAAGAATTCCAGTTCTAAGAATCTAGACAGACAGACAGATAGATAGATAGATAGATAGATAGATAGATAGATAGATAGACAGACAGATATCTCTTTTTAAAATACCAGAAGCAAAATGCAATAAAATAGTACGATAGTATTTATCTTGGCTAGGATTACATGTGAGTGACTTTTTTTCTCCTGTACTTTTCAAATTTTCCACAATGCTCACATACTTCTTTTATAATCAGAACAGAAACTTTAAAATCCCTAAGAATGATTATTTTTAAAGCTTCCTTTGTAAACCTAATCTAGCATCTAATTAGCTCAAAAATGGAAAAGTCTAGGTCTGAGTATGACTATAACTTAAATTTATTTTAAAAGGTATTTGCTATGTTTCAGATGGCAACTCACAGGCCATAACTCATCTGATTTCAAAGAATTTTGTTAAATTGAAAATCCTATTGATACATTTGCAGGTTCCTGTGCATGTCCCAGTATTCAGCTGAAAACACTGTTGCTTCTGTGGGGCATTGACTCTGTATTCCAGGATCTCGCCAGCCTCAAAGGGGAGAAGGCAGACAGGGAGCATGGCGACAGCAAGAACAAGGTGACGACAAGGACAGGAGCCCCAGCAGAGTTGAGGTCATCTTGTGGGATAGGGGAGAACATTCAGCAGAGATAGGCAGGGGATACAGAGGGAGGAAGGAAGAGAAGAAATTAGAAAGTTAAAATGTGCTTTTTTAGAAAAACCAACAATCCTAGAAATCTGACAGTTTCTCATTCTTTAGCCCAAAAGCTTCTTGTTGTAGTGGTCAACCCTTTCCTAATTATTCCTCCAGGATACCTATCACCATGAACCCTACCTTACATTTGCTCTTCCTTTGTTTGCAAGCTGTCAAGTTGTTTATCTCTGCTTGACACTGAACAATTACAGTCCTTTTTTACCTTTACTCCCTAGGAGGAAGAAGTTTAAGCAGCAGGGCTGTGATCCATTCATTGACCTAAAGGGAGTAGGGGACTTGGTGGTGAGAAGAGATGAATGATCCCAGGAAAAAAGGAATGAAGGCAGGTGAACCAATCTAATTTCTCATCAATTGCACCTCCAGGTAATGAGAGGAATGATCTTTGCTAGGAGGAAAAACCTTGTCTACTGAATGCCCTTAGAAGGATGTCTCTGGCCAGAGGATTTCTTAGAATTGCAATACCCAAAATCTTTGAGGCGTGGCTCCCTGGAAAATGTCATGTAGCCAACAAAATAATGAGGGGTATCAAATGGAGTTCTTTTAAAACTTAAAAGCTTTGCACTGTACACCTTACTTAGACCCATTTAGTATTGTGAATCAGAGGGACAGGTCTAGGGAGGGAGAGGGGGTCCCAGGGAGACATCCTCAATGCCCCAGACCTCTCTCTGCTTTATCTGAGCCTCTCAATAGCCTGCCTCTTCGGAATTATTAGTAAAGCTTAATGATGGGTAAAATTCATGATCCGCGTGGATCTGATTTGACAATGGGTTTTGCTCATCCCGCCCCACTTCCATAGCTTGATTTCTACTTTCTAATTTTTCCATATTTTTCATGACCTACCCCAGTTCTTCTCAAATTACCTATATTCTTTTTTTAAGACTTACAGCCACAAACTAAACCACTTCCCTAATCACCCCAAGCACATCTAGAGCACACTGTGTCCCCACAAACAAACCTGGTCACACTGACACTTTAATAAAAGGGGCAGTATGTTGTGCTTGTCAATGGCAATAGGGTTCCTTTAACAGCTGAGAATTATTACTTAAGTTCAAGCCTTGTAAAACATTTTCCCTTTTTTTTTTTTTTTTTTGAGATGGAGTCTCACTCTGTCATCCTGGCTGGAGTGCAGTGGCACGATCTCGGCTCACTGCAACCTCTGCCTCCCAGGTTCAAGCAATTCTCCTGCCTCAGCCTCCCAAGTAGCTGGGATTATAGGCGTGTGCCACCACGCCTGGCTAATTTTTGTATTTTTAGTAGAGACGAGGTTTCGCCATGTTGGTCAGGCTGGTCTCGAACTCCTGACCTCGTGATCCTACCACCTTGGCCTCCCAAAATGCTGGGATTACAGGCATGAGCCACTGCACCTGGCAAACATTTTCCATTACAATTCTAGTATCCCATTCACTGTCCATTTTTACACCCCCATAATCTTTAACTGAGCCTACAGATTCTGCCTCCCTGACTCAAGTGTTGGGGTTTACTCTTACAAACGCTGATGCCAAAAGCCTCAGGCAAAATAATCACTTAAACTGAAGCAGTCCTGGGATTGTCTGGAAAAACTGGTTAACATATTTGTTTATAATTACCCCAGTCTTTCCTCGTTATTATAGACATATGAATGACTCCTCACCAAGCCAGTCACGAAGCTGCCTTTTGGATCATGAATTCTGCAGCCATTCCCAGTTTCTGAGACCTTTACCTTGTCAGTCATCTGCCTGCCTCTTTGTCAACATGATAGGCTTCAGATAAAGCCATTAAAACATTTCCTGTGAATTTAAAACCCCAGAATATGAAAGGAAAATAGCAGAGTGGCACTAGTCCAAGACAGGGTGCATTTTAATATATTTGAAAATTATAGTGCATTTTTTCACTTAGACTAATCTCACATAATAGAGCACTGTTTAGCCATTTTTCAAAAGAAAGAAATCACCAGTAAATGAAAAATGTTTTATACCCATAAATGAAAAAGCTAGAAGATTCTCTCAATCTCTAAAGAGAATCTCTTCTTCCAAAGTATCATAAATCAGGGGGTATAAGAAGTCTTCCTTAAAGAGGCTGCTCATGTGTCCTTTTTGTATGAAAAATTAAATCCACACAGTCATTTGCGCCAAGCCTACTGAGCACCAAGTGGCCTTAAGTAGAGGCCAGCAAACTTTTTATGTGTATTTTATGTTGGGGTTCTGTGTGAGACATCATTAGTAGCAAAAAAGCAGCCATAGTCAGTATGTAACCTCATGGGCACGACTGTGTTCCAATAAAACTTTATTTATAAATAGGCAGCAAACTGGATTTGGCCCATGTGTCATAGTGAGTCCTAAGTGTGAAGGGAAATGTAGCAGGAGGAATCAAATCCACCCATTTTACTCTCAAAAATGCCCACAACTTCCACTTCAGGCCCAGTGCATGCATCTTCCTCAAAGGGCATGAATGAGGTCTGGCATGAATGAGGTCTAGCAGCTTAAGATGCAAACACATAAGAATCCAATATTTAATGTTTTGGGGGTTAAAAGCTACATCACCTCTTCACAGCACATCAGCCTTTAAATATGAGGACTTTTTGAAATCATGTCTCCAGAAGGAGGTATCCCTTCTGTTAGATGAGAAAACAGGCCCAGAGAGGTTGAGTGGTCAGCCAAAGGTCACACAGCAAATTCACAGTAGAGTCAGAAGACAGTAGTAGAGTTAGGCCCAAACCCCAGGAACCCCTTCTGCTGAGTCACCTTCCTCTTGTGCTCTAGGGAACAAGCATCTGTTTTACTTTTCACCACTCATTACCACAGCATCAGGTAACAGAGTAAAAAAGATGAGCTTTTAATCTTGCTTCGGCAGGATAGTGATTTTTTCAAATGTTGCCTCACAACAGAACCCCAACATAAAATACACATGAAAGAAAGGTGCCTCTCTCCCTCTGCCTGGCCCCACCCAAAGCTCATGGGACAGCTTGAAGGGATCCTGATGATCACAGAAATCAAGTAGTTCGAAAGTGATTTTCATTACCATCTACTATCTCTTAGCACCTCTCAGTTCTAGCACTCCCCTCCTCTACCTCTCAGCCCTGCCCTACGCCCAGGGCCTACTGATGCAGTGTTCCCTCTTACAAGCTTCCCCTCTGTAGCCTACAATCAAAACTTACTAGTCCTGGAGCCCAGTCCTTTGAAAAACTAATTTGTGCTGACCTATGAGTAATTGGTAACTTAATTTTTTGCTAAACATAATTAATCTGTCTCATTAGAACTTTTTCTTTGAGACAGGGCCTCACTCTGTCACCCAGGCTAGAGTACAGTGGTGCAATCATGGCTCACTGCAGCCTCAACCTCTGAAGCTCAAGCAATCTTCCCGCCTCAGCCTCCAGAGTAGCTGGAGCTAAGGGTGCACACCACCACGCCTGGCTAATTTTGTTTTTATTTTTAGTAGAGATGAGGTCTTGCTATGTTGCTCAGACTGGTCTCAAACTCCTGAGCTCAAGCAATCCTCCTGCCTTAGCCTCCCAAAGTGCTGGGATTACAGGCGTGAGCCACTGCACCTGGCATTGTCTGATAAGAATTTAATGTGTTATTCTTCCCAGACATCAGATTTGAGTTTTAAAGGGGCCTTTAGTAGCCCAACACAATGTTTTTGAAATTGGGCAGCTTCTCCAAAGATGTCTCGGGAGCTGCCTAAGATGGAGAAATCTAGGCTTCTACCCCTATGTCATTCACCCAGAGAAGCTTTAATTGTATTAGTTTCCTGGTGGATTTCATTTGAGGGAAGAGTTCCAGAGATAACATAAAAAAGCTTAAAAACCACAGACTTATGCCAAAGCACTGACCCATGATCAACATCTGAACCACAATGCCAGTACAGAAGTTATTTTAAGTGTGTCAAGAACTGTAAAGCATCTGAGATTTCACCCCCTTTACAAGCTAACAAGTTCTCCTGCCAATTTCATGGGTGCTGGCAAAAGAAACGAGATTCCTGGATCAGCATTTTTATGCCATTTCTCTTGAGTGCCCGTTTCCATATTGTAAGGCAGAGAAAAACAAATGATGTGTATACAGTAGGTTGCATTACAGAGGAGAAACCCTGAACTTAGGGAACCTGAATCTTTTATAACGGGCAATAATCCTGCCTGCCCTTTGTGCCAGAGGGAGACAGTATGTCCACCTCCCAAGGCCACGCATTATATAAGCATCCTTGAAAAGACAGTCCAGAACAAAGGGCAGACGATGACTCTACTTACAACATGTGCAGAGACCAGCAGACCCAGGGAGAACTGTCTCCCAATATGGAGGTCATGGAGGGGTGGGGGGCAGTTAAAGCTAGGCCTACTTAGGACTCCCTTTGTAAGCTTCCCAGGCTGGGAGTTAGCGGGTTCAGAGGGAAAGAAAAAACCTTGCAAAGGGACAAAGAAGTGTTTTCTACTCATTTAGTTAGAAAGCATTCACCATCCCTCTTAGGATAGAGTTAAAAATTCTCACCATGGCCTACATTTTTTATTTTATCAATTGCATGCCTATCATTATGGGTTAAATTGACTCCCCGCAAAATTGGTATGTTGAATCCTAAGCCCCAGTACCTCAGAATGTGACCTTATTTAGACACAATCTCTTTACAGAAGTAATCGAGTTAAAATGAGGTTATTCTGGTGGGCCCTAATCCAGTACAACTGCTTTCCCAATAAGAAGGGGAAATTTAGATAGAGACACATGCACAGGAAGACAACAAAGATACAGGGAGAAGACAGCCACCTCCAAGCCAAGGATGGGGGCCTGGAGAACATCCTTCCCTCAGAGCCCTCAGCAGGAACCAACCCTTCATCTCAGACTTCTTGCCCCCAGAACTGTGAGAGAACAAATTTCTGTTGTTTAAGCCACCCAGTTTATGGTACTTTGGAACAGCAGCCCCAGCAAACCAATACACCCACCAAATGAATGTATTTTCCATTTTGAATTCACAAGATGAATCAAATAAACAGAGCCATCCATGAAATATGAGTTTTTCTACTTTGAGACTTCTGCATCAAAGGACTGTGACTCAAGCCTCTCTAACAAGAGTCTCTTACTCATCTGCACAGCCATACATGCACAAGGGCAGCAGGGAAACAGCATGAGCTCTGGGTCTGAGTCTGAGCTTCACCCCTGACTAGCAAGTCATTCAGCCTCTGTGACCTCAGTTTTACGAACTGTAGAGTGGAAGACACTTGCCTGCCAATGCCACAGGCTTGTAAAGCTCAAACGTTACACGAGAAAGCACGCTGCAAAGAAAAGTGCTGTACGAATGTTAATTATTAGGATAAGATGATCACAGCTTCAGCTGCTACAGTGGGTTAAAAATAATACTGATATTTACAATAGCAAAGACTTGGAACCAGCCCAAATGCCCATCAATGATAGACTGGATAAAGAAAATGTGGCACATATACACTATGGAATACTATGCAGCCATAAAAAAGAATGAGTTCATCCATGTCCTTAGTAGGGACATGGATGAAGCTGGAAGCCATAATTCTCAGCAAACTAACACAGGAACAGAAAACCAAACACCACATGTTCTGACTCATAAGTGGGAGTTGAACAATGAGAATACACGAACATGGGGGTGGGGAGGACATCACACACTGGGGCCTGTCAGGGGATGGGGCGCAAGGAGAGGGAGAGCATTAGGACAAATACCTAATGCATGCAGGGCTTAAAACCTAGATGACGGGTTGATACGGGCAGCAAACCACCATGGCACATGTATGTCTATGTAACAAACCTGCACATTCTGCACATGCATCCCAGAACTTAAAGCAAAATTTAAAAAATAAGAATAAAATAGTGACAACTGCTATCCACGCTTGGAGGTAGGAGTTCAATAGAAAATCATCATTCTGACACATGTCAGCATTTGCCCTCTCTCTAGTTTCCATGTACCCTAAGGTGCTTTTTATTCCCCAACCATCACTTCAAAACAGGTAAGCGGTAAATACTATGTCATGGATCAAAATATTAAGAAGTCAATGAAATTCTATGTTTTTGGACACCTAGCAATCAAAAGCCTAGATCTATCTGGTCCTGAGCCAGTTCCTCCAGATGACTGGATCTTGCCCTGTGTCAGATGAGAAGTTCGCATAAAGAAAGGTACAGGCAGAATAAGGTAGAATATCCTGGACAAGCTGAATGTAGAAAAACATGGATCAAAGGAGCAGAGGTCCTGCCTGCTTCCTTTCCTGTGTGTGTTACAGGGCCCTGCTCTCAACTTACTGTAGCTGGGAGAAGAGTCCAAAGCAGCAGAGACAAAAGAGCAAGAAAAGACCTTTCAAAACTAGGGCAGAGGAACAGGTAGAGTGAGTATATGAAGGACAGTCTGTGTTTCAACATCAACCAAGGATCTGCCAGCGAGAAGGGAGATCATTTCTCAAACGCACTGCCTTACCTAACCCATCAGATGGGAAAGACATTCCCGGCACCCGCAGTTAGTTGCCCGATGGTGCAACTCCAAGATATGCCAGGTGCTGATTGCCAGCTCATGCCAGGGATCACCCCCTCTAGACCATTCAGTCCTTGGGCTCCACAAGATCGTTTTGGACAGGAAACCACCTGGATGGTCCAGTGCCGTGTCCTCTACCTTCAGGACCCTGTCTCCTTCCTAGGAATCCTGGATCCCAAGCCTCTGGCAGTATTTCTCAGATGATGAGGCTGCTCCAACTCCAACGTGGGAAAGACCAAAAACTTCAGCAGCATTATCCAAAGGTTATCTGGAACTCCAGCAAGAAAGCACTGAACTGGCCTATTTAGAAAACCTCTCCTCTCCATAAAAAATTTAAAAAGAAAAGGAGGAATAAGAAGATAGGATTAAAAAGAGCTGTGAGGCCAGGTGCAGTGGCTCACACCTGTAATCCCAGCACTTTGGGAGGCCGAGGCAAGTGGATCACTTGAGGCCAGGAGTTAGAGACCAGCCTAGCCAACATGGTGAAAACCCATTTCTACTAGATGTACAAAAACTAGCCAGGCCTGGTGGTGCTTGCCTGTAATCCCAGCTACCTGGGAGTCTGAGGCGAGGTTGCGGTGAGCCGAGATTGTGCCACTGCACTTCAGTCTAGCCAATAGAGTGAGACTCTCTCCCAGAAAAAAAAAAAAAAAAAAAAGGATAGAGGAAGCATTTTGGGATATGGATATGTTCATGACCTTGATTGTGGTGATGATTTAATGGGTGCAAAAATTATCTAATTGTACATTTTAAATATATGCAGTTTATTGTATGTCCATTATACCTCAATAAAATTGTTTTTTAAAAAACAACAACAACAACAATTCCCTCAATTTCACCAATTACGATGAATTGGGGTTTACAGGTTCCTCTTCCAAAATTGGAGAGCAGGTTAAATTCATCCGCCATTCACACCCCTCACTGAATTCCTCTGGTTGTCTCCTAATACCTGCTTTTTAACAATTCCCAGGTGAGCTAAGCCTAGGTAGAGTGAATGGACATGTAACTGGGTGAAAAGAAGGGAGAAAAAAATATGAGTGTTGGGGTCCTTTGGGGGTGAGCCAGACTTGGTAAGGAGCAACCAAAAGGGGCACAGCCAGAGGATGATAGGGCAAGAACCCTGGAGGCTGGATGACCCTGGAGAAGGGGCCCTTCGAGAGTTAAAAGGAGAGCCCAGGACAACAGAGGGAATGACCTTGCATGCAAAGGCAGCCCACCTTGCTGGTTACAAATACCTCTTTGGGTAGCTTCGTCCTACTCCAAAGCCCATTCCCTCCAAACTTCTGCCTGGACAAGCAAAGAGATAACGGCTCAAGAGCATGTACTGCAGTCACTCCCCATTGAAAGCAACGCTGAAACCTCATTAACATTAAACAGATAACACCACATGCAGCATAAGATGACAAAGAGCATTTTTGAATTTATTTTTGCAGACTGCCGAGGCCGGATTCAAAGAGTGGACACCCTGTCCAGTCCACAGTCCACAGGCCTCTCCCTCCTTACAAGCTGTTGCATGCCCACTCCCAGCTATCCTCCAACTCCCCCAAATGTTAAGTGATTGCTGGGAAAGAGATTGGAGCAAATGGATAAACGCAGGTCCCTGAGGCATGTCCTGGGCTTTTCAACAAATTCAACTGCAGTAGATTTTTATCTCTACCACTTCAACCTGTTTTCCAAACTTTCTGGTACACTCACCAACGCTGGCAAAAAAGAAAAGAAAAGAAACTAGAACAGATTAAAGTACATTCAGTTGTACACTGGAACAAAAAATATTTTGGTTGTGCTGCAACAGGCTGACTCCCATCACAGCCCTCTCTGAGGACAGCCTAATACCTGGGCCTGGTTAACCATCAAAGGCACCTGAACCTTCTACTTCTTAGTTGAAAAATGCAACTCCACAGCCAGGTCTGGCAATCTGTGGCTCCAACACACTTCTTGCATGCTTGTGGCCTCCTGCTGCAAAACATGTTTTTTATGGAAGAAGAAACTAGGTTAATTTGCACTCGGGTCCATTGAAAATCACCCCATGTTAAGTGCTTTATTAACAACAAAGACAACAGCATATTGGTAAAAGAGCTTGGGTGTGACTTTTCCTCACCTAGATTGTAATTCGACATAGCAATTATTTCAAGAGGGTGTGCCCAGCTTGTATTCATTTGCTGTGTGGCCTGCCTCCTAGATTGCAAAACCATAAAATGACACATCTCACTCCTGGGCTGTAAATAGCATGACCATGTGTAAGGATTATGTAACAACAAGTATCCGGGGACCTGGCACCCAAAGGAAAGGACTGTTTCAGGTCAAGAAAAATACGGTCTCTTTCCAGAACACTGGATTTAAGTCTGAGAAGCAGCAGGTCTCAGCCCACATCAGAACTGGGCAGGTGCTCCCATTTCCCCACATATTCAATTAAAGCCAGAAAGCAAGCCCAGTGTTCTTATGGAGGGCTCCTCAGAACCCTCCTCGATGCCCCACCTGAGCCCAAGCATGTCAGGAGGTTCCACTGCGTCTGTATCTGGGACTCTCCTGGGCTCCATGCAATTAAGAGCCATTTTTACTGTAAGAGGAGCCAGACCAACCAAGGGAAGAGGCAGGGCTAGGAGTGGTGGTGAGGGCACAGTGGTGAAAAAGGCAACACACAAAGATCTATTAATTAGCATGTGACTTTACAGGCAGGGGAGGGGAAGACAGCTGCAAAGAAAGGTACTGATGTAAAGGAAGAATCTTAGACCCTTGGAAAGATAAATGCTGACCAATGGCTTCATCGCCTTTCTGCTTTATCTACTCTGGTGAAATTCCTCAAAGCCTGCTCCAGTTCCTAAACACAGACACAGACACACACACAGACACACACACACACACACACACACACACTCTCTCTCTCTCTCTCTCTCTCCCTCTCTCCACCTCCCACTTTCTCCAGCACACCCACAGTAAATCAAAGCAAAACAGTTTAGAAAGATCCAGGGAAACAGCCACCACAAAATGTGTTAGGAAATAACAGGGAGAGAATTTTATTTTATATGAATTATATATATATATATATATGAAATAATACCTCTGAATTGTATTCAAACTGTACAGAAAACTATAAAGTTAAAGGAAAGTAAAAGCCTCCTTCCCTCCACCTACTTCTACTGCAGGTAACAGTCCACAAATCTTATCATTGTACATTAGCATATACATGCTTTTACACAAATGGGATAACATTATACATACCCATTTAGCAATAGATCATAACCGTCTTTCTAAGTCACTATCTATAAATCCTATCTCATTATTTTTCAAGGTATATAGCATTCATTAGTGAAGCTACTTAAGATGTACTTAACCAGTACTTTCATTGGGTAGTTTTATTTCTATACTTTTGCCTTTCATAACCATAACTTTGTTTAGCAGTGTGAGAATGGTGCCCACTGACCATAGGCTAGATTGACAGCAAAACTGCTGGATGAGTTGACTTAATTTAGTTGCAATATGTAGGCTATTCTACCTTAAAAAGAGCTAGTCAGTGCAACCTAAATGACTGCCACAGAAGCCAAGGAGCTGTTTTGATCACAAGGAATACCATTTGGGGGCAGCCACATCCCATGGGCTCAGCCAAGAGAAAAATGTAAATCTTTACTAGACACTGCCACAGTCCATTCGGGCAGAGATTTTCCAAAGCTTAATAACCTCATAGGTTTCTGTACCTTCAGTCAGCTTTATATATTAAATAATGCATCAAGAAAATGAATAAGCCTTCAGTTGGGAAAGTGTAACTATCAATGGGCAACAGAGATGATATCATTATTTGACAGGAAGACAGTCAAGAAGTCTCATAGGGCCGGGCGCCGTGGCTCACACCTGTAATCCCAGCACTTTGGGAGGTTGAGGCGGGCAGATTGCCTGAGGTCAGGAGTTCAAGACCAGCCTGGCCAACACGGTGAAACACTGTCTCTACTAAAAATACAAAAAGTAGCCGGGCATGGTGGTGTGCACCTGTAATCCCAGCTACTCGCGGGGGGCGTGGTATGGGGGAGCTGGGCTGAGGCAGGAGAGTCGCTTGAACCCAGGAGGCAGGGGTTGCAGTGAGCCAAGATCGCACCACTGCCCTCCAGCCCAAGTGATAAAGCAGGACTCCGTCTCAAAAAAAAAAAAAAATGGGACAGTAGGATGTCATTTCCTCACTGAGCCTTGGCAGTGCATTAAGTTCCACTTGCAACAATCTGCGTGTTTCACTCGGACTACAATTTCTTGAAACTCTACCTTCCATTCTATCCCATGCATCTTGCCTTCTATTCCAAATCTGTTGGTTCTGTCTGGGTATCTGCCCAGCCTCTTCAACTAGAGCCTTTATTTGAAATACATCCCTTGCTCTTAGCCCCATATTCACACAATATTACATTATTCTAGATTTGCTTTGATTCCACATTCTGCTACCTGCCTTCCCAAATTTCTGCCTGTACCCAGTGCTTAAGGCTACTACTCATCTGGGGATGACATTCAGAAATCACCATCTACCACCATCAAAGGACAGGAGGTTCTGGCCAAATGACATGAATAACTTTATACTGGAGAGGAAAGCACCGAGTTATCATACCTTGAGGACAACGGTAGTTGGTGTGGTATAGGTAACGTATTTAGAGCAACATCTGGAGTACAGGGAGTGCTCCATAAGTGTCAGTTGTCGGGAAGCCCATCAGACTAACAGCGGATCTCTCAGCAGAAACTCTACAAGCCAGAAGAGAGTGGGGGCCAATATTCAACATTCTTAAAGAAAAGAATTTTCAACCCAGAATTTCATATCCAGCCAAACTAAGCTTCATAAGTGAAGGTGAAATAAAATCCTTTACAGACAAGCAAAGGCTGAGAGCTTTTGTCACCACCAGGCCTGCCTTACAAGAGCTCCTGAAGGAAGCACTAAGCATGGAAAGGAACGACTGGTACCAGCCTCTGCAAAAACACGCCAAATTGTAAAGACCAAGGATGCTAGGAAGGAACTGCATCAACTAACGGGCAAAATAACCAGCTAACATCATAATGACAGGACCAAATTCACATATAACAATATTAACCTTAAATGTAAATGGGCTAGATGCCCCAACTAAAAGACACAGACTGGCAAACTGGATAAAGAGTCATGACCCATCAGGGTGCTGTATTCAGGAGACTCATCTCACTTGCAGAGACACACATAGGCTCAAAATAAAGGGATGGAGGAAGATCTACAAAGCAAATGGAAACCAACAAAAAGCAGGGGTTGCAACCCTAGTCTCTGATAAAACAGACTTTAAACCAACAAAGATCAAAAGAGACAAAGAAGGCTATTACATAATGGTAAAGGGATCTATTCAACAAGAAGAACTAACTATCCTAAATATATATGCACCCAATACAGGAGCACCCAGATTCATAAAGCAAGTCCTTAGAGACCTACAAAGAGACTTAGACTCCCACACAACAATAATGGGAGATTTTAACACCCCACTGTCGATATTAGACAGATCAACGAGACAGAAAATTAACAAGGATATCTAGGACTTGAACTCAGCTTTGCAGCAAGCTGACCTAATAGACATCTACAGAACTCTCCACCCCAAATCAACAGAATATACATTCTTCTCAGCACCACATTGCACTTATTCCAAAATTGACCACATAGTTGGACGTAAAGCACTCCTTAGCAAATGTGAAAGAACAGAAATTATAACAAACTGTCTCTCAGACCACAGTGTAATCAAACTAGAACTCAGGATTAAGAAACTCACTCAAAACTGCACAACTACATGGAAACTGAACAACCTGCTCCTGAATGACTCCTGGGTAAATAATGAAATGAAGGCAGAAATAAATATATTATTTGAAACCAATGAGGACAAAGACACAAGGTTCCAGAATCTCTGGGACACATTTAAAGCAGTGAGTAGAGGGAAATTTATAGCACTAAATGCCCACAAAAGAAAGCAGGAAAGATCTAAAATCGATACCCTAACATCACAATTAAAAGAACTAGAGAAACAAGAGCAAACAAATTCAAAAGCTAGCAGAAGGCAAGAAATCACTTAAAATCAGAGCAGAATTGAAGGAGATAGAGAAACAAAAAAACCCTTCAAAAAATCAATGAATCCAGGAACTGGTTTTTTGAAAAGATCAACAAAATTGATAGACCACTAGTAAGACTAATAAAGAAGAAAAGAGAGAAGAATCAAATAGATGCAATAAAAAATGATAAAGGGGATATCACCACCGATCCCACAGAAATACAAACTACCATCAGAGAATACTATAAACACCTCTATGCAAATAAACTAGAAAATCTAGAAGAAATGAATAAATTCCTGGACACATACACCCTCCCAAGACTAAACCAGGAAGAAACTGAATCTCTGAATAGACCACTAACAGGCTCTGAAATTGAGGCAATCATTAATAGCTTACCAACTGAAAAAAGTCCAGAACCAGATAGATTCACAGCCGAATTCTACCAGAGGTACAAAGAGGAGCTGGTACCATTCCTTCTGAAACTATACCAATCAACAGAAAAAGAAGGAATCCTCCCTAACTCGTTTTATGAGGCCAGCATCATCCTGAAACCAAAACCTGGCACAGACACAACAAAAAAAGAGAATTTTAGACCAATATCTCTGATGAATATCGATGCAAAAATTCTCAATAAAATACTGGCAAACCGAATCCAGCAGCACATCAAAAAGGTTATCCACCACGATCAAGTCAGCTTCATCCCTGGGATGCAAGCCTGGTTCAGCATACTCAAATCAATAAACATAATCTATCACATAAACAGAACCATCAGCAAAAACCACATGATTATCTCAACAGATGCAGAAAAGGCCTTTGACAAAATTCAACAGCACTTCATGCTAAAAACTCTCAATAAACTAGGTATTGATGGAACATATCTCAAAATAATAAGAGCTATTTATGACAAACCCACAGCTTAATTACTAATCAAAGCTTCCTGATTTAATGTGAGACACATCATTTTGAATAAAATTAACTGATGAATGGACACATCGGGTAGAATTTGAGCTTCTGTTAAAGCATGCCCTGTGTATGACAATAGCCTAGATGTCTTTGAAATAACAATCACACATTGGAGTTTTCATAAGAGGGAAATAAGCTGGATGCTATCTTACATTTTTTTCTACAAAGTTCTATGTCTACAAGCTTATTCCTGTTAACATTTAAAATAAAAGATAGGTCGGGCACGGTGGCTCACGCCTGTAATCCCAGCACTTTGGAAGGCCGAGGTGGGTGGATCATCTGAGGTCGGAAGTTCAAGACCAGCCTGACCAACATGGAGAAACCCCATCTCTACTAAAAATACAAAATTAGCCGGGCATGGTGGCGCATGCCTGTAATCCCAGCTACTCGGGAGGCTGAGGCAGAAGAATCACTTGAACCCGGGAGGCGGAGATTGCAGTGAGCCGAGATCGCGCCACTGCAGTCCAGCCTGGGCAACAAGAGTGAAACTCCATCTCAAAAAATAATAATAATAATAATAATAATAATAATAATAATAATAATAATAAAAGGTAAACAAAGTTATTCAATTATCTGCCCTAAATTCACTGAACCTTGTAGCTTTCCTTCTCCACTTTATAGTAAACAGCATTGACACCAAGTAAGAAGTGCATTTCTGTTTGGGCACTACTGAGAAAAGTCACTTAACCTCTTGGGTCTCTCACTCACTCTTTTTTAAAATAAATAGTTTATTTATCTCAAAAGACTGCCTTGAGAAGCCAGCAAGTGCTTATAGGAGGTGCCTTGACTGTACGACAGGGAGGTATCTCTGATGATCTCAGACACTCTAAGAAAAACCAAAGTCAATACTGAGTAGGTCACTGGAGGCTTGACTTGGTATTAACCCCTGGTGTTTCAAAATGTATATGTCATCGACTGTGATTTTTTAAAGATAAAAGCTTTGAGGCAGCTTTATGGTTTCAGTTTCCTTTCAGGCCCTGTTTTATGCAAGATGTGAAAAAAACAAACAAACAAAAAAAAAAAACAAAAAAAACTAATGGAAAGAGCCCATTTCTGTCAGTAAATTATCCTGCACATGCCTGCCAATTAATATGTGGCCTTCCAGAAATTTTGACCATCACAAGCACAATACGCAGGAAATGCAGAGGTGCAGCAATGCGTTGCTGTGACAGCAAGGTTCTGGATATGGAGAAAGTTGGCCAGCATCTGCCCTTTTCCTCCAGGCACTGCTTTCTCCTGGAGGGCCCCAACTTGTTGTCCATCCTTCCTATTTCACTGAACTGTCAGGACTCACAAGGTACGTTACCCTTGGCCTTCATATATCTTTCTGGGGCTCCAGGGCAGTGAGGTCAATGAGGACAAACTCTAAAGAAGAGTAAAACAAGGAGGCCTGGTCATCACAACCTAGAATATAAATGCCCAGAAAACAGAGTAGAATTCAGTTACAAAAAGCTCCCCAGTCTCCTGTTCTTTCCTTTACCTTCCACGGCCAAGCAGCTTCGAGGGAGGCTCCACCAGGCATCAGCCTCTTCCAGGTTTACATCCCTCAGGATGATATTGAGTGGTTGTGACTGGCCCACAGTTTCAGTGCATCTACTTTATGCAGGTGTGAAAACTGATCAGTACGAAGCTGTCAGCTATTTTTTTATTGAGCAATTTGGAGGTTAAGAAAAGTGATAGAGGCTGGGCGCAGTGGCTCATGCCTGTAATCCCAGCACTTGGGGAGGCCAAGGTACTCGGGAGGCTGAGGCAGGAGAATCACTTGAACCCAGGAGGTGGAAGTTGCAGTGAGCAGAGATCACGCCACTGCCCTCCAGCCTGGGCAACAAAGCAAGGCTCTGGCTTAAAGAAAGAAGAAAAGGGAAGAGAAGCAGAGAGGAGGGGAGGGGAGGGGAGGGGAGGGCAGGGCAGGGCAGGGCAGGACAGGGCAGGGCAGGGAAGGGCAGGGAAGGGAAGGGAAGGGAAGGGAACGGAAGAGAAGGGAAATATTAATAACAAGTGTTGGCAAAGATGTAGAGGAACTGGAACTCTTGTACCTTGCTGGTGAAAATGTAAAATGGTACAGATACTGTGGGAAACAGTACCGCAGTTCCTTAAAAAATTTAACAAATTAAATAACTTAAATAAATTAAATAATTAATAACTCATTAAATAAATTACTCTATGATCCAACAATTCCACTTCTAGGTATATGCCCAAAAGAACTGAAAACAGGGACTCAAGCAGATATTTGTACACCCGTGTTTGCAACAGCATTACTCACAAGAGCCAAAACATAGAAGCAACCCGAGTGTCCATCAATGGATGAGTGAGTAAACCGAATGTGGCATATACACACTATGGAATATTATTCCGCTTGAAAAAGGAAGGAAATGCTGACGGCTGCTGCAGTGTGAATGAACTTTGGAAACATTACGCTAAGTGAAGCAAGCTAGCTATGAAAGGACAAATACTGCATGATTCCACTTACAGTACGTACCTAAAGTAGCCAAATTCATAGAGAAAGAAAGTAGAAAGTTGCCAGGAGCTGGGGAGTTATTGTCTAGTGGGCACAGAGTTTTAGTTTGAGAAGATAAAAAAGTTCTGGAGATGCATAATGGTGATTGTTGCCAAAAAATATGAACGTACTCAATGCCACCAAACTGTACCACTTAACTGAAAAATGATTACAAGAGGAAATTTTTGTTATATATATTTTAAATTTAAAAAGAAAGGTGATCCTTGTCTAGGGCAGTCCCAGTTTATATTTTTGGCCTGGAATACTTAATATTAGCAGCCCCTCTCCTCTTACTTAAGAACTTAAGTGACTATGTCCCAAACTGGACAACAGATAGTATAATCACTCTAAGATTAAATAACTATTCAGTATCATCTCATTAGAATATGGCAGAGGTATGCTTCTTATCCTCAAATCTGTCTGATTCCAGAGCCCATGTTCTTCACCACCACACATCCTGCAGAATTGCTAATGATGCTGCTCGCTGGCCTACATCAGGTTTGCCACTATTTATTGTGTCAACTCTGCTGACTTACATGGAGCACTGAGGTGCTACCTACTTAGTAAGAAACACTGGCCGGGCACGGTGGCTCACACCTGTAATCCCAACACTTTGGGAGGCTGAGGTGGGTGGATCACCTGAGGTCAGGAGTTCAAGACCAGCCTGACCAACACTGCGAAACCCTGTCTCTACTGAAAATACAAAAATTAGCCGGATGTGGTGGTGCATGCCTGTAATTCCAGCTAGTTGGGAGGCTGAGACAGGAGAATCACTTGAACCTGGGAAGCAGAGGTTGCAGTGAGCCAAGATCACGCCATTGCACTCCAGCCTGGGTGACAGGAGCAAAATTCTGTCACAGCAAAACTCCGTCAAAAAAAAAAAAAGAAAAGAAAAAAGAAACATTGATTCTCTTAATGCTAATCAAAAGAAATGCTTATATATTTTTTAAAAAGGAGAACGGGGATGAGCAAAGAATAGAAACATCACAGACCGATGAACAGAACATCTTCTGGTATAATCCATGGGTTTTAGTAATCGAATGGTGCAATAGCATCAGGGCCAAAAGCAGGTGGATACAAAACCAACACCAAAACCAGTCACTCCATGACTCAGTTGACACAGGGTGAGTAATGATCAGCAAACATAGACCGGAGTGTCTACTCGAGGCAGGAAGCCAATAACTGCTTGGGAACTTTGTCTTTGACCAAAGAGGTTCCACTGACGCTCTTTCTAAACTCACTGGAGAGCCTGGAGTAATGTTTCTAGTCATGCAGGTTTCTGGGTCACACCGACCTGAGCTGGGATCCCAATGCTCCCAGTCACTTCCTCCAACACTTTGTACCAGTGACAAAGTCTCTAATCATCTGAGTCAAAATGCCTCTTTCATAGGGTTACCGTGAGGATTCAGTATTTGTCTGGAGAACATGAAGCATGTTGCTTAGCATACAGGGTAATATTCTATAAATATTATTACCTAGAAAATAGAGTGCAAGAACCCTTGATTCTCAGATCCTAGTAAGCTTGTTTATTCTCTCCCTCCACCCTGCCCCAAATCCTCTAAACCCAAATAGTCACTAGCAAAGTAAAAGAAAGAATAAATGCATTCAAGAATCCAGATAATCTGGACCTCAAAGAAAGAAGCCTTCGGAGGATCCCAAAATTATCTAGAAAATCGCTTCCCTTTTCCAGTTATTTTGCTCCTCCGTGGTTGGGGTAAAACTTGCAGTCCTATCTCCAAATGTAGCCAATGTTCACCCACTTCTGGAAAAATCAGATGGCCCCGAAAGAGTGGGCTTTGTCCAATTCTTGGGGACATATTGAGACACAGTAATGCAGAGCCAGACTGGAGTATCTCAGTTTCTGAGTGCTTAAGCATTATGTGGCTGGTCCACGATCAGTTCAACCCCCCTTTCCCTGTTTCTCCCACCCAATATTCCAATCAACTCTGTTTTGTTGTCCCTTTTTGTATTAGGGATATGATAGGCTAAGTGTATGACCCAGACATTGGAGACAGCCCCTGGGGGAAGGTCTGTTCCTATCTTAAACATTTTTAAGGAAGTGTTTACAATGTCTGGCAATACCCTAGCAGGTAGTCTTCACGTACTGGGGGCAAATAAATTATAAATGAGGATCATTTATGTGTCTGCCTCTGTAGTTTTAATTTTTTGCTTTTATTTTTAGTTGACATGTAGTAATTGTATGTATTTATGAAGTATTGCCTCTGTAGTTTTAAAAAAATAAAATTTAGCTGCTCCCAGGGGGTTTGGCCAAGTGTGGTTTTCAGAGATCACTCCAGCCACACAAGCATCTGGTGACCATGTGGTTCCTGCTGATGAGTGACAGGCAGGCAGACACATGTCATGAGAGGTATATGCATTTGTCAGCATACAATTACTTAATAGCCTTAAAGGATAAGCGTAGAATTTCTGTCACTCATTATGCCAAATAAACATCACCAGTTTTTGAACCAAAACAGTACTTGAAAGAGTTTATGAGAATGATCTGATAGTTAGTGTATTAGTCTATTTTCATGCTGCTGATAAAGACATACCCCAGACTGAGAAATTTACAAAAGAAAGAGGTTTAATTGGACTTACAGTTCCACGTGGCTGGGGAAGCCTCACAATCATGGCAGAAGGCAAGGAGGAGCAAGTCACATCTTACATGGATGGCAGCAGGCAAAGAGAGAGAACTTGTGCAGGAAAACTCCTCTTTTTAAAAACCATCAGATCTCATGACACTTATTCACTATCAAGAGAACAGCATGGGAAAGACTTGCCCCCATGATTGAATTACCTCCCCCCATGTCCATCCCACAACATGTGGGAATTCAAGGTGAGATTTGAGTGGGGACACAGCCAAACCATATCAGTTAGCATACATCTCCTTAACCAAAAATGTAAGAGCAGCCAGTCACAATGGCTCATGCCTGCAATCCAATGCTTTGGGAGGCCAAGGCAGAAGAATTGCTGGAGCCCAGGAGGTCGAGGCTATCATGAGCTATGATTGCACCTCTGTACTGAAGCCTGGGCAACAGAATAAGACCTTGTCACCAAAAAAAAAAAAAAAAAAAAAAAAAATTAAGGCTTTTTTAGGAGAGTCAAAATGTGAAAGCTATGTACAAACTCCTAAAGGAACTGCCAAACCATAGAAAGAGGCACTAAAACAGGTCAGAGAACACTAAACAAAGTGAAGAAGGGATGGAACAGAGTAGAATGAAATATTTTGGAGGTAATAAAACAGAAGCCCAGGAAATAAGTCTTAACAAGCTGCAATCACCATGGAAAAGCATAACTTGGGAAAAATGTGTGTTGTGCCTGGAAACACTTTCTGAAACGTGGTCACCATCCTCAGACCAAATGTAGCTGTCATCCCACTGATATGAAAATCCCTTTCGTACTCATTGGCACCAACAAGACACAGAGACAGGCTTATGAGCAGACTTTGCTTATACATTTTGAAATCTATATTGAATCACAAACAATATCTGTTCCTTTCTCTCCATTTCAATCCTGATACTCATTATATATCTCTGGAGCCATAAAGCCAGATTCAAATCCTGCATCCAAACTCAACAGCTGTGTGCCCTTGGATAAGTTGCTTAAAATGGAAATAATAATGGTGCCTGCTTCAGTGAGTTGTTGTTAAAGAGGACACAGTTAACATATGCAAAGTGGTTAGAACAGTGCCTGGCACTATTTTCATTATTATTAATATCTTAGAGAATAAGTTCACTCAGTATTACAATTATTAAATAATAAGTTGTATCCATATTTCATTAACAATTATTAAGCTCCCTAGAGCAGAGCACGTTATGTAAAGCACAACTACTTTAATGAAAATGAACATAAGGATAATGATTTAGGAACATTGAGGCTGTTTACTACTTCTTAGGCAAACATAATGTACTTTATGGCATCATTCAAAGACAAGAGCAATAATTTTTCCACTACTTAGAGGTTTGCAAATGCATCATTTCTTCTGCTGAAGGTCTGTTTTCCATCAGCTCCAGAAGCCTTATGTAAATGAAGGTGGATTCTGTCTATGAGATTTAAATAATGTTGTTTTGTATTTTTTTGACACCAAATGACTTTAAGCTAATGCCTTTGTTTCATTATTTGCTCTTCTATATATATTTTTTTCCTGACTTTTTTTCAGTTTGGAACACTGTAAATTTAGCCTTAATTATTTGTGGTCCTTCCTCTACCAGCTTCAGATTCCAAGGAGAATGCAGATTGTACATACACTGTCTTGAATTTATTTGTTATCATTCAGAGAATTCCAAATATGGACATTCCTAGGTCTTTTGTGCTATTTCTACTCAAGGAAAAACATTATGTTCCATTTTTCTTAATACCTTTCTTGAGCTTCTAAATTGTATCATACAAAAAATATCTAGGGTTCCTTGTTCCTTAGTAAGTGAAATTTGGTTTTCTTCCAAAACCAGAATACTTTTTTTTTAATTAAAATCTGTACCAATTTTATCCTGTGTGGAAAAGAAAATAAGCAATAGTAGTAAATATGGAACTCATTCAAAGTTAAAACAATCCCCGTCTAGCTTCCCTCTTTCACCTTCTAAATCAATGGTGAGTTCATTTTTCAATTATCTTGGACAAAACAACAATAATCATAACTAGTAGTAGTCCTTGCTATAAACGTCTTTACATATCAATAGCTCATAGGCATATTTTATTTTATTTTAAGCTATCTCCTACTGGAAAGAAAACATATTTATTTAGCTGGCATATTTTTTAATTGAGTTATTTGAAAATCTGGACATTTTATATGAAAATCTGGATTTTCAGCTTCTTTTGAAAAATTAAAAATTCCAGTATTTGTGGGTCCACATTCTCAACATGGCGAGTGGGTTCACATTCTCAACATGGCAAGCAGCTATCTAGAGCTTAACAGCTGCTCCCATTAAAAGCAGTATGAGTTTCCAATGCCATTCAATATGTGGGGTGAAGGGCAGGGGGTACCCACTTCCCTCACTGATGTTATTGCCTAGTTCCTGGAGAGATCTGAGATTGCAACCTCTGTTCTCCACCTTGAAGTGTTTTTCCTAGTTTCCCAAGAATGAAGTGATATAGTTTGGCTGTGTCCCCACAAATCTCACTTTGAATTTTAATTATCCCTACATGTTAAGGGCAGGGTCAGGTGGAGATAACTGAATCATGGGAGCAGTTTCCCCCATTCTGTTCTCGAAGTCTCACAAGATCTGATGGTTTCATACATACGAGTTCCCCTGCACAAGTTCTCTTGCCTGCCACCATGTAAGACATGACTTTGCTCCTCCTTTGCCTTCTGCCATGATTGTGAGGCCTCCCCAGCCATGAGGAACTGTGAATCAATTAAACCTCTTTGCTTTATAAATTACCCAGTCTTGGGTATGTCTTTATTAGCAGCATGAGAACAGACTAATACATGAAGCACTGTCACAATTCCAACATTTCAAATGCACATACTTTGATCCAACAATTCTACTGAAAAAACTACGAAAGGTCATACAAATATATATGGATGTCCACTACAATATTGCTTCCAACAGGAAAAAAAATAAATCAACGTAAATATCAATAGGAACTGGTTGAATAAGTGATGGTGAATCCGTGCAAGAGAATACTAGAGAGTTCCCTGAAGCAAAAAAGTAAATCTAAGCATATTAAAATGGAAATATGTCCAAAATATATTAAGTGGGAAAAAAGCAAAGTACAGAACAGTACATAATATGCGATCCAATCTGTAGGGAAAATGAATTTCAACATTTTAGAAGAAAACATAAGCAACTTTTTTTTTTTTTAGATGAAGTCTTGCTCTGTCACCCAGGCCAGAGTGCAGTGGCGTGATCTTGGCTCACTGCAAACTCTGCCTCCCAGGTTCAAAGCGATTCTCCTGCCTCAGCCTCCTGAGTAGCTGGAATTACAGGTAAGTGCCATCACGCCCGGCTAATTTTTGCATTTTTAGTAAAGACCGGGTTTCACCATGTTGGTCAGGCTAGTCTCAAACTCTGGATCTCGTGAGCCACCCACCTCAGCCTCCCAAAGTGCTGGGATTACAGGCGTTAGCCACCATACCCGGCAACATAAGCAACTTTTAAAAACTACATTACTTTTATACTTTTAAAAGAAGAAAGTGGAAGGGCGCAGTGGCTCACATCTGTAATTCCAGCACTTTAGGAGGCCTAGGCAGGTGGATCACCTGAGGTCAGGAGCTCGAGACCAGACAGACCAACATGGTGAAACCCCGTCTCCACTAAAAATACAAAATTTACCAGGTAGTTAATTAAAAATTAGCCGGGTGTGGTGGCGCATGCCTGTAATCCTAGTTACTCTGGAGGCTGAGGCAGGAGAATCACTTGAAACCAGGAGACGGAGGTTGCAGTGAGCTGAGATCACACCATTGCACTCCAGCCTGGGCAACAAGAGTGAAACTCCGTCTCAAAATAAAAAAAATAAAAAAATTTAAAAAATAAAAAAGAAGAAGGAAGCACTATGAAAAGGTTTATTTCAAATCATTTCATGCATAATTATCATCACGTCTTCATGTTATTTATTTGACTGCCTGTCTTGGTAACAGAGTTCCTGTTCCTCTACAGTCGAGCCTGATTTTATTTCTTAGGCAAGAGGAAGAGGTTATTCCAAGATGGCTGAATAGGAACAGCTCCAGTCTGCAGCTCACGGTGAGATCAACGCAGAAGACGGGTGATTTCTGCATTTCCACCTGAGGTACCTGGCTTATCTCATTGGGACTGGTTAGACAGTTGGTGCAGCCCACAGAGGGCAAGCTGAAGCAGGGTGGGGCGTTGCCTCACAGAGAAAAGCAAGGGGTCAGAGAATTCCCTCTCTTAGCCAAGGGAAGCTGTGAGGGATCGTGCTGTGAGTAATGGTGCACTCCAGCCTAGATACTATGCTTTTAACATGGACTATGCAAGCTGCAGACCAGGAGATTCTCTTGGGTGCCTATGCCACCAGGGCCCTGGGTTTCAAGCATAAAACGAAGTGGCCGGTTCACCAGACACCGAGCTAGCTACAAGAGTTTTTTTTCATACCCCAGTGGCAGTGGAACACCAGCGACACAGAATCATTTACTCCCCTGGAAAGGGGCTGAAGCCAAGAAACCAAAGGGGCTGGCTCAGCAGATCCCACTCCCATGGAGCCCAGCAAGCTAAGATCCACTGGCTTGAAATTCTCGCTGCCAGCACAGCAGTCTGAAGTTGACCTGGGATGCTCGAGCTTGGTTGGGGGAGGGGCATCCGCCATTCCTGAGGCTTGGGCAGGCAGTTTTTCCCCTCACAGTGTACACAAAGCCGCTGGGAAGTTTGAACTGGGTGGAGCCACTGCAGTTCAGCAAAGCCACTATGGCAAGACTGCCTCTCTAGATTCCTCCTCTCTGGGCAGGGCATATCAGAAAGAAAGGCAGCAGCCCCAGTCAGGGGCTTATAGATAAAACTCCCATCTCCCTGGGACAGAGCACCTGGGGGAAGGGGTGGCTGTGGGCACAGCTTCAGCAGACTTAAATGTTCCTGCCTGCCGGCTCTGAAGAGAGCAGTGGATCTCCCAGGATGGCCCTCAAGCTCTGCTAAGGGACAGACTGCCTCCTCAAGTGGGTCCCTGACCCCTATGCCTCCTGACCAGGAGACACCTCCCAGCAGGGGTCAACAGATACCTCATACAGGAGAGCTCCTGCTGGTATCTGGTGGGTGCCCCTCTGGGACAAAACTTCCAGAGGAAGGAACAGGCAGCAATCCTTGCTGTTCTACAGCCTCCGCTGGTGATACCCAGGCAAACAGGGTCTGGAGTGTACCTCCAGCAAAATCCAGCAGACCTGCAGCAGAGAGGCCTGACTGTTAGAAGGAAAACTAACAAACAGAAAGGAATAGCATCAACATGAACAAAAAGAGCATCCACACAGAAACCCCATCCACAGGTCACCAATATCAAAGACCGAAGGTAGATAAATCCCCGAAGATGAGGAAGACCAGTGCAAAAAGGCTGGAAAGTCCAAAAACCAGAATGCCTCTTCTCCTCCAAAGGATCACAACTCTTTACCAGCAGGGAACGAAACTGGACAGAGAATGAGTTTGACAAATTGACAGACGTAGACCTCAGAAAGTGGGTAATAACAAACTGCTCCGACCTAAAGGAGCATGTTCTAACCCAATGCAAGGAAGCTAAGAACCTTGAAAAAAGGTTAGAGGAATTGCTAACTACAGTAACCAGTTTAGAGAAGAACGTAAATGACCTAATGGAGGTGAAAAATACAGCAGGAGAACTTCATGAAGCATTCGCAAGTATCAATAGCCAAATCGATCAAGCAGAAGAAAGGATATCAGAGATTGAAGATCAACTTAATGAAATAAAGCATGAAGACAAGATTAGAGAAAAAAGAATGAAAAGGAGTAAAGAAAACCTCCAAGAAATATGGGACTATGTGAAAATACCAAATCTATGTTTGATTGGTATACCTGAAAGTGATGGGGAGAGTGGAACCAAGTTGGAAAACACTCTTCAGGATATTATCCACAAGAACTTCTCCAACTTAGCAAGACAGGCCAACATTCAAATTCAGGAAATACAGAGAACACCACAAAGCTACTCCTCGAGAAGAGCAACTCCAAGACACATAATTATAAGATTCACCAAGGTTGAAATGAAGGAAAAGATGTTAAGGGCAGCCAGAGAGAAAGGTCGGGTTACCCACAAAGGGAAGACCATCAGACTAACAGCGGATCTCTCTGCAGAAACCCCACAAGCCAGAAGAGAGTGGGGGCCAATATTCAACATTCTTGAAGAAAAGAATTTTCAACCCAGAATTTCATATCCAGCCAAAATAAGCTTCATAAGTGAAAGAGAAATACAACCCTGTACAGACAAGCAAATACTGAGAGATTTTGTCATCACCAGGCCTGCCTTACAAGAGCTCCTGAAGGAAGCACTAAATATGAAAGGAAAAACCGGTACCAGCCACTGCAAAAACATACCAAATTGTAAAGACCATCGACACTATGAAGAAACTGCCTCAACTAACGGGAAAAATAACCAGCTAGCATCATAATGATGGGATCAAATTCACACAAAGCAATATTAACCTTAAACGTAAATAGGCTAAATGCCCCAATTAAAAGACACAGACTGGCAAATTGGATAAAGAGTCAAGACCCATCAGTGTGCTATATTCAAGAGACCCATCTTACATGCAAAGACACATATAGGCTCAAAACAAAGGGTTGGAGGAATATTTACCAAGCAAATGGAAAGCAAAAAAAGCAGGGATTGTGATCCTTGTCTCTGATAAAATGGACTTTAAGCCAAAAAAGATCAAAAAAGACGAAGAAGGGCATTACATAATGGTAAAGGGATCAACGCAACAAAAAGAGCTAACTATCCTAAATATGTATGTACCCAATACAGGAGCACCCAGATTCATAAAGCAAATTCCTAGAAACATACAAAGAGACTTAGATTCCCACACAATAATAGCGGGAGACTTTAACACCCCACTGTCAATATTAGATAGATCAACGAGACAGAAAATTAACAAGGATATACAGGAGTTAAACTCAGCTCTGGAACAAGCAGACCTAATAGACATGTACAGAACTCTCCAACCCAAATCAACAGAATATACATTCTTCTCAGCACCACATCACACTTATTCTAAAATTGACCACATAATTGGAAGTAAAACACTCCTCAGCAAATGCAAAAGAACAGAAATCGTAACGGTCTCTCAGACCACAGTGCAATCAAATTAGAACTCAGGATTAAGAAACTCACTGAAAACCACAAAACTACATGGAAACTGAACAACCTGTTGTTTAATGACTACTGGGTAAATAACAAAATTAAGGCAGAGATAAATAAGTTCTCTGAAACCAATGAAAACAAAGACACAATGTACCAGAATCTCTGGCACTCAGCTAAAGCAGTGTTTAGAGGGAAATTTATAGCACTAAATGTGCATAGGAGAAAGCAGGAAAGACCTAAAATTGACACCCTAACATCACAATTAAAAGAACTAGAGAAGCAAGAGCAAACAAATTCAAAAGCTAGCAGAGGACAAGAAATAACTAAGATCAGAGCAGAATTGAAGGAGGTAGAGACACGAAAAACCGTTCAAAAAAAAAAAATCAATGAATCCAGGAGCTGGCTTTTTGAAAAGATTAACAAAACAGATAGACAACTAGCAAGACTAATGAAGAAAAGAGAGAATAACCAAACAGATGCAATGAAAAATGATAAAGGTGAGATCACCACCGATCCCACAGAAATACAAACTACCCGTCAGAAAATACTATAAACACCTCTATGCAAATAAACTAGAAAATCTGGAAGAAATGGATAAATTCCCGGACACATACACACTCCTAAGACTAAACCAGGAGGAATTTGAATCCCTGAATAGACCAATAACAAGTTCTGAAATTGAGGCAGTAATTAATAGCCTACCAACCAAAAAAAGCCCAGGACCAGACGGATTCACAGCCAAATTCTACCAGAGGTACAAAGAGGAGCTGGTACCATTCCTTCTGAAACTATTAGAAACCACAGAAAAAGAGGGACTCTGCCCTAACTCATTTTATGAGGCCAGCCTCATCCTGATACCAAAACCTGGCAGAGACACAACAAAAAAAGAAAATTTCAGGCCAATCTCCCTGATGAACATCAATGTGAAAATCCTCAATAAAATACTGGCAAACTGAATCCAGCAGCACATCAAAAAGCTTATCCACCACAATCAAGTCAGCTTCATCCCTGGGATGCAAGGCTGGTTCAACATATGCAAATCAATAAACGTAATCCCTCACATAAACAGAACCAATAACAAAAACCACATGATTATCTTAATAGAAGCAGAAAAGGTCTTCAATAAAATTCAACAGCCCTTCATGCTAAAAACTCTCAATAAACTAGGTATTGATGGAATGTATCTCAAAATAATTGATGGAACGTATCTCAAAAGAGCTGTTTATGACAAACCCACGGCCAGTATCACACTGAATGGGCAAAAGCTGGAAGCATTCCCTTTGAAAACCGGCACAAGACAAGGATGCCCTCTCTCACGACTCCTATTCAACATAGTATTGGAAGTTCTGGCCAGGGCAATCAGGCAAGAGAAAGGAATAAAGGTATTCAAATAGGAAGAGAGGAAGTCAAATTGTCTCTGTTTGCAGATGACATAATGGTATATTTAGAAAACCCCATTGTCTCAGCCCAAAATCTCCTTAAGCTGATAAGCAACTTCAGCAAAGTCTCAGGATACAAAATCAATGTGCAAAAATCACAAGCATTCCTGTACACCAATAATAGGTAAACAGAGAGCCAAATCATAAATGAACTCCCATTCACAATTGCCACAAAGAGAATTAAATACCTAGGAATACAACTTACAAGGGATGTGAAAGACCTCTTCAGGGAGAACTACAAACCACTGCTCAAGGAAATAAGAGAGGACACAAACAAACAGAAAAACATTCCATGCTCATGGATAGGAAAAATCAATATCATGAAAATGGCCATACTGCCCAAAGTAATTTATAGATTCAATGCTATCCCCATCAAGCTACCACTGACTTTCTTCACAGAATTAGAAAAAACTACTTTAAATTTCATATGGAACCAAATAAGAGCCCGTATAGCCAAGACAATCCTAGGCAAAAAGAACAAAGCTGGAGACATCATGCTATGCTACCTGACTTCAAACTATATTACAAGGCTACAGTAACCAAAACAACACAGTACTAGTACCAAAGCAGATAATGCAGACCAATAGAACAGAACAGAGGCCTCAGAAGTAACGCCACACATCTAAAACCATCTGATCTTTGACAAACTTGACAAAAACAAGCAATGGGGAAAGGATCTGCTATTTAATAAATGGTGTTGGGAAAACTGGCTAGCCATATGCAGAAAACTGAAACTGGACCCCTTCCTTATACCTTACACAAAAATTAACTCAAGATGGATTAAAGACTTAAACATAAGACCTAAAACCATAAAAACCCTAGGAGAAAACTTAGGCAATACCATTCAGGACATAGGCATGGGCAAAGACTTCATGAATAAAACACCAAAAACAATGGCAACAAAAGCCAAAATTGACAAATGGGATTAAACTAAAGAGCTTCTGCACAGCAAAAGAAACTATCACCAGAGTGAACAGGCAACCTACAGAATGAGAGAAAATTTTTGCAATCTATCTATCTGACAAAGGGCTAATATCCAGAATCTACAAGGAACTTAAATAAATTTATGAGAAAGAAAACAACTCCATCAAAAAGTGAGCAAAGGATATGAACAGACACTTCTCAAAAGAAGACATTTGTGCGGCCAACAAACATATGAAAAAAGCTCATCATCACTGGTCATTAGAGAAATGCAAATCAAAACTACAATGAGATACCATCTCATGCCAGTTAGAATGGCGATCACTAAAAAGTCAGGAAACAACAGATGCTGGAGAGATGTGGAGAAATAGGAACACTTTTACACTGTTGGTGGGAGTGTAAATTAGTTCAACCATTGTGGAAGACAGTGTGGCGATTCCTCAAGGATCTAGAACCAGAAATACCATTTGACCCAGCAATCCCATTACTGGGTATATACCCAAAGGATTATAAATCATTCTACTATAAAGGCACATGCACATGTATGTTTATCGCAACACTGTTCACAAAAGCAAAGATTTGGAACCAACCCAAATGCCCATCAATGATAGACTGCATAAAGAAAATGTGGCACATATACTCCATGGAATACTATGCAGCCATAAAAATGGATGAGTTCATGTCCTTTGCAGGGACATGGATGAAGCTGAAAACCATCATTCTCAGCAAACTAACACAGGAACAGAAAACCAAACACCACATGTTCTCACTCATAAGTGGGAGCTGAAAAATGAGAACACAGGGACACGGGGAGGGGAACGTCACACACTTGGGCCTGTCAGGGGGTGGGGGCCTAGGGGAGGGATGGCATTCGGAGAAATACCTATTGTAGATGACAGGTTGATGGGTGAGCAAACCACCATGGCACGTGTATACCTATGTAACCTGCACATTCTGCAGATGTATCCCAGAACTTAAAGTATAATTTTAAAAAAAAAGAGGGAGAAGAGGGAGAAGGGGAAGAAGAAGGAGAAGAAGAGGAAGAAGAAGAGAAGAAGGAGGGGGAGGAGGAGGAGGAAGCTTCTGGAGGACCCATCACACCAAGCCCAAGGACCAGCACAAAAAAGACACAATGGGCCACTTTAGAAGCTGTGCTTTCCAAGAGGGCTTTGTCGTCCATGTTCCTCTGCTGTCTTCTGAAAAGTAAAGATAAGTGGGAAGAAAGGTGGGAGCTCCTCCAGGGAGAGCTGCCAAATTCAGCTCCAGATACTTTTCCAGCCCCTTTCACATTTGCATGGGGCCCTGGTGAGAGAGAGAGAAAGAGAGAGAGAGAGACACTATACATTATTTCCGTATTGCTGTTACTGTTTTGGGCAGAGTCAGGGGAGAAGAGGAAGAAAAGAGAAGAAATGACTCTGTTCTCACCAGCAGAAACCTTAACTGGTTAATGTAATACAGGAGTGTAAGAATTTGTTCTTTCCACTAAAGAGAAAACAAGGCCACGCATTCCCAATTATATGCTCACAAAGGGCAGCCAGGGAGTGCAGTTCTTGGCAGCAGCAGGATTTATGACTTGCCTTCAGCATTGCCCATCACAGAGGGGATTTTGCTGGGGACATGGGCAGCCAGAGGTAGTGGGTGCTCGGTCACTAGTGGGATGCTACACAGCAGCCACTGAAGGAGTCCCAGTCCACCCTTCCCCAGGCCTCAAGAGCAGAGGCAACTGCCGGCCCTTCCCCCATCCTGTGATCCACATCTCTAACCCCTCCAAAGCATCCAACTCACATCAGAATAAAAGGACCGGGACACATGACACTTCTAAAAGTTATCACCTCCTGCTAAAATATGTTTTTTTGGGAAAAGAAAAGTTACCAATTACCAAAAATAAAGAAACCTCGTTAAGGAAAAGACAAGCTCCACAGCACCTCCACCCACCCCACCCCCCGCCACCAATATACACACTAAACCCAACTATAAGTTTCCCTACCCTGCTCAATTCCTCTACACAAAGAAGCATGCAGTGTATATTTAATACAGGTTTCTCCTCAGAGGTAGCTGATGAACACAGAAGTCAGAAAACCTAACTCAAACATGACTTTCCAAAGAAAGGAGAAAAAAAGTATGATTGTCTTTGCTGTTGTTTTCTTAACTTACAGAGTTCTCTCCTTTTTAATATTCTAGTGTTCTTAAATCAATCACTTTGGATTTAGAGTTATTGTGAGGGTTCAAGGCTTATCACAAGAAGTATCTCAAATAAATAGTGGATCCACTGCTGTCTGATCAGTATGCATAATTTAAGGACCTTTAAACAGGAAAAAAAAAAACTAATTCAGGCTTCACTAATTCAAAATTAGTGATAATGCAAAGTACCCTTCAAACTTCAGTCTGAATCAAGTAAGTGTGGCTTACTAAACAACTGGAAAGATTAGAGATGGACGGTTTAAGCCATTTAAGATGACAAACTATCTTCACACTCTTCAACAGCATTGCCTTGCGTGTAATTTGTGCCATTAAGGTAGGAATTAGAAATGAGCCTTATCTCTATATCAAGCAGGTCAATCAAGACTAGCTATAATTAGCAACCAGTGATAATATATGCTGCTAAAATACCTGCCCTTCATTTCAAACATTTCATCCTTCATTCTTTTTGTTATTTCAAGGGGATCTTCTCAGGAATTACTATTTTTTACTATATAGCATCATCCGCGCACAGCAAGACATCAAAAGGTGCTCACCTCTGAGTCTTTGGCCTGCTGATTACGAATGACTATCAAATTGTACAGGGTTCTGTCGTCGTCTGCCTCTGTGTGGGACACATCATGGGGCATACTCCATAAATTCTTCTCATCATCCCTCACCAGAGTTGCTCCAAATGAGGAATATGGATTGTTATCACTGTTGTATAAAAAAAGGAAAGATTGGGGTTTTATAATATACATAAAATGTTATATGTCATATGCATGCAACATACAATATCAATTAAAACTTATACTATGTAATATATAAATATATTGTCAAAAAGGTCTGAATTGTCTTTAATAATTAAGCATAACACAACAGAGCAGTAAAAACAAACCAAAAATATAAATAAATCACTTTAAAAAGAACAGAGAACAGACGTACCTGAGCAGAGGTAATTACTACAGTTAAATATGAAATTCAGCACTGAGTACCCCAGAAGCTAAGACAACAAAGGAAATTCAATTCTTTTTTTTTTTGAGACAGAGTCTCGCTTCATCACCCAGCATCACCCAGGCTGGAGTGCAGTGGCACGACCTCAGCTCACTACAGCCTCCACCTCTCAGGTTCAAGTGATTCTCCTGCCTCAGCCTACCGAGTACCTGGGATTACAGGCGCCTGCCACCACGCCCGGATAATTCTTTTATTTTTCATAAAGACAGGGTTTTGCCATGTTGGTCAGGCTGGTCTTGAACTCTTGGCCTCAAGTGATCTGTCCACCTTGGCCTCCCGAAGTGCTGGGATTATAGGTGTGAGCCACCGCGCCCAGCCAGGAATAGAATTCTTGTGTGATTAAAAGAAGAAAACAATTAACATGAAGGGATGAATGTTTGACTGGCTCTGAGTTCAAGGAAGCATAGTAAACTTGGAGTACAATGATATATAATAGCTATCAAATTCCTTATGCCAGGAAAATTAAGTAATAAACATGCGTACCCAAAGACTTTCAATAAACAAGGCAGAATGTTGAGTGAGAATTTCAGTAGTCCCATTCTGTACATTTGTTTTATGATTTATGCCTTATAAGGTGGTACCTGGGTGTGGACTTACAGAGAAGATTAGTGACAGAGCATCACATCTGGGGCATGCCTGCACACAGCCCCAGTTAACTTCTGTAACCCCCAGTTGACTTCTGTGGGAAGGACTGGTAGGGTCATACAGAAGCTATTCACTTCATCTAGTAATATGTATAAAGCACTGACTACATGCTAATCACAGGGCTCAATAAAATTGTGAGCAAAACAGACATCATCCCTGTCCTTGGACCTCACTAGAGTCTAGCATGGGAAACACATTAATGAATGATCACATGACTATAAAATAAAAATTGTGATAAGTGCCATTAAGTGGGAGCTCAGGAGGCCATGAGAACATATGCAAGCTGCTAAGAGAAAATCCTTATGAAGGCAGGCGTCAGGTAGGTGTCATGAAGAAGAGGTGCTGGAGCTTTAAGTGGAAAAACAAGAACAGAGTTGCAGGCAGAGGAAACAGCATCTTCAAAGGCCTGGGGTGGAAGGAAACAGGAAATGTTAAGATGTCAATATGGGATGCTCAGAAGTTGGCACTAAGGAAATTTTGCAACAGGAAGCAGAGTGCCAGTCCCCAGATTGGGGTTCAGCAGCAGGAACCCACCCAGCTAGGGAGGGGCTCCAGCCCTAGAGTGATGAGGTACAGGTCAGACTGCCAATCACCGCCTCAAATTTTGGAAGACAGGGCCGGGCACGGTGGCTCACGCCTGTGATCCCAACACTTTGGGAGGCTGAGGCAGGTGGATCACCTGAAGTCAGGAGTTCAAGACCAGCATGGCCAACATGGCAAAACCCCATCTCTACTAAAAATACAAAAATTAGCCAGGTGTGGTGATACATGCCTGTAATCCCAGCTACTCGGGAGGCTGAGGCAGGAAAATCGCTTGAACCGGGGAGGCAGAGGTTGCAGTGAGCTGAGATCGCGCCATTGTACTCCAGTCTGGGCGACAAGAGCAAAACTCCATCTCACAAAAAAAAAAAAAAATAATAATAATAATAATAATAATAATTGGGACAACAACCAGGGCCCACTTACAAAAACTAGGGCAAAAGGTGGGACAGAATCTTGGAACCAAGGCTAGCAGGAGACCAGCTACCTGAATCAGCATGGGGTTTAGAGACTGAATATTGAACAGTGCTCCTGAAATCCTTGTGGCTGCAGGTCAGAAGTTTAGGGTCTGGGACTGAACAAAGTACCTGGCCCTATGGGGAAAGGTGCAGATGATGGGAAATCAGACACAGCTCAGGCACACTATGCTCAGAACCACGCTGTTTTTACTGATTAATACCACAAAAGCTAGAACACAGGCAGCCCCACAGCCTGACTCTTCCTAAGAATGATGAACCAGTGAAAGAGGAGGAAAATGATGCCTTTGGGCCCTGCCCATGTGAACTTTTATGAGCATGTCAAATTCATTCATTTCATTCATTCCATTGTTTGTTTATTCAACAAATGTGGAATAAATGCCTGCTGTATACTGAGTACCGGGCTGGGTGCCATGGGGACATGAAGATAAATAGGACATTGTCTCTGCCCTTAACATAACTATAATGCAATGAGATCAGTACATTTTTTTAAAAAAAGTCTACACAGATTGTTGTAGGAACAAACAGGAAGAAGTGATACGTTATGTATGATGAGAAGGAAGTTCAAGAACTAACCAGACCTGAGGACTGAACAGGCTTCCACCAGGAAGAGAAACAAGGGCAGAGTTATTCCTTGTAGAAGGATCAGCTCAAGCCAAAGCAGTATATGGAGGCTTCAGGAGCCCACGGGGTTGGGGAATCGAAGTATTCCTGCATGACTGCAGCACGTGGTGTGCGGAGCAAGGAAAATGGAGAGACATGAAGAAGAAAAGGTAACGTGGGGTCAGACTAAAAGTAGTGCTGGTGTCCAAGCTTCATTCTGTGAACTGCAACATTATCAACAGGATTTTGAGCCCTGTCAGGTCTGGATTTTAGAGAAATAACTCTGGGTGAAGGAAGAACAAGAAGATGGCTTAGGAGGGTGTCACAATCAACTGTCACACGGGAGTAGGTGTAATTTTCAAGCCATGCTCTTTGAGGTCCTGGTGTCAGGGGGCCTTGGGACCACAGTGGGGCAGAAGTAGAGAAAGAGATGGGCAGGGCTTCTCTGGAAGAGATAGAAAGAAGCCCATGAACCAACCACAACCAGAGCAGCTTCTCCATTCAAATAGTCTTTGTTAGAGCTAGAAGGAAGATTGTTTGAGGTACAGGAAAAATGGGGTTCTACTGCTAAACAAATACATAATTTTGAACATTCTGAAATTATGATTGAGATAAAAGTAAGCGAGGTTGAGAGCGAGGGAAATAGCAGTGAGAGTGGAAATGAGGACCGATTCCAGCAGCATCAGAGAGCGGGTGACAGCAGCCCATGGTGGGAGGCACAGAGGTACCAGCGAAGGTGACGCCTTCAACTGTAACACATGGGGCAGAAGCCACGGCTGACATGATGAGCCTGCAGGATGTTCAGGGAGATGTCAGGGATCTGGGTTTAGGAGCAAGGACAGGGTAGAGATCTAGATGTGGGAGCAATACGCAGCATTTCATGGCATCACAGAAGCAGGTCAGAGAATCAGAAGAATGGTCTTACGGGATTTGGAGAAGGAAGAGAATAGGTGAGTCAAGAAAGAGAGATCAGGCAGGACAAACAGCAGGTGGACACCGGAGAAGTGTCGATAACATGAAAGATGCTGACTCCAATTTCTTTCTGCAGCCAATGATATGCAACCACTGCATAATATATTCAGGGCTTGAGCCAAGGGCTCCTGCATTCCACCCCTCACGTTACACAAGCATCTAAGGTAAGAAGGATGGGTGGCATTGGCCTACTTTGCAGATAGGGACAAGAATACTGCAGTGCTTGACTTCTTCTGGGCCAGACAGCCAGCTGACAGTCCCCCCAACATGAGTTCCTGGGTGGGGATCTCGGAGGAGCCACTGTTATATAACTCAACATCCAAATGCTGTGACAGGGATGCACTCACAGTGAAGTAGCTCAGATAATAACTACCTGTGTGGATGCTCCCTGTACAAACCAGCAGGTTCCCCTGTGGCTTGTCCCCAGGATGCACTCTCCTTGAGTCACCCAGACCTGGCACAGAGCTTCCACCAAGAGCTGCAACCATGGCTTCCAACATCACAATAACTGCACCTCTGGAGCAATGAAACCCTGGTACTTTTCCTGGCATTGGTCTTCCATCTTCCCCCAGATGTGTTTCATTTCTATGTCTTGTCTCCTCAACAGGTGGGTCAGTTCCTCTAGGGCAGGGGTTGTATCCAGTATTTCTTCTACATTTCTACATTTCTTCCCCACATCACCTAGCAGGGTCCTAGGACACAGCAGTTGCCTTAAAAGTACTTGTTGAACGCAACAAACTGTGCTGTGATCCCAATCTGCTGAAGGAAATCCCAGACATAACTCATGGTTACCGCCTTTTAAAAATTTCCCTAAAGCAGGAGCTTTAGAAAGGAGCCAGTATGTACCTGAAAAATCAGTAAAAATAACGTTAGACCATGAATAATCTAGCCACCTTTTACTTTACTAAGCCACAATTTATTTTCCTATTTTAAAATGACGATCTCAGCTGCCTCCCTGGCCAATTCCCAACCCTCTCACAACCTCTCTCTCTGTCTCTCTGTCCCTCCTCTCTCTAGCTGTCTCTGTCTCTCTTTCCTGTCTCTTGCTCTCTCTCACTATCACTTCTTTTCCTCTTTATTTCTCCTCTCCTCTCTCTAGCTGTCTCTGCATCTCTGTCTTTCCTCTCTTTTTCTCGCTTATCACATCCATCCACACACATACATGCATGACTTCAGCCAGCATAAAACACCAGCCTCTCGTCCTTAATCCACAAGCCCAAGTAAAGCTCTATAGGAAGGTCAACCCCAGCCTGTTTAGAAGTGCCCATGTCTCCAGAAGGTGAGTGCCTCCTGGGTTCTCACCATATCTAGCCCTGCCCTAATTAGAAGCAGTATTCCCCTAACAAGCCTCCAACTCTGCCTAGCCACTGATATTCAGGGGATGATGTAAATCAGGAAAGAGAACCAACCGCTGTGCCCCTGGACCGGCAATGCCTCCCAGCAGTGGTATTCTCTGCGAGCTCCTGGGCCCTCCCCAGCAGGATCTGACCTGCTCGTGGCTACGAAGCAGCCTCCTCCACTCTGCCCCTCTGCCTCTCCAGACCCAGACCTGGCTCCTGCTTTGTTCTTATTCAGTAATTGCAAGCTTTCTTTGGGGCATAGGAAAGGTGGGGTGCCACTGTTAAATAAATAAACAAAGAACTTTTTTCAAAATATTAGTGAAAATGCGCAGGGGCTGTGAGCTCATTCAGCAGCATCAGAAGCATCTGTGAGAGTTGGCCTGGCTCACCAGATCCTGGGTCCCGTTCTCTGGGCCTGCCCCTTTCACTCCTGCACAGCCACCAGGTCAAGGTATCAAGCCACATTGTTTTAAAACTTTTAACCCTTTGGACAGAGAAACTAGAACAGAGAGAAGCCTACAGCAAATGGCCTAAAGAGAAGCACCTTTGGAACCTCTATGTATCCCAGACCACGAAGGGCTCTGGGGCCTGTGTCAACAGAATTTAGTGCAAAGGCCTGGGGGTCTGGGCCTGAAAACCCCTGGGAGGACAGATGGCGGGAAACAGACCATAAGTCAGAAGGTTCCCTTTCTCTCCCTCCCCCATATCATGAGTTCTAAAAGGCTCTAAAGAAAGTGAGAGTGGTTGTGTTTCCCCTGGCCACCACCTGCTGATGATAAATATTTTATTAACATCAGGCATTTGAGAGGTGGCTCTGATATTACACACTAAGCTGCTTTTACTCTCAAAAGGTAGGGTAAGATTTCACCCTTAATCCCACCCAGGGGCTCAAGACCCAATCAATCCAGAGTCTTTTCTTTCAACATGATATAAAAAAGAGACAAATGTTTGTAAGTACTAACTTCTGCCTGGGGATATGGCTGCAAAGTGCTAGTCAGCATTGAAGCTATTTACCGAGAGTTCCTCAGGATTCCTCACTACTAACAAGGGCTGCATGTAAAAGACCTTGGAAGGCTCCACGAAATACAGTGCACACAGGCTGGCCTCTGACACCGGCAGTTCCAGTGACTTTACTGCTCTCCCCACAGGCCATGTGGCAGTGGCCACTAGCTTAAGACTGAAACTCTGAAAACAGCAAAGAAAGAAAATCTCCAGTCAACAGCAACCAACGGTCCAGAAAAACAGGCTGCCAGGTCCACACCCTTGACACTCACAGACTTTTGGTTTGATTTCCTGCTAGGAAGTCGCTGGCCTGCTACCCCCCTGGCTTCAAGACCTTTCCCTTCTTCCCTCTATTGAGACCTCCCTGGGATGGAGCAGGTGAACCTAAGATCTTCTCCCTCTCCATCCTCGCCTTGCTTCCCTCCCCATTCTCCTTCTTTGTCTTTCCTTCAGTCCCTCCTTTCTCCCTCTCCTCTTTTCTTTCTTTTTTCTTTCTTCCCCCTCTCTCTTCCTCCCCTTTCTTTGTTTTTCTCTCTCCCTGTCCTTCTCTTTCTGTCTCTCTTCTCTCTTTCTCTCCCTCTCCTCCTCTCTCCTTTTTCCTTCTCTCTCATTCTCTCTTTCCTTCTCTCTCTCTTTTCTCTCTTTCTGTCTCTCCTTCCTTTGTTCTTTCTGATACTGGTTTTCTCTTACCTAGTCGATCCAGTGTTTAAACATGTCTTATCCCCAAGTTTATTTCTTATGTTTTTAATTTATTTTTTATTTTTTGAAACAGAGTCTTGCTGTGTTGCCCAAGCTGGGGTGTCGGGGGGCGATTGTTCCATTAGTTCCAGCGCTTTCCTCAGCACTCGCCACCTACACTCATGACCTCCTTCAGCCCCAGAGATGTGACCTGCCTCAGTGTGAAGGAAGAAAAGCCCTGGGCACCCCTTTCCTGGCATCCCACTCTGATGTGCTCCTACCATTTGGGCTTTCTATTCTCACGCTGAGGCAGAGCCCCATATGATGCTGCTTCACACATCTGTGCCCTGCTTTCAAGGCTCGAAGACGGTCCTGACAGGCACCCTGTGAAGCCAGCACTGTTGTGTCATCCAGCTAAGGAAACACGAGGGCTCAGGAGGAAGACCCAGTCCTTGGTGTCTCCTCTGCTTTCATTCACACCTGGTCACTTCATCTAGTGCCATGCCTTTAAACATCATCTACATGAGGAAGATTCCCGAATCGGAATCCCCAGCTCAGTACTCTCTCCCAAATTTCAAATTTCCCATCTCCGCTGGGATGTCTCACAGACAACACAAGCTCAGTGTGGTCCCGACCAAGCACCTGATCTTCCCGCTAAACCCATCCACAGGCTCCCCACTCAGATGATGGCAACTCCATCCTTCCCATTGCTCAGGCCAAGACCCTTGACGGCATCCCCCACTCCCTCATCCCCTATATCTATCCATCAGAAAATCCTATTGGTCCACATTCAAAAAATATCCACCTCTACCACTACACCCTGAGCCAAGGCTTTTTATGTTTTGCATAAGAATTTCTACTGTTGTCTCTTTTACCCAGTTATTTCTTTCTATTCTTAACACAACAGCCAAAGTGATCCTTTTAATATGTAAATCAGATCATGTCATCCCTCAGCTCAAAACCTGCCAGTGGCTAACCCATTTGGCCTAGAGGATAAGCCAAAGTCCTGCAGTGGTCCCCAGGCCTGCAGTGACAGTCCACCACCCTGCCCTCTTCAGTTCCCTGAACCCATTAGTCAAGTCACACTTTGACCTCAGGGCCCTTGCACTGGCTGATCTCCATCTACCTAGAATGTTTTTCTCCTGACAGCCACGTCCTCACTCCTCCCTCTCCTTCAAGTCTTTGTTTAAACACCACCTCCTCAACAAGGCCTGCCCTGACCAACCTATTTAAAATTGCAAACATGCTCCCTCCCTTGCTCTACTTTTGTTTCCTACACACTTATTTATCTCCTAGTTTACTTATTATGTTTCCTGTTTATTGGGCTCCCCAACACTACCGCCACCACCACTAGAACAAAAGCCACGAGGACAGGGATCTGTATCTACTTTGCTCAGTGATGTATCTCAAGTACTTAAAACAGTGCCTAACAGGAGAATCACTTGAACCCGGGAGGCGGAGGTTGCAGTGAGCAGAGATAATGCCAATGCACTCCAGCCTAAACGACAGAGTTAGACTCTGCCTCAAAAAAAACAAAAAAACAAACAAAAAAAAAAAACCTGTGCCTGGCACATAGTAAATGCTCAATAAATATTTGCTGAACCAATGCACTCTTGTTTCCCAAGTTCACAGGGCTCTAAACTGTAGAGATGAGTATGACTCTGTGTCTTCAAGCTCACAGACAAGCTCCTAACATTTTTTTTAGCTGTTTAAATTTATGAAAATTGGCCTTACAGTCTTGTGGGAGGAAGCAGATGATAAGCACATATGTTTACGCCATGTGACATTCAGAACTGTAAAGAAATACATAGTGAGTAAGGGACACAGTGAAGGGTGGGGCACTGTTTTAAGAGAGTGGTCAGGGTAGAATGTTCTGATAAAATGACTTTGAGAAGAGATCTAAATAAAGTGAAGGAGTTATCCACACAGAAAACTAGAGAAAGAGTCTTCAAGGCAGGGCAGGCAGAAAGTGCAGAGGCGCTGAGGCAGGGGTGTGGGTGGTATATTTGAGGAACCAGGGGAAGCCAGTATGACTGAGAGATGAATAATTAATTTCACCTTATATGCTGACTTTAAACCATACTTAATAGCCCAAAACTGGAAACCACCCAAAAGTCCACCAAGAGTAGAATAGGGGAACAAAATGGAATACAGTCTAAAGCAATAAGGACCATGAACAAGGCTACATACAACAACACGGAGGAATCTCACAAAGCTCCACCAACAAAGTGAGTTCTATGAGAACACACAGTTTGATCCCATTTATGCAAAGTTTAAAGGCAGGCAAAACAAAAGTACATCTTTAAGGTGCACACATAGGTGGGAAAGCTAGAAGTCTAGACATGATCAAGGAGGAGATAAGGGGCTGGCAATAGCTATCTCTTGCCATGGAGGTGGTTACACGAGTATTCACTTTCTAGTTATTCTTTTTTTTTTTTTTTTTTTTTTTTTGAGACAGGTTCTAGCTCTGTCACCCAGGCTGGAGTGCAGTGGCACAGTCTTGGCTCACTGCAGCCTCTGCTTCCCAGCTTCAAGTGATTCTTCTTCCTCAGCCTCCAGAGTAGCTGGGATTATAAGTGCCGCCACCACACCAAGCTAATTTTTTTGTAGTTTGAGTAGACACAGGGTTTCACCATGTTGGCCAGGCTGGTCTCAAACCCCTGACCTCAAGTGATGCACCTGCCTCGGCCTCCCAAAGTGTTGGGATTACAGGTGTGAGCCAACCATGCCCAGCCTATAGTTATTCTTTATACTGAACATATTTGTGTATGTTTTTTGTCTGTAATATCACACATTGGAACACAAGTTTTTAAAAGATTTTTGTAAAAAAAAAAAAAAAAAAAGCTAAGTAAGAGCCAATTCAGGACAGTGTCAAACAGTTCAGGGGTTCTTTTGTTGCACACTATGTCACCAAAATTATTTCCTAAAAGGGCACAAAAGAATAGAGTGCATGGTATATAACTGTCACAAAACAAAGATTTATTAACCAGACTAAAATGACTTCAGGTGCTAACAGAATAAACTATTTTACCCAGCATTTAAGCAGAGTTTATACTTTTTAAACATAGGTGGTGTAGTGATAAAATCACTTCAAGAGTCTAGAGAATAAAAAGTTGCAAGAAACTCTCACATGATGTGTAGGAGAAAGAAATTTCATCTTCTCGGGAACTTCCAATGGCACTATGACTAATGCAAGTCACAAAAAGAGAAGAGGGACGCTGTGGCTTGCCGGGGAAGAAAACCTTTAAAAGTCATCCTTGTGAATTTTGGACAGCTGACTTCTTATAAAGAGCTTCCCTCCTACGCGTTGGGCCTAAAGCCCAGTCCCTGGGACAGCACTCATGCACCTCTGGCCCTCCCCTATCACTCCCCTGTCTTTCAAGAAGGCAAAAGCACCAGCCTTGCAATGGGAATCTTCCAGCCAGGGCACTTTCCTTCAGTAAAAACCCTTTGTGCCCCTGCAGGCACTTCCTGTGAATCATTGTCCGGCCCCGGAGCTACCGGCTTTGCAAACTGCAGGTTTCTGCAGGAAGCCACAGATGAGGTGTGCCAATCTGCCCAATCTGCTCAGAGACCTGGCTCCGGAAAACCCAATAGTATGTGCTGGGAAAAAAGTCAGGCCATCTGGGCCCCGGTCTGAGAAATCTCACTGACATAAACGTACTCGTCAACTTTCTAAAAGCCCTTCCAATGGGGAGAAGATGATTTGGTCAGCTCCAAGGTCATGTGAGTCCACACCGTAAAATGAAAAACCCTACAAATGTAAAAGATTATTATACTTCTAGAGTTGGTGGTGATTCCCTTTTACATGTTGTGAGCCCTCCCTTACCCCCACCCTTCTTTCCCACTGGCACCTGGTTTCCCTAGCTTCAATGCAGGAAAAGACCCAGTGTTTCTGGACCCTGGGCTATAACAATTCAGGGAAAGATTCAAACTCCAAACACAACTTCTAACACACACCACGTAAGCAGCTAGTTCCATACCTCTCTGCACACCAGAAGGGCTCTGCTCTTTCTATGGCATTGAAATCTACTAGCATATGAATCCCAGTTCGACCACGTGTGCCTCTAAGCAAGTTACTGAAGTTCTCTGTGTCTCAGTCTCCTCAATGGCCAACTGGGGATGGTGGACATAATTACAGCCAATCTTCATTATTTGGAGATTCTGCATTTGCAAATTCGCCCACTCGTCAAAATTTACCTGTAACCCCAAAATCAATACTAGTGATGTTTCCAAGGACATTCATGAACATGCCTAGAGTGACAAAAAATTTAGAGTTGCCTGAGACGCACAGCCCCAGCCGAGGTCAAAAGGCAACACTCAGGCTTCTTGGTTCAGCTCTCAGATTGGAAACAAGCGTCCTTTTTGTGATCACTTAGCAACATTTTATTTATTTATTTATTTATTTATTTATTTATTTATTTATTTTGAGATGGAGTCTCGCTCTGTCACCCAGGCTGGAGTGCAGTATCTCAATCTTGGCTCACTGCAACCTCCGCCTCCCAGATTCGAGTGATTCTCCTGTCTCAGCCTCCAGAGTAGCTGGGATTACAGGCATGTGCCACCACGCCCAGCTAATTTTTGTATTTTTAGTAGAGATGGGGTTTCACCACGTTGGCCAGGCTGGTCTCATACTGCTGACCTCAAGTGATCCACCTGTCTTGGTCTTCCGAAGTGCTGGGATTACAGGTGTGAGCCACTGCACCCAACCCCCACTTAGCGGCTTTTTTTTTGCATTTTTGTACTTTTAGCTGGCAATTTCACTGTTTAGAATATCTCCCAAAGTGTAGTGCTGAAGTGCTAACATACATGTTGGATAAGCTTCACTCCAACCTGAGATATAGGGTGTTGGCCATGAGTTCAATGTTGATAGAGCAACAATATATATTAAATAAGGTGTCTTTAGGCAGAAACACATAAAAAAAGTTATGCATTGATTGGTTGACAGGGATCTAATCCTGCCATCGGCTCACAGGAACCTAACTCTGTATTTCCCCTAGGAACAATGGTTCAGTATTCACTAATTCAGTGTTCAAGCGACTTTACAGAACCTAACTACCACAGACAACAAGAATCAGCTGTGCTTCATAGGGCTATGGTGGGGATTTCATTAACAGATATAGAAGAAATGGTTTAGTTTGAGTCACGCCGCTTGGGGCAGAGACTGAGTTGAAGAGGAAAGTGTCTCTGACAAGGAAGTTCATCTTCCCTGCCCTCATGCTCCTGATCCTGTACAGATTGGGCTTAGTGCTTGTGACAGACTAGGCACTGTTGTAAATGCTTTGTATCTGTGGGCCATTCAGGAAAATTCAATTTGTAACAATTGTTACTCTCTAATTTCTATTAGCTGTTAATAACTGATAATCAAACATCGTTACATCTGTCTGATTTTTCAACAGCAAAAGAAGAAATGGAAAGAATGAACAACAATAGCTATGATTTTATGTGTGGCTCTCTCTTAAGCCACCCAAGTGGACCATATAATGAGCTTCCAAATCTGTTTTGCTCCTTGTTCATCTGGATGCCCACCTGCAGCTTCCATTCATGATAACAAACTTGATGCCCTCTGCAGGCAATGAATGGACAGACGTCACTGTTTTATTTTTCTACAGTGCCTGAATTCCTGGGAGGGAAAGTAAAATAAAATCTCAGTTTGCTCTAGATGACTGTTTTGTGCCCACACAAAGGACCATTCTAAAAAGGAATTGATCAGGACCTTCGGGTGTGGGCCAAATTCAAAACAAATTGAATTTTCCTGAATGGCCCACAGATACAAAGCATTTACAACAGTGCCTAGTCTGTCACAAGCACTAAGCCCAATCTGTACAGGATCAGGAGCATGAGGGCAGGGAAGATGAACTTCCTTGTCAGAGACACTTTCCTCTTCAACTCAGTCTCTGCCCCAAGCGGCGTGACTCAAACTAAACCATTTCTGCTATATCTGTTAATGAAATCCCCACCATAGCCCTATGAAGCACAGCTGATTCTTGTTGTCTGTGGTAGTTAGGTTCTGTAAAGTCGCTTGAACACTGAATTAGTGAATACTGAACCATTGTTCCTAGGGGAAATACAGAGTTAGGTTCCTGTGAGCCGATGGCAGGATTAGATCCCTGTCAACCAATCAATACATAACTTTGTTTTATGTGTTTCTGCCTAAAGACACCTTATTTAATATATATTGTTGCTCTATCAACATTGAACTCATGGCCAACACCCTATATCTCAGGTTGGAGTGAAGCTTATCCAACATGTATGTTAGCACTTCAGCACTACACTTTGGGAGATATTCTAAACAGTGAAATTGCCAGCTAAAGTACAAAAATGCAAAAAAAAAAATGCTGCTAAGTGGGGGTTGGGTGCAGTGGCTCACACCTGTAATCCCAGCACTGAAAAAGTTCAAAGCAACCCTTGTGAAAGATCCTTCGGTGCATGACATTTACACCACAGCCAGCTTCTCTGTGTTCTGATTCAGCATCTCCCAGGCCTCTGATGTCTGTATTAGATCCTACATGGCAGTAGGCTCCATGGTGCCAAAAGACCTGAGCGTCTTTCTCCTTAAAGGTGACTGCAGCTGTGCCTCCAGGAACACAAACATGCTCAGGAGAATCACATGTTCAAGCGATTCTCCTGCCTCAGCCTCCCAAGTAGTTGGGATTACAGGTGCCCGCCACCACACCCGGCTAATTTTTTTTATTTTTAATAGAGACAGGGTTCACCATGTTGGCCAGCCTGGTCTCGAACTCCTGACCTCAGGTGATTCGCCTGCCTCGGCCTCCCAAAGTGCTGGGATTACAGGTGTGACCCACTGCACCTGGCCTCAGGTAGATTTTTATATGGCAAGAGCATGCTCTTATCACTGATGGAAGAAAGCCATGCTGCAAAAGTGAAATAATTACCAATGCTTTGGGCTCACACATCTTTCAAAAGTACTCTGTAATGGGCTGAATAGTTTCCCCCCAAAAGATATGTCCAAGTCCTAATCCCCAGTCACTATAATTATGACCTTATTTGAAAACAAGGTCTTTGCAGATGTAATTAAGTCAAGGATCTTGAGATGAAATCATCCTAGGTTTTAGGACAGACCCTAAATCCAATCACTGGTGTCCTCATAAGAGAAAAGAAAGGGAGATTTGAGACACAGAGGAGAGACACATCAAAGATGAAGGGAGGCAAAGACTGAAGCTGTGTGGCCACAAGTCAAGGAACATTGGGAGCAACCAGAAGCTGGAATCAGTGAAAAATGATTCTCCCCTACACCCTTTGGAAGGACTGTGGCCCTGCGGAAACCTTGATTTCAGACTTTTGGCTTCTAGAACTGTGAAAGAAAAGATTTCTCTTTTTTTTTTTTTTTTTTTTTGAGACGGAGTCTCGCTCTGTCGCCCAGGCTGGAGTGCAGTGGCGCGATCTCCATTCACTGCAAGCTCCGCCTCCCGGGTTCACGCCATTCTCCTGCCTCAACCTCCCGAGTAGCTGGGACTACAGGCGCCCGCCACTACACCCGGCTAATTTTTTGTATTTTTAGTAGAGACGGGGTTTCACCGTGTTAGCCAGGATGGTCTTGATCTCCTGACCTTGTGATCCGGCCGCCTCGGCCTCCCAAAGTGCTGGGATTACAGGCGTGAGCCACCGTGCCCGGCAGATTTCTCTTGTTTTAAAAGCCACTACGTTTATGGGAAGTGGTGGTGGCAACCACAGAAAACCAGTGATTACATACTCCAAGTATTTCTTTTAATTAATAAGATGAAATTTTGAACCAAAAGTCACTCACTATTTTACAGACAAATGATCAATGATCGGCCAGGCGCAGTGGCTCACGCCTGTAATCCCAGCACTTTGGGGAGACCGAGGCAGGCAGATCACGAGGTCAGGAGATAGAGACCATCCTGGATAACACGGTGAAACCCCGTCTCTACTAAAAATACAAAAAATTAGCCGGGCGCAGTGGCCGGCACCTGTAGTCCCAGCTACTCGGGAGGCTGAGGCAGGAGAATGGTGTCAGCCTGGGAGGCGGAGCTTGCAGTGAGCCGAGATCATGCCACTGCACTCCAGCCTGGGCAACAGAGCAAGACTCCGTCTCAAAAAAAAAAAAAAAAAATAGTGGTGATTGTTGCTTAACTTTGTGAATGTACTAAAAACTACTGAATTGCATACTTTAAAAAATTTTTAAATCAACTAAAAAAAAGTTTTCAGAACCAATCTTCAGATGCCTTGTATAGGAAAGAACCTGCAGGTACCCATATACACACACGCCACTGTTCCACGTATCCATTAATAAGCTGTTCTTCCCAAATATTGTTATATGGAAATGGTGCCAGAATGACACCAAACCACATGAGACCAGTCCACTCATACCCACATGCTCAGAATAACAATGATAATTAATAACTACAATTTATTGAGTGTTAACTATGTGTCACACTCTATACTAAGCACTTTATATGTATTATCTCCTTTCATCTCTCGTGGCAAACCTTTGAAGTATGTACTATTATCATCCCCATTTTACAGATGATGAAATTGAGGCACAAATAATTTTAATAACTTGTGCCAGGTTACCTAGTTGGGTGAGCAGACTCATTCCAGGCAACCTGATTCACAAGCCCTATGCTACTCCGCTCCAATTGACCCTGGGGCTTCTTAAAATCACATGCAAAATTCACTGACTTGTATTCACTGGATAGAAGCTAAGACAGGAGAGCATCTAAGATTTTAAAACAACCAGAACTATTAACTGAAACAGCAATCCTGGACAGAAAACTGGAAATACTCAAGCCTCTGAGGTTGAAACTAAGCTCAAGTCTGTATTTCATGTTACTAAGAGCCCTGACAAGTTCAGTGTATAACCTAAGCATAAAATTCTAGATTGCAGTTACCCACTACCTATTAGATTAGAGATAGATTATTCCATTTCTCCCTACACACAATAATCTAAAAATCTAAGTGGGAGTGTCATTGACAAGAGCAATCAAAATCACTGTATATTGTGTGTATGACTTTATATATATAATATACATGAGTTACATGTTTATATACATGTGTGCTTACCAAACAGCGAGGAGTAGATGGTAATTTCTAAGTACTACATCCTAGAAGAGGAAGATGGATAAGGGCAAAGTAATCAAAGAAGATTGCTTGAGAAGGCCTTGAAAATAGCTTTTGGGAAGGAGGAGCAAGGATAAAGGTCACCACTTGAGGGAGGGTTGGAGCCAATGAGTGGATTATTCCCACGGCCGCAAGGAGTGTACACTGTTTAATGTACTGGAAAATCAGAGTGGACAGGCAGGAAGGGGTTATGTAAGATCTCCAAAGTCAAGGGGGTGTTTGGACTTGATAGAGTAAGAAAAGGTAAATCATTCCTTAGAAAAAGTTGTGCAAGCTGTATTACGTGAGTTTCATACTTCAAAAGAAAGAAACCCTGGCTTTAGTATTTGCTTACTCAACCCTGGAATTCCACCTGAAATACTGTTTCCTAATTCCATTTTAAATATTCTGTTTCTGTCATGTCTACCCCTGAGGCATGACCTAGTCCAGCCTCGATTTCAGCAAACTCAAGATAGAAAATGATTGCTTAAAATCACAGCCCTGAACAAAACTGGGCTGGTATGGTCTCTTCACAAAGCCTCTTAGCTTATTGCTAATGAGCATTACATTTCCTCACACTTCATAGCTTAACCTGTAATGAATCAACATCCTAGTGAATAGGCTGCCCCTTGATGAAACATGCATTTTTTTCATGTGAAAAATATTTCCTTATACTCAGTCACTGGAATCGTCTTCGTTGGGTAATAAAATTGAATGAGAAATAGACAACTTTTTTGCTGAGTGGCACAGAAATCCACAGTCGCCCGTTTCACTGTAATATACCGATCAAATACCCAGTCACAGTTGTATTTTATCAGACCCCTATGGAAACTTCTGATCAACTTCTCTCCCTTACTTCCCTGCCCAGGTAGGACACCCGAATTCTTGGCACTTTGCACAGACATCCAGCTGGGTCTCAGGTGTCTCCGAAGATTTGTGCTTTTCGGCAAAAATCTTACTCAAGGAACAAACCCAAAACATCCCATAAGGAACCAAGGGGCTGAGATGGCGCCTCCGCGTGCCCTTCCAGCAAGCCCACCTCCCCAACTCACACAAGCACACAGGTGTCCACACTCTCGGCGCCCGGCTACGGCCCAGGTAAGCCCAGATCCCGGCCCGGGCGGCGCACCCACCTGACGAGGGGCTCCTTCTCAGGCAGGGCGCGCTCCTCCAAGCACTCGCACCCGCAGCAGCAGCACACGGTTCTCAGCCAGTCCCTCAGCCCCATGGAGAGCGAGGGCCCCCACCGGCGCCGGAAGCCTGGGGCCGAGTCGCCGCGGCGAGCGATCGAGGCTGGGGCGCGGCCACCGCGCCAGCGTCCAGGTGCGGGGACAGCGGCAGCCCGGGCGTCGCGGGCTGGTCCGCGCGCATCACGCCGCGGCCGGGGACGCGGGCGAGGGCTGCAGGCCGCGCGCCCTCCTCTCCTTGCGTTTTGTTTGGGGCGTGAGTTTTCTTCGGGCTTTTTTTCCCCTCTTTTAATTCCCCGAGCGCAATTTGGGGCGCATGCGTCCACGAGACGCCCCGCTACCGCCCTCTAAGGGTGAAGCAGGGACTCCAGCCAGTCCTCAAAATCCCAGGGCACCGGAGGCTGGCAGCCGGGCTGGGGGAGGGCGGGGAGGGGAAAGCCCTGGAGCCACAGAGCACGAGGTTGGGCTGAATCTATTCGTACCTTTTATTGGCTTCACTGCGCGAGGAAATTAAAGATCCTCCCCCACCCCTACAGGCCTTCAAAGCAGAGTTTTGGGCATGTTTTTGATGTCAGCTCCACACAGAGTAAAAGTTACCAAAAGAGCATGGATTGATGCATATCGGCGTAGGGTTTTTTTTTAAATAATATATTTACAATGATTTGAAAAATTGTTTTCAAACCTCCTAGTCCTTAAATAGCCCCTATTTGTGAGGCAACCACTTGTGAGTTTCCAGAGCTATTTATATATAGTTGTATTTATTTGTGCTTGTACAAACTTGTTAATATATGTGCCTGTCCTCATCCCTTTGACCCAAACAGCGGCATACTCCACACATTTCTGCACCTGGCTTTTTTGACTCAGTGTATCATGGAGGCTGTCCCTTGTCAGCGCGTGGATATCCTCCTCTCATTTTAACAGTTGCATGCTAAGCAGTTTTAAGGATGCCCACATGTTACTTACTCAGACCCCTATTGATGGACATATGGGTGGATTCCGGCCTTTCATTATTAAGATAATGCTGCAGTGAACATTCTTGAACCAAAGTATTTGAACACGTCTGCAAGAATGTCTATTGGATAGGCCGGGCGCGGTAGCTCAAGCCTGTAATCCCAGCAAGTTGGGAGGCCGACGCGGGCGGATCATGAGGTCAAGAGATTGAGACCATCCTGGCCAACATGGTGAAGCCCCGTCTCTACTAAAAATACAAAAATTAGCCGGGCATGGTGGCGGGCGCCTGTAGTCCCATCTACTCAAGAGGCTGAGGCAGGAGAATTGCTCGAACCCGAGAGGCGGAGGTTGCAGTGAGCCGAGATCACGCCACTGCACTCCAGCCTGGGTGACAGAGCAAGACTCCGTCTCAAAAAAAAAAAAATAAAATTAAAGATATATATATCTATTGGATAAATGTTTGGCAGTTGAATTGCTGGGTCATTGGTCAGGTGCCTTTTTAATTTTGATGGATCTTGCCAAATTGCTCCCCAAAGAAATAATCCGAATTTACTCTCTGACCAGCAACATATGAAAGTATCTACTTCCCTATACCCTCGCCAAATGCAAGGTTCAATCTAAAGTTTTGTCTTTTCCAGTCTGATTTATTCAACAAATATTTATGGAGCATCTCATCTGTTATGTGCTGGGTATTTTCTAAGAGCCGGGAATAAAGCAGTGAATGAAACAAATACAAATCTTTACTCTAATGGAGCAAACGTTCTAGTGGGAAGTCAGACAAAGTATTATTCAATATGTTAGGAGTCCATATGTACTATGGAGAAAAATAAGGCAGGGAAGGGAATAAGAAGTGCCAGGGAGAGCGGGGTGTGTGTGTGCACGCGTGTGTGTGCGCGCGTGCGTCTGTGCGTGCGTACGTGTGCGCGCGCGCGTGCGTGTGTGTTCGTGTATGTGTGCGTGTGCGTGTGTGTGTTGGGTGGAGGGGAGTGATGCCTGCACTTTTAAATGAGGTGGTCAGGGAAGGCCTCGCTGAGACTGTGACATGTAAGAAAAACTTGAAGGAGGTGAGCAAGCTAGCCATGATATCGCCAGGAAGAGTATTTCAGGCGGAGTGAATATGGGCAAAACCCCAGAGGAGGGAGAATGAACTATAGGGTACCTGTGGGAGAATATGGACTCTAGGGGCCCTAGAGAGAAGGGGGCCATGGAAAGGGAAGAGTTATAGGAGATAGCGGAACACGGGACGTTGCAGGACATTGATTGCAAGGACTCTGGATTTTGCTCCACATGAGCTGAGAAAATCTTCAGAGGTTTTTGAGTAGAGGGAACGATATGGTCTAACTGAGATGGTAATAGGATCCAATGGCTGCTGTCTTGAGAAAAACCTAAGTGTCAAGGGAGATGTATATGGAGGCCATCCTAAAGGTCCAGGTGACAGATGACAGTGGTTTACACCAGGGTGGTGGGTGGTAGCAGTCGAGGTGGTAAGGAACGGCTGGACTCTAGCTGGAATTTGAAGGTAGAGCCAACAGGATATGCTGAAGGATTGTAAATAGGGTGTGAAAAGAAAAGAAAAAAGTGAGTCCCAAGTTTTGGATTTATAAACTTGGAGGCTGAATCTCCACTGGCTGAGATAGAGGAGTGTGGGAGGAGCCGGTTTGGAGGGTGAGGAGGAGGAGCAAGAGCTTATGAAAGTGTCAATCCTCATGGGCGGTGTATTATTTTTAAAAGTGTCTTACTACACATAGGTTTGTCCTGTTCCAGCTACAGTGTGAGGCTGAAGGGACTTATCAAGTACATAATTCATTGAAAGGCTACGAAGGGATAAAGAAAAATAACAGAAGGTCCCTGCAGCCTCTGGCTTAGCTGGGGAGACAGGATATGGACCCATCATGAAACATTAACAGGATGTGACAGAGAACCAGCTGTCACCAGACAGCACAGGACTGTGTTGTCATGCCCACACCATGTCGCTTACCACTTGCACCTGGTGCCAAGATGGAGGCTGAGTGTGGTTTTACAAAGCACACTTCCTACTGGCTGGAAAATCCCCTGGTAAAAATGACTGTATTCTGAAATTGGATTTTGGATTTTGAGATAATCCACCTAGGTTCAAATAGAAAGTGGGTAAAGGAGGGTCCCAAAATGTGAACTCAGCTAGCAAGAAAATGAAAACTAGGGACTGACAGCTACTAGTAACTATTTGAGTTGGATTTGCTGAGAATGGAGAAATTGGAGCATTCAGCTCCTGGAAAATATAAGTGCTGTGCCCCATTACTAACTTTGATTTTTAAACATGTCACTTAATTTTTCTGAACCTCAGTTTTCTAATCTATGAAATAGAGGTGACAAGTCTTACCCTATTTAACACAGTTGTGAGACTCAAATGAGACAGTCTTAAAACCTTTATAAAGCCCTGAAGAAATATCAGAATTCAATATTATTAAACAAATTCAAATAATATAGGCCCGTTTGGGGAAATGTCAGCTCCAGCACTACTTGGCTTGCATATGACATTTGTACCTCTGCAATATACAGGCATCTTTTATGTGGTTTGTTTCAGACAGGATATTTATAGAAAGCCACAGAACTACATCTATTTAACAAACTTGATCAAGAGGTTAATGTCCTGCCTTGCTAAGGATCACATCAAATGTTTGCCAACTGTAACAGTTACTAACATTTTTAAAATTAATTTTAAGTTCTAAAACTTCTAAATGAAATAGTCTTCTAAAAAATTGGAATATTACAGCTCAGATTCCCTCTGTTGACTATCCACAACCTAATCCCCTTTCTACCTCCACCCTCCACATCCCCCCGGGTAACCATTATTATCAATATGGTACAAACCTTTTTCTGGACACATAAACACATATGTGTACTTGTGATGTAGCATCATTGTGTGTGCTGTTATTGTTAGTGAGTTTTGTTTTGTTTTGTTTATCTAAAAGGCGTGCAGCATCTATTTGCAAGCTTTTTCTATTTAATAATATGTCTTGGAGAGCAATCCTTGTTAGTATACTAATACTACCTCATTCTTATTAACTGATGTGAGTCTTCTGTTTACTAGGTTTTTAGGGATTTTTAGATCAGTTTTTCTTAGCATTCCTCTTCCCGGAATTTTAATGCCTTCACTATTTCCTTGATAAATTACAACTTTGATGGGAATAAAAACGTGACCAAACTCTCCAGTTTCACATTCAAATATGGTAGCTGAGATCACATTTTGACAATCCTATTTCAGATATCATTCACAGGGCAGCAGCAAGTTTCCCCTTTTTTAGAGTGGCGCTAGATGGTTCCTACTGCCTGAGTTGAAGCCAACACCGCCAACCACATGCAGCAGCATCTGACTTTTACCAAGAGCCCTCTGGGCACCTGATGTCCGGGAAGTAGGCAGTCCCCTGCCATCAGTGACTCACAGACCCATCAGCTGCTTGTTTCCAAGGCAGACCTGCTGGCTCCTATTTTCAGATTTCCCCATAGCAGGGGAAACTCTACAGTCTGGTTTGAAAACAACTAGTAGAATTTGGAGGCCCCTCTCTTTAAGAATTTTTTTACGACTTCTGGGAGTTAGAGGAAAAAGCACAGGCAGGGAGGAAAAATTAGAAATTCAAAACACTGAAGCTCCGCCCAGGCACGGTGGCTCATGCCTGTAATCCTAGCACTTTGAGAGGCCAAGGTGGGCGAATAACCTGAGGTCAGGAGTTTGAGACCAGCCTGGCCAACATGGTGAAACCCCATCTCTACTAAAAATACAAAAAAAAAAAAAAAAATTAGCCATGAGTGGTGGTGCATGCCTGTAATCCCAGCTACTCGGGAGGCTGAGGCAGGAGAATCACTTGAACCCAGGAGGCAGAGGTTGCAGTGAGCTGAGATCGCACCACTGCACTCCAGTCTGGGCGACAGAACGAGACTCCACCTCAAAAAAAAAATTAAGCTCCAATGCCACATCATGAACACATTCCACCAAAAAGTTGTGCTTAGACAACATAGCATGAGCTGGTATCATTCAGTTATTTGTTCTACAAAAATTTATTAAGTCAGGAACTGGGAATACAATGGTGAACTAGAATGTAGGGTCCATTCATGGAGGCAGGGATTTTGTTTTGTTCTTTGCAATATCCCCAACGCCTAGAACAGTGCAGACCTTGCCATACGACAACATCTAGAACAATGCACGCACATAGTGGGCACTTAACAAATGTGCTGAATAAACACAAGAAAACAGAAAAAGAGCTATTTAGTGTTGGCATGGAAGGTTATGTTTAATTCTGAGGAGTCTATTTATGAGCTGCCCACATCCAGCAGAGAAAAACGAACAAGTAGCGTCTTCCTTAAAGAAAAAATAGGGTTTCTGAAACAAACCAGTACTCTGAGCCAAGCATCATCACTCACCCCAAGTGATCCAAGATAGAGAAGCAACATGCCTCACCTCTCCAGAGAAGTCACATTAGGGAGTGGCATGACTAATGTTACCAAAGTAAAATCCGCCAAGGGTCCTTATAGAGTCTGTTGTTTCTACCTGTGTAGTATCCCTCACTCTGCCTTTTGGTAACAGTGTTTTGTTTTCCTTTGAAGAACATGCCCCCAATTCAATAGGCTGGCTATAACAATGAAGGTACCTTCCATCCCTCACCCCTAACCCTCAACAGGAAATGGACATGTGACCAAGAAATTGACATGTGACCAAGATGAGCCAATCAAACACTCTTTCTATAATTTGCTTCTTAACGGCAAAGACTCAAAGTTGGAAAACAGCTGGAGTTGAGGCATGAATTATTTTAAGGGTAGCATCTTGAAGAGCAGACCCAACCACAATTGCTCTAGGCTTTAGATGCTTAGAGCTTTCCTGCTCTTGCATTTCCGAAACAAGATCTATTATTCTAGCTCTTTAGTACTCCCATCATTCTATGGGTTACTCCATAACTTGTCAATCAATACTAATTTTTTTTTCTTTTTTGGCTTAAGTTAACCAGTGTTAGAGTCTGTTGCTTTCAGAACTAACCCCATATAGTCCCCTGAACTGGGTTAAGAGGCAGGAAAAGGGTAATTGTGATGAGAGAGCGAGCTAATCCTGAAAAAACACAACTCTCTTTTAGGCAGGGTACAACACACCAAAGTTTGATTTAGTCAGGTGAGATTTTTATTTCTGTTTCTCTGCTTGGCTTTGCCTCCCTGAAGAGAAACAGACACTATCTATCTGTTTCTGTCTGTCCTATCACTCTGTCGTTTCCCATAATGCAAAGGACTTTCTAAATTTTCAAACCTTTTTTTTTTTTTTTGAGACAGAGTCTTGCTCTGTCGCCCAGGCTGGAGTGCAGTGACGCAATCTCGGCTCACTGCAAGCTCCACCTCCAGGGTTCACACCATTATCCTGCCTCAGCCTCCCGAGTAGCTGGGACTATAGGCGCCCGCCACCATGCCCGGCTAATTGTTTTTGTATTTTTAGTAGAGACAGGGTTTCACCATGTTACCAGGATGGTCTCAATCTCCTGACCACGTGATCAGCCCGCCTAGGCCTCCCAAAGTGCTGGGATTACAGGCTTGAGTCACCGCTTCCAGCCTCAAACTATTTTTATTGGGTGCAGTTTGTTGGTTCCCTCCCTTCCCCAAAATATATACTCTAGAAAACCTTAATAGTCATAGTCTTTGCTTATTCTTCAGTTCCAAGCAACAAACATATTATAACTTCTCCTCAAAATTCAGTAGAGATTACTCTCTAGGCAACTTCATACTCGGGAATAATTCTGCCCTTTTAAAAAGAGAATAATTTTTCCCAGGGAGGAAAAAAAAACACATACGCTGGGCTGGAAGAGGAGTAGAGCACGGTAAGATGTTTTTCTTCAAGAAAGTTTGGCTCTTTCAGCCCTTCCATGAAGGGATTCTAACCCTGTTGCGTGTCCAACACCTTTTTGTATAGCTATTATGACCTTTATCTGCTGGATATTAATCATCTTCTAATTATTAAGGACAAAAAACATCACTCAAACTAGTTTAAGAAGAAATGTACTGCCTCAAGTAACTGGAAACTTCAGACATTATGCTAGCTTTAGACATAACTGGATCCAGGCCCTCCAAAGATAAAATAAAGATTGGTCTCTTTTCATCTCTGAGCTCTGAGTTATGGCATTCTCAGGTCCCCACTAGGCCTGAATTGCACCGTCTTTCCTGTTAGTGATCTTAGCAGAAAGAGGATAGCTCCTTCCCAGACAGTTGATCAACAGGCCCAGGCTTGACTCTCCTTGACCCAAATGGAACCAATTGCTGTGCTCGGAGGGAGAAAATACATCTACCTAGCAGGTTCTAGTCTCATGCACACCCTTGCAGAGCTCAAGTGAAGAGGAGCTGAGGAGACAGGAAAGGGCTAAGAGTGGGAAAGTTGTCATTTCCAAAGGAAAATCAACTGGAAACACAAAAAGGGGAATGGATACTGGCAGGGCCAGAGAAAACATCCATTGCACTTGGTAATAACAGCTAGCGATGCACTGTTTCAAGCATGGTGTGTGTATCCAAGGAGGACCGCCATCTAGAATGGACAGAAAGGACCCCACAAGGAATAGTCCTGTTGGGCCAAAGCCCCGCAAAACACACTACAGGAGCTCTCTGCAAGAGGAACGTCAGACTCCCACTGCGTCCCTTAAAAATTCAGATAGAAAACTGGTGACCTCACCAACATCTACCCCCAAACCAAACAGACAGAGAGAAATTATTTCACTGAATGTAAAGGGACTCTCATCTGAGACCGTCGGCAGAAGCAGAGTTTCTCACAGAGCGATGATCCTAAACACCTGCACTAGAATCCCTAGGGATGCTTACGGAAACTCCAGATTCTTGGACCCTATTTGACATCATCTGAATTGATGTTCTTCAGTAGGGGCCCAAGAATCCATGTTTTTAGTATTTGTCGGGCTTTTTAGGCTTTTCTGAGATGTGGTCTCACTCTGTCACCCAGGTTGGAGTGCAGTGATGCAATCTCGGCTCATTGCAACCTCCACCTCCTGGGCTCAAGCAATTCTCCAATCTCAGCCTCCCGAGTAGCTGGGACCACAGGCATGCACAACCACACCCAGCTAATATTTTGGGGTTATCCACCCGCCTCGGCCTCCCAAAGTGCTGGGATTACAGGCGTGAGCCACTGTACCCGGCTAAATCTGCATTTTTAAAAGGCTCCCAAGCCTTTTATAGGGACTAGGATGAGAAGGGAAGGGACTAAAATGAGACAAATGAGGAGCTTAGAGTGCAACATATAAAGAGACACTCGCTTTTGGGGCCCACCCTGCAACTGTACAACCCCAAATGTGAGTGCCTCCTTTAATGTTGTTCCATAGGCCCCTCACTCCCCTCTCACCCTAGTCACCCCTTTTCCAGAGGCTTGGGAATTCTGAGGCACGTCAAATTTATGAACCACTGGCAGGGTTGTTTAGAGTATGGTCTTTGGCATAACAGTGCTTCCCTGTGGCTGCTGTCAGGATTGGGTGAAATAACACAGAAAGCCCTTAGTACAATTTCATGGGAAATGGGAAGCACTGCGTAAACGTTAGCTGCAATTATTGTTAAGTATTCATACTTTAGTCAGATCCGACCCCATCACCTTCCATTGCCAACTGTGACCATCTGAAAGGATTCAACTCAACAAGTATTTATTATCAACTGTGTAAGCATGGCACTGAGCTCAACCTCTTGTGGAATGCAAAGATGAAAAACAAACAGTACTTGGCCGGCTGTGGTGCCTCAGGCCTATACTCCCAACACATTGGGAGGCTGAGGCAGGTGGATCACCTGAGGTCAGGAGTTCAAGGCCAGCCTGGCCAACATGGTGAAACTCCGTCTCTGCTAAAAAGACAAAAATTAGAAAAATTAGCTGGGTGTGGTGGCTGGCTGGCACCTGTAATCCCAACTACTTGGGAGGCTGAGACAGGAGAATCACTTGAACTTGGGAGGTGGAGGTTGCAGTGAGCTGAGATAGTGCCACTGTGTTCCAGCCTGGGTGACAAGAGCAAAACTCTGTCTCAAAAAATAATAATAATAACAGTACTCATCCTCAGAGTACTATCCAGAGCCAAAAATAGAAAATTATGGAACTCAAATGTTCTGTATTCATCTATGCCTCGAGTCACCCATCCTTCAGTTCCTACCATGTGCTCTTCCCTACCTCACCCCCATATTTCCCATGATTAACTATGCTGCAATCTCTAAGTAGATTCTTATAGCTAACTATGTTGTCATCTCTAGTCTCCCATAGTTAATTATACTGCTACGTCTAACAATATTCCCACTTTAATTATATCTCCATCTCTAACTATACTCCTATATTGAACTCTGTTGTCACAGCTAATTCTCCTGCCATAACAAACACTTTCCAGATGCCCAGAACAGTCTCAATTCTCAGCCCCAGAGATGAGATTTGGAATTCAACCTCTTCCTACCTCCGGAAGACAAGCCCCCTACTATTCCAAGTTTTCTGTGTTCTCCAAAGTCTCTCCATATTATACCTAACCAAAATTAAACATAAGCCTAGACCCAGCTATCATCGGTGTGCTTCCTAATTCAATTAAACTCTAAGAAGCAGAAGCAGAGTTTCTAAGAAGCATTTATTAAGCACTTGCTATATGCAAGGTGACTCGAAGTTGCAAAATAGGAGAAAATATGCATCAAAAACTGTAGTAGGAGAAAACCTGAGCATCATTCACATTTGCTATGAAAGGCGACCGGAGGCTTGCCTCAACTTTAAGCCCAGATCCTACCCATCTGAGTGTTAAAGATAACCGAATTTATGCCTTTAAATTCGTGTTTTTAGTTCACCATTCCTTTATATGGTTTCTTTCTCCACAACACTCAAGAGATACATCGACAGGCCAGAACCCTGCAACTCTCCCGGACAAGTTCTACCAAAGTAAAGACAGCAGGTGGACCTCCCCGACAAAGGTTATATACAAACCTTAGACTTCCCCACAAAGGTTATATACAAACCTTCCTATAATCCTCTGTGCTGCCACCTCCTGGCATCCAATTGTAAATTCACTGCAGTCTCTTTGGAGATGGGGCTAAGGATCTCAAATAGGTTCTAAAGCTTTCTTTTACTCAACAGATGGAAAGCTGCTGTAGCCACAATGCCTGTATGAACCTAGAGCTTAAAGGGACATAGTAATATTTAAGTGGGAGATTTAAACTAGCTGTAAACTAAACTCTAAACCTGTTAGGGCACTGCTAAATTGAGCAATAAGTAAATCCTCTCTTTTCTTGGCTACCATGTGCCAAATAGCTTTGATTATTGTATTACTATTTCATTTCATCTTATTAAGCATTGGTATTTGATTTATTAGCCTGAAAACCATGGAAAGTGTATAGGCCACTAGATATATTTCTTAAATAATATAAGGGAAGCAATTTAAATGAAGCATTAAAACTTCTTGTTTTTACATTTTATTTCTCTGAGTGTGTGTGTGTGTTAGAGTCTCACTCTGTTGCCCAGGCTGGAGTGCAGTGGCACAACCTTGTCTCACTGCAACCTCTGCCTCCAGGGTTGAAGCGATTCTCCTGCCCCAGCCTCCTGAGTAGCTGGGATTACAGGCACCCACGACCATGCCCAGTTAATTTTTATACATTTAGTAGAGACACGGTTTCACCATGTTGGCCAGGCTGGTCTCAAACTCCTGACCTGAAGTGATCTGCCCATCTTGGCCTGCCAAAGTGCTGGGATTACAGGTGTGAGCCACCACACCTGGCCAGCCTCTCCAACTGATAAATGCTTAATATTAAATATTTTGCTTGACCAAAGTAGAGGGCCCTTTCAAGTATATGCCATGAGTACCCCTTTGAATCACTTTGTGGAGCTGAAACTGGATGCCTCTAAGCTCCACTCTCCCTTGCCATGCCGAGCCTTTCAGGGTCTTCTCTCCTTGAGCTCTTTTCAATTTAGAAAGGTCTTGTCACTTCAGGTAGGGAATTTAAACTGGGCCACCCCTCCCTATCACTCACATCTTTCCTATGTACCCCATAAGAAGACCAGGTGCTGGCCAGGCACGGTAGCTCAGACTTGTAATCCCAGCACTTTGGGAGACTGAGGCAGGCAGATCACCTGAAGTCAGAAGTTCAAGACCAGCCTGGTCAACATGGCAAAATCCCATCTCAACTAAAAATACAAAAATTAGCCAGGCATAGATCACACCACTGCACTCCAACCTGGGTGACAGAGTGAGACTCAGTCTCAAAAAAAAAAAAGGACGCCCCGTGCCCTCTCTTTTGTCCCTAAGCCAAATGACTTATCAAAGTACTCCTCAGTCCAAGGGAGAGCAGAACCTGTCCAATTGTTGTTAAACAAATACGGTTTCTTGCCTATAGAAAATATATTGGCTGGGTGTGGTGGCTCATGCCTATAATCCCAGCATTTTGGGAGGCCGAGGCGGGTGGATCACCTGAGGTTAGGAGTTCAAGACCAGGTTGGCCAACATGGTGAAACCCCATCTCTACTAAAAATTCAAAAGAAAAAAAAATCAGCTGGGCATGGTGGCTCACCCCTGTAATCCCAACTACTTGGGAGGCCGAGGCAGAAGAATTGCTTGAACCAGGGAGGCAGAAGTTGCAGTAAGCCGAGATCACGCCATTGCACTCCAGCCTGGGCGACGGAGCAAGACTCTGTCTCAAAAAAAAAAAAGGAAGGGAAAGGAAGGGAAAGGAAAAAAAAAAGGAACGGAAAGGAAGGGAAAGGAAGGGAAAGGAAAGGAAAGGAAAGGAAAAAGGAAAAGGAAAAGGAAAGGAAAAGGAAAGGAAAGGAAGAAAGAAAGAAAATGTATTATAAAGATGAACTGGCATAACAGTTTGTATCCCTTTCATGATTCCTGGCACTGTGACATCCCTGAAAAGCATGAGAATGCATGAAAATGCACATCTCATTTTAATGTTTATGTTTTCTCTATGGCAACATAGGAGAATGGTTTTGTAGTAATGCAAAACTCATTAATAAAGGCAAAATCCTTAGCTGCCACCCCACTGATACCCAGAAGAGGTTGATTTAAAGATCTCGACAGGACAAAAATTGTAAAACTAAGAAAGAAGACCTCTACTACCCACAGACAGCCCAGTAGCTCAAAAGCAAAGCTTCTCAACTTAGAGGAGGTGCAGACCTTCCTTCCTTCTAACTGGCAGAAAATCTGGTACTGCCAATTAGCTTCCCAGGAAAGCTAACTCTGAGATGGAATTTAGCATACAGGAGATTTATTATGAGTGTGCATAGAACCAACACCTGTGGAAAAGAAGGGCACAAAGGAACTGATTGGGCCTCAGTCAACCCTATGGGGAGTTCTAAAGACAGAATGAAAATTCAGAGCTGCTCTGAGTCAGTCAGTAAGCGAGAACTGGCCCTTTCTGTCCCCTCCATGACAATCAGTCTTTGGATGAGGCCTACCTGGGAAAGGAACATGGCCTTAGCCGAGGCAGCCCTCTTCAGCAGAGGCTGTCCCAGAAATGGGCTGACAGCTAGGGCCGTGTCGGGCAACACTTCCAGCAGCTCCTTCCTTCCGGAGGGAGGATCTAGAGCCCGTGAATCTCAGCAGCCACTGCTCGGCAATCCCTGCACCGAAATCCATCCGTGTGGGCAGTCACACAAGCTCAGGATTTCCTTCCTCTCAAAATGCCAGGAATTCTTTTATCAGATTTCTTTAACATAAGATGAAGTCCTCCAGGCATGAACACTTAAGCCTTCAGCCCTTTGGAGGGAACATTCTAGAAATAAGGTTCAGGAAATTGTCCACAAGTAGAAGCAGTCTCACCCACATAAACATGATGAAAACTCTTCCCTAGAAGTACTGACATATGCTACAATGTGGATGACCCTCAAAAACATTATGATAAGTGAAAAAAGCCAGACACAAAAGGTCACACATTATATGATTCAATATACATTAAATATCCATAGAGAGACATAACTCCAGCTGATGGCTGCTGGGGACAGGGGTGGGGGACAGAATATGAAGAACAACTGCTTAATGTATATAAAGTTTCTTTCTGGGATGATGAAAACGTTTTGAAACTGGACAAAGATGATGATTACACAACATTGTGAATGTGCTGAATGCCACTGGATCATTCATTTTAAAATGGTTACTTCCATTGTGTTTATTTATTTATTTATTTATTTATTTTTGGAGACAGTGTCTCACTCTGTTGCCCAGGCTGGAGTGCAGTGGCACCATCTAGGCTCATTGCAACCTTCCCAGGGTCCAGCGATCCTCCCGTCTCAGCTTCCTGAGTAGCTGTGACTACAGGCATGCGCCACCATGCCCAGCTAATTTTTTTATTTTTTGTAGACATGGGGTTTCACCATGTTGCCCAGGCTGGTCTTGAACTCCTGAGCTCCAGCAATCCACCCGCCTCTGCCTCACAAAGTGCTGGGATTACAGGCTTGAGCCACCACAACTGGCTAAACTGGTTAATTTTATATTATGTCAATTTCACCTCAATTAAATAAAATGGGGTAAAACATACACACACACACACACTCAAACACAAAAAATCTCTTCCCTGGGAACAGCCCACTTTATGAAAATTAATGCTCTACTGTAAGAACCTTAATTTTTTAATAACTAGGAATTACTAAAATGTTACTCTGTCTTCAGAGTAAACTTACATCACATAAGGCAAATCAGGTAAAACTATCTGTACTTAAAATCAAGCATCCTATCCATGTAGTAGGCTCTGGATAGCCAAATTATGTAAATCTGTACTTTAAACATGAGAGATAACTTCTGTCTACATGTAAAGAATATTTTCCTTCAAAAGAAGTTTGAAGTGTTATGATCATATACTCTTTAAAGTTTCTTGAAATAAAAATGATGTTTAGAGATTTCAGGGTCTCCAAAATAATTATCCGTTTGCAAAGACACCCTCCAAACAATTCAAAGATACTTGATGAAATCAATCATCTCTTATTGGTAAAATGTGAACGGTGGTATAGGAATATTTTGCTGTAATACATTTGGTGTTTGGTGACAGAAAGACAAAACAATGGTGTGAATATACTTGTTGGAAGCTAAAAAATATGTGAATTGAACTATCTTTAAACAGATAATGCTGTGCCACCACCATTTCACCACCATTACCCAGTAGAGTTCGAAGCTCTCTAAGAGAAATTTAACTTTGAAGTAAGAATAATAGTCTAAAAGCCACAAGGTACCCAGGTGCAGTGGCTCACCCCTATAATCCCAGCACTTTGGGAAGCCAAGGTGGGAAGATCATTCGAGGCCAGGAGTTCGAGACCAGCCTGGCCAACATGGTGAAACCCCCATCTCTACTAAAAATACAAAAATTAGCTGGGCATGGTGGCACATGCCTGTAATCCCAGCTACTTGGGAGGTTGAGGCATGAGAGTCACTTGAACCTAGGAAGCAGAGGTTGCAGTGAGCCAAGATCACACCACTGCATTCCAGCCTCGGTGACAGAACAAGAATCTGTCTCAAAAAAGAAAAAGGCATGAGGTAGTTAAGACACTAGGACCTTGAAAGAAGGAAAGAAACAGAAAGTGTCAGTTTAAAATTTGCCTAATATCAAAAATGTCCATTCTGAACAAGAGTCAAGCCAACTCTCCCTTCCCCCACCCTCTGTGATAAAAAGTCATTCACAAGTTGCATTGTTTTTCTGAAAGCATTCTAAATCTGAAAATGTCGAATAAATTTTCAAAGACACTAAATTTCAAAATACACTTAAAGTCAATTATTTAATAAAACTTGAAATTTTAATGTTTAATTCTCAACATTATAGTTTTCTGATTTTTCTATGTAAATACAGTTACTTCACAAGGAAAATTTTAGAATTTGAGGCAGGGCATTTTGACTTCCATACAAGAGTTTGGACTTCTACACTAAAACCAAATAATGCTTCATGTAAATATAATGTAAAACATAGGCTTTAAGTGGAAATAAATGACATGTATAGTGTGGTATGGTTGCAAACCATTGAAAGAGATGTCTTTCACGAACTTGCTCAAAATACCCAGATAGGCCGGGCACGGTGGCTCACGCCTGTAATCCCAGCACTTTGGGAGGCTGAGGCAGATGGATCACGAGGTCAGGAGATCGAGATCACGAGGTCAGGAGATCCTGGCTAACACGGTGAAAGCCCGTCACTACTAAAAATACAAAAAATTAGCTGGGCGTGGTGGCGGGCACCTGTAGTCCCAGCTACTCGGGAGGCGGAGGCAGGAGAATGTCATGAACCCGGGAGGCGGAGCTTGCAGTGAGCCGAGATCGCGCCACTGCACTCCAGCCTGGGCAACACAGCAAGACTCCATCTCAAAAAAAAAAAAAAAAAAAAACCCAGATAATCTGAAAATATATACAGATCAATGGAAAAAATTCCATTTGATATTTCTAGGCAGGATTTTAATGTGTGATAGCTGACATAGATTTCCAGTAATTGTGTATTTATTTAATTCCATTTTTTCTCACTGTACTCTAGATATTTTCTCAAACATACTTGGATTTTGGGAATTCGAATTTGTATAGTGTTAAGGTAATGCATATTTGAATTTATCTTGCTGTTTGAGAAATTTGAATTCTACCAATTACAGACAATTCTGTAATTGTCTATAACAACAGTAGGAATTGCACACTTAAAATCATTAAAATGGCAAAATTTATGTTATATATATTAGTTACACCACAATAAAGAAAAAGAACATAAAAAGGAAGAAAAAAATAAGGCTTTTTCTCTGAGAGAGAAAAAGAGAGACACAGTTTTGGTTTTCCCCCCATTGGAATATGGAGTTAAGTGCAGACCACTCAAGATACACAAATTTCTGACCAGAGCACTTACAAGTAGCAATTCCAAAATAAATACCAGTACAATAAAAAAGATGTTATATTCATCTTTATTTATTTATTTAAAAGGAAATAAATAATTTCCTGTAAAATAAAAGGATGAAAGCAGCTTGATGGCAGCAGATGTAAAGAAGGATTGAGGCTGGCCAGGCGTGGTGGCTCACGCCTGTAATCCCAGCACTTTGGGAGGCTGAGGCAGGCAGATCACGAGGTCAAGAGATTGAGACCATCGTCGCCAACATGGTGAAACCCTGTCTCTATTAAAAATACAAAAATTAGCTGGGCGTGGTGGCGCGCTTCTGTAGTCCCAGCTACTCAGGAGGCTGAGGCAGGCGAATTGCTTGAACCTGGGAGGTAGAGGTTGCAGTGAGCTGAGATCACGCCACTGCACTCCGCCTGGCGAGAGAGTGAGACTCCATCTCAAAAGAAGGATTGAGGCTGCTGAGTTAGGACGACAAAGGCAAAATGATAAACACAAGGCAGAAGGTGCTTATGCACCTCCCCCTGCCTCCAGGCTGGCCCTTGGGCTTGAAGAACTAGAAACACAAACTTGTTATCCCTCTTTCCAGAGTTCTCAAAATACAAGGATGCTAAGTCATGCTCACAAACTCGCCAGAAGCTGAAATACACAGCCTAGACTAACACAAAACTCCCAGCATGGCTGAAAATGCCTAGGGCCAGAATAGTCCAGTATTTCCCTTCAGGCAAAGTTGCACAGCAAATCAAAGTTTTAGATTTGTTTTTGACAGGGATTCAGAGGAAAAGGAGATGGTTTAATGAATTTAGCTCTGAGAGTCTCATGCATCATTTTACAAGAGAGGAATGTGCATGCCAAGCAAACCAAATGTTTGTAGCCTATGGCTGAGTCGTATCTCTTATGGCCTGTGGTCGGTGCACATGCTCATGGTGGTCACATGGGCTTCTCATATGCTATCATGGTGGACCAGTCTCCCACTGTGAGCCCCATCTTTGTGTTCACATTCATATTTTCAACCACCTTAAAATTACTGCTTGCTCTGAAATGACAGGTTAAAAGGTTATAAAGAAGATTTAGGTTTCAAATTTGTTCTAAAATACTTATAAATCAAGGGGGACAGATAGACAAATTTGTAAAAATATAGATTATTGGGGGTGATGGGTACTATTACACTATTCTCTTTAGCCTGTGTTTGAGAAATTCCATTAAAAATTTTCAAAATAATCTCTTCATTGTCCTTGGTGCTGGTCTGTCTCTCTCAGTACAGGGCAGGGGTCGGGGCTCTGAAGCCAAACTCCTTTGGTTCCAATGCCACTTCTGCCATGTGCTGAGATCTTGAACAAGTTTCTTGACCTGTTCATGCCAGTTTCCTCAACTGTAAAATGCTGGTAATAATGAAACTACCTCACAGAGTTTTTGTAAGGCTAAAATGAGATAATGCATGGAAAGGGCTTAGCAGTGTCAGGCATATAGTAATCACCTAATAAATGCTAGCTATTGTTACCCAAAATATTTTGCAATTTTTTTTTTTGAGACGGGGTCTCGCCCTGTCACCCAAGCTGGAGTGTAGTGGCACAATCTCAGCTCACTGCAACCTCCGCCCCCAGGTTCAAGCGATTCTTGTGCCTCAGCCTGCTAAGTAGCTGGGATTATTAGCATGCACCACCACAACTGGCTAATTTTTGTATTTCTTTCTTTCTTTTTTTTTTTTTAGTAGAGAGAAGGTTTCACCATGTTGGCCAGGCTGGTCTTGAACTCTTGACCTCAGGTGATCTGCCTGCCTTGGCCTTCCAAAGTGCTAGGATTACAGATGTTTTGATTCCATAGTTTAATTAATTCTGTGGGCAATTTATTTCGGCATTCCAATTTGAACACACAAGCCCACTATGAGGCCCATTCTCTCTCTCTCTCTCTCTCTCTCTCTCTCACACACACACACACACACACACACACACACACACACACTCTGTCCCTGCTCTCTCTCTCTCATTTGCTTGCTCATCAAAACATCTGCTCTGTATCTCACTGAAATATCTGTCTTCTGTTTCATTCCTCCAAGTAAAATGGTAACAACGCGTTAGAAAGAGTTGCATAGGCCAGACATGGTGGTTCACGCCTATAATCCCAGCAGTTTGGGAGGCTGAGGCAGGCAGATCACCTGAGGTCAGGAGTTCGAGACCAGCCTGGCCAACACGGTGAAACCTCATCTCTACTAAAAATACAAAAATTAGCTGGGCATGGTGGTGGGCGCCTGTAAACCCAGCTACTTGGGAGGCTGAGACAGGAGAATTGCTTCAAGCCAAGAGGCAGAGGTTGCAGTGAGCTGAGATTGTACCACTGCACTGCAGCCTGGGCAACAGAGTGAGAAAGGAAGAAAGGAAGAAAGGAAGAAAGAAAGAAAAGAAAGAAAGAAAAAGAAAGAAAGAGAGAAAGAAAGAAAGAAAGAGAAAGAAAGAAAGAAAGAGAAAGAAAGAGAGAAAGGAAGGAAGGGAAAAGAAAAGAAAGAAGGAAGGAAGGAAAGAGGGAGGGAGGGAAGGAAGGAAGGAAAGAAAGAAGGAAAGAAAAGAAGGAAAGAAGGAAGAAAAGAAAGAAAGGAACAAGGAAGGAAGGAAGAAGAAAAGAAAGAAAGAAAGAAAGAAAGAAAGAAAGAAAGAAAGAAAGAGAAAGAAAGAAAGAAAGAAAGGGAAATGAAAAGAATTGGATAAAAGCATCCATTTACCCCAATTCCCCTAATGTCCATACCAGCCTACCTCCACTTCACAATCAATCCCATTGAAACTAATCCAGATTCAATGTCTCACAGCTAAATCTCGCAGCAAGTCTTACCTACCTGAGGACTTTATCTTCCTCCTCATCTTTTACTATAAACTCTAATTGAACCTCTCTACTTCTCCGTATTTTTGTATTTCTTAAATCATCAAGGATTTTTAAAAGGCTTCAGTAAAACCAGAAATAGGCTGTTCCTCTCTTCTTGGTTCATCTGAGAACAGGAAGCCAGACATCTAACAAAATAGCCTTTGATAGACAGCTTTTCATGCAGAAGGTAAAATTACAGGGTAAGAAATTCTAACTTACATCTACTGTGAATCACTTACAGAAATGACTCTTTTTCTTCAAATCCTTGCTATTTAAGTCCATGATAATCATTTGCATTTGAAAAAGCTGACTCTGTTGAGTCATACTTAGAACTACAAACTCTGACTAAACTTGTAACTCAGTCCAGAGAAATGAAAACAAAAGCCAAATGGTCCAAAATATGCAAGAGAAACAAGGAATATTGTTTTTACTTTGCTGATTTGTTTGAGTTTTTTTCCAAATTTACCAACTGGATATAATTTCCCCACTCAAAGCATATGAACTCAGGTACAACAATGCTATAGAATAATTGGATGACATTGTCCATTTCTTGCAACCCTCCGTTGACCCAGTTGGCTTATGCTAGAGCTGACTAACTGGTAATGCTAACCCAGCATGGGAGGCTGACCAGGGGTACAGGGGTCTTCCTAGGGCCTGCAGAGCAGAATCCAGGTCAGAAGGCAATAGCTTTACACCATCAAACATATATTCTATTTGGGACCTGGTCTTCCACTCTCTCTGCCACACTCATGAACCACCATAAACTACAGGAGGCTCAGTGCAAACTCCCTCCTGTTTCTCCCCAGTAAATTTTATATGTAGTCAGCTCACTCTTCCCCATGTTACCCCCATCCAAATAATTCATTTTGGGCTCAATAATTGCTAGTTTTGATGTAGCATACCTTTCTTGAATACGGTTTAGAATCTTCCTGCTGGTTGGTCTTATTTCAATAGATGCCTTCTTTGCTGAAATGAAATCCTTGTAAACAAGGAGTGCAGAAGAAATACCAAAGCAAAAAACTAAAGCTCAAGTTGAAGCTTTGCAACCAGGTCTTGAATCCTAAGAAGGCACTGCTCAGACGGGCTGGTGTTCCACAACCAACCACAATTATTTGAATACAAATAATTCATTCATAATTCATGAGGCCATTTTCATTTTACACATTTTAAACCTTTACACCTTTTAGTTGGGGAACTTCTAAACTTACCCAAGATTGAGAGACTAGTAGAATTAACCATATAATGTATAATATAGCTGCAGACAGATAATGTATAATGTATCTGCCACCCAGCTTAGACAATTATTACCATGTTGCCAATCTCATTTCACCAACCCCCCTTCCTCCATTTTTTTAAGTTGGAATATTTTAAAGTAAATCCTAGAAATCAACATTTCTTAAATAAAAAATAATAACAACTGCCATGCCATTATCACGTTGAATAAAATGACCAGTAATTTTGCATACAAATTCCTCCGCTGTCTCAATGCCTTCACAAGAGCGAGTAAGTGGTAGAAGCTGGGATTCGAACCCAAGCAGTTGGACTCCAGTGCACTCTAAAATCTGTACTTCATGGAAAGAGAGAATCCAACAAGAGCCCTGAAGGAACTGGCAGAAAAGGGCAAAATAAGCAGAGAGAAACAGGATGCCAGGAAGCAGCAAGCAGAAAGGTCAGTAACCTCAGCAAAGGGTGGCCTCAGTCAAGAAGGGGATTTCAAGATATTTCCTATTGCGGAACTGAAGACCTCAAGGAGAACAAGTCTGAAGGCTGCAGACAAGAACAGGTGGTGGGCCTACCTATCTTGGAGTGGGGAGGAGACCTCTGTAAGGCAATGTGAATGCTGATGGCATCAGGACTTGGCAAATCTTAAGACTCTGACTCCCACCAGGCAGAACGCAGGACTGCCTCTCACTAGACTGAGCCACGGCTGCTTGAAAGCTGAAACTAACCCACAGAGGGCCTTGGTTACCATACAAATCAGAAATAGTGTTGTCCAGGATAAGATCCAAAATAGCCTAGAGATTTGGCTGTCTTAAAACATGGGCTCAGTAATCGCTAGTTTTGACGTAGCATACCTTTCCTGAATATGGTTTAGAATCTTCCCGCTGGTTGATCTTATTTCAATAGATGGCTCCTTTGCTGAAATGAAATCCTTGTAAACAAGGAGTGCAGAAGAAATACCAAAGGAAGAAACTAAAGCTCAAGTTGAAGCTTTGCAAGCAGGTCTTGCATCCTAAGAAGCCACTGCCCAGACAGGCTGGTGTTCCAAAACTAACCACAAGGTGGCACTGCTTTGAGCCAAGCCCCAGGTCATGTTAAAAAATGAATGAGATCAATGGTGAAGTTTTACAGTTGCAGAATAGCCAAATGGCAGCCATGAAAAGAAACCCCTTAGACCTCCTGCTACAGGAAACAAAATTGATTGGCTGTGGGTCCCAGCTGCTGCCCCTCTCCATCCATCACTGCCTTCCCCTCGGGCTGCTCCTGGCCTGTGACAAGCACAGCCCTGCTGTCCATCTAGGCTATTCCCTTGGGACAAGGGTGGTTCCCATGGGTGACTTTGCCTTGAGGACTTCCCATCTGCCTGGCCCTCTCTTTCTTGGACTGTACTGCAGTCTGTGATATTTTTTTTTCCTACCCAATTCCCTTCCTCCTCTCTCTCCTTCACAGTTGTCAGAACTTCATTATAGCTCTATTCAGGAGTGGCCCCGTGATGGTGGAGATGGAAAATCTTTCTAATGGGCAGCGTGTGAGAGTGCAACTGGTATCTACAATGGAATGAAAAGTGGCCCGAGATGAGAATATATACAGTGGCCAGGAAACAAGGTCTGGGGTAGAGGATTACGGATGAGCCCAGGGGAGTGGGCGCTCCAGGGGAGTGTCATTTCCGCCTCCCACGTTAATGTCCCCAGAATGCAATCCTCATGGAAGAGGTGTAGAACAACCAAGCAGTCAAGAAAACTCAGCCAGTTGATAGCTGGACTTCATCACCGGCCAGCCCAGAACTGGTGTGACAGGCACAGTGATGGAGGCAGGCTGTAGACGGCCCATTAGCATGGACTCCCTGTTAACCAAGGTCAACGGAGCTGTCACTGCCCCTGCATGTCCAACCTTCCTGCAACACAGATCATTGCTGAGCCCTGAAGTGGCATTGCTCTTTAAGGAGACCAATGGGCCACAGGACGGCCAGTCGACAAGTGGCAGGCTCCAGATGTAATTGCTCCTCTGTTCTGAGAAAATGGATCTGGGTCCTCTAAGTTGTTCCCCTGAGCCAGCGGGCTCTGAAGCTTTGTTGGGAGAGGGTGATGGAGAGACATTGGAGGAGGAAGAGGGTTTTGCTTCCTGACCCGTGCAGTGCAGACTGCTTCACAGGAGTGCTAAGGAGCACCAGCTTCCCAGCACCTCCCTCAGGGGGTTTTGCATCAGAGGCCTCTGGTAGGACACTTCTCTGTACAGTTTTCCCCAGGATGCCAGAGGGCAGGTTTCTAGCAAGTTCCACCAGCAGAGCACCACAGTGACTTCTCTGCCCTCCACTGATTCACAGCCATGCCCTCCCTACTCAATCTGGGTGTCAGCCCCAGGGGTGCTATGGAGGGCTCTTCTTTTTTTTTTTTTTTTCGAGACAGGGTCTTACTCTGTCACCTAGGCTGGAGTGCAATGGTGCAATCTTGGCTCACTGCAATCTCCGCCCTCAGGTTCAAGTGATTCTCCTGCCTTAGCTTCACTAGTAGCTGGGACTACAGACGCCCGCCACCAGGCCGGCTAATTTTTTGTATTTTTCATAGAGACGGGGTTTCACCATGTTGGCCAGGCTGGTCTCAAACTCCTGATCTCAGATGATCTGCCCACCTCAGCCTCCCAAAGTGCCGGGATTCCAGGCATGAGTCACTGCGCCCAGCCAAGGTTCTTCTTTGAGCTCTCAGTCTTAGTCCTAGTGGTGCAGGCTACTCCTGATATCTGCTATTCTCATGTTCAAGTTCTTTTTACTTCCTACTAGCCAGTCCTTCACTACTCCAATCTGCTGTGATAATCACTCTTCACTTTTAACTTGCCCTGTTCAAATTGCTGTGTGGTTTCTGCGTCACTCCTCATAGTGACAGATACCTCTTCCAGGCAAGAGTTTGTCTTTCCTGCCTGCAGGGACTCAGACACCATGACTATCTGGGGGCTATAGAAAGCCTGAACCATAGGCATGGAATCCCATGGGGCATAGCATCCAATCAGGTGACTCACCTCCCAGTGAAGGAGACGAAAGAGTGAGCCCCTGGTTGTGGAACCACTGTGTATCCACACCCCGCACCATCCATAGGCAGCCAGCCTCATAGAGGGCTTGAACAACCAAGACCCAGCTGAAGGGCCAGGATGGAGTGCTTGCTGTCTTCAAAGATGCATGTCCCCAGTAGGTTTGGGACCATGTCTGGGATCCGGTAGATGAAACTGGGAGTGGCCCTGCATTCCATCATTCCCAATGATCTGCTGCAGGATTTAAGGAGAATAGCAGCACTGGAAATCCTGGTGCCAAAGAGGGAGGCTCTTGCCAGGGGACATAAGGTCCCAGTGAGCTACAAACTATGACTGATGCTGGAACTGATCTCTGAACTCCCTTTGTCCAGGCACCAGCAGGAGGAGAGAGAGTTACTTTTACACTGTAGAGAATCCACATGACCCACTGAGCGCCTGCTGGTATTCCTGTGGGCCACTGTAAATGTCAATGCATACTTTCAGCAAGCCTGTCTTAAGAAAGCATCACTTTGCTGCAATCTGAGATGCCTCCTGCCCAATCCTCTCTCCCCTCTCTTTTACAGGGGTCAGCCTTGCAGCATGGTCTGAAGGCCATCGCTGCCTTCTCTGGCTCCCTGCCCTTATCCTTCATGGGCCTGGTACCCAATAAGTGTCATGCAAATCTCATTATGTCTGGGCACCTGCTTTTCAGAGGACCTGAACATAAGCCACAAAGCATAAGATTAGTGTGGGGGAGGTATAATGTTCACAAGGGTCATCTTTATCAACAAACTCTTTTTACATAAATATAGAATTTTCATTTTGTTTCCTGTCTTTCAGTTATATGCCGTGGACATCATGGCCTTATCCTTTATAGCACTCGTGTTCTCTCTCTTTCTCTCAATCTCTCCCTACTGTAAGCTCAGTAAGGACAAGATACATGTGTATTTTTTCACCATTGCATGTCTGACTCCTAGCATAATGCTAAATACATAGTAGGTGCTCCAAATTATTAAGCCTATTCAAGAACAGTCACTCTACAACAAAATTTACTAAGCGTAGTTGCAAAAGTACATTATTGACAGGATACTATTATGATGTACATAAGAGTCCTGGATAATAAATTCATAATTCTAAAAATATAGATAATGACCAGCTGTCCAGTGATAGTCTAAGAAGAAGCTCTAATAAGCAGTTGTACCTAAGTTTAGTGCTACATAGGCAGGTTCTGTCCCTTAAGCAGAAATAACTGGCAACGCTATGGAGATTTAAGGAGTCGATGGCAGTCATTAACACAGGTCATGTGAAAGCAAGCCCTGCCTTTTCCATCTTCTCCACCAACCTGTATTAGGGCCACTTTTCCCTCTAACATGGTTTGTAATTCTCAGTTGTTATGATATTATCAGTTCCAGAAGGCCACTGTTAAAGGGCTATCTGGGAGGAAAATGAAGCTTTCTGATCTTCCCACATTATTAGTATGAGCACAAAATTGAAGGACACACTCACTCTCAGGGGCAATTCTGCACTGGCACAAACCTGACAATGGAGAATAGCTCCTTAAATGCTGCACCCTGGGCACCTCATTAGCCTCTCCCTCGTGCTAGCCCTGCTTGGGAGCATGAGAAAGCTGCAGATTCTGGGTCCCAAACCCCAGAGCTTGGTAACTCACACACTTTAAAATGAGGGTAAATGACAGGCCGGGCGTGGTGGCTCTCACCTGTAATCCCAGCAATTTGGGAGGCCAAAGCGGGCAGATCACTTAAGGTCAGGAGATCAAGACCAGCCTGGCCAATATGGTGAAACACCATCTCTACTAAAAATACAAAAATTGGCCGGGCGTGGTGGTGCACACCTGTCATCCCAGCTACGCAGGAGGCTGAAGCAGCAGAATCACTTGAACCCAGGAGGTGGAGGTTGTGGTGAGCCGAGATTATGCTACTGCACTCCAGCCTGGGTGACAGAGTGAGACTCCATCTTAAAAATAAATAAATAAATAAATAAATAAAGTGAGTGTTAATGATAAAAAAAAGAAAATAGCTACTTCACCTCAGATACTTGAAAGAACTTTGATTAAGACAAAGAATGAACATATTCAATCTGCTAAAGGCATTTCTTCAATAAGGGTCTAACTATCAGACTGGAGCCACGGAAGGCAGAATATGGAACCCTAATACATTTGCATGCAACTGAAATTTTGTTTTTGCCTACAAAAGGAGATACATGGAAAAAAGGGAATACTTTGGACAGAAAATCAAGACACAAATCAGGCACTGCCAAAAATAAATCACATAAAACTTTTTCTTTGAATTAAGAGAATTTATACAAATTTGACTTCATAAACAAAAGAAACTATACATCAATAATTACCATAAGGCATTATTGCTCCTAAAGTATTTGCCACCAAAAATAAGTCATTGTATAATTCTAATTTTAATAATCTTAATTACGACACAATTTAGGTTTATTTTCTACCTTTATAATTTTGTTGTTGTTGTTTGTTTTTGTTTTTTGGGTTTTTTTTGAGATGCAGTCTCACTCTGTAGCCCAGGCTGGACTGCAGTAGCATGATCTCAGCTCACTGCAACCTCTGCTTCCTGGGTTCAAGCGATCCTCCTGCCTCAGCCTCCCAAGTACCTGGGACTACAGGTGTGTGCCACCACACCCGACTAATTTGTGTTTTTGTTTTTGTTGTTTTTCAGTAGAGACAGGGTTTTACCATGTTGGCCAGCCTGGTCTTGAACTCCTGACCTCAACTGACCCGCCTACCTCGGCCTCCCAAAGTGCTGGAATTACAGGCGTGAGCCACTGCGTCTGGCCTCTACCTTTACAATTAAATAATAAAATCTTCTGGGAGTTCATGATCCCTAGAATTATCATTGATTTAAAATTATTCCATTTTTCAAATACTTTTCTTAGAAATAAAAAGTAAAGTCATTAAAATATGTTAATTTCTGTTACTTATACATTTTTAAATCATAGGTTAAAAGACTCTGATTGGGACATAAGACTGTATATATTTCAGGAATAGTTTTTCCATAGATATAATTAATAACACTTAAAAATAAGAAAAATGTTTTCCATACCAACTATAAGCTTTTAAAAAGTACAGAAGCATATCCTCAAGATGTGAAGGCACTGGGGGATGGAGGACACCTTGTTTCCTCAGCTCAGAGCTTAGCTTTCTCCTTAAAGGTCTCCTTCATCTTTTTGACAACAGAAAGGTCCCCTGCTCCCTTGGGCCAGTTGTCATGATCTGTTAAAGAAGTGGAAAGCCTCCTGTCACTTGCAAATCTCATTTGCCCTCTTCACTCCCACCAAATCCTCTTGTTAATTTCCCTGGTTCACACATTTTCTCAGCACCAAAAAATAAATCCTTAGGGCAAACATTTGAGAAAAGACTTCAATTTGAATCTCAGGTCTGCCACACGTTAGCTTTCCTGAATTTGGGCACATGTCTCTTCCTGAGCCTCAGTTTCCTCCTCTATTAAAGGATACAACAATATCTACCTTTTAAAGTTGTGAGGGTTAAATATGACACCATGTGTGCAGTGCTTCGCATACTGTGGATCGTCAATAAATAGTGTCTCCTTAATAATCACAATTTAAAAATAGTGTCCTTACTTTGTACCAGGCACTGCTACTTGCCTCTCCAGCATCCAGGTCCCCATCTCTTCTTTCCAACAGCTTGTTTCCATTTAACGATCTAGAAGGTGCCAGGGAAGCTTGGCACCAAGGCATGTGGTCTAAGCTAAGTCAGTCAGTGCACTATAACCCCGCCACAGTTATTGGTTGGAAATGGACATTTGCATAAGTTGATCGAATATAGAGTGGATCTCAGAATTTTGTTAGAAATTCTGGAACAAAGTCACTCCTCCAGCCCTCTCTCTGTGCATCTGGGTATGAACACAGAAGTATCAGCCTTACACATAGAAACAGCAGGCAGCCATCCTGCAATGAGGAGAGCCTGCCTTAAGATAGAGCCAACACCATGGAGGCAAAAACAGGAAACAGGGGAAAAACTTGTCCTTGATGAGATCAGTGAGCTACTAAGTCAAGTCTTACCTGTTTTTCAGTTATGTGCCAGCGAATTCCTTTACTGATGAGCCCATTTTGAGTTGTGACTAAAAGCATCCAATTCGACAAATGACTTTATTTTTTTAATTTTTATTTTTTGAGACAGGGTCTTGCTCTGTCAGCCAGGCTGGAGTGCAGTTGTGCAATCATGGCTCACTGCAACCTCGACTTCCCGGGCTCCAGTGATCCTCCCACCTAAGCCTCCCAAGTACAGGCACATGCCACCATGCCAGGCTAATTTTTTAAATGTTTTGTTGAGACGGAGTTTTGCCAGGTTGCCCAGGCTGGTCTTGAATTCCTGGGATCAAGCAATTGGCCCACCTTTGCCTCCCAAAGTGCTGAGATTACAGGTGTGAGCCATGGTGCCCAGCCCCTGACATAGGGATTTAAATGTGCATTATCTAAGGCCAGGCACAGTGGCTCATGCCTGTAATCCCAGCACTTTGGGAGGCCGAGGCAGGCGGATCACCTGAGGTCAGGAGTTCGAGACTAGCCTGGCCAACATAGTGAAACTCCATCTCTACTAAAACTACAAAAAAATTAGTGGGGCATAGTGTCGGGCACCTGTAATCCCAGCTACTCTGGATCCTGAGGCAGGAGAATTGCTTGAACCTGGGAGGCAGAGATTGCAGTGAGCCGAAATCATGTCACTGCACTCCAGCCTGGGCAACAAGAGTGAGACTCTGTCTCAAAAAAAAAGAAAAGAAAAAGTCCCTTATCTAATTTAATCCTCCCAACAGCTCTATGAAATAAATACTGTATGTGTCCCTGCATACAGGAACAAAATAGAGGCTTATAGAAATTAACTTTCTCACAATCATACGGCTAATAAGGGTAGAGCCAAGTTTCCATCTTAGGCATTCTCACCTTGGAGCTGCCAATCTTAAAAGAAAACACCATAGTGAAAGGCTGAATAATCTCATTATTCGGGGGGCAGTATATTCTTAAAAGATAGATGTACCCGCTTTCCTCAAAAACTGAAAAAAATATTTTTAATGATAAAAAGTGTTAGAATTACAAAAGAAAATCATGTCACTGAAGGCCTAAGGAAGAAGCTATTTGAAATTTCTTTCCCTTCTAAAGGTAAAACAGTGCAACCTGCGATAAGAAATAGTGACTGAAGTCTACTGTGAGAGAAGTGGAAAGATTCTCTCCACCCTCACTACTTGGAATTTTTTTCAGAAAACAATATGGCAAAACCATGTAGGTATTTCTTCTTTCCAACCAAGACCCTTAAAACTACAGTATCCTATGGACATCACCACATTGATGTTATTAGTAATGAAATACATGTGGGAGGGGAAAATAATAAGTAAAATTAAAGTTCTATACTGTGATATTGTGAAACATATATTTGGTCTTCAACCCCATCTCCCGCATACAACTCCTAATATCCTAGACTCGCCAAAGTGATGTGTTCTTATATGTTAATGATTGACTGATGGCTGGCAGCCCCTAGTTAGCTTCAGTATAGGGGCTGGTCACCAGACAGACCAAGGCATGATTACAGGGTTGGGACCTTCAGCCCATACCCACCCCACAACCTCTGGGGAGGTAAGAGGGGCTGAAGGTTAAGTTGATCACCAGTGGCTGATGGTTTAATCAACCATGCCTATGTAATGAAGCCTCCATAAAAACCCAAAGGACTGGGTTCAAGAGCTTCCAGATAGCTGAACACATGAAGGTTCCTGGCAGGTGGTGGGGCCAAAAAGGACACAGAAGCTACGTGCCCCTTCTCACATGCCTTGCCCTGTGCACCCCTTCGGCTGTATCTCCTGTAATATCCTTTATCATAAACCAGTAAATCGAAGTGTTTTCCTGAGTTGTGTGAGCTGCTCTAGCAAATTACTCCAACCCAAAGAGGGGGTCGTGGGAACCCCAACTTGAAGCTAGTCAGTCAGAAGTTTTAGAGGCCCAGACTTGTGATGGTGTCCAAAGCAGGGGGCATCCTGTGGGACTGAGCCCTCAGCCTGTGGGATCTGATCCTATCTCCAGTGTCAGAACTGAATGAGAGGACGCCCAGCTGGGGTCTGCTGCAGAACTGCTTGCTTGGTTGCTGTGCGGGGGAAGTAACCCCAAACAACTGGTCACAGAAGTCTTCCGTGCTAATGGTTGTTGTGTTGTGAGAGCAGAGGAAAACCAGTTTGAGTTTTTGCTCGCCTCTCACATACACCAATCATTTATTAACGCAAAAAAGGCCTTAAGCCTTGATCAGACTGTCAGCACCTGAAAGAGTACGTAGACCCTGGGTCCTTGATATGAAATTCAGATTCACCTGGGTTACATCAACCATCTATTAATTTGCTAGTAGCCACTTAATTATCTTTAACAACAGAAATTCAATACATTTGCATTTTATACCCTTTACTACATTTTTGGAGTGATTTAGAGTTATTAGCTTAGATAAACCTTTTAACGTCTGTGGATTTGTTTTGTTGTTTATAAAACTAGGATACTGGACTTTGTGATCTTTTAGGACCCTTCAAACCGCAAAGTTCTGTTATCTAGTCATGAGACACACACACACATAAAGGCATTTGCATGTAATATCAATATTTGATTTAAACTTATAAAACTTCTGGTTTTTTTTCTTGAGACAGAGTCTTGGTTTATCTCCCAAGCTGGAGTGCAGTGGCATGATCTTGGCTCACTGCAATCTCCGCCTCCTGGGTTTACGTGATTCTCCTACCTCAGCCTCCCAAGTAGCTGAGACTACAGGTGCCCGCCACCACACCCGACTAACTGTTATATATATACATACGTATATGTGTATATATATATACACATACGTATATGTGTATATATATATACATACGTATATGTGTATATATATATACACATACGTATATATGTATGTGTATATATATATACACATACGTATATATGTATGTATATATATACACATACATATATATGTATGCGTATATATATATATTTTTTTTTGAGATAAGAGTCTCACTCTGTCGCCCAGGCTAGAGTGCAGTGGCACAATCTCGGCTCACTGCAACCTCCGCCTCCCGGGTTCACACCATTCTCCTGCCTCAGCCTCCCAAGTAGCTGGGACTACAGGCACCCGCCACCAAGCCTGGCTAATTTTTTTGTATTTTTAGTAGAGACGGGGTTTCACTGTGTTAACCAGGCTGGTCTCTATCTCCTGACCTCAAGTGATCCACTTGCCTCAGCCTCCCAAAGTGCTGGGATTACAGGCATGAGCCACCATACCCGGCCAAATTTCTGTTTTTGTACATCAAAAATGATGAATACAGAAATTTCATATGCCTTCATTCAATATATATCTCAAAGAGAGCACAAAATAGCACCATAGCACCCCACCCCACCTAGCAGGCCTGATTCTTCTGCTCAGATATGTAAGCCATTTACTGGAGGAACAAAATGGAATTAAATCTTTAAAACTATAGCATGCTCTTGCCTCTTTTCTGTCTCCTCTTTCGAAACATATACTGAGAATATTTTTCAGGGTTCAAATTCCACCAACCTATGCATGCACAAAAAGCTCAGTTCCATAATATAGATAGTTAGATATTTTCTGTGACTAGGAATATTTCATTAAAAAAATCACATCATGAATATAAACATTTTGTACATTTTGATGTTCTATAAGAGAGCACCCTCATCTCTTAAGTAACTACTTATAATAAATTTTAAACCCCTGAACATGACACAGCATAAAGCTGGTGACTGCTCATTCCTCAGCTGCTCACCTGGTACCTCATACGAGTGAGTATAGAGACTCCGGCCCCCATCCACATCCACCGACTGTCCAGTGATGAAGGAAGCTGCAGGAGACAGTAGGAAGCAGACCACAGAGGAGACCTGGAAACAGAAACACACATGTGCATAGGTAAAAGCAAATACTCCCCATTTCTAACCGCCTCACATTCCCCAGTAAAGGCATCTCAAAGCCCATGATTGTAACATGAATCCAACAGTGTGTGCATGTGCACCACAACCTCACAGTACATAGACAACTTCCTTTTCCTACAATTTCCCTTTCTACCTGAGCATCACCGAAATCAGGTAGGTGACTAGGGTAAAGGTGGCAAGGTATGAGGGAGCCTTAGACGATGTCAAGCAAGCTACATGACGTCAAGAAGCCATAAGTGAACTCAGTGCTTCAGCTCTGCTCTTTCCCATTTCAAACAATTCACTTCCTTCCATGCCTTTCATTGTCCTCCACAACCCCATTTTCCATCACTACCTCGTGCCTTTTATGTTTTGGTCCCTGAAATAGTCAATGTGTCTGTTTAGCAATAAACTAGCATTCTGGTTTGTTCAGTCTGCGGTCCTGTCAGGCCAAAAGCCCAGCAACACACATTCAAAGGAGCTCTCTACAAGAGGAACTTCAAAAACTTAGCCAGGCACAGTGGCGGGCACCTGTGGTCCCAGCTCCTTAGGAGGCTGAGGTGGGAGCATTGCGTGGGCCTAAGAGGTTGCAGTGAGCCAAGACTGCACCACTACATTCCAGCTTGGGTGGCAGAGTGAGACTCCATTTCAAAAAAATAAAAATAAAAATAAACCAAAGGCACTTCAGACTCCCACTGTACTCCTTAAAAATTCAAATAGGGAACTGATGAGTTCAGCAACATCTACTCCCAACCCAAACAGAAGGAAGTTATTTCACTGACTTGTAAAGGAGCTCTCACTTGAGGCTGTGGGAAGAAGCAGAGTTTCTCAAAGGGTGATGATCCAAAACACCTGCATTAGAATCACTAGGGATGCTTACTGAGACTTCAGATTCCTAGATCCTTCCAGGATCATTGCAATTGTAAGCTCTGGGGTTGGGGTCCCAGAATCTGCAGTTTAAAAGGCCCCCAGGCAGGGCCAGGACTAGGGTGAGGCAAATAAGGTGTCGAGGGTGCAAGATTTAAGGAGGTATTCACTCTCAGGTTTGCACAAGTGCAAAATCTTCCCTCAGAGGGAGTGGGTCCTTAAATTTTGTGTCCATGCCTTGCTTGCCTCATCCCAGTCCTGGTCCTATATTCACAAGGCTATACCTCCTTGAGACTCTAAGAGCTTGGAGAGCAGCCAAGCCTTCTCTCCATCCTTGTATTCCCAGCAGCTAGTACAGTGCTGCACTATCTAAAACGAGGCCATTAGACATAGTCGCCTACTCAAACACTTTCAGTATGACTGGTCCAAATTGAGACGTGCTGTAAGTATAGAACACACACTGGATTTTGAAGACTGAGTATGGGAAAAATAATGTAAAATATCTCATTAATCCTGGATGCTCCGAGGGATGAAGAAAATCATCTCAATTTTCCATGTTGATTACATGTTGAAATGACGATGTTTTGGATGTATTAGGCTAAGTCAAATATATTATTAAAATTAATTTCACCTCTTTTTACTTTATGTGGCTCCTGGTAAGTTTAAAATTACAAATGTGACTATTAGTATATTTCTACTGGACAGGGCTGGTATAGAATTCACTATTTAAAAGGTCCCACATTACTGTGAAAAGGCAGATTGTACTGAGACATGGTAACAAGCAACAGAGCTGGTTTTAACCCTGTTTGATCCAGTAGTGACAACTCAGCCAATGAACATGTTTGTTAAAGTCAGCGCATCAAAAAGAGACTTGCTCCAATGAGCTCCTTTCTGAAATGCCATCCAGACAACAACCATCCCACCCAAGTAGTCACAACCTCTAACAATCTGTAAACCACACTCCCTCAAAAACACAAAAAACCGGCCAGACGCGGTGGCTCACGCCTGTAATCCCAGCATTTTGGGAGGCCGAGGCAGGTGGATCACCTGAGGCCAGGAATTCGAACCAGCATGGCCAGCTTAGTGAAACACTGTCTCTACTAAAAATACAAAAATTAGCTGGGCATGCTGGTGCATGACTGTTAATCCCAGCTACTCAGGAGGCTGAGGCAGGAGAATCGCTTGAACCAAAAAAAAAAAAAAAAGTTTTTGTTTCTTTTTTTAAATGTAGCTATTTTAAAGTAAATGTTATTTATGTTAACATGTACTCCTTTATTACTATTTTAAAATGAATTAATAATATTTCTTAAATTTTGGTTTTAATTTCTAATACAGCAAATATAGATAATGTAAACCACATAAAGTATATATATATACATACATATATATATATATATATTTTTTTTTTTTTTTTTTTTGAGAAGGCGTCTCACTGTCACCCAGGCTGGAGTGCAGTGGCGCAATCTCTGCTCACTGCAACCTCCGTGTCCCGGGTTCAAGCAATTGTCCTGCTTCAGCCTCCCAGGTAACTGGGACTACAGGCATATGCCACCATGCTTGGCTAATTTTTGTATTTTTTAGTATAGACGGGGTTTCGCCATGTTGGCCAGGCTGATCTTGAACTCCTACCTCAAGTGATCCACCTGCCTTAGGCTTCCAAAGTGTTGGGATTACAGGTGTGAGCCACTGTGCCTAGCCTCCCAAAGTATTCTATCAAAAATAAAAATGTAATATAATTGCCTTGATTAAAATTCATTAAATATTACTCTTAGTTTTCAGAATACAAATCCAAAGACCTTGGTTAACATGGCTCATCAAATGTTTGATTTAACAGTATCTTCCAAAATACAATGCAAGTCTATTTTGGTTCAGGAACTCTGTTTCTAGAAACATATCCCCTCACCCAAGAGTACATGATTATATTCATAATGTTCATTGCAGAATTACTGCAAGAACAAAAATATAAATAAAATCCAAATCATAATGGGATTTGATGATATTATAGTATACCCATAACAAGTTTCAGAAAATAACACAGAGTAAATTCTGTTTTCGTAAAAAAGTCAATAAATAGGCCAGGCGTGGTAGTTCACGCCTATAATCCCAGCACTTTGGGAGGTTGAGGCAGGTGGATCACCTGAGGTCAGGAGTTCAAGACCAGCCTGACCAGCATGAAGAAACCCTGTCTCTACAAAACTAGCCAGGTGTGGTGGCGCATGCCTGTAATCCCAGCTACTCTGAAGGCTGAGGCAGGAGAATCGCTTAAACCCAGGAGGTAGAGGTTGTGGTGAGCCGAGATCGTGCCACCGCACTCCAGCCTGGGCAAGAAGAGTGTAACTTCGTCTCAGGAAAAAAAAAAAAAAAGTCAACAAATACAAATTTTTAATGCATGCAAAGTACATTTCTGGAAAGACATTCACCAAACTGATAATAAAAGCTAGTTCTAAGCATGATAACTCTTTTAAAGAGTTTCATGGGCTTGCTTTTATAATTATCACTTCAATAAATCTGAAAGTTATTTTGTATATAATACAGGATAGGGAGTCTAATTTATTACTAAACGGCCAAATGCCCCCAACACTTTGCTGAGTGTTTTATCCTTTCCTTACAGATTGAAATGCTACTTTGACTCCATAAACTCCCACATATGGTTCCAATTCAAGAATCTGTTCTGTTCTACTATTTTTAATATGTTTCATTACCAGCACCAGATGCTGTAAATAAATACAGCTTCATAGTATGTAAATACACAGTACATAAATAAATATAGCTTCATGGTTTCATTATACCATGAAGGGTAATCCTCCCATTATTCATTTTCAAAACATTTTTGGCAATTTTTGCATACATATTTTTGATAGAATCAGCGTGTTAAATTCCCAAAAGATATTAAATTTATAATTTAGGGAAACCTGACTTTTTAATAAAATTGGTTCTCCCCATCAAGGAATATTATATGCCCCTAATCTGGTCTTTTTGCTGCTTCACAGAAAAAGGGGTTTTTTTGTTTTGTTTTGTTTTTTTCATTTATGAAACTGATGCACTGCCTACTGCCCTAAGGAGGCAGGTGATTTTTTTTTTTTTTCATTTAGAGGTAAGTTTACTACTAGTTATTTTCATTTTTATTATTGTGGGAAAGACATCCTTTTCTTTTCTTTATTTTATTTTATTTTATTTTTTGAGATAGAGTCTTGCTCTGTCGCCCAGGCTGGAGTGCAGTGGTGCAATCTCAGCTCACTGCAAGCTCCGCCTCCCGGGTTCACACCATTCTCCTGCCTCAGCCTCCCCAGTAGCTGGGACTACAGGTGTCCGCCACCACACCCGGGTAATTTTTTTGTATTTTTAGTAGAGGCGGGGTTTCACCGTGTTAGCCAGGATGGTCTCGATCTTCTGAACTCGTGATCCGCCTGCCTCGGCCTCCCAAAGTGCTGGGATTACAGGCATGAGCCACTGCGCCTGGCCTTGTTTTCTTAAAAAAAAAAAAAAAAAAAAATTGCATTTCAAGACTGATGCAAAGCTAGGTGTGGCGGCTCACACATGTAATCCCAGCACTTTAGGAGGCTGAGGTGGGCGTATCACTTAAGGTCAGTAGTTCGAGACTAGCCTAGCCAACATGGTGAAACTTCGCCTCTACTAAAAACACAAAAATCAGTCAGGTGTGGTGGCATACATCTGTAATTCCAGCTACTCGGGAGGCTGGGGCAGGAGAATTGCTTGAACCCAGGAGGTGGAAGTTCCAGTGGGCCAAGATCGCGCCACTGCACTCCAGCCTGGGCAACAAAGAGACTCTGTCAAAAAAGTCATCGTCTTCATCATCGTCATCATCATCATCCCAGCACTTTGGGAGGCCAAGGTGGGAGTTCAAGCCTGCAGTGAGCTATGATCGTGACACTATACTTAGCCTGTAACAGAGTGAAACACTGTCTCAAGCAAAAAAAAAAAAAAAAAAAAAAACCGCTGCTGGCAGTTTGGAAAGCTGCTGATTTTACAGACTTCAACCTTAACCGAAATCTCATGTGGAACTTCATATGGCCATAGTTGTCTAATTTGCTTAGGGTCCTGTGTACCAACAAATGCCATGTAATAAAATAATGTAGCTGAAAATACAGTAAAACAAACTAACAAAAAAAATGCTGTTATTAATTTATACCACATTCACTCTCAAGTACAGATTGCTGTCAGTAGCCAAAGCACAACCAGAATATCCCTGACAGCCAGAAAGAACAGGGGAAATGTTCTGCTGGCAGTGGGAGAAATAATGTCGTCCAGACCGCATAAAAATGACACTGAATTACAAATTCCAAAGTATAACACACAGCAATTCTAATCAATGCTGGAAATATACCTTACCTCCTCAGGAACACCAATTCGTTTAGCGGGGATTTTCTGAAAAGACCCTTCAAAGAAGCTTTGTCCCCAGGAACCATAGTTCTCCACAGCAGTCTGGGAATAAATAACTCCCTGTGTTTAAAAATAAAACAGGGACAAAATAAAGTGTATTATATTAAATTTTAATTATAAAGATATCAAGATACTCTACTGGCATTTCAAACATTAAGTAGCTTAAGTCAAAAAAAAGTTAACAGTGCTGATATTAAATTTCCTCCATGTTGTCAAAGAAGTACAGTCCCCACCATCCACAAATGGATGATCTGAATAGTTATTTTGTGACCTCCTCTTCCTCCTAACCATGCCCTGGATTTTTTCATGAAAGACTTGTTTTCTGAAGGTCATGATTGTGTAAGTAAATGAAAGAGGCACTTAACTGGGAACAATGGGACAGGGGACTCTGTCTATTTTAGTTTCCATTTGGCTTCTCTGCTTTACAAGAGAAGACTGGGCAATGGCTACGTGAGACTTAGAAAAATGCAATATTTTCTTGGCTTTTTACCTAGATTGAAATCGCAAATAAAGCATTTGAGTCCAATACCAATAAACTAAATTTTTCATTGTTTAGGAATTTTTAAATGTATCTTTCACTGGCTTTCTAAGGTCAGGAAAATTACTCAAAAACTGTATCCCAGGCCAGGTGCAGTGGCTCATGCCTGTAATCCCAGCACTTTGCGAGGGTGAAGCTGGAGGATTGTGTGAGCCTAGGAGTTTGAGACCAGCCTGGGCAAAATAGGGAGACTATGTCTCTACAAAAAATATAAAAAAGAATTAGCTGGGCATGGTGGTACCTGCCTGTGGTCCCAGCTACTCAGGAGGCTGAGTTGGGAGGATCGCTTGCGCCCAGGAGTTCGAGGCTGCAGTGAGCCGTGATCGCACTACCGCACTTCAGCCTAGGCAACACAGCAAGACCTTGTCTCAAACATTTAAAAAAAAAATTGTATCTCACAGGATACAGCTATTTGTAATGGATTCAAACTGTTGAATTATGGAGAGAAGGGGCGGAAAGAGAAGTTAAAATAAAATTAGAAAATGTGGCAGTTTTAATAACTTCAAATGATACTGATACTGGAGAGATATATTGGTTTCCAATTACATAATATGTTGCCTTTTATTTAAAGAGGATAAAATCTAGAAGTATTAAAATTTGATCATTTAACCAAAAAAGTCTCTGGAAGGCAAACATGAATTAATATTAGTAGCAACACCTTTGTCAGAGATGAGATTACTAACTTCATGCTTGAAGTCAGTCATGCATAGTCTTCATTGAGTGGCACAGATAACACCTACTGATATTACAGAGATAAGATCTATAGATAGGCTGGGCGCAGTGGCTCACGCCTGTAATCCCAGTACTTTGGGAGGCAGACGTGGGTGGATCACGAAGTCAGGAGATCGAGACCACGCTGGCTAACACAGTGAAACCCCGTCTCTACTAAAAATACAAAAATTAGCCAGGGGTGGTGGCAGGTGCCTGTAGTCCCAGCTACTTGGGAGGCTGAGGCAGGAGAATCACTTGAACCCAGGAGGCAGAGGTTGCAGTGAGCCAAGATCACGCCACTGCTCTCCAGCCTGGGCAACAGAGCAAGACTCCTTCTAAAAAAAAAAAAAAAAAGCCAGAATCAAGAATCACTGGTTTAACATTCTTGACAATCTGGCTGTAAATCAAAGAGTACTTCCATAATGATAATTAGACCTTCTGGGCCGGGTGCGGTGGCTCACATCTGTAATCCCAGCACTTTGAGAGGCCATGGCGAACAGATCTCCTGAGCTCAGGAGTTCGAGACCACCCAGGGCAATATGGTGAAAACCCATCTCTACTAAAATCCAAAAAATTAGCTGGGCATGGTGGCTTGTGCCTGTAGTCCCAGCTACTTAGGAGGCTGAGGCACAAGAATCACTTGAGCCTTGGAGGTGGAAGTTATAGTGAGCCACGATCATGCCACTGCACTCCGGCCTGGGCGACAGAGACTCCATCTCAAAAAAAAAAAAAAAAAAAAAAGAAAATTAGGCTTTCCATTTTATCTATGTTTTAAAGTCAATCTTTTATGCTATACTTGCTTATTACCAAATACCTCTATCAACATCACAAATGGAATCAGAAAGCATAATTTGTCAATAAATTTCAATATAGATCGTTTACCTACAGGGGCAACACAATTGATCCGTATTCCACTGCAGGCCCATTCCAAAGCTAAAGATTTGGTGAGGTTGTAAACACCTGCTCTTGCAGCTCCAGAATGCCTTTGAAAGACAAAACATAAACATGACAATCAGCTTCTGTTGAATATTTCTCTTGTTCATCAAGCTCACAAGTGTGCCAACTACCTGACAGAATTCCACAAGAGACTTCTTGCTATGGAGTCTGTCTTGTTGAGCTTCTGTCTAAACAACGAAGAAAAAACTATGTCCTTCAATATTAAATCCAAGCCACAGCTGATGATCAAGCAAATCTCACATGGCATAGACCCAGATAAGGCTCCCCAAATCACTACGTAAGAGGAATACTTTAAAGAACTTTGATTACAAAGGAAAACACATTGGTAATTTTAAGGATTTCAAGCCTGTGGTTATTTTTAACATCGATTTTAAATAACAAAGGAGGCCAGGTGCAGTGGCTCACACCTATAATCCTAGCACTTTGGGAGGCCAAGGCGGGCGGATCACCTGAGGTCAAGAGTTCAAGACCAGCCTGGCCAACATGGTGAAACCCCATCTCTACTAAAAATACAAAAATTACCGGGCATGGTGGCAGGTATCTGTAATCCCAGCTGTTCAGGAGGCTGAGGCAGGAGAATCGCTTGACCCTGGGAGATGGAGTTTGCAGTAAGCTGTTATCACACCACTGCACTCCAGCCTGGGCAACAGAATGAGACTCCATCTCAAAAATAAATGAAGTATGGGGTCTTGTGTAGATAGACACCATGGCTTAGAATTTCTAATGACAAGATCCTCAAAACCAAATATAGGATAATTTAATGTGAGAAAATTAACTTATACAACTAATTAGGAAAACTCTTTCAATCAAAGGTATTTGAAATCAGCTGGTAAAAAACAGATTATTTAGTAAATAATGGACTTCCTTTAACATTTATTTTAGCATAGGTCTGCTGGTGATAATTCTTGCAGATTTTATATGTTTGAAAAAGTCTTTAATTCATCTTTGTTTTTGAAAGATATTTCAATGGATAAAGAATTCCAGGTTGGCATGGTTTTTTCTGTTGGCACTTTAAAGATGTTACACCACTAACTTTTAACTTGCATTGGTGCTGATGAGAAATCTGCTTCTGTATACAATGTGTCTTTTTCCTCCAGCTGCTTTTAAGACTTTCTCTTTAGCACTGGTTCTCAGCAATATGATTATGATGTGCCTTGTACACTTTTCTTCATGTTTCTTGTACTGGGGTTTGTTGAGCTTCTTCGATCTATAGGTTTACAGTTTTTATCAAATTTGGAAAATTTTCACCCAGTGTCTTCAAATTTTTTTCCGTCCCTGTTTCTCATGTCTCTTTCAGAGACTCCAACTGTCTCACAGTTCACGAATGCTCTGTTTTTGTTTTTTGTGTTTTTCAGACAGAGTCTCGCTCTGTCACCCAGGCTGGAATGCAGTGGCATGATCTCGGCTCACTGCAACCTCTGCTTCCTGGGTTCAAGTGATTCTCCTGCCTCAGCCTCCCGAATAGCTGGGTTTATAGGAGTGCGCCATCACGCCTGGCTAATTTTTGTATTTTTAGTAGAGATGGGGTTTCAGCATGTTGGCCAGGCTGGTCTCAAACTCCTGACCTCAGATGATCTGCCCGCCTCAGCCTCCCAAAGTGCTGGGATTACAGGCATGATCCAGCACACCCAGCCTCAACTGAACATTTTACAAATTGAGTATGCCTTATTCAAAATGCTTGGAACCAGAAGTGCTTTGGATTTCAAATCTGTTCTGATTTTGTTTTGTTTTGTTTTGTTTTGAGATGGGAGTCTCACTCTGTCACCCAGGCTGGAGTGCAGTGGCATGATCTCGGCTCACTGCAAGCTCCACCTCCTGGGTTCACGCCATTCTCCTGCCTCAGCCTCCCGAGTAGCTGGGACTACAGGCACCCGCCACCGTGCCCAGCTAGTTTTTTGTATTTTTAGTAGAGACGGGGGTTTCACCGTGTTAGCCAGGATGGTCTCGATCTCCTGACCTCGTGATCTGCCTGCCTCGGCCTCCCAAAGTGCTGGGATTACAGACGTGAGCCACCGGGCCTGGCCAAATCTGTTCAGATTTTGGAATATTTGCATATACTACCTGGTTTAGCATCCCTAATCTGAAAATCCAAAATCTGAAATGCTCCAAAAAGCATTTCCTTTGAGCATCCTATTGGTGCTCAAAAATTTTCAGATTTTGGAGCATTCTGGATTTTGAGTTTTCAGATCAGGATGCTCAACCTATATTTGTGTAATTTTTCTTTTTCAGTGCCTGTTATCTAAGGTTGTAGAAAAAGACCTTCTCTATTGCCTCTTAAAAATGCAATCTCTAGCTTCCCTAAAAAATGGAAGGAATCAGAATGTTGAAAAGATACTAAAGAAATCAGCAAAAATATATATTTTTTTAATCCACACTTTTCAACTGGTAAACTTGTGTTTTTCAAGTTACTTCCTGGTGTATTGTTTTTCTCCCAGTTCTATTTGGATGACCTTTAGACTCTTATGAAAGAAATGACTGAGATAGGCTGGGTGCAGTGGCTCATGCCTGTAATCCCAGCACTTTGGGAGGTTGAGGCAGGTGGATCACATGAGGTCAGGAGTTCGAGACCAGCCTGGCCAACATGGTGAAACCCCGTTTCTACTAAAAATACAAAAATTTTAGCTGGGCATGGTGGCAGGTGCCTGTAATCCCAGCTACTCAGGAGGCTGAGACAGGAGAATCACTGGAACCCAGGAGGTGGAGGTTGCAGTGAGCCGAGATCGCACCATTGCACTCCAACTTGGGCAACAAGAGTGAAACTCCATCTCAAAAAAAAAAGAAAAAAAAAAAAGAAAAGTAGGAAATAACTGAGATAGTAGGTTAAATAAGGTCACTAAGTTCTTTTTTCTTTCTTTTTTTTTTTTTTTTTTTGGAGGGGGTACAGAGTCTCACTCCAACCTCTACCTCCCAGATTCAAGTGATTCTCATACCTCAGCCCCCCGAGTAGCTAAGATTACAGGTGTGTGACACCACACCTAGCTAAATTTTGTATTTTTAGTAGAGATGGGGTTTCACCATGTTGCCCATGCTGGTCTCGAACTCCTGACCTCAGGTGATCTACCCACCTCAGCCTCCCAAAGTGCTGGGATTACAGGCGTGAGCCACTGCATCCAGCCCCACTGACTTCTTTTCTGAAAAAATAAATATCTATTGCCCATGGAAAAATTAATCAAAATCAGAATATGAGTCAAATATGTCAAATTCCATTACGGTGAACTTCACAAGTTATTCCAAATTCTACAGTCATAGATGTTGTAAATTGGTCATTAGTTAAAAAATGAATTTGGGGTTATTCAAAGATACTTAATGTAGGCCAGGCGTGGTGGCTCACGCCTGTAATCCCAGCACTCTGGGAGGCCGAGGCAGGCGGATCACAAGGTCAGGAGTTCAAGACCAGCCTGGCCAGCACAGTGAAACCCCGTCACTACTAAAAATACAAAAAGTTAGCCGGGCATAGTGGCGTGCACCTGTAATCCCAGCTACATGGGAGGCTGAGTCAGGAGAATTGCTTGAACCCGGGAGGCGGAGGCTGCAGTGAGCAGAAATTGCACCACTGCACTCCAGCCTGGGTGATAGAGCGAGACTGTGTCTTACAAAAAAAAAAAAAAAAGACACTTAATGTAAAAACAACTTGTAGGCCAGGCACAGTGGCTCACGCCTGTAATCTCAGCACATTGAGAGGCCAAGGTGGGCACATCACCTGAGGTCGGGGGTTCGAGACCACCCTGAGCAACACAGAGAAACCCCGTCTCTATTAAAAATACTAAATTAGCCGGGCATGGTGACGCATGCCTGTAATCCCAGCTACTCAGGAAGCTGAGGCAGGAGAATCGCCTGAACCCAGGAGGCGGAGGTTGTGGTGAGCTGCGATAGTGCCATTGCACTCCAGCCTGGGCAACAAGAACAAAATTCCATCTCAAAAAAAAAAAACAAAAAAACAAAAAAACAAACAAACAAAAAAAAACACTTGTAATAGGACTAAACCTAGTACATAAATATTCCCAAAAAAGGACAACTAGATAATGCTCCCCCAAACTATGACTCCCAAATCCTCATCATTCTTGAGCTTTTCTTTGTAATACATACTTGAATATAAATGTTTTCCTTCTCAACCATTAAGAGTAAAAAGATCCTCCAAAGAAATGCCTTAGTTGTGATAACCCTGCAGATTTAAGCGCCCTCCTGGATGCACAGCCCCAGAGCCCCAGGGCCACAGGCTCTAGTGTAGGAACCCCTGATGCACTTCAAACTCCTCTCCCTGGTAGTTAAGGCCTTTTGTGACTCCCACTCCATTCCAAGGTATTAATTTCCATTTAGCCGTACCACCCATCATCACAAAGAATTATTTGTAGTTCCCAAAAGTGCCACAGTGTCTCAAATTTCTGTGTCTTTACACAGTAAATGTCTCATTGACTTGCCTTCCTTTCTCCTCCTCATATGTCACCAAACTCGAGTTCACCTTTGAGACATGTCGCCTGGATGCTGCCCTCCTCTGTGCTCCTTTTATCTTGCACACTTGCAAATACCTTTACTGGAATATCCAACACCTTCTCTCTCTAGCTGATTATTTTCATGCTTTGCTCCCCTACTAGTTGTAGACTCCCTCAGAGTGTGGATGGTATCTGATTCATTTTAGTATTTCCAGATGTATCTTGCACATGTACCTGTACTGGTCAAGTAAACAAGCGACAGCCAACAGTTTCAATTTGTCTCTTAAGAGAGCTAAAATTTAAAAAAAAGGAGTGCTCAATCTCTGACATTCATCCTCCTCTTCTATTGTAGAGGATACCTAAAGCCATGTCTTTCAAATTGTAAATTACAACACAATGCTAATAGTGAAATAAAATTAGCAAGTAATAAGCAGCAAGTGTAAAAAAAGAAAATACAACAGAGTAGACCACAATAAAATTGAAAATATCAGCCGGGTGTGGTGGCTCATGCCTGTAATCCCAGCACTTTGGGAGGCTGAGGCAGGTGGATCACCTGAGGTCAGGAGTTCGAGACCAGCCTGACCAACATGGTGAAACCCCGTCTCTACTAAAAATACAAAAAACTACTGGACGTGGTGGTGGGTGCCTACAACCCCAGCTACTCAGGAGGCTGAGGCATAAGAATCACTTGAACCCAGGAGGCAGAGGTTGCAGTGAGCCAAGATCGCCCCATTGCACTTCAGCCTGGGCAACAGGAGCAAAACTCCATCTCAGAAAAAAAAAAAAAAAAAAAGGAAAGAAAGAAAAATCAGAGTGCACAATACATAGTAAGAATGTTTGCTTCACGAATTTTGTTTTGCCTATAGACACATATACACATATGTGTTTACTAGGTCAAGATGTAAAATTTCTTACTATGAGTCATGGTCCAAAGTGTGAAGGCCACTGGAAAAGGAAACGATTCTTAAGAGAACAAAAGCAAGAAGTATCTGAAACACTTCTTTTCCATGTTAAAGACAAGCTGTGTTTTTTTTCTAGCCAACCGAATATCAGAAAAGCCAGTGATTTCATTTCAAAAATGTATTTTAAGAAAAGAAACTCTCATTACTTCTTACATATGCATGAAAGAGGACACATTTCACTCATAAAGGAACTACAACTTTTCTAAAGGGCAGTTTGGCAATATCTCTTAAAATTACAAAGGCATTTGGCTTTGGACTTAGCAATTATACCTCTTGCAATTTAGGCTACACACTATCTGATGTACAGAAAATGTTACTTACTGCAGGTGTTTAGTTTGGTTTTGGTAATAACAAAAGGTTGGAAACAACCCAAATGCTCACCAACTGGAAAATGGTTACACAAATCATTCCTTACTTATGGTTTATAAAAGTGGCATATTAGCCATAAAAAAATAAGAAGAAATCTCTTTAGACTCTGTTAAGAAAATATCTCCAGGATATTTGCTTCATTTGAGAACATCAAGATACAGAATAGTGTTTATAGCATCCTAAATTTGTGGTTAAAATGTAGGAAAAAGATATGCCCCCAAAACTATTAACACTAGTTGCCTGTGAGGATGGGAAATGCCAGAAAGAACCTACAATCTGAATTATTTCTTCCAAGATGCTAAAATAGGTAAATACATTTAGTAAAGAATAATGAGCAGGAAAAGAAGGTAGAGTGGTATCAATGGCCTGCACACCATTTTTTACTCTGTTTTTAGTAACATCACATTGATTTCCACTTGAGGAAGTACCTCTTGCCTGTTCTCAGTCCATGTCTGAGCGATGATGACCACAGTTCCTCATTCCTCAGGCTGACCATGCATAGCAGAGCAACCTCATTTCTACAGTTTTTGGTTAATGACTGAACACATAACCAGGCAGGGTCAGTTAATGAGTATCCTCTCTGGGACCTGCTGGCACCATTAATATTGTTTTTGCTGGCATGACTTGAGAGGCACTCTCTCACTGGAGAGTTAAGAACAGCTAGAGTGTTGACCTGTAACTCTTGCTAGTACTCGCCTTTTGCCACACCTAGAGACAGCCTGCCTGAGAATGTACGCAGACATGAAGAAAGCAAAACCAAAAGGAGAGGCAGCTTCCTGCTAACATTGTGGCTGAACCTAACATGCCCTTTCCGCAGTGGCTCTGCAGGTACCAGGATCCCCTCCAGGGCTTGCACGACGGCTGCGCTCTGCCCCCAGAGTTTCTCTTGCAGCAGATCTGGTGTGGGGCTGGATAATTTGCTGTGCTAACAACTTCTCCCAAGTGATGGGGATGTGGCTGGTCTGGAAGCCACTTTTGGAGAACCACTGCCCTAGATTTTTACTTAAGCCAAGTTGAATTTTATTTTTATCCTATACATGTTTGGGAGTTCTGCATAATCCAGGAAATGAGCAGGGTACTAAAATTTGCATAAAGGAGGCATGCTGTCTGTGTACAGAGTGGCTAATCAGAGGCACAAAACCTTAGAAACTTTTGGAGAAAAAATCCTGGATTATCTGTTAGGAGGAACAACTTAGCAGTCCTGTGTAAAATCAAGTAGCTATATTAATGGTATTCAAATCTAAATTAACACAGATTAGTTTCATTTCTATACTTTAACAAATAAGCTATTCCTAGACAGTGATGGCCAGTTTAGTCACATCGGGATTAGAGTTGCCCAAGAAAACACAAGACATCCAGTTTAATCTGAACATCAGACAAAAAACAAATACTATTTTCCCTTTCCTTGGTAAATCTGGCAGTCCGCATCTGGATGAAAATGTTTTAGAAGTACTTTGAATTTTAAGTTCAAATAAAATAAAATGTTAACTGTTAGAATCACAGCTCATTAAAGGTATTAATGATCTTGATTTAAGAAATGTTCCCTAACATGCTTCCCCCAATCAGAAGACAAAACTCAAAGACTTAGAAAGAAAACTATATAAAAACGCTTACACAGCTAATGGAAATCCAGCTTTAGTAGGGACAATGATATTGACGATAGATCCTCCATGCTCTTTCATCCAGGAGCTGTAAACTGCAGGATAGAGGCAAACTCAATCATTAAATTTTTAAAGTATCCTGGCCCTCCTGATACCTTGTTTCAGCACACTGCCTGTTTGATATGTTTTACACGTCCATTTACATTTCCTTATAAAAAGCCTGACTGAGGTAAAATTTATACATCATAAAATTCATCTACTTTAAGTGTGCAATGTAATGACTTTTAATAAATATACGGAGTTATGCAACCATTACCACAATCCAGCTTGAGAACCTTTCCATCACCCCAAAAAGTTCCTTCACACCCATCTGCAGCTTAACCCATCCCCAGGTAAACACTCATCTTTCTGTTTCTCTAGATTTGCCTTTACCTTTTCGAAAATCTAATGTAAAGTGAATCACACAATACGTGGTCTTTTGTGTCTAACTTCTTCCACTTAGAATCATGTTTGTGAGGTTCATCCACGTTGTAATGTGTTAATAGTTCCTTTTTGATTGCCGAGTAGTATTCCATTATGTGGATATGCCATGTTTTATTTATCCACTTATCAGCTGATAAACATTTGGATAGTTCCACTTTGGAGCAATTATGAATACAAATCTTTGTGTGGTCATATGTTAACTCTGTTTAGCTTTTAAAGAAACTGCCAAATGGTTTTCCAAAGTGTCCCTCCCCATTTTACATTGTTCTCAGAAATGCATGGGGGATGTAGTTTCTACACGCCACTGCTGTCTGATTTTTTGATAATAGCCATCTAGTGGGTGTGAAGTGGTATCACACTGGAGTTTTTATTTGCATTTCCCTAATGACTATAATCATGTTGATCTATATATCTAGCCTATGTCAGTACCACACTGTCTTAAAATCAAGAAATAGCTTTGCAATCAAGAAGCATTAAGTCCTCCAACTTTCTTCTTTTGCAAAATTGTTTTGGCTATTCTGGGCCCTCTGCATCTCCATATGTAGTTTAGGATCAGTTTGTTAATTTCTACAAAAATTGACAGGGATTGCTCTGAATCTACAGATCAATTTGGGAAGAACTAACACATTAACAATATTGGACCTTCTAACCCATAAACACTGAATATTTTTACATTATTTAAATCTTCTTTGATTTCTCTCAGCAATGTCTGGCAGTTTGTGGCATACAAGTCTTACACTTTTTTGTTAACCTCATTGTTAAATATTTTATTATTTATATATGCTTGAAAACATATATGAAAAATATATGAAAACATATAAAACCATTTGATTTTAGCACAAGAAAGGAGAATAACCATTTAAATTATTCTACACACACCTTCCGCTTCTGGATAAATACCACCATATACATATATTTATTTATTTCCTAGTTCTGAAAATGTCTACAAGTAATGATAACCCAGTAGTAGTGAACACATGTAGTACCCAAATCTCGCCTTCTAAAAATCATTCCCGGCTAGGAGTGGTGGCTCACACCCGTAATCCCAGCACTTTGGCAGGTCAAGGTGAGAGGATCACTTAAGGCCAGGAGTTCAAGACCAGCCTGGGCAACAGAGAAAAACTCTGTCTCTATGAAAAATTAAAAAATTAGCCTGGCATGGTGTCATGTGCCTATAGTAGCAGCTGCTCGGTAGGCTGAAGCGGGGAGGATTGCTTGACCCCAGGAGTTCAAGGTTGCAGTGGGCTATGCAGCCTTGAACCACTACTCTCCAGCCTGGGTGACAGAGCAAGACTCTCTCTCCAAAAAGTAAATAAATAAATAAGCAAACAATAATTATTATTACCTACTAAAGGGAACTAGGTCTTCTTGGAGAAACAGGTCTGAGCCATTTCAAAAAGACACAGAAGCCAGATTAGCTGGTCAACTAGAACATCAGAGAGAAAATGACAATAATGGGTTAGAAATACTGAATAAAAATAAATTCCATTCATCAATAGTAAGGCTTAGGAGGTGAGAAAAAAAGGAAAAACTCATCTTTATAAAAGAATGCCAATTAATAAATAAATAAGGCATAAATTTTTAAAATCATCATTTTGCATCTTCCAATTCTGAAACTGAATCGGGCAAGAATCAAAAATGGAATGAGCCGGGAGCAGTGCCTCACACCTATATCCCAGCACTTTGAGAGGCAGAGGCGGATGGATGGCTTCAGCCCAGGAGTTTGAGACCAGCCTCGGCAACAAGGGGAGACCCCGGCTCTACCAAAAAAAAAAAAAAAAAAAAAAAAAAATTAGCTGAGCATGGTGGTTAGTAGCCTAGTATGCACCTGTACCTCCAGCTACTCAGGAGGTGGAAGAATCGATTGAGCCCAGGGGGTGGAGGCTGCAGTGAGCCACGATCACATCACTGCACTCCAACCCAGGTGACAGAGTGAAACCCTGTCTCAAAAAAAAAAAAAAAAAAAAAAAAAAAAAAAAGGAACCTAAACCCATTGGATAAAAGTACATAGGAAAACAGTATCTTCACATGGTCTCAAAGTATTATCCACAGATTACTTATAGTTTACAAATAGAAAAATGTATCTTTACAACAGAAAGGTTTGGTGGTCAGAATCTTAGACAAGCGAAAAAATTTAAGATGACCAATAGTAAAATCACCTTAACAACAGACTTACAGGTGTAATGCAGTAAGAAGTATATATACCATATATGAAGGGGTCTTGCCAGAAATATTTAAGTGAATATAATCACCACAAAACAATTAGAGAAATCCAGAATTTGGAACATTCTATAAGTCACTGTTATGAAATATAAAAAGTATGGATTTTTTTTAGAGTACAAGAAACTAAAGAGACATAAAAAAATGCAATACATGAATTTGAAAACATCTTGGATTTTAAAAGCTGGGAAAACAATTAGGGAAATTTCAATAAGGACTATATAATGAGTGATTTTATTGAATTACTGTGAATTTTCTTAGGTGTAATAATGGTATTGTAATTATATAGAAAACATGTGTTTATATTTAAGAGATATATAAACAAAGTACCTTTGTATCTGTAATTTCCTTTCAAATTGTTTATTTAAAACGAGTGTGTGTGAGTATGTGTGTGTGTGTGCATGATTGTAGAGAGGGAGAGAGAGAGAAAGAGAGATCATGTAAATGGGAATGTTAGTGCGTGGTGAATTTTTTTTTTTTTTTTTTGAGACAGAGTCTCACTCTGTCACCCAGCCTGGAGGCGCCATCCCAGCTCACTGCAACCTCCATCTCCCAGGTTCAAGCAATTCTCCTGCCTCAGCCTCCCAAGTAGCTGGGACTATAGCCATGCACCACCACTCCCGGCTAATGTTTGTATTTTTAGTGGAGACAGGGTTTCCCCATGTTGGCCAGGCTGGTTTCGAACTCCTGACCTCAAGTGATCCGCCCACCTCGGCCTTCCAAAGTGCTGAGATTACAGGCATGAGCCATCACGCCTGGCAATGCTTCATGAATCTAAATGATAGGTATACAGAAATCCATTGTATTATTTCTTCAACTTTCCCACAGATCCAACATTTTTCCAAAAGTAAATTGGGGTAAAAATTCCTGTATCAGTAAAATGAACAATAAAAGTCTATAGGAAAGTCCAAATTCACCAATAATTTATATGTGGATTTTCTTCACAATTCTTTAACAATAGCATATTGTGTCCCAGGGTACAAGCTGAAACAGACTGGGTCGGGACTTTAGGGCAGTCATCTTTTAAATCATTTTAATTGCATAAGTAATATATGGTCATATTAGAAAAAGTAGAAAGGGCAGAGAAGCACAAAGAAAAAAATAAAAATAATATGTAATTTTGCCTCCTGGAGGTGATACATGTCAATACAGTCATGTGTCACAACAATGTTTCGGTCAAAAACAGATTGCATATATAACAGTGGTCCCATAAGATTATAATACCACATTTTTACTGTACTTTTTCTATGTCGAGATACACAAATACTTGATGTGTTACAATTGCCTACAGTATTCAGTACAGCAACATGCTATACAGGTTTGTAGCCTAGGTGTGTAGCAGGCTATACCATCTAGGTTTGTGTAGGTACACTCCATGATGTTCATACAACAATGAAATTGCCTAATGACACATTTCTCAGAACAAATCCCTGTTGTTAAACAACACGACTGTATTTTGGTATAAATTTTTTCAGAATCATTTCTATTCATATATATGCACACATAAATACATACTTTTTTTTAACAGAAATGTGAACATGTTGGATAAAATATTTCATAACTTGCTTTTCTGGCAGTGATATCTGGCAATATTTTTTCATGTTAATGAGTACATTTTTATGTCAATATTTTTAAGGGCCGCATAGTTCTTTATCATATAGATGTATAAAACTTCACTCAACTAATATTTTACTCCAGAATATTTACATGGTTTTCAGTTTTTCACTATTATTTTCAAGATACAGAAAAATATGGCTGGGCACAGTGGCTCATGCCTGTAATCCCAGCATTTTGGGAGGCCGAGGTGGGTGGATCACAAGGTCAGGAGATGGAGACCATCCTGGCCAACATGGTGAAACCCCGTCTCTACTAAAAATATAAAAATTAGCCAGATGTGGTGGTGAATGCCTGTAGTCCCAACTACTTGGGAGGCTGAGGCAGGAAAATTGCTTGAACCCAGGAGGTGGAGGTTGCAGTGAGCAGAGATCACGCCACTGCACTCCAGCCTGTGTGACAGAGCGAGACTCTGTCTCAAAAAGAAAAAAAAGAAAAATATAACTTATGAAAAGTAAAAACTAAAAGCCCCAAATAAGTAAAAGCAAAAATAATAGGCCTTGTATTTGTTTTACTTTTTTTTTATTTATTTATTTGAAACAGAGTCTCACTCTTGTCACCCAGGCTCAAGTACAGTGGCACGATCTCGGCTCACTACAACCTCCGCCTCTCGGGTTCAAGAGATTCTCCTGCCTCAGCCTCCCAAGTAGCTGGGACTACAGATGCACGCTGCCTGGCTAATTTTTTTTCTTTTTTTTTGTATCTTAGTAGAGACGGGGTTTCACCGTGTTGCCCAGGCTGGTCTCAAACTCCTGAGCTCAGGTAATCCGCCCGCCTCGGCCTCCCAAAGTGCTGGGATTACAGGCATGAGCCACCATGCCCGGCCAGCCTTGTATTCTTTAATTCAGTTTTGGCTAATAAAAATCATGGCTGAATTTCAATTCTGTAGACTTTTAATTGACAGTTGTTAGCAAGGTATCTTGGATTGGTAAGACATTGCTGATTTGCCTGTTAGAAGGAGTGAAAGCACAGAGTTACAAAGCTTGGGTTAGAGACCACTAGATGTCTCCCAATACTCATTCTCCCTTTCTTCCATAGAAATAGAATTTGTTTTAGGCACATAGCTGCCCACCTAAGGACTCTATTTCCCAGTTTCTTTTACAGCTAGGTATGATCATTTAACTGAATTCTAGCTGACGAATGTGAGCAAACATCATGGTGCTACTTCCAGATGGTGCCCATAAAAGGAATGGGTGAGCACTACCCTTTTTCCCCATTCCTGTTGTCTGGAATGCAGATTTGATAGCAAGAACTGGAGCAGCCCTCTTGAATCATGAAATGGAAACCACAGGTCAAGAACAGTGGAGCAATAAGAAGGATCTTCAGTTCCTAATGATTATGAAACTACCATATAATCCTTACACTACCTACCTGGACTTTTTATGTGAGAAAAATAAACTCATATTCAAGCCCTGTTGTTTCTGGGTTTTTCCACTGGAACAACCCAACTTGTATCACGACTTAGACAGAGGTTGATTCTGCTAGTTAGGTAGAGATGTCTGCAAGACCTCTGACTTGTAGATACTAAGAATATAAAGCCTAATTCATGTTGGCATGAAGACCCTTTGAGATAGGGTTGTACTTGTTCTGTATTTTTCATCATAAGAAGATTTGGGTAGTTTTTACAAAATCTCTTGAGTTACCCAACTCAGGAGTTCAGTACTAACCACCCACGAAACATGACCTTTAATCCAAAGACTATGTATGCATGCTAATTAGTTGTTAGAGAGCATACAGACTCTGTCTCTGGTATTCTCCCTGAATTTATTAATTGGTTCTGCTAAAAGATTTAATAGATTCATTCTTAAAAACAGAGTAAGTGTGAGAGTTTTCTCCAATTTTATGAACAAATTAATAGCTAAATCTATGTACAGATCATTAATAATTTTCTCATAATAAATTCCAAGAAATAAAATGATGAGATTGAAGGATATCCACATTTTATAAATATTGCCAAATTACTATACTGAAATGTACCAATTTACATTCCTATGTTGTAAGTGAGAAAATCCAGCCAATAAATGTTAATGACATGGGGCTTCTGAGTCCCTAATAGGAATCCTGAGATCTCTAAATAAAGACATGTTGACTTGTGGATACTGATGGTACTTGCCTGCTTTGCACATGTAGAAGGTACCCGTCAGGTTGGTCTCAAGCACAGCGTGCCATCCCTTAGAACTGATGTGTTCAGCAGGGGAAAGAAACTGGCCTCCTCCATTGTTCACCAAGAAATTGATCTTACCAAAAGTATCTAAGGTAGATTTGACCAAATTATTCACCTAAAGAAGAACAGTAGAAGTTACTAAAAGGAAAAGTTTAATAGCCTAACTTGCTACCTCGCCTGATTGATTGCTCTAGACAGAGTTTGCAATCTCTCACAGTGAACAGTCACTCCAAGTGCCACAATGAATGAACATGCAGCAATGAATAAGACTAAAAATCCTACACCAATGAGTAATGTACCAGCACCCAATACCCACAGATCACAAAGCTAAAACTGTAATTTTGACGACAAGATATATCCAAGGGCCTGGAACACCCTTGAGTAGGGCAGGCCTCTGTCATATATTAATTTGACAGCTACCAACCCAGAATAAACAGTGATGAAATCAGATTAAAATGAACATTAAAAAATGACTTAAAGGGCAAGGCACGGTGGCTCACACCTGTAATCCTAGCACTTCGGGAGGCCGAGGCAGGCAGATCACCTGAGGTCAGAAGTTTGAGACCAGCCTGGCCAACACGGTGAAACCCGTCTTTATGAAAAATACAAAAATTAGCTGGGCATGGTGGCATGCACCTATAGTCCCAGCTACTCAGGAGGCTGAGTCAGGAGAATTGCTTGAACCTGGGAGGTGTAGGTTGCAGTGAGCCGATATAGTGCCACTGCCTTTCAGCCTGGGCAACAGAGGAAGACTTTGTCTCAAAAAAATAAAAATAAAAATGAAGACTTAAAGGACAAAAGGCCATCTTTAGCTGGACCACATTCTTGCCTCCCTTCCTCTCCTTCTCCAGGATTCGCCGGCTCAGTAAATCATTAACATGAGAATCTCTTTCACAGCCTCTGCTTCTAGTGAGCCTCATCTAAGACAGCTACAATAGGAGAACCTGAAGCATAGCCAGGTTTAAGAAACACTACTGCAAATTACAATGAATGAATAAATGATACAGATATATCTCCATTACCTCCTCCTCATTCCGGATGTTGCATTGTATGGGAATGACTCGTGCCTGCTTTGTGGGAGGTAGGTTGGCCTGCAGTTCATCTGCCGCAGACTTCAATCTCTCCAACTTACGGGATGCAATGACCACATTACTCCCTGAGGAGAAACAGCCAGAGAACAAATAAATATGCCTTCATGGGATGCAATGACCACATTACACCTTGAAAAGTAAACCGCCAGGGAACAAATAAATATGCCTTCATGAGTTGTCCAAATTCCAACAATAATAATATTGAAAAAATATATCATGTGTTCCATTTTTTAAAGTATTTTTTATTTTAGAGTCAAGGTCTCACCCTGTTGCTCAGGCTAGAGTGCAGTGGCTTGATCATAGCTCACTGTAACCTTGAACTTCTCCCGGGCTAAAGCAATCCTCCCACCTGGCCTCCCAAAGTTCTGGGACTACAGGCACAAGTCACTGCACCTGGCCATGCGTGTTCCTATGTCTTAAAAAAAAGCTGAATTAGGATTTTTGCTTCTGGACAAGATGGAGTAGTAGAAACTGAATTTGCCCTCCATCCTGAAATAACTAAAAAATTGGACAAAATATATGAAATGATGGTTTTCTGGCACTGGACATCTAGTAGCACTGGATGGTCATCTCTGGGACAGTGAAATCAAACATGAGCCCTTGGATTGCCCCAGCTTGCTGCCTGGAGAAAGGTTCTACACTGCAGCAAGGGAGGGGAACACATTCAGAGACCAAAGTCTCCCTGGCGGAAGAGATGAAGTTGGGAGTCTAGGGAGCCAAGGCAGTGAGATTGCCCAGGGGATAGGGAGAAAAGATATACAGAGAGCGAGAACTCCAGAGATCTGCAGAGTCTCTCTGGAATCTTCACCTGAGTACCAATCGATGCTTGGGAATAAATCAAAGAGGAAAGAACTACCAAAAATGGGCAGGGAGATCAAACCCTGGCACTCACACAGCACTGGGAATGGTTAGTGTGCCCACCAGAAAAAAACCTTTCACGGGGCATTCGGTAAAATATGCAGAAGCAGATGGCTTCTGCAGTGAGGCAAAATTCACCATAGACTAAAGGCTGCTCAGATCAAGCCTCTTTTAGAGTATCAAATTGTTTTCAAGTGACCTAACTGTATCCCAGAACAAAGCTCAAGAATATATACATATTTTTTCTTTTTCTTTTTTTTTTTTGAGACGGAGTCTCACTCTGTCGCCAGACTGGGGTGCAGTGGCATGATCTCAGCTCACTGCAACCTCCACCTCCCGGGTTCAAGTGATTCTCCTGCCTCAGCCCCCCAAGTAGCTGCGACTACAGGCGTGCACCACCAGGCCTGGCTAATTTTTGTATTTTTAGTAGAGATGGGGTTTCACCATGTTGGCCAGGGTGGTCCCAATCTCTTGCGCCTGTCTAAGAATATTTATAAGAATATAAAAATAGCCAACATCCATCAAGGTCAAATTCAGTATATGGCATCCAACAAAAAGAACTACCAGGCATGCCAAGGAACAGGAAAATAGCAGCACATAATTAGGAGAAAAGTCAATTAATAAAAACAGACCCAGGCCGGACGCAGTGGCTCACACCTGTAATCCCAGCACTTTGGGAGGCTGAGGCGGGCCGATCATGAGGTCAGGAGTTTGAGACCAGCCTGACCAACATGGTGAAACCCTGTCTCTACTAAAAATACAAAAAGTAGCCAGTCCTGGTGGCATGTGCCTGTAATCTCAGCTACTCAGGAGGCTGAGGCAGGATAATTGCTTGAACCCGGGAGGCAGATGTTACAGGAGCTGAGATCGCCCCACTGCACTCCAGCCTGAGTGACAGAGCAAGACTCCATATCAAAAAAAAAAAAAAAAAAAAAAACCGGAACCAGAAATGACACTGATGATATAATTAAATAGACCAGTGATGAAGAGAAAAATCTTAAAAGCAGCCAGAGAAAAACAACACATTAAGTATACAACAAGAAAGATAAAGACTTCTTTCAGAAACAATGCAAGCCAGAAGACACTGAAACATCTTTACGGTATGGAAAGCAATGAAAAAGATGGTGAACCTAGAAATCTTAACCCAGTGAAAATATCTCTCAAAAATGATGGCAAAATAAAGACTTTTTCACACATATGAAAGCTGGAAGAATTCATCAAGGTGATCTGCACTACAAAAAAGATGAAAGGAAGTCCTTCAAGTAGAAGGAAAATGATGCCAGATAAAAATCTAAAAATATACAGAAGAAGAAAGAGAACTAAAAATGGTTCGTGTGTTTGTTTTTGAGACAGGGTCTTACTCTGTTGCCTAGGCTGGTGTGCAGTGGCGATCTTGGCACACTGCAGCCTTGACCTTCCAGGATCCACTGATCCTCCCACCCCAGCCTCCCGAGTAGCTGGGACCACAGACATACACCACCATATCTGGCCAATTTTTTTTTTTTTTTTTTTTTTTTTTTAGTAGAGATGAGGTCTATGTTGCAGAAATAGTAATTATGTGAGTAAATATAAAGACTTTTCTTGTTTCTATTCAGATCTCTTTAAAGGTATAGTTCAAAGCAAAAATAATAACAACATATTGTAAGATTTATAACATATGTAGAAATAAAATGATTCCCTCCTTCTCCTTGAGAATAATAGCACAATGGCTAAGAAGGGGAAATGGAAGTAGAGACGGTCCTTCTTTTGCTCTGCTCCAATATGCTCTGATTTCAGTTAGCTTAGCTTAAAGACACCAGTCTCTCAACAACATGGTTCAAATTTCAACAACCATGGTATATTAACTGTAACTGCATAAAATGCAAACTTTACTGCTAGCTTTTCAACCCACAAATCATAAATAACAGATGCACATCAAGATCAGTGATTAATCATGTCATTTCTTCCAGCGTCTATCAGTGAATGCCCACTGTGCATCTCTTCTTCAGTTCAGAAGAGCTCAGACAGCAAATAATATAGCTGTGTCACCTCCTGGTCTTTCAACAAGAAACCCAAGTGACATTTTATAAAAACACATGATCTAAGGGGGGACTGGCCAACAAACATGAAAAGTGAGACCAAGAAATGAAAATTTGTAACACTGGAAGCGAAATTAGAATGCATGTCAGGGGAATTATAAAAGGGGAATGCGTGACACTGCTGCCAGTCTAGAAACTACAGAAAGCCAAAAGATCTTACTGAAGGCAAACTTAACATCATGAGGAAAGTGCCTGTGACAAAGAAGATGAAGATATCCCAGAGGAAGTGATGCCCACAAAAAACTTCAGATTAAAGACACTTTTGGGGCCAGGCATGGTGGCTCACTTCTGTAATCCCAGCACTTTGGGAGGTCGAGGTGGGCGGATCACAAGGTCAGCAGTTCGAGACCAGCTTGACCAACATGGCAAAACCCCTTTTCTACTAAAAATACAAAAATTAGCCAGGTGTGGTGGTGGGCGCCTGTAATCCCAGCTACTCCGGAGGCTGAGGCAGGAAAATTGCTTGAACCCAGGAGGCAGAGGTTGTAGTGAGCTGAGATCGTGCCATTGCACCCCAGCCTGGGTGACAAGAGCAAGACTCTGTCAAAAAAAAAAAAAAAAAAGAAACTTTTGGAAATATTTCATGACATTGAAAGTATAAAGGATAAAATGTTGGAAGCTGATCGAAACATAGAAAGGAGTACAATAATTTAACAAGGTACAGAAAAAAATGCTTGCTCTATATCATAAGGTATACAATGAGAAGGCAAGCACTAATCGAATGACTCGACACACTTCACATGAAAATAAAACAGTTTAATTTTCAATACTGAGGTTTTTAAATTTTTATTTTTAACTGACAAATAACTATACATCTATGGGGTAAAATGTGATATTTTGATATATAAATATATTGTGGAATGATGAAATCAGGCTAATGTATCTATCACCTCTTATCATTTCTTTGAGCTAAGAACCACTTTGAGCTAAATCCACTATTCTCGGAATTTTGAAATACACAATGCATTACTAACTATAGCCATCATGCTGTGCAATAGATCATCAGAACTTATTCCTCCTGTCTAAATGAAACTTTGTACTCTTTGACCAACATCTCCCCAGTGAAACTGGTCTACTTTTATTATTTTTTTCATGTCCCTCTGTGGCAGACTGCCATGGTTACTACTTGAGACCGTCACTACGACAGTTACTACTGTTACTACTTACTATTTGAGACGGTCATTACGACACTGAACGAAGGAGGATGAACGCAGAAATGAAAACTTAAAACAAAAGAAACTGTTTTAAAGGAAGGGGCCAGGGGAAGAAGAAGAGGGTTCCCTGCTTCTACTGAGTAAAGGCAGCAACCTTGAGCTCCTACGGCCTTTTGTATTTATTGGGTAGAAAGAGCAGGGAGGAGCAGGTAACATTTGGTCAGCTGCTTAACTGATCACAGGTTCACATTATTGCTAACAGGCTTCAGATGTGCCTCATCACAAGAAACACTTGCGCCTGGGTCGTGACTGCCCTCAGCATTCCTTCAAGGGTGGCAGACGCAGTTTGTCATTTGCCAACATTCTGCATTTATGAGAACAGTTTGCTGTTTGCTCATATACCCTCCAGCGGTATACTGAGTTGATCACGACCCTCACTCTTTCAGCCTGCAACATCTCTCCCTTTTTGTTTTTGAATTAATTGAGACAGGTAATTGCAAAATGTGCAGCCTTGGTGGTTCATTCCGTCTTCGCATTCAGCTCATACTGGGGGAACCGGGCCCATGGTTGGGATCCATGGGTCGCTCTAGTCTCCCGTTCTGTGGTCGCACACACCTTGAGGGCACCCACACAGTTTGTTCATCTCCTGCAAAAACGCAAGCGTACCCTTATCCCCACGTCAGTAAATCTACCAAAACAGAAGCAAAGGCTTTTGTGGCTGTGGCCAGGAGGCATGCCGTTGCCAAAGCATCTGCTCCACAAGCTGTAACTCAGCTTCTGCCTCTTTGGTTAATTACCACGGGGTAAACTTCTCATTGATAAGGAGAGGCAGGCTCTCTCTGATTAACAGAAGGCACATGGAAAGCAAATTGAAGCTCATCCTTCTCGTGCAACAGTATAGCAAAGAAAAAAAATCATTAAGCCTTCAATTTGTACTGTACAGGTGAGTCCATTAAATGTTATGGGTTGTGATAGATAAATCTCTCTCCTAGTTGTACTTTCAAATCCTTGATTCCCTCGCTTCTCCCTTCGTGGAGAAGGGTGCAACTTACAGGGAACAAGCAATAGTTGTGCAATATATTCTCCTGGTTCAAAAACCCAAAGTTCTTGTGACATTACCACTACTGGAATTTCCTCTTCACAATCAAAATCAACAACTCCTGGGGCTACAGTAACGCCCTGCAAGTTAAGATGACTTTTGCCCAAAACTCTCTATTTGTCTCTATTTAACTCTACCTCTATTTCTATTTATCCCTACTTATCTCTATTTGTCCCTGCAGGCCTCTTTAGGTCCCTTCAGGTCTCTGTTTGTCCCTGAAAGTCCCGTTTGGGTGCCACTTTGACAAAAATTTTTGAAGGTCATGAAATAATTGTACTTTTTCCCATTGACTATTTTTGCTTTGAATGGTTTCAGCTTGCATGATCATTGTTACAATGCCACAATGCCATGCAAAAGCAAAGACTACCTATGAACTGTTAAGTGGTTCTTTTACATATATATTTTAAAGATGAGGTCTCACTGTGTTGCCCAGGCTGGATTGCAGTGGTTTTTCAGTGTTAAATTCTATGTGAGGTGATACAGTTATAGGCTGTTTTCACCCTAATACAGCATTTCACTGTATCATAATTACCTGTTAATTTAACAGTCTGCTCCACTCACTGTCATCCCCTGGGAGGTAGGGACCCTGTAATTGCTCTATTTGTTAGGCTAACACACAGTCCAGCATATACAGGTGGAATAAATAAAGTTCACAAAGGCACAGAGTACAAAGGCTCTCCATTTGGCCTGAACTATTTTAGTTGTATAAGATAAGCTAGCTACTGCATATGAAAATAAGGCACTTTATTTTATTTCTTATCTTTATAGATGTAGGGGGGACAAGTGTAGTTTTGTTACATGGGGCTTTTAGTGTATCCATCACCTGAATAGTGGCCACTGTACCCAACAGGTAATTTTTCAACCCTCACTCCCCTGCTTCTACCCTCCCACCTTTTAGAGTCTCCAATGTCTGTTATTCTACTCTGTATGTCCATGTGTACCCACTCTTTAGCTCCCACTTATAAGTGAGAACATGCACCATTTGACCTTGTTTCTGAATTATTTTAGTTAGGATAAAGGCCTCCAGTTCTATCCATGTTCCTGCAAAAGACAAGATTTCATTCTTTTTCATGGCTGAGTAGTATTCCATGGTATATATAACATATTTTCTTTATCCAATCATCCACTGATGGACACTTAGGTTGATTCTTAACTTGCTACTATGAATAGTGCTGTGATAAACATACTAGAGCAGGTGTCTTCTTCATATAGTGATTTATTTTCCTTTGTAAACACCCAGTAGTGGGTTTGCTGAATTGAATGGCAATTCTATTTTTAATTCTTTGAGAAATCTCCATACTGTTTTCCATAGAGCTTGTACAAAATAAGACAATTTTAAAAACTATGTTTAAAGTTTAGGTTATAATTTAGTAAACTAAAAATGGTAACAACTTTTGGAAATTCTCGTGTGCAATCTGAGGGTTTTATAAAGCAAAAATTGGAAAGATTCACCATAAGTTCCTTGTAAGCCTTGCCTAACTTTAAAATGGAATTTAATTTATCAAAATATATAATGTGCAACAAAAACATACGTTATACTGTTAGGAGAAGCTTACTCCTTTCTCCTTTTGTTTCCAGGAGGGCCCTCTTCTTCCAGCAGGAAAAATAACTGAAACACAGTCACACACCCCATAACAATGTTTTGGTCAATGATAGACCACATGTATGGCAGTGGCCTCATAAGATTAAAGTGGAAGTTAAACATTCTTATCATCCAGTGGTGCTGTAGCCACTGTAATGTCATAGCTGCAATTACTTTATTTTTTTATAAATTTAGTTTAGCCTGTGTGTACAGTGTTTATAAATTCTACAATAGTAAACAATAATGTCTTAGGCCTTCACATTCACTTATCACTCCCTCACTAACTCACCCAGAGCAACTTCCAGTCCCGTAAGCTCCTGTGTCCTATACAGTGCTCTATACAGGTGTACCATTTTTTATATTTTATACCATATTTTTACTATATCTTTTATTTTTATTATATCTTTTGTATGTTTTTATATAATTTTATAATAAAAATACCATATTTTTATTATATCTTTTGTATGTTTAGATATGTTTAGACCACAGATATTTACCTTTGTGTTACTATTTCCTGCAGCCTTCAGCATAGTAACCTCCCGTACAGGTTTGGAGCCTAGAAGCAATAGGCTATTGACCATATAAACCATGTATATAGTAGGCTATACCATCTAGGTTTGCCTACCACTCTATGATGTTCACACTATGATGAAATCACTTAAGGATGTATTTCTCAGAAGATTTCCCTGTGTTAAGTGACACATGACTGTATATACTTCTAGACTAATCCAACACTCAGTTAGGTTTCTGTCACTTAGGAGAAATAGCTGAGCTTATCAGTGAGATGGAAAGGAGAGAAATAAGCACCCCAGGACAAGCCACCACTTCCTCCACCCACTTCTTTCTTTGATATTTCTGCCTTCAACATACACATTTTTTGCTCTAGTTCCCAGAGTAGGGCATAGGCTCTATAGGGCAGGGATGAAAAACTTTACCTAGGCTGGGTGCAGTGGCTCATGCCTGTAATCCCAACACTTTGGGAGGCCAAGGCCGGTGGATCGCTTGTATTCAGGACTTCAAGACCAGCCTGGGCATCATGGTGAAACCCCACCTCTACTAAAAATACAAAAAAATTAGCTGAGCATGGAGGCACACGCCTGTAATCCCAGCTACTCAGGAGACTAAGCCACGAGAATTGCTTGAACCTGGGGGCAGAGGTTGCAGTGAGGCAAGATTGTGCCTGGGTGACAGAGTGAGACTGTGTCAAGAAAGAAAGAAAAAGAAAGAAAAGAAAGAAAAGAAAGAAAGAGAGAGAGAAAGAAAGAAAAAAAGGAAGGAAGGAAGGAAGGAAGGAAGGAAGGAAGGAAGGAAGGAAGAAAGGAAGGAAGGAAGGAAGAGAGAGAGAGAGAAAACAAGAACACCAAGGTGATTAATGCCTAACTTTGTCCAAGACCTCGAGTAAAAAATATGTTGAGAATATAAATAGGATGATTCACATGGATTATCTAAATAGAAGTTTACTAAATTATAACTAGTTACTATCTGAAACCTCAAGACTTCAGGACAGTTGTCTACTACAAGTAAAGATGCACTGAAATACAACTTTACAAGTCCATTTACTTTCACTGCTAGAACTTTCCACTATAGACAAACTTGAACTAGGGTGCAAACATATTACAGGGAAAAACAATGCAATGCTGGGTAAAATAAAAACCTAAATGGCCATTCAGGAAATGGTTAAATAAGTTATTACAGACCCACACAATGGAATACTATGCAGCTTTAAAATGAATGAGATATGACTACAATACTACCATTGAAAAACACAAGATATGGGCCAGGCATGGTGACTCATGCTTGTAATCCCAGCAATTTGGGAGGCTAAGGTTGGAGAGTCGCTTGTGGTGAGTTCAAGACCATCCTGGATGAGACCTTGTCTCTAAAAAAATTTTTTTATTGCCAAACATTGTGGCACATGCCTATAGTTTAGATACTTGGGAGGTTGAGGCAGGAGAATCATTTCAGACAGGAGTTCGAGGCTGCAGTGAGCTATGATGACACTACTGTACTCTAGCCTGGGTGACAGAGCAAGATCCTGTCTCTAAAAAACAAAACAAAACAAAGAAAAAACAAGATATTTAAGTAGGAAAAAAAACCATTACAGAGCAGTAAGAATACTGTGATCCCAATTTTGTAGAAAACAAAATATATATACGTGTGTATACATGTGCACATTAAATTTGTAGAAAATCACCAGGAAGGGAATTTAGAAAAAGGGCAGAATGGGTAAAGCTCATTTTTTTCTTTTATACACTTCTATACTGTTTTAATTTATTGCAAACCTCTTATGCTACCTTATAATAAACTAGAAAAATATTATATATAATCCTTGCCTTTCATGCTAAATCATTTCAATAGACTTTATTTTTGTTTATATGTAGCTAGAGAGATGCAGAAAGCTCAACTGACCTGCTTAGAATAGGTATAGAAGTAGCTTGTGGATAAGGAGTTCTTTCAACATCAGAGGCTTGTAGCCCCAGTATGCTGCGTTCCTGCTTAGGCTGATACTGATCCCTTTCCATCTTCAACTCAGAATACTACATTTATTCAGCACCTTCTTGGTCCCTGGTGTTGGTAACAGGCTAGTTAGACTAGACTAGAGCAAGAAAAAATGTTGTCTTGGGTCATAATTTCCACCGGCATTTCCTAATTGCATTTTATCTACTATACCTAATTTATGTTCTACTGTAGTAACAGAAAGTGAATGATTAACTTGAAGATAAAAAAACATCTGATATGAATTCAACTTGACGATGCTAGGTTTTCCTTGATGAAATCAGGTTTCTCTCTGCCTAACAGCACCTGTCAAAGGTATAAAGGAGATCTAATTCTGCCTACAATATCCTGCTTTTGTGAGCTAAAGCTTTCTGTGTCCTCTCAGAAAAAGGAAAAGTCAAAATCCTGTGGAAGTGAAAGACATTGTTATATAAACCCAAATTGAGCAAAAAAGAAAATGTTAGCCAATTTTTTTCTTCTCTTTTCTTTTGAGATGGAATCTCACTCTGTCACCCAGGCCAGATTGCAGTGGCGTGATCTCGGCTCACTGCAACCTCCGCCTTCAGAGTTCAAGCAATTCTCATGTGTCAGCCTCCCAAGTAGCTGGGACTACAAGCATGTGCCATGCCACCACATGTGCCACAATGTTTGGAAACAGAGTCAAGCAAAGATTTTCATGCAAGGATGTAGTCTTGAGAAGTGAAAAAATGGAAATTACCTAAAAATTCAATATGAGGGAAATAGTTAAATCAATAACAATGAAATATACATGCTTCCATTTAAATATCTTGCTATTGTTCCTGGTGCAGTGGCTCACGCCTGTAATTCCAGCACTTTGGGAGGCCGAGGCCGGCAGATAACTTGAGGTCAGGAGTTCGAGACCAGCCTGGCCAACATAGTAAAACTCCATCTCTACTAAAAACACAAAAATTAGCCAGGCATGGTGGCACACACCTGTAGTCCCAGCTACGTGGCAGGCTGAGGCACAAGAATCACTTGAACCTGGGAGGCAGAGGTTGCAGTGAGCTGCTGTCAAGCCACTGCACTCCAGCCTGGGCAACAAAGCAAGATTCCATCTCAATAAATAAATAAATATCTTGCTATTGAAGACTTACTTGGAGAAATGCATACCATATTATTGGGAAAAATAGAATTCTAAACCTAACAGCATTCCAATTTTACTTTTTTTTTTTTTTTTGAGATGGAGTTTCGCTCTTGTTGCCCAGGCTGGAGTGCAATGGCACCATCTCAGCTCACTGCAACCTCTGCCTCCCGGGTTCAGCGATTCTCCTGCCTCAGCCTCCGAGTAATTGGGATTACACGCACGCACCACCTCGCCTGGCTAATTTTGTATTTTTAGTAGAGATGGGGTTTCTATATGTTGGTCAGGCTGATCTCGAACTCCCAACCTCAGGTGGCCGCCCACCTCGGCCTCCCAAAGTGCTGGGATTACAGGCATGAGCCACCGCGCCTGGCCCAATTTTACTTTTAATAAAAAATATTTGCCGGGGTGCCGAGGCTCACGCCTGTAATCCCAGCACTTTGGGAGGCCAAGGCAGGCGGAGCACAAGGTCAAGAGATCGAGACCATCCTGGCTAACACGGTGAAACCCCCGTCTCTACTAAAAATACAAAAACTTAGCCGGGTGTGGTGGTGGGTGCCTGTAGTCCCAGCTACTAGGGAGGCTGAGGCAGGAGAATGGCTTGAACCCGGGAGGCGGAGCTTGCAGTGAGCCAAGATCGCGCCACCGCACTCCAGCCTGGGTGACAGAGCAAGACCTCCATCTCAAAAAAAAATACATGCAGGGCCGGGTGCAGTGGCTCACGCCTGTAATCCCAGCACTTTGGGAGGCTGAGGCGGGCAGAGCACAAGGTCAAGAGTTCGAGACTAGCCTGGGCAAACATGGTGAAACCTTGTCTCTACTAAGAATACAAAAATTAGCCAGGCATGGTGGCATGTGCCTGTAATCCCAGCTACTCAGGAGGCTGAGGCAGAAGAATCGCTTGAACCTGGGAGGCAGAGGTTGCAGTGAGCCAAGATCGTGCCACTGTACTCCAGCCTGGGCTACAGAGCAAGACTCCGTCTCAAAAAAAAAAAAAAAAAAAATATGGATTATACATGCAAAAATGGACTGGAAGGAAGTTTGTAAGATTTTTAGCCATTTTTCTGAAAATAATGTTAATTATGAGTAATTAAAATTGTCTTCGTCTTTTAAATATTTTTTAATGAACATCTAAATTATCTTTGGTTACCATCTGGCATAGTATGAAGTAAAAAAGAAAACACCTGTATTTTTCGTTAAAAAAAAAAAAAAGCAAAAATATCATCATTTTAAAAACCATGCCTCAAAGTTCATGCCAAAAAGACATAGTTCACACCAAAAAACCAAAACCAAAAACAAAAAACAGTGGCCTTCTGACTAGAAAGAAAACTGGAGGCTAGGCGCGGGGCCTCCATGCCTGTAATCCTAGCACTTAGGGAGGCTGAGGCGGGCAGATCACTGGAGGTCCGAGTTCAAGACCAGCCTGGCCAACATGCCAAAACCCCATCTCTAGTAAAAATATGACAATGTCGTGGAAATAGCCATTGATTCTGGCATAAAAAAATAAAGAGGAAAAAGTAATTATAAAAATGATTTTTATGGCCAGGCCCGGTGGCTCACAGCACTTTGGGAGGTCAAGGGGGATGGATCATAAGGTCAGGAGTTCAAGACCAGCCTGGCCAACGTGGTAAAACCCCGTCTCTATTAAAAATACTGCTCAGGAGGCTGAGGCAGAGAATTGCTTGAACCTGGGAGGTGGAGGTTGCAGTGAGCCGAGATTGCGCCACTGTACTCCAGCCTGGGCGACAGAGCGAAACTCCATCTCAAAAAAAAAAAAAAAGAAAAAGATTTTTAATATTCTTTCACTGAAGGAAATCCATTTCCAATACAACAAAATAATTGTGTATATATATTTTTAAGTATATGATGTCTTTTTCTCAAAAGACACGCCACCACTTTCATCAGAATCTCAGACAGATTCATGTCTTCCAAAAGATTACAAGACCAATGTCCTAATGTTTTAGTTTGTGGTAAGAAAAATATAGTCTATCACCTTATTCCAGGGGTGTAGTTTTTGGCCAATGCATATTTATGCAACAGGATGAAAGTTCAAATAGCACACTTATGCAACAGGATGAAAGTTCAAATAGCACACTTATGCAACAGGATGAAAGTTCAAATACATAAAAATCTATTAAAAATCCTTCAAAGTGGACTAGGGTCCTACGAATCTGCTGAGAAGCCTAGTATCTGACCTATGCATGAATTGATAACTGATTCTGATTTTCTTACAGATATTCCTGAAAGAGGATAGAGCTTGGTGTTGAGAATAAACTGGGCAGTAATGGTGATGAGGTTACATCATGGCCTTACTAGGAAATGTTTTTGCTTTTTTTTTTTTTTTTAACTAAAAACATAGATTTTTTTTTTTTAGTTCATACTGTGCCAGATGTTGGAAACACAGTCGTAACCAAAGATAATTTAGATGTTCATTAAAAAATATTTAAAAGACGAAGACAATTTTAATTACTCATAATTAACATTATTTTCAGAAAAATGGCTAAAAATCTTATAAACTTCCTTCCAGTCCATTTTTGCATATGTAATACTTTTTTTTTTTTTTGATACTGAGTCTTGCTCTGTCGCCCAGGCTGGAGTGCAGCGGCACGATCTTGGCTCACTGAAACCTCTGCCTCCCGGGTTCACGCCATTCTCCTGCCTCAGCCTCCTGAGTAGCTGGGATTACAGGCACACGCCACCATGCCTGGCTAATTTTTGTATTCTTAGTAGAGACGAGGTTTCACCATGTTTTCCCAGGCTAGTCTCGAACTCTTGACCTTGTGCTCTGCCCGCCTCGGCCTCCCAAAGTGCTGGGATTACAGGCATGAGCCACCGTGCCCGGCCCTGCATGTATATATTTTATTAAAAGTAAAATTGGGCCGGGCACGGTGGCTTACGCCTGTAATCCCAGTACTTTGGGAGGCCGAGGCGGGCGGATCACCTGAGGTCGGGAGTTGGAGACCAGCCTGACCAACATATAGAAACCCCATCTCTACTAAAAATACAAAATTAGCCTAGCAAGGTAGTGCGTGCCTGTAATCCCAACTACTCGGGAGGCTGAGGCAGGAGAATCGCTTGAACCCAGGAGGCGGAGGTTGCAGTGAGCCAAGATGGCGCCACTGCACTCCAGCCTGGGCAACAAGAGCGAAACTCCATCTCAAAAAAAAAAAAAAAGTAAAATTGGAATGCTATTAGGTTTAGAATTCTACTTTTCCCAATAATATGGTATGCATTTCTCCAAGTAAGTCTTCAATAGCAAGATATTTATTTATTTATTGAGATGGAATCTCGCTCTGTTGCCCAGGCTGGAGTGCAGTGGCTTGACGTCAGCTCATTGCAACCTCTGCCTCCCAGGTTCAAGCGATTCTTGCGCCTCAACCTCCCAAGTAGCTGGGACTACAGGTGTACGCCACCATGCCTGGTTTGTATTTTTAGTAGAAATGGAGTTTCACCATGTTGGCCAGGCTGGTCTCAAACTCCTGACCTCAGGTTATCTGCCCGCCTCGGCCTCTCAAAGTGCTGGAATTACAGGCGTGAGCCACTGCGCCAGGACCAATAGCAAGATATTTAAACGGAAGCATTATATTTCATTGTTATTGATTTAACTATTTTCCTTATATTGGATTTTTAGGTAATTTCCATTTTTTCACTACTCAAGACTACATCCTTGCATGAAAATCTTTGCTTGACTCCGTTTCCTTAAATTCCTGAAAAAGGAATTACTGTCATAGAGCATAAACATTGTGAAGGTTTTTGGATCTTTTTTTCCAAATTGCCTTCCAGAAAGTTTGTAATAATTTACATTCCTGCCTTCTCATTCCTGCATCAACACTTTAATTTTTCCCAACATTTCAAAATTTTGTTAGAAAAGTTAAATCTTACTGTTTCATATTTTATTACCAATAAAGTTGATTATTTTTTCATATGTTTCTTGCCTGTCTGTAGTTCTTCTTTTGGAACGCTTAGTCCATACCATTAGTCTAATTTTTCTATCAGTGTGTTGGATTTTTTCTTTATTTGTAAGAGCTCTTTATGTATAAGGCTGTTGGCCGAATCTAGTGGCTCAGCCTGTAATCCCAAAACTTTAGGACTCAGAGGCAAGGCAGGAGGATCCCTTGAACCCAGGTGTTCGAGACCAGCGTAGGCAACAGAGTGAGACCCTATCTCAAAACCAACAAACAATTTATCTTATGTTGCAAATATTTTTCTTCATATGCCTTTAAACTTTATATATTTTTTTAATTCAATGAGGATTTACACTTTCATACAGGTAGATTGATTTATGTTCTCCTTTGTGGTTTATTCCCTCACTTATGTGTTTACAAAGGCCTTCCTTCACCCAAGTTAAGGTAAATATTCAGCATATTTCCTTGCTGTGGTTAAGAGATGTGAGAAGATACTATGAGAGACTCACTATGTTCACAACTTTTTCCAGTTAAATGAAGTCTTCCCACGTTTCCTAATCACTCACATTAAGCATATAGAATGGATTAATTTTAAATCTGAATATAAAACTAATTGCACAGCATGTTTCACTGCTCTTCTTACTGCCTACCTGGGGCACAGTCTCTTTGGCCTGAGTGGTCTCTTCAGTTTTTAACGAGTGGCTCCACAATTCCTTAGGAAGAGCTGCTCTCTTCTGTCTCCCTGGTGGTCGTAATTTCGCCCACACCTGCCCCGTCTTTGCTCTGCAGCTCCACACTCCCTCAGCCCCGCCGAGAGCTCCTGGCTCCCGTCTCCAGGTTACCCCAGGTCACCACAGCCACCTCTCTGCACCAGCGGCCCGCTCACGTACCCAGCTCCAGGAGCTCCTTCACGATGGCTTTTCCGATGCCCGTGGCCCCGCCGGTGACGATGGCCACTTGGCCCTGCAGCAAACCAGGCGCCAGGTAGCTCCTGCCCTTAGCCCAGGAGGCCATCCCTGCAGCGGGGTGCCAGAGCAGCTGAGCGCAGGCCCTTCTGGGTCTCAGGGACATTCGAGGCGGGCGGGCGGACAGGGCGGTGCTCGAGCCCACGTGACCACCAGAACCCCGCACCCTCCCCGGCCCGGCCCCGCCCCGCCCGCCGGCCGCGGCAAAGCCGCATCCTCCCGGAGCAGAACCGCTCCCCGCCGGCTGTCCGCAACCTCCGCCAGCGTCGGTCCCTGGGCAGGTGTGGGTGAGACTGCTCGTTCGTTTCTTTAAATTTCGATGCCATTGGGGAGGGTGGAAGGGAAATGCAAAAAAAAAAAAAGAAGAAGAAAGAAACAAGCAGGGTGTGCTCTATTTCAAAAATTCAATCCTCAGGGCTGAAGCTCTCACGATTAATTAAAATTAAATCTCCAGTGCAGCTGGAAAAAGAAAGGCTGCTGCTCGGCGCCCTCGCTGCGCCCGCCTGCCGGGGTCGGACGTCGGCGATGCTGTGGCTCCAGGTGCTGTGTGCCGCTGGCTGGGAAGGGGAGAAAGGGCAGGCTTAGCTGAGGGGGAGAAATGCGGCTTTCAGATCCTTTCATCCTTCGGGAGGGAGCCCGGGAAAGAGAGTGAAGGGGAAGAGGAGATGCGGTTGCAGTTTTCCACAGAACCAAGAGAATAAACGATTTGAAAAAATAAACTCAGGCCCACCTCCGTCTCACCTCCCACTCCCCACCCAAGAATCAAGGGGAAAGATCATCTTTACCAGGTTTGAGACCTGATCCATTTCAGCTGAGCTGCATAGCGAGTCCAGAAGAGGATCTTTCCTTGAAGGGTGCACGCTTCCTGCAAGATGCATCTGTAGGTGTTTGAGATCATGTCCTGTAGTTCATTCCTTGTGCAGGAGGGTGAGCCCGCTGAGGATGGGGAAAATTTCTCGTCTGTGTTATGGTGCCCAGTAACAGTGATTTATTATTCAGATCTGCTCCTTATTTTTCATCTTGCTTCCCGCTCTGAACCCACCAGAGTGAGATTACACCTGGACTGGCCTACTGAGACTTCACCCTAAGAACTTGGTCGAATGTGCCAGTTGCTGTGGTCTTAACAATCCAGATGGGATGCTATTTCTAAGGCTGTTGTCAGAGTGTTGCATTTTCCCCGGACAGGTATTAAAATAATATAAAGGCAAATAAATGCCATCATCCTTTTGTTGGACCTACCACCTAGGATTCACAAAGCCAATTGGAAATGGGTCTGGTTGACAGAGGAATCAGACCATCACTTCCTCCACCAGGTCCCACCCACCAGCGAGGCTGCAGTTCTTGTTGGACAGCTACACTTCCCTGTTGCTCCATCCTCTTGTCCTTCTCTGATCTCTTTTTAGAATCACTTCTCCCTCTATCTTTGTTGCTGACAGATTCAAATCTACACTCGTTAAAGAAAGGAATAAATCTCCTGGTTACCATTTGCTAGATAGTTTATCCAGGAATCACTTAACTCTACTACTTAAGTCAATTCTGTAGTTAGGACCAAATTTTTAAAATTACAACGCCATCACCTCCTTTAAAACAAAGTAAATTCAAACAGGAAAGCTCAAAGTGTTGTTGCAGAAACATATAACTCCTCTTGGTTTGATCCCAATGACAAGGTGTTTTTTTTTAAGGAAAAGAAATATTGATTCAGTTCTGAGGGGTATCTTATTCAAGAGAAGTCCAGACTTTCTTTCTTGTGGGTGGGGACACTTTAAATTCTTTTAAATGATAACTTTATTGAAGATATAACTTAACATGATTTATGCCCTGGTCTGGACCTATAGATTCTTAGAGGTGTGCCAGGGTGGGTCAGTGGGAAGCTGGCTGTGCTGCAGCTTCCGTGTGGCTGCTGAGCGGACTGAGAGTGGGATTCTGATGTCTTCCAGTGAAACAGGGACTGGGGCCTGCAAACCGGTTATGCCTACTGAGGATGACAAGGTGCCATTCCTCAGCTGCAAGGAAGTTGCAGGATGAACAGTCAGAAGGCGATTTTTCATGATCCAGGCAGAACCTGCAATTAAGAGAGCTTTGGGGTCTCTTCAAGCGATCTTTTGTTTAAAATTAGGAGGCATGATCTCTTTGCCTCTGCCTCTGACCTCTGTCAGGGTTTGAAAGTCCACTAATCCGCTAAGTTCCAGGCCAAAAGGCCTGGAAGCAGAGCAATAGATCTGCTGCTTGGAAGCTCTTTGTTTTGAAATTTTAGTTCTGCCTCTGGTTGAGGCATCTCTTCCGAAGGCAACCACGCCATGCTGCACTGACCACTCCTTTGGTTGAATCAAATGCTGCTCTTCCCTGTGCTCTGCGTCACTGCCCTCTTTGTCCTGGGGAAAAAGGCATTCCTGTGGCCAAGGTCCTCCCACACCCCCGAACCTCTCCCCACAGCTCTGTCATACCCCATTAGCAATGACTGCCTTCAGCTTCCCACCCCTCCCCCACCCCATCTGCCTGGTAACTTTATTTTCTCCCCTCTGCAAAGCAGCTGCTAGCTCAGACTGACAGGGGCTTGTGGGATTCTCGACATTTAGACTCCCAGAATCTCAGTGCTGAGAGAATGTCAGTGAAGCATCTGGTCCTGCCCCTACCTTGAAGCAAAACTACCTAGCAATTGTGCCATAACAAGGCATATAAAGGAGCTTATTGATGTCTTTTTATTAAACTTCTCCTTAGTCTCAGGCTTTCACAAAAAATAAGCTACTCCTGAGTTGCTACCACTTCACCCAGTCACTTAAAAAGATTTATCGAGCATCTATTTGTTGGCCTACTTCTATGGTACCACTTCATAGGGCTTGAAGTCTAGTAGAAGAGCTATGCAATAAATAAGTAAAAGAAAAATAAATAATGACAAATGTTGGTAAGCCTTACACAGGAAACAAGCTGTTGTGATAAAGAATAATGAGAGGCAGAGCAGGGAGTCAAGTTTTTAGTTCGGGTGTCAAGAAGGGCTCAGAGGAGGAAACATTTGAACAAGGACTCAAAAAAACAAAAACGGGCACAGGAAGAGGCGGGGTGGAGCAGCAGAGCAGCAAGATAGACAGCAGTTAAGAAGACCTCAAGCATTTGGAAGCATTTGGTGCTCTTGAGGAAGAAATACACAGCCAGTGTGATTGGAGCATAGTACCCCTACTATGGTGGTACAGATGGGGTGGCAGGATGGGGAGGTCCTTAGGCCACATGGACTTCCACATGTATAACAGTAGGAAGTTACAGGAGGATTTTAAGCAGAAAACAGCCTGATTTTCTTTTTTATTTTTATTTATTTATTTGACATGGAGTCTGGCTCTGTATCCCAGGCTGGAGTGCAGTGGCAGCGATCTCGGCTCACTGCAGCCTCTGCCTCCCAGGTTCAAACAATTCTCCTGCCTCAGCCTTCCGAGAAGCTGAGACGACAGGTGCGCGCTGCCACGCCTGACCATCTGATTTTCTTTATGTTTTAAAAAGATGTTTCTGGCTGGGTGGCTCATGCCTGGAATCCCAGCACTTTGGGAGGTGAAACCCCATCTCTACTAAAAATACAAAAATTAGCCGGGTGTGGTGGCACACGCCTGTAATCTCATCTACTCGGTAGGAGAATCAGGTGGGGGAGGTGGGGGTTGCAGGAAGCTGAGATTGTGCCACTGCAGTCCAGCCTGGGTGACAGAGTGAGACTCTGTCTCAAAAAATTAAAAAAATTAAGTAAAAGATGTTGCTTACTGCTGAGTGAGGAATTGATTGGAAGGCAGCAAGAGTGGAAGCTGGAAGATAGGAGCATTTTTTTTAGAACCACAGTTAAGAGACAGTGGCCTCCTAGACCAGAGGGGAAGCAGTGGAGATGGGAAAGTTGGGTGGATGAATTTAAGAATTATCTGGGCCGGGAGCAGTGGCTCACGCCTGTAATCCCAGCACTTTGGGAGGCCAAGGCGGGCGGATCACCTGAGGTTGGGAGTTCGAGACCAGCCTGACCAACATGGAGAAACCCCTTCTCTACTAAAAAATACAAAATTAACTGGGCATGGTTGTGCATGCCTGTAATCCCAGCTTCTCAGAAGGCTGAGGCAGGAGAATCGCTTAAACCCAGGAGGCAGAAGTTGTGGTGAGCTGAGATCACGCCATTGCACTCCAGCCAAGGCAACAAGAGTGAAACTCCATCTCAAAAAAAAAAAACAAAAACAAAAAAAGAATTATCTGGATAATTTTTTTCAAGAGTGGCTTAAAAGCAGTTATTCTAAGCACGAGTTCCAGAGTATGAGCATGTTCTTAAAAACCTGTTTTCCCTCCTACAATGACCAAGAGTACAGAGCTAATGGTTGATTGAAGCTAACACTCTGTAATATCACATTTGTAAGAATCTTTTTTTTTTTCTGAGGCAGAGTCTCACTCTGTTGCCCCGGCTGGAGTGCGGTGGTGTGATCTTGGCTCACTGCAACCTCTGCCTCCCGGGTTCAAGCGATTCTCCTACCTCAGCCTCCGGAGTAGCTGAGATTACAGGTGTGTGCCACCATGCCTGGCTAATTTTTGTATTTTTAGTAGAGGGGGTTTCACCATGTTGGCCAAGTTGGTCTCAAACTCCTGATCTCAAGTGATCCACCTGCCTCGGCCTCCCTAAGTGCTGGAATTACAGGCATGAGCCACCGTGACCAGCCTGTTAATAATCTTTAGACTGGAAGTGGAAGTGGAAGATGGGCACAGCTTAACTGCCAGAGAAAAGAACAAAGTCCTCTCTCTTCTCTCAAGTCTATTGATTAAAGCCTTGGAAATTGGGTAAAATTTTCTTTTAACCTCTCTCTTGTGAAATCTAAAAGGAAGGAGAAATGTTTAGAACCTGCTTCTCAGATCAAATACTTACAGCATAATAAAGTATACAAAAATGGGGAAGAGAATCAAGCCTTTCTTTCTTAACAGTTGTTTATGTCATATTTCTGGTAAGACATTTTCTCTTCTGTGTCCTATGAAGTCAACAAGTACATACTGACTTTGTACTACATGTCCAGCCCTGGGGTTTTCCCATTGGTGGTTAAGAAGAAGAGTAAGACAGTTCCTAAACTCTAGAAGTTTGTTATCTACCTAGAAAGATGAATGAAAACTCATGATGCCATCTATAATCTATACAATGATATGAAATGCTGCATAATTAAGTATTAAGTGTATGGTTCAGATGGCAAATGCTATTAAATTACAAATAGAAGGAGGCAAAAGAAAGGGAATAGAAACTAATATTTATGAAGTGTCAGTCACATATTAGGCATTTTATACTGGGCCATTCATTGAATTCTCACCACACACCTGCAACACAGGGTTAGGGTGGGAGGAGAGGACGTGGGGGCTGGGGTAGTCACAGAAGGGGACGTGAGCGAATGAGTCTGTCTTGAGCCAGGCTTGAAAGATGTGGAGAAGCGTGACAAAGATGAAGAAACCAACATAAGCACATGTGTTGAGTAGTCACGTTGCAGGAAAGGGAAGGGGAAAATTGCTACTGAATCCTAGGGTGGGGTGCAAATACGGAGAGCCTCAAACACCAGACAGGCCTTCAGATATATTTTAGTCAGTAATGGCAAGACAAAATAAAAATATTGTTTTGTTTTGTTTATTAATCACCATTAATATGGTAAAAAATGGTAGAGGAATGTCTTCCATTTTAGAATGTCTTCCAGTTTAGAGGAAGTAGTATGAAGGCTGTATTCTGGCATATGGTGGTAGTAGAAATTCAAATGAACAAATTAACAAAAAGATTTCATAGGAATGACTAGCAGGACTTAGAGACTAATTATTATTAGGTATATGGAAATATGTCCTTAATATAGGAAATGGGTTCATCAAAGAACATTCTAGAAGTTTATAGATCTTTGCATAAATGTTGGCGGGTAGTATGGCACAATGAAAATAACATGGGCTTTGAAATTAGCAAACCTGGGTGTCAGTTCCAGTCCCACCACTATACTAGCTATGTAAGCTTGAGCAAATTTCTCCTCTAAATGGGAATAATAAAGGTACCTACTTCACTGGTTTGCTGTGAATATTGAACAATACGATTATTGTAAAGTACTTAGAGCAGCACTTGGCACACAATAAACATCCAATAAGTTTCTGTTGTTACTATTATTCAGTCCAAGTGTCCTCTTCTGCAAAATAATACTTGCTTCATAAAATTGTTGTACCTAGGCTGGTATGGTGGCTCACACCTGTAATCCCAGCACTTTGGGAGGCCGAGGCAGATGGATCACTTGAGGTCAGGAGTTGGAGACTAGCCTGGCCAACATGGTGAAACCCTGTCTGTACTAAAAGTACAAAAATTAATTGCACATGGTGGTGTATGCCTGTGGTCCCAGCTACTCAGGAGGCAGAGGCACGAAAATCGCTTGAACCTGGAGGCTGAGGTTGCAGTGAGCTGACATTGCACAACTGCACTCCAGCCTGGGTGACCAAGCGAGACTCTGTCTCAAAAAAAAAAAAAACAAACAGGCCGGGTGCAGTGGCTCACGCCTGTAATCCCAGCACTTTGGGAGACCGAGGCGGGCAGATCACAAGGTCAGGAGATCGAGACCATCCTGGCTAACACGGTGAAACCCCGTCTCTACTAAAAAAGAAATACAAAAAATTAGCCGGGCGTGGTGGTGGGCGCCTGTAGTCCCAGCTACTCAAGAGGCTGAGGCAGGAGAATGGCGTGAACCCGGGAGGCGGAGCTTGCAGTGGGCTGAGATCACGCCACTACACTCCAGCTTGGGCGACAGAGCGAGACTCCGTCTCAAAACAAACAAACAAACAGACAAAAATTGTTGTACCTAGAACAACTATGCAATATATAGCACATAGTGTTGCTTAATAAATATTTACTGAAGCTGGGCACAGTTGCACATGACTGTAGTCCCAGCTACTCAGGAGGCTGAGGTGAGAGGATTGCTTGAGCCTAGGAGTTCAAGTCAAGCCTGGGCAACATAGAAAGACCCCATCTCTAAAAATAAATGAATACGTAAATATTTTTTGAATGTGTAATTCAGTGAGATAATGCATGTACTGTATAATCAACACAGAACCTACCAAATTACACAATCGGTAAATTCCATAAATGTTGTGGTGTTTCCTTCTTTATCCCTTTCTCCTTTCCTTTCCCCCTTCTCCTTTTTTCTCGGTAACACTGAGAGGTTCTCTGCTGTAAATAAAGATGAGTTTGGTTTGAACATGCTTTGCTAAATAATTCAATTAGAAAATATTCGCCAGGCTATTGGAGATACAATCTTGAGATCTACATTTGGGCGTTCTTGGCATAGAAGTGGTCCTACAGCTGTGTGCAGGAAGGCTGTATATTTTAACAAGAGGAACAGAGTGTGCTGTTGAGAATAGAGGACAATGAATTAAGAATCGGGCCTAGAAAACACTGGCAATTATGGGTTGGAGAAAGCAGATAAGGGAGCAAAAGAAACAGAAGGAAGGTTTGAGAGGTAAAAGAGAATGAGAGTAGAAAGTTAAAGGAGGTGAGGGAAGGTTCAAGAAAGATTTGGGAATTAGTGGAATCAACAGCTTTGGTGTGACAAGGAGAATAAGAATGGTGAAGTGGTCACTGTGATCACATCAGGGACTTTCAAGACTGTTTCTCACCAAAATGAGTGGATCTGTCATCAAATGAAGGAGAAATAGGGTTTTGGACAGCAAACAACAGAACCAAAAAACCAAAAACCATCAGCTGTTCACTGCAGCTACTACCACTTGACTACTTCTATTTTTAATTTTCATTTTATTTTATTTTACTGATTTTATTTTTGAGACAGAGTCTCACTCTCTCGCCCAGACTGGATGCAGTGGCACGATCTCAGCTCACTGCAACCTCCACCTCCCAGGTTCAAGCGATTCTCCTGCCTCAGCCTCCTGAGTAGCTGGGATTACAGGCGTGCACAACCACGCCAAGCTACTTGTATTTTTAGTAGAGACAGGGTTTCACCATGTTGGCCAGGCTGGTCTTGAATTCCTGACCTCAAGTGATCCGCCCATCTTGCCCTTCCAAAATGCTGGGATTACGGGCATGAGCCACCACACCTGGCCTTGACTTCTTCTAAATCTTGGTGGGGAAATCCTGGACTTTAGAGTTATGCAAGTATAGAATTAAACCCAAGTTCTCTCACTGCTATATTTAACGCATTGAACCTAATAGGTCAAGTGTGGAAAATAAGACCTACCTGTCAAGCTTGTTGAGAGATGCAAGTAAGAGAACATCTATAAAGAGTTTACCTTACAGCCTGACACATAAGGCTCAATAAATGCTAATTTCCTGGCCTATTTCTCATCTTTGCAAGTGACTTGCGCGTGTGCGTGCGTGCATGTGTGTGTGTCTGTGTGTGTACAGAGGTTGGGAGTGGGGAGAAAGGGCAGAAGATTGCAGGATGAACTGGATATGAGTGGCTATAAACTATTTGATAGAAAAGCTTGGTTGGAGAAAAATGAGATTATCAGAGAGAGTAAAGTGGCAAGGTAAAGTTATTTTTTTCTAGATAAGGAACTCTGAGTTTGAAGGCAAAGGGGAAAGAGCCAGTAGAAGGAAGTTGGAGCTATTGGAGAAGGAGGAAATCAAAGATGAGGAAGAGATGGGGATCAAGAGTCAAGTTGGGGTGGTCAAAGAAAATACCTGTTTTCAGACCACTCATGCTGGGGAAGGCCAGCCACTGTTGTAAGGACACTCAGATGGCCCATGGAGAGGCCCATGTGGAGAGAAACTGAGTCAGCATTACATGAGTGAACCATCTTGGAAGCAGATCTAGCCTCATTCAAGCCTTCAGATGACTGCAGCCCTGACATCTTTAGAGATCTTGAAACAAAACCAGCTAAGCCACTCTCACACTTCTGACTCAGAGAAACTATTTATAGGAATCCCACAGAAATGTTGAGAAAATTCTATTCACAGAATACTAAAAGGTTCAGAAACCATAAAAACAAAAAAACACTTTTGGACCTCCAAATTCTATAGGCAGGAAGCAGGTAGAGAAGACTACTCACCACCCAGCTAAGGCACTCCCAGTTTATTGACGCACATAATTGTGTGAGATAATAACTTTTTTATTGTTTTAAACCTTTACTTCTTGGGTAATTTGTTACATCACAACAGATAATTCATATTCTTGTACTGTGACATCTGATATATTCCAGACTTGCAGGAAACTAACAGTAAAAAGGATCCCCAAATTTAGGAAAACACTGTTTTTACAGTAGCCTTGATAACAAGTAGCCACCAGAACTAGTTTTAAACATGTTCAATCAACAACTGCCTAAGTGAATACATTTTTGAAAGCCATCATCAGAGTGCCAGACCCTGATTGGCCAAAAGTCAACTCACACTAGTGTGAAAGTCAGCCAAACAGGGACAGAGCCACTCACCTGATTGACTTTCAGAAACAAAGGACTGACTGGATGGGTTAATTTCCAAAAACATGTTTGCTGAGTGTTATGGTATGGTTTGTTTTCCCCCCAAATCCATATGTTGAAATTTCAGCCCCCAAAGTGATGGCATTAGGTGAGGCTTTATGTCATGACGGTGGAGTCCTCAGGAATGGGATTAGTGCCCCCATAAAAGAGACCCAGAGGCTAGGCTCAGTGGCTCACACCTGTAATCCCAGCACTTTGGAAGGCCAAGGCGGGCGGATCATGAGTTTGAGAGCAGCCTGGCCAATATGGCGAAACCCCATCTCTACTAAAAATACAAAAATTAGCTGGGCATGGTGGCGTGTGCCTGTAGTCCCAGCTAATTGGGAGGCTGAGGCAGGAGAATTGCTTGAACTTGGGAGGCAGAGGTTGCAGTGAGCCAAGATTGCGCCACTGCACTCCAGCCTATGCGACAGAGTGAGACTCCATCTCAAAAAAAAAAAAAAAAAAAAAAAGAGAGAGACCCAGAGAGCTAGTCAGCTCCTTCAGCCACGTGAAAACACAGTGAGAAGGCACCATCTATGAACCAGAAAGTGAGTCCTACCAAACCCCTAAACTTGATCTTGGATTTTTTGCTCCCAGAACTGTACAAAATAAATTCTTGTTGTTTATAAGCTACCTAGTCTATGGTATTTTCTTATGGCAGCCCAAATGCACTAAGACACTGAGGGAGATTGTTGTTGATCAATTGAACAGGTTTAAAACTGGTTCTATTGTCTACTTACCATGACTACAAAATAACCCATCTTTTCCTAAGTTTGTGGGAATGTTTTGTAGTCTCAAAGGATAGTGTTCTAATTGTAGGGAGATGAGGAAATCATGTTTCAAGGTAAATCAAGGACAGTGTCTCTGTCCTGTGACTACTGTAAGTAGACATTGGCTGGGCACCTTTCTAAAATGAGCTGTGCCTGAAGCAAAAATAGCCCCCCTAAGGTGAATAGCCAGGAGCTCACCCTTTACATTTCATATTTCTTGTCTAAGGTTTTAATGGGATGTTCAAAAGTCATCTCTCTTTTTGCCTCTGATAGGATTGTCCCTCTCCTCCATCAGCCAACAAGATGACCATGTTTATCTTTTATATCCCCAAGAGACTCCAAAGCTTCTCTTAGCTACTATTTTCTGTACTAGTCTGTCCCTGGGCTCAGGAAGCTCTTCCTGTTATCTAACATTGGCCTCTCCCATTGTGCCCAACCAAATCAAGAGTGTCGAACACTACACCTTTTTATGTTTTTTTTTAATTAAATTAATTCTTTTTTTGAGTGATTCGCCCGCCTTGATCTCCCAAAGTGCTGGGATTACAGGCATGAGCCACCGCACTTGGCCACTTTTTAATGTTTATAAGGCCCATTAATAAGGGTCATCATCTCCATGCATGTGTTCACTTTGCCCTGCCACATCTTCCTAGAGCACCACCCCCTCAACAAAGAGAGAGGAAAAGGGAACAAGAAGTATGAGATTTGCAACTTGCCTTCTCACGTGTACTCTTTAACATTTCTGTCTCCCTTCTGAACATCTTGGTACATCTTTAAAGAAGGAGTAAGGAGTACAGAACATAAACCTTCTCCCAGCTCTGAAGCTCTGGTCCTTTAATCTCCTCGGGGTCTCAACCCCTAGTTTGAAAATTCATGCTGTATAGAAGGGCCAAAGAAGGCCCTTCACAAGCTGCCTCAGAAAACAACAGAGAGAAACAGATGATCTAAGTAGGAAAACACGGTGGATTAGGGTGGCCTCCCAAGCTGTGATCATTGCACCTTCAAGTAAGTACAAAGTGGTTTGTTCAGAGGTCATTCCTACCATAGAATTACCATGATGCAGCTTTCTGAGTGTCAGTGTATAAGAGGACTTGGACCAGGGAAAACATTTTTGTATTAAACATAGACACTTAGAGAGTAGAATTACAAATGTATGTATATACACATTTGTATATAAATATACATATGTATAAGTACATATATAGATATACATATATATGTATATCCTGGAACTTAACGTAATAATGAAGTGTGTGTGTGTGTGTGTGTGTGTGTGTGTGTGTGTGTATACATATAAAATCTTCACCTGGGGGTGGATTGCATTCAGCCTCCCCATTCAGTTTCCTCTGGGTAGAGGTCCACTGTCCTCTGTGTAGAAGCCACTTTGGTAGAAGAGCCCTGGTCAAGCTCATCAATGCCCAAGGCCTGCTCAGCATTCTAATGGTTGGATTAATTGTCCTCTGGAGCTATTTACCTTGGGAGGGCTCTCTCCCCTGCTTCTTCCTGTGTACATCCTTGTACTTTTAGACACCTCAGCCAAATGAATCTCCTGGTCCAGAAAGCTCCATGGATAAGAATTTAAAGATAATGGCTTTCATTCTGCCCCTAGTACACCCCCTAGACAAAGTCAGGCAGTGAGGACGTAGTGAAACCTGCCCATTTCATCCTGTGGATCCTACCACTAAGATTCTCAATTGTGTCGCTGGGTGCCTGATTTATTCCAGGCATTGGGTTAAGTGCCCAGTTATAAAGTTAATTTAGATCCAACATCTGCCAATCCAATGGAAAGACAAAGAAAATCAACAGAGGCTAGAGGAAATACTGGGTGAGAGGGCAGCAGAGGAGAACTCCCCTGCCTGGAGGGGGAGAAAAAGCCATTCCATTGAGCTTAAAATTTACCTAAATTTTAGAAACATTGAAATGAGAAAAAAAAATATGTATTCTGGCATTTTAAGAGATATGCTATACAGTACTTCCTGTCACATGGTAATTACCAAAGATATATAAATTTGCTTCAAAATGAATGGAGCCTAGTGGAATTCTAGAGCCTAGTGGAATTTTTGCTTCTTTCTTCTCTCCACTGCCCCACTCCCATCCACTGGGCCAGAACACTAGACATTGGGAACATTTGAATACACATGAGAGAAGAAGCTTTATTATTGGAAATAAAGGGATGGCAAATGGTGTACATGTGGCAGTAAAATAAGGCTCAGAGAGCACTGAAATACAGTGAGGGATTTGGGAGTTGGGAACAAAAGTAACAGCCAGTAACCTGGAGTTGCTGAAGAGTGTACAGCCTCGAGGAGTGTGGGGCGGCAGGGTTGTGAGTAGAAGCTTGCGATTCTGAATAATATGCACAGTTATTTGAAAAGTGGGGAATTTTTTGGTAAATCGCTTGGAAACTTTTTATATCCATAGCGGGTACCACTATAGTTCATAAGTTATTTTTCACAGTATAAATGCCAATAATATTGCATAACAGCAGGACCATTTGCCTCTTTCACTAGGATTAAAACTGGGTATGTTAAAAGTGCATGAGAGTATTCTAGCTAATAAATGAAGAAGTCAGAGAAATGGAATATCATTTTGTAACCCCCATGATTTAATGGGTATAGTCAATGGCCATTAACGGGCTGTTAACTTCACAAAAAGAGTCAACCAGACATTAGGGGACTTCTAATGGAAGTACAAACACCACCTCTAAAATTGTCCTGCCAAACAAAACAAACCATCAACCAAAAAAATTTCAATGTGAAATTGATCAAGACTTTCTATTTAGCTATCAACTCATAACACAGAGTTCAGAGGAACACACTGTGGGGATGCAATCAGCAAAACCCAGGCTATGAGAATCTGCAAGATAAATGACCCGCTTTCTTTAACAAATAAGTTACCAGGAAAAAAAAATGAAGGACAGATATACAGACCTGCACTGTCCAGAACAGAAAGTGGAGAGACACTGTTATTTTAAGGGGGAAAGTGAAGCCTCTCCACCGCTCTTGCAGCACGTGATAGGACACATCCCAGTAACTTTTTGAGATTGTGGGCTGACAAGAAGCCAGGAGACAGATTTCCTTTACAGAATAGCAAGGTAGACACAGTTGGTGAGGTTGTACCATTTGAGTGGCTTGCTTAATGTTGTATTTATCCATTTGAGTATAGTTTTAATGTATGATTCAATAGCCAGAAGTCTGGAATACTGGTCCCAGCCACCTATGGTTCTTTTTTCTTTCTTTTTTTTTTTTTTGACAGAGTCTCGCTCCGTCACCCAGGCTGGAGTGCAGTGGTACAATCTCAGCTCACCAGGCTCAAGCAATTTTCCTGCCTCAGCCTCCTAAGTAGCTGGGATTACAGGCACCCACCACTACAACCAGCTAATTTTTGTATTTTTAGTAGAGATGGGGTTTTGCCATGTTGGCCAGGCTGGTCTCAAACTCCTGACCTCAGGTGATCCACCCGCCTCGGCCTCTCAAAGTGCTGGGATTATATGCGTGAACCACTGTGCCCAGCCTACCTGTGGTTCTTAACTCTCACCTACTGGTAAGGCTTCCTCACCCAACTTCCTTATACTCTGCATGCTCCAACTAGAGGCTGATTTATACACAAAAATCGGTAACACAAGCAGACTATGCTAACTACTTATGTATATAAAATAAAGAAACAATAATTGTTGACTTTCATATGAATAAGGAAAATGCAAATTATGACAACAATGAGATATAGTATTCCTTCACATGGGTTTTGCCAAATATTATATGTTTGTATAAATGACAAAAATATTACTGTAGCAAAAGTTTATTCACTGTCTATTATAAGAGATTTAGATTGCATTCCCAAAATAAAGTATTGCAAGAAGTAAAGGGAGAGGAAGGCTTCTGCTAAGTTGAGGATCGTTTCCCACATTCCTGTCCATCTCACCCCATTTGCTTCCTGTTGATGGCTTTGCTTTCCTATCTTTCAGGTGGAATGCATCCTTGGGACATCTTTGCATAGCCCCATCTAGGAAGAAGTTCTGTGATGTGTGAACTGTGAGTTTACTCAAACAAGTCCAACTCTTTATAAGACATAGGTAGACGTCAGGTCTGGAATGGAAGAGCCAACAGCAGTAGAAGGCCAGGTCCAGCTTCCAAGCCCCCACCAGGGCTCTCTCAGGAAGGCTGTGGCTGCTGCCCTGGCGCTGGATGGGGAATCCACAATGGGGCACAGGAAAAAGAAGAGGAAAGAGTCACGCCCAGAATCCATCATCATCTACCGCTCAGACAATGAGAAAACAGATGAGGAGCCCGGAGAATCAGAAGGTGGAGATCAGCCTAAAGAGGAGGAGGGAGATGATTTCCTAGACTATCCTGTGGATGATGGTAAGTCTCTCTAGCCCACTTGTTTAAAGCCATGGGAAGGAAACCAAAAGGGCATCTTCCAGAACAGACAGGCATATGCTCACTGTCCTATTTCTTCTTGGTGATACATTTCTTCTTGCAATATTACCACCTTTTATTTATTTATTTTGAGACAGAGTCTTGTTCTGTCACCCAGGCTGGAGTGCAGTGGCATGATGTCGCCTCACTGCAACTTCCACCTTCTGGGTTCAAGTGACTTTCCTGCCTCAGCCTCCTGAGTAGCTGGGACTACAGGCATGTGCCACCATGCCGGGCTAGTTTTTGTATTTTTAGTAGAGACTGGGTTTCACCATGTTGTCCAGGTTGGTCTCGAACTCCTGGCCTCAAGTGATCCACCTGCCTCAGCCTCCCAAAGTGCTGGGATTATAGGCATGAGCCACTGACCTGGTGCAATATTACAGTCTTCATTCAACAAATGGTCAGTATTTACTGAGCACCTATTACATTTTTTTCTAGATGATACAGAAATCTCCACCCTTTCAGAATTCCTAATGAAATGGAAGAGGCTGATTTATACGCAAAAACTGGTAACACAAGCAGACTATGCTAACTACTTAATGTATGTAAAATAAACAATAATTGTTGACTTTCATATGAATAAAGAAAATTATGAGAAAATTTGCCAGAAGAAAATCATATGGCAAATTATGACAACAATGAGATATAGTATTCCTTCACATGTAGGCTTGCCAAAAATTGGGTAAAATGTGATTACATCAATATGAGCAAATGGATATACTTCATGCACCTTAGTGAAAGTGGAAGCCGCTTCAACCACTTTGTGGAGGAAACTTGTCAACGTTTATTAAATATTTAGTAAAATTCACAGTTCAAAACATGCATACCTCATGACCCAGAAATTCTCAATATCTACTCCATGAAACTTATGCCCATGTTATCCTTGTATAAGGAGGCATATATAAGAACATTTGTTGAAGCTAATGCAACCATGATGTGTTTGTATTAAGAATTATTGTGGAGGCTGGGCACGGTGGCTCACACCTATAATCCCAGCACTTTGTGAGGCCAAGGCAGGCAGATCACGTGGGGTCAGGACTTTGAGACCAACAACAGGAGTTTGAGACTGGCCAACATGGTGAAACCCCGTCTCTACTAAAAATACAAAAATTAGCAGGGTGTGCTGGGGCATGCCTGAGGTCCCAGCTACTTCAAAGGCCGAGGCACAAGAATTGCTTTAACCTGGGAGGTGGAGAATCTGTGTTTCTAGAATGCAGAGGTTGCAGCAAGTCGAAATCCTGCCACTGCACTCCAGCCTGGGTGACAGAGCAAGACAACATCTCGAAAAAATAATAATAATTATTATTATTGTGCAGCCGTAGAGAGATGAGGCAGATCTATTTGTGTAGATGGATAGATCTCTAAGACATATGCTCACAGTGAACAAGATAAGCAATTTCTCTGCTCTCCTGCAGTTGACCTTCAGGGAAAGACAGATAGTGAACAAGTCAACAAATAAAAGATACTTTCAGGTAGTAGTATGAGTTCTAAAGATGACAAAACCATGCTGATGGGAAGATGAGTACTGGTGGAGGGTGGAAGGTGGTGGGGGAGAGACTGCATGGTTGTGAAAGGCTTCTCTGAGGAGGTGACATTTGAATTGATCCAAATGACATGAGGGAGCCACCATGAAAAGTTCTAGGGCAGAGTTTTTGGAGGAGGTGGAACAGCAAGGGCAAAGCCTCTGAGGTGAGAGCAGCTTTGGCCCATTTATGGAAAGGAGTTATTTCAGTGTAGGGAGTGTAGGAGATAAGAGGGAGGATGGTGAGAGGAGGACAGGAAGGTAGGCAGAGGCTGGATCATGGTGGCCCTTGCAGGTCTCGGTAAAGAGTTTGATATTTGTTTCAAGTGCAAGAGGAAGTCAATGGAGGACTTTTAAGCAAAGAGACATCATCTTGTTTATATTTGTAAAAGATCACTCTGGCTTCTCTATAAAGAATGAATTATAAGGGTTAAGACTGGATGCTGATGGGAGACTATTGTGTCCCTGCAGCCTCAGTAGCACTAATGGAGAAGTTCGGGTGATAGCAGGAGAAAGCTGGAGAAGAGAAGCTGGATTCAGGATGCAATCTGAACTTGCTGATTGATCAGAGGCAGGGAGTGAGGGAAAGAGAGGAATCAATAATGACTCCTGGGTGATTGACTGGAATGACAGGGAGGATAGATGGTGGTGGTGTTTGCTGTGATGAAGACTGTGAAAAGACAGGGCTTGGGAGACTGCACATTCCTTTTCTCTGGGTAAACAGAGTCCCTGCCACTATCCAGGGCCCTGCTCTTTAGGTGGCTTCATCTTATCTCTCAGTTGTGGGGCAAGGAGTCCACAGGGCCCAAGGTCCATGCCTGCCTAAAGGCTGTATTTTCCCATCCCCACCCAGACTTCTAGGGTGGCCAGCAGATAGCTATTTGGTTCTGTGTGGGTGCGTTGTGTGTGTGTGTGTGTGTGTATGTGTGGTGTGCGGTGTGGGTGTGGTGTATGTGGGGGTGTGTGCGCTGTTTGTGTGTGTCGTATGGTGTGTGTGTGTAATGTGTGGTGTGTGTGTGGATAGGCGTGGGTGGTATGGTATGGGGGAGTATATGGTGTACGTATGTGTGCGTGGTATGTATGTGGTATGTGTAGTGTGGTATGTATGGGTATGTGGTGTGTGTGTAGAATGTGTATATATGTGGTGTGTGCATACGGCATGTGGGTGGGTATGTGTAGTGTATATATGTGGAATGTGTGGGGGGCAGCATTTGTGTGCATGTATGCTGTGTGTATGTGTGGTGTGTGTGATGTGTATGTGTGTGTGTGGTGTGTTATGTGTGTATGTTGCATGTATGTGTGATATGTATGGGTATGTGGTGTGTATATGGTATGTGTATGTGTTGTATGTGGTATGTGTGGGGAGGTTGTGTGTGGCATGTGTGTGGTGTATGTGTTATGTATGGTGTTTGGTATATGTGGTGTGGGTATGTGGTGTGTATGTGGTATGTGTGATGTGCATGGTGTGTGGTGTGTGGTGTGTGTATGGGATAGTGTAGTGTGTGTATGTGGTACGTGATTGGGAGGTGGCATGTGTATGTGTGTGTATGGTGTGTATGTAGTATGTGAGAGGGTGTATGTGTATGGTATATGTGGGATGCATGTGTGTATGCGTGCAGCCCCTGGATGTGAGGGCTGGATCAGGCATGTGAGGGGCCCCCTCTCAGAAAGCACAGAACTAGGCATGAGAAGGGAAGGTGGTGGCCGTCCATCAGTCCAGTATCTTCACAGCACTTGTTACCTAGAAATAGGATCATCATTTGCATCATGTCTGTATCAAAGTTCGTCACACTCCTCCGTGCCACAGAGATTGTGCCAAGATTGAGGCCCCAAAAAGCGGAGAGAGTAGGTGAAAAGCTTAACCTGCCTCACAATTTTATCAGGGCCCAGGCACAAGGACTGAGAGTTCATGTGGGAGCAATAACACCAGTGGTCACTCTCCCGAGGGAGACCCACTCAGTCCGCCATTGAATCACTGACTCAGGACTGTGCCAGATGGTGTAAAAAAGGCTACTCTTGTCCTCATGCCCAGCCTGGGAGGGTGCAACATGGAGATGCAATGCCCACTCTTCTGATCTTGACTCTCACCTCCTTTGTACCCTGCAGATATGTGGAACCTGCCTCTGGACAGCCGCTACGTCACCTTAACTGGGACCATCACACGAGGGAAGAAAAAGGGTCAGATGGTGGACATCCATGTCACATTGACAGAGAAAGAGCTGCAGGAACTGACCAAACCTAAAGAGTCATCAAGGGAAACGACGCCTGAAGGAAGAATGGCCTGCCAGATGGGAGCTGACCGTGGGCCCCATGTGGTCCTCTGGACGCTGATCTGCCTGCCTGTGGTTTTCATCCTTTCTTTTGTTGTCTCTTTCTACTACGGCACTATCACCTGGTACAACATCTTCCTCGTGTATAATGAGGAAAGGACCTTCTGGCACAAGATCTCGTATTGCCCTTGCCTCGTTCTCTTCTATCCAGTGCTCATCATGGCCATGGCTTCTTCCCTCGGCCTCTACGCTGCTGTGGTCCAGCTCTCGTGGTCCTGGGAAGCATGGTGGCAAGCTGCCCGGGACATGGAGAAAGGCTTCTGTGGCTGGCTCTGCAGCAAGCTGGGTCTGGAGGACTGTTCTCCCTACAGCATTGTGGAGTTGCTTGAATCCGACAATATCTCAAGCACTCTCTCCAACAAGGACCCCATCCAAGAAGTAGAAACCTCCACGGTCTAAACTCCCAACAACTTACTCCCTCCTCTGGCCCCAGTAGCCTATATATCATCTTAAAATTCCAGCAGATTATTTCTTTAAATTACCCCCTACTCTCCGCAGTTCTTCTGGGAAATCAGAGTCCATACTGATCAGTTTTACCATCTTGAGGGTTCCAGGAGGGCATGGAGCAGACAAGCAATTGTGCCAAAGCAGTTCACCCAATGGACAAACTCTTTTTGATTCCCTGCCCTAAAATCACCATTTATTTAGGACAATGGAACTCTGCTGTGTGTCGTTTTGGGAGCCTGGAAGTGTTACTGGTGCCTGGAACTGAGGGGAGTATGTGACTAAATGTGTCAGGGAGAATAAAGAACCTCGGGGTAACCAAATCCACCAAGATAATAGACAGGGATGGAGTGAGACATTTAGGAAGCTGGACTACCACAGTGTAGCAGAAGGTAAAGATTTGTGTGTATCATTTAGATTTAGATTTAGCTGCATAGAATTAAAACCCTAAAATATCAGTGGCTTAAACAAGATAGAAGTGTATTTCTTTCTTGTGCAGAAGAAGTCTGGAGGCAGACCATCCTGGGACCCTGTGAAGTAATCCAGGTCCCAGGCTTCTTCTATTTCTCTACCATTAGTAGGATGTGACCCTTCTCACCCTTATCCCCAACATCCCAGTGCTGATTACATCTTCAGCCATCACATCCATGTTTCTGATAAAATAGAGGAAAGGGCAGAGAAGCACACACCCTTCCTGTTCAAGGAGACTTCCCAGAAGTCCCACTCGATTCTTCTTATATCTCATTGGCAAGACCTCAGTCACATGATGTCATGAGCAAAAGAGGCTGGAAATGTAGTTGTTTGGCTGGGTAGCTATATTCTCAGCTAAATACTGGGTTCACGCTAATTGGCAAGAAAAAGGAAGAATGGTTATTTGGGTTTTGTTTTGTTTTGTTTTGTTTCGCTTTAGAGACGGAGTCTCACTCTGTTGCCGAGGCTGGAGTGCAGTGGCACTATCTCGGCTCACTGCAACCTTCGCCTCCTGGGTTCAAGCAATTCTTGTGCCTTGGCCTCCCCAGTAGCTGGGATTACAGGTGCGTGCCACCATACCCGGCTAATTTTTGTATTTTTTTTTTAGTAGAGATGGGGTTTCACCATGTGCCCAGGCTGGTCTTGAACTCCTGACCTCAGGTGATCCGCCTGCCTCGGCCTCCCAAAATGCTGGGATTGTAGGCAAGAATGGTTATCTTGGTAGGCAAGTCAGAATCTTTGCCTCACAATGATCATTTAAATACATTCAGAACCCCCAAACTGCTAATATGGTTTTATTTATTTATTTATTCATTCATTTGTTTATTCATTTATTTATTTAGGCCTGAATCTTACACAGAGAATTTATATATAGATATTAGCTACATATACTTTGAATATGCTATACATCGATATTAGCACCTCACGTACTTTGCAATTAAGCTTCTGTAATGTCATGTGATTTGTTTTTGGAAAGGAATAGTGGACAGGAGAGTACAATTTATAATAGTAGCATAACTCTTTGTCCTGGTGGTGGAGGTGGGACGAGGTGGTGATATTTAACCTAGATTAAAGACCAGGAAGGGAGGAATTGCATCTGCCAAAGTTTCCTCCAACAGCGATCAGTAGCCCTAAGTACAAAGAAGCCAGATTTAGCCTTCTGTTGTTTGGCAAAACCTCACTCAGAGCTTTACTCCCTCAGACCTTTCTGAGTTTAACCACAGACATGATCTTTGCTGTGCTGAGAAACTTGTGTCTACCTGGCCTGTAGGGAGTGTAAACTAGATTAATACAGATTAACAGACTCTGAACTTAAAAAAAAAAATCACTCCTAAGGGTGTCCTTCTAATTTCAAAATATCAACTCCTAAGAGGTCAGCAGAATTTGGAGATTTGGGTCCTTATAAGAATAGCTGGTGCTCTTTTCTTGTTCATGTCTCAAAACAAAGCTGTTGAGAGAACTGCTGCGATGAATCAAACCAGAGGAGTTTGTCATGCTCCCCACAGAGAGCCCAGGACATTTGCCTGATGTATGGTGCTGAGCTCCACCTTCAGAGGAACTCTCTCTTTTTTTTTTTTTTAAATAACTATTATTAGCTTGACAAGAAAAAAAAAGTGCCCAACAGTTTTAGTGTTAATCTTGGTGCTCTATGGTGCATTAGCAGAGATATGAACAATTAAATGAAGACAAAGAAAATAAAAATAAAGTCTGATTAACTTTTGCTCATTTTGTCTTTGAGGCTCTTCAAAATTGCTTTGAATGCTATGGTTTGCAGAAAAAGGGTGAGCATGATGGCTGTCCTATATGTATGTAATGATTTTAATATGAATCCTTGTGTCTGGACTCTTTCCATGCTTCACTAATTTTGGGGAATTCTATTTAGGTGGACTGTTTTCACAAACCACACTAGAAACTTGCAACCACATTTGTCCCATTTTTCTGGGGTTGGGGAAACCAATGGGAAAAGCCAAAAAGTTGTGATTAGGACACAGGTAAAGTGGCTGTGGTGCCATGGAAGAGTGTGGGATGATGATGAGATCATACCCAAGAGATACCTAGATAAAGTTGACATGGCCTTCATCCTAGTTGGGCTCATCATCTAGTGGAAGAAATAGGCTTGTAAATTAAAACCATTTCAAAGGGGTTCTATAGAGGTATGTAAAAGCCTAGACTAGAGGAAGGAAAAACAGAACCAAACAGAACCAAAGCATCTCATTTTTGCTCTCAGCAAACACCACAGAGACCATCAGAGGAGAAACTGGAGAGTTCAATACCATATTTGAACAATTCTTTTGGCTCATAGTTGCCTAATCATCGTGGTGAATATCAAGGAAGATGACTATATTTTCCAGTTGCTTAGCAGCCATAATGTGCTGAGCTGGATAAACCATGTCTGGCCCATAGGGTGACACTGATGTGTTTCCAAGTCATCTTGTCTATTGACATTAGGTAGCACCCTTCATTTCACTTCACATCCAAGAAGAATAAAACCCATGATTTTCTATAAAACAAGATTCTAAATCTTAAAAATAACCAATTTCAGATGATGTGAAAGTTTCATTCTGCCATTTTGGAATGGCCACCCAGAGCTTAATTTGTGCAGTGTTGAAAAATATTAGTGGACATCTTACTACTCACATCTGTTTGGGATATAAACTTTTTTTTTTGAGATGGAGTTTCGCTCTTGTCGCCCAAGCTGGAGTGCAATGGTGCAATCTCCGCTCACTGTAACCTCCGCTTCCTGGGTTCAAGTGATTCTCCAGCAGCTGGGATTACAGATGCGCCACCACCATGCCTGGCTAATTTTTGTATTTTTAGTAGAGATGAGGTTTCACCATGTTGGCCAGGATGGTCTCGATCTCTTGACCTCAGGTGATCCACCCGCCTCAGCCTCCCAAAGTGCTGGGATTACAGGCATGAGCCACCAAGCCCAGCCAGGACATAAACTTTTATTTCATATCTGTACTCTGTTAATATTCTACTTATTTTCTCAGTTACCCATATAACCATTGTAACAGCTCTCTGTCAGAACACAAAGCCTGTATATTTTAATTTTTATAGTGGTCAGGAAGTCATTACTCATAGTTCACGTTCAAGGTAATACCAAATGCAAACATATTCCAGCAACTTAAATTATAATTACAAAATAAAATTTTTATTTGCCTTTATTAACTACCTGAAGGGGAACACATGGTCTACATTGTAGCAATAGTTCAAAAAAATCTCTGCTGTTTCAGTTATCTATTGCTGCTGTAACATCTAAAACACAATGGCTTAAAATAACAGCTTGGTGTGCACCTATGGTCCCAGCCCCTCGGGAGGCTGAGGTGGAAGGATGGCTTGAGCCCGGGAGGTGGAGGTTGCAATGAGCTAAGATAGCGCTACTACACTCCAGCCTGGGTGACAGAGTGAGATCCTCTCTCAAAACAAAAGCAAAACCAAATAAACCCCACCAAAATAGTCACTCAATTCCTTTGCTCACAGTTTTGCAATTTGTGCAGAGCTTGGTGGAGACTACTAGTCTGCTCAATGTTTCTAGTGCTGAGATAGCTTCCTAAGGAGGATCTTCTCCCTAGACAGCCTCACTTGCGTGGCTGCCAAGTTGGTGCTGGGTGACATCCAGGTTACTGTTGGGGCTGTTGGTGCTCAGTGCTTGTATTAGTCCACTTGGGCTACCATAACAGACTTGGGCTGTCATAACAGATAATACCATAGACTAGGTAGCTTAAATGACAGAAATTAGTTTTCTCACAGTTCTAGAGGCTGGAGGGATCTCTTCTTGGGTTGCAAGTGGCTGTCTTCTCACTCTGTGTTCACATGATCTCTTTGTGTGAGTGGGGAGAGAGGGAGAGAGGGAGAGATGGGGAGGGAGGGAGGGGGAGAGAGAGAGAGAGCGAGCGAGCTCTCTAGCGTCCCTTTGTCTCTTGTTTCTTTTCACAGAAGCACTAATTCCATCAGGAGGGCCACCCTCATGACTTTACCTAAATCTGATCACCTCCCAAAGGCCTCATCTCCAAATATCATCACATTGGGGGTTAGAATCTCAACATATGAATTTTGGGGAGACACACTCAGTCCATAATAGGGCTCCTTCATGTGGCTATGTTGGGCTTTCACAGCATGGCAGTCTTCATACATGGTATCTGGGTTCACCAGGGTGCAAAAGACAAATCTGCCAGGTATTCTAAAGGCTTCAGCCCAGAACTACCTACTGTTCTGTAAATGCCTACACATTTTACTGGTTATAGCAGGTCATGAGGCCTGTCCAGATTCACGGGGAAGGAACTACATAAGGGTGTGAATGCTGAGAGGCATGGCTCACACGCATCACCAAAATGACATTTTGCCATTCCCCCTTTCCTATCCCATTTATTTCCCTCATATGCCACAGTGGCTTTTACACATTTCTCTCTAACTCCCCCTTCTGTCCCCCAACACACATACCATCACCACCACTAGTCATAGCCCATCAACCTCCTGTCCCCCTTTATTCCCAATTCTGTATCATTTAAATCCAAAAGGACCTTGCACTGACAGAAACAGAACGAACAAAGCCAGAATCCTTTTGTTGTGGAGGAGGAAGGGAGTAGCCATATATGCTGTCACATCATTAATAATGTTTATCCCTTGACCCTTGATTAATGAAGGCCCTTTGCCAGGGGAAGCAATGCTTAAAGTCCATATCCCTTTTCAGCGTCACAGATGCCTAGCTGCACAGAGGTGGCTGGTTCTAAAGACTTCTATAAAAACAGCTGAGATGCAAACAAGCACAGCTACTAGAACCTCTTTTATTTCTTCCAAGAAACAGACCTGTACTGAAGGGTGTATGGAAGACAGAGAGTGGGGACAGGGAGAAGGAGAAGAAGGGGGAGGAGGAGGAGCAGGAGGAAGAGGAAGGGGAAAAGCAAGAGGGAGGGAGGGAAGGAGGAAGGGAGAGAGAGAGAGAAAGGAAGAGGAAAAATAGAGACCATATACAAGATAAAAACATGGACATAAAGCATGCAAATTTCCTTCACTGTACTGAGTCTCCAGTAATTCTCTTTACCAGTCTTATTAAAAATATTTTTTAGGCTGAGCGCGGTGGATCACATCTGTAATCCCAGCACTTTGGGAGGCTGAGGTGGGCGGATCACCTGAGGTCAGGAGTTCGAGACCAGCCTGGCCAACATGGCAAAATCCCGTCTCTACTAAAAATACAAAAATTAGCCGGCACAGTGGTGGGTGCCTATAATCCCAGCTACTTGGTAGGCTGACGCAGGAAAATCGCTTGAGCCTGGTGGCGGGTGGGAGCGGCGGAGGTTTGTAGTGAGCCGAGATCGTGCCACTGCACTCCAGCCTGGGCGCAGAGTGAGACTGTTCTCAAAAAAAAAGAGGGTATCAGGGTACATTATCTCCACATGCTGATAAGTTGTTACATAAGTCCCACCAATTCACAATTTAATATCATATACTCTACCCACTCAAATTTTCAGTCTTTCAAAGCACATTAACAAAGTTATCAGGAAAATGGGACTAGCACAACCAAAGATGTTACAGACTGCACACAATTTTGACACGGATAGCAACGTGACCAAGGAGTGGTTTTCTTCAGGAAACAATTCTACTAAAAAAACCCATGAAAATAAAAGTAATTTAAAATTTTCAAGACACATTAAATGCATGACTGTGGCTCTATATTGCCATTTAGTATGCGCTGTACTGTAGGAAATAAAATACCCTCTCCCTAGGGAATGTTAAACTGACTTCGAAGACAGTGAAAGCCTCCCATTATTCACTATTTCAGTGTTTCCTGGTTGTACCAAACAACAAACAAGTGAATTATTTCACCTTTTAAAAGCTACACTTTAAAAATGGGATAAAGTGGGATTCCCTCCTTCCTAAAAATGTTTCAGCCAGGCACAGGCTCACGCCTGTAATCCCAGTACTTTGGGAGGTCAAGGTGGGCGGATTACCTGAGGTCGGGAGTTCGAGACCAGCCTGACCAAGATGGAGAAACCCCATCTCTACTAAAAATACAAAATTAGCTGGGTGTGGTGGCACATGCCTGTAATCCCAGCTACTTGGGAGGCTGAAGCAGGAGAATCGCTTGAACCCGGCAGGCGGAGGTTGCCGTAAGCAGAATTCGCGCCACTACACTCCAGCCTGGGCAACAAGAGGGAAACTCTGTCTCAAAAAAAAAAAAAAAAAAAAAAGTTTCTACAGCTACTAAAAAACTTGCATTTAAAAATAGTTGATAAAAATATTCCTTATCAAAATAGTTGATAAAAATATTCCTCTGAGGCCAAGTGCAGTTGCTCACACCTGTCATCCCAGCACTTTGGGAGGCTGAAGCGGGAGGATCGCTTGATCCCAGGAGTTCAAGACCAGGCTGGGCAACATAGGAAGACCCCGCCTCCACACACACACAGAAACCCCACAAAAATTAGCTGGGCTTGGTGGCACACACCTGTGGTCCCAGCTACCTGGGAGGCTGAGGTAAGTGAATCGCTTGAGCCCAGGGGTTCCAGGGTGCAGAGAGCTATGATTGTGCTACTGGACTCCAGCCTCGGCCGAGCGACACCCTGTCTGTTTCTTTCCTTTTCTCTCTCTCTCTAGCTCTGGATCGTACAAGAAGGGAGACAAGGACCACTGACAAGATATGGTATGTGATACTAATCAGATTTGGCTTCTTTCTGTCCTGCTTCACCAGAGGCTGGACTCTCCTTGTTTCAGTTTCTCCGCTTTCCACAGATAAATCTTTTGTTTCCCGGATAGCCACTTGGCCTGTTTGCCCTTTGCTCCCATTTTTCCTTGTTTGCTTCTTTGTCTGAAAATTTATGCTGTCCTGCTGCCTCCGCTGGGCTTCGTTTCCACCTTTGCTGGAGGAGATTTAGCTGACAACCTCACAGATCTTCCCCGCCCCTTCTGCCGAGCTGATCTTTCTCTTGGAAATCTTACCCGCAGGGAAGGGCGAGTGTCCGTGCCTGCCTGCCTGCCTGCTGCAGCCCGCGCAAAGCTGAGCGGCCAGGGCGCTGCTGTTCCTTTAAAGTATTATTAAAAATAATATTTCAGCTTTTAAGTAACTCCTTGAGTTTGAATCAAAAGCTGGAAGAACCTCCTGGGCTCTATGAGCACCTCTGAATATGTCTGACTCTACATTCTAGAGGCTTCAATGTATTTATAATTTTGGCTCATAGATTCTCCACATCTTTTCAGCTTCAATTCTTGCTTTTCCCAGAAACAATTTTCAAGCAGGAGAGAATATTGATTGGACTTGATTTTCTCAGTTTGGGCAGAGGTTTGCAGACACTTTGCAGGTTGCCAGACCCTTCGTCCAGCCACCTGTCAGCTGGGGGTCATATGGTATAGAAAGCAGTCATTTCTATGCAAGGTACTGCTTGGGCCTGCCTCCCTCAAAGGGGTAGGGGATGCGGGCTGGACAAAGGGCTCGTGATCAAGTAAAGCACTGTGATGACAGCTGCTATTTCTATATCTCCCTAGACTTGTCTTCTAAATTAAACCTTGACTCCTCCCTTCCAAGCTGGAGCCACTGCTAACTACTGGGAGAGCCTTAGCAGATAAAGTCTCATGCCTCCAGGCGTTTGTGCATCCCATTTTCTCTGCAGAGTAGAATCTCCCTTCTACTTTTGTGCTCCTGGGGACGTCCTACTCTTCTTCCCCAGTTGGCTCTAAGGTTATCACATCGGTGAAGTGTTTCATTATCACTTTTTAGAAGAAACTGAGTCTTTTAGAGAAGTTAAGTGACTTTCTGCATTCATACTCATACTCAAGAAAATCTAACTCCACAATAACCAAAAATAAAAAGTAGAAAAAAACCCACAAGTGATGAGAAAAAAAAAAATCAAAAGTTATAAAAAATAAATGAAAAAATGAAATTAAAGGAAAAAAGATTTTTTAAAAAAGTAAAAAAAAGAAAAGAAATCTAACTCCAGAGCTCTGACACAAAATGCCTTAGGTGTTATTCTCAATGAGAGAAAAGGGACGTGAATCTTTAAGTGATTAAGTGAATCTTTAAGTAAATCTGTCGTACTAGCGTTTCAGGCGGCTCAAACACCACACGCTCCCGACTACGGCGGAATGGAGAGAATGTGCGCATGCTCGGCGGGAATCTGCGCATGCTCGGCGGGAATCTGCGCATGCTCGGAGAGAATCTGCGCATGCTCGGCCGGAATCTGCGCGAGCTCGGCGGGAATCTGCGCAAGCTCGGCGGGAATCTGCGCATGCTCAGAGTTCCGGGGCACGGTTTCCCCGCCCCTTTCAGGCCTAGCAGGAAACGAAGCGGCTCTTTCCGCTATCTGCCGCTTGTCCACCGGAAGCGAGTTGCGACACGGCAGGTTCCCGCCCGGAAGAAGCGACCAAAGCGCCTGAGGACCGGCAACATGGTGCGGTCGGGGAATAAGGTATAAAGAAAGCCATGGACTTGGGCTTTACCCGGACTGGGGATCCGGAGAGGGTGGTTCGGAAGCAGGAATCGTGGGATCGCGGTCAAGACAAAGAATGGGGCAAGAGAAGATCATGGTGGTGGGCTCAGTCAGGAGGGCCGGGACCGAGGGATGCGCTATGAGAAAAGCTGGAGATTTGGGGCTCCAAGACCTGAATTTGAGCCTCGCTGACTCCACCTCTTCCATTACCCACCCATCCCATCCCTCTTCTCCCTCTCTACCTGCTCTTTGTCTCACCTGCCTCCCCACCCGCCTCCCCTCTCTCTCTCTTTATCCCATTCCACTCCCTAGCCCCACTTCCTCTATTACTTCCGAGCCTGGGTTCTTAAGATCTCTATGAGAATGAAAATTAGCTGTGATAAAGCAACTATCCCACAGGGCTTGTTGTAAAACTTAAGAGAGGGACTATCTGTGACTAAAATAACTTAAACTGTAAAGCGTCGTATTATTAGCTTTATAATAACGTAGTATCCCGCATTTATTGAAAGCCCACTCTGTGAGGGACGGATCTAAACCTTTTATTCTTATCTCATTTAATCTTCACAACCCCTTGAAGTGAAAACTATTTATCCCCATTTTGCAAGTGGGAAAACCGAGGAATAAAGAACTGTGGGCTTTTCCTGGTGAAATCCGGATTTGAATCCAAGCTGTCTGGTTTCAGGGCCCTGGAGAACCCCTGTGTTGCTAGAAATCTATGACCATTGGTGTCCCAGATCAGTAACAGAAATTACAATGAATTTTAAAGTGATTTTTTTTTTTCAACATAAAAGAGTGGTAGTTGTCTCTGAAGGGTCACTAGAGGGAGATGTGGTTCCAGGGATTAATGAATTTATTCAATACAGATAAACAAGATACGAGTTTGAGCAACTGATCCCTAGTTCCCTCAACTCCTCATTGAGAAATGTTGATTAAAACGATCATGAACTTTTAATAATGCCACTCACCTCCTTTTTTCGTCCTCTTTCAGCTGCTGAAAACTTTGTAGCTCTAGTGGAGGAGCTGTTTGTTGCAGATGAACTGGAAGTAAAATTCTAACAGCCTGTATTGCTTCGGTATAGAAATGAAGAGTTGCTATGCTACCCGGTTTCTCTTTCTCAGTTTTCTTACTGCTGCCAGATAGGAACTCAGAAATATAGACCATTCTGCTTCCAGACAATAAGTTCCATATTTGAAACCCTTTGATGGCACTTACTGGATACCTAATTCATGACAAAAGTGCTTTAGTCCTCTAGAGTTTTCTGGTTTAAAAGTAGCTTTTGTGGGTGTGTATCAAATAAGTGCAGCAGCATATTTTGTGACTCTTAAGTTTTTTTAGGTTATCATGCCCCAGGCATTGAAACTGGGATGTGCATTTTACTGTTCTCAAAGGAATTTTGTGGTTTATTAGCACGTTTTTTTTTTCAAATAATCTAATTTTACTTCAGAAATCTCTTAGTGCATTGTGTTGTTTGTAAACTAGTGAAAAATAATCTTTTCTTTTCATGTGTTGCCTGAGATATAACCACATTTAGAAATCATCTATAACTTCCCTGATAGGAATTCATTCAGGTTTTTAAAACATTTCTAGGGTCAAGAGATCACTTAAAAAAGAGTAGTTTCTTTATTGATCACTTCTAAATGTTATTTTTTATCCCTCGTATGGAGTCGCATCAGTCTCCCTGTAACTTCCATCTGTTGATCCCGTTGTCTTTCTTGGCAGACCAATCCTTTTATACAACAGTTGTCAAATATCTGGGGGGAGGCCAGACACGGTGGCCTATACCTGTAATCCTAGCACTTTGGGAGGCGGAGGTGGGAGGATTGCTTAAGCCAAGGAGTTTGAGACCAGCCTGGGCAACACAGTGAGACCCCAACTCTACAAAAAAAATTTAAGAATTAGCTGGGCATGGTGGGGTGCAACTGTGGTCCCAGCTATTTGGAAGGCTGAGGTAGCGGGATCACTTGAGCCCGGGAGATGGAGGCAGTAGTGAGCCATGATCATGCCACTGTACTCCAGCCTGGGTGACAGTGAGACCATGTCTCAAAAAAAAGGAAAAAAAAATGGTGGGGAGGAAAACTGTTATGTTCCCTTTAATCTTCTCATCTGACTTAAATATCTAGTTATTTCCAACTGTTCTTTACATCATGTATTCTTCAGATTCTTCCCTAAGCTGCTCATTTCATGTTCATTTGTAATTAATTTTCCTGGTAAGATGTTAGCCCAGAACTGCTCACAGTTTGTTTGATCGGTACAAAGCACTGCGAGACTATCAGTCAGAGTCAAGGAATGTGAACTCCAGAAAGGACCTTAAACCTCATCTAGTCCAACAGTTTCCTACCTTTTAGTATTATTAACAGTGAGATTAAGTGACATTCCCAAGGACTCAGAACTAATGGGTAGGAGAGATGGGACTAGATCCCAGGTCTCCCGATTGCTATTATCTTTTTTCACCAGAAGACCCTTCTTTTCTCTTCTTGAATTCACTACACTGTTGATACAGACCAACATATTTAGGCGATGAAGTAAGATAGGTGTGGGGAATGTGGTGCAAAAGACATTTCACGTTGTTGATTGATTTTATAATTCACACTGAAATTGTGAGTTGCCATCAATCCAGGTCTCTTCCAGCTTGTGTTCAGGTAAAATTTGGAAGCCAGGTATAAATAACTTTACATGTATTCCTTTTAGGTTATGTTTCTCTTATTTTCTTAGTCTCCTACATACGTGATTGCTATGTAATGGCTTGTGCCTTAGCTTATGTGATTCCGTCTGTCACTTACTTGTTCACATGATTGACTCCTACTCATTAAGACTCACCCAAGGAAATCCACATTCAGGAAGCCTTTTCTGCCCCTTCACCGCTCTGGTATCCCCTCCACCAGTCTTGAGTGGATGCTCCTCCTGTGTCTCTCAGTGCCCAGTGCATACTTCTATCATGGAACATTGTTCTGGTATTATTTGTTATCTGTCTGTGTCCTCTACTAGAATAGATTTGGTGTCTTTATTTTAGATCATCAGTTTACAAACTGACTCAAATTGTCAGGGTATACCTCTTAGCATATATATAGATTCTAGCAGTCACTTCTTGTGACAAAAATGCTTCATAACAAATTATGCCCCGAATCAGTGACTTACAGTGAAAGCATCTGTTCTCATGTTTGTAGGTCTGCAGGTCAGCTGCAGTTTGTCTGATGTATATTGGGCATAAATGGGTTTAACTCTGGCCTGCAGGTTGGCATCATATGTACTCATCATGGGTTTATTCTGGGGCTTAGGCCAAAGAAGTGGCAGCTATCTGGAGCATGTTCCTCTCCTGGTAGAAACTTCTGTAGCTTTTAGAAAGTATCAGGACTATTTAAGGGTTTTCCATAGTGAAAATTTATATGTCTTACACACATTCTTATGTAGAACACATCCCTTTTTCACACCTTTCCTAAATACTGATACAGGTTCATGAATACAATAAGCAAGGGACATTCTTACAGTCTTTTCTTACGACTTATTTTCTCAAACACTCTTTGGAACTTTGTTTCCAGGCAGCTGTTGTGCTGTGTATGGACGTGGGCTTTACCATGAGTAACTCCATTCCTGGTATAGAATCCCCATTTGAACAAGCAAAGAAGGTGATAACCATGTTTGTACAGCGACAGGTAAGTTTCAGATTGACACTGAGCTTGTAACCCATGTTTGAACTGCTTGTTGCCTCTACCTACTAATGCAAGATACCAGCCTCCTTATAGTGTCCAGCCCCTCTGTTTGGGGGGATTCTGGGGAGTTTCCTTACATGTACTCACATACAACTTCACCTACCACTAGAGTCTGATATTTTTTCTTCCCTCGTTTTGGCCCCTTCACTAGATATTACAGTTTTTATCGGAAACAAGAGGCAGTAAAAAGTAATGTTTAAAAGCACAATCTCTAGAGACAGATGGCTTGGGTTTGTATCCTTGCTCTGCCATGTCATTTACTAACCTTCTGATGTTGAACAAGTCCCTCAACTTGTTTGTGACTAGTTCAGTTATCTTTTGCTGTGTAATAAACTACCCCAAAATGTAGTGTCTCAAGTAACATTTTAAAAATTCATCATTCATGGTTCTGTGGGATGACTGGGTTGCTCAGTTGGGTGATTCTCTATTGAGGCCTCTTACGCAGTTGCAATCAGATGGCAGCTGGGGCTGGAGTCACCCAAAGGCTCAACTGGACCAGATGTCCAAAATGGCTCACTCACATGGCTGGAAGACGATGCTTTCTAGTGGCTGTGAGCTCAGTTGGGGCTGTCCGTTAGAATCTCTACATGTGGTTTCTGTATAGTTTCAATTTTCACATGAAGCAGCTGGTTCTAAGGAGTATCCCAAGAATGGGTTTTCTATGAGACCCTGCCTATGTGGCTTCTTAAGACCTATTTTTAGAAGCCCCAGAAAGTCATTTCTGTTTTCTGTTAGTCAAGCAAGACACTAAGGTTAGGTCACATTTAAGGGAGGAGAATTAGACTCCCTCTCTTGATAAAAAGAGTAGCCTGCAAATACAAGGAGAGAAAGAACGGATGGTGGCTATCTTGGAGGTTAGCTACTACAGTGCCTCAGTGTCCCATGTGTAAAATGAGAATAATGATACCTGTCACATAGGGTAGTTTTGAAGAATAAAAGAATTAATGTAGATAAAGTGCTTAGAATAGTGCTTGGAATATTGTAAACACTATGTAAGCATCAGCTGTTTTTATTTCTGCCCCTTCTACTTGGTATGACTGCCACTTTTGCTAAGTCCATGAGTTCCTGCTTCTTTCATTGTCTACTGCTGCTCCTCCTGGACACTTCTGTTTCTTCTGTGTGTTTACACTTCCGTTGGGCACTAGTACTTCCCACCTGTCATTCTAGATTTTTAAAAATCTTGATGACCTGGAGTCCTTGAGGTGTTGTGTCAAGGAAGGTGCTCTAACCCTGTTCTTGGTTATAGTTGTGTTGGTGGAATTCAAGTAGTGTGGCTGTCCCCTGGTATGCTGTTAGAGAAGGTAAGTAGACATGAGCAGGGCAGGAGAGAGGGCCCCCGAGAATGTTGGGCATTTGTGAAGCCATGGTTAGGCAATTAGAAATCCGTCCCTCTGAAGTGATGAGCAGGGCAAGGGAGGGGCCCCAAAGCTGTCAGGTTATCATCGAGGGGAAGACAGGCGGGCATAAAACTATCACTGTAAGGTAATAAGTGGCCATGATTGGTGTCAGGAATTACAGGAATCTTAACAGACAGAAAACACCTGGAGTTAGCAAGCTATAATCCTTAAGGTTTCGAGCATGCGCAGTAAAAGAGCAAGATGGTGAACTTTAACTGGTATAAAAGCTGCCTCTGGGGGCGCTCGACCAATAATGCCGAGTTGCCGCTACTGAGCATGCGCATGACTAGTAACCACACTACGCATGCGGCCCCCTCTTAAGCAGTAGCAGGGCTAGTGCGCATGCGTTGATTAATTCGGGCTGCTCAAGGGAGGAACAAAGGAGACTGGAAGCCCGGGAAAAGATGGCGCCGGTGGTTGGGGGGCGGGGCGGTCTAAAAACTAAACAAAGAAGGGCGCAGGGCACTTGATTTTTCACGTGGCCCTCTTGGTTCTCTTCCAAGTGTACTCTGCTTTCTCCAGTAAACTCTCACTTTGCTTAAAATAAATTTTTCCTCCTGCTTTAAACCTTGCTTATGTCTGTCGTTTCAATTGTTTACTTCGAGAAGACCAAGAACCGAGATTACTGCGGAGTCGCCACTCCGGAGTTTCTCTGGATAACTGCCGACTTACACCCCAGTAACAAGAGTATAGGTGTTTTTTTGTTTGTTTGTTTTTGTTGTAGAGAGAAAGAGTCAGAATCAGGAAGTCAGAATCAGGAACTTAGTGCCAGTCCCATACTACATTCAGAATTTCCTCCCCTCCCATGACTGAGATTTTGTCTAGGGCAAGATTACCTTGCCTTAAGATGGATGCTTGTCTAGGCGGCAGATACCTGCCCAGCCAGTATGCTACGCATGCTTGAATCCAGCAGCAGGCACCCAGACACCGTTAGTCCATGTACAACTGGGAATTGTTGTGTTGTTTACAGACTAAAGGATTAAACAGACCCTACAAAAATGAAGAATGACAGAATTCCATTATCTCTCCATACAGCACTCTTCCCCATCAATGTAAAAAGGCTTATGTTAATAATTAGACAGGACTGTCTTTTGTGTCAGATACTATTTTTTGTTTTTATATTTCATTATGAAATATTTCATAAAATAGGCAAATATGGAGAATATACAGGTAACCAATTTTCCCATTGTCTTATGCTGTAAATCCTAATGTTTCATATTTGTTTGATTTTTTTTTTAATAAAGTGTTACAGATAAACCTGGAGGCCCTTCCTTACCCTTTTTTTCTCTTCTCCTTTTCTCAGGATTTTGGTAGTTATTACCATGTATATTTTATACTTGGACATAAGTATATATTCATAAATACTTAGTATTGTATAAAGCTGTCAAAAGTGTAAATGGTTTTATATGCTACATGTAATTCTGCAGCATATCTTTTATCAACTTATTTTAGATCTATTCATGTTGATACGTGTTGCACAAATTTATTCATTTTTACTGGAGTATGATATTTCGTTGTATAAATATTCTGCAATGTATTTTTGCATTCTCCTGTTTGATAGTTTGCTTCCAGTTTTTGCCCTATCATAAACAGTGCTGAAGTGTAAACTTCCTATCTGTACATAATTTTTCTAGGGTATACTGTATATGCCTGCCCCTGAAATTGCTGGGATATAGGCTATCCTGCACTTTTTTTTTTAACCTCTGGAAAATTTAAACCTTAGACATTCCATAAAGACATACTAAAATCTTTTCACATTACCCATTTTTGGTTCTCTCATTGAGAATTAGAGTTTGATTTCGCTGGAAATCATCAAGAACACTTACTACCCTCCTATTTCCACACCTCAACTTCTGCTGAAATGAAGGGTGAGACTTATGGTCAATGAAAAACATCTGTTCAGAACCTAAGAATTGTCATTGTCTGTAAGTCTCATGTTTCATCCCGCCCAATACTATATGGCCCCAGGGACCTGCCATAGGGAGGTCTGGTTGTCCTGCTCCCTGAAGGTTAGGTATTTTATTGCTTCCAGATTGTTCTAATATGGTTTTCAGCCATCTGACATTTTTTTCTAGGTGTTTGCTGAGAACAAGGATGAGATTGCTTTAGTCCTGTTTGGTACAGATGGCACTGACAATCCCCTTTCTGGTGGGGATCAGTATCAGAACATCACAGTGCACAGACATCTGATGCTACCAGATTTTGATTTGCTGGAGGACATTGAAAGCAAAATCCAACCAGGTTCTCAACAGGCTGACTGTATCCTTTTTCTGCCAGAGAAGACTTTAAGAAATTTCCTTTATTCTGGGAATCGTACAGCAGTTTGATGAGACACCCCCAGAGTTTCAGCTATGAGTATATGGGTATATTTTGCTCTGAGGAGGGGGAGGTAATGTGTTAATAGGGTTTAATGTGAAATTAATCAGTTTAAAACAGTGCCTGGGCTCCCAGCCCTCCACTCACTTCCCTGTTCTCTGCATGGGTGATACTGAGAGGTTGGGAGGCATAGGAAGGGGGAAGATCCTAGGGAGTATATGTGAGCATTGACTATATGCAGAGGGTTTTAGTGGTGCTCGTTAGAAATGTTTGGAGGCGGATAGAAAATATTTTTAGAAGAGCATCCTCCCAATGTTCTCTCCTTTTTTTCTGGATGGAAGATGTTTTTGTGCCAGAAATCAGATTGATACCCAAAGTGAGATTTCCAGTTTACTCCACAGGTCCCCTAATTTTAAGGGATCATCACTCTTGTTCTTTTTCTAATCAGTTAGTAGTGCTATTCCTGATCACTGGGAAGTGCTGTTGTGTTAGGAGTGACTTGCAAATGCTACATTATGGTTCGCTTCATATTTAAGAATGGACTGTGGCCACCAAGAATGGGTTCTAGATACTATTAAATGACATAATTTTTGGTTAAATGAATGCAATGTGTTAGATTACCTTTTGTTTATATTTCTTGGTTGTTTTTGGCAGAATATATAGTTTGATATATAGAATGTATGAATATATGTTAGTGAACTTTGGAAGAAGGGCACTCAGGCAAGTACTTTAAGTCATCACATAGTTCAGTGTCCACAATTTCCAGCACGGTGGACTTCATTGGAAAGAGTTGCGTGTTCACATGAAGAGACTGTTTGGTGATATCCCTATCCTTAACTAGCTGAGTCCTGGATGCACTAATCGTGAGCATGGATGTGATTCAACATGAAACAATGTAAGTGTTCCAAGGAAGAGAGCTGGAAGAGAATCTTTTTGCAAAAATTGTATGGGTTAATGTATTGAATGTATTTTGTGATTCATTGTTAATCAAGCTGCATGTTTGTGTGACAAGAGAAACATTTTATAGAATTGAATGGTTCAGTCCAACCTCTCTGTTTTTTAAAAGTTTTAAAAGGGGAAGGGCTGTACTCGGTGATTATTTCTCTGGAAGAAATAAAACATTTGGCTTATTTCAGTTTACTTCCTATTAGACTTAAGCTGATTACCAGGAATTTTAAAAAACACTAAGTGGTATAAGCCATATGTCATTGATATTAAGTGCATGGTAACTCTGGCCAACTTCCCTTTTTTGTTGTGTGTGTGTATGTTTTTTGTTGTTTTTTTTTTTTTGAGTTGGGGTCTTGTTCTGTCACCCAGACTAGAGTGCAGTGGTGCCAATATAGCTCACAGCAACCTCAGCTTGATCTCCTGGGCTCAAGAGATCCTTGCATCTCAGCCTCCTGAGTAGCTGGGACTACAGGTGCACACCCAAGTCCAGCTAATTTTAAAATTTTTATTTTTGCAGAGACGGTCTCACTATTTTGCCCAGGTTTTCTCAGACTCTTGGCTTCAAGCAGTCCTCCTATCTTGGCCTCCCAAAGTGTTAGGATTACAGGCATGAACCACCATGCCTGGCCTGCTTCCTAATTCAGTATTTATTTAATTATTGTGCCTTGGAAGTGTATCTCTGGAGACATATATGTGCATGTACACATACCTCTTGCCTGTCAGGAAAATCATTTGCACTAAAATCCCAGACCTAAATCTGTGTAATCATTTCTCAATCTCTGTACATCCTCTGCCAAATCTTGCCACACAAAATCTGTGCATGGAGTCAGAGCAGGATATTTAGAAAGTGAACCTGAGCAAGGCTGAAGTTAGAGTATGCTGGGAGAATTCTTTGTTTACATTCTGCCTATGTGGAGGCTGGGAAGGGATATTTTTTCATCACATTTGAGTTCGGAATCCAGAAACATAACATTTCCATAATACCCAGACATTTTGGCCAAGATGTTCAAAGTATAAAGTGTATCAGGGTTGATTATGAATTTAATAAGAACTTAATTGGACTACTAGAATGTAATCACATTTATTAACTCTAGATCCATTTCTAAGCTTCTCTCCTCAGTGACCAAGTGTATTTGAATTTGTAGAAAAATAATTCAGGAGAATGATTTCTTAATATGATAACTCTCTCTTTTAGAGGAAAGAAGTTTGAGAAGAGGCATATTGAAATATTCACTGACCTCAGCAGCCGATTCAGCAAAAGTCAGCTGGATATTATAATTCATAGCTTGAAGAAATGTGACATCTCCCTGCAATTCTTGTAAGATCCTAAGAATAATGCATGTAGACAAATCCTATGATTTCCTAATATAGTGAATGGGCCCTCTGTATAGAGTACTTGGTTTATGGGAATTTTCGCTTTCTGCTCCAAGGCTGAATCTGTCAGATGACTGACTACTCAGCAAACATTTGCTGGTTACTCTCTGTGTTCTAGGAACTGTTCTGAGTGGTCGTGACAAAAAGATGAAAGTCAGTGATCCAGAAGAATTGAGCTTAGTGGCAGATCATTGTTTAGTGTTCTTAGACTCAAAGAATTGAGGATTAGAAGAACCCTTTGAGGATATTCAATTTGTCTCCTTCCTGCATAGAAGGCTTTACCCAAACAATTAGCAGATTGATGGATTTTTTTTTTTCTTAAACAGCTCTAGAGAACTGTGTCCTATACAGAGTGCATGTTTTAGGGTAGACAGGAATGCCAACTTGGGAATCATTCTAAATACATAACATGTTTATGTTTAACTCTTTTCAGATCCAAAAGTTGTGGACACATATATAAAATTTAATTTGCTTCTGTTAATTCAGAGATGGAGTATAAAACTTCAGGGGAAAAATATGTATTTCACAATTTATTAGGGAGAGAATTCCTCCTCAAAAAGTAACTTGAATATTCCCTCCGGGATTTACTTTCTCTGTGTTATATCCCTAACAAAAATTTCTTTTCACTACACTAACCCTTCTTGCTGCATTTGAAACATATTTTTTCTTGTCCTATTTTTGGTGAAAGTTGAGTGATGGTATAGAATGTTGAATTATTAATCTTCTGGGAATACTCGTTTTTCAAATTGAGAGCTATGCCAAGAAGCCTCTAGGTTAGAGTGGTAAGCCTTTGGCTTCATAAAATGCCTGCCTGGGGGTATTAAGAACTTGTTTTGCATGTGTGAGTAGTCTTCTCTTAAGACTACAGAGCGACATCTCCTTTCTGTACGACTGTGGAAAAAGAGTTCAGAATAACCCATCAAACCAATACTTGTTAAGATGGTACTTCAGAGAAATTAAGTGCTTTTAAGTGACACTTCTTACTGAGTTGAGGTTTTTCTCAGTACTTCAGAAGCCCAGCACAGCTTCTGGTCCTTTTTCATAATCTCAGGATGCCTTTACATGTTAGAAGCAGACTGCATTTCAGTGAATGTCATTCGAAAGAGCTACTCTTTTTTTCCATGAGCAATACAGAAAAGTGCAGAAGAGGAAGCATAGCCTTTGCTTCTATTTGCTTTTTATTTGGTTGTATTTTTTTCTTGGTAATATGCTTTCTTCCTGTGCTACAAACCTCCAGCATACAAAGTAGAGTTCATAGTTTTACTGTTTGGTGTATTCCATGTACAGCTGATTGTTGTAATTGGACTAAAAAAATACCAGCAGCTCAGAGAAGCCCTGTGTTCTGTTTTTAATTTATTTTTAATTTTTTTTTTTAGAAACGTCTTCTGTAGTGGCATAGTTATAGCTCACTGCAGCCTAAAACTCTTGGGTTCAAGTGAACCTCCTACCGGAGCCTTCTGTATAGCTGAGACTATAGATGCATGTTACCACACCCAGCAGTTTTTAGTTTTTCTTGGTTGTTGTTTGTTTTTGAGATGGAGTCTCGCACTGTTGCCCAGGCTGGAGTGCAGTGGTGCAATCTCGGCTCACTGCAACCTCCGCCTCCCAGGCTCAAGCAGTTCTCCTATCTCAGCCTCCCTAGTAGCTGGGATTTCAGGTGTGTGCCACCACGCCCGGCTAATATTTGTATTTTTAGTAGAGATGGGGTTTTACCATGTTGGCCAGGCTGGTCTTGAACTCCGGACCTCAAGTGATCCACCTGCCTCGCCCTCCCAAAGTGCTGGGATTACAGGCGTGAGCCACTGTGCCTGGCACAGTTTTTAGTTTCTTCTACTGACTACTGAGGAAGCTTATTTCTGATCTAACGCAGAATAGACAGAACAGTTATTATTTCTTTTTCCAGGATAACTTCCTTTCTCTTCACTTTTACGACATTTGTCCTTTTCTGGTTATTGCTTTGAAAACAGGAGTAACCTGATGCAAACCCTGTGTCTCACACTTTCCTCCCTGGAAACTTTTTACCTGATAAATGCAGGACATGCAAATTACATCATGCTGTATTTGCTAAGTATATGAAGAAAAATTGTAAACAGCCTTATTTTAAGTGTAGCAAATAAAATGAGAAATCACCTTAAAAACAAATTTATTTCTCACAGTTCTGGAGGCCGGGAAGTCCAAGATCACAGCACTAACAGATTTGGTGTCTGCTGAGAGATCTTTGCTCTCAAGATGGTGCCTTATTGCTGTGTCATCCCATGTCAAAAGGGCTAACACTGTTCTCACGTGGTGGAAGGACATAAAAGGCAAAAATGGCAAAAAGCCTCTCCCTTCAACCATTTTTTTTAAGGTCGCTAATTCCATTTATGAGTTCCCCACCCTCAGGACTTCATTACCTCCTAAAGGGCCTCTGTCTTAATAGTATCATATTGGTGATTAGGTTTCAAAATAATGATTTTGGGGGACACGTGTAGACCATTACAGTGTGGAAGAGGCCAGTCGGAGAGAGTGAAGCCAGCATAAAGGCAAATGAAGGTAAAATAGAGACAGAGAGAGTAATCCTTGCCACAGTTGAGACCCTGGGTCTGGACTTCCTAAGGCCTTGTGCCACCCTGCCCTTTCAGTTACTTGGTTATGTAGTAGCCAGTGATTTTCCCCTTTTACAAACCAAAGAGGTTTCAGTCACTTGAAACTGGGAGAATATTGGCTAAGGTAGGTAAGAGTCGTTTGACAGATGAGAAATTTGAAACTTGAAAAGGTTGACTGATGTGCTCATTTTCTCATAGCTGATGAGTTACAGTTACAGGATTAGAACACTAACTACTGTTGATCTTTCTTAATAGCTTGCCTTTCTCACTTGGCAAGGAAGATGGAAGTGGGGACAGAGGAGATGGCCCCTTTCGCTTAGGTGGCCATGGGCCTTCCTTTCCACTAAAAGGAATTACCGAACAGCAAAAAGAAGGTCTTGAGATAGTGAAAATGGTGATGATATCTTTAGAAGGTGAAGATGGGTTGGATGAAATTTATTCATTCAGGTAAGAATTGAAAACATTGATGGGAATTTTTAATTGTACCCACGTAAATTTCTCTTTTGATTAGAGGTCTCCCAAATGTTTCCTTTTTCTGGGCCACTCTCTAATTAGTCATTGCTTAATATTCTGAGTTTTATTAAAGAAATAGTACACCCACCCTTAATCACCCTTTTTAAAGTTTGTGTTCTTGGCACATGTTTCTCATTTATTTCCAGGACCTGTGTCAGTGAAGTTCAGGAATATATAGATACCATGAGAAATTAACAAGTCAAATTGCAAAAGATGAAATAGTAGATTTCTTCATTATGCCAAGCTTGGGATACATTTTTTGGGCCCTTTTTTTTTTACACATCTACAAAAAACATTATTAATTATAGAAAGTGGTCTCAGATCTGAGATAGTCAGTATCTTCTTATCATCCTATTAAGGTTTTAGAAAGTAGCATACTATGGTATAGTGATTTTTTTTTTAAACTTTTGATCACAAAGCAGTTTGATTGAGTGAAAAAAAAAAAAACCTGCAATGTAAAGAGTTCATAGCCTACTTACTTTACGTGGGCGTTGGAAAGGCAAAATGATTTAAGAAAAGTGAATTCCTTGAAGTACCGTATAACAATAAAGCAAACTGCTTTTTCAACCATCCAGCTAGAGACTATGGAAGAGACCATCTCCTTTATCCATCTTATTCTTGGTTGGAATTGGACATACATGCATTTTGAGCAAAGAACCTAAGAAGAATCGGTGGCATCTAGAATAGTGTGTGTCCTATGGGGTTCAATTTGGTAAAAGTGGCAATAGAGTACTTTACATAGCAGTATGGCTTGGGTGGTTCAAATTCTCAGGGGTAATACTGCTTGATATTCTTGAATTATTTCCAGCTTATCAGTCTGTACACAAAATACTGGCTGTTTAAGCACATTGAAGTAGTGATTGAACAACTAGAATTTTTTTAAGTAGCTACAGTGTATATCTCCTTAATATTTTTTCTAAACGACCATTTTTAATATTTCTGATGAGCTATAATTGACAAAAATTATGTTCTGATTTTCTAAATACAGACAGCCTTGAAAAATGATAGGTAAATTTAGGAAACAGAATTGCCCACGGGATTGCCCTAGGAATCAGTGAGGAATCCTGTGAGGTGAAGTTTCTTGGCGTAATGTGTTCTTGTCACAATATTTACAGATATGTGTTCCTAAGTTGTTTCTCTTTCAAATTTTGGAATAAATGCCTTAAGCTAAACATATTACCCATGATATCACAAAGAAAAATTAGGCTGGACACGGTGGCTTATGCTTGTAATTCCAGCACTTTGGGAGGCTGAGGTGGGCAGATCACTTGAGGTCAGGAGTTCGAGACCAGCCCAGCCAGCGTGGCGAAACCCCGTCTCTACTAAAAATAAAAAAATTAGCTGGGCATGGTGGTGCATGCCTGTAGTCCTAGCTACTTGAGAGGCTGAGGCAAGTGAATCACTTGAACCTAGGAGGCGGAGGTTGCAATGAGCCAAGATCATGCCACTGCACTCCAGCCTGGGTGACAGAGCGAGACTCCGTCTCAAAAAGAAAAGAAAAATTAGAGGCCAATATAGATTACTCTTTAAAAAGTGTTTTTGTTTGTTTTTTAAATTTTTCTGTAGCATATCAGATAGGGAAATTACTGACTATGCATTGTTTTAGCATTTCGACGCTACTTTGATTTTAGGTCTGCCATGAAGGTGTAGACCAGAACTTTGCCATCCAGTACAGTAGCCATTAGCTACATGTGGCTATTTAAATTCAAGTTAGTTAAAATTAAATACATTTTAAAATTGAGTCCCTTAGTCATATTATCTGTGTTTGAAGTGTCTATTGGGCTAGCATGGTTAGAAATAGAACATTACCATCATTGCAGAAAGTTGTACTGGACAGCACTGGACTAGATTATCTCCATATAGATCTTAGGAAGAGAACTTGACATCTACCTGAGGAGATTGAGCTCTACTGCAGAACTGAGTCAGTTGTTCTTAGATTTTTTTTGAGACAGGGTCTAGCTCTGTCATCCAGGCTGGAATGCAGTGACGTGATCTCAGCTCACTGCAACCTCTGCCTCCCAGGTTCTAGCAATTCTCATGCCTCAGCCTCCCAAGTAGCTGGGATTACAGGCATGCGACACCATGCCCAGCTACTCAGATCTTATATATTGGATGCCCGTCTTTAGAATTTTCCCTGAAATAGAATCTAAATCTCATGGTGATTTTAGGCCATGAGGTTTATATTCTGTTTGACTAGTAATGTTGTATGAGACACGTTAGACCTGGTTCAGACCCATTCATTCCTCAGCAAATCCAAAGCCATTGTGCACCATAGGCTTTGGAAGCTGGGTGTCAGGTAAGATATCTACTATTCGTTGTAAATTATTTCTGAAAATTGGAGTCTCTTGCGACCTGTCTGTCCATAACTCTGTGGATAATGTAAAATAATTCTCTTTACCACTTTGTAGATCTGTTTTTTATCTGTACCAAGGAGTTCAGCCAGAAAGTCTGGACTGTATGCTTTGAGTGTATTTTGTCATTAATTTCTTTGCTGCTTATTTTAGTGAATACCACAAATTCCACCTATCTCCTATCATCTTCCCTGTTGTGTTTGATTATGGGCCAGATGAAAATATGATTGATTTTCACTTTTGTTTAAATGAAGCAGCACTCCACAACACTGTTTGCACCTCTCCCCAGCTTTTCCCACCAGTAAGAAACCTAGAGTTAACGTGCTTTACCTTGAGACTAAATATGAACTAAATTCCTTTATTCCTTGGATAGTCTTTAACTCTCACTATTATATACATATAAAAATGTGTATCTTTAATATTCAGAATTGGAATTAATGAATTATAGAGTTGTAAACAGTGATGATAATTATAGGATGGTGCCCTCCCTTTGATACTCTAGAACAGAGGTTCTTTTTTTTTTCCTTTTTTCTTTTTTTTTTTTGAGACAAAGTTTCATTCTTGTTGGCCAGGCTGGAGTGCAATGGCGCGATCTCAGCTCACCGCAACCTCCGCCTCCCAGGTTCAAGTGATTCTCCTACCTCAGCCTCCCTAGTAGCTGGGATTACAGCCATGCGCCACCACACCTGGCTAATTTTGTATTTTTACTAGAGATGGGGTTTCTCCATGTTGGTCAGGCTGATCTTGAGCTCCCGACCTCAGGTGATCCGCCTGCCTTGGCCTCCCAAAGTGCTAGGATTACAGGTGTAAGTCACTATGCCGGCCCTGAGCAGAAGTTCTTATCCTCAGGTCCGTGGTTTTCAGGGAGTTGGTAGTGAATCCTTTATATTGTGTGCAGACTCATTCATGAATGTGCTTTTATCACATCCTCAAAGGTGTGCTGGTCCTGAAAAAATGTTAAGAACCTCTGGCAGAGTTGAAATAAAGTATTGAATAAGAGGAAAATAGAGCTGTTCATTTTCACCTGTTAGTAAAGTAATTCAGCTCCTCTTCCCTTCTAAGCCAACTCACTCTTGCCCTGGCTATATCTCCCAACTTGTGGTTGTTGTTTTCCGGCCATCTCCTGCTGTTTCTCTCTTTATAATTAACATTAGCTCACTTCTCATTGTAGAAAATCAAATGCATCATCCAGCACAAGTTAACATTTAAAAATTGTTGCTTTCATTTTATATTTTTCTTTATTAAGTGAGAGTCTGAGAAAACTGTGCGTCTTCAAGAAAATTGAGAGGCATTCCATTCACTGGCCCTGCCGACTGACCATTGGCTCCAATTTGTCTATAAGGATTGCAGCCTATAAATCGGTAAGTGGCAGGTACACATTTTTAACAGAAATGTTACCAGGCAGATAAATATGTGTATATAAGGAACAGACAATTCATGTGTGTGTTACTCGGAACCATAATTACTGCTTTTCTAGTTGTTCTCCCTGCTCATTTAATCTCTGTTTAGCTTTTTGTGTAAAAGGCAGGCTAGGAGAGGAAGTTTAAAGAATTGTCTATAATAGAGTTTGATTTCCTCCTCTTTTACTTTCTCTCCATTGGTAATTGATTGTTAATCATAAGTTCTAGGCCTGTCTCTTTTTTTTAAAAGAAAGAAAATGAAATGCATTAAGCTGTGTTATTGTAGTATCATAGCAGAAATGTAGATAATGCACCAAAGTTAAGTTCAGTTTTGGAGCTCAGTGACACCTAATTCAATTATGAATGATCTGATAGTAACAACATCTGTGAAATGTAAAAAAATGTTTTGTTACTGTAAAATTGCATTTTATAATATATGTACATTTATATACAATAGCACACTTTAAAAAATGAGTTGCTTTTGGTGATTATTTGATGAAATTCTAGTTTGAGTAGGAATCTGATGCGTGCCTTCATATAAGCCTCCTTGCCTTTTTCCTTTAAGTGTTCAAAATAAATAGGAACATTTTAGACATATAAAATAAATATACAAAAACATGTTTTTATGTATTTAGTTTTTTTCTTTGTATATTAAAGAACTTAATTCCAAAATACATGATATATCTGTGAGAACCTTGGGGCAGTTCTTTATTTATTTCAGCTTCCATCAAAGCCTAGAATAGTGTCCCTAGGAATGTGAATATAGTCTCCCTCCTCTTTTATTTTGGCCTGCTTTTCAAATTTCTTTGTTGATTTCTGACACAGATATATTGCTTCTTTTTTTTTTTTCTATTGGAAACTATGATAAAATGTATAGTCCTCTTTTTATTAAACAGTCTGGCTGGGTGCAGTGACTCATGCCTGTAATTCCAGCACTTTCAGAGGCTGAGGTGAGCAGATCACTTTAGGCCAGGAGTTCGAAACCAGCCTGGTCAACCTGTCTCTACTAAAAACACAAAAATAGCCAGGCATGGTGATGTGCGTCTGTAGTCCCAGCTACTTGGGTGTCTGAGGCATGAGTATCACTTAATCCCGGGAGGCGGAGGTTGCAGTGAGCCAGGATTGCACCACTGCACTCCAACCTGAGCGATAGAGCAAGACTCTGTCTCAAAAAATAAAAATAAATAAATAAAAATATTAGACAGTCTGAGGTTTTGTATAGAAAGTGTGAATGTAAATATTTGTGGATTACTTTTGGGAGAAAATGAAATGTAGAGAAGGTTATCCAGTATATTTTGTTATGAAATAAACTAAAATTTTCATAATAGGCATGAGCAAACAAAATAATGGAGCTAGAGTAATTGTTCTGGATTTTTGTCTGTGCCAGAGAGTGTATTAGGTTTTCATCTTCTATCAATTGGAATCCTAACTTTCCTTGTTTTCCCTTTGTGTTTTGGAATGTAAGATTCTACAGGAGAGAGTTAAAAAGACTTGGACAGTTGTGGATGCAAAAACCCTAAAAAAAGAAGATATACAAAAAGAAACAGTTTATTGCTTAAATGATGATGATGAAACTGAAGTTTTAAAAGAGGATATTATTCAAGGTATGTCAGTAAGAGTTTTCACTGTTGCCTAAAAGACATTTTCTTCAACATGATGTGATGCAGGCTGGGGTTTGTATTATTCTTTGTTTAAAGTTATTTCTTTGAGTTATAGAAATATAACAGTTTGAAAGGATAATGAGACCCTAGGTCCTTTAGCTCATTTGTTGGGTCTTAGGCAGGTTGCTTCTCAGGAGTACACTTGGGTGTTCCATCTCTGTGAGTTTTAAATGTCTTAAGTGATAGTACTCAATACTTGGCTTTATTTTAAAGTTTGAAACTCACTAGCTAGGAGCATGTTTAATATGGTTGAACTAAGGTTTTTTTGTTTGTTTTATTTTTGACTTTCATGGTGATTATTCTTCTAAGGGCCAACTTCAGGTTTTATGTCCTACCAGATATGCTTCCTTAATTTAGGGGCTGAAAATTATTTGTATTTATTATATTGCTTCATATTAAATAGGATTTTTTAAAAGTTGTACTCCTATGTTATACCCATTTGGATTGAATAGTGTGTCTAGATGGCATCTTTATCCAGAGGACTTAGAAACTAGCTGAGGATATCTGTATGTTCAAGACCTAAAATTATTAAGATACCAAATGATGGTTAAGATAGAAACAAGAGTCCTTAGATAAATGTTTTGCCAGGCTATTCACTACCCAGTATAGTTTTGATTTGCAAGTCTTGAAAAGAATTCTTTTCCTCTGTGACACTGTATTTCATCTTACAGTGTATATATTTGTGTGTGTTGGAGGAGGGGGTTGTTTAAAGGTGGTGGTGGTTATGATTCCTTCCTTTCTCCTGATGGATTATATGTAGAATATAATTAATACCCTACAATTTCTACCAGTTCTTGAATTCAATTCTGTAGCATAGAACATGAATTTTGGAATCAAACCTGGGTTAGAATCATGGTTCCATCATTGGTTAATCATTTGATCCTAGTATAATGACTGGCTCATAGTAGGAAGAATAGCATGATTAAAGCCACAAGACCTGGAAAGTAGGGGGACTTCTCAGAGATACTAAGTAGTCCACTTGGGTTGGTGTATTGAGCATATACAGGTTAGTACTTGAGGGTAACATCTAATGGACAGCCTGCATTTTCTCTTTTAATCATCAGCGACCATCTTATAAAGCAGGCACTCTTTGTTATTTCCATTTTATAGATAAGGGAACTGAGGCTGAAAGACACTCGTTCACATATTCAAAGCCCCACAGTTCTCAACTAGCAGGACTTGGATCTAGGCCTGTACTGCTTCAGAGTCTGTGCCTGCATTCTATTCTGAATTTGGACTGAGTAATGAAGGGCTTTGGATAATAGGCTAAGAGTTTATGCATAACCTTGAAAACAACGTGGAGCCACTTACAGTTTTGAGGAAGAGAATGTCACTGGGGCTATATTTTAAGAAGATTAATATGACAACTGGTTGTAGGATGGATTGGAAGGAGAAGGATCTAGTGATAAGGATGGATGCCAGTTCTTTTGGTTGTCAGCAAGGAAGGCATCCCTGGTTATCTTAGGCAAAAAGGAAATTTATTGCTGGGGCAATGGAGAGGGAAGAGTTAAAAACTGCTTGGGTTCAAAGAGCGTAGAAGTGCATCTTTTCTCCTGTCCTCCAGTTTCCAGCCCCTAATCAGCTAGAGGTTTTTGCTTTTTGTTTTTTGTTTTTTCTTGAACTAAGGGACCAGTATACACATGTGGGCAAAGGAATCTGGTTAAATGTTGTAGTCTATTGTAAGTATACAATGTACAAAAGTTGGAGTTATATGCCATTTCAGTAGATGAACCAGAAAACATGAAACAGTTTTAGTTAGAATGTTCATTACAAGTTACACAATTCACACGATTCAAGTAAGATGATGACTGATGACAGAGATTAAGACAAACATTTGGTTTAGGTACCAGTCTTAATCATGTGCCATACATTTCCCTGTTAATTTTTTGTTGGAAAGTTTGGTTTTGTCACTAGCTTTTTAAAAAAGACATACATGGAAATAAAAATGTGTTTCTATTTTGAGACGGAGTCTTGCTCTGTCGCCCAGACTGGAGTACAGTGGTGTGATCTCAGCTCACTGCAACCTCCACCTCCCAGGTTCAAGTGATTCTCCTGCCTCAGCCTCCTGAGTAGCTGGGACTACAGGCGCGTGCCACCATGCCTGGCTAATTTTTTTTTGTATTTTTAGTAGAGACAGAGTTTCACTGTGTTAGCCAGGATGGTCTCAATCTCCTGACCTTGTGATCCACCTGCCTCGGCCTCCCCAAGTGCTAGGATTACAGGTGTGAGCCACTGTGCCTGGCCTAAAAGTGTGTTTCTTTTTAATAAAATAAATGTCATCAACAGACTAACAGGAACAAATAAACACTAGATCACAGAATCTGTCCCTGGATATGAAAGTTTTATTGTGTCTTGGGGTAAAGATGCATGTGCTTTTCCTTTGCATTTGTCCAAGGCCAGAATCCTTGGATTTTGATGCTCCTTCTTCCCACAAAACATAGAAGATACTGTGTATTGAAAGGGTGTGATTTTTCATAGAATATAGGCTACAGAACAGGGCTGGACTTTTTTTTTTTTTTTTTAAGAAGCCGAGAGCCTATGTTTATATAAATATCCTATGTAATTAAAAAGAAAAATACAGTTAAATCCCAGAAATAAAAGAAATTTAAATATAGAAAAATATATAACTTATCAATTGAATGTTTCCAAACAGAAGAGTTTTAGCTTCTGTCAGGCATTGCATATCTCCAGCATACGTTTTTGAGAACATTTTGTTCTGAAAATTTCCTGTTGGCATTTTTCTCTGTGGGTCTCTAGGTTTCTGAATAATGTGTTCTTATGTTTACAAATCATGCTGTACTTTAGTCAACCATGGTTTATCTTTGGAGGATAACTAGTACGTTAACATTTGCCAGATTTTTTCTTTTAGGCTGGGTAATCATTGAGCTAACTAGATTGCAAAATATGCTACTTTAAAAAATGTAATTAGATTTTAATCATCTCTATATTGTATGTGTGGTTTGTGTATCTGCTGCTGCTTTTTCACCATTGATCACAAGGGGCAGTCATCTGATTCCAGGGAATAGAAGATGGAGGCTTGCTCTGGCGTGTGCGTGTGTTGTTAATGTATGCATGGAACTAATTTCAGCTTGTAGAAAATGAGGCCCCATATGCTTAACAGATGCTCTTCTCTTTTTCTCCAGGGTTCCGCTATGGAAGTGATATAGTTCCTTTCTCTAAAGTGGATGAGGAACAAATGAAATATAAATCGGAGGGGAAGTGCTTCTCTGTTTTGGGATTTTGTAAATCTTCTCAGGTATGATTGTGAACAAACTAAATGAGCTTTTTCCTAGCTGTTATTTGAAATGGTATGCTTTTGATTGGTCATTTTATTTATAAGGTATATTTATTTCACTTTTAATTTTTCTAAAATGTAGTCTGGGGGTTAATGTTGCCATGGTATGTATTTTATACATTGGGAAACTGAGGTTCAGAGCCGTTAAGTAAATCTATATGAGCATAGCAAACTAAAAATACAGGATGGTTTTTGAATGGGGAATGGAAGCGGAGATGAGGGGTATTTGAATTATGTGGGCCTAACCCTCATCCCTTTGAGGTTCAGTCTTCTTGAGCTGGTATTATGGTGAAAGTGCTCATAATGTCTCAACTCTAGAGGTGGGAGGGCATAAAAATGCATGAGAAACATTGCCCAATACAGCACATTGCATGTTCTTGAAAATAAACCGCAGGCTCCAGATTTCATAGATCAGACAAAGTTGATCTTGGTAGATAAGTGCAGGTGGTTATGATTTTCAGAACTCTTCAATACTCATTTTCTAATCTGGTATTAGTAGAGCTGTCTTGACCCCTCTTGATACTGTGCTAGATAAGTTAATTGAATTTAAGGGGGTGGGGGGAGAGACATGCAGTACTTATTTTTGATTTAATTTCTCTTTCTTTCAACCCTTCCCCTCTAAGTCTTCACTCAAGCCTCTACTGTTCATCAGTGCCTCAGTGTTACTCTTAGGAGGAAATGCAAACCACTTAGCTTTGTTTTTAGGAGACTTCATCATCTGATCTTTGTTAATCTCTGTAATCTAATTTTTCACCTTTCCTCTCACACAGTGGCACTGTACTACTCCAAGAGCAGTTCTCCAAATGTACCATGCTTTTACAGCACTCCAGACTTCTATTGATACTGTTTTCTCTGCCTGGAACGCTTGTGCCCAGACTTTTCTCTTAGTTCCTATTTGTCCTTTTAAGTCTCGACTTAGGTGTCACCGTTTGCAGAAACCTTCCCTGATCCCTCATGACCAGGCTTGGTGCCCTCCTTATGTGCTCTTAAAGCACCATGTAACCCTGGACCATAATACTACACTGCAGTTAATTTCATATTTATCTATTGAAGCTCCTCAAGGGCAAGATTATGTTTTGTTCACTGTTGTGTTTACAGTGCTCAGATAATCTTGAACGCATGCTGGGTGCTCAGATATTTGTTGTGTTGTATTGAATTAAACTTCAGGTAATAAGGTGTTTTTAGTATCTGAATGTTTTTCAGTAAGAGGATTTTGAATGGAATTTCTTGGCAATGTGTGTCATGGTTATACATGTTACTTATTTTGGATCAAAAGCAATTCTTTTCCTCTCTTGTAGGTTCAGAGAAGATTCTTCATGGGAAATCAAGTTCTAAAGGTCTTTGCAGCAAGAGATGATGAGGTGAGTTGGCAGCAGGTCTTTGAGGTAGTGCTACAGAATTGAATTGTAAGTCTATGAAAGCAAGTTGTTTGGGGCTTTTATAGTTTAAAATGACATGAATTCTTGCAATAGGAGTGGGGAAATCCACTGATGTTTAACTGAAAATGGAGATGTGGTAAATGGATTTGTGTTAGCATGAGCACAAGACCCGAGGACATGGAGACCAAGGAAGTATTAAAAACATTTTGAACCACTGCATTTAGGAATGGGAATTTCACAGTCAAATGTTAAGGAGGGTTGGGGTCAGGTTGACATTTTGTGTTGTCATAAGCATCCTGGATGTGCACTTCAGTGACTCACTAGACTGCTTTTGTCATTGAGGAAATGTGTCTTTTCTCTATTCCTCTCTCTTGGTACTCTTCCTGCCTCCCCAAGATACTCTGTTTTCAGGCTGGTTTTTCTCTAGCTAACAGCCTATGACTGCTGCATTCTATACTCACATCTGCCCTTTCTGTAAATATTTACTGTTTGATCTCCAAGTTAGAACTAACTTTGTTGGAGATACTGATTTTAACTGGAAGATTGCAATCTACTATCTGTTTAAGGCAGCTCAAGCAGGTTTCCAAGTTCCTGAAGTATTTGCATTTGTAATTAATAAACTGGATGTAGAAGGCTTGTTTGGGGTGGGGGTAGGGTGGTGGTATAACTAGTATAGTTCTCTTTTTCTCCTCACTTCTGGAAGGTAGCTGGTTGCTGATATAGTGGATGGGTATGCCATTATTATCTCAGAACAGTTAAGGGAAGAAAATGTTTGGCTTCTACCCTGTTCTGAATGAATTATTAGAGCACAATATTAGCATACATGAATCTTCAAATTTGAGAATCCTACTTCATGGATTTCTCTTGAATCAAATCCTGTTGGGAATCATGGAAGTCTAGTATATACTGTCAAACCACAACTTAGCTGAAGTTTTATTTTGTTTTGTTTTTTTAAGAGACAAGATCTCATATGTTTCCCAGGCTGGCCTGGAACCTCTGGGCTCAAGCGATTCTCCTACCTCTGTTTCCCAGATAGCTGGGACTATAGGTGTGCGCCACCATTCCTTGCTTCTGCTGAAGTTTTAACTTCCACTTACTGTCTCTTTATGCAAAGAACATTCTGATCACTTCATGAGACTTGCTGGGTATGCAGTGAGGAATCACAAAGTTGTGTTGAGACACACATGTTGGGTAATGATGTAGGCTTGCTAGCTAAGGGCAGCCTTGTGGATTGTGTAATTCAAATCTGGCCTTATACAACACTAATTTCTGTATATCATAGGATCACTTTGAGATAACTCAAGAAAAACAGATTTATCTCCTAATGGCAAAGGGATACTCTCTAGTGTCAGTTTTTGAGGTAGTCAAAAAATGATAATATCTAATTGGAGCTTCTGAGATAAGCAAGGGAGTAAGGAAACAATGTCATATGAGGACTTCCAGTAAAACAAAACAAAAGAATGCCTGGAGAAGACTTGTGTAGGTAGGCAGGGGTGTAGGAGGGATGGCAGACATAATAGCACTCTTCATGCATTTGGAGAATTATCTTGTAGAATAGAAATTAAACTCTGCTTCGTATCAGAGGGGTGAACTGGAAACAGCAGGTGGTGCTTTTTGTTCAAGATGAAGAATTATTTTGTCAACAAGGATTACTGTCCCCACTGGATTGTTTTCTTGTAAGATGATCAGATCCCCATTTCTGTAAGTTTACAATAAAAGTCTTTATCACCACTAGTCAGATGTACATGTGGATTGTTAAACTAGATGAATACTGTTGTTTTTTAGCTCAAATATTCTGATTCTTTGGATAATTCCCTCTTTAAAAAGTTTTCTCTGGTCATTAGCATATAATTTTTTGTATTGAGAATCTATACTTTCATGTGCTGATTTGCACTGTGTGTAGAAAACAAGGAGGGAAAAGAAAGGAAGGAAATGGAGCTTTAGTTAAGTTATACACAGCTGTAGTACTGTTTCACCATGTAGCAGTCATTCACAGCCCCATCCTTCCTTCTTGTTTTTTTTTTTGTTTTTTTTTTTTGAGACGGAGTTTGGCTTTTTGTAGCCCATGCTGGAGTACAGTGGTACGTTCTCGGTTCACTGTAACCCCTGCCTCCCGGGTTCAAGTGATTCTCCTGTCTCAGCCTCCCGAGTAGCTGGGATTACAGATGCCTGCCACAACGCCCGGCTAATTTTTGTATTTTTTGTAGAGAAGGGGGTTTCACGATGTTGGCTAGGCTGGTCTTGAACTCCTGACCTCAGGTGATCCACCCCCCCCCCTCCTCGGCCTCCCAAAGTGTTGGGATTACAGTTGTGAGCCACCGTGCCCAGCCCCTTCCTTCTTTTAAACATCCTAATTGGTCCTGTCAAAGACATATAAATAAAAACTTCAAACAAATTGGAAGTAATCTCTTCCTCAGATTCTCATTGTGCTTATCTAGCCCTTTCTTATGGGACTTAACTATTAGAACATACATGTTTCATATTTGCTACATATCTCATTTCTGCTAATAAAGAATGTATTAGGTAAGTGAGGTCAAGGACTTGGCTTTGTTTTTTCACAGGGCTCAAGACAGTGCCTGGCAAAGAACAGGCACTGAGTAAAGTAGCCTTTGAATTGAACTGAAAAAGTAATGATTCTGTTATGAAATCTGTACAGGATTCTAATGGCCAGGTCTTGGGGTCATAGTTTTTTTGTTTGTTTGTTTGTTTGTTTTGTTTTTACAACAGCATGGCTGGGAGGTCATAGGTTTTTAACTTTGATAAGGTTAACCGTGATAGTGAGAGAAGTACATAGTGTTTGGGGAGTTTCTGCAGAGAGAGAGAGAGAGCTGACTAAGGTAAATCTGGAATGGAGAGGGTATCAATTTACTAAGCCTAGAGAAAAGGTTAGAAGCTGGAGAGCCAGAGATTAGTAAAGGGGCATTCTAGCTAGGAGGTAATGGTATGAGCAAAGGCCAAGTATGAGACCTGCCCCCAGTCAGTGATCAGCTCAGTGATGCCAGAATAGAGGAACGACTGGAAGGGAGTGACGTGATGAGCTCTGGGAACAGAGGTGGCTGTCAGGGAAGAGATGGATTTGAGAGACAGTATAGAGGTAGAATTGGTAGTTTCGTGAACACTTAAAAGGTGAGGGATGAGGCCCAGCACTTTGAGAGGCCAAGGTAGGTGGATCACTTGAGGTCAGGAGTTCGAGACCAGTCTGGGCAACATGGCAAAACCCCATCTCTACTAAAAATACAAAAAGTTAGCTGGGCATGGTGGCGCGTGCCTATAATTCCAGCTACTCGGGAGGCTGAGGCACAAACATTGCTTGAACGGGGGACACAGAAGCTGCAGTGAGCCGAGATTGTGCCACTGCACTCCAGCCTGGGGGACAGAGTGAGACTCTGTCTCAAAAAAAAAAAAGTGAAGGATGAGAATGGTGCGGTGGCATTATCAAAGACCGGGGTTTCCAGTGTGGTTGATTAGGCAATGATGTTAATGGAAATAGGGAATCCAGGAGGAGAATGAGGGGGAAAGATAGTAAGTTTAGGTTTTAGTCTTGTCGTGGTGAATGTGAACAGTTCATACTGAACAGTTTGAGATAACTGAAGATGCCATGTCAGATATCCACCAGCTAGCAGGCAGTCTAAGTCTAGATCTTAGGAGAGTTTTAAAAATGAATGTACAGGCCTGGTGCGGTGGCTCACGCCTGTAATCCCAGCACTTTGGGAGGCCGAGGCAGGCGGATCACCTGAAGTTGGGAGTTTGAGACCAGCCTGACCAACATGGAGAAACCTCGTCTCTACTAAAAATACAAAATTAGCCGGGCGTGGTGGCACATACTTGTAATCCCAGCTACTTGGGAGGCTGAGGCAGGAAGATCGCTTGAACCTGGGAGGTGGAGGTTGCGGTGAGCTGAGATCACGCCATTGCATTCCAGCCTGGGCAACAAGAGCGAAACTGTGTCTCAAAAAAAAAAAAAAAGAAATAAAAGAATGTACAGATTTTTGATTCATCAACTCATGGGACTGGATGAAATAATCCCCAAGTAGAATTTTAGAGTGAGAGGAGGAGGGAAAGGTCTAAAGTAGAATTTACAAATTGGTGGAGAAAAGAGAATAATCAGGGGAGAATGTTGTTTTTGAAGCCATGAAGGAGAAAGTATATAGAGACAGTGGAATGGTGAGATGCTACTGTCAAACAAAAAAATCGAGAACCAAGGAGTTGGCAATTAGAAGGTGATGGGTGACTTCAGAGGATAATTTCATTAAGGAAGTGGGGGCAGTAGCTGGACTAGACTGAAGAATAATAATGCACTAAGCAGTGGAAACAGCATGCCTATTATTTTAAGAAATTCAGAGGTAAAGACAGGAAAGATACTGATAGCAATTTGTGGAGAGGGAAGGACAAACAAAAGATTTGTTTAGGAGGGCTGACATGAGTTTATTTTTAGGGTAAAGATAAAAATTTAGAGAAGGAAGGTTGAAGCAGTAAGACGGATTTAGTTAATGAGGTTAAGTCCCAGAAGAGCTACAGTAAATGTAATCAAAAGCAAATGTGTGCACTTCGTCCTTCAAGTCAGGGGGCACCCTAAAAAATGTAAAATAGAAAGAAAGTGATAACAGTCTTAAAGTATTGAGTTCTGTTGTGAAAACTCTCACATGTTGAATATGTGTTAATACATCCATCTTTCTTACCAGGCAGCTGCAGTTGCACTTTCCTCCCTGATTCATGCTTTGGATGACTTAGACATGGTGGCCATAGTTCGATATGCTTATGACAAAAGAGCTAATCCTCAAGTCGGCGTGGCTTTTCCTCATATCAAGCATAACTATGAGGTAAAACCCAAAGTCTTAATGTTATTTTTTTTCTTCAGTTCCTTTATTCTAAGCAGTGTTTCTCAGCTGTTAATGTTCATGACAATTACTTGGGGATCTTGTTAAAATGCAGATCCTCATTGTGTAGTTCTGGGGCAGGGCCCAGATTCTCTGTTTCTCTCGAGAAATGCTGATACTGGTCTGTGAACCACACTTTCGGTTGGAGGAAAAAGTATACGTTATAAAAATAATATAAGAATCTTTTAATTATAAAGTATCATAAGAATCTTTTTATTAAGTATTATGAAAATCGTTTTAGATTAAAAGAATAATCAATAAAGGTTCACCATGGCCTTTTCTTGGTTCTCATCCTTCTTGACTTATTGGAACCAAATAGAGAAATTACCTCCATTTTTACAAATGAGAACTATGAATAAAGGCTGAGGATATGATTTTGTTGTGATCTTTGTGAAACGGTTTATTTAGGGCTCTCTTGTGTAAAATACAGTTCTAAATTCCTTATCATTTCCTCTGTCTCAGAGAACTTACTGTGGCCGAACTGGAAAGAGAAGGCACATATCTTGACTTCCAGGTCAACCTTCTGGTCACCCTAGTCTTCTCATTTGTTGTATTGGTCATGCATTTGATAGCAGTCCTTTAGTATTCTTTTATACATTTCTCTTATGCTTAATATTCTTTATACTGTTTGCAGTTGTGAACAGCCAGTAGCAGAAGTCAAAACACTTCACTTTTCATATGCCAGAGTTGGGCTGTCCGATTTTTGAAATATTTCTGTTATGCTACTTTCACAGAATTTGGGATCAGTTTTATATTTTTTCATTAATTTCATCGTTTCTGCTTTTACCCCCTTTCTTTCTCATTAGTGTTTAGTGTATGTGCAGCTGCCTTTCATGGAAGACTTGCGGCAATACATGTTTTCATCCTTGAAAAACAGTAAGAAATATGCTCCCACCGGTGAGTTTGTTTTCATTTAGATCACTCATTGACTACACACACTGTTCTTGGGAAATCACCTGTCTGCTAGTTGTTGGTTGGGGCTAGGTATTTATAGGGTGCAATTAGTTGGATTTCCAATCATACACTTAGACACAGTAATGATGAAGGTGGTTTACTTGGTGTTTTTCCAGTAGTAGGGATAGGTTTGCCTTAAACTCACCCAACACTGTCTAGTTTTTGCCTTGGAGCATGTACCTAGGGGAAAGCTTGATGGTAATGGATGTCCATCTCTAGTTGTGAGCAGAGTTTGCCCCTGCCGAAGTGAATCTGAGCAGTATCAAACCTGTGACTTTAGTGTTCTGTGTAAAGTCTGATGTAGCTTTGAAATGAAAAGTGACAGTGCTGAAGATTAACTTTTCTCTTTGCCCTGTTTTTGTAGTTTGCACCAACAGTCCAAGTCTCATTGTTACTTATTTCTGGCTTTTAGGAGTTACTTCAGGCTTGATGTGAAAGCTCCTGATTGAGCATCTGGCTGCAAATGTCAGGGTCCTATATAGAATTATTCTTAGAGCCACAGGTCCAGTCTTCCAGAGAGCCTGTCATTTAAAACAATTGTAATAAAATATAATAGGGGGCAGAAGTAGAAAACATACCAAAAAGAACAACAAATGATGAGTAGATGTTTTAGGTTACAAGTTTATATATAATGTCTGTGTCTGTGTTAAGATTAGGGAATTGTGAGGTGAGTCTCGGAACTCAATTCTTTCTGTTATTTTGGCTAGACCCTTTGGAAGTAGTGTGCTATAGAAAGGCCAAGAATCAGATGGGTCCCTAGGGCCTGTATCTTTATCTTCCTTCTAGAAATGAGTCTGTCTGCATCACGGTGGAGGCAGGCATGGACCTGATTATATGGAAGTTGCCACTGTATTACAGTATTACTCTGTCTCTATTTCCTGATAATTCCAAAATTTAAATGAGTAGAATATTTAATTATTTATTTATTTGAGACAGGGTCTCACTCTGTCACCTGGCTGGAGTGCAGCGGCGTGATCATAGCTTACTGGAGCCTCAAACTCCCTGTGTATTAGTTCATTTTCATACTGCTGATAAAGACATACCCGAGACTGGGAAGAAAAAGAGGTTTAATTGGACTTACAGTTCCACATGGCTGGGGAAGCCTCAGAATCTTGGTGGGAGGCGAAAGGCACTTACATGGTGGCAGCAAGAGAAAATGAGGAAGAAGCAAAAGTAGAAACCCCTGATAAACCCATCAGATCTGGAGTGAATAAATCTATAGACTTATTCACTATCATGAGAATAGCACAAGAAAGACCAGCCCCTCTGATTCATTTACCTCCCCCTGGGTCTCTCCCACAACATGTGGGAATTCTGGGAGATACAATTCAAGTTGAGATTTGGGTGGGGACACAGCCAATTCTGGCTCAAGCAATCCTCTTGCCTCGGCCTCCTAAGTAGTTGGGACTACAGGTACGCGCCACCGTGGCTGGCTCATTTTTAAAATTGTTTGTAGAGATGGAATCTCACTATGTTGTTGTGGCTGGTCTTAAACTCCTGGGTTCAAACAATCCTCACATCTCAGCCTCCCAAACTGTTGGAATTATGGGTGTAAGCCATCACGTCCAGCCCAGAATATTTTTAAAAACCCAGTTTATTGATAATTTATTTTGTCGACATAAATCACTCAGGATCTGAAACATTAAATATCTTCTGTTATCTATTTTCTGTGAGTTAACATTTGTTTACATTTTCTCCATTGGAAAAATGGAACATTAAAGTTATTTCATGTATTTCCCAGTAGATGTCTATGTAGGAATGCAATGCCAGGATGATCTGGCCTCCTGCTACCTTGTAGTAGTAGGTGAAAATCACTGAATGTTCACATGTACAAGTACTGCCCCCTACCTGTTGCTGGGAGGGCCTTGAATTAGCAAGTTCAAGATGGTGTTGGCTGTGCCATTGCCTGAAACCTCCATGGTTTCACCATGAAAAGTCCATAAATGGGTAAAAAAGAAATATCTGATGATAAATATCTGTATGCTCTTTTATTTTGTTGTAGCTGTACAAAAGGGATATTTGAAAAGGTGCAGAATAGAAGTATAATGTACTTTTTAGGAACTACTTACTCTTTTCCACCTTTTGCCTGGTGACTGTGAATGTTCCAGAAATAGTGCCTCAGGTTCAACAGCTGAACTGCTGTATGAATCAGTAAAATGAAAGTTACACACAGTAGTTTAGGCAGAAGTATTTTTGGGAGAATTGCCTTTCGTCCATATTGCTTTGGGCTGTACCATTTTTATTGACTGAGTAGATTTTTATTGAGGAGCACTTGTTTTTTATTAGTATTAGGAGAGACCTAAGGAAAGAGGATGTCGTATTTCTGCTCTCATGGAACTTGAGAGTTTGAATGGAGTAGGGCAAGACATGTACGCAGGTGTGAGTAGTGTCATGGAGGCATTAAGAGAGGAGAGAGCTTATTCAGCCTCAGTAGATTGTGAAGGAATCAGCTCACCCTGATCCAATGGTGTCTTCCTGTTAAGGTGCTGTACTCTGATAAAAGTTATATTAAAGTCATTAAAATGCTTATGCTTCATTACCAGAGAGGTTTTTTCTTTTTAATGTTTTTCTTCTTTAGCTAATTACTAGTTTTTAAAATATTAGCTCAATGGATACTAAATATTTTGTTCCAGTCTCCTTATAGGGATTGGTTTTTATATGGCTGTATTCCTCTGAAACAAACTTTCTTGCTTTTGATCTGATACTCCATTGTCAGAGGCTCACTGAATGGTAGAACTGGAACCTAATCAGTCAGTCACTCTAAATCGATCTTTTCATGGATAAGAAAACCAAGACTTGGGTTAAATACGTGCATAGCTAGAGAATACTTTGGCAGGGCCAGGACTGTATAACCTGCCAATATTGCCGTGGATATCTCTACGTAGAAAGCATTTGTTTTAGTGGAGAATAATGGAAATAATCATTTTTCTTTCGGCTTCTCTGTTTAAGAGGCACAGTTGAATGCTGTTGATGCTTTGATTGACTCCATGAGCTTGGCAAAGAAAGATGAGAAGACAGACACCCTTGAAGACTTGTTTCCAACCACCAAAATCCCAAATCCTCGATTTCAGAGATTATTTCAGGTAAGAGAAGAAGGATGAACAAGTCATATTTCTTTTAAATGAAAGAGAGCTAAGTGCAAAGTTGCGGTAATTGGCCAGTCCTAAATAAATGTCTTTTTTCTCTGAAGGCCCCATTTGCTCTATTTAATGGAAGAATAACATCTTCCTCTCCTACTTCAGAAGGTAAAAATATTCTGAGCTCTTAAAAAGAAAAATAAAGTTGGAATGCTTTCTTTCTTTTCTTTTTTTTTTTTTTTTTTTTTTTTTTCCTGGAAGAAGCTTACTTTAACAAAAAAAATACAGGAAGGCCAGTTGCCTATGCTGGAGTGCAGTGTTGTGATCATAGCTCACTATAGCCTCAAACTCCTGTGCTCAAGCACTCTTCCCGCCTCAGTCTCCTGAACAGCTGGGATTGCAGGCACATGCCACCATGCCTGGCTCATTTGTAAAAATTTTTGTGAAGACAAGTCTTGGCCACGTGCGGTGGTTCATGCCTGTAATCCCAGCACTTTGGGAGGCTGAGGCAGGTGCATCACTTGAGGTCAGGAGTTCAAGACCAGCCTGGCTAACATGGTGAAACCCTGTCTCTACCAAAAAATAAAAAAATTAGCCGGGCATGGTAGCACGTGCCTGTAATCCGAGCTTCTCAGGAGGCTGAAGTGGGAGAATTGCTTGAACCTGGGAGATGGAGAGTGGAGTTAGCCGAGATCACGACCCTGTACTCCAGCCTGGGCGGCAGAATGAGACCGAGTCTTTAAAAAAAAAGAAAAAAAAAGGTTCCTAGGCTGGTCTTTAACTCCTAGGCTCAAGCATTCTGAGTAGATGGGACTCCAGGTGTATACCATTGCCCCCAGCCAGATGCCTCTTTTATATTTTTTCAGGCTTTTCTCCTGTATTGTATGTAAATAACACTTTTCTTTGTTTTCTATATCAAAATAGTAGGAGAGCTTATATGAACTCTATAATAATATAACATTGTTAGAGAAGAAGTGTTCTAATGTCACATTTCTCAAAAATTTCATAATTAAAGGGAGCATAGGGGTCAGATAAAAAGGTTATATTGTGAAATTATTAAAGAATAATTAAAATACAGAAAATATAAAAAATCTTCTGAATCTGAGTCCAAAGGAATTGGAAGGCAGAGATTGGATTAAGGTAAATTGGGGAAGTTGACAAGAGAGCTGACTTATGCTGAGGAAGGGGAGGGCTAGACCAAGGTTGAAGGAGAAAGGAATATTCCAGTCCTGGATTCAGTTGATGACAGCAGGACATAGGCTTCTCTGACCCCCACAAAACTGAAAAAAAAATTATATAAGCAGCTTTTTAAGGCAAGCTGTTGCTCACAGAGGAGTAGAGGGCCCTTTTCTGCAGGTTGGGGGTAACAGGGCATGTGCTGCAGAGACCACAGATTCTCCCTTATGACTCACTTCATGAAACATCTGTAACTAACTTAAGTCCATATTGGGGCTTGTGATTTGAGGGATCCTCTACTTGAAAGAAACTGCCTGTTTTTTTGATGCTTGTAATTCTTTTAAGTAGTGAAAAAAATCTTTTGTTCTAAAATTAGAGATGTGAAGCTTAACATGTGAAGACTTGACTCTGAATACTCATGCCCCTCAGTTTATGATGGGGATACACGCCTATAAACCCATCTAAGTTGAGAATATAAGTTGAAAATGCATTTACTACACCTAACCTACCAATCATCATAGCTTAGCCTCACCTACTTTAAATGTGCTCAAAACACTTCACATTAGCCTACAGTTGGGCAGAATCATCTGACAATATCATGCACTGTAAAGGTTGTCTACCCTTGGGAGCTGCAGCTTGATATCACTGCCCAGCATTGTAAGTGTCCTACTGAGTTCTACTGAATGAGTATCGCTTTCACACTGTTGTAAAGTGGAAAAATTGTAAATTGAACCATCATAAACCAGGGACCATCTGTACTCTAGCATGCTAAGTGTAATGAAGTATAAATTACAGATATAAAAATCCTTTGGTGTTTTTTTGGCAAATGTACTTGAAGACCTAAAGCCTTGTGCCATTTGTAGGAAAGGTAGGAGCAGACCAGTTCAAAGCTTACCAAAATGGTTCACTGTGGAGAAAAAGAGAAACTTCTATTAATACTATTTTGCACACTTATCTACAGTAGGTTGTATTTATCTTTAATAAATGCTTATTGGAATAACAAACAGATACAAGCCATAAATGCAGGCATTTTTATATTCCAAAGCTGCTGCAAGCACGGGCTTTGATTTTTATTAGTTTGTTTTGTGGGGGAGAGTTTTTAATGTGGCTTATCTATATAAAGAAGTATCTTCACTAGGATACATAAACTTAAAAAAAACTTATTTATTGAGTACTAACAATGAACCACGTGCGAAAGATACTATAAGCTGCTTTTTTTTTTTTTATTTTTATTTTGAGACGGAGTCTCACTCTGTCACCCAGGCTGGAGTGCAGTGGCGTGATCTTGGCTCACTGTGAGCTCTGTCTCCTGGTTCACACCATTCTCCTGCCTCAGCCTCCCGAGTAGCTGGGACTACAGATGCCCGCCACCACGCCCGGCTAATTTTTTTTTTTTTTGTATTTTTAGTAGAGACGGGGTTTCGCTGTGTTAGCCAGGATAGTCTCGATCTCCTGACCTTGTGATCCGCCCGCCTCGGCCTCCCCAAAGTGCTGGGATTGCAGGCGTGAGCCACTGCACCCGGCCAAGCTTACTTCTTTTATGGACCCCTCTAGAAGAATGAGAAAAGTAGAGAGAGAAAAAACCAGTTGTTAAAACAGTGGTGGGAAAACACCATGAGAATAAGAAGAAAAAGATTTTTGCAAGTGGGTGACTTAGGGAAGGCTTTGCTGAGGAATTAGCATTTGGACAGAGTTCTAAAAGAACAAAGGCGGTGCATGTGGTAAGGAGGGCATGCCATGCAAAATAAATAACATGGAAAAGCATGAAAATATGAAGAGCCAGGATGTGGATCCCTTTGGCTGCAGAATAAGTTCTGTATGGGGAAATGATGGAAAACGTGACAGAGAAGGTAAGTAGTAAGTAGGTTGTGAATACCTTGTATGCCATACTCAGTCATTTGGATTTTACAGCAGTGGGTAATTAAAGAATTTTCAGTGGCCCACTTGAAGGCTTAAGAGTTAAAGCAGTGATGGAGAGAGTGGAGACGAGAATCAATTCTTAAGGCATTTAGAAGGTATAGATAGAACTTGAGTGATTGATGGAAAATAAAGAGGACTTGAAGATAACAGGATCCTAGCTTGGGTGACTGAAAAGATGATGTCACCATTCAATATGATAAGGAATACAGAATGAGCAGGTGGAAAAGATAATTCATTTATTTTCACAAGTGTTAAATTTGAGAAAATCTATTGGATATCCTGGTACAGACACTCATTGGGAAGTTACAAACAGGGTTGCAGAGCCTAGAAGACAAGTCAGGTCTAAACACAGATTTGAGAGTCCTCCTCATTGAGGCAGAAAGACAAGTGAGTAAGATTGTCTGGGAGAGCACACTGGGTGAGTAGGAGAGAGAACAAAGTAGAGAACTGCAACACGTGAGTGAACAATTAGACATATAAAAAAGGGTTGTTACAAAACCAAACCAAATGCTCCTACCTCCATACCCCAATAAAAATCAGCGAGGTAGAAAACTAGGAGAAATGCATCTTGGAAGGCACAGGAAGAGACGAGTTGGAAAGGAAGGAATCGCAAGTCAGATGCACAATGGGGAGTAGAGGTGAGCTTAGCAAAGGGTCTTTAGGAATTTGTAGTCCAGTTTGAGGACTTTGGGGACACAGAATCAGTTGAGTAATGGTGTGCAAGCCAGGTTACAATGCCTAGATGAGAAAGACTTTCTGATGAAGGGAGAGAGAAAGAGAGGACACAGTAATCTATAGGAGGTTGTGGGATCCAGGAAGGCCACTTTTTTCTTTTTGAAATACCTACAGTTAAGGGTAAATGAGCTTGGAGAAGGAGAGAGAGATTAATAATTAATTTGTTATCAAGAGGTTAATTTAATTCTAGTTTTGGAAAGAAATGCTGAAAATATATCTTGTCAAGTATACAGTTAAAACCACTTTTTAAATAATTGATACAATGGTGCTAAAATCAGTATATTGGTAACTTTTGAGCTATTGTGGTCTGTAGGTTTTTCCTCTAATCTTTTTCAAATTGTAAAAATCACATCCAGTAACAGTTGCTTAAAAGAGAAATAAATAGGTGATCTCAGCTTCCCATCTACTCAGAAATGTCACTTTCTCATAATCCCATTTTTTTAGTGCATTGGGAATTTTTACCTGAATGAATTTTGTAAGTATCTCGCTTAGCTTAATTTGCCTAAAATGTGACCTTTCAGAAAATATGAGAGGGAGGTTGGTACCTCAGAACATCTCTTGTAGATCCTTTATTATTGACTTAACGGATGATGACACTGAAAAGATTGCCTGGGGTTTATGCTGAAAATCTGGAATGTTTTACAGTAGGAAGGTTGGGTAGGATACTTGTCCATTGGTTGTTCTAGCCCTTTTCCAAGAAATGTCAATTGGATATCACAGATAGAATCTTCAGGAGTTTATGAGAGGTAGTCTGCTATGTTGGGTGTTTGATTACTGCTTTACATCTTTAGGACTTTCTAAGCTGTTCAGGTATTTTAATGAACCAAGGGAGAGCACTGTGAATAAAGGATTATGCATAATAAGAAGGTGGTGAGGGGGTAGATTCACAGAGTTTGGGATCTTTTGGATTTGCTTAAACAGTTTGGGGATTACCTTGCTTTACATTGAATAGGCCTGATGTTACTGATGCTCAAGGGAAAGTCAAGTAATTAGGAAAGAAGAAAGCAGGCATCAAACTCAGACAAACAAATGAATATACTATGGAGAAGGAATAGTTGTGGTTGGTGGTTGAAATGGGGAAGGGAGCAGGGAGAAGCGCATGGAATTTCTGGAGGAAATTGGTACTTAATTCCTACTTCAGGGTTTTCGAAACTTACAGGACATTGACTCTTGGATGATACTATTAAACCTAAGCATCTTTTATTTTTTTAGAATAGAAACTTTCAGCTTACATTTTCTTCAGTGTAGGAAAGGAGTCCAGGGGACCAGGGGATAGTATAAATCACATGCTTTGTGATAGGAGCAGTATTTTGAAATTACAGGAGCTCTTCAGCTCCCTGGTGTTTTGTTTGTTTTTTTTAGAATTACCAATTTATAAGTTGTTTAAAAGTGGGAATAGTTATACCTTAATTTTGGAATTAATCTTCATCGAAGGAAGGAAAACATCAATAAACTGATAGTTTCATTTCTTTCTTTGTTTTTTAATGACATCTAATCTTACTGCTTTCTATACTCCTTTTAGAGCATTTCCTTTTCTGGGCAGGCCAAGGCCTGGCCCAGTAGACTTGAGGCAGGATAGGTGGTTGAATGAGGTGGCATGCTGTGTAGAACTTCACTCACATGGGCAGTGGAGAATTTGCCCTGGCCTTGATCTTGGCGCCCCTCCCCCTTGGTGTTGCTTCTTGACACCGCTGTCAACAACTAGAGCCCTGGAAAAGAGCACTTTATTCCTTCAGCTGTTATCGGCCAGGTGCTTATTATGTGCCAGGTAGTATTTTTGGTGCTTAGAATTCATTCAGCAGTAAAGAAGAGAAGAGCCCTACTTGTAAGGAGGAGGGTTAGATAATAAACAAGTAAACTAAAAAATTGATAATTTTAGATAATGATGGAGCCTATAAAAAATATAAAATAAGGGAAGTGACAGAAAATGACTGGGGTGGTAGAATGGGGTGGAGGGGCTACTTCATATAGAGTGTCAGGGAAGGCCTCTCTGCGGAGATAGTATTTCAGCAAAGACTAAAATGATTTTTAAAAAAAGGGCAAGGGTGGAGCTGACTCTTGAGGTTTAGGGAAAGACAGAGGAGGCAGAGGTAGTGTTAAGCCCAGGCCCCAAAGTTAGGATGAGCTTGGTGTATGAGCGAAGCAGGAGCCCAGCCTATTGGGGTTGTGAGTGAGGAGAACAAGTGGCTGGTGATGCGATCGAGGAGGCAAGCAGGGCTGCATCATAGGACCCTAGGGTATGGTGAGCAGTTCATTCTCGGACCACTTCCAGTCAGACAGTGGAAAGAGAAGCTGGGAAACCAGTTAGAAGGTGACTGGTAGGCCAGGGATGAGGTGATAGGGCTTGGGCAAGAATGGTAGCAGTGGGGAGAGAGAAAGGTGGATGGACTTGTGCTGAAAAGTGCAAACTCAGCACTCAGGGACAACTCAGTATTCTCATCTCTTTTGCAGACCTCTCTCTGGGACTCACTGAGCATGGGCAGCTTCCCTGTAGCCACCTGTTTCATCCACCACATGGCATTCTCTGAGATTAAGTGAGGGAGAAAGCACAGCATGATTAAGAGAGATAAAAGGATTATAACAAGAAAGTTATAATCCCAGATTATCAGGTCTTAGAATCAGGTATTTTAGGGAATCTTGTATATTCCCCAAGTAGTAAAAACAACAGCTTTGATTTATAAGGTGAGGCTCCTTTCCAGGAGGTCCAGAGCAGAAGATACTGTTGCTAGGCTTGGATCTATTTTTACAATTGGTTTTAGGTATTGACCAATATCCTGCCAACAAAGGTGGTTCTAGGTGAATCCTCTTGATTGTTTTTTACATGTGGTATGAATCACTTAGCCCTCCCACACTAAAGATGGAGGATCCCTGATCAGAAAATATAAAGAAGCCATATATGTCTCCATCTGTGTTTTAAAATCCTTACTTTTTCCAACAGTGTCTGCTGCACAGAGCTTTACATCCCCGGGAGCCTCTACCCCCAATTCAGCAGCATATTTGGAATATGCTGAATCCTCCCGCTGAGGTGACAACAAAAAGTCAGATTCCTCTCTCTAAAATAAAGACCCTTTTTCCTCTGATTGAAGCCAAGAAAAAGGATCAAGTGACTGCTCAGGAAATTTTCCAAGACAAGTAAGTACTTGGTATAGTTGCATTTAACATTGGGGTACATAAGAGTTGTGGTCATTTTAGAGTGGCTCTGGAAGTGTCACATAGGGGTCTATGGAATTTAAAAGGTGAGAGGAAGAAGCCTTTTGCTATTTGGCCCTTATATTGAAATATTGATTTCTTATATCTGTCTGCTGTGATCATATTTTATCCTTGCTGTTCACTTTGGATTTAGAGCTACCTTCTGGGCTGATGACTTTTTGATCAGCATCAGATTCTTGGTGAATTATATATAATGTATAATTCAGATAAGTTTCTGAATATCTAAGGCTAAATGTCACCCTTTTTAAAGTAAAGTACTGAGAATGAGTGTGTTGAAGATCATAGGTTTTTTGGGTTGGGAGGAGATTAGATGTTGGGGATGTCAATGAGATTTTTGGAGGAAAAGTGGGAACAAGAGTGAAAAACTATCAATTCTTCAGCCGTTCTATTAGTGTATCAGTGATGTATTTGGTTGTGCTATTGGGGAGGTGTTTGTAGTTTTAAGTATTGCAAAATGCTTTTCATATACACTTAAATCAAGCTTACAACTGGCTATTAAGTTTTTTCCCTCTTCTGTTCACAATCTGTGTCAGCTTCCATTCAAAACAAAACAAAAATAAAACAAGAAGAAATTGTTGTTGCTTATCCAGAATTATTTGAGTATGTAAAATTGATTTTTACCAGGTTTAGGTCAACCAGTTATTGGTGACTTTTTTTTCTCAAGCTGGAATAATCTATACATTTCTTTTGGCTGTATTTTGAAATCTGATTTTAAACCATGAATCTTTTCCCCTTTTTTATTTGATTTTTCTCTCCACAACTATCTTTATTGACAAAGCTTCTTATTTATAAATACCCCAGTGGAGAAGTATTGAGTAATTTCCGGAAGTCTTCACAGGTTTCTATAAATCATTGATTTAGAGAATTACTGTCTAAATTGAATAGAAAGTTGTGCACATTCTGTGACTTTCTAAAGGTTAACATCCAAGCTTTGTCAGAATTGAAAAAAAAAATCATGTACTTGGTTCCGCCGCACCAACTGCCCGCCCCCCATAAGACCATCTCTCAAGGAAATTGATAGATTGTTTCTTGATAGATTTTATGATGTGCATTTCTTACACATCCTGGAGAGGTTTTCATTTCTGTTTAGTCTATCGTTCTACACAAGAAGACTGTCCCTAAAAATTCACTTTCCCCCTGCTATCCTTATCTACCTTCTGGATTTGTATTTTAAAACAGTTCAATAAAAGTCTGCAGCCTTTTCTTTCTATGACACCTTGCTGAAGTCTCACTGCAATCACAGGGCTATTCTCTCTCTGTGTGTTAAATCTCCAGTCCGTGATCTTGATTACCTTCTGGTGTTGTGGGAAAGAAATGGGCCATTTTCTGCTCTTCCCTTTGATTAAAATGTAAATTAGCTAGTTAAAAAAGCACACCACCCAGACCCAGAAGGATGCAGTTCTGTCGTTTGATCCCTGCTATGATCACACCTTTGGCTCTGGTCCTGCTGGGCACTCTTCTGGAAGCTTGGGTGTGCTGAGCTTCTTGTTCTTTGCTCCCATAATGGCTCGCAGCATAGCTAAGTTAATCTTGCAGGGGCCTGAGAAGTATCTTACTCACACACGCTTGCTCACGCTCCTATTCTCTCTCTCTTCTGAGAAAGCTTAGTTTTTAAGAATTGTGGAAATGATTCATTTAGCAAATATTGAGTACCACCTGTATTCAAGAAGAATGGTTCAGTCCTTTCTACAAGGTTCTAAAACCCCTCAATTTTGATGATAAAGCTCCAGTCAGTTCTAGAGGTAGTTTTTCCAAGGAAAGAAAAAATTGCCAACAATTCGCAATGTTTTTGTATATATTCATCATCTCTGGATCCAGGGTACATATTTCTAGTGGAGGGGAGAGGGGCTAAGATCAGGAGTGGACAAATGTCTGTTCAGGAAGTTTAATCATCTTAAGAGCTGGGAATCATTCCAGTTTTTTCACTTGATATGATTTTGGTGAAATAATTTTACCTTTATGAGATTTTCTTCACCTAAAGAAAAATCTCAAGAGATACTATAACAATGAACAAAGATATTAAAGCACTTTGAGCAACTGACATCCTTCACTTAACGACAGGGATACATTCTGAGAACCGTGTCATTAGGCAATTTCGTTGTGCGAATGTCACAGAGTGTACTTACACGAGCCCACATGGTAGAATCTACTACACATCTAGGCTATGTGGTATGGCCTTTTGTCCTCAAGGTACAAACCCGTGCAGTGTGTTACTATACTGAATACTGTAGGCATTTGTAACAAAGAGGTATTTGCATATATAAACGTATCTAATGATAGATGCCTAGGGAGGCTGAGGTGGGCAGATAACCGAGGTCAGGAGTTCGAGACAGTCTGGCCAACATTTTTAGTAGAGAATCCCCATCTCTACTAAAAATACAAAAATGAACTGGGCGTGGTGGTGTGTGCCTATAGTCCCAGCTACTTGTGAGGCTGAGACAGGAGAATCTCTTGAACCTGGGAGGCAGAGGTTGCAGTGAGCTGAGATCATGCCACTGCACTCCAGCCTGGGCAACAGAGCGAGACTCCATCTTAATTAAAAAAGAAAAATAAAAGAAAACGTAATGCTTTGCGCTATGATGTCATGACAGCCCTGATGTCACAAGGCGATAAGAATTTTTCAGTTTCATTATAATCTTATGAGACCACCATTGTATATGTGGCTCATCATTGACCAAAACGTCATTCCGTGGCCCAGGAATGTATTTGGAGGGAAGGCAATAGTCAAAACCTAAAGCAATAATAGTATCATTATCTATAAAAACATTGAACCTTTGAGAAGATCTGATATTTGTCTTGGACTTGTTGAATACCTAGTGTTAGAAGTGATTTCATTTCAAGAGGATAAGAGCACCATTTGACACTGTAGACCCAAAATATACTAAATATTACCCTCATCATATAAAAGCATTGCTTCCATTTATGTTGCTGTACACCCTTGAAATGAAAATGTCATCTCTTGGACGGGGAACTTGCATGAGAATTCGGACATCTCAGGTCTAATCCTGCTTGTGCAGCTGATGTATACGTGATCTTGATTTCTGTTTATGCAGGTGGTCTAAAGCTTTCTGCTCTTTTCAGGTCCACGAAGACTCCTTCTCACTTACTCTCAGCAGACATCCTCACTTGGTTAATGGTTAAGACTTCAGACTCCAGAGTCAGCCAATATGAGTCAGACCCCTTGCTCTGCAGTGTGGCCTTAGGCATAGGTTACATATCCTCTCAAAGCCTCAGTTTCCTCATGGGTAAAATAGGGATAATAGGAATATCTGTCTTATAGAGTTGTCATGGGGGTTAATGCGAGCAGTGTATGCTGTTCACTCTTGTATCCCTAGGACCTGGCAAAGTGCCTAGCAAATAGTAAGAACACAGTGTTTGGAGTAAATGATTTTAAAAATCCTAGTAATATGCCTGGCATGTTAGTAGTGACAATGACAGTAGAGGCCAATAGGTGGTGTATTAGCATCACTCATGCTGCTATAAAGAAATACCCAAGACTGGGTAATTTCTAAAGGAAAGAGGTTTGATTGACTCACAGTTCCACATGGCTGGGGAGGCCTTGGGAAACTTACAATCATGGCAGAAGGCGAGGGAGAAGCAAAGGTGCATCTTATGTGGCAGCAGGCAAGATCGAGTGTATATCAGCACAGAAGAAACTACCTTATATAAAACCATCAGATCTCATGAGAATTCACTCACTATCACAAGATTAGCATGAGGGAACCGCCCCCATAATCCATTCACTTCCCACCCGCTCTCTCCCTAAACACCTGGGGATTACAATTCAAAATGAGATTTGGGGCTCGGCTCAGTGGCTCATGCCTGTAATCCCAGCACTTTGGGAGGCCAAGGCAGGTGGATTACTTGAGGTCAGGAGTTCCAGACCAGCCTGGCCAACATGGTGAAACCCTGTCTCCACACAAAAAAAATACAAAAATTGGTTGGCTGTGGTGGCACAAGCCTGTAATCCAGCCACTCGGGAGGCTGAGGCACGAAAATTGCTTGAACCTAGGAGGCGGAGGTTTGCAGTGGGCTGAGATCACACCATTACACTCCAGCCTAGGCAACAGAGTGAGACTGTCTTAAAAAAAAAAGAGAGAAAAAAATTTGGGTGGGAACACAAAGCGTAACCGTATCAGGTGAGAACTCCGCAGTTTTGTGGCCCATCTTATCTCAAAACATACCTGTTTTTGCATGTACCTCCCTTCTTTTCCTGTCTCAGTGAAATAGGGTATTTATTTCATCCTGCCTAAAGTGAATTCCTTTACCTGTGCCCTGGATCCTTTTTTTTCTTGTTTTTTTTTTTTTAATTTTAGTTTTTGAGACAGGGTGTCTCTCTGTCACCCAGGCTGGAGTGCAGTGGCAGGGTCACAGCTCACTGCAGCCTAGACCTCCTGGGCTCAAGTGATCTCCCAACTTGAGGATCCTCAGTAGCCTCCTGAGTAACTCACGCCGGCTAAGTTTTTTATATTTTGTCGAGATAGAGTCTTACTTTGTTCCCTAGGATGGATTCCTTTTTCTGCTTCATCTGGTACCTTAGGCCACTAATAATTTCTTCTCTCTTTCTGTATTTTTAGCTTCTCCCTCGCTACCACTAACTCCTTTCTTCTCTCATGTTAAATTTCTTTCATTTAACACAAAATAGTCCCCCTAGCTTCTTCCCTCTAATTACTACCTGTTACTAATTACTAATCTAATTATTATCTTTCCTTCCAGAAGCCAGGCTCTTGGAAGAATAGTCTATTCTGCAACCTTTCTCAGCTCTCATTCTCACCAGCTTTTGCCCCCACCACATCCTTGAAACTCATCTTTCAAAAGACACTAACTGCTAAATTCACTTCGGCTTTGTGGTTCTTTGCTTTCTTGACCTCTTTGAAGCACTTGACACTGTCAGTTATTCCTGCTTTCTTGAGACTCATGTATCTGTCTTAACTTCAGCTTCTCCAAATTTTTCTTTTTCAATCTTTGGCAGCTCCCTCTCAGATTCCTGTGGGGGCTGCTTTTGTGTGTTTTTGTGTTGATATTCTGTAGAATTTGTCCTCAGAAACAGCAAACATTTATTGAACCTTATGCTGAAGATAATGGGAAGCCATTAAAGCAAGGGTTTTTAATCAGGGTTCCAAAGATTGATATCAAGGAATCTGTGAACTACCTGAAATTACATTCAGACTTCAAAACTTAATATGTTAAGTGCTTTACATGATGCTAAGTGCTTTACACACATTATCTGTTTGGACCCACGTTGCCATCCTATGAAGTAGATTCTTCTGTTGACCCCCAACTTAAAGCTCAGGAGACTCAGGATTAGAGAAGATGAGAAACTTGCCCAAGATTGTAGTTGGTAGGTGTTGGAGTAAGGATTTAAGTGTAGGCAGTCTGACTCCAGAGCTTGTACTTCAAACTGTAATGCCACTTTGCCTTAGCAATGCATGTCCCAAGACCTCTTTTTTATTTCAGAGCCTCAAAAACTACTAAATACCTATCTTCAGCTCGGATTTCTATCCCATCAACTAAATAGCTTAGGTGCCTGTAGGCCCCTCCAGTTCAGTAAGCCAGAAATGGCTTTGTTATCTGCTTTCTTCTTCCTGCTCCTTTCCAACCCCTCTTCATGCTATTATTCTCTATTTCAGTGAATGACACCTAATTTCTTGGGAGTCTTCCTTTTCTTTTACATTCTATATGTAATTGGTTTACCAAGTTGTATTATATTTACCTCAAATCTAACGCTTTCACTTAAGGTTAGTCTGGTGGCTAATGGCATTGATTTTGGGGTCGAATTTGGAGCTAAACTCAAGCATTTCCCCTTAAAAGCAGTTGAAATTGGCAAGTTGCTCAGTGTCAAGTGGCAATAACAAATGCCTGCCTTCCAGGAGGTTGGTTAGGAGAATGGGTGAGTACAGGATTAGTTCTTTCCCTTTACTGTGTGCTTTAAACAAGGGATCAAACTTTCTTCAGGCTTAGTTTGCTCATCTGTAAAAGGATGCTGATAATAGCTAACTCATAGGGTTGTTGCAAAATTTAACTGAGATAATTTAAATGTGTGTAACATAGTGACTAGCACATGGTAAGCATTAAAAAGAAACGTAAGCTCTTAATAGCATCGCCCACTGCCACTGCTTTTATGTAGGCCTTCTCATTTTAGCCTGCCTCACTGACATAAGCTCTTCACTAATTTCCCTAATTTGTCTTACCCCTTTCCAATTCATGCTGCTACCTGAGTGAGTTTAAAAAACAAACCTGATCCCATCACTGTCTTGCTTAAAATTCTTAAAAGTAGTGATTCTTAATCATGTGTGAAAGACAGAGAGTGCAGTGAACTCACTTGATACAAAATCTATGAACTGTCTTCCCAGAAAAATGCTTTAACATACTAAGTTTTGAAGTTTGGATATAATTTCTGGTAGTTCACAGATTCCTTGATGTCATCTTTGGACCCCCAATTAAAAAACGCTTGCTCTAATGGCCTCCCATTATCCCCAGCATAAGGTCAAACTCTTTTACACAGATAAGAGAATCCAGATAAGCAGAAAGAAAAGAGGCATCTATTCATAATCCAACTATCTAGAGAAAACCATTTTCTTTTTTTAAAGTAAATAAAAATGAACTTATTAAAAAAAACCATTTATCATTTCACAACACATCAATAACCAAGTAGAAAATAAAAAAATATATAAAAGCCTGGGCAACATAGTGAGACCTCATCTCTACAAAAAATATAAAAATTAGCTAGGCATGATGGCACACACCTGTAGTCCCAGCTACTCTGGAGGCTGAGGCAGGAGGATCATTTGAGCCCAGGGTTCAAGGTGGCAGTGAGCCATTATTACACCTGTGAATAGCCACTGCACTCCAGCTTGGGCAACATAGTGAGACTCCCATCTCAAAAAAAAAAAAAAAAAAAGACAAGGAACTAATAATTAGGATATACAAGGACCTCTTGGCAAATCAAAAAATAATTTTTCAATTTTTCCATGGAAAAATGGTCAAAGATTATAAAAAAGCAAATCACAGGAGCAGAAACTCAGCTGGCTTACAAGTGTATGAAGAGATCTTCAATCTCAATTAGTAATCAGAAATGTAAATCAAAGCAAAAAAAAACATTGGCAAATATTTTTAAACATTAGATGATACCAGTTGTTGGTGAGAATATGGGAGAAACAGGAACTTCTGTGTACTGCTAAGGGGGAATGTAAACTGTTACAGTAGGACATTAGAAGCAACCAGTGTACTCGTCACTAGGGGAAAATGGTCTGTAAACATGGTAGATCCATATCATGGATTATGCTGCAAGTAACAGCCACATGGACAGATCTCTAAGGTCACCACTGAAGGAAAATTAAGAAAAAGAATAAGATCTATAATAGCCTATATCATCTTGTACTTAAAAAGCACATACATAAAGCAGTACTGTGTAACTTAATAAAAATATATACACATCTAAGATGTATCTGATATATCGGTGGGTACAAGAGGGTAAGTGGGGTGCAGAGGGAGTGGGAAAATAACTATGAAGGGGAAAGGTACTAAAATACAACGAGAAGGGCCTGGCACAGCCCATATTTGATAATGTGCTAAGAAGTCATTAGAAATTTTGAATGACTGAATTCCCTATACCTGAGGTCCCCCTTTAAAAAGCTCACCCTTCTTATAGACGAAGAAGCGAAGACACTAAGTTACAATGATATAAATTAAGCTACCAATGACAAAGTGCTCAGTCAACCTTCTGCCTTGTGTTGATAACACTAATCTGCCCTAGTTATATCTAAAGAAAAATATACTTTCATACAGATTTCACAGCTTTTCAACATCCATATATCTGGAAAGATAAGAACATTTGTATATCCTTCCATATGAGTCCTTGTGATTCGTTGAGGCCATAGGTTAAGTTTCCTTTCAGTCATTCCAAGGAGAATCAGCATGACCAAGCAAAGCAGGTTCCAAAGGCAGGAAGCAGAAGCAATATGATGCTGTGGAGGTACCTTTCTGAAACAGTCTCTTCTGCTGTTGTGGGGTCTTTGGGCAACCCTTCAATTTAAGTGCTTGGCAACAAGTCTGCTGAGATAGGCTGACCTTGTAGCTTTTGTAGTCTCTATCGTACAGCACTGGTCAGATCTACATAAGCCTCATCGATGCTGACGCATTCAATCACAGCAAAACAAGACTTCCTCCATCACTTCAACACTGGCTTCCCGGTACTTGGTGAGGTTAGCTTTCCCATGGTACTCACGAACTTGTGCCAGTAGAAGACCTGGACTTAACTTCTTTGCATCATCTGCCTACATATAGTGACCCCAAATGCAAGAGCTTCATAACTCACTGCAATTATTCTACCACCTTCCATGATTTGTACTACACAGCTGCACAAGATTTATTCCTCAAATGAGGATTTTGCCGCTGCTCCATTGGAACAAAGTCTATGTCCATGAGAGTAACCACACAATCCTGTCCAGTAGCCATTTTTCAAGGTAACAGACACCTGGCCAGACTGCCAGCAGTGGGTGCCGCAAATGCTGGGCTCGGTGCCCACTGGAAGGAAAATGGAAGAAGGGCTTTTGAATATCTTTTCGCCTTTCTGGGGAGAGTTTCGAGAGATTTATTCCCCGTGATGACAGAGGAACAGAGAAGGGGTCGTGAAGGATCCTGCCCAGGCGACCGTCCCCACAGTTCAGCAGGGATCAGCCGAGAGCAGTGTGCCCAGCAACAAAGCCACCAGACTGAGGACAGACAGCACGCACGCTGCCTAGAGAAAACCATTTTCTTTCCTCACGTTTTTTAATGCTCCTAATTAATGTGTTTTCTAGCTCCTTCTCTCACTACGTCCCAGCTTTTGCACCTTATGCTTTAACCCAATACAACTATTTTCTTTTTTTTTTGTTTTTTTTTTGTTGTTGTTTTTTGAGACGGAGTGTCACTCTGTCACCCAGGCTGGAGTGCAGTGGCGCCATTGTGGCTCACTGCAAGCTCTGCCTCCCGGGTTCACGCCATTCTCCTGCCTCAGCCTTTCGAGTAGCTGGGACTACAGGTGCCCGCCACCATGCCCGGCTAATGTTTTGTACTTTTAATAGAGGTGGGGTTTCACCGTGTTAGCCAGGATGATCTCGATCTCCTGACCTCGTGATCCGCCTGCCTCAGCCTCCCGAAGTGCTGGGATTACAGGCATGAGCCACCACGCCCGGCCAATACAACTATTTTCTATCCTCTGAAAGAGATAGGCCTATCACAGTATTTTGTTAATTGTCTATATGTATACTTCAATTTTTATTTGGCTGAAGGTGTTGATGGTATATTAATTTTTGTATATTGAGAGTTTAGAGTCTAGCTTAGTGGCTGATATATAGTACATATTCAGTAAATATTAGGCTAAATAAGTGAATTGCAAAATTCATACATGTTTGTGAAAGAAAATAAGAAAGGAGAAAGAACAAATTACCCATGGTCTCATCATCCAGATGCACCAACTGCTGACATTTATATGTCTACTGTGATCTTGTGTGTATAAATTTCTACTTTCTAGAGCTTAGCGCCTTCATAGATAATTTAGGGAAGAGAGTCATTACCCTTTCCCACTTCACATAGAGATTATGAATTTAGTGTATGCAAAATTCCTAATAATGCTGTTAAATGATTTGGCCTGGAGAATATTAACCATACTAAATTTTACTGTGTTGTGCATATGACTGGGGCTACTTTTACTTGCCTGGTACGGGAAAATTGTGTATGTGTCTGTTTACCCTTCTTTCCCTAGAACCTCATTTTGGAGGGTTGAAGAAATTCTTCATGTGATTCAACTTCATATTCCCCCACAACTTAGCTTTTTATGTGTAATCCTTCTTAATACTACTATATAAGCTAATCTGTATTTGTGGAAGAGAATAGTTGATATACTGATGGTAGTTTTCATCATAGTGCTTTCCTAAGGAGCAGACTGAAGCTCAGAGAGGTTTGTAGCTTACTAGACTCTAAACTCTAGATAGATAAAAATTAGTACACAGTGAACGCCATCAAGAAGGTGTAAGATTTCAGGGCTAGTCAGTGGCAAAATCGAGACTAGAATCCAGGTCTTTTGACTCCAACTCTTCAGTAGTTTAATGTTGTTGGCTTGTCTCTTGGGAAGAACTGGCAAAGGTTAATTGAAATGACTGGCTCTGACCTTTTTTTTTAAAACAGACTCAACTTCTAATGGAATTTCATTCTACCTTGGATTTCTCCTTTTTTTCTTTCATTTTTCCACGAAGGCTGTGTGTTTATTTTTTATTCTACTTGCAAGAAAAGAGTTCTGGGTGACTTACCCCTTGTAATGTTTCCTGGTTCCCACCCTTCTGTCTTCTACTTTGCTCTTGTCTACTTCTCAAAGGGAAAACATTTAGTGGTGAATGGGAAAGATGCCAAATAGTGAAAATTTTAATTCATGGATGTATGGCTGTGATGATTACTTTAGTTCTTTTACCTACCTCTAAGAGGAAATTCATTATTGAAATTGAGGAAGCCCATATATGTTTTATTTTCTCTTGGCTTCATTTTATTTTTAAAATTTATTTTTGCTTCATTTTTAAAATAACTTCATTTTCAAGCCTCATTGTCTGAAGGTTGAGGCTTTGAGCAAAAAAACAACACATTTAGAAATTCTAGTCCTGAAAATTGCTGAGAAATTTTAACTGTTCTCATAATAAAATAAGTAAATGAAATAATGCATATGATAATTAGCTTAATTTAGCTATTTCACAATAAATGCATATTTTAAAACATTTTGTACATGATAATATATACAATTTTTATGTTAAAATAAATGAATTTTTAAAATTTCTAGATCTTGGTTACTAATTCTCTTATCATTTAGCCATTTCTGATGGCTGCTTTTGCCCTAGATTGCATTTCTCTCTGGGAGAAAAAAATCTTAATTTCTTTATGTTCAGCAGCTTAAGGGAGATTACAGGCAGAGTCTTTGGATTTGATTTTCTTCTCTTTTGCAATTAACTTGACCTCCTCTTGACTTTAAGACAGGCTGTTAAAGCCAGCATGTTGCTTGAGGCAAGATGTTTGATATACTTTTCCTTAGCACACAGATGCTACTGGACTGTTAGCATATTGCACAAAACAGAATTAGGTTTATAAAAGAACAAATTAAAAAGTTTTCGGGGAAGTTTTTTTTTTATAGTTTACGACTTCTTTAAGAGGGAAAGCTCTTGCATAGTTAATTAAGGATTGTCTAGTAAGTTTTGACAGTTGTAAACAGAGGCTTATAAAGCTCTAACATACATGATAGAGAAAACGGGTTGTTAGACACAAAGGTCTTCTGTGTACATGGAAAGCTAATAGCTGTCAATTCTGAGACAGGAACTAGAAAATAATATCTGAAGAGTAAATGGATTTCTTACTTAAATGTTAAATTTCCATTATCTGTGCTTGCAGTTTCATCTTTTCCAAGGACCTTATGATGTGATTGCTTAATTCTGATTCTCATACTGCTGTGAAACAAAGCCAGGGCTGCCTCAAGTTAGGCCCTTAGGAGCCCGGTGGCTAGGAAAGGGAGGCAGCTTGTTTGTAGAAGGACTACATGTAGCTATTGTTTTTCTTTTCTTTTTCTTCTTCATTATTTTTCTTTTCTTCTTCTTCTTTTTTCTTTTTTTTTTTTGGTGCTTGGAAAATAAGTTTCACAATAGCAATCTGGTTTTGTATTGTTTGTTCTAAGAGAAATTTTTTTTTTCTTTTCTAGCCATGAAGATGGACCTACAGCTAAAAAATTAAAGACTGAGCAAGGGGGAGCCCACTTCAGCGTCTCCAGTCTGGCTGAAGGCAGTGTCACCTCTGTAAGCTAAGCTTTTCAAGTGCGCTTCCCCCTTTGCAGGAAGGTTGGGGCTTGAGGGAGAGTGCATCAATTTTTGTTAGTCCGTTCTTACCACTTTCAAGTTAAGATCATGATCACTTTCTCTGGTCCTTGCTCTATAGAAGCCAAAAAGACCCATTCCATACTTCTTTAAGTAATTATTATCATGAATTGCCTACAGAATTATCTATATGATATAAGGTATATAGAGCTCTTTATAGAACGTGGAACATCTCAGTGTTGAGATTTTGCTGTTGGCATTATTTTGCAGCTTTTCAACTAGTCAAAATGATAGGATAAGTGGGGGTTAGTGATACGAGCCTTAATCTTCAAGTACACACAATTTAAGTTAGTATAACTTTCCTATTTTCTAACATGCAACTTTAGAACAGGATTCACAAGTTTAGGATTTCCCCAAGAATGTATCCTTTGATACATGAGATTTTTATTGAATGAGAAATTTTTTGGAACTTGAAAATACTACCTTAATTAATTAATTAATTAATTAATTAATTTTTATATCTTGGTCAGCCAGGAGGAAGAATATTTTATTTAATTTTAGAGATAGGTTGTCACTGTCACCCACGCCGGAGTACAGTAGTGTGATTTTAGCTCACTGCAGCCTTGAAATCCTGAGCTCAAGTGGTCCTCCTGCCTCAGCCTCCTGTGTAGCTAGGACTAAGGGTACATGCCACCATACCCGGCTATTTTTCATAGAGGTGGGGTCTCAGTATGTTACTCCTGGGCTCAAGCAATCCTCCCGCTTCAGCCTCCCGAAGCACTGGGATTATAGTCATGAGTCACTGCACCCAGCCAAATAGTGCCTTGTTCTAAGCAGCATTAGTGTGAATCAACAAATCTTAAAAATTGGCCGATAACTTTTTAACACAATGTACTAGGAAGGATAGTCAGGGAATAAAGGGCATGCCTTTATTCTCACCTCAAACAGAAACTCAGAAAAATTGAATGTGTGAAAAATGATTTAGATTTCATTTAGATGTTTTATATATAATAGTAAAGGAAAAAGTCATGATCTTGTTCTGAGAGCTTTTCTGCTTCCTATATCCAAGCAAACTGGAAGCTTTAGTATATTTTGGAACCCCATTGTTTTCTTTCTTATGAGCTGAGTGGTTCTTAGGCCCTGTGAGGGTTGGGGCCAGCAGATTAAAAACATAGGTATAATCAGAAAGTTCCATATAATATGGCAGTTTCGTCTTTCAAACTTCCTCACCCAGCACTGCAGTACATCTTTGTACATAATCTGCTTTTACTTTCTGAGGACATGTTCAACCTGGGTATGCTTTGTATATTCTACCAAAACTTCAGTGCCAAAGGGTCAGCAGCAGTCCCACTAATGGGCACTTCGGTGAATCAGGCATTAAGCTGTATTTCTCATGTTATCTTAGTGGGGCAAATCTATTCGAAACCGACCCCACACTGCAGAATCCTCGGCTTTCTAATTGGTTGGGTGACAGGATATACAGGCAGTCTGTGCTACACAAAGCCTTCCAGCTGGGCTGGCTGGTGGCTTGAGTTGTAATACTTTTTTGACCCTTCTGGAAAGAAATCAGCTTTCATAAAGCAAGGTGAGTGAAAGCACAGAGGGCAGCTCTTGGACCACTGAAATCTGCCGGCCTTTCACAGAGCCCTAGAAATGAAAATGAATAGAAAAGCCCTTCTCTTTGTCTTTGGTTTTATTTTATAAGAGCACACTTATTACATTAAGCCATCTTGTATTGCCTGGGGTGCTGCTAAAAAGAGAAATAACCTGTAGGTTTATCATCTGTTGGTATATTTTAGGTTGGAAGTGTGAATCCTGCTGAAAACTTCCGTGTTCTAGTGAAACAGAAGAAGGCCAGCTTTGAGGAAGGTGAGTGGTTGACTTTGCATTTAGGAGAAGCTGTTTAGTTAAGCTAACTAATTTAAAGTCTAGATTAAGAACTGTAGCCTTTTGTTGTAACACTTTAGCATTTTTCTTTACTGGCGGATCTTTGTGGTTTTCCCTTGTTAGGGAGCTCACTGAGGCAACATTATGAGCACATGAAAGTGAACTCAGCACAGATTTTCTCAAAAGGAACTAATTTGTAGGTCTCCCTACAGAAAAACTTTGGGCCAACACCTTGGCGCTTATAGCTCCACTTCATTGAAGTTTTTTAGGATTTTGTCGTGAGCTATAAATAAAACACTTTTATGTCACATCTTCCTATTTTATTTTCTTCCTTTTTTTTCTTTTTTTTTTTGAGATGGAGTTTCTCTCTTGTTGCCCAGGCTGGAGTGCAATGGCATGATTTCAGCACACCACAACCTCTGCCTCCCGAGTTGAAGCGATTCTCCTACCTCAGCCTCCCGAGTAGCTGGGATTACAGGCGTGCACCACCATGCCCAGCTAATTTTGTTTAGACGGGGTTTCTCCATGTTGGTCAGGCTGGTCTTGAACTCCTGACCTCAGGTGATCTGCCAGCCTCAGCCTCCCAAAGTGCTGGGATAACAGGTGTGAGCCATCGTGCCCGGCCACATCTTCCTATTTTCAGAGACACATAATTCTTGTTCCAGTCCTAAGAGTTTGTGGCCCATTTATAGTAGACCTAGAAAGACCTTGATGCTGCCCCTAAATTTAATCCTTCTCAAAATGGCTGCATGGTCACTTTTCCTTATCAGGTAGTACCTAGAATCTCATTTAGGCTGTGGCTAACATAAAAATAGCTTTCAGGGATGCACAGAGGGCCTGGAACTAACATTCATTCACTTGATTGCATTCAGGTTTCTGTTCATTTACCCTTTAAATGGTGGCAACTGGCAGTTGTTAATCCTGCAGGTTTATATATAAACTATTATATTCATTATTGCTGGTCCAAGTCTGGCCTGTCTGCGAGCTGACTTCTACGTATGTGAGTGTTTATGTTTGTTCATGTGTGTATAGAACTTTCTCTTCCAACATCCTGCAGGGAGCAGGGGAATCACTTTTTTTTTTTTAGTGACAGGGTCTCGCTGTGTCACCCAGGCTGGAGTGCAGTGGCAGGATCATAGCTCACTATAACGTTGGACCTCTGGGCTCAAGTGATCCTCCCACTTCGGCCTCCCAAAGCTCTGAGATTACATGTGTAAGTCACCATGCCTGGCCAAAAATTACTTTTTTTCTTTTTCTTTTTTTTGGGGGGACAGAATCTTGCTCTGTTGCCCAGGCTGGAGTGCAGTGGTGAGATCTCAGCTTACTGCAGCCTTCACCCTGGCCTCCTGAGTAGCTGGAACTACAGTTGCATACCCCCACGCCCGGCTAATTTTTGTATTTTTAGCACAGACGGGGTTTCGTTATGTTGGCCAGGCTGGTCTTGAACTCTTGACCTCAAGTGATCTGCCCACCTTGGTCTCCCAAAGTGCTGGGATTACTGTGAGCCACGGTGGCATGAGCCACCGTGCCCGGCCCAAAAATGAGAGTTAAATGCCTAGAAGCACTACTGCCTGCAGTAGGTCTAATGCATCTTACTACTTGCAGTCTAGGAATCCTGGCAAGATCCCCAGATCTACTGTGCTGTTGTCCAGAGGCAAGCATGAGCAGCTGAGCCTCAGAGAGAGCTTACAGTCTACCAGGCTTAAATCCTGTCAGCAGGAATGCCAAAGGCCAAACCATGAGAATCTCCAGAGGAAGAACAGCTTCGTTATCACAGTAATCTGCAGTCTCTTAAGTGGGGTGTATATGTTTTTGGTTTTGAGATGGAAGAAGAGCTTTTTGTCCTGCTAAAAGTTGCCATATAGGAGAAAAACTTTGAGTTTTAACACAAAACAAAACCTCATGTAAATAGAAGGAGATCTGAAGTTCTAAGTGACAGTTTTCTAGGATTGGTGAAAACAGTACTTCAGAATTTCTCTCTTTAATGTATTGGAGTGATCAAGACACTTTCACAGTATTATACCTGTTGTCTGTTCAGCTGTATATTGTTACAGGGTGCTCGGAAAGTGGCGGAGATGCTGCTGTGACAAGTCAATGAACTCTTGTCTATCAAGACTATTGTGTTTTTGAAGGAAAATTGAGACTTTCCTAGCTTTCAATTGTATGTCGTCAATTACCTCAGCCAGTCAAAGTCCAAGGTCCCCCGTTTGGAAGTGATTGGACTCTGTGGTTGGTGTAGGCATGGTCTTTTCAGGGACTGAATCTAGCTGTCATCACCATTATATGGTAGCCACTAGCGGTTTCATATTTACTATGTTCAAGGCATTGTGCTAGCACTTTTATGTTATTTTAATTACCCTGCATTAGCAGTTCTGCAAAATCTTGTGAAGAAATGAAGAAAATGTTAGAGCTTTAACAGCTTTTGCCAGAATTTTCTGAGAGGATTGCTTTACTTGGGAAAATAACTTTGATAAGTGCTTAGGGTAGAGAATGAGTCTCCATCCCCAGACTTGGTTGGCTAGTCCAGAGGCTTCGGAGGAAAGGAAGCTCCTCAGCATCATAGAAGTAGAAAAACTGGAGCTGGTTTAGGAGAGGAGGGGCTTAGAAGAAGAGGGGAGAGGCAGGGAGACAAAGTGGGTGAATTTACGCACAGTCACGGCCTTCTACAATACGTTTCAAACTCATGACCACAAATTACTCAGTGTCAGTACAACTCTGGAAATGCCAGGTTTAAGTGCTGTATTTGGGGAAACTGGCAGTTTGGTATCTGGCATTATTTCATGCAGAGCAGAGAAAGCACCTGAGCACACAGGAGGCCAGAGTCTGAAAAGACCAGGAGAGAGTCAGTTACTGAGAATCTACTCACATCTTAGGAAAATATGTCTTACCCCTGGCCATGGGATTGGGGATTCAGAGCAGTCTTGTGAAAATAGCAAGGGCAAGCGGACCCTAGATAGCATGTAAGTTAACAATTAGTATTATTATCTCCATTTTACTGATGGATAAACTGTAAAATTGGAGGAGATGCATTTTCCCAAAGATCACATAGGAATTCAAACACATGTCTCTTTCAAATACTGGATTTTTTACGTAGCCATATTGTTTCTTTTGATTCCTAATGACTTCCTTTCCTACGCTTTTTAAAACAACATTTTAAGGTCGTGTATCTGAAACCTTGTACCTACTGATAGGACTTTTGATGAATAGATTGTTCTTTTATATTGAATTTGACTTTGAGACCCAGCATGTTGCTAGTATTTCGACAAAAGATGTCCCTCTGACCTCCGTCTAAGACTTGGTGAATCAGAGCCCTCTAGTGATGTCACAAAACCAGACTCTCCACAGAGCTGTCGGAAAATGGATTGCTTATTAGCAACTAGTTCTCGTGATTTTAACTTGGCTTCCGTTTTATCCCTTCTGCCGTTCTTGGTGCCAGCTCCAGAATTGATGTCCTGTTCTTTGTTTTGGGCATCTTGTTTGTTTGTTTTTCCGCTAGGGCATCTTTTTACTAACGCCCTTTATAAGCCAAGACTCACTTCTCTTGCAGGCCCAAAGAGTTCTCCCTCCCTAGTAGTGGTCTTCTTTTAGAGAGATTTCTGTCCAGAGTCGGGAGACAGGAATCCCTTCCCCTTTTCTCCAGTAAATTTATTTTTTAAAATTCAGTTGTCAAAAGGGCGATCAGCGATAGATAGTTGGTAAGATTGTTTGACCCTTAGGTAGAACTCGGCTGTTTTACCTATCATTATAAATTAAAATATGGGTGTAGTTACTTTTTCTCAGGCCTGATAGTAGCATAATCAAACTGAGAGTCTTGTGATTCTGTCCCCGACATCAGCAGTCTATATATAGTAGGCAGCTACACATTTTCTTAACTTCTGGTTTTCAGTGTGAGGGATGTATCTTGTTCTAAGCTTACTGGCAGAGAGGAGATAACCAATGCCCTGAACCCCAGGAAGCATGTTCTTTCTGGCTGCCCTTTTCCCAGTCCCTTTCCTCCATTCTCCCTACCCATCACCATTCTATCACCACAGAGTTAGAATAGAAAACAATTTTTTTTCTCTTTTCCTTTTTTGTGAAGGGGTCTCAGTCTGTCGCCCAGACTGGAGTGCAGTAGCATGATCACAGCTCACTGCAGCCTCTACCTCCTGGGCTCAAGTGATTCTACCACCTCCACCCCGCCAAGTACCTGGAGCTACAGGCACACACTACCACACCAGGCTAATTTTTGTAGTTTTTGTAGAGATGAGGTTTCGCCATGTTATCCAGGCTGGTCCTGAACTCCTGAGTTCAAGCGATCTGCCTGCCTTGGCCTCCCAAAGTGCTGGGATTACAGGTGTGAGCCACCAAGTCCAGCTCAGAAAAAATTTTGACCACAGCTGTATATATAATAATCATCTATCAGTTATGAAAGTAGGGTTGTTTCCCTACATACACTATTCATAAGCACATCATTGCCATCATCTGGGATTTGTTACCTGTCGTTGTGGGTTTCAGAGTCTCCAGAGGCTCTTTACATTGAGTTTATCCACTTGTTTGGATATCTTCCACCCAGCTAATCAACAGAGTTGCTAAGGAGGAATGCCATGATTTTCAGCTCCTTGCGCTTTCCCAACTTAGGAAGAATGCTAAAATAAAATAAAATAATAAAATGTCAAAAGATAGACAGCAGGTTCAAGAAGGAAAAGCCACATTACTTCTTTCCTCCGGACAATTCCTGCGCGATTATGTCTGAATTTATAAATTCCCACTGAGTATGGGAGATAATGTAAAATAGCTTGAATGTTCTTGGTGTGTCAAAAACAGGTTTTGTGAGGATCTTAAGAGCCAGAAAGGATGGATATATGGGGACAGATAAAAGGATGGAATGTAACTTAACTTTATAATGAGACGATTCTCTTTCAGGGACCTTGTTTTTGCCACTGAGATTGTAGTTTCTGTATTAGGCTTGTGTGTAGTGACAGGGTGGCAGAGCTCCATGTTACCAAATTGAATTCACTTGAGCCTGACTGGTTTAAAAAAAGTCTGTCAAGAGAAGACCTAAGTAGAAATAATACAGACCCCAAACAGCCTTAACATTTGACTCATGTACAAGAGAGCAGTAATATGTACTTGTCCATTTGATTAGAAGGTGATCACTTCATTTTTTTCCCCTTTCACTTTGTTTGGATTACGTCTCATCCTAGAGTCTTTTTGCCTTTGTTCTTCAACCTTCTTTAATCTCACTTACTAGAAACATCCTTTCATTTTTAAAAGATATTTCCTAAAATTCACTTTTTCCAAGCAATTTCAGCACTAGATAGAATATGGTACAATTAGTAATAATATGATATTCATCAAAGCCAAATAGTTTTCAGTGTTGGTTTTGTATGGTATAGCACTATCCCATTTGCATAGCTGTTTACTTACATACATTATGTGATTTTCTGCCAGGAGTCAAGCCCTAAACAGTGAACCTTCGAGAATTGTGATCTAGCAGAAATCTCTCTCGTGTGTGTGTGTGGGTTTGTGTGTGTGTGTGTGTGTGTGTGTGTGTGTGTGTGTGTGTGTGATTTTTTTTAATTGATCCTGATTCATGTAATCTTGGGTATGAATTATATAATGAATTATACTCTGCCCAGATAGATAAGAAGATAAAAATATGGCGTTTTTCTACACAGCGCTGGTAAATTTAAGAAAAATAAGCTCTTTCAAATACCTTGAGCATCTTAAAGATGCTAAATACAAACAGTCACTAAAATTTTAAACATCTTTAGCCCTATAAAAGTTTTTTTCTTAAAGAATTTGACATACTTTTTTAGTCCTTTCTCCAAATAGCATTGATACATCTAATCATGAGAAAATTCATGATTAAGGATTCCAGAGGTTTAGTCTGTACTTTGTATTTTTATTAAATATCTCACTTGTTTTTCACTGGTTTTCTTTTTGACTCATTTTAAATTATTAAACCTCAGAACCTGACAATCCAGGCTTATTTTATGCCTCATTTATCAGGACAAGTGGTCTCATTGTAACACAAAAATCAGTGTGTTTGGAATTGTAGAGAATACTTGCTGAAAGGGTGTGTTATCTGACATCGTAATTATGCACCATTGGCCTTTAAGGTGTTGTTCATCTTTCATGTGGGCGGACTGAGGCCCAGAGTAGTTAGGATGACTTTTCACAGATAATTGCAAATATGTGAAAGACTCTGGATCAAATTCCAGAGAGCCAATTCTTGGCCTCTGTGGCTTAAACCTTTTTACTGGTTGTGTATATTTCATTGGATGGCACAGCACCACCCTGAAGTTTACATCTTAATATAATGAAACTCAGCAGCCAAATAATTTAGATGAAATCATTGAAATAGAGATGAAAAGAAAAAATAAAAAGCACATGACGTAGAAACTAAAGACCATTATGCACACATAATCATTTTAAGTATTTTCATTTTTCAGCGACTCTTCCTAAAAGGCTTTCATCTATTCTTACCCAGCCTTTAAAATCCTTTTAAGTTCCTGTCAATCTGTATCAGAATATCCCTAATTACAGGATATAGCTCTTGTAAAATGTAGCCTGGCTATCCATTAAGAAAGAGAAATGTGTGGTAGCATAAAAATGAAAGCATGTTTGCTGTAGTTACATTCTGTTAACTGAAAAAAATCACAAGATCTATAAATTTAGAAAAAGAGAGCTTTATTTCTTATAAAGGGTTACAGCTTGCAAGGTGGAAATAGCAAGGCCAAGTGGACCCTAGATCGCATATAAGTTACAGTAAGTATTATTATCCCCATTCTACTGATAGATAAACTAAAATTGGAGGAGATACATTTTCCCCAAAGATCACATAGGAATTCAAACGCATGTCTCTTTCAAATACTGGATTTTTTACTTAGCCATACTGTTTCTTTTGATTCCTAATGCCTTCTTTTCCTACACTTTTTAAAACAACATTATAGGGTCACATATCTGAAACCTTGTGCCTGTTGATAGGACTTTTGATGAAAGCCTGGGAAAGGCTATTCCTAGTCTATTCAAAGGCTGGGAAACATGGCCTCCAGCCAAAGCCCAGAGACAGGCACTATGAAGGAGGGTTTGGGGTAAGAGCATTATTGCTGACCTGATTGACTAAACATACATATTCAGCAGGTTACAGGAGGAGCTATGAATATTCATGAAGGTGGTCCTGATGCATGAGTATTAAACATGCATGTTACGTAATACCCATGTTCACCTTGCAGGGAAGACTTGACATTTAAATATTACAGTTAGACCCTGTACATCAAAAGGTCTTTTCAGGACACAGCATGCAAATGTGCCATCTTTGTAAAACCCACTAGAACCAGTCCGTGGTTGGTGGTCTTCTTATCAGGAGAAAGTTACCGAAATCACTCTCTTGTCCAATCAAAGCTGTAGTTATGGCTGGTGGAACAAGAGTTCAGTAAGTCAGCATCTGGTAGAGCTGCAAATTGTTTTAAAAACAATATTGCTTATCCCAAGGCCAGTGCTTTTTTAGCTGCTTAAGAAAAAGAAAAACCTTTTGGCAGTTAGAACATAGTTTATTCTTTAAGTTTAAGGGGTGCGACTTAACCCTTGCCTGGCATGGCCTTAGGTCCTGTTTACTACAGTTTGTTCTCTCAGTCTTATGATACCTATTTTAAAATTAATGCTGGAAGGTTGTGTCTAAATTGCAAAAAGGAGGGGTATAATGAAATGCACCTGGCCGGGCGCAGTGGCTCATGGCTATAATCCCAGCACTTTGGGAGGCTGAGGTGGGCAGATCAGGAGGTCAAGAGATTGAGACCATCCTGGGCAACATGGTGAAACTAAAAAAAAAAAAAACAAACTTAGGTGGGCATGGTGGTGCGCACCTGTAGTCTCAGCTACTTGGGAGGCTGAGGCAGGAAAATTGCTTGAACCCGGGAGGCGGAGGTTGCAGTGAGCTGAAATCGTGCCACTGCACTCCAGCCTGGCGACAGAGCAAGACTGTGTCTCAAAAAAAAAAAAAAAAAAAAAAAAAAAAAAAAAGATGCACTTGACCCCTTGTCGTGTCATGACCAAAAACTCAGTTAAGGTTTTCTGGGATCCCCTTTGTCAAGAGGGGGTCCATTTCATCAGTGGGGAGCTTAGGATTTCTAGTTTACATTTCTCAGTGAGCACCTGAATTTCTTCCTGAGAGCTTTTTAAAAAGTCCTTATGAAATATATGACAGTGTTCCTGTTTTCTCCCAGTGTTTTGTTTTCTCATGCTACATAGGAAAGTTGCTTCCCTTAAATGTGCTGAGTAATTTTTCTCTTTTTATATTAAAAATGGAAAGAATAATTTCCCATCTGGCTGAAAATGGAATTCATGAAGGCTTTCTCAGCATCATAACTAGATGAGCCCAGAGTCCATTCAAGCCTTTACTTAATATACTAAATCACTCCTGATACCAGTCTTCTATGAAGGAGAGAGAGAGAGAGAGAGACACTTTTAAACCATGAGATATCAAAAGAACTCACTGTCACAAGAACAGCAAAGGGGAAGTCCTCTGCCGTGATTCATTCACCTCCTACCAGGCTCCTCCTCTAATTTGATATGAGATTTGGGCGGGACACAAATCCAAACCATATCATTTCAGCTTGCATCAATGACTTGGGCCATCAGTGCAACAAGGCAGGTGCTCACAATTGGTTCCGATGGAAATGCAGAACTCTTGGGTGCTTAGGAGAAAGGGCCTGCAGCTTGCTCTTAGAATTCACCCTTGCAGTAAGTGCTAATGAGTATGATTTGTGAGACAGAGAGCAGTTCAAGGATTTACTCATGGCAATTTGGTTCTTTCTTTCCACCTCCTGTTAAATTCTGCAGTTCTTCCTTCCATGGTAGGTCATTGTCATGTCATGTAGGGTATTGTACTTGGTTCTCCTTGAATTGGGCTGTCTTCAAGATTGCTCCTTAAGCCCAGCTGGTTGAAAAAGGAAACCGGTTTCAGATTGTGCTGATGTGCAAACTGCTTTAATCAATGACTTGAAGTGACTGCTGGTGGCAAACAACAGACGCTCTTAACCAATTAAGATATTTAGGAAAGGATGTTAGGCTTTTGTTAAAATAGTCACTAATGAACTGAAATGTGTTAAGAGGAGCCAAGAAACAGCTAGGAGTTCCACTTAAATGCAATAAAAGTGTTTGGGTCCTCCCCTTTCAAATTGCATGCCCAAGGCAAAAAATATGCTGACACAGAAAGAAGTGGCAAGTGTAATTTGGTACAGTTAGCCTGTCAGATCCATGCGTGTCTACATAAAACCTAGAAAAATGTCGTGCTTGCTTCTTTGGCCAGAAAAGGGAAGGGAGTTTAATTCCTTTATAGAACAGTTTCAGCAGGGCTGGAGAATATTACCAGCTTAGATGTCTTTGGAAATGGGAGAAAATTTAACTTGTTTTTAGAGGTTCCTTATGTTTTAGAGGTTGGAGAAAAATCTTCAGTTAATAGTCATAATTAAAGGCCCGTTTTTATTTTCCTCTGTCAGATTAAACTACTGAAATCTGTAGTTATCTGTTCATGTCTCTCAGTGGTAATGAGGCTCAGCCATAACACTCAGGATAATATGGTATTTCATTGGTAGCCATTTGAAGTCAGGAGCCATTGCTCATATAAGAACTACTTTTTTACAATTCCCTTGCTCTTGGAATCCAATAATGTTTTCTTGGGGCATTGAGAGTAAGATACACTGTCTAAGTTTTCATACTTATTCTGTGATAGAAACATCTAGTTTCTCTCTTCTGTCTGTGGTAAATCTCTACAAGTCTCTTAGATAAATTGCACTTATTAATTCTACTTTTTAAAATAGCTTTATTGAAGTAAAATCTTCTACTATAAAATATACTGGTAAGTATAATTTGATGATCTTTTGTAAATTATAGAGTTGTGAAATTATCACCACAGTTCAAAGAACATTTCTCTCACACCCAAAAATTCCTGGGACCTGTTCATAGTCAGTTTGGGTCTGGAGTGCACACAGGTGGTGGGAGGTTGCAAGGTGATGCTGGCCTACATGACTTGTTCTGATAATCCTGAGTTATTGCACCATCTGTTGAATGGGCTGGCGCCATCTTGGGCCTGACGAGTTGTAAATTAGCTGCAGCCTTCAAGTAATAACCCGGTGGTGGAACATTCTATAGATACCTGGATTGTCTCTGGAACTTCTAAGCAAACATAATTAGACAAGCTAGCAATGCAGTGGAGTGTCTGGTGGAAAGGAGGAGAGTAAAGGTTGTTATTTCATAACTAAAAAGTTAATACAAAGGGCCTCAGAAGGAAAAGTTTAAGAAAAAAAGACTAAAAAATAGAATACTCGGATACACTCCAACTTTGTTCTTTTCTAAAAATGTTTTAACTACTCTATGTCATTTGCGTTTCCATGGAAACTTTAGCATCAGCTTTTCTTTTCTTTTTTTTTTTTTTTTTGAGACAAAGTCTCACTCTGTCACCCAGGCTGGAGCACAGTGGTGCGATCCTAGCTCACTGTAGCCTCCACCTCCCGGGTTCAAGTGATTCTCGTGCCTCAGCCTCCTGAGTAGCTGGGATTACAGGCATGAGGTACTACGCCTGGCTCATGTTTGTATTTTTTTAATAGAGACAGGGTTTCGCCATGTTGACCAGGCTGGTTGAACTCCTGACCTGAGGTGATCAACCTGCCTTGGCCTCCAAGTTTTGGGATTACATGCGTGAGCTGCCGTGCCTGGCCCAGCTTTTCAATTTATATGAAAAACCCACTGGTATTTTGATAGGGATTTTATTGAGTCTATAGAAGAGTTAAGGGAAAATTGCCATTTTAATAATACTGAGTTATCCATGAACATGGAATAGTTACTCATTTATTTAGATCTTATTTTTTCTCCATAATGTTTTATAGTTTTTAGTGTACAAGCTATACAGCTCTTTTATTAAATTTATTGCCAAGTATTCTTTTTGATGATGTTGTGAGTGGAATTGTTTTTTAATTTTATTTTTGGATTATTTGTTGCTGGTATATAGAAATGAAATTATTTATTTATTATATCTTGCAACCTTATTAAACTTATTAGTTCTTGTGGTTTTTTAAATATACTTCTTAGGATTCTCTACATACAGGATCATATTGTCTGCAAATAAAGAAAGCTTTACTTCTTCTTTTATAACTTGTAAGTTTTTCTTTCTTTTTTTTTAATTATTGTACTGGCTGGAACTTCTGGCACAGTGTTGAATAGAAATAAGAGTGAACATCCTTGCCCTGTTCCTGATCTTAAGGAAAAACCTTTGTCTTTCACTATTAGTATGATGTTAGTTGTAAGTTTTACCCAGATTTCCTTTGTCAGCTTGAGAAAGTTTCCTTCTATTTCTAATTGGTTGAAAGTTTTTATTATGAATGGATGTTGAGTTTTGTTAGATGCATTTTCTGCCTCTATTGAGATGACTGTGATTTTTATTCTTCTGCTAATATATTAATTGACTTATAGTTGTTAAATCAACCTTGCATTCCAAGTATAAAATCCAGTCGTTCTATAAAATCCTTTTTATATGTACTGAATTCATTTAGCTAATGCTACAGTTTGAATAATGTCACCCAAAGTTTATGTGTTGGAAACTTAATCCCCATTCTAACGGTGTTGAGAGGTGGGACCTTTAAGAAGTAATTAGGTCATGGAGGCATCATTCTCATGAAAGGATTCAGGCCATTATCACTTGAGTGGGTTAGTTATAAAAAGGATGAGTTCGGCCTGATTTCTTCTCTGTCTCTGGCTTGCTTCTGCCTTCTGATGTGGGGTGGTCTCCTCCAGCTGCCGGTGTCATGCTCTTAGACTTCCCAGCCTCCAGAACTGTGAGCTAAATAAATATCTGTTCTTTATAAATTACCCAGTCTTGGGTATTCTGTTATAGCAGCACAAAATACACTAAGACAGCTAATATTTTGTTGGGAAATTGTTTGTAGTTTTCTTGTTTTGTGTGATGTCTTTGGTTTTGGTAACAGGAAAATACTGGACTCATAGAATGAGTTAGGAAGTTTCCTTCTCTTCAAGATTTCTATTATTTATTCTTTACATATTTCATATAATTTACCAGTGAAGCCATCTGAGTTCTTTGTGGGGAGCTTTTGTTTTGTTTTGTTTTTTGAATTTTGAGATTGTTTCATTTGAAGGTCACCTTAATGCTCTTAAATTCAAAAATATGCTAATTTAAATACCAAATCCTATTAATCTAAAACACACATTGCAAACATACAAATATCTCTTCTCTTCACATGTCAGTGCCCATTCATGTCATGGTTTGGAAATGGGGACAGTAGATTCCCCTTGAGCTGCAAGTCAGCATATGTTTCTTTATAGTTAACTTTAGCAAAATTTATACAAAATAGTAATTAACAATAATCTTCTTTATTTGTTAACTCAAAAGAAAATACCTTCAAAACTGCATTTTAAGTTTCTGTACTAAAATACAGAAAAACTACACAAATATTGAAAAGTTGAAAGTTCTTTAATTTTTTTATTCCTGTTATCACTACCACAATTTACAGGGCAATATACTTGATGTAATGAAAAAGAAACAGACAAAGCTACAACAGATAAAAGAGCTCAGGAATGTACGTCTAATCGACACTATATTGCATTCATTAATAGCTGCACTTTTGCAAACTGTGGCTATGATAGTCCTGCACAAGAAGGGTTTTCTGTTTAAGCTGCAATAACTTTTCTGACCATGGATCACCATTCCTTCTGTGGCAGATTTTTACAGTTCCTCTAATGCATTTGGGATGACTATCTCAAATAACCTGCAACTTTTGTGACAACTCCTTGTTCTTTCTCCTGCTAAGAATTGTAGCCCCTCTCTGCTGTTTTTAGAACCTTCTGCTACCATATCCGTCACGTCTACCGCCAGATCCGTAACCACCACCACCACAGGAACTCCCCGAGCTTCTTCCACCAAAACTGCACCCTTTAATGGGTTCATAATTTGATTGTTTTTGTCTGCTAAAATTTCCAGAATCATTATAGTTCCCACCACCACCATAGTTACCACTGCCAAAATTTCCTCCTTCATTGTAACCATCATATCCTTCACCACTATCCCCATACCCGCCATTGTGGTTTTCATATCCTGGTTCACCATCTCCATAGCCCCCACTACTGCTGTAGGCAGGCCCACCACCATTGTTGCCCACCGTCACCTCCACATCCATTATATCCACCATTACACCCTCCATAACCACCTCTGCTGCCACCACCTCTACTTCTACCACCAGAGCCTCCTCTTCCACCAAAGTTTCCACCACAGCCAAAATTACTTGCACCACTTCCAGAGTTTCCTCCACAACCCATAAAGTTGTCAGATCCACCTCCATCACCTCTGTGATCCTGCAGACTGCATCTCTTGTTTAGAAAGGGCCTTTTTCACTTTACAGTTGTGCTTGTTAATAGTGTGGTGTTTCTAAACAACAGTTTTATCAATTGTATCATGATCATCAAAAGTTAAAAGTGCACATTCTCTCTTTTTCCACTCTGTCATCCATAACTTGTATGGTTTCAGTCTTGCTATAGTTTTCAGAGTAATTTCTGAAACTGTATCTACTTTAATACCACCAGCAAAAATGTTCTTCACTGTTAGGTGGGCACCAGGCTTTACAGAATCCTCTCTAGAAACAACTGTCTTTGGTTCCACTCCACACCCATCAACCTTGTGTGGTCAAGCACACATTGCTGTGTCCACCTCTTCAACACAAGAGAAAGCCATAAAACCAAAGCCCCTGGAATGTTTGCTTGGGGTTCTGTCATTACCACACAATCTGTGAGTGTGCCCCCTTTCTCAAAATGTTCTCTTAACCCATCATCTGTAGTTTTAAAGCTCAGACCACCAATAAACAATTTTCTCAGCCGCGCTGGATTCCTTTGGATCATGGCCTTCCTCCTCTTGGCGGCAGTGGCAATGACAACGGCCAGAGTCAGCCTAGGGGCAACCGGGTAGTGGTTTTACCTCCATTTTAAGACTAGACTTGCCTCCTCCAACTCAAGTTCAACATGGAACTGTGAGGAAGAGGCTGTGGGAAGCTTTTTAATACTAATTCAATTTTTTTCTTTTTTTTGGATACGGGGTCTCACTCTGTTGCCCAGGCTGGAGTGTAGTGGTGTGATCTTGACTCACTGCAACCTCTGTCTCCCGGGTTCAAGCCATTCTCCTGCCTCAGCCTCCCAAGCAGCTGGGATGACAGGCGCCCGCCACCACACCCGGCAAACTTTTGTATTTTTAGTGGAGACGGGATTTCACCATATTGGCTAGGTTGGTCTCGAACTCCTGACCTCAAGTGATCCACCCACCTTGGCCTCCCAAAGTGCTGGGATTACAGGCGTGAGCCACTGCACCGGGCCCAATTTTTAAGCTAATAAATCTGGTCAGTTTTAAAATTTCTTATTGAATCAGTTTTAGTAATATGTCTTTATAAGAATTTGTTCCTTTTGTCTAATTTTTTAGTATAACATTGATTATTATTCCCTTATAATAATATTTTTGAGATCTGTTCTTTATTTCTGATTTGGGGATTTTGTATCTTCCCTTTTTCTTGGTCAGTCTAGGTAAAGGCTTATGGATTTTATCTTTTTAAGATCCCAGCTTTTAGTTAGTTTTATTGATTTTCTCCATTATTCTCATTTAATTAATTTCTGCTCTGATCTTTATTATTCCATTCCTTCTTCTTACTTTGGCTGTAATTCACTTTTCATTTTCTTGTTTCTTAAGGTGGAAGCTTAGATGATTGATTTGAAACCTCTTTTCTAATATAGGCATTTAAAGCTATACATTTCCTGCTAAGCAGTTTTTTAGCTTCACACCATAAATTGCGATGTGTTATGATTTTGTTTTCATTTAGTTTAAATATATTCTAATGTCTTTCATGATTGTTTCTTTGACTCTTGGGTTATTTAAATGTGTTCTTAAATTCCAAATATTGAAGATTTCCCAATTTCTTCCTGTTGTTGATTTTTAATTCTGTTATGATTGGAGATCATACTTTGAGTGGCTTCAGTCCGTCTGAATTTATTCAGACTTGTTCTTATGTGGTCTCACATATAGTCTGTTCTGCCAGTTGTTCTCTATGGCCTTAAAAAGTACATGTATTCACCTGTTACTAGGACAAGTGTGCTGGAAATGTCAGGGCAATTTGGTTGATAGTTTGTTCAAATCTGTCTTTTGACTTTCTATCTAGTTGTTTTCCGTGACGTTTTGAGTATTGAAAGTTATTCACCTTGAGACCTTGTGTGCTAGTGAGACCTTTATGATTTTGGTCTCACCTAGCTAAACCAGCTTGGGTCATGAGATCCTAGTGAATTTTTACAGGGTGACACTAAAGAAAACACTGTCAATTCAGGTAATAGAGTATATGTTAAATAAAAGTCTTCAGGTATTGGCATTTTAGGAAAAATAAACTTAGCTATGTGTGCTGCAAGACTGTATGTGTTTCTGAATCCTCTGCTTCGAGGGAAAAATCATATTAGTAGAGGATAAGTTTACTCAGTACTGGAAAAATTGTGTAGATTTTAGGAACTTGTTGGAGCAGAAAGGCGATTAATTGTGAGAAATGAAAGTCAATTTTAGTGGCAGCAGGTATATCAAGTACATCAAGTCTTAGTTCAATGTTTATAGATTTTGAAAATTTATAGGTTCATTATTCCTTTCATTTGTTTCTTCTTTTGTCCCATTTTTGTCAAGCATGTATTTATTTTGTTTGAATCCTTTTTTGTCTCATGGACTGAGAAGAAAATATAACTAAGGTTGGATTATCCCACAATTTGCTCTGTGTCTAATTATTCTGAGGTGGATTGTAATGAAGCCAGCAAGACTTATACATTGGAATTTTAAATGTATGGGATTGTAAGGAGGGTAGAAGCTACAAACCAAAGATAAGATATGCCTGCAGATCTGCTTCAGATTTCCTGAGGGCAGTAGATGAAATTATTTCTAAGGGCCTTTTTCACCACTGCTCTTTAAGTATATGAGTAATAAACAAAAAGAACAAAGTATGTGGTTCAGAAGGAATAAAACAAAAAAGAAAGAAAAGGATCAATGAAATAGAAGTATTGTGTCACCCCATGAAAATTGTCTTCCTGTTGAGAGCTCACTAGAAATAGAAACAATTGTTTTTTATCTCCTTGTATGACAATCTCTTAACTGTTTCGAGATGATTTACTTGCTTCTTAGGCTTCCATTAAAAATAAGCACATGCTTATATGGGGGAAAATGCAAATAGTAATATAATAGCATATAAAGTTAAAAAGTGGACATCTCCTTCTTTATTGTCTCCCTCCCTTTGAAACTCTGCCCATACCCACATTCTGTGTCTTCATAGGAATAACCCTGTTCATCCCTACTGATGCCCTGTATTGTGATCAAGATGGTTAATTGTTTTAGGGTATAATAAATTGGGGATATAGTCAGAGACAGTACATTTTGGGAGAACCCTCCATTCCCAGTGGCATCAAGCAGCTTGATCAAAGAAAAGAAAAAGGTGTACACCAAGATGAGATGAGGCATACTTAGTAAGCAATAATAAAACGTCAAGATGTCTTCATGCATATAATCATGACAATGTTGGATGTGATATCTCATCCCTGTACATCTGCATATATATCTTATATAGCATGTTATTCTTTCTGCATTTCCCCCTTCAATAGAGCTTTATTGTAACCATTTCCATCTCTGTAAAATTAAGGGAGGGAGGGGATAAAAGAGAGTTCTAGACTGTCTACTCCCCTAAGTGGCAGCCAGTGCTAAATACACAGCTTATGGGTTTAAACTGAACGAACAACAAAAAGACATGTTCATTCCTTAGGCTTTTAGAGGAATAAACCAGTGAGGCCTACACCATTTATTCATCCATTCAACAATTATTTGTTGAATGCCTACTGTGTGCCAGTCATACCAAGATACAGACAGTAAACAAATAAGAAAATATATGTCAAATGGTGATAAGCATTTGTGTTAGTGTCCTAGTGCTGCAGTAATGGAGTTCCACAAACTGAGTGCCTTAAAGCAGTGGAAGTTTATCCTTGCAGTTCTGGAGACTAAAGTCCAAAATCACAGGACTGCTTCCTTCTGAGAGGTATGGGGGAGAATCTGTTCAATGCTCTCTTGTAGCCTTTGGTGACAGCTGGCAATTCTTGCATCCCTTGACTTATAGATCCATTACTGTAATCTCTCCTTCTCTCTTAACAGGGGAGTTCTTGTATGTCTGTATCCAAGTTTGCCTCTTCTTATAAGGATGTCAGTCCTATTGGATTAGGGCCTTTCCTAGTGACCTCATCTTAATTTGATCACACATCTGCAAGGACTCTCTTTCCAAGTAAGGTCACGTTGTGAGGTTTTGGTAAGGACAGGAATGTGGGGGCGGGGTGGGGATACTATTCAGCCCATGACAGCACTATAGAGAAAAGTTAAAGCAGGATAGTGGGATAGGGAATGCTGGGTTGAGATGGGCTTATAATTTTATGTAGAGGATCAGGGAAGTCCTCACTGTTGAACTGAGAATTGAGGATAGTGAGAGAGAGAACCTAGTGGATATCTGGGAGGAGAGCTTTGCAGACAGAGGGAGCAGCATGTTCTTGAGAAGCTCAAGATGACTATGCTTGGCTAGAAGCATCAGGGAGGTCCGTGTGACTGGAGCAAAGAAAGTAGGAGCTGAGAAGTCAGAGAGCTGGCTGGGGTACATATCACATAAGGCCTCCTAGACCTTTTGCTTTTCTCTGAGTGAAATGTGAAACCATTGAAGAGTTTGAAGTAGCGAATGATCTGGTTTTATATTTCATACCATGTTGAGGAAAAGGGCAAGGTTGAGGTAGGCAGATGAGTTAGAAGGCTTCGGCGTTAATCCACGTGACCGGAGGTAGTAAGAAGAGGTCCGATTTTTGATCTGTTTTGAAAGTAGAATTGTCAAGTTTTGCTGATCATTTGAATGTAGAGTGTGTGAGAGAGAAAAAGTTTAAAAATAACTCCCAAGATTTTTAGTCTGAGCAACTGGACGAATTGCCATTTGCTGAGAAGGAGAAGATGGTCATGCAGGTCTGGACTTCAGGAAAAAGGTCTGAGTTGTATGTATAAATCGTGGAGAAGGAGCCATAGAGACTTTAAGACATGAGACTGGAAGAGATCCTTGAGTAACGGAGAGGCATGGGATCTAGGGCACAGGTGGAAGGGGTAACTTAGATAACACACAGACAGTTCAGCAAAGGCAATAGGATGGAAGGCAGACTATATGGGTGCAGATGCAGGTAGGTGACTACTTTGAAGAATAATTCGTGGAGGGGCCGGGTACAGTGGTTCACGCCTGTAATCCCAGCACTTTGGGAGGCCAAGGCGGGTGGATCACTTGAAGCCAGGAATTCAAGACCAGCCTAGCCAACATGGCAAAACCCCATCTCTACTAAAAATACAAAAATCAGTCGTGCATGATGGCTTGGGCCTGTAGTCCCAGCTACTCAGGAGGCTGAGGCACAAGAATTGCTTGAACCTGGGAGGCGGGAGGTTGCAGTGAGCTGTGATCATGCCAGTGCACTCCAGCCTGGGCAACAGAGCAAGACTCTGTCTTAAAAAGAATTCCTGGAGGAGGTTGGCATAACCTGGTCCATTATGGTAAAGGTGGATAGGAGAGGGCCCAAAGAAGGGCATTCTAAGGAAGGCAACCACCTAAGTGATGGCGTGTCCTGATGTTATTAATGGGACTTTCTCCAGAAATAAGCAGTGTTGTTAACTGTTGTTTTGCCCCTTGAGTATCTTTTTTTTTTTTTTTCCGAGATGGAGTTTCGCTGTCGTTGCCCGGGCTGGAGTGCAATGGCGCGATCTCGGCTCACTGCAACCTCTACTTCCCAGGTTCAAACAATTCTCCTGTCTCAGCCTTCCTGAGTAGCTGGGATTACAGGCATGCACCACCACACCCAGCTAATTTTGTATTTTTAGTAGAGACGGGGTTTCTCTGTATTGGTCAGGCTGGTCTCGAACTCCCGACCTCAGATCATCCACCCGCCTCGGCCTCCCAAAGTGCTGGGAATACAGGCACGAACCACTGCGCCCGGCCTTGAGTTTCTTCATTGGCATTTCTGACAACTTTGTATCCATTTCTCTTCTGCTTTCTAATCATCTTCTAATTTACTTCTCAGGTCTGTCTTTTCCTTTCCATCTTATCACTATCCGAATTCAGGCTTTCATTATTTTATCATTGGACAGTTCCAGCATCCTTCATTAATAACCTTCAAAGTTCTCCTTCATTCCTGCCCATATGTTTGTACAGATTTAAGTTCTTATAGCACAGATTTTATTCTGGGTCAGCCCTTATTAATTACTCCCATTCAGTCCCCCATTCAAGGCTTGCCACAATCTGGTCCCATTCTGCCACTCCCGACCCATTCTTATACAGATTCCCTCTGTGAACCTTGTATTCAAACCATGTTCCTGCTAATGCCCTTGCAGCATCGGCTTTCTAAAGCTGATTAACTCTTTTAAAAAAATGGCCATTCTTATCTTTACCCCCAAATCCTACTCTAAAGAGATGCTTGTGATTTGAGAACCGGTATATCTTTGGATCCCAATGCCGCCCGTAGTTTTATTGTAGTATGACTCATTAGATACTGCTGCTGCTTTACCATCAGTGAGACAAAATGACCTCCATCTGGCTTTTTTGGTTTTCATTGCGACTTTAATAAAACAGTGCTTGGGAGTAATAAGAATTTGAATTTTTGAATTGTAGCAGATTTACTTCTCTGGTTCTTTGGATCAATTCCTAAGTCTTAGCCCCATCAAAGAAGAAGTGCAGAATCTAACGTGTCTGTATTTTGACCTCTAGAATACTGTAAAACTTTCTTCATAAAATTAGAAAGGATAGAGGGGGGAAAATGAAAAGAAAAAGAAGAATCTGAGAGGTCCCTAAGGAAAAATACCGTATAAACCAAGGCATTATTTATCAGTTTTTAGAAGGAGTTATCACATAGAATGTGGTCTTTCTAAAATTTCTGGTACCTAATATTTCCTTTCAAAAAAGACTCAAATTCTTGAGGCATCCTAGAAGACTTGTGTGCTGCCTCCCCCTTGTCCACCCTCCCCAAAAGCACATTCAACAATGGCTGCCTGTTTCTCTCCTTGGTGAGGAGTCTGACTCATCATTCACTCTGTCTTTTCAACTGATACCTGCGTTTCAGTTCCATTCAATTACCAACTTTTAATTGGATCCCATTGCCAGATTGATTTTGTGTTCCTGTTCCCTCTTGGCTGCACTGTTACTATGACTACTTGGTATCTTCTACTTACTTCCTATATTAGTTTGATGACATCTAGTCAGGTATGAAGCTAGATAGATACTATAAAATTGCTACAGTACCAATCACTATTATCTTACATTTTTCCTTTCCCCTACTGCTCATTTGGAATGGAATCAAGCATGGTGATAAGGTTCTTAATTCTTCTCTATCAATTTTAGTAAGCATTGGCAAGTTTTAGAATTCTAGGACCTTGGAAAATTGTGGAGACCCTCTTCCTCTGCCCTCCCTAGTCTTCACCCCCCACCACAACACATTCTTTCAGGCATATGGCATATATATTTCCTAAAAAGCTGAAAGATATCATTTCCTCATTTAATTAGAAAGTCTTCCTTTAGTTTCTTTCTTATGTTAGCATAATGTCTCAATATTCTACTTTAAGTGTACTCCGTTGTAGAATTGGGGAAAATTAGTTACACTAGGCAGTGCATGTTCTTTGGTCTTTAGTTAACTGCTGTATGCCCTATAAATATTAATTGATGACCTTCAGGCTTTATGGGATATGTTTAGTGGTTTTTTAATGGTTAAACTGAATATTTTTAATAAAAAATTACAAGACCATAGAATGCCACAGAACCATTCCACTTACCAGGAAACTTAAAATTTGCCAGCTGACCTGGGAACAGATCTGGTCATATACCCAAGCTATTTAAGAAGAGGAATATTATTCATCAGAATAAAAATGTTATATCATAATGCTCTCTTACATAAAATGAGCTTACAGCCAGTGGGCTAACTGGATATCATTTTTCTGGTTTCTTGTTAGCTCCCACTACCATATTTGTTACACAGAGTGAACTAAGGCCAAGAGACCTTCCATATCATTCTTCCTGTGGCTACAAACTAGGATTCACAGCTAGCTCAAATAAAAACAGAAATAAAAGGAGAGAGATCTCATAGTCTGCAGGAATGGATTCTGACAATAAAGACCTTGCATTTACTCTGTTCCTTGTGCCTGGGGTTTTTAATTTAACACATCAATGAAAAGGCACCATTTAAAAAAGGGGGGAAACACCCAGCAGGACTTACTTTTATTAGTGCAATTTGTAAGAAATTACTGCACTTAATGAGAAAATCATTAAGCATGAAAAAATGGGCTCTGACTGAACTTGTGGAACTTAAATGGTGAGGTTTTAATTGAGTTTTTTAGTTATTGGTAAGAATAATAATAATAATTTAAAAATACAGGACTGCATCTGTGTGTTGAGGTGGTCAGCACTTTGCATATCTTAGTCCAATTTCCTGTGCCACTGGTCATGCATAATATTATGGCTGTGGTGTTCTCTCTGTCGTATCTACTGATTTTTCTGTTCTGAAAGGGAAGCAGGGAACTTCTTTTTTGTTAGATTGAGGAAGTTTGGGGCAAAGAGCTAGCAGAACAGTTTCTAGAAGGTGGAAGAACTGTAGGCTAAGGCAAAGAGCAGAGCTATGTCTGCTTCTCAGTCCAGCTGCTTAAAAAAGATGACAAATTTCAATGTCATTTTCAGGTTACTCAAGCTTATGCTTTTTTCCTAGTTCTCTGTTTCTTTTGTTGCCATCCAGTGATTTATTTTTCCTCAATAAGAATATTTCATTAAAGACCATGCAACTAGAAAACAAGAATACCAAGAGCAAAGAGCACTCTTCAGTCCGAACTCTTTTAGAAGTGGAAGCAGAAAGAAGGGTGTTTAAGAAATAAGTCAGCACTGTGTGTGTGTGTGTGTGTGTGTGTGTGTGTGTGTGTGTGTGATTTAGAGAAAAAATATTTAAGATACCTTCTTTTTGTACTTAAAATTTCATAAGTACGTTTGACTTCTGAGAGGACCAGAATGCCATGGGAAGTGCTCAGTTGCATCCAGTACCTGTTGTTTATTGTCATGGTCCACACGGTTGCATGTCACAACCGTGTTAGAACTGAAGGAAAGGAAATGTATGTAACTCTAAAGACGTTTCAAGTAGAAGTGAAAACAATATTTTTTTACATAATTTGTTTTTTATAGAAATACAGCTTTTATCAAATGTCTGGGAGAAGCTTTAAATATGCTTTTGAACTTCTTCAGTAACTTTTAATTGAATTTCATTGTATCCTACCTCACTAGAAAGAAAGAAACCTGCAAATTTTAGCTTCCCTTATAATTTAAATGATGCCTTGCTAATTTCTGTGTTTTTGAGATGGAGTCTCACCCTGTCACCCAGGCTGGAGTGCAGTGGTGAGATCTTGGCCCACTGCAACTTCTGCCTCCCAGGCTCAGATGATTCTCCTGCCTCCGCCTCAGCCTCCTGAGTAGCTGGGATTACAGGCATATGCTACCACACCCAGCTAACTTTTGTATTTTTAGTAGACGGGGTTTCGCCATATTGGCCAGGCTGGTCTTGAACTCCTGACCTCAGGTGATCCGCCCGTCTCGGCCTCCCAAAGTGCTGTGATTACAGGCTTGAGCCGCTGGGCCCAGCCTGATGCCTTGCATTTCTGTCTCCTGGAAATACCCAATTCTTAAAAGAGGCCATCCCCTTGTGAGTTCATAACACACTGTGCCCTTAGATCCCCTCCTCACCCTCCCTTCTTCTGTATGCCCTGCATCTGAGGGAGGTGTGGGCAGAGCTGGCTCTTGTAGGTTGCATTTCCCAGGCTCCTGTGTCTAAAGACTTCCTACTGGGTTCGGCATGAGAGATACTGGTGGGAAGTAGGGAGGGAGAAACCGGTGTATCTCTTCTTCCCTTTCTATGTTGGGTAGCATCTTTGGTCCTCAGTGTCTTCAGCTCCCATAGGACAGATCCCTGAACTCTATTTATACCCTTTTCTTTTTCCTGAGTACCAAGGGATGCTAAGGGTTTCTTGCTGTTACCAATCCCGGGGTTACAGCACCATTCTCAGTTGGCTTTAACACACTTCGTAACCTGCAAAACAATTTCCTGTCTTAAGTCTCCTGTGTTAAATATTTGGAGTGGTTTATATTCCTTGTGTTGGTCCCTGACTGATACACACACCGCCTCTACCCACAATGGCCAATTTATATCCGATAGTAAAGAGGCATAAAGAAAGCCCGCTTTTGATACGTTTCTTAAATTGCCTCTGTTAAAACAGACTTTCTTATCAGGCAAATATCTTTTATAAGTTTCTGGCTTAAACAATGATTATAATTTACAGGTGGATTTAATTTATGGTAGACTGGACTGCTTGCCTAGACTTTTATTTGCTGATGGGCATTACTCCTTTTTATTCTCTTAATAATGAATTACCTGACCTTATACTTATTTTGATTTAAGTGCTTGATTTTTATTGTCACTTTTAATTTTGTGTTATAAAGATGCAATTGTCATTGGCTACATAAATTTGTTTTTTTCTTTTCTTTTTCTTTTTTTTTTTTGAGATGGAATCTCACTCTGTTGCCCAGGTTGGAGTGCAGTGGCATGATCTCGGCTCACTGCACCCTCCACCTCCTGGGTTCAAGTGGTTTCTGGCTAATTTTTGTATTTTTAGTAGAGACAGGGTTTCACAATGTTGGCCAGGCTGGTCTCGAACTCCTGACCTCAAGTGATCCGTCCTCCTTGGCCTCCCAAGGTGCTAGGGTTACAGGCGTGAGCCATTGCGACTGGCCATAAATTTGTTCTTAACATTTAAAATTTATTTAACTGCTGACATTTGCAAAATGTACAGCATTTCAATAAGTAACATTTACATGAGGCATTGAGAAAGTGAGAAGAATTAAATTGGGAAATATCCTAAATGATGGCTGAGTTCAGCCAAATCATTTGAGGTGTCTTCACAGTCTTTTATATATAATGTGTGACAGATGAGGGAACCTACTGCTTTTTGGGCTCTGTCAGATGGAGGAGAAAATCCCACAATAAATGACTTCCTTTCACTTTGTTGGAAACATCTTTGCAAAGAACAGAGGTAGTGAGTAAATGTAAAGTCAGAGGCAGACATGCACATGGCCCTGGGTGTTTTGACCTTGGTGACTGTGCAATGAGAGGGGAGGTGTAGTCCATTTTATAGGACTTTGGGTGGTGTTGAATGTATTCAGTAGAGAAGCAGAATGTGTATTTCAGATTAAACAAGAAAACTTCGCCATTTTCCTCTTCTGTAACATTTCTAAATCTGGATAACATTTTGAATATGATACTGAAGTATTGTATTGAGATTAATTTTGGGTGTCAACATCTGTACTCATTTAAGATACTGGGTTAGTATATGATGCCCATATCTAAAGGTTTTGCATTTTCTAAAACCTCAAAATCCAAAACAGACATTTGAAGTAATCCTGGAAATAAATGACAGCCATTTGCCTGACTTAGTATCCTAAGATGGATGGCCCTTCCAATGGCCATTTTTTATTTTAGCTACTAATGAGTATTATTGAGTCACTAACTAATTTCGAAAAGCATTTTGGTGAATTATAATTGGGGCTGTGATTTACTGAGTTTGAAGACTGATAAGCCATTCCTCAGCCCTGTAATTAATGTAGAAGCAGAGAAAAGCACCCTGATGATCAGCATTTCCTTTATGTGGGGCAGGGGAGTCAAAAGCATATTCCAGCCAAATATTATAGAATATTATTTTTTCAGCCATTTCTGCATTTTACTTTTATTAAAAATGGCAGGGAAATGTGAAGTGCCACAAAACTTTGGAAAGGAAGTCTCTTGTTTACATCCCTTTTGATACTCAGTATATTCAAGCGTCATCCATCACAGCTATTCCCTGGTGTTAAATGGTTCGTTATAGTCAGTGAACCACAAAAGTAGTCTGGGTAGAGGGACAGAATTTAGAATCATGGACCAGATTTACAAGCCACGTAACTGAGTATTCCTAGAAGGCCAAAATCTGGTTGTTTGTATTCTTTGGGTTTATTGGAAGTTTGGATATGTTTATCCATCTGTGTTTCTGAACCCTCTGGAGGAAAGAGCACAACAGTCTAACATGTAAATAAGAAAAACTAAATCCACATAGGCCCACAGATACATTAGGACTTCATTTTTTTTTTTACAAAGAAACTGGGTATTGAGACTCCTGCTACTTCCTTTTACAAAGAATTTATGGTAGACTGGACTGCCTTCTTTCCTGTATCGTTGCAAATGGATTGTTGGCTTGGGTATTTATTTTTGTTTCTTTTGAATATTTTTCTCTGTAAGATAGCAACTGTGTGTGTGTGTGTGTGTGTGTGTGTGTGTGTGTGTGTGTGTGTGTGTGTGTGTTCTATCATATTTCAGGATAAAATGAGTCAGGAAGCTGGTTGTTTTGGTTTTTTGTTTTGCTTTGTTTTTTCGCAAAGCAATTTAGTACCTGTGTAGTTGTTTCATGGGCTCCCAGCTCTTAGGATTCCCTACGTTTCTATCCTTAATTGCCTATGCTCTTTTTACTCTTTTCCGTGTAGTCTTTATGCAGTAGTTTGGACACAGCAGACAACTCTTTCCTTTAAATAATCTCTTCTCTTAGTATCTGTGATGCCATGAACTCCTGACACACACACACACACACACACACACACACACACACTCTCTCTCTCTCTCTCTCTCTCTCTCTCTCTCTCTCTCTCCCCGTCTCCCTGTCTCTCCCTCTCTCTCTCTCTGACTAATCCTTCTTAGCCTCCTTCTTCAGCTCCCTTTCCACTATCCAACCGCTAAAATTTCTTCTTTCTTCTACACTTTCTAAGGAGCCACGCTGTACCCCTACCTCAGGACTCTCACACACACTTTCTCTTCTTGGAACTCCCTTTCCTCCAGCCATTTGCTGTCTAATCCTCACTCTTTTTTCTTCCCCTATTTCTGTCCATGTATGAGGCCATTTGCTTTTCTCCAAACACAGCTTGTGCTTTCTTCTTCATACTTAGGCTAATTGTGTTTCCTGCTGTGTAATTGCCAAATTCTGTTTTTCATTGCCTAGCTAAAAAGCCATGTTGATTTGTGAAGCTTTCTGTAATCACCAAAGATTTTTTAAAAATTCAAACCAATTAATATATTTCCTTAAAACTCATAGCCCTCTTCACATTATTTCCCAGTGTTAATTTTATGTATATGCATTATATTCCCTATTCAACTGCAAACTCCTCAAAGGCAAGGGCCTTGTCTTCAACTTAATTCTGTCTCCCACAGAACATAACATAGTATCTTCTACATAGTAGTTGCACAATAAGTATATACTATCAAACAAAGAGAAACATTTATATTATAGCTTCCTAAGATTTCCTATTCTCATTTCAAAAGAAATGGAGAATTTAGAGTCTCTAGGATTATTGCCCTTGGCCTGTAAAGGTTTTTATTTGTGCCCAAATATGTAACCTCGAGTGAACTTTGTATCAGATGATCTGGGAAAGTACACCGCTTTCTGTTATCAAACATTTCTGTTACTTTGCTTTTCAAGCTGAAAAGGGGAGATAACTTCTGTTTGCTTTGAGCTTTTGTTGATGGTTTTCTGCTCTGCCTACTAATCAGGGTTGTATTATTTACCTTGTTTAAAAAGGTTCATCTGAACATTCTCTCTCTATTTTGAATTGTAATTGGATATTAATTCACTGCTGCGGGATACGTTGGTAAAGATTTTTGAAATTGCAGGGAAATGTTTCTTTAATCCCTCAAGTTTGTTAAGTGCTTTCTTATAATGGAGATCATAATCTCCGAGTTGGTAGAAGGGATGAAACGGTTACTGGGGATATTTTTCCCTTGTTAGAAAATTGCTGTATTAAAAAATACTTCATCCAGTTTTTTAATCCTTTCCACATGCTGTATGGTCCTTAGGAAATAAGTAGATTCTTAGCACCGATTTCATGTTTTTAATAAGGAAGGCATTGAGTAATGTTCAGGTCACTGTGATTCACAGAGTTAGTGGCCTGGGGCCTTTATTGGTAAAGCTTGAAAGTAGTTTTCTTTAGCATTGTGCATACACAGGTAGCTGCTAGAATGCTCACAGGAGGCTGTGATTTGGGGAAACAGGCAGTCATAGAATATCTTGAACATTCAGCATAAATTGCCAAACAGCCACAGCTAGTGAATGGTTTCAGGGGACAAGGGAGAGGAGCCTTTAGGCATGATTACCCACATCTCCCTGATTTGTTCTTCCACACACAGATCTTAAGGGTCAGTTTTGATCTGCACAGCATTAAGTTTCCTCATGACTTTTAGATTTCCTTTTTCCTCTGCTTTTTATTCATACTGAAGAATTTTTTGTTTCTTTGTAAGGTGTAATCTACTTTGGAAATGATAACACTATGAATGCATTTTCTCTTTCTGTAGCATTTATGACATTGCTTGCTGACAGTTACTGTTTATTAAGTATTTGTGGCTTTTGGAGTAGTGAGCAATAGGGAGAATATTCAGGTCCAGCTAAGGGCATAAGGTAGATAGCAATGATTTCTCATTCGAAAGGGATATTTTGTTAAGACTAGGGCTGATCTTTTCTAATTTAACCTTGGATTGGTAGAAGATGGGGTGTCCCTGGCTCATTATTTTTCACTGCCCAGCACTGTTCGACAATTATCCTGAGTAGAATTAGGGGAGGGACTAGAGGATCTGTTTTCTGTGAATACAATAGGAAAGGCAGTTTTGAATTATCCAAATGGCCCCTAAATTCTGGGGGAAAATAAAATAACAACAACAGCAGTTTTAAAAATAACTACAACCTAGGTTCTGACATCCCAAAAAGGAATATTTCAACTATAATTCTCAGCATTTTAGAAATTAATTTCTTGACAAATATCAATAGGTATCATTCAGACTTTGCAAATACAGAGTTTTGAAATCAGAATTTTGCATCTCATCTCTCCCCTAAAAGAAGTATGGCAATTGTGCTTGCTGACCATGAGGCTTGTGAACTATAATACATACTTATAGGCACAAACACAGAAGCATACCCTCTCTCAGGCATCACTCAAATCTAAGAAAATTTGTTGTCTTATGTTTTAGCGAGTAACCAGCTCATAAATCACATCGAACAGTTTTTGGATACTAATGAAACACCGTATTTTATGAAGAGCATAGACTGCATCCGAGCCTTCCGGGAAGAAGCCATTAAGGTAATGCTATCCTAGCATCTCTTTTCTTCCTAAACAGTTGGCGACTATCACAGGGAAAGAGGCATACAGCATCCTGGAAATGAGTCTGGGCCGTGGAAATTATCATTCTCAATATGAATAGCAGTGTATGCCAGTGGAGCTAAAAATGACTTAAATTCATGTTACTATCACTGTCATTTCTGAGATGGGATAAAGATGAGTAGGTAGGGTGTTTTATCCCTGAAAGTTGGCTTTTTATTGTACTGAAGACCTGGCCTTTGCTTTCTGTTCCTATTTAGGGAACCAAGGAAATTTCCATTATAACCTCTGGTGGCCCACTCACTATTGTAAAGGATGGGCTATTTTAGGGAAATGGATGGGAAATATATATTGGTATAATTATTGAGAAAGATTTTATGAAGACAGGAGTAGGGATCTAAATGTCAGAAAAAAAAGAACACTGACAATAAGTTCCTCCCATGCCTTTTGTGTGGGTTTTGTCTGTTTGATTGTTTTATTAGGAATTCTTAGAAAATATTTCTAAAACTTTTCCAAATTATGTATAGGCTTTTATATCTCTAGGTAAGAAGTGAGCAAGTTTAAATTAGAAAGCATATTTTTTAAGTGGGCACAGTTGTAGTATATGTTCTTGTGTGGGTGCTTATTAAATACTTGGCGAACGTATGAATGAATTAATGCTTAAATAATTTAGGTGCTTACAAAGAGTGACAAGAAAATGGAAAAATCATTAAAATTAGATTCAATAACAGATTCAGAAGTAGATAACCTGAATACTCTTAGATAAAAGACAAATTTTAGAAAAGTAGAGTCAGGACAAGACTGCAGATGATTCAGTTGGATGGAGAAAGATTTGGTTCAATGGAAAGAGATAGTAAAAGTGTATTGCTTTTTTAAAGCACTACCCAGGCTAGGTGGAGTGTCTTATAACACCTCTGTGCATGGTTGCCACCCAGTGTCCTTAAAAATACTAGGTCACATTATATCTCTTAAAAAAAATAAAAGAGAGACAAGAGAAGCAGAAGAGACTTCAGTGACATATCATTCAGTCTTAATGGAGAGATTATTATTTTTTCTTTTCCTTTTTTTTTTTTCTTGAGACGGACTTTCACTCTTGTCGCCCAGGCTGGAGTGCAGTGGCGGATCTCGGCTCACTGCAACCTCTGCCTCCCAGGCTCAAGCGATTCTCCTGCCTCAGCCTCCCGAGTAGCTGGCATTACAGGCGCATGCCACCACGCCCAGCTAATTTTTGTATTTTTAGTAAAGATGGGGTTTCACCATGTTGGCCAGGCTGGTCTCGAACTCCTGACCACAGGTTATTCGCCCACCTTGGCCTCCCAGAGTGCTGGGATTACAGGGGTGAGCCACTGCGCCCGGCCAAGGGATATTTTTTGAACTGTAAAAAGATTAAGTTTTATGGAACAATTAGGAAAATGAGAATACTGGCTAGTTATTTGGTTCTATTAAGAAGTTACTAATTTTTTATGTGGTGTTAATGGCATGTGAGTGTTTGTTTTAAAAGACTATATTTTCTATATTTCATACAAGAATATTCATAAATGAAATAATTTGACTGAAATTTGCTTCAATATAATTGGAGGGTTATGGGAGAAGAAGGTCATAGTATAGAGGAAGCAAAATTGGTTTGGTTGATAATTATTTCTTTATTTTATTTTTTATCTTTGAGAAGGAGTTTTACTCTTGTTTCCCAGGCTGGAGTGCAGTGGCATGATCTCGGCTCACTGCAACCTCCGCCTCCCGGGTTCAAGCAATTCTCCTGCCTCAGCCTTCCAAGTAGCTGGGAATACATGCGCCTGCCACCGCATCCAGCTAATTTTTGTATTTTTAGTAGAGATGGACCCATGTTGGCCAGGCTGATCTCGAACTCCTGACCTCAGGTGATCTGCCCAGCTCAGCCTCCCAAAGTGCTGGGATTACAGGCATGAGTCAACATGCTCGGCCTGAGTTGATAATTATTGAAGCTGGGTTATGAGTGTGCGAGCACTCACTAAATTGTTCTCTGTTTTTGTTTGGGATTTTCTACATTAAATGTTAAAAACAAAGGGCTAGGCCACCGCAGAAAAACTGACTCTGGGAAGCTCTGTGCCTTCCACAGATGGAAGGATTTCTGGTCCCCAGTGAACACACCTCAGTTTGGAATGCCAGCTTCCCATGTACCAAAGAAGAACATTTTATTTTTTTGTAATAAATAAGGTGATTCAGACCAAACTTTGTTTGGTCTGGGGTGAATTTGTTTTTGTGTTTGCTCTGACTTGCTGCCTCCTCTACCCCAACTTGCTACCACAGTTTTCAGAAGAGCAGCGCTTTAACAACTTCCTGAAAGCCCTTCAAGAGAAAGTGGAAATTAAACAATTAAATCATTTCTGGGAAATTGTTGTCCAGGGTAAGTTGTCATTTGCCTTTTTTTTTAAAAAGTATTTTTAAAATACTTATGCTATTTTATTCTAAATATACATATAAATTCTAAATATAAACTGTATTGTATAATGAGTTATGTGGGAAACATGATGACTTTCTACATGGCTTTGGGAAATGCTCAGTGTTCGGTGAACTCAAACTCTCCCTTAATAAGCATAAATACAGAGTGATAAATAATAAATAAACATGTAAGTTCCATCTTAGACTCTTTACGCAGCATGACCTATTTCATGGCTGTGCCTTTCTGTTTGTTGAATGGAGCAGCTGTGTGGGCGAACATTGTCCCCTTTCTCAGATCCTTAGGCCATTTCAGTCCTGCTGGTTCCACAGCCCTTTGGTTGACCTCACCCAGGTTTTATCTCCCTGCTACTTTTCATTTACCATGTTCTTGGACTTTCCGTTTCAACAGACCAGCATCTTCATGTACCAAAACCATTCAGTTCTTCACTTGCACAGCAACCAATGCAAGTTAAACCCAGAAAGAAGACAGCACACATTCTTTCAGTGTTAGGCTTGATCTTTGCTTTTTTTCATGCCCTTTGCCCCACCTTTTTTAAAACATGACCTGATTTTCTTTTAGAACCCAAGTATAAGATATTACTTGTTTAAAATACATATTATGAAAATGATTATGTTTATGAGATAAACTTTTCACTTATACTAGAGATGCAAAATTTGTTTCAATCTCTTTCTGTGTGAATTCTATATAAAAAGAATTGCATACCTATCTATCCGCCTTCTAATGGGCAACTCTTCATCACACAGGTAACTGTTTTCCTGACAGTTAATTTTTCAGCCCTTTAACTTCTGCACTGGAGAACAAAAGGAATTGGAATGGGTAGTGAAGGGGGCTTACTCAAATCACTTTTGTGTCTCTGCTGTTGACCCCGTAAATGAAGGAGATTGGTTTTGGTATTTATTGAATGCCTATAGCGTATTATTTGCTGAAAAGAAACTTACAGGTCATATGCAAAATCCATATTTTCTGATAGCTTATATGCCACTGAGAGAATACAGATGACCAAGGCCATTCATAGGTACACATGGGTGTTAAATACATGTGCTTTTTGAACAGTTTATCAGGTATCAGCCATTTGATGTAGGAAAATAGGAAGAAGAGCAAACTAAAGAGTAGATTTTCTACCCTTGATTTGCTCTTACTGAGCTAAAATTGATTAACTGTCCTAAATGATAGACATGCCCCTTGGTGAAGACCATGTTTTCTTCCTCCCTAGTCCTCTGGCCACTCTATCAATAGCCAGTAACATGGCCACAAGACAAAATGCATGGCGTAGTTCCATATTGGGCACCGGATGTCTTGGACAAAAGCATACAGTCATTTAATTATCATTTATTTATTGAGCTTCTGCTATGTTCTACAGTAAGTCCTCTCTTAACGTCCATAGGTTCTTGAAAATTGTGACTTTAAGCAAAATGACACATAATGAAACCATTTTTTTCTCATCAGTGTTATAATGAAACAATATTATTTAAGTACCTACTTTTGTTTCACTTAAAGTCACAGTTTCCAACAACCTATTGATGATAGTTAAGTAAGGACATACTGTACATTGAGGGGAATATAAAGACTTATAAGACTTAGTGTCTGCCCTTGAGAAAATATATTCTTAGGAGAGAGAACATGTGTACAAATAGTTACATAAAATACGACAAGAGCCATTTCAAAGGAATAAACAAAGTGATCTGAGATTTCTAAAGAAGGGGAGACTTATCTAGAGTTGATCAAGGAAGGCTTCATGGAACACGTGGCATTTGACATGCGGCCTTTATTGCTTATTACACAGGCAAAAACTGGAGAAAAGATAATTTAAGATGGTCATTGTTAATTGGTTGCCTTTATAGTTTTATATTTTTTGTAGAACAGAGCACCTTTATAGTTTTAAAAATCTCCAGCTCAGGCTGGGCACAGTGGCGCATGCTTGTAATCCCAGCACTTTGGGAGGCCGAGACGGGAGGATCACTTGAGCCCAGGAGTCTGAGACCAGCCTGGGCAACATAGTGGGACCCTGTCTCTATTTAAAAAAAAGAAATCTTCAGCTCAAAGGTGGGAGGAGGTGTGATGGAAACGAAAATGGGATTGGGGTTGATTCTTTGTGTTTTGATTTTACTCTCTGAATTACTTTTTAGATGGAATTACTCTGATCACCAAAGAGGAAGCCTCTGGAAGTTCTGTCACAGCTGAGGAAGCCAAAAAGGTATTGAGGGGTAAACCTTTGTCTTTAGTTGAATTATTATAGTGGACTTTATTTTCTTGATACCCTCGAAGAAGTTAAATTTTATGGGTAACTAAATTAGTGTACTCATTTTGTATTCAATATGTAAATTGCTTCAACCACAGCATCCCCATGGGAGAAATTATAATCTTACTCAGTTTCCTGTAGGCTGTGGTTATATTTCTGGAACTCACCTGTAATCCCAGCTTCAGTACCCCTAGAGCATGCTGTTGAACCCCATAGTGCGCAAACTTAGCCTCGGCCCTGGTAAAGGCTATGAAATCCACAGTGATTCCCACCCTGGCCACACATTAGTTACTTGGTGAGCTTGTTTTTCTTTTTTTTCTTTTCTTTTCTTTTCTTTTCTTTTCTTTTCTTTTCTTTTCTCTTTCTTTTCTCTCTCTCTCTGTTTCTTTCTTTCTTTTTTTTTTTTGTTAATACTGATTAAAAATCAGAATTACCCTAGAGATTCTGTTAGTCTGAGATGGGTCCTGGGCACAGTTGGTTTGTTTGCATTTTAAAACCCCTCAGGTGATTGTATTGTATAGTGAATAGAGAAACACTAGTATTCTAGCATAAGGGACATCCAAGTATTTTCAGTAAAAGACCCCATGCAGTCCCCATGAGCTTCTTATTCACACACATTGTTAGGCCTAGGCCTCCTTGTTTGGTGTGTATTGAATCTGATTCAGCCATGAGTCAGATACATGTGGTTATTTAGTTCAGTAGTCCTTCATTGTACCTCAAGGTTGTGATGAAATTTTAATGAATTAAGTTGAATAGCTCAAAAGTATATACTTCGTAACACTCAGTTTCAGTTACAGTCACTGACTGATGTAGTTCTGCTGGCACCTGACAGCTCTCAGTTACTAAGCTTCTGCGATATGCTAGGCACTGTGCTGGATGATAAGACAGCACCCCTGCCCTCTAGAAGCTCGGGCAGTTAAAATGGAGCAGAGGGAAGCAACGGAGACTCAGAAAATAACTATACACACTAAGGGAGAGCTTGGTCTGGGGCTGGTGAATAGGAATCTGTTAGGGAAGTGACAGATGCAAAGCTGGAAATGTTAATCAGATGGCTAAATTCAGGCCAAAATTTAAATATCTTCAATTTTCAACTCAAGAAAGGCATTTGGCAGAAACCATGTTTGGAAAAGAAATTAAAATTTACAAGAATTTTTATTAAGCACTTTGCCTAGCAAAAGATTTTTGTTAAAAAAAAAAAAAAAACTTGTCATCCCTACTTTCAGGGAGTAGAATCCTGGAATTTTTGAAGCATACTGTAAGATGGTGATTATATCTCAGAAGGGGTTCCGTGGTGTCTGTACCCTCTCTGCCACAGGCAATACTGAGCACCATAGGCTTGAGTATGCCATTTAACTGTTTGGTTTTGTTTCTGTTTGTCACTTTATACAATGTTTGATAATATCTCCTCATTGAACTGGGCTATTTCAGTCAAGGTTCTCCAGAGAAACAGAACCAAGAGAACGTACATGTGTGCGTGTGTCTGTGTGTGTGTATGCACATACACACACACATATATATAGAGAGAGAGATTTATTGGCTGAATTTCAGAAATTGGCTTGTGTGATTGTAGGGCTTGGCAAGTCTGAAATTTGTAGGACAGGCTAGCAGGCTGGAAACTCAGGCAGGATTTCTGTGTTACAGTCCTGAAGCAGAAACCTCAGCTTTTGCTCTTAAGGTCTTCACTTGATTGGATGAGATCTACGAATATTACTAAGATTAATCTTTACTTAAAATCAGGTAATTTTAGATGTTAATCACATCTACAAAATACCCTCACAGCAACATCTAGAGTAGTGTTTGATGGAACAACTGGGGACCATAGCCCAGCCAAGTTGACACATAATATTCATTGTCACATGGTGTGAAGACCTATCAATCAATTTTTGTTAAACAAGTAAATCAGGAAAAATATTTTTTGTCATTATTACATTAAGAAAATTTATTATCCAGGTGACAGTACATACTAGAGTTTTTGGAAGAAGTGAGGAGCCATGACCTAAAAAAGCTTGTGTTTCCTGCCAGCAGCACATCTTAACCAAAGATGTTCCAGCTAAGTTAACCCAGAATATTAGACAGGAAAGAAATCTGAAAACAGATGATGCACTTGCAAATTGTGCAAGGCTTGTTCTGTAATGCAAATAGGATGTCTTCTTTGAAATGTAAAGGCACTGAGCCTAAGCATGAGGAATTTTAATGTCTAATGATGAAGCTATAGAGAGAAATTTCAGTTAATGACCAGGTAGGTATAAGATGGTGTCCTTAGATAATTCTGATATCAGAACTGATGTTAGTTGTAGTTTAAGACAACTCTCCTGAGACAGGAGAACCGCTTGAACCCGGGAGGCAGAGGTTGGGGTGAGCCGAGATCGCGCCATTGCACTCCAGCCTGGACAACGAAAGCGAAACTCTGTCCCAGGAAAAAAAAAAAAAAAAAAAAGACAACTCTCAAAACTTCACCATCTTTGAATAGAGAGAACATCATAAAAAACAAGTGGAGAGAATCTCTTCTACTTCAGCCACGGGTTGCCTGGCTCTGACTGGCATCTTCTTCCTTTTAGAGCATAGTGTTTCCATAGTCAAGGCACAGAGAGTGTGCTTCCAGTACTACCAGCAAAACTGAACTTCACTGTCATGGCAGATAAGAAGTTAGGAAATTCAACATAAAATGTATTGAGTACCACCAGCTCTATGCCAGGCACTTTGATATATATTATCTCATAGCCTCCAAAAAAAGTACATTGCACATTCACCTAGCAGACTCTTTCACATCTAGAAAATGCCATTTCCTTTTTTTCCCCACATTTATCAGTGCTTTAGCCAATGTAGTATGTATACCAGATATTTAGATAACACTTTGACTGCTAAAGAACCATTCACATTGTATGGTGTTTGTCTACAACACTATATACATCATATCTAGATAATGGTAGAAAATAAGAGTAGTAGAATTTTACTTGTATCCAACTCCCGAACCAAAGAGCCCAGTATTATCTCTGTAATCTTCACAATGATCTGCTAAGAATTGGCAAGAGCAGGAACTACCATCCCTGTTACCACTGGGAAGCCAATCCCCAGAAAGGTAAAGTGGGGTTACACTTTGAGCTCACCGAGGTAGCAAGAGGATTAAAATGCACGTTCCTTTGCACCACACCAGACCTTCGTTTTCAAGTGGATTAAGTTTTGTGAATGGAATCTTGGACCAATCATTTCTAAAATACAGTACTCCCTGTCTGCTTCATCTCAACAAATGACTTTCTGGCCTAGAGCCAGGTGGTGGTTAGAATAACCTGGAAGTCATAGAGTAGACCCTGTAATTTTGACTCACCTTCAGTGTACGCTGTGTTATATCTGTCAGTTCTCATTAGTATAGTGGTGAGTACCCCCACCTGTCACTGTATCATGCCTGACTGTGAGATTATGCTTTTGTGTCTGCTTTAATATCACATGAACCCTTTATTTTGTTTTCCAGAGTGAAAACTTGATCCTTTGTATGAAAAATGCTTTTATTTATTTATTTATTTATTTATTTATTTATTTATTTAGAGACAGAGTCTCCCTCTGTTGCCCAAGCTGGAGTGTAGTGGCACGGTCTCAGCTCACTGCAACCTCTGCCTCCCAGGTTCAAGCAGTTGTGCCTCAGCCTCCCGAGTAGCTGGGATTACAAGTGCGCACCACCCCACCCAGCTAATTTTTGTATTTTTAGTAGAGATGGGGTTTTACCATGTTGGCAAGGCTGTTCTCAAACTCCTGACCTCAAGTGGTCCGCCCACCTTGGCTTCCCAAAGTGCTGGGATTGCAGGCGTGTAATCCCAGCCATGCCTGGCCTGAAAATGCTTTTAAATGGCATCTGTTGATTTTTGGAGAGAAGTGTAGAAGGGAGAGTGTACATGTAAATGATAATGGGGAGAATTGCAGAGGAAGATTCTGGCTCAAGGAAGCTGATTTCTTTTGGTTTTAATAGAAGAGACATGCTTTAGCTATTTCTCTTAGCCAAGTGAGAGAAGTATTATCACTTTTGACCATGCACTGAAATATTCATTTATATTGCCTTCAAATGTTCAATTTGGTCACTTCCCAAATAATCATTTAAGGAAACTTGACTATAATCACTGAGGTTAAAGAACAATCCTCACAGTCTATTTAAATTCTTTTGAGGTGTTTCCCATAAGTTATTTAAAGTTAGCAAGCTGTCAAATTCTTGCTATTAAATGTTGACATTTGAAAGGAAATAATTATCCAGGGATGTTCATTTTAAATGAAAATTATAACTTTACATTTGTATAACATCTTAAGAGCTATTACCCTCCAGTTTTTCTAGAAATATGTGGATTGTATGATTCTTTGAGAAATAGAAGGAAGTCAGCTCTGCTACAGAAATAGAAAGTTTTTGCATGGCGTGAGTTTAGACAGTCACTTTCTTTTAAGTTTCCTGGTACCTCTCATTTCATTTTGAAACCTAGGCATAAATCATTCTTTAATGTTCATTTTTATTATCATTATAACCTGTCAGTTCTTCCACTTTTTCTGTTTCTAGTTTATATGATTAGATATGCCATTAGCATTTGATGTTTGGTAGAATCTTTGTATAGCCTTTGTGTGCTCTTCATCTGTCAGTTCTCCTGGCTCTGTAGTGGGTGGAAGAGGTAAAGTGATGTGTCTGAGAGCTCACAGTAAGTCACCGGCCAGGAATCTAGTTCTAGCACTGCCCTAGTCCTTCATTCTCCTTTAGTATTGAGAAAGCAGTGAAGAAAGAGGATTTATCCCCATGGCATTGGGATCTTTTTTTTTTTTTTTTTTTTTTTTACCAGATTCCAAGAGGCTGAGCTATATCTAAATAATCATTTGATGTAAGCTCTGTGAAAAAAAAATCATTATTTTAGCACTTATTTTTCTTGTAACTGCCTAATTTATCCTTCTTTATTGTTGTTGACATTTATGGATTTTCCACCTTAGTATCACAGACATTCATAGATAGCAATTGGCCATTTTACCAATTGGTGTTGGCCATTTTACCAACACCCCTGTCTAGAGAGGTAAAGTTTTCTGTGCCTCACAGCAAGCTAGTGGCCAGCAGAATTGACTGGAATCCAGACCCCCAGATGCCCGCTGTAGTCGCCTTATCACCACACCATGGCACCAGCTCTTCACGCCTTCACCTTATAATGCCGCCAACCACATCTACCTAGAGAAAGGATGCTCATGCTCCCTTTTTCAAGAGTACATCTGGTTCTGTGTGTGAGAGTGCACAGGAATTCTCCAAAGCTTAGTGAAGGATTGAAGACAAAGGTTAAGAATCATTTCTTGAGAGCAGTTTTGTCAAACTGCTGGCCCCTGTTGGAACCTGTGACATTTTTCTTTGCTTTTTTCTGCTTTCATTTTCTGCCTTAATTCTCTGGTGTAGTTTGCTAGTACAAGAAAAGTAATAATGAAAATATCACAGTGTTACCCAATATTTATTTAAGGCTTGATACATTTAAGATATGATATTAAATTTTTTATTGAGGTAGAACATGTGTACAGTAAATGCACAGATCTTAACTGTGCAACTTGATGAATTCTTACACATTCATGTACCTGGGTGCTCACCACCCAGATCAAAATAATAGAACATTTCCATCACCACATAAGCCTCCCTGGTACCTTCCTAGTCAGAAGCCCCCATCCCTTGAGGTAACCACTATTCTGACTTCTGTCACTTGAGAGTCATCTGGCCTGTTTTTGACCTTCATATAATTGGAATCATGCCTTTTTTTCATCAATTATGTGATTATAGCTATGTAGTAATCCCTTTTATGATTTTACCACAATTTATTCATCCATTCTCCTAATGATGGACATTTGCTTGTTTGTCCTTTGGCAGTTATGAATAAAGATGCTGTGGATATTCTTGTACATACCACTTGGTGGACATATGTTAAGTGTATTCCTAGGAATTAGAACATGAAACTTACAATACCATAATGAATTTTTTCATACTTTAGTTTATCTGAGACTCAACAACCCCTAAGATAGGTATGGTAAGTAGTAGTATTCACATTTTGTTTTTGAGCGAAATTAGTTATGAAAAGGTCAGGTGGCTTGCGTAAGGTTCCTGAGAAACTGACAGGGTTATAGTTGTGTTCTCCACACTAGGCTGCAGGATTTCCCTCTTGCACCATGTTAGTGTTTATAGCATCCATTAAGCTACAAGTGGCATTAATGAAACCCAAATATATGTCATTTTAGGCAAAGTACATGCAAACTGACTTTTATTCTTTTTGATGCTTTTTTACACATCTAGATTGTCAGTAATCCTTTGGAATCACCTGATGGTGTTGGAAACAACCCAGTGGAAGTCATGTGTTTTTACTTTGGGGGTCAGTAAGGGTCTGAGCACAAGATGATAGTCTTTTAGTCTTATGGTGGTATAGGACTGGCAGTTTCTATATAGAGGTTATTGATTTCATTACTCTGCTTGTGGCCAGGATTATATTTCAGTGTACTTGAAAAGTAGTAGGTTATCCATTTCATAAAGTTCTCCAGGTAAGGAGGCACTTTTATGGTAACCCCAGGTAAGTGATGGTGGTTTGAGGAAGAAGGAATATGTCACTCACACACATGCCCTTTCTATCTGTTCTCTACTTTCTCAGCATATTGCAGAGGGAAAGAACACATGAGAAAAGATGAGAATTGACTCCTACCCCTTTCTGCAGAAGAGATTCGGAGAATCTCTTGCTTTTATTGAGAAAGCAGGCCAGTCATTGAGTTCTCTGCTCTATCTTGCTTCCCTGTCACTGCATGGGCTAGAATTACTTGCAGTTACAAACATTAATGATGAGGAGTGATATGTGGAAGAGATCAGCCTTGCCTGGGGCATTGGGAAGGATAATGGATGGCAGCCCAGCTTTTAAACATAATTTGCTTACACAGAAATGTGAAGCAGATCTGTCAGGAAAATCAGTTGCAGACGATACTTAGCACTTAATGAAAATGTAGGATTTTTGTTGCTGCTCATTTCTTCCTAGGAATTTGGCCTAGTCTCAGAGATGTGCCATTTGTGCTTAAGTATATATACCATGGTCATACTGTGCCAACAATAAGTCCTTATCTAAGGGGTCATACAAGATGTAGTGGACTACAGAACCATTAAGCCTATGGAGTTTTTCAGATGTTTGGAAGATACCAGTCATTTGTGGCCCTACAGAGATTTATGGCAGGATGCAGCTCTACTGTTTATTCTCTTGCCCCAACTGGATAAGTCTTATCCTGTAGCCATATAGTCCTGATATCACGAAAATCATGCAGGGGTTAATGACAATGAGTAGGAGAGGAGAGGTACAACATAAAAAGTATGATAATAACCCGGAAAACCCCAAATAAAAACCCATTTGAGAATCTAGGATAGAGTAGTTTATTTAACCTTTACAGATAAATCATATGCTAGTAAATGTATAGATTTTTTATTCATTTATCTGTATTTGGCTGTCAGATATCTTTATTCATAATCACCCAGAATAAACAGAATGAATGAAACAGAAGCTTCATCACAATTCTGTTACAGACTGTCTGCCTCCATTGCTGGGATTTCCTCTCTCTTATACCATTGATTCTCAGTCTTGCACATGGCCCAGTTTAGGGTCAACAAAGAGCTATGGAAAGATCCATAAATGTCCTTAAAAGAAGATAAATTCCTTATTCGCTCAGTCATAAAAGAAGTTAATGAATAGTGAGGTGGTCTTAACTGAGGGAAAAAAAGTCCAAGAGAGTGGTTGAGTCAACAAACAATTATGTCCATGGTGCTGACAAAGGCACTGCACCTTAAGGCAGACACAGCCTCCACTGTTATCACTTTGTTACCTGTGTGTGTTTTTGTATATGAGGACTAGAAGAACAGGCAGAGCTTTCTTGCTTCCTGAAACTTGCCACATGCAGCCTCATATTTCATGGTTGACTTTGGTTTGACTTTTTAAAGAGACATATTTTAGTTTATTTATAGGTCTTAGGTTTCAGAGGTCATGATTGTGTCCATTGTACCATAAAAGTAACAGGAATGTAGAGAATGGCAGCTCTTACCATTTTTTCATGTTGAGAGTGAGGAAAGTATAATTATACTTTTTCCTCTTGGGTGGAAGCAACTACAGGAGAGCATAAGTGGGCTGGAAGGCTCTCTCACCGCGTGCCTGCTCCATGCACTCTCAGCCTGAAGAATGCCAGAATGCCTCTAGGGGCCAGTCAGTTGTGGTACCATAACTGATTCTCTATTTACTGTTTCTGGCCCCCAAAGGAAAAGTAGAAGTGCCCCACTTTCCACTGCCCTCTCTAAAACACTCACTCCTACAGGCAGGCATGCTACCAGAAAATCACCTTCTCGTGTTAGGATAGATAGGCATTGCTAGATAGATATGCATTGCTAGAACCCAGCTCTTAGAGGCAGCTGCCACATGCCTTGAAGGAAAAGGCTCCCCACTGCTATCCCTTGGAGGGACAGGATGGAAAAAGAGTGTTCAGATAATTTTCAAGGGCACTCACCTCACTACCCTTTTAAAATCTGAGTGTCATTCCTAGATCCTCACAGACTTCACTTCCTGGACTTTGCTGTATTACTATGTATCTGCCTTTCAGAAGCTCCAGATCTAGAACAGTGATGCTGAATGGTTTTCTCATCCATTTCTCATCTGCCTGTTTTCAAACAATTTCTAACACAAATTGAAAGATTTCCATAAAAGGAATCAAACAACCTTCCAAGCTCACTCATTTTTGCATTTCACGTTTCTTATGAGAAGTCCCCCTTTTACTGCTTTTGTCCACAGTGGAATTTAAGAGTAGATTATTCTAAGCTTTTTTTTTTTTTTTTTCCTGATTCTTCATCATTCAACTTGAGATTATTCTAATCTTGATTTGATTCTCATGCTCCTTTCAAAAGAGCATACTAGTTTGGGGTGGTTGGTTATTTTCTTAACCTTAGCAAGCCAGCTTATTTCCTATGGAAGCAGAACTGGAAACAGCAGATGTCCACCATGCTTATACAGGACACTACACACTGTCTCGACAAGCCATGTTCTTTCCTCCCTCTTCGTGAGCACTTTCTCTGGTGATGAGTTAGTATGGACTACTTGAACCTCAAAACTGGGCCTCTCACCCAAAGCCAAATGAAGTAGCGTATGCCAGGATGATGTTTCTTTTGGGCCGTTGGCAGTGAGACTGCTAAGCAGGCTGCCTTAGGTTTTGCTGTGGCAATGCTAGCAGATTGTTCCCTCTTTCAAAGGGGCAAAAATATCATTTTGGTATGATAACTGACTTTCTATTTACAGTTTCTGGCCCCCAAAGACAAACCAAGTGGAGACACAGCAGCTGTATTTGAAGAAGGTGGTGATGTGGACGATTTAGTAAGTACTTTTAATATGCACCTGGTGTTCTATGATTGAAGTCACCTGAGCTGTAAATACAGCCACAAAGGCTGATTATCTTACACTTGTTGCTTATTTGTGTTTTAATTTCCAATACACCAGAAGCTTCCTACACCATTATATATTGCCATTATAAATTCAATCAGATAGGTAATTTCATAATAGAAATTCCTGTGTTTCATGGTGTCGGCTATATTGTTCATTCAGATTAATCCTCTCCCTTGAAGGGCTGAAAAAGAGCTAGGGAGGCTATTCCATTAGTAGCAAAATGTTGTAATTCACTGAAATTGCTGTTAACCAAAAATAAGTAATACAACATGCAGTTTGTGTGGGTTGACAAATGAAACAGCCCTTAAAAGGGCTACTTCTTAAATGTTCTCAATTAACTTAATGTAAACAAAATAGACCGATAGGCATTTGAGGATTTCTGGACCCCATTACACCATGTTGTTGATGTCTGGGAAGCTGTGTAGTAAATGTCTTTTGTATCTATCCTTAATGTTTGGAAACTTCCCGCCTTTAAGCTTCATATGACAACTGACCAACAAACACTACGTACTATGATGTCAATCTTTTTTAGAGACATTCTCATTACTAAAATGAGTGGATACTTGAATGTTTAACTCCTAAAATAATGAGCGGTGAATAAATGAGCAAGTACATGCATGCCTTCCAATGTAGAGTCATTTTCATTAAACCCTCTCTCACCAGAGAAGCAGTGGTATGAAATTGGCCTGATTCCTTTCTAAGTGTGTTGTTCTTGTTCACAGTTGGACATGATATAGGTCGTGGATGTATGGGGAATCTAAGAGAGCTGCCATCGCTGTGATGCTGGGAGTTCTAACAAAACAAGTTGGATGCGGCCATTCAAGGGGAGCCAAAATCTCAAGAAATTCCCAGCAGGTTACCTGGAGGCGGATCATCTAATTCTCTGTGGAATGAATACACACATATATATTACAAGGGATAATTTAGACCCCATACAAGTTTATAAAGAGTCATTGTTATTTTCTGGTTGGTGTATTATTTTTTCTGTGGTCTTACTGATCTTTGTATATTACATACATGCTTTGAAGTTTCTGGAAAGTAGATCTTTTCTTGACCTAGTATATCAGTGACAGTTGCAGCCCTTGTGATGTGATTAGTGTCTCATGTGGAACCATGGCATGGTTATTGATGAGTTTCTTAACCCTTTCCAGAGTCCTCCTTTGCCTGATCCTCCAACAGCTGTCACAACTTGTGTTGAGCAAGCAGTAGCATTTGCTTCCTCCCAACAAGCAGCTGGGTTAGGAAAACCATGGGTAAGGACGGACTCACTTCTCTTTTTAGTTGAGGCCTTCTAGTTACCACATTACTCTGCCTCTGTATATAGGTGGTTTTCTTTAAGTGGGGTGGGAAGGGGAGCACAATTTCCCTTCATACTCCTTTTAAGCAGTGAGTTATGGTGGTGGTCTCATGAAGAAAAGACCTTTTGGCCCAATCTCTGCCATATCAGTGAACCTTTAGAAACTCAAAAACTGAGAAATTTACTACAGTAGTTAGAATTATATCACTTCACTGTTCTCTACTTGCAAGCCTCAAAGAGAGAAAGTTTCGTTATATTAAAACACTTAGGTAACTTTTCGGTCTTTCCCATTTCTACCTAAGTCAGCTTTCATCTTTGTGGATGGTGTCTCCTTTACTAAATAAGAAAATAACAAAGCCCTTATTCTCTTTTTTTCTTGTCCTCATTCTTGCCTTGAGTTCCAGTTCCTCTTTGGTGTACAGACTTCTTGGTACCCAGTCACCTCTGTCTTCAGCACCCTCATAAGTCGTCACTAATACACAGTTTTGTACATGTAACATTAAAGGCATAAATGACTCATCTCTCTGTGAATTGCTGCTAATTATTGTCTGCAAAAGACTTCTTCAGTGCTCTGCTGAGAATTGAACACCCTTATCCATTGATTGAAAATGGATCTGCAAGATAGAACATCATTCATTTAGCTGAGGAGAGAAAGGAGTGCTTTACTTTGGGCTTCTAGGACATCCTCTCAATACTATACACACTTGCATCAAACTTGACATACAGGTGCTCATTTAAAGTAACCCCAACAGAGGATGACATATAGTTTCTGGTTAGATAGTTAAAGCCCAGGGGTTGTTTGTGACTTGGACAAAACTGAGACATTCTTAGAACCACAGAGAGTGGAAACTTTGATCTCTGAAATCTTCATTATTCTCATCAGATCCTCCCAGCAATATGAATCAGCTCAGTAAGTATGGCTCCATCAGCAGCCCCTGTCTTTGGCAGTTTGGGGAATTTCTTTTGGGAAACGTCAGTCTTTTTGTCATGCCAGGAAAAGTTTAAATCAAGTTAGTCCTTTAGATCTTCTGATACTTTTTGACTTAGTTTGAATGCAGCAGGATTATTTGTGCTTCTCTAACCCTGTTTTACCTAAATCTCAATACCTCAAGGAAGAAATTAGTTTCACAGGCTAAGGAGAGGAAGAACTAAATGAGTCATGTAATTTCCAAATCCATTTCATACAGGTGAAGTATATGTGCTATGTAGACTTCATCAGAGCGTACTGTTTTGAGTAGGGACAGCGTGTTTTGCATGAACACATCACAGTCCCATTTCCGTGAAATGAGATTGGCAGATCTACAGAACTCCCAGGTGTTCTGCTGAGTGTAGCCCTGGAGGACAGCAAGTGCTGTATTGTCGTCAATCCACCATGGGCTGCTTCTCAGAAGCCCAGTAATCCCACAAATGATAGGCTTGTCTGTGATTGCAAGTCACTGACTATGGACCCGGTCACCTTTTTCTTCTATGTCACTGAAATTTATTGACTTGAAGAGGAGTCATCCTCTTTGTGACCCCCCCACCCAAGTCACAACTCAAATGACCATACGCATTTCCAAATGCCCCCTTGAAGGTATGTGCTGCCCCTCATTAAGTACCACTATTTTAAATGTTGGGTTTTAATCCTTTGCCAGTTAATTTACATATAAGATTTAGAATCTTGGAAAACTATTTGAAAAATCGTGTTGGGATTAGGCAGCATTTTTTTTTCCCGCCAAGTCCAGGATGGCTTTGAAAATAAATGGACACAGATCTCTCCTGTTTTGATGATGTGCAGTGCTAATGACTGGCTTTGCAGTTAATTTTGATTCAGGCAACAGATGTTCCTTTTGGTTCCCTGTCTCCCATGGGCGTCATTTCATGTTGTCCTCTGCCTTCCCCCAGATATTCTAAGTTCAGGACACAAGCTTGTGGCCCATGCAGAGCAGAGGCCATGAGGGGTCACAGCATGGGTACGGGAGGAAACACTGGGCTAACCCAGATACTGGACTTGAGTCTTGCCTCTGCTGCTTGCTGCACAGCTTCTGTCATGGTGCTAAACCTGTGACCTGCCTCACAGGCTTAGAGCATGCCCGTAGAAGTACTCTAAACTAAAATGCTTTCCACAAATGAGATGGTTTCATGAAAACTTCAAATAGAGGGCCTGGGCAGAACATAACCTTTTTTTTTTTTTGAGACAGAGTTTCACTCTGTCACCGAGGCTGGAGTACAGTGGCTCAATCTTGGCTCACCGCAACTTCCACTGACCAGGTTCAAGTGATTCTCCTGCCTCAGCCTCCCGAATACCTAGGATTACAGGCATGCACCGCTACCCCTGGCTTATTTTTGTGTTTTTAGTAGAGACGGGGTTTCTCCATGTTGGCCAGGCTGGACTCGAACTCCTGGCCTTAAATGATCTCCCCACCTCGGCCTCCCCAAGTGCTTGGATTACAGGCATGAGCCACTGCGCCCAGCCACAAAACAACTTTTAAATAGGTCTGCTGCTGTTTTTTTATTTTAACCTTATTTCTTCTAAGACCTTGAGTATTCCAGTGCTGTTTTCTTTGTAATGATCTATTGTTATTGGACTTAGGTTTTCTCATCTAGTTATACATAAAAATTAAAGTCTCCATGTGATCAAAGGTAAGGGTAGGACCCAGGGTAGGTTTTCTTACTTTTTAACAGGGTGACCATGCATTCCAGCTATGGAGGATGGATTGTTGTCTTAGCATAATTAATAGTGCTCTTTTTTGTTCTCAGAATTGTCCTGGTATGGATTATAGATATATGGTCACCCTAGGTTTTGATTATATTAAGTTAGTATCACAACCAGGGCCCAAGGAATGACCATATCCTGCCTTGCCACTCACCCCTCTCCTATTAACTCCCTCCTGGAGCTAAATGCACAAGGAGCAGACAGCAAAATGGAAATCAACATACTGCTTTGTATTAGCTTATTTCAGAGATCTTTGGAACAGCTAGGTTGTGGCTCATGGCTTAGGTTTGTCCTCTGCCTCCTACATCCAGATCTTACCACCATCTGGCTTCCAAGCCTGAGACAGGGAAGAACGTCTCATTGGGCCTGCTTGGAAAGAGTAGGCCCTTGGGCGCAGTGGCTTACGCCTGTAATCCCAGCACTTTGGGAGGCAGAGGCAGGCGGATCACTAGAGGTCAGGAGTTCAGAACAGCCTGGCCAACATGGCGAAACCCCATCTCTACTAAAAATACAAAAAATTAGCCGGGTGTGGTGGTGGGCGCCTGTAATACCCGCTACTCAGGAACCTGAGGCAGGAGAATCACTTGACCCTGGGAGGCAGAGGTTGCGGTGAGCCGATATCACACCACTGCACTCCAGCCTGGGCGAGAGAGCAAGACTCCATCTCAAAAAAAAAAAAAAGTAGGCCCTGGTACTTGTGCCTGGTTGACAGCATGGAGCAGGAAGTGGAAATGCATATGATGTTTAAACAACCTTTTAGGGGTTTTAATGACCCCTAATAAATATAGCTCAGTCTCCAGCCATTTTTCTAAGTCCTCCCTATAGCAGGCAGGGGAATATTAGGAGGGTGATGGGGAAATGGGACTTCCCCCATCCCACACTTTTACCCCATATAGGTCAGTTCCCCTGATCAGAAGTAGAATTGCTAATCCCTGCTTAGATAGTTGGCTTTCTGCAGTCATTTTGGAAAGGAAAGAAATGCTCCTTTAAACATAACCCAGGACTAGACTTCCTTTCAAGAGGCATAATGGCATAATGCTTCAAATAGCCACCTGGATGTTAGATACTATTAGGTTTATTAAGTCCAGGTGTCAATAGCATTTAACAGTTATGTGGCCTTCACAAGTCCCTTAACCTTTGTAAGCAACAAAATAAATCACTTGCATTTTATCTGTGGGCAGGGTGGCCCAGGAGAGGACAGAAACTTCTCAGCCAAAGGGAACTCACAGGAGCTGCTTGAATATGCGAACGGGTACTGCTTGGAGTGTTGAGAAAGCAGCTCCAGACCCAAGCCCTATCCACATCCTCCCATTTTACATTGCCCAGGGCCACCCACCTTTGCACTGCAGCTTGTGTGGGTAAGGACCCTGGCAGACCTGGAACGGGAGTCTTAGCATGGGTAAGTCTCTGAATTTCTCTACGCCCCTCCCTGTTACCTTTTCAGTATGCTGGGAATTATAACAGCTTACAGGGTTATTGTTAAGATTAATGAGCACATACTGCTAACAGCATATATTAATGGCTTGGTAAAATAGGATGAAAACTAAAATTTATTTTGCAGCAGAATTCCCCTTAGGAACAGATCTAGTTTGTTGGATAAATACGTTGATGAACTACTTCAGGGATTGCAGTGGCACTGAGATAGGAGAGGAAAGCAGAAGGAAGATGGCACCCTGGGGAAACTTGGTGGTAGGGGAGGTGTTCTGGCTGGTTACTGGCTTTGGTGTTGATAAAGATTATCTTTAAATAAGGGGAGAGTTTTAGAGATGGAGGTGGGTAAAGACAACAGCGATGGACAGCTGCAGGGGAGGGCAGCTTTAGGGGCTTGGGGAAGCACAAGTGTCCATAGGCATCCTAGTCTTAAGTTATCCTGTGGGGTTGAGTGAATTTTCATCTCCCCACTGAGTATTCAGTGCAACATCCATTTCACTAATGTGCTTGGAGTTGGTATTTTTAGGGGATGCATGTAAGTGCTGTGAATGTGACCTGTTTCAAGGAGGGCAAGGGTGAAAACAGGCTGTCCAGAGAGAGTCTGGTCATCTCTGGATTATCTTCATGCCTTGCTGTTTAAACCTGAAATCAATCAAATGTAGGCGATAGCAAACTCTGCTCCTCCTTAGGTTGAACTTCCATGCCTCCACTGTGGCCAAAATCAAGCCTTATATAATTCCCCATTCAGAAATAAGAACAAAAATGAACTCTGTTCTTGAAAATAACTGCAGATAACAGCTTGGCCAGGAAAGCACAAAAGGTAGCATGTGTGAGACATTTGTCATTGCTCAGAATTTTAAAATTGCATTCCAAGCTGTTGGATTTGAGTTTAAGTGAGGCCAAACTGGGGCGAGATCAAACACACCATCAAAGAATTACACACATATCCTTGTGGCCACATCGCTTTTGTTGTTTGTTTCAAGGATGCTGTGTGTGTTACTAGGGTTAAGACTCTTCTCCTTGGCTGAGGGATCTCCTCTGGAGATTTTGAAAACAGGAAACAGATTTCTCTCTCCCTTCTCTGGTAGTCTTCCTATTCGTGTTAGAAACAGTCTTGCTCAGAGGCAGAGGGTGAATCCCTGGCAGATCTTGACAATCTTATGTAATATGTGCATGACTTTTCTCTATCTCTGCCATAGTAAGAATACTAGGCTGAAAAATAGGTTCCCTTTCTTAGCAGTTTGTGTTGACAGAAGTTGGCAGATGGTAGGGGTAAAAGGGAGTCTTAGAGCATTTCTGAAGCCAGATGGTATAATACCCCAGCCCCACCTGGGAATGTCTGATAGGAGCTGGGGGAAAAAAAAAAAAGCAGAATCTCTCCTGAGTCCTTCCTGTCATTTCTGCAGCTTTAGCAACACCAAGAACTATCTTTGTCAACACTGAATTCCTGTGGCTTGTGTCCTAGAGGAGATGAATAGAATAGAATGTGCTCACCTCAAGATTAGAGTCTACCTTGTACCAGAAAAAGCTGAGGAATGAGACCCATGCAAAGTAATATAGAAACATAACAATCCACTCCTGATGTTCTTCTGTGGAAAGAGGGGAGAAATAATCCCAAAGCATTGTATCAAGTGGGCAGAAGTGAGATGGGCAGAGTCTCTTCCTGCCACTGCCTGAGGGAGAGATCTCCACTTGCAGAGCATCCGAAGTTGATGAACAGCATGGCACTTTGAAGAGCCTTCACTTACTGTGGAAACTCAGAGAAATTGCTTTACCCTCACAGACTTCAGTTTTACCATATGTATGGTAATTGGTATGTTTGAGATTTAAAATCAGTTCATTTAAGTAACACTCCCAATGGAGTAAGTCATGTTAACTTTTTAAAATCACAAATCTGTAAGTTTGGAAAAGGAGAGAGGAAACTATTACTTCTTAAGAGTTATAGCCTGTCAGGTTATCTTGCAAGCTGGGAAGCACAGCCTCCTCTAGCAGAAGCCCAGAGACAGGCACTTCAAAGGAGGAGGGGTTGGCTTGGAGCTTTATGCTGAAAAAGTTATCTAAATATGCATATTCAGTAGGTTACAGGAAGAGCTGTGAATGTTCATAAAGGTGGTCCTGATGAATGCATATTAAACAAGTATGTTACATATGACCCATGTTCATCTCACAGAGAAGACTCGACATTTAAATATTACAATCAGGCCCAGTACATCAAAAGGTTTTTCAGGACAGGAAGGCACTCAAGTACGCAATCTCTGTAAACCCACTAGAACCAGTCCATGGTCGGTGGGCTTCTTAACAGGAGAAAGTTACTGAAATCACTCTCTTGTCCAGTCAAAGCTATAGTTATGGCTGGTAGAGTTCAGTTAGTCAGCATCTGGTAGGGCTGCAAGTGTTTTATTAGTGTTTATGGTGAGGCCACTGCTTGTTTAGCTGCTAGAGAGAAAGAGAATCCTTGTTGCAGTTAGAACCTAGTTTATTCTTTAAGCGTAGGGGTGCATAACTTAACCCTTGCCTGGCATGGTAATTTGTTATGTTGCTGCCACAAAGAATCTGTTCTGTCAATCTTAGGATCTCTATTTTAACTTTAATGCGGGTCAATTGTCTGTAAACCAGAAAAGGGAGGGGAGTATAACAAGTCGTGTCTAACCTGCTGTCCTGTCATGGCTGGGAACTCCGTTTTTAAGAATTTTCTGGGGTCCCCTTGGCCAAGAGGGGGTCCATTCAATCTGTAGGGGAGGAGTCTTAGGATTTTATTTTTAGTTTACATTCTCCCCTTTTAGCCAAGATGTGCCAGAGGCAACACTGATGACCAAACATTTATTTTGTCTCATGTCACTGCCAGGGTGGTGTCGTTACCTGCCCCAGGCTCATTTTGTTCTTTGGTGGGATCCCTGTGGCCAAGGGACTTGGAACCAAAAGACTTAAAACTAATTAAACATTGGAGGCCAGATGAAGATGGAGGTTCACAGGCACGCATTAACCCTTAAAAACCTTTTGAGCAACATAACCAAAAAGCAGTGTTACAAAAGTGACTTGTCTATGAGTTCTGTGTGTTGAGCCATGAGCTGTTTGGTAATCTGTATGCCCATCTTTAATTTGGAGGGTCTGAACTAATTTTATCTGTTGAAACTGGCCCTTACAATCTCATGTGCCCACCCCTTCTGTGATAGTCCATGGGCCTACTGGGAGGGTGCTTGATACTGTATTGCTTTAGCAGTAGTGCCTTGGCAATGGAAAGCAGATTGGCCTAGGGGGATTGAATAGTTTTCAAATTCTAGAGATACTAGGTAGAGAGAAAGGTAATCTTCAATGTTTTACCCAATTTCTGTAAGCTGTAAATAGTTTAAAAGAAAAAAGGTTTTATTGACTCTGAAAAGCAAAACATGAAGAATTAGCAATGTTTATTTGATTTTGAGGACATTTGTCAAAGATGTTCAAAGGCTCAAAGCTTTTAATCAAAATGGAATTACAGGTCATTGTAATAGTTATTCATTAAACCAAGAGTAATAATCAAAAGACTTTAAATGCAATATGGAAAGTCACATGGATGTAAAAACCTTAACCCTTTTAAAGCTTAGTTTTCCTAAGTAATAAAAAATCTAATAAAGAAAACATGGGAATTATCTTGATAAAATGTAAAATCTTTGGTTCTTAGGCCAGTTACCAAAAAGGCAAAGAAAAACCTACAGTGTGGTTGCTTCTCCTATGAGAAGCCCATTTAGATAACTTGGAAATCAAACTGTAAAAAGTTTACTTGAATTAATCAGACACAAGAAGAGTGTGTCTGGGGTCATGAATGAACTTTATGTTATGGAGGAAACAGGAAACTAGAAAACTGTACCTTGAGCCGGGGAATACATGACTCTTAATAACAGCATGGGAAGTTTTCTGGTTATATGGAACAATTCGGATATCAGGAAAAGCCAAGAGTACAGAATCAAGGTATACTGTAGGAAAACATTGCTCTTCGAGACCTTCAAGATAAAACATTTTAGCATCAGGCCACAGTGGCAGTTAGAACCAGAGGGAAAAAGTTACAGGAGCTGGCAAAACAGTTGAAGGGAAAAGTTATCATCTCAGGCCTTCTCAAAGGGGGAGAAAAACAAAGTAGCAAGACGCAGCAAAAGTGGAACTTCCAAGATACTAATCTGAGAAGTTTTCAACAAGAAACAGGTTTAGAATTAAAAATCAAAACCTCTTTTAATTGTATTAAGAGTAAATCATATTTTAAGACAACTTTCTTTTAAAACAAGGGACCAAAATTTAGAAAGACTTTTATAAATAATTTTAATTATAGCCAACTTAATCCCACACAAAATGCTTTTCATAAGTATTCTCTCACAAACCTTATCACAACTTAGACCATCTATAACATGCTTGTACTTTCTGATTTGTACTAAATTTCCCCTTTCCTTAATAACCAGTCATTTTACTTTAGGACAGAAATTTACCCTGCAAGATACTTTCATATATGAAATTATTCTCTTTTGAACCTTCCTTACCAAAAATACATCTTCATAGCTAACTTTTTTCACATCTCTCCTACTTACTGGTTTTCTACCTTCTTTCATAACTAACCTTTAAATAACATCCAAATTAAATAAAATTATTCTTTTTCTCCATAAGAACACATTTATTTGGCACATTTTATATATAGAATTCTATATTAACTAAAATTCTTACTCTTAGTAACCTTAAATTTTAGTGAAAACCTAGGAGGCAAGAAATATTGAATTGTCTGTTCTCTATCAGCACTTTAAAGATGAGAATCACGTCACAATTTTTAGAAACGTGTTTCTGGCCAAGCATGGTAGCTCATGTCTGTAATCCCAGCACTTTGGGAGGCTGAGTTTACATTCTCCCCTTTTAGCCAAGATGTGCCAGAGATGACATTGGTGACCAAACATTTATTTTTTCCCATATCTTTGCCGGGGTGGTGTGGCTACCTGCTGCAGGTTCATTCTGTTCTTTGGTGGGATCCTTATGGCCAAGGGACTTGGAGCCAATTAAACATTCTAGGCCAGATGAGGATGGAGGTGAACAGGCACTCATTAACCCTTAAAAACCTTTTGAGCAACAGAAGAGCCAAAAAGCAAGGTTACAACAGTGACTTACCTGTAAGTTCTATGTGACGAGTCATCAGCTGTTTAGTAACCTGTATGACCTGTTAACCATTTTTGTAGCCTGTGAATATCAGATGTTCATTTAAGTCAGAACCTTAAACATGTGGATATTTTTGCCAACAACTCAGAAGCTAACAAAACAGCTAACAACTTAGCTGTTTTCATTGAACCAACAATATTAAATTAGTCTTATTTGTCAAAAAATTCACACAAAGATCATTCTCTTTTTGACTGGGTTTATAGTCTTATAATCTTTTGTGCCAAATCCTGATACCTTAAAACACCTAGCGGAGGCAAATATAAAATAATCAGTAAACCCAGACTAAAAAAAAAATGTATGCTGACAATTCTGAAGACATTTCTAGTTTTATTTTACCAATAATTTTAAAACCATTTTATTTACCAGATTACTAAGTTCACATGAATCTGAAAAGTATTTGGACTTACTTAATTTATGAGTATAATTTACTTATAAACCAGTTTGGTACCATGCTAGATACAACACAACATAATACATGTTCATATACAAACATTTAAACACATACACACAAAGATCTTACAGCTTTTACTCTGGAACCTTAGCCATGAGATGGTAATACAGACTCACCACTTAACAAAAGACAGCTGGATCCAAATTATTTCTGACAAAATTGGGACCTGTTCACATGGCTAAACTTTATTTGTCCCAGTAGGTAATCCAATGAAGGCTATGGACCAAAGTCTTGGGAAAAGTAGTTTTCATGGCAGTTTTATTTTTAAAAACCTTTTACCCCTTTTTTTTTTCCTGAAGTTTCAAATGAGTTTTCAGTGTTTACATTTTAGCTACAATTGGCTGAACTGTAAAGAAAGCTCCAAGTAGCCTTGAATTAGTAGTATCATAAACAATGAGTTTTATCTTAACAGCAGTAGCTTAATAACAGCAAATTCAAAGCAGGCCGAAAACAAAAAAGAGATAGCTTTAGAAAACTCTACATTTTAATTGTATAGTTGCAGGTTGGGCATTTGAGCTCTGAATTTTCCTTGCTGTAATTTGCCCGTTCAGTTTTAAAATGTGCACAAGAACAGGCCACAATATGCAGCTAGCTGAAGTGCTGGAAAACCTGGCATGCCTTTGAACTTCTACAGGAGTTCCTGCCCCTAGTGGGTAAGTTACCTATTGCACTGACTTTATGAAGATATCTCTTCCAGTGCCCTTAGTGTGAGCATCCCCACAAACCTTATGAACCAGTTGAATCCAACCTGAATGCCTCTCCATAAGCCCGGAGCCCACAAATGCATTTTCTCCAGGGCCCTTGGATGGAGGGAATCAGGAAGGCCTCCTCCAAACCCAAGGCTAGGAGAGATGTTCCCTCCGGGGTCCAGGGAGGAGAACAGAAAGGACTGAGAAGAACTAGGAATGCCCTCCCAAACCCAAGGCCAGCAGGAGGGTCTCCTCCGGAGTTCCACAGATGGAGGAGGCCTAAAAGAAGAAATCAAGTCTGCAACCTAAAAGTGGGAGATCTTGGATTTTGATAGCACTTACCCAGATCCTTTCCCAGCATAGTCAGGAACAACTGGACTTTTTCAAAGGGACCTTGGCTGTACCTGGTGTCCTGGGTGACACAGGAAAAGGAATTCAGGGGCTGCTTCAGAATCCCATCTTTGCCAGATACGTTAACTTTAAAAAAAAAATCATAAGATACAAATTTAGAAAAATGGAGACACTATTTCTTAAGGGTGACAGCCTGCCAGGTGGCCATCCTGCAGGCCAGGAAGCACAGCCTCCTCCAGCAGAAGCCCAGAGACAGGCACCTCCAAGGAGGAGGGGTTGGGGTAGGAGTTTTATGCTTTTATGCTGAATGGGTTGGCTTAACACATATTCAACAGGTTACAGGAGGAGCTATGAATATTAATGAAAGTGGTCCTGATGCATGCATATTAAACATGCATCTTACATATGACACATGTTCACCTTGGGGTGGAGACTTAATATTTAAATATTGCAATCAGGCCCTATACATCAAAAGGTCTATTCAGGACATGAAGGCACTCAAGTATGCAATCTCTGTAAACCCGCTAGAACCAGTCATGGTCGGTGGGCTCCTTACCAGGAGAAAATTACCGAAATCACTCTTGTCCAATCAAAGCTGTAGTTATGGCTGGTGGAGTTCAGTTAGTCAGCATCTGGTGGAGCTGCAAGTGTTTTAGTATTGTTTATTTAGAGGCCAGTGCTTATTTAGCTGCTAGAGAAAAGGAAAACTTGTGGCAGTTAGAACATAGTTTATTCTTTTAAGTGTAGGGCTGCATGACTTAACCCTTGTTTGGCATGGCCTTAGGTCCTGTTTGTAATTTGGTATCTTGTTGCCACAAAGAGTGTGTTTGGTCAGTCTTATGACCTCTATTTTGACATTAATGCTGGTTGGTTGTGTCTAAACCATAAAAGGGAGGGGAGTATAATGAGGTGTGTCTGACCTCTTGTCCTGTCATGGCTGGGAACTCAGTTTCTAAGGTTTTTCTGGGGTCCTCTTTGCCAAGAGCGTTTCTATTCAGTTGGTGGAGGGGACTTAGGATTTTATTTTTAGTTTGCAGCCAGGGTCAGTACATTTCAGTCACCCCCGCCCAGCCCTCCTGATCCTCCTGTCATTCCTCACATCCTGTCATTGTCAGAGATTTTACAGATATAGAGCTGAATCATTTCCTGCCATCTCTTTTAACACACAGGCCTCCCAGATCTTTCTAACCCAGGACCTACTTGGAAAGGCATGCTGGGTCTCTTCCACAGACTTTAAGCTCTCCCTACACCAGAATTTAGGTGAGTGCTTTGAGGACATGAAGCTATTCCTCCCACCACCAGTAGCCTTGGGCTGGCCCACGCCAACTGTGGAGCTGGAGCGGGAGGGAGGAGTACAGACATGGAATTTTAATTCTGTAATCCAGGGCTTCAGTTATGTACAACATCCATGCCATTTGATGATTCCACCACTCCTTTTCCATCTCCCAGAAGCCTGCTTTTTAATGCCCGCTTAATATTATCAGAGCCGAGCCTGGAATCAAACTGCCTCTTTCAAAACCTGCCACTATATCCTGGCTTTGTGACCTCAGCCAAGTTGCTTGACTATTCTCAGTCTCAGTTTCTGCACCTGTCAAATAGGGTTTATGTTAACCTAACTTTCAGGGCTGTCAGGATTAAATGAGCATGAACCACATAAAATGTTTGGTGTATAGTAAGTGTACAGTAAATACTTCCATTATCAGTCCCTGCAATTCTATTTTTCTTCCTTCTCTACACAGCCCCTGTCTGGCTTTAAAATGTCCTGCCCTGCTTTTTATGAGTGGATACCCCCAGCCCTATGTGGATTAGCAAGTTAAGTAATGACACTCAGAGACAGTTCCATCTTTGTCCATAACTTGCTCTGTGATCCAGTGTGCATCACTCAAACAGACTATCTCTTTTCTCCTACAAAACAGACAGCTGCCTCTCAGATAATGTTGGGGGCATAGGAGGAATGGGAAGCCCGCTAAGAGAACAGAAGTCAAAAACAGTTGGGTTCTAGATGGGAGGAGGTGTGCGTGCACATGTATGTTTGTGTTTCAGGTCTTGGAATCTCAGCAGGTCAGTCACATTGCAGTGTGTCGCTTCACCTGGCTCCCTCTTTTAAAGATTTTCCTTCCCTCTTTCCAACTCCCTGGGTCCTGGATCCTCCAACAGTGTCAGGGTTAGATGCCTTTTATGGGCCACTTGCATTAGTGTCCTGATAGAGGCTTAATCACTGCTCAGAAACTGCCTTCTGCCCACTGGCAAAGGGAGGCAGGGGAAATACATGATTCTAATTAATGGTCCAGGCAGAGAGGACACTCAGAATTTCAGGACTGAAGAGTATACATGTGTGTGATGGTAAATGGGCAAAAATCATCCCTTGGCTTCTCATGCATAATGCATGGGCACACAGACTCAAACCCTCTCTCACACACATACACATATACATTGTTATTCCACACACAAGGCATAATCCCAGTGTCCAGTGCACATGCATACACGCACACATTCCCTTCCTAGGCCACTGTATTGCTTTCCTAGGGCATCTTCTTATAAGACACCAGTCGTATAAGGAGCCCACCCCACTCATCTGAGCTTATCAACCAATTACATTAGGAAAGACTGTATTTCCTAGTAAGGTCACATTCAGTAGTACTGAGGGTTGGGACTTCAACACAGCTTTTTGGGGGATCATAATTCAACCCATGACAGCCACTGAGATTATTATATCTCCAGAGAATAAATGTGTGGAGTTAAAAGGAAGATACATGTGGTACAAGGGGTGGTAAGGCAAGGGTAAAAGGGGAGGGAGGGGATTGAACTAGACACAGACACATGAGCAGGACTTTGGGGAGTGTGTTTTATATCTGTCAGATGCCTAGAACAGCACCTGAAATATGGGACTCAATCATTTTAGTCCCCTTCTTTCTATAAGTGTGTGTGTGCGGATATGTGTGCTAGATGTTCTTGCTGTGTTAGGAGGTGATAAACATTTGTCCATGTTATATAGGTGGAAAGGGTCAGACTACTAAATTGTGAAGACATCATCTGTCTGCATTTATTGAGAATGTGAATATGAAACAAGCTGCAAGTATTCTATAAATGTTCACTGTTATTAGATATTGTATGTCTTTGTGTCCTTTTATTCATGAATTCTTGCACATTATGAAGAAAGAGTCCATGTGGTCAGTGTCTTACCCGGTGTAGGGTAAATGCACCTGATAGCAATAACTTAAGCACACCTTTATAATGACCCTATATGGCAGATGCTCCTGAATGTGTGTTTCGAGCTAGAAAATCCGGGAGTGGCCAATCGGAGATTCGTTTCTTATCTATAATAGACATCTGAGCCCCTGGCCCATCCCATGAAACCCAGGCTGTAGAGAGGATTGAGGCCTTAAGTTTTGGGTTAAATGACAGTTGCCAGGTGTCGCTCATTAGGGAAAGGGGTTAAGTGAAAATGCTGTATAAACTGCATGATGTTTGCAGGCAGTTGTGGTTTTCCTGCCCAGCCTGCCACCACCGGGCCATGCGGATATGTTGTCCAGCCCAACACCACAGGACCATTTCTGTATGTAAGACAATTCTATCCAGCCCGCCACCTCTGGACTCCCTCCCCTGTATGTAAGCCCTCAATAAAACCCCACGTCTCTTTTGCTGGCTCTGGGTCTCTTTGGCGTCTTGAACCTTATGCCTTCCCTATTGAAGTTAATAGGGGTTCAGCACAACACTGGGTCCCAGGCATGCAGCCTTGTCTTTTTATGTTTGTCCTCATGGGCATCATGTGGGCCACAGGGATCTTACCCAAAATCATGCCTAGCAGGAAGAGATGCCTCTCTATTGATATTCCAGCTGCCCCACAAGCAGGTATGTGCCTACTCATTCTCTGACATGTGTCCTAGGTTTCTTGACTGTAAAATTCCGCTTAATAAATAATGTATTGAGCACCTGCTATATCCAGAGCTCTGCTGGGCACTCTGGAAGATTAGAGTTTGAAGAACACACATTCGTTGTCCTCCAGAAGTTCATGGTCCAGTAGGGAGAGAAGGTCACAAACAGCCAGAATCTACAAGATGAGAGGGGCTATAAAAGAGAGCTGAGAAGAGTTTCAGAGCCACTGAGAAGATACTCATTTTAGTCTTGGTAACGGGAAGCTTTCTGGAGTTGGTGGCATTTAAGATGAACCACAAATGGAGCAGGAATTTAATGAAGAGGAAAGGACCAGGACGTTCAAATAGAGGACACAGCAGAGTTCAGACCAGATGCAGGAAAGGGTAAGTGGTTTGGTTTGCTGTGAGGTCAGGTGCATGATGGAAAATGGTGAGCAGTTAGATGACAAAGATAGGTTAGGGCAGTTATGGTGGGAGAAACCCTGTTTTTGAAGAAAGATACAGTCAGATGGGCACTTCAGCAGCATTATTCTGACAGCAATGTGCAAATAGGATGGAGAGGCACTGAAGAGGCAGGATGCAAGGAGAACAATTCAGACGCAGTTGACATCGCTTGGGAGAGAATGAGGTACTATCCAGGACAGCCCCAAGAGAGTGGAGAGCCCTGTCCTGAGATTCTTGGGAAAAGGTGCCCCAGTATCAACAGCATGTGCCCATAAGCTCCCTCAGCCCACTTGTCAGGCTGGGTCAGCTTGTCCCCCACCCCACCCCAGCTCTCTCCTCTCCTCTCAGAGCAAGCCACCTGCCCTACTCACTGCTCCACCATGATACACCTGTCCTGCCTCAGCCACGTCCCCCTCTGACCATTTCCCCCTTTTCAGGAAAGTGCTTGCAGTTTGCTACCTCCCATTCTTTGCAGCCTCCTTCCGCAAAGCTCTCACCTTGTGTCATCTTTGCCTGTGTGCCCTATGGAGAAGGAAAACAAAGTAAGCGCTGTCTTCCCAGGGCTGCAGGCGTGCTGGCCCCCACCTTCATGCACTCAAGGAGCACTGACTGAGCATCCTGCAACTCTGTCCTGTCCCCAGAAGCCATGCTTTGTGAGAAGTGGGGTAAGCATCACAGAAGCTGGCCACTGGCAGGCGCATGCAGGGCTTCAGACCTGCTCCTGATGTAATCTTTGCTGCACATTCACCTCACCTGAGGACCTGTGGAAACTAGCACCCAGGTCACAGGCCCTGCTAATTAAATCAGAATGTAGGAGCCAGGCAACAATAAATAGCGCTGAAATATCCCCAGCTGATTCCAGTGTACAGCCAAGTTTAGGAACCGTGTCCTGGTGTTTCCCTCCTACTCTTGCTAATATGTAGCTCTACATATCTGTGTGGAGTGAGACTGGCAGAAAGGCTGTCTGGATGCTCCTTCCTGTATAGCTTGGAGGCAAATGGACTCTATACAGCTCAGGGCTCGAGGGGACAAGTCAGAAGGTCTTCCTTTAGTCTCCCTTGAACTTGACCTCTTTAGCCATCTCTTGGTGTGAGTCAGTGTCCTACAGGGATGGCCCCAATGTCCTGCCTGGCCTCTCCTCTCTTAGCTATACTTGTGCCATACTCCTGCAGCCAGACTCCTCCTCTTTTGCCTCTGAGTCATTTCCTCTTTCCTTCATGGTACCAAAAAGCACAATCACCTATCAGAAGCACAAAAGCCTAACTAGAATATGCACATGAGTTAATTCAAGGTCCTACTTAATCCAAGACTTCTCCATCTTTATTCCTATGATTATGAGTCTCATGTGACAAGCCCAGCCAGATGAGGAATGCTGCACCTCACTTTCTTCCTGGTGATAACATGGTGAAATCATGCTAACTTCAATAAGGGGTAATATTGGGGATACAGAAAAAGAGGACTGGCTAACATGATAGTACAAAAGGTCATTTCTAGGAGGTCCCAAAGACTGCAAAGCTCCCTTCACTCATTGTTCTAAAAATGCACCTATCTCATTCCCATAGCTCAAGGCTGTGATCCTTGTTAAAATGGAGATGCTCCTTGGCCACGTTTGGGGGCTAATGCCTGTAATCCCAGCACTTTGGGAGGCCAAGGCAGGCAGATTGCTTGAGCCCAGAAGTTTGAGACCAGCCTTGGCAACACAGCAAAACCCATCTCTACAAAAAATAGAAAAATTAACCAGGCATGTGGGGTGTGCACCTGTAGTCCCAGCTACTCAGGAGGCTGAGGTGGGAGCATCATCACTTGAGCCCTGGAGGTCAAGGCTGCTATGAGCTGAGATTGCACCACTGCACTCCAGCCTGGTCAACAGGGGGAGATGCTGTCTTAGAAAAGGAGAAGATGCGATGCTCCTAATAAGAGTAATAGTTTAACTGTAATCAGCTATTTATATCTTGGGGTGAATGATGGATCCGGATTAAGTTTTGTTTCAAGAGTAGTAGAAGAGCATGGGGACTGAGACAGTCAGAAGAGGTGATATAGAAACAGACACAGAATTTGTTTGACCAAAGGCAAACCTGACAGCTTTTCTGGGTTGTGAGGGCACAGTAAAGTACCTAATCATTTCCTGTGACTTCATTCCAGTGAGACATCCACGTTGGAACTCACTGTGATGTGCCAGGAGCTGTGGGCTGCACAAAAAAGAAGTGTGGTGCCTCTCCTGTGTGTTTCCAGAGGTGGCAGGGTTTATTCCCAGAGTCTGAGTCCTTCTTTCCCCTCTGTGTTCTCACTACAGAGATAAGCAAACCATGATCATAGCCAGTTGGGGACCAAAACCACAACCTTATTTATGGCCAGGAAATCCCCTAGCTTTTCCCCAAATGCAGGGCTTCTGGTTCTATGGGCTGAAGATCTCTGCTTGGGCCTGAGGCCTTACCTAGCAGCTTTGCAGCTCATTAGCAGAACACAGAGAGTGATGGGAACATCGCTATATTAAGACTGTGATGGTTAATTATATATCCATAATTATTGACTGGGTTAAGTGATGTCCGGATAGCTATAAAACCTTCTCAGAGTAACTGTGAGGGTGTGTCTGGAAGAGATGAGCATTTGTATCAGTAGTAATGAAGATTTACCCTCACCCATGTGGGTGGCCATCATCCAATCTGTTGAGAGCCTGGACAGAACAAAAGGCAGAGGAAGGGTGAATTTGTTCTCCCTCTTGGAGCTGAGGCATCCATCTTCTGCCCTCAGACATTGGCACTCCTGGTTCTCAGGCTTTCAGATAATTACACCACTGGCTTTCCTGGTTCTCCAACTTGCAGATAGCATATCATGGGTCTTCTCAGCCTCCATAATCATGTGAGCCAGTTCCTATTTTATATATATATATATCCTATTTCTGGGGAAACCTGACAAATACAAGGATGTAAAATGATGAGTTTGCTGTGCTTGAGCACAAGAGTCAAGAAAACAGAGTGAAACCCTCTTTTGAATCCCAATACTCCCCACTCCTGGGAGGAGTAGAAAGCCCTAAGAGGATGATCCTCCTGCTCCACTTAGAGGATTTGAGGATCCGATTCCCACCAATCTGTCTCTGCTTCATTAGGGTGGGCTTGCCTGGGGAAGAGACTGCAAGAAATATAAAGGAGAGTAAGGAGGCCAGGTATGGTGGTGATTTGGGCTCTTCTTCGGTTCCATATTAATTTTAGAAATGGTTTTTCTATTTCTGTGAAAAATGGCATCCCTATAATCCCAGCACTTTGGGAAGCCAAGGTAGGCGGATTGCTTGAGCCCAGGAGTTGGAGACCAGCCTGGACAACATGGCGAAATCCTGTCTCTACGATAATAATAATAATACGAAAATGAGCTGCACAATGGTGGTGCACAGTTGTAGTCCCAACTACCCAGGAGGCTGAGATGGGAGGATTGATTGAGCCCAGGAGGTCGAGACTGCAGTGAGCTGTGACCGTTCCACTGCACTCCAGCCTGGGCAACAGAGTGAGGCTCTGTCTTAAAAACAAACAAGCAAACAAAAAAAGGAGAGTAAGGCAATGAGACTGAGACTGACTCACATAGACCTTGCTCTCTGGCATTGGTCATTCTAGAATCCAACAGAAATAATGGCCTGGATGATGCTCCAATTAATTGCTTTCTGACCCTGAGATGGCACCCCCATCGCCAGTCAAAGTTTTAATTAATCATGCCAGCAGATGGGCTGTCATGGGCCCCAGCAGCCTGATAATGAACTCATTTATTATCAGCTCTGTCAGTGGGAGGTTGTCCAGGCTTCTGGGAAAAGAAGAGACTCCTGATGCCAGAGCCCAGGATATGTGCAGTTTGGGAAAATCTCTGGAAATACCTTGACTTTATACCTTTCATTGGTCCTTAAGAAAGGAGGGAAGGTGTGGAAAAAGATTGTGGCTCAGGCTGGAAGAAGAGGTCTTGATATCACAGTTTCTTAGATGGTGCTAGAGATAGCCTGGCTCTCTGGTACCCCTGGCACCCACCTGACTCATGAAGTTAGGGTAACACATGGCATGTATTCTTTTTTTTTTTTTTGAGATGGAGTCTCGCTCTGTCCCCCAGGCTGGAGTGTAATGGCACAGTCTCGGCTCACAGCAACATCCGCCTCCTGGGTTCAAGCAATTCTCTGCCCTAGCCTCCTGAGTAGCTGGGATTACAGGTGCTCGCCACCACACCCGGCTAGTTTTTTTGTATTTTTAGTAGAGATGGGGTTTCACCGCCTTGGCCAGGATGGTCTCGAACTCCTGACCTCGTGATCCACCCACCTAGGCCTCCCAAAGTGCTAGGATTACAAGTGTGAGCCACCGCGCCCAGCCCATGCCATGTGTTCTTTTTTTTTTTTTTTTTTTTTTTTTTTTATTTTTTATTTTTATTGATCATTCTTGGGTGTTTCTCGCAGAGGGGGATTTGGCAGGGTCATAGGACAATAGTGGAGGGAAGGTCAGCAGATAAACAAGTGAACAAAGGTCTCCGGTTTTCCTAGGCAGAGGACCCTGCGGCCTTCCACAGTGTTTGTGTCCCTGGGTACTTAAAGATTAGGGAGTGGTGATGACTCTTAACGAGCATGCTGCCTTCAAGCATCTGTTTAACAAAGCACATCTTGCACCGCCCTTAATCCATTTAACCCTGAGTGGACACAGCACATGTTTCAGAGAGCACAGGGTTGGGGATAAGGTCACAGATCAACAGGATCCCAAGGCAGAAGAATTTTTCCTAGTACAGAACAAAATGAAAAGTCTCCCATGTCTACTTCCATCCACACAGACCCGGTAACCATCCGATTTCTCAATTCTTTCCCCACCCTTCCCGCCTTTCTATTCCACAAAACCGCCATTGTCATCATGGCCCATCACCAATGAGCCGCTGGGCACACCTCCCAGACGGGGTCGTGGCCGGGCAGAGGGGCTCCTCACTTCCCAGTAGGGGCGGCCGGGCAGAGGCGCCCCTCACCTCCTGGATAGGGCGGCTGGCCGGGCGGGGGGCTGTCCCCCCCACCTCCCTCCCGGACGGGGCGGCTGGCCGGGCAGAGGGGTCCTCACTTCCCAGTAGGGGCGGCCGGGCAGAGGCGCCCCTCACCTCCCGGACGGGGCGGCCGGCCGGAAGGGGGGCTGACCCCCCCACCTCCCTCCCGGACGGGGCGGCTGGCCGGGCAGAGGGGTCCTCACTTCCCAGTAGGGGCGGCCGGGCAGAGGCGCCCCTCACCTCCCGGACGGGGCGGCTGGCCAGGAAGGGGGCTGATCCCCCCACCTCCCTCCCGGACGGGGCGGCTGGCCGGGCGGGGGGCTGACCCCCCCCACCTCCCTCCCGGACGGGGCGGCTGGCCGGGCAGAGGGGTCCTCACTTCCCAGTAGGGGCGGCCGGGCAGAGGCGCCCCTCACCTCCCGGACGGGGCGGCTGGCCAGGCAGGGGGCTGATCCCCCCACTTCCCTCCCGGACGGGGCGGCTGGCCGGGCGGGGGGCTGACCCCCCCCACCTCCCTCCCGGACGGGGCGGCTGGCCGGGCGGGGGGCTGACCCCCCCACCTCCCTCCCGGATGGGGCGGCTGGCCAGGCGGGGGGCTGACCCCCCCACCTCCCTCCTGGGCGGGGCGGCTGGCCGGGCAGAGGGGCTCCTCACTTCCCAGTAGGGGCGGCCGGGCAGAGGCGCCCCTCACCTCCCGGACGGGGCGGCTGGCCAACCCCCCCCCCCCCGCCTCCCTCCCGGACGGGGCGGCTGGCCGGGCAGAGGGGCTCCTCACTTCCCAGTAGGGGCGGCCGGGCAGAGGAGCCCCTCACCTCCCGGACGGGGCGGCTGGCCGGGCGGGGGGCTGACCCCCCCCACCTCCCTCCCGGACGGGGTGGCTGCCGGGCGGAGACGCTCCTCACTTCCCAGACGGGGTGGTTGCCAGACGGAGGGGCTCCTCACTTCTCAGACGGGGCGGTTGCCAGGCAGAGGGTTTCCTCACTTCTCAGACGGAGCGGCCGGGCAGAGACACTCCTCACCTCCCAGACAGGGTTGCGGCCCAGCAGAGGCGCTCCTCACATCCCAGACAGGGCGGTGGGGCAGAGGTGCTCCCCACATCTCAGACGATGGGCAGCCGGGCAGAGACGCTCCTCACTTCCTAGATGGGATGGCGGCGGGGAAGAGGCGCTTCTCGCTTCCTAGATGGGATGGCGGCCGGGCAGAGACGCTCCTCACTTTCCACACTGGGCAGCCAGGCAGAGGGGCTCCTCATATCCCAGACGATGGGTGGCCAAGCAGAGACGCTCCTCACTTCCCAGACGGGGTGGCGGCCGGGCAGAGGCTGCAATCTCGGCTCTTTGGGAGGCCAAGGCAGGCGGCTGGGAGGTGGTTGTAGCGAGCCGAGATCACGCCACTGCACTCCAGCCTGGGCACCATTGAGCACTGAGTGAACGAGACTCCATCTGCAATCCCGGCACCTCGGGAGGCCGAGGCTGGCGGATCACTCGCGGTTAGGAGCTGGAGACCAGCCCGGCCAACACAGCGAAACCCCATCTCCACCAAAAAAAAAACGAAAACCAGTCAGGCGTGGCGGCGCGCGCCTGCAATCGCAGGCACTCGGCAGGCTGAGGCAGGAGAATCAGGCAGGGAGGTTGCAGTGAGCCGAGATGGCAGCAGTACCGTCCAGCTTTGGCTCGGCATGAGAGGGAGAGGGAGACGGGAGAGGGAGAGGGAGACGGGAGAGGGAGAGGGAGACGGGAGAGGGAGAGGGAGACGGGAGAGGGAGAGGGAGACGGGAGAGGGAGACGGGAGAGGGAGAGGGAGACGGGAGAGGGAGAGGGAGACGGGAGAGGGAGAGGGAGACGGGAGAGGGAGAGGGAGACGGGAGAGGGAGAGGGAGACGGGAGAGGGAGAGGGAGACGGGAGAGGGAGAGGGAGACGGGAGCGCCATGTGTTCTTAAAGCAGATGCATGGCAAGATGCTTGGACTCATCAGTTCACAGAGGTGATGCGTCATGCCCTATGCAAAGTTGTTGGTTTTTAAAATTGATATGATATTTTATGTATTTATGGGGTACACTTGTTTTGTTACATGCATAGAGTGTAGAATGATCAAGTCAGGATATTTAGGGTATCCATCACCTTGAGTATTTATTAAGTCATCTCTTCACTCTGTTGTTTCCTTTGCTATGCAGAAGCTTTTTCTTTCTTTCTTTCTTTCTTTCTTTCTTTCTTTCTTTCTTTCTTTCTTTCTTTCTTTTTTTTTTTTTTTTTTTTTTGAGACGGAGTCTCGCTCTGTCGCCCAGGCTGGAGTGCAGTGGCGCGATCTCGGCTCACTGCAAGCTCCGCCTCCCGGGTTCACGCCATTCTCCTGCCTCAGCCTCCCGAGTAGCTGGGACTACAGGCGCCCGCTACCACGCCCGGCTAATTTTTTGTATTTTTAGTAGAGACGGGGTTTCACCGTGTTAGCCAAGATGGTCTCGATCTCCTGACCTCGTGATCCGCCCGCCTCGGCCTCCCAAAGTGCTGGGATTACAGGCGTGAGCCACCGCGCCCGGCCTCTTTCTTTCTTTCTAACCACTAGATGATATGGAATGCAGAAGATAGCTTTTTAATTTGTTGAGCCCAATTTGTGTATTTTTCTTGTCTAGTAGTTTTATAGTTTGGTGTCTTACATTTACGTCTTTAATTCATCTCGAGTTTTGTATGTGGGAAGAGATTGGGATCCATTTTCATTTTTCTGCACTGTTTCATGTTTCTGCACTGAGAAAATATCCAATTTTCTCAGCACTGTTTATTGAAGAGAGTATTCTTTCCACAATGTATGTTCTTGATGCCTTTGTCAAAAATCATTTAGCTGTAAATATGTGGATTTATTTCTGGATTCTCTACTCTGTTGCTTTGGTCTATGTGTCTGTTTCTATACCAATACCATGCTGGTTTGGTTACAATAGCCTTATAATATATTTTGAAGTGAGATAGTGTGGTGCCTTCAGCTTTGTTCTTTTTGTTCAGGATTGCTTTGGTTATTTGGGCTCTTTTTTGGTTCCATATTAATTTTAGAGATGGTTTTTCTATTTATTTGAAAAATAGTATTAATATTTTGTTAAGGATTGCATTGAATCTACATTGTTTTGGGTAGGATGGTCATTTAAATAATATTCTTCTGATCCATAAGCATGGGATATCTTTCCATTTGTTTGTGTCCTCTTCAATTTATTTCATCAGTGTTTTTATGATTTTTCCATGTAGAGATCTTTCACCTCCTTGGTTAAATTTATTCTTATATATTTTTTGGTAGCTACTTAAATGGAATTGCCTCCTTGATATCTTTCTCAGCTAGCTCATTATTGGCATACTGAAGTGATAATACTTTTTGTAAGTTTATTTTGCATCCTGCAACTTTACTGAATTTATTTAGCAGATCTATAAGAGTTTGTGTGGGTTTGTGTGTGTGTGTGTGTGTGTGTGTGGAGCCTTTAGGTGTTTCTAGATATAAGATAATACCGTAAGTAAAAAGGGACAATTTTTTTCCTTTTCTTTTTTATTTTTTAAATTTAGATTCCTTTTATTTCCTTCTCTTGCCTGGCTCCTCTGGCTAGGAATGGGAGTGGTGAAAGCAGGCATCCTTGTTCGAATTCTTAGAGGCTTTCAGCATTTCCTCATTCAGCGTAATGCTAACTGTGGGTTTGTCATATAGAGCCTTTATTATGTTGAGGTATGTTCCTTTTATACCTAGTTTGTTGAGACTTTTTATCAGGAAGGGATGTTGGAGTTTATCAAATGCTTTTTCTGTGTCTATCGAGATGATATGGTTTTTTCCTTTCATTCTGTCAATATGATATATTATGTTTATTGCGTTGTGTATCTCTTGCATCCCTGAGATAAATCCTGCTTGGTCATGATGGGTTTTTTTTTTTTTTTTTGCTGTTGGATTTGGTTTGCTAATATTTTGTTGAGGACTTCTGCATCTATGTTTATTGAGACAATTAGCCTGTCATTTTCTTTTTTGTTGTTGTGTCCTCATCTGGTTTTGAAAGCAGGGTAATGTTGGCCTCATGGAATGAGTTAGGAAGAATTTCCTCCTCCTCCTCAGTTTTTGGAATAATTTGAGGAGAATTGGTGTTAGTTCTTCTTTGAAAGTTTGGTAGAATTTGGCAGAAAAGCCTTCTAGTCCTGCACTTTTCTTTGTTGGGAGACTTTATTACTGATTCAATTTCTTGACTTGTTATTGGTCTATTCAGGCCTTCTGTTTCTTCTTGAGTCAATCTTAGTGGTTCTATGTGTCCAGGAATGTATCTGTTTCCTCTCGGTTTTCCAATTTGTTTCTAGCACATTATGAACAACTGTATATAATAGTTGCTAGTGATCTTTTATATTTCTATGATGTCAGTCATAATGTCTTATTTTTCATTTCTGATTTTATTTATTTGGGTTTTTCTCTTTTTTTCTGGGTTAGTAAGTGGTTTATCAATTTTATCTATCTTTTAAAAAAACTTTTCATTTCATTGATCTTTGTCTTTTTTTAGTCTCTATTTCATTTAGTTCTGCCATTATCTTATACGTTTCTTTCCTTCAACAAATTTTGTTTGGTTTATTCTTGCTTTTTCAGTTCCTTGAGATGCATTGTTAGATTGTTTACTTGAAATCTTTCTACTTTATTGATGTAAACATTTATTGCTATAAACTTCCCTCTTAGCACTGCTTTTTCTGTATCCCATAGGTTTTGGTATATCATGTCCCCATTTTCATTTGTTTCAAGAAATGTTTTTAATTTCCTCCTTAAGTTTCTTTCTTAACCCAGTGGTCATTCAAAAGAAGGTATTTTAATTTCCATGTATTTGTATAGTTTCCAAAGTTTTATTCCACTATGGTCTGAGAAGATATGACTTCAATTTTTTTTTTTAAATTGAGACTTGTTTTGTGTCCTAACATGTGGTCTATCCTAGAGAATGTTCTATGTGCTGATGAGAAAAATATGTATTCTGCAGCTGTTGGATAAAATGGTCTGTAAATTTCTATTAGGTTCATTGGTCTAATGTATAGTTTAAATTCAACATTTCTTTGTTAATTTTCTGCCTAGATGATCTATCTAATGCTGAGAGATGAAGTCCCCAATTATTATTGTATTGGAATCTATGTCTCCCTTTAGATCTAATAATATTTGCTTTATATATCTGGATACTCCAGTGTTGAGTGCATATATATTTAGTATTGTTATATCCTCTTGCTGAATTGATTCCTTTATCATTATAGAATGACCTTCTTTTCTTTTTACTATTTTTGACTTAAAATCTGTTTACCTGATATAAAGGTAGCTACTCCTGCTTGCTTTTGGTTTTTGTTTGCATGGAATATCTTTTGCTATCCCTTTACTTTCAGTCTATATAGTGTCTTTACAGGTGAGACAAGTTTCTTGTAAGTGGCATATATATGGGCCATGTCTTATGTGTTTTTTTATTTTTTTGTATATATTCAGCCAGTCTATATCTTTTAAGTGGAAAGTTTAATCCATTTACATTCAAGGTTTTTATTGATATGTGAGGCTTATTCCTCTCATTTCATTAATTGATTTCTGATTGCTTTGCATGTCTTTTATTCTTTCCATTATTATTATTATTATTATTATTATTATTATTATTATTATTGTTATTATTATTTTGAGACAGGGTCACACTCTGTCACTTAGGCTGGAGTGCAGTGGCGTCATCTTGGCTCACTGCAATCTCCGCCTCCCAGGTTGGAGCAATTCTCCTGCCTCAGCCTCCCTAGTAGCTGGGACTATAGGTGCCTGCCACCACACCCAGCTAATTTTTGTATTTTGAGTAGAGACAGGGTTTCACCATGTTGGCTAGGCTGGTCTCAAGCTCCTGACCTTAGGTGATCCACCCACCTTGGCCTCCTAAAGTGGTAGGATTACAGGTGTAAGTAAGCCACTGTGTCTGGTCTGTTCTTTCTTTCTCTTATTGTTTAATGAGAGAAAGAAAGTGGTTTGGTGGTTTTCTGTAGTGGTAACATTTGAGTCTGGTCTTTTCCTTGTTTGTGCGTTTCCTCTACCAGTGGCTTTTATATTTTTGTGTATTTTCATAAGGGTAGATATTGTTCTTTTACTTCTGGGTATAAGACTCCCTTAAGCATTTCTTTTAGGGCCAATTTAGTGGTGATGAATTCTCTCAGCTTTTGCTTGTCTGTGAAATATTTACTCTTTTGTTTCTGAAGGATAACTTTGCTGGGTATAGTATTCTTGGATAACAGGTTTTTTTTTTTTTTTCTTTGTTTGTTTATTTTTCTTTCAGCACTTTGAATATAGTATTTCATTCTCTCCTGGCCTATAAGGTTTCTGCTGAGAAATCCACTGTAGTCCAATGGGGGTTTCCTGTATTAGTGACTAGGTTACTTGCTGTTTTTAGAATTCTGTCTTTGCCTTTGATGTTTTACATTTTAACTATAATGTGCTGTGGAGAAGACCTTTTTGAATTGTCTCTATTTGGGAATCTCTAGGCCTCCAGTATCTGGATGTCTAAATTTCCTGCTATACTTGGGACGTTTTTTTGTTTTGTTTTGTTGTGTTTTTTTTTTTTTTTTTTTTGAGATGGAGTCTCGCACTGTCACCCAGGCTGGAGTGCAGTGGCGCGATCTCCGCTCACTGCAACCTCTGCCTCCTGGGTTCAAGCGATTCTTCTGCCTCAGCCTCCCAAGTAGCTGGGATTACAGGCACCTGCCACCACACCTGGCTAATTCTTTGTATTTTTAGTAGAGATGGGGTTTCATTATGTTGGCCAGGCTGGTCTTCAACTCCTGACCTCGTGATCCTCCCACCTCGGCCTCCCAAAGTGCTGGGATTACAGGCGTGAGCCACTGTGCCTGGCCTACTTGGGAAGTTTTTATCTATTATTTCATTAAATAGGTTTTCCAGCCCTTTCATTCTCTCTTTGCCCTCTGGGACATCAAAAATTCAAAAATTTGGTTGCTTTATCGTGTTTCATATGTCATTGTAGGCTTTGTTTATTCTTTTTTTGTTCTTCTTATTTTTGTCTGCATTTTCCAAAAGACCTGTCTTCAAGTTCTGAGATCCTTTCTTCTGCTTGATCTAGTCTGTTGTTGGAGCTTTCAAATGCATTTTGTATTTCATTCAGTAAGTTCTTCAGTTTAGAATTTCTGTTTAGTTCTTTATTATGATATCTATCTTTGATAAACTTCTCATCCATATCCTGAATTGTTTTTCTGATGTCTTTGTATTATTTTTCAGTATTCTTTTGTATTTTCCTGAACTTCTTTAATCAGTATTTTTAAAATTCTTTTTCTGGGCTTTCACAAATTTCTTTTTGATTGGGATCTGTTACTGAAGACTTATTGTGTTACTTTGGAGGTGTTTTTATTTCCTTGCTTTTTCATATTTCCTGTGTCCTTACATTGATATCTGCATGTAACAGTCACTCTTCCCATTTTTTGAATTTGCTATTGTAGGGGAAGACTTTTTCTTGAAGATGTAACTATGGTATTGACTGGGAAAGGCACTTTGCCTTTGCTTTTGGGTACATGCAGTAGTATAGTCTCTTATGTTTTCTTTAGCTATAAATAGCATTAGTGGTGCTGTGATTTCCTTGGTGGCTTAGGGTGTGGTTTTTAGTAGACACTGTGGTGAAATTTTGCTGGGGATTGGGATGCCCGGTAGGCTAGTCTTCAGGACCCAGTGGTGCCCGCAGTGGGATGCACACAGCTGTCCTTGAGTCCCAGAGTGTCATACACTGGCACCAGTGTGAGCAGGTTCAGGCAGGTCAATTCTTGGGCCTTGAGGTGGCTTGCTCAGGTCTCAGGAATGGCAGCAGTGGGCTAGGTGAGTTGGCAGTTCTTGATCCCCTGAGAAGCAGTTATGGTATGGATGATGGCAATAGCAGTGGTGGGACAGCCCTTTGAGCCCCAAGCAGTCCAAACTGATGTTGTTATTGGCTGTGACAGGCTGGGCTGGCCAGGTCCCAGGCCTGCATTACAGGTGGTGCATGAGGGTGGGTTTCAACTGTGGTGGTAGTGGCAGGTCGGGTGGGCCTAACCTCAGACCCTGGAAGGAATGCTCAGGTACTAACAACAGTGGACTAGGCTGAGTGATTCCCAGCCTCCTAGGCTCGTGCTCAGGTACTGGGGAAGGGCAAAGCTGGGCTAGGTGGTCTTGCTCTCAGGACCCCAGTGGTGCACGCAGGCACTGGCTGTGGTAGGCGGGGGCAGGGTGATCTCCAGGCCACCAGGGAAATGCTTAGGCTGTGGAGCAGTGGCCTTGCTACTGGAGAGTATGGGGTTGCTTTCAGTGGGAGTAGCCATAGGTAGGTGTCTGGGGGGCATGCACTTTGCTCATGCCTTGGCCCCACAGCAACTCACAGTGGTGGTTGTGGGCAATGGAATTTGTCCTCAGCACCCCCCTCTATTGCGGGGATGGTCATTGCTAGTGGTTCCTGCGTTGGCCCTGGAGGCTGCCACTACCGGCAGGGAATGTCAGTGGGGCTCCAGAGAGGATGTGGAGATGCAGGGACTTTGGGCCCCAGGGCAGGATGCAGCCTGTTGAAGGGTAGGCTCTCAAAATGGTGCCAGGCTGTAGCTGCTTAGGACTTGGAGGGTTGTGGGATTCAATGTGAGCTCCCTCCATGGAGTAATGCCATTGCAGGGTCTCCAGGCAGCTCCCTATGTTAGTCACAGGGCCTGTGAGGGTTGAGGGGCTTTCTAGTGGCTAGGATTGTAGAAGCCCATGACGAGAATGTGGACCACTGAAGGTGTCTTGTCTACTCTTTCCCTGCATTAAGGAGCCTCCAGCCTCCCTACCAGTCCTGGCTGAGCAGGCTGCCTCGCTTCTCTCTCTTTCTTTGCTTTTGGTGCCTCCCATCACTTCCCTGCTGAATTCCAGTGTTCTCTCTTAGATGATCTATTCAAAGTGTGATTTTCTACGCACTATTTTGGTTCCTCTGTGGAAGAGGCAAGTACCAGATGCATCTAGTCAGCCATCTTGAAGCCCCTCTCCAGAGCCAAGTTGCTGGATTTTATGTTCCTGGGTTGTCTCATTCATTCTTCCCAGAGCCAACACCATGTTCTGTTTGATAAGTGTTTCATAAATGTTGCTCAGTGATTGAAAGAATGGATGAATGAATGCATAAGTATGAATGCCCAGCATGGAAGCCATCACTGTGAATCAAAAAGCTTTTATTGAGCCCAATTTGGGACGGAGATTCTAAGCAGCATCTGATACAGGAACCTAGATCTTGTTATAGACAAAATCCTTGCTTTGGAGGATGCAATATGCCTCTGACAGCACTGAGTTCTTCCTTTGGAGGATTGCAGTATGTCTCTAACAGCACTGGAACAAACAGAACCAATCACAAGCATGGTCACTCAAGTATGAGGCAGGCAATGGCCAAAGGGCATCACAGCTAGAAGAGACGGTGGAGGATATCTGATCCTGTCCCCTCCTTGAGGATTCTGAGGATCAGCAGAGTGAAGGCCTTGCCTAAGGCTACTCAGCTGGTCAGCAGCACAGGTGGACCTGGGGCCAAGGCCTCCTGTTCATTCCATGTCTCCAGGCTGCCTAAAACCCTGTCTACATCCTGCTCACCCAGGTCCCTGAAAGCAGCCTCCACTGTGTCCAGTTGGCCTTGCTTCCCTGCTGTACCAATCCCATCCTTTGGGTTGGCATTTGCATTTTATTCTACAGAGCAGAATCCCTCTTTTTTCCTTCTATAGATGTGGGGAGGATGGAGAGAATATCTTTGCCCAGACCCCGATCTCCTGCTGTGTAGCATGAGCCACAGGCTGTAATTGGGCCTGGAGCCAGGCTGCCCACTTGAAGTGTGTTCACACAAGGGAGGAGGCTTCGGCCTCCTCATGTGTGAAAAGTTCTAGATGGCTGCTATACTCTGTGGGACACATCTCCCTCTTTGTTGAAGAGCAGGCAGAGTAAACAGGGGCTGTTTTGTTGGGCCTAATTTCCTGGTAGCATATCATCATGAATATTTACTGGTGTAGAAAAGTGGTGAGGATCCCTTAGTCCCTACTATGAAATCAGAAACTCTCTAAGACAAGAAGTAAGTATGTTTCATAGTTGACACTTTGTACCAATAGCACTAAGAGAGAAAATAGACAATTTTTCTGTCTACTATGGGCCAGTGAGATGACCTGCTGAAAACTTGGTTTGTCTTTTCATAAGAATAATAGCCATCACTTAAATAGCACTAACTGTGCCAGACACTGACATAAGCACTTTATACAGCTGTCTCTTGGTATGTGCAGGGGATTGGTTCTCGGACCTCTGTGTATTGCCACATACTCAAGTCCCACAGTAGGCCATGTGGAACCTGCAGAAATGGAACCTGTGGATTCAAAAAGTAGCCTCTATATATGCAGGTTTCACATCCAGTGAATACTGTGTTTGGTTGAAAAAAATCTGCATAGAAGTGGACCCACACAGTTCAAACTCATGTTGTTCAAGGGTCAACTCTATAGATTAGCATTCCCATTTGGGAAAATGAAGCACACAGGGAGACCAAGTAACTTTTCCAAGTTCACACAAGTAGTGGGTGATAGAAGCCAGATTTATATGCTTAGATAGTCTGGCTTCTAAATCTATACACTTAGCCACTTCACTTCATGGTCTGCTTAGAAAGACAGCTTGTCAGTGAGGTGTGGTTGATGTTTCCCCAAGCCTTAGCAAAGGTAAAATGGACCCCCAGCATTTTTAAGGTTTGCCTCCTTAAAAGCACATTCACACACTCAAACTGTGTTGTTGGAAAACAGAATGAATACTTAAGGTTTCAAAGGCTCTCCAGAACTGAAAAGAGGCACAGAGGCCGCAGGATCAGCAGGATGGGTGCCAAAACCTGCTGTGGCACCATGCCTTTGCAAAGGTGGATCTTCAGAGGAGAAGGACTGTGTGTATGGCTGAAGGAGTGGACCCTGAGCACTGGGCAGGCCTTTCAAGGTGCCAGGTAAGTAGAGTAAAGCTGCTGGCCTCAAGGAAATACACAGCCTGACTGTGTGTGGTCTGACTTCAGGAGACTTGAACACAGAGAGATAGGTCTCTACAATGAAAAGCAATGGCACACATGTGATGATAGACAGAAACTGTATTATTTATTTATTTATTTTGAGATGGAGTCTCGCTCTGTCGCCCAGGCTGGACTGCAGTGGCCCAATTTCAGCTCACTGCAACTTCCGCCTCCACGGTTCAAGTGATTCTTGTGCCTCGGCCTCCCAAGTAGCTGGGACTACAGGCGTGCACCACCACGCCCTGCTAATTTTTGTATTTTTAGTAGAGACAGGGTTTTACCATGTTAGGCTCGTCTTGAACTCCTGACCTCAAATGATCCACCCACCTTGGCCTCCTGAAGTGCTGGGATTACAGGCGTGCGCCACTGCGCCCAGCCAGAAACTGTAATCTTCTTTAGTGCCCAGGGTGCAGTGGGGTGTGGTGAGGACTGTGGCCAGCTTTAGTTTGTGCCCACTCTAGAAGAGACAACTGCTGTTCAGTGCCAGCTTTTGGTAGCCATGTGGGAATAATGCATTTAATATCATCAGATAAAAATTTTTTTTGTAGGCCACACACGGTGGTTCATGCCTGTAGTTCCAGCACTTTGGAAGTCCAAGGTGGTGGATCAGTTGAGCCCAGGGGTTTGAGACCAGCCTGAGCAACATGGCAAAACCCTGTCTCTACAAAAAATATTAATTAAAAAAAATTAGCCGGTGTGGTGGTGTGTGCCTGTAGTCTCACCTATGTGGGAGCCTGAGGTGGGAGGATCACTTAAGCCTGAGAGGTTGAGGCTGCAGTGAGTCATGATCATACCACTGCACTCCAGCCTGGTTGACAGAATGAGACCGTGTCTCAAAAAAATTTTTCTTTAGGGAAGCCATATATCCAGATTTTATGTGAAATGTCCCTTTTTTTAAAATGTGGGCTCAATGCTCAATATTTTAGATTAGATTTGGGGTGGCTTGAAGAACCCACTGTGGGAGGATGAACCCACTGTGGGAGGATGAACCCACTGTGGGAGGATGGTGTCCTGTGGTTTTACTTCCAGTCAACTTCAGTGTAAACCAACAGCTTTAGCTGGGAGAGGCCCAGTGCCCCACATGGCCCTGCATGGCACACAGGAACAGTGGCAGGTGGTCATGGAGCCAGGTAGATGTGTGTGTGTGTGTGTGTGTGTGTGTGTGTGTGTGTGTGTGTGTGTGTGTGTTTTGAGACAGAGTCTCACCCCGTCGCCCATGCTGGAGTGCAGTGGTGTGATCTGCAACCTCCGCCTCCCAGGTTCAAATGATTCTCCTGCCTCAGCCTCTCAAGTAGCTGGGATTATAGGCATGCACCACCACTCTTGGCTAATTTTTTGTATCTTTAGTAGAGATGGGATTTCACCATGTTGGTCAGGCTGGTCTTGAACTTCTGATCTTGTGATCCGCCCGCCTCAGCCTCCCAAAGTGCTGGGACTACAGTCATGAGCCACTGCGCCTGGCCAGGCAGATGTTTTTTTTAAGACCCTGTAAGTCTCAAGGACAAGGAGGACCACAAAAATGTGACATTGAACTTCCTGCCGATTTGCTTATGGGTAGCTTTAACCTAAATAGAAAGAAATAAAGGGATGTGACCATTCCTGGCTTTCTAGGTGAGGTAGGTAAAGAATTCATTCCATTTACAAGTTTCGTTTTATCCCTCGCCACAGTCTTGCGAGCTAAAAGCAACCACATGCTGTTAACAGATTCAGATGGGCTGACTTGCCCAAAGGGGCACCGTAAACGGGATGATAAATACATCCCCAAGTGCATGGAATCAGGCAAACCGGGTTCCTTGGCTCACCAACTCAGCCGCCATATGGTCTGGAGCAGCTTAGAGTTTCTAGGCCTCTGTTTCCTCATCTCATAAAATAAGTGTAAAAGCAACGCCTATTAGATGTGTTGTAGGTTAAAATTAGTTAATGTCTGAAAAGTGCTTAGAGTAATGCCTCTCTCCTAATGAACACTCTCATAAATGTTAGCCATAACAACTGTTATCCAAGTCCCTGCTTAAGCCTAGGTAGCTATTATTTGAGTGCTGTGCCTTCACTGCTCCTCACTCTCATCATTACCATTCGGCCTTTCAAACAGCCTCCCTCATCAACACCATTCCCACTAGGAAATGTTCAGGAGTGGTGTTGTCCAATACAATCGCCACTAGCTGCTGCGACTACCGAGCACTCAGTGTGGGGCTGGAATTGAGATGTGCTGTAAGTTGTATTACTGAAATACACACTGGATTTCAAAGTCTTGGTATAAACAAGGGAGCATATCATATCTTATTGGTACTTTATATATTGATTACACAATGAAATGATAATATTTTGGATATATTGGATTAAATAAAGTATCATTAAAATTAATTTCACCTGTTTTACTTTTTAAATGTGGCTACTAGAAAGTTTAAAATTACAGCTGGGCACTATGGCTCACACCTGCAATTCAGGCATTTTGAGAAGCCATGGTGGGAGGATTGCTTGAGCCTGGGGGTTTGAGACCAACCTAGGCAATATAGGTACTCAGGAGACTGAGGCAGGAGGATATCTTGAGCCCAGGAGGTCAATGCTGCAGTAAGTCATGATTGTACCACTGCACTCCAGCCTGGGTGACAGAGCAAGACTCTGCCTCAAAAAAAAAAAAAAAAAGAAAGAAAGAAAGAAAAAAGAAAGAAAGAAAGAAAGTAAGTTTAAAAGTACTTATGTGGCTTGCATTAAATTTCAATTGGACAGCACTTATCTAGAATCTAGAGCATTGCCTGACACAGAGTAGGCCTTTCAGAAACATATGTTGAATAAGTGAATGAACAGCTAGAAGGATATTTAATGTTCCCAACACAAAGAAATAATAAATGTTTGAGAGGATGGATATGCTAATTAGCCTGTTCTGATCACTATGCATTACATGTATGGTATATTAGTCTGTTTTCACGCTGCTGAAAAAGACATACCTGAGACTGGGCAATTTACAAAAGAAAGAGGTTTATTGGACTTATGGTTCCACATGGCTGGGAAGGCCTCACAATCATGGCAGAAGGTGAAAGGCACGTCTCACATGGCAGCAGACAAGAGAAGAGAGCTTGTGCAAGGAAACTCCCCTTTTTAAAACCATCAGATCTCGTGAGACTTATTCACCATAGTGAGAACAGCGCAGGAAAGACCCAACCCCATAATTCAATCACCTCCCACTGGGTTCCTTTCACAACACTTGGGAATTCAAGATGAGATTTGGGTGGGGACACGGCCAAACCATATCATATGGCAACATTACTACGTACCTCACTAATATGTACAATTAGTATGTGTCAATTTAAAAATATTTTAACATAAATAAATAAGTACATTAATTAATAAAGACTTCCATGGAGTTCTCAGGCCTTTGTCTTCTCACTTGAGCTACATGCCCTCCCTCTGGCTCTCCAACCCCTGCAATGAATGACCATCACAGAATCTCAGTTGTCATTCACCACTAGACAACTTCTCGGTCCCACAGTCCACAGAATAGGGAATGGAGCCTCGAGAGATGGAGGGCCTTGAGAAGATCACACATCCATAAATGACAGAGCAGAGGGTAGAACCAGAATGCCTTTTCCAAAGCCTATGCACTTAAACACTACTTTGTTTTGCCAATGTGGTCCTAGATTTCTATAAACATGTCTTCATAAAGGCAGATGGAAACTCTCAGAGTAAGGCTGAGCAAGTGGTCACAAGGGTAGCAGTCACACAATGAGCTCCCAGGAGATCCTGCCATCCCTCCTTGTGAAACCTTGACCTCAAAATTAAGATTAAGCCTAACCCCAACCACCCATCTTGTACGAGCCATTGAAGTTGCAGCTCTTGAAGGCAGAAACCAATAGTACTCTCATTTGGGTCATTCTGTCATGTATTTAAGTAAAAGGGCCTTGGGGTGCCCTTGTAATAGCGATAATAGTATTGAAAAAAAACAAAAGAGTTGGCAATATCTCCTTGGAAGTCTCTGAAATAGTTAATATTATTGATCCAGAGAGGCTGCCAGTTGGCACTTGCTGAGTTGCTTTCTTTCTCTCAGTTACACACACACACACACACACACACACACACACACACACACACAATCACCGCTACCACACAAGTGCAGAGTCAGTGCCCAGGGAGCCACGTGCTAGTCAGTAAAAGATTTTGGAACAATACACTTAGAGTCAATTAAATACAAATGTGAGGCAGTTACACAACATCATAAAAACATTCAAGGAGGAGGAGCAAGAAAGGCACATGGCAGAGCCAAATAAGAAGGACCAAGGTCCATAAGAATGGTGATAATACGTTTTTAAAATGTTAGGCTATCGATATTGTTTAAAATGTTAAAGTATTGATCACTTTCTAAAACAGCCATTAGTCTCTTTGTCCTATCTGTTTGTAAAATCTCAGACTTTCTAGGTCACACTCATTGCACCCAAACCCAGATAATGCAGTAGGTGAGCAGAAGCTGGTCTTTCCATTGAGTAGACAGGGACAAGTGGTGGCCTGAAACTCACAGCATAGCTAAGATGGAACTAGAAGCCAAGCCTTGCAAGTCAGAGACACACATCACTCAAGTGCACGATGGTGACAGGCCATTCCCCCAGAGACTTGGAGGCCTGAAAAGAGGGAGGAGGCTTCATTCCCATTCTTTTTATTTTTATTTTTAAAAATTTGTTTGCTTTTTCAAATGGCTCATCTGTCAACTTGATTCATTCTCATTCTTGAGGGTCTGACAGTCTAGTGAGGAAGACAGAACAAAACACCTAATTTTCAAAAGAACTCAGACCAAAACAAAGTCAACAATTAGCCACAACCAGATGGGACTGTAGATATAAGTAACAGAGAATGCTGGAAACACTCATCCTAGCAGGAAGTAGAACTGAATTTTAAAGGTGAAAGGGGGCCCCGGGAGCAGTGGCTCATGTCTGTAATCCCAGCACTTTGGGAGGCCGAGGTGGGTGGATCACGAGGTCAGGAGATCGAGACCATCCTAGCTAACACGGTGAAACCCTGTCTCTACTAAAAATACAAAAAATTAGCCAGGCATGGCGGCGGGTGCCTGTAGTCCCAGCTACTTGGGAGACTGAGGCAGGAGAATGGCATGAACCCAGGAGGCGGAGCTTGCAGCGAGCCAAGATTGCGCCACTGCACTCCAGCCTGGGCGACAGAGCGAGACTCCGTCTCAAAAAAAAAAAAAAAAAAGGTGGAAGGGGATATCATTTGACTAGAAAGGATGGAGCTTTTGATTTGGGGGTAAGCATCTGAGGACTGGAGGCTTGGTGTGAGCAGACGAATAAGCTGATTGTCCTTGCTGGTGACCCAACAAGGATGCTGCAGTATCAGAGAGCACCTGGATGGTAAGCATCCCTGAAACTGCTGTTTAGACTTAGTCTTTATGCAAGATGGTAACAGAAAGGCCAGAGAAAGGAAGTAGTTTGGACGAGGAATCATCCTTTCAGTCATGGCTGTTACTGGTGGCTCTGCCATCTTGCTCAATCGACAGTGTTTTTCAGTGAAACTGTATTTACTGCTTTTTCTCAGAGCTCCCTCCGCACCGTGTTTTCCCAGAGCCAGGGCGCTGAGCTGTGGGAACTAGGTTTGGCCAGCTCCCTGAAAACTTCCACCTGCTGAGAGCTCCAGTTGTCTCCCTGCCATCGTGATGAACGTGCTGCAGAGCGCAAAACTGGGGCAAGTGAAAAAATGAATTGAAATAAGGAAATGAAGCAACCTGTAAAAAACCAGCAAACAAGACTAAATCAGCAATGAAAATCAATGAGGCAAACACCATCTGGCCCTGAAAATGAATGGAGCACAAAAGGAGGCCTTGCCTCCTGGGGATTCCTGCTCCAACCAGGCAGAGTTACATTCATGCCTGCCTGAGATAAGCCTGGGTTGGCAGCAAGTGCTGATGTGTTTTTGCAGAGCAAGATGTTTGGGACAGGTGCTTTTTTCCCTTGACAATATATCGGGGTATATTTTTTACCTAATGAAACTCTAACAGGAATGAGTTATGAGTTTCATCAACACACAGAGCAGAATTCAGAGATTTGAATACAATGGAACTGTCCCTGAGAGAGGTACAGCTGGTTTGCATCTGACCGCTTGCATTTACTCATTCATTCCTTCACTTATCCATCCTTCCATTCATCCATCCCTCTCTTCCTCTCCGTTTCCACCACCACTGATCTAGTCCACTCCACAGCACATCACTCCAAATGCTTGCTGGGGCCTCCTCTCCGGGCTGCCTTCCTCTGAGCCCTCCTCCACATGCCTCCAGAGCCTATTTTCCAAGCCCAAACCTGCTACACTTTCCTGATGTTAGCCTTTTAATGTCCCTCCACTGCTCACACGCAATGCCCACCATAGCCAAGCTTCTGCCAACCGGCCACAACCTGCTGCATTGTCCCCCCCTATCACTCCATTCATGCAGAATTACTTCCAGGTCCATTAAGGAGCTACATGGACTCATGCTTTGGTGTGTTTTCTAATGCAGGTCCCTCACCCTGGAATGTTTCCTTTTTGTCTTCTCTCACATTTTCTCACCTATATGCCCACTGATATATACTTAAGTATAAAGACCAAGTGTAGTGGCCATGAAAGTGTGCCACTCAGACCACTTGCTGCAGAAAGCATAACTGTCAGTGCCTCCAGTTGTTGCCCTTCTGGTTTTGCTGCCATGTTCACATGAAGGCCATGGTGCCAGTGGGCTGCTCCCAGCCAATGACTGAGTACAACAGGGTACTAAGGCAGCCCCATCCAACAAGACATGAGATTCCTCCAGGAGGAGACTTTGGCTTAAGAGTTCTCCGTTGGTCTAGCCAAATCTTACCTGGAACTGCTCCTCTGCAAACTGAGACTTCGCCAACCCTATCCTCCTTTACCCCTCTCTTCCTTGATAGGAATCAGGCCTGCATTATGGTCTGAAGGCTCTTCCTGCCTTCTGCTCCCTCCCTCAATGAATCTCTTGTATGTAACCCTCTGTCTTAGTCCATTTTGTGCTGCTATAACAAATTACCACAGGCTGGGTAATTTATAAAGAACAGAAATTTATTTTCTTACAGTTCTGGAGCATGGGAAGTCCAAGATCTAGGTACCAACATCTGGTAAGGGCCTTCTTGTCACACCATAACATGGCAGAAAGCATCACATGGGTGAGAGATGGGAGGGTGAAGTCATCTTTTTAATAAGGAACACACTCCTGAGATAACAAGCCCAAGATAATGGCATTAATCCAGTCACGAGGGCAGTGCCCCAATGACCCAAACCCTTCCCTTTAGGTCCCACATCCCAACACCACTTTGGCATTGAGATCAAGTTTGCAACACATGAACTTTGGAGGACACATTCAAACCATAGCACCCTCTCTTTGCATCTGCTTTTCTGTGAACCTGAACTAATGTACAAAGTTAACATCACTTATTTCTTAAAAACCTTCTTAACCTCCCTCAAGTAGAATTGAACTCTCTTTCACACTGTCCCCTCTACCTTCATGTACTTTCATGATTATACCAATGGTTCTTTACGGTAATTATCTGCTTATATGGCTGTCCCTGTCACCCAGACTGCAGACTCCATGAGGCCAAGGAGTTTACTGTCTTATTTGTCTTACTAACATCACTGCCTAGTACAATGCCTGTTATATTCAGATGCACCATAAATGTTTATGAAATGGATGAATAATTGATCTATTTATTCATTTATCAGTTCTCATCACCCTGGACTATGTGTCAGGTACTGAGAATAGGGAGATTAATGAACCAGAATCCCTGACTTTAATATACTCTTAGGCTGATCAGTGGGATTAGCATGCAGATAATGACATTAAAAGTGAGAATGGAATAGCTTCTTTCAAAATGGTATAAGCAAAATGAAATAAGAAACCAGAGGAAGGTATAATTGCTCTCACTGGGAATGGAGGATGGAGGAGGAATCAGCGAAGGCTTCCTAGAGACAGCATTTGGATTGGGCCATGTGGGATCTGTAAGATTTATACAAGGGGTGTAGGACACAAAGGGCCTTCCAGGCCAGAGAAACTACGTAAACAAGGGCACCAAAGTGTGTTGTGACGAGGGCCATTTTGTTAATTTCTGTCATGAAAATTTTCAAATACACACACAAAAAAGAAGGTAATGCGTTTGTTTTACCTTCTTGTTTTGTTGTTTTAGCTAAATAAGGCTTTATTTATTTATTTATTTATTTTTGAGACAAAGTCTCGCTCTGTTGCCCAGGCTGCAGTGCACTGGCTCAATCTCAGCTCACTGTGACCTCCACCTCCCAGGTTCAAGTGATTCTCCTGCCTCAGCCTCCCGAGTAGCTGGGATTATAGGCACCTACCACCACACCTGGTTAATTTTTGTATTTTTAGTAGAGACAGGTTTCACTATGTTGGTCAGGCTGGTCTTGAACTCCTGACCTCAAGCAATCCACCCGCCTCAGCCTCCCAAAGTGCTGGGATTACAGGGGCTTTATTTATTTGATGTTTGTTTACTCTGTCTGATTCTCTAGGGTCTCCATCTGCCTTGGAACTCAGAAAGCAGCCTTCACCTTGTTTGTTTCAGTAGCTCCATATTGTCAATCTCCTTGACTGACTTTCCCAAGTCACATCTGGCAGGCTCTGTGACCAGGACTGATGTCTGTGAGGCTTCAGGCATTTGGCTGGACAAGCAGAAACCTTCAGCGAATATCCTCAGTCAGTCCCTGGGCAGAGGACTGACTGGCCCCTGAGGACTGGAACCTGGAGTGGGCACAGGGCATCATACACTTTGTCTGCCATCATCTTCTGTTGGAAGGAAAACCCTGGCCTAGGAAGGATTTGGAAGGTGGGAGAAAGACTTAGGGGAGAGAAGGAAAAGAACCAACTGCCTGCAGTCTGGATGATCCTGCTTCTGTGCTTGCCAGCCTTGCTTGCAGCTTCTATTGGGCACAGAGGGAGCTGGGCTAGCAGGCAGCCACTCTCAAAGATGGCTGGCTGCATCTGTGTGCGGTGCCTCTCAGCCAAGCGGACTCCTCTCAACTGCGTGCCGGCAGCAAAAACTCCAGATCTCTGGTCGCTCCAAAGGCTGTTCTAGAAAAACCTCTGGTCTGGAGGACCAAGGCCTAACTAAAGGTAGGGGAGGCCACTCCTGCTGTCCAACCCAAGGTCTCTTCCCTGCCCCTGCCCTTCATTAAATTACCAAATAAAGTCTGAAGTGCAGATTTCCTTGCTCTCAAACTTTCCTTATCACAGAACCATAGAAACACAGGCAGTGGGAAGCCTCAGGAGTCCTCTACCCCAAACCCTTTAGGGCCCACCCTGCTGCAAGTTCTCAGGAAAGATGACCCAGGACTTTATCCAAGTACAAGGTACCTATTTTCTAAAAAAGATTTTACTCATTGTTGTTGTTGTTTGAGACAGAGTCTTGCTCTGTCGCCCAGGCTGGAGTGCAGTGGCACAATCTCAGCTCACTTCAGCCTCCGCCTTCCAGGTTCAAGCAATTCTTGTGCCTCAGCCTCCTGAGTAGCTGGGATTACAGGTGTGCGTCACCACACCTGGCTACTGTTTGTATTTTCAGTAGAGATGGGGTTTCTCCAAGTTGGCCAGGCTGGTCTTGAACTCCTGACCTCAGATGATCCACCTGCCTTGGCCTCCCAAAGTGCTGGGATTACAGGCGTGAGCCACCACACCCGGCCTACTCATTGTTTTTAATAGTTACTTAATATTCTACTGCATATATGCACCATAATTTAAAACATTACACAAATATCACATGAATTCATTTTTATAATTAAAATGCAAACAATATAAGCAGAGAGAAAGTTCCCCCTTCATATTCCTCAACCACATCCTCTCCCCGCAAAAATCGCTCTAATCAGTTTGGTAGTATCACTCCATATTCTTTTGGATGTGGCATCTTAAAATATGAGATGAAGGTGTGGTTTTGTTGTGGTGGTTTTTCTCCAAGTATGTGATCATTATGCATCTTGTCCTGCAGATTTCAGTTTTCAATTAACGATATGATTTTGAGAACTTTCCCTGTCAGTCCTTCCATGCCTATGACATTCTCTGATGCTGATGGTATTGCATGGTTTCAATATCTCATACTGCATCACTCCCATGTGACAGACATTTAGGTTCTTTCCAATTTGTCTCATTATTACACTCATATTGCTCTCATTTCCCAAGCTCTTTGCAAATGCAACATCTGCTACTCTCGCTCTAGGAGAGTTCCAAAGAAATGGAATCCCTGGGTTGAAGGACATGTATATTTAAAATTCAGTAGAATACTACCAAATAGCCCTCGAAAACAGCCTACTAATTTATCCTCCTACCCTCAGGGTGGGGCAGATGCCCCCAGCTGGCCTACCCAGCATCCAGTCCCATCTCCTTTTCCCTTGGTGCATTCCATAGTAGTAGCTGGTAAATAAATAAAAAAGGGTAAATAATCACTTTCCTAGCCCACCCCTCCAGCAGCTAAGTGTGGCTATAAGACACATTTTTGGCCACAATGCTACACATGGAAGCATCTAGGAGCAGAAACATAGTTCTTTACCTTTTCAGTTTTTTTGTTTGTTTGTTTTTTGAGACAGAGTTTTGCTCATGTTGCCCAGGCTGGAGTGCAATGGCGTGATTTTGGCTCACTGCCACCTCCACCTCCCGGGTTCAGGTGATTCTTCTGCCTCAGCCTCCTGAGTAGTTGGGATTACAGGAGCATGCCACCATGCCTGGCTAATTTTTTTTTTTTTTTTTTGTAATTTTAGTAGAGACAGGGTTTCACCATATTGGCCAGGCTGGTCTTGAACTCCTGACCTCCGGTGATACACCTGCCTCAGGCTCCCAAAGCGCTGGGATTACAGGCCTGAGCCACTGTGCCAGGCCAACTTTTCTTGACATAAAGGAGAGATGTGACTGGGCCCCCCCTTCTCTTATCTCATCTCAAGATGAGCTATCATATTGAGACTATGAGGTTAGAGTCACAGGTGACAAATCAACATTTTAAGGGTGCCAGAGCAGACGATAGAAAGAACCTGAGTTGCTAGTGGCATCACCAAGCAACTGGACTGATGCCAGCAGCCATGTACACTGGACATCTTATTACAAAAGGAAAACACACCCTTAATTGTTTAAACTCCTGCTAGTTGGGTATGTTACTTGTAACTGAAGAAAAACTTAAATGGGACAGAGTACTGATTCCAGGTACCCATTTTGCTTTGATTCAACCTTGCTTTTTTAAAAAAATGTTGTGGGTACATAATAGGCATATATATTTATGGGGTACATGAGATATTTTGATACAGTCATACAATACATAATAATCACATCAGGGTAAATGTGGTATCCATTGCCTCAAGAATTTATCCTTTTTTATGTTACAAACCATCTAATTATATACCCTTTTGGTTATTTTTAAATGTACAATAAGTTATTGTTGACTCTAGTCACCTGTTCTGTTATCAAATACTAGACTTTATTCATTCTATCTAACTACATTTTTGTACTCATTAATCATCCCCACTTTCCCCGTCTCCCACTACCCTTTCCAGGCTTACCATCCTTCTACTCTCTATCTCCATGAGTTCAATTTTTTAAATTTTTAGCTCCCACAAATAAATGAGAACATGAGAAGTTTGTCTTTCTTTGCCTGGCTTATTTCACTTCATGTCCTCCAGTTCCATCCATGTTGTTGCAATGACAGGATCTCATTCTTTTTTATGGCTGAATAGTACTCCATTGTGTATGATGTACCACATTTTCTTTATCCGTTCATCTGTTGATGGACACTTAGGTTGCTTCCAAATCTTTGCTATTGTGAATATTACTGAAATAAACATGAGAGTGCAGATATCTCTTCAATATACTGATTTCCTTTCTTTAGGGTATATGCCTAGTGGTGATTGAAGAGGATACAAAAAAAATGGAAAGATATTCCATGTTCATGAATAGGAAAAGTCAATATTATTAAAATGTCCATACTACTCAAAGCAACCTACAGATTCAGTGCAATCCCTATCAAAATACCAGTGATATTTTTCACAGAAATAGAAAAAAAAATCATAAAATGTATATGAAACCACAAAAGGCCCAGAATAGCCAAAGCTATTCTGACCAAAAAGAACTAAACTGGAAGAATAACATTATCTAACTTCAAATTATACTACAGAGCTATAATAAAAAAACAACATGGTATAGGCATAAAAACTGACACATAGACTAATGAAACAGAACAGAGAACACAGAAATAAGTCTGTCCATCTACAGTGAACTCATTTTTGACAAAGGTGCCAAGAACATACATTGGGGAAAGGACAGTATCTTCAATAAATGGCACTGGGAAAAACTGGATATCCATATACAGAAGAATGAAACTAGACCCCAATTTCTCACCATATACAAAAATCCAATCAAAATGGGTTAAAGACTTAAATCTAAGAACCCAGACTTTGAAACTACTATGTATTAGTCAGTTTTCACACTGCTATAAAGGGATAGCTGGGACTCGGTAATTTATAAAGGAAAGAAGTTTAATTGACTTACAGTTCTGCATGGCTGGGAAGGCCTCAGGAAACTTACAATCATGGCAGAAGGGGAAGCAGGCACATCTTACATGGTGGTAGGTGAGACAGTGTAAAGGAGGAACCATCAAACACTTATAAACCCCTCAGATCTCACTCACTCAGTATCACAAAAGCAGCATGGGGGAAACTGCTGCCATGATCCAATCACCTCCCACCAGGTCCCTGCCTTGACAAACGGGAATTGTAGGGATTCTGATTCAAGATGAGATTTGGGTGGGGACACAGAGCCAAACCCTATCACACTACAAGAAAGCATTGGAGAAACGCTCCAGGACATTGGTCTGGGCAAAGATTTCTTGACTAATACCCCCACATGCACAGGCAACCAAAGCAAAAATGGACAAATGGGATTACATCAAGTTAAAAAGCTTCTGCACAGCAAAGGAAACAATAAACAAAGTAAAGAGACAGCCCACAGAGTGGGAGAAAATATTTGCAAACTATCCATCTGACAGGGAACTAATAACCAGAATATATAAGGAGCTCAAACAATTCAATAGGAAAATATCTAATAATTTCATCAAAATGGGCAAAAGATCTGAATAGAGATTTTTCAAAAGAAGACATACAAATGCCAAACATATATATGAAAAGGTGCTCAACACCATTGATTATCAGAGAAATGCAAATCAAAACTATAAGGAGCTATCATCTCACTGGTTAAAATGACTTTTATCCAAAAGACAGGCAATAACAAAGGCAGGCAAGGATGCAGAGAAAAGGAAACCATTGTACACTGTTGGTGAGAATGTAAATTAGTACAAATCACTATGGAGAACAGTTTGGAGGTTCCTTGAAAAACTAAAAATAGAACTAACCCCATAAGATTCATCAATCTCACTGCCAGGTATATACCCAAAAGAAAGGTAACCTTGCTTTTTATATGCTATGGTAATGATACAACTTTCCTATTACTCTGTTGAACAATAAAAAATGATAATAGCAATTATTTATTTACTGCCTACTTTATATGCATTATCTCTGATATTACAAAGGTCTTCAGAGGCCAATTATCTTTATTTTAAAGATGAGGAAACCACAGACCAAAAAAGCTAAGATACTTGCCCATGTTCACAAGGGATTCTGACCTGGTTCTGACTGCTTCCATAGGTCCCCATTTTTAAAGTCAGACACCCATGGTAGCTTATTTAATCCAGGAAAAACAATAATAGTAGCAGTAAGGTGGCACATGTTGGGGGGCTGTATCATGGGCAATACCAGGGGTAATGGAGAACCCCTTTGACTGTGGCCAGTGGATCAAGGTCTTGCACTGTGCTTTGCCTCATATCTTCCATTCTGAATCCTGGTGTCCTGAAGCCCTCATAATTGGATCCTGCCCCTTCCTAAGCCCTTAGATCAGAGTTCTGATGAGAGATCTACCTATTTTTCACTTTAGGTCCCTTCTTTGTCTCCCCAGTGTAATCTAAAGAAATGTTTTAAGAGAACACTCTCTGCGTGTGTGTCTGTGCATATTGTCTTTCTATTTTATCATTTGATAACTGAACAGATTCACAAAGAGAATTAAGGGAGGCAAGGTGTGTAGTGGATTATGCCTGTAATCCCAGCACTTTGGGAGGCCGAAGCAGGTGGATCACCTGAGATCAGGAGTTCCAGACCAGCCTGGGCAACACGGACAAACCCCATCTCTACTAAAAATACAAAAATTAGCCAGGTGTGATGTCGTGTGCCTGTTGTCCCAGCTACTTGGGAGGCTGAGGCACAAGAATCACTTGAACCCGGGAGGTGGAGGTTGCAGTTAGCTGAGATCACACCACTGCACTCCAGCCTGGGCAACAGAGCAAGACTTTCACGAAAAAAAGAAAGAAAGAAAGAAAGAATTAAAGGAGAATAACAGTTGTGAATGCTGCCAGGAAGCCACCTTGAGCCCTACTCAATAGTAAAGGGAGGCAACCTGTTACAGTCTTTGGTCTCCCAACCAATGCACCATGGATTTAACACAAAGTTTTGTCATGGGGATATAAGGAAAGCTTTGTATTCATAATTTGAAAAAATTTTGGTTACAAGTGATATGCATGCAGCTCAGACTAATATAAGCAAAATGAAATTGATTGCCTAATGTCCTGGGAAATCTAGTGGAGAAGCTGGCTTAGTCATGAGTGGGTCCAGGAGAGGCAGGACCATCTCTCTCTTGCTCTTTGCTTTGTTTGTCTCCATGTCTTGACCACATTCAGAAGGTAGATGCTTTCTTGGTGGCAGAAGATGGGATCTTTTATTTTCCCTGACACACAGATGTGCAGCTAGCAACCCTAGTGGAGGGAAACTGTGTCTCCCACTAGCCCTGATGGATAAGTCCCAGGGAGGACAACGTCTTTTTTTTTTTTTTTTTGAGGCGGAGTATCGCTCTGTCGCCCAGGCTGAAGTGCAGTAGTGCAATCTCGGTTCACTGCAAGCTCCACCTCCCTGGTTCACGCTATTCTTCCGCCTCAGCCTCCCCAGTAGCTGGGACTACAGGCGCCCGCCAGGCTATTTTTTTTTTTTTTTTTTTTTTGAGTAGAGACGAGCTTTCACCTTGTTAGCCAAGATGGTCTCCATCTCTTGACCTCATGATCTGCCTGCCTCAGCCTCCCAAAGTACTGGGATTACAGGCGAGAGCCACCGCGCCCGGCCTCACACACCAATTTCTGAATCAACCCCTGTGGACACAGAAATAAGAGACGTTTGACTATCCAGCCTGGATCACAGTCTCATTTCTATGGCTACAGTGGTTTTAGTGGTTCAGCCCTACCAAAACCATATGGCATGAGTTTCCCATAGGAAAGAGGGTGGGTCACTGTGTGCTGAATAGACAAAAGCAACAGTGTCCACTGAAATGATTTGAGGAGCGATGGACAACGTGAGCTAATGTCTCAGCCTTGAGGCTTTTGAGGCTGGGACTAGGACTTACAATAAAGTCACCATAATTCAGCAGACAGGTGTATCCTCTCAGCATGCTCAGGGCAGTGGCAGCTCTACGATTTCTGCATTTCTTCTTGGAAGAGGGATAGCAGCCTGTGTTGGAGGGTGCAGAGGGTTCCCCTCTCAACAAGTCACCCTTTGGAAGGATCACTGCCTGGGACATAAGAGCTGGTATCCCAACTCTAACCTGTGGAAAAAGGGGCTGCTCCAGCCACGTAACATTACCAAGCTTAGAGGGCCTGATACAGACAGGCCTCTTCCTGCCCCTCTCCATCTATTGCCTGGGAGTCGTGATCCTCCAGGAGAAAACCAACAGGCTGCTCAGTCAACAGGCCTTGACTCCATGTCACCTTTTGGAGAATGCATTTGTTACTCTCTGTGCTTATGTCTTTCTGTGTGTGTACCCGTGTGTCAAATGCAGATACATGGCTGTGGTCCTCCTGGCTAAAAGAACACCATACAATTGTCCACCTGCCCGCTGATGATTGAAAGTCCACCACTTATGGGATTACTCCCCTTGCTTAAGAATTACCTCCTCTTAAAAATGCAAATTTCCCAGAAGAGAAAATACTGTTCGCTTGCTTATTTATGGTTAATAAGCATAAGCTTGCCAAGCTCTTTCATGAGAAATATTTTTTATGAAAAATGCTGAGCTTCGTAACAGAGTCTAATAAATAGGCAGCGGGGTTTTTGAAGGTGGTTTTATCTAATTTACATTTGAGGTACCCAACTGGCAAGAACTTCCATATTGCAGTTTCTCACCACAGGTTCTTATATGAATAAACTTCTAGTTACCTCTGACTTCCTGATAAAACTAAATTATACACAACTGTAAGTGATACTATTTAAGATGGAATGGAAAATCAAGGAGGAGGAATCATGTCCAACATTTGGGTTTAACACAGGGTTGAAATAAAGAAATAGCTCTAAGACAGAAAACGGAAACCCGGAGTTCAGGAGTCTGGATTTCGGAGTAGGAGGCAACCAGGAAAAATTTTAGGGTCTGAATTATTAGAAAAACTGCTGAAGGTATCAATCTTCCCACAGAAGGAGGGATGGAGAGGTTGGAGCTGACCTTAGCGGACATTGAAGGACATGTGACATACAGACATCTCGGTTACATCTGGCTGATGGGGGCCTCATACACTTCCTTCTTTGCCTCTTGAATCAGATAAACCTTTTAAATGCATTTCCACTTTGCTGAGAGGCAGTAAAACGCAGAGGTTAGCAGCCCAATGTATGGCCTCAGACAGCTGAGGTATAGATTCCCGTGCCACCGTCTATAGCTGTATGACCTTAGGCATCGTGCTTAACCTTTCAGGCCTCAGTTTCCTCCCCTGAAAAATGGGAATAACAGTAGTTTCCAACTTATGGGGTTGGAAAAACCCAACCACCTTGGACAAATAATTAATAAATAATAAAATAAAATAAATCCACCTCTGTATTATTAGATGCAGAGCCCAAGCATTCTACTTTTTCATTTAGTGGATTGTCCCCTCTCTGTGGGAGAGGGCCCCTCAGACCCATGGGCACCTTGGAGGTGTTCTATGCCAAGGTGCCAACAGCATCCGGCACGGTGCTTTCCTTGCTGGGCTGGACTTCAGAAAATGGCAGAGCGCCAGACTTTGGCCAATGCCAAGGGCACTGAGGTTGCTGTGTTTAGGACTTTTCCTTCTCGAAAGGTATGACAGCATGGGCACCGGGTGAGCCTGCTTCTCTTTTCATCCATAACCCTAAACCCTCCTGAGCCACGGCTCCTCCTCCTCCCTAAACATCTACTGAGCCCGTGGGCTGGACCTGAGCACGATGGGGAGACGTTTTGGTACGTGTTATGGGTAACACACTTAAAGAAGAGGGACTCACCTCGACCAACTGTGGTTGGGAGCCAGGAGGATATTGAATGCTGCAGTCCTCAACTGGTTGGCTTGGGCAGGAAGAAAGCCAGTGGATTCTCAGCGCTGTGATGGGCTGTGTGAGGAGTAGATGTGGGAGGAGGGAGGACCCATGATGGGGGCCCATGGTGGGATGAGTAGGTACTGAGCTAGCCCACTGACCACCAGCCAAGGCAGCCCAGACCCTGAACGAGGCCAGTTCCTCACACTTGGAGTCATTCCGGAGTTTCACTCTACTGTCCACAGCACCCCAAGGATTGCCTAGTTTCCATATTCTATTCTACCAATAAGGGGGGTGAGAAAGTGTGGGGAGAAGGTTTTGGGACTACTGCATCAATGCTGTGGCAGGATAATTTGAGGAAAGGTAGCGAGGAACAATACAATATGCGTTTTTCCTCCCACCCCCGCTGCCCTCTCACCTCCACAATACAAGAAATTCTGCTTACGAACACACAATTATCCTTAGAAATTGGTTATGGTCCTATCAAACCATGCCCCTACCCTCTGCCATACATCCGGATCTCACAGGCAAAACAAATAACAGTTATCTCATAGAGACTAAAACAATTCTATGATTTTGGAGTTTCTATGTTCTAAGATGGTGACACCTGATTTTCCTGAGAGGTAGGGACAAGACCTCATATTTGTGGGGTTCTCCTAAATGCTGTGGACTGTGACTAGAACCCCCAACCTGCCACTCCACACCACTCATTTGGAACCAGTGCCAAAAGTCTAATATCCAAAGAGGATAATTTTTTATTTTTATTTTTTAATTGGGAGGAGAGGCCTCTGTGAACCTATATGAATCTTGGCTCTTTCCCCATAAAAATATGATTGAACTATTCCTATTGCCCTTTCAGAATTCCATTGTTCTCAAATATAACCAACCCGCTATTATATAGGCTTCATTCAACCATGATATTATCTGGATATAACAGCAAGAATTGTCATGTAAACTCAGCTTTTTTTTCTGTAGGGGACATAAATCATTTATTTGTATTTACCCCAATCTCCAAAGCTTTCCTGTAGATCTCTCACATTCTAATCTCCCTGGTTGACCTGATCCAGATTTTCCTTAAATTGGCTGGTTGTCTTGAGGAAATGTGACAGAGTGGTTATGCTGAAAGCCAGATTGCTGGCCAGGCACGGTGGCTCACACCTGTAATCTCAGCACTTTGGGAGGCCGAGGTGGGCATATCACCTGAGGTCAGGAGTTCGAGACTAGCCTGGCCAACATGGCAAAACCCCGTCTGTACTAAAAATACAAAAATTAGTCGGGCATGGTGGTGGGTGCCTGTAATCCCAGCTACTTGGGAGGCTGAGACTGGAGAATCGCTTGAACCCAAGAGGCAGAGGTTGCAGTGAGCCAAGATTGTGCCATTGCACTCCAGCCTGGGCAACAAGAGTGAAACTCTGTCTCAAAAATAAATAAATAAATAAATAAGCAAGCCAGATTGCAGGGGATGGGATCCTGGCTGGTGACTGTAGGCACGTTACTTAACCTCTTGGCCTCAGCGTCCACATCTGCAAAATGAAGATAAGAATGGTATCTGTTTCATCAGGTTGCTGGACTGTTAAGTGAATTAATACATATAAAGCATTCCATTTGGTGCCTTGCACATAGTAAGAACTTCAGATGTTAGCTAGTATATTGCCCCATACATGGGTCATACTTGCAGATGATGTGCAAGTGAACTCTGCGCTACTTTTCATTACTCTGCATTAAATAATTCCACAGGAAATATAGACATTTGCCTCATGGTATGAAAGATGATCTGCACATCTGATAGAGGGCAGTGATCTCTGGTCATCAGTGTGTACTTTTACCTTGCTTCCCAGAGACGCATACAAAATATAAAACCCCAATTCATTCATTTCTGTACCCATAAATTCAACTCCCCAAGGCACTGGGAAATTACCATCCTGTTGGGTGGAGAAGTCAGAACTTGACCTTTCTTTTCTACTCTGTGATTGACCTTGTGTGTTAGAGCATAAGTTGAAAGAAGAGGAGGCGTGTCTCCTAGATGCTGAACGTACTCTTGCACTCTTCCAAGAGTGTCTTACTCATTCAAAAATATTCATTGAGAACCTACTGTGTGCCAGGTACTGCTGTGGGTCCTGAAAATACAGCAGTAAACAAGGCAGATGAGGTCTTTGTTCTCTTGGAGCTTGCATTATCAAGATCCAATAAACTCCAGCATCCTACAAGAGTTTATTATTAATTGCCTCTTCTTCTTCAGTACAACATATTCAAATGATGACCTTCAATGGCTGCAAGAGTCTAAAGAGCCTTGTGAACCACCAAAGAAAAACAACATCATGGCCACTATAGTTTTGATGATATGCATATTTTGTTGTATTATAATACCTTTTTTTCTTTTCTTTTTTTTTGAGACCGAATCTTGTTCTGTCACCCAGGCTGGAGTGCAGTGGTGCAATCTCGGCTCACTGTAACCTCCGCCTCCTGGGTTCAAGTGATTCTTCTGCCTCAGCCTCCCAAGTAGCTGGGATTACAGGTGTGTGCCACCATGCCTGGCTAACTTTGTATTTTCAGTAGAGATGGCGTTTCACTACATTGGCCAGGCTGGTCTCGAACTCCTGGCCTCAAGCAATCCACCTGCCTTGGCCTCCCAAAGTGCTGGGATTACGGGCATGAGCCACTGTGCCCAGCCTTTTTTTCTTTTTAGAATTGGGGTCTTGCTATGTTGCCCAGGCTGGCCTCAAACTCCTGGGCTCAAGTGATTTTCCTGCCTTAGCCTCCCAAGTAGCTAGGACTAAAGCATGTGCCACTGCAACCCACTCTGTAATACTTTTTTGAAAACAGATAGTCCATATAACACATCTATAGCCTCCATAAATGTTTATTTAAACTGAAAGCCCTGTTCCTAGACCATATTGAAAAATAAACATGCTTCCTCTACATGGTTTATTTGCACAGTGTGATTGGTTTTCATTTGTTTGTATGTTTTCCTTGTATGTGTCCTTCGGTCTCTCTCCAAGTGTGTCTTTCTTAATTCTCTGGATTTTGAGCTTCATCAGGGAGGAAGCTTTCTAAGCCTATGCACACCCGACTGATGTCATTGCCTGACCCACAGCCAGCCCCAGGGTGGGAGGGCCAGATTAAGTTGAAGGGAAAAAAAGATCTTGTCTGCTGCCTCATAATATGTCCAAGCCTTCTCATGAGGTCTTAACGTGGGTGCTGTCCTCTGATAGTCAAAGGACACTGTCAGGGCAATGAGGTCCTAACACTCCTCTCCTGTGTGTGGCTTTCCCAGCCTCTGTGAAATGACCAGATGAAGTGGAGCTCTCCAAACTGCCCCCAGCACCCATGGTCTCTGCTTCTAGGATTCCTGGGCAGAATCCTTGGGAGAGCCTGGGGCCTGAAGGACTCTGTCTGCTAGGATGCCAAGAAGAGGCCAGGAGTTTACTGCAGATTCACACACAGGCACACAGAAGGGAACATCCCTGCCTATCCTGCCCTGTCCGTGCCCTCAGAGGAGAAATGAAAACGTGCCTGATTTCTTGTGATGGGGGAGAATCTATCCCTTGGAGAATGCTCCAAGGGATGGAGCAGACACAGGGAGAAAGAAGGCTGTTTACACCACAGAGGGAGGATAGGGAAGAGGAAGAAAAACTCGCATATGGAAAGGGACACTAATGGTAGGGAAAGAAGTTTTATTTTCAAGCTTTTAAGAGAATATTACAAACAACAGAGAGTTTTAAAAAACCCTAAAAACTAGTTTAAAAAAGTACTTGACAGTGTCCTTTTAATACCCATGGATGACGCGACCACTGTGCAGTGACAACCAGAAACTTTGCAGGTGAACACCCAGTGGCCTTCCCTGGCAGGGTCCCCAGAGCGAGCAGGAGGGGTCCAGGGGTAGTGCTCCCTGCCAGGCACCCTTGGGCCCACCTGGCTACGCGGGAAGGAGCAGGGAGCACAAAGCACTGAGCATCAGCCTGACTGCCTCTTTGGGGAGGGTTCCAAACAGGGAGGGTTCCAAGCAGCAAGGAATACTTAGATTGGGCTCTACTCCACTCCTTGGGGCACACTGGTCAAGCTCCTCCCAACCACTGCAGCTGCTCTCTTGGAAGCCCGTAGGTCAGGGGTGCCCTACCGTGAGGGGACTGGGTCTGTGCATGTGCCAAGACAAGAAGGGGCTGGCATTGCACATGTCCTGGCCATGGTGGGGTTGGGTAGTTGGGAAAGTTGCTCCGGGATTGACAGCTTCCAAAGCTGAAGCCACAGCAGCAGAACTGTGCTTGAAATATCCACTGGAAATCTGTACTTTTCTCTAGGGGTGTGTGTGTGTGTGTGTGTGTGTGTGTGTGTGTGTGTCCTGTAAACATCTTTGAACCAAATCACTATAAAATAAATTAACAAGGGCACAGAAGGACACCCTTTTCCAAACCTAAGCCCTCTTTTAGCCCACCTGAAATCGGGAGTTCCATTTGGAAGTTCCTTCAGGAAGGAGACACACTCTCCCTCTGGCTGCTCACACCAGCATATCCCTCCCTGAGCATCCCTCCCTGACCATCCACCCCACCATCCCCACAGCCATTTGTCAGCGAATCTTGCCCATCCAAATGAGCCCAGGAGCCCCAAAGGCAGTGTGTCCCTGCCAGCTCACCCGTGCCTCCTCCTTTTCTGGCTGCCTGCAGAACACAGCCCCAGGAGAAACAAAACCAAACAGGGTGAGAGCAGAGCAGACCACAGATGCTTTTCCTCTTGGCCCCCTTGGCCTCCGGCACTGCCACAGTCACACAGGCTTTGCCTGCCCTCAGCCTCTGCTTCTTCGGGTACCTTGCCTGCAGGTGCATTGGGGCAGGGTTTTTCTGTTGGGCCAGGTTCAGCCTGTATTGCACTTTGTTGTTGAGTTGGTGTTGGTTTTCATTGTTGTTGTGGAGAGTGGCATTGACTGATTGGAAATAGCAGAACTGCTCCTGCACCAGCCTCACTCCCGCTCTGACACTACCCCAGGGCTCCCGCCAGGTCCCCCACCCTCTGCCTGCTCCCTCTGTTGGCTCTGGGGGTGCCACTGCACCTCCCCACCCTGCTCCGGGCCCTCAGTGGTGGTCATGGCCTTCCTTCCGGGCCTCTGCTCTCACACTGTCGTGACTCTCATGACCAGCTCTCGGCTGCTGCCTGGGGGACTTCGCTGTTCATGAGGTCTCAAGTGACTCAGGATGTGCAGGATGGTATAAGCACAGTGGTGATGGGACAGAGGGCCTGAGGGGTGGCCGGCAGCCTGGGCAGGGCCCTGCTCAGGGGCAGGGGTGCCTGCGGTCTCCTCTTCCGAGGAGGGGATATTGGCCTGGGTGGATGAGGAGGTCCGGGGGTTGGTCCTGCCTCCTGCCTTTTGATCCTCCAGGTCTTTTGTCTTGTCATAGTTCAGCACTTTCCACTGCTGGTTGACAGCCTGCCACCGTTTAAAGATGCGGTACACCGAGGGTCCTTCATGGATGATGAGACCTGAGGCAGCAGGGAGAGGAGAAACAGAGGCCAAATGAGAGGAAGTGGGTCACGGCCAGGAGACCACAGTCTCTCTGAATCTATGCAAGGTATGGGCAATGGCTCCAGTGCTGAGCCATGGGAGGACCATCCCTAGATTCCCAGGCTCAGCAAGTTCCAGTAGGCAGAAGGTGGAGGGGCCACCAGACCGAGTCCATGAAATAGTTGAGCACCTTCAGGCAGTGCCTTCGCCCACTTCTACACCACCCCACCCCCTTCCTGCCTCGACAAAATCCAAATTCATCCACTAAGGCATAATATAAATATCTTTTCCTCCCTCTATTATGTATCCATGGCACCCAGTCCTTAGCAGATGTTGAATGAATTGTGTGCTTTTAAAGCACCACAAAAGAAAACCCATGGTTTCTCCACACCTGCTAAAGGTTGCTAGAAATCCCACTGGTTAACTCTTTGCATGGATACCCCAGTACTACTGAGATACAAACAGCCCTTTGATGCAGTTATATCTGCCAGAGGCAGTGATAGAGTTGGAAACAAGTTACACCAGGCAGCAAGGCAAATAAATAATCATTGTGTGCCTATTGTGTGCCAAGCACTGGGGATACTGCAGTCGGCAGGACACCCTCTGAGAGCTTACATCTTCATGGAGACACACAATAGACAAACAAACCAAAGTGACAATTTCAGGTGCTGACAATTGCCTTAAGGAAGATAACTGGGGTTAAATATCCACTGGCTGCAGGCACTGAGATCCTGTTTTAGCAAGGGTGGTGGGAAAGGCCTTTTGGAGGAGATCATATCTGAGTTGAGACTTAAGTGATGAACAGGAGAGATCCATGCAAAGATCTGGAGAGAGAGCACTTCGGTGGAAGGAACTCCAAGTGCAAAGGCCAGGAGCTGGGAATGGAATGAACAAGGTCAGAGAGAAGGTCAGTGTGACCAATACAGTGCAGCAGTGAGGAAGTGGAGGGAGGTAAGTTGAGCAGAGGCCAATGGATGGTAGGGTCTTATAGGCCATGGCTAGGGATTTGCATTCTATCCTGAGTATAATGGGAAGCTATTGACGGTTTCAGTAGGGGGAATGATGTGATCTGATTCACCCTTCATAAAGCCACCTGTGGCACCTGTGAAGAGGGCCAAGAGAATGAGTGGAAAGCCAAGCAGGAAGCAGTGATGTCATGCGGGTTGGAAATGGTGATAGCATTGACTAGGGTCATGGTGGTGGAGCAGTGAGAAACTGCTGGAGTCAGGCTGTGTGCTGGAAGTAGAGCTGAAGACTTGCTGACTCGCAGGGTGGGAGTGAAGAGAAAGATCTGGACAACTTCGAAGCTCTTGGCCTCAGCAGCTGCATGAATGGGAAGCCATTTCCTGAGAAGTGGAGGGCACCAGAGGCGGGCTATGGATTTGTGTGGTGGCTGCGGTGACCGGATTCATTTCCTATTGCTGCAGTGACAAAATACCACACATCTAGTAGCTTAAAATGGGATGCATGTTTCTCTTACAGTTCTGGAGATCAGAAGTCTAAAATCAGTCCCACTGGGCTGACGTGAAAGTGTCAGCAGGGCACCTTCTGGTTCTTTCTGGAGGCTTTGAGGGGGAAGAATCTGTCTTCTTGCCTTTTTTCAGCTTCTAGAAATTGCAATTTCTGCCTCGTTCTTGCATCACTCCAGCCTCTTTCTTCTGTTCTCACCTCTCCTACTACTCTTCTGTCATCAGATCTCCCTCTCCTTCTTGTAAGAACACTTGTGGCTACATTTAGGGCCCACCTGAATAATCCAGGATACTGTCCCCATTTCAAGTTCCTTAAATTAATCACATTGGCGAAGTCCTTTTCCATATAAGGTAACATTGACAGGTTCAGGGATTAGGACCTGGATGTCTTTGGGGCCCATGATTCAAGCCTATCAGAGTGATTACTAGCTACATTTTGGTCATGGTTAGTTTAAGGTGTCTGATAGAAATCTAACTAGAAGGGTCAGATGGGCAACTGGACATATGAGTCTGAAGCTTAGGGAGAGGTCTGGCCTGGAGATAGAAGCCATCATTGTAGAGGTAGAACTTGAAGACTTGGAAATGGCTGAGACCTCTTAGGGAAGAGAAGAAGGCCAAAGACAGAGCCCTGGACTTCAGGTGTTTAGAGGCTTGGTGGAGGCTTTGGTGGAGATAGGGCCAATGAATGAGGCTCAAAAGAAGCAACCAATGGGGTAGAAGCAAGACCAGCAAGTGTGGAGACCCAAAAGCCTAGGGAAGGATTCAGAAAGAGTGCAGTGACTCTTTACAATGTTATCAAGAGGTCAGCTTGAGTAAAATGGGAAATGACCACCAGTTCCATGGGCACAGAAGGAGGGAGAATGATAGAAATGACAGCAAGAAAATCAGGTAGTTCTCATCCAAGTACACATATATTTTTTTTCCCATGAAGTCATCAGCTAAGATAGAAGAGATAAGAGAGGAAGTGTTAAAGATTTGTGGAGAGAGGAGAAGGTGGGAAATAATTATCTCGGAAAGTAGGAGTGTGAATTTACAAGGGAGATGTGGTAGAATTAGCTCACTGTGTTAAGTATCCATTTGAGATTTGTAGCCATAAATCTGAAGTGAATCTAGTTACTGGTTGTGTGATTTTTCTCCACCCCTTCAAACTGCTTGCTCAGGTGCACATGTGGAAGAAGAAGAAACCTGGGCTTAATCAGGGTAAACGGTTTCCCTGGGCAAACAGACATGAGAATTATATGTACTTGCAAGAGAGTGATTATCAGGCTGGACCATGGAGCCCAGGCTGGGGATGAGAATACGAAAGGTATAAGGAATAATGAAAAGTGGAAAGTGAGAGAGTCAAGGCCAAGTCTTTATGAGGTTAGAGGATTATTGGAGTCAGTGAATGGGGGGTGATGGTCGGAGAGTGGGATGTTTAAATCCAGATTTTGGAGGTGGTGTGGTTACTAGCAATTATGAATCTAGGATGTGACTATTTGATTGGGGCTGGAGTGTGCTGGAGGAAAAGATCTTTGGAGCAGGGAATTGGAAAGACTATCTGCATCAGCCATCCTCAATGCTATCACACCAAACATCCCCTTTTTATAACAAATATATTTTAACATCATCATTCCCATCCTGAAATGAAATTCATAGCTACTATGTCTTTTAAATTAATATAATGCCCTAAAAGAGAATATAAAATAAAAATAATAAAGGGAAATCTTTTATAACAAAACAATATACATTTCAGTGAAAATGCTATGGTACAACTACATTAGGAAACGGACAAACAAATGAACAAACCCCAGATATTTCCAAATGCCTCCGGGGTACAGGCCCATCTCTGCCAAGCACTGATCTATGTAGTGCTGAGGACAGGAGTAGGGGGAGTGTATGAGCAGGTGCGTGAGGGTATCTGAGGACTGAGTAGGCAGCCAGTATCCAACAGCATCCAGAAGGGAAAATGGGTGGTAAAGAAAGATGCACTTCGCCTAGGCGCAGTGGCTCATGCCTGAAATCCCAGCACTTTGGGAGGCCGCGGCAGGTGGATCACCTGAGGTCAGGAATTCAAGACCAGCCAGGCCAACATGGTGAAACCCCATCTCTACTAAAAATTCAAAAATTAGTCAGCTATGGTGACACGCGCCTGTAATCCCAACTATTCAGGAGGCTGAGACAGGAAAATTGCTTGAACCCAGGAGGTGAAGGTTGCAGTGAGCCGAGATCATGCCACTGCACTCCAGCCTGGGTGCCAAAATCAGGACTCTGCCTGAAAGAGAAAGAGAGAGAGAGAGAGAGAGAGAGAAAGAAAGAGAAAGAGAGAAAGAAGGAGAGAGAAAGAGAGAGAGAGAGAGAGAGAGAGAGAGAGAGAGAGAGAGAGAGAAAGAGAGAGAGAGAAAGAAGAAAAAGAAAGAAAGAAAGAGAAAGAAAGAGAGAAGGAAAGACTTCAAAGGGGCTGAGGCTTCTGAAGCATGAAGGAAGAGAAGTAGTTGCGAGTGGTAATGGAAATCAAGAAGGACATGGGCCCCACCTCCAGACCCCACAAGACACAGTGTGTGTGGGGGAAAGAACAGCCGCCACCAGTGTGAGGGAAACGGTGTTCTCAGGACACAGCCATGCTTCAGGTAGGAAAGATGGAGGGAACACACAGAGAGGAGGCTGCTAATGATGGACCATGAAGTGCAGGGGGGCACGGTGAAGGGCTGGGAAGACCGGCTCAGATGTAGGGATGAGCTGAGCAGGAAAGGGATGCTGGTGCAGAGAGTGAGGCTGCCAGGAGCTGGGCCCTGTGATGGTGGGTGAGATGATCACACGGTGGGCTTCATCCCACAGCTACTGAGGATCCAGGGGAGCAGCCGGCTTGGAGCAAACAGTAATGAGTCACCCCAGCCTCCTGGTGCAAAACCTCAGAGCCTCTTCAGTCTCCAACAGGTTGCAAATCTCGGAGACCAGAGCCACCCACAAGGCCACTTTCTCCTCCGGTGTTCAAACTGTGTCTGAAATCATGCCTCGCTCAACAAGTCTTCAAGGTTCATCGAAAAAGAGGTAGTCTCAGGGGTTTCTAGCCCTTTGTTTGGATCACACCCCTTTGAGGATCTAACGAAGGGAAGGACCATCTCTCTGGAGGGGAAAGAAAACAGACACTCAAACTGTCCTTGTACTAAATCTCCTGAAGATCACTGGTGGACCCTCTGCTCTGGCCTGAGAGATGCTGAACAAAGAGACTTCTTTTCTGTCCCACTCTCTCACCCTCTCCCAGTTGTACCAACTCCCATCATCTCTGCCAATCTTTTGAATGTGTACCTATGCACCCTTGGCACTGAAGCCATTCATCTGTCCATTTATCCCACAAACCTTGTTTGAACATTGGTATGCTCTTTTCTCCAGACTGTAATCCCCTCGAGGACAGAGCCAGGTCTGGTTAATCTCCGGCAGCTAACACAGCACAAGGAGTGTAATGGTACAGTGGAAGAGATGGGGTGTGGAGAGAGAGAAGTGGGATCTTCTGAAGCCCCAAATTCACTCTTTCCAGTAAGGGACATTACATTTGATTCTCAATTAGCTTCTTGATCAGGCAATTTTGTCCTGATTGAAGAGTGTGACTTAAATTCCTGGTGTGAATGCTGCCTTCCAATTATCTAACTGTCTAGTGTTCAGGAAGTAGTTAAACCATTTTAATGGATAGTTGGCTGAAGGTGAAGAAGGTGGACCTGTTTTTCTAGATAATGCTTGTTTGGGAAAAGAGGGAAAAGCACAAACTACCTCATTCAAATCCACTCTTCACAGCCCTTCCTCTGCTCCCTGCTCTACAAATTTCTTATTGATTTCTTGGGTGGCAGCGTACCGAAGAAACAGGGGAAGATGACTGGGGCTCATCTGATAGGAGCAGGTGACGTGGCCAAGGTTGAAGAGGTGGGAAAAAGGGAAGGGGGATGGGAAGTGGCAGTGGATAGAGAAATAGACTGGATTCGATTGGGAAGAAAGGCTGCTGGTGAACAGAGGCAGAAAAGTCATAGGAGGAGAAAATGGGAAATGAGGGGGCATAGTAACATCAGAAACCCAACAAGTTTTGATTAAGTCCTTTCTGGTTTTTAAATACTTAATGTAATGGTGTTCTAGTGGTCACCTACAATGTACCCAACCCTGGGCTGTATTTGTGGGAAATCCAGTTCTAGAAGAATTGTCTCCTTTGTCTTTCCAATGTCTCTCCACCTTCCGGGGCTCCTCTTCCTCATAAAGCTGCAAGCTCCACGGGTCATCAGAATCCCACCCCCACTCCATGTCCTGCTAATGGCCTGGGTTAAGTGATATAAAAGTTACTGACACTCTAGAACAGTGCTTTTTACACTTTTTTTTTTTTGACAGGGTCTCTCTCTGTTGCCCAGGCTGGAGTGCAGTGGTGCGATCATGGCTCACTACAGCCTCGACCTCCTGGTTCAAGTGATTCTCCCGCCTCAGCCTCCCAAGTAGCTGGGACTTCAGGCACACACCACCATGCCTGGCTAATTTCTGCATTTTTTATAGATACAGGGTTTTGCCATGTTGCAGACTGATCTCAACTCCTGAACTCAAGCGATCCTCTTGCCTCAGCCTCCCAAACCGCTGGGATTACAGGCATGAACCACTGAGCCCAGCTGCCTTTCACACTTCTACTGTGCATTAGAATCACCCAAAGAGCTTGTTAAGACAGATTCCCAGGCTGCAATCTTGGAGGCCTACTGGCTTAGTAGCTCTGGGCTGAGGCCTGAGAATATGCATTCCTAAGAAACCTCAGGTGAGGCTGATGCTGCCTGTGTGTGGACTGCTAGGCTAGGACATGGTTTTTATTCCTCATAGAAGGTTCTAAATTTTGATCACAAAACTTATTATAAGTAATTTTAAAAAGTAATCTACTTCCAGATGTCATAGACATGGAAATGGGAAGAAACGGAAGAAATAAATACTTCCTCTCCTAGACCCAAAGACCTTTGTGCCCCACAACTAAGAGTTAACTTACCAGTGAGTATGTATTAATATTAAGCTTTCAGAGTGTTTGCCACTTACTCACCTTGCGGCTTTAGGTAAGGGACTTCCTCTCTCTGAGACTCAGTTTTCTCATCAGTAAACCCTTCCTCATAGGGTTGTTTTGAGATTAAATAAAGTAATGAGTCCTGCGTGCCAATACCTGGTACTGTGCCTGGGACACATGTAACACTCAATGCCACATGATATTGATTATCGTGGGGGAGATTACAGGACACAAGAAAAGCCCACTCATCTCTCTTCCTCCTTCTTCATTGGCAACCTTGTCCCCAACACAAGTACCTGCTCTTTCATCTCCTGACTCCCCAGCCCTCAGTCAAGTCATTGTTTATAGATGAATGACATGCCAGAGGTAAAAAGCACTCTAGAGACCAAATGATTCTCATACTGGTGCCTCCTCTCCAACCACAGAGAGGCACTCTCCTTCCCTGCAGAATTCCCCACTGTCAGACAGCTATGGGGTGAGGCTTAGTAGTGTCTCACTCTGAAGCCCTACCATTGCCAACCACCCATCTTCCAGATTCCACTCCTCCAGTGCCCAGCCCTGTTAAGAACCTGGACCAAAGCACATATCAGGGAACGGTTGAAAGAAATGAATATAACCGGCTATTTTGGGTGAGTTCAGGGGGTACTGCTGGGAAAGGCCAGGTTGACAACATCACTGCCTGCCCAGTATTCTCCAGGGTGCAGCTTTATACTGGACACAGGTATGGCCAGGCTACACGTCACATGAGCTATTATAAAATTACAAAGCTTATTATAAAGTTACCATAAAGTTACAAAAGTAGTTTATTTAAGTAAACATGCCAACACCTTTCTATATCGAATCAGAGTTTTGTCTTTTAAAATCCCAAGGATTGCCCTTTGGAAATAGGGTATTTACTCCTATTGGGCTATCCCAGTTCAGAACATTTCTGGAAATTGCTCAGTGGGGTTGGCCTTCTGTGACAGAGATGGCTAACGGTCCACTAAAATCCACACTCCCTTTCCTTGGTATAAAGTTGCCACTGAGAAGTTACATTTTCTAGCTTTTTGCACCAAGGTGAGACCAGGTGACTAGTACTGAATGTGACCACAAGCCAGGCCAGCATTTAAGAAATGGGTCTAGGGAACACTCATTCCATTTGATTTTATAGAATGAGGTTTGCCCAATAAAAATAAAAACAAAGAAAAAAGAAATGGGTATTGAGAGAAAACTTGTGCAAGGCTGGGGCAGAAGACGACTTCTTCATGCTCTGTTTAATTTTCTATTAGCTGGAGGCAAAAGACTCAGCAGCCCAAGGGGCCTGTGGAGCCCAGAGATGGAAGGAGTTTGGGACTCCAAATTGCTGTGTGGAAGAGAATCTCCTACTGCTCAGGAACTTCTATTGGGTTAAACCACTGACACATAGGGGCTTATTTTTTTCTATCTGCTGAAGTTACCCTAACTAACATACCTATAGCTCTAGGTTAGGGACCACACAAGAAAAGAAGTTTGTGGCTTGATGGCGTGTTTCATATTGTCCCCAAAATGTATTAGCTGGCTTGAGCTTCCACCTTATTTATCAAATTGGGGCTATTTCTAGTCACAAACCCACTGCCAACAGACAGGCCACTCCTGAATCTGTTCTGTGCCAAAGACAGTTCCCAAGAAATATTCCTAAAATATGTTGAGCTTTGTCAGAACAACTGGGATAAATGAAATGCCTCTCGAGGGGTCTCTTTGGAAAAGGACAGTGCATCTGCTTCTAAATCAGTCATCTTCATCTCTAAGCAACCAGCCACTTGGCTGTGGAGATTGGTGGCCGTCACAGGAGGCCCCGGGTGGGTGGGAAGGAGTTAACACGGAATCTAGAAAACCAGATAAGCTACATGCAAGTAACAGAACGTGGATGGGCATCATCTCGCCAGTTTCTACAGCTGCTGCTTCTCATGTCAGTTTTGTGGCCCAGCCCAATATTGCTGGGGATGCCCCACGGTCACAAGTGTCAGCCTTTGCAAGCCCTGGCATCTCAGTGTGGAGGTGACATCAAAATCCTGGGATGTCAGACCTGGAAGGAACCTGGAGGTTGTCGGTTTCACCCCTCTCATTTATAGATGAGGAACTAACTGTAGAGAGAGGGAGTAACTTGTCCAAGGCCATAGAGGTGATTAGTAGCCGATATGGTTTGGCTGTGTGTTCCCACCCAAGTCTCATCTTGAATTGTAATCCCCGTGTATCAAGAAAGGGACCTATAATCCCTACATGTCAAGGGAGGGAGGTGATTGGATCATGGAGGCGGTTTCCCCCATGCTGTTCTTGTGATAGTGAGTGAATTCTCACAAGATCTGTGTTTGGAAGTTCCTCCTTCATTCTTCTCTCTCCTGCTGCCTTGTGAAGAAGGTGCCTCCTTCCACTTCTGCCATGATTGTAAGTTTCCTGGGGCCTCCCAAGCCATGTGGAACTGAGTCAATTAAATCTCTTTCCTTTATAAATTACCCAGTATCAGGGAAGTCCTTTATAGCAGTGTGAAAATGGACTAATATAGTAGCTATTCTGGTCTTCAGACCTAGATCTGCTTCCTAGTTTCTCGTACTGCACTAGGCTGCCTCCAACAAATGTTCCAAGTTTCCTAATCAGGAAATTAAAAGGTTTTACAGGTAGAGTCATTTCTAGCTAGGAGGAGAGGAAGGAATTTTTGTGGCATATGTATGTTTTGTAGTTAACGTGGGTTAAAATTAGGTTTGAAAGAAAAATGTTTGTACAATCCTGCTGCCCCCATCCTCTGCCTATTTGCTATAAAATGAGATTTAAATTCCTTCATCTCAGAGGACAGGGGCCAGGCATCTTTAAATCACTGAAAAGAACCTCAGGGGACCACACACAGAGGAAGCTTAAAAAAAAACAAAACTTTCTATAATTTTGCTGATTACCATATTCTACTGTTTTAAAGCTTTGGAAATAATCTCAGGAACATTCCTTTCCTTCCTTCCCCTGACCCCATATCAATCACAAGTTAAAAACAAACATGATGAAGAAGAGAGCCTCATTTTTGCAGAGTTGACTATTTGATGTCCAATCTCTTACATCTGTGGAGTTAAAAAAATGTTTTTTTGGTGCCAAAGCCCTTAATTAATTTGCTCTTGTTAAATCCTAATAACTTGACCCAGTGGAGCAGAGAATACCCCATTTGTTTGCTGGGAGGCTCTGTCAGCTTCTCTGCAGCAGAGGACAGCGTCATTAGAGATGACAGAAGAGGAGGCAGGTGGAACGAGGACATTAGATATAATCAGATCTTCTCATTGAGGGGACATAGGTGAGGGAACAAAGAACCTTCAAGAAAAAGCACTACTCCAAATAAGAGCAGACTTTTAATGACGTGAGGACACAGGTTCAGGCGATCTCTATATCTAGGCTGTAGCTGCATTCTGATTATAACAGTTTCGGCAAACCTTTCTTGAGTGTTCCCTCTGAGGGGAATCCACCCTGATCAAGCGCTTCCTACCTGGTCCCTGATGATTACAAGGACACACTACTTTACATTTGCCACAGTGCTCAAACCTCTGAACCACCCTCTGATGATGGTGTTATTATCCTATTTCATAGACAAGGAAAGGGAAGCAGAGAGAAGTGCCAGTTCCTCAAGGTCACAAGGTTAGTAAGAAGCTGAGCCCTGGGCCATTCTGTAGTACAGCTGCCACTTGGGAAACCCACCACTCTGGCCTTTGTGACTCAGTCCTTCCTATTGTTTTCTCATTCTCTATCTTCAACTGTCCCTTACTTGGTTAGTGTCCCCTAGTCCTCTGTCCTCAGCCACATACTCTCTGAGCACTGCATTTTCTCATCAAAACCCACAGCTTCAAACACCTTTTACTGTTCACTTCCAAATCTGTCTTCAAGCCTCATTATCCAATTGCCTACAGAAATCTAGGCATCCACCAGAAATTTTTTTTTTTTTGAGACAGGTTTCACTTTGTCACCCAGGCTGGAGTGCAGTGGCATAATCATAGCTCACTATAACCTCAAACTCCTGAGCTCAAGTGATCCTCCTGTCTCAGCCTCCTGAGTAACTGGGACTGCAGGTGTGCACCACCATGCCTGGCTAATTTTTTAAATTTTTGTAGAGATGAGGACTCACTATGTTGCCTAGGCTGGTCTTGAACTCCTTGTTTCAAGTGATCCTCCTGCCTTAGCCTCCCAAAATGCTGGGATTATAGGCATTAGCCACCATGTCTGGCCTACCAGAGATTTTTAACCCTCTTTTATCACCCGCCCCAACCCCATCAGTCACCAACCCTTGTCAGAACAGGACCAATGCCCTCAACATCTTCCTCTACGTCACAGGAGGGGACTACCTGTGTGCTATAAAAGGCCTCTCCCTCTTTCTACCCTGACAAAAAAACCTCTTCTTAGTACTGCCTTCTCCTCCTTGTATTCCATAATGTACTCCATGTGTCTTGTTTATCTTCTACTACAAACTCTTGGCTTAGAGAGGCTCTTGCCTCTCTGCCTGGATTTTAGGCTTAAGGTTAGTCCTTTTGTTGTGATGCCTTTGCCAAGGACATACCCTTTTGTTGTCCTTTGTTCTATCCATTGCCCATCCCATTCTCAGGCTCCACAATGGTGCCCATTCCCCACTCAAGCCACACTCTGGGACTCTCACTCTCCTAAGAGGGACCCAAACAACCCTATCAAATCTACATCCTAAGTACCTCTCAAGGTCATCCCTACACTTCTTCCCTACTGCCACTGTGTTGCAACTCTATTTCTTGCTTAGCCTATTACAAGCATTTTCCAGCGAAGTCCTTCCCTTCCCTATTCTGTCCACCTCTGACCCATTCTCTCCATAGTTGCTAGAGTTCAATTTAAAATGCACATCTGTTCATATTTCCCCATTTGAACTAGAGTTCAATTTAAAATGCAAATCTGATCATATTTCCCCATTCGAAATTTTATCAATGCCTCCCCACCACCAGTGGGGTCAAATCTGAGTGGCTTAGCATATGACCCATGACTCTGTGGGATTTGGCATGGCCAACTGCTCCAAGCCCCTTGCCCATCACCCACCTCCCAGCCTGACTATTTGCATTGAGCCATACAGACTCACCAATATTTCCTAAGCATACCTGGCTCACTCATGTCTCTGCACCTCCATACAATGCTAGTTCCTTTGCCTGAAATACTCTTTCCCCCTCTTCTGGATGAACTTTGATTTGTCTTTGGAAACTAGCTCAAGGATAGGGTTTCTTCCTTCAATAAGCCTTCCTGGACTCCCCCAAGAGAGTCAATTGCTCTCTGCTCTGCTCTACCTTCCTCTGTACCATGTACAGCCCATCCTGGATTGTGACTTATCTGTAGACTATGAGCTCCTTGAGGGCAAGGAATTGTGTCTTATTCATCTTTTTGTGAATGTTCTCTAGTTTTGGGAACAAAACAAGGCAGCCAACAAAAGCTACTGAAGGAATGGATATGACCCGCTCTGACTCAAGTTCCTCTTTCCTGGGCTCACACTCATTCTTATGTTCAGACCTCAGTCCCAGCTCTTATTATATGGGGTTCAGTGATTACCTTGTCTCCCTCCCCAACAAGAAGAAAGATTCTTGAAAGCAGGTGACTCTCTCATTTGAGTGTATATACCCAGGTTCCTCTGAATATTTCTTTCTTTTTTTTTTGAGACATGGTCTTACTGTGTCACCCAGACTGGAGTACAGTGGCACCATCATAACTCACTGCAGCCTTGGCCTCCTGTGCTCAAGCGATCCTCCTATCTAAGCCTCCCAAGTAGCTGGGACTACAGGTGCACACCACCACACCTGGCTAATTTTTTTTTTTTTTTTTTTTTTTTTAGAGATCTCTGGTAGGCCAGACATGGTGGCTAATGCCTGTAATCCCAGCATTTTGGGAGGCTTAGAGATCTCTAAAAAAACACCCTATGTTGCCTAGGCTGTATCAAGCAATCCTCCCAGTTTGGCCTCCCAAAGTGCCAAGATTACAGGTATGAGCTACTGTGTCTGGCCTGAATAAGTATTTTTAAATTAATGAATAAATGGATTCCCCAAGTTCATGTTAACTAGATTTAGCTTCTCTCACCTGAAGAACCTTTCACCAGAGTGTCTTATAGGGAGATAAACCATAAAATTTCATCTCAATTTCTCAGGCTTCTCTCTCAATTGATGTCAAAATAGCACAATCAAAAAGGAGATGCAACAATGGCTAACCTCCCAAACCCTGAATATAGGACAGGAGCAGCTGGGGCTCACTGAATTTCTGATTGTTACCAGCAGTTATCATGAGGGTCAAAATATTACTGGACTAATTTCCCCCCAACCTGCCTCCCCAACCAAGCTCTGCATTTGCAATTTTACAGAGCAATCAGAGAAGAAATAGATAGTAGAAAGAGCCCTGGAATTACAGCCAGAAGTTCTTGGTCCAATCCTCTGCTCCACCATTTTCTTAGCTGTGTGACTTGGAGCACAGTTGCTTTAAGCCTTTCCTCATCTGTTAAATATGCATCCTAATGCTTATCCTGCTTATCTTTTGGGGCTAATCGGTTTCTCTCTGTTCTTGCAGGGATGTCACAGTTTGTTCCATCCAAAGCAACGTACGTTTGGCTTTCACAGTGGCATGCATTAGTCTAGAAAGTTAGGACCCTAAGCTAAGAGATGCTTTGTCTGTCGAGGCAGCTTGTGTCAGTAATTGTACAACCCTCTGGTATAACCAAGTCTAAAGACATCATCCTCAACTCTGGAACTGTGCTGTATCAAATAGGGAGCTCAGACTTTCCTGGCAGTCATTTCAGGCAAAATCCTTTGGTAAGCACTGAGCCATTCTCCGAGAGTCACTGCTCTGGAGTCTTCTCATTGACTGCTAAGAGCCAGTTGGATGGATACAGCTGTGGATGGGGTTGAAGCAGCTCCATGGGCAGCAAGCAGGCAGTGTCCTGCACAGCATCCTCCTGGGTTCCTGGCAGGGCGTATCTGCAGAGCTGCAGTTGGCTTTCGTGAAGCTTCTCCTTGGAGTCCCTCCTACTTTCATGAGCTGTCCCTCAGCACACCGCTCCAAAAGGAAAGGTAAATACATTGTTAACGATTTGTTAAAACCATCCATTTTATGTTTACTCATATTCTTTACTATCTGTGGCCATTTAACAGTCTTAGGGAATAAACAAATTGTCCTTGGTATCTGAAATATAAAGAAAGTCTAGAGACTCATCGCAGCAGATGGTTTTGTTCCTCTTCTCTTACTCGGCTTTTTGAGCCAACACAGGGCTAGACTCATTTTCTTTTCTCCTGATGATAACATTTTTATCTCAGGTGCTGAATTGCTCCACCCATCCGAGGAGCTTGGGCTTATGGATATTGATGCTTTTTTGTCAATGTTTTCCTCAACCAGCATTTCTTGAGAAGATGCCCCTCTGCTGAAATCCCTTCCACCCACTCTCTGCCAGGGAGCCTTCTCTTCCTCTTCCCATTCACATTCTCTTCTTCCACTCTCTCAGGACTTCTGGAAGGGAAGCTTCCCCCTTTTTCATGGAAGCAAACTAACCTATCAGGTTTTGAAACTGTAGAATGCCTCAGATGTAAGATAGATGCCTCCCGTGGCTCCTGCCTTTGTTTCCGCCTTCGTGCAGCAAGAAGACCACGCTGAGCCTCCTTCTGGCAGTCCCAGCCAGGTCTCTGTTCCCTGTTCTAGCTTCTCTGTCTCTCATTGGTTCAGTAAATCTGGTTTGGGTGGCCAGAGGTCCAGGTTCATGGGTGGAGGCAGGAGGTGGTGGGAGAGGGGTGATGGGGACATTTTCTCCTTCTCTCAAAGCAAACTGCACCCTGGGTTGGCATTCTGGAAATTTGATGAAGTTGGAGTGTCGGTTGTGTTACAGCATCACTTGAGTTGGGGGCAACCCCTGGTTAATGGGTGTTTTATTGGGGATGCCTGCTGGGAGCCTGTGGCTTTGGGCTTCCCCGAGCACAGTGACCTGAACTGAGTATGACTTCTGCGGGAACCCTGGAAATGATGCTCAGGTGGACCCTATACCCATGGTTGTGGGTCTCATCTTCTTGCTCCTGAGGTACTGTTTGGGAGCCAAGAGAATAGCTAGGGACTAGGATGTGGAGTGCAGTGAGGACTCCCTGCAGAGGTAAGCCCGACTTGCCATCCCAGAGGCTGTGGTTCCTGTCCTACATTGCCCTGAGTGAATCTAATGCCAAATGTGCTCTCTGGAAGTCCCCATGAGTCAGAATGTCTAGTTGAGCCTAAAAATAAAGATATCCCTGGCAGGCATTGCAGGCTCTACCCGATTCTCCCTCCAGAGAGCCCTTAAAAAGCAGATATTTTTGCACCAAATTGTGCAGTGTGATGCGTTTTCCCTCTACTGGACAGAATACTGCACAGAAGGAGAAGTTGAATTTCACCCTCAAACCACTGTCATCACTACTGGTTATCATCATTTTACCATCAGTAAAATCCCCATCATTGCAACCCCAAGAACCTGTTTGTGGATTCCCACCATTGCCTTGCACCTCCCACTCTCTTGCAAGATCACATATTACTCCTTTTTATTTCTTCTCCTAGCATTTTCCCCTGTGGACAGCCTTTCCTATGAAAACCCTGAACTGAGACTTCTACTCTGCTGTGGGAGTCAGCCTAAGACAAATGCCTCTGTTTCAGAATTTCACAATCTGAAAAATGGGAAGACGAATCCTTGCCCCCGCAGTCATGCTCTGAAATGGTATAGGTTCTTATTATAATCAATACAATGATAGAGCTGTCTGAACTCACTCCTTAAAGGTGAGATGGTCTAAATGTCAATAGATCTCACCACTTTTGGATGACACTGAAAGCAAGTAGGGTCCCTCTGCATTCCCTCTCCCATCCCATAGCTGTCTCCAAGCAGTCACTGGCTTGTCAGCACAGAATGGATAAATTATGGTGTGCTTTTGCATCTTGGGCTATTATGTTTTCCGAAGAAAGGGAAACAATGAAAACTCTCAATATTCAGCCCACTCTGCTTCTCCCAATAAATTGAAGGACTGAGTGCCACATGTGTATAAGAAAAAGAATTAGAGAGATAGAAGTGTGCCAGGGAAAAGGCAGGCAGCTAGAAAAAAGCCAAGAAACAGGAGGAGGAGGAGAGGTGGCACAGAGCCCTACTCAGAGAGAAACACCATGAGAAGAAGAGACCAGAGCACCAGGCCAGGCTGAGCGGGAGTGCTGGGAGGCTCAGAGCCATGGGGAACAGACCTATGCATGACAGCCCCCTTGTGAGTGGGCCCAGGTGCACTCAAAGTCACAGGTGGCATCTGTAGGTTTTCCATAGGTCACACCATGGGACTCCTGCTATCTGGTGCAAGACAGCTAATGGAATGAGCACTGGGTTGTGAGTCAGGAGACCTCACTTTTAATCCCAGATAAGAACCTTGAGCAGATTATTTCCTCTCTCTGAGCCTCAGTTCTCTCAGCTGCAAAGCAAGCAAGCCAGACTGGTCGATGACATGGTGGTCTCTTCTATATTCAATTCGGTCTTCAAATCTGTAGAGCCATTGGTGGTAGCAGGCATTTATGCTCCTCTCTTTTGTCCGTGCTCCCTCCAGGGAAGGAACTTATTTCCCTGCTCTGTTACCCTATTGATGTTGAGCTTACTGACTACTTGTGTTAGCCAATAGGCTGTGGGCAGAAGGGAGAGTGCACTAGTTCTGAGCAGGCGTTTTGAGATGCATTGCAAGTTTCCACCAAGCCCCCTTGTGCTCCTGCATTCATCTAGGAAAATAGCACACCCAGTAGTCCCTGCTCCGTTAGCCTGGGTCCCAGCATGAGGAGACACTCAGAGCAGGCCTGAACCCAATGCACAACCAGAAGTTAAGCCCAGCCAACCTCAGCAGAACCAAAGCCATCTCCCAAACCCCTGAATGGGAAATCAATGTTTGTTGTAAGGCACTGCGATCTGTGGAATTGTTTGTTACTGTAGCCAATGCTGACTAGCTGACTAATACATCATGTGACAGGAAAGCATGTCTTATAGGACACATCAGAGACTGATCTAAAGCCTGTCTGAAGGAGAATGAAGGGCAGCTAGAGGGGCCCCTCCACTGTTTCCCCCTTCCATGCCAGAGCTGCTGTAAACCTCCATATGGAGACACACCTGGCTTTTGGCATCAATAATCCAGGGCTCAGCAGGAGTAGGAAGGGAGTTTGGTGGGAGGGGGAAAGAAATTAGAATGCATCAATGTCAAATTGTTCCCTGTTCATAGTCCTCCAAACCTGGGCTATCTGCTTCTCTCACTGACTAGGTGCTATAATTAAAAGACTCTTGAACTTGGAGTTGAAATATTGGTTTAGCTAATGTGGAGAGACAGCAAGATGGCTTAGAGAAGTTTACAAGTTCCAGCATCCCTGGTCTCTGGCTGCTGCAACCAGTATGTAAGTCTCCAGGCTTTTCTGATCCCTAATATTAAAGAACTCCAAAGAAATTCACACAAACGTCATCCCAGCCAAATTCTAGCTAATAGATATTTTTCTGCCAAACAGAGAAGTGTAGCTTATTTAATACAATATACATACTAACAACACCGGGAGAGGATAACTGTGGAACTCTAATGCTCCCAGGACTGTGACTTAGGGGATAACCTGAGAGTTCTAGGGTGGGATGTCTGACCAGCGCTTCCCCACCTCCTTAGCTGCTTGGACCATATCTTCAGAGTCAACAGCCACAATCATCTGTTGGGGGAGGGAGGGGAAAGACCCAGCCCGCAACCACCCAAACTACATGGTGGAAGAAAGGAAGAATATAAACTTGGGGATGGGGTCAGAGAAGGAGCAGGATCTATAGCAGTAGGTTCCAATTTTTTTTTTCTAAAACACTGAAACCTTTTAAACGAAACCTTATCTGGAACAGAAACACATGTAAATAGATAAAAGAACAGAAGCCATGATGAAACAGGAGTGAGGATTTGAAGCCTCTCTGTGCGGCATTCCTTTTCCATTCCCTGGTGGGATGGGAGAGCCTGGAGCTGTGTGTGAGGCCCCAGTACTACACAAAGCTGGAAAACCACTGGACTAGAGAAACTCAGAGCATTGAAACAGGCTTAGAGAAAGCTGGAATAAGGCAGGGAGTGGGGGCAGATTCAACCATGGCTGTCTCTAGGTAGTTTGCTGTGAAGAGAATGGAATGAAATGGGCAGGCATCCCTTGTCATGCTTGGCAGTATAGGGTGCACAGTGGAGAGGAGGCCATGCACATCCTGCTTGAAGTACATAGACTAACAATTTTTCCCAAATCCTCCTAGAGGCAGGCCTCATCTTTATCTTCAACTGTGCAAGACAGGTTTGTTTGGGAAAGATCTAGATCTTCCTTCTTTTCCCTGCCTCCTCCCCCTTCCCATCCACCCCTTGAATCCAAGCCTCTGGCCTCTCCTGAGCTCCCAGTTCTCAAGCCTGGGGCCATATCTGCTTCAGCCTCCCACAGTGGGGGATCCTGAGGGATCTGTCCATCCCACGAGCACATGGTTCCCCACTTCCCATGGAGACAAACCCCCAGACCCACCTATGCACACCACGTCCATGAAGCCATACATCCCGTAGCAGATCTGGAAGAGAAGGTCTTGGCGCTGCCATCTTGCCGAGGGGCTGAAAGTTGACCAGATGAGCCAAGAAATACTGGCGATGAGGAAGAGGGAGCCCAGGATGGCGGCTGCAACCTGAACCTTCTCAATGACCGTCAGAGAGATGGCCTGCCACTGCAGGGGAGAGAGTGGCCAGTTAGCAGTTGCTTGGATGCCCTTATCCCATTCCCACCCCTCTTCTGTCTGCTGCTCCAACAGCTCACCTCTGATTTAGGATTTAAGCCAGGGCTTTCCAACCTGTGGTACAATGAGCATTTTGCAGGTTTCTGAATTTCACATTGAACTTTTGATGCAGAGGAAATCTCTGTCACACCAAATGATCACAGTTCATTGTAAGGAGGGGGCTCTAGGTGGGCATGGCTGGAAAGGAAGACCCTTAGACTTGATAATGATATACACAGAGAAATGGAGGGAACAATGAAAATGCAGAGCTAGTGAGGGTGGTGTTCTAGGCCCCCAGATGATTCTTTTATTTATTTATTTATTTATTTTGAGATGGAGTCTTTGCTCTGTCGCCGGCTGGAGTGCAGTGGCACGATCTCGGCTCATTGCAAGCTCCACCTCCCGGGTTCACACCATTCTCTTGCCTCAGCCTCCCAAGTAGCTGGGACTACAGGCACCCAACACCATGCGTGGCTAATTTTTTTGTATTTTTTAGTAGAGACAGGGTTTCACTGTGTTAGCCAGGATGGTCTCGATCTCCTGACCTCGTGATCCGCCCACCTCGGCCTCCCAAAGTGCTGGGATTACAGGTGTGAGCCACCATGCCCAGCCTGCCCCCAGATCATTCTTTTCAGAGAAACACAGTCTATTTTCTCACTAACAGGTGCTGAGAGTGCACAGGCTTTTTTGTTTTTGATTTTTTTTTCTTGCTTTCTACAACATCACCTTGCATGCCTCTTAATTTATATGCTAGAGATTACCAGTTCACTAGACGAGAGAATGAGATGTGGGGAGAGAGAAGAAAGGCAGCTTATAATTTACTGAATGCATATCAACACTATTATTTCATTTTTTAACAGAAAAAGCCCTGTGCTTATACCAGTATTGACAGATGGGTTAAAGGCTAGGGTGTGGGTGAGTTTCAACTCTGAAAGTCTATGATTCTATGGCTGATCCGGGCAGTACAGGTCTGAAGGAGCCAGGAGTTAGATTTTTAACTTGGGGTTTATTCATGCACTTACTCAAGGAATATATATTGAGTATTTTCTATGTGCTGGCCACTATGCTAGGTGTTGGCAATGAAGCCCTAGGCGAAAACAGACAAGGTGCCTGCCCCTGTGGAGCTTATAGTCTAGGGAACTTAGACAACAATATAATTATTCGAACCTGCAATTTATCAAGGGTAAATCAGGGAGGAACATGGCACAGTGAGAGCCGGTGATAGGGGGATTCGACTTCCCAGAGGAAGCAATACTTGAGCTGACTAAGCGGTTACTAGGCAAAGAAAGGAGGGAAGACTGCTCCCGGCAGAGGGAAGAGCATGTAGAAAGGCCTGTGCCAGAAGAAAGCATGGGAAGGATAAAAGCCTGGGAGAAGATACAAGTGGGTGGAGTGGAGACAGCAAAAGAGCTTGTGGGGTGAGACAACTGGAAAAGGAAGAATGAGAGATCACACAGAACCTTGTAGAATATGCAGAGACTTTGTGCTTTGTCCTAAGTGTAGATGTGATGATATGAATGGTTTTAAGCAGAGGACTGACAGGATCAAATTTGGGAAGGTAGGGGGAGGACATCTTTTGACTGGACAGATTTGCATAGCACTCTGCAAAGAACACCCCCAGAAAGCATTTCACTGAACTCTGAGGAAAGGCAGACTACTTTCCCTCTGCCAACAGGGAGACCCGGATGGAAGCATTTGATTCATTCTGGCTGCAGCTGGGATTGGCCTGGCCAGTGGCCTCCAGGGAATTTTAACTGTTGGGAAACATTTCACTTGCTGGTCCAGACATAGGACATCAGCGTCTACATTTAATTAAACAGATAGCCTCCATTACAGGTAATTGGGCCTTTACATTTTCCACTGTTTCCCCCCGCCTAGGGTTACACATAATGAAAGGATTTTCCAGAAGATGACTTCATCATACAGACTTCTTTCATGCACAACAAATGCTTTTTCCAGGGCCTGCCCTCCTGCCTGGAAAGAGGGCTTCTGGCTGAGTTTTTGTTTCTACCATTGAGGCATCCATCATCCTCACTTTCTCCTGCTCCTCTAGACTTCAAAAATGCCAAATATAGAGGCCCAGAAAGCTTCTCTTCATCCCTAAAACCCCTTCTACCACCTCTGAAGCCAGCTGTGGAACCTAAATGGGGCTCCTGACTGCAGTGTGAAGCGTGACGAAGGAGCAGGGTGGGGTTCTATGGACAAGGCACTCTCCTCCTGTCTGTCCCATATGAGGCTCCACAGAGATGAGGGAGAAAGCAGAGAGTGAGCGAGCTCTGAAAACTCACAGGAGGGCTGGGAGGGGGAGAAGGACACCCAGGGTACCAGGCTGCCACCAGATCCCCACTCTGATCTCAGTATCATGAGGTTTCTCCATACCCTGAACTCCCATCCTGCAGCACCAATGAATGGAGAGACAAGCGGAAGAGCACAGAGACTGAATGCTGTGTGCCTTAGAACAGGAAGGGGCACCAACTGAGGGATCAGATGACCCGATCCTGATTGGGTTCCGCTCCTACGCACTGAGTGTGACCTAGGAGAAGTCAATCAATCATGAGGACCCTCAACTTTCCTTTCTGTAAAATAGAAATAATTGGTCTTTCCTGCTTCCTAGAGTGTTATGTTAAATGAAATCACTCTTAAACCAGTGCTTTGAAGGGCATTCTTAATGATGTTTCAGCAAAAATACAGATCAGCCTGTCAAGGAGGGGATATTCCCAAACGTGCCTGTGCAGAAGTTAAGACCTGGACCCAGGAGTCAGACCCCCACATCTACGCCACCACTCGGTAGCTGTGTCACCCTGGGCATGTTGGTGAACCCTTCTGTGCCTCCATTGTCTCATCTGTAGTTTAGGAAAAATAATAGTGCCCACTTCACTGGGTTGTTTCCAGGACTAAATTATACAATATATGTGAATATTTAGAACACTGACTGGCCCCTAATAAGCACTAACTAAATGTTCATTAATAATTGCAATTCACATGTAACAAAGAGACAGTAGGAAGCAGCCATGAAACCTTTAGACTCTCAGGGCCATGCTGTGCCTCCTTTCTCAGTGGTTCTTCTGGCTGGAAATATTGCTTCTGGAGGGTCGCTGAGATGATGCCCCATGTGACACAGGAAACAGTGTATTATTTCTCACAACTTTTTTTTTTTTTTTTTTTTTTTTTGAGACAGGATCTCGCTCTGCCACCCAGGCTGGAGTGGTGCACTGGCATAATCATAGCTCACTACAACCTAGACCTCTTGTGCTCAAATAATCCTCCCACCTCAGCCTCCCGAGTAGCTGGGACTACAGTCATGGGCTACTACTCCCAGCTAATTTCTTTTGTAGAGACAGGGTCTCATTATGTTGCCCAGGCTGGTGTTGAACTCCTGGCCTCAAGTGATCCTCCAGCCTCAGCCTCCCATCAGTGCTGGGATCACAAATGTGAGCCACCATGCCTGGCCTATTTCTCATGACTCTGTCTGGGGCATGAACCAGGAGGTAAGAGAACCAGGAGACCTGGAAGGAGCTTCCCCTCTCTGATAGCAGAGGCAGGCCTGGGATTCCCATCCATTGCTCCGCCCACTTGTGGTGGGGCCTGCCAGCTCCATCCTACACTGCAAATGATCCAGCTGGGCTGGGGCATAGTAGCCCAGAAGTTGCCCACTGTACTGAGCAGGCAGCTGTCTCACATGTTGCTGGGCCTGAGGAGCACAGGACATACAATTGGGACAATTTGGACCACAACCACACAAAATTGCTTCTAATCCAAACTACTTCCTTCTTCCAGTGCTATCCAGAAGTGAGATGGCATTTACTGAGCACACACAATTGCATTTCCAGGAGCAACAGAATCAGAGGGAGCCCCCAGCAGTGAGTGTCAAGAAACTCACAGTGGAAGACAGGGTAGGGACTCAGGAATATATCCATATGGATCCTTATAGATCCATATTGCTAACACTGCCACTTGCTTACCTGACTTGGGAGATTAGAATAACCTTTTCATTTTTTACCCCCAGGAAAAAGTTATCCCTAAATGCATTTTCACTTTATGAGCCAAGGGTGGAGCCAAGGAAGGGTACTTTGGGGTGGGCTCATGAGTTTGGAATCTGATCCTTTCTTGAGGCTTGAGCTGGCTGAAAAGGAAGGGGAGGGTTAATGCATTCAGACCCCTGCTGGAACCCAGAGGACGTGGAGTCAGCTGTCTCGTGACACTGCTATTTTAAGACACTTTGAGATTTTGAAATGAATTGAAGATGGAACCAGCAGCAGGGAAAGGCACCTCTTTATGGCCCCTTGGTATACTACTAAGAGGGCTAAGGTGCCTGGGGCTTTTAGTGCCACCTTCCAGAAATGCCCTGCAACCCCAGCACACTTGTGTGTGTGCAACACACACACACATACACACACACTCATTCCTGGGATTGCCCCATGTAAAACTCTATGGGGTGTAAAATAAAACACCCTGGACACCATAGCTGTGGGTGCTTCCAGCTGCTCCTCCATGCAAAGACCCCACCGCCACCATCCCTCCCAACCCCCATTACCCCTCCTGGGCTTTCAGGACTCCCCCCTCCACCACCACCCCAGAGAGGAGGAGTGAGACTGTGCCAGGAGCTGAAGTCCCCATCCTCACTCTCGTGCTCACTAATTGATTATGTGGCAGCTTAATTTGTTGATCATGGATATGTGGAGGTATTTTCAGAAGCAAAATGCTCTTTGTATGTGTGTGCTCCTCAAAGGAGAGCTGCTTGATTTGGGGCATTTGTGAGGGTGGCACAGGCCTGCCAGCTCCCCTGGGGACAATGGATGTGTCAGGGCAGGGATAGAGTGGTGGGAGCAGGCAGAGGATCCCTAAGTTCTGTCTGAATCTGTGTGGCAGGCCCTCATTCCACCCTGGCCCTGCCTGCCTTTCCACAGTAGCTTTTTAATATTCTCTCCCCTTCTTCTATTTCTTATTGCTCTTATTCCCATTTTTCTCTGCCTCCCTCTCCTGTTTCTTCTGTTTTTCCCTCTGTCCCTTGCCATTGGAAGTGTGGTCTCTGAACCAGAAGCATCAACAGATGCTCCAGACCTACCGAATACAACATCCCTGCTCCAGACCTATAGAATAGCCTGCATTTTGAGAAGACTGCAGATCAATTACATGCACATTGATGTATGAGAAGGGCCATTGAGTCTATTCTTCTTATTTCTTCTTTACCAGCCCATAGCTTGATCTCAGTCCTTCTCCTCACCCCTCCCACCTTCTGTCTTTTTGTTTCCTGTTCTCTTCTGCCCTCTGGCCTTTCTCTCTTTTTCTTCTTCTTCCCTGCCTCCTTCGTTTCTTCCTTTCCTTTCCTTCTTTCTTCCTCTCCTTTCTGCATTCATTTATTCATCCTTTCACTTACTTATTCTCCCTTTTCCCTCTGATTCTCCACACTTCTTTCCTTCTGTATCTATTTCCCTCTCTTTGCCCCATCTCTTCCTCTTCTTCTTGCTGAAGCTTAAGAGAAAACACAAATGTCCTTTCATCCCCTCCTGCCCCACGCCGCCCACCGTGCTTGCCCACCCAGCCCATCTTCTTCCTTTTCCTCAAACTGCCCTGAATCTAAGGTGAAGTAAGCCTCCTGCTAAAGCAGGTGGTGTGGAAGCCCCAGGCCCAGCAACCCCACCAGGCAGCCCTGGGTTGTACCTGCAGAGGATTTTTTGTGCTTATGGCGATGACGTGGTACTTGTAGTAGCACAGCTCGCAGCTCCAGCAGCCCCGCTCGCTGATCCACTTGATGAGGCAAGGCTGGTGTGTGCACTTGACCGAGCCATCACAGCGGCATGGGCTCAGCAGCTCCCCCTGCAGGGAGAGAGCACAGGGTGATGAGGCTGAGACCTACAGTGGCTGGTGGGTGAGTGATGGGCGGGAGGGTGGCAGCTGCAGCCTGGTTTGAGCCACCCAAGTAGGCCACAGGCTTTGTTTGGGGGCACCAGACTCCATGGAGGAGGCCTGGGCTCCTGCACCCCCACCATGAGAGCCAAACCATGTTGGTCAGCACAACAAACGGCTCTGAGCCCCTGCTACTGCTTGATACAGCACAGTACTATTAATTACTAAGGTTCTACGAACATGAGCGGGCTGGTTTCTGCGGAAGCCTCTGCTGTTCACAGTGGGGTGTCAGGCTGCAGAAGTGTCTCCGTAAAGGCTCAGCCAAGAGTTGCAAACTCAAATGCCCTCAAGGACAGACAGGCAACAGAGATAACAAAAGCTAGCTAGTGGAGACTGAATTGGAAGGATCAGACCCAAGCTAAAGGGAAAGCCACCATCAGCTCTAGCCAGTGTAGATGTGGGGATCTAGGAGGTTGGACAAATGCCCTCACTGAAGGCCTGGGTCCCTCCAGTCACCCTTGGGTCTGGCTGGGGGTAGCTAGGAAGCCCAGTTTGGAGGAGTTGGAATCAGAGAGGCAGAGGACTCAACTGAGCAAGATGGTGTGAGGATTTGAAACTTCCTTTGAGTGGACGGCAGCATTGGGCTCACTCTCCAGAACTTCCCATGACCATATGTCAGATGGCCATGGCTGAAACCTGTGTTTTTTGTTTGTTTGTTGTTTTTGGAACAGGATCTCACTCTGCTGCCCAGTCTGGAGTGCAGTGGCACGATTGCGGCTAACTGCAACCTTGATCTTCTGAGCTCAAGTGATCCTCTGGCCTCGGCCTCCCAAGTAGCTGAAACTACAGGCATGCACCACCATGCCCGACTAATTTTTTATTTTTTTTGTGAGATGGGGTCTCTTCATGTTGCCCAGGCTGGTCTTGAAATTACGGATTTCCATCTGCCTCTGTAATCATGCACTTGGCTGCAGACTATAGAATCAGCTCTTCCTTCTAAGATTCCTGGAATCATATTTCTTTTCCATTTCAACTCCTATCATTCAAGGATCTCATTGTGGCCTGGCTGAGGTTTGGAATGTCCTTTAACACCTGGTCTACCTGTCAGCTGTTACTGTCTTCAAGATGATTCGAATGCCGCCTCCTACTGGGAGTGGTCCCTGACTTCTCCAGGTTGAGCACAGTGCTTTGAGCTCTGAGTGCCTTATGCTGAGTGACTTGGGCTCATCCCTGTTAGCACACTTGGCACATCATTATGAGGATCTATGCATATCCCTGTCTACCCACGAGAGGAGCCCCAGAAGGCAGGGTGAGGTATTCATCTTTGCACCCCTTTCCTCCAGTGCCAAGCCCTAAATAAGTTTTCATGTTTGAATAAGTACATGAAAAAATAAATCAAGTGTCTTCTCAGGTTGCCTGCACTGCCTTGAGGAACAGGAATGAGAATGCCCACTCCGTGAGAATGGGAACCACATCCATTTTGTTAACTCTGGGAACAAACATCTTGCTCAGTGCCTGGCACTCTGTATTTGCGCAATAAATGAACTTGGCAGAAATGCTCAGGTGCTCATCCCCATGAAACCCTCCTTGGTTCCCCACTCTGCTCCTCCAATAACAACAGGCCCTCTTTGCTGTGGCTCCAGGCCCTTCCCATACCCTCTGTTATAGCATGCCCCCATTTGCTCCTCACAGGGACAATATCTTATCCATCTTTGCAGCCCTAACATCTAGTAAAGGGCCTGGTAAAGTTTGATACTCAATCCAATTTTGAGAGCTGAATGCACGCATATCTGTTTTATGAACGAGAAGTTTTGCTTCTCTAGGACATGGCCAGCCTTTGACTACAGGTAGGCAGCCACCTCCTGGAGAGGAGAAGAAGAGGCTGGAGATGCCCACGTTGCTGGGTATTTGGCACACCCATCACGGCCTAAGGGCCCTTGTACTGAGGAGCTGCTATATGACTCTGAAAAGGAAACAGGAGGGGATGAGTGGAGAGACATGCTGGGGGAGGGGTGGAATTCCTCATTATTCGTGGCAGCATTTCCTAGGCTCATTAATTCTAACAGGATGAGCTGGGTTTGATTAATCGGATTGTTAAGCAGCCACGTCAAATTGCCCATCAGGTAAGAGACATTACTTCTGGTCCCTGGCAACGGTGCTGAATGACAGTGAAGTCTCCACGCCTTGCTTCCCAAGCAGCAGCCAAGAGACAAGGCAGGAAGAGCTGCTGCCTGGGGCACAGCTGATAACAAGACCCGGGCTCTGGTTGTGGGACCATTGGGGCTCATGGGAGCCCCCTGAGCCTCAGCATGCTAATCTGGGTGGAGAAAGGAGGAGCGTGACCTGGCCTAATCCCAGTGCCTGGCTAAGGGACAAGAGGCCAGGACTATGCTGCTTCCCCTCCAGCGAACCATTCATTTTCCTTTAGGGAGAAGAAAACCCCAAAAGACAGCATAGGGACTTGCTTCTGGCATTACAAATATTAGAAAGCAAGGATGGTCCAGGTGCAGTGGCTCACGCCTGTAATGCCACACTTTGGGAGGCCGAGGCAGGTGAATCACTTGAGGTCAGGGGTTCAAGACCAGCCTGGCCAACATGGCGAAACCCCATCTCTACAAAAAATATAAAAATTAGCTGGCCATGGTGGCATGCTCCTAAAACGCCAGCTACTCGGGAGGCTGAGGCAGGAGAATTACTTGAACCAAGGAGGCAGAGGCAGAGGTTGCAGTGCCAGCCTGGGCGACAGAGTGCAACTCCATCTAAAAAAAAAAAAAAGAAGAAGAAGAAAATAAAGCAAGGACAACAAACTGTTAGAAAAGTTTAACTTTGATAAAGGAAAAAGGAAGTGATGATTGGGTATTTGCTGTGGGGGTTGGGTGGAATCCAGAGAAACGAGCTATTTTAACTCTTGCATTCAGGCAAATTTTGTAGGTTATGATTTAGTGTATTTCTATATACATTTCGGGGAAAGCCCATCATCTTTTTAGTGTTTAGGGCTTCTAAAAAGCTTTCACAGGGACTCTTTGCCAACTACTGGTCAGACCTGTATGTCTCCAAGAACAACAGAAGTGGAAATGAGCCAGATGGATTCAAGCTAAACTTAGGAAGACGCTCTTTGCAGTAAGCTCTGTTAAAAGCTACATGGACACTGAGATGAATTCTCGCCCCCTCTACCCTAGTAAAATTCTCTCAATATAAGAGATATCTCTGATTGAGGAGAAAGGTTAAATGACTCACTCAAGGTCACACGGGCGTCAGACGCTGAGCTTCACCACCCGCTGTGCTCATCCACCTTCCATCCTCTGGATCCTGCTGCCCCACCTGCACCTGTGCCTGTAAGTCTCCCCTTCTCCAGGTCCCACCCCAATTCCTGGCCCAGCTCAGACCCTCAGCCAAGTCTCCCACCATCATCCACAGTTTGGTACTTCACCATTTTCAAATGCTCTGGGATTAGAGCTGCTCCTACATACCCCCTAGAACTGAGCACATCAGCGATGTACAATTAAGGCGTGCTTACTAATTGAACAGGCCCTAGGGTATGGGAAAGGAAAAGCCCCTCTGGTCCAGCTACTGCGGCTCCAGCATTTGGGCTGGGAGGATTACTGTGATCTTGTTTGCAGAGCTCAGCAAACTCCACAGATCAAAGGGACTCATTAAATGCAAAGGGCACCAGACACTTCCTCAATGATCTGCTCAGAGTGCTGGGGCCAGAGACTGCCCTGGGAATGACTAAAACAAGAAAAATGGGATCTTCTCTAATCATCTGGCCCCCAAGGGACACACTGTGGGGGAGTGGTGAAGAACATGGTTTCATTGTTCAATTCCCAATGAGAACACGTGGACACAGGAAGGGGAACATCACACACCCGGGACTGTTGTGGGGTGGGGGGAGGGGGGAGGGATAGCATTAGGAGATATACCTAATGCTAAACGACGAGTTAATGGGTGCAGTACACCAACATGGCACACGTATACATATGTAACAAACCTGCAGGTTGTGCACATGTACCCTAAAACTTAAAGTATAATAATAATAAAATTAAAAAAAAAAAAGAACATGGTTTTGGGAAACAGCCGCTTTGTTTTTGAGTGTCTGTTCACCAGCTGTGCAAATTTAGCCAAGTCTCTTAACCTCTCTGAGGCTCCATTTCTTCATCTTTCCGTTGCAAGTAACTCTTACCTCCTCAAGGGTAATTGTAAGGATTTTTTTTTTCCTTTGAGACACGATTTCACTCTGTTGCCCAGGCTGGGGTGCAGAGTAGCATGATCATGGCTCACTGCAGCCTTGAGCTCCCCAGGCTCAAGTGATCCTCCCACCTCAGCCTCTTGAGTAGCTGGGACTACAGGCACATGCCACCATGCCCAGCAACATGTATTGTACTTTTTGTAGAGGTGAGATTTCACCACGTAGCCCAGGCTGATCTCAAACTCCTAGGCTTAAATGATCCTCCGGCCTCAGCCTCCCAAAGTGTAGGGATTACAGGCGTGAGCCATTGTGCCTGGCCTGTAAGGGTTAAATGAGATCATATATGCAAGAGTTTGACACAGTGCATGGCACAAGTAAGTCCTCCTGTTAAACTATTACAATTCTAACTCACATTTCTGTAAGAACTTTAATTTCATAGTTTTTTCTTCTGCAACTCTATTTCCTACTGTCACTCTAAGACAGGTGAAATAGATAAGGAAGGGAACGACCGCCTAAAGAAAAGAGTCAGTTGAGTCACCAAGAGCAGTAAAGATTAAAGAATTTTCTAAGAGACTCTGCCCTCCTGGGATGGATAAGGGACCCTGACTTCTAGCCCAAGATTGTTCCTTATGTCACCTTGGGGACACTGGGAGCATCTGGGGAAGCTTCTTTTCAGGGGATGCCAAACAGAAGAAGAGTGCAGGCCTCTTGCATGGGTTAAGTGGGGTCGTGCTAGAGGCAGGAGGCAGGAGGCAGGAGGTGACCCTTTTAGCCTTGGTTGTGATGGAGGTGGTGGGAGGGAGAACAGATGTATTCCGCTCACTGCAGTGGGAGACAATAATATGCCTCCCCAAAATACGAAGGCGTGTTGAGCTAAGACAATTAAGAAGCAGCAGATTTAGGAGAGCTCTCTGCTCTTTCTCTATTTGCATAAAAGCAGGACATAGATTTACAAAGACAAAAGTTATCCTGCCTCTCCCTCTCCATCAGGAGAACAAAGGTAAACACTGAAGACAGCTTTAGACCCTCATCAGCCTCCAGATGACACCAGAGGAATTTATATATATCTATATATGAAAATATATAAAAATTTATATATATATAAACATATATATATATATATTTATTTTTATTTATTTATTTTTTTTGGAGACAGAGTCTCGCTCTGTCACCCAGGCTGGAGTGCAGTGGCACGATCTCAGCTCACTGCAAGGCTTACTGCAATAGAGGAATTTATATTAACGAGCTTTACTCACTGAAGTTCTTTTGCCCTTTGTTTTCTTCCCCACCCGCCCCCCACCCAAGTTGCTGCCCATAGAGACTCAAAGTCCTTTTCCTTTGTCTTGCCACTTCTCTAAAAATATATTGTTTTTGTTGAAGATGCTGTATTAGCCAGAGTTCTAAGCCAGTGAATTGCCTTTCATTGAAGTTTCTCCCACATGATACACACTGCATACCCTAATAAACTTGCTCGTTTTTCTCTTGTTTATCTGTCTTTTGTTACAAGGGTCTGTCCCAACTAGAAACTTGTGATGGTTGAGGAGAAATTGTTTCCCTCCCAACACTGCCAATAACACAGCAAGCTGCAGACGCCAGTCTCCAGTTGTTTCTCCATTTATAGATTTCTTTCTGTTTATTTTGAGCTTGTTTCATTTTTCACATCTTTCAGTCTGAAGGTCTTGCTTCTGGAGTCCCTAGCTTACCTGGTTGCCATGGTAGTGACAGGTAAACCAAAGACTTCCTTTTCTGCCCACACAGGTGTCAGGCATCCCTGCCACTAAGTAGAAAGAAATAAATACAGTCTAGTGTAGCAAAGGCAGTCGTGTACCATGCTGTAGTTTGGAAATCAGAGAGAATAGAAAAAGGAGACAATAGGAACACCAGCCTTGGGGTGCAGTTTAGGGGCATAATCCTTTAATAAGACTAATATGGTGGTGAAAAGCTTGGGCTCTAATCTCAGGAAGACTTGGGTATATCCAAGCTGTTACAATCTGTGTGACCCTGGGCAAGTTGCTTAACGTCTCTGGGCCTTGCTCAATTATCATTTATTCATTAAATATTTATCTACTATGTTCCAGGTTTTGTTTTAGGTGATAAGGATACTGCAGTGAATGGAACTGACTAAAATTCTCTAGTCAAGACAGACAATAAATATGATTAAAAAGTAAACCATATATACCTAAGAGACTGTTATGTGCTATGGAGAAAAATAAGCAGGGAAAAGGGAAATGGAATAGAAAGGAGGGGGTGAGTTGAAATCCTACATAGGGTGACTGTGTATGAAGGCTTCACTCAATGGAGGTATTTGAGTGAAGAGCTGAGGAAAGTAAGGGAGCAAGCCATACAGTTATTTGGGGGCTGAGCATTCCAGACAGAGGGAATATCAAGTGCAAAGGCCCTGAGGCAGAAACATGCCTGGTATGTTCTAGGGGAACCAAAAAGGCTGGTGTCTCTGGGGTAGAGTAGTTTAGAGGAAGAGGAGCCGAAAATGAAGTTAGAGATATAACAGGGATCAAGAGTCAGGGGACAGATCAGGCCAGGCTTGTGAATCATTTTAAGGACTTGGCATTTGTGAGTGAGATGGGCAATCATGAGTGTTTTGAGCAGAGGAGAGTGGCATGATCTGATCATATTTGACAGGATCACTGGCTGCTCTATTGTAAACAGACTGGAGGGAAATAAGGGCTGGTGTTGTGTTCATCCAGGTGAGTCACGATGGTGTTTTGGACCACTATTGTAGCAGAGGAAGTCCTGAGAAATGGTCAGTTTCAGGATACATTTTGAGGATGTAGATGTTAAGATTTGCTGATGGATTGGATGTGGTAAGGAGAGAAGTAGAAAAGTCAAGAATGATGCTAATTTTTACCTGCACAATGAGAAGGATGGGGAGTTACCTTTAATTGAGATGAGAAAGACTGAAGGAGTTGCAGGTTTGGAGGAAAGATTGGGAGCTCAGTTTCAAAGTGTCAACTTTGAGATGCCTGTTAGATATCCAGGAGGCGATGTCACGTAAGTACTGAGATACATGTTAATCTGGAGTTTAGGGGAAGGTCCAGGCTCAAGATATAAATTTGAGAGTCATTTGGTGTACAGATGGTGTTAAAAGCTGAGTCTGAATGAGACAACCAAAGCAGTGAGTATAGGTAGGAAAAGGAAGGGGTGCCAGAGGTGATCGCTAGAGGATGCCAATGTTTAGAGGTCAGGAGATGTAGAAGAACCAGCAGAAGAGACTGAGAAGGGAAGCTCAATGAGATGGCAAGAGGACATTTTTCCAAAAGCCAAGAAGACGACACTGTTTCAAGAAAACAGGGAGTAATGGACCTTGTCAAGTGCTGCTGATGGGAACCAAGCATTAACCGTGGACCTGGCAAGTTTTCTTTCTGGTTTCTTCTATTTTCTTAGTGCAATATGAAGAAAAGGCATACGCTGAGAGTGAAGATTGGCGGGGGAGGTCCTGGATGTCTGAGGACTGGTATAAAATAGTCATCCAGGAGAGTTCTAGGGCAATTAGACTAGAGAAATAAAGTATGCTTATGGGCAGCATGAAGTGTCCTTTCTATTAAAATAAAATGGCTCATCTGTGAAACTGAGGGAGGAGGGTAGTAAGAGACTCTGTTTAGCTCCATGCCTGGCACACAGTAAGCTCTCAGTAAATGCTGGCTAATAGGTAAGAGTTTATAGCAGATCTCCTCACTTCTAAGCCTACCTTCTCACCCACTTCAAATGTTGATCAATTTTCTGGCTTCCTTTCTTTCTCCTCTCTGTAACATTTTCTTATTAATAATTCTATTGTTATAAATATTTCACAGTTCTACATACAAACACTTTCACAGACATTATACCAACTACTACCTCAAAAGCTAAGTGAAGCTAATAACAATTTCCTTCACTTTATAGATGAAGATAGAGAGGTTGTTACTTGCTCAAGAAAATGGAAAAGGAGGGCTCTGGAACCCGTCTGTCCACCAAATTTACCCACATCCTCTCTGCCCATTGCAGTGACTCTTGCCTTCTGTCTCTTCTCCCACCCACAGCAGCCTGTCCATCAGACCCTTACCTTCCTTGTCCCTATGTAAGAGATGCCCTTGCTGGCTCCCCTGTTATCATATTAACACCAAGACAGAAACCATATTGTGTTTTCCTCTGAGTCCCTTTCCTCTAAACCAGTTCCTGGTTGGTAGTATTTACTGGGGATTATTTGATGTGTGTTTATGTTAGGGGGTGGGACAACATGGGGTTTTACTTCCCCTTCACACTTTATTTACAACCCCACCCTTGGTGAGGGGGAGATATCTGTTAAGAGAAAGTTAAGGGACAGAGGTTTTTGGAAGCATAGCAACCCATTAAAATTTGCTCTGAGATGGAGTCCACATTAGCAGGAAATGTCCAGTTGCCTTGTAGTTGTTCCACTGTGAAGACTCAGAGAATCTAGAGAATCTAAAGCCTTAAAATCAGAATTTCCCCTCCAGGGTGGAGGTGGAGCCCATGTGTATTAGTGTGGGGAGGAATGGGTATAGGAGCAGAAAAATTCACTGGATTTGTGGAGAAGAATAAGGAGAGATGACAGAGAAAGTAGGAATTCTCCAGTGTCCGTATTAGATCATCTCTATGATGATAGACTTGAGACAGAAAGTACTGTTTTGTAACACTTCTTGGACTCTACATTTGAGGAACCAGCTAACAATAAGGCTTGTCAGTAACACACACACAACCAACTTTATTGGCACAACCAAACTGTGTGTGATATTGACCAACTATTTGTGTCTGTGATCCGGGTTGGTGGAAAGGGTTCGGCGGGGGAGGAGACAAAAGAGGATCACCAATGGGGCCAGCGAATAGAAATAAGCTAGGAGAAACCAGAAGATTCCAGTGTCTTCTTCCTTCAGGACACCAGGCAGTAATTTCTTCACTCTACAGACCTGTGGGAGGTCAATGTATCCTGGTATCAGGATCAAGAAAAATGACCTATCATGAAGACCTTCTTTCCAACAAAGATTGTGGAGGAGAGATGAATGGAGAAGGGTTTGACTCCTGCTGCCCTAGAGAATGATTAAGTGAGTTAAGTGAGTTTCCCCCTTATCTGTGGGAGACAGGCCGATTGGCAAGATGACCTTCAAAGATCCTCTATGGCCCTAGAATCCATTGCTGTTCACAGACCAGCCAATCTGAATTCTCCTCATGTGGTGTCTGATAGCGTGTGAGCAGCTCTTTGTTTTCTGGCTGGAGTCCGTCCCAGCCAATCCTTTAGCTGCACCACCCGTCCATGGCATTTCACATGCTCCCTTCCCAGCCAGCTCATGCTGGGCTTCTCGCTTCCCTCCTGATGGCACCAAGGCCAAGTCTTGGCTTCAGGAGACTAACAGTGTGTTGACACTGGCAAGAGGAAATAAGGCATTGTTGCAAGATAATTTGATTAAAAAAAGAAAGAACTCTATTACTAGGGAAAAAAGATTTAAGGCCTTAATGAGCTGTAGTTATCTACACTAAATCCAATTAACCACATAATTATTTCTAGTTCTACTCTCCTACCAGCAGCTTACTTTCACACAAACACACATACACACGTTTAATCTGCTTCCGTCTTCATGGAATATTTTCCAGCCTTTCTGCTCATCATTTCAATGTAAAAAAAAAAAAAAAAACAATGTAAAAAGAGACAAGGAAAACAAACAGATCCAAGCCAAACCCTCCAAACTATGTTTTTCATTTTCACAATAATTATTTTGTTCCTACAGTGCTTTTCTCCCTATAATTTTACTGGTATAAGACAAATGTACCTATTTCCTCTAACTGCCTCTAAATTTACTCAACCAGTACTAGAAAGAAGAACTTAGCCTCACAATAATTGAATTTAAATAACATCCAATTCTATGAAGTCAAACATGATCTGCATAATAAACAAACCAAGCTATATGGGGTCTGGCGGAAAAAAAGGTCACGTTTAATGTGTACATTTATAATCATATCTGTATTTCTAATGACCTAAATGTGTAATATACTGTCCGTTTGTCTTTCTGCATAACTCATCATTACCATCACCATTGTTACCAAACAGCTACAGTTAAAGACTGACCTGCTCTCAGTTCTCCCCCTGGCTAAATAGAAAAGCATAATTTAGATAAATCTTGCATGACCAGAATTGCGCTATTTGCATATGTTGGGCTGGGCCTGTTTTCAAGGTCCAGGCCACTACCCTGAAATTTCAGGGATGCCAGGTCACCATGTTCTCTTTCTTTCCCAGAAATCAAGCCAAGGCAAAGGCACAGGCCCCCTGGCAAGTTAAGTGGCAAATACTCTTGCCTCTTACGAGCAGCCTTCCGTACACAGGCAGAGGGATCCCAGCCTCAGCTGTGCAAAACCCTCATGGTGTTCTTTGTAGGAGCTATGGTGAAATTCTTCAAAAATTAATTTTCAGTCACTGTAATTAATATTCAGTGTATTCAGGGGAAACAGCAGATGTTGCAAGTGCAAATGAGCTGTGATGACAAGTTACACTTCACTAATGTTCCGGATCATGGCCCCAGGCACTTAGAAACACTTCTGTGTATCACTGACTCTTACAAAGCAAGAAAAGCAAGATCTTTCCTAAGAATCAATTCCAGCTCTGCCACCCTCTCAGGCTGGCAGCCATGGGCTTAAGCAATCTAAGCCTTGATTTCTTGGTTCTCAGAGTTTGGCATGTGTAAGAATCACCTGGGAGGCTTGTTACGCATTCAGAAGCTCAGGCTTCACTCCAGAGATTCTGATTCCATGAAGACCCTCTCTTCTTCTCTTGAAGTAAGGTTGGCTGAGACTCATTTTGTGAAGCGCTGGACCAGATACTCTTCAGCAAACCTTGTCTCCTACATTAAGACTCTTATGTATACAAAGATAAAAATAAATACTAATAGCTGAAACTTACTGAGCACTTATCAGGTGCCCAACCCTGTATGCAAGCATTGACTGCTGGGTTCAAATCCCAGTTCTTCCACTTGCTTGGTGAGGGATGTTGTGCAAGGTACTTACCTACTCCAAACCCCATCCACACCATCTGCAGCTATACCGCTTTGCCAGTGCTTCTGCTATTGTTGCAGCCTCTCTTGGTAGCTCACGCCTTTGAACATGTACTAGAGGCTAGGTATTGTCCTGAGCACCTGATATGCATGGGGTGATACAGCATGGTTAGCGGGGCCTGCAGACCGAGGCTGGCTGGGTTGAATCCTTGCTGACCTGTAGTGAGTTTTCTCAGGGGTAAAGTAGGATCAAAGATACTTCCTGCCTCCCAGGTGCTCATGAGGATTCAATGGGATAACACAAGGTGAGGGTTTTTGTTTTTTGTTTTGTTTTGTTTTTTGAGACAGGGTCTTGCCCTGTCACCCAGGCTGGAGTGTAGTGGCGTGATCTCAACTTACTTCAGCCCTCAACTTTCTGGGCTTAAGCTATCCTCCCGCCTCAGCCTCCTGAGTTGCTGGGATTACAGGCCTGCACCACCGTGCCCTAATTCTGTTTATTTTTTGTAGAGATGGGGTCTCGCCATGTTGCCATGTTGGGATTACAGGCGTGAGCCACTGCACCCGGCTGTGAGATGTTCTTAGGACCCTGTCTGAAACCTAGGGAGTGTTTATTGTGGTGTCATTGTTGGCTTTCATGTACCCACCTATCCATACTTCATCCCTTCACATGCTAACAAAAAGAGGTAGGGAGAGGACACTGCTTTCTTTGCTTGTGGACAAGGGGTGCCTTCTGTGTATGGCCTTCCCAGGCACCTCACTTTACTGCCTTGTAAATGAAGTTCATCAGTCTGAAATCTGAGAGTGTGTATTTGCCTGGGAGCCTAGATCATGTGTGTGGGTAATAACTATGCTGAAAGCCAGTTGTCTCCAGGTGTGGCTAACAGCCCTGTTGTGTCAAGGGGAGGAAAGAACAAAACAGATACCCCATGACTGGGTGCGGTGGCTCACGCCTGTAATTCCAGCACTGTGGGAGGCCGAGGCAGGTGGATCACGTGGTCAGGAGTTCGAGACCAGCCTGGCCAACATGGCGAAACCCTGTTTCTACTAAAAATAGAAAAATTAGCCGGGCATGGTGGCAAATGCCTGTAATCCCAGCTACTAGGGGGGTTGAGGCAGGAGGATCGATTGAACCTGGGAGGTGGAGGTTGCAGTGAGCCAAGATCGTGCCACTGCACTCCAGCCTGGGCAACAGAGCAAGACTCCATCTCAATAAATAAACAAACAAACAAAAATAAATAAAAATAAAAGTACAAAAAAAATTACTCGAGCCTGGTGGCATGTGCCTGTAGTCCCAGCTACTTGGGAGGCTGAGGCAGGAGAATCGCTTGCACCCGGGAGGCAGAGGTTGCAGTGGGCTGAGATCGTGCCACTGCACTCCAGTCTGGGCGACAGAGCGAGACTCCATCTCAAACAAAACAAAACAAAAAAATCAGATACCCCAGCCCTTTCTGCACCTGCCGGCCTCCATGTCTCTTCCTAAGGACTCACCCCTCCCCAAGCCTTCTTCCTGCACATGTGTGTGTTTCTACCTCCTGTGACCAGAGGAAACAAACAGCATCTCCTCTCCTTACTTCCTGGCTTTCAGGTAGGGCTGTGAGCTTGTGTGTTTCTAGGAGCAACTGGGGGTTTTGTTTTGTCTGCAGAAAGTGAAAGCAGGGTCCAGAGGGTAAAATGATCTGCATTTTAAGAGCTTAGCAAGGAAAGGGGAATGGGAGAAAGAAAAAGAAACCTCTGCCCTATCATTTTCTCTGCCCACTTTATAAAGACATTGCAGTAAACATTTAAATTGTTTTTCAATTCTTTCTCTATGTGGGACTTGTATTTCTTCTTCATTATCAGCTTCATCATTATACTCAATTTAAACTGAAAAACCTGCCACCCAGAGAGGGCACTGGCCTTTCTGAGGGTGGCGTAATGGGGCAGCACTGAACTAGGAAAAAATTGAAGACCAAACCCTACTCTGGGCTCAGAGCACCAAAGGGTGGGTCCTGCGCCCCTGGGAGATTGATGCCTCGTCGTTCTCACCAGGTGATAGCCGTGCCAGAGTCTGCTGGAAACCTGGCCCAGTTCTTTTCACACCTCTCAAGGAAACGTACTATTCCTGAAATCTTGGCTCCAGTTCCCTGTCAGGAATAAGCATGCTAAGTAGAATCTGAATTACTATGGCGTGTGAATAGACTTCGGTCTGTTGACTCCAAGCTTCTGCTAAGCTGCTCCAAGTGGCTGTAGCTTCTGTCATCTTGGCAATTTTATTTTCTGTTTCAAAGAATTCTACATTCCTTACTTCTAGAGCTGGGAAGGGCCTGGTCATCAAAGGTCCTCCTCTCCTCCCCCAGCATCTGGTCAGACTGCCTACCCCCAGTCCTGGCAGATGGAAGGGAGCTCTGGGGTCTTCCTTGCTCACCAGTGCCTTCCAGTTTTCCCATTCCGATCCATATGTGAAAACCAACATGAGACAGGGCCAAAGCTCATAGAACAGCCCACACCTCTGCACTCAGGGATCAGGGGGATATTTATGGACCAGCACTGTTTCCGTCCAAAGGAGAGAGGCCATAGCCCATGGTCTTCTTCTTGGTTTTGTTTTGTTTTTTGAGATGGCATTTCCCTCTTGTTGCCCAGGCTGGAGTGCAGTGGCACAATCTCAGCTCACCGCAACGTCCGCCTCCCCTGGGTTCAAGCAATTCTTTTGCCTTAGCCTCCCACGTAGCTGGGATTACAGGCATGTGCCACCACACCCGCCTAATGTTTTTGTATTTTTAGTAGAGACAGGGTTTCTCCATGTTGGTCAGGCTGATCTCGAACTCCCCACCTCAGGTGATCCACTCGGCTCGGCATCCCAAAGTAAGCCACCACACCCCTCCCCTATGGTCTTCTTTTAGGAGCCATTCAGCGGCATTGGTTGAGCACTGACTCTTAGCCCTGGTGTTGAGAACTCAAGAGGGCACCTGCCCAAGAGACAGTCACAAACGAGGACACACTCTCTCAAATCCAGATGGATTCTCAGCTTTTGCCATGCTTTTTAGGCCTATATTTCACTTAATTAATAGCTGGTATATAACATATTACCTTTTTTATTTCAGATGACTAGATAGTTAAACAAGCAATCAGGACCTGCTGTTCTCAGTTATTTTCTGGGATTTGGTGACCCAACTTCATGTTCCCCATCCTCTTATGCTTCACAATTATTTAATCTTCATTCATCTTCTGCTCAACCATCCTCCATCCACCCTGAAAAGTTCTATTTTTAAATTCTATTCTCATGTCATTGATCATTTCAACAACCACTTTTTTTCCAGACTACTTTTACCAGTCTTTTAGGTTTTTTTTTTTTTTTTTTTTTTTTTTTTTACAGGGTCTGACTCTGTTGTCCAGACTGGAGAGTACAGTGGCACAGTATGGCTCACTGCAGCCTTGACCTCGCAGGCTCAAGTGATTCTCCAACCTCAGCCTCCTGGGTAGCTGGGACTACAGGTGTGTGCCACCACGCTCAGCTCATTTTTGTATTTTTTGTAGAAATGGGGTTTCACCATGTTTCCCAGGCTGGTCTCAAACTCCTGGGCTCAAGAGATTCACCTGCTTTGGCCTCCCAGAGTGCTGGGATTACAGGCGTGAGCCACTATGCACAGCCTCTGTTAGGTTTTTAAGGTATGTTTTCCTGCTACATTTGAGATAGCCATGGATGTATGTGCCCAGAGGCTGGGAAGGAAAAATTATTCCCATCTTAAAATATCTTAAAAATATGTACAGATTTATTGTAAATCAAAATTTTCCTCATAACTACAGCCCCTTCCCACACATAAAATTCCCCCTAAATCAGGAACATAATGTACAGCCTGTTTTTAACTTGTATTTTTCCATTCACACTATGTCACAAAAAAATTCTCATGGTGATCCATGATTTCACAGGTCCTGTCCATGTGTTTCCTGAGAAGACAGTCCTGGAATGGAATTACTAATTCAAAAGGCATTTTTAAGGCTGTTACACATACTGCCAAATCGGCCTTCAGGAGGATGACACAAATTTCCACCTATGTCATCTGAGCGTGCCACTATCTGCTGCTATTGCCCCATGTTTGAGGTTTTGTCCTTTCTCCTCATTCTCATGGGCAACTGTCAACATCACCACCACTGTGATCCTGAAAAGAAAGGCTCAGAAGACATAGACAGTCTGGGATTTTTTTTTTTCCCTACCTTTCTTTGCACTGTAGGGAAGGAGTGAGATGTGGCTGCAGGATTGGGGAATAGCTAAGTCAGAAATGAGCAGCAGTGCAACTGTGGCAATCTTGGAGGGGGGTCTCAGCCATGAAAGAGAACCAGGGGGTGCCTTGCCAGCTGGAGGCTGCAGAATCTTAGCTTGGGTGTTTTGCCTTCTCCGTGGAACTGACAGATGACAGGAATGACGTGGAGTATTCTCATCAAGCGTCTCAGCATAGTCAGTCTCTGAGATGGCAAACTTTAGGGCAAAGACACCTGGGCTGAAAGGTCCCACATTTAAAACTTGTCAGTCAGATAACTGCCCACCACCACCCTCTGTAAGATACCTAGATATGGGAACCCCACACTCTTCCCCAATAAGACTCTTGTATGACTGAAAGACTTTGTGGTTAAAAACATATCTTAATCTAACCTGTATTTTCCCTGCTGCAATTTCAGCCTTTTCCTATCTTTTCATGGTGAATGAACACCACACAGGCTTTCAGATCAGACAACTTCTGGCTCCGTCATTTACTAGCTGTATCAGTTAACACCAGCTGCTGACTTCACTTCTGCATATGCATTCCAAAATTAGTGTCTTAAAATAACAACTACTTATTACTTTTCACAAGCCTAAAAGTTGGCTGAATGGTTCTGCTGATCTGACTTGGTTAATCTTGGCTGGACACTGTCTGATTCAGCATAGGTTGACTGTCCTCTGCCTCATGTCTCTTATCATCCAGTAGAATTGCCCAGGCTTGCTTGCCTGAAGGCAGAAGAGTTCCCACTAGCAGGAGAGGGCAAGCACTTTTCAATGCACAAGCACCTTTCAAGCCTCTATTTGCATCAAGTTTGCTAATGTCCCGCTGACCAAAGCAAATCATGTGGCTTACTTCGGAGTCAGTGTGGGTAGGCATTACCCAAAGAAAGTGGCTATAGGGAAGCATGAAGATCTAGAGCCATTAGTACAATCAATCTACCACATTAACTTTGTGACCTTGGGCAATTCCCTTAGCCTCTCTGAGCTTTAACTCTATAATCTATAAAAGTGCAGAATTTTTTTGGGATTCTTTGCTATAATGTATGTAAAATGTCTGCTACACAATAAACATGCCATATTTATTAATTTTCTTTTCTCCTCCTTTTCATCATTTGAATTTTTTCTTAAATGCATATATATATGTGCATATATATATGTCCATCTCGATATATATATATGTATATATATATATATATATGACTTACTCTGTCATCCAGGTGAGAGTGCAGTGGCATGATCACAGCTCACTGCAGCCTCGACCTCCCAGGCTCGAGTGATCGTCCCACCTCAGCCTCCCAGGTAGCTGGAACTACAGATGTGTGCCACCACACCCAGCTAAATTTTTTTGTATATTTTATAGAGAAGGGTTTCATTATGTTGCTGAGGCTGGTCTTTAACTCCTGGGTTCAAGCAATCCACCCACCTTGACCTCGCAAAGTATTGGGATTACAGGCATGAGCCACCATGCCTGGCCCTTAAATGCATCATTCTTATACATTACTTTATACATACAAAGCTCGAAGATAATAATAATAAACATTATTCCCACGGCTTCTGTTGAATCCCCAACTCCTAGCCTGTGCCTAATCAAGTGTGCCCTCAATTCATTCCAATGGTCTGGAATTTGAAGACTAAAGGAATCAAAGGGTATCTCTTCCCTTTGTTCCTGGGACCATCAAGTTGTGAAATGACCTCTTGGCTTTCTGATCTGGGTCCACTACCACAAATGAAATAGAAAGGAGTTAACACATTTGCATTAACTGATGATTCTTAATAGAGGCAATAAAATGAGAAACCCCCATTTCCTAATTTAAATGTGGCTTTGGGGATAGGATAAGTATCCTGGCCGCTCCTTAGCTAATCAGGCTCCAGAAGGGACATTAATTGCAGCCAGCGCATCCTGCTGGGGAGACCCAAGGCTGCCAGCTCCCTTGCTGAGAATGGAATAGAATTTTAATTGGCTGTGAAAGCATCATGGTAGGAGGTACAGGGAAGAGTTGGTCTGCTCCCCCAAAGCAGGTTAGGGAAGCTCCAAGGGAAAGGACTCAAACAGGTGCATGGCAGCAAGAACCTCCCATGCTCAGGGGCCTTCCCAGCTGCAACACCACAGTTCCAATTCCAGGGCTGGACTCCAGCCTAGGTGAAGGACCTTCTCACACTTGGGCGATTAGTACTGGAGCACGGAGCCTGTGAATCTTCTCATCTCTGTGCTTCCCCCAACTTCCATGAGAGAAGCACCACATAGTTACTGTCACTTGTATTGTCAATCTTCGACTTCAGAGAGGTCTCCAAATATAAGCTCAACTCCCCAGTGTACTGTGTGTGTGCCATTTGTCCATCTGTATGGTTTGAAGCAATGGCACAGCATTCCTGTACTGTTGTTTCAGAGCAATGTGAATTTATTTCACTCAAATAAATTAATCTAACTATGCTTAGGGAAAAGTTGTTCTCATGGTAATGAGTATGTCCTTTCTGCCATGGCAATTTCTGGAACACAAATATAGAAAAGAATGACATGTGAAGGTCAATAGATGAGACTATGAAAAACAAGACAATATAGCTTTTTAGCATAAATGTACAATGATGCATGTGGTTTTTGGAGAATGTTGGACAAATTACTTAACCTCTTGGTGCCTTAGTTTTCTAATTATTAAAATGAGGGCAACAGTATTGCTGATCTAATAAGGCTTTTGGAAAGAATAATGAGATGTAAAGAGCTTAGAATAGTGCAGAGTCTTAATAAACATGTCTTCGTGATTCCTTCTAGTGAAGTGACATAGAGAAGTGGGACCAGTCATTGACCCACCCAAGCTCTGTCAACCTAGTGGTATAGTAAATCTGTTGGCAAAAAGCAAAGCAGAACAACAAAAAAACGCAAGCAAAATCATTGCTTTCAGGAAACTATTTTGTGAGACAGAAGCTTGATAAAAATTCAAAATTTGCAGTAAACTCTACTTCATTAATACTTTAAAACTCACAGCAATAAACCATTACTTAGAACAAGTAAGCAGTTTTGTTTTTATTGTGCATTTTGATATTTATTTTCAAAAAAAAATTTTTTTTTTGAGACGGAGTCTCGCTCTGTCACCCAGGCTGGAGTGCAGTGGTGTGATCTCGGCTCACTGCAAGCTCCGCCTCCTGGGTTCACTCCATTCTCCTGCCTCAGCCTCCCAAGTAGCTGGGACTACAGGCGCCTGCCACCACGCCCATCTAATTTTTTTTTTTTTTTTGTATTTTTAGTAGAGACGGGGTTTCACCATGTTAGCCAGGATGGTATTTATCTCCTGACCTCGTGATCCACCCGCCTCTGCCTCCCAAAGTGCTGGGATTACAGGCATGAGCCACTGCGCCTGGCTATTTTCAAATTTTTATTGAAAGTTCATCACAAACTCAGTAAGGAAGGTGAGCAATACATTGAAGAGGACCATTGAAAATGGAATTTTAGGCCGGGTGTGGTGGTTTATTCCTGTAATCTCAACACTTTGGGAGGCTGAGGTGGGCGGATCACTTGAGGTCAGGAGTTCAAGACCAGCCTGGCCAACACAATGAAACCCCGTCTCCACTAAAAACACAAAAATTAACCAGGTGTGGTGGTGGGTGCCTGTAATCACAGTTACTTGAGAGGCTGTGGCAGGAGAATCGCTTGAACCTGGGAGGTGGAGGTTGCAGTGAGCCAAGATAGCACCACTGCACTCCAGCCTGGGTGACAAGGTGAGACTCTGTATCAAAAAAAAAAAAAAAAAAAAAAAAAAGAAAATGGCATTTTGTAATTATAAAGATGTATTTATAAAGATATAAAGGATCCTAATTTGTAATCCCCCCAAAATCACACCTCAATTCCATTTCTTCTCTCACAGCTCCTTTCTCCATTCATACTTCCTGTCTCTTCATTGAGGAATAAAACATCCTGGTTTAAGCTCAGAACATAGGAATGAAAATAGGGAAGAAAATATGTGAACAATGCACAGTGTTCTCTCCAAAATGGCAAGAACGTCATCTCCTAGAAAAGCACTCAGAAGTCCTTGGCCTTTGGGAAAAAAGAGCTTGCGGAAGATGACATTGGTTCATTGTCCTTAAAAGGCAGAACAGGCCTCCCACTATTGAAAACAGCTCATTCCCTTCCACACCTGGTCCTCAGATCATGCTTGGGTGCCCAGGCTCCTGTGCTTAATCTTTCTTAACTGGATCATCAGTGCTTGGGAAATGGGCAGGATAACAATTTAAAGAGATAATTGACTGCACAAATCAGCTCATCCCTTCAAGGGATAAATTTTCTCACACTTTCTGGTTCTGTAATAGGTCAGGGCTGTTGGAGACAGAGCTGGCTTTTTCCCTGATGTCCAGGGTCCTGAAATGAAGTATGGCTGGGCCACTTGACTGGGAGTGCAGTTACAGAAGCCAATGCTGGTGCTGCAGAGAGCGCAATGCCCAAAGTGGGTGCATCTCTGATGGTGTAAAGGATGAAGAACAAGCTCTGAGGAAGGTTAGGTAAGTTCCTGGCTTTCAGTCTGTCCCCTCCACCTGCCAAGTGAGCAAGTCTGTTCCTCTTGCCAAGTGAGCTGCTGTTTTTCTCGTTGGTTAAATGGGATGTTGGATAAATCATCTCTACTAGTCTGACAGTTTTTTATATTTAAAGATTTTATAAATTATACAAAGGTTCTGTAGATGAAAAGCAACACCAGATTCCAGGAATTGCTTAAAGGTGAGGTAGGCCAAAGGCATAGAAGCAGGAGTTCTTTGTAAAGGAAGGGAGCAGCACACTTCATGGGCAGGTCAAGAGGTCACCTGGAAATGGCACCAACAGCTACTGGAAACCTCCTACCCACCCCAGGACCCTGAAACAGGGAACTTGGAAAGAGAAATTTAGGGTTGTGTGTCTGCACCACAACAGAGGGTGAGACATGTCATGGGGGTACTCAGGTTACTGGAAAGATTTGCTGCCTAGAGTAGAAAAAGGTAGATTTCTATTGCTCACCCCAAATCATGTATAAAGAGCTTCTGATTCACTTCCTCATGCATCTTAACTTTTACTTGGCTTCTCATATATACATATAGATTCTAGAATGAGTTTCCTTGACATGGGGACATAAGTATTCTAGGTATTGAAAAGGAGCATCTTCAATTGTAGCTATAAATCATCTTTCTGGTCTCTATCTTGATTTCTTATTAGTTTTCTTGGCTTGAATTATGACTTCACAGGATATGAATACCCAGGGATAAAGGGCCACTAAATCAAGGTGCCAGACTTGCAAAACTGACACCTAGATCCCTCAATAGAGGAAAGAGAAGCTGTTTGTAATGACCGAGGACAAATTGAATGGTTTCCCTCAGGCCAAAATTTCTCCTAAGGTTGATCACCTCTTCTCTTCTTGTCCTAATTCTCCTTGCACTCTCATCCAAATAGGAGATGCATCATTCCTAAAATGTATATAAGGCCAACATAATGTATTTTTGTTTTTATTCCATTTTTGTTTTTGCTCTATAAATCTCCATCAGTCAAGTCTGTCTGAGACCCTAGGGCAATGTAGAAAACATTCATAGGGAGGCTGAGGTGGGCGGATCACCTGAGGTCCGGAGTTTGAGACCAGCCTGGCTAACATGGAGAAACCCCATCTCTACTGAAAATACAAAAATGATCCAGGCATGGTGGCATGTGTTTGTAGTCCCAACTACTCAGAAGGCTGAGGCAGGAGAATCGCTTGAACCCAGGAGGTGGAGGTTGCAGTGAGCCGAGATCACGCCATTGTACTCCAGTCTGGGCAACACAGTGAGACTCCGTCTCAAAAAAAAAAGAAAACATTCATAGACTGCATGGAAGTCATTCAATTCAGCATGCAAGCATCCCATGCATCCTATTCCTAATCATTCACTAGCCTCTCAGTGACAGGAAGCTTACTACCTCACAAGGGTACCCACTGCATTAAAAAAAAAATTGTTCCAATCAACAAATGCTTGCTGGAGAAATGAATAAATATTAGATTACAAGCTGCAGGAGGGCAGGACTATGTGTAAGGCATGGCAAAGAGGCATTATTAAAAATGTGAAGATAATCAGGATATCTGGTGATGTGTGTCTGTATTGGTGAGTCCGGTATGCATGTGGAGCCAGGAAAGGAGATAGGTGGGTATAAGTTCAAGGTTATAAGGTATAGTTCAAGGTTCAAGTGTACCAGGTCTGTCTGAATGTGCATGTGGTCATGGTCTATAGTTTGAATGCTCTTTTGCAGCGATTTCCTCCATCACCTGTCCCACCTCTGTCTTCTGGGATAAATCCTTATTCCTATTCACCTTAAGTATCACCTTTCTTGCTCCGGCTCTAACGCTAAGACAAAAATTTCAGAGGCAAGAAGAATGGAAGAGAGGAAGAGAAGAAGAGAACATGAGACAAAAGAGCCAGCCTGGGGTGCTAAGGAGCTGCCAAAAGACTCAAAGTAGCAGAATGGGTGGGCAGGCCCTCACTGCCTGAGCCAAGCCAGCACCTGTTCACACCCACAGACTCAGACTCTATGGCCAAGAGCACTGAATCCATGTTTTTGGCCTTCCACTAATCAGACTGGTTTTTATCACAGGCCCATATGGAGATGGAGCAACTTGCATCATCCTGGTCATATAAAAGAAATCAAGGGCTGATTGTCCTTGCCAACCGTCTCCCTGTACTCAGCCCGTCGGAGGAATGACATTACATAAATCCTCAAACATAAAGAGGCATAAGGACGGCACACATCTTGCCTTGGCATCCCACATATCTAATCTAAACATTCTCTGTTCTCACCAGGACATCCCAACACATTACCTAACCACACCCCACCCCTCCTGCACCAAAACATTTTTTTATAATAGTTGTCATTATCATTATTGTCATCATCATTACCATAATTATCATCATTGTAGAGACTGTCTGAGTTCACCATTTCAACTCCAAGGACATTTTGATTCTGTATTTATACATGCAAAGTTTTAATTGAAATTATACATGCAAAGTTTTAATTGAAATTTATCTGCATTGATAAACTCTCATTGACAATCTATTCTCCAAAGAGAATTCTCTTTAGCCAATTTAATTTTTGATCAATCTTTTAAAATATAGAACAGTTAAATTGTTTCCATTTTTTCCCATTTCTAATTTAATGTTATTGAAACTTTCCTCAGGATAAATCATTTTATAAGTAAAATAGGCATTAACCACTTGATAAGTTGATCAGTTTTGGATCCGTATCAAAATTTACTAATTATAGTTCTGTCAATGAAGACTTTATTGTGTGTCTTTATAATCTTTCCAAATCTATTTTTTTCTAGATCAAAGTTTGCAGATCTGAATTTTGTCAAGACATTATAATCTTCTGCCAGATTTTAATAAACCATACATTTAACTGAGGGTGGTTTTGATCACTATCAGTTTTATCTTATATTGAATACTTCTAAATATCATCAGAGTGAAGGTGTCCTGCCATATTATAGCAAGGGTACGTTACTAACTGCTCAGTATATATGGGCATCAAGTAAACATTATCTCATTTAATCCTACAGCAGTGTTGAGGGGTGGATATTATTATCCCCATTTTATAGATAAGTGAACTGAGGCTAGAAATGAGGTCACTTGCCCAATCTCATACAGAGACTCTGTGATACACCTGGGAATTAAAAACCAGGACTTTGGGTGTTAAAATCTCCTTTTTTTTCCCCTACTGTACTATTTTTTCCAGTGTCTCTCAATTCATTCATAAGTATACTGTGTTCACTGGCTGTACATGCATCTCATAACACATTTTGCCTTGTTTTTGCCTACCTCCTGTCCTCTCTCTCTCTCTCACACACACACACATACACACACACATCCCCTTTGTGCTCCCAATAAAGCACAACAGACTGCCACTGTGCTCCAGGCCTCACCCTGGGAGCAGCACGACTTCCTCTCTCCTCCCGCCCTGGTAGGTGAGTCCCACAGCGGCCCCAGGAACCACCTGGAAGGAGCTCCCATGGCCAGCACGTTAGATGGGCCCTCTCAGGTGTGCCTCTCTCTGAGTTCCAACTGGGAAACCTGAAGGAGGCAGCCCCGCAGGGACTCACAGGGGCTCAACCGCTGGCTGAGGGAGTCCATCAGTGTTGTTTTATCTAGAAAGGAAGAGCATGGTTTCTCAGTGGAGCACATCCAGACAGTTTCCTTTTTTACAACAAATTACAAGGGGGGTGGGAAGGAAAGGAAATGGAGGAATAGAGGGAGGGAGAGGGGTTTCTATTTTTAAACCCTTGCTAGGCATTAGTTCTGTGGAAGTTTCTGTGAGGAAGGAAGTAGGAAGAAAAGATGGGAGTGAGCAAGGGGTAACTGGTGGGAGGGGTAAGGTCTAGGGAAGTGATTTTCAAATCAACGTTTTTTTTTGGAACTGGAATCTTTTCTCCAAAGGTATCCTATGAATAAATGCCAATATGAAAAATAAATAAAAGGAGAGCTGTTTATCTCCATGGACATAGGCAGCTTCCTGAGCCCTGCCCGCTTGGCTTCTCCCAGAGCACATGGAGGCCCCCGTGACAGCTCGACTGAATACAGGTTGAAACCACTTGTTGAGCAGGGTAAGGGAAAAGGATCACATTTCCATGTATTCATTCATTCGTTCATGAAATACTTATTGATGCCTAGGTGCTGAGGTGGGAAGAGCGCTTGAGGCCAGGATTTTGAGACTAGCCTGGGCAACATGGCAAGACCCCTATCTCTACAGAAAAATTTAAAATTTAAAAAACTTAGCTAGGCATGGTGGCATGCATCTATAGTCCCAGCTGTCCAGAAGGCTGACATGGGAGGATTGCTTGAGCCCAGGAGTTCAAGGCTGCAGTGAGCTATGATTGAGCCACTGCACTCCAGCCTGAGTAACAAAGCGAGACCCTATCTCAAGAAAACAAAAACAAAGAAAACCCTCAAAGTTGGAGAAAATATGTGTTTAGACAAGACAAAAAGGCTGGGTGCGGTAGTTCATGCCTATAATCCCAACACTTTGGGAGGCTGAGGCAGGCAGATCGCTTGAGCTCAGGAGTTTGAGAGCATCCTGGGTAACATGGTGAAAACCTGTCTCTAACTCTCAAAAATACAAAAATTAGCTGGGGTTGGTGGTATGTGACTGTAGTCCCAGCTAGCTGAGAAGCTGTTCAGAGGATGGCTTGAGCCAAGGAGGCAGAGTTTCCAGTGAGCCATGATGGTGCCACTGCACTCCAGCCTGGGCAACAGAGCCAGACCCTCTCTCAAAAAGAGAAAAGAAAAAAAGTCAGGCACATGGAGCTCTATCCTGAACTCCAGGCCTTACTCCCTAGAATCTGTTTCCTGTATCACCCACGCTGAATGCTGATGATAGGCCTGTGCAATCCATATAGGCAGATGGCACAGAAGAGCCCTACAGTGTGCCTGGTACTGCCTAAGGTGTGGCTTGTAAGCCAGGCCTGCACTCTGCTTCCGGAACTCTGAGTTGTGATCCTTCCACTAACTTGCTTGTGCTTCTCAGCATTTGCCCCTGAGAGTCCTCAGAAAGACATCTTGCAAACTGATACAGGAACCCAGACTATGACGTATGCGTGCTGCCCAGACAGTTATATATCATTCATAGCTCATTAACCTGAGCTAAAAATAGAAAGCCACTGCCATAGCCAGCTGTGAATCCTCCAGGGTCTGATCCTGGTTTGATTCTAATTATACAACCTGCTTAGCAACTCCTGGTCCCCTGTTCCCCTTTTTTTCCTATTCTTTTCGAAGAAGGGTGTGGATATTCAAACCTATTCATGGTTTTCATGTTTGCTCCTTGTGAACGGCAGAAGCAAAGTACTTGGAGAGGGAAGAGAATGGTTATCATGGTCAAAATGAAGTCTTGGGACTAGCTATAGATTTCCATCTCCTTGCCTTTTGGTCAATCTTCACCCCAACCACCAATCCCCTATAAGCATAAAAACTGGAGAATTGATTCTAGTGGCAACATATCTTCACAAAGCATTTGGTTCTGAAGATCCCATGACACTTTAAAGACGGTTTCTGGAAAAACCTAATTAATCCTCACAGTGTGTCTTTCAGGGAAGAGGTTTTGATCTGCATCTACCCTGAAGCTGGAACAGAATAAGACAGGTGAAAATTATAGCAGGAGAAATTCAAGCTAGAAGAGAGGTAGAATTACCAGATGGTATGGACATGAAATAGATTACCATGGCAGCTGGTATAACTCTTTTTCCAAAATATTTTTAACACAGGCACGATCTCCCTATAGTGGACATAGGACACTTTCCTTTGCTTATCCTGTTCAACTCACGTGGTCCACGTGAAGCTAAATTGCACCTACCACATCCAAGTTCCTAGGGTGTACATATAACCCCAGCCTAACTAATCAGAAGACTCCTACCCTGGGACACAGTGATTGGTTTAGAAATGGGTTACATGACCCAAACCATCTGAGGAGGGCTTCCCAGGGATTTTACTTAAGCTTTATTGGAAAAAACTATTTTAGTCTGAGCTGAGTTTATGAGCTACAAGTACAAGATAAACTTGGAAACCATCTTGCTTCCACATGGAGAGACCTGAGCTAGACCCAGCTACACAGACCAAGGGATGAAAATAGAAAGAGAGGCCTCAGCTGTAACCACATGCAGCCATTCACTTCAGCTTCCCTGTTTTCGTATAATTCCTTTTTTTAATTATTATTTTGCATGATGTAGTTCCACTTGGCTTTCTGCCCCCTTTCAACCAAAAGAGCTCTAACTGATATAGCTCCATTTCCCTGATTCCGAAGCCCAATCCCATCCTAGCTACAAACACACACCACCTATCTAGAATGGCTTTGGTGCCTTCTGGCTCAAAACTGAGGAGCTGGCAAGAAGAGGGGATGATGACAAACTAATAACTCTAGGATTATCCTTCCCATTTTATGATAGGCAAAGTATAGAACCACTGGGCCTAGATGAGACCCTGGAGGCACCTACCCAGTGCAATCACTCAAGTGGTGCCAGGCGCCTCTCAACTTTGCTACCAAGTGGTCACCTAGCCTTGACTCCAGTGATGAGTCTCCATCCTTGCTGAGGCTGCTCTTTCACTTTGGGGCAGTACTAATCATTAGATAGTTCTTTCTTTTCTTTTCTTTTTTTGAGGTAGGGTCTCACTCTGTCACCCAGGCTGGAGTGCAGTGGCATGATCATAGCTCACCGCAGCCTCAACCTTCTGGGCTCAAGCAATCCTCCCCCCTCAGCCTCCCGAGTAGCTGGGACTACAGGTGCATGACACCAAGCCCAGCTAATTTTTCTAAATTATTTATATAGACATTCTCCTTATGTTGCCTGGACTGGCCTTGAGCTCCTGGGCTCAAGCGATCCTCCTGCCTCAGCCTCTGAAAGTATTAAGATTACAGGTGTGAGCCATCATACCCAGCCAGTTCTTCCTTAAACTGAATCAAAATCTAGTTGTCTGTTATTTCTAGCCACTGGCCCTCTCTTCTGGGGTGATGCAGGGTAAGCTTGCTCTCTGCTGCATGATAACCTTCAAAGTAGTGGTGGGTAGCCAGTCTGGCTTTCTGGTCCTGCCATGTATTCCAGCTACTCTTCATGTCACATGGTTTTAAGTCTCTTCTTACAGTCACGTTTTTATTAATCTACTTTTGGGGGCATGTGGCATTCAGGGCTTCATCCTGCACAAGAGAGGTGTTAGGCTGACAAAATAGGAGTATGGGAGGTCTGTTACTCCCCTTTCCTGGATTCCATACTTCAGTGAGGATAGACTAGGACCACATTAACATCACAAGTGATGGGAAGGAGTGGGGGAAGGATTATTTTAAATTAAATAGTAATATATTGGATTATAAAGAAGTCAAATACATTAAGAAGGAAGCCAAATATTACCTACAATCCTACCATCTAGAGATAAGCACTGCTAGCACCTTATTATCTCTCCTCTAATCTTTTCTCTATACAAATATAAACATAATTTTCAAATAAACTTTAGAATCAAATTCTGAATACTTATTAGATTCAGGAGCATATCCCATGCCATTAAGTAATTCATGGAAATATTATTGGTGAGGGCTCCATAATAGTCCATGTCTGAATTTTTAAATCATGTCTTTTTTTTTGGGTGGGGGGGATCTCACTTTGTCAGAGTCTCACTCTGTCATCCAGGCTGGAGTGTAGTGGCACCATCTCAGCTCACTGCAACCTCCGCCTCCCAAGTTCAAGTGATTCTCCTGCCTCATCCTCCTGAGTAGCTGGGATTACAGTCATGCGTCACCACACCTGGTTAATTTTTGTGTTTTTAGTAGAGATGGGGTTTCACCATGTTGGGCAGGCTGGTCTCAAACTCATGGCCTCAAGTGACCCACCTGCCTTGGCCTCCCAAAGTGCTGGGATTACAGGTGTGAGCCACTGCACTCGGCCGTAAATCATGTCTTTATTGTTAAACACTTAGGTTTCCTCACATTTTTGCTTTAATAGACAACCACAGTTTGAACATTTTTAGTAAAAATTTATAGAAATAAGATTAGAAATCAGTAGGGTAAGAACCTTTTTTATTATTATTTTAAATTACCAGACCATGGGCTTGCATAAGAGTAAGGACTTCTGTAAGGTTCTTGCATCTTCTTAGCAAATTCTAGCCCAGAAACGACTTAGCCATTTATTCTCCCATCCATAGTGTATGAAGCACTTGTCTTATCACTTTCTGCTCAGGATTAGGTATTATAATTTTTATATTGTAATCAGTGTATTAGGAGCAAATGGTATCCAATTGCTGTTTTAAGTTGTATACATTGATTATAAGGTTGATTTGTTTTTAGGTTTGATGAAATAATTTTTTATTAAATTTTATTTTAACTTAGATTCAAGAATACATACGCATGTTTGTTACATGGGTATATTGTGTACTGGTGGGGATTGAGTTTCCAGCATATCTGTTTCTCAAATAGTGAACATTGTGTCCATCAGATAATTTTTCAACCCTTATCCACCTTCTGGAGTCCCCAGTGCTTATTATTTCCACCTTTATGTCCACTTGTGTCCATTGTTTAACTCCCATTTATAATTGGGAACATGTAGTTTTCTGTGTCTGGGTTCCTTTACTTAGGATAATGGCTTCCGGCTTCATCCATGTTGCTACAAAGAACATGATTTCATTCTTTTTATGTCTATGTAATATTCCAAGGTGTATATATACCACATTTTCTTTATCCAGTCAGCTGCTGATAGTCACTTAGGTTGGTTCTATGACTCTGACATTGTGAATAGTGCTGTGATGAACAAACAAGTACAGGTGTCTTTTTTAACATAATGATTTCTTTTCCTTTGGGTAGATACACAGTGTGGAGGTTGAACTAACTTCATTCTCACCAACAGTGTATAAGCATTCCCTTTTCTCCATATCCATGCCATCTGTTGTTTTCTGACTTTTTACTAATAGCCTTTCTGACTAGTATAATATGATATCTCATTGTGGTTTTAATTTGCATTCCTCTGATGGTTAATGATGTTGAGCATTTTTTGGTGTGTTTGTTAGCTGCTTGGATGTCTTCTTTCGAGAAATGTCTATTCATGCCCTTTGCCCAGTTTTTAATGGAGTTTTTCTTGTTGAGTTATTTGAGTTCCCTGTAGGTTCTGGACATTAGTCATTTGTCAGAGGCATAATTTGCAATTATTTTCTCCCATTCTATAGGTTGTCTGTTTGCTCTGTTGATTATTTTATTTTGCTGTGCAGAAGCTTTTTTGGTTTAACTAAGTCCCATTTGTCTGTTTTTGGTTTTGTTGCTTTGCTTTTGGGATCTTCATTGTAAATTCTCTGCCTAGACCAATGTCCAGGGAGTTTTTTCTTGGCTTTCTTCTAGGATTTTTATAGTTTCAAGTCTTACATTTAGTCTTTAATCCACCTTGAGTTAATTTTTGTGTATGGTGAGAGAGAGGGGTCCAGTTTCATTCTTCTGCACCTTGTTAGCCAATTATCCCAGCACCATTAACTGAATAGGGTGTCCTTTCCCCATTGTTTATTTTTGTCAAGTTTGTGAAAGGTCAATTTGTTGTAGGTATGTGGCTTTTTTTCTGGGTTCTCTATTCTGTTCCATTGATCTATGTTGATAAAACAATTTTTAAATTGAATAAATTTGGTTCCTCTATGTGACTTCCATTGATTTTAGAGGCAAATGGCATCTAATTTCTCTTTTAAGTTGCATTCCTTTGATTATTAGTAAAGTTGAACATTTCTAGTTCATTAAAACAGGTTTTAAATGGAGTAAAATTGATTCTTTTACTATTTTATTCCTAGTGTGCTACTTTCACAAATTAGAAAAAATTACTGATATTAAATTCTAAAGACTAAACGTTATGGCTTCCCTAGGCCTGATTGTAAAGCTCCCGTACCTACTTCACAGGTCAGTTTTGAAGGAGCAAATGGCATGTAACATGAGGTGGCACTTGAAACTTTACTATCACATGTAAGCAAGTGTCCCTATCTTCCTCTTTCTGTCTCTGACAGCTCTCCATCTCTTTCAACCTTGTTCACAACTATTAGACATGATCCCTAGAAAAGGAAAGGGTGTAGAGAGATCTGCTTTCTCAGAATTGTGAAAGGAGCATAGATTTTTTCAGGGCTTTCAAAGGCTGATGTGAATATTGTATGAAACACATTAAAGATATCTGATTCTCCTGCCATTTAAATGATTTGAGTCAGCCAGTAAATACCATTAATTAAGGATCCACTCTAGGCTAAGCCCTGAAATAAGCATTATGGGAAGCACTTAGGGCTAAGGCAATAATGGAGAAAGGGAAGTCACTGCAGAGAGAAGAGACAGTGGGGCTGGAGAACAGCAATAAGAAGAGCCATTGATTCTATTTCCCTCTTGCATCCTAGGTCTAACTTCTCAGTGCCAGGTGAAAGGGGATTATAAGACAGCTAGTCTGCATTGTAGTTGTATGTTATAATCACAAGATACTGTTTGGAAAGACTTAAATTAGATCTCTAGTTTACCCCTATACCAGAATAAATTCTAGATGGATTTAGCATGCAATGACTTTTAACAAATGTCTTTTGTACATCTACTGTGTACCAGTTGCTAGGTTAGGTTCTTAAAATGAAAAACAGATATGGTTTCTGCCCTCCATAGAGTTTACAATCTAATTAGGGGTGCATATATTAAATAAGTAGACAAATGATGTAACTACTTTTTTTTTTTTTTTTTGAGACAGTCTCACTCCACTGCCCAGGCTGGAGTGCAGTGGTGCAATCTCAGCTAACTGCAACCTCTGCCTCTAGGGTTCAAGCAATTCTCCCACTGCAGTCTCCTGAGTAGCTGGGATTACAGGCACACGCCACCACGCCCAGCTAATTTTTGTATTTTTGTAGAGATGGGTTTTCACCATGTTAGCCAGGCTGGTCCTGAACTCCTGGCCTTAAGTGATCCACCTGCCTCAGCCTCCCAAAGTGCTGGGGTTACAGGCAAGAGCCACCGTGCTTGGCCTGTAACTACAATTATTGATAAAAGTTAAAAAGGAAAATAATAGGATGCTAAAAGAAAGAAGACCAGGGTTAGGGAAACCTCCTTTAGGTTATGTAACCAGGAAAGACTTCTCTAAGCAGATGGTATTTAATTTGAGATTTGAGGAATAAGAAGGAGCCACTCGGTTGAAGAGCAAAGGAAGATCATTCCAGGCAGAGAGGGCAAGTGGTAAGAAGAGCATGAGAGGTGACAGAGCTAGAAAGAAAACACAGATAAATATTTTTACAACCATGGAACAGAGAAGCCCTTTCTAAATGTGACTCCAAAAAAAGCTGGAACCACAGTAGTCAGACGACATCAGAATTTTTAAATTCTTCATGGCAGAGACCACATAAAGCTAAAGACAAATGGTAAACTGGTAAAAATCATTATAACTTGAATGTCAATATATTATTGTCCTTACTAGATTGAAAGTACTTAAAACTAAATATCAGAAAATTTAATACTCCCAAAGAAGGGGAAAAAGGTCAAGCAAATTCACAAAACAAGAAACACAAATAATCAATAAATATTGGAAATCTTCTTTAGTAAATAGAGACATAAACCTTAGAACAATAATGACATGCTATTGTTTACTCCTGATAGTGGCAGAGATTTAAAAGAATGGTAATTCACAGAATCAAGGAGAGTATGGAGAAGCAAGTATTCTATTCTCTGCTAGTCGGTGGGAATGTGCATTGGTATAACCCTTTCTAGAAAACAGAGAGTAAAGGCTTTAAAAATACACATATTCTTCAACTCAGCAAGTCTGCTGCTAGGAATTTGTTGTAAGGAAGCACCCTCAGTTCTGCAGAAAAATTTAACTATCAGGATGTTCATTATACTATATTCTATTATGATTTAAAATCAGAGACAACCTCAGGAGACTATATTCATACAATGGAATACAGTGAAGTTATTAAGAAGAATTTTGTTAAATTTATATTTTACTGACATGAAAATGCCTTCAAGATGTTGAGTAGAAAAGTGCAGCTTACAAAACAGCACTTTCAATGGGACTGTATTTCGTTTTAAAATACCATATATATGCATAGAAATGTCCGTAAAATGTTAACAATGGATTTCTCTAAGCGATGAGATTACATGTAACTTTTACTTTTTATATCTTTATATTTTATATGACCTTTTTAGAATGAGTGTGCATTACCGTTTATACTAAGAAAAAATTAAGCTGTTTTCTTACTGAGATGGGTAAAAAGTGAGTCATCCCAGTCGCCTTAGGCCAGAAGGAACTGGAAGAGGATCCCATCTATTTCGCTTCCTGGGAGCAGGTCTGTCTGATCTGCATCACTGGAGCCCTCCAGAGCAGGGCTAATCCCTAAGGGAGGCGACATCCTCCATCAGGGTCTTTCTATCCCTGGTTTAGACACAGTCACCATCCACATAAGCCCTCTGCTCAATGTTTTCTCTTTTCCCAGGGAAACAAAGCCCTTTGCTGCTCTGATTCATCGCCTGGTTGGAGGCCGAGTCACCACAGCTCAGACGCAGGTGTCTGGGGGTGACACAGCGCGACACTGCGCCTCCGGAATAAGGGCAGTCCTTCCGCCTTCGAGGCTGTGAAATGTCAGGCATGATTAGAAAGGTCACTTGTCCTGATAGCTCTCTGTGCTTCCCGGAGAGCAGCCTTCCTGCTGAGAACATTCTTAATTGTGCTTCCTGCTGTGGGGTCCCTGCCTGCTCACGCCCCTTTCTAAAACGGAGGCCCTATCTTCCTCCTAGTCCCTCTTGAACATGTGGGAAAATTGCTGAGGACTGCAAAATCTTGCAAAAACAGGGCAGCTCTCTGATTCAAGGAAAGAGATGAAAGGCAAATTTCTAGAACGGGGTATTGCATAGTGGAAGAAGGAAATTTCATTCTTGAAGAAATGAAATAGGTCCACAGTCCTGGGAAATGGGGGGCGGGAGAGGGGTGCGGGGACAGGGTCAGAAGAACTGAGGCACAAAAAAATAGATACACCCCCAAATCCCAAAATTATACCAGTAGAGCCAGGAACTAAGAGTAGTGTCAAGGTACTAAGTAAAAACTGAACACTGAGACAGAAGTTCCTAAATTGCTATGTACTTCTTGCCCCACCCCCAGAACTTCTGATTCTGCAGGTCCAAGGTGTTGTCCAGAAATCTGCATTTTGAAAAAGGTACCCCAGGTCATTGAGAAGCAGGTGATCTGTGCACTTTACTTTGAGAATCCTGGCATAAGGGATGAGGAGAGACTAGTCACTGGGCACATCAGAGGACTCCAAGGGGGAATTCCTTACATTTTGCTCAACAGGAGTGGCTACGGACGTCTGAGTAATCTAAGCATGACCAGCATGGGATGAGGTGGGAGAGGGGGACTGCCTGCAAGGGAGGGAAAGGATGAGCACTCTCCAACCTTCTCCAACCTTCTAACCTCTTCAGCCCAAGCTGGTCTGGAAGGGGCTTCTGAACCTGTCAAGTCCAAGCCTGATATGAGTGCCCCCACCCCCCAAAGCCATACTCTTTCATTGGCGTCTTTATAGAGGACCTGCTCTCCAGTGATACATTGCTGGACAATTATCTTATGGCAGAGCCATTGGTTGGTAGTGTTATTTTCTTATCTCATAGAAGTTTCTGGGGTAATGGGAATATTTTTATGTGTATTTAGCTTTTATCATATCTTGTCAGGGAAATGCAGCAGGAAGGTTGGGCTCTAAAACATTAAATCCAACTAAACCCCCTCTCCTCCCATGAGGAGCCAATTTGGGTGCCCACATGCAACATCAGCTTCCTAATCCTTTTTTGTTTTTTTTTAGAAACAGGGTCTCACTCTGTCGCCCAGGCTGGAGTGCAGTGGTGTGATCTTGGCTCACTGCAACCTTCCACCTCCTGGGTTCAAGTGATCTCATGTCTCAGCCTCTCAAGTAGCTGAGATTACAGGTACAAGCCACAACGCCTGGCTAATTTTTGTATTTTTAGTAGAGATGGGGTTTCGCCATGTTGGCCACACTGGTCTCGAACTCCTGACCTCAAGTGATCCACCCCCCTTGGCCTCCCAAAGTGCTGGGATTACAGGCATGAGCCACCATGCCCAGCCCCTAATCCTTTTAAAGCAAGCTTTTTTTACACCTCTCTATAAGCGGGTAAAGTAGAGAAAGCATATGACCGGGTCGTGTGGTGATGGCGTGAAGGATATGAATGGAAGAGTAAACAGTGGACACATTGACTATCAGAGAATTCTGCAATTCCAGGACAGTTTGTGCTGATGGAGGACAATAGAAAGATCTCAGCCATTGTGCCAGCTGTCTGACACTGAGAAGGTAAAGGGAGTAGGTGTGAAGATTACTAGGAAAACAAGAGTTCTTCCAAGCAAATGCAACCAGCGCTTCCGAGGCTGATCTTAGATACAAGCTGTGGAAATGAAAGCATGTTGCTCATTGCAGAATCTTTCCTTCTTACAGCAGGAAGCTCGATTCAAGTCACCAGCAGAAAACAGAGTTGCCTTCATGTCTTTACTCTCAAGGTTCTGCAGGTTAGTGCCTCGATCTAAGTTTTCCTTACCTTGGCACAGGTCATCCTTAAATGAATGTTACAGCAAGGGAAGCAGGCAGTTCCTCACCACCTCTGTTGAGCAAAATGTAAGGGAAAGGGAGCCGAAGCAGAAAGCATCCTTAAGCGGGCAAACGAACGCCCCTCCCAGGCCAGCCAACTGCTGTAGGGGACGGGGATGTAGCAGTGAACAAATCAAACAAAGCCCTTGCTCTCAGGGGACTCATTCCAGCAGGACAAGATAGACTTTAATAAACAGGTAATTTCAAAATATATATGGGAGGGGGTCATAAGTGCTATGAAGATAATTAAATCTCAATAAAGGGATGGAGAGCAATGGAAAGTACCAGAGGGGTTCAGGGAAAGCCTTAGGTGATGAAATTTGAGCAGAGACTGGAAGGAAGTGAGGGAGTGAACTGTGTGAATATCAGAGGGAAGACCAGACAGGGAGGAGGGCAAGTTCACAGGCCCTGAGGTAGGAGCAGGCTGATGTGAGAAAAGAGGCTGCCGTGAATGAGAATGGCAGGAAATGAAATCAGAGAGGTGCCAGGGGCTCCACTGCCCAGGGCCTTGCTGTCATGATGGGACTTTGGGTTAACACACAGAAAGCGCTTACAGCTAAAGAGATTTTCCTCACCCCCAAACTTTAATGATGTGACTAAGAAAAAATCATCAAAGCTACTTCTTTAGGGGATTTTAAAGACACAGATTTCAGAAAAGGGACACACAAAAATGAAAGCAGTCTATGTAGGGGAGGTAGGATTATGGATTTTCTTTTCTTTTTTCAAAAAAGAAAAGAATTTGTGATTGCTGAAATAATTCTGGAATATGAAATATATTTACCTTAAAACAAATCTACCTGCCGGGTGCGGTGGCTCACATCTGTAATGCCGGCACTTTGCGGGGCTGAGGCAGGCGGATCACTTGAGGTCAGGAGTTCAAAACCAGCCTGGCCAACACGGTGAAACCCTGTTTCTACTAAAAATACAAAAATTAGCCCAGTGTGGTGGCGGGTGCCTGTAATCCCAGCTATTTGGGAGGATGAGGCAGGAGAATCGCTTAAACCCAAGAAGCAGAGATTGCAGTGAGCCGAAATCGTGCCACTGCATTCCAGCCTGGGCAACAGAGTGAGATTCCATCTAAAACAAAACAAAACAAAACAAAACAAACACAAATCTACCACCACAGGGGCAATGGACAGGGGGTGCTTCTGTATCCCCAGTGTTTGGAATTGTACCCAGTGCACGGCAGACACTCATAAATGCTCGTGGAATCAATGAAATGAACCTCTTGAGACAGGTTACATGTCCTGTCTAGAGCAAGAGAATAAGAAACTATCCAGGCCCTACCTGAAGCAAGTCAATATAATCCTAATTTCTTTACCTCATTCTTAGAGTTTTGCAATTTTCAAATTATTCATGCCCTATAGAGAGTTTGATAATTAAAGAAATACTATGATTTTGAGCACAGAAGCTATAGAAACTTTTATTGGTCTCTTGGGAAACATAATAAGCCTCTTCTTTGACTTCAGGCTCTGGATTTTCTGCTGAAACTGGTAATGGGAGAAACAGGATTGAATAAGGAAATCTACACTAGATGCTGGGATTTACATCCCCAGCCCGTCACTCAAACTGCCTCCTTCCACAAGGACTGAGATGCCAAACTTCCCAGGCTCACTACTCTCAGGATGATAGAACTAATACCCCCAACTGCTTGGCCTGCCCTCACAAACAGCACTTGCCATTGTCATCTAGAAAGCCACATTCCTCACCAGAGCCTTCACTTGCTGCCTGGCTGGTCCTTGACATGCTCCTCCAATCTGGATGTTTCTGTGAGTTTAGAAGCTGAATCATTAGTCAATGCCTTGGTTGAGTGTTTCTTCCTCTCCCCAGTGTGATGGGTGGTGTTAAAGGGAAAGTAAAAAATCTGCCACAGAACTAAGATTACTGTAAGACACAAAGATATATTTAGGGAACATAAGGGACTCATTATTAAACAAACCCGTAAACTATATCAGCTGTTAAGGTATTACTCCTTCCATATTTTCTGAGAAGCAAATAAGAAAGAAGGATGCCATGTATTAACTCTTTTTGACCCAGTTCCTATGGGTGCTTTATTCCCTGCCTCTCTTATGAGGATCCAGTTTAGTGAATAATAAACACTTCCAGTGATTGAGTCCTTACTAAAGGCCAGGTTCTCTAATAAGCATTTCACATTGCTTAACTCATTCAATCCTTTGGGGAAGATATTATTATCCCCATTTACAGATTGAAGCAACTGAGGCTTTGAGGCATGAAATCATTTACTTAAAATCACACAGCCAGCAAATGGGCAACCCAGGTTTAAAACCAATGTCTACCCAATTCCAAGGCCCATGTTTTAAGCCACTACCCTATTATGCAGCCTCTCATAGCAGATAAGGTTGTAGAGCTATAGCCTCTTTTTCTTTCTTTCTTTCTTTCTTTCTTTCTTTCTTTCTTTCTTTCTTTCTTTCTTTCTTTCTTTCTTTCTTTTTTTTTTTTTGAGATGGAGTCCCACTCTGTCACCCAGGCTGGAGTGCAATGGCGCGATCTCGGCTCACTGCAACCTCTGCCTCCCAGGTTCAAATGATTCTCCTGCCTCAGCCTCCTGAGTAGCTGGGATTACAGGCATGCACTACCATGCCTGGCTTTTTTTTTTTTTTTTTTGTATTTTTAGTAGAGACGGGGTTTCACCATGTTGGTCAGTCTGGTCTCGAACTCCTGACCTCGTGATACACCTGCCTCGGCCTCCCAAAGTGCTGGGATTACAAGCAGAGCCACCGCACCCAGATGCCTCTTTTTCTTTAAGTAAGATTTTGCAAAATTTCTCTGAAGTTGAGTAAGAGTGAAGAATAATGATGTTGGAATGCCAGAGCTATAATACACAGTTCAAAACTAGAACTTTGGAGCGAGACAAGAAGTTCTTTTAGCCCAGAAAATAGGCTTCCTACTGTCTGTAGGAAACTCTTAACTCTTCAGTCAAGACTCCAGGGCTTCTCACAATCTGGACTAATTACCTCCCATCCATTCATTCAGTCAAACAAATATTAAATTAGATACCGACTATGTGCCAGGCAATAGGAATGCAATGGTAAATACAAATAGAATGGCCCCCACTCTCATGAAGCTCATCATTTTGAGGTGTATGGATATATATACAATTAACATATGTATATCCATAATATCTAAAATAACATGAAATTGCAATGGTGGTTAAGTTCAATGCAAGACAGAAATGTGGTGCTGTAAGAGGGGATTGGTCGGTCCTTGAAGGAATGATGCTTGAGCCAAGATATGAATGATGGCTAGGAACTGAGTTGGCAAAGAGGGGAGGGAAAATGCTAATGGAATAATCCACCCATTCTGTCCTTTCTCCCTCTCAGCTTGCCATAGCGGAAACCTGAATCTTGTTAAATGGAGATGGGCAATACAGGCAATGGATCCTTCAGGTCTCCTTCTTCCAAGCAAATGTAGCCCTGGGAACACTTTCATTGAAAAGAAAGAAGAGACAAAGTGACTGGTGACTGGTGATACAAAATCAGAATAGGGATATTGGTATTTTATCTTCCAATATGTCTTCTGGACTTCTTGGTGATACTACTAATCAGGCGGGAGTGCTGTTGTCCCATATACTGCATTTGTATGACTCAGAAAAAGAAGCCCATTCCTCCAGGAAGAATCAGCCTTGGGCATCTTGCTTGAGGAGGAGAGCATGGGCTCAATTTCTATTGCAGTGACTAGCTTCTCCAACCCAAACCAGCTACTCTTCTCCAATGAACAACCTGAACATCCACACATGGTGGACCTGTGAATAGACCTTTGTTTTACAAGTTGCTGTGACTGAAATGGCTGTGAAATGAGGACTAAACTGACCGCAAGCATTGTGCACAATGAGGTATACTTAAGGGGATGTGTGTGTGTGTGTGTCCTGGTAAATAACTGAATTGCCAAAGATGTCTACAGAAGTCCAAGGTGGGTAACAAGAATGAGAACCAACAAAGGCAGCATCTCCTAAAATGTGTTTAGCAGGACCAACTTACCAGGAGATAATGAAAAAGCAAGAGGTGGACCTCAAGTCATTAGGAGAGAAGAAAATTAAAACCAGACGATTGGCCCACTGGTGATAAGTTGCCTGGAATAATCAGAGAATTTGAAGGCTGGCTTGGTTATCCCTGGAATCTGGCCCAATTCTGGTTTATAGCAAATGTTGTTAACTAGGGGGTCCATCAGTGACCTTCAGGGGACCTGTGAACCTCCTGAAATTACAGTATTATTTTGCATGTATGTGTGCATACACACTTTTGCTGTGGAGGGTCTTAGCAGTCATCAGATTATCGGATTAAGAACTGGTCTCGGCCAGGCACGGTGGCTCACGCCTGTAATCTCAACACTTTGGGAGGCCGAGGCAGGCGGATCACCTGAGATCAGGAGTTCGAAACCAGCCTGGCCAACATGGCGAAACCCCATCTCTACTAAAAATACAAAAATTAGCCGGGTGCGGTGGTGGGTGCCTGTAGTCCCAGCTACTAGGGAGGCTGAGGTGGGAGAATAATTTGAACCCAGAAGGTGGAGGTTGCAGTGAGCCAAGATCCTGCCATTGCACTACTGTCACCTGGGCGACAGAGCGAGACTCCGTCTCAAAAAAAAGAACCGGTCTCAAGATACACAGGTGACCCAGCTGGGTGGGTCAGAGTGCATTTTGTTGAACATGGAAACATTATACCATAAGATGTCCTGTTAGAAAACAAAGCTATTTACTATTAAGGCCAAGAAAGTTGTAATTTTTCTTGGAAAGAAGCTACTAATGCCTCAGAAGAACCTTTTTCCTCTTGTATGGAGTTTGATCACCTTGCCCATAAGAATCCAATGGTAATTCTCTGAGAGGCTTGGGTTTTCTGAATGAGTGTACCTAATATTGAATAAGCAAAGTGTGTTCCTCATTAGATGTTCAAACTGATACCCTAGTAAGTTATATTTACATTCTCTCAACCTCCTTAAGCTTATAGTAATTAATTTTCTCCTTTTTTGCAATCATCCAAATGAGTGGGTAAGAATCTGGGCCCTGGAGTCCTTCAATCTGAAATGCAAGATATGGCTCTTCCAGATACCAGTTGGAGAGGTTTGTATGTAATTTTATCACCCTGAATTTCAGTTTCAGCACTTGGTAAAATGGAGATAATAATAGTATCTACTGCACTGTCAACATTAGACAGATCAACGAGACAGAAAGTCAACAAGGATACCCAGGAATTGAACTCAGCTCTGCGCCAAGCAGACCTAATAGACATCTACAGAACTCTCCACCCCAAATCAACAGAATATACATTTTTTTCAGCATCACACCACACCTATTCCAAAATTGACCACATACTGGGAAGTAAAGCACTCCTCAGCAAATGTAAAAGAACACAAATTATAACAAACTATCTCTCAGACCACAGTGCAATCAAACTAGAACTCAGGATTAAGAAACTCACTCAAAACCACTCAACTACATGGAAACTGAACAACCTGCTCCTGAATGACTACTGGGTACATAATGAAATAAAGGCAGAAATAAAGATGTTCTTTGAAACCAACGAGAACAAAGACACAACATACCAGAAACTCTGGGACGCATTCAAAGCAGTGTGTAGAAGGAAATTTATAGCACTAAATGCCCACAAGAGAAAGCAGGAAAGATCTAAAATTGACACCCTAACATCACAATTAAAAGAACTAGAAAAGCAAGAGCAAACACATTCAAAAGACAGCAGAAGGCAAGAAATAACTAAAATCAGAGCAGAACTGAAGGAAATAGACACACAAAAAAACCCTTCAAAAAATTAATGAATCCAGGAGCTGGTTTTTTGAAAGGATCAACAAAATTGATAGACCGCTAGCAAGACTAATAAAGAAAAAAAGAGAGAAGAATCAAATAGACGCAATAAAAAATGATAAAGGGGATATCACCACCGATCCCACAGAAATACAAACTACCATCAGAGAATACTACAAACACCTCTATGCAAATAAACTAGAAAATCTAGAAGAAATGGATAAATTCCTCGACACATACACTCTCCCAAGACTAAACCAGGAAGAAGTTGAATCTCTGAATAGACCAATAACAGGAGCTGAAATTGTGGCAATAATCAATAGCTTACCAACCAAAAAGAGTCCAGGACCAGATGGATTCACAGCCGAATTCTACCAGAGGTACAAGGAGGAACTGGTACCATTCCTTCTGAAACTATTCCAATCAATAGAAAAAGAGGGAACCCTCCCTAACTCATTTTATGAGGCCAGCATCATCCTGATACAAAAGCCGGGCAGAGACACAACCAAAAAAGAGAATTTTAGACCAATATCCTTGATGAACATCGATGCAAAAATCCTCAATAAAATACTGGCAAACCGAATCCAGCAGCACATCAAAAAGCTTATCTACCATGATCAAGTGGGCTTCATCCCTGGGATGCAAGGCTGGTTCAATATATGCAAATCAATAAATGTAATCCAGCATATAAACAGAACCAAAGACAAAAACCACATGATTATCTCAATAGATGCAGAAAAGGCCTTTGACAAAATTCAACAACATTCATGCTAAAAACTCTCAATAAATTAGGTATTGATGGGTCGTATCTCAAAATAATAAGAGCTATCTATGACAAACCCACAGCCAATATCATACTGAATGGGCAAAAACTGGAAGCATTCCCTTTGAAAACGGGCACAAGACAGGGATGCCCTCTCTCACCACTCCTATTCAACATAGTGTTGGAAGTTCTGGCCAGGGCAATTAGGCAGGAGAAGGAAATAAAGGGTATTCAATTAGGAGAAGAGGAAGTCAAATTGTCCCTGTTTGCAGACGACATGACTGTATATCTAGAAAACCCCATTGTCTCAGCCCAAAATCTTCTTAAGCTGATAAGCAACCTCATCAAAGTCTCAGGATACAAAATCAATGTACAAAAATCACAAGCATTCTTATACACCAACAAGAGACAAACAGAGAGCCAGATCATGAGTGAACTCCCATTCACAATTGCTTCAAAGAGAATAAAATACCTAGGAATCCAACTTAAAAGGGATGTGAAAGACCTCTTCAAGGAGAACTACAAACCACTGCTCAATGAAATAAAAGAGGATACAAACAAATGGAAGAATATTCCATGCTCATGGGTAGGAAGAATCAATATTGTGAAAATGGCCATACTGCCCAAGGTAATTTACAGATTCAATGCTATCTCCATCAAGCTACCAATGACTTTCTTCACAGAATTGGAAAAAACTACTTTAAAGTTCATATGGAACCAAAAAAGAGCCCGCATTGCCAAGTCAATCCTAAGCCAAAAGAACAAAGCTGGAGGCATCACACTACCTGACTTCAAACTATACTACAAGGCTACAGTAACCAAAACAGCAGGGTACTGGTATATAGATATAGATCAATGGAACAGAACAGAGCCCTCAGAAATAACGCCACATATCTACAACTATCTGATCTTTGACAAACCTGAGAAAAACAAGCAATGGGGAAAGGATTCCCTATTTAATAAATGGTGCTGGGAAAACTGGCTAGCCACATGTAGAAAGCTGAAACTGGATCCCTTCCTTACACCTTATACAAAAATCAATTCAAGATGGATTAAAGACTTAAACGTTAGACCTAAAACCATAAAAACCCTAGAAGAAAACCTAGGCATTACCATTCAGGACATAGGCATGGGCAAGGACTTCATGTCTAAAACACCAAAAGCAATGGCAACAAAAGCCAGAATTGACAAATGGGATCTAATTAAACTAAAGAGCTTCTGCACAGCAAAAGAAACTACCATCAGAGTGAACAGGCAACCTACAAAATGGGAGAAAATTTTCGCAACCTACTCATCTGACAAAGGGCTAATATCCAGAATCTACAATGAACTCAAACAAATTTACAAGAAAAAAACAAACAACCCCATCAAAAAGTGGGCGAAGGACATGAACAGACACTTCTCAAAAGAAGACATTTATGCAGCCAAAAACCACATGAAAAAATGCTCCCCATCACTGGCCATCAGAGAAATGCAAATCAAAACCACAATGAGATACCATCTCACACCAGTTAGAATGGCGATCATTAAAAAGTCAGGAAACAACAAGTGCTGGAGAGGATGTGGAGAAATAGGAACACTTTTACACTGTTGGTGGGACTGTAAACTAGTTCAACCATTGTGGAAGTCAGTGTGGCCATTCCTCAGGGATCTAGAACTAGAAATACCATTTGACCCAGCCATCCCATTACTGGGTATATACCCAAAGGACTATAAATCATGCTGCTTTAAAGACACATGCACACGTATGTTTATTGCGGCATTATTCACAATAGCAAAGACTTGGAACCAACCCAAATGTCCAACAATGATAGACTGGATTAAGAAAATGTGGCACATATACACCGTGGAATACTATGCAGCCGTAAAAAATGATGAGTTCATGTCCTTTGTAGGGACATAGATGAAACTGGAAATCATCATTCTCAGTAAACTATCGCAAGAACAAAAAACCAAACACCGCATATTCTCACTCATAGGTGGGAATTGAACAATGAGAACACATGGACACAGGAAGGGGAACATCACACTCTGAGGACTGTTGTGGGGTGGAGGGAGGGGGGAGGGATAGCATTGGGAGATATACCTAATGCTAGATGACGAGTTAGTGGGTGCAGCACACCAGCATGACACATGTATACATACGTAACTAACCTGCACATTGTGCACATGCACCCTAAAACTTAAAGTATAATAATAAAAAATAAATAAATAAATAAATAACAAAAAATAATAGTATCTACCGTATAAGTTACTGTGAGGATAAAATAATCCAATTAATCCATGTTAGTCACAGTGTTTGGCATATACTAAGTGACTGATACAGGTTAGAATGAGACTTTACTCCCTGCCTCCCTTTTTAAATTTTGTTTTTACTTTGTATTTTTTTTTTAAATTGAGATATAATTTACACACAGTGAAATTCACAGATTTTAACTGGACAGTTCAATACATTTTGACAAATCCATGCCTCTTTTTGATAAAAGCCCCATGCCCTTTCTATTCCCTATATTCTAAAGTTTTTTGTTTTCCAAATGCTGAATTATATTACAATATATAATCTATCCATGAAAAATCTTCACCCCCCCACCACCAGCATACAGATTCTATTTTTTTCCCCTCATCTTAAGGTCTGCTTCTATAGGTTTTAAAATAGCTCCTCCCCACCCCCAGCCAATTTAAAACCTAGAAGGACCTTGGTACAGTCATTTTGCCACTTTCCTGCATCCTGGAAAGTCTATAGATAAAAACCAGTTGGTTTTATTTTTAGATCTCCAGGGAAAGCTTTTCTGCAACCTCTCTCAGTCACCTGTTTCAGCGCTTAGCAACACTTAACATTAGAAAGCTCTGTCTCTGTGTGTCCCTAGCTTTTAAATGGGTAATAACCACTAATGTTGATATAATGCTTTAGCAAGAGCCATGAAATGAGATAAGAAAGGAGGCAGAGTGGAGTAAACCTGGCCACATAAATGAGTGCATGTTTGTCCTTGTTGAGAATGGCAGGATTTGACCCAACTGAGATTGTGCCCAGGCAGAGGGTAAGCACTATTCAGCTCTACCTCATTGTTCTACAGGTGTGAAACCAGATCTACAGGTTTTCTACAGTCACCAGATCTTCAGATTTTCCTTCCAGGGAAAAAGGCAGAAATTTGTATTTTTATGTGAAATATTTTTTTTTAATATTAGCTTGCAAAAAAAAAAAAAGAAAAGAAAAAGAAAGAGAAAAGAAAGAAAGCTCTCTGTAGGTCAAGAAAACATGTCTGCTGCCTGCACATAGCCCATAGATCAGCTTATAATCCCTGTTGTAGTTCATACAGTGCTTTTACATCTACTACCTCATTTAATCTTGAGTATACCTGCAAGACAGGAAAGGCAAGGGGGCGTACAATCCTGATTTATTTTGTTTTGTTTTGGTTTTTTTTGAGACGGAGTCTCGCTCTGACGCCAGGCTAGAGTGCAATGGCGCGATCTTGGCTCACTGCAACCTCCACCTCCTGGGTTCAAGTGATTCTCCTGCCTCAGCCTCCCAAGTAGCTGAGATTACAAGTGTGCACCACCATGCCCGGCTAATTTTTGTTTTAGTAGAGACGGGGTTTCACCATGTTGGCCAGAATGGTCTCGATCTCCTAACCTCGTGATTCGCCCAACAATCCTGAGGCTTGTTAAGAGAAGAAACTGAGGCTTAGAAATATGAAATAAGTTGTTCAAACCACACATCTGGCAGAACCTAGGACTTATGGTTCTATTTCACTGTGACTCCTGCTACATCCCAGCTTTGCCCTCCAGGGGCCGTTAGAGCCCTTGTTCACTTCTTAGTGAGTGGAGACATCACCCAGAGTTTACTAGTTGTTTGTGGAAAATGCAGGAAAAAATGAAGGGCAACTCAAAGAGTAAATCTGGTATAAATGCAATAGAATATTGGTTGCAAAGAGCAATAACAATGACATCTTATGGGGGATTAAATATTTGTAGAATTAAAAGCTATGATAGGCCGGGTGCAGAGGCTCACACCTGTAATCCCAGCACTTTGGGAGGCTGAGGCAGTTGTATCACCTGAGGTCAGGAGTTTGAGACCAGCCTGGCCAGCAAGGTGAAACCCTGTCTCTACTAAACATACAAAAATTAGCCAGGCATGGTGGTGGGTGCCTGTAATTCCAGCTACTCTGGAGGCTGAGGCACAAGAATCACTTGAACCGGTGAGGTGGAGGTTGCAGTGAGCTGAGATTTTGCCTGAGCAACAAGAACGAAATTCCGTCTCAGAAAAACAACAAACAAGAAAACAAAACAAAGATAAACAAATAAATAAATGCTATGATAAAAATAAAAACACCCGGCCGGGCGCGGTGGCTCACGCCTGTAATCCCAGCACTTTGGGAGGCCAAGGCGGGTGGATCACGAGGTCAGGAGATCGAGACCATCCCGGCTAACATGGTGAAACCCCGTCTCTACTAAAAATACAAAGAAATTAGCCAGGCTTGGTGGCGGGCACCTGTAGTCCCAGCTACTCGGGAGGCGGAGGCAGGAGAATGGCGTGAACCTGGGAGGCAGAGCTTGCAGTGAGCCGAGATGGCGCCACTGGACTCCAGCCTGGGTGACAGAGCGAGACTCAGTCTCAAAAAACAAACAAACAAACAAACAAAAAACACCCTGAGGTAGTTGACAGGTTTAAACTTTCTAAGGTCTTTGGATTATTTCAGAAATGGGAAAAATATCAACTTATATTGGACCATAGTAAGAAAGAGTGGCCACTATAAGAAGAATAGAAGAACATATAACTGAGAAGCTAATACAGGGAAAAATACTGGATTAATATAAAAGAAGGCAAGAAAGGAGAGAAAATGACATAAAACAGGTAGGACAAATAAAAAATCAGAAAACAAATAGAAAGATAGTAAATATAAACCTAACTATATCAGTAATTACATTAAATGTAAACGGACTACTTCAATGAAAATACGAATACGGTCATGCTAGATAAAATATAAAAACCCAACTGTATGTCCCTTAAGTATAAGGACACAAAAGGTAGAAAGAAAAGGGCTGGGTTGAGTGGCTCACACCTGTAATCTCAGCACTTTGGGAAGCCAAGGTGGGAGGATCGCTTGGGGCCGGAGTTTGAGACCAGCCTGGGTAGCATTGTGACACCCCTGTTTCTACAAAAATAAAACATTAGCTGGTGTGGTGATGCACACCTGTCGTCCTAGCTACTTGGGAGGCTGAGGCAAGAGGATTCCTTGCCTCAAATTCCTGCAGCCCAGGATTTTGAGGCTGCAGTGAGCTCTGATCACTGTACTCTAGCCTGGGCAACAGAATGAGAATCTGCCTCATTAAAAAAAAAAAATGCCTAGTATACACCAATCAAAAGAAAACTGTGTAGCTATACTGATACCAGGCAAAGTAGATTTATAGCATGAAGCACTACCAGAGAGATTAATGCTGTAATGAATGAATATGGTCATCCATTTTATAATGATAGTGTGATAGTGTGGTCAATTTTTTCATTGATAATGATTTTATAATGACAGTATGGTCAATGTGTCAGGAAAATATAACAATTATTGGCTTATATATAACTTTCATATCACTAAAAGTATATAAAACAAAGATGAACAGAACTAAAGGAGAAACAGATAAAGCCACAGTCACAGAGGGAAACTTTACCACATCTCTCTTGATAACTGACAGAATGATCAGACAAAAAAATTAACGAGGATATGAAAGATCTGAAAAACAAAATTGACACAAACTTGACCTACAGATGCATACAAAACACTGTTCACAATGATGACAAAAGTATTAATACATTCTTTCCAAGTCTACGTGAAATGTTTCTAAAATTTGAACATATATTGTGGCAAAAACCAAGTTCTAAGAAAATCCCAAGAACTGAAATCAGTCAGAATTTTCTGAGTATGTTAACTTAAACTAGAAATCAATAACAAAAAAACCCTAAAATATCACCGAATATTAATAAAATTCTAAGTAATCCATGGGTTAAAGAAGAAATCACAGTGGAAAAATTTCATCCTTAATAATAAAATATGACAAATCAAAAATGTGTGATGCAATTAAAGCTTTACTTATAGCTTTATACATTTATATTAGGAAAGAACAAGGCTGAAATTCAAGAATCTAAGTATTCATTGAATAATGTTTTAAAAGAACGGCAAATTAAACTCAAAGTGAGAAGAAGGAAGGGAATCATAAAAATAAGATCAGAAATTAATGAATTAGAAAACAAAACAAAACAACAAAAAAAGAAAGTAATGAAATAGAAAACAAATGCACCTTAGAGAAAGTCAACAACGCCAAATTTTGGTCTTTGAAAAGACTAATAAAAATGAATTGATCTCTAACAAGACTCGTCAAGACAAAAAGAGGAAAAGCACAAATTACCTATATCAGAAATTAAATTCACCGCAAACCTTTCAGACACTAAGAAGTTAATAGACTATTACATATCCTTATGCCAAACATTTTAGAAAATTTAGGTAAATGGAAAACTTTCTAGAAAAGCACAATTTAAAAAAAACAATTAAAAAATAAAAATCTGAATAGCTGTATATCTACTAAATCAATTAAATATATAATTAAAAATCTTCACACAAAGAAAACTCTAGGCACAAATGGCTTCACTGATGAATTATCCCAAATATTTCAGAAATAAATAATATCAATACTGTGCAAACTCAAAAAATAGAGAATATTACATTCTATGAAGCCAATATAATTTGGATATCAAAATCTGACATACACATGAAAAGGAGAGAAGATTTTGGCCAATCTCTTCCAAGAATGTAGCACAAAACTTACAAACAAAATATCAGCAAATTGAATCCAATGATACATAAAATAGACAATAGATCAGGACTAAGCGGATTTGTTCAAAAACACAAGAATTATCTAACAAATGAAAACCGATCAACGTAGTTCATGCCCTAAACAAAATAACTGAGAAAAATCAATATGGTCATCTAAATAAATGAGAAAAAGGTTTAATATTTTAACACCCATGAATGAAAAAGTTATTAGTGAACTCAGACTAAAAGAGAATTTCTAGATCTTTTAGAGTATCCACAAAACTCTTAAGGTAAAAATAATACTTGAGAAATAGTGAAAATTTTCCCATGAAATCAGAAATGAAAAGATGCTCAGCACACATCACGATTTCTATTCGTATTATACTAGGAGTCTTAAGCCACTTCAATAAAACAATAAAAACAAATATGTAACTTGTTATAAGAATTGGAAAGAAAAGAATAAAATTTGCATTATTTGTAGTCAGTACATTATATACATAGAAAAAAATAATCTACAAATTGTGATCAAAAACTGAATTTGGGGCCGGGCACAGTGGCTCATGCCTGTAATCCCAGCACTTTGGGAGGCCAAGGCGAAAGGATCACTTGAGCCCAGGAATTTGAGATCAGCCTGGGCAACATGGCAAAACCCTGTCTCTATTAAAAATACAAAGAATTAGCCGGGCATGGTGGCACACACCTGTAATCCCAGCTACCCAGGACGCTGAGGCACAAGAATCGCTTGAACCCGGGAGGTGGAAGTTGCAGTGCGCCGAGATTGAGCCACTGCACTCCAGCCTGAGTGACAGAGCAAGACTCTGTCTAAAAAAAAAAAAAAGAAAGAAAGAAAAGAAAAAAGAAAAAAACTAAAAACCCGAAACCCCCCAAATTTGGCAAGATTTATTGATTTTAAGGCCAATATAAAAATCACTGCTCTGTATACGTGCCAGTGCAAAAAAAAAGGTCAATTTATATTATCAGTGCAAACAGAAAGGAAAAAAATTTTAATTAATTTCATTTACAATAGCATCAAAAGTTTAAAATACTTAAAACTAGGTGTTATAAAAGATGTGCAAGACCTTTATACTGAAAACTATAAAACTTTGCTGAGAGAAATTTAATAAAATATAAAGACGGTCGTCTCCCCAAATGCATCTATGGATTAACAAAGCTGTCTGAACTACCAGATATTAAGACTAATGATATAGCCATAGTAATTAATTCAGTGTGGTATTGAATTAAATTGAAGGAGATTAGTGGAATAGAGAAGGGTACAGACATAGATCCACATACACGGATACACAATTACTTGATTTATGACAAGTGTGAAATGGTAGGGTGGTGAGGGAAAGTTAGTCTTCTTAATAAATAGTTGCTGTGTAAATTGCATATCCATACCAAAAAAAGTGCATCTTGAACCCACCCAATCCCATACACAAAAACCAGTTCTAGATGGATTAAATGTGAAAGGAAAATCCATAACTCTTCTAGAAGAAAACAAAGAAGAATGTTTTCATGATCTTTGGGACAGGCAAAATTTTCTTACATACACACAAATACCATTAATTATATAAAGGGAAAAATTGATAAAATTAAGAACATTAGCTCAGCCAAAGATTTAATTTAGAGAGTAAAGGGGCAAGCCCCAGAATAGAAGAAGATATTTGCAAAACGCATATATGCCAAAGAACTGAAATTCAAAACATATAAAGAACTCTTAAAAACCAAAAAGAGACAGCTAACCCTGTAGAAAAATGAGTAAAAGGCTTGAACAGGTACTTCACAAAAGAAGATGGCCAAAGGGCGAATAAATTTATGAAAAAGTGTTCAGTTTCAGTGCTCGTAAAAAATGAATTTAAAACCAAAATGAGATGTCATATGACCGCACTGGATTGACTCACATTAAAATGATGGAAAATACCATTGTTGCAGAAGCTGTGGAGACTCTTCATTGCTAGTGGGAATGGAAATTGCACAACATATATGGAAATCTATGTGGTAGGTGCCACGAAAATCACACATGCATGCCCCACGTCCCAGCAGCTGCAGTATAGGAATCATAAAATCAGCTCCTCACTTGCTCCAGGTTTACTCATGTCTCCCTGCACTAAAATAATCTCTTTTGAGCCCATTTTCTCTTAAAATCTTCCAAGTTTCTTCTCACCTTTTCTCCCTCAGGAGCGTGACGAGGGCTTCTATCCTCCTATATTTAGCAGCTCCTGGAAAGAGACCCGTCCCTAGGACACATCTCAACACCCTTAGGAACTGACCACAGCCTGGAGCCACCGTGGCGTAGAATGTGGGGGAAACTTTTGTGACATGGTGCCAAAGCAATCATTGGGCCTCCTGTGTCACTCTCCTAAATCGAGGCCTGAAACAGCCTGGCTGAAGTAATTTTTTTTTTTTTTTTAAGAATGATACCTAATGTTGGCTTGATAGGCAGAATAGAACATGACCCCCCAAAGATGCCCGTATCCTAAACCATGGAACTTGTGAATATGTTACACTGCATGACAAAGGGGAACTGAGGTTGCTAATCAGCTGAGTGTAGGAAGATTGTCCTAGATCATCCAGGTGGATCTGATCTAATGACACAGGCCCTTAAAAGTGGAAGAAGGCAGGAGAGTGGATCAGAAAGATGTGATGTGAGGAGGACTGACTGCTGTTGCTGGATTTGAAGATGGAGGAAGAAGGCCTTGAGCCAAGGAATGTGGTAGCCGCTAGCCAGCAAGAAAACAGAGACTTCTTCCTTCAATCACAGGGAATTGAGTTCTGCCAGCAACCCGAATGAGCAAAAAATGAATTTTTCCCTAGGGCCTCCAGAAAGTAAGGTGATATGCTAACATCTTTTTTTTTTGGGGTCTTGCTCTGTTGCCCAGGGTGGAGTGCAGTGATATAATCACAGCTCACTGTAGCCTCCAACTCCTGAACTCAAGTGATCCTCCTGCCTTAGCCTCCCATGTAGCTAAGACTACAGTTGCAGGCCACCATGCCCAGCTAGTTTTTAAATTTTTTGTAGAGATGAGGTCTTGCTTCCTTGCCCAGCCTGGTCTCAAACTCCTGGCCTCAAGCAATCCTCCCACCTCAGCCTCCCAAAGCACTGGGATTTCAGGCATGAGCCACCAGTGCGCCTGGCCTAAAGCTGCCTGGTTTATAGCTATTTATAATAGTACAGCAGCAATGGAAAACTGAGATAGTTGTCAAGGAGGCAAGAAAATAGGACTTTCATAAGAAAGCAGGCTGTTTTATCAGAAAAGAATTCACTAAAACATGGATTCTCCAAATAGCCCGTTAATGGAATAAGTCAATAAATGTACCAAATTTACTGATTTACAACAACACTGAAAGTAGCCTGTGGATTCTGGAGTACTGTGAGGGATGATGTAGGAAGGGAACCTTCAGAACTACTCCCACTGTTCAAATGGCTATGTGCTACTTCCAGTAATCATAGATGATTTATATGTTGTAAAAAAATAATAATATCAACTTGGTAGCAATTTTCAGAAAATCTATATAGCTCACAATCAAGACAAAACTGGTCAAAATATAAAAAAGAAGGTATCAGTGACAGACTAGAATCACCAAATCTGGATACAGATTCGCTATAAATATGAAATTAACTAAGAGAGTCAAACACTAATTGGCTCCAAATAGTAGCCCAGAAGATGCGCCAAGCAAGAAAAGGGCAGAAACCATCAGAAGGATTTAAAATAGAAACTGATATGCCATTGAGAAATTGACAAAAGAAAGCCCCAAATGACTAAAAATGGGAATGATAGAAAATGGCACGCAGGAGTCCAAAACAATCCTGTGAATTCTTTACAGGAGAAATGATAAAAATTTAACAATTTAATGGCTAGAAATGCATTGAGGTTAACACACAATCTGAGGAATTAGCAAATGAATGCTAAAAATGCATGTAATTGAATAAATGTAAGAGACATTCACCAGCACACTAAAGAGATCAGAGGAAACAATACCATCTAATATGAAATTCTGACATTTTGATGTCTAGCAAGGAATACTTGGGATCTGAGGACTTAGTAGCAGTTTGCAGAAGAGTTGACAAAAAAGAGTAAACTGTTCCAGGCAGCCAAAAAAGAGTACAGAAATCTAGGAGAGATTACTTTAATGAGCAGTACAATGAGTGCCTTGAATATGACAGACATTAATGATCAATATACAATAGAAATATATAAAATACAAAAATATTAAGGAAAGCCAAGCACAGTGGCTCATGCCTGTAATCCCAGAACTTTGGGAAGCCGAGGCAGGTGGATCACTTGAGGTCAGGAGTTCAAGACCAGCCTGGCCAACATGTTGAAACCCCATCTCTACTAAAAATACAAAAATTAGCTGGGCATGGTGGCACAAACCTGTAATTCCAGCTACTTAGGAGGCTGAGGCAGGAGAATCACTTGAACCAGTGAGGTGGAGGTTGCAGTGAGCCGAGATTGCACCACTGCACTCTAGCCTGAGTGACAGAGTGAGACTCTGTCTAAAAAAAAAAAAAAAAAAAAAAAAGGTATCTAAGGAAAGGTAACAAGTCAATTGGTTATTAATCCAAAAAATGCTAGACAATTGCTAAGCTGAGAAACTATGGAGAAAGTAGCTGAACACTGAACACTCATAAAAATTTTAAGTGTGGCAACAGAAAATGACATTAAAAAAGAATTCAAAACAAATCAGTAAAAACCGAAAGATTTTTGTTTAAAATGACAACATTCTGGTGTCTAATGAGGAAATACACTTTTTGAATATTAAAGATACCCACACACAAAGCCCCATCATTTCAACAAACTGAGTAATCCGTAATGCCTGCTTAAGAACAAAATGAAAACCCATCCACTCAGACTTGTTGGTGATCTCCAAAAACCACATGAAAACCTTCTTGCGCAGTAGAAATCTTTACAACTATGTTAATCAGTACATTTGTTAAATTATTTACTCTGTTAATTGGTAGTTTGAAGAATTGGCTTTGGCTTGTTCTGTCTGTTCTGTCTGTCTTTGGCTTGTTCTATCTGTCTGTCTGTCACTCTATCTTCCTAACTGGCTATTTTGTGAATTGGTTATTTGATGAATTGGTTTTTGGAAAAATGGCTTTAGATCGATTCAGTGTTGGTAAATTCACCCAAAACCACTTCCTCCATGGCAAATGGGAAAGGCAAATAGATTTAAAAAAAAAAAAAAAAAAAAAAAAAGCTTTCTGGAAAGCAATTTGGCAACCCTTGTTAGAAACTGTAAAAATGTGAATGGGATTCATTGACCAACAATTCTGCTTCAAATAAATTATTTTTAAAACAGTCCAGGCACAGTGGCTCACACCTGTAATCCCAGCATTTTGGGAGGCTGAGGCAGGCAGATCACCTGAGGTCAACAGTTTGAGACCAGCCTGGCCAACAAGGTGAAACCCCGTCTCTACTAAAAATACAAAAATTAGCCAGGTATGGTAGTGCATGGCTGTAGTCCCAGCTACTCAGGAGGCTGAGGCAGGAGAATCGCTGGAACCTGGGAGACGGAGGTTGCAGTGAGCTGAGATCATGCCACTGCACTCCAGCCTGGGTGACAGAGCAAGACTCCCTCTTGAAAAAAAAAAAAAAGAAAGGTTAAAAAAGAATGAATGACAATGTGCAAAAAGATCAGGCTACATGGATTTTGTACCAGAATTATCTAATACAGTAAAATATTAAAGACAAGTAAAAATTTCAATAACAGGTGTTGGTTAAATGGATCAGCGGACTGTTATGAAGCTTTAAAATTTGTGCTGTGAAAGCACATTTGATGTCTTGAAAAGTTCTTCAAGCATTACTGTTTTTAAAAAGCTGTGAAACAGACTGATACTACTTTAGTAAACACACAAAAAAATGCCATATGCATGTGACTGAGTGGATAAACTCCAAAATATTTAGTTATTTTGGGGTTGGCATTATGGATAATTTTTATTTTCTTCTTTTTGTTTACCTGAATTTTCTAAAATTTCCACACTGAAAATGTGTTATTCTTTATAAAAAGAAAAAAGAGTTTTTAATCACTCATTAGCTTAGAAGCCAGGACACGCTTCCAAGGTATATGGCCTTATATAAGCCACTGTGCCTCTCTCCAAGTCTTCGTGTTTCTCATTTTCCTTGACCTTCACATCTCTTTCGTGGTCTTTCCCTTCCCTTCTTTAAATTTGGTTAGCGACCTACTACTTCTAGAAATTCATACCCCACGAACTACAGCATTGCTTGGAGACTGTTTTTTAACACTTACATGTTGTATGCTGACATACAGGGTTTGCATCCTCTAACTGTTGAGTGGCAGGCACTCAAGGAGCAAAGGACACCAAAAGGAGGAAGACACTCCTAGAAGTTCAGACTCTAGTGGAAGAGACAGATATTTGATCAGAAATGGCACTGCAATGTGGAAAAACACACTCATAAAAGTATGAGCAAAGTGGTCTAAGATCACAGAGGTCAGCAGTGACTTCTTGAAGAGGTAAGACTGGAGTTGGATCCTGGAGGAGGGAACATGATGAGCCCACAGTTATTGGCTATGACCAGGCCCTGTGGTATAGACTTTATGTGCCTTATGTCATATAATTCTCCCAGCAATCATACCAAGCATCCTCTCCCCTTCCCAACTTTTTCTTAAGCAGTTTAGAACACTGTAGTGTAAGAGGGTAAGTAACTTGCCCAGGTGCTGTGTGGTCACTCCTTGCCTTGTCCTCTTCTGCTGTCTCTCCCAGAGCACTGACCCCGGCAATCTACACTACCTAGACACCATTGCCAACTGGTTCAGCCAAGTGGGAGTCTGGAGGATGGGAGTTAGGGAGAAACCACAGAAGTTTCTGCCGCCTTCCTCCCAGCTCCACGTAGCAACTGCAGGTAGTAGCTTCAACAGTGGCTGTTTGCCTCCTTGGTTCCAGCCCCCATAAACCTTGACAGCCCTTCCTCAGTGGTCGCAGTTCCCATCAACCCTGGATTCCCAGGTTCTAGTAACCTACCTCCTCCTTTTGTCCCTCCAGCTTAGGCACTGCCTTCCTACATTCCATCTCTGCTCCGCCTCAGCCTCTCCTGCGTGGACTTGCAGCTCCACTGCCACCTCTATAATTAGTTCCTGATGTTAAAATCCCCACATGAACCATCTAGCATGGCCTGTGTTCCTGAACAGATCCTGACCCATATAGTCACACAGCTAATCAGTGGCTGAACTAGGATACTCATGGCTCTTGAACTCCAAAGTCTTCAAAGATGGTAGCCCACAGTCATTGAATAGTTACTGAGTGTCAAGGTCTTCAAACGTATCATCTCATTTAATCCTCACCACAACCCTACCAAGTGAGTGCTCTTATTATCTCCCATTTACAAGAGAAAAAGCCAAAGCCAAGAAACTTTCCCAAAAGGCACAGCAAGCAAGTTGGAGAAAGAAGAGTGAGACCCAGGCTGTTTGAATCCAGGACCTGTGTTCCTACCTCTTGGCTGTCCCAGGTTGGACAGAAAGGAGCGGGGAGATGGGAGAGATTCCTAAGAGAGGTGAGAGTTAGAAAAAAGGCAAGGGGAGCCTTGGACCAGTCTTTGACCTCAGGATTGCAGTTCCTGATCTGTAGTTTGAGAGGACAGACCTAGTCACCAATCCCCCCTTTCCTGGCACCCAACAGCAGTCTTGTCATTCTAGGCATCTATGGGAGAAGACAGTAAATGAAATATGCCAAGAAATCCAAGGTGTAGTGTTCAATGGCCATGCCCTTCTCTGCACCTCCCTCTGCTCCTCATCTCCACCCTCCTACTTCCCATGGTCCTCTCTCCTCCATTGGGAAAAAGCCCATAATCCCCTTGGGAAATCCACCCATCCTTCAGGCTCCCACTGCCTTGGCATTTGCACATCACAGGGAGTGCAGGTTGCTCTGACTCTAATTAGCAGGTGCTGAGCAGTTTCCACATTTTTTAGTAAATATGTCAAAACACAAAATCCATTCATTCTTTCCTCTCCTCTACCCTTCCCCTCCTCTTGTAAAACACGCTTTTCTCTCTTGGCTGCTCAGTGGAGAAGTGTTTTTCTTCAGCAAGAGTGAAAGTGGCATTAACACAGGGAGTCTGGCAGTTTTACAATCCTTTTCAAATCCTCATCTGCCCTCCTGGTCATTCATCCATCTGTTCATTCGTTCATTCATGTGCCTTCTATGGGGCAGGCACTGACTTAGGGCTTTGGGTTTTATTGGGGCCTCTCAAGTATAAGGCTGGCATCAGCAAGGATCCCATAGAGACCCTCCAGGAGATCCCATTATCACCCAGGACCCAGCCAGGGCAATAAGGTACCATGGAGCCTCGGGGGACTTAAGCACTTAATTTCCACCATCTCTCTGGGCCTCCTGCTGGGGTGACTGGAAAACAACTCCTTAAATCAAGCAGCAGCTGGCTCCCTCCCTGCTGGGCTCTCCTCCCCAGCACCCACCCCCTTTCCCTCAAGTCCCTGGGTTGGAGAAGCTGAATTTCCAGCCGTTATCCGCCTCTCCCTTTCCCAAACCTCCCCTGCAGCCTTTCTTCCCAAGCCCTCGCCCCAAACAAAAGAAACAGGAAGTTGAGAGGGTGGGGCTGCTGTTCAGACCCATCCAATCCCTGGAGCTTTTCCACAAAGCCTGCTGCCAGATTCCTTTTACAGCCTGGGTGCTTGGAACCAGTCTTAGCTCTCCTGGCCAGAATGAGGGACCTCGGAGTGGGCTGGGAGGGAGTGGGGGTGGAATTCCCCATCTGAGTGTTGTTTGTTGTTGAATTTAGGGTGACACAAGAATATAAACCCCATAGTGATTTTGAAGGGCTGGCAGTTCGGTTTCACCAGGAATTCACACAGGCCTCCCTGGCTCTCCTCCTGCAGCCTTCTGAGGCTATCTTTAGAGAAGGGAGAGGAAGAGGCCTGGGGTGTTCCAGGCTTGAGTCAACAAACCCCATCCAAATCCAGTCAAGCCAGCAATTTCACCTAATTCCACCAGCACCTACTCTTCCTTTGGCCTTTGTCAGTAGCCCCCCAGGGCTGCCACCTGCAACAGTCTTAGCCTACCCTTGGTCCAGCCTCCCAGGGTTGACAGAGCATCTCCCATGCCCCTAGGACTTCATGGACAAAAAGGGAAAGGAAGTGGTCCCTACCCTTGAGGATGAGCTCCTGGCTGTAGGAGACAGAGCTGTCTATGAGCCAAGTATTTCAACAGAGAAAATACAGTGTTGGGGTAGGGACAAGGGAAGTATAGTATATAAAACAATATGTGGGGGCCACAGAATAGAGGCTGGCAGGGCCTTGGATGCTGCACTACCCCAGTCTACTCAGTGATATGAAAACTGAGGCCCAGAGAAGTGAGGCACCTTGTCCAAGGTCACACAGCCAGTCAGGGGCAGCACAAGACTCACACCGAAGCCCCCTGGCTTGGAAAGTTAAATGTCCAGGTTGTGAACTACGCCCAGTTGTCAGTCAGTCCCTCTTCCTCCTCCTCCCCTCACTCTCCTCGGATCCCCCAGCGTTTACCCTCTCTGAGTGGCTGGGCCCCAGGAAAGCAGTCACTGGAACTATTCGGAGGAGGCAGTGAGCAGTGCCAGCAGAATCATTTCCATTAGTTTATACCATTTTGCAGCTCCTCCAATCTGCCTGCTCCCTGCTGGTCCTTCCATGTCCTGACTGAGATGGCTGTTCTGTTTGTTTCCATTGTCTGAGAAATAAAATGGTTTTGATTACACCCACGGTCTCTCGTGAATGACTGTACTTTGGCTACCCACAAGGCAAAAGGCACCAGCTGCATCCCTCAACCATGGCTCCTAGAAGAGGCCTGCTTGCCTATTCCACAGGGGCTTGAGCCTGAGCCAAGGGAGCCGCCCAGACCCCACCCACATTCACTGCTGATGCAGACTGAGCCTGGGGAGAGGCAGAGCTGTGCAAAGGGTAGCATCTGGGAGGGCCCTCTTCTGTTAGCCTCAAAGGAAGGGGAGGGCAAGGCCAAGGAGAGGAAACTAATGGTTTTAAGGGCATAAGGCAAAACTCAGTCCACAAAGTCAAAGTCCTAGTAGGCTTAGTACCTACTGTGCACCAGATCCTGTTCTCAAAGCTGAGGACTGAAGCAGTGAATGGAGGACAGCAACACCGGTGCCTCCCGATGGGAATCTTACTCTAAATCTTTAACAACTGGACCTGCATAGACACCAATCCATCAGCCACCAAGTAGCACAGTCCCAGGGTCTCCCCTACTGGGCTGGGAATTAACCCTTTAGGTGCTGAATCCTAATTAGGTCTTGGGGGTCCCAGGGAGGGACTGGAGCAGCCAGGATGGTGGAATCCCAGATAGCAGCTGCTCACCAACCAGCACAGAAGGACTGCAATATTACGGCAATATTAAATATCAGCCATATGCCCAGAGGGTCAGATGAGAAGGTTGGAGATGACTGTGGCAAACTCATCATTAGGGGCAACCACTATTCAGCAGTGGCCCATAATTGCCTCATGGGAGGAAGCAGCCCATTGATTCTGGATCTTCCCATTTTTCAAGAGGAGTCCGATCTGAAGTGTGTATGTGTGTGTAGAACTTTTTATTTTAAAACATTTGTTTACATAGCCAGACTAGGCCAAAGAAAATGTATCTTTGCCCATATGCCCTCTGAGAGCCCCCAGTTTGAGCCCTCTGGCCTTAGGGTACCAGGAACTGTGCTGAACTTTAACTGCAGTTAATTCCTCACAACGACCCACCAGGTTCTTGTTATTCTCTCCACTTGAAAGAGGAGAAAACTGAAAATCAGTTTTCTATGGGGTGATGGGAGCCAACAGGAGAACTCATCTGGAACAAGAGAAGGCAGCTGGTTGAACCCAAATCTGCCTGTCTCCAAGGAGGAGAGAAGACCCTCTTGGGTGCAAAAATGTTTCTGTGCTCCAGTCGGCATGTGTCCTGTTGATGGTTGGGCTGGGGCTGAGGACAGGTCTGCAGAGGGACTGGCAAGGTTGCTAGGGGTGGCTGAGATGGGCCTAGGATGCCTGCAGGAATGGTGGGAAGGGGTGTGAACCTGCATGGAGAAGTGGGAATGGGGTAGGTATGTTAGAGAGATTCTGGAGTTCATTCTTGTGGGAGGAATGAGTGGACTTGGGTCTTAGTGAGGACTCAGAGACCCCCTAGGAGGGGCTGAGGTTTTGTTTTCTATGATCCTGCAGAAAGGCCCACATGCCACCTTCTCTGCCCTGGCCCAGGGAACTGATTGCCAAGTGTGGCCGCACGGTACACCCTCCCTTCCAGGATGCCTGCTGCTCCTGGGTTCCAGTCTAGTTCCTTCCCAGGCCCTGGGTGGGGCCACCAGCTGGTAGGTGGGCTCTTGTGATCACCTTCAGCAAGACTGTGCTGTAGTGACAAGCATGAGAGCAAGGTGGGGCTGTGGGGAGGGTGGGGCAGGCAGAAAGGACTGACTGAGGAAGAAGCATGGGGACAGGAGCATACATGTCTGTAGGAAGAATGGTGAACTGTCCCCCTGTCCCAAAGGACTGGGACTGGTGGAAAGTGAAGGCTTAAATGGCAGGCTGTGACCAAGTTGAGGGATTCTTAAAGGACAAGGACCAGAGTTGAGATATTTCATTCAGCAGGCAATAGAGAGCCATGGAAGATTTGCTAGTGGGGTATCTGTCTTAGTTTGGGCTGCTATAACAAAATATCATAGACTGAGTGGCTTAAATAACAGATATTTATTTCTCCCAGTTCTGGAGGCTGGAAAATCTGAGATCAGGGTGCCAGCATGATTGGGTTCTGGTGAGACCTGTCTTTCTAGCTTGCAGACAGCTTCCCTCTTGCTGTATTCTTACATGGCCGAGAGAGCTTTAGTCTCTTGCTTTTCTCATAAGGACACTAATCCCATCATGGAGAATCTACTCACATGACCTCATCTAAACTCAATTACCTCCTAAAGTCCCCACCCTTCCTAATACCATCACATCGGAGGTTAGGATTTCAGCATATGATCCGGGTGCTGGGGGCGGTGCACAAACATTTAGTCCATAATAGCGTCAGACACATTGTGAGGCTGGAAGCTAATATCTGAGCTCCTAACTTGTGCTAGTCCCTTTGTGTATCCTTTATCCAGCTTTATATGTGTATATATATATTTATCTCCATATTCCTCTGATTCTGAGAACAGCCCTGTGAGAAAAATATTAAATAGTTTCACTTTGCACATAGGGATATTGCAGCTCAGAAATGTCCAACAACATTCCTGAGGTCATATAGCTGCTGGTAAATGACAGATCAGGATTGTAACTGAAGTCGGGGGACTTTGTGAAACTAGAGGCCAGAAGAGTAGCTAGAAGTACTATCTGGATATGAATAGTAATATCTGTAACTGCAATTGAGGCAGGAGAATCACGAGAGGGAATGAATGCTGGAGATCTCAGAGTGGGACCTAGTGAGAATTGATCCAGTATGGATGGGGCCAGAGGAAGAAGCCACAGAGGATGGGGCAGGGGAGAGGGGACTGATGGGAACCCTGGCAAAACCATTAGCAATGTAGAGAATTTGGGAGAGAGCTCAGTTTTCAGAAGATAGTCTTACTATGATTTTGGAAATGTTGTGTTAGTTATAGAGGAATGGGAAGTGGCATTTTTACTTCCCAGCTTGGCAGTACAGAAAGACAAACTAAAACAGAAACTTCCCAACTTTTTAACTCATCCACAGCAAAACAAAAACAGAAACAAACAAACAAACAAACAAAAAAACATGTGACAATACTTGCTCTTCCTCTACATAATGTACTCTGACTTTTCCTATCCTATTCTACTGAATTTCATGGTGGGGGCGTGGGTGGAGAAGGAGAACGCCGGCTGCCTCTCGTAGAATTGATTTCATGACTCACAAATGGGGAAGGGCCCAAAGTTTGGCTAAGACTTCACCAGAAGCAGGGTGGAGTGGAGCAGCCAGTCCTCATGGTCACCACACACGGACTTTATGAAAGACAGAACCAAGAGAGGAATTGATATTGGCAAGAATGGGAAATTGAGAATACTTAATGTTCAGGGGAATCAAGGAGGGCAGGGCTTCTAAAAGGCCCCTTATTTTTACAATGAGGGCATCAGGGACCTTCCAAGGAACTGTTTCAGTCAGTGAGGGAGGTGGAAGCAAGATTGGAAAATAGGAGTAGGCATAAGGAGATGAAAGAGGGAGGGGTGTTAAAGGCTTGCCTGCATGCAGAGGGGAGGGAGCCAGCAAAGAGGAAGTGATTGAAGGTGTCCCACAGTGAGCTGTGTGGGTGCGAGCGGAGGTGGTAATGGATGGAGCCAAGTCCACGTGGAGATGGAAAATCCTGGAATGAGCTGGGACAAAGAGCACTCTGGGAAGGAGGCCGGGTGCTTCTTTCTCTCAGATAGGAAAGGGGAGAGTCTAGGTAAAAATAGATATTTACAGGAGTGAAGAGGCAGTGATGGCAAGCAGAAGGGGAAAGATGTTGGAATGTGAACGGCTGAACCCAATTTTCTCAGCAATGTAGAAGGCAAGGTCATCTGCTGAGAATGAGGATGGCAACTTCATGTGAATGAGAAAAGTTGGGAACAGCTGCTAGGAAACATCAACAAGTAAAGAAACAAAAGAAAGGCTGAATAGTGGGAGGTCCAGTGTAGATCCCTTGGTCTGTGAAACCTGTGGTTTGCTGGTTTGGAGGGCCTCTGCTTTCTCCCCACGAATACTGTAAAAGCACGGCCCCTTCTTCTCCCCAAGGTTACACATCGAGCAAGGGTTCAGGGGATGTTGTTGATTCCCTGCTAAAAGGCCAAAGAACACAAACTATTATACCCTGATTTTTTTTTTTTTTTAAGAATCTTGCCTCGAGGCTTTCCAAAATAAGCTACTTCTTTTAGATTTCTGATTCTACTTCCAATAAATCTCTTGACAGCACAGCCTAGCCCATCTGGACCAATCAATCAGCCTTTATCATCAAGCTATATTTTTCTCCACTTCCCCCTTCCTGGGATTTGCAACCCTGTCTGCACATTGGAATAACCTAGGGAAAGTTAAAAATACCAATGCCTGGTCCCACCCCTAGGGATTGACTTAATTGGTCTGGTTTTGTGGCTGGGCATTGGGAAAACCCTCCCAGATAATTCTAATATGCCAGCTAAGAATGAGAACCACTGACCCCTTTGCTGCTCAAAGTGTGATCTGTGAATTAGAAGTACCTGCATGAGCCTGGATTCCTGTTTGAAATGCAGAATTTCGGGCTCTACCCCAGATCTGAGAAATCAGAATCTGCAATTCAACAAGGACTCCAGCCTTGTTCTCCACTGAAGCCTGAGAAGCTCTATGCTAGAGAACTAACCTCTTAAATCCACCCACCCCATGTAAAATCAAATAGGAGGGTCTCCGAGATCACACCTCCTTATCTCTGAGCAGCCTGGCAAAGAGCTGATGTCTGCTTTTCCCTAGAGTGTGAAAACAGGCACCTATCAACCAATCATGAACAAGTGCTTCCTGACATCTCAGCAAGCAGACACTCAGTATTTGAGTGTTGTCTCTCGGGCTTAACAGTCTACAGTGTAGTTAGCTGGAGCATTCTTGTAAGATGACCAACTGTCCTGGTTTGTTAGGGACTGTCCCAATTTTAGCATTGTAAGTCTCACATCTTGGGAAATCTGTCAGTTCTGGGCAAACTAGAATAGTTGGTCATTCTATGTCAAGCAACATTTTGAATCGATTTTAAGCCCTCCACCCCCACCCACCCACACACGCACAGACACCCCATCAAAGGCAAGCTCTGCTTCTTTGGTACCCACCACCCCCTCATGAACACACATAGCTAGGAACTTGGGTGTTTTTGTGCATATAGTTAATGCTTTAAAATGTTGGTTCATTCATTCAACAAAAATTCATTGAGTGTCCTCAGTGTGCCAGCCTCTGCAAAATACTGAAGTAGACACAACACCTGCCCTTATGGGGATTACAGTTTAGAGGGGAATACAGAGTGATGATATGCAGTGGAGTGAGCGCTGTGATCACTGTCTGAGTGTAGGGATCTGCTGAAGCTTATAGGAGGAACACCACACATGTGTGCCAGAAAGGTCTGAAGGATGGGAGAAATTAACCAGGTGGGGGCAAAGGGCATAAGTAAGGAGATGAAAGCTTCTAAGCAGAGGGAATAGTGGTCCATAGGTTGGGGCAAAAGAGAGCATGGCTCCTTTGAACCTGAAAGAAGTTCAATATTCCTAAGGAAGATACAATGAGAGGTGGGAGGTAAGGGTAGGCCATGAGTTTAGAGAGGTAGGCAGAGGGCAGTTGATAGGGTTTGAGTCTGTGTCCCCATTCAAATCTCATGTCAAATTGTAATCCCCAGTGTTAGAGGTGGGGCCTGGAGGGAGGTGATTAGATCATGGGGGGGATTTCCCCTTTGGTGCTGCTCTCGTGGTAGTGAGTGAGTTATTGCGGGGTCTGGTTGTTTAAAAGTGTATAGCAACCACCCCTTTTCTCTCTTCCTCCTGTTCTGGCTATGTAAGGATGTGCCTGCTTCCCCTTCACCTTCTGCCATGATTGTCAGTTTCCTGAGGCCTCCTCAGCCACGTTTCCTGCACAGCCTGTGGAACCATGAGCCAACTAAACCTATTTTCTTTGTGAATTACCCAGTCTCAGGTATTTCTTGATAGCAGTGTAAGAATGGTCTAATACAGCAGCCTATGAATGACCCTGTAAAACAAGTCAAAGAACGGTGGCATCATTCTAAGAGAAGGGGATCCACAGAAGAATTTAAAGCCAATTTTGAGAAGCAGACTTGGGTGAAAAATGATCAATCACTCTGCAATTCTGTAGAAAATAGAATGGAGAAAATAAAAATGAAAGCAGGAAGTCAAAACAAAGGCTTAGTAATCCAGGAGCAAGAGAGGAGGGTAGCTTGAACTGAGATGGTGGCAGTATAAACATCTCTTGAATCCATCCGTTTCTCTTTATCCAGAGAGTAGAAGCCATAGAAGAACACGGTGTTTGAAAAATGCCGACCAGCCTGGCAAAGATGATGAAACCCCATCTCTACTAAAAATACAAAAATTAGCCGGGCGTGGTGGTGGGCGCCTGTAATCCCAGTTACTCAGGAGGCTGAGGCAGGGAATTGCTTAAACCCGGGAGGCGGAAGTTGCAGTGAGCTGAGATGGTGCCACTGCACTCCAGCCTGGGCAACAGAGCAAGACTCCGTCTCAAAAAAAAAGGGGAAAAAAAAGAAAAAAGAAAAATGCCCTTGATGGAGATAGGGTGACGGTAAAGACAGAGAAGAATTGGGGATTAGGCACAGGGTTCTTTTTTTTTTTTTTTTAACTTTTTATTTTGAACTACTTCCAGACTTACCAAAAAGTTGCAAAAATACAGTTTTCATACATCCCTCATTGAGTCTTTTCTAATGTTAATGTCAGAGGCATTTTAACCAGAGCAACTCCATCTTGAATAGGGGCTGGGTAAAATGAGGCTGAGACTCACTGGGCTGCATTCTCAGGAGGTTAAGGCATTCTTTTTTTTTTTTTTTTTTTTTTTAGACAGAGTTTCGCTTTTGTTGCCCAGGCTGGAGTGCAATGGCGTGATCTCAGCTCACTGAAACCTCCGCCTCCCCGGTTCAAGTGATTCTCCTGCCTCAGCCTCCCGAGTAGCTGGGATTACAAGCATGCATCACCACACCAGGCTAATTTTGTATTTTTAGTAGAAATGGGGTTTCTCCATGTTGGTCAGCCTGGTCTCAAACTCCTGACATCAGGTGATCCACCCTTTGATCGGCCTCTTAAAGTGCTGGGATTACAGGCATGAGCCACCGTGCCTGGCCGGTTAAGGCATTCTTAGTAACATAATGAGATAGGAAGTCAGCACAAGATACAGGTCATAAAGACCTTGCTGATAAAATAGGTGGCAGTAAAGAAGCTGGCCAAAACCCACCAAAACCAAGAAGGTGATGAGAGTGACCTCTGGTTGTCCTCACTGCTACCCTCCTACCAGTGCCATGACAGTTTACGGATGCCATGTGATGTCAGGAAGTCCCCCTATGTGGTCTAAAAAGGGGAGGCATGAATAATCCACCCCTGTTTAGTATATCATCAAGAAATAACCATAAAAATGGGCAACCAGCAGCCCTGGGGGCTGCTCTATGGAGTAGCCATTCTTTATTCTTTTACTTTCCTAATAAACTTGCTTTCACTTTACTCTATGGACTTGCCCTGAATTATTTCTTGCTAGAAATCCAAGAACCCTCTTTTGGGGTCTGGATCAGGACCCTTTGCCTGTAACATTAACATTAGACATATTCACTGCACAATGATCAGAATCAGGAAATTATGGTACACACTAAAGACTCCATTCAAACTTGATCAATTTTCCACTAACATCCTATTTTTTTGGTTTGGTTCCAGAATTCCACATTGCACTTCATTGTTGTTTATCCTTGGCCTGCTGCCATATATCACAGTCCTTCAGTCTTTCTTGTCTTTCAGGATTTTGACACCGAGAAGACATCAGTGATTTTGCCAACTATCGGTCAGTTTGGGCTTGTCTGGTGTCTTTAGGTTTCTGCATCTGAGAGCAAGAAGGTAAGCTCCTTGAGAGCAATTAGTCATTGTTCAGTGACTAATTCCCAGTGTGGTGAGCAGTAACAAATTCAGTGTGCACGTGCAATGTGCTGAAGAAAGGGCTGAGAGAATGATGTACTAACCACAAGATGGTTAAAAACATAAGTTTCAGGGATCTCTCCTCTCCTGTCTTAGCAGAAAGGGGAGAATACTGGTTAGGAAAACAAAAACAAGTTTTTCTTCAGTGGATCCATCAAAGTATCTAAGTGCCTAATTGGCTTCGATTGTGGTAATTACATTACCTTTCTGAGCCTCTGCGATTGCTAGGCACAAGGTTCTGTATAAAGGTGAACTAGACACATGGAACAAGCTCCCTTGAGCTCATCGTTCACCTGGGAGGAGGAAATGGAGGTTTCACAGGTACATAGTGATAACAGAGCAGGCGGCCTGCACTGTGTGCTGCAGAAGCACAGCTGGGGATGATGTGAAGTGCAGGAAGGAGGCTTTATGGAGAAGGTGACATGTGACAGGCTAGGGCTTGGAGGAGGCTGGGCTTGGAATGGTGATGGAAAAGAGGCCTCAGGGGGGAAGAATGCCTTTGAATGGAAATGAAAGGCAGAGAGCTATGGAGTCTATATGGAGATGCAGGCAGTGGGGATTAGCCAGAGTATCTGGTGGGAGGTTAAAGTGACAAGGCTGGAGGCTCGACCAAAAGGTTAGGGTCAGACCTCAGGAGTGCCTGGTTGTCACTGGGCATTTAACATTTTTCTCAACAGTGAGAAGCAGCAGAGTGAACTGCTCAAAATCTTTATTATGTAGGGTCACTGGGTCAGGTCGTGGCCTGATGCTTTCCTCCCAATCTCACTGCAAGGGACAGCTGGGTGGAGGCAAAAAACTAACATGCTCAGGGGCCTCTGGGCCTTGCCCTCCTGTCTTCTGACACTCATCAAGTGGATTTCTTTCACCTGCCACACCACCTTGCTTTGCCACACCATAATGTGATACAACATGACCTCACTATGCCACAACACAACCATGCTATGCCACACGATGCCACGCCATGCCACACCACCACGACCATGCTATGCCATGGCATTACACTGTGCCACAACACAAACATGCTACGCCACTGTCTCATCATGCCACACCCCCTCGCTATGCTACTCCCCCTCACTCTGCCACTCCCCCTCACTCTGCCATACCCCCTCACTGTGCTACACCCCCTCACTGTGCCACACCCCTCACTGTGCCACACCCCCTCACCATGCCACACTCCTTCATTACGCCACACTCCCTCACTATGCCACATCCCTCACCATGCCACAACCCCTCACCATGCCACACCCCCTCACTATGCCAGAACTGCACACTATGCCACACTACCTTGCTTACCCACACCATCATGTGAGCCACATAACCTCATCATGCCACACCATCACCACTGTGCCACACCACCACACTGTGCCACACCACCACACTGTGCCACACCACCTCACTGTGACACCAGACCACCTTGTTTGACAGGTGCCTGCGGGCCCCTTCTCCCCCACCTCTCTGGTCTGCTGTTGCACATGCTCCTACCACCAGCTAGAGGTTCTGTTGTCTAGGAAGCCACTGGCCTCTGACTCATGCAATCTAAGCATGCCCCTCCCTGTTTTCTGCCCCTGATGTTATTGGAACATCTCATCATCATGGTTTTTTATGACAATCATTTGCTCACACACTTATCTCTCTTGTTAAACCGAAAAGTTATTGAGACGGAACCATATTTATTTGTTGAGTTCCTAGGGCTAGCACTATGCTTGGCACATCACAGGTACTTGAAAAATAGCTGCTAAATTTAATTATGCTTAATTAAACCGTAGAAAGAGCATTGAACTTGGAGCCAGGAGCCCAGAACCCAAACCCCAGTCTTACAACAAACAAACAAGTTACCCAACCCTCCAAGTCTGCCTCTAATCCATAGGAGGGGAAAGGGATAATAATCTCAATTTCATAGTTTTCTCCTGAAGGACCCTATTATATTTCTGGAGCATAATAGCTGTACTTCTGCCCATTGCACTTACCTCAACTGTAATTGTTTATTCAGAGTGAATAGTTTCTAGAGTGGAAACATGCAAAGAACAGACATTACTGCCACTGGGAGTCCCACTGCATGCCAGGCATCACCACGCGCAAGGAAAAGAACATCTTGGATATTTGAAGCAGAAATGTAGTGGAGAAAGGACATGAAAGTTGATCAAGAAATTGTCAACCCTTTTCGAGAGGCTGAAGGCTTATCAGCAGAGGGAATGCAAGAGCTACAAGCAGAACTATGCCAAGAAGCTTGGCTGGTCCAAGTGCAGTGGTATTTACAAATAACTGACCACAACCAGTTACAAATTTCTTTGTTCCTTTTCCACCCCCACTCCTTCACTTGACTAGCCTTTAAAAAATAAATAAATAAAATAAATTTTAAAATAATAAAAAGAAGAAGCTGGTGCAGTTCAGCCAAGGGGCCAAGGCCACCAGGACCACTATCATGAGCTGAGGACCCACAGTTCTGCTGGACTTCACTTCTAGGGTAAGCTCCATGAGAGTGGAGGCCTTGTCCGTTTTGTTTATGACGATATGGCTATGGCTAGCACAGCATCTATGCCTGACAGTAACACAAACACCTCACTTAACCTCTCTAGACCTTGACTGACTCATCTCAAAGATGAAGGAAGGTCCCTTTCTCAAAGTGCATTATTCTATAAATAACAGAACCTGTTAACCCTTTCCAACATGAGGGTAGGTGGTAATAATGCTGATGGCACCTGGGGATTAATTTTAAAAGGACAAAAAAAGGCAAATGTAGTTCCTTGGTTGTGCGTCTACCAGATCCCTACAGGTATGAGCAAATGCAGAATAATGGGAAGGACTAGATAATTCCAAGTGCTGAGAAAACTATGGGGTATGTGCTGCATTTCTGACTTTTTTTTGGCTCTCTGTCCAGAAAATGGCCTCTAGGTAAAAGATCTGGAATGAAAGTATGCATGAGTCTTGAAAGAGATCCGATTTGCCAACCACATTGGAGGGACCTTGGCACGTCCAGGGGTTTGGGGCTTCTGTACTCCCCTTTGTCCACCTGTTTTAGTCCCCAGCAACCTGATGTGATTGTTACCATAGTGATCACCCCAAATGGAGGTACTCCTGTGTCCCCCTTCCTCAAGTGGGCTAAGTAAGGCAGCCTCCTGGTGGAAGCCAGGCTGGGTTAGGCCAGGGCCTGCACAGATGGAGCTCCCAAGTCAAGGGAAACTCAGCTGCCCCAGCAGATGCTCCAGGGAGGTCGACACAACTCTACTGCCCAGGGTGAGTGTGCAGAGAAAGGAGGATGAGTGAGTGCTTGTGTATGGAAGCAAAGTGGGCCTTTCCCTTCCTCCCAGGGGTGACATTTCTTTCCTCTCTCTGAGCTTTTGCTTTTTTTGTTGTTGTTTTTTTAATAGAGACAGGGTCCCACTATGTTGCCCAGGCTGGTCCTGAACTCCTGGGCTCAAGCCAGCCTCCCACCTTGGCCTCCCCAAGTGCTAGGATTACAGACATAAACCTCCATGCCCAGCCCCTCTGTGCTTTTGGAAAAGCTCCTCCTTCGACCTGGAGCGTGTTCCACTCTCTTATCTTGGCTAAATTCAGGTCTACCATAGATATCTCATCTTGTGAGAAGCCATCCCTGACCCTCCTCAAGCCTGCCCTCCCACAGCACCTTGAGCAGTTCTCAGTCCTTACCATACTATATCTTAATTCCTGCCCTGCAGTCACAAGACTGGCAAAGCACCAAGAAGACAGGAGCTGTGTTCCAATTCACCATGGTACCCAGAATCCTCATGCGGTTCTGGCACAAAGCAGCTGCTCAATAAATATTTGCAGAATGGATGAACTAGAGATTTTATTCCCCTTGTGTGGGAGAAAGATAAAACAAGTTGATATCACAGTTTAAATAAAAGCCACCCACCAGCTTCTACAAGATATCCTGTGGTCTGTGAAGCTAGAACTTCATTTCCTGTGCCTTTTCTAACCACGGAGCCTAACTTCAAATGACAACACTTCAACATAAAAAAAAAAATTGAGGCGATGTTCAAATGCACTGCCAAGTAGCCTCACATTTTATAAAGACTTTCAACAATAAAACTGAAATAAAACTTACAGGGGTTAGCCCCAAATTCACTAGAAAATCAAATTAACCATAAACTCCCACCCATTCTCTTTGATCGCTTCCATTCTCTAAACATTCTGGTAAATTAGTCCTTTACTGCAATATATTAATATGTAGGAAGTGAATAGATGAATAGCTCTGAGGCAGGAAAGGGGGTGAAAAAAGGAAGAATTTATTTCTCCTGAAAGGTGCAGATGTATTCACTGATATTTTCTAGTCTAAGAATAGGAAATATCAGCTTAGGGATTTGCCTTCCACCTTGAACATGTCCCCTCACCTCTCTGGGTCCTTGTTTCTTCTTCTTCTTCTTTTTTTCTGCGATGGAGTCTTACTCTGTTGTCCAGGCTGGAGTGCAGTGGCGTGATCTCAGCTCACTGCAACCTCCACCTCCCAGGTTCAAATGATTCTCTTGCCTCAGCCTCCTGAGTAGCTGGGATTACAGGTGCCTGCCACCATGCCCAGCTAATTATTGTATTTTTAGTAGAGACAGGGTTTTGCCATGTTGGCCAGACAGGTCTCAAACTCCTGACCTCAAGTGATGTGCCCACCTCGGCCTCCCAAAATGCTGGGATTACAGGCATGAGCGACCATGCCTGGCCTCCAGTTTCTCACTTCTAAAGATCAGGAAAACAATGCCTACTCTTCCCTCCCACCATAGAAACATGAGCTAGTGGCTGTGCATGTGTTGGAAGATAAGGAAGCTTCTGAACCCACAAAGTTTCTTCCAGACCCTCTGGTGGCTTCCAGAGAAAAACTCCATTCAATCAACCAAGATGGCTTTGTGGAGTTACTGTTCCCAGGCAGGTGCCTCCAAACACATCCAGACTTCTAGGCTGCTATTACAGAAAGGTCATTAGGACCAACCACAGAAAGGCTGGGCTTAAGAGGACTAGTTGCTAAAGAGGAGTAAGCACATCTCTCCCATCTCTGCACCCTACCCCGCATTCTGGGTCTTAAAGCACAGAGGGCAATTTGAAATGCGGTGAGAGAGAGACAGGATTAGGCTGAGTAGGAAGGAACACATTTCTGATGAGGAGAATCAGGGTTAATCTCTTATTGCCATATTTTGGCATACATTTCCACATGGAGAATTCTCTTAACTGCCTTGACTCCACCTACTCATTCTTACTCAACCACTAAAAGGCAAGTCCACGTGGGGTCCTTCTCCAGCTTTCCCAGGCATCACTAGTCACCCCTCCTGTGTGGTTTTTTAGCACAACATATGCAACCCTGGTCCACGGCACTCATTATGTTTTGTGGTTGTTCTCAGCACGCCAGTTTCTTGCACTAGACTCCAAGCTCTCCATCTTATCTCTGCACTCCTGGGGCCTGACACCCAGTGGTGTTCACTCAACCTGTACTGAGTGGTCACTGATCTTTTTGCTGCCACTAGACCAGGGGAACCAGAAAGGAAATGGACGACAGGACATTTTCATCTCTAAATCATGACCTTGGGGGATGGAGGATCCCTTAAGAGGTCATCAAGTTGATTCCCCTCATTGAGCAAGACTGGTGAATACCTGGTGGGACTCACTCAGGTCCTCTCTGTCTTTGACTCTGGTCCTCAGCATAATTGTGCCCAAAGCTGTCTTGTCTACTCTCAGTTAATTCCTGCCTGTTCATGAAACTTATTTAATAATTGTTTTCTTTCTTTCTTTCTTTCTTTCTTTCTTTCTTTCTTTCTTTCTTTCTTTCTTTCTTTCTTTCTTTCTTTCTTTCTTTCTTTCTTTCTTTCTTTTTTGAGACAGAGTCTAACTTTGTCACCCAGGCTAGAGTGCAGTGGTGCGATCTTGGCTCACTGCAACCTCCACCTCCCAGGTTCAAGTGATTCTCCTGCCTCAGACTCCCGAGTAGTTGGGATTACAGGCATGTGCCACCACACCTGGCTCATTTTTGTATTTTTAGTAGAGACGGGGTTTCACTATGTTGGTCAGGCTGGTCTTGAACTCCTGACCTCAAGTGATCCACTTGCCTTGGCCTCCCAAAGCGCTGGGATTACAGACGTGAGCCACTGCGCCCGGCCCTAATACTTGTATTTTTATAATCTTTTTATTAACCAAACAATATGGAAACTTTCAAGCACATATAAAAGTAGAGAGAAAATCAGAATAAACCCCCCATGTACCCAGCACCCACCTTCAGCAATGACATGCAAAATCAGTCTTGTTTTACTTATAGTCACTGGATTATTTTGAAGCAAATTCCAGCCTCATGTCAAAGACACACTTTTTTACTTGAATTGCATTTGTAGAAAGAATAAAAATTAATTTAAATTAGGAGGAACCTTTCTCTAGGGTCACTTCCCAATAAGTGGATTTTTTGTTGTTGTTTGGTCTTTGGTTGGGGGTGGAAAGTCCTTGAAATCACATCACGTACTCTTTCTGATACTCAAACTGATTTTTTATTTTTTTGCAGGCAAATGCGTAATGGATGTCAAAATCCAGAAATAAGGCAGCAAGTATTGCACAGAATGTCTGCATTGACTTTGCAAAGACCAGACCCTCTGGGTTCTCCCTGGAACAAAGATGCACAAAAGGCTGGAGCAGCCAAATGGGCCAACCCCTGGAGTGCCTTTTTTCTTCTGTGTTAAAAAGTTGCATTTCATGCAGACCCAGCCTATTCCCCCAACCCCTCAATCTTCTCCCTCCCTCCTACCCACAAGCACACATACAACAGAAGGGACGCCTCTACACCCTCACCAGCTGCCTACACTCATTCACCTGCCGCTGGCTGGTTTTGGCACTTGTTTTCCAAACCAGTCAAAGAACTCACAGCCCCAGGACTAGAAAGCTCTTATTGCTCCATAGAGGCTTAAATCTGTGGCTCCTAGAGGGATCACCATGGGATAAATAAAAATATACAACCCACATTCCTTCAGTGTGCGAAGGCACTTTTTTGGCGGTGTCAGGTTAAGAAGTGTTCAAGAACACTGCATAATGGCCAATGCTGTTTGTGCTGATGATCCTTAACTCTGTTTAGATGCTGAAGGGCCCATATTGGGGAAACTTTCCTGGCCCCTCAACACTGCACTGCTCAGGTGTCCCTCTTGTCAATCTCAAAGCATGCAGTATACTTATACCTGAGGAACTGCGCGAAGCATGTTTATCATCCGCTTTGGACAGACGGGGAAGGAAAGACCAGAAAGGGAACTAATACTTCTCAAGAGCCCATTTCATGCACGGTGCTACGTATTGTCTTCTTAAATTCCACACAGTTCTATGAGATATTTATTTTCATTAGCCCCCTGTGACAGATAGAGGACACTGAAGTTCGGAGGATTTAATTGATTTGCCTAAAGCCACACAGCTAGTAAATGCTAGAGCCTGGATTCTAATACAGGTTTTTCTAATCAGCAAATCTATGCTCTTTTTGCTATACTGGTAATTCACAATTATTCCAAGTCTGAAAAGCCTCTTCCCTTTTAAGTTATTTTTATTTTTTAACTTTTCATTTTGAAATAACATTAAACTTATTTTAAAAATTATAAAAATAGGCCGGGCGTAGTGGCTCACTTCTGTAATCCCAGCACTTTGAGAGGCCGAGGTGGGTGGATCACTTGAGGTCAGGAGTTTGAGACCAGCCTGGCCAACATGGTGAAACCCCGTCTCTACTAAAAATATAAAAATTAGCTGGGCGTGGTGGCAGGCCCCTGTAATCCCAGCTACTAGGGAGGCTGATGGAGGAGAATTACTTAAACCTGGGAGGCGGAGGTTGCAGTGAGCTGAGATCGTGCCACTGCACTCCAGCCTGGGCAACAAAGCGAGACTCTGTCTCAAAAAAAAAAAAAATTATAAAGATAGCACAAAGATTTCTCATATGACTTTCACCCAAGTTCCCCAAAGGTTAAATCTCATGTAACCATAGTACAATGACCCAAACTAGGAACTCAACATTGATACAAGACTATTAACTAATCTACATATCTTATTTGAATTTCACCAAGGGTCCCACTAATGTCCTTTATGTGGTCCAGAATACAATCCAGATTATACATTGTATTTAATTGTTATATCACCTTAGACTCTTCCAATCTGAGATAGTTCCCCATCATTCTGTATGTACACTTTTATACACACACACACACACAATTTTTTGACATGGTCTTGCTCTGTCACCCAGGCTGGAGTGCAGTAGTACATCATGGCTCCCTGCAGCCTCTGCCTCTGGGTTCAAGCAATCCTCCCACCTCAGTCCCCTGAGTAGCTGGGACCACAGGCTTGTACCACCATGCTTGGCTAATTTTTAAATTTTTTGTAGAAACAAAGTTTCACTATACTGCCTAGTCTGGTCACAAACTCCTGGGCTCAAGCAATCTTCCCGCCTTAGTCAGCCAAAGGGCTGGGATTAAAGGCATGAGCCACCATGTCCAGCCTTCATTCTATATCTTTCGTGATGTTGAGACTTTGGAAAGTACTGGCCAGTTATTTTATAAAATCTCTCTAATTAGACTATTTTTAATATTCAAAAAGTATCACAAACCCTCAAATGACTGTAGTTATACTTCAAGTATCTCTTTGAGAATATATTTATTGACAAGCTACAGTAAATTGAAGGATGCTTTTGAGTTTGTTCCATATACTTTTGAAAAATAGTAAGTATATCTGTGAGATCATTTTATTTAGCTACAGGCAATGGTTGGGTATATTTAGTTTCATCGACTCCTGACAGATGATATTATGGCAGCTCCTTCTGAGGTCAGCAGCCCGCAATCATACACAGTCCAAGGCAGAAATTTTCAAAGTTTGAAGAAAACAATAGCGAGCTTGTGAGGTCAGACAAAAACACCAAGCCCTAATGTTTAATGTATGTTTGTGATTTTATTGTATGTTTGTATTCTGCACTATGCTAAGATTTTTGCATTCATTGTATCAGTTAACCTCACAACAACCTCTGGGACAGGTACTATTATTATCATTGCCATTCTACAGTGGAGGAAATTAAGATTCTGAGTCTATAAGTGACTTGCCCAAGGACACACATCTACTGCACAGTAACAATGGGATCTGAAAGCAGTTCTGCCTGACTCTACAAGCCCGTGTTCTTATCAACCTTGCTAATTTTCTCCAAAAGCATCTCTGACTCCTTGCTTTCATTGTCCTTATGCCAGGAACAGTCTTCATTTTCTATTTCCCAAATTCTTTTCCCTTTTCAGCCTTTAATGTCCAGTTTTTAGAACATTCTTCTAGGGAGGCATCTGCTATAGATAGAAGGAGGAATTGGATTTATATCAGCCCCAGGTGTGACTGGGGCATGATAAGGCATAAACAAGGACAGCAGAAGTAGAAGCAGCGTGGATATTCCAGAGCACAACCTCCTCTTTTTATAAAAGAGCAAATAAGAACAATCACTAGGAATACTTATTGCATGCTTAATGTGGGTCAAGTGGTGTTCTAAAAGCTTGCCATGTGTTTTCTCATTCATTCACTCCCTCTACCTTTATTGAGGTAGAGACTTCTAGAACTCACCCATCTCTGGAAAAAAAGCCTTCATCTTTTTGACAGTACCCAGAAGGATTATACTCCCCACCCCTATTGCTGTTAGGCAGAGCCATGTTCCTAGATGCAGCCAGGCATTTGTAGGCAAAAGTGATACGTCATTCCTGAGCTAAAACACTTCATTGTTGGGACTTAGTGAGCTGTGAGGGATAGAGCTGTGTACCATCTGTTGCCCTGCTCTGGGACCTAGGGGAAGGAAACCAAATGGGGAGAAATGGGAAGCAAGCCCCAGATTTGGCTTCACTCAAGAATACCCTCAGAACATAATTCAGGAGTGGGAATTTATGGTTGTATTAGTCAGGGAAATTAACATTAGCTGGGTAACAGACAAACCCCCAAGCTTCAGTGTCTTAACACAATCAAAGTTAGCATTTCCTTCATGTCAGAGCCCATGTTGGTCAGACTTTCCCATCTTGCAGCTATCCCATATAGGACTCATAGTTCTCAGATCCCTGAGGCAGGGGAGAAGAGAGATGTAAGAGGCATCCCTTCCTACCTCTGCCATGGGTGACACATGCCTCTTCTTTCCTAGTCACATGGTCCTGTTGTAGCCAAGCACCCCCATTTTTCTACAAAGAAGAGAATGAATTATTATTTTTATTATTTTTTCCTCTTCTTTTCTCTTTTCTCTGTTTCCCCCTATTAGCCACTTCCTACTTAGTCCTGTAGAAAGGCAATTACAGCTTTTTACCTCTTCTTCATCAGGCTCTCCCTACAGGGCAAGTTCACCTAACTATGTGTTTAGAAGCTTGAGTGGAACTCACCCACCAGGAGGTTGCCTCAAGAGACAACAGTCAATCTACAACCCCAAGTATGCCCACTACAAAACTCTCTCCCACCTGGAAAGCTTCAGTCGCATTTGCAGTCTAGTTCTGCTCATGAAGGTGCCAGCAGTCACCAGCTTGACTATCCAGTAGATAAGGCACTGAAATGAGTTATGCAGACCTCCACCTGCTTGCTTCCTCCACTGTGTGCCTTTCACGCTGAGACCCCTTCTAAAAGCACCTGCTTTCTGCTCTAAAAACGAAGTAGTACCCTTAAAGCAAGAAACCTGTACTTCTTCCCCTAAGTTAGCTTTGGAATAAAAAGTCACTTTCTTCATAGCAGATCTTGCTCTTATTAATTGAACTCTGCCAGCACTGAATGACTGAACTTGCACTTTTGATTATATCATACCCTCCCAATTAACTCTCCTCTCCTCCTCCAGGGCCCACACCTCTGTTCCTTGTTCCAGAACCTCAGGTCTGGTGGACACATTTCTTCTCCCCACTTGATTTCCTACTAATACACGGTATTCCTGAAGTAATCACCTACTTTGGAATTCTCAAAGTCAGAGATTGAAAATGCAGATCCCAGGGCACTACCCTGGGATCACAGCCTGGGACTCCATGTATCATCCCCTTCCTGAGGCACTTCTTGATGTCCACAGATGTTTCAAAACTATTTTAAATTGTAGCCAGGTCAGAATAACTTCAGTCACTTATACTTTTTGATGTATTCATGTACCATTTATACTATTATTTTCTTCAAACTTAACATTTGCCTTTAAATGTCTCACATTTCTATTTCAATAAATTTATTTCTAAGGGAGACTTTTTGTCACTGCCATAAATGAAAAAACTGGTACCATTTGCCATAAAAAGAATAGACAAACTCTGGGACATCCATGTGATGGAATATTATTCAGCGCTAAGAAGAAATGTGCTATCAACTACAAAAAGACACCGAGACATGGAGGAAGTTTAAATGTATATTACTAAGTGAAAAAGCCAATCTGAAAAGGCTACACACTGTATAATTCCAACTATCTGACATCCTGGAAAAGGCCAAATATTTTGCCGGGAGATCGGGAGTGGAAGCAGGGAGATGAATAGGTGGTGGGGCACAGTGGGTTTTTAGGGCAGTAAAACCATTCTGTATGATACCATAATGGTAGATACATGTCACTATATATTGGTCAAAACCCTTAGAATGTACGATATCAACAGTGAACCCTCATGTAATCTATGGACTTTGGGTGATAATGATGTGTCAGTGTAGGGTCAGTTGTAACAAATGTTCCACCCTGGTGGGATTTTTTTTGCTTTTGTTTTGTTTTGTAGAGATGGAGTCTTACTATGTTGCCCAGGCTGGTCTCAAATTCCAGGGCTCGTCTCAAATTCCAGGGCTCAAACGATCCTCCCACTTCAGCCTCCCAAAGTGCTGGGATTACAGGCATGAGCCACTGTACCTGGCCAAAGTATGGGATGTTGATGGTGGGGTTGCAGGGAGTACATGGGAACTCTGTACTTTCTGTTCAATTTTGCTGTGAACCTAAAGCTGCTCTAAAAAAATTAAGCCCATTAAAAAAAAGAATAGACACATACAAATATAAACAAAACAAGGTGAGAAATTCTAGCTAAAATAGTGCATGTCCAAAGACTCTGAGTCTAATGCCTTCTTTCTTTGTTTATAAAGCAGACTGACACCACTAGAAAGGTGTTAAAGATATATTATCACTATGGTGAGATTTTCTCCTAGATATAATCATGAAGCATAAGAGCAAACTGAAAAGGGAACAACATTCTTACCTGGGGATCAACGTTATTTAAAATCATGTCTGTCTGGGGCTGTCCATCCCATCCCAGGCTTTCAGAAACACTCGTCCAAGGAGGACCCTCAATGCAAATCCCTTGCTGTTACATATTGGGCAACTGTTTCCTCTGCAACTTCTTCTGCATGCTTGTCTGCATGCATGGTCTGCCCCTGACCTCTAGGTACTCAAAGTCCAGGAAAGTGTCTTTCTACATAGTTCCTGCCAAGCAGAGAGTGCTGCTTAATAAAGATCTGTCAGGGACCTGGTGATGATGGAGATGGATAAAGACAACTATGTTGGGAGTGAGGGATCCAAGGAAGAGAGGACAGAGTTCAGCTGAATCAGACAACACAGAGGCAGAAAATGTGCTAAACAGAGGCTGGTCCAAAACATGTATCCCTGATTGTCAGTCACAAAAACAGCTTGGGGTTTACTGTGATGGAAGCATAGCCTTAGACATCTGATTTTTTAAAGACTCCAGTGAGAGAGGGTAGTAGGAAAAGCAACAGTGTGATCTGAGGGCTCCATTCCAGGTCTCTGAGACACACTGGTGGGATGGGGTAAATATCACTCTCATTCAATTAGCAGTTGTTGTGTGCCTAGATCTTTAATGCATCATGTCAATTCCTTACAAATGTTCAAATTCAGTATTTTATCTCTGTTTTATAAACAATAAAATCTAGGTCCAGGGAGGTTAAATAAGTTGCCCAAGACCACTCTGCTGGGAAGGGCCCCAAATGGGAATGAAATCCATGTATTTTGGACTTCAAAGCCCATGTTCTTCCCATCATTCTGCAATAGTATAAGGAAATGCATGCTGGCCAAATGGTCTCAAGCCAAGATAATGATCACTATGATTACCAGGACAAGAATCATTGCTATTTCTCATTATAGAAACAGAAAATGAGGTTGGATGAGATTGCAAGGGGTCATCCATACCCTCATTGCTTGGCCTTTTCGTTTATACACACACACACAAATATGTCTTCTACCACACATATACTAGGGACCAAAGATAGCACTATTAATCTGGAATGAACATGTGCAAGTAGCAGGGGAAACGATTAGCAAATAATGAGTACCTACTGTATGCAGAGCCCTATGCTAGCCACTGGGGTGGCTTCAAGAGGGTTCTTTCAGACATTGATGTTGATTCTATTCAATCACATCCAAAACAATCTTTCCATGAAGGAGAAAAATAATTTGATCTGTCCTTCTCAACCCCTCTATGGACAGGTCCTGCAAAAATCCTCATGAGTACAATTCGCTGGGTTCAGGACTGGGGCCCTTGTGTCCCCCTTGTGGGGCATGAGGTCATTCTTGGATTACAGAGTTGGATAGAACCTATATTTGGAAACTCCCCCCTTTCTTTCCCTGACAATTTGCATCTACCTGGATTTCAAATTGTAACTTACTCAATTGTGCTATTTCGTCATGAGACAGTCAGCCCTGGGTACACCTCACCTTTGCTTTTACCATACACAGAAGGAGGTATCAAATGTGTACTATATGCACATGTAAACTCTGGCTTATACCTGATGCATCTCAGGAGGGGGATGGTATGCAGCTTGGGCCATACAGTATTTTCTTGCCAGCTCCTTTACATCCAGGCTCACTTCCAACTTGGCTTCCTTCCCAGCAAACAAGCAGCAGCTCGCTCATTCCCACACTCCTTTAAGTGTCTCCTCTCCCTCCAACCTCCTCTCCCTCCCCCATCTCACAGGCCACAGCTGGGCTTTTCCAGCATACCAGCTGGAAAAGGGGGCAGAAAGAGAGGAGAAAGAGAGAGTCCCAGTATCTCTCCTTTTTCTCTCCCAGCCTCTTCTGAAATCCATATTTCATAACTTCCTGCCCTGCTAGCCTTAAGTAACTTTCTCAATGGGGGCCTCAGCTAGAAGCCACATCCAATAAATTGGTCAGCTCACCCCAAGCTGATACTGGTAAGTGAAGGATTACTACAAACAACACTGTGTAGAGAACCTCACAAACAATTGATTAGAGAACTGCTTCACAACTGTCAAAACACAGGCATCTCCCCTCCTCTCATTCCCAGTTCTGCCCGTGAAAGTGAGACAGATGCATTCAATGTTGTATCCGTGCTTATGCGTGAGCAAGTTTGTACATGTAAGATAGCTATACCTGTGAAAGAGCCTGTAACCCTGTGGTGGGGTTTTAACATCCTTACCTTATCTCCCAATAGAGAATTAGAGCTTTGGTAAGAGCCTTGAGTGAAGAAAAGGTTCTTGGAGCTTCCAATTTAAGTAGGATCAGGACTGACAGAAGTAGGAACTGAAAGCTCAAAACTCTTGGAGGTAACTGTGCTCCCCCTTTCCCAGGATGGTTTTGTATCCTTGGGTCCATAATGGTGTCTGTTGCCTATTGGCCATGAAGGGCTTGCTCTCCCATCATGGTGTGTGCATGGTGAAAATTTACAATTGCAGCAACAATGTGGCTGGCAACACCTTAGGATTTCTATGAACACAGGACAGAGACTGTTCTCTCCAATCTTTGCTGAAGATATATTTGTATATGCCATGTAACATGTTTACTGGGCCTGGATGTCCTGAGATGAGATGACCCCTTGAATTGGAGAGGCTGAGGGGATCATCCCTTTTTGCTCAGATTAAAAATCTCCTGGACCCCAAAGTGACCTTATTTATGAATTCCAACTCCCGAGCTCAGAAAGGATCTTGAGGATTATCTAGTCTCCAGTCCCCATAAGATCCTCCTTCTAAGGTAGCCTATAAGATCTTGGGACAGCTTTGATAGAAAGTTTGTATAATAGTGAAACCCAAGTTTACTTCCCTGGAAATTCTATCACTATCGAAGGTACTGCCCTGTGGACCCTTTCTTCTGCAGAGCACACCTTTGGCATTTGACACCGCTTTTTTCCTAAATGTTCTCTTTTCCCCAGTTCTCCTACCTATGAAGCTGCCCACTAGATGAGCTCCAGAGGTTGTCCTTTCAAGAAATACTCATAGAGCATGAAGCGGGTGCCAGGTACTGGGTTGAGAGCCAATGATCTAACAATGAATGAACACACACAGTTCACTTCTTCCAGGGATCTTATAGTCCCTTTGCAGTGCTCCCCTTAGACCCAGGCAAGAGAACCCCTAGCTCTAGAGGACCCCACTCTGCTCCCCATTCAGCTGCACCTCTCCCCACAGTGTGAGGAGTCTGCGGGGTCAAGGAACCTCACCTCTCTTCTGGAATATGCTCCAGTTACCCAGAACCCTGGAATTCCTGTCCAGACAGCCATGAACTTGCTCCCAGGACCTGCAGGACTCTCTTCTTTGGATCCATAAACTGTTCCCTCCTTGGCCTAAGGGCAGGGATTGGGGCAAGGCACCACTGTTTTGGGGATGATATGGACAGAGCTTGGACAAGCCAGCAGGACTGTCCATACACGTTGGTCCAAGGCTCATTAGTACAGGCTAGAGTCAGCGTTGGAAAGAGAATCAGAATGTCCTGTAGACCAAAGGACAGTTATCCCCATTTGGCTAGTACAGAATCCAGAGACATCTAAAAGTTCTAAATTCAAACCTGTCTTCCAGGTTGCTTTGAAGGAGCATTTTTCAGGAAAGGAGGATAAAATATATTTTGTTTAACAGTTTGTTAGCTGGATTTACTACTTTTAAATATTTTGGAGCATGGTATGTGAGCTTCCATTTATACTCCTGCCATAGGGCCTGTAAATGTTAGGGATGGGTCTCTTCTTTGTGGAAGACAGATACTAAATAACCACACAAAGAAATGTAAAATCAAACCATAGCACTAAGACGAGTAAGTACACCATTTAAGTCTCTTCTAAAATGCTCTACTTGAGCTCCATTCCCAGGTTCTCATTGCATCTTAGGATCTCCAGATTCCCCAAGCCCTGAAAAGCCATATCTTATTCACAACTAACCAAAACACTGACTAGACTACTCTATACAATTATTGCCCCTTCTGAATGCAGAACTCCAGGGAAGCCAACCCCAGAAAGAATAAAAAGGCAGATTAAGCCTGCTAAACTTTTCCAGATACACGTCCTACTTTCCATTAGGGCCAGAACAGGTGGCCTCCCACCCTAGCTTCTGACTGCCATGGTGGATTTCATCTTTGTACCCACTGCTAGGCACTCCACAGCTGCCTAGCTGGGAGGTGGATTCACCTCTTTTCAAGGTATCCATGTGTGGAGTGCCTGGAGGTTGCTCCACAAAGATAAAATCCACCATGGCAGTCAGGTGTGGGGGTGGGGGACACATCTCTTCTGCTTCCATCTGTCTAACCTCAGTCTTGCAGCCTAAATCTATTTCTTCTCACTTGGTCTTCAGAAGCAATAGAGAAGCCTTCTCTAACTAACTGTAGATAAAGTGGCAAATTCCCCGACTTGTCTTTTTGAGTAGGCACCCCGCCCACTAGCTGCTTTTAAACATGCATCTCCTTCTTGTACCTGATATTACTGTAATTCACTCAGCCTCACTGTCTGTGTGTTCTTGATCTCTATCAGCCCCTGTGATGTCTGGGTTAGATTGTGAGACTCCCAGAGGGCAGGACCACATCTACCCTATGTCTCTGGACCTTGTCCAGCAGAACAGCAGGCAAAAGGTAGGTGCTTAATAAAGACTTTGATGATGGAAACGGACAAGCTCTGCTCTGTGCCTAGAGCATTATAAATCTGCAAGAAACAGTCCACATCCATGCCACAATCATAGTGGCTTCCTGACAGCCTCTGGGCTGGGGCACACCTTTTCTTTTAAACAAGGCAGGAACAGCACTCTCTTGCATCTGAGATAGTAATAACAATAACAAAATGCTACGATGGCACTGCTCTTATAGTATTGACTGATTTGATGCTCAGAATAATCTTATGACATGGGGACTATTATTATTATTCCATCTTTACAAATGAGGAATCCAAGACACAGGCAGGCTATATAACTTGTTCAGGCCTCCAACTGGGTCCATCTGGCTTCAGAGAGTTCAGATTACTCACAATGGTACATTGTCCCACAAAGTGGGCTAGTGCAGCTTCAACCAAAAACGGAGAGTGAGGAGGTTGTGAGCTGGACTCTGGTTCTACAGTCTCATGGGCCCTGACCCCTGCTCAACATGAATGAATGGTGGAGAGGAGAGAGGCTACTCAGTAGCTTTCTAGGATGGAGCCAAGTAGGTTCTCAAAGCAAGTGTTCACATCTATCTCTCTCTCTCTCTCTTCCTTTCTTCTCTTCTGTTTTTCCAACATGCTAAGCTCGTTCACATTCACGCTTTTGAACTTGCTATTTCCTTCACCTGAAATTCTCTTCCCCTAGACCTATGCATTGCTGGGCCCTTCTCATCATTTAGGTGTCAGCTCAGATGACACATTCTTAGGAAGACTTTTCCTGATTACCCTATCTAATGTGGTGGTACCTTTCCCACTGCCTCCCTTTCATTCCTTTCTAACTCATTTTCCTTTTTAAATTTCATCACAGAGCTTAAATCACCTTATTTACTTACTAGTTTACTTGTCTATTTATGTGTCTCTACTAGAATGTCAGCTTCAGGAGAGCAGAAATCTCATCTATTTTGTTCACTCCTGAATACTCATGCCTGGAACAGCAACGGGCACACTGCAGGTGCCCCGAAAAATTTGTTAAATAAACGCATGCACCAATGAATGGATGCAAAGTCCTTTGTAGATAGGTACAAAGGTGAAACTAGCTGGATTCTCTTGCTGTTCCTCACCACAAATATTGCAAGCTGTTGGCAGGAAAAGATCAAATACTCATTTTTTGGCAGTCGTTTAGCCCCTATAGCAGTAGTAAATGATTGGGGTGATGGGGAGCAGGGAGGTGGGGGTCTGCTTAATTCCTTTGTTTGGGCAGAGATAACACCAAGACATTCAGCTACTAAGATTGCAGCCCACATTTCCTCCAGGGCCATGTGTAGACAATTGCTGGACAGCTCTCTCCCTGAACAGAAATTAAAACACAGAAATTTTAGCGTGTCTCTCTCTCTTTCTCTCTCCCCCTCCCTCCTCCTCCTCCTTCTCTCTCTATCCCTCTCTTTCTCCCTCCCCTTCACTGCTGTTGCCTCTCTATCTCTCTCTTCCTTTTCTAGAGTTTCCCTTATCTCCCCTCCTTTGTCTCCTTCATAGAAATGCTGTGAAAAAAAAAATGAGAAGAAACTGGGAAACTGTGTTCTCCACATCTAATGCAGTACTCACATTGCTGTTATTACTACTATAACACAATCCCATTAAAGCCTCTTGGCTCCTGCACAGATAAGGTAAACCCCCAAAACAAAATAATCATATGCAGGAAGTGCTTAATTTGATCCAGTCTTAATGCAGACAGGGCCCCCTAATCCTCCCACATAATAGAGCCCATTCCTTTACTGGTGTTAGCTTTTTTATTCAATGCTTTATTTATGACACCCCATCAAAATAATGAACAAGAAAGGAAAGCTTCTAACCTCTGACCAGATCTTGTATCACATGAGGGTATTTCACAATATTGCCAATGATTTTTTTCTTTTTCTTTTTTCAATAAAATACAGCTTTCTGTTATCAAAATACATGCTCATTATATATAAATTCCTTCCAAGATATTTTTACACTTCTTTTCTCCTGGATTCTCCCAACACACCTCTGAGGAAAGGAGGGGGGGGCATGAAAAGGTGTCTCCAAATCACGTAAGTTGGAAAAGCAGCCCAGAGGCATGAAGCTATTTGAAAAAGTTCACACAGTGGGGGAAATATTATCCCAGGGCACCTCCAAGTCCTGCTGTTTTCTAGAGACAAGAATGCTCTTGCCAGAAGCCACACTCTCAGAAGCCCCTGTGACATGCAGACCTGAGCCCATATGGGAGAAAAAAGAAATGCCTTAGGAATTTAGGAAGCCAAATAATTCTTTCTTTTGGAGAGTATGAAGTACTTGATGGTGGCAAGATCCTGATATCAAAGTGAGGCACCCTCTTGTTGTCAGCCGAGCCACTCTACCCCATAGCTCTGCCAGAGCCTGGTGCTGGAAGTAGAGAGAAAGAATGAAGGGAAGGCACTCTGGAGGATTTTTCCTAACAGGAGTTTTCAACTCTGGACAACACTTTATTGGATACTTAGGTAATCTTAAGATGGAAGAACCCAGCCCCCAGCCTCTCAGAGACATTTATTCACACTAAGATCTATATCACTTCCCCTCATAATTCCAAGCTGTAGCTCCAGGGATCACTGGTCCCCAGAGTTCTTTGTCCATTGAGAGCAAAGCAAGAAAATGAATGAAAATGCCAGCTAAGCCTGCATCTTACAGAGCACACCCTCAGCAAGAACCAGAGCCAGTCAAAGCCTGGCATGGCATCCTACTGCACTGCCACTTCCTCAAGGAGTATCCAGAAATCCTCCCTGCACTTCAGGAAACTATTGAAGAAGTGGCTGATAGGAACACATAACCTTGCCCACCTTGCAATTGAATACTCCTTCTCCAGCATCACTAACTGCGTGAGCCTTTCTATCTGTGATTCTTTGGAGAGTGTTGCCACATTCTATAGTTCCTGAAGAATGTACACATGCTATCCAGCATTGCTGATACTAGATTGTAGGTGAACTTGGGAGGGGTGTCTGTGAAAATCTGAATGAATAGGGTAGGGAAAACCTGCCAGACTTGGAAAAGCCCTGGTGCATATGAGAGTTGGCATCCCTATCCTGGATGGGGAGCATTTAAGGGATTTTCTAAGTCAACACACTTTTTAGGTCTGAAAAGGGAAATAGCAAGATACCTTATTGCCTACGTCAGTCTCTTAAACTCATTCTCATTCCCATTTACCTGCCTGTTTTCAACATAGAAAAATTTGAGTCTGCCAAGAAGTGTCTCAGCAAATCATATAGTCTTGGACCTAGAATCCCTCTCCATTTCCTCCTCAGTTGCTAGAACATAATGCTGAGGATGTCAACGTGATATGAAAGGAAGTTGTCCAAAGTAAAAGAACAAGCTTACTGGATTTCAACCTATGAGAAAAGGAAAAGAGAACAAGATCTCGGCATACTCTCAGAGCAGGAAGAAGTTGGGATATGGGACTGAAGATGGGCTAGACGAAATGTTACTAACAACAAGTTAGATAAAAGGATATCTTGGCAACCAGTGTGAATGTACCACCAAGTTTCTTCACTCCGTTGTTTCTAGATCTTCTATTCTGAGGATGTTTGTAAAATTTGGAGTTGGAATTGGAGACACTAGCATTGGAAGGAAAATGCAAAACCTAGAACACAAACGAACCACCAAACAGGCTCCACCAGGAACCAGACACTCATTGGGCAAACTTAACCACAAGAAACATCAATGAGGGCTCTTAAACATAGAGTCCTCATACTAAAGACAATATAACCGTTCCCCAGGGCAAGCAGGCGAGTAGCAATCTGCAAGACCTGAAAATACCACAGGAAGCAGGAGAAGAGAAAAGGGGACTCACCTGTTCTGGCCCCTGGAAGCAGATGCGGCAGAGTGGGGTCCTCATACCACTGTCCAAGCTGCTGCCCAGTGAGTAGCGATCCTCGGTCTTCTCCTTACAGAAGTCATCTGAGGAGGCACTGCTGAGCAGCGAGGCAGGTGGCTCTGTGGCTGGGCCACCCCAGTCATCTTCCACAGAAGAAGGTGGCAAGGGGGGTGGAGGTGGCACAGGAGGGGGCTCCCTGCCCACCACTTCTCGGGGGCCCCTCCAGCCTGCCCACCCCCCGGCGCCCAGAGCCGGAAGGGTGTTGTTGGCCGCCAAACCGGGGGGCTGGGGGTCGCCGTGCATGGGCAGGGGCGCTTGAGGAGGGCGCCGCAGTAAGAAAACCTTCAGGTCATTGAAGAGCATGCGGCAGCGGCACTTGAGGAGACCCTGGTGGCGCAACATCTGGGGGGCTGGGGCACACAATCCATAGCAGTACCAGCCGGAGCAGCAGCACCACCACCACCAGAGCAGCCCACACAGGGGCATCAGCATGTGCCCCGTGGAAGTAGAGAGCCCAAGAGGGGTGGCTGGAGTCTTAAAAGAGGGGGACAGGACAGGTTTTGGGGGTCCACAGTGGATCTGTGTTGTGGGGGGAGTCTGCTTTCTCACTGGCTTTTCTTACAACCCCTCCAAGTAGCAAATAAATTGCTCCCAGGACTGAGAAGTGTGAGTCACTGGTTCTGAACTCCACCTGGAAAGCCCAATAACAAAAAAGTTTTTCTTGCCCTCACACACCCACCCCAACCTCCAACTTTGTTCAGTGTGTCTCCTTTCTGCTTTTGACCTGAGGACACTGGTAGGAGCAGAGGGATTGAAGAAGCGTGGTGGAGGGGCCACTAGAGCCTCTGTCGAATTGTTTAAATCAATGTCGAATTGTTTAAAAGTTCCCCAGGAAAGGATTATTGGGTTCTTCTCAAATTCCTACGCAGTGAGAAATCTTTCTTTTATATAAAAGGGTGGGGACAATTGTAAATCAAATCTGGAGTGGATTGAGCTGGGCTTAGAGAAAACTAGCTCAATGAAGAATTGAGGACTGCATGTGTGAGAGAGAAAAGATCGTTTTTCTCAGGTGGTAGGGGTTGGGGGAGTCAAGGTAGGGGAGGAGAGAAGATTGGGAGAAGTTTTAATTCTCCTGGGCAGAAAACTGGGGCAATTAACCCCCAGAAGCACCAGAGTTGCTTTTAAGAGAGCAGTTGGGTGGGGGAGGGGTGTTGCAGGTGAAACTGGGCTAGGGGCTTGTGCTTTGCCTCCGCAGCCAAAGGGTTACACCGAAGAGGGGAAAGCCAATTAGGAGAAGGGAGGTAAAATAGAGGTTTGGGAAGGAAAAAGGATGGGAGAAAAAGAAAAGATCGTTTAACCCTTGCAGAGGCGCCTCCTTCCTGAGCATGAAGATCCTGGCTAGAGGAAGGGTGTGTGTACCGGGGTGAGAGGGCAGTGGAGCAGAGAATAGGGGTAGAGGAGAGGGGCGTGTGGGAGAGAACAGGAGAAAGGAGTGGTTACATTATCTCAGCCCCCAGCCCACCCCTGCTGCAGTCGGCAAATCCGTGGCGCCCTCCCCTCGGTTCCATCAAAGGTCCCTTCGGTCGAGGGGCAAGAGCCGAGAGAAGGGCAGGTCCGGGCGGGCGAGTGGCCTCGCCTTCTCCTCCTCTTCCTCCTCTGGGTCGCGGTCGCCCTCCTCCTCCGGCTCCGGGTCGGCCCGCGCCCGCAGCTGCTGCTGCGGCGGCGGAGGCGACTGCTGCTCGGCGTCCGGGTGTCTCCGGGGCGGGGGCTGCTCCGGCTCGTCCTCTGGCTGCTGCCCGCCGTCCGGCGCGGTCGCGACTCCGGCCTTCATGATCCTCCTCCTCCTCCCCCTTCCCTGGGGGCCAGCCCTGAGCCCCCGCGCCCGGGCAGCGCTGCCATGCAACCAGAGGCGAGGCCGGCGTGGGGGTGGGGGCGGCTGGGGAGTGAGGAGGGGGAGTAATAAAAAATGAAATAATACTAGTGGAATAATTCGGTTCTCAGGCAAGAGTGCTTCTGGAGGGTGGGGGCGGAGGAGGGCGGCTGCCGGGTCTGCTCGGCAGCTCTGCCCCCGCTACCCCCACCAAGGGCGGCCTCGGCCCGCTCTCTGCCCCCCCACCCCGCCCCTTCCTCCTCTCCACCGCCTCTGGCTGGCTAGGCTCGCTGTTGCTACCTCTCCTCGCAGATGCAACGAGGTAAGGCTTGTTTGCGGTGCCAGCTGAAGGTGGGGAGGGGGGAGCGAAGCAGTGTGGCCGAGGTGGGAGGCAGCCGGCACTTGGCTCCAGCTTGGTCCTCGCGACTCCCCAAAACCGTATATAAATATATCTCTTATAAAAGCCGAGAGGAAGCAAATCAGATTCCAGGCTGCTGCCAGGTGTTGTCTCGTCTTCCGCCGTTGCTCAGCACCCGCCGCTGCCCCCACTGGCTCGATTCCCAAAGGGGTGGTGCTGGAAGGGAGGTGGCGGGGCGGCGAGCTGACCGTCCGAGAACTGGAAACAAGGTTCTTGCAGCGAGGGAGGCTCTCGGCTATCTCCGCCGCCGGCGCCGCGGCCGCCGCTGCTGCATTCAGCACCCCGGGCGAGTGGACAGCTCCCACCCAGACCCCGCGCGTCACGCTCGTGGGGGCCTGACGCAGACGCCGCGGAGGGATGGAGGAGGGAAAGGGGATGAGAGGAAAAGAAGCTGGAGGGAGAGGGAGCAAGAGGAGGAGAGAACTGTGCGAGGGAAGGGGATGGGGAGGGACCAAGGGAAAGGGAGGTAACCAGGAGAGGGAGGGATTTAGGAAGGGAAGGAGGAGGGAGCGAAGTGAAGAGTAAAAGAAAGAAGGAGAAAGGCCACGGGGAGGGAGGGGAGCGATTCAGGCACTAACTCTTGCATTTCACCTCAGCAGGAACGTGTCGGTGTGGAAGGTCTGGTTGTAGACTCTCTGCCCACTGTCCACTATCACAGCTCCTCTCATTGCACATACAAGACACAGACACCTGTCAACCAGAGACCGTTTCTCTGTTCACATAAACATTTAAAGTAGATCTCAGTCTGCAAGCTTTCGAGGAGATAAAGTTTTGTGACTTCCACAATGAAGCTGGGACTTGATGGAGATTAAATTCCTCATGACTAAGGAAATGCTTGAGACATGAGACATGAGAAGGAAATGTTTCATTGAGGCTTGAGACATGAGAAGGAAATGCTTCAAATTTTCAAACAGGGAGGAGGTTGCTAGTACCATTTTTTTGTCAGCTTCTTCGCCTAGAATTTAAGCTCCAATTGACAGAGATAATTTTTTTAATTCATTTGATCCCGTGTGCCTAAGTCAGAGATGGCATCTAGTAAATGTTCAATGCATATTTGTTGAATGGCTTGTGGCCACCATCACCACAGTCATCATTACTATAAGTCACAGTGCTCTTTCAATTGTGAGTCATAAGAATCCAGAGCAATATTTCAGCTTCGTCTTCACCAACATCCCCAGCCTCCTCCCTATTCAAGCCTTTCACTGAGCCGCTGACAAGAGGTAATTTGAAATGGATTTTAATTTCCTCTCCTATTTCTGCTACTGACTCATGTCACCCTACCCTATTTTTCTCAAGGAGTTTCTTGAGCAGCAAAGTGCCCCTAAATGTGAAGAGCAAGAAAAAGAAGGAAACTTAAAGTGGTCTATATAAAACCTCAGTGTTTGCAGCTGTAGACTTTGGTCACTGAAAACTTAGGATTGCTTTTTTTGCCTTTCCTTATAAACCTCTCTCCCCCACCCCGCTCTCTCTCTCTCTCTCTCTCTCTCACACACACACACACACACACACACACACCCCTCTAGGGCCATAGAGAAGATATGCCAGTGATTCATCCAAACAGCCATGGTAATGCCTTTACAAATATTGGAGCCATAGACAGAGTAGCATGCAAAATTTCTGCAGCAAAATATCATTGGAACGAAGTTCAGTCCAATGAGTCATAAGAAAACTACCCCTTTGCTGCCATCTCTATGAAATGATTCATTCCTACAAGCTCTAAGGAGAAAGGACCTACATCTCAGTCTTGGTTAACCCAGCATGGCTACTTGTCTGAATCATGCCCCAGGACTCACCATGGATGCTGAGACCCAGCCCAAGGTGCTCATTTAAAGATGATACTAATATTTTTAATAACTACAAAATAATATTTATTGATTAATATCAGCACAAATACTGTGCAGCAACAAAAAACCTCTTTATTTCAAAAATTCTATTTGTTCTTCAAGAAAATATTTTGTGTTCCACATCACTCTGTATCTGTTTCTGGTATTGCAGAAATCATAGTCTATATAATAATTATCTCACCATACATTCATCTCCCTTTGTCTGACTCAGAGCTTCTTTAAGGCTGGGATCAGTATCTATATTTGTATCACCAGCACATAATGCAGCACCTGAAGTTAAGTAGGTGTTCAAGAAAATGGACTCTGAATAAATAAGTGGCTTTTTTATTTCAGTGAAGCTACCATATTTCTCCCCTTCAGCCTGGACACATACATGTGAGTGCTCCCACATATGACTGAATATCTGCTTTACCTAAAATTGAGTTTTAGGGTTTTGTGCTCATTAAATTCTAGCTCCAAGTGTGTTGTGCAAGTAAATTAGGGCAGGAGATAGAAATGCCATATGAGACCTATATCCAGAGTCATAGAAATGGATGATGTCCGGCCAGGCATGGTGGCTCATGCCTGTAATCCCAACACTTTGGGAGGCTGAGGCGGGTGGATCATCTGAGGTTGGGAGTTGAAGACCACCCTGACTAACATGGAGAAACCCCGTCTCTACTAAAAATACAAAATTAGCCAGGTGTGGTGGCACATGCCTGTAATCCCAGCTACTCGGGAGGCTGAGGTAGAAGAATCGCTTGAACCTGGGAGGTGGAGGTTGCCGTGAGCCAACATTGCACCATTGCACTCCAGCCTGGGCAACAAGAGGGAAACTCTGTCAAAAAAAAAAAAAAAAAAAAGAAAGAGGAAAAGAAAGAGAAAGAAAGAAAGAAAGAAAGAAAGAAAGAAAGAAAGAAAGAAAGAAAGGGATGATGTCCATAACAAGACTGCCTTTCCCAACCCTTCCACTGAAAGTGAAAAGATTTCTAGAAACAGAGAACTGCTAAGGACAGGAAGCAACAACAGGACTGCCTTTAGAAAGATTGAGAAGTGGCCGGGCGTGGTGGCTAACACCTGTAATCCCAGCACTTTGGGAGGCCTAGGCAGGTGGATTGCCAGAGGTCAGGAGATCGAGACTGGCCTGGCCAACATGGTGAAACCCCGTCTCTACTAAAAATATTAAAAATTAGCCAGGCATGGTGGTGTGCACCTGTAATCCCAGCTACTCAGGAGGCTGAGGCAGGGGAATTGCTTGAACCAGGGAGGTGCAGGTTGCAATGAGCTGAGATTGCACCACTGTACTCCAGCCTGGGTGACAGAGTGAGACTCCGTCTCAAAAAAAAAAAAAAAAAAAAAAAAGATTGAGAAGCCTAAGAGGCCTGTTTTGAATATAATGTAAATCTTGTAAAACACTTCACTGAGTTAGATTCTTCTTACTAACTGCCTAATCATGAGCCCAAAAGTAAAATCCCCATTATTGTCTAATGAGTTCCAGAGTAAAAACAACCATAAAGACCATATTAAATCAATGGGTTCCTATTTAGACATTCAAAAAATATTTACTGAACACCCATCATCGGTAAGGCATTGAATTGTGTTGAAAGATGTGGGGAGCACAAACTGGTTGGAATTGCATCCTCAAGGGTCTAGTACTATAAATATGTATGTAGTCATAATATAAAGCATAAAATAGTAAGTGTTACAAAAGCATACAAAGTTTGGGGAGTGTTCAAAATAGGGAGATAATGCTTACAGCTTGGCAGCAATTAGGAGAGGTGGGAAGAGGGGGGAGGTGGAGATAGTTGCCACAGCTCTGGGAAAGCTTTGAAAGCCTTTTTCAAGAAGTGACATTTGAACTGAGTTAAAATATGTGGAATTTAGAGGAGGGAGGCATATTCCTGGCAGTGGGAGCGCTGAATACTTTAGCTTTTCCATTAGGCTGTGGTGGAAGGTACTCAAAGGTAAGTAGCTAGAGGAAATGTCAGAAAGGTAGGCTGGAGCCAGATTCCAGAAGACCCTGGATGTCGCTCTGGGAGAAGATTTATTCATTGACCAGGTACTTGTTTTAATGGTTTTAAAGATTTGGAGCTGAAAGTGAAGGGCAAAAATAAACTTTATCTCTGAGCAGGTTAATTAACTGGATGGGATTTCATTGCTAACAGGTGGGAAGCAATCAATATTTTTCATTTCACGCCAGAAAGTTCTCAGCTCCTTAATAGATTTATTCTTTTAAACGAGGTTGTTTTCAGATATATTTCATTACATACAGGGATGCTGAGGTCATAAGAATTAGAAGAGGAATAGAGGAATGAAAGGCACCAAAAAATGGTCTTCAGGGAGAAATATTAGAAGACCCAGAGATTCAGAAGAGATGCATTATGGAGACCATTGTACTTGTTTCTCCAACAGAGAGCTCTAAAGGGACTCCATGTTAGTTGTTATTATTTCTTCTTTACCGAGACAGACAGTAACCCAGGCTAGAGGAGATTTTACAGACCCTTTAAAAAAAGAGGTTTAGAAAAATTGGACAGCTCTATGACTAAGATCTCATTGCAAAGTAAGTGTCAGATAGAGGCCAGAACTCACATACCTCCTCTTCTAATCCTCAATACAATTTGCTTTCTACTATATCACATTTGACTTTCTTCAAACATATAGCGCCTCAAGAATAGGTGTAGAATTATGGTTAATAGGCAAATTAACAGCTACCATGTACTTTTCATATGTACTTAGAAGCACCTGGACACTTATTAAAAATATAAATTCTTAGGTGCCACTGCAAGTCTACTGAGTAAGAATTTCTTGGGAAACAACCTGGAAATTCACTTTTTGACAAGTGCCTTACCCAAGTGATTTTTTTAAACCTCAAAATGCCTTAGATGATAGGTGTTATTTTTCACATTTTTGAGGTAAGAAAACTGAGTCTTGGGGAAACTAAGTCTAAGGTCATGCAGTTGGTAAATACTAAAGCTGAGATTCTAACAGAGGCCTCTCTGAACCTGAAGTCTATGCTCTTCTTACTATGAAATACTGCCTTTTTAATTAGATCTCCAGGTGCCACATGGAATCCCCACATAGTTATCTGTCTGCCATACATGTCCCATGTCAAAAGATAGTTCAAATTCAAGGTAAAGTGTGGTAGGGAGCTTCTTAAATGGCCCCAGTGATCCCTGTCTCCTGGCATCCATGCCTTATTTGATTCTAATAATTAGAATACAGTGAAAGTGATGGGATGTCACTTCAGAGATCAGGATACAAAAGACTGTGATTTGGCTGGGTGCGGTGGCTTACACTTGTAATCCCAGCACTTTGGGAGGCCAAAGAAGACAGATCACTTGAAGTCAGGAGTTCAAGACCAGCCTTGCCAACATGGTGAAAATACAAAATACAACTAAAAATACAAAAATTAGCGAGGTATTGTGGTGTGCACCTGTAGTCCCAGCTACTTAGGAGGCTGAGGCTTGAGAATCACTTGAATCCAGGAGGTGGAGGGAGGTTACAGTGAGCTGAGATTGTGCCACAGCACTGTAGCCTGGGTGACAGAGTGAGACCCTGTCTCAAAAATATATAAGAAGAAGAAGAAGAAGGAGAAGGAGAAGGAGAAGGAGAAGGAGAAAGAGGAGAAGGAGAAGGAGAAGGAGAAGAAGAAGAAGAGGAAGAAGAGGAGGAGGAGGAGGAGAAGGAGGAGGAGGAGGAAGAAGAGGAAGAAGAGGAGGAGGAGGGGGAGGGGGAGGGGGAGAGCTGTGACTTGCACCCTGCTTGCCCTTGCTCTCTCTGGCTCTTCTCACTTGTTCACTGTGATGGAGACCAGGTGCCATAGTGTGAGCTGTCCTATGGAGGCTCTCCCATGTGGTGAGGAACTGAGAACAGACTCCAGCCAACAGCGAGCAAGGAACCAAGGCCCTTAGTTCAACAGCCCATGAGGAACTAAATCTTGCCAACAGCCCTGTGAGTGAGCTTGGAAGTGGATCCTTCCCCAGTTGAGCCTTGAGATGACTACAGTATTGGCTGACACCTTGATTGCAGCCTTATGAAAGCCCTGAGCCAGGGGTCCCAGAAAAGCTGTGCCTGAATTCCTAACTGTCAGAAACTATTAGATAGATGTGGTTGTCTTAAGCCCTCTATATGTGATCACAGCTGCCACCTCCAAAACACGTACACAGAGATAATTGCCTGTCAACAAGAGTCCGCTTCCCTGCATAAAAACATTTTGGACAGATATCAATCTGCAAGCCTTGGAAGAGATAAAGTTTTCAGAATCCCTCATTGAGCTTCGGAACACAGTGTAGATATCAAGTGACCATGGCATGTGGTGGGATGGGAACTAGAGACTTATTTACTTGGTGTAGACCAAGTCTCTAATGACTAAGAACTCAAGAATGAAATGTTCCAAACATGGAAGGGGAATCCCAGAACCATCTTCTGTTTCCTTTTCTGAAATTTAGACTCCATGGGGCAAGTATTCTAGAGGGGATCCATTTTGATCCCATGTGCCTAGATCAGTGACGGGACATAGCAGGCGCTCAGTAAAAATGTGTTGAATGGGTTGTGTCCATCATCACTGTAGTCAGCATAATTCTAAGCCTAGTTCTCTTTGACTTATAGATCATAAGAATCCAGAGCAATATTGCAGCCTCATCTTCACCAATATCCCCAGCCTCTTATCCAAGCCTTTCACTAAACCATTGACAAGGGGGTAATTTGAAATGGATTTTAATTTCCTCTCCTATTTCTGCTCCTGACCTATGTTACTCTGCTCCATACTTCTCAAGGAGTTTCTGGTGAGCTGAGAGGAGCACACTACGTTGTGGGGTAATTTGTTACACAGCAATTGATAACCCATAAATAAGGGCACTTAGAACACCAACCATTATGCCCATACTTCCTGTATCTCAAGGTATGCTACCCTAACCTCAGACAGAGTTTGATCATTCATAAGGCATTGAAAGTATAAATGTGAGAGCTCATGGGGGTGGGGAGGGGGAAGTATTTTGATATGCTTAATTGGTGAGCATGAATTCATGCCCTAAGATTATCTTAAGGATCACCTGTGGTGCTCATTAAAGGGGCAGATTCCTTGGTAGACTCTCGCCTCCAGAGATTCCAATTTAGTACAGTGTAGGATTTAGGTTATGCACTTTGGATTAGTTCCTTGGGCAATTCTGAGACAGGTGATCCTTGAGCTCCCTTGTGAAGAACACTGACTTAAAAGGTAAAGCCCAGAGCCAGGACCCCACCCTTCAAAGTTATCAGCTACTGTGAGAGCAGAGCTAGCCACTGCCTGCCATGAGTTAATATTACTCTGTAGACATGAGTGAGTAAAGAGCAATTTCTGGATCAATGTCAAAAAGAAGCAACATAGTGAAACAGAAAAGATGCTGAACAGAGATTTGATCATTTGGCACTGGAGCCCTAGACCCTCCCAGTGATAGGTGTACAGTAGGGAGCAAGACAGATCATGTCCACGCCCTCACAAAGTTAGCCTAGTGTGAAAGACAGAAAAGTAAGCAAATGAAATAAGTTAATTTCCTGTGTTGATAAGTGCTATAAGTAGACTAAACACAGTAATGTGATAGAGAATGACCCACTAGAATGTGTGTTGATGAGAGGAAAATAGATGGTAAGGGCTGCGATGGCTTTCCTGAATTTAGACCTCAAAGAGAAGGAACTAATGATGTGAAGATCTGAGGCTGTTTTCAATCAGAGAAGTCAGCAAGCACAGAGCCTGAGGTGAGACTGATGTGGCACATTAGGGGAACAGAAAAAAAGGCCAGTTGGAGGCAAGGCAACGAGAGGCGGGGTAATGGAAGATGAAATGAGAGAGGAGGGCAGGAATCATGTTATGTAGGCTCCTGTAACAATGGGAAAAGAGATTGCATTTAATTCTAACTGAGCTGGAAAGCCACTGAAAGATTTTAAGTAATGGATTTTTATTTTGTAAAACATCCCTTTGGTTGCTGAGTAGGGAGTGGACTGGAAGTAGGCAAGAGTGGAAACAGCTTGGCCACTAATCAGCTGTATGACTCCAGAGATTGAGTACACTTGGGGCCTCAGTTTCCCAATCAGTAAAATGTTTGCTTGGCACCAAGGGAGCAGTATGGTTCCTTCTAGCTTCACTATTCCATGAATACACCGTGGTAGCCTGAATTTGAGCCAAGCTCTTATATGTGAGTGGAAAATAAGTCTCTGGTTTCCATCTCACTGCATGGCATGGTCACTTGATATCAGCTCAGCACTTCCTCTTCTTCTCCAAGGCTCCTGACTAGTGCCTGAAACCACACAGATGGCCTCCTTGCCTGTCGCATCCCAGCCCAGAGCCATCTGCCGGGGTTTCCAGTCTGGGGATGCTCCTGGGGGGAAATAACTGGCCAGCCTGCTCTGTAGCATCACCGGCCCTGCTACCCACCCCCAGCACCACCCTGCTGCCTACCGCCAGCCTGTGCAGGCTTCTTGGAGCTCTTTTTCTGGGAAGGCAAATGGCATTATTAAATATTCAATATGCCTGCAAAGAGGCAGTGGACATGATAGACGGAACCTGCTTTTCAATTGTGCTGAGAGGGCAGCTGCCTACTCAGAGTGAGGCTGGGACAAAGGAGGTGTGGTCTCAGCCCATGCTTCCCGGGGCTTCTCTGATGTGTCCACCCTACATGTGGTCCCAGACATGAGGGCTTTTACCCTTCATGGGGACAAGTCCCTCCACAGACCATTCCTCATTGGTGACATATCATCTTGTTCAAGTGACATGTGACAATATATGGAATTATAGGTGTCTGAGATGTATGTGTGTACATATATAGTTCTAAACAGAAATGTAATCTGTATTTACCTCAAATTCCCCCAGCTCATATGTGTACAGTGATACCCACATTCTGCAAATGTTAGCCATGTACACGTAACCCATTTTAACACAGGGCCCACTTAAAACAATGTGGCTTTAAAAACAGCCTGTTTTAAATGGCTGCCCAATGGGCACATGTAGCTTGATAGTCAGACAAATAGAAATATTGATTTTTAGATACAGACATAACAACAATAAAACCTTTAATTTATACACGTCCTTCTCCTGGGGAATCTGCAGGATGTGTCACTTCTCCCCTATGTGGAGAGTCTAAAAGTTTATCTCTGCATGAGATGTGAAGCAGAATTAATATAAACACAGAGAAAGTCCTATGACATTCTAGTTAATGCTACCTATGCACCACATGCACCCTAAGTATCTGAATTCACACACCATCCAAAATATAAATTATAACAAGAATTTGTATGTAATACCATACACATGCATGCTATGTGACTATGTCCTAAGTAACATTACCTGGAGATTAAAAAAACCTTTGTAAGTGCATTTTCATTTCTGCCTTTTCAGATTAGGTATAGTTATTGATATAGAACACTATTACATGATTAGATAATTGGGTAAAAATCCATTAAGTGATTCACTTAAGATTCGTGCAATTTGCTATATATAGGTAAATACCTCAATATTAAAAAGTGAGAAAAAACAAAGTTGCCTCTTGAAATCCAGGATGCTGTCTCATAACCTGGGGCCAGGGTAATAAAGAGTATAGGCATACCTCGTTTTATTACATGTCACTGTATTGCACTTCACAGATCTTGCATTTCTTACAAATTGAAGGTCTGTGGCAACCCTACATGGAGCAAGTCTATCGGTGACATTTTCACAATAACCTGTGCTCATTTCATGTCTCTATGTCCCATTCTGGTAATTCTCACAATACTTCAAACTTTTTCATTATTATTATATCTGTTATGGGGATCTGTAATGAGTGGTCTTAGATGTTACTATAGTAATTGTTTTGAGGTGTCATAAGCCATGCCCATATAAAACAATACATTTAATTGATAAATATTGTGTATGTCTTGATTGCTCCACTGACCGGCCATTCCCACATCTCTTTCCTGCTTCTCAGGCCTTCCTATTCCCTGAGACCAAACCATACTGTAATTAGGTCAATTAATAACACTACAATGACCTCTAAGGGTGCAAGTGAAAAGCAGAGTTGCATGTCTCTTATGTTAAATTGGAAACTAGAAATGATTATGCTTAGTGAGGAAGCCATTTTGCAAGTAGAGATAGGCCAAAAGCTAGACCTCTTGAGCCAAACAGCAAAGTTATGAATACAGAGAAAAAGTTCTTGAAGGAATTTAAAAGTACTACAGTGAACACATGAATGATAAGAAAGCAAAACTGCCTCATTGCTGATATGGAGAAAGTTTTAGTGGTCTGAATGGAAGGTCAAACCAGACACAACAGTCTTTTAAGCCAAAGACTAATCCAGAGCAAGGACCTAACTCTCTTCAATTCTATGAAGGCTGAGAGAGGTGAGGAAGCTGCACAAGAAAAGCTGGAAGCTAGCAAAGGTTGGTTCATGATCCTGTCTTCATAACATGAAAATACAAGGCGAAGCAGCAAGTGCTCGTGGAGAAGGGGCAGCAAGTTACCCAGAAGATCTAGCTAAGACAATAAATGAAGGTGGCCACACTAAATAACACATTTTCAGTGTAGACAAAACAGACTTATATTGGAAGAAGATACTATCTAGGACTTTCACAGCTAGAGAAGTAATTGCCCAGCTTTGATGCTTTAAAGGACAGGCTGACTGTCTTGTCAGAAGCTAATGCAGCTGATGACTTTAAGTTGAGACTAATACTCATTGACCATTCCAAAAATCCTGGGGCCCGTAAGAATTATGCTAAATCTACTCTGCCTGTGCACTATAAATGTAACAACAAAGCCTGGATGACAAGACATTTGTTTATAGCAAGGTTTACTGAATATTTGATGTATATATATACACACACACAAATATACATATATATGTGTGTATATGTATACATATATGTGTGTATACATATATGTGTGTATATGTATACATATATGTGTATGTGTGTATACATTTGTGTACATATGTATACATATATGTGTACATATGTATGCATATATGTGTACATATGTATGCATATATGTGTACATATGTATGCATATATGTGTACATATGTATACATATGTGTATATGTATACATATGTGTATATGTATACATATGTGTGTACATATGTATACACAGGTGTGTATGTATACATATGTGTGTACATATGTATACATATGTGTGTATGTATACATATATGTATACATTATTTGTCATTGTCTTAGATACACACACATACATACATATATACATATGCATACATATATTTGTACATGTATATATACATATACATATATACATATACATATATGTACATATATATGTATATGTATATATACACATACACACACACACATATATATATATATTTTTTGAGAAAGAGTCTTACTCTGTTGCCCAGGCTGGAGTGCAGTGGTGTGATCTCAGCTCACTGCAACCTCCGCCTCCTGGGGTCAAGTGATTCTCCTGCCTCAGCCTCCTGAGTAGCTGGGACTACAGGAGCCTACCATCACACCTGGCTAATTTTTTTTTTAAGTAGAGATGGGGTTTCACCATGTTGCCAGCCTAGTCTTGAACTCCTGACCTCAGGTGATCTGCCCACCTTGGCCTCCCAAAGTGCTGGATTACAGGCATGAGTCACCATACCTGGCTGGTTTACTGAATATTTTAAGCTCACTGTTGAGAACTACTGCAAAGAAAAAAAAGATTCCTTTCAAAATATTACTGCTCATTAACAATGCACCTGGCCACCCAAGAGCTCTGATAGAGATGCACCAGAAGATTAATGCTGTTTTCCTGCCCTGTTAACCCAACGTCCACTCCATAGCCCATGGATCAAGGAGTCATTTTAACTTTCCTGTCTTGTTGTTTAAGAAATACATTTTGTAAGGCTATAGCAGCCATACATAGTGATTCTTCTGATGGATCTGGGTAAAGTACCTTGAAAACCTTCTGGAAAAGATTCATCATTCTAGATGTCATTCAGCACATTTGTGTTTCATGGGAGGAGGTCAAAATATCAACTTTAAACATGAGTTTGGAAGAAGTTGATTTCAACCCTCATGGATGACTTTAAGGGGTTCAAGACTTCAGGGGAGGAGGTCACTGCAGATGTGGTGGAAATAGCAAGATAATCATAATTAGAAATTACAGCCTAAAGATGCTGCTGAGTTGCTGTAATTTTATGATAAAACTTAAATGAATGAGGAGTTGCTTCTTATGGATGAGCAAAGAAAGTAATTTCTTGAGATGGAATCTACTCCTGGTGAAGATGCTGTGAACATTGTTGAAATGACAACAAAGGATTTAGAGCATTCCATACACTTAGTTGATCAAGCAGCTGCAGGGCTTAAGAGGAGTGACTCCGTTTTGAAAGAAGTTCTACTGTGGGTGATATGCTATCAAACAGCATCACATGCTACAGAGAAATCTTTCTTAAAAGAGCCAGTTGGGCCAGGAACGGTGGCTTGTGCCTGTAATCCCAGCACTTTGGGAGGCCAAGGCAGGCAAATCCCTTGAGGTCAGGAGTTTGAGACCAGCCTGGCCAACATGGTAAAACGCCGTCTCTACTAAAAATATAAAAATTAGCCAGGCATGGTGGTGGGCATCTGCAATCCCAGCTACTCTGGAGGCTGAGGCAGGAGAATCAACCTGGGAGGCAGAGGCTGCAGTGAACTGATATCATGCCACCACACTTCAGCCTGGCAACAGAGCAAAACTCTGTCTCAAAAAACAAACAAACACAAAAGAGTCAATCAATGCAGCCAACTTCTTTATTGTCTTATTTTAATAAATAACCACATGCCAGGTGCGTGACTCATGCCTGTAATCCCAGCACTTTGGGAGGCTGAGGATTGCTTGAGCCCAGGAGTTCAAGACCAGCCTGGGCAACATAGCAAGATCCTGTCTCTACAAATAATTTTTAAAAACTAGCCAGGTGTGGTGGCACGTGCCTGGTGTCCCAGCTACTTGAAAGGCTGCAGTGAGCTGTGATTGCACCTCTGCACTACAACCTAGGTGTGACAGAGTAAGACCCTGTCTCAAGGAAAAAAAAAACAAAAACAAAACCCACTGCCACTCCAACCTTCAACAACCACCAGCCTGATCCACCAGCCACTGTCAACATAGAGACAAGGCCCTCCACCGGCAATAAGATTATGACTAGCTGAAGGCTCAGATGATCACTTGCATTTCTGGCAATAAAGTATTTTTTAATTAAGATGTGTACATTGTTTTTTAGACACAATGTTATTGCACACTTAATAGACTACAAGATAATGTAAACATAACTTCTATTACATTGGGAAAACAAAAGTGTGTGTAACCTGCTTTGTTGCAATATTCATTTTACTATGGTGGCCTAAAACTGAATCCGCAACATCTCAGAGGGATGCTGGAACTTACTACATGGGGCACTTCTCAGAACTCTGTTAGTTCAGATAAGGTGGAGCATTGAGTCTGGATTCTGATAATTCATGGTCATGTCACCTTGGCCACTTTACTCCTTGTGCTTGCTTCCTCATCCACAAACAAAACAGATCAAACCTCATAGAGCTGCAGAAAAATCAAATGAAAAAAATTAACGTAAAGCACTTTGCATGGTGTCTGGCACATAGTAACTCTCAGCAACAGTGGGCTCTTTCCAAGATGATCATGACCACCCCTTACTCCTCACACTGACAGAGCCAGAAGACACTCAATGCATAGCACTATTTATGGGACACAACCTCTGCCCTGAAGAATCTGTGAAAGCAAAAAAGGATTACACATAATCAGAGACCTAATGATTCTTAATGTCCTGGTTGTCCAACTCCATCCACAACAGTTGATCTCCCAATTCCTTGATGAGTCATCATGTTTTCTAACTTCCTCAGCAAACAGCACAACCTTGTTCCATCACCAGCTTCCCCATCTTAACACGTTGCCACACCTCTGCTTGCCTTTCCTAACCTAGAGACTCTACCTCCCCGTCCTGTCCTTCCCAGCAATTCCCCTTCTTATACACCCCTGCAGTTATGTACCCCAGAAAAATTAGCCCAATCAGTGTTATCTTGTAATTCATTTACGTGGGGTACGAGAGCATGAGTGAGCAGAGTGTGTATGCATGTGCACGCGTGTGTGTGTGTGTGTGTAATAGATGCCAGATGCATCCCTCAGTGCAAGTCTCCTGACCTCTCAGAGCCTTGGTTTCCTCATCTAGAAAATGAGGCTATTCACTTCCACATTGAAGGGTTGTTGTGAGGATGGAATGAAAACACACATATCAAGTAAGTGCCTAGCACAATGCCTGGCATTAACACTACTGAAGATAAACATGTTCATGCTAAATAAGAAGGAGCTTGCTGCAAATTCCTTACTTAGGAGAAGATTTGCAGTTCTATTGGGCAGGATAACTCCTTATTAGCTAAAATTAAATCCCCATACCTCCTTGAGAATTACCTCTCTGAGCATTTTCACTCTGAGTTCGTCCCAGCTAGAGCTGGCAGGATTTGTGCAATGTACATATACTTGTGAAATTCAAGCACACTGTCTCTTGCTGACAGACTATAATGACTGTAATAAACAGGGAAACCTCTGTTCTAATAAACAAGTAATTACAGTTGACAATAAATGTGTAAACATGATGCTAATTAGCAAATTGTCTCATAGCTGCTTCCAGCTTGGGGACACGTGTACACATGCCCTGAAATATGGATAAGATGGGTCACCATTCTATGTTCTCATCCATAGGTATATAAAGATGTGGGCAATAAGTACCACCTTCTTTGTCAAATCTTTTTTTTTTCCTTTCTATAGAAAGTATTATCTTTTTCACTCCAGAAAAAGAGGTCATTTTAGCATCTTGGTTTCCTATGTAATCCCTTTAAACTCAGGTTTTCTAGTAACCTTGGGGGACTGTGATTTATTATACAAAGTGCCTTTAGATCCATGAACACTGGCCTCATTACCTGGGTTCTTTCCAAACTTAGATACGAAGACACGGCCTGTCGATCCTTGGGATTTGAGAGCAGTAGGTGATGAAGGGCTGAAAGGAGGAGGTGGTTAAGATTAATAAACAGTGTTAAACCAGCAAATTGTCTTTATTGAACCAAAAAAAGAGATAAACCACACAGGGAGACAATGACCCGAATGGAGTTTCCGTCCTGCTTTCCGGCAAAGGGGCTGTTGCTTGAAGCTTCTCTTCTAAAGCAGACAGAATTTCCACTTCTACTTCCCTAGAGATGGGCTGCAAGTTATTTTCAGTAAGAAGCAGCCACAATTAATTCCCTGGCCAAGAGCAAAAATCCTGGAGGCCTTATGTATAAACATTTTTCTAAAGATTCCTCTCTTTTATTTTCTTTAATTTTTTTATTGACATGGGGAGTAAAGGAAAGACAAGCATGATTTTTTGCTAATCCCTTTTCTAACATTTTTATTCCTTCAATAATAGTCCTCATGAGTATCACTTTCTTTTCTTTTGTCCCCTTTCACTCATCCTTCCAAAACCATAACCTTCAAGAAATTTCCATGGATTAAGAGGTAGGGAGAAGAAGTATTATCCAGTGGTTAAAGACACTGACTTTTGATTTGATCCTGGCTCCTTCACTGTTTCAGTCGGATAGGTTAGGTTACGCTGCAGTAACAAGCAGCACCAAATTTTCAGTTTCTGAACACAATAAAAGCTTATTTTACCTTTATACCAAGTCAGTGCAGGTCCAGGTGACTCTGTAGGGCAACCACCTTCATGCAGTGGGTCAGCAATCCACATCTCTTCAATCTTTTGGCACCTCCATTTCAACAAATGCCTCCATGACTGCTGGAGCAGAGGAATAAAGCATTAAAGCCCACATGAGAGCTCTTACATGTGTCAGCCTAGAAGCACCTTATCACTCAAAGTCACAACACATTGGCAAAACTAGTCACAAGACCCTACCCAATTGCCAAGAAAGATGGAAAACAAAGTTTTCCATGTATCTAGGAAGAGGAAGAGAATTGAAAATATTGGTGACCACTGGTATTAGCTACCACAGCCACTTACCAGCTGTTTGATCTTGGGCAAGACTTAATTCTCTGAGCCTCAGTTCCCTCAACTGTAAAATGTGAAAAACAAGAGTATCTAACATATAAGTTGTTGTGAAGATTAAATGAAGTAAAGCATCTTAAGTGTTTACCATAGAGTCTGGCACATAATGTGTTCAAGAAATGGGAGGCACCTTCATCAAATGTATCATGGTTAGTATACTTTTTACTTGCTTAGAAAATAGGGAGAAGAGGTTGGCAGAGATTGGAAGGAGAGAGAGAGAATAACCTGCAAATCCATCATTTTAACTACTAGGCTTCTCAAGAAGGCTAGGTCCTAAAAACAGGTATGAGTAGATGTTCTTTAGGCTCACAGAGCACTGGGTGTGATCAAAGCATGTGGTACCCGGGCACAACAGTCTCGCACGAGAGGCTCTTGTGCCTCCCACCTGCCTGTTAGTCAGGATCCTTATAGGAACCAGACAACACACTCAGACTTTCTAATGAAGGTACTATTTACAGATGTATAGGTAGAATTAAGAAAACCAACACTGACTCATCTAGGAAGGTACCATCAGTAATGTAATGTCACCTTTAGACCTAAAGGAGCAAAGGGAGGAAGTGGTGTTATGGGGAACCACCCAACAGAAGCACTAGTCAAAGCTGGATGTAGCGACTGCCAGAACTGTGACAAGTAGGGGAGGAAACAAGAGGAACAAATATCCCAATCTCTCATTCCTCCTCCCTTTCATCCCCTGATAATGCCACCCATTGACCAAACCCAACTGAAAGCCACAAGACAGGGAAGCCTGGGTTTCTGGGTCATAGAAATGGCCCCCAGCCCAGAGAAGTCACCTGGGGTTGGGGACAAACAGTATACCTGTGCTCCAACTCTCCCTCTCTCTGCACTCTTCTTAGCTGCTGCCTCCTCCTCTCCTTCTTCCTTCTCTGCTCCTCCCACTTTCACTTTGCTAGGTTGACTGAGCATCTCCTCAGGTGAAAAGTACTTCCTGGATGGTGATAATTAAAGTCAGTACTTCTATCTACCATGCGGAGTGAGAAATCCATGGAGTCAGCCCAGAGAGTTCCTGGACAGTCCCATTAGCATGCTGTTGCTGCTGATGCTGCTGCTATCCAAGTCAAAGCACATGCACAATTTTTGCCCACAGTTTCTCAGTAAGAGGACTGGGGTAGTGGACATCTGGGGTTTTGTTTGTTTGTTTGTGTTTGTTTGTTTGTTTGTTTATTGGTGCTCATCATATATTTATCTTATCTTGATGACATTCTTGCTTCTCTCTAGGGTATCATCCTTTCCTCCCCAAGTCTCAGCTCATGTGTTTCAGGTAGAGTTGACTTGAGCCTGGCTCAGAGGTGGAACATGTGACCTAGGCTTAATCCAATAATTGCGTCCCATTTTCCTATACACAGAAATTGTTTCAGGGGTGGATATGTGATGCAGTCAGAGCCAATAAAATGTAGTGAAATTTTGCTAGAAATTCTGGAACAAAGACTTTTCCTAGAGCAGACACTGCAGAAGACATTATGGCTGGTTGACTTTCCACCAGCCATTCCACCCTAGGTGATCGTCTAAGCCAGGATTCTCAACATTACACTATTGACACTTTGGACAAGAGAATTTTTTGTTGTAGAAGAATTGTCTTGTGCAATCTGGAATGTTTAGCAGCATTTCTGTCATCTACCTACTAGACTGCGGGAGCACCCCACCCCACCCCACTCAGTGACAACCCAAAATGACTCCAGACTTTGTCAAATGGCCCCAATGGGGCAACATCTCCCCTGATTGAGAACCACTAGTCTAAGCTAACTGTGAACATTTTATCCTACTTATCAGTGGCTGGGTGAGGAATGGGCATGTGATGCAATTCTGTCCCATAAGATGTAAAAAGCCTTCTACGAGATTCTGGGAAACATTTCCTTTTTCTGACAAAAGAGCAGAAGGGAGAGGTAGTTTCACTTCTTTTTCTGCACATTGCAGTGTCTGAATATGACACTTAAAAATTTAACAGCCATTGTGTAACCATGAGGGAAGCCATCCTGAGAGAATTGACACTGAAAATGAAGGGGTGGGAAAAACCTGGCATCTCAGCTACATTGTTGAGGTGCTTAATCAACCATTCTGGATCTCACCACATCTTTATATTTCTTGTGCACAGAGAAAAATTTCTTGGCCGGGCGCAGTGGCTCACGCCTGTAATCCCAGCACTTTGGGAGGCTGAGGCGGGTGGATCACGAGGTCAGGAGATCGAGACCATCCTGGCTAACACAGTGAAACCCCGTCTCTACTAAAAATACAAAAAAATTAGCCGGGAGTGGTGGCAGGCGCCTGGAGTCCCACCTACTCTGGAGGCTGAGGCAGGAGAATTGTGTGAACCCGGGAGGCGGAGCTTGCAGTGAGCCGAGATCGCGCCACTGGACTCCAGCCTGGGCAACAAAGCGAGACTCTGTCTCAAAAAAAAAAAAAAAAAAAAAAATTGCTTTATCATCTAAGCTACTTTGGGGTCAGATTTTCTCCTGTTTGCAGCTCAAATTATCCTAACTGACATAGACTTCAATAAGGACATATGTGGCCCTGGGAGTTACTGGAAGTTCTCTCTCTTTTTTTTTTTTTCTTTTTGAGAAGGAGTCTTGCTCTGCAGCCCAGGCTGGAGTGCAGTGGCACCATCTTGGCTCAATGCAACCTCCACCTCCTGTGTCTCGGTTCAAGCAATTCTCCTGCCTCAGCCTCCCGAGTAGCTGGGATTACAGGCTCGTGCCACCAGACCCAGCTAATTTTTGTATTTTTAGTAGAGATGGGTTTCACCACGTTGGCCAGGCTGGTCTTGAACTCCTGACCTGGTGATCTGCCCACCTCAGCCTCCCAAAGTGCTGGGATTACAGGCATGAGCCACCGTGCCCGGCCTGGAAGTTTTCTTCTAATCATGAAGAAAGGCCCTATCTAAGACTCGAGGATGCAGAGCTGAGGACAGGGAAGAAGTGGATCTTAGTGACAAATGGTTTAGATTTATGAGACAATACGTTTTCTTTGCTTGGCTTTAGTCCATTAGGGTTGGGGTTTCTGTTGCTTGCAACAGAGTGATTTGACTGATACAGATGGAATAGGAATAGAGTTTCCAGTACCCAAAAGTCACCCCAGTGAGACAACAGATATAAGTATTTTCAAATTAATCTGAACCCAACAAATAAATCTAATCTATACCAGCAAATAAAGTAGAATGAAGCACTACCCAGCCCCCTCCCACCCCATACCTTTCCCAAATATAACAAAATACTTCTCCTTAAAATATTAATAAAATTAAGGAAAGTATAGGCCTCAAGTTTGGACACTTGTCACAATTTCAAATGCCACCGAATCATTGCAGATACTGCCTGGATGCTTCATACAGATATTTGGTCATAAGAATCATATTAAATCCGTAAAAAGGAAGCGTTAAAAGGAAATAGATACAACCTATCTAGCCTTCTCATTTTACAGAGGAGGAAATGGAGGCCTAGAGAAGGAAATAATCACTAAGGTCACTCAGTTACTGAGAGGCAGAGTCAGGACCAGAAGCCACATCTCCTCACTATTCTACCCCAGCTCATTTTCCCTCACCAACTCTATCTGATAGTAGGTCCCATTTTCTGAAATGATCCATGTAGAGATTGAGGATTTGGCCTGAAGTGCTAGAAGTCACTATCCCTGCAACCCAATCTCAGTCGGTGGCACCTATGAGAAAACATGCTTTCAAATCTCTCTTGGCCGGATATGGTGACTCACACCCATAATCCCAGCACTTTGGAAGGCAGAGGAGGGCAGATCACCCGAGGCCAGGAGTTTAAGACCAGCCTGGCCAACATGGCAAAACCCCGTTCTACTAAAAATACAAAAATTAGGCTGGGCATGGTGGTACACGCCTGTAGTCCCAGCTACACAGGAGGCTGGGGCACAAAAATCGCTTGAGCCCAGGAGGCAGAGGCTGCAGTGAGCCAGGAGTGGAAATCGCGCCGCTGCACTCCAGCCTGGGCAACAGAGTGAGACACTGTCTCAAAATTAATTAATTAATTAATTAAAATAAAATAAAATCTTCTTCTTGGAGCAGTTGTATCAGCAGCCCTGGGAGGCCTTGGGATAGGTGGGACTGCCACCCTCCTCTGGGACAGATGGCCAGTCTAGCAAGGCTGGTCTGGCAGCCTGCTGTCCTTCAAGCTGAGTGGAGCCAGCTGGGTGCTGGGGTCAGCGGGGAGGAGAAGGATGGAACATCCAGAGAATGGCAGGGTGGGAGAATGGGCCCTCCCAGTGGCAGGAGGCATAGACTCTTCTGTGCCACCAAAAATACCATCCAAATTTAAAGCTGACAACACAGGTGGAGTGGGCGGGCCACTGTGATTTGACGGGTTCTCAGAGGCTCTGCCTGCCTAAAAATATCTCCTCTACCCACCTGCCTGGGACACCGTCCCTTCTTATCAAGCCTGAAATTCCTACCATTAGAGTTGCTAAGGGTTTAGATGACAAAGAACGGGGCATGTTTCCCAGCAGGTCACCATTAAAGCAGGCTTCCTGGGAGTGGAAGGGAGGCCCTTGAGTCTGCTCCTTTTAGCACAAAGAGCTAATACGGCCAGAAGCTCAGAGGAGGCAGGAGTGGCCTACTTTACAATTTTGCCTCCTACTGAGATGCCAGTCACTTAATTCATTCATGCCCATATGACCAGGGCCCTGAAGAAATTAGGAAGCAGGCTGTAAAGAAAATAAGACAATGGGCCCACAAGTAAAGCATCATATTCTGCTTCTCCTTTGCAGTTCCATTTAGGTTTTGCATTTTCTCCTCACGGGAATCTGGGTCCAAGTTGGAGAACTTTTTTATGTGCTCGGGGCAGCCAGGCATTAGGGTGCACCCAAAGCCCCACAGGACCCCCCAGAGTTTGTTGTTCTCCCTAAGTTCTTCCCCACTTCTTCTCATCACCACTTCCCCTTGGCTAATCCCAGGAAAAAATTAAAAATCCAAGTGTGGGCTGGGCGCAATGGCTAACTCCTTTAATCTCAGCACTTTGGGAGGCCAAGGTGGGCGGGTTGCTTGAGCCCAGGAGTTCCAGACAAGCCTGGACAGCATGGCGAAACCCTGTTCCTACAAAAAGTACAAAAATTAGCTGGCTGTGGTGGAGCACGCTTGTAGTCCCAGCTACTAAGGAGGCTAGGGTGGGAGGATCGCTTGAGCCAGGGAGGTCAAGGCTGCTGTGAGCTGAGATCGCACCGCCGCACTCCAGCCTAGGCAAAAGAGTGAGACCCCTTCTCAAAGGAAAAAAAAAATCTAAATGTGTCAGGTCATGGCGTGCTATTGAGAAGTAGAGGAATGAAAGGGTGGGAGGCAGGGTGGGCAGTAGGGGAGATTCACACCCCTGTTGATTGGTTTTGCCCATTCCATTCTGACATGTGTGAGCCTCAGCTCTGCTGTCAGAGGCTGAGGCAAGGGAGGGGGACTGACAGGACAGGTCAGAGGGGACCATGGCTGACAGAAAGGGCCTGGTGGTGGCAGAGTGATTAATGATCCTGGGCTTGGAGAACTGACGATGGCCAGAGGAGGGGAAGATAGTGTTGATCCGTGCTGGAGGTTGTGCTGGGAATTTATAAGCTCTGGTGTGAAGAGGAAGCTGTCTGAATACTTAAGAAGATGCTTGGTGTAGGCCTTGTTGGTTGGAATTAGGGTGGGTACCTTGACTTAGGTCACATCATTCATTGCTTCATCAATAAGGTGCACAGGAATAAGACTAGCAAACCCAAGTGAAAAAATTCATTAATGTCAGGCCATTCTGTGGTTGTCTTATCTAGGCCAGACACACCCTGGTGGAGGAACGGGGAGGGCTTGCCCTTGAAGCTAATGGATGCTCTCATTGTCCATCATCCTGGCAAGAATTTGATTTGACGCTGGCTATAAGGATATAAAGAGGAGAGACAGAGAGTGGAAAGAAAAAAAAGTGTTCGTTTTCCCCAGAGCAGGGTATGTCTTTATCTGGCGTCCCAAGAGAGGAGTGGGATATTCCCAGTGAGTGCATTTTGGGGCAGAAGGAAGGCTACCCTTTGCCAAATGTAGGCAGCCCAGGAGCCAAACAAGGAAACAGATCCTAGGGAAGAACCTGATATCGGGCAAGAGTTTTGGTAATTTTCAGTTTTTATATTTCCTTCCATTAATCTCCGACTTACAGAAAAGTCTCTTTAAGATTTGCAGCCTGGTCTCAGTGATGCTGTAGAGGCTGAGGGAAGAGTCTGGTACCCATTTGGGACCAAAGAGCAGAGCAGTGGGCAGTGTCCCCTCCCTTGAGACCAGGGAAGTCAAATCAGTGGTAGTAGCAGGGCAATCATATCCAGTCGAAACACGGTGAAGGTCAGTGAAGGAGGCAGTGGCTCAGAGATAAGGCAAGAGTAATCATCTCCTGGATTTCTTTCTGGACACATGCAAGGCAGCACTCTGGGAAACTCTCAGAAACAGTTTGGGGGTCTCTGAGGACTGGGGCTTCAGCTCAGCCACTGGCATTTGAGGGGTTTTATCTTAGACATCAAACATGTCCTGCAAGACCCAGCATTGTGTTGGGCTCTAAGGATACAGGGATGAATTCAATATGACCTTCCCACTTAAGTGACTTTACCCTGTCTCTCCAGGTGCCTGGAACCACAGGACCCTCTATAAGAAAAGGCACCCTGAGTCCTGGCTAAACAGGACCACTCATTTTCCTGTACATTGCCCATATTGCCAGGCCAATGGCTCAGGTTTAGGGACCACAGGTTTTTAAGATCTCAAAGAGAGGTTTGAGATTATCTGGCCCAAGTCTCCATTTTGGCAGATGTTGAGACATATATATAATACAATCTGTTGGGGAAAAGGGCATCTAGACCTGTCCTTTTTGCAAGTTGATATCAGAGCATCACCCTCACTCAGAAGCAGAGAAAAGGAGGTGAGTCCTGCAGCCATTGTAAGTTGGGGAGCGTTTGTGTTTCAGTGTGACCATCACGGGGTCTATGCTGAAGCCCTAACCCCCAATTCCAGAGAATGTGACTTCATTTGGAAATAAGGTCTTTGTGGATGATTAAGTTAAGAAGAGGTCATTAGGGTGCACCATAATCCAATATGACTAGTGTCCTTATAAAAAGGGGAAATTTTGAAACAAAGAGATAGACACAGGGGGAATGTCATGTGAAGATGAAGGCAGAGATCACATGATGCAGAGGAAGGCAGGAAGTGCTAATGATTTGCAGCAAACCACCAGAAGCTTGACAAGAGGCATGGAGCAGATGCTTCCTCACAGCCCTCAGAAGGAACCAACCCGCCAACCCCTTGATCTCAGATTTCTGGCCTCCAGAACCGCGAGACAGCAGATTTCCATGGCTTGAGCCGCCCGGTTTGTAGTACTTCATTATGGCAGCTCCAGCAAACAAATACAGATTTATGACCTCGTCTACCCGACGAGGATGCCTGGCCCAAGCTGGCATACTAAGAGTTTTCCTGGAACTTGGGAACTGGGACAAAGAGGGACTAAGCCAGCAAGACCGAAAAGCATGGCAGTCCCAGGACAGCCATGAAAACCATATGTGAATTAATGAGTGAGCAGATTGGAGCAGGTAAGGAGAGGAAGCAGAGATGCCATGGGAGGGAGGTCCTAAGGCCCCACAAGCCAGAGAGAGCAGCACGGTGGTTGGAGTTTTGGTTCTCTTAACCCCCAGAGGTGCCTTGTGCCTTGTCCATTTCCCTAGAGTCCTCTGCAGCCTTTAATTTGTCTGGGTTAGCCAGAGTGGATTTCCATTCCTTGCAAATCTAAGGGCATGAATGAGAGCAGCCAAGAAGAATATGTAGAAAAATGTTAGTATTGGATATTTCCAGATGGTGGTTCTTATTTCATTCCCAAGGGTTATCAAAGTTTCTAATTTTCCTACAGAGAACCCCTATAATGTGTTTAATATCTTAAGCTAACTAGATTAATTCATTTATTCATTCACTTGGCAAATAATTATTGGCGCTTCCTTCATGCAAAGCATTGTTTTGGACCCTAAGGACGTCACGTACAAAATGCACTTAAATCCTTGCCTCCTGGAGCTGATGATAAAGAAGATGGACAAGTAAAACATATGGAATGTGAAATGGTGATAAGAGTGATGGAGAAAATAAAACAGGAGAGGAGGTTGGAATTGCCAGGTAAGGAGAAAGATTTTCATTTTAAATATGTTGACCAGGGAAGGCATCACTGAGAAAGGGAGATTTAAACCAAGTGTTGAAGGAGGCGAGGGGAACGAGCCACTTAAGTATCTGGGAGAAGGGTGGTTTGGGCAGAGAGGCCCACAGATACAAAGTGTGTGAGGCAGATGTATGCCAGGCAAGTTCCAAGAAAAGCAGGTGACCAGGGTATCTGAAGCAGAATGAGAGAGAGGGAAAGGACCAGAAGATAAGGTCAAAGATGTAGTTGGGGGAGGAAAAACCAAAAGAAGTTGAAAAGAAAACAAAAGAAAAAAATAAAGATGTAGCTGGGAAAGGCCAGGTGTGGTGGCTCATGCCTGTAATCCCAGTACTTTGGGAGCCCAAGGTGGGTGGATCACCTGAGATCAGGAGTTCAAGACCAACCCAGGCAACATGGAGAAACCCCATCTCTACTAAAAATACAAAAATTAGCCAGGCATGATGGTGTGCATCTATAGTCCCATTTACTTGGGAGGCTGAGGCAGGAGAATCGCTTGAACCCAGGAGGCAGAGGTTGCAGTGAACGGAGATTACGTCACTACTCCAGCCAGGGCGGCAAAGTAAGACTTGGTCTTAAAAAAAAAAAAAAAAAATGTAGCTGGGAGAAGAAAGTGGGAAGGCCACCCACAGTTTGTGAGGAGTTTGATTTGATTTTTGGGCTAAGTATCTATTGGAATATAACAAAACTTAAAACACAGTGGCTTAAAACAACAGCAAACATTGATTCCCTCACAGTTTCAGTGGCTCAGGGACACTCATGAGATTGTAATCAAGATGGTCGCCACATACTGTATTCATCTAAAGCCTCTTAACCAGGGCTGGAGGACCCTCTTCCAAGGTGGCTCACATACTCACAAGGCTGGCAAGTGGGTGCTGGCTGCTGGCAGGACGCTGTGTTCCTCAACACATGGCTGTCTCCATGGGGTCTTCATGACATGGGGAATAGCTTCCTCCCTAGTGAGTGATCCAAGAGACAAAGCAGAAGCCTCCATTTTTTATGACTCCACACATAATATTTCATAGTATTTTATTGCTTGCACAGGTCAGCCTTATTCCGTGTGGGAGGGGACTAAACAAGAATCTGAATACCAAGCAGCAAACAATACTGGGGGCCCTTTTGGAAACTGGCTATCACAGCTATTCTATTTAAATGAGAATTTCCAATATATCAAAAGACAGACGATTTGCCAAGTTCAACTGCATCCCCCTTTGTAGTGTTTATCTAAAAAAACAAACAAATTCAGGAACATAACAATTCTCTAATTTTGACTTCCAAAGGACCTAGTCTTAAGTAATCCATCTTTTATCTGTAAATCATCTCCTGAAATATTATTTGCCTCCAGAATGAAATAATCTTGCTAAAATTATTTGGTAATAAACAGCAAGCACCAACTTTAGCTGTCTTGGACACAAATGAAGGGAATCTGGGGGAAAGATTCTGTGGTGTCTCACAGAAACCTTGGAAGGACCAGATTACTAAGCCTCAACAAGGACAGGGAACAGGGTGGTTTTGGAGACTTCGGTTCCTGCAGGACAAGGCTCTTCTCTAGGAGTTGCCACCACTGTGACTCAGCTCCCACACCCCAGGCCCTCTCTTTTCAGAATGGCCAGATTCCTGTGCAATCTGATGGGCTTCAATTAGGTCAGGGGTGCTCCAGCCCCACATAGACTCATCACCTACAGACAGGGGAGTAAGGGACACAAACTCCACTACTAAGGTCCCCTTGAGTATTGTATTAAAGAAGTTCCACAAGATGAGTGAGTCTTTGGGAGCTGAGTAGCCACCCCAAGATATACTTTCTATAAAATGCAAAGATATATTGTACTCACATGGTCACTACTGAAATTTTATTGTGAGCCTGATTTTTTGATATGAGTATATGCATGTTTGAATGTGTTTTTATGTAAAACCATTTCATTATTGCTATGATTTGAATGTGTCCCCCAAAGTTGGTGTTTTGGAAACTTACTCACCAAGGCAAAAGTGTTGGGAGGCACGGCCTAATAAGAGGTGATTAGATCAGGAGGCTCTGCCCTCAAGAATGGATTAAAATCATTATTGCAGAAGTGGTTAGTTGTCTCCAGGGTGGGATAGTTATAAAAGCAATCCAGCCCCCTCTTGCTGTCTTGCTCTGGAGAGGTTTCTCACCATGTGATGCCCTCTGCCAGGTTACGACACAGCAAGAAGGCCCTCGCCAGATGCATCTCCTCCATGTTGGACTTCCCAGCCTCCAGATCCCTGAGCCAGATAAATTTCTATGGTTTACAAATTACCTAGTCTGTGGTAGTCTGTTACAGCAATACAAATGGACTAAGACAATTATCATATCTAACAAAACAAAAATTCTTTCAAATCATCATGTATCCATTCAAATTCAAAATTTCTTGATTGTGTCGAAGTAAGGTTTTTTTAAACATTAATTTAGTTTGATTCACATTTCAATTTTTAGTCTAGCACAGGATCACCCACGAGGGAGCATTTTGAAAAAGTGTGGAGTGTTTTTGGTTGCCCCAATGATGGGTAAGGGGCTTACTTCTGGCAAGTAGAGGCTGGGACCCCAGGCAGCTCAATCTTTTACTATCTGTGAGACAATCTCACCATCTCATATATACTTACCCTATGCTCCACACAATTTTCAAATGTTCTACTAGATATTTACAGAGTTGTTTATAACTTGCTTATAACTATCTGAGCTTTAAAAAGTAACAATTTTATATGTAAACAGAGAGACTTTTTAAAAATGATTTTTAATATGCACTAACTGTATGCTAAGAATGAAACTACTCTGTAAATTAAGGGAAGATTAGAGTTTGTGTTGTTAATTTCTTTACCAGATTTGCTCACTCTTTTGGAAAATCACATCATTGACTGCCACACCACTCATGGTAATTGAGTCTCCAATATGCCTGTATTAGTTTTCATTCATAGCTGTCATAACTGTGGTGTTTTGCTTTTAGGAAATAGTGCCTGTCTTATCATGTATCCCGCATAGTCCTCTCTGAGTTGTTGGCTATTGAAATACACCCCTATGTGTGATTCCTTAGCTTCTTCCTACTCTAAGTGTTGCTCAGTCCTTCTCATCATGCCTGAACCAGATACTGTGGTCTCCAGCTGTCTTTCTCTTAGAATAATGTCCCAGCATTTAGGTTTGGTTGGGGACGGGAGCAAGGGGTGGGCATGAATTTCCTGAGCTTCCCTGGCATTTGCAGGGAGACAGCAAGGGAATACCTCTGTGGGTCACAACAGAGGGAGAGCCAGCTGAGCTTGCAGGATGGAAACATTTAGTAGGCTCCCTCCAGCCATCACTGTCTCCACTACTGCTGACGCCACCATCCATAACAAAGCTTCCAATTTGCAGGCTTCAGATTCAGCTTCTGTTTCCTGAGTGCCTCCACTATACCAGCCATTGGGCCAGGCATCCAGAAGCCCTAAGGTAGACCTCATCATCCCTGTTCTACAGGAGAGGAAAACCAAGACTTGGCTACTACAGTATACAAAGGGTGTGGAAAAGTCCTCCTAGAACCCTTACCCTGCTTCCAGGAGGAGCTGGACAGTTCTTTCCAAGTCCAGGCAGAAAGAAGTCTCCTCTTTTTCCATTCTCTTTGTTACTTTATATGTCTGTGCAGGCTTGGTTGAGGAAGAAGGGGGGCCAGAAGGAAGTCTGGCCAGATGGCAGGGTAATAAATGACTCTGACTTAATAATTTGTTGCTCTCCTCTTAATTAAAAGGCTTTTCCCTAAATGATTTGCTGATCACACAAACAGCACACACTAGTTGGGCGAGGACTGGGGGCCCAGGGAAATCTAGACTGAGAGGAGAAGGCATTGGAATAAAGAGGTGGCAGATGGCAGAAGAAGCCCACCCTCCATGTCCCAGGGTGGGCCCAGCTTCAGGAGCTCCCTCCTCCTCAGGTCTGAAACAATTCAATCCAATGATAGAGCTTTGGGGGACTGGTTCTTCTTTCAGGCCTCAGCTTTTCTGGAAGCTGACTTTGCCAGGGGGCTTTTTAATTTCTGGGATGAAGATATAAGCTTTATTTTATCTAACACGTGGCTTTGCATTCAGTTTCCTCAAAGCCCCATGTGGCCTTGGGGGGTGATCAGGTAGCCTTTGGACCATTTTGCATATAAACTGTCACTTATACACTTGATCAACTGGGGTGGTGGTCATAGAGGGGGACAGGGCACCCATTGTTCCAAGCAGCGTCCTGTCAATATCTGCAGTTGCAAGCAAATGACACTAGATAGTGTCAATGGATAAGCTCTCTATTGCATCTTTACAACTGCAATTTATAAGTTCCTGGGATTAAAATCTGCTTTCCAGCAATTATCACACAGAGGTATATTTTCAAAGCCTCACATGTAATTAGAACATGTTATTGATAAAGTGCTAGCTAAAGATTTAGACTTTGAGTCTGTTCATGAGGGATCAGTTTTGTTAATATTGATAATGTTTTCCCCCTTTAATGCAGTTAGGAGTTAGATTGAGATGCCAAATTCAATCAAAATGCACATCTTATCCCCCGCCAAGGGACTTCTGGCTCTCTTTTACTTGTTCAGACTTGTAGAAAGGACCCCAGAGATCGTGTCATATAGGAAAACATCCTGCCAATCTATAACTCTATGTTAAAGAATAAACTCTTTTACACATTATTTTGGTTAACTAGATTTTTCTCAGCATTTGTGCTTCCATCAGATTGGATCATCCTTGCCATAACCACCATCTTCCTATTATTGCTGGATTCCAAATTTCTACTTAGCCAGTTCAGACACCACTTCATCCGCTTAACCTTCCTGATTCTGTATTCCCTGTGTCTCCATCATCAGAGCTCCTCACTAAACCCCCAAGGCCATTTATCTGTGATTGATTGATTGATTTCTTTTTAGAGACGGAGTCTCACTATGTTTCCCAGGCTAGAGCACAGTGTCTATTCACAGGCATAATCATAGCCCACTAAGGCCTTGAATTCCTGGGCTCAAGCAACCCTCTTGACTCAGCCTCCTAAGCAGCTGGGACTACAGGCACACACCACTGCACTGATCTTATCCACAATTCTTTTTTTATTATATTTTCCACACAGGTATTCTCTCTTCTCCTAGTCTTTAAGTTCCTTGAGACAAACTTTCTTTTTAGTGTTTGTATTTCATCTGTTGGCAACAGTATCTTGCACACAAATCATAAAGACCAAGTTGAAGAGGCTTCTTACTTTGTTTCATCAGTCTGCTAATATGTTATCAATATCACACTAGTTTTATTATTGTAGCTTTGTAGTATATTTTAAACATTAATAGAATAATAACTTACATTTATTGATTACTTAATGTATTCCAGGCAATGAGCTAAGTGCTTTACATGATCTCAGGTAATCCTAACAGGAAGTCTATGGGATAGGTACAATTATTTCCATATTACAGATGGAAAAAACAAAATTTAAAGAGATGAATTTACTCCAAGACAAATGCAAAAAGTGCAGAACAGTGTATATAGCACACTGCCATCTGTATGAAAGGGAAGATAAATAAATGTTTTTACTTAAATGTGCATAGAATATATCCAGAAAAATATGCAAGAAATTGATTATGTAATTGAAATATAATAATTATATCCATGATTATTATAAGTCAATTAAAAATAAACAATTTTTTAAAAAAAGAAATGGATGACATTGGCTGCCTGCTGGGAAGGGAATGGGATGCGGGAGTTAAGAATGGAAGAAGAGCAGAATCAAGTTTTGGGTGTGCTGAAGCTCATACAATTTGGGGGGAGCACTTTTACCAAAAAAATACAAAATTAGATACAGAGCCTTAGAAGGGATATATGCCAATGAGGATCTCTGATGCCATAGGTTACTTTTTAAATCTGCCCTCAGCAGAAAGGAGACATTCCACTATATATACTTTTGTATATATTAAATATATGGAGCTTTAATCATGTAAATGCATTGTCTATTCAAAAAGATACAGTTTTTAAAAAATTTATATTTTTTGTTTTGCCAGGCACAGTGGCTCATGCCTATAATCCCAGCACTTTAGGAGGCTGAGGCCGGCAGATAACTTGAAGTCAGCAGTTCAAGACCAGCTTGGCCAACATGGTGAAAGCTTGTCTCTACTAAAAACACAAAAAATAGCTGGGCATGGTGGCACATGCCTTAAGCCCAGCTACTCAGGAAGCTGAGGCAGGAGAATCGCTTGAACCCGGGGGGCAGAGGTTGCAGTGAGCCAAGATCATGCCATTGCACTCCAGCCTGGGTGACACAGTAAGACTCTGTCTCAAAAATAATAATAATAATATTTTTAAAAGCCAGTTCTCCAACTGACTGCATAAAGCAGGACTTTTACATTTTTCAAAAAGTAAATAACTAAGTTTTCATTTTTTCCAGAAGCAGAGGTGTCTGTGCCTATAGCAAGCTGGAGGGGGTGCGGAGGAGGAATTCCAGAGTTGCCTGTTTTACGGAGGCAGGGTAGAGGGACGTGGGGATTTACCTTCGTAATTCAGAGTAGAGATTTGTGTCAAATGTAAAAGGCATATACTGTCGTAACATGGAAAAATGAAAAAAATTAAAAATAAAAGGCATATACTGCACATGTATACATGTAGGGATAAGAAAAAGAGACCCTGCTTTTTCAGAAACGTACAAGAGAAAATTAAGGTAAAAACTCAAATAATATTGCACTGATTGTTAAAAGGGAGCTAATTTCCTGGAAACCAGTGCTGAGGACCAAGGATGTGAGCAGACGGGATGCTAATGCTCTTTCCCAAATGGCTCTGATGGCCCGTGGTTTTCTATTATTGCATCTAGGAGTAGCAGGTCCCTTACTGTAAAGTATCTAGAAATCAGTCAGGCTCTTAACCACTCAATTAGGGTAATTTATCCTTGCGATGAATGGGACCGTTCCTTCTCCCTGATTTAGTCTGGGCTGTGCCTCCATCGAATGCAGATATAAATAGGTCTGTTTGGGGCAGAAAGCCAGCCTTGTATCCTCCCCACCCTGAGGTCTGAACCCGCAGCTTGTAGCCTGGCTCTGTGCAAGGGGCTGATTGTAAGTCCTCCAAGTCAACAGGAACACAAAATAGCTAGCAGCCCCTCCATTTATCTTTCCCCCATGGACAGAACAAATTTGCAGAGAATTTGGACAGAATTTGCAGATAATTTGGAGCAAACATTAAAAAGAATAATCTGACAATAAGAAATGTGAAATGCTGGAGAAAGGGAAGGAAGGAATTGCCTTTTGCCCAGATCCACAGGAATCCCACACTTTGGATGGTTATTTTGGTGCCATCTTAGTTACAGTAGAGACAGGATGCAGGCCTCAAAGCCTTCCTTTCCCCTACTCAGGAAATTCCTTAAGAACTGATTGGCCTTTTGTTTGTGTGTGTGCTATTTTATTTCAGTCAGGGGTAGACCCCTCTTTCTTTTTCTATTGAAGACCACTCAGCTAGAAAAGAGGAAGGCAATTGGTGGCCATATAAGAAAACATCAAATCAGCGTGAGGAAAGGCTAGAGGAGGGAAATATGAAATGTTTCACTTGTACCCTTTGAGAACTGAAAACCAGGAGCAATTTAACACATACGGCAAACTGGGCGAAATAAGCTTTAGCTCCATGCTATGGGCAGCTGGATGTGGGGTTAGAGGAGCACAGAAAAAAAAAAAAAGAGAGAGAGAGAGAGAAAGAGAAAGATAAAAAGTAAATAGATATAATTTACTATAATAAAATGAAAAAGAATGACACAAAGAGACAAAGCATACACATGTAGAATTAAGGAGTAGGCCAGGTGCGGTGGCTCATGCCTATAATCCTAGCACTTTCAGCGGCCGAGGCGGGTGGATCACCTGAGGTCAGGAGTTTGAGACCAGCCTGGCCAACATGGTGGAACCCTGTCTCTACTAAAAATACAAAAATTAGCCGGGCGTGGTGGCGAGTGCCTGTAATCCCAGCTACTTGGGAGGCTGAGGCAGGAGAATCGTTTGAACCCAGGAGGCAGAGGTTGCAGTGAGCCGAGATTGTACCACTGGACTCCAGCCTGGGCGACAGAGAGAGACTCCCTCTCAAAAAAATAAATAAATAAAAAAAATTAAGGAGTACAGAGGGGCAGGTGAGACAGAGGGACAGAGGGACACAGGCAGCCTATCTATTCGCCCCCTTGTGGTCCTCAGGGACATTGCAGACAGCCAATTCTAATCCAACCTTAACATTTAACATCTGTAGACAAAAATGCACTTTGAACACTTAGGCAATTTCCAGTGTGGTGGATACAATTATATATATTAAGAGTAGACTACTGATCAAAGGCTTATGGTGCTCCACTTGCTGGAGCTACAGAGTGGCCTGCTGGATGAGTAGAAGAAACTAGGATGCCTGAGATCAAGTTTGGGCTCCAGCGTTCTCTATATCCTTGCACAAGCTACTTGGCTTCCCTTTGCCTTCATTCTCCCTTAATAATCATGAAAGAACATAATTTTTCCAATCTATGTCTCTGTAAAGAAGCTACCTCATATGCAGGAAGAAATGGTCCATAAGAAAGCTCAGCCCAATGTGATGGCTCACACCTGAAATCTCAGCAATTTGAGAGGCCAAGGCAGGAGGATCACTTGAGCTCAGGAGTTCAAGACCAGCCTGGGCAACATAGTGAGACCCCATCTCTACAAAAAATAATTTTAAAAGTTAGTCGGGCTTGGTGGCGTGTGCCTGTAATTTCAGATACTCAACAGGCTGACGTGAGAGGATCCCTTGAGCTGAGAAGTTCAAGGTTGCAGTGAGCTACGATCATGTCACTGCATTCCAGCCTGGGGTGATAGAGCAAGACCGTGTCTCAAAAAAATAAAAAAGAAAAAGAAAGTTTAGTGTATGACCTTGAATTTCTTTTTCTTTTCTTTTCTTTCTTTTTTTTGGGGGGGTTGGGGGGAATCTCACTCTGTCACCCAGGCTGGAGTGCAGTGGCACGATCTCGGCTCACTGCAACCTCTACTTCCCAAGTTCAAGCGATCTTCCTGCCTCCGCCTCCTGAGTAGCTGGGATTACAGGCATGCGCCACCACACCCAGTTAATTTTATTTGTATTTTTAGTAGAGATAGGGTTTCACCATGTTGGCCAGGCTGGTCTCAAACTCCTGACCTCAAGTGATCTGCCCGCCTCACCTCCTAAAGTGCTGGGATTACAGGCGTGAGCCACCACGTCTAGCCGAACTTGAATTTCTAAGCCAACTTCATGTCTATTGTGGCCAACAGGGGGTGAGCAGTAGAGCCCTGCACGTGCATGTGCATCACTTTATGTGCCACATCACTTTATGTGCATGTGCTAGACTCAGACATTCAGGCTTTGTGAGATAGAGAGATGGTGCTGGAGCTACCTCCAAATAGCTTTCTGACCTGTCCATCCAGTTCCATCACCATCATCTCTTCCCTAGACTCCTGCAACGGCTTCCTAAGAGGTCCTCCTATCCCCACTCTGCCCTTCTGTGGGGCTTTCTGCACACAACAGCAAGTAGCTTCCTGAGACACACAAGTTACTCCACTCTGGTTTGCATCTCATTAGGGGCCTCCTGCTGCTCTCAGAACAAATTCCCAATGTCTTTGCGTGGTACTGAAGAACCTGGACGTTATCTGTCCTATTTCTCTCCCCAGCCCCATCTTGTGTCCTTTTCATCCTCTCGCACCTCCTCCAGCCAAGCCGGCCTCACTTCCACTTCTCAAACATGCCCAGCTCAGCTCTTCCTTGCCTGGGCTCGATGTTGCTTGCCCCTACAGCTCATTCAGAACCCGCTTCCCTCTGAGCTCCGCATGGCTGCCTCCTCTCCTCCTTCAGGTCTCCCCTGGGGACACCTTTCCTGACCACTCTGAAATAGTTCCCTCTTAAGTGTCCTCTTGGGCTCTCTGTTTAGGTCCCTCACAGCACTTATCATTTAGCTGATTTGTTTCTTTTTGTTTCTTTTGTGTGGGGGGGATCTGCCTCCCTAACTAAACTGTAAGCTTTATTTAAAAAGGGTGACATCAGTAATGCAGCCCTGGTGCTTCTGCACACCGTGCAGCCCATAGTAGGTCCTTGAATTTTTGTTAAGTGAATATAAGAATCAATGGATGAAGGCCGGGCGTGGTGGCTCACACGTGTAATCCCTTTGGGGGATCACTTTGGGAGGCTGAGCGGGTAGATTGCTTAAGGCCAGGAGTTCGAGACAAGCCTGGGCAATATGGCAAAAGCCTGTCTCTACTAAAAATACAAAAAGTAGCCGGGCATACTGGTGCACAACTGTAGTCCTAGCTACTTGGGAGGCTGAGGTGGGAGGATCATATGAGCCAGGGAGGTAGAGTTTGCAGTGAGACAAGGTTGCACCACTGCACTCCAAACTGAGTGACAGACTCAGACCCTGTCTAAAAAGAAAAGAAAAGAAAAGAAAAAGAATGAATGGTTGAAAAAAGAATGAATGGATGAATATGAACAAAGTGGAATTTGCAATATTGAAGAAACAGAAAAAAGTAAAATTTCCTAAGTCTAAAAACACTGGAGCAGGGTGTCTAGGTGGGTGCTTTTAGCAAAGGACAGACAAAGCCATCCCAGCAGAAAATGTGCCAGGTTTGAGAGAGAGGCTTGTGAACTAATCACAGCCACCAAGACCAGTTAGAGAAATTAAGACACTAGGAGAACCCTCATACCAAGCCATGGAATGCGTGGTGTAAAGAAATTACACGAAGATTCTGTCTTCATAAGACATTTAGAGTCGAGGGAGAAGGAGGGCTAGAGGAAGGCAGACAAGAGGAGGAAGAAAAACGGAACTGTCAGACTCCAAGCAATTAAGTCCATCAGAACGGAACAACCGTTAAGGAAGGTGAATTTCTTGGCTTATAAACCTTTACATTACTCCTCTGTGCTTTGGATATGCAAATGTCTTTGCCAACTGGCAGCATCTGAGAGGGAATAGCTTCCTTTTCCACCCAAAGCATTGCATCTGCTCCTGAATCTCATCACAGCACTCTAGGTGTAATTAACCTGAGCGATGACATGCCCTAGGGGTGGCTGTCAAAAAAGCTCTCCCCAAAGGGCTGTCAAGTGCTCTCTAGGGAATCCTTGCTGAGGGAAGAGGGAAGCCCTGTACTTACATCACTATCAGGTAAGCTCCACAGAGAGGGACTTGAAACTACTTTAGGTGCCCAGACATACACTGTCAGGCAAGGGCAAGCATGCAATCACTATCTGTATATTTAATTAGCATCTAGAAAGAGCCCTACTAGGGGACTGAGGTGCCTCATTCCAGCCTGGCCTGTGCCAGGTCTATGACATCAGGCATAGCTAACTTCTCTATGCTTCCATTTCTTTAGTTCTAAAGAGAGATTAATGCTCTCTAAGGTCCTTTCTAAATCTCACTTTATGGGTTAAGGAAAGAAAATGAGACAGATTCTCTTGAAATGTATTCGTAGCGCTGCTATTAAACTTTGAGGACCCTAGAGTACACAAGGTGGATAATTAAGAGTTATAGACTGGAAAGAATATGTCTTAGATGCAACTCTTGTCCTCAAGGGACCATAAATCCAAGATAACCTAGAGATGATGTTGTGGAATCCTAAGGGACTTTGGTTGAACCTGAGAATGACAAATTCACATAATTTGGATCCTTTTGTAAATGTTGCCTTTTGCACCTGTATTTTACAGTAAATTTTCAGCTTATTGAGAGTTCAGCATATTTCAGGGGAGGATGAAAAGAAGGAAGGAAAATGGAGGGAGGGATGATAAAACTCCTTTGACTTGAGAGTTAGAAGTCAGGGTTCTTGGCCAGGCACAGTGGCTCACTCCTGTAATCCTAGCAGTTTGGGAGGCTGAGGCAGGTGGATAACTTGAGCCCAGGAGTTCAAGACCAGCCTGTCCAACATGGTGACACCCCATCTCTACTAAAAATACAAAATTTAGCTGGGCATGGTGGTTTGCATCTAGAATCCCAGCTACTCAGGAGGCTGAGGCAGGAGAATTGCTTGAATCCAGGAGGCAGAGGTTGCAGTGAACCAAGATCGCGCCACTGCACTCCAGCCTGGGTGACAGAGCGAGACTCCGTCTCAAAAAAAAAAAAAAAAAAAAAAGAAGTCAGGGTTCTTTGGATGCAAGCAACAAAGACTGACTTTGGTTAATTAGAGTCTCCCCACTCCAAAAATAAAAATAAAGAGTTCACTGGAAGGCTAAGGGCAGTTCACAGAATAGCAAAATCAAAATCAAGGCTCAGGAATAACAGGGTCAGGGTGACTCTCGAAGCTGGGTGACAGGAACTAAGGAACAGGCTCCATTCAAAGCCACTGCTGGGCTATATCGGTTCAGTTGTCTTTTTCTCATTGTATCATATCCTTGCAGATTAAGTTCCCAGAAGGAGGGGGTCTGGTGTTTTCCCTCGTATCTTGCATCCACTGACTTCCCCGAGGATGAGGCCCCCTGATTAACACTCTTCCAAGTCTGCATGAATTGGGGAGGGATGATTACTCCAGAGAGATGGGAAATCAATTTCTTCCACCTGAGGAAGTAGCTTTGGCAAAATCGAAGTATTCTTCTGGGGAAGCAGCAAGACTGCCACTTGGCCGGGGCACCCCGCTGGGGGCTGGCAATGCTCTGCTTGCAGTGGGTCCTGGAGCCAGGCTCCTTTCCTGGGAGAAAGGGGTGTGTTTTTACAACACACAAAGGTGCTGCTATGGACTGAACTGTGTCCTCCCGAGATTCACATATTGAAGGCCTAACCCCTACTGTGACCATATTTGGAGACAAGACCTGCAAGGAGGGAATGACGGTTCAGTGAGGTCCTAAGGGCAAGACTCTGATATGACAGGATCAGCGTCCTAAGAAGGGACACAAGAGGGGGCTGTGCTCTCTCCCTCTCCACTGCATAAGGACATAGAGAGGAAGAGGGTCCTCACCAGAAATCAATGGCTGGCACCTCGATCTTGGACTTTGCAGCCTCCTGAATTGTGAGAAGATAAATTTCTGTTGTTTAAGCCACCCGGTCTATAGTGGTGTTTTTTTTTTTTTGTTTTTTTTTTTGTAGCCTGAGCAGACTAACACAGGTGCCATATGGACTGGCAGCCGATCTGGCCTCTATTCCCTCACCTATGAAACCAGATGGTCTCTAAAGCTCCTTCTAGCTTTAAAATGCAATGTGTCAATATATCCATGAATCATCTATCAATGCATATTTGCTTGCTGCTCAACTAAGTCCTGAGCTACAAATAATAGGAGGCTGTCGAGTAAAATACAGTATGCCCAGTTACATTTGAATTTCAGATATGTTTAAATCCATTTTTAGTGTAAGTATGTCCCACACAATATTTGGGACAAATATTTGAGACATTTGTTAAATCTGGCTGTTCTAGTTATTTGTCTTCTGTTCTCCAAATACTGTAACCTTTTGGAGGGAGAAAAACTGGACCTTACTCATCTTTGGATTCCCTTATGGTGGTGTCTGCCAGCTTTTTGGATTTCACTGACTAAACATTATTGGATTAAGTTTTGGAAGAAAAAACAAATTTTTATTTTGCCCAATAAAGGTATTTATAATAATCATCACTTTACTAAAGAAAAACCAGTTAAACTTTAAAACCTATTAAATAGACTCTCAGGATTTTATAATTAATTGTAAAAATTTAGTTTTACAACATATTCATTACATTATCCTTTTGTTTGCTTGTTTCTGAGGCAACCAGGTGATGCTCTGAACCATTTTGGCACTGCTCAGGTGACCAGTGTTTGGGAGCTTCAGCTGTGCTGTGTTTGGTTGAAGGTCTTATATGACTTCTGGACATTTTTGCTTATCTGCTAGGAAGCTCAAAGTCAAATTGCAGCTTGACCGCTACAGCTGTCTTCTCCTCTCCTTTCACTCCTTGTTTCCTGTGTTTTCTTCCAGGCCTTTAAACTTTTTTTACTAAATGAAGTTTCATTATAATCTACCTTAAGAACTGGTGAAATACAGTTTTTTAAAAAGCCTTGCATACAGTAAGACCTCAGTAAACGATGCTACTGACAAAGCAAAGATGCAACTATTGAGTGGGGTCTAATTAGTTTACTTTCTGAAGATGATTATTCCCCCCAAATGCATTTTTTTTTGTTGTTGAGATGGAGTTTCACTCTTGTTGCCCAGGCTGAAGTGCAATGGCATGATCTCAGCTCACTGCAACCTCCGCCTCCAGGGTTCAAGCGATTCTCCTGCCTCAGCTTCCTGAGTAGCTGGAATTACAGGCATGCACCACCACGCCCAGCTACTTTTTGTATTAGATGGGGTTTTGTAGAGATGAGGTTTCACCATATTGGCTAGGCTAGTCTCGAACTCCTGACCTCAGGTGATCTGCCTGCTTTGGCCTCCCAAAGTGCTGGGATTATAGACATGAGCCACCACACCCGGCCTCAAAGGCATATTTTAATTTCCTATTCTTAGAATTTTAGAATGTTAGAGCTAGAAAGGTAATCACATCTTCTAACTCAATTCCAGACTTACTGAATTGGAATTTCTGGGGTAAGATCTGTGAATCTATAAGAATTCTAGTATCTAACATGAGGATCCACTGGTCCACAGGCCCTCTTAGCATATGTCAAAGCAGGGTATCATTTTACAGGTGAGACGACTGAGGCCCAGGAAAGCGAAGTGATGGTCATATGAATCGGTGACAGACATGAGTCAAGTGCACGGCACCCAGCTTTCTTAGTAAATTAACTGACTGTTGGGAGACAGGAAGGGCAGGGACAGGTGTTCATTAACTAGTTTCTGTTCACACTATACAGTAGGAAATGAGCGCTAGGTATAGAGAAACGGACGATATAAGAGATTTACCTCAAATAATAACAACATCCCTCTCTTACCTGTTCTGGGATTTCACAGTTCACTAAGCACTTCCCCTCATAATACCTTGCTTTGATTCTAATAACAAGATTTACCAAGGTGGTATTGTTTTCTACATTTACTTTACAGATGAGAAAATGGAGGCACAATCACTGGGTATGTCAGGTCAATAAAAGGGGTAGAGCTGAGATTTGAATACTTTCTACTACTAAACCTCACACAGATCCCCTAAGACAGGCAATGTCTTTGTCATTTAAGACAAATGGGCTGGGCGCAGTGGCTCACACCTGTAATCCCAGCACTTTGGGAGGCTGAGGCAGGTGGATCACTTGAGGTCAGGAGTTTGAGACCAGCCTGGCCAACATGGTAAAACTCTGTCTCTACTAAAATTACTAAAATCAGCCAGGCATGGCGGCATGCACCCATAATCCCAGCTATTTGGGAGGCTGAGGCAGGAGAATCATTTGAACCCAGGAGTCAGAGGCTGAAGTGAGCCAAGATTACACCACCACACTCAGTCTAGGCAACAGAGTGAGACTCTGTCTCAAAAAAAAAAAAAAAAAAAAAAAAAAAAAAAAAAAGGAAGGAAGGAAGAAGGGAGATTATTTATTGTTTCAAAAGTCACACAAATTCTACATTATTATTTTAGAAAATTCAAATCATTCTGAAAAATAGAGATTAAAAAGCTGAAAAGTGTATTTCATGCCACTCTGCTCCTGAACAGTTTGGTGACTTTTTAAGTTTCCTTCCCAGACCTTTATGAGTTTACATACATGTACAGGTAAGGATGAAAAAAAAAAAAATCAAACTACACACATTGCTGTGCTTCCTTTTTCTTAGCATGTCTGGTCCATTTTTTCAAATCCTTTAGTAGACTTGTTTGTTTTTAAATGAGCCATGTTTGAAAATAGAACAATAGCAACATTCATATGCACACTGATAGAGAAATGTTATATTTATCACCAATGGTGCTCAGGATGGCTCAGGATGTTGGTGCTCAGGATGGGGTAAAGTGACTCTTTAAGTCTCATGACTAATCTTCTCTCAAGAGGAGGGGCTATGGAATCAGAATCACAAGCTAGCTTAATAAAGCCTTGAGAAATATTATCAAATAGCTGTCTTAGTTTCCCCCTCTGTAAAAGGGGGACAAGAATGTGTTCCATAGGTTGTAGTGCGGTTAAATGAGGTAACTCATATTTATGCTAAACACAATGACTGATGACTACAATGATGACGATGATGGCAGCCGGGCGCAGCGGGTGGGGCTTAAATGGCAAGTATAGCAATACCAGGAATGGATGCCCCGGGGAGATACTTTTTATTAAGAGCTGCCAAGTTAGTATGGCTGTCTGGGATGTCCTCTGGAGACAGCCGACTCCGGGTTTGGAAACCTCAACGTCCTAGGCTTTCAGGACCTAGTGTTTGGCTAAACCTCTGGAGAACTACAACTTCCAGGGTGCACCACTTTCGCCCCGCCCATGACGTTGCAGCTCCCGTTTCTCGCCAGGCTCCCGGCCCGAACTACAAATCCCAGAAGACACTGCAGCCCCGCTCGCGTTCTCGTCTCATCATTCTTACTTTTGGAAGCGAAACTGCGGCCGCGTTGCCTGCTGGGAAATGTAGTTCAGCGGTGGCCTAGCCCTTCAGGCCTGGCCGCTACAATAAGGCTGGCGAACTCGCAGCGCTTGAATACCCGTGGCCTAACCGTCCACTCGGAAGACCGGTCCCGCTCGGGAGGCTCTGCAGTCGCGCCTGGGGTCAGGGCCGGGGGCGAATGTGGCTCGCGTTCTAGGCCTCCCTGGGTGAGAAAGTGGTAGACTGGCAGGAAGGCGGCGGAGGCGGACGAGACCAATGCCAGCCTGGAGGAGGAAGTGGGCCAATGGGAAGGGTGAATCCAAGTGGAGATCGTAGGGGTGGGAGTGGGGCGTGGCGCCCGCTTACCTTGAGGCTGGGTGAGGCTCGCCCCGAAATGCGGGGCGTGGGGGGCGGGGGGCAGAGGTCCCTGCCTAGAGGGGAAGAGGGGCGTCCATGTGGCGGAATGGATTTATGGTTTGGGGCTGATCAGTGGGTCTTATGGCCGAGTCTCTCTGGTTAGTGGAGACAGCTTACCAGGCCTGGGATCTGGGGAGTTTGGAGGTGCAGGAGATCCCTGGTTGGAAACTTAGGCAGGAGTGTGTTACCCAGAGAGACTGAGGGCTTCTGCTGTGCACCTCCAAAACCTTTTCCTAACCTCTTCACCCCTTCCTAACTGCTAATGGTTGGAGAAGGTGGAAGTTCTCTGGGGATAGATACTTCGTGGTGGGGGAGGGGGGAGGGGGGTTGGGTTCTGGCCAAAGGGAGCCCCAGCAGGGAAGGAAGGCTTTGAACCCTATAGCTGCCCAGAGGCCTAAGCAATGCTACTGGAGTACCCCTACATCATCATTGTAACCGTTACACAGCATTACATTAGATGCAGCCTATTTAGTCTGAACCAAGCCAGACAAATTGGTGTGTCCTGCCCGCTGCTTCTAAAATATTGTAAACATGTCTCAGCTCATAGGAAAATAAATGTTCCGGGTAAATTCATGGAAAAAAATAATCAGGGTGCAATATGGAATGTTTACAATGATCCTACTTTATAATAAATTCTTATATCTCCTAAATATGTGCCATTTTGTTATGGATGAAAAAAAATCCGAACTATATACTCTAAATTATTAATTTCAACTGTGGTTATTGATGGCTGGTAAGATTACAGAGTAATTTTATTCTTTTTTGTTTACATCTTTATGTAGCATCTTAATTTGCACAGTGAACACATAATTTTTTTTTTTCTGCTCCTTATTTTCCCAGGAGAGTCAGTCAGTTGCTCCGTGTGTTGTGTTGGAAGTCAGGTCCTAAGGCCAGCTGCTCTGGCTTGCACTGAGCCACAGGCAGACTGATTTGCCAGGAATGATAAAAAGGGGTGAATGTGAGGGGAGAATTCAGTGTGCAGGCTATGGGAGGCTAATGCTTTTTTCCTTCTTCTAGGTTGGAAAAAGACTATGTTAGCAAGTGTCACGCCATGGTATGTGGTTGGTTGGTCTATTTCAGTCTAATCTATTATGCTTTCTGGTTAAAAATGTCACCTTTCTCATTATCTGATGGATTTACGTTGCAATGCATAACTTTCTTAGGTTCTGATAACTCACCTTGGCTGGGCCATGTGAGTTATCAGAAGAGTTACTCACCATTTTGGCAGTGCTTCGAACCATTGAGTTACCATGTGAGTTACCATGTGAGAAGGAGAGAAATATTGCCTCTGAAATGCCTTTTTAGCTTTGGATTTGCTTTTTGCTTTTTTTTTTTTCTTTGAGAGTTTTGTTCTTGTTGCCCAGGCTGGAGTGCGGTGGCACGATCTTGGCTTACTGCAACCTCTGCCTCCCAGGTTCAAGCAATTCTCCTGCCTCAGCCTCCCAAGTAGCTGGGATTACAGGCGTGCACCACCACGCCTGGCTAATTTTGTATTTTTAGTAGAGATGGGGTTTCACCATGTTGGCCAGGCTGGTCTCAAACTCCTGACCTCAAGTGATCCACCTGCCTCAGCTTCCCAAAGTGCTGGGATTACACCCGACCTGCTTTTTGCTTTTTGATCAGGGTCTTTATTTCAGCATATGCTGCCTACTATTTCAGTGTGTGTGCAATTATAAAAGAAACTTTAATACATCCTTTAGTTGTGCTCATTATGCATTTTCTGGGACAAAAGCTTGTTAAAATCATGGTTGGAGTATGACAATTAATACATGTAATGTTCATTTCATTCTTCTTACTTTCTTCCACAGCTTTTGCCAACTTTCCAATTAAAGGTTGACATTCCTGCATAAGCATTTCTCTGTGAAAATGTCCTTGCCTCTTACAGAGGAGCAGAGGAAAAAGATTGAAGAGAATCGACAAAAGGCTCTGGCCCGCAGAGCTGAGAAGTTATTGGCAGAACAGCATCAGAGGACTAGCTCGGGCACCTCCATTGCTGGCAACCCATTCCAGGCCAAGCAAGGCCCATCCCAAAATTTCCCAAGGGAGTCTTGTAAGCCAGTGAGCCATGGTGTCATTTTCAAGCAACAGAATCTCAGTAGCTCATCTAATGCTGACCAAAGACCTCATGATTCCCACAGTTTTCAGGCAAAGGGAATATGGAAAAAGCCAGAAGAAATGCCCACAGCCTGCCCAGGCCACAGTCCACGTAGTCAAATGGCTCTCACTGGAATCTCTCCTCCCTTGGCACAAAGTCCTCCAGAGGTCCCTAAACAACAGCTCTTGAGTTATGAGTTAGGTCAAGGTCATGCTCAGGCTTCACCTGAGATCAGGTTCACACCCTTTGCTAACCCAACTCATAAGCCTCTGGCCAAACCAAAGAGTTCCCAAGAGACACCAGCTCATTCCTCTGGACAGCCTCCCAGGGATGCTAAGTTAGAGGCCAAGACAGCAAAAGCCTCCCCTTCGGGGCAGAACATTTCTTACATCCATTCTAGCTCAGAGAGTGTAACGCCCAGGACAGAAGGAAGACTCCAGCAGAAGTCAGGGTCCTCAGTCCAAAAAGGAGTGAACTCTCAGAAGGGAAAGTGCGTAAGGAACGGCGATCGTTTCCAGGTGTTGATTGGGTACAATGCGGAACTCATTGCAGTGTTTAAGACCCTGCCCAGCAAGAATTATGGTAATGTCTTCATTTTTCAGCTGTTTTTTTTTTTTTTTCTTATTTTTGGAGTCTCTTTTAATCTAACAGTTTCTCATAAATATTAAGAGAGTGCATTGGCACATGCTGTCCATCCAGTTGTTAAAAATTTTTCAATTTTAGCTTGTTTCCCTTCATAATAGTCATTCCCTTAAACAGCTGCCAAACTTGATGGTTGTCACGTGGCCATCTGGAGAACAGTTGAATGTTACTGAGAAGACGCTTCCTCTGCCAGGTGCTTTATATGCATTGTAGCACTTAAGCTGAACAGCAGTTTTTTTGAAATAAGTAGATGTTATTTTAGTTTTTAAGGTGATGGAACTGGCCCAGCAAGATTAAGTGACAGGCCCAGTTTCATTGGTCTGGAAAGGCAGCGTCAGGATGTGACTAGCTCAATTACAGGCCAGAGCCATTACTCCTCATACTGCTTTGCCTGACCACACTACGACCTGGAGAACTTGGATTCTAGTCCTAACTCTGCCCTCAGTCCTCTTAGGTGAAGTTCATAACTTCCCAGGGCCTGAGTTGGATTCCACTACATGGAATAAAAGAATTATCTATATTTACTATTTGTCCTCTACAGAGATTTTTATAGATCAGTGGGGGCTTGCTGGTCAGCTGTTTTGAACTTGGCGTCCTTCATTCATTCATTTAGAAGACAAGCTTGTGTTGAGTGCCTAAGTACAAATTGTCAACAGTCATCAGTCCTCTGTTTTGTTTCAGATCCTGACACCAAGACGTGGAACTTCAGCATGAATGACTATAGTGCCCTGAGTAAGTAGACACATGGTTGTCTCATGGAGGGTGGCACTGGTGCTGAAAATCTTTAGAGTATCACATGTAGTCCAGCTTATGGAGTGCATGGCTTTACAGGTGGTGAAAGCTTTCAGGGCACCCCCCCCAACACTCCTTCCCACTCTGTCTAGCCTAATGAGGCAGCTCTGTGGGTGAAGGCCGTTAGTAGTATTAACAAAAGCTAGCATTAAATGATGCTTGCTTTGCATTAGGCTATTCTAAGCCCCTTATGCTAACTTTTATTCCTTATAATGACTTTTTTACAGATGGGGAAACTGAGGCCCAGGGACGATGAGTCAGTAACACAGGGTCACATAGCCAATAAGTTGTACAACTGGGATTCAAACCCTGACAGTCTGACTTCAGACTACACGTTCCCACCAGACTATGCTGGCCCCAGCAGTGACAGGCAGCTCAGGCAGCCTGCCAGCCCCTGCTCCCAGGAAGGTAACAGTTCAGCAAACAGCACAGATCCTCAGAGTACTCTCTGTGCAGCTAACTACTCAAAAATGCAAGGAGGGGGCATTGGCCAGGCAAGTTCCAGCTAATGCAGTGTCTGGTCATAGTCAGCACCTGGTTACGTCCCTCTGTCTTCTGAGAAAACTGTCATACACTAAAGTTTTTGTCACTTGATCCTGGTACATGGAGCTTGCACACCTGTGTCAAAGCGTCAGCCCTGTGTGTTTTCATCTTCCATTTATTTTACTCTTCTCCCCCAGCTGCCATTTCTACACCGTCTCTTCCTCCCCCTAGCTTAAGAAAGGAAAAGATAAGGATGTATGCTTAGGTCACTTTGCAGATTTGGGGTATGAGGTAGGATTATCTGGAGGCACCAGTACAGTTTCTGGGAAAGGTGGTTTGGGCCAGTGATGGGACAGCTCCCTGCAGAATTTCCTGGTTTTCTCCTTGGCCTCCAATTCTTGAAATGTGTACATTAGGCGATATCTTTCTTTGGTAGCTGCTAGTGTTGTTAGTTTGCGAGGGCTGCCGTGACAAAGTACCACTGACTGGGTGGCTTAAACAATACAAATTTATTTTTTACAGTCCTGGAGGCTGGAAGCCTGAGATTGGTAGGGTTGGTTTCTTCAGAGGCCTCTCTCCATGCCCTGCAGGTGGCTGTCTTCTCTCTGTGTCCTTGTTTGGATTTTCCTTTGTGTGTGCAAATCCCTAGGGTCTCTCCCTTTTCTTAGAAGAACACCAGTCATTGGATTATCGCCCACCTTGGTGACCTCATTTAACTTATTAACCTCTTTAAAGGCCCTATCTCCATATACAATCACATTCTGAGGTCCTGGGCTGTGTGTTTAACATGAATTTTGGAGGGACACAATTCAACCCATAACGCTGCTGCTGCTAGCTCCGTCTAGTGAGGGCTCATTTTTTAATCGATTTATTTGGTGTTGGAACGGGGAGACCCAAGGCTCTGGATAAAGATTGCAGATTTTGACACCTGGTATTCTCATTGCTGGTGATCTTAAACCAGTGGTTTCCCCTGTTGCGGTTGTTTTGTCTTTTTACTCTTGTTCTGACCACGGTGCATGGTGACTTAGATGACTTCTGCTTTTGCAGATTCATTTAGGTTTTTTGTGTGATATCGTTACTTTTTTTTTGAGACAGAGTCTCACTCTGTCGCCCAGGCTGGAGTGCAGTGGTGCGATCTTGGCTCCCTGCAACCTCTGGCTTCCGGGTTCAAGTGATTCTCCTGCCTCAGCCTCCTGAGTAGCTGGGATTTCAGGCGTGTACCATGCCTGGCTAATTTTTATATTTTTAGTAGAGATGGGGCTTCCTCCATGTTGGCCAGGCTGGTCTTGAACCCCTGACCTCAGGTGATCTACCTGCCTCAGCCTCTAAAACTGTTGGGATTATAGATGTGAGACACTGTGCCCGACTATCATTGCTTTGTGTAATGCTCCACATGTTTTGAAAACCATGTTTATTGGATACAAAATTCTCCATATATACTTCTCAATGAAGCTCATAGAAGAGAAAAAAAATTCTCCATATAGCTTTCAGATGAATTTTTCTAATTGTTTGGCTCCTCTGCATCTTTACCAATGTGTTACACACTTGAGCTTTTGCCTGCTGAGATAAACCTTGAAATTCCTTGCCATAATTATGGATTTGTGAATTTCTCCTTGTATTTCTAAGTTTCAGATAGGTTCATGATTGTGTCTCATGATTGGCTTTTTATTGGTATAACATATAAAATTGTCTCTGTGTCAGTCTTTCTGTCATTTTGCTTTAGGTATATCTCTGGATTTGGCTTCATTAACCCTACCACATACTCACTGTAGAACATATTTTGACGTGTGAAGAAGAAAAACCATCCCCCGTAATCTCCCCACTCAACTAACCATTATTAACATTTTGGTTTCATTCCCTCCAGCCTTTTTTCTATGCGTTAAAATATAAAGTTTTATATATGCATATAATTTGTATTTTGCCCTTTTAATTTAATACTCCAGCATAAAGCATATTTACTTTACTGAATGTTAACAGTTAATTCTAAGTGATGAAAATGTGTCCATTATCATAATGGGCCATTTTGACCTTCAAGAAATGGTTTCGTGTTGTTGAACTACTTTTGTCTTTTCCAGAATTTTTAATACAAAATAAATTTTGATAGCTGTATAACATTCTGTCTTATGAATGTGTCATACATTGCTTAAATTGTTGTTGTTTATTTTTTCCTGCTTGATTTTAATTGGCTGCCAGTTTTTCCAGTTTTAAAGCTGTAGAGGAACACCTTCGTACCTAAGTTTTTGTCTGTATTTTCAACTGGTAGTTGGGATAGATTCCCAGAAGTTGAATCATTATTCTTAGAGCTCTTGCTATAATTGCCAAATTGTTTTCCAGCAGGTTTTATTCCCAACTAGCAATATGGATATCTAATTGTTTCTCATCCTGCAAGTTTGAGAAGTAAAAAAGTATCTTATTTTTCTGATTATTTGTGAAGGTGAACATTTCTTCAAATGTTTCTTAGTCTTTTTCCTCCTGTTTTGAATTGGCTACACTACCCTCTTCTTTTGTGGTCTTAGTACTTTTTTAAAGCATGGGTTCTTTTTATATTTCTTTACTCAGGGTTTTTTTCCTTTCACTCCAGTGTGTGTCTGTTGACAGCTTAGTGTTACACAGCTGAATTTGTTCATTATAAAATGCATCTGTAGTAGATGAAATAATGTTCAGAACTGTGTGTTTGTGACCTGGTGATCCTGGTCCTCACTCCTTTGTTCTCTGAGCAGTAGACAGAGTAGCGACCTAGGAGTGGGCTTAACTGGGTGATTTGTGGTGTGCTGACTTCAGTGGCTTCTCCGACACCGTGCCAGAAATTATCTAATAAGTTTATTCATCCTGGCGAGCTTCCTCTTCCCCTTGTTAATTTCTGAATTTTAAATGTTTTGATGTGAAAAATGTAGGGAGGCCAGGTATGGTGCCTGATGCCTGTAATACCAGCACTTCGGGAGGCTAAGGTGCGTAGATGGTTTGAGCTTAGGGATTTGATACCAGCCTGGGCAACATAGCGAAACCCTGACTCTACAAAAAATACGAAAACTAACCGCATGTGGTGGTGCACGCCTGTAGTCCCAGCTACTGGGGAGTCTGAGGTGGAGGATAACTTGAGCCAGGGAGGTTGAGGCTGCAGTGAGCCATGATCACGGCACTGCACTCCAGCCTAGGTGACAGAGCAAGACCCCGTCTCAAAAAAAAAAAAAAAAAAAGAAAAAAAAAAAAGAAAAACTTACGGAGATGGAAAGTTACATTCAGCAAATATTGAAATTCCCAAAGCCCCAACTAAAAAACACTTTCAAGTCTTCCTAATCTAACAGTGCCTTTTCTTGCCTTCCTGCCAAACCTAGTGCCTCTTGACCATGTCCCTTCCCCACTTTCTCCCTCTTCCCTTGCCTGTATTTCAAAGCCACATCATAGTCCCCTGCTTTATCACTTCTGTTCGATTCTTCTTCTTTGGCAGTGAAAGCAGCCCAGAGCCTCCCCACGGTCAACCTGCAGCCTCTGGAATGGGCCTATGGCAGCAGCGAGTCACCCTCCACCAGCAGTGAGGGACAGGCCGGCCTTCCATCAGCTCCATCCCTTTCATTTGTCAAAGGGCGATGCATGCTCATCTCCAGGGCCTACTTCGAGGCAGACATCAGTTATTCACAGGACCTTATTGCGCTTTTTAAACAGATGGATTCCAGAAGATATGGCAAGTAATTGGTCTTTGTCTGATTCCCAGAATGTGTAGTGGTCTGTGATCTCAACATAGGGTGTTTTTCTCTACCTCGAATATTCAAAAATTACTTTCTTGGGAAAGACTTCCTGTTCTGCTCCTCTTCCTATAGAAAGATGACACGTTAATTGTTCCAGATAGTAAACATACAGTGGTGGCTGTTTTGTCATAAGGCCTCCCAAAGAGAAGACCTCATAATATCCCCCTGGTCAATATCTTCTTGGTAGAAGCAGGTAAATTCCTGCTTCAGCCATTTAAAACCCATCTGTTTTTATTTTGGCCTTTGCAGAGCAGAAAAACAGGTGGTTGCCATAAAAATAAATGCTTTTCCATATGCAAACTTAGTAGTTTTCAAACTTGAGCCTGCAGGGAACTGCCTGCAGGGGTTGTTAAAACGCAGCTAGCTGGGCCCCACTACTGGAGTTTCTGATTCTGGAACTTGAGCATGGAGCCAAACTTTTGCGTTTCTCACAAGTTCCCTGAGCTGGTGCTGCTGCTGGTGATGGTGCCACAGTTTGAAAATGCTGGTGGTTCTGCTCTCGGCCTGCCCATCAGCATCACAGGGCCACTTCAAAAGCACCGATGCCTGGTTCTTACCCAGAGATGTTTATTTTGTCGGAGGTGGGGCTTGGACATTGTCGGGGTGTTTTTTGTTTGTTTTGGTTTTTTTAATCTTCCGATAAGCCTAATTATAAGCCAGTCTTGAAATCTACTGGCCACAACAGAATAGTTTTGCTGTATTTTATTTTATTTATTTTTGAGATGAAGTTTCACTCTGTTGCCCAGGCTGGAGTGCAGTGGCGCAATCTTGGCTCACCGCAACCTCTGCCTCCCGGGTTCAAGTGATTTTCCTGCCTCAGCCTCCCGAGTAGCAGGGACTACAGGCACCTGCCACCACACTGGGCTAATTTTTGTATTTTTAGTAGAAGTAAGGTTTCATCATGTTGGCCAGGCTTGTCTCGAACTTCTTCGCCCACCTTGGCCTCCCAAAATGCTGGGATTAATTACAGGCATGAGCCACCGTGCCTGGCCGTTTTGCTTTAGTTTTTCATGAGGTTCTTCATAAGCTCCCCCTTCAGAATAGGGGAGAAGCAGCTATAGATTCTGGACTCCTGGGTGTCATTCTCAGCTTGGGCCACATTGTTTTTTAAAAACGATGTAGTTTTTATGGATCAGTGTTTCCCCATTCTTGAATTGGTTTAATCTTGTTCTTAATCAAGTAGAACTCAAATACTTAAAACCTCATGCCTTTGAGACCTCACATTCAAGCATTGTCCTGGAAGAAGCCTCTAGAATTGCTTGCTTAACAAGAGCTTTCATCAGGGTTTGGGTTCCGGAGGAGGCTGATGCTGGTTGCTACGTCATCATCCTTAGATGGATGCAGTTTGGACTGATGAGGGCAGACGGGTGAGCAGGGCACAGGGGAGTTGTGCGAGGCCCAGGCAGGTCGTGAGATGAGCTGCTCCACGACAGTCTAGATCCTTTGCCTTTCCTGCCCCCTCAGGTGTTTGGCTTCAGCTTGGGGTGGCCCTTAAAAGGCAACTACGGGCCGGGTGTTGTGGCCTGTAATCCCAGCAGTTTGGGAGGCCAAGGTGGGTGGATCACCTGAGGTCACAGGAGTTCGAGACCAGCCTGGCCAACATGGTGAAACCCTGTCTACTAAAAATACAAAAACTAGCCAGGCGTGGTGGTGCCATCCTGTAATCCCAACTACTCAGGAGGCTGAGGCAGGAGAATCCCTTGAGCCTGGGATGCAGAGGTTGCAGTGAGCCTAGATCGCACCACTGCACTCCAGCCTGGGTGACAATCTCAAAAATAAAAAAGGCAAATACAGTGATATGTGTCTATCACCAGCCTGTGAGATCACACTCCTGACATGGTCTGCATTCTGGGAGTGGGTACCATGAAGGTATGGATACTGATCCTGCTCACACCCAGGTGTCCAAAAACCGTGATTGGTTCCTTTGCCTTAGCTGTTGTTCACATCTTTTCCTGTTTGCTGCTGTGCCACTGTGAGAATCAAGTTGTCAGAAAGGGCCTTCCCCTTCTAGTTCTGCATTTACGATTAGTCTGTCTGCTTTGTTCCTTCCATCAGGTTGTACCTGGACGACCTCGCTTTTTCCTGAAACTGACTCTGTGTCCATGATGCCTTTTTCTGACCACCTTGCTTTTGAAGGAATCATACAGTGAAGAATGAACTTTTGCTGCCCAGATAGCATTTACTGAGACCAAGCTTTCTTGATTTTTCAAAAGATAGATTAGTAGAGAAATTCCTCTATTTAAAGAATCAGCCACCATTGGGTAGAAAGATGCTCACCTTTCTTAGTTGATATTGTGTGTAATTTATACTACACGATGCTGATTAGCAGATGATGTAATAATCCCACTAACAATAATTCATAATAACTGGCTTTGGGGTGCTCATTGTTTTCCAGTCATACTTTTATAAGCATTTTCCTTTAATTTCATGTAAACAGTAACCTGTGAGGTAGGGGTTGTAATATCTTTATTTTTCAGATGTGGAAACTGAGGGAGAGGTGTTACAGTGACTTGCCCAAGGTGACATAGCTAGCAAGAGGCAGAGCCAAAATTGAAACTTTGGCAGTTTGACCACTGACCACATGCAACTTGTTTCCCATGTGTAAAATGGAGTTAACAACAGCCCACCTTACAGACTTGGGAGGGGCAGATGAGAGGGTGCCACTGAGTGTTGGCACAGTGCCGGGCTGAATGCGAATGCTGCATAGGTGTGAGCTACAGTTACCATCCCTGTCACTCAGGGCATTTCTGACCTGCTAGACCCTCCCCAGCCATGTATCCTGTGGCACCTTTTATCACAACCCTTACAACCCAGTGTTGTCAGCATCTCTGCCTCTTTTTCCTCCCAGTATACTGGGGAAGCCTCCAGGGAAAGTACTCTCCTAATTTCTGTATCCGCAGTGCTAGGTACAGGACCAGCTGCCACATTGTCTAAGCTGAATGGAAGTTTATGAAACCAAGGAATAAATGAGTAAGTGTGATCACGTAGCAGAAGGGCAGGGTGTCCTATTTGCTTATTTATTTCTTGTCATTGCAGATGTCAAGACCAGGAAGTGGAGCTTTCTCTTGGAAGAGCACAGTAAACTAAGTGAGAAGCCTTCCTTACTTGTTTTATATCATGCTATTGTTAAGCTTTAATAATTCACCTTAAATTTGATGTATTTTTGAAGAATCTTCTCCTCCCTTTGCTGTGGTGGGATGCTTGAGTACAGGGTAAGTAAAGGTGAGGATGCAGCCTTGTCCACATCCACTGAGATGGTGGCTTTATGACAGCCCAGACAAATGCCGGGCCTCTTCTATCATAAGGGTGAGGTGGCAGTAGTGAAATTTCCCAGGCCTGTGAAATCTTCCTGCTGTCATAGAAGTGCTAGAAGCATGGGTACATAGACTTTAGGAATCAGAAGTGAGCTAGGATTGCTTAGCTTAGGTGGAAGTGACCATAGATTACTTCTAAGAATAGGCTCTCAGTGTACTTCTAGAACTGGATGGGATGATCAAGAAAGATAGGAGAGTATCACTGGGAATGGACTTCATAATAGAGTTCTGTTTGGGGCAGAAGTCAAGGCCAGGGACTTAGGCATTTTAACAAGCACTTTACAGACTGACCAAGGAAAAGGGATATGTGTACAGATAGCATAAGTGCAAGAAGAGGAAGCCATTTTGGGTTTATCATTTTTCTTCTCTGTGTTTTGCTTAGATGGGGCAATAAATTCTAATATGCCTGGAAAAAGGAAATATGGTCATATCTCAGACTGTACCAGAATACCAGTCCCTTATCTATCTGGCTGTAACAATTCTGCATTGGGTTTGCAGCTAGCATGGCTTATGTTCCTCTGCTTTTCTCCTAATCCTGATGGCCTGTTGGGCCTCCCAAACCAAGGAAGGAGTCATTTGTGGGTACCAATCAGGCCAGGACAGACACGAGCCAACCCTGGGAGCTCTGAGTCATTGGCCATCTTCCCTGGCAGGCTAGGGCTTCAATGTGAGGGAAAAACTGGGTTCCTTCCTTTTGTCTCCTTCTTATGTGACTTACTATGTGACATTGGGTAAATAATTAAACATTCTGGGTCCCATTGTCCCTTTAGTAAAAAAAGCGGTGGTCTTTAATCTCTATCTGCTCTCCTGACATAGGAATTAAATATAAAGGAAGAGCCTTTGGTTCCTTGAGCAAAACTTGCTGTGAACTACATGATTACGTTTGAATATGAGATGGTAACTTAATAAATGCTGGCTGAAGCAGAAAGAATGGCTCACGGTGATCTTGAGACTCTCTGGCTGCTACTATTTGGAACTTGTGATTTAGAGGGAATTATTTGGCAAAATCTGAATTTTTTTTTCTTTTTGAGGCAGGGTCTCGCTGTCACCCAGGCTGGAGTGCAGTGGCATGATCTCAGCTCACTGCAACCTCTGCCTCCCAGGCTCAAGCGATTGTCCTGTTTCAGCCTCCCAAGTAGCTGTACACAGAATCCTTTTGGTGCCACTTTGCCAGCTGGGCTTGCCACTGGGCTTGCTTTGCCCACTCGACCTGGCAGGCTGCGCTCGGCTCACGCTACCAGTCCAGATTCCACACCCACTGAGGGCGAGCTAGGCATGGAGCAGCAGAGGGTTTGTGAGCAAGTGAGTGTAGAGTCTGGCCACAGCACATAGCCAGGTGCGCCAGCTGCTGCAGCAGAGCGGGCAGCTCCAGACTGTGGCACAGGCACCAGCTCTGTATGAGGCTGCAGCTGGACTAGGCATACCACAAGCAGCTTCTGCCTTGGGCACCAGCGGCTGGATGATGGGAATGTGCTGGTGCCTGAAAACTTGAAGACACCAGCAACCATGGAGCCCTAAGGGGGTGTTACAGCATGTTACAGCTCTGGCCGAGGGAGTCCCAAGGTCTGGGCTCCCAGAAAGGTTGCCACTCTTCACTCCTGTGGTTCGGCAGACAGGAGCATGTCACTGCCTGCAGCTTGGCGAGCAGACCAAGAATGTGTTATAGCCCTTTTCTCACCTGCCATTCAGCGGGTCCCAGATTCTTGTCCTGCGTCCAAGAAGAATGAGGTTACATGAACAACTGGAGAGTGAGCAAGGCAGAGAAGGGTTTTATTGAGCAACAGAACAGCTCTTAGTGGAGAGGGGACCCAAAGTGGGTAGTCCCAACATGTGGCTGAGTCCAGGGTTTTTATGGGCTCAGAATGGGGGTGTGTGTGCTGATTGGTCCATAGGCAGGCCTGGAAAAAGCACCATTCGATTGGCTAAAAGGCATTGAGGAAGTTCTTATTCTGGGTTGTGGACTCCACCTGGAACTGACAGCCTGGTTTTCAGGTTTCAGTCTGTCTTTGGCTTAAAGGTTGGGTTTCACTGTGGACCCACCCCTGTCTGCCTAGGAAGTTGTCTGCCTCCTGCTGTTATCAGCTGGAATTATAGGCGCATATCCCCATGGCCGGCTAATTTTTGTATTTTTAGTAGAGATGGGGTTTTGCCATGTTGGCCAGGCTGGTCTTGAACTCCTGGCCTCAAGTGATCCTCCCACCTTGGCCTCCCAAAGTGCTGGGATTACAGGCGTGAGCCACCGTGCCCAGCCACAAAAGCTGAATTTTTTAAGAAAAATAGAAGTGAGTTCTTTCCTTCTCGCTTTTGTCTTTCAACCAGGAAACACACACATGTTAGCTATAAAGTCTTTGACTTTTATGGAATGACAAAAAGCAGGACATTTACAGCATTAGTAGATAAATGTAGTGTTGAAAAACCATGACTTGTGACTCACATAGCATTGTAGAGTGGTTCCTGATCTTTTGCAGACAACAGACTCCTTGAAATATCTGATGAAAAGAATGGATTCTTCACCCAGAAAAAAATGCACATAATGGCCACAAATAAGATTTTGCACTTGATAAAGATGATTCCATAGATCCTGAGTGAAGATTCTAGATTTAGAGTTTTTACCTGCTATCTCATCATGACAGTGTCTCACGGAAGATAAGACTGAGAAAAGGTTGGGCCCAGAGAAGGGAAACAGTGGCTTTCCTTACTGGGAGCATTGCAAGGTTACAGTAAAGTCAGTGACAGAAATAAGAGTAAAATTGCCATCTGCCTTTGTAAAATGACCCATTATGGAATTTAGAAGCCAGCTAAACTAAGAAGCTGGGAGTGGAAGCAGTGAGAATAGAGCCCAGTTCCAATTTAGTTCTGATTTCTCCGCCAGTACTGTGAACCTGGGGAATGCGCACCTCCTTCCTCACCCCATGCTGTCCTTCCTCATGAGTGAAATTAGATCGATGACCCTGAGTTAGTGAACGTGTGCATAGGAAACTGATGAAGAAATGACAATAAGACCTGAGTACGTGAATGCTCATTGGTGAAGCAGTGGGAGTTATTTTCTTTAGTAAGGAGAATCTAAGCTTTCCTCCTCTCTCTTTTCTAAGTGACTCAGGCCTTTTGCCCCCAGTGAAATTGGCATAAGTCCTTTTGTTTTCCCCTTGCTGTCAGTCCAGAAGGGTTCTCAACAATCTTGTCTTGTTAGCTGCTATTTGAAAACATTAGCATCTCTGCTATGTGGCTAGTAGCATTCTGGCAAAGAGCTATTTTACAGAAATGACTTCTAGATGACTCACGAAGCCGACAACACGTCTGTCATCTCCTAGTACCAGGGAAAGGACAGTAGAGACAGTCGTTGTCAGGGAATGGTGTCTTTCTCAGGAACACTGAGATGGCTGAACTAGCAGCATAGGATTTTGGAGACAGTAGTTGGTAGGAGACAGAGTAGATGTTGGTTTTATTCCTCTTAAATGGCCGAAGGAACATAACGCTTACAAAGCCCTGCCTTTTCTACCAGCCAGTTCATCAGCCCTTTCTTAGCTTTCATCAGGTATTTGAGTTCTGAAGATCACTAGAATTAAAATGAAAATGGTTTCTGAAAGCACAAGGAGTGCTCAGCCTCCTGAAGTGTGTAGAAATCAACATACTCAGATTTAATTTGGAGGTATAAAATGTATTTCTGCATCAATATGGACAGTCTGTTTTGTATTAATGCCATCAACCTTCCCTAATTTCTTCTCATGGTGATTATTTTTGTGGAAACTATTTCCAGAAATAACTGGTACTTATATTTAGTGGAGGAGAGAAATGGACTTAAATATATTGAAAATACAAAGCAATTGGAGGTAGCAGTAGATGGCTCAGCCCTGCACGTTCACATCAGTATTTACAGTGGTAACCAATTGATGGTTGTGGCAAAAGACTTTTGGAATCACTTGTGAGGGTATTCAGAAAACATATGATCACACATGTTTTATGTACGTGTATGAAATAGAGAACCAGCCTTAGGATTTCAAATAATATTGGATAGAAGTAAAATAATACCCAGTTTCTCTTTGTAGTTTCCTTTACTGGATACCGGAGGACGATTAGCCTTTTGGTGGGTTACTCTGACTCCCAGAGTGCCCTTGAAAAGGTAAAGGATAAAGAGCAATTGATGATCTGTAAATAATGGCTACTCTTCTAATTAGATTTTTCAAAGGAAAATTATAAAAGGGAAGAACATCCTGAAAGTGATAGCCTGCAGGACAGCAGGCTATGGTTAGTGATTTAACTGTAGTTCCACTGCCAGAGGTCTCTAGGTCTGTCATTTTTTCTCTGCATTTTTAATTTGTAATTCAGCCTCCTTCTCCCAAGAATTATGTGTTTTATTTATCTCTCCGGTTTATTCTTTTTCTGTTTCTCTATTGAATAAAGGGGTTTTTTCCCCTCTTTTTTGAAGTTTAAAATCAGGTGAGACTACATTCTTTCAAAAAGCAAGGTCAGTGCAATTCATTTGCTTTCATTTCCATGTAGATCCCAAGTAATTTATTTTTCCCATTTGGGTTAATGGTCCTGACTAGAAGAGATTTCTCCACCCATTATATAGGGACCTAGGACCAGCATCACTGGAAGGAAATATATATATCCCAAAGCTCCTCTTTCTCCAAATCTTTTGGGCATGAACACTCCAGCTCATATGCTTCTGTTCTTCTTTTCAGTTGCAAAGGTGCGCTGCCTCCCACAAGTTCAGCTGGACCCTCTGCCCACGACTCTCACCCTGGCGTTTGCTTCTCAGCTCAAGAAGACATCTCTCAGTCTCACGCCAGATGTCCCAGAGGCAGACCTTTCTGAAGTGGACCCCAAGCTCGTGTCTAATCTGATGCCCTTTCAGAGAGCTGGAGTCAAGTAGGTTCTTGATCTTCCTCTCTCTTCCTCTGTTGCTCAAATTTCATTACTCACCACAGACTGCATTCAGATGCTTCCTGTTTTATGAACTTTTATTTACCATGGATAGATGAAAATTTAGAAGAGTCTAGGCATTAAACAGCCAGGTGTGCTGTTACCAAAGCTTTATTGTAACCATTGATTTCAAATTCCATGGGTTAATCAAGACTCTGAATTGCAGCTATGCAGAAACCCAATTCAAATTAGCTTAAGGAAAGAGATTTCTCAGTGCCTGTAAGAGAAAATCCAGCATCTCTAAAGATCTCATCAGGCTGCTCTCCTCTCTCAGATCTGCTTTCTGTTTGTTTGCTCTGTTCCCAAGCAGGTGTTACTCAAGTGTGGCAGCTCGGGCCGCCAGGGGCTTCCAGCTTGCATTCTCAGCTTAGCAACACACAGAAGCACCATTTTTCTAATGGGGCTAACACTGCAATGGCTTAAGTCTGGTACCAATGTTGGAGCCAGTCTTTGTGGCCTTGGAGGCTTGAGGTCTTGTTGATTAGACTTGGTGATAGGCCTGTCCCTAGAACCAGAGGGTAAGGCCTGCCCACCTAAATTACTGGGATTGAAAGTGGGAGGTGGCAGTTCTCCAAAAGAAAGTCAAGGTGCTCTTATTAGAGGAAGAAAAAAGATAAACCTACATCCTGATCTTTCCTTTTTTTCCAGAGTTTCTTGGGAGAAGCAAAATGCCGTATTTGAACTAGCCTTCTCTTAAAAATATGGGAGTTCAAGGAGAAGAAAGAGGAAGTCTTGATAGTCTGTCTAGAAATAAGAAGCTGTTATTAGACAGTGTAGTTGAACATAGAGCCCTGTGCAAGGGAAGGAACCTAAATTAACAATGGCACTGACAAACCACAACAGCCTGCCTGCTCGAAGCCTGATTGTGGTATTTTGGTGAAAGCTTGGCTACCGTCTCTGGCAGGATTTGGGTCTCGGTGTGCCGTTTGGGCACAGTGCACTTTATTATGTTACCTGGCCCCAGCCCTTCCCCCTAATTCTTTTCTTCATTTCCTTCCATCTCTCTTACATAGCACACTCTGCAAAACCTCCTCTGGCATTGCCATTCCAATGCTCCAGCTGGTGAGATGTCCTTTGGGCCTTGTTTTAACCAGGCTCAGGGTGGTTTTTTCCTTTCATCTTTCTTTCTCTGGGCCTCTTTATTAAAGCTGCAGTAGAGGTTGCCCAGCCCCACCCCCTGGGCAGCCCCTGCCTTCAGCATCCAAGTTCTTCGTGGCACTGTTAGCCATCCTTGGGCCCACGTGTTGGGTGCTGGTTTTACCAGTTACCCCATTACCCCTGAGAGAGGCTCTGTGTGTGAGGCGCCCCAGGGCAGATCTGTTTCTCTCTCTGTGGCTCTAAAGTACTTGTAATCTTTCTTCAGAATTTTCTAAATAAACTCAGATTTTAACTTTCATAGTCTGAAGAGGTGGGGGTTTGGCATTGGGGGAGGAGGGCTGTCAATTCTATGTTTTGTTTTGTTTTCTTTAATGCAAGAACTACAATTGAACACACCCATTAATTTATAAAGCAAAATCTCTTAGAAATATCAGCATCTTCTAATATCCAAGTCACCCTCTTCAGCAGGTGAATGAATTGAGGCTTAGAAAGGCAGTCAGTTGCCTAAAGTTATTCAGCAGTCAGAAGTGGAGTTGGGGCTTAAATCTGTGTTTTCTGATTGATTAATTTCTGAGTATGACATTTTTTTCTATTGTATTCAACTGCCCTGTGGAGGATGACATTTACTTATGTTATTGTTCCTCTGTTATCCAGGCTTTTTCTGTCTTTGTTGTCATTTTTTGGCCACTTTGTTCCTTAGTTGGGCTCCCTCTAGGCAGGGGAAAAAGGAGAGAATGTGAAATTCAGGGGGTCCATTCTGCTCTAAGGATGCGGATAGACCAAACTTCTGGAAATTATAGATGGTAAAGCTGAGAAGGCTGAAACAAAAGACGCTCAAAGGGCGTGGGGCTCTCCATGGATTCCGTTGCTTAGGTACTGCCTGTCCTCGCTGGCCACCAATTTTGTAAATCAGAAAGTGAGGTAAAAAATACATCTTTTCACACCTGCCCTCCCCCCATCTGTCTGTGTTGTGGGTTGATCCCAGAAATGGTCCAGAAGATTTCATAGAGGTGGGTGTACAGGGAGGAGGCTGCGCCTGTTCTGGAGAGGTGAGGCAGCCCACTGCTCGGCTCCGTTCCTCCCCAGTGGAGGGTGAGGCCGCCAAAGCTGGGCTTTGGGAAGGGCTGCCCCCTCTCCTAGGCAGGCCCCCGCCCAGGCTGCAGGGAGAACAGAAGGGTGCCACGCCATGATGCCTGTTGTCCCCACACTCTACTGGCTTCGGGCTGCCTGGGGATTTGCTGCCCAGTTTTCCATCTTTGGAAACGGTGTTTCCAGGCAATTCAGAAAGGGCAAGTGCAGCCTAGACTTCTTGTCCGCCCTGCTAGCTGCTGATTAGAAGAGGTGACATTCTCTGTTTTCACTGTGTGAGAAGGAAAGAGAAAGAACTATCCCAGCGGCTTATTATCAGGATTCTGAGCAAATGATCTATTTTTCAGAGATTAGATGAAAGAAGACTAGTATTTGGCACAGAGGACCAGACATCTGGCACTTGGGATCCTTTTAGCTTTTCACTGTTTCATCATGCGACACGAGCAAGTCATTTTTACTGTTTGTGTTTTGATTCTTTTTCTTTTTGTGGAATAGTAGTTATGATAGAAGCACTTCCTTAGCACTTATGATGTTGCCAACCACTGTTTTCAGTATTAGCTTTATTAACCCTCCCACAGCTCCATGAGATAGGTACTGTTATTACTCCCTTCTTACTGCTGAGGGGGCTGAGGCATAGGGAGGTTAAATCATGTGCATGAAGGTGTACAGCTGCTGAGTGATGGAATTGGGACTCCAACCCCAGCCAATCTGGCTCTGAAATAGTGGAATACACCTTTATTCATGAACTATTAGCAAGGGATGCTGCACTTAAGGGCTTTAGGGTCCTGGAGGCTGCCATAGTGAAAAACTCAGTGCTGAGGTTGGTGCTTCCTGTTGGACAAGCACCCTTCCTCCCATCCTTTTCTCGCCTCTGTCCTCATTAGCAGCATCTTCTGTCTTTGCCAGCCCCTTTCTCTGCCTTTATGCATACTGAGTACTCTCTGATCTTCAGAAAGCCTTCTTTTCACCCTACCAGCTCTTCTTTCCTTCCTTCCTTTCTTTTTTTCTTTTTTTTCAGATGGAGTTTCGCTTTTGTTGCCCAGGCTGGAGTGCAATGGTGTGATCTCGGTTCATTGCAACCTCTGCCTCCCGGGTTCAAGCGATTCTCCTGCCTCAGCCTCCCAAGTAGCTGGGACTACGGGCATGTGCCTGTAGAGATGGGGTTTCACCATGTTGGTCAGGCTGGTGTCAAACTCCTGACCTCAGGTGATCCGCCCCACTCAGCCTCTCAAAGTGCTGGGATTACAGGCATGAGCCACCGCGCCCGACCCTTTCCTTCCTTTCAAGGCAGACTCTGGAGTGAGTAAGCATGCCCTCCTCAGTGCTAGTCCTGGACTCCCACCACCCTCCTCCATGTACGTCCCCTGTGCCCTGCCTACAGTGGGCCGAGGCAACTCCTCTCACTGGAAACTTCCTTCTTTGGCCTCCACGACCTAATCATCTTCCAGATCTTCTCCCTTTTGACCACATTCCACATTTTTCCTTTTTGGGCTTTCTCTCTCTCTCTCTCTCTTTTTTATTCTGCTCCCTATTTGGCCTATGTACCTTTCCTTCTGGGGAGCAAGTCTGGTGGTGGGCTGGGCCCGGGCTGGCCAGTGAAGTGGCCTTCACCCAGCAGTGCTGACCCACCGGACATGAGGGCAGATGAACTCATGCCCCGGGAAATGTGCCATCCTCACCTTGTCTGCCTTCAGTTTTGCCATAGCCAAAGGAGGCCGCCTGCTGCTCGCTGACGACATGGGCCTGGGGAAGACCATCCAAGCCATCTGCATCGCAGCCTTTTACCGGAAGGAGTGGCCGCTCCTGGTGGTGGTGCCATCCTCCGTGCGCTTCACCTGGGAGCAGGTTAATGGTCTTCAAATTGCAGTTTTCACAGAGAAGGTTTTCTTCAGTGTTAGAGTCATAAAATAATGGTTTGCAGACAGGGCCTAGGGATCTTTAAGGATCCTGTCTCAAGTAAAGGCAAAGGCAGGAAGAGAGATGAGATGCCACCTGAGGGCAGGCTGGGGGTTTTCTGGATTAGAATCAGGTTACACCTTGAGGGAAGAAAGCCAAGGAGAAACCGGCTTAGAGACTTGTGTTCATCTGTCAGCAGGCACTTCTGGGACCTCTGTGCCCTGCTAATAATACTTTTCATCTGTACCACACTTAATTTTTTTTTATTTTTCTTTTTTATTGTTTTTTAAAATTTTTATTTATTTTGAAACTGGATTATGAGACTGGCTAGTTTTTGTACTTTTTGTAAAGATGAGGTTTTGCCATGTTGCCCAGGCTGGTCCCAAACTCCTGGGTTCAAGTGATCCACCTGTCTTGGCCTCCCAAAGTGCTGGGATTACAGGAGCCACTGTGCCCGGCCCACACTTAATTTTTAAAATATTTTTACCTCCTGTATTTTCCTCAATCCCATGACAGTCCTGTGCAGTAGGTACAATAGATAGTAACCCCATTTATAGATGAGAAAATGGAATCTCAGAGGTTAAGCTCCATGCTTCCTCTTAATGAGGAGCCCTGGCGGATCTTGATGTGGCATCTTCTGACTTCCCAACTCAGGGGTTTTGCACTCTGTAGAGGGGGGAGTGAGTGGGATGTTCACTGTCTGCCAGGTAGCTTTATGGATCCAGAGCCTGACAAGAAAACTGTATCACTCACCCTTGAGCTTTTTTTGCTGTAAATCCAGGAATCAGAGTGCTTTTGTGAAATGAATAAAAAGCCCATGAACAAACTCAGTGAAGAAGGAAGACCTGGTCCATCGTCCACAGCTTTTTCTAGCTTTATGCCACTGACGTCAGCCTGGGACTTCTTCCTGAGGCCTCCATGAGCCATTCATGCAGAAGAGGCAGCTCCTCCTACTGCCGGTCAGTCCAAGGCCCAGATGTGCTATTCTGACCGAAGAGATGGCAAAAAAAAAAAACACTAAAAAATGTGCACCTTGTTTTTTTTCTGTCCTGGTGATCTGAGTTCTTTTTTTTTTTAATTTTAATTTTTTATTTTATTTTTTAATGAGACAGGGTCTCATTATGTTGCCCAGGCTGGTCTTGAACTCCTGAGGTCAAGTGATCCTTCTGCCTTGGCCTCCCAAGTCTTGTGAATTCTGCCAGTGCCTGTAGAAAGTAATCTTCAGAACATATTTTGTGTGCGTTAGGTTCCCACAGCACCCTCAGAAATTCTAGGAAGAGTCAGCCAGACGGTGACCAGCCTGAGGTTAGAGAAAAGGCCAGCCCTCCCTGTATTGAACAGTGTCACCCCATGTGAGGCAGGTGAGCACCCAGATGCCTGGGTGGGTTTGGCTAGAGATGCTCAGATTGCCAGAGAGAGAAGGTAGATTTGTAGAAATATCGACATAAGTAGTCTCGTCATCATCAATAAATGTTTATGATTTGCCTTCAGTGTACCAGGCTCTGCTACATCGTTCATAAAATTCCTCTTAAAAAGAGTCGCATTCTTTCCCTGCAGAAACTTACCATCTAGTTAGAGATCACAGAAATGAAACCCAGACACTGTGAAGTGACTGTTGACAAAGGCAGGGAGATAGCGAGGCATGGTGGTTCAGGCCTGTAGTCTCAGCAACTTGGGAAGCTGTGGCAGGAGGATTGCTTGAGGCCAGTACTTCAAGACCAGTCTGAACAACATACTGAGACCCATCTCTTTGAAAAAAAAAAAGAAAGAAAGAAATTAGCCAAGTATGGTGGTGTGCACCTGTAGTCCCAGCAACTTGGGAGGCTGAGGCGGGAGGATCACTTGAGCCTAGGAGTTTGAGGCTGCAGTAAGCTGTGATGGTGCCACTGTACTCCAGCCTGGGCAACAAAGTGAGACCAACACAACTCTCTATTTTTTTTTTTTTTTTTTTTCTGAGACCCGAGGTTTCTCTCTTGTTGCCCAGGCCGGAGTGCAATGGCGCGATCTCGTCTCACCACAACCTCCACTTCCCGGGTTCAAGCGATTCTCCTGCCTCAGCCTTCCGAGTAGCTGGGATTACAGGCATGCACCACCATGCCCAGCTAATTTTGTATTTTTAGTAGAGATGGGATTTCTCCGTGTTGGTCAGCCTGGTCTCAAACTCCCGATCTCAGGTGATCCGCCCTCCTCAGCCTCCCAAAGTGCTGGGATTACAGGTGTGAGCGACCGCACCCGTCTCCCCCAACTCTTAAAAAAACAAAAAAGGGAGTGTCCTGTTAGTGGCAAGTGAAGGGGCACAGGTAGGTGAGAGGAAGGTAGAGGTGATGGCTGTTGATGGGCATGAGACTGCTGCTGTCACAACCAACAGCTGCTGTGCTGGGTGGTCATTGTAGCTTTGTTCCCTCCTGTCATCCACAGGCCTTCCTTCGGTGGCTGCCATCTCTGAGCCCAGATTGCATCAACGTCGTGGTGACTGGGAAGGACCGCCTGACAGCTGGCCTGATCAACATTGTCAGCTTTGACCTTCTTAGCAAGTTGGAAAAACAGCTAAAAACCCCTTTTAAAGTTGTCATCATTGTAAGAAACTTGGCAAAGTCTTTAAGTACTTTATCTCTCTGGAAACTTTCTTTGTAAAAGCTCTGAGAACTTTCATGTCTGTAATCTCCTTGAGCCCCATTTAGTTTCTAGAAGAATAGAAATCACTGTCTTTATTTTGTGGGGAACTGGAAATTCATTCCCCTCAAATAGCCATTCTCAACTCTGGCTACGTACTAGAATCTCTTAGGGAGCTTTTTTTGAAATTGTGATTTAATTAGTCTTTGCTGGGGATTTCTAGCTCATCTCTTTCCCAGCGTGACTCATGGATGGAGGCCAGCATGTGGACCCCAGGCCACCTGGGGGCTCTGGGTACTACAACCTGGACGGCAAGGGGGTGTGCCTACATCTGGTGCCATCTTACTCAAACAATTGAGTTTTCTTCCAGCCAATGTGAAGATACACCCCCACCCCACAAAAGCACTTTTTACTCTAACTGTTTTTTGGAGGTTTTTCTGTGTTGTTTTTTTTGAGACAGAGTTTCACTCTTGTCACCCAGGCTGGAGTGCAGTGGCGTGATCTCGGCTCACTGCAACCTCTGCCTCCCGGGTTCAAGCAATTCTCTTGCCTCAGCTCCCCAAGTAGCTGGGATTACAGGCACTTGCCACCACGCCCAGCTAAGTTTTGTATTTTTAGTAGAGACGGGGTTTCACCATGTTGGCCAAGCTAGTCTCGAACTCCTGACCTCAGGTGATCCACCCACCTTGGCCTCCCAAAGTGCTGGGATTACAGGCATGAGCCACCTTGCCCGGCCTCTAATTGTTTTTTAAAGAAGGTCTGACTGGACCTGCTTCCAGATTTGACAACATATCTTTCAATTGCAGGCTTTCCTACTTTTAACTCCTCACATACTTCCTAAGGAAAGTCTAGACAGACTTGGTACCCAGCCATCTCTGTCAGTACTGAGTATATTTACATAACTCACACAAATATTGTGGGAGCTTAGAGAAAGGAAGGAGAAGATACCGTTACTGACCTCAGGGGATCTATTATTCTGTTTTGGACATGAGAACCACACTGTGTTCTTAGCATAAGCAAACTTGAGTGTTGATAGTTTTGCAAAGTGATATAGGTAATGAGTCTTTGGGGGAGTCATTTTTGGTTCGGCACAAATTCAAGTGTGGCTTTGAAAAGATGTCAGCATACATGTGAAATGAAAACATTCCAAGAAGTTTCCCAGGATGATGGGGATGGCTCTACAGTGTGTGGGAAGAATAATGCTTTCAATTCTTGAGTGTTGCCTTGTGTTAGGTACTGACATATAATCATCTATTTTCCCAGTGGCCCCTGAGTAGGCTTTATCTTTTATCCTTGTGAATTATCCATTTCACAGCTGATGAAACTGGCAGTGAGAGTGGGTACATAAATTTGCCCATAGGCACAAAGCTAGCAAGTTGGAGGTTATTGAATAAAGCTGGGTTGCGTCTGCCTTCAGAATTCATGTTCTTCTCTTTCTGGCCCATCACTTAACCTGCTGTATGATTTTTGGCAAGCCACTTACCACCATTGTTGGTTTGTTCTTCAGTTAAGTAAGAGCTCTGTCCTCTTTCTTTCAGAGAAATGTTGTAAGAAAGAATAGAGTGATGGCTCTGAAGTGTCACACTTTTCAGAAGAGGCTTCAGTTTAAACCATTCTTTGAGATTTGTTCCAGTATTGGCACATTTTTACCCATTGGTTGAAAGGGCCCATTCTCTTCCATATCCTCTGTACTTTCTGTGTTTTTTCTCCATAAATACATTTTACTTGACTGTAATGAGGTCTCATGATCAGAAAGGCATATGACCGTAACACTCCAGCTTTCTGGACAGGATACTTTCTTGATATTTTGAGGGTTATTTCACACTCCCCTCTGCTGTGCTTTTGTGGCCCTTTTTGCTCATGATAGCTGAAATGGAATAGGGGATTTCTTATAGATCATCTTTAAGGACAGCGTTGGGATCTCACTGGTATCCCAGCTATAGGAAGGCTGATACCATTGAGTGCTTACTGAGTAACAGGGCTGTGCTAAGGACTTCACATGTGTTAGCTCATTTCAGACTCACAGCAACCTAATACATAAGGAATTATGATACCCATTTTACAGACAGCAAAACTGGCATTACAGAGAGGTGGTTGCTCAGAGTCACACAGCAAGGAATTTGACTCTGTACCAAACTAGAAAATTTCCACTTAAATACTCATGTATTAGTTACTCATTTGGCTTTAGAAAATATGATCAACTCTATATTTGCTTATGCAACAAAAAGAAAAAAAGAATAAAGAAAAACAAACTATATATATATATATGTATGTATTTGCTTATGCACAGATACAGAGTGGTTAATCAGACTTCATGTTCTAAACATAGCAGTTCCTTGAGAATAGGAATCATATCGTCTTCTTTCCGTCTCTCAGTTTCCCCAGCACTTTGTTTACACTCGCCTCAGTGACAGTACTGATAATACAGCCTGATCGGTTGTCAGTGTGTCTGGCATCCTTCCTGCACCCTGAGCCCCTGAGGGCAGGGGCTGGACACCCCAGAGCTTTGCACCAGTGCAGGGCCCATTATGGGGCACTTGGTCTAGTGCTCCACAGGTGGGAGGTGCCTCTTACAAAGCAGCAAACCACCTTCTAGTGGTTTCTTTGAGCAGCCTCTGAGGTGGGCGGAGCAGGGATTCATGAATCCCACTTTATAGATGGAAAATTGTCCCCAGAGAGCTGAAGCAACTTGCTCAGAATGCAGTAGAGAAGCTGCCACCAGACCCCTGGGTCCTGACCTAGGCCCAGTGAGCCATCTCCTTGAATGAGAAAGTGCTAAGGGAGCATCCACCTTGCACTTGCCATGCCAGGGTCAAGCCTAAAGTGACCCATATTTCTGTCCACTCAGGATTGGATCTTGTACACTTATGTGGCTACTTCTTTTCAGGATGAATCTCACTTCCTCAAAAACAGTAGGACTGCCCGCTGTCGAGCAGCTATGCCGGTCCTAAAGGTGAGTACTTCTGAGAACTGAGCCCACTGAGCATTGGCATCCCATAATATTTTGCTCAGGCTTGCATGTCGTCCTAGTCCAGCAGGGGTTGCAAGTATAGACCTGTGGGCCATGGTCATGACTTGGCATTGACTTAGGGCATCTGTCTCTCTCCTTAGGGCTGTGGTACCAATTTCATCTTTCTTCCTAACATCCTGCTAAGGAACTAGTAGGCAGTACTAGTAGTCAGTAGTGCTGCCTTTGTCTCTCGAAGGTCAAGACTGTTGAGGCTGGGTGGGCATTGGACTCCAGAATCCTCCTCTGGCTTCCTACTTAGATAAGAGAGAGCCTCTAGCAGCTTGTCCACTAATTAGCTTAGAAAAAACTGCCTGTCTTCTAAGTCACTTGTAGTGGCAAAGCTGCCTAGATGCTGGAAATCAGGGAAGACGAGTTGTATTAATGAAAGTAATGGCAAAAAAACGCAATTACTTTTGCATCAACCTAATACAAACAGAACTGAGCAAGGGCTGGCGGGGTCAGCGAGATACACTGGCAAAGCTAAGATGGGCCTTAAAAGCTGATACTGTTTTCTGTGGCTACCCTGAGCCTCTTTGGTTGACAGAAGGGGCAGCCATCCCCCTTCCTCCCTGTGGTGGCCTAAACTCATTTCTGAGTGCTTTGGCGGGTGTGAGTTCTGGCTTCACAGCAAGCAGGCGTGGGTATGTGATGCAGATTCTAGTCTTTAAGCATGTTCTGATGTGCAATATAGGCTCTGTATTTCATCTGTCTCTCTCTTCTGTGTTTGGTTTCTTAGTCCCCCATCCCAACAGAGGGTAGTCCTCCAAATTTCCTTCCATTATGGGGGGGGGGGATGATTTTTTTCCTATTATTGTAAGAGGGAAGGAGAAGTACAATTAGAAAAGTAGCCTTTTCTCTTGTAACAAGTTAGAAGTTTCTCACAGATTACTTTGGAGGTATCCACTTTGGTTTGTGTAGACTGAGCAAACCAAAGTGTGTGTTTTTCTTGTGCTCAAAGCAACCTTTGTGTTGTACCAGCATTTTAAAACTATGGCTTTTATTGATTAAAAGAAGCTTTAACTTTTACCTAAACTAGGGAAAACAAATACGCTGAATGTTAATGAAGCTTAGCATTTGAACATTAATCTTAACATTTCCTCACAAAACACACGTAAGTGTCCACTCATTTCAAGTTTTCATGTGTTTAGGAATAACGGAATATGATACATCTTCCAAGGCAGGGTCATGTCATGTGCCAAACCAAAGAATAAAAGTCTTTTACTGCAAAAGCTTGGTTTTGCTGGGGTGGTGGCTCACGCCTGTAATCCCAGCACTTTGGGAGGCCGAGGCATGTGGGTCACTTGAGACCAGGAGTTTGAGACCAGTCTGAGCAACATGACGAAATCCCGTCTGTACTAAAAATACAAAAATGAGCCAGGCATGGTGGTGCACACCAAGCTGAGGCAGGAGAATCGCTTGAACCTGGGAGGCAGAGATTGCAGTGAGCCGAGATTGTGCCACTGCACTCCAGCCTGGGTGACAGAGTGAGACTCTGTCTCAAAAAAAGAAAAAAAAAAAAAAAGCTTGATTCTCTGCCAGTATTACCTATAAATATTTATATGTCAATAGCCATTGATGGACACATTTAAATAAAATGTTTTTCCTAGGTTGATGACCCTTCTTTTGGGAGGCCTTAATATGCTTTCCATAGGAAAACAATAGGGTTAGGTATTTTGGTTTCAGTATTTCAGCCATAACTAAATTAAATCTTTACTCCTGATTGTTTAGACAAAAGAAAATGCACAATAGATAGATTCTATCATTAAAGATACAATGTGAAAGCTTCTAGCAACCACTTGTTAATGTAGTCATTGCCTGGCTGGGCAAGCTGAGCCAGATAGTGGTTTCTGAAATGTGTGCCTCTCAGCCAGACCTTTGGAAGCAGCATATACCTCTTTAATATCTTGAGTGTGTTTCAAAGTGACATGTTTAAAAGAAATCTCTAAACTGCTAACTAATATGTACTACTCTGCATTTGCTGTAGAACTTGGATGAATTAATATTTTAAAATAAGCCTCATGAACATGGCCTGTGTTTATGAAGGTGTCTTGGGGCCACGCTCTTCCGCAACGTTGACTTCATATAATGCTGGACTGTGGCAGGATTGGGCTGAAGGAGTGGGATGGAGCATTCTGTGCTATTCTGTTAACCGAACCTTTCATCTCTGTCTTATTGTATTTTCGTCTAGATTGGAGTCTCTCAACCATGGTACTGTTGACATTTTGGGCTGGATGACTCTGTTGTTGGGGGGCTGTTGTGTGCATTTTAGGATGTTTAGCAGCATCCGTGGCCTCTACCCACTAGATGCCAGCAGTTCCTCCCCAGTCATGACAACCAAAATTGTCTCCAGATGCCACCGAATGTCCTCTGAGGGAGGACAAATCACTCTCTACTCACCTTGCCCTTCTCCAACCCCATGGAGAACCACCAATCTAAATAAGGAAATGAATCTAAATGTTTTTGGAATAATAAGATAGTTGGGAAAAAGTAAAGTATGTCTTTGAAAAGCCATATAAGGACCTAATTTAATACCACTTGATTGTTCCTCTAATATGAACATCTCTTAGAACTATATTCTGATAATTAATATTACAAGCATATTTTCAGCAAATAGGCATAATGAGGTATTTAGATTAAATCATACAGTTCGTTGGATAGCAGGGCCAGATCGTGTCCAGAAAAATGTGGATTTTGTAAATAGCAATAGCAGTCAGCAGAGAGAAGGTGTGTTAGATTGTAAGAAATTGGTGTCACTGTCCCCTGGGAAACGTGACATTTTTCTTCCCCCACAGCACTATTGGCTGGGGCTACTAATCCTAAATGAGGTAAATCTATTTTTATATATAAATATATGAAAGTAGACCAGATAGAAGCTAAAAAGAACAAAGTTAAAATTACCTTTAATCCCTCCAACAGAAAAAGCCACTGTTAACAGCTTATTTTTCCAGCATGTCAATTATTGAGCAAGATCATCATTTTTCAATAACTATGGAGCATTTACATAGTGGAGACACATCCCATAATTTAATCCTCAGTATCAGACATGCGGTTGTTTTCCATTTTTGCTATTATAAATAATTCTGCAAGTGAACATCATCTATATGTACCTTGCATATTTATCCTATTAGGACAAATTCCTACAATCAGAATTGCCAGGTCAGTTTTCATTTGACCTTTTTAGGGGAGGCCTCTGAAGTCCAGTCTGGCCAGGCATAACAATCTTCACTCCCATTCAGTCTTCAATCAGAGGCTTTTTTTTCCCACATGACTCCGCCCTCAGGATTACTGGCACTCTTTTAAACAGTGAGGTGTGTGTTTGGGGTTTTTTGGTTTAGTTTAGTTGTCTTTTGTCTACACTGGCTTTTATTGTTAAACTAGTGTAATAACAAAATTAAAAATTTTTCAAAGGGAAAGGCCCCTAGAGTCCTACCATTCTTTCCTAAGAAGCAGCTGTTTCTCTTTTTCTGTAAGTAGAGAGTACTTTTTATATCTCTGTTGATTGGCTGGATGAGATAGTGGCTAAAAGGTATAAGGTTTTTTTCTTTTTCCTTTGTTATTAAAGTAGTTTAAATAGATGATAAATTCAAATGGGGCCGGGCGCAGTGGCTCATGCCTGTAATCCTAACACTTTGGGAGGCCTGAAGCAGGAGGATCACCCGAGGTCAGGAGTTTGAGACCAGCCTGGCCAAAATGGCGAAACCCCATCTCTACTAAAAATACAAAAATTAGCCAGGCATGGTGGCACACACCTGTAATCCCAGCTACTTGGGAGGCTGAGGTGGGAGAATCACTTGAACCTGAGAGGCGGAGGTTGCCCTGAGCGGAGATCGCACCACTGCACTCCAGCCTGAGCAACACAGCTAGACTCTGTCTCAAAAAAAAAAAAAAAAAAAAATTCAAACAATACAAAAGGATGGACAGTGAAAAATAAGTCTTTCAACCCCTCTAGGTTCCCTAGTCCCCAGTCTCTTTCCTCAAAGGCAGCTATAGTTACCAGTTTTCAGGTTTACTTCCATAAAATAACCTGCACCTATGGAAGTACGAGTGTGTGTGTTTCCTTTCTGCCTCCTTAGAGTGTTTTACAACCATTGTTTTACACTTGCCTTTATCCCCTTAATAATGTATCTTGAAAATCATTCCATGTTGTTCCAAATGACTTCTACCGCATTCTTGCAAATAGCATTCTATTGGATAAATTTATCATAATATGTATTATCTGTTCTCTTTTGATGGATTTGTAACCAAATTGCAGCTATTACATGCAACACTGCAATGACCATTTTTTCATATGTTAGAGAAGTGGGGAGTAGAAAATGCAATCCCTGTGTGTCTGAGATGGCTTTTTGCCTATCAGGCCAGAGGGGAGAGCAGTGTCAGCTGGCAGATTCTGTTTTCTTCCCTAGTGTGATGAGGCTATAGAAGTCCCCTGAGGTCCGGCCATTCTCATTTATTTCCTCACTTTCATTACATAATCAGACTTAAAAAGGAAATTATTAGAGTTTGAAACCTATAGTAAAATGGATTGTCTTTTCCAGAGTAAAAAAATCTACCTTAGGCCGGGCGCAGTGGCTCATGTCTGTAATCCTACCACTTTGGGAAGCTGAGGTGGGCAGATCACTTGAGGTCAAGAGTTGCAGACTGGCTGGCCAACATGGTGAAACCCACCTCTACAAAATTAACTGGGATTGGTGGTCTGCGCCTATAATCCCAGCTATATGGGAGACTGAGGGAGGAGGGTCACTTAAACCTGGGAGGTGGAGGTTGCAGTGAGCCGAGATCATGTCACTGCACTCCAACCTGGGTGACAGAGTGACACTCTGTCTCAAAAAAAAAAAAAAAAAAAAGCTTGGAATGGCATAGCTTTAATCAGCTATAATTATACCATTTGATATATTCTCATTATAATATTTTGGTATTTTTGGTCCAATATACATGCAGTCACTGTCTTCATTCTGTCTGTTCTTACCCAAGAACTGCCTTATATGTGGCATGATAATTTCATTTATGTTACAGCAGCAATGCTCACTTAGCTTGAAGGCATTATGGTTATCATAGCAAATCAGTTTAGTTAAGGTTAGTACTATTCAGATTTGTGACTGGAACTTTGTTTTTTTTGGAACATAGGCTAGAACCTAGAGGGAACCATTTATGTGAAATAAGCTGACCTAACCAGAGATTCAGAGGCCATGTATAAAGTATCACTGAGTGGTAGGTGGCCTTCTGCCAATACTTAGGGCAGCCTCTGGTCAGCAGTGGCCATAATTATGCTGCTTTCTTGGTTTGTCCTGGTTTGTTTTGGGGGGCACCACTCAGGAGCAGAGTAAAGAATACACCCGTGGTCTCCCTCCCCGACTCCAAGCACTGGCTTTCTTCTGAATGTCAAGCTTTTCTTTTTGCCCTTAGGCTTTCGATTTAACTACAGGTGTCTCTTTTGTAGCTCCTTGTATAGTGACTGTGATCCCACATTTATTCTTGATCTGTGTACTTTTGGTCACTTGTCCTCAAGCTATGCTTGCCACTATCCTTATTTCTGAAGATTGTATCATGACCTCTGAACTAATTAAAACACAGCTTCAATGTCCCTGCCACATCAGGGTTACTGAGTATGGAGACTTTCCAGCGGTGTGGACTTGACCTTCTCTTTGATATTACCTGCCTTCTTCATGTCTTATTTCTAAATTGAATATATGGTATTGTATAAATTTATTTAGAGTACCATTAGGAATAATTCTGGGTATAAGACTGGACTGAGCTTTGGAGAACATGATTTTTTTCCTAGTCTAGGGTTTTGGCAAAATATGTTACAGCCCATCAGAATAATTCAGTAAAGCAAGTTACTGGCTCAATTGGAAAAAAAAAAGAGATCACATAAAGTGATGAAGAATTTCTGGACTGCTTCTTATATAAACTTAAGACTTCAGCTCTTTTTTCTACAGTAGAACATTCTCTTGGCTCTTAATTTTATTTTTTATTTAATTTTATTTTTTTGAGACAGAGTTTCACTCTTGTCACCCAGGCTGGAGTGCAATGGTATGATCATGATCTCAGCTCACTGCAACCTCTGCCTCCCCTGTTCAAGTGATTCCCTGCGTCAGCCTCCTGAGTAGTGGGATTACAGGTGTGCAGCACTGCACCTGGCTAATTTTGTATTTTTAGTAGAGGCAGGGTTTCACCATGTTGGCCAGGTTGGTCTCGAACTCCTGACCTCAGGTGATCCGCCTGCCTCAGCCTCCCAAAATGCTGAGATTGCAGGCGTGAGCCATCATGCCCGGTCAACTCTTAATTTTAAAACTATGTATAGATTATCCACTTTCAATTACGACATTGAATTCTCTGTGGCGAATTATGTATACACGAACTCAGCCTATTCTGCAGGGTTTTCCCACCCCCAACCCACGAAGAAACTAAGCCTATCTTTGAGGGTCATCTGATCCCAACAGTGTCTGCACATGTGAATCATGTTATCTTTCTAACACCACACAGAAAGTATTTTTTTACATTGTTCTATCTTCGATTTCTTGGGTGTTGCTTTTCTCCCTTAGGTGGGGGAGTTCACTGTAAACTGTTCAATTTGGTGTTGATTTATGTAGTTTTATAGATTTCTGTTTTCCTAGATTTGGAAGTTTTCAGAAGTGGAGGGTGACATATGACACCTTTGCAGCTGGGCATGTGTTAAAAGCCCTTGTGGGTGATCGTGATGACATACACACATGTTGGGGCTGAGCTGGGAGCAGGCCAAATCACCCCATTACAGACGAGATGCCATTCTGGTTTCTTTTTCAAAGCTGGACTTTTTCTTTTTTTGTAATGCTGCCTCTGCCTTTTTGATGCCCACAAACACCCATTGGCAACGCTCCCATCACTCTCTAGTCTAGGGAGTGTATGGGAGAAGCGATTTAATACTAACTACATCCTATAAGTATCTGACAGAAGACCCTGGAGTTAATTTCCATCATCTGATTCATGAACTGTTTTTGCCCTGGCTCCATCCCCAGGCCAGCACAGTGACATGAAGAATAGGTTTGGGGTGATGGGGAGATTTTCTCTTTTTGATAAAACTTTTCATTTTCCCCTTTTTCATTGAAATGATCTTAAAGCCAAGGCAAGCGATGCTACCAACGTCAGCTCATTGTTATTTTAATGAGTCTGCATTAAACCGTGCAGGAAGTTAGAAGGCCTAGGTAATTGAACTGTGGAAAATTATAGCTGGAGACATTCATAGCTCTCCCATCATAATGGAATTAGATATTGGCGATTGCTGTGAGGGCACAAATGCGTTTAGATAATTGTGTATATTGTATATTTATAAAGAATGATTTTTCTTTTCACTGTTGCACCTTTATTTATTTATTTTTATGAGGCAGTGTATCCATCTGTAAACCTAATTTATTCTCCTAGGTGATTTATTACATGCAATTGCCTTGTATTACTGTCATTAACTCAAGGTTACAGTGGTTAACAAGCTGTTTCTAGACAACTGAGCTCCATGGTAGGGTCCGTTCCCAGAGCTGAAGTGAATTTTACGTCCAGTAATTTGTAGTGATTCTGTGTTCTAATACAGTAGGAAGAGTCTCTTTTTTTTTTTCTCACCCTCTTTCCCATCTTAATAATAGGAGGTGGGATCTTTGGGTCTGATGCCCATGGGTCAGGTTGGTGTCTGGGTAGTGAGGAACTTGGAATCTGTCATTGCTGTTGACCAACTATTTTTTCCCATCTTGCCCATGCTAAGCAGGCTGCTGCACATCTGGGCTGAGTTTAGGGAAAATGGAACCAGGTATCACCTATTAAGGTTCTTATTGTTAATAACTGCAAAATGAGCCTGAGTCAGGATCTGTAGGCTTGAAGCATTGTGAAGCTGAGTTAGTAAAGGCCTTATTTTCCTTTAAAGAAAGTCACATGGAGACATATACATTGGCAACCCCTGACACTTCCTCTTGGGAATGGGAGAGGGCTGATTGTAATTGTCATTATCTGAGTTCAACTTGCATGTCACAGATCCACTCTGGAGGAAGTTCAGACCTGCCACTGTCTTCTCCCACTTCCTGTCCAATGCTGGATTCTTTGAGTTTACTCTGTGTTCTCCAGGATACTAATTAGCTTCCTTGTGAATTTTTTGCAGCATACGGTGAACATTTATTGGTTACTTGGCGTCAGGCATATGCTACAGAAAATAAAGGTGAATACAGCCCAGTCCTTGATCTCAAGAGGCTTGCAGTCTAACAAGGGAGACAGAAAAGTTATAATTCAATGTAATATGTTAAGTACTAGGATAGAGCTCAGCAGAGGGCAGGCAGGGAGGATTTAAAGAAAAGGAGATGCCATCTAACTGCTTGCATTGGCAATGCCATTAGGTTCTCGCGACACGCACGCGGTCTTTTTCTGGGGGCATCCAGCTCCTCCCTCACTGGGGCATTTTGAACATTTCCTGTGTGCTCCTCCCTGTGTTCAGAGCACCTTTGGCTGTTTGTCTTTTAGGTTGCCAAGAGGGTGATCCTGTTGTCGGGCACACCAGCCATGTCCCGGCCCGCAGAGCTCTACACGCAGATCATCGCAGTCAAGCCAACTTTCTTCCCCCAGTTTCATGCCTTTGGACTTCGCTACTGTGATGCCAAACGGGTATGTATTATCTCTTCCCTCCCAGCCCACCCATTTCTCACCCTGATTTTGACACTTATCTTTCTCTTCCTTCTCTCTGGCCATGATATGGTCAGAAGAGCACTGGCCAGGGGAATGGATTTTAGTCTTTCTGTTTCTTACTATGGCCTTGGAATGACCTCAGGGGTAAGATGAAAATGGTCATCTTACCCTTTAAATCTAGTTTTAATGGTTATGGTTATCCGAAGTCATCGTTTTCCAGTAAGGGGACTAGTGGCTGATGTGTAGGTATGTGGAGCTCTGAGAGCCGGCTTCCCTCTTGCCCAGGGTCACAGCTCTGCATGAGGCACAGTGCTGGAGCTATAAAAGGAAAGTCCTTGTCAAGTGCTGGCCCTAGAGAAGATGCTGGCACTGAGGTGAGCTAGGAGTGAGGCTGAGGCCCCAGGCAGAGGGAAGAAGTAGGTGAGGGGGTAAGGGCTTCCTCCTGGCATGGGAGGAATATGAAGTAAAGGTGGGAAATTCCTCCCTGTGCAAAAAAAAAAGAAAAAAAAAGATAAAGGTAGATTGAGGAGCCTGATCCCAAACTGCCTTGGGTGGGCTCTGTGAGTGCAGTGCCAATGGCGCAGGCACCTCAGGACCTACAGTCGGCACTCCAGAAATGCTCTCCCAAAATGGCAGGGAAGCCCTGTAAACACCAATGCATTGCCATGGAACCCTTGTTTTTAAAACCACATTAATTCAGACCTTAGGGATTCTTGTTTTGTGATCAAGTCACAAAGGTACTGGCACTTTGGAGAAATAGCTGCAACTTACCCTACAAGCCATCTATGAGGGAAAAGCCTTGCTGTGCAAGTACATGATATAAATAAGAGTGTCTGCCTTATTTTTTAAATTTTTAAAAGAAGAAAAAAAGTTTTCAAGTACTTTAAAAATATCCACTTACATTCAAACGAAGTACTTATAATGGAAATTGTAGTCCTTAGCATAGTTAATTGCAAACCATTTTTAGCTGGTTATTGAGGCAGGAAATTTCCCAATTATTAAATGTATTTAAAAGCCGTACACTTCTTTAATCATATATTTAGTTCATTTTCCCTGTAGATCAATCCAGATTAGACTGATGCTATATAGTTTTCATGGTCCCTCAAAACTCTTCATGTATGATTTGGATTTCTGTCCTATTCGCAAACAGTCCACTTTCTAAAAAGGATCTTCTCTTTCTTGACTATATGGGCCCATGGCATAATAATGTTCAGCTAGTGATGAAAGGGGCTAAAGATAAAATTGATTGCCTTTCTTCCCCAAACTGTCCCTTCCTATGTTCCCCATCTTAGGCCAGCATCTCAGTAGTTTCTCCTGCCAGAAACTAAGGCATTATCTTTGAATTCTCCTTTTCCTGCCTTCTTGATACACCTCCCCAATACAACAAAGAATGCCTTCCTCATCTTCACATCTTTCTTTCCACCTAACCCAGTGCCTGATATGTGGTAATTTTTCAATTAAAGCTTGTTGGATTGTGACTATCCCAAGGTCAAGTTTAAAATTTTTGCCGCATGCAGCGGTACACACATGTAGTCCCAGCTACTCTGCAGGCTGAGGCACGAGAATCGCTTCAACCCAGGAGGCAGAGGTTGTAGTGAGCCAAGGTCATGCCACTGCACTCCAGCCTGGGCGACAGAGTAAGACTCTGTCTCAAAAAAAAAAAAGAAAAAAGTAACAAATTACTTGGTATTTTGGTGTTACTAAGTTTTAACCTACAAGGTTAAGAGCTAACAATATTAGAACATAGGAGCATGCTATCTGTCTTAGTCTGTTTTCTGTTGCTGTAACTAAATACCACAGACTAAGTAACTTACAAAGAATAGAGGTTTATTTAGCTCATGGTTCTGGAGACTGGGAAGTTCAAGAGCATGGCACTGGCATCTAGTGAGGGCCTTCTTGCTCTTCATAACATGGCAGAAGGCATCATATGGAGAAGAGGGCAAGAGCATATGTGTCAGCTCAGGTCTCTGGTCCTTTTCTTATAAAGCTACCAGTCCCAACATGGGGGACCCACCATGATGACCTTATCTACCTCCCAAAGGCCCCACCTTCAATCAACATAATGAATTTGGGGATTACTTTTCTAATGTGTGAAATTTGGGGGACACATTTAAGCCATAGCAATATCCAAATTAATTATGATATCCACTTGTTCTCAGCATGGTTTTTATTTAATACAATCCATAAGCCAGGGCTGCCTTTTTTTTTTCTTTTTCTTTTTCTTTTTCTTTTTGCCAGCTTCATGCATTAAGAAACCACTGAAAAGAGAACCTCATGCTGAGCTCATTTGCAAACCACTAACTATCTGAAGGCATTTGCTGAGAACTTCCAGTTGATTTCAGAGTATTTTTTAAAAAGAAGAAACAGCTTTACAACATTTTATTCCTCCACCTTTGACCATCTCTTCCTTCTCTCAATTTAGCAAAGGTTTATGAGACACCTATTCTGTCTCCACTATTATGCTAGGCTCTCTAGCCCTCTATAATGGGAAAACCTAGCCCCTACCCTCAGGTAGCTAGCTCATCAGCCAGGAGGGGAGATGAGCTCCTTAAAAGACAAAGTAGCAGGCACACTGGCTCCCTGATTTTCTACTAGACTGTAGAAATCAGTTCCATTTCCAGTAAGATTGTTGGTGAGGGATAGGGTTTTTAATGGTAATGGCTTCTTTTTTTTTTTGAGACAGAGTCTTGCTCTGTTGCCCAGGTTGGAGTGCAGTGACACCATCTCGGCTCACTGCAACCTCTGCCTCCCAGGTTCAAGCAATTGTCCTGCCTCAGCCTCCCTAGTAGCTGGGATTACAGGTGCATGCTACCACGCCGGCTAATTTTTGTATGTTTAGTAGAGATAGGGTTTTGTCATGCTGGCAAAACTCCTGACCTCAACTGGTCTCTAACTCCTGACCTCAAGTGATCCTCCTGCCTCCGCCTCCCAAAGTGCTGGGATTACAGGCGTGAGCCACTGCGTCTGGCCAGTAATGGCTTCTCTAGCTGTGTGATGGGGAATGAACATTTGAGATCACTGCCTCCCGTGAGCTCCTCAACGAGGGAGCCATGTTTATGAAGGACTGCCTAGGCCCTTAGCCAGACTGCCAGAAGCCTATGTGGTGGGCTCCTCCTGCCAACCCCAGCTGCCATCTACAACAACACTGCAGTTACTTTTATTATATTGTACTTGTTTGTGCTGGTGTAATCCATACTGCAGAACAACAGTTTTTAAAATCCCTGTAAGTCTCATCAAATAAAGATGTTACTGACATTATTTTATTACATTGTGCAACAGACTCTGTAGGATAAGCCATAGGGAAGATTTAGTATTTAGTGTACAGGAATAGTCTGACAAGCCAAGTTTTTTGTTTGTTTTTTAATAAAATGGACACCCAATTGCTTGACTTCTGGCATTTGCTGCTGGAAAAGAAAGCTCACTGCCAAATTGTAGAATGCCATGATAGGTGTTTTTTATTCATCTCATTCCTGACTTTTTTCTCTCTTTTCCTTTCCATTTCTCATTTGTTTTATTGGGGGTTTATTTGTCCCTGTAAGTCACTTGAAGTTTTCTGAGCTAAGCCAGGGGTGGTTGTGAGAAGAGGGACCTCCCGGGATCCCAAGTCCCTGTTGGACTGGGCCTGAAAGGAGCCTCATGGGGCTGTCGCTGTCTTGTTCTCTGCAGATGCCTTGGGGGTGGGACTACTCAGGTTCCTCCAACCTGGGAGAGCTGAAGCTCCTGCTGGAGGAAGCAGTCATGCTGCGGCGCCTCAAGTCCGACGTCCTTTCCCAGCTGCCTGCCAAGCAGCGCAAGATAGTGGTGATTGCCCCAGGACGGATCAATGCCAGGACCAGAGCTGCCCTGGATGCTGCAGCCAAGGAAATGACCACCAAGGACAAAACTGTGAGTCCAGGGCTGGAGACAGATTTGGAAGCAGACATGTCTAGGTGTTCCTTTCCATGAGAGGCCCTTGAAAATGACCTGGCATTCTCTCAGCTTTCCTTTCTGTAACCTTTTCCCTCTTCCCTAGGCAAGAACAGCAAGTCCATTTCATTCCTCAGCCTACCTAGTCAGTTTTGAAAAATCTCATATTAAGTTGTGGTTTTATACTTGTATAGATCGCTGTTGATGGATGGCCATAAAGATAAGCACAGGCAACAGCAGGGTGGTGATCAATATTCCGAATCCCTCAAAGAATGTGGAAATTATGTCTACTATATTTTGAGAATGCATCAGTCTAGTAACAGTTGTTAGAAAATTAGTCCTAACATGTTTGATACATATGTTAATCCTTTAACCATACTGTGTCATTTGTGTTAGTCAAAATAACAAGCCGACATTCTTATAACAAAATAGAGTTTTCAAATCCTCCTAACCTTTTAAATCCCTATTACAGGCATTTATGGTTGGCAGGAAGTTGGCATCCCCCTTTTTACAGAGAGGGAAACTGAGGCTCACAGAGATTGCAGTTTGCCCAGGGTCTCTTAGCTGCTCCACCACAGAGCTGAGGCTAGAACCAAGCCTCTTGCCCCTATATTTTAGGACTGTTTTCACTATGATGGTTTTATCTTTTCAAACACTTTTATTTCTGTCTTTAGTGTCATACTGTGCTAAGTGCTATAATCTACACCAGCTCTGTTTCTGTCCTCTTAGATAAAACCTTGTAATTCCCATTACTAAGAAAATAACAGTCATTGATATTTTTCAACATCATGAAGCATTATCTGGGCTTGATATTACCCTGTATAAAGATATTTAGATGTAGATCTCAGCCTTCTGGGAGGTTACAAAATAAATAAGAATGACAAGAGACAGAATGCATGTTTTTCATGTTATTTTACCATGTGATGAGCAAGATTCATTGATAACTTTTAAGAAATGACAGGATAGAGGATGCACTGGCAAATTTTCAAGCTGTATTGAATTTATGCTGTATTACATATAATAATCTGGATGGTCTGGAGTAAGTGAGCAGGCATCATCTCTTTATTGTGGAGTTTTCAAACTTAAACAACATCGATGTAGACATATAGACCAGTGTTCTCAGATTATATTTCAGTGGAATCATGAGTAAAACCAGGAAGCTTTGTCACTAAAATCAATCTTGGTGGTCTTTTGTTTATTTTTAGAGATAAAAATGCAATGAGTAGATTATTTTTTCTCAATTTGAAGTTTTTTCTTATAACTTTTTCTTAATAACTTTCGTCTACTGGTGAACTCTACCAGACAAGAAAACCAGTGAACTGGTATAGCAAATATAATATTAATGGAAAAATTCAGACATGCAATATTTTTAGATGCAAAGAGCTGAATATTTATAAAATGTTATTTTTTTTGCCAGCAAAGTTGTTCCTTGTGTGTGTGAGATGGAAGTAAGTCTGTTAGTGTTTCGTGAGATTCCCCAGAGAACACCCTCACCAATACCTGGTTCACCTCCTGAACCAGTTTGAGAACAGCCAAGGTAGACACCTGAAAAAGCAATTAGTGGGCATTTGAATTAAGGAGGAAAAGCACATTAACTTGTTGAAACACAACTGTGAATTGTGTAGTATGGCCAAAAAGAAAAAAAGAAAAGCAGTAGAAATTTTGTGCTTAGTGCAACAAGATCTGAAAGCATTTTGTAAACTTCTGCCAACTTGTATAGTTCTTCAAGTAAAGGGAGTGGCTCTTTTCAAAGATGATTTCAGATGTCACCTGAGAGTTTGATTTCTGAGCTTGTTGGTGATGCTATGAAATTAACTAGGAGGTACTATGGAATTTAGGAATGTTGGGTGTTTTATAACTTTAGGTAGCTATACAAATCCAGTATTTTTGAGGATATTTTTATATTTTCTTGCTTAGAAACGGAGCCACAACTCCCTTTTGGTTGTGGAAAAGTACATAAGGATAGTGCCAGTTGCCCAGAATCCTGCCTACTGGGTGATTATCCTCTTTGCTTTGTAAACACCACAGTGTTAACTCCATTTTGCAGATGATGAAAATGAAGCCTAAATTGCAGTGTCATTCTTCAAGAATCCAGCTGAGAAAGAGCCCGGAGCTCTTCTCAGTCCAGCACCTGAGAGTTGCTGTCTGCTTCCTTGGAGTCTTAGGAAAGTTAAACGTTTATCCCTGAAAGATAGAGATTGAGTTGGTACAGATTACCATCAGTGTGATGGCTGAAGCCAGACACTAAATTCTTTCAGATAATAATTCCTTAAGAACTTGATGCCTTTTTGTGTCTTAATAGAAATCAATTTTTATAATGGAAAATCCAAGTAGAAAACAGATTTGTGTGTTTGTGCTTTGGGCCATCAGAACCTTTGGATTTCTAAAGCCATTGATTTAGTGCATTTCTAAACCATGGATCTGATCAGGATCATTGCTCTAACTTAATTCAGGAAGGGAGCCAGCATCAGCTGGAGGCTGGACTAGATGACCATAGGCATGTCTTCCAGACCCTGGCCAGCTATGAAATCCTGAGTTGGAAGGGTTAAAATGGGGACTTATTTTTTTTATGGTTTTAGTTGAATAAGGAGGCCCTGTGGATCTATAGAAAGTCCCCTCTCTCCACTGCCACCAGTTTTTTAAGTTACTTTTTAGTCCCAAGTTTCCTTGCAATTTTGCAAATCATGGTGACTCCAGCCAAGCACTGCTGACCTGCCTGTCAAGAATTGATTCTTTGTTCCTTCACACCTTTCCATCTGGAAGAATACATTTCTTAAAAAGCTTTATATCACAGGAGCCAAGGTGAAGGAGCCAATTTATAGAATGTAATGTATAATCAAAGACTTTTCTCATTTTTTCAGCTGAAATAATGGATATCGCTTCACAGGCAAAGGAAAGCTGACTGTAATCATCTTTTGTCTAAAGCCATTTTTTCATCCTCAAGACCAGTAACAGAGAAATGGAACAAGTCCATACAGATTTCCTGGTAACAATATCAGTTCACCCTTGCCATTTGACAATCCACTCAAATTTCCAATGTAGAAAAATTTAAAAACTCCATTGGATCTAATTTAATTAAGGTCTAGTCAGGAACAAAGAATGCAGGTTATTTAAAATTTCCTGGCCAGTAGCTGGCAAAAGAAGTAAGATCATTAATAGAGAGTATTAGGTCTGCACAGTTTGGGGGAGTTTTTTTAAAGCTGAAACTATTGATTTCTCCCACATTAAAATAGATATCTATTGTATAAAATCTGAAAAATAAAGAAAAATACTTACAATCAGTAACATTTATTGAATACTTGCTCTGTGCTGGGCATGGTGCTTTACGTGTATTGCGTCATTAAATTCTCACCATCAGCCCAGATATTTGAGCCTCAGAGCCTGCACTTTTAAGTGCTACAAATTCTGGTTCTACCGTTTAGTAGCAGTGTGACAAGTATACTCATTTGACTTTTTTTGCCTCAGTTTCCTAATCTGCACAGTGGTAAAGTAGTGCCTCCCTCATAGCAATGCTGATTATTAAATGAGTTAATGCATATTTAGTTCTTAGAACACTGCTTGGCCCGTAATAAGTGGTATATGAGAGTTAGTTGTTATTTTTATTACTATACTATAAAAAAGAATCATCTTGGGGCGGTTCCAAGATGGCCGAATAGGAACAGCTCCAGTCTACAGCTCCCAGCGTGAGCGACACAGAAGATGGGTGATTTCTGCACTTCCAACTGAGGTACTGGGTTCATCTCACTGGGGCTTGTTGGACAGTGTTTGCAGGACAGTGGGTGCAGCACACCGAGCGTGAGCGGAAGCAGGGCGAGGCATCGCCTCACCCAGGAAGCGCAAGGGGTCAGGGAATTCCTTTTGCTAGCCAAGCAAAGCTGTGACAGATGGCACCTGGAAAATCGGGTCACTCCCACCCTAATACTGCGCTTTTCCAATGGTCTTAGCAAACTGCACACCAGGAGATTGTATCCCGTGCCTGGCTCGCATGGTCCCACGCCCACGGAGGCTCGCTCATTGCTAGCACAGCAGTCTGAGATCGAACTGCAAGGCAGCAGCGAGGCTGGGGGAGGGGTGCCCGCCATTGCTGAGGCTTGAGTAGGTAAACAAAGCAGCTGGGAAGCTCGAACTGGGTGGAGCCCACCGCAGCTCAAGGAGGCCTGCCTGCCTCTGTAGACTCCACCTCTGGAGGCAGGGCATAGCCAAACAAAAGGCAGCAGAAACCTCTGCAGACTTAAATGTCCCTGTCTGACAGCTTTGAAGAGAGTAGTGGTTCTTCCAGCATGGAGTTTGAGATCTGAGAACGGATAGACTGCCTCCTCAAGTGGGTCCCTGACCCCTGAGTTGCCTAACTGGGACACACCCCTGAGTAGGGGCAGACTGACACCTCACACGGCCAGGTACCCCTCTGAAATGAAACTTCCAGAAGAACGATCAGGCAGCAACATCTGCTCTTCAGCAATATTCGTTGTTCTGCAGCCTCCGCTGCTGATACCGAGCCAAACAGGGTCTGGAGTGGTCCTCCAGCAAACTCCAACAGACCTGCAGCTGAGAGTCCTGACTGTTAGAAGGAAAACTAACAAACAGAAAGGACGTGCACACCAAAACCCCATCTGTACGTCACCATCATCAAAGAGCAAAGGTAGATAAAACCACAAAGATGGGGAAAAAACAGAGCAGAAAAACTGAAAATTCTAAAAATCAGAGTGCCTCTCCTCCTCCAAAGGAATGCAGCTCCTCACCAGCAATGGAACAAAGCTGGACGGAGAATGACTTTGACGAGTTGAGAGAAGAAGGCTTCAGATGATCAGATTTCTCTGAGCTAAAGGAGGAAGTTTGAACCCATCGCAAAGAAGTTAAAAACCTTGAAAAAAGATTAGACGAATGGCTAACTAGAATAACCAATGCAGAGAAGTCCTTAAAGGACCTGATGGAGCTTAAAACCATGGCACGAGAACTACGTGACGAATGCATAAGCTTCAGTAGCCGATTTGATCAACTGGAAGAAAGGGTATCAGTGATTGAAGATCAAATGAATGAAATGAAGCAAGAAGAGAAGTTTAGAGAAAAAAGAATAAAAAGAACAAAGCCTCCAAGAAATATGGGACTATGTGAAAAGACCAAATCTACATCTGATTGGTGTACCTGAAAGTGACGGGGAGAATGGAACCAAGTTGGAAAACACTCTGCAGGATATTATCCAGGAGAACTTCCCCAACCTAGCAAGGCAGGCCAACATTCAAATTCAGTAAATACAGAGAACGCCACAAAGATACTCCTTGAGAAGAGCAACTCCAAGACACATAATTGTCAGATTCACCAAAGTTGAAATGAAGGAAAAAATGTTAAAGGCAGCCAGAGAGAAAGGTTGGGTTACCCACAAAGGGAAGCCCATCAGACTAACAGTTGATCTCTCGGCAGAAACTCTACAAGCCAGAAGAGAGTGGGGGCCAATATTCAACATTCTTAAGAAAAGAATTTTCAACCCAGAATTTCATATCCAGCCAAACTAAGCTTCATAAGTGAAGGAGAAATAAAATCCTTTACAGACAAGCAAATGCTGAGAGATTTTGTCACCACCAGGCCTGCCCTACAAGGGCTCCTGAAGGAAGCACTAAACATGGAAAGGAACAACCAGTATCAGCCACTGCAAAAACATGCCAAATTGTAAAGACCATCAATGCTAGGAAGAAACTGCATCAACTAACGAGCAAAATAACCAGCTAACATCATAATGACAGGATCAAATTCACACATAACAATATTAACCTTAAATGTAGATGGGCTAAATGCTCCAATTGAAAGACACAGACTGGCAAATTGGATAGAGAGTCAAGACCCATCAGTGTGCTATATTCAGGAAACCCATCTCATGTGCAGAGACACATAGGCTCAAAATAAAGGGATGGAGGAAGATCTACCAAGCAAATAGAAAACAAAAAAAGGCAGGGGTTGCAATCCTAGTCTCTAATAAAACAGACTTTAAACCAACAAAGATCAAAAGAGACAAGGCCGTTACATAATGGTAAAGGGATCAATTCAACAAGAAGAGCTAACTATCCTAAATATATATGCACCCAATACAGGAGCACCCAGAGTCATAAAGCAAGTCCTTAGAGACCTACAAAGAGACTTAGACTCCCACACAATAATAATGGGAGACTTTAACACCCCACTGTCAACATTAGACAGATCAACGAGACAGAAAGTTAACAAGGATATCCTGGAATTGAGCTCAGCTCTGCACCAAGCGGACCTAATAGACATCTACAGAACTCTCCACCCCAAATCAACAGAATATACATTCTTCTCAGCACCACACCGTACTTATTCCAAAATTGACCACATAGTTGGAAGTAAAGCACTCCTCAGCAAATGTAGAAGAACAAATTATAACAAACTGTCTCTCAGACCACAGTGCAATCAAACTAGAACTCAGGATTAAGAAACTCACTCAAAACTGCTCAACTACATGGAAACTGAACAACCTGCTCCTGAATGACTACTGGGTACATAACGAAATGAAGGCAGAAATAAAGGTGTTCCTTGAAACCAATGAGAACAAAGACAGAACATACCAGAATCTCTGGGACACATTTAAAGCAGTGTGTAGAGGGAAATTTATAGCACTAAATGCCCACAAGAGAAAGCAGGAAAGATCTAAAATTGACACCCTAACATCACAATTAAAAGAACTAGAGAAGCAAGAGCAAACATTCAAAAGACAGCAGAAGGCAAGAAATAACTAAGATCAAAGAAGAACTGAAGGAGATAGAGACACAAAAAACCCTTCAAAAAATCAATGAATCCAGGAGCTGGTTTTTTGAAAAGATCAACAAAATTGATAGACCACTAGCAAGATTAATAAAGGAGAAAAGAGAGAAGAATCAAATAGATGCAACAAAAAATGATAAAGGGGTATCACCACTGATCCCACAGAAATACAAACTACCATCAGAGATATTATAAACACCTCTACGCAAGTAAACTAGAAAATCTAGAAGAAATGGATAAATTCCTTGACACATACACTCTCCCAAGACTAAACCAGGAAGAAGTTGAATCTCTGAATAGACCAATAACAGGCTCTGAAATTGAGGCAATAATTAATAGCTTACCAACCAAAAAAAATCCAGGACCAGACGGATTCACAGCCTAATTCTACCAGAGGTACAAGGAGGAACTGGTACCATTCCTTCTGAAACTATTCCAATCAATAGAAAAAGAGGGAATCCTCCCTAACTCATTTTGTGAGGCCAGCATCATACTGATACCAAAGCCTGGCAGAGACACAACAAAAAAAGAATTTTAGACCAATATCCCTGATGAACATCAATGCAAAAATCCTCAATAAAATACTGGCAAACCGAATCCAGCAACACATCAAAAAGCTTATCCACCATAATCAAGTGGGCTTCATCCCTGGGATGCAAGGCTGGTTCAACATACGCAAATCAATAAACATAATCCAGCATATAAACAGAACCAAAGACAAAAACCACATGATTATCTCAATAGATGCAGAAAAGGCCTTTAACAAAATTTAACAGCCCTTCATGCTAAAAACTCTCAATAAATTAGGTATTGATAGGACATATCTCAAAATAATAAGAGCTATTTATGACAAACCCACAGCCAATATCATACTGAATTGGCAAAAACTGGAAGCATTCCCTTTGAAAACTGGCACAAGACAGGGATGCCCTCTCTCACCACTCCTATTCAGCATAGTGTTGGAAGTTCTGGCCAGGGCAATCAGGCAGGAGAAAGAAATAAAGGGTATTCAATTAGGAAAAGAGGAAGTCAAATTGTCCCTGTTTGCAGATGACATGATTGTATATCTAGAAAGCCCCATCGTCTCAGCCCCAAATCTCCTTAAGCTGATAAGCAACTTCAGCAAAGTCTCAGGATACAAAATCAATGTGCAAAAATCACAAGCATTCTTATACACCAATAACAGACAAACAGAGAGCCAAATCTTGAGTGAACTCCCATTCACAATTGCTTCAAAGAGAATAAAATACCTAGGAATCCAACTTACAAGGGATGTGAAGGACCTCTTCAAGGAGAACTAAAAACCACTGGCTCAACGAAATAAAAGAGGATACAGACAAATGGAAGAACATTCCATACTCCTGAATAGGAGGAATCGATATCATGAAAATGGCCATACTGCCCAGGGTAATTTATAGATTCAATGCCGTCCCCATCAAGCTACCAATGACTTTCTTCACAGAATTGGAAAAAATTACTTTAAAGTTCATATGGAACCAAAAAAGAGCCCACATTGCCAAGTCAATCCTAAGCCAAAAGAACAAAGCTGGAGTCATCACACTACCTGACTTCAAACTATACTACAAGGCTACAGTAACCAAAACAGCATGGTACTGGTACCAAAACAGAGATCTAGACCAATGGAACAGAACAGAGCCCTCAGAAACAATACCACACATCTACAACTATCTGATCCTTGACAAACCTGACAAAAACAAGAAATGGGGAAAGGATTCCCTATTTAACAAATGGTGCTGGGAAAACTGGCTAGCCATATGTAGAAAGCTGAAACTGGATCCCTTCCTTACACCTTATACAAAAATTAATTCAAGATGGATTAAAGACTTAAATGTTAGACCTAAAACCATAAAAACCCTAGAAGAAAACCTAGGCAATACCATTCAGGACATAGGCATGGGCAAGGACTTCATGTCTAAAACACCAAAAGCAATGGCAACAAAAGCCAAAATTGACAAATGGGATCTAATTAAACTAAAGAGCTTCTGCACAGCAAAAGAAACTACCATCAGAGTGAACAGGAAACCTACAGAATGGGAGAAAAGTTTTGCAATCTACTCATCTGACAAAGGGCTAATATCCAGAATCTACAAAGAACTCAAACAAATTTGCAAGAAAAAAACGAACAACCCCATCAACAAGCGGGCAAAGGATATGAACAGACACTTCTCAAAAGAAGACATTTATTCAGCCAACAGACACATGAAAAAATGCTCATCATCACTGGCCATCAGAGAAATGCAAATCAAAACCACAATGAGATACCATCTCACACCAGTTAGAATGGCGATCATTAAAAAGTCAGGAAACAACAGGTGCTAGAGAGGATGTGGAGAAATAGGAGCACTTTTACACTGTTGATGGGACTGTAAACTAGTTCAACCACTGTGGAAGTCAGTGTGGCGATTCCTCAGGGATGTAGAACTAGAAATACCATTTGACCCAGCCATCCCATTACTGGGTATATACCCAAAGGATTATAAATCATGCTGCTGTAAAGACACATGCATATGTATGTTTATTGCAGCACTATTCACAATAGCAAACACTTGGAACCAACCCAAATGTCCAACAATGATAGACTGGATTAAGAAAATGTGGCACATATACACCATGGAATACTATGCAGCTATGAGAAATGATGAGTTCATGTCCTTTGTAGGGACATGGATGAAGCTGGAAACCACCATTCTCAGCAAACTATCGCAAGGACAAAAAACCAAACACTGCATGTTCTCACTCATAGGTGGGAATTGAACAATGAGAACACTTGGACACAGGAAGGGGAACATCACACACCAGGGCCTGTTGTGGGGTGGGGGGAGGGGGGAGGGATAGCATTAGGAGATATACCTAATGTAAATGATGAGTTAATGGGTGCAGCACACCAACATGGCACATGTATACATATGTAACAAACCTGCACGTTGTGCACATGTACCCTAGAACTTAAAGTGTAATAAAAAAATATATTTAAAAAAAGAATCATCCTTACATTTGATATTTGAATGGACAAATGAACTGTATGTAATATTTTTGGGTCAACTGGGGGAATTTTGAACATAGTCTCAGTAGTAGATGAGATAAAATGTACTGAAAGAGAAAGTTACTAAAAAAACAAAACCAGATTAAGGAATGGTATGTACAATAAAATTTTATATTGATGTAAAACTAGAAAGAGGTGTGTGTGTGTGTGTGTGTGTGTGTGTGTGTGTGTATGTGTGTGTGTATGTGTATAAAGACCTGGAAAGGTAAACATTAAGGTAATGAGCATTGGTGGACACTGATGGTAATTAAATTGATTTAATTAAATTCAAAAATTTCCTATAGTGCACATGTGCTGCTTCTGTAACTATACTTTTTAAAAGTACAAACAAGATAATAAAAAGTTAACCAATTTAAAAAAAAAGAATCATCTTTTATACAACCATAATTTTGGCATATATAATTTGAGTATTTTTCTATAATTATGTGTGTATATGTTGCTTTAAGATATATTTTTATGTATCTGCATATAAATATATATAAAATATTATATATGCAATAAGCAATATGTGTATTTTAAAAGCAGAACTGGGATCATACAAACACGTCAAGTGGGAAGGAAAACAGGTTACTGTCTTATGAAGACTTTTCCATGTTGTTAAATATTCTCTTAAAACATAATATTTAGCCAGGTGTGCTGGCTCACTCCTGTAATCCCAACATTTTGGGAGGCCAAGGCAGGAGGATCACTTGAGCCCAGGAGATTGATACCAGCCTGGACAACATGGCAAAACCCTGTCTCTACAAAAAATCCAAAAAAATTAGCTGGGCGTGGTAGTGTGTACCTGTAGTCCCAGCTACTTGGGTAGGAGGCTGAGGTGGGAAGATCACCTGAGTCTGGGAGTTTGGGGCTGAGGTGAGCTGTGATTGTGCCACTGCATTCCAGTGTGACAGACAGAGACCTTGTCTCAAAAAAAAAAAAAACAAACCATAATATTTAAAGACTGCATAGTGTTTTCTCACACGGCTATAATTTTGCTAATCGTTTTGTTGGGCCTTTAAGTTACTTTCAATTGCTCACTATTCTGAGTAATACTGTACTGAAAAAGTAGCTTACATAGAAATTTGTGCACATGCAATTTTATAATGAGAATTAGTTTTAAGGAGTAAGTTGCTGGATGGTAGGGTTTTGGCATATTTAAAGGGGGTTGGTACGTTTTGCTGCATCATCCCCAAAAGGGCTAGCCCAGTGTACCATCCCACCAGTCAAGTATAATAAAAGTGTTTGTTTCTTCATACTCTCATCAACTCTAGGTGCTAAATGTTAGAGCAAGATTCCTGAAAGTGCTTCTCAGCAGTTTTCCATCTGTTTGTTTTGCCCTCTTTCTTTCTTATTAGGGAGTATGGCATGAGTGAGTGTAGGTGGGAGGGGTAGGCTCTCTCTGAAGGACACGAGTAAAACTGAAGATGGGGGCCAACTGGGGTGCAGTCTGATGGAGGCACACATGCTGCGAGTGAGGTCATCACATGTAAGCCTGCCCTGCCCCTTTGGCTACTAGAAACTGCATTGGGTTGGAGGGCCTAGCCTGCTCCTGGGGACCGTTAGACGTCCATGAATGGATTTCATGAAGTCTGAGCTCACTAGCCACAGGTGAAAAGTTGTGTATGTTTCCAGAGCGTGATACAAAATAGGAGGGTAGGTGGCTGCCACTGCCAAGACACATGTAGGATATGAAAGGGATTTACAGTCTAATCAGTGACCCCACAGCTTCCTGGGTTCCTCAGCATCTTTCTTTTTTCCCGTAAAGTCCTGGAGGAAAGATACCATTCAAAGCTAAGAAGCTGGCCAGATGCAGTGGCTCATGCCTGTAATCCCAGCACTGTAGGAGGCCAAGATGGGAGGATTACTTGAGCCTAAGAGTTTGAGACGGACCTGGACAACATAGTGAGATCCTGTCTCTACAAAAAATAAAAAAAAAAAAAAAGCTGGTGTGGTGGTGCATACCTTTAGTCCCAGTTACTTGGGAGGCTGAGGTGGGAGGATTGCTTGAGCCCAAGACGCTGAGGCTGCAGTGAGCCATGATCGAGTCCAGCCTGGGTGACAGAGCATGACCCTGTCTCAAAAACAAAAACAACCCCAAAGCCAAGAAGCTGTTTTAACCAGACAGCTTTTTCCTCCATCCATGGTTATTAGTTTTAGGTACAGTCTGGCTGTGGTTGCTTTCCTGAGTTATCAAGATCTCAAGAATGACAGGTTCAAGGCTATAGATGTTATTGCTGTTGAATCACGTCTTTGTTCCCTGGGGAAGCTGTCCTGTCAGTCACAGATCTTACAGAGGCCAGGCACAAGAAGGGGGGTGCACCTGTACTATGCTTGCTGGTGAAAGGAGATGGCCACCTGTCTTGGTCCTTTTGTGCTGTAACAAAATACTTTAGACTGAGCCATCTATAAACAGAAATGTATTGCTCATGGTTTTAGGGGCTGGGAAGTTCAAGATCAAGTGGCCAGCAGATTCAGTGTCTAGTGAGGGCCCAGTTTCTGTTTCAAAGAGGGCGGAAGGAACAAAGAGGCTCTCTGTCCTTATGATCTAAGCATCTCCCAGATGCCCCACTTCCCACCACCACTGCACTGGAAATTAAGTTTCAGATTATGAATTTTGGGGGGACACTCTTACCAATGATGGTAAGAGTATGATCTCTGGGAGGCCAGAGCGATAGTAAATGTTATCTCACATTATTATGAAATGATTTGAGCATCTCCTGTGTTAGCATTCTTTATTAGGAGTCACTTAAATGTAAACCATAAAGAAAACACCGTTTCTTCTTCTGGGAAGTTAATTACCTTATGTGGGAGGTATACCAAGAACACCTGAATAATGGTTTTAAAATGATACTAAAATGGGCCAGGTGCGGTGACTCATGCCTGTAATCCCAGCACTTTGGGAGGCTGAGGTGGGTGGAACACCGGAGGTCAGAAGTTCGAGACCAGCCTGGCCAACATGGTGAAACCCTGTCTCTACTAAAAATACAAAATTAGCTGGACGTGGTGGCACATGCCTGTAAGTCCCAGCTACTCGGAGGCTGAGACGGGAGAATCGCTTGAACCTGGGAGGCAGAGGCTGCAGTGAGCCGAGATCGCGCCACTGCACTCCAGCCTGGGCGAGACAGAGCGAGACTTTGTCTCAAAAAAATAAAAAATAAGATAAAATAAAATGATAGTAAAATAGACTAGTCAGGGTCCATTGGAATTGATTCAGTAAATCTTGGACAGAGGTAAGCTCTGTAAGTCAGGTATAGTCACAGCTTGGCAGAAGAAAAGAGGGAAGCAAAAAGCAAGTTGGGGAAATGTCACATGTAAGTTGTCACCAGGCTGTAGTAAATAGGTATGCTTAGCCAAGGCCACATTTCAGTGGTTCACATGGGTCTGGTGTGTATGGTGAAGCCCTACCTGAAATGCGTCTCCAAAGAGCTTTTGTGTTCCTTGCCTCTTGGATTCTTGCAATGGTTCTTGGACAATGGCAGAGTAGCTCTAATGCCGTCTCTGAGGACAAAACCCGACCCAGGCAGTTCTTCTGACTTGGCCAAAGTGAAAGGGGAATCATTGTCAGCACCAGGGTCTCCTGACTCTGGTGACGGGTGGTTGAGATTTGTAAAGCGCATAGGAGCAATAATTAGATCCACTCATCCCAGAGTTCTCAGACTGGGGCACTTAACATTCTTAACTTATCTTTCAACAGAAACAGCAGCAGAAAGATGCCCTCATTCTCTTCTTCAACAGAACAGCTGAAGCTAAAATCCCATCTGTCATGTAAGTGGTCACTAAGTGTCGACCTCTCTCTCTCTCATCTTCAAAAAAAAAAAAAACAACTTATTACTTTATTCTGCCTGAATGATTTTACTGCGTCTAAGAAATGACCAGAGATTATTAAATGTGCCTTTTGTTGAGGAAGGAAAAAATAAAACAGATGATCAGAGAGTAGAATTATAGCTGCCTTGAAAATAAAGTTTAGGGGCCAGGCTCAATGCCTGTAATCCCAGCACTTTGGGAGGCCAAGGTGGGAGGATTGCTTGAGTCCAGGAGTTTGAGACCAGCCTGGACAACATAGTGAGACCCCATTTATACAAAAAATGAACAGAATTAGCTGGGCATGGTGGCATGCACCTGTGGTCCCAACTACTCAGGAGGCTGAGGAGGGAGGATTGCTTGGGAGGGAGGACGGTCGAGGCTGCAGTGAGCTAAGGTGGTGCCACTGCACTCCAGCCTAAGCAAGAGACTAAAACCCTGTCTCAAGGGAAAAATGAAAAAAGTAAAAGTTTAGGGCACCCTGCTGTTAATTACACACAAGGCATAAGTTGGCCGGTAACTGGAGCGACTACTAGGATGTACCTGGGTCTCTAAGAGATCCTGTCTTGAGCCAAGTAGGCTGGAGCTGCTGCTCGTTAAAAGGAGGGTGGGGTTGTCCCCAGCACCAAAGGGGAGAGTTTTTCTAGGAGGACTGTGATCATTTGCCTTTAGGGAAAAAAAAATTAGAAGGAAAAGCTGCCTTATGGGGATACTTGGGTCTTCCCCAAGGTCAGGAATTGTCATCCATTACTTACCTAAATAAAAAGACAAATGTCAAAGTTTGTTCAAAAGATATGGGCATATGGCCGTTGTCACGCCTAGTTCTATTTCCACCTTATAAATTAAAGCTAAAGTAATAATTTCTATTCTTACAATTATTCATGACAAAATCTCAATTGTATGCCTTTCTTAAAGAAAAACCCACTCCTATTTAAATATCACTGGGGTAGAAACCTGGCAATTCTAATGATGTGCAGTTTGCCTGATTTTTTTTTTTGTTTAACATTCATGTGATGCTCTGGCAGGATAATGGTCCAACTGATGAAATTACAATGAGAATGGATTCCGTAGGGCTGAGTGGTGCCAGACTGGCTGTGGGGACTGAGATCTGGGGATAAATTAAGAAATATATCTGCCCCATCCTCGTACTTGGCCCACCTACCTCTCCACACCCTCCACTGTGGCAAGAGAGCTCCCCACACCACTCGATCTGCAATGCCCCCTGGAAAGACTGCCCAGTGCTGGCCTCCTCCCCTTCACCTCCTGGGCACTGCCCTTTTCATTTATGACCCTGCTAATGAACTCCAGATGTGGTTTTTATGGCCTGGAAACTTTTCTCCCAGAAACACATCTGAGTTGCCCCCGCTGACCCATTTCTCATGTGCTGTGGAATAACAGATGGCAAGGGTGTGCGTTTCTCCCTTGCTCCCTCAGCTCAGGACCTGCAAAATTCAGAGTCCACCAGGTGCCTCTCTCTTCAGATACTGTGCCCAGAGCCACCCATTTCCCTTAGAAATTTTAAGTCTTTCTACCACCTCATAAATAAACTTTGGTCATACCTTATACATACTTTCTCAAATTTCTATTATACAATAAATTGTATAGTGCTTTGTAGTTTCCAAACATTTTTTACACCTGTGAACTCATTTCACATTTACAGCATCTTTGTGAGATCATGTAAGTCACACTGGCTCCATTTTTAAAAATGCAAACACTGAGTAAATCTATGACTCTCTGGACCTCAGAGTCACACAGCTAGTAAGTGGAAATTAGATTGTATGTCTTCAAAACCCCAATTTCCTCAGCTAGTTGTTTTTCTTTTCTTTTTTTGCTGTTGTTTGTTTTTTCATTTTAATGGGCATCTTTTAATATAAAAGCCAAGGTTATTGTGGTAGGCAGATATTTCCAGCCTAGGAACTTGTAGAAGGTTATAGAACAACAAAGCTGTGTATGAGATATAGAGGGGAAAGACGCATTAGGAAAATTGGGGCCTGTGGTTTTTATGAGCTCACCAAGTGGATTTTGTGGCCTTGTGACTTTTTGATGCTGTAGCCGTAAACTTTTTTGCTTATATCATGGCAAATTTTATGTCTCTCAAAATAATTAAAGTAAATTCTATTAGTATCAACAATTCACAAATTGAACTCAAATCTGGTGCCCTGGTCAGTCATAGTGTTGTTTGAAATGACTCTTGGATGTTTACAGGGCAGTCCACGTACCTTTCCCTCACCTGAGACATATCCTTCTTTAAGGAAGGCAGAGTCTGTTCCCTGTCCAGACGCACCCATGGCTGGCAATGGCCTCAGCAAAGGAGCTCACTTGCCTGTACTGGGCTTACCTCTTCTTTGGGATTGTGATCCCTCTTCAGGGAGCTACCAGGGGAGGGGGCACCTAGCCAGGGTCTGTTAACCTGGTGACTTCCCACCCCACTGCTCCCTGAGGGTAGCCACCTTAAGGCCAAGCGAAAGATAAGAGGTGGGAAGCTTGCCGGGTGCGGTGGCTCACGCCTGTAATCTCAGCACTTTGGGAGGCCAAGGTGGGCAAATCACTTGAGGTCAGGAGTTTGAGACCAGCCTGGCCAACATGGTGAAACCCCATCCCTACTAAAAATACAAAAATTAGCTGGGCGTTGTGGTACACACCTGTAATCCCAGCTACTCAGGAGGCTGAGGCAAGAGAATTGCTTGAACCCAGGAGGTGGAGGTTGCAGTGAGCTGAGATTTCAGCACTGCACTCCAGCCTGGGCGACAGAGCGAAACTCAGTCTCAAAAAAAAAAAAAAAAAAAAAAGGGTGGGAAGCTAAGAAAAAACACAGTGGCTGGAAGAGAGATGTAAATTAAGGGAGGCCAAACAAATGAGAACCTTCTCTCCATAGTCCTCTGCCTTGGAAGAGAATTAACTGACTTAACTACTGGCCCTGTCATTTGAGGTCTAAAGTGGGAGGAGCTGGAGATCCTTCTTGGAATGTCTCTTTAGTATTATGTATGTCTCAATATTTAGCTTCTAGAAATTTGTGTACTGTCATTAATTCCTTAGTCCCCTCCCTAAATGCTTTCAGATCTACAGAGGACACTCTAATTTGTATTTAAAACACATTATAATGATAGTCGGAGGTAAAGTGAAAACTGTTGATCATCTTCTATGATCCCAGATAATAAGAATGTTTCAGTAACATACCAGAGACACATAAAACATAAGGAGTATATGTTTAATCTGTTTTGTTGTCATTGTCAAATGCAGTGAATATATCTTGGACCTACTGGAAAGTGGAAGAGAGAAGTTTTTAGTATTTGCACACCATAAGGTGGTCCTGGACGCAATTACGCAAGAGCTTGAGAGAAAGGTGAGCTCCCTTTGAAATTCACCATGGGCTACTTTTGCCATGTCCCAAGTTGTTCTAAGCAGGCTTAGGTCAGATCCAAGCAAAGTGAGACCGATGGCTTCCGGAAGCATTGCTGAAGACTTTCTGAAGAAGAGTTCTTGCTTGTAGAACCACAGTGGGGTCAAAATGTTTCCCCAGCCATGTCATTTTAACTTCCTCCATGCTCCAAATAGATATCCCAGGAGTCTTGCTTTAGGAACATCTCCCAGGGGCTGTTCCATTATTCTGCATAAATAATTACAAAGTTGGCAAGAGAGGAGATAGCAAAATTGTCCTTTTGTATGGAGACAAGTATTTATGTGAATGTTTTCCTCTTTTCCTTCCTTTCATTCCTCCTCAGCACTGTCAAAGCACTTTTATTAATTCCACATGGCAGTGTGCAGACATTAGTAGAGAGTTTTATGGCTCTCCTGAAATTGAACGAAAGGGATCTAGAAGGATTTCCAAGGATGTTTATGAAAACTGAACACATTTCATCCCCTTTTCATTTTTGGTTAAATTTAAGGCTGTAAATTGCTCTTTGTCTTCCCTCATCGTTTATATTTATATAACATTTGAATGTACTTTAAGAGTACAGAGAAATATACAGCAAATACCCATGTATCTCCCACCCAGATTTAATAAATGAATTTATTTCAAGGTTTTTTTATTTTGAGGCAGAGTCTTGCTGTGTTGCCCATGCTGGAGTGCAGTGGCAGGATCTCAGCTCACTGTAGCCTCCGCTTCTCAGGTTCAAGTGATTCTCGTGCCTCAGCCTTCCAAGTAGCTGGGACTACACCACCTCACCTGGCTAATTTTTGTATTTTTAGTAGAGACGGGGTTTCACCATGTTGCCCAGGCTGGTCTTGAACTCCTGGCCTCAAGTGATCCACCTACCTCGGCCTCCCAGAGTGCTTGGATTACAGGCATGAGCCACCACACCCAGCCTGAAGGTTTATTTTTTTAATAATAAAATACTTAGGTCCCCTCAGTATTCTAACTTTATTCCCCTTCCATCTCTCCAGCAATAACATCACTATTACGAAGGCAATGGGTATCCTTGCCCTCCATGTTGTCATACTATATTCTAGGAGTACGTATCCATAAGCAATTTATCGTCTCCTTTTTGCTTATTTTTAAAAATTTAAAATAAATGACAGCACGGTGTAATTATCCTGCAACTTACTTTTTTCTCAGCATTGTTTTAGAGATTTCTTTTTTTTTTTTTTTTTTTTTTGAAACAGTCTTGCTCTGTCCCCCAGGCTGGAGTGCAGTAGCACGACCTTGGCTCACTGCAAGCTCCACCTCCCGGGTTCAAGCTATTCTCCTGTCTCAGCCTCCCGAGAAGCTGGGACTACAGGTGCCCGCCACCATGCCTGGCTAATTTTTTTGTATTTTTAGTAGAGACAGGGTTTCACCGTGTGTTAGCCAGGATGGTCTCGATCTCCTGACCTCATGATCCGCCCGCCTCGGCCTCCCAATGGAGATTTCTTTATACTGCATTACACGTATAGTTCATTCACTGTAACTGTGGAATTGTATCTCATTGGATAGCTATACTGCAGTTTATCCATTCTCCTGCTGATGGTTGCTATCGTGTGAATATTATAGTAGGTGTATGTTTGTATCTATGCATTTCTTTATGGCTTGTGTATGTGCTTTGTGTAGGGGAGGCATATTCAGGCATGCTCTTGCATGGTTATTAAATAGGTTCATCTTCATACTAAATGTTGTCAAATTGCTCTCCAAGGTGGTCATTCACATTTATAATCTCACTAACAACATATAAGGGTTCCTGCTGTTCTGTGTGCCCATTAACACTGGTATTATCCAACTTTTTAATTTTACCAATCCAGAGAAATGAAATATCATCTCATTCTTGCTCTAATTTGCATTTCCCTGACTACCAGTAAAATGTGTATCATTTTATTTATTTATTTATTTATGGCCATTTTAGCTGTCTCCTGTGAATATTCTGTTTGTATCCTTTGCCTGTTTTTCTGTTGGATTGTTTTTTTCTTACTGATTTAGGAAAATTCTTTATAAATTCTGGATATTAATGTTTTATCAGTTATCTTTTTATCTTTTAAATTTATTTTGTTGGGGAGGGGGGTCTCGCTCCGTTGCCCGGGCTGGAGTGCAGTGGCTTCATCTTAGCTCACTATAGCCTCCGCCTCCTGGGTTCAAGAGATTCTCATGCCTCAGCCTCCTGAATAGCTGGGATTACTGGTGCACACCACCACGCCCAGCTAATTTTTTTGCATTTTTTTAGTAGAGACGGGGTTCCACCATGTTGGCCAGGTTAGTCTCAAACTCTAGGCCTCAAGTGATCCACCTGCTTCAGCCTCTCAAAATGCTGGGATTACAGATGTGAGCCACCAGGCCCAGCTGGTTTAATTGAATTCTAATAAAAACTCCAACTAGATCTTTTTTTTTTTTTTGAAGCAGAGTCTCACTGTATCTCCCACACTGGAGTTCAGTGGCACGAATGCTGCTCACTGAAGCCTAAACCTCCTAGGCTCAAGTGATCCTCCTGCCTGAGCCTTCCCAGTAGCTGGGACCTCAGGAATGTACCACCACGCCTTGCAAATTTTTAAATTTTTCTGTAGAGACAGGGTCTTGCCATGTTGCCCAGGCTTGTCTAGAACTGGGCTCAAGCAATTCTTTTGCCTCAGCCTACCAAAGTGCTGGGATTACAGGCATTAGCCACCGCACCCAGCCTCCAGTTGGATTTTTTAAAGGGAACTTTATACTGTTACTCCCAAGAACATCTCAAAAAAAAAAAAAAAAAAAAAAAAAAAAGCAGGAGCGATATCTAAACAACTATGAAAAAGAAGAGCAATGTTGGAAGACTTGTCCCTTCAGACATTAAATATTAAAATCTGTTATAAAATACCAATAATTAAAATTCAGCCATGCTGGCCCCAGAGAGATGGCCAGATGGTGGAATAGAATACATGGCCCTTTACCATAAATGGAAAGCAAATACATGATCAAGGAATTGTCACAAATCCGTTTTCAATTTCTTCAACAAAGTTTGGGTAATTGCCTAAATAATTGGGGGGTGGGAGGGTAGATGAAACTTTAACTCACTGTTTACTATATTAAATTGCAGGTGAATCAAAGATCCTTGAAACCATAAAGTATTAGAAGAAAATACCAATGAACAATAGCTGATCACTGGGTGGAGAATGACTTTCTAAGCATAAAAACCAAGAAATTACAAAGGAAAAATTGATTTGAATTACCTAAACACATGTATTTTTTCTGTGACACATACACAGTGATTAAATTTTTTTTTTTTTTTTTGAGGTGGAGTTTTTGCTCTGTCGCTCAGGCTGGAGTGCAATGGTGCAATCTCAGCTGACTGCAACCTTCGCCTCCTGGCTTCAAGCATTTCTGCCTCAGCCTCCCAAGTAGCTGGGAATACAGGTGCCTGCTACCATGCCCAGCTAATGTTTGTATTTTTATTAGAGACAAGCTTTCACTGTGTTGGCCAGGCTGGTCTCAAACTCTTGGCCTCTGGTGATCCACCCACCTTGGCCTCCCAAAGTGCTAAGATTACAGGCGTGAGCCACCATGCCCAGCCCACAGTGGCTATGATTCTCTTGTACATTTGTACATTTTTGGAGGGCAGTTTGACAGTAAATTAAGGCGTGCACTCAATTTTTCAAATTTTACTTCTAGGAATTTATCCTAAGGAAATCATCAGACTAGTCAGATTTATAAATGAGAATATTAGTCATGCTGTTTATAATATTCAATAATTAAAAATCTAAGTTTTTATCAACAGATATACTATTAAATAAATTATAGTCCATTCAGCCATAAAATATAATGTTGATCAGTGGTTCCTAACTTTGGAGATCATTGAACCCTATAAGAACCTGAAGAAACTCCAAAATTGAAGGTCTTGGTATCTGGTTAGTATATATTGCTATCGGAAGATGTCCATACTATGGACAAAAAGCTGTTGTATGTATAATAATTTTTAAAAATTGTCATGTTGTCCAGGCGCAGTGGCTCACGCCTGTAATCCCAGCACTTTGGGAGACTGAGGCAGGCAGATCACCCGAGGTTAGGAATTCTAGATCAGCCTGGACAACATGGCGGAACCCCATCTCTACTAAGAATACAAAAATTAGCTGGGCATAGTGGTGCATGCCTGTAATCCCAGCTAGTCAGGAGGCTGAGACACGAGAATTGCTTGAACCTGGGAAGCAGCGGCTGCAGTGAGCCGAGATCCTGCCACTGTACTGCAGCCTGGGTGAGAGACAAGACTCTATCTCAAAAATAAGATAAATAAAATAAAATAAATAAAATAGTCATCCATAGAAAAAAGCCTGATTAATATATACCAGTACATTAATGATGATTATCTCTAAGTAGTCATCATTATCTTTTTAGTTTTTCTGTATTTTTGCAATGAGTGTGTATTATTTTTATAATAAGAAAAATTACATTTTTAAAAATAAAGGAGAATTTAGAAAACAACAGAAAAGTAATAGAAGGAAATAAGCTAGGGAAACTATTAGCCACCTCTGTGACATACAAATAATGGTTTTTACATGTAAAGGTATTTCCTAACTCCCAGTAGGAAAAAAAAAAAGGGGGCAACCTGTATAAATAGATAGTTCATCAAAGAAATGACACCAGTAGCCAATTAAAAGATAACGAAAACACCCAATTTCACTAGTAATCAAGTTAGTGAAAAATAAAATTTTTTTTTTTACCCCATCAAGTCAGTAGAGGTTTTAAAAATGTGCGGTGCTCACTGTTGATGAAAGTGTACGAAGATGGACATGCTAATACATTAGTTATTGGAAAGCAATTTGGCAATAATATCAGGAGCCTTAAATTAAGTTTTTTCTTTTTGCTATCGTACTTTGGTTTGTAGTCCAATCTAAGAAAATCACCAAAAATTGGCATCCTCTTAAAAACTTTCCATTTTAATAGCATTCTTGAGGTATAATTGACATGCAGTAAACTGCACATAATGTGTACAATTAATGAGAATCAAGATAGGAAACATATCTGCCACCCGCTGCCCCCACCCCCAGAGTTTTCCTTTGTAATCACGCCCTCCTGCCCCTTCCCTCACCCTCCCATCCTCAAGCAACCTCTGGTCTACGGTCTGTCACTAAGGATTAGTTTGCGGATTTTTAGAATTTTATATAAATATGGAATATAATGGAATATAAATGTGGAGAAAAGGACATTCAGGATGTACTTTTTTTTTTTGAGATTTATCCATGTTGTTGTGTGTCTCGTTCCTTTTTAGTGTTCACTCCTTGGTTTTCCTTTTTTTTTTTTTTCTTTTTTGGTTATCTAGACCTGCAGATGTTCACTCCCTTTTAGTGCTAAATAACATCCCATTGTACATCATCTGTTCACTTGTTGATGGACATTTACCAACATATCCTTTTAGGAAAAATTTGAGACCCCTAAATCTGCAGAAATAGAAGGGTTAAATTATGCTGTTGCTGCATAATGACAAAGGGCCATTAAAAATGATATTTTAGAACACTTAACAATACAGTTTTACTTATAATGTGTTTTATTGGGGGAAAACAGGATATAAAACTTTTTATTTAAAAGATATATATACCATACACATCAAAAAAAGAGACAGGAAAAAGTAGATTGGTTAGATTACTAAATGTTTTTATTTTCCTTATCATGTTTATCACTAGCAAGAATAAATAAATGCCATTTAAAAGAAAATAACTAAACTAAACATGCAGTTACCATACAACACAACAATTGACTTTTGAGCATTTTTCTTTGGGAAATGAAAACTTAGGTTAACAGAAAAACTTGTACACACATGTTCATAGCAGCTTTATTTGTAGTAGCCCCAAACTGGAATCAACTCAGATGTCCTTCAACAGATGGATGGTGAAACTATGGTATATCCATACTGTGGGCTATTTCTCAACAATAAAAAGAAGAAAATTATTGATACAGGTAACAACTTGGATGAATCTCCAGAGAGTGCTGAATGCAAAGGCCCATTCCAAAAGGTTATATGCTGTGCAATTTATATAACATTTGTATAGCATTCTTTTTTTTTTTTTTTTTTTTTTTTTTTTTGAGACAGAGTCTCGCTCTGTCACCCAGGCAGGAGTGCAGTGGTGCCATCTTGGCTCACTGCAACCTCTGCCTCCCGGATTCAAGTGATTCTCCTGCCTTGGCCTCCTGAGTAGCTGGGATTACAGGCGCACACCAGCACATCTGGCTAATTTTTGTATTTTTAGTAGAGGCGGGGTTCCGCCATGTTGGCCAGGCTGGTCTCAAACTCCTGACCTCAGGTGATCTACCTGCCTTGGCCTCCCAGAGTGTTGGGATTACAGGCATGAGCCACTGTGCCTGGCCTATAGTGCATTCTTGAAAAAAAAAAAAAAAATTGGCCAGGTGCAGTGGCTCACGCCTGTAATCCCAGCACTTTGGGAGGCCGAGGCAGGCGGATCACCTGAGATCAGGAGTTTGAGACCAGCCTGGCCAACATAGTGGAACCACGCCTCTACTAAAAATACAGAAATTAGCCAGATGTGGTGGTGTGCGCCTGTAATCCCACCTAGTTGGGAGGCTGAGGCAGGAGAATCACTTGAACCCCAGGGGGCGGAGGTTGCCGTGAGCCAAGATCGTGCCACTGCACTCCAGCCTGAGTGACAAGAGTGAAACTTCATCTTAAAAAAGAAAAAGAAAAAAAATGTTTTTAGAAATTCAGGTCAGATTAGTGGCTATCAGGAGCTAAGGACCGTGGAAAGAGGAGGGAGGTAAAAGGATCCTTGCAATGTTGGAGTTGTTGAGTATCTTAACATTGGAGGTGAATATATGAAAACCTACACAGGTGATAAAATTGTGTAGAACACACACATACAGTAAAACAAGAAATCTGAAGATCAGTGGATTGTATAGAAGTCAGCATCCTGGCTGTGGTATTATACTATAGTTTTTATAGAATGTTACCACTGCAGGAAACTGGGCAAAGGCCTAAGAGGGATCTCTATTATTTCTTACAATGGCACCTGAGTATAAGCAGTCATCTCAATACCAATGTCAATTTGAAAAGAAAAGCTCTGAAGGCAGGGGCCTCTGCTGAGCTGGAACCTGGTTCTGTGCTGGAGCTGTGGCTGGGTGTGGTTTGCTGAGAAGCCCCCGGGGCTGTTGCCCACCTTGCTTCTGCCCCTTGTTCCTGCAGCACGTGCAGCACATCCGCATCGATGGCTCCACCTCATCAGCTGAGCGGGAGGACCTGTGCCAGCAGTTCCAACTGTCGGAGAGGCATGCTGTGGCCGTGCTGTCCATCACCGCTGCCAATATGGGCCTCACCTTCTCCTCGGCTGACCTGGTGGTGTTTGCTGAGCTGTTTTGGAACCCAGGGGTAAGAGACGCAGAAGACTCAGATACTCCCCAGGCATGCTCATGGCTGTGGGCAGGAAGCAGTGAGTGTCGGTCGGGGAAAGTGTGGTTTCCCTTTTATCCATTCATTATACTTCCCACAAGTCAGTTTTCACTTCCTTTAAGCACTTCTATGTTGATTGACTAGTCTCTTTTTTTCTTTTTTTGAGACAGAGTCTCTTATCACCCAGGCTGGAGTGCAGTGGCATGATCTTGGCTCACTGCAACCTCCGCCTCCTGGGTTCAAGCGATTCCCCTGCCTCAGCCTCCCGAGTAGCTAGGATTACAGGTGTGAGCCACCACGCCAGGCGATTGGCTGTTTTCTAGATTTTCACAGCAACCTGTAGGATTATCGACTCCATTTTATCAACGGGAAGGTTGAAGTCTTCCAGGGCTAGAAGGAATCTTGACTTCATGTCTCATAGGAGGAAGTTAGGGCACCGAGAGCTCAAGGGGTGAGGCAGGACTGCACTGCCATAACTGAAGAGGGCACTTGGTGGCACCAGGTTGCAGCCCAGGCCTCACGTTCCAGCCTGTGCCCCCTTTAGTAGCCATCATTGTGAGCTGCTTTAACAATGGACCTCACACAGAGTGACAGCAGTGAGGGTTTCCTGGACACCACCACTGGCCTCACCTGACCAACTGAGGACAGAGATAAGACATTTGTTTGAACTCTTAAATTTTTCTGGTAATCTCCAGAAAAGTTATATCCCCTTTAATATTTATATAATATTTAATAATATTGTGGTTTTTATTGGCTACACATAAGAGACTACATTAATAATGGGTAGACCTTGAGGGTGTAGCCATTTTATACAAGAAATAATGCTCATGATGTTAGGTGGTTTTTTTTTTCTTTTGCTTTTTTGAGACAGGGTCTTGCTCTGTCACCCAGGCTGGACTGCAGGGACTTACTGGCTCACTGCAGCCTTGATTTCCCGAGCTCAGGTGATCCTCCCACCTCAGCCTCCTGAGTAGCAGGGGACTACAGGTGCACGCCTCCATGCCTAATTTTTGTATTTTTTGTAGAGATGGGGTTTCACCATGTTGCTCAAGCTGTTCTGGAACTCCTGGGCTCAAGCAATCTGCCTGCCTCAGCCTCCCAAAGTGCTGGGATTACAGGCGTGAGCCACCACATCCAGCCCTTAAGTATTTATTATAAGGCTTACCACTATATTAAACCACCACCCTATGCCCAAATCATGGATAGCCTCTCCCTTGTGTGTGATGTTTTTATTTATTTAGAAGATAACTTTTTATTTCATACAGTGAAGAAATGGAAGTGTGCAGGCCTCCATCACCAGCCCCTCCCCATGCAGCCTGATGGCAGAGCCTGTGCCTCTTCATTTGCAGCACCTAGCTCAGTGCCCAGCACTGAACAGCCACCTGCAGATCTTCTGCTTCAGATTCCAGTTCCCCAGCCAGGGCTGTTTTGGGTTCTCTCTTTTGTTAAAGTGGCAGGTCATTTGTAGGTCTGAGATGGTAAAGTGCAGGTTATTTCTAGGTCTGAGACAGTGAAGTGCTTTGAGGAGGGAGGGTTGTGGTGGGACTGGAAATGGGGTGGAGAGGAACCATACCTGCTATGGTGGATGGAACTGCTTCAGGCCTTTACCTGCCTGTCTCAATTCCTGGACACACAGGTGCTGATCCAGGCTGAGGACCGCGTGCACCGCATTGGACAGACCAGCTCCGTGGGCATTCACTACCTCGTGGCAAAGGGCACAGCTGATGACTACCTTTGGTATGGCTTGGTTGGGTGGCCTGGCAGTTGGAGTCGAGCAAGGGTGGAAACTGATGATATGTTTACTTTGCTCCCAAAGTGCTTCTGCTTTTGCTAAGTAAGGTCTTTAAGGATCTATAGAAAATTGACTAGTGATGCCCTCCTGCTTTCATCATGACCATATTTGGCCTCCCTCACTAGCGTTCACTGGTGGCTTGCAGGGTGCATGCTGAATCTTATAGCAATAAGGGGTTGTGGCTCCTTTTGCTGCTGGTCTGAGGCAGGGAGAAGTGCTGATTATGACAAAATATAGATGGAATTTAGTTTGTAAAACACCCTGTTCCCAGCTGTGAAGGCATTTGTTAGGACAGGGTGACAGTCTTTTACCTTTTATGATGTGCATTTATCTGGTGGGCACATCTTACATTGCTGCTGCTGGACCACAGGGAGAAAGTGGCTTACCCTGGACTGTGTAGTGTACTTCGTTAGCAGAGCTGGAGTAAGATTTTCAACCCTAGGGTTTTCTGTCTGTTACCTAAGTGAAAAATCTCAAAAAGCTTCTTCCCCTTATCTCCCCCTTCCTGATACAAAATTTCTTGATTATCTCATTTGTTTCCACTGCTTGTCTCTGTTTCCAGCCTTATGACTAAGGAGTCTTCCCTTTGCAATGTGTGTGGGTCACTCCTACTTCCCCCTTTTTAGTGGATTTGTTAATTGGGCAGCTCATAATACCACCAGATTCAAAATTGTGTTGAAATGAGGCAGCATTTATTTCCTACACATCTTCCATTAGAAAGAATATTGAACCTGATGATATTCTTAGCCCTAAATTGGAGTTTTTACAAATGAGAGGGGGCAAATTTTTCAAGATGGGTGTTTGCACCTTGAGAGATGCAGAGATGTGAAACCGTAAACAAGCCGTTGTCCCATAAGAACAAGGAGGGTGGCCTCATTTTCATTAGTCTGGTGGTTCTGTGCAGGTTGTATTCACTGCAGCTCATTTCTCCCCAACAGGCCCCTGATTCAAGAGAAGATTAAAGTTCTGGCAGAAGCCGGGCTTTCTGAGACCAATTTTTCAGAAATGACAGAATCCACTGATTACCTCTACAAGGTAATGCCAGCACATGGCTCTTCACCCCTGGAGCAGAGGGAGGCATTAAGCTGTCTGCCAAGTCTTTGGGTCCTGAGTAGGAGGATGTGAATCACTCCTAGGGACCTCCCCCAGCCTAGAGCTGAAAACAATGGCCTGCAGTCATTCTCAGTTGAACCATGCATGCATCGCTTTATGGGGAAATGATGGCATTAGCTCCTACAGCTGCTGACATTCCCGCACAGGCTCTGAATGCTGCCTCTTCCAGCAGGCCATTAGAAACTGACAAAACTCCCCATGGCAAATGTTGAATTGTTTCAAAAAGTACACAGCAACACCACACATAGGGCTGCCACAGGAATGCATCCCCAGCACAGAATGGGGAGTGTTTAAAATAGGGTACTGGCTTCATAGAATATATTTTCCCTTCTGTCATTTTATTTATTCTCAGTGTCTCCCCACTTGATAGAGGGGTAAACTGAGACATGGCAGTATAGTAGGTTTGCACAAAGTCACAGGGCATGTGAAGCCAGCCCAAGGAAGAAGGCTTCCTGACTTGGCCCAGCATTCCTCCTTTGAGCTCAGCCCTTGTTGTAAAGGAGTATAAGAGGCATCCCTCCATGACCAGGCAGGCCTTGTCAAAGGTGCTGAGGGGGAAGGCTGTTGCCTCTGAACAGGACAGCCCTGGGCCCATCATGCCTGCCTGGTTTCAGTGCTGCAGCCCAGTGGCTGCCACAGACTCTTCCTCCCCCATTTCAGTGAAACACAGTGGAGTGAGCAAGAGACCCAGAGCCTTCCAAAAGCTTGTTTTCCTTCCCCAGCTTGGATTGTTGGCCAGAAGGTGAAAACCAGGAGTATGCCCTCCTCGAGCACAGCTCATGGTTGAATTGTTTCTGCCAGGAGAGTTTGAACCAGGTCTGAGCCTCATGCAGAAAGGGGCCTTACGGTAGCTTATCAGGAAAGTGAAGCACCTCCTCCTTCCTGTGAAATCACCATCAGAATATTGAGTTAGGCCACACATGGTGGTGCACACCTGTAGTCCCAGCTACTCCAGAGGAAAAGGTGAGGATCACTTGAGCCTAGGAGGTCAAGGCTGTAGTTAGCCATGATGGTCACTGTACTCTAAACTGGGCAACAGAGCAAGAGCCTGCCTCAAAAAAAAAAAAAGAGAAAGAAAAAAGTTTAAATAAATAAGAAGTTGAGTTAAATCTTATCGTTGACACCAAGACTTAAGACTCTGTGGATCTGCTCATTCACTTACATTTATTTAGCAAATAAATTCTTTCTTTGCAAGGATTTATTTGCTAAATATTGGGATAAATAAGACTCAGATCATATTTTTAAATGCAGACTGCAAATTATCCTTTCAGACATATATAGTTAATAAGCCAATTTTAAAACAACCTTATTTTTAAGCTTTTTAAAGAACTCTCCAGTTCAGCTGAATGGTAAATGGTAACAGAGCCTAGGTTATTACAAGCCTTTTGAAAAGAAATAGTCTGAGCAGGCATAGTGGCTCAAGCCTCTAATCCCACACTGAGGCGGACAGATGACTTGAGCCCAGGAGTTTGAGACCAGCCTGGGCAACATGGTGAAACCCCCATCTCTACAAAAAATACAAAAATTAGCCAGGCATGATGGCACATGCCTGTATTCCCAGCTACTCAGGAGACTGAGGCAGGAGGATTCCCTGAACCTGGGAGGCAGAGGTTGCAGTGGGCCAAGATCACACCACTGCATTTCAGCCTAGGCAACAGAGACAGACCTTGTCTCAAAAAAGAAAAAAAAGAAAGCCTATTTTTAAAGGATTCTCACTTGAACTCATTTATTCCTCCTTGCCTTTCTCTTACTCTAAATTGGTTAAGCATTTCTACCTAAAATATAAGTACAAGGTAATATAAATGAGTTTTATCAATATTTTGATCAATAACTATATCAATTTATTTTTTAATTAAGATGGGGCTGAAAATTTTATCAACTACTAGAAAAAGAAAATGTTGCTTCCAATATAGGAGACAAAAGCAGAAGAGGTTATATCTCACTGAGATAGCCTTCCTTCTGAGAGGGGAAATGAAATATTAATCTGATCTTGGAACTCGCTTCCAATTAATTATGCATGCCCCGAGTCAGCATACAGTGTTGCCATCATCATAATCAAATGCACATTAGCAGCTTTTTCTACTTGGAATAGGCTGCCTTGCAGGGTGGCGTTTCCTTGACATTGCAGTCATTCAGAAAGAGGCTGATGAGGGCATCCTGGAGGAGGACATGTGGGTTATTTGGGGGTCAGCCTTGATGATCTTTCATATCATTTCCCTCTCTGCAAGGCTGGGATCCTGAAAGGCTAGGAGATTTCGGGTGCAGGTTAATTGAATAATCTGGAGTTCTTACATGACAGGCTGTCATGATCAATTTTCAAGGAACTCTACTTCACCAATGTGGAGGGATTTGGTTAAGGAATAGTGAGGAACAGTGGCCAGGTACGTTGAGACCTAATTCTATAAAGGCCTGAAAAGCCAGGGGAGCAACTGTAGACTTGATGAGGTAGGGACAGCGGAGCCCAAAGACATGACCAAAAAAATCTTTAAAGGAGAGCCTGGGGGTAAAAATCAGCTGGCAAAGATCTGTAGGCTGTTTGAAATGGGAAGAAGCCTGAGGCAGGAAGCGCAGTTGAGCTGTTGCAAATCCATGCAGTACCAAGTGATGTGGCCCAAGTAAAGATGGTGCCTGAAGGAGAGAGGAGGGAACTAATGGGGGGAACAAACTTGCATAAGCCGAGGACTCTGTTTGCCTGGATGATTTCCACCTGGGAGACTACGAGAATGCAGGTAGACTATAAAAACTAGACTTATGGGAAGAGAAGCTGCTTTGAGAATATAGGAGATGAGAGATCATTTGATTTTTTATATTTATTTATTTATTTATTTATTTAGAGACAGGGTCTCACTCTGTCACCCAGGCTGGAGTACAGTGGCACTATGCTGGCTCACTGCAACCTCCGCCTCCCAGGCTCAAGTGATTCCCCCCATCTCAGCCTCCCGAGTAGCTGGAACTACAGGCGCATGCTGCCAACACCCGGCCAATTTTCTGTATTTTTGATAGAGATGGGGTTTTGCCATGTTGCCCAGGCTGGTCTCTAATTCCTGAGCTTAGATGATCCCCCCGCCTCGGCCTCCCAAAGTGCTGGGATTACAGGCGTGAGCCCTTGCAGCAGCCTTATTTTTATGTATTTATTTTTTTTTTGAGACAGAGTCTCACTCTGTCACCCAGGCTGGAGTGCAGTGGCGTGATGATGGCTCACTGCAACCTCTGCCTTGTGGGTTCAAGCGATTCTTGTGCCTCAGCCTCCCAAATAGCTGGGACTACAGGCACGCACCACCATGTCTGGCTAATTTTTTGTATTTTTAGTAGAGATGGGGTTTCACCACGTTGGCCAGGCTGGTCTCGAACTCCTGACCTCAGGCGATCCATCCGCCTCGGCCTCCTAAAGTGCTGGGATTACAGGTGAGAGCCACTGAGCCCAGCCAAAAGATCATTTGATTTTAAACCAGTTTAGTTTTATGAAACTGTGGGATGTCAGTGGAGATATGGAAAATATACCTCTAAATTGAAAAATGGTCAAAGTTGGAAATTTAGATGTAGGAAAAATCGGCAGAGGGGTGATAGTGATCGTGTGTTGTGGTTGTATCCACTGGGCATGGTTTTAACACTACACCATTGTCATCAATGTATAGATGCAGTTGGTGGGTATTTTGATTATTTGTAATTTAAGGTAATCAGAATAGGTACACATATCTACTTATGAATATGTTAAATGTGTGTATGTTTTTTCAACTACTTTGAAAATTAGGTATAAGCCATGGCTGAACACAGAGATTTGGAAGTTGGGGGGCTGGGCACATGGTGGCTCACACCTGTAATCCCAACATTTTGGGTAGCTGAGGTGGGCAGATCATTTGAGCTCAGGAGTTCGAGACCAGCCTGGGCAACATTTAGTGAGATCCCATCTCTTAAAAAATTATAAAAATAAAAATAAATTTAAAAATAGAGATTTAGAAGTTGAATTATACCTTAACTGACCCTTAGTAGAGAAAGGCTTTGGAGGAAGTGAGATCTTGGGTGCTATTTCAGTATTGAAATAATGATTTGGAAAGTTCAAAGGGAGAAAACATTTCCAATGTAAATTATAGCGTGAGAGCAGCTTCTTTGTTGCACTCACAACCATTTCTTTTTCCTAACTCAATGAGCACAGAGAGGGTAAGATGTCAGACACTAAAACAGTGAGGCTGCTTTAGTGATGGTTTGCTGAGATGATGCACACTTGCCATCGTGTAGCTCCCTGACACCATGAAATGTGTGGTCTCTCATCTTTATATTCTCTCATCAGCCCTAGTGGAGGAGAGTCAGTGTTGGAGCCTGGGCTCTTCCTTTTATCTTTTGTTTTCTTTCTCTGATGAAGGACCCAAAGCAGCAGAAGATCTACGACCTATTCCAGAAGTCCTTTGAGAAAGAAGGAAGTGATATGGAGCTCCTGGAAGCAGCAGAGTCCTTTGACCCAGGAAGTGCTTCAGGAACATCTGGAAGTAGTTCCCAGAACATGGGAGACACCCTGGATGAAAGCTCATTGACAGCCAGTCCACAGAAGAAAAGGAGATTTGAATTTTTTGATAACTGGGACAGCTTTACGTCTCCCCTGTAAAAGGGGCAAAAAGAAAAAAATAAAAAGCATTTTAAAATCATGGAATTGAAATAAAATAATGTATTTTGTTTTAAAACTTTTTGAGCTTCTCTTGCCATTGCAGCAGTGCCTATGCCTGTGTCCAGGCTCAGCAGGAGACCAGGCCGAGCATCAGCTTTCCATTCCTGTGTCATTACGTGTGGGCTTGCTTGGGGTCTTAACCTCCGCTCTTCTGGCTTAGGGATGGACACAGCGAGTTGTAGTAGTGGGTAATTCATGTTCTCTAAAGAATGAGGTCCTTCCTACACAGTCCCCATAATCTAGAATTTTAAAATTTAGTGACTCAACAAATATTTATAGGGCACCTAATTTGTGCAGGCACTGTCCTAGGTGTTGGTAGTCATTCATCCAACAAAAGACAAAAGCGTGAGCCTTTGCCGAACTTACGCAGCGGGAGAGGCAATGGTTGTAGGTTCTCTTTTCCAATATAACTCTTCATGGACACTGAAATTTGAATTTTATTAATGTTCACGTATCACAAATTATTTTTTTTCTGCCATTTAAAAATGTGAAAACCATTCCTTGTTTACCAGCTGTACAGAAACAGACAGTGGGCTGGAAGTTGTCCACTGCCCATAGTTTGCCAATCCCTGGTTTAGAGCAGCGTGTTCCATTAGCAATGTAATGCAAGCTGCATATGTGATTGTAACTTTTCTAATAGAACATTTAGACTTAAGATTAATAATATAGGGAGGCTGAGGTGGGAGGATCACCCGAGGTCGGGAGTTCAGGACCAGCCTGACCAACATGGAAAAACCCCGTTTCTACTAAAATTACAAAATTAGTCTGGTATGGTGGTGCATGCCTGTAATCCCAGCTACTTGGGAGGCTGAGGCAGGAGAATCACTTGAACCCGGGAGGTGGAGGTTGTGGTGAGCCCAGATTGCGACATTGCACTCCAGCCAAGAGCGAAACTCCGTCTCAAAAAAAAAAAAGAAAAGATTAATAATGCATTTAACCCAATATATTAAATATATTATTTCAATTTACAAACAATATTTAAAAATTATTAATGGGAAATTTTAGATTCTTGGACTGGGCACAGTGGCTCATGCCTGTAATCCCAGCACTTTGAGAGGCCAAGGTGAGTGGATCACTTGAGGTAAGGAGTTCGAGAGCAGCCTGACCAACATGGAGAAACCCCATTTCTACTAAAAATACAAAAATTAGCCAGGTGTGGTGGCACATGCCTATAATCCCAGTTACTCAGGAGGCTGAGGCATAAGAATCACTTGAACCTAGGAGGCGGAGGTTGCAGTGAGCCAAGATCGTGCCACTGCAATCCAGCCTGGGCAACAGAGGAAGATTGTCTCAAAAAAACAGAAAAGAAATTTTACATTCTCTTTTCTGAACTAAGTCTGAAACAATGTATTTGATACAGGCAGCATCTCAATTTGGACTAGCCACAGGTTTCACCTGCTCAGTAGCCATATGAGACTGGTGGCTCCTGTATTGGGCAGCTCTGGTTTAGAGAGTGATGAGGGAGTAGGATGTCATGTGGGGAAGAGCAATAGTTGATCATGTTGAGGAGAGGGACAGAATGATGCAGGGCTGATAGGCCACAGTAAGGAATCTGGGTTTAATTCTGAGTATGAATGGGAGCCACCAAATGGCTTTGAGCAGACATATGAGGCGATCTGATTGTATATAAATGAAAATATTTTTTAAACTTATATGTATCTTTTAAACAGAGACACAGCATCTCATTATGTTGCCCAGACTGGTCTCAAATTCCTGGCCTCAAGTGATCCTACTGCCTTGGCCTCCCAAAGTGCTGGGACTACAGGTGTGAGCCACTGCACCTGGCCCTTTTTTATTTTTTAAAAATATAATCAGGCCCAACATAGCAACACCCTGTCTCTATTTAATAAAATAAAATAAAAAATATTTCACGCCAATGCATGTGCAGAAAATAGAGCAAGAAAAGTGGGCAGGGGTAACGCTTAGGTAGGAAGCTATGGAGCTACTGCGATTATCCGTGGGGTTGGTGCTGGGGTGTGGCTGAGTATGGGTCGAACCATGGAGGAGATGAGAAGTGGTTGGGTTCTGGACGTATTCTGAAGGGAGCGATGGAAGGATATGTGTAGATAGATTGACCAAGGGGCATTTGTGGAAGAGAGGCTGGGACTTTGGTTTTGGCCTGAGCAAAGTGGTAAGAGAAGAAAGAGTGGGAAGGGGACACTGGGGAGCCAGGTAAAATCAAGGGTTTGGTTATGGACTTGTTGAATTTGAAATGGCTGGGAGATAATCTAGCAAACTTGGAGACACCCCACCCAGATCCCCTTCAAGGAGGGACTTGCTCAGCTGTGGGGAGTGAAGTTGGTAGATGGCTTCCACCTGGCCACAACTGGCCTGCAGAAAGCCACTTTGTCTGAGGTCACACCCTTCTTAAGGCAGCTTGCATCCATGACTGAGCAAGTCGGGGCACAAAGGCTGGGCCACTTTGGCCTGATGCGGGGCACCTCTGATGAAATACTTAACATTGTGTTACAAGTGCCTGCATATTCAGTACAGTAACATGCTATACAGGTTTGTAGCCTAGGAGCAATAGGCTAGGCCATATAGCCCAGGAACTATGTCCTGGGCAGTATTCGCTGCAGAGCTCCCTGCTCCCTTCCCCCTGCTCCCTGCTGGATTGTCTAAGGTTCCCACAGGCCTATATCACAGTTCACCTCTTCCCCCTGCCAAATAGGCCTCCAGCCCCTTCCTTTCACAGGTGTTAATCCCTAATAGATTATCTTGTGCCCCAAACTCTGTCTTGGTGTCTGTTTCTGGGAAACCCACACAATCTAACAAGATCCAAGTGGAGATGTTCTGCAGGCAGTTAGATGTGTGAGTCTTCACACTGTGGAAACGTCAGAGAAAGAGCTGTGGATTCTGCCCTAGCATGAGCTGAATGAGGTCACTGAACGGGTAAGAGTGGCTTCTGAAGAAAAGCAGTTCTGACTGACCCCCACAAATTGCAACATAGAGACAACGATTGGGCAGGGAAGTAAATGAGGAAGAAAATCAGAATGGGTGCCCAGGAATGGGAGTTTTTGGGGTTTCTTGTTTGTTTGCTTTTTGAGACAGAGTCTCACTCTGTTGCACAGGCTGGAGTGCAGTGGCACGATCTCGGCTCATGGCATCCTCCGCCTCCAGGCGATTCTTCTGCCTCAGCCTCCAGAGTAGCTGGGATTACAGGTGTCTGCCACCACCCTCAGCTAATTTTGTATTTTTAGTAGAGATGGGGTTTCACCATGTTGGCCAGGCTAGTCTCGAACTCCTGACCTCAAGTGATTCACCCGCCTCAGCCTCCCAATCTACTGGGATTACAGGCGTGAGCCCCGGTGCCCAGCCAGGAATGGGAGTTTTTTAAAGTATTTTACCAAGGAAGGAGCTGCTGCTCTGACTGGTCTTACAGAAAGACAGTGAGCCAGATGTACGTTAGAGTTTAGAGTTAGCGCAATTTTCACAACAGCAATGAAAGATGCCTAATTTGTCTGACGTCATGGTGTGTGGATTTGTTAGACTTAAATTGTTTTCACTATTCAGTACTTACTAGGTGCCAGGCACTGGACTAAGTGCTTTACATAAATTGTCACACTTAATGCAATCTTGGAGGAAGGTAGTGATATTTTGATTGTGCAGGTGGAGAAACTGAGCCAAGAAATGTTACAAATTGCTCAAGTCCAGCTAAGAAGTGGCAGAGCAGAACCAGCAACCAGGCCACCCCACCCCTAGAGCCCACCCATAGGTGTGCTGTTCCCCAGCAGGAGACCCAGTGGTGCCCTGGTGGTCTGTTAGCTGAGTTTGGTGCATGACTCCCTTCCTGAAGGGCTTGGCCCTGGCTGGAAGTCTGTCTCTGCGGTCCACCAGCTGGCTCTCTGCAACAGAGAACAGGAAGACACTGGAATGCACCACTTTCTTATCCTTTTTAGTTCCCTTTCCTGAGTTTCTCAACAACTCCAGTTGACAGAGTAGATCTTTTGAGGACACCTAACCCCCCTCACTGTTGTTCAGGGTGGGGTCGGGGGAGGCTTCCTGACGCTTCAGCACAGCTGGGACTGGGGTATCCATGTCCTGCGTAAGGAAGGCTCTGGCCTCAGGAAATGAGTGAAGATGATCACCTTGTTTCATGGCGTGTGGCTGCTGTGCTTCCAATTGGTCACTGTGTCAAGCTGCCGGCTGCTCCTTGGGCCAGATCTCTCCCAGAAGGCCCGGTCTAAGCATCTAAGTGGCATCAGTTGCTTCTCCCAGCTTGCTGAGGAGGACTGTGGGTTAACCGTTGAGTCTGCTTTCCACTGCCTTATCCTGCCATGAGGAGCTCTGCTGTGGCCCCAGATCTCCATAAATAACTAGGCCTTTGGTCTCCTCGTTACCTGCTGAAATGAAAATCCAGGCCCAAAGGCCGGGAGAGAATGTCTTGTCTTGGCTTTCCTTTGGGCCACCTGAATTTTCTTAAATCTTCTCACTCCTAGCTGTCTGTTTTAATTTTGTTAGATATACCACTTTGACATTTGACTATTATAACGGTGACTTGTATCTTGTCAGAAACTTCCAGAGGACAAATGTTGGCTCTATCTAAATTTTATTATGATTTTGTCCAAATCAGGTACTCAGTTTTCTAAGAGCAAAAAACAGAGCAGCGGCTGCAGTTTTGTCTAGTAAGCTATACTACACCCCCTTGTGAGTGGTTGCTCTGAAAAGCCAATTATAGTCATTCACCACATAACAACTTTTGGTCAACAATGGGCTGCATGTGCCATGGTGGTCCCTTAAGATTATAATGGAGCTGGAAAATTCCTATTGCCTAGTGTCTGTCATAGCCATTGTAATGCTGTAGCACAATGCATTACCTCTCCTATGTTTAGATATGTTTAGATACAAAAACACTTACCATTGTGTTACAAGTGCCTACATATTCAGTACAGTAACATGCTATACAGGTTTGTAGCCTAGGAGCAATAGGCTAGACCATATAGCCCAGGTGTTTACTGGATGCTACTATCTAGGTTAGTGTAAGTACACTCTGTGAGGTTCGTGCAATGAAAAAATTGCCTAACGACAAATTTCTCAGAATGTATCCTGGTTATTAAGTGATGCTTGACTGTACATCACCTCATGGCTATTGCCCTTGGAGGTTTATAACTGGCAATGGACCCAGAGATCAATGCAGGTATGGAGAAGCACGAAGTCATTCACGTCGTGTGTGGCGTGATGGGAGGTGATCCAATGGGGACAGACCCTGTATGAAAAGAAATGCTAAAATTGTACATAAATTTTGCCCACATGTTGTTTGCATGGATTTTTGCAGTCTTAGGGGTCTTGTCAATCGAAACAACACAGTCACTTCATTAGGGAAAAATCTTTGGAATAAGTCAAGGCCCAGGAAGCAGAAAGGATTTTGGATCACAGGCAGATCTTGAGAGAACTTCAGGAAGGAATATTTCTTCCTCACCTGCCCCAGTGCCCATCCAAAGCCTCTGCTCTGTGTATCTGAATCACATGACTTGAGAAACATGAAGGAGCCCTCACCCGGGCCCTGTGGACATCTCCCAAGATGCTTCCACCTGTCTGCTATTCACTCAGCCCCCACCAGAGTTTTGGTGCAGCTTTTCTGTGGGCTCTATGGACTTGGATCTCTTAGGATCTCATTCTCTATTTCCATTAACAGTTTCTCCTCTAGGAAGGTGGTTAGGATACAATGGGTATATGGGGTGTAATACAATGGTTATGCTTTGAAAATAAAAGTGAATGTACAGGTGATTTTAGAGACATTCATACCCAGTGTTGCTATGGAGAATCACTGATCATCATTAAATTACTAAATTCCTGTCGTATTCACCCCAGGACCTGCAGCACAGAATGGCCCTCATGATACTGCAAGAAGTCAGGTTAGTGGCTGCCAATGGGAGGCCTTGCTCTCGTTCCTTGCAATTTGGTGCTCTTATTTATTTATTTATTTGAGGCAGAATCTCACTCTGTCACCCAGGCTGGAGTGCAGTGGGGCAATCTTGGCTCAGTGCAATCTCCACCCCCTGGGTTCAAGGAATTCTCCTGCCTCAGCCTCCCGAGTAGCTGGGATTACAGGCACCCGCCACCACGTCTGGCTAATTTTTGTATTTTTGGTAGAGATGGGGTTTCACCATGTTGGCCAGGGTGGTTTTGAAGTCCTAACCCTAGGTGATCCACCCACCTCGGCCTCCCAAAGTGCTGGGATTACAGGCGTGAGCCACCACACCCCGCCTGGTGCTCATATTTAAAACCATTATTTGTCTGTAGTCTTAGTAAATATGGCCTCCATCTGAGGCCTCTAGTTGAACCTCAGTTTTAGCTGTTCTGGAGAAAAACGAACTCTCTCTTTGAGATGTCCCTGAGGTCCTCCAAAGCAAATTTTATTTATACCATGTAGCCTATTTTAAGTTAGACCATCCCATATGTACTCTGAAATTTGTTAAGAGTCACCTAACCAGTTCTGTATAATTCAGCAAAAGACACTTGGACTTATTTATATAGAGAGTGAATACCACTGGGTTTAAAGTGGTATTAATATTTCCACACTAACTCCTTTTCCTCCTTCATTTCACAGCACAGTCCAGACCCCCAGAACTGTGTTTTCTGGAAGCGTCAACTGAAATGAAGAAAATCTAGGCCCATCTCCTCCCACTCTTGTCCCTGCCATCAATTGTACCCTTACAGGATTTTACTAGAAGTCCCCTCTGGCCCATGGAGCTGGTCTCTGCCTTCCCTCACCAGGGTCACTAAGTGGTATCTTGTTTCCTGAGTGATCCTGGTTGATTTCTGCCTCTAGGGCTGGCATCAAGGAAACCTCTAAGAGGCAGCAAAGAATCCTGTTAGTCTTGATCCACTTGTGCTTGAATTAATCATGTCTTTTTCCTTCTTGGCTTCAGAGGAGCCTTTTTCTAGATCAGTGGGAGAGCTGAGAAATTGAGCAGGAGGTGTCATCCCCACACCACTGGCTCTGAGGTGTTGTCTTGTCTGTTCGTTCTCGTCTGTTAGAACCTCAACGCTTTTTGAAGTTCTATCCTCTTTTTTGCAAAGGGGAGAGAATGAAGTCCAACCTTATATTTACTCCATCCTCCCACTTCTCACCAAGTTCAGAATTATCAACATAAAAAGTGGCTCGGAAGTTTAAAGAGGGTTAATTGGAGAAGTCTCTTCTACCTGTGTTTTGTTTTGGTTTTGTGTTTTCCTGTGCAGTCTCAGTGAAGGAAATGAATTCCTGACCATAGCAGAAAGCATTAAGAAGCCTGTGAGTCACAGTCTTTTGGGCATTATGACAATCAACAGTTATCTGATTTTGCAAGATCCTCTGCACACATTTCTCTCCCACCCCCTATTCAACAGATTTTGAGGCTCTTTTTCTCTTTTTTAACTCCTTTTTTTGGGGGCAAAATATAATATACAGAACAGTTCATAAAACAATTTAGTTTAACAAAATATTTTAAAATACACATCCATGTAACCATGACCCCAAGGTTATGAAAATAGTATGTTGTGAGGCCGGGTGTGGTGGCTCACGCCTGTAATCCCAGCACTTTGGGAGGCCGAGGCAAGTGGATCACCTGAGGTCGGGAGTTCGAGACCAACCTGACCAACACGGTGAAACCCCATCTCCACTAAAAAAAAAAAAAAATACAAAAATTAGCTGGGTGTGGTGGTGCATGCCTATAGTCCCAGCTACTTGGGAGGCTGAGGCAGAAGAATCACTTGAACCCGGGAGGCAGAGGTTGCAGTGAGCCGAGATCGTGCCACTGCACTCTAGCCTGGGCGACAGGGCGAGACTGCCTGGGCAACAGAGCAAGACTCCGTCTCAAAAAAAAAAAAAAGAAAGAAAGAAAGAAAAAAAGAAAAAGAAAATAGTATGTTGCAGAAGCTTTTGTGTTTTGCCGTTAATGTTTAGATCTACAATCCACCTGCAGTTTATTTTTGTATATGGGGTGAGGTAAGGCCAAGGTTAATTTTTTCCATATGAATATGCAGTTAGCTCGGCACCACTTATGGAAAAGACGGTCCTTCCACCTACTGCTCTGCAGTGCCTTCTTTCCAATATTATGAACTGGATGTAAAAATACATCTAAGGCTGGGCGCAGTGGCTCACGCCTGTAATCCCAGCACTTTGGGAGGCCAAGGCGGCAGATGAACTGAGGTCAGGAGTTTGAGACCAGCCTGGCCAACATGGTGAAAACCCATCTCTACTAAACATGCAAAAAAATTAGCTGGGCATGGTGACGGGCGCCTGTAATCCCAGCTACTCAGGAGGCTGAGGCAGGAGAATTGCTTGAACCCGGGAGGCGGAGGTTGCAGTGAGCCGAGATCGTGACACTGTACTCCAACCTGGGCAACAGACAGAGACTCTGTCTAAAAAAAAAAATTCATCTAGAAAAGTATAAGCTCAAAAATAAGAGTCCTGCATTCTCCTCCCTCCCTCCCTCAGCCCTACCTCCTAGAAGTAATAACTAAATAATTTGAGATAAAGCCATTTGTAATTTATCTCTATGCATACAAATATATGTAAAATACACATAGAATCTGTTTTTACAAAAACTGTATCAAATTCTTCATACTGAAAATGACTCACTTCACATGATGTACTTGGCCATTGTTTCATATTGATCTACCCATTAAATTATGATTTATTTATTTATTTATTTATTTATTGAGACAGAGTCTGTCTCTGTCGCCCAGGCTTGAGTGCAATGGTGCGATCTCAGCTCATTGCAACCTCCGCCTCCTGCTACTCGTTAAATTAAGCTTAACCCAGTGCTGCCTTGTTACATATTTTAAAGTCCGCCTAAAGGTTTCTCTGTGCAGAGTGAACTATAACCTAACTAGATTGGTAAACAGACTGGGACCCACTCTTGTAACAAGTAGCCAAGTCTCAGGCAATTACCGCAGCCATATGTCAGCCAATCACAGGTGGCCAACCGTTCACACTGTGTTCAAATAAGGCAAATATGCAACCAATCCAGCTCTTTCTGTCCTCACTTCCCTTTTCTGTATGTTACTTTCTTTGTTCTGTCCATAAATGTGAACCAACCATGTGGCAACCCTGGAGCTGCTCCGGACCTCTTCTGGTTGTGGGGGCTGTCCAATTCACAAATCATTCTTTGCTTAATTAAACTCTGTTAAATTTAATTTGTTGAAAGTTTTCCTTTTAACATACCTTATCCCACTTAAGAGTTGCCAAGTAACTACTCCAGTCTTTATGTGTGCACTTCCTGTGTAAATGCTCTGTGACGGGTCCATTAATAACTAGAACGAGTTTAAATGGAATTTGAGGGGAGAAGGAGGAAAGGAAAGAGGGGTTGCCTGAGTCAATTTCCCACACTCTTATTCTTTCGGGGCATCCAGGACTGCCTTGGAGGGCCTCACCTTTCCTGCTGGGTCAGCTCTTGCCTGTGGCTCTGGCCTCACGGGACTCTCAACAATGCTGTGCAGGCCCCACTCTTGTCTGTGGCCCCCAGGGGCTTTGTGGAGAGCAGGCTCTCTTGAGGCATGAAGTGAAGGAACCACGCCCCAATAAACCCTTTCTGTCTCCAGCACAAGATGAATTTGGAATGATGCTTGCACCTCAGATTTCTTTCAAGAATAAAATGTTCCATATGCCCCAAGAGAACTGGTTAACAGCTACAAGAACTCCTCTCTGGAGGTGACTTTTAACTTATTTATTTTTCTAAAGGCAAAGAGTGAATGTTGAGGGCTCCTTAAGAGCAGAGGTGAGCCAGCAGTGATTTTTACTGAGTCTTTTATGGGGACACATTATAGTTAACATTCTCCACACCGGATGGTACTCTAATAGGGATGGAAATTTATGAGCCCACAGAAAAGACAAATTGAGACTTTAGGAGAGGGCCGATTCTCTGAAGTCACTCAGAGCTGATTTCATGAGTGCTATTTGTACATCCTCAAGCTTGCTATTTAAAGATAATTGTTCAGTTTTGACAAAATTGCTCTGAACATGAACAATTTCCTCCTATTATGGAGTGTCTCATTTTCAGCCGCTTACTGCATTCCTACTCATGCATTCCCTCTTCTCTTGCTCTCTCTCTCAGACCCCCCTGAAGGCCAGAGACGTAGGAGGCTCTGCAGCGGAGGGCGTGGGGGAGGCAGCACATTTGCTAAATGATGATCTGAATTAGGCTCTAGTGCCAGCCCAGGATGGCTCACCTCAGCTCTGCCTGGACTGCCCCAGCATGAAGCTGACTCACCCACTCCCCAGCTCAATTGAGCACCATCCTGTGTGGCCAAGAGGCACAGTCTGAAAAGGGAGGATCATGGTGAGCATTTGTTTAAGACTCCTTCCACTAGTCTCCTTTGTTTGTATCAACATGGATATATTTTTGTTTTAATTTATAGTTTTCTGGAGGCAGGCATTGCTTGGGTGGAGAGCTTTCCAGATAACATCCCTGAAATGCAGTGCATTTCCCTTCTGAGGGAAGAGGGACTTGTTCCCTTGGCCCCTTGCCATCTTCCACCCTAACCTATGGGGGCAGAGGGTGCATGAGGCCTGTGGTGGAAGAGAAACATCTTGGGCACATCTCACTCCCTTTGTGGGCCTCAAGCGGCATCAGTTACCATGACTGTAGTGGTTTCATTGTGTCCAAGCTAAAGAAATTAAGGAGAAAAGAGATGGGCATATTTTTAAGGGAAAGAAGAAGGCAGATCTTCTGTACTTCCTTGAGTATGGCAGAAGAGGAGAGAGGATTGAAAAGGCAGAAAGAGATGTTGAAATCAGGTAGCAGCAGCAGCAGCAGCAGCATCTCAACAAACATACTGGCCACTATTTTAAAATGTTCACTAGACACTTCATGGAAGTTATTTTATCTTCCTGAGACCCTTTATTGTACAGTATACTCATTTTGCAGCTGCGGAAAGAGACTTAGAGACTTGAATCATGTGATACAGTGGAGCGAACACACGTTTATGTGTCACTTAATGGCTATGTGACCTTGGGCAAGTCATTTGACCCCCCGGGCCTCAGTTTCCAGTTTGGGCTACATTATCTCTAAAGCCTTTTTCAGTTCTGACATAACTGGACTGACTTTACAAAGCAGAGAAACCCAAACACATGAAACGCTTCATATACCCATCACCATTATACCATGCAAGGTAACAATCCCCCATTCAACAGACATTACTGCTGACACGTCAGGCTCTTGTATAGGTCCTGGGATGCAGAGGTGAACAACACAAGCCCTGTCCTCATGGAATTGACTTGTGGTGACCTCCTTGGGTGGTGGTGGTGGTTGTTTTAAAATAGACTTTATTTTGTAGAACAGTTTTATAGTTATATAAAAAAATTGAGGAGAGAGTATTTTTGTATACCCTTACCCAATTTTCTCTATTGTTAACTTTTTTTTTTTTTTTTTTTTTTTTGAGATGAAGTCTTGCTCTGTCGCCCAGGCTGGAGTGCAGTGGCACGATCTCAACTCACTCCACCTCCACCTCCCAGGTTCAAGCAATTCTCCTGCCTCAGCCTCCCGAGTAGCTGGGATTATAGGCATGTGCCACCATGCCTGGCTAATTTTTTGTATTTTTAGTAGAGATAGGGTTTCACTGTGTTAGCCAGGATGGTCTCAATCTCCTGACCTCGAGATCTGCCTGCCTCAGCTTCTCAAAGTGCTGGGATTACAGGCGTGACCCACCGCGCCCGGCAACATCTTAACATTAGTATGGTAAATTGGTTACAATTCATAAAGCAAGATTAATACATTATTATGACCTAAAGTCTGTAGTTTATTCGGATCTTCCTAGTTTTTAACGTATTGTCTTTTTTTTGTTCTAAGATTTCATGTTACATTTAGTCATCATGTCACCTTACGCTCCTCTTGGCTGTGACAGTTACTCAGGCTTTCCTGGTTTGACAGTTTTAAGGAGCCCTGGTCAGGTATATTGAAGGATGTCCCTCTTTTGGAATTTGTCTATTGTTCTCATGATTAGACTGAGGTTATGGGTTTTGGGAGAAAGATCACAGAGGCAAAGTGCCATTTTCATTCCACATCAAGGGGACATAGTAACAAGATTATCACTGTTGATGTTGACCTTCATCACCTTGGCTGAGGTCGTGTTGGCTATAAAGTTACTCTTTTTTCCCCTTTCTATACTGTGCTCTTTGGAAGGAAGTCATTCTGTGCAGCCCACACTTAGGGAGTGGGGAGTTATGCTCACCCTCCTTGAGAGCAGAATATCCACATAAATTATTTGAAATTCTTCTTGGCCGGGTGCAGTGGCTCACACCTGTAATCCCAGCACTTTGGGAGGTCGAGGAGGGTGGATCACGAGGTCAGGAGTTCAAGACCAGCCTGGCCGTTATGGTGAAGCCCCGTCTCTACTAAAAATACAAAAATTAGCTGGGTGTGGTGGTGCATGCCTGTAGTCCCAGCTGCTCAGCAGGCTGAGGCAGGAGACTTGCTTGAACCCAGGAGGCAGAGGTTGCAGTGCGCCCAGATCATACCACTGCACTCCAGCCTGGGCGACAGAGCAAGACTCGGTCTCAAAAAAAGAAAAAATAAATTCTTCTGCAAAAGAGAGTTGCCTCTTGTCTTTCATTTATTTAGTCTATCATTTATTTATATCCACATGGACCCATGGATATTTATTTTACACTTGGGTTAAATCAATACTACCTTATTTATTGCTCAAAATTTTCTAGCTTTGGCCATTCGGAGTTCTTTCAGTTGACTCCTGTGTCTCTCTGACATATCCCCATCAGTGTAGGGTTTTCTGAACATTTCCTTACTTTCTGGCACAAGATACTGCAGGCTCGCCTTGTATATTTCCTGCTGCAGTCCTAGAATGAGTCACTTCTCTAAGGGGCCCTGGTTCCTTTTATTAAAGAATGATATTATAAACCAAGATCTGGGGTCTGGGCATGGTGGCTCATGCCTGAAATGCCAGCACTCTGGAAGACTGAGGCTGGAGGATTGCTTGAACCCAGGAGTTCCAGACCAGCCTGGGCAACATGGCAAGACTGTCTCTACAAAAATAAAAAAATTATTTGGGCACTACTCAGGAGACTGTGGTGAAAGGACTGCTTGAGCCTGGGGAGGTCAAGGCTATAGTGAGCTGTGATCACACCACTGCACACCAGCCTGGGGAACAGAGCAAGACCCTGTCTCAAAACAAAACAAAACAAATAAAAACAAACCCTGAGATCTGGGGCAGTAGGTATACTCGTCGTTACTGGAGATGTTTGGGGTTTTTTTTTTAATGGTAGTTTTTTTAGATTATAAAAGAAACACATGCTCATTATAAAAGATAATTAGAAAATGCAAAAAATGTATGCAAAAATCAATTTGACTATTCCCACTATCCACTACTTTTTGCTTTTTCTCCTCCTTGAATTTACACAGCCAGAGCTGGAATAACAGATTGGGGAGGATAAAGAGACAACTACCTTTATTCCACAAAATTGTGCAAGATGTGCTGACATAAAGCACATGGTGGGTCACTGCCCCAGTGGCACTCAAAGTCTGGAAGCTCTTCCTGGAATCATAGGAGGGAAGAACTGGACAGGACCTTGAAGACCACCTGGTCCAGCTCCTTGTAAATAAAGATGGTGGCTGCTGGGAGGTGGGGAGGTGGTTCTCCATGTGGGGACTGTGGCTTACCTAAAGTCAAACCACAAGGTAGTTACAGATCCTGGCCCAGACTGAGTGCCAGGGACCTGATTTTAATTCAACTATGTTTTCTGATGTGCTTTTTCAGTGCACTAAATATTATGATTTGGCGTAGTACAAGCTAGCAATTAGGAGAACTAACTTTGGGATCAGACAGACCAGATTTGAGTTCTAATTGCTGTGTGACATTGAGCAAGTTTCTTAACTTCCCTGAGATGAGTTTCTTTTTTCTTTCTTTTTTTGTTTTTGTTTTGAGAAAGGATCTCACTCTGTTGTCCAGGTTGGAGTGAAATGGTGTGATCATAGCTCACTGTAACCTCTGAACTCCTGGGCTCAAGCAATCCTCACGTTTCAGCCTTTTGAGCAGCTAGAACCACAGATGTGTGTCACCATACCTGGCCTATTATTTTTTTGTGTGTGTGGAGATGGGGTCTCGCTATATTGTCCAGGCTGCCTAGAACTCCTGGTCTCAAAGAATCTTTTCCAAGAGAGACTCTGTCTCAAAAAAAAAAAAAAAAAAAAAAAAAAAAGAAAAAGAAAAAAGAAAGAAAAGTATATAATAACTTGTCAGAGGTCCCACAGCTGGTAAATAGCAGAGTTCTGTTTTGAACCCATACTGAATCCAGAGCCTCTAAGTTCCTAATCATTACATGAGACTTCCTCTCTTTTTCTTAGTAATGAAGATAATAATCATTCCTATCATAAAGGATAATGGAAAATTAAATGAGAACATCCACATAAAATACTCAGTGCCTACCATGTGTTACCCTCCAACAATTGTAACCATATGAAGTACATAGCTGTTTGCAAGTTGCTTTGATTTGATTTGATTCATATATATTTTTTGAGACAGAGTCTCACTCTGTTGTCCAGGCTGGACTGCAGTGGCGTGATGACAGCTTACTGCAGCCTCAACCTCCCAGGCTCAAATGATCTTCCCACCTCAGCCCAGGTATGCAAGTTGACTTTAATACAATTGTGAGGAAAAGTGAACAGGTGCAAAATTATTTGAGACAGTTAATATTAAGCTTTGGGAACGGAAGCTACTTGTTACCGGACTTCTGATTGGAATCAGGGCCACACAATGCCTTTCAGCTCCCATGGTCTTTCTTGGCCCTCTAATCATGGATTCTCTCTTACACTCTTATTCCAGTAGTTTTCTGAGCTTCTTATTCTCTGGATTAGCCATCCCCTGAAAAAAGGCAACCAAACTTCCTAGTGTGTGTGTTCTACGTGAAGAAAGAAGATCATGTGTCTAGTTCCAGAACACACCCTCCCCACCCCCGGCCTCAACCAGAAATCCAATTCTTCCCTGCTGACCCCTTTGAGAGACCTGGAGGGACAGAGAATTGACGGTGGGTAAAGGGTAAGATGTTGGAGTTTAAGGGTTCAGGCCTGGACCAGGAAGCTGTCTTAACAGCCTAGTGTGGGGCCATGGAAGTGAGTTCTGAAATGAAGTGGAAGGCAGGCCATCCGCACTGAGATGCAGCAGCTGGAACACAAAACTCCAAGGTGACTGTTAACTTTTCCCCAGCCTTCCAATCTCAGACTTTCCTCAGGAAACACCAGGCTCTTCTGAATTAGTCGCGAGCAGAACCATCGTCCTTTCCTTCAGAACTCTGACCAGTTTGAAACTGTCTAACTTCTTAATGTGGCTATATGATCGTTTGCAGCTGGCCTGCAACTTGTTCTGGGAATGGAACCTTGGATTTTAGTCACCACTGTCGCTAGCATCCTGCACAGTCAGCCACTTTTAGAGAGCATAATGCAGAGGGGGAAATAAATGAGATTTGGAATAGAGACGGGGTTTCACCCTGCTGGCCAGGCTGGTCTCGAACTCCTGACCCACCCCGCCTCCCAAAGTGTTAGAATCACAAGCGTGAGCCACCGCGCCCGGCCCCACAAATGTAAGATTTATGCACTTCTCCAAGCCAAGTGCTGTGCATCGAATGGAGGAACTCGTACCTTTGCAGGATTTTGTGATATATGTGAAATAATCCGGACATGCTTCTGCTATGGTTGTTTGTCGCCATAGTTTGCGAATCTGGGTAAACCTGGATGAGAGAGACGCCTTACAATTGCAAACATTTCTCAGGAGGCCGCCTGAAAACGCCCAAACCATAGAGCTCAGTTCCTAGCTAGGCCTCTACCAGCCACTTCCGCTCGTCCGCCTAATACCGCGCCTGCGCACCGCGTCTCTTCCTTTCTGGGCTCGGACCTAGGTCGCGGCGACATGGTGAGTGTGGGTCTCTGTGCGGCCTAGAACTCTATCTGCCTGCATCTGTCCTTGTTTTCTTCTCCCGCACCCATCTCCTCTCCTGCCTTACCCCGTGTTCTCTCCTGTCTCCATGCCTTTGCAGGAGACACCATTGTCGGAAGCTCCCCAAGGCGGAGGGGCGGGGGCGCCTTGGCTGGGCCTGGCGCGCTCCAGCCGGGTTAACGCCGGGCCTTCGGAGCGCGCGGCCAGCCCTGGGCACTGGTTTCGTTGGGTTGAATTTAGGGAAAACTAGGTCATATGTAATTCACATGTCGGTCACACGTCAGTGAGGTGGAGGAACGGTGTGTGGAGGCTCCAGGGCCTGCCTGGGTTCCAGGTCTATCACTGGTTTCTCCCTTCACTCTAAACAGGCCAAACGTACCAAGAAAGTCGGGATCGTCGGTAAATACGGGACCCGCTATGGGGCCTCCCTCCGGAAAATGGTGAAGAAAATTGAAATCAGCCAGCACGCCAAGTACACTTGCTCTTTCTGTGGCAAAGTAAGTAAGGCAAAGTCTCTGGTGAGAGGAGAGGGAGGGCAGGTTTCTTACCCAAGTGAGGCCTGACTTCAAGGTATTTTATAAGCCGTGTGCTGGTGGGCAGTTGGAATTACTCATACCGTTGATTATGAGTTTTAAGATAAAAGTGTTGATGGTAACTTCAGATTTTGTGAGACGTTTTTCATTTAAAGAAAACCGCTTAAACGTTAATGGGTAAAATAATCATTTGACAGAGTGCCCCCAGCCTAAGCCAAACCTGCTTTGTGGGAAATGATTCCATCAGTTTTGTCTACTGATGTTTCTGCACCAACTCCCAAGATGTCTGTGCATCTAATACCATTCTACTTGTTCTGCGAGGGATTTTTGTTTGATAAAGGTTTGAACGTTTATGTGCAAAATACTGCATTACAGCAATCCCTGTTTTGTTTTTGAGGGAGAAAGGGAGGCTTTCACATCCCTGACAATAAGGTGAATCCAAATTTAGACTTCTGGATGCTTGTAAGAGAAAATACTTACTTGGTTCATAGTGAAAATTGGTTCTCTTTTATAGACCAAGATGAAGAGACGAGCTGTGGGGATCTGGCACTGTGGTTCCTGCATGAAGACAGTGGCTGGCGGTGCCTGGACGTACAAGTGAGTCTAGTTCCTTGTGGTATTTGGAAGTGTGTGGACCACATAGGCCCAAATTCCAGGTTGCTGCTGGATGGGCTAGTTTTAACACTTTCTCAGGACTGAGAGAATAAGGATGCCTTTGTATTTTCAGGATTCTTCCGTGGTGGTTTATTTTCAGTTATTGAAAGAGTAAACACAAAACTACCAAAATAGAAGTCGGAAATCTAATTCACAGACTACTTTAGAATTTGATGGTCACTGGGCACATTGTTGTGAACATTGTCATGATACTGTGCAGGTCCATTAGTGGGGCTGAATCTACTGAACGTTGATTTGCACTGCAAGTTTTGATAAAAATAGGTGAAGGGGTCAGTTAGTTCAAAACTGTATTTGGAACTTGAGGCCATCAGGACCACCACAGTTTCGTCTTTCTGAACAGTATTAGACTGCTGCAGGTTTGTGAATCTGCAACTCAGTATCACCTGACAGGGCGATACTACAAACACTATACTACAAACTAGCATCTAGACCTGTGTTGTCCAATACACTAAGCACATATATGGCTAGTGTAATTAAAGAATTGGATTTTAAAGTTTCAGTCAATTTAAACTTAAACCGAAGCAGTGGAAAATGTTGAAATATATATATATTCCTTGTGGGGGTTTTTATTAGGGCAGAATGGAAAATGGGAACTAGAGTGCTTTCTTGGTTCTGATAGGAAAGTGAATTATTTATATACTTACAATACAGGATGGTGATTTTCAGGTATAGTTCCTGAATTTTATGGTAAAACTTTTGTAGTCATTTCAATAGCTGTCTTTCCCAAAGGCACTTTAGTGTCCGCTCTTATTTCCTTAATCATTGTTCTCACTGTATCATCTTGTAATTTATTCATTTCTTGTAATCTGTCCATTCCCTTTTAATAAGTTTAGGTCAGCCTCTTAGAACCATTTCTTTTTCATGGGATGGGGTAGGGGGAGTTAAAGCTTGCTTGTCCACAACTGAGTTACTTATAAAAAAAAAAGCAACTCTGGTTGAGAAATCAGATGCATGAGATTGTATGTCTAATTCTGCAAGATCCTGAAGGCATGGCTCTTAAAGGATGCCATCATGTAGTTTAGAAGCCACTAATTTCCGAGGAGTAATCTAATGTTGGTTAGATCTTTGGATTGACTGCAGCAAAGTATTGGTAGAGCAGTCTATCTCAGTATAATTCTTTCTAGGAAAATTTGGGAAGCGACTTTAACACAAAAACGAGGCAGATTTACTTATTTGCCATTTTCTATGTTAACATGCTTAATTATGTTGGAAACTGAATCTTTCTTTCCAGTACCACTTCCGCTGTCACGGTAAAGTCCGCCATCAGAAGACTGAAGGAGTTGAAAGACCAGTAGACGCTCCTCTACTCTTTGAGACATCACTGGCCTATAATAAATGGGTTAATTTATGTAACAAAATTGCCTTGGCTTGTTAACTTTATTAGACATTCTGATGTTTGCATTGTGTAAATACTGTTGTATTGGAAAAGCATGCCAAGATGGATTATTGTAATTCAGTGTCTTTTTTAGTAGTCAAATGGTAAAATGCAGCATAAGAATATAAGTCTTCCAAGTTAGATATGAGTGTTAGCTTTTTATAAGTCTGCTCCTGCCAGTTTGACTTTGAGATACATTGGAGCCAACTGTAAACTTTAGTTTTTAAATTACAGTTAGTTTTTTTGTTTGTTTTTGAGGCGGAGTCTCTGTTACCCAGGCTGGAGTGCAGTATACCAGTCTTGGCCCACTTCAACCTCCACTTCTTAGGTTCAAGCGATTCTCCTGCCTCAGCCTCCTGAGTAGCTGGGATTACAGGCACGCACCACCATACCTGGCTAATTTTTGTATTTTGAGTAGAGATGGAGTTTTCACCACATTGGCCAGGCTGTTCTTGAACTGACCTCAAGCGATCCACCTGCCTTGGCCTTCCAGAGTGCTGGGATTACAGGTGTGAGCCACCACGCCCAGCCTTGCATTTAATATTTTTATAATGTGTCTAGGCTGGGTGCGGTGACTCACGCCTGAAATCCCAGCACTTTGGGTGGCTGAGGCAGGTGGATTACTTGAGGCCAGGAGATTGAGACCAGTGTGGCCAACATAGCAAAAACCCGTCTCGACGAAAAATACAAAAAATAGCTTGGTATGGTGGCACATGCCTGTAATCCCAGCTACTTTGGAGGCTCAGGCACAAGAATCACTTGAACCTACGAGGCGGAGGTTGCAGTGGGCCAGGATCGTGCCACTGCACTTTATTTAGCCAGGACAACACTCTGTCTCCAAAAAAAAGTTTCTGAAGGTAAAAGATATACTAAAGGATATACATATACTGCCTCTTCTATGATGTTTCATTTGACCTACACCATCAGCATCTTCAGGAAACAGTATGAAACTAATTTCACATTAAATGTTGCAAACGTCTGCAATTCTCCAGTTTTTAGTTTGCACGTAAGGATTCGTAGGATTGATTTCAGATTGACAGATGGTTGTAGTAACAAAAAAATGAATTGCCTTGGAGAATTCGAGTTATTTTAGGCCTGCCTTTGACACTTTTATGCACTTAATTCACTGCCAATTTAGTCTAACTCCTCAACCATCTGTGGTATGGACTTCTCAGTCCTCCTAATTGGTATGTCTTTTATCTATCCCAGAGTCAGTAGTCCTTTAAGGATGCAAATTTAATTCGATAAGAATGTGGATTTACTTCATCTTTAGGACAGAGTAAAAACCTTTATTTCACTTGGTCTGACCCCTATCTTCTATAACTTGTTTTTTTGCTCATTACTGGCCTTTGCACGGATGTCTCCCTTCACCTGTACCTCCTGCATTGCCTCTGGCAGAAACATCGCTACCCCAGGAGAATACTTCACTGGGTCAGGCATTTGCTAGATCCATAGCAGTAACTCATCTGTGGATCTCATTTGTGTCACAAAATGGTACTCCTACTGATTTTGTAATGTGAAGCAAGTACTGTGGGTCAGTAGGGGTAGGACCAGGAGTGACAAGTCAGGATTTTCAGGCTTCATAGGAATGACACAGCTCTCCAGGTGAATCTCCTGGAGAATTCTCCATAGGATCTCCAGGTGAGTGACCAGGATTTCATGTAAGCATAGGGAATTGAATGAGCATTAGATGGTCTAATGCTGCGGTTAAGAACACCAACTTAGCCAAACTGCCTAGATAGTTGGGTGACTTGGGTTAAGTGACTTAACCTCTCTGCTTCAGTTTCCTGTATAATTCTTGGTAGTAGAATGGAGTATATGCTGGGTGTTTGGATTATTAATTTGGAGTCTTACAAAGCTGCTATGTTACATGATTAGGCATGGAAAACTTCGGTTTTTATAATCAGTGAAGTACTGCTTTTTGTTTGTTTTCTGAGAGAGTGTCTGTCACCCAGGCTGAAGTGCAGTGGCATGATCTCAGTTCACTGCAGCCTCTACCTCCCGGGTTCAAGCAGTTCTCGTGCCTCAGCCTCCGAAGTAGCTGGGATTACAGGCTTATGCCACAAAGCTCAGCTAGTTTTTGTATTTTTTATTTTTAGTAGAGATGGGCTTTCGCCATGTTGACCAGGCTGGTCTCAAACTCCCAGGCTCAACTGATAACGTCTGCCTTGGCCTCCCAAAGTGCTGGGATTCTGTAAGCCACCTCACCCAGCCATGTATTGCTTTTTTATGACAGTTAAAAGAGGAAAGGGCGGGGGACAGTTTACAGACCAGTGAAAGTGCTGAGATAAATATTTTTATACCTAAGGAAATAGTGATTTTCCCAAGATGATAGGGAGGCAGGTGATGTAGATAGGGCTGAAGATTAGATTTCTGGCTCCTATCTGTGATTTTCTGCTGTACCAGTCTGCCTTCTATTTTATGGGCTCAGTATTCCTTACCTGCCTCTTCCCATGCTAAAGATGGCCCACCTTCGTTTTGTTATTTAAGCAACTTCATCCCCTGGCTTGTTTTCACAGTGGTTTTCTGAGCCTTTGACTCTAAGTCATCTAATTGAACATTGTGTTGTGATATAAAAAGTAAGTTAGGCTTGTGTTTTTCACCAGGCCATTTCATTGTATCCTAACTAGGCGGGTGGCTGTGATAAATGTACAGATTAGCCAATACAGAATCACGTCTAATTCCAAGTTTTCTTTTGGGTATGAAGTTGAGACATGGGGAAGCTTGAGCTTTGTTTTGTCAGCAACAGGTGAGGTGGAGAACTGGGACTGAAGGGGTTTGGGGAGGATCTGTTTAAGATTGGAAAAAATACATCAACTTGGGAATGTAAGCAACTAGAACCAAGCAATCTGTACAACGTTTTTACTGTTGGCTGTCTTCCTCTGGGAAACTAAAAGCCATTTTGTTGATAGCACTTCAGGTCAGAATTCATCAACAGGGAATGGAAACATTGTTTATATGCTTTGGGGTACATCAAGATAAGTTGAGGGTCAAGTTAATGTCATGCCACAATCAACCCTGTATGTCAGGGCCCTTGAGAGCAGAGTAGTGTCGGGAGAGTGGGTGGTATGGTTGACACAAAGACCCACAGGTATTTTTATGGGTTCACTTAATGAAGCAGGGGCTTAGTTGAGGGTAGAGACTGTTCATTAAACCAGCCTTTGTTGACCACTCCCTGCAGTATGGACAGGACATGATCACCATCCTTAAGTCCCACTATAGCAGGGGGGAAACAGTATGCTTAATTAAGCTTAATTATAAACTCTTTGAGTTAGAAAACTGGTGAAAGTGTTATTTCCTCCTGAAGTAATTATGTATATATACATGCCAATTCCAATCAGAATGCTAATTTTTCTTTTTAACCCCAGAGCTGTGCAAAATGTTTCTCAAATTTATTCAGGAACATAAACAACAGTTGGAAAGGACAAGAACTGTCTCCAGCATAATGGTTAAGAATGTGGAGGCTGAGGCAGGACAATGGTATGAGCTGAGACTGCACTGCAGCCTGGGCGACAGAGCAAGACTCCGTCTTAACCAAAAAAAAAAAAAATAATAATAATGTGGATTCTAGAGTCAAGCAGGAGTTATTTGGTTGTTCTGCTATACTAGTTGTGTGACCTTGGAGGAATTATTTAATCCTCTCCTGAACTTCAATCTTTTTTTTTTTTCCCCCGAGATAGAGTCTTGCTCTGTCGCCAGGCTGGAGTGCAGTGTCATGATCTTGGGCTCACTGCAACTTCTGCCTCCTGAATTCAAGCGATTCTCCTTCCTCAGCCTCCCAAGTAGCTGGGATTACAGGTGTATGCCACCACGCCCGGCTAATTTTTAGTAGAGATGGGGTTTCTCTGGCCATGTTGGCCAGTCTGGTCTTGAACCCCTGGCTTCAGGTGATCCACCCGCTTCGGCCTCCCAAAGTGTGGGGATTACAGGCATGAGCCACCGTGCCGCCTAATCTTTTCATCTGTAAGATGGATATAGTAGTTTTCCTCTCAAACAGAACAAATTAGTTAAATTTGGATCTAGAACACTTATAGGTTCAGGAACTGTAGATCTTGGAAAGACGAATAACACTTTGGACATAATGCTGTTTTTCAAAGATGGGGTGGTGGGTGGGTGTTGGTGGGTGTTAGAGGGTGCTATCAGGCCAAAGGAGAAGGAATCAGGAGGGAAACTGCCTATGGCAAAAGCATGAGTTACGATGTCAGGGGAAGGGAGACAACAGGGTTCAGGCCAAGGAAGCCTTTCTGTTTTTGGCCCAAGGAGCGTCAATAAGATCTTTGAAAATACTTTGAAGTCATTTTGTGTGTGTGTATGTGCATACACACCTGATTTGTTTTATTTTTTATTTTTATTTTTTGAGTTAGGGTCTGGCTCTGTCGTCCAGGCTAGAGTGCAGTGGTGTGGTCTCAGCTCACTGCAACCTCTGCCTCCCAGGCTCAAGCCGTCCTCCCACCTCATCCTCCCCAGTAGCTGGGACTACAGGTGTGCACCACCTCGCTTGGCTACCTTTTGTATTTTTCATAGAGACATGGTTTCACCATGTTACCCATGCTGGTCTCAGACTCCTGAGCTCAAGCAATCCACCTGCCACAGCCTCCCATAGTACTGAGATTACTGGCATGAGCCACCGTGCCCAGAATATGAAACACTTTTGAGGTTCAAATCTCTTTGGAATCTTAGGATATTCCTTGTAAGAGGAAGGCTTATTTTCCTCTTTTCCATAGGATCTGCCTTTCCTGTTTATATTGTCTATGGGAAATTGTTGTATGGGCCTGTTTGTCATGGGTTAAATTGTAGCACATTTGTGCTAAGGATCAAATAATACCCTATTTTCTCAGGGGCTTCTCTTAAGTATTTTAGTGTAATTTTTGATTACTTAGTCTCTGGCTTACTTCAGGCTGTAGAGAAAATGAGATGTATTGGCTGCATTTGCACAGGAACCATAAAAGGATTGTTCCAAGCACTATGGGAAAAGGATGGTGTCATTTGCTTAGAGGGCATTGACTGGAGATAGAAAAAGCCATTCTGAAAAAACGGAAACCACAAGAACTGAGGACAGGTTTAATTCCTGGTGGCTGAGAGCTGGTTCCTGTAGCTTCTCTGTTCTGCTTTCCCATTGAGTTGGCTGCACCCAGTCTTTCCAGATACAGAAGGTTGGGACCTGCAGTGACTGGGAGAATGCTGTAAGCAGCAAGATGCCAACATCACTTCCATCTTAGGCCCATTTACAAGAGCATTAGAAGAGCGAGTTTCTACCTCTGTGCCTCATGGTTCCTTCCAGGCAATAATCAGTGAAAAAAGTAGGAGACTGACCACATGGATCTACAGCTACATGGTTTATTGTCTACACCCACTAGACCAGAGTAAGCTGAAGTTTGGGGCATGCAAGTAAAAGGGAAACACTTTTTTTTTTTTTTTTTTTTTTTTTGAGATGGAGTCTCACTCTTGCCCAGGCTGGAGTGCAGTGGTGTGATCTTAGCTCGTTATAACCTCTGCCTCCTGGGTTCAAGTGATCCTCCTCAGCCTCCTGAGTAGCTGGGATTACAAGCATGTGGCACCACGCCCAGCTAAGTTTTGTGCAGAGACTGGGTTTCACCATCTTGGCCAGGCTGGTCTCGAACGCCTGACATAAAGCGAGTGGCCTCACAGGGTGTTAAGATTACAGGCATGAGCCACCACAGCCAGCCAATACTTTTATACACAACCGTATTGGTCCATTCTTGAATTGCTATAAAGAAATACCTGAGACTGGATAATTTATAAAGAGATTTAATTGCTTACAGTTCCACAGACTACACAGGATCATGGCTGGGGAGGCCTCAGGGAGCTTTTACTGTGGTAGGCAAAGCCAGAGCAGGAATTCACATGGCTGGAGCCTAGAGCAGGGGGAAGAGTAGGGACGGGGGAGTGGGTAGGAGGGGGTACCACACACTAAAAACAACCAGATCTTGTGAGAACTGCCACAAGAACAGCACTAGTGGGGTGGTGCTAAACCATGAGAAACTGTCCCCATGATCCATTTACCTTCCACCAGGCCCAACCTCCAACATTGGAGATTTCAATTGAACATCAGATTTGAGTGGGGACACAGATCCAAACCATATCAACAACTAAAGTTTCTTTTTATGATATTATTTTTGGCATACCCGAACTCCCAGACTCCCCAGCTATTTTCCTGGTTGGGTAATATATCAGTCAGTGTCGTAGCAGGGAACAGATGACACATTCAAATTACAAAAATACAAGGTATTTATAAAGACATTTACAAAAGTGTGTGCAGGATGTTGGAAAAACCATAGGAGATAGTAGAGTGGCCTGAAAGGGAGGAGAGTGAGTAGTTACTGGAAATTGTTAAGGAAAGTCCGGTGGAAAGGGTGACCTTAGAGTGATTCAACCAATGAAATACGGCCATGCAGAGAGTGACCCAAGGGGATGAATATCCCAGCCTCATTCTCCTTATCTGCTACTGTTCTCCAGTGACCAAGCCCAACCAGTAGGCAAAAGAACCCATTCACATAGTACATAGAGGTCAGCCTCCTGGAGCAGAGATCAAGATAGAGAAGAGAGGAGGATGGCACCAGAGAGACATGTGAAAAATGTCAAGCCTGCCCTCTGTTAGGACTCTACATTCTATTAAGATCAGAGGTTGATCTGTTGAAGATTTTAAACTTCAATAGGTTGTCATTGTGCAGTCCTTGTGGGTAGGGACTAGGTTTAGTTCTTTATGTCCTCTTGTATTAGCTACTGCTAAATCCAAACCACCTCAGAACTCAAGAACTGAAAATAATAAGCATTAATATTACTCAAAAGTCATTCTGATAATCTGGGTCATTCTGGGCTTGGCTTGCTCTTGCATCTGTGGTCAGCTGTTAGGTCAGTGGGGAACTGATTGGTCTAGCATGGCCTCACTCATATTTGGCTGATGGGTGGCATTTGGAGCAGTAAGTGTGCCTGGGTCATGTGTCTGTCAGCAGCTATCCTGGGTTGGCTCACAGGGCAGTGGCAGGGTAATTGAAGCTCACACATCATTACTTGTGCAGTATAGTACAAAGAAGTCAGTCTCAAGGCGAATCCAGATTTAAGGAGTAAGAAGATATACTCTATTTCTTGATGCAACAAGCTACAAATTACAAAGCATGTAGATACAGAATTATGGCCATTTTTGCAATCTACTCCCCATAATAGAGTCTGGGATAAAATGGGTCCTCTGTTATTTTATGATTTAATAAATGACAGTACTAGAAAGGAGATTTTAAATGTCCTGAAAAGGTCTGACCATTTTGTGGTCCCCATATCCTATTACAATTTACTTTTTTGGTGATTAATTTAGATGGGCTCTCACTCACCCAGGTTGGAGTGCAGCGGCATGATCTGGGCTCACAGCAACCTCTGCCTCCTAGGCTCGAGCGATCCTCCCACCTCAGCCTCCTGAGTAACTGAGACTATAGGCAGGTGCCACCATGCCCAGCTAATTTTTTTGTATTTTTTGTAGGGATGGGGTCTTGCCAGGTTGCCCAGGCTGATCTTGAACTCCTGGGCTCAAGTGATACACCTACCTTGGCCTCCTAAAGTACTGAGATTACAGGCATGAGCCACTGCCCCCAGCCTACTTATTTTTAAGTATTTGTAAAACTTTTATTATAATGTCTTAGGCATTCAGAGGAAGCACAATTGCTGGTACTACTGAAAGGGGTATGTTGAGCCATCTGTGTCATATTCCAACTTTTGTCTTGGCTCATTTCAATTTTATGGTCACAAGAATGTAAACTACTGTCTCTCCTCATTTTGCCTGTTACCTGGTAAATGTTTAGTGACTTGTTCATGTTCTCCGTTTAGTAACATCATACATCCTATTTCTGTTAGCTAGTCTTGATACTTTTCTGATGATCAGATTACCTACTCCTTTTGATACATGAAGTTTTGCGTATCCTTGGGCCAATCAACTCTCCATATTTTGCAGAATTGTGAGGATAGTCATTACCAGTCTCTGATTGAGAAGCAGCTTACAAAGGTATCGCATCTTGGTATGGTAGCTAATTGGGAATTTGGGTTGATTAGTGAAGGGATGAATGCTTTTTTGGTTCCACATGTGATACTTAGGGGCATCTTTGGAATTGCATGTAAGGAAAGAGGGGCATGTAGAATGCATTAGAGATTCCATCATAATCATGTCTGGGCGTGGTGGCTCACACCTGTAATCCCAGCACTTTGGGAGGCCAAGGCGGGTGGATCACCTGAGGTCAGGAGTTTGTGACCAGCCTGACCAACATGGTGAAATCCTGTCTCTACTAAAAAATTACAATATTTACCCGGGCGTGGTGGCACGTGCCTGTAATCCCAGCTGCTCAGGAGGCTGAGGCAGGAGGTGGAGGTTTCAGTGAGCTGAGATCGCTTCATTGCACTGCAGCCTGGGCGACGGAGTGAGACTCTGTCTTAAAAAAAAATAAAAACTACTGTCATCTACAGCCTTTGGTACTCTTGTTTCTCATAACTGAACACTCTCAATATGCTCAGTTGATTGGACCCGGGATGGACAACTGATAGAGTAAATGGAACCAATCAATTATCTTTAGAGAATTTGGATCAAATGACACAGCAGCTGAGTTAAACTAAGGCAGAGCATTAAGCTTTGGGAAAAGCTCATGACTCCTGCTGCCAGGATCACAACACTGCCCCAATTCCCAGCCAGAGTGTTTGGTTGCATGCAATAAAGACTGACTGCAGGTAACTAAAGCAGAAAAAGTATTTATTGGAGGGTAATAGAGTGCTTCACAGGATTGAAAAAAACCTAAAGAATCAGGTTTATAAGGGGAATAAAATAGGACGTTCTCACAGATATCAAAGGGAGGAGTGAAAGAAGAATCCCCAGTAGGGAGCTGAGCTTCTGGTCTGTTTTATGTCTTGACACTATTCAGAAGTCAAAAACCTGAACAGAAGAGTCCAGTGGCCTAGTTGGGGGCCATACTTCTGGCCCTTGGCACCTTAGTTGGCGGTCCCACCAAGACTACAGATAACATAGGAGAGATAAATCTCTAATAGGAAATTAGAGATTATCCATAATTTTAGGAGGGCAAATGTTCTTCACATCAAGCTTGAATTACCATTTAGGTTGTATTTGTACTACTTACTCTTTTATAAACCATCTAATTATAAGGTAATGCCCCTTGGATTTTGTCCCTCAACTGATGGAAGAACACTACAACAGAGCCACAAGTATACAAGTTGGGGGGCAAAGTCCCCCCAACTCTTCCCCATGGGGACCTGAGACCACTCACTGTGGTCAGAGTAGGAGCTTTTGGAGGTCAGATGGCAGATGATGTCTTGGATTGAATATCTCACAGTGGATAATGTGGAATGGTGGCTCCATCCTTTGTTTTTTACCCTATTTCCAGAATGGTGAAACTCCTTTATTTGACCCATGGCCCATGGAGGGAGGGCTGTTAGGGTTGGAAAATCAAGTGCAAACCTCTAGGGTTGCCTCTCCTACACACAGTAAAACAAAAGGAATCCCTGGGTGAATCACAGATAAATGGCTTATCCAAACATCTGAAATTTTCATGAATAATGATCTTATGATCATAACTAACCTCAGCTATGATTCTGGGTATAAATCTATATTGGAGGAAATCAACATATCTTCTGGCCATGACATACTGCTCCTATTAACCTAACAAATGTATTTTTTCCTTTCATCCCTATCTGCAAAGTAGTCAAAACTAGTTTATCTTCACTTGCAGGGACAGCAGTATACTTTCACTGTTTTACTTCAGGGCTATCAACTCATATACTCATATACAACTCATATGTTATTGATGTTAACGTAATGGTGTTACTGTTATTTTTAAATGAATTGGTAAACAAATGTTTTTTTTTAAAATTCCCAGTATTAATTCCTTTTTGTGTTTTTGAGACAGAGTTTCACTCTGTGCCCAGGCTGGAGTGCAATGGTGCGATCTCGGCTCTGCAACCTCTGCCTCCTGGGTTCAAGCAATTCTATTGCCTCGGCTTCCTGAGTAGCTGGGATTACAGGCATGCACCACCATGCCCGACTAATTTTTTTGTATTTTTAGTAGAGACAGGGTTTCACCATGTGGACCAGGCTGGTCTCAAACTCCTGACCTCAGGTGATCTGCCTGCCTCAGCCTCCCAAAGTGCTGGGATTACAGGCATGAGCCACTGTGCCCGGCATCATATACTATTATAATATAATCCAGAAAGATCTTGATCATTTTGGTGTCTTAGGGAAGATACTGATCCATTACACTGATGACGTAACAAGTGGACCTAAAGAGATCAGGAAGTGTTGAGAATGATATACCCAGTACGATATGAATATGGTGTTTAGGTTATCTTGGGGATTTCCTACCTGAAGTGATAGACAAGTTGCTGCACTGTAGACTATTCCCAACTAAGAGACATAATCTTTACTGGGTCCGTTTGGATTGAGGGGGATGGTTGCAAAGTAAGTCACATTGAGTGTGCTTCTCTGTCCCATTTACTGAGTAACCTGTAAGACTTGAGTGGAGTCTGTCAGAGTTTTCAGTAGAGCCTGGAGAAAAAACAGACTTGGCAGCAGATCCAAGTTGTAGTCCCAAGTTGTTCTGGCACTTGGTCTGTATGACCTAGCAAATCTAAGTAGATTCGAGGTGTTAGTGGCAGATAGAGATGTCCTATGATGCTGCAAAAGAAAAATTGTAGTGCACTAGGGATTTGAAATTAATGACCTCTTCTGCTGACATCTGTTATCTATTTAAAAATTAGGTCTGGTTTGCTACTAGACCCTGGTAGAATACCTGAGCATGGAACATCACGTTTCTTTGCAACTGAATCTGTTTATTATAAACTTGATGTTATCTGATCTATAAAATTATAAAATTAGATGTGTGCAACAGCATTCCATTCCAAAATGGAAATGGTTTATACAAAATTGTACCAGAGAATATCCAGAAAATACAAGTATGCTGTTTTAAGCATGAAGCTTAGATTCCCATGGACTCTTAGATTCCCATGGAATATATTTAGGTGTATTCTCCTACTGCCTCACTGTTTCTCCTGGAATCAGTTGTCTTCTTGGGGAGTTTGTTATGTCAGCTAATGGAAGAGGGAAAAGTGCATCATGGATAGAACTACATCCTGTACTGGCATCAGCTGAAAGCGGACAGAGGTAGAGGGAGGACAGTGGTAAAGGGAAGTCCTCCCAGTGGGCAGAACTTAAGATAGTATCCCCTTTGCATGCAAGAAGAGATGGTCTGAAGTAGAGACTTATATTGATTGATGAGCAGGCAGAAAAGGGTGGTGTCTCCAGATACTCACATTACCTTGAAATGGCTAATGGGTTCGTACAAGCTGGCCAGAGATTTGGAAGGAACAAGAATGGAAGGCTGGATACTTCTTCAAGGTTGAACACAAGGATGTTTCAAGCATAGATATGTGGATAGAACTGCAACAAAAGAGGCCTATGCTGAGCAGCTAATGTGACACTATTCCCTAAGTGTACATTAGATGTCTCCCATCATGCAAAGGGCAGCAGTTTGTCATCCCAGGGATAGACATGTATTATGGGTATGGAGTTGTCTCTTGCCTACAGTGTATCTGCCAGCATTACCATTCATGGGCTTGCAGAATGCCTTATCCATCAGTGTGATATCCCATACCATATAGAGTTTAAGGTACTGTCCTACAAGATGTAGTTTATACCTTAAATCTATCAGTATATAGTGCTACCTCTTCCATAGCCAGAATGGATAGGTCAAGAAATCAAGTGATGGAGGTGGAACTTACTACATTGAAAATTCTGCCAGTTAACCCACTGAAAGCATTTTTATTTCCCCCGCTTTTGACCTGCTTTTGAGTTTGGTGACTTTGGAGGTCCTAGTTCCTAAGGAAGTAATGTTTCTCTCAGGGAATTCAACCTTGGTTCCATTTAAATTGAAATCTTGAGTCAGTTCTCTGATCACTTTGAGCTCATTCTACTGCTGAACCAGCAGGCAGAAAAGGTGGTCTCTCCAGATTATCACCTTTACCATCCAATAATTTCAGCTCTGTGCTTCAGATACCTTGCCATATCAAAAGAAAATATCCAGAAAGAAGCACCAAAAAAGGAAAAGAACAAATACGTGTACAAGACATAGGAGCTAGTTAAGAGTTCTTTTCTTTTTAGAGACAGTCTCCTCTGTTGCCCAGGCAAGAGTACAGTGACACAATCATAGCTCAATGCAGCCTGGGACTCCTGGGCTCAAGTGGTCTTCTGGCCTCAGCCCCCCGAGTAGCTAGGCCAGAAGCTACTGTGTGTTATGCCCGGCTTATTGTTATTATTATTAGTAGTAATAGTAGTAGAGATTGGATCTTGCCATGTTGCCCGGGCTGGTTTCTTGCTATATTGCCCAGGCTGGTTTCAAATTCCTGGCCTAAAGCGATCCTCCTCAGCCTCCCAAAGTGCCGGGATTACAGGTGTGAGCCACCATGCCTGGCCTCAGTTATAGTATATAATTGGAGTCCCACAGGAGAAAGGAGAGATGATAATGGCTTTTTTTCCCCCAAAACCAATGAAAGATACCAAGCCACAGTTTAAAGTATCCCTGTAAACTTACACAAAATAAAAATTTAAAAGTTACACCTAAGAATGTCATAGTATTACTGAATCCCAGAGAAAAAGAGCATAATAAAAGCAGCTAGTAGCAAAAAAGGTGTAACACTAACAGTTAACTTCTTAACAACCATAGAATCTAGAAGAAAATAGAGTTATACTTTGAAAGTGCTTCAAGTTCTGTACTCAGCAATTATAACATCAGAATATGAAGGTGAAACAAAGACAGTTACCTCTGCCACCACCACCAATAAAATACTGACGGAATTGATCACTAGCACACCCACACATCACACAGAAGGCAAATAATCCATGGATGAGACTTGAAGGAAGGAGTGGCAGTCAACAAACGGGAACTATGTCAGTAAATACAAGTGAATTTAGACCACATGAATAGTAGCAGCAACAACTTTGGGGAGTGAAACGAAAATGTATTACAGCAGCATATAAATTGGGAAAGGGTAAATAGTGTTAAAATATTCGAAGGTTCTTGCATTGTTCTGGAAGAAGTCAAACTACAAAGTTAGTATATGTTGCAATCTCTGATAATCATGAAAAGAATAGAAAGTAATATATAACAATACAATGGAAATAGAATTGAAAAACAGAGGAGAGAGAAAAAGAATTTGTAAGACAAGTAGTACCTAGTAAGGTAGATTTAAACGTACCTGTGCACACATGTATATACATACACACACACACATATATATATAGGCACATTTATATATATTTATATCTAAATTTATACATTTGTAATATATATAATATAGTACATATTACATGTGTATTACAATATTACATATTGTATGTAACATATGCCTGTGTACACATGTATATATACACACGTATATAATATACATATTATATATATAAATGTGCCAGTAATAACTTTGCATACAAATAGACTAAGTGTGTCAATTAAAGATATAGTCAAATTGGATTACATACCCAAAGTATAAGGATTAAAGAAAAACCTAAAGCACAAGGAATCAGATATAAAAATAAAATATAAGGAAACAGACTCACCAAAGTTATAAAGATACCGAAAGAGTGAAAGTAAAAGGATGGAAAAAGATATAACAGGCATTTAAGAAATAATGATCCATGAAATGAAAGCTGTGTTAATATCTGACAATGTGGACTTAAAGGCAAAAAAGCATTACTAGAGACAAAGAAGGACATATATATTGTTAAACATATGGAAAACGTGCATGATTTTTCAGCAATTCTGGGGCATTGATATGAAACACTAGATAAGTAGGTGGCAATGGCTCTGAAAATATTCTTGAGGTGCAAATTGAACAATTAATTGAAGAACTTAGAGAAACACTGACTAGAGAAAATCAAGGGGCTGGCTATGGTGGCTCACACCTGTAATCCCAGCACTTTGAGAGGCGGAGGTGGGCAGATTGCTTGAGCCCAGGAGTTCAAAACCAGCTTGGGCAACATGGCGAAACCCTGTCTGTACAAAAAATAGAAAAATTAACCAGGTGTGCTGGCATGCGCCTGTGGTCCCAGCTACTTGGGAGGCTGAGGTGGGAGAATGGCTTGAGCCCATGAGGCAAAGGTTGGAGTGAGCTGAGCCGAGATTGCACCACTGCACTCCAGCCTGGGCGACAGAGCCAGATCCTATCTGAAAAAAAAAAAAAAAAAAAAAAAAAAAAAAAAAAAAGCAATGGCAATGAACAAGACGACCCAGCAAGTTGGAATCATCATAAGCTGGAAAACGTGAATTTGTTAATTTCTAAATAATAGAAATCTCTATCAAGCAAAACTTAAAATGTTAAGAAATGTTTCAGCACTCAAGAGGTAGCAGTAATAGATGCTAACCATCTTTTTTTTTTTTTTTTGAGATGGAGTCTTGCTCTGTCGCCCAGGCTGGAGTGCAGTGGCATGATCTCGGCTCACTATAATGTTTGCCTCCCGGGTTCAAGTGATTCTCCTGTCTCAGCCTCTCAGTTACAGGAGATTACAGGCGTGCACCACTATACCCAGCTAATTTTTTTTTGTTGTTGTATTTTTAGTAGAGATGAGGTTTCATCATGTTGGTCAGGCTGGTCTTGAACTCCTGACCTCAAGTGATCCATCTGCCTTGGCCTCCCAAAGTGCTGGTATTACAGGCATGAGCCACCACGCCTGTCCAATGCTCATCTTTTTTTAAAAAAATAGACTTTTCACACTGTACAAGAACCAACACCTTTGTGATTTGTTTTCTGTTCCTGAAGCCTGCCTGTTCCATTTTGTTTCCTGAGCTGGCATTAAACATTGATGTATTCCTTAAAATGTCTCTTCTGTTTTTGAAACAGGGCTTTGCTCTGTTGCCCAGGCTGGAGTGCAGTGGCATGATCACGGCTTATTGCAGTCTCAAACTCCTGGTCTCAAGTGATCCTCCTGCCTTGGCTTTCTGAGTAACTGGGACTACAGGCATGCACCAACATACCTGGCTAATTTTTTTATTTTTAGTAGAGACAAAGTCTCACTATGATTCCCAAGCTGGTCTCAAACTCCTGAGCTTAAGCGATCCTCCTGCCTCAGCCTTCCAAAGTGCTGGGATTACAGACATGAGCTACCGTGCCTGGCTATTCATAACAATGTCAAGAGGGAAATACAATCGTTACTGTTGCATGTATATCACCATATTCACTATTTGTTTTGTGTACTGACGTAGGTGTCACAGTATAGTCAATAGGTCCTCTAGTTTTTGAAGATTTACATAGTGCACTTTAGCCTTGGAACTTAGTTCATTTTCATACATTTTTGGGGAACCTAATCTGTAAACCAAGAAAGTACTTATCTGCAGATACTCATTCCTTCAACAAAGTGGAGAAATTTGTCAACATGTATTGGCTGTAAGCATCATATATAACACTAGGGGGTGATAGAACATAGCCAGAGGAAGGAAAATAGCCTGGCAAGAATTAAATGTAAGGTTTGGAAGATCCATCTTGAGGGCATATATAAAATGGATACGAGCCTGTGTAAAATTACAGTTTAGTAAATACCAAGTTCTTTTTAAATTAACATAATATGACCAAGCTTTTAAAAAAAGACCAAAAGGAGTTAATAAGTATAGGTCTTCTGGGACAAACCACCCACAAATACATAATGAAGATGAACTTGGGTATATTTTCTATGATCTGCTCATTAGAAAAGTTGAATTTAGTGTTTTTATTTTGTTGATTATATTAAAAATTATCAGATACAAAAGCAAAACTTCAGTGATAATATATCATTAAAGTATATTTCATTGACTAAGACTTTATCAGGTGTTTCTTAAATTACAGTGTTTAGGTCTCTGGCCTCATTTTCAGGGTCTTCAAGAATTTTTTTCCTTTAAAAAGGAAAACTGGCATAGGAGGACAGTATTAAATACACCATCGTAAACACTGGACTTTGTAGTTGAGTAGACCAATGAAGACATGAACTGACGAGGGAAGCTAAGTGAGAGCCCAGACCCTGGCAAGTGGGTCAAAAGGTTACACTGATGGAGGGAGACACCCTGACAGCACTGCCACAGGGCAGAGCCAATGGGATGCTCAGTGGAAGCATAACTTGGAAACTTGGAGGGGAGCCAGGAGGAGAGGCATTCCTTTCTGTCAAGTGGGCACTCTTAAGGTGCATGCCTCACCTTCACACCTTCACACATGAAATGATGTAATTTGTTAAGGGTGAAGACCAATATTATAGGGGTGATTGGCTCTTCTCTTTCCTGATGTTCTTCTGAAAGTCTTTTGCACACTTCTCCCCAAAATAACTATTCTTTCAACTCAAGGCTGTTCTGCTTATATGCTTCTCTTCTTTGGTCTCTAAGTCATGATTAGCATTGGGAGGGCTTTATCAGGAATACCTAACACATGCACCTTGCTGTGAGCCAGGCTGCATTCCAAGGACTTGAACTATATAAACTCATTTAATCCTCATGACAGCTCTGCCCTGGGTATTGTGGGACCGTATTTTACAAAGCTCTTAATGACTTGACCCCTGCTTGCCTTGCCAGCTGCATCTATTGTCAGGTCCTGTTTCCACTCTAAGCACCAGCAGTACTGAACTTCTTTGAGTTACTTGAACAAACCATGCCTGAATACTGTAGCTAGTATTTATCGTACTCTTTCTGTTGGCAAGTGTGTCTCCCCCTGCACTGTCTCCCCTTCTCTTTTCCTCAAACTCATGGATTAATATTATTGTTTCCCCCATTTTACAGATGAGGAAAAGAAGCTTAGATAAGTTAAATGTCATGTCTAGATTATACACTTCAGAGAGGGATAATAATGTGGGGAAAGGATGAGCTTTGGACCTAGAAGTTATGTTATCCAACTTCAGCTCTGCCATTTACTCGCTTAAACCTCAGAGAGGACAGGTGTGGTGGCTCACGCCTGTAATCCCAGCAATTTGGGAGGCTGAGGCAGGGGGATCACAAGGTCAGGAGTTCGAGACCAGCCTGATCAACATGGTGAAACCCCGTCTCTACTAAAAATACAAAAATTAGCTGGGCGTGGTGGTGCGTGCCTGTAATCCCAGCTACTCAGGAAGCTGAGGCAGGAGAATCGCTTGAACCCGGGAGGCAGAGTTTGCAGTGAGCCGATACCACGCCATTGCACTCCAGCCTGGACAACAGAGCAAGACTCTGTCTCAAAAACAAACAAAAAACCTCAGAGAGTATAAGAAACAGATGCAGAGTGGCATATTGCGACAGATTTTGGTGATTGGGAGGGCCAACCCAGGCATGAGACAAAGGGATAAAATTAAGGGAAGAACAACAGAATGGAAAGGAAAGAATGTTTTCTCTTTTGTCTTTTACTTTATTTATTTATTTATTTATTTATTTATTTATTTATTTATTTATTTATTTTTTGAGACAGAGCCTTGCTCTGTTTCCCAGGCTGGAGTGAAGCGGTGTGATCATGGCTCACCACAGCCTCAACTTCCTGGGCTCAAACGATCCTCCTGCCTCAGCCCTCCTGAGTAGCTGAGACAATAGGCATATACCACCACACTCGGCTGTTTTATAATTTTTTATTTTTTAGTAGAGACAAGGTCTTACTCTTTCCCAGTCTGGTCTCGAATTCCTGATCTCAGGTGATCCTCCACCTTGGTCCCTGAAAGTGTTGGGATTATGGGCATGAGCCACTTTGCCCAGCCTGGAAAGAATGTTTTTGAAAGATGATGTTAATAAAGAACAAACAGGATTCCACTGATTAAATTAGGACATGTGCACATTCTGTGCCCCAAACAGGAGTATGAGTGTGTCACTTTCTATATAGGAAAATGAGTGCAGAGAATGGACAGCAGAGGGAGCCCTTGATGAGTTTTGACCATCAAGGTAAGAAGACGGAGGGAGTGACATTTTCCCTGGTGCTCTCAGACCATGAGCTTATTTCTCCCCACTCTATCTTTACTTCTTTACAATAATGGTTGTATATTATTTCCTAACAGAAGTGGCCATGATGTGCTAGCAATTATGCCTGTCCTCACAATTCTCTGTGAGCGTGCTGCTCTATTCCTTCCTCTTCACAATATGAAGAAAGTAAGGCTCAGAGAACTGCCCCAAGTTGAGTTACACAACTGGTACATAATTGAGTCAGGATTCCAATTCTTAGGGCTCTGGGATTCTAAGTGAATCCTCATGCCAAAGTCACTGTTCTGTGCCCTCACATCTATGGTCGTTTTCCCCCCTCTGCAAATGCAAAGGGGGTTAGAAAGACACTCTCAGAGTAACATAGTAGGTTCATTTTAGCAGGGACATTTCAGAAACACAATGTATTAACTCAAGGGAGGTACCCCACACCCAGCAGGCTTGTGGGAAAAGAAATGTGGAGGCTGGTGGCAATGGCAGTATCCAGGATGTGGATATGGGGGCTTTAAAATACCCCCATAATTTCCATTTACCACCACCCCTACCTGGTCTCTTATAAAAAACTGACATTATCTGAATTTTATGTCAAAAGCTTTGCAAATACAGCTTCAAAACCCTTCCTGGCTGCCACCTCCCAACCTTCCCTAAGCTCCACTGTGGCTGGCCTTTCCTGGCAGCACTCAGCCTCCCTCTGGTGAGTGATGGTGGGTTGGGCCAGGCTGTATGTGCTTAGAGACCCTCAAATTGAAGGAGCTCCAATTCCACATCCATAGTTGCCACAAAATAAAGACTCCTGTCTTCTCTCCTTTTTCTGGGACCCCCACTGCGTAGCTCGGCATGGGTCCAAGTCTTCAGGGGGGGCTCAGCAAAGACTTGGTGACAGGCTGATTGATGGATTCTCGCCTTGCCTGCCCTCTCGCCCACTCCTGCAGGCTCTGGCCCTGGTCCACTGTCCAGCTGCCTAAGGGGTCTGCTTTTCTTTGTTGAGTCAGCACCAATGAGTCAGGGCCAAAATCAGCTGCAGGGAGTGGGGAGTACTGCAGGAAATTGTGGGGTTGGAGTAAGAATTTAGTGGCCCTAAAGGAAGGTATAGCCAGGAGCATCTGAAGGGATGGCACTGGGGGAGGTGGTCAGAGGAGGACCCTCTCTGACCTGCTGATGTTGTTGACCATTGGCTCTTGATGGAGCACTTTCCTGTAGTAAAACACAAGAGCTTACTCAAGTCATTGCCTAGGGCCCTAAAAAAAACCCCAGTCTTGTGTCTTTTGTGCTTCAACTCTACTCTTCTAGAGATGCCAAAATGGAACCAAATCTCCATGAACTCTGCTAATGGAAGACGAGGAAAAGGCAGGTAAGTGAAATTCTCAGATACATCCCAACAGCAGTTCAACACTGTCCTTTTGCTGGAGCTGCTGAGTTTTCATCCTCAGTGGCTGATGGCATCGGCTGCCCTCCTTCTGTATTTGCTCATCCACAGGTTGTACACACTAGTAGTGTGGACAGGAGGAGAGTTGGATATTGCTGGAAGGTAGGTAAAGCTGGGCTCATGATGTGGCTCTATACTCAGATTTGCAGGCCATGGTCCCAGGGAATTTTGTTCATTTTATCCTACTAAGCCTCACAACAGGAGCCCGTCAGCCCCCTAAGACAGGAGCAAGGAACAATAATGGTCCCAGGAATGGAAGTCCTACGCCTTTTATAGAACAGCATTGGTGGAACACACCCAGGCTTCCCATATCCTGTGCCCAGGTAGACCACGCAACAAAGACCATGCAGCCAACAGACCCTCATGCGTCCTTCCATATTATTGCCCTTCTTTTGGTAGACAGAGGCCCAAAATATTTTCAAGGGGACATTCTCATTCTCCTTGGCCCTCTCTTGATGATCTATCTCTTGGGAATGAAGCTCAAGAGTCCAACTTAGCCAGGCACAGTAGCTCATACCTGTAGTCCCAGCTACTTGAGAGGCTGAGGAAGGAGTTGTCTTCACCCCTCAAGAATAGGGCAGTGGTGAAAACAGGTCTTGGTTTAAAAATTGAAGACTAGAGCAATCGTTACCACATGGTGATATCACAGATTCTTGGTGTATCCCAGACAGATGAGGTCTTAGAGATGACCTGGTGCAACACGGAGATTAAGAGGCTGGGCTCTGGTGTCAGGCCATTTGTATTCTATCAGTAATTATTCTTAGTATCTAAGTACTCTTAGTACCCACTGGGTAAGTTTCCTAACCTCTCGAGGCCTCTGTTTCCTGGTCTATAAAATGAGGATAATAATAATACCAACCTCATAGGTTGTTATAAGGATAAAATGAGATAATTTTTCTAAAATGCTTAGCCAGACACATGATAAGCAATCAATTTATGTTTGATATTTTTTATCACTATGTTATCGTCTTCACTTCATAGACATTGAAACTAAGGCCCTAAGAGGTAATGTTTCTTAAAGTCACAAAGGCAAACTAATTGTATATGAACATTTCCACTGATTGGAAATAAGGGGACATAAGCCAGGAAAGGCCAGGTTATGTTTCAGTAATAACTCCCAAATGTCCACTTCCTGCCTACATTCCATGTCCACTGTGGGTCAGCTGTAGGCTCTACTAGGTCCTATTACTGTCCTTGTTTCAGGACCAAGGTAGATGAAGTACACGGCCAGCCCTTTGGAAGTGACTCAGATCACTTCTGCCTACATTTCATGAACAAAGCAAGCCACATAGCTTATGGGAGTTCAACAGTATGGGTAAGCATAATCTTCTTACAGGGAGGTAAACAGATATTGGTGAAGAATAATATAATTTATGACCATCTGCTATCTAAGCAAAGATGATCTTAGTATGAGCTATCCCCTGGCATTAACCAATTGAAACACCTGCCCCAAGATGTCAAAATTGGTATGCGAAACTAGAAGACCCTTCTGCAGCATTAACAGGAACATCTATTGATGCCCACTCCTTGAAAAAATTTCTCAAAATCCCCAAACCATGGACAAAATAAAAACTTCCACTTACTGAATATTAATCACACTGTCATGTGGCTCACCCTAGGATGTCCTTATACCAGAACATCACAGAGGGTTCACCTCCCCTCTCACCTCTTAAAGTGTTTCCAACCTATCTCATCCTATTTCATTCCCTTTTGCATTTCATTCCATTAACATCTGATGGTTTGGTGCTAATTACTGGTCTAGATGGTAGAAACACAAGAGAAGGGGGCACTTATCTTTAAGGAAGGAGGAAAACTTCCCTCCAGTGGGGGGAGACTAATAGTAAAGTCAATACATAGAATATATTGTAAGTGCTGGTATGGGCTGAAGGCTGTGGAACCACAAAGGAGAGTCACTTAATCTAGCCTGGGAATGTCAGAAAAGTTTGGCAGGGGAAAGCTGAGGTTGCTGGAATTTCATTCTTAAGAAGGTGTGAGAATTATGCAACTGGTCATCATCATGATGATGTTGGAGACGAACATTTACATCTTTGTAGAAGCAAGTATTTAGGGTTCCTAGTATTTCTTATTTATTATCGAGCATCTTTTCTGAGTGTTGGGCATTGGCAATGTGCTAGGCAGTTAAATGACACAGTCCATGCCTTTTGGGACTTAAGTAAGCAGAGGGTCTCAAAGAATAGGTCTTTCTTGAAGACCAGAATAAGTCTTAAAGAAAAGGTGAATCTCCCAGGGAGCTTGTTCATAATGCAGACTTGTGGGTTCTACCCTAGATTTTCTGGATGTGGAACCCAGAAATTGACATTTCAAACAAGTGCCTGTGATACTTTGATCATACTTGAAGTTTGAAGGTTACTGCTCAAAAGACAGCCATAATATTGATGCATGTAGAGAGGGCCCAGGGAAAAATGGGTTGAGCTTATTGAACAAAGAAATACATTGGAGTAAAAAATATTTGTGTTACCTGTGAATCAGAGGCCAATGCCCTTTGAAGTGTGGTGTAAAGGTTAGAGAACTTGGCATTTCTTTTGCAAGGCTGCTGTTGACTTCAGTTCAGGACCATCTCTTCAAAACTGCTTTCTTGTGCTAACATGTTTCTTTTTTTTTTTTTTTAATTATGTTGCCTTTTATCTCTTCCAATAAAACAATTTTATGGCAGAATCTGGTACCCACTTTGTGTACAACAGCCAATTAGAGGTAAAGGTGATTAATGAATAAATAAAGGACTAATGACATCTCTCTGTTGGCTTACAGTTTACACATAACTTAGATTGGTCTCCATCTTTTTTTTTTTTAAGAGGGTCTCCCTCTGTTGCTCAGGCTGGAGGGCAGTGGCACAATCATAGCTCACTGCATCCTCAAACTCCTGAGCTTAAGCAATCCTTCTACTCAGCCTCATGAGTAGCTAGGACTACTGATGCATAACATCATGCCTGGCTAGTATTTTAAATTTTTGTAGAGATGGGATCTTGCTATGTTGCCCAGGCTGGTCTTGAACTCTTGGCCTCAAGGAATCCTTCTGCCTTGGTCTCCCAAAATGCTGGGACTATAGTTGTGAGGCACAGCACCCAGCCTGTCTCATTTGATTTACCAATACCATGGGGATAGATGTTCTTATTAGCTTCATTTTTCAGTTGAGGAAACTGGATTTGGAGAGGATAGGCAACCTACCCAAGGTCACGTAAGGTGACTGATAGACTAGCCATGCTGAGATGGGCTTTGTTGAGAACTGTCTTTGGGACTATTCCATCATCTCTAATAACTCTGAATGAGCAATTGGCCTCATTTATACCCAGACTGCCTCTGGCAGAGAATTCACTCCTACGAAAAAGCTCCATGAATCCCACACCTATCACTTCATCCCCCGCCCTTGGATTCTGGCATCCCTTAACACTGTGGTGGTCCAGATGAGTGTGAGGGAGAGAATGCAGAAAAGACCAAACGAAGGGTCAGAAGATGGAGGCCTCCTCTCACTCCCTAAACCCAGCAGGCTGTCTATAGCCCATGAGATGAACTTTAGGAAAACCAAAAAGAAGTTTCTTGTGGTTTGCAGTCCTCTTCATCTCCTCTCAACTGTCCTTCACCTCTGGCCCCTTGCCTAACTTTTAGCTTGGTGTTCTTTCTGTCCCAATGGGACTGTGAACTCTCTCAAAGTGAAAAAATTAGGGAGCTTATGTGTTACACGGGCATATTTTTGCTTTGAACACAAGGCCAATTTTGGGAGCTGTATAACCCTAAGGAACAGATGATTAGGAGGAGAGTCTTGGCTGGGAAGGAATCTCTCTGTTGTCTGTCATTAGGGAGTGTCTTAGTCCATTCAGGCTGCCATAACAAAATATCATAAACTAGGTGCTCATAAACAACAGAAATGTATTTCTTACAGCTCTGGAGGCTGGGAAGTTCAAGAACAAGGCAGATTTGATGCCTAGTGAGGGCCTGTTTTCTGGCTCATAGATGGTGCCTTCTAGCTATGTTCTCACATGATGGAAATGGTCAGCTAGCTCTCTAGGGCCTCTTTTTCTCTTTTTTTTTTTTTTTGGTTTTTTGAGATGGAGTCTCACTCTGTTGCCAGGCTGGAGTGCAATGGCACGATCTTGGCTCACTGCAACCTTCATCTCTTGGATTCAAGCGATTCTCTTGCCTCAGCCTCCTGAGTAGCCGGGACTACAGGCATGCGCCACTCACGCCCAGCTAATTTTTGTATTTTTAGTAGAGACGGGGGTTTCACTATGTTGGCCAGGATGGTCTCGATCTCTTGACCTCGTGATCCGCCCACCTCGGCCTCCCAAAGTGTTGGGATTACAGGCATGAGCCACTGTGCCTGGCTCTAGGGCCTCTTATAAGGGCACTAACTCCATTAATGATGGCTCCATTCTCATGACCTAATTCCCCTCCCGAAGTCCCTACCTCCAAATACCATCACCTTGCAGTTTAGGATTTCAACACAGAAATTTTGCAGGGCCACAAACATTCTGACCATAGCAGGGAGAATTCCAGAGAACTATTTTCAGACCTCTGGTGAAAGGAGGAAAAAAACCAAAGACCCTAGAGAGTCTCCTTCCTTTTCTTTGTTACGTACTTTCTGTGTTAGTTCTTTGTTGTGGTACCAGCAATAGAAGATGGCTTTGGCTTTAGAAAGCTGGGCTAGCATCCCAGCTCCACCAAACACGTGCAGTGACCTTGACAAGTCTCTTTACCCCTGTTAGGCCCATTTGTTCCCCCATTTGTTGAGTGGCTATAGAAAGGCCCACCCTGTCCACCTCTGAGGGTGTCTATGATACTCAAAGGAGAAGCTGTGCAGGGGTGAATTAGTGCAAGCTGCACAGCATGGAAGATTCCTGGGGGACTTGTGCAGAGTCAGAATGGAGGTGTGCAGCCCCTGAGGACAGGTCTTTATGAGTGACAGCCCTGAGTCCAATGGAGGATTTTCACTGGATCATCCTGCCATGAACATGAGCAAGGGTCACCAGCTAAGCTGTCATAGCCGTCAGAAGCTAATAAGGCAGTAGAGGGGACCAGTTCAGAGGGTGGGCTTGAGCCAGACTACCTCGGTCTTCTTGACTCTGGCTCTCCCTAGCTATGTGACTCTGGGAAGACATTTAACTTCTCCAAACCTCAGTTTCCCCGTTTGTAAAATGGAGATAATAACTATCTATCTCAAGAAATTTCTCTGAAAATTAAATAAGACAAGAGTGGAGTGCTTAGCAAAATACGTGACACAAGAAAGAAGTCCATGAGTGTTAGCTGCTGTTTTTGTTACTATATTTGACTGCATGGACTAAGCTGAGGTCAGTGCTTTTCTGGGTGGTCACAGGGCCTGTGCTGGCGGGGCCTGAAAGGCACAGGCTAGGCACTGAGCAAGTGGAAGAATTAATTAAGTTGATAAACCGATGGAATCAATGAATAATGCATTGACACTTGTACATACCATAGACAGGCAAATGCATGTCTGATTGGATTGTTCTGTTTCTGTGTGCTCTCTGTGATGTAGGGGTAGGGCCAGTCACACAAGAGTCCATGTGCTGCCATGTCCTGTAAAACAGACAGAATTAGACCCTGTTTTGCCTCACAGTCCTCTCTCGGGTCCCTCAAGGGAAAGAGGAGTGACTCTGACTGTAAAGCTTTTCATACTGGCCATGTGGCCACTTCCAGTCCTGGAAGTGTATGTATATTCTCAGCACCAAACCCCTACTCCAATGTGCTCCTCCTCCCCCACCTTAATCTTAAATGAAAATGAGGCTGCAGGAAAGCTGCTGTGCTGTTTTATTGAAAACAGGTCCAGTTGGCAACAGCTTGCAGTTCCTGGGCTCAAGTGATGCTCCCCGCTCAGCCTCCAGAGTAGCTGGGACTACAGGTGTGCACCACCATACCTGGCTACTTTTAAAATTTTTTTGTAGAGAAGTGGTCTCACTATGTTACCATGCTGATCTTAAACTCCTAGACTCAAGCAATCCTTCTGCCTTGGCCTCCCAAAGGGCCACTACTCCTGGTCCATGCAAATATTCTTATCTCCAGCTCCCACCTTTCTTTACACAAAAGTTTTGCAGGTTAAATAGATATGGACCTACTTGTTTTACTTAACCATATACCTTGGAGATATTTCCATAGTATTCCATACAGAGCATGTTCATTCTTGGTTTTTACTAGCTACATAGAATTTTTTTCCTTTTGTTTCTTTGTTTTGTCCTCCCTCCCTCCCTCCATCCCTTGCTCCCTCCCTCTCTCTCTTTCTTTCCTCTTGCCCCTTTCCTTTCCTTTCTTTTCTTTTCCTTTCCTTTCCTTTCCTTTCCTTTCCTTTCCTTTCCTCTCCTCTCCTTTCCTTTCCTTTCCTCTCTCTCTCTCTCTCTCTCTCTTTTTCTCTCTTTCTTTCCTCCTCACTTGGTCACCCAGGGTACAGTGCCATGGTGTGATCACAGCTCACTGCACTGCAGCCTCTACCTCCTACACTCAAGCCATCCTCCCACCTCAGCCCGGCCCCCGAGGAGCTGGGACTATAGGATAGGTATGCGCCACCACACCTGGCTAATTTTTTCTCTTTTTTTTAGAGACAGGGTTTCACCACATTGCCCAGGCTGGTCTTGAACTCCTGGGTTCAAGCAAACCAATCCGCCTGCCTCAGCCTCCCAAAGTGCTGGTATTACAGGTGTAGCCACTGTACTCGGCCACAGTTTTCATTGTATGCATCTACCAGAATTTATTTAAACCAGACATTCTATTAATGAATATTTAGGTTTGTTCCTATTATTTTGTTGCACAGTGGGCAGATCTTATGTAAATGTATTCCTAAAGGCTGAGGAAGCTGACAGACCAAAGAGGCTGATAAATCCAGTGTCTCACATTTAATAGGGATTTATGAACAGAAACCATCATCTCAGCAGGAGATAGTAGATCCTGGGCCATTACCCCCCAGACCCAGGGCTTCTATACCCTAGAGAAGGAATGTGTAGGATAATTGAAGTTGGCCCCTTAGGGAAAGGCAAGAATGCTATGTGAATCTGCCTAAGGGCAGGATTTATGGTCAAGGTTGTTTTGATCTAAGTGCAGAATTTATGGTAAGTACATGCTCTTACACAAGGAACAGTAGATAAAATAGAAATCTTAGAGGTATTCCCGGAACTGGGATTAATCAGAAGTCAACATGGTGGATTAGCATGTAAGATGGAGTTGCTTTAACCTGCACATCTTTGCTATTACAAATAGTGCTATTATATATATATAAAATATGATTTATATATGATATATATATAAAAGTGTGAATAATCTTGCTGTTTTCTTTTATGATTTAATTTTTCAGTCTATAAGATTGAACATATGTCATTTTGTTTATACATGTGTTATAGATTGAGTATTTGTGTTCCCCCATCAAATACGCTGAAGCCTTAACTCCCAGTATGACTCTATTGGGAGATAGGGCCCGTGAGGAGGTAATAAAGGTTAAATGAGGGCATAATGGTGAGGCCCTGACCCATTAGGCCTGGTACCCTTATAAGAAAAGCAAGAGACATCAGAGATCTTTCTCTGCCATGTGAGGACACAGTGAGAAAGTGGCTGTCTGTAAGCCAGGAAGACATCCTTTACCAGGAACCAAATCAGCCAGCACCTTCATCTTGAACTTCCTGGCATCCAGAACTATAAGGAATAAATTTATGTTGTTTAAGTCACCCAGTCTTTGGTATTTTGTTATGGCAGCCTGAGCTTACTAGTACAGTAAGCATATCTGAAGGCTAAAATTGCCAGAAATAGAAACATGTAATCACTAGGTCAAGAGGTGAGTGCATTTACAAATTTGATAGGTGTTGCCGAATTACTGAATGAAAGGGATACCCACTTTAATTCCCTTCAGCAGTATACAGTAGTGCATGTTTACCCACAGCTTCACCATCAAGTTGTTTTCAAACTTAGTTTTTTCCCCTAAACTGAAAGGTGAAAGTGATTATTTTATATTCTTAACCTAGTTTATTTACCAAGGAAATAACTCTATTACTATTGTAAATTGAATGCTAGCATATTTTCACATATAGAATGTAACTGTCAGAATAAAAACAAAAAATACTATTAAATTTGTGCTGAATGTTGTTGCCTATAGAAAGGTCTGAGTCTGAGATGTGTTCTTTCTTGTTAAAAAGAGAAATCAGGAAGTTTAAAGGGATGTTAATGACAGGTTGAAACTGAGGCTTCTTGTTGATGTAATCCAACAGTGGAAATCAGTCTGACTGTGGTCCCACACTCTCTTACCTTCTGCCATCCCGCCCAATCTGCTGTTGTGTAGCTGAGGCTATGTTGTGTTAGATAAGCCAAGGGAGCCATCAGCTAGGTGGTTCTACATGCATAACTGCAAAACCAGCCCAATCTGGTTCAACTTTGTGTTATAAAATGGTTACATTTCAGTTACCTCCATGTTGCAGGTAACCTAAGCAAACCCAAATGGACCAAATGCAACGCTGATGGAATCTAAGTGCTCAGACCAAGGAACGGGGACTGAAATAACAGTGGACACCACATGGCATGATCCAATCAGATTGAGCCCTGGAAAGATCATCCCATGGCAAGATCCAGTTAGATTACACTTCCTGGCATCACCTCATTGCAAGATCCAAGATCATGCCTCATTACCTTCTGCCTGTAAAACCTGCCCCAGCCCCCAGCTCCAGGAGACAGATTTGAGCCAGGCTCCTGTCTTTCTCTGCAGCCTTGCAATAAACTTTTCTTTCTACAAAAACCCAGTGCTTTGGTGTTTGGATTTTTTTTTTTTTTTTTAAATACAGGGTCTTGCTCTGTAACCTAGGCAGTGGCACGATCACGGCTCACTGTAGTCTTGAACTCTGGGGCTCAAGCAATCCTCCTGCCTCAGCCTCCCAAGTAGCTGGGACTACAGGTGCATGCCACTGGGCCTGGCTAATTTTAAAAAATTCTTTTGGGAAGACAGAGTCTCACTATGTTGCCCAGGCTGGTCTTGAACTCCACCTTGGTCAGTTCTCTCACCTTGGCCTGCCAAAGTGCTGGGATTACAGGCGTGAGCTACCACGCCCAGCCATGTTTGGCTTTTCATTGCATGCAGTCAAACAGACCCAGTTCAGTTTGGTAACACACATAGCTGTCTGGATGGGCACAAGGAAGGCTTGATCCTGCTTACAGGCTCACTGGGTAAAAGTGAGCAGGTCCCTGAGGCTCACCACATGTTGGCCTTGTCCCAGTAAGGAGAAAAGTGCCTGCCTCTTGCACTTTCCCAGGGAGGAAGGTTCTGGAGCAGGAGTTTTACCCTAGTTTCTGACCAAGTGCCTGCTAATGGTAGTTTCCTAAGTCACATTTTTTAGACTTTTTAAAATTTAGTAGACTTTATTTTTTAGAATAGTTTTAGATTTAAGGAAAATTTGAGCAGATAGCACAGAGAGTTCCCATGTGCCCTCCATATATACATAATGTTCTGTATTATTAACATTTTACATTTGTGTGCTCTATTTGTTATAATCAATGAACCAATATTGATACATTATTATGTACTAAAGTCGATAGTTTCTACCTGATGTCTATTTCTATTTGAGGATCTCATCCAGGGTACCACAGTACATTGACTTGTGGTGCCTCCTCAGATTCCTCTTGGCTGTGACAGTTTCTCAGACTTTTCTTGGTTTTAATGATCTTGACAGTTTTGAGTAGCACTGGCTGGGTATTTTGTAGGAAGCCCCTTTATGGGAATTAGTCTGATGTTTTGTTTCATGATTAGCCTGGGGTTTTGGGTTTTTGGGAAGAGGACCTCAGGTAAAGTGCCATTCTAATGACATCATATCAAAGGCACATGTTACCAACATGATTTATCACTTTTACGTTGACCTTGATCACCTGGTTCAGCAGTGTTTATCTGGTTTCTCCACTGTTAAGGTACTCTTTCCCCACTTTCCTACTCTTTAGAAGGAAGTCACTCTGCCCAGCCCACATGTAAGGAATGGAGAGTTATGTTCCCTCTTCTGGAGGGTACAATATCTACATCAATTATTTAGGATTCTCCTATAGGATTTTTTTTTCTCTTTCCATTTATTCAGTTACTTATATCAGTATGGATATTTATTTTACATTATTTTTGGGTTACAAATCAACACTACTTCATTTTATTGCTTAATTTTTTCCAGCTTTGTTCATTGGTAGCTCTTTCAGTTGGCTCCTGCATCCCTTTGACATATCCCCATTATGGTACGATTTTTTTTTTTTTGAGGCAGAGTCTCGCTCTGTCGCCCAGGCTGGAGTGCAGTGGCTCGATCTTGGCTCACTGCAAGCTCCGCCTCCTGGGTTCATGCCATTCTCCTGCCTCAGCCTCCGGAATAGCTGGGACTACAGGCGCCTGCCACCACGCCTGGCTAATTTTTTGTGTTTTTAGTAGAGAAGGGGTTTCACCGTGTTAGCCAGGATGGTCTCGATCTCCTGACATCATGATCCGCCCGCCTCGGTCTCCCAAAGTGTTGGGATTATAGGCGTGAGCCACAGCGCCCGGCCCATTTTGTTTTGTTTTTTAAGACAGCATACATCTGTTGCCCAGGCTGAAATGCAGTGGCACAATCATAGCTCACTGCAACCTCAAACTCCTGTGCTCAAGTGAACCCTCCTTCCTCAGCCTCCTGAGTAGCTGGGACTACAGGCATGCACCACCGCACCTGGCTAATTAAAAAAAAATTGGGGGCCGGGCATGGTGGCTTATGCCTGTAATCCCAGCACTTTGGGAGGCCAAAGAAGATGGATCGCTTGAGACCAGGAATTTGAGACCAGCCTGGGCAACATGACAAAACCTTGTCTCTACCCAAAATACAAAAAAATTAGCCGGGCGTGGTGGCACATCCCTATAGTACCAGCTACTTGGGAGGCTGAGGTGGGAAGATTGCTTGAGCTTAGGAGGCAGATGTTGCAGTGAGCTGAGATTGAGTCACTGCCCTCCAGCCTGGGTAACAGAGTGAGACCCTGTCTCAAAAACAAAAACAAAGAAAAGAAAAAGAAAAAAGAAAATTGCAGGGGGAGAATTATACATAATTTAGTGTGGTCTTGCTATGTTGCCCAGCAGATCTTGAACTCCTGGGCTCAAGTGGTCTTCCCACCTTGGCCTCCCAAAGTGCTGGGATTACAGGCATGTGCCACCGTGCCCAGCTGTATTGTAGGTTTTTTAAAAAATTCGTTGTTGATCACTTCTTTATTTTCTGGTATTTCAAGATATTCCAAACTCATTTTGTATATTTCTTGCTACAGTCCTACTAGAATCAGACATTTCTTCAAAGAACGCTAGTTCTTTTTATATTGGACAGTGTTACTAGAAACCAAGATCTGGATGCTAAGTGTACTTATAGCTACTGGGATGTTAAGTCACATTTTTAATTTGCTGAAAGCATTTAAGATTGCCTATATTTCTAGTCTCTCCTTAATTCCCTGATAATTCCTATTAAAACTAACTGGTCGCCTCACAGTTTCCCCAAAAGCCTTTGGGGTTTTACTCTTTTTGTTTGTTTGTTTTTTAAGATTTGTCCTCACTTTGTTTAAATCCTTCCTGTCCTTCAAGCTTTAGGCCTCCTTCTGCCACCACCTCCCACCCTACCACCCAGTTTCCTTTTTGACATTGCTGCCTCTTATCTCCTGCTTCAGGAGGCTCCAGCAATGCAAATGCAACAGAAGCCTGATTTATTCTTGGAAACAGTTCCATGAAAACCAAGCAGGAAGGAATTTAGAAAGGAATATAGCAGCTATATAATATCTTTTGCCTCTATTTTTTTAAAATTTAGTTTTGTGGTTTGAACCCAGATAGCCAGACTATCAGTTTTATTAGGGCTTTTTTTTTTTTTTTTTTTTTTGTCTTTCCAAGATTCAGATGGAAGCACCTGGATTGAGTTTTGTGACTCACGGCCAGAGCTGAACTTTGAATCCTGTGCCCAAGCACTGTATTTGTGAAGCAGCAGGAACAGAGAGAAGCAGTGAAGGTGGGCGATGCTTTGAGATCACTTTGTCCAGACTATCTAGTTTTACAGATGTGGAAACTAAGACCCAGGGAAGGGAAGAAATCATACCCAGAGACATATAACTCATATAACTCATTAAAGGAAGAGTTGGGTCTAGAAGAATTTTTTTTTTTTAACTATAGGATCGGCCAGGCTGTGTCTAGAATCTCTTTATTGGTGTTCCAGTGTGCTTTCTGCTGCGGTGTAAGGACTTAAGATTGTTTTCCCTAAGAAATTTGTCTTAAAATCCCCATCCTGTAACCCCGAGGCACCCAATGACATCCTGGTAGAGGGAGCAGCCCAGTTTTTCAAAGATGCATGCATTTTGGACCAGTGAGACCTGAATTGAAAGCCTAGCTCCATCCCTTAACAGCCATCTGATCTCCAGGCAATCTCTCAGATTCTCAGTTTTCTTATCTGTAAAATGGGCATAAGGATGCCTGGGCCACAGGTGTGTTTTATGGCTTAAGCAAAAGCATGGTTATGAAGGCACCTGGAGCATACCAAGCACATAACTGGTGCTCAGCATTTCTTCAAGGATCATTCTGTGGCTTCCCATGTGTATACCTGGTATCCTGAAACAAATAGAAACCTCCTGGGTTACTTTTACTTCCTTTGTGTCTCTACAAAACTGGACACACAACAGGTGTTCAAAAGCCCTTGCTGGATGAAGGAATGCCACAAAGCTCACCCCATAGGGAGACAATGGAGGGGCAAAAGGTGTTTGTGCAGTGTGAAGGAGAAGGAAAACAGGTGAGTGAGGCAGATGGGCGATGGAACAGCTGGGCCAAGCGCTCATTCTACATTCAGACTGAGTACTCTTCAGGGAGAGGGATTGCCTGAGGCTTCCCAGGGAGAGATATGCTGAGCCAGGCCTCTGCCCAGTGGTCAGGGTGGAGACTGGATAAAGAATCAGGGAGCCTGAAGCCCCTGTGCTTTCATCATTTCCAGCCTCCTGCCCCTGCTTGGGGCCTGGGCACGTTCACAGCTGAACAAGATGCGGCAGGAAACCCTGAATCAAGGGGGTGAAGGCATTAATGAAGCTGAGCTGACTTCTGGCTCTAAATTCCTTTCCCTTTGCTTCCAGGCTTGCTGTGGCCTGTTGTCTCTGCCCGGCAGAGTCTGGTGGCTGCTCTCATTTCACATCATATTGCGAGCTGGATGAAAGCAAGAACCAAGGCGGCTCAGCACGCATAAAGGCAAGTCAGAATCTGGAGACCAAGATTTATTGCTGCAGAGATGGGTGCCCTTTTTGTAGCATGACTTTTATGGAAAGGGCAGTTTTCTTTGCATTAAGTTTGTCTGTAAGAGTCAGTATGACCTAGAGCAGGGGCTAGCAAACTTTTTCTGAAAAAATTAGATAGGGAATATAGGCTTTAAGGGGCATGCAGTGTCTCCTGCAAATATTTCAACACTTCTGTTATAGCAGCCAATGTATAGTTGGCAGGACTATACATTATATAATGTATAGATGAACAGATGTGGCTGTGTTCCAGTAGAACTTTATTTATGGACACTAAAATTTAAATTCCATATAACTTTCATGTGTCACAAAATATTAATCTTTTCATTTTTTTCAACTATTTAGAAGTGTAAAAACCCACCTTGGCTTGATGGCCATACCAAAACAAGCCCTAGGTCAGATGGCAGAAGGCGGTCTGCAGACCTGTTCAGGGTACAGCATGGCCTTGGGAGTCAGACAGGCTTGGATTCAAACCCGGCCTCAGCTCTATGCTTGCTCTCCAACCTTGTTGGGTGACTTAATCTCTCTGAATCTATCCATATATAGGGACAATTTCCTATCCATATATAGGGATAATAACGTCTACCTTAGAGGTTGTTAGTGGGCAATAAGTGAAGTTACAAAGAACCTAACATGGACCATTTGAAGTCCTTGATAGGAGGATGTTATTATTATTGCTTCTCTCAACCTCATCCTTAAGAACACTAGTAATGAGAGCTGAAAGCAATATTCTACTCTGCACATCTACCCAGAACCTCTGAAGTCTATTTATAAAGGCAGTCATCATAGGCTTTTTACAAAAACTATAACGCCCTGCTTTTTGCCACAATTAACTCATCTTTTTTGTTCCAATTCACTTCAACTTAACACATGCTCACAAAGCACAACTTTGCACAAGGCTCAGAGTGCAGCAGGATTGGAAAGTTGAACTTGACACAGTTCCTGCCAAAAGATAGGTATCTCTCTAGAAGGGGACATAAGATACAAATCCAAACAACCATAAATCAAAAAAGCATGTGGAATAAGACCTCCAAGAGTGGCAATCATGTCTCCCATTTACTAAGTACCAGGCACTGTACTAAATGCTTTCTTTATATATGTTGATCTTATTATATAACCTCATGAGGAGGGGACTGTTATTATTCCCATTTGATAAGTGGGAGAATGGAGACAGGGAGATCATGAAGGTCCTTGCCAAAGGTCACACTTAAGTGAGCAGAGAACAGAGAATCAGAACAGAGATCCAGACCTGGCTGATGCAGGAGCCAGAACTTTCCCCACTGGCTTCAAGTGCCCCTGGAGCTCAGGAAGTCCATCCTGGCTCTGACGGCTGGGAAAGAGTCACAGAGGGGGCTTTCGAGCTGTCCCTGAAGCCTGGGGAGGTTTACTCCAGGCATGGATGGGAGTAGGGATGGGAGGATTCAGTCCCAGAACAGCGTGAGCAAATATGCTGCAGTGGGAATGTGGAATGCTCTCAGGCGTGTTGGGGGAACAGCAAGCAGCGTGGGAGTGTAGGGTGCATTCCGTACCAGTGTCCTTTCCCTCCGTGGACCTCCGGATGCCTCAGGGAGGGGCGGGGGAGAGGCAAAAGGTCTGATGACTTCACCAGACTTACATAAACAGGAACTTCCTTGCAACAAAGTATGACCTTCTCATTTTAAAACAATTTGCCAGGCAGTGTATTCCACTCTTCAATCTTGCTTTTCTGTCCATAACTCCTCCCCCAACTTCCGGATTCTGCTTTCCTAGTGTGAAGGAGATGCCAAATTATGTCATAAAAACAGTGCTGGGCATAGAAGTGGCACGCGTCTGAACAGGCACTGTGTGACCCTAGGCTGGTCACTTTCCCTCTCTTGCCTCAGTTCCTGCAAACATAAAATTAGGAGTTAGGTGATAACCTGAGTGCTTTCCAGTGATAACCTTCCAAATTATGGCATACTAAGCCTGTCTCAGTAAGGGAAGCAGCCTTCACCTCTAGCTTGGAGTAGGTGATGCCACTTTGTAGCAACATTAAACAACTGCAGTTCCTGGACTTGATGGGGGCTGGGATTAGAATTTCGAGCCTTTAACTTGTCAATGTGCTGCTTAGATAACTTGCTCCTTACTGGAGTTCATGGGAATCCATGTTCTTTGCCCATCCATCCACCAACACATCAACTTTTAATTAATTCATTTATTTATCTACACCTAGTCCCTGGAGCCAGACTGCCTGAGTTTGAATCCTGGCTCTACTAGCTCTGTGACCATGGTTAAGTTACAGAACCTCTCTGTGCCTTAGTTTCTTCTTCTGTAAGACAGGGATAACAGTAGAATCTGCCTTACAGGGTTGTGAGGATTAAATTGGTTCATGTGTGCACACACACACACATAAATAAAATATCAAGTGCTTAAAACCACTCATGGCATGTAGTAAGCATGATATAAGTGTGTACTATTATTGTTATGTTTGAAGCATGTTTTAAGTAATAGTGTGTGCTGGATGCTCTGTTAGCATCTTTTTCTATGAAACATAGCACTCTTCCCTACTGCCTTACAAGGTAGGTGTTATGAGCCTGCTTTTCGTATGAAGAAATGAAGGATTGAAGAGTTGACATGCCTTTTCTGAGATGTGCCATGGACTAGGCTGCAGAGGACAACCAGACACATCAGCAGGGCCCAGGAGGGAGAGGCTGGAAAGAGCGGGCAGATCACTGCCTGCCCCTGTCACCTAATAGCCAGCTCACATGGCTTCCCTGCTCTGCTATCTGGTTCTTGCTGCAACCCAGACTCCTGCTGATGTCTTGTCTTGAACTGTGTAACCTGTCAACACATGAGAATCATTTGCAGCGACTGGGGAGTGACGTGATTCAGGAGCAGGGGAGGGGAGCTCGTGGAGAACAGAAAACTGCTGCTCCATTTTGGAGCTGCCTTTCAGCCTGGCCAAATGGGAAACTTCCTGCTTAGAAACAGTCAGGACATTAATACTCAGATGAGTGAAGACACACATGTCTCCACTAACATCCCAGGCGGATCAGACTGATTATGCCGCACTGTAGTGCAATTTCCTCTTGGTTTTTATTTCTTTGGCTCAACATTGTGCAGATGGTAAGCTCTGCTCACTGAAAATATGGAAATGATAAAATAGAAATATGAGACATTTGGATATCACTTGAGCTGAAACTTGACACTGCAGGTCTGATTGAAAATCCAGCAGGCCTCTTTCAAGACCCTTTACTGTGGCTCCTCGTTTGCTTCAGGAGGCCCCTGACAAACTTGCCCAGTTCTCCCTAAATCCTGCTATTGTTAGCTCTGGCCTGGGCCACCTGCTTTCTCCTCACCAGAGATATTCGGCCAGATGATCCTTACCATTAAAGTCCCAGGATGTGTGTGCATGAGCACACACACACACACACACACACCACATATGCACCACACACATGCGTGCACATAAGTGCACACACCACACATCACATATGTGCACACATACCACACACATGCACCACACGTGTGCACATATGCACATGCCACACCTGTACATGCACACACTGCACGCACACACATGCATACACATAAGCATATACCACATGCATACCATACATCACACACCACACACCATATACATGCATGCACATACAAAATTACATGCATCACACACCACACACATGCATGCACACATACCACACATACATACATCATACCTGCATGTATGCACACACACACACACCACACATACATCCCCACACACAAACACACATGCCTTTTAGGTGCTACCCAGGACTCCCCTTCTAGCTTTAAACTCTTCATGGAGAACTTTCTGCTGTCCACTGAACCTTTAGAGTTTCTCTTTCTTTTCTTTCTTTTTTTTTTTTGAGACTGAGTCTTGCTCTGCCACCCAGGCTGGAGCACAGTGGTGTTATCTTGGCTCACTGCAACCTCCGCCTCCCAGGTTCAAGCGATTCTTCTGCCTTAGCCTCCTGAGTAGCTGGGATTACAGGTGAGTGCCACCACGCCTGGCTAATTTTTGTGTATTTAGTAGAGATGGGTTTTCACCATGTTGGCCAGGCTGGTCTCGAACTCCTGACCTCAGGTGATCCACCCACCTCTGCCCCCCAAAGTGCTGGGATTACAAGCATGAGCCACCGCACCCAGCCACTGGAGTTTCTCTTTCATACTTTCCATGGGACAAAGCACCTTCCTCTGTCCTTTGAGCTCTATCTCCTTCCTCCTCCAGAGCCCAGTTTCCAGAGCACCTCCTCCAGAAAGTCCTCCTTATTTTCCCCATCTTTGGTCAGGCTTCTATTTGCCCTAGTGGCCTGTACCTGTTTTAAAGTCTGCTGTCAACACAGAGATGCAACTTTTTTAAAGTTTCAGGATGCCTTTCTCGTTCTCTAGGCCCTGCTGCACTGGAGCCCGGAGCCGTCACTCCTCTATACTTCTGGTGATTTCCGCATTGATTGCAGATTCCAAGGCAACTTGGGTCTCTGCAGTATCATTGGGGGCCGATTGGAATTCTTGAAACCCTCTTCCCCACCCCACTCTCTGACTAGACCAATTTTAGTTTAATCAAACCTCAAGACTATATTTTCACCTGTTCCCTTTAATAATTAACTTGCTTCGAGGAATCCAAGAGAACCCAGACACAGTGACTGCTGACCTAGTTACTGACCCATCCTAATGACGCCTCTCCCAGAGGTTCATCCTCCGGGCTCTGGCCCATTTCGTGTGAGAAAGTGAACTCCTATTGGGCACTGGTTTTGCTTCTGAAGCCAGGTGGAAATATTGGCCTACCCCCTTGACCCTACTTCTCATAGTGGTTTGGTGGTTAAAGGTCTATAGAGTAGAAAGATTATGCTGGCTTTGCTTTGTTTTAGGTTTTGTGTTTTAATCTCTTTAAACCCCAGTTTTTAATCCTATTGCTTTCAAGTCCTGATCTTGTCAAGGAAGACACCATCAATTGCACTGTTGTTGTACAACTCCAAACCTTCTGGGGCTTATCACTCTCAGAGCTGAGCTGAGGATGCTAAGGGGTCCTCAGGTGTCCTACAGCTGAGGGCAAGGCAAAGGCGTGCAGGCAGTCAGCTCCCCTGCATGGGTGCCATGCGGTCCCTGCAGCCTTGTTTCTCCTAGTTTCTCTAAGGTACTCCTGGGTCATTGCTCTCTCGATTTATTTGGGAGGGCTGCCATAATAAAGCACCATGGACTGGGGGCTGAACAACAGAAATTTATTTTCTCACAGTTCTGGAGGCTGGAAGTCCGAGATCAAGGTGTCAGCAGGGTTGGTTTCTTCTGAGGCCTCCCTCCCTGCCTTATAGATGGCTGTCTTCTCCCTGTGTCTTCACATGGTCTTTTCCTCTATACATGTCTGTGTCCAAATTCCCTCTTCTTTCAAGGACACCAGTCATAGTGGGTTAAAAGCCACCCTGATGATGTCATTTTAACTTAATCACCTCTTTAAAGACCCTATCTCTAAATACATTCACATTCTGAAGTGTTGGAGGTTAGAACTTCAACATAAGAATTTTTGGGGGAAAACACAGTTCAGCCCATAACATTTTCTGCTTTTTAAATACACACTGCCTGGTTTTAGGGCACCCTGAACCTTAATATAGCCTTCCTAGGGGATATTTCCTCTTCAGTAACATGTGAGCAAGAATACTGATCTCTTCCGATTGTTATGAAGGTTAAGTGCATGTGAAGTTTAATATAGCCTGGCTCATAAGTGCTTAGTAAATGTTAGAACCACTTAAGTAAATAAAAATGGTGATGATAATGATGGTGATGATGATGAAAATGAGCACCATTATTATTTGCAGATGTCTTAGTCATAACGAATTTCTTTTAATAGCACCTGATGATCATTTTGCTTGTGTCACTTTCATTTTACTTCTTTCTTTCCAAAAGAGGCTTGAGTGCGGCTGCCCAGCTCCCCAAGACTCAAGCCAAAGCTACTCTCTGTGCCTGCTGTGAGGATTTGAAAGCACTGTGGCAGGAGAGGCCCTGGGCCTGCCCACCACTCCCATCTCCTCTTGGTAACCAGGAAGCCCTGGGGCTCGCTTAGTCACAACTCACTCAGGCATCGTTTTTGACCTTGACACCTTCCCCTGCATTGTGCCAGGTGTCTGGGGCACTGCCAGCTCTCCCAGCCTGCCAAGCTGATTCTCTTCCTTCACTCAAATGACTGGGGAAACCTCATCTCCCCTCCAGCAGGGAGTCTCCCGGGACTGATCACAGGAAAGGTGCTGTGGGCACATAGCTATGTCACCCTCTCGCTATACACATCCGTGCTCGGCATGCACTCCAGGCACCTTCTGATAAAGGCATTCTGCCCAGTAATTTCCTTGCACACACAAGCATCCATGTGTCCATCTAGTTTAACATTTTTAAAAAATCTTCAATTATAAGGCTGAGTCTAATTTCATTCTCCATACATTACATGTACATAAACATGCCCAATGGAGAGGCTGGATCATTACCAAGTTTACCAAGCAGTCACACTTGTGCACTTTCTCTCCCTCCTTCATCCTGTTTCATGCTTCTGTGCCTTTGCATCTGCATTTCTCTGGAAGCACCTCTTCTGCCTTGTCCCTGTGTGAATGCCTGTCCTAAGGCCTAGATCAAGGCTCTAGGAGATGCGTCATGGACCCCAGGCACAGCCAGGACCCTCTGCTTTGATGGCTCCCTTGTGCCTTCGGTGGCATCTTGTCTGTGCTTACCATACTGTACTGTGATTGTCCATTTGTATAGCTTTCTCAGCTGGCCTGGGAGCTCCTCAAGGGCAGGGATGATTCATTCAACTTTGCATCCCCAGTGCCTAGCACAGTGCCTGGCTATAGGTGAGTGAAGCCAGAGAGGAGGGCTCTGGGATCCAGCCATGCTGGGCAGTGCCTTTCATGGCATTTTCTGTTTGGCCTCACCTCTTCCTTTGTCCTGTTTTTAGCCTAATTCCTTTCAAGGCTCTGGCATGGGACTCTGAGCTCATTTTCATGATTGCTTTAAATATTGGGGCTGTTGGCATGCCAACACGGGGACCCACGCTAAGGAGGGAGAGGAATTCTCCAGCTCTCTGGGTCCTGCCGAGACACAAGGAATGTGCCAGAGGCAGGGGAGGTTTTGAGAAAGTGCCAGTGTAGGTCGAACTAAACTGCTTTTTTACCTGGCTTAGGGAGCTAGGAATTTGGGTAGAAGACAAGAAAGTGAGAGGACACAGACGCCTTGGGGGAATACGATGGGGGCAGGGAGGGATGGCATTCCCAGAAGTCCAGGAGGACCCCCAGATGAAAGAGAAAGGGCAGCAGCAGGACAGACGTGGAGATGCAGTGTCTATGCCTGAAAATGACCAGGAGTCCCCTGGAGTAAATGCCTGGACATGAACAGTTCCAGGAGCCACTTCTGCAAAGCAGATAGACAGGAGGAGACTCTGGAAGTCTTGTCATGGAAGAACTAGGACACCACAAACATGAGCTTGTTAGTATAGGGAGGGGCCTCAGAAACCACCTTATGCAGCCTTACCACTTTATAGACAAGAAAGCGGAATCTTAGAGGTGACCAAGACCACACAGCTCATGGTGATAGCACCAGGACTGGAACCCAGGTCTCCTGTTCTCTTTCCAAGGCTCTCAGCCCCTCAAGGGCTGGAGAGGAGCTAGAATTAGGCCAATTTCATAACACCCAACAGGTGTTATAAATGTAATAGATTGCCTAACTTCTGCTTGGTGTTCTTGCTCTATGTCAGGCATAACGTTAAGTAGTTTACATGGTTTATCTTATCTCAGAGTAGCCTTATGAAGTAGACATCCTTATCTCCACCTTAATGATGGGGAAACCGAGGTTCAGAGGCTAAATGATTTGCCTTGGATCAACCAGCCACTGAGCAATGAGGCCCAGATTCTAATTCAGAGACTCATTCTGGAGCTCAAGCTTTTAACAATGATTTTCTGAAACCTGTCTTACCTGGCCTTTACAGATCTCAAGAGTCTAGGTCAAAAGATAGATGGCCTTGGCCAGGCACGGTGGCTCACGCCTGTTACCCAGCACTTTGGGAGGCCAAGGCAGGTGGATCACCTGAGGTCAGGAGTTCAAGATCAGCCTGGCAAACATGGTGAAACCCTGTCTCTACCAAAAATACAAAAATGAGCCAGGTGTGGTGTCATACGCCTGTAATCCCAGCTGCTCAGGAGGCTGAGGCAGGAAAATCGCTTGAACCTGGGAGGCGGAGGTTGCAGTGAGCTGATATCATGCCACTGCACTCCAGCCTGGGCAAGAGAGTGAGACTCTATCTTAAAAAAAAAAAAAGATAGATAGATAAATGGCCTTGAATTTCTAGATAAAAATGCAACATCCCAGCTCTCCTGACAGTGAGACTTGAGGCAGGTAGGTGTGGGCATCTCAAGGAAGTGAGGCATTTTTCTTCCCTGAAAATTCTTCAGTCCAAAAGAGGCCTGTGGTTACGGGGTGTGGTTACGGGGTGGACAGAGGACCTGTGGTGGGGCTGCTAACCCAAGAGTAGGCTTTGAGATGCGGCAGCCCAAAAGAGCAGTCCAGAGGAAGGAGATGAAGATTCTTGACTCACTTTGCTGGTTGGCTGCTGGCTTTAGAGTTCACTTGCCTAAAAGTGGATTCCTAAAGGAGGAAAGCAGCCCTTAAAATCCATAGCATCTTCCATTTGACAGCAACTTCCAGCTTGCAAGGTGCTACCTCGTCTTCTCATTGGATTCTTACAATATGAAGGCAAAGTTATCATTCTCACTTTAGATGAAAACACTGACTCAGAGAAGTTAAGTGACTTGCTCAAAGTCACCCAGCTGGCTAGCAGCAGGGCCAAGGCCGGAACCTAGGTCTCTTGAGTCCTACATGGAAATCCTTTATCTTGACACAACTGTCCATGGACAAAGGAACCAGTAGAGGTGCTGCTAGAAGTTGCCTTGTTGTCTCCGGGGATGTGACCCCATCACAACTCTAGGCTTGCCCTGACTGGACTATACAAAACTCTATTTACTTCGGCACTCATTTTAAGAAAGGCCACATGACACAGTTCTATCTGATAAGGTAGGAATGGGGTCTGCTGAAGAGCCTATGGGAAAGCCTCTCTCGCTCCTAAAGAGAGCCACAGGAAAAGGCAGTCTCTACTTCTCTGATTGTTGTGCCTAGAACATGAGGACTGGGACTGCTGTCGCCAACTTGCCACTTGGAAGAAGCCAGCACACGGAAGAGGGATGCACAAGGAGATGAGCGTCCAGGTCTCTGACGGCATCACCCAGCCAACACTGAGGCCCCAGCTGCCCAGGCTGCACGGGCCAGGCAGCATGCTCAGACTTCCGACATGGCGCGGTATGGAAAATAAAAGGGTCAGACAATCTCAAGTCTCCTCCTTAAGAGTTAAGACAATATCCTCAGAGGGTCCTCAGTGGACTCCCCTCATGGCTTTCTGGCCAGCTCTGGATCCCATGGCTACTCCAAACCAGGCAATAGCGAAGAGCATGGGAGTGCCATTATTGTTTTACCCCAGTCAGGGTGAAAACAGCAAGTGCTCTGTAAACACAACTGTTATTATGTGACAGGCACTGTTCTAAGTGCTTTACATGTATTATCTCGCTTAACAACCTTAACGCTCTAAGAGTACTGCTAATATCCTCATTTTATACATGAGAAAATTGAAGCACAGTTTTTGTTTGTTTGAGATGGAGCCTCACTCTGTCACCCAGGCTGGAGTGCAGTGGCGTGATCTCGGCTCACTGCGACCACTTCCTCCTGGGTTCAAGTGATTCTTTTTTTTTTTTTTTTTTTTTGGAGACGGAGTCTCACTCTGTGTCTCGGGCTGGAGCGCAGGGGCGCAATCTCGGCTCACTGCATGCTCCGCCTCCCAGGTTCACGCCATTCTCCTGCCTTAGCCTCCTGAGTAGTTGGGACCACAGGCACCCGCCACCACGCCCGGCTAATTTTTCTTTCTTTTTTTTTTGTATTTTTAGTAGAGACGGGATTTCACCACGCTAGCCAGGATGGTCTCCATCTCCTGACCTCGTGATCCGCCCATCTCGGCCTCCCAAAGTGCTGGAATTACAGGCGTGAGCCACCGCGCCTGGCCTCAAGTGATTCTTGTGCCTCAGCTTCCTGAGTAGTTGCAATTACAGGAGTGCACCACCACACCTGGCTAATTTTTCTATTTTTAGTAGGGACGGAGTTTTACCACATTGCCCAGGCTGGTCTTGAACTGCAGAGCTTAAGTGATCCACCTACCTTGGCCTCCCAAAGTGCTGGGATTACAGGTGTGAGCCATTGTGCCCAGCCGTTTGCTTGCTTTTTTAGAGAGACAAGGTCTCACTCTGTCACCCAGGCTGGAGTGCAGTGGTGCGATCATAGCTCACTGCAGCCTTGATCTCTCCAGCTCAAGCAATCCTCTCACCTCAGCCTCCAGAGTAGCTGGGACTACAGGTGTGCACCGCTACACCTGACTAATTAAAAAAATTTTTTTAGCACAGATGAGGTTTCACTATGTTGCCCAGGCTGGTCTTGAACTCCTGAGCTCAAGTGACCTTCCTGCCTTGGCCTCCCAAAGTGCTGGGATGCACAGAGTTTAAATAATTTGCTCAGGGACCACACAGCTAGGAAGCGGCAGAACTAAGTTTTGAACTCAGGCTCCAGCACCCAAGCCCTTAAGTACTCACTAGAGCTAAGAATGAGGTCAGTCTCCCAGAAGCACGAGACTATGTAGACTTGAACAAAAAGAGGAGTGGGAGATTTGAGCAAAACTGAACTTCCGTTAGGAAAGAGGAAGGGGAAAATAAATGCTGTTGAGCAGCAGTGTTTGCTGTAGCCTCGCCCTTCAGCTCTTCTGTGTGTAGATTTTCTGTGATGCGAGCTAACAAATATCCCTATGGTTGAGGCCAATTTGAGTGTTTCTCAAACTATTATTTGTAGCCCAACTGTCCTAAGTACAACTGGTTATTGTAAGTGGGAGTGGCCAGAAAAACCTTCTGGGAGGAGAATTATTTGGAGAATAGATAGGATTTAGAGCGAATGGACATTACAGGCTAAGAGAAATACAGGTCAGGTCCAGAAGATAGGGCTGGAAATATAGAATGGGGTCAGGTCTTTGAAGTTCTTGATGCCAGAGGGAGGAGTATGGGCTTTGTTCAGGTGATGAGGTCTGCAGAGGAGCCTTGAGTAGGGAAGTGGTGGGGCATTTATAGAGATCCATCTTCAAGCCCATCAAAGGAAGGAGTGTGCCAGGGAGAGCTGGTTGGCAAGAGGACTTACCTTATGATAAAAGTGTGAATAAGGGCGACAGTATTAGAAATGGAAAGGAAGAGACAGTCCAGGAGATACTGAGAAAAAATAACATGTTGGATCTGATGACTGCTTAGATGTCAGAGAGTGGCATCCAAGGTGACTTTGAAGTTTCAAGCTTTGGTAATAGAAATACGGAAACTGGGAGCTTGCCTGTGAAGGTGGAGGGGAGGGAACCAGATGTGGTAGATTTGGTGTTGGATTTGGAGATTTGAAACCATGGGACAGTCACATGGAATTAATTAGTAATTGGAGACTAGGGTTGCAACACTTGTGACGAATGAGAACTGGAGGTGTCAGGAAGCTGAGGGGATGGCTGGAGTAGATAAGACCTCTGAGAAATGGGATGTAGACAAAGGAGAGAAGACCGCTGCGGTCTGGACCTCAGGAAACATCCAGCATCTTGAGGTCTCAGGAAAGGGGAGGCAATGAAGTGGAGGGAAGATCAGAGATGTAAAAGGGGAACTCAGAAGGCAGGGGAAGAAAACTAGGGAGTCGAGAATTTCAAGAAAAAGGGATCAATAGTGCTAAATCCTACCACTACAGAGAAGTCCAGGTTGCTTACGGTAAATGTTTTGGGTATTTTAAAAGAAGAGGTTTAGAAGACTGTGAACAACCCGATGTGTTTATAGATTGCTTACGGGAATGTAAATTGGCCTAATCCAGTTGGGCAATATGTTTCAAAGGCCTTAAAATATGCAAATTTGCTGACCCAGAAATTATTCAAGGAATATAATCCAAAGATATCATAATTAAAGTTTACTGAGTACTTTCTCAACCATACACAGCGTTAAAAGTGGCATTGTTTTAAGCACTTATATTTATTAACATATTTAATCCCTAAGACAACCCTATAAAGTAAGTATTAATAGATACTTTTTACTATGAAGAAAATGAGGCATGTGGAGACCAAGTCATGTGAGCAAGGTCTAACAAGGAACAAGTTATGACACTGGGATTGAGATTGGGAAGAACAGCTGCAAGACCCTTGTTCTTAACCCCCAGCTAGCCTGCTTCTTGAAATGATTAGAAATTAACACAACGGTCACCCTGAGCGTGTTCATCATAGTGTGATAATAACAGGAAACAATCTAAATGCTTAACAGCTGGAGATGGGCTAAATAAAATGACTTCCAAATGAGGGCATGCTATATAGATGTTAACAATCACATTGTAAAAGAACATGCAATGACATGGGAAAAAGTTGATGATACATTTTTAAGTGGGAAAAGCTGTTTTCCATATTTGGAAAAGCCCACATATGAAAAAAAAGAGAGATTTGTTATTATTCATACGTGCATTCTGCACCGGACTGTCTGCACCCCCGCCAGGTACCCCCTCCCACTCTCACCCTGCCCAGCACTGGAGCCCATCCTCATACCCCAGTCAATTCAGGGCAGTTGTCCCTATGTCTCTGGATTGAAGTGCTGCATATTTTAACAAAGAAAAGATAACTAGGCTGCAGGGTGGAATTCTATGCCCAAAGCGTCATTGTGTTTCTCCTCAAGTCATTCCAGGAGTACTTTCTGGATAAGACCGATTCTTAGGGAGTGTTGACTATTGGAAACAGTTGGGTAAAGCTCATAGGAAGAATATTCCGGATACTTGCTGCCACTTAAGAGTAGGTATGGCGGAGAGGATGGGTCCCCCAAATGTGTGGGATTCTGGAAAGTGCCTGCAGGGAGGTTGTCCTGCTCCTTGGACATGGAAGGTAGGCCAGCACCCCTGCCCCCTGGGGTCACCAGTTTTACATTGCTAGCAGTTAAGCCCCAGGATGATTCAGAAGCCCCACTGAGATCTTCTTGGCTTTCTGTCCTGTGCTTCACCCCAGCTCTCTATCCATGTTCAGGCAAAGCCCAGAGCTGACTGCTTAGAAAAATATTTAATTGAGATTCCTCCTACAGTGCCTATTTCTGTCTCGATAAGGCCTTGGCATGCCATGGGTGGCTAAATATATTGGCTGTTTCCTCTCCAATGCCAACCTAGTTTTTTAAATGTTCCCAAGTGTGTCTGCCCAGCTTTCCCCTGAGAGAGAATTTACAGCATTAGCCCTCTGTGACCTAGAAGAAAAAACAAAACAAAACATAGAAGATGTTAACTTACTTACAGAAGAGAAACCAGGAAATTATACATTTGTGCAGAAGTGTCTTCATTCATGCATTCATTCATTCATTCATTCAGGTCTCTCAAACTCCTCCTGAGTTACTGGCACTGTGCTTAAACATGGGCCACATAGATTGATGGAATTAGACATGATCCCTGTCCTCAAGGTGTTCATAGTCTAGATCTACCTGCAGTACTAAGTGTTAAGTATGGAAGATGCACAAAACAGAGCTGCGAGAAGGGTCTGCAGTGGCCTAGAGGAGGATACTCAGGGAATATTTTCCTAAATAGCAGCATCTCTACCTGTTCTAGTACTTAGGAATTGAGAGAATGGGGAAAGCTAAATAAAGAAATAGCAAGAATATAAAGGCAGATGCCATTTATGAGCATGTTACGTTAGTTTGGGGGCAACAGCTTGGGCATTTTTCCTAGTAGAATTCTTCTGTTGGATGTGATATATGATTCTAAAGTCTTAAGTGCAATTAGTTTTTCTTCTGTATGCTTTTTTTTAAAAATAAAATTTACTAGTGCAGACAAGTGTTTCATAAACATTTTTAGAGTCATAGAACTCTTTTTGCAAACAAAACATCCCAATATTTAAGACCAATAACATCAGAGATGCTGTGGTTGAGGCAGGGGTGGGAGATGCGGAACCAGTTCTGGCCTCCTCCAATCTCTGACCAAGACACCCCAGTGGGATTCCAGGGCTCACTGAGACTGCAGTTGAAACCTACATGTTGAGATGGTGCTTCACACTTCCCAGGCTTTAAGCTAGCACCTCAGTGATCTCTCTTCACCTCCCTTTGGGCCTGTGACTGTTTCCTGCCTCCAGGAGGAGTCTGCAGTTGCTGCTTGATAGCTCTGATGGAGGCTTGTAGCAGGTGGTCTTGGAATGCTTGGGATCACCAAGCCTTGGGAGTAGTCAAGTCGTGGTTCCTTTGATGGAAAAAAGTGGGCTATCATCTGAAAGCAGGAGTGTTGGCAGCCAAGAGGATGAGCACAGTCCGGTGGCACATTACAAATGACTCTGGCCCCATTACTCATTAGGTCCCCCTGGAAGATGTTCTAGGGTGAACAGTCCTCATTTTCCCATCTCCATGGCTGGATAACCTCTCAGTTCATAGATCCCTGCAGACACTTCCTTTCAACATGCCAAGGCCTTTAACATCTCAAATGGGCTTTACTCTTTTCAATGTCAAGTAAGGCAAAGCAGCGAATGGTCTTTCCATTTTATAGGTGGGGAAACTGAGGCCTAGTGTAGTTGGCTCTTTCACAAAAGAATACCGAGACTCACTGTTCAGACTGTGATTGTTCTCTCACACTTTCTCATACTCCTGAGAAGTTCTTTCTGTTCTCCAGCTTTTATCCATTTCATTGATGTAAACCATTTCCTCTGTGTTTGTTTCTTCAAATTGTCCAGAAAAATGTGAAGTTGGACTTCTTTCCCTTCTTAACATTGCATAGAAGGCAGTGGAAGGCAGGGGGTCTGAATGAATGACCCACAGGAGTTGTGGTGGATTACCATCTCTGTTAAAAACAATTCTGCTTTGGTAATCTTGGCAGACGGCTGAACAGTGGACATGATGTTCTTAGAGGGAGGGTGATTTCAGTCCTGGGGGTTCTGTAATTCCCCATATCTTAACATAGGGGTTGGACACAAGGCTTTCCTTTGGGTCTGGGCTCAGCCTTTTCTAGCAGCTTTGCCACTGGTCTGGAACCTTTTAGGGCATTCCAAACCCCCACACCTCTCCCCCCGCCATGGGGCTGGCCTGCAGTCAAGCATCTTCACACTCTGCCGCTTCCATCTGGAACTCCCTTTCTCGATTCCTGATGTTGGCTGCCTCGGGGCCTGCTTGCTATTCTGGTGCCCAGAAGCCAACACAACTTTGCCAGCCAAAGCCATGCTGAACTGCATCAGCAGAGAAGGGTGGGCTTCCTTGGAGTCAGAATGCATGCGCAGGAGGACCCATCCATGGTACCTATGACGATTTATCAAAGAGTTCCTTAAAGAAAGTGAAGAGACGAATCACAGAAGATATTTGGAATATACATAATCCAAGAACAGTATTCTTAAGAGCATCTAAAGAATATCTCCAAGTTACCTTTGGGCCCAATAATTTTAATATTCTCTAAGGTATTGACTCCATCTAAGACATGAGACTTTGCCTGGTTTGGAGTCAGATCCTTTCTAGAAACTCTTATTCTCCTTCAAAAAAGGTGGGAGAACCTGAACACAACATTCGGGAACCACTAACTGATGGCTTCAGGAATCCAACTAACACTCAGGAAACACAGGGGTCGAACACACCTCTGGCTTCCTCGGGACAGCTTGCATAATCTCCTCCTTCCAGGCACACCTAGCTATGAATTCAGCTGAGTTTTTAAGAAACATGAATCTGGAATACAGTGAGAGGAGTGGGTATAATGGAATAGAAGGGGAAGCAGGCCCTCCCGCTAAGGGGTACACACTCTCCAGAGGACACACACACGCAGCGCTCTTGTTCAGGCATCTCACATAAACTTGTCCAAAATGGACCAAATGGCTCTTTCTTCTTCAGGCAACTCCCTTTTCTAACTTCTGGGCCTCCAGTGTTGTTGGCATATTTTGCTTGCTTTCCTGACGCAAACCAAGAGGCATCTGTGATTCCTCTCCCCTTTTATCCGCTGCATCTGAGCAGTGGGTGGACTCCACCACCCTCCCTCTTTTGTGGATGCCCCTCCCACTGGCTCCTCCTTCTCCCACTGGTTGCCTCTTGTCTGGGGAGCGGGGAGGCCTTTAGCATTCCATTCCATAAAGCTCTGATCTTACGGTGTCAAAGCTGACAATGAATACCATTTCAAATGAAATCATGGCCACCTGCCTCTGCCTGGCTTTCCAGTGTCCCCACGCCATGACGCTGGCCCTTCCCTGTCACATCATCCCCACCTTTTAGGGTCAGTCTTTTCTGATCTTCCTATGCTCCCACAAGCATGGGAATCTATTTCTCCCTCCACACCTGAGCCTGAAGTGCCAGCCTCCCCACCCTTCACGGCCATCTCTGTGCAGCCTTCCTGATAGGCTTCCCAGAAGCCCTGCTGATAGGGGCTATCTCCTTTATGCCCTGACTGTTTCCGTGTTGACTATTTCCAACCTAGCACCAATTCTGCAGTTTATTATATACTGCTAAATGTTATCTTTCCACAGGTTGTGATCTTTTTGATGGTAAGGGTCTGGTAATGCCTGTTTGCAGCCTCTCTTAACTGCACACAATGCAAGGATGTGCGTATGGGAGAAATTAACATTTGTTGAGAGCTTTAAGACTTTATCTCATTGAATTCTTTCAACCCTAAGAGTTGGATATTTTTTGTCTCTATTTTATAGATGAGGAAACTGAAGCTTGGAGAAATAGTTTTGCATACACAGCCACTAAGTCGCTGAGTTAGGATTTGAAAGTAGGGCTGCTTATGGTGAAGCATCTTTCACTATTCCATGCCTCTATTCCAAAGTGGGGTGTAGGCTGCTCATAAATTGCATTGAATCAGAAAAAAAATTAGACACACAAAGCTGATATATGTTTAATATCATTGCTAGCACTGAACTCATACATGTTTTTTTATATCACAACCTGAAAGCTTAAATCTCAGACCGATCTACTCTAACACTCTTTTTTCTTTTTTAAAGAAGCTAAGAGCAAGTTTTAAGATTGATGTCTCTTTGAAAATGTCTTATTTATTTTTCTGCAAGCGTGGTTCATCTAAAAATTTTGCTTGGTAGGAAGAGGCCTAGGGGTGTGTGTGTTGTCTTTGAACTGGGTGACCAGGGAGGAGGTTGTGATAGCTGGTAATATGTCTCTTTCAAGGCTGGTGCTGCAGCAGAAAATGTTCCTGCCCATACATAGGATTAGATTGTAATCAAAGGAACAGGGTCATGAAACAAACTTTTGAAATGGAACTCAGATGTTGTAAATACATATACCTTGGCCAGGCTCCCAGACGTGAGAACCTCCCCCATGATCCCAAAGAAAAATATTCCATTGTATTAGATTACATTAGACGAGAGAGAAATAGAACACTCAAGCATGGATGAGGAGAATATATAAAGGAAAAAGGAAATAAAGAGGAATAGGCCAGGCACCGTGGCTCACACCTATAATCCCAGCACTTTGGGAGGCCGAGGTGGGAGAATCACATGAGCCCAGAAGTTCAAGACCAGCCTGGGCAACATGGTAAACCCCATCTCTACCAAAAATACAAAAAATTAGCCAGGCGTGGTGTGCAAAAACATAGCACTTAAGTTTCACAGGGGCAGGGCTTTTGTTTGTTTTTCTCTTTATTGCAAGTGTCTATAACAGTCCTAGATACATAGTTGGTATTCTATAAATATTTGTTAAAAGATTGTAAACCAGGAACATTGGGAGGGTGAATTCTGCTTGCTGGTGGAGAAGGGTGAGGGACACAGGTCCTTGCTGCCTGCAGGGGCATGTTCGGGCCAGTCTGAGTAGTCTGTGGTTCCAGCAACTCGGGAAGCTGAGATGGAAGGATCACTTAAGCTTGGGAGGCGGAGGTTGCAGTGAGTTGAGATTGTGCCACTGCACTCCAGCCTGTGGGACACAATGAGACCCCACCTCAAAAAATAAAATAAAATAAAGAAAAATAGAGGAAGACTGGTAAAAGGTTTCCTCTAGTAAGTGGTTGGAAAATAATGGTTGGATACATCTTGAATCATCAGAACTGGAAGGGAAAGTGACTTTTGTCTTAAGCACTAACTCTCGCCCGAATCTTTTTTCATACCCTAGTGAGGTGAATACACAGCCTGGTGGTTTGGGATTTCAGCTGAATTAAAGCCGCTTGGCCTGTGCTTTCTGCTTACCATGGTGGAACTTGCTGACTAATAGTCCAAGTCCTGGACTCCTCCTGGCTGGTGCCTATGTACTCTGGCTGATTCCTTGGTCCTTCCACTGCAGGAGGAAGAGAGACGATGTCGTTGACTAATCTCATCTCAGTCACTTCTGGTTCCCTGACTGTGATTCCCAAGAGTCCTTAGTCTAGAAAACAAAGGTTTCTAGGCCACTAACCATGGAATTGACACAGAGCTCTCTGCAGTTCTAAAGATGGCACCATACGGCCAGATGCGGTGGCTGACACCTGTAATCCCAGCACTTTGGGAGGCCGAGGTGGGTGGATCACCTGAGGTCAGGAGTTCGAGACCAGCCTGGCCAACATAATGAAACCCCATCTCTACTAAAAATACAAACAATTAGCCGGGTGTGGTGGTGCACGCCTGTAATCCCAGCTACTCGGGAGGCCGAGGCAGGAGAATTGCTTGAACCTGGTAGGTGGAGGTTGCAGTGAGCTGAGATCACACCATTGCACTCTAGCCTGGGTGACAAGAGCAAAACTCCATCCAAAAAAAAAAAAAAAAAAAAGGGGGCACCATGCTTGCTGTGCTTTGGCTCAGCCCATCTGTGTCTCTTCATGTGACTTCGCAGTTGATCTTCCTTTGGTTCCAAGAAAGAGGGAACTCGAAGCCTGGGAATCTAGGTCTGTCTAGCAGTCCTGTTTCTCTCTGTTCTGGCCTCAGGATATCTCATGGGTACACAAACCATAGCCCTTTTGGGGCTTGGGAAGAGGGGCAGGTGGGGGATCGGGACATGGGTAAGAGTGAGTCTTTGTGATCTGCCTTTGTTAAGGCTGATGGCCAAAAGGGCAGACACTTGTCGCAGTTTTCTCCTGGGCTCAGACAGTGGGTCAATGTGCCCCATACAGTGACTGCTTAGATAAAAGTGCCTCAGGACCCTGAAAGAAAGCCTGTCTCCAGGAGGCTACAGTGAAAACAGAACAGGCTGTGTAGTCACACATTCCTGGGTTCAAATTCCAAGTTAGTCACTCAGTATTGTGATCTGGTAGTTCCTCTGAGCCTATATATTCCTTCCTAGGGTGGTTTTAGCAATTGAATAAGAGAGGTGCCTGATGTATACTCAGCACTTAAACAAATGCTAGTTCTATCTTCCTGGTTTTAGGTTCCATGCAGTGCAGAGAGCAGGAGCCCCTGGTTCATTTCCTACTTCTCTTCCCTTGCTCACTTGTTCCAGTCTCAAATACAAATGCGCTCCCACTAGGGCGCTGAGTCTTGATGTGCCCTTGGCTGGGATCTTACTGCCACGGTGTCTCCTCGGGTTCCTTTACCCCACTCAGGCCTCTGCGTAGACATCACCGCCTCAGAGACTCTCCCAGACCAGTGTGTCCAGGGCGGCCTCCCTGTCTTCCATCCTCTCCCCACTCTGTTTTTCTTGAGAGAATTTATTACCCCTGACATCATATTGCCTCTTCCATTAGCACATCAGTTTCACAGAGGCAGGGATTTTGTTTGTTTGTTTTTCTCTTTTTTCCAAGTGTCTATAACAGTCTTAGGTACGTAGTTGGTATTCAATAAACATTTGTTAAAAGATCATACACCAGGAACACTGGGAGGGTGAATTCTGTTTGCTGGTGGAAAAGGATGAGGGGCACAGGTCCCTGCTGCCTGCAGGGACATGTTTTGGCCATTCGGCCCCAAGCAGAATTTCAGCCTTCACTTGTGCCTTTGCCTGGGCACCCTGATGCTTGTCCATCTGTTTGGGGTGACCCTGGAAAGGCGTGCTCTATGGCTGTAGGAGAACCCTAATGCTCCAGGCTCTCCTGCCCAGATCCCTGGATTCAGGGGCCATCTGGTCTCAAAACTCAAATGCTATAGCAAAACCCCCACACTGGGCTGTGCTTTTTATCCTGGGCTTGGGGCATAGTGGGTGGTATGGGGCACAGGACACCGTGACTTCCCGGATCATCCTTTTTACTTAATGGTAATTCACTTGAAGCATCATTGTTACAGAAAATCAACCTCGAATATATCACACCATAGAAAGCATGGTTCCCATCCTTTACAGAAGGTGACACTGAGGACTTTGGAGAAGTTTCACCTTTGGTGGGGTGGGTGAGAGGTGTTGAGCTCTGGAACAGGACCCAGTGTACCTTGGCTTCACAGATCTGCCCTGCTGAGCTGTGGCTTCTTTGCAGGAAATGTTTAGATGCCCTATTAGGGTTTTGTGGGTGGAGGTGTTGGACTGGAAACATTTTCTCATCAAATATGAGCTCCCCTGTGTGTAAGAGCCTCGCTCACAGTAGAAGCTCCATGGCTAGTAGGGAAAGAATGCACCCTAGGAGATGGGCTGGTGGAGGGAACACCTGACTTCGAGTTGGGAGAACTGGGTTCTAGTCCCATCTTTTCTGAGACAGCCACTTCCCTGCGCTGAGCCTCCTACCCCTCCATGGCTGGACTCCATCTGTGAGGTCCCCTCTCAGGAGTTTATGGGCCTTAAAGTCCCAGGAGAAGACCAGTCCTGGCAGAGCTGCACACTGGCCAGACAAAGCATGACTAGCTCCCACCTCTGCTTCATCAGTCCCATGGAGAGAAAGTGGCAAATTCTCTTGCCAGAAACACCTGAGTGCTCCCTGACATCATTTGGCGTTTATAGCTGGCTCTGAGGAGTGGCAGGATGTTCCATTTGCTCACAAAGGCCCTGGGGACCTGTGGGAACTGGAGGTTGTTCAGGGTTGTTAAGGACAGAACAGGTGGAAGGAGAAGAGCCCAGAGGCTGAAGGGAGCCATGCTGTGGGGGCTGGCCAGGTGGGCCAGAGAGGAACTGGGCTTCTCCTCCCAGTCCCTGCCATAGCAGGCAGTTTTATATGGATGTGGTGCGATGTTGCTCACGCCTCAAACTTCTCATCCCATCTGTCCTTCCTGAGCACCACAATGTTGTAAACGGTTTGGGCTGGAGCAGCCCCCCAAGAATTGATCTTGTGTGTCCCCCTCTGTGGCAGTTTTAAAATGTGGCCCCCAAATTCTTTGACCCTCCTTCCATCAAGAATTGGGATCTGTCTTCCCTTGCCCAGAATCTGGCCTTGTGACTACTTGACAAATGAATGCAGTGCTGTGCCAACTTCTGGGCCCAGGCCTTCAGACGCTGGCAGCTCTCACTTCCTGTCTCTTGGGACACTTACTCTTGGAACCCAGCCACTGTGCCCACAAGAAGCCAAAGCAGCCCTTGGGGAGGAGAGGCCCACGTGGAAAGGAGCCCACGGCCCTGGCTGTGCTCCCAGCTGATTAGCACCAGTGTGCCAGGCCTGGGGGCCGCTGTCCTGGGCACCCCCAGTCACGTCGTCCCATCTGACAGCACATGGAGCAGAGGTGAGCTGCCCCACCAAGCCCTCCCCAGGCTGCAGATGCAAGAATGACCACTGCCCCATAAGCCACCATGTCTCAGGGTGGTTTGTTATTTGCAATAGAAAACGGGCCCACCTGGCTCTGGCGAGCAAGCCCTTCAGCCTCCAGATGGTTGCATATATTTTTCTTAAAATAGCACCTATCCCAGCCATCCTGTAGACTCTTCTTTCTTTGGCAAAAGACTCTCAGCCCATCTCTCTAAATGAAGATGGTGATTAGCAGGAATTTTATTCCTAGAAGCCCACTCGCCACTTTTCTCATTTCATTTCTCCTCACAATCCTCTCCTCCTATTTTCGTGTATTTTCTCTTCCAATGGACACCTTCATCTCAGCCTCAGCTCCTGCAACCCCACCAAGGGACTTCACTGCGTGTCTTAGTGGAATCTCAGAGTGCGCATGTGCATGTGTGTGCGTGTGCATAGGTGTGTACAGGGCATAGTGTTGCAAACATTGCAGCTGGTAGTCAAGCAGCTGAAGGTTTCAATTGCTGACATTTTTTTTGTGGGTCAGTTGGAGACTAATCATTCCTCTTTTAAGATATTTTAAAACTAAAATCCACTTTTTCGTGTTATATAATTTTGTGTTTTTCAAATTTTCTACAATGGACATGAATTGCTTTTGTAATGAGGAAAATAAAACTCACTTCCAATGCCAACAGTGACAGTTGACCAGAACTCACATCCTGGCAAATTTCTTTCCAGGCTTTTGTCTATACTCAGACATCTGTTGGGTGTTTGAGATCATCCCATAAATACAGTTCTGGGTCTTGACTTTTCACTGTGCTATGTATTTCAAGAATCTCTCTCAACAAATACTTTCTCAAACCTGATTTTTAATGGCTTTACAGTGCCCTGTCATACGTAGTGTTCTTTATAATGTTCTACCATAAATAAATAATTCTTTTAATTCATTTAGCAAAATGTATGTGACATTTAGATTGTGATATATGTGTGTGTGTATATATATATTCACACACGTGTTAGTGTGCATATATATGTATGTGTGTCACAGCTTTGTATATAAACTTCTAAATCTTTGAACCTTGAAATTCTTGAATGTTTTCACCTTGATTCCTAGAAGTCAAAGTTCCAGGTTAAACCCTACGAACTTCTGGGAGGTTCTTGATATACAGTACAAGATGGTAGAAGCCATCCCTTCTGAAATATCTACCTGGCTGCAGGAACCATCTCCTTATTGCCTGGGTATCTCTCGCCCTTTTATTCCTAGGAAAGGGCCAAGGGTTGGGAAGTTCAAGGGAAGATAAAACCAGGTGAAGATACGGGAGAAAGTATGTAGATGGAAGAAAAAAACTCCTAAACTTAGTTTATAACCTTTGAATGGCTCAGGAGACAGTTTTTGTTTCCTAACCTAATAAGATGAAGGAAGAGAACCAGCAATAGTCACATGGGTAGATGCCTTCCATATATGACTTCACTCAACAGGGCCCCTGAGTTATTATTATCCCTGTTCTATTGACAAGGAAACTTTGGGCTCTGAGAGGTTAAATAACCTGCCCAGGGTCTGATAGCTGGGAAGGATGGAGCCTGGGTGTGGACCCAGGACTGTCTGGCTTCAGAGCCAGCAAAACACACTCCGGCCTGGCCCTGCATTTCCACTGCAGTGTAGGGGAAAGTGAGTGGGCCCTGTCTCGCCCTTATTCTTTCTGCCTCCCTGTTTGCTCTTTCTCCATTTGAATAGGAGGGATGACATGAAGACAAGGAGCCCTTTCCCAGCTGTCACACAATGTGGGACATCATACCCCAGAAGTTATTGAACCTTTCTTTCTCTGCAAATGTCTGAATCTGAGTGAAGCCTCCTACATCCCTCAACCCTGCTTGGATGACCTTTGGCAACCCTGCTGGGCAGAGGATTCGAGGGTTGCCGGGGAGTCCTCTGTGCTGCTCTGACCTGCATTCTTCCAGCACGTGTTGTCTAGGGCCATAAGCTCCCAGCCTGTGTGACGAGGGGAGGGAGTGCGGCAGATCAAGCAGTATTAATAATGTGGCCACTGGATGCTAGGCCTGTCCTCAGAGTCTATGACAGGAGTAGTGCGCAGAGGGCAGCCGAGGGCAGAGGGATGTGCATGCCACTCTGAACCCTGTGTTTAAACCCTAGCATGCCACAGGAGGATTGCTCCTTAATCAGAGCTTTGTCCAAACCCTCACTCTCCTAGCCACTAAATTGCATCTCTTACCCCATCAGATTTCCTTTGCAAAATTTGTCCTCTGGGGAGCCACCCCAGATGGACCCCATGTGGCTCTATTTAGATGTCTCATTCCGTTTGGGGAGCTTCATCTGGAGGTGACATTCAAGCTATTTAAAAACAGTAAGAATGAATCTAGTCCTAGACCAGTCTTAACAGACAGCTCTGAAGGCAGGAGCTGGCTCCCAGAGGCCCTCTGCTGGGGCAAGTGTTAACCCTTTCATTGCTGGACTCAGGGAGGTCTGAACATGCCAGGAGAGAAGGGCAGTAGTGGGGCTCATGGTAGTGGCTGTTTCCCAAGGGACACAGAAGTTTTTCAATATTTTAATAATTGGTATGGCTGTACCAGTGCATACAGATTTGGCTGAGGGAAAAAAATGGAGACTTGCCCATGGTTTCTTAGGGTCATTCCAAGTGTGTCTTTCCTGACCCCTCTGTAGACGTGGCAACAGGTCCTTCTTCCTCTGCATGTCCATTACAGAGCCTAATATCGGTTTCTGGATTCAGGTAACTTCCACGTTCTAGCTCATCAGGGATGAGCCTCATGTGACCCAAAGCCCGTTCCCAATTCCACAAATGAGGGGTCCTCCATCTTCAGTTCCCCCCATGGCAATACGTACCTCCTGATGTTTCTCTTGTAGCAGGCAGCCAATCAAAGGTGGCTGAAAAAAAATGATTGGCTTTTTGTATGGGTTAAATTTGCATAAAATTCCATTAGAGAATTGCCATTCTCATAGACAGTGTGGTCAACAACACAGTTTCTTTCTCCAGTGGTTTGACCATTCTTCTCCTTGACAGTGGCAAGACACTGGCCTGATAGACCAGGAGCTACTCCACCACCAGCAGCTACAAGGCCTTGGGTGAGAATTTCCCTCTCTGAGCTTTGCTTTCCTTCTCTGTAAAACAAGGTCTTGAAAGAGCCAATCCCTCAACCCCTGTTCAGTTTCTGAAATGATTTAATCCAGTGGTTCCCTTCCATTGCTGCAGTGATGTTAAGAAAGTTGGCTGGAGAGCCAGGTAGGCTGGCTTCCAATGCTAGTTCAGCCACTCTCTAGCTTTGGGCATAATAATAGGATTCTAGTGAAGGTTAAATAAGTTCACACAGGTAAAGTGTTTAGAACACTTGGCCCTTAGTAAACCCTCAATGAATATTACCTATTGTTGCTGCCTCTGGTTATCCGTAGGTTTTGTGAAGGCTGGAATCTTACCTGTATTAAGTGATACCATATTCTAATCCTTAGTTGAGTAGCCCATGAGCAGGCTCCCATCAGGGTCTCTATCCTGTATTAGAAGGAACAGAACTGACGTGCACTGAGGTTTCGCTCTGGGTCAGACCTTGTACCAGACACTGAACATGTACCATCTCACCGAATCCTCCTAACAATGGCAAAAGCCAACACCTATTCTTCTCTTGTTCTACTCCTACGGAAAGGGATGGAGGCTCACTAAGATGAAAGCCACATGGCTAATAATTAGTGGATTACGGATTCAGACTAAGGTCTTTGGGGCCCCAAAGCCTATGCCAGGGTGAACAAAATGAATTCCTCTGGAATGACAATTCATTATCAGCCCAGGCTCTTCCCAGGATAGAAAGCTGATACCTGCATTTGTTGAAGGAAGCCATCCTGTGGGTCAGCGCGGGGAGCATTTCCCCTGAAGCCTTCTCCCTCTTCTTTCAAGGCAGGCTTAAGGATCCAAACAACTAAGGAAGATGAAAGAACCTTGTTGATGAAGTCCTCTATCCTGGGAAGAAGAAGTTTCAAAAATAAAATAAAAAATGAAGAATGGGGTGGCGGGGGGCCATTGCTGGGGGAGAGAACAATCCTTGACAAATATCTTCTGTTAATAAATTCCATTTTGCCTTTAAAATATTTGCCAACTATCTAAGCAGGAAAAAATTTTCACATACCAGGTCAAACCATTGCTGAAATGCCTCTGTAGTCTGCCTGCCCACAGCCCCTGTTTCCATAATCTCCCAGGAGGCAGCCTCTTGTGGACTCCCGTGGTCTTCCCCCAGGAAGACTGACCTTTTGCATGAAGGGGATTCAGGGGGATTTAGGCAAGCTCTCCTCCTAGGCCCAGGAGAAGGTGTTCTAGTGGCCCTGCAGGTCTTTCTGTGTACCCATCTTCCTCTTCCTTTCCCCTTCCCCTCCCCTCTCTTCCCCATCCCCTTCCCCTCCCCTCTCTTCCCCATCCCCTTCCCCTCCCCTCTCTTCCCCATCACCTTCCCCTCCCCTCTCTTCCCCATCCCTTTCGCCTCCCTTCCCATTCCCCTTCCCCTTCCTTCTCCCTTCCCCCTCCCCTCCCCCTCCCCTCTCCTCCCTCTGTCCTCCCCCTCCCCTCCCCTCCCCTCCCCCTCCCTCCCCCTCCCCTCTCCTCCCTTCTCTCCATCTCACTGAACCAGGGGGTAGGAAACTTTTCTCATCTCTCTTCTGCTTCCCTCCCACGTTCATCCACCTCTTCTCAGTCAAGAATAACTCTTTCCTTCTCTCAAACTTGCTTGGTTTTGTTGGCTTGGGAGAAAAGAGTTTCTCCAACCCTTAGTTTTCCTGCACTTCCAGCCCTCTGCCTTCATGGATGAATAAATTCAACACATTTTCTGCAGCGGCTACTGGGGCAGCTTCCATTTTGAAAAAGTGTATCAGGCCTCAATATTAGATTTGGAGACAATTCCAGTTTGTCCCAAGGACTTGTTCATTTTGTTTTATTGAATTTGCTTAGGGATATGACCTTTTAAAGGTCCTGTGGGTAGATTTATGCCAAAACATACACCATTCAGGGACTCATGAAACCATCTGGGGAATATCTGGATGAAAAAGAAAGGCATTTGTTAACATTGTTCTGCCAAGGTGGAGAGCAAATGGAGATCTAGTTAAAACTAAAATACGGCCAGAGAGTTGATTATCTTTTCCCCTAGATGGACCATCGTTCTATCTCCAGCTCAACTTTTCCCTTCCTGGAATAGAGAGAGGCTGACTTCCACTACATGGTCATCCAGCCCACCCAGGAGAGTGCATCCAGTAAGGCTGCTTGTTTCAGAAAGAAGCACACTTGCTCTCCTATGCCTGGACCCTGGGCCAGAGTTACTCTTATTTTTCCCCCGGTGTACTTTGGAGACATTTTGAGAGCCTGATTATTTTTTAATTTCTTTTAACTTTTCTTTTTTTCTTTTTTCTAATAGAAACAGGATTTTGCTATGTTGCCTGGGCTGGTCTCCAACTCCTAGGCTCAAGCGAAACTCCCTCCTCTGTCTCACAAAGTGCTGGAATTCTAGGCATGAGCCACCGGGCCTGGACTAAGCCTGATGATTTCTTATTCTATGAGGTCATATAATGGGAGCCTTTGGGTGAGCAAGACTTCTCTGGGGTCAGAATACCCAGAGCCCAGCCCCTATTCAAGTTAACCCTTCTTTCCTTTTTCTCTTCCTTCAACAACTGTTTTGTTGTTGTTGTTGTTGTTGTTGTTTTTGAGACGGAGTCTCACTCTGTCGCCCAGGCTGGAGTGCAGTGGTGTGATCTCGGCTCACTGCAACCTCTGCCTCCTGGTTAAAGCGATTCTCCTGCCTCAGCCTCCCGAGTAGCTGGGACTACAGGAGCATGCCACCATGCCTGGCTAATTTTTTGTGTTTTTAGTAGAGATGGGGTTTCACCGTGTTAGCCAGGATGGTCTCAATCTCCTGACCTTGTGATCTGCCCACCTCGGCCTCCTAAAGTGCTGGGATTACAGGCGTGAGCCACTGCACCTGGCCTCAGCAACTGTTTTTGATGCTATGTTCCCTGCATGGTGCTAGATGCCAAGGATGCAATGATAAATAAGAAAGTTAGATTCTTGCCTCAATGGAACATGCTGTCTGGTGAAAGAGGTAGAAGCAAAGCACCAAGTTGGTGTAGTGTGGCAAGTGCAGCAAGAGCCATCTGAAAACTTTCTGATATCACGTTTTGTCCTTTGCCATTAAAAGCTTCATTTTGCCCGGTGTGGTGGCTCACGCCTGTAATCCCAGCACTTTGGGAGGCCGAGGCGGGCGGATCACAAGGTTAGGAGATGGAGACCATCCTGGATAACATGGTGAAACCCCATCTCTACTAAAAATACAAAAAATTAGCTGGGCATGGTGGCAGGCGCCTGTAGTCCCAGCGACTCGGGAGGCTGAGGCAGGAGAACGGCATGAACCCGGGAGGTAGAGCTTGCAGTAAGCCGAGATGGCGCCACTGCACTCCAGCCTGGGCGACAGAGTAAGACTCCGTCTCAAAAAAAAAAAAAAAAAAAAAAAGCTTCATTTTAGACTGGGCGCGTGGTGGCTTACGCCTGTAGTCCCAGCATTTTGGGAGGCTGAGGAGGGCGGATCGCCTGAGATCAGGAGTTCGAGACCAGCATGGAGAAACCCTGTCTCTACCAAAAATACAAAATTAGCCAGGCATGGTGGCACATGCCTGTAATCCCACCTACTTGGGAGGCTGAGGCAGGAGACTCCCTTGAACCCTGGAGGTGGAGGTTGCAGTGAGCCGAGATGGTGCCATTGCACTCCAGCCTGGGCAACAATAGTGAAACTCTGTCTCAAAAGAAAAAGAAGAAGAAGAAAAAAAAGACTTCAATTCTGACACTTTCATTGGAATTGGAATGGGGCTGGGAGTGGGAACCGGGGCCATCTTGCTGCCCCCAGGGAGAACAGGTCTGAGGTGGAGCCAAGCAGAGTGAGCAGAACTGAGATGAGCAGAGAAAAGCAGGGCCTGGTGAAAGAATGTCGCCGCATCATGCCTCCACTCCATTCCTAAAGTTTTCTGTTTACACGCAAGCCAGTATGTTCCCTCTTGTCTTGGATAAATGCATGTAAACAAACAAATGGGTGAACACAAGTATTCATGGACACAACCCAGGCACCTGCTAAGCAGGCCACCTCGTGTCTGGTGTCCTGGTGTCCTAAGAAGCACCAGCTTCCTTAATCCCCTTGGAGACCCTGTGAGGGCGGGAGGTAACGTGATGGTTAACTGCTGAGAATTCTTAGCCTGCCTACAACGGCCCTGAATCAACAACACAAGAGGCTTCCAGACTAGTGAAAACTTAGACATATAGTGGAGTGTGAGCCAAAGGTAAAAGAAAAGGAGACAAAGAGGCTGCAGAGAGAGACAGGCAGGAATGAGACGGTGTGAGGGAGGTGGGAGGTGGGTGCTGTTTCTAGATTCCTGTGCAGGAAAACTCTGCTGGAAGGCCTGCGATTACATGGCACTCAAGCATGTGGGTTGCTGCTGGAACTGGGTGCCCCACATCACGTAGGCCCTGTGAGCATTAAAATAACAATCTCCATCGTGTGGCACCTGCAGAGAAACATCAAAGGGGTTGAAGCTGTTCAGGCACGAGAAGGTGAGGCCTCACTGCGAGCCTGAAGCTGTTCCCTGAATGATGACCTGGCAAGTGAGTGTGAATGCCTGTCTTCCAGCCTAAACCGTCAGGACGGGGCCCAAGTCCTACTCATCTCAGTAACCTTCAGAGGATCTGGCACATAGAAAGAGCTGGAATCAAACGTGTTTCATAAATAACAAACTGGAAGAGTGGGTAAACTTGGGACCCAGGAGCTGGTTCAAACCCTGGTTTGAAGAAGCGAGGTGGATCCTTGGAGAGATATCGGCCTGCTGGACTGTCCCTTCCACTGAGTAGTGTTGGCAGGGAATAGGGGTTGGCTTCCCTGTCATAGGGTCCTCTTGCCATGCTTCACTGTGCTGCAGGGATGGAGACACACCTGCAAGTTAAAGGGCCATGTTTGGAAAGGAAAGATTGTTAGGAGCCTAGTAGCATCAGAGGCCCAGCTTCCCTGACTTCAAGGACCAACAACGATGAACTCTGTCTTGGAGCTGCTGGGCCCTTTTCATCGCTGTCCAGACTACAACACTTCCAGATGATTCTCACATTACAGCTTCTCAATGTCTGCCCTCGCCCTAACCTCGCTCCCCCGCCTACCCACCCCCCACCCAGTTAGCTACTGGATAGCAATTCCAGTGTCTCAGTGGGATTCAGCGGGGTAAGAAGGAATGCATTGCTATCCCATAACTCGAACCTTCTCTTGGCAAAAAGGAAATTCCATCTGCTCCCAAAAGAGTGGGAGAAAAATGACTGCTGGAATAGCAGAGTTGGAAGATTTAAAGGCTTCTTGGGATAAAGACTGAGGTTCTAGCCCTCACCACATCATTGATTAGTAGGGGGCTCTTGAGCAGTTCAAATCAATTTATTCATTCACATCATTGGTTAGTTGGGGGCTCTTAAGCAGTTCAAATAATTTATTCATTCATTCAACAAGCATTGAGTGATTACTGCATGTCAGGCCCCATGCTATGTATCAAGGATGTAAAGCTAGCCAAAGAGCATTTTCTACCTTCACAGACTATATGGGGAGATAGACAGCAGTCAAGACCATTACTTACAGCATAGTGCAGTTAATGGCAGTATGGTAATGTAATTAGTAGTAGTGGTATGATGGGAGGAACCCAGGATCCATGGAACCCCAGCAGAAGGCCACATTCATGGGCTTGCTCCCTCATCTGTGCATAAGAGCGTGTGGTGCCACATCATGAAAGGAAGGTAGGGAGGCTTTGGTGTGCCTGTTGTGGTCCCAGGTTGGGCTCCAAAGCAAACACTGAGCGGTGAGTGGTTCTCCAACCCCACTGCACATTCTAATTAGAGCCTGGTGGAGAGCTTATTTTAAAAGGTAGATTCCTGGACCTGACTTCAGGAATTTAGATTTATTAGGTTCGGGGTAATCTGCATTTTAAAGAAGTGCCTTGGGCTGATTCTGATGCAGATGGTCCATAGACCACACTTTGATAAGCACTGTCTGTAAAGTCCCTGACAACTCGAGGGTACTCCAATTTCTTCAGCTGTAAAGTCATTTTCTTTGAGTTAGCAGAAGGAGCATTCATGATGGAGCCTGGATTTTGGCTTCTTCCCCAAATTGCAGGCTTCAACTTTTTCTCTGTGTTACCAGCCAAAATAATTGTCAGGCTGTCAGTTTGACAGAAAGCCCACCTATTCATGCAGTTATTCTTGATTCAGATGTTTGGGGAGAAATAGAGTGAAACTACAATATGGAGTCTAAATTGTTTCCTGTTAGAAAAACACCTAAATATCCTAATAGTTAGGAGCAAATGCTTGTTCCTCGGTGCTGCAAAGAAATAGCACTTGAACATAAATTTAATTTTCTCAGTAAGGCAATTCTTTACTTCTATAGAAGGGTGCAACTCACAGATGGAGTAATGGTGAGAGCACACCTGCATGGGGAGGGGAAGGGGTTCTTATTCCTGATGCAGGTAGCCTGTACTGCTGCGTCGTTCCCCTATCGGCTAGGGTTGGACCATACAGTCTAAACTAATTCCTGTTGGCTGGTTTTTTTTTTGTGGTTTTGTTTGTTTGTTTGTTTGTTTGTTTGTTTGTTTTTGAGACGGAGTCTCGCTCTGTCGCCCAGGCTGGAGTGCAGTGGCGCGATCTCAGCTCACTGCAACCTCTGCCTCCTGGGTTCACGCCATTCTCCTGTCTCAGCCTCCCTAGTAGCTGGGACTACAGGCCACCATGCCCAGCTAATTTTTTGTTATTTTTTAGTAGAGAGAGTAGGAGTACGAGCCGGAGTGGCAGGGTAAGTAGTATGGCGGGAAGAGTGTTTAAAGAACAGGTGACTCAGGATGGCTCAGGTCAAAGCAGGTGACTGCGGGAACAGATGTGAACTACTAATTAGAACTGGTGAGAAAGTTGTTTACTGAAACTAGAGGCAAGGGGGCGAAGAGAACCAGAAAGTTAAACTTAAAAATGGAGAATCAAAGAATAAGAGAGCTGAACATACTGACATATTAATTCTTTGAAGAAAAACTTGGAGTTCACTATATCTAACATAATTAAGGCAGTAAAAAGTATGAGTTAAGAGCATGGGCTCTGAGGTCATTTGGCCTAAGCTTCCAATCTGAGCTTATTCCCTTAACAGCCTTAAGACCTTGGGCAGTTACTTTACCTATCTATGCCTCAATTTCCTTATATGAAAACAGGACTGATAGTAATGGCACTTACCTCAAGGGGTGCAACACGAGTTAAATGGCTTAAGGCATACAATAAGAACTTAGCATGGCGCCTGGTGCTTATAAACAAGAAATACTACCCGTTATTAACAAAGCTGAGTGCACAAAAATTCCCAGGAGCTAGAAATAAAGAGAGAACTGAAAACTAGAAAAGCGAGCACATTGGCTGTCTCTTACAGTTACCACAGATGAGAGTGGTATTGGTATTCGAGCTGGTCTTATTTGCACAGAGGCTTAGGCTTTAATACTGTTCAGGGACAGGAAACAAATTCTTGAGCCTGTGGGAGGTGGCGTGTTGGCACTGAGATGTCAACCTAAAGCCAGGACCCTGGAAGGACAACGTCCTTTTAAAAATTGCATAAAAAAGTCAATCTCTAGCAGAAAGAAATGAGACGAAAGTATGTTTATCTTGAACTGAGCTTTAGCTCAGGAGGGGGAAATGTCTCCCTTAAGAATTCAGAACCACTGGCATGAGCCTTTCATGGGTTTGGGGTTTAAATAAATAGTTCCTGCACAACCTAGAAACCCCTGGGCTAAGAAATAACATAAAATTTGGTATGGGCCAATTATACTCTGTTAGAAGCAAGCAGTTTGATTACACTGGTTTCTCCAGATTAAAGTCCTGCTGAAGATGAGCTCACAATCTGAAATCATACAACACTGAAGGAAAAAACATAAGCAAAAGTCTGCAGACCCGGCTGGGCGCGGTGGCTCACGCCTGTAATCCCAGCACTTTGGGAGGCCGAGGCGGGCGGATCACGAGGCCAGGAGATCGAGACCATACTGGCTAACATGGTGAAACTCCGTCTCTACCAAAAATACAAAAGAAGAAATTAGCCAGGCGTGGTGGTGGGCGCCTGTAGTCCCAGCTACTCGGGAGGCTGAGGCAGGAGGATGGCGTGAATCCGGGAGGCGGAGTTTGCAGTGAGCTGAGATCGCGCCACTGCACTCCAGCCTGGGCGACAGAGCGAGACTCCGTCTCAAAAACAAAACAAAACAAAACAAAACAGAAAACAAAAAAGTCTGCAGACGCAACAAACAACAGGATTAGACTTTCAAGAGCCGTAGATTACACAACCATCAGAGGAGATAATTAAGTATGTTAAAATGATGAATAATATAAAATAAAGCTTGAAAAACGTAAATGAATAAAATCAGGCAGGCTTTAAAAGTAAAACAAATACTACCATTTCTTGGAAATAAGAAAAATATTCATTAAACTTTAAAACTCAATGAACAGATTAAATAGTAGATTAGGCATAGTTGAGAAACAATTAGAAAACTTGGAGCTAAATGTGGGAAAGTATCTGGATGGAGACCGGAGATGAAAACTCTGAAAGAGATATTAGGAGACATGGAGAATAAAATGAGAAAGTCTAACAGATATTCAAGAGGACTTCCAGGAGAGAAAACTGAGAGAATGGGGTGAGGCAATGTTTGAAGTGAAGGTGGCTGAGAACCGATGAAAGATAAGAACATTTAGATTCAGGCTGGGTGTGGTGGCTCATGTCTGTAATCGCAGCACTATGGGTGGCTATGGTGGGAGGATCGCTTGAGTCTAGGAGCTCCAGACTGCCTGGGCAACAAAAAGAGACCCCATCTTTAAAAAAATTTTAAAAATTAGCTAGGCATGGTGGAGTGTGCCTGTAGTCCTAGCTACTTGGGATGCTGAGGTAGGAGGATCGCTTGAGCTCAGGAGCTGAGGTTGCAGTGAGCTATGATCATGCCACTGCACTCCAGCCTGTGTGATACAGCAAGACTCTGTCTCAAAAAAAAAAAAAAAATTTAGATTCAGGAGTCACAATGATGAACCCCAAAATAGATAAATAAAACCAAATGCTCTTTTAGATATACACTTTATAAAGATACACACTCTATATATTTTATAAAAGAAGCCAGAGAGAAAAGACTGAGCTCTACTACAGTGGAGCATGCCAAGGGAGAAGCCATGGAGATCACATGAATGGGAGTGTTCCCAGGATCTGTGACCTAGGTGTGGGGCCTGCATAATGAGAAACCTGTGGCCGATTGAATGCGACACAGGTAGGGGCTCAGGCAGAGGCTGAGATCAAGGATGACTTTAAAAGCAGATGGAGGATTTGGACTTGGTACAGAAAACTTCAAGGACCTCTTGCATTGTTACAAGGATCCAATGAGACAAGATAAATAGGCTTGTTAACTAAAAAGCAATTTTCAAAGGATGATTTCGCAGTGACTATGGTGTGGAAATGAAGCTATTCTGAGACTCTTTGTTTTCAACTTCAAACTGCTATTTTTTGTGTGTTTTGTTTGTTCTTTCCTTTCTTAACCTCTCTTTAATAGCACAGAGAGGTTTTGCAACAATCTGAGGTGTTTGAGAAAAGTGTTAAATTAGTTTGTGCAAATGCTTGCTATTTCACTGCAGATTAACCAGGCTGTGTGCAATGTGGACATATATTCTGGAAATGGCATAAATTATCCCACTTCGTTTGCCTTCTCTGTTGCTTGGTGAGACTGACCCTACTTGGAAAAACTTCAGATTGGGCCAAACAAGGGTATTCTTTGGGCTGAAAGAATGTCCCTGAAAACTCTGATTTTATATACAGGTTGGTATTTTTATGTATTCTCCATTTTCCTGAGCTGTTGTTGACAAATGGAAAGTTGAAAAACATTTGCCCAAGAAGTCCCAATAAAGCGTCATACACAGCCTGCCAAGAAATGTGAGTGAATTAGCAAAGGCTGGCCCAGGGAAATGAGGAGATGGGCTGGGTACCACCCAATTCACCCCACCGCCCACCAAGAAGCTATGATCTCACTGGCCTGTGACATGAGGACACATCTGGCTCAGGGAGATTCAGAGAGAGCTTGTTCTTGCAATACATTTTTTATTGAGTGATGACGATGTGGCAGTCACTGTACTCAGTGCACTGGGGACACTACAGTAATCCTACTCTCTGGAGCTTAGAATCTAGTGCAAGATGCAGATAAGTAATTATGATACAGCTCTGAAAGTATTATGTAATGGCACTTATAAACATAGCAATGGGGAGAAGTAATATCTGAGGCTTGTGAAGAATAAAGTAAGAGTTGCTGAGAAAAGGATATTCAAAGAAGTGTACATTGTTCAATTTTTATGGAGCACGAAAATGAGAGTGAACCATGAGAAATGTTGCTGGAAAGTCAGGCAGGAGCCAGACCAGAAGGAATCCTGTAAGCCATGCAGAATAAGCCTTGATCTCGAGGACTTTGGGGGCATTGAAAAGTTTTACACAGGAAAGTAACCTGATTAGATTTTCTTTTTAGAAAACTCACTCTGGCTGTTGTCTGGGGATTCCATTAGAGGAGAGAAACAGGAGGCAGGGAAATCCATCATATGGCTTTTGCAGCAGTTGCAGGCAGAACAAGGTGACAGGGGTGAAGTGGAAAGTGGGAAAATTAAAGAGGTGCTTCCGCAGGGGAATTGGTAGGAGTTGGTGATTGAATGTGGACTTTGAGAGAGAGTGAGGACTCAGGATCATGTTCAGGGTCCTGGTTTGACCATTAGGCAGATGATAGGAAGAAGTTCTCTCCTATGTCAAGAGAGAGTTGTAACCTGCAGTGGAGCAGAACAGATAAAGTTTAAGGAAACTTAGGGCCAGCTTCACAGCTTTTCAACCTGTGCTGTCTAATGGGGACTGCATTCAGAAGGGCCCAGTGCATGCTTTGCTGGCCATCTTGAAATCTGTAATACATTTATCTTTGAATGTGTGTTTTGTAAGTGAAGAGTGGTAGAACAATGGGGCATGGTCATGAGCAGAGGAGGCGTTTGCGATGTGTGTGTCCTCCATTCCTTGCTGCCCCATTCAGATAGAGCATTTGGGATGCCTCGTGAACACCCAATTCCAGTGGACATACCACGCATGGTGGCTCAGAGAGACTCAAGCAGGTATAAGATAAGCATGGTCTAGAAGCTGATGGCTTTGAGTCTCACTGAACAGAGAGATTTCCTACTCCTGTTCCCTATTAGCGTGACTATGACTGAGTAAGTGGGTGCTGACTGTGCCGCAAGGCTGTGCTTTCCATTCAAATAAGAGCTTGTTTCAAATGCAGAAAGAAGGCAATGGTGATCTTCTTAAGAACAGAACGACCAAGGAAGCTTCCTTACTCCTGTTACTTCCCTGTGTCAGCCAACCACTTTTGCTGAAACTGATGATATAGAAGGAAAGAAAAACACAGGGCAATGTGTAGTTTCTTGTCCTCTGAGTCCTTCCTTACTTCTCATTAAATTGAAGGTAGAATTTGAAATAAAATATGGAATTTTAAGAAACAGAAAAAATAAATGGAAAGTAGAGAACATTGGTAGAATGCACACTTAAGTCTGTGCAGTGTTTCTACTTTTCTGGCAAGAATGAAATACCTATGCATGTATAAGCTACAAAATACAAATTGTGTAATTTCAGTGATTCTTTTTTTTTTTTTTTTTTTTTTTTTTTCAGAGACAGAGTCTTGCTTTGTTGTCCAGGCTGGAGTGCAGTGGTGCAGTCATAGTTCACTGAAACCTTGAACTCCTGGGCTCAAGTGAACCTTCTGTCTTAGCCTCCCAAGTAGCTAGGACTATATCTGCATGCCACCATCACCTCCAGCTATTTTTTTTTGAGGTGGGTAGAGATGGGGTCTTGCTATGTTGCCCAGGCTGGTCTCGAATTCCTGTACTCAAGCAATTCTCCTGCCTTGGCCCCCAAAGTGCTAGGATCATAGCACAGTACCCAGCCTTGAGTTAATGTTCTTATGTTTGTATTTCACAATATAAACAGCAAAATTCATGCTAATAATTTAGTTTTAATTTTTCTTTACTTAGAAGGCCACTTAATGACATTTTTAGCAAATAAAAACACTATGACAGGCCTGGTGTGGTGGCTCATGCCAGTAATCCCAGCACTTTGGGAGGCCGAGGCAGGTGGATCACTTGAGGCCAGGATTTCAAAACAAACCTAGGAAACATGGTGAAATGCTATCTCTACTGAAAATACGAAAATTAGCCAGGTGTGGTGATGCACATCTATAATCCCAGCTACTCAAGAGGCTGAGGCACAAGAATCGCTGAGCCCAGGAGGCAGAGGTTGCAGTGAGCCGAGATCACGGCACTGCACTGTCGCCTGGGCAACAGAGCAAGACTCTGTTTTAAGACAGACAGATAGACAAACAAACAAACAAACCCACTATGACAGTGAGAATGCAAAATGGTACAACTACTTTGGAAGACAGTTTGGCAGTTTCTTACAAAGCTAAACATAGTCTTAACACATGATCCAGCAATCACACTCCTAAGTATTTACCTAAATTAGTAGAAAACTTATGTCCACACAAACATGTGCTATAAACATGAATGTTTATAGCAGGTTTATTCATCATTGCCAGAATTTAGAAGTAACCAAGATGACCTTCAGCATCTATTTGTGAATGAATAAACAAACTGTGGTATATCCATACAATGGAATATTATTCAGCGATAAAAAGTGAGCTATCAAAACAGTGAAAATATAGGGAGGAAACTTACATGCATATTGCTTAGTGAAAGAAGCCAATCTGAAATCTGTATGATTCCAATTTGATGACATTCTGCAAAAGGCAAAACCATAGAGTAAGTTATAAGATCAGTGGTTTCCAGGAGCCTGGGAGTAGAGGAAGGAGAGAGAAATGGATAGGTGGAGCATGGGAGGTTTGTAGGGCAGTGAAATCATTCTGTAAAATGATGGGCACATGACATTATGTGTTTGTCAAAACCTGTACAATGTACACCACAAAGAGTGAACCCTGACTCAGCGGACAAGGAACTCTGTATTTTCTGCTCAATGCCAAATGGTACAGCCACTTTGGAAGACAGTGCAAACAATGTAAATTGTGAACTTTGTTAAAAATAGTGTGTCAATATTGGCTCACTCATGGTAACGAATGTACCACACCAGTGCAAAAAAGGAGGGAGGTATATGGGAGCTCTCTGTATTATCTGCTCAATTTTTCTGTAAAAAATAGTCTATTAATTTTTTTAAAAAAGGGAAAAGGAATCTTTGTCCCATAGTGTATTGACTTTTGGGAGTGACTAAGAGGCTGATGGTGGTGAAAGTGACAGCCATTCTAGAAAGTCCTCAGAATGACTCATGGGGCTTTTTCCTGGGCTTTAGCCCCCTTCTTTGTCAACAGGGAGTGGAGTTTCAAGGCCTCAGTTGCACGCTGGCTTCTCCTTTGGGCACTGCCTAAACTTCAGGTGGTCTTTGTCAGAACTGGTGCTCAGGTGTGCTTTGTAACAAGCAAGGGCTCAGCCCCTCCTCTCTCCCCTACCTTGCCCCATTTCAGAATTTAGGAATCATGATTTCCTTCCATATCTATAAGAGATGGGGACTGACGTTTTTCCCTGGACAATAAATAATTGTCAGCATTTTCACAAAGGAGACTTTAGTACCGTCTCTGCCACTCACTGGGTGACTTTGACCAAGTTGCTTCGGCTCTCTGGGACTCATTTGACCTATGTGTAAGTGTAAGTGATGTGGAGGGAGATAAATTGGGTGATTTTCCAAGAAAAGAACCTTAATATGTAAAAAGATATAGGTGGGACTGCTCTGGTTGAAGGCAGAGAAAGTAGAGAGAGAGGCAGCCTGGAGTTCCGACCCACCACTCACCTGTCCTCTTGACCCACTGATGCCCTTGAGCTCCAGAATTTCTAGAACCCCAGGGTAGCATGGAGCACAGTTTGAGAACTCCTGATCCACCCACCTCATTTTATAAACAGAAGGGCAAAGGACTTGCTCAAGGTTGTACGAGGAGATAGTGCTCAGGATGGAATTAAGACCCAGGTTTCTGGACATCTAGTTCCGTGCTCTTTCCCCTCACTGTTTTGCCCCAGTCCTGTTGCGGCCACTTTTTGTTTATTGAGTAGGAAACACCCTCCCAAGCCCAAACATGAGCTCTGCCCTCTGGGAATGGAAACAGCAGCCCACACACAAATCGTTGCCACTGCCCATGTACCCACCCAGGGTGCCAGCAATACAATCCTGACTCTTACAGATAATGTGCGTTTATAACCCGCTATGAGATTCCTCAGGTTCCTAGGCCTCTGAGATCATTCTGTCAGGGATTTGGATGAACCATTGGCTTAGAGTTTTAAGCAGCTTTAGCAATTGTCCTCTGTGCCCACATAGCACTTAGTTATGCACAGTCCTGTATTCTTATAGCCTCATCCTTTTGGAGTATTGGTCTTAACTCTTCAACTGGATGCTCTACTCTGTAAGAACACAGTTCCCCTACGCCTAATTTTGTGTTCTGTACACAGTGGGTGCTTAGTTAAAAGTGCTCAATCATGCTTCTTTTCAAGGTCATTCCACCCATTCCTGCTCATAAAATGGGTAGGGGAGCCACATCAAAGCGAGTTCCAGAGGCAGGCCAGCTTTTGACCTATCAGAAAGGGCAGTGCACCACCTCGCCCAGCATGGAAAAAGTGAGAAGGAACTAGGCTGGCGGCCAATGAGGGTGTACTACAAATAGCCGCTACAAGTTTGGAACATTTCCTGTGCTGAACCCTGCAGATGTGTGATCTCCGGGAATGCTAAAAACAAACTTGGATGGACTTATTCCTACTCATGGTACAGATGAGGGAACTGAGATGTAGAGAAGGGAAGTAACTTGGAAAAGGCTTTAGAACTATGATTAGAACCCAGGTCTAGCTGATGCCAAAGCGCAAGTTAATAATCTCCATATCAGGATGACCAAGGGCACTATAATTGGGTTTTTAAAAGTCCTAGGGTCACATAAAGAGCTTGCATATCACATTTTTTGATAGCCCTCTGCCCAGTCTTTAACCTTCAGCCCACCTTGCTTTCTCTCCCCCTCCTGCAGCCTCCTAAAGAGTTTAGGACACTGGGCTGGGTGCGGTGGCTCACGCCTACAATCCCAGCACTTTGGGAGGCCGAGGCGGGCGGATCATCTGAGGTCGGGAGTTCGAGACCTGACCAACATGGAGAAACCTCATCTCTACTAAAAATACAAAATTAGCTGGGCGTGGTGATGCATCCCTGTAATCCCAGCTACTCAGGAGGTTGAGGCAGGAGAATCACTTGAACCCGGAGGCAGGGGTTGCAGTGAGCCAAGATCATGCCTTTGCACTCCAGCCTGGGCAACAAGAGCAAAACTCTGTCTCAAAAAAAAAAAAAAAATTTAGGACAACGAATGAAAGGGCTAGAGAATGTAGAGCCAGTGAGTTTATAAACCAGGCATGTCAACATGGCTCAGAGACCTCCAGGGGTGGGGAAAGAGGGTGCTGGATGAGACATGAACACAGGCAGAGATAGGGTAATGAATACAGAAAATCTGTAGAGTTTATCCCTGGGGGCCTGTAAATCTGGAACACTGTGGTCTAACTGAGCAATCCTGCTAATGCAGGCATGATGAGTAAAAGCTTCTCTCAAAGCTGGGGACTCTGAGAGTGTAGCAGGATGGTTACTCAGGCATCTCGGAGTAGGACAGACCTGGATTTCATTCTCAGATCCAGATCTGTCACTTATTAGCTGAGGGGCTTGGGGCAAATTACTTAAGCCTTTAAACTTTACTTTGCCATCTGTATTAGGAAATAATACCAACCTCAGAAGGTTGCAAATATTAAGTGAGATTCTTATTGGGTGCTTAGCATTATATCTGGTGTATTGTAAGCATTCAAGAAATAGTTGCTATTATTGTGATTATTATTAATGTTATTCAGGTTCAGTTTCTTATCAAGTAGGTATATATTTTTTTGATGGCCAAAGGGTTTGATAGCTCCTGTTAGGGACCCAAGTCAGCCCTTACACTCAGACTCCAGTGCAACAATTAACTCTTGCTCTCTGACCCACAGCCTCTGCAGTGTTTGTGTATCTGGAAGTTTACCTGGTGGAAAGAAAACTGTGTAGCTTCCGTCCAAAGATAGATAGGGTGGTAGCTCGGAAGAAAAATTACGCAGATCCCAGAACCTCTAACTTTCTTGAAAACTATTGAAACTTCCAGAATACCCAAAATCATGAAACCAGTTTTAAAGTTCTTGCTAGTCTGCAGGCAACCACAGACTCAAAATATTTGGGCTAGACTCTTCTATGGAAACAGAAATCATCTGGCCTAATCTCTTCTTTTGACAGATCAAAGCACCAAGTCCTGGAGAAAGGGTGAAATTTTGACTAGACCTACAGATTATTAGAATTGCAAGGCAGCGAACAGCACCACAAAGGACTGAGAATGAGACTCAGCCAAAAGTTTCTGTGGATCTGGTGGCCTCCAATCCACACGATTTCCTGACAACTCCAGTGCACGATGGTTGTTCCCACTGCTGGGTGACTAGTGTGGCAGGCTTCTGCTGTGTTGCCCCATTGCTCTTATGACTGATTGGCTTGTAGCCTGCTGAACCCAGGGGATAGTGAGTTCTTTGAGGGTAGGGGACACTTTAGCAATTAGAATCCTAAAATCACAAACATGTTTTAGCTGGAAGGAACCTTAGAAACGCCATTCTCCCATCCCTTTATTCTACAAATGGGAAGACATAGGCTCACATAGGGAAGGATCACATTTATGGTCACCAGTTTCATGGTGGCAGAGCCAACTCCAGAGCCTCGAATCCTCTGACCACTTCACCAAGCTGTGTAGTTGCACTGCACACTCAGTAGAGCCTCAATATGCTGATGACTCATCCATTTTTACCCCTAGATCTGTCCTCTACTCCTCTACCCAGAATTTCTGACTTGCAAATCCTACTTCCTATTCAACATCTCAACTTGGATGAGTAACAAACATCCCCACATGTCCAAAATGGGGCTCAGAGAAGATTGGGCATGTGTGAGTGTGCATGTGTGGTGTCAGGAGGTGGGAATAAGCACTCATCACACATTAGGTTCTTGTTGGCTAGAAACACTGTCTAGCTAATACCAGTGGTGCTAATAGATTACATAGGGCAAAAGAAGGGTTGTGTGCTCTCTGTAGCAAATGCCAAAGAGTAGCGTTATCATACTGGGGAAGTTTCAGAGCCAGCCCTTCCTCTTGCCCACACATATAGCTGGCATACACTGGCATAAGGAGGAACACACTGGGATGTCAACAGAGTCACACACACACACACACACACACACACACACACACACACACACTCAATGTTGAAAACTGTTGTAACTCTTGTATTATTGGTAGATTGAAACTACCGTGTTCAATTCCACATAATATTAAAAAACTACTTTAATCTGAAACTTTATTAGACCAGCTGTTATCTGTTATCACCTGTTCACTCCTGAAAACTTTTTTTTTTTTTTTGAGACAGAGTCTCACTCTGTCGCCCAGGCTGGAGTGCAGTGGTGCAATCTTGGCTCACTGCAACCTCCACCGCCTGGGTTCAAGCGATTCTCCTGCCTCAGCCTCCCGAGTAGCTGGGACTACAGGTGCATGCCACCACGCCCGGCTAATTTTTGTATTTTTAGTAGAGACGGGGTTTCACCGTGTTAGCCAGGATGGTCTGGAACTCCTGACCTCGTGATCCGCCCGCCTCAGCCTCCCAGAGTGCTGGGATTAAAGGCATGAGCTACCGCGCCCAGCCGAGAAAAAATTTTATTATAGCTTCTATAGTGCTATTTCTTACAATTCTGATTTTCTTTTTTCAGGATCTACCCTGTTTGAATTGCCTTTATGACAAAAACTGCAAAATGCAGCCCCAAGGGAGAGAATAATATAACTCATTATATAAGATCGATCAGAGATTAAATGAATACCTACCAAATACCAATGTCTTCATTGATGCTAAGCTTCTCCCTCTTGCAAAGATAATCAACAAATTCAATTGCTTCCTAAGTTGATGGCGGTGGAACAGTGCGAGCCCTCCAATTTGCTGTGGCAGGAAATAATACATCTGGTGTCCTCAACCACCACTCTGATTTGTTCAGATGACAACTCAACAGGAAGGGCCTCTCAAGGTGCAGTCCTTTCATCTTTAAGACGAGAGATTGTGTTTCTCCTAAGATAATCTTGCTTTTTCTGATTTCCACAGTAGAATGTTTTATGTGCTGTGGAAAAAGAATAATACAATCAGGAACATATCAAGGTCATATCAAGACATACCAAGGTCATCCACACAGGCCTTCTTACTTTCAGTGGACTGGAGATAGACTGTCAGTAGATGAACTCCTCAGACAGTCTTCATGGACTCTATTCTGTTTCCTTTTGTGGGTCCTTAGGAAATAGAGAGTGCTAGAATAACTACATTCTAAACGTCATAGAATAGAGATTAGGGATAAAACAGAGAAGGAAAAGAAGGGAAGCAGAAAAAGACCAAGATACAGTTGATATCTTAGCAACAGGCAGATCACACATGTCACTATTCAGTATCTACAATTTTCTTTCCTTCCTTTCTTTTTCTTTCTTTCTCTTTCTTTCTTTCCTTCCTTCCTTTTTTTCTTTTTCTTTCTTTCTTTCTTTCTTTCTCTTTCTTTCTTTCTTTCTCTCTCTTTCTCTCTTTCTCTCTCTCTTTCTTTCCTTCTTTCTTTCTTTCTTTCTTTTTTCTTTCTTTCCTTCCTTCCTTCTTTCTCTCTCTCTCTCTCTCTCTCTCTCTTTCTTTCTTTCTTTCTTTCTTTCTTTCTTTCTTTCTTTCTTTCTGACACAGTCTTACTTTATTGCTCGGGCTGGAGTGAAGTGGCACGACTATGGCTTACTGCAGCCTCAACCTCTGGGCTCAAGTGCACTCAAATGATATTTCCACTTCACCCTCCCAAATAGCTGGACTGCAGGAGTGACTCACCATGCCTGGTCATTTTCTTTTGTTGACCATGCGGTCAAGACAGGCATCCTCCTTCTTGAAGACGTCTTCCTTAGCAGCCTGGACAAACTGAAATTTTTCCTGAGATGAAAGTTCTGTTTTTCTCAGGAGACACACCCCAACACACACACACTAGAGGCTGAAGGTGACTTTGCTCATGCCTTTATTGCATCCCCACAGGTCCCAGCCCCAAGGATGGAAGAGAGCAAATGAATGTAGACATTTTCCCTTGGATAGAAAAAAAAGAGAGAAAAAAGGCTGAAAGTTTGTTCTAGTTTGAGAGAAAAAGAGTTAACAGTAGGGAAAAGGAGGGGGTTTTGCTGGGGTGTGGTGAACATGCAGAAGGTTGTTTATAAGGTGTTTCTTAAAAGCGATCTTTCAACAAGCTGCTCATCTATCTATTGCTGCGTAACAAGCCACTGCAAAACTTAGTGGCATCAAACAAGCACGATTTATTAGTTTTTCCAGTTCTGTGGGTTTACCGAGCAGGTCTTCTGTTGGCCTCATGGGGCTCCCTGTCCAGCTGCATGCAGCAGGCAGGTTTGTGCAGCCGGCTGGGCCTCTGTCTCCTTTATCCTGAAAGAGGCTAGACCTTGCCTCTAAACATGGCAATGACAGTGTCCCAAGAGAGTGAAAGTAACATCTACAATGCAAGATCCCTTAAAGATCAGCTCAGAGATTCACACTGGGACATTTCCGCCATATTCTATTGATCAAAGCCAGTCACAAGGGCAACCCATGTCCAAGGGATGGAAAAATGGATTCCATCTCTCAGTACATCTATAAACTGACAGAGTGAAGAGAGGAGGGCACAGGGGAAGCATGACTCATCAGTGGTCATTATCATAACAACATATCACATGAAGCAGTTGTCAGATATTAGAATGTTGGAACCAAAAGGGACCAACCAGGACAGGAACCCAGGACTCTTGACTTCCAGTCCAAGCCTCTTCCCACTAAGCCAGTTATTCCAAGCAATACTTAGCTCTCTCTCAACTGCCAGGAGATTCAAGCACATCATGCTGCTAGATGTGGCTTCCAGCACCAGCTCAGTCAAATGTGGAGAACCACCTTCTGCCCTAAGCAAGCCTGGCTTCTTCCCACCCTTCCCCTTGCTTCCCACACCATTTTTATACATTCCATAGACTCAAAACATTCTCCGTAAATTTTAACAAGTTGATGAGGAATTTCTACAGTGAAACTCTTTTTCCTTTTGCAGCAGAATGGAATAACAGCAAACAACATTGGAGGAGGACTTGTCTGGGAGAGCAGCCATTTTAAAGAAGAGCACATTAAGTCACAAACAGTCGCAGCTGATCTACTTTGCAGCATCGCCATACATGCCTAACTAAATATTGAAATCCCGGGAAAAACTCACTGTGCATCATGTTCCAGAAACTAGCTTTGCAAACAGTCTTTTCAGATGTGTACATTTTGTGTATTTGAGGCATATAATATATATATTTTCCTCCATGTTCACCCAACCTTTACTCCTATACTTAATTCAGCTGCACTGCCATAAAAGCATTTCTATAAAGTACTTAATTTCAGGTGAGGCAGGGCAAAGAGAAGCCCCCAGGCCCAGGCTCTCCCTCTAGGAGAGTAGTTTTCTACTGGGGATGGTTTTGTCTCCCCACCCCCACCCCACATCTTTGGGGACATTTGTCAATGTCTGCAGCACCTTTTATTGTCATGGAGGAGAGGTACTACAGGCATCCAGTGGGTAGAGGTCAGTGATGCTGCCAAACATCCTACAATGCATGGGACAGCCCCCAAAATGAAGAATGATCTAGCCCAAAATGTCACTAGTGCCACTGTTGAGAAACTTGCTCTAGGAGCTTGTAATTATGACATCGGGGCTGGAATATTTTATGTTCAATGAAAATGTTGCAGATTTCTATTTAAATCGTCATTTGGGCTGGGTGCAGGGGCTCACGCCTGGAATCCCAACATTTTGGGAGGCTGGGGCGGGTGGATTCCCTGAGCTTAGGGGTCTGAGATCAGCCTTGGCAATATGGCGAAACCTCATTTCTACAAAAAATACAAAAATTATCCAGGCGTGGTGGTACATGCCTGTGGTCCCAGCTACTCAGGAGGCTGAGGTTGGAGGACAGCTTGAGTCCAGGAGGTTGATGTTGCAGTGAGCTGAGATTGTGCCACTGCACTCCAGCCTGAGCAACAGAGCGAGATCCTGTCTAAAAACACATTCCATTCAAGTGTGTTTTAAACTATAGAGAAGAAAAGGGACATGGGAGCACATTTTTGGCAGGGGTTAAGTCGTGAAATACACAGTTTAGAGAAGAGATTATTTTCCATAGCGATGAGGCATTCATCACAAAGGAGGGACAGCTGACTATGTTAAAATATAATTGCCAGGTAAATATTTTCTTGACTACAAAGTGATGTTATAGGGTATTACTCAGAGAAGGAGGCGTTCCAATTAGTCGCTAATTTTTCTTCATTTTTCCAGTTCTGATCTGGAGACAGATGCAGCTGTCACTGATGTAGAGCCAAGGTTTTCAGGACCTTTCCTCGTCACTAATAGGAAACTACCCTCTTCCCCCAAAGGGCCGAGACTGGCAGGTACAGTGAGCCCAGACAAGATTGGAACTTGTCAATTTCTCATGTATGTAGTTCTGAAATCAAAACCTCTCTCCCAGAAGTCTCTCAGTGATGGAAAGCCTGGCCAGGTGGTGGGTAGATAGTCTTCTTGTGTTGCATGAGCAAAGGGACTCAGGCTCAGGGAATTTACATAACTTGCCTAAAAACACACAACTGGTAAGAATTGGAACCAGGCTCTGAAGTCCCATCTTCTCTCTTCTAGATTGGATTGCTTTCTTATTGACTTGGTACGTTGAAAAGGGCACTTGATTGGGAAACAAAAATAGCATCAAGTTTTCTTTTCTTTTCTCCCTTCCCTTCCCTTTCCTTTCCTTCCCTTCCCTTCTCCTTCCCTTTTCTTTCCTTCCCTCCTTCCTTCCTTCCTTCCTTCCTTCCTCCCTTCCTTCCTCCTGCCCTTCCTTCCTCCCACATTGACTATATCAGCCCTTAGTTTATTCTGGAGAAGTAAAAAATAGTTTGTTACATTTTTTTCCCAGATTCTAGTTATTATACTAACTTTACATTCTTTTAAAAATGTTTTTAACATCAAGTTCTCTGTGGCTTTAACATCTCTAGACCTAAGTCTAGAGATGTTAAAGGAGGACCTAAGTCCTCTTCTGTAAATTGGGATAGCAATAATGTCTGGCGTGTCCACAGCCCCTCACAATTTCCATAATCTCACTGGATCTAGACTTCTCTCACTAGGCTCCTAAGAATTCTAGTCTCTTCCATTCACAAGGAGCTATGAGGCCATTGGTGAGTGGATGGAGGGTGAGGGTGTGCAGGTGCTGCTGCTCAACTCAGACTCTCCCTGCCCCAGAGTAGAAGAGGCAGAGAACAAAGAGGGTGTGGTGTGGGTATGGGCCATGCATGACGGTGGATAGATCGGGACTGTCATGGTAGCAATAGCAGCAGAGTCAAGCTAAAGAGAAGCTGGACAGAGCAAAGCGCTGAAGAACATTTTCTTGACTTTCCTTTGGTCTATGCAAAGTGCCATTTACTCATTCATCCATCCGTCCATCCATTAAGCCTTCACTGAGTCCAAACTGTGCTCCAAGCACACAGTGAAGAGTTAAAGTTAACTAAGATAAGGTGGATCCCTCCCCTCCTAAGGTGTCAGAGTGGGTAAGGGTGTAGGTTTGGGTATCAAAAACCTGAGTTTGTCTTCCAGGTCTGTCACTTCTTTGGGTAAACTCTTTAACCTCTGTGTGACTCAATTTCCCTATGTGTAAAATTGGAATAATAGCAGTCCATATTAAAGGGATGCTCAGAGGAAGGTAAAGCACTTAGCATAAGGCATGGCACAGAATCAGTATTCCATAAGTGTCAGCTATTGTGTTACTATTAAGTGATGAGGCAGATATGTCAATAATTCACTGTTAGCTGACCTGGAGCCCTGGTAGATGGAGCCCATTGAAGGAAGCTGGAACATTCAGGCAGGAAACAGGCACGAAAAAAGAAAGGAGAGAAGATGACCCAAAATGCCACCATGGCATGTGTGTCTTGCTTTTATTTTTTATTTTTATTTTTTGGCTTCTACTTGGGCAGAAAAATAAACATATAGAAAAATCCCCATGAGAGGAGAATTCAGATGCCACGAAAATGTAGAGGGTACTCACACAAAGCCAAGCAGGTCTACCTGTGACCTCCCTCTATCTTTCAAAGAAGCCTGTGAGGTAGGTACTATCTACCACCTGTACTAGCTTCCTGGGGCTGCTGCAACAAATACCACAAACTGGGGGGCTTCAAACAACAGAGATATATTTTCTTGCAGTTCTAAAGCCCAGAGGTCTGAAATCAGTATTGCTGGGCTGAAATCAAGGTGTTGGCAGGTGTATCTGTTTGTTAAGGTTGCTATAACAAAGAAACACAGACTGGGCAGCTTAAAAGACAGAAATTTACTTTCTCACAGTTCCTGAGGCTGGAAGTCCAAGATCAAGGTGTTGGCAGGACTTTTCTCCTGAGGCTTGTCTCCTGGACTTGCAGGGGGCTCTTGCTCACTTCTTTGTCCTCACATGGTCTTTCCTCTGTGTATACACATCCCTGCTGTCTCTTCCTTTTCTTTCTTTCTTTTTTTTTTTTTTTTTTTTTTCTTGAGATGGAATCTTGCTCTGTCACCCAGGCTGGAGTGCAGTGGTGCTATCTCGGCTCACTGCAACCTCAGCCTCCTGGGTTCAAGCGATTCTCCTGCCTCAGCCTCCAGTCTCTTCCTCTTTTTATAAGGACATCAGTCCTATTGTATCAGGACCCCACCCTAGCAGCCTCATTTTAACTCACACACCTCTTTAAAGACCTTATCTCCAAATATACCTACATTCTGAGGCACTGGGGGTTGGGACTTCAACATATTACTTTCGGGGTGGTGACACAATTCAGCACATAACAGCAGGACCATGTTCCCTTGGGAGGCCCTGAGGGAAAATCAGTCCTGCTTCTTCCATACTCTGGTGACTGCTGGCATTCTTTGACTTGTGGCCACATCACTCCAATCTCTGTCTCAAGGGCCACTTTGACTCCCTCTTCTGTCTGTGTAATCTCATTCTACCTCCCTCTTACAAGGACATTTGTGATGGCATTTGGGGTTCACCAGGATAATCTTTTTATCTCAAGATCCTTAACTTAGTTATATCCGTAGAGACCTTTTTTCCAAATAAGGTAACATTTGCATGCTCCAGAAATTTGGATTTGGATATCCTTTGGGGGGGCCATTTTTCAGCCCCCCAAAACTGAGGCTCTGCAGGATGAAACAACCCACCCAATGTTATGGAGAGAACAGAGGCAGAGGCAGGTTTCCGAACACAGGGGACAGAGCTCAGTCCACGGTTCCTTCCAGTCCATGTATTAATAGCTGCACACCTTTGAAAGCAGGATGAGAGACATACTCTGCTAAGAAGGACGCCCTCACCCAGAGTTTTTCCTGCAGAGAGGAGGAGCACAGAAGCTCAGCAGAGACCGTGGGACCAGAGAATCATATTTGTGGTCAAGCAAGTTCCTAGAAGCAAGGAATGTGACGTGAGCTTCAGATCCAGAGAAACGTAATTTATCTTGGAGAATGACTCAGGTGCAAAGGGCCAAAGCTGCTGGAAGAGCACTGGGATGGTGACTCTGGGCAGGCCGCAGCTGAGTCGATGTTTACTCTCTTCAGAAATGAAGCAGTGGGCAGGGAAAAACTCACTGTGTCTCAAGCACAGAGACACTGGGAGGTAACCAGGCTCGATGAAGGTGGCCGCCTGCACAGTGGTTTGGACCCTGGTGTATATGTGTGTGTGTGTGTGTTTGTGTGTCGGGGAGGGAGGGGACAGGGCCAGGGCCAGGGATGCCGACAGGTGCTTTTCTGTTTGAGAAACATGCTTGCTACAAGCACAAGGAGCAGGTAGGATCACCAACCCACTGTAGTTTGCCGGGGACTTTCCCTGTGTAAGCACTGAAAATTCTATGTCCCAGGAAACCCCTTTTTCCTTGACAAACAGACACAGCTGGTCACTGTAGCTCCAGTACTCATTTGAATATAATGAATGCCTCAAGTCTATTTCACATGGCAAGGCCATGGCCATGGCTCTGTCGCCAAGCTGAATGGGAAGGAAAGGCAATTTGTCTTTGCAAATTGCCCCAAAACAAGCAATATAAAAAATGATGCAGCTGGGCGTGGTGGCTCACGTCTGTAATCCCAGCACTTTTGGGAGGCTGAGGCTGGCAGATCACTTTAGCTCAAGAGTTTGAGACCAGCTAGGCCAACATGGTGAAATCCCACATCTATTAAAAACACAAAAAATTAGCCCGGCATGTGCTTGTAATCCCAGCTAGCTGGGGGACTGAGGCAGGAGAATTGCTTGAATCCGGGGGGTGAAGTTTGCAGTGAGCTGAGATTGTGCCACTGCACTCCAGCCTGGCCAACAGTGAGATTCTGTCTCAAAAAAAAAAAAGACGCATTCATTATGTATGAGCTTGGCTGCCCTAACAGAGACTGCAAGTAACAGTGGCTTAGATGTAGTAGAAGGTCATTGTTCTTCCACTTAACAGCCGGGGCTTACACAAGTCAGAGTCAGCGTGGCAGCTCCATGAACAGGGTTCCCTCTGTCTGGTTGCTGAACCTTCTCTAGGGTGCTGCCCTGGTGCGCATGACCTACCACCTTCATGCTCCTCACCGTCCTCCGCCCTCTCAGCTCTCCCTCTCCACGTAAAGAGTTCCCTGTGTTACAGTTCCCCTGTGTAAGTGTCTAGAGAGCTTTCTGCTTTCCTAATTGGATGCTGACTGATACAACCTGTGACTTCAAAATGATAAGAGGTACAGAGAGAACATGGGCAGAGGAATGCCACAGACATACCCGTGGCAGACATATCTCAAGAAGTGAGACCAGAGAGAGGAGAAAGGGCATTGATGGCTTGATCTGAGACGGGAGGAACATCTTCTGGTTGTTGTTCATGAGCAGGTAGTTTGAGCTGCATGGAGCTGTAGAGTGGAGCTTGGGTGGAAGCTGATTCATGGGCTCCTGAGTGGAGGCTCCACAGATGGGAGTGGACTCGGGCAGCAGTCAGGGCTGAGCTGGGTGAGGAGGGAGGTCCTCAGCAGATTGGCTAGAGGAAGCAGGGGTGAAGCCAGGAAGGGTCAGCAAGGAGCAGGCAGTGGAGCAGTCAGAAGATCCTGCCTGAATGTTGGAAAGAGGAGGGAAGAGCAGCAGAGTCAGTAAGGAGAGGTGAGAGGCTCCTGGATGAAGAGGGAAGTCAGCAGGGGGCACCAGTGAAAGTCCCGGTTATGGGCTGACTTGTCTCCCCCCGAAATTCATATGCTAAAGACCTAACCCCAGTACCTTAGAATGTCACTGTACTTAGAGACAAAAACCTTTAAAGAGGTGATTAAGGTGAGCCCTAATCCAATTTGACTGGTTTCTTTATAAGAAGAAGAAATGAGGAGCCTGGCCAACATGGTGAAACCCCGTGTCTACTAAAAATACAAAAGTTAGCTGGGTGTGGTGGTGTGCTCCTCTAATCCCAGTTACTCATGAGTCTGAGGCAGGAGAATTGCTTGAACCCGGGAGGTGGAGGTTGCAGTGAGATGAGATTGCACCATTGTGCTCCAGCCTGGTAACAGAGTGAGACTCTATCTCAGAAAAAAAAGAGAAGAGAAAATGGGGACACAGAAATAATGTACAGAGGGAAGAAGCTGTGAGGACACAGGAAGAAGATGGTATCTACAAGCCAAGGACCATCTACAAGCCAAGGAGAGAGACCTCAGAAGACAACAACTCCACTGATACCTTGACCTTGGACTTTCAGCTTCCAGAACTGTAAAAATTAATTTCTGTTGTTTATAGAACAGTCTCCTGACCTTGGTCTGTGCTGTTTGTTACAGCAGCCCAAGCTGACTGATACAGTCCCTTACTTATCAGCGTATGTTGAATTCTTCCCAGCAACTATTTCTGGGAGCATTTTGCCTGATCAAACTTTTTCTTCTTTCTCTTTATTTTCTTTTACATATTAAAATTTATTCTTTTAAAAGAAAATTTAAATTTTATTTTCTTTTAAAAATGCATATAAAGATTATTAAATATAGATGTCCTTGTTATGCAGAATAAACAACTGTAAAAAATTTTTTTCATTTGTTTCAAACTTTCTTGATAAAATAATTAAACATTTCGATGATAGTTAAAATTTGACACAACCCTCAGCCCTTTCCTCTTCTCTCTTTCTTCAGAGGCAGTCACTATCAAGGAACTGATGTGAATTCTTTCAATCCATGTGTCCATGAATAGCATGTAGTATTAGTTTGTGTGGGTTTTATTTTTTTGCATTCACGATACATGTGTTGTGAATTTTGACTCTATCACTTCCAAACTTCATGTTTGCTACTTCCCAAAGTCTAGCAGGCAAATCATGGTACGAGAGATGTTAACTGGTACATGACTAGTAAGGCATTAAAGAACATTGAATGGGTCAGGCGCGGTGGCTCACGCCTGTAATCCCAGCACTTTGAGAGACCGAGGTGGGAAGATCACTTGAGGCTAGGAGTCCAAGACCAGCCTAGGCAACAAAGGGAGACTACACCTCTACAAAAACACAAAAATTAGCCGGGTATGGTGGCATGTGCCTGTAGTCTCAACTACTCAGGAGGCTGAGGTGGGAGGATTGCTGGAGCCTAGGAGCTGGAGGTTATAGTCAGCCATGATCACCCTCTGCACTCCAGCCTGGGTGACGGGGTGAGACCCTGTCTCCAAACAAACAAACAGACAAAAAAACATTGAATTGAATAAGGACATATTATTCCCTGCAGATTAAGTCTCAGGGGGACTAAGTATTAAACACTTGCTAATTTCCTTCCTTAACAAAGAGGAAGTACAGACTCTAAGCTAGCCAAGTTATCTGGCTAGATTTTCATACCATTGTCATTTTCCATGTGTTTATGTATTTGTTTACTTATTTTTTGAGACAGAGTCTTGCTCTGTTGCCCAGGCTGGAGTGCAGTGGTGCTATCTTGGCTCACTGTAACATCCACCTCCCAATTCAAATAATTCTCTTGCCTCAGCCTTCCGAGTCACTGGGGCTACATGTACCTGCCACCACACCTGGCTAATTTTTATATTTTTAGTAGTTGGCCAGGTTTGTCTTGATCTCCTGGCCTAAATTATTGATCCACCCACCTTTCTTTTTCTTTTTCTTTTTTTTTAAGACGGAGTTTCGCTCTTGTTGCCCAGGCTAGTGTGCAATGGGGCGATCTCAGCTCACCATAACCTCCGCCTCCCAGGTTCAAGTGATTCCCTTGCCTCAGCCTCCTGAGTAGCTAGGATTACAGGCATGTGCCACCACACCCAGCTAATTTCATATTTTTAGTACAGACGGGGTTTCTCCATGTTGGTCAGGCTGGTCTCAAACTCCCGACCTCAGATGATCTACCTGCCTTGGCCTCCCAAAGTGCTGGGATTACAGGTGTGAACCACTACACCCGGTACCGCCTTGGTCTTTCAAAGTGCTAGGATTATAGGCGTGAGCCACTGTGCCTGGCCCATGCACTTATTTTTATGATTAATTTATACTTAAGATGAATAATATTTGTCTTTCATTTTTGACAGTAGAATAAAGCTACCCTATAAAGTAAATTTATTAAAGTGTAAAAATTAGGTAGATTTAAATTTAAAGTATTAAGCCAATAATGGTACACATGGCATATGAATACTGAAAATTAGTGAAGGGCATTCATGAATGGGATTTTGGGAAAAGCTGATACCTACATTTATTGAGCACTCTGACTGCCACTGGCACTATAGAAGGCATTCTATATGCAATTTGTTGTAATCACACAACAACCCTGAAGAAGGGATGATTAGTCCCCTTTGGCAAATTAGGAAACTGAGGCCCAGAGGGGCGATGTGAGTGGCTGAGCCCACGTTTGAACTCTCTGATCCGAGACTCCTGTGCCTAGGCGATGTGTAATGTCTGAAGTCTTGTCTGTAAGATGAGTCTTAAGGCACACCTGAGCTAATGACTTCAAAGAGCTGCCTAGGGGGGCACATAAGGCAAGGATGCTGTCGTGCTTTGAAACATGTCAGAGTGGCTTCATGGCACATGCTAGTGCAGAAGGATCAGTGCTTGGGTCTGATGCTCTGCTATTGCCTCCTTGAGAATCTTAATACTTTTTCTTTAGCTGTGTTTGTATTTCAAGTCTGGTGGGATAATGCACAGGAGGCTTGACACCTCGTCTCACCTGCGGCCCACCCCCGACTGTCTCCCTGGGATGGGTTCTCTACAGCCCAATCTGGCCTCCCCCTCCCCACCCCCAACTCCATAGTGGTGGCTACCTTCTGCCCAGTGTGTTGATGGGCCACGTTCCACTATTAGTCGTCCTGGCCTGGATGCAGCCACAGACAGGGCTGGAGTTGGGCACGTTCCGCAGTATCTCACATGGGGCAAGGTTATGTCCCTCCTCAGGGTTGCAGTGCTGTGGCTTTTGCAGTGGACAACTGAGTATGAGCCTCTCATTCACCCTCATTCCAGGGAACCTGGCACCCAGGCACCCTGGCACCCTGGCATCAAGGTTGCAACTCCTGGGGAGATAGCCTGTCCTCTACAGGCTGAGGCAGTGGCTCATCTACAGGAAGGGGAGATCCACTTCCCCGCCCCCTGCCAGTCTCCACGTCCCATTTTGCTTTTGGCCTCACAAATGATGTAGTCGGCCCTGAATGCAGTACAAGTATAAGGAAGTGCCTAATGTGTGTGTCCCTGTGTGTGTTGTGTGTGTCCATGTGGAAAAGCAAGAAGACAAAGAGAAAAGCTCAGGAGAAAGGAAAAGCCTTCTCTTCCCTTGGGAAACCTCCAGGGCAGGGGAATCCACAGAGATATAGCCAAGCACACAGGACTGATGTCCCAAAAGGCAGCTCTCCTCTCCAATCCAGCAACTTGCTATGGGCCTCTGTTTATGCATCTGCAAAATGAAGGGTCTGGGAATGGGATGGAAATGGGAATCTATGGATTCTCTCCCCAGAAAAATGGGGATGTTACATGGGACTTCAAACCATCATAGCTGCCCCACTATGTGCCTGTGAAACTCACTGATGGGCCCCAGGGGCTCCAGGTTAGGAATCCCGGGACTGGAGAGTCTCTGATGTTCCTCCTGACATCCAACCGGGCAGGAAGAAGCAAGCAACCTAAGAAGGCTGAGTGGGTGGGAGGCGGGCTGAAGTGTAAAGGCACCAACTGCAACAGAAGAGAAAGCCTTAGTGAGACCCGTGAAAAGAGCAGAGTAATGAAGATGGTGCAGTGTGACGGTTATAAAATCCCCCTGGGAAATGAGGCAGTCAATTAAAAAGAAAGAAAATGAGGACAGACAAAGAAAAAGTCCATCTCCATAGAGTAGAAAGTGACAGGTTAGCAAAGCTGTCTCATGAGATGTGTGCACTAACAGTCCCTGGGGACCTTACCTGACTTCCATGGCGGGAGTGACAGCTCTGCCAGCTTGCTCTCTGATGGGCCACTGGAAGATTTCTGGGGCTAGCTGGCCAAAGCTCTGGAGAGAAAGAGTGAGTGGACACCAGCTTCAAAGAAAGTCACTCCAGGGCCCTGGGGTAAAGTAGCATAGAATAGAGATTTGAAGTGAGTGCAGCAACAAATGGCATAACAAAATGTTTAAATTCAAAAAAGGAAGCCCAGTGTCTGGGGAAATGAGCAAGTAAATGACCAGACACAACATGAGAAGGCCCAAAGGGAAAATCGGGGGAATTTCTGATATTCACAGAGATGTGATAAGTGGATGTTTTTGTTTGTGGGAGAAGACACGAAGGCTTGTGTTACATGTTTTGTAATTTAATTGCATAATTTGCACAAAATTTAAAACTCACACAAAACAGGACCAAATGTTATTCCCGGATACCTAGATTGAAAAAGAAGATTCTGCGAGGAGTGGACCAGGCTGAACACAGGAGTGGAATTATTTTTTCCAGAGTGTAGGCCCCCGTGAGAGCCAGAACCACAGGTCGGGAAGAGTGTTTGGACTCAGCCCTGGGTTTAAATCTGTCCTCTGCCACCCTGAGCACTGTGATTGTAGTTATTTAAGTTATTTAAATTGCAGTTTCATTGTTCTTCAAAAGGGGAAAGTAATATTTGTCATGCCTGTGCCACAGGGTGGTTTACAGGCTCTTATGGAAAAAATGTGTGTGTAATAGCTTTGTAAGCTGTAAATAACTTCAAATGTAAGACATTATTGCTTTGCTCATTTATTTGTTTATTACCAGTCCAAGTACTCCCATTATCCTAGCTAAACATAGTGTTTTCACAAAGTTAAACAAAGTTAAAGTACCGTAATAATTCAGTCCAGTCTGTCCTTCATTTTATTACTGTTATCAGGGGAACATGGGCTGGAATGGGGCTTTATCCAGTCATTCTTTTCACTTCTTTTTTCTTCTATTGGATCCATCATTCATTCAACACACAGTAACTGAGACCCTGCTGAGGGACAGACATCCCACAACTCACCAGGGCAATGAAGGCATGTGGCATTGTCTTTCCTGGGGGAGCTTGTTGGCTAGTGAGGGTTTTACATCCCATCAACAGAAAGGAAGGAACTCTCCCCACCTCCATTCACACTGAAGCTCAACTAAGTTCTATTTTAATTTTTGCCAAGCCAAAGCAGATTGTCCTCTGTTTCTAGAGATTAATTTGACGTCTGCCTGGGCCTCTGCTGGCTTTCCTCATTTTAGTTTTCCTGAGACCCGTCAGTTTTCTGCGTGGTGTGTAAATTGGCTTTCGAGACTCACAGTCTTTAGGCTTATTCTCAGAAGTATAGTCTCCATCTTCAGTATGTCTAACCAAACAAATTCCTCACTCCTTAGGGCTAAACTACTGAAACCATCCTTGGAAAGACTACTTTTAATTTTTTGATTTGTCACAGCTATGGAATATGATATCCTCTCCTTAAGCTGTAAACGCCTTAAAGACAAAAGCCTTTTTTCTCCCAAATTGTCCTAGATTCTAATTCCCACAGCTCAATATATGTTGAAGTGCTGGCCATGGGGTCTGTCATCTCTCTGGGGGAACCAACACTCAGGAAGGATGCGTCCACATTTCTCCTTAATCTGCTGCTTCCTTGGGGTGACTCCCTAAGCCAGAGCTGGGAACATGAAAAGCTGAGTCTCAGCCACGGTCATGCCCTCTGGAGGTCGATCACAGCCAGCTGGAGAAGTTCACCCAGGGGCTGTAGGAAGTACTGCCAAGAAGTGGAGGAGTGAAGCATCTGTCCGTGTGGGACGTGGGTACAGTTCCAGGGGAGGGTGTCACGGGTTTCTTATGGCCACGTACTGCGGAGCACAGCAGAGACGATACTTAAAATGAGAATTAGGTCTCAATGCCTTCTCTAAACTATTTGCTTAAAAAATAATAATCTCCTGGCAAGGCATAGTGGCTCACTCCTGTAATCCCAGCACTTTGGGAGGCTGAGGCGGGCAGATCACTTGCAGTCAGGAGTTCAAGACTGGCTTGGCCAACGTGGTGAAACCCTGTCTCTACTAAAAATACAAAAATTAGCCAGGCGTGGTGGCACGCGCCTGTAATCCCAGCTGCTTGGGAGGCTGAGAGAGGAGAGTCATTTGAGCCTGGGAGGCAGAGGTTGCAGTGAGCCGAGATCGCGCCACTGCATTACAGCCTGGGTGACAGAGTGAGGCTCTATCTCAAATAAATAAATAAATAAATAAATAAATAAATAAACTCACTCACTCACTCTCTTGGTAACATCCCCCATGCCAGCTCCACCCCAATGCATATCTCGTCCAACTGAGCCCCTTCCCACTGCTCCCTCCCATGGTTTTCCCCCATTCTCTCTAATCCCTTCCATTGCTGACATCTTGAGGTTTCATTTGTTTCTTTTTTTTCTAAGCAAAGACTCTCCTGCAGCTGGTTCCTTTCCCATGCACGCTCAGGCCCATCTATCCTTCCGCTTACCCCGAATACCTGTGCACCAGGAGCTGTTCTTCCTTGGAAAACTTCACCTCCCCGTCCCCTGAGACAGGAGGGCAGCCAGCTTATGGCTCCTCTGTGGTCCCAATTCTGTATTATTGTTCGTCTACCATCAACTAAATGCCTTTTCTTGGTTGTTGTTTATTTTGGTAAAGATACGCATACCATAAAAATAAGTTGCAATAGCCATTAACTTGGGTTAATGGCATGCTCACTCCACAAATATCACAGAGGCTATAGGCAGGAGACCAACAGAGCCTCAGTCCTGGTTGTAGAGGACTGGTTCATAGAGACAACATTGAATTGATATACCATTTCTGAGCATGATCCCACATGGGCAATGCCTCACTCTACCCCATCCCTAAACTCTGCCCCAGCCCCAGGCAAGTGACAAACCATCAGAGAGTGAGCGTCTACCCCTCACGATGTCTTACCAATGTGGGAAATGGGGAAAAGGGGCACATGGGGTTCTGGGGTTCAGTGAAGCTCAGAAGATTGGCTTTCGAGACTCACAGGCTTTAGGCTTATTCTCAGAAGTATAGTTTTTATCTTCAGTATGTCTAACCAAACAAATTCCTCACTCCTTAGGGCTAAACTACTGAAACCAAACATTTCCTCTACACGCTATTCTTCTGGACATCCGTATCAATGATCCGTCTATTGTTTGGATCCCTGAAAGCACCACAAAGGGATGTTTGTTGCAATTCAGGAGTGGGCTCTAGCTCACTCCCTATAATCTCCATCAATACCTTCCCTAAGTGAATTCTCCCAAAATCGAAGATAAGACAATTGTCTTCTTAGCAAACATAGCTTCGAGATACATCCACAGGATGATCTTCCCACCAGACTGCCCCCTCTCCTCTCTGAGTACTGGATGCACTGCTACCCTAAAGGCGCAGCCATACCATCAACTGCTACTTAAGGCTGTAACTTTGCATCAGAGCCCACCAGGCAGCTGTGTCAGCTTCAGTCATGCTCTGATTGCACCCTCTTTACCCTCTTTACCTGCTTCCCTCCCTTGAGTCAACCTTTCATGATCCTTGGGATGTGCCCCAAGATAAAGCAGCCCAAGGCAATGGTGGGGCACATGGAGTATAAATACTGGAACTGAAATTCACTAGCCATGCCACATTGTCCAAGTCACTTTCCCTCTCTGTTCCTCTCAGCTCTTTCATAGTTGAATGAGGCCACTGGAACCAATAATCTTCCAATTCCAGGTCTATAGGTCCATGGTGGTGTTGCTTTGATACCTCCATAATGTGTCCAAATGCCACAACAACCAGCCCATTGTTGGGTCTCCAGCCATTGGGACGTTTTCATCCCCTGACTTCCTGCTTTGCTCTTTTTTGCCCATGCTTAATCATAGCTCATCTTGATCATCCGCACGTGGAATCTGCCATTCCCTGGACTCGTCTCTCAGATGGCAAAGTGGTTCTGGAATCTGATTGGGTCCTAAGTTTTGCTCTGTTTTGTTGTTACAAATCATGCCCTTTAATCTAAGCTGACTCTCACTGTTGCTAAGGACCCCTTTTACGTATCCCTGAAGAACCATTATTACACACCTCAGCTTGTCTATTGCGAACATTTTTTAACCCAACTTCCCATCTCTAGCAGATGCTCTCAAGCTGGATCCATACCTTCTCAGCTTGTGCTCTGTCCAGGCATGCTTCCAACCACCTGCGCCTGGCTGCCAGAGCGGCTGTGTCCATGGCACTGCCCCCTAATGTGACCCTTAGAAGCACCCCCAAACCAAACACTGGTGGGAGCTGGCGGATCAATGAGCCGGCTTTCTCACCTTTCTAGAAGGATACTTTTGAGAGGTGTGTTCTGTGCTGGTTTCTGGAGTTCTCCACTGGACAAAGCTGCAGACACCATGGCAGACACTGGCCTGAGAGGGCATCCTTTGCTGAGCACCTTCCCTTCCATCTCATCTCTCCACTCCCTTACGGTTGCTTCTGGAATCAATTCCCACGTAAACTAATTGTCCCAAATCCTCATCCTGGAGTCTGTTTTGGGATACCCAAACCAAAACACCATCTCTCTTCCATCTCTATCTCTCATAGCCAATAACCTCATATCCTATTTTGTGGGGACATAAGGCTGGTTGAGTTTATGGGGAGAGCTGTATAGCCTTACTCATGTGCCTCTGTATCCAAACCTTAAAACTTTGTAGGGTCTTGCTTAACCACTCTCCCCACCACTCAGCTTTTTTTTTTTTTTTTTAATCGCCTTTATTTCTTTTCTCTACTGGCATGTTTCTTTCTGTCTTTAACCTGTTGGGAAGGAAAATACACCTTTCCTTGAACCTGTTCCATAACCTACCGACCTTCCCTCCCCTCAGAAGCATCTCCCTGGAATTGTGAAGGCTCTTCACCTTGGCATGACCTACCCATTCCTCCTTCCTTTGTGACCTGGTTTCCATCCAGGTCACTCTGGTAGTGCCATGGCAAGATCATCACTGCCACCTCATTTTCCAAATCCACTAGCCTTTTCTTATCCTCATCATATTTTCCTTGACTGTTTATCTTTTGCCTCACTTTAACCTGTTTGTTATACTTGGCGTTGGGTAATATTGTGAAACCCCATTGCAATCACATCACTCTCCTGGTTACAAGTTTTTGAGGGTGCCTACTGGTAAAGGGATTAAAGCTGTTTTCTTAATTCACACATTTCATCTTCCATGGATGAACTCTAGCTTTTCAGCTCATCTTGCAAGCCCTCCACTACAGGTAATTGGTCTACTAATGAGCCTCCAACTATCCAATATCCATTTTTGCCTCCCAGAGATACCTTAAGCCAAAATGCCCTCATTTCTCCTTCTTACTTTTTTTCATGTCCCCACCCAGGGCAATTTTATCCTGATTTACAAAGTCTTTCCCATTTTCTCCCAGCCCTGCTTCCTTATCTAAGCCCTCATGGGCATTCATTGCCTTGGCCTATTCTTTCGTACTTTCCTATTTCCTTCGTCAAGTGTGTGCCCTTTCTCTTCAATAAGACAGGGACTGTTTATAACCCTAGAACCTGATCCATGGCATTCCATGTATGTTTGCTGATGATGACAAAGATAAAATAGAATGTCTAAGTCAGTGTCAAAGAAGTCACATACTGCTGGGTGCGGTGGCTCACACCTGTAATCCCAGCACTTTGGGAGGCTGAGGTGGGTGGATCATGAGGTCAGGAGTTTGAGACCAGCCTGACCAATATGGTGAAACCCCGACTCCACTAAAAATACAAAAATTAGCCAGGTGTGGTGGTGGGTGCCTGTAATCCCAGCTATTTGGGAGGCTGAGGTAGGAGAATCGCTTGAACCCAGGAGGCAGAGGTTGCAGTGAGCTGAGATCATGCCACTGCACTCCAGCCTGGGTGACAGAGTGAGACTCCCACTCAAAAAAAAAAAAAAAAGAAAGAAAGAAAGAAAGAAAGAAAAAAAAAGTCATATACTTGCCCTCCTGCAGCTTAGCCTCTGGCAGATGGAAGACTGAAGAGCTTCTCCCATCAGAGGTGGCTGGAACACAGTTGTGAGGGTGTTATCTTTGGAGCCTCCTCCCTTTTCCCTCCATGGGCATCACACCAGGCTCCCCCCTAGGTTTACTCCAGCAGAGCCTGGTCTCAGCCTATTGTTTATGACATCTCTTTGGAGACTTTTGGGAAGGGTGACACCCAAATTATCTTATTAAAGACTTTATTTTTATTTTTATTTTTTGAGGCCGAGTCTCATTCTGTTGCCCAGGCTGGAATGCAGTGATGCGATCTCGGCTCACTGCAGCCTCTGCCTCCCAGGTTCAAGCAATTCTCGTGCCTCAACCTCCTGAGTAGCTGGGATTAAAGGCGCCCACCTCCATGCCCAGCTAATTTTTTTATGTTTTTAGTAGAGATAAGGTTTCACCATGTTGGCCAGGCTGGTCTCGAACTCCTGGCCTCAAGTGATTCACCCACCTCGACCTCTCAAAATGCTGGAATTACAGGTGTAAGCCACCGTGTCTAGCCCCAAATTATCTTTTGATAGATATACCCCAACACCCCGAAAGGGAAAGAAATTTGTCCAAGGCCATGTGCTAATAAGTGGCAGAGTCAAGACTGGAATTCTCCTCTCCTCTATCCCAATCCAGGGGGCTTTTTCCCAGGCCTGGGTGAAAATTCAACTTCACCCTGTGCAGGAGGCAACAGGAGTCTTTGCATTATCTAGGCAAAGACTACAGCTTTGGAGGCAGCTGGGCCTGTCACTTACTAACTCTTTGACCTTGGGGTAATAATTTAATTTTTCAAATCCCAGTTTCCTCAGGCATAAAAGTGGGCATAATACCATCTATCTCAAAGAGTTATTGTGAGAATTAAATTAGATGGCATATAGAATTTTACATTGGGAGGAGGTATGGCATTTTGTTGAGAAGACGGGCTTGGGTTTGAACCTTGGCTTTGTAATTTCTTGGTGGTATAACCTAGGGGGAATTATTTGACTTCTGAGAGAAAGACCTCAGTTTCCTTATACGTAAAATGAGGATAATAATAACTGTACTTCATTTATAGGAATAAAGGAGATAATGTGTAGCCAGTGCTCAGCAGGGTGCCTGGCACATGGGGAAACTTCTGCTCTTATGGATGATCACACTATGTCAGGCGCATGGCAGACTTCCAGAGAATGTTAGTTTCCGGTTTCCTTTGCGAGCAAATACTATAAACAGGATAATGGGAAACACATTTTAACAACGAGAGACAGACAGAGAGAGAGAAACGTTTTCTGGGACTTTAGGGCAACTTAGGCAACCACTGTTCCTAATTACCAGCTCTGTCGTGTTATTTGTGTTTGTGCTTCTCTCCTGCACTAACCTACGAGCACCCTCAGGGTGGAGTCATGGCTATTTATCTTTGCTTTCCCAGCAGGCAAACAGTATCAGGTACATAGTGGGCGATCAAAAATGTGTGCTGAATCATTGTCATAATTGGCTTTTTAGGAAAAATAATGGAAGCAGTACATGAAAAAGGAAATGCAAAGTAGCATGAATATGTATTTGGTGGAATGTAAATATAAGATAGTAACATCCTAGAGAGCTTTCTGTTTGTCAGGGACTGTGAGTGTGTAATGATGTGTTCAGTTCTGGCCACAAATCCTACAAGGTGTGTACTATTATTATCCCCATTTTATGGATAAAGAAATTGGGGCACAGAGAGGTTAAGAAACTTGTTGGAGGTTATATAACTAGTGAGCAGTAGAACTGCATTGGAATCCAGGTGGCTTGGCTGCAGAGACTGGTCTTCTAACCAGTATTCTGTACTCCCCTCCTTACGATTAAGCACTAAATTAGCCTCGGGCAGTTGTGAAGGTTAAATGAATGTAAACCACAATGCCCATCACATAGTGAATGCCCAGTAACCATTAGCTCTTTACCAAAAAAGTCCCACCTACCCACATAGCTCAGGCCACCAGAGATCTGGCAAGCTTGTAAGGCCAGAGGGATTAATTCTGCACAAGTGTTTGCAATAGTAACAGGGATTCCTTTAAAAAGCAGTTTTGCTGACTAATTAATTAACTGAACTCCCCTTGCACCTTCTACTTCCGTCTCTGCGCCTGTAATCCACACCATCTGGCAGTACAATTCTTTGTGTGGATATCTGTCTCTCCAACAGGACAGAAGAGATCTGATCATGTCTTATTAATTTTTCCATTTCCTGCCGTGCCTAGGACAGTGCTTGGCACAAAATAAGCATTCCATAAATAGTTGTGGAATTTTTGAGCTAAATTAAATATTCACAGTGGAAAAACAGGAATGAAATAGTCCATGAAAAGGCAGAAAGTAATCTGTAGCATCACAGTGCCAATGATTTATAAGATTTGATGCCTCCTTTTCATTAGGCAAATAATATATGTCCATGGTAGAAAAATGAGAAAATATAGATAAGCAAAGAAGAAAATGTTGAAATTGCCAATGATTCCGTTGTTAACACCTTAGTTTCTTTCTTTCTACTTCTCTTTAATGATAGGCAAACTCTTACAGGCTCGAGGTTCAAAGAACGATTCCCTTATAAGCAAATGCTTTTTCTTTTTAGAATAACTTTATGGAGGTGGACTTACATACCATTACATTCACCCTTAGGGAGTATTCAGTTTGATGACTTTGATTATTTATTTATTTATTTTTGAGACAGCGTCTCACTCTGTCACCCAGGCTGGAGTGCAGTGATGCAATCATAGCTCACTGCAGCATCAAACTCCTGGACTCCAGTGATCCTTCCACTCAGCCTCCTGAGTAGCTGGGACTATAGGCTCATACCTCCACGCCTGGCTAATTTTTAATTTTTTTTTTTGTAGACAGCATCTCACTATGTTGCCAAGGCTGGTCTCAAACTCCTGGCCTCAAGTGACCCCAAAGTGCTGGGATTGGCTGGGCGCCAGGGCTCGCGCCTGCAATTCCAGAGCTTTGGGAGGCCAAGGCGGGCGGATCATGAAGTCAGGAGTTTGAGACCAGCCTGGCCAACATGACAAAACCCTGTCTCTACTAAAAATACAAAAATTAGCTGGGGGTGGTGGCACGTGCCTGCAGTCCCAGCTACTCAGGAGGCTGAGGAAGGAGAATGGCTTGCCCCAGGAGGTGGAGGTTGCAGTGAGCTGAGATTATGCCACTGCACTCTAGCCTGGGCAGCAGAGTGAGACTCCATTTCAAACAAACAAACAAACAAACAAACGAACAAAAAACAAAGTGCTAGGATTACAGACATGAGCCCTTGTGCCTGGCTGACTTTTCGTATAATAAATTGATACATTTGTGCAACCATCACCACAATTTAGTTTTCAAATATTTCCATGCCTCCTAATGGGAAAATTTTTAAATTTAAGCATTTTAGATAAGCTTAATAGAAGAGCGCCCTGTGAGCTAAAACCATCTTTCTGCAGATTCATACCTGAATTACCCAGCAAGGTGGAGCACTGTGTGCCAAGACTGGGAGCCAGGAAACCTGGGCGGCTTGGTGTTCTGAATTTCTCCATGTCCTTAGAAAGTGGCTTTACTTCTCTTCCTACATCTTCCTGGGTCCCCATTAGGGAGGCAGAACTTCCCATGTCCTGACTTATCAGGTAATTTTAATTTTTGCATTACATATTCACTTCTTTTCTCTCTACTCGTTTTTTTTTTTTTTTGTCCTTTCTCCACTTTCCTCTCCCATCCCCCATGGCTGAGACAGGTTGCAGCAGCTCATCCATTGGGCATCTTTGGGCATCTCTGGGCATGTCTTCACTGAGACACCAGCTCCATTTTCTTCCACTCCGATCTTCCTCGATTCTGGTCTCTACCCTGCAACCAGAAGGAGCCTAGTCCAAACCTAATCAGAGCCTGTCGCTCCCCTGCTCAAAGCTCTCCCATGGCTTCCCATCCCACCTAGCATAAAATGCAGACTCCTTGGCATGACCTTCAAGATACCTGCCCAGTCATCCAACCTCATCTGCTAGCACTCTCTTCTCTGTTCACTTTCCCTGTCACGAGGGTCTACTTGCAGGTCCTAGAACATGCCACATTTGTTTTCACCCCACAGCCTTTGCACTTGCTGCTCTCCCTCATTTACTTACTTTCTCATTTCACTGGTCTCTGCTCAAATGTCACCTCCTTGGGGAGGCCTTCCTTGGCTACTGATGGAGTGCAGGACATGCTACCCTTGTGGGAAATACGGGGTAGCTACAAATGCTACACCTTGTACACCTTCACCCCCATGCTACAAATGTAGCACCTTGGAATTCACTCTCTGACCTTCTCCCACTCCCTTTTTTTTTTTTTGGAGATGGAGTTTCACTCTGTCACCCAAGTTGGAGCGCAGTGGCGCGATCTCGGCTCACTGCAACCTCCGCCTCCCAGGTCCAGGCGATTATCCTGCCTCAGCCTTCCAAGTAGCTGGGACTAGAGGTGCCCACGACCACGCCTGACTAATTTTTGTATTTTTAGTAGAGATGGGATTTCACCATGTTGGCCAGGATGGTCTCGAACTTCTGACCTCATGATCTGCCCGCCTTGGCTTCACAAAGTGCTGGGATTACAGGAATGAGCCACCGTGCGCAGCCTCTGCCATCTTTCTGTGTGAGAGCTGGCCTTTAAATAGTTCCCTGACTTACCACCCCTGAAAGTAGGTCATAAGACCCTCATGTGATAGGTATCCTGCCCTATACCCAGAGAAAAGGAATGAAGACAGAGAGATGCCAAGAAGAATCTAAACAAACAGGCCTTGCTAAGTTTCCCCCACTTTCTCACCATTAGACCACACTACCTTTGTCCAATCATAATTTACATAACTGTCCATTCTTCATCAAACCTAAACATAAAAATACACAGTTTTTTCTCTCTTTGGGTCTTCACTTCTGAAGACTCCTGTATCACATAAACATATTAAATCGGTACAGTTTTTCCCTTGTTAATCGTTCTTTGTTATAGGGGAGTCAGCCATGAACCTTGGAGCAGGTAAGGAAAAGCTATTACTTTTTCTCCCCACACTACTCTGTCTTAGCATGGCCTAGCCCTCCTCCACCATCACTCCCCACCCATTTGCCTTGCTTGCTATGTTCCTTTTTGTAGCAGGATCTGCAGTTATATCATAAGCTCAACATTCATTGAATGAATGAATAATTGGTTAACACACAATTTGCTTTGACTTATGAAGATACACCCATTAAAAAGCGTGACCCAGCTGGGTGAGGTGGCTCATGCCTGTAATCCTAGTACTTTGGGAGGCCAAGGTGGGTGGATCACCTGAGGTCAAGAGTTTGAGACCAGCCTGGCCAACATGGTGAGCCCTCATCTCTACCAAAAATACAAAAATTAGCCTGGCATGGTGGTGGGTACCTGTAATCCCATCCCAGGTACTCAGGAGGTAGAGGCAGGAGAATTTCTTGAACCAAGAAGGCAGAGGTTGCAGTGAGCCAAGATCACGCTATTGCACTCCAGCCTGGGCAATAGAGCAAAAAAACTCCATCTCAAAAAAAAAAAAAAGTGTGACCTGAAGGATCTGAATATGTGACAGTGCTATGCTTAGGATGTTCATGTCAATGTTCGTGTCCCCTCCAACACTCATGTTAAAACTTCATCCCCAGTGCAACAATATTAAGAGGTGAGGACTTTTGGAGATGGTTAGGCCATGAGGGCTCTGCCATATGTACCTTGTAAAAGGGCTTGAGGGGGTAAGTTTGTCCCTTTCACCATGTGAGGACATCACGTTTGTCCCCTTGGAGGATGCAGCAACAAGGTACCATCTTGGAAGCACAAACTTGGCCCTCACCAGGCACTGAATCTGCCAGCACCTTGATCTTGGACTTCCCAGCTTCCAAAACTGCAAGAAATAGATTCCTATTCCGTAAAAGTTGCCCATCCTCAGATATTTTGTTGAAGTAGCACAAATGGACTAAGACAGATATAGGGTGTAAGAAGAAGGCTTGCACAGGGGAGGTGGTTTCTGGGGTCTGTCTACCTGGCTTCAGATTCACCACGTAATAGCTATTTTCATCTAAAATAAGGTGCTATTTATAGTGCCTACTTCATTCATTTATTGTCATCATCATCATCACTCTTTCAAAATAGGGGCCTAGAATCTCAATAATGCCTCATGAGAAGTGGCTTTGGCAGCATGTAAGGAATAACATGGCGGTGGTGTTGGTATTCCTATAGTACAAGGCAGTGGTTCTGAAAGTATGTTTCCTAGGTCAGCTCCATCAGAAGCTGAAACTCCATCAAGCAGAAACTCTGGGTGGGCCCAGCAATCTGGTTTTGTTTGTTTGTTTGTCTGTTTGTTTTTTTGTTTTTAGACAGAGTTTCACTCTGTCACCCAGGCTGGAGTGCAATGGTGTGATCTTGGCTCACTGCAACCTCTGCCTCCAGGGTTCAAGCGATTCTCCTGTCTCAGCCTCTCAAGTAGCTGGGATAACAGGCACATGCTACCACGTCTGGCTAATTTTGTATTTTTAGTAGAGACAGGGTTCCACCATGTTGGCCAAGCTAGTCACGAACTCCTGACCTCAAGTGATCCATCTGCCTCGGCCTCCCAAAGTGCTGAGATTACAGGCATGAGACATGGCGCCCGGCCACCAGCAATCTGTTTCAACAAGCCCTTTTGGCTGGTTCTGATGCACACTCACGTTTGAGAACCACTTGGATAAGGTAGAAAACTGGTACCTACAGGTTGAGTCAGACTCACAGACATTTTTGCTTGTCCTGCATGATGGTTGGACATTTTGAAATTACCTGTCCACATTTACAATTTTGGAGATTTCACATAAAATCACAGATTTTCAGCTTCTTTGGCTGGAATGGAGTAGTAGCTGCCCCTTGAGACACAGCAAGGATTCTCCAGTTTGCCGTATCCCTACTACGGCCTGTTGTTATACCTAGCAAGGTTTATTTGTTCCCTTTACCTGTCTGGCCCCTGCAACACCTGTTACGGAACTGTTTATCATCAAGGTCAATGCCATTCCATAGAAACCCTTCATTGCACAGATGAGGAAGCAAAATCCCCACTAGGGAGGTGGCTTTGTTGCCCGTCATGGCCAATTCCAGACAGAACTCAGAGCCAAGTGACGCCCAGATCTGCTCTCTCGAGGGAACTGAGGCCAAGATGGGCAGAGGCATTAGAGCCTCTCAGGGACCCAGTCCTGCCAACCCTGCCCAGGACTCCAGTGTGAAGACACTGAGATACTTTCAAGGATAAGACTCTGGAGGATGCAGAAAATTTCCCTTTTGTCATGGAGTTTGGGTGTGAGGAGAGGGCCAGTGAGCTGGTGGAGAGGTCTGTTCATTTTCCCAGCTCGCAACCTGACAGAAGGGCAGAGGGGGTGCTCTGTACAGAGGGTCCTGGCTGTCTGCAAGGCCCCGCTCAGACACTGGGCTTTCTCCTGCAAAGCAAGCATCCCCCAGACACTGCTAGGGCAGAAGCTGCAAAGTACGAAGCCAAGGGGTCCCCTGGCTACAGTGATGGTGGCCATAGCTAGGTTGGCTTAATCCTGAGCAAACCGTTCCTGACTTTGCGAGGTTCCAGAGAGTTCCCTCAGCGAGGAGGAGGAGGGCCTTGCAGGGCAAAACAGCCCTCCAGGAAAACATCTTCCGCAGACTGAGCCAGTGGTGTTGCTGGGCTGAGCCCCTGCTTGCCCCAGACATCACTTCCAGCCTTCCCCAGTCTTTCCTTCACCTGCACCCAGGCTGCTTCTCTTCCCCAGCTGGCTCCTGAAGAACATTCCTTGCCTCCTGTTTCAGGGACTTCTCTCCAGGTAGTCTTTCAGTTCTTTCTCTCCTCTTCATCCTCCCTCCAGCTTAATCCCTCTCTCCCCTCAGAAACGTCTTTCCCTCACAATTGACCCCAGGCCTCTGACTTTGCTTTGTACATAACCTGGAGCATGCTCTGATGATAAAATGCCAAACCGCATCCCTTGGTCGCCGGCTCTTTTCCTGCCAGCCCCAGCACCACCAGCATCTGTGGCAGCTCCCGGGCTCCCAGCTTGTCTGGCACCCAGAGCACCTTTCTGGCACCCTACACTGGGAGGGTGGGGGAGGAGGAGCTGGGCTTCCAGGGAGAGAAAGGCTGGGCAGTTTTGATTCTCAGAGGCAGGGAGGATGAAGGAAGGGGTGAATACAGTGTGAGGAAGGGGAGGAGAGGAAGGGGAGGGGAGGAGGAGGTGGAGGAGGGGGAAGTGGTGTTTGCTTGAAGGTCAGAGGGGAACTGGAGTGTTGAAAAGCATGAAGGGCAGAATTATGGGGATGGTGATTTAACCTAAAGCAGTGGTTTCAAATTTCTTGGACTATGACACCCGGTAAGAAACACATTTTACATCACAACCCAGCAAACTACACTATGTGTGTGCACACGTGTCCACACATACACCATACATCCTGAAAAATCAAATTTCACATGAGGATACTTATGCTTACTACATGCGATACACTAATATTTCTATTATATTCTTTTTTCCATATGCTTATCTTTTGTATATAATTATAATAAGTAGTCATTAAACAAGGATACTATTATACCTATTAAAGTGATTTCATAATCCACTAGTGATTCATAAACCACAGATTGAAAAAACGATAAATATAGGCAGTGAGAGTGAATTTATTACTGGCTCCTAAATCTATGAAGGGTGATTAATAAATAATGATATTTATAAATAATGATAGCAAATAGACATAGTTCTCAGCAGTTTTACATGCATGATTTTATTCAGTCTTATAAATCTATTAGGTACTATTATTATTCCCATTTTACAAATGAAGGAACAGACACGCCCGAGAGTTCAAATAACTTTGCTCAAGATGGTAAGTGGCAGAACCAGGATTCAACCCTTCCAGCCTGACGCAACAGCCACAGTCCAATATTCAGACATTCCTGCTGTTAAAGACATTATTCAATGACATTTGCTAAACCAGAGTAAGGAAGACTTTACTCAGGACTATCCCTATACATTTAGGGACCACTGCAATGAGGTCTCACAGCAGGGGAGAGAGACTGGGCTCACCTGGGCAAGTGGGGATTTGTAGCCAAGGAGCAGGGTGGGGGTCAGTGGATGGAAAATTACTGAGAGTAAACATTAGAGGTAAGGGGGATTCTGGCCAAACAGAGCTAACAGGATTCTTGCTGAAGACAGGCCAGGGTGATCAGACAGCACCTGGGGGATGGTAGAGGATGAGGAACCTGATCAGCTAGAAACAGTGTCCAGATCTCAAGGATCAGGGAGCTTCTTGCTAGACTGATTTAGCAGGGCTCTTTGCTAAAACTGGATTTTACAAGAAAGAATCTCAGAGGAGATTCAGAAGCCTAACTGAAGTTTGTCCAAGCAAAGAATCTTTGTCACTGCACAAGGTGACCTGTATACATTCATCCAGTCATTCATTTGGAGCTTTGAGCTTGGTGCTCCAGAGTGACAAATGACTGATGGTAGCTCCTGCCACTTGGATAGCTGTCAGCAGTAAGAGGGAAGCAGATCTGGAACACAGAAGTACTGACATCACAGAACCTGAGGAATCACAGAGTGGGGGCAGAGATCATCAAGGCCACCCCTCACTTCACAGATGGGAAACTGAGGCCCCAGGACCCCCAGAGCTAGAGGCTGAACCTGGCATGAACCCAAGAGCTCTAGGCAACCAAATCTGTTCTCTTCCCTTCAAGGGCCTCCCTGCAGGATTATGAGAAGCCAAGATGGTAAAGAGATATTTGTAGTTGCCATCTGGAGATTCTTTTGGGCAACATCATGATCTCCTGGAAAGAGAGGTGAGCAAATGCCCAGTTCTGCCCTGCTGTTCCTCAGCACCTGGCACCATGCCGGACACTAGCTACCTTCTGTGAGCATCACTTATACTGTCCATTTTCTTTTGGTCATGTGCACCCTCATCACTGCTCTGCTAGACTCTTCTTACATTTACCATTTCATCTTATATTTTAGTTAATTCTCATTGCATTTGAAATCTTCCCAACAGACTAGATCCATAAGTACGTTAAGAATGTGGAATGTGTCTGCCTTCTATACTACCATCTACTCAATTGCCGTGGACCATGCCTATCTCATAAGCAGATGCTGAATAAATGAATAAATGAATGGGCATTGGGGAACCATATCCTGAACTTCCCAACTGAAGCACTTCTCCTGGATTCCTAGTGGGCAGCTTTGTACATAGAAGTTGCTCCACACATGAGTTCATGTCCTTCATCCTTGGCAGCAAGCAGTAACTACTTATCCATGGATCAGGGTAGGGAGAACAAGAACCTCAGGGATAACACCACTGAACCTGCAGCTTCATTTCAGCCTGCAGAGAAAATACAACTGTGGCTATTGAGCCAGGCAGGTCAAGCCTTCCTGGGTCATCTAAAATGACTGCATGCTTGCTCTTCAGTCCTTTCCTTGCACCTGCATTTCTGAGGTGCCTTTGCCCTCTGGCTTCCAGGTAGCTGTGGCTGATTGGAGGAACTGGTAAATCACTGGAGGGCCACCAGAAGGAGGGGAGAAGCCGGCCATTCCTCCTTCTCCAGTCCCTCTACTTCCTGCCTTCTTGGGCAGCAGTTGACTCCTGTGTGGCCGCAGCTCCCTTGGGGGCAGCCCCCACCATCATTCTAGTACCTGCTAGATGTACAGTACTAAATTTTTAAAATAAAATACAGGCCACCAGTTAAATGTGAATTGCAGATAAACTGGATACTTTTTTTTTGGAGATGGAGTCTCACTCTGTCGCCCAGGCTGGAGTGCAGTAGAGCGATCTCGGCTCACTGCAACCTCTGCTTCCCAGATTCAAGCGATTCTCCTGTCTCAGCCTCCCTAGTAGCTGGGACAACAGGCGTGTGCCATCACACCTGGCTAATTTTTTGTATTTTTAGTAGAGACAGGGTTTCACAATGTTGGCCAGGCTAGTCTCGAACTCCTAACCTCAGGAGATCCACCCGCCTCTGCCTCCCAAAGTGCTGGGATTACAGGCGTGAGTCACCGTGCCTGGTCCAACTGGATACATTTTTATATTACATTTTTGATTATGATAAAGTACACATAACATAAATCTTACCATTTTAACCTTTTTAAAGTATACAATTCTGTGGCATTTAATGCACTCTATACTGACTTAAAATACTAGCAATTATTTGTTATTTATTTGAAATTCAGATTTAACTAGTGTTAAATACAATAACTGTTATTGTTAATACAATTGTAGTAGGGAATTGTATTGTATTGTAATAGGGTGACCGTTGCTCCTGGGCTCTGAAAAAGCACCTCTTGTTGTCACCCCTCCAGTCCAAGGAGGTTTTTCTAGCACCTCTGTAACCAATTACCTTCATTAAAGTCTCTGAATAAGACTTAGCGAACTCCCTCCCTCCTGCTTCCCTGGCTGGACCTTGACTGTACAAACAATGAGAAGTACCCACCCTCCAATCACCAAGAGTCCAGATATCACAATAAGGTCCCGGAGTGAGCTCCCATGTGCTTCCCTCCCGCCCAGCCTGCTCCATCATCAACCCCCTTCCTCATCAGCTCTCAATCCTCCCCAACTCCAGAAAGCAGGCCAGGTGTCTCTGTAATTCTCAGGTGCACCCCCACCCCCTGCCTGGGGTGATTGGTTCCATGTGTCTGTCTGCGGGGCCACCCGGCCCCCTCCTGGCCCCCCTTACCCGCCTTCCGCCCACCTGCCTTCCTTCCTCACAGCTTCGCTCTCGCCTCGCTGAGCCCTTCCTGTCGCACGTCTGACACGTCCCCTGCGTCTGCGGGCTCTCCTGCTCCCTCCCTGCCCTCTTTCAGACAAGACAAAGAAAAGAAAAGGGTGGCTCTTGTTGCATTCACTACTTTTATTAATGAATGCAAGAACAAAATCAGCTGGCCCTGCAGACGTCCTGCTGAACTGGGGTGCTGTAAAAGGAGATGGAATCCTAGCATTTTGGTTTTGAAAGGGACTTGAGGGGCGAATTAATCTCATTCCTGTACAATACGGGGTGCCTCTCCCAAAATCACGAAAACCAGAAACGCGGCAGGAGAGTCATGAACCCATGGAGGTGAACAGTTCAGCTGCTGGAATATAGACAAGTGGTTCCCAAAAGTACTTTACATCCTGAGAGCCTGAGTGTGTAGTGAGATGGATTGGCACAGCGCTACGCCAGGTGCGTGTGGCCTGTGCTGCTGGGGCAGTGTGTGTTGCTGCACCACAACGTGATAGCGATAGAGACGGAGAACACTCAGAAACTTCGGGAACTATTTGACATCTCTGCACCTTCCAACGCCTAATCGTTTTGCTAGTCATTCACTTTATGATTGTATTAAGTGTCAGTCTGTGATGAACTAAGGTGCAAAAACGGGTGCTTTGCCAGAGGTGATTTGAAAAGCACTCTTTCGGAGCCACACTCAGGAGTTGGGTCCAGTTTTGGAAAGAGGATAAATGTCTGGAGGCAAGTGACTTAACCTCTATGGATCTGAGTTTCTCCTCTGTAATATGGGGACAATCTTGACTCCTACCTCATGGGACTGTTGCAAGAATTCTACAAGTACATGACATAAGCACCGTGGGGCACCAGGCACACAGTGGGGAGGGTGTGTGATTATTTGTAGACGCTTCTTGACTTGAGTTGACCAAACCACCAAGATCATTGTCCACTGACTCTCTTTCTGGGAATCTCTGAGGACGTAGCTTCTATTCCCACTCTTTGATGGCTGTTATAATAATTACTGATCTTAAAGTTCGCTTCTTTCCATGGTGACATTTCCATCCCATCCTCTGTCTTGACTCACGGGACCTACAAGATGAAACCTGGGATCTCTGCATTGGACCCGAGCACTGGGTCCACCCTGAGGCCCCCTTGGAGCTGATGAGGGAAGCCAAGGGCAGTTATGGGGGTCTGAAGAGAAGGTGTTAAGCCATGAGAGGGAAAGGCCACAAAACCAGAATCACAAAATAGGCACTAAAATCGGGACTCCACAAGGGCAGCAGAAGGCAGACCATTAGAAAGAAATGTGGGACAGTGGGGCGTCATTGTGTTACTGTAAAGGAGTCCCAATCCAGACCTCAACAGAGGGTTCTTGGATCTCATGCAAGAAAGAATTCAGGGTGAGTCCATAGAGTAAAATGAAAGCAAGTTTATTAGAGAAGTAAGAAACAAAAGAATGGCTACTCCATAGGCAGAGTAGCCGCAAGGGCTGCTGGTTGGCTATTTTTATGATTATTTCTTGATCATATGCTAAACAAGGGGTGGATTGTTTATGAGTTTTCTGGGAAAGGTGGGCAATTCCTGAAACTGAGGATTCCTCCCCTTTTTAGACCAAATAGAGTAACTTCCACATATAATGAGCAGTGAGGACAACCATAGGTCACTTTCCTTGCCATCTTGGATTCAGTGGGTTTTGGCTGGCTTCTTTACAGCATCCTGTTTTATCAGTGGGGTCTTTATAACCTGTATCTTGTGATACCAGTCCTGTCAACCTCCTATCTCATCCTGTGACTAAGAATGCCTAACCTCTTGAGACCTCTCAGTAGGTCTCAGCATTATTTTACCCAGCCCCCACTCAAGATGGAGTCACTCTTGTTCGAATGCCTCTGACAATTGCAGCAAGCTTTTGGCTTATTCATAGCATCCTTTTTTAAAAAAAAAAATATGTTTATTTATTGATTTTTTTGAGATGGAATCTTGCTCTGTCACCCAGGCTGGAGCACAGTGGCGCAATCTCGGCTCACTGCAACCTCCACCTCCCGGGTTCAAACGATTCTCCTGCCTCAGCCTCCCGAGTAGCTGGGATTATAGGCATGTGCCACCTCACCCTGCTAATTTTTGTATTTTTAGTAGAGATGGGGTTTTGCCATGTTGGCCAGGCTGGTTTCAAACTCCTGACCTTGGGTCATCTGCCTGCCTCGGCCTCCCAAAGTGCTAGTATTACAGGCATGAGCCACCACACCTGGGCTACAGCATCCTTTAAAGTGTAGGACATGCTCCTTCCTGATATGCTTCTGGAAAGCTGAAGATGTTCTCTGATGTCTGATAACCACTATTCACACCTTAACACATCTCCCTCACTCTAGGAGGGGATGTTGTTGCAGACCCTGTCACGTGGTGGACAGCAGACAACACCACACTTTGTCAGCCGGTAGGCAGCTGTGGTTCTGGTTGCACTGGTGTGCCCTGCCTGTGTCTCCCTTTCCTTCGTATACCTCTACTGTTAAAAAAAGGTCTATGCCAGAGGACTCAGTACCAATCCTATATTCACATCTAGCTTATCAGCATGCTGGGTGTGCTTTGTACTACGTTTTTCTTTTCTTTTTTGAATTTCGAATTACTTGCCAAGACTTTCAAATTGAGAGAATTCATGGAAAAGTCTGAGAACTAATTTTGCTTTGAAATGAGCCCCTTTAGCTACCTTGGACCTTCATTCCTGCCAGGCCACAATCAGCTGGAGCTGAGTGGCAGCTGACCCCTTCAGAGGCACAAGAGCTCTCCCCTTGGCACAGTCCCCACCATTCCTGATGGTCAAGAAGCATCTATGTACGAATCCTCACAGCTCTCTGCTTATCTAACTGATTAATGTTCCCTTTCTGGTACATATAGACATCTGAGTTTGCAAACCCTTGTCTAAATTTTGGACTCTTAAGAAGTCCCTAGAGCCAGGCGCAGTGGCTCACGCCTGTAATCCCAACACTTTGGGAAGCCGAGGCAGGTGGATCACCTGAGGTCAGGAGTTCAAGACCAGCTGGCCAACATGGTGAAACACCATCTCTACTAAAAATACAAAAATTAGCTGGGTGTGGTGGCGGGCGCCTGTAATCCCAGCTACTCAGGAGGCTGAGGCAGGAATATCGCTTGACCCCAGGAGGCAGAGATTGCAGTAAGCTGAGATCGTGCCATCGCACTCCAGCCTGGGTGACAATAGTGAAACTCCATCTCAAAAAAAAAAAAAGAAAAAAAGTCCCTAACACAATTCTTCTCTTAACTGGCTGTTGGGATATGCTTTTTTTCATTTCCATCCTCTACTTCAGCCCCTACTCCATTCCTCTGCCCCAATCTCAGCTCAGCTGGCATTAGCATCTGCCCAACATTTTTCTTTTCTTTTCTTTCTTTCTTTTTTTTTTTTTTTTGAAAGAAAGGCAATTTTATTTCAAAAAAAAAAAAAAGTGTGCTCTGGGAACAGGGTTAGTCCATTTGGGCCTTCAGTGTCCTGGTGGTGATTTTGTCCTTCTTGGTGATGTGGATGATGACTCCCATGCCTGACCCTGCACCCCAGTCCACAGCATTCAGCATGGCTGGGGAGATGGTTTCAAACGGGTGTTCTGGATCCATGTTGGGTTCCCAGAGGGACTCACACATTCCGTACATTTGTTCGGCATAGCTGCCATTGACCACAAAGTCATCAGTCACCATGGGGAAGCCGATGAGGTCTAGAGAGCAACTGAAGGGCTTAAAGGTCTTCAGGTCCAAACCAGCAATGACTGGATCAGTGTAGTAGGGGCCAAAATGTTTCTCATACAAGAAGTTGGCCACCATGCTCGTGAAGGTATAAGGTTTGATCTGCTGACCTTCCTTCAACTCATATAGGTTCAGCTGGAACTTGAGGCACTGGGCAACTCTCTGGACGTCAGTGGCAAGCCCGGCCAGACCGATGTACAACCAACCACCCATGGGAAAGATCTCCTGGAAGTCCGTGGTCACCATCTGGGCCTGGATCCCGAAGTGCCTGTCTGCAGCGATGGCCACACGGTTCTTCCCCTTCATGGCCATGATGGCTCCTCCGTTATAGGACATAATAGACATGATTGTGTGGTATACGAGGACCCCTCCATTGCCGGAGCAATTCCAGTAAACCGGGTCTAGCCTTCACTCCTGCCCATCATTTCTGACATTTAGACTCTACATAGAGGGTCCTGAGATTCCAGGCCTTTACTCATCCTGCATCCCCTACCTACTTGGATGAATATTAATATTTACAATAACAGAGAAAAGTTCTCCAGAATGTCTGGGAGGTGAAAGAAGTTAAATAAATGGAAAGTGTTGTTATTGTTTGCACCATACTCTAGTTCTTCCAAGGGCCGGCTTCTAAACCTTTCCTGAACATCTCTTTTCTGATGATGTCTCCTCTACAACTCGAGATCGTGTTCTTGTCACTCTTCCATGGACATGGCCACCGCTTTCTAACTGGCTTCTCTGACCCTCCTTGGTTTCCTTTAGATCCTTTCTGCCAGCATGGTGATCTCCCTGAAATGCAATTTTGTCCATCTTACTCTTTTGCTGAAAACCTCCGATGCTGCTCTATTGTTTCAACATGAGAGAGTTTGAGATTCTCAGTAGGACTTAAGATTTCTCTGTGACTCACCCCCTCCCTACTGCTCCAGCTCCATTGCCTGCCATTCCCAGTTTTACCCTGGAGTTTTCCAGGAACACAAACTACTAGTGGTTGCCACAGCACCCCGAGCTCTGTTGCCTCCATGCCCTTGGCTGTGCCATTCTGATGGCCTGGAAAGCCCTTCCCAGCCTGTGCAATGTCTTCCTCTAAACTCAGTTCCTGAGTCTCTACCACGTCCCATGCTGAGTAGGTGCCCTGCCACACTGCCCTGGGCATCCTTAGCACTGCCCATGCCCTCTAATCCTGCATGGCCTGCCTGCTTTGTTGGGGTGTCAGATTTTTGAAAACAAGAACTGCATCAATCTAGCTCACTTTTACATCCTCAAAACTCAGCCCACAGTAGGAGCTTAATCAATGCTGATGAATAAATAAATCACGTCTCCAATTAGAAAGTAACTTTCCTGGTCCGGTACTATACCCTTCTAAAAAAGAGATGAGTAGGTGAAATTGAACAGAGCTCTTAGCTGTGCAACTCCAAGCTTTGTGAAGCTGGAGGGCTTCTGCTCACTGTTTTCCTAGGGATAGGCTTGGCTAGAAACTCATTTTGTCCCATTCCTTCTCCAGCATTTCACACTGAAGTGGCTTCTATTTTTCTTTCTTTTCTTTTTTTTTTTTGGAGATGGAGTTTCATTCTTGTCATCCGGGTTTGAGTGCAATGGCGCAATCTTGGCTCACTGCAACCTCTGCCTCCCAGGTTCAAGTGATTCTTCTGCCTCAGCCTCCCAAGTAGCTGGGATTACAGGCATGCACCACCACACCTGGCTAATTTTTGTATTATTAGTAGAGACGGGGTTTCACCATGTTTGACAGGCTGGCATTAAGCTCCTGACCTCAGGTAATCTACCCACCTCGGCCTCCCAAAGTGCTGGGATTATAGGCGTGATCCACAGTGCCTGGCCTAGGTTCTGTTTCTCATCACAGTTGCAGTAACCATATGACCTGGACTGTCTGAGGTCAACCATTCTGTCTTTGGCCCTGTTATATGCACCCGCATTGTGAGACCACAGTCCTGATTGAAGGTTTAGGTGCTGTGGCTACCCTGCCCACAGCTCTGGATTCCCAGCCCTTTTGATTCTTTGGAAAAAGGAGATTTGCACAGATCAGATGAGAAGGCCATGGGCAGTATGGGGTGGAGAGAATGATGGCGTGTCAGACATTTATTCAGCACATTGTGTTGTACCAGGCCCTGGTGAGGTTCTGGACACACGATGGGGAGTGCAGCAGACTCATTCCTTATGTGCAAGGAGCTTACAGTTCAGTACAGAAGACACACATTCATCAGAAACTCGCCCAAATCAGTGTGAAGCTGTAACTATGAGAAGTGTGACAGATCCATGGAGTTGGTAGGGAGAGTTTGATGCAGGGAGGACAGGTCTTCCATGGAAAGACAGTTGAAGGAGGAGTTGAATAGTAAAAGGGGAGGGGCTGGAAGAGCTTATGATGGGGGAACTGGCTGTGGAATGAGGCTTGCCAGGAGCAGAGATCCTATGCAAGACCTTGAAGGCAGGTCTAAGGTGTGGGGGCTTTATCTTAAGAGCCATGGGAAGCCACTGAGAGTTTTAAGCAGGGGTATGAGTTGATCACATTTATGTTTGGAAACGAATCTTCTCTGGTTACTATGTGGAAAGCAGATTGGGGAAAAGTCTTGCTTTCTCAATAAGAAGGCAGTGAGCAGAAACCTCTTAGAGTGTTCGCCAGTCATTTCTGCTGCTTCCCTCCCCCTGTAAGCTAAACCAGAGCATGAGGAATTGTCCGTTTGGTTCACTGATGTATCCCAAGCAACTAAAATTGTGCCTGGCATGTAGCAATTGCTTCCAAAATGCATGCATGCTTCAAAAATTCCCAAGAGCTTCAGGGCAGGTTTATGTCAATCTCAGATCCTTGATTGACTAAGTAAGGCATCAGTCATCTTGATTCATTTGACCAACTTGTACCGGGACCTAGCATGTGTCAAGTGGAGGATACAAAGGATCTCATTGCCTCAAAGGGCAGAGACAACAATCAAGGAAGTGGCAAGTGCGGGATAACAATAAGGGCTCAACTGTCCACAGCGCACAATAATGAGTTCATCAAAAATGGATTTGCTGAACGTTTCTTGATCAAGGTCAGGAAAATCTCACTCAGTATCTGTACTACTTCGTTTTCATGCTGCTGATAAAGACATACCCGAGACTGGGAAGAAAAATAGGTTTAATTGGACTTACAGTTCCACATGGCTGGGGAGGCCTCAGAATCATGGCGGGAGGCAAAAGGTACTTCTTTTTATTTATTTATTTTTTTTGAGACGGAATCTCACTTTGTCGCCCAGGCTGGAGTGCGGTGGCGCGATCTCGGCTCACTGCAAGCTCCGCCTCCCGGGTTCACGCCATTCTCCTGCCTCAGCCTCCCGAGTAGCTGGGACTACAGGCGCCCGCCACCATGCCTGGCTAATTTTTTGTATTTTTTTTTTTTAAGGAGAGACGGGGTTTCACTGTGTTAGCCAGGATGGTCTTGATCTCCTGACCTTGTGATCCGCCCACCCCAGCCTCCCAAAGTGCTGGGGCAAAAGGTACTTCTAACATGGCGGCAGCAAGAGACAATGAGGAAGACGCAAAAGCGGAAACCCCTGATAAACCCCTCAGATTTCGTGAGACTTATTCACTATCACGAGAATAGCAGGGGAAAGATGAGGCCTATGATTCAATTACCTCCCCCTGAGTTCCTCCCACAACACGTGGGAATTCTGGGAGATACAATTGAAGTTGAGATTTGAATGGGGACACAGCTAAACCGTATCAGTATCTGCTTTTGGTAAGCTGCATGACCTTGGGCAAGTAGCTTTAACTTCTCAGAGCATCACTTTCCTCACCTGAAAAGTGGAGATGATAAGAGCTGATTTGTAGGGGTTTTTTGAAGATTAAATGAGATCACTTTTGGATATCACTTTGCTAAGGGGCTGGCACATAGTGGACTACCCAGCCATGCCACTGTTCCGTTCCTCCTTCTTCTTTCTCCTCCTTCCTATTCCTCCTCCACTTCCTCTCTTGTTGTTGCTATTACTATTATTATTATTATTATTATTACTAGCTAGCCAGGCTGCCTGTATTTCTCCAGAAAACCATTACCCATGGTTTAAAAAATCCACCCTTGGCCAGGTGCGGTGGCTCACGCCTGTAATCCCAGCACTTTGGGAGGTCGAGGTGGGCGGATCAGGAAGTCAGGAGATCAAGACCATCCTGGCTAACACAGTGAAATCCCGTCTCTACTAAAAATACAAAAAAAAATTAGCCGGGCGTGGTGCTGCACGCCTGTAGTCCCAACTACTCGGGAGGCTGAGGCAGGAGAATGGCGTGAACCTGGGAGGCGGAGCTTGCAGTGAGCCGAGATCGCCCCACTGCACTCCAGCCTGGGTGACAGAGTGAGACTCTGTCTCAAAAAAACAAAAAAGAGAGAAAAGAAAAAATATCCATCCTTGCTTCTACTCTCTTAGAGGCATATAGAGTTGCCCATATGAGAAGCAGCTCAATTACGATTGTTGAATGCATGGCCTCATCACTTTTGGTTTGGAGCTCACAGTTGAAACCATGTTTGTCGCCTCTGTCCTCCATGGATTAATATGTGCAGCCTGTCTCTCCTAATCAGATGTCACTGTGGCCTCTCATGGTATCCCGAGTAGTCACACTCTCCAGAGAATGGCCACCCCTCCAGCCCTTGGGGTACTCTCCTATGGGCCACTTCAAAGGGAGTTTTGCCCACTCCTCATAGCCTGTATTTTAAGTCAAATCATTTGAAATAAGCCCTCCAAACTGGGTGGAAAACCTCCCTAGGCATTTTTATGTGAAGTGGAAACAGAAAATCTTATTTTTATAGAAAGACTCCTCTGGGATCTCACTATCTAGTAGAGAAGACTGGGGCAGCCCTGAGGTTTGTGTTACAAGAAAGGCTTAGGAGGGAAAGGCGTCTAGGCCAGCTTCCTGGGAAGGTCACATAAATTCCTGCTTAGCATTCAGCGTAGGCTGAGGGCACACCTTCAGGAGACAGGAGCAAACAGACTCCAGCTCCTCTTCCATATTCTTCCAAAGCAGTTTTGGTGAGTACCAGGACCCACTGCTGTTGAAATGCACACCCACTCACCTCACAGTGTGGCCCAGAAGGAACCAGAACCCAATAGGAGAGGGGCAGAGTTATAAACAACTCCACTGGCTACATCACACTGTGCTTATCGCTGCAAATATTGACTCTGGAGGATCAAACAAGTGGCCAAAAAAAACAATAATATTTTCCCCAGAGAGAAGGTCTTGTTCCAGACAGCCAGGATCAAGTCGGATGGGCAGGCAGTGACAGATGGCACAATGCAAGGTGAAGGTCTCCATGCAAGGGTGATGCTCTCACGTGGTAGGTCCCCTTGGAACTGCTATGCCCAGGGAAGGAGAGACCAGACTCAGGGTGCCATCAGGTGGTCTTAAAGAACACAGGGCATCCCATATCGTGGATCAGAGTTCTCAAAGTCAAGAGATTGCTCCAAGAGGCAAATGTCCACAGCAAAGATCCGACTCCAGGTTTGGCAAACATTGACCTGAATCCCTTCTTTGGGTCAGACATCCTCCCAGAAACCTCCAAGAACGATTCCACACAATCCTTACAAAAGCCTCATGAACTAGGTGTTCTTACTCCATTTTGCAGATGCAAAAACTGAGGCTCCTAACAGTTTGATGACTTGCAAAACAGGTCACATTGTAGGTTATCTGGCAGAGCTGGGATAAGGACTCCCCAGTAAGTGCCTCTAAAGTGTGCTGTGCTTGTTCTGGTTGTTTCGAGCTCTGAGTTCTTCTGGGTTACAACTCAAATGCCCCTTACACAGTGAAAGTCCAGAGAGCAGGATTCTGGACAAAGAGCAGGAACTGAGGTCATTGATTGGCTAAGCCTCAGGGTTGTTTACTATTTTGTAAAGATGTGGATAGAAATAATTATTGATTCTGCATTCTGGCTCTTGGGCAGAAGGCACAGTTTTGAAAGTATCGGCAAGATGCCCAATGCTGCACCCTAGCCATGCAGTGTGTGTTCCTGTGTGTGTGGGTGGGTGTGTAGGTGTGTGTGTGTGTGTCTAGTGCAATTGTGGTAGAGGTTTCATTGTGACCCTCTAAAACCTCCCTTCTGCCCAACCCCCAGACAATGATACCTTACAGCAAGAGCAAGCTTGTCCAACCTGCGGCCCAGGATGACTTTGAATGCAGTCCAACATAAATTCGTAAATTTTCTTAAAACGTTATGATATTTGTTTGCAATTTTTTTTTTTTTAGTTCACCAGCTATCATTAGTGTTAGTGTATTTTATGTGTGGCTAAAGACAATTCTTCTTCCAATGTGGCCCAGGGAAGCCAAAAGATTGGACACCCCTGCCTTAGAGTCCCTTGGCCACTGATTATTATTATATTATAGCAGAGTCACCTTGGACTCTGCTCTATAGAAAGAAAGGGCTGGGTCACAGAAGGAGGCCTTTAGTGGATCAGGCCTTCAGGGGATCAGGAGGTGGTGGGAGGATGAAGATAATAACAATGGAGGAAAAAGAGTCATAGAACACAGAGAAAGAGAGAGAGAGAGACCAACCCCAAGATAAGCTACAATGTGACAGAGAGAAACAGCAATGTAAGAGATAGAAATAGTTGCACTGTGACAAGTTGCTGAGAGGAGAGGGAGAAACACTTTACAGAAAGTGAGCAAGAGAAGTTTCACTGGAGGCGGCAGTGGGAAAGATTTCAAGTGGGAAGTTGGTGCACATGGAGAGCTGTGGATGAGAGGGGGTGATGGACCGCCGTAGAGAGGACTCGGAGAGATGGTGGGTGCTGGGCACTGTGGGACACCACAGAGACACGGTGCTGCTGCTACCCGTGGCCCCGAGGCCCTGCCAACCACCAGCAGCCTCCAGAAAAGTCGTTTCCAGCAGGCACCTTTGTCCACGGCTGAAGCCCAAGGGGAATGTGGAGTTCAGATGTGGCAGAGAGAAAAAGGATCCCAGAAACACCTTCACGACTGAGGAGACAGAGCTCTGATTTCTAACACCACCTCCAGGAAGTCCTCCCAGCCCACAATTTAGGCTGCAGAACTGCAGAGTTCCCCATGATTCATCTAGAGGCTCATCGTCCCTTTGCGTTGCCTTCATAGCTCTGTAGAATTATAATTAGGGTTATAATTCTCTATAGGCCTTTTTTATTTGTGTTTTTCCTGTGGGCGTGTATTGTTTCTTTTAATAGTCTGTACATTTCTCTACTATTTCTATCTCCTTTGCAGTATTTGGTGCAGGGCTTCTGTTCTTTTGGGTATGTATAACACTTTACTTCTTCCCCTTTAGCAATTTATTCTTTTATGAAATTCCTAGCTTATTACATCTTATGCCATTCTCCTGGCCATGTCCTTTGTTAAAAATCCCCTTCCTACTTGATAGCTCTTTATACTGTCCGTTGCCCTCCATGAGGTGTTTATTATCTCATGAAGGCAGAGCAGAAGTTATTATTCCTCTTTTAAAGATGAATGGACTGAGTCTCAGAGACATGTCTATTACTTAACTTGGCCAAAAGATTAAAATATCTTCTACATTGTGTAGCAATATACAGCATACAAGCTGATTTTAGGTGGTATTAGAAGGAAGATCTCTTATTTATGTATTTTGTCTTTATGTGTAATAGGAAAATAATATATTAAAGCTGTGTTTTGGGGCATATTATTCCTTGCAGTGTTTTTATTTCAATAAAATAAGTGTGACCTGGTGTGGTGGCTCACACCTGTAATCCCAACACTTTGGGAGTCCGAGGTGGGCAGATCACTTGAGGTCAGAAGTTCGAGACCAGCCTGGCTAACATGGTGAAACCCTGTCTCTACTAAAAATACAAAAAATTAGTCGGGCGTGGTGGCAGGCGCCTGTAATCCTAGCTACTTGGTAGGTTAAGGCAGGAGAATCACTTGAATCTGGGAGGTGGAGATTGCAGAGAGCCGAGATCGTGCCACTGTACTCCAGCCCGGGTGACAGTGCGAGACTCAGTCTCAGGAAAAAAAAAAAAACAATTAGCCAGGCATGGTGGCAGGCGCCTGTAATCTCATTTACTTGGGAGGCTGAGACAGGAGAATCGCTTGAACACTGGAGGCAGAGGTTGCAGTGAGCCAAGATCACGCCACTACACTCCAGCTTGGGTGACAGAGCAAGACTTTGTCTCTAAATAAATAAATTAAATGAGTTGATTTAAACATAAATATTAGAGAAATAATAATCGACATGGTTCAAAGATAACGCACAGAGTAGGAAGAAGTTCTTGAATGGCTGATGTTTGGGAAATACTGCTTGATGTGAGCTCTGAACCCAGTGGTGCTGAATAAGTTGTGTTTTCCTGCCTGGCCACAGTCAGGATGAAAAGGCAGGAATGCCAAGTAGAACGGCTGTTGCTTTGGGAGTTACAGGATCATCCAATTGCCCTGAGGGGTGAGCTTCTTTTCCTCAGGCTGCGATTCTTCCACCTATGCAAAAGAGAATCACCGAGGCTGCTCACTTGAAGGCATAGCAGGAGAATGAGAATGGAGTAACCTCTCTACCATAGGCAAAGCCAGGCAGGAGGGTTGTGGGGAGACGGGTGAGGGGACGGGGGCACAGGAATCAGAGAATACCAGTCTCTGCCCTCACTGAGCTTTCAATGTCATCAGGGAGATGGAGGTAGGGCACAAAAAGAAACACAAAGCCACCTAAACTCAGATCTTAGGACAGCTTTGAGGGGGGCTCCACGCCTGGTGTTAGGAGGGAGGAACAGGCTAGATGAAGTTTGCCTCACCTTCAGGAAGGTGCTCTGCAAGGACTGAATCAGGAATCATTTTAGAAGAGAGTCTTCCTCCTACAAAGAACGTTTCCAATCCCCAAACTGCCCTGTAAAGAGTCTCCAAATTGAGGGTTCTACTTTTCCCCTGGGGAGTGATTCTTTGCTACCTCCACCCCGCAATGGCTGTTTCCAAATTGGATTATTTCATCATTTCCTCCTATTCCTCCCCCCATTCCCCCTCTGTCTTGGTAGAGCAGTAACAGGCTCACCACCTGGCTTCTGATTAGAAAAGCGAGGCAGCGGTTTAATCACAGAGCAACAGAGAAACAAGGCCTGTCTGTGAAATTGCAGCATGTGGTCTATACATCCCTCTCCCAGGCCGGAAAGAGTTGGGGAGGTGGAAGGGTGCAGTTCAAACTCATTTCTCACCACCACCCAGCAGCAATTTCATCAGAAATCAAATGTGCCTACAGCAACTTCTTGCTTTCCATGTCATGACTCTCTGCTGAGGCAAGAGATTTCCTGGAAAGGGGAGTTAGGGCAATGAGTGTCTGCTGCATTGAGGGAAGGGAGTGAGGAGACGGGGGAAGGGGAGAGGGCTGTGTGCGCAGCTGGGCACACAGGGTCTGTAGCCTGCATTGCAGTATGCCTCTGCGGGGTGTGTGTGTGTGTGTGCGTGTGTGTGTGTGTGTGTGTGTGTGTGTCTGTAGTGTGTCTGTGGGGCAGGCTGGTGTCTGTGGGGTGTAAAGACAAGCTGATCAGTGAGCTTGTAATTTCCCATTGCCAGGCCCTTGGAAATGCTGGCTGGGTCGCTTTCCATCCTTTATTTGTTTAGCTTTGCCTGCTTCTCAGTGGCCTCAGGAGGGTGAGGGTGGGGGTAACAGGGAGATGAGATAATTGTGGGGGCCTAGACAAGTTTGCTCAGACAGTATTGTGTGGCTAAGACTATTGAGCTACTGAAAGAGAGAGAGAAACCAAGTACAATAATACTAAAAGTAAACATGAAGGTCGGGCACAGTGGCTCATGCCTGTAATCCCAGCACTTTGAGGCCGAGGTGGGTGGATCACCTGAGGTCAGGAGTTCGAGACCAGCCTGGCCAACACGGTGAAACCCTGTCTCTACTAAAAATACAAACATTAGCCAGGCGTGGTGGCATGTGCCTGTAATCCCAGCTATTAGGGGGGCTGAGGTAGGAGGATTGCTTGAACCTGGGAGGCGGAGGGTGCAGTGAGCCAAGATTGTGCCCCTGCACCCCAGCCTGGGCAACAGAGTGACACTCCATCTCAAAAAAAAAAAAAAAAAAAAGTAAACATGAAGACTCCAAAACAAGGATCTGTTAGTGTTGAGAGGAGCCGAAGGTGGCAAGTATGCTGTCTTTCTCCAAGTAGCTGGCTAGGGGATGGGGCGAGCAGGGATTTGCTTGGAGGGGAGGGGGGAGCCAGCAGACAGATTTAGGATTTAGAAGTCTGCTGCGTTTCAGGAGCTCCCCCATTGGAATAAGATGGGCTGTTGTTTGCCAGGCCTGAAAGTTTTATTTAATGATTCCAAATAGAATATCGCCAAACAGATGTAGTCTTGTTCCTCGAAAGAAAAGCTGCAGCAGGAAGCAGGGGGTGGGCTGTCCAGTGGAGGCCGCAGCGCAGCTCACATTGTCCACAGATGCCGCACTCTGCTTGAAACCTTTCCCAGGCCCGTTCTCGCGGCATCTGCTTTGCTTCCTTCTGTTGCCTGTCTCTCTTCCTTTCTCCAAGACGTCTCAGGGTGCACGTCTGAATCTTGTCCTGACTGAACAGAGAGGGGCTGCCAGGGCCCGGCCACAGCTGGGTTGAGATTCTCCTCTGGGGACACTGGGGACTGGGAACACCTCACCCTGGAATCCTGGGAGGGAGTGGGGACCCTCATAAAGAACTTGACATTTGTGGAGCTGGCCTTTCTCACAGGCATTCTAGGGCTTTCTTGGGGTTACATGGATGGCTGCTCTAATGGGGGTTGGTTGGATGCAGGCTGGGAAGTGATACTTCAGGCCCTATGTTATCTCCTGGGCACGGAAGCCTTTGAAAATCTGCTCTCTAAAACTGAGGAAGCCCTTGAGCAGGGGTGGACCAGCTACAGCCTGTAAGCCAATTCTGGCCGCCATCTGTTCTTGTAAATAAAATTTTATTGGAACACAGCCTGCTCATTTGTTTAAATATTGCCCTTGGCTGCTTTTGGGATATAATGGCAGAGCTGAGTGCTTGCAACCCCATGAAGCCTGCAAAGCTTAAAATATTTACCACAGCGCCCTTTACAGCAAAAGTTTGCCAACTTCTAATCTAGAAAATTCTGGCTGAGGGATGCTTTGCTCAACACCCCTTTCCGTCAGATGCAAAAGGCCCCTGTCCTGAGCTATCAAGGATTTCCACAACTCCTTTACCCCAATACAAACTTCCAAGAGGGGAGGGAAAAAACTTCTATTTGTTTGTAATGTGTTTAATGGGAAGCGCCTCTACCCAAGGCTTGGAGCTCTGTCTATAGTGCTCTTTGTAAAACTGTAAGCCCCAGAAGCTGGGCAGGACTCCTGGCCTGGTAGAGGGTTGACTCATTTATCCAAATTGGCCTGCCTCTGGAGAGCAGCAGTTGTCCCTTGCTTCCCAGGGAATGACCAGCAGTCGGAGGAGACAAGGGTGAGTGGGGTTGCCCCTCAACTCCTTGGAACAAGGCTTGGCTTCTATGCAGATGTCCCATCAGTGAGGAGGTGTGGATGCTGTGCCAATTACGCTTTCCATAGCTGGTCTCCACAATATCTCTTTCCCACTCGTTATTTCTCCACCCCCTTGAACATGGGCTGACCTTCCGTGTGTCTAATAGGATGTTGGGGAAGTGATGCTGCGGGACTTCTCAATGCCAAAAAGACTTGCAACTTCTGGGCCCAAGCGCGGTGGCTCACGCCTGTAATCCCAACAACTTGGGAGGCCGAGGCGGGTGGATCACCTGAGGTCAGGTGTTCAAGGCCAGCCTGGTCAATGTGGCGAAAACCTGTCTCTACTAAAAATACAAAAATTAGCTGGGCATGATGGCGCATACCTGTAATCCCAGCTACTCAGGAGGCTGAGGCAGGAGAATCGCTTGAACCCGGGAGGCAGAGGTTGCAGTGAGCCGAGATTATGCCACTCCACTCCAGCCTGGGTGAGACTCCGTCTGAAAAAATAAAAAAAAAAAAGACTTGCAACTTCCATCTGGTCTCTTGGAGCACTCACTCTTGGGACACTCCCTCTCAAAACCCAGACCCAGCCACCATACTCTGAGCCACCTGAGCCACAGGAGAAGCCAGATGCAGGTGCTGTTGTTGACCAGCCAGCTCAGCTGACAGCCAGCAGCCGGCACCCACTGCCCCCAGGGGAGTGTGCAGCCCTCTTGGGTGTCAGTTGAGCTGGGCTTTCAGATGATGACTCCAGTCCCAGACACCGTCTGCTATAACTACATGAAACAGCCCACATGAGAACTGCCCAGCTGAATCCAGTCAACCCACAGAACCACGAGAAGTAAGATAAATGGCTGTTTCAAGACTTAAACTTTGGGATGGTTTGTTATACGGGAAAGGTCATGAGAACAATGCAATGGCAGTGTGGGCTGTGAGGGGAATAGGGGATGAGGGTGGCCATCTGGTTAGTCCCAGGTGGGGTTCCATTGCTTTGGTCTGGAAAGCTTCCTCTAGTAGTAGAAGATTTGGACTTTTCCCTTCTGTGCCTTGATATCTCTTTTTTTAGAGGAGAATCACCAAACTCCCTACCTACAAAATATAAATCAAGAAAGGATTTTTTTTTTTTTTTTTTTGTGACAGAGTCTTGCTCTGTTGCCCAGGCTGGAGTGTAGTGGCAAATCTCGGCTCACTGCAATCTCCGCCTCCCGGGTTCATGCCATTCTCCTGCCTCAGCCTCCCAAGTAGCTGAGACTACAGGCATCCACCACCAAGCCTGGCTAATTTTTTGTATTTTTTTTAGTAGAGATGGGGTTTCACCGTGTTAGCCAGGATGGTCTCGATCTCCTGACCTCAGCCTCCCAAAGTTCTGAGATTACAGGCGTGAGCCACCGCGCCCGGCCGGAATTGTTTTTTTTTTTTTGAGCCTACAACATGCCAGGTGCTGAGCTCACAGGATCCTCACAACTACCCTTTGAAGTAGACATTATTGTTCGCATTAAAGATAAGGAAACAGAGGCTCAGAAAAGTCAGATGACTGGCTCGAAGTCATCCAACAAGCAAGTGGCAATGTCAGGATGCAAACTCGGATCTATTGTTGCATGTTTGAATATTAATTGAAACTGACAATTTCTATTGCTCCTGGAAAAACATCCTACAAAATAAATGTGATAAATAATACTTACATAGTACTTAAATGTTTTAGCTGTTGTTTTTAAGTCTTAAGTGCCTAAAATATTGTTATTCATATGCTCACAACAACCCTATGAGGTAGGTATTATCAGTGTCTCCATTTTGTAGATGAGGAAACTGACACACAGAGAGGTTAAGAATCTTGGCCGGGTAGGCCGGGCGGGGTGGCTCACGCCTATAATCCCAGCACTTTGGGAGGCCAAGGCAGGCAGATCACCTTAGGTCAGGAGTTCAAGACCAGCCTGACCAACATGGTGAAACCCTGTCTCTACCAGAAATACAAAAATTAGTCAGGCGTGGTGGTGCACGCCTGTAGTCCCAGCTACTCGGGAGGCTGAGGCAGGAGAATCACTTGAACCCAGGCGGTGAAGGTTGCAGTGAGTCGAGATCATACCACTGCACTCCAGCCTCGGTGACAGAGCAGGACTCCGTCTCTAAAAAGAAAAAAATAGAAAAGAAACTTGCCCGAGTTTACACAGCTAGTAAATGGTTGCATTAGTCAGGACAGCTAGCCTATATTACAATAACAACCCTCTCAAATCCTAATGGCTTAAAACAACAGAGGTTTAATTTATACTCATTAGCTGTTCAAGGCAGGAGGCTCTATTCTCTAATCCATACAGTCACTCAGGATCCAGGCTGGTGGAGACCCTGCCATATTGTAGCCTCACCATTTAAAACATGAAGAAGATAGAAAGTGAGGAGTCATGTAGGTTTTGTTCCGTTGCCTCAGGCTAGGAGTGACAGGTCACTTCATCTCACTCACAGCTCACTGCCCACAACTAGTCACTTGTGACTGTGCGAGTTAAGCTTCTGTGTGTGAAGGAAGGAAAAGAGAATGGGATAAAGGTGAACATCAGCAGGCTCTACCACAGTAGTTTGAACCAAGACTTGAGCCTAGGTCATGTGGCTTCAGAATCTTTGCTCTTAATCACACTAAACAGCCTCTGTAAGTCATCTTTCCTTCATCCAGTGCCTAAGAACATGCAGTCCAATGCCCTCATCCTTCAGAAGAACTTGAGTGAACTCAGAGAAATTGAGTAGAGTGCCACAGCATGCCCAAGGCCACACACCCTGAGGTTGGCAGTAGGTCCTGAGTTAGAGTTGTCATTTCTTGGCTCCCCTGGTAGTAGTGGAAAGGTAAGGTTTTGACATACTAGTTGGATGACCACGGGCAGGTCACTTAAATTGTCTAAGCATCGTTTGACCCTTGTAAGAATTAAATGAAATAGCACCTGTAAAAGTGTCTGCACGGACTTACTGCTGTTAGTTTTGTTCCTTTCTTCCTGTTGTCACTGCACTTCCCTGCCTGTTACCCAGGCCATGCAGACCAGCCAGGCCTTCGACTTACAGTGCGGATAAGATTCCAAATCTCCACGGCTGGTTTCCATGCTTTCTTCCAGGCTTCTGAGGACCCTGTGCTCTGGTTTCTTCTATTTCTTTTCTATTACTTTTCTGTTACTCTTGAGCACACTTGCTGGAAGCAATATGCATCCAGTTCTCCCTCTCTTGCCTCATTACACTTTGCAGAACAACTCCAATCCCTTCCAACCAAGTAGTCCCTTTGAATTTCTCCTTCCTCTGCAAACATCTTCCCAGCTTTACAGAGGGGGGGACGTGGTGCTTTCTGACCTCACACTGAGGAACTCTAAACATCATACCTACTCCTGCACCATGCCAAAAGACATGGGTGCCTCCCACGTGCCTAATGCAATCATAATGGCAGGACTATCTTTGGCTGAGGGTTGCATACCAGGCAGTGGGTTAAGGATTTCACCTTGTTTTATTTACTCTTAAAATTTTTGTTATTTTTAAAAATTAGAGACAGAGTCACACTCTGTTACCCAGGATGGAGTGCAGTGCTGCGATCCTAGCTCACTGTAACCTTGAATCCCTGGGCTCAAGCATCCTCCTACCTCAGCCTCCTGAGTGGCTAGGACTACAGGCACCCCCTGCCATCCCTGGAAAATTTTTTAATTTTAATTTTTTGTAGAGATGGGGTCTTGCTGTGTTGCCCAGGCTGGTCTCGAACTCCTGGTCTCAAGCAATTCTGCCTTGGCCTCCCGGAGTGTTGAGATTATTGGCATGAGCCGCTGTGCCCAGCCTAATTTACTCTGTTTTGTTGTTGTTGTTTTGAGACGGAGTTTCACTCTTATTTACCAGGCTGGAGTGTAGTGGCACGATCTTGGCTCACTGCAACCTCTGCCTCCAGGGTTCAAGTGATTGTCCTGCCTCGGCCTCCCCAGTAGCTGGGATTACAGGCGTGCACCACCACTCCCCGCTAATTTTGTATTTTTAGTAGAGACGGGGTTTTACCATGTTGGTCAGGCTGCTCTTGAACTCATGACCTCAAGTGATCCACCTGCCTCGGCCTCCCAAAGTGCTGGGATTACAGGCATGAACCACACAGTGCCCAGCCTAATTTACTCTTTGCAACAAGTCTCTGAAACAGGTACTATTATCATCCCCTTATTACAGATGAGGAAACTGAGGCTGAGAGAAGTTAAAAAACTGGCCCCAAATTACATAGCCAGTAAGCAGAGTGGGTGGACATGAATCCAGGCAGCTTGGTCCCAAGGCCCTTTTTTGCTTAACTCCTACCTGCCTCCAGGGCCCACATTCTGATTCTGATTCTTTTCTTTTGTGTCCTTTCCATTTGGTCACTGTGGAGTCATCCAACCTGATCAGCAACTTCTAGATGGCACGGCTATACAAAGCCTAATCTATCATCTGGGAGGAGGCGCTTGGTTAAGATTTTCTGAAGACAAAGATGATGACAGCGATCGATCGAGTTGTTGACCTGGCACTTGTTGCTTGTTCAGGAAATCACCACGGAGCATGCAGCCCCAGCCTCAGTTTCACCACAGCACATTTTTCCATTCTTCATCTTTTCCATAATGATGTTCCCCAGATTTCCCTTAGGGAGTTTCTTACCAAGGAACTGGGTCAGAAAAGCCAGAGGTCCTCACCCCTGTTCATTCTGTTTCAGGGTTCACCAAGGAGGAGGCTGTGCTGGTCTCTGGCAAATCCCAGGGGAATGTATAAAAACTAGAGGACATTTCCTCCACTCAAGCAATGCTCTTATCCTTTTGTGCTTCTTCCCTTCCTCTCGAAACAACAACTAAAACTCAAACTCAAAACTCCTCCATGAAAAAAAAGTATATGAGCCATCCATGGTGGCATGTGCCTGTCATCCTAGCTACTTGGGAGGCTGAGGCAGGGGGATCACTTGAGCCTAGGAGGTTGAGGCTACAAAGTGCTATGACTGTGCCTGTGAATAACCACTGCACTCCAGCCAGGGTGACACATAGTGACCCCATCTTTAAAAAAAAACTGTGATGGCCGGGCATGGTGGCTCATACCTGTAATCATACCTAGACCTGGAATTTCTGGGTCATAGGGTACACATTTGTTCAGCTTCAGTAGACAGAGCCAAAAAGTTTTGCCAAGTAAATGTATGAACGTATACTCCTATCAGCAGTACCTGGAGGTTCCACTTGCTTCCTATCCTTGCCAACAATTGGCAATTTCCATCTTTTCTCAATTTACCAGTTCTGGTTGAACACCTTCTTTATTCACCGTGGGCTATTCACAGTGGGGTTAATATATGTATGATAAAATAGGAGGAATTTTTAAAATATGATTTCAACTTTTATTTTAGATTCAGGGGGTGCATGTGCAGGTTTATTATATGGGTTTGTGGCGTGATGCTGAGGCTTGAGGTATGAACGATCCCATCACCCAGGTAGTGAGCCTAGTAGCCAACAGTTAGTTTTTCAACCCTTGCCCCCTCTGTCCCTCTCCATCTAGTAGCCCTCATCGTCTGTTGTTGCCATCTTTACATCTATGAGTACCCAGTGTTTAGCTCCCACTTATAAGTGAGAACATGTGGTATTTGGTTTTTTCTTCCTGTGTTAATTCGCTTGGGATAATGGCCTCCAGCCGCATCCATGTTGCTGCAAAGGACATCATTTCATCCTTTATTTTATGGCTGTGTAGTATTCCATGGTGTATATATACCACATTTTATTTATTCAGTCCACCATTGATGGGCACCTAGGTTGACTCCATGTCTTTGCTATGGTGAATAGTGCTGCAGTGAACATATGAGCACATGTGTCTTTTTTAGTAAGATAATTTATTTTCTTTTAGCTATATACCGAGTAATGTGATAGTTCTGAGTACCCTGTGAAATCTCCAAACTGCTTTCTACAGTAGCTGAACTAATTTACATTCCCACCAACAGTGTATAAGCGTTCCCTTTCCTCTGCAGCCCTGCCAACATCTGTTGTTTTTTGACTTTTTAATAATAGCTATTCTGACTAGTGTGAGATGGTATCTCATTATGGTTTTGATTTGCATTTCTCTGATGATTAGTGTTGTTAAGCATTTTTTCATATGTTTATTGGCCACTTGTCTGTCTTCTTTTGAGAAGTGGCTTTGCCCACTTTTTAATGGGGTTATTTGCTTTTTTCCTTGTTGAATTGTTTCTGGATATTAAACTTTTATCAGATGCATAGTTTGCAAATATTTTCTCCCATTCTGTAGGTTGTCTGTTACTCTGCTGATAGATTATTTTGCTGTGCACAAGCTTTTTAGTTTAATTAGGTCCCACTTGTCAATTTTTGTTTTTGTTGCTATTGCTTTTGAGGCCTTAGTCACAAATTCTTTCCCAAGGATGATGTCCAGAATGGTGTTTCCTAGGTTTTCTTCTATAATTCTTATAGTTTGAGGTCTTACACTTAAATCTTTAATCCATCTTGAGTTCAGTTTTGTATATGGTGAGAGGTAGGGGTCCAGTTTCTTTCTTCTGCATATGGCTAGCAAGCTATCCCAGCACTATTTATTGACTAGGTACTTTCCCCATTGCTTATTTTCTCAACTTTGTAACATTATGTCTGGGTTCTCTATTCTGTTCCATTGGTCTATGTGTCTGTTTTTGTACCAATGTCATGCTGTTTTTGTTCCTGTAGCCTTATAGTATAGTTTGAAGTCAGGTAATGTGATGCCTCTGACTCTGTTCTTTTTGCTTAGGATTGCTTTGTCTATTTGCACTGTTTTTTGGTTCCATACGAAAAATACAACAATTAGCCAGGCATGATGGTGGACACTTGTAATCCTAGCTACTCTGGAAGCTCAGGCAGGAGAATCGCTTGAGCCTGGGAGGTGGAGGTTACAGGGAGTTGAGATCACACCATTGCACTACAGCCTGGGCAACAGAGCGAGACTCTGTCTCCAAAAAACAAAAAAACAAAAACAACTGCTTATTGTAAGTTTTCATTTATGTGAAAACTCATCCACGCCAGCAGAAGTCAGGACAATGTTTACCCTTGCAGAGCATGGGGATAATAACCAGTAGGGGCATGAAAGGTTTTCCATATGCTGTCAACGTTCTTTTCTTTATTATTTATTTATTTACACAGCATTTCACTCTGTCATCCAGGCTGGAGTGCAGTGGCATAATTACAGCTCACTGCAGCCTCTACCTCCTGGGCTCAAATGATTTTCCCACCTCAGCCTCCTGAGTAGCTGCGACTACAGGCATGCGACTACAGGCATGCGCAACACCTGGCTTATTTTTTTATTTTTTGTAGAGACGGGGTTTCACCATATTGCCTAGGCTGGTCTTGAACTCTTGGGCTCCAGTGATCTTCTTGCATCAGCCACCCAAAGTGTTGAGATTACAGGCGTAAGCCACTGTGCCTGGCCAATGTTCTTCTTGATCTGGGAGCTGGTTATACGGTGCGGTCAATTTGTGGATATTTATCTGGTTTATCTACTTTTTTTTGCATGTATATTTCAATAAAATATTTTTAAAAAACATTCCTCTCCTGATGACTTAGTGGAGAAAATCTCAGCTTGGGTTTGACTTAACTTGAATGCTTCTTCTAAATTGTCTCATCTTTCTTAACTTGGGAAGAGTGTGCCAGCTTCAGAAGCTTCAGCAGGCAACAGTATCCAGCTCGAATCAAATAACATTGTCTTGTTTTCATTGTGTTTTATGGTTACCATCTATAGATGGCCATCAATACTACATTTCCATTTATGGTAGTGATATACAATTTCTTTTAAAAATGATCGTAAGCAAAAAAAAAAAAGAGTGAATTGCCTTACTTTAAAAAAATTATGTAAATAATAGTACAGGTGGTACCTAGTTACGGTAAACCATGTAAGGGTGGGGTTTATAAAACGTGGTTGAGATGGAAAAAGGCAGGGATTAAGGGGAAGGGAGAAAACCAGTCTTAGCCTGTCCCCATCTCTCAACCAATCCTCACTGCTGGGCACAGACAGGCTCTCAAGCCTGAGGACATACCTTTGCAGAGGACTCATGAGAAATCTAAAGTGAAGAATGCTCCAGGAACAATGGGATGGGCAAAGCCAGAGACAACAAGCGGAGAACCTGGATTCACTCAACAAATATTCTTTGAGTATCTCTGTGCAGGCACCGTTCTAGCCCTGGGCCTACAGTAATAAGCAAAATGGTTAAGTTGTAGGCCAGCCAGTAACCAGCTCTGGGTTCTGGGCTGAGTCCCCCTACTTCTCTAGGCTTCAATGGATTGAGGATGCTCTGTGATTCAAGCCTCTGTAGCAGCTGGCCTTTGGGGAGTGGGATTCTGAGTGAGGCTCAGGAGAGGTTAGGAAAAGCCTTAAAAATATGGGATTATTTTGTTATGTGTTTGCGTGTATTTAGGGTGGGGAAGGGTAAAATTGGCCATTAACCTGGGAACTAGGAGAAAAGAATTGGGTGTGGCCTTCAGGCTCATTAGAAAGTGAAATATCATTGAGTACTTTGCATTTGTCAAGTCAGCATCACTTTGCCTGCTCATCTCCACTGCTCTTGGCTGAAAGATCAAGAACTTTAAAAGGAGGTGGAAAGAGAATGAATCCCAAAAGATAAGTGAGTAGCTGCATGGGAATGAATGAATCAATGCCACTCTTAGCCTCTTAATAGACTCATCACAGCCTTTCATTCCCAGCTCCTGGGCATTGCAATTAAGACAGAAAGAGAATGAGGGGCCCTGCCAGGAATATTTTGAGAGACTGTACTTTTCATTCACTCAACAAATATTTATTGAGTGCTTACCTGGTGCCAGGCAGTATTTAGACCTGTGGGCTGTCCAATTTGATAGCTACCTAGCCACACATGGCTATCAAACATTTGAATTTTGGCTACTTCAAACTGAAATGTGCTGTATAGCATACACATCAGAACTTGAGGATTTAGTATAAGAAAAGGAATGTTAACTCTCTCATTAATTTTAGTGTTGATTACCCATTGAAATGATAGTATTTTGGATATACCGCCAAATTAAGAATATTATTAAAATAAATGTCATCTATTTCTTTTTACTATATTTTAATATGGCTACTAGAAATTTACAATTGCACATGTGCTCACGTTTGCGATTTGCAGTAGATTTCTATTGGACAGCGTTGTGCTAGACCCTGTGCCTACTCTGTAGGAGCTCAGTGGGTGGGACCAACAGAAACACGTTACAAAGCAGGCAGGAGACACCAGGGAGAATGAAGGTGGAATGACCATGATCCTTCCTGTGTCTTATTTTTATTTTTTTTAGATTGGCACTGTACATAGTGCTTTTTACTTCTTTTTTTTTTTTTTTTCAGATCGGCACCCTACATAGTGCTAACGATTTTTTTTTTTTTTTACTTTTTTTTCAGATCGGCACTCTACATAGTGCTAATGATTTCCAGAAGTCCAGCTCTGTCCATCTCTTCCTCTGCTCAAACATGGATGCTGTATCCTTACTGCCCAGCATATTAAGCCAAAGCGCCACAGTCAACTGGATTTCCTGCCTCCCCTGCTGCTCTCTGCAAGCATCCTGCACTCTGGCTGAAGTGGACTTTCTGATCCCCAAACTCATTTTCCCATTTCTCTCTCTCTCTCTCTCTCTCTCTCTCTCTCTCTCTCTCTCTGTGTGTGTGTGTGTGTGTGTGTGTGTGTGTTTTGAGACTGATTCTTACTCTGTCACCCAGGCTGGAGTGCAGTGGTGCGATCTTGGCTCACTGCAACTTCCACCTCCTGGGTTCAAGCGATTCTCCTGCCTCAGCCTCCCAAGTTGCTGGGACTACAGGCGTGCATCACCGTGCCTGGCTATTTTTTGTATTTTTAGTAGAGATGGGATTTCACCATGTTGGCCACGGTTGGCCAGGCTGGTCTTGAACTCCTGATCTCAGGTGATCCACCTGCCTCGGCCTCCCAAAGTGCTGGAATTACAGGTGTGAGCCACCGCGCCCGGCCCCATTTCTGTGTTTTTGCTTCAGGTGGTCCCTCTGCCTGTGCCCTTGCTAACCGCCCATTTCCTCTGGTAGAATTACAAGCTTCAATTTCAGCTCCGACTCACCCAAGAAACTCCCCTTTCCTCAACCACCACATCACCTCTCTACCAAAATATTTCTTTTCTTCAAAGCCTCTGATAAACATTTATTTATTTATTTTTTATCTTACCAAAGTCTTTCCCGATAACTCTTCCCAGCTTGGCGTCTTAAGACCAGGTACTTGCCTTCCTGGAGGCATCTAGGTCACCTTCAGAGCCAGGTGGCCATTGGGTTAACTAGCTGTTGAACTGAATCAAACAGGCTCTGAGCCTTGAAGTCAGAAAGAGCCAGAGTGGAGGGGTCTGGGGGGAAGAGGGGCGCTGAGGTATAGGGAGATGAAACCTGCGGTGGAGGCAGCTTAATGGTCCACCTGTCACCCAAGGAATCTCTCTGACAGGGGTCTTTGTTAGGGTCACACCCCAGGAGATGGTTGATTATGGCTGAGTCCAGCCTGGAATGATGGGGGTTGGGGGCAGCTTGGGTAGATGACTCAGTAAATCAAACAGAACAATGAAAGGAGGTCATGCTTGTCCATCTGCATTATTGAAGACAGCCATAAATGGCCTTACCCCAGAGCGGGTCTGTCACACCTGGAGAGCTGATCTGACCTCTCCAAGACCCCTGCAACTGAGTGTTCTGGGATCTGTCCTGCAACAAGTGCCTCGAGATTTGTAGGTGGGGGCCCAGGGTGCTAAGGGATTATTTTAGCGGGCGGAGAAGGGAGGGGGTCTGCAGACGAAGGGGGCAGGTTTTGCGGGGCACTTAGGGTTCTCATAGGTTGTAGTCACGAGCTCCCAGGTTTGGAAAACTGCAATAGTCACTAAGACCATTCGGGGCTGTTTGGGTCTAGCTTGGTCTAGACGGGTCTGAAACTCCGCAGGACCCACCCAACAAGAAGTCATTGTTCCAAGCCACGTGTCAGTGGTGGGTGATACCCCAGGATGGAAGGAGTTGGTATGAGCCGACTGAAATCTACTTGAAGGTCAAAACGGAGCCTTATGTCTTTTGTGTTCCCCAGCGGTTAGCCCAGTGCCGGCCACAGGGGAAGCGCGCAAACGAAGTCCTCGCGAACTGAACTGAGAGCAGACAAAAGCACGCGCTCTTCTCCACCGCCACGCCGGTCCTACCCAAACCCGCGAGTTATCCGTATTCTCCTTCAGGAGTCATAGTCAGGCCAGAAGAGTGCGGAGGGACGGGGCCCGGGAAGAGCAGGGAACCCCCAGAGCCCGCAGCCAACGCGGAGGTGGGCGAGCGGGCGTGCGCGCACTCACTTGCCGGCGCGAGGGAGTGTCGGGGGGGAAGGGAGTGGTCTCCAAAAGGGGGAGGGGAGAAGGCAGGGGGCGGGGAGAAGCCGGCCCTTTAGGACCCGGCTGCGGCGGCGAGGGAGGAGGAAGAAGCGGAGGAGGCGGCTCCCGCGCTCGCAGGGCCGTGCCACCTGCCCGCCCGCCCGCTCGCTCGCTCGCCCGCCGCGCCGCGCTGCCGACCGCCAGCATGCTGCCGAGAGTGGGCTGCCCCGCGCTGCCGCTGCCGCCGCCGCCGCTGCTGCCGCTGCTGCTGCTGCTACTGGGCGCGAGTGGCGGCGGCGGCGGGGCGCGCGCGGAGGTGCTGTTCCGCTGCCCGCCCTGCACACCCGAGCGCCTGGCCGCCTGCGGGCCCCCGCCGGTTGCGCCGCCCGCCGCGGTGGCCGCAGTGGCCGGAGGCGCCCGCATGCCATGCGCGGAGCTCGTCCGGGAGCCGGGCTGCGGCTGCTGCTCGGTGTGCGCCCGGCTGGAGGGCGAGGCGTGCGGCGTCTACACCCCGCGCTGCGGCCAGGGGCTGCGCTGCTATCCCCACCCGGGCTCCGAGCTGCCCCTGCAGGCGCTGGTCATGGGCGAGGGCACTTGTGAGAAGCGCCGGGACGCCGAGTATGGCGCCAGCCCGGAGCAGGTTGCAGGTAACGCGGTCTGGAACAAGTAGTTGGGAGAAACTTGGAGGGCAGCGGAGAAGCCCGACGGGCGGCTGGACCTTACGGACGGTTTTAGGGGCGGCAGAGCCGAGACCTTGGACCAAATCAAGGGGGACTGTTGCTAGCGGGACGCGGAAGTCAGGCCCGGGGAGGGGAACTGGAGTTAGAGCAAGTGGAAGAGCCCTGGCGACTCATTTGGTGGGGATGAATGGGGAGAGGAAAGGCATCCCTGCTGCCATAGTTTTACCCGCGTGGAACGGACCCAGACTTCTATTCTGGAGGAGGGATTTGCTGAGAAGGGGGCCGGTGGTCAGATCCATGGGAGTAGGAACTCGAATCTTATTTGGGGCACTGCTTGAGGACCCAAGGGTCCTGGTGGGATCGCTGCTGGGAGGCGGAGGCTGCGGGGTGCCAGTGACACCAGGAACCTTGGAAGAGGAGAGGGAGCTAGGAGGAGGCACCGGCGTCCCAAGGGGCCCTTCCTTCTACTGGGGTTGTGAGTTGGAAAGAAAGGACTTGGTACTTTGTAGGATGAGTCGCTTAGGAGAAAAATGAAAACCACCACTACTATTTCTCCATAGGGAACGAGCAGGGCTCTTGCTACCACGTTGAATGGAAAAATAAAAGGGAGGCATTTGGTAGGCGAGGGGTCTCCTAGCAGCTGAATCAATGTAACTTAAGCCCGATCGCCGGCTGCATTCCCTGGACGGGGGCAGCCAGGCTGTGCGGTTTCGCATCTGGGCCCCAGATCGAAAGGCAGGAGAGATGCGTTGCCACCCCCCACCCCCGCCCCTATCTTAAATTGAGGGACCCTTTCCTGTAGGATAGAATGAGGACCCGATATTCTTTGTTCAGGGGCCCTCATCCCTCCCAAAAAGTTATTTGAGGGACACAACCAGGCTCTAAGGAGGTTACTTTTTTTTTTTTTTAATTACGAAAGCCTCCTGCCCCAGTGGTCGGGAGGAAGCTGTAATTATTTTCTTTCCTCTTGGAGACAGTGGTGAAATGTGTCCACTGCCTGCTGCTGTTGTTGAAAAAGCAAGTGAGTCTTAAGTTTCTCAAACTTAAAAAGAAAAAGTGAAAAGAAGAATGCTTGCTTTTTAGCTTCTGAGGTCTTCGTAAGCCCCCCACCCCATGCACCAACCCGCCTCCCTTCTCCTGGTCGGCTATTGTTTTTTTCCCTGTTCTCCTTGAGAATGGAATTAGGGGTCAGAGTTGAAATCTTTCTTCTGTTTCTCTAGCACATTTTGCTCTGGAGTACAGAGCAAGTTAGGGCTTCCTCTGAGTGGAGCCTCTCAGTCCCTTTCTTCTCCCTCGGCTCGCTTCCTTCCCTAGCCTGCCTGGAAGTTAACCCTTCCCTCCTGCTTCTCTTAGAAAGTAACAATAAAAGGAAAAAGCCCCCACGAAATCCTTTCACTGCGGGGTGCCTGTCCCCCAGTCATGCGTTCCTCCTCATCACCCCTCGTGGTCCACCGGGGAGGTGCTGTGCAGTTTCTGAGCTGAACTCTGACAAACTAAACATCTTCCTCAGCAGGGTGAACTTTTTGAAAGGCCTCTAAGTTCATAGGATGGTTTGGCTGCTGACTGTTTTAATAAAGTGTGTGATGCCTTTCCTTCTTTAACGTTTTACTTTTTTTTTTTTCCTACTCTTCATTCGTCTTATTCTAAGCCTGAAAACCAATTCTACTTCCCAAATCCCTGAAGCCGGTTAGGGTCTTTAGCCAGGAACAGATGCGGCAGATTTTCTCCCATTCACTTTTCCCTGGAGCCTGAAGGGGGTGGGGGGTAGTTGTCAGGGGAGGCCAGGGACAATGGGGTGAGTTCATGGGAAGAATGTCACTCTGGATTTTCTGCCTGGTTATGGGACTCCCTTCCGCCAGCTTGCCCCAGCTGCGTTCTCCTCCCCAGTGCCCAGACGCCTTCCGCATTTTTGTGCACCGGCCTGGGAAGAGGGGATGTTAAGCAGGGGTGGAAGGTGGGGGGTGGGGCTGGAAGCTGAGTGGGTGCACTCAAAAGAAGTGACCAATGTCAGGGGTGCCTGAGAAAGAGTCGGGCTGGGGGAGGGGAGCACTTTGGGAAGGAGCCTGAGCTTGCAAGGGTGCAGGAGAAAAAGGGGTCAAGGTTGGAGGCTTTTGTGTGGGAGAGGGTCTTAGGCTGGGGCAGAGACTGGAGTCACTGGATGGAGAGTGCTGGGTCCGAGTTGGGTGGGGCCTGGCCCAGACGGAGATCTTAGCACTGAATCCTCTGCCTCCCACTCCATCTCCCGTCCCGTCTTCTCTCCTCTCCGAAGAATGAGCACCCCCCCTCCAGCCTGCATTCCTCTTTGAGCAGGTTGCTTTTGAGAATTTTAAACATACCCTCTTATTTCGAGGCAGCGAACCTCAGCAGTTCCGGCTTTGCTGTTAGCTCTTTTGTCTTTGTTCCCGGGACTCAGGGGCTGTGTTGCTGCTGGCTTCCTGGGGATGGCAAGGATGCAGGGGTGGGGGTGGGCACATCAGTGGGTGGAAGGAGTGGGTGGTGGTGAGCCTGTATCCCACGGGGACGATGGGCTGGGGCTTGTTGGTTCAAAGAAACTGAGAAGTCAGTCTTGGGGGAAGGGGTGGGTAGGCCTAGAAGAAAAACCGAAAGGAGACCCTGAGATCTGCTTGAAGTTGGGACTCTAAAAGCGTGTGTATGTGTTTGGTGGTGGAGTGGATAGAAGTGCCTAGAAATGTCAGGGTCGAGGAGGGAACAGGGTTGGGCCAGTCCAGGCCCTTTCAGAATTAAGGCTGGGCTAGACCGGTTCCTTCAGTATCTCCCCAGCCTCCTTCCCTACCGTGTACAATGCAGGGGATTATGCTGAGGGGCGGGGCCGCCCGAGTGGCCGTTTGGCCCGCTGCACGTATAAAGGTGCTACAGAAATGTGTAGTCGTTCAAAGTCCCAGGGCGGGCAGACAGGCAGGCAGGCAGGCGGGCGGGCGGGCGGGCGGGCGGGCCTGGGGAGGCTCTGCATCTGCAGTTGCCGGGGAAGAATAAAGGGGGGAAGAGGCAAGCACTGATTTACAGTGGTTCAGTGCAGCTTCAAAAAAAAAGGGGGAAAAAGCAATGGGACTTCTGGCTCAGAGTACTGCTTTGCATCTCGTCTTGCATAAATTTGCATACTGAGTTCAAAGTCGTAAAATAGACTAGGGAAATGAGTGGGATCTACTGTCACTGATTGTTAACACCACTACCTTCCACCTCCCCTCCCCCCATCTGGACAGAACTCCCGGCACTAGTTCTGCTAAGCAGCGCTGCCTGAGTCACCAGTCACCACTGTTCATGAAAGAAGGAGATGGGGAAGCGCCTGTCTAGGAGACCAAGCAGGGTGTGGCAGTGTGCACCCTGGCCTCGGAGGCAGGGCCTCTCTGAAGGGTGTGGCCCGACAGATTCTGGACCAGTGAGGCAAGTGGTGTTCTTTCTGACGCCTGGGGCTGCCGTTGCCCATGGTGGGCTGCAGTTTGAGGAAGCTGCAGAATCCGGGTCTTCTTTGTTTGAAATTTCCCTACTCAGCTTCCACATATGTCCAAAACATTTACTGTGATAAGTCCCTTTGTGTGGTGGTAATGACCCACTTCTTTAGACAAGATATTTGAGGAAGGTTCGAGAACAGAAAAATTCTACTTAACAATGTTAAGGAATCTGAGAAAAGTGGGGCACAGGAGTCTCTAGGTTAGAATAGGTGGTAGAGCCTGGAAGGAGAGAAGAACCCATCTGTTGTATTCCCGAGGGTCTGCCCACACAATGGCTCTTGGCCAAGTGGACTGTTGAGCTTCCTGTCAGGCAGAGGGAAGAGGGAGGCTTAGATAGTTCTCACTGTTGGCCTACTTCAGCACTGAGCTTCAAGACTTTCAGGCAAATCATTCCTTCAGGCTCAGAGGCTGGAAATTAGTTCTATAAAAATGCCATGGGGCCGGTCGCATTGGCTCATGCCTGTAATCCCAGCACTTTGGGAGGCCGAGGCAGGTGGATCACAAGGTCAGGAGTTTGGAGACCAGCCTGGCCAGTATAGTGAAACCTCTTCTCTGCTACAAATACAAAAATTAGCTGGGCATGGTGGAGCATGCCTGTAGTCCCAGCTGCTTGGGAGGCTGAGGCAGGAGAATTGCTTGAACCCGGGAGGTGGAGCTTGCAGTGAGCTGGGATTGCATCACTGCTCTCCAGCCCGGGCAACAGAGCAAAAAAACTCCGTCTCAAAAAATAAATAAAATAAAAATGCCACGGGTTGGCCAGGCGCGGTGGCTCACGCCTGTAATTCCAGCACTTAGGGAGGCTGAGGTGGGCAGATCACCTAAGGCCAGGAGTTCAAGACCAGCCTGGCTAACATAGTGAAACCCCATCTCTACTAAAAATGCAAAAATTAGTTGGGCATGGTGGCACCTGCCTGTAGTCCCAGCTGCTCGGGACTCTGAGGTAGGAGAATCGCTTGAACCTGGGAACTGGAGGTTGCAGTGAGCCGAGATGGCGCCACTCCACTCCAGCCTGGGCAACAAGAGTGAAACTCCGTCTCAAAAATAAAATAAAATAAAAATAAAAATAAAAAGCCATGGGTTACCTGAAAGTAGGAGCATATCCATTCACTCATTATCTGACCTTTGAGGGCTGACTTGGAGAGAACTGTTCTCTGGCCCAGTCATCAGGTGGCTTCCAGTTGGTTCTCAGCTGGGCTGTTCACACCCATAGAAAATGGGAGGTACGACTGTTCAATTTCTTTTTTTTTTTGAGACGGAGACTCGCTCTCTTGCCCAGGCTGGAGTGCAGTGGTGCGATCTCGGCTCACTGCAAGCTCCGTCTCCTGGGTTCACGCCATTCTCCTGCCTCAGCCTCCCGAGTAGTTGGGACTACAGGCACCTGCCACCACGCCCGGCTAACTTTTTGTATTTTTTAGTAGAGACGGGGTTTCACAGTGTTAGCCAGGATGGTCTCGATCTCCTGACCTCATGATCCGCCCACCTCGGCCTCCCAAAGTGCTGGGGATTACAGGCATGAGCCACGGTGCCCGACCAGGCTAATTTTTTTTTTTTTTTTTTTTTTTGAGACGGAGTCTTGCTCCGTCGCCCAGGCTGGAGTGCAGTCGCCCAGCCTGGAGTGCAGTGGCGTGATCTTGGCTCACTGCAAGCTCTGCTTCCTGGGTTCACGCCATTGTCCTGCCTCAGCCTCCCGAGTAGTTGGGAATTCACGCATGCACCACCATACACGGTTAATATTTTTGTATTTTTAGTAGAGGCAGGGTTTTACCATGTTGGCCAGGTTGGTCTCAAACTCGTGAACCTCAAGTGATCTGCCCGCCTTGGCCTCCCAAAGTGCTGGGATTACAGGCATGAGCTACCGCACCTGGCCACAACTGTTCGATATTGATATGAGGAAGTTCTGAAAATTCTGCACCAAAGGGAATGGAGAACAGGTAAATACCTATGATGCCTGGCAGGATAGGACAGGGGGCTGCTGAAAGGAATGAAGGAGGAGCAGAACAAAAAGGGGCTGTGAGGCCACATCCACATCTGCTTTTGTTGTTGGTCCTTCCCGCGTACTAGAAGACTGTACCCAAAAGAAAAGAAAAAAGCTTGTTTTTTTTTTGTTTGTTTTTTTGTTTTTACAAAGAGTCTGTGTATCTGGGAATTGTTATTTTTATTTGTATTATTATTTTTATTCATTTATTTATTTCAAGACCGAGTTTTGCTCTGTCACCCAGGCTGGAGTGCAGTGGCGCAATCTCGGTTCACGGCAACCTCTGCCTCCCGAGTTCAAGCAATTCTCCTGCCTCAGCCCCCCAAGTAGCTGGAATTATAGACACCTGCCACCATGCCTGGCTAATTTTTGTATTTTTAGTAGAGACAGGTTTTCACCATGTTGGCCAGGCTGGTCTCGAACTCTGGACCTCAGGTGATCCTCCCGCCTTGGCCTCCCAAAGTGCTGTGAGTACAGGCGTGAACCACTGCACCTGGCCTATTTTAATTTTTTAAGGAACTCTGTATCCAGGGAGTGCATTTCGTCTCAGCCTTTCTCTGTATGTTCCCGACTCCCTCTTCCTCCTCCTGCCTTCTCCATGCTGTCCTCTTTGTCCCTGCAGACCATTCTTTCCTTTCCCACACTTCTCCCTTCCATGCCTTTCCTACTCCGGCTCAGCTAGAACACCTGCTTGCTAGGTAGGTGGGTGGGGCTCAAAAATGGTGTGGAAAATATAGTGGTCTCAGCCTCAGAGATCCATCCAATCAGAGGGATATTATGTAGGTGACTGGAGACTATAATGCTTGAAAAAACTAGAATCCTTAAATGAGGAGGGTGGTTGACTGGGCTTTGAGGGAAAGGACTTCTATAGGCCAGGGAATGGGATTCTCTCCTATAAGAGTTAGCACTAGCGCTGCTTCTGCTGAAACCAAGGCATAGAAGCGGGAGATGATGTTTGAATTCATGAGGGAAGCTGGTAACGTGGTTGGCAGATATTCTAGATCCCTCTGCTTATCCTGTCTCTGGCCAGCAATTCACTGAGATGGCAGGCAGCCGCCAGGAGATTGGTGGTGCTCGCATCTGTCCTCACCCTATTATGAACTGGCTTCTGTGCCTGCTTTGTCTCCTGTCTTCCACCTCCCTGCGAGGGAGGCCGTTCTACCTCCATTTTGCAGGTGTGGACACTGGGTGACTCAGCGATACGAAAATGCTGAGAGGCTAACCTGGGTACCTTCCCACTGCACCCCTCTACCTCCGTGGCCGGGTAAGGAGTTGGGCTGTTGGTAGAGAAAAGCTTTTGACCGTATCAACCAGCAGTTTTGTTCCTGGACAGCTGCCATGTGCAGGTGATGTATGGGGCACAGTAAATTTCTGCCAGATTTCAATTATGTAGATTCCCTTGACTCCATGGACAGTTACAAGTCCTGGAGTTTGGGGACCTCACAGTTGTAAGTAGCCAGCATACAGAGGTCAGTCAAGAGGGACAAGAAGGTCACAGGGTGGGCCTCTTGAGAGAAGAGCTGCTGGGTAGCAGATGATGGTGCAGGCAGCCTGGCCTTTGCTGTCATATTGACCGGGGTTGGTTCCATTGCAACCCTGTCTCTTAATACTTCAGTAGTTAGTAAGGCTCTTCCTCCAATGCCAGTTCCCTGTTGGTAAAATAGCAATGATTTTACCTCTTTCCCAGGGTGCGTGTTGGGGTGGCTGTGATAATGGCAAGTACCTGGCACATAGTATGTTCTTGTACATGTTAGCTGCCTTAATCTTGGCAAGTGACATCTCCTCCTTGACAATTAGCTGGCCTTTAAAATGAAGGCCAAACTGGAAAGGTCAGGCAGGCCACTCCTCTCTGGAGGTTCAAATCCCAGGTGGTCTACCATGTACTAATCACCCAAGGTAAGAGATTTCTTGCTAAGCCTCAGTTTTCTTATTTGCAAATCAGAAATTGATAGTATTTCATTGGGTCAACTACACAGATGTGTGTAAAGATATAAACTATATATAAAACCTAAGCTCTTGCATTTTGGTGATGAGTCACTTGATTTCCATCTCTTCACCTATGAATGGAAATATCCATACCTCTCCAACCTACTTTCACAGGGCTGTAGTGAGGTGGTTTATGGAAAGGGCAATGAAACTGTACTTTAAATGCAATACAAATGCAATTGATAAATGCAATATAAATGCAACTGATAAGTGCATTATAAATGCAGTGCATAAACGGTTGGAGACCATCGGGCTTGCATTTTTTTTTTTTTTTTTTTTAGACAGAGTCTTGCTCTGTCGCCCAGGCTGGAGTGCAGTGGCGCGATCTCAGCTCACTGCAAGCTCCACCTCCTGGGTTCACGCCATTCTCCTGCCTCAGCCTCCCGAGTAGCTGGGACTACAGGCACCCGCCACCACGCCCGGCTAATTTTTTGTATTTTTTAGTAGAGACGGGGTTTCACAGTGTTAGCCAGGATGGTCTCGATCTCCTGACCTCATGATCCGCCTACCTCAGCCTCCCAAAGTGCTGATGATTACAGGCGTGAGCCATGGTGCCCGACCAGGCTTACATTTTTTTTTTTTTTTCGTGAGACGGAGTCTCGCTGTGTCGCCCAGGCTGGAGTTCAGTGGCACGATCTCGGCTCACTGCAAGCTCCATCTCCCGGGTTCATGCCATTCTCCTGCCTCAGCCTCCTGAGTAGCTGGACTATAGGCACTTGCCACCACGCCCAGCTAATTTTTTGCATTTTTAGTAGAGATGGGGTTTCACAGTGTTAGCCAGGATGGTCTCGATCTCTTGACCTCATGATCCGCCCACCTCGGCCTCCCAAAGTGCTGGGATTACAGGTGTGAGCCACCCCGTCTGGCTAGGCTTGCATTTTTTTTTTTTTTTTTTGAGACGGAGTCTTGCTCTGTCACCCAGGCTGGAGTGCAGTGGCGCGATCTCGGCTCACTGCAAGCCCGCCTCCTGGGGTTGATGCCATTTTCCTGCCTCAGCCTCCCCAGCAGCTGGGACTACAGGCGCACGCCGCCACGCTCGGCTAATTTTTTGTATTTTTAGTAGAGACGGGGTTTCACCGTGTTAGCCAGGATGGTCTCGATCTCCTGACCTTGTGATCCGCCCGCCTCGGCCTCCCAAAGTGCTGGGATTGCAGGCGTGAGCTACCACGCCTGGCCTAGGCTTGCATTTTTAATGGATTAGTTGGGCAGTGCTCTTTGGATCCGATGTGCTGATGTCTAGGACTGACTGTTTTTGGTATGGGAGCTTCTGTCTGCAGTGTCTAGAATGGGGGTTGGAGGGACTATGGGGAACAGAGGTGGCCCCAGAGCTTGGACATCTGGGTTCTCATGCTGGCCTTGCTGCTCATAAGCAGGTAACACAGGGTTGAGTTCCTCCTTTGCCTGGCCAGCCAACCTGGAAGACCTAGCCTTCTGGCTGTCAGTGTCCAGAGCTCTGGAGAATCCCTGAGGCTACATCTCTGGGTGGGGGAAGGTCCTCTCTGTATAGATGGCCCTCCAGGGGAAGTCTGCAAGGATCCAGACTTCAGAATAATAGAGTTAAGTATTAACTAATCCAAGTGGTCCTAGCACATTTAGCACATATGGCATGCTCAAGGGTGTGCAATTGTGCAGTCATCAAAGCCAGTGAGGGCACCCGATGCCACCCATTTCCTGCACCAGGAAAATGGACCTTTCACGTCTCTGAACCTGGGATGCCAGAATGCACTGAACTTGATCCTGGCAAATAAATTGGAAGCTGTTTCCAAAAAAGTGATATGTTCTTGCTACATTGTCTCCAGAGTTTACTCCTGAGTTGGGGAGCAGCATCTCATTTTGCAAGGGGCTGTTGGATTCTCCATAGAAACGCTGGGTTGGGGGAGTGTCTTCTGAGTACTGGGGCTCTACCTAATGTCTGATTCCATCTGTGGTACCAAAAAGCCCTCTGAATGGCAGCCTGTCTGTGCACAATGATGCCGAAGACTTTCTTTTCCAGCATCTAATGAGGCATGGCCCCAGGAAAGCAGAGAAGGCGGATGCTTGAGTCTCTGAGGGTCAGAATACGCTTATGGTGAAATCAGAACTGGGGACAAGGCAAAGTACTGCCATTGGGAATCCGGGGTGGATGGTCATGTTAGACCAGGGGTGTCCAATCTTTTGGCTTCCCTGGGCCACTTGGAAGAAGAATTGTCGTGGGTCACACATAAAATACACTAACACTAACCATAGCTGATGAGCTAAAAAAAAAAAAATTGCAAAAAAATCTCATAATGTTTTAAGAAAGTTTACGAAATTGTGTTGGGCCACATTCAAAGCTCTCCTGGGCTGCAGGTTGGACAAGCTTGGCGTAGACTCTTGGAGGGCTTTCATGGTGGAGGCAGGAAAGGAAAAGCCCCTTTTACAGATGGGATAGTAGGTCCAGAGAAATGTGTTGGTTTTCAGTTCCAGAGTAATTTCACCTGCTCCCACCCTCCACACTCACAAAGAGCAGGCTGGGTGGGATGTCGATTTTTTTTTCTTCTGGAGAATGGACCATCTCCCTATGCCTCTCCTCCTCCTTGGCTACTAACCCCTGACTTTTCCCTCCCCCTTCTCTGGCCACTCCTGTTCCTGAACAAAGCCAGGGAAGATCTGGGCTGGCTCAGCCCCTGGGTGTCAGTCAAGACTCAGAGGGAGACTTTGCTCAAAAAGCCAGCCCTCCCGGAAAGAAATACAGAGCAACTGTAGTCAGGAATTTTTCCCTTTCCTTTTTTCTGTGGGCGGGGGGAGGGACACTTGGCAGTCTTTGGGGCCCTTCTGGCTGCCAGCCCCACATCTCTTCCTGGCTGTTGGGAGGCAGGGCAGGAGGGAAGATTGGGGAGAAGGGGGCAGGGGCTGGCAAACACCCAGCTGCTGGGCAGTGGAATTCGTCCATAGGCCCTGGTGGAGTTGGCCTCTAGTGAAGCCTGGGGAGGTTTCTAATTAGTGGAGGACGGTGAAGGTGTGGCAGCCTGTGTTCATTCAAGGAACTGAGCTCTCTGAGCCAGGAAGTCAAAGGGAAGAGGGGGACTGAGTCCCGGAAGGCCTTGGTAGGTGGGGAGGAAGTTGTACCTACTCAGTGTGTTCCATCCTATTAGAAGTTGAGAAGAGGGGGGTGTTTCAGCTGGAGTGATTCAGGTTGGACTCTGGGGGTGCAGAGAGTCAGTCATTGGCACTAAGCAAAGGGAGCCACCTCAAAGAATAAGTGATATAACAGTGATAAACAAAATGGCTTTGTTCTAGACATTGCCTGCTTCTACCAGAAAGCTCATTTTGTTTTTTTTGTTTGTTTTATATTCTTCCCCTCTCCCACTTCCTGCCCCAGCTCTGTTTTAGCCTCGAGATTCTCTCCACTTAACAAATGAAGAAATCAAGGCTACATTCAGGTTCAACTGCCAAGGCAAGCACAGACCAGATTGTAGTCTGGGTCTCTAGATTCTTCCAGCTCTCCATTTCACCAGACTCACACATGCAGAAAAGCAGTGAATTATATACTGCTTCTTGGAAGAGCTCCTTTTCCCTGGGAAGTAGTAATTAAGGCATATCTTCTCAAAAATGTTCCTTTATGCAACTCTCTAGGAAGTTTCTTTTAGGTCTATTGTCTTTACTTCTGGATGGAGGTGCCAAGTTGCCTCTGGGTGGTGAACTTGTTTTCTAAAATGCCCGAGGCCAAGAACAAAATGAAAATGGCAATTCCCTTGTGCCCTGTGCCCTGCCCCGTGACTTCCTGATAATGCTGAGCAGTTGCTATAGCAACAGTGGTGGGAGGTGTGTCAGGCAGGATAAAGGGGGTGGGGGTAGGACAGGTTTACTGGATCAAAGAGGCTTTTGCGGTTGAGTAGGGCTGCTGACATGACTGATAGCCTACTTCTAGGGAAAGATGGGGGTCCCATAGAGATGGGGAGGGGAAGAAATGAAGCCCTGGGGCTAAAAGGTCTTGCTTGAGAGTCTTTCCTTAGGTGATGCCAAGTGACCAGGTGCCATCTGGTTGGTTAACAACCTGGGCTTGGTTTTGGCCACTGGCTACATGACTTTGTGCAGTTGGCCTCCAGCTCTATAGTTCATTTATCAAGTGTGAGGGGGATAAGAAATTACCAACCTCATGTGCCTGCTTGATAACAAAGGTAAACATGCAAGCCACGTAGCACAGAAACTCAGATAATCAAATGAGGTAGTGCAGGTTCTGATTCTTGCAATACAGGAGAACAGGAGAATGGCAGACACCGCTTTTGGACGTTTTCTGATTGGTCATTTCAAGAATCCTGTTAGCAGGTGTGACTTATTCCCTTGAGTGTGGCTTACCTGGACAGCTGCCACTTTGCTTTGGAAAGCCTCCAGTGAGTCCAGAGAGGAGTCAATGGTTGAGAGTTTTCCAGGGGGCAGTCATGACCCTCGATGCCATTGTGCCTGTGGTTCTACCAACAGCTTAATGACCAACCATGTCCCATTTATGCCCCAGAAGTTAGGACTCCCACTTGAGGCTCTGCTGGTTGTCTCTGGTTTGGTTCACTGCCTCTTAAACCTTGAGAGCATAGCCAAGGAAGGTAATTGATGTGATATACTATCAGACAAAATTAGTGAACTTTAGTTGAAGACAGAGAAAAGCATGGTGACCTATTTAAAGACACTTATTTATATTCAAGACACTTCTTGTGCTGGTTTGAGAGTGGCCGGCAATCCTGGACATCTTTGCAGGTTTTAAATTTCTTTTTGCATCCTGTGGGTTCAATTTGTCAGGCCTGGAATATCTGAGAGCAGAGTTATGGGGATGGAGAAGAGGACAGTGGAAGGGGAGGGTGGTGGGAAAGGTTGGTAGGATTCAGCCTTTGTTACACTATGGGAGTGGGGCTGTGGGATTGCATCATCGAAACTGAATTGTTTGAATGTGGGTCTTAGGACAGGCATGTGTCCTTCCCATCCCATCTCATGGTTCCACTTGCTCACTGCCTTTCTTGACTTGCTCACTGCCTTTCTTGACTCTTAACCACTCTTGCTGATACGGGCTCTAGATGAGGCAAAGGCCAGAAGAATGAGAAAAAGAGTTAATGTAACAGGGTACTCTTGGGCAAGTGCTAGATGCTCTTTGATAGTGTATTAGTCTGTTTTCACGCTGCTGATAAAGACATACCCAAGACTGGGTAATTTACAAAAGAAAGAGGTTTAATAGACTCACAGTTCCATGTGGCTGGGGAGGCCTCACAATCATGGTGGGAGGTGAAGGCACGTCTCACATGGTGGCAGACAAGAGAGCTTGTGCAGGGAAACTCCCCTTTATAAAACCATCAGATCTCATGAGACTTGTTCACTATCACGAGAACAGCATGGGAAAGACCTACCCCGATGATTCAATTACCTCCCACTGGGTCCCTCCTACAACATGTAGGAATTGTGGGAGCTACAATTCATGGTGAGATTTGGGTGGGGACACAGCCAAACCATATCAGATGGTCACCTTTTCTAATGTGTAAACATTAATTGAGCACATGCTGTGTGTCAGCTAGGAGACCATATGAAAAAGCAGTTGTCATACCACCTGTAACACATGCTTTTTCATGCTGGAGGGGGACAAGAAAAGCATTTTAGAAAGGTGAATAAAGAAGAAACCAAGGCAGCAGAGATGTATATACATCCTATGCAAATAAACAGGTAGCTCTTGGTCACTAAAAGAGCTTAACCAAGTCTCTTGGGAAGAGCTTGATGTTAAATAATGAAGTCCCTTCATGGTAAATAAAGTTATGAAAGTAAGAGAATCAAGTTGGACAGGCTTCTACTTCTTCAGTCTTGGAAGAAAAAAAAAAGCAGTGTCTTCCTTCCTAAAATGTTAATTGAGGACACAGAATGTCTTCTCACCTGTCCTTCATTCACTAAGTATGGAAAGCTGTACGGAAGCTAAGACCAAGTTTATGTCTTCAGGAAGCTTCTGTCCTTAGGAGGACTAAGAAAATGCACAGACCTACAGCTTTTTGGCAATGGACTCAGGCTAGAGTGCTGTGAAGAAAGTTGGGTCAAATTACCAGAAGACTTTACCCAGCAGTGCTTTTCTTTTTTAAAATTTTGTAAAATTTTTATTTATTTATTTATTTTATTTATTTTGAGACAGAGTCCCCCTGTTATGCCCAGGCTGGAGTGCAGTGGCGTGATCTCGGCTTACCGCAAGCTCCGCCTCCCGGGTTTGCACCATTCTCCTGCCTCAGCCTCCTGAGTAGCTGGGACTACAGGCGCCCACCACCACGCCTGGCTAATTTTTTGTATTTTTTAGTAGAGACGGGGTTTCACCATGTTAGCCAGGATGGTCTCGATTTGCTGACCTCGTGATCTGCCCGCCTTGGCCTCCCAAAGTGCTGGGATTACAGGGGTGAGCCACTGCGCCCGGCCCTTATTTATTTGTTTTTTTGAGACAAGCTCTGGCTCTGTCACCTAGGCTGGAATGCAATTGCACGATCTCAGCTCACTGCAACCTCCACCTCCCGGGCTCAAGCCATCCTCCCAGCTATGGCAGTGCTTTTCATCAATGCAATCAAGTGACCTTTGGACACTTGGAGGCCATATTGTTCATCCTTCTTCCTTCTCAAAAGGTTTCTCCTAAGTTATACCAGAGGGAGTCTGTGCAATTTCTTCCCATCTGCAATTTATCAGATTTGTTTTGTTCTTTCTTATGAAATTCTTGGATGGCTTCTAACTTGGATCTCTCCTGTTTTAGTTTAAGGCTGTTTTCTCTCTGGTCCTTGGGGAGACAGAACGGCTCCTTCCCTTCCCTTGGGTTTTCCTGGCCCTTGGACACCTCCACCACTCAGCACCCTCTGGCAGCACCAGGATGGATTTGTCCCTTGGCTTTCAGTTCTCAGGCCTGAGTCATCTTGATTACTTCATCTTCCCCTTCTTAATTCTGTGACCCTCTTCTACTACCTTTGGGTCTTCTTTCTGACTCATTTCCGAGTTCTTCATGGCATAGAGAACAGGCCAGGAGCCCAGGGCTAGGTTCTGACTGGTGGACAAGTGACCCTGGTAACATCATTGCCCTGGCCAGTGAGAGTGGTGGTGAAGTCCGCCATGTCACTATCGTTTGGTCCTCTTCCAGTAGGGCTTCAGGGACACTTGAGGTTACTGATAGCTCTGCTTGATGAGGAAGATGAGGGGTGGTTGGTGTGAGAGGTGACTTTTTTGTTTTTGTTTTTATTTTTGAGACAGAGCCTCTCACTCTGTCACCCAGGCTGGAGTCAGTGGCGCGATCTTGGCTCACTGCAACCTTCGCCTCCCGGGTTCAAGCGATTCTTCTGCCTCAGCCTCCTGAGTAGCTGGGATTACAGGCATGCACCACCATGCCTGGCTAATTTTTGTATTTTTACTAGAGACGGGGTTTCACCATATTGGCCAGGCTGGTCTCGAACTCCTGACCTCGTGATCCACCTGTCTTGGCCTCCCAAAGTGCTGGGATTACAGGCATGAGCCACCGCGCCCAGCCCTGAGAGGTGACTTTTTTAAAAGAATATTTAAAAAATGCAGAAAAGTACAAAGAACAATGTAATAACACAAGTCTACCACCCAGAACCGTGGGCGGTTGATATTTTGTCCACTAGCACGCAGTACTTACTTAGTGTTTATCTTTCTTAGCTAAGCAGACTTGCATATATGTGATAGATGACTAATATGCCTATGTTTGCATATATTGCATCTATATGCATATATATGATAGATGACCAATATTGTCCAAATTGTTTTGTGAAAATAAATTGAAAATGCACATAAAGGTTTTATTTTCCCTCTTAACATTAGGTGTCTGAGATCTAATGTTGACATCCATAGGTCAGAAATATTCTTTTTAACTGCTATATATTGTTCCTTTGTATTACCCTACTGGTTTTATTTATCCATTCACCTGTTGAAACACTTTTGGATCTGGTTGCTAATAGTGTTTTTACAACTACAAGTAATGCTGTAATGACCATTTTTGTACATGTGTCCCTGTGCACATGTAGAGAGAAGAATTGCTGGGTCAGGCACATTCTTCCCATTCCCATAGTCCCTGGTTCAAGTTTGAATCAAAGCACAGTCTACTCACTTGGGCCTCAGCAACTAGGTCACCTTGCCAGGTTCCTGGATGGCTTTAGTTGAACCCAAGGAGAAATGTTTGGGACCCGTGGAAAGGAGTGAAAGCTGATAGTGCTGTTTGCCATCTTGATATCAGTTTCTCTGGCTCTTCAAGGACAGCTTGGCTCACGGGGCCCCAGAGGACCTTGGCTGAATTTGAGCATGTTTTTGTTTTCTCAAACTGTCTGCCTCAGCCCTGACCCTCCCCAGGTCTTTGCAATTCCAGGAATGACCCTGATGTTTATAAAGGAGCCCTTTGGAGAGTGCACAGGCAGGGAGGCTCTGGAGAGGCTGTGCTGTTTCTGTTCACTCGGGGGGAGCCCGAGATGAGATGGCAGCATGAGGGCATACTCTAGAAACCTCCATGACGCCAGGCCAGGAGAGGCCCCTCTGCATGTATCCAAGCAAGCATATGTGTCTGTTTACAAACCCATGAGTGGATGAGCTTACAAGGCTGTGTCTCTGCAAAGCTTATACCCGAGACCACCTCTCTTGAAAAGAAGAGGCATTGTTCTCGCCTCACCAGGAAGTTCTTCAGGAAACAGACAGAACAGAGAGAATCACAAAGGCATGGGGGCCTGGCAATGCCAGAGCTTGAGAGGAGAGGTATCATTCAACATACAGATTCCTTAGTCCTTGCCTCTGACTTTCTGGGGCTGGGGTCCAGGGCTCTTATTTTTAGCAAGCTCATCAGATGATTTCTGATGAAGAGCTATGTTTGGGAACTTCTGACTGGGTCTAATTCCCTGAATTTACAGATGAGTACACTGACACCTGCGCAAGTTGAACACCCTGCTTAGCGTCACTCAGAATCCCAGGGGTGGTGGTGAAGTCAGGATCGAACCTCAGTCCTTCCTCCCACACTGGGACTGCTTGGCCAAGGCTTCGAACCCAAAAGCTGGTGCTCCAAAGGAAATCCAAAAAGAGTTTGCAGAGTGGTTTGACGTGGAGGGGATTCATCGGCCAGGTGGGGGCTCTCTGCCCTCCCTTGGTGGTGCATCATCTCCTGTAGGTGTTTTGTCACCGTGGAAGGGCAGTAGCCTGTGCCTGTTGGGCTTGCCACTCAACAGAGGTCACTGAGCTCTTCCGCACTCAGCTGGGTGATTGGCCTGTGGTAGCTGCAGGTGGAGGGAGATGATTCTCAGAAGAGAAAGGCCAGTTCTTGCAGTCGTGTGATCTTATAACCTAGGGGACTTGTGGATCTGAAACATCTGAGAAGGCTGTTTGCAGTTATTTACTACCACAAAGGAAACTGGGAGAGGAGGGACCACCTGTTGGAAAACCATGCTCAGAAGTGACTGGTCTGTTGCTGAAGGATGGAAGGATATCAGGTGTTGCATGGCTGGCTCCCTTGCAGGAAGGAAGGGCTCAGGGGGTGAGAAGGAATAGGAAGGGAGTTTACAATGAATGAAGCTGGGTGTCCTCAGGAGATAGATGGACCAGTTGGGGTGATGTCATTAACTAAGCTGGAATGTGTCCTGAGTGCCAGCCTATACCGCGACAGACATCTGTGCACACTATTCAGAATTCCAGTGTGAGAGGCCACTGCCCCCTCTGACCTTTTGAAAAAAAAAGTCAGGGGAAGACACATAAACAGTGTCACTCACCCACAAAGTCTCAGGACCTCAGGTTAAACTTTAGCTAAAGAAGTAACAAATAGAACCCCCATTTTACCTTCCTCTTTCCTAACTTCTGCCTCCCTCCCTCCCACCAGCATGGCCTGAATTACTAATCCCAGCCTGTTGGTGGGCTGTGCTATTGAACATAGTGGCCACATGCTAGATGGAGTTTGGTGACCACCATCAGCCATCCAAAGAGGACTGGCTTCAAATTCTCTCCAACAAAAGCTGTTTCTTGTATGTGCTGGCGTGTTTATGAGCCCTGTCTCAACTGAGCATGCGTGGTGATTATGAGCTACTGCCTGACCTCCTTCCCTTTGTCCCTCCCGCTAAATTCTGTAAACAAAGTTAAAGTAATTTAGGCAAATTCATTCTTGCTTAAGGACTTCTATTAAATGGCAGAGAGCTTTGATATTTAGCAATGTATAAAATTTGTACAATCAAAACCAAGCTTTAGAAGAAATATGCAATAGATCATATTGCAGAACTCTCATGACTCATTTTTTCCATGCATTTGGCCATTCTACAAATCAGACATTACCTAGCCTTCCCCTCACATGGCAGATATAACTTTTATTTACCCATTCAAGAAATTGATTGTTCACACATTCCTTTTTCTTTGAAACAAGGTCTTGCTTTGTCGCCCAGGCTGGAGTGTAGTGGTGTAATCTTGGCTCACTGCAAGAAGTGAACTCCGCCTGCTGGGTTCAAGCGATTCTTGTGCCTCAGCCTCTCAAGTAGCTGGGACCTCAGGCATGTGCCACCATGCCCAGCTAATTTTTGTATTTTTGGTAGAGACAGGTTTTTGCTATGTTGGCCAGGCTGGTCTTGAACTCCTGGCCTCAAATGACCCGCCCACCTCAGCCTCCCAAAGTGCTGGGATTACAGGCATGAGCCACCATGCCTGGCCACCACACATTTTTTTCTAAAGCTTGGTTTTGGCCACAGTGAGAGTTTCTTGGGCTGTCAGGGGTAAAAATACCATGTCTTGTTTAACAGCAGCCATCATTTTAGCAGAATTTTTTTTTTTTTTTTTTTTGAGACTGAGCTTTGCTCTTGTTGCCCAGGCTGGAGCGCAATGGCGCGATCTTGGCTCACTGCAACCTCCGCTTCCCGGGTTCAAGTGATTCTCCTGCCTCAGCCTCCTGAGTAGCTGAGATTACAGGCATGCGCCACCATGCCTGGCTAATTTTTATGTATTTTTAGTAGAGACGGTGTTACTCCATGTTGGTCAGACTGGTCTCGAACTCCTGACCTCAGGTGATCTGCCCGCCTCGGCCTCCCAAAATGCTGGGATTACAGGCGTGAGCCACCGCGCCCCGCCCCTTAGCAGAATTGTTAATATCATTTTTCAGACTTGAGAAATTAGAGCTCAGAGAGGTTAAAGGTTCTGACTCGTGAGTGAATCTCAAAGGGCAAAGCTGGCATTCAGGGTTCTTGACTGCTGGGTTCATTGCTCATTCCAGTTTGTTAATGAATCGTCCACTGCTATGGATATTAATGGAGTCGTCTAGAGAGCAGGGGGAGGAGGATGGTGGTTAGTATTTATTCTGTTGCCCAACATATGTCAAGGCTAAGTGCCTTTTGGGAGAAATTAACAAAGACGGAGCCATGTGAGTTTTCTGCCCAGCTAGGGTGGAACCAGGAAGCTGCGGCCAGCCTTCATTCCCCTGGCCCATTACTCAGAATTAACTCTTGAAAGGCTTGGAATGCTATTACCTGTTGCAAGAGGTGAGTTCATTGGAGGAATGATAAGTTCAGGGTTGGCTTAGATCATCTCTGTGGTACTCCTCTTTCCCAACCCTGCTCTTAGATTTTAAGATAATCATGAGATAGGAGGAGAAGGCTGGAAAATGGTAAGTCTTTCTTCAGAATAAAGAAAAGAAGAAAGAAGAGAGACACATGAGCTGTTAGGAAGATGTGATTGTTCTAGGTAGGGAAAAGGTCTTATTTCCTCACCAGGTCTGGATAAGGACCGGGGCCACACACTCTGAGGAGGAAGGACCAGGGAGGTGCTTTTAGATTCTTGGGGCTTAGTTTCCTAAGAAAGCTTTTTAAGGTCTCTCTTAGATCAGGAATCACCAATTTCCAAATAGAGCACTGAGGTCAGAACATTGTGCTAGGAGAAAATGAGATTTTGTGGGAGTCCGTTTCTATCAAACACAAGAGTTTGATTTGTTGAGTAAGATCATTGATGCAACAAACAGGATTACATTGGAAAAATGAGCTGTGCCAAAATTAGGTCTGAAAACCTGGGTATGAATGCATAGAAGTGAACAATAAAGGCTCTTTCTCTTGGGCTGTCAGCTTCCAGCTGCTCTCCTTGGCTAAATTAGTAAGGGTGGGCCAAAAGACAATGTAGGGACCCCATGATAATTGTGAAGAATGGCAGAGAGGTTGTTTGCTCCTGTGAATTCAAATGGTAGTCCATCTGGGCTCAGGTTTGCCATCTGTAAAATGGGACAACGATCCATTTCTTTTCATCCCATCTGCCTTCCTCATCTCCAGCTCTCCTCTAGGGGTCTTAGGTAGAAAGGTGTGGCAGTCTACCCAAGGCAGGGGTGGGAGTTCTCCCCTGCCCTTCAAGCCCCCGACTAATGGCTCTGGGGTTGTCTGTCATCTCCCTGACTTCTCTTTGGAAAAGCTTGACCTTCTATATGTGAAATCCCTTGCTTCTGTGTTGACCCATTTCCCTAGGTGCTATGTAGGGAAGAAGAGCTAATGCTTACTAATCTACAGGGAAAGTCTCTTCAGGGGCCTTGGAGGTTTCTATCAACCATTTCTAAGCCCATGAGCCTTTTCCATTGATGTCATTTGGGGTTGCTAAGAACCATTTCTTATAGTGACCTTTGCACCATAGCCCATGGAGTTGCATACATAAGTGGTTGCTTAATAAATATTATTCTGAACTTAACTCTCTTAGGCAGAAAAAAAATACAACTTGGTATTTTTGTTCTGAGGGCAAATTCCATCTCTAGCTGGAGTTCGACATCTGGAATGTTTTCCTGTGGATTGTTCTTGCAGCCTATAAGAGGATATATGGGAAGAACTTGGTAACATGTGATAATGCCCTTGTCTGACTGAGGGGAGGAGGGGCGCTATGTGGGTACTTCCTGGTAGGCAGGAAATGGAAGTGGCTAAGAGCTAACCCCATGTGTGCCTACTGTGTGCCAGGCCCTCTCTGTAGATGCAGGCAGCATCTCTTTGGATCCTCCCAGTTGCCCATAGGAGGTGCATACTGTTTGTCCTTTTACAGATGAACAATGGAAGCACAGAGAGCTTAAGAAAGTTGTCTGGTGCTGCACAGCTCAGTAGTAAAAGCTTGAATTCCAACTCAGGCAGTTAGATTTTGGGGTTTGAATCTCTTTGGCTGGGAACAGTAACAAGGAATGCAGGCTTTTCTCAGCCTACAATGCTTTCTGATCTCTGCCTGGTCAACTCTTTCATTTCCCTTCCCTGGGCTTCTACTTCAAGATGTGGAGTTCAGATCTGGCTACGGGATTTGAGTCCAGAAGCCTCTTCCTGAGAAAGAAACAGATGCTGATGCATGGTCTTGTTAAACCATCTTTAAAAGACCTTGCATCAGCAAACCAGGCCTGTGGATTTCTTCATCTTATTGGCATGTTCGTTGGCACTGCTGAGATCAATAAAGAAATGGAATGAAACATACCCTTGAATCCAGGTGGCCTCTGTGAGGGTGGACAAACTTGACCTTCACCTCAGAGAGTTTGGGACATCTCAGGGCAGGAAATCAACTTTGTCCTCCTGGAGGAACACTGCCAAGTTGACCCCAGCCTCCTGGGACCTGGAGCCAGGGTTGCATATGACATCTGTGGGCCCTGGACACTGCCTCTGTGGGCCCTTCTATAAAAACATATATTTTTAAAATTTAAAAATTATTATTTTTCGTTTTTGAGACAGGGGCTCACTCTGTCACCCAGGCTGGAGTGCAGTGGCATGATCATGGCTCACTGCAGCCTCTAACCCCTGGGCTCAAGTAATTTCCCACCTCAGCCTCCCAGGTAGCTGGGACCACAGGTGTGCATCACCATGCCTGGCTATTTTTTTATTTTTAGCAGAGACAAGGTGATATAGTTAGGCTTTGTGTCGCCACCCAAATGTCATCTTGAATTGTAATCCCCATAATCCCCAGGTGTTGATGGAGAGATCAGGTGGAGGTAACTGAATCATGGGGGTGGGTCCCCCATGTTGTTCTCGTGATAGCGAGTGAGTTCTCCTGAGATCTGATGGTTTTATAAGGAGCTCTTCCCCGCTTCACCTGGCACTTCTTCCTGCCACCTTGTGAAGAAGGTGCCTTGCTTCCCGGACCTTTGGCTTCTACCACGATTGTGAGTTTCCTGAGGCCTCCCCGCCATGCTGAACTGTGAGTCAATTAAAGCTCTTTCCTTTATAAATTACCCAGTCTCAGGCAGTTTTTTATAGCAGTGTGAAAATGGACTAATACAGTCAGGCGTGGTGGCTCATGCCTATAATCCCAGCACTTTGGGAGACCGAGGTGGGCCTCCTGTGGCAAGGAGTTCAAGACCAGCCTGGCCAACATGGTGAAATCCTGTCTGTACTAAAAATACAAATATTAACCAGGCGTGGTGACACATGCCTGTAGTTCCAGCTACTCGAGAAGCTGAGGCAGGAGAATTGCTCAAACCCAGGAGGCGGAGGTTGCAGTGAGCCAAGATCGTGCCACTGTACTCCAGCCTGGGTGACAGAGCGATACTCTGTCTCAAAAAAACAAAAAAAAAAAATCAAAAAACCATATTTTATAACTTGTTTAATAAATGCAAATGTATTAATATTATATAGTAAGACTTTTTAACCTAAAAGTTATTTTTTTTTTCTGATGTTAATAGAAATAAAAATATGTCCTAGGCACTGTGCCTCCAGAGCCCAATGGACAAGTTGGCCCTGCCTGGCGCCTTCAGGCCCGAATGCACATTTATCTGTGTGTGCCCCTCTCCTTTTTCAAATGTGTTTCCAGAGATTGCAGAGGGCCTTCTTCTGAGGATTAATGTTGGATTGACCTCTGGGACGCAGCCAAGGGATGGTTCTTTGGCCACTGTCTGTGGTACAAGAGGGCTTCGTGAAGATGGGGAGCTGCAGGCTGAAAGTCCTCTAGGAAGCCCAGGGAAGATCCTGTGCCCTGCCCCCAAGAAACTGTGGACTATTGTGGCTGCAGATGGAAGGGTAGCGGAGGGGTCTTAGCCGTGGATGCGGAATATAGTGGAGCTAGATTTGCTTTATATGGGGCCTGGAGCCATTTCAGCAATGGGCTATCAGCTTACAGGTCTTGGGCTAAAAGCCTGACTCCAGAAGAGTGATTCTCACCCTGGGCAGTTTTGCCTCTCCGGGGCCATTTGGCAACGAATGAAGACACATTTTTTGTTGTTCCAACCTGGGGAGGGTGCTACTGGTTTCTGGTGGGTAGAGGCCAGGAATGCTGCCCAACATCTGGAGTACACTGGATGTTCCAGGCATTGAGTTCGGGTGAGCGGCTCCTTCCCAGAAGCTCATGGATAGAGGTACACATGAGCTGCCTTTCCCGTCTCCAACCAGACAACGTGTTGTTATAGCCATAATAGAGACTGTCTGCCTTCACCCAAGCCACTTCCCAAGAGGGCAGAGCCAGGTGAGCCTCTGAGCATCACAGACTTCATGTCCACAGATTGGAGAGTTCCAGAAATGGTGGCAGGGTGCAGTACCAGCAGACTCCCAGAGCTCCTGTCTTCTCTAACACCCTGTGAGCAGAATGCGGTGTCGAGGTCTCCAGAAACCCTTCCTGCCTCTGTGGGCACAAAGCTGGGTAGGGTGCGGTAAGCAGGGTGATGCCAAGGGTGATCTCAGGTACCAAGGGTTCGGGTGAGGGCGAACTGGAGGTTCCCACTTCATTTTGTCTTTCTCATTTTGATCCTGAGTAGCTGGGAGGGAGTCAAAGGGCTCTTCTCTATGTTCCAATGCAGGTGGTGGGAGTGGGGAGACTTTCTAGCTACTTTGCTCTCCTCCTGTGTTTTTGGTGTCTGCAGAGGGCAGGGGCAGGGAGCTTGAGATGGTCCCACTCAGGTCTGGGGACAGAGAGGCCTGTCTGGGAAGGGCAGCGGGGCGGAGGCAGGGAGGCTGGGGATGAGTGCGTGCGCTGCACGGCATCTGTGTGCTGCGTTAGAGGTCAGTGTTGAGATGGAAAGTTGACTGAACCTGATCTCTTCTGTTTGTTGTCCAGGTTTGTCTGATCTCAGACTTTCCCCGGCCTTTCTCTTTCACCCTTTTGTTTCTGACCTCTGGGGTCCATCTGAAGAGGGAAGGGGGGCTCTTCTAGGAGGGTGTGGACCTGGTGGCGCTGAAGAAATCTGCCGCACGGTGGGGTGACTCAGCGTCCCTGTTCTTGGGAACCTGGCAGGCAGCTGAGCAGGGGCACTCACTCAGCCTGCCTCTCTGGGTCCCTGGGTGTCTGCTGCTCTCCATGTGGAGGAGCACAGAGGGCAGGGCAGGATGGATGAGGAAAGCTGTGGGCTGGTGCCTGGGTCTGATTAGACATGGTGGAGCAGGACTCCAACCTAGCCTGGAGGCGCACGCTAAATCGGCCTTTTCCTGCCGGTGGTGCTGGGCTGCCGGGCTGCTGGAACAATTTAATCTGTGCTGGCTTCATTTATGGTACAACCCAGGCTCCCCAGAGCCCCTGTGGGAATAACCATTCTAAATAAAATATTTTTCCAGGTTTCAGGTTTATACATTTAACATTTAAATTTTTTTTTTCCTGGAGTTCAACAATTTTGGATAAAAGTCTTTTAAAATGATGAATAGGTAGAATTTTAATTCCCTCCCCTTTTTGATGTCCCAAGATCATCGTCATCAACGTAATTCTTGTTTTGGGCTGTAAGACATGGAAATCCCCAGGGTTCATTGAGGGGCATTCATTGTTTGCCACACACAAAATGTACCCGGAGTTTGTATGTTTTGTTTTCTTAGTGTCCTCTTTCCTCTCTGCCATTTGATCCTTCTTGCTACTGTCCACATGCATTCCTTCTTTGTCCCTTCAATTTTGTTGACTTTCTTCTGCGGTGGCCTTGGAAACCAGACATCCAGAAGCCAGGCTTCCTGGAGCAGCACTGTTGTGAACTGTCTCGAGGCTCCTCACGAGATGATTCTCCCCTCATCTTGAGTGGAAAGTGCCAACATTTGAACATGCTCAGCCGTGGTAACAGCTATTAGGATGTTCAGAGCTTATTTTCCTTGGTTTCCCTGTTCTCGGTTGGGTTCCATGCTGCTGAAGTAGTAGATAACTGGGGCATTCGTCATTGTCATCATCATCAGTGTAATAACCAGCAGCAACATGGATATAGAATTTCTGTGCTCCAGGTCGTCTTTTATTTATTTATTTATTTATTTATTTATTTATTTATTTTTGAGGCAGTGTCTTGCTCTGTCGCCCAGGCTGGAGTACAATGGTGCGATCTCAGCTCACTGCAACCTCCACCTCCTGGGTTCAAGCAATTGTCCTGTGTCACCCTTCTGAGTAGCTGGGATTACAGGTGTGTGCCACCACACCCGGCTAATTTTTTTGTATTTTTAGCAGAGATGGGGTTTCACCATGTTGGCCAGGCTGGTCTTGAATTCCTGACCTCAAGTGATCCACATGCCTCAGCCTCCCAAAGTGCTGGGATTATAGGCATGAGCCACCACACCCGGCCTAAGTCATCTTTTAACTGCTTTTCTTTCGTCATACTCTCAACAGCTCTATGAAGAAAGAACTGTTATTATCCAGCAACTTACAGTTAAGAAAGTAGAGGCACAGAGAGGGTCTGTGTGGGGAGAACACGTGCAGCTGATATAGAAAATGGCAGAGCTGGACTTTAACCCGGCTACACCCCTTTAACCAGAGCTGCTACCCTGGGGACGGCGTGCTGGCTTCTAAAGGAAGCTGCTGCATGGCAAGTGAAGAGTGACTAGTTCTCAGGCTTGGAGGGAGGGGAAAGGACAGGGACAGACCCCCATCAAATGTTCCGTATGCTGGGGCCTATGCTGGGCACGCCTTGACAGCAGGTGCTGCTGGAGTGCCAGCACCCGGTGCTGTCCCTGGCATGGAAGAGGTGCCCCCTCCCTTAGTTGGTGAGTGAGTGAATACTCTTGTATAGAGTTACTCTAAGAATTATTCATTTGTGTTCTAAGGGCTGTAAGTTTTTGAAGGTGCATTAATGGGGAAGAAAAAATGTGCAAGATTGGTTGAAAAACACCCCTCTGCACCCACCCAGATCTTGTTGGGACCTGCAGGAGAGCAGCTCTGGGTGGGAGGGTCTGGGGCTGTTTGCCGTGTCTCCAAGGGGTTGGGGCTGGGGCTCGGCGGTGTGAGGCCCTGCCCTTCTGGAGCTTGCTGGGGCTTGTCTCCTGGTTACAGCTCTGCCGTGCGATTCAGATCCTCTCTGCCTCCTTTGGCTGGACGTGCCTCAGCCAGAGTGAGACTGTGGCAGGCTGGAGCTGTTTTCAAGGCCTCCTTCACCTAGGCTGTGCATACAAAAGGTTGAAGAAAGTATAAGGAGACTTAATGGACGCTTGTTGGACAGACATCACGAAGCTTCATGCCCTGCAGTAAGCTGAAGCTATGAAGTCGAAGGAGTCATAGTTCCTGTTCTTGGGGCTCTCAGTATAATGGGGTTGGGGTGGGCTGCACAGACAGACTTGGGAACGAGGGAATGTCAGTGTGGCAGAGCTGTAGCTGCCTCGGAGCAGCACTATGGGACCTTAGGCAGGGCCAGGTGGGCAGGTACACAGTGACAGCAGGGGGATGCTGGGACCAGGTTCTGGGTGGCGACGTGGCCTTCCACCTTCTCACTCCTTTGCCATATATGCTGCAGCCCGGTGATGTCTGTGGCACGAGTTTTAAAAAACTCAACTAATTGGTGCTCTTCCAGACCACAAATGAAGAACTTTAAACTGGGGGTTATAGTGGGAGAATTTGGGGGGGTCCCAGAAAGGACTTAAACCCATTCCATGGTCAGGGCCTTTCAAATGCATTCATCCCTCTGTGTGCCTCTGTTCTGCCCCAGCCTTGTAAGAGGGTCCCTGTCATTCTTCTAGAGCCAGACAGCCTGATTTCAAATCCTGAATCCATCGCTTTTCAGATTTGTGATCTTGGTCAAGTAACTGACCTCTGTGAGCCTCAAATTCTCCATCTCTGAAAGTTGGGGAGGGTGCTAGTAGTACCCACCTAAGAGTTAGGGTGAAGCTGAAATTGATCATCCATATAAATTGCTCAGCACGGGCCCTGACAGGCCATCAGCACTCATTAGCCGCGCGTCATCTCCACCCTCATCATCATTACGGTCCAGGTGGCTCCCGGAGGGCACGTCTCTCTGGGAAACTGGACCTGGAGCTTTTCTTCCCTTCCTCTCTTGGCAGACAATGGCGATGACCACTCAGAAGGAGGCCTGGTGGAGAACCACGTGGACAGCACCATGAACATGTTGGGCGGGGGAGGCAGTGCTGGCCGGAAGCCCCTCAAGTCGGGTATGAAGGAGCTGGCCGTGTTCCGGGAGAAGGTCACTGAGCAGCACCGGCAGATGGGCAAGGGTGGCAAGCATCACCTTGGCCTGGAGGAGCCCAAGAAGCTGCGACCACCCCCTGCCAGGGTCAGTGAGGGTCAGGTCTGGTGGAAGGGGTGGGAGGACAAGGAAAGTGGGGTCTCAGCTGGAGGAGGGCATCCTAATAAGACCCTCATCTGGTGTGACCTGTAGGCAAAGCACTTTTCTTTCCACAAACATAGTTGTGGAACATAGTTAGTGACCTTTGGGGCAGTCAGTATCTCTGGCTGTGAAATAGACTGGACATGTGGTTTCTTGATGTTCTTTCCTTCTAAAACCTTCACATTTCTGTATGGTTTTGGAACATAGACACAGAAAATGAATCCCAGAGATGAAGACAGAGTCCCTGAAACTTGCTTACTCTTTTTTTTTTCCTCCCCCTGAGATGGGGTCTCACTCTGTTGCCCAGGCTGGAGTGTAATGGTGCCATCACACCTCACTGCTGCCTCCAACTCCTGGGCTCAAGTGATCCTCCTTCCTCAGCCTCCTGAACAGCTGGGACTATAGGCATGCACCACCACACCTGGCCAGTTTTGTATTTTTTGGTGGAAATGTGGGTCTCACTATGTTGTCCAGGCTGGTCTCAAACTCCTGGACTCAAGCAATCCTCCCACCTCGGCCTCCCGAAGCGCTGGGATTACAGGCGCCAGCCACTGCGCCTGGCCTGAAACTCAGTCTTGTTGCCATATGCTTCTCTCACTGAGCTACCCCTCCCCTCTTTCCTGCCCAGCTCTGCCATCTTGGGTCCTGGCCCTGGTTGGTTTTATGGAAAGAAGTGGAGCTTGGGCATGGGGTGGGGGCATGGAGACTCGAGACGGCCACTTAGATGGATATTTGGAGGCAGAGCCCATTCTGACACATGAAAGCCACGGTCACAGAACAAGGAGAGGAGTGAACATTCCCATCCATACAATTTTCTTTAGGGGCTGGGGTTGGGCACCCAGCATGGCAGGGAGATCCCCGGGCAGGCTGTCAGAAGTCCCTGTGCCCCCTGCTGGCTGTGTGACCATGGGAAAGTCCCCTCCCTGTGCAGCAGCTTCTCGCTGAGCTTGCGTCTGGCGCGTGCTTCGTGGGCCTGCTGTCCTCACTCCGGGCGTCCCCTGCTGTCTGTGCGTGCAGACTCCCTGCCAACAGGAACTGGACCAGGTCCTGGAGCGGATCTCCACCATGCGCCTTCCGGATGAGCGGGGCCCTCTGGAGCACCTCTACTCCCTGCACATCCCCAACTGTGACAAGCATGGCCTGTACAACCTCAAACAGGTGAGCATGGTGCCAGCCTGGGCCAGAGCAGCTCCTCCTCAGCCCTGGGCCCCAGATGTGCCTTGTTTCTGCCCCACCCGCCTATGATCCTCTGAGGTCTGAGCTGAGTGAGAGACTCAGACTCCTGTCACCATGGGGATTGGGATGCCAGCTGCCAGGCCGGGGAGGGTGCAGCTCTTCTCCCTGCCTCCGACGGGTCAGTTGCTGGCTCCACTTGCCCAGCTGCCCACCGGCCTCACTTGGAGTCCAGGTTGGGAGGAGGCTCTTGGAGAAGGGAAGTGGCTTAAACCAAGCATCTTTGCTTTGATCGGACATTGACATCACCTGGAGCTCTTCCTGGGCCCGCCCCCAAATTGCCATGTGGTAGGTCAGGTTTACAGCTCTAACAAGCCTCAGGTGAGGCTCATAATCTGTGAGCCACACTCCCACCATCATTGATTTCAACCACTGGCCGAGTTGTCTTCATGGTTTCGAAGTATCTCAGGGAATGAAGAGTCAGGCATGGAGAAATGCCGTTGGAAAGATTCTGAAAAGCCATCTAGAACACCATTGTAAATACATTGGAGAAAATGAAGTTTAAGTAAACCACTCAGGAGCCCTTCTCCCTCCTCTATCCACCTTCTGTTCATATGCATTTTAACAGTCACTGTGCATATGCAATATTTTCCCTGTAACATACTTTTTTTTTTTTTTTTTTTGAGACGGAGTCTCGCTCTTGTCTCCCAGGCTGGAGTGCAGTGGCGTGATCTCAGCTCACTGCAACCTCCGCCTGCCGTGTTCAAGCAATTCTCCTGCCTCAGCCTCCTGAGTAGCTGGGATTACAGGTGCCTGCCACCATGCCTGGCTAATTTTTGTATTTTTAGTAGAGATGGGGTTTACCATGTTGGCCAGGCTGGTCTTGAACTCCTAACCTCAGATGATCCCCCCACCTCGACCTCCCAAAGTGCTGGGATTACAGGCATGAGCCACCACACCTGGCTGGGCATTGGGATTTTTATAAAGCTACCCTGGTGGTTCTAATGGCAGTCTGGGCTGACCTAAAGTGTGGATGTGTGAAGCCAGGAGATGGGAACAGGGCTCTGCTGATGGCTTAGGGGTCTCACCTCTCCACCCCCTTCACCCAGGCACCTTGACCCTCTAAATATTAGTTTAGTATTAAAAGCTATTTGTGTACATGCCCTCTAAATGTAAGCTGGCTAACTCCATTTGGAGCTCAGAAGAAAAAGTCTCGATCACTTCTCATGGGAAACAGGCTGTCTGCTGCACCTTTGGGTAACTAAAGTGATTTGCAGGAGTAGTTAGCTTATGCATAAAACAGAGACCTTGGAGTGGGAATGCCTGGCTTCCATCTCAGCTGTGCTTCTTACCAGCTGTGTGACCTTGGGCAAGTTGCTTAGCCCATCTGTGCTTCAGTTTTATCATCTGTAAACCAGGGATAATAATGGCATCTAATTCACAAAGTGGTTGTGAGGATTAAATGACTATATTTGTTAGAAACTGAACTAGCAGTGTGTCTTGCACACACAGTGCCTGGCACACACTGATTTTGATTGCAACATGAGGTTTTACACCTGACGCTATGACTAAGCTTCAGTATGCTGGGTCCCCCCCACTGGATGGGACCTCTTTGAGGCTGGGGACTGAGTCTTTTCATCTTCGGGTGTCCTGAATGGCCTTGCTAATCAGAGGGGTCCCTGGGCGGGCAGCATCAGCATCACGTTGGAGCTCGCTAGCGATGCAGAATTTCCAGCTCTCCAGGGACCTACTGCATGGGAATCTGCATTTTATCAAGGTTTCCTGGCGCATATTTGAAGTTGCGAAGCTCCACCCGGCAGCGCATGGGTAGCTGCAAGGGGTGGCTGCTCAGTGGACGCCGGGTTGAGGGACAGAAGGAAAGTTGCTGGCTGCGGGCTCCTCCATGCTCTTCTCCTCTCTCCCCAGTGCAAGATGTCTCTGAACGGGCAGCGTGGGGAGTGCTGGTGTGTGAACCCCAACACCGGGAAGCTGATCCAGGGAGCCCCCACCATCCGGGGGGACCCCGAGTGTCATCTCTTCTACAATGAGCAGCAGGAGGCTCGCGGGGTGCACACCCAGCGGATGCAGTAGACCGCAGCCAGCCGGTGCCTGGCGCCCCTGCCCCCCGCCCCTCTCCAAACACCGGCAGAAAACGGAGAGTGCTTGGGTGGTGGGTGCTGGAGGATTTTCCAGTTCTGACACACGTATTTATATTTGGAAAGAGACCAGCACCGAGCTCGGCACCTCCCCGGCCTCTCTCTTCCCAGCTGCAGATGCCACACCTGCTCCTTCTTGCTTTCCCCGGGGGAGGAAGGGGGTTGTGGTCGGGGAGCTGGGGTACAGGTTTGGGGAGGGGGAAGAGAAATTTTTATTTTTGAACCCCTGTGTCCCTTTTGCATAAGATTAAAGGAAGGAAAAGTAAAGTGTGTGTCTTTTGCCTGAGTCTTTGGGGTCTTCCAGGGAGAGATGCAGAGCCTGGCCTAGGTTGGCCTACCCGCCATCATCCAGCTTTGCCCCTGGCTCCTAGGAAAATGGGAAAGGCCGTTTCCGTTTCCCATTCATGAAATGGCAATAAGAAGGAATGGGAACCTCCTGAATCCAGATCAAACCCTCCAGTGCAGCCCCAGGACTCCCAGGTGAGGCTTCTGCCCCCATGTGGCCCCTGCCTGGCGCTGTACAGGGGCAGGATGAGTCACGGGCTGGGGATGGGGAGATGTGGAGCGTGGGTCCGGCTTCCTCCCTCGCACATTCAGATAACACTGCAGTGGGAGATAAGGAACAGGAAACGTTGGGATTGGGGTTGTCTGGCCCCTGAAATAAAGGAGGCTCCCTCCTGCCCAGGGTGAGACATTTCCACTCAGCCCCCAAAGAAAGGGAGTAGGGCTGTGGTTAACTGGCTTATTCATAAGGATGACACCACTGAGAATTCAGATGCTGCTCTCTAAGGGGCCCAAGGGATTTGGTGTCCAGACCAGCAAATATCAATTGAAACAAAGGGCTATGAGTGTGTCAAGGTGTGCAGGCTGAGGGACTGTGGAAGGAGGCACAGAATGTGGCCTTTCTTAGCAGAGTTCCACATCAGAGCTCACCTACATCTGCCATTCTGTTCTGCTGGCCTCTCAACTCCAGTGAATTCCAGGGGGCTTATGCACCCCGACCCCTGCCTTTGCAATGGGCCATGGGGGGAGAAAGCTCACCATTTGAGGCCCACAGTCCCTGCCCCCCTAACCTTCCTCGGTACGTGGCCCAGGGCCTGGCCTCTCCTGTCACTCCCCTCTCCTGTGGCTGGAGTCTGATCCCTTCCCACAGAGGAGGGGCTCCCTAGGGGCCTGGCCCAATCCACTACCTTCCAGACCTTCCATCTGGTGAGTGTAGGGAGGCGGAGGGATGGCGGGCCCTTTACCAGGTGTGACATAAGTGTAGCTGGAATGCAAGACAGCTTTTGGAAATGGCACAAGATGAGCTTTCTTGGAGTGCAGGAAAACCAGATCCCCAAGAATAGATGGAGCCATGCCAGGAGGGTGTGTTCTAGGCTGCACCGGGCCAAGGCCAGCACTTGGCCACAGCCCCAAAAGTATTCATTCAGCGGATCCTTGTGCATCCGTGAAACAGGCACTATTGTTAGTTACACTTTACAGATGAGGAAAAGTGTAACTAGAAGTGCCCAAACTCTCCTGCCCTGGGTCTGGGGACCCCTAACTCCAGCGTGTGGCAGCCACCCACCCCTGAGTTATACTGGCCCCGTGGATGGAAGCAGGTGAGACGCTTGGAGAGGGCCTAGAGGGCTCTGGGCACTGGATGGACCTGGAGCTTGAAGCTCAGCAGTCCCTGCATGGGGTCTGATTGTCTTTCATTCGGCGCATGCGTGCTGCAGCTGGCCCTTCCCCCTGCCCTCTGAGTTGCTGCAAAGAGCAGTCAGCCCCGGGGCTGCTGTCCCCAGGTGGAGCTGCTATCCCTGGGTGGAGCAGCCCGTGCCTGCCCTCCTGGGAAGCCTGGTGTTTCTCAACCTCGGTGAACATTTGACTCGACGGCGGCACTTAAAACAAAAACTGATGCCAGTACCTCAGCTTCAGACATTCTGATGTAACTGGTTTGCCATGGAGCCCAGGCAGGGTCTTTTTCCTTTCTTAGGTTCCATGGTGATTGTGAACCAGGGAGGGATAAGGCAAGAAAAAGGCCGGAGTCAGGACACCTGGGCTTGGATCCTTTCCCACCACTTCGTTTTCCATTGCCTGGGGCTATGCTGTCCACCTTCTCTGAGCCTGTTTTCCTCATCTGTCTATTGGGGATGTTATCAGCCTCAAATAGCAGGGTGGTATTAGTGTGAGACTAGATGTGAAGGTGCTTTGAAAACTAGGACTGTATAAAACGGGAGGGGTTACTATGGGGCCATTGTTGGGTCAGGTGTTTGCCAGACCTCACGCCCCAGGGCTGCCACCTTGTCCATTCTTTGAACTTTTCCAGAGGGCTTCTGAGGATGCCACAATCTCCTTGCCCATTTCCCCTCCATTACCCTTAGTGCTCTTGTACCCAACCCTCTGAAGAGGTAGCTTTTATGGGTGAGTGGGTGAGCAGCACCTCCGCTGTGGCTCTAGCTGCAGGAACCACACTCACTGATGTGCAGTGCAACCTAGAAACCTTTGCCGAGAGGAAGCATCATTGCATCCACGTGGGAAGATGGCTGGCTGGGCAGGGATCTTGAAGATGTCAAGCACATCTCTCACCTGGAACTAACTGTGCCTCTTTGAACGTTAAGCAAACACCGGGGCTATACTGCCACTGTGTGGCAGCATGCAGAACTGCAGCTGAGCCTACATCGGGCCCTTGGAGAGTCTGTTGCATTGAAGAGGAGTGGTCCAGAAGGAGTCAGCTGGAGACGTTGTTACCACTGGCCCTATCCCAGATCCCCTGAGTTAGAAGCTCGGGGAGGGGCCTGGGAGTCTGCATTGAAACTTGCTTCCTGTGTGGTTCTTATGGAGGACTGGTTGACTTCATTTATAGGATCCAGGGCAAAATAAAAATATGGAGTCCCTTATTCAGAAATTATTAAGAATGTCAAGACAGAAATAGCAGAACATTAAACTAAGTGTCAGCCTTGTATGACTGCATGGGTCATGCCCACGGGGCTATCCCTCTTCTTATGCTCTCTACATTTGGACAGTCACCACTGTCATCCCTGAATCTGTTTGATGTGTCTTGAATACTAACTACATAATAAGATGTGGTGGTTAAAAGCGTAACCATGGAGGTGAGGTAGTCTTTGAACAGAATCAGACTCTTGAGTTATGTGCCTTTGGACATATTTCTAACCTCTGTGAATCTCATTTACTTCCTCTTTAAATATTGGGATAGTTTCTATCTTAAAAGACTTGCTTTGAGAATATAAAATCATTTCTGTCACACGGTAAGTGCTGCCTAAATGTAGCTCTCGGCCTTGCATGGTGGCTTACGCCTGTAATCCTGGCACTTTGGGAGGCCAAGGCGGGTGGATCAACCGAGGTCAGGAGTTCAAGACCAGCCTGGCCAACGTGGTGAAACCCCGTCTCTACTAAAAAATACAAAAATTAGCCGGACTCGGTGGCGGGTGCCTGTAATCCCAGCTACTTGGGAGGCTGAGGCAGGAGAATCACTTGAACCTGGGAGGTGGAGGTTGCAGTGAGCTGAGATTGCACGAGCCTGGGCAACAGAGTGAGACTCCGTCATAAAAAAAAGAAAAAAAAAATAGCTCTCACTATATCCCAGGCTCGGTATTAGGATGTCAGGCTATGAAGATGATGAAGATGAAGAAGATTACAGCCTTTGTCCTGAAGGGCTGAGATTCTTGTGGAAGGAAACAGCCCCGACACCCAAAGATGGCCCTCCATGGATGGCGGTACCCCTCCAGTAGGGGATGTTGGGCAAGTTAGGAGAAATAGTTAAGTCTGGTGTCAGGGAAGGTGTCTCAGAGAGGGTGAAGGCAGAGTTGGAAGGAAGAAGCTGAGATTGGGGAGAGGAGCGGGAGGATGTACGTGCCTCATGCATGCATGTATGTGCAGGTGCGGGTGTTGGGGGCTGGGGTTCAGACAGAGGGAGCAGCATGCGCAGAGACTTTATCTTATTTTTATGTCTGTATTTATTTATTTTTAGAGACAGTGTCTTACTCTGTTGCCCAGGCTAGAGTGCAGTGGCATGATCATAGCTCACTGCAGCTTTGAGCTCCTGGGATCAAGCAATCCTCCCACCTACCTCATCCTCCCAAGTAGCTAGGACTACAGGTGTGCACCACCATGCCTGGCTAATTTTTATTTTGTAGAGACAGCGATCTCACTATGTTGCCCAGGCTGGTCTTGAACTCCTGGACTCAAGTGATCCTCCCACTTTGGCCTCCTAAAATGCTGGGATTACAGGAGTGCATCACCATGCCTGGCCGGCAAAACCTTTAAGTCACGAGCTGGACAATGAGCCTGGACACCGGCGCATGGTTGGGGATACATGTGGTGAAGGGAGGCGGCAGGTGGAAGAGGAACGAGAGGAAGAGGAAGCCAGGGCACATCAGGAACGACTTGGGGTGTGTTGCTGAGGGATTTGAACTCTGGACCAAAAGTTAAGTACCAAGGAAAGAAGTTAGGCAGAGGATGGGCATGATTGGTTTGGTGTTTAGAAAGTGAACTGGGCCAGGCACAGTGGGTCATGCCTATAATCCCAGCACTTTGGGAGGCCAAGACGGGTGGATCACCTGAGGTCAGGAGTTCAAGACCAGCCTGACCAACATGGTGGAACCCCATCTCTACTAAAATTACAAAATTAGCTGGGCATGGGGGCGCTCGCCTGTAATCCCAGCTACTCTGGAGGCTGAGGCAGGAGAATTGCTTGAACCCGGGAAGCGGAAGTTGCTGTGAACTGAGATTGCACCATGGCATCCCAGCGCAAAACTCCATCTCAAAAACAAAACAAAACAAAACAAAAAAACATGAACTGCAACTGTGATGTCCAGCGTGGAGGACAATACATGGTGTGGGATTGGGTGGAACATCCCTGCAGCAGGAATTGCAAGGATCCAGGGTAGAAGTGAGCATGATCTGAATGAACCAGGGCTGGGGAGATGGAGAGAAGGGCCGAGGGTGAGGGTGGTCCATGAGGTCACTGATTCCTAGCACCTGGTGGCTTATTGGATGGAAGGGGTAAATGAAGAGTCAGGACTGAGGCCGGGGGTTGGGCTTGGACAGCTGGGTGGATGCAGTGCCATTCTCTGAGACAGCAAACAGGAGGAGGAGGAGGAATGGGGAATAAGAGGAGGGGGCTAAAGAAGGATTAAGAGAAGGAAGAGGGATGGCTTAGTGGGGAAGATGATGAGTTCAAATTGTGTTGTTATTGAACTTGTACTTTGTAAAGCATTAGATAAAATCATAAGAGAGGCCAAGAGCCTGAGCTTACAGGATGAGTTCAACGTGGAACACATTGTATTTGAGTTGCTTGAGGGACACTGGGTGGAGAAGACATCCCTGACTTTCCCTCATTCTCATCCTGATGTCAATTCTTGAGCAAGGTCCATCAGTTCTGTCTGCAGGCCGCGGTTCCTCTCTATTCCGTCCTCCCCATTTCCTCTGTCACCAACACAGAGGGAGATGGGATGGTTGATGCGTGGGGGGCCGACAAGCAGGTGGGGAGCGTGCAGGAAGGGGCTGTTTTGGGAACAGAGGAGGACTGGCAGGGGAGGAGACAAGAGTGTGGCGGGCGGTTTTGTGGATAGCTTTGTAGGGGTTGGGATGGGGAGATGGGAAGGTTCTCACCTGCTGGCCTTGGTTTTCTCTGATAGGGAGAAGGTAAGGGTGTTTGCTAGGAGTGAGGGAAGGTGGTACCATGCATTGGAGAAATGAGGGTAATGTGGGGGAAATAATCCGATTAGGGGCCCCTAATAAGTTTCCCAGGCAGGATGTGGGGCCCTCGGAGCCTGGGGATTCTGGTGTGATGTCAGCTCACTCAATAGTGGCACTTTTCCCTGTGGGGCTCAGCAGTGCCATGCAGGAGGGACAGTGCTGACTGGACAGGGCTGAGGTGCTGCAGGGCAGGGGAGCCCCAGACAAGCTGATGCCAAGCATGGAGCTATGGGCTTCGGTCTCCTTAGGCAAAGCATCAGAGCCAGAGAGGGCTGATGGATTGAAAACTCAAGCGGGGTGAGCAAAGGCTCTCTGTCGTAAAATCGTCTCTGCTCTCTTGCCTCATTCTTCTCACTCTCATAGTAGACTACGATTAGAGTGGGAGAGTGGGGTTTTCAGATTTTAGATGTGGAATCTTGGGGGTCCCATGGCTCAGAGTGTGGCTTAAGTGGATGGAGGGGAAGGCAGATGGTGTGTGGCAGAGCTTGGACCAGCAGCATACCACTGGGGAGAGGGTGGGAGACACAGTTTCTGGGCTGCTGAACCGCGGGGACCCCAGGGGAATGGTGCTATCGCTAAGGGGCTGTATGGGTTGTCCCACTGAGCACGGGCAGTACAGGGTGGTGGGGAGACAGGAGTGGAGTAGTCCGTCCAGAGCCGGAATCATCGGTGGTCACGGGCTGTGAGCAGGGATTCACAGATGTGGGTTATATGGGTCGGAGGAGATGAAAGGGGAGGAAAGGACCACAGTGGTGGGGGATACAGTTGTGTGGGGGGCGGGCGTGAGAGCCTCTGGGGAGGAGCACTGGGGAGAAGGATCCCAGCTGGCACCTGCTCCAGGCAGTGTGCCTGCAATGGTAGGGTGAGCAGCTTCCCCCGGATAAGCCAGGAGACACTCTGGGGGCAGGAGGTGCCACGTGGGAGGCCTTCCCGTAGTTCCTTTTCCTGTCCCCCGACTTGAGGCACCTCTGGAAAGGAAAGCAGAGAAGGTGCCTTTTCCCTCTGTGCACCTCCTAATGCATCCTCCACCTCCTCCTCCTCTACCTCCACTGCTGGGCCCCGGTAGCCTGAGAGAGCCATGTGGGAGCCTCCCTGGCTACCCAGGTGACTGCAGGGCAGGCTGAGTGACAGGCATCCGAATCCTGTGCTCTTTGGCTGGATAGATTACTCTGTGAACTTGAGGGACCTGGTGCTCACAGGTGTCAGGGAAGCGGCTCAGCCACCCCAGAAGGAGGTGTGCCTGGTGACGAATCAGGCCATCGGCAAGGCAGGGACGCCCCAGTGACTCCTCTTGCCCCGTGACTAGGACAGGACGGGACACATGGCTTCCTGGTGGCCTCAGCCATTGAGCTGAGCAGAGTGAGGATGCCACCGCTTCTGTCTCCCTGCTCTGCTCCTGGGCCTGAGACTCTGGGGTGTGCGGTCAGTGGGGTGCCTAAGGGGCAGTGTGCTGTGCAGCTCTGTGAAACACAGGAGGGGCCGTAGGGGAAGAGCCTGGGGACGAAGGGGCCTAGGAGGGAGGAAAGCAACACAGTGAGGCGGCAGAAGGTCGGAGGGTGTAAGAACTGTGCTCTTCAGTGCCCAGGGGTTGACATCAGGGGTGCCATCTTGGGTTTTCCTCTTCACTGGGCACAGACAGCGGTGGAGGTTGGGTAGGAACCAGAGGGAGACTTTATCTTGGCCAGAGGTTCCCAGGAGTTATGAGCTTACAAGGCAGTGGGAGGAGGGAATAAGGAACATTCTAGAAATGGCTTCCTTAAAATCTTCTCCAAGGAGCAGAAACTTCTCATTTGTCTAAGGGTGGATGAAGGCCACTTTACTTCATAGCAAGGGCTGAGATGAAAAGATGGTAATAATCATTAATAGAACAGTAGGGGAACAGGTGCTGAATATTCCCAGTTCTCAGGGCTTTGGGGACATTAACTGGTTGAATCCTCACAGCAGCTCCATGAGGTTTTACCCACAAGGAAATGGAGGCCTGAGGAGGTTATGTAGGTTGCCTTGGGTTCCACGACTGTGGTGGCTTTCCAACAGATGGGGAAGGGGCCGCTGGAGCTCCAGTGGGAGTGCTTGTCTTGGGGGATGAGGGGTTCTCTCTGGACCATGTGGCCGCTCAGCCCTGATCCCACCGGGGGCCTTTCTCCATCCCCTCTCGGCTGTGGCCTGAGGAGAATCAGGGACTTGCCTCTCCCTCTGCCTGCCTTCCCTGAGCCCTCGGAGGAAGCCGACGCAGGCTAACTGAATGCATAACTTTATTAAATAAATGCTTTGTCATGACAAAAGACAAAGATCAAGGAGTAACATAAATTATAAGTTGAATAAATAGTATACAGCAATCTTCACTTTTTAAGAAAATGTGAGATCCTTTGTTGGTTTTTTATTTCCTTAAGTACAAAATGCTAAACGGGAGCCGAGCTCTTCCGCATTCAGGTGTTTTTTTTTTTTTTTTCGGCTTTTTTTTTTTTTTCTCACAAACTGGTTGCATTTGTTGATTTATTTTTCCATCCTTTTCACCAGTAAAGATTATCATCGTTTATTTTTGTTTTTAAAGTTGAAAACAAAAAAGAGGAGAGAACAGAGTTATGGTATGAATGTATGTAAAACTATAGAGAACTACAGTAATATGTACTGTGGTTATTGCTGTCTTCAAAAAAAAAAAGAAAAAGAAAAACAACAACAACAACAACGAAAACAACCGGTAGGCAACTCGGAATCTGAAGGAATCTTGTCTGACAACTGTGCTATCCATGTGGGCTACGGTGTGACAGTGGCGGTAGAGAGGAGACTCCGGCTGGCGACCGGGGACTGGTGGAGTGGGGTGAGCGGGCACAGGGAAGCTGGGGTCCCCTTCCCCTCGGACCCTCCCCACCTTCCCTTTCCCCATCCAAAAGGATTTCAGGAGAGGAGGCCAGAGTCTGTGAAATGACTAAACTATATACTCCATTAGAAAACCAAGAAAGTATGTTTGAAATAGAAACAAAAGCCTAAGAGAAAATAAAAAGTGGAGAAACAGTGCAATGTAATTCTTGCACTTTAGTGGTTTTAAAAACACAGACAGTACAAGGCCCAGGTTGCTGGCTGGTGAAACCCCTGTCCCTCGTCCCTCCTCCACTTTGCAAAACGGAGCCTCCTTTCTCTTGGAAGCCAGACATATCCTCTCTGACGCTATGGGGTTTCTTCTCCTTAGAGCTCTTCTCTGAGGTTCCCATTCTGGGCCGGAGCCCTCTCAGGAGTGAGTGGATGGGTCCGGGGTACTGTCCCACCTTGAGGGGGGCTTGGCGGTTGCCGTGGCAGCCCTGTCTCACTAACCGGTGCGTGGCGGGAGCAGGTGGTTGAGGCCCACCCTCTAGGGGAGGCCAGCCCTGTGGGGGTACCATGGAGGCCACAGAGGTGGTGGTGGGGAGATGGGGTGGGAGAGAAGGGGCATGATCAGAAAAGGGCCTCCCTGGACCTCGTGCGCCTGCCTTCCTCCCCTCATGGGGCCAGTGTCCCCAGGCCTGTCTGTCTAGGCCTGGCTGTCAAAGAAAGGTTCCAGTCTCTTCCTCCCCATGTGCCCTGCTTTGCCAGGTGGGTCAGGGCAGGCTGGAGGAAGGAGGGTCAGTCCTGGCTGGGCTTCCCTATCTCCTGGCAGTCGTGGGAAAGACAGAGGCATCTTCCTCACTGGTGGAGTGAGGCACGAATCTAAAGGGGATGGGAAGACCTTCTGTGGGTGTGAGCATGGGAGTGGGCAGCACTTAGATTCGGAGCCATGGATAGTCCGGAGTCCAAGGTCTCTGGGTGAGCAGACAGTCGGCCAAAGGCCAGCCTGGAGTCAAAGAGACCAGACCCCTGCTTAGATTGCCATACTCGCACCATTCCAAACCTGCCTCCCTCACACCCTGCCATGGGGGAAGAGGTGCCGTCTTCCTCCAGTGCCTCCCTTCCCAGGATCTCCCCACCCTGGGCTCAGCCAGAACTCCCATTTGGGAGGCTTAGTTCCATGTGTCCATGAAGGCCCAGCTTCTCTGGGGAGTGACCAGCTGCCCAGGAGAAACTCCTGCATGCAGAAGAGACTCACAGGTTTGGGTTCGCAGGCACGAACTTTGGAAACCGGAAGAGTCTGGCGCACTTACACCAGGCTCTAATCCCCCACCTGATGGCTGGCAGCAAAGAGCCAACGCAAGGGGCAGAAGCCTGCTCAAAGTCCAGACACAGTCCGTGAAGAGAGAGCCCCTCTCAAGAATTAGGTCCAGGCTGGGAGGAATGTGGGGGGAGCTTGTAGTTCCTGGCTCAGTCTTTTCTCAGGGGAGTGGCACCCCAGTATCCACTTGGCAGATCCTAGTTGGATAACTGCTCAAGATGCAAAGGGAGAATGGGTGGAAAGAACAGTGACGTGGAAGAGGTTTGGGATACTGGCCTAAGACATACAGAAACGTGAGTTGGGTTTAGGGGACAGCTGTGCAGAGAGATGGGGCATGCTGACTCGGCAGGTCAAGGCCTTGTGGCTGCTGGCCCTATCGGGCCCCTTTGTCTCATGAAGATTGAGCACTTCTCCTGTCCCCAGCCAACTGTCCTGTCCAGGGGCATAGGAGATAGCCCCCAAGTTCTATAGCTATAGGGTTCCCATCAGTTGAAACAGATTTGCTTTTTCGCTATTCCTCTTCGTAGCCCCAAATTCGTTGTTGGAGGCGGTCTCCGCTGTGTCATGCCATGAGCAAAGAGTGAAGAGAGCTGTGTCCACAGCACGAAGGGGTCTCCTTGGCCAGTGTCCAAGCCCCCTTTCCTGGATATCTTCAGCCTTAAAGAACAGTCACAAGGCCACCCATTGGTTGAGGAAGTCATTGGAGAATGGGAGTTTCGGAATCTGGCTGCCGAGTGACAGCATCCCTGAATCATGCGTTCCCTGCTTGTCCCAGCTTTCCTTCCATCCTCCACCCCAGGGAGGATGCAGGGACTGGCCAGAATGGAGGAAGAGCTGGAAAGACTCGTGGGCCTCAGTCCCTCATTGCAGGCTGAAGGTGGGCAGCGGAGCACATAGTCTTGTCCCTTCCAAAGCATGGCCAGTTTAGACTGATTCTTCCTATCTGGCTTCTAAAGTCTAGCACCCTCCTAAAGTTACTCACCTTCCCTGGCTCTGCGGCCTGGATTAAGCTCATTTCTATTTTGCAACCCATTCCCCCATTTTCCTCTCTTTCCTCTCAAATCCTAGAAAATACATATGGTGGGGAAGCTAAGGAAATTTCTATTGGCTTTTCCCCCTTTCTGCTGCTTTGTGCCAAAGCTAGAATGGAACAGTCAGCCCCCTCTCCCTTCAGCCCTCTGTTCCTCCCCACATCGACTCTGGCCGGAACCATCCATCTTACTGTTCTCCTGCATCTAAACCTTTTTGCCACCATCTCCCTCTGCCATCTCTTACTTCAGTCTCCCTCCTGCTCTGCCAGCATGGAGAGTGAGGGAGGCTTCCAAAAATGCACATTCTGTTCAGATGAAAGGAAAAGGCTGGGGTGGGACTGGTGGATCCATCGTGGACCTGTTGGGCTCATGTGGTGTGGTGTCCGGAGACTGTGACTTCCTGAGGGTTTAAAGACTAAAATGGGATGGACTGAGGCGCGTGCTGTGTGCACCACGGAGGGCTGGCCTCTGCCTGGCTCGGTGGGTGCAGATGAACACACGTGGGGAATCACTGTCAAATCCAGTACTGTGCCCCACAAAAAAGCTGAGTTTATTGCTCACGGGAAACTCTGCCTCGAGGCAGGCAAAAATGCTATTACGGGTTGTATTAGGAGAATATGGGTTTTCTCAGTTTTCCCAGAATGAGGAAGCTCCTCAATGCCCCTATAGGAACTACTTTGAAAAGTTAATGCAAACCTTTGAAAGAAAGGAAGAAAGAAAAAAACAAAGAAAAAGAATAGATTTATATGCCTATATATGACTATATGGAGTCCTGTAGATAAATACGAGCCCACTTTTTTTTTTCAGCCTATCCTCCCCCACAGAGGCTGCTGCGCTACTTACAAATTGAATTAAATGAGGGCTGAAACGGCACGCTTCAGCATGTACTGTAGTCACCGTGGAAGAACAAGTCTTTCCAATATTGGGGCATGTATTGATTTCTAAAAAATGTCTGCCTGGGGAATGAAATATGCACATGTATTTCATATTCACAGATCTGCTTCCGAAAACCTCTCTATTTAATATCACTCAATTATGAATTTGTTTTGCTTTCAGAGGAATGGAATGCATTTTAGTTTTTATAAATTTGGGGAGAGACAACACTCTGCCCAGGTAAGAGGAGAGGAAGTTCAGGGGTCCAGCTGTCCATACTGCTGGCTAGAGGAGGAGACAGATCCGGGAGAGGTCCTGGAGTGTTTTGCCTTTTCCTTTCTCCCCCTGACCAATCCATCCTGGGAAACCCCAATAGTGTCATTGATTGCCACATCCTGGGCTGCATCTTCTAGCGCCCACCTCTCCCGACCCCAGGCCAGGGCTGGACGTGAAAGTTGGGCCCCTGCCTGGTCTCGGTGCATGTCCTTCCTGCCCACCTGCTTGTCTTCCTTTTCCTAACTCTATTCGTCTTTCTCTCTCTTCTACACAAACACTTCCTTCCCTTCTCTTCCTCTCGTTCTTCCTCTCTTCCCTTCTCTGTTCATCCAACTTGCCTCAAAAAGAAAACCATTTAAAGGGGGGGGGTGTCTTTTTAGCTTTTTGCATCTCTGTTGTTGCCATTTTCGAAGTTGAGCCCTTGCTAGAGATTCCGAGGTCCTCAGTTTCCTCAAATAGATAGATATATATTTTTCCCTTAAATGAGATGAAATGAGTGGCGTCCTGGGGTGGAGGGAGGCGCTGGCTGGAGTCGGGGCTGGGGGTGGGAGGGGGTGAGGGAAAGGTTGGGGGGGGACGCATCACTCAACGTTGCTGCTGTCGAAGGTGTGGCACTGAAAGTCCCCGTCAACGTACTCCATGCCTGGCAGCTTCATCCCGTACTTGTCCACGCACCAGCAGATGCCACGTTTGCGGCCACGGGAAGGTTTGCACTGGGGTGAGTAGAGCAACAGGCGGTGAGGACGGCCGCACCCCAGGGCTCTGCTCCTCCCTGCCCTGCCTCTTGTCTACCCCAAGGCAAGACTCTCATCCCCAGAGAGTTGAGGGCACTAGACCCGACCCTTGGGTTTCTGGTGTCCCCATTTCACGGAAAGACCCAGGGAAAATGTGAATTTAGGCAGCCTACCCTTGGCAAGCTCCTTCAATCCCTTTCTTTCCTTTTTTTTTTTTCAGACATGGGGTCCCGTTATGTTGCCCAGGTTGGTCTAAAACTCCTGAGCCCAAGTGATCTTCCTGCCTCAGCCTCTGGAGTAGCTGGGATTACAGGCGTGAGCCACTGTGCCTGGCTTATAGTCCCGTTTTAAATATTACCCATTTGAGTTCCCCCAACGTGAAACTCTGCAGGGATTCTCAAGAGAGTTATGATCCAATAATAATGATGATGGTAATAATAATAACAGAAGGAGGCATGATTTGTGGTGTTATCATGTAGTAGACACCACTCAACGTTTGGTAGGCAGTAGGTACTGTTCTAAGTGCTTTACAAAGACCAATCACTCACTCCTCATTCACCATTTTACACAAGGGTCTGGAGGCACAGAGACATTAAATGGTGAGTAACAGGACACAGCTAGTAAGTGGCAGAGCCAAGATTTGCCCCAGTGTGGCCTGGCTCTTACATTTAGATTATTGGTGCCCTTAAAGCAGCATCAGGGTCACGTGTCCACCCCGGAGTCCACCCCAGGTCTACCAATCAGAAACTGCAGGGGTGGGGCCCAGCCATCAGCCATGCCCTCCAGGGATAGGATGCCCTTGGAAATCTAAGAACCATTGCCCAAAGGAGAGCCTGGCTGTGAAGGGACATGAACTGATTTCAGGTGGTTCACAGAGAAAATATGGTTTAAATTCCTGAGTGTGCGGTGCACCAATGATACGTGCTGTGCGATAGTGTTACAGAGTTACCTTTTGCAAGGAATTCATGTAGCTAAGGCGACCTGTGGAAAGCATAGTGGATTACCGCATAGGAGAGAATGAGGAAATGGATTACAGCATAGTAGGGAATGTGGAAAGTCATGATCGTGGTATATGAATGGGTATCTGAGGCCCAGGAAACACTAAGTGGTTAACGGTGGAAACCTTAGGCACTTGCCCAAGGTGGAGTTTCCTGGCAGGTGCCATTTTTGGAGCAGTCTGAGCCTGGAGCTCAGGGCAGGGGACGTACCTGCTTTCTCTTGTAGAATCCTTTGCGGTCACAATTGGGCAGGTACACAGCACGGGGCACCATGCGTGGGCTGGCTTTGAGCTCCTGCAGGGAAGCCTCCATGTGTCTGCGGCAGGGGCCCTGTGTGGACAGGAGGGTGAGAGGCGTGGCGAGACCAAGGGAAAACCACCCAGCTGCGCTGACGAATGGCCCAGGGGGTGGGGGCTGAAGGGTCTCTGGAGGAAAGTCACCACCTTTGGTTCTAATCATCTGCTACCAAAGATCTTTCCTCCCTGTCACCTGTCACGTGCGCTGGGATCATACAAAGCCTGCCTTTGGCCAGGTACGGAGTCATACTTTCTCTTTTGTGTTCCAGTCCACCCCCTCCCCTGCAGCTTTTCTCTTCTGCTGAGTAACAATGTCCAGAGGTGCCCATTTCTAGATGCTCTAGGAGAATATTCAGTCTCTGCCTTGGACTGGACACAGCTGCAGGGCCCAGGTACCTGGTACGTGGCCGCTGGGCTGGCACACACTCTCCTCAAATGAGCACCGCCTCTATTCCCACTTACTTGCACAAGCCCTTGGCCCTGACAAGTGTATGCTCTGGAAACTCTACTCCCACGTCCTAAGCTGAGCCACATGGTGGGCTGTAGGTCCTCTGCTGGGTCTAGTCTAGCACCTCCTGCCGCCATGAATGTCCATTTAGATGCAGGAAAAGGTCAAAAGCTGGGAGGGAATGAGGGAATCCCCGAGATGCACCTGCTCAGACTCCTGTCTCATCTCAGGTGCAGAGATGATCCGGGGGTGGGCAGTGTTCTCGGCTCCCCCGACAAACTTGGACTGGGTCAGCTTCTTTCTGCGGTCCTTCTTCACTGCTTCAGCCTTCAGCTCGGAGATGCGGGTGTGTTTGGGCCGGAAGATCTTGGGGGAGTAGGTCTCCTCGGCCATCTCAGAGGTGGTGGGCTCCTCGTGCTCACGGGAGTCTCTCTCTGCAGGAGAAGGAGCCGGAGGGTCAGCCCCCGTGGGCCAAGGTGCACACGGCCAGAGCCCAGGGCTGGGCAGTTTGGGGTGAGGGGAGTAATAAAGGCTGAAGCAGATGTGTCTCTGCCCTCCTGGAGCACACCCTGAAAGCAGGGGGATAAGAACCAGGAAGCAGAGGGAATGCTCATTTAAGTGGCAGGAAGTTTCTGGCATGCTTGGAGTCAAGCAGAGAGTGCAGGCAGGGAGGCTTCACAGAGGAGGAGAATCGAGAGACTGACAGACTGATGGGTGAGGACGGAGCAGGCCTTCTGGGGGCAGTAAGGAGGAAGGGCAAGGAAAATGGCCTCTGCAAGGATGAAGGTGGCAGCGAGCGGTTTGCTTGCTGGGGGATGGCCAAGTAGATGGGACATGGCTGGAGGTGGGGCTGAGAAGTAGGAACCCGGGAATCTGGGCCCATGGAGGCAGATGACACAGTCAGGGCGTGGACGAGAAGGGCAAAGGCTGTCCTGTTAGTGAGATCTTTGCACTTTCAGAGCTGCTGGATGTTGAGGTCTCTTTGGACCTGGGGAACCTAGGAGGAGGGGGTCCTGGGGTCTGGAGCAGCAGGGTGGTGAGGACCTTCATAAGCGGCAGGAGGAGGGGAGGGGAGAGCCAGAAATGTAGGCCCGGAGGGGACCGGCGTGGGGCCAAGTGGAAGTCGGAGGCCTTGCTCCTGCTCTGGCTCAGAACTGGCGCGGTGCTCGGGGGCCTGGGAGGCTGGGACGTTACTCAGCTCTGGACTGAGAGAGGCCGACAGCTGGCTGAGACCGGGACAGTTATATATAGGAGTGGCTTGCTGACAGTCTATACTTAGCTGGCTTTTGACCTTTAGAGAAGTCAGACTTTGTTGATGTATTTGTTGATCCTTAATTCCACCCGTCCGGCCTTTTCTTGGTGCGCAGTTTTCCCCTAAATTCTGATCTCATAGGCATCCATCCCTGGGTCCCCTTCTCCTCTCAGATCCTTGACCTCCCCCAGCCTCAGAGGAACCAGAATGGGGGAACTTTAGATTGTTGTTTCCAGGCGGGCAGCGTGTGGCCAGGATGCCTCACAGTGGGACCAGATGCAGGGGTGAGTGGAGGTGGGGGGCCCTGTCTTCATTGCCTCCCTCTTTTTTCAAATACTGGAAAGAGAAAATAGAGCTTTGAGTGACCTTAAATAACTGAAATGAGGTGAAAGAAAATTCTGTTCTCCATCTACTCCATGATCACTGGGATGTCCAGGAACAGTGACCGCCAGACATCTGGGATGGGGAACAGAAGAAGTGGGTAGAATTCCAGGAAGTGGGGGTGGGGTGCAAGGAAAGAGAAGCTTTTTTGAGAAGACGCTGTTTTATGCCTCTGGGCAGGTATAGAACCTGACTTCTGAGCTTGCAGCCCTGGGCAAGTTCCAGGTGTGAGTTAGGAAAGGCATTTGGACACCTGGCCTAACCTGGGCAGGATGGCAGGTGGCAGGAAGCACCCAAGCATCTGTTTCTCTCTTGGCTCAGGATTTGTCAAGTCTAATGAAATAGGTATCTGGTCTTTAAGGCCTTGGCAGAGAAGGTCCCTGCCCTAAAGAAGCCTCCAAAGGTTCGCAGCGTTCCTGGTGGTGAGTTGCTTTGGGTATTTATTCACAGGAAAGGAAGGGACGTAATTACTGGAGAGGAAGATGATGACTTGGGGAAAGCAAATAGCAAGGTGGTGGGTGGGCTCTCCCTAAATAAAATTCAACCTGAGAATCCTGGTACCCCTTCTGGACTCTCACCCCCTCTTCCCAGTCATGTCTTGATGTCCCAGTACCTCGATTCTGCTCTATCAGACCCTGCTGTGACGACTCATCAATAGGGTGACATCTCTGGTAGGTGGAATGCAGGATTCTAGGGATTAGTTAAAAGGGTCATGTTCTGGGGTAAATTGACTTTTCTTGGTTGTAGCGCAAGTGAGATTGGCAGGAGGAAGGGAGAAGCATGGCTGGTTTGGGGACTTTGTACAAATTGAAAGGCTGGGGCTCCGTTATCTAGTAACACAGGCCTCACGCCAAGGCTCAGATCTTGGAGAAGAGGGAGTAGGGAGAGGGAGTGCTAACCATTGCACAGAAGGGCTTTTGGGCACGTCTTATGGAGGGACTGGAGCCGTGCCACTCAACCTCAGCATCACCACGCATTTTAATCCTCAAAAAGTAGTTGACTACTGTAGGGGGAGGGGCAGACAGGATATGGTGGCTACTGAAAGCCTGGAGGGGGTTCAGATTGGAGAAGCCTGGACCCCTTCCTCAATCAAGATTGTAACTGGATAAAGTGAGGGCAGGTGGGGGAGTGGGCTGGCTGCTGACCAGCGCATGCGTCTATGCGTCTCCTTCAGTGGGCTGCCCCAGCCTGGCCTGGAGAGCCAACACATTGTCACCTCTTCAAGGGGAGACAGCCTGGGAAGCTGGCTTCTCTCCTGTGGCTGGTGTAGCAGTTCCTGGAATCCTTTCCGTAGGCCATTTAGTCCATCCCCCTGTGTCCAAGCAGAAATAAGCATCTATCTCTCTAGTTCTTAAGGACATCTGAAATGGGGGTGCCATTCCATCCTCCTCTGGCTACCTGTTGGGGGAGGCTCTGTCCATTTGGTCAGAGGGTGCCCTTTTCCAGCTGTCATTTTAGCTTATTCTCTCTTTGGCCTTGGGGGACACAGAAGCATGGTGGCCCACAGCCTTCCCTCAACAGCTCTTCTCAAGACCTTTCACCTTTTGGGACTTTTTCTAAGAAGTGCTGTGGGCTGTCCTTAACCTTGAGTCACCCTTTCTGGGAGGGGGATGGGGCTGTTGACAACGGTTTGATAAACCTTGGGGTAAATTTATTTTGACCTCTCTTACTCTTTTCTTTGAAAGTGTTCAAGTACTGCCCCGGGGCCAAGCAACCATGATACTGGCATACAAAATGTAGATTCTTGTATCTCTCTTCATTTAAGGAACTCAAAATGCTTTTGCAAACTCTCTCCTTTTCCCAGCCTCCCCAAGGCAAGTCTCCTGAGGGCACACCTTCCCCAGCTTTGCAAGCTTTTTGGCTGCTTCTGAAGAGCAGGCTTAACATTTTGATGTGCCTCCTGGTTTCTGGTGCCACTTAACCCCATGGGACCTATTCCTTAGGCAGCAGCAGAGTCCAGTGTCGAAGATACTAATCAGGGTCTTGTGGTCACCTGTAGGCTCCAGAGAGACAGCGGAAACTTGGAGGGGAGCCAGGGCAGAGCCATGGAGATTAAAGGGCTGGAAAGTAAGACTGGAGCTGAGTGCCAGAAGCAGCCAGCCCGACTCAGCTGCTCTGTGGCTGAGTCATAAATAGGCTTTCAATTGTGGAAGGCTTTGCGTTTTAGATAAAACAAGAAGGAACAAGTAGACTGGCTACTCTGGAGCTATTTCATCAAGAGAAAATGAACTGAGGTTGCAGAAGGGATCTAGGCAGGATACCCGGGAGGACTTCCTGGTGAAGATTGTTCTGCACGTGAACAGCAAAAGAACTCAACAGTCTGCTCTGGAACCTGTTTGACAAACAGGTCAATATCTCCATGTGGCCAGCAGAGGGCGTGGGAGACTGACACCCACACAGCATGGGCACACTTCTAGGGACTGGAAGCGTTTTTTGTTTTTTTTTTTTGAGACAGAGTCTCCTTCTGTCGCCCAGGCTGGAGTGCAGTGGCGCGATCTCGGCTCACTGTAAGCTCCGCCTCCTGGGTTTACGCCATTCTCCTGCCTCATCCTCCCGAGTAGCTGGGACTACAGGCGCCCGCCACCATGCCCGGCTAATTTTTTGTATTTTTAGTAGAGATGGGGTTTCACCGTGTTAGCCAGGATGGTCTCGATCTCCTGACCTCGTGATCCGCCCGCCTTGGCCTCCCAAAGAGCTGGGATTACAGGCGTGAGCCACCAAGCCCGGCCTGGAAGTGTTTTTAAAATCTGGAATTTGGAATTGAGAGCGGTGGCTCATATCTCTAATCCCAGCACTTTGGGAGGCCAAGGTGAGTGGATTGCCTGAGCCCAGGAGTTCGAGACCAGCCTGGACAACATAGTGAAACCCCGTCTCTACAAAAAAAACACAAAAATTAGCTGGGCATAGAGGCGTGCGCCTCTAGTCTGAGAAACTCAGGAGGCTGAGACCGGAGGATTGCTTGAGCCCGGAAGGTGGGAGGTTGGAGGTAGGAGGTTGGAGATTGGAGGTTGAGGCTGAGGCTGAGGTGAGCCATGATTGCTCCACTTTGATAGCTCCACTGCACTCTAGCCTGGGGGACAGAGTGAGACCCTGTCTCAAAGAAAAAATAAATCTGGAATTTGGGTGCCTCCCTCTCCTACTTCTGCAATAATCATTCAAATAAATCCCTTCCTTCTGTTTGTGTGTCTGCAGGATATATTTAAAGAGTCAGGGAGACAAACAAGCGAGGCCCGGAGAGAACCCATGTGTGGGAGAGTGAAGGCAGGTGAGGGAGAGGGGAACAGGGCTTGTTTGTGCATGGCATTCTGCTGTTTCTGTAACCTCCAACTGGAAAATGATCCAGGAAGGAAGAGAGACATATTCCAGACTTCCCCGCCCATGAGATGCTGTTCTGAGAGGTTTTTGCAGAGGATGGGAAATGTGGAATGCTCAGCATCCATTTCTCCTGCTGGGATCTATGGAGGCCAGACCTTACCTTCATAACCCTATTCAATGACTAAGGGAGGGGATGATGATAATATTATCTGGATACAGTATTTACCTTTGGGGTGGGATCTAAATCTCTGGCTTCTATATAATACCTCCAGTCCTTCCCACTGGCTCTCCAATGCCTCTGGCCCCTGCCACATTTGGGTGGCCAACTCAGTCCTCTTTCATTCATAAGGAGTTCCCCATACACCCCAGTGCAGCAGCATCCACAGAGGCACACACAGTACATCAGCCTCTCCCCATGGTAACATGAACACGTGTTTGAGGATTGCACCATCCTCTATGTCCTGGCAAACACAGAGAGTGTCATGATGCAAGCCCAGCTGCTACAGACCCAGAGGCATCTTAGGGTGAGAAATACTCCATGCTGCACAATTGCACAACGCATGTACCCTGCCCAAGCTCAACCACTTTCTCCAAACCTGCCCTTTTGCCACGGCTGTTCTCTTCCAGTAGAGTCTGAAGGGTTCTGACTCCACCTTGCTTGCTGGTCACAGCAATGGATGGATCCAGGAGACCTGCCTGCCTAAAATCTAAACCCCCCGCCCCCGGACCTCTTAGCCACACCCCGGTGCTATTAACAGCCTGTTCCTGGGCTGGTGTTAGTTTATCACTCTATCTCACTTGACCTAATAATCAATTGTAAGAGAAAACTAGGTGACCCAGATATTGTGCCTTAGCTTACAAAAATCGAAGAAACAGAGGCATCCTTGAAATTCACAGTCCAGGAAGAGTGTCGGGCTTTGCCAGGCCACCCAGACCTGGGGAGATTCTCCCATCTCCTTTTCTAGACAGAAGATAAGATGAGGACGCCTAGAATCTCTCTACAAAGAATGAAAAAGGGAGCTGAATTTGTTCTGGGTTTCATTCTAGTCCCCCCTGTGGAATTTAAACAGCCAACTTCTTACGGGCAGAGCTTTGTCATTTCTCTTTGTCTCACCAGCATATAGTATTCAATAAATAACCTTTAAATGGAGAGATGTGTAAATCTGCCCAAGAGGCAAAGAGAAGTAGGTCTGGAAGTATTTCTGTAATATAAGCTGGGGCTTAGAGCCCAGTGCATGCCTTGGGAGGTTATCTCATCCATGCTCCTGCCCTGGAGCAAGATAACCCTGCCGCAGGGCACAGGGAAGCAGACAGATGAGCGTCATGGGTGTGAGAAACAGCAGGGGTGCTCCTGGATTCACTGGGCTTCTCTTTGGCCTAAGGCTACTATATATTAATGTACTACTTAGGCCAGGCATGGTGGCTCACGCCTGTAATCCCAGCACTTTGGGAGGCCAAGGAGGTTGGATCACAAGGTCAGGAGTTCGAGACCAGCCTGGCCAACATGGTAAAACCCTGTCTCTACTAAAAATAAAAAATCAGCCAGGCATGGTGGTGTGTGCCTGTAATCCCAGCTGCTCGGGAAGCTGAGGCAGGAGAATCACTTGAACCTGGGAGGCGGAGGTTGCAGTGAGCCAAGATCGTGCCACTACATTCCCCCCTGGGCAATAGTGTGACAAAAAAAAAAAAAAAAGTATATATTTAATATGGTAGCCACTAGCCAATGTGGCTATTTAAATAAATATTAAATAAAATGAAAAATTCAGCTCCTCAGTCACTCTAGCCATATTTCAAGGACTTCGTGGCCACATATGGACATTGCAGACCTGCAACGCTTCCATCATTGCAGAAAGTCCTGGTCAGTGCTGGCCTGACGGCACTGACTTGTGCCTGGGTATGGATGAAAATACTGAGGCCCAGTCTAGAATGTTCTGCAGTCCCCCTCCTCCCTTGCCAACCCTAGGTCCCTAGCCAACTTGCAGCCACCAGCCCCTCCCTACAACACAAGGCTGGTGGAAGCATGAGGGATTGGCTGTTCACTGTTTGAAAAAATGTAAGACATGTCTCAGTCTCTTGAAGTCTGTTTCCCAGCTGTGGATGTCAAATGGCTTTTCTGCGCTTGTGTGTGTGCATTTGCAGAAGGAGAAAGGCCACAGTGGTTGTGGCAGGGGGAAGGTGCTGTGGACACTTCCAGGGAAGTGGCAACATCATTTCTTTTCCTACCCATCCCATCTCTGACCAGCAGCTGCCTGGCGCCAGTCTCTCTCAGAAGACATTTTTTTTTGTTTTTGTTTTTTGTTTGTTTGTTTTTGTTTTTACTTGATCGTCAGAAATAGGCATGCATGTTCCGGGTTCTTTTTAACCTGAATTATGGGCTGAGGAGGAAATGAGCACTAACCTTTTAAGAAAAAAAAAAAACCCAAAGCTGTCATCCTAAAAAGCAGCTGTAAGAATGGAGGAAAGCCAGGAGGAAGACCCCGGAGGGGAGTTGAGCAGACTTAGAGAACTACTGACTGGATGATGAGGGCTATAGGTGTACCCAGCTGAGCCCCCCTACCCCATTTTAGGCCGGGAGAAATAGCATGGTTAGGTACTCTAAACCAACAGCAAAGCTGGCCAAGCTGGGAATATATCTCTATCCTTACCAGAGAAATACAGACACCATGTAGTATAGTGGATAACCATTCAGAATCAGGAACCAGACCACCTGGGTTCAAATCCCAGCTCCACTACTGAATAGGTACAGCAAACTGTGCCACCCTAAACCTTCAGCTGTCCTTTCTGGGAGGAAGATGAAGCTGTTGACAATAGCTCAGTAAACCTTGATGCAGCTTTGGCAACACAGCAAGACCCCATCTCTACATAAAATGAAATATTAGCCGGGCGTGGCAGTGTGCACCTATAGTCCTAGCAATGGGGAGTCTGAGAAGGGAGGATGGCTTGAACCCAGGAGTTGGAGGCTGCAGTGAGCCATGATTGTGCCACTGCACTCCAGCCTGGGTGACAGAGTGAGACCTTGTTTCTAAAAATAAATAAATAAACAAACCTTGGTACAGATTTACTTTGACCTTTCTTTTTTTTTTTTTTTTTTTGAGACGGAGTCTCACTCTGTCGCCAGGCTGGAGTGCAGTGGCATGATCTTGGCTCACTGCAACCCTCTCCTCCCAGGTTCAAATGATTCTCCTGCCTCAGCCTCTTGAGTAGCTGGGACTAAAGGCATGCAGCACCACGCCCAGGATGGTCTTGATCTCTTGAGCTCGTGATCCACCCACCTCAGCCTCCCAAAGACCTTACTTTCTTCTTCCTCTTTCCAATTCAGTTTTCTCACCTGTGTTATGGGGAGGATGGCAATGGCCCCTTCTCCATTATATTCTGAGGATTAATCAGGGTGATGCATGCTAATTCACTCTCAGAACAGGTCTCTGCCTTTGTAGTGCTGTTTCCTACCACCTCCCTAGTTCGAATCATCAACTAAAAATTTGGTTGCTGTGACACCTGGTTGACAGACGCCTACTTGTAGACCACAAGATCTGAGGCTCCTTGGACTGCAGGAAGGTCTGCCAGAAAGTGTTGGCTCGACCTTTGTCTCTGGGGGTCTGTTGGCCAACACCAGGTGAGGACTTGGCACAGGTGCTCTCCGGACCCGTCTCCACTTAGAGAGCTCCCCCTGGGAGTCCTTCCTCTGCCTAACCCCATTCCTTCATGCTGCGTTAAGGGCACTTAGCCTCCTTCCCTGAAGATATATAGAGAAAAGGGGGCCCACCGCCCTCCACAGTGTAGATGCCACAGGTGGGAAGGTGACACCTCACAGAGTAAGGGGCTGAGGTCCCCCTTACATCTGCCCCACTGTCCAGGGACCAGAGGTAAAGAGAGGCTCCTTGTTGTTTTCTGATGCCAAACTAGGATTTGGGGTTGTGACTCTGGTTCACATTTCTTGGTCCCTGGGAAGCAGCTGGCGATAACTGTACACATAGGAAATACACACTGATGCACAAGTCCCTGGCTGAGAATCTCCAGCCAAGCTTCTTTTGGAGTTGGGGAAGGGGGAGCATGCTTAGTAGAAGTGTCTGTCTGTTCCTCATACATTCCCCAAATGAGAAGGTAATGGTGGGGGGATAGGTGGGGAGCAGCCTCTGGAGGAAGCACTGGGCAGCTTTTCTCCTGGCCACTTTCCCATCATGACCCATCACAGCCAGTTCAGAACATTGCCAGCCACAGCCACATCCCCCCAAAGTTCTGCATGACCAGAAGGGGGCGGCAGGGAGGAAGTAGGGTTTACGCTTCTCTCCTGAGGCCCCGAAGAAGGTGCCCAGGCTCTGCTAGGGACCAAACAAGGGAGCCCTGTCTGTCAACGAAAGCTGAGACTCCCCTTTTTTGAGTCTTTGGGAGCAAAAGGAAAGAGTGGGGACAGCAGTTGCCTTCTCAGGTGAGAGAGGGGTTTGCTGGTAGCCATTAACCATGTGCAGATACATACGGAACATCTGAAATGTGGCCCGGGGAACTGAGGAACCACATTTTAAAATTTATTTAATATTTATTTAATTTTAATTAGTTTAAATTTAAAAACAGATACTCAACTCAGTTATTGGAAAGATTTTAAAGTATGTTTGGAATGCCTCAGGTATGTGACTCTGCTTTTTCAACTGTAAATTTTATGAAATCTAAATACAGATCAAGTATTTCCAATGAAAATTTAGTGTCTGAATTGAGATGAGCTGTAAGTGTAAAAAACACCGGATTTCAAAGGCTAAATATGAAGGAAAGAATGTAAAATATCTCATTATAATTGTTTTATTTTGAGCGTGTGGTGAAAGGATATTTTGGATATATTCAGTTAAAATGTATTATTACAATTAATTTCCCTGTTTTTTTTACCTTTTTAAAAAAGATGTGGCTACCAGAAAATTAAAAATGACAAATATGGCTTGTATTATGTTTCAATTGGAAGTGCTGTTCTAAATGATCTGGAAGAAGAGTCATCCTGGCTGAGGTGACAGAGGGGTGTCGCAGTCCCAGTTCGGGATAACTGGAACCCACATTAAACAACTCAGAGAATCAGCAGAGGTCATCTGAGGCCTGGCTCTGAGTGCAGATTCAGTGGGACCTTATTTTAGGCCAGGGAAAGGGGCCTGATGGTTTAGGTTGAGGGATCAAACATGAGATAACTGAGTTCGTTTAAAATGTTCCTATAGTTCACCTGGCAGGTCTGACTTACCGGAAAAAGGGGCCTATCTTATCTGCCTCCTTCCTAAGCATCCCAGAAGGAGGAGCTGCCACGGCCTCCAGGATGTATTAGAATGGGTCTCAGCACTTCCTGCAGCACAACCAGAAGTCCCCAGCTGCCCTCTGGAAGCACATCTCTCCTCTCCTGCTGAAAGATCTGAGACACATCTGCCTATGAAAGAAAGCCAGGGGGCCCTCATGCTCTCTTCCTTATCAGCTTTGGTGGTATATGGTTTTCCTTCTCTCCTTCGGATGCAGAACTTCCTAGTTACTGCACTCACCCCATCCAACCACACCCTCTCTCGATCTCTGCTTTCTGTTGGCACCACGTGAGGACTGTGCTGTTGGAAGCGGGCCACTTCTGCACCATGTTCTTCAAGACTACAGGCCGCTGCACAGCTCAGAGGCAGCCAGGCCTGCCTGCCTCTCCACATCAGGAGAGCTTCCTGTCATGTAGAAAATGAGGTTTGGCGCATGGACCTGAAAGCTGGGGTGAACACCCCTCCTTCACACCCTCTTGGTCCTCTTTCTCTGACCAAACCACTAGCCTAAGCCAGGCTTGTATGCAAGACTGTGTAGAAAAAGGGACAGAAGTGAGTGTGAAAATAAGAGAGTGTGGCCCTCTCCACTTTGGGGCCGCTTCACTCCTTTTCCTACTGCCCCTAAAACAGAGTGCCTTCAGATTATGGGTTCTTATGTCATGGAGTGATAGCATCTGGCAGTGTTTGCCAAAGGCCTTACTGCAGGTTAGCCCAGGTCCAGGCATGAGCCCCAGTGACTAGCGAGAAAGCCAGGAATGGCTGAATGCAGTGCTGGAGCCCCTGCGGGAAAGAGCTGAGTCCCAGCCCCTTGTCTGTCTCTAACCCTGCTGCCACATCTTGGGCAAGTGACTTCCCACTCAGGGCCTCAGTATCCTCATTCTAAAACTAGGACCTTGACTGTGATGATGGCTATGGGTTCCTTCCAGCTTTAACATTATTTGGCCAATACCCAGACAATTCCTGGAGAGACACTAGGACTGAGCTAAGCTGAGTGGCCAGGCACTAACTAACTAACCTGGTTAGGTGCTCTAAACCAACAGCATAGTGGCCAAGGTGGGAATATAACCTCTCCTCCTCACAGAGATTTTCAGTCACTCCTCTGGATTTATATTTTTTAAAAAGAGAGAGAGAGAGAGAAATGACATCATAACAGAATTTATGGAAAGAAATGAAACTGGAAATAAAAGGGGGGGATTTCACTGGTATTGGGGGAGGGGAGTAGAAGCCTACACTGCCATCCTTGTTTATTTTATTATTTATTTTTGCAAGTATGTAATCAATGTGTAATCAGTCTTACTGTTTTGAATAACATGTCCTGATTGCAATTTAAGGATAGTCTCTGGGAATTGCAGCTTTTGGACCAACTGTAGAGAAAAAGCAAATGTAAAACTAAACAAACCCCTCCAAATCGCCTGCTTGACTCAACGCAGCCATTCTCCCACCCTCTTCCCTTCTGCTCTGGCCCCTGGTTGGTACCTGCTCTTTATGATCTTCTTCCAGTTTCTGGATGTAGTGGGTCTGGAGTGTGGTGATCTCTTCTCCAGAGTTTTATTTTCCACACACTAAATATCTTAAAAGTTTCATAGGCATTGCTCAGGTACAAAGTAGAAACTTTAGACAAGTATTACCTTCCCTTCCCGCTGGCTTCTTCGCTCCATTAAGGGGGCCAGGGCTTCTGCAGGGAATTCCTGCTCCCATGCCCTTTGCTGTAACCCTCACGATGACCTCTGGCTCCTAGGGTCAGGCTGGTCCACCCTCTGCAGCTGCAGGCCCACCTGCCTGCTCAAATCCAGCCCAAGCCCCGGGACTAACTCACAGCTGCTCTGACTTAAAACTCAAGCCCTCAGGGGATGCCTTAGAGTTGGGGTGGGGGGTCGGGGGGTGGATGGAGAAGGTCGGAGGGAAGAGTAGGAGGGAGGGGTGAGAAAGGGGAAAAAGAGAAATGGAAAGAATATGAGCTCTCACTAGGGCTAACTCTGCTTGTTCTTCCAGTCTGAGCTGACACAGCAGAAAGGTGGGGGAGGGGGGGCGGGGTGGGCGGGGGCGGGGGCGGTGGGCGGAGGTGGCGAGAAAAGTCCAGTTAAAGCCCCATCTCGTTTTCCCAACTCCCGTTTTGGTTGGCTCAGGGCACGCCATCCTCTCAAAGACTTGTTTCAGAGGGAGGGGGTGCGGGTGGGAAAGGAATTTGGCTCCTTCAGTTTTCCATGATCTTGCTCAACCCAGACATAAATTTGGCCAATAAACCTAACTCTGGAACTCGACTTCAACATGGCATTTTAGACCAGGCTTGGAGTTGAAGCCAGGGTGATGGAGGCCAAACCCCTCAAAGAAGCAAAGGCTGAATTCACTTTTATTTAGGTAATGCTTTTGCTTTCTTTTCCAGAAGCCTATTTTTTGTCCCACGGTGTCTCATTTCTTAATGACAGAACCGAAAGCCAGAACCCACGGCTCCCTACATCTTAAACTGAATGTCTCACCAGCACAGAGGAGACCTACCCGAACCCCGGTATCTATGCTGGGGACCAGCCCATCAAACCTCATTCCCCACCAAAAATGCCCGAAAGCAAACCCAGTACTTCCTTGACTCCCTCCACTCACCGCTATTTACTGAGCTTTGCCCATCAAATAACTCCCGTCTTTCATCTCCCTCCAGCCTCACACACATTCTTTTTTCCGTATCTATCTCTGCTCCTGAACTGGCCAGAATGAAATGCAGAGCCAGGCTCGCTCTCAGCACCCTGCTCTCGGGCCCACTCCCTCTCCAGTTGCTCAGCAACAGCCTAGCAAAACACCCTCTCCTCCGCCCTCTCCTTTCCCTCCCAGAGGCTTTGGCTGCCTGCCACCTCACTCTCTTCTGCTCCCCATTTCTGATTCCAGAAATGCACCTTTTTTGGGTTCTACATGTTTGGTTACATATAAATATATATAATATAGTATATACCATATATACAATATATAATTATATAGATATAATATGTCGTGTGTGTGTGTGTGTGTGTGTGTGTGTGTGTGTGTGTGTGTATGCTGCAACTGCGGGAGGGAGGGGGCAAATCCATATCTGCAAGCTCAGATTTTGGCGGGGGTGGGGGAGAGGAGGGAGGTAGGAGGTGTGTTGGGAAGCAGGAATTTTGGCTAAAGGACCAAAAGGGCACTCTCCCTCTCTCTGTCCATTTCTCTCTCCTTAAGAACGGTCTCTACACCATCTCCAACTTTTTGGGGACCCGCCCAGTGGTTGTCCGGCTAAAACGCCCTTTCCAGGAGCGCCCACTCCCATCCCATCTGTTCGGGAAGAAGATGTCGGCACCAGCAGCGGTGGAGCGCCGCCAACCCGCAACAGCAGCCGGCCGGGCACCTGCCTTCGGCGGGGTGGAGTCGGAGAGGAGTGCTGGGGAGGGGGCGGGTAGAAGAGGCGGCTTCGGGTTGGCCCAAAGGCACTCAGAAGGTGGGGGTTGAGCAAGGGGCGGCAGGGAATTCTACAGGGGATCTTGCTTGGGACTGAAGTGTCGTGTGTGTGTGTGTGTGTGTGTGTGTGTGTGTGTGTGTGTGATGCGCCCTCCGTGCTCGCCTAGCAATTGCGCGCGCGTGCGCTCTGCGTGTACACCCTTCACACTAGCCACATCACACTACACGCTTGGTAAATAATAAGTGGAGCCAGGATGCGGCTGAGTGACACCTTACGTTCTTTCGGTGTGACTGGATTGTTACCCAGGGCGGTGGCTCCCAAGCCGGGAAATCAATTAATGTTTTCCTTCTCCGCTAGGCTTTTCCAAATCCACATCCCCCAAGATGAAGGCGGGCAGGACCGCCTTTGAAAAGTGGATCTTAATAAAAATAATCTCACAAGCCGGTCTCTGGGGTTCCCAGAGCCTGCACATCCTCCCCTTTTCCTCTTTTTGCAGGCTGCAACCTGCAAAAAGATCGACTTTTTGCAGGTTTGGAGATCGACTACCTCTTGCAAAGCTAGAGGGGCTGGCCCCTGCGCCACTCAAACCCTGCAGGGTTTGCGGGGACTGAGGCTGAACACAGGAAGCTCTCCGGCCTCCTGGCAAGCGCGGACGCACTCCTCTCCTGCACTATAGTGACTGAAATTTGCACTTCAGAAAACTCATGTTAGGGTGCTCGTGAGTAACGGAAAGGGACAGGGAGGGAGAAGGGGATTGCCCCCGTAACTAAACTGTCTCCGTAACTAAACTACGCCAAATAAACATTGTTTAGCCAAGTTTTAACCCCTTTTGGAGAGAATCAATAGCCAGTTTGACGTCTTAGAACCCAGACTTTTATGTAGTTTATTTAACTTTTTTTTTTTTTAACTAAAGATCAGGTAACTCTTTCCAAAAAGAAACTCAGTCTAAGGGGGTAGAACTGTTCTGATTGAACAAGTAGCTGTGTCAATCATTTCAACCCTAGACTCCTGGCGCCGAGAATTTGGGGGCGGCGCAACCCGGGGGCGGGGCAAGCGGAGGCGAGGCTCCCAGTGCGTGGCTTTTCTGTCTCCGCCCCCTGAATTTTGCATTCTGCGTTTCCAGGGCCCCTCATGCACTTAATCCACACCCACTTGTGATCTGGTTTAAGAGATTGGGGAGGGCGGGGTGGGGGGATTGCGGAGGGAGGAATTGCGGGGCGGGGGTGGAGGTGGTGGTGGTGCCAGGAATCTGCATAGGCGAGGAAGTTGAAAGCTCTGAATCTCACATCCCCTTTTGCCTCCCAGCCCTATGTCCACCTTTCATCCTAGGTAAAATCTGAATTGGAGAGGGGGAAAAGGAATTAGATTCAGAAACGAACACCAGGCACAGAATACCAAACCCTTCCTTTCTACTCTTCCCCACCCCCACCCCGCACCCCCGCACTCCTAAAGTATTTTTTTCCCTTCCTGGGATAAAATAAAAGTCATTTTGCAGTTAAATATGTTTTACCATCTACCACAGGCAATCATCTTCAATAAAAAGCAATGGTTATGCACATGGGAGGGGCTTCAGGGCTCCCACCCGAAAGGCATTAGCTACCAAGGATGTGGGGTGTTTGTGGTGTGTGTGTAGGGGTGGAGGGATAGAAACGTCTGGAGGCACGGGGGTGGAGGGGCCAAGAGGGACAAAGGTGGAATTAGCTCAGAAGATAGGTAATGCCTCTCTCTCCAGGCCGCAATTAAAATAATATTTTAACAAAAGAGATTTTTTTTCCAAGTTCAGAAAAAAACCTATGCGGGGCGCGAGGGGGGTGGAGGAGGGAGTTGATAATGTAACATACACTCTTTCAGACTGTAGATAGGGTACCAGGGGATTTGGACCTTGTGACCGAATAAGAGCTCAGAATCAGTATTCGGACAGAGTAGGGGGAGGGGGCGGGCAACGTGTGGGTAGGAGGAAGGAGAAAGAGCGAAAGCTGGGATAGACTCGGCTAGACAGTTCCCCCGGGTAGCAGGATCCTCCAGGGCTCCAATTCCGGGGTGCAAGGACCCTCCCCGACTACTCCCGAGCTGCACCCCAGCTCGAAGCCACTTGCTGCGCAAAGCGCGCGGGCCCAGCCGGTCTCGTGTCCCCCGCCCGTGCGCCGCGTAACTGACTGGCACACTGAGCGCGCTCACCGATCTTGACTTGCTCGCGGTAGCTCTTTTCGTTGAGGCAAACCCCGCGGCCGTGCAGCAGGGCGTGCAGCGGCTTCTCCTCGTCCTGCCGGGGGAGGCAGCGCAGCCCCTGGGCGCAGCGCTCGGTGTAGACGCCGCACGACTGCCCCTCGGCCAGGGCGCAGGTCATGCAGCAGCCGCAGCCCGGCTCCTTGACCAGCTCGCAGCCCAGGGGGCTGGGGGGGCACATGGAGAGGGCTTTCTCGTCGCAGGGCTCGCAGTGCACGAAGGAGCCCAGGCTCTGGGCCGGCCCCGCATAGGCGGCCAGCAGCAGGAGGACCGCGGTGAGCAACACCATCTTCTCTTAGTCGCCCCCTTTACCTCGGGGTGGGGCAGGAGAGCGAGAGTGCAGGGATAAAGGGGCCAAGAGGGCCCCCGGAGATTTTTTTGTTTTTGTTTTTGTTTTAAAATTTCTGGCAGGTAGAGCAGGTGCCCTCCCCCAGACACTTGCAAAAATGTAGAGAGAGGTGGAGGGCTGGGGTGCCTGCGAGCAGGTCCCAGTTGCAAGAATTAAAGCCTTGCAACAGGTTGGGGGAAGCAGGGCAGCGCCAGGTGCACGCAGTGAGCGGAGGCCGGAGAAACCCTCAAGCCTGAGCGGGTCAGAATTATAGGGGAAAAAAAGCCACAAAATTGTTCACCCCCAAGCAACCACCGAAATAATGAGATCGGATGCAGTGGAGATGGCGTTGGGGGTGGGAGAGAAAAATGGATTTATCTTTAAAATTTTTGCTTAAAATCTAAAATACACCCCGCTTTCTAACCCTCAGCTGCCAGCGGTGCGCGGCGCCGCAGAACAGGTAAGAGGCGTTGGCTGCAGCCGAGAGGGTGGGAGAAAATGTTGAAATCAAGAAATTAAAAAACAAAAACAAAAACAAAAAAACCCCAAACCCTAACACCTCTTTTCTCCCACTTTGCCACCTCCTCTTCGAAATTCGCAGGTTCTACGCGAAGTCCGGAGAAGGGTGAAAACGGAGGAGGGGTAATGAAAAGGAGCAAAAAAGGGAAAAAGCCCACACTGCTTTGCAGCTCTTTCCTAGCTCTTTTCCCCTGCAGAAGTTTCCAAAGAGACTACGGGGCTCCGGGAGAGCAGGCGCTTTTAAATAGCCGGCCCCTGGCTGCCAGCCAGTTTGTAGCTGCAATTTGAGCTTCCCAACACCCAACTCAGGCAAGGATGCCAAGGAGCTTTGCAGTACAAACTCACACGGGGTGGGGGTGGGGAGAGGCCTTCTAGACACAAGGGGGCTCCCCTTCGCTCCCTGAACAGCGCCCTCCTCCCCTCTGAACAGCGCCCTCCTCCCCCCGGAATGTAAGAAAGGGGCAAGGGGGACAGGCTGGGGCTACCGAGAATGGGGAGGAGGTGGAGGGGCCAGTGGAAGACAGAGTTCTTCGGAGCAGGGTGAACACAATGAGGAGAGTAACTTCGTCTCCCCTTCCCTCCTATCCTTTAAGTAGTCAAGGCACAGGCTGAAGGGAGACGTATTTTCTTATTAGCCAACTGGATATACCGTGCCCAAGAAATCTTCCTAAGCTTCTGCAATTGACTGTATGCTGGTGTCTGTTTCCATGTGGGGTGTGTGTGTGTGTGTGTTTGGGGGACAGGTAGTGTAGAATGGCCAGTGATGTCTGGTGAGCTAAATTTAAAAAAGAAGAAAAAATTGAATTTCTCCCCTAAAAGTCTGGAGAAGAGGATTTAATCAGGGGGTTTCAGTACTCATGATGAAGAGGTGACCAGTTGCCTTCAGCTGCGTTGGCCAGGGAGGTTCTCTCTCTCTTTCTCTCTCTCTGTGTGTGTGTGTGTATGTGTGTGTGTTGTGTATCTGCAGGAATGGACATTCATACAACAGCATTATTGAGAGCAGTGAGTTGCAGAGATGGACACTTTGGAGGAAATGCTAAGTCTGAAAACCTTGCATGGTGGCCTAAAGTGTCCTTGTGTGTGGGGTTCTTAGAGGGAAGAAAGGTGGATTGGAGTGACACTTCCCTCTCTGTCACTTTGCAGAGGTATTTCTATTGGGCAGGGCCACATCCCTGGAGGGAGTGGGTGGCAGAGTAGCTGGAGGAGACCTTGTGATAGGTTGACAGGTTAGTTGGTGCTTATAGGCACATCCCAGGAATATGAGCTGACAGGGCCACAGGACCTGCTTGGAAGAGGTCCTGACCAGGAACCGAATCATGCCACTAGAACCTCTTTAATAAAATGAAAGAAAACTAAGGCCTTGAAATAGGAAGGTGGTGGTTTTAGCTTTTTCTGAAATTGACCTGAGTGAGCCATGAGCCTCACAGGCAAGTCAGAGAGAAATGACCAATGTCACTGCCCCTGCTGGGTGGACTTGGTGTGGGCTGTTACACCTTTTACATTGTGCTTCCTCCCTTGAGAAGTATTCTAACTTTCCTTTGGAGAAGGGGCTGCATTTCATGAAGTTTGCCACTAGACTGCACCCTTATCTATGATAAGAATTCTTTCTGGAGGACTGCTTTCAAGAAAATATTTTTTCTTGCTCGTTCAGTTCAGGAGCATCTCACTTTATGCCGTTAACACCCCCAGATCCTGATCTCTCTTCTCACTTATCTATTTGCCGAAAGGCACATTTTAAAACAAGGTTAACGTCTAAAGTTATGTCTTTGCCTGTATTGCCAAAGGGGGTTTAGCCACGTGGTGGCTGGGAGAGGGAGGAGCATTGTGTGTAATGATTAAAACAAAAAATAGCAGCAAGGCTCATCTTAATTTCTTCTTTTCTCAGTCTGAGGGCTTGGTAAGGTAGGAACAAATCAATATTCAAAACTTTGGTGGAAATATTTTAGAAGTGAGGGAAATCATGTGTTATTTTGTCATTTGTGTCAAGTTCAGACTACAAGAGTGGCAGCAGAATGTGTGCAGTATGTTCTCTTCCCTGCTCCTATTTCTTTCTGCACACCCTTAGCAGCTCAGCCTGCCTCAGGCACACTGGTAGCTTTTAAGATGATTGGGGGAAATTGTGGTACTCCTTCCAAAGAAACATGAGTTGCCTCGTTCCAGTCACCCTGTATTCTGAGAGAGATGGCCTCTAGTGACACCTCTTTTTGTGTAGCCGACTTCCAATGGCTGGATAATACAATATGTGAAGACAGGTAAAAGGAGGGGGGATCATTCACAGAAAAGATAAAAAGGGTAGAGAGAAGGGGGGAGGAGAATGTGGTGGGAGCCGGACCCTGGGGCAGAGCAGTACAGGGGCCATGGAGAGAGGTTACTCTGCAAGACTGTAAATGTTAAGCAGCTATTCTTTTTTTTTTTTTTTAATACTTTAAGTTCTAGGGTACATGTGCACAATGTGCAGGTTTGTTACATATGTATACATGTGCTGTGTTGGTGTGCTAAGCAGCCATTCTTTATCTCCACTTAGAAATGGGCTTAGGTTATAAGGGATTCAGACACTGGAGCTGTTGTCCAAGAGACCCTGGGATAGGCTTCCCGAGAGGGCATGAGAGAAAGAAGAATTCTCAGTAGCCTGGGATTGTCTATAGTAATTTCATCCAAAGATGGAGGACTGGCCAGATGGGTGTTGTTTCTGAGTCCATAATTAACATATGACAATGGAGTGGGAAGGTGTTGGTGTTGTTACTGCAGGATACGGGATTATGGAGGATGCCTATGAGCCTTACTTGATTCCATTTTCCCCTTCCCTCCATTCTGGAGGTCTAGATCTGTTCACAATCACCTTTAGAAAATTGCTTGTAGAAAAAAAAAATAGTTTGCATCAACCAGGGTAATTGGGAGGGGATCATTAATTCCTGCCAGATACAAATGTTCCCTTCCTAGAGACCCCCCTGTGCTGCCGGCTTGCTTTCGCTGTCATGGGCTTCCCAACTCTGGCATAGACTAGCTTCTATACCTGTCAACTGCATCTTTTTCGGGGAAGTAGTATTTAAATATCAACCACTTGTGTCCCGTTTCCCCGGAGATCACTCCTCCTCTTTCCTTTAAAAGATTAACTGCTTATCAAAGCCAGCTTTCAAGAAATGCAGCGGAGTGAAAGATTTATGATCTTTTATCTGGATAACTTTTCAAAGGATAGATAGTGTTTTTATTTTATAAAGCTTCGGATGCCTTGCCTGTGGTCATTTCCTGTGAGTTTCTAAGTGATTTTCAAGGATGATGCCTGATAACACAGTTTGGGAAAGCTAGACTTTTTAGTAGGACACAAAGTATTGTGGATTCTACTGGTTAGAATGGAAAAATGTTAGCTAAGGATCTTGTCTTCATTCTCTTTTCTGTGTCACTCTCACCACTCTCAGACAGGCTTATTTATATAATTTATTCAATTTTTAAAGACCTCATGACATTGACTTCAGTCTCTCCCAGAGGCCAACACACATCAAGAATACTAATGCTGCGGCCATGTTGTCCTGGTCCCAAACTAAGGTACAGTGATGTTCAATAAAGAAAGTGCCCCCTTGTTCAGGTCCTTCCCTAGCTCTGGGAGGTTCAGCAAGACTGAAGTCTGTGTTAAAGAGCAGCATGAGGCAACTTTGTTGTAGTGATATTGCTGAAGGCTAGGTGGCAGGATAGATACATCATTAGAAACACGCCTCCTTTCACGAAGGGAAAGAAGCAGATACTGGTAGAGGTGTTTAACAATGGGGATGGGGCAACGGGAGAAGAAAAAGCATGGATGGAAGGACAGGTACGGACACCCTGTGGGTCCACTTATAGGCCACCCCAGCATCGGCACTGCACTGTTGCCCCAATAGCACCAGGCCAGCCTGAGGTGCAAAACCCTCTGTGTCCCACCAGATGCTGTGTTCATGATTACTTTTCTTTGGAGAAAAGGTATGGCCAGGGTAGGAACTTGATGACTTTGGGTTCATCAAAGGGTGTCCTAAACCTTCTCTGAGGAATAATCAGAAGTGATCTTCAGCCACAATTCATAAAAATTCCCCCTGTTAAATTAAAAAAAGGTAATTATGGCACATTTCAAACATTCAAAGAACAGAAGATAATAGAGCATGTGCCCTCCACTCCCTACACTTATTTGACACATGTTCACTTTTTGCCGTTGTTGTTGAAGATTTTTATTTTTTTTTATTTTTGAGATGGAGTCTTGCTCTGTCTCCCAGGCTGGAGTGCAGTGGCACGGTCTTGGTTCACTGCTACCTCCACCTCCCAGGTTCAAGCGATTCTTCTGCCTCAACATCCCTAGTAGTTGGGACTACAGGTGCGCACCACTGTGCTTGGCTAATTTTTGTATTTTTAGTACAGACAGGGTTTCACCATGTTGGCCAGGCTGGTCTTGAAATCCTGACCTTGTGATCCACCCACCTTGGCCCCCCAAAGTGCTGGGATTACAGTCATGAGCCACCGCGCCCAGCTGAAGATTTTGTTAAAAGAGAAGTAGAGTGGGACAGATAACAGCTCACCTCCCATGCATGCCATCCCCGCATCCTCTTCCCTGGACAGAGGTAGTCAGTGTCCTGAAATAGCTCTGTATCCTTTCTGCACAATATTTTTCTAGGTTTTATGTGTAGTTTCTCATAGAACAGAATTATAGTGATTTTTGAGGGTAAAACCATGTGCTACTTTAGAGTTAATTTTGTAGTGGTGCTTGCAGTGGTGGCAATTTAACTAGAGTCTAAATTGACCCTGAGGCTGGCTGTTAAAGGAGCCGGAGCCAGCTGTGACGCAGAGTGATTTATATCCCGATGTGAGCCGCATATAAGTTAATAGCTGCACGAATTGATGTTAAGGAGGCTTCTGGAGCAGTTCCAGACAGATAGGGCAGAGCAGGGCAGGCTCCATAAATACTGTTTCTGGTTGGAGCCCTTCTGTCTTCTTGGATCATGGGATCTGGCATGTTCCTACAATGGACCGCTCAGAAGCTGTTTCAATTTTGGAAAATGAGATTAACCAGGAAAAGTGATCTGTTGTGACTTAGAGACAGTGTTGGTAGCACCAGATCTAGGTGGGAGAGAGATAGGGTAGGTAGAAAAAATGGAATCACATGGAAAAAGAGGAGAGAGAGAGAGAGAGTGTTAACTACTTGAAGCAGGTTTAATATGATTCATATGAACCGTGAAAAGGCCAAGTAAAATCACAGTGCATGGTTAGCAACTGAGATTTCACACAGTTTGGGAGGGAGAAGTGGTAAGAGCTAGCTTACCACTGTTAGTGCAGAGGGTAAATTTGTGTAAATTAGGAAAAGATGACCTTCCTCAAGATACTTTACTTCTATTCATCAGAATATTGTTATAAAATACAGATTCTGTTAGGACAGGAAACTTTACTGCCTCTTCCAGGAAATTGTCATAATGAATGTACCTGTCTGTGTCTGCTCTGTGAATAGCACCACTTAAACGGGGTTCTTGCTGTGTCGTACACAATCTGCACAGCTCTATGCAATGGCCCTGGTTGGAAGAGCTAAACTTCATATCTAAACTAGCAGGAAACACTGCTTTTCTACTAGTGTGGAAAGCATGGGTCCAGTGACGTGATTTGATCCGTTACTGGGGCTAAGGGATAGTCCTGAAACATTTAAAGCAGCTGCCTCTGGCCGTGTTCCCAGCTGGGTCAATCTAAACCCCTATGCCCTTCTTTCCTTAGAGAAATCAAGCTTTTCCATGCCTCCACACCTGTGCACAAACTCTTCATTCTGACAGGAACACTTTTCTTCTTCACTGCTAACTGGTGAGCTGCTAATTGTCATTAAAAACCTGGATGAAATCACATCTACTTTGGAAGATTTTGCTGACTCTCGTGTGTGATTTCCTAAGTGCATCTTGCTAGTGCCCCTGGAATCCTCTGTGTCTTCTTTAGTAAAATAGGGGGAAAATATTGTCTGCTTCAAAGGGTTGTCGTGGGACTTGAGTGAGGCAGTCCGTGTATATCTTGTTAGTGCTTAATCAATATTACCTGCTGTAGTCCCATCTTCCCCATTAAACTGAGGATCTTGAAGGGCCCCAGGTTTTATTCATCTTGGTTTTCCTCCTATCCTTACCTTTTGGACATGAGCCCTTAGTATAGTTTCTAGCACAGAAGGCACTTAATACATTATTTTTAACTGAAAAACATTGAGTGTGGTGGCTCTTGCCTATTATCTCAGCACTTTGAGAAGCCGAGGTGGGGAGATCACCTGAGGCCAGGAGTTCAAGACCAGCCTAGGCAACATGGTAAAACCCTGTCTCTACAAAAAATACAAAAATTAGCTGGGCATGGTAGCCCACGCCTGTAGTCCCAGCTGCTCAGGAGGCTGGGGTGGGATGATCACCCAAGCCTAGGGAGGTCAAGGCTGCAGTGAGCCGTGATTGCGTCACTGCACTCCATCTTGGGTGACAGAGTTTGACCCTGTCTTAAAAAAACAAAAAGAAAGAAAAATATTTACCACCCCTGAATTATTCCAGCGTCTTCCAACATCTTCCTAAACGCCTGAGTTTATCTTTGCATCATTTTGCCGGACTGTTGGTAATGTCTATGTTGATGTGTTTCTATTATGTTCTTTCATATACTAGTCTGGTCAATCCTGTATATTGCAAATGTAGCTTATAAACTCTTTACAAAAATTCCAATAGAGCCCTATTGTTGGACTTAAAATATGTTAATTGTAATGTAACTTAAATATGTACAAACATTTTAAGGTGTATGCTCTGTATGCTAACCTCACTGTAAAATCCAACTAATATGTAAATAAACCCAACTAAAGTTACAAACTCAACAAAGTGCAAAATGACGACATTAATTTGTGTGTTGATTGGTGTTTGGTTGATGTTTTGCTGAAAATAAATCACTACTCATGTTGTGATTATGGTTTAACTGTGACAGTGCAAGTTTTTTTGAGCTTGGCATGCACATTTGATATTTTGTTTGATGATTTAACTCTCCCACTACTTTTTTTTTTTTTTTAAAAAAAAACAACAGTGGAGTCATGTCTTGCATAGTGGTTAGTTTTAAAGTCATCTTGAAATACAAAAATTGAGTATAATCAAGATTCCCCATGAAAAGTCCTTAAATTACTTACAAAACAAAATGGTACTGCCAAATCTTCACTTTTTGTAACATGGCACCATGTCACTCAGCCTTCACTCAGCTTCCACACATTATCTCAGGACCATGTCTGCTTCTGCTCTTTAGCCCATCAGCAAATGACAATGAAAGTGGTGTTACTTGGCTTCTATGCCTTAGAAAATGAAAAAAGTCTTCTAGAGCTGAATTAGGTGGTCATCCAGATGACCTAAAATATGTTTATTTTCGAGATTATTAGCAAAATGACACATACACACATATATTGCAAAACAATTAGCATAGAATATATCTCTAGATCACTCCAGTTTGAGAAATACTGGTGTACTCCTTCACTGTCTTTTTCACTCTCATCCAAGATGGCTCTGTACTCAAGGAGAGCATAAATGGTATTCAGTGACTGCTTCTTTGGTCCAGGCCCAAGGAGTTACCTCCTCATCAATACAAGGAACACAGACACTTGACCATGAACCGAAAGCTGGGTTCACAGTTTCACAGACTCTTGAGCTGACTAGAACTCCAGGAAGCTGGTCTGCAGAGATTCTGTTCCAACTTTTGGTCTGCTGGCAAGGCTGTGAAGTCACTCAGTTTAACTAGGCAATTATTGGGTTTTAAATAGACTCAGGACTTATCCTCTGAGAGCTCCTTTCTAGGCCAGACACACTTGACCAGCTGGGACAAAAAATCTACACACAACCAAATGACAAATCTTGGACAAAACCACACTTTAAATATAAACAACATGAACAGTCTCTAGTATTATGGCTCATGTGTGTATGTGTGATGGGGGGTATATTGGAAGCTACATACAGAGATGTCATGGGGCCAGGAGAGTTGGCTACCAATTTGTTGGTGAATGAGGAAGGAGGAGATACTGTTTACAGCATAAACATCATGACTTAATAGGTCCTTCGCCTTGTGTAGACTTACAACAGGTTAATGCACCAATTCGATTACCAAGCAGAGAACAAAAACATCTTAACCTCAAGCCAACCAAGAGAACATCTATTTAAAGCAAGGATTGAAAGACCAGGCTGGGCACAGTGGCTCATGCCTGTTATCCCAACGCTTTGGGAGGCCTAGGCAGGTAGATCTTCTGAGGTCAGGAGTTCAAGACCAGCCTGGTTAAATGGTGAAACCCTGTTTCTACTAAAAATACAAAAAAGTAGCCAGGAGTGGTGGCAAGTGCCTGAAATCCCAGCTACTCAGGAGACTGAGGCAGGAGAATCTCTTGAACCTGGGAGGTGGAGATTGCAGTGAGCCGGGAGCGCGCTACTGCACTCCGGGTTGGGCAACAACAGCGAAACTCTCTCTCTCAAAAAAAAAAAAAAAAAAAAAAAAAAAAAGACTGAGTCGACAGAGATGTGGGATTTACCCAATTGGCATAGATTAAATGTGGAGGGTGGGTTTCTCTGAGACCCAAATGTTGAATATCACGTTTATTTTTATTAAAGCAGCTCATCCTTCAGCAAGTTGCATAACTTTTTCTGGTTCAATTTATTCTTCTGTAAAGTGGATTATGGTACGTATCAGTGGGGTGTTGTGAGGACTAAATAAGATCATCTATGTAAATCACTTAGCACAGCACCTACTACAAAGTATATTAGTTTGCTAAAGCTGCCTTAACAAAGTACTACAAATGGAATGACTTAAACAACAGAAACTTGTTGTCTCACAGTCCTGGAGGCTAGAAGTCCAAGATCAAGCTATCAACAGGGCCGTGCTCCCTCTGAAGGCACCACTTCTGGAAGAATCTATTCCAGGCTTCTCTCTCAGCTTCTAGTAGGTCGTTAGTTTGTGGCAGACTTCCATCTTCATATTGTTTTCTCCCTGTGGTGTATCTGTGTCCAAATTTTCCCTTTTTAGAAGGACACCAGCCATTTTGGATTAAGGGTCCACTCTACTCCAGTATGACCTCATCTTAACTAATTACATGTGCAAGGACCCTATTTCCAAATAAGGGCACATTTGGAGGTACTGGAGGTTCAGACTGAACATATGAATTTTGGGGGACACAATTCAATCCGTAACACACTCAAGTGGTAATTATTATTCACAATGTCTTTTAAAATTACCTTTTGGTTTTTTTGTTTTGTTTTGTTTTGTTTTTGAGACTGTCTCCCTCTTGTCACCCAGGCTGGAGTGCAATGACACGATCTTGGCTTACTGCAACCTCCACCTCCCGGGTTCAAGCGATTCTCCTGCCTCAGCCTCCTGAGTAGCTGGGATTACAGGCACCTGCCACCACACCCAGCTAATTTTTGTATTTTAGTAGAAACAGGGCTTCACCATGTTGGCCAGGCTGGTCTCGAACTCCTGACTTCAGATGATCCACCTGCCTTGGCCTCCCAAAGTGCTGGGATTACGGGTGTGAGCCACCACACCTGGCCTCTGTGAATATTTTTATATACAAAATTTTCAGAACTGCATCTCTCTTCTCATAGTCCTTCTAGGCCTTAATTTTGCCTAGAAAAAAGTGCCATGAAAGCAGGCAGTTTGACGGCTGTGTTCACCATTGCATTGCCCAGGGCCTACAAGAGCAACCGACATATAGTAGATGCTCAAATATTTGTGAGTAAATGAATGAAGTCTATTTCTTTCCTCCTTTCCTCTTTCTATTTTTTCTTTTGATTACTCAATAGCCAGCTTCTCTTTCTTGTTATCTTTTTTACGTTGCTAAAGTATTAAAGGCAAAAAAAATAAAACCAAACAAATTTTAATTTTCTTTGTTGATAATTACTAAATCCTCCCTAATCACTTGCTCTCTGCAACCAGTTAGAAACCCAACCAGATGGGAAAGGGCCTGGGAGAGTAGGGGGTGGGGAGAGATGCCTGTGTTGGAGAGAGCTGGAGTCCACTTGGGGCATTTCCTAGGGGTTGATATGGGCCAGGGCTGGGAGTCTGGAATGAATGGGACTTAATTCTACTCAATAGTCTGGGAAGAAATAAATGAGGTCAATATTGACCCTAGAGGTTCAAAGTCAAAGTTTAAATGAGGCACCACCAGTAAAGGCCCCAAAGATTTGGTCACCTGCATCAGATGGTTTCTGGCCTGCAAACACATAGGGAGTTGTAAAATCTTGGACTCAGGCAGAACCCGGAATATGAAATACAGGGAGAAAACACTCTGTATTCTAGAAATCCTGAGATAAACTGTCATATGCTAAGCTTCTCTGGAGTGGTCTCTGGACCCCATCTCCTACTCCCCAAAAACAGAAATGACTGAAAACTGCAGACACACTAATCATTACTGATTAACTGTCATCATCTGTGTACATATGTATTTATCCACCTACCTACCTTTTTCTCACAGCTGTAAAACAGAGGTTACCTATGCACACTGCCCTAGAAAGAAACAGGAAGGATACTGGCTGGCTGGGGACTGGGAGATGTGGGTTTAAGGGGGACAGTTGCAATTCACTTTTTGCCTGTTGTCACCATTTGGGTCTCTGAAAACAGCATTGGCTCACCCTCCCCCACCTTCTTTATTCCCAAAGATTTGACTGGTTATTTAATTATATTAACACAAATCATTTCATTGTAGAGAATTTCAAACAGACACAAAAGATGGCTCTCCCATTACTCCATGGCCACCCTGTCCCATATACACAGCTCCATCTGCTCCCCCCATTCCCATTGACTGGATTTTAAAATAGAATGAAAACATGGCCCTTCAGTCCAGGCACAGTATTATGTTTATGGGGCATCTTTCTTCTTACACCCTGAACACTCACCTGCATTTCCTGACTAGTAAGTAGGGAGGGGGGTGATTCCTCTCTCTATTGGAGAAGAAAATTTGGTGATCTATAGAAGTGAGTGTTTGGGGAAAGTGGGTCAGTGGAGGATGCAGGTGAGGTTCCAGAGTCTGGACATACAAGAGGATGGGGTTGGGGGCAGATGATCTGGGCAGAGAAAGCAGTGAAGCAAGAGGTGGAGAAAAGGGGGTGGAGAGGGCACATCCAGGTGAAGCGTCCTGAGTATAGGGGAGCCCACAGGACTGGAACAAGTGAGGCTGGTGGTACCTATCTAGGGATCATCCGCAAAACTGTGGCAATATGAACATGACCTCCCACAGAGAATCACTGGGCAGAAGAGAGCACCTGGTCTGAGCTTAGGAGAAGAGCCCGAGTTATTGCTTGAGAGGAAAAGAGGAACAGAGAAAGAACAGTCTGGAAATAAAAGGAGCAACTGAGGCATCAGTCTCTGCCTTCTTGAACTAGGAATGCTCTAAGAGAAAGAAGAAAATCACCATAATAACACCATTAGCCAACTTTCATAGAAGCCTTCTTACATGCGAGCCACCTGACATGCATTATTTTACTTAATCTTCACTACAGCCTTATAAGGGAGAGCACATTTATTAACTTACTTTATAATTGAGACTGGAGGCACTGAATGGCTTAAAAAACAAGCCCAAGACCACACAGCTACTAGATAGAAGAGTTGGGCTACGAGCTCAGGAAGTTTGAGCTGGCAGTCTCCACACTTAACCATGCCAACCTGCCTGCCTGGGGAAGCCATGGTTGGTTTCGCATGATAAAGAACTGCCACTGAAGCCTGAATTAAGGGAAAGGGTGGTGGGTTGCCGAGAGTAGAAGTCGATGAGAGCCACCACATGGAGTCATCAGTACAGACCAAGCAGTCAGTCTAAGAGATCTTTCTTGGAAGAGGGAAGAGAGAGGTAGTGGCTAGATTGATGACTGTGATGGTTAACTTATGTGTCAACTTAACTGGGTTAAGGGACACCCAGACAGCTGGTAAAACATTATTTCTGGGTGTGTCTGTGAGGGTGTTTCTGGAACAGACCAGCATTTCAGTCAGAGAACTGAGTAAAGCAGATTCACCCTTACCAACATGGGCTGGCATCAGCCAATTCACTGAGGGCCCAAATAGAATAAAAAGGCAAGGACGATTGGGTGAACTGGCTCTGTCTTTTCCTGAGCTGGGACATCCATTTTCTCCTGCCCTTGGACATCAGAGCTCCTGGTTCAAAGTTCCCCTGAATCTCACCCCCAATCCCCTCCAATTCTCAGGCCTTTGGACTGGGAGTTACACCAGAGGCTCCGCTTGTTCTTAGGCCTTGGGACTCAAACTGAATTACACTATTGGCTTTCCTAGGCTCCATAATTGCATGAACCAATCCAATAAAAAAATGTCCTTTCATCTGTGTATCTATGTATTTCTCTATGTATCTGTATATCTATGTATTAGCAATCCATCCATCCATCCATCCATCCATCCATTCATCCAACCAACCACCCAACCATTCATCCATCCTATTGGTTTTGCTTCTCTGGAGAACTCTGACTAGTACAATGGCCCTAGGAAAACCCTGGTTTTCTGCAAAATAGAGGGGGAAGTGGAGAAGCTGGTGACAAGGGAGACAAGAGGCGAAGGCAGGGAGTGGACATAGGAAGACAGCTGGAATAGATACTTTTTGGTGTGGGTGGAGGGGCTTGGTTTCTGTGCAGGCAATGAAGGCAGAGAGGTGATTCCAGGAAGGAAGGAGGGATGAAGGGCACCTGTTTGATTTGACCATGGTGAAGGAAGTCAAGAGCTTGTCATCATGTCAAGGTGGGAAGAGACTGGAACCTATGGAGAGAAATGAGTGTGTGAAACAGCTGGGATAAACTGGGTAGGATGGCAGACTCTTGAGATTGCCAGGAAGTTGCTTATCCTGAGTCCCAGAGAAGTGTGCAGTTATACTTCTCGAGTTTTCTTGGTAGTGGCTTAACTTGATCACAGAGTGCCAGCATTGCAGAGATTGGTTAAGGCAGATGGAGGCCTGGAAATCAGATCAAACTTGCTCCTCAGTGCCTTCACCCTGCTTCTGCCAGCTCTGTGCCTGGCATGCAGGATGGGAAAGAAGAGAGGTGGTTTGGAAGCAGGAGGCAGGGAGCCCGCATCCCTGCCTTACCCTACCTCCTGCCACCACCTGGGCAGCACTGCAGTGAGCTCCAGGATGAGAAGGCTGACTCAGGTGACTGAGAGTCTCCTCTTAGAGCAGGTTGCTGCCCAGCTCCAGGGCTGGCCAAGCCATCTCTCCAACCAGATTTCAGAGAGAGGTGGCTGGCAGGAGCATGGTGATCTCACACGCCTCAGCACACTCCTTTCCCACCAGCTCCTGGGAGGTGTGGGGCATGCTTAGGAACTCCATGCTTTCAGCCTCACTGTTTAGCAGGATGGCCATTTATGCCCAAGGTTCAGATTCTCAGAGTGGTCCCTGTCCCCAGAGTAAGAACTACTTACCCTACCTCCTGCCACCACCCCGGCAGCACTGCAGTGAGCTCAGGAGTGAGGAGGTTGACTCAGGTGGCCTGATTCAGAGCAGGCACCCAACTACTGTAGAGCGAATTTCCCCCTGAACTCCTGGGGTAGTGGCCAGTGCCCCCAACTCCTAACCCAAGTCCAATTACCCAGCAGGCCCAAAGAAACATGAGTAAAGCTTCCATCTCTTTTCTAGACTTACACGGATGGGGCTCTGCCACAGGCATTGGCTATAAGAAGGTTGGTCTCTCTTAGCCATACGTTGCGACAGCAACAGGAAGAGAAAGATGCGGCCTCGTTAAAGCCCATTGGGAAATGTGAGCAGGATCAATGCTAGTTGAGAAATCTGGGGTACCTTTTTAGTAACAGCTTTATTGAAATATAATTATTCACACACCATACAATTCAACCATTTAAAGTGTACAATTCAATGATTTTTAGTATATTCATAGAGCTGTGCAACTATCACCACAATTAATTTAAAAATATTTTACCACCTTGAAAGAAACCCTGAGCCATTTAGCTATTACTCTATAATCTCCCCAACATCCTCTACCCCTAAGCAACTACTCATCTACTTTCTGTCTATAGATTTGCCTATTCTGGATGTTTCATATAAATGGAATCATATAATAAGTGGTCTTTTGTGTCTGGCTTCTTTCACTTAGTATAATGGTTTCAAGGTTCAACCATGTTTCAGCATGTATCAGTACTTCATTCTTTTTTATGGCTGAATAATATTCCAAGGTATGGATATACCATAGTTTGTTTATTGATTTATCAGTCGATGGACATTTTAGTTGTTTCTAGTTTTTGGCTATTAAGAATAATGCTTCTATGAACACTTGTATGCAAGTTTTTGTGTGAACACATGTTTTTATTTCTCTTGGGTGATGTACCTAGAATTGAGATTGCTGGGTCATATGGTAACTCTATGCTTAACTTTTTGAGGAAATGACTGGCTGTTTTCCAAAGTAGCTTCATCTTTTTCCATTCTCTGGGGCAATGTATGAGAGTCCCAATTGTCCACAGTCTTGTCAACACTTATTATTATCTGACTCTTTGATTATAATCATCCTACTGGGTATAAAGTGGTATCCATTGTCATTTTGATTTGCCTGATGACTAATGATATTAAGCATCTTTCTATGTACTAATTGGCCATTTGTATATCTTCTTTGGAGAGATGTCTATTCAGATCCATTGCTTTTTATTTTATTTTTTTTTTATAAGATGGAGTCTTGCTTTGTCACCCAGGCTGGAGTGCAGCAGCGTGATCTCGGCTCACTGCAACCTATATTTCAAGGGCTCTATAGCCACATGTGCCTAGTGGCTACTGTATTGGACAGTGCAAATATAGACTATTCCCATAAATGCAAAAAGTTTTACTGGATGTTGTTATAGAGGCTAAGTTACATGTCCAAGATGACATATGGGTCATACATCATCCTTAGGCTCTGAGTCCTTGGATCAGTGCTAGATCTCAAGCATGAACCTAATTGACAAGAGAGAAAGGACTTACAAGAGGAAGAAACATTAAGTTGTTTTCATGGTTCTAAAGTTCTGTTGTATTTTTAAAAAGTCAGAAGAAGCCACCAGCAAATGAACCCAAGTCAGCTGATGTTTCATGAGAGTACTTCAGCACCAGGCACTGTGCTTTATTTTGTGTTACCAGGAACACAAAGTTGAGTATGTTTCCTGATTGCAGAGATCTTTACGGTTTTCTGTGGAAGACTGGACACATACAGTTAGTACAAAGCGCATACAGGTATTATCTTCAGAGAGATGCAGGCAACCAGCCTGGGGGCTGGGGATTAAGATTCACTCCCAGGGGCATCTCTATAGTACACACACCTTAATAGATGTCCTATTTTTCCTAGCCATTTAAGCACCCCCTTGTCTTTTTGACTCTCCCAGAGAGCATGACCAGCTTCAGGGAAGAACATACCGATTGTGTTATTACAGGGCTGTGCTTCGACACTGGCTGACATCTGGCCAACCCTACAATACTAAAACTGCACAGACTCGCAGTGCAGAAGAGGCTGACAGCCCCAGTGAAAAACTGAGTTCTCCAGTTCTAACTTCCAGGGGTTATTCAAAGTGTCAGGGAAGTGGGGCAGGGAGTGGCGGAGGGAAGACATTCTAGAAAATTGATGAGGAGTGTTTGGGCTGGGGCCTTTTGGAAACTGCTCCCATCCTGAGGCTGGCCCAGCCTGCCCCATCTCAACCCAGTGCCTTTGAAGTGTGTTACCTGGACAGGGAGCTGAGCCATGCTTGGCAGGAAGGGGCGGAAGGCTGTGTGGTCTGGCACAGGGCAGAGCAGAGGGGCAGCGGGACTAAGCTAGGATCTGGTGCTGACTCAACGGCACCTCTGCAGCCAGCATTCCGCCAGCCAGTCCAGCTGGAAAATGAGGGAAGGACCAAGTGGAGACCTCACTGAGAAATCCAGATGTCTTTCACGAGAATAAACAAGGCAGCCCTCCTTTCTTTCTCTGGCCCGTGTTTCTCGCTTTGTGTGTGTGTCTGTTTCTGGGTCTCTGGGAGTGTGTGTGTGTGTGTGTCTTTTAGCTTTGAGCATTTTTCTCTGTTCCCTGTGCTTTTACTTTCCATATAGATCCACGTCAGGGCTTGATTTTGGTCTCTGCCTCAGTCACTGTCTTCAGGTATCACTGGGCAGAGCCCGTAGTATCCCTCTCACCCCACCCACTTCCCTATACCTGTCTTTAACTTCCCTTCTATTTCAAGCAAGGTCCGGGTTTCTGCTGAGTCTTCTGAGTGGTGTGTCTCGGCGGCCTCGGCTCTTCCTCCTTGACAATAGAAATGTTGGGGGTAGCGGGAATAGAAAAAGCTCTTGACCTGGCAAAGGCCTTGCAGGGCTCTGGCTCTGTTCGTTGCTGGAGCAACAGCAGAGTTTTTTTTTGTTGTTGTTTTTTTTTGTTTTTTTTTTTTTGTTTTTTTTTTAATAGGCACTTCTGGTATAGGAACAAAGAACAACAACAGAAAAACCCACTCCTTTAAAGTATGTACTTTTCTATGGCCTTGGATTTCATTTTTCTTTGCCACCCCGTGCCTCACCCCCAGAGTTCTCAGACAGGCCACACATCTTCCATCTTTCTACCCCTACATCCTTCCTATTTCTCAGAAAGCAAAATCCATTTACCTCCCCCTGGCCTTCCTCTCTCATCCCATTCCTCCTCATGTAGTGTGATTTGGAGAGTAGCTTGACTTTAATTGTCTGCATCTCATTTGACTCAAGTTTCAGAGGGACACCCTTGTTCAGAGTCTGACTCTGTCCGAAAACATACCAGCTGGGAGTCACACAAAACTGAGTTGGACCACGATGCCTCCCTCAGCTGAGTGACCTTGGTGTGTGCCATTTTGAGCTTCAGTGCTCCTCACTTGTAAAACGGAAATAATTTAACCCACAATGGTGGGAATGCAAAACAGGATAATATACATAACCTTCTTAAGCATACTGTTCAATAAGTAAATGGGCTTTCGACCTGAAGTTCCAACTCTTCACATTCACTGTGGATAGCAAAGAGTGTTCTCTCTTTTTAAGATAGCCTTGGCTTCTCCTCTTAATGTATTCCCCTTTCCTTCTGTACCAGGCCTAGTGATAATTGCCTGTCCTGCCTCTGTTCACAGGGAGCGAGCCTCAGTGCTTTGAACGCCTCCTGCTCCATCACAGTGACTGCTCAAGGCAGGACACCTGATCCTATCGGAATCCACCCACGGGTGAGTCTGGGACAATTCGATTCTCTCTTTCATAAATGAAAGAATGAAAGGCACACAGGAGGAAGGATCAGTTAGGGGCAGTCATGGGAGGTGAGAAGCCTTAGGAGGATGGAATATTGGAAGAAGGATAAGAGGAACAAATAGCAGCAGGCGAGGAGGATGGAATCAAGAGACAATGGCCCTGGATCACAAAGGCTTTTGGTTCTCCCGTTCCAGGGACCCATGACATCTTCCCCATTTTCCCATGACATTCCTGGTACCTTTTCAACCACGCCTCTATTCCCTTGAACTAGTTGGAGGGGGTTTCTGTTCCTTGCAACCCAAAGAGCCTTTATGAGAACACCGCCATGGATTTTCTGATTGTGAGTGCTGCTTGGCTGTCACAGAAGTCCTCTTCTTCTCTCACCTCGAAGGGTTTGGGCATTCTGTGTCTTCATGGAATGTCAACTCTGCAAGGTGCTGCACGACAGGAGTTCATTCTTCCATCAGTTTTCAAGCTAGACAACTTTCATGCTTAGGAAACTCCTGTAGCATCCAACAATGTTCCTCTTGCTGCAGTTTGAACTCTTCTTCTCATTGTTCTTCTTCTTTTTTGAGATGGAGTTTCGCTGTTGTTGCCCAGGCTGTGGTGCAATGGTGTGATCTCGGTTCAATACAAACTTGGCCTCCTGGGTTCAGGCGATTCTCCTGCCTCAGCCTCCTGAGTAGCTGGGATTACAGGCGCCTGCCACCACACCCAGCTAATTTTTGTATTTTTAGTAGAGACTGGGTTTTGCCATGTTGGCCAGGCTGGTCTCGAACTCCTGACCTCAGGTGATCTGCCCACCTTGGCCTCCCAACGTGCTGGGATTATATGCGTGAGCCACTGCACCTGGCCTTTCCCCCGGCCCCCGCTCCTTTGGAAGCCTTGTAGCTCAATTTTTTTTTTAATTGATTGGTTTCAAGGAGACCAGAGATCAGACTCTGAATTTCTCAAGGGAGAGATTCTGGAGACATAAAATCTGTTTTGAAAGTTTTAAACTATATCTTACCTTTGCAAGATGCCTGATGTTTTGGATCTCAGCCCTATTTTTTTGAGAATTCACCATACGTTCACAGACATCATCTCTTTGTTCCTTCCCACAATATCTGGCTGGCTCAGTGAACCCATTCTCCCAACCTGGAAATAGAAGCCTAGAAGAAGGCTGGCTGGGGGCTTGCATCTCTGAGGCAAGTCAGCTTTGGAAACCTGGGAAGAATGCCTCCTTTCCCCACTATCCCAGGCTCATTGCCAAGCTGCCAGCTAGAGACCCGAGCTCTGGGCAGAACTCATTTCAGAGTGAGTCAGAAACATGAGGGAGTCTTGTTCACACATGCCGACCAAGGGAAAAGCCCCAAGGGAGATGTTTCAAGGAGTCCTACCAGAGACTCGGGAGATCTTTTCTCTTCTCTATTGGAAGAGACAGCCCACCCACTTGGCGGATGCCCAGCTCTCCAGACTGAGTGCCAAGAAAAGAATAAGAGAGGTCCTGAGACCCTGGCTCCAGGGCCATGGTCTGTCTCTATGGAGTACAGGGTCGGGACCATTCATAACAGGCACAAAACACTCCTCTGGCCCTTTAGCAAGAGAGCTGCTATGACAGCACCCCCACTGACCTGGACATCTCTGTGATGTTACCTTAGAAACCAGAAAAAGCAATCTAAGCCACTTCTTTGATTTTCTCTAGCATCTGGAAATTAAACTTTTTACACGAGCCAATACTTTTAGCCTTTTTCTTAACCCAAACTTCCTCTCCCAGGACTGCTGTGGAGGGAGAATTTAGAACGGGTGAGCTAAGAACCTTCCGAGATGCCAAAGGTCTTTGACATTTGGTGAGTTTGAGTACTCCTAGTACTCAAGGGCAAGTGCAGTCTGGTTGGATCTCTCCAGGTAGGGAGCCTTTTAAAACCCCAGAATTTCCAGGTGGGCACCTCCTTCCTTTCAGCATTGCATGGGCCATGGCCATCAATGAGGGCAATTTCCTTGCACCACAGGTCCCAGGGACAGTGTCTCTGCGTGGCCTGGTGAGGGGGAAGGGCCTCCAAAATTAGATGACTAGATTTCGACTCATGGATGACATTCCTGAGTGAGATCAGGGGTCAGGCAGGTGGTAAGAGGCATGAAAAAAATGCACTACTCCCCAGCCCCCCAGCCCTGGGTAATATTTTAGATGACTACATGCAAATAGGGAGAATTCACAATGGATCGAGGTTCACATTAGTGGACAGAATGTTTATGTGGGCCTAGGTGAGAGTACCTCTGTGGAGAACCTAGAGGCAGAGGCCTGAGGGTTAGGGAAGCCTGATAAAATCTAGGGAGTCCAGTTAAATTTGAATTTCAGATAAACAACTAATAAATTGCAGTAAAAATGTGTCCCACTCCATAGTAGACACATTTATATTAAACATTATTATTATTATTATTTGAGACAGAGTTCTGTTCTTTTTGCCCAGGCTGGAGTGCAGTGGCACGATCTCAGCTCACTGCAACCTCTGCCTCCTAAGTTCAAGTGATTCTCCTGCCTCAGCCTCCTGAGTAGCTGGGATTACAGATGCCCGCAAAAATTATTTGTCTAAAATTCAAATTTAATTGAGTGTGCTATATTTTTATTTGTTAACTCTGGCAACTCCACTTGGGTGGGCCCAGTCCCTGGCATCTTCAGGTTTTTGTGGAGCTGGTGTGCACGCACATCTGCATGTAGGACATTTGGGGTACCAAGGCAAATAGAAATATCTAGGCCAGAGGTCATTTCAGTGTTTGTTTTGTTTTGTTTTTTGAATGATTCCGTAATTGTTAATTTTCTATTTCAAAACATTTCTCAAGTCCTTGGAGATCCTTGGAGAATTCCAGAGGCCCTCCAGAAACTTGACCGATAGATCTTCTTAATTAAATTTCTCCAGTAGGTCACTGGGAAGAAGGAGCTAGCTGGGAGTCTTAGAGTCATATGTGATCTTCCCCCTTTCTTTCTGTCATTATTTCAGATCGCTGTCCTGCACTCCTCTTTCTTCTCTCTGGCGAGCCACCAAGGAGATAAAATATGAAGCCAGAAGCCCTAAGAGCTTAGGCGTGGTGGGGAAAAATAAATCTTAGAGAGGTTTGAGTGCATGAGAGAGGGGTATCCAGCAAGGGCTTTGTGGGCGCGGCGAGAAAAAGCTTGGGGCTAGGACTCAGGGAACTCTGGCAGGAGTTGAATCAGTCCTCTGCCGGTCTAGGAATGGCAGACTCCACACAGCTGGCTCCGGGCTGTGCAAAGGGAGTGGCAGGTGAGGGCTGTTAGCCCCTGGCTCGATCCTGGAGCCAGGCATCACAGGTTGCAACAAACTCCAAAAAGATTGCCCAGGCCGGGAGCAGTGGCTCATGCCTGTAATCCCAGCATTTTGGGAGGCCGAGGTGGGCGGATCACGAGGTCAAGAGATCGAGATCATCCTGGTCAACACAGTGAAACCCCATCTCTACTAAAAATACAAAAATCAGCTGGGCTTGGTGTTGCGCGCTTGTAGTCCCAGCTACTTGGAAGGCTGAGGCAGGAGAATCGCTTGAACCCGGGAGGCGGAGGTCGCAGTGAGCTGAGATTGTGCCACTGTACTACAGCCTGGTGACACAGTGAGACTGTCTTAAAAAAAAAGAAAAAAAGAGATTGCCCGGAGCACTCTGGTTGCCCTGGAATAGCAGTGTAAGTGCCATTGCCAGGCTGGGATGTCTGAATCTTTTTGTTCAGGACAGATTTGCCACTGTTTGATGCTAGTTTGTCAGAAGACTTGACCAATATTAAATAGTGTTAAGTGTGGGACAGAGGTGAGGAAGCAAGCTGGTTCCAGGTTTCCAGCTCTGGCAAGCTCTCCTGTTTGCCTGGTAGGACGAGTCCTCTGGAACCAAGTGGTTCCTGTGGCATCCAGGGTAAACGTCTGCTCCTTGGCTTCTTGGCTACCTTCTTGGGAGACATTTGGGTCCCAGCTCTAATGCCTGGAAGCCCACACTTTACCGCAGTGAGTGAGGGGCCTCCTGGGCCAGGGCAGGCTGTTCAGCCCACCAGTATCTCATTCTCTAAACCCAGACAATGTGCCTGACTCCAGCTCCTGGAAAAGCTGGGTCTGGTCAAATGGGAGGACTCAACGTGTTAGTGCACATGGGAGGGCAGGATTTCTGCTGTTTTCCCTGTCCCTCCAATTTATTGGCCAGTGCAGGCACCAACCAGTCCCCTGCTGACCCTGCCAAGGCATTTTTCTTCTTTTTGCCACACCTTGAACTCTCATTTAGCTCAGGGTCACAGACAAAACCATATACCCCTTTAGCCTCAGTTTCCTCATCTGTAAAGTGGGTGGCACTTCACCCATAACTCAGCCTCAAACTAGGACATCCCTTCCTTAAGCCTATGCTGATGTAGATCAGACTTAGAGTTAAGAACCTCTTCGTAAAGGCTCTCGGGTTTGTCTCTGATATTCCCATTTTCTTAAATTTGGGGATTCATGAAGATCTTGAGATATAATCCTTGGGAATGTCAAGAGTTTACTGTACATTAAAACATTGATAGTGTGTTGTCTTGTGTTCTGCGACAGTGGATGATCTGAAGAGTCTTCTTTGAATCTTTATGGATATGCATTTTTTTTTTGGTACAGTGAGAAATAAACTGTAAAGACTTTAAAGTAAACTTTTAAAGACTGTTATGAGAGGGAGAGGTCCCAGTCACTTGTTCACCTGCTTCTCAAGGGTGCTAAGGGGTGAGCAATGGTTTTGTGTAAGGAGGCAGAGATTCAGTTCCATGACCTCTGGAAGGACCTTGCAGTACACCATTCTGTGCTCTATGCGCACAGTCCTTTCCTGCACTTGTCTGGGGGAGCCTGTCGCCAGGAACCAGAAGAGGAGAAGAGAAGGAGAGGGAATGGGAAAAGGAGACTGGAGGAGAGAGAAAGAAGAGCAAAAGAGAAAACTGCACTATCACGAAAAGTTTGAAACCTTCCTTTCAACTTTTCCCTTATAATTAGTGGACGCAGCTGGAGGGAAGAACCCTGGGTGAGTTGCAACTTGTTGGGCTCCAGCCCTCAGGATGTGTAAGACTGGCACAGTGTTTGGGCAGAAGACTCAGTTCTCAGATGGCTCCTCCTCCCTCTCTGTCTTTTCGTTTTAATTCCCTGCCTGGGAGGGGCTTGTGAGGCGTTTGAAACATTTTAGTGTCCTCAGCCAGGAAGCCTTTCCTACAGGGCTGGCCTGGAGATGCGGGGAAGGAGGTGGTCGAGGCAGTCTTCCTTCTGCAGTGACTCAGGAGCCAGCTCCTAAAAGGGCCTGGGGGATGTTGTGGGGAAGGTCCTGAAGGAGGAATGGGGAGGGCCAGGATCCTGCAGGGGCAAGTGCAGTCTGGTTGGATCTCTCCAGGCAGGGAGCCTCTTAAAATCCCAGAATTTCCAGGTGGGCATCTGCTGCCTTTCGGCATGGGAGCAGCCATGGCCATCAATGAGGGTAATTTCCTTGTATCATGGGTCCCAGGGACAGTGTCCCTGCATGGCCTGGTGGTGAGGGGGCAGGGCCTTCAAAGTCAGATGACTATATTTGAAACCTGAGTCTCTGCTTACTGTCTGCATAAGCTGCAGCAAGTTACTCAATTTCTCTCTGTCCCCCAGTTTACTCATCTGGCAAATGGGTACAATGGTAATATACCTCCTTAAGAAGGCTGCTCGGCATAGCTCCTGGCACATGGTGAGCATAGGTATCAGCTTCTGTTATTGCTATAGTGGGAGACCACATGGGTTTTGCCTGTGAACAGGACACTCCTGCCTTCTTGTCCCACTCAAGAGTTTGCTGCAGCAGAAAGGACTGAGATTCCGTGCCAGGGAGAACTTCCATCTGTAAACAGTTGATATGGCCCCTGGAGGCAGAGGTGTTGCCTTTGCATTGAACCAGAGCTGGTCCCCTGGCGAGGCTGCATGGAGGTGGCCGTGCGTGCAACAGAGGGCCCTGTGGCTGGTGCAGCTCCTGGCTGGGCGATCACTCCTCTCCTGTCCCTATCCAATCAGCCGTGCCTAGAGCTGAGTTCTCACCTTTTGCCATCATTCCTGTGCAGTGGCCCCCAGGTGAGCAGCACAGGTCACAGGAGAGCAGAGGGATTCTTTGGTGTCATCCATCTGATATGAGGTACTTCTCCCTGCAGGTTGGCCCGGCCAAGCACTGTGCTATTAGCTGTCTTTTACTGAGAGTCTAGGATGTTCCAGTCACACGACATGGAATATTTCTCATCTTCACAGCAACTCTGCAAGTAAGGATAATCACTCCCATTTCCTGGAAAATTACGTGATACTTAGTGAATTTTTTTTTTTTTTTTTTGAGATGGAGTTTCACTCTTGTTGCCCAGGCTGGAGTGCAATGGCGTGATCTCGGCTCACTGCAACCTCTGCCTTCTGGATTCAAGTGATTCTCCAGCCTCAGCCTCCCAAGTAGCTGGGATTACAGGCGCCCACCACCACGCCTGGCTAATTTTTTGTATTTTTACTAGAGACGGGGTTTCATCATGTTGTCCAGGTTGGTCTCAAACTTCTGACCTTAGGTGATCCACCCAGCTTGGCCCCTCAAAGTTCTGGGATTACAGGCGTGAGCCACCACACCTGGCCGTACTTAGTGAATTTAAGCTACATGCCCAAGGTCGGACAGTTTGCAAGTACAGTACAGGTTCGCGGTAGGGGTTGGAATGAAAAATTATTAATATATGGTTCCAAAGCTTGGGTTCCTCATAATATTAAGGTAATTGACGTTAATGGAGCCATTGCTATGTGCATTGTTTTACTGAAATGTTTGCACCGACAATAGAACAGTTGTTCTTTTATGGATGAGGACATTGTGGTGTAGGGGAGCTAAGACCAGACTTTCTTGGATTGTCTTCTTTAGTCTGGCTAGTATGCTTAAAGTGACTGTGGAAGTCTGTTTTGCTCCAGTGGTAGCCCTCTGTTTACCTACCAGGGAGCCCCGTAAGTCTTAGAATTCTACAGCCTGTCCTGGACTTCACACTCTAGGGCCCCACAGGCAACTGCCTCTGTCCCCCACTAGACCATTAATGCATTAAAAGTTGAGACTGTGCTTACTCACTTGGCATCTACACTGCCTTATGCATAGTAAACACTTAACAGTTGCTCTCTAAATGAAATTGGTCACCATAATAATAGCTAACATTAACTGCTTACTGTATGTCTGTTCTGTAGACTATACCGTATGCATTCCCCTGTGTAATCCTCGAAACAATCTCATTTGACAGATGAAGAAACTGAGACCTGGAGAGGTGAAATGAACCTTTTCGGTGTCCCTAAGCAGCAAGTGGTAGAGTTGGAGACAAAAGAAAATTTTCTGCCTTTAAATCCTGTGCGTTTTTCTTTACAAGTGTCTACAGTACCCTCCTCACTAGAGCCTCCTTCTTTCCCCTTCCCCATGGTTTCTGGAGATGGTTTTTCCTAATCTCATTCTGCAAAAGACGTTTGCAGAATGCCCATCTTGGAGCAGGGCCACTGAGGCCATCAGGAACCCACCAACACGCTTTATTTCTTGCAAAGCAAGAGGCACTTTAAGGCCACAAGCCTGACCAGTCAACTTCAAAACAGCTGTCAACCTTTGCTTTCTATCTTCATCCATCTTTGGGTTCTGAACCCATTCCTCTCACTTAGGTAGCTCCAGAGCCTTCAGAATTAGGGTTTTCACTCTGCCTTGCAAGAGGGTGATGGGTTTCCCTGGAGGCAGTTCAGTAACGTGCACCTATCTCTCCTCCTCTGCCATCCTTTCTTTTCCCATTCATCTACCTCCCTAGGCTGCAGGTGTCAGTTAGGTACCCTTGAAGGATTGTAGTAGTGTCCTCTTGCTGCTATACCAAGTTACTCCAAAGTTAGTGAATTAAAACAGCACAAATTTATTCTTTTATAGTCCTGAAAGTCACAAGTCAGAAATGAGCCTTAGGAGGCTAAAGTCAGGATGTTGTAGGGCTGGTTTCTTCTGGAGGCTCCAGGGGAAAATCTATTCCTTGCCTCTTCCAGTTTCTAGCTGTTGGCACACCTTAGCTTCTTGGCTTATGGCTGCATCACTCCAATCTCTGCCTCTGTTTGTCATCACATCACCCTTTCCTTTCTCTATATGCAGTGCCTGCCTATCTTATCATAAGACCTATGTAATTATATCACTGGGCCCATTCAGATAATCCAGGACAATTTCCCCATCTCCAAATTCTTTGTTTACATCTGCACAGTCCCTTTTGCCATATAAGGTAATGTATTCACAGTTTCTAGGATTAGGACATGGACATCTTTGGGAGGCATTTTTCAATTGACCACAGGGATGGTTTGTGCATCTAGAATTGCCTTCTTTCAACCTGCCTGTCCATTATACCAGTAAACAACAGCATGGACTCTGTAGCTGCAGCTGGACTGGCACTCTATGTGCGGGCGTCATCTTGCTGACGTTTTACAACCTTTCCATGATGCTGGCACCATTACATTTGTTCCTGTCTTATAAAGAAGAAACTCTATAAACACTGAGCATTTAAGCAACTTGCTTGAGGTCATACAAGGAGTAAGTCAAGGACCTGAGATTTGAACCCTGGTCTATTTGATTCCAAGATCATTCCGTTCAATATGACACTCTCCCTGTCATGGTAGCCAGGCTCCAATGACCCTGATCACTCTCCTATGGAGACCCTTCCCACACTCTATCAGGGTGGGTCAGTGTGATGAATGGGATACCAGGAAAGTGATGGTGTGTGTCTTCTGAGGCTGGGTTGCAAAGACATTGTAGCTTTTGCCTTGTTCTCTTGGACACTTGCCCTGGGGTCTAGATGCCATGCCCTAAGGACTTTCAAACAGCCCTGTGGAGGGGTTCACATGGTGAGTCACTGAAGCCTCCTGCCAACAGCCATCACCCATGGGCCAATTGTGAGTGAACCATCTTGGAAAGTGGATCCCAGCTTAGTCAGGCCCTCAGGTGACTGCAGCCCCAGCTGCTATCTTGACTGTAACTTCATGAGAGACCCAGAGTCCAAACTACCCAACAAGTGCACTCCCAAATTTCTGACCCGTAGAATATGTGAGATAACAAGTGTTGATTTTCTTTTTAGTCACTAATTATTAAAGCAATTTGTTATTCACTCATAGAAGACTAATACAAGGCTTAAGTTCCATAAGTCTGAACAGGTTTTGTTCTGGTTTGGCTGTGTCAAAGGAGGTGCTAGTCAGGCCTTGACCCTCTGAAGCCCACATTCCATTCCAGCTTTGCAGCCCTGGAATGGAGAACCTGACAATTCCAGAGCATTCCCCATTCCGGAGCCACTTCCCCCAGAGAACTTTTCATTTGTTACTCCCTCCTGCTCTAAAACCATCAATGGCTCCTTAATGCCCATGAATGACTCTCTATGGTGCAAACTCCTTAGTCTGGCATTTGCCCTTGCCCCCACACCGCCTTCACAGTCCTTCCAGTTGCATTTCTCATTGCTCCTTGGCAGACCCTTCAAGCCTGGTCAGACCAAGGTGCTCACTGCTGCCTGCCTCTCTTCTTTTTCCACTTGCAAGCACAGCTCTCCCTTAGTCGGCTGTCAATGAATGAACAAATACAGACTGAGGATCTGTTAGGTACCAGCAGCCAATGACGGATGCTTCTGCAGGCAACATCTCAATGTTCACCAAAAGCTATTTTTACAGATAAGGAAACTGAGGTTAAATGACTTTCCCAAAGTCCCAAGGGAAGCAAATGACATAGTCAGTCCTTGGGCCCTGCTTAACCTGTGGTTTTAAGTTATTTTTCTACTGCACCATATTGCATGTCACTTACACGTCTATGGAATTTTACAGTTTGTAAAGCCTCTGATTGTTGTTAATTTTTATTGAGCCTCACAGCAGCCCAATGAGATAGATGGAGCAAGAGTTCCTCATCCCTTTTCACAGATAATAAACCTGGCATGAGAAACAGGATTTGTTCTCATGGAGACAAGTATCAGAGCTAGCATTTCTAACCTAGATCTGTTTCCAGATCCACTGCTCTCCCTTCTGCCTTCTCTTTGTTCCTCTCCCTAAAGCTACCATAGATTCTTGCATATAATTGATACCCAGTACATATTTGTGGAGGACCAATTGTTTAATTTTTTTAATGTATTCTTCAATAAACAGTGCAAAAACGTCCAGGTGTCTAGAGAGTTGTTTAGGATGAATAACCGAAACTAACCTTAAGAAAGAACTTTAAAAAGAGTAGCAGGGAGGTATAAAGGCAGACTTCAGAAAAAACTTTACAACGGAAAGGACCACTGGTCACTGAAGTTTGAAAAAAGGAGGCTGTGGAATTAATGAGGCTGGGGAAGCTCCAAGAATGACCCACACTTGTCTGGGAGAAAGGTAGTGTTACTTATTCTTAGGGGCAGGGTGATGGTCAAAATGAGCCATGGAGGGCCCAGGTAGCCCAGCGTCCATGACTCAGCGATGGGGGTGTCATTGTTATCCTTGTTGCTGAAGCAGAGTGGGGAGATTGTGTCACTTTCTCTGTTGGGCACTTCCTGTCCCTGAGGGCTGGCACTTCACTGATGAACAAGCTGCTCTAGAAGGAGGTTCTTTGAGGACCATGTCACACAGGTTCAGTCTCTTTGGGCTTGTGAGAGGCCCCACAGGTCACCTGCCCACACACCTGACCTTGCACACACCAGAATGCTGTAGTAGTCACTCAATACATATATGCTGAGGGACCAAGAGGAGTTTACATAAATGGATAGCAGTGGCTTTCCCCTGTCTCTGAAGGACTCTCAAAATATTTCACCCTGTCTTGGACACCAACTTCAGACTTGGCTGTCCTGTGTTGTCAGGGATTCCTTCTGCCCTCTAACCCCACTCCAGCTAAATCCAGTGGGCTCTTGTCCTATCCTCTGTGGACCTAGTCTAGGACTGGTGATCCCCAGCCCATGATCATCTTGATCTGGTGTCTAAAAGCACCTTTTCATGCAGATTCAGAATGAGTAAGCGATGAGAAGAGACTCAGGCACAGCACAGAAGGAGACCTGGGTGCAAGGTGCCCTCATGCACTGGGCTGTCTGTGCTTGAGTCCACCTTGGGGTCTGTGTAGGTGACTGGTGAGGGTAGGCGGCCCTTCCTAGGTCACAGTCTGTGTGAACGGGCACCAAAACCTCCATCTGGGAGCCAGGGGATGTGGGTGAACTTAGGTCTGCTACACATAAGCTAGCAAAGGTGACATTGAACAAGTTCTTCCCACTCTGGGTCCCAAGATTCTCACCAAGAGTGAGGCAGATGGATTCCTTCATTCTGTCCTCAACAGTTGTTCCCTGAGTACCTACTATGTGCCAGGCACTTCAATGATTTAGCTTCTACAGTCACGGGGCACATTTAGAGCAGAGGCAGGCGAAAACCAAATAAAGCAGTGAGCAATAGGTAATGGATGTAATATCAGATGAGATGAGTGTCACGAAGGTAAACTCGGCAGGTGAGTGGGGTGGGCCCACCTTAGAGAAGATGTCTCCCAAGAGGTGACATTTGGATAGAGACTGAAGGAAAGGAGGGAGCAGGCCACACGTATATCTGGAGGAGTGGATCCTCATCAAAGGAACTGCAAATGCAAGGCCATTAGAAGGGAACCTGTTTGGTGTATTTGAGAAACAGCAAGGAGGCCAGGTGGGGACAGGGTGCAGAGAAGTAGCCAGGAGCTGGGGCCATGGTAAGGACCTTGGATTGTTTCCTAAGGGACTGAGGATGCCATGAGAGCCATGAGAACAAGGGAGTGGCATGGTCTGGATTGTGTGTTAAAAGGATGAGTTGATTCCCAAGTTCTACAGCTATAGCCTTCTTCCAGCTCAAGGCTAAGCAGATCTGGCTTAGTATGGGAGGCGGCAGGATAGTCCCAAAGCCAGGTCCTTCCCTACAGGCAGACTTTGCACACGGTGCCAGGATGGACTGTTGTAACCTGCCTGCTCACGTCTCATCCTGTCGCTGCAGGCAAGCCTCAGCTCAAGACCTCACTGGGGTGCAGGAATGCAGAGCTAGCTGACAAATTGGCTGCGGCCCCCAAACCAGAAGCCCAGAGTAGCTGTCAGGTTAGGGTGTGGGATACTAACTTAGGAGTTAGATGTTGGATATCTCAACCACTCCCAAATGATAGATTCTTCCCTCTTTAAAAACTTGTTCCTCTTTTCTTCCCCTTTCCTTCTAATTCTCCCAGCCCCATCTTTATTTATTCTTCTGCTTAATTTCCTTTTTTTCCCTTATGATCCATCCTCCAAGGATTGCATAGTATCTCCTAAAAGTCAGAAGTTTGTCAAGCAGAAACGAACAAGATTGGATTGGGTGCTGTGCCTCGCGCCTGTAATCCCAGCACTTTGGGAGGCCGAGGCAGATGGATCACTTGAGGTCAGGAGTTCGAGACCAGCCTGGCAACACAGTGAAACCCCGTCTCAAGTCCAAATACAAAAATTAGCTGGGCGTGGTGGTGGGCGCCTGTAGTCTGAACTACTCAGTAAGTTGAGGCAGGAGAATCGCTTGAACCGGGTAGGCAGAGGTTGCAGTGAGCCGAGATTGTGCCACTGCACTCCAGCACAGGCAACAGAGCAAGACTCCATCTCGGAAAAAAAAAAAAAAAAAAGAAACTAACAAGATGGGATCCCTGGCCCAAAGCTAAGACACCTGCATTGGGCCTCAAAACCAGGGACCTGTAGAGCCTGTGTTTGAAGCCACGCAGTGTGATTCCAGAGTCCTGCTTGGACACCTCCACCTTCTTGCCTCCCACACCTATGATACAGGACACACAAAGCACTGCAGGAACACAGAGGGGATAGCAGTGGCTCCAACCTGCAGAGGGTGGAGGGGTCTCTCAGGGAAGGCCCTGCAGAGGAGGGGGCACTTGAAATAGGTTTTGAAAAGTGAGAAGGATTTTGCCAGGCAGAGAAAAGATATGGCGGGGAGGAAGGCCCAGAGCAAGAAGGCTGGGAAAATCTATGGTGTGTTTGGGGAGCAACTAGTCACTGACTTAAATCAAATACAGAAATGACGACTTCAGTGGAAAAATCAGACAAACTGGTGTTGTCTGACCCAATCCTGTAGTTTTTGTTTTGTTTTTAAGGAACTGCCAGTAAATAAACAGGATAAATACAGATAATTTTCAGGTAACAAATGACATTAAATATTTATGTTATGTTCAGGTCAAAGGGTAAATAAAATGGGGGTTGGGAAGGGAAGGTTGGGGTCAGGAACAGAGAATTTCCTGTTTAGACAGAATGGTGTCTGGTCACTTGGCAACATTTGATCCCTGAGAGAAAAAAAAGCCTGGGAAGCCTGGTGGAAGGGACCCCAAACGCTCCACTCTTTGGAAAACCACCTTGCAAGTCTTTTGTTCTCTTTCCTAGAAATGGTCCATTGTTAAGAGAATTAAGGTACACAAGGGATTTAAAAAGAAGAAATTCTGATTCATAATAATAATACCTGGTATTTACACCACACCTTTCTCCCAAGGAGCTCAGAATACCGTAGGGAGATGATGTCATTCATTCCTCTCAACCTCATCCCAGCTTTCCTTGTCCCCAAACCATTCTCTCCCATCCCAACCCAGAGACACCCCAGCTTCTGTGTCCAGGATGGATGTTCCAGGGGATCTGCTGGGATGTTAGGCTTTCAGGACTTGGGGACCAGGGCTCTGGTGTCTTTATTCTGCCTTCATCCCAGGCGCACAAAAGAACACTAGATGTCTATGTGTCGCTGTGGGAGGACCTCATGCGAATCATGCTAGAAATAAAGCAGTCTCTGCCTTTTCTAAAAATATCCAGAAAAGAAAACACCATGATCCTTTTTGAAAGTTTATCAGAGCCCAGTACCATGAAGAAATTCTTCCTGATACCTAACTCAAATTTCTTCAGCTGCAGTGGAGTCCTCTTGTTTTTGATCCTGTCTACCTTGGCATAAAGGACAGGTATCTTATCCCCACCACTTCAAGGAGCCCATGGATCCTTCTCTGAACTGGCCAGTTTTTAAAGTTCATTGGTTGGATCCCCATCTTGCAAAGCTAGGCTTTTCTAAAGCTTATGGAGAGGAAGTTCTTGGATCCCAACTAGTAGAGGAGGAAGAGGTAGGTCAAGTATTATAGGAGAAATAAATCAATTATGGCATGGCCTTTGTCCTGAAGGTGCTTTTGGGAGAGGGCAAAGTGCATATCTATGAAAAGCTAAACATCAACTTAAGGGTTAAATGTCTACGCAAGACAGCCATGTGCCATATCACTAGGGAGGGTATAATAATAATCATAGTAATAATAGCTAACTTTTACTAAGCACTTACTATATGCAAGGCCTGCTCTAAGTGCTTCATATTCATTAGTTTATTTCATCCCTATTTTTCTCTTCTGAGGTGGAACTATTATCTCATTTTACAGAGAAGGAAACTGAGTCGTAGAGATGTGGAAAAATTTGCCTAGGATCACAGGGTTAGTAAGTGCAAGATTTCACGAGGTCAACCCAGATAATTTAATACCAGAAGATGAATAATTAAATTGCAATAGGAGCCAGGGGTGGTGGCTCACTCCTGTAATCCTAGCACTTTGGGAGGGTGAGGTGGGCGGATCACGAGGTCAGGAGATCGAGACTATCCTGGCTAACACGGTGAAACCCCGTCTCTACTAAAAATACAAAAAATTAACCAGGCATGGTGGCGCACGCCTGTAATCCCAGCTACTTGGGAGGCTGAGGCAGGAGAATTGCTTGAACCCGGGAGGTGGAGGTTGCAGTGAGCTGAGATTGCACCACTGCACTCCAGCATGGGCGACAGAGCGAGACCCCATCTCAAATAAAATAAACTAAAAAATAAATAAATTGCAATAGGGAGAAAAAACAATTTTTATTATGATCAGATATTGGGAAGATTTTTGACATTTGTAAATGGTGGAGTCTAAGTCTTGGAGAAGGTAGAAGGGATTTTGTGAATCAAGCTCTTTATGACTGGCAGGGTTACTGCAACTTCTTCAACTTTAGTGGGACTAAACTCAATCTTTCAACTTATGTGTAGAAATACCTGGACAGTTCCAGAGGCAGAGTGCGGTGGAGAAAGCTGGGGGTAAGGGGTGGAGACTCAGGCCTGGCTCAGCCTCTGACTCACCGTGTGCCCGAAAACAAGCCACTTTCTCAGTGGGCTTTCTTCCTTCTGAAAAATGCAGTGGTGTTGGACTCGACCTCATAGATCATGTCCAGCTCTAAATGTTACACTTCTAATGCTTTTTGTGTAAATACTCACTATAAGGCACATGAATGGCTCAGCCCAGCTTGGTCCTTAGCACATCCTATGCCAAATGATCAAGGAACATGTATTGATGTGGTTGAATTGCTTTGGGAGTATGGAGGAGTGGGGGCTCCTTTGGGGGCTGGAGTGAGTGGACAGGACAGATTTTATGGAGGGAATGAGAACCGAGTGTGAATATGTAGTGGAAGTGGCTGAGGCCGCTGCATCCTGCCCTGGAGGTGTGCTAAGTTACTGCACTGACAGTCATCCTTAGTCATTGTATCAGTTAGGATGTGTTCAATTGCAAGTAATAGAAAATTTCCCTGAAATTTGCTTAAACCAAGAAGGGGATGTTTTAGTTGGTAAAATCAAGAAGTCCGACTGAGTGGCAGCTGCTTTAGGTCCGGCTCCATCAGGACCACAGCTCACTGTGATTCTCTGAGCTCTGTCCTCCTCTAAATGTTGATTGCATCCTCAGGCTGACTTGCCCCATGGCTGAAGATGGCAGCCTGCCGTGACCATGGCTGCATGCTTCTTGTTCTTGTCCTCCCTTCTCCAACAGACCAAAGTCCTGTGCAGGACAGGCTACATAATTTGTGAGTTTAGTGTGAAAGGAAAATGTGGGACCCCTTGTTCAACAATTATTAAGAATTTCAAGAAGGCAAAACCAGAGTATTAAACCAACTCTGGGACCCAGTAAGTATGGGGCCTTGACCTCAAAGGTCACGTACCCATGAGGTTGGGGCTGGTCCTGAGCTTCACTCCCATTGGGCCAACTTGAACCCATCACTGTGATTCCCAGGGGAATGCCATGGGCTGCTTCACTTAAATTTGGATTATTGCTTATTCCTGGATCAACTTTTATGGTAAATTGAAAGGGATTATCTGACTGGTTTAGACCAATCGGGGCCTGTCTTTGGAGTTGGGGTGGGTCACACTCCACCCAACCTACAAGGTAAAGGAGGAGGGGCAGCTACCTGCTATGTATCAGTGGTTCTGTGCATAGTTTCAGAATGGATGGATCAGGCAGTATCTCCCTCTCAGAGGAGCATTTGAAGTGGGCTCCCATTCCCAGAAGCTTTGATGTTATTTTCTACTCCTTTCCTGTTGTCCAGAGTAAATCACACTCCCCTCTAGTAAGCAGTAAAGAGCATAGGTTTCAGGCAGTGTGGTGTTATGGAAATAACTCTGAATTTGCTAAGAAGATTGGGATTCACCTCTCTCCACTTTGCTCCTTTCCAGACACACCATCTTAAACACTTGTCTTTATTTCTCCATTACTGTTTTCTTCTTTGAAGAAAAATAATGACTGCCTTTCTTATTTCAGAGGGCTGATGTGACAATCAGATGGGATTGCATACATGAAAATGCTTTTCAATCTGGTAATTACCATACCCATGAAAAGGACTGCTGCTATTTATTTATTTATTGACAGTCTCACTCTGTCACCCAGGCTGGAGTGCAGTGGCACGATCTCGGCTCACTGCAACCTCTGCCTCCCAGGTTCAAGCGATTCTCCTGCCTCAGCCTCCTGAGTAGCTGAGATTACAGGCACCCACCACCATGCCTGGCTAATTTTTTTATTTTTAGTAGAAATGAGGTTTCACCATGTTGGCCAGGCTGGTCTCGATCTCCCCACCTTCAGTGATCTGCCCATCTTGGCCTCCCAAAGTGCTGGGATTACAAGCGTGAGCCACCATGCCCGGCCGACTGCTGCTATTTTAAAACGTGGGGAAATAGTGCCTGCTGGCTTTAACATTTTCACTGCTTATTTTCCAGTCTCCTTTAGATGTGAAGTGGGAAACAAAGGAATGGGAAGTGAAAGGAAAGATAAATTGGGCAGGGAAATTTGGGAAGGCCATGAAAAGGCTCTCGAGCTTTGAAAATTAGGAGAAAGATACTCAGTATTACAGCTGGAGAATAGGATTTCCTATCCAAAACAATAGTTTTAAAGGAAAATCATCCCAGTTTTCTTTCTGACATGCAAAATCATCTCTTGGTGTTCCCCACTGGGTCTCTGCCCCATTGCCTCCCCATCCCATGATCACCCTCCTCCACTGCACCCCTCTCCCTCAAGTAGCTGTTCTTATCACCTCTCTAATCACTTCGCTGGTTTCTAGGCTCAGATGTCCTCTAGGCAAACTAGAAAGAACCACCAATCACTGGTCCTTGATAGTCAAGGATGGAGAGAATGGAACTAAGTTCCAACAGGTTCCCAGAGCTCAGGCCTCTTGTTTGTGCCTTCCTCCTCCCTGAGGTTTCAGTATCCATCATTCTTGACAGTTGCTTGCATGGGGAAGCCTTTTCCAAATCTGTACATCCCAGGTGCTCCAACAGGAGGGCAGCTTGCCTGCAGCATACAAGCATGTCTAGATGTCTATCTTGACATATGCACCTGCACACTGAACACACATCTATACATAAATTAGACATCACCCACTAAACCTGAAGTTGGTTATTCCAACCACTCACCCCACTGTGCCCTTACCACACCAAAAATGAAACAGCATGATTTCATACTATCCCACACAGTAAAACACACTAACAATGACATCAAACCATTCAGGTTCTCCTGGAATGTTGATTCTTATAGGTCTAGAAAGAACAACTAAAGATATTCTGCAGCATATTCTTCTACTTTCAGTCAATGTTCCCTTGAAATAATCTGAGACAGGGGTTACCTAGGAGGAGGGGTTTCCTTAGGAGAAATCTCCTAAGGAAATTACCATAGGAGACTTTGAGCATCCTTGGGTCCCCTGTTGTAGCACTTTGCATTCTGAGTTTGGTAAAGCTTCATAATTATAAGGAGCACCTGTGTATTGGGGTCTAGTGTGTGGCATAGAGAAGTAAGGACCCTATTTCAACAAGGTTACTGAGTGCTGTGCTGGCAGAAGTCCAGGAGGTGCTGGGAAAACCAAGGAGGGCACCTAACCCTCGCTATGGGGTTTAGGAAAGGCTTCCTCAAGGACACAATATCTGGAAAGAACCTAAAGGTGAATTAGAATTAACCAGATGTGCATGGGAGTGGTGGCCAGTTCTGGTGGTCTCTTTCTGTCATGATCTTATTTGCTAGTTTATTGTCTGGAATGCCCTCACTTCCTGCTAGAATAAGTGGCACGGTAAGAGCAGAGCTTGTCTGTCTGTTCACTACTGTAGCCTCAGGAAGAAAGTCCAGCACATGGTGATGCTAAAAACGTTCTGCACAAACATGTCCTGAACCAGGGTCACCTCGCCCAGACCCTTTCCAAGAGGACCTGCTAGGTGTCCTGCCTCAGCCCTCTCTGCTTCATGCCTTCTGCTCCAGCCACACTGGGTGCCAGTGGTTCTCCAAAAACTCCCAGCTATTGCAGAACCTGGGCCTTTGTACATGAGGTCTGTAGAGCTCTCCCTTTCCTCTTCTGGCTGACCAGCCTCTGTCATCTTTCACGGCTTATGCGTTGGGTTCCCTGTCAACTCCTCTGCACACCTGGTCTGACCCTGTCCCCTCCCCTCCTCTGCCAGGTTGAGTCCAGCTCCCCTCTTCCTGCCCGCAGAGAACCCTCTTCTGCCTGCTGTAGTGGTACTTCTTGCCAAGGTTGCTAGATTTAACAAATACAAATACAGGACGTCCAGTTAAGTTTGATATTTAGATAACCAACAATTTTTAAAAAATATATCCTATGCACTATTTGGGACATACTTGTATTACAAATTATTCCTTATCTGAAATTCAGATTTAATTGGGTGTCCTGCATTTTATCTGACAATCCTACTTTCCACACTGTTTTATCCAACGTTTTGCCATTTCTCCCCTTTCACATCACTGCAAAACATTTCTTTTCCTGTCTCTCCATTGAGTGTGCGGTCCCCTGCTGTCCCATAGGCTCCCTGTCTGTCACCTATGGCGTTAGCCTCTCCAGCACTCCAGCAGCCCCTGTGGGAGTCCAGGTGGCCTGTGGGCCCCCTGCCACTGTTCTCTGCAGGCTCCTCACCAGGAGCTATGAGAGACATAGCTGGGTTTTGGGGTGGGGGTGAGGTGTGGTCTGCAGAGAGGAAAAGGACTCTTTCTTCGGGCTTATCATTGGGGTTGATTTTTCCTTCCTGCCTCCTCCCTTCCATCATCTCCTCCAAACTCTGGAACTTTGAGAATGAGCAGGAGCTCCATTGTTGGCACAGGGCTGGGCGAGGGCTGGTCTGTAAGATGACAATGACGTCTGCTCTGACTACCACTGCTACTCACGTTATTGGGTGCATCTTAGGTTTTTGCTTTGGAAAATTATCTCACTTAATCCCCATAAGGAACTTATGAGGTAGATACTATAATTACGCCCATAATACAGATGAGGAAATTGAACTTAGAAAGGTTAAGTTTTTGGTCCAAGTTACACAGCTGTGAATCAGAGTGTGGTGGGACTTGAGCTCCATGATCTCTGCTAGAGCCCACCCTGTCCATGGCAGCACCCCTCCTGCCCAGGCACTGCGCTGGAATGGGAACACAGAAGCGGCATTTCAGTGCCATCCCCATCTCATCCGTACTATGGGTTGGCATTTTCTGGGCTGTGACCTTGAATGTTTAACTTCCTATGTTTGCCTGCACTTCCGTGATGTCTTACTGCTTATGCTCAGTATTAATCCCTCCTCAGTTATAATCTGCCCAGTGGTTTCCCAAGCCTTGTTAAGAACTTTTGGAAACCTCACCTAGAAAAGACCCTGCCAAGTCTTCCCCAGATAGTCACCTGCCTCCCAGTCACCTTGCAGTCCAAGAGCTGTACCTGGGAAGGGGGGCACTTTCTGAAGTTCTGGCTTCGGGGTGGAGCTCCGAGCACCCTCCTCCACAGCCCTGACAGCTGTTGGGCGGGTGGGGCCTTCCCTTCAGGTGGGCGTGTCCTCAAGCAGCTCGAGACCCCGGCCTTCTCTGTGCACCTGGAGCCCTGGGCAGCCATTGACTCTCAAGTGCAAATACACCCCTTTTCCATGTTTCCAGCCTTTGCTAATTGCCACGGCTGGTTTATACCTGGAGCTCAGGTTTGACTTCCACATAAATCCTGTGTACCTGTTCTCTCCCCACCTGCCAGTTCACCAGCAAGAGTAATCACAGGTTTGCAGTGTTAATCTGAGATTAAATTTCAGTGAGAAGTTGTCTAATCTAATTTTCTCATTTTACAGATGAGGAAATGGAGGGCTAAGAAAGGTTAGAAATTTAATCAAGTTCACAGAGTTAGCAGAGGTTTCTCTTATTTGAAAAAACTACTTGGAGAAATGCATCAAGTGTTCTAAAATGGCATCGGCTGAGGTGGATTTGTTTGTTCTTACGAGAGGTGGTATCCCCCGTAGGCAAGAGAAGAGGCAGAGTTAGTCTCATAAACATTCCGGCTTGGATATCAACCAGGTTCGCCATCCTAGGACAGAAAATGTCATGTCAATGATATTTTCAAAGAGGTTTGCTTCAGATCTTTCCAAGGACATGTTACTAAAATGGGCTTTTTGGAGAATAAGTCCCCTCGTCATGGATGTGGTCAGATGGGGATTAGAGGTCAGACTGCAAGATGGTGAGAGTGTGGGAGGGATTTGCATGTGGGCTATGGAAGAAACGGGGAAGGTCCCTGAAGTCCCATAAACCCCCACGTTCTATAAATCTCTACAAGCCGGGACTCAAACCCAGATGATTTTTTTAATGTTTGTTTTTTAACTAGGACATGCTGCCTCTGCTCAGGCCCTTAGAGTCGTTACGGGTCACTGTGGCCATTCCTCTGCCTCTGCTCCCATCTGAAGCTGACCGAAGTCTATCATGTTGGGAAATATCCCCAGGGAATATGCGCTTTGGTTTTTCATGGTTGTGAGTTAGGAAATCCTCCTAAACTTCCTCTTTGGGTCAGTTTTAATTCCTTCCTTCCTTCCTTATAGTCCATCTGTGAAAAATCACATTTATTAGTTAAATATTTATCGAACACTCACCATGTAACTGTACTAAATTAAGGGGTTACTGAGATGAACAAGGCAGGGACTTAAAGGGGGTCACCTTTCCTGAGATTCCCTCTTTCTAGCATAGGTACCATGATCTACATTTTACAGATGAAGCGGCTGAAGTAGACAGAAGGCCATCACTTGTATAAGGGTATAAGGTCACAGAGCTAGTAACTGGCTTAGCTCCTGGCTCTGAGATTTTGCTTTTAACCTTCGCACTGCTCTGCGTCTCAGTAAACCAAGGAATATGTCTGTTAGAAACTAGAACGATGTCTTAATCACAGTTGTCTCTGGGTTATGAGAATTTGGGTGATTTTTATTTCCTTCTTTATGCATTTCTATGTAGCCCAAATTTTAGAATTTTGGAGCTGTCTGAGCCCCAGATCTCCATACTCAGTTGTCTGACCTGGCTGTCTTCCAGGTCCTGGTCAAGCTCAACCTGTCCAAAGTGGAATTCAAGTTTCTACCCCAAACTTGCTCCTCTCTGTTTCTTTGTTTGAGTAAATGCCCTCCTCTGTCACCTTTTCTCACCTCTTCTCAAGCCAGAGACCATGCATCCACTGTCTTCTTCCTCTCTTTCCATTTCCAATCAGTGTAGTAAGTTTTTCATAAAACTATGGGCATTCAATCAAAACCCCCACTCTTTATCATGAAATTGTGTTCGTCCTATGTCTTTGATATCAAAATGCTTTATTCGTTCATTCATTCAGATGGAGTTTGCTTTTGTCACCCAGGCGGGAGTGCAGTGGCGCAATCTCAGCTTACTGCAACCTGTCTCCTGGGTTCAAGTGATTCCCCTGCCTGAGCTTCCCGAGCAGCTGGGATTACAGGCATGTGCCACCACACCCAGCTAATTTTGTGTTTTTAATAGAGACAGGGTTTCACCATGTTGGCCAGGCTGGTCTCAAACTCCTGAGCTCAGGTGATCCGCCCATCTCGGCCTCCCAAGGTTCTGGGATTACAGGCATAAGCCACCATGCCCGGCCTGTGTAGTAAGTTTTTCATAAAACTATAGGCATTCAATCAAAACCCCCACCCTTTATCATGAAATTGGGTTCATCCTATGTCTTTGATATCAAAGTGCTCCTTTTAGGCCGGGTGCGGTGGCTCATGCCTGTAATCCCAGCACTTTGAGATGCTGAGGCAGGCAGATCACGAGGTCAGGAGATCGAGACCATCCTGGCTAACACAGTAAACCCTGTCTCTACTAAAAATACAAAAAATTAGCCTGGTGTGGTGGCGGGCACCTGTAGTCCCAGCTACTCAGGAGGCTGAGGCAGGAGAATAGCGTGAACCCAGGAGGCAGAGCTTGCAGTGAGCTGAGATCGTGCCACTGCACTCCAGCCTGGGCAGCAGAGCGAGACTCTGTCTCAAACAAACAAACAAACAAACAAACAAAAACTCCACAAAATGCTCTTTTTAAATGAAATGTTGGAGATGGTAGATGGCAGATGTTGTCTGTTTGTGTGTATTTCATACAGTGAAGGGACACTGCTTGTTGCTACTGAAACTCAGCGCCCCTTTCCACCTCCAACAGGAGCTGTTTTGTTCAGGCGTCCACCCCACCCCCTGATTCGGAGGGCAGGCCTGGTGAGGCTAAGCCAGCGGTCCTCAGACCGTGGCCATAAGACCCTTTCAGGGGGTCTGGGAGGTCAGAACTATTTTTATACTAAGCCATTATTTGCCTTTTTCACTTTCATTCTCTCACAAGTATACACTGAAGTTTTCCAGAGGCGAGCTGTCATGTGATATTGCAACAGATTGAATGCAGAGGCAGATAGGAGAGGCCAGCTGTCTTCTATTAAACTGGAAATAAAAGGGATTTGCAAAGATGTGGAACAATGCTACACTTCTCACTGAATTCTTAAAGGCCATAGTTTCAAAAAAATAACAAATATGTTATTGATGTTAACATGTAATGCAGTTGTTATTGTTATTTTTAAATGAATTGATAAATAAATATCTTTTAAAATTCCCAGTATTAATTCCTAATATAACACATATCTATAGATGTAACTCACCCAAAAAAAAAGCTCTCTGGAGTCCTCAATAATTTTTAGAGTTTTAAAATGGTTCCATGTCAGAAAAGTTTGAGAACTACTGGTTTAAGCTGGTGACAGCTATTGTTCATGTAAGTGACCCAAATTAGCCCACTCAGATTAGATGGTGGAAGGATTTATAGTGCATGCTTGGGGCAGAAGTTCCTCTGCTTTCTCTTGTTGAATGTGAAAGCTTTTAGTTTGCATTGCTCCTGGTAGCCTTTTGTAGCCAGGAGGGACCATACAGGGGCTGTGGATAGCAGTGTGGAGAGAGGGGAAGGTGACATTCTGGGGCCTAGAGAATGTCACTAGACTGCTAATGTGACATTGTATAGAGTCACTCTACCTTTGCTCTTCCAGTGACATGAGAAGATTTGTCTTCTTATTGTTGAATTCAGCTTGAGTTGGGGGCTCCATTGCTTGCCCCAGAAGCTCCCCTGAGTGAGCATTTGGAAAATGAGTTGGCATTCCCATGTAGGACTCAAACTTTGGGAGACATTTTACTGTTATCTGTAATCTGTGAGCCACCACATTAAATGATCCTTGGAGGTTTCCAATCATGAGGAACCACCAAGAAGGAAGAAAGGGGCCGAGATGGAGACGCAGTAGAAGGAGTTAGGCTATGCAGACAGAGCGAAAAACTCTTAGAAAATAAGGATGCCATGGAATTAACAGGCCTGCTAAGTCCTCTGACAGCCACATCTCATTCCCTCCCATGTTTCCAGACCCCACTCCTCCACTTCTCTAGCTTCCTTCTTTGTAAACCAAAGTGTCAACATCTGTTTGGATGAGCAGACTCATGGTGACAGCTGGGAGAATTTGACCCACTGCTTGACAAGTGGCAGATTAAACTTGAGGAGAGGCTCCTACACCAGAGATTCATGTCACCAAATTGAGAAGGAAGGGGGGCTGGGGTGGGCAGGGAGCCTGAGGCATCTGGGGCCTCTTCCCGGGACCTTCCATTCCTTCTGACTGTGATTGTGCTTGTCTCTGTTTTGCCACTTTGTTCAGGACTTTCAAAGGATCTTGCATATAAATTTGGGTGCAATGTGGGTGATGCCCATGGTAGAGAAATCACTTTGCACATCTTTTGAAAATAGCATCCTTCCCTTTTTAAGTAGTGCTCTTGCCTGTTAAGATAAGTATGGGGCAAAGGAACAATGACTGGTTCCCTCCCTCCCCCCCACCCCTTCCCTCCTTTCCTTCCTCCCTCCCTTTCTCTCTCTCTCTGTCTCTTTCCTTCTCTTTCTTTCTTTTCTTTCTTTTTCTTTCTTCTTTCTTTTCTTTCTCTCTCTCTCTTTCTCCCTTTCCTTCCCTTCCTTTTCTTTCCCTTCCCTTTCTTCTCTCTCTTTTCTTTTCTTTTTTTCTCTTTTCTTTTCTTTCTACAAGATAGTCTGTGTCCATGGCAGGGATGTCCTGGGAAACCTGAAGTGATTGTGTTGGGTTGAAAATCTCAAGAAGGTGGAAAACTTTTGTCTGATTTTTTTTACTTTCTTCTTGGTGGGCAGCAAGATGGGGAGGAAACAGGAAGAGAGCTGGGAACTTGAGAGGACAACTTAGACTTTTCTCTGATAAATTGCAAGTAGGACATTCAAGGTCTCTCTTGTTAGAGACCAAAGTTGGATAGACGCTCCTTGAACTTTTCTTCTTCTTTTTTTTTTTTTTTTGCTAAACAAAAACTGCTACAAAGATACAAAGCACACCAGACTTGGGATAAGCCCTGGGGAGACTTTATGTCCAGGTTAGGATAATCAGAAAGCGTTTAATTTACTCAGTTCTGGAATAAAACCAAGCCTATATTCAGCAATACTCAAAACCAGTTAAGGTCAGCAACTGAGATGCCCAGTTGTTTTTCAGTGTTTGCATCTATTTATATTTTACATTGTACTCTAAATCATGTACTTTAATTTCAAAAAACATATAATTGTCATACCTGATTATTTCAAATCATGGTTCAAAATTTTGAAAAAGCATAAGGGAAGGTAAAGTATTTTCTAATCTTCATTATTTACTTCACTCTCAGCGGCCTTTAAAGCCAAAGTGTCTGTTAGTGAATTAGAATAAAACCACGGGGTAATTACTTTCTGGGCTACCAACGCAACATGAGTTGCTTTCCATTGTGAGAATGCTGAGAAGTTGCCACAAAATTAAACCAATTAGGATAATAAGGGGAGAAGGAGAAGATTAAATTTATTTCCGTCTGATTTAACTTATTAATTTCTCAGGGGAGAAGGCTTTCCCTGCCATTGACCTTTATGTTTTAACCCATAAGCCCCTTCTGTTCTCAAGATGTACTAGGGATTAATTCATAACCTGTCTGCCTGCTGGGTCTTTTTGGTTGACTCAAAAGCCTCTGACCTTAGGAAATAGGTTTGAGGAATTAGAGTCAGTGAACAAGTTAGTCAGTCAACACATTTGTTTTGAGCCCCTACTATTTACCAGGCATGTTCTATAGTCTAAGGATTCGGGGTGAACAAATCAGAGCTCCTGATATCCCAAAGCTTATGTTTTAATGGGGGAAAACAGATAATAAACATATAAGCAAATAAACCAATAAAATAACTGGTAAGTGCCACAAAGAGGATATTATATGACAGGGAAATGTGATAGAAAGTCAATTCCCAGCAGGCAGGACACAGTAAGGGCAAATGCCTTGGGGTGGGGGATACATTTGTGTTTGAGAGAGAGACCAGCAGTCCTTCATGCCTGAGGGCTAAAGTGGGGCAGAATCTATAATACTTCATCAAGGGCTATGTAGCCAAAACTTTCCACACTTTTTCTCCACCTGGTAAACAGGAGAAGCTTACTGTTAAGAAAAATGTCAAGCAGGGATTTGTTGAATCTCCTAGCTGGTTGTGCTGTTGGTTCTGGCCAGATAGTAAAGAAACTGGTGACTCCTCCTTCCTAGCACCATAGGGGATCTGGTTTTTTGATTAGGTTTAGGCCTTTGTTTAACAATAATTACATTGTTAAGGGTGATCAGCTCTTCTTGGGGGGTTCTTCCACTTCTTCTAGTTGCAGACAGTGGAATCCAGTCCAGCTAGTATAGGATGAAGGAGATGTATAAAGAGGTATAGATGTATCACGGACCAACTGGGAGGGCTGAAGAAAAAGAGTCTAGGCTAAGCTTCCAGGATGACTCCCAAAACCACACTACAGGATTGGGCCCCTAAAGGAGTCACTGCCTCTGCCATGATCAGGAAGATGCCTGTTGAATCAGGAAGCCAGAGCCACAGCGGCTGCTCCATGTACCTGCCTGCACTCCGGTCAGCTCCAGTGAAATGGACATCCCACGTGGGTCCTCTCTTCCCTCATAGCTTGATTCCAAATCAGAGTCTTGAAGGAATGTATCTTGTTAATAGGTCTCAGATCACATCCAAAAGTTTAACTGGTTGGGCATCTTAGCAATGTAGTTTTTGGGTTTCTAGCCTCTGCAGTAGAGGAAAGCCTACTAGAACTGGAATGGGGTCTGAGCCAGGCAATCTGCAGAACCGGCCACTTCAACTAAGCCAGGGTTTACACCACCTGCGTTCTGACACTGGGGCTCATTCAGTGACTGCGGCAGTTTTTGCTTCTGTATGCCAAGATTGGGACAGCTGTACAACTACAAGCAGCTTTCTTTTTCAGATCCTGCATTCAGGAGTGTGTGCCCCTAGGCAAGATTTGATTTAGGTAGGGCTGGTTTCACTGGACAGAGGTCATAGCTACTTGGAGAAAAAGCTAATCAAAAAAGATACCATTTAGACTCTCAGCCCCAAGTGTGAGCAGACCATGGTAGTTTTTGCTCATTTTTACGGCTGCAGTGCTAACATAGAGCTTGACATATAGAAGGCATCCAATAAATATTTATTAAGTAAATAAATGAATGAATAAAAGAATAGGGTGAGGGGCTTTTTGACATTAAATATGAGGTAAGTTCATTTGAGCCTATGTTTGTTGAACAAATACTAATAATGCTTGATGTGTGCCAGGCACTGTCCTAAGTGCTTCGCAAATATTAACTCATTTAATTCTCATAGTTTGTCTATGAGATATGTACTATTGTTTATCCCATTTAAAAACTGACATACAGAGGAGTCATGTTACTCGCCCAAAGTTACACAGATACGTGGTAGAGTTAGGAGTCTACTGGCCTGGGTTGCCTCCAATATCTTCTGTTGTTACAGGACTTACCTATTACTGGTTCGGCACATGTGGAGGGGCCTGAGTGCCTGCGTGTGATATTATGAAAGTAAATGGGTGCAACAATGTAGGTACGGTTTGCTAGTGTTGATACATTGCAATCCACCCGTCCTTATTCCCCCTTTATACTGCCTCCCAGTTTCTTCCAGTCTCCCGCAGGCTATGCCTGCTCATGTGTCTTTCCCCTTGTCCATTTCCCATTCCTGTGCTGGACTGGGTTTCAGTGCTATTTTTGCAGCCAAGCAGGTGAGGTGGGCCTCTCTGGTGCCCTGCTGAGCCGCCAGGAGGCTGCGCCTGCAGAATGAATCCCAATGCAGGGGTGGGGTTGCAAGCAGCATCCACAGTCCTCTTGTTTCAGTTCAGAATTGGAGACGTCTGACTGCCCTGGCTGCTGTGGCTTCTCAGAGCTCTGTGGTTTCTTCTGGAAACACTGGGGAGACCATAACAGCAGCACCGAGCATCCCATCCCCACAGCCCACCAGGTCCAGTGGCTAACCTTCTTCTAGGCCACTTTATTTTGGGTCATGGTGCTGTCAAGGCTCTTCCGGTCCAGGAGAGCATGGTCTTTGCAAATGCTCTGCAGAGCTGGCCCTTCTCGCAGGAGTGGTGTGGATTATTTGCAAAAACAACAGAGACTCTGCTAGCATTCCCACAGATAACACAGGGCTGCAGAGGAAAACGTCCTCTTTGCCAGCACAGGCAACAGGGTGGGGGACGTAGGGGCAGAGAGGAAGGGTGTGCTGTTTCTTCAGAGTTCACCCCATCCATTCCCCACATCCAAATAGTTCAGCTTAAATAGTTCCCAAGCTTAAATGAACCTCTTGCGGTACCCTTCCTTTGCGAAAGCACCTGGCAGTGGGGCAGTCCTTCTGATATTTAACAGCTGGCCCTCCTGCTTCAGGACTACCCTTTGTGTTTTTCATGGATGTTCAGCACAATGTGCTTCAGATACAGAGGAAAAGCCAACCATACATGGATCTGCTGCCCCTGACAAAGGATTCCCACACTGGGAAGGGGTGCAGGCTTCCTGTGTACAGGTTTGGAAGAGCCCCTGTGACTTGATATCAGGCCCACTAGACTCAGGGCCCTTTGGCTCCTGATCTTCCCCTCTTTGAGTCACAAAACTACATACCCTGCTCAGTCCCTTTAAAGCGTACTTTTTCCCTTGGATTTTTTTTTTTTCTCTCTTTGGTGTTTATGTGAACTGGTTGAACCCATCACGTGGTGAGTCCATGTTTATAATTGCAGAAGCACTGCCTGGGGAAGTTTTGTTTGTATAGAGGTCATCTCATCTCTTGGGCTTGGCTGCAGCCCCAGCTGGGGTTTCGGCAGCAGTAGCTGAAAACACACCAGGGACTTCTTATTTCTCTCTCTGCCCTGGGTTCCAGGCTCCTGGTCCCAAAGGCTGGTGCTTCCTAGGGCAGGAAGAAGGGGCACACTCAGGAAAGAGCAGGATCATCTTCCTTCCACCCCATGCTCAACCCAACCTAGAGTTTTTCCAGGATATGACTGTCTCCTTTCTTACAACCCGACTGCTTTCCATGGTCTGAAAGCTAGACTTAGATTGGTAGAGTAGATGGTAGGATTTAGGGATGTGCTGTTCTGTTGCTACTCTCCCTTTTACAGTCAATATTCTAGGATGGCTGAGACCATGAGCTTTGGAGTCGGACAGAATTGGGTTGAAATCATGTCTTTGCCAACTACTAGCTGTGTGACCTTGGACAATACCTCTAAAACTCAGTTTCAACATCTTAAATGAGAATAATAGTATCTACACCTTCAGATGGTCAGCAGGATTAACTTAGGGCATGGGTATGAAATGTTTCTAATTATGATAATAACGATGGTGGTAATCAATAATAACACTAACTATGATAGCACTAAAAATGACAACTTCCCTCTATCCCTGTTTCCCTCCTCTATTAGAGCAGTGTTTCTCAACTTTTTAAAATTATCACTCCCCTAAGGAGTCTTTTAAGTCATTGATTCCCTTATCATTTCCCCTTCTCCCCTATATACTCTATATCTGTTAATATAGTGTGACCTTTTAGAGACTATGAATCATCACGATAGCTAAGATTTTTTTTTTATCCCCCAAGATCCAATTTCCCAACAATATGGCCCCTCTTGAGACGCATGTACTTGGAGGAGCTCTGCTATCTGGGGATCATGCAGGTTATTATCAAAGTCTTTTGGTTAGATGGAGTTAACAAGTAAACCCCAGAGTAGCCCTTTGGTGGGGATGACTGTCTATAAAAGAGAGCCCCAAGGAAACCAAATGCTTGTCATACAGTAATGGATACCCATTGACCATAAGGGTGGGGCCAGAGCTTTTTCCCATTGTGGTACACGCTGCACCCTTTTCACTCCCGCTCCCATTTAACATTTGTCTTTGGGACAGCTACCACTGATAGGAGAATGAGAGGATCCACATTGACTCTTGCTTATGGGACTGGAGGCCATTCTTCTACTGGTACTTTTGAGACTGAGAGAGGCCAACACACCAATGCTCAACATAGCTGCACGGATAGGTCTACATGAGTCAGTAAAACATAGGAATGATTTAGGGAACACAGACCTTTTTGTGTGGAAAGGAGAAGAGGATTCCTGAAGGAGAGTGGTATTTAGGACCCAGAGACTTAAAGAAGCAGGAACTTCAGGGCGTGTGAATGATCTGAGTGCAAGTGGGTCAACTTAGGAGTGACGCAAGACTGCCTTGATAGCTATGGGTAGGTCAAGCCCCACACAGGGCCAGGGGAGCCTTCACACAGACTGTTATGTGAATGGCGCTTCCCTGAGTTGTGCAATATGGCAGCCCTGCACAGATGATGTGTTCCTTGAGAAAGCCTAGGCCTTAGATGCCTTCCCTTGGGAGCTGAGAGAGAGAGTTTTTATTCACAGTTCACCAGAAGTTTGTCCAGACTAAATGATCATTCTTTTCAGTTTTCCCTAATTCTTTTTTTTGTTTGTTTGTGTTTTGAGACGGAGTTTTGCTCTTGTTGCCCAAGCTGGAGTGCAATGGTGCGATCTTGGCTCACTGCAATCTCTGCCTCCCAGATTCAAGTGATTCTACTGCCTCAGCCTCCCAAGTAGCTGGGATTACAGGCGTGCACCACCTCTCCCGACTAATTTTTTGTATTTTTAGTAAAAATGGAGTTTCACCATGTTAGCCAGGCTGGTCTCGAACTCCTGAGCTCAGATAATCTGCCCGTCTTGGCCTCCCAAAGTGCTGGGATTACAGGCGTGAGCCACGGTGTCTGGCCAGTTTTTCCTAATTCTTCAACAAGGAAATTTGCATATAACTGCAACTTGGTGTGTGAGTCTTGTGATGGCCAAGGAAAAGGAGGGGGAGGTGTTGTCTCATCTCCACTTCTCCTGAGTTCAAGTAGAGAAGGGATAATGACCTCTTGGAAGGAATACGGTTCCAAATACCTGGGGTGACCAGAGGGGAGCCCCCGGGTGAAACCTGTGGCAGAGTACCCTGAAAGGACATATGCAAGCAATAGCATTTGATCACGCCCTGCAAATACCTACTGAGGCCACACTCTCCTGAGGTGGGATGCAGAGTCTGGGAGAAACTCCATAGTTTCATTCCTTTTTGCTGAGGGCTTGCAATATGCCAGGCAGGCTATTAAAGGTTTAGATTTACATTCGTGGCCTTCAACAAAAGGTGATGATGATCCCTATTATTGAGCGTCTAGATTAAAAAAATTTTTCCAGGCTGGGTTGGCAATGTTATGTCCTGGTCCCTTCTAGTTCTGACATCCTATGTAATCTGCCTGATAGAATTTTCAGAGGTGCTCATTAGATTCTTCTTGGCAGAAAACTTTGCTCCTGAAGAAGAGAAACTCAATGTTAGAGAGAGGAAAAGGCAAAGAAAAGGAGGGTTGGGGCACAGAACACAAATGTTTACATTTTATAGCTCTGCCTAAAGCAGAATCTTTCTTAGCTTTTCTTCCAGTAACACTGTAAGCTTTTCAACTTTTCCACTCTGAATGTTTTGAGGTCTTTGCTCCTTCTCTATTTCTCAGCCATTCACCCTTCCTCTAAGACTTTCCCTAGAGTCCTCTGTGGTTGACTCCCTGCCCTGTGCATGCTTCTCTCCCTATTGCATGACCTCAGGCTGTACAATAGCATCAAGCATAGCCTTGATGAGAAATAATCCACACTCAAGGCGGGATGTTTGTGGGAGAGGGGAATGTCCCAGTGAGGCTTAGCAGGGGCTTACATGTGGAGTGAATATGAACATGGAACAATGCAAAGAACCCTGGATCTGGATTCAGAATCCTGTGGCCACAGCTCTGGCTCTGGCCCTGACTTGCCATGTTACTTCTGGCAGGCCATCTGGGTGAACTGAACCTGGGTGTCTTCACTTGCAAAATGGGGTTTTCAAGATGACATTTTAGCTCCCTTTTCCAATTGTTGATATGTTATAGCTTTTAAAGAATTAATTGTAAGAATCATCAACTCCTTCTCCCCCTAGCATCCATGTCTCACTTCGTAATCTCATCTCCACTTAGGACTTGGAATCATGTATCTTTCCAAATTGGGGCCTTAGTTGTCCTGTGAGCTAGAGATGACATTGGTTTTCCACTTTAATTTTGTCCAGAGACTTCGTTATAATGATTCTATCCTTCTTCACCCCTTCCCCATCACCTGTTCATTCCTAGTTAGGAAGATACTCCTCTATGGACAGTTGGGTGGGGAGCCTGAGAACTCAGATGCTGGAAGCTGAAGCAGCTAGGAAGGGCTCTCCAAAGAAGGTACAGGAAGGGCACCAGTTAGTAATGGCATCGGTTGATTCCTCAAATATAATTGCCATGAAAAAGTTTTCCATTTTCCTCCCAGCACTTCAGGCAAATGACCTCAAAGAGGAGAACCTCTTTTCCTTCCAATTATGACCACTAACTTTTGCCTTTCTGGTCCACTCACATCTTTATTCTTTCCTAACTTCTGTGGGCCATGACAAGACTGTGTCAAAGTGATTGGTGGGTTGCTCCTTGAAGACCCCATAGAGCTGGGTCTTTAGTCTTTTTAGACTCAGCTGAGTGCAGCTGATGTCTCTATGGGAGCTAGAGAGTGAGGAAGGGTGGATTCCTCTCCCTCTTGGTCTGAATGACTTCTTCCCTGCCCCATGGACCAGAGGAGGGGAGTTGAGTGGCAGGATGTGTTAACTCTCCACACTCAGGTTGGAAGCTTCTCTGCTCCACATAGACTTCTGCTCACACAAGGGTCTTTACTTCTCCAAAGGTCATTCCCTCAATAACGCAATACCTGCCCATCTAAGAACCACCTTTTCCTTGTTTAGCCAACATACTTCTGCTTTAGAGATTGTATTAAAGACCCATCCTGGCATTGCTTTTTAGAAAATAGGAAGGTAGACACTAAGTACTATCAGAAACAGGATCACAGGATCTACCAGTACTTGTTAAAAGTTCCATTTTACTATGAACCCCCAATTCATTGTAAAGGAATATTTTTTAGGATCTCCTCAATGCCACTAATGAGCATGCCCAGCCTGGAGAAAGTGAAGAAGAAGGCTGTTTATGTTTAACTTGGGAGGCTGCTGTGGTTCTAGAAAATGGGAATGTGTGTCAATTTGCTTTATAGAGGAAAGCAGAAATTGAAGAAAGTGATCCATTAAGAATTATCAAATACTAAACCCTTTTGGTAAGAGGAACCATATTTGGTGCATCTCTTGGCATCTAGGAAGAACTGACCACAATTCACCCCGGACAGAAAGATCTAAGGAACTCCTAATCCATGTTAGGGTACAATTATCTTTATAGTCAGCAAAATTTTCCTTCAGTTTTCATTGCTTTTCTCTTATTTCATTTGGATCATAAAGCAACCGAAAAGATTGTGCTTCCCATAGTGTATTTAGAAGTAGCCTTGGATGAGCTTCAATATGGTGACTTTGGTCTTTCCTTCTCTGCTGTGAATCATGTTGGACACCTTCAACAATCAATCCTCCGAGGATTTTGGGATCATGGTAGATGGGAGGCAGGACTAGATTGCAGCTCTGGACAGAGCACCACGTGGAGGCTTGTATTGTGAATTTTAGCTTCAGATTGACTGCAAGAACAAACCAGCAGTCCTGAGAGGACCCACAGACCCTCTGAAGGAAGCAGACTGCTCCCACAGGACCCAGGAGACACCCCAAATACTCTGGGAGGTGGAAAGCCTCGGGCAAGTTTTCAAGCCCAATCTCGCCCTCTGCCTGGAAACAGACTCAGGGCTATTGTGGGGGGCACGGTGAGAGTGAGACCAGCCCTTTGGTTTGCGTGGGAGCTGGGTGAGGCCTGTGACTGCTGGCTTTCCCCCACTTCCCTGACAACCTGCATGACTCAGCAGAGGCAGCCATAATCCTCCTAGGTACACAACTCCAGTGACCTGGGAATTTCACCCCCATGTCCCATAGCAGCCACAGCAAGACCTACCCAAGGAGAGTCTGTGCTCAGACACGCCTGGCCCTGCCCCCACCTGATGGTCCTTCCCTACCCACCCTGGTAGTGGAAGACAAAGCGCATACAATATTGGGAGTTCTAGGGCCCCATCTGCCGCTGTTCCCTCTCCACACTACTACAGCTGATGCTTTCTGGAAAGCGCCACCTCCTGGCAGGAGGCCAACTAGCACAAAAATACAGCATTAAACCACCAAAGCTAAGGACCCTCACGGAGTCTATTGCACCCTCCTGCCACCTCCACTGGAACAGGTGCTGGTATCTACACAGCTGAGAGACCCATAGATGGTTCACATCACAGGGCTCTGTGCAGACAACCCCCAGTACCAGCCCAGAGTCAGGTAGATTTGCTGGGTGGCTAGACTCTGGAGAGAGACAATCACGGCAGTTTGGCTCACAGGAAGCCACATCCACAGGGAAAGGGGGAGAGTACTACATAAAGGGAACATGCTGTGAGACAAAAAAATCTGAACAGTAGCCTTTATCTCTAGATGTTCCTTCTGACAGGACCTACCTAAATGTGAAGGAACCAGAAAACCAACCCTGGTAATATGACAAAACAAGGCTCGTCAACACCCCCCCAAAATCACACTAGTTCACCAGCAATGGTTCCAAACCAATAAGAAACCCTTGATTTACCTGAAAAAGAATTTAGGAGGTTAGTCATTAAGCCAATCAGGGAGGGACCAGAGAAAGGCAAAGCCCAATGCAAGGAAATCCAATGCAAGGAAATCCAAAAAATGATAGAAGAAGTGAAGGGAGAAATATTCAAAGAAATAGATATAGCTTAAAGAAAAAACAACAAAAAATCCAGGTAACTTTGGACACACTTTCAGAAATGTGAAATGCTCTGGAAAGTCTCAGCAATACAGTTGAACAAGTAGAAGAAAGAAATTCAGAGCTCAAAGATAAGGTCTCAAATTAACCCAATCCAACAAAGACAAAGGAAAAAGAATAAGAAAATACAAACAAAACCTCCAAGAAGTCTGGGATTATGTTAAACGAGCAACTCTAAGAATTATCGGTGTTCCTGAGGAAGAAGACAATTCTAAAAGCTTGGTAAACATATCTGGGGGAATAATAGAGGAAAACTTCCCCAGCCTTGCCAGAGACCTAGACGTGCAAATACAAGAAGCACAAAGAACACCTGGGAAATTCATCACAAAAAGATCTTCGCCTAGGCACATTGTCATCAGGTTATCCAAAGTTAAGCTGAAGGAAAGAAACTTAAGAGCTGTGAGACAGAAGTACCAGGTAACCTATAAAGGAAAACCTATGAGATTAACAGCAGATTTCTCAGCAGAAACCCTACAAGCTAGAAGGGATTGGGGCCCTATCTTCAGCTTCCTCAAAGAAAGCAATTATCAGCCAATAATTTTGTATCCAGTGAAATTAAGCATCATATGTGAAGGAAAGATACAGTCATTTTCAGACAAACAAATGCTGAGAGAATTTGCCATTACCAAACCACCACTACAAGAACTGTTAAAAGGAGCTCCAAATCTTGAAACAAATCTTGGAAACACCTCAGAACAGAACCTCTTTAAAGCATAGATCACACAGGACCTATAGAACAAAAACACAAGTTAAAAAGCAAAAACAAAAAACAAAAAAATAAAGTACACAGGCAACAAAGAGCATGGGGAATGCAATGGTACCTCACATTTCAATACTAACATTGAATGTAAATGGCCTAAATGCTCAACTTAAAAGATACAGAACTGCAGAATGGATAAAAACTCTCCAACCAACTATCTGCTGCCTTCGGGAGACTCACCCAACACATAAGGACTCACATAAAGTAAAGGGGTGGAAAAAGGCATTTCATGCAAATGGACGCTAAAAGCAAGCAGGAGTGGCTATTCTTACATCAGACAAAGCAAACTTTAAAGCAACAGCAGTTAAAAGAGACAAAGAGGGACAGTATATAATGGTAAAAGGCCTAGTCCAATAGGAAAATATCATGATTGTAAACATATATGCATCTAACACTGGAGCTCCCAAATTTATAAAACAATTACTAATAGACCTAAGAAATGAGATAGATGGCAACACAATAATAGTGGGGGACTTCAATACTCCACTGACAGCACTAGACAGGTCATCAAGACAGAAAGTCAAAAAAGAAACAATGGATTTAAAGTATACCTTAGAACAAATGGGCTTAACAGATATATACAGAACATTTCATCCAACAACCACAGCATACACATGCTATGCAACAGCGCATGGAACTTTCCCCAAGATGGACCATGTGATAGGCCATAAAACGAGCCTCAATAAATTTAAGAAAGTTGAAATTATATCAAACACTCTCTCAGACCACAGCGGAATGAAACTGGAAACCAATTTCAAAAGGAACCTTCAAAACCATGCAAATACATGGAAATTATATAACCTGCTCCTGAAAGATCACTGGGTCAAAAATGAAATCATAGTGGAAATTAAAAAAATTATTTGAGCTGAATGACAATAATCACACAACCTATCAAAACCTCTGGGATACAGCTAAGGCAGTTCTAAAAGGAAAGTTCATAGCCCCAAACGTCTACATCAAAAAGTCTGAAAGAGCACAAACAGACAATCTAAGGTCACACCTCAAGGAACTAGAGAAACAAAAACAAACCAAACCCAAACCGAGAAGAAGAAAGGAAATAACCAAGATCAGAGCAGAACTAAATGAAATTGAAATAAAAAAATTAAAAAAGACAAATGAAACAAAAAGCTGGTTATTTGAAAAGGTAAATAAAATTGATAGACCATTACCAAGATTAAGCAAGTAAAGAAGAGAGAAAACCCAAATAACCTCACTAAGAAATGAAACAGAAGATATTACAACTGACACCACTGAAATAAAAAAGATCATTCAGGCTACTATGAATACCTTTATGCATATAAACTAGAAAACCTAGAAGAGATGGATAAATTTATGGAAAATACAACCCTCCTAGCTTAAATCAGGAAGAATTAGATACCCTGAACAGACCAATAACAAGCAGTGAGATTGAAACAGTAACTAAAAAATTTCCAACAGCAATAAAAAAATTCCAGGACCAGATGGATTCACAGCAGAATTCTATCAGACATTCAAAGAAGAATTGGTACCAATCCTTTTGACACCATTCTACAAGATAGAGAAGAAGAAACCCTCCCTAATTCATTCTATGAAGCCAGAGAAGAAGAAACCCTCCCTAATTCATTCTATGAAGCCAACATCACCCTAATACCAAAACCAGGAAAGGACACAACCAAAAAAATCTACAGACTGATATCCTTAATGAACATAGATACTAAAATCCTTAACAACATACTAGCTAACTGAATCCAACAACATATCAAAAAGATACTCCACCATGATCAATTGGGTTTCATACCAGGGATGCAGGGATGTTTTAACATGTGCAAGTCAATAAATGTGCTACACCATATAAACAGAATTAAAAACAAAAATCACATGATCATCTCAATAGATGCAGTAAAAGCATTCAACAAAATCCAGCATCCCTTTATGATTAAAACCCTCAGCAAAATCGGCATACAAGGGACATATCTTAATGTAATAAAAGCCATCTATGACAAACCCACAGCCAACAAAATACTGAACGGAGAAAAGTTGAAAACATTCCCTCTGAGAATAAGACAAGGATGCCCACTCTCACCATTCCTCTTCAATATAGTTCTGGAACTCCTAGCCAGAGCAATCAGACAAGGGAAAGAAATAAAGGACATCCAAATCTACAAAGAGGAATTCAAACTGTCACTGTTTGGTGGAGATATGATCGTTTACCTTGAAAACCCTAAGGACTCCTCCAGAGTCCTAGAACTGATAAAAGAATTCAGCAAAGTTTCTGGATACAAGATTAATGTACACAAATCAGTACCTTTTCTATACACCAATAGCGACCAACTGGAGAATCAAATCAAGAACTCAACCCCTTTTACAATAGCCACAAAAAAAAAAAAAAAACTTAGGAATATACCTAACCAAGGAGTAGAAAGCCCTCTACAAGGAAAACTACAAAACACTGCTGAAAGAAATCACAGACAACATGAACAAATGGAAACACACCTCATGCTCATGGATGGGTAGAATCAATATTGTGAAAATGACCATACTACCAAAAGCAATCTACAAGTTCAACATAATCCCCATAAAAATACCACCATCATTCTTCAAGACTTAGAAAAAACAATTCTAAAGTTCATATGGAACCAAAAAAGAGCCTGCATAGCCAAAGCAAGACTAAGCAAAAAGGACAAATCTGGAGGCATTACACTACCTGATTTCAAACCCTACTATGAGGCCGTAGTCACCAAAACAGCGTGGTACTTGTATAAAAATAAACACATAGACCAATGGAACAGAATAGAGAACCCAGAAATAAACCCAAATACTACAGCCAACTGATCTTCAATAAAGCAAACAAAAACATAAAGTGGGGAAAGGACACCCTTTTCAGCAAATGGTGCTGGGATAATTGGCTAGACATGTGTAGGAGAATGAAACTGGATCCTCCTCTCTCACCTTATACAAAAGTCAACTCAAGATTGATTAAGGACTTAAACCTAAGACCTGAAACTATAAAACTTCTAGAAGATAACATTGGAAAAACCCTTCTAGACATTGGCTTAGACAAGAATTTCATGACCAAGAACCCAAAAGCAAATGCAATAAAAACAAAGGTAAATAGCTGGGACCTAATTAAACTAAAGAGCTTTTACATGGCAAAAGGAACAGTCAGCAGAGTAAACAGACAACCCACAGAGTGAGAGAAAACCTTCACAATCTATACATCTCACAGAGGACTAATATTTAGAATCTACAATGAACTCAAACAAATCAGTAAGAAAAAAAACAAACAATCCCATCAAAAAGTGGGCTGAGGACATGAATAGACAATTCTCAAAAGAGGATACACAAATGGCCAACAAACATATGAAAAAATGCTCAACAACACTAATGATCAGGGAAATGCAAATCAAAACCACAATGCAATATCACCTTACTCCCGCAAGTATGGCCATAATAAAAAAATAAAAAAACAGTAGATGTTGGTGTGGATGCAGTGATCAGGAAACCCTTCTACACTGCTGGTGGGAATGTAAACTAGTACAGCCACTGTGGAAAACAGTGTGCAGATTCCTTAAAGTACTAAAAATAGAACTACAATTTGATCCAGCAATCCCACTACTTGCTATCTACCCAGAGGAAAAGAAGTCATTATTAGAAAAAGATACTTGTACACACATGTTTATAGCAGCACAATTCACAATTGCAAATTCGTGGAACCAACCCAAATGCCCATCAAACAATGAGTGGATAAAGAAACTGTGGTATATATATATGATGGAATACTACTCATCCATAAAAAGGAATGAATTAACAGCATTTGCAGTGACCTGGATGAGATTGGAGACTATTATTCTAAGTGAAGTAAGTCAGGAATGGAAAACCAAACATCATATGTTCTCAGTGATATGTGGGAACTAAGCTATGAGGATGCAAGGGCTAAGAATGATACAATGGATTCTGGGGACTTGAGGGGAAGAATCGGAGGGGAGTGAGGGATAAAAGACAACAAGTATGGTGCAGTGTACACTGCTTCGGTGATGGGTGCACCAAAATCTCACAAATCACCACTAAAGAACTTACTCATGTAACCAAATACTACCTGTATCCCAATAACTTATGGAAAAATAAAATAATAAAAATTAAAAAAGAGAAACAAAAACAATCAATCCTCCAATTGGGTTTCATTGTATAAGAAAGCTAGATGGATAAAAATGTGTGGAACATGGAAAAATGCTTGTGGTATAGTGTTAAGAAAAAGAAGACATCACAGGACCCAGGAAAGTTTGAACTGCATGATAATAAGTATATGTATTTTAAAAGAAACATAAGGGGAAAGAAACTGGAAGAAATATACCCAAATTCTGCCCATGATGAAATTGTGGGCATGTTTCTTTCTTCATCAATTTTCCACAAGTTTCCAATTGTCTCTCTTTTGCAGAGTGTGTTTCTGTTGGAAGTCAGTTCAGTTGTATCAGTTATTCAGCTGTCCCTCCATGGTCATTTTCCATCTTCTTGATTTAAGAAAACTGGGTGGGAACCAGGTATTTTTCTGAACAGAAGATCTGTGGAAGATTTTCTGACTCAGTACCTATCTCCCTTGCCCCTGATTTTCCGCTAAGCAACCCATATACACATGTACACATGTCCACACTTACACACTCACTCCCTTCTCCACACTGCATGCATAGGAAGGCAGAGCAGCATCTCTGGGAGAAGCATCTGTGCAAAGACACTGCTTAAGGCCAGAGAGCTGGTCTCAACCCCCTCTCCAGCCACTTGAGATGGTGGGAACTCAGTGGTGGCTGAGTCTAATACGGAAGAATTGCAGAATCCACTGGTGAATTGCTCCTTTGTTCTCCTAATCTTCTAATCCAGGGGAACAGAGAAAGGAGTTTTCCTGGGACTTGGGGCCCAGCCTTCCAAATCCTTCTGTCTTTGACCCCACCCTGGGTTGGGATGAGGGAGGGCAGGTGAGAAGACACCAGGGAGAGTGTGGTGTCAAAATTGTGAAAACCTTTAGCCATGGCCACCCATCACCTTTCTCAAGGAGCTGGATTTACATTGATCTCCTGTTAGGACCCCTGCCTTTCCTGGTTCTGAGCCATAGCACCCTCTCAGAAGTCTGTCTGGGACTCCCATCCCACTTCACCTATCTTTTCTCCTACAACAGTGCCATGGCTGAGAGCCAGAGAGCAGGAGTGGGTCTTTCATATGTAGGCTTAAATAGGAAATTCTCCAAACTTACTAGCCAATCACCATTCCAATAATCCATTTATCTCTTGGCCTGTAGATGTATAAATGCTTGATTTCCTGTACTTATCTGATTAGAGTCCATGCAAGGAGGCCAGATTCATTGTCTGGTTTCCTGTGCAAAACTTTCAGCTTTGCTCAGGTCTGTGACCATTGACTACTGCTTCCTTATGTTTGGCAGTGATTTTTGTTGTGTGGCCAGTTCAATGATGTCAACAGCTGATGTTTATGGAATGCTTGTTATGCATCCGACACTGTGCTAAGAGTGGTGCTTGTGTTAACTCATTCAGTCCTCAACTCTATGAGGGGAGTTCTGTTATTAACTCCACTTCGCAGATGAAGCAGCTGAGGCACAGAGCTAAGGAGCTTGCCCAAGATCCCCAAGCTGGGAAGGAACAGAGCCTACTTTTGAAAACAAGCAGTGTGGCTCCAGAGTTCACTTTTACCCCTATGCTATTGGGTAGGGGTGAAAGTGGCAAGGGAGCACGGATAACTCAGGGGGACACATCCTTGCCACCTGGAAAGCTGTCATCTGAATATGGCAGGGAGGAAAGGGGCTCGCTGGACACTCGAGCATAGGAAAGCACCACCTTACAGAGGCCACATCTTTATTCTTTCAGTTGCCACCATGATGTCAGACACACAATGAGCACAAAAGTTTTAACTGAATGAATGAATGAATTACTGAGCTATTAAATAACTGCCTGAATCAGGGATGGTGCTTAATAGTCCTATAGGGGCAGAAGCAGACCAGTCTTATTTACTCGGCACAAAAGGAACCCTCCTTGGATAATGCTGAGCATGGAGGTCATGTCCTGCTTGCTGTTTTTGCATTTTCTTCTTTAGATCCATCCACTCCCTTCCCTAACATATATCATCATTCCTTACGTTTGTTCTCTCAGATATTTGCCTGGTGCTTATTTCCACTCCATGTATGACTCCCCCTTCCTTCCTGACCTAGAGAAGTTGGCTTTTCTCAAGCTGTTCTCTGGAACTGTGAACTGATACCTCTCAGCTGACTGGGGGAACTCCAAGACACTGGGACCAAGCCTGGGGTCTCATCACAACTGTGTGGTTTTTGTTAAGTTGCTTCCCCTCTCTGAACCCAAAGAGAAAGCTGTTGCATGCTGAAATTATGGGATGGGGGTGCAGAAATACTCCCCAAATCTGGGTTTTGAGAAAGTTCTCTAGCAGCCCAGTCTTGGGTTGAGGGCTGGACTGCACTAGAATCTGGAAGACTGTGTTGGTGATAGGACTTGGTGGGTAGTATGGGGACCTTGAAGCCTGGCCAGATGGCTTCAGAAATGGCTTCTTAATGCATGCATTATGCCTTATGCCAGTTTGAGCCAAGCTAGAAGAGCTCTGTCATGGGGACCAAGGCTGCCAGCAAAGCAGCTCCTTCCCCATTCAAGCTGCTCTGAAAGCAAACATATTGCCTTCGGAGGCACACCTAGCTCTGCCAGCTCTCAGATCCAGATGCTGGCATCGGCTGTTTAATGGCTCTGGCATCGGCAGGCAGGGCATCTTGGGTGTTGACATGCAAATACTCAGGGCACAATATGTGGGTGGGCAGAGGGATGTAGGTTTAGGGTGTTCTCTGCCCCAGGGGACTGTCAATCTCTCCCTAATGCATTGACTTATGTGTAGGAGGGAGGTGGCAGGGAGAGGAGATTGCAGAGAAAGAAAAAGAGAAAGAAAGAGAGTGGCAATGGAAAGCAGGCTTCCTGGAGATAATGCCAGCTCGTGTTTCAGGGGGCCACCTGGGAAGGACCTCGGCCAGATCTCAGCTGGGTGGCCCAGGCTGCCCATCCAGTATGGCAGCCATGCAGGCTCCTCTCACACCTGGCAAGCATGCGGGGCAGGAGGGAGCCTTAACTCCTTTCCTTTTTGGAGCTGCCCTCAGCTGCACCAGTTTGTCCTCGTAAACAGAATTCGCCCTGCTCTGCCCTGAAGACTCTCCAAGGCACCCTCTGAGTCACACGTTTCTCCGACTGTCCTTGCTTTCAGGGGCTTGGCTCAGCTTTCTCCACCTCCCTTCAACCTTTGTCCAGCTCATTCTTAGGACTCTAGTCTGTGGCCTGCCCTCAAGGTGTGTAGCCTCAAATGGATGAATGGACGTCAAATCTTCTAAGCACGCCTGTGGCCCCTCTCCTGGTTCTTGCTAAGAGAATACAACTGCTGCGGTCTTGCCATTTGCCCCAAATATTGCTTTACAGTCAACAATCTAGGGAAAGCTGTTTAGGTTAGTGTGGTTTTAACAGTCAGCATCCAAACCTCAATGGCTTAACACAATAAATGTTGATTTCTTGCTCACATCTCCAGGGTGGAGGGGTGCATTGTTGGAGGTGGGGACCCTTGGTCAGGGGCGGAGGGTAGGGAACTCTGCTTCATGAAGTCACCAGCCATCTAGCTCAGTGTCCTCCATTGGAGCCTTGCATCTACAGGGCAGCAGGGGTTGAGGAGGAGAGGCCGTGGGGGCCTGTATGGGAAATTTCCATGGCCTGGTCAATAGGTGGTGTTCATCACTCCAGCCCACATGGCCACACCTCACATTGCAGGAAGGAAATGTAGTGCCTGGGGGTAAAGGATGATGGCTTGGTGAGCCTCTCGTGGTCTCTGCCACAAAACATAATCTCTGGCGTCAGCAAGACTTGAGCTGAAATCCCAGCCCACCACTGAGTTGTGTGTGCTCAGAACTCTGGAGAAGCAACTGGCCACTTGTGTTAATGGCACACACATAGGTAAGTACTGAGGAAGGTGTTCCCACAGAGGTTGGTTTGACTCCAGAGCTGTGGGATTTGGGACTTGTCACTTACTCTCTGGGCCTCCAGGTTTTCATCTGGAGAATGAGGCTAATCACACTCGCCAGAGTGGTTGTACAGATAAAATGAGGATGGACCTGAGCCTTTCAAAGAGGGCCCAACACCAACCTCATCTGTCATGATCGTTCCTATTAGCATCATTGTGGTCATTATGCAATCCTGTCTTGGGAGCTGGGGACAAAAACTGAAGCTGAGTAGAAATTATCCCCTGCCTTCCAGGGTCTCATGGTCTTTCAGGGGAGACAGCATGTCAACAGTCATTCTAGTATGGTGGCATTCCTCCAGGAGGGGGATGGCTGTAGCACAGAGAGGGACGAGCAGCTCGACTTGGTGATTCAATGGAACTGGTGGTCTCTGAGATGGAGCTTGATGAGCAGGGAGGACTTCAAGGGTGGAAGAGGTGGAAGAAAATGTAGGAGACATTGAGGCTGGGGCTGAGGAGGTGGCTAAGACAATAAGCACCAAGACACAAAAGGAGGGGAGTGCTGAGCAGGCCCGGTGTGGCCCTGGGGTAGGGCACAGTGCATGCACCTGGGTTGGGGCTGGGACACAGCAGAGGATAAGGGATGGATCCACTGGAGCCAGATCAGGAAAACAAAACAAAATGAAACTTGACTCTGGCCTGTAGACAGTAATTGGGCCTCCTTGGCAGACTCTGGCCTTGCCTGGTGCCTGCCCTGAGACCAGCCTCAGCATGCTGTCACTTTCAAAACCCATAAATCATGCTCCTAAAGCAGGGGGAGCTGCCGGAAGAAGGCATAGCATATCCCATGTAACAAGACTTTCTAAATGTCCTCTTTAACCATCTCTGCTCTACCTCTGGCTGCTACCATATTCTTTTTGTCTCTTTCCATAATTCTGTCCTTTTCATTTTCATTTCCCTATCTCTAGACAGGGAACAAGCTACCTCCACCCACTCAGGACTCCTGGGCTCTTCCCCTGGGTCAGTCTTTCTTTTACATAGAGCATCTCTGTACTTATTTCCCTTCTCATCTTGCATATTCCTGCTTCATTTCCTTTCTTTACCTTTACGCTAGGGGGACATAAATAGTTTTTTTTTCTCCTGTTAAACATAGATTAATTGAGCTCCAACATCATGGAAGACACAGTGTGTGCTGGTCATTGGGGCTCACATAGGCATGGGATAGTTTTATTATACCTTTCCTTACCCACTTGAATACAGATGCGGCCAGTGACTTGCTTTGGCCAATGGAATGTTAGTGGAAGTGATGGTTGTCATTTCCTGTCTGAAGCTTTAAGAGCTGTTGTGGGATTCACTGCACTCTTCCCCTTTTGCCCTCTGTCCCTGACACTGATGATGATTGACCCCAACAGCCTGGATCCTGGAGGGAGAAGACGTGCATGGCAGCATGTCTGCAATGCACATGTGATATAAAACAAACCTGTGTTGTTTTAAGCCTCTTAGATTTGGGGGTTGTTATAAAGCATACCTTGCCTGTCCGCTCTGACTGATACATCTGGTAATTGGGGCTTGGTAGGATTCATCACAGATAGAAGTTGTCCATCCTCCCAGGGTAAAAGCCCAGATTGCTGTGTACCATGGGATGCTTTCTGTTGAGAAAGATGACTGTGGTGGTGACAGTGAGAAGCTGCTCTGGCACCCCAACAGAGGAGGCTTCCTCATGTATGCTCTGGATAATGTTGGGAGATCCTGTCCAAAAAAATGTGGTGGCAGAGGCAGCTGATGATGGGCCGTCTCCCAAAGACCTCAACCTGGAGGCCTTTGCTTTTTTTCTTTGTTTATTTCCTGCATTCCTGCACCGTCTGCACAATCTCACTTCAGTTGTTTAACCGTGCCAAGCAATTTTACTAGGGTGTGATGCCATCTCCGACAAACTTTATGTGGGTAGATGATTTGTTCATTTAAATCTTATGTGCTTTTTGGGGGCTGGGGAGAAGATGGAAATGGGGAACAGTGAGAAAAGGGAACAGAGAAAGAAACCAACGGACAAAGAGGAGCATGTTTTCAGCAACTGGTGATCACACAGGATGGTGTACAATGGAGACAAGAGTCTGGGAGTGTGATCAGCTCGACCTTCAGTGCTCCAGATCTCTCCAAAAAGCAGATCCAGTTTGAATCCACCTCATTTTCTCATTCAGTTATTCATTGAAACTAATACTTATTGAGGGTTGCAGGCACTGTGCTCAATGCTGTGAATTCAAAGATAATTAAGACATGGTTTCAGGTTTCCAAGGACTTCCAGACAGGTATATATGGGAATCCTTAATTAAAACACAGTGTGATTAAGATTACTGGTGCCTACAAATGAATGGGCATAAAGTGGTTAAACAGCAAAGCTGTTGAGTTGCTGTGGGTGCTGAGGAATGAACGAATTGATCATTTCTCATCAAGTCTCCAAGTAGGGACTTCCCTTTCCCGCCAAAAGTAATTTGAAATGATCCTCCCAGACAGAGAGAACACCGGGAGTCTGAGATCCTAATGCCCAGATTAGAGAGAAAGCTGCTGGGCTGTACAAACAGACCCAAGCTCCTTGCATGGCTTGTTAGTAAAGGTTTTTGTTGAGTTTTAAGAACAGTTTTAAAAACAAACTCAACAATTCAGAGATTCAGTAACTGAGAACTGGCAATGCAGAATAAGATGTGGCATGCACAGGTGAGGACTGGAGGAACTGTGAGTGCCAGCTGGAGGAGAGAAGGCCATGCCTGAACAGCCCACTCCCTAAGGTGAAGGCTCTTTACTGCTTCAGAGGGAGGGAAACTGACAGCTGATCTGAGGACACTCCCTAGCCTGGTGGTTGCATTGAATAGGATAAAGTGAGCTTTTTAGTAAAATGTATGTAGAACTCATTTGGGCTCTGCCTTTCTCATCAAATCCTTTCAGGATCTTCAAAACATTCAGAATTAAAGAGCCTGCAGGGTAAGCTTATTGTTACCAGACCGTGACAATCTTGCTTGACAACCAGGCAAGATTCTGGCTATTGGAGTCAGCAACACCAAGCGAAGAGCCCTGTGCCAGGTTTTTGTCTTTGTCAAGCTGTTTTGGTCTGAGCGGGCCTAGTTTACCCAGAAGTGGGTTGTATAGTCAGTGGTAGGTCTAAGGAAGGAGTGGTCTATTTCGGGGGGCTGGCGGCTCCAGCTCTTCCTTGGTGAGGAGGTCAGGGAAAGTCTCCCCAAGATGGTGAGCCTTGAGGTGTATTTTCTGGATGAACAAGGATGTTTCAGGCAGTGAGAACTATTTTGGAAAGTATACAGAAGAGCTAAGTAGCCTGGTAAAGTCAGGTAGCTGTGAACTGTGAGTTGGTGAGAGGGACTAAACCACCACGTGGCAAGTCACAGGCTTATTTTACCATTTGTTTCTTTCTTTCTTTTTTTTTTTTTCTTTTTTTTGAGACAGAGTCCCACCTGTTGCCCAGACTGGAATGCAGGGGTGCTATATCGGCTCACTGCAACCTCCACCTCCTGGGTTCAAGTGATTCTCCTGCCTCAGCCTCCTGAGCAGCTGGGATTACAGGCGTGTGCCATCAAGCCCGGCTAATTTTTGTATTTTTAGTAGAGATGGGGTTTCACCATGCTGGCCAGGCTGGTCTTGAACTCCTGACCTCAGGTGACCCACCTGCCTCGGCCTCCCAAAGTGCTGGGATTATAGGTGTGAGCCACTGCGCCCAGCCTATTTTACCATTTCAAGATAGCATGCAATCTAATAAAATAATCATGTGATTTGGCAATCCCAGGCTGATTTTCTCTGGAGCTGCCAGCTTGATTTTCATCAAAGTCACAGAGTGTCTATTTGAAATGTTCTAAATACAGGCCTTGGGTTTAGGGTGAAACTGCCTTAGACTTGGCTGCTTGCTGATTCCCTTCCAACCCAGACCCAATTCTGGCCCAGCATCTCTTTAGCAAGACTTTCTTCCTGGGGCCTTTGGTCTTTGGAACACCTTGGATGCTGTTTACAAATGACAGGATCATGTGATTCTTAGCAGCGTTCCCGCCCCTTTCTTAATAGAACCTAAACTAAATGGTACATCTTACTATTTTAGATTGAACGAATGAATGCCTTTTACATTCAATGAACTATCATTTAGTTGGTTGATGTACTTATTTTCCAAACCTACCAAAGCAACTACCATCTTCAGGCTGTCATATAAATTTCTGTAAGGAGTTTTGGTTTGTTTCTATCTTTGCTCCTGTCAAAGTCATCAGCCTAAATGAGTGGCCATTAGCTAATTGTCACACAGTCACAAAATTAGCATTCTGAAGATTCACTTTAGATTTGATATCCTTTTTCTCTGTGGAGCTGTAAGTTAGGATTCAATATGCAATACTTTTTAAAAGGATAGCTTGAAGTAGTGAAAAATTAAGAATGGACTAACTAGCCCACAATGAAGGATAGGTTTAATAAATCATGATGCACCCATAGGATAGAATGCCATCTGCCATGAAAAATTATGTTGAAAAAGATCTACATAAATAACAAGAGAAAATTATTAAAGAAAACCAGAGCATCCCTACAAGCATGAAATGGGTAATTTTAGAAAACAATTTAAGAGGACACACCCGACATACAGTCATTAAGGCACTAAAAACAGATTTTATTCTGGAACCATTGCAATAGGGGGAGAGAGACTTCAGTAGAGAACTGGGCTCAACTCTGAATACAGCATGGACCAGTTGGGGCGTTTATGGCCCAGGTGCAGGGTGGGAGTCAATGGATGGAAAATTGCTAAGAGGAAACATCAGGGATAAGGGAGGGGGTTCTGGCTAAACAGACTTGATGGGATTCTTGCTGAAGGCAGGCCAGGGTGGTCAGACACCAAGGAGGGAGGATGAGGTACTTGATATCAGGGTTGGAGGAGTTGTTCTAAACCCACTTCGCAAGATTATTGCTACAACTGGGCAATACAGGCCTGACAAAGACGGATGTCAAGTTTGAGACCTCAAGGCCTTAGAGTATCCTTACTAAAGTTTGATCAAGCATTTTTGTCAAAGTGTTCATGTCTTATTAATACGTCCAAAAAGCAGGTTAGATACAGTTAGATACACTATGATCCTGTTTATGTTAAAATATTTATATACAAATAACAGAGAGAATATGGGTGAGTTTTATTTTCTTTGTGCTTTATCTCTATTTTTCAACTTTCTGCAGTGAACTTATATTGCTTTTATAATAAAAAATATGTTAAGTTTACTAGACATATGTGAGAGGTGGGAAATTCTTCACCCTGACTTTTTAGGGTCAAGCAAGACTTTTTAAACTTTTATTGGAATTTTGCAGCCCTAAAAACAGAAACTAAGAGTCCTTTGCAGACTGTTTCCTGAAGACAGGGTTGTTAGCTGTAGCAGAAAGCAAGCCAGCACGGTGTTGAACTTTGTCAAAAAGGATATTGAAACCAGAAGTGTTTGTTCTGCTCCTCATACAAACCTTGGTGCAAACACATTCTAGTTGCCTGGTCTCAAATGAAAACAATAGAGAGGCTATTATCTAAAAATAATAGATCTGGCTCATGGAAGACCTTCCATCTGCTTTTAAAGAGGATTTTTCATCCTGAAAGTATGGAGGCCTATAGCACATTTTTATGAAGCCATTCAGGGTTGAAATATGGTGAACCTGGATATGATTTTAAACTCCTTCCCTGTGAGAAGAAGGGAGCATCCCTAGAAGCATGAAATGGGTAATTTTAGAAGACGGTTTAAGAGCACACACCCAAGATACAGAAATAATACATGTTTGAGGTGGTAGATATCCTAATTACCCTGATTTGATCATTATCTCTTGTATGCATGTATCAAAATATCACATATATCCCCTACATACATATGTACAATTATAATGTATCAATAAAAACTAAAAAAAGACAAAAACAGAACTTAAATTTTATAGAGCCATGAATGCATTTTGGTGAGATTATTACCTTCCAAAGGGGGTACAGGTGGGTCACAGAAAAACTTCAGTGAAATTAATGGGATTCAGGACTGTGTCTAACCCAGTGGTTTCCAATCATTTTGTACTTACATTGGAAACACGCTTGATATGATGAAAGAACTGAAGATAGCAATTGATGAGTCAGTGATTATTACAATACAATCAATGGTGTGTTTTAGTATCCAAGAAAGCATTCAGTCACCTCATAATTCGTTTGGGTTCCTTTCAGTGCCATGGTCCTTATGAGCAGAACTCTCTCCTTCTCTCTCTTTTTTTTCAAATGAGACAAGGTCTTGGCCTACCACCCAGGTTGGAGTGCAGTGGCACGATCATGGCTCACTACAGCCTTGTCTTCCTGGACTCAAGTGATCTCCCCACCTCAGCCTCCTGAGTAGCTGGGACAACAGGTGCACACCACCACACCCAGCTAATTAAAAAAATTTTTTTTTTTAGAGACTGGGGTCTCATTATATTGCCCAGGTTGTTGTTGAACTCCTGGTGAGCAGAACTCTGTATGACCCTGACCATGCTCCCATACATTGTCACCTGTGGTGCTCGAACATTCCACTGAGCACGTGCTCCTTCTTTGGAAGGCACCCTGCCCCTTTACTCACTGCAAGGAGCACCTGCTCTCAACTGAGTTACGTGGTACAGTCACCTCAAAAGGACACAGGACCACCACTGCCCTAACAGTGTGTGTACTCAGGTGCAGCAAAAATAAAGAGCATCCTTGTTCACATTCAGGATATCTACCACCTCATTTGTTTTTTTAGTTTTTATTGATACATTATAATTGTACATATGTATGGGATATATGTGATATTTTGATACATGCATGTAAGAGATAATGATCAAATCAGGGTAATTAGGATATCTACCACCTCATTTGTTGGCTGTCCTGTGAGGGTCGGGGTGGTTGGTTGAGGGCTGCTGCCCTTGTTGATGGCCTGCTCCAGCACGTGGTCAGAGAGCTTGCAGCAGTGGGCTACACACACTTTTGGCCTGACCCTGGGTGATACCTCTTGTGTTTTTGCAGAACAAATATTTGTTAAATAAGTGAGTGAGGTATTCTTGCTGTTTCAGAGGTCTCATTGTCAGTGGGATATTTTCTTTGGTTGTATCTCTGGAAATCTTTGGAGGAGTGACAATCTATCCATTTTCCTTTCCAGCTCCTCTTGCCCAAGCCCATGTATCAAATGAGAAAGTAGGCTAGGTGCAGAATGCCACATGAAGGTGAGAGGGAGGACTTGGTTGGGGAGAGGTTGCTAATTAGAGGGGTCTTGTGGCCTAGAACAGCTTCTTAGTCTTGGCTTTAGGCCAAAGCCTAACTAGATGTAAAACAATTGATCAAATTAAAAGTGTGTGTGTGTGTGTGTGTGTGTCTGTGTGTGCTGGGAAAAGTGTTGAGAGGAGTGGTTCATAGGTATTATTTGCTTATTGGTTAGGTTGTATCTTGATGCTCTCACAGATAAGCTCTCAAGGCAGTGATCCTCACAGAATTATAATAATTCAGGTAGAGTAGAATGTGTATATGTGTGTGCTGTGTTGAAAAAATTCCCTAGGTAATTCTGATTCCCACCTCCCTTGAGAACTACTCACTGAGGGAATCATCATCTCACTTCTGCTTCCTCATGAAAGGGTCCTTTTGGCATTATTTCTCTGGATCTTCTTCATCTGCACCCAAGGCTCACTACTCCCTAGGGTCATTATCAGGGGGAAAAAAAACCCAGATCATTAATATGCTAATGAACCATCCACTGCCTGCATTTGCAGAGCAATCTCTGGCTGTAAGAGATGCAGGCTACATGGGTTTGTATTAATTAAGTACTGAATCCCCATAGAAAAATTCCAAATCCTAACTCTCACTCTAAGCCTTTAGAATGAGTAAGACTGGGCTGGTGTGTGGGTGTGCTGGACTAAGACTCCAAGGGTCCTTGATGCTGAAGATGGTACCTTGGAAAGGGATGAGACAAGGCCCAGACAGGCTGGGGTACACGGGAAAGACAGCACAGGCAGCAGGTCCAGTGGGTGGGAAGCCTATGGCTGTATTGGAAAGTATCTAGACACACAAAGACAGACCAGGGTGTCTTCAGCCAAGCGAGCTGAGAGAAGTGCCATGTATGAAGTCTCTGGTCTTTCCTTCATAATGGCAGGCAGCTGCAGTCTGCTCATTCAGAGCAGCGGTGGTCAACTCTGAAGGCTGAAACCCACATAGAGGTCACTTGGTACATTTGTTTTCTATCAGCGGCTGTAACACAGTGAGGATCACTGCCTTGAGAGCTTATCTGTGAGAGCATCAAGATAAAACCTAACCATGAAGCTGGTGGCTTGGAGCAACAGGAATGTTATTATCTGACACTTCTGGAGGTCAGAGGTCTGACCCAGGTATCACTGGGCTAAATCAGGACTGTGTTCCTTTCTGAAGGCTCTAGGGGAGAACCTGCTTTTTTTCTTTGTTCCAGCTTCTAGAAGCTGCTCACATTCCTTTGCTCGCGTCCCCCCTTTCCTCTCCATCTTTGAAACGAGCCACGTCGTGTGTTTGGGGTGTTCTTCCATAGTCACATCGCTCTTTCTCTGACTCTCCTCTTCTGCCTCTTTCTACTTTTAAGGCTTCTGTAATGACATTGGGGCCACCTGGACCACACAGGATAATCTTCCATCTCAAGGTCATCTGATTAGCAACCCCAATTCCATCTGCAGCCTTCATTTGTCTTTGCCATGTAACTTAACATATTCACAGGTTCTGGGGATGAGGGCATAGCCATCTTTAGGCGGGAGGTCATTCTTCTACCCACCACAATTGGTTTGCTGCTGGATCACCTTCACCGTGGGGTACAGGCACAGGGGGTATACTGGTAGCAAGTCAGCTCCAAGAATCAAGGTCCCCAAGACCCCCTCCTTCTACTTCCAGCTTCCTCTTCTGTTCACCTCCCAGCCTGGAACACCTCTAGACATATGTATGGAGTAATTTTAAAGAATAATTTTAAAAGGTGTTCTACTAAACCTGCAATTTTCGTAGGAACCAGCAAGTGATTCTTGAACATTTATGCCAGAGAAATGAAGACTTATCTTGACATGAAAATGAATGGACGTTTATTTGTAATAGCCAAACCTGGAAACAATCCAAGTGTCCTTCAACAGGTGAGTGCATTAAACAAACTGTGGTCAAGCCATACCATAGAATATTACTTAGCCACAAAAATGAACTATTGATACACACAACTACTTGGTCCAGTCTCTAGAGAATTATGCTGAATGAAAAAAGGCAATCTGAAAAAGTCACATAGTGTATGATTGAAGTTATAGAACATTCTCAAAATAGAAACATAGAAACGGAGAAGAGATTAGCATTTGCCGGGGGTTAAGGGTAGGGGTTAGCATAGGTAGGAAGTGGGTATGGCTACGTAAGGGCAACATGAGGGATTCTGGTCTTGGAAATGTTCTGTATCTTGACTATAAAAATCTACATCCTAGTTTGCTATTGTACAAAAGTTTTGCAGGATGTTGCTATTGGGGTAACTGGGTAGAGAGTACAGGAGATCTCTGCATTATTCCTTACAACTGCATATGAATCTACAATTTTCTCAAAATAGAAAATGCAATTTTAAAAAAAGGCTTTTGATTTCAGAGAGCCAGCAGTGGACTTGGAGAGATTGTTACTCTTCCTACAGGGGAGTTCTAAAAGGCTTCACCTGTTTGGAAAGGAGCTGTTAGCTGGTCGGGGGAATGTCTCTAACTTAACCTGTGTCACTTTGGAAACATTTCTTTTCCTTAATTTTTAATATGGGCAACTAATTCATTTCCTCCAATGCCAAGAAATTATTTTTACACATAGCAACAAGTGTATGGGGTGATTGAGGGTTCCAGCCAATGAGAAGGCACATCCCTCCGTGAGGCTGAACCTTATCTGTCTCCCTTTGTCCCTTCTCATGTCCTCTCCGGTCCTCTCTCCTTTCTGGGTGGGATTCTCTTTCTTGGTAACTAAGTCCCTCCTCCCTTCTCTCTCACTCCCTGTTGACCAGACACAGCCACTGCAGGCTGAGGGTGGGAGGCCGGGGAGCCAGGCGGGAGGGGCAGGAAGGCGCTGGGTCACAGCCCGAGGCCACTCCTGGCTGGCTCTGGGGTTGGCTTTGCTCAAGGCGAGAGCTGTCAACTCTGCCCTTTTGAAAATGAGCAACAAAGGGAAAAAGAAAAGAAAAAAGAAAGGGAAGTGGGGGAAGCACAGGGTGGGCAGTGGGGGGAGGCGAGTGCCGAGGGAACAGGTGGGGACTGTTTAAACAGAAGGCCTGACTCAGCCGTTTCTTTTCACTGCATTTCCAAAGGACTGTTTGTTTTAGCTCCCCAAGGCGGGTGGCAGGAGTGAGGCTGGGGGCCCAGCCCTGGGGAGAAGCGGGGCCTGGGCTTTGGGGGTGGGGAGCAGGTGTCCTCTGGGCTCACAACAGCCTTTCCTACTTCAGGGGCTGGCTTACTTCATGCACTTCCTGGTTTTTGAGCTCCGGGGCTTTCACCTAGAGAAGCTTTGGGGATGATGGAGGATGGAGAACTGGGTATGAGAAGCTTCAGGAAGAACCATGACACCCCCCTTCCCACTCCCAAATGAGGTATTGATCTAGAAAATATGTAGATGAAGAGAATGGTAAAGGGATGAGGAAAAAGAATTATCAAGCCCTCCTCCATCCAATATCATAAGACACTAGAAAGTCCCTCTTCTAGAAGAATACCTATACTTCTTGAGTCCACAGTTACATTCACAAATAAGGCAGGGCTTGGGACTTGCGATTTGCTCCTGTTAAACCACACCTCCTACAGGAAGGCTCCAGGTCACCTTGTCTTTGTACACCAAGCTCTGTTTCTTTCAATTAATTCACCTTGGGCTTGCCTATATAACCCTGGAGATCAGTGATATGGTCTATATCAGAGAAGAACAATTTGCAAATCCAGGGTGGGAGGTGTGGCGATGTTCTTTTGTTTAAGCGACCATTTAGAAAGCTAATGCTTTCAAAAGGTTCAGACTTATCAGACCACTATTAGTGCCTAAGAAAAATAATGTGGTTTTAGGATTTGATGGATTTCTCCCCAGGGAGAAATCCATGAGCTCAACATGAGCTCCAGCATGGAACATAGTTGGTCTAGATGCAAGCTGCACTTAAACCAACAAATGATTAGCATTAAAGGAGAAGGGTAAACAAGACTCTAATTCATAAGTTGCTAACTCTTCCATTACAGTTCATGAATTGTCCTCACCTCCATGCAGCCCAGCTTGATCCTTATCAGGTACTCACCATACTGTGTCTCCACTCTGTGTCTTGTGTCTACCTCCTTTGCCTCCTCTTCTCTCCTTCATTCCCATTCTTCCTGGCTGCCTAGAAGTAGCTCAGCCAGCCTTGCCTGAGCTTGTCAGTTCCAGGGATCAGGGAGTCGGGCATTCCCTCTGCACAGAACCCAGCGCAGTGTCAGTACATGATCATTAGTAAATGCCTTCTGACTTTGACAGTGGTGGGTCAGGGCAGACCTGTAATATTTTACCTGGTTGTTTTGCTTAACATCAAATCAAATTTAAAAGATAAAAAATACTCGGGAATTTCCACATTTGACCAGATTCATAATCCATCCAGGGAAGTATTCTTATACCCTGAAGGTGTATCAGATCTAACGCCTATTCTAATCACTCTACCTTAGCAGGAAATTGAATAAGGGTTGTGGGATCCTTAGCTTACAAGTCTTCTGGTGACTCTGATTAAAATTAAGAGGTTGGATTAAAGTTAAGAGTTTGCTCTGAAAAGTTATGAGTTTGGATTAAATGATAGCTTCTCTAGTTTTTCCCTCCACTACTGAAGATCTTATGATTTCTTTTATTATCACATGAATTTCATATTGTGAAATATTTACAATTAAAATCTTTACAGACAGTATTCTACATTTCAAATCTCCAATATCAAAAACATAACTAGCCATTAATGTGTAAGATAACTGGTGTTTACCATGTAGAGTTCATTTAATTTCAAGAAAACCTATTGCATTTAACTGTTGCTAATGATTATAATAATAACAATAAATATTGGTGAGGATGTAGAGAAACTGGATCCCTCATGCATTGCTGGTGGGAATGTGAAATGGTGTAGCCTCTGTGGAAAATGGTGTGGTAGCTCCTCAAAAGGTTAAATATAGACTTACCGTAAGACCCAGCATTTCCACTTCTAGGTATATAAACCCAAGAGAGCTGAAAACATATGTCCACACAATAATGCACTAAAGTTTATAGCAGCATTATTCCTGAGAGACAAAAAATGGAAACAACCCAAATGTCTATCAACTGATGAATAGATAAGCAAAATGTGATATAACTATACAATGGACTATTATTTGGCAATAAAAATGAATAAAGTACTGATACATGCTACCACATGGCTGAACCTTGAAAACATTATGCCAAGTGAAAGCAGCCAGGCAGAAAACAGGCAAATATGTAGAGACAGAAATTGACTGGGAGGCCAAGGCCGGAGAATCGTTTGAACCTGGGAGGCAGAGGTTGCAGTGAGCTGAGATCGTGCCACTGCACTCCAGCCTGGGTGACAAAGTGAGACTCCATCTGAAAAAAAAAAAAGAAGAAGAAGAAATTGACTAGTGGTTGGCTGGGGCTGGAGGGTGGGAAGGAATGGAGGAGTGGGTGGGGGGAACTGGCTTGGGGTTTCTTTTTGGGTAGCAAAATGTTTTAAAACATATTGTGGTGCTGGTTGCACAGTGTTGAATATACCCAAAACCATTGAAATGTATATTTCAATGTATATTTCTTAAATGGACGAATCACATGTGAATTACATTTTAATAAAGTTGTTACAGAAAGAAAAAAGGTAAGTGCTAAACTCATTGCAGTGGTGGTTAGAGAAGAACACTGGATTTGTCAAGCCTGGCTTCCCAGAGGAGGTGGAATTCCTGCTGGGCCATGAAGAAGAGGTAGGGTTGATTGTGGAGAAGGCCCTTAAGGTCCTTCCAGGCTTGATGGGAGAGTTAATTAGCAGAGGCTCAGAGGCAGGGGTGGCCTTGGCCTGCATGGGGGCAATGAGACTGTCTCCCTGGCTGGAGGAGAGCGTGCACTGGAGGATTTCTGCAGAATGATAAGCAGGTGAGCTGGAACTGATAGGAAGGCCCTGAAGTCCCAAACAGGACCCTGGACTTGACTCCTCACAAGCAGGGGACGCTGAAGTTTCTTGGGTAATTTGATGGAAGCAGTGTTTTAGGAAACTTCAAAGCTTTATTTGGCAGAGAAATATAAGCAGAGTTAGAGTGGGGAGAGATTAGAAGAGGAATGGGTAGCTTATTCGAGTAAATCCAATGAACAGGGCTGTCACATTTTCTCTTTAGATAACTTTATCTCTCTAGTTATATCTCCTTGCAGTCCCTACCCTCCACCCTGTATACCAACCACACTAGTTCCCTCTCCCCCAAACACCCATGACATTTTATACCTTGGCCCCTCTCCAAGCCCCCCACCCCTTATCTGGAAAGCCATGTCTCTTCTCCATTTAGTAAACTCCTATTCAGTGTTGAGGACCAGCTAGATGTGTTTTCGTGGGAGGGGAGGAGAATCGGGTTGAAGGGCTCGGGGAGTATAGGGATCCCTACAGAGCATTAAGGGAGGTGCTCTTGCCTGGAAGAAAGGCGGAACAGAGGTCTGGTATAATTTAACCACATGTGCATTAAAGACAGAGGATGGGCAAATATGGGACCTGAGACAAAGTGGAGAACCTGTGACCAGGATAGCTGAGAGGGTAAAGGGTCAGCTTCCAGTTTTCTTACTAGTCTAGAAATGGCTTTTCAATGGTACCCAGGGTGTATCCTGGAAGTGGGTGCTCTTAAGAAGCCAAGCTGGGTTGAACAAAATGCCACTTCCCTGGGCTGTCCTTTCAAAAGACAGTCTCTGCCTCTTCCTGGCACTTCTGTTTGTTGCACTATGCATTAAAGCATGGTGTTGGCACTTGCCCACCTCTCCAGCACTTCAGTGAGACAGCTACTCCTTAAAGCTAGTGATATGAAGACAATGTCTCATGAGTTCCCTCTACCCTGGTGCAGCTTATCATGATCCTCTAGCTCCAAATGGCCTCCAATGGTAGAATTCCAGGTACAGCACAAGTGTTAATACCTCCTTTTTTTGCCTTGGCTTTTTTTAATTTCTTAGGGGGTGATGGTTCTGGGTGGCCAACCTCTTTATGTTAGATGCTTTATTTCAGTCATTATAAAGTGAGCATCCATGGAAATGGAGTCACATTTAATAATGTGAATTCAAATGTATGTAATTCAAAGAGACAGAGGACAGAATGAACAAGTTGAAAGGGTGTGTGTGATGATGTGAGCCTGAGATAGGTGCTGTCAATCTGCCATCACCTCCCAGCCTCTCTATCCTCAAGTACCTCCCCCAGTGTGAGCAGCTCATTAGGTGGGGGATGACTATGGTGTTTACAACATGGCCCCTAAACACAGTTCAACTACTTCACCGGCTGCACAATTGAAGAAACTGATCTCTTTCTACAAGGTCGGAATTAAAGCAGACCTTGCCGGATCTATTGAGAAGTGTTGTGTACTCTGCAATGGAGGGAATTCAAAGCTTGACCACATAAGACTTTTCCCTTAGACACTGACTTTAAAACGAAATCCCCATGGAAGTTGCTTCACTGGGGCCACTTGCAGTGTCTGTCACAATGGTAGAATGAGCTAAGGTTGAGCCTTGAGGGAGCTCACAGTTGGGAAACAATTTACAAGCACATTGTTTCTGCTCCTGGCCTGCTCATTGCTGCCTTGTTTCTATTCCACCCCCTGGTGCTGCTTCTCATCTCTTTGGAGGTGAACAGGTCCCCCCACCCTGTCCTTTCCCTCTTTATAAGTGGTCTGACATGTGAGGGTGAGGAAGGAGTTGGCCTGATTGAGTATATAGTTTTTAACAAATTCAAATGTAAACTTTTGGTGGTTCCTATTTTTTATTTACTAAGCAGAAAGAAAGTGGTATCTGCTCATTCCTGGCATTGAAAACAAGGTTGACTCACCCTCTCACTATATGGTGGCTGGCACACTAAAGCCAACCACAATCATGGGTTTCAGCAATTGCCTTACATTGTTCCTCATTTTTGCCATTCATTAATCCATCAGTTTTTCCATGCACCCATCTATCCACTCGTCCACCTACCTATCCACCAACCTATCCATGTATCCATCCATCTGTTCATCCATCTATCCACCCGCCCCACCCATCCTTTCATCCACCTGGTCATTCATCTACCTGCCTATTAGTTTATTTTACATAAAAACATATATCTGTGACTTTTTTTTTTTTTTTTTAAAGACAGAGTCTCACTCTGTTGCCCAGGCTGGAGTGCAGTGGTATGATCATGGCTCACTGCAGCCTCAACCTCCCAGGCTCAAGCGATCCCCCAACCTCAGCCTCCCAAATAGCTAGGATTATAGGAGTGCACCACAATGCCTGGCCAGGCATAACATAACGTTATGCTTTGCAACTTTGGAAGCACATATGTGACAGGGTCATGATGAGCAAACACCACAAAACACAGGTTAAAAACCACTTCCCTTACTTCCTTCCTTGTTTCCTTCCTTCTTTCCTTCCTTCCTTCTTTCCTTCCTTCCTTCCTGTCTGTCTTGCTTTGTCTCCCAGGCTGAAGTGTAGTGGGGGTGACCTCGGTTCACTGCATGCTTTGCCTCCCAGGTTCAACCGTTTCTGTGGCCTCAGCCTCCCAAGTAGCTGGGACTACAGGTGTGTGCCACCACACCTGGCTAACTTTTGTATTTTTAGTACAGATGGTTTCAACGTGTTGGCCAGGCTGGTCTTGAACTCCTGACCTCAAGTGATCTGCCTGCCTCAGCCTCCCAAAGTGCTGGGATTACAGGTGTGAGCCACCATGCCCAGACGCTGGCTAATTTTTATATTTTTTGTAGAGACAGGGTTTCGCTATGTTGGTCAGGCTGGTCTCAAACTCCTGAGCTCAAGGGATCCTCCCACTTCAGCCTCCCAAAGTGCTGGGATTACAGGCGTGAGCCACTGAGACTGGCCAAAATTTTATACAACATAGCAAAGCTTATAGTGACAAGCAACTTTCTCTTTTCCTGCTCATCCTTATCTCCCCAGTTCCTCTTTCCAGTTTGTAGGGTATGCGTCCACAAATACTCTTTGCATGAGAAGTATTCTATGTAAATCCTTGTTTTTTATTTATTTTTCTAAAGTGGTATCATAAAATGTGTACTGTTACCTTGCTGTTTTTCATTTAACAATATGTCTTGGGTATTTCCCCACATCTCTCAAGCCACTTTTCTTGGTTGGGTGTGGAGGCTCACATCTGTAATCCTAGCACTTTGGTTTGAGCCCAGGAATTTGAAACCAACCTGGGCAACATAGTGAGACTCCTGTCTCTATAAAAATTAAAAAATTAGCCAGGCATGGTGGCATGTGCCTGTACTCACAGCTATTCGGGAGGCTGAGGTGGGAGGATCACTTCAGCCCAGGAGGTTGAGACCTCCTGGGTTGAGACTGCAGTGAGCCTTGATCACACCACTGCACTCTAGCCTGGACAACACAGTGAGACCCTATATCAAACACACACACACACGCACACACACACACACACACACACACAACTTTTCTTTTTCCTTCCCCTGGCACTTCTTTCTTTGATCTCCACACTGAACTCCACATTCAACCTCTACCTGTGACTTCTTCATTTTTGGCAATTTATCTGAACAACAGCAACAATGACGTAGCAAACATATAGCATTCTACATATATAAACCTGTTTAATCCATGCAACAAAATTATAAGGTAGATAATATTATCCCCACTTTATGAAAGAGGAGACTGAGGCATAGTGAGGTCCCAGCAGAGAGGTGAGCAGTAGAGGGGGATGTCAAACAGGCAGTTCAGCTCTGGAGCCCAGCAGCTCAGCCTCTATGGTGTTTGTCTTCATTTGCTTTTTGATTTCAATATTCTATAGACTTGCAGCTGAGGGGCTCCTGCTTCTGGGCTGTGCTCCACCCCCCATCCCTGTTGCGGGTGATGAAATTCAGATAATCTGAGGATGACAGAGGCAGCCCATAATCCTGGAGGAGCCTCCCACCATTCCATGTAATCCAACCTTCCTGGGTTATATATTACCGGGGAAAACCTGGGCCACAGAAAGCCCCTGACCATGATTTCTGTGTGCTGGCTGGTGTATCTTTGGGAACTCTATCCAGTCTTCCATCTAGTTTCTCGCTGATAGGCTTGGGAACCTCTTTAGAATGCCTCATGTATGCGACACAAATTAGTTCTCTTGACCATCTCCCCTGAAAGCCATTCGCTTCTAGCCGCCTGTCTTGGCTCCCTGCCAGTGTGCCTCTGACTTTGCAAATGCTGCAAGAGGCAGCTATGTTCCCAACGGCTGCCCAAATGGGATGCCACCACGGGCGCCTGCCTGCTCTGTGGTGGTAGGAGATAAGGATACTTTCAGAGCTCTGAGCAAAGTGCTTGGAGAGGGCCCTCCGAGATGGGAGAGAGGCTTTTGGATTTGGGCATTGGGGACTGCTCATGAAGGGAAGCCTTTGATCTGGAGCATGTCAGGTGGTGAGGGCAGGGGGCAGGGGTGGGGTGAGCAGAGGCTATTCTGGGCAAGGAGAACCTCATTGGTGAGACACACAAAGAGATTTGAGACTGAACTGTGTTCAGTACGAAGCCCCAAACTCAGCTGGAGCTGACCCTAGATTGCCTTCGATTCAAATCCTACCTGAATATACAGGGCCCAGGAGAAACTCTGCCTCCTTTCTCTCCAGCCATTCTGGCTGTCAGCAGCATTTATCATGCAAAAAAAAGCAACAACTATTTGTTGAGGCCAGCTGTTTGCCAGCACTGTTCTCCATCTGGCGTGGATTGAGATACTTTCTCTCCATACTTTCTGGGTTCATTGAAGTTGGGTGAGATGGAGATGGGACAGGACCCTCCAAGCCTCCTGATTGAGCCTTTAAGCCTCCCTCTCCCCTTGTCCCAGGCTGGGAAGGTTTTCCTCATTTTTTAGCATCCAGTGAGTGACTGGTAGCCATGGCCAGATATGGCCTGGAGCTGGTTTTCCAGGGCCCACTTTAGATTAGGTGCTTGGCAATGATGGGGCAGAGCATGAAGGTGAGAAGGAGTTGGGTCTCTGTGCCTGGTAGCATCAGAATCTCTTCTATCTCAAGGTCCTGAGAGGTATGTGGATACTTGTGGATGCATTGGTGGCCAAGTTCATTGGTGGCCAAAAAGAAAAAAAATAAATAATCAAAGACCATACAGAGAAACTAGAACATTAAAACAACTTCTCCAGAAAGACGGGCAAGATGAAGGTGAGACTAAACAGAGACCTTGATACCTTGAGATCCAGCCTCAGGTTCTCGTGGTCACACGCTGTTGCTTCTTGGACTCTGAGATCTCTGGATGCCACTCTTGGAATTCTTGGAGAGGATCTGGGACTCTCCCCACATTGGGGAGGAGGCAGACTCACAGGATTTTAGTCTATGTGACATGTAACTAGATTGGCAACAAAGGAAACCACATCATAGCCACACAGAGGAGGGAATGCAGCCACGGAGCTGGAATTGCCTGCCTCGGGGGTGATGGTTGGAGTCCCTCAATATTTGACAAGAGTCTATCTTTATTTTCCGAAAAGAAGCAGAGTAGAAATGAAAAAGAATCATTCAAAGGATGACGAGTTGAGTGTTTGGAGGGGCAGTTACAGTTTCCACCCCTTAAACACTGGGAAAACAACAAGAGTCGCAGCAACCCTAGAGATTCCGGAGAGTTCTGGACTGCACTGGAAGTGCATGGAAGCTGAGTGGGAGGGGGAGGAAAGTGATGCCTAAAAATACTCCATGAGGGAGGGCTTATGAGGTCATCTCCCCAGGATACTCTGTCTACCCTGGCCAGACTCTGACCGCAGCCCCAGGGCCAGCTCTGAGTACAGTCATCTGAATAGGGCAGGAGCTTAGGAACGGGTGTTGATGGATGGGCAGCTTGAGAGGGACAAGGGGAACCTGGAGAGGATTCAGAGAAGGGACCCAGAGGTGATGAAATGGCTGGAAACTAGAGCTCGGTGGCCAGGTCAAGGGACTGGGACTGGCTCTACCTGGAGAAGAGAGGGAGGTTTGAGTGAGGGGTTAGGGAAGAGCCCTGCCCCCCGGTGCTCAGGCCCTGGCTCTTCTCTGGCCTTGCTGAGGATGGAATTAGGGTCACAGTGCAGCTTTGCTCTTGAGGATGGACTGAGTTCCTGGAGCTTTAGAAACCCTATAGCAAGGGGGAGCTACGTTTTCAGATTATCAGCACGATCACCCCCTTCTGTAATTGAGAGTGACTAACACTTACAGCCATTGCAGCTCACAGATCCCTAAAGCCCTTGTGGCCTGGAAGAATGACTCATGAATGGTGTTTCAGACAGCTGGCCTGGCTGGGGGTGGACACAGGTTTGAACAGTTGGGACACATGCCTGGTACGCATCAATCACTCTCAGTCTGTTGCCCAGGCTACAGGGCAGTGGTGCGATCACAGCTCACTGCAGCCTTGAACTCTTGAGCTCAAGTAATCCTCCCAACTCAGGCTCTGAGTAGCTGGGATTCCAGGTGTGAGCGATTGCGCCCAGTCTGAAGCCCCTCATTTTTACACTGGACCCATGAAAGGAGGACTGGAATGAGGTTGGAGTGGGTGGGTATAGACTTTCTCAGGAGGAAGAAACTAACTCATACTTCTGCGGCACCTTCCGTGTGCCAAGAACTTTACGTGGGTAGCCTCATTTAATTTTTACAATAATCCTGTCGGGGAAGGAAGAGACAAACTGTTCTTTCCATTTTACAGATTAGGAGATCAAGCAAAAAGAGATTAAGCTTGTACCCAAACTCACCTAGTTACAATTGGAGTGGTACAGTTGAGACCTGACCAGGCAGGTCTAATTCCAGAGCCCACTTGCAGTTGATGAGGGAAATCTAGAGACATAGTCAGATTTTTCATCTGGCCCCAGAACTCTTCAGACAAAGGTGCCCAGGAGCACATCCTTAGGTCAAGCTCACCTTCTGACTCTCAGAGTCCACATCTAAATTTAGAGAAGGCCAGTTCAGAGATTCTCCAGTACCCCTCCCATGTCTTAGCTTTGGAGGGTCCAACTTGGAGCATCCCTGAGGTTTCCCTAGGTGGAGAGAAAAGCTATGTGGGGGAGGAGAGATGCAGTTTACGTGTCTCAAAGTGGTGAAAGAGATACAATCCCCAAGCTTGGATTTGCAATTGGTGTCTGGTTGCCTTGGCCTGGAATCTGAACCTGAACTGTTTTCCATGGGCAAATTAGCTAAACAATCCAGCCCACAAAGGGAGCAGCTCTGATATGTCGGTGAACAAGCTCAGAGAGGTGGGGGGCCGTGGGGGTGCACAGAGTTGACAGCGGAGGGAGGAAGGCTACTGGCGAGAAGCCGACCTTCTCTTATCTTGCTGCCTGCGGAGTCAGCCTTTGCTTGAGAACCTGGCGAGGAGGCTGGTCTGATTTCCCTGTGGTCTGAACGGTGGGAATTTTGTTTTGGTGGCAGATTATATTTTCCCAAGGTGGTTTGAGTTACACCTACCCCGTTTCATTTAATTAGGCTGGTGCTGCTGTCTATTGTGTCTCCTGGGCCTTCTTGCATGAATAAATAGTAACGTGTTTGTTTTCTTTTGGGTGGGGCACTTTTTAAAAAATGGTGGGGTTGGCAAAAGTGGGGAGGTCCTCAGGAGGGATGATGAAGTCATCAGGAAACAGGTTAGAGGCAAATGTTCACCCCGTGGAGCTCAATAACTCCTTTCCCCCACCTCTGGGGCCCACTTTTATACAATGTATTCAGAGCCTCCTCTGTTTTCACTTCTGTTCCCAGCCAGGCTTGCTTTCTCTTTGCGGTGTGCCTGGAAATCAGGTGTTTCCTCCTCCAGGCCTACTGGCCTCCCCTCATCCCTTCTCATTTTACTGTAGTTTTCCATCCAGCTCCCTCCTTCTCTCTCTCTCTCCATCTCTCTCTAGCTTCTGGCTACTCCAAGATTATTAACAGGCAACCATGAAATATTATGCAGCCATAGAAAGAATATAGGAACTCTATACACGTCCACATGTAATGCTTTCCAAGAGATATTGTAAAGAGAAAGTGCTGTAAATAGTATGCCCTCTGTGTGTAACAAAGAGATGCTTACCTGTGCACATAATATTTCTGGAAATACACAAAAGAACTGGATGGAGTCTGGAATAGAGTCTGGATTTGGAGACAGACCTACTTTTATATTGCATTCTTGAGTTCTATTGACATTTTTTATTATGTGCATGTATTACTTTTTATAATAAAGAATTAATTTATAAAAGGAAAGCATACTATAATATTGTACATATTTAATTACTAGATTAAGCAGTGATTACGTTCTGTCTTAGAGGATGCAGGTTTGAATCCTAGTTACACCAAATATTAAGTATATGACTGTAGTTAATTTATTTAATCTTTCTAAACCTCAGTTCCCTCATCTGTAAAAATAATAACCACGCCTACTTTACGAGGTTTTTAATCTCATACTTTGCAGTGAAGGCTATTGGTCGAGTACATCACTAAGTGGAAGTAAGTTTTAATTTCTGTGTGAAATTCTCCTTGAAAGTAAAAGCACAAATTATAAAAATAATTCAGACCATGGATTCTGATTTTTCCATTTAGAAAATGATATTACTAAATAATGAAAGTCTAGCTTGCAAGAAGAGTGAGAGTGTTGTTTACCTGGGATTGTTTTAGAGGCTTTGGGGAAAAGGCCAAGCGTTGGGCGATGGGGAGAATTTGGTGAGGCTAGAGGTGAGGCCATTGCAGTTATAGGCAACAGTGAGGGCAGGGTGAAGGCAGGAAGGGACAGAGGATAGTGGTAAACAATGAGTAGATCAGTTGCGCTGGAGAAGCAGTTTCCTCTAGAGGGCGATAAATAGAGACAAAGAGGTTGGAACTGGAAGGCCAAGCCAAGGATCATACACTGTGTCCTACAGGCAGTGGGAGGCACTGCAGGTGTAAATGAGAAAGTGGCTGGGTTATCTTTTGCACTGTATGCAGTGGCATGAAACAATCTTTTGTCATGCTCACAAATTCTGTGAGTCAGATATTTGGACTGGGTATAGCAGGAATGATTTGTCTCCACTCTCCAATGTCTGGGGCTCCAGCTAGAAGACTCGAAAGTTGGTGACGACTTGATGGCTGTGGCTGGTGTCATCTGAAGGCTTGTTTACTCACTTGTTTGCAGTTCACACTGCAGTCGGCTGAGTCCTCCGCTGTATCTGTCTCCCAGACACATGTCCATGGCATCTCCATGTAGGCTGGGCTTCCCCGTAACATGGAGGCTGGGTTCCAAGGGCAAGCATTTTGAGAGACCTAGGAAACTGTAATGCCTTTTCCAACAGAGTTTCAGAAGTCATGTCCTGGCTCCGCTCATCAAGACAGTCACAAAATCTTGCCCAAGTTCAAGGGGAGGGGAAGTAAAATCCCCCTCTTGGTGGAGGAACAGCAGGTGGAACCAGAAATACTGCTGTGGTCACCTTTGCAAAATACAATCTGTGACAGACAGTGTCATGGAAAAAGCCATTAATTCAAAACAAATATGTATTGAGGCTGCTCTGGCTATGGAGTAGCCATTCTTTATTCCTTTACTTTCTTGATAAACTTGCTTTCACTTAAAAACAAACAAACAAATAAACAAACAAAACACATATGTATTGAGCATCTGTTATGTGTTAGGTACCCTGCCCCTGCAAGAGCCTGGGGAGATAGTGATGAGAAAAAACAAACATGATTCCAAGTCCTAGAGGTGACAGCCTGGTAAGGAGGCCAACTTGCATCAAATCATCACGTAAAAAATATAAAATTTCAACTATGGTAAGTCCTGGAGAGGAACATGGGACTATGAGTTCCTATAACAGGGTATGTTTTTTATTTTTTTGTTTTTAATTTTTATGGGTACATAGTAGGTGTATATATTGATGGGATACATGAGATATTTTGATAAAGGTATACAATGTGTAATAATCCTATCAGGGTAAATGGGGTATCCATCGCCTCAGGCATTTATCCTTTCTTTGTGTTATACACATTCCAATTATACTCTGTTATTTTAAGATGTACAAAAAATTATTGTTGACTGTAGTCACCTCTTGTGCTATTAAATGCTAGATTTATTCAGTTTATATTACTATATTTTTGTACTCATTAACCATCCTCACCCCTTACCCCACCCATCCATTACCCTTCCCAGCCTCTGGTAACCATCGTTCTATTCTCTATGTCCATGAGTTCAGTTGTTTTAATTTTTCGCTCCCATGTATGAGTGAGAATATTTGACATTTGTCTTTCTGTGCCTGGCTTATTTCATGTAACATAATGTCCTCCAGTTCCATCCATGTTGTTACAAATGACAGGATCTCATTCTTTTTATGGCTGACTAGTACTCCATTGTACATAGGTATCGCATTTTCTTTATCTGTTTGTCTGTAGATGGACACTTAGGTTGCTTCCAAATCTTGGCTATTGTGAATATTGCCGCAATAAGCGTGGGAGTGCAGATATTTCTTTGATATACTGATTTCCTTTCTTTTTAGCATATGCTTAGCAGTGGGATTGCTGGATCACCATAGTGACTGTACTAATGTACACCAACAGTGTATGAGGGTTCCCCTTTCTCCACATTCTCACCAGCATTCATTATTGCCTGTCTTTTGGATAAAAGCCATTTTAACTGGGGTTAGAGGATATCTCATTGTAGTTTTGATTTGCATTTCTCTGATGACCAATGATGTGAAGCTCCTTTTCATATACCTGTTTGCCATTTGTTTGTCTTCTTTTGAGAAATGTCTATTCAGTTTTTGGCCCATTTTTTTTAATGTGATTAATAGATTTTTTTCCTGTTGAGTTGTTTGAGCTCCTTACATATTCTGATTATTGTATCCCTTGTCAGATGGAGGAGTGTGGATTTTAGAGTCAGACACGGAAGGAAATGTTTCCCTGAGGAAGTGATGTTAGGGTGAAGAACTAAGGATGATAGACGTGGAGTAAGTAGATTATGAAGGAAGAGGGTTCTCCATTCAAAGATCCCATGGCAGGAGGGAGAAGGTGCATGTGATGACTATTTGTATAGCCCTGATGAGGGAGGACAGTGGCAATGAGAATAAATAGCCATGGAGAAGTGAGAGAGAAATTTTGAAGAAAGTACCAGCTGACTGAATATGGGGGACTTAGGAGAGGTGAAGGATAAGATGTTCTTGTGAGGTGTCAGATCAGGATAACAAGGAGGATAGTGCTACCATGAACTGGGGTCAAGAAGTCAAAAAGAGGGTGATTTGGTGAGAAAGAAATTGTGTTCAGGCTGAGGGATGTTGAATCTCAGGCAGTTGTGATATAAAGTAGCAGAAATCTGGGTAGACAGTTGGCTTATCTGACCAAGTAAGGGGTAGAGCTATAGCTTTTGGAGTAACAGATGTAAAACTGAGGGTGGAAGCCATGAGGAGTTAGGTTTGCAAGGAAGAGAAAGCAGGAGATTCAGAAGGGACTGGACTTTAGCACATGCACGTATTTAAGGGGAAAGAGGAGGAAGGGAAGGCAAAGAAGGGGATGACGAAAGTGGTCTGGGACAGAAGAATTAGGGCAGAGTTCATCTGGAAAGTCCGAAGATGAAGACATTTCAGGAGGGGGAGGTCCACAGTGCCATGTATGGCAACCAGGGCAGGAAGAGCTAGTCCTGAAAGAAGGCCTGTGAGGCTTGATGGCTTGGTGAAGGATTTTTCCCAGGGTTCTGCAGACAGAAAGAGGCAAAAAGAGTAAGTTAGGGTGGAGAGGATGGTGAGGATGTGGAAGGAGGTGATGGAAGTGACTGGATGACTTTGGTAGTGGGAGGAGGAAGCAAGTGATGAGGTGAAAGAGGAGATGGCAAAGTCATGGGGAGACTGGTCAAGATTTTGACGCATGACTCTCACGGGAAGATTAAGACAATGGAGCTGGAAACTGCTGGAGAAGGAGCGAGGCTTTGTTGAGGTCAATTTCTTTACGACTTTGGCATCTTCTTTTGGTTAAAGAGCTCCCTGCTTATTTTTAAGATGGAGACCCCAAAGGGTCATGGTTAGGAAAACTTCATAGCTGGAGGGAAATGCACTCAGAAGGGGTTGATTTGTGCTTGCTTTTTCTTTTCTTTTCTTTCCCCTCTCTCTCCTCCCCCTTCCCTTCCCCCACCTTCTCCTTCCCCTCCCTTCCTCTCTGTTCCTGTCTCCTCCCCTCTCTTCCCCCTCCCCTCCCCTCCCTCTCTTCCCCTTCCCCTCCCCTCCCATCTCCTCTCCTCCCCTCCCCTCCCCTTCCCTTCCCTCTATTCCCCTTCCCCTCCCCTCCCCTCCCCTCCCCTCTCTTCCCCTTTCCCTTCCCCTTCCCCCTCTTCTCCCCTGCCCTCCCCTCCCCTCTGCTCCCCTCCCCTCCGCTTCCCTTGCTTTCAACAGTCTGTCTCTGTTGCCCAGGCTGGAGTGCAGTGGTGTGAACACAACTCACTGCAGCCTCACCTCCTAGGCCCAAGTGAACCTCTTGCTTCAGCCTACCACCTACCTGGGACCACAGGCATGTGTCACCAAGCCTGGCTAACTTTTTGATTTTTTGTAGAGATAGGGTCTCACTTTGTTGCCCAGGCTGGTCTCAAACTCCTGGGCTCAAGCGATCCTCCTGCCTCGGCCTCTCAAGGTATTGGGATTACAGGCCTGAGCCACTGTTCTTGGACGGATTTGTTCTTTAAATCCGTGCCTGGCCAAGCAGTTAATGTAAGATTGTATCTGCAGACAACCAGTCCGTATAGAATTTTGCCTCAAGATTCCCTTGTACTGAAGAAAAAAAAGAACTTTAAAAAGCCCTCCAAAGAACTCTCATATGCTCCCGTCAGAGTATTTACAACATTCTGTTGAAATGGCATGTTTACATACCCTTCTTTCTTAGCAAGGCCTCATGTTCTCCAGGGCAGGGACTGCACCTTATTGTTCTTAGATTGCCAGAATCCAGCACCAGACCTGGTGTGCCAGGGCCTCTCAGAGGTCAGGAGAGGTCAGGGCCTCTTCCATTTTCGAGGACTCTGACATTGGTTGAAAACGGACCCAAGGACAAAACAAGGTTATAACAATCACAATATAATTCAAATGATAACTGGAATAAGTTAACAGTCTTACTTCACTTTCACAAAAATGAAACATATTTGTGCTATTCGTAATTACAGGTTTATGGAAAAAAACTTATTTGCAGTGAAGAGTCTTCTTTCACTTCTGCTGATCTGTGTGGCTGTGCAAAATCACACCAGGAGATGATGTTGGCACATACGTCTGAGGCTGGTAGTGCTGTGACGTGGAGGCCAGCAGCCCTCTCGCTGCAGCAGCCTTTCCAATCATCCCTCGCAACCCTGCCGGGCCCCCAGCTGAACAGGGTGGCATACAAAGGGTGCTCAATATGTGTGCTGCTTCCTTGACTTGAACCATATTATTCATGGATATCTCCTCGGATGTCTCTTTCACCTTTTTTAGGTCTTTGCTCGAATGTTCCCTCTTTGGAGTGTCCTTCCCTGACTCTTCTACTTTATTTATTTTATTTATTAATTTTTTTGAGACAGAGTCTTGCTCTGTCACCCAGGCTGGAGTGTAGTGGTGCAATCTCAGCTCACTGCAACCTCTGCCTCCAAGGTTCAAGCGATTTTCCTGCCTCAGCCTCCCAAGTAGCTGAGATTACAGGCGCCTGCCACCACGCCTGGCTAATATATATATATATATTTTGGTATTTTTTTTTACTAGAGACGGGATTTCACCATGTTGGCCAGGCTGGTCTCAAACTCCTGACCTCAGGTGATCTGCCCGCTTTGGCCTCCCAAAGTGCTGGGATTACAGGACTCTTCTATTTTAAATTGCAGTGCTTCCCATTCGCCTGTACTCTCTAACTCCATTCTCAGCTTTATTTTTCTCCATTGCACTTATGGCCACCCGCATTTGACATGCTTTGTTCATTTAATTGTTTCTTGTGTGTTATCCCCTTCTAGAATGTGAACTCCGTGAAGACATGGAGTTTTGATACTAGAATGAAGGCACTTGGCTCATAGTTTCCTAGGGCTACTGTAACCAAGTATCACAAGTTAAACAACAGAAGTGTGTTGTCTCCCAGTTCTGGTGGCTAGAAGTCTGAAAATAAGGGGTTGACAGGTTTGGTTCCTTCTCAGGGCTGAGAGGGAGAATCTATCCTAGGCTTCTCTCCTAACCCCGAGTAGCCTCAGACATACCTTGGCTTATATTTGGCGTTCTTCCTGTGTCTTCACATCATCTGCCCTCTGCATGTCTCTGTGTCCAGATTTTCCCTGTTTTATAAGGAGGTCAGTCATATTGGATTAGGGCCCACACTAATGACTTCATTTTAACTTGGTCACCTGCAAAGACCCTATTTCCAAATAAAGTCACATTCACAGGTCCTGGGGGTTAGGATCTCAATATGTTTTTGGGGGACACAATGTAACCCATAATAGTACTCAATAAATATTTGTTGAATAAACAATAAGGTCACTTCCTTAGGAAGAAAATAGGCCATTTGAAGGTAGACATCATCTTGATATACCATTGTTGAACATGGGACAGCATCTGCAGAGGACAGAGAAGGGACCAAGGGAGAGAGGTGGCTCCCTGGAGCTGGTGTGGCTGAGACTGCAGAAGGGAATCAAGGTAGGGACTCTCTGCAGCCAGGTTGCAGTGCAGGTGCCCTCACTCAGCAAAGCAGAGACCAGGGCAGGGCTCGGAGGAACCTGGAGGGGCCAGGGCAGCGACAGAGTGCTCTGCAAGGAAGTCCAAAGCCAGAGACAAAGGCTGGGGAGCCACATACAGACAGAGATCAAGAAAGCAGGTTCTAGCAGAGTCTGGAACCTCCACCAGCCTTGGTGGAGCAGAGAGGGCCCACTTTTCTCTTGGGCTAGAAAGATGAGCAGCTTGGTTTAATGTCCCACCTGGTTCGCAGGTGAGAATGAGAACTGAGAGCCCTGTGTGTGATCTTGGGCTACAGGGTGGTAGAATTCTGGGCCATGTGACCTACTGCTTCTAGGCATTAGCATGTTACTTTCTCTTCCCTTGGCTTCTTTTTTCTTTTGATTGAAGTTACTTTAGAGCATTCCAACTTCTTCTTGGTTGAGAAATTCCTTTTCTTTTCTTTCTTTCTTTTTTTTTTCTGAGACAGGGTCTTATTTTCTCAGAGTCACCCAGGCTGGAGTGCAATGGCACAATCTTGGCTCACTGCAACTTCCACCTCCCGGGTTCAAGCAATTCTCCTGCCTCAGCCTCCGAGTAGCTGGAATCACAGGCACCAGCCACCATGCCCAGCTAATTTTTGTATTTTTAGTAGAGACGGGGTTTCACCGTGTTGGCCATGCTGGTCTCAAACTCCTGACCTCAGGTGGTCTACCCATCTCGGCCTCCCAAAGTGATGGGATTAGAGGCATGAGAAATTCCTTTTCTAAGGAGAAGAGGAATTGCCGATGATGGTGCCAGCTGGGGAAGAGAGGGTGAAGGCTTCACGTGGCAAGACAGCAGCCAGCCCAGCATGAGAGGCAAAGGAACTGGGAGCAGATATTCATAAACTCAGGAGGGGGCAGAACTGCTGGCCTGACCACTGAGCCTTTCCTAGTTGAGTCTTTAATTCACAGAATATACAGGCAGAAAAAAATAGCTCATCCTTGGCCTCCTACTGATGTAATGTCACTGGATCAACAAAGTGGTTACACACAGGCAGTCACACAGGCACAGACTCAGAGTGTGCAGGGCAATGGAACTTTAATTCAGGATATGGAGCAAGTACAGATCACCTCCCAGCAGCGTCTAGACCCTGGGGAATACAGAGGTAAGCCTGCAACTCAGGAGAGGAGCCAGGCATATCAACTAAAGTTTGGTGCAACGGGGCAAGTGTCGAATGAGATACTGAGGTTGCCTGTATTCATTTTCCAGGATTGCTCTAACAAAAAACCAAAATCTGAGTGGCTTCAAACAGCAGAAATTGATTGATGTTCTGGAGGCCAGTCAAAAAGGTGTCAGCAGGGCCATACTCTCTCTGAGGGGCCTCAGGGAGAATCTTTCCTTGCTCTTCTAAGCCTCTGTGTTTTCCGGCATCCGTGGTGTTCACTGGCTTGTGGCTGCATCACTCCAGTCACATGGCCATCTTCTTTCTGTGTGTTTTCACGTGGTCTTCCCTCTGTGCGTATCTGTCCCTGTAACCATGTATCCCCATTTTATAAATACTCTGTTCATATTGGACTAAGACCCACCTTAATGACATCATTTTAACTTGATTACCTCTGCAAAGACCCTGTTTTCTTTCTTTTCTTTCTTTCTTTCTTTCTTTCTTTCTTTCTTTCTTTCTTTCTTTCTTTCTTTCTTTCTTTCTTTCTTTCTCTTTCTTTCTTTCTTTCTTTCTTTCTTTCTTTCTTTCTTTCTTTCTTTCTTTCTTTCTTTCTTTCTTTCTCCTTCCTTCCCTCCTTCCTTCCTTCCTTCATTCTTTTTTTTTGAGATGGAGTCTCGCTTTACCACCCAGGCTGGAATGCAGTGGCACAATCTTGGCTCACTGCAACCTCCGCCTCCCGGGTTCAAGCGATTCTCCTGCCTCAGCCTCCTGAGTAGCTGGGATTACAGGTGCCTGCCACCATGCCCAACTAATTTTTGTATTTTTAGTAGAGATGGGGTTTCACCATGTTGGCCAGGCTGGTCTCAAACTCCTGACCTCAGGTAATCTGCCCACCTTGGGCTCCCAAAGTGCTGGGATTACAGGCGTGAGCCACTGTGCCCGGCTCACTTTTTTTTTTTTTTAAAGTTTATAACTTTATTTGATGTATTTGATGATCAGCAGTTAGTTCTCATCCACATTGACTGTAGATTTTTGAAAGTGGTAACAGGTACATAGGTAACCAAAGTATAGAGCTTATTTGGTGAATCTTTATCCTCATTATGTTTTCTGGACAACCACACACAGATACAGTATGGATATTCCTTATTCCTTTGGCTCGGACAGCTTTGTTAAGACTGGCATCAGTGTGCATATCTGGAATTGCCATCTCCTTCGTGGCAAATTTCTGGATCTCTCTGAGTGCCTGAGAGACACGCTTCTTGAAGCCCCTCCATGGATGCACTTGTGAATGTCGATGATGTATTCTTCAGTCACCACCTCATTGATGGCAGAACGGCCCTTTTTCTTCTTGTCACCCATCTTTGCAGCGCCATTCTGCTGGGCCCAAGTTGGAAAGGAAGAGCACCAATCTTATTTTCAAATAAGGCCACATTCTGATTATTGGGGATTAGGATCTCAACATATCTTTTTGGGGGGGACACAAGTCAACCCATAACATCGCCCAGTGAGGGAGTGACTACTCAAGGTGTTTGTATATAATGGGCAGAATGTTGGGGAAGGCTTACCAGGAAAATGAAGTGGAACAAGAGGCATTCCAGGCAGGCAGACCAGTGCAGACAAGAAGACATGAAGACGAAGATTCAGGACAAAAAGAAACTGACACCTCTTGGGATCCTACTGTGTTGCTGGCACCATGTTAGATATCACATAAAAACCAGCATTGAACCCTCCCCACGTTGCCATTACTCCCCCATTTCACAGGTGAAAGCCGATATGTGGAGATAGGAAGTGACCGGGCAAAGGTCAGATCACAATGTGGCACCATAGTGGAGACAAGAAGCCATACCCAGTGCCCTATGTCCAGTGCCTTCTCCAAAAATATGGCATAAAGCTGAAGAGACTTAGGTGGAAGGAAGAGTGTTTGGGGGTAGGGCTTTCTCTTAGGGGTCCCGGATATCATTCCATGTAGATGGGTGCCTACTCCGTCATGGAATGCTCCTGGTCAGGCATCGGAGAAAGGCCTTGGGCTGACCTCTGAGTCCTCTGCGACACCTGCTGACCTGCTGGAGGTTTACGGATCCAAGCAACAGCCACGGTGACCAGGCTGAGTGATTACACCACATCGGAGAACTTGGCTTACTCTGTGTCTGTGGGAACAACGGTCAGCTCTGCTCCTAATGAGAACAGTAGCTGTCAATTTCCTGAGTGTCCACGGCCTTAAGGAAAACATGAAGCAGCCAGGAGGTTCTGACTCCCCTGCTTCTGTGCCTTTGCCCAGGTGTTCATCCCCATCAAGCCCTAATAAACACTTGGTGAAATGGACAATCTAAGCTCCCCAAAGATGCAGTGGGAAAAGCTCTGCCTTTGGAGGTGGAATACTGTATTTGAACTTGGGTCTTTCCATTTACTGTTTGATCTTGGCTGCGTCTGTTTCAACTCTCAGTTTCCTCATCTAGACATTGGCATAATAATATCTAACTCACAGGCTTGCAGTGGGTATTGAATAACAGCACAGATGCATTTTGTTAACATTAAAGTGCTGTGTGTATGCAAGTTATTAATCACAGTTGATACATTTAGGACTCTGCATAGAGCTAAATCAGACAATCTCTCCCTGTAATTCTTTCTCTCCCAAATAGAACCCCCTAAAATAAGGGTCTTCAAACTGTGGCTTATGGGCCAAATCCATCTTGCTGCTCATTTCTGTACAGGCTATGCACTAAGAATCACTTTTACATTTTTAAATGGTTGAAAAAATCAAAAGAATAATATTTTGTGACATGAGAATTATATAAAATTCAAATTCCTGTGTCCATAAATAAAGCTTCATCAGAATGTAGCCATGTTCATTTATTTATGCCTACGGCTGCTTGCAGATGACAACAGCAGAGCTGAATAGCTGCAACAGAGACCAGACAGCCCGCAAAGGACAAAATATTTACCATCTGGTCTTTTACATAAAATGGTGCCTGACTCCTGATCTAGAATAACAAAACCAGGCGAATAAAAATGCTGAGCTAAACCTGGATCTTTAAGCATTCAAACTGGCTATGTCCACAGTCCTCAAATCTTTGGGTCTTTGAGGAGTTCATACAGACCTGTCTTCCAGGAGTGTTAGAGCATTGGCCTCGGTTGCTCATGGCTTAGGCAAGGATGACAGAGCCCCCAGCAGAGTCCTTGGCTGGCAGCCTGCGGCCTCTCTCACTAGATCTGAGGGACCCAGGAAGGCCTGTCCCCTTAGCAGAGCTGCAGCTGTCTAAGTCCAGAGCCACAAAAATCCCACCCTGCCTGCCGCCGTTTAGCCATTGAAGTTGCCTGCACATCAGCTGGCAGAGTGCTTTGCCTAGTGACAGGTCTTCCATTTAGATGTAATCACCTTTTTATATCCACGGAGCTTTTTTGAATGCCTCTCTCCACCCAGCGCTTTCCCTGATGATTGAAAAGAGCTCAACCATCAAATGGCATTATCTCCTCTGAATGGCCTCAGTTTATCACCTGGACAAGCCCAGAAACTTCAACCCTGAGCTTCTCTTTGTTGTAACAACAGGTGCTCAGGAAGGGGGTGGGGTGAGCAAGGGGGAGGATGCGTCTAAGAGGAGGAAGGCTGGGAAATGCTCTTTGGGGGAGATCTTTAGAAACTGAATCAGCTTTGCTACTCTGGAACAGGCTGCAACAGAATTTGTGCAGGACTCAAGGGTAGCAGGTGATGCAGTGATCTTTCAAGCTTCTGAAAAAAATGTCCTATGACTGACCTAAGTCATAGGTCATACCTTAAAAAGAAAAAGGGTACCAAAGAGTTCCCCTAAAAAGCTCTAAGGGAAAAAAATTTCAAAAGTTACTTTTCCATATTTTTTAGTTGTGTAAAAAATATTCTTATGGCTTGAGCCAGTTTAGTGACTACATTTTCTACTTAGTCCTCTCTGACAAGGGTCTAAGAAGGTTCCATTATTCCCAAGTGACAATTTTTTAAAGATGCATTAAAATGTTTAGTCAGCCAGGTGCAGTGGGTCACACTTGTAATTCCAGCATTTTGGGGGGCTGAGGCGGGAGGATCACTTGAGCCCAGAAGCTTAAGACCAGCCTGGGCAGCAGAGGGAGGGTCCCGTCTCCACAATAAAAAAAAAAAAGAAAAAAAATTAGCCAGGTATGGTGGTATGTGCCTGTAGTCCCAGCTACTTGGGAGGTTGAGGTGGGAGGATCCCTTGGGCCTAGGAGTTCAAGGCTATAGTGAGCTGTGATTACACCATTACACTCTAGCCTGGGTGATAGAGTAAGACTCTGTCTCAAAAAAAAAAAAAAAAAAGTTTAATCCAACTATAAAAGTCGGTACTGGGGAGTCTGGAACTAAAGTTCAGAGGAAGCAGTATTATAGAGTGGGAATTGGGAACTTTATCTGGAAAGAGCTAGATAGTAAATCTTACAGGCTTTGCCAGCCATGTGGTCTTGGCTGCAACTATTCAACTCTGCTGCGGTAGCACAGAAGCAGCTATAGATAATATGTAAATGAATGACCCGGGCTGTGATCCAAGAAAACTTTATTTACAAAAACAGGTGGTGGGCTAGATTTGGCCCGCGGGCCAGGTTTTGCCAACCCCTGGTGTGTAGAGCTTTAGCCTGCTTAGCACTCTCTGCTTTTCCCTACCAGATGGTAAAGCACAGAGAATGTGCCAGTTTATGGCAAGAAGTTCCCTAATGGGCCTAAGCTGAAGTTGTAAGTGAAACCGAGCAGAAGAGGGACAGAATCTTCAGTGTGGAGGTGATATGGTGGTTGGCAGTAGAAAGAAGATTGTGGGCCAGGCATAGGGTCTCTTTAACAGCAGAGTATCTGAATATGGATGCTAAGGTGGCGGAGGAGGTAGGAGCAAGACATCTGGTTCTTTGTGTTGCCTAGGGCTCTAAGCAACCTCAGGCTCCACCTCTACTATGATTCCTGCTCTTTTTAGTCATCCCTGGAATCTTCTGGGATTTATGTCTCCTTTATGCCATCTACATTCTTGTAAACTCCCAATCTTGGCTCTCTTGCCAAACCCATTAGAGCTCACCGTTAGTAATCCTGCCTCAACAGTACCTTTCCTTGGCATTCAGGATAAATTAACCCTCCTCTATGCTTTCCTGGTGCTGCTATACACCTCCATCAGGTATAAATTGCATAATATCGCGTTATATTTATGGCTTCCTCACTGCAAAGTTTTCATGTATATGTTTTCCTCATCTTTACATTTTCAGCGGCTAGCTGGGGAAAAATGCGAAGAAAGAAAGAGGGAGAGAGATAGATAAAGAAGAGAAAGAAAAAAAAAGCAAAAAAAAAAAAAAGAAAGAAAAAGAAAAGAAAAAAATAGATGCAAGTTTGAGTTAATTCAAAATTGCCCAATCTAGTGCTATTTTGAGTGCTTTCTAATTGCTTTATTTATCATGTCTTCTCTCCCAGTGACTTATACTGTTTTTGAGGGAGAAAGGCAGAGTTGTAGTAGCCAGGATTATACTAGTCACAAATGGCAGAATTTCCATATCCAGCCTAGGCTAGAAGGGGGATTTGTTGGTTCCTGTAACTGAACCAAGGGAGGGCAGAGTGCAGCTGGCCTCAGGGTCAACAGGGAACAGGGAAAAGACAAGCGGATAGGACTCACTGTCCTCCATCTTGGTTTCTGCCCACGTACTAGTTCTGTTCACTCAGACTGATTCTCTTTTGGAATCAAGGGTGCCAGCAATGGCCAGGTTTCACGACCTGCCATTTTTACCGTGAAGAGGAGCTGCCTTACCTCCTGCCCCCCGCCTCCCGCCTCCCACCTCCCGAGGTCTAACTTAAAAACTCTTAGGGAAACATTGGCTTTCCGTGGGTCCTGTGCTCCACCTGAGATCAGGGAGGTATATTTTCACAACTGGAAGCTTCTAGTAGAATAAAACTGGCATGGGGTGGAAGGAAGACATCCCAGAGGAAGGGGGATGCATTTCTTAGAAGCAGAAGAACATGTGACAGGCAGACAGAGTAAGAGACATGCATTCAGTGTCTTCCTTTCTTGAATAGCCCTTTCTCAGTGGTTAGCCCTAAGCTGGGCAGAAACACACATGAACGACGAGAGCCATTTTCCTTTTAAAGTGCTGCCTCTCATCCCTTATGCAAATTTATCTCCAGTTTGGGGCTGCCGATAATTTTTTCCAGGGTAGATACATCCCCTTACCCTGATGGATTAAGAACCCACCTTTTGGCCAGGCATGGTGGCTCATGCCTGTAATCCCAGCTGCTTGGGAGGCCGAGGTGGACAGATCACGAGGTCAAGAGATGGAGACCATCCTGGCCACCATGGTGAAACCCTGTCTCTATTAAAAATACAAAAATTAGCTGGGCATGGTGGCATCCACCTGTAGTCCCAGCTACTTGGGAGGCTTAGGCAGGGGAATGGCTTGAATCCAGGAGGTGGAGGTTGCAGTGAGCTGAGATCATGCCACTGCACTCTGGCCTGGGTGACAGAGGGAGACTCCGTCTCAAAAAACAAAACAAAACAAAACAAAACAAAACAAAACAAAACAAAACAAACCCACCTTTTTAACAGACTTTATAGTCTAGAAGTCCCACCATCAACGTTGATCTTCCTTTCTACAGCCTGTAAGCACTGAAAAAAAGAGGCCCAACCATCTATTATCCATTCCACACTCATTTGTCCAGCATTTACAAAAAATTAGTAAACTGTTTTTTGGAGCAATTTTAGGTTCACAGCAAAATTGAGTGGAAAGTACAGAGATCCCGTCCAGCACATATTTTTCACAAACTATTGTGCAACCAGCTTTTATTGACATTTTTTTTGTTTTACTCAAAAACTCTGTGAAGTAGGGATGCATTTTTATCTGCACATTTCAGATAGGGAAACTGAGGCCTAGAAAGGTAAAGGGGCTTGCCCAAGACCTCACAGCTTTTGAGGAGCCAATCTGGGGGTGTTACTGTGCATTTTCCTGGGCACTTTCAAAGAGCAGAAGTTTCCAAAGCAGGAAGGGCTGGCTCTTCAATGGTAGAATTCTCCTTTCATAGTAGATATTGAGAGAAATAGTGTAACTATTGACAGGTTTTGAAAACCCTGAACTCAGCAAACAGACCACGTTCAGTCTGCCCATGTCTATTCAAGTCATCAACTTTGGGTCCCCACTGTGCCCCTGTAAGGGAGTCTAGCAACTTCTAATAAGGGATGGGCATTTTCTGTGTGGCTCCTTTCCCACCATTGATGCTGACATTCTGGCCCCTGAATACCCATTTCATTGGTACCAAATGGAAAAGCCCCTGGAGGGGAGGATGCCTGGGATGAGGGGGAGGGTAGCTGATGGGGCTCTCGAGATAGCCCTGGTTCGTCTCTCCCAAGACTAGTTCTCATGCCAAAGGATTCTTGTGTCTCAACCCATGAGATCTGTGGGGCTACAATTCCAGTTTCTTCTTTCTTTGGCTTCAGTACTTTCCAGCTCCAGTCTCTTGAGGTTAGGGTGTATGTGACGGGGAGAGGAGACTGGGGCAAGGGGTGGGGAGTTGAGTGGAGTGGGTGGTTGGTAATATTTTCCAGTTCTTTCTAAAGTGTCTGCCTTCCCTTAATGGATACGGAAGTGAGCCAGCCAGCTGACTGCCCCGACTGCAAGATTGGTTACTGCTTACATCATCTGAGCAGCCAGACTGGGGACAGGGGTGGTGGGGAGGTGGAGGAGAAGCTGAGCAGGGATTAATCCAGCCCTGAATGAATTAATAGACAAAGGCATTGGAGATCAGGTAACCTTTTTCCCAAGCTCATGCCCTGGGGATGTGGAGAAGAGCCAGACAGTTCCATTAGTGCATGCATGGCGTGCTCTGTGGGTGCTCCGCCCTTTATCAACATTTCAGTTCCATTCCATTGCACCCTATGCCTCTCCAGTCTGTGAGCTTTGGTTGAGAATCAGGAATGTCCCAAGAATATATTAGTGGAGGAGTGATATAGAGAGATCTAAGATTAACAGCCCTCTTGGCATTCCCTTTTAGAGGGGGCCAGCAACCTGCATCAGTTAGCTTTTGCATGATGAGCTACCCCTAGCGTTAGCGATGTCTGACAACATTCCTTCATCACTGCTGCGGAGTCTGCAAACCAGCAGGGCAGGCCTGCTGAATCAGATTGGGCTCTGTGGCTCTTGGCTGCACTTGCTTAAGTGTTTGTAGGCTGGCTGATGGGCCAGGCTGGTCAGTGATAGCCTGGATGACTGGAGCCTTTCTCTGCATACTCTCTCATCCTCTCCCAGGCAGACTTGAGCTTGCTCAGGTGGCAGAGGCAGGGTTCCAAGGAGGCAAGGGGCAGCCTGCAAAGCCTCTAGAAGACAGGCTTAGAATACATGTAACATGTTCTGTTGGCCACAGCAAGTTACAGGGCCAAAGCCGGCAGTGGGGAAGAGCTCCAGCTCTTGATGAGAGTAGGGGAAAAGAAATGCAGACATTTCTGCACTCTGCTTTAGACACACGCACCCTCACTATGCACAGAAGACTGATAGTCCTCTTTGATTTCTCTTATCACACATGCTTATGGCAGGATGGAGGAAGAGTAGTTAAGTCTGACAGGGGTGAGTGGGATGGGACAGAATTTGAGGAAAACTTCACAGAGCAGGCAGCCTTAAAGGACAAATAGTATTTCAACAGAAGCAGAAACACACACCTCTTTCTCTTCCTTTTCTATTATTTTCCTCTTGCCAAAAACCCACATTGGACCCAGCTACCACTTAATCTAGAGATTCCATCAGCGATGCTGTGGTGGCTCCCATCCAAGTATAAACCAGGTCAGGCCCTGCTTAGCTTCTGAGATTGGGTGCATTCAGGGTGATATGGCCGTAGACGGTGACCCTATGGCGTAGAATATGCTTTCTGCATCTGGAGGCAAGATGAGCTCCAGCTAGAGCTTCCAGGGGTTAGAAAAAGGGAGGTTCCCTGACTCACATTTTTGCCAAATTATAATGCTTCTTTCCTATCTCTCGTCTCTTCTTGAGCTCCTCCCCTGCCGCTCTTTTTCTCGCTGTGATTTCTAATGGGTATAGATCTATGGATGGCAACAAGGAAAAAGAAAAGTAAAAATTGTTATTATTCCATTGCCAATGGAAGAAAAGATCAATTTATTTATCTTACTCTGTGGAGGGGTCATGCAGATACCCCACTCATTAGTATGTGAATTCCTTGTTAAGTGCTTAGTGCAGTTTTGGGGGCAGAGTGTGTGGATCAATAGACAGCATGAAGGCAACAGAAGTGATGGTAATTGTTGTAATTATTGTACTTAATGAGTCATTGGAAATGGAAACATTATTTGAGCAGACTTCTACTGCCTTAGCAGAATTTGCTGATTTGCTAGCATCCTTTACTAGTAAGATCATTAAAAACAAATATTCAAATTTTAGAATTGTTTTTTCTATGATCCAGCAGTCTCACTATTAGGTATTTATCCAAAGGAAATCAGTATATCAAAGGAATACCTACATCCCAAGGTTTACTGAAGCACTATTCAAAATAGCCAAGATATGAAATCAACCTGTGTCCATCAACAAATGAATGGAAAAAGAAAATGTGAGACATGGCTGGGTGCAGTGGCTCACGCCTGTAATCCCAGCACTTTGGGAGGCCAAGGCGGGTGGATCACGAGGTCAGGAGGTCAAGACCATCTTGGCTAACATGGTGAAACCTCGTCTTTACTAAAAATACAAAAAAAAAAAAAAATTAGCCAGGTGCGGTGGTGGGTGCATGTAGTCCCAGCTACTCGTGAGGCTGAGACAGGAGAATGGTGTGAACCCAAGAGGCGGAGTTTGCAGTGAGCGGAGATCGCACCACTGCACTCCAGACTGGGCAACAGTGCAAGACTCTGTCTCAAAAAAAAAAAAAGAAAAGAAAAGAAAATGTGAGATGTATATATATATATATCTGTATGTGTATTTTATATATATATATACACACACATATATATACACATATATATATAAAGTTGGTGCAAAAGTAATTGCGATTTTTGCCATTAAAAGTAATGTAACACATACACATGTAGAATACTATTCAGCCATAAAAATGAAATGTCCTCATTTGCAGCAAAATGGCTGGAACTGGAGGTCATTATGTTAACTGAAATAAGCTAGATACAGAAAGACAAATATTGCATGTTCTCACTCATATGTGGGAGCTAAAAGGTGGATCTCATGGAGGTAGGGAGTAGAATGCTAATTACCAGAGTTTGGGAAGGGTGGGGAGTTGGAGGAAGAGAGGGTGGTTAATGGGTACAAACATACAGCTAGAAGAATATGTTGCGGTGCTTGATAGCACAGCAGAGTGACCACAGTTAGCAGTAATATGTTGTACAATTCAAAATAGCTAGATGAGAAGATCTGAAATGTTTCCAATGTCAAAGAAATGTAAATGTTTGAGGTGATGAATGTCCTACGTACCCTGATTTGATCATTACACATTATTATGCATGTATCAACACATCACATGTGCTCCTTGCATATGTAGGTTGTTATGTTTCATTAAAAAAAGTTTAGGGCCAGGCATGGTGGCTCACACCTGTAATCCCAGCACTTTGGAAGGCCAAGGTGGGTGGATCACCTGAGGTCAGGAGTTCAAGACCAGCCTGGTCAACATGGCGAAACCCCGTCTCTACTAAATATTAAAAAACTTAGCCGGGCATGGTAGTGCATGCCTGTAATCCCAGCTACTTGGGAGGCTTAGGCAGGAGAATCACTTGAACCTGGGAGGCAGAGGTTGCAGTGAGCCAAGATCGTGCCATTGCACTCCAGACTGAGCAATAAGAGTGAAACTTGGTCTCAAAAAAAAAAAAAAAATTAAAACAAACAAGCAACTTTCTATTTTAGCACATGCATGAGGAACTCTCTTCCCTAGGGGAAAAAAAGTCCCAGGAGGAAACCTAGAGTGGGTCTGGGGTTGGTCCTCCTCCCTGTGAAATCTACCCTTGGAGAAATCCTCTGTCCACATCTCCACCTGAGGGAGGATGCCCTAACCCTGCCCTCACCCTAGCAGCTGTTGGAGAAGATGAGGGAAGCGCTGAGAGTGCAGACTGTTTTCTTATGCTCCCCAGTCTCTGTGGCCAGGAGTACTCCTTTTGCCAAGAAAGGGGTGGTGCCCCACTAAACCTGGTTTGTCTTTTCTCTGTCTCTGCCCTGTCTTTGAAGGTCCTAGGGCCCTTGTGCATTTCTTACATGCCAATCATGGAGTAGGCTGGGGCCTGGGGTTTTGGGTAGGGATTCTGTTTTGTTCGTTCCCAGTCTGGAAGATGTGGCCAAGAGTGGAGGTTCTAGATGGGAGCTGAGGTGGTGCGAGCCACCTCCACCCTTATGTAATCCTCAGACCTTCCTCCCCTCTGTCCTTCATGACAGAACCAGTGTCTAAATCTGAACTTGTTTGGTTGCAGAGAACAGAAACATAATTCCGATTAGTGTAGACAAATGAGACATTTCTTCCAGAGATACGAAGGGCACTGAGATGCCTCACAGAAATAGGGGAAGAGCTGCAGCAATCACTGTTTGCTCATCTCTGCTTATCTGTGCTTCTCTGACTGCTAGTTAATTTTGAGTACTTCCCAGAGGCTTTCGTCTCCTAGGAGGCACATAACCACCAGCTGTCCCTGCTTAGCAACTTCTGCAGAAAGAGAGTGCCTTTTCCCCCTACCGTATTCTTCGCTGCAACTCAGGGAAGGATTCTCAGTTTCCCTACTTGGGCTACGTGTCACTGCTGCCTGAACACAGACCACTAGGCTTTGTTCGTCCTTAGTCCTACGCCCACTCCTCCAAGTAGCAGAAGAAAGACGATGGGAATGTTTGCCGAACAGACAACACCCAAGAAGTACTCTAGCAGGCCTAAAACCTAAGCAGGTGATGTAATCCTTTTTTCTATTATCTCCAGAGCCCATCAGCATAGTTGGTGTCTACTCTTCCTTCCTATGGCTGATGGGTATAAGCCAATCATTGCTGTTCCTCTTCTCATTGACAGTGATTGGTTTAGGTACAAGCATGTGATGTGATCCTGGCCAATATGATGTAAGGAGATAACAACTAGAAGAGTTCTCAATCCTTAAGAAGCTTAATCTCTTTTGCTGGCCACTATCCAGCCTGTAAGGGATGCCTGGAACTGTCGGACCCAGCCTGCAGCTGTAAGGACCTGGTCAAGGTCAAGGTTGACATGCTGAGGATGGCACAGCAGAGTGGAGCCAGGTCCTTGAGGACCTGGTTGAGCTGTTGAGTTAACCAACCCTGAAGCCACCATCTCCAGGGCATTTTTTTTTTTTTAATATGAGAGAGTAAATTTTTCACCTATTTTAAGCCAGTGGTTTTCAAAGTCTGGTCTCTGGACCAGAAACGCCAATCAGCATCCCCTGGGAACTTGTTAGAAATGCAAATTCTTGAGTCTTACCCAGAACTACTTAATTAAAATCTCTGGGAGGGGGGCTCAGCTGTTTGCCTTTTAACAAGCCCTTCAGGTACATGCTAAAGTTTGAGAGCCACCATTTAAGCCATTGGAGTCAAGATTGGAGGAGGATTTGATTCTGTTTACTTGCTGCTGAAATATTCTAAGTGGAATAGTCTTAACAGAAAGGGTCTGGAAAGAATCTAGAATCATTCCAATTCTACCCCTTCATTTCGTACCCGTGACTGAGTTTAGGGAGGAACTGTATGCGATGTTTGCTATGATGCTGCTCCTGAGGGCTGGGCCCTTTCTCTCTTGAAGTTCTTATTCTCATTTTTATCATTATCATCAATAAATCTTTACTTTCTGCATAGAGTGCATAGGGTGAGTCCCACAGATGCTTTACCTGATGCCTTTGACCTCAAGATGCCTGTACCAGTTAGGAAACAAACTGGGTGATTAGAAGTGAGCTTAATGAAAGTAATAAAAAGATTGTTCACGGGACAGGTGTGATGGCTCACACCTGTAATCTCAGTACTTTGGGAGGCCGAGGCGGGTGGATCATGAGGTCAGAAGATCGAGACCAGCCTGGCCAACATGGTGAAACCCCGTCTCTACTAAAAACACACAAAAAATTAGTTGAGCCTGGTGGCCATCCCTGGAACCTGCGAACGTGACCTTATTCGGAAAAGGGGTCTTTGCAGATATCATTAAGTTAAGGATCTTGAGATCAGGAGATTACTCTGGTTTATCCAAGTGGGCCTTAAATCTAATGACAAATGTCTTCGTAAATGAAAGAGAGGGATTTTAGACAGAAGAGAAGACAGAAGAGGAGGAGGCAATGTGACCACAGAGATAGAGATTGGTGTGATGAGGCCACAAGACAAGGAATGCTGACAGCCACCAGAAGCTGGGAGAGGCAGAGAACTGATCCTGTTGATCCCAGAGCCTCCAGAGGGAGCGTGACCCTGCCAATACCTTGATTCCAGACTTCTGTCCTCCTGGAACTATGAGAGAACATATTACTGTTGTTTTTAACCCACCAAGTTTGCAGGAATTTATTATAGCAGCCACAGGAAACTAATGTATAGGTCCATAGAGAGGACGATATGCCAGGAGCTGTAAGGAGCCCAGACAACCTGGAACAATGCTGCAAGGAGAGAATGAGGGAATCAATTCCCAGCTTCCCCTTTCTTCATTCTCTCTGACTTCCAGATAGTGCCTCCCACTGGCCAAATCCAAATGAAAACTGTAGGGCAAGGGACTCCCCTTGATAGGGCCCCTAGGGGTTGGCCTCCTGAGGCTCAGTAGGATGGAGAAGGTTGGACTTGGAGGGACAGGTGGAACTGTCTGGCATGCCCCCCATTGCCCGAAAAGCACAACTGAACTGTTAGCATTGAACAGCCATGGAAGGATGAGGTGCAAACATTTCCATGAGATATATGTGGCAGGAATTAGTGCTTTGTGTAGTCAAGAGGAAAATAAATTGTCTGAAAAAGCTGGTGGAAGAAGTAGAAAGTTAAGTAATGTTTGAGTAGCGGGAGAAAGATGGTTGGATGATCCAGGGATGAGAAAGTGATTCCTTATATATGTATATATTTGTGCTTGGAAGATAGCTAGAGATGATGGTGGGATAAGAGTATTAGATATGTGTGAACAGCATGTGCTTATGATGTTGGGGAAATCAGGTGGGAAGAGGGAGGAACTGGGGAACACTAACCTCAAGTAGAACTATGACATTTTTTTCAAATTTCTGGCATTGTGGCAATCAACAATAGGGTCACTGCTGCCCCATGTAGAGCCCTAACTATCCCTTCTACTGACAGGCGAGGACAGCCCCATAAGATCTAGCCTCAAAGTCTAGGAGTACTGCTTCCCAGAAAGGTAGTGAGTGAGTGTTGAAGTCAGTCCTATGTCCTTTGAATAAGAAGACACAGGGCTCAGAGGATAGAAGTTGGGCTGGATGAATTACAGGGACCTGTGGTCATCATTCTAGAAGCAATTTGCTAGGCAGGGTCTGGAGGTGTTGGACTCAAACCCATCACAGCCACTGTCCTATGAGATCCTAGGAAAAGTGTTTTGTTTTTCCTGTGTCTCTCTCAGGAAAGTGGCCACAATGAGATACTTTCTATCTATCTTGAAGAGACTTTGATAAAAACAAATAATGGTAAATAAGCCAGGGGAAATAAATAACAATCACTAATTTATTAAATTTTCAAAAATCATCTAATTACAAAGCAGGGAAGAGAAAAGAAAAGGCTAGGGAGGTGGAAGATACAGAAACAATGTCAGTGGGCTAAGAAGAGACAAAAGCATTCACATTTATCAGAAGAGATAACCTTGCCCCCTCTTGCACTTGTGCTCAGGAAATTTTGCTTCTCTTTGCCAGATAATCCAAGACGGAGGAGAAGCATCTCCATGGCACCTCACTCTGATTTGCGAGGATTTGGCCAGAGAAACTGTTCTCAAGAGTGTGAATTAGGTGGCAGCTACTATTTTATGGTACCTCGCTATCCACTTTGTAAGGTACGAGTAACAACAACAACAAGCAAACCAAATTACCAAAGCACAAAAAAAAATGTGTTCAGTCAGTTACAAAATGCTCCTCAGCCAGAGAAGTGGGCATCTGACTCCTGGAGGGGCCCTTCAGCCTGTGGAGTATTCTTGTGTGTTGCAGGTTTCACAGTGAGCAGAGGCTGTCTCTGAAATGGGCAGAGAACCAGTGGGTTGTAGTAGTTTGCATATGGGGAGAAAGGGAGAGAAAGAGAGAGAGACTCTGTGTGTGTGTGTGTGTGTGTGTGTGTGGATGTGTGGCTGAATGTCATCTGTGTGTCTGCACGCAACATTGTGCCAATGAAGTTGGACATGCATCTATGTGTGGGATGGGGTCCTGGCCTTGGCAACAAGGGGGTGTACGTGTGGGTGTGAGTGACAGCAGACTCAGAGTCCAGGCCCAGGGCCTCTGGGGACTGTCACCTGCAGGACTCATCATAGAGGAGACCAGGTGCTTGGAGTGTCCCCAAAGCAATACAGAGTGCATGGTCATGAGTTTGAAAAATATTCCTGTGAGAGATATAAATAAAGCCTCTAAGCCCAAAGCCAGAGTTTTCGAAAGCCAGCCTTACACACAAGATAATTTATAGTTGCTGGTGTCCCTTCCCATGCATGACTCAGCTCTCCTAGCCCAAGTAGGCCCAGCCTGCTCCAGTAACCTTTGCTGAAAGGGAAGAGTTGAAGCAAACTCCAAGAAGCCCAATGATCCAACCACCCAGCTCCCGGACTAGCTCCTGCTGAGCTCCCTTCCTCTGTTCCCTTTGGGCAAACTCCAACCATGACATGGATGAACAGATCCTGGAAACTGAGAAACCAGAGACTTGGGTACTCCCAGCTGGCTGGTCCTTGGAAGTCTATTAAACTGGTTCCCGTATACCTTCAGGATCTTGGCGGATTCTGCTACCCATACAATGGGTATTGGCTCAAACACCCTTCCCACCACTCCCCAGCCTGCCTTCCAGCCATTGGGAGGCAGCAAAATCAGAACAAAGACCTGCTTGAAGCTAGAGAGTTTTTCTCAGTCTCAGAGACTCTTGAGCCCAACAGGAAGAATAAAAATGAGAGCACTTTTACCTTTTATTTAAAAGACAGTATATACCCATGTCAAGTGTCAAAAATATGGCTAAAAAGAGGGATAAATAGTGACATGCTTAAACATTGTGGTGAATTTGTGGGGGGAGGCAGCCAGCAAGGAACAGGGTTAGTTTTTTCAATTTTCTCCCTATATTCCTCACTTCCCACCCACCTTCTTTCGTTATATTTTTAGCAGACTCTTTGGCCAACCACGTCCAAAGAGACAGATGCAAGTACAGAGAGTGCATACTGAAACCAAAGGGTGTTTCTTTTTCTTCTTTTTTTCTTAAAAACCTTCCAGGAGTGTGGAAAGGACTGGAAGTGCTCGAAGGTCTTTTTAGCCACATGCCTTACCCCAACTGGGATCTGGAACATTTTTATGCCAAGGCCCATATGCCTGATTGTCCAAGTATAGGGGAAAAAAATATCATTCAGGGCTTTAAAAAATAGTTTAGCTTTTTGATTAAACTGCTAAACAGCCTTGAATAAAATATTTTTTTTGCTGCTCTAGCAGATGAATTTGTGCAACTGGCCTAATTTTAATACAGGATCCAACACATAATAGGTATGTAATAATTGTTGAATAGATGGATAATTCTTTAACCCTGTAATGAAGTGTCCTCATTCAACATGCATTTATTAAGCCACTCTTTGGGTGTGTACAAGTGTGTATCCTCAAAGGCTTCTTCCTGCAATAACATTCTATAATTCTGTGACCTATATTCTGAGTAAGTCATATGCTGATTCTTTGATTAATCTGGGGGAAGGAAGTTTCAAGTTAGCCAAGTTAAAACACACATACACGCTACACTCCAAACCTACACAAACCTACTTCTTAAATGATAGAAAGCGGAGGACCTTGGTAGCTGCATAGCTAAAACCACAGAATTTTGCCTGGTTTGGCCTGGCCTTGTTGGAAGTGCACAGAGCCTACTCTAGATCCCATAGCTCAGTCTTTTGAAGTTCTTCTTTTGTTCCTTGCCTCCTCTTCTTTCTGATCTTTCCATTCAGGGGTGGTCATCTTCCACATTCTCAGTTTCTGAAAGCCCCCTGTTCTCCTAGTCACCCCTGTCTTTTCCCATCTTAAAAATAACAAAGGCTGTGTGTCATTCATATGTGCGGATTGATCTGCACATGTGGATGAATTTGATTTAGAGATCCTTGCATGTTATTGGAAGGTAACAGACTAACAGAGAGGCGAAGAGACTCCCAAGATCACACAGCTATTGAATAGCAGCAATCTAGCCCATTGTTCTGATCTGAAATTGATCTATAATTCTCAAGTGAGAGCTACAGATACAATTCCACAAGCCTGCCAATTAGGAGACTTGAGGTGGCCTTGAGGCTGAGTCAAGCCAATCTTTCTGCCCTTTTGATAGCTGGTCACTCCCCTTGGATCTATACTATTTGCTTCAGCTTCTAGTGATTTCTTCTACTCTGTTTGGGATATTCACACTGTATTAGGAATTTATAGACCTGGATGGGCCCACCAGATGTCATCTGCTTTCTGAAGTTCTCAATCACCAGGCAGAATTCCAGCCCCAGCAATCCTTTGTTCTGAAGGATATAGGGAGGCCCTTCAGTAAGAAAATCAGTCTGAATTTCTGTTTTTCCCTCCAGAATGACAGTGGCCCCTTCTGTTGGGTTTGCAACATTTACTCTGGAAGCCCCCACTGCACGCTTACCCTAATCATCTGCAGGTCTTGGCTGAGCATTTAGAGATTCAGAATACCATATTGGGTACAACAAGGGTCTCCTGGAGCCAAAAAGATACAAACTTTCAATCCCACTGGTTAGGGTTGGAAGGAAGACAAATACACAGAAGATTCTGTTGTTCCGATGAAAGGGATCTCTGTGTCTGCACAGCGATGACAGGGAATGGTGTTTGGTCTCAAACAGCACGTTTCTGACCCGATTGACTTGGAAGATGGGCTGCTCTTGCATTGCGGCCCATGCCAAGGTCACGGGGACACATGACCACTGCAGGGAAGGAAGATCTGTATTCTCTGGCGAAAATTCACATGAGTGGGGAAGGAGAGGAGGAGGTGGCATGCAGAGAGAGGGGCCATCCCACTTTGCAAATCCCTCCTCCAGCTTTGTCACTGCTCCCCACCCCTCAAGTTAGAAGCACCAGCAGCATGGGCCAGACCAGGGCCAGCTGATTCTGTGGCCTGTTTATACCCTGTAACCAGAGCCTGTTCTCAAAGAGGCTGCCTGACAGCTGCAGATGTAAGGGGATGGACCAACACTTCCAGAGATTGAGTGACGCGTGCTGGTGTCCATCTCAGGGGCAGCTTAGCCTGACAATCTTCTCAAGCCAGGGGATGGGAGTGGGAAAAGGTGGAGCAGGCTACCAGTTAGTGCTCATGGTGGCGGGACCTTGGAGCCTGCTATTGAGCTTGTGTGCTCCCTCCAGCCCCTAGTCTGCCAATGGGATTGCTTTCTTCAGGGTCAAGGCAGGTGAAAGAGGAGTTCTGCATGTTTCATTGGTTTATTTTTCCCACTCTTTATCTTTGTCATTACAGAAAACAAAAAGAACACATGATGAGGCTCTGGGTCAGCCAGGATTCTAGATTCTGCTGCCAGACACATCTTACAAGGGTAGAGTGCTTGTTTCCTCATCCCAACCCCAAGCTTCTCCTCAAAGGTCAGCCTTTCTTTCTTCCCCTCAGCTCTGGGAGGCAGTAGCAGGGACCTCCCTCCACTCAGCCCAGCCTGGACTCCCAGCCAGGAGGCTGGGGCAGTGAACCCCACCGCTAGGGTCTGGTGAGGCTGAAAATTCTTCAAGCCAGGCCATCTTACAGGCCTTTCTACAGCTGTGTCCCGACCCTCTATGCCTCTGCAATTTCATATCCTAATCCTTTTGGGTCAGGCTCCCTCCACCTTCATCTTTCTTTTGTGTCTTTCATAAATTGGTCCTGTAGCAGCTGCTCCTGCCCCTGCCCAGCCCCCAGTCGTGGGTGCCCTGGAGAGTGGGTATACATCGTATCCTGGCTCTCTATGTTCACACCTCTCATGATATTTGCAGATGGTTAACATGTTCTTTCCTTTAGTTTCCCGCTCCCCGCCACTTTGGCCAGGGTCGGGGTTGTGGCGGGGGGGGGGGGTGGGGGCGCGGGCGGGCAGGAAGGGAGAGGCAGATTTAGCTCATGCTGGAGCCCAGCCCTGGCACAGCCTGTGACCCGCTGCTCTCAGGGCAGCATGCCAGTGCGCCCTTTTACTGTCCTGGCCTGTCCGCTTTCTGATGGCAGCCGTGGCAGGAGTGGGGGTGGAGCTCATGGGGTTGGCTGGGTTTGTTCAACAGCTGCCTCAGAAAGGAAAAGGCGAGGGTGAGACTAGAGGGTTTGGGGAAAACAACACAAAGCAAGGCGTAGAGGTTTGGAGATTAGAGTTCAAGTCCATGCATGGTCACCAACCAGCTGTGAGAACTCAGTTTCTTCATAATTTAAAATGGGAATGATGAAAATTCACGCTTCTTGGAGTGGATGTCAGAATCATGGACATCAGGGCAGGGGGAAGATGCTTGTCAAATTGTTTTCTTAGGGTCTGGCTCATAGTTTGTATTGGCAAAAATGAAAGAAGAAAGGAAGGAAGGAGAGAAGGAAGGAAGTAGAGAAGGAAAGGAGAGAAGGAAGGAAGGAGAGAAGGAAGGAAGGAAGGAGAGAAGGAAGGAAGGAGAGAAGGAAGGAAGGAGAGAAGGAAGGAAGGAGAGAAGGAAGGAAGGAGAGAAGGAAGGAAGGAAGGGAGGGAGGAAGGAAGGGAGGAAAGGAGGGAGGGCAGAACTTTCTGGGGCTCCTGTCTTTTCAAGCACTGAAATCTGAAGCAAACTAGACTTAGAGGCTGCTGAGTCTGCAGGTTCTGGCCCCAGGATTCGCTGGGTCTTTGCACTTGGTCACTCAGTGATGAGCTCTTTTGTCTATTTTCTTCCCATTGATCAGAGTCTCCGAGAGCAGAGGGAGCACATCCCCTGACACCTCGCACATGACAGTTGCTTCATCAGTGCTGGTTGTGCTCCTGAGAACTCAGCATGGAGAGAGGCCTAGTCCCCGCTCCCCTGCTCCCAATTGCTCTGTGACTCATTCTCACGGCTCGCCCTTCAGGTTCTCGTTCTTGAATTTCTCCTGCTCCCTCCCACTCCCAGTCCTTTGCCATGTCTCCCCTGTGCCTGGAACACTTTTTGATGCAGGTCACCTCCAGGACTCTGCCACTTTCAAGTTGAGTGTTCCAGGTAGGTCACTGAACCCCTCTGAGTTTCAGTGTCTTTATCTGTAAAGATAAAAACTAGACATAACCTTTGGCTGACTGGGAGAGTTGGGATTGGATAAGGCAAGTACTGAGTCCAAGGCCTGGCTCTGAGTCCCTGCCCCAGGGACAGCAGCTCCTGTGATTTTGGTTCATCATGGTAGGTCCCTCCTTCTCTCTCTCTTCTTGGGAACTGCCACCATCCTTTCTGTTCTTTAACCTGCTTCTCCGCCAATAAAGGCAGAGTGGAACACTCTCTTCCTGGCTCCTATTTCCTCGCTGCCTCCAAAGACAAGCCTGTCACCTCCCCACCCCGCCTGCCCACATCTTTGTTTTACTAAATGAAGGAATAATTATAAAAATTTTAGAACTTCATCAGGTCCTACAAGCATACACCTGAATGATAACTTCCCTGTTGGGATAATAGCTAGAAACTCTGTTGGGTGTTTGCCTCTTGCTCGAATTCCTTATTTTATTTTATTTTGAGCAAAAACACACATTTATTTACTAACCAAAGGCTGATCCTAATCTAAGCCAACACTTTAAAATAGCTGCATGTAAAATATTTGTGATGAAGATAATTAAACACAGTAATGAAAAAAATAAAAACAAAAACAAGCAGGATGGAGATATGTTCATTGAACTGAAATTGTTCCTTCTCTCAGCTAATTGCTCTCCAAAGCAGTAAGGAAATTTTTATTCTGCTTTTTTTATTTTCACAGATCTGAGTACAGGTGACATTGTTCATAATGCATTCCATCCCTGCTTTTTTGTCTCCCACTTTTCTTCTTCTTGCGTTTTTCTTTCCTCATCCCATTCCCAGTGTTGAACCAATGCACGCTTTGTAAAGTTGCAGACAAATAGTCTGAGTTTTTTCTGCCATCACCTGTAGTTCTTTCATACTTCTCTCCAAGTTTAGAAGAAAACCGTGTTGTTTTCAGAGTGCTCTTGGTTTTTATAGTGAAGCTTTTGCCATCAGAGATGGCACCATCTGGTTTAGTCATTGCACCAATTTTGCAGGGCCATTCTCATCCCTGTTTCTTTGAGGTATTTCCTCTCTGCTGGGCGCCATCTTCCTAGCAGCTGCTGAGTGGTGACTATGGTTGGCAGATGGCCTTGCAAGGTGGTCAGAGTCGAGGAGGTATACTCTCCTGTTTGAATTCTTTTTTTTTTTTTTGAGACAGAGTCTCGTTCTGTCACCAGGCTGGAGTGCATTGGCGCCATCTCGGCTCACTGCAACCTCCGCCTCCGAGGTTCAAGTGATTCTCCTGCATCAGCCTCCCGAGTAGCTGGGACTACAGGCATGTGCCACCTTACCCAGCTAATTTTTGTATTTTTAGTAGAGACGGGGTTTCACCATGTTGGCCAGGATGGTCTTGATTTCTTGACCTTGCGATCCGCCTGCCTTGGCCTCCCAAAGTGCTGGGATTACAGGCGTGAGCCACCGCACCCTGCCCTGTTAAATGCTTAATAGTGGAGTTCACAAACCACAGCCTCCTTATTTCTGACTTATTTCTACTTTGGCCTCCTGGATGGCTCTCCTCTTCCCAGAAGTAGACCAGGAGATGCAATTAAGGAAGAAAGATAAGTGGTTAATGCTTGTTCTCTGGAGGTCGGCCTTACCAGTGATGAGCTTTGACCTTGGGAGTGGAGAAGCGAGAAAAGATTTTCTTAGCAGTGGTTCTCAAATGTTAGTGTGCAGAAAATCACTGGAGTGCTTTCTAAAAAATGTCATTTCTAGAAAAGCTCCCCCTACCCCAGTTGATTCTGATTCAATAGGTCTGGAAAGGGGCTAAGAAATTTGCACCTTAGCTCCTTAGGTGAACCAAGGCAGGTGGTCTAGGGTACCCCAACCACAATTGTGAACACTTGAAAATGTGTCTTCTGCTTGTCCCATAATAAGTGAGTCACTACTGGGTCGTCTGCCTTGTTACAAGCCAACCTGAGTCAATCTGTTTGAGCACAATTGTTGGGTACTTTTTAGTGGTTAATGATAGAGCCAAGGAAGCTTGAGTTGGGTGAGGTTAGCTGTTCCTTCTCATCCCTGCCAGCATCTTCTAATGAAAATAAGTCTCAGACCAGATTCATACCTACGATGATTAAATAAGCATTCATGATCAAACAGGCACCTGCTTTGATAGCTTAAATAAGTCCCTGATCTCTGTCCTTGTAGATCCTCTTACCTTCCACCAGTTTATTCAAGGCAGAAACAACACAATTCCAAAGGCAGGAGCTGGTTACCCTGATTATTGGCATTAGGCAATTAAAGATTCTCTTGACCAATGACTGGACACAGGACTGCTGGTGGGTCGAGTTCCAGAAGCCATCCTAGGTGCAGCCTAGGTCTCCATGGGTTCACATCCAGAGTGTTTCTAAACTGTTTTGGCCAATGTACATATTGTGAATATCATTAATTTCACAAAAAGAATTTATTTTCATCGCTCTTTTTTTTTCCTGTTTTTAAATAGAGGCAGGGTCTCACTATATTGCCCAGGCTGGTCTCGAACTCCTGGGCTCAAGTCATCTGCCTGCTTCGGTCTCCCAAGGTGCTGGGATTACAGGTGTGAGCTACCACACCCAGCCCATCATTCTTAATGCTCTAAGACAGACAGTTATGCATGTCTGTAGATTGGTGATTCTCTGATTTGAGAGCAAATCAGAATTACCAGAGGTTCTTGTTAGAAATGCAGATTGTAAGGTCATATCCCAGAGACTGTGATCCAGGAGAATGGGTCTCAGGAATCTGCAATTTAGCAAGCTCTCCGTGTGAATCCTGCTGTCTGTGGTCCTGGGGCCTCATTTTGAGAACAACCACTGTAGCTCCCCTGGAAGCGTGAGCAACCAATAATGGGATGATTGCTCACATGGGTTCCCGCAGCCCCACCCCTGCCCTGACATCTGCTGATCCGACAACTCCAAGTGGCTTGGCTTCAACCAGGAACAAATGGCTGCTGCTTACAGGCCAACTGGCACTCACCTGGTATCAGGCTGATTTCTAGGCCTGGAAACCACTCAGCCCCAACTCAAGAGGGGCGCTCTGCAGAGACCAGCTTGTTTGAATGCTTGAGAACCGCAAGACCTCTGTGTGGTTCCCATTCTTCTACTCTGCTTTCTGGCCCCTGCCCAAGTTGCCCAGTTTTCATTTCCTGGTTACGGAGTCATTCACACTCACATAAACACACACACTCCTTGATTTCAGATCTCAGGGACATGGGGGTGAGACGGAATCTTGAAGCAGCCATTTCTAGCAGTAAATCTGGTAGTTGCACATGCAGGCATTACTATTACTGTAACACTTTCTGGGTTGAATCTGAGCTCCCTTGGCAAGTTAATCTCTTTGTTACCTAATTATTATCTTTTCTGAAAAAATGGAAATAATGAGTACCTCTGTGAGTTTACTTGTTGCTGATAAGTAAAATGCCTGGCACACAGCAAGTGCTCAATAAACATGAGCTACACACATACACACATACATGCACTCACACACACACATACACCTCAAACATGGGTATGCAACTCACACATATTCTCTCACACACACCTTCTCATACATGCATATGTGCACTCACATGTACACACCGTGCACTCACACACTCACATACACCTTTTATATGTGCATATAAACACACGCACATACTCTCTCACACATAATCCCGCAATACACCTCACACACACCTGTGCACTCACACATACTCTCTCACACTCACCTGTACATTCTCATACAGGCATATGTACACTCACAGTACTCTCGCACACATTCTCACAATACACATTCTCCAACACATTCTTATACTCACACTCGCATACTCTGACATAGACATGCACACATAGACTCACTTTCATATACCACACCCCCGCTCACACATCTCACACTCTCATGCCCACATAGCTACACTCATGCTCATGCCCTCACACACTCGAGCACGCATTTGTCACACGCTCACTCTCACACCCACACACCCACATAGACGCCTCATACTCATGGCCACACACACTCGCACACACATTTGTCACACACTCCCTGATACTTATCCACATAGATATACTCGCACTCATACTCTCACACACTCATACACAGACACATTTGTCATACACTCACACCCACTAGACACACTCGCACTCACACTCTCACACACGCTCATTTGTCACACACTCACACTCTCACACTCACACACAGCAAGTGCTCCACATGGACACACACTCATACCCTCACACACACTCATTTGTCACACACTCTCTCACACTCTCCCACAGACACACTCACACGCCCACAAAGACACACTCACACTTATGCCCTCACACACATGCATTTCTCACACACTCACTCTCTCACATTCACCCACATAGACACCCTCACACTCATGCTCACACACACTCACGCACGTCTGTCACACACTCACACAGTGTCTGACACATGCCTTCTGTGGAGTCAGAGTGAAATGGGCCTTCGCTCGGAGTGGCTGGCGGTGGCAGGAGCTCAGGAGACAGGAGCAGGAGGGATTTGACATTCACGGGGCCTCATCTGTGCTTGTTTTGGGGAGGTGCCAGGCAAACCAGACTCCACCCCAGTGTCTTTGGAGCGAGGCAGCCATGGGCAAAACCAAGCCTGCTGTAAAGCCCCAATGTAGAGTTCAGGCAAAATGTGGTGAAAAGGGAGGAGGCAGTTTTGGCGAAATCTTCCCGGGAGACCACGCAGCAATACCAGTGACAGAAATGAACAGCTATGTGCCAGGGACGGCACTGTGCGCATGTAACACATCTCAACCAATCTGCTCAACGACCAGCAGGCATCGTACGACCCCGTGTTGCAGACGAAGAAACTGAGGCGCAAGGAGGTTCCTCGGCTTGTATGCCTGGGTGTCATGTATGAGCCAGGCCGTCTAGGTGAGTATGGCAGGCAGCTCCCTGTGCCCCCGTCACACAGAGGGTGTGTGTGTGAGCTGAACCTGAAGACAGTGTGTGGGGTGGTGACATGGGGGGCACGGGAGGTGGACAAAAGGCAGACGAGTGGGACAGCGTGTGGCATGGCCCTGAAAAGGGAGGCAGCCCGGGTCAGTAAGGGTCAGATCTGGGAGCCACCTCAATGCTTGCAGAAGGAGTTTGGCTTTTGTTTTGTCCCGTGAACTTTGGGAGGAGCTGAAGCCTAGAGCAGAAGGATGATTTGAATTTTAGGAAGATGATGGGGTGGATGGAAAAGGTTAAAGAGCAGAGGAGCGACGCTCTGGTGTGGGCAGCCCGAGAGGTGATGGGGTTTCAGTAAATCATGGCGGGGAGTTCAGGCCACCGCCGGAGTCCAGTGGGTAGGGCTCTCTACGGCCGGAGGTGGCTGTGGGGGAGACGGGCGGGAGGCCCAGACCGGCAGGGAGCTTTCTGCAGGGAAGCTGGAAGGATGGTGGGGCCGGTAACCCAACATGGGGCCCAGGAGCGGGAGACATGGCCGGAGGGGCGGCGAGGAACGCACCGGGGTGGGCTAGTTTGGAAGGGAGCTCGGGGAACAGGCAGGGGACTCTCAGCCACGGGAGGCTCTGTCACCCTGGGGCTCGCCAGGGCAGGCACGTGGGTCAGTGCCCTGAGGAGAATGCCCTCGTGGGAGGCCAGGAGAGCTGCCAGTGCTGGACGCCAGAGCGGTCAGCCAGAATATTCCACTGGAAGAGAACGGCCAGTGTGTGTGCGGAGACGGCCCCTGGGCGCCACCTCCCTGCTTGGGCATCTCTTGCGCCGTGGAGAAGGGTTCAGGGTATGCTCTGTTCAGCTGACGGCTTCCCCAGAGCCACCAAGGTCTGAGCTCCTGCCTCCGATCTGGGATCTCCCCACATCTTCGCTGACTCTGGAAGGAACTAGGGGCCTGTGGGGAAGTCCCGCCCTCTGGGGAGAACAACTGAGGCTGAGCCAGAGCTGAGAACCACTGTGATGGGGAAGCAAGGCAGCTGGAGCCCGTCCTAAACCCGAACGGAAATGAACTAGACATCGATCAGGTGTCTCCTCTCTGCCAAGCACTGGGCTCAGCCCCAGGTGTACAAAAATAAAATGTGGTATTATGCACAACGGAATAGTATTCAGTCTTACAAAAGAGGGAAATCCTGTCGGTTGTGACAACATGGGTGAATCTGTAGGACATGAAGCTAAGTGAAATAAACCAGGCACAGAACAACAAATACCCCACGATCTCACTTCTGTGTGGAATCTAAAAAAGTCCAACTCATTGAAGTAGAGAGTAGAATAGTGGTTACCAGAGGCTGGGGAGAGGGAGCAAGTGTGAGGGTGGGGTGGTGGGTGGGGGGAAATGGTGTTGTTCAGAGGGTATAAAGTTTCAGTTAGAGAAATGCATTTTGGGGACCCATTACACAGCATGATGACTATAGTTAATAATGTAGTATATATTTCAAAATTGCTGAAAGAGTAGATTTTTTTTTTTGATGGAATGTCGCTCTGTCTCCCAGGCTGGAGTGCAGTGGCGTGATCTCGGCTCACTGCAAGCTCTGCCTCCCGGGTTCATGCCATTCTCCTGCCTCGGCCTCCCGAGTAGCTGGGACTACAGGTGCCTGCCACCACACCTGGCTATTTTTTTTTTTTGGTATGTTTTTTAGTAGAGATGGGGTTTCACTGTGTTAGCCAGGATGGTCTCAATCTCCTGACCTCGTGATCCACCTGCCTCGGCCTCCCAAAGTGCTGGGATTACAGGTGTGAGCCACCGCACCTGGCCGAGAGTAGATTTTAAATGTCCACTATCACCACACACAAAAAAATAAGTATGTAAACTGATGGATATGTTAATTAGCTTGATTTAATCATTCCATAATGTGTATGTATATCAAAAAACTACCTTGCACCCCATACCTATACACAGTGATGATTTGTCAATTAAAGATAAAATATTGGCAGGGCGCAGTGACTCACGCCTGTAATCCCAGCACTTTGGGAGGTCGAGGCGGGCAGATCACTTGAGCCTAGGAGTTTGAGACCAGCTTAAGCAATGTGGTGAAACTCCTGACTAATTTTTGCACAAAAAATACAATAATTAGCCAGGCATGGTGGTGTGCACCTTTATAGTCCCAGGTACTTGGGAGGCTGGGGTGGGAGGATTGCTTGAGCCTGAGGAGTTTGAGGCTGCAGTGAGCCACGACCACACCACTGCACTCCAGAGCCTGGGTGACAGAGACTGCCCCTGTCTCAAATATATATATATATATATAAAAGTCCCTGCCCTCAAGGGCTTAATAGAGAGCCTCATGCGAAACACACATCATGGCACAGATGTAATGAGACAGCAATTGTGGAGCCAGAGGATTGGTTCTTCCTGGAAGGGTCATGGAGCACTGCACGGTACTTTTGACACTGGGTCTGAATAGTGAACAGGGCTTTCTCGGCAGACAGGAACAGTGGATAGGGAGGGGTACAGGGTAGGGAGGGCATTCTTGCCAAAGGACACCACAAAAAAAAAGTCATGTGGGTGGATCACAAGGTCAGGAGTTCGAGACCAGCCTGACCAACATGGTGAAATCTCGTCTCTATCTAAAAATACAAAAATTAGCCAGGTGTGGTGGCACACGCCTGTAATCCCAGCTACTCAGGAGGCTGAGGCAGGAGAATTGCTTGAGCCCAGAAGGTGGAGGTTGCAGTGAGCTGAGATCACGCCACTGCACCCCAGCCTGGGTGACAGAGCGAGACTCTGTCTCAAAAAAAAAAAAAAAAGGCAGGGACAGGTGGAGGCACCAGCGCAGGAAGAACACATGGTCTGGGTGTGGCAGTCAATGAGGCTGAACAAGTGTGGCTGGGACCCAACTGTGAATTACCTTGTGGCTCATGTGAGTTGCTACCATCTTCCAGCAGCACTGCCCAATGAAACTGTCTGTGGTGATGGACATGCCTATATCTGCACTGTCCAATATGGTAGCCAACAGCCGCGTGTGGCTACTGAGCACCTAAAATGTGGCTCATGTGGCTGAGGAGCTGAATTTTCACTGAAATCGATATTTAAGTTTTAATAGCCACATGTGACTAGCAGTTACTGTATGGGACAGCACAGCTCTGGGCAACAAGGAGCTGCTTAGATGGGAAACAGGGCCAGTACAGGTGTGTGGTTGTTGTAATGAAAAACATAGAACTAGTAACTATCTTTGTACAATGTATTTGTTTCTTGGAGCTACTATAATAAAGTACCACCAACTGGTTGTCTTAAACAACAGAAATTTATTTCCTCCTAGTTCTGGAGGCTGGAAGTCCAAGATCAAGGTGTCAGCAGAGTTGGTTCCTTCCAAGTGCTGAGACGGATTCTGCTGTCTGCCTCTCTCTTAGCTTCATGTATCCTCAGCCATGCTTTGGCTTGTAGATAGAATTCTCCCCGTGTCTTCACACTGTCTTCCCTCTGTGTGTCTCTGTGTCCAAATGTCTCCTTTTTAACATGGATCATATTGGGTTAGGATCCACTCTAATAACCTCAACTTAACTTTATTATCTGCAGAGGCTTTATTTCTAAATTATGCCACCTTCACAGGTACTGGGGGTTAGGACTTCAGTGTCTTTTGGGGGAATACGGTTCAATCCATAGCATGTGGTATGAGGTCATTCATACAGAATATAGTGTAAAAGCTTCCATAATTGGCATATTTTTTCAGAATACCCTTCTATCACAATAACTTACATGTACATCTCTCTGCACCATCATGTCTGAGAAGTCCTTTGTTCCTCACAATTACTCAGAGTTGAGCAGAGGTCACCTGCCCACTTTTCAGATGAGCTGGGGTTCTGGAAGACTACATGACTTGCTAGAGTTACATGATGATTAAGTGACAGAAACAGGGTCTTCATCTAGTTTCCTCTACAAGCTGTTCATGGTTACTGTCTGGGGCTCTCATCTGTCTTCTGAGTCATTACGGTGAAATGTTCACTATAGTTTTCTTTGAACACTGGTCCCTACATATGGGGCTCCGCTTGTCCCCACAATCAGACAGAAGAATGGGGGAGTGGGGTGAGACTGTGGCTGGGGTAACAGAAGGAATATTGGACTCCTCTCTTGGCTCCATCAAATGGCAAAATCCAGCTGTGGACTTTGGGCCAGTCACCTTCCACCTTCAGGATTGAGTATTGTCACCCATGGAATAAGGAGGCTGGAGGAGGGGACACTGTTGTCCTTTCCATCTCACTTTGGGGAACTGAGACTCAGTGGGAACCAGGCTCTGGAATCAGACCGGTGCTGAAGAGGCTGATCCTAGGCGAAGGTGTTTGAGCAACTTCAGCCTTTTTTTCCAGAGGCCTTGCAGGGGAAGCAGATTCAAGGTTCCAACATAGAAAATGAAGCTTCAGGCCAGGTGCGGTGGCTCATGCCTGTAATCCCAGTACTTTGGGAGCTTGAGGCAGGTGAATCACCTGAGGTCAGGAGTTCAAGACCAGCCTGGCCAACATGGTGAAACCCCATCTCTACTAAAAGTACAAAAATTAGCTGGGGGTGGTGGCGTGCACCTGTAATCCCAGCTACTCGGGAGTCTGAGGCAGGAGAATCGCTTGAACCCAGGAGGTGAAGGTTGCAGTAAGACAAGATCACGCCATTACACTCCAGCCTGGGCAACAAGAGGGAAACTCCATCTCAAAAAAAAAAAAAAAAAAAAAAAAAAAAAAGAAAGAAAGAAAATGCAGCTTCAATATAGTTTAGCCTTATCCTCACAGGAGACTCAAATGGAGCTGTCATTCTGTCTAGATGAGGGAACTGGGCAGGGGAAAGGCAGGCTTCTGGTGGCACAGGGACTGAGGAGTCCTCACCAAGGGACAGATGTGAAAGTTCTGGAAATTTTGAAGCTAAAGGAAGTATAGGCAGTATATGGAAAAATGGAAGTATAGGCAGTATATGGAAAAATGGAAGCAATGTAATTTTTAAGCATCTTATTTTTTTTTCAATTTTTAAACTTAAAATAGGAAACATCTCCCAGCTCTAAATGCTCTTAAAACAATTACATTTGTTATATTTTGAGATGAGAAGTCTTCCTGAAAACAACAGAAGAATTTGTCGGCAAAACCCACTGTTTTTAAATATTGGCATCCTCATTTGTAGTGCTAATGAGCATTTCTGTTTCTTCATTCCCTGTAGGGGCTTCATATCTTGACATTGTTATATACTATCCTCAGCTAGCAAGGGGCATGAAGGGCAAGTCCAGGACGAGCCTGGGTTTGCTCAGCATGGGGTCTTGGCAGTATCAAGCACAAGAGTCCCTCCCTGGGCTTTGAGTCCCCAAAGAATGGGAAATTCTGTGTCCCATTTCACCTCACCCTGCTGCATTTTCTTCTGTTACCTCTCCTGTCCTTGTACAAAGGAATCACAGCTCATCACTCATGATCAAGCCAGTTCTATACTCAAGGCTTGGTGAAATGGGAAATTTAAAGATCCTCAAGGTAGATAGATAAAGTCCTTAAAGGAGATGGTAGATACGGGCTGGGGCTTTGTATTGCATTCGTCCTGTACCCACCTGTACATTGCACTTGGGTTGCCAGATAAAATACGAGATGCCTAGTCAAATTCGAATTTCAGATGCACAATGAAAAACTTTAGTATAAGTATGTCTCAAATATTGCATGAGGGCATTCTTATACGTATTTATTATTTACCTGAAATTCAAATTTAACAGAGTATACTGTATGTTTGGTAAATCTTACAAACCCTAATGGCCCACTTTTTACATCATTGCTGTGATAACCAGCTTGGAGCCCCTGACAGTCAGTGTCTAAGCTGTGTCTTGTATCTCTTGTTTTGCCCTGGCGCTTCTCTGATATTACTGTGTGGAAATTCTGGACACTGGCATAATTGCAAACTGGGAGGGATTTAACAACCATGGTACAACCCCTCATCAATGGAGAAGGGAAGTAGGCGGACAAACATTTCTCTTTTCATCTTTCCAGTGGACAATTATAAGGTGCATTCCATATGGCTCTGTAGAGGATACCAGTGGGATTGAGCTCAATTTCCTACAGTGGTGACTAGTTCATAATGCATTCTTATGTTAGACTCCTTCCCTCCCTCCATCCTCCTTCTCTTCTTCCCTCCCTCAAGCTCTCCTCCCTTCCTGTCTTCCTCATGCTCTGTCTCTGCTTCCCTCCCTTCTTTCCTTTCTTCCTTCTTTCCTGCTCTTTCCCCACTTCTATTTCCTGGAGTCGCTTCAAAAAAGCTGTACTCAAGCCCTTGTCTCAAGCTTGGCTTTCTGGGGAGAAACTCAAGGTTAAGAGAGGCTTGGAAGCTCCACTGGGGCTTCTGTTAGAAGGAGAAACTAGATCTCAGAGCTGCATAGAATTTTAGCAAATTTGGGCTGGAAGAACCCTGAGAGATTATGTAGCACACCCATACATTTAGCAGATCTGGGACAGGCCAGAGACTTTCCTAAGACCATCTTCCAACCCTTCTAGCCCATGGATAATCTGAAATTTCTGCTTCTTGTAAAGTGAACGAATCTATAGAAAAGCACAGTGCTTAACACACAGCAGGTGCATGGTAAATGTCAGGATAAAATAATACAGGGAGAGGAATGGATAAAGGTCAGCTGTGATATGGTGCAAAATATTTCCATATGTCTCTGTGGCAAGTCTCTGCCTTCAGGCTTATGGCTCTCTCCACTTGGTGTTGCTCTTGTGGGTTCTGATGTGCACAGATCATTCAAGGGAATTCTAGACATGTACAGACCATCCAAGAAAGGCAGATCTTTGGGAAAAGGGACCCAATGAAAACTCTTAGTGGAAACACTTGTTCTTCAATTTTGACACCAGAGACAGGGATTTTGGACAAAGGCAGCATTGCTTCTAGGGAATTGCTTTGAGTCTCCTTGGATCAACCCAACTCAAATAATTTAGTTCAATTTCACAGATTTTTGTGTCTGGAACTTCTTAAGTCTGAAGAGTTCTTAACAAGGTTTGTAATTTGGTTCATGCTTGCAGAAGACCATGGTCCTGTAGATCACAAAGATAAGTCTCCTGAGAAGGGAGGCATGGACCTAATTCATGACACCAGACACTTGAAATGAGGACCCTATAACCTTTAAGAAAGCACCTGCACTAGGGAGAACAGAAGAAATGAATGATGCGAGAGAAGGAAGAAAGGCCAAAGATGGTAAATGCTTTCTCTGTGATGAGAGTTTAATCCTCAGAACAATCTCTCCTACTCTCTGCTCACAATAGTGAGGAAATCACGCTAATTGGATCTGGTAGGCAGAAGTGGCCCTATTAAGACACATGCATGCCAGAAAGTGGGAGATAAGCTCCACAAAGATCCAAAGATCTACTACTTCAAATGGGTTTTCAGGGGTCCACTGCTTTAGAGCACACCGAAACACACCTCTGAGATGAATGACAAGTTGTTGTACTTTGGATCCACTACCATTTCCTTACTACTAGGTCATTTTAGGCCCCACGTGCCAATGGACTAGCAGGCAAAGAAAGGAGTTATGCTACTTGGGGTAGGGGGTGGGGGTAATTGACCTAGACTGATACGAGGAACCATGGTGGCTTCCATACAAGGAACGGCAGAGAGGAGTCTATTGGAGCTCATGGGGTGCATTGGGCATCCTTGCCCAGTGATATTGGTGAATAAGCAATTTCACCACACTAAAAAGGTCAAGGCAACAAAGAGCCTGTGATGCCCCACCTGGAAAGCAACCCAGACAAACCAAAGTGCTGACTGAGAGGAGGGGAACCCAGAAAGGGTGGTGGAGGAAGGAGATGATGAATATTAATTATGGCTTCTGGACAGATGCAGATGTAGGGACTCCAGCTGGTTCCACTAATTCTCTTGCATTAAGTCTTTGTGGAGATTGTGGCCAGTCACCACTCTAGGGGTCTCTGTGTAGATGGGGCTTGTAGGATGAAGGATGTGAGTGGATCTGAGTAGTAGAAGAGGTAGACTATATCAGTCATTTTTCGGGCATCATTTTATACCTTCTTGGGCTCACCCCTTCCAGCCTCTGCTGCACTGACCACTTCCACAGAGGTTTTGACCCACTTTACAAAGATGTAACCTACAATTGCCTCACCTCACACTGGTATAGAGTGCCTCCTGTGATCTGTTCTGGGTTTTTCTGACGGCACAGTATGGAATACCTGTGGGAAACCACTAGGCTCTCCCCCATATGCCACCTGGAAGTGCAGAGCAGTTAATACTCCAGAGGGGGGCAATGCTTGGCCAATGGGGCATGGGAGCTGATGGATAAATGCACCTCTCTTTTCTTGCTTCAGATGGACAAAAAGATAGAATTCATAAGATTTTTCAGGTGGATGCAGGTGCAAGCAGCATGCAGTTCTCTTAACAATGACCAATTTGATAACATATTCTAATATTGGTTCCCCCTTCATTACTGTTTCAATTCCCTTGTCCCTCACACCTGCTCCATGACATCACTTTCCTGAATAAACCACCCACCCACAAGACGTCTGATGCTCTGATTTCTCAGAGCAACCCAGGCTAAGGTGGTTTGATACCATCCCCAGCTTTTGCCACTTTGGAGCTGTGTGATTTTAGGTCAATTACTTAATCTCTTTAAGTCTTACTTGTTTTTTTCACCCTTTGGCAGGAGAGATATGCTACCTGAAGCACTTGGGATCCTGGTATCAGAATAAACTGGGGCTCTTTTAGAAAATAAGAGAGAGAAGAATAGTTATGGGTGTGTGGACCAGTCAAGGTAAAGGGGGCAGGAAAGAGACGGTACACTCAAAAGGAATGTTGACAAGAGTTTAACAAAGGAACTATAAAGTGTGGATGGAGTTGAGGGAAAACAACAGCGGGTAGCAAAGCACTTAGTGATTAGCAACTAGCAACAGTGACTAGCTGCTATCCTTGCTAGATCTAACATCATCAGGTAGCACAAGAGACAGCTTCCTGGTTGGGGTTAGGATTTTTGGCAGAGGACTCAGTCACCAGCAAGCTGAAGACCTGCAAGGAGGGAGTCAGGGAAAGAAATAGCTCAACCCCTCTATCTCCTACTTTCTATCTCCCACTGGTACCTTCCAGTGGCTGAATCCAACCAGAAGCCAGAGGGCAAGGAAGCCTGACTAGTGCAGTCCATCTAGGTCAGCCTCCTGGGACACAGAGCAGGAGAGAGGAAGAGGGCAGGGGAGAACAGACCTGGAGGGTGAATGGAGAATATCTAGTGTAGTGGAACATGAGTGTCTGTCCCGGTAACTTCATTTAAAATACACAACTACAGTAACACATACAACTGGCATGAACAAATTGGGGAACACATGACCTTTGATAAGCAAATAACTCGATTAGAGAGAACAGAAGTGCATAGGGCATGAGAGAGTCAGTGGCCCAGTGCTGTGAGCAAGGAGTGTGCCAGGAGCTTCTCGGGTGTGTTTCTTAGTGGAAATTGATGGTACTGGTTGAATCTGTGAGGCAGTTAGAGGAGGTGGGTTAAGAGAGATTTTCTATCTTACCTCCCTTCTTTCCTGGAATGGGTAAGAACAGAAGAGATTCTGTTAAACACAAATTCGTATCGTTTATGAAGTACTTCCTCCATACCTATCACTGAAAACTAGATGTGTAAGGAGAAAAACAGGAAGTACCTCAAACCTCTTGGATTTTACATTCAAGGTGGGGAGATATTTCCATAGATGACACAGAATAATAAAAAGTAGAAAGAATTGAAATGTGAAAGTGTGGGATCCAGATGAATCGTAAGGAATTTGGCCAAGCCAAGAAGCATCACCTCCAAGTCTGTGGTTTCTACAGGGTGCTCCAGGGGCTCCCACCTGGGTGGGACTAGTTCGCATGAATTTGGAGACAAGGGTGTGTCTAATCGAAATTGGGCAACGGAACTAAAGAGAACGTATCATATTTGGCCTTCTAATTTCTTCTTTTTGGGTGGGGTCCTTTTGGATCTCCCTGTCTTAACTGAGTTTTGCAGGCTCACACAGGGCTTCCCAGGGCCCAGACTGATGACGGATGATAGGCTGAACAGACACTTGGGAATGTCTTGCTCTTTGCAGATACTGCGTGTGTCCTGGGCGGAGGAGGAGAGCCATATGCAAGCCTGTGTGAGTGGCGTTCCTTTCCAGGAGTGGGGGTGTGGGGTGGGCAGGATGATGGATAAGAGGTGTGGTGTCCTCACTCTCTCTGCTCTCTCCACATACCCAAGGGGAAGAGGAAGTGTTAGACTCATCTGTTCTCCCTCATGGGGTAGCTCAGGGTTTCACAAAGTGTGTTCTGTGAGGCATAAAGGATCAAGAAGTGATAAAAAAAAATTCCATGAAAAAATCATTATTTTGATAAATAAATTAAGGAAAGACTAGATTAAACAAAGTTAAATGGTTCCTCACTGCAGGGTCTCTCTGAGTCTTTAGTTTGATGCTGTGTATTACGCACTCACTTGAGGGGCTATGGCATGAAGAAATTTTCAAACTTATTGGACCTAAAAACCCATTTTTTATGAACAACCAAGAATATGTCTTAGAACACTAGGATTCCCAGGAATCATTTTGTAAACTGTTAATATGTGGGGGATTTGCCTTTCAAAGAGGACTCCCCACAAGAAGGGAGTAATGTTTACTGCTACAGGATTTATGCCATGCTATGGTTTCAATGTTTGTGTCCCCCCAGTTTCTATGTTGAAATCCTAATCCTCAAAGTGATGGTATTAGAAGGTGGGGCCTTTGGGAGGTGATTAAGTCATGGGTCTGGAGCTCTCATGAATATTAGTGCCTTTATAAAAGAGGCCACAGAGAGCTAGCTAGCCCCTTCCACCATGTGAAGATACATGAGAAGGGGCTATATATGAGCCAGAAAGAGGCTCTCACTAGACACCAAACCTGCGGGTGCCATGATCTTGGGTTTCCCAGACTCTAGAACTATAAAGAAATCAATTTCTGTTTGTAAGCCACCCAGACTAAGACATTTTGTTATAGCAGCCTCAATGGACTGAGACATGCTACCATACAGAATTTCAGTTATCAGTGGGCAGTTGGGGGAATTCTTCCAACAGCCTCAGAATGTCCGCTTTTCCCCATTGGGCTTAAGAGGGAAGTTGAGAGAGGGCTTCCGGTAAGAGGCAGTTAGTAGGGTTAGTTCCTGCTGATCAACAGAGCAAAATAAACAAGAGGCAGGGGATTTGGGAACTTCTTTCACAAAGGGCTGAAAGAACAAACACATGGAGGAAAAACATGAAACTTCCAAGGTGGTGACACATGGGTGATTCTGAGGGGAGGTCCCCCTTCCTTAAAAAGGCTTCCACTTCCCAAGCCACAGACCAGCAATGCATATTTTATAATTTTTTCCCATAAGGAGCAGGAAAGAAACTGAAGAGACAGGAATCTGTTTCATCCTGAATGTAACTTTTTACTAGGGTTTCTAGTTCACAGAGTTGTCTGGCAACTGTAGCTCAGGTCTGGGAGGGAGGAAACCCCCTGCCATATTTGAAATGCTGAAGCATTTTTCTCAGGGCTACCGTGCAATCATCACAAAAAATGGACAAGACAACTGGCTGTGGCCTAACATGGGAAGAGGTGGAGATCACAGAAACCCCAAGGCTGGGCCACTGGAGTAAATGTATCAAGTTGAACCACAAAAAGTTGCCATTTTTTAAACATCGGAAATTGTTAAACACTGGTAATTTCATATGGTCCAACCTATAGCTGGCAAAACATTTATGGGAGCATCAGAAGGGAGGATATATATATATATATATATATATATATAGAGAGAGAGAGAGAGAGAGAGAGAGAGAGAGAGAGAGAGAGAGAGAGAGGTGAGGGTGTTGCTGTTAAGTTAGGCTTATATGTGACAAAAATAGTCTCCCTGCTGATAAAAAGGTGGAAGACGAAAGCTCTCTTTGGCATATTTCCAGGGGGTGAATACCCAGATTAGCAGTCCGTGAGGGGTCTGGATTCAGGGACATAGGGAGGAGGCAGTGACTGGCTCTCAGGACGCAGAGTGGAGACACTGGGTACAGTGACAGTGAATTAAGTCACAAGGGTGTAGTGACTTAGAAATGAGAAAGAGTGAAATAAAGGAGTCAATATTAGTAGAAAAAATGGAACCCAACCTTGAGTGTTGTGGCTTCTTCTTTACTCTTCAGCCTGTTCCTTCATTTGTCTTCCCATTCAACCCTGAAATCCAAAGTGGTAGATGAGAGGGGAGGGCTGGGAAAGGGGTGTGTATAGAGAGAGACATGGCTGATGTAGGGAAGTGTAGTGAGCTCAAGAGCTTGGCATTAGGAATCTCCATCACTATCACCACAGTGGATACTTTTAAGGGATGAATGCAACTGCAACAATGAAAAGTGTTCACATTTCCATAATACTTTACAATTTATAAAGCAGCCCACAGATATTGTCTTGTTTGTTTTGATTGTCAAACAACCTGTGAAGAAGGTATTGCCATCCCCATTTTCCAGATTAGGAGAATTGGCTCAGAAAGCAAATTTCCCAAGGACGGCAATTGGCAGAATCAGGCTCAAACCTGTGTCTTTGGACTCTAGGTGGAATATTGTTTTTGTTTAACTCATGGAGGGTGACTGAGGCCATCACACAGCCAGAAAACCCTGAGATGAAAACAATTGTTCAGATGCTGATGGGGGCTGGGCAAATCACCAGTATGAAGCTGTTTGGATATAGGACAACAGGGAGTGGAGGGGACTGTGGTTCAGGACTGGTAGGCCAACACCCTGCTAAAGGGAGTAATCACTACTCAGCTCCAGGCGATTACTGCCAGGAAGAAATGCCAGCTTGAATTTTTTTTTTTTGGAGAGAAGCTAGAAATTCAATTGAACAAATATTTATTGGGTGCCTACTGTGTATCAGACACTGGGGTTAAAGCAGTGAATGAAATTGATAAAAATCTCTAGATTTTCATGTGAACTTTTCCAATTTTTAAGTATTGGGAACTAACAGAAAGTTTAGAAAACATTTTTCAGGTCCAACAAAACACATCTGTGGGCCACATTTGACCTGTAGGTTGTCAGTTTGTGGCGTCCAAAAGTTCTGATGGACTAAATTTTTTGTTGTTTGTTTGAGATAGAGTCTTGCTCTGTTGCCCAGGCTGGAATGCAGTGGTGCAATCTTGGCTCACTGCCACCTCCGCCTCCTGGGTTCAAGTGATTCTCCTGCCTCAGTCTCCCGAGTAGCTGGGATTACAGGTGCCCACCACCATGCTTGGCTAATTTTTGTATTTTTAGTAGAGATGGGGTTTCATCAGGTTGGCTAGGCTGGTCTTAAACTCCTGACCTCAAGTGATCCACTCACCTCAGCCTCCCAAAGTGCCAGGATTCAGGCACCTGCCACCATGCCCAGCTAATTTTTAAATTTTTTTGTATTTCTAGTAGACATAGGGTTTCACCATGTTGGCCAGGTTGGTCTTGAACTACTGACCTTAGTTCATCGGCCTGCCTTGGCCTCCCAAAGTGCTAGAATTACAGGCATGAGCCACCGTGCCCAGCCTGGACCAAATGTTTTCTGAAGAGGGGAGTAGAATGGTCCAGCAGGGCCAGGGAAAAAATTGTTGACACTTCTAATCCCATTTGTTTTTTAATCTCATCCTTTAAAAAATTTCATTTTTGTGAATGCTACATAACTGACTCATATATAGCACAGGCATATCACTTAAATATTTAAAGACATTACTTATATATATTGGGGATAAGTGATCAAAGTACTTTTATCGATAAGGGTGTGGAGCAGAAGGGTTCAAGAACCCTGGAATAGGCCAGGCATGGTAGCTCACTCCTGTAATTTCAGCACTTCAGGAGGCTGAGGTGAGCGGATTGTTTGAGCCCAGGAGTTTGAGACCGGCCTGAACAATATAGTGAAACCCAGTCTCTAATAAAAGAAATATAAAAATTAGCCGGGCATGGTGGCATGCACCTGTATTCCCAGCTACTAAGGAGGCTGAGGTGGGAAGATCACTTGAGCCTAGGAGAGTGAGACTGCAGTAAGCCGTGGTCACACCACTGCACTCCAGCCTGGGTGACAGAGCTAGACCCTGTCTCAAAAAAAAAAAAAGAAAGAAAGAAAGGAAAGACCCCTAGACCCCTGGAATGGTCTTTGAAAAGCGTATATTTGCACATCCCCTACTTGAGACAGGGCTAAAGCTGTAGTCTCCAGCTTGGTGCTCAAGGGACCTCAGAAAGTGTGAGACTGGGCAGTGTGTCTATAAAAAACATTGGCTCAACCCAAACCATCCCCTTTTTCTTCCACCAGAGTACAGTCCTATGAGCAAAAACTCAGACATCTTTGAGCGATAGAAGAGACAACTGGGCCGGGGGCCAGTTCAGTGCGGACCTACATTTCAACCACCATGATGAAGGTTTGGGGCTGTTATGATCACATTTGCCTTTTACTTCTCATAATACTGAGATATACCTGTGAGAATACAGCTGTGCTAGAGAAGCCAGGACTGAGAAGTAATTTAATATTCATCCTTAAGTGTCAGGAAGGTTATTATGGGAAGGAAGGTGACAAGCTACTCCTCCCTGAGCTCAGAGCATGAAGAGATGGATGTGAACCTCTACAAATGAGACTTAGGTTACAGTCATGGAAGACATAGTGAGCTTCATCTGAGTCCTGTTCTCCAGCCTGTCTTGGACACTGTACCCCCCATCTGTTAGTAGAGTGGCAACGTGGTCTAGAAAGAGCACTGGGCAAGGAACCCCGGAGTCCTGTAGAGACCTTTTAGCTGCCATGACCTTAGACATGCCAGATGTGTCCATTTATGGATCTCATTTTCTTCTCTTTTTTAAATAAGGAAGGTCATGGTTTATGGTCTCTGAGCTTCTTCCTTCTACTTCAACCACTGGTTCTATGCTAAGTCTAAGTGTTGGAATGTAGATACTCTTGAGTGTCTTCCTAAGCCTGAATCAGTTGTCTGTAACCCAGGTCGATATACTAGCTGCTGTAGCAAACAAATCTCAAAACATACAATGGCCCATGCATGGTAGAAATTTACTTCTTGTTCACAAAAGGTCTAAAATGTGTTTCCCTAATGAGCACGCCATTTTCCTCCAAGTGGTGATACAGGGAAGCAGGATCTTTCCTGTTTGAGGTTCTTACATCTTAGGTACTTGGCTCCAAGGGAGCCATGCTCATTTACATCGAGCTGGTGGAAGAGGAAAAAGCACTAGGCAATTGAGCCTGAGAGATTTTTAAGGACTGACTAGGAAGGGTGTGCATTATTTCCGGTCAAATTCCACTGGTGAGAAATCACTCACATAGAAACATCTAAATACAGGAGAGCCTGGGAAAGGTAGTTCAGCTCCGTGCCCAGGAAAAAGAGGAAATGGATTTAGCCAATAGGAATCAATCTGTGCCATAGAGAGGAGAGTTTAAAGGAGAAAGTATTATGTGAATTGAAGAAGAGTAAGATTGAGGTAATGTTAATTATCTTCCTCTTTCTGAAGAGCTAGAAGTCCTCAGCTGCTGAAGGATGGCAGGGCCTGGGCTTAAAAATGTTTTCTGGCCCACAAGGAAGAGCCATGAGCAAAGACTCAAGATGCACTAGATTCTAGTTTGGTTGTCTCAAACTAGCTATGGGACTGAATATAATTTATCTGACCATTGTGCTTACAGTTTCCTCATCTGTCAATGGTAACCAAAATGCATACTCTAACTACCTAACAGAATTGTTTTAAAAGTCAGGTATAGCAACATCATGCACATTTTGTAAAAACAAAACAATGATTAAAATAGAGAATGAGTTTAAATTGCAGATGGAGAAAATTAAATTGGGTAAGGAAAAAAGAAACAACTTTCCCCATAGTGAAACAGGGAAAATTTTTAGAGAATGTGCAAATAACTTCAAGAAATCAGTGGGAAACAATTTTGACAAGAGTGGAAAGAAAACTCCAACTGGAAAGATAGCTTGTGGGGGTCAGCACAGGAGACGTGGACTGTGGTTCTGGCACTACACGCAGATTGCTGTTTGACCTTGACTGAGTCTCTTCCCCTCTTGGGGCTTCAGTTTCCCCTTTGTGAAACAAAAGCATTGAACTAAATAATCTTGCTAGGGTCTCATTCTCAAATGTTATACTTCTGATTGTGCGCTCAATCCTGTCTGGATTCAAGGATCCAAAAGGCTTTAAGACACAGTCAATTGCCAGGCTGGCATTTCAACATGGATGTCCAAAAGGCATCTCCAGCCTCTCATGTGCATCCAAAGCCTTAGGTTGTCTTCCTTTCCCAGAAGGTTCCTCCTGCGGCACAGCCTTCCACACTTCAGGAAAAGGGCGGCTACTCTGGGGGTCCGCCTTTATCCTCAGTGCCGCACACAGCCTGCAATCCATCAACCAGCATGTCCCGTCACTCCGCCTTCAAATCTCACCTCCTTCCTGCCATCAGCTCGCACCTGTGCTGTGCACCTGCCTCACAAGGGCTCTCCTTGAGCCCACTCTCACCGCTCTCCATCTGTTCCTCACTCAGTCGTCAGGGTGAGCTCTTTATCCTTTCCTTCATTCAAAATCTCCCAATGGCTTCTCGTCGCATTGGGAATAAAATCAAAATCCTTGCCTTGGCCTGCGCAGGTTCTTGACCTCACTTGTAGCTCTCTCCTGCTTCTCCTGACCACCCCCGCTTTGGCCGTAGCCAGTTTGGCTGCTTTTCAGCATGTGGGGCTCAGTTTGGTCTCACGGCCATTGCACTTGCTGTGTTTGGGGCACTTTCCTTCCAGATCTTCTTCCGGTTCCTTCCTTTGCTCCATTCCCATCTCAATTCAGAGGTCCCTTCTTTCAGGAGGCTTCCTTCTCTAGCTCCTAATCCATTGACCTCTAGTTCTCCATCCTTCTCTAGCTCCTAATCTATTGATCTCTCTCTCTCACCCTCACCCTGACTTATTTCTCCTTAAGGCACTTATCACTCCCTGACATTATTTTATTTCTTTATTTGCGTATTTTCTGTCTCTCTCCACTAAGATGTGAACTCCATCAGTGCAGAAACTTTTCCTGTCTTGTGTACAACTGTATCCCTTGTGACGTCTTGTAAGCATTCAATAAATGTTAACTAAATGAGTGAATGAATCAAGGAGGAGAAACTGACCATAGGGCCTCTGCAGAGCAGCAAACATTCTTCCACAAATGGAGGAGAGCTGGGGACTTGGTTTTCTGGCCAGAGGTGAAGCTGGCCCATCCCCCTCCAGCCTGGAGTGCAGGCATTTGTGCAGGGCATGGGTCTCTGACACTGCGAGCCAGTTGTCTCTGCCCCATGGCTCTGATCAGATCCAGGCACTTGGGGTTCTGTGCTTCTCTGCTTTTCTCTTTTTAGGCGGTACTTGGCTGACCTCCCAGGGGGTATAGCTGGCTTCTTCTCTAAGCCACTTGTTCTTGCTGTTAAGAAATGACTAAGCAGATTCTCCATCTCCTGGTAGCCAGCTGCCAGCCTGCGAGACTTGATGCTTTTCTGAAAGAGGGCCCTTCTTTTGCTCTGTGTTCAGAGAAAGCACGAAGCAGACATCACCATCATTGCCTCCTTTGCAATGGCCTGACTCACCTCCTCTTGGTGTGTGGCTCTAGGCTGACCCCCACAAGGAAGAGGGAGGCAGAAATTGGTATGATTACTACCCTCAGGACTCAGCGTCCAAGTCCTGCTGGATATTAGAGAATGACTGGTTGAGAATATTCAGATGGTGACCTAATCATACCGGCACCATTTTTACTGACAGATTGCTAAGTGCCAGGCAGCATGCTAACCTCCCTAGGTACCTTAGCTCATTTGATTCTTGCAATCACCTTGTGAGGTAAGTACTGTGACTTTATAGGTGAGGAAATGGAGGCAAAGGAAAGTTGAGGAACTTGCCCAAGGTCATATGGCTCAGCAGCGGCGGCTGCATAGAAGCACAGGACCCTGTTTTCAATATGCTTGCCTGTCTTGTCCAGGGTGCTTCTACACAGTGCTGCACAGGCAGCTCCTAAAGCTGCGTGCAGCAGGAGCACAAAGAAAACCCCAAGTAATTCTTCCGAGGGTCTCTGCCGCCACCTCCTTAGTTTACTTCAGGAAGACCTCTGCCAAGTTCAGTGTGAAATTAACAAATTTAATGTGAAAAACTGGTTTAGAAGTGAAATGGATTGTGGACTACTGGGTATAAATAAAACTAGAAAGAACTTTGCAGAATCATTTATACGTTGACATTTATTGCAAATCATCAGGAGAGTGGTGTATCAAACTGTCATTCCTAAGTTTAATTGACCAGGGAATATGTTTTTTTTTCCCCTTAGGAGTATCTTAGGGGCTAGAGTTCCAAGAACACTCTTCAGAAATTGCTGAACTGTGCAGATATACCCACTGACCTATAAAGATGCCTTGGGCATTCCTCTTTCTATTCCTTTGCCCACCCCACTTTCTCCATCTGGAATCCATCCTCTGTCTGTCCATAGATCCGTCCATCCATCCAGTAAACATCTACTGTGTTCCAGGCACTATACAAGGTGCTTTCTCCTAAGTCATCTTGTTAATTTTTGCCACAGCCCCATTCCATAGATAAAGAGGTGATAGAGACAGGAGACAGACAAGGGTCCCTGGCGAAAACCCACCTAAAACCTAAAACAATCCTGAAGGCTGAAAAACCGGACTGCTGGTCCTGGATGAAGTCCACCCTTTCCTGATTGGTTCTGTCTGAATAATGCGCACCAAAGGAAGCAGGTGGAGCAGGGAGGAGGAGTCTGGCCTCTTCAGTTCCTATGTAGTGGCCTGGGATTCAGTCTGCAAGGTGCGGGCCTGCTAGCAGGACTCTCTCGCTTTGCTGAGAGTTCCTCTTTCCTTTTTCCTTTTTCACCCAATAAACCCTTCCTCGCATCTCACCCTACAATGTGTCCGTGAGCCTAAATTTTCCGAGTAGTGTGAAAAGAACCTGTTTTTTTTTCCTGCAACAGAGGCAACATATCAGCAGACCACAAAGCTGGACAGTGAAAGGGCTGGGATTAGAATCCAAATTTCCCAATCCGGATTCCAGATTGTTTTTTCTTCTATTCTTCAGTTTTTTGTCCTGTAGTTGCTTATTCATATTTTCTCAATTTGTCAAAATCCTAACTCAAACTTCGTTTCCTTCAGAAATTCATGTTTCCCTTTCTTCCTATGTGCTATGCACAGAGAAACTTCTCCGTCTTCTAAACCCCCTCCAGACCATCTCTATCCAGATTTGGCACCCACTTCATCAGGTTCCCGGTTAAGAAGTGAGTGTGTGTGTGTGGGTGTCTTGGATCTCCAGTGGTGTGTAAGCCAAGCACTTGGCACACATCATCTTTACTTGACACATCAGCCTTGTGGGAGAGGTACCATTACACTCATTTTGTAGATGACAGAACTGATGCACGACGAGGTTCAGGCACTTGCCCAACATCACCAAGCAAGTCAGTGATGAAGCTAGGATTTGAGCCTCAGTCTTCTGGCCCCAGAATCCACATTCCTTCCACTATTCTATGCTGAACCCCTTGTTGAGCCCCTAGTTTCATAGCTGAGAAACTGAGGCCCATGGAAGGACAGTGGCTAGCCCCGAATCCCACAGCTGTGAATAGCCGTGCTAATACCACGTGCAAAGGCTCACATCCGGGAACCTTTCTTCTCCAGCAGGCTGCCTCCCCAGGTCTAATGCAGGTCCCAGCTATTGCTGCCAGTTGGTTCCTGTTACCTGGATGCCATGGAAATTGTACCTTGTAGCTCTTGATACAGCAGGAGCCTGGTGGCTGCTCCCTGGGGGAGAGCCAAGGAAGGTCAGAGTACTAGCCTGCAAACCCAGCACCTAAAATATACCAGGCAGCAACCCCAGTGGAAACCAGGCAGCAAGCCAAGAGCATGACATAACCTTCCCACAGCTCAGGGCTGGAGTCGGCTTCCAGCTCCAAGGTTCCCTGGGTACAGCGCCTAACAGAGCACACGTGCACTTCAGGGCTGCGACTTCTTCCTTTTATTTTAAAGAAAATGAGTTTCTTTTACTCTGGTTCTAGAATTGAGGGCTGGCAGGAATTGAGGGAGCTAAGAGCCAGGAGACCCTTGGACCATGGTGGGGAAGGGGCAAGGAATAGGCTTCAGATTGCTGGTTTCCCAATTTGAATGTTCATCTGGACACTGGAAGAGCTTTCAAAAGTGATCCAGGTTTCATTCCAGACCTACAGAATCAGAATCCCTGGGGACAGGGCCTGGGAATCGGTATTTGAACATGTTCTCCAGGTGAGTCTCTTCTGGTTCAGGTTTGTGAACTACCTTCCCAAATATGCCTCTTCATGGCTATCTCCATTTGCTGGTAGTCCACCAGATCTCCATCTCCCATCCTCAACTCACACTTAGTACACTTTTTTTTTCACCTGTGAAATTTAAATTCTATATTGTCCATTTCCATAGCTTTGAGGGTTGGTGTGATAACAGCACTTAATGGGGGTTTCTGTTATTTTTTTTTTAAAACAGCAGATTTTAGGTTTTCTCTTTAAATGGAAGTTTAGGAGGGGTCTGTTCTGACAGAGGAATAAGTTCCCTGAGAATTCACTTTTGAAAAATTTGGTTGTTTTAGAAGTCTGTCTCTGAGGCCCTTAGTATCCAAAGGAGTCCGTGAAAGTCAGAGGTTGCCATGGGAATGGCAGCTGCCAGGAGACAGGCTATTGTGTTTAGATTCTTGTATTAATAACACCCTCCCCAGCAGCCAGAAATACCTGTTGAAAGAGGAGAGGTTCTTTTCTTCTTATTCAAGAAGAGTTTGGAAAGTTACTTTCCTCTGCCTTGAAGAGGGTCAGGGGTTTGTGGTTAGGTGTACAAGTGACTGTTTTTTCTCCTCTTGCCCAAGGTGAAGCAAGAGAACTCAGTTGGAACCTTGGATCCTCCTAGCTGATCAGAAGACTAGAGAGGAAAAACAAACTTAGATGACTCCTCCTCCAGCATATCTAAGGGGGACAAAAGCCATACTGGCCATGGGGAGACCCTGGATGAGTGTTGATACCAAGCTGACCTGAATTCCAGGCTCAAGTTGTAGATGTGTGTTCTCCCCTGGGGAGGAGTTACTTACAAGGATTCTGGGGAGGTTGTTAGCAGCCTACTTTCCACTTCAGTGGAAAGAGCATTGGATTCCATGCATCTCCTAGCTGCATGACAGGGAAAGAAAAGGAAAAAGAGGAGAGGACTAGTTTTAGTTGAATATTATACGTACCACAAGTTAGATGTTGTGTTAGGTGCAGGGAAATAAAAATCACTAAGGCAGAATTTGTACTTGCAAGGAGTTCTCTGTCTCGAGGCAAGCATGGAATCAGAAATGGCAAGTGGTAGTCATTTTGTTTGCTGACTGGATTGCTGTGATGAGTGTTTTCTGCGGGGAGGAAGGGATGGATGTCATTTGGTATGTCTGGATCTAAATAAACAATACCATGATTTCCACTGCTCAGGAGAGTTGTGTGTGGTGCCCTGTGGATGGTGCAGGTGAGACGTCCAAAGACAGCATCGCTCACACTGCTCAGGACGGATGAGGTACTGAAGGAGGCCAGATTGGAGGAGCCAGCCTGGGCAGGGCTGTGGCTGTTTCAGGGCAAGGTAAGGGGTCCTTCTGTGAACTCAGAGAAGTTTCCTGTTTTGTGTCCTTTCCCAAAGCCCTGGTATAGTGCCGGCCATTAGGAACATTATAAAGTGCACCCAGTTTTTCTTGGTGGAAGTTCCCCTTTTTGTGTCCTTTACCCTTTTAAAAATATGTCTTCCCTTGTTTCTCCTTATCCTTGATCACGTCCCTTTTTTCAGGGAGAGAAATTGTCAAAAAATTTATACTACTAAGAGTAATTTAAACCACCCTAGAAAGGCTTCTATTTAAAAGAAAGAGCCATGAGGTGATGGATATGTTAATTAGCTTGATTTAATGACTCCACATTGTATTAATAAATCATAACACTACTTTGTGCCCATAAATAGATACAATTACAAATTGTCAATTTGCAATAAAATAAAAATAAATAAAAATGAAAAAAGGAAGAGCTGAGAGAACAATGCTTAACTCCAAACAGTTAACGCTGGGGATCTAGACCACATGTACCTAACTGGGGAGATTCTTTAGGCCAGGGGTTGGAAAACTCTTACTGTAAATGGCTAGATAACAAATACATTCAGCTTTGTGGGTGATGCAGTCTCTATTGCAACTAGTCAGCTCTGTTGCTGTTCTTCAAAAGCAGCCACAGAAAATACCAATAAGTGAATGGGAGTGGTTGTGTTCCAATAAACCTTTATTTATAGATACCAAAATTAGAATTTCATGTATTTCATGTGTCATAAAATATTATTTTTCTTTGCATTTTTTCCAGCCATTAAAAATGTGAAAAGGATTCTTAGCTCACGGACTGTACAAAAACAGAATTCTATGGGCCAGTTTGCTAACCTTTGCCTTCCTATCACCTCTCCTATCACATTCTAAGATGAGCGGTGCTGTGGGATGAGGTCACTCTGCCTAGAGATTCTTTTGTATGGCCTAGTAGTTTATCTACTTTTTTTTTTTGAGATGGGGTCTTGCTCTGTCATCCAGGCTGGAGTGCCATGAGTGGTGTGATCTTGGTTCAGTGCAGCCTCTTCTTCCCAGGTTCAAGTGATTCTCCCACCTTAGCCTCCCTAGTGGCTGGGATTACAGGCACCCAGCATCATGCCCAGCTACTTTTTTTTTGTTGTTGTTTTGTGTTTTTGTAGAGACAGGGTTTCACCATGTTGGCCAGGCTGGTCTTGAACCCCTGACCTCAGGTGATCCACCTCCCTCGGCCTCCCAAACTGCTGGGATTACAGGCGTGAGCCACCGTGCCCGGCCTATCCATTTCTTTAGTCAAATGCTTACTGAGGACCTACTGTGTGTTAGGGGCTGCTCCAGGTACTGGGAATTCAGAAATGAATGAGGCAAGTGCCTGCCCTCAAGTAACTTACGTTCCCCTGGCCATGGCAGGAAGATTTAAGGAGTGGAGACAAGATTTGGGTTTTGGTCTCAGTCTTTGCTTCCTTGGACTTGGGTCTCTTTTAGAGACTGGTTGTTCTTGGTGGCTAGGCTGATTTGCATCATTTGCTGTGGATCCTGAACACAGGTCCCGTAGTTATCAGCTGCAGGAGAGCTATGTGACTTGCTTGGAACCAATGCCCTGGGATAACTTTAGTGTTCTGAATTTCCAACTAAAACTGCAGCCAAAAAATAAAAATGAGTAAAATAGCATAAAACCCAAGACCTTTAGGGCTCAGTGTATTCTGGCACAGCGTTCCAGTGGGATTCTGGGATGGTTTTCAAGAGCCGTGGCTTCTCTTGACTTTCCCATGGCCTATTCCAAGACAACCACTGATCTGCAGATGTTCCCCGAGGACTGGGGCATGGCAGAGACCCATTGCAACAGCAGCTACTGCTGCTGCCAGGGCCAGAGGTCAGTGCTCATGTGGTCTCTGGCAACGGCAGTCCTCCTCCAGCTCCTACCCATTCCCAGGCAGGTGATAGAGAAGCCCTGTGAATTCCTCCTTTGAGACCAACAGGTCCCTCTGTGATGTAGGGAAACAGATGTGGCTGCATTGAGGTAGAAGAGGGGCTCTCCAGTGAGTAGGAAATTGCTCCCAGCCCATGGGCCTCATGATTTACAGGGCATCTGCTCCACATTTGTTCCCTTTGTTGTGTGCTACAGAGATGTGGGGCTGAGGGTGGGGTGGGGAATGGAGCCTGGAGGAAAGAGGACAGAAAGATGAGGGAGGTGGTATGGTTCCTGCTTCCAGGTTCTGGAAAGTCTGGCGAGGTGGAAATTACATGAAGTAGTTAGGACATCCTACGGAGCAACACTTTTGTTCTCCTTTAAAATTCAAACTTGCCTAATCACCAATGAACCAGGTGATCTTGTTGTCCTCCAAGTTCCTTGTGTAGACAATGAGAAATTTCATTACCTGATCACCTGATTGCAAAGGTTTTTTTTCTGCTGTCAGAGTCTAAAGTTTGAAGCATCCTGCCTTCTTTTCCTAGGGTCTCCCATCTTTTCCATATCCATCTCATCTCTCTTCTTCTACTTCTGCCTCTTCCACTGTGATCTGGCTTAGAGATGCTCAGCATCTGCCCAGAGCTCATGTAGGGGCGGCAACCCAGGCCAGGTTCTCAGGGAATGTGGACAGACAGTGTGGAGATGTGGAGGGAGAGGGGGATGTGCCCTTGGCCAGCTGGGTTTCATTGGAAGCCTCCTGTATGTGGCACCTTGCTCCTAGCCAGATTTCCTTCAGCCACTCTTAACATGTATTTTTAGGGCTTATTCATAAATATCACGTTTCACATGCATTCATTCAGCAAACATTTGTTGAGTGCCTACCACACACCAAACACAATGGTGGGGATAAAAAAGTGGGTGAAATAGACCCAGAATATTGGTCCTATTTCATGCCTCCAAGGTCACTCCACTCTCTTATTTTGTGGTTGAAGATTCTGAGGCTCAAAGTGGGACAGTGACTTATCTAAGGTGACATCATTAAGGGCAGAGCCAAGACAGGAACACAAGACCTTTCAAGCTAGGTGAGACCAGACAGCCAAAAGTGTATTTCCATACATAGATTTAGCAGTTAAAATGTACACAGTATGTCTATGTCCATCTCCATGGTAACAGGAGGCAGGCATGGTTATTATTATTCACATAATTATGAAGAGCCTCCACGTGGTTATTCATTTTTCAGATGGAGAAACTGAGGTTCACAAGGTTAAGCATTTGAATAAAAGTCACATGGCTGGAGGCAGCAAAACTGGGATAAGGACTTTGGTCTTCTGACTCCCAATCACCTGTAACACGGATCTCCTCACCTGTACCAGCCACTTCTCATAGAAGAGCCTTCTCTCTCCTCTATGGCTCCCTTGTGGCCTGTGGTCAAAGATGACTGAGAAGATACCCCAGGCCATCTCGGTAGTATGCTGCAGTACCATCAGGATACAGGAAAGAGGCAGAAACTCAGAGACCATTAGGAGAGGGCCAACAGAAACAAACCAGGAAAGATTGGCTGACATAGAAAGAGGTGAGGGGTACTGGAGAAATGGGAGAAGAAAGCAGCATAAGACTGGTCTGGTAAGAAAGAATGGAGCTTTGTAATAATTTTGACACCCTTCAACATAAAAATGGACACACCTAGTGTGGACCAAAACTAGCTGTCATGGTAAGGGAGGTGTTGATACACACAACGCGACTTGGACCACTGATGGGCAAGGGAGTTATAAATCCCATCTGTGATTTGATTAGGGCTGGCGATCCACAGTGTTTGACTGCCTGACATCATCCTTGAATTCCTTAAATTCCAATCAGACTTCTGATTGGATTCCTCCTCACTAACCCCTGGGCCACTGGAAATAAGAAATAGTAGCCTTGTGGCCGGCTCCTACAATTTCCTAGAATTCCCTGAGGTTCCCCCATGAACCTCAGTTTCTTCATCTGATAATTGAATAACCACGTGGAGGCTCTTTATAATTATGTGACGAATAATAATCATGCCTGCCTCCTGCTACCATGGAGATGGAGATGGACATACTCTGTACATTTCTCTGCATTGAGGAGAGTTGTTAAAAGAGAAGAAAACAACCTCAGTCTCTCTTGATTGTCTTTTAAATGATCTCTTTCAGTCTTAGGGGGATCCCTTTGGTGTCAGACCTCCTAGAATTGACTCTACTATTATAACCCATCCATTAAATCATTGGGTTTTTTTGATCAATTTTATTCCTTTTTTTTTTTTTTTTTTTTTTTTTTTTTGAGACAGGGTCTCACTCTGTTGCCTAGGCTGGAGTGGAGTGGCACAATCACCGCTCACTGTAGCCTTGACCTCCTGGGCTTAAGCCATCCTCTGCCTCAACACCCTGAGTGGCTGAGACTACAGGCACATGCTACCATGCCAGCTAATTTATTTTTAATTTTTTGTAGAGATGGGATCTTGCTCTGTTGACCAGACTTGCTTTTTGATTCAATTTTCTATCAATAAATCAGTGACTATGTAATGAACAGCTTCTATGCAGCCCTTCTTAGATGAGCTGCTTTGGGGGATACAGAAGGAACATACTTTAAAGACTTTTAAAGTAGCTTATGAACCCCTTGGAGCAAGACTAATGTCACAGCTAAATGTAATTACTCACTTATTTGCTTGTTAGACCACTGGGGCTCTGGAAATTTATCATCATCCTGTTGGTGGCTCTGTGCTATGTAGAGAGATTATGACTTATTCACCCATTTGACAAATATTTATTGAACACATACTGTCTGCTAGGTATGGTAATGAAATAGTGGTTCAAGTATTCATGGCTTCTAACCTCAGAGGGCCCATGTTTAGTGAAGGGAGAGAGGTAGCAGTCACTAACAGAATAAGTCATTTATGAGACACATCAGGAAGGGTGCAAGGAGTATGAGTAACACAATGACATTCAGGGTGGTGGGGACCCGGGGTATGTAGGTAGGGTGGGAAAGGAAGGCCCTAAAGTGGGCTGGGGCCTGAAGTTTGACAATGACCAGCCATGGGGGATGTCAGCTTATGGGTGAGGGAGACAGAATATTCTAGAGAGAAGACAAAACTACCCCAAAATTTAGTGGCTTAGAACAAAAAGGTATTATTATTATTATTTCCCACAGACCTGTGGATTGATTGGCCTCTGCTGGGTGTCAATTCCCACCGGAGTCTCTCACGCAGTGGTAGTCAGACAGCTGCTGGGGCTGGAGTCATCAGAAGGCTGGACTTGGCTGAATGGATATTCAAGATAGTCCCTTCACTCCCTTGCCTGGCCTTTGGGTTAGGCTGGCTGGAATAGGTGGAGGTTGCTATCAACGCTCTCTCTCCATGTAGCTTCTCCACATGGCTAGTTTGGGCTTTCTAATGGCATGGAGGGCTCGGGATGGTTGAATTTCTTCTGTGGAGCCTGGCTTTGTCCAGAGTGAGCAAGGAAGAGGAAACCACTTGTCTTTTTAAAGACTAGACCTAGGCTGGGCTAGTATCACTTCTGCAGTATCCTGTTGATCAAGGAAGTCACAGTCCAGACTGTAGGACATGGAGAATTAGACTCTCCTTCTCAAAGGGAAAATGGCTGGTGTCGTCAAGGAGGGAAGGGATGGTGACCATCTTGGAGACAAGCTAAGGCTTTGAGATCAAAAAGGCTTGGTGTGTCAGAGGACCAGAAAGCCAGCCAGTGCTGCTGGAGCACAGGAAGGTGGCACAAGATGAGGCAGGAAGGATGGGCAGAGTGGTGTCCTCATAGGTAAATTGTGGTAGGGAATTTTGATTATTTATTTATTATTATTATTACTTTGAAATGGGGTCTCTCTCTGTCACCCAGGCTGGAGTGCAGTGGCACAATCATGGCTCACGGCAGCCTCGACCTCCCTGGGTTCAAGTGATCCTCTCACCTCAGCCTCCCGGGTAGCTGGGACTACCAGTGCACGCCACCACACGTGGCTAATTTTTCTAGCTTTTGTAGAGATGGGGTCTTCCTGTGTTGCCCAGGCTCATCTCAAACTCTTGGCCTCAAGCAATCAGCCTCCCTTGGCCTCCAAAAGTGCTGGGATTACAGGTGTGAGTCACCATACCTGGCTAGATTTTTTTTGTTTTTTAAGTCGCACAAAAGCCTTAGGTTTCCTTCTTTCCAAGGGCTGACAGCCATAAGGAGTCTTCTTTCTTTCTGTTCCAGTCCATCTTCACTTGCTGCCCATAAGTTATCCTAGAGCCTGGGCTCCAGTGCTGGTCACATGCTCTCTAGCCTCCCACCCCTTCAGTGAGTTTCCGTTGCTTCCAGAACCAGGCACAGATTGCCCAGCCTGGTTTCAAGAGCACTCTACCAAGTTGTGCACTTACACATTTTTTGTCACATTTTTGCCCAACCTGTCAAATTGGATCCCTTGCTCCTCCTCATCCCCCCACCAAAAGGTGCCATTTTCTCCCTGCCTCCATACCGGGTCACATCAGTCACTTGCCCTCCTATGGCCCCGTCTCCCCTTGTCTAAATCCTGCCCTTCCTTCACAACTTCTCCAATGTCACTTCCTTAAACTGAGCGAGCCCCCTGCGGCTCAGAAACCTAGTTCTTCCGGATTCAAAGCAGAGCTGATGCTTCGGAAGGTGCAGTCACATCTGTATGTGTCTTACTCTCACTTTCACAGGTCTCCTCCCCATTGACTCTAGGTCTTCAAGGACAGAAAGCATGCCAGCCTTGCTTATTCTGCCCCATGGTTCCATGCCTCACACACAGCAATCTTTCAGTCGATGTCTCTCAAATTCAGCAGTGGTTTCTCTGGGCCACCAGCCTCCAATTGTCTCTTTCTTTTCCCATGGCAAATTGCAGCATTCAGCTCCCAGCAACTCCTGATTTGTGGCCCCAAGGTTCCTGGCAGGTCTCTCCCGCAGGACCATGGAGCTGCCGTTCCCAGACGGCCAAGCCTGCACAGACCAGAGCCAGGTCCCAGGGAGATGGAGCGCTTCTGGTTCTGTAGACTTCCGTGGCTCCTCTCTCTCCAGCTGCCTTGCACTTGTTTTCCTTGGCAGGAGGAAGCCCTCAGTCACCACTTCATCTTCCATTTATAGGCATATATGCATCTTTGTTATTCTTTTCATAAAATGACAGTGTTCTCAGCTCAGAAAAGAAGAAAAGAGGGTTGAGGACCATGCAAAGCAAAGAATGCATTTTATACAAGGCCTCCAGCTTCCTGCAATACTTCTGTCCATATTGGAGAATGGAGGGCATTTTTCCTGCCTCTACTGCCTTCTCATCTGTGACTTAGCCTGTCCCACTAACTTCTCGCACTTCGCTGATGGGCTACTATGGGCTCCCCGGCATGAGTCATTGTCTATACCATCCTTCAGTCCTTCATCTGATGCTAGAATATTCTGAGGTCCAGAGTTAAGTTTTGTGAGCTCAGATGTGTTGTTTTTGTTGTTGTTCGGTTTGTTTGTTTGTTTGGTTTTTCGTGCTTTTTTCTTTTCTTTTCTTTTCTTTTTTGGTTGTTGTTGGAGACAGGGTCTCTCAGTCACAGGCTGGAGTGCAGTGGCAGGGTCTTGGCTCAATGCAACCTCAACTTCCCAAGCTCAAGGATCCTCTCACCTCAGCCTCCCAAGTAGCTAGGACTATAGGCATGCACCACTATGCCTGGCTAATTTTTATTTTTTTGTATTTTTGTACAGATAAGGGTCTCATTATGTCTGGCCTTGAACTCTTGGGCTCAGGTGATCCTCCTGCCTCCGCCTCCCAAAGTGCTGGGATTACAGGCGTGAGCCAGCACGCTTGGCTGAGAGCTCTAATTTGTCCATTGGTCAAGCTATACCTGAATGCAAAAAGGAAGAATAACAACAGTAAACATATTTGTGGTGCTCTTTATATTAGCCAGTGTTTTAAGGAGTCTATAAATAGTAAGTCATGTAATCCTCACAGTAACTCTATGAAGTTGTACAACGATTATCCCCATTTTACAGATGCAGGAACTGAGGTAAAGAGAGGTTACCTCATCTTCCCTTGGTCACACCAATAGTCAGTGGCAGAGCTGGGATGTGAGTCCAGGAAGGCTTGCTTCAGAGTCTGCATCCCTGACTTCTGGCCATGCTGCCTTAATTGGTCATCAAACTGAGACGTTTAACCTAGCAGGGTCACTTAGTCCTTCTTATATACCCAAGTGTGCTAGAAAAGAGTGTGTCTGAGGGTTGTAGGCAAGAGCCTGCACAGGTTTGAACTAATTCTTGGCACAGGTAAATCAATTTGATTCATATTCTGACTTTCCCACAGATTTATGATTCTTAATTTAGCATTTTGCACCTATTTGGAAGGATAGATCAGCACAGGGATTTATTGGTGTATCCAAGAGCAACCTGCTTCTTTTGGCTCCAGTCCATATCCTGGGAATTCACTAACTAATGAATTCATTTTCTTCTCTCCTTCCTTCATTCATCAAACTGTGATCCCATGCCTAGTGTGTGCAAAGCACCATATGGCACAAGGACAGGTGGAGAAAAAGAACACTAAATGAAACAGATATCATCTCTGCCTTCAGGCTGTGGGTGTGTGTGCACATGCATATACTCACAAGGAAACCTGAGACTCTAACTGTAACTGTCTGCATATTCTTTCGGGTCATCTTTTAGTATTCTCTGGAGTGCCGTATGTGCTGCATTTCACTGGTTTCCCGGAGTCTAGAATGCCCACATACACACATTTTCATAAGGAAGCCCATCGGAGCACAGATGCTCATACAGGCCAGTGGCTCTTCCAGCTGTCCAAACTGGATAGCCTAGTGACGGTAGAGTCCTGCCCCGGACTCTGCATGGGACTTTGTTCAGCTGAGTTAAGGTGCAGACTGGATTAGTTTCCCAGGGCTGCTGGGCAAATTATCACAGACTTGCTGGTTTAAAACAACAGAAATTTATTCTCTTAGTTCTGAAGGCCAGTGGCCAGTGGTTTGAAATCAAGATGTTTGCAGGATTGGTTCCTTCGGGAAGACTCTGAGGGCAACTCTCTTCCATGCCTCTCTCCTAGCTTCTGGGGCTGCTGGGAGCCTTTGACTGGTAGATGAATCACTCCAATCTGTGCTTCATCTTCACACGAACTTCTCTCTGTGTCTCAAATCTCTGTTGGCCTTTCTCTCAATGATCAGTCATTGGGTTTAGGGTACACCCTAAATCCTGGGAGCTATCATCTTGATCCTTAATTATCTGCAAATACCCTATTTTCAAATAAGGTCACATTCATAGGTTCTGGGCTTTAGGATGTGGGCGTATCATTTTTAGGGCCACTATTCAGCCTACTGCACAGACAGAATCCTTCTCAACTCAGTGTTCCTGACAGGTGCTACCAATTTGGCAGTATTGTCATAGAAATTAAAATCTATTTGTATCCCTAGGGTAGTACCCATTTATTTCCATGTCCATGTGTGTGCGCCTATGTGTAAGAATAAGGAATCCTCAGTAGTTATTTATTTTTTTGTTTGTTTGTTTTTGCCTGGAAGCATGTTTGAAGAGGAATGCAAGAGTGTTTCACTGACTGATAAAATATGTATCAGTCAGGTTCCAGAATTCAACTCAAATGGTTCAAATTTAAAAAAAAAAGAATGAAAGAAACAACAAAGCACTACTTTCAAAGGTGTGGACAGGTTTAAAGAAACCAATAAGAAATGCCAAGGCACCTAGAGACTAGCAACAGTGGAACACCATGGACACACTTTGGCCTTAGAGGGGAAGGGGAGGGATCAGTGTTACAAGAATCCCAGTGAGAGCTGGAATAGTAGAGGAGGTGCTGCCTGGCTTTAGAGGAATAGACACTATTAAAAGGAGGCCAAAATTAGGAATGGAGCAAGAAAGACACCCCAAATGTCTTTCCTCCCAACTCATCATCTCAAGCTGATGTCTTCTGTTGGCCAAACCGAACCAGAGCCAGTTGGCAAGAGTGCCCTTATACAGAGTTCATAGAGGTAGGTTCTAGGAGCACCCCTGGGCCCAAGAAGAGCAGAGATAGGTCTGTAGTAAGAACTAACCAGCATAGGTCTGTATGTGGATTCAGAGAGCCCAGGGACACATCTGCTTCATAAATAGTCATGGAATCTTAGAAGTGGACCACCACTTAGAGATGATCTACTCTAACATTTCATTTTCCAGATGAGGAATTGGGTTCCAAAGAGGATAAGTGTCTACGTGTGTGCATGGGCACACTTGTCTGGGTGGGACATGACATTCTGTCATCATCCAGAGGTCCAAGAAGGGTGGGTAGTATGGCTATTATTCACTTTAAAACCCTGCGGCTCTGAACTTGAAAAACCTCTTTGTATCTATAGCAGATTCTTGTTGGTTATCTTACCAGTATCCATTTTGCCTTTCTTTTCCCCAGAGGCCTCCAATTTTATTTGGGAATTCAAGTGGTTCAGGGAAGCTGCTTTTGCTGTTGGCTCAGTGGGGAGCTCAGTCAGATAGCATATCCAGTCTCCAATAATGATGACCTCTGGGTGGCTTCAGCTAGTCATGTCCCAGTGAACTTCATGACTTTCGTTGTGAATGCTGGAGCAAAGAAGCTCCTACATTCCTTCTCCATGTGAACGAGGAAGCTCGTGACCTTGGGGGCTGCTGGCAGCTATCTGAAGAACAGTAGGGGAACCAGTGTTAAGATGAAGTTGAAGTTAGAACAGAGATAAAGGAAGAGAAAAAATTCTAAGTGGAACTATTGAAGCCAGCATACCTTTCATCTTTTAAAATTAGGTGAGCTAATAAGCCCCTTTTAAAGTTTAAGCTATTTGAGTCAGATGTTTTTTCTTTTTTACACGCCGTCGAAAGAGACAGCAGGTAGGTGCATTGCCTCTCTGGCACGCACTCTTCTGAACTTGAATGAATCACCCAGCCTTTTAGATTCCTTTCACAGATGCAGGTGTAGTAAAAAAATAATTAAAATGTATTAAAAAAGTTAATTCTTTTTCTGTACCTCATTTTCCCCTTCTAGAGAACACAAGGGCCATTATCACAGCTGCCAGGACCTGCTCATTATTACGCTGGGCTGCATGGATGGTTGTTCTCAAGAGAACAGAACCAGAAGGCAATAGAGGGAGAGATTCTGTATTTAAATTTCACTAGTGGCTTTACTTTGCCATGCTTTCTGTCTTTAAGGAAACAGGCACTCTCCCCTAGTACTGTCTCTTGGAGGTTGGGGACCCTCTAAGGAAGGATTGGGGGTATTGAAGAGAAGTCTATGAGGAGAGGTTTGTAAAGTGTGGGTGCAGATGTGTTAGGAGAGGTAGAAATCTTTCAGGGATTTCTCTCTATTTTATAGAAATATAAACTGAGGCTTAACGCTGGGAACCTGTTCCTTGTCAACCAGGCAATCCGGTGGCATTACAGAGAGTTGAACTCCAGAGCGCTTGCTCCCAAACCAGGCCCCACCCTCCAGATGGCCGGTTTGCCTCCTCCTCAGGCCTGTGAATTGCTTCCCCTGGAACCAGACCAGATGTTCTGGAGAAAGCACCAGGTCAGCATTCTCCGCGGAAGGCGCCGGTCTCCGGAGATGCCATTTGCTGAACTTACTATGCTGGGCTGACTTGAGGCCCAGGTGTTGTCCGAAGTCAGGTGACAGGCTTTGAGAGCCTCTTGGAGCTTCCTTTGGGGGAACATGGAAGGACATGTGACATGAGTCTCCTAAAAGTTGAAGAGGGGACTGAGGGCTGAGGGCTAAGGGCTGAGGTGTGCAGTTAGCAGCAGCCTGTGAATGTCTGAGTTGCTGAGAAATTCACAGAGTAGAGTGGCATCCCTTCCTTTTGTCTTTAGCTTCTGAAGTTCCATTAAAGTCCTGGGCTGGGCCATGGGGGCTGGGCCTCTTCCCCCAGGAAGATCTTCTCTATTTCACTGCAGGATTGAAAAGAGCAGGGATGACAGAGCCCAAGTAGAGGCCAGGGGGCCTGGAAGGAAGGGGGCACATGAAAGAGGAGAAAAAGAGTGGGAGGGGACATAGGAAAAGATTTAGGATGTTGTGTCAAGAGGCTTATAAAGTTTGAAAGCTGGAAGAGATTTTTAGAGCTATCTCTCACATTCCTCATTTCACAGGAGAGGAGCTGTCAGATTCTCAGAGAGAGAAAAGTACTAGCCTAAGGGTTCATCGTAAACTATTGGTGGAGGTGAGACTGGAATCCAGGTCTTTTCACTTCCAGACTGAACTTATTCATTATCTATTGCGGTGCAAGCAATTAACCCCAAAATTAGTGGTTTTAAAACTATAAACACATATTATTTCACAGTTTCTATGGGATAGAAAAATGAGTGTGTCTTAGCTGGGTCCTCACAAACTCTCAGGATGCTGCACTCAAGGTGTTAGGAGGGGCTGTGTGCTCATTTGAAGGCCTAATTGGGAGAGGGTCTGCTTCAAAGTCCACTCAACCAGCTCACTTGTTGTCAGAATGCTGTTCCTTGCAGGCTGTTGGAATGGGTTTTCTGTTCTCCATTGGCTGTTGGCCAGAGGCCTCTCTAAGTCCCCTGCCATGCATCACTCTCCATGTGGCCCCTCACATTGTGGCAGCTGGCTTCCATCAGTTTGATAAGTCAGGGTGCAAAAGAGAGTGAGCAAGATTGAAGCCAGTCTTTTTCTAACCTCACCTTGGAAATGACATATCATCACTTTTGCTGTATCTCATTCACTGAAGTAAGCCACTCTCTATAGCCCACACTCCTGAACAGTAGAGGCAGGAGCCATCTTCTTAGAAGCTGCCACCATACCAAATACTTCCTGCTAATATTTGCTGCCTCTCTGAGCCATATAGCAGAGAGGGCTGGGAAGGCAGCCCTAAGAAGTGTGTGTTTTGTTCTACAGCTATTCGGCCCCACCTTTCCTTTGGAGAAAACACTCTTCCCACAAGGAAGGGGAAGCAAGAATTAGTGGCAGCAAGGACAATTTAAGCCCTTGAAAGAAGCAATCATCACATTGATTAATAAATACTTAAAATTTCTTTTTTTCATTGCTGGTCAATTGTTTGGTGATAAGATAGAGTAAGCAAGGAATTCAATTTAGAAACTAGAGAAAGCTGGAGTCTGAATTTCAACCAAAACAAGTCACTTACCCTCATGAAACCTCAATCCGCTGATCTACTCACCAGGATGACAGTGTCAACTTTGTAGGATTAATTGAATAACATTAACGTCTTTTAAAGTTAGCTCTTTCATATTGAGTGACTTAGTTAATAAAAACAGGCCTACTGGGATGTCAAATGAGGACTTCCCCTCTTGCACTCATCCTAAACTTGAAAAGAGTGGATATGGTAGCCAATAGGATAAGGCAGGAAACAGAAATAAGTGGCAGAACTATGGGGAAGAGCAGCCAAAATTCTGAGTATTTTCTGATTGTATGATGGTGTATTGGTTTGCTAGGGCTATCATAACAAAATACCACATAATGGGTGGCTTAAGCAACAACTGGGTTTCTTACAGTTCTGGAGGCTGGAAGTCCAAGATCAAGGAGACAGCAGGTTGAGTTTGTTCTGAGGTTTTTCTTGTTGGCTTGCAGATGTCCACCTCTTGTTGCCTCTGCATATGATTGTCCCCATGTGCCCAAATTTCCTCTTCTTATAACAGCATCAGTCAGATTGGATTAAGGCCAACTCTAACAGCCTCGTTTGAATTTAATCCCCTCTTTCAAGGTCCTAACTCTAAATACAGTCACATTCTGAAGTACTGGGGGTTACAGCTCCAACATATACCTTTTAGAGAACACAATTCAACCATAACAGATGGCATACCGAAAAAAAATGGAGAGAATGAGCTGAAAATGCAGGAGAACTAATAAGAGATTATTAAGGTAGCCAGATACAAAATAAATATTTAAAAAGGCTTAGTGCTTTATTGCATATCAGTAATGGCCTACTGAAAAATACAATGGAAACAATGCCATTCACAATAACCACCGATGCTTGGTCTGCAGGAGTGTTTCCACACAGGGCAGAGAGAGAGAGAGGGTGTCTTGTGACTTGGGGCTTTACTTGGTCATCTGGGCACAGAAAGAGCACAGCTTGCAGCCAGAGTTGCATGAAAGATAGAATGAAAATATTTCAAGCCTCTCATCCTCAAACTTCTAACCACAAGGGCCCCAACTCCCAGCATGCTGCTGTTGAGTGAGACATAAGTGACCTGCCATCCCTCTGGGTCTTCGTTCCTTTCTCAGCTAGGGCACATGTCCTTATAAACCTCCTAGTCCAGTCTGCCCTGCTCCAACTCAGGGACATGTTAACACAGGGAATATTAATCCCCCAAAATAACCTTTTCTTCTGGAAACCACATCTTGAGCATGGAAGAAAGTCCTTTTATATCATCAAAAGCCTCATTTGGGAAATTTCCGCAGAACAAAGAGACTCTCTATGCTAAAAGACTGGTGGTGTTCCCATTTATTGCCAGATAAAAATTGCTTGCAGCTTGAAGAAATTAAAAAAGTTAATTATAGAAGTAATGTGTAATAAAACTCAAACAATACAGACAGATCAAAAGTCTTCTTTGTTCACCACTTAATTTCACTCTTCTCCCCCAGAAATGATCACTGTCAACAGCTTGGTGCAAACATAAAAAAAGTACAAAATTGTGTGTGTGTATGTTCGTTTGTAAATATATGTACACACATACACATATAGATATACACACCACATAGACACACACTCATTCACTTTATTTTTAAACATAAAAAGTTTTATCCTCTTAAATTTAAGCAAGATCATACTATATGTATTGTTTTGCTTCTTACATTTTTTTGCTTACCTAGTAATATGACTTAGAAGTCTATCCATATCAGAGCATATGTATATGTGTGTGTGTATGCGTACACACACACATACACATATCTACTTTTAAACTGCTATAGAATGTATCATGGTACAGATGTAATTTAATTGATTTGACTAGTCCCTTAGGGTGTACTTCAGTGGAGAAGTCCATATTAGACTTTGCAGCAGGCATATTTTTATTAGTTAAATAACTATGTTAAGAGTCTTGTTAACATTAAATCCTGCCATGACTATTATGGAACACTTTTTGTGCAGAGATGTAACAATTTCTCTAGAATAGATGCTGTCTTAGCCAGGTGTGGTGACGGGCGCCTGTAATCCCATCTACTCGAGGGGGTGAGGCACGAGAATCACTTGAACCCAGGTGGTGGAGGTTGCAGTAAGCTGAGATTGTGCCACTGCCTTCCAGTCTGGATGACAAAGTGAGACTCTGTCTCAAAAAATAAATGAATAAATAAACAAAACAAAACAAAAGCAAACAAGCAAAACATTGGGCTTAGAACAAATATTACTATAAAAAAAATCTGACATTGGGCAATATATAAATAACAGAAATTTATTTCTCACAGTTCTGGAGACTGTGAAGTCCAAGATCAAGGCCCCAGAAGATTTGGTGTTTAGTAGATCCAGTCTCTGCTTCCAAAATGGTGTCTTGAATGCTGTGTCCTCTGGATGAGATGAACACTGAGTCATCATATGGGAGAAGGTAGAAGGGCAAAAAGGGACCTATCTAGTTCCCTCCAGCCCTTTTATAAGGCACTAATTGTATCCATAAGGGTGGATTCCTAATGGCCTAATCACCTCCTGAAAGGCTTGCCTCTTAATACTGTTGCATTGGGGATTGAGTTCCAACATGAATTTTGGAGGAGCCACAAATGTTCAAACCATAGCAGATGCCTAGAGGTGAAATTTCTGAGCCCGATGTTTTGCTTGTTTGCTTTTTTTGTTTGTTTTTTTTTTGAGACAGAGTCTCACTCTGTCATCCAGGCTGGAGGGCAGTGGCACGATCTCTGCTCACTGCAACCTCCACTTCTTGGGTTCAAGTGATTCTCATGCCTCAGCCTCTGGAGTAGCTGGGATTACAGGCACCCATCACCACACCTGGCTAATTTTTTTTGTATTTTTAGAAGATACAGGGTTTTATCCTGTTGGCCAGGCTGATTTTGAATTCCTGACCTCAAGTGACCGAGCCACCTTGGCCTCCCAAAGTGTTAGGATTACAGGCGTGAGCCACCACACCCAGCCTCGTTTGTATTTTTAATAGATCTGCTCTTGAACTTTTTTTAAATTTTTTTTTTATTTCAACTTCTACACACCAAGGTTTCAAAAATCTTAGAGCTGAAATTTCTTCCTGGACACCCCAGACATAGCCCCAGGGTTCCTCTCTCACAGTTTATGGGACTTGGTGGCTGCCTCATTTAGTTTGCCACATTTTTCTTGCTCAGACCAGACATTAGAACCATGATCTACCTTGTCACTCATGTTCTAAATCTAAAGTCTTTCTGGATGATAAACCAGCTTCATGAAATGGAGCTCAACATCTTAATACACAGTTTATATATGGAAGGACGGTTTATAGGCACATAACTGGGTCAACTTAACACAGAACAGAATAAAAAATGACAGGCGTATGCATCAGTCTTTGGCTAACTCTTCTACCTCTCTTGGTCCTGAGTTTGGAGGATACCCAGTTCTTGCCAACAGTGTTGTAGGTACGAACCTTCTCAAATTGAGGTCCAAACTTTTCTCCCAGCTGCCACTTGGCTACTGCTGCTGGTTGCTTATTCTCTCAGTTCCACTAGCAGAATCTTCTGCATTCCCATGTTCCCCAGACCTACCACCCTGGAGCAAGTCTCTCAAGCCCAGCTCAGATTAGCGTTAGTCTGAGTTTTGAAAGACACCCCATCCATCTTGAAGGCAGAATCGATTTTGCTCCAATAGCCATACATTTTTCTGTTTTTTTTTTACCAGCTCTCTAGGGCCGAATTCAACCCGCTTCTGTTCTCATCAGCTTTCTCAAGTGCAACTTTACAGTTACGAGGGTGGCTACATTTGCAATGAGAGCCACTCTAGACTGCATGAAAAATTTAGCATGCAATTGAGAAGGAATGTATAATTAATAACTTCTTGTGTTTAACAAATATTTAATATGTAATTCAGTTGTGGTGGTGGATGATAGGGATACCATGGCCAGTGAGAAAAGAACAAACCAAAACCATGACCCCCGCCCCAAGCTTCATGGAGCTTAGAATTAGAGAATACATAGGAACAGAATTGAGAATGTGAAATGTGATTTTGGAGAGCATAAACATACATGTGTTAAGAGCACATGACCTGGTCAGTGGAGGGGTGGTGGTGGTAATATGGCAAGGACTGCTTCCCCAGCAGCACCCCTGCTGACTATTCTTTTTTCTGAGTTGTTTTTTGTTTTGTTTTGTTTTGTTTTTTTGTTTTGTTTTTTTGTCAGAGTTGAGGCTTCCAGGTCTCCCAAACTCTGGTTCAGTGCTCTTTCTACTCCATCATGTGAACTTGGCCCTCATTTCCTAATCTAAACATAAGAGGCTGGTCTTGCAATACTTCAGAGTCCCTTCTAACTGCGATGTTCTTCATTCTTATCCTCCTCCTAAGATGTATGTGGTCGCTTGTCAGCAGCATCACCTCCATCTGTCCATCTATTCAACACATATTTGTTGAGCAACTATCATGTTCCAGGCACTTTACCAGAGGCTAGAGACAGTAGAGTACAAAATGTCATGCTACCTGTCCTCATGGGATGTCCAGGCCTGGAGTAGCAGTTTGGGTTAATGGAGCCCTCTTCTACCCTATTTGGCCAAATAATTACATTTAGAATTGAGGCGTTGTGGAATGGACAAAATTGGGAACTCCTGGTGTGTACTCTGAGGGACCCAGGACAATATTTTTCATCTTTCAGATTCTCAGCACAGCCATGGTAAAACCTGTCTCTTTCGTGTGGATCTTGATGCCCTGCTCACCTTAGAGGCATATAACTTGAAGGGTGAAATTGGTACCTGGACCACTCATTCTACACAAGCACCAGTCTACGGTGTAAGGGGCTTTTACTCCACAGACATTTACAGAACAGTGGCTGTCATCCTGGATGAATGTGGGAAACTATAAATACAGTCTGGGTATAGGGTAGACATTCAATAAATCCTGAGTTAGTAGGGAGGATACTATCCCAGCCTGAGAAGCCCTGTTGTGAGCCATGTGGATGAGACAGAGCTGATAATGGTTCTGTCTTCAGGGAAATTATGCTCCATTAGGAACAGAGACCCTAGCAGCTATAATATCATTGCATTCTTAGAAAGTGAGGACTTCTAGAAGGGCATGCACAGTGAGCCAGGAATTGAGAGGTGATAAAGCCTATTCATTTTTGCCTGGGTTAATTAGGAAAAGATCCTTGGAGCTGGGTTTTAACATTTGGGAGGAATTTCAAAGAGAAAGGTGATAGTGAGAAACAGAAGAGGCCACTTTCCAGAAGGGAGCCTCCTTTTGGTCTTTGGCCTAGTTCCCTTCCAACCAAAACCATGGTAGGTCAAGTTGGCCTAGAAAGAGAAGGTGCTTTCTAGTCTCTGGGAGTCTTGGGGGTCTCACCCATTTGTTTTCCATCTGCTCAGTAGGGGCGAGAGCCGTCTGTGGTGTGTACTGGGAGATAGAAGAGATAGAAAAGATGGGCCTGGGAGTGTCCTCTGAGCTCCACAATGTTTTGAGTTCCTATGTTTTTGTTGAGGAAACTGGGGCATGGAAAATGGGCTCCTTTTAAGCACAAAAAGTCTTAAAAATGGAATTTACTTAGTTAAAATGCGATCTAAAAGAAATAAGAATGAGGCATCTCCTTTTTCCAAGTCATTGCTTTTCCCCCACACCTGTCTCCACCTCACAGGGCACCTCCACCCTTGGCCTTGCAACGCGCCAGGCTGGGCATCAAGCCAGCCTGTCTTCGATGAAATCGAGGCTGCCAGATCACCCCGCCCACTACTGTTCCGTTAGCCTGAGGTCCCACCCTCCCCTCTCCGGGGAGACACAAAAGGCTTCTGTGACTCAAGCAAAAGCTCACAATCCTTCTCTTTCTTTCTAGCAACACAGAGTGAGGCTGTGGGGTGGATTTCTCGGTGGTAACCCTTGCCCGACTTGCTATGCAGTGACCGGTGTGTAGGTTGCTCCTTCTCTGCTCCTGGGGCAACTCTGTAGACCTACACACTTACTGTCCTCCATGATAGACCCATTTGCAGAGATTTCAAGGGTCCCCGTTTGGTTCCAGCTAACCTTGAGAAGGGTCAGGGTGGTCTGGGGAGGAGCTGATGTTTATCAAGTACCCAGGATATACTGGGTATGATGTGAATTGTTTTGTACGTGGATTCCATGTAAATCTGCATGTTGATCCTAGAAGGTGTTCTTAACTCAATTTTACAGAGCAAATGACAGCAATCAGAGAAGCTAGACAACTTGTTCAAGGTTATGTAACTGCTAAGTTATTGTTGTAAGATTTGAGTCTAGAACAGGCTGTTGGGAAAGCCTGAGTTTTTCTGATATGGTTTGTTACTTAGGGTTTGAATCAGGCTGTTGGGTTTTTCTGTTATAGTTTGTTACTTAGGGTTTGAATCAACTGGCCCTGTCTCTATCAGATCAAGAGATATGAGGAACATCATCTGTCTTCTTCTCCTTGTCTTCTACCCCTAAGCATCCTAGGTCTGCTATCAAAACTCCCGTTCACTTCAGACAATGACGTAGTCTGGTTTTGCGGGTAGCGAGACGGGGGAGGTGGGGGAGCAGCATTTGTGGGGGTGGAGGGAGGGCAATAGAGTACAGAAGAACAGATTTCTAGTTTTGCCTCTGTCACTAACTGAGCCATGTTGAGTGCATCTTTCCCAATCTCCAGGCTTCATTTTTTCTGCCTGTAAAACACAGATGCATAGCTTAGTTGTTAAGCAGACAGACAAAAGACAGACTGGCTCTACCCCAACTCTGCTGCTCACTAGCCCTGTGACCTTGGAAACATTTCTCATCTCTAAAATACAGATCATCATAATATCTACTTCATGGGACTGTGATGAGAGTGAAAGAAGTTAATACACATAACACTCTTAGGAGAGTGTCTGGTGTAGGTGTTTTACGAGTATTGCTGTCATTATTCTCCTTAAATGTGTAATTAATGAAATTCTAGTATTTTCAAATAAATATATGGGAAATAACACAGAATTTAAAGCTGAGTGCCACTCCCTTGATATTTGCTTCTCTACTTTTTGCCTGTGTGTGTGTGTGTTTGTGTGTGTGTGTGAGAGAGAGAGTTAGCAGGCAGAGGTGTGAGTAGATCATGGTGAAAATTAGATGTCAAGTTATCCTTTCCTCCGTGTGTGACATAGAAAACTTCCTCATATATCAGAAAGAATACATTTTCTGTTTTCACTTTATATGGTTATAAACCAATCAGCTTTGAGCCCATTCATAAGGAGCTAAGAGTTGTCTGGGTAGAAAAGATACAGATATACAGTGGTGAACAATTTTGCCTCCAGACTTCCAGATAAGGTGATCATATAGGTCCATCAAAGGCAACAAGAATGAGCATGAGAGCAACAAGAACATCACAACAGTGCCTCAGCAATCACCTCTACACCTCTAGACCTATAGGATTAAACTAAGACAGGAGACAGAGAGAGAAGAAAGGTGTGGGGGAGATAATGGGCTCTGTGTAGCACAGGGCCTGGCTAGTAGGCATTGCTCTAAGTGCAAAGTGCAGAAAGTATGAGGAATGAGGAGTTAACACCCAGGGCAGCCTAGGCCAACTCTATCCAAATATGGAAATAGATATAATGCAAGTCATATTTGTAATTTCATTTTTTCTAGCAGGCACATTTTAAAAAGCAAAGAAGAAACATGTAAATATTAATTTTCATTATTTGATTTAACTTAATACAGTTAAAATATTATTTTAACATGTAATCAATGTAAAAAATTATGAATGAGATATTTTACACTCTTTTTCTCGCATGATGTCTTTGGTGGCTGGTGTGTCTGTGATCATAGGAGCACGTCGACATTCAAACGCGCCCTCTTTCCAGTGCTTGGTAGCTGCATGAGCCCAGTGGATCCCAGGCTGGAGAGCCACAGACCACAACCCCAAGGAGCTTCTGTCTGCTGAATCAGCCAGAGCATGTCTTGCTTCCTGGCTGTTCGGAGTAAAAGGAGAGGAAGAGGGGTCTATTCTTGCTAGGAGTTAGGCAGGGGCAGATGGAGTGCCCTGAGGCCAGGGTCCCCTCCAACCACCACACCTTTATGTCATTGTACTCTTGGCTTTCAAGGACATCACCGCCTTTATCCTGGACTCTTTCAGAGAGTCTATGACTCCCAGGAACATTTCCTTTTGCTGTGGCATGAATATAAAACATGCTCACTAGCAAATGAGCCTTCCAGCATGTAGAACTGCAGTGCAGTGTTCTATGACTCCCTCCTTCGTACCCCATTTTCTGTTACCTCTCCTAATGTGGTAAAACTTTCTAGGCAGGGAAAGTAATGGAGTTGAGAATGAAGCTACCTTCTGGTTCTGCTGGTGAAAAGTGAAATATATGTTATATATTCTAAACAAATTATTTGTGCTAAGATAGCCATTTTACAGAAAAAAACTGCATAAGTGTGTTCACAGATTTAGGGGTTCAAGAAAGTGGCTGTTGTGTGCTGTTTTTATGCTATGCTGCTGGTACCTTGGAATTCTTTGCATTGCAGGGAAGTAGTTTCTTACATCTGTAGAGGATATCATCGTGTCTGGCTGATCAGCATGCATATAACCATCTTTGGTATTAGTCTCTCAATTTTCCTTTTAGGACCAGCCCTTGTTGTCCCCACAGCAACACAAGCGTGGTCATCATTTTCTCTCTCCTGGGACTCTGAATTTTTAGCGTTAAGTGATGTAAGAATGAGAAACAATCAGTCATTTCAATCAAAGCAGGGTGCCCTTGAGGCCCCATCTGATGCCTGCCTGGTTCCCATTGTGAGGCCCAGTTGTTCAGCTTTTCCTCCTATTCCCTAAGCTCTTCCACATTCTACTAATAGATTTCATCCTCTCCCCACCCCACCCCACTTCTAAGTGACCTGGAATCTGTTTCTGCTGATCTCAACCAAATGCAAACGAATGCACATTTCGGGCAGCAGGTTGGGGGTGATATGGCTCATGATCTGCAGCATAGGGGAGCACATAAAAGAAAAAAAAAGAAAGGGTTACGTGGTCAAAACAGAGATCCCGACTGGATGCGGTGGTTTATGCCTGTAATCCCAGCACTTTGTGAGGCCAAGTTGGGTGGATCACCTGAGTCAGGAGTTTGAGACCAGCCTGGCTAACATGGCAAAACCCTGTCTCTATTAAAAATACAAACATTAGCTGGGGGTGGTGGCATGCACCTGTAGTCCCAGCTACTCAGGAGGCTGAGGCATGAGAATTACTTGAACCTGGGAGGCGGAGGTTACAGTGAGGCAAGATCGCGCCACTGCACTCCAGTCTGGGTGATAGAGCAATACTCCGACTCGAAACAAACAAACAAACAAACAAACAGACAACCCAGACATCCCCTTTCAAGAGTCCAGTGGTGGCCATGGTGGGAGAAGCCTAACTGTTTCACAGCACTCTCTTATCTCTTCTTTCATTTTTTTGTCTGATATCCCTGGGAAGTAAGCTCAGATTCAGATAGGGGTAATGAATAGTTGTAGAAGTTTGGAGAGAGCTTCCAATTGAGTATTCTTATGTCCTTGCTACTCACTCTGGTCTTTGGACCAGCAACATCAGCCCCAGCTGGGAGCTTCTCAGAAATGCAGAATCTTGGGCCCACCCTGGACCTACAGAATCAGAGTGTGTATCTTATCAGGATCTCCTGGTGATTCTATCACATACAGTTGCAGAAGTATTATTGTATAGCTGGTGTAGTGTTGCTCCTCTGTGTTCCTGAAGGGAACTTCAACAAATAAAGGTCCAGTTTCTAGGACTGTTGAAGGCTGTATCCTTCCTTCAACTTTTAGAAAAGTTTTTGTTCTAAAGCATTTTTGAGGATGATCCCTGCTGATTGTGAAATTCAAGCTCTTTACATCTTTTTAGTAAAAACCTCCTGTGTGTTAGACCCAGGGACTTCATACCTAATTAATTTTAAAGATACTTGCCAGTGCTAATGGAAAAAAATAAGTATGTTGCTAATTGGTGAGTTTATTGATCCATCCTTGGTCCTTTTCACCAACATTCGTACTCAGATTTTATTTTTTACAATATTTTAAGAGGTGGACTCCTTGATCTGTTCCCAAGATTCCATGGCTGTTTGTGTCTTGATGTCACTCTGATGCCCTTGCTTGTGAGTGCCTTGCCTCCCGCTCCCAGGAGTCTACAGTCTAGGTAGAGGGATAAGATCATCCCCAACTCCTAAATTTTATGGGAGAGGAAAGCAAGCCCCAGGGAGATGTATGTACTCTCCGATCTCAGGATCTGGCCTAGGCAAAAGGGTCAGGAGAGGTTGAGGTGCTAGGTCACAATGGGAGCCTGGGACTAGCTCTTTACAGAGCAGGCGGGCACCGCCAGGGACATCTGTCTTCAAATGTGGGGTCCAGCTCTTCCGGTGTGGCATCCTGAGACTAAGGTCTGGGAAGCAGTCATGATCCCTAAAAGACCAGTCCAGACAGAGAAATGAGGGGTTATGCAATGTACTCAGGGCCTATAATTTACAGCATTTTAGATTCTTACAAGCCACCTGAGAGGTAGATTTTATGACTGGCATCCTACAGATAAGGAAGATGAAGTTAATGGAGGTTATAAAATTCACCTAAGATCACACAGCTAGAGAGTGGGCATTCAGACGCCGGCCCACTCACCCCAGTGCCTTTCTGCTTCATCCTATGTCATGCTGCCTCACTCCCTTCTGCCTGAGGTCAGGCCTGCATACAGCGATGATGATGCCGGGCCATTGAAAGAGATGAAATGGCCCCAGTTGCAGGAGAGGAGGTGTGCAAAGCTTAAAATGAGGCAGGACTAATAGGTCAATTGAGGTCACAAAGCAAGAGGAGTTGGCTCAGAAGGAGTCGGGCCCCTGGGTTTTGATTCTCAACCCTCTTGTATTATGATGCTAACTACTTCTGGAACACTGAGTTTAGGAATGGCTGGAGGGCTCAGCTGCAGTAGAAAGCTCATGTTTGGAGTGCCGTGGGAGGGATTGGGGAGAGAATGGAGAGAGGCTTGGTGAGGCCAGCCATGAGGAGAGGCAGGCTTTGTTGAAATAGCCAGCTTCCTCATGTACAGCCCAGTGAGGCAGATCAACCTGGAACCAAGGCCCACTGCTCCTAGAGGTCAAGGATTAAGACCCTTCCCTGTTTGGGTTCTTCTCCCAGCATAGGCCTGGAAGCGAGTGCTCAGATTGCAAAGCCAGAAAGTGAGAGAGTTTTCAGGCTGCTGCTGTTCTCTTGTTTCAAAGGACAGAACCTTTGGGTGACCCCAACAGCCAAGCCCCAGGCCATGTCTGGCTTGCACCAGCTACCCCCAGAGCACAAAGTCTCCTCCCTGCTGCCATTTCTGGGCCTTCACCTCCTAAACATAGCCCTGAGCATTTCTCCAGAACTTCCTGTTTGCCTGCAGCTGCACAGATGCAGGTCCCACCCAAGGGTCATCCGGAGGAGGCTGGGTGAAAGTTGGGAGTTGGCTGTGTTCTCCATAGCTCCTTGGGGTTTTCTCCACCCACATGTGGGTCCCCTGGGCTTCGCCACTCCCATCGGGCTCTGAGGCCAGTGGAGCAGAGGCCCCATATCCAAGTCAGCTCACATGAAGGTCAAGGTGACCCAAAAGGGCTTGTGGCCAAGATCCTTCATTTTTTTTTTTTTTGATTTTTCACTTTTCCAAACAAGTGATGACTTTAGGACATAGCGTTCTGGAGAAAACTGGGGAGGGAAACAAAGTCCTCCTTGGTTAGGGAGATGGAGAAAAAGCACACAGGGGGTGAGGCCTTTGGGTTTTCTGAAAGAGAGTCCCCATGGTCAAAGACCCCTACACGTGCCTTGCAGGTGCTGGGCCTACAGGAACTGTAAACAGAGGGACAGAATGAATATTCCTGGGGTACAGAGACTACATCAATGCCAGTGTTGAAAAACTTCCAATATGTGGGTCTGGAAAAAGTTCCCAGTGCAAAGCAGAGTTTTCCGGGCGGCTACCATTCCTTCACAACCTGTCTAAGAGGGCAGAGGCTGAAGTCACCAGGCGAAGATCTGTCTGCCGTGGCTAGTCTTGGGCTGTTCACCACAGGCCTGTCCTGATGATTAATTAGATTGTTTCAGTGTTTAGAGTATTGTGAAGATATAGCACTACATTAGAACATTGCGTTGTATTGGTTTGGGGATAATACTGTCATGCAAATAACATGAAAACAAGCTTTTTAAGGTGAGGGTTCAGGAGCCCTGTGTAACTCTCTCCTCACTCTATCTCTCTACAATTTGCTTCTGAAGGGACTTCGGTCCATGACAACATAAGGGAGGAGATAAGCAGGTTGATAAAGTGGCAAACTTCTAAGGAGTCCAGGGAAAGAAGAATTTTGTCTACAAAGTTGTGTCAGATATCACTGTTGGATTTTGGAGATTTTATCCAACATTCTCTGCTCTTTGATGCCCCAGGGGGCTGGCCCTTATGCTCTGTGTCACCTGGGGTCTCTTGTCTGCTGACTTCTGAATTTCGCCAATGAGAGCAGCAGCAGGAGATTAGATAAATGATGGAATGTTTCTTCCCTGTGTCTGAGCCTGACAACAGCTGCGATCCTCCTAGTACAGATTTTACCAGGAGGTCCATTCACAACCATTCCTTCCCACACACAGTTTTGGCTGTCAATGGGCTCCTGTTGTGCTATTTTGCCCTTTTGCCTTCTCAGTCCTAAGGGTCTGAAGACCTCATTGGTAGGCTCTAGGTGTCTCTCCTCTGTAAATAATCCCTTTGACAAAGTCTTCATTTGGACCATCTGCAGGGATCTGTGGCTCCCTAATCATAACAAGTTTCCTGAGGGAAGTAAATGTTGCACACTCAGCATCACGGTATTCTAGTTTGTTCCTGACTGTTGACTTTGTCCTATGGGAGAGGTCATCTTTGTGCAAATTGGCAATCCACAAGAAGTGAGCTGTGCACAAGAGCATTTGAAGACTCATGACACACAGTCATAGCAGGAAGTGGCAAGGCAGCAAGCTGTGAAGAGGCTTAAGGGGAAGATGGGGACCAGAGGCTGAGAAAAGATACAGATCATCCAGAGAGCAATTGTAATAGACACCGAGGTGAGCTGCTCAGATTGTGGGTGTGTGGTCCACCAAGGAACCTCCAGCTGATGCTCCCTTCTGAGTCTGCCTCAGCAGGGAAATGCCATGTCTTACTGGCGCAGCCCAGCCAGGGGGGGTATAAATGGTATAAAGGCCTGGCTATACTGCCTGATGGTTTGTGCAGCTCCTTCTTCTGTACGACCCTGCAGCCTCCCTCTTCAAGTACTGACCTCTAATAAACATCTTGCATTCAAGCTCCATCTCCACTCCCTGAGAACCCAACCTATGAGGCTAAGTTTAAAAGAATTTACAGCAAGAGCAGCAAAAGCACATTAAAATAATTAAACAATTTTTACTTTTTGGATTTATTTTCTAGATTTCATGTGTTGCAAAGTGTGTTTATATTTTATACAGAGGCAGAGGAAGTCCCAGGAGGCATGAGAGCAGGGTGAGAGCCATGGCTGATGAGTTCTTTCAGAGATTTGAAGGAGGGAATCCAGATCAGATATGTGTGCAAACTTCTAAGAAGTTAGAGCTTCGTTCAGTGACACTACGGACACATATAGGATTATTTGAGACTAATCTGAGTTTGGTTAGAGAAGCAAAGACAAACAAAAGTCACATTTAGGAGGTAAAATATACACAACCATGGAGGATGAGGGTTATGAAGCATTTTCCCTATCCCTATCCTCCATTTAACAAAAAGGGAAACTGACAATGGAAAACTTTGAAGTATCTGTGTGCCTGATGGTAAGGAGAGATGTTTTTCACATGAACTTGAAAACAGCTCTGAATCAGCATGCTCATTCTTAGGGTTATGGAAGAGTGAGGACTTGAAATATTTTACCCCAACAAGTGAAATAACTTATCTGAAAAATGAACATGCTTTTTTTTATTGCATTTCTAGATTCTGACCCACAGGAACACCCCTTGCCACCCCTTATAGGACCAACATCCTGGTACCCACACATTTGCATGAGGCTCAGACTTAATAGTGTCCTCTTCCCATGTCTCACACCCCTGACTGCTGGAAACTTCGTGTCTAACCTCATGCCCCCTCATTCCTTCCTGCTTATACCCTTTCCTGGTTACTTCCCCAGAAACCACGTGGGTGGTTGGTTCTTGAGTTTAAATATGAGTCTCATTTCTACCCTGGAGCTACCTCTGAGGCAACAGGAAACAAGAAAAATACGATCCACCTCTGAGTGGGTGAATGTCATATCCTTGACCAGAGACATCATAAATTGTGTTACAACTCAGGGACAAGGTAAAGTGAGGGCTTAGGAATTTCCTAAATGAGCAGAACCAGCTCTATCCCTAAAGTCAGTTCTCTCTCTCTCTCTCTGTCAAATGATCAATACTCAGATTGAGACAATTCCTACTTCTAGGCACACTGGACTAAGGCTTATGGCATGCTACGAGGCAATATCCCACTCTTCAGTCTTGCCCACCTCAAGCCCAACATAGCTACCAAAATAACCTAAAGAAATCTAAACTCTCATCACTTCCACTGTTACCAATAGGATCCTTTACAAAGAACATGTTGGTCTCTGTTCAGAAGGTGTTCCCATCTCTTAGCCTGCTAATACTGCCCATATGATCAATGAATTAAGAGCTTCTAAGAGCTCCTCCAGGTGATCTCTATCTCCGGGCCAAGTCTTTAGATTTAGTTTAGCTTTCAACACCTCTATGCTATAAGCTCTGACGAAAACAGCTTGCATCCTTTGGTTTAAGCTCTAACAAAAACAGCTTGAATCCTTTGGTTAATGCTAATGAATGCATTTCTCCCTTTTTTATCTCTTCTCCCTTTCCATGTTGAGGAGAGAGACAGCACACTGGGATGAAGACAAATACGGCAATAGTGTGTGGCCAGAGTAGGACCACCTCCCACGGTGGTGGGAGGGAATTGGAGGACAAATTACTTTTGATATTTTCCAAGTCACATTTAATGGTTTCATACTGGCCAATTCTTCCCCAAACCCACCTAGCTCAGGAACTCAAGTCTTTCCAACCAAAAGATCAAAGTAAACATTTCTGCTTTCAAAGTTTTATTGAGATGTTGGGGAAAAACAGCCAACATATACATTCCTCATTTCGTCACAACTGGCATTTGATCCACATTCCATAGGCTCCTCTCTGGCTTTGATCTAACATCAGGTCTCCTTGGCAGTTCCCCTTCTGCTGTTCTTGTTGCTGCTTGGTGCTGTGTGAAGCGCACCAGGGCAGAGCCCGCTGGGGGCTCACAAGTGGGAGCGGTAATTGCGATTGGCTGTGGGAAAGGACAGGTTTGCAACAGAGACACGAATTAGAACATTCCCATCAAGACTCTTGTTGCTCAAATCTGCATTTAGTTATTGGAAATAATCTCAGGCCAAGATTTCAGGGTCCTGTGAGAGCTGCCTCCAAGAGGGAGGGCCTGGCAGCAATGTGTGCCTAAGTTTGGCAATCTCCTCCCCATCCCTCACTCACCGTCATCGCCCCGTTTCCTACTTTTCAGGTTGCCCTTACGGTATTTTCTTTTGCTGCCACCTCTCTTGACTCCCTTGTGAGGAGATCGGCTCTTGCTCCTCCTCATGCCATGACTCTTTAATTTGCGGCTGGTCGACATGGTAAGTTCTGCCAAAATGAGGGGCTTTGCAAGGCCCGGGGGCCAGGAGTCTGGGTATTTAAGGCCTTGGCCATTGTGACAGGGAAGGGGCATGGCTCAGCAGGTGGGCGGGGCTCTACTGTGCTGTCACTCACCTTTGCTGCACTTTGGTCACATTTGTGAAATAAGGTGGTCCTTTTCGTGCAGCTCAAGGGCTGCCCTCAGTTTTGAGGTCCTTTTTATGTTAAGTGAGGCTTTCCCAGAGAGGTGTTATTGAGAAACTGAATCCCAGCCCTGTGCCAGGCATTGGATGAGTACAAGAGACCATTCAGATATGCTTCTCCTGCCTGTAGGAAATGTAACAGTCATTGAGTGTGTGTGTATGCATGACTGTTTAAGTCTCTCACAGCATCCAGAGATAATAAATTTATTTCTGTAAGGACTTGACTCTACAGAACCCAATTCAATATGATCAAAATAGAAATATTCCTTCTTTTTCATCTAGGTCAGGATTTCTCAGTCTTGGCACTGTTGACACAATGGGCAGGGTAACTTTCAGTGGGCTGTCTTGTGCACCCTAGGATGTTTGGCAACATCCCTGGCCATTACCCACTGGACACCAGAGAAGCCTGGCAGCTATGACAACCCAAAATATTCCCAAACATTGCCACCTGTTTCTTTGGGAGGCTGGGGAAGTGAGGGAAAAAATGGCTCTGGTTCAGAACAATTAACCTAATCATTTTTTAAAATTCAGTCACAGATATTGATCACATAGCATATGCCATACATTTAGGTGGTAGAAAATTAGTGGAGGATAAACACACGTAGATACTGTGCTCATGGAACTCTCAGCCCACTGGGGAGAAAGCCATTCATCAGATGTCTACATAAATCAGTGAGTAAGTACTTACGGAGTCATTTTGGCTGGAGAAGGGCAGAGGGAAACTCCCTACATGGTACAGGATGAGGCTGGAGGGAGAGACAGAGATCAAACCATGATCAAGTACATTGGGAAGCCTTTAAAAATGTTAAGAGGATGGCATGTGAGATTAGAGGGTGCCAAGTGGGTGATGTATTGACTGGAGGAGCTGTGTAAAGGGAGATGCTACTGTCAACATCAATGGTTCAGCAGAGAGAAAGATTTGATGATGGTTTAGGTCTGGCCAGGAAAGGTGTTGATTGAGATCTAAAGTAGACAAGAGACCAAGGCTTGGTGACGGATTGAATTTGGGAGGTGAAAGCAGATGGTGTCAAGGGTGTGGCTTTTGTTTCTGTATAATGCAGTTATCTGGATGCTGGTGCCATTCATGGGGATAAAGGCCAGACATGGGGAGAGTGATGATCATGTACTTGGTATAAGACATACCAGCTTTGAAGTGCCTTTGACACTTACAAATAGATATATTGAATGATTATTGGTGTATAAGTCATCCAGCCTTTCCTTTTTCCTCCATTACACCTCATAGTAAATGCTTTGCTTTTGAAAATGTTTCTTTCTTTTTTTTTTTTTGAGACCGAGTCTTCTCTTTTGCTCAGGCTGGAGTGCAGTGGCACAATCTTGGTTCACTGCAACATCTGCCTCCTGTGTTCCAGCAATTCTCCTGCCTCAGCCTTCTGAGTAGCTGGGATTACAGGCGTGTGCCACCATGCCTAGCTAATTTTTGTATTTTTAGTACAGACAGCGTTTCGCCATGTTGGCCAGGCTAGTCTTGAACTCCTGATCTCAGGTGATCTGCCCACCTTGGCCTCCCAGAGTGCTGGGATTACAGACGTGAGCCACTGTGCCCGCCTCATTCGGATTTCTATAGAACTTGTTTGCTATTTCTTCCATTTGTCTCTCCTCTCTCCATTGTCATTACCCTCATTCAAGAACTGAGCATCTTGTATGCAGGAGATCCTTAGCAAAAGTTGGTTGAATAGAAGAGCGAAAGTAGTTCAAGTCCCACTCCCTGGTTTTCTGATATCTATAGATGGCAAATTGAGTTTTGAAACCCAGATTCCTTGTATAGCCACCATATGTGACACTTTCCATTTTCCTGCTTCTGGGCAGGTCTCTCTGGAGACCTTCTATTGGTGACTTGTTGGTGACTTTTATTCACATGAAGAAGTTCTATAAAACAGGCTGCTGGCTTGCTTGTTGGTAGTCCAGACCTTCTGCGTCCACTCAAGGCTGGTTGTTTCTCCTACAAACATGCCCCCATGAAAGCAGGGACCTCTGTGAAAGCAGGAATTGAGAAATTGGGCTCACTACTGAATATTCCCTGGGAGTTCATCAGTCCTGCCACAGAATAGAAGCTCAGTAAGTATTTGTGAAATACATTTGGTCAATGAATAAAAAGTCCTTCTTTTATTTTTCTAACTATCCTGTTCCTTCCCATTTTGCCCCACATCTCTAAGGAAGACTTCCCAACTTATCAAATTTTCACTGTCCTTTGAAACTTCTTCAAAGTTTATTGTCTGTATAATATTGGCTTTAAAGTCTAGACAACCAACCCTAATTGTGTGAAATCATGTTTTATGCCTGCATTGCCAGCCATGTGTGTTAGACTGGTTTCAACAGGAGGTGGTGTGTCTTCATTCTGGTCCTGACTGGACTTCTCTGGTCGTTAGCTCCCTTATTCTAAAAATAAGCAGATTGGGCTAGGTGATCTCTGAAATGATCTGACTTTGGCGATAGCCTCCTTCTCGTTAGGGACTGTACCTTTTATTTCTACTGCATTTTCCGCAGGTACTAGCATGGCCCACACTAGGTGGTCAGTAAATATTTGTTCAGTCTAGCTGCTTTGGTATATTATGAGGACAGACAGTTCAACACAATCACAGTGACTTTGCATAAGTGGGGCCATTTCAAGGCAGGGAAGAGAGAAGACATTGTCCTCACAACAGGTCCTCTGGTGCTCTGTGTCCACCTCTCATGCCTGAAACCATTGGCTAAAATGTTTACAGAGGAACTGGCCTCTTTGGTTTGAGAGACATTTTTCTGGATGGTCCTGAAGGCTGGATACTATTTCTCTCCCCAATCCCTCCCACCCCCAAAAGATCTGCTCTGCCAAGGAGAAGCTGAGATCACAGGGAAGAAGGCAGCCAGACTCGGGAACTGATGAAGAAACAAACAAAAAAGTCCCCTTTGCCTAGAGTTGAGGAGCAGTTCTGGTTCCAGACACCCATGCTGAGAAACTTAAGCAGCAGAAAACCCAGTGGGGGACGGGGAAGGCGATTCACAGGCCACTCAAGAGTGGGGTGTGGGGGGTGTTTGGGTTGGCTCCTGTATCGGACCTCCTGGAGTGAGGATGGAGCAGGGCTGAGCGTTGGTCTCTGCTGCCTGTCTCTGTTTCTCTTCCCATTTCTGCCCCAGTGTTGCTCAAGCTAGCAGCAATTTAGATAGAGCCTAGTGAGCTACTTCTAACCTTTAGCAGGTCCAGGATGAGGCCCTTCCTTGAGAATCATCTGTTAATCCAGTCTGCTCCCTGTCTCACCATTTTGTTTTTTTCTGCTATCTTTGCACAGAGAGGACATATGAGTGACTTCAAATAACTCAGCATAGGACTAACAGGGACAGCCCCATAAACCTGTTTCCTTTACACCTTAGCTTCCCTGGTGGGACTCAGCTTTTTTTTCCCTTAATGAAAGGAAACGACTATGTTCTGAACATTTTTGGCACAGAAAGAGAGAGAGCTAAATTCCTGGCCTTTTGAGAAGAGACACTATCAGCCTTTTCTTTTCTTGGGGCTCAGTGAGTTCTTGCCTGGAGAAAGGTAAATGGACAGGATGGTGTCTGTATCTCCTAGACGGGTAGCTAGGGTTACAGTGCAGGAAAGGGCTTGGAGGCCAGTGCTCTCACTGGTCCCTTTCCTAGGCTAGGAGGGGTAGCCTTAGGGTGTCACTGTTTTGGAAGTCAGATCTCTAGTTAGATTCCATGTCACTTCTCCAATTCAAACTCACTCCATTAATTTTCCCGGGGAGTCCAGTGGATGCCTTCATAGGGCCGGATCTTCCCAGCAGGCTGAGACTTGGGGCTTATGAAGAGGGAACATGGAAAAGTTGCTGACAGTCCTTATACCTGTCGATGACTCAGTCTGAATCCCTCTCTGAAATCTAAGTCTCTCCAGATGCTGACCTCGGCTGGGAAGTGGGGACCTTTTACCCAGTTCACATGCACACCCTGTCTTCTCTACTGTTGTTATTGCTGCTGTTCAAACAGGCCAAAGGGGCTTGGGGACAGGCTGGAGGAGGGGAAAGTGGCTGAGAGAGGTGCCTCACCAAGGGGCAGAGCTCTCTGAACTCAGAACACATTCACTGTCTTCAGTAGGGAATAAGAAGAGGCCAGAGACCAAGGCCAAGGGGTGGTTTGCAGAGCAAAAGGGAGGAAGGATCTTACCTCCGTTCGTCTTTTTTCATCCAGTTCTGGAGGTACAGGGAGCATCCTGGTTCTGAGAATGGCCTGGAGTCTGCCTGAAGATTTGGTGGTGTTCTTTCCCATTTTTCCGTCAGGCTTCTCTCCTATTCTTTCTGCTGCATTCTCAAATTGTTTTTCAGTAAACAGTTTCTGTTTTTTTCAGGGGGAGAGAGATTGGGGTGCTTAAAGTGGGAGATTTATCACAAGAGCAGTGGTCATGGGAGGCTCTTAAGGTGTACCTTGTCCTGCTCCTTTGGGAGCCAAGAGGCTTATCTCGGGAGCCACACCTGGGCAGTGGAAGAGCCAGGATAGCGACAAGTTTGCCGACCCCAGGCCAAGGACTGCCTGCTGCACCACAGTGCCTTCCCTACTCAACTTAAAAACAAACCTGTCCTTGAGTCTCCACTCTATTAGCCTTTTCTTTCATGCATGCCTGCTATGATCACAGTGAAGGAACCTAATATTAAAGAGGGAGAACTGGAAAAAAGTAGTCCTTAGAGGCAGGGCATGAATTTGGAGGACCTCTGGACAACTTTCAAGTTCTCATTCTGAGAGCACTCAAACTTTTCGTTTGCTTTTAATTATTTTTGGATTTCTGAAAATTGACTATTTCTGTTCCCTTTGTCTTTCCAAGTCTCACTAACAATAAAACTACATGGTATAATGGTGCATAAAGAAAATTCAAATTGTGTGCTTCAGAGGGTTCTAAATAAAGTTTTCACATTGACCACTAGCCACTTTGCTGCCTTCCTTTATCCCCATCTATAACATAGTAACAAAAAAGATATCCTTTTCCAGAATACACTGGAAATATAGTTCCATTCAGCTGTTAAGATAAAAGTAGGGCTGCATCCCAGGGTGTTAGAAAAGGGTGTTATGGTACAAAAATATCACACATATTAAAATCATTTGGCCTCATGTGGTCAAGAATAATATGTTTTAATCCATCCACCAACGGGAGTAAGGAACTTTGAGTTGGAGCATTGCTAGAGAACAATTTTATAATAAATAGGCCTTGAGATGAAGGGTAACAGACAAAGTCACAAATCATAGGCAAAGTGAGATCTCAAACCTAGATCTCTTAATCTCCAGTCCAGGCTTCATGCCACTATACAATGATGCACCACAATTATAATTTCTGGCCTCTTGTTATTTTCTGTGCATTTGGTCTGCTTTTCTTTTTTCCTCTTGTGTGCTAAGAGCCATGTGCAGGGGCCTTGGCCCTCTTAAAATCATCCCACCTGCCAAGGGCCATCAGTTCACTGAGTTTTAGGGCACCTGACCCTTTGAAAGGGGGGAAAGAGTTGCCATCAAGGGTGGAAAAGGACCACAGAGACAGGTTGAGGTTGCCACACGTGAAGGTCAATGGCTTCATAATTGATGATTTCATAGCATTGTGACCATCAGGCTGGTAGAGTGCATTGCATACAGGAGCTCTGACTAACTCTACTGACCAAGGCTGGGCCAAGAGAGAGCATCACAATCAGCCCTGCCTCTTTGACTTGGCTTGCCAAGCCTCTACTTCCTAGTCTTAGTGGCGATTGAGGGAGAAGAACAGGCAGATTCAAAACATAATTTTACTACATGTCCTGAAACTCTTGAGAGACAGAGCTGGCAATGAAGGCTTGCTTGACAGTGTCGCTGTCAGTTTTCCGCATTGTTCTTTGGGGCAGAATACTCATATTTGGGGATCTCAAAAAGTAGATTTAGTTGTATTTATACTAAATAAAAAGAAAAAAGTAGATCTTTTGCTGCTTTTTCTAATTCTAAAGTTCTGTGGTCCAAAGCACAAAGGTTTAGTAACACTTCCTTCTTCATTACATTCTTGTTCTGGGGGAGCAGATGGGACTTGCCTGGAGAAATGTTCAAAGCAAAGCCTTTGTTTTTAGTAAGGACCAAAGAAAGACCCAGATGCTTTTGAGTGTGGTAGTAATCAGATTTTAATGAGCAAGAAATTCCAGATACTGTGTAGCCTTATTATTATTATTATTTTGGTGGGGAGGAAATGTGGTAGGTCATACCATGGAGATGTTCTGGGGTTCTAGTAAGAACCGTGTCACCATGCAGAAATATTTGTTTTCTAAGACTACTGCAACAGTGAAAGTGCACTTTCTTCATGCTGCAAGAGAGGAAAGACAAAACTGAGGTTTAAAAGTCCCTGGTTAGAGCAGGAGAACCTCAGGAAGTTCTTCAGATGGGCACACAAGGCTAACGTGACATTTTCCAAATTTTCCCTTATGATTTTGTTACCTCTTTAGCTCTGGTTTGGCCTAGCTTACTTGCTACTTCCTGTGACATCTGCTTTCTTGTGGGTGTGACTAGCTGGGGCTGGTGTTGTGGGCAGTAAAGGAATTTACCAAGACAATCATAGGTAAAGAAAGGCAGATTTATTAGACAAAGTATGAAGGTATGTTGCAAGAAAGCAATGGGCAGCACAGCAGAGAAGGGGCTGTCTGCAAAGAGGCAGGGGCTAGAGGGGAGTTTTATAGGATTTATGTGCAGAATGAGGTTGTGCTGCTGGGTCTATCTGGGGAAGGAGGTCATTATGCCCACAGGTTTTTTGTGTTTAGCCATTTCTCAGAACAATTGTTTACTGTTCTCCTCCAACTTGGGGCCGGCCCTCCCCCCATCTTGCGCCCTTTCCTTGTTGTTGCTTATTAGGACTCCACATGCTCCAGATAAAAAAAATTATGTCTCCCCAGAACCAGCTACATAATTTGTGAAGTCCAATGCAAAATGAATATGCTAGCCTCTTGCTAAAAAATTATTAAGAATTTCAAGATGGTGACAGAAGAGCATAAATCTGGAATCAGTGTGGGTAAGTGGGCACAAGACCGTTTGTGATGCACAGGTCCCGTGACTATGAAGCCCACTCTGTCTCTCCTGCCTCACTTAAGACACTACTTATGGCAAATACCAGATAACTAAATTGAAAAATCCCTATCTTGTTTACCTTTATAATCCAGGAAAGCTGGTCAGATCTCCTATTCATAATGGGAGATTCATGAATACTTGCAAATGACTTACTTCATACTGAGGCTGTGCCATTTGCCTGAGAATGGACTTAGTCTCTTCATTACTGGCTCCATGACCATCTCCCCTCTCCCCTCCTCACATACATCCTCCATCCGTAGCTGGTACTACTCCTGTCTTCACTCCTCCTACTCTTACCCTCAAGCCTTGCCAATCACTGCCCTCTTCCTCTTCCTTCTCCTTGCTCTCCTTTAGTGGTACTTTCTTCTATGCTCCCGTAGGAAACTGGCTGAGTCCTGGGGTACATGCAGCTCTGCTGTATCCTAGTGTGGCTGAATGCACACACTTAGTGCTCATACTTACTGCTGGGAGATGTTAGGGGCCTGAAGGAGGCTTTCCAGTCATTTGCCTGAAGATTGTATTCCCAGCTCTGAGACAGAAGGAGCCCAGCTGCAGAGAATCTAGGCCACTGTGACTTGGTCTTCCCCTCTCTGGGATATCACAAAGGCCATATGAGGTCAGTGAACCAATCTACAAGAGAAGGGCTGAGCAGGGGACCTGAGATGATTTTCTCCAATATTTAGTCAGACTGATTTTCTGGATCCAAGTTTCTCAACTTACCAAATGTGGGCAAATCATTATATTGCTCCCAGCCTTAAAAATCTTCAATAAGTTAAAGAGAGGACTCAGGCTTAATGGCAATCCTGTTATCTTACCAATGAGGAGACTAAACACCTAGTTGGAGATCACCTCCTTACTGGCTCAGAGCTTCAGGAAATAGCTCAAGGATGTGCAAATACTAAACAGTAGAGCTGGGATTTAGATCCACATCTACTTAATTTTAGTGCGTATGCTCTAACTGCTGCCACAGAAGGGATGCAGAGGAAGACGGTCAGTTACCCAGAGGGTGATATCTTTGACTTAATGTTCACCATAAAGACAGCTATCAACAAAAGACTTGAATTCTAACTTGTTATCTATTGCAGGAAAGTGCCTGCAATATGGTAAGTTCTTTAGTGATATTAAGCCATTTAACCCAAGCCAGCAATGGAGTTGAAGAAGGGATAAGTTATAAAATACTGACGTGATTTATGTGGAGGGGTAAAGTTTTAATCCTAGTCTTCTGTCCTAAGTGAATAGTGAATGACTGCTGAGTAGATGCAGGAGCAGGAAATAGATGTGAACAGAAAAAAACTGGTTTTAGTTTTGCATAGGTTGAATGTCTACCAGAGAGGTCCCCAAGGATGCCCTGTAGACAAATTGGATAGAGGCATCTGTAGCTCAGAAGAGCAATTGAGGCTGGGGATGTAGTTTTGGGCACTGGCAAGGTAGAGTTTTGTGTGGTTGAATCTCCAGGGGCAGGTAAGATGCTCTAGAGACAAAGTTATGGGATTTATCAGCCATTGGGTGTTTCAGAGGAGAGAGCAGGGCAAGGAGACCGAGAGAACAGAAGAAAACTCAGGAAAGAATGGGGTTGAAAGTAAGGCATGCAAAACTGGAAGCTGCGACACTTGAGGTGGTCAGAGCACTTTTAGGGGACCTACTAAGCGCCAGGCACTGTGTGACCGCTTGAGGGAACCTCATCTCATTTCTCTGTCCTTACCTTAGGTGACTCCTGCAGAGCACCTGACAATCAGAGAAGAGTTAGAATACATTAAGCTCAGCATCACATATGTAGTTTGAATACAACTCCACCTCCTTCTCTTTCTTTCTCTTCTTTCCTGCCTTTGTTGCCCTACCCAGGATTAAAACCTTAGGTCTTATGTTAAAAGAATGACAAGAGAACTGTAGCATTCTCTGCCTCTTGGGCATCTGCAAGAGGTGGGATATTAGAGGGACACTGGGGGATGCTTGGATGATCACCTCCACCCCTCCACCCACTATGGCCTCAACATGAAGTTGGCCTTCTTGAAGTGGGTGAATCACTACAGCCCTTGTTCAGGAAGTGTGTTTGAAACCAGGCTTTTAAGGAAGAGAGGAGACGACATTTCTTGGGACCTTCCTGCCAACCTGACCCTTCTGGTTGGCACCACCCAGAGCTTCATTACTTAGGCCTGAAGCCCAGGTGTGTTGTTGGGCTCTTCCCCCTTTATGAGGCCCATGTTTCCATGATGCCAGGTGGCAGCCCTTCATCAGCCTTTGGACTACATCACTGTGGAGGTGGCTGGAGTCTCTTTTTTCATGCAAACTGCTGCCCAGTGAAACAAGATGTAGACATTTTGACTACAGCATTTCAATTTCCATATCCCCATCCCCAACCCCAACCTGGCTTTTTAGCCATGTCCTTCATTATTTCCTTCAGGCAACCTCTGTTCTAACCAAACTGGGTTATTTAAAAAGTAGAAAAAGTACAGGTCTTCATAGGAAATTCAGTGATTTGTACTATTTTTTTCATCTTCACCTATTAAACTTCCAAATGTGCTTCAAGACTCAAAACAAAGGCCCTATACTCTATGGTTACTTCTTCATTTGGTCACATTTTATATCTACCAGTAGAAGATGGCTTCTCTGGCCAGATATCAAGCTTCTTGAAGTTGAAGCTATATTTCTGTGGGGCTCTAGGGGATAGGGCAGGGGTAGTAGATTTAAAAAATGAACTGGACTAGAGCTTTAATTGTACTTTTTATCTTGATTTGTAGTAATGGTTTATGGGTGTATACCTAGGTCAAAACTTATCAAATTGTACACTTAAAATATGTGCAGGTTATTGTTTATCAATTATACTTCAATAAATTCACTTAAAAAGTGTACATTGTTCAAATCCTCCCTCAAGATCTCTTTCTAGAAGTAAGGCAATGAAACCAGGAATGTATGCCTAAATGTGTCAGCAGACAAAGGCTTTAAAAATGCTAGACTTGGAGATCAAAATATGCTACATGTACAATAAGAGCTTCTATAATTGTATATATGCCTTTCATGTATTTTCCCCTCAAGATTATCAACTGTGTGTTTGACAGTGAATATTAAATATGTTACCAGTTGAAATTTTTGGTTATAAATGTAATACGAATTGTTTCACAAACAAAACATGTAAAGCAGTATTAAAATTTGGCCAAACAAGTGTTCTGTATCTACTTTAATAAATGGTTATTCTTTAAAAAAAAAAAAAAGCTAGACTTGGGTTTGAAAGGCATAGAGAATTTTGCTTGGTTTCTGTAATTCTTGGGGGTTCCTATGGGCTGGCTGATAGGCAGCCAGCTGATTTAAGGAGTCCTACTAGGCATTTTCTTAATTTTATCCAACATTTCAGTACTGCCCCAACCACTCAACCAAGCTCTCATGTTGACTTTCAGCCATTGTGACAAGGCACCATCAATCATCATGTCCCTTTACCAGGAGGGCCCGTGTCATAAGCCACTATATAAAGGGAATGATGGGTGGACTGCTTTGGACAAATGGACCTGCGGTAGGAGAGAGGGACAACAGTAGGAGCAGGCAGATCTTGCTGTTTCAACCAAAACCTCATGCTGACCAGAGTTGAGGAACAGAAGAAGATGGTGAAGGCCTGCAGGTATAGGTGTTCAGCATGTCATCTGAAATATTCCCCACAGAGGCAAAAAGAAAGGAAATTATCTCTGAAAAGGAATGGGAGGACAAGGTATTGATGACATTTTCTGATTACAGAGGAGACTCTCAGGACTGAGGAATTGTCACCCATGCTTGGCCAATCTCCCAAACTGTCATGCCTCTGGCAAAAGCAAAGATCACCTCTCACCTTCTAAAGACTGGCCCCAGTACTTCTCTAACAATCCCTTCCCTCACCGACACCCACCCACCAATAAAAAACAACCACCCAACTCTCTCCCTGCTTCCCCACAAGTCCTGTGAAGAGCCAGGCTTTCTGTGCTCATGGCTTGTCTTCTTTGTGCTGTAGAGCCTCCCTCTAATCTTGTCCATGCAGTAAAGAGAGATCACACAAACCCTGGACCTACCTCTTTGAGGTGGTACTCTCAAACTCTTTGAAGGTCTGTATTTGATGGAATCTCTGGGAAACTGAGTTGGGAAGGTCCCTATATGAAAAACACGTGGGTTCTTGGAGTGTACATCTTTAATTTTCTTATTTGTCTCTTTAGTCAGCAGAATATGTCAATGTTTTGGTTGAAGAAGCTGCTTGAATCTGGGCTTTTCTGTGCCATGTGTTCTCCCAGGGCCAGCACAAAGAAGGGCTTTTGGTGCAGGCCCAAGACCACCATAATCATCATTGATTATTCCTCTCCACGCCAGTGTCTCTAAATAAACTTTCTCTTCTTTCTCTGACAAAGGTGTTTTTGAGTGTTACTGTTTAGCTGAAGAGTGACGTTGAGTGACCTTAGTACCCTAGCCCTTCATGTAATCAGATGGGTGTTGTAAGCAGAGGGAGAACCATGTGAGTCAGGAGGAAATATGTAGTTTACCCTTTTTTTCCTGTTTGAAAGATTTACTATGATGTTCATGGTTGGGCTTTTGTTTGGGATAAATTGAGATGCTTTCTGGATATGATAAGGGCTTATTTGGTTTGATAGACCGTCTAAACAAGGCCAGTGCAGGCTGAGCCAGGTGAACCACCAGATCACCATCAGCTCACACTTCTCATTCATTTGTTAGCAGAAATGAAGATGCTTGTTTTCCTAGAAACAAGCCCAGGTCATCCATCATGAAGTCCAGGAATTGTAAATGTGAGGAAGTGCAAAGACACAACGTACACTTACAAAGGCATATGTGCATTTGGAATTCTTTAAAGGACAACATCCTCGAGCTTCTCCTGGTAGTATACTCTAGATATAACGTAGTGTTTGGGCAATTTGGGATCAAATAATTCTTACAGCTTTATAGAATCCCTTGTGTAATTAAACTTGAACCTTGTATAACTTATGTAAAGGTACCAAATCATCTCTTACTCACAGCTTGCCTCCCCCTGAGAATCATAAATGCAATCTTTAAAAACCATTTACCAGCAAGACCAAAGCTAATCTGTAAGGTTGGGGCCTCAAAACTCAATTCTCTATTTCCTTTGGAACATGAAAGATGCAGAAACTGCCTTTTTATTGTTCATCTGACTTAGGTGGGCCCCAGGGTTTTGTCCTATTTCCTAGATGTTGATGAGCTTCTTGGGTTTCTTTGATGATTGCTTTTGCTCTTCAGTGGTCACATTTGGCCTTACTCAGTGTAGGGGTGTGGAGAGGTGGCAATTTATTGCTTAAAGATGTTATAGCAGGTGTTCCTGGGCGCAAGAGCAGAGTGTCCTGAGGTAGTGTATGTAGTAATAATACAAGTCGCTCTTGTGGTAGCAGGCTGTAGTAATATAGCTATATCATTGGATATAAGCATGTATTATGGTAGTAGGCCGTGGTAACGGGTTACAGGCACCTCTGGTAGTAACAGGCTACAGTTAATGGGTTATAAGTGTGTCTGGCAGTAGTAGGCTGTAATAATGTTGTGCATACACTGGCATAATCTCAGGGAGAAGGCAAAGGCAAAGAGGTCAATAGCCTTCCCTGTGTCATTCTGGTGCTGTCCTCCATGACACCCTCACTATATTTGCTACATTTACATAGGAAATGTTTTACTATTGAATAAATGCCCATGTGCCAGGTCCTGTTCACATGTCCATGTACTCCAAGAAATGTACATATAGTAAATATAGTCTAAGACATATAGTCCAGGAGAAAACCAGAATAAATTTAACAGTGCCAGGAGATCCATCACATGTTCAAACTTGAAACTTAGAAGAAAATTTTGAAATTGATAATTGTGGAGAACTTCAGGATGTGAAATATTTGAATCTTCTGTCTAGGGCGTTCAATATTTATTGATGAAAGTCTTGTATGAGGTAAGTAACCATGACCCAAGTTATAACTTACAGCAGCTTTTGTGAGTTATGCGAGGTGATAGGGCCACTTGAGAGAGCCCCTACAGAGTTATAGGGCCAGATAGCAGATGTTTTATTCTTTGCAGGTGAAAGCAGCCATAGTAAGTGAATAGCTCTGGCTTGTTAACTTTGCTGGATTTGGCCTGCAGACTGCAGTTTGTCAGGCCCTGCACTACAGATTGTGGAATCATCATTTCATTTATCTCAGTTGCAGCATCGAGGTAATCAGGGTCCTGATTTCATAATTGAAACAGGTGGAATGATTAACCTGCTTAAGATCATACAGCTTAGGATGTGCTTGAGTTAAGACCCAAGTCAGAGTGGTGCTATTATACCTTCAAAAAAGTCACACAAAGGAAGAGGTAGGTAGAGCTGGCCGGCAGGGTTCTATCTACCCTCATATTCCTCCAGCCCCTGGGAGGTTAAATCCTCCTTCTTTGGGTCTCATCTAAGTGTCAGCATTATGCTTCCTTTTCCTAAGAGGTTCATTCACCCTTTGTGGTACCTTGTTCCTTCTACTCAGGGCCTTCTTCCTCTTTCTGGATGCCTTTCTGCAGTAGGCTATCTTTATACTTGTCTTGATGGGACTGGTAATTTTAGATTTCTGGTAAAAGGGTCTTTTAAGGAGCATAGGGAAGTAGGGCTAGAGGACAGAACCACTAGTTCTAAGCCAGATGCTACTCAGGCAGTTAAGTCAGTGACAGGAGGAGGCAGCTATTGGGTCAGTGCTTTGTATGATGCAGTAAGGGTCATAATGTTACAGCCACCATTATCCTTTATACCTCATCATATCAGGTGCTGAAACTGGTCCCAAATTAGAGAGCATAAGTTTGTGAATTTGAGTACAGTCCCTCTTGCTCACTTACAGCTCATGACCTAACACTTTTCTCTAGTCTTTCTGCTTTTCAAAATTTTATAGTTGCCCATTATGGTGCACTTCCAATACATTCTCCAATAACAGAAGATAACTCTCATAACTTATGTCCAAACTGGTGGCTCAAGAGCCAAAACGGCCCACAAATATGTTTTCTTTGACATCCTATGCAGGCCAATATGGAGTGAGCAGAAAACATTTGGATTAGTTGCCACCATGGAAAAGAGCTTTCATGTAAAATCTAGATATTTGACATCTTGGTTGCTCTTAAAAATGTGCAATGTCTATCAATACTGGATTTTAACTGGCTTGAGCTCAGAAGCATCTTTCGGAAGAGGCACGTACACGTCAATTTGTCTATCTCCACAAATCCTTACTTTATACTACCTGCCTGAGCTCTGAAGACATTTGATTTTGTAACCTCTGTCCTAAACTTTTGGTAGCTAGCACTACCAACTCTGTTGGTTCCATTGCTCTCTTGCCCACAGTTATCAAACAGTAAAGAGGACAGTTTGATATTCTAGGCAGGGGATCCAAGGACAAGCATCTGGAATTGTATACAGGGCAACCTTCTTTTTGGATCTTTATTCAGATCGCTGGGACCACACATTATCAAGCCTACCTTGTTGCTAGCCTCAGAATCCCTTCTTTTTCCTGAAGAATAGTTTGAAATCCATGAGGAAATTAAAGGAATTATAACCACAGAGAAGAGAATCAGTTGTCTGTCTGGATGTGACTTGGGCTCCAAATTGGGACAGAAGACTCATAACACATTATCTCCTGCCCCTGACACTCATTATTATTTTTTGGTGTGTATAACACTGTGTTCTCTAAAGCTTTCTTGATAGCTGGGACAGCAAGAACATTGTGTTAGGCAGAGGAATTGCCTTAAACAGGTCCTAGACCTGTGAATCTTTTTCCAGTTTTGTGATTCCCTGAAGGGCGGGGACCCTGACTGACCTCTACCTGTATTGTTGGTGTGTGACAATAACAATGGCAGTGATGAGATGATAATGTTGGAGCAGGATAACTCACTGGATTATTAGTTTGTGTATATTCTCAATATATTTCCCCTCCCTTCTTTGAAGCAGAGAGCCACATTTTGATTTTGTGTTTTTTTGCTTTGGGTGGGGGATGAAATGAGCTCTTTGTACATAATTCCCGTCCTGATTTTTGGTATCCAAAATCCATAATTCCCTTGCTGAGTTTTTGATATTATTGGTATTATGTTTTGGGGGCAACTTAATTTTATCTCACCTTCCAATACAGCCTGAGATAAGAACTTGTGTCTGGGCTTTGTAATGGGAGGTAGATTATAGGAAGCAGAAGGGAGGGGACAGGCCATGTGGGACAGGGAAGGAAGAAAATAAAGAGTATGTTACTGAGCTGAGTATTGTCATCAGCAACGGGGGTTCAATCCTGCTGGAGACCCTCTAAGAAACTGTGGAATGCACCTTGGAATTATCTCTCCCGATGCTGGGAGGCTGGGACATGTAATGGATTTCCATCCTCTACTAGTTGAAGGTTTCCTCTAGGAATGTTAACTGCCCCCTTCCTGGGCTGCCTAGCACCTTTGATAGGTAGGAATACTTGGTCCCTGATGTATTATTCTCTGCTTTTTTAGGGCCTCAGCCAAAACGGAGACACAAAATGCATCATGCTAACATTGTTGTATGTATGTGTATGACTACATAATATTCTATCATTTTGTTTTATATAATCTATGAACCAACATCTTATATTTACTGTAGTTCTATTTTTATTAAAACGTATATGAAAATTTACATTTTTATTCAGTATTGTTTGTGTTTTTTATATTTTCTTAGGATACAGCTTATAAAAGTGGATTTATAGGGTCAAAGGGGTTAGGTTTTTTCTAAATTGCTTTTCAGAGAGGTTTCATTGACCTGTAGTCCCATCAGTAGTGCGAGAGAGCATTAAAGGTGAACTTTGGCAATGACCTGGCATGGGTGACTAAGAGAGATTGTAAACTCTTATTGCTTAGAGGACTTTTAGCACAGTGGAGGCCTCTATTTATTTGGGGTAGGTTAGAGCACTATTCTATGTGAATAGAAAATGTATGAAGGACATTCATTCTGGATTCCTTGTCTTCCCTGGATTCTAAAAGTACTTCTTTATAGTATCAGCTGAAATAAGCATATACAAAACACATAAAATAGATTCTTCAAAGATAATTCCAATTTGAGATATTTAATAGAGTTTTCAAAGCTTCTGAATTTACCATCCCATCATTACACCCTTATTTTCTGTGTATCCATGTACTAAATGGGTTACCAGGTGTTCCATGTTCAAATTTCTAAGATTATGTGGGAAATGATAACCCAGATACATATTAGAACTCTTGGAATTTTAATTTACATGACCAAGCACCTTGTAGAAGTTCTGACAGTTGATTGACAGAATTGGAGCCCAGTTTCCCTTTGTCCCTTTTGTTTCCCAGGAGTTAAACTAGAAAATCACAGGAAAAGATTAAAAAATGGAGATCAAGAGAAAGAGGGAAAAACAAAGACCAGAATAAACATAATTTCTATTCATCCCCTGGATTAGTGAGCACAAGCCATGCTTCTTGATTCGAGCTCAGGTGAAGGGTGAAATGCAGCCACATCTATATTTTCCAATGCCTTATCTGTCTTCCTTTTTGGTCTCTTTGCTTGTTTTATTTTATAGGCTCAACGCACCTTCATATCTATTATCAACAATAAATGGGCCTGGTATCATTGGAAACGTGAAAAATAGAACGTAAGAACTTTCAACCCCCCAAGTAAACCCTGGCTCCTCCATTATCTCTGAGGTTTCCCATAAGATCTCTTAAAAGTTTGTTGTTTTCCAATGCGAACACATCACACACTGGGGCCAGTTGTAGGGTGGGGAGCAAGGGGAGGGAGATCATTAGGACAAATACCTAAGTCATGTGGGGCTTGAAACCTAGATGACAGGTTGATAGGTGCAGCAAACCACTATGCACATGTATACCCATGTAATAAACCTGCACGTTCTGCACATGCATCTCAGAACTTAAAGCAAAAAGATAAAATAAAAGTTTGTTGTTTTCATGGAAGAGTTAGGTGAACTAATTTCCAAACCAGTTGATCACCACCAGTGTCCAAGACAGGCCATTCCTCCAGAGCACCAGGTGGGGCTGTTGTGCTACTCAGTCCTGGCACCAGTCTCTTTCCAAGAAGAATATGAATATGGACATATATACCCAACCATCCAGAAACAAGGTTCTTAGTTCGTACCAGTCACAAGAGCAGGATGTTTGAAATTGGTATGGTCTTAGGGTTTCCAGAACTATGGGGGCCAGTGGAGCATGGGGGAAAAATGCAGTGTCCATTGCACTGTGTTCCGTTGCCTCCCCAGGCTTCTCCTTTTAAGCACAACAACTCGCTGAAAGTGTTTTGTTTCATGATGAGGTCTGCAGATAAAATAAGTGAAAAATGAAGCCCTCCTAAAGTAATAAAGAGGGAGCACCTTAGGAAGAAGAGACACAGACAAAACCTCTTTGCCGCAGTATGGCTTACATTTCAGGTTTCCCAATCTCCTGGGAGTTTTATTCACTGATATTTTCCAAGAACCTAGACCCGTGGCCAGAACAATAGATGATCAATAAATACGTGTTGAACAAAAGAATGGCTCCAGTTCCAGGGCTAGTCCTGGCCACTCTTTGATCACTTGGTCCCTCTGTGATTTCGTTTCCTCATCTGTTAATGTCTGATAGTGGGTGAGAGGAGAGGGGAAGGTTGTAATAGCCAGTCCCTGAGATCCTTTCTATTTGGGATGGTGCGTGGTTTCCATTTTCAAGGTCCTAGTTGGTTAAGTGACTTAAGTAGGTATCTTCTTTACTGTTTCCCAGAATAAACTAACCCATATAGGAAAGAGAACAGTTCCATTCCTGAGTATGGGCATCAGAGTATGAGCAAGTTGAATCAAAATAGATCTCTTTCAATTTTGGCTTTGCCCTCTGTTAATTTCAAGCTGTCCCTGAAATTCATATACATGGCGGTAATATGGTTCTAGTGTTTCCGTAGGTGAATAAACTTAATCCCATCTCTGTAAGGCAGCCTCTAGTTTGGCCTGGCCGGTGTTCCTTTCTGTTTGCTTTCTGTTCCTCATTATGCTTTCCACTCCTATCAGTATCACTTAGCAATGCTTCCTCACCTTGGCAGTGGCAGTTCCTTCCAGTAACAGCCAGGGATACCAGTTTGCAATTTTGTCAACACTTGTAGAACTAGGTCCATTGTTCTCCCCCGGAAACACCATCGGCCATCATCTGGTTCAGGGGTTTGGGTCCCAGCATGGTGAGCCCTCCCCTTCAGCACCAGCAGAGAAGCAGCTCCTTTTCTAAGGGCTGCAGGTCAGCTCTGTGAGTGTCTGCCTTCAAGCTTTTAAGTTTTATAATTCTAATGCTCCCTTATAATTGCTACCTTATAATAGCTCCCTTATAATTGCTACCTCTTCAATACCTTAATAATATCCCCTTTAGCCTTTTCTGTTCCTAATACTGTTAATAATTCTTTATATTAAATTCTCTCTGTTAAAATAACTGGTGTGGTTTGTTGCCTAAGACTAGATCCTGACTGATATATGCCCTGGAACAAGGGAGCCAGGGGTTACCCCATGAGGTCATAGGTTCCTGGGCATATCAGTTTTTCTGCTTATATGCAAGTGAAGTGGCTCTAGCAGGCCAAAGTTAGCCCTCCAAAGAAGAGTCACCCATAGGGGTCGCTTGGGAAGAGAAAGTGCAACAAAACTGGAGGAGTGTGCAAAGAACCTCCTGGGGGATCTGCACAGAGATGGTGGTTTCAGCTATGTGAACATATAAAAAGCCAACTTACCAACCGACAGGCTGCAAGGGCCAGATGGGTGATTCAGGCATGGTGCTTTGGGAGTTCCAGGAAGGGAAATGTCAATAAAATTAAGGAAAATCAGAAAGTTGCTCAGAGGAGGTTATGCTGGAAAGATAGGGCTTTTCAGGCTGGAAAACTAGTCACAAGCATGGTCAAGGCAATTCCAGGGGCACAGATCACTTTAGGGAGCCTCATACACAAGGCCAAGGAACTTGGCTTTGCTTCTGTGTGGGCATCTTACCATGATATTGCCCTCAAAAATCATACTATATATATGATTCAGTCACTGTGTACACCACCCAGAAGGCCCCAGGAATAAGTCAGGGTTGAGACAAAAAGATTTGTTTGCTAAAGAAAGGGACTCGCCTTTCCCGCACTAGCTTTAGATGATCCTGAGATGGCACCCTGTCTGTGGGCTTTTCCGAGAAGAGACATCTGACTTGGTTTAAATTTTAGCGAAATCTGCAGTTGATAATAGGATGTCAGACAGTAGGAGGAGTGTTGATGGGTGATCTGCAGAGTGCTGGTCATGACATTTGGCTTTCCATCCCCTTTGGCTTTCCACCCATGCTGTCTTGATTTCTTTAGTGAAACAACTAAGCAATTGGACACACCTTGTCTGAATGCCTACTCCATATCTCTCCCAGACCCAGCTGGGGATAGTATGCATCATCTCCTTTACATAATAGATTTTCCAGGATGGTCCCAATTGAAAATATGTTGGTTTCAGAGTATCCACGTATGCAAGAGCTGCTAATTCATGCCTCAGTATTAACAATATGGCTCTCTCAACTTTTAAATAATAGAAGTAATACATTGGCCTTAAAAGCCAAGAAAATTGGTGCAGCTCCAAATAAAAGTAGTAAATATATTCAGCCACAAAGTCACAGTGGCTTTGTTGCACAACATCAAAAGGCACAGGTTCTTCCCTCAAGGAGCCTGTGGTTTAGTGGGTGAAGCTTCCTTGTCTTGCCTTATGATTTGGTGTTTTGCACGCCAATGTAGGCAGCTATCATAGAGGTAGGAACAGGTGAGCGATCCCCATCTTTCCTTTGGTCCTGTGGGTAAAGGGGAAAGGAAGGGAAGAGGGCAAATAAAGTGTGTGATGATGGGGGGACTGATTGGAAAAATAGGAGGTTTGCTGGTTTCCCCCTGTTGGTGATTGGACCTAGCAGGCATGGCCCTCCTGGAAGGAATGAGGCTTAGAGAGTGAAAGCAGGTGTGCAGGAGGCTGCTGAATCACTTGGGAGAAGTGAAGTCCCCACTGTGACTCTTATCTCCAAACCCCACTTGCTCAGCGTGGACAAGGGTTCAGGATGAGATTCTGCATCTGTCCTCAACTGGGCATTACGGAATGTGTAACTACCAAAGGGGTAGAGGAAGGTGGAGGTGGAGAAGTTCTACAGAAAGAAGAACGTGAAGGCAGAAGCAGAGGGACAGCAGGAAGAGAAGAGAGGGTTCAGGAGGCAAGAGGAAAGGGGCAGGAGGCCTGGAAGACAAGGCCAGCACCAGAGGGCCTTGGTTCCCTGCCTCCCGGGGCAAAGACATCCGGGGTGGACCAGGAACCTTTGCTCCCTTTTGTCCTTACCAGCCCTGGAGAAGCACATCAACCCCCCAGGCTGTCCAGGCCCAGAGTGGGCTTTGGGAAGAAGGCTTGGAAGGAGATTTATTGGAAGGCCTGGGGGCTTTCCCTAGGCTGCAGAAATCATTTGAGGGCTGGGGAAAGATAGGTCTCAGGCCCCTTCCTGCCTCCAGGAGCCTGGCCTGCCTGGCTGCTGGCCACAAGAGCAGGGCCCATTTCCCCTCCCCACTGCACACCCCACAAGCCAGTCATCTGCCTTTTTTTCCCTCCCCCTTCTGCTTCCCCACCCCTTCAAGTTCTCAGAACTGGCTCCCATTAGATTCCAGGAAATGGCTGGTGCAACTTTGTAACCAAATCCGCTCAAATCCCTTTGTATATCTTTTCTGCTCCCTCGCCCCCTCCTTGGTGTCCTTCATGGCTGTGTCCGGTTACAGAGTAGGGACCGGCCAGGGCAGGCTGGCCCTGGCACATGCAGTCAGATCTGAGTCAGGCAACAGCACCCAGGGCCAAATTGTGGCAAAGCAAAGTGAGCCCTTCAAGTCTGGGGGACCCTGGACCTTTTCCCGCTCCACCAAGAATTTATCTGTGCAACGCTGGGCATGTTATTTTTCCTCTGGGGATCTCAGCTTTTCTCACCTGCAATGTTAGGAGAACCTGCCTTTGGCCAGCTCCAAGATTTATTGGTGACGGTCAAGTGGGAGAAAGCACATGTGTCTGGCAGGACACCTGGAGGACAGAGGGGGGTTCTGACTGAGCAACTTCTGTGTGGAGACCCAAGACCCCGAGAATTCTAGCCCAGGCAGGGGTCTGCCCATCTCTCACTTGTGGGACCCTGAGGCTGTCATTTGACAGCAGAAATAGTGATGCGGTGTAGGCCTTCTGCTTGCAGGGACACTTCTTTCTCAGAAAAATTTGTGGAGTTTTACAAAGCCTTGGTGTGGGTGCCAGAGATCTTGCTAGCAATTCAGAGGGCAGGCACTGAGCCTCTAGCCAGGGCTCCCCACTATGATTTAGGCCAAGGCTGGGATCAGGCAACAGGTGGCTTCCGGTGCAGCCTGGGTGACTGATTCTGGCCAGGGCAGCATCTAGAAACCTGTCGGGGAGATGGTTGTGGACAAGATTCTATTCTGGGAGGACACCAGAGTGTCCCAGGCGAAAGGTGGCCAGCTGAGGTATTAAAAAAATGGATCAAACATCTACAGAAATAAAATTCTGCTTAAATCTTAAGTCTGGGGAAGAGGCAAAGAGAAGAAAGCAGACAGGAGGAAAATGAGGGAAAGTTGACAACTAAAAAAGTCTTCAGACATGTATTTAGGGGTTTAGATGTAAGTGGATGTTCAAAATGAAGTCATCTGTGTAATCCAGTGTCCAGATGAATGGGAAGAACAGAGCTGGCACCAGCTAGGTTCCCAGGTAAAGCCTGGTGTTCTTTTCCCTTCCATGGATTCAGGGAACTTCACTGAGAAAACGGGCTAGCTGAAAAATTGCTTAGGGCGGGTGTGGCGGCTCACGCCTGTAATCCCAGCACTTTGGGAGGCTGAGGTGGGTGGATCATTTGAGGCCAGAAGTTTGAGACCAGCCTGGCCAACATGGTGAAACCCTATCTCTACTAAAAATGCAAAAAGTCAGCCGAGTGTGGTGGCGCACACCTGTAATCCCAGCTACTCGAGAGGCTGAAGCAGAATTGCTTGAACCTGGGAGGTGGAGATTGTAGTGAGTTGAGATCGTACCACTGAACTCCAACCTGGGCGACAGAGTGAGACTCCATCTCAAAATAAAAATAAAAAGAAAAAAAGAAAAAGAGATATCACTTAGTCCACCCTAAAATGAGGAAAGTGGAGCCCAGGAGGTCCCATACCTCAGTGCCTATACCCCCCTAGACTGTGGGGAGAGAGGTGGCCATCACTCCTCATTAGGGGATTTCTTGGAATTAGGTTCTCTGGAGTAATGAAGGAGATGGATTTGAGGAATAGCCTAAGGATGAGGCTGGGGAGGGGCTGGACAGGTAGGTTTCATCAAGGGCCTACGGCAGCAGTTCTCAAAGTGTGGTGCTCGAACCAGTGGCATCAACATCACCAGGAAATTTGTTAGACATACAAATTCTTAGTCCCTTCCTGACCTGCTAAAGCAGGACCTGGGGTGGGGGCCCGCCACCTGTGTTTTAGAATCACCCCCAGGTGATTCTGATGCTCTCTAGAGTTGGAGAACTGCCAGCCTCGGGTACTCAGGTGGGGCATGTCAGGAGGCTCAGTGCCGTCTTGACTGGAGACCATTTGAAACCCACAAAGGAGGCTCCTGAGTGAACTCTTTCTGTTCTTCCCTTCCCTCTCCATCAGCTACAGTGTTCTTGGGTCTCCTTCCAGCTGGGCACATCCCATAGCCACCCCTCTTGGGCCACAGCCTTATCTGCTTGTCCCAGATAAACAGTGAATTGGCCTAATCAGTCTGGCTGGACTGGCTGGCTCCAGGGAGGTCTGCTGGTGGTGCCACTAACAGGAATGGAGCCACTCACACGGCTGACCCCCTTCCCCACCCCATAGGCCCTGTCGCCACCGCCATCTCTCGTCTAGGAAATGCCAGGCCTCGGTTGCACTTTCCCTCCTTTGCTAATCAACCCTCAGCAACTTTATTCCCAAGACAGATAAGGGGTGACTATCTAGGGCTTCTGTAAAAATCACCATGGTCAAAGCCTCTGTCAAGATCAGGCTGTCTTCTGGGCGGCTGCTGAAGGAAAGAAAGAGGAATTGAGCCTGCCCCCAAACTTAACAATATGCATTTGCACCTCTCAACAATCTTGCAAGAGAACAGACACTTGGAATTGCTGCAGATGATCTGCCTTCACTAAGGATTCTGACTGGCTTTTGGCTACTGCCTTGCTTGTTATAATGGATGGTTAAGTGAGTTAATAGGGTGCGTTTTCCCCACATTACAAAGAAGCAGAAACGGGCTCAGAGACGTTTGCTGACTTTCTCCAGGCATTAGAATTACTCAGTGGAGTAAGCTTCTTGGCTGGGGCTGGGACCCAAAGCCACATTCCTGGTGGTGTGGCAGGAACCAGGGCTCATGCCCATGAAGGCCCATCTGCGAGGGAGGTCGGCTGGTGGACCAGACGTGCCTCCCGGATGTTTTTCCCAGGCTCAGCCTGTGTGGCATGAAGGATGGGTTAAAGGGATTTTTAATCCTGGGGAAAATGACTGTCATTCAGGGCTGGCTCAAAAACTGGTAAAGTGTGCTGTGTGTGGAACTAAGCCACAGGGCCAAAAAGCACAGAGGGGTTTTCATGAGCTCTTGGGCAGCAGCTCTGAGGTGAGGTGGAATTGTGGGCTGGGAGCAAGGGATGGCAGGGGCTGTCAGAGGGGACGTTCAGATTGCGTAGCCACTAACACAGTGCTTGTTCTGGGCCACCCCTGCTCTGCTACCAGCTGTGGTTCCTTTTCCTTGCTGGGTCTCAGTTTTCTCCTTCATCTGCCTCCCTTCTCCAGAACTGGGAGGCAGGCAGACCTGAGTGTGTGAAGAGTATCTGGCAACTGCCAAGTTCATGGAGAAGCCAGAGGACTATTATTAGGGAAGAGTAGTTTAGGAGATGGTTGTACGTCTGGAGGGGCCAGAGGCAAAGGCTGGAGCCCTCTGTGTGTGGCAAATATGTTTTTCTTCTTATGGATCAGATGAACCTTTCTGGGCAGAGCCTCAGTAGAGAGCAGAGGGGCCTTCTGTGGCTGAGGCCAGCAGTTGCTGAAGCCCTATCCCTCAGCTGCTTGACACCTCTCTCAGTACCTCCCAAGGCACCTTGGAGGATCCCTGGTGGCCCAGTGGGACAGTTTAGAAGTCCCTGGAGAAGGCTAATTAATCTGCCAGTTCTTAGGTCATCTGGAGTCCAGGAGCTGTGTCTCATTGTGAGCTCTCTGGAGGCTCCAACCGCTCTCTCAGGAGCCTGGCCAGAAACAAGTTGTCCAGGGCCTGCTTGTTTGCGGAGCCTGGGCTATTGCTCCACAGCACTGGGCTTGGCCCCTGTGACAAGAGAAACCCAGGCAGGAGCTCTTACCCCATGCAAGTGCCACTGGGGGATTAATTTCTCTTTGGGACTTGGGGGTTGTGGCCAATGCAGAGAAGCAGCAGCTGGGCTGACAGGAGTAGCTACATTTCTGGATCAGCCTTCCCCCTCCTCTGATTTCCCCTATTCAGGTCTCAGGAACCCAGACGTTGAAGTAATATTCTTGTGAGCAGTGGCGAAATCATACCAGTTTGGAGCAACTCGATTCTTGCCTTTCCAGAGGAAATAACTCGACTGAGGGGCATAAGGCAGAGGGAGAGACTGAGGCAAGTTTTAGAGCAGGAGTGAAAGTTTATTAAAAAGTTTTAGAGCAGGAATGAAAAGAAGTAAAGTACACTTGTTAGAGGGCCAACAAGCAACTTTAGAGGTCCAAGTGCCCTGTTCTGTCCTTGACTTGGGGTTTTATACCTTGGAAGGTTCCAGAGTTTGCACTTCTTCTCCCCTGATTCTTCCCTTGGGGTGGGCTGTTAGTGAGAGGTGACAGCCTACTGGCAGCTGTCGCAGCCCTTGGCACCTCCTCGGCCTTGGCGCCCACTCTGGCCGTGCTTGAGGAGCCCTTCAGCCTGCGGCTGCACTGTGGGAGCCCCTTTCTGGACTGGCCAAGGCCGGAGCCGGCTCCCTCAGCTTGCTGGGAGGTGTGGAGGGAGAGGCGCAGGCGGGAACCGGGGCTGCGTGTGGTACTTGCGGGCCAGTGCGAGTTCCGGGTGGGCGTGGGCTTGGGGGGCCCGCACTCGGAGCTGCCGGCTGGCCCCGCGGGCCCTGGGCAGTGAGGAGCTTAGCACGTGGGCCAGCAGCTGTTGTGCTCAATTTCTCGCCGGGCCTTAGCTACCTCCCTGCCGGGCAGGGATCCGGACCTACAGCAGGCCATGCCTAAGCCTCCCCGACCCCGCCCACGCCCCCGCCCCCACCGTGGGCTCCTGCGCGCCTGAGCCTCCCCTAGGGCCGCTGCTCCCTGCTCCAGGGTGCCCAGTCCCATTGACAGCCCAAGGGCTGAGGAGTGCGGGTACATGGTGCAGGACTAGCAGGCAGCTCCACCTGCAGCCCCAGTGTGGTATCCACTGGGTGAAGCCAGCTGGGTTCCTGAGTATGGTGGGGACTTGGAGAATCTTTATGTCTAGCTAAGGGATTGTGAATACACCAATTGGCACTCTGTAGCTAGCTGAAGGTTTGTAAATGCACCAATCAGCACTCTCTGTCTAGCTCAAGGTTTGTAAATACACCAATCAGCACTCTGTATCAAGCTAATCTAGTGGGGAAGTGGAGAACTTCTGTGCCTAGCTCAGGGATTGTAAACGCACCAATCAGCACCCTGTCAAAACGGACCAATCACCTCTCTGTAAAACAGACCAATCGGCTCTCTGTAAAATGGACCAATCAGCAGGATGTGGGTGGGGCCAGATAAGAGCATAAAAGCAGGCTGCCAAGCCAGCAGTGGTAACCTGCTCGGGTTCTCTTCCACACTGTGGAGGGTTTGTTCTTTCTTTCTTTGTAATAACTCATTGTTGCTGGCTGTTTGGGTCCATACTTCCCTTATGAGCTGTAAGAACTCACCGTGAAAGTCTGCAGCTTCACTCCTGAAGCCATCAAGACCAATTGGGAGGAACGAACAACTCCAGACGCGCGGCATTAAGAGCTGTAACACTCACTGCGAAGATCTGTAGTTTCACTCCTGAAGCCAACAAGGCCACTAAACCCACCAGAAGGAAGAAAGTCCAGACACGCTGCCTTTTAAGAATTGTAACACTCACCGTGAGGGTCCTTGGCTTCATTCTCGAAGTCAGTGAGACTAAGAACCCACCAATTCCGGACATATTAGGATGCACAGTGGCCTGCCAGCACCTAAGAGGGGTCGTATGTGCAGTGAGTTTACTGAAGTTGTGTACTTGCTCATTTGAGGCATTTTTCCCTTACCAGGCGAGTGTTCCTAGAGGAGGGTCATAGATCAGTTAAAGTTGGCCATTTTGCCTCTGAGAGCTCATGCGTGGGCCCACTCGCCTAACTCCTGAGATCTTATGAGGAAGCTGCTGCTGATCACCAGCTTCAGGTGTTTTCTATCTATGGGGAGACTGCCTTTTCTTGGCACCAGCTGTGACCAGTTATTATCTTAGAGAGACAGTGTAGCAACTGCCTGACAATCACCTGATGGTCACTGGACATTGCTGGTCGGAGGGACCCCTCTCCAGCCCTGCTTGTATCTGCCTGACTACTTGCTCTAACATCCCTACACTGGCTGCCCAGGATGTCAGACTTTCTGGCTCTCCACCTGGGAGCCCAACTCATGTTTTTGTTTTCTTCCATCCGTGAAGCAAGTTTGACAAGCACTACAGCCCATCAGCTCCTGCTGGTGACTCCTGACGGCCATGAGCACCAGGACCCTGAGAAGCCGTGTTTGAAAGGTACCTGGTTTTCTTTGCTTAGCCGTACTTGACTTTTCTTTGAGAAGCACCTGTTTAACATTCCTGGCGATTAGGCTCCACATCAAGTTCTTCCTTATATTGAAATAAAAGCTGTTGTCTCGTAGCATTCTCCACCATGGAGGGTTCTTGTTTGCTGTATGTTGGGTCTCTTTCCTGGTAGAATTTAATCTCCACGAGAGCAGGGACTTTGCTTAATTTAGAACAGTGCTTTGCACACAGTGGACGATAAACATTGGTTTAGTGACGGTATCTAAGTGATCTGCGTGCTGGGAAAGGCAGCCGTTTGTCCCGTGCCTTTCCTCGTGCCATCCCTCTCACCAGGAATGCCCTCCCTGGCTCCTGCTCTCCCCATTCCATGCCTGCTGCTTCTCTCCAAACTCTGAACCAGTCTATGGAGTCTTACTGGCTACCCACCACCTGCCACCATCAGTCCCTGGCCCTGCTCCCTGTGGACACCTACTCTTACTTTATCAGATCCTGCTTGCTTGGCTTTCTTCTTTGGGTGATTTAAGGCGAGCAGGTCCAATTCAGGGAACAGCTTGAATGCTGAACTGTGACTGGCTGACTGTGTTGTTCTGTGATGAGTGCTGCAGACACAGATAGACAAGCACAGCCCCTACCCTTGTGGGTCCACTCAAGGTACTGCCTCAGTGGGATACGGGACCCAGCTTCTACTGGGTCCCAATTTTTAAATTGTCTAAAGTTTCACAAGCTGTTGCCAAACACAGCCGTTTGTCAAATCATAGTTGAACTGCAATGATAAACTCACTATAGACACAAGAGTTTGGCAAAAATTCACAAAAGCGTTCTGTGAGAATCCATTGGTCATACGGAACTTACAATAGAGTGTTGCTTATTTTATTATTAATAAATTGTACATGCCCTTGTATCAGCAACATTTATTTTATATGTACAATCATAGGCTAGAGCCAGGGTCACCGCCATTTGCTGCACCAGCACGCCTGCCTCCTTAGTGCTCTGTGGCCCCCAAGATGCCCTGTTAACTTTCCTGGTTCTCATGGGTCATGCAGATGTTCTCAACCCCTTTCCAACTCTTTCCCAGGAGGGCAAAAGGAGAACAAGTGGAACGGGCAGGTAAAATCCATATGAGCCTCACCTCGCAGGGCATTCTGAGACAACATCTGCTGCAGCTGGGCTGCTAGCTGGCCGGACACTCTTCAGTCACGCTCTGACAGATGGATCCAAATAAATCAGTTCACAGCAGGAAAGGGCTTGGAGAGTTCCAAGTTTGTTGAAACCAGATCTGGTCTGGAGGGACAGAGAGAAGCCATTTCAGAGAGAGCCAGGAGGGACAGGCCTCAGGCCAGATAGGTGCTCCTGCTCAGAAAGGAGCCCAAGAGGCAGTTTCCCGGTGGGACCTTCTACACTTTCCCCAGGAGCCCCTCTTAGCCTCCCCTTGACTGGACTTTTGAGACATTGATGGGCTACATGTGTGTAAGAGCGTGCAGCTGTCTAATTCTTGTGCACATTCCTAGACCTGTAGTGCCCAGGGTCAACATGGCAGTTAAGGGAGGTTTGGAGGGCAGCATGAGCCACTGGGTCAAGTGTGCATGAAATTGACAGGCCTGGGTGCAACTCACCTGCTACTGGCTGGAGAAGCTTGAGGCCCACTGTTGTCCTATCACCAGAGATGAGCTTGGAGAAGACCTTCTGTGTTTAAAGATGTTTCTGTGGATGTCGTGTGTTCCAAGCAGACATTCAGTTGTGCTCTAGCTTATTTCATAGTGCAAAGGATCATAGTTTTCCATCTCTGGAGTTTTCTTTCTGGGTCTGCCACAGTCCCCTGTTTCTGGATCAGAAAACGTGAGAGTAGGGTTGTCTATAACGCGCTTTGGTAACATGTCCCACTACCTCCAATCTGTGTTCTCATGCTGCAGTGGCAGTGTACAAAATCCTTTTGTCTAGTTCAAGTATCTCTAGCTGTGACTACAACACATTCCCTCTTATAACTAAAGAGCCTCTGAACCCAGGGGAGCTTCCTGCTGCTCATGCAAATTTTCTTTTTCAGATTCATGGGAAATACCTAACGCTTCTTTCTCCTGAACGTGGGGACTGCTGTGGATGTTGGCAAGGGAGAGACAGCAGGGGAGGGGTGGATCTGGCCTTGCAGGCAGGTCATTTAGGCTCATGAGGCATCTAAAATGGGGCAGTTGAGCCTTGGATTCAGAGTCTGGAGTCTCAAGAGATGGCAGAGCAGCCCTGGAGAACCAGGTTGGGAGTACTAATTCCAGGCCAGTGCCAGCTTGCTGTCTGTGCTCTTATTGATGTATGGAATCCAGGCCACTGCTCCCTCGCCAGGAGCCATGTGAAATAAACCTGTCTTATTACTCATGCCTAAGCCAGTTTGCTGGGTGCTGATCATTGCCAGAGAGAGGCCAGAAGCCAGCAGGCGAATGGTGTCCCTGACGGAGACTTACTTCCCCGGCTGTCATTGGAGTTGGCTCAGAGGACAGGGTCTCATATCACTGTGCCCTCCCACGATCCCCTTGGCAGTTTCTCCTTTGAGAATTGACCAGGCCAAGCTCAGCCACGCTGACATCACAGAGCCTGGTGGTGCCTGGGGTACTCATGATGGCAATGTCCAAAAATAAACGCTATTGACCGATAATGGTTTGAAATGCAATTTGTCAGGGTGGAAGTGGGCAGGTCTGATGACAGCAGGTGTTGCTAATGGCAGTGAGGGGCAAGATAGATGGGCAAAGGCCATCTGAGGACTTTCCTTCCCTTGCCCAGCACCCTCTACCTGGCGGCTCAGTCTTTTTCTCATTTCTTCCCATAAGGAACAATAATACCATTGCCAGATGGGCATGTCTTCCTATATGGTTTTCAAATTATGTTTCCTTGGAGAGCTGTGCTGAGGATCACCTGAGAGCTTGGGAGAGGGGACTAAGTGGGACTGTAATTGTCATTTTATGCGCTAGGAAGGTGAGACACAGAAGTTCAGTGAGGTGCCCAATTTGTAAGAGGCAGAGCTCGTTCTAGAACAGGATGTTCTGATTCTGGACTCAGAGTTTTTCTCCTCTGTGGCAGGTTTCCTCCTGCCACTCCTCCATGTTATGCCCCATGCTTCACGAAGTGCCCATGGCTTAGGTTAATGCCTGGTAGACCTGATAAACCAATCCATTGTTTTATTAGGAATAGGTAATGTGGATGGTCAAAAAGGAGAGACTTTTGAGTGGATTGCATGGTGACTTTTAATATAGAGTTAGCAGATTTAGCAAATGAAAATATGGATGCCCAGTTCAATTTGAATTTCAGGTAATCAGTGAATACTTTTTTAGTATAAGTATGTCCCAAATATTGCGTAAGACATGCTTTAGATTAAAAATATGAAATTCAAATTGAACTGGATGTTCTGTATTTTATCTGGCAATCCTATTTTAATGACCCCCCAAACTATGCCATGAGAACGTCATTTTCATCACTGCTAAGACCACTCTATATTAGAATATTAGAATTTGCTAGCCAAGGAAGATGACTGAGAAATTAAGGTTGGGAGCTGACTTTCAGGGTGACTTTGAAGTTAATGCTGTATAACTAGGGGTTAGGTGGGGACAGGTTGAACTAATAACCCTAGGACCCTTCCAGTTTATGTGATGACGGCATGTCCAGCCATTAGCTTTTTATCATCCCATAGCTCTTGGATGCTGTATTCTGTTTTTGTTTCACTTTGTTGTGTTTTCTACCCTTTTTTGCCTTTGCGCTTCAGTTTGTTTAATTTCTATTGACCCATCTTCAAGTTCACCAATTTTTTCCTCAGCTGTGTTGAGTCTGTGAAGAGTCAGCCACTGGTTTTAGCAGCAAGAACCAGCTCCATACATGGAATAAAGTTGTAGCTGGAGGAACTGGTCATGAGAAATAACTTCCTATGGTGGAGGATGTGATGTCCTAGAAGAGAAGACTGAGGGAATCTGTGCTCTAAGTCCGCTACAAGGAGTCTTTTGGGGAGTAGGGAGAGAGGGGGAAGGTGGTTCCCGTTTTTTCTAGCTCAAACATTTACTGTGGTTCGGAAGTGAAGGGAGGGGTTTTTCTGCAGTTACTCCTAAGGTGCCAAAGCAGGACCCACCAGGAAACTGGGCAAAGCCTTGAACCCAGTAAAAGATAAATGGGAGATGAAAAATGTTAGAAGGAGTCAAGGTTAGAAAATTTCTAGCCTAAGAAAAAAGTCTTTGTGCCCAGATATGGGGGTAAGGGCTGGATCTGCTGGCTCAAAGCCTCTAAGCACAGCTTTGTAGTGATTACGGTACTGGTTTAGGGAGGCTTGCAAAGTGTCAAGAGGTTAGGTAGGTCCTGGAGGTGATTATATATATTTTAAAGACCGTAAATACCTGCTCCTTTTTGAGTACCCAGCGCTAACACACTGTGGTAGTAACTCCAGTGACTGTAATGTTAAACAGGGCTCAGTCCCTGTTTTATGTAGTTTTTAGTCAAGAAATATTTGGGATCTTCCCCCAGATTTTTGTATTATGCCCCCGCTTTTTTCCTATTATTCATATTTTAGCTTAAATATTAACTATGGTGACAGGCGTTTCCTAAAAGTACAGCCTGCAGTACCTCTTCATTTCACACAGTCCTACTGCAATCATGAAGACTTAGTATTTTTTTGTTTATCTATTGCTGATTGACTATCTCCTCCTTCTTGAATGTGAGTCCCACAGGGAACTGGAGCAGACTCTTCCCTGCTGTATTCCCTTTGCCTGGCAAATAACAGATATTCAATAAAGTTCATTTGGTGAATGAAGAAAAGGAAAATTATCTGACTAGAGTTTTGTTGTGATAGAATGAGCTAACATTTGATCTAAAGAGAACCCCAGAACTCTTTTTAACATTTTGCTGTGTTTTTGTTCAGTTTCTCGTTTAACCGTCTAACAAGCATGGTGCAAAAGCAAAAGGCAGAAAATAGTCTCAGCCCACAAGCTTTTAAAGCACCATGTCTGTAATTCTTTTTTTTTTTTACAGTGATGAATACAGAGAGCTTAATGGCTGCTTTTCTGAGTGATTGATTAATTAAGGTGTAAGCTCAGGGAGGCTCTGACCCAGTGGACCATTCCTTTGTGAGCAGTTGTTTCCCTACTGCAGTTCTGTGTGGTGAATGAGCGTAGAGTTCCTGGAAACTTTAAAGGACAAAGAACATGAATTCACAAAATAATATATACATGGGAATATATTTATCTGATTGAAAAAGCTACAATTTTATATTTAAATGAATCAATTTATAGCAATGCTTTATGAAGCATATCTCTTATGGGAAATAACTATGATTTTAGACACCCAAACAAATAATAAAATCCAGCAATCGTTGTCAGTTTTGTTAAGTTTCTCTCTGAGTGTCTGGCTGAGCTGCTTAAAGAAACAGAGCCCTTTGCAGTTTTAAGGTCAAAGGTCCTGTGGCTACAGGTGCTAGGGTCAAAACACAATTTGACCCCAGATCTTTGTAAACTAAACAGACCTGACTTTTTGCCCAAAAGAAACAGAATAAGAGAGTGTGGTGCAGGGAGTAGGGCAGAGGGACCCAGAGAAAGAGACCTAGAGGTAATTGATTAATTCATTGGTTTAATCAGTTATTTATTCTACTATGTTTATTATGAGAGTCCAGACACATTGCTGCACTGTATGGAGCCTGGTAAGATAAGTCAGATAAGACTTCTGACCTTGTAGGATGGCGCCTTAACAGGGAAAAGGATGCAGGTGTCGAAATTGGTTTGCGGGAAGGTAACAGATTTGGGCTGAGATACATTGGTTTTGAGATAGCCAGACATGGAGCTGGAATTATCCAACAGTCACTGTAGCAACCATGAATAAGGCCTTTCCTCTGGGCTCTGGACTCACAGATCCACCAGCCTAGCTGGAATTTCCTTTTGGACATTTCAAATTTAATGCATTCAAAGCCAATTTCCCCCCACCTCTATGAGCTCCTCCTCAACTGTTCTCATTCTCTGTGGCACCACTGGTTACCCAAGCCCAGGAGCCTCCCTGACTTCTCCCTCTCTCCCATTCTCCATTTCCTACTCACCCAAACCCAAGTTACATTGATTTCATCTCTGAAACACCTCTTGAATCTTCATCTTCCTGTCTCTCTCCATCTTAAATTCCATTCTAGACTGCCATCACTTCCCATCTGCACCCTCTCCTCTCTACAACGTGTCTGCCTGCCCCACTCTGGCCTCTACTCTCTCCTTGTTACACACCTACCGTAGAGGTGTCAGAATGCTAATCCAATCACACCAATGCCCTGGTTAACATGCTTCAGAGCTCACCCTTGCTCTCAGGAAGACCACATTTCTAATGTAGCTTCCAAGGTCCATCATGTCTGGCCCTGTGACCTAACCTCCTGTCCACTTCTCCCTTCCTTTCCGCTGTTTCAACCACGTGGACCTTCCTCCACCTCTCATACTTGTCTCTTTTCTTCTACAAGGCTTTTGACATGCTGTCTGTAATAGGCAGAATAATGACCTCCCAAAGATGTCCACAGCTTAATCCTCAGAACCTGTGAATATGTTTCATCGCATGGCAAAGGGGAAATAAGGTTGCAGATGGAATTAAGGTTGTCAATCAACTGACCTTAACATAGAGAGATCATTCTGGATTATCTGGGTGGGCCCAGTGTAATCACAAGGGCCCTTAAGAGTAGCAGAGGGAGCAGAATAAAAGGCTGAAATGATTTGATGAGAGATGGACTCAATCAGACATCACTGGCTCTGAAGATGGAATGGAGCCGAAAGCCAAAGAATGCAGGCAGCCCCTAGAAGCTGGAAAAGGCAAGGAAACAGATTCCCCCTAGAGCCTTCAGAAAGGAATGCACTTCTGCCAACATCTTGATTTTTAGCTCAGTGAGACTAGCATCATGTGTCTAAACTATAGAACTGTAAGAGAATAAATGTGTGTTGTCTTAAGCCACTATGTTTGTGGTGATTTGTTACAGCAACAACATAAAACAAATACACATGCTGTCCCTCTGCCTGGAAGACCCTTCTCTGTCTTGGTTGTCAACTCCTCAGATCTTAGCCCAAGTGCCATTTCCTCAAGGAGTTCTCTTCAGGGCCTCCTGACTGTATTATACTTTCTTTTATAATAGCCATTCAAAGCTTTATTTTCCTCTCCTTTTAAAATAATTTGCTATCATTCCAGCTATGTGTTTGTTTATATGACAGGCAGCATGGCATGCTGGTTAAAAGCATAGATGGGCCCCGTAGCCCGGTGGCTTATGCCTGAATCCTGCCTCCACTACCTGTTGTCTGTGTGATCTTGTGCAAGTTACTTAACCTCTCTACATATTGCCTCAATGATCTCACTGATGACCCAGGAATAATAGTACCTTCCCATAGGACTATTGTAAGAATTAAATGAATATTGCCTCAGTGATCTCACTGATGACCCACCCAGGAATAATAATAGTACCTATCCCATAGGACTATTGTAAGAATTAAATGAATAAACAAAGTGCTTAGAACGGTTTCTGCTGTCAAGTATATACTCTTAATGTTGATCTCTCCCTGTATGATTGCATTCTCTTTAAGGACAGGGATCATGGCTACTTCCTCTTGCCACTTTACTCAGCACCTACACAGGGTTTGGTATACAGTAGTAGGAGTTCAATATATGCATATAGAATGAATGAATGAATAAATGAATGAGAGAATGAATGAATGCATTCAGAATTGGAGCTTGGGAGATGGTAGATCTGAAAATACATAGGAGAAACGACTCTTTTCCCAAATTGGTTACTCTAAAGGTAGCGTTTCTTAATCTTGGCACAATTGACATCTTGGGCTGGACAATACCTTGGGATGGGAGCTGTTTTGGGCATTGTAGAAAGTGTAGCAGCATCCTTGGCTTCTACCCTCTAGATGCTAATAACAACCCGCCATGTCCCACCCCACCCTCATACCAGTTGTGATAACTAAAAATTGTCTCAGACGTTGCGGCATGTCCCAGGGAGGGAAAAATCATCCCCATGTTGAGAATGGCTGCTCAGTGGGTGCAGCTGTCACACCAAACAGCGACCTCAGTGTGGGTGAGCATGTGTGTGCAAGGCTGTACTCTGCCATGTCTGCCTGGCAGGACTCCAGGAGTTACCTGCTGCACAGTACCCTCAGCACTTACTTGCCCCAGCTTAGCTGCTCTAGGCCTCTGAATGTGGAGTGCAATTTGGTGTGAGAACAAGGATAGGGTTGCCCTTAAAGCTACGACACAATCATTTCCCGAATGCAGGAGGGGTTTATGTCAAAGCATATAATTCTTGAACTTTTCAGAAAATAGATTTTCATGCTAATCTGAGTTCTACAAAGATTTTAATAAATGGGATAAAATTTTGGATATGCAGATGACTTTCCTCTCTGGCTTCCTTCTTTCATTATCAGCTTGAAAATACAAGAAACCCATTGGTTTCCCGCCCGCGTCCCCCATAAGTAGTTCTCTTTAAATGCTGCTTATCCTCAGAAAAGGGCTACTTGGGTAAATTCTAGCAGGTAAACATATTAATTCCCAGTACTGGGTGCAGAGATGGGAGGTTGAAGGAGGTGGTAAAAGCCCTCTCTCCAGAGAGTGGTATAAACAGATTGAAGTGCAATCTCCATGGATTGGACTTTATGGATGTGGAGACAGAGAGGGGGATAAACCCACAGCATCCATCCAATGGGCCACTGCTTAGAGAATGAGAACCCGCATTCTTTTCCGTACCATTCTTTATACTGTGACCTGCAGGTCCTTCCTCAGTAGAAAAACCTGAAAATGGAGAGTTTAAGTGGAAAGCAAGATAACCCTGACCTCTAATAAAGGGGGTCCTGAGGAAGGAAAGAACCAAGAGCAAAGTCAAAGGTGCCTCAAAGACCCTCAGGAAAAACCAGTTTCGCCACTCTCCAAGGCCACTGGAAAGGTGGAGGAGATAAGCTGAATCTCCCCAGGCAGCTTGGGAAAAAAAGGAGCCCAGAAATAGGGCTGAGTCTATTTGTAAAGTGGAGGTGGAGCCAAGTTAACACTGCAGGTCTCCTGCCCCGAAGAGAGGTCTAGTGACAGGTCACTTTCCTCAGGGACTATTCCCATGGGCTGTATTTATTACTGTCCCAAGGAATCCAATGGAAGTCAGCAATACAAAAACTAATCTCATCCCCAATTACATATCTGTGTTTTAGATGCACTGTAATGTGACAAATCTGTTAGGGTTTGTGAATGCGGTTTTTTTTCCTTGCACATTGGTGCATTGTTGCAGGGGTGGTTTGTGCAAGCCGTGGGACTGGTGCCCAGAAGAGGATCAAATGGAGGAGAGATGAGGATCTCGTAGGAGAATGAATTTGATTTCGGGAGGTAGGGCTAAAGAGACAAAGGTGATTGTAGAAGCCATGGGATGTTTTGAGCAGAAAAGATGGAATGTGGCCAGGCGGATCAGCCCAGGCAAAATAGAACTTAGAAATCCAACAGGCCCATTTTACAGATAAGGAAAGGAGGACAAGTAGGGAAATGATTTTCTCAAGGCCAAATATCAGAGTCAGTAACAGAGATGGATGCCGTAAGCAATCAATTGCTTACTGTAGTCTCATCAACTGCATTCGCTAGCTTCATTAATATTCAAGCCACTTAATGATTTCAGAATCAACTCTACAAGATAGGGAATAATTGATAATGGTTTTAGTTTTTACTTTAATGGGACAGTAATTTATTAACAGAAGTTGCCAAGAAATTATAAGATTCTTTGCAAACAATAACATATTATTTTCCTATATAGCCAGTGTTTTGTTTTCAGAAAAGGGAACCACTTGTTGAAAAAAATTATTATAAATTAATTGTATATATTTTATTATTATTAATGAGACATATTATTTTATTTCCATCCTGTATTGGATAGGTTTGGCTTTTGGAAAGGAAACTTAGATCCATTTGTCTGAAGAACTTAAAGGAGGCAGTCTACAAGATCAACATTAGGGTGGCCACTGTGACACTCTTCTTTTTAGCTCTTGCACTTCTTTCTTAGAAAAGTCAACAGGAAAAATAGGAAGATTTCTGTTGTATTCTCCCTTGGTCAAACCTCATATGAAAAATATATTTTACCTCTGGGGACCACATTTTAAGAGAGACACATTCAGACACTAAAAAACTGGTTAGAAGAGGAGCCAAAAGAGTAATCTAACCTGTTATCAGGGATGTGGGAAGAAACCCTTAGCTGGTGAACCAGTCCCTTCCTTCTCAAAGCCTATGTATTTGTCTGTTTTTTTTTTTAATGTATGTATGATTTATTTATTTATTGTTTTGATTATACTAGTGGCAGATGCTGCCAAATGTTCTGTTGGAAATACTGAGAAATGTTCTTTAGATTTTGAAACTAAGAGGTCACAGGTGAACTTAGAACTTTTGGTAGAAAGGACATAAAGGGGGTAGAGAGAGCAGAAGCCATATTGAGGAGTATATCAGAAGCGTAGAAGTGGTTCAAGTAACCTCTATAATCATTTCTAAATCTGTAACTTTATCCTCTCTTCTCACAATAATTTATATCCCCCTTAAGTCCACCTGTTGAGGATCTTCAGAATTTGCATTTGCCAAAGGGATGGCAAAGCATCTGGGCCTGCAGTGCTTCCTTTCCCTCCCTACAGGCTGGTCTTGAACTCCGACCTGCTTGTTCTGGCTTTTGGTTACTATTAGACAATCAAGATTTTCTCCCAAAACACTCTCCCAAGAATTAAGGCTGCTGGATAGGACTTGGCTCTCTGCCACCTCTCCTTCATAGAGGTCCCATCACAAGATTTCCTTCGGTAGCCATAAAAGCTGAAAGTGAACAATTAAAGCCTGTTCCCTAGACCCCTATTTCAAAATATTCCTTATAGTGTAATCATAAGTCTTAAAATGGTCTGAATGAGTCATAAAAGTAAAATCTTGATTTTTTAAATCTTTATAAGTTTTACTTTCTGTATAACTTTGATTCATGACCTCAAAGACAGAGTAATGTTTTCCTGTATTCTAACTCATTACTTCCTGTCTTAGTCCATTTTGTGCTGCTATAACAGAATGCTTGAGACTGGGTAAGTTATGAAGAACAGAAATTTGTTGGCTCACAGCTCTGGAGGCTGGGAAGTCCAATATCAAGGTGCTGGCACCTTGCTAGGGCTTTTTTGCTGCATCATAGCATGGCAGAAGGCATCACATGGTGGCCAAAGAGAAGGCAGAGAGATAGTGAAAGAGAGCAAAAGATGGAGTGAGCCCACTCCTGAGATAAGAAATCCACTTCTGTGATAATAGTGTTAGTCCATCATGAGTGTGGTGACCTCATGACCCAAACACCTCTTAAAGATCCTACCTCCCAAAATTGTCACAATGGGGCAATTAAATTTCAACATGAGTTCTGACAAAAAGAAATATTCATATCATAGCACCTCCTCTTTTCATTCCTTATTCTCTTCTTTCTTTCTCCTTCCCTTCCTCTATTCTTCTTTTTTTCTTTTTTTCTTACCATTTAGATACAGTCTTATTTCTGTTTGCCCTAAAATATTAAAAAAAAAAGTTCACCAGTAGTATATGAATGCAGTATCATTGCAGGGAAGGGAAAACTGTCACTAATACAGATCTTAGGTTTCTTTCTTAGATGCAGTGACAGTTATTGGGGTTTGAAATACATCTTCTACACCCTTGCCACTCAAAGTGAGGTCTGAGGAAGGCCAGCATCCAAATCCGTGGGGTTCTCTTTTGAAGTGCAGAATTTCAGCTCCATCTTAAGCTCAGTGATCCAAAATCTGCATTGTAACAATGTCTCCAGGTGATTCCTATGCACAATGAAATTTGAGAAGTGTTCTACTCTAGATAAGTAGCTTTTAAACAGTTTGGATCACTTGCTCCCACCTTTAAAAAAAGATTTTGAGTATATAGCCTAATATGTGTACTTATGAATTGTGTAGTTGCTTTTCTATTAATATTGCATATCATTAAAGCTTCTTGTAGACAATATATAGTTGGGACTTCTTTTTTATTCGTTCTGACAGTCTCTTACACTTAAAGTGATTATTAACATAGTTGTATTAACATCTATCATATTTACAACAATTTTCCACTCATTTGCCTCATTCTTTGTTTCTTTTTTGTCTTCTACTTTTTTTCTGCCTTCTCTTATTTTAATTGAATATTTAATATAATTCCATTTTCTCCCCTTAGTGTATAAATTACACTTTTTAAAAAGTGGCTGCCCTAGAGTTTGTGGTGTATATTTACAACAAATTCAAGACTACTATCAAATGACACTATACCATTTTATGGGTGGTGCAAATACCTTTTAACAACAAAGTATTCTTAATTCTTCCTCTTGTCCCTTACAACGTTGCTGTCACTCATTGCACTTACCCATAAGCTATAATTATCAAATACATTTTTGGTAACATTATTTTGAACAAATTGTTATCTGTTAGATTAAGATAAGAAAAATAAAGCATTTTATTTTACCTTCATTTAATCCTCTCTAATACTCTTTCTTTATGTAGATCCACGTTTCTGACCTATATAATTTTCCTTTTCTCTGAAGAACTTAACATTAATTGCAGGTCTATTGATGACAAATTCCCTCAATTTTCATTTGTCTAAGAAAGCCCAGTCTTTATTTTACCTTTGTTTTGAAGGATATTTTTGCTGAATATAAAATTTTAGGTTGGTGGTATAAATGGAAAATAAAATTTCAGAACCCCGAACTCACTATGCCATAGGGCAAAGTTAAGCTTGGAACTGAGTGGTGCAAACTGCCTCCTATTTTGTTCCTAAATATAGATAGCTGCAAAAATAGAAAGGCCACATACCCCCCTGGGGTCAGGGGGCTCCCTCACAATTTGCTCACAAGAAAACTTTTTTAGGGGCCGAAGATCTTTACCCTAAAACAGAGTTCTGTTGAATTTCACCCTGACAATGTAAATCAACAGCTTATCCTCACAGGTACAGGACAGACAGGACTAGAAGTCATTCCTCCATTCACCTGAGATAAATGTGTATTTCACTACTTCCTCTGCTCTATGTTTGATTCTTTGATGTGAAAATTCAGATTCACTGAATGACAGATGAATGCATAGTTTTCTGTTCCTCTAACCCTCTGTTAGGCTATTTTTGCACTGCTATAAAGAAATACCTGAGACTGGGTAATTTATAAAGAAAAGAGGTTTAACTGGCTCACGTCTGCAGGCTGGACAGGAAACATGGTGCTGGCAATTTCTAGGCTTCTGGGAAGGCTCAGGGAGCTTTTACTCATGGCAGAAGGTGAAGCAGGAGCAGGCATGTTACATGGCAGCAGTGGGAGCAAGAGAGACAGTGAGGGGCAAGATGCCACACACTTTTAAACAACCAGATCTTGCAAGAGCTCACTATCATGAGGACAGCATCAAACCATGAAGGATCTGCCATTACTACTGAAATCCTTCCCACTAGGCCCCACCTCCAACTTTGGGGACCACATTTCAAAATGAGATTTGGTCAGGACAAATATCTATACCATCTTCTGCTCTTAGCCCCACAAATCTCATGTCCTTCTTGCATTTCAAAATACAATCTCAATAGTCCTCCAAAGTCTTAACTCATTCCAGTGTTAAGTCCAAAGTCCCAAGTCCTAAGTCCAAAGTTTCATCAGGAAATGATTTCCTTAAATCTATGTGCCTGTAAAATCAAAACAAGTAATTTACTTCTAAGATACAATGAGGGTACTGACACTGGGTAAACATTCCCATTCCAAAGGGGAGAAATTGGCCAAAAGAAAGGGGCTACAGGCCCCATGCAAGTCTTAAACCTAGCAGGGCAGTCATTAAATCTTAAAGTTCCAAAATCTCCTTTGATTCCATGTCCCACATCCAGGGCACACTGCTGCAAGAAATGGGCTCCCAAAGCCTTGGCAGCTCTGCCTCTGTGTCTTTGTAGGGCAAAGTCCCCATAGCTGCCTCACGGATTAGAGTTGAGTGCTTGTGCTTTTTCCACATACATGATGTGAGCTGCGTGGAGGATCTATCATTCCAGGGTCTGGAGAACAGTTGCCCCTTCCCTCAGCTCCACGAGGAAGTGCCCCAGTGGGAACTCTGGGTGGAGCCTCCAACCCCATATTTACCCTCAGAACTACCCTAGTAGAGGTTCTCTGTGAGGGTTGCAGCAGGCTTCTGCCTGGACACCCAGGCTTTTCCATACATCCTCTGAAATATAGGATGAGGCTGCCAAGCCTCCTTTACTCTTACACCCTGCGAACTTGCAAATTTAACACCACGTGGAAGCCACAAAGGCTTATGGCTTGCAACCTCTGAAGCAGTGGCTAGAGGTGTACCTGGAGCCTTTTGAGCTGAGGCTGGAGCTAGAGCAGCCTGGCCATGTGGCAGACACAAAAAAGCATTATCAGGAGAGAAATTCAAGCAGGCTGCAAAGCAGCCACTTGTTAGAGATATTTGCATGATTGAAAGAAAGCCAGATGCTGGTAGCCAAGGCAATGGGGAAAAGACCGTGAAGGCATTTTAGAAGTCTTCCAGTCTGACCCTCCTATCACAGAGCTACAGGCCTATGAGGAAAGAATGATTTTGTAGGCCAGGCCCAGAGCCCTGCTGCCGTTTACAGCCTTAGAATACTGCTCCCTGCATCCAGGATGCTCCAGCTCCAGCCTCAGCTAAAAGGGCTTCAGGTATACCTCCAGCCACTGCTTCAGAGGTTGCAAGCCATAAGCCTTTGTGGCTTCCACGTGATGTTAAATTTGCAGGCTTGCAGGGTACAAGGGTAAAGGAGGCTTGGCAGCCTCAATCTAAATTTCAGAGGATGTATGGAAAAGCTTGGGTGTCCAGACAGAAGCCTGCTGTAGCCCTCACAGAGAACCTCTACTAGGACAGTTCTGAGAGTAAATATGGGGTTGGAGGCTCCACACGGAGCCCACACACTTCCTCATGGAGCTAGGGGGAGGGGCCCCTGTCCTCCAGACCCCAGAATGATAGATCTACCAAGCAGCTCACATCATGCACATGGAAAAAGCACAACTTTTTCAACTCCAACCCATGAGGCATCTACAGGGACTGTGCCCTACAAAGACACAGAGGCAGAGCTGCCAAGGCTTTGGGAGCCTATTTCTTGCAGTAGTGTGCCCTGGATGTGGGACATGGAATCAAAAGATTATTTTGGAGCTCTAAGATTTAATGGGCCAGGCGCAGTGGCTCATGCCTGTAATCCCAGCACTTTGGGAGGCCGAGACAGGTGGATCATGAGGTCAAGGGATCGAGACCATGCTGGCCAACAAGGTGAAACCCCATCTCTACTAAAAATTTAAAAATTAGCTGGGTGTGGTGGCACACGCCTGTAGTCCCAGCTACTCGGGAGGCTGAGGCAGGAAAATACCTTGAACCTGAACCCAGGAGGTGGAGGTTGCAGATAGCCGAGATGACGCCACTGCACTCCAGCCTGGCAACAGAGCGAGACTCCATCTCAAAAAAAAAAAAAAAAAAAAAAAATTAATGACTGCCCTGCTAGGTTTCAGAATAGCATGGGACCTGTAGCTCCTTTCTTTTGGTCAATTTCTCCCTTTCAAAATGGGAATGTTTACCCAGTGTCAGTATCCTCATTGTATCTTGAAAGTAAATAGCTTGTATTGATTTTATGGGCACATAGATTTAAGAAACTCATTTCCTGATGAGACTCTGGACTTAGGACTTGGGACTTTTGACTTAACGCTGAATGAGTTAAGACTTTGGGGGACTATTGAGAAGGGATGATTGTATTTTGAAATGCAAGAAGGACATGAGATTGTGGGGCTAAGAGCAGAATATGGTATGGATATTTGTCCTGATCAATTTTTCAAACTTTTACACTCTGCTTTCTCTTTAAATATAACTTCCAACTTTAAGTCATTTCTTTGCTCCTGCATCTGAGATAGGCTGTTAGAAGCAGCCAGGCCGTATCTTGAATGCTTTGCTGTTGAGCAATTTCTTCCATCAGATACCTTAAGTCATTACTCTTAAGTTCAAACTTCCACAGATCCCTAGGACATGAACACAGTACAGCCATGTTCTTTGCTAAGACATAACATGGGTGACCTTTGCTCCAGTTCCCAATAAGTTCCTCATTTCCATCTGAGACCTCAGCAACCTGGATTTCACTGTTTATATCAGTATCAGAAATTTGGTCACCACCATCTAACCAGTCCCTAAGAGTTTCCAAACTTTCCCTCATCTTCCTGCCTTCTTCTGAGTCCTCTGAACTTGTTAAGCCTCTGTTACCAAGTTCCAAAGTTGCTTCCACATTTTCAGGTATCTTTATACCAATGTCCCACTCTCACGACCAATTTTATGTGTTAGGCTGTTCTTGCAGCCTAACTTCAAGAACAATGCTATAAAGCAATACTTGAGACTAGGTAATTTATAAAGAAAAGCAGTTTAATTTGCTCATGGTTCTGAAGGCTATATAGAAAGCATGGCACTGGCATCTGCTAGGCTCCTGGGAAGGCCTCAAGGAGCTTTACTCATGGCAGAAGGCAAAGTGGGAACAGGAACATTACATGGCAAGGGTGGGAGCAAGCGAGAGAGTGAGGGGCAAGATGTCACACATTGTTAAACAACCAAATCTTGAGAGAACTCACTATCACAAGGACAGCAGTAAGCCACGAAGGATCTGCCCCCATGACCCAAACCCCTCCCACTAGGCTCCACCTCCAGTAGTGGGGACCACATTACAACATAAGATTTGGAGAGAGCAAACACCCAAACCACATCAACCCCCTCTTTTCACATGTAAAATGTAAATTCAGTGAACACTGATCAAAGCCTCAAAAGAATGCAACCACTTGCCTCTTCTATCTACCCTCCCTGTTTTCCCTTTCCTTTCCCCGCTACTGCTCATTCTTTCTACTAGAAATATTGAAGTCCCCAAACCCTCTGGACAAAGCACAGATCACAGATGTTCATGTGATTTTGTGTTCTTTTTTCCCAGGCACGTCCTCAACCTTGACAATATAAATCTCTAAATTGACTGAGATTTGCTTCAGTCATTTTCTTTGGTTTTACAGTGGTTTCTTATTTCAACACTTTAAATATTTCACTCCATTACCTTCTTGCTTGCATAGCTTCTGAAGAGAAGTCCAATCTAATTCCTATTCTGTTCCCCTGTAGGTTAAGATTGTATTGCCCCCTCTGGCTTCTTTCAAGATTTTCTCTTTGTCTTTGATTTTTTGCAGTTCACATATGATATGCCTATTGTATATTTTTTTGTATTCTGCTTAGTGTTTTTTTTTGGGGTGGGGGGGGCTTCCTGGGTCTGTGGCTTGCTGTCTGTCATTAATTTTGAAAAATTCTCAGCCATTATTACTTGAAATATTTCATTTCTTCCTTTTTTTCTGTTTTCCTTACTGGTATTCTCATTGTGTATGTATCTTTTATAATTGTCCCACAGTCCCTGAATACATTGTTGTATTTTTTTGTTCTTTTTTTCCCTGCATTTCAATTTTAAAAGTTTTTATTGACATTTGTTCAAGTTCACTGATTCTTTCCTGGGTGTCAAAGGCCAAACTTTTCTCTAGTGTTCTTATTTTTGTCTTTCCTGTTGTCTTTAGGTTTTCCTAGAAATCCCTTAAGTAGGGTTTGAAACGTACATTTCTTTGAACTGCAATACTCTGTTATTATAACATGCATTATTGATATGGTAAAATGTGGGAGGAAGGGAAACAGTCTATAGCACTCTGGCTGGGTCTCAGTCTTTTCATGAGTCAAAGTCAGATATATATTGTTTTCCTCTGGTTGGTCAGACTTTGGTAAAGCCCCAGTTGGTTAGGCTTAAGTAACACTGTTTCCCTTGAGGGTGAGGGTAAGCCTTGTTAAGGAGAATAGAAAGTTCTGCCTATTAATATATTTCATAATGGTTACTGCCCAGTCCCGCTCTCTCCCAGGGGATATTTTTGTCTGACCTTTACAATAAAAACCTGGTGGTGTGAGGTAAAACTCAGGAAAAGCATGGGGCCCTTTCTAAGACTGGGCCCCCTCAGAGATGTTAACTCTCAAGCAAATCTACACAGAGCCTCCAGCAAATCATCGATTATAATTTAAAGCATTCCTATTGATATTGGCTGCAGCTGACAGCTTTGACTTCTCCTTCTGGGCTTCTGCTTCCAGTAAGCCATGACTTTATGTATGCACCTGTCTCTTCAGAGCTGGAGCAGTGGTTTTCCCTGTGACTCAATTCCTTGGGGAATCTAAAACAAGTTGTTGATATTCAGTTTGTTCTGCTTTGCTCTTGTTTGTGAGGATGGGAGTGATGACTTTCAAGCTCTTTATGTGTCAGACTAGAAAGTAGAAGTCTAAAGTATTTTTCTCTTTTATTTTTAAACCTAAAAATACATTTTTTCTAGAAATTTGAAGATTTCATTCTCACATCCCAGGAGACTGTCTTGTACATACTCTTGGAATAAACACATCCCACCTTGGCCATCACTGCTCCAGATATTCTCAATTTGACTGCACATTAGGGACTCAGGAAGTTAAAAGCAAAAGCAACAAAAGATGCTCAGGCACCACCCCACACCACCTAAATCAGGATCTCTGGGGGAGCATGCTTATGTTTCAAAACCTCCCCCAGGTGATTCTAATAGCAGCCAGGGTTGACAGCCTCTGTTCTTCCAGACCAAATTCTAGACTATTTTATTGCTGCTGACATTAAGGACAAACTAGCATTTTAGCATTGGACTAACCACAATTCCACAGCAAACTGTCAAGGCAGAACCGAACTGGCAATTCCCTTTCTACTTCAGGTTTGTGTTCTTTGTGATTGCATCTCCTGCAACCACAACTTAAGGGAGACAATGTGGCAGGCAGAATTCTCAGGTTGCCCTGATGATTCCTATCCCCTGGTGGTCACATATTGCATAATTCCCTCCCGTGAGCGTAGGTGGGACATGAAAGTTTCTTCTAGCCAATATAATCATAGCAGATATAAGGAAGGTCCTGAAGTCAGTTAATTTTAAGTTAATCTAAAGGGAAATTATCCTATGTGGGTATTACTTAATCAGGTAAAAGCTCTTCAAAGAGAGACTAGGCCCCAGCTAAGGTAAGAGATTCTCCTTGCTGAGTTGATAAAATCCTCTAGTCAAGCCTCAGATGAGAGTGCAGCCTGGCCAATATCTTTCCTGCAGTCTGGTGAGACCTTGAGCAGGGGACCCAGATAAGCTGTGCCCAGAATCCTGACCCACAGAAGCCATGAGATAATAAATATATGTTTCTTAAGGTGCATAGTTTGTTGTAATTGTTTATGGAGCAAATGGAAAACCAATACAGGTGTTTGGCATAATTGGAAAAAAAAAACTTTGGACTTAAATACATCGAGGCCAAATTCCTAGCTCTACTACTAGCTGTGTCACCACTGATGAATTATTTAAGATGGCTGAACAGTTTTCTCATCTGTAAACAGAAAAACATAACTCTTGCCTTGCATGGGTGGGATGGGGATTGTGAGGAATACAGCTAAGTACATATAAGCTTGCTGTTGGTATGTTCAATGCAGTAAGTTCTCAATAGCTGAAAGCTATTACTCTAATGATCATTAAGATCACCATAGGTATTGAAGTAGATAATAAATAAGACCAGTGGTGTTTCTGAAGGTGCCCTTAATTGAAAAGTTTCCACTTCGTCAACCTTCTTTCCAAATAGAAGGAACCTAAGTGTCCAACAGCTGATGAATGGATCAAGAAAACGTGGTATATAGAGACAGTGGAATACTATTCAGCCATAAAAAAGAATAAAAACATGTCTTTTGCAGCAACGTGGATGGAACTGGAGGCCACTATCTTAACAACACAGAAACAGGAAGTCAAATACTGCATGTTCCCACTTATAAGTGGAAGCTAAATAATGTGTACACGTGGACATAGAGTACAGAATGACAGACATTGGAAACTCAAAAGGGTGGGAAGGTGGGGGGCTTAGGGATGTGAAATTACTTCATGGGTACAACGCACATTATTCAGGCACTGAGTACACTAAAACCTCAGGCTTCACCACTATGCAATATATCCATGTAACAGAATGGCCCTTGGACCCCTTGAATTTATACAAATTTTTAAAATGCAAAGAACAAAGCAAAAAAAAAAAAAAAGGAAGAAATAGCATTCTTTACCCTCCTTAGAAGTGGAACAACCTCGTGCAAAGAAAACTCTCCTCAGAAGGAATCTTGATTAACTTCTATCAACTTGTTTCTAGTTTTCAGCAGGCCTCATGGGGGTAGATTGGGCTTTCTGATGTCCAATTTGAATTCTCTTGTGTTCTTTTATTTTGTTTTGAGAAAGAGTCTCCCTCTGTCACCCAGGCAGGAGCACAGTGGCGTGATCGTAGATTGCCATAGCCTCTAACTCCTGGGCCCAAGCTACTCTCCCGCCTCAGCCTCCTGAGTACCCGGGACTACAGGTGCATGCCACTACATCCAACTAGTTAATTTTTTTTTTTTTTTTTTTTTTTTTTTTTTTTTTTTTGTAGAGACGGGGTCTTACTGTGTTGCCCAGGCTGGTCTCAAATTCCTGGCCTCAAGCTATCCTCTCACCTTGGCCTCACAAAGTATTGGGATTATAGGCATGAGCCACTGCACATGTCCTCTTGTTTTCTAATAGAAAGTTGTTTTTTTTTAATCACTTTTCAGATTCCAAACTGACATAGATTTGGAGTTTTAGCCATTGCAATTATAAATTGCAAAGCAATTTATAGCACACAAGCTGCTTTCTATAAACATCACTTCATGTAATCCTCACCACAGTGCTGTGAAGTAGGCATTATTTTCTTAGCTTTATAAGTGAAGGAATGAAAGCTCACAGAATGTAAATAGCTCATCCAAAGTTCCAAAGCTAAGGAGGTGTAGAAAGGAGAATCAGTTTCAGGTCTGTATCTCCAGTGTGCTGTCTTTCAAACCAGAGAGCTAGTTAAAACAATTACCAGCCCTTAGACCAGCTGCCTGGTCACCATGTCACCCAGACATCTCCCTTTGCACTGTGGGCATATGTGAACCCCCACATGAAGGCTTTGTCATTCCCTAATTATCCAGGTTTGTTACTGATCAGTCATACTCCTGATTTGTCCTAATTGTGTGTGTGTGTATGTGTGTTTGTTTCCCTTAAGAGGAAGGCAAGTTTCCTTAAAAAACAACAACAACAAAAAAAACACATACGGAGTAAGAAAATTTACCAGTTTACTATTAACAAACTTAAAAATTCAAAAAAAAGGGGGATTCTGAGGGAACATGAAAATTTATATGGGACTAGATAATGAATAAATATATTCACTAAAAATATGGCACCCTTACTTAGTGCTCTGCCTTTTTAAAAGACATGATACACATCTTCTTGGTACGGTATATCCACTATTATCCATTCAATTTCCATTTATTTCCCCGTTTGCTAGAACTTTTCAAGCTTTCACTCCCCTGCTGTTTTAATGACAGGCTAGATGGTCATTTTGCTTTGCTTCCTATAATGAGCGAGTTAAAAGGCATGTTTTCTGCATCTGCTCGCCACACAATGGCCAATGTGATTTTACAACTGGGATGCTAAGGCAGTCTGTGGAAACACAGTGGGCCCTGGTCAGTTGGAATGTTTGAATGCTTCGGTTAACTTTTATTGAACTTGCTTGGAGAACTGCATGGGCCTTTCTCAAGCCTCCTCAACACATGTGATTTCAAAGGCTTAGCCCTCTGGAAGTCTTAGCCAGTACCCCCGCACCCATCAATTCCCTTCCTCCTGTAATAGTGATTACTGGTGCTCTTCTCTCTTTCATGACTTCTTTGCAAAACTTTCAACTTTTTCTTAACGATTTTACCTCTTTTACCTATTTCTTGCAAAGACTTACCACCTTTTCTGATTATTCTCAACAGAAGAGCTCACTGGAACACAAGACATCTTGGATGAGGAATATGTAAAACACAGATAGACCCATGTTCTCTAAATTCAAATGCTTCATTAAGGGGAACTGGAGGGTCAGAAACAATTAGTATGTCTTGGCTAGTTATAAAGAAAATTCAGCATTTGATAAAATGCTATAGTTTCCTTAAAATTTAAGTTTTTAAACGGACTTCTAAACTTTCTTTAGCTATTAAAGATTGTTATTGGAATAGCCCACTTTACAAAATTTAGTACAGTTACTTGCAAAAATGTGATATTTTGAGATCTGTAAAAATTCAAAACCAAAGAATTATGATACTTTGAATAGAGAGTAAATGAATAAATCCATAGTTGATCCCATTATGATGTTTATATTCTTATTGGTAAGGAGTAAGTACAAAGCAAAATGCTGGGCTGGATGACTCAGGCTCTGCTAGCTGAACCACACGGGATGGGTCCTTGGAACCTACATAAGTGTGGGTGCTCATCTGCAGAATGAGAGCGTCAGATACCATGATCCCTCTGGATCTGTAACTTGAAGATCTGGGATTTTCAGGAAAAGTTGAACAAAGCTTAGCAGTTGGTTCCAAATTATCTGGCCCTTCCTGCTTTTGTTGCTCACCACATCTGAAAGGTGGCATCCTTAACACTGAGGTCCAAGCCAGCTAAAGGCAGGAGGTCAACTTTGTATGCACAGTCCGTTTCCCCTTCACCTGTTGTTTGGTTGTTTTTGTGCCACGGGTCTTGTGCTCCTTCCTCTGTCCGGCCTCGGAGCTGGGCCTCCCTCACATCAGCACCATTTTGGCTGTAAGCTGCTGGAGCAGCTGCTGCCCGGGAGGGCTCTGCTCATGTCCTGAGCTGACACATGACAACTTCTATTAGGCTGAGGTGCTCCGAGGGAAGCCAGTGGGCTCTACCAGCCATCTCCCTTCTGTTTCCCCATCTGCTGGCTCCCAGGGAGGTGGTGGCAGAACTTAGGTAAAAGAGCACATCCAAAGTGAGGACATGGTGAAGACCTGGAGGGATTGCACTCTCCCTCTTTGTCAGATGTTGCCTGGCAGGGGTGGAACCTGTCCCTTAGGAGAGAATGGGGTGACTCAGACTAGCCTGGCTCATGCTGAGGACGTCCAGTCTGCCTCCCACCATCCCTGCTGGGAGTCCCCACTTGGAAATCATATTTGCAGCTTGGGTTAAACATGACCAGGTGCTCCACAGAGGCAGTGCCAGAGGATTCTTGGCATGGCCTCTGCACTTGTTTGAATGTTGTGGCTTTTAATATTTATCCCAGTTCTTATGTGTGTTTGTGAATGCCCGTGCACATGTGTTGCAGTTCCTTCCCAGGGTCCCCCAGCATAGGGATGTTCCCATCCATCAAACAGGAAGAGCAACAACAGGTTGTAGCGGGGAGCTGGGGCAGACTGCGTGAGGGCAGGGCCTGGGGAGCCTGAGGGGCCAAGCCATGTGTTCTGCTGTTAGTTCATTGGGCTGACAAAGTGGGAGGCTGCTGTGCTGGGACCCCCTCTCTCAGCCAGGGGTCCTATAGATTCCCAGACGCTACAGCTTGAAGGGAGGGGCCTGAGAGGTGATGTGGTTCAATGCTTTTATTTTCTGAAGATGAAAATGAGGCCCAGAGAGGGGCAATGGCTTGTGAAAGACACATCTAATTGTAACAGGAGCTGAACCACCAAAATCTAGGCTGTGAGTGTGCAGGCCCTTAGCTGTCTCCATTGGTGCTCTGGGGTCCAGGAAGAATCTATTGACGAATAAGCCAGCTCAGGCCTCTACATCCTAAGTCAATGCTTATACAATGCTTCCTTCTCCACCAAGAAGGACTCTAAGATTTCTTATGGTTTTGGGACTGTACGTCCCCGTTTCTTTTGATTTGCCCTACTCTAACCCTCTGAAAAGCATGCCAGTTTGGATAATAAATCATATGGTCTCATTATTTAGGATTGTCTCATTTTCTAGAATGCTGCTTCTTTGAACATATATATTCCTGGGCCAAAGAGTTCCTGTGACTGCCAGCTCAAAGCTTCACAGAAGTTCTGATGAGTTCCTGGATGCAGGTGGTGGGAGCTCTAGTGAACACATGTGAACTCAGTTACTCATGACTGGATTTATCCTAACAAAGGAATTCAAAAGCAACTGTCTAGAATTCATTTGCCTCATCTGTAAAATGGCAGAGCTGTAGTGGGTGATTCTAAGGCCCCTGACAACTCAAAAATCTGCATCCACAAATTAATTTCAGGGATCATTCTGCCCCTTGCTATGTTGGTGGTGGTTATCTAGCTTCTGCAGTGAGGTGATTGGGCCCATCTGGATAGTGCCTTAGAGGTTGTGTGTACCAGACGCCTAACATGAGAGATAGTAGCTTTACAGCCAAGATGACAGATGCCTGTCCCTGCCCTTCCTTCTGGTTCCCAAATCACAATCTCTAAGCACCGGGTCTGAGGAGAGCCCAAGGACACATGGGGAGGCCGGACTCCCATTTCCTAGTCCTTACCCTTTGTCCTTCATGTTACCCTGCCTAGTGTGTAAAACCTGGGGCTCCCAGAAGGTAGGGCATGGGCTGTGGGGGAGGATTGCTGACTTCTCAGTATAAGGCTGTTCTCTAGCAGTGCTACCCAAAAAGAGGGGTGACAAAGAGGCCCCCATCTCCTAGGCCCTCAGACCAATTAGATGCCTGATCTTGGGAAAACACAATCTCCCTAGGGAGAGCTTGTTCTTAAAAACATGATGTGTAAATCATGGTTTTGTCTTTCCAAACAGACAAAAGCTACCTCCAGCTACATTTATTGAGAGCTGTGAAATATCATGGGGCCTCATGGAGTGGCAGTTAAGTCAGGTTGCCCAGGTCCAAATCCTAGCTCAACCATTCTAGCCGTGGACCTTTGGTAACGTTCTTTCTTAATCTCCCTCATGCTCATTTGCAAACATCCTTATAGGGCTATTTTGAGGATTAAATGCGATGATTCTTATCACAGGCAGAATACGGTGCCCACAGTGGTGAGTGCTTTGTGATCGTAGTGAATACATTGGACTTTTGGTACTTACAGTCCTTTGATCACTGAAAGGGGCCATGGCTTCAGGAATGATGCATAAACCCATTCTGTGCACTTCAGCAGGCAGGCAGGGTTTGGGCATTGGGTCAATGCAGAAGGAGGAGGAAGAATTCTGCAGTCACTCTGGGGCTGCTGCTCTCATCAGTGAGTCACTAATGGGCATCAGGAGATCCCCTTAGAAGGAGGTGCATGTGCCTGAGCCTCAGGCAAAATTGGCCCTGGTCATGGTTCTCAGGCTCTCTTCTCAATGCCAAGGGGGAGACATCTGGGGAGGTTGTGAAGGACTATCAAGTTCTTATGATTCTGATGTGTTTATGGCAGTGAGTAAAATTCATAGGTCATTTATGAGCTTTGCCTCCCATTTCACACAGCTGGTCCTTTTTAGTCAGGCTGTACATGCTCCAGAAAGAACTCAGCATCAGCACCTGGAGGGGCACCTTCTCCTCCCAGTCCTGGGAGGCTCTGAGAGGGGAGGCCAGGAGAGAAGTGGAGGGTGAGGCTGATAGCCTACCTGTGCAGCACTCGGGCCTACCTCCAATGGCCTGAACCACATTCTTCTCCAGCACATGGTCCTGGGTGAGGAGGGCTAGGGCTAGAATTCATCCACTCTCTGGATGGGGTCCTGAGTCCCAGCACTCTTTGGGACCTAGAGGTTCACCTGTGATATTTTCCTGATGATATCCACAGTTTTAATATAGTCTGGCTCCCTGAAGAGAACCAGTGGTACACACAAGACATTGGGAAGGTAACTGTCCATGGGCTAGGATAAAGAAAGTCAATTCTGGTGGCTCTTGTTCATTGAAGTCTAATAGGATTTAATCCTAGGTTAAAGAAAGGATTTGCTTTACTCAAAACTACTCTAAGGTACTGTGAAACAAAGTTTAAGAATCGTTCACAGCTTAACGTGAAACAGATATGGGCCTGATCTTGACAAACTGGCTGTGGACACAAAGCTCAAGTCTCTTCCTCCTGACCACAAAGATAATGACCTTCACAAATATCTTGTGGGAAGAGACAATGAGATTCCCAGTCAAGTGCTAAGTCTTGGTAAGTTCAATTTCAGATAACCTCTTCTTCTTCCTTTCTTTCCTTAATTCATGTAGTTTTCTCTGTCTCTTCAGTGTTTTTCTGACTTGATGGTGCCTGGTCAAGAAAGGGCCATAGAACAAGTCAATACCAGAATAAGCCATGTGGAAAAGGGCAGCTGAACACAATCTGCTCCTGTCTGAATTAGTGCCTACACTGGTGATCTGGCTTATTGGTGGGAAGTCATCTGTCATCCAGACACCCAGGGGGCCAGGTGCTCCATGTTTAAATTATGTAAAGATTATTAGAGAGATAAACCTGCAAAAGTGTCTCTGGCACCAATGAGAACAGGCACGGATAAGAAGGGGCAAGGTGGCCAGGTGCGGTGGCTCACGCCTGTAATCCCAGCACTTTGGGAGGCGGAGGTGGGCGGATCATGAGGTCAGGAGTTCGAGACAATCCTGGCCAACATGGTGAAACCCCGTCTCTACTAAAAATACAAAATTAGCCGGGTATGGTGGCACACACCTGCAGTTCCAGCTACTCAGGAGGCTCAGGCAGAAGAATCGCTTGTACCTAGGAGGCGGAGGTTGCAGTGAGCTGAGATCGTGCCACTGAACTCCAGCCTGTGTGATGGAGCAAGACTCCATCTCAAAAAAAAAAAAAAAAAAAAAGGTGGGGGGGCAAAGCTTCGGTGGAACAAATGGAAGCTTAGACGCCAAGAAAGCATTCCCAATAGGAAAGAGGTGTCCTCCCCGGGAGGGCTATGACAATAAGAGGCTCATGTGTATGGCCCAGGAAGAAGGTTTTCTGTAAAAAAGGCAGGGATGGTTGACTTTTCAAGGCATTTAGCCACCTGAGGGGTCTGCCACCTACTCTCCAAGGGCACTATGTCATGGCTCTTACCAACAGAAAAAAAATCTTAACTCATTTGCTTTGCTGATAGAATGGAAATCCCAGAGGCATGAGGCTTATGCCCAGAAAGTGGCAAAGACTGAGCCAGGTTGAATGCACATCTTCTGACTTCCACCCTGGTTGTATGTGGAAGGCAGCCTCCGAGATGGCCCCCAGTGATCCCTGCCTCCAAGTAGTCACACCCTTGTGGAACCCCTTCATGTTGAGCATGAGCTGGACTTAGAGTAAGTCAGTCTTATTTACACTAGACTTGCTTCTAGTGGAGAAAATACAGCAGAAGCAATAGAATATCACCTCTAAGGTTAGGTTGTAAAAAGACTGAGGCTTCTGTCTTTGGTGCCTCCTCTCTCTCTCTCTCTCTCTCCCCCTCTGTCCCAGGTATTTAATAAAGGTATGTTGATTGACACAGGAATTATTCCATCCATAAGTTGTAACCTTGGTATCGGAGGAAAAAGCAATGTAGGACTAGATGTCATCTCTGCAGCGGGAATAACTGGACTGAGGTATTCAGTAAGCAACATTCTCTGCATCTGGGATTCTATGGACATCAACACTCACTTGCACACAGATGGTTTCTCTTTCCCACCCCCATTCTCAGTGTGTGAAATCATTCCAGCATCTAAACTGCCATCTTCATGCATGGTACCTCAACTCTGTGCTCAGGAGCCAGAATAATCCATGCAGCCAAGTCTGTGCCCTGGCTGAATGAGAGAGGATGACTGGAGGCTAGATTCACCAGCTGGGAGAGCCCATGGTTACTTTTCTGGCTTTGTCCTCACCCAGCATGACAAAGCACCAGCAACTATGGGCTGCCCCAGAGGGCACTGGAGGCATCTGACCTTTTCATCCCTAGGAGTCCGTGGTCTTAAGAGAAGAACGACATAATGGCCCTCTGTTCTTAGTGGGCTCTGCTGAGTTAAGCTGGGTTGATGGAGAGAATGGTAAAAGCCCTGGGGGAGCAAGGGTCCCCGAAGGTCATCTTACCCATTCTTCTGCCTCTGGGAAGGGTAGCTAATTAGCAACTTAGTAGGTCAAAGATGCAATGAGAAGGTGAGTCTGATCACCCTTTACTTTGGGATGTACAGAAAGGAAGATTCTACAGTTTCCTTAGTTAATAATCTGGTACCTCATGTCCTGGATGCTCAGTTCTTCCTGCTTCTCTTTTCATCCAACGGTTCCCTGTTTTTGTCCAAGCAACCTTATTCTGTCTGAGGTTCAGCTGATTCTGGAGACTAAATCTTCATAGCCATTAAAGAATTGCTTTTGGCCCCTGCCACACTCATACTTCCTCAGACTTCATCTTGAAGGTTTTCATTAAGAACAGAATTTATGTAACTAAAGTCTGGGCAAGGCATAGATGATGAGGAGGTGACAACGATAAACAGATAAGTTAGGGACTTCAGGAACTTCGATGCCATGCGAATCCTTTGGCCGTAAGCATCTTTCTATGTCACTTGAGGAGTTTGGATGTGTGCAGAAGCTCAAGAAGATAAGTGGTCAAGAGAAGATCACCTCGGTCAAGGCAGATCTAAGTCCAATACATGGACTTTTGCCTTTTTGTCTTGTAGTCTTTCCAAAGATGTCAGTTTCGTAGGCCTGAATCACTGTACAGGATGTGACTGCTTGCTTTTCTGGAGAGAAAAGAGGAAAATAAAAATCCCATCCTTTCTCAAAAAATAAGAGTAATAAAGCTCTTTAGTCTCATTAAACAGGCGTGTTGGACTTCAAATAACTCTCATCACATAACATGTTGATGAGTTAAGTGTTAATGAATCAGAAACATATGGATACAATTTCCCTGAAAATACACAAGGGTTTTGGAATCAAGGGGAGTCACCCCTACCGCCAGCCCTGCCCACCTCCTTGGCTCTGGGCTCAGGAGTTAGGATCTTGCCTCCCCTCCTGGGCTCACTGATGGGGCTGCTCCCTTTCTGGCCACCCAGACTGCTCTCAGCTTCTCCCTGGAATTCCTCCTCTCCTGTGGCTTAGTGGCCAAGTGGCAGGGGTGGGCTGAGAGATGAAAGGTCAACTGCTGAGAGAAATGAATGACACAGGGAAGAGAGGCCCGGGAGTTGTCGGCCCAAGTGCTCAGGAGATGGGCCACGTGCTGTGTGCGGGAGGGACCCGTGCTGGCGGCTACATGCTGGCTTCAGGTCTGGGGCTCTTCGGAAAGTAGTTTAAGATGTTTTCTTTCTTTCCAAGCAATATGAAATTCTCTTGATCCGTACTCACTGATTTGTGTTTTCCGGGTTGCCAGGGTTTCCTGGAGATTGCGCCTGCATCTTTGCAGGGGCTGGGACAGACAATTCGGAACTCACCAGGACGGGCACTTCTGAGCAGAAATCATGCCTTGGGGTCACCTCAACTTTTCAGAGTATGTCTCACTTGCCTCACACAAAATCCCACTGCCTTCCATGCCAGGTTAAAGTGGCTTAAAGTAGATGAAAGGACTTGCCTGTGGACCTGGGAGTTCTGCAGCCCGACCCAGCTTCCAGTGAACAGTTTCAGAGCTGGGCAGTGTCTGTGGAGTGAGGGGCCCAGTTCCTTCTTTCTTCTTGCCTGAGGTTCTCAGATGGTTGACTGTCACCCAGGCAGACCCAATAGTGGCGCATAGGGACACACTCCATGCAGGAGTGTGGATGATCCCCATATTAGATTCTTTAAGCCCCATCCTAAATTCATTTTGGGTTCCCTCAGAGTATACCTTGAAGAGAGAATTGTGGTGCAATGATTTATTCATGAGGTGATTCCAGGAAGCATGGTAGAAAATAGGGAATGTTGGGCCTGATGTGGTGGCTCATGCCTGCAATCCCAGCACTCTGGGAGGCCGAGATGGGTAGATCACCTGAGGTCAGGAGTTCGAGACCAGCCTGGCCAATATGGTGAAACCCTGTCTCTACTAAAAGTATAAAAATTAGCTGGGCATGGTGGCGTGCGCCTGTACTCTCAGCTACTCAGGAGGCTGGGATGGGAGAATTGCCTGAACCTAGGAAGTGGAGGTTGCAGTGAGCTGAGATCGCACCACTGCACTCCAGCCTGCGTGACAGAGCGATATTCCATCTTAAAAAAATAGGGAAAGTGGGATGTGGGAAGCAGATGTGTTAATGAGTGGGTTGTTTGTGTGGGCACCTGGGCTCAGTCTGGATGGGGATATTTGGAGAGGCACTCCCTCTAGGAGGAAACTGGGTGTTTATTTACCAACTCCCATTCCTCATGGGTTGCTTCTGAGACGCTCACCTCTGTGCTCTCAACCCGCTCCATGTGTAAGTAGATCATATTCCTGAGGCCAGAGAAAGCCCCAGGGCAGAGAGATGATGGTGGCTGAGGTAGGAAGCTGTTGGAGTGGCTGTGGGTGACCTTCAGGGAGGAAGAAGGGAAGAGGGGCTGGCACAGACATCATCTCCTGCAAGGGTCTGGATGTGCTCCCACTCCCCTTCTTTCTGCTTTTTGAGACTGATTCACTTCTCAATCAAGTCTTGGATGCAGAAGGAAAGAAGGGAGCAAAATAAATTAGGTACCCCCAAATGCGCTTGTTTGTGGGGACTAGAGAGTTGAAGGTATAAATGTGTGTTTGCATTGCTTGCCAAGCTGTGACTCAGAGTGTCTGGCCTGAGAGTGGCAATGCCCACAGGCCCCCAGGGCCCACTGCAAACTGCACAGGGGGCTGAGCTCTCCTACCTGTCCTGGCTTTTGGCATTTCTGGCCTGGCATAGTCATTTAAAACCTTGGTTTGGGGTCTTTTTATTTTTCTTTCCACACTTCCTGGAATCACTGGTCAGCTTCAGAGCCAGGCTGTTGCTCTGAAAGTCCTGGGAGAGGGGAAGAGAGCAAGATGGACGAGTGCAATGAAACTGTGACCCTCCTTCCTATGACGGGGCGAGCGTTATCATGCTAAGGCCAGGAATTAGGTATTCTTCATGCCCAGAGAAGACAGACGAGGGGGAAGATGGGACAGCCAGGTGGAAGCTGGGAGACTGAAAGATTATAGCTTTTAAGAGGATCCTGTCCAGATTTGATGGCCTCTGAGGGGCCTCCTTGTTTTCTACATACAAAGTTTTTCTCCCATGCAATATTGAAATCGTGCTTTAAGGCATTCATGTTAATCCATTCTTTATTTCTTAATTTCACATCATGTTCCTTAGCCTTAAAAAAAAAAAAATAAGGTCAAAGGCAGTTTTGCCACTGTCCTCGAAGATGATTGAGTTGGGGGGTGGACTGGCAGTCAGCCTTCAGGAGGATCCTGCCAGGTAAGGGGAGGAGCCACCCTTGGCTCTGAGCCACTGGGACAGAGTAGAGAGAGGTACAGAAATGGAGATGAGCAGGGGTGGAGTGGAAGAAGAAAGGATCATGCCTTGGTCATCTTCTCCTCTCTCTCCTTCCCCGGTGATTCATGCCGTCATCACTTCCCATCTCAGATCCTGGGCTCACAGCCATCCCAAAGCCTTTCCTGCTCTGCTTGGCTGGAAACAGATGCAGACTGACAGATGTCTCCTTCAGGAACTGTGACATCTTCACACCCATCCTGGGGCAGCCACTCCCTTCCAGGCCTCTGCCGAGAACAGCTCTTCTTAGGGCTTTCCCAAGGCCACCAGGCCTGGTCCTGACACCCTCCAATACCGGGCGTCTTCTCTCCCAGCTCTTTCCCCCTCCACCAGCCTCCAAGCACCCTCCTCTCCTTGCATGCACCCCACTCAGTCCTATTGGCTTCCAGTGCCTTAATGTGACTTTCCCCTTCCCTCTTGCTCGGTGCAGTTCCACCCCTCTTAAGATCTTCTCACTCTTTCTTCCTCTTGCTGGAATGATTTGGTTGTGGGGTTGGGTGGGGGGTACATGCTCTTAGGAGTCCCCTTCAGCCAGTCAAATGCCCACATCCTCTGACTGCCTCTTCTACCCCACTTGCTGCCCCACCCCCTTTCCTTGGCTTGGCCTGCCTTTCCTGACAGTGACAGTCCCTTTCCACATCCTAGGGTGCTGTGAGAACCAAACAAGACCATATACATGAAGTGCGTTGTAAACTGTAAAATCTCCAAAAGTAGGCCGGGCGCAGTGGCTCACACCTGTAATCCCAGCACTTTGGGAGGCTGAGGCTGGCGGATCACGAGGTCAGGAGATTGAGACCATCCTGGCTAACATGGTGAAACCCTATCTCTACTAAAAATACAAAAAAAAAAAAAAAATTAGCCAGGCGTGGTGGCAGGCACCTGTAGTCCCAGCTACTGGGGAGGCTGAGGCAGGAGAATGGCGTGAACCCGAGAGGCGGATCTTGCAGTGAGCCCACATCACGCCACTGCACTCCAGCCTGGGTGACAGAGCAAGACTCCGTCTCAAAAAAAAAAAAAAAAAAAAAAAAAAAATCTCCAAAAGTAAAAGAAATTCTGCAATCCATTTATATAGAAAACCAAGGTCCCCAGAAGCTTGCCAGTCCTATGGTGGACACAAGACCAGGCTCTATCTGGTCAGTGGTTTTCATGGCTCACGATGCTCAGAGCAACCCAAGAAGTGGAGTCAAGTGTGGTCTCTCCAGACCTCCTAATGTGCTCCCCTTCAGACCTCCTAATGTGCTCCCCTTCAGACCTCCTAATGTACTCCTCTTCAGACCTCCTAATGTGCTCCCCTTCAGTGGGGTGGCCTCTCTAGACCTCCTTATGTGCTCCCCTTCAGTGGGGCGGCCTCTCCAGACCTCCTAATGTGCTCCCCTTCAGTGGGCCTGATGAACCTAGACCTTAAACACACGGCCAAGGGGTTCTGAGGAGGAAGGCCTGGTGAAAAGACACTCACCTAGATTGTTTGACTCTTGACCCTCTTTCACCAAACTCTAGATCTTCCTCTTGCTGAATCCTACTAAGGGGGTGCTTAGCTCCCTGTGTTTACCTTTGTAAATTCACTTTGTATTTTCCAAAGGACTCAGTTTGGGGCTCAGGCTCCTCAAACAGCAGCTTCTGAAGCTTTCTGGAGGATAAAGCCAGAGTTCTCAAAGTGGGTGGGAGCAGGAGACCATGTCCCAACTTGGAGCACCCAACATGGCTTGGAGGCCCCTCTGGGCACAGAGGCAGTGAGAGCCATCAGCACCTCTCCTCGAGGCCAGTAGAGAGGTTCTAGGGACGTTGAGGGCCACTCTCACTTCCTATGTAAACTCATCCCTCTGGGCAGCATCTCCCTTTCTAGCAGACACTGCGCTTGCACAGCTGCTCTCTCTGGATGCTGTGTGCTGCCATGCTTGTCCCCCTCAGGGCTTTCCAGGGCAGTGGTGGGTGTGGAGAAGCTCCCCCTGTTTTGATGTGTACAGGGAAGCATGTGGATGAAGGCATTGCTAGGTGATGCTAAGATGGCAACAGCCTGCTGCAGATTGTGGGAGACATGGCATTGCCAGTGTGCAGAAGGCCAGCTGGGCTCAGGGTGGAGGGGAGCTGGCACCCAGCACCGAGTCCATGGGGGAGCCAAGCAGCTGGGAGGACCAGCCATGGGAAGGGTGTGACACCAAGTGGACAGCGATAAAACAGGACCGAAGGGGCCAGGACTGGGGCTGTCCTCCTGGCCTGCAGGAGCTGGCTGTGTGTCCTTCCACATGGTACCTCCCTTCCATGGGCCTCTGCTTGCCTGGGGGACATATCAGAGACTGGAGTCTAACAGGCACTGGTTACACAAAACATCATGTATTTTCAACAAGATGACTGGCTTAAATTGAGGGTTCCCAAATGGTTTTCTGTGAACAGAGGTTTCCACTGCTGGGCCATCCCCCAGAGGAGCCCGTTCTGAAGAGGAGTCCTGGCCACACTTACTCGCTGTCTCACTTCCAGGCATTCCTGGGGTCCTCAGGGGAATTTTCAGGGTGTCTTCTGAGCTGACCTGGTCCAGTGGTTTTCGGTGAGTAACTGAATCACAGCTCTCTCCCCCTTTCTCTGGTGGCTCACTGTGCTGGGGACTGAACAGTCCTGGGTGGTACAATAGGCTGAACCATAAGTCACTTCAGGAAGTGGGCGTCTATTTCATGCTCTGCAAGGAGCGCTGTAAAATAGTCATAACCCCCAATCTAGCAGAGTGTCAGATCCCCCCTGAGTTTTTCACTGCGATGCATAGTAATACGACTCACCATTTCTTATTAGATGCGTGAATGAATAAATTTGCGTATTTATTAGGTCCTGATGGCTTCCCGTCTTTGAGTCCTGAGAGAAAAAACTTGCGCAGTAAGTTGTTCCAGCTGACGCCTTAGAGAGGGTTCACTTTTCAGGTCATTTTCAAACCCTTCTGGGCAGCTGGCTATGAGGTTCTGGGGAAGAATGGGAGAGGTGTTCAGGGCACAACAGCAGGGCCTTTCCTCTATGTGGACGACCGGCAGGCGTGCTGCCCAGACCCCCGTTCAGGGCAGGACTTCTTGCCCAGCTATGGGGGTGTGGTCAGCAGATGGTTTCCAGCTGTCAGGTCCCTTGGAACCTCAGCTTCAGAAAACAAACTTGCTCAAGGTCACACCCTTCTCAGGGCAGCCCACCTCCAGTGACTGGGCAAGATGGAGTACACAGGCCTGGCCATTTCTGCTTGACCCAGGGTGGGATGACCAGCAATATTCACTTCAGAGCTTCCCACCAGCTTGGCCAAGACCTTGTCAGGCTGCATCGCATTTAATCTCTCCCTCCCCGAATCCTCATTCTATCCCCTCCTACAAGTAGTGATCCCTAATAAACATCATGCATCCAAAGTCCATCTCAGCATCTGCTTTCAGAGAACGCTTACTTCACAGTTCTCCCCAGGGGTGGTTCAGAATCTTGCTATAGGTCCAGTCCTTCCCCAAAACCAGTAAAGCCGATGTGCGGCCCTCCGAAAACCCATTCTGACCAAGTCAAATCCATAGCCACCAGAGTGTGTGGGGGACGACATCAGAGATGGCTGCTATGGTATCCAGTTGCCTAGAAAAAGAAATCTATCAAGCCCATACTAGCCTCAGGCCTCAGGGCCTTTGCACTTCATGTTCTCTTTTAGGAATGCTAGAGTTTGTGCCCAGTTCACCTTCTTAGGCAAGTCTTCATAGACCGCCAATCAAAATGATCCTCTCCTCAACACACAGTCACCCCACTATGTGCTGTGTTGTTGGTGATTTTCTGTTGCAATAAAAATTAAAGGTAACCTTGGATACTTAGGTTTTCAGTCTCTGTCTCTTCCCACTGGAACATGAATCCTGTGAAAGCAGGGGTCTTTCTACTTTGTTCATCTCCTCATCCCAGGACCTTGCAGCATGTCTTAAGTAAGTACCAGATAGAGAATGACAGAATGAATAGGATGGACAAATATTTTTTGAGTGGAAGTAAGAGAATCTAAGAATTCAATATTTTAAATAATTTTTAAAATATTTTGTTTACTGAATATTTTCGCTTTTTCTTTCTAGTTAAGGTAAGTGGCACTGGTTTTCACTTAGAGAAGGGACAAACTTTCTTCTTCAGAGAGCCACTTAGTAAATACTTTTGGCTTTGCAAGTCTCAAGGGCTTGGTTGCAACTGCTTAACTCTGTGGTTGTAGCACAAAGGCAGCCATTGACAATACAAAACGAATGGGCGTGGCTGTGTTACAATAAAACTTTCTCTGAAAAAACAGGTGGATGTCTGAATTTGGCTGGCAGGTTGTTACTTAGAGTAATAACATAAAATTTCCTATAAATAACTTTATTGGAGGAAAAAAGGAAGTCCGTTTAAATAAAAGTATTAACTAAATAGCTGTATAGAAACCATATGCAAATTCCTAATGTTGGTTAGTTCTAATGTTTCTTGTAACATCTGTGGCCACAGCTGTGAGGGTGAGGGAGGTGGAAGGGAGAAAACCTTTAATTTAACGTTACCAAACAGGGTGGGAGGCTCACTTAGATATTCCCGAGAGCTTGTTCTGCTTTTTCTCCCCTTGCTATTCCTTTGTCCTATATTCTTTTCACTGCCAACTCTGTACCTAGAACTAGTGGTTGTCTTAAAACGCTCTTGCTTGGTAAGCAATCCTTCTATGGGGTTTAAATACCCCCAGGTTGGATGTGACCCCACTTACCTACCTCATAAATATACCCTGAGCTTAAACATAAACATGGCAGGGCACTCAGGAGTTAGGTGTGGCAGAAGGTGACAAAGTTAGAGTGAGATTCCTAAACTTTTAGGAATGAGAATGGCTCAGGTCTACTGGGCACTTAACACAAACCAGGCCTGCTCGCATGTATTAGTTGATTCAGTTCTCACAGTCATCTTATAATAATAGTATTTCCATTTGCAGATGAGACAACTGAGGCCCAGGAGCTAAGTCAGTTGCCCAAGATTATTCAGCTAGCAAGAGGCAGAGTTAGGTTACCAACCCAGGTCATCGGCACCAGAGCCATGCTGCTAACATGTACACCTGTGATGACATGCTACAGCGTTCCACGAGATAGCAATATCAGTGTTTCCTAGGAGTCCGAATCAATTCACTATTCTTTCTCTATTACCTTTTTTACAAAAATCATGTATTTATGTATTCATTTATTTATTTATTTACTCATTATTTTTATTGAGGTGAAACTCACATCATATAAAATCAAACATTTAAAAGAATACAATTCAGGCTAGGTGCATTGGTTCATGCCTGTGATCTGAGCATTTTGGGAGGCTGAGGCAGGAGGGTAACCTGAGGTCAGGAGTTAGAGACTAGCCTGGGCAAATAGTGAGACACTCTCTCTACAGAAAAATTAAAACAAAAAGTATACAATTCAGTGCCACTTAGCGCATTCACAATGTTGTACAAGCACCACTTCTCTTGAGTTTCAATCTTTTTTTTTTTAATAACCCCAGGAGAATATTCCGTATCCATTAAGTAATCCCTCCCTAGTCCCTTCTTCCCCCTACTGGCAATGTAATCTGCTTCGTCTCTAGTGATTTGGCTTCTCTGAATATTTTATATAAAAAGAATCATATAATATGTGACCTTTTGTGTCTGGCTTCTTTCATTTAACTTGTTTTAAAGGTTCATCTAAGTTGTAGAATGAATCAATACTTTGTTCTTTTTTGTGACTGAATAATGTTCCATTGTGTGGATATACTACATTTCATTTATCCATTTATCTGTTGATGAATATTTGGGTTGTTTCCACCTTTTGGCTGTTGCGAATAGGGCTGATATAAACATGCATGAACAAATACTTGTTTGAGTATCTATTTTCAATTCTTTTGAGTACATAACTAGGAGTGGAATTGCTGGGTCACAAAGTACTCAATGTTTAACTTTTTGAGGAACTGCCGAACTGTTTTCCATAGTGGCTGCACCATTTTACATTCCCAATGAGGTAGGAGGTAGGATTTGACTCTGGACTGGACTGAAGACTGACTGAAACAGGGAAGAGGCACCAGCACCACGACAGTTCAGCATTTCCATGGCAACACTTGGAAATTACTGCCCCTTTCCATGGCAATGGCCTGGAGGTTACCACTCCTTTTCTAAAAATATCTGAATAACCTGCCCCTTAGTTTGCATATAATTAGAAGTGGGTAATTAAATATGACTGCAGAACTGCCCCTGAGCTGCTACTTTCAGCACATTGCCCGTGGGGTAGCTTGCTCTGCAGGAGCAGTCATGGAGTTGTCACACTGCCTCCTCAATAAAGCTGTTTTCTTCTGCCACCGTCTCACTCTTGAATTCTTTCCTAAGTGAAGTCAAGAAACTTCTCAGGCTAAGCCCCAGTTTTGGGGTTCACCTGCCTAGCTCATATTTCTCCACATCATTACCAACACTTGTTATTTTTTGTTTTTTGATGTTGTTTTTGTCTTTTAATATGTTAATAGATACCCCGTGGATTTGAAGTGTTATCTCATTGCAGTTTTGATTTCCATCCCATTAATGACCAGTTATGTTAAACCTCTCTTCATTGGCTGGGCAGAGTGGCTCATGCCTGTAATCGTTGGGAGGCCAAGGCATAGGATTGCTTGAGCCCTTGAGTTTGAGGCTGTATTGAGCCATGATTGTGCCACTGCACTCCAGTCTGGTGACACAGCAAGACTTTGGCTCTAAAAACAGACAAACAAACAAACAAACAAAAAAATCTCAAAACATCTCTTCATTAGCTTTTTGCTCATTTATATATCTTTTTTGGAGAAATATCCATTTAAGTACTTTAATTGGGTTGTGTATCTTTTTATTGCTCTGTTGGAAGAATTCTTTGAATATTCTGGATGTTAGAGCCTTATCAGATATATAATTTGCAAATATTTTTTCCCATTCTATAGGTAGTCTTTTTACTTTCTTGCTAACGCCCTTGTAACTGCATCAGATGAATGTGGTTTAACTTTTACGTAGCAAAGTTGTGAATTGTTTCTCAGTTGCCATGGACCCCCCAGGTTGAAGGTCATGTAACCTGAGCATGCCTAGATGAACCAAGTGTGCAACCGCAAGGGGAATCTAAGTGCTTGGACCAAGGAATGGGAATAGAATTAAGAAATGGAAACCATACATAGCAGGATCTAGTCAGATCCTGCTTCCCGGCATCACTTCATTCCAAGATCCAATCAGATCCTGCCACCTTACCCTATCCTTATAAAACCTGACTCAGATCCCAGCTAAGGGGGACACTGCTTCGAGAGCTACCGGCTATGTGCTCCTTACTTGTTGCAAGTAATAAAATGTCCTCCTAAATCCTCCCTGGCTGTGGCCATTGGGCTGTCACCTGCTAAACAACGAAACCTCCCCCGTTGTGTGGGTAACATCTTTTGTTGCACCAAAATTTTTATTTTTCTGAAGTCCAATTTATATTTTTTTCTTTCATTGCTTGTGCTTTTGGTGTTAAATCTAAGAATCCCCTGTCAAATTCAAGGTCATGAAGATTTACCCTTATGTTTTCTTCTGACAGCTTTTGTTTCAGCTTTTATATTTAGGTCATTGCTCCATCTCTGTTGATTTTAAGAGGACCTAATACAGACCTGGTTAGGGGAGGATGGGAAGACTTCAGTAGAGCCACACCGTCTCAAGTGAATAAACATCAGTTTGGATTTCAGGCCCTCCCTACTGTAGTGTGACCTCATTTCATTAATGACATCTACAAAGACCCTGTTTCCAAATACGGTCACATTCTGATGTTCTGAATGGACATGAATTTTGGTGGGGACACTATTCATACCAGCATGCCCCCCTAGTTAACTTGAGACAGAGGATAGTGGCTGCCTCCCAGACAGCAGGAGAAGGCAAAATCCCTGCAGAAGCAGCAGCTTAAACAAACTCTCAGCCGGGAGCATGGTGGTTGGGGTGGGGAGAAAACAGTGTGAGTACCAAGGGTAGCAGTATGATGTGACAGTGGCAATCCCCAAACCGCAGCTCCTTTCAAAGGAGCTTATGAGTGATAAATGCCGCTAAAGACTCTGGGCAGTGTGCAGAGTTGGAGGAAGGGGGACAGGCTAACCAGGCCGTGTGTGAGAGCAGCCTTTGGTTTCTTGTCCTGCTTTTAATTTTTGTATGTGTTAGCCTTTTTCCTTGAGGCAAAGCATACATACAGTAGAAGTGCATAAAGTGCACTAATCTTAACCGTACAGCTTGGAGGATATTTACATAGGCATGTGCTCATGAAACCATCATCCAGATGAAAAAGCAGCATGCTTCCAGCACCCCGACAGGTACCCCAGTGTTAGGGCCTGGTTCATGGCAGTGTGACCTCTCTGATGCTCAAAAGGGCTTGCATTTGGTTTAATGCTCTGCTGTCACTGTCCTGGCATTTTTGAACACGGGGCCTTGCATTTCCATTGTTCACTGGGCCCAGGTAACCCCTATTCTCTCCTTTCCATGAGTACAAATATTTCAAGGTTCAGCTGAAGTTCTACCTCCTTCAGAAAGCTTTCCCTGACTCCTCTCTGCTCTCTGGGTAACTGCGTGTCCTCAATTTCTATAGGGGCTATGCCTGACCAATACCACTCAGTACTTGGTCACATGAATTACACTCAGCCCTTGCTAGTCTCTGTTTTCTCTGTGCATGAAAGTTTTGTCTCTCCCATCTGGTTATGAACTGACTAAAGCATTGGGAAAAGCTCCTACTCTTGGGCGCTCTGATGTGGAACACTGAGAATTATTGGGATCCATGTTTCATCTCTTCTTTTAACCTGCAAAATTCCTTTATTTATCTTGATGTCCCACAGCACACCCAGCCTAGTGTCTCTGTCAAGTTCAATAAACTGTGGCCGGCCTTTTACTGCTCGCTCTTCCTGTCTTATTTCTGACCAGGTGGCTTTGCCGCACCCCAGGATTCTAGAATGTTAAGGCAGGAAGGGATCTGAGACTCATCTGGTAAAATCCATGTGTGAATGGAGGAGACTCCTCTAGGTCTAGTGTCTTGCCCAAGGTTACACAGCTAGTGGGGGGCACTGCAGGAGGGACAGAACATTTTCCTCTGTAACTGCCTCCACCCCTTTGTCCCTTCCTCTTTACAGATGTGGACCCCTCCTGTGAGTGCAGGTGGGAGGTAGCCCTCTCTCTGCCTGGAGCATCTGACCTGATTCTCCCTGAGACCGGCAGTCCATCACTGGATTGGCTTCCGGCTTCCTCTGCGGAATGGCTCCCTGGAGCCTCCCTGAGAAGTTCAGGAACCAGCTGCCTGTCAGCCACCTTATTAAACCGGTTTCCAGATGTCTCCACCTCAAAATGAGGAAGCAGGAGGAGGGTGAGGGGCTGGGAGTTTTGTCCCTTAAATGAAGTCAGCCAGATCCCTAATAAATAATGTCATGTACCGATGGAGCAGGTGGTCATGGGAGATGATGTGATGCAGAGGAGGTCCTCATGAAGCCATGTGTGAGGGTGGGAGAGGCCGACAGACAAGCAGGTAGAACATTTGGGGACAAGGACAAGAGGAAGAGATAGATGTGCAATTAGAGACTGAGAGGGGGCAGGGAGAACCCATGAAAATGTGAATGTATAAGAGAGAAACAGGACAGAGAAAGAAAAGGAAGCTGAAAAAGAGAGATGGGAAATGAGGGCCCAGACAAGGCTATTTTGCCTAAGATTTTCCATTGTGCTGATCTGCCAGGGTCTGTCTTCATTGAAATTGCTAATCACAGCCAACCCTTGAGGCCTTTCTGTATGCAAGTCCTGTGTTGTGTGCCTTATAGGTATTGGATCATTTACTCTTTGCCATAACCTCAGGAGGTAGCCCTTGCAATTATGCCCATTTCACAGGCAAGGAAAGTGAGGCTCAGAGAACTTACAGAACTTGCTCAAGGTCACACAGTAGAGAAGTCTGGTCCTCACACTTGTACCCTTAACCACTCCACTCTCCTTAGTGGTAAAATTTGGGGGAGTGGTCTTCCCAGGCTTGGCTCATTCCACTGCTGGGCACAGGGCTATAGTAGGTTGGCACAGCCTAAACTTAATATCATCCTTAGAGAGTAATTCTGAATCTGTCTGCATGTGGGCACAGGCAGAGAGACACAGAACAAGAAATAAGAACGTATCCTTTCTTCCAAGCACTTGTTTTGGAATATGCTGCATTTAGCCAGTTGGGTGGACTTATTTTCTTTTAGCTCATGAATGAACTGACTGCTTCATGTGCCTCTTTTCTGTTTGCATTTATGCATTGTATTAGTCTGTTCTCGTGCCGCTATAAAGAACTGCCGAGACTGGGTAATTTATAAAGGAAAGAGGTTTAATTGATTCACAGTTCTGCATGGCCAGGGAGGCCTCAGGAAACTTATATGGTGGAAGACACCACTTCACAGGGCAGCAGGAGACAAAATGGGAGCCAGCAGGGGAAATGCCAGAAGCTTCTAAAACTGTCAGATCTCGTGAGACCCACTCATTATCAAGAGAACAGCATGGGGGAAACTGCCCCCATGATTCAAAAACTTCTACCTGGTCCCACCCTTGACACATGGGGATTATTACAATTCAAGGTGAGATTTGGGTGGGGACACAGAGCCAAACCATATCATGCATATGTGAGAAACATGGATATATTAGTTTCCTGGGCTGCCATAACAAGTTATCACAAAATTAGTTGTTTAAGACAACAAACAACATGAATATATTCTCTCACAGTTCTGGAGGCCAAAAATCTGAAATCCAAAGTGTTGGTAGGACCACACTACCTGTGAGGGCTCTAGGGAAGAGTCCTTACTTGCTTTTTCCTGGCTTTCAATGGCTTTTTGAGCATCTTTGACATCCCTTGGTTTGAAGCTGCATCACTCCAATCTCTGCCTTTGTCGTCACATGGACTACTTCCTTGTGTCTCCTCTCTGTCTCTGTATTCCAATTTTCTTCTCTTTTTTTTAACCAGTCATTGGATTTAGGGCCTACCCTAATCCAGAATGACTTTATTTTAACTAGATTACATCTGCAAAAAACCCTATTTCTTTTATTTATTTATTTATTTATTTTAACTTTTAAGTTCTGGGATACGTGTGGAGGACATGCAGGTTTGTTACGTAGGTAAACATGTGCCATGTTGGTTTGCTGCACCTATCAACCCATCACCTAGGTATTAAGCCCTGCATGCATCAGCTATTTATCCTCATGCTTTCCCTCCCCCCACAACCCCTGACAGGCCCCAGTGTGTGTTGTTCCCCTCCCTGTGTCCTTGTGTTCTCATTGTTCAGGTCCCACTTGTAAGTGAGAACACGTGGTGTTTGGTTTTCTGTTCCTGTGCTAGTTTGCTGAGGATAATGGCTTCCAGCTCCATCCATGTCCCTGCAAAGGACATGATCTCGTTCCTTTTTATGGCTGCATAGTATTCCATAGCGTGTATGTACCATATTTTCTTTATCCAGTCTATCATTGATGGCCATTTGCAAAAATCCTATTTCTAAATAAAATCACGTTTATAAGTATTGGGGGTTAGGAGTTGAACAAGTATTTTGGGGGGACACAATTCAAACCACTACTATGGGAATATATGCAAAGTATAGGTGATAAAAAGATGTGAATAAAAGCAAATGCAAAGGATGAGTGTGTGGCAGATCAATGCTCAGGCATTTCCCTTAAATGTGGAATGTTAAACTATTATTTATACCTTCTGTCTAGTCCTTGATGCCTCCTCTTTGCCCCACCATGTGTTTCTATCTGCCTCCTTCCACCTCCCAGACACCATCCCTAAGTTTTTACATATGACCATGCTTTGGAATTGAGATACTTCCAAAATTATTCAAAATTCTTAAAAGGACACCATTTTGGGGCAAATATTCTGTTTTACCCGGGGGCAGAGCTGATTCTTGTCTCTAATCCTGGATTCATTTCCTAGATCAGAGCTACCTGCCTAGCTGATGTGTAAGGAATACAGTAAAATGGCCTTAATGTAAAATACCAGCACCCACTGACTTACCAGCAGGACCTTGTGTGATGGGGTGCTCTGAGTGCCTCATTCACCATCGATGATGAACTTAGGATGTACTGGTCTCCAGGGACTCTTCTTAAATCCAAAATAATCCTCTAGTGTTGGTTAGATCACTTTCTATGGGAAGAATATAAATACACTGGCAATAACTTTTTGCCCAGAGGAGATCTGATGACTCATGCTACTGGGGATTCCAAGGAGTGGTCTAGCTTCAGGTATAGCTGGACCCAGGAGTTCATTGGCGTCATTGAAACTCCCTCTCCCTTTCTTTGTGGAAGCAAGATGCCCCCATGGGTTCTAGAGAAAGACAGTACATAGCACATTTCAGGAAGTGACTCTCAGTCCAGCCTGGGTCTCATGTCCATCACAGGCACAATCTCAGTGGCCAGGGAGAGGGGATTTTCTGATTGCCAAGGGCAGAGTCACTAGCCACAAGGGACTAGCAAAGTAGTTCTAGCTGCTGTAACAACAATCCCTGACAATCTCAGTAACTTAATACAATGGAAGTTTACCTTTTAGTTATTTACACAGTCATATTGGGAGAACCTTCTTGAGAACACAGGGTGAGGGAGGTCCTGCCATCTTTAACAAGTGGCTTCCAAGGTCACCAAAAGCATCAGTATCCAGCCCCCTAATAGGGGAAGAGAAACTGGACCATCATGCATGGGGTTCTTTCAGGGACTAGGTCTAACATTTTCATTGGCCAGAACTCAGTCACACGAACAGATTGTAATGCTGTCTGGGAATGCAGTCTAACTGTGAGCTTGGCAGGAAAGGACACAGGTTTGTTAAATGGCTAGCCATTTCTGCCACAAGTCATAATGCTGAGCAATGTTATCAGAGAATGAAGATGAGTCCCAAAGAAAAAGGTTCAGAGCGGATTAAAAAAAAAAAGTCCTCTGAACTAACTCATGAGATGTTTTAGTCTCATCTGACTTTGCTGCTCTTAGTTCTAATTACATCTAGTAATTAGATACTATTGTGCTGCTCTTAGTTCTAATTACATCTAGTACAGATACTATTGTCCATTGCTGTATGACCAACTATCCCAAAACTTAATGGTATACAACAAGTATTTTGTTATATTTTATCATATTTCTTATATATTATGATTTCATGATTGGGAATTTGAGTAGGGCTCAGCTGGATGGTTCTTTCACTCTTCATGGTGGCAACTAGAGTCACTCATTGGCACACAGCTGGCAGATGGGTTGGTTTGGCAGGTCCAAGATAGCTCCACTCACAAGTCTGGTGCCTTGGTGGGACTGGCTGGATGTCTGGGCTCACCTGGGCCCCTCTTCCTCTCCATGTAGTCTCAGGCCTTGCCATGTGGTGTCTGCAGCAGGCTAGTCAGATTTCTTATATGGTGGCTCATGGCTTTAAGAGTGTTTCAGGTGACGCAGGAAGAAGCTGCATGGCTTCTAAGGACCTGGTCTCCAAAGCCCTGGAGTGTCACTTAGCCACATTCTATTGGCCAAGTAAGTCTTTAAGGCCAGTCCAGATTCAAGGGAGGAGAACTAGACCTTCCTGCTCAATTGTGGCAGTTTTAATCAATGACAGATCCTTTCCAGTCAAGTGACTTTTTCACATGGCAGATGTGAATTTGAGGGTCTTTTCTTCTCTATGAGAGGCTGCAGGATATGAGCCTCAACTGTTCCACCTACTGCTAGATGTTATGGCCATTTAGCTCCTGGCATTGCAGTTCTTGTCTTGAGCTGGGCCTCCAGAAACAGGATGCCATATTCTGGAACATGAGACAGGTGTTCTGGTTTAGAGACACGGGACAGAATGTCAGGGACCACGGACCACATGGATGTAACAAAGAACAGGGACCCACCCCCAGAAGTGGTATCTAACTAAGCTCAACAGCAAATATGATAGCCGCTACTTATATACTAGGCCTTATTCTAAAGTTACATGTACTAACTTGCTAAATATTTTCAGCAGCCCTATATTTAAGTACCACATTTGTGCCCATTTTATAAAAGAAGAAACTCAGACACAAAGAGGTTAAGCAACTTGCCTGGGCTCATACTGCTGCAAAATGAAGAACCAGTATTCAGACTCAAGCAGCCTGGGTCCTGATGCCATGGGGCCGGAATAACCTGCTAAAACTAGTAATTGTCCCTGTAACACTCAAGAGCCCTGAGGTTTACTGCTATTAGCTGGGGGCTCTCAAGTCTATCATCGGCACTACTGAGTTAACTGACTTTCTGTAGGAAACCAAATGTTCTTTTTGTGAATTTGTAGGTTTCTGAGCTAACAAAAAATCCTTTTCTTCAGCTACCTATTATAGTCAGGGTGACTGGGCATACCTATTCATTTCCCATGGTGTCCTAGGACTCATATGCAAATTAAGCAAAAAGAATTCTGAGTTACATTGTAGCTTTGTTACTGCAAACCTGGGTTGTTGTTGTAAAGTCAAACAGTTTTGTTTGAGGATCCAGTGGGTGTGTGTGGCAGCACTAAGCACCTTAATGTGGAAATCAGAGATCTGAGTTTTCTTCTCTGAGTGAGCAGGGTCAAGAAGCCATGCAAAGTCCAGACTTTCATAAGAAAAAGCTGATGTGGGATTCCTGTCTAGGCCTCCCATCTCTCCTAATCCCACATCCTGACCCCTCCTCCTAGCTGTGTGCACTTTGCATTTGCCCTTCTAAACTCATTTCCTTCTGAGAAAAACACAGAAAGCCCCTTTGGGAAGAAATAGTCTGACTCTTCCAGGCATTTTCTGGGATTGGATAGTTGAGGCTGCTTGGCAGAGATGAGCATTATGGGCCTGGCATCACGTAGGATCTGTTTTTGGCCCTCCAGCCGTCTCCTTCCTCCTACGTGGATGGCAGATGGCCTATATTTTTAATAATTAAAAAAATAAAGTAGGAGGGAAATCAGGCTCAGCAGGAGGAATTTGGAACCATCCAGGCAGTGCAATTGAGCTGTGAATTCATTTGTTTGGAAATTGGAAATGGTGTCTTCCCATTAAGCAGGCCTGTGGCCTCAGCCATTTCCAGGAAACTTCGAGGGCCCTGCGTAGTGATTTTCATCAGCAGGTCTCTGCTGGGGGTGGTGAATGAATGGGAGCCACTGGCAGTCCCTGGACCTTGTACTCATAGGACTGTACCTCCCAGGGGCCATGACGGGATAGTCCGTGAAACCTTCACCCCCTAATCTATCCGTAGCTTCTCAATAGCCCTGGGAGGCAGGGATCTCAAATGATTACACCAAGCAGCCGGCAAGACCCGCTTTGGGTCATTTAGAGATAAAGAGGAAATGTCCAGCTGTAACAGAAAAGATAAAGGCATCTAAGAAGAGATGGTGGAGGTCTGAGACCCTGTTGCGTTACACGGTAGAGTGTGGGACTGTTAACTTCATTTGTTTCTCATTTAGTGGGGAATGGGAGGCATGGAGGAGGAAGTGCCAGACTGGAATGCAGACTCCCAGGTTCCCTGGCCTGGTACCCCAAGCTTTGTGTTCCTCACCTGGTCATCTTCCTTTTCTGGGTCTCAGCCTTTTTTTTTTTTTTTTTTAATTAAATTTGTAAAAGAACAAAACTGAATTCTGCGAGAGGTCGAGAGAGCTGAGAAAGGTTGGAGAAGCAGCCTTCCTGTACATAACCTGACTGTCTGCTGAGGCACAGAAAGATCTCAGCAGCCAAGAAGGCTGTGAGGCATTGGCAAGGTGACCAGAGAAGCGACTGCGTTTTGTTTTGGAAAAACCACCAGTAAACACAGGCGGCATGAAAGAGGTTGGGTAGGCTCAGATACATGGGTTCCAAGGTCATCTTTTCATCCTCAATAGGCTACGAAAGAGCTGGGACCCCACAGCACATTTCTCCAATTCTCTGTCCGACTGCTCCCCTCTCTGTCAGCATCCCCCTCCCTGCTTGCTTGACGCTGTGTTGGGATTTCTAGAGAGTGTGTTGAGCAGCTCTGATGGTGTGAGGGCTGGCTGAGCAGAGCACCAGTCCTCCCGGCCCCTGTTCTGTCTGGTCTGGGAGACCACTGCATCTCAGAACCTCAAGTTCTGGCAGGAAGGGATGGGATGAACATTCCAAGAGCACAGGGAGGAAGGAAAGCTACCCCCTCGGCCTCTTCCCCCAGCTTTCTCGGTAAGTCCATGCTGGGTCCCACTGACCAGCTGCCACCAGGGGCGAGTCAGCCCAGCAGATGGTGTGAGGCTGGGCTGGGAGGGGCGTGTCGGCCAGCCATGTTACCCTCTGCAATTTGGGACGTTCTGTTCCCAAAGTTCCCTGCTCTCCCTCTCCTCCCCCTGTCCCTTCATCATCCAGCCTGCTTCCCTTTCTTTCTTCTTTCCTTCGTCTTCCTGGCTCCCTTCCCCCTTTCCCTCCCCATGTTCTCTCTGCCACTCCCTTTTCTTTATTTTGTTTTAGCCATTGCAGAGTTTGAAAAAGAGAGTCCTTCTGGCTATCCCTAGGAAAGGGAGGGGCCCAAGTTAGAGGTAGGACCCTTAAGGTAGCCACAGTGTTAATAGGAGGGCCAAAGGGGTCTGTTTCTTGGCATAACGTATCCCTAGCCAGAGAGCCACAGGTTTAAGGAGTCCCTTTCTGCACTTAGTGAAAACCTCAGCTTAACACCCATTGGCCTTGCTGTGTCGAAAACAATACTGTTAGCTTGGAGCAGAGGCCAAGGTCTGCCAGTGGATCAATTTCTGCCTAGAGAAGGCCAAGGTGAAAGCTCCAGTGCCCCAGGGCTACTTTCCAGGTCACAGATGGTTCTTCCCCCTGCACTCTCCATCCCCCTTACTATTTGGAAGGGAGTGTGGCAATTCCTGGGTCCTCGCACATTCCTTTCCTGCTGCTGAAAACACCAGGATGCTGTCTGGGCAGATTGGTTGAATGTGCTAGGTTGTTTATCTTCTCTCCTCTTTAGAAGCCTTGCTTCTCTAGGAGACTGGCCAGGGTGATGACAGCAGTAAGGGTGGTCCCAGACCCTCTTACTGAGACTCAAGCCTCTCCTGCTCTGTCTGTCCTCCTTCCTAGAGCCCCATCCCACAGGAGCAGGTGCAGCCAGCACAGTCTCCAGGCCTTTCCTTCAGGAACGTACATGTTTTCAATCCAAATCAAGAAGCCAGAGGCAGCCCTGAAGAGAAGGAAAAGAAAAGGGTTTGTTTAAAGGAGCCCAAAGATAAGCTGCTTCTACTTTTCCAGGACTCCTCCGGACTCCTAGATTCTAAACCTGTACTATCCAACAGGAGGCTCTGCAGTGGTGGAAAATGTCCTGTATCTGCATTGTCCAATAAGAAGCCACTAGCTGCAGGCAGCTACTGGATGCTTATAATGGGGTTAGTGCCACTGAAGAACTCAGTTGTTCATTTAATTCTGAGTCATTTAAATTTAAATAGCCACATGTGGCTGGTGGGTGCCATATTGGGCAATTCTAAAACATTAGGGGAACTTGGGGAATAGTAGTAACCCATTAATTGAAATAACATTTTACAAAACTCTTTACTCAGTTCCTTCCTTCCTTCCTTTCTTTTCTTCCTCTTCTTCCTCTTCTTTTTCTCTCTCTCTCTCTCTTTTCTTTCTTTGTTTTTTTTTTTTGTTTTTTGAGTACAGTGGTGCGATCTTGGCTTACTGCAACCTCCACCTCCCAGGTTCAAGTGATTCTCATGTCTCAGCATCCCAAGTAACTGGGATTACAGGTTGTGCCAACATGGCTGGCTAATTTTTGTATTTTTAGTAGAGACAAGTGTTCACCATGTTGACCAGGCTGGTCTTGAACTCCTGACCTCAAGTGATCTTCCCACCTCAGCCTCCCAAAGTGCTGGGATTACAGCTGTGAGCCACTGTGCCCAGCCTACTCAGTTCTTTTTACAGAGAGCTCGGTTTTCTGGCACAGGTAAAGAACTCCATAAATAGGTTCTTTCTTTTAATCAACAACAACAACAACAACAACAACAAAACCCTTGAATGGAGATACTGTTATCATCCACATTCTACAGAAAAGAAGAGGAAGGGGAGACACAGGGAGACTAAATTGTTTGCCCAAAGTTGCTCAGCTAGTTGGTGCTGGGACAGGATTTGTGAATGGCCCGCCTGACTCCAGAGCTGAGCTTTAACAAGCACACCACATATCACCCAAACTCCCAAGACTAGATTCCAATTCTGCCTCTACCACCTGTCAGCTCTGTGGCCTTGGTCGTCATTTCTCCACTTTTGGCCTCAGGTGGCTCATGTATGAAAGTAGAGTGTGGAAGTGATGTGTCCTACGTCCTCTTTGGCTCTGAGAATGGATGCTTCTGCTTGCCTGAGCTCAACTGGGGTCACATGGCTGTGTCCAAACACACTCTTAGAAGGACATTCCATGGTTTGAAACACCATGGCCTTCTGTGAGGATGGTAGCATGAAAAGAAGGGCTGCTTTCGGCTGAGGGTATGGAGGAGGGCTCCAGGGGCAGGCAGGATTTGAGATGGGTCTGGAGGATAGGGAAGGCTATGGATGGGCAGAGATGGGGAGACAGCCGGGGGGCAGAGACACAATGAAGACAGATAGGAGAAGAGGCCCATTTGAGGGAGGAGCACATCATGTTGTGTGATTCTTCTGAAACCTCTTCTAGAAACCCACTTAAGAAATTTTCCTCCAAGAACAAGGGAGGTAGCAGGAAACCCAAAAGTAACCAAAGGTGAGGGTGAGAGATGTCTAATATCTGTTACGCTTCCATCAAGTGTACACTGTACGTCTCTTCTGAGCTGGCTGTAATATAAATAGTTAGATCCATCTCCCTTCCTTCCACCAGCCAGCAGAGTAGTCCCTGGGGGCTGATGGTGCATTAGGCATTTTCTGCTAAGCCTGTGTGACTTTCAACATGTCCTAGGACACAACGACACATCCACCCTGCCCTGTCTCCAGGCGCCCAAGCTGTTGTCTGAAATTGCCCAGACAGCATTCTTGGCCCCGACACACCCACTCTTCTCTCGCTCCCAGACTGTATTATTTATCTCTGTGGAGCAGCCTCCACTCCCTTCTTTCTGGCAGATACTGGCACTGCCTGCCACTAGAGAAGTCAGGTTGTGACCTCAGCTAGGTCCTGTGATCTAGCTGAATCCTGCGCTTCACTCATGTAGGAGATTCCCTTGAGAGTTTTGTGTGTGCTGGTCACTGTGCAGAGCCCTGCAGGGAATCCCCAGGTGAATAAGCAAGGTCTGCCTTCCAGAAGCTCCAGGGCAGCATAGCTGAAGGGGTTCCACCTCAGATACCTAGATACACAGTAGATGATGGAAGTGCCTGCTGTGAGATCATAGGGAACAGTGGAGATCGGCAGAATTTAAGCCCTGCTTCATCTCCTTATCTCCAGCTCGTTACTACACTATACCACACAAAAACGCAGGCAGAATGGTTTGGTGCTCTTTTTTGCAAAGAGAAGCTAGAATCTGGATTTTAAGTAGAAATTTCCCAAGTTTTAAAAAGGGCATGCTGGCCAAATAAAACTCATCTCTTGGTGAAAAACATTCCTGTTTCTTTCTTATACATTGGCAAATTCCTGAAGATGTGTTTGTTGACTGGTTGAAGAAAGGAAGGAATGAGATGAGCCAATCTCTGGAAGTTGCCCCTCCCTGTTTGTGCCCACATTGACACCGTTTTCCTGCTTCAGTGTAGACAGAGCCTTGTTTGCACCAGAGCAATTAACCGGATAATTATCTCCTTGGAAAATTAGTCACAAAGACCAAGTCAACACAAGAGCAGTGGGCACATGTGCATTGGCTGCTCCTGGGTTTTCGAGGGGGTGGATTTCTTCTGCCCTCTCTCTCCCTTGCACACAGGGTCAGAAAAGGACACTGGTAACTGGGTTTCTTAGATTATGAAACCTGAAGTTTCTAGGTAAAGGCAAGGTTGAGAAGAGGGCTTAGGGCTCCCCCAAAGCCCTCCACTCAAAAACACATTAACATTTATGTCAAAAAAATTGCACTTTTAAAAAATAGTATTGGTCGTGCAGTTAGTACCCTCATGGGATTGTAGAATATGTATTGTGCTGTGTTCTTGACAGGTGTATTAGTCAGGGTTCTCCAAAGAAACAGAACCAACAGGATGCGTCTGTGTGTTTATATGTGCGTATGGAGAGAGAGAGAGAGAGAGAAGTTTATTTTTAAAAATTGGTTCATGCAATTGTGATGGCTGGCAAGTCCAAAATCTGCAGGGAAGGCCAAGAGACTAGAGACTCAGGGAAGAGTTGATGCTGCAGCCTTGAGTTCAAATGCAGTATAAGGGTAGAATTCTTTCCTCTTTCCTCTTAAGACCTTTAACTGATTACATGAGATCTACCCACACATGGAGGGTAGTTTACTTCAAAAGTCTACTGATTTAAATATTACATCTAAAAATACTTCTCTAGTAACATCTAGAATAGTGTTTGAACAAACACTGGGCACCAAAACTTACCCAAGCTGATACACAAAAACTAACCATGACAGTGGGGTAGCCATCTTGGATTAAATTCCGTCAAAGTGTTTTAAACAATACAACAAACAACCTAATGCCTGTAAAACGTTGTTGGATAGATGTGGCCAGTGCTCATCAAGATGATTGTCCAGGTAATGTTCTTTCCAGTGTTAGTTCATTCTTTCGATTTTTTTTTGTCATCTAATTTATCAAACAATCACAAGTTAATTTAGTGATTAGCTCAAACTGAGGTAGCAAAGACATTTTGTTTCCTATGACAGTTCTTTTCAATTGTTGATGACTACTTTGTGTACTAAATGTGAAGGAGCTGTGGGTGAACTCAGCTCAGAGGGGAGGAGTGTTGTATTTGAATACTCATGTCTGTGATGGGAACAGGCATGGAAGTGGTGGTATGTGTGCTGTGTATATGCCATCTACCATCAAGATCAAATCTTCATTAGAGAAGAGAGGGAAGATCAGAAAGAATAAATCATTTGAGTGAGCTCCCCCAACAAGTAAATATCAGGTGAGGAGGAGAAACTAGAAGTCAGGTCTTCTAACTCATGGTGCAGAGTTTCCCTATCAGACAAGGAATATCTAATGTACACACTTATCAAGGGACTAATTAGCCAAGTAGTGTTCTCATTTCCTCCATGTCTTATTTGTTTCATTAGAAAAAAATTTTTTGTCTCCTCAAAGAAGCCTATGTATCGTGTAACTAGTAAACTACATCCCAAATTTGGATCTCTCAAATTTTCCTTTTAAGACTGGGCAGGGTGAGTCACATCTATAATCCCAACCCTTTGGGAGGCTGAAGCAAGAGGATTGCTTGAATCCAGGGGTTCAAGACCAGCCTGGGCAACATAGTGAGATTGCCCTCTACAAAAAATATGAAAATTATCTGGGTGTGGGGGGCATTCCTGTAGTTCCAGTCACTTGGGAGGGTGAGGTGGGAGGATTGCATTTCAAGACTGCAGTGAGCTATGATTGTGCTACTGCCCTCCAGCCTGGGCAACAGAACAAGAACTTGTCTCAAAAAAAATATTTCCTTCTATGTATTTCAATTATACTATACCTCAACAAAATTTTGTAATCTAGAATGGTGATGTCCAATACAGTAGCCACTAGCCCCTTCTGGTACTGAGAACTTGAAATGTAGCTTGCTGAGGAAATAATTTGAAACGTTCTTTAATTTTAAAAAATTGAATTTCAGTAGCCACATGTGACTAGTAGATATTGTATTGGATAGCCCAGAACATTTTGATTATTTCAGATAATTCTATTGAGAAGTACCAACCTAAAGAAATGTCTAATTCATTTTTTCTTTCTTTGCTTTTTCTGTTCCTAGTAGCCTAAATTTTCAAGGCTTGACCTAAATAAGACTTTTTTTGTAGCCCCAATGCCCAATTTCTTTTGACCATCTCCTCCTTTATTTTAATTTATTTTACAGCCTCCCCTTAGTTTGGGTCCTAAACAAGGCTGGGCTTGAGGTAGGGTCTGAAGAGTCATGTGGCAAGCAGCCCTTTCTTTTTAAGGCAGAAATTGAAAGGCAGAGATGTAGGTGTTGGTAGGGAGAGACCTTTTGGAGAGAAAGGCAAGGCCAGTACATTTTGTCTGGTAATATGGTTTGGCTGTGTCCCCATCCAAATCTCATCCTGAATTGTAGTTCCCATAATCTCCACGTGTTGTGGAAGGTAATTGAATCATGGGGGCAGTTACCTTCATGCTGTTCTCATGATAGTGAGTGAGTTGTCATGAGATCTTATGGTTTTACAAGGGCTTTTTCCCCTTTTGCTCATTCTTCTCTCTCCTGCCACCTTGTAAAGAAGGATGTGTTTGCTTCTCCTTCCACCATGATTGTAAGTTTCCTGAGGCCACCCCAGCCCCACAGAACTGTGAGTCAATTAAACCTCTTTATTTTATAAATTGCCCAGTCTTGGGTATGACCTTATAGCAGCATGAGAACGGATTAATACATCTGGTCAAGCTGAATTTTTGCATCTTCCTGATTTTGAAGTGCCAAATCCTAACTCCTAATCTATTTCTATACTTCTTAGTTTAAATTTCTTGATTCTTTTTCTCTCTCCCTTAGTCAGCTCAAGCCTTAATAGTTTTCTTTCATGCTTTGTCCACTATCCTTCAGAGCTTCATTTGATATGAGGAAAGGGTTTCTGAGCCACCTCCTCTGTCATCTTACCACCCTGTCCTTGCTTTTCCTTTCTCCTGTGAACTTGTCCTCTGTTTTCAAGGTCAATACTGCCTCTTAGCACAATATGTTAAGAGCACAGGCTTTTCACCCCAGCTCTGCCACTTATACCTGGATAATATACGGCATGTCACTTAACCACCTGGTGCTTTAGTTGCATCATTTGTAAAATGAGAGTGATACTAATGATAGGATCTACCTCCTAGGTTGTTTGGAGGATTAAATATATAGTGCTTTGTATTAATCTGTTCACACACAGCAATAAAGGACTGCCCGAGACTGGGTACTTTTTAAAGAAGAGAGGTTTAATTGACTCACAGTTCTGCATGGTTGGGGAAGCCTCAGGAAACTTACAATCATGGCAGAAGGGGAAGCAGGTACGTCTTACATGGCGGCAGGTGACAGAAAGGTGAGCAGGGGGAAACGGCCACTTATAAAACCATCAAATCATGTGAGAACTCATTCACTATCATGAGAATAGCATGGGGGAAACCACTCCTATGATCCAATCACCTCCCACCAGGTCCCTCCCTCTACACTTGGGGATTACAGTTTGAGATGAGATTTGGGTGGGGACACAGAGCCAAACCATATTATGCTTAGAAAGCATGCCTGGCATTGGCAGATCCTACATAAACATTAGATAGAATTGCAGGTGTCTATGTACTTGTTTCTCTCCCCCAGTAGATGGTAAACTCCTTGAGGGCAGGGGCTCAGCATGATTCCTGGCAGGTAGGAACACTTCCATAAATATTTCCTTAATGAATAAGTAAGTTAATCACTTGGATCAGATAATCACTTTCCACTTCTTTCAAATGTCTCTGCATGAACTTTCAGATCAGATCCAACACTCGACTCCTGGCTTCTGCTACTCAGTGCCTCTTGTTTCTGTGGCCTCCTTTGTCTCTGTTTATTCTCTTTCCTGAGTTCTTCTGCTGATGAGGTCTTGTAGGGGTCATTTAATCCATTCCCCAATTTCCAGCAAGTTCTAACATTCATTCACTGTGTGCTCCAGCTTGGAAGCTGGGCCTGGGGAAGACATCCAACACAAAGATTTTTTAGAATTCCCTAAACAGGAATTCTTTCTCCCTTTAGGAAAGTCCCAGGGATGCAGACATGAGGGCATTGGTCTGTCTTCCATGATGCCATTTCCTGGGCACTGAGGCAAGGAAGTGGGTGGGGTAAGAGGAGATGGTGTCACTGGTCCCGTCATTGAAGGATGGGTGGGGGGCACACCTTCCTGCCATATTGGCTGTGATTATGTTAACCTAAAAACAGCCTCGCCTTCTGGTTTTTATCACGTGGCCTGCCTACCCTTCCTCCCATCTTCATTCCTGGCACAGAGGTGGTTTTGTTCTGTCTTTGGCCCTTTCTGAAATATCAAACCCCATTGCGTCATGGTGCCAACCAACAGCTTGTTCAAGCCAGGAACAAAGAAACCATAACTGCTTCTTAAATTCTCCAGAATTTTCTGTTCCAGAGACACACTCCTAACTGTGTAGTGCCGACGTGACCTTTCATATGCAGTACAAATGAGGAATCCCTTCAACCCACAGCCCTCAGGGCTCAATGTCTAAACCATTGCCTGTCCTGACTGGTAGCTCTAATGAATTATAACTTTCTTCAGACCACCTCCTGTGAGATCTTCTTTAGCAACTTCTCTTCCCCCGGCCTTCTGCTGCCCCTGTTTTCCTCCTGGAAGCCACGGTTCTGACATAAGTTCATCTCTAGAGAGTGAGCAGCCAGAGAAAAGCCATGCTTGATATCTGATGGAGGTTGACAGTGCGCAGTTGACTTGGTTCCAGGTGCGGCTTCCTTAGCTGGTTGAGGTTGTTTGGCTCAGGTTGTTGACTCTAAGGGTCCCTTTCCCTTCTAAGAAAGCCAGAAATATCTGGATATTAGGCATATCTTGTCTGTGGCAAAATCCAGTTTCTTTTTCCACCCCTCCCTCCCTTCCTCCCTCCTTTCCATTTTCCCTCCCTCCCTCCCTCCCTCCCTTCCTTCCTTCCTTCCTTCCTTCCTTTCCTCCCTCTTTCCACAATTATTTATTGCCTAGCTCTCGTATGCCAGATAGATGCTGAAGAAACAAAATAAAATATTCCATTAGTCTCAATTCTTGCTCTTAGAACTTAGATCAGAGTGTGAAAAACATACTTAAAAGCAGAAACTATAAATGAATATAAAATTGCAATTATTGAAATATACACAAGATGCTGTAGGAGCCCATGAGGGGTGGCCTAAGCCAGACTGTGCAGAAGGCAGTTGTGCATAGAGGAAAAGTGATTCCCAAACATTGGTGTCTTATATAAAATGATGGTGATATGAGGTGGTAAGGACAATAATGGTAAAAGTTGCTGTCTTTGTATCCATATCTTCATTTGATAAGATCTAAGAGGGGGAAATCATGCATCAGTCCTCTAAAATTGTTAGAAATGTTACTGATCCATGAAACCTCAAAAGTTTAGGAACCTCTAGCTTAAAGCATGAATCAGAAGTAGGCTGGCAAAGGATAGAGCATTTCTGGCTGAAGACACCAGAACTGGGTCACTGGTGTGATGTTCTCTTGGCTTACTCGGGTTATACTGGGTTACCCCTGGCTTACATTGTTCTACTTTCGGGACATGCACCATGTGGCTCTTCCTATACAAAGATGGTGTCACAGAACCAACACCTGGGGTATGCTTTGTATTATTTCCCAGTAGAAGCAATGGAAGTTTTACTAAGCCTTCCATAATTTCACATCTATTCTTCCTGTTGACCAAGGGAATGCCTTTGCAGGAGGGAATGCCTTTGTGAGATGGGATGGAAAATGAAAACAGTTTCCAGTGGGGATCAAATTCATGACCTTGGTTCGTTAATATCCTTCACTAAGGAATTGGCCCAACCAATTACATAAAAGCTGGTTGTTCTAGGCACAGCTGCCATCATGGCAGATGTGGAAGTAAACACTGACCTGGGACTCACAAAATTGTGCTGTACTTATGGAACTCACTGTTTCCCAGCTGTGTAGCCTTGACTGTGTTGCTCCTCTTTTCTGCCTTTGGGTTTCTCATCTGAAAGAAAGAGAGCAGAATAGCTTTAGATTAGTGGTTCTCAAATTTGAATATGTAATATAATCACTTGGAAGGCTTGTTAAAACTCAGATTACTGTGTTCTACCCCCAGAATTTCTGGTTCAGTAAATCTGGGTGGGCCTAGGATTCTGTACTTCTGAAGATTTCCACATGATGCTCATGCTGCTGGTCCAAACACTACACTTTGGGAAACCCTAGATTAGACATTCATTCAGATCCTTCATCCCTAAGGTGATATTAGTAATTCCTATCTTTGAAAAGTTTATAATCTGATTATCATTTTACCTGTGGGAGGAAAGAGATTGATGATGTAATTCTCTCAGGCACCTTCTGTGCACTCATGCTGCAAAACAGAGAAAGGAAGGCTACCATAGTCTTCCCATCCATGCATCCCTGAGAACCTTTTTGCTGTGCAAGAGCTTTGATTCCTATCAGTCACCCTGTGTGGCCAAATCTACTATATGTGGTTCCAGGGACAGGGACAGTCTAGGAAATTCAGAGCAACAGATGGTAGTAAGTCTCCTCCCTCCAAACACTTTTTCGGGGATGACTGGTGAAAATGATGACGCAGAGAGAAGCCTGTTTGTATATACACATCAGGATGGATGAAGCAGTGCCAAAGATGATTAAATTAGATCAGATTAGATTGGATTAGATTAGATTAGATTAACCTGCAGATTAGTGTGCTCCCGTCTAGGTCACCATTACCTCCTCCATGTTCCCAGCATAAACGTTTTGTTGTGTAATTCTCATCCCATCCTCCAGTGGATGCTGGACCAGAAAGCAAAGGCAGATGTGGGTCCTAATATCTTCAGTACAGCCCAGATCCAGATGGTGTTAGAGATGGGTGTACATCTAAGGACTGGGTTTAATGGGCCATGGTAGAATGTAAAAGCATTTATATTCATGAAGGGCTTTTTTAGGTTTGGGGAGTATAGGAGAGAGTGGGACTGTGGTACCAATCTGGGGGTCAAACAAGCAGTGGCTTGGAATAGATGCGTGTTGGTCAGCTTTTATTCTCCAGCTCACATCCTCTTAGCCTGTGTTTCTGCTTTGGCCATTGCTTCAGCGAACAGCAGTGTGCAGATGTGGCCTGACCATGATTCCCCCCAGTACCTCACTTATCTCCCGCCTTCTGCCCCAAGCTTCCGTCCTGTGGTATGGGAATCCTGGGGTGAGCCTGCTAAGACAGTCTAAAGTGCTCAGGAGGTAACATTTTCTGGGGCAATCTTGACCAGTGAAGGACCAGAGCTAGGGGATAAATACTCATCTTTTGTGGTTTCAGGCAATCCTGAAGCACATAGTTCTCCAGGGGATCTTCAGGAGGGCTTAGCTGTAGTTGCCCACAGAAACCTAAACAGAAACCCATCCTTGGATTAGCTTTTCTTCTTTTCCAGTTTTATCCTCCCAGGTTCTTTTCTGTACTCTGGGGTCACTTCCTCAAAATAAACCACTTGCATGCAAGTTCTTGTTTTAGGCTCTGCATTTTGGAGGATTCAAAGTTAGGGTAATTAACATGTTTCAGATGTATGGCAACATTTTAAGATGAGTATGAGTAGACAGCTTAGTTTTTTTGTGTGTTTTTTTTTTGAGATGGAGTCTCGCTCTTGTCACCCAGGCTGGAGTGCAATGGCACAATCTCAGCTCACTGCAACCTCCGCCTCCAGGGTTCAAGCAATTCTCCTGCCTCAGCCTCCCAAGTAGCTGGGATGATAGGCATGTGCCACCACACCCGGCTAATTTTGTATTTTTAGTAGAGACGGGGTTTCTCCATGTTGGTCAGGCTGGTCACGAACGACAGCTTAGATTTTTTGAGCACTATTGATGTTCCAGTCTATATCCTTGCTTTTTAAAAATTAATATTAATATTTATTTCTATTAAAGCAACACAGATATAGTTTATGAAGGCAAATAGCACAACATGATATATAATAAAATGACTGTCCCCTATCTTGCCCCAGCTCAGTATCATCCCACTTACCAAAGGCAGGCAAGTTTAATTCTTAGCAATGTCTCTCTGTTGCTGTAAATACCATCAATGTATCAATTTTAGGCATTCATTTTTAAATGCCTGTTATGTTGGGTGAGATCTTAGCTCTTTTATACGCACCATCCCTCCCCATTCCACCACTTTAATTATAATTATTTTTTATTAAATTATGAGCAGTGTTACATTATTATAACTACATGAATATTGTTCATCGATGATCCAAGTAGTGGACTGTGATTGTGGCTCCTTTCTTGTATACCTTTTTGCGTTCTAGAGTATATAGCCATTTCTCATGTCTTTTTTTCTGCGTCTTGAGTTTTTAGATATTTATTATTTTTTCCGCTCTCTAAAACATCTCTTAATACTATCTTCCATGTGAGCAAATGCATCTGATAATCTGCCAATTCCATTTTTATTCTGGAGTCCTGGGTCCTGCCCTAGGCTCAGCAGGGCCTGCTGTAGAGTTCTCTCTCTGGGACTTCCTTCTCCCGTCTTCCTCTCTTTCCCTTCACCACTCTCTTGTATTGGGTCCCACATTTCTTAGATATAGATTTATCAGTTGACTCCCTAATTTTTGTGATCATGTATTCAGTAACAGCTTTTTTTTTTTTTTTTTTTTTTTTTTTTTTGAGGCAGAGTCTCGCTCTGTCGCCCCAGCTGGAGTGCAGTGGTGCAATCTCAGCTTACTGCAACCTCCGCCTCCTGGGTCCAAGTGATTCACCTGCCTCAGCCTCCCAAATAGCTGGGATTACAGGTGCCCACCACCACTGCCCAGCTAACTTTTGTATTTTTAGTAGAGAAGGGGTTTCACCAGGTTGGCCAGGCTGGCCTCGAACTCTTGACCTCAGGTGATCCACCTGCCTCAGCCTCCCAAAGTGCTGGGATTACAGGCGTGAGCCACCGTGCCCGGCCAGTAACATCTTAAAAAAGAATAAATAGAGGGTAAAATTTGAAACCTTTGTTTATCTGGACATGTCAGTTAGGTCTATAATTCTAGGTTGGAAATAATTTTTATTGCAACATATTGTTGTCAATAAGATAGTGTCAACAATATACTATCTTAATTACTTAAATAAATTTATTAAGCCCCAAAATAAGCCCCACTGACATTAAAATCTGAGAGCAGTAGTATAAAGAACTGACCTTCTAGAAATGTGATATAAGCCACATATGTAATTTGAAACTTTTTAGTAATCACATTAACAAAACTTTAAAAAGCAGATGAACTTAAATTTTAATGATATGTTTTATTTAACTTACTATAACAAGAATATTATGCTATTTATATAGAATTATTAATGAGAGATTTTACATTATTTTAGGACAAACTTTTTGAAATCTAGTATATATTTTACACTGATAGCACATTTCATTCCAGCCCCTCTGTCATGCTGGTCACATTTCAAGGGCTCGATGACCACATGTGGCTAGCAGCCACTGTACTGGGTAGTGCACATTTAGAGGGTATAAAGGTTAAGAGTGTCTGTTCTCCGGCCAGGATCACTGCGTTCTAGGTGTGTAACCTTGGCAAAATTACTTAACCTTGCTGTGCCTCGGTTTCTTCATCTGTAAAATGAGAAAAATAACAACACCTACCTCAAAAAAATGATACAAGGATTAAATGAATGGATAAATGTCTCTTACGGTGTTCTCCACATGTACCAAGAACTCTTCTAAATGCCTTACATGCATGATTTTTAGCAATGTAGAGCCAGGACAGGGCATTGAAGAAGGATAAACTTCTCCAAGAGTGGTTCTAAACATCATCTTTTAATGTGGTAGTAATAAAAGATTAAAAACAACTTCAAAACATGTCACAAAATAAATTCTAATAGATGTGGAACTTAAATGTGAAATCCAAAGCTTTAAAACTTTAACAAATTATTATCTACTAGTAGGTCACGAAGATATTCTCCTGTGTCATTTTTTTTTCTGTAAAAGACAAAAACGCCATCCATAAAAAATAAAATAAAATTGACCACAGAAGTTGTATTTCGTGAAATACACCAGAAAGATAAGTAAAAGAGAGAAGATATTTTCAACTCATATATTCAAGAAAAGCTTAGTATTTCAAATATGTAAGAATTACAAGAAAATGACTAGCAATCCACTTTAAAAAAATGGACAAATGATTAAGCATTTTACTCCCCAGGATGGCTTATAAATATTTGAAATAATGTGCAACCTTTGTGTGCATTATTTCAAACAATCACATATTATTTTACATCCTCTCTACCAGCAGAAATTAAACTACTCAATAATATCAGGTACTGGTGAAACTACAAAGCTTGGGGAATTCTCATAGAGCTGGTGGAGTGTAAACTGGCAAAGCCTATGATGGGAATTATTTTGCATTATCTACTAAAGTTGAGCATGAGTAAAATATATGTCCAGCAAGTCTGCCTTTAAGTATCTAAGCTACAGGATCCATGGTGCAGCTTTAGCAGGAGACACATATGAAGTCAGCCAACCTGTCATTGTTCACAACACACAATCTGAGAATCAACCAGAAATCCACCCAAAAAAGAATGGGTAAATAAATTACAGGATTTTCATATAATGCAATTCCCTATATCAATGAAAAAATTAGATTTTCATACACATTTCAATGTGGATAAGCCTTAGAAGCCTAACATTAGTAAAAACAATGCAAGTCATAGAATAAATATAGTATGGCACCATTTATGTAAAGTTCAAAAGCTGGTAAAACTAAACAATGTATTGTTTACAAATATATACATGTGTGGTAAAATTACAAAGAAAGCAAAAAAATTTGATTAAAATGAAATTCAGCATAATGGTTCCTTTGAGTTAGGGAAGAATGCAATATTGTAGGAACACATATGGGGTTTAAGGTTATTGGTGAGGTTCCATTTCCTAAGTCAAACGGGAGGCACAGGTGTTTTTAATATTATTTTAGCTATGTATGTATATTATATATTCTCTTTTTATGTATATTATACTTTACAGTATAAGAACAATGGATTGGAATTTGTGTTTAGTAGCATGGTTTTTTTTTTTTTTTTTTTTTTCCTTCTTTGAGACAGGGCCTCACTCTGTTGCCCAGGCTGGAGCTCAGTGGCATGATCATGGCTTGCTGCAGCCTTGACTTCCTGGGCTCAAACTATCCTCCCACCTCAGCTTCCTGAGTAGATGGGACTACAGACATATGCCACCATGCCCAGCTAATTTTTGTATTTTTTTTTTTGTAGAGACAGGGTCTTGCTATGTTGTCCAGGGCAGTCTCGAACTCCTGGGCACAAGCAATGTGCGCCCCTCAGCCTCCCACAGTGCTGGCATTACAGGGGTGAGCTCACGGCTGGCAGTAGCAGAGCTTTAAGACTAGGCTTTACTGGACTGGGCCCTGGAATTTAGGGTGATGAGACTGTGAGCTGGAGTTTTCACTGGGAGACCTCCAAATTCCAATACCTGTAAGTCTCTCCTCTGGGTCCATTCAATTTTCTAGAGAATTGTCCAACTTCTTGCCTGAGAGGTGGATACTGGCTTTCAGTAATCTGACGCTCTGGAGAAAAAGTGCTAGAAGGGGTGAGGACTGGTGGGGTGTATGAAGAATTCCACTCAATCTGTGGCTGCTTCTTCCATTCTCTTTTCTCTTTGACTATAATTTTAATGAGTGTTGAGGACAAACACACATATTCAACCTGATGAATTTAACCACAGCTACTGCTTCCAGCAACCCTTTAGACATAGGATGATGATCCCTATTTTGCAGTTAAAAACAACTGAGACTATGAAGGGGACACATGATGGCAAGTGTGAAAGACTCCAAGGCGATTCTTCCTCCTACACTGTCTCCCTCCCAGCAAGAAGGCTCCAGGTCCTTGTAACCATTTTGTCTCCAGCTGCATCTTGATGTCTAATCCAGAACCTTCCCGCTGCAAGTTCCCACAACTGTTCTCTGCTGGATATAAAGAACAACTGGTAGCAGGACCCTGAGGTCGGTAGTGACGCAGCCTGCAAAGCCATGCGCTTCCAGCCAGGTGTGTGAAAGTAGTGGCGCCTCTCTTGTGTGCAGACAGAGTGACTGATTCCCCCTGCTCGTGGCTTCACAGATGCATGGTGTTGCCTTTGGGAGTGGCAGCTATTCAATGTGGCTGCCAGCCTGGTGCATACTGTGAAGCACTGGCAGTGAAACTTTATCTGGCAGTGTTGGGGGAGAGAGACGAGAGAAAGAAAGATGGGAAAGTTACTTTACTTTTTTTTTCTTTGATAACCGCAAGTTTCCTGCACTCCCTTGGAACCAAATTTCTGTTTTGACTAAATGGAAAGTCTCTAGGGAATGAGGGCTGATGGGGGAGATTTTTCTCAAAAGCACCCTTTGTTGTCTTCCATCCATGTCTGTTTCCCCCACTGCTCTCGCCTCACTTATACTCCTTTCTTTCTGCCCTCTCTGACCCATCTCCACTATCTCCATCAGCTGCGAACTGAAAAGACTCTGCATCTATTATAGGCATCCCTTGTGGGGTCACGGGGAGGCCAGTCCCCTGAGAGATCAGTGGGCTGGGCCTGTGCGGTCAGGTGCTGACAATGGCAAGCTGGAGGGGGACAGGCTGGAGGGGGGCAGCCTGGAGAGGGGCATGGACCCAACCTGAATGTCCTGGATGCTCTGGCTGGATGCTCTACGTGTCAGCTCCCAAGTCCCAGGGTGTTCCCAGGCAGAGTTTCATCCAGAGCTTCATAGGTCTAGAGACTCCTGTAATCAGTCATACAGGCAGGCATAGGATGTGATCACTCTTGGAGTTTTAGAGTCAAGATCTACTAAAATTTGGGCCAGGAGAGAAGGCAGGCAAAGGGAAGTTGTTACAGGAAACTACAAATAGGAGCTGAACCTACTTTGCCCTCTAAAATAAAACCCACTTGCTCTGCACCCAGTTCTCAGCAATCCTGTGGTCACAGACTGGGTTGCCACAGCCTCGTTCTTATCCTCCAGTGGTCAGAGGTCAGAGGTGTCCCTTCGTGCTGTCTCCATCATCATGGTTTAGAGCCTCCATTGGCCAGCCAATGGCCAGCACTGGAACAATGACAGTTGGAACCTATTATCTTCTTCTATTTTGTTTTTAGTGTACCTCTGTCAGTTAACAGCAAACACAAGCAATCACACAGAAGTAGACTCTACATTCCTTCAGGACAAGAAACTTGTTATTTTTAACTTTTAATAAAGAGCTTAGAGTTAAAAGAAACAGCATATTGGCATAAAATGAAGCAGTAGCATTGCTATTTTTTTTTAACTTTTATCTTAGGTTCAGGAGTAAATGTGCAGGTTGGTAAACTCATGTAATGGCGGTTTATTGTACAGACTATTTCATCACCCAGGTACTAAGCCTAATACCCAACAGTTATTTTTTTCTGTTTCTTTCCCTCCTCCCACCCTCCACCATCAAATGGACCCCAATGTCCGTTGTTCCCCTCTTTGTGTCCATGTGTCATCATTTAGCTTCCACTTACACGTGAGAACACGTAATATTTGGTTTTCTATTCTTGTGTTAGTTTGCTAAGGATGATGGCTCTATCCACGTTCCTGCAAAGGACATGATCTCATTCTTTTTTTGGCTGCATAGAATTCCATTGTGTTTATGTACCACATTTTCTTTATCCAGTCAACCATTCATGGACATTTAGGTTAATTTCCTTTCTTTGTTATTGTGAATATTGCTGCAATGAACATATCCATGCATGTGTCTTTATGGTAGAATTATTTATATTCCTTTGGGTATATATCCAGTAATGGAATTGTTAGGTTGAAGGGTGGTTCTGTCTGTAGCTCTTTAAGGAATTGCCACACTGCTTTCCACAACAGTTGAACTAATTTACACTCCCACCAACAGTGTATGAGAGTTCCCTTTTCTCCACAACCTTGCCAACATCTGTTATTTTTTTCTTTTTAATAATAGCTATTCTGACTGTTGTGAGATAGTACATCATTGTGGTTTTGATTTGCATTGCTCCAATGATCAGTGATGTTGAGCTTTTTTTTCATAAGCTTGTTGACTGCATGTGTGTCTTTTGAGAAGTGTCTGTTCATGTCCTTTGCTCATTTTTCAATGGGGTTGTTTGTTTTTTCCTGTAAATTTGTTTAATTTCCTTATAGATGCTGGATATAAGATTTTTGTCACATGCAAACTTGCTGCATAAAATTTTGTTACTGTAGCCCTGTAACTAGTTTGAAGTCATTACTTGGTACCTCCAGCTTTGTTTTTTTGTTTAGGATTGCCTTGGCTATTTGCACTCTTTTTGATTCCACATGAATTTTAAAGTAGTTTTGTTTTTTACTAGTTACATGAAGAATGTTGTTGGTAGTTTGATAGAAATAGCACTGAATCTGTAAATTGCTTTAGTCAGTATGGCCATTTTAATAATACTGATTCTTCCTATTTATGAGCATGGAATGTTTTTCCATTTGTTTGTGTCATCTCTGAATTCTTTGGGCAGTGTTTTATACTTCACATTGTAGAAATCTTTTGCCTCCCTGGTTAGCTGTATTCCTAGATATTTTGTTCTTTTTGTGGCAGTTGTGAATGGGATTGTGTTCTTGATTCGGCTCCTGGCTTGGCTGTTGTTTGTGTATACGAATGCTAGTGATTTTTGTAACTTGATTTTGTATCCTGAAACTTTGCTGAATTTTTTTATTAGCTGATGGAGAATTTAGGTCAAGACTATGAGGTTTTCTAGATATAGAATCATGTCATCTGCAAACAGGAGTGGTTTGACTTACTCTCTTCCTATTTGGATGCCTTGTATTTCTTCCTCTTGCCTGAATGCTCTGGCAGAACTTCCAATGCTATTTTGAAGAGGAGTAGTGAAAGAGGGCATTTTTGTCCTGTGCCAGTTTTCTAAGGGAATTCCAGCTTTTGCTCATTCAGTAGGATGTTGACTATGGGTTTGTCATAGGTGGCTCTTATTATTTTGAGGTATGGTTCTTCAATACCTAGTTTATTGAGAGTTTTTAATATGAAGTGATGTTGAATTTTATCAAAAGCCTCTTCTGCACCTATTGAGTTAATTGTGTGGTTTTCATCTTTAGTTCTTTTTATGTGACGAATCCCATTTATTAATTTGCATATGTTGAACCAACCTTGCATGTCAAGTATGAAGTCTACTTGATCATGGTGGATTAACTTTTTGATGTGCTGCTGGATTCAGTTTGCCAGTATGTTGAGGATTTTTGCATCAATGTTAATCAAGAATATTGGCCTGAAGTTTTCTTTTTTCGTTGTGTTTCTGCCAGGTTTTGGTGTCAGGATGATGTTGGCCTCATAGAACGACTTGGAGAGGAGTTCCTCCTCCTCAGTTTTTTGGAATAGTTCCAGTAGGAGTGGTACCAGCTCTTCTTTGTACATCTGGTAGAATTTGGCTGTGAGGCTAGGCACAGTCACGCCTGTAATCCCAGAACTTTGGGAGGCCAAAGATCCCAGAACTTTGGGAGGCCAAGATGGGTGGATCACTTGAGGTCAGGAGTTCAAGACCAGCCTGGACAAAATGGTGAAATCCCATGACTACTAAAAATACCAAAAATTAGCCAGGTGTGATGGCACATGTCTGTAATCACAGCTACTCGGGAGGCTGAGGCAGGAGAATCACTTGAACCTCGGAGGCAGAGGTTGCAGTGAGCCAAGATTGTGTCATTGCCCTCCAGCCTGGGTGACAGAGCAAGACTCTGTCTCAAAAAAAAAAAAAAAAAATTTGGCTGTGAATCTGCCTGGTCCTGGGCCTTTTTTGATTGGTAGGCTATTTCTAACTGATTCAATTTTGGAACTCATAATTTGTCTTTTCAGGCAATCAATTTCTTTTTGGTTCAGTCTTGGGAGGGTGTATGTGTCCAGGAATTTATCCATCTCTTCTAGGTTTTCTGGTTTGTGTCCATAGAGGTGTTTGTAGTAGTCTCTGATGGTTATTTTTATTTCTGTGGGGTCAGCGGTCACATCCCTGTTATCATTTCTGATTGTGTTTATTTGAATCTTCTCTCTTTCTTCCTTATTGATGTAGCTAGTGGACTAACTAATTTTTTCAAAAACATAGCTAGTGGATTCATTGATCTTTTGTATGGTTTTCTGTGTCTCCATCTCCTTCAATTCAACTCTGATTTTGGTTATCTCGTCTTCTGCTAGCTCTGAGGTTGATTTGCTCTTGCTTATCTAGTTCATTTAGTTGTAATGTTATGTTGCTAATTTGAGATCTTTATAACTTTTGACATGGGCATTTAGTGCTGTAAGTTTCCCTTTTAACACTGCCATAACTGTGTCCCAGTAATTCTGGTATGTTGTATGTTTGCTCTCATTAGTTTCAAAGAACTTCTTCATTTCTGCCTTAATTTCATTATTTACCCAAAAGTCATTAAGAGGCTGGTTGTTTAATTTCCATGTAATTGCATGGTTTTGAGCAATTTTTTAAGTCTTGATTTCTATTTTTATTGTGCTGTGGTCCAAGAGTGTGTTTGATATAATTTTGGTTCTTTTGCATTTGCTGAGGATTGTTTGATGTCTGATTGTGTGTTCAATTTTAAAGTACATGCCATATGTTGATAAGAAGAATGTAAATTCTTTGTTTTTGGATGGAGAGTTCTATAGAGATCTATCCAATTCAGTTGGTCTGATGTTGAGTTCAAGTCCTGAATATCTTTGTTGATTTTCTGCCTCAATGATCTGTCTAATACTGTCAGTGGAGTGTTGAAACCTCCCACTATTATTGTGCAGGAGTCTAAGTCTCTTTGTAGGTCTCTAAGAACTTGCTTTACGAATCTGGGTGCTCCTGTATTGGGTACATACATATTTAGGATAGTTAGGTCTTCTTGTTGAATTGAGCCCTTTACCATTATGTCATGCCCTTCTTTGTCTTTTTTAATATTTGTTGGTTTAAAGTATGTTTTGTCTGAAATTAGAATTGCAATTCCTTCTTTTTTCTGATTTCTATTTGCTTGGTGGATTTTCCTCCATTCCTTTATTTTGAGCCTATGGGTGTCATTGCTTGTGAGGTGGGTCTCTTGAAGACAGCATACCATTGAGTCTTGCTTTTTCATCCAGCTTGACACTTCGCGCCCTTTAAATCGGACATTTAACCTGTTTACATTTAAGGTTAGGATTGATATGTGTGGATTTGATCCTGTTATTGTTAGCTCAGTATTGTACCGGCTTGTTTGTGTGGTTGCTTTATAGTGTCACTGGTCTGTGTACTTAAGTATATTTTTGTATTGGCTTTTAGTGGACTTTCCTTCCCATGTTTACTGCTCCTCTCAAAATCTCTTCAAAGGTGGGTCTAGGGTAATGAACTTCCTCAGCATTTGCTTATTGAAAAGGAACGTATTTCTCCTTTGTTGAGGAAGCTTAGTTTGGCTAGATATGAAATTCTTGGTTTAAGACTTTTTTCTTTAAGAATGTTGAATATAGGCCCCCACTCACTTCTGGCTTGTAAGGCTTCTTTCTGCTGAAAGGTCTGCTGTTAACCTGATGGGATTCTCTTTGGAGGTGACGTGCCCTTTCTCTATAGCAGCCTTTAACATTCTTTCATTTCAACCTTGGCAAATCCAATGATTATGTGTCTTTGGGTGATCTTCTTGTGTAGAATCTTGCAAGGGTTCTCTGCATTTCCTGAATTTGACTGTTGGCCTCTCTAGTGAGGTTCAGGATGTTTTCATGGACAATATCCTGAAATATGTTTTTCGAGTTGCTTACTTTCTCCCCATCCCTTTCAGGTGTGCAAGTGATTCATAGGTTTGGCTTTTTTATATAATCTCATATTTCTCAAAGGTTTTGCTTGTTCCTTTTCATTCTTTTTTATTTTTTTCTGACTTTCTTATTTCAGAGAGAGAAAAGAAAGCCTAGGTAGAGGGAAGGCCATAAACAAAGCTGGGAGGTATAGAAGGACAGAATAACACTGGTGTCTTTAATCCTAATCTCTTTAGTTGTAATTGGGGGCATAAGCTCCATGCTAACAGTTATTTCAGGTGACTGATTTCTTGTACTACCTTGATATTACAAGCAGGCATAAGATGTGATCACTTTTGGGTTTTTTTGTTGAATAGATGGAAACGTGAGTAAATGAAAATTACTGGAATATCTAGATGGGGAACACAAACCATGTAGAAATGAGATCTCCTTTGGTGACCAGATGTGCAGATGGCCTCCATCAGCTACTATATGCTAATTGCCTAGGAGACACATGTTAAGAGTGGCTGGTTAAAAGAGAAGCTTGCATAGTGTATTAGTCTGTTCTCACACTGCTAATAAGGACACACCTGAGACTGGTAATTTATAAAGGAAAGAGGTTTAATGGACTCACAGTTACACATGGCTGGGGAGGCCTCACAATCATGGTGGAAGGCAATGGAGAAGCAAAGGCACATCTTACATGGCAGCAGGGAAGAGAGCATGTGCAGAGGAGCTCTCCTTTATAAAACCATCAGAACTCATGGGACTTATTCACTATCATGAGAACAGCATAGGAAAGACCCACCCCCATCATTCAATTACCTGCCACTGGATCCCTTCCACAAAATGTGGGAATTATGGGAGCTACAATTCAAGATGAGATTTGGGTGGGGACACAAGGCCTAACCATATCACATAGACACAGATAACCAGAGGGGATATATTGCTGTGTTGGTGTATTTGGAGTACTATTCTAGCAACTTGTCACCCTTTCAGGGGTCTGTATCTCAGCCCAAGGTACATTGCAGCTAGGCAACTTTCTTGGTTATGGCTGACAGTAAGCATGACTTCTAAGCATGACTTTAGGTTGGGGCATTAGGTCAAAATTCAGAGTGACCCTGTGGAAGGGCACTGGGGAAATGAGAGGACAAAGATTGATAGTAGAAAGGACAGTAATAACACACTACCTAGACCAAACACAAGTTGATAGTGAAGAGGAGAGTGTCTCTTTCTGTGGTAGCTGGAGGCCGACATTGCTCCTGGGGTATCTGGGGTATTCCTGTTAAACAGACACAGGCCTGCAGTTCTATGGCTTTTTAATTTTTTCTTTTCTTTTCGAGTGAAGTGGGTAGGAGGAAAAGGGGGTTGGAAGAAGGGAAGTGACCAAAAGGAATCTGCAGACTTGAAGTAGTCAAGAGATTTGAGAATAATTTGCTTTGGACTACAGGGAAGAGCAGAAGGAAACCGAGACATGTCAACAGATTTCTTAATTGGCAAGGCACAAACCCAGAAAGCTTTAGAAGCTGGAGATTTTGTGGTGAGAATTGGGATACAGAGTGATTTCCAAGGAGACTCACATCTTATGCTGACTATTCTGTGTGTCTGTGGCTTTAGTTTAGGTACAGTTTGTACCCCGTTGATCTCTGTCTGTAGTAAAAGTCATTTGGTGGCACTTGCGGTGACTGTTGGGGCTTGACTGGGAGCCATGAAGAGCAGTACCCAGGGCTGAGCACTCAGGCAGCATACTCCCAAGTTTTCAGGCAGCACAAGTGACCTCACCGCGGACAGCAGGAGGCTTGTGATTCATCTACAACCTGTTCCAAGGGTCCTCTTGCAGTATCCCTGCACTGACCAGCAATCCATTACACTCACTCACATGACTTTGCATCTCTTTTCCATGCAGGAGGGGAGCAGGATGACTTCTTAAGGGCACACATTTCTTGCTGTTAATACAGAACCCAGGGATACTCAGGATGACTAATGTGGAGTGTTTGAGCATTAACTTTCCATCTGAGTCTATACAAGAGTCACCAAATTGGGTGAGACCATAGTTATGCCATCTCTGCTATTCTGAGTTCAACACCCATAGACTTAAACTCTAAGAAACTGTATTTCGACCTATACTTCTTGTGAGTAATGAGTTCTTCTTGGTGTTTACTTAACACCATTGGCACACGCATATCCTGTTATGCTAGTAAGATGTTATAAAATAATCTGAAGTGTTTATGCAAGTTATAACAAAATTTTCTTTCCATTACTTCTAATTCTTGTGTTTTGATACCATCTTCTTTATAAAATTTGATAACATTACAATTTTCTATTTTCCCATTTTACCACTGTCTTTATTTCCTATGTTGCTGTAAAAAATGAACACAAATATAGTTTATAACAACACAAATTTGTTTTGTTATAATTCTAGAGGTTAGAAGTCCTAAAATCAAGGTGTCAGTAGGGCTGTGCTCCTCTTGGAGGCTCTAGGAGAGAATCTCTTTCCTTGCCTTTTTATAACTTCTTTAGAAGCTGTCTTCATTCCTTGGCTCATGGCCCTATCTTCAATCTTGAAACCGCAATGTCTTCCAATGTCTCTGTGCCTCTACTGTATCGTCATGTAGCCTTCTGACTCTGATCATCCTGTTCTCTCTTATAAAGACCCTTGTCATTACATTGGGTGCATGTGGATAATCCAGGATGATCTCCTGATCTCAAGATCTTTAATTTACAAAGTCTCTTTTACCATGTAAAATAACATATTCAATTGGCTCATGCCTATAATCCCAGAACATTTGGAGGCTGAGGTAGGTGGATCACTTAAGGTCAGGAGTTCGAGACCAGACTGACCAACATGGTGAAACCCTGTCTCTACTAAAAATACAGAAAATTAGCTGGGCGGTGGTGGTGTGTGTCTGTAGTTCTAGCTACTCAGGAGGTGGAGGCAGGAAAATTGCTTGAATCCGGGAGGTGGAGGTTACAGTGAGCTGACATTGTGCCTCTGCACTCCAGCCTGGGGGATAGAGTTGAGACTTTGTCTCAAAAATAAATTAAAAAAATAATAAAGTAACATATTCACAGGTTCTAGAGATTAGGATGTGGACATGTTTGAGGAGCTATTATTTCATCTACCATGACCATTACTTAATCATATTGTGATTACTGGTTAATAATTGTTCACTACAAGTGATTTTCTACAATAATTATCACTTAGTGTTGAGGAACAAGTTTCGGTGAATTCTAACTCATCTTCCTGTGGAGCTTCTGAAACTTGATAAAAAGCAGTAAAAGAGATGTAAATAATGCTTGTACACAATTTTTCTACTTCTCCAACATAATTCTGGACCATAGCACATAACAAATATTTATTGAAAAATGATAAGAAAAATCAGTACATGGTTAATTGAAATTTTGACACTTTTCTTTCAAGTAAATAATTAATATTACTTCCACTTCAGAACAAATAGTTCTAGATGGATTTATTTTTGTTCCTAATGGCAATTAGAAAGAACAGTCCAACCGAAAACATATTATTAGTAAATGCTAAAGAATATTAGACCTTAGTTCCTATGTGCTAGGCGCTATGCTGATGATTCAGATTATTTCATTTAATCTTCATCACAAACCCTATGAGCTTGATACAGTAATATTCCCTTGTTGTAGGTGAAAAGAGTGAAACTTGAAGAAGCTTTATAATTGTCTTATTGGAGCTATTAACCTAGGGCTATATTGGGTCCTCATGGAGTTGACCAGTTTATGACTATGCCTACCTTTCTCTGTATTGTTAGCTTCAGTGGCTATTTCTGGCATCAGCCTGGTGGCCCTGTTGATGCACGGAGTGGGATCATCCTATACCACCCACCTCAACCTTTCCCTATTCTTGGGCTCAGGAATAAGAAAGGGCCTCATCTCCTTAGCATGCGCAGTGGGTCCTAGCAGCTCTCCTGAAAAGCTAGAATTGACAGCCACACCAAAAGGATTCTGCTTTATTTATCTCTTAGATTTTCCTCCTACAAAGCCCCTACACCTGGGGTTTTAAAAGTTCCACGAGTGAGTGAATGAGTGGAATCTGCAAGGGGAGTGGGAGCAGGGGCAGGCAGCCAGAGTTTTCTTTGCTGGCAGCTGCAGCCAGCTTTAAAAACGTTCCTTCTCCGCAGATGGGAGGCTTCTTGACTCATACCCTGATTAGCAGAGTAAGAGATGGGGTGGAGAGGACTGAGGCTGGAGCCAGCAGGATTTGATGGGCCAGGCAGGTAGGGAAGGGGCATTGTGTTTACCAGGGAGTCTTGGGAGCTGAGGATACTGGGAGAGAGCAAGAGTGTGTGGGCTTCCTGGATGCCCATCCTGACTCCACCACTGAGGAGCTGTGTTTGCTTGACCTTTTCTTCAACAACATCATTATCATCATCATTATTATTATTGAGGAATTTTTTTTTTTTGGCCCCATTTTCCTTATCAGTACAATGTTTATAAAAGGTCATGCCTGGCTGGGCGCGCCTGTGGTTCACGCCTGTAATCCCAGCACTTTGGGAGGCCGAGGTGGGCAGATCACGAGGTCAAGAGATTGAGACCATCCTGGCCAACATGGTGAAACACTGTCTCTACTAAGAATACAAAAATTAGCTGGGCATGGTGGCACACGCCTGTAGTCCTAGCTACTTGGGAGGCTGAGGCAGGAGAATTGCTTGAAACCTGCAGGCAGAGGTTACAGTGAGCCAAGATCATGCCATTGTACTCCAGCCTGGGCAACAGAGTGAAACTTTGTTTCAGAAAAAAAAAAAAATTAGTCATACTTTACAATATTGTTGTGAGTATAAGTGCATTATTAAATGTATAGATATTAATAAATGTAAGTATATATAAGTTAATATCAAACACATAGAACAATGCCCAGTTATGTGCTCAGTAAATGTGAGCTATTGTTAGAAATACTTTTATTAAGACCTTTCTGGAAGAAAATGGAATTGAAGAAAATGTCTTCTGTGCCAGAGAAGTGAAATATATACAGTGAAAGGGGGGTATAGGATTGACAGATTTAGCAAAACAACAACAACAAAAATCCAAAAAACACAACAGGGCTCTGAGTTAATTTGAATTTCAGATAAACAACAAATTAAAGTATAAGTATGTCCCATGCATTATTTGTTATTTATCTGCAATACAAATTTAACTGGTACTGTGTTTTGTCTGGCGATTCTATGGGGAGTAGGAGGAGAAGAGAGAAAGGAAAATGAAATCTCTACTTATACCTAGAGGGAAAATGTTGATGCATTCACAGCGGTATTCCAGCCAGCCTCCTTTCTCGTGTTATGTTTCATGTTATGTTTTGAGGGCACTAAGGCCAGATAAGGAAATCTCTCTCCACAGCCTCTATATGTCTCCAGCAGCTGAGACTAGGCAGCCATTTCCCTGCGTTAATCCACCCCATGAAACTGGAGCCTGTGTTGGCTGGTTATGAAGCTACACTGTCTTCCATCCCCTACTCTTCCCCAGCACACAAACACAGAGGCTTTGGTGTAGAGGTGGAGAGGTTAACCGGGGGAAGGGGTAGAAAAGGGATTAGAGTTTTATCAAAATAGCATCTGCAAAGATCCTTCCAGAATAGGCATCACTGGAAGCATGTCTGTGGCCAGGGGCCAGGGCTGGGGCGGGGATGGAAAACACCAGCTGTTAAGGAGGAGTCCCTTGAGGGTGGAGGCCAGGTGTAGTCCTTGTAGAGGGAGGGGTAGGCTCTCCTCCCTCCCTTCTCATGGCCTTGCGCCCCACCCAGTTTCTTTCTCTTTCTTTTTTTCTGTCAAACTGTCTCTTTCTAAGCATCAGGTAGTCAGCTCCTGTTGTCTGAATATTAACCTGGTAGGACTCTTGCATTCTGCTTGAGGATCTGCGTCTGAGAGATTCTGAGGGCCTCCTGGGGTAGGTAAGCTTGCAGGTCTGGGGACAGAACCCTGCTGCTTTGTGGAGCTCATCCCTTGGAAACCATCTTATCCTGTTTCCTGTCTATACCTCAGGCTTGCTCTAAACTAATTCAGATAGGACAGTAGAAAGAGAACATTTTATTTCTCAAGATCACAATTTCTCCTGGCTCTCAATGCTAACAGCAAAGTTATATCTAAAGTTTACCTACATCTGGCTTCACTGAGCGTCTCCTCCTCATCCCTGTTGTTGGTCCCTGTTCTCTGAGGTATTTTCTATTTCCTTTCTGCATCTTATGTCTACTTATTAGTAAAGAACAAAGAAGTCTGAGTGGTTCATTGAAGAATGCTCTATCCTGAGGTGTTGAACTTTCTAAGCATGGCATCAAGGGAAGGAATCCACGAAGAAATCACAGGCTTTCCTAATTTTATTGTGCTTTGCTTTAGTGTGCTTTGCAGAAATTGTGTTATTTACAAATTGAAAGTTTGTGAAAAACTTGCCTGCAGCAAGTCACTTGGTGCCATTTTTCTCAAAAGCATGTGCTCACTTCATGTCTCTGTTAGATTTTGGTAATCCTTATAATATTTCAAACTTTCTCATTATTATTAGATCTGTTATGGTAATCTGTGATCTTTGATGTTACTATCATAATTGTTTTGGGGTGTCATGAACTACATGCATATAAGATGGCAGACAATCAACAAATATTGTATGCGTTCTGACTCTTCCACCCGTAGGCTGTTCCCTATATCTTTCCTCCTTGGGCCTCCCTATTCCATGAGACACAATATTGAAATTAGACCAGTTAATAACCCTACAATGGCCTCTACATACGCAAGTGAAAGGAAGAGTTGCACATCTCTAAATCCAAAGCTAGAAATGCTAAGAAAGAAAGGTGTATTGAAAGCTGAGATAGGCCAAAGCTAGGCCGCTTGTGCCAAACAGCTAAGCTGTCGATACAAAAGAAAAGTCCTTAAAGGAAATGAAAAGTGCTACTGCAGTGAACAGATGAATGAGAAGAAGGAGAAATGGACTTCTTGTTGATATGGAGAAAGTTTTAGCCATCTTAGAGAAGAGCAAAGCAGCGACAACATTCCCTTAAGTCAAAACCTAATCCAGAGCAAGGTTCTCTCTTCAATTCTGTGAAGGCTTAGAGATGCGAGGAAGCTGCAAAAGAAAAGTTTGAAGCTCGCAGAGATTGGTTTATGAGGTTGGTTTCATGAGGAAAAGAAGCTCTCTCCATAACATGAAAGTTCAACGTGAAGCAGCAAGTGCTGATGGAGAATCTGCAGCAAGTTATCCAAAAGAACTAGCTAAGATCATTGATGAAGGTTGCTACACTAGACAACAGATTTTCAGTGTAGATAAAACAGCCTTCTATTGAAAGAAGATGCTATCTAGAGATTTCATATCTGGTGAGGAGAAGTCAATGCCTGACTTCGAAGCTTCAAAGGCTAATTCTTTTGTTAGAAGCTAATGCAGCTGGTGACTTGAAGTTGAATCCAATGCTTATTGACCATTCAGAAAATTCCAGGGCCCTTAAGAATTATGCTAAATCTACTCTGCCTGTGTTCTATAAACGGAAAACCAAAACCTGGATGACAGCATACCTGTTTACAGCATGGTTTAATGAATATTTTAAGCCCACTGTTGGGACCTACTGCTCAAAAAAAATTTCTTTTGAAATATTACTGTTTATTAATAATGCACCTGGTCACCAAGAACTCTGATGGAGATGTATGAAGAAATTAATGTTGTTTTCATGCCTGCTAACACAACATCCATCTGCAGCCAGTGGATCAAGGAGTCTGATATGGTTTGGCTGTGTTCTCACCCAAATCTCATCTTGAATTTTAACTCCCACGATTTCCACATGTCTTGGGAGGAACCTGGTGGGAGGTGATTGAATTATAGGGGTGGGTCTTTCCTGCACTGTTCTCATGATAGTGAATGAGTCTCACAAGATCTGATGGTTTTAAAAAGGGGAGTTTCCCTGCACAAACTCTTCTCTTGTCTGTCGCCATGTGAGACATGCATTTCACCTTCTGCCATGATTGTGAGGCCTCCCCAGCCACATGGAACTGTAAGTCCAACAAACCTCTTTCTTTTGTAAATTGCCCAGTCTTGGGTATATCTTTATCAGCAGCATGAAAACAGACTAATACAGAATCATTTCGACTTTCACGTCATGATTTAACATATACATCTTGTAAGGCTATATATTTCATAGGTAGTGATTCCTCTGATGGTTATAGGCAAACTAAATTGAAAACCTTCTGGAAAAAATTTCACCATTCTAGATGCCATTAAAAACATCTGTGATTTATGGAAGGAGATCAAAATAGTAACACTAGCAGGAGTTTGGAAGATGTTGATTCCAACCCTCATGGATGACTTTGAGGGGTTCAAGACTTCAGTGAAGAAAGTAACTGCAGATATGGTAGTAGCAAGAGAACTAGAATTAGAAGTGGAGCCTGAAGATGTGACTGAATTGCTGCAATCTCACAATCAAGCTTTAATGGATGAGAAGTTGCTTCTTGTGGATGAGCAGAAAAAGTGGTTTCTTAAGGTGGAATCTACTCCTGGTGAAGATGCTGTCAATGTTGTTGAAATAACAATAAAGGATTTGGAACATTCAATGAAAATAGTTGATAAAGCAGCAGCAGGATTTGAAAGGATTGATTTCAATTTTGAAAGAAGTTCTACTGTGGATAAAATGATATCAAACACCATCACATGCTCCAAAATCTTTCTCGAAAGAGTCATTCCACATGGCAAACTTCATTGTTGTATCATTTTAAGAAATTGCCACAGCTACCCCAATCCTTAGCAACTACCAGCCTGACCAGTCAGTAGCCATCAGCACCAATTCACGACTCTCCAGCAGCAAAACTATTACAACTTGTTGAAGGCTTAAATGACCCTTAACTTTTTATTAATGATAATGTATATTTTAATTAAGGTATGTACATTGTGTTTTTAGACATAATGCTATTCCACACTTAGTAGACTACCGTATAATGTAAACACAACTTTGATTTGCACTGAGAAGGCAAAGTATTTGTGTGACTTTCTTTATTACGGTATTAACTTTATTGTGGTGGTCTGGAACCAAATGTGCACTATCTCTGAGGTGTGCTTGTATTGATAGATGTGTTTCCATAAACACTGAAGACTTTCATGTGTCTAAAAATATTACTTAAAAATAGTATACAGGAAATATTTGTTATATATATCCTTTATATAAAGAGCTCTTACAAATCAGTAACAGAGGAACATACATAACTCATGAAGGATTTTAAATTGCCAATCTATGTATACATATAGAAAAAAGGTCGATCTGAAAGATAACAAAAGAAATTCAAATTAAAATAACAGGGCAGGTGCAGTGGCTCATGCCTATAATCCCAGGCTTTGGGATGCTGAGGTGGGAGGATTGCTTGAGGCCAGTAGTTTGAGATCAGTCTGGGCAACATAGTGAGACCCTGTCTCTACAAAAAATTAAAAAATTAGCCAGTCATAGCGGCACACACCTGAAGTCCCAGCTACTCTGGGGGCTGAGGTGGGAGGATCGCTTGATCCCAGGAGTTTGCAGTTACAGTGAGCTGTGATGGCACCACTGTACTCCAGCCTGAGTGACTGAGCAAGACCCTGACTCAAAAAGAAAATAACAATGATATATTATTTTTGTGTGTCTAAAAAATGACAAAAATATTAAAAACCATTAATACCACAATTTGGCAAGAATGTAGAAAAACAGACTCTTCAAGCACTATAAATTGTTTTGAAATGTACAGTATTTTGGAGGGGTAATTAGGCAACACAAATCAAGAAACAAGAGTGTCCCTACTTTTCAAGCCAGTTTTTCTACTTTCAGAAATCTTTCTCAGATAGTAATTAATGTTTTATCACAACACTGCTTATGTTGAGAAAAACTTTGCATTTATTCTGATTGTTTTCATAAATAATGGTACATTAATCATTAGAATTCTATGTAGCCATTTAAACTCACGTTGCAGGACAGTGCTTTTTAAGCATTTCTAAGCCTTTCTCAGTGGAGTTCCCTGGATGGAATTTTGGGTTCTAGGTCTCTCATTCCTCATTGGGTGGTTTTTTGTTTTACATACTTGGCTTCCTTGTAAGATTTAACTCAAGCCAAGGATTCATAGTTAAAAAAAATCATTTAAAAGCCACACCTGGAGAACATTTAGTGAATGACCAGGTATCTTCTGTTTAACCTTCCAGACCTGCTCTCTGCATTTCTCCACTCTGCTCTCTGCCCTGGGCAGCTGACCTTTATGGGTCACATCAGTGGATCCTTGTGCCCTTCTTGCAGCTGGGTTCAATCAGTGGGAATCTCCAGCTACAATCAGAGACAGAGAGAGGAAGGAGAGAGAGAGAGAAGAGGGTTGATTCTTCTGGGTCCCTCCTCTGTGAGATCATCAGGAGCTGATGTCCTTTGAACAAAAAGTCCTTTCAAGAAGCCATTTCTACGTGATTCTTCCCGGGTTTCCATGCCACTTTTTCCTCTTGCTCTTTTAGGCTTGGAGGTAACAGCAGCTTCAGTTACGATGCTTTTTCTTTTCGTTTTTTTGAGATGAAGTTTCACTCTTTTGCTGAGGCTGGAGTGAAGTGGCACTATCTCGGCTCAGTGCGACCTCCCTCCCCTGGGTTCAAGCAATTCTCCTGCTTCAGCCTCCCGAGTAGCTAGGATTATAGGCACCTGCCACCATGCCCCACTAATTTTTGTATTTTTAGTAGAGATGGGGTTTCACTGTGTTGGCCAGGCTGATCTCGAACCGCTGACCTCAGGTGATCCACCCACTTGGCCTCCCAAAGTTTTGGGATTACAGGCATGGGCCACTGCGCCCAGCTGATACTTTTTCTTGTGTTCCTCTACACTCAGGGTTGCCGTAGAACTTATTGTCATCCTTAAGAGTCAAAGAGGATGATAAAATAATTATTTTTAATTTGTTTGTTGACCAAAAATTAGTTTTGTTATATTGTGGAGCTTATAAAATAGTTAAAATAGTTCTATTCAAAACTGCTCTCAAAAGTAAAGCTCTTTCTGTTTTTTTTTTTTTTTTTTTTTTTTTTTTTTTTTTTTTTTTTTTTTTTTTTAGACAGAGTCTCACTCTGTCGCCCAGGCTGGAGTGCAATGGTGTGATCTTGGCTCCCTGCAGCCTCCGCCTCCCGGGTTCAAGCAATTCTCCTGCCTCAGCCTCCAGAGTAGCTGGGATTACAGGCATGCACCACCATGCCCAGCTAATTTTTTGTATTTTTAGTAGAGACGGGGTTTCACCATGTTGGTCAGGCTGGTCTTGAACCCCTGACCTCAGGTGATCCACCCACCTCAGCCTTCCAAAGTGCTGGGATTACAGGTGTGAGCTACCATGGCCCGGGCAAAAGTAAAACTCTTTCTAAAAAGCTAAAATAATATATGTGTATATACTCATTAAATCAAAATTATAAAAAGCTTCTTTAAATTTATTATTTATTAAAATTACATGAACAAAGTAATAATTATTCTTGATGCATAGTCATGTATTTTAGTTTCTCTAATGCTTTGTCACTGCAGTTTTTTCTGAAAATTTTTTTTACAATGTTCTCTGAAATATTCCTCTATCTCAATCTCAGGAAGACTAAATACTGCAGATTGAGGAGTGAGTAGAGGCAAGATTATATATATGTGTGTGTATACATACATACACACGTATGTTATATATGTGTGCATGTGTGTGTACACATACATGTACATATATGTACACATATATCTACATATATTTGCAGTTGTAAATGTAGGCTAAGTCTTTTTAAAAGTAAAGAGAGCCAATAGAAATCATTTTTGGAATGCAAAATTGTTCTGGGTATTCACCAATGTAAGGAAAGATATTTTCAGGATTCTTAGAAGTGGAGCTTTGAGAGATTGAAGGGGCCAGGTGTAGGCAGCATGGAGTGCAGGAGAGAGCCCAATCGAATAGAGGGCCCAAGATGAAAGAAATGACATTCCCAGGTTTAGAAAAAGAGGGCTCTGTCCCAGCTTAAAGAATCACCCAAAGATAGAAACAAGTCAGTAGCCCTTAGTGACTAGTACCTATGGAAAGTTTTAGCACCTAATAATCTGTGTGAATGTTAACTACAGTAGTGGAATTTGAGAGTATACTCCTCCTACCTGGGTATGGGCAGAGGAAGAGAGTGGGGAATGAAAAGTCAGTGAAAGAGTGGATGGAGGAGGCTATGGAACCAGGGTTCTGTCCAGCACAGACAGGAATTATCCCTCTTTCTCCCTGTGTGGCAGGGACATCACAGAGAGGACTTGAGGACCTCTTCCAGGCACAGGAGGTAGTGACAAAGCCCTCCTTTCATCAAAGCTCTGTGTTTCTATGGCAGGATTGGGGAGGATGGGAAGGAGGACTCCATTAGGAACAAAGAACATAGTTGCAAACTGTAGCTCCCCATCTTCCATCCTGGAGATGCTTATTAGGGGCCAGAGAAATGCAAGGGGGGTTGGAGAAGCAAGCCACCTAGCCAAAGAGAGGGCAATGGAAAGAATCTAGAAATAGAGTTGGAAGACCCAGTTCCAGCAGGAGGAGCATGAAGGAGACAGATGAGGTGGAGAGTGAAAACCCCTTGGGGGGTTGGCTGGACAGAGGCCAGCAGGGTGGTGGAAAATGGCTGTTGGTGCCAGGAGAAGAATGAACTTGAGTGAGAGGCCATGGGAGGGTGGGGGAAGAGGGCATGGGGCAGGCCCTGCAGGAATCAGAGACATAGTGAGAGCTGATGGTGATTCCAGCTGTCCAACATCCATTCTGCTGATTTGTGCTGGCAGGATGAAGGTCTGGATGGGAGTTGAGAGCAGTAGGCGGTGGAGGAAGCAGGTGCTGCAGGGGGCTGCTGAGGGTCAGGGTGTTGTCTCTTGGGACCAGCATGAGTCACAGCACTGGTTCTCCCACCATGTGCTCCCCAAAAGTGGGATTCTTTTTTTATTCTTATAGTTTGCAGAGTGCTGATTCTAGACCAACTTGTGTTCTGAGAAAGGCTGAGACACCCTAAAAGAGCATGTCAGCTTGGGTCCTGCGGCAGGGCCTCCTTAAGGAGTGCTCCATCTTTGTCCTGGCCCTGGAAAGCTCTAGGCTGGGGCAGGAGAGGGTCAGCGGCTCTGCAGCCAGGGTATGGGGTGGGAGACCTGGGGGCTCCCTTGATACCTGGAGGTCTTTCTGGTCTCCTGAACTTGCTCCTTCTTGCCCATTTTCCATGGTGGTTGCTTGGATGGGAAGGTGTCAGAGAAGGTTCTCTGCAGAACAAGGCAGATCTAGGGAAGCAGGCAGGGGAAACTGGGTCAAGCTATGAGCTGTGTTCTCAAAGCTCTTTCTTCCTCTTCTCCAGCATTTCTAGGAGATGAAAAAGAGGCAAGTAAGGAGGAGAGAGTGCCTTTAAAGTAAAGATGAAGAGGGACTTACTGCCTCTCATCTCCAATCCCTGTAAGCCAGTTGTAAGAGCTATAGTCCTTCATTAACTGAATATCTTTTTTAGGTTCCATTTCACACACCTATTCTAGAGACTGTAACCCACCCCATACTGTCACATCCCAGACTCTAACCACCCATTTTGTCTTATCTAAGTTTGTTGTTCACTTGACATTAGTCCATTTCTTCTCTTGTTCTCTACTCTTAGTAGAGGACAAGCTCTCTTTATGGAGAGAACTCAGTACAAAAATGGGCCTAGTGTTAGAGACAGGACACAAAGCCCCTGGGCTCCCCAGAGGCATAGGGCTGATGGGGCTCAGGGAACGACAAGTGACAGAAGGTCTTGAGAAGAAAGACGAATGTCAGGGCCAGAAAGACCAGTAAAGAGATGGAGTCTTTGAAGTTCTTCCCTTCCTCCTCCCTCCCTCCTTCCTTTCTCTCTCTCTCTCCTTCCTTCCGTCCTACCTTCCCCTTCCCTTCCCTTCCCTTCCTTTCCTTTCCTTTCCCTTCCCTTCCCTTTTCTTTCATTTTCTTTTCTCTTCTCTTTCATAGACTTATTAAGCTATAATTCATATAGCATATAATCTCCCATTTAAAGTGTACAATTCAGTGTTTTTTAAATCATATTCACAGAGTTGTGTATCATTACAAGTTTAGAACATTCTCACTGCCCCAGAAAGGAGCTCTACATGCCTTAGCCAACCCCACTGCAACACTCCCATCGCCCCCTTGCCCCAGCCCTAGTTAACAACCAATATGCTTTCTCTGTGAGATTTTTTAATCCAACAGCCAACTCAACCCAGGATGCTATGTATGCATGGTATGCTATAGAGCCTAGAAACTGCTTTCCTACATTCATTTTAGTTTTGTTCTTTTTATCAACTCATTCAAGTAAGCAGGGCAGATGGTTGGTTGTGTCTTGCATTTTTCAGGTTGGTAAACTGGGGCATCTCTAAATGACAACATTTCAGCTTCAGTAGAGGGATGGAGTGATGTGGCCTTTCACGTCTATGAAAGAAAAGTAAAGAAGAGTTTGTGAGTAACATTTCCTTCAGCACTCCTCAAAATTTAGAAAAATGAAGGCAAGAAACAAGATGAAGAAGAAAGAAGAAAAGGGTGAGACTGCATTTGGAGGGATTGAGGTGAAACACCTGTTAGAATACTCTAATTGAGATGTATGGGCTGCTGAAATGCACTGTCAGAGGTAGCTGCAAGATCTCCCTTTCTTGGAATTAAAAAGAAAACAAAGCACGGTAGAGAGCTCTCTGGCAGGATTTATTTTAAGGAGAAGTAGTATCGAGAGGCAAGCAAATGGATTAGGTGACTCTTCAGTCTCTCTTGGTACTAGGATACCACGTAGGCAGGTGGCAGAGGCATCCCATCCATGCTTAGGTGAAGTTATTCATAGCCCCTATAAAGAGGAGGTCCTATTTATTTTTCATCCTTCTGTCTGTAAAGTGAGAAGCTGTCTGCTTCCTCAGCTGTGGAAAAAGCACTCTATGAGGCATTGTAGAAACTGTAGAGAAAAGGCCAGCATAATTCTTGCCCTTCAATTCAACTTTTATTTGCGTATCAGTGCATTCTGGTTATCTGCTGCTGTGTAATACACTACCACAAAACTCAGTGGCTTAAAACAAATGATCATTGTAGCTCCCAGTTCTGTGTGTTGACTGGGCTCAATGAGGCAGTTCTTGCTTGGGCTCTCTTGCAGTCAGATATTGGCTGGGCTGCAGTTTTTTGAAGGCTCTAGCAAGTTAGTCATCTGCAATGGCACACTCACAAGGCCGACAGTTGCTGCTCAGTGGGGGCTGTAAAGTGGTCCATCCTCATAGAGCTTCCCCACATGGCTTGGGCTTTTCACAGCATGGTGACTATGTTGTCTGGAGGATCCAGGTTGGCTTCACTCACATGCCTAGTACCTTGATGGGAACAGTTAGAGGGCTCATCTGGCCTCCCTTTCCTCTCCATGCAGTCTTGGCACTTCCTCACATGGTCTCTCCAAAATAGTAGTCACAGTGTCAGTTCACAGCTCCAAGAGACCAAGACAAAAGCTATCAGTCCTTTCAAAATTAGGCCTAAACTGGCACAGTGTCACTTCTGCTATACTCTGTGGGTCAAAGCAGTACTGCCCATCTCAGATTTAAAAGGAGAGAAAACAGATCCCACCTTTTAATGGAAATTGTGACAAAGAATTAGTGACCATCTTTAATCTGCTAGGCAGTGGAGGGGAGTCAGTGATGTACTAAAGAGCCATAGGAAAAGAATGCATAGTGCCTCAAAACGAAAATAGACAAAAGGGTTTATTTGACTAAATCTATGAACATAAGAATTGGGCTAGGGTGGTATATATTGAAGTTGAAAAGTCCTGGAATAATTAAAACAACTGAGTTAAATGAGCTACATCTTGGAATAATTCATTCATTAATTCATTTATTTAATAGACATTTTTGGGACCATAATTAATATAAAGCACTCATACTACTAAGATAAATAAGACACAGCCCCTGCCTTCTAGGTGCTCAAAGTTAGGTAGTTCATGCATAAATGATCCCCCAAGTTCCCCCTAAAATAGTTCTTTGTATATACACTATGCTCAACACAAAGTATTACAGTTTATGTCCAAAGACTACACAGAAATAATGCTGCAAAGATACAATGATGTTGTTGGCACAGATCTCCTGCTTTAACATGGTATCAGATAAAAAAAGAAAGAAATATTAATCATTTTTAACAAAAATAGAAGAAAGATATTGGGCAGAGTGGCCAAAGTAAATAGACTTTGCTGGAGATTCCTTCTGGTGGGTATAAGTGCCTTCATAGAACATTATTTGGAAGTGATGGAGTATGTTCAAGATTCTTGGGTTCCACTAAAATTGCTCAAAGGCCTTGAGAAAACAGGGGTTATAATTCATGTTTCTGGACCAGAATTTTTTGACATATCCAAAAGGACTCCCAGGAGGAATGTGAGATTGCTGGATTAAGGAACATGGCCTTGCTGTTGCACAACACGCATATCACAGCCCTATTCTAAAAACAAGGCATAATTCTGAGCAAAAGAGAGGAGATAGGGAGGTGTACAGCAACAGAGGGAAGCAAGCAAAGATGGAAGCAGAGCTGGACAATGGCACCGGAGGCAGAAGGAATGAAGAAGAGGCAGTGGGGACAGCTTATACCAACTAGCATTAGCCACGGCCAATTGTTGGAGCTGATTTGATTGGAAGGCAAGGCAAGTCAGTTGAAAAAAACCTAGCATTTTTAGCTAATTTGGCTGTTTTAAAAATTGAATTGATCAGTTTTAGTGGGAAGATCTAGCCACTGTATCATACTGAACCATACAGGAAACACAGGGAAAAGGAAGATGGTCCATGGACAGGTGGTAGAGAAAGAGGACATTGCTTTAAGCACTGCACTTCTTGGCTTACCTTGGACCTTGGACTAGAGTCAGCCTGAAGACCAGGGAGAAAACACTCTAGTGGAGGGAGAGGATTTATAAGGAAGAAGATGCATCATCTCTTCCTCCGTTCTCTAGTGCACTCTTCACATCACTGCCCTCTTCACATCACTGCCCTCACCTTCCCTAAAACACTGCTGTTGTTATACGTTTCTCTTGTTTACTGACTTGTGGTAATTTAGATTTGCAGGAAAAAACATGCTTCTAAGTTTTTCATTTCAGACTACCAATCTGGCCCTACTATTTAACTTTCAAATCTACTAGCACCCAACAATAGCAGAGTAGTTCTCTTGTTCCATAACCTTCTGCCTCCGTTCTTTTTCACCACCTGAAACATGTTCTCTTCTTTTCTTCTGATCTTAGACATACTTTAAAGCCTTTCTGTACAATGAAGTTTCCTGGATCACTCAAGATGAGCTCCCTTCTCTTCCCACTGATATGTTCATTTGTTTAACAGCCCATTTATTCATTTATTTATTTGCTGAATTAATACTCATTGGATGAACATACTTATTAAGCATCCACTATTTGCCAAGGACTAGGTAGATAGATTTAAGACACATTTTCTACGCTCGAGGAGTTTGATGTGAAGGAGAGAATTCTCAACTCCTATAGCACTCACTCGTTAGCAATATCATGCTCTACATTGCTAGTTATATTTTTCATGTTCTCTTTCTGCTGCTATTGTTTGTTTTATTTTAATCTGTAAAATACATTTTTTTAAAGGCAGATAACCTGTTTTCCAGTTCTTTTTATTCCCCCTAAAGCCTTGCTGTTACGAAACTCCCTGGAAGCATAAAGGGTTTGGAAGTGCTTGAGAGCAGTGGGCTGGTAGCAACAAGTGCATGACAGGCCAGAGAGTGGGAGAAGGGATCAACGTATGTGATTTGATGGCTGTAAAAGGAAACAAATTACTTCATGTGACTACTGGAGCCTAAAATCAGAAAGGCGAGGGCTATTTTCCCTGTTTAAAATGAGCATATCAATGAGGAAGGCCTCTGAGGAGTTACTGATTTGTGTCCCCTCATATCCCAGGGATCCAGGAACATGAGACCCAGCCTCACCTGTGAGAAACAATGTAGAATGGCATAGGGATTGACTGAGTGGTCCAGACTGTTAGCATGGGCGTTGAGCACAGGGCACCATGTTGCCTTATCTCTCAGGAGGTGTCTTCGGCAGGCAGCAAGATTACATTTGAACAGTCATAGAGGCCAAGGCCCCCTTTTGGGATTCCAGATTGTTGCTGGAAGAGAGACTCCACCTCACCCATCCCCTTTCCCTCTGATTTATTCAGGTTATGTATGGACACTCAAACAGGGTGCATGCTGTGAAGAACACATGATTCAGTCAGAAAACAATGAATGAGGAGTCAGGAAAGGTGGTTGTAGACTTAGTCTTGGCTCTAATGACTTGTGTGACTTGGGGCAATCCCTTTTCCTCTGGGCCTTCGTTTTCCCATCTGAAAAGTAAGGGAGCTGAAATAGTTCAGTCATTTTGTTCAACTTTTTAAACAGTAGAACCCTTTCATCAAACAAATCATAATGCAGAAGTTCAGGATACAGGACATATAGAGGCAGAGCTGAATTGACTGATAAGGCCCAGAAGGGAATAAATAGACCACTCACTTACTCAGGACTTCCTCTCCCTTCTGCTGCCCAGCACACCTTTTGAAAACCTCTGGACTAGAAGGGTGGACTCTACAAGTTTTAACAATTAGGATGCAAAATTAACCAAAATTAATATTAAGAGGCTCATACCCAATACAAGCATTTTGATAAATCATGTAGACTTACTACTCTCTATCCTTGTGTTAACTATTAGTAAAACTCATTTTTACCTTTAAGAACAAAATAAATATAGCTGGAAGTTTTAATGTTTCCTTCCCACACCCCAGTGGCTTGTCTTGCTCAATTCCTAAAGTGCACATGCCCTGGTTTGGAGACCACTGGCCCTCAGGGATCCCCAGGTTCTTTCCAGCCCTGCTGCTTGCCTGGAGTGCCAGCATTTCCCAGCCTTATTTATTACTTATAGAAGAAGCAATTTTCTGGGTTCCTGGGAGAGTGAGAGCATAGCAGCCATTGTGGGGAGATTAAAAATACTCCACTAAGAACTGGAGACTCTGTCAGTATCTCTGTGGGCCAGGCCTGCTCTGCTGGTTCAGGCATCTGCCTGGGACCCTCCCCTGCATTCACCTGTAGTCTCTCAAGTCTCCTGGGAAAATTTCTCAGCACGTGTCTGGCATGTGCCTCTCTTCTAGCCATGAACCAGTAGCCCCAAACCAGGCTGTGCCAGATTTCTCAGAACTCTTCTGATGAACAAAGAACAGCAGCTTGAACACTCTGCACCACCATCTAAGAAATATTTTGTGAGGAGTAGGGAGCTTAGGGGGATGTGTATGACAGCCTCTCCTTCGTCATGCTCTGGCCAAGTGGCTATCTGTTCCTGGAAAAGAAAGGAAGATGGGGGAATTGTTGGGTCGCTTTCTTTGGGAGGACCGTGGGGGCTCAGGGGCGCGGTGGCTGAGGCCCAGACCCCAGTTCCCAGTCCCCATCCACTCATAACTCATTTGAGAGATATGCAGAGCTGTCAGAACTGCCAAAAGCCTCCTTGCCAAGGCAGGCTTCTCTCCAAATGGGCTTCTATATTTATGTGAAACCAAAATAAAACACAGCGCTAAAAGGCAACAGACATAAAATCAGGCAATTGCTCACAAGGGCATGTTTAATGAAAGGCAAGACAGTAGGGGGTGAGGCCATGAGGGGCGACCCAGAGCAGAACGATGGCTCGGTGGGCCTCAGGGATCTTGACTTAGGTGCTGCCAGGATGCTGTCCACAGACAACGGCCAGGCAAGTCTCAATGCCCCCTGTCTTAGTACAGCCCACACAGAGACATCAGAAGCTGTATTAGTTTTCTGGGGCTGCCATAACAAAGTACCACAAACCGAGTGGCTTAAAACAACAGAAGTTATGCTCTCCCAATTCTGGAGGTCAGAACTGTAAAATCAAAAGGTGTTGCCAGAGCCATCCTCTGTCTGAAGGCTCCAGGGGAGGATCCTTCCTTGTCTCTTCCAGCTTCTCATGGCTGCTGGCATCCTCAGTGTTCTTGGCTCATAGCTGCATCACTCCAGTCTCTGCCTCTGTCTTCACATGGATGTCTCTCCTGTGTGTCTGCATCTCTCTGTCTGAAGTTCCCTCTTATAAGGATACCAGCCATATTGGATTTAACGCCCACCTTAATAGAGTATGGCCTCATCCTGACTTGATTACATCTATAAAACCCCTGTTTCTCCATAAGGTCACAGTTACAGGTTCTAGGTGGATATAGATTTTGGGGGATAATATTCAATCTGGTCTAGACCCCAAATGCACCCTGTGCCATGGAAAAGTGGGGGCTTTTTTTTAAAAAAGAAAGTCTGCTTTCTTAAACTCAGAATATTACACCCCTTCTCCAGTTTAGCAAAGGCTCTAGGCGGATGGGAAGGGTGATGGTCTTGCAGTCTCCCTTCAGGCTCCTCACACAGGCAGGTCTCTCAGAAGTCCAGATGCTTAATCCCCCTCTCAGCATAACCCAGGAAACTAGAGGTCTCACCACTTTTGAAAGACTTCCAGGAAAGATGATACACAACTTACATTCTTGGTGGACAGGAGAAGGTCCAAATTTCAAATAGGATTGATCAAATCAAACCTCTGTCTGAGCTGTGTCAGCTGAGTAGGGCATAGAAACATCTACCCTGAATTTTGAAGATAACTTTAAAGCTTGGACAGATGACGCCTCTTTTCCACTGCTTTTTTTTTGTTTGTTTGTCTGTTTTTTTTTTGTTTGTTTTTTGTTTTAAATAGATGGATTTTCCCTCTTGTTGTCCAGGCTGGAGTGCTCACGGCACTCTCGGCTTGTGGCAACCTCCGCCTCCCGGGTTCAAGTGATTCAGCCTCCCGAGTAGCTGGGGTTACAGGCATGTGCCACCTTGCGCGGTTAATTCTGTATTTTTAGTAGATACAGAGTTTCTCCATGTTGGTCAGGCTGGTCTCAAACTCCTCACCTCAGGTGATCCACCCACCTCAGCCTCCCAAAGTGCTGGAATTACAGGCGTGAGCCACCACTCCCAGCCCCCCAACCCCTTTTTCTTTTTTTTAATTACACTTTAAGTTCTGGTACACATGTGCAGAACGTGCAGTTTTGTTACACAGGTATACATGTGCCATGGTGGTTTGCTGCACCCATCAACCCATAATCTACATTAGGTATTTCTCCTGATGCTATCCCCTCCCTTGCCCCAAACCCCCAACAGGCCCTGGAGTGTGATGTCCCCCTCCCTGTGCCCATGTGTTCTCATTGTTCAACTCCCACTTATGAGTGAGAACACGCAGTGTTTGCTTTTCTGTTCCTGTGTTAGTTTGCTGAGAAAGATGGTTTCCAGCTTCATCCATGTCCCTGCAAAGGACATGAACTCATTCTTTTTTATGGCTGCGTAGAATTCCTTGGTGTATATGTGCCACATTTTTTTATCCAGTCTAACATTGATGGGCATTTGGGTTGGCTCCATGTCTTTGCTATTGTAAATAGTGCTGCAATAAACATATGTGTTTGTGTCTTTATAGTAGAATGATTTATAATCCTTTGGGTATATACCCAGTAATGGGATGGCTGGGTCAAATGCTATTTCTAGTTCTAAGTCCTTGAGGAATCACCACACTGTCTCCCACAATGGTTGAACTAATTTACATTCCCACCAACGGTGTAAAAGCGTTCCTGTTTCTCCACATCTTCTCCAGCATCTGCTGTTTCCTGACTTTTTAATGGTCGCCATTCTAACTGGCATGAGATGGTATCTCCCTGTGGTTTTGATTTGCATTTCTCTAATGACAAGTGATGATGAGCTTTTTTTCATATGTTTGTTGGTCTCATAAATGTCTTCTTTTGAAAAGTGTGTGTTCATATCCATCGCCCACTATTTGATGGGGTTGTTTGTTTTTTTCTTGTAAATTTATTTAAGTTCCTTGTAGATTCTGGATATTAGCCCTTTGTCAGATGAATAGATTGCAAAATATTTCTCCCATTCTGTAGGTTGCCTGTTCACTCTGATGGTAGTTTCTTTTGCTGTGCAGAAGCTCTTTAGTTTAATTACATCCCATTTGTCAATTTTAGCTTTTGTTGCAATTGCTTTTTTTTTTTTTTTTTTTTTGAGAGAGTTTCGCTCTTGTTGCCTAGGCTGGAGTGCAATGGTGCGATCTTGGCTCACCACAACCTCTACCTCCCGGGTTCAAGTGATTTTCCTGCCTCAGCCTCCTGAGTAGCTGGGATTGCCAGCATGCACCGTCATGCCTGGCTAATTTTTTGTATTTTTAGTAGAGACGAGTTTTCAAAATGTTGGTCAGGCTGGTCTTGAACTCCTGACCTAGTGATCTGCCTGCCTTGGCCTCCCAAAGTGCTAGGATTACAGGCGTGAGCCACTGTGCCCAGCCTTGCTTTTGGTGTTTTAGTCATGAAGTCTTTGCCCATGCCTATGTCCTGAATGGTATTGCCTAGGTTTTCTTCTAGGGTTTTTATGGTTTTAGGTCTTCAGTTTAAATCTTTAATCCATCTCGAGTTGATTTTTGTATAAGGTGTAAGGAAGGGGTCCAGTTTCAGTTTTCTGCGTATGGCTAGCCAGTTTTCTCAACACCACTTATTAAGTAGGGAATCCTTTCTCCATTGCTTGTTTTTGTCAGCTTTATCAAAGATCAGATGGTTGTAGATGTGTAGTGTTATTTCTGAGGCCTCTGTTCTGTTCCATTGGTCTATACATCTGTTTTTGTACCAGCACCATGCTGTTTTGGTTACTATAGCCTTGTAATATAGTTTGAAGTCAGGTAGCATGATGCCTCCAACTTTGTTCTTTTTGCTTAAAATTCTCTTGGCTATATGAGCTCTTTTTTTGTTCTGTATGAAATTTAAAGTTGTTTTTTTCTAATTCTGTGAAGAAAGTCAGTGGTAGCTTGATGGGAATAGCATTGAATCTATAAATTACTTTGGGCAGTATGGCCATTTTCACGATATTGATTCTTCCTATCTATAAGCATGGAATGTTTTTCCATTTGTTTGTGTCCTCTCTTATTTCCTTGAGCAGTGGTTTGTAGTTCTCCTTGAAGAGGTCCTTCACATCCTTTGTAAGTTGTATTCCTAGGTATTTTATTCTCTTTGTAGCAATTATGAAAGGGAATTCATTCATGATTTGGCTCTCTGTTTGTCTATTATTGGTGTATAGGAATGCTTGTGATTTTTGCACATTGTTTTTGTATCCTGAGACTTTGCTAAAGTTGCTTATCAGCTTAAGGAGTTTTTGGGCTGAGATGATGGGTTTTCTAAATATACAATCATGTCATCTGCAAACAGAGACAGTTTGACTTCCTCTCTTCCTATTTGAATACCCTTTATTTCTTTCTCTTGCCTGATTGCCCTGGCCAGAACTTCCAATACTATGTTGAATATGAGTGGTGAGAGAGGGCATCCTTGTCTTGTGCCAGTTTTCAAAGGGAATGCTTCCAGCTTTTGCCCATTCAGTGTGATACTGGCTGTGGGTTTGTCATAAATAGCTCTTATTATTTTGAGATATGTTCCCCCAATGCCTAGTTTATTGAGTGTTTTTAGCATGAAGGGCTGTTGAATTTTATCAAAGGCCTTTTCTGCACCTATTGAGATAATCACGTGGTTTTTGTCATTGGTTCTGTTTATGTGATAGATCACATGTATTGATTTGCATATGTTGAACCAGCCTTGCATCCCAGGGATGAAGCCGACTTGATTGTGGTGGATAAGCTTTTTGATGTGCTGCTGGATTCGGTTTGCCAGTATTTTATTGAGGATTTCCCCATTGATGTTCATCAGGGATATTGGCCTGAAATTTTTTGTTGTTGTTGTGTCTCTGCCAGGTTTTGGTATAAGGATGATGCTGGCTTCATAAAATGAGCTAGGAAGGAGTCCCTCTTTTTCTATTGTTTGGAATATTTTCAGAAGGAATGGTACCAGCTCCTTTTTGTACCTCTGGTAGAATTAGGCTGTGAATCTTTCTGGTCCTGGGCTTTTTTGGTTGGTAGGCTATTAATTACTGCCTCAATTTCAGAACTTGTTATTGGTCTATTTAGGGATTCAACTTCTTCCTGGTTTAGTCTTGGGAGGGTATACTTGTCTAGGAATTTATCCATTTCTTCTAGATTTTCTAGTTTATTTGTGTAGAGGTGTTTATATTATTCTCTGATGGTAGTTTGTATTTCTGTGGGATCAGTGGTGATCTCCCCTTTATCATTTTTTTTTTTTGTGGTCTATTTGATTCTTCTCTCTTTTCTTCTTTATTATTCTGGCTGGTGGTCTACTTTGTTAGTCTTTTCAAAAAACCAGCTCCTGGATTTATTGAATTTTTGAAGGGTTTTTCATGTCTCTATCTCCATCAGTTCTGCTCTGATTTTAGTTATTTCTTGTCTCTGCTAGCTTTTGAATTTGTTCACTCTTGCTTCTCTAGTTCTTTTAATTGTGTTGTTAGGGTGTCGATTTTAGATCTTTCCCACTTTCTCCTGTGGGCATTTAGTGCTATAAATTTCCCTCTAAACACTGTTTTAGCTGTGTCCCAGAGACTGTGGTACGTTGTGTCTTTGTTCTCATTGGTTTCAAAGAACTTATTTATTTCTGCCTTAATTTTGTTATTTACCCAGTAGTCAGTCAGGAGCAGGTTTTTTAGTTTTCAGGTGGTTGTGTGGTTTTGAGTGAGTTTCTTAATCCTGAGTTCCAATTTGATTGCACTGTGGTCTGAGAGACTGTTTGTTATGATTTCCTTTCTTTTGCATTTGCTGAGGAGTGTTTTACTTCCAATAATGTGGTCGATTTTAGAGTAAGTGTTATGTGGTGCTGAGAAGAATGTACATTCTGTTGATTTGGGATGGAGGGTTCTGTAGATGTCTATTAGGTCTGCTTGGTCCAGAGCTGGATTCAAGTCCTGAATATCCTTGTTAATTTTCTGTCTCACTGATAAGTCTAATATTGACAGTTGGGTGTTAAAGTCTCCCACTATTATTTTGTGGGAGTGTAAGTCTCTTTGTAGGTCTCCAAGAACTTGCTTTATGAATCTGTGTGCTCCTGTATTGGGTGCATATATATTTAGCATAGTTAGCTCTTCTTGTTGCATTGATCCCTTTACCATTATGTAATGCCCTTCTTTGTCTTTTTTTATCTTTGTTGCTTTAAAGTCTGTTTTATCAGAGACTAGGATTGCAACCCCTGCTTTTTCCATTTGCTTGGTAAATCTTCCTCCATCCCTTTATTTTGAGCATATGTGTCTTTGCACATGAGATGGATCTTCTGAATACAGCACACTGATGGGTCTTGACTCTTTATCCAGTTTTCCAGTCTGTGCCTTTTAATTGGGGCATTTAGCCCATTTACATTTAAGGTTAATATTGTTATGTGTGAATTTGATCCTGTCATTATGATGCTAGCTAGTTATTTTGCCCATTAGTTGAGGCAGTTTCTTCGTAGTATCAATGGTCTTTACATTTGAGTTTGTTTTTGCAGTGGCTGGTACTGGTTTTTCCTTTCCATAGTTAGTGCTTCCTTCAGGAGCTCTTGTAAGGTAGGCCTGGTGGTGACAAAATCCCTCAGCATTTTCTTGTCTCTAAAGGATTTTATTTCTCCTTCACTTATAAAGCTTACTTTGGCTGGATATGAAATTCTGGGTTGAAAATTATTTTCTTTAACAATGTTGAATACTGGCCTCCACTCCCTTCTGGCTTGTATGGTTTCTGCAGAGAGATCCAATGTTAGTCTGATGGGCTTCCCTTTGTGGGTAACCCGACCTTTCTCTGGCTGCCCTTAACATTTTTTCCTTTATTTCAACCTGGGTGAATCTGACGATTATGTGTCTTGGGGTTGCTCTTCCCAAGGAGTATCTTTGTGGTGTTCTCTGTATTTCCTGAATTTGAATGTTGGCCTGTCTTGCTAGGTTGTGGAAGTTCTGGATAATATCCTGATGTGTGTTTTCCAACTTGGTTCCATTTTCCCTGTCACTTTCAGGTACACCAATCAAACATAGGTTTGGTCTTTTAACATAGTCCCATATTTCTTGGAGGCTTTGTTCGTTCATTTTCATTCCTTTTTCTCTAATCTTATCTTTATGCTTTATTTCATTAAGTTGATCTTCAATCTCTGATATCTTTTCTTCCACTTGATTGATTTGGCTATTGATGTATGTGTATGCTTCACAAAGTTCTTGTGCTGTGTTTTCCAGCTCCATCAGGTCATTTATATTCTTCTCTAAGCTGGTTATTCTAGTTAGCAATTCCTCTAACCTTTTATCAAGGTTCTTCGCTTCCTTTCATTGGGTTAGAACATGCTGCTTTAGCTTGAAGGAGTTTGTTATTACCCACCTTCTGAAGCCTACTTATGTCAGTTCATCAAACTCATTCTCCATCCAGTTTTGTTCCCTTGCTGGAGAGGAGTTGTGATCCTTTGGAGTAGAAGAGGCATTCTGGTTTTTTGAATTTTCAGCCTTTTTGCACTGGTTTTTCCTCATCTTGCTGGATTTATCTACCTTTGGTCTTTGCTGTTGGTGACCTTCGGATAGAGTTTTTCATCCTTATTGTTGATATTGATGCTATTGCTTTCTGTTTGTTAGTTTTCCTTCTAACAGTCAGACCCCTCTTCTACAGGTCTGCTGGAGTTTGCTGGGGGTCTATTCCAGACGCTGTTGGCCTGGATATCACCAACGGATGCTGCAGAACAGCAAAGATTGCTGCCTGCTCCTTCCTCTGGAAGCTTTGTCCCAGAAGGGCTCCTGCCAAATGCCAGCCGGAGCTCTCCCGTAAGAGGTGTCTGTCGACCCCTGCTGGGAGGTGTCTCCCCATCAGGAGGCACAGGGATCAGGGACCCACTTGAGGAAGCAGTCTGCCCCTTAGCAGAGCTTGAGTGCTGTGTTGAGAGATCTGCTGCTCTCTTCAGAGCTGCCAGGCAGGAACACTTACGTCTGCTGAAGCTGTGCCCACAGCCGCCCCTTCCCCAAGGTGCTCTGTCACAGGGATATGGGAGTTTTATCTATAAGCCCCTGACTGGGGCTGCTGCCTTTCTTTCAGAGATGCCCTGCCCAGAGACGAGGAATCTAGAGAGGCAGTCTGACTACAGTGGCTTTGCAGTGCTGTGGTGGGCTCCGCCCAGTCTGAACTTCCCAGTGACTTTGTTTACACTGTGAGGGGAAAACTGCCTACTCAAGCCTCAGTAATGGCGGACGTCCCTCTCCCCAGCAAGCTGGAGCATCCCAGGTCCACTTCAGACTGCTGTGCTGGCATTTCAAGCCAGTGGATCTTAGCTTGCTGGGCTCCCTGGGAGTGGGATCCACTGAGCCAGACCCTTTGGTTTCCTGGCTTCAGCCCTCTTTCCAGGGGAGTGAACAGTTCTGTCTCACTGGCGTTCCAGGCACCACTGGGGTATGAAAAAAATCTCCTGCAGCTAGCTTGGTGTCTGCCCAAACGGTCACCCAGTTTTGTGCTTGAAATCCAGGGCCCTGGTGGCATAGGCACCCTAGGGAATCTCCTGGTCTGTGGGTTGTGAAGACCATGGGCAAAGCATAGTATCTGGGCTGGATAGTACCATCCCTCATGGCAGGGTCCCTCATGGCTTCCCTTGGCTAAGGGAGGGAGTTCCCTGATCCCTTGCACTTCCCAAGTGAGGCGATGCCCGATCTTGCTTCTGCCCGCCCTCCATGGGCTGCACCCACTGTCTAACCAGTCCCAATAAGATGAACTGGGTACCTCAGTTGGAAATGCAGAAATCACCCACCTTCTGCATTGATCTCTCTGGGAGCTGCAGACTGGAGCTGTTCCTATTTGGCCATCTTGCCTGGGAATCCCATCTTTTTATTATTATTATTATTATTATTATTATTATTATTATTTTTAAGAGAACTTTTGACTGCTGGATCTATAGGTTCATAAGTTCTTTTGATTTCTCCCTTTACTAGCCTCTTCTCTTCATTCTCCTGTTACTCTTACCTCATCTGTCTTTTGTTTTTTCTTTAATGTTTAGTTTCTAAGAATTAAAAAATTTTTTTTCTATTTCTCCTCTTGGGCAATCTGCTAAATTGCCAGCTTAGAGGAACTCAGCTTCTCTCATGGGTGCTGATGCATACTCTCACCCTGGTCACTCCTTTGTAGCCTAACTTGCTCATGCAGTTCAAATTGATGGAGCTAGAGTTGAGAAAGAGATTTGAAAAGGGGAGAGGGCATGCAGGGAAAATGACACCTTGAAGGAAACACTGGAAAATGCCGTGAAGTTTCTGAAACTCAACAACTGGCCCTGGCCAAGACCAACAGCAGAAAGGGTGGGAATGAGAAGGGGAAGAACGGGAAAATCCAAGCAGGTAGCCTTGGGCCGCGTAGAGTAAAAGCACAGAGATGACAACCCAGAAAAACTGGGGAAAAAAAACCAGGACACACAAAAAGGCCTGACAAACTGGGACAGGGAATTGAAATGTGGGGGAGAACTAGGCAGACATTGTGGTATTTGGTTAAGTTCTTTATCTATGGTATTGGCTCAGTGAACTTTTCTGAAGCTTATAGTGTTGGGTTTCTGGATGTGTCCTACTGAGCAAGTCCTGAAAAATTCTCATAATCAAGTCCACCAAGCCCTTGGCTTTCAGCTCCATATTTCTAGAATGGAGGATTTTAATTCATTGCATCTTTTAAGTTTCCCAAAGAAGAATGCTTAGTTCAGGGGTCTTACTGTTTCCCTGAAGTCCCCAGGAAATGGTAGACTTCCCCATGTGGCCTAGATTAGAGCTGACTGGGTTCCCCAGGAGGCATAGCTGATCTGGAATGAGAAATGATGAGAGCAAAATTCTAAAGGCCATGTTTTTCTGCTGAAATTCCCTCCATCCTTTTCAGCACTTCATCTTCTCCTGTTTAGTATCAACAGGCCTACTCTCCTTCATTACTCCAAAAACTTGGGACCTCACTCTCCCTCTTCACTCTGATTAAGTATATTTCCATTAACACCAAGTGGAAACCATTTTCCAGATAATATAAACTCTCTGAAGGATTCACATCAGTTGTCTCCACCCCTATGTGGTCTATAGATAATAATAATTCACCTAGGAACTCCTGGATACCAAGAGGATCCAGGGTCCAGATCCTCTAGATAAATGGATCTGGTAAATGAATTTGTAGTGGAGAGCAAATCTAGCCAAGGGTCAGCTGCACAGAGAGACACATTTAGGTGAAGACACTTTGGCTTGATAGTATGTCATCAAAATTGTTCTTGAAAATTCCTTACAAAGACAGCATTTTTGAAGACCATTACTTTGAGAGTTTCAACTAAAGGAACAGTGAGCTGCTTCAATTTTAGAGAAAAGCTAGTCATCTGAACTTACTGAAATATGTTATGTCAGTCTGAGTTTGGGATCACATGGAGCAAAACAATATCTTGGCCAAAAATACTCACAGTTTGAAAGGCAAGCAGTTTTGAGCTGACTGAAGGAAATGCAGATTCCCACCTCACGTACCCCAAGCTGCACGTTACTTCCTCAAACAATGGGCAGTTACTTCTCCTTGCTGAAAATATATACCAATATATATATAAGTTAAAAGTGAGCTTGAGGCTAGGTGTGGTGTCTAACATCTATAATCCTAGCACTTTGAGAGGCTGAGGCAGGAGAATCACTTGAGGCTGGGAGTTGGAGACCAGCCTGGGCAACACAGTGAGACTCTGTCTCTACAAAAATAAAAATAATTAGCTTGGCATGGTGGCATGTAGTCCTAGCTAGTCAGGAGGCATTGGCAGAGGATTGCTTGTGCCCAGGAGTTCAAGGCTGCAGTGAACTATGATTGCACCATGCAGTGAACTATGATTGCACCACTGCACTCCAGCCTGGGAGATGGAGTGAGACCCAGTCTCAAAAAAAAAAAAAGAAAAAAGAGCTTGAGAAACTCTTCTCTGTTGACGTGAGCTCCTTGGCTGGTATGCAGTTGGAAGAAAAGGTTAGAATCACTCTTTCCTAAGCACCACCGAAAAAGTCAGAGCCAGCCCAGAATTGGGAGGACCAATATTTACCCCAGGCCCTCTCCTCTTCCAGAGAAGCACACAAGCTTAAGATGAAGAGAGTGGTCCTGGAGATTCAAAAAAAAAAAAAAAATCTCACTTTGTGTTTTTGAGGAATTTATTTTTTAAATTTTTAATTTTTTTTACCATTCACCTGAATTTTACTAAAATTAGAGTTTCCAAAGTGAGTCACTGCTGCTTTCTACTATGGCCCTAGTCCTTGGCCTGGGCCCCCCAACAGAAAAAACTGGGTGGGCCAGAGAATGGTGTGGCAGAGGGGAAGGTGGGAGCTGCAGCTGGAGAAACAGAGCCCGCATCATCCCCCTGCAGCTTCAGGGCTGCGGTCTGGGACTGACGCCTTCCATAGAATGTATTCGCCAGGCACATCATGCCTTGCTGCTCTGTTTACACAGGTGCCTTCCCTCCCCAGGGGTGCCAGGGATCTGCAAACATGCGTGACCGCATGCTTCCATAAGTTGGATGCTCACATCTGCACGTTGCCAAGGGGAGAAACTGAGGCCCAGAGTGGGGAAGGGAGGCTTTCAGAAGCCGGAAGGGCAGGCAGGTGTTCCAACTCCCCACTGGCTCTCTGGTTACCAGGCTGCCTTTGTCTTGTCAGATCTGCTCTTGACAGGGATAAAGCCTTTGGGCTTTTCACTCCGGGAGACTATAGCAGCTTTCCCATCCACCACTCCAAGCTAAAGCCCAAGCTCAGGGACTGTCGGGGGCGGGGAGCCGGGCTGGTGACCCTCAGCCACACCTGTGAGCCTGGAAACCACGGTCACATGCTTATCAAATGCCCCGTTGACTCTCCTAATACCTACTCCACTCCATTCACATAATTTTCCTCTCCCCTGCCCCAGTAGCTCCTGGAAAATAAACTGAGGGAAGTCAAAGTGGAAACCCAGCCTGTTCATTTATTTGTCTGTCTTTTTGTTCAATTGCCCAATTTCAGATCCTCAGCCCAAATGTCCCAGATCCCTCAATAGAGAAGTTGTAAGGAAACAAAAAGTTGTAAAGGAAACAAAAAAGGCAGATAAAAAGAGATAAAAAAAAAACAACATCCCGTGTTTTAAAAGGGTCAAGGCTACACTGTGCATCCAGAAATGCCCACCTGGTGCCAAAGCTATAAGGAGATGCAAAGAAGGGACAATTCTGTAAGTCAGGAGAGTGTCCACTTTCAGGGAGTGAGGAAGCATTGAGATTGAGATGGGACACCAGAGGGATCTATTTCATTGCCCCAGAGTTGACTATAATACAGTGCATCTTATAATAATCCATTAAGTTATATGTTTATTTTGTGTGGCTTTCTATAAGTGTGTTTTATTTTGCAATAAAAGGGTTAAATACTTTGGGAGGCTGAGGCAGGAGGATTCCTTGAGGCCAGGAGTTTGAGATCAGCCTAGACAACAAAGCAAGACTCCTTTTCTACTATAGATCTGAATCTTTTAGGATATAGATCCATGTCATGCGGCCCTCCCGGTTGACAGAGACATGTCAGAGTAGCAGCCTCTGCTCGGGGCACCAGTTTCTCCACCCTAAATTCAGAGAGTAGCTCTTCAAGGAGCAGCTGCAAGAGGCATGGTATTAGGTTGGTACAAAAGTAATTACTTTTGCACCAACCAAATAGAACATTAAGGGAATCCAAGGGAAGCGAGGCTTGCCCTTTATATCTTTGAACAGGAAAATGACCCTAGTGAGTTTTTTCCAGCTTTGAGGCAAATCAGAGCCTTCAGAACATTCTCGGGTAGCTGACAGGCCACTGATCCAAAAGACTTATCTGCCTGAGGGATCTTGTGAGATTCTCCACCCGAGCAATGCTGGTGCCCTCCTCTCATGAAACCCTCTGGGGCTGTCACTACCAGCCCACCATTAGGTGGAGAGATGCCCGTCTCCCATGGGGCTAATGACAGGTCACGGGGACTGTCTAAGATGCAGCTCTGACTAACCCAAATTCTAGGAACCAGCTCTTCCAAGTAAATGATCTGTTGGTCCTAGCAAGGCCATCGGAGACACTCAAATATTATCGCACTATCTCTAAGTGCGTGTGTACAGTTGTGTGCCTGGTTGTTTAGAATAAGACAGCAGGTTGCTAGGCAATGTGTTTCCAAAAAGGAGAGTGTGAAGAAGAAAAATAATAAATAAACAGATGACAGGGATGAGATCCAAAGCCTGTTATGACAAGAGCATTTGGGTCCAGTTCACTTGGGTTTGATGGGAGTGTCACGGGGATGTCAGAGCTTGTTCTGCTGCGGCATGAGTTTCCAATCTTGCCTTCCAGCTCCTCACCCTCTGTCTTATGTGGTGGGGACAGCAGAGATGAAATATGGCTCTCTGGAGGGCCATGCCTTTGTGAAAGGCTGTTACAGCTGTAACAAAACTTTTGTAATCTGTGCTGTATCCCATTACATCTCAAGGTTCCTTGGGTCCCTTCCCAGCCTTAAGGAAAACACACACACCCTTTCTCTTTCTTTCTTTCTTTTGTTCTCGTTTGCTCTCTCCTTAGTTTCCACTTGCTAAAAGGTCATCACAGTTGTTCTTTTCACACAGGTTTTCTTCTAGCCTTTGGTGGAAATTGGCCTGAGATGTGCAAAATGGCTGGGTGGTATCTACTCTGGGGCTCGTCAAATCGTGGAAGAAGATGGGACAGACTGCAGGATGCGAGGTCACTACACTTTGTCATCATGAGGCCTCTTAGAGGCTACTGGGAGCCTTCTCAAACTTGCTGTGTACTGCCTCTCCTAACAATGACAGCCAGCCTTTCTTGAGCCTAGGTTTTCCCAGCCCCCACACTCCCATCATCTTCATGCTTACTTTTGGATATCGTCTGGTTTGGCAGTAAAGGAAACAACTTAAAATCAGACCACTTGGGTTCCTGTCTCAACTCCACTAGTTACTATCTATGTGACCTTAGGAAATAGTATTTGTTTTCCTATCAATTTCTTATGAAAATAGTATCAATTTTCTCATATGCAAAATGGGATTACTAATACCTTGCAGCATTAGGGTTCAAGGAGATGGGCCATGTCAAGTGCTGTAGATGGTGCGTGGCCCATGGCACACACTCAGTGGTCATTTCGTCTTATTGATTCTGGCATCCTCTGAATGCTTTGGTGAAAGGGCAGGCCCTAGGGGGTAGAGTCTTTCTTTCCACATGATTGCAGGGACAAAGTTGGGCTCAGGGTGTGGTTTTAGAGAGATGGGAATGGATTCTGGGTTGAGGAGGATGGAAAAGTAGGAGGAGAGAGGAAGGAAACAAGGAATTCTTTCAGTTTCCTGCATTTAAAGAGGACAGAGAATTCAAGTGACTGGGTGATCTTGGAGGGCCAGGAGAGACACCTGTTCCTGATAATAATCCTTGAGGTTGGAATCACAGACCAGGTAGTCCTGCATAGTCCTAATAACGGAATGTCTCAGATGCAATATGTTCAGGCCTTGAGGGCAAGTGTCTTAGTAATTAGAATCTAAAGCTACCTTAATCATGGGGATGGGGGGATCAAGAGTCACTTGTTTATATCAGGAAGAGATTAACAAATCTGGATTTGTCACTGTTCATTATCCTGAGATTTTAAAAATATTTGGTAAATAGAATGATTGGCATGGAAGTTCTGTGACACAAAACCCAAAGTAGTGAAGCTGGGCAGATCTGGGTCTCAATACCTGCTCCATTACCTGTAGCTGTATTAACTAGGCTCACTTCTTAAACTCTCTGGATCTCAGTTTAATCACCTGTGAAAGGGGAATCATGTCTAGCTCATGGGATTGTTATGGGAATTAAATGAGATAAGGTGTCTCAAAGTCTCTAACAGAATACATTGTCCGTAGCAGCACTCAGCACGCTTGTTGATGAATGATGGAATGAATGAACGAATAGTAGGCTTTCTATTGATGATTGCATTATTCACTTCTTAACTTATTTCCCTTTTTTTTCTTTCTATCCATTTTCTTTATTTTTTCTCATTTTCTTTTCTTTCTATTCTACCTCCTTTCCCCCTCCTTGCCATTTCTTTTTTCCCTCTTCCTACATTTTTTAATCCCCAGGATCATCCTTCCTGTATTAAGGGACCTCCTGGTCCATTTTTAACACCTCCTCCGTTGGTGAGTGTCTTTAGGTATTGCCCACAGAGGGCCATAGAGGAGCTTACATCTGTATGAAAAACATCATTACACACAGGCCAGTAGAGGCTGCTCTGATCCACACAGGATGGGCTTCTTGCGGCTGCTCAGACTCTTGGTGTAATTCCATGACTCTTTTGTTAGTTCTTGTGTGCAATGCTCATATGATGGAGGGTAGAGCGAGTGTGTGGAGAATAAATAGAGCTGTAGAAAGAGAAAAAAATGGACTCATCCACTCAAGGCCATGGGCACTTTAGAGGAAGAACAGAAATGGTTACAGAGTAATATTGCACAGCTTTTTACTCGTAGCTAAGTCTCCATCTGACAAACCATACCTGTTGGAGAACTTGAAGGTGGACGAGATAATTGAGGGGAAGGGAGGAAAGTGGGACATGAGATCCTGTTGTACAATGTCAGAGAGACCATGGGAGGAAAGGAGAGAGTGGGTCTGGAGCCAAGGAATGCAAAAAGGGAAAAGCTCCATGCATTCCAGAGATGCTCACTAGAATCACAAGGTCTCATCCACCCTGTCAATCAAAGTGAGAGTTGGGCTGGGGAGCAGGGTACAACCTGATGCATGGAGAATTCAAAAAGCTTTTTCTTTTGGATTTGTAATAAAATCTCCTTTTATGTCTCCAACAAATATACTTTACTCATGTTTGATTGCAGTTTAACTAAAACTTTATAAGCCTGAGGGTTGAGGAATCTCCCAGGCAGATAGGATTTTTCATGACATCAGAGAATGCTGAGAAGGCCCTTCCAAGGTTATTTCCCCATTTTCCTATTTTCAGGAAGTACCGTGCAAATATGAGGCTGGAACACCCATTGCTATGATCTCTAGAGAAGATAATGGTTCGTTTTCAAATCAACTCTTGGTTTCTTTGAAAAATTATCAGGGCAAGAATAATATAATCTGTAACAAAACAGAGGCATTAAAGCACCCAGCCCAGCAAGAGAGGTTCTCCATTTTATCCCACATTTGAGGGAAATCTTCCAGGCATAACCATGGGCAATTCAGCGAAATGGTCTTTCTCTCAGGCATCTTCTTGTCTATCTGGTAGCATTTGTATCCCCCATGTTGTCTGATACAATCACACACACATACACACACACACGCGTTATTTGTGTCCAGCTCAAACTGATTGTTGATTATTGAAGTTTAGAAAATTTGGGGGATAGAATAGGTACAGTAGTGAAATTAGCATCCATGTTCTTGTTTTCTTATTGACTCTCTGGTGAAAGCAAAACCCCTCTCCACCCTATTAAGAATTAGATGTATAAAACACTCCCTAAACTGCCTGACTTCCCTGTGTTTTCTCCACTCTTCTTCGTCTGTCAGCCCTAAATTGGTCTGTCTTCAAATGTTTTGGATTCTGGATAGTTTTGTTTTTCCAATTTGCCTCAGAATCCACTTTTTTTTGGTTTTTGATTGAGCTGGCACTATTTTGGGGAGTCACCTAGTATGCATCCGGTATACTTTGGGTTTCAGCCCTACAAAATCTTGGATTTATTATGTCTTTCTCTTTGGTCCTTGATGTAGTTTGGATGTTTGTCCTCTCCAAATCTCATGCTGAAATGATCTCCAGTGTTGGAGATGGAGCCTGGTGGGAGGTGTTTGGGTCATGGGGGTGGATTTCTCATGAATGGCTTGGTGGGTGCTGTCTTCCTCGTAATGACTGAGTTCTTGCTTTATTAGTTTATATAAGAGATGGTTGTTTAAAAGAGTGTAGCACCTTCCCCCTTTGCTCCTTTCCTCTCCATGTGACACTTGGGCCCCCCTTCCCCTTCTGCAATGATTGGATGCTTTCTGAAGCCCTCATCAGAAGCAGATGCTGCTGCCGTGCTTCTTGTACAGTCTGCAGAACTGTGAGCCAAATAAACCTCTCTTCTTTATAAATGACCCTGCCTCATACATTCCTTTGTGTAACACAAAACAGACTGCGAGGGTCCTCAACAGCAAAGATGTGTTAAGAAGGGATGGCACTGGCTGGCTATGCCTCCACGTTTTGCCTGCCTTTGGCTCCTCCATCACGTTTCTTCCCAGCCCTCACATTCTGAACCAGTCACTTTGGAAACTCAGAGCCTGGGCTTTGCTCCCCTTGAACTGCCCATCTGTTTCCATTTTGAGAGCTTCTCTCTGTTCCACTATTCCCTATTTCTTGCTCTGCCATGATCCCACAGATACTATATCTCTGTCTCCTCCTTTGCCCAGCTGTAAGTGTCTATCTCCTGTATTTAAGCATCTGGAAATTGTCACATTTCCTTGCTGCATCTCCTTTGTGATCATGTGACATACAGCTGCTTTTTCAGATCAGCTCCTCCTAGATTTCATCATATTTGAGAGTTTTTAGTGCCTCTGATTTTGCCTTGGATGCAAGCCAGGCTGGCCCCTGGTCAGGAGCCTCTTCTATACTGATAATTACGTTTTGAAGAATGAGCTATTTTGTCACCATAAAAGCACATAGTAACAACAACAACATTAATAGTGATAACTATTAATAATATCTGAGTGTTAACTATGTATCAAACACTGTGCTATGGGCTTTCTTTAACTATCTCACTTATCTCTCACAATAACCCTGTGAGGCAGGTACTATTACAGAAGGGGAAACGGAGGCTAATAAAGATTAAATGAGTTTCTTAGGGTTGCCCACCAAGTGGAAGATCCTGAATATGAATCTTACAGTCTTTCTCAGCCTGCATTCTTTACCACAAGGCTGGGACTCCCAGAGGACAGCATCCTCTCATGCCTGGGTGGCAAGCAGCCAGCCACAGACATGCTGAAGAACTAGGGGTAGCTACAGTTAGAAAACATTCATTGCTTTTTCAAGGAAGAGCTAAGGAGACCCAGGACGCAGATGTGAGTTAGCAGAGAACACCAGCAAATTACTTAACTTGACAGAATTATTTTCTCTCCTGGGTCAGTTAGCTTCTACTTGACCCTGGTGCTTGTTGGAGTTTGTGTCACCCCCATGGCTCTGCCTTCTGCTCTGAAGCACAAGGTTACCATTAGCATACATCAGGCTGTGGTTAATTTGGCTGCCCCCTCTTTAAGCTAAGGAGACATGGTCAGGGCCTCAGACCCTGTGTGTGGCCATTCAGCTTTGCCCTGTTCTGTGGCCACAGTCCATGCTCTAAGTACTGACCAGATGTCTTACAATGCACACGGCACACAGTTATGGTCTCTGTGGGGATGGGGGAATAAGGTGTGGACAAATCTGTTCAGCTCTAAATCCTTGACCAGAGGAGCAGCTCAGAGCATGAATCCACAGGGCAGTGGAGCCATGTGCAGGATCAAGCACAGCGGCATCACTGACTTGCAGGACACTGGAGTGCTGGGGCGTGGTTCTAGAGAAATGCCCTCAAGTCCTCGATAGATCCTAAATGTGGTTAGTTCTCTTCATTACAAAGACAGTGGAAGCTGAGGTCCATGCAGATTAAAAGGCTAAGCTGTACAGTAATTATGAGGTCCTTTTGATTAGCAGAACTCCATCTATTCCAAAACAAATTCATAGAAAGACATCTTTTCTATGCCTAATTGCCTTTCCATCTTTGTTGAAAATCAACAGACCATAAACGTGGAGTCTGTTTTGGGACTTGACATTCTGTTCTGCTAATCTATGTGCCTCTCTTTGCGCCAATACTTTACTCTCTTGATTACTGTAGCTTTTTAGTAAATCTTGACATCAGATATTTTAAGTCCTCCAACTTTATTTTTGCTTCTAAGTTGTTTTGTGTTTACATACAAAATTTAGAATCAATTTGTTCAATTTCTACCAAAAAAGTCTGCTTGGGTTTTGGTTGGGACTGCATTGAATCCATAGATCAACTATTGGGGATTAATTTTTTTCTCTACGTTTTGACTGGTTTGTATACCACAGATTAGAGGATTCTGGGATGGAGCTTCAGAATCCATAGCACAAACATGAAGATATTCAGAACAATTAACTTTTATGCTGATTTAAAGCTAATAAGAATAAATCTTTACATCAAATATAAGCCACCTGGAGCCAGTATTATTGGGACTTCATTGATAATAAGATTATTTACCCAAAGGGGAATGATTGTCAAAGTACCTACTGTGAGCCATATTTATAAAATGTAAGCCATATTTGAAAAATACTTAATTTTCACAAGAAGCTGATGAGGTAGGCATTACCTGCTGTACTTTACAAATGGGGAAACTAAAGTACAAAGAGATGTAGCAGTTAAGCTGAGGTCACACAGGTAATTAAATGGTAGCATTGTCACTTAAACCCAGGCTTGTCTAATTCCATTCTGTGGTACTTGCTGTACCTCAATGGTTTTCAGACTGTGTCCAGAGTGCCCCAGGACCTGAGAGAGAGAGAGAGAAAGAAAGAGAAAAAAGAGAGAGAGAAAGAGAAGAGAGTGAGAGAGAGTGAGTGTGTTTGAGGGAAGGAGGAAGAAAGTGGTCTGGGGTTCAGAATCCCAGACTTGGTCTCAGTGAGTTTTCCTTTGTCCTATTTTGCAGATGGGGCCTCCACGTGAAAAGTAACTACAAAACAGAACCAGAAAATAGTCATGCTGTTCAAGTGAGTTGGCATATCACTTCATGCTACTTTGAAATAAAATTTCCTCTTATTTTCTTATGGATAAAGGTCTCGAAAGGTTTGAGATGATCACAGCCTGTGTTAAGGCTGACCAGGGTCCAGGGCAGTACAGTGGAGCTGCTTTTCTTCTGGATTCTGAACCACCCTCAGCCTTCAGGGCCTGTTGTCTGGTGGGCTCATGGAGTCACCAGTGAACGTGAAAGCCACTGCTCCTCTGGTGTCCATGTCTATTCTGACAGGTGGATCTCAGCCCCAGGTTGACTGATTGCTCGCAGGTGAGGCTACTGCCTCCGCAGTGCTCACCAAATGCTCCGGCCGCTCCAGTCTGCACGTTCCTGAGCTTGGGCCACCTCCTGCTTTTCACAGGCAGCTTCTCCTCGATCTCCTCCTCTCTTTTTTCTTCATGAGCCTCACCCTTGGCAGCCACCCCAAGAAATTCAGCCTTCTTCATCTCCTTTCTCTCTCAGAAACTGGAAAGATTTTTACTGAATTCCTGATATTTTTGTCTTTGCCAAAACCCAAAGGCCCCAATCTGCCATGGGCCAAGAAGTGCCCAGAGAGGTTGTTTGGACAAATCCAGAAATGACCTTGAATCTTTACTCAGCACTTAGATGACAGGTTCTCTCCTTCTCCACCACACCCTAGCACACGTGCTTCTTGTCGGATCAGGAAATGTTTTATTGCTTTTTTTCCTTTTCACTTTCTCTACCCACCCTTCTTTGTGAGCCCTTCCCGGTTATGCTGTCCGTATTGCCTCTCTTCTGGAAAAGTAATCAGAGAGTGAAAATCCCAGGACAGGAAGGGACCTTGGGAAGGCATTAACCAGACCTTTTCCTCCAGGCAGCAGCCACAGTCGCCGGGGTAAAGAACCCTCTTTTCCATCTTTAAACTTTCATCGGTTTCTGCATCTTCTCATTGAAGCATCTCTGGGTTTTGCTTTTTGTTGTCTTATTTGTTACTTTCATTTTTAAAAGTTTTCTTTCATTCAGAGGTTTCTTGAGACTGCCTGGTGCACATCATGCGTATCCGCTGATAGATGCTGTTGTGACTTGGTGAAACATGTTGCGTGCTCTTCAGGCAGATGTATGTCAACAAACCCTTTTCCTGGCTCAGCCAGGATTTCTGGGAGTCAGATTTGATTATGGGGTGTCATAGGTAAAAACTGGAGGCTGTCTGTGGTGGCCCAGCTGTGCAGTTAGCTGACTTGGAGGAATCTTTGGCTATAATTGGATGCCAAGAGTGGAGGTGGCACGAGAGATGGTACAAGCCTATGATGATGTCTACCCAGGTGAAAAATGATCTAGGTGCTTGTAACCATCACCCTGAGCATTCAGTTCTACATCCAGCTATTGTGGAACAAAATGATTTATATTGATTAATTGACTAGTTGGTTCATTTTAGCTTGAAGAGTACTGATCAGCTGTGTGCATTAGGCAGTTTCTTGACACACTGCTGTGCTGAGGACAGATTTCCCAGAGCCTGGATGTGTATAATTCTACATGCTCCTTTTTCCAAGGACTTAAGCAAACAGAGTCAACTCCTCTGTTTTCCTTGTTTGGGTATATTTTTGAAAATGTCTCTTCTTCTTTCCTTTCATTTACATTTTACCGTTGTTTATCCACCTTTTCCTCTTCCTTCAAAGCTCTAGACCTGCCTCCCTGCCTGTTCTTAGCCCACTTTTGAGAAAGGACTTTCCAACCCCATCCTCGAAAGGGCAGGGTCTCTCTCCAGGGCTCCAACAGAGTTCTGAAAGAACACGGCTTCCACCATTGTGTCTTCTCTGTTTTGTCAACTGCTGAAAGACTGACACAGTAGACAATGCTGCAGACCCCTTGGGAGATAGTCCAAGTTTAGGGTGGGGAGGGAATGGTGCATTCTGGGTGTCCACATATTTGTTGTTGCTTTAGGAAGAGGAGCTGGGAGGTTGGAGTCGCCACACATGTTGAAAGATGTGGCAAAAAACAAACAAACAAAACACCTCATAGAGAGAAATCCTGACTTTGTGCACAAGAAAAGGGAGTGAAGTGTGTGGGGTTTTTAAAGTGGTGGTGGGGGGGCATTAGGAGATACCCAGAAGCTCTCAAGATTCCAAACAGTCTGCTTTTCTTTTCAGACATTACACTCCAAGAAAAGAAACTCTAGTGTATAACAGAGGGGCTCTGTCAAAATTTAACAACATAAATATTGGGCAAATGAAGTTGTTTCTCTGGTGCTATCTCAACCTGCCAATGGAGAAATATCTCAAAAAGTCAAGAATTGAAGCCATTACTCAGAGACAGCATCCTATGGCATGGTGATCCAAAACAAGTACACCTCTACCTTTTCCCTTTCAGCCCCAAACCCCAAAACACTGGAGAATATTGGGGCAGGCAAGGCCCGTGAATAGGTGAGCAGAGCTGGAAGAAGAGACTCCTGCCCCTGGTGGGCCTCAGGCTATTTGTGGAATGATGTTTGTGAGATGAACATGTTCGCTCCCTCACCCGGATGTTTTGGACATAGGAGCCTGGAGTAAAGAGTGTATATCTTGGGCTGTCATTTTCCCGTGTGAAAGGTGTTTTGTTTTCTCCCCGTTTGCACAACTTGTTTCCCTTAAACTGTGCTGTGCATGGCTAGGAAGCTCAGCAATAGACTAAACAGTTTGCGATCCCACAGTTTTGCTTTCTGTTTCTCAGGCCTGACCCAACACTCCATGGGTTCCCTAGCCCTTCGTAGGTGCTTCGAAACACTCATGGGGTCCTTGACCTGATCCCAGTGGGGGTTTGTGTGTGGAAGTTAGGGAACCTCTCTTTGAGAGTTCTGGTGCCCCTAACTCTGTAGGGTCTGACTTCACTTCTGCCCCAATAAGAATGAAAGGCTTTGCCAGTAGTGCAGCCCTCTCCTCCCAAAGTCCTAGAGGCAATTACTCTGAAATATGGAAGAAAGAGGCACATCTGAAAGCCCAGTGCTGTCTTCTTGTCCTCACATCCCTCAGGATCTCAAGGTCAGCCTAGTAGAGGCATTGCTTTACCATAGTAGCAACTCAGGGAATATCTGTGGAACTGGATTCCTCTGAAGTTGGACAGTTGCTTTATCCCTGCTAGAGGCTCTCACTACTTAGACCCACACAGTCCTATAGATAGAAGAAACCTAGAGAGAACCACCTCTCACACTTTTATTTTATACATGGAGAACCAAAGGCCTCAAATGGTGGAGTGATTTGCTGGGGTGCTACAGTCATTGTCACAACTTACATTGTGACATGGGCTTCATATCCAGTTAAAACAAAAGCCTCTATTCACTGCCCCAAGGTGTGAAGCCTTGTCTCCAGGAGATGGAGAGTCAATGACTCCAAGGAGATAAGACTTCAGACTCTTCCTGCTGCAATTTTTTTTTTTTTTTAAGTAAGTGCCAACCAATAACTCCTGGGGAAAGTAAAATAATCTGGGGGAGGAAAATTGTTCTCTCCTGGAGATGGGACTCCTCTGATTTGGAACTCCTCTGTCTGCTTTCACTTCTTGGATAGGATTTTAAATCCAGCACCCAGCCTGCTGCTGTGAAGTTCACAATAACTTTATCACCTGAGTTCCCTTGGTGCTGCAGCAGATATGAGTTACACACCTGGTCCTCCGAGAGTGGTTTAATCCACACCAGAGTCCTGACTTACTAGTTTCTTCCTATTGCAGAGCCTATGCAGACTGCTTCTCTGAGCACCAACATCATTATGCACTGTCCTTTCTATTCCCAAGACTTCCTAGTTGCTGCAAGTCAAGTTCGACATTCAACTATTTCCTCGGGGTCCTTTTTTGGGAGAAGCAAGGCTTTGAGTTCACTCTTTGACTTCAAGTGAAGTCCATTTTCCTCTTAGACACTACCCCAGTGGTTCTCACACTCAAGGAAGCACCAAAGTCCCTGGAGGACCCGTCTAAATGAAGGATGCTAAGCCCCACCTCACAGAGATTGATGCAGTACGTCCCAGGAATCTGCATGTTAAAGGAGCTCTGCAGGTGATTCTGATGGAGGTGGCCCTTGCAGGATGCTTTGAGAAACTATATGTTCTATCCCTCGAACTCTGCCTGCAGAACAGCCTGAGATGGCTCTTCCATGCTTTGACCATTTGGCCCTCCACAGTAGTCCCTGAGCTGCGTCTTCTTCGGACCATGAGCAGAATGTGTGTCCCCTGACTGACTGTCCTTTTCCTTGAGAACCAGGCATAGTGGTGCACTGGTAAGAGCATGGACTCTGGAGCCACACTGGGTTTGAATTATGTCTCTGCCACTTACTAGCTGAGTGACCCTAGGCAACTTTCTAAATCTCTGTGCTTTTGTTTCTTCATCTGTAAAATGGGGATAATAATACTACTTGCCCCATAGGGTTGTTATGAAGATGAACCAAGTTAATATCTCTAATAAATGTCTCTAAAATCCCATGATTGCAAAAAGTAGAAAATATGTCATGTAGCCTATTATATCATTATATTATAAGGTGAGGCTATTGAAGGCAAGAGGGGAAATGACTTGCTGAAGGCAACAGAGCTGGTCTGCAGCATGGCCAAGACCAAAAACAGCTCTTTTCGCTCCCAGATAAATTGTCTTTTTTATTTTTTTCCCAAACTGCCTGTCTAACCCCCCTTTCATCTGGTTATAATGAATGCCATTGCTTGTGTATAGTTGCCTACATTAATAGACAACAATGCAATATTCTCCTTATGGAAACCCTACCTAGATTGGGAGGCACCATGAAGCCACTTTTTCTTCTTTCTCCATCTCTACCCTGATTAGCAAACATCTCTAATTATTGTGACTCCCAACCCCAGTCAGATCATTTTATTCTTTTTCCAGTATCTATGCAGGGAAGCCTGGCAAAGGCTTAAGGGATGGGGTGGGGTGTAGCATGTCAGCAGGATTTGGAACTATGGGCCCCATACTTTTGGCACCTGCTGCATTTTCTCCCCACCTGCTGCACCATAATTCATCTGCTTGTATGAGTTTAGCAGAAAGAGCCCCCAGTTCCCTGTAAGAAACACATACGGCTTTTCCAGGTTACACTGTGGGGATTGAGAAAATGCACAGTATCCATGTCTGGAAATCAATGGACAACTCACTGCCTGAATCGTTTGTGTCTTGTAACTTGCCTCAAGCAACATCTGTCTGAAAAATCTGGTGCTTTGGGCTAAATGACTGGATATTCTCCTAAGGAATGGCAGTGAGTGGGTTAATTTCACCTCTCATCTTACTTCCTGCCTGGCCCCTCTACCTTGCCCACCATGCCTGGCTTTGCTGCTGATCTTCGGCTGACCTGAAATTGAACACCTTAACTTAAGGACAACTAAGGGTGTAGGTAGATTGGGAAGTATGTGTTCTTCTTGCTTTGCCAATAATTGTCTTCTGGATTCATTGGCCTTTCTTCTGGTTTCCTTCTTCAACTTCTTTAACAAATGACTTCAGCCATGCCAAGCCTTCTTTTAAGCACTTTCCCTCTCACTCTCCTGTCCTATAAAGATATCTTTCTTGAAGCCCCTCCGTGCCAGGCGTCCAAAGTGAGGCACATCAACTCGGTCCTTGAACGTCTCATGTTTATCCCAATAGATGGTCTAGATGTGGATGAATGTAAAGGAAATGTGCAAATAAGATACTTTTAAAATTCAGACAGAATTATACAGGGTGGGAAATTTCAGTATACATAGAAGGCTTAATTCAAAATGATATAATGTCAACATTTGGTATAAGAAATTATTTATCTGGCAGAATATATACTCACAGATGTCAAAATGGGTCTAGAGAGTAGAGAATGGAGGCAATTATCCAGACACTGAGGCCCAAGGCACAATACTTTTAAGTAATCATGCCCTCAACTGGCATTTCCATAGTCTTAAGCCCAAAAGCATTGGGTGGAACCATTCTATAAGCAAAGCCTCAGCTATGAAAACAACTTTTAAAATTGACATTCAAAAGATAAGATCAACAACAGGTGCCCTTTGCTTTCGGCAGTAGGTGTGTTCTTGAAAAGTTGGTTGTCAATATTTCCTTTTCCCATTAATCTAATCACATTCTAAATATAACAGGGGGCTGGATGTTTGAAGAAATCCTGTAGTTGATCTCATTGCAAAGTCCTTTTAGAGAGGTAAAAATAGTTTGTTTTATTTTCAAAAATTAGGTTTTCTTAGACTAAAACTTCTTGGAAGTGGGGGCATATCATGTTCCTGTATATTGCCTACAGGTAAAGAATGTAAGAATGTATGGCTTAGTCACAGAGAGCTAGGGCTTCAGAAATGCTATATGTATCAAATATTTTATATCTATATTTACTCTGAAGATATGACAATAGCTTTTAATGTGGGTCGAGAGATATCTAATCTTTCGCTTCTCTTTCAACCTTCCAAAACCATGCAATCCTCATTCCTTCTTTTCAATAACCTCCACATGCCCCCTTCATCTGTCCCACCCAAAGGAAACTCTTTTAACTTACCATTTAATTGATCAACTCTGATGACCTTTCCCTAAGCTCTCTGTGCTAAAATAATCTGGTACTTTGGGCTGAAGAAGTATTCTCCTAACGATGGAGGTAGGTGGCAGTCAAATGACGCAGAGATTATGATAGGGCCCTGTCTAGGCTGTCACATAAGGTAACATTAGCCACATGTGGCTACTGTGTACTTGAAATGTGATGAATGCCATTGAGAACTGAATTTTTAATTTAATTTAAAAATGGAGTCGCATTTCTGTTTTAGGAGAACTTCTAAGTATGTCTGAAACAACTTGATCATGTTTCAAGTGTAAGTTTTATTAGATCTAAATCTAAATCAAGTATTTCGAAAAAGTATTTTAGCATTTGAATAGAGATGTGCTCTAAGTATAAAACACACAGTGGATTTTGAAGATTAGTAAGAAAAAAATGAATGTAAACTATTTCATTAATAAATTTTTATATTGGTTACATGCTGAAATGATAATATTTTGCATATATTGGGTGAAATTATATATATTATTTAAATTAACTTTCCTTTTTTTTTTTAAACTTTGTGTGGCTACAAGGACACTGAAATTAGAAACATGGCTCGAATTATGCTTGCACTGAACAAGGCTAGTCTAAGGTATGCAATTGCCCTGCTTCTTCACTACTTTCAAGTGTAAACAAATATGTCAGCATTATCCCTAGAAGGAGGGTTTAGGGGTTTTAAGTTGAATACTCTTCAGCTGAAGAAAATCCATTAATCTCCAGTTTTATTCTTGAGTTAGCTTTCAAATCTACATTGCGACAATAATTACTTTGGGATCTTTGAATTTTCTTTCATGCCTTTCTGTTCTATGAAGCCCACATGCGTAGTTTATGCATTTTCCAATTTAGGCTAGAAGTCCAATGTGCTGTCCATTGCACCACAGAGCCTGTTTGCTATGCATTTTTAAGAGTAAAATTTTCAGAAAATACTTAAATTAAAAAGATAGATTTGGAAAGCATATCCAAAATGTTGCTTTGAACTTCTTATTCTGGACAATTCCTGGACTGGGGAGAAGGCATGCCCAAGTACACATTGCTTGCAGTGGCACCTCCAAACCAATGCTGGTCGGGACTCTTCCTATTACCTCGCAACAGCAATGACTGGGCCCCATAATACAGCCACGGTCATTATAAAAGATCATTACAAAGCATCAAATTAACTGCTATTAATGAAAGCCAGAAACACGTCATTCAGGAGGTCGAATGGCTGGGATGGAACATACAGGGTTGAATAATGGTAGGAGCCTGGGTTTGGAATTAGAAAACTGGGACAGGAATCCTACTTCTGCTATGAATCCATTGCAAGTGACTGGGCAAGTTGTTCCTCACTCCCTACTGCCTTGCTCATCTATCAGCTGAGAATGTCAAGGCAGAAGGTCTCCAGGGCTCCTGCAGGCTCCTACAAGCCAGATCTCAATCCGTCTTATCCTACCCTCTTCCTGACCTCTAGCTACAAGAACAGCAAGGCACAGCCCCCTGGTTTTGAGAATGCTAATGCTTGCCAGCATTCTTGTCCTGCAGGGCATGAAGTATAGTCCTGCACAACCAGCAGGCTCTGTGACTGCCTAACCTCATCCTTGGTCACTGACCTCTGTCTTAGTAGCAGTTCGTGCCATCCTACCTAGCTTTGCTGGGTCAAGTGCGTTCACATCTTAAAACCGTTTGAAGCGTTTGTCTAATTAACATGCAGAAAGCATATACTGATTTTTATTTTCACCACCATGTATGTGAGGGCCTATTTTATGGCATGCAAAGCATCTCATTTTTATTTCAATTCTCTGTCTTGTAACTTTAAATGAGGCTGAAATTTCCCTCCATATGTTTATTAGCATCTTCTATTTTATCTCTTATACACTGACTGTTTGCATCTTTTGCCCCATTTCCCTGAATGGTTTTTTTCTCAATGATTTGTAAGCACTCTTTATATTTAAATATGTTAACTCTTTCTTGTCACATATTTTAAACCCTTTCTTACAAACGTTGTTTTCCGGTTTGTGACTTACCTTTTAATTTTGCTCATAAATTACTTTTAACTTACAGATAGTAATATTTTTGAAAGGTTACATTCATCAGTCTTTGTATTGTTAAAAAGAGTCTTTATTGTTATACTTTTAAAGTAGCTTTTCCACTCCTAGTCAGATACTTTCACATATAATAGTTGTCTACTTTCCTCCTGAATTAATGGGGATTTATTTTGGCATATGGTGTGAAGTAAGAAGCTAAATTCTTTTTCTTTTCTCTGCATCATCAATGATCTCTTACACTGTTAAATAAACTAGTCTTTTCCTTCTGCTTTCCACACCCATTTAACCTAGCCCACTGTTGACATCGTCAGAGAAAACTTTTCATCAGAAAGTCTGAACAGCACAATTATACTGTATCAATCCAGCTTAAATTACACATGATTGTTAGGATGGGTAGAAGGTATGATAAAATGGGGTGAAAGTAAAATGAATGATCATCGATATACATGATGTCAAAAATTTGGGTATAACTGAAGAATTTTAGTAATTTAAAGATTTCAGAATTTAAATAATGAAATATCTGATACATTCAATTGGAAATTTGGTTGAGATCAGCTGACTTGTTAATTGGACTTCACTGATAAACATTTGCCTTAAAATCTGTAGAATCTAAAGCAGGGTATACCTAGTATGCGAGTAAGACATCATTTCTGGAATCAAGGGGGCTTTTCAGTGTTGACCAGATGTTTATCACTGCATGGGCAAATGGCCCAAGGAGTATGGTTGTGGCTTGGCTTATTTCTTCTTAACGCAGATGCAGTTGCTTTCTTTCTGGGTGGCAGTGTGGAGGATAACTGGGGTCGGTGGGGACATAAAGTCTCACAAGGGGAGGAAAGCCCCTCTGTGGGCTCTCTGGGCCAGCCACCCTCCTTACAAAGTGGGATGTCAGCTTCTGCTCTGACCAGAGTCAAAGTAGGCATCAGCTATTGCCATTACTGTTGTTGTATAATATGGTGAATAAAGGAAATGTGTTATATATATATTTTTTTCTTATTATTATACTTTAAGTTTTAGGGTACATGTGCACAATGTGCAGGTTAGTTACATATGTATACATGTGCCATGCTGGTGTGCTGCACCCACTAACTGGTCATTTAGCATTAGGTATATCTCCTAAAGCTATCCCTCCCCCCCTCCCCCCACCCCACAACAGTCCCCAGAGTGTGATGTTCCCCTTCCTGTGTCCATGTGTTCTCATTGTTCAATTCCCACCTATGAGTGAGAATATGTGGTGTTTGGTTTTTTGTCCTTGCGATAGTTTACTGAGAATGATGATTTCCAATTTCATCCATGTCCCTACAAAGGACATGAACTCATCATTTTTTATGGCTGCATAGCATTCCATGGTGTATATGTGCCACATTTTCTTAATCCAGTCTATCATTGTGGGACATTTGGGTTGGTTCCAAGTCTTTGCTATTGTGAATAGTGCCGCAATAAACATACATGTGCATGTGTCTTTATAGCAGCATGATTTATAGTCCTTTGGGTATATACCCAGTAATGGGATGGCTGGGTCAAATGGTATTTCTAGTTCTAGATCCCTGAGGAATGGCCACACTGACTTCCACAATGGTTGAACTAGTTTACAGTCCCACCAACAGTGTCAAAGTGTTCCTATTTCTCCACATCCTCTCCAGCACCTGTTGTTTCCTGACTTTTTAATGATTGCCATTCTAACTGGTGTGAGATGGTATCTCATTGTGGTTTTGATTTGCATTCCTCTGATGGCCAGTGATAGTGAGCATTTTTTTCATGTGTTTTTTGGCTGCATAAATGTCTTCTTTTGAGAAGTGTCTGTTCATGTCCTTCGCCCACTTTTTGATGGGGTTGTTTGTTTTTTTCTTGTAAATTTGTTTGAGTTCATGGTAGATTCTGGATATTAGCCCTTTGTCAGATGAGTAGGTTGCGAAAATTTTCTCCCATTTTGTAGGTTTCCTGTTCACTCTGATGGTAGTTTCTTTTGCTGTGCAGAAGCTCTTTAGTTAATGTGTTATATTTTAAGAGCTCAGTTATCTGTTACCTATTTGCCAGTGACAGGAACTCATGTCTTCTGAGGCAGTTGGTCTCATTTATGGTAGATATAATTAATTATTATCTAATTATTATTGCCCTTGAATTATTTGAAGATATCATCAGGCCCTCTCTTAAACACTTCCGTTCATGTGCTTTAGCTTCTTTATATGGCCAGCCACTCTCTGTGGATATGTCCAGGTTTGTTGATGTCCCCTTGACATCAGCCAACCATAACTTAACACTGGATGAGAGCTAAGCAGTGCTAAACTTATCACTTCCCTCGAATGTGTCATTATACTTTTATTAGTGCTGCTTGGGACTAGATTTCCTTTCTAGCAGCCAAGTCATGTTTTGGGCTCATATGCAGCTTGTAGCTAAGAAAGCCTTGAGTTGTTTTCCTATAAACCGTCTGAAACTATTTTTAGAATTCAAGTTACAACTCTGAAGTCCTGGGTCTTACTTAATCAATGATACCTTCTGAGATAAATACTGAAAATCCTTCAAGTATAGAACAAGGACATCCTAACTCTGGGCATCTGATGTCTGTTAAATGTATCACATTTTATTTATTTGTATTTTTTAAAGGAAGTGAGAAGGAGAAGTGAGATGCTGAGCATCAAGCTGGGCAGAGTTGTCATGTTGTGATCTGAGATTCTGTCCTGTTCTTCAGGATTTAAGGAGTCGCTAACCAATGCCAAGCATGGGCTCATCGGGTGCAGCTGGGGAGGCAATTACTTCAACTCAGGAGTTTTCAAAAACTTTCCTTATGCCTGCTCACAGGATTTCATGGTGTTTTTCTTCTTTGTTGTTACTTTTGTGGAAAAGGAAAGTTACCAGTGAACAATCTCTGTGACCTTCCTCTCAATCCCAAAAATATGCTTGTGATAAATCAGCAGTTTATTTTAATGCCTCATTTGGAGGCATTGCTTTTCCAAGAATGAATCTTTGCATATTATCTGAGACATCATTTTGGTGTAAGGTAGAATTGTACCAGGTATGTATCTTTGTGGCCAACTATACTGTCAAAACTGAGTTTCAGTCATCCAATAAAAAGGAAGCTGTCTCTGAATTCAGATATTCCTCCATTCTAAGGGAACTGAAGTATAACATAAAATACTTAACATTCTTTCTGTATATGTGAAAAAACCATACCTAAGGAATTTTATTATTCAGCCCATGTTTCTTTATTGTATCCAGTATAACATACTCGAAGATGTATATATACACATATATAGATATACAAAGCATCTATACATCTAGACATGTATATATACATATATATATACACACACGTATATACTGTACTTCAATCATCTATATTAAATTGTGATAATATCACATTACCACATGTTGATGGCATTCTTGTAATCTGCCTGAAATCCATGAAAACACATGCAGTGGTCTGGCTCATGTTGTCTCAGGGAGTGCATTCTGGCTCCCAGTGATCATCAATTACTTTTATAAAAGTTCACCAATCACTTGTTGGTTTCCGGAAAACAAATTTAAAGCAAACATTATTAATGTCAAACTTACACATTTTGCTTTCTGGAATCAACTTTTTTATTTTAAAAATTGAGAATATAATTTCTGTCTTTTGTTTCTTTGGGCATTTTTCTTATTCTCCACAATTATTCAAAGATCCTTAGCCATAGGTCTGAAAGTGTTTGTTTCAGCTCTCATCCCCCTTCCTTGCAGGTAAGGCTGGCATTCCACAGCCCTGGATAACTCCTCTGTGCTAGGTCTATGCCTGCTCCTGGGACACTGAACACTCCTAGGTTTGCAGGGTCCACGGTGTCCTTCGTGTCCCTCCCTGCCCAGCCTCAGCAGGAGCCCCCTGCTCCTAGACCACTCCCTTACTGAGTCCTGTAGATGTTCCAGCACACACAGTGCCTCCCTTCTCAAGGCCCCAGCCCCAGCCCCTTCTCAGGTCATTTGGGGGCTTACATCACCTGCTACCTGTGTGGAGATGGAGGTCTGTTTGCCAGCACTGCCTTGCTTTTCCTCCTGCCCCACTGCATTTAATCACTGTGATAAGAGGAAACAAAGAGGGAACGTCATTGGTCCCATTCCTCTGAATCTTGACCACGAAAATATCTTGAATTGCCTCCGTGTCCCCACCCAACATCGCCTCTTGCACTGCTACCTCTGCCTGAGTGCACATCAGCCAAGAGCCAGGAACCACTGCCCAACCACGACCCAGGCACAGACCCTTATCTCTAGCCTAGAGAAGAGGTGTGTTTCTTTCTAATCATCTGGTATGTATCCAAGGAAACCATAAATTGATCATTATTTTTGTATGTGGAATTAGAAATATTCATATAGACATACATTCTTTGGTTTTTATTTTTTTATCATCCCTAAAATAAATAGCAGATGTTCTCAAAATGGTTTATTAATTTCAGTCCTAAGATTGTATAATTGATTGAAACCATAAATGGCAGACAGAAGAACAGCAACAGTGAAAACCAAGATTAATTCTAATAAATTCATTACAATGGCAGGAATCAAGTGTACTTTAAGCTCACTGTAAAGTTTTCAGTGTGTTGTGGATTCAGAGGCAGTAGGTGATGACTTTTATTATATATTCTTAAGTACCTGGTTTTGGAGGGTGATGGCTTGTTGGAGGGAATGATGCTGAAGGAACATAATAAAACAATATGATAAATACAGGGAGAGAAGAAAGACAAAGGAAAAGAGGAAACAAATGTCAAGAATAAGATGAATAGGTAGGGGAGAAGAAAAAATAAGTTGTCATAATTTTATATTCCAAGGACTACGCTAGTCCTTGGACTACGCTGGTAAAAAGAAATCTAATCATGAGGCAGAGAATTTTATTTATTTCCCCATTCCTTTTGGCTCGTGGCTTGAGTTTGCTCTGGCTTTCATTGAATACATGGGCCAAGGCAGGATGAGCTTCTGCCTGAACCGCTGGGATGTTATTCCTGATCTCATGGAAAGACATGTCGCGGCTTCTGACCCTGTGCCTCTGTATCACTGTGTTCCCTGTATTCCTGTGCCCCTCGTATTAGTTTTCACATTGCTAATGAAGACATACCAGAGACTGGGTAATTTATAAAGGAAAGAGGTTTAATGGACTCACAGTTCCACATGGCTGGTGAGGCCTTACAATCATGGCAGAAGGCGAAGGAAGAGCAAAGGGACTTCTTACATGGTGGCAGGCAAGAAAGAGCATGTACAGGGGAATTCCCTTTTATAAAACCATCAGATCTCATGAGACTTATTCATTACCAGGAGAACAGTATGGGGGAAACCGCTCCCCATGATTCAGTTATCTCCACTTGGCCCTACCCTTGACACATGGGGATTATTACAAAATCAAGGTGAGATTTGGGTGGGGACACAGTGAGACTATATCACCCCTGTATCCCTGTGTCTCTATATTCCTGTATCCCTGGCTGAATGGGTCAAAGTAATGATCAGCCCACAGATATGCATTTGCCTCTGCTGAGAATAGAAAGGAATATAAATGAAGTCTTTTTCTTCATGGAGCTTATTAACTAGATGAAGAGAGAAAGCCTGTGGGAAAAGACAAATAGAACCTTCAGGTTCTATGCAGTGAGTGCCCAAGTGGTGATTGTGAAAATGAAAGTGCAGCCCTGCAGATGAGCAGAAGCTCATGGTGGGACCTTTCATGCAAGCTATGCAGAGGAGAGAGCATAGGATTTGGGGTTGGGACACACAGATTCAAATCATGGTCCTGCCACTTTCCTGCTACATGAACTTGACCATGTTATTTTACCCCCATGAAGTCTGAGTTTTCAGATGTGTAAAATAATACCACTAATGCATACTTTTTTAAAATTTAAATTTAAATTTTTTTTTGACACTGAGTCTCACTCTGTCACCAGGCTGGAGTACAGTGGCACGATCTTGGCTCACTGCAGCCTCCACCTCCTGGGTTCAAGCAATTCTCCTGCCTCAGCCTCCTGAGTAGCTGGAACTACAGGTGTGTACCACCATGTCCAGCCAATTTTTGTATTTTTAGTAGAGACGGGGTTTCACCATGTTGGCCAGGATGGTCTCGATCTCTTGACCTCGTGATCCGCCTGCCTCGGCCTCCCAAAGTGCTGGGATTACAGATGTGAGCCACTGCGCCCAGCCTAATGTGTACTTTTAAAAGCACTTTTCAAATACTTCATCTTGTTTAATCTTCTTGGCAGTTCTGTAAAGTGTGAAGCATTGTACAAAGTTAACTCTCATTATTATATTGGAACCCAGGGTTTTCAGAGGAGAATCCTCAAGGAGATAGGGCTTTCCTGCCTTGTGCCCATATAAGGTTGTGGATCCCAAGGGACGAAAGCATTTTCATCAGACTGGGAGAGGCAAGAAAAGGTCACTGGCAGTATAGATTCTTCTGGAGTTCACTGGCAACTTGTCCCACTTCAGTTCTCCCTTAATCTTTCCAGATGTGCAGATGTATAGCCTGGGTGGATGAGCCAAAATGAATTCAAGGCTAAACAGGTCAGCTGGCTCAGCCCATGGGAAGCATGCTCATCCCAAAGCAAAGGTCTCTGGCAGAAATTTCTCTGCACTTATTTACCCTGCTGTCTTCACATTGGGGTGCGGAGTCTAATTCAAAAACTCCAAGGCATGAGTCCAAGCCAGGGAGCTGTTAGAGGTGCACATGGGAGATCTTAGCAAGAGAAAAATATATGTTTTAAACCCTAGAAAGAAGAAAGTAAATGCCTCTCATTTACTTTAAACAAATAATATGGCCAAGGTCACATAGCAGGAAAGTGGCAAGGGGTCTGTCCTCTTTTCACTGTTCAATCATGACCATATTGTCCTGGAGGCCTAGGGGCAGGATATAATGAAGAAACATCCAATTTTGACAGAGTGGGTAAATGGGATTGTGGGACTTGTAGTGAGCTGATCTGTCTTCATTCATGTAATTATCAATATCATTTCAATGACCATGATGTTGATATGGAAAATGATGAGGATGATAGTACAGAAAGAACATGAATATTAGCTGATGTCTATTGAGTGTTTCCTGGGTGCCAGACACCACCGTTAAGTGCTGAACAAGGATTATAGAATTTAATTCTCTAGTGACCTTTTGAGATAGGTTATATGATTGTCAGCTTTCCACAAATGAGGAAGCCAATATTCAGAAGGATACGGTGCTGAAGCTTATGCAGTAAGAAATAGTAGAAGCAGAATTCAAACTCAGGCAATTGAACACCAAAATTCAAGCTCTTAATTACTATTTCTAGAACCCTCTGACTGACTGATTCCTCCCTCACCACAGCCAACTTTTGCATCCCCCATTTCTGGAGAGCATCTCCCCACATGGTATATACTCAAAGGTCCCATAGTGATCCTCTTCCCAAAGAGCGTGAATGAGGGGTTTGAAACTGCCAGAACTCTGGTCCAGAGCTTGGACTTTTGATGCGAATGATGGAGAAACCAAGAGGTTGATTTCCTCAGCCTTCAAGAGAGCTCATCCTCAGCTCTCTAAAGCTGACCAGAAAGAGGAGAGTGGGACCTATGAAAACAGCAGGAGATGGGAGGGCTTGAATTCCTAATGCTATACCCATAGGTCATTGTGCCATGGTCCTCTGCACCCCCAACACCCCCAACACTGATCCTGAAGGTCTCAACAATCTTCATCTGCCTCTCTCCTTTCACCTTCTTTACACTCTCATTGATAGCCTTGGTTTTTTCTATACCTCCAGTATTCCCATTCCCATGATAGCCATTTAAGGACAGGGCACTTCCTGGTCACCATAAGGAATATTGTGGGAATGTTCTGCTCATGGATATTGCATCAGAATAGGTCTGGAAATGAAACACACCAACAAAGTCAACAGAGGAGAGTCCAAGCAAAGCGTCTGTTTACAAAGTTGTGGAAGGTTTAGGGGAACTCATTATGAGATAGTTGAAGCAACCCAGAGCTAGGAACAGTGGCGCTCTTACCACACCAAGGTTTGAAGGAGCTCGGGTTTCTGGAACCCAGACATAGCAGCAGCAGTTGTGATAGAGGAGTTCCTGGCAGAAGCCATAGCTTTCAGTTGAGAAGGTGGTCACTGCCAACCCATGGCTCAGCTGGAAGGTAACCAGAGAATAAATTCCCCAAACTCTTTCTCTTCCTTTCCTGTGCTCTCTTATTGGTGCCTCCCATTGAGAGAACCCAACCAAAGCCAGCTGTAAGGGAAACTAATGAGGCATTTCCATATAGCTCAGCCTGCTGGGAAACATGTACTATAGAAAAGGGTGGAGAGCGGATCTAGAGAGGCAAAAAAATTAAACAACGGCACCGATGTTTACATTTCTTTCTGATGTAGAGACCTCATACCACTTTTCTGTACATCTTACTTTAATGTGTAAAAAGGCCTATAGGCTCTTTCTCTAGGTTCAGTAAAAGATGAACTAGGAAACATATGCCACATTTGAGCTTCCTCACAGCTTGGCCCCTGCAAAGCTGTCCCCTTCTAAGAACTAAGTGCCCTGGGTATTCAGTGCTGTGTTGTCTGGTGACTTCGCAGCCCTGTCAACATTGTTTTTCTGTTTGTTTGTTTGTTTAATTATACTTTAAGTTCTAGGGCACATGTGCACAACGTGCAGGTTTGTTACATATGTATACATGTGCCATGTTGGTGTGCCGCACCCGTTAACTCGTCACTTACATTAGGTATGTCTCCTAATGGTATCCCTCCCCCATCCGCCTACCCCACGACAGGCCCCAGTGTGTGATGTTCCCCACCCTGTGTCCAAGTGTTCTCATTGTTCAATTCCCACCTATGAGTGAGAACATGCGGTGTTTGGTTTTCTGTCTTTGCGATAGTTTGCTCAGAATGATGGTTTCCAGCTTCATCCATGTCACTACAAAGGACATGAACTCATCCATTGGCTCCTCCTCAGAAAGGTGGAAAAGCAGAACCTCTTAAACTGCTCCAGGTTTCCTGGAGAGCCTTGCCTTAAAAAAGGCCCTTTTTTTGGGGTGGGGGGGACACCAATGCCGTGACTCCTTCAAGAATGTGATTCTAGCAAGAGACTGAGCTCTATTCTTTTTCTTCCTCCACCCTCTCTTAAGGCAAATTGAGTCAAACCATCTCAGTCTACCCACACCATCCTTCTTTAATTTCTGTAGTTAAGAGCATAAATCCCTTCCCTATTCTGAGTGTGGTTCATCGACCTACAGCATCAGCATCACCTGGGAGTCTGTCAGAAATGCAAAATCTTAGGCTCCAGCCCACATCCCTGAGCCAAATCTGCCTTTTGCAAGATCCCCAGGTGATATACATGTACATTAATTTTAGGAGGATTGATGTAGCCTGTATGCCATGGTAAGAGGCATGCAATGTAATGTTGAGTTTCTTTCTTTAGAATTTATAGTAGCAGCCGGGACCGGTGGCTCACGCCTGTAATCCCAGCATTCTAGGAGGCTGAGGCTGGTGCATCACTTGAGGTCAGGAGTTGGAGATCAGCCTGGCCTGGCCAACATGGCAAAACCCTGCCTTTACCAAAAAATACAAAAATTAGCCAGGTGTGGTGGTATGCCCCCGTAGTCCCAGCTACTCAGGAGGCTGAGATGGGAGAGTAGCTTGAACCTGGGAGGCGGAGGTTGCAGTGAGCCAAGATCACACCACTGCACTCCAGCCTGGGTGACAGAGTGACATAGTGAGTCCCTGTCTAAAAAAAAAAAAAAAAAAAAAAAAAAAAAAGAATTTATAGTAGCCACAAAAGCCTTTTTGAGTAATTGAAGAAATTCTGAAGTTATTGTGTGCTTTGAAATTTAGTATTTATTGAATAGTTTATATCTTTCAAAAAGCTTTTATAACTCATTGGAGTCTCGTCATAACTCCATGAAATACGTAAGGTAGATAATAGGAGCCACATTTTCCACATGAGGATCTGAGGCATGATTAAGTAAAATCAGTCCTCTGCTAGGTGGAATGGTTTTGAGACCAGATACTAGGGCTCAGAACTCATTTTAAAGCTGTTGTGGCAGCTATCAATTCTGAAGAAAGTCAACATGGCATAGCATGCCTCTTACCATGGCATACAGGCTGTATCAATCCTCCTAAAACTAATGTACATGCACACCACCTGAGGGTCTTGCAAAAGGCAGATTTGGCTCAGGGATGTGGGCTGGAACCTAAGATTTTGCATTTCTAATAGACTCCCAGGTGATGCTGGTGCTGTAGCTCCCTCCGTCCCCCAGCTTTCCCCCATCAGTATTTCTGAACACTTGATCCACACCCAATCTGCCTCAAAATCACTTGTGGTGGAAAATGCTTGTTAAACAGGTAGATTGTTGTGCCCCATACCAAGACATAATGGATTTCTTATGGTCTCTAAATGTGAGAATCACTTTTTTGTATTGGTTTGAATGTTCTGATTTAAGAGTATGGGATGAGGGAATTTTAGGTTCATTGTGTTCACATCAGTAGGACTTAAACCTATGGAAGACTTTGCAGCAGAATAGGAAGATTATTCTCCCAGCCTACCCAACAGTTGAAAAACGATCAGAAGGACTTGGAAGGGAGCAATGGAGGATTGATGACAATGGCAAAGACTGAGCAGTCCCCAGGCGTGACAACAAAAAGGAAAGCAATCAGCTGTGGAGAGAGAAATGGTGTTGATGATATTATGAAAGTCGGGATATAAACAAGAATGAGAAAGGGAGGAATGGGGAAACTGAATGAGACAGAAGCACAGAAAAAAGAAGAAAGGAAAAAAGAAGGAAAAAAGGAGGAAAAGTGGGAGAAGAGACAGATGGAGAGTGAGAGAAGGGAGGCAGGTAGGTAGGCAGAAGAATGAGGAAGAAAGCAAAGGAGTTGAGACTGGGAATGGACAGAAGGAAACCTGTACATGCTGTGATCTGGGCTTTCTATGTTCCCTGATCCAGGGTCCTGAGATCTTGGGGTACTCGCCACTGCATTGTAAGTTTCTGTGGATGAAGCTGGCATATAAATACATCTGTAAAGCTGTAACTCCTGGGCATTGTCCCTGAAATTTTACTGATGTCTAGATTCTAGGTATGGGATTAAATGGGTCCACATTTTGTGTTTTTCTGAGTCACCAATTACAACAAAACTTGCTCATATACTTATGCCTATCTTAAAAAATAATTTATTTTAATAAAATAATAATAAGGCAAGAAAAAAAGACACCCAGATTTGAAAAAGCAAAAAATGTCTTTATTTGCAGACAAAATCATGTATGTAGAAAATCCTAAGGAATCTACAAATTAGCTACTAGAACTAATAAGAAAATTTAATGATGTCTCAGGATACAGGGTCAATATTTAAAAATTATTGTATTTCAACTTATAAGTGATGAATGTTTGGATAATGGGGTTTAAATAATCCATTTACAACAACATCCAAAATATAAAATAACTAGCAACAGACTTTATAAAAACATACAATGAAAATTGAAGCACGTTGCTGGGAAAAAGAAAAAAGAAAACAAAATTCATAAAAAGACATTATATTCACTGAACAGAACACTTAGTATTTTTAAGACGTCAGTTCTTATCAAATTTATGTGTAGACTCAATTCAATCCCAATCAACATTCCAACATCAACATTTGGCTAGAGAGCAAAGTTGGGGTCAGATTGTGTAGGGCTGTGTTAAAGAGTTGAGCATTACATGAGATAATGGATGTGAAGAAAGTGCTTAATAGGGGGTCGTGCAGAGGAAGTGCTCAAGAAATAGTATCATTGTCATTATTACCATTACTGTATTGTTGTTATTATTTAACAAATGTTTTCAAGCCCACTTTGGCTTGTGTATGGGTTGAGGAAAACGCTACCCAGGCAGAAAGATAAAACTTATTCTCCATGCCTCTTGAGAAAAGAAGCAGCAATCCCCAGATGTAGGGAGGAGGGGAGCCCTGCTGGCTTTTAGTCAGCCTCACACAGGAAAGGAGAGGTAGAGATTCTGCAGCGAACAAGAATCATGTCCGGGACTTCACAGACAGGGACACTCAAAGGTTGGATGATGCTCAATTGCAGCATCCACCTGCAGGGGCCTCACCCCACTTCTCACTTAATGATTGTCTCTGCTGTTAGGGAGCCCTTGAAAGCCAGGTGTTTTGTCTCCTTCCCAAAGCCTCAGAAGATAGACGGGGGCCATGAGGGAGGTGGGGGCAGGGAAGGGGGAGTTCCTGTCTGTTCTTTTCTGCCCTTCCCTGTGCTCTCCACCTCTATCCCCTCTTCCTTCCCAAACAGGTGGCAGGAATGTTAAGACTATGAATTCCATCAAGAGCAAGCAGGGTTCCTTAGGGCACCAGTTGGTAAGTGTAAGAGGCCTCATCCGCTTGCACCAGCAGCAGAAAGAAGCTGCAGGAAGAGTCTCTTTTGGGCATGAGAAGCTAAAGGAGGCTGGTGGTTTTCTGGTTAACTGCACAAGGCCTGCAAGTTCTACAGATGTCCTTTGAGGACCAGAGCAGCCTCCTTTCCTCCCACACTCTCCAGACATGGGAGGCAGTAGGAGTTCAAAGCACTTCTCAGAAATTGAGCCTTTGGTTCTGCTGTCAGCAAAAGGCTGTGAAGCTCAGTCCCCGACACTGGGTAGGAGAAGGGTGAATGAAGACTAGGGGGTCTGGTGAAGGAAGTGGGGAAACAAACTCTTCATTTTTAAAGAGAGTGACCTGGCAAAACACAGAGAAGATACTTTGGGTTTGGAGGAACGTGCAAGAGGTCGAGAGTCACTGCCGAGGGGTTTTGATGCGGCACTGTGCTCCGGCAATGGGAAGGGCTGTGGTCAGGAAACAAAGCAGCAGGTGTGGCCCATGTGGAATTGTCAGGCAGGATTTACCTGTGGTGGCCCGTGCCGCACAGCCTGGCCCACCTTCTGTCCACCTCTGCTTTCCTTCTTAGGACCTCCTAGAAAGAAAGCTGGACCTTCCGAAAAGTAGCTTGGGAGGCAAATAACATTTATCGAATGCATCAATGTCTTAGGCCTCAAGCAAGGGTTTAACATGAGAATCTCTTTGAGTTCCCCTAGCATCCTATGAGGTAGACACTATTAATATCCCCCAAGGCTCAGAGAAGTTAAGTCACTTACCAGGAAACACAACTATTAAATCAGGCCTGCGTTTGATCCCAGGGATGTTAAATTTGAGGCCTGAGCTCTTTCCATCATACTGCGAAGTCTCAATTGTGGCATCACTGCAAAAGAAAAACCAACTGAACGTTGCTGTCACATGCAGAGAGAGAGACAAAGAAGAGAAAGGGGGATGCAGCTAAATGCTGGGCTTTTTGCTCTTGCAGGACCATGCCACAGAGTCCACCGTCTGGGGAGCAGGGCCTGTGAGCTACAGATTCTCGAACAATACAATCATGGGTCAATGCCTGGGCAGAGAATAGGTTCTCTTTGAAGTTCATTATCTCCAGAAAGCTTTTCCAGCTTCCAGTCACTGCTTCACTCCAGTTTTCTTTCTTCTTTTTTCATCTTGGCTTATTTTAGTTGGCTTCTATGCCCATGACTATCACCCTCAACCAAAGACAGAGAGGCTCCAATGCAGGAGGCAGACAGATTTGGGCTTGAACCCAATGCCGCTTCCTTGCTGTGTGAGCTTTGTCAAGTTATTCTATTGCCTAATTTTTGGGGATTGTATTATGTTATGTTACATGTTATGTTTTGTTACATGATATTGTGTTATATTACTATCTTCTTCATGGTGTTATTATATTATTAAGATTGATGAGATAATGTGTGTCAGATTTCTAGCAGGTTTCTTGGCATATTGCAACCACCAATACACTGAACATATACTGTCTATGTAACTTTCTCAGACTCAGAGATTTTTGTCTCTTTTATCTCCCACAATTCTTTTCTTTTCAAAATGTCACTTCCAGAATTTTTTCCCAGAAGAATCCAGTCCATTAAATAAGAATGTTTTTTCACTAAAATTTTCTTTCTGCATACTCTTAGGATTGTATGATGTTCGTCTGTCTCCCCCACCTACAACCTCCAGCAGAGAGAAGAGGGCTGAGCCAGTAGTGACAAGGGTGGGACTTTCACATCTCTTTTATTCCCCCTGTAGCTTTTTGCTAAGGGCTAACTGATTTCACTTAAAAAAAAATTTTTTTTTAAGAGGCCTTCCATCCTGGTCAGACTTCACCTTTTTGCACCTTAGTATTCTCGGCTAGAAAATGGAAATAATAAGTCCTCCCCCACTCACTTTACAGGGTCATCATAAAAACTCGATAAGATATATTGTTTAAAATATTTAAAAACCTTGGAATGCTTCATGAATATAAGGCATTGTTATTCAAATACAGAGCTTCTTAAGAGCTTTACTTTTTAGCTCTGTGATCAGTTAACTTTTGATGTGGAGCAGGCAACCACGAATTCTCAGAGGCGTGCAACAATAAACATTTATTTCTCACACATCTGTGGAGCTGAGCTGATGTAGGCTGGGCTTGCTTCTCCATCTGGGGGTGGTGTCGTTTGGCTGACCGTGTTGGGCCTGGCTGGGTTAGTATGGCTCCACATGTTTCTCATCCTCCTCCCAGGATTAGTGGGCAGCCCAAGCATGTCTTTCTTCAAAATGATGCTGGATACATAAGAGAGCAAGCAAAAACATACATGGCTTCTTGAAGCCCAGGCTTGGAATTGGTATGCCATTGCTTTTACTGGCCAAGCAAGTCACATGGGTGGCATCAGGGATGGGCTTATGCATCATCTACTGTGGGAGGAGTTTTCTAAGTATGATGAGGGCACAGATACAGGGAGCGGTGACCATTACGAACATTAATGCGAATCCTCCACACTGTGTTTCTTGATCTGCCAGGACAGGGTTCTCTGAAGGCCAGTAGAGGTTCAGTGCTTCCAAAAAAGGATGCTGGGCTCAGGTAGGTAGACAGAGTTCATCACCTCTATCATGACTGATTGGCTCTAAGGCCCAATGACAAAACTCTTTACTTCTGTAAAGTGTTAGACAGTGAAGAAGATGAAAAGGCCATCATGAAATTCAGTCTCTGCTTTTAGTTTTTGTTTGAAATTCGGTCTCATTGTTGTGTTTGTTTTGTTTTGTTTTGTTTTTCCATATTTTCTCCCAAGGGTTATTACTTTCACAACAGTGGAAAAATATTCCTTATGTTCTCTCCCCTCTCCTTCCCAGGATTCCTTTAGATTCCTGTGTGTGCCTGAGGGAGCTAGAAGAGAAATACATAAAACATATAACTGTGGGACTCTTGTCTGAGCCCATCTCCATTCTTAAGTCCCATTCACCCCCACAAAAGCTTTCCTTAGAGCCAATTATGTTCCTTAGGCTACCATATCCCCATAAACAGACGTGAGCCACTGTGGGTTCCTAGTAATGAGATTTTGTTTGGCAGTTTTATTTGCAAATGACTCCAAAGATCTGAGTAAAACATCTTAGAGCAAGAAATTCTGGGTTAGAAATTTTCAAACCAGAACACTTCTTCAAAGGAAGATGAGGTTGAGAGAGGGGGTGGCGGTGAGGCAGGGATTGATTTTAATGGGCCAGTATCCAGGGCTCCAGATGTTTCTTCAAAAGGAATCTCCCAAATTATTGAGCCCAAGTTACAGAATAAGCGAGAAAGAAAATGGTCTACAGAATCTTTGATTGGGTCCGCATGAATTCATTAAAAGTGGTTGTCAGGGAGATGTGAGGGGTGGGGAGGCTTGCACATATGTATATTAACACACACACACACACACACACACGCACACGCACGCACACGTACACAAAGAGCTTGGTGTACTGGTCTTGTCAAATGCTTTCCTCCCTCTGTCCCTCCCCACGAAATTAAATCCAAGGTCTGGAGTTTTGCCCTTTAGGTTAAAAACAAAAAAAACAACAAAAAAAACAAACTGCTGCTTTTCCAAAAAGCATTAAAGAGAGAAAAAATATAACAGCAGCTACTGACTTGAATTGAACTTAAAATTTCCCAGGAAGAATCTGCTCAGAGCCGAACTCAGAAACTTGTTGCAAGCTCCCCAGACATGAGAAAATAAACTTCTATTAAGCTGGCACTGAAGTGCCTGGAAGGGTGTTCAACCCTTAGAACAACTCTTAGCTTTCCGAGGAGTTTCAGGGTTGGAAGAACAACTTTGCCAATTCTACCCTCAACTTGGAACAAAGCATTATACATCTGGAGGAGTCTGGTGGTTTAATGCTTTCTTTTCCATCCAAGATTATTCATTCATTCAATAAATATTTAGTGAGAACATACTACCTACTGGGCACGGTGCTAGGTGTTGAGATGTGGTGATCAGGGTGAACAAAACAGACATAGTCATTGTCCTCCTGGAATTTGCACTTTATTGGAGGTAGGGGAGCACAATTAACTAATTACGTTTACTTGAGATAAGTGTAGTTAAAGAAACAAACAAGATCCAGAGACAGAAAGTAGCAAGGACTTACAGGATGATCAGGGAAGTCTTTTCCATGAAGGTAACATTTAAACTACATAATGCTGATATTTTGAATCTGAACCTGAGGATCTCAGAATTTTCCACTTCTCCCTCTGAAACAGAGGAGGTTTTGGTCCACAGGAGAGGCTAAGGGTTGATTCAGTCAAAGTCTTTGGAGTTCAGATTAGCCCTCGCAGTTAGCTAGAAGTGGGGATGGAAACTTAATACACTTGAATTCACACACCTCCGGAAGTATTTATGGCTACTTCTGGTTCTGACGGCAAGGTCAGGTGAATCAACTTGGTCTTATGAATATAGTTGTTTTCCATATCCCTTGTTGAAAATAGAAGCAGGTTTGAATCAACGTAAAGAGGAAGTTGTTAAACACCATGAGAAACTTCCAAATCAGGTGTGTCATGGACTCTTTCTCTACCTGAGATAAAGATGAGTCTGAATAAAATAACTGAGAAGTGGACTTAGGTGAAAATGAGAAGATAGTAAAGATGATTTGTCACAAATTGTAGGGAACAAAATCCAACACCACACTAAGAAAATAATATACTATGACAAGGTGGGACCTATTACAAGAATGCCAATTTTGTTCAGTTTTAGAAAATACATTAGAATAATATACATTAGTATAACTCAGGAAAAATATTGTGATTATCTCCAGAGATGGTGAAAAAGCCTTTGAGCAAACTGAACACCTACTCCTAACAAAAGCACTCAAGAATATACAAATTAATGGCTGTTTCTTTGACAAGATAAGAAATATATAGTTTGGTCTTAACACCAGTATCTGTGCTAATGAGAAAATATTAGGGGCATATTTATTAAGATCAGAAATAAATAATATCCTCTCTCCCCTTTATTTGACATTGTACTGGAGATATTAGCCAATGCAATTAAACAAGGTAAATTAAAGGTATAAAAATTAGAAACAAATAAGTTAAACTGTCAGTATTTGCAGATGATATGATAGTATACATGGAAAATTCAATCAATTATAAAATGAACTCAAACAATAAAATATTTTGCTAAATTTAGAAAAGATAAGAGAATTTAAAATTAATACTCAGAAATCAATAGTTCTTATATACAAAACCGAACACCAGTTAGAGGATATGATAGGGAAAACCTCATTTAAAATCCAAAGGGGAGAACTTTAAAGCTTCCTTAATGAAACAAAAGTAGACCTGAACAAACAGAAAGACAACTTTTTGCTTTTTTTTTTTTTTTTGCTTAGGATGTTTTAATATCATAAGGTTGCCATTGTTCTCTTAGCTAACTTATAAATTGACTACAATCCTAATAATCACATTAAAATTTTTTATAGTGAAATTGATACTGAAGTTATATGGAAAAAATAAGAATAACTAGAGAAATATTAAGAAATTAAAAGAGAGCTACAATGAAAGATTAACTCTGCCTAAATTTAAAAGGCATTCTAAAGTTTCTGTGATTGAACTAGTAAGAACCTTGTGCGTAAGTGGAAAGACCAACTAATGAAATAAAATATGATCTGAAAGAGACCCATATGCATGTGAAAATTTAGTATATAATAAAAATGCAAGTTCTAATCACTTGATAGTCATTCCTTTAAAGAGATACAATGAAATCCATACCTTAAACCATATAAAAGAATAAACCTCAAATGTATGAAAGATAGTATATATAGAAAATAAAACCTTATAAGTCCACAATTCTAGTTAGAAGAAAATATCATTAATTTCTGACTTGATCTGACCTGGGTCTAACTATAATTTGGAATCCTGTAATAATAAATGATAATAGTAATCAAAATGATGATAAAGAATAAAATTTGACTAGGTAAAGTTTAGAAACAACAAATTTGAATGTTCAAAAATATTATCAGCAGTAAAGTCAAAAGCCAAGTGACGAACTGGTAGAAAATGTTTCTATATATATCAGAGATAAAAAGTTAATGTCCCCAAAGTATAAAGAATTTTTGAAATTGAGAATAAGCGGAAAACCAAAAACCAATATAAATGGGCAAAAGATACGTTCATATAATTTAAGTGGTCCCTAAATATATAAAAATATCTTCAACTTTCAAATATCCTTAAACATATAAACATACATTCAAATATGTTTCTTGTAATAAGAGGAATGAAAATTAAATATAATGAGATACCATTTTTCACCTATCAGAATGGTAAAACAATTTTTTTTAAACTCTTAACACACTGTTGACAAAGCTGTGAGAAGAAATACTCTCAGTGTTAGGAGGAATGAAAAATAATGCAACTCTTTGGAGAGGAAGTTGCAATCTCTAACACAAATACATATGTGTTTCTCTCTTGAGGTGGCAATCCCTATTCTAGAAATTTACTCTGAAGCTATACCTCTAACAATATGAATATGAAAATACATGTACACAAAGTTATTCACTGCAGCAATGTTTATAATTGCAAAATATTAGAAACAACCTAAAATTTCCATATGTACTAGACTGAATGTGCAATGATACATCCACTCAATGGAGTAGTATGGAGTTGTGAAACAAATGAGGAAGATCTTTATGCTTGACACAGAGTGATTTTCAGGATATTTTATTGAGTGGAAAAAGCAAAGAGCAAAAGAGTATTTCTGCAATGTATACTATACTACATTTTGTGTAAAAAAGAATATATACAATGTATGCTATGCTACGTTTTGTAGAAGAGGAAGACAGATGAAAATAGACATATTTACAATATCTGTCTAATTTTGCTGGCAGAAACACAGGAAGAATAAACCAGAAATGGATACAATTTGTGATCTATAGAGGATGTGGGGAAATGGGATGGAAAGGACGAGTGGTGGGCGTAGGGGACGGCACTTCTCTGAATATACCTTTTGTATCATTTTTAGTTTTGGAACCATGCTGACATTTTACCTACCAAGAAAAAGCACTAACTATATCATAAATGAAGAACATTACCACACTGAACTAGGGAAAAAATTTAAAAACTAATACAAGTAACATTTGAACTCAATTCTTTGACTATAGACCATCAGACTAAATACAAAAGGAAACATAAACATTAAAATGTAGTTAACAGTTTTTGTCTAACACATAGTGTTAGCAATTCAGAAACCACTTTATGTGAAACGTAGAAATGAGTGAGTGAGCAAATGCATAACTATATTAAGGATAAAGGAGAGTAGGTTTCTGACTGTTGAAGACAATTAAAAATATGTACAGAGGGCCGGGCACAGTGACTCATGCCTGTAATCCCTGCACTTTGGGAGGCTGAGGCGGGTGGATCTCTTGAGGTCAGGAGTTCGAGACCAGCCTTGCCACCATGGTGAAACTCCATCTCTACTAACAGTATAAAAATTTAGCCGGCCGTGTGGCACGTGCCTGTAATCCCAGCTATTCAGGAGGCTGAGGAAGGAGAATCACTTGAACCCAGGAAGCGGAGGTTACAGTGAGCTGAGGATTGTGCCATTGCACTTCAGCCTGGGCAACAGAGTGAGACTTAGTCTCAAAAAAATAAATAAATAAAATAATAACGTACAGAGGAAAATCTCGAATGTACCAATAGTAATAATCTTGGGTTAAAATTGTTGGCATCAGCAAAAACTCATGGTTTTATTAAATATATTAACATTTAATAAATAATATGTATTAATATATAATTTCATATATACGTACATCTATATGTATCTTATATGTATTTCTTTTTTATATATAACATCTGTGTGTGTGTGTGTGTGTGTGTGTGTGTGTGTGTGTACACCCCTTCAGTCCTATGAATAGCTGTGTTCACTGAAGGAAGCAATGGCACTTCAATAAAAACGAGCACATCTAGTCCCAAGACCTTGTTTCTAAGTACCATTCCTCAACAAAAAGAATCCTCAACAAAAAGACATTTCCTGAAGAAATGTCTGATGCCATAGGCTGGTTGGAGCAAAGAAGGCCTAACATGATCGTGAATTACCTTATTGTACCAGAAAAAAAAAAAAACTATGAAAAAATGATGGCGATATATCAAAAAGACTCAGGATCCAGTGTGAGCAGCTCTTATTGGGCAAGTCTTGGAAATTTGAACAACAAAATCAACAACGGTTAGTTACACATTAACATGTTTGACAAAATAAGAATCCATGAGTCCAGACTGATATAAATTAATGAGTGAATAAATGAATAGGTGATTGAGAAGAAAGGAAAGCTTCTCTTCACAATAGAATGCCAATTAACAAATACAAAAGGAACAATGGAGTTAGAAAAGAGTTAGAACACTACCATTTTGCAGCAATTACAATAATAATTAGTTTAGGTAAGAATCATGAATGGGTGATACATTTACGGAGACTGTTTGATGAGGAACTGGATATTACATAGCCTCACAGTGTTTCTCATAGGCTATTTCTAATTCTAGAGGAAAAATAGTAACTTCACAGTAAGAAGCATGGTGGACACCACCTTAACCAAATGATTCAAGTTATCAATAACAACGGGACAATCTGACATGTGTTTCCCAATATACAGATGAAAAAGAGCATAGCATCACAATTTTACAACATAAATCTAAGCAAAAGGAAAGAAAAGACAAACCCAATTGAAGGAGAGCCACATTAAGTAATTGGCTTGAACTCTTCAAAATGCGAAGGTTATAGAAGTCAAAGGAAAGACTGGGTTAATATTCTTCTAACACTGTAAGTCTCAGCCTAAATCCAAAGGCCTGAGAACCAGGAGTGCAGACATCCAAGAGCAGGAGAAGAGAGATGGCCTGGCTCAAGCAGAGAGTCAATTTGCCCTTCCTTCATCTTTTTGTTCTATTCAGGCCCTGGAGGGATTAAATGATACCCAGCCTTCACTGGGGAAGGTAATCTTCATTACTCAGTCTGCTGATTCAAATGTTAATCTCTTGCAGAAACACCCTCACAGTCACACCCAGAAATAATGTTTTAACAGCTACCTGGTCATCCCTTACCTCAGTCAAGTCGATACATAATTAACCATCATAGAGCCAGAACATGCAATAACTTGGAAATAATTCAGTCATTGTGCAAGGAGTTACCTAGACTCTGTTTTAGGCTGGAAGGTGGGAGTGAGATATAAAATGCATACAGTGATCAGGAGGCTACGAGTACTAGAAAGAACTAGAAAGCTTTAACTCTTTCATGGCAATAATAAAATTCAAGATTGTTACTAGGAATAAACTGTACCAGAGTTATGTGAGACCCAAACACAGTCAGAATTAGACTTTGGAGGTATTTGTTGAATTGAACTGAACCCTATAGCTCCCCATTGTTCATAGAGTGCCTACAACCTGTGGCCACTGCACTAGGCATTCAGGATTCAGAATGTTGAGAGGACTATGAGAAGTAACGTGGCTAAGCATGGAACCAGAGAGAGTTGGCCCAACCCTTTCATTTACAAATGAGGAAACTGATGCCCACAGTGAGACTGGCCTGGCCCAACATTACACAACCAGTTTATGGCAAAGCAAAGAGAAACACCTGTTTGGGTAGTGAGGGTTGCCTTTTAGGTGCCCTGACCCCATTTTTACCACCAAGGATTGAGGAGGAATTGCAGTACAAAGAGACAAGAGATAGAAAAAATTTGAGCGTTGCTGCTGCTATAGACCCTCCATCCAGCAAAGCCTTGAGAGAGATATTCTACCACCGGGCTGGGACTGTAAACTAGTTCAACCATTGTGGAAGACAGTGTGGCGATTCCTCAAGGATCTAGAACTAGAAATACCGTTTGACCCAGCCATCCCATTACTGGGTATATACCCAAGGGATTATAAATCATGCTGCTATAAAGACACATGCACACGTATGTTTATTGTGGCACTATTCATAATAGTAGACTTGGAACCAATCCAAATGTCCATCAGTGATAGACTGGATTAAGAAAATGTGGCACATATACACCATGGAATACCATGCAGCCATAAAAAAGGATGAGTTCATGTCCTTTGTAGGGACATGGATGAAGCTGGAAACCATCATTCTGAGCAAACTATTGCAAGGACAGAAAACCAAAGACCACATGTTCCCACTCATAGGTGGGAATTGAACATTGAGAACACCTGGACACAGGGTGGGAAACATCACACACTGGGGTCTGTCGTGGGGTGGGGGAAGGAGTGAGGGATAGCATTAGGAGATACACCTAATGTAAATGACGAGTTAATGGGTGCAGCACACCAACATGGCACATGTGTACATATGTAACAAACCTGCACATGTACCCTAGAACTTAAAGTATAATAATAAAAATAATATATATTCTACCACCGGGCTGCTAACTTGGCAAGGGCTGAAAGAATCCAACCGAGAAGAAAATAGGCCATCATTGTGCCCCTCTCCACATCAAAATGCAATTACTGAGCTTTTCTTAAGAGCTCAGCACTGTGCTAGATGTTGTCCATGTTGATCTTCACAACTGCAGAGGCTGAATTACTATATGTTTATGTGATAACTAAATATTCTATTATGCTTGCATTTGTCTTTGGTGAATATTATTGAAGTCGTTTACTGCTACGGTTTCCTCTGCAGTTTTTCTACTAGTCCATCACACTCTTCTTTTTGGCCCTATTTTTACCCATACTCAGTTAGTTTCTTGTGGCAGGCTACGTGTGTGTGAGGTTCTGTGTGTATGTGTGTTTGCGCAAACATGGTTTTGTGTCAGTATACCTCATAGATATGAAAACAGTTTCTGTTCAAACAGTACCCACACTTAGACTCCATATTAATCTTGGCTCAATTCTGTGAAAACTGGCCCTGAAGTCTGTGACCCCCCTTACTCACCTCTTTACCTCATCTCAACCAAAAGAATCCACTTCAAGAACACCTTCCGCACAAGCTCTTCAAATATCTCAAGTTCTCTTTTCCAGTATGGTGTTGCAGGGTGTAGTGAAAAATGCATGAGTTTGGAGTCAAACAGATTCCCGTTCCATTTCTGGTTGTATCCTATATTACCACTTGGAGTTGTTGGCAGTCTTAGGTGAACACAGGAGGCAATTCTTTTTTTACAGTGACTGACAAAGAGGTGAGCAAGAAATGTGAGTCTCTTATTTATTCCCAGCCCCTCTATCTTAACTTGTTGAAGGTAAAGACCAGTGGATCTGAATTTAGATTATTTACCCTCCCATGTGTGGGGAACACACACACGTGCACACACACACCAGGCTGGAATTTCTTCAGTTTGTTCCTCCGGGTCTACTCTATACTTCATGGAAGCTGATCTTATGACTTACATCAATGGTCTCCCTTGTCCTCTGGCTTCTATTAGATTTGGCAAATGGGGAGCCCTGGCAGATCACTGAAGGGAGGACAGAAGTTGTAGTATTTATTCCTGTGATATTCTCTCCTGGTGTGTCACCTTGGGCTGTCTGCGTCCCTTGACAGAAGGTCACCCTCTTGTCAGGCATCACTTTTCTCACAGTTCTCTCTGTCTCTGGGTTCCAACACCACTCCCTCTTCTTGACCCTTAACGCCTAGGGGTGATTATAGCTCCAGCTGTTATTAGCACGGAGGACTGCACGATCCCTTATGATTTCACTACACCCAGTAAATAGAACCTTTATTAAGCTTTTCCCAAATAACCCAATTTCAGTGCACTGTCTGTTTTCTGCTTGGACTTTCACTCACGTATGTGCATGCACACACACACACACATACACACACGCATGCACACTCATACCCACGTACTCTCTATATACGTGTACATTGAGTGCTATGGAATTTTTAGGGTTCTTTGAGGACAACTTCCTGGAAGAAGAATAATGGGAGATGTGCTCAGAGGCTGGTGAGCGTTTAATTGACCTGGTTGTGAGCACAATGGGAATGCTTTTCTGAACCTTCCATTTGCCTCCAATTTAGAATAACTGCTTAGTCAGCAACATGTCTCCAATTAACATGACAGATTTTTTGGACCACAGATCTCTTTGGGAATCTTATGTAAGCTGTGAAACTTCTCCCTTAAAAAACCTACATATTTAATTCTGTCTGTAATTTTAGGACTTCACATATCCCCAAAGACCATTCATGATCCACCAGGGTTAAAGACTTGTTTTAAGTAAAGAAAATATTCACAGCCTCTGGAGTAGTAGACATCTCCAGAGAAAGTCTGGCATTCTTTGGTAACTCATGGCATTTATTACATTAGCTTTGGATGGAACAACCCCCAACCCCCAAGTCTGAGCATGTGGTTTGATGCTGCTTCCTTTCCATTTTCACTCTGCTCTCTTGGATTCTATGTAGCAAAAAGGTACCTTTTCTAGGGTCACATGTCCACTTCTCAAACTCTGTCTTGCACTGGGGATTTGAGGGTGGACTATCAGAGCATAATGGAAGAGGCAGGAAAGGATAGCACTAATTAGAGAACTTGATAGGCCTTTTGCTACTGATAAAGATTCTGTCCTGTATCATCCATGAGGTTTGGATTTGCACTTCTAAAAAATAGCTGTGTGTTTTTGACAATAGCCACTCCCTTTTTGCTCCTTTCTGGTCTCTTTCCTAAATGACTTTCCAGGATAGTATAAAATAAGCAATCTATTTAGAGGAACAAAACAAAGAACTACACCATTAGCATTAAAATATTTCTAGGGTAGTTTAGGTAACATAGAACTTTGTAGCTCAGCAGTCTTGGAATCACTAGACTCTAAGCCCCATGTAGTCAGAGACTGCCTGCTTTTATAATTCATCCCCAACAGCAGGCTATTGCATAACACATTGTTACCACCCACACCATTTTGTTGAGTAAATGAATGCATGCATGAACGAATCAGAGGATTCTGTTGTCTAAATAAACTTTGGAGGTGACTTAGTCTTCTCTTCCCTCTGATGCTTAGATCTTCTTTATCTCTCAGTTCAACATATATTGCTCAAATGGTTCCTAGGTGCAAGGGATCTGGAAGTTATTAAAATGAAATAGATTTTGGACCATGACCTTGACAAATTATGATCTACTAGGAGAGATAATATGGAAATCAGTATAATACTACAGAGACAGTAAAAAGGAAAAAGAAATGTTTGCACTTAATAATTATTCCACCATTGTTCCAAAAGTTTCAATTATAGGGAACTAAGTTCCACTACTAATAAAAGTCAATACGCATTGTATGCTTACTGCATGCTAAATATATTATGTCATTATAATATTTATGTTCAGGTGTATACTATGATTGTATGTATTTTACGACAAGGAAATTGAGGCTCAGAGAGGTTAAAGAACTTGCTCAAGGTGACAGAGCCAGTAGGTGGTAGAACAAAGACTCCTACATTCTGACCTAGTCCATATGTAAGCAGATTTATTGCTAGAAATATCTTGATGTTGCATTGAAATCTGCCTCTCCTTATTTTCCATTTGGAACTAATTCCACTCTCCCGAGCCAGAAAAACCAAGCCTCTCATTACTTGAAAAACCAATTAATGAGTTAAATTACATCAAGTTAGTTTAACAGTCAGCAATTCCCTGTTGTAATCATAGTTAGGCTGCTACCATTTTTGTCCCAATCATTGGCCCACACTGAATTTTGTGTCTAATTCATTGCTTTCTGTCTCCTTAATTTCATCCTCTGCCCCCAGAGATACTATGCTGAGTATTGATGCTGCAGCAACATATTAATTTTTATGTTTTCTGACTCATTTACCCCAAAGCCATAGTGCATCAAATGCTTTTGGGTTTGTGACCATTTTATCTTTGGTTTCAGTCACTGTTTATCTGGTCGCATCTTTGTTCATTTAACAAATATTTGCTATGAAGTGCAAGTTTAGTGGGTAGCAAACACTGCTCTGGCAAGGGGTATATGAAGAAAGACATCATTCCTTCCTCCAAGACTAGTCTTGTTTGGAAGCTGGACAAACAAACAGTTACAATACAATTAAAATAGGGTTAATTAAGAAATGTGCCAACTGTCAAGGGTAATCAAAGGGGACCCTTTCAGTCTGTCCCAAGGATGCTAGGTAAGTCTTCACAGAGAAACTGGTATTAGGGCTAAGATCTAGCGGAGGACTAGGGGCTTTCTAGACAGACAATGGAGGCAGGACACTTCTGAGAGAGGAATGAAGCCTTGAGGTGTGAGACAGCATGTGGTAGAGCATGGAGGGTTCAGGCACTTGGAGGAGTTGGGTATGGGGAGAAATACAGAGCACCTGTGAGAGCCTGGGGCATGGCTGGAGAGGTAGGCAGGGGCCGGCTTGCAAAGGGCTTTACCTGTCATGCTGAAGGGCTAACTGCTGTTCTGGAGAATTTGCAGAGCCACTGAAGGTTTTGAAGCATCCTAATGTTAGGATTCACTTCAAGTTTTAGAAAGTTTAGTCTTTTGGCTCAAGGGTGGGGAGGGAATAAAAGAAGCGAGAGTGAAGGCATGGGACCAGTTTAGAGACTAGTGAAGTCTGATGAAAAGGAGATGAGAGAAGCCTAAAGTGGACAAGCAGCTGGACACGGCGGCTCACACCTGTAATCCCAGCAATTTGGGAGGACGAGGTGGGCGGATCACCTGTAGTCGGGAGTTCAAGGCCAGCCTGGCCAACATGGTGAAACCCCGTCTCTACTAAAAATACAAAATTAGCTGGGTGTGGTGGCAGACACGTGTAATCCCACCTACTCAGGAGGCTGAAGCGGGAGAATCGCTTGAACCTGGGAGGCGGAGGTTGCAGTGAGCTGAGTTGGCACCACTGCACCCCAGCCTGGGCAAAAAGAGTGAAACTCTGTCTCATAATAAATAAATAGAGTGGACAAGGAAATACTGATGGGGGTGAGAAAACAATTTGAGAGACATTTGAGAAGTAGTGAGATAACATTTGGTTACTGATTGAATATGGAGTGTTAGGATAACCCTGGGATCCTCATTTTGGGCAATCACAAAGCTACTGGCTACAGCAAAAGGAGGGGAAGAAAAGTGGTGGTGGGAGGGAGGCATGAGAAATTTGCTGCTGGCCATGTTAAGCTCCACCTCCTGTCACCAAGTGGTGATGCTCAGGAGATGTTTGTGTCCACAGGAGGAGAGTGATCTGGGTGGGAGGTTTACATGTCCCTCCTTCCATCTCCCGGTCCTTCTTTCCCTCCTCCCTCTTTCTTTGTTTGGTACTTCCTTTCTTCTCTCTTTTCTTTTTCTGCCTTCTTTTGAGAATGAAACCTAAGAGTGTTTATATGTAGAGGGAAAAAGTGGAGCTAGAAGTTTAAGACACAGGAAAGGGAGGAAAAATGTCCTAGTGTGAGATTCCAAGGAGGAAGAAGGGCCAGGATAAGGTGGGGAGAGGGATGCCTCTTTTGCTCATTGCCTTTATCTGTCTTTGTCTGTCCTGGATTGATTGTCCTATCCTTTTCTTCCACTTCGTGTCTTCTCCCGTATTTCTACACAAGGCACAGTCAAATAAGGGCTGGCACGTGCGCATCTTTGTGCACACATGTGTGTGCACAAGCATTGAGGGATGCACAGGTGCACACACCTTGTAGAGCCTCTAGTAGCTCAAGTCACATTTTTTCGCATTTCCAGATTGTAAGCCTTACTGAGGGGCAGATGGGACGTTCTCACAGGAAAAAGGCTGACCTCAGGGAGAAAGATGTGGCCCCCACCTACAAACCAATGATGTCTACTCCCAACAGGGGACGTCTTTCCCCTGCGTGAAGCAACAGGACAGATTTGGTTAGGTGTGGCATCGATGTCCTAATCTCCTATGAGCACACAATGAATGAAGGTGGGGGGCTCTGTTAACTGGAGGGAATCAGGGGCTGCCCTGCAAAGCATGTGCAAAGAAAATAAATGCAATTGGAGTGTTGTCTACACATCGTCCTCAGTGGGCACAAAAGAGGCACAGTGGGATGGGGCTCTGACCCAGTTTCCATTTGGCCAGCCGACTGGAAACAGCTACTCACTGGGCCACTGGGTTCTTTCCAAAGAACAGTGAAGAACAGTGGTTTGGGGTAGGTGGGGGCAGGGGCTGGTGGGGCAAGAATGTCAGAAGCAAATGCAGGCGTGGCTGGTCCAGTAGTTCCAGTACCAAAGAAGCCGCTATCTGGAAGAGTGGGACAACCCATCCTAAACATGGGAAGAAGAAACAGGAAATTTCAAAAGATACAACTACTAATTAAATGAAAGCACTCCTTAACCACCCCTTTGATAATTAGATCATCTTCTCCTAGAATGAGAAGGAATATTAGTCTGACTTTGCCCTCCATATGGAGAAACATGGCAGGCAGGCTCTCTGTGCCTGGAGGGTCTGGCCAGACTTTGTCTGGCATGGGTATTTTGACTCCAGCCTATTTTTTAGGGATCCTCCTGCAGCTGGTCCTCAAGAGGTCTGAACTTTGCCGTCTCATTTCTAAAGCCTCTTTCAGCAGGTACTGGGGTTCCCAGGTCCAGGGAAGCCTGGTCATTGCTAGAACACATGGCAACATCCTTCAGGAAACTCAGCTCAGACTGTCTGGAAAGATGCTGGAAAGGCTGAATCCATGCAAGTATTATCTAACCAGCCCCAAGTCATGTTTTCACACTTAGATTTCTACAGGATATTCATAAATTCTGGAAACAAAGATATTGCCACTTTATTTTATTTTTACACATTGAGAAGTTTCCTTGGCAACATAACATGTATTTGCCTATGTTTCCAAGGTTTATGGATGAATGTGGGTGGTCAATGGGATTCATTCATTTTGCCAAGCAAACGATATGTTTGAAGCCATATTAAGTGCCAGGTACCATAGAGGATACAGATGTTCATAATGTAAACTGCCCTCTAGCAGCTTACAGATACTACCTAGGAATAATGCTTACACTGCAGTAAACAACATAAGGCAGAATATATATATATGTCTTTGTACTCATAACAAAATGTAAAAGTCAAAGTCAGGGCTCTTTTAACTTTCTTAGTAGCAGAAACCCAAATTGAACTTAAGCAGAAGGGGAATTATTTATTTAAAACACAAAGAAATTATTTATTGAAAGCAAACAGGAAATTGATTATTGCTTCTTACAACTCATGAGCTAAAAGACAGAGCTGGGTTCAGATACAGATATATCCAGAGTTGTGATGCTATCAGGACGCTGTCTGGTAATGAAACCAACCACAGCACAGAGCCTGGAGTGGAGGGACAGACCAACTCTCTTCAGATGCCACATCCTCACCCAGCAGACCTCCTCCTCTCCAGCACCCATTCATCAAACCTTCGAGAAGACCCTGGTTGCTACTGCAAGGCTTTCAGCACCAAATGGGAACCAACTCCTCCTCCTTGGACATGGAATACTTGAACTGGCCATTCTGGGACAGGGGCCTGCCCATGTGAATGGAGGGAGGAAGAAGTGAAATCCTTAAAGGGTTGCTGGGTCAGCATATCACAAATTTCCCTTGCCGTGAGCCAGATCTGATGGGATGGTATTAGTCAATAGGTAGATAATAGGGGGAAGAGGGGGTGAAGAATGAGATGGTTCTACAAAAAGAAAGGCAGGGTGCCAGAAGGTAGAATTTGGGCAATAGTGAGTCACAGAATTGATTGTGTCTTGGAGCCCATGGAAGGGAGCTGAGGCACCTACGGTTGGAGGGGGAGGTGGGGACCCTTGGGCACAGCTAAAGAGTCTGCTTTTGGGTAGGATGTACAGAGCAATTAGAATTATTTAGCAGTGACTTAAAGCCAAGAGAACAAATCTGGCTTCAGAGTGTTGACATGGAAGAAAGGAAGAGGCAAATGGAAGAGGCTATTCCAAAGGGAGAAGGTCTGAGCTTGGTGGTGCCTGGGAAGGAAGGACACTGCAGCCAAGCTGAGCCTGTGTCCAGCTGAACACGGACATTTACTTCTGCTTCTGAGGGGAAATATTGTCATGTCTTATGGGTGTACCCAGCAAAAGATGTTTCCACTAAAAGACTATAGAGAATTGCTTATTTCTAAGGACTGAATTCCGAATGTTTTTGGTCAGGTTCTCTCTGAACAGAGAACCATTGCCCCTGAGCAGAAGCGGTCTTCACACAACTAGCAACCATGTAGTGTTTTCTCATTCAAATGGCGTTTGGTATTCACCTGCCTGTCCTGGAACAAATGCAAAGTCAGGGTTGTTTCTAGCTCTCCCCCAATATTGGAAAAATGCTGATGAACTGAGCCTGGTTCCATTTTACACCTGACAAAAGGAACTCAGATGAGAGTGTTGGTAACTGGGTTTAAGGAGGAGTCAGAGGTGACTGCTGAAATTTCTGCCAGACTACAACTAAATTAAAAAAGGAATTCGGTTTAAGAAGCCAATCTTCAACTAATTTGAACATGAGGATGCTCAACTTAGAAGCCTCCCATGGGGCCCTGGAGCCCAGAAGGGACTGCATACTCTTTGCTCCTGCAGGTAACTCAGGGCTTTGTTCTGGTGTCTCTGACAGGCTTCTAACCTTCTGCAATTCTGTTGCCACAATTTCTGTGGCACCAGGAGAAAATTCATGCATCTAGGCTAGGGTGGTGCTCTCATGTGTCTCCAGGAGAGTGTGGCCTGGGTTAGCTTAAGACTAGGAATGTGCTGACAGCTGGGAAGAAAGTCAAAAGAAGGCATGGCATGTGGTTATGGGGCCGGAGGGACCGCTTGGGGGGAGAGGTGGAAGCGCTGACATGAGCTTGCTCTGCATCGCTGGTTCCCAGAGGTGGCCTGATAGGAGAGTGCCAGCTGGTGGTATGCCGTGGGCTCTGGGGAAGGGGCTAGAATGTTGTTGCAGCCCAGAGGGGCTGGGCTAGTGAGGAGCAAAAGAAAACATAAGCTGGGGGGAAACTGCCTAATAGACCAATTAGGAGACAGGGTTGTGCCCTAAGGGATGGGTGGGAGCAGGGGGTGCTAGAAGTAGACAGAGAGTAACTCTCAGCTCTGAACAGCGTCCCACATAGGAGGAAGAACACTGATGTGAGGCCAAGTGGCTTGGAAGGGCGTTGACACCCCATTCCCTACAACAAAGGGTTTGGCAAACTCATCTCATTTGCTACTTGTCCTATAGGTAAGGATGGACACCAAACCCAAAGAGACTTTTGGGATGTGGATAAAAATTGAAAACTTTGCCTCTCATTAATCCCTTGGAGAATATAGCATCTCCTTCAAACTGGACTGCTCTCCTTGATCCCTTGTCTTTACCTGAAAATATCTTTCAAGGCCTAGCTCATGCTATCTTGGCCATAGGAACTTTCCTTATCACCTCCATCAATGCTGTTTGTCCCTCCACTAGAATCTTCTGTTTTGGTACTCCTCTTACTCAGCCTCAAGTTAAATTTATGTGTACTGGTTTTAACCCCAGTACCCAGTAAAGGTTCTGAATACACGTGATGAAATAAGTCTCTCCTATCCCATGGCACCTAGTATAGCATTTAGTTGCTATACTAATTATTATAATTAGCATTTATTACGGGCTTACTATGTGCAAAGTGCCATTATTCCATTTATTATTCACAAAAATATTTAGTCTCTACTATTCTCTAATTTATTAGATAACCTAATATAAATCTTTTTTGTTTTGATTGTTGCTAGCTGATTGAAGGAAATAGAATTGTGGTGTGGTAGTAGGGGATGTTGAGTGAGTCTTCCTCATTCTTAATATTTCCTTCCACTAGGATAACGCCCCTGGGCTCTCTTCATCAGGGGAGGAGGAGTGACTTCATCTGATAGATTCGGAAGGGAAAATGTTACCCAGTCGCTTCTCAGTCCTCTTTCTCTTGGAGCGAGCCCATCTCTGGAGCACATACACTCTCCCCTGCTCCTGTAGGTCTCGAGTTCTCAGGGGAAGGGTTTGCCCTGTAAGAGAGCTTGTCCTTCTCCAGTGAGGCCTGTCACTGGGAAGATAATTCTGTACAGTGCTGGGATTCAAATTTAGAAAGCCCACTTGCCCCATAATTAAGCCACATTCACCAGCTTTAACAATGACAGAGGTGATATTGAGTTCTCCAGTGATATTGAGTTCTCCATCTGCCTTATGCTTTTCTGCTTATTTCCCCATTGGTTCAGAATTCTGGTGGGAAAAGGGGTGCTGTTTGTGGGATGCCTTCCCACCCTCATGTGGCCCTCCATAAGTTCTTCATCCCTCATTGCATTCAATAACTTGGGTGTGGTGTGGGTGGAGTGCATGTGCCATATGACCCTCTCCCTTGAGTCTTTGAAACCTATTTCTTACTTTATGACTTTGGACTTCCTTTTCTTTGGGAGTATAAAAGTGGATACCACCATTCCACCCCTTACCCGTCATCAGGAGAAGTTAGTTGGGAAGCAAAGGCGGAGTGACGTGGAGGGAAGAGTCTAAAAACAGCTCTACACTTAGCTTTGTCCTTGCATTGATGACAAGCGATGTTGGATCCTGAAAGGTGGGGATGGGAGGTAGGAAGACCCAGGAAGTTGCTGTGAAGGCTAAATCCTAAAGACAGTCACTAAAAGTTTCCAGAAGGGGCATCTATCACTCCACAGGCAAGCAAGATGAGACCATGTTGAAAAGGTCTTAAAGAAGCCAGGGAAGAGGTGAAACATCTCTCTGTGTGCTGAGGACCATACCAGGTCCTTCATTATCATATTCTACACATTGAAAATGAAGGTAAGAGAGCAAGCAACTTGCCCTAGGCTACCCAGGGAATAGGGAGGAAAGTCTGGATTTGAACCTACTGCTGCCTGACTCCGAAGCCCTGTTCTTTCTCTCACCCTGGAGGATGGATGAGGGTGGGATGGGGCAGTTAAAAGTTGAGGGGTATCTCTAGGAGAAAGATGAGACACATGACCATTGGGTCTAAGGAGCCAGAGAGAGGCCATTGTGTCTGAGCCTGGACAGCCAAGCTTCCTAGAGACAGAGGATGGGATGAGATGACTTCTGGCTGACTCTGCCTCCTTGAGCTCTTTAGGATCCCCTGCAGAATCTCCCAAAATGATGCTCATTGGAAACAGAGAGAGCACATTCAAGTAAGTATTTGTGCCACACTATGATTGTTCCAATGACGTCAAGTCTGGGATGGCAACAGCAGCGGTTCCATTTCTTTTCTTCAGGACCTGGATTCTTGCTCCAAGGTCTTCCACCTCCCTCCTCATTTTCTTCCACTCCCACTGCAGGCTCCTTCCTTGGAGGAGCTGGGGCAGGGAGTAGGGGTGGAGGTTGTGTGTGCACTTGTGCACATGCATGCCTGTCTCTTATGTGTTGCTGAGTCAGGAATGGGCAGGAAGGAGAGGCTTGGACAGCAAGGCAGCCCTGGGCAATCTGGTGATGAACTTGAAACGGGAGAGGGTCTATTGTGCATTTGCACTGACTCTGTGCAGGAAGGGTGGGGGCAGGCCAAGGAGGACTGGCTTGGCTGAGACATGAGATGTCTCAGGGGAGGGTTTGGCTGAGGCAGTGGAAGAATGCTTGTCGGGAACCGGCCTGCCTGGAATTGTAACCTCCCCTGCTGTCTCTGCACCACACTCAGAGTACAGCTGTATGCCTCTTAGCTGGTAGATTCCTTTTCTAGCTGGGGACACCGTGGACAGGGACAGTGGGGAAGAGCATTGGACTCAGAGACAACTTGACATCAAGTCCTGCTTGGAATCCTATTTGGGTTTGTAATTCGTTGAAGGCAGACACAGACATAAACTAATCCTTAGTTTTCCCATCCCTTCAATAAGGAGTACAACACCTATCACACAAGGCTACAAGAATAAAAGAGAGAACTTGTACAAAGGCAGGGCCTCCACTTGGCACATCTTAGATCCTAGACAAATGCTGAACAAGGCAGCATGGTGTGATGGTGAAGGGTTACAGCCAGACTGACTGACTGGTCCTGTCTTCGTTTGAAGTTTTGATATTTTGTTCCTCGTGGGTTTTTTGCATTTTTACTATTTATTTATTTATTTATTTATTTATTTATTGAGAGACAGAGTTTTACTCTTGTTTCCCAGGCTGGAGTGCAATGGCGTGATCTCGGCTCACTGCAACCTCCGCCTCCCAGGTTCAAGCCATTCTCCTGCCTCAGCCTCCTGAGTAGCTGGGATTACAGGCATGTGCCACCACATCCGGCTAATTTTGTATTTTTAGTAGAGATGGGGTTTCTCCATGTTGGTCAGCCTGTTCTCAAACTCCCGACCTCAGATGATCCACCTGCCTCAGCCTCCCAAAGTGCTGGGATTACAGGTGTGAGCCACCACACCCGGCCAATTTTTTTTTTTTTAAAATATGGCATTAAAATGGTATTTATCTTGACTACTGAGTTTTTGGTTAACCCCTTACATTTTGTGCCCAAGACATCTCACTCATGTTATCCTAGGCCCAGCATGGCTGGCCTTGTCTCTTAAATTCAAATTTTTAAATTTTTCATTCCTCAGGCTTCTCACTTGTAAAATAGAAATAATAATAGCATCTCCCCCACAGGCCTGTGCTGAGAGTGAAATGTGTTACTACACGTGCCTCACCTTCATTTTCAACAGGACCTATTGCCAGTAAGTGCTCGTTAATGTTAGCCATTATTCTTGGCATTGCTGTTGTTATTAGTGTCAGCCATCATTCTCTCAGCCAAGAGATCCTTCCAGAAGAGAAGTTCTCCATGGAGGGGGATGGGAGATGAGCTGAACCCTGGAAACAGAAATGGATCAGATCAGGGAGCCTCAGTGCCCTGAAGCCAGGGCAGGGGTGCATGGGGCTTCTGCAAAACCCAGGGCCAAGCATGCAGGCAAGAGGCAGCCTTGCCAAGCCCTTGCAGAAAATGCTTGCAGTGCAACTCCTCTCTGGAGACGCCACAAGTTGCCCCGACAGCTTTTCCTTTTGGGGCTTGTTTAACATTTCAAACAAAAATAAAATAAATAACTGCAGTGTTTATGGAAACCTAAGACAGAAATGAAGACGACTTAGAAGAAAGTTAAGTGGAAGTGGGCCAGGAGGGGGTTTAGAAGATGCCCCTTTCCTTGGTGTTAGCAGTTTTGTGCTTCAGTTTGTCAGCTCTTCCTACTGCTCTCCCCTAGCAACTCCTCTGCCAGTGTGCACAAATGCATGTGTGCACACATGTGCATGTGAATGCATGTACACACACATGACACACACACACTCATCCCAACGAGAGGCACACATTTCAGACACCATCTCACACACACACATTTCTCTCTTTCTGGAAATGTGTCCACCCACTTTCTCCTTTATCTTCTTCACTGTGTTTTTTTGTTTTTTTTTTTTTTTCTTTTTAGACAAAGAATCTAATTAACTCATTCTGGCCAGATGGTGTACATTACTTTAACTCCTTCACTCCTGTGAAAATTTTTGGCCTCAACCTTCACTCTGAATAGACCAAGCCAAACTCGTTTTATGTGGATAAGCCATTTCCAAGTCAAAGTTCCGTGGCAGGAAGTGGGAGAGTGGGCAGAGGGAGCAGGTCCTTACAAGCAAAGACTTGTATAATGCTTTGCCTAGATTTGCTTATCAGTATGTTAAATATATGTGGACTATTTTATTCTTCCACCTTTTATTTTGGTATCTTCTTTGTCTATCCAGTCTCACTTTGCCAGACTCCATTATGCAAGAGAGGCTTTGCCAGAAGCAAGGATGCTGTAGAGGAAAGTAATGAAAATGTGAGGATTTCTCAGAAGGCCACATACAATCTCTAGGTCTTTCCAGTACACACAGCTTCAAAAGCCAGGTGCTGTGTTCCCCAAGCAGGTCAGGGCATTTCCAGGAGCCCTGGATTCCAGAAGCTCAGGACACCTCAGTGGTAAAGAGACCCTAATGCCGGTGACAGCACAGACCCTGGAAACCCTAGATTGCCTCCGTGTGTTCCTCTTGGCCTCAGCAGGGCTGGTTTCCCCCTCCTGTAGGAGCAGAGGAGGCTCTCCTCTCTTGAGCCCAGGGCCTAGCATAGTGACCATAAGGAAGCATAGAAGATCCAGCTGCAGATTTGGAAAACAGAGCCCTCATCTCTGGAAGAGCCAAAACTGATCCTCAACATGTGCCATGCACATCAGATATCAAACGCTTCATTCATTTTGCCTTCGCTGGGTAACCAGTGACCTTGAGAAGTCACCTCTCTTGAGTCTCAATTTCTTCAAGTTGGGAACATTACATGACAGGACAGGACTGTGAGGATTAAATGTAAACAACATTTTTTTTTTTTCTATAGAACATACTGTGGGGCCAGCACCATGCAAGGTGCTTTTATCTACAATTTATTTCTTTCCCTTCCCATGCCTTCTGCCTCTTTGAATAACTGCTGCAATGGCTGTAGAGAGATAAATGCAGTAGACCAAGACTTTTAGTGATTTTTAAACAATGTTCTAGGGCAAATACATGGGTATGTTTACATACTCCACAAAGTGAAAAAATTATGCTAGTCAGTGTGCAAAGTGTGTTTTTCCAGACCTGCAAAAACTGAGATCAACTTCCATATTTCCAACTTCCATATTCCCTTCATCCCTTAAGCTACCAGGCAGAGGATGGGAGATAAAATTTGGCCATAAACTTGTCATGGGTCCATCTTGGTCCTAATTAGAATTATCTACTTCCTAATCCATTAACTGCATGGATAGATAGTCTGAGGGCCTCAAGGGCAAGAGATGACTTCTACCCCTCCACCCATCCAGCCCTGACCCACCCTTCTCATATACATTGGAGAAAGCTCTGCTCTGTGTAAAACACATCAAGTGCAGGACATGGTTCTTTTCTTCAACTATCTACAGAAATGAATAGCGGCCCTAGAGAAATGCAAAAGATGCCTGCAATCCAAGGCCAAATTGGAGAACATTTCAAGGAGAACTGGGCCTTTATTGTAGAGTTTGGGAAATGAGTAACATGTAGATCTGTGAATAGATATGTCTGAGGAAGCACCAGGCAGCGGAAATAGCTGGTTGCAGGAGCAGTTTGTCCTGCCCACCTGAATCTTCAGGTTCCTTCAGCTAAGCCTTAGGAGAGGAGGCTGGAGAGCTGCTTTGCTGGATCATCTCCTTTGGCCCCCCTCAGACTAGAACTGCACCTCCTCTCTACCTAGCTCTGTGCTCCACAGGCTGCCTCTGGGCTGCACTGATGGGCTCCCTTGACTGCTGGCTCCTGTTCAGGGTTGGAGGAGGAGGATGAAGTCATGGAATAGTGTCCCCATGCTGGGCTGCAGGTACAGTTGCTGCTTCTCTACTGAAGACCCCTGACAGCAACCCTGTCTTACAGCCAGGGTGTTTGTAGTTGCTCCCTCCTCCCTGTCCCTTTAGAGTGGTGATGGCACTATATGTTAGATATGGTCAGAGCAGGAGACATCATTTTCCCTTAATTCTATTCTGCCTTGTAACCCCTTTCTTAGACTCTCTGCTGAGTCTCTGCTTATGTGTTGGGATTGCATTGATGCAGATGCTTTAGGGCCACGTTGTGGAGGATACAAGATGATGAGACAGGAGGCAGCGTATGGTGAATCACTTCTCACAGCTCCTAACTAAGTTCTGGGCACATGAATGGGTACTCAGCACATACCTACTGACCAAGCCTATGGAGAGCTGAAAACTCATAGGCTGACTTTGAAGCGAGGCCTTTGAAACCATCGTCCCAGGGGAAATAATCTAGGTCAAAGAGACGGCTGTGGCAAGGGTGCGAGCTGGCAAGCATGAGGGCTGACAAAGCAGGCAGCACTCCTCCTGAGCAGATGACCAGCCCCGCAGTGCTGGATGGGTACGACTATTCCAAACCCTGGTGTAATTCTGTCCTCTAACGTGGCTGGTTTGACTCAGCACTGCTGGGGAGCCACAGAGCCTTCTTCTTTAGCATTTATGAGCTCATTATAAGCATCCAAGAAAACATCAACAAAGGGTGCTAAGTCCCTCTAGAACTGCCTTTTAAATTTTTCTTTTGTAAAAAGAATGATGCTTTAAGTAAAACCACAACTTACAGAATTCAGACAAAACCAGGCAGCCCCCAATGTTGTTATCCCAGCTCCTCTTGGAATAAATTTGGGAATGAACAAAAAGTCACAGAAGAGAAAACTCCAGCCCACACCCACACCTTTTCTGACATAGCCGCCTGTGCAGGTTTTTGGGACCAGGTCTGCCATCTGTATTCCCAGGCTGGGCTGGAGCACCTGAGGCTACTATGGTTACAGAAAGGAACCTGGCATCCGAAGGTATAGGCTCAAATCCCAGCTCTCATGATTGCTAGCTTTGAGGTTTCAGGTTCATTTCTTAAGTGCTCTGAGCTTTGGTGCCCTCCTCTTCAAAATGGGAATGAGGAGCATGTCTAGCTCCCTGTTTTGTTGCAGTGAATAGCTACATGAAGAACAGCTAAACCAGAACAGAAAGAAGGCAAATGGAAGCTACAGAAACCAAGGATTTCCTTGTTGAATCGAATCTTCCTTCAATCTTCCTTCACCACACTAGTGGATCTCCCTGTGGGAGGGATGTTGAGAGTGCTCCGTGTTTTTTTTGTTTTTTTTTTTTTTTTTTTTGTGATGGAGTCTCACTCTGTCACCCAGACTGGAATGCAGTGGTGCGATCTCGGCTCACTGCAACCTCTGCCTCCCAGGTTCAAGTGATTCTCCTGCCTCAGCTTCCCAAGTAGCCAGGACTACAGGCATATGCCATCACACCCAGCTAATTTTTGTATTTTTAGTAGAGACGGGGTTTCACCATGTTGGCCAGGATGGTCTCGATTTCTTGACCTTGTGATCTGCGCACCTCTGCCTCCCAAAGTGCTGGGATTACAGGTGTTAGCCACCACACCAGCCTTCTCTGTGTGTTTTTAATCAATAGCAATATGTACCATATTTAGTAGGGACTATAAAGAAATTGTGCTAGAAACACCTGGTTATTTTACAGAACTTTGCCAGTGAGTACAAAAATATGCGTAGCCCACAACCTCTCTCCCCTAGAAAATACCTCCTGTGGGTAGAATGAAATGGGTAGGTGTTCTTACCATTCATTAGCATTTCAACCTGGCTATCTTCTTCCTAGAATTCCACTACTCCCAATTGCCCATGTGTTTCCAATAAAACCAATTCAATTGTGTACCAACTTGGTGACAAAACCTTTATGTAGTTCTTCTATCATTTTGTGGGGTTTTCAAAGAGGGTTGCTCTTTGATATGGTTTGATGCTGTGTCCCCACCCAAATCTCATCTCTAATTGTAATCTCCATGTGTCAGGGGAGGGGCCTGGTAGGAGGTGATTGAATCATGGGGGGGGGACTGTTCTTGTGATAGTGAGTGAGTACTCACGAGATCTGGTTGTTTGAAAGTCTGTGGCACTTCCCCCTTTGCTCTGTCTCCCTCTTTCTCTCCTGCCACCATGTAAGACGTGCCTTGCTTCCCCTTCACCTTCTGCCATGATTATAAGTTTCCTGAGGCCTCCCCAGCCATGCAGAACAGTGTCAATTAAACCCCTTCCTTATACATTACCCAGTCTCAGCTAGTTCTTTATAGCAGTGTGAAAACAGACTAACACACTCTTAAAAGTAAATGTTATTACCCACCTTTTACAGATTAAGAAACTTAATATTACATCAAGGAATTAGTTTATAGCACTGGATGATCTGGCCTCAAATCTCCAGTGTGATCAGTATCAAGCTTTTCTCACTGTATCAACAGAGTTTTCCTAACAAATCATAAGACACAAGTAGTTTCTCCAACTTAATCTATTATACCCATAATTCACTTGCCTCCAGGGAAAAAAATTAGATGAAACAGACTGTAGTGGCTTTGTGTAAAACAGCAGCTCCATTCCTTTAGCCCTATTCTAAAACAATAGACCATGTGCTGATAGCTAGCTAACCTCCATTCAGTGCTTCACTATGTGTCAGGCATTTGTTCCAAACACATTTTACATGGATTATCCCATTTAATCTTTACACTAAAGTATAATACTCTTATTACCCCATTTTAAAGAAGAGAAAACTGAGGCACAGTGAGATTAAGGAATTCATCCAGTTTCTGCTGCAAGTAGGGTGGCTAGCATTGTAATCTGGGCATTTGCCATGAAGCTGTGCCCTTAACCACTCCACTATGTGCTATAAGGTGGAGCTGACTTCATGGGGGCTAATTCAACCAGGGGAGTGTGCTCATATTAACAGATCTGTGAACTCCCTGGTTTGTTTGTGAGACAATTATCTATTTGCTTACCTGAATCACAGCAATAATAGTTATACCTCCCACTTACTGCATGCCTACTTGGTAGCATGTACCTGGACAGAAGGTTTTCATTTTTATGACAAACCTGTAAAAAATGGCTTCTTAGCCTGGTTTTTCAGATGAGGAGTTTGATTCTCCATCCAAAGTCATATGATAAAGAAGTGGTGAAACAGGAATTCCAACCCAAGTTTGTTTTGTTTTGTTTCTGAAATCCATAGACTGGAGTAGAATCTCAAATTATATGACATTTGTCTATGCTTATTTTTTAGTTTCCAAGGTGATGGATTATTTAAAAACCAAACGATTTTGAATGTAAAACAAGCTTAATTCAATTTACTTATAAACAATGAGCACTGACTCTTGTATACATTTAAGTTATGAGACACTCCAATATTAATTCGACCCACACTTTTCTTTCTATAATCTATTGCTCCCAAATATTCTATACTATCTGCATGTCTGCCTTAGATACATAAGGATCCAGCCCTTTCCCATGTGTCTCTCAGGATGGCACCTTTGCTCTGGGCCGGATGCCATGGGGTTCTCAGTGATGCGCACTGAATAATGCAAATATGAGGACATAATCACAGAAGGAAGCCCTTGAAATTCTAAAGATAAGGCCCACAGACCAGGGTACTTTGAATAAGTCAGTCATCCTTTTCCAAGGTTATACTTTTTCCCCCTAAAATAATAACTGCAGACACAGTTCTCAAAGCAAACAGGTCTGGTATAGTAGAGGCATTTTTAGACAATTTTTTTCTATCTACTTGTTAAGCACATTTTAAAATACTGATTGCCAATAAAGGGCTTTCCATAGAACTCAAAATTCCAAGTCTCTGTCCCAAGCTTCTGGGAGCATTCCTCCATTTTTCTGTTTTTATTTTTTGAGATGGAGCCTCGCTCTTGCTCAGGCTGGACTGCAGTGGAGCGATCTCGGCTCACTGCAACCTCTGCCTCCTAGGTTCAAGAGATTCTCCCACCTCAGCCTCCTGAGTAGCTGGGATTACAGGTGCATGCCACCATGCTCGGCTAATTTTTGTATTTTTAGTAGAGATGGGGTTTCACTACGTAGGTCAGGCTGGTCTAGAACTCCTGACCTCAAGTGATCCACTCACCTTGGCCTCCCAAAGTGCTGGGATTACAGGCGTGAGCCACCCCGGCTGGTCGCATTCCTCTATTTAGTGTTAATACCCTAAGACTCCCCAGCTGACCACCAAATGTAGGCAGGTGGAGGGACTGACCTCCAGGGGGCACATGTCTCAGGTTGACAAACACATTTTCTCTTGATCCTTTTTTTCAGTATGATGAAGTATTCTACAAGACTCTCATTGAACCTTCTGATATCACATTCTAACCATTTATATAAAAGTCAAAAGCTCCTTGTCTTCAGGATTCCAAAGTTCTTAGCACAAAGGTCCAGGAAGTGTCTGAATTCTTTGGTGTCTGGTTCAGTATGGATGTTCGGGTCCCTCTTAGACTTGAGATAGAACAGGAAAGAGATGAATAGACAATGACAGAGGTAGAGAAAGTACCAACCCTTCCCAGGCTGTCGGCTTATTTGACTGTGGGAATCAATAAAAAGTATTTAGTGACTAAAATAGAATTTGAACCCAGTTCAGATCTGTAAGCTAACATTTTTTAGGCAACACCATACAGCCTCTTCATCATTCCCTGGCCTCTTTCATCCTATCCCTTTTTCTCCCCCTTCCTCTTTCTCTCCTTTATTTCTCCTTAATCATCTTGCTTCTCTTTCTTATATCTTCTCAGTAAGTAAATAATCCACAACCTCACAGGTAAATTAAAGTTGCCATTCGCACATCTGTTGGCTCCCAGGTATGGTTCCAGGATACTGGGAATGTTAGGTAGTGAGAAAGATTCAGATGATATTAATTTCCTGCAAATGGAATATTCATGGCAGGCACAGTCTGGCCAATTGCTCATGGCCTGGCGAGTACGACTAGCCTCGATTGTACCTGGTCTTTGCGAATGTGGTGGCATGTTCACTGGCATCACATACTCCCTCTCATCTCCTGAATGGCTGACCAGTGCTTGCTTCAAGTTAGATTAGAGTTTGAGCTTTGTAACATAAGTCCCCTTCTGTCTGATCAATGAAATGAGGGATAGGTACTTGCCCGAGAGTTATGGGACCTGGCATTTAACGTGAGAACATGCATCTTCAGAAGCACTGGTGAGACTTCAGAATTCCTGAAAGCACTATTCTTGCAAGGCTTGAATGTACCTTCTCCACTCCACCATGTCCTCTCCCAACCCTACTAGCATGATATCAAGCTTGGGTGGAGAGCTCGCTTGCAACTTTGTCAGATACCCATGAGCCACTCTTTGAATTTCTGACAATGAACAAGTATGTGGGAGGCCAACCCCATCCAACCTGACCCATCTGAACCCAATCACATGTTTTCTATTTTGAAATAAACAGGCAGGGTCTCAGGAATTTTAAGTGAGTCCTCTATATCTTTCTCTATCTTCCTTTTCTTCCACTAATTATTACAGAATTGATCTGCCAGTAATTACTACTAAATTGAATTTCAGGGGCAGTGCTGTATCTGGCCCCAATACCCTAAGTCCAGTAATAGCCTGGAATGTTGCTGAGTTGTTACCGTCCTTAAAGGGTGAAGCCACAATGATACTTTCTATAACTTCTATTTGGTCTTTTTAAGCCCAGCACTTAGAAGGATTCACTTGTGGAGACCTTTTCATTTCTTTCAACTCTACAGCTTAGTGCCTGAAAGGCACATATTGGTCTCTGTGAATCTCTACGTTAAGAATCTGATTTGCAGCACTGGAAACCTTGCTAGTCTTAGCTCTGGGCTGAATCCCATGAAGCCACGCCATGCCTAGGGCTTTCATGCTGTAGTCCATACCTCTGAAGAAAACGGAGAGAAACATCTTCCTCCCTTCTTCCCCCCAAGTGTGTGTCTGTTCTCGTCAGATTCTTGGCAGGGTTACCAACTCTCTTCTAAGCAACTTGGATTCACAACAGAATGATTCCTTTTCAATGCCAATCTAAACAAATGCCATCAACTCTTATCCCAGGGAGTATGAAAAACAGAAGAGTCCTTTGTGACTCTGATTGGCTTTGTGACTTCCTTGGGGCTGGTGTTGGTCTCAGGCTTGTGTCTCGCAGTCATCCAAAATGTGGGTGGGCCATGTCCCACCTTAACTGTGGTTGTGAACGCAGAGGATTCACTCAACTTTCAGCATGCAACAATAATCAAATGCAGTTTTATGGTTCACAGAGGGCTCCACCTTCATGATTTCATTTGATCCTCCTAACAACCCTGGGAGCTCAGAGAGACTAAGGAACTTGTCTCATATCACATACCCAGGAGTTGACTGCACGGCATCTGATGCCAGCTTCTGTACCACGTGTCCTCCTGGTGATACTAGAGTAAATAAAACATAACTAGACAAGTAAATATTTTGTACAAAGTAATCTGCTAAAAATGTGGATGGCATTTTAGGTTATTTGTTGGTTTGGGTTATGCCTCTTCTTATTTTGTAGATAACTGAAAGCTAAGAGCATTGTCTTATTTATTTATTTATTTATTTAGGCAGAGTCTCACTCTCTCACCCAGGCTGGAGCGCAGTGGTGCGATCTCAGCTCACTGCAACCTCCACCTCCCAGGTTCAAGGATTCTCCTGTCTCAGCCTCCCAGGTAGCTGGGATTACAGGCCCCTGCCACCACACCTGGCTAATTTTTCTATTTTTAGTAGAGACAGGGTTTCACCATGTTGGCCAGGCTGGTCTCGAACTCCCGACCTCAGGTGATCCACCTGCTTCGGCCTCCCAAAGTGCTGGGATTACAGCACTTTGCAATCCCATGCGTGAGCCACCGCACCCGGCCCATTGTCTGTCTTCATAAGCAGAAGGCTGTGGCACAGGGTAGGAGAAGAACATGAAGACAAAGTTGAGGGGAGTTGCTTATCTCATGCTTCTTGCTGCTCTGCCTGAAGCAAAAATGCTTTATGGATACTTCACTTATGATTTAAAATAATAGCTCACATTGTGTACTTACTGTGTGCCAGGAACTGTGCTAATTCTTTATATTATGCCCATAAAACCTGCTTCTGAAGCATTGGGGGGTTTGCACTTGCCGTTCCCTCTGTCTGGAATGCCTCCCTATGCCTACCTTCATGAACCTCTTCCCTTTACTTTCCCCATCTCTGTTCAGGTGTCACATTTTTAGTTATTCTTTCCTGACCGCTCAGTATAAAGTAGCTCACACCTCTACGTTATCACACTCCCTCTTACCTGCTCTATTTGTCTTTATAGCCCTGCTCACAATTATAGTGTACATGGATTTCTTAATGTGTGCTTTATCTTCCCCCTCCCATCGGAATATAAACTCCTTGAGAGCAAGGATGATATTTTCCCCTGCTGTTTTCTCAGTACCAAGAAGAGTGCCTGGCACGTAGTAGCTGTTCAACAAATATTTGCTGTGTAAATTATCTCATTTTATAGATAAGGAATCTGAGGTTCTAAGGGAGTAAATCATTGACTTCAGGGGACACAACAGGCAAGAGGTGGAACACAGTCATGAGCTAAGGCAGTCCCAGATCCTGCCTGACCCTTCACTCTCTTCCTCATTCAGTGAATCGTAAGGCACTTGGGCTGTTTGAGCAGTGCCCTTATCCATACCCTGCCCAGTCAGGGCCTCCCAGAACCAGGTAAAAGGATCTGGCCCCCTCTGCCATCCTCCCACTGGTGCCCTTCCCCTCCCACCCACCGCAACCCCCATCTAGGGAGAGGAAACTCTTTTTCCACCTAAATTCCCCCTCTGTCTAGTTCATCCAAGTCATCTCCCTTCCCACCACACTGTTTACACTTGTGGGTCTGTGTTGATGCATATCACAGCCCCCTTAGTCATTGTTTAGCCATTATACTTTGCAGGGGTAATTTTCCATCCCTCTGTTTATATTTTTGCTTCTCCTTCATGTGCTCCCCCTCCCACTTCTTAAGGGCAAAGGAAGACATGTTCAGTCATACAAGCAATAATAGAGTTATAATTAAGATGGGAACATTTTGCCAAAAGGAGGATTTAGTTGTGATTTGTTGAATGCCATCCTGAGTGCATTATTTAAGAGCAAATTCAAGCTCTTTCATGAGACTTCCTGAACAGTGCAGTCCTCTGAGCCTGCTGTCTCTATAGTCTTTGTGTCAGCTTTGTGGGGTCAGGATTGCGCGTGAAGGATACATGTTTAGCAAGGCCTGGTTGCTGAAAAAGCTTAAAAGGAAACTTCAGGGACTATCTAGGAAGATCTTCTGTGATCTGTTCTCTGATTTTGTGTGCTCTTTTGTGGTTAGCCATTGCTCTTGGTACCGTGTGGGACTTAGCACCCTGTGCCTCAAGGTAAGAACACACTTCCAGCCCAGCTTCAGTTTAATGTTCACTATGAGAGTCTCCAGTAACAACCCACACTCTGCGTGGGATTCACTGCCTTTCCCATGTCCTGGTGTTGGACATACATACTGGACAGAGTTACTGCCTTTTCCCCTAGTAATTAGGGGAAAAGGACCACATTTTCCCCTAGTAATAGGGGAAAAGGTGTCCAGTATCAGAGCTAGGTAGAGCTGAATTTGGATATGAACTTGAGCTGTACCCCATGGTGTCTTTTCTTGCAGTCCTAGCCTCCAGCGCCTTTAGAATTTGCATTCTGTTTGGTGGGATGAGGACGGTGGCAGTGGAGACAGGGTGAGAGGAGCATGGATGGGTCCTAAGCCTTCCTGTCTTCAGCAGCATCTCGTGCTCTGCGGCTCTGCTGTGTGCCTCAGGGGCTGCCCATTTTCAGGTTGCATTTATTAGCTTCCTGGATGCTCTGGCTTCCAGTAGGGTTTAGCCTGTGGGAGGCACTGGATGGAGATGGGAGGGAGGGAGAGAGGACAAGAGAAGTCATGTTATTTCTCCTTTGCCTTCCCAGCCTGGGAGGTTTCTCCAGTAGCAGCTGCCTCTCTTCTTGGATTCCAGACCCCACTAGACAGGTGTGCTGTGGCTCCAGCTTCTGTCTGGTGTTGCTGGCCCCTGGTTCACCTGACTCCAGCTCCTCCTCCTCCATGCAGCTGGGTCCTGCTGCTGCCTCCCTCTGCTCTGCCTTGCTGTCCCCTGTCAGGCCTCTCAGCTCCTCCATCCCCTGGGTTACCAACTCGCTATACTGAAATCCTTCTGTTTTAGAAACTCATATGTGATTTTCATTCTTCTTGGTTGGACACTGACTGATATTGAGGGATTTGTCTTAGAAGTAAAGCTGTGTGAGCATTTTCTCTTGGTAAGTTCTCATTTTCCCTTAATCATTAGAAGACACGGCACAGTAAACGCGAGCTCATGAGCAGAAGGCTACATAGTTGTATACATGTGTGTGCTTTTTTTCACACCAGAGTTTGATGAAGCAAAATACCCAAAGGTCTTTTAAAAGTAAAGAGGTTTTAAGAGTAAAGAAATTTAAGAAAAAAAACAAAAAGAAGTAAAGATGGTTAGGTCTCCTGTTTGCTCTCCTTTTGCAATCAGTCTGTCTCGCTCTGTGAGCTGACTATGCTGCAGACTTTTCTTTTACCTCCAGCCTTTCGCTTGTAGGGTTTGAGGCTAGGGGCGGGGAGAGAGAGTTCAGCCCAGCAGGCAGCAAACCCTATGTGCAAACACGATGTGTGAACATTGTGTGCTTGGGGGAACTGGGATTATTTAGCTGAGAAGACACGAAATCTCCTCCCCTTATTTGGGCTTTGGGATCTGAGTTCATTGGAAGCTGAAATGTAAGAGAAAGAAGAAAGGGGGAAGGAGTGGGACAAAGGAGAGGGGAGTGGGAGATCAGACTGGGCACATTCTCCCTCACAGAGGGAAGCGATTTCTTTGTTAGGAAAGCAGTTCTGTTTTGAGACCCGGATGCCTTGTTTATGCTCAGGTGTGAAGCTGGCTTAGGAATTGAGTTTAGCTTGCCTCTGTGCTTTTATGAATGTGTTGGCTGCTCAGCAAATTTAGTACAGAAACATTTTATGTAAGCAGAAGAGAAAATTATATTTTAAAAGTTGTTTTAACAGAAGGTCAGAGTATGGGATTGAGAATTAAAAAAAAAAAAAAAGGAAATTCTGTGTTCTAGGCTTTAAGACAGAGAGTCACACACACTAATTTAGACCAGCTGGGGTGATCTCACAGGGACTCCATGGGCCAGAGCTGCCGTTCCTCCATGGAGAGCACATTTCCCCTAGAAATGTGTACTCAGGTGCAGCTGAAGGGTCTGAGGTCATGGCTGCATCCCTGGCCAGGGTCCTCCCAGGCTGCAGCCTCTGCTTCCTCTGTTGTCCATTGGTCTAGAGCCATCCTTCGAGACCAGAGCCAGACCATGAGCGAGCCAAATGTGCATGAGGACAGCATGAATTATCCTTGGAGACCAGGGGGCCCTGTTCATCCAGACATTGTCTTTCTTTTTAAAGAAGCTAAATGCCTCTTTTTCCCTCTTTCTTCTTGCATGACCTCTGGGAGCTTGGGCAGTAAATTTCTCTGGGACAGGTTGTGAGGAACCTCTTCAAAGAAGCAGAGATGAGACAAACTGTTTATCAGTTCACTCTCTACCCCTGCTGCCCTCCCAATGCTCAGGTGGGCCCTAGATTCATCCAGAAGCCAGGGTGTTGTGCTTCATGAAAGGGCCAATACCCCTAATGTGGGACCTATACAATAAAAGGCAAGGGCAGAAAGAGAGAAGAAATAAAAGGAAAAGGGGTGTCTTGAGGGGAGTACATGATAGACTCCTGTGCCTGGAAGGGACTAGGAAACTTATACTGACTGGTTCACTGCATTTGCTCAAAGAGTATTCATCTTCTTGAGTTTGTCAGGTGACTGTAAGAGCTGGGTTCAAGTTCTTTGGTTCACTATTATATGCCTAGCTGAGCACAATGCCTGGGACTTAGAGGGAAGGTCTGGGACTTCACCAGGATTCCCAAAATAGAACAAAGCATTTGTTATTTGCAAAAGGTTCACAAAGCCTGAAAAAATATGTGTTGTCTCTGGTGGAAAAGTAAGGGAATATAGCTTAAGTACCTACTACGCTCTGACTCTTTGGATTTCACCTGCAGGGCTTTTAGAGGTGGATAATCAGGGCCATCTTTTTCGGGGGTGGGGGGCGAAAACAACCACTGAAGAGGTGAAGAATCTTGTAGTTCTAAAAGGATCAGAGAGAGGCTTAAAACAACTTTTGCAAACTGAAATATGCCAGCCAGCTTAAATTAGCAAAGCTGGAACTGTGGCAGAATGAATAGCCCGTGTCTGAGTGAGAGGGAAGGAAAGGGTCTACTGTGTGATAGGCAATGGTTCCAAAGTAGGAGTAGGGGCCTAGTGTGGTCATGCCTTCTGATATGTCAAGAAAAGGCAAAAAGTTGATATTTATTTGAAATATTCTGATTTTATAGGTTGGTGATCAATTAAAAAACTAACAAATACAGTTAACAAACATGTTTTAATGCTTGCAGACAGGATCCTTCCTGCCGATGTTTGGCCTTTGTCTTTAATGGAATTTGGGCTGCCCCATAACAGCCCACCCTAAGCAAAACTTCTTTTCTGCCTTTCTTTTATATTGTTTTTTATGGAATGTAGAGGGATTTTTCTGGAATTTTTGGAACGGGGAAATTAGTGACAATGGTGGTGCTGAGATTCCTGTTTATTTCTTGGCTTTTCCCCAATTCCCTGAGGGAACTCATTTCTTTTGGATCTTCCATAACATCGGTCACATAGTTGGGCACAGAGAGGGCCCACACTTGGTACATGTTGATGAAATAAATGTGTCTTCCTCTAAGTCTAGCTGAATGGAGAACTGAAATATTAGGGTGGGTGAAAGTTACCTAAATTGTTTGCTGCCAAATTTTGCTGTGTTCTTTGTCTCCAGTTCTGTGAGGTGTGTGTTAGATACCTATTGCTGTATAACAAATCACCCCCAAAACATATCTGTTTAAAGTAACAAACATTTATTATAGCACACATCTGTAGGTCAGGAATTCAAGTGCCTCTTAGCTGGTACTCTCATGGGGCTGTAAAGGAAATATCAGTTGGTGCTGCAGTCTCATCTGAAGGATCCACTCCAAATTCATTCATGTGGTTATTGGCAGGATTCGGTTCCTCACCCTATATTGGACTGAGGGCCTCAGTTCTTCACTGATTGTTTGACCGGAGCTCTCCTTCCATTCTTTGCCATAGGGCCTCTCCATAGGGCAGCCCCGAACATGGGATCTGGTTTCCATTAGAGCAAACAAGCAAAGGAAAGCAGTGCAAGACAGAAGCTGCAATGTTTTGGTAACCTAATCTCAGGAGTGACCCTCCTGTCACTGCTTCTATGCTGTATTCTAGTCATTAAAGGAGACCATCTCACACTCAAGGGGAGAGACTACACAAGCCATAGTGCTGCCATGGCAACACAACCATTAGGATGATGCCTTGAGCCTTCCTTCTTCATATTTCTTAGACTTCCTTTCTGACCTAGAGGAGCCAGAAGGACTTGGGACTTGTCATACCGTCCAATCCCAAGAAATGACAGGAATGAAGGAATTTTTAAAAATTCAACTCATTTCAACACACACACAAAAAATGAGAGAAGTGAGTCAATTTGAGAACTGAAATTCTGGTAGACTTTTGGGGAGACACTAGAAGGGCCATGTTCATGAGTAGGAACCATAGATTCTGAGTCAATTGGGCATGAAAGTTTTTCTCCTGGTGTCCCGATCTTGGTCGTATAGTGACCAAGCATCCAAGAAGGGGATAACACAATGTTCTTACAGTGTTTTCTCTGTTGTATTAATAACTCAGGCATCAGCCAGTGGAATGGGCAAAGCTAAGTGAAGGTTTGAATGCCAGACAGATTCTCCATTGGCTAAACCCAATAGACATGAATAAGGAATAAGGCCAGGAATCAGCATCCAGATATATTAATTTATGAATCTGAGGTTATTCCAAAAAGCAAGAGAACAGGAGCACCATTGGCTGAGACGGACACCAATACCAAGCTCTAGAGAGTAATTTCAGGCAGAAAGGAAACCTTAATTACCAGAGGTTCAAGGGATAGGCACACAGTAAGTCCAAATAGGCAGAAAGAAGGCATCAGGGATAATCTGGCAGAGACTGCATTCAAGGTCAAGGGCAGGGCATCCCAGCTGCTGTTGAGACTGGGCTCCAAGGAAGTCTCCCTGGAGAGACTGAAAAACAATCCTGGGCCTTAATCACTGAGGACTGAAACACAACATAGGAGAAAACTAGGGCTTAAGAGAGGCTTGGTCAAGAAATAGGCAAGAACCTGATTATTGGGGAACAAGAGATCCACAGTCAGGCTGGACCAGTAGCAAGACAGCAAGAGTAGACAAAAAGTTGACCACTGCCAGAAACCAAGATTGGTCTCTGAGTCTGGCATGGGGCTGAAACTACTTGTTGAGATCAGGCTGTCTCACTTGCCAGGGGTAGAGTCATGCTGGAAGTGGAGCCAGGACAGACATTGAACCCTGGCTACCCTGTGATCAATTGCACTCCATACCCTTTGATACCTCATGGGAAAATCAGACAAGTGCTGTTCTGAAAGGCAATTAGGTTTCATGATTTCCTCCCCCATCCGGACATCAGCATGAAATTGGGGGCTTGGCTTCCAAGCCCATGTTCTTCCTTTTTGTGAAGGGCAGGGTGAGACAAAGGACACCACAGGCCAGAGCAACCCTCTGCTTCCATACAGGCCCTAGAAGAGAAGTGAGGACGCGGGTGACCCACACGGCCTTCTGTGCCTCTTCAACAGCTACTCTCCCAGCCTCCCATTTCTGCCAAGCCACATTCTCCACAGGACTCAAACATTTAGCTTTACTTTAGACTTTTCCAGGAATCTTCCCAAATCTCCTTTCCTCATCCCCCCTCACCTCTTCCTCACCACCCACAGCCCCCTCCTCCACCCCCATGTACAACATCCGGCTTTTACTCATGCTTGTTTCTAATTATGCATACTAATTTATTTTCTTTCCTTTTTTCCTGACCTGCCTATATTTTCCTACTCATTCTTTGGCCTCCACTACCGAAAAATGGAATACTCCTCCTGTACAGGGTCAGGGTTTTTCCTTCCCCAGTGCCTAAAGCTGGATTCAGTCCACAGTGACTTCTCTAATAACAGAGTGTAAGGGACTCCTTGGTTGAAAAGAAGGAAAAACCCCAACTTGCCTTTCAGGGTCTCTTCAATGAGCTTGATTTGTGTTAAATTTAGGGGCTCAGGAATTTCTGCCGATTTGCAGCACTTACTACTCCTACCCTTCCCAACATTTGTGCTTTATCGAAACAACTAAATTAGGAGCAGCTTGAGGGTAGGGGTCAGAGCACAGACATTTTCTGTATTGCCTGTAGAAACTAGCACAGTACAGGCACCCCCTAAGTGCAAAAGAAGTCCTTGCTGACCCAGATGGAATTTTCCTGAAGTGAGTGCTTTGTGTCTATCTTTAGAACTAGACTTTCCTGATAAAATAGTCAGGAGATTTGGCTGAATTTTCCAGTATTCAACTGGCTATGTTGGGGTCATGTAGATACAACCTTTAAGAACATAATGACCTTTAAAATATCTATTCCTGAAGTCAGGTTTGGTCCCTAGTCTGTGGGCAGATGACTGTTTTCATGGTATGCTTTGTTCGTGTCCTTCCTGGGTGGGGGAGGATTTGGGGGGACAGTTTGACTCTAGTTATCTACAAAGTTGAGTTATGAGACCAGCCCTTTTCAACTTTACCTCTTGCAAATTGATCCTGTAATAAATTGACATGACGAAAACACCAAAGCAACCAGAGAAATCTCACAAAGGCAAGAACACCATCACACAAGTCCTCAAAATCTTTCCCAAGATCCACTAGGGGTTAATGCCACTGATCTGATACTGGGGCACAGCCTAGGAGGTTTTGCTGTCTCTGAACGCACATGTCTCCAGCTTACAGCTCACAGGCCAGCTTTGTTTTTGAACAGATTGTGTTGGGGGAAGGGAGGCTTCTGAGACAGAGCTGAGAGTCCCCAGCAATGCCATCCCTGGCTTCTGGCCCATCTGAATGCCTTACTCTTTCATGTAAGCAAGACATGAGGTCCTGCTGTTTGAGTTGGCTTTGCCCTGCTCCGTGATTTCAGTTCCTTGTCTCTCCAGCGTGTGGGCTCATTTCCGTCCTCTGAGCACTATTGTTTTTCTGACTTGAACAGTCATCCAGAAAACCTCAGTAATAAGGCTTTTGTATCATTATTTACTTTGCTAATTATATATGTCTTTCCCATCCCCAGTGCTTGAAGACATCAAATTGCAGTTGAAGTAACGGCAGAGGGAAAAGCAAGGGCAACAACAACAAACCACTTCACTCCTCTGGGTGGAAACATGCAATTGTACCAAGAGGGATAAGGAAAAAACTGCTCATGTTTGCAGAAAGAAGTTGGAATAAGGGCGTGAAAGCAGGCGGGCTACTTTAGCATCTGATGCCAGGGATATGAGAGAGTAGCCCAGTGTGTTCATTCAAAAAGTAAGGCTCTGAGGCCAGGACCAGGAAAGATCCTGGAGTCCCCAGTCACAATGGCATGAAGCAGGATGATGCAGAGAGGCTAAGGGGGTGATTCAGTGGGTTCTTTACCTATAAAAATGATGGAAACCCCAACATCAGCTGGGCAAGTGGCCCTGTTCAGAGCTCCTGGACTCGCCATGACTAAAACACTCTGTTTTATTTCGTAGTTGATATCTATTGTTCTTGCCTCCCAGCAAGCAATGGAACAGCACCTTTACTTTCCTTTGAGAAACTATTCCTTTCCCATTCTCAGGGCTTGTGAGGATCAAGTGAGGTCACATAATCCAGATCTGGCCAATCAGCCCATCTCATGCTACTGGCTACACTAATTGGTTTAGGGATAGTAAAGTACTCAAATTTGTTTACTGAACATTTAGCCCTGGAATTTTGGTGATGGGAGGTGTAGAGGGTAAACTCTTGATGATATCATTTGTGTACCTGGGTCCAGCCATGCCTGAACTTTTCAATTACTTGACCCAGTAAATTTCCTTATTCATTTAAATGTTAGAGTTGAGTTTTGTCTCTTATAACTGAAAGAGTGACATGTGTTTATATTAAGTGCAGGTCACTAATATAGTCTATTGGTTTCCCCAGGCTTGTTCTCCTTTTCTCAAATAGGACTGATCAGATAGTAAGTGCTCCATACCTGTAGGATACATAAAAGAGCAAATGAACAAGGAGCAGGAGATATGGTGGCTGACGGTTGGACTATAATTTTTTCTTGATTTTTCTGACTTTATTTTGGCTGTGATCTAGGAAGTGAAATCCAGGTCCTTCTAAACCCCAATTTAACTGTGGCTCCTGAGGGAGATTTTCAGATCTCAAATGATCTGTAAGTTTAAGGGAGGATGATTGGTCCCTGTACACTCTCTGTGAGAGTTCCTTTGGAATACTGGTTTCAGAATGTACAGCCACACAGGTAACTGGATTAGGGACGGCCAGTGGTTTTTTATGAATGCTATTGAAGACACTGAATGGAAGCAATTCTCACCAGAACTCTTTTTGCTGTCATCTTTCAGGGGCTAAGTTGACACTAGAACCAATCAATGATCCCTGAACTGGGAGAAATGGGTGGCCTTGGCTGTGATTTTTGGTTGTGCTGCACATTTCAAGATGACAATATTGTTTTAAATTAACCTGTTAGAGTGCACCTTTCCTAAAGAACTTTACCTTGATGTCTGAGTAAGGGCAGTGCAGGAGGTCCCCCAACTTAGGGGACTGATCATGTTCCAAAGGTCATTTCTCAGTCTGGATGTTTTCATGAGATAATGAATTCCAAGATATTGTAAGGTTCAATATTATAAATGGTTCTTAGTTTACTAAGATAATGCATTGCCTCTTTGTGAAGCCTTCTCTGGTTACCCTAATCAAAAGTAACTTTTCTTTCCTCTTATATGTCACACAGTATTAAATGAGTTGTTTTTTAAAAACATCTTAAAATCTTATACTTAAGCAATTATGTAGATTATCTTGGAGTGTTGAGCTTATTGCTCTCATTAGATGTTAGTAAATGGAAACTGAGTCCACAATTTTCACACTGTTCTAGTTCTTTTTCATTCTGCTTCATTTTCTGTTGTCTCCTGCCAGGTGTCTGTGCTAACTCATCTTGCCTGAGGACCCCTACCCCATGTCTCACTGGTCTGCTTGGCTTACTTCTGAAGCCCAGCACCACCTTCCCTCAGTGGCTCTTAACAATAAACCCTGACACAGAAGTTCTGGCTGGTCCACCTATTCCTTTGAGTCAGGTCACAGGTTTCCCTCCAGCTAACTGATGGATGGACTGTCCTTGGCTCAGGGGTCCACTCTTGTTCAATTAGATACATTTTGGGGGCAGGGTCAGAATTCATAAAATGCAGGCATTTGAAGAACAGGGAATCAAGGTAGAGAGTTCCTAGAAGACAGAGCAGGGAGGTAAAATGAAATATTCTAGTAAAGTATTAATATTTGTGGCAGGATATGGTCTTTTTTCTTTCTTTCTTTTCTTTTGAGATGGAGTCTTACTCTGTCACCCAGGCTGGAATGCCCTGGCATAATCTTGGCTCACTGCAGCCTCCGCCTCCCGGGTTCAAGCGATTCTCATGCCTCAGCCTCCCTAGTAGCTGGTATTACAGATGTCCGCCACTACACCCTGCTAATTTTTGTATTTTTAGTAGAGACGGGGTTTCACCATATAGGCCAGGCTGGTCTCGAACTCCTGACCTCAAGTGATCCCCCGCCTTGGATATGGTCTTAACTAGAAATGAAGAGATCTGAGTTCAAATTCAGCATTTGTCACATGTACCCTCTCTGGTCCCAAGGAAATCAAGTAATATCTCCAATCTTCAGATCTTTCACATGAAGAATAAAGAGTATTGATCACCATATCTCTACACCTCCTTCCAGCTCTAAGACCTCCAGGACTCACCTAGAACCAAATTCATCCCCACACAGTGGCGGCAGGGTCGTGTTGTCATGATGATGGCCTCTTTCGGTGAAGAGAGGTTGTCAGACACCTGGAGCAATGCCAGAGACATTATCCTTCCCTAGGAGAGCTACTGATAAGAAACCACTGGCAGCTCCTCATTCACTTCTCCATCATTCACTCTTTTCTCCTTTCTTTTTCCTTAGAGGCATAAACAAGGTGTAGATCATCCTGTTATCCATAATGAAGGAAGATTTTAGGATATTCCAGCTTAGATCCAGGTGTCCCCAGCTTCTATACTCACTCTGAAGAAGTGTACTTTATCTACTCTTTTTACACCATTTATCCCATTTTGGCCATTTCTGAAAGGAAGATCCTAGAAGCCAGGCCTCTTGGAAGAAGTTGGAGCTACAGCATTGATAGGAAAACCTGACACCTAGAAAGGCAAGTCAGTTCTTCCCATGCAGTGGCTTTGGGGACTGTAATTTAACAAAGCTCTTTTTTACTTGTGTAAAGTGATCTCCATTCCACTTTTTTCTTGCACTGATTCTAATTAAGTGGAAGCAATTGTTATCATCATTTAGGATTATAGTTAAAATACCCCTCAAATTGTTTCCATTTGGAATGGGACCTTGTCCCATTCTGCTCTTGCTGAAGGAAGTCTTCATGGAATCACAGGACTCAACAAACATTTCTCATTAAAAATTCTCTCCTTTAGGCAACAGTGGCATAGAAATCCTTATGTTCTACTGTCTGACCCGTATGAGAACAGCGCACTTCTCAATTTATAAAAGAGGCATTTTCCCTCCTCCTGGGAAAAATATTTCTCTTGGTCACTTGAGTCTAGCATCTAAGTCATATAATGCTATTATAGCCTTGTTTTGCTTTTGATTTAGGTCATATCTTCTTTTTCTGATCTTTCTTAAAGTGAAGGGACCATTTGCTATGCTCACAAAAATTCTCAAGGCTGGAACTACAGCATGCTCTGGTTTCTAAGCCATACACATCCAGGTAGAAGGGTCAATTTAATTGCCAATGATCTCAGCCTTTTCTAACACTGTTCCTTAAGTTTCTTTGGCACTGCATGGCAAGCAACTGAGTCATGCATGAAAATTTCTCTTCTAGACAACCCATACCTACAGAGGGAGGATTTGGTTTACTGCAGATGCTGAGTGCTTCTGATGGCACACATTCCTTCTTATTAATATCCCCCTGGCCCATAATGGTTTGTGTGGACAACAGCTACTTCCTTCAAGGGTCCTTTGCTTGGTAAATATATGCCTCCAGGAGCTTTCTGGGTAGAAGCAGTCACAAATCACAGGGGTATCTATGAATGGCACGGCCCATGGAAGGGCTCACACTGTCCTGATTTTTCTACCATAAGAGCTAAAATAAGGGAATAGGCTTCCAGGAAATAAGTCAGATGGGTTGTCTGACTAAGCACAGGGGCAGGGATTGGAGGTGAGATGACAGAGAACAGTCAGCATTGTCTCCGCTTCCGCTCCACCCTGCAGTTCTGAGCTGAACAGATAATTTATCTGTGGCACAACAAAGTATATGACTTGGAAGAATGTTAAAGATCAAGTCCACCTTCTCCTTGTATTATATGGCTCTGAGAGCCAGAGAGGGGAGGTGACCTTCCCAGAATGTGAATGTGGTAGAGCCTAGCTTACAATTCATGTCCAACTTAGGTGTGAAGTTCTATGAGACTATGCTGCCCTCTGCCTCACAATGCTTTCTCCCATGGGAGAGGAGGCTCAGAGGTACAAAGCAGCTGCAGAAAGACTCTCTCAAGCTATTGACTCTTGGATGACAACAATTAATGTTCAACTTGGCTTTACCCCCAACATGCACTGCACAGATGCCTGCAGGTCTACAATGCCGAGACCAAGTTTGGGGGGCATTTCCGCAGCTCTGTCTATTGTCCTCCTTTCCTCTTCTGTGGTCATTCTTCCCAAGGGATAGGCCTAGTCCAGGGTGGAGAAAAACAATTCTTGGTGGTAGGGGCATTGGAATTGTATGGGCAGGGTTCTAGGCCAACTTTGGCCTTTCACAATTCTGCTAAGCATTGAACAGAATTTTCACCCTAATTTCACCTTCCCTTCCATCCCTTCCCTAATTTTGCTAGTGTGTATGGAGTTGATTTGATGAGACCTCGTCTTTTTTTTTTTCTCCCTTGTAACGTGGGCCCTATCTTCAAGCCTATCTTCATAGCCTTTCTTTTCCAGACCTTGCCAAAAAGCAGTAGAAGAGAGGTTACAAAATATAAGAGGAAACCTTAAAACAAACAGGGTAGAACTGGAGGGAATCTTAAATAATGCCTAACCCAACTCCATATTCCACTGATAGGAAACTGAGATCCTGAGACACCATCCAAATTCTGATGTAATCAGCAGAACTTAATATGCCACTTTGAGCACAGAACCAAGTACTTTAGAGGTAAGAGAGGCTATTTGTTTCCAGCACAGGCTGAAACCCACATGAGAAAGTTGGACTTTAAGTGACCATAGTCACATTCTGATAAATTCTAAAATGTCTCTCTCATTTTCTCTGACATCATATTGTCATTTTTCATACCACAAATGTGTTACAGTGAAAACCAGGTATAGGTCAATAGATAGTACCAAGAAAAAGAAAAGTTATCATTCTTTAATGCTCTTTAGTTTGAAAACTTTATTTATTTCTTTATTTTGATGGAGGAGTAGAGTGGGTCAAGCTAAGAGTTGCCTTATAAACCTGTTGTTCTCAGCAAATGAGTCAGCTGAGATAAAAACATTAGTTTCCTTGGCGTGTCAGCATCTCTCCCAAAGGAGGGTATTAGTTCATGGGTTGGCATTGCTATCACAAAGAAGGCTCTGGCAGCACCTGATTGGCTTGGCCAAGCTTTTCCCAGTTGGCGTCTGGGCATCTTCCTAGCAGTGGGTCACTCACCCAGCAGTGATTTGGCCTCCTGTTGACATAAATATGCCTAATTCAAAGCAGAAAGTCAATTTGTTATTTTGCCTAAAGAAATGTAACTACCAAGCAGGCTAGATTTCTGTCTTGGCATAACCAGGAAATCTTTACCAATAATTTATGATGTGGTCACCCTTGTTGTAGGCATTATGGAAGATGGAAAGATATATAAGGAATGGCGTCTTGCAAAAAGAACTGGACTTTTTTTTTTTTTTTTTTTTTTGTAGCAATGTGGAGAGTAAAAGCCCAGGGGTCAAATGGTAATTATAGAAGGAGATTCATTTAAAGAATGTCATAAGGAAATAGAAAATAAAGGAAACATTGCAGGAAACCATAGGGGGCTAGCTGATTCATGGAAAATGTGAGGTTATGGCTGGGTCTAAGAATAAGTAAATCATTGGTGACTATGGTTGTAGAGGTTAGGACAGAGAAAGCTGGAGCAACAAGCAATCATCTGCCAGATAAGACCCCGGGCTGGGTGAATGCAAGGAGGGAGCGGACAATTTTGTCTTCCAACTCTGTGGAGCTGGAGCCTTATCTTAGGAGTCCAGTGGGCCTGGAGGCCTGATCACCAACCAGTGTAATGTTAGAATAAGACTTCCCTAAGCAAATCAATGTGATGATTGATACAAACAGCCATCACTGGGGCCTCCTCTATTTCCAATCTCTTCCTCAGTTTCCCAGTTCTTTCAGAACCTCACTGGGAAGTTCAGGGATATATGCCTGCAGGCTGGCCTGGCGCAGATGGATGATGAAGGGTCCTGCCTTGAGTGTAGGGTAGAGTGATTCTGAGTGCTTTCCAACAGACTGTAAATTAAAGACACTCCAAAAAGCCCCTGGTGGGGATAGATGGGGAGAAGGGGTATCACTAAGTCTTCATCTTTTCTTCTAGGGCCAGGGTCAGTGGTTCAAATAAACATGGTGCCCCACAGAGATGGCCTGTGGCCAAGTAGCTCTCAGTGGGTTGACTCAAAGTCACCTGGACAGGCCTGGCGGAAACGCAGGATGGCCCAGCCCTTTCCTAATAGGTTTTCCAGAGTTGATCCATCATTCTGCCCAGAAAAGGGGAGAATAAAAAATAGATCACGAGCCCCTATGACTGTGACTTGTGCTTCCTTGGAAATGCAAACAGGTGAAGGAGAAAATGACACAGCTAGGGTGGTAGGGGGCACTGGAAGTCAACACATTTCTGGGTTCAAATGAGAAGGGTGAGGTGCTGGCATGGAGGAAACTGGCACTGGCCGTCTCCAGGCAGGACTTTCTGGGCACTGGGCAAGGCCATGGCTTTGGGAGCTGCCCCAAGCTGCTGGTCGTGCCAGTGCTTCATTCACCCTGTGAAATGTATTAATTAGTGAGTGGTTTTGGCTCAGAGAGAGTTGCTGTGGCTTCAGATGGATATAGCAGAAAAAAGGCAAATCCATCTACAGGCGCCTCTGAGAAATCTCAGCTCTTGTGAGCCTGAGAAGAGCTTCCATAGAGAGAAGGCGAGACCCCAGCAAAGTTGGACGGAGAAAATTGAGACACCCACACCAATTAGTATGAGTCTATCAATCCAGTGCCACCGAAACACAAGTCTAAGCCTAACAGAATCTGTGCTGCGAATAAGTAAGATTGTTGGAAACAGAACAAAAAAAAACTTTGCAAATGGTGCTTCTTTAAGCTTCTGCAGTTCTCTTCTCTCACTCCCTTTTCAAAAATGGCTGTAAAAAAAATTTTTGGTCTGGTTTAGCCAGAGCGCGTCAGAGCTGGTAGATGCCTTCAAAACTGTGATCTCCCTTTAATTGTCAGAGGGTAGGCTGAGGTCCAGGGAGGTAAACAGACTTTTCCTAAGCTCTGTAGCTGGCTACTGGCAGGATTGAGGGAAGGTGGAACAAGCCTCTTCATTCCCAATTCAGGTTTCTTTCTTCCATCCCACATCTCATGCAATAAACATTTCCAAATCTACCTGCCCAGCGGGGCTAAGAGCAGAGTGGTCTCCAGAATAAGTGGAATAGCATCTCAGGGACTGCTGGTCTGAACACGTACTCCGAACATCACAGCTGCTGCCAAGCGGGCAGACGCCTTAGCCCCAGCCCCTCTCCCTGGGCTTTCCTGGGTCTTGTCGACACTTCTCACATCACTCTGCCTTAAATTTTTCTCCCCCTAGAAAGAGATAACTTGCCTTTCATTCATGCCTACCTAACTCAGTTCAATTCAAGTACATAAATCCTGCTGACAACCCTGGCAGAAGCTTTATGAGTAGGGAGTAAAGATTGTGAGAAAGGCAGGGAATTAATTTATAAGGAAGGAACAATGGGAGAGGAGAGAAACAAAGAGAAGGATGCAAAGCAATTAATGTTAATTGATGCTTAATATATGCCAGGCCCAGTCATCCTAGTTATTTCATTTAATCTTTAAAATAATCCTTGTGTTGTCATCCATGCGTTTTCAGTTGCAGTTCCATGATTTAAGAAAAGCACACAGCCAGAAAGTGGCAGAGAAAAAATCATATCCTGAGTGACAGCTTTACCGGCCCAGTGCTTTCCATTCTAACAAATAGTAGAAAGAGGGAAAGAGAGAAGAATCCCTTGGTGATAGGAATAAGGTAGAGAGAGGCTGTGAAAGAGAGAAACAGGGCTTTGGGGGATCCTGGGTTCTGATGCTGACCTCTGTGTCATTTCTGTATCCATTGTATGAATGTTTATGGAAAGTCAGCTACGAAGCAAATTGTTCTAGGCAGGGGGGTTTCAGCAGAGCTTGGGAGAGCAGATGGTGGGAGGAGTGCATCCATAGGATAGCCTGGGCTGTGGGAATAAGAGAACAGCAAGTCAGGGTGAGTGCTGCAAAGACAATATAAGAGAGCGACAGGCCTCAGAGAACCTGGGAAAAGGAATGAATGGGGTCACCTTAGGAAGTTCATTAGGAGGGGCCTCTCTGAAGAGGTGACCTTTGAGTCGAGACCTGAGGCACTGGAGTTACAGGAAATGTGATGTTGCACGTGGAGAATTTCTTGGAAATGGAGCAGCAATGTAGTCTGACCCTATTGTTGGGCCCATTAACTTGGGCAATGTCTCACCAAGGTGGAGGATGGTGACAGGTCCTCCTGGGATATGGGCCATGGCAGGACGAGGGGACAATGTCTGTAAAGGATTTAAAAAGAGTCATCAATTCTAACGATGTCAATGATAAAATACTTCTCCATATGCAGGGGGCCATTTCCATGACCCAGCTCATAAGGAGTGGAGAGAGTGCTATCTTCCTCTAGAGGCAGCTCCAGGAAGCAGGAGCTGGTAACCTGGGGGCTGCTCTGAAACCTTCAAAAGGGCAAATCATGTAGGAGTCTCTGGCCACTTTCTTTTCTGTAAGAGAAGATTCACTCAAGGTCAGGGGACCCTAAGGACCCCAGGGAATCACCCAAAAACTCCAGCCAGCCCCTAGAGGAAGACAATCCACAGAGCTGGCCCCATCCCTTCGGCCTGTGGCTAAGGCCCATCTGCCCATGGTTCCTTCTTGAAGTAATTGCTGTAAGAATTTGTCATTCACAAAAGGAAGTCTCTATTGTCTCTTTTCGGATGTCATGTAACCAATGCGTGTTAAAGGTCAGTTGCATCAGTTCTCTTAAATGGCAATTAAGCTATTGTCTGAGCAAACCAGAGGCATCCGGAGTGCAAGCTTCGCTCAAACCTAGGGACCTGGGAAAGGCTGGGAACAGAGGAGCAAGTAGGACACCACAGGGGAGGGCCGTGGCTTCAGGAAACGTGGGGAACACCCTGAACTGTAAAAGCAGATGCGTCAGCAGACAAAGGGGGTCATTTCACTAAAGCCTCAGTGAAGCAGAGAAATTCCAGACTTTGCCCATCACCTACTGGCAGGCTCTCCCTCCCTCTGTCCCCTCCCCACCCTCTCCTCACCCTTGTCTTTCTCTGCTTCATTATCTCACGCTCTCTCTTTCTCTCCCGCAGTTTCTCTGTCTCTCAGTCTCGATTTCTCACATCCTGTTTCTCTTTCTTCTTTACTCTTTCTCCCTCTCCTTCACCTCTCCTGGCTTCACTCCACTCCCCCCACCCACTCTGTTCCCTCTCACATTCTCATTTGGGGATGGGGGGCGGCTGACAAACCGGATTGGGGGGGTCTGACAAACTGGATTTAAATTTCAGCTCCGCAGCGTTCTCAGCTCTTGGTCTTGGAAATGTTCCCTGAGCTTCGGTTTTTCTCATCTGAAAATGAAAAAAATAATACCTAGCTCCAAGTATTGAGCTTGTTGTGAGGAATCAAACAGATAACGTTTCTAAAATTCCAAACACAGTGCCTGGTCCACGGCAGATGCTTGACTGGTGACAGCTTCCTTTCCCAGTGAGGCCCAGGGAAGTAGGCACAGTGCTTGGCACCCTGCAAGCATGCGACACAGCTTCACAAAATACCCACAGGGAGCCAGGAGCACCGCTTGAATTTTATGGATGACAAAATTGTGGTTCAAGGAAGGTAAAAGTACCCTGGTAGGACACGTAATTTTTAAAAAGTCTATAGCTATTGATATTACTATATATTAATTCCCATTCTGTCCCTCCGGTTTCTCCCCTGAACACTAATTTCCAAATCCCCAACACTCTATGGTTTAAATGATAAACGATTCACCCAAATACTGTATAATTTTTTTTTTCCTTTTGGGTCAGGGCCATGCTCTGTCACCCAGGCTAGAGTGCAGTGGTACAATCGCAGCTAACTGCAGCCTCAACCTCCCAGGCTTAAGTGATCCTCCCACTTCACAGCCTCCCAAGTAGTTGGGACTACAGGCATGCACAACCACAACTAGCTAATTTTTAAAATTTTTGGCAAAGACAGATCTCACTACGTTGCCCTGGCTGGTCTCGAACTCATGGACTCAAATGATCCTTTCTCCTCAGCCTCCCAAAGTGCTTGGATTACAGATGTGAGCCACCGCACATGGCCATGTACAATTCTTGAAGAAGCTGAAACTCATCTTTCTTTCTCGGTATAAGAAAACTCAGGATATGTTTGGACATCCCCTCCCATCTGCCCTCCCAGCCTCCTCTTCTCCAGGCTGAACCAGATCCTGCTGCATCTTTCTCAAAGACTCTCTTACATCCTCATTATGGTTTCTGCCCCAGTCCTCCATGCTTCTCTGAAGTTTAGAGTCAAAATGCCCTTTTTTGCTTTAGGGGTGAGACCTTCTCTAGCACCGTGTGTCTACAACACAGAGAGGGCAAACAGAGATAGTGCTTGGTATTTTATTTTTAAAATTTTTAATCTTGATTATATTTTGCAATGTTTATACCATTGCACAACACACGGAAGCATTAGTCACAATTTATATAGCTGATTTCATGGAGCTGAATTCTATGGTGTTTATAGCCGTTGAGTGTCTTCTCCCAGAAATTGGAAAGATGCCCCATTTGCTGTAACACACACGACCTCCACCCCATTCTTTTCCTTTGTAACCCAAACCACAATGTGTAATTGTGTGTTTATTTTGTGTTTAATGTTTATCTCTTCGCCCAGGCTCTAAGGCTCTATGAGGGCAGGGATCACATCTGTTTAGTTCACCCAGATTTCATTATATATCCAGCATTCTACACTCTGTAACTGCTTAGTCTCAACTCTGACCACACATTAAGTCATCAAGGGAGTTAACAGAAAAAAAAAAAAAACAATAAACAAGCAAAATGTTTACTAATGTTCCACAAGCTCTTTTGAATCAACTGGTCCCTGTGGCACCTGGGGATCCGTAGTCATGAAAATCCTGCCAGGGATTCTTGATCCGGGATCTGGTGATCCTCGGCAGGACAACTCACCATTCTGTTCGGTTGCCCGCTTGCCTCCTCCCGCTGGCTCCAGCTTCTGTGCCTACAATGAAGGCTGTGCCCATTCCCTCACGTGCCCGCCGTGGCCTGACACCTTCCTGGGCCCACCCTAACACATTCCTCCGTTGCTTTTAACGACTGTTTACAGCTCGCTACCTCTAGGACGTGGCTTCTGATGAAAACTGTCCAGACGCTCTGCCTCCGGTGTAATTCAGAGCCCAGCTCTCCTCCTTAAAATTCTTTTACGCTATTTTCCACAAGCATGTGCTTCTGTTGGCAGTGCCATAAGTGTGATTGATCTTTACCATAAGTTCCTTGAACTTTGCTGTGACCTGGATGCTAAGGTGGCGGGAGCTGCCTCCATCCCCACAATTTGACTGGTACAACCCGAAAGTAGGATGATAGTCTGTTCTGGTCAAACATTAACGTGGGGCAGGGACAATGGAGAGAGGGTTTGGTCATCTGGCATGCTGCAGACTGCCAGAGGAGCTGGAAAGGCTGAGTATGGGAAAGGGGAGGGATTTCATGGCCTCTTCGGGCTTTGAGTATTTGAAGAAACTGCCTATGGAAGACCAGACCTGTGCCCTGCCTCCCAAGAAACACACAGAGCTTAGACGGTGGAAGCTATCTGGGGCAAATTCAGCTCCCTGTGAGGAAGGTCTTCTAGTTGTTAGGGGTGTCTTGGTAGGTCAGGGAGGGTTTTCCAGCATCAGTCATTTTCATACCAATCTCTCGGTTTTTGCCATATTCCTGTACCACCCGTGCTTTTATTTACCTAATCTTTTTTATTTACCGAATTTTTAACCTAATATTTCCTTTAAAACAACTTTAAATTGACACACTTTGTTTCATTCCTGTTTTTAAAAAGTACCTATGGCAAAAGATATGAATAGACACTTCTCAAAAGAAGACATGCAAGCCGCCAACAAACATATGGAAAAATGTTCATCATCACTAATTATCAGAAAAATGCAAACCAAAATCACAGTGAGATATCATCTCACACCAGTTAGAATGGCCATTATTAAAAAGTCAAAACCAACAGATGTTGGTGAGGCTGCAGAGAAAAGAGAACACTTATATATTCTTGAGAATTTAAATTAGTTCAGCCACTGTGGAAAGAAGTTTGGAGATTTCTCAAAGAACTTAAACAGAACTACCATTTGACCCAGCAATCCCGTGACTGGGTATGTACCTAAAAGAAAACAAATTGTTCAACCAAAAAGACATATGCACTCACATGTTCATCATAGCACTATTCACAATAGCACGGTTCATGGAATCAACGTAGGTGCCCACCAACAATAGATTGGATAAAGAAAATGTGGTACATATATACCATGGAATACTATGCAGCCATGAAAAAGAAGGAAATCACGTCCTGTACAGCAACATGGATGCAGAGGGAGGCCATTATCCAAAGCAAATTAACACAGGAACAGAAAACCACATACCACATGTTCTCACTTATAAGTGGGAACTAAACATCAGGTACTCGTGGACATAAAGATGGCAACAATAGGCCAGGCACGGTGCTGATGCCTGTAATCCCAGCACTTGGGGAGGCTGAGGCGGGTGGATCATATGAGGTCAGGAGTTTGACACCAGCCTAGCCAACATGGTGAAAGCCCATCTCTACTAAAAATATAAAAATTAGCTGGGTGTGGTGGCACACACCTGAAATCCCAGCTACTCAGGAGGCTGAGGTGGGAGAATTTCTTGAACCTGGGAGGCAGAGATTGCAGTAAGCCAAGAAGGTGCCACTGCATTCCAGCCTGGGCAACAGAGTGAGACTCTGTCTCCAAAAAAAAAAAAAAAAAAAAAAAAAGATAGCAACAATAGACACTGGTAACATACCCAGGTAACAACATACCCAATATATGCATGATATACCCACACAACATACCCAGGTAACAAACCTGCATTTGTACTGCCTGGTGGGTGTGGTTTGTGAACCGGTATGTGTGGTCTGTGGTATGTATGGATGTGTGTAGTTTGTGAACTGGTGTGTGTGGCATATGGTGTGTATGTGGGTAACTGGCATAACTGGGGTATGGTAGGTATGGGTATGTGTGGTATGTGAACTGGTAAGTGATATGTATGAGTGCGTATGGTGTGTGTTGCGGGTGGTGTGTGAACTGGTGTGTGGTGTGTGGTATGCATCGGTGCATGTGATGTGTGAACTGGTGTGTGTGGTATGGTATGCATGGGTGTGTGTAGTGTGTGAACTGATATGTGTGGTTTGTGAACTGGTATGAACTGGTGTGGTGTGTGATGTGTGGTATGTATGGGTGTGTATGGTTTGTAAACTGGTGCATGTGGTGTGAACTGGTGTGTGGTATGCATGGAGATGTGTGGTTTGTGAACTGGTGTGAATTGGTGTGTGGTGTGTGGTATATATGGATGTGTGGTATGTGAACTTGTATGTGTGGTGTGGTTTGGATGTGGTGCATGTGGTATGTGCAGTATGTGGTGAGAGTGTGGCGTGTGGTGTATGTGGTGCATGTGGTGTGTTTGGTATGTGGTATGCGTATGGTGTGTGTGGTGTATGGGGCATATGTGGTTTGTGTGTGGTGTGGTGTTTGTAGAGTGTGGTGCGCATGGTGTGTGTGGTATGTGGTGTGTGTGTGGCATGTGGTGTATGGGGTGTATGTGGTTTGTGTGGGGTGTGTGGGATACGTGGGGTATATGTGGTGGGGTGTGTGGTGTCTGTGATGTGTGGTATGTATGGGGGTATGTGGTGTGTGAATTGGTGTGTGTGGTTTGTAAACTGGTGCATGTGGTGTGAATTGGTATGTGGTGTGCATGGAAGTGTGTGGTTTTTGAACTGGTGTGAACTGCTGTGTGGTGTGTGGTATATATGGATGTGTGGTATGTGAACTTGTATGTGTGGTGTGGTTTGGATGTGGTATATGTGGTGTGTGCAGTATATGGTGTGTTTGTGGCGTGTGGTGTATGTGGTGCATGTGTGCGGTATGTAGTGTGTGTGTGGCGTGTGGTGTGTGTGGTATAGGGGTATATGTGGTTTGTGTGGGGTGTATGGGGTGCGTGAGGTGTGTGTGGTGTGATATGTGGTGTCTGTGGTGTGTGGTATGTATGGGGGTATGTGGTGTGTGAATTGGTGTGTGCACCATGGTATGTATGGGTATGTGTGGTCTGTGAACTGGTAGGGGTGCTGTGGTGGGGAGTGGTGTGTGTGGTGTGTGGCATGTATGGATGTGTGTGGTGTGTGTCTTGGGAGTGAGGGTGCTTATCATGAGCAGGTGCTGCAGAAGCCCTCAGGGAAGATGACTTCACTGGGAGCTGAGATGACCTCACTGGGCGCCCTCCTTCAGCAGATGCGAGGACAGGCCCACAGGCCTAAAGTCAATTAGAGGCAGATTTCCAAGCAGAATCTACTTCTCCTGACCTCTGATTCAGTGCCTTTTCCTGACAATTTTATCCCTGCGACCCCAGCCTTGAGAATGCAAAAAACTACCCCCAACTTCAGCCTGAGGTCATGAAACCAACCAGGAGTGCAGGCCGTCTAGGGGAGGTGCGAGTGCCCACCTACTGGGCAGCCACTCTGAGGGCAAAGTCCACGGGAGACACAGCTTCAGCCACCACCGGGGCTGCGACCTGTCCTCAGGATCCTCCTCAGCCCCCTCCAGGAGTCCTCAGCTTTCTGCTTTTAGCCCCAAACCCAGATTCACTTTCCCAGGCCATTCACCGTCTGAGGCAGCCCAGTCCGCTTTGTCCTTCCTCCTTCCCGAAGGCTCTCAGCCCCTGGGCAGTATCAGAATTTCACTTTGATCTCCTTTTCCCTGGGAGCCAGAATAGCTTAGTCTCTTCAAAAGGAGAGTTAGAAAGTGTGCCGTTCATCTAATAAAAATTAACTCCTGAGAGTTATCCAATCCCAATACAGGTCATTTCGCTGGAGGCTACCCCGACTAGGAAACACATTTTAGGACATCAGCAGAGGTAAAGATGAGAGCAATTTGCTCAGGCTTTTACTTGGGGTTAAGGATCACTAGGCCACCAGGACCAGGGATGCCAGACAACCTCAGGTTTCTTTCCAAGCTTTCTCCAAACTAGGCCTCACTTTTATCATTTTCCTACCCCTGGGCTCTATGATTTTGTGGTGTTGCTTTTGTGTTTTCAAAAACACTGCATTCATTCATTAGCTCTGCACTTTCCCTCATGCAATGCACACAGAACTGTAAAGACAAATGATAAAGCCCTTTCCCGCTTGGATCTTGTGTTGTTGGCCAGGTTCATTCAAAAGGCCATTGTTTGATGGTGATTAAGTGTGTTTGTTTTGAATATTCACCTAAACAAAAATGATCAATTTACACAATTCTTGGAATTCATGGGTGTCTTGGGAAAACTTGAAGCCACAAAAAATGTTCAATACATAAATGCCAAGGACCTCCTGCTGTCAATTAAGACCCTCATGATAGTCTTTTGCTTATTTGCTCGTTAATTCATGTAAAAGTGGTTTGTGAGCAAATTAAGCATCAGTTGGCATGCCGGACATGGACACATAGATACAGTTTGTGGTCTGGAGGGGAGGTGGAAATGAGAGTCTCACAGGCTGCCCTCGGCCCAGAACTTCTGTGTGGAGGTTTTGCATAAAAATCAGAATTTCTGGATTCTTATAAAAACCCTAAAGTTCTAGCCCCATTAGGGCCACTGTTCCACTCACAGCCCTGAGTAAGCCTCCCCCATCAGCCCAGGCATGGACCCTTTGTCCTGCCTCTGTTGTCACTCTCCCGACTGTCTCAGACCTAACCAGCTCCTCTTCTGTTTGTGACTTGCCCTTATGGGAGCCTGAGGGCTCCTACCTACTAGATGAAGCTGATGGGGACATTCTCCCAAATGAGAAAGCGATGGAAAGTTGTGACCATCAGAGGAAGATCAGAGATCAAGCCTTGTTGATGTAAAAGGAATTAAAGTTGAGAAACCATTTCCTGCAACCAGAATTGTGAAAGCATACAACGTAGTACCAAAGGAAAATTACCGAAGCCTCCTTCCCTGAAGAACCTTCAGGAAGGGGAGGCCAGCCGTCTGACGTGATCACAGTGATGTCTTGCCCTGAAACAAGAAGCATTCTTCCCAGGTCCTTTCCGCCGGAGGATTCTTATTCTGTGATCAATGCTGAGCTATGTGGATGAGTGTTTGCGTGGATTTCTTTTAAAACTATATTGCTAAATAATCTTGCCCCCTGGCCCCATGCACGTTCTTTTTTTTTTTTTTTTTTGCACCCAGATAAGAAAAAGACTTGAATGTATTTTTTTCTATAAAATGCAGTCAATATTGTTCTGTGAGGGGGAAAGAAGTAGTGGAGGATGAAGATGGAACAGGGGATGAGGTGGTGACCAGCATGCCCTCATGGATAGACACTGAGCAGGGAGAGGCAGGGATATGCATGGAGTAAGCCCTCTCTCTCTCTAGGACAAAGCAAATTATGTCTTCATGCCAGTGGACTCTGCATATTCATTGAAAAAAATAAGATTTAATTAATTTAGGGAAGCAATATGGGCTGACCAGACAGCCAAGTTCTTCAAGATAGGACAGTAAAACATTTTATGTGAGAGCTGGCCAATGTCTGGATGGAAGAGGGAGGGCCAGGGAGACTGGAGAGATATTGAGGGGGTGAGGAGGTTTGAGGAATCCACAGTGGGGTGAGCTTCATGACCAGTGGAATGAAATAAGGGCTATTCTGGATGGACGACCAATGTCAGTGCAAGGCCCTCAATCTCTTGGGATAACACTGGAGTTGGAATACATATGAAAAAAAAAATCCACAAGTATAAAAGAAGTAAGCAGAGGCCGGGCATGGTGACTCACACCTGTAATCCCAGCACTTTGGGAGGCCAAGGCGGGCAGATTGCCTGAGGTCAGGAGTTCGTGACCAGTCTGGCCAACATGGTGAAACCCCGTCTCTACTAAAATTAGCCAGGTATGGTGGCGTGCACCTGTAATCCCAGCTACTCAGGAGGCTGAAGCAGGAGAATTGCTTGACCCAGGGAGGTCGAGGTTGCAGTGAGCCGAGATCGCACCACTGCACTCTAGCCTGGGCGACAGAGTGAGACTCCATCTCAAAAAAAGACTGGAATAGAGTACATTTGTCATAGGCCAACTGCCTCCATGCTCTTGTCTCACAGAGATGTTTATAACAAGCTTGAGTAGCTACAACTGGATACTTTGGTCTATATATGCTTTCCTCGTGATTCTTTTTTTCCTCCTTCTTAGCTTAAACAAATGCACACAGAGGGAAGTGGATAAACTATTAGCAGAGTAAGCACTTGCCAAGAATACCGGGGGCACCAAAAACACATAAAAACAGGCTTGGTTGGGAGCCCGATGTGGGCAGATCACAAGGTCAAGAGATCGAGACCATCTTGGCCAACATGATGAAACCCTGTCTCTAGGAAAAATACAAAAATTAGCTGGGTATGGTGACGCACGCCTGTAGTCCCAGCTACTCGGAAGGTTGAGGCAGGAGAATCACTGAAACCCAGGAGCTGCAGGTTGCAGTGAGCCGAGATTGTGCCACTGCACTCCAGCCTGGCGACAGAGTGAGACTCTGTCTCAAAAAAAAAAAAAAAAAAAAAAAGCGAGGGGATCTTGGGGAACCTAGGAAGAAGTTACTTAAATTTCAGCACATGCTATATAGTTTTCAGGATTAGTCCCTCTCTAGGTATTCATCTGGGGCTGGCGCCTCCTTGGCTGGCAGGGGCTGGTGATCGGGACTCCCCAGCGAGACAGATTGCACCCAGAGCAGTGAGGCCCCGAGCGCTTCCTGGAGCCTGGGGAAGATGGCATTCATTTTTAAAGTCCATTTATTGTGCAGTTGTTGAAAGTGGGACACAGAAATTTGGACTGATATGCCTAGGCCACATGACTACTGATTGGGCCAGGGTAAATGCAGTCTTTTTGTTGATGGAGAAGGTCTTTTCTGGGCCCAGCACAAAGCAATGGATCTTCAGTCTTAAGAAATGCATTGAAAACCATCCTTGTGCAGTTTGGGGTCCCTGGTAGGCCAAGAGCTGGAAAGGCCCTTAGACTCTGAGTGCTGTAGCCCCCCTTCTAGGTGATGGTCAAAACTTGAAAACGGCTCTAGACTCTGGACAGAAATGCATGAGAATTGAGTGTTCAAAGCTTGGTGCTTTGACTTCTTTTAACTTTCTGTAGACTGAAATATGAATAAGAGGAAGGCATGAGGCCCCTCTCAGTTTATGGAGCCATAGCTCCAAACCTCCCACTTTCCAACCCAGCAACCCTGTGTGTCCTAGGAATTGTAGCGGGTGTCCCAGAATGCAAAAATCACTCTGCTAGAACTGGAAAAGGAGACGCCTGCCTTTTCTAGCACGATCTTTAGTAAATAGATTCAGGAAATGTGGGTCCTGGTCAGAGCTGGTGCCACAAGCTGAGTGCCTTCAGGCAGCAGACTTAGCCTCTTCAAGTCCAATCTCATCAGTAGTATCAGGGGGCTGAGATGGATGATCTCTAAGCAACCTTCCAACCACAGTGTTTTATAATTCTGTGTTCTGTGACCCATGTCTTCCTTGGAGGGCTCTTCAATCATGATCCCTATTACTATTGCCTTTGTTCGTATTAATAATAGCTTTCAATTATTATTCCTCAGATCATTCTTGGAGCACACATATCATAACTGGAGCACACAATAATGACAAGGACAGAAGCCAAGCATGTCATAAGCAGCCATTGTTGAAACAGATATGCTGCAGGGGCTGGAGTGACAATCGCTAAATGTCCCCCCACCACACACACACACACACACACACACACACACACACACCTGCCCCTGGCAGGCCCAGCCTCAGGGCTCAGCCAGGTGACTTTTTCTTCTGGGTCATTAGGAGTCTGGGGTGAGCCCAGGCTACAGGAGGAAGGCATTACTTTGTCATTTTGGGAAAAAGGGTCACGTGTCCTACTTTTGCAGATGACAGCTCATTTTAACTTTACACTTGCATGCTGGTTTGGGAGGACTTTGAAGAGGCAGCATTGAGTAGTGGTTAAGAAAAACACAAGCTCTAGAGGAATGTAGGATTTTTTGTGTCCCAGCTCTTCCACTTGATAAGCTTTGCATCATGGGAGAAGTTACTTAATTCTCTGTGTCTCAGTTTTCTCATCTGTAAAATGGGGATAATCCCAGGTCCTCCTCCTCAGTGGTTTAAGGATGGAGTGAGTGAACGTATGTTAGAGCAAGGCCTGGCTCACTGTGAGAACATAAGTCATATTAGCTATTGTGATGGTCTTCTTAACCGCCTTCTTACAGAAATAATAGAACTGAGGCCCAGAAAGACAGAGAGAGAAAAAATAGCTTGACTGAGCACATGGCCAGTGGTGACAAAGTTGGAAACACTTCAGCTTCCTGATTCAGTGCTGGCTTTGAGGGCAGTGCTCTCTCCCTGAGCTTCCCACAATATATTCCAAAGGCCCCTTCTAAGCATATGTCTTCTACATCAGCACTCACCACTATCAGCAGGACTGACCTCCCCAGTGTTTCCCACACACACCCAGCATTCTTCCGTCCCATCTCTACCTTGGGATTTCCTTCCTGCTTTTCTCTACCCTGTTCAGGGAACACGTCCAACCAGCCTTCCTCCGCGGACACTGCCCAGACTTCTCCATGGGCACTTCCTAGCCCCCTCTGATATGCAGCCCTCTCTGAATCCCTTAGTTCCTTAGTGTCTGTGCTGTGGAAATCCTCCTATTTGACCTTGTAGTGTGAGTCATCTTTGCATGGTAAGTACCACGTAGTCCCTGCTGTCAGGACCTTTGTGGGGCCCAGCCAAGTGCTAAGGCTCATTTGGGCCTTAGCACATGTTGACTTGCACCTTCTCTTGCTGGCAGCCCCCGTCCTGGACTCCAAAGGACTCAGCAGTCCTGATTCTAATTCTGTCCTAATTCTCCCCTCCCTCTCCTGCAAATCGAGCTGAGTGGTGGTGGAGTCTACTTCTCTGCTCTCTTTCTTACACTGAAAGCCACCACAGCTCACTGCCTTTGGTGTGTTCAGATAGGGATTACAGCCCCAAATACAGCAGCTTGTTTCCTGATGAAAACCCAGCCAAGCAGCTGGATTGAGTGCCTGAATAAAGACTCAACCCCAATTAAGGAAGAGCTGGGAATCGCTGCAATTCTGAGACAGCGCAGTTATCATAAGCCCTTCTAAGAGAAACCATTTAAGATAGGGTCGGAATTAAAATAGTTTCCCCGGCACACAATTATGTACTGACTCTTTCTGAGGGAGTCGTTTAGGGAGCAAAGAATGGAGTTTTCATTTTAACTGCTCTTTCTCAATTGCACAAGACAGTTTTCGAACTCTTCTCCTTAAAATTGTGTTTCTATCATGGCCTCTCTCACGACGGTTCGCAACATCTAGTTTGTTTCCCACTCATAGAAATATTGCACATACATTTTAGTTTTGTGAGAAATTATATTCTTAGGGAAAGGCAGGTTGTGTGAGTAGATTTATTTCAGTATATCAAAAATATGATGCTTTTTTTTTAAGTGGTGAATTTGTGAGCAGACCTCAGAGCAGATGCTGGAGGTCCCCTGATGGTCATTCCACATTCTACTCCCCAGTGTTCCCGGCTGCTCAGTGCCCTTAGTGAGTCCCTTAATCGCTTTAGGATCTCATTCCCTCATCAGTAAATGAGGTGCTGACACCTGCTCTTCTGATTTCCCAAAGCAACTATAAAAATAAAATGAAATAAAGCATAAAACACTAGGCAGAATATAAATCACAATTGCGACTTCAAACTCTTATGTCTAGAATGCCCTGCCTTCACCTTGCAGGACCACTCTGCAGAGGAAATCTGAGACATTGGTTCTATTGCCCTGTTTCTCTTCAGTCCTTGGACCTGCCCACCTGCATAGCTTTCTTCTGATCTCTCCCTACCATTGCTGATACAGGTTTGTGACCTGCCACCACTGGGTGAAATCATTTATTTCTCCCCACATTCTTTGCCATGCATTTGCAATGTTTTTCCATTTGATTTTGGGGGCTTTGAGTCTCACTATTTTGCCCTCTCATTCCTCGCCCCCCCCCCCCACTTTCAGAAAGACTTTTCCTAGGAACTTTTTCATTTATGGGCTGGTTGGTTTCATTTCCTCTGACATGCCTCTTTCCTCAATAGGTTCTTGTTATCTCAGCTGCTTGGGATATTTGTGTTACATCCCTGTCCCAGCTCCGGCTCCACCTGCCTCCTTTCCTCTCCCACGCTGAGGAGAGCCCACATTTTATGCTGTTGGTGACAGGTCCCAGCCAAGGCTCGGCAGTCTCAGCCTCTTCCTCCCTGGGCCTCAATCCTGGGGACGCCACCAGGAAGGAAGGGGTTAATCTTTGGCCTTCCCTCCATCTTCTTTCTAGTTCAACCTGTCAGTGTGCTGGGAGAGAAACCAGGCCATTGCCAGCATAACACATAAAATAAAACACCAGCCTGCTCCTTTCTCTGTGGATGATCAGGAGAGCTTTGGGGAACACCTATTCAGTGCCCTCATTTTCCAGTTGAGGAAGCAAAGACAAGAGGTGAAATGACCGGCCTGAGGTCACTGTGACTTTGAGCATCCTACTGTGCCAGTCCTGTGCTGGGTACCAGCTATCAAAGATGATTAAGATATTGCTCCTGTCCTAAGCTGTTCAAGTCAGAAGATAAAGAAGCATGTATTGATTGTATTTACTGGAAAAGCATCTATCTGCTAATTGATTAGACCCCTCCCATGTTTTCCTTTTAATTAAAATTTCCTTCTTTCCAAAAGCAATCCACCACCTCCTTGGAGGTCTAGCTCCCAACCAATTCATGTCCTTCCCGCCTCCAGACTGCTCTATTCCCTTGTTCCCCACTTCCCTTTACGGTTTGTGAATATCCCCGGCTGGGACGTGTAGCTGGAAAAGACACCCTCTTCTCTGCTCACTTCAAGGCCTGAAGGCCCTTTCTCCACTTAGGATGATCAAGGGCAGTTCTCAACATGTTTGATTAGCTCAGAACCTCTGGCAGTGAAAAGGAGCCTTTTCTTTCAAAAAAGATTTGGCCTCCTTGTTTTATAATGTCTACCCTGTTATCATGAATTGCTTGGAAGGACCAAGGGGTACCATGAGTTACTGGGGAAGCCCCTCTTTGTTCTGCTTTTTCATTTCCTGAGCCCTCATTCTCCAGGAGACAGTGGCACGGAGGGATGAAGAGAGGCAGGAGCACAGCTGTCCCTAGGGAGGTGGGGAAATGAGTAGGAAAATACCTAATGAGCAATCATTCAGCACATATCTTGGGAAAGTCATATCAATGATCTGTTTTCACTGCCTAGTAAACCACTCCAAAACTTAGTGACTTGAAACAATGACTTTATTACTTATTGTTTCATGGATCAGGAATTTGGGCAAGGTTCAGTGGGATGGCTTATCTCTGTCCCACATGGTGCTCCTTGGGATGGCCCATCTGGGACTAGAAGATAAAATGGGTCAATTACATGTTTGGGGCTTTGGTGTTGGCTATGGGCTTAGGTATCTCAGTTCTCCATGTGGCCTCTTTTCCCAACAGCACAGACTGAGCTTCTTTATCTGATGGTTGAGTTTAGAAGGAAAAGCTTCAATGTGCAAGTGCTTACTATGCCTCTGCTTGGGTCACATTTGATGAGGTCTCTTGACCAAAGCAAGTGACATATGGCCAAGCCCAGAGTCATTGTGAAAGGAACTGCATGAGGGCGTGAGTACCAGGAGGCATGATTCATTGGGGGGCCTGGTAGCAGACTTAACATACACAGATGATTAACAAATACTTCTTTTGGCAGAGGTTGGAGCTTTGTAGATCATATACCTTCTCCCCCAGCTAGCAAGACTCCTTTAATTTCATCCTTCCCATTAATACCCCCTTTTTTCTTTATCTGTTCACATTCAGGTGACTTTTCTCTACTCTGAACTAGAGCAGGTTACTTAGTTCTTACCACATATTAGCAATCATGAATACAGAGAAGCTTTTGCCCTTTAGGGTGGATTTAATACACACCTTGTTTCTCGAAATAAAGTAGTTTCTAGGTTTACCATTGGTGGCTGTGATCTGTCCATAAGCTCAGTGTGAGGCAGAGGTCTGGGCCTCCTGGCTAGGCCCTGGATCCAAGGATCTCAGGGAAATGATATTGAAGCCCCCTAGCCAAATGAAGAGGGAAATTGGCCTTGGATCATATCATGGCAACATGGTTCAGAGTGATCCTAGAGTTGGTACTCCTGGGACATGTGATTAAACCACGTTTGCTAATTTTGAGGAAATTACTTACCCTCCCTAAGCTTCATCATAAGGAAAACGTGAGCAATACTCTTATCAGTCAATCAATCAATGAAGATTGTTTTGAAGATCAAATGGTAATACATGCTAAGTGCTTGGCATATGGCAAAGGCTCACAAGTTTAACTATTTTTATTGGCATTAACACATATTCATTTCACCTCTCTACCATTCCCCTTAAAAATGAAATTCATAAATATTTATATTCATATCACTGACTCCCTCCAAAAGGGAAGAAAAAGTAAAGAAGAGAGATGAGAGAAAGAGATAGAAGAGACTGAAATACAGGAGAGAAGATGAAAAGATACAAAAAGGAGAAGAAGGAGGGAAAGGGAAAGAGACAGAGTCAAAAAAAAACAGATGGCAAGGCTGAGAGCACATGTACTTTAAGACCAGAGATCATTTTCCAAGGAGCCGTCACATCTCTGGGGTTACCCAAAGCTCACTTGGCTCCTGGCAAACCTGAAGTTCTTGCCAATGGGAGAGGCTGAGTGGTGTGTGTCAGACAGCAAATGGATTTTGCCACCCAGGGTGTCTGTACCAACTTGGGCAAGATCACATGGAGAAAAGAAAGGAGTGGGGCAGAGTGGGAAATATTTCTCAGAGTGAGGCTGAGTGGTTGGCTGGGAATGTCACCATGGGCCTGGCCTACTATTAAGTCTGCAAATAATCCATATAGCTGCCCCCTGCATTTGTAGCTCCTCCTGAAGGAAAAAGGGCAGCACAGCTAGATGTGCTTTTCCAGACTAAGTTTCTTCCAGGTGAACACTCCCCCTCTGCAGCTCTCTGGACCCTCTTCTCCACCCGGGACGTAGGACTGGTTGCTGGCACAGGTTGGGAAGGAAACTTCTTGCCAAGGATGAGTAGGAGTAGAGTGGATGGAGGGTCATAACCTTGGTCCAAGCTTTATTCTCTGCCATAGAGGTGATTCCAGGGCTGGGGTTGCAGACTTCCATGGGTGCATTGGTGGAAGAATTAGGTAAAGACATGACTCAAAAACAGGATGTGTGCAGAGGGAAAACTCTCTTTTCCAATTTATGAAGCCCAAGGAATTGGGGTGATAAAAGGTGCTCCCTTTGGTAGTAGGGGTCGTGAGAAATCTCTCTAGACACTAGCAGCTCCAGACCTCCCATCCTGACCAATATCACTAGCTACAATGCAGGCTCAACTGAGAAGGAATCTTCCTCCTTTAGAATTGTTTGGGATGATGTATTTCTTTCTTATAATTAAGAATAGAAAATTTATATAACAAGTTTATATTATTATTTTATATTTAGAAATCTGTTTAATTTTTGGTGTTTATGTTCTTACCATGTTTAAGAGAATTCAGTCTATTATAACTGCAGATCAGTCTTGAAACTCCAATTTATAGTGAGTAGTTGATTGATTAATTTAGACACAAATTTAGGTTGAAATCTTTTTTGTATTGTGTTCAAATAATTACAAAAGCTTAAGAATTGCTATTTTAAGAGGTTAATTTATTAAATTTATAGGAATCATTTAAGTACTAGAGAAAATTTATCAGATCACAATTTTTTTCTATGAAATCAAATATATTAAATTTATTAAAGCAGTTCAGGATTTGTTTTTAATAAGTTTTTTTTTTTTTTTTTTTTTTTTTTTTTTTGAGATGGGGTCTTGCACTGTCACCTGGGCTGGAGTGCAATGGTGAGATCTTGGCTCACTGCAACCTCCATTTCCTGGGTTCAAGTGATTCTCTTGCCTCAGCCTCCCTAGTAGGTGGGATTACAGGCACCCACCACCATGCCCAGCTAATTTTTTGTATTTTTAGTAGAGATGGGGTTTCACTACGTTGGCCAGGCTGGTCTCAAACTCCTGACTTCGTGACCTGCCCACCTCAGCCTCCCAAAGTGTTGGGATTACGGGCATGAGTCACCACGCCGGGCCTTAAAATAAGTTTTTAATGGAGGCCAGACATTAATCAAAGTTCTTTAAAAAGTGATAGTTAAACTCACTAGGTCCATATCAGAAATATAAGACTTATAGGTGATAAGTAAAAGATTAAAGGAGAACTATAGTTTTGGATGTAAAACCTTTATTAATAGAGTACTTATTCAAAATTAATCATAAAATGACCTCTGATAATATTTCTGCTCATAAAATCCACCTAAAAAACTAAAGACATCACATTGGAAATACTTTGATTAGGATCATTGTTGACCTATTGGCTTTCTATTGTTGTGTAAAAAGTTACCTATATGACATTCAATCTTATAACACTTTGCTGCACATATGTAAATCAATTTTTTCATGATTTCCATCTTTATCCTAGATATCAAGACTCTTAGAGGAGGAAACAATTTTTCACTTATTTTGGTAGTCACAGTAACTGGTACAGTATTGAGGAAATAATAGATAATTCATGCTTTTTAACGAAGGAAGGAAACAAGAAGTGAATGAGAACTTCAATTCTCAGAACTTCAGTTTTCTTAATGAAGGTGATATTATCTATTATTCAGAGATAACATAGGACCAAGATTGCCATTAACTCTAGCTTTTGTTGCTTGTATAGCTCCAGGGAAATCAGGATGTTAGGAAAACTGACTTTGACGGTGTGCACTGAAACGTTCAGAATGACAAAGTTGCAGACCTGTAACAGTGTGACAGTAGTCCCACCTCATGATGACAGAATGCAGCTGTAGTGGTCATAAGAATGTGGCTTGAAGATCAAACCTAAGCAAGCCTGTGTTCCTCAACCAACCACTACACACACACACACACACACACACACACACACACGTACACATATACCTCTTGAATCATTCATGGTCCAAGTAGGAGAGTATAATAAAGGCAGAATTTAAGAAAGAAGCTATTTACGGAGACTTGGGCACAGTTTAAGAAAAGCACAACAAGGGATGGTGCAGGATCCTCCAGGCTAGTCACACCCATGAATCAAGAAGGAGCAAGAGACGGGAGTGATTACTGGAAAACAGAGGAAAAACAGTTTGATGGGAATTGTCGTCTCTAATGGAGAAACACAGTAGTATACAACATTAAACATTCCAGTATCACTCTTTTTCCTCCCTTCCATCTCCTGTTGCTCCCATTGGTCAAATCCAACTGGAGGTCAGCCAGTATGAGATGACGGATAAAGTTCGTTGAGAGTGCATGCAGTCTGTTGTACAGGGTAGAAAAGAATGGGATGTGTATGTGGACGGCAAATGGCAGATATATCTCACATACCCCAAATAAACATGTAAAGTTTTACAGAGCATGAACAGAAGGCACAAAAAGAAGCAAAGAACAGGAATTTTTCCTAGGTTGCTGTTATCTCTACTTTACTTTCTCAGGTGTTTAACCTCAGTTGTTTGGTAACTTCTGTCCAAAGACTTTAATATGAAACTTTTGCAGTGAGGTAAAAAATACATTGATTTGGTCCCACTCTCTGGGTTAACCCTCTATGCTGTCAGTTGACCCTCCCTCTCTAGGCTGACTCTACTTTTTAAGTGAACCCCCACTCCGGGATGACCCCACTATCTGGGTTAGTTCCCATCCTCTGACCAGTGACAGCTGCTTGGCACCACACACACTTCCAGTCCCAGAGCAGAGTTAGCTGTTCTGACCCTTGACTGAGAAAGGGCACAGCTCATTGTATCCGGAAGGTGAGGCCTTGGTCAAAAGCTCTCCCTAGAATGTTTCTAAGACCAGTCTCCTGGCTTCTCTAGTACTGCTCAACACTTCACTTGGGACAGTGTAGGAGGGAAAAGTTACCTGACCTGATAGATACCTGGCCTTTTCACCTACATGGGATGTCAGCAAGGCTAAAAATAAGTAGGCTTTCAAGGTGAGCTGGGAAGACACAGCTTGCTGAGACCTGAGTCCACATCAGGGTTGATGATATCAACATTGGCACCTCAGGTAGAACCTACAGCGCCACTCAGGCCTGCAGACAGTGGAGCTGGAGGCACCAGGTCTTCAGGAATTAGTAATAAGAATGAGGTCAGTCCTCTCACATGGAGACTTCTCTGAGTAAATCTAATTGAGCTGGCCCGAAGAGGTGGGTGTCCTAGGAAAATATTCAGCATTTGCTGGGAGAGTTGTAGGTCCTATGGTGTTTTGCTGCATTGTTTGTCTCCTCTGGCCAGTTCCCCTGAACTCTGATGCAGACAACATCTCCTTTTTATAAAAGTCATGTCATTTTCCCTGCATGCCTGTCTTTCATTTAGGGTTGTGCTTTCAAACTGCAGAACATTAGAATCATCTAAGGAGCTTTTAAAGATCCCAATGAGTACAGCATGCTATAGACTATTTAAATCAGAATCTCTGGAAAGTGGGGTCCAGGCTTCAGAATTTTATAAAGTTCCCCAGGTGATTTCAATGTGTCCCCAATGTATCAGGCCCTGACTTGGGACCTCTAACTTTGAAGTTTTTCAAGATCTTCCCTTTTTGTCCTAGTTCCCCTGCAGCTAAGTCCCCATTTTCTAAGCTTCTCTCTAAGTAATCTCCCCCCTGCTTCGTCTTTCCATCCCACATAGAGTTCAGGTCTAGGTTTATGCTCCTTCCACTCCTTCAGAATTTCAGAGCTGAAGGGACCTCAGAGTCCCATGGATGAGCCTAAATCTTCACTGTGTAGATGCAAAAGTGTAGGGAAGGAAGATCAGGATGTTAGGTATGGTAGGGCAGGGGCCGGAGCCACTCTCTGCTCTCACTGATTTGCAGAGCCTGAAAATCCCCCAGTGGTCACTGATCCACTCTGGAGAAAGCAACATTCAGATTGATTCACTGTCTGGAAAGGTAAGCTGTGGTCAGATGATAGAGATCCTTGAAATCTGCGTAATGATGTATTACAATTAAGACTGTAGACAATGGGAGCCACTGAAGATTTCAGAGCATCAGTGTGTCATGTCTGCTCTGACAGGGGTGGTTAGGGTGGAGAAAAGAAGAAAGACTCTTGGCAGTCAAACAAGTGAAGACAGAAAACCAAGCAAGAAGAGGCAAGCAATTCCGAAGGAGGTGAGAAGTGGAGGGGAAGATAGACATTAAGAGCACTGGTGGGGGGTACTTGGACCTCTCCTCCATCTCATCAACTGACTCACAACCAAGAGTCAAGTTTTCAAGGCTTGACAGCTAGAAGGACAATGTTGGCCCAAACACTATCAGCCTCAACAGACTGATAGGATGTTGAGGACGGAGAATATGAGCTTTGGCACAAACATGTGAGCCTTAAACTCTCTCTCTGGTGTTTCACTGAAGGCAGGGCCCCACTTCAAATTCCAGCAGAGAATTTTGCAGCTCGTAGCTGCCAGTTTGGGGGCACCTACAGAGAGGCAGTGCATTGAGGTGGCTCCCTGGGTTTGGAACCTGACTTGGTATTTTTCTAGTTTAACAGAGATGTTAAGCATCCTTAATATCTCTGTGCCTAAGTTTTCTCACTTCTAAGATGGAAATAAAACTGATACCCACATCACAGGGTTGTGATAGATGAAATGCTTTGAAACATAAAAATACTCAGAAGCATTCATGAGGCACAATAAATACTTAATACATAGTCGCTATTCTATTATTTTACTGTTTATGGATAGCTCATTCCTCATTGCCTAGGTCATAGTTCATAGCAAAACATCACTGGACTGGGAGTCTGGAAATCTTGGTTCTAGTCTTTTTTTTCTGCCAATGACAAGTTCTCTGAACTTGATTAAATCATATTTAACTTCTGCAAGCCTCCATTTCTTTTTCTATAAAATAGGAATAAATTTAGTCTACTTTGTCATGTGAATGTGAAGACCAAATGTCTTCCCCACATCATCCCCCTGCTTCCAGCTGCATCTAGAGATGACAGACCAGAGGAGAACCACCTGGAGTGCTGTTCTCCCCCAGAGGGGCTGGACAGGAGCACACAGATTTATCCTTCAAAACTTCCATCACCTGCTTATCCATTCCACCTCCTGGTGCCCATCTTGGGTTTTTTATTGAAGCTTTTTGCTTTTCTTTGGAAAATACCTGACATTTAACCAGAGCAATAGTTAGGAACCAACTTAAAGTCATGTCTGCCACACACTGGGGCTTTAAGACTCAAAGGACTACAATTACTATGGTGGAATTTTGTCCCAGGAGAAGGAGGAACTGCTGGTGTGTTGTTCTGGTCACCTGGAACTGATCAGAAGCTTGGACTCGGGTCTTGCCCGTATCACTGACTTACTGCTATGATGTCAGTCAAGAATTGGTTGCATAGGACTCCTTAGAAAATGAGGGGGCTAAATTAGATTTCCTCTACATTCCATTCCAGGTCTTCTATGTGTGCCATGGTTCTAAAATTCCAGTCAACTTGTTACAAAAATATAGGCATTTGGTATGAATTAAAAAGAAGAGCCATTCTAACAGAGTTGACCAAAGACGGAATGAGAAATTGTGAATTCCCCATATCTAGAAGGTTTTGAGTAGAGACTGAATGATTTTCTGTGGGTAGAATCCTGCAGAAAGAGAGGATGGCTAGGTTTCAGGGTACCTGCCAACTTAGGGATTAAGGGATTCTGTGCATTTTAGAGAATTGAGGGACCACTAAGGAATGTAATGCGAAATCTTAAGAAATGGAGCATCCCAGTCCTACTCAGATTTTGTCCTACTGGGGACCACATACCATGTATCTTTGAAAGGACAGTTTTGATGAACAGACTCCCAAGAAGGTGAGCCTGCTTTCATTGGCCTTGAATGGACCTCATGGCAGGAGGGGAGTGGGTGGTGGAGGCTGGGCTTCACCTTGTCAGAGCAGAGTCCTCAGTGCCAAGAGGAGGCAGTCTTCCCCCACTTAGCCTGGGACGAGGAGCTCAGGACAGAAGGCATAGGCTGATGGGAGGAAAAATTGAGTCACTCTTTGATGTTATTTTCCTGGTTCATGGACCTCTGAGAACACTTTTTACTCATTAGCCTGTCTAGACATAAGAACTCACCATCTGGGCTGGCCTTTTCCTCTTCTAATTTTCCTTGCTCTGTCACTTTTGCTGAAGATGGGGATGAGGTTGACAGCTGACACCAGCAAGTATGCTAGGACAGCATCGAAGCTGTCCTGTGGATCCCTGATTGGAGGCTGAGATGGATCCAGCATCCTATTTTTGAAGATTTCTGACTCTAGGCAGAGGGAGCCGTCAAGCTGAATAAAAATTGAAAATTTGGGAAGATGTGTGGTTCTGCTTTGAAGACTCTCTGACACATGCTCCACTTAACCACTAAAATGAATAATCTGCTTGTGTTATAAATAGGATGGCTTGAATGTGTTGCAAGGCAGCACTGTGGGTGGCTCAGGGCAGGTGTCGCCTGTGAAGGGAACTGACTGATAGAGGGGACTTGGTCAACAAATTCCCAGAGTCTTTCTGGCCAGTGGATCCCCCATTACATGAACTCATCCAGTGCTGCTGCAGTGACTAAGCCCCTCCTTACCACTTATCCCCAGGGTCCTATGCAGCCCAGAACCCTGAGGGCCTTAGAGAACAAGCTCAAAGGGAGGACTTAGGAACCAAGAGTTCTGGCTACTTTGTGGTTGTGCAGTCATCAGCTTGGAAAAAAGACAGAGAAATGTAAAGGGGAAACCCTGGCCTCTCTATCTCACAAGGGTTAGTGGTTTGGAGGGGAAGAAGATTGGAGCTCTTTAACAGAGCCAGGTTCTACGCAAGTAGTTACTCACGTATCTCTTTCTCCACCAATTTGGATCAACAAAAGAACTAAAACTGCCAAGCAGAAGCAGTGAGGTGCAGCTTGGACTTTCTGTACAGGCCAGCTGCTAAGAACTAAACTGGGGAAGGAGTAATAAGTATTCATTAAACACTCACATATATGATAGGCCCTTGAGGGCTAAAAAAAATCATGGAACCTGCCCTTAACTCTAATTTGGGTATTGAAGAGAAGATTGTCTTGCCTTATACTGAATAGATATTCAGTAATTGTTGAACTGACGAATATAATTTAATGGTGATTCAGCTGCAGTAAAGTCTGCATGGAGGAAGGGGGACCCTGAAACCCTCCCAATCTTAGAATTGGACAGCAAGTCAGGATATTACGTGCAAGTGTGAAACCACAGCTTTCAAAGACAATTCAAATGCTACAAGGTTAGGCATAAGGGAAAAGAACCAGGCTCTCCTAATCCTTAAATATTTACCTCCTTAATAGAGTAAGTTTAACTAGCAGTATGGAGCTCTGGATGGGGAGTTAGGAGAACTTTTCATTCATTCATCCATCTGTCACATAATATAAAGCACATATCATATGCTTGGCTTAGCACTGAGAGTAGAGCAATAAATAAGATAAACATAGTTTCTTGTCTTCAAGAAGCCGTTAGTCCAGGGAAGCAGTCAAACATTGAAAACTGATGTTTCAAATGTGATGAACATAATGATAGGGGAAATGCAAGGTGCCGTGAGTTAAATTTTTGATATAATCCAATTTTTGTAAGCCAGAAACATTCAAAAAGAGCTTAAAAATTGTCATGTACGCATTGTGACTATAGTTTTGCAAATTAACTGTTAATAAACATATATGATTGACACATGTAAATGAGTGTTTTATCCAACAAAGACTCACTCTGGAAGCCCATGTTTATATTTTGATGATATTTTTCTCACTACTGGTATATATTTCTTCTTTCTATTTGCATTAAAAGCTGTTCTTCTAACTATTTCTGCTGTTTATCCTTTGATGACAAGTCTGGCTTCTAGAGTTGCTACAAGTTGACCATGACTTTGTCTCTACCCTGCTTCATGAGCTTGGCAAGTTATGTGACCTCTCTGGCCCTTACTTTCCATAACCGCAGAATGTTCTCTGTGATTTGGTCCTGCTTAGACTGTTGTCAATCTGCTATCTTATTTTGGGGCCTCCAGCATGTGAACCTGCAGGCTGTTGTTTGGGAGGGGCTGTCTCAGTGGACAGTCGATGCCACTAACCTCTTCTAGAATAAAAGATCATGCAGGTGCCAAACACCTGCATTCACTAATAGAGGGAGTGGGTATTTTCCACCATTAGTGTTCAGATAATTACAGGTACAGACTTTATCATGTTTGGAGTTTGGCCAGTATTCTGTAAGTGATGCTTAGAGTGATTTCTCCCCACCAGTGCTGGGATCCTCCCTAGACACACAAAACAGGTAAGACAACTACCATTTGTGATTATCTTGGCCCTAGAGCCATGCCATTCCTCACCAGGCCCCTGAGAAAATGCAGACTGAGATCCACTTTGCTGAGGTTCCGAGGATCCCTGGGCCACAATGGGAAATGAGGTGCTGAGAAGCTCTGGGACCAGCTGGGTGTGCGTTCTCCATGATCAGGCAACACTGTGGCCATTGCGTTGATCAGGTCAGTCACAGAGGGCCTTAGAATGAATGTCCAAGTTGGTGGCTAGAGTAGTCCATCTGCTTTCATCTCCTCATGTGCAGGTGAGGAAATTGAGCTTAAGAGATGAGTTTGAGATCACACAACTTATCAGCAGCTGGCAGTGTCAGATCCACGTTCTCTTGAATCAGTGTTCCTCGTGGTTTTCTCTCCACCACAGCACTAATTTCAGGCTGAGTTTCCTCAGGCCCTCAGCCTGAAATTAGTCCCAAATGCATTCAATGCAGTAGCCTAAAGGATGAATATTTATTGTTTACTTCTGAGATAGATGGCCTCCTAGTTAATTTGTTGGCTCAATGATGTCACCAAGAACACAGGCTCATTGATTTAGGTTCCCCAACTTGCCACATGTATTTGCAGAATGCATGTTGTATAATTGCACATCATGTCTTCAAAGGTTGGAAATAAAAAGTGGTACCAAGCAGGAAATTTTCCTTCTTCTGCTTCTCTTTTCTTTTGCAAGGGAGTAATTTTTTTTTTTTTTTTTTTTTTTTTGAGGTGGAGTCTCGCTCTGTTCCCCAGGCTGGAGTGCAGTGGCGCAATCTCAGCTCACTGCAAGCTCCGCCTCCTGGGTTCACGCCATTCTCCTGCCTCAGCTTCCCGAGTAGCTGAGACTACAGGCACCTCCCACCACACCCGGCTAGTTTTTTGTATTTTTAGTAGAGACGGGGTTTCACCATGTTAGCCAGGATGGTCTCGATCTCCTGACCTCGTGATCCGCCTGCCTCGGCCTCCCGAACTGCTGGGATTACAGGCATGAGACACCGTGCCCGGCCGGGAATAATTTTTTTACAAAGCTCTTCAATAGACTTCCCTAATGGCCAGAACTGAGTTCCATAGATACCTCAACTTCAAGGGAAGCTAGAAACTGTGAGTTGTACATTTCAGTCTCTATTGTATGACGTGGGCAGAGGAAGAGGTGATGTAAATAGCTAAAGCATGGCCAAACGACAGTATCTGCCACAGCTGTTGAGCTCCCTCTGGATGTGTTAGTCCACAGGAGAATTAGGACCTGGGTTAGGTATCAACAATAACAGTAGCTTCATCAGTAGTCTGGGCTCTTAATTCCCACCTTTCTCCTTGGAATTTGCTCCATCAGGAATTAATGACTTAAAATATCTGCTTACATTGTCACCTCAGCCACTAGATTGTGAGTTCCTTTAGGAAAGGACTATGATTTATTTAACACCAGTGCCTGACTCATGAAAGACATTTTTTTTTAATGTGAGAAGGAATTGCTAATTTAGTGACAAATTTTTATTAGTTGGATGGATTAGCTACTTAATTAATGCAGCATTCAATTTACAGATGCACAATATTACAAAAACAAAACCTGATTCTTAGGAGTGACAAATCTGGAAAAGTAACAAAAAGGCATCTTAAAAAAATACAGGGATATGCTTACCAGTTTCAGAGGTATAATTATTTAAAGTTATTTTAGAAAGAAACTCTTCCCTTCCTGTCCCCATATTTTTGACTTGGCATCCAAGAAAGGGAAATTATGCCCATCCTTTTACCATAGATTCATATAAAAATACTGTACATGATTATAGTGATGTATGATTTCCTAAAGGAATGTGCAACATTTTATTTGATCTATACAACAAACTGGTGATGTAAGCAAGGAGAGATTAGAGGATCACATTTCCTGTTATGGGACAAAAATTAATAATATAGGAATAAATAATTTAGAAATGCTTATAGACTTATTCCTTTTCCAACCTCACCAAAAAGAATCCTGTAAATGCTAGTCCAATTTTCACCTCCTATGGTCTTCGAAGAGGAAAGATTCTTTTTGATGATAGAAGAGATAAATCTACGTATAACAGTACTGGAGGGTAGGGAGGGAGGACGGAAGTGGCAGAAAACTGTATGAGTAAGGAGTGAAAGAGGAAGCCTTTTATTTTCTCCCTGGAGATCAGAACCAGAGCAGCTACGATAAGAAAGTAGGTTGGAGACGCAAGAGAATTTGCATAAGTGTTTCTGAGAACCATATATTTTCATCCCCTTTAGTGTCTTCAGAGCGGCATGAATAATAAATAGAATTCCATCTTTGTTACTTTCAGTTTGGGGACATTGCTGCTTAAATCTGAAACTGCTCTGAGACTGAAGCACATGGGTCTCTGAGTTTATTAGGGTTACACATAGACAATGAAACACATGGTCAGAGAGGTTAAGAGAATGATCTATTAATAGTAGAACCTAACTACTGCTTAAAGCCCTATGCCATGCCTTATCCTTCCACTTCACCCTACAAAACTAAAGTGTATACATTTGTTTCAGTTGTTGCTGCTTGCTTGTTTGCTTTTCTGTTTTGAGCTTTTCTTTTCTTTTGTGGAGGGTAAGAAAGGTAAGCTTGTGTGCTCTTCCCAGTTCATGGAAGCTCGTCAAGTTTTCAGTTTGCATTATCAAGCAAATGCTTTGCAGGATCAGGAGTTTTTAAATTTCTTTATATTTTTTATTTTCCTTATTTTTGGCACCTTATCCAAGACCTGTGAGTCCCTCTGGGCTGTGTGTCTGAGAAGTGATAATTGAATTTCTCAGGGTGCAAGTCACTGGGAAGCTGAGTTTGCGGCATGTTAGCTTGGTATCTCTCTTTATTTCTGAGCACCCCCACCCTCTCTCAGGCCAAGTCACAGCTGAATGCTTCACATTAAAACGCACAAAAACATGAATCCGTAGGGCAATACACCAATGGAATCTTTAGGATTCAGACTCATAATAGTTCATCTCTTGCTTGGTCTGCCCTGAGGTTCTGAGTGAGATTATCCTGCTTGCTCACACCTTATTAATTTTGATTTATCTAAGGGAGAGATGTAGAAATGTCCTCACCTATGTTTGTGCTTCAGGTAAGTCAAAGATGTTTGTTTCTATCTACTTAAGAGAGTAAACAACTGAGTCTTGGTATAGTCAGGCATAGGCTTTGGTGGAGAGATTTGGATGCTTAGGCTCCTATTTGACAGAAAGCAAGGCCTGGAGCTGAGAACCCCAAACAGGTAATCCTTGGGAAGGTATGTCTGGGTGTCACGGTAGTCAGCTGAGAATGTAAAGTGCTGCCTATGGCTAAGGGTATGGGATAGACTGTTGCCTACTTGACCCTCTCTGCAGTGTCTACAGTGAGTTTTGTTTGTTTGTTTTTTAATGTAAGTGGTTGGGAAGAGGAGATCGATGGGAAAGTTACAAAAGAAACAGGAATTTCCAAAGAATCTGAGAACTTAGAGAGGTGAGAGAAGAGAGAAAGGAAAAGCACTGCCCAGAGAGGAGAGGCCAAGTTGGAGCATCCAGAAAGGCCTGCCACGTTCCCCTGTGACAGCCCTGCTCTGACAGGGTGAGGGCCTGGGACAGGAGGAGATAGAAGGAAGGGAGAATGGAAGGGAGGAAATGCAAGGATTCGAGCCTCCTCCACAGATAGGAAAAATTTAGACCAGGGATGCTGATGTCGCTTACTATGATTTATTGTCATTGTGTGGGTGTTCACACAGGGTGTACACACTTTCCATTCTCCCAGGTCCATGTGATCTGGACTCTAATCTGAGGGATGATCTGACAACAACAACAACAGCTGCAAAAATGTAGAAGGAACCCCAGAAGCTGATGGAGTTGAACACCTGCTCTAATGGAGGCAGAACATGGGAAAGTGGATTGAAAATGACCAAAAAGAAAAAATTTACCTTTAGTTTCACAAATCCCCTGGGCTGCATGGGGCCATGATCCGCATCTGGGGGTAAAATATCAGACATGATTATGTTTTGTTTTCCTTCTAATTGAAAGACTAGAATATAAAACGGAAATGAATGGTGAGAGGCTGGCATATCCAGAAAACAGAGAATAGATCTTCACAGATATACTGAAAATCCATGGGGAGAGATGTGGCTTGATGGTGGAGACAGGCGAAGCCATGAAGGGCTGACAAGTCATGACAAGAGTGGTGTGTTTTACCCTGTAAGTCATAGGGACTCACTGATGACTTTTGAGCAGGGGAGAAACATGATCAGGTTTGGGTTTGAGAACAATCATTCTGGTTTCAGGGTGGCAAGTGCAGCAGAGGATGGCAGGAGGGCATGGAAAAAGGGATACATCTCCATTCCATAGCATTGAACACTGAACTGTCCTCAAGTTCTAGGACTGCAGTGCCTCTGGTCCTTCCCCAGTGGCCAGACTTCCTAAATGGTCAGAACTGAGCTCCATAGACAGGTCTTTTTTGCGGCTAACGTCCAACCACTTTCTGACTTAGATGGATCCCTCAGAAATGGGAGCAAAAGCTCTTCTAAGTTCCTTGTACATACATATCAGGCATGAAGGTGGGATATTCTCAGAATCCCAGGAGGGAACAGTGATTGAGGAAACAAGGGCTCCAGGAAAAACATGCTTGGGATTTTATGGAAGAGTTCTGGATTCTGGAAGAAACTGGAAAAGAAGGAAGTGATCTGTCACTGGGGAAAAAAAATCAACATTTCTGGTTCTACCTTCTTAAATATAAGATTTTATCTCATCATAAAGGTCACAGTGACCTGGAAAATGAGGACTTCCATCACATTTGTACAGCTTCCCAGGTTTTACAGCTTATTTTCACAAGTGTACTTTATTCCATCCTCATAACTTCCTTGTGTGTTTGGTCAGCTAGATAAACTCTCAAAAGCCTCAGTGTCCTTGTTTGTTCAGAAATGGGATTAGTATGTGGCCTGCTCACAGTCAGATGGCTAATCAGCCCAGAGCCAGAAGCTGCTTGCAGGCTAATGGCCAAGCCTATCTCTCAGCACTGCCTCTGCAGCAGGCAAGGCTTGGCCATGTGTGGCTGTGTGGCTGTGTGGCTGTGTGGCTGTGTGGCCGTGTGGCCGTGTGGCCGTGCCGCTGTGCGACTGTGTGGCCGTGCGGCCGTGCGGCTGTGCGGCTGTGCGGCTGTGCGGCTGTGCGGCCGTGTGGCCGTGTGGTTGTGTGGCTGTGTGGTTGTGTGGCTGTGTGGTTGTGTGGCTGTGTGGCTGTGTGGCTGTGTGCTTGCTTGCATGTGAGTTTGCAAGTGATGAAGGGGAAGCGGGTAGCTGTTAGGGGCTGAATTGTGTTGTCTCCTAAAAATATGTTCAAGTCCTAATCCCCGGTACCTGTGAATGTGACATTATTTGAAAATAGGGTCTTTGCAAATAAAATCAAGTAAAGATGAAATCATTAGGGTGGGCCCTAATCCAACATTACTGATGTCCTTCTAAGAAGACAGAACCATATATAGTCATCCCTTAGTATCCACAAAAATTGATTCCAGGACCCCTGTGGATACCAAAATTTGCAGATGTTCAAGTCCCTTATATAAAATGGAATAGTATTTACATTAACTTACACATGTCCTCCTGTATGCTTTAAATCATCTCTAGATTACTTTTAATACCTAATACAATGTAAATGCTATATAAGTTGTTGTTATACTGTATTATTTAGAGAATAATGACAAGAAAAAAGTCTGTACATGTTCATTACAGATGCAACAATGTTGTTTTTCTGAATATTTTTTCCAAGGTTGGTTGAAACCATAGATCTGGAACCCAAGGATATGGAGGGTTGACAGAGTTCATATCCAAAATAGATAAGAAACTCATACAATTCAACAGGAAATAAATAACCTGCTTAAAAAATAGGCAAAAAAGTACTTACAAAGACATAGATATTTTTCCAAAAAAGACATACAGATGGCCAATAGGTATAGAAAAGATGTTCAACATCCCTAATCATCATGGAAATGCAAATCAAAACCACAATGAGCTATCACCTCACACCTGTTAGAATAGCTGTCATCAGAAGGACAAAAGACAACAAGTGTTGGTGAGGATGTGGAGAAAAGGGGATACTTATACACGGTTGGTGGGAATGGAGCTTGATATAGCCATTATAGAAAAGAGTATGGAGGTTCCATAAAAATAGAGCTACCATATGATCCAGCAATTTCATTTCTGGGTATATATCTGAAGGAAATTAAATCAGTTTTTAAGGAGATATCTGCCCTCCCAAGTTCATTGTATTGTTATTTACAATAGCCAAATTATGAACACAGCCTATGTCTGTTGGTAGACAAATACAATAAATTGTGGTATATATATGCCACAATGTCTTTATTCATATATATAGGAAAATTATTCAGCCTTAAAAAGGAAGGAAATCCTACCATTAGTGACAACCTGGAGGACATTATGCCAAGTAAAATAAGCCATGGACAGAAAGAAAAACACTACATGATCTGACTTATATGTGGAATCTAAAAGAGTTAAATTTATAGAAGCAGAGAGTAGAATGGTGGTTACCAGGGGTGGAGGCATAGGGGAATTGGGTAGAGGTTGGTGAAAGAATACAAAGTTTCACTTACGCAGGATGTGTAAATTCTGGAGAGCTAATGTACAGTGTGGGGACTAGAGTGAATAATAATGTATTGCAGTGGTCCCCAATGTTTTTGACACCGGGGACTGGTTCTGTGGAAGACAACTTTTCCATGGACCAGGATGGGGGGATGGTTTCAGGATAATTCAAGCACATTACATTTATTGTGTACTTTATTTCTATTCTTATTTCATTGTAATATACAATGAAATAATTATACAACTCACCATAATGTAGAATCAGTGGGAGCCCTGAGCTTGTTTTCCTGCAACTAGATAGTCCCATCTGGAGGTGACAAGAGACAGTGACAGATCATCAGGCATTAGATTCTCATGAGGAGTGTGCAACCTAGATCCCTCAAATGTATAGTTCACAATAGGGTTTGTGCTCCTGTGAGAATCTGATGCCACCACTGATCTTACAGGAGGTGAAGCTCAGGCGGTAATGTGAGTGATGGGGAGCTGCTGTAAATACAGATGAAGCTTTGCTCTTGCCTACCCGCCGCCCACTTCATTACCACGAGAGCTAGGAAGAAGTAAGGAAGGAGCCTCTGCAATGTGGCCCAGGTCCTAACAGGCCACAGACCCGTACTGGTCCATGGTCCAGGGATTGGGGATCCCTGCTGTATCATATACTTGACATTTGCTAAGAGAGTAGATCTTGTGTTCTTAACACACACACACACACACACACACACACACACACACACACGGTACCTATGGGAAGACATGGATATGTTACTTAGCCTGATTGTAGTATTCAGTTGTACATCTTAGATATATACAATTATGATTTAAAAAAGAAAAAGGAAACAGAGACACACAGGAAGAATGTCATGTGATAATGACAGCGAGTGTCATCTGCAAACCAAGGAACTCCATGCAGCTGCAAGTCAAGGAACACCAGGGCTCCACAGCCACCTCCAGGGCTAGGAAGAAGTAGGGAAGGAGTCTCAGAGGGAACATGGCTCTGCTGACACCTTGATTTCAGACTTCATGCCTCCAAAACTGGGAGAATAAACTTTTGTTGTTTTAAGTCACCTAATTGGTGGCACTGTGTTGCAGCAGCCACAGGAATTTAAGTGCACTTGGACCCATGGAAGTCGCTGCTGTGCTCTCCAGCTATCAGCTCATGAAGGCAGGACTTACAAAGAAACTCCTCTGCCCATCAAAGTGCATGTCAGAGCGTCATTGAATCTTAGGGGGACGAGTTAGCAAACAAAAACCTGCCTTCCTAACCAGGCAAAATGATAAAAGTTGATTTTATTCCTTACATCTCCTTTCGGGTTTGGTGTTATCTTTCAACACTGATATGCCAAAAGGTTCTATGGGGCATGAGAGAGGTGGGGATAGTCAAATGACTAAACCATTAGCAATGTGCCCACATTTCCTGAAAGACTGTGGGAGGACACAATATATGAAGTACCTTACCACCTATGCACATCATTCTAGTCAGAATACTAATTTGTTAACTGATTGATTTCTTGCCATATTATATAAAAAGTTAGGGTCAAAATTATCAGACAGCTCTACTCTTATGCTAATGGAAAAGGAATACTTTAGACATAGATGTTGTGAGCAAAGTGAAATTACACACCAGGGCAATTATGTGGAGATCTTGAGGCAAGGAGCACTCCTACCTTCTGATACAGAAAGAAAAGGGAAGCTCTGTCTGCTCTGAAAATACCCAATCTGGAAAGCTATGGATTCGATTATTTCCTTTATGATCCCCCAACAGAAGATAGATTTTCAGAGGTCCTACCTGGATACCTGGAGATGGGATGGTGGGTCTTGCTGAGCACCTGTAAGGTCTGGTAAGGATGACATAATTCAGGACTGGGCTGTTTTGGGCTTTCATTCAGTGAACCTGAATCCCATACTTCAAACCATTAGGAAGAGTCCTATGCCTCCCCAGATAACTATTCAACTAGACTATGGGTCAGTTGACTTCAGCTTGATGGATTTAGTGGAGAATAGAAATTATCTGCCCTCACTCTTCTCATAGAAGTCATGCAATCTGGGGTTTCTCTAACTTGCTGGGGTGAAGAAAAGGGGAAGAGGAGGTCAAAAGGGGGGTTGTTGAAGAGAAGAGGTACAGAAGAAAGAGATAAGGAAGTAAAAACCAGTCACATTTAAATTCTATCCAGAGAGAGCATGCATTTATGAGCATATGTGTGTCACATAAGTACGTATTCTAAGGCAAACCTAACAGGGAGAAGATTCTCAATGTAAGCACAGAACTTTCATCTGTGGTTGACCTCCTAGTGCCCCAAGTTACACGAGACCCTAGGGACAAGGGGGGCTTTGCTCCCTCAGGAAAAAAAGCCATTCTCTCATTCTGTGTCAAGACCCTGGAGGCTCTTTGACGTCAGAACTGCTCACCCCACCTCCCTTTGGCCTTTGGTGGATGCTGCTCCCAGACCCCCTTGGAAGTCCCATCCTTCACAGAGACGTTTTTACTGCTCTTATCTTCCCACAAACTACCCCTCTCCCAGACCCTAGGAAATCAAAGTGCTAGGAATGACATGGTGCCTTTGTGGAGAAATGAAGACGGTTTTGTCCCCGCAGGCTCCCAGAAGCCTGCAGTGATTGAGGGAGTTTGGGCGTGGCAAAGAGCTAGGGAGGAGCAGGGCCTTCAGCCAGTCCCATGGCCAACGAGAAGGTACCAGGGCAGCCCCTGCCCACATGGGGAAGGACGAAGACCCTCATCACAGAATTCTCATTCACTGTCTGGTTCACTGTTGGGTCAGTGTTGCCAGATCCCAGTTTTCTCCATGAGGTAGGTCTATTTCCCAAGCCATAGAAATGTTGGGGGAAGGAGATTCTATTGAGAAAGTGTGCTAGAAACTCAGAATTTGAAAATTTGAAGGAAATGGAAAGTTCATACAAAAAGACCCTTTGCTTCTCTCCCTTCCCCCCACAAATGGACTCCTCCTGCAAAACTCTTTTTCTATTACTGACGTCCACATGCCTCCAGTTATCCAGGCTCATAAAACATTCTCTGTTTCCTCCCTTAACCCTGCCTGCTCCAAATCCTTTGAATGTACCTTGGAAATGCCTCTCCGATTCATGCTTTTACTTAGCAGCTGTAAGTCTCAGTTTCCAAACTTGAAAATAATAATAGACCTACTTCATAGGATTGTTATAATGATTAAATGTGCTGATGAAAGTAAAACCCTTAGTGCAATGGTTAGCACATAGTAAGAGCTAAGTTAAAATGACCTATATCATTATTTTTATTATTATCCCCTTTGCCAGCCTTCTCTCCAAGTCCTCATCACTTCAAGCCAGGATCCTTGCAATATTCTCCTACTGGTGTTTCTGTCTGCAGTCACTCTTCTGTCCTGTAAATGAAGCCTGCATACTCCTGACATATTAATATTCCTCAAATACAATTTTTGCCATAGTATCCCTTTGCTTGAGCTTCCAATGATTCCAAATTGCCAGTTATACTGAGTCAATGTTCCTCAGACTAGTATCCCAGGCTCTCCTTTTCTAATACTACAACCCAACATAGAACTTCAACTCCAGCATTGTTGGTATGTCTCTGGCTTCAGCAAAGCTGAGGGAGCTTATGCCGCCTTGTCCATCCTGTATCAAGCCTTTTTCTTTTTTCTTTTTATTTTTTTGAGATGGAGTCTCGCTCTGTCACCCAGGCTGGAGTCACTGGCATGATCTCAGCTCACTGCAACCTCCGCCTCCTGGATTCAAGCAATTCTCCTACCTCAGCCTCACGAGTAGCTGGGACTACAGGCACACACCACTACGTCCAGCTAATTTTTGTATTTTTGCTAGAGATGGGGTTTCACCATGTTGGCCAGGCTGGCCTCAAACTCCTGACTTCGGATGATCCACCAGCCTCGGCCTCCCAAAGTGGCATGAGCCACTGCACCAGGCCCAGCCTTTCTTACTACTGAGATAATGCTACCTCTTTCTTTTCTCCATTCCCAATCCATTTGACCCATCCCAGCTGCAGTCCTAGAGCCTCGACTCTATCTTTTTCACCTTCTGATGGTCAGTGGGGGTATTACAGTACAGATAAAACAGCATGCTGCCCTGACCAGAGTAATGGGATTTTACAAATGGAGCAGGTGGTGTCTGAGAGGGAGATTGTATACTTTATTCTTGGAGACTGATTAGTTCATCCTGATTCGATCTCACTTTCGTCTCTCTTATTATCTGCATTAGTAAAATTCCAGATCTTGAGTTTCAGTGTGTTTAGTATGAAAAAAAAAGAAATCCACTGGATCTCAAATGGGAGATGTGAAGTGGAAAATTTTTTGATGTTTTTCTTCCTATGAAGATTTTTTTGTTTGATTAGAGAGGAAAAAAAAACATGGGAGAGGACTATAAATCCATGAGAAATGTTCCCAACTCTAAGTGAGGAAATATTTCAGTAGGGTCTACAACTTGGGGTCATCTATGTGGAAGGGAAATATTGGAGCATAGGAAGAGATATTCCAATCTTCTTTCTTTGTCATGTATATCTTTGGTCACACATTTGTAAACAATCTAGGAAAAAAGGAAGTTGGGTTCTTTTTTCTAATTCCATCATCAAGGCATACTTATCAAATGACTATCCCAATATAATTTATACCACTGAGAGTTTGAATTTCTTTCTTTCCCTACCACCTTATCTTGGTTGGTCCACTTGAAAAAGAATGAAAGAAATAATCTCTAGAGTGACACCTTAATTACACACACCTAAAATGAACAGGTATTTGCCATGTATGGGAAAGTGAGTGAGACTAGACTTGTACATACACAGAACAATAGATCTCTAGCAAAGCAGTAAGCAAGTATCATGAACTGTCACCTGGAGATACTTACACTAAACACAAGAAATCACTTCCTATCTCTATCACTGTCTGTGTGGTCTGGAAACACAGAGTACCTTTACAACTGAGATGATATGGGTTCCGGCAGTAGAGGCAGGAGAGCGGATGCAATGTCCCCTCTAGATCCCTTTCACCATGGGTATTCAGATCCTAGAGGACTAATCTGTCTACAGCAGAACATATTTACAGCCTGCTTTCTTTTTCCTCCCTTTCTGTCTCCACCCAATTTCTATTCCCAAGGGATAGAGGCTTTGATAGAGGATAGCAACCCAAGATGATGCAATGCATTTGTTTTGGCCTCCACTGGAGTCTGTGTCTGTTATTAGAGGGTGGTGCTGGGTCTGGCCTTCCCACTGGCTTAGTCCCAGGATCAGGACCCATTCCACCAGGACCATGACTCACCTCTGTGTTAGAGGGCTTCTTGAAATCATGGGTTGAGGTTGGGTACCCAGGCCCTTGGGGCCCCAGTGATGCTCCAGGTTGCCCACCCAGAGCCAGAAGGGGTGTGGGCTCTCTGCCTCCACCTTTCTTTATGTCTGCATGTCACACATCCAAATCCCTTTGCGTCTCTCTCTCTTCCTACTGCTGTGCAAATTTGTGTATATTTCTAGGCAAGGGGAGGAAACTCAATTACATGATAGTATATCAATTAAATGCAATAAAAACTTTTTACAACCACTGTGCTTGGAGATGGGGTGGAGTTTGTGGACAAATATGAGAATAATCACTTAAAAATTTTATAATAAACTGTCTATTTTATTTTAGAGATAATTGAAAATACAGAAGAATAAAAAGCCATAAAAATCCTAGCAAAAACAAAACAAGACTATAATTCCATTCCAGAAATACATATTACTAATATTTTGAACCTATCTTTTCAGATGTATTCTACTCATGTGCACATTTTAAAGGTATATAACAATAGAATCTGACTTTTTTGATAATCTGTTCTTAATTATTTCTGCCCTTAACAATATAGAATGAGTAAATATTAAACTTCCATAGTTCTAAACTTAGACATGCTTGCCCTGTATTCTGCACTGTTCAAGGTAGTAGCCAATAGCCATATGTGGCTATCTAAATTTAAATTAATGACAATTTAAATAAAATTTTAAAATTTAACTCTTCAGACTAAATTTTAGACTTAAAACTAGACACTAGACATGTGGCTAGTGTCTACAGTACAGATAAAGAATATTTTCAGCATCACAGAAAGTACTATTGGACAGTTCTGTTCTAGGAAGATACATTTTTATAAGAACTATCTTGAAGTTGAAGGTCTTAGTCGCACCTATATGCCATATTTACACTTAATTTATAATTACTGATGGAGAAGAAACTGCCTGATCTAATTTTTAAATATTCACAACATTTATTTATTTTTTTTAACAAATGTCCACAAGACCTAATGGGACTGGAATACAAAGATAAAAATGTGTGTTGCCTGCCTTCCAAGCCCCTAAGTCTAGGTACTATTTAAATAAATAAATATATATATATATATATATATTTTTTTTTTAATTGACACACTGTAATCATGCATTTTTATGGGGTACAATTTGTAATTTGTGTTTGGTACTAGGTGTTTTGAAGCACTGTTGACTAACTCATTACTTGGAAGTCACCTTTCTTTACCATGTCCCAACAGACAGCCCTTGCTGCCTTGTCCTTAGGCTCTCAGTGCCTTTTAAGTGAGAGCTGCAAACTCCAGTGGCTACAGGGAACAGGTAAACCACGTAAAGTAACGGAGCCACCTGCGTTAATTCAGAAAGGAGTAGAACAGGGACCGTGGTGAGCTGGGAGCACCCATGGAGAGAGAGACCACAGTGGTGTTTGCTCTGGGAGAGGGAAGATTCTGCTCTGCCTTATCTTCTGATTTTTCAAAAAGAAGCCAGAACTCCACAGTTTGCTGTGCTGTGAATTCTTCCTATTATTAATTGTTAAAAACAAACTATAGTTGTTTTTGTTTGTTTTACAAAAGAGGGGTTAACCATAGCAGCAGATTCAGCTCAGTCTATGAGCCACCAGTTTGCCGTCTCCATTATAACCCCATGTCCTTCCAACCTATCCGTTAGCAAGCCCTGGACCAGTAGGTTTTTTCCAGTGTCTCCAAACCTAATCCCTTTTACAAGTAGTTTTTGCATCTCAAGCTTCAGCTGCTTTCTTTCTTTTTTTTTTTTTTTTTTTTTTCAGATGGAGTTTCGCTCTTCTTGCCCAGGCCAGAGTGCAATGATGCCATCTCAGCTCACTGCAACCTCCGCCTCCCGGGTTCAAGCGATTCTCCTGCCTCAGCCTCCTGAGTAGTTGAGATTACAGGCATGCACCACCACGCCTAGCTGATTTTTGAATTTTCAGTAGTGACGGGGTTTCTCCATGTTGGTCAGGCTGGTCTCAAACTCCCGACCTCAGGTGATCTGCCTGCCTCGGCTTTCCAAAGTGCTGGGATTACAGGCTTGAGCCACTGCACCCAGTCTCTTTTCTTACATCTCTCTACACATGCCAGTCAGCCACCCTGATTTTTAAGAACAATTATAACTTGGTTTTTTATGTCTTAGCAGATGAAAATTTCAAGTTAGGTTGATATGGTTTGGCTCCGTGTCCTCATCGAAATCTCCTGTTGAATTGTAATCCCCAGTGTTGGGGAAAGCACCTGGTGCGAGGTAATTGAATCAAGGAGGCAGATTTCCCCCTTGCTGTTCTCCTGAAAGTGAATGCGTTCTCATGAGATCTGGTTGTTCGAAAGTGTATAGCACTTCCCCTTTCTTTCTCCCTCTCCTGCTCCACCATGGTAAGATGTGTCTGCTTCCCCTTCACCTTCTGCCATGATTGTAAGTCTCCTGAGGCCTCCGCAGCCATGCTTCATGTACAGCCTGCAGAACTGTGAGTCAAGTAAGCCTCTTTTCTTCATAAATTACCCAGTGTTGGGTAATTCTTTATAGCAATGTGAAAACAGACTAATACATAGGCTTTCCTCCTCCTTTTCTACTACCCCTTTGCTTTTCTTTGAGGTTTTGTTTTTTCATATTGAATGACCAAAATCATGTCCCTAGGATGGGGAAAAAATCTAATGAATTAATTCACAGACTGTCAATATCTGACAACATCCAAGCTACCAGTTCTTTAAGTCAATAAAATCTGTTTAATTTTCATAGACTGGTGATGACTAACTCTGCCGTAGGGAAAATTTGGGTTCTTGATTTTTCTCAAAGTTTTTATTCAAGGTTCCAGAAAGTGGAATTGGCTGTGAGAAAGGTCCTCAGGTACTCATTGTAAACACATTTCTGCCTCCTCTCCCCTGCCCTCACCTCTTCTGCCAAAATATTCCCTGTTCAAGGGGTATACTGGATGGTTTTATCTTCACCATTATGATTATTAAAAGCTAATATAAACAGAATACATCTATATGATAGATATCATGTCAAGAATTTTACATACACTATACTCATTGGTTCATCACCAACTGAGACTTTGTACTCCATTATCAGCTCCATTTATAATAAGAACAGTTCTACCTCTTGTCTTAGTTCCTTTGGGTTGCTTTAGCAAAATACTACATGCTGGGTGGCTCATAAACAACAGAAATTTATTTCTCACTGTTCTGGAGGCTGGAATTCTGAGGTCATGATGCCAGTATGGTCAGATTCTGGTGAGGGCTCTCTTCCTGGCATGCAGAAAACCACCTTCTTACTGTGTCCTCATATGACAGGGAAAAAGGGTGAGAGAACTCTCCAGGGTCTCTTACAAGGAAATTCATCCCATTCATAAGGGCTCTCTCCTCAGGACCTGACCTAATCACCTCTTAAATTCCCCTCCTTTTAATACCGTCACCTTGGGGGTTAGGATTTCAACAAAGGAATTTTAGAGGGACACAATTATTCAGCCCATAACACCTTGTTTTGATGCTTAGAGTAACACAGGGAAACTCAATTCAAGTTTAAGAGACCTTGAAAGTTGACATCATCCATCCCTCAACTTCCAGGCAGAATGAAATCCTCATTGCAGAACTGTAAAGGGGGAAAAGAACTTCTGTTTAAAATTCATTAAAAAATACTCTCTAATAAATGATCCTCAGCCTCCTTCAGTGAGTCATTTTGGTGTATAATAATCATCACAATCAGGAATTCTTTTATTCAATGTACAGCCCACAAATCATAAGACTTCCCTGGAAATTTTACTGGAATTTCATCTGACACCTAATTTTTTCCAACTGGGGTTTTAAAATAGGTTATTTATTTACCCTTAGACCCTCGTTTTGTGGTACCCATACCTCTCTTGAACACTTCAGATTATCATTTGAAATGAGAAGTAGTATGTGTGCATATATTCATGTACGTGTGGTTCAGACAGACATTGAAACAAAAGCAAAATAAAATATCTGCCTATTGTCTTTTATAAGCCAGTATTGTTATTCACGGCTGGGGTTTGAATCTTGCTTAATTATTTGCAATTGCCAGACCATGACCTAAGTAGTTGGGGTAAAGAATACCAAGGGCTCTTTTCCTGTAGATGGGATCAGCAGCTTGGTATGTCAAGCCCTAAAGCATCCTGCCTTCACACAGCTCTTTACTAAGTCATCTGTCTTCACATCCTCACCTTTATAATGGGCTGCTTAATAGCTGCTGGGCATGAATAGCAATCATAAAACATAAAGTGCTGTACAAGTATTGATTAGTAATTAATTTCTCATTTTATTCATCAAAGCTACTTAATTGAGAAACTTTTTCCCCACTTATCTAAGCTTACACACCCAGAAAATGAGGGAAGCGTGTGCATGTGTGTGTGTGTGTGTGTGTGAGAGAGAGAGATCTAAGTGTGTATATGGCAGTAGGGGCTGGATTTAGGGCCTCTGGTTTTTTTCTCTCTTTCATCCACTCACCTGATGGCCGTCTATCTCTATGAGTCATGCAAATGGCTTTGGGGCAGTGATGTCAAGGACATCAATAACATTGTTATAAGAAGGACTGATGAGTCTGCATACTTGCAACTGTCTAATTGGTTCATCTAGAAACCAAAAGACTGGGTCCCAAATAGCAACAGTTCAAAAAAAAAAAAAAAAAAAAAATCCAAGGATCCTGAAGCAAGGAGAAGATACTGGGAGAAAGAGGAAAGGAAGTGATTATAGACAGAGCCTAGGGAAGACACACCATTTCAGTAGCTGGAAATCTGAAATAAGAATTGTTTCCTGCTGGCTCAGGCTTTGGACTAGATCTTAGGGAGCTTGGCTGTGAATTTGGTCTTCCTAGAAGGAACAGCAGAGCAGAACTTGAAGGAAAAGTGTCAACTTATCCCGCTCCCTGTAGCTATCATGGAAGTCTAAGCCAGAGAGATACCTGGCTGGGTTGGCTCAAGCTTAGGAGAGAGCCTTAACTTCTAAAGGGTTGACACAGGGACAGACTTATCCCCTGTCTGGATAATGTTGTCTGCCTGTGTGGGGTTGCATGAGGGTATGGAGTTATTTTTATTTCACTTTTTCTTCTCTTAACCACACAATGCTAGGTCTCTTGATATTTTTCCCCTCAAGTTTACTTTTAGAAATTGCATTACTATCTGCTAATCTAAACATATTAATTTCAGCCTGAGGTCTAAGGGTTTAAAGAAAAAATCTCTCTCTTTGTCTTCAGTTTCTTTGTTCAGATTCTTTATTACAAAGACATAATAGTAGAAAGACATCTGTCTGCTGGATCACAATTAATATTTACCCATGGGCACATGTAGCTCTCTATTTTCAGGCCTCCTTCACCTAGAACTGAAAAGATGTCCAGGTTACCCTACAGTGTAGGGCCTACACAACTTATTTGAAAAGGGAAAGATGATTTTCTTCAGTTCATTTAACAAAACACTTTATAAACATTTGTTATGTGCCAAGAGCTATTTTGAAGTACTTTTCAAGTATTAACTCATTTAATTCTTTCAGCAACCCAGTGAGATAGGGACTATTATTATTCCCATTGTACAGATGGGGAAATCAAGGCATGGAGAGATGATATGACTTCCCCCCAGTTGCACACCTCATTAGTGGTGGAATCAGGATTCTAACCAAGGCAGTCTGGCCTGGGATCCTTCATTCTTGACCATCACTTCAAGATGAAGCTCACCCTTACTGATACTTCCTGGTCTTATCTTTTAATTATTCAGGTACTCAATTTTCTTACTCATATAGGGAGATTGTATAATGAGATCTCCTCATTTATTCAAGTAAAGCCTGTGGTGTTTAGCTCCCCCTTGGTTCTCCTTGCTTTGTATTGTAAATACCTTGACTATGCCTTTAGCTCAGGCCTTTAGGCTTAGAGTTACAGGGTTACAGGGAGCTCATAGGGCCCTGTACAACTATTCTACAGAGTTTGAGGATGGATATAACCAAACCTGACACCCTCTTCTAGGCCAAAGCCACAGAAGGAAAGAAGAGAACAGCTTAGTAGTCAAGGGTGCTCCGTCAAACCACATAGTTTAGATTCTTAGAATCTGGTATCATCTGTGCCACCCTTGCTGAGTCACTTCCCGGCAGTCCCTGCCTTCTTATGGGCTGGAGCTTGGTCTTAATCATGAGGAATTTCAGCAGGAATGGATGTCACCAGCTCCTTATACAGTCACAAAACCACTTCTGTTGGGTTCAGAGCCATGGAGCATCCACACAGCATTCCTTCCTGCCTGTCAAGCTTCAGAAGTTTCCATGGCTTCCCCAACACCCAAAGGAAGAGGAGAGTAGAGGAAAACGGAAGAAAGGGAAGACAGAAGAAGAGAGAGAGGGGACAGAAAAAGAGGGGGAAGGGAGAAGAGAGGCAAGGATGGGAGGAAGGAAGGAAGGAAGGGACGGAGGGAGGGAGGAAGGAAGGGAGGGAAGAAAGGCTTTTCATTAAGCCTCAGATCAACCAACCTCTGGCCTGCTCTTCCTGATTCCTCTGCAATAGGTGTTCCACGTGTTGTACTGTAAAACTCACTTCCAACTTCAGCATTCTTCTGTTGTTTAAGGCCTTCTGTGACCTCTGATTTCCCCAAGTTCAAGTCCAAACTCCTAAGCATGGGTCACAAAGTTCTTTATAATCTGGTCCCCATTTTTCCTTTCTATTTTGCCTCTCTATCCTTTCCATATTCCCATTTTCTCCCTTCCCTCCTCTTCCCTCCCTTCCTCTCCTCTCCCCTCCCTTTCCTCTCTCATTCTGCCCATCTACCCTGCACCCCCTTTCCCTGCCTGCCTTCCTCTTCCCACCTTCTTCTTTTCTTCCCTACCTCTACCTTCAATAATATTAACCTGGTTGTAATTCTCTAAAACACAAATCTTCCCTCTTGCCTCCTGATCTTTGCTCAGATCTTCCCTTTGCTTGGAATCTTTTCCCCTGTTCCCGCAATCGGATGACTAACTGCCACTTAATCTCTAAAACCCAACCTAGTTTTGCTCCAAGGATACTATTCCCTGGCCCTACCACAGCGCCTCCTGTCTACCCTACAATGCAACAGCAGGCCTCATAGTATTTTACTCTCCACCTTAATGTTCTTCTCTCCCACAGGACCATAATCTTCATAAAGGGGTCATGTCCTTGACAAATTATCTCTGCAAAGCACACTATGTGGTACATGGAAGATACTAGCAAAGATTTGTCGACAGATGACATCAATAGTGTATGGCAGTGTAAACTGGGGCCCATTCCTAACAAAGAGTCTTAATATAATTTCCTCGGGTATCACACTGGGGGTGAGAGCCAGAAAAGAGGTCAAGTCATTTGAAGTCGCCTGTACAGAACATGTAGCTATTCAGATTACAGCCGGGACTAGAACCCAGCCCATTAAGCTGCAAGCTTCTCAAGGATGAGAAACACATCTTATTAATCCTGCAATTCCAGTGCCTACCATCATGTCTAGAAAGTAGAAGGTGCCTAATGAATGAATGCATGAGTAAGCTGTCACCCCGTTCTTTCTACTGCCTCGGACAATGTGGAAAAGCAACTGTGGCATTACATTGGGGTTGATCACTCTAGACAACTAAACTAAATAATTAGAGCTCTACCATCCAGATTAGGATGTGAATTATCTGCCATCGAAATTTACTGGTTAAGCTGAAAATTATCAAATTGCTTTGACTTTGTGCAGTATAAATGTAAACTGCATTTACTTCCTGAATTGATGGGTTGCATACAAAAGTGGCCCAGATATAGTATTACCACCATGTCCACAGAAAGAGGCTGCTGCTATTTTTAAAGTTCCCCTAGAAAGTAGATGATATGATCCCCCTTGCTTATTCATTCTGATGTCACTCAGACCTCTAGGGAGGAAAGTTCCTCTTTTCATTCTACTAAAATTGCTCCTACCTTGTATTTGGAATGTTTCTCCCTACAGGTCAGATTACAGATGATAGGAAGGCTTCTGATATTGAGCCATCACCCCAGTGTTTGCCCGTGTTCCTGGCTTAGTAGACAGTATAGATGAGAGACAATGAATGTCTGTGTGATGTTAATTTAACACGGACTCCAGCATGTAAGCCTGGACTGGTTAGCACTGCCACTGAGGCAGCATCTGATGGGTTGCAGAGGAGCTGCATAATGTAATATTTTTTAGTACAAACTTCAAAAAGTGACTCTGAAGTAGTCAGACTGCAAGGGCTTCCAATTTTAGCTTTCTACCTAAGTAACTTGCTCTAAGCTCACACAGCTATTACCTTCTCTGAACCTTTTTGCCCCTATCTGTAAAATAGGCCTGATAATAATATAACTTCCTTAGATACAATTCATATAACATGCTTTATACAGTGCCTAAAATATGGTGCATAATAAATGTTACACACACAGACACATGCACCCCTCCCAGCACTGTGGGTAGTTGCTCTAATGGGTAAATCAGCACCTGGGCTGTGACTTTTCTTTGGTGACTCACATTTTAAAGCATTGTTTTCTCTGTTTATATCCTCTTAATTTCTCTATGAATTCATAGCCCTTGGAACCTGCTCTGAAGATGACTGCACAGTATCTCCCAGTTCCCCAGGGCCTCCCAAAGCAAACTTCATGTTATTAACATAGCTTGTATTTTAGCAGACTGTCCCAAATATCCACCCAAATTTGATGTGAATCAGTCGAGTTATTTTCTTTTGAAATGATGATGAGAGAGAGAGGTAAGAGAGAGTTAATTTTGTTTGGCTACATGGAAAGTGAAAAGGCAGAAAGCAGGCAGAGGATAACCCACTTGCCTTGTCCTGCTTCTCATGCACAGAGCACAGATGTAGCACAGAGATCTGAGGATGGGGACCTGTGAGACCCAGGCATCCAACAGAAGCCATTCCTGTTAACAGAGTAAGCGTTTTAGTAAGTATCTCAAGTGAAGAAAACCTTATAGCGAAGTCAACTGAAACATATCTTGGTCTCTAGTGAGCTGTGAGCAATTGCATCAGCAAGGCCTGAGCAGATAAGGGCCCACAAGGAAGAAAGTCACATCCTACAGCACACAGCAGGGGACAGGAGTGAGAGTGTGACACATAGGTCCCACTGCAGCAGGGTCTGGAAGTAGAGAAGTCCCTCGTGGTTGTGGCAGTGACCTCCCATGGCTACCCTGGTCAAGGGTTTTCGCCAGATCCTGGGTAAGGAGGGGCTGGAGAATGGCTCCCAGATCTCCAGTGACTAGAAGTCACATCATTGGATATTTTGTGGTGACATAATTATCAATCGTTTTCATTCCATGTTTATGATGGATGCTTTAGCAATACTTTTGTTAACTTTAATAAAGAATCCAATTATATCAAGATTTTCTAACCAGAACAAGAAATATCAAGGGAAGCGACATCCTTTACTCTGCAAAGCCTCTTAAGAAAATTTCAGGTGTTTTTTTTTTCTTTCTATCAGAATCATCATCCTAGATTTCTAAGTCAGGCAATGATCGACTTGCCAGTTGCCATGCGTACATAAAAATAATTAAAGCAAAAAACAATACTAGGTAGCATAGCATGGGTTCCACCTCCCCAGCTGGACTTTGAATTCTTTGGGAGTAGAATGTTGTCAGCATCTAACTTCTGACTAGCAGAGCTAGGACTTCATCAGCATCATGGTAGAAGGAGGGGAGTGGAGGTGGTGATGGGGGGGTGCATGAGTCTGTCTCTCCCTAGAGACATTAGGACACGTTTCCACCATGATTGTTGCAATGTTTTGTCACAGTCCCATCTGGAGCTTACATGCAACGACTTTGAGGGGTCATTTCGGCCTTGGGATACTAACTCAAGATGTCAGCACCACCTGAGCTATGTGGAGTGAGCAGTTCAGGGCTCCCTAAGGGAGACATTAGAGAGGATCACAGACGTAATCATGCTATTCCACCTGTTCCTATAATTCTCCCCATCAGAGAACTTGTGCTTCCACAAAGGAGGAGTTTGCTTGTCTCTGTGGGTCTGACTGTGCAAGCTGCTGCCACCAATGGCTTTGAATCTCTCATGCCTCTTTCTAGGGAGGGGGTTCAGATAGGGAGAGCAACTTCAGGAAGGAGAATGAAGAGGAGGCTGGCTGCCTAGAGTAGGGCAGTTTGGCAAAAATATTGAATTTATTAGTACAGAAGTAAGAGACATAGCCCACAAATCTTCCCTGGTTTCAGTGTTTCCAAAGGTGCTTAATAGAGTGATTAAAACATAGGTTTTGTATAACAACTTAGACTTTACCAAAATTCCTTCACACTCAGAGCTCCATTTGTGCATTGAATTGGCGTAGGACTGAAATGATCCCCATGTTATAGATGAAGGCATAGATTTCAGAGAAGTTAAGTAACTTCTCCAAGACCTCACAGTAAGGCAGTAAGACAGTAAGGAGTTCCTCAGTGATAAGTTTATGTCTTTTAATGTTTTTACCCCCAGGACCTAATAGAGCAAGGCTAACAAAAGTTTATTGAGTAAATGAGCTGGGCTGGAACACAGGCTTCTTTCTGTAATGAGGGTTGCCAGATTTAGCAGATAAAGACACAGGAAGCCCAATTAAATTTGAATTTTAGATAAACAAGAAATAATTATCTCCTCTCTCTCTCTCTCATTATTTGTCCAGTTCTCTTATTTTAAAGGGATACATTTCAACATCTTCCTGTTTGCAATCTTTGTTATCAACAACAGATAGTCAGTGAAAATTTCAAACACTGGAGATTTCTCAAATAACTAAAAGTAGAATTACCATTTGACCTAGCAATCTCATTACTGGGCATATACCCAAAAGAAAATAAATAATTCTACAAAAAGACACCTGCATGCGTATGTTCACAGTACTATTCTCAATAGCAAAAACATGGAATCAACCAAGGTGCCCCTCAATGGTGGCACATAAAGAAAATGTGCACTACGTAAAGAAAATGTGGTGCATATACATCATGGAATACTACACAGCCATAAAAAAGAATGAAATCATGTCCTTTACAGCAACATGGTTGGGACTGGAGGGTACTATCCTAAGGGAATTAGCACAGAAATAGAAAACCAAATACCACGTGTTCTCACTTAGAAGTGAGAGCTAAACATTGGGTACACATGGGCACAAAGATGGGAACAATAAACACTGGGGATTCCAAAAAAGGGGAGGGGTTGAGCGTTGGAAAACTATCTTGGGTACTATGATAACTACTTGGATGACAGGATCATTAGAAGCATAATACTAAGCACTATGCAATGTACCCATGTAACAAACCTGCACATGTATCCCCTGAATCTAAAATAAAATAAATGCAAATTTAAAAAATTTCCAAACACTGATAAATTGGGCTTTCTATTCATTGAGTTCTTTAATAAAAAATTTCCAATCTATTTTGAGTCAACAACAAACAAAATTTAGAGAACTTGTTTAAAAAATGTTAAATACTCTTAATTTAATGGCCCTTAAGTTGACTTAAAAAGTAATTCTTCAACAAATCCGACCCATGAGGAGCAGAAAAGAGCAAGTGTGTATCCTGCCATGGTGAATTATTGTTCTGTAGTAAATATAACTTTATTACCAAAATGTGCAGTTGAATTTTTTCTGTTCATTAAAATGTGTATTAAAATATTTCTGAAATTTTTCTGCTGCAGATACTACAGATATTTAATAACTACAGATACAAAAAATGTTTAATGACCTTATTTTATACTAATTTTAGATTTGAAAAAAAGTTACAAAGATAGTACATGAGGTATTCCCAAATATCCCTCACTGTTTACCCATTATTAATATCTTAACATTACCATGGTACACATGCCCACAACTCAGAAACCAACATTACTATTAACTGAACTCTATGCTTTATTAGGAGTCCATATTCTTTTATTTAGATTTGACTACTTTTTCTACTAATGTCTACCTTCCATTATAGGATACCAGTTACATTCAGTTGTCATGTTTTCTTAGCTTCCCCTAGACTATGACAATTTCTCAATCTTTCCTTATTTTTCATGACCCTGAAAGTTTTGGGAATACTGGTCAAATATTGTGTAGAATGTCCCTCAATTTGAGTTTGCCTGATATATTTCTGATGGTGAGACTGGGGTTGTAAATTTGGGGGAAGAATTCCATAGAAGTGAAGTGCCTTTTCGGCATGTCAAATCTGGGGTATATGCTATCAACATGACAACACTGGTGATGTTCACCTTGGTCACTTGATTAGTGTTTGCCATGATCGTCTGCTATAAAGTTATCCTTCTCCCCGACCCCCTTCCCATACTCTACTTTTGGAGGACAGACACTAAGTGCAGCCCACACTTCAAGGCAGAACTAGGCTCTTTCCTCCAAATGCCTCATATATACATAGTCTAAAATTTCCCACATTTCTTATTGGCCCCCAGCAGCTGGTTGCCTGGCAGCCTACTATAGTACATGACCCAGATCACAGAAAATTGATGGCACTCCAAGCAACGGGCATGGATACCACCACTGAATCCTTCTGCCACCACTACCTGAGACCTGAGGAAGTTACCTGCCCTCTCCTGCTCACATCCAAGCCTTTTATTTTATCAGAGGGCACTCTGTGTATTCTCGTTGAAAGGGAGATACTTGCTATGTTGCATGTGGAAAGTTGGGAAAATAGAAATGAGCTATTGCTGGTCACTTTCAAACGTAATCACGTATTAAAAGTGTCTCACACACTATTCGATGACCATGAAGGAAGCTGGAGTACACAATGGAATTCAACCCTTCTGGCTTAATTTTTTATAACTATGAAGGTTGGTACTTTGTTAAAAAATGGGAAATCCCAAACAAATGCTAAACAGGATAATACATCAGGACAATAAGTAGAAACTGGAATGGTCCCAAGAAGACTGGGACAATGATCATCTTGTTTAAAAAGTCTTCTTCCCACTGTGTATTAGCACCTGTGAATGCCAAGGTTTTCGTAAGACTCACAGCACTTCTTTCCTTCAGAATGCTGGGAATACCTGTGTGAGTTTCATACACTCCCTTACACTCTGATAGAGTTTCTCTCTCAACTCTCTTGCACCTGGCACTGTGTCCTCTTACCTCCTGCAATGCTGGGCTCCTGAGATGAGACACCTAGGGGACTTTCCAGCAAAATGCCACCCCTCGATGAGCAGAATTATGTCCCAAATCATGTAGACTGGGCTGGACAGCACTGAGGTCTTGAAGGTTTCTCACTTCTCTTTGATCCTTTTATTTTAGGATAGGTTCTGCTCTAGCTCTTAATCTGCCACACCTGTGTCTCTTTCTCCTGGCCCTCACTTAACCTCTTGGGGCTAAGGATACCTCCTAATGAGAATATTCCCAGAGTCCAAGTTTTAACTAGAAGAAAGACCAAGCGGGAAATGAGATTAGTTTTACAAAGCCTTTTCTCCCTTCACCAGAGGGTGAAGCTCCTGTTCCTGGGAAAGGTGGGTGGGCAGGGGGTTATACTACAGTTGTTTTACTGTGTGTTCTTGTGTGGTGCTGCCATTTTGTGCTTTGCTTTTAATACAAATCAGAGCCAGTCCTAAGTAAGATGGAGGGCAGTGTGTGTGTGTGTGTGTGTGTGTGTGTCGGGAGACATATGTAACCAATGATACTTGTGTATTCACGTCACAAGTCATAGAGCATCTATTCCATGGCAGCTACCAGGCTACTTCCCAGAGATTTAGAAAACTGTCTAACATACAACCCCAGACCTCTGATCTAAATCAGAACCTTCCTCATTACAGCAGAAAACTGAAAATTAGACTTGCTGAGTCCAATCACAACGACGTGCATACTTTTGGGAGGAGCTCATGGTGTTGAATCTGAATGGGAGCCAAACAAACCAACCAGCTGCCCACTTACCACACTCAGACTCCTGGTCCAGACCCAAATACACCCCTGGGAGCAGTGGCCCACTCTGCGGAGCAGTCATGCTGAACTGGGTGCCTTGGTTTGCAACTGGCGCTTGGTGGTTGACAGAAATCATGGATTTTGGCTCTTGTGGTATTTGCTCTCTGGAGCACATAGGATAAGCCATGACAATCAACTGAATCTTTATGACAGGCATCAATAGTAGTTAAAAAATATATTTTTGCCTGTATAATTTCCTCTCGTTTTGATGGCTGGGCATCTTTTGGTTTGGGCCTTATGAGGGCTTGCTGCTGGGCCTAGATTGTGTTTCATGAAGGGTTTGCTCTGGGAATTAGGGATTGTTCCTTCCCCCCACTAGGAAAATTAAACCCTTCTCACAGGAAGCGTGGGTCTGGAAAATCTATTCCACAGGGGTGATTGACCATGCCCTCCCTAAGAAGTATTGTTATTAATCTGTCTAAGTGGACTGCTGCCTGGCTATGGGTCCCTTTTTTTTGGTTCTTCTGTATCCGTTGGTGTGGGCAGGAGTTTGGGAAGGGTGCGGGATGTCTTAACACAAGAGGCCAGGCTTGGTCACAAGAATGGTGCTGTGTGCAACTGTGGAATCACTGAATATCAGAGGTGGACTTCTGACCTCTTACTTCACCAGTGCAGGGATTAGCGTAGTGGCAGAGCAGACTCCAGAATCCAGGCATTTTTCCTAGCACTTCTTCCGCTCAACCAAAGACCACGGGGTGATTCTTATTTTGTTCTCCTTTGGACCCAGATCAGTGCTAGTCTTCAACGGATTAAAGGAAAAGAATAGTAACACAACTTCAGTGAAAGGGAATTTGGGATTTTGAGAATGAAGAAGGAGTTGACTATTTCAATGATAATTTAATAGCTTCACTAGTGACAAAGGAATGCATGCTGGTGCTTAGTTTCTAAAGAACACTGTGGGCGACCCTACCTGTGAAATCACCCATCAAATTCCAAGCCACCCTCCATGAAGGGAGTGGGGGATGAGCATGCTTTATTCTCCTTAACTTTCTTCAGGGGCCAGGGTGGGATCCACTTGAATTACCAGAAAAAGAAGGTTTCTGGAAAATATAGAGTAAGTCAAATACTCAAATAATCCCCTACAAAGGCTGTCCTCACTGCATTCCTTGATAAATTTGTGTTTTCTGTACAAAAATTTTTATTGCTGTCACCCTTCTCTTTCTAAAAATCAGCCCCATATCTAATTTCTTTATATACTGAATGAAGTGATTACATGATTCCAGGGGAGTAGATGAATTTACAGACCAATAAAGTTAGATGTTGCCAGTTGCTCAAAATTCCCTCTTCCCTTCCTTGAGGATAGCAGAGACTGCATTTCTCTTCATTTAGCTACAAAGCAAAGGATAAAACAAAGGTTAGGTTATGAATCCATGATTCCTTAAAGCTTATTTCACACCTGTGTATTCAGTAAAGCTGGTGTCCGTGAAATATGTCCAATACATACCATCCAGAGGCACAGTGCTCATTCCTATATTCTACCCCTTCAGAACAGACTTTCCTAGCCTCCTTGTGAGAGCTCTCGTCACCCTGATCAGCAGTTTCCAAATAAAATGAAATGAAGTTTCTGTTGCTGACTCCATATAGTAAAACATGGGTTTGATGAAGAGGGTCCTCGGCCTCGCCCTAGTGGAGAAGGTGTCCACAGTCTTAAGGGCTCACAGGGAATCAAGGGACTGCAGCTGGCCTGGCTCAGGTAGGCAGGTTTCAAAGGGCACAAAGATGGTGTTGAATAGTCTCTGTGGTGCCTGGCACCCTCTCTCCATGACACAGGATGGTCTTTCTGCAATATCCAAGTAAACTATGCTCCTCGTGATCAAGCATGGTTCCAAATGGAAGTTTCCACTGGCTGCAAATCTGGACTCATTACTCTGTTTTGTGGGTTTCACCCTCCACGTACAGGCTCATGTATGAAAGAAATATTGCATCTCTAGTTTCCACAAATTAAACCAGCTTCAATTCTGATCCTGAGATGCCAGGATATCTAATCTTATTGTTTACCGCCAACCTGCACTCTAGGACTGAGCTAAATTTTCAGAGTCTCACAGACGACCAGCTGCTTAAAGAGGTGCCCGTGGGCCTTGGTGGGCTGCCCATCCTCTCATGGCAGAGGTGGTCCCTTCAGCCTCTCCTCTCTGCTTTTAGGACCCCCAGATCCCACTCTTCCCCTACCCTCCTGCCCTAGAGAATACCACTTCAGGCAACACAATCCCTCCGCCTCTCTCCACGTTTCTGCATATGACCTTACCTACTCTATCCTCAAACCACTTCGGTTGGTTTAACTTCCAGAAACAAGAGCATGGACATTCTGCCAGGAAATTCTCCTAAAATAGCCACACATTATATACCTCAATGTTTGGAGGATAAACAAGCAAGCATGGGGAAGAAAAAAAACAAATCAAAAACAAAGAACTGCCCTAAACCAAAATGATCAGAGATTGGGACTCAGCATAATCTCTTCATTCCCCTCCTTCCCTCGTCCCATCCATCCTTCCTTTTTTTCTGTTTTCCTGAGGCCCCTCTGGACTTCCTGACTACCCCCATCTGATATTGTCTTGGTCCCAATAGCATAGCCTGTTAGGGGTTTTTAGCACAGCTCTGGATCCTGTGCAGGGCTCTTGCTTCAGTCAGACAGCCTGACCCCCAGGCCAATTCAGGGGCTGAATTTGTCTCCCCCAGTGTCTGTTTCTTTGTTTATTCCATCATCAACACATCCAGATGGCCTGTACTCTCCAGGCCACAAGCCATCCTGCTTACCTCCCTCCCTAACATTCTTTGCTGGACTCCTTAAGGCATTTGAGTTAAAATCTCTAGCTCAGATCCTTCCATTGGCAGAAGGACAACCAGGTGAGGCAGTGAGCTCCCTGTGATTGGGATTAGACAGCCATCTTCCCAGGACCCAACAGAGGCTATTCTTATTCCTAATTGGACACAAAACTGGATTGGGAAGCTTCTAAATCCCCCAGTCTCTGAACTTGTAATAATCATTCAGAGACTGCCTGGGGTCAAATCCTGGTTCTATGACTTATTAGCTGAGTGACCTCATGCAAGTTACATAGCTTCTTTGAGACACCTTCTTCATCTGTAAAGTAGGGCTATTAATCATTCCCACCATAGGAGTTACTGGGGGATTTGATGGGATATTACGTGTGAAGCACTCAGAACAGCTCTCAGTGTTCTGGCATACAATAATTTCTCAGTGAATGTTAATTCTATCTACCCTTGTCTTTCCTTTCCTAATTTGCTGAGCAGGGGCTAGCCCATCAGCAGTACAGGTTTTATGGGGAATTTCAGGGTTCATAAAACACAGACTGGCCCGAGTGTCTTGCTGAGGATGGACATTCCAGAAGGTTTTTTCCTCCCAGCCTATGCGCCATTCACTCTTCATCACATTCACCTGCAGTCTTCTGTGGTGCTTCTCCCGGGAGGGTGCCAGCATCAGCCCCATTTTCTGGGAGATTTCCACAAGCAGCAGGGGAAGAAGGGTTTGTATTGGTTTCCAAGGGCTGCCCCAGATTTAGACTGGGAGGTCTAAATAAAACAGAAATGTATTCATTCACAGTTCTGAACTCTGGGAATTCAAAATCAAGGTGTTGTCAGGGCCATGCTCTCTCTCAACACTCTAGGGGAGGATCCTGCCTTGTCTCTTCCTAGGGTTGTGGGAAATCCTTGGCATTCCTTGGCTGAATAGTGTTAGTTACTATTTTTTCTTTGATTCTCACCTCTTTGTGGACAACAGTGAAAATTAGAATCTTCCAAGTTTGTTTAGGTTGGAATAATGCTCTGTGTTATCCCAATACCAATTGTGCTTTTGCTCAACAGAAAGGGGGCTAAAAGAATTGTAGGTTTTATGTTCTAGGGAACTGATGATGGAATTGGCATGAAGTGGCTGCAAAACTGACCTCTTGCTTTGGGGATGGCTGCCTTATTACCAAGTGTGGTGGATTCTCCCAAATTACTTTTCAGTGTAATCTGTTCCTTTGCTCACTGCATGGCGTCACCTGACCACTGAGATTGGCCACATGACTTCCTGTCTTTGTATCTTCATGTTTTTTCCTCTTGCCTCTCCCAGTTAGGTATTCATCTTACTCTAATGCTGCATTGTAGTCACTGCAAGCTGAAGGCCATGGCAGCTTCTCTTTAATCTACCAGGAGTGTGGTGTTCACTGGATGCAACAGTGGCCAGATGTTCAAAATCTGATGAGAAAAGGTATGAACTAACTACCACTGTCCAACTGGCCAAGTGAGAATGGCTTTCAATTCCCCCAAGGCTTTCCGTTCAGGGATTCTGACAGAGAGCTCACCACCAATAGGATGCAGGAAGGCTGATAGACAAATGGCCGTCAGCCACAGAAGTGGAGAGGGACAGGAGAAACACCGCATTGATTCTGGCAGTCACTGTGTCTTCCTAGCCTAAGCTTCAGTTTCCTCTCCTTTTATCCTGCTGGATATTTCAGCAGGACATTTGGAGTTCCAGTCCACTACATTCTTCTGCTTCTTTTTTCTATGATGTTTTTTCTTAACCTTGTACTCCTTTTTAGAATGTGTATTTTTTTTTCAACAGTAAGAATTATCAGGCTTCGTCCACACATATGAGTGGTATTTATGTGTGACTGTTTCCCTTAAACTAACTCTTTTCTCTTTTCTCATTAACATTCTGCCTGCCAGTTTAGGATGCTTTCCTTTCGACAGTCTCGTCGAGCTGGGTGGCTTGTCCTTAGCTTTAACCTGGTGGCATCAGCTGAAGATTGTCCTTGTCTGATCTTTCTGAATATTTTCGGTCTAACCAATCATATTAGGTACGGAGTTATAATCCCTCATCCCCATCGTCAACCCTCTGCTTTGAAGGGAAAGCCCTTGGCATTAATCCTTCAATTATAAGAAAAAAGTTCCTCCCTCTCCACCATTTACTCAGTAGGACTGAGGGGACCTGTGGGCTACATGGCCCAGGAAGCATCTGTGCTATGAAGTCCGGGCTAGGACAGAGTGAGTCTCTTCACCTCCATGTCAACCAGCTCTCTTGGCGCATAGCTTGTCCAGAGGGTGACAGCTGCTGGTACTGCTGTCATTGCCAGCAGCCTGGGCCCTGCTGCCACCACGGCACATAAGGATGCTCCATGTCAGCCTGCCAGCATCTTCTCATTGGGCTGGTTCAAAGTGATGAGTAAGCTACAATGTGACAACCTTTTCCTCTTTTTACTACCCTTTTATCACACTGCTGCTTCCTCTACTTTTTGCCAATGAACTATTTAGGCTGAATTAAGGCTCATTTTTATTCTTCCTTCATCCATGACAAGTTCTGCTATATCTGGATTGAAAATGCAGTACATTACTGGTTAGAGAAGATAGGACTGAATGTATTTTATGATCAATTGCACTCTGGGGAACCATCAGAAATATTTCTCTGTCCTTCCGCCTGGCAGATTAGGAGTTATGATACAGTGCCCCCTAAAAGAGTGTGCATGATATTACCCAGGATGCAGGCGAAAGACAGAAACGTGGCAGGCACAGAGGTCCAGAGAGGAGAAACTGGTTGAATTACAAAACTTGTAAGACCTGTAAAACCTCTACGTTGTCTGTAATCACTCTCACAGCTCTTTAATTCCTCAAATCTTTAAGGAAGGTCATTCTAACTCACGTAGGTTGATGGCCTCTTGGTGTTTCTGACACCTTGGATTCATCTCAGCTGGGATGAGATTCACAGTCAAGTGCTGATTGACTCTTTGGGAAGCTGTGTGACAATTCTACTGGTGGTACTTCCTGGTTTTCTTTTAGTACCATTTGTGCATGTGGAAATTGGGAGACCAGGTACTTCTGCCACAACTCCACACCCCTCACCACAGCCAGCCTGGCTTCTGTGCTTTCCAGCTGGGGTGAATATACTGCCTCAACTTGTTCTTCAGTAGAAAGCCTGTGCTCACCAGAGTCCAAAGACATGTGCCTGCATACATCCAGGGGCAGATGCACAGAAACAAGCATAATTGCCCATTGGTGGTCTCAGCTGGGTCTCACCCTCACTTTTGAATCAACAGAGTTATTATATAATTCCATGTCTCTATTTCTACTTCACTGCCTGGAAACCAACTGATACCTACGCTGATTGGATTCCCTTGCTTATGGAGAGGGGAGTCAGGCAGAAGGGATTTCAGAATTCTCACCCAACTCTATGAGCAATTCCCAGTCATCCTAGCCCTCCAGCTGCAGGTCTCTTGGCTTCCTCTAATTACCCGAAGCATTGTGTCTACTCTCTTGATTATCTTATATTATACTCAATTTTGAGGTCTGCCAGAGAAAATTATGGAGTAAGGGGGCTTGATGAAGTCTGGATATGAAAAATTTTAAAATTAGAAAGCTGCAATTTGGGGGGTTGTAAGCAGAGTTTGGATTCTAGAATGGATAATGGAATTTGGTTGTGGGTCCATAATGCCTTTCCTCATTTGTTTTAGCAGAAACACATTTTGTAAGACTTAATTTGTCAGACATTGGGAGAGTACCTACCTCCTATTCCAGAATAGCTACCTCCTAAGCCAGCAAAGTGTCACAATGCTGATGCTTCCAACCAATGTTAAAAATTTTTGTTCAGTAATTTAAGTTGGATATATTGTTAAATAGTAGCTTTCTGGATATTGGACATTAGGAAATTCATTTGTCCCAACTTCAATATCCAGAAAGTTGCTGTTCATTTTGGGTGAAATATAGATCCTTCTTTCTAAGCAGTTTCTCACAGGAGGCTAAACAACTGCAGTAGTGATACGAACTACTAGTAGGGAGATGATGAGATGAACATCTTCATTTCATGCTGGAGAAAATACCATGATAGGAAGGTGGTAAGAGAGGCCTTCAACCTGGCCCAGAGCTGGTATTATTTAAGACCGAATAAGCCAGAGTTTGACAAATGTACTGTGGACCATTGTTATCGTGCTCAGATCTGAGCTTAGGGAGCGGAAGAGGCACAGTTGTGGGAGAGCCATGGAGTTTCCTTTGAAGGAAATCAACATTTGTACAGAATGACTTATCATATTTGCTTTACTTGTGCCACTAGTTCCTTGGGAAAACACTTCCTGTAGCCCATTTAGGGAGACTGAGGTTCCTCAAGGAAAGTTAGACATTCAAGAATCAGGACCATGGCAGCCACGGTGAAGACAGGCCAGGCTCAAATCAATGGGTAAGTGATTTTATGAGCTGAAGTCCATTTGTGCCATAACCTCACTCCATGTTGCTAATATTTATAATATATATTATATATATGCTAATATATGTAATATATTTTATATATATGCTAATATATGTAATATATATTATATATATGCTAATATATATATGCTAATATATAATATATATTATATATAAATATATAATATATATTTATATAAATATATAATATATTATATATAAATATATAATATAAATATATATAATATATACTATATTATATATTATGTATAACATATAATACATATTTGTTATATATAATATATATATTATATGTTATATATTATATATTATATATAATATAACAATATATTTTATATATTATATGTTATATATTATATATTATATATAATATAACATAATATATAATATATATTATATTATATATTACATATATTAGCAATATTATATATAAAATATATATAATATATATAAAATATATATAAAAATATAAAATATATATCAAAATATAAACTATATAATATATAAAAATATATTATATATAATATATAAAAATATAAACTATATAATATATAAAAATATATTATATATAATATATAAAAATATATTATATATTATATATAAAAATATATTATATATAATATATAAAAATATATATAAAATATAAAAAATATATATAAAATATAAAAAATATATAAAATAATATAAAATATATAATATATAATAATATAATATATAATATATATAATTATATATTATATATATTAGCAACATGGAGTGTATATATAATATATATACACACACACACATATAACATCACCCCCAAGCCTGTGACAGACGAGCAATATGTATGTACAAATTCCACATTGAAATGTAAGTGGGCTGTTCTGGCTAAGATTTGCTTAACACAGAAGTTTTAAGCATGTACCAGAAAGCAAATCAAAGCTGTTCTCTAGCAAGCCCTTCATGTGCATGACAGGACTCCAGTGTAAAGCTGTGAGAACATAACTGCTACAGGCGCTATTCTTTTGTTGAAAACTATCCCATCACCATTCATGCTGTTTTTTTGGAGAAGGAGAGAATTGATTAGTGAGGCCATATTCTACTTAGTGTCTTCTGGAAATATCTGATTATCCCTACCTAAGGAATGGAATAAAAATGTAACACACCCAAATTTTAGAAAGATGTGCATTTCCCACTACCTGTTGTCTCACTGTAGGTACCTATCATGTCCTGTTGACAGAGATTTATGTGTATGTTTTATATCCCATGAAATGAGGGAAACCTATCCCATCCTTTCTCAGCCTGCAAGTAAGAGAGGGTGAGTGAGTGAGAGAGAAAGGGAGAAGAGAAGAGAGAGAGAGAGAAAGAGATAATGAACAGGCCTAGAAAAGCATTTATCAACAGGAATAAACCCAGCGCAGGTTTCCAGAGCAGGTCTGGGCTATAAGCTGATGTCATTTTAGGGCATCTCTTAGTGGCCCTACTTAAAAGCCATCTAATTTTCTCATTATCTCATTCCCAGAAGTGTCTTTGCTTCTGTCATTAACACTTCCCACGGCTGCTTCTAATCATGTTCACAATATATTTTCGAAGGCCAGTTGAACGTGCCTTCCTATTGCCCCCTTGTTGTCACCTCTACTCTTTGGACAACATTCTATCATGGCACCAGAAATCAGGAGCTACTGGTGATGGAAACTGATGTCTTCAATTCTTGCTGAAGTAATGAAAACATGACGCAGACAATCACTTACTATCAAGATGCTCCTGCCCCGCCTAATCTCACTCCACCTATCCAACCTTACTTCTCCCAGCTCTTCTGCTCAGACTCCACATTGCAGCCAGCCTCTCCCTCCTCCCGCATGCCCGACTGTAAATCAGACTGTAAGTAACTCTCCTGATCTTCAATGCCCTTTTTATTTCCCCACCAAAAGCTCTCACATGAGTTTGGGCCCAAATCAATTATCTGCTCCTTGAAACTTTCCGGATCGGTCTGTCCTCAAAGAGCTCTCTTTTCTCCTTGCTATACCCTTGGAGTTGCTAGTACCCAATCAGCACTTAATCAACCACAGCCTTGCCTTATTACACGGCTTATGCTTGTAATTAGCCCTTTCCTTCCTAACCTAGTCACAAACTTCCTGGAGGCAAAGAATAAAGGTTTAATTCACATCTAAAACACACAGCAGCTAGCGTCACCCCAAGCCCTTGACAGAGGAGCAATAAATCCACCTCAAATAAATTGCTATTTGCTTGTCCAGAGAATGGCTCAACAGGCTCATGGAAGTTAATGTCAATTTGGACCAACTAGTTAAACACAGGTGGGAGGCCATTGACTGCCTTTGTCTCAGGATGGCTTTCTGAAATAGACTGAGTCGGTGGGGTCACGCATGAACACCACCCCCTCCTGGGCTGTCCCGATAGCATGTCAGTCAGTAAATGTCTGGTGAATTAGTGGAACCAAATAACAGACGCCACATGAGAGGAGAGTCATAACCAGTGGCTCCTGCCAGTTCAGAATTTGGGAAACCTGGACCAGCGAGAAACAACTGACAGGTTGTGGGGATTGAGCACCTTCCTAACAGGAGAGGACGCATTCGAAATTGGTGCAGAAATTTGGGAAGACATTCCACAATATCAATGAAAATTTAAAATACGGATATCTTCTCACCCCATTTCATGTCTCAGTGTCTTTCTCAAGATAAACTCATATGAGCACACAGGAGCCACGTGTCAGTACATTTACACCAGTCAAAATTTGAAACAGCGTAAAAGCCATCAATAGGGCCAATGCCAAATAAATAACGGAACATCCATATGAGAGAGTATAATGTAGCTTTTTCTTTTTACTGAGGCAGAGCTTTACAAAGAGATGGAGAAGACAAATTCTTAAAAAAATGTATAGAGCAATACATACGGTATTGTATAACTTATTTAAAACACAAAACTATCCACCTCCCTGACACACATGTTCTCTGTATACATTTTCATAAATGTAAGGCACAGAAATGTCTCCAGAAAAATTCAAAGCACATATTCACAGCAGTTGTGTCTAGAGCCAAGTGTGGAGAGGGATGGACCACAGAGAACTGTAGCTTCATCTACAGGATCTTCATATCTTAGAAGAAAATGTCTTCACATATCTACAATGTTAATTAAGTAACTCTGAATAAAACAGCCGAGGCAGGATTCAAATTTGGCTTCAGTCTGGCATCAGAGCTCATGATTTAGTTACGAAGTTATCATGTTTTAATTACATAGGTCAAACCAAGTGATAGAGTCATTTAAGGAAAATAGAAAATAGAGAGATGGGAAAGATCAGGTGTGATGAGGGAAGGAGCTACAGAATGGGTGGTGTCTTGATTGGGTTTTGGAGGATGAATAGGAGTTTTACAGGAGGAAACAATGAAGAGGTGTATAGCTTACACTGGAAGTGGGAAGTCAGAAAATGCCCAGAGACTGAGTGTTGGAGGAGCCACAGGAGATATATATAAGTGATTGAGCATGTGAGAGGGAGTGGGAGGTGAGTGCTGGGAAGCACTGGGGCTGGGGAGCAGGAATGGTGGGATCACAGGATGGAGGGTCTGTGCTCTGAGTAAGTGGTTGGGATTTGAGCTTAGACAATAGGAAACTGAGAAAAGTTTTAAGCAGGGGAGTGGGTGATCTTATTTGCCTTTATTTGCTTAATGAAGTAGAGGACTGATTAGCTCAGGAAAAGACTAGAGACAAGAGGACTATTTGGTGTTGGGTATTCTAAGCCTGTATCTATGCAGGCCAAAGCAAGCAGAATTCTGGTGAATTAGCAGAACCAAATAACAAATTTTTCTCATTTTTCAGTTTCTCAGGAATTATACCATTTTATGCTTAAATGCTCCCTTTACATAGTCATTGTAGACATAGCTTGTGGGATGACCTGTAGAAATTCCCAAAGTAAATGAACTCAGTCATCAGAGAGGACTCATGTGAAGGCTTGCTGTTCTCATCCTTAGTGACACCTAATGCCTTCACAGGAGCAGGGGGCAAATCTTTACATTTTACAATAGGCAGTGATCAGGAAATAGTCATGTCTGTCTTTGTATCCTGAACTCTTATATTCAATTCACTGCACTGGAGACAGATGTAGGAAATGGGAATCTTGTCAAACAGACCGCACTGTGGGCAGGAGAAGTGATCCTTTCCAATGGCATGCATGCTGTGCACATGGAGCACTGAGATTCAGAGTTGTAAAGCAGCCACCTCTTGCATTTGTCTAATCTTGGTTCAATAATTTGCAAAGAGCATTCCCATGCGTGATCTCATCTGAGTTAGGTGAGAGCTGCCATTTGCACCTCTGTCATTGGGACCAAAATACTTTGTGACTTCACTCAGCAGCTGGCAGAGGGTTGTGAGGAGCTCAGCTATACATGTGGCTAGAAGAGTGAGGAGGGGACTCTGGAACTGTCTGTTTACTCAGAGAGAGGAAGGGCAGCTATTGCTGGTGAGCGAGAAAGATGAGCAAAGTGTGGAAAACTGTCAAATGGAAAACTCCAGGGGCTCCTTATGCCATTCTGTGGTGCATCTCTTTAACCATAACTCACTGAGATGGAAGGGGAGGGGAAGGCGCTCTGGTTCTTGGGGAGAAAGGTGATTCTGCTTCCATGTGAAGTTTTGATGTTTAACAAATTCAGCGTTGTTGTTGTTATTTTCAACCAGATCTGATTCTCTCTGCTGTAATTATTCTGGTTTGATTTCTTCTTCAAGATAATATCCTTTGGAAAACAGAAGCTAAATTATTAGGTTCTCCCAGATCCCTTTTCTAGGTAAATGTTTATATCTGATTCCTCATGGCATGTGTAGTACAAATAGAAATCGGGGATGCAAGTCGAAGCCAAAAAGAGAGACTAGAGCCTGGGCCCCTTGAGGGTAGGGAGGGTCCATTCTCATCTTGGTATTCCTTGCACAGAGCCCAGTACCCAGTACATTTTTGCTTAATGCCTTTATTCTATATGGAAAATGAATGAATGCAGAGAGAGACAGAGAAGAGAGAGAGAGATAGAAAGAGAGAAGTTAATCAGAGGTTAGAGAACAAAGATATCACATGTTTAAGCTTGCAATGCCTTTTTTCCTACAAATTCCCACTCTCTAAAAGGATTGTCTCATTTATCACTATTGTCTGGATTCTCCAAATGCAATCCATGCAATGGAGGAAAACAAGCCCAACATAACACAGTCCCTCCTCTGAACACTCGAGCCAGGACTAGGAATCTGCACATATCACAATTTTTGGCCTTCAGAAGTGGAATGCCCAGTCTGCCCATATGCCTTCCTAGTGTGGAGGATGTATTGCTGTCAAGAGCCAACACTGCATACCTCTCTATGAAGAGGAGGAGTCAGGAGACCCATTTGTCCTCGTTGACTCGAAGGCGGAATCAGAATGATGGGTTCTTTGGGAGGTACAGGTTGCAGTGAGCCGAAACTGCGTCACTGCACTCCAGCCTGGGTGACAGAGCAGTACTCCATCTCAAAAAAAAAAAAAAAAAAAAGAATGATGGGTTCTTTCCAGGGCAAGTCAGGACAGGACTGAGAGAATGTAGGGAATTTCCTTGAGGAAGTGACCACTGCATAAAGATGGACTCTACAAGATCCTTGCGACTTCTTCCATGTCTAAATTCTGATTTGGAATTCTTGGAGCTCTTTCCCCAGAGAACATAAACAAAGCTTAAAACATCTCTAGAGACTCTTATTTTGCAAAGGGCCTTCAAAATCTGAAGCTAATTCCTTTGAATTTCTTTATTGGTGAAATATCTTCCTCTCCTTTGGGTGAGATTTGATTTTGGAGCGGAAAAAGTCATGAAGAACCAAAGTTGATGAGTAATATTAATGACCGAGCTGTGAGTGGCACTTTTGAGAAAAACAAAGTGTGTCTGTGTGTGTGTGCATGTGTGCACACACATACTCATTTTTTAACTCTAGTGGAAGGTTTTGAAAAATAGTTTGAGCCATAGCACCCAAGGAAATATATATGTGTATAGTACATATATATATAGAGAGAGAGAGAGAGCTTTCCATATGAGATTGAAATTTGGCATTTATTTGGGTGAATGCATGATTTAAAGAAAAATTTGTCTCATGACCCAGGTAGAAGCACCAGGCCACAGGGGTGACCACAGGATCAATGATTCTGCACACTTAATGGAGACATATCCACTTACATTACATGTTCATGCATGGAAATTGACAACCATGAATTTTTTTTTTTTTTTTTTGAAACTGAGTCTCACTCTGTCGCCCAGGCTAGAGTGTAGTGGTTTGATCTCGGCTCACTGAAACCTCTGCCTCCCAGGCTCAAGCAGTTCTTGTGCTTCAGTCTCCCAAGTAGCTGGGATTACAGGTACGTGCCACCGCACCCTGCTAATTTTTGTATTTTTAGTAGAGACGGGGTTTCACCATGTTGGCCAGGCTGGTATGGGAACTCCTGGCCTCAAGTGATTTGCCCGCCTCACCCTCCAAAAGTGCTAGGATTACAGGCATGAGCCACTGCACCCAGTGCCGTCCTTCTTTTGAATGGGACCAAGACACTCTTTCTCTGACACCAACAAATTTGCTGTGTAAGCCTACCTCATTGAACCTTCCTTTTCTGTGAGTTTCAAATATATATATATATGTATATATATACACACACACATACACACACACACACACACACACACACACACATATATATATGTACACACAAATTGTGAAAGCCCTAAAGAAAATCTTAATAATGAGGAGAGGAACGAGTACAATTTAATAGCTTCTTCTCTTTGCCTTTTTCACATCCCATTTTCTTTTCATCAATGAATGCCAAACTAGGTTAGATTATTATTACATTTAATATTAATTCCTGACTTTCAGTTCTTGCATTCTATATTGGATATAGAACTGTGTTTGCTCAGGGAAAATGGGTCACAGATTGCTAAACTAGCTCCTCACCATGCAGTGGTTAAGAGCTGTTTGTTTTTCAAATACCTTAATTGTATGGTCTACCAGAAAAGAGCAGCACTGAAAATTATACCTCTGGACTAAATGCAACCAGATGGACAAAAACAACAAGGCATTTGAAAGAGATAAATGCCCCACAATCCCCCTGTGGTTGATTTTATCGCCAGTTAATTTCATAATGGCTTCTACTGGAGCAGGGGGATATTCCCCGGGGGTAGGAGTAGTCCCTCAGCAAAAACTAGGCAGTTTCCAGAGGGAGGGTCCTCTTTGCTTCTACTTGGATAGAATTGGAATAAATGTTGGTTTGGGGCTGGGGTGATGGGTGGAGCTGCTGGGAGAGTGGAATTCTAAGCCCAAGAGCAGTAACACATCCCTCTTCGTTTTATGCTTCTTGTTGGTTTGCATTTTGCAGTGCCTTTTGCTAGCTACAAAGCAAGGATTTTAGTCTGGTGTTGGTGACTAGAGGTGGCGAGGTAAGAAAAATAGAATTAGGTGATCTGTTTGGTCATTGACAGGTTAAAGTTCCAGAAGCCACAGTTGTTATTAGAAGAATATTCCATGTTGGGTGGAGGTACTGTGGACTCATCAATGGACTTAGGGCAAGGCTGACCTTGGGATCTTTGTTCCTCTTCCCAGGACAATAGTGTCTAAGCTAAAACTCAGGCCTGTGGGTAAGCCTTGAGATCTGGGCAACCAGGCTGCTGGACTGTTTTCAGGCCATAAGTGGTTATTATACATGATTTCATGTAGTGTATAATAAACATATTGGATTCAGAGTTGGACAGTGAAGGAGATGTGGGGAGAAAGTCCAGAAAGAAATGTAGATTGAAGACCTCATTGACCCTCTTTGTATCAAACAGCTTTGATTGTCTAGGGTTGGTTGAAAAATCTCGTCATTTGGGAAAAAAGTTATGCCTCTCCCAACTCACCCTTAACTCTGCCACCATTGCCACCAACAGAAAGTCTGAACATGGAAGACAAGGAAATTAAGTTGTTCTAAGCATCTGTGTTAAAAATAAGAAAATCAATGAGTTGAGACTGTGAGGCCTGAGCTGTCTCGCAGCTTAAGAGTTCGGGAGAGTTAAAATAAAATGTTCATGTCATTAACATTTATTTCTCTTTCCTTCTAGAACAGTCTTGCAGAGTAGCCTTTGGGTCTCTATGCTTATGCAATTTAATAGTCACAAGTCTCCAGTGATGACCCCATGTAAACTCCTCGTTTCCTTCAGGTCTTTTCCTTTCTCTGAAATCCCCCTCGATGTCCTTGCTCACGAGTTCTCCTCCACCGAAAACTTATCAAACTGTACACTTTAAATATGTTGACTTTATTGCATGTCAATTATATCTCAATAGTTTTTTAAAAAACCTCTGACTATTTAGTCTGGTCTTGTGTGGGTCACAGTCTTCTAAGAGACTTATAAAAATAATATAAAATTTACATCCATTGAGATTCGTTGAGATGAATGTATGCGTCCATGTAGCTACTATCCCAATTCATACAGAACATTTCAACTACAGTAAACGTTTTCTTCATGCCTCTTCCAATGAAACTCCACATCCTATAAGAAAACACTTCTGATTTATATCACCATGTGTATTAATTTTGCCTGTTTCTTAAACTTAATAAAAATAGAAGTATACATTAAGTACTTGTGAGCCTGTCCTCTCTCATTCAGCTTACTGGTTTTGAGATTTATTTGTGCTGCTGTGATTAATTATCTTTATTGCTGCATGGTATACTGTGTATAAATAACCTATGATTTATTTATTCATTCCTCTCTTTATGAACATTTGGACTGCTTCTAGTTTTTAGATGACAGGAACACAGCTTACCTGAACATTCTTGTACACATCTTTTTGTGATGTATATTGTATTTTCTCTTGGGTAAACATATGAGAGTGGAATTGCAGAGTCATAGAAAAAAATGAATGTCTAACTTTTGAGATACAATTCACATACTAAAGAAAAATAACCCTCCTTTTCTTATACTTGACTTCTGACACTAGATGTGTGGATTTTTTCCATACCAACTAATTCTTCAACACCAGCTGGGTATCCTGCAATTCAATGATGACACTGAAATTAGTGTAAGCCTCACAGGTTAAGGGTTCAGTCCCAAAGACTACCCTCCAGTTCAGATACCAATCTCAAGTAGTGGATCTCCAGGTTACTCACACTTCTGTGCTACTGTGTTAAAAGTTGGGGCTTCCTATGACCCTCTTCTTAGTTTCATAATTTGCTATGACAGCTCATACAACTTAAGGAAACATTTATTCATGTTCATCAGTTTATTATAAAGGATATGATGAAGGATACAGATGAACAGCCAGATGAAGACATGCATAGGATGAGGTCTGGAGGGGTCCCAAGTACAGATATTTCTGTCCCTTGGGGTTAGAATATCCCCCCTCTGGCACATGGATGTGTTCAACCAAGTGGAGGCTCCTAAAACCTTGTACTTTAGAGATTTTTATGGAGGTTTCATTGCATAGACAAGATCGGTTATTAACTCCATTTCCAGAGGACGGAGGGTCCTTTTCTCCTCCTGGAGGACGGAGGGTGGGGCCGAAAGTTCCAAGATTTTCACTGTGGCTTGGTCTTTCTGGTGATCAGACCCCATCCTGGAGCCATCCAGGAGTTCAGCAAGAGTCGCCTCATCAGAACAAAAGATGCTCCTTGGAATCCCAGGAAATTCCAAGGGATTTAGGAGCTCTGTGCTACACATAAACATCAAAGGCCAAATATTAGAACGAAAGATGCTCCAGCGACTGTATCATTCAGGAGATTTCTTTTTGAGGAAATGAGGACAGAGACCAATATACATATATTTCTTCTTATTTCATATACGTCACCCTTTTCAAGTGGACAATTGTAGTTTTTACTATATTCACAAAGTTGTCTAATGATCATCCCCAATTCCAGACTATTTTCATCATCCCCCAAGGAAGCTACATACCCATTATCAGTCAGTCACTCCCCAGTTCCCTTTAACTTCAGTCCCTGGCAACTACTAATCTACCTCTATGTATTTTCTTTCCTGGGCATTTTATATAAATTGAATCATTCAATATGTGGTCTCTTGTATCTGTACTCTTACTTACCATAATATTTTCACGAGTCATCCATGTTGAAGCATATTATCGGTACTTCATTCCTTTTTATTGCCAAATAATCTATTATATGGATACATCACATTTTATCTATTCTTCAGTTGATTGACATTGGGTTGTTTCCAATTTCTGGCTATTACAGAGAATGCTGCAGTCAACTTTCACATACAAGTTTTTGTGTGAACGTATTTTCAGTTTTCTTGGATATGCAACTGGAAGTAGAATTAGAATTGCTGGGTAATATGACTTCACATTTAACTTTTTGAGAAAATGCCAAACTGTTTTCCAAAGCAGCTGTACCATTTTAGATCCCCATCAGCAATGTATGGGCTCCAATTTCTCCCAATACTTGCTATCGTTCTACTCTTTGGTCACAGACAACATTGTAGGTGTGAAGTGATCTCATTGTGGTTTTGATTTGTATTTCTCTAATGATTAATGATAAACATCCTTTCATGTGCTTACTGGCCATTTGGATAAATATCTGTTCAAATACTTTGCCCATTTTCAATTGGGTTATTTAACTACATAACGTTTGAGTTACTCTAAGTGTTCTTTATATATTCTGGATGATGGACCCTTATCAAATATATGATTTGCAACAATTTTCTCCCAATATCTAGATTGCATTTACAGTTTTTAAATAATAATATTTGAAGCACAAAAGTTTTAAATTTTGATTTAAGTCCAATGTATCTATTTTAAATTTTGTTGCTTGTGCTTTTGGTGTCATATATATGAAATCATTGCCTAGTTTAAGGTCATGAATATTTACTTGTGTGTTTTCATTTAATAATTTTTTTCATTTTTAGTCTTACACTTAAGTTTTAGTTCATGTTGAGTACATTTTTATGTATGTTATGAGGAAGTGGTTCAACAACTTTATTCTTTTGCATCTGGATATCTAGTTACTCCAGCATTCTTTGTTGAAAACATTATTTCCTGCATTAAATTGCCTTGGTACCATTATCAAAAATCACTTGACGATAATGAATAACTTTATTTCTGGACTCTCAATTTTATTTCATGATCAATATAATATGTCTATCCTATGCCAATACCACACAGTCTTGATTAGTGTAGCTTCGTACTAATTTTTGAAATTAATCAGTCCTTCAACTTTATTCTTTTTCAAGATTGTTTTGGCTATTCTGGGTCCTTTTATTTCCATATGAATTTAGTATCAACTTATCATTTTCAGCAAAAAGACAGTTGAGATTTTGATAGGGATTACATCAAATCTTTAGATCAATTTGGGGAATATTGCCATCCTAACAATATTACATCTTCCATTTCATGAGCATAGATGTCTTTGCATTTAGTTCTTCTTTAATTTAAGTAGCTTTATGGTTTTTTTTTTTTTTTCAGTGTAAAAGCCTTGCACATTTTTGTTAAATTTATTCTTAAGAATTTTGTTTTTTCTCAAATTTTATGTTAAGTTCTGGAATACATGTGCTGAACGTGCAGGTTTATTACATAGGTATATGTGTGGCATGGTGGTATGCTGCACCTATCAACCCGTCATTTAGGTTTTAAGCTCCACATGTGTTAGTTATTTGTCCTGATGCTTTCCCTTCCCTCCCTGCAGCCCCCGACAGGCCCCAGTGTGTGTTGTTCCCCTCCCTGTGTCCATGTGTTCTCATTGTTCATCTCCCACTTATGATTGAGAACATGTGGTGTTTTATTTTCTGTTCCTGTGTTAGTTTGCTGGGGATGATGGCTTCCAGCTTCATCCATGTCCCTGCAAATGACATAATCTCATTCCTTTTTATGGCTACATAGTATTCTGTGGTGTATATGTACCACATTTTCTTTATCCAGTCTATCATTGATGGGCATTTGGGTTGGTTCCAACTCTTTGCTTGTAAATAGTGCTGCAGTAAACATACTTGTGCATATGTCTTTATAGTAGAATGATTTATAATCCTTTGGGCATATATCCAGTAATGGGATCGCTGGGTCAAATGGTATTTCTGGTTCTAGATCCTTGAGGAATCGCCACACTGTCTTCCACAATGGTCGAACTAATTTACATTCCCACCAACAGAATAAAAGTGTTCCTATTTCTGCACAGCCTCACCAGCATCTGTTGTTTTTGGACTTTTTAATAATTGCCATTCTGACTGGTGTGAGATGGTATTTCATTGTGGTTTTGATTTGCATTTCTTTAATCATCAGTGATGTTGAGCTTTTTTTCATATGTTTGTTGGCCATGTAAATGTCTTCCTTTGAGAAGTGTCTGTTCATATCCTTTGCCCGCTTTTTGATAAGGTTGTTTTCTTTTTTCTTGTACATTTGTTTAAGTTCCTTGTAGATTCTGGATATTAGACTGTTGTCAGATGGGTAGATTGCAAAATTTTTCTCCCATTCTGTAGGTTACCTGTTCTCTCTGATGATAGTTTTTTCGGTTTATTTTTGTTTGTTTGTTTGTTTTTTGCCGTGCAGAAGCTCTTTAGTTTAATTAGATCCCATTTGTCAATTTTAGCTTTTGTTACAATTGCTTGTGGTGTTTTTGTCATGAAATCTTTGCCCATGCCTGTGTCCTGAATGGTATTGCCTAGGTTTTCTTCTAGGGTTTTTATGGTTTGGGGTTTTACATATAAGTCTTTAATCCATCCTAAGTTAATTTTTGTATAAGGTGTAAGGAAGAGATCCAGTTCCAGTTTCCTGCATATGGCTAGCCAGTTTTCGCAGTGCTGTTCGTTAAATAGGGAATCCTTTCCCCATTGCTTGTTTTTGTCAGTTTTGTTGAAGATCAGATAGTTGTAGATATGTGGTGTAATTTTTGAGGTCACTATTTTGTTCCATTGGTCTGTATGTCTGCTTTGGTACCCGTACAATGCTGTTTTGGTTACCATAGCGTTGTAGTATAGTTTCAAGTCAGGTAGCATGATGCCTCCAGCTTTGTTCTTTTTGCTTAGTATTGTCTTGGCTATACGGGCTCTTTTTTGGTTCCATATGAAATTTAAAGTGGTTTTTCCTAATTATTTGAAGAATGTTAATGGTAGTTTGATGGGAATAGCATAGAAACTGTAAATTACCTTGGGCCGTATGGCCATTTTCACGATATTGATTCTTCCTATCCATGAGGATGGAATGTTTTTCCATTTGTTTATGTCTTCTCTTATTTTCTTGAGCAGTGGTTTGTAGTTCTCCTTGAAGAGGTCCTTCAACTCCCTTGTTAGGTGTATTCCTAGGTATTTTATTCCCTTTGTAGCAGTTGTGAAAGGAAATTCATTCATGATTTGGCTCTCTGCCTGTCTATTGTTGATGTATAGGAATGCTTGTGATTTTTGCACATTGATTTCGTATCCTGAGACTTTGCTGAAGGTACTTATCAGCTTAAGGAGTTTTGGGGCTGAGATGATGGGATTTTCTAAATACAGAATCATGTCATCTACAAACAGAAACATTTTTACTTCCTCTCTTCCTATTTGAATTTATTTCTTTCTCTTGCCTGATTTTCCTGGCCAGAACTCCCAATACTATGTTGAATAGGAGTGGTGAGAGAAGGCATCCTTGTCTTGTGTCAGTTTTCAAAGGGAATGATGTCAGCTTTTGTCCTTCCAGTCTGATATTGGCTACGGGTTTGTTGTAAATAGCTTTCATTATTTTGAGATATGTTCCATCAATACCTAGTTCATTGAGAGATTTTAGCATGAAGAGGTGTTGAATTTTATTGAAGGTCTTTTCTGCATCTATTGAGATAATCATGTGGTTTTTGTCATTGATTCTGTTTATGTGATGGATTATGTTTATTGGTTTGTGTATGTTGAACCAGCCTTGTATCCCAGGGATGAAGCCGGCTTGATTGTGGTGAATATGCTTTTTGATGTGCTGCTGGATTCAGTTTGCCAGTATTTTATTGAGGAATTTTCCATCAATGTTCATCAGGGATATTGGCCCGAAGTTTTCTTTTTTTTCTTGTGTCTCTGCCAGATTTTGGTATCAGGATGATGCTGGCCTCATAAAATGAGTTAGGGTGGAGTCCCTTCTTTTCAGTTGTTTGGAATAGTTTCAGAAGGAATGGTACCAACTCCTCTTTGTACCTCTGGTAGAATTTGGCTGTGAATCCGTCTGGTCCTGGGCTTTTTTTGGTTGGTAGGCTAGTAATTGCTGCTGCAATTTCAGAACTTGTCATTGGTCTATTCAGGGATTTGACTTCTTCCTGGTTTAGTCTTGGGAGGGTGTATGTGTCCAGGAATTTATCCATTTCTTCTAGATTTTCTAGCTTATTTGTGTAGAGGTGTTTATAGTATTCTCTGATGGTAGTTTGTATTTCTATGGGGTCCGTGGTGATATCTCCTTTATCATTTTTTATTGTGTCTATTGTCCATTTGATTCTTCTCTCTTTTCTTCTTTGTTATTCTAGCTAGTGGTCTATCTATTTTGTTAATTTTTTTCCAAAAAGCTCCTCCTGGATTCATTGGTATTTTTGAAGGCTTTTTCATGTCTCTGTCTCCTTCACTTCTGCTCTGATCTTAGTTATTTCTTTCCTTCTGCTAGCTTTTGGATTTGTTTGCTCTTGCTTATCTAGTTCTTTCAATTGTGCTGTTAGGGTGTCAATTTGGAATCTTTGTAGCTTTCTGATGTGGGCATTTAGTGCTATAAATTTCCCTCTTAACGCGGCTTTAGCTGTGTCCCAGAGATTCTGGCATGTTGTCTCTTTATTCTCATCGGTTTCAAAGAACTTCTTGATTTCTGCCTTAATTTCATTATTTACCATTCTTAAGAATTTTTTTGATGCTATCATAAATTGCATTTTTAATTTAATTTAATTTTCAGGTTATTTTGTGTTACTGTATGGGAATGCAATTGATTTTTGTATACTGGTCTTATATCCTGTTTGAATTCATTAATTATATCTAATTGTTTTAGTGTGTATGTGTGTGCATTCATGTGTGAATTCCTTAGGAGTTTCTAGGTACAAGATTATATGAGCTCCAAATACACATTGCTTTATTTGTTCCTTTCTGATATGGATATCTTCTTTTTTCTGCCTAATTTCTTCATCTGGAACCTACAATACAATGCTAAACAGCAAAAGGGGACATCCTTGTCTTGTTACTCATCTGAGAAGGGAAGCTTTCAGTGTTTCACTAAATATGATGTTAGCACTGAGTTCTCATAGATGTCCTTGGTCAGGGTAACTTTTCGTCAATTAGTTTAAATGTTGGATTTTGTTAAATGATTTTCTGCATCTGTTAATGTAGGTTGGTGCAAAAGTAATTGCGGTTTTGCCATTACCGTAATGGCAAAACTGCAATTACTTTTGCACTAACCTAATATGTGGTTTTTGTCCTTTTTTCTGTTACTATTGTGTTTTACATTGATTGATTTTGTATGACTCAAAATCAAGCTTGAATGCTTGCAATAAATCCTATTTGGTCATATTGTGTAATCCTTTTTGATATTTCTAGATTTAGTTTTATAGTACTTTGTATTCATAAGAAGTAGTGGTGTGTATGTCTCTTTCCTTATGATGAATATCAAGTTTACACTGACCTCATAGGCTATGCTGGAAAATATTTTATCCTTTTCTAGTTTTTGGATGAATTTGGAAATATTAATGTTAATACTTACACATTTGGGAGAATTCACCAGTGAAGCAATCTGGTCCTGGGCTGAAAGTTTTTTGATTAGTCATTATCTTTACTTGCTGTAAGTCTATTTGGGTTTTATATTTCTTCTTGAGTCAGTTTTGGTAGCTTAAATGCTTTTAGTATATTCATTTTATCTAAGTTATCTAACTTGTTGGCATAAAAGTATTCATATTATTCCCTTATAATTGTTTTTATTTCTGTAATATAACTTCTTTCATTCCTGATTTTAGTAATTTGAGCCTTCTCTCTTTTTTTTTTCCTTTGTCAGTCTATGGCTTTATCAATTCTGTTGACCATTTTTAAAACTCTAAATTTTGCTTTTGTTGATTTTCTACATTATTTTCTATTCTCCATTTTATTTCTACACAAATGTTCATTATTTCCTTTCTTCTGTTTAAGTTTAGTTTGCACTTCTTTTGTTAGTTTTATGAAGTGGAAGATTAAATGTATAAATTTAAGGTCTTCCATTTAATGTAGACATGTATAGTTATAAATTTCCTTTTGAACACTTTTCCTGGATCCCATAAGTTTTGGCATATTGTGTGGCAGTCTCATTCACCTTAAACTATTATCTAATGTTTTTGTGTTTTATTGCTTTACCCATTGATTATATAGATTGTGTTGTTTAATTTCTATGTATTTTTGAATTTTTAAATTTATTTCTGTTATTGATTTCTAATTTCACTGTATTGTGGTTGAAGAACATATTTTGAATAATTTTGATCCTCTTAACAATACTTAAATTTAAAAAAATTTTAAATGGCCTAACATGGTATATCTAGAGAATATTCCATGTGTACTTGAGAAGAATGTGCATTCTGCTGTTGTTGGTTGGAGTGTTTTATAGATATCTTTTAGTTCCTATTAGTTTATAATTTTGTTTAAGTTTTTGATTTACTTTTGATCTCCTATCTATACATTTTTCTATCTGCTAATGAAAGTGAGGTATTAAAATCTCCGGTTATTACTGTTGAATTGTCTATTTCTCCCTTCAATTCTGAAAGTTTTTATGTATTTTGGGACTTTGTTGTTAGGTTCAAACGTAGTTATAATTGTTATATCTTCTTGATGAATTGATCCTTTCCTTTTTTCTTTACCATTTCTGTTTCATTTATTTATTTTTATAATTTCAACTTTTATTTTAGATTCAGGGGGTACATGTGCAGATTCATTACCTGGATGTATTGTGTGATGCTGAGGTTTGGGATACAATTGATCCCATCACCCAGGTAGTGAGCAGAGTACCCAACAGTTAATTTTTCAAACCTTGCCCCACTGCCTCCCTCCCACTTCTCATAGTCTCCAGTTTATTATTGTCATCTTTATGTCCATGTTTGTCTAATGTTTTGCTCCCACTTATAGGTGAGAATATGTGGTATTCGGTTTTCTGTTCCTGTGTTAATTTACTTAGGATAATGGCCTACAGCTGCATTCATATTGCTGCAAAGGACATGATTTTGTTCTTTTTTATGGCTGTATAGTAGTATTCCATGGTGTGTATGCACCACATTTTCTTTATCCAATCCACCACTGATAGACACCCAGATTGATTCCATGTCTTTGCCATTGTGAATAGTGCTGCAATGAACACATGGCTGCATGTGTCTTTTTGGTAGAACAATTTGTTTTCTTTAGGATATATACCCAGTAATCGGATTGCTGGGTTGAATGATAGTTGTTTTAAGTTCTTTGAGAAATCTGCAACCTGCTTTTTACAGTGACTAAACTAATTCACATTCCCACCAATGGTGTATAAGCACCCCCTTTTCTCTGCAGCTTCACTAGCATCTGTTGCTGTTGTTGTTGTTGTTTGACTTTTTAGTAATTGCCATTCTGACTGGTGTGAGATGGTATCTCACTGTGGTTTTGATTTTTATTTCTCTCATAATTGGTGATGAGCATTTTTTACATTTTTGTTGGCTGCTCATATGTCTTCTTTTGTAAAGCGTCTGTTCACGTATTTTGCCCACTTTTAAATAGGGTTATCTGTTTTTTGTTTGTGGAATTCTGAAGTTCCTTATATATTCTGTATATTAGACCTTTGTTAGATGCATAGTTTGTGAATATTTTCTCGATTCTGTAGGTTGCCTGCTTACTTTGTTTATAGTTTCGTTTGCTGTGCACAAGCTCTTTAGTGTAATTAGGTCTTACTTGTCAATTTTTTTTTTTTTTGAGATGGAGTCTCACTCTGTCACCCAGGCTGGAGTGCAGCGGCACAATCTCAGCTCACTGCAACCTCTGCCTCCCAGGTTCAAGCAATTCTTCTGCCTCAGTCCCCTGAGTAGCTGGGACTACAGGCGCACGCCACCATGCCCAGTTAATTTTTGTATTTTTAGTAGAGACAGGGTTTCACCATATTGGCCAGGCTGTTCTAAAAGTCTTGACCTCATGATCTGCCCACCTCGGCCTCCCAAAATGCTGGCATTACAGGCATGAGCCACTGCACCTGGCCCAATTTTTGTTTTTGTTGCAATTGCTTCTGAGGACTTCATCATAAATTCTTTTCCAAGGTTGATGTCTAGCATGGTGTTTCTTATGTTTTCTTTTAGGATTCTTATTGTTTGAGGTCTTATATTTAAATCTTTAATCTATCTTAAATTAATTTTTGTATATGGTGACAGGTAGAAGTTCAGTTTCATTCTTCTGTATATGGCTAGCTAGCTATACCAGCACCATTTATTAAATAGGGCCTCTTTTCTTCATTGCTTATTTTTGTCAGCTTTGTTGAAGATCAGATGGTTGTAGGTGTGTGGCTTTATTTTTGGGTTTTCTATCATGCTCCATTGGTCTATGTGTCTGTTTCTGGACCAATACCATGCTGTTTTGGATACTGTAGTGTTATAGTATAGTTTGAAGTTAGGCAATATGATGCCTCTAGCTTTGCTCTTTCTGCATAGGAATGCTTTGACTATTCTGGCTCTTCTTTGGCTCCATATACATTTTAGAATAGTTTGTTCTAATTCTGTGAAAAACAACATTGGCTGTTTGACGAGAATAGCATTGAATCTATAGATTGCTTTGGGCAGTGTGGCCATTTTAACAATATTGATTCTTCCGATCCATGAGCATGGAATGTTTTTCCATTTGTTTGTGTCGTCTGTGATTTCTTTCAGCAATGTTTTGTAGTTCTTCTTGTAGAGATCTTTTACCTCCTTGGTTATATGTATTCCTAGGTATTTTATTTCATTTTGTTGTGGCTATTGTAAATGCAATCGAGTTCTTGATTTGGCTGTCAGCCTGAACGTTCATGTATAGAAATATTACTGAGTTTTGTACATTAATTTTGTATTCTGAAACTTTACTGAAGTTGTTTATCAATTCCAGGAGCCTTTTGGTAGAGTCTTTAGGGTTTTCTAGGTATGGAATTATACTGTCAGCAAAGACAGATAGTTTGACTTCTTCTTTTCCTATTTGGAATGTCTTTTATTTCTTTATCTTGCCTGATTGCTCTGATTAGGACTTCTGATGCTTTTCTTACTATAAAATATCCTTTGTGTCATCAGGAACAATTTTTACCTTTAAGTCTATTTTGTGTGATATTAGCCTCACCACTTAAGTTTTCTTTCAGGCACTATTTGCATGTTATATCTTTTTCCTTTCCCTTACTATTAACCAATTTGTGTATTTGAATCTAAAGTCTTCTCTTAAAGACAGCATACAGTTTAATCATTTTTTAAAAATTTGTCTGCTGGTCTTTACCTTTTTTCTGGAGTGTTTAATCTATTTACAATTAATTTAATTACTGATAAGGTAGAATTTATGACTGACATTTTGCTACATGTTTTACATATTTTCTATATCTATGTCTTTATCCTCCTTCTATTCCTCCATTATTGTTTTGTGTCTCTGTGTGTTATACATATATTTTCTAGTGTACTAATTTAATTTTTTCCTTGTCATTCCTTTTATTATATATTTTTGTGTTTGCTTTGGGGATTACAATAAATAATTATTATTAATGGCCAGGTGCAGTAGCTCACGCCTGTAATCCCAGCACTTTGGGAGGCTGAGGCAGATGGATCACTGAGGTCAGGAGTTCGAGACCAGCCTGGCCAACATGGTGAAACCCTGTCTCTACTAAAAATACAGAAATTAGCAGGCATGGTGGCAGGCATCTGCAGTCCCAGTTACTCAGGAGGCTGAGGCAGGAGAATGGCCTGAACCTGGGAGGCAGAGGTTGCAGTGAGCAGAGATCATGCCATTGCACTCCAGCCTGGGTGACACAGCGAGACTCTGTCTCAAAAATAATAATAATTATTATTTATTAATGTTATTGATTAGTAACAATATAGTTCAGATCAATGTCATCTTAATTTCAGTGGTATATAAAAACTTTGTTCCTATATAGCCTTGTTCTGCCCACCTTTCCTTGTGCTGTTATATTTATACAAACTAAATGTTACACATTGTGTGCCAATCAACACAGGTGTGTAACTATGGGTTTGTGCAGTTGTCTTTTAAATCAGATAGAAAAACAAAAGCATTATACACAAAAAATATATTTACACTGTCTTTTGTATCTACCTATTAGTTGTCTTTTTCTGTGCTCTTAATTTATTTATGTGGATTCAAGTTACTTTCTACTGTTCTTCTATTTTAGCCTGAAGGACCCACTTGAATATATCTTGTAGGTCAGTTCTCCTAGCAATAAATTCTCTCAGTTTTTGTTTATTTTGAGTCTCCTAATTTTGCCTTTATTTTTGAAGAAATGTTTTGCTGAATATATAATTTTTGGTTGTCATTTTTTTTAACTTTTAGTGCTTTGAACGTGTCAACATGTCATCCTATTGTATTCTGGCCTCTATAATTTCTGATGAGAAACCAGTTGATAATTACATTGAAGGTCACTTTTACAAGATGAGCCACTTCTCTCTTTCTATTGACTTTGGCTTTTAATCATTTAATTACATGTCTAGGTATAGATCTTTCTTGTTTTATCTAGCTTGGAGTTTGTTAAGCTTTCTGAATGTTTACAGCAATGGTTTTTATTAAATTTAGATATTTTGGCCATTATTTTTTCAATTTTTTTTTCCCTTTTCTTCCTCCTCTCCTCCTGGGGTTTCCATTATATATAGTTGTTATTGGTGCCCCACAGATCTTTAAGGTTCTGCTCCGTTTTCTTTATTTTTGTTTCTTTTTTTGTTTCTGTTTCACAGAGTGGATAATCTCAGTTGACCTATCTTTAAATTTGCTGAGTCCATCCTCTGCCTGCTCAAATGTTATGTTTAGGTCCTATAGTGAAATTCTTATTTCAGTTATTGTATTTTTCAACCTCCGAATTTTTATTTGGTTCTTTTAAATATTTCTCTTTTTATTGACATTCTCTATTTAGTGAGACATCCTCTGGGTTTTTAGACTTTTTTTTAGTTTTTTAAAAAAACACATTTCAAATAGTTGAATAAAAGTCTTTCTAGTAATATCTGGGTTTCTTTTGGAACAGATTTTATTAATCACTTTCTTTCTGTGTATGAACAATACTTTCTCATTTCTTTGCATGCTTCATAATTTTTTGTTGAAAATTAAATATTTTAAATAATATAATTTGGAAATTCTGAAAATCAGATACTTCTCTCCAGGATTTGTTATTTTTGCTCATGTCACTGTTTTTGGTTTCTTCAGTGACTTTTGTAAACTAACTCTGTAAGACGTATTCTTGCTGTGTGTGGCCACTAAAATCTCTGCTCAGTTATCTTAGGGGTCAACTAGTGATTTGACAGACATTTCTTTAAATGCTGGGTAGCAATAAGCCTTTCAGTGTTTTCCAGCTGTGTGCATGTTTGGATAGCCCTTAGACACTCAGCCAGGCAGCTTAAAATTCTGCATTATCTTCATTTCCTGCTTTCCAGAATCTTAAGACTAGCTGGAGGTGAGAGTTTAGGGTCTTCTTTGGTTGTTCGTGAACATGTACACAGCTTTGAGCATATCCATAGTTTTATACATGCATGTGACTTTCTAGGTTCCCCAAAATTGGTCAGAGCTTTTCAAAGCCCCCATGTAAACTTATTCCCACCTTTTCCTTTTAATTTTAAAGTTTTATTGTTGTTGTTGTTCTTAGCCATTGTTTGCCCCAACTGTTATCTACTGTCTTAGGCAGCCTCAGAAATAAATAATTGTCCATAATTGTTTTCAACAAACACCCCTAAAAGAAAAAGCTTTTTATACTGGGCCAGTGCCAAGTCAGTTCAAATACTCTCAGCTTTGCAAGTGGAATCTTCCAGAGAATCACCAGACAGGTCAAATTATGATAATCTCTGGGAATTAGGTTTTGAAAGAATGCCAACCCTCTTCTGCGCCCTCTGGTGGCCTCCAGCCTGCTGATTTTTACTCAGAAAGCAAGGTATTGATTTTCAAGGCTTTCATGGAGTGGGAGAGATAAGAATTAAAATAGGGTAAATTTAAAACACCAGAAATTCACTGTTCTTACCAAGATTTAGCTGTTTTTCTTGACTAAATCTTCCCTGATTGATGCAAACTTTTAGTTAATTTCCAGAGTTCAAAAAAAGTTGATTCTGACTTTTTTTTGTAGGTTTTAAAAATTGTTTTATGAAAGGGAAAATTTTCAGAGGTCCTTACATTGCCATGTCACTGGCATCACTCTCTGTATAGTTTATTTAAAAAGGAATGTGCAACTATTTTTTCAAGTGATTGTACTATTTTACGCTCTCACAAGCAATGCATGAATGTTGCAATTGCTCCACCAATATTCGGTGTTGTTAATCAGTTTTATTTTGGTCTGTTAGATATTTGTGTGAAGGTTTTTTGTTTTTTATCATTTTTTGGTGGTTTTTTATGAATTCCAATTGATTAATTTGTTTTATATTTAGATATTTTTGTATTCCATCTAAAAAATAATTTCCTACCTTAAAATACCAAAGATAGTCTACTATCTTTCCTGCTAGAAGCTTTATAGTTTATGGTTTTACATTTAGGTCTATGATCTAGCTCAAATAATTTTATATATGTTGTGAAGTAGGGGTAAAGGTTTATTGTTTCCCATATATATTTTATATATATATATTATATATATTTATTTGTTTCATTACTCTGTCCTAAAAAATATTATGCATTCTTCACTAAATTTTCCTGATGTTTTATGTTAATATCAATTAACATATGTTTATTGGTCTTTATTTCTGGAATCTCAATGATCAGTTTTGTTAATCTAATTTTCTATCCTCGATACCAATATTACATTAGATAAATTACCAAGGCTATGTAGTCAACCTTGGGATAAGGTTATCTGAGCTACCTAACTTTGTTGTTTATTTCAAGAATTTTTGGTCTAGATTATTTGTGTGTTTATATATTTTAGAATTTACCATCACTTTCTTGAAAAGGACAAAGGGAATTTTTAATCTATAGGTCAATTTGGGAAGAATTGACATCAAACAATGTTAAATCTTTCAATCCGTGAACACAGCATATCTTTCTATTTAGGTCTCCATTAATTTTTCTCAGCCTTATTATACAGTATTATATAGTATTCTTACATGCCTTTTGTCAAGCTTATCTCCAAATTCTTTATGCTTTTATATGCTGCCGAAACAGTATTTTAAAATTACATTTTAAAATTTATTTTCATAATTGTTTTTTTGTATTGTTTACACCTCCTGAAAACTTGCTAAATTTACTCGTTAGTTCCAGTAGTTGTTTTATAGATTACTTAGGGTTTTTTTATGTAAACAATTCTGTCATCTACAAATAAAGACAGTTTTACTTTTTACTTTTCCATCTGTATATTTTTAACATTTTGTCTTGCCTTATCGCACTGGCTAGGACCTCTAATACGATGTTGAATAAATATGGCTATAGCAAATATTTTTGATTAGTTCTCAATCTTAGGGAGAAGGTGTATAATATTTAATAATTGATATGGTATTAATGGTAGAGTTTTGGTTTTGCTTCTTTGGATTTGGCAGAAAGGGCTGCTTTTTTCAGTTTGAGGAAATTCCCTCTGTTAGTTTTCTCAGAGTTTTTAAAATAATCATAAATGAGTGATAATTTTTTCAAATGTCTTTTTTTCCATCTATTGAGATGATTATATAGTTGGGTTCTTTTTTATTAGTTAAGTTATTGTAGGAATGCAATCTTGCATTCCTAGATATCCTAGGTTGCATTACTAGGATAAACCTTACTTGGTCTTTTAATATACAGCTTAATTTGATTTGCTAATTATTTCTTTCTTTCTTTATTTTTATTTATTTTGAGATGGAGTATCACTCTGTTGCCCAGGCTGGAGTGCAGTGGCGCAATCTCGGCTCACTGAAACCTCTGCCTCCCGGGTTCAAGCGATTCTCCAGCCTCAGCCTCCTGAGTAGCTGAGACTACAGGCACGTGCCACCATGCCTAGCTAATTTTTGTATTTTTAATAGAGACAGGGTTTCACCATGTTGGCCAGGGTGGTCTTGATCTCTTGACCTTGTGATCCACCTGCCTAGGCTTCCCAAAGTGCTGGGATTACAGGCATGAGCCACCACACCCAGCCATTAATCTATTTTTAAGAATTTTTCTGTCTATGGTTTGAGGAGATGTTGGTTAGTAACTTTCTTTTCTTACAAGGTCTTTGGAACTTTTGATAGCTTGTTATTAGAGTTACACTGCCTTCATAGCATAAATTAAGGAGTGTTTCCTTCTTTTCTATTTTCTAAAATAGTTTCCATGTGATTGATTTCGTTTCTTATTTAAATGTTTGATAGAATTCGCCAGTAAAACCATCTGGGGCTAGGGTGTTCTTTGTGGAAAGATTTTGTATTGCGAATTTAATTTTTTAATAGACAAAGAGTTATTAAAATTTTCTAATTTTTGTCAATTTTAGCAAGCTGTATTTTTAAAGAAAGTTGTACATTTGTTTTAAATTGGGGAATTAGTGGAATAAATTTTTTCATAGTATTCTTATTGTCCTTTTAAAATCTGAAACATCTGTATGATATCTTTTCTTCCATTCTTGATATGAGTAATTTGTGTTTCTCTTTCTTTCTTCATCTGTTTTGCCAGACATTTATTATTTTATCAATATCTTCAAAGAATAAACTTTTTGCTTTATTAGCTTTCTCTATTGTTTGTTCATTACTTATTTCATTTATTTTTGCTCTCCTACTGAATGGAGGATTCCTTTGTCTTAATTTATTATGCATACCACAGTGAATGAGTTTACTAAATCACTGTTTTTTCGGTCTGGTGCAAATCACACCTGAGTTTGGCATATTAAATTCTTTTTTTTTTTTTAATTTGAAACGGAGTCTCTCTCTGTCACCAGGCTGGAGTGCAGTGGCATGATCTCGGCTCACTGCAACCTCTACCTTCTCTGTTCAAGCGATTCTCCTGCCTCAGCCTCCCAAGTAGTTGGGACTACAGGTGCTCATCACCACGCCCAGGTAATTTTTGTATTTTTCGTAGAGACAGGGTTTCACCATGTTGGCCAGGATGCTCTTGATTGCTTGGCCTTGTGATCCGCTCCCTTGGCCTCCCAAAGTGCTGGGATTACAGGCATGAGCCACCATGCCTGGCCTTTTTTTTTTTCCTTTGGTTTAGGGCATAAGGAAGCGCTGTGGTATAGCAGAAAGTCCTCTGATCTTGGATTCAGCATTTCAAAACTATCACTCAACTTCTTTATCCTCAATTTTCTTGTATGTAAAATAGTGATAATAATAATTGCATATAACTTGTGTGAAGTGTTTGGAACATAGTAATCATTCTCTGATGGTTAACCTCAGGAGTCATAGCAGCTCCTCACTGTCTATGTAGCTCATTGACCAGTATCTATTATTTAACACATAACCTGATTATAAATATTTCAGGTATGTATCATCTGTGATGGGAATAATTCCAAAGAGGGAACATTTCCCAAAGGTATTTATAAATAGCCTCTAGTGCTTACCCTTTTCTAAATGTTATCTGAAGGACACTAAAGGAAATCAGATTGAGTTCAAATAAATATCAGTCTATAGTTCAAAATTAAATTGTCTTTTAGTTTAATTTTTGTGAAAATCTATTGTCTCAGGAAAACTCTGCTGTAAGCCAAGTCAGTTAACATTTCATCCCCAAATTGCATGACATGAAACAATAACACTAGTTTAACTCAATTGTGGTTCAGCACTTTAGGTTAAGCTCAGTTAGGTGTTCTGTTGATCTAAGTTGGTTCACTCTTGGTTTTCAACCAGCAGTTGATCAACTAAGTAGATCTGCTTCTGAGTTTGGATGGCTATTGATTAGAAAAATGAGGGAAACTGTGTTACTTATCTCTCACCTTCTAACAGGGTAACTCAGGCTTGTTCATGTGGTGGCTCCAGGTTCCAAGAGTAGCAAGAGAGCAAGGTCCAATATGGAAGTTCTTTCCAAGCCTCTGCTTGTGTCACATTTGCTCATGTCCCGCTGGTGAAAGTGAGTCACTGGGACAATCCTGATTTAAAGGGGGTGGAGAATAGGCCCCACCATTTGATGGGAGTCAGCAGCAAAGAATTATGGTCATTTTGGTCATCTACCACACTGGCTCTGGGCTCTGGATGTAGTGGGAGAAATATGAGGCCAAGAGGGATGTGTTTCTCGTCAGTATCTCCAGGATGTTAACAAAGGCATGCCTTGCATCCGAAGGACAGTTGGGACAACTCCTGTGTCGCCATCCAGCTAGTGCTTTAATCTGTGAAGAGCTTTCTTGGCAAATCAACAAATACATTCTGCTTAGAGATTGCTAGAAAAATATTTGATTCTCCAGATAGCCGAAATATAAACTTTTCTTTGTTATCTTTACCCTGTTCTTCTTCCTCTTTCCCCCAATCATCCTACTTCCTAACCCATTTGATGTCTTTTACAAAAGCCTGCCACTGACTTTCGTAGCTTTCATCCCTGTGAATGATGAGGAAATGTGCCAAATACCTGCTGATTTATCTGAAATGGGGCGTAAGGCTCATAAACTCAAAAATAAGATAAAAGAGAGCTGACAGTCCAGGCTAAATTCTACAATCCAATTTCAGATTCTTCCCAGTTGATCTCACAGCATATATGCAAGTGCACATACTTGAATACACACCACACCTCTGCCCATGATCACCTTTAAACAGTCATAAACAAAAATATACACAGATTGACTTCAGTAAACATGCTGTATAGGATGGGAGGACTGGCAGGAGGGAAGTAAAGAGAGAAGATATGTTCTCTAGTACTCCAGCATCTCACAGAGACACAGTGATAGCTCTCTTGTTAGCTTACGTGCTTGCTCTCCCAGTATTTCTCTTCAATATTATCTCATCAGAAAAAGTTGTATCAGTTAGCTATTGCTATGTCACAAACCACCACAAAACCAATCACTTGAAACAAAAAACATTTGCTATGTATCATGAGTCTACGTGTTGGATAGGCAGTTCTATTTATCTGATCCAGACTCAGCTAAGCTTCTTTGGGCTTACTCATGAATTTGCTATCAGCTGCAGAACAGAAGTGGACTGACTAGTCTAGGATGGTCTTAGCTGTGGAAACTTGGCCTTCCTCTGTGTCTCTCACATTCCTACAGCAAGTTAGCTCAGGGATATCTCGTGTTTATGGCAAACAAACAAGAATGGCAAGAAAGCAAACAGCAATTCACAAGTGCAAGTGTTTCTTAAGATTCTGCTTGCACCTTGTTTGCTAAGCCCCATTGGCCAAAGCAAGTCACACAGCTGAGCACAGAGAGAAAGGGCCAGTCAGAATCTCTTACCCAAAATGGTCGTAGTAAAAACTGGAAAATCAATCCAATTAATTTACCATTCCAGTTGTGCAACATTACGGAAATTTTAAAAATATTCATGTAATTGTTTGTCACATTATTATTATTATGAGACAGGGTCTTGCTCAGTTTCCCAGGCTGGAGTGCAGCGGCACAGTTACAGCTCACTGTAACCTCAAACACCTAGGCTTAAGTGATCCTCCCCCCACAGCCTCCCCAGTAGCTAGGTTGTTTGTCACATTATTGAATGATCCACAATCTAATTCTTACCCTTGATGGTGTAATTCATTCCTAGCGATAATTTCTTTTAATCCTTTATGTCAGCGTGTCTTCCTGAGACTCCAGTCAGCCTGGATTTGTCTGCAGGCCCAGGAAGGGGGATAGTGCAGTGGCCAGTTTTTAGTGTTCCCTTGTGGGTATATGCGTCCTGGCTTGGGGTTAGCCCTATGTCTTTTCTCCTTTAACTTTATGCCAGGATACAACTCAGAAGATTTACTCATTGAAGAGACTCTCACTTTTGAGCAGCAGAACTGGGCCTCCTTACTCACAGACTCTCACAGGCAGCCTAGGACTCCCGCTCTTGGGCCTCCAGGTTTTTTATGTGGATAATAGAAAGAATCAGCTCTCACTAGGAGCTTGAGGTATATGTGTATGTAGCAGGGGAGGACTGGGGAACATTAGCTTGAATATAGGACACTGTGCTAAATGTGTAAGAGTGAGACACTGGCTAGAATCCACCCTCTTAGCCATTTATCCAACTTATTGCTGTCTAAAAGATATAACCTTGTCATCAAGAATGGATAAAACAAGAAGGAATTAGATTAAATGGTAAAAATTATCTTGCAGTAAAAACTAAACAGCACTTACTGCTAAAATGTATCATATTAGAATAGTGGAGGTCTCCTTTTGAATAGTTTGAGGATCTAGAGACCTAGCCCTCTGTCTAGGTTGAGCTTGCTACAAGGGGTCGTTAGACAAAGGGGAAGTTCTGCTCAGACCTTCTGAATTATGTATGCTGAGAATGACCTTTTACCATCCCTAGCAGCTTCCACCTCCAGTAGCTGTTCTGCTCACCAGCCACTGCTTCTGACCTTTCCTAGACTCTGAGACAAGGCTAGAGTGACTTTCCCTCCTTGTTCCAGAGCACACAGAGGCTCCAGGGTGCATGTCCAGCCCTCACACCAACCGCGCAGCAGCTGAGAGCCTCACACCCATCAGCTTGCCTGTGGAGTGAGGTCACAAGATATTTCAGTCCTTTGAAAAAGGTGTGAACCCCAGCTAAAGGGGAGGAAGTGTTTTGAGAGCTCAGGTCCCAAGGTGAGATAGGACTGCAAGGTTTTTTGTTTTTGTTTTTTTTTTTTTTTGAGACAGAGTCTTGGTCTGTAGCCCAGGCTGGAGTGCAGTGCCGCGATCTCGGCTCACTGCAAGCTCCGCCTCCCGGGTTCACACTATTCTCCTGCCTCAGCCTCCGGAGTAGCTGGGACTACAGGCGCCCGCCACCACGCCCGGCTAATTTTTTTGTATTTTTAGTAGAGACGAGGTTTACACCCTGTTAGCCTAATGATCCGCCCGCCTTGGCCTCCCAAAGTGCTAGGATCACAGGCATGAGCCACCGCGCCCGGCCGATTTTTTTTCTCTTGCTTTAACATTAAGAGCATAAAAAAGGCCGGGCGCGGTGGCTCAAGCCTGTAATCCCAGCACTTTGGGAGGCCGAGGCGGGCAGATCGAGAGGTCAGGAGATCGAGACCATCCTGTCTAACACGGTGAAACCCCGTCTCTACTAAAAATACAAAAAATTAGCTGGGTGCGGTGGCGGGCGCCTGTAGTCCCAGCTACTCAGGAGGCTGAGGCAGGAGAATGGCGTGAACCCGGGAGGCGGAGCTTGCAGTGAGCCGAGATTGCGCCATTGCACTCCAGCCTGGGCGACAGAGCAAGACTCCATCTCAAAAATAAAAAAGCATAAAAAAGTTGTCCTATTACTTCAAGAAAACCATTTCCTTTGGAAAATATTAAAGTCTTTAACTTATCTTCACTTTAAAAATAAATGCATTTCGAAATACGCTGAGAATCCAAACATATCTTTTTCATCTTCTTACGTCATGGGCATTGGGAAATACTTAACAGCAGATGGAATAGTATTTTTAAATGCCAAAAGAAAATAACCATCAGCCTGGAATTCAATATTAAGTAAAAATATCTTTCAAAAGTGAGGGAGTAATAACAACTGCAGTCAGTAAACCTCCGTCAATGAGACAGACACCTGGAGAATCTTCCCTACATTGCCAGCACATTGACTTGGAATGGAACAGGAAAGGGACAGCTGTGGCATTGCTTCCTAGCACTAAGGAAACCAGGGGGTACTTTCTCACCAGGTCATTATCTCTGAAACTGAGGGCAGCTCTGAAGTCCAAATCCAGAGTGGCCCAGGTGTGGAAGAAGGAAAGGGAAGTCTTCAAATGGCTAGGGCCATCTTTCTATGGAGCGGTAGGCTGGAAGCTAATGATCGCTCCTGAAATGATGATGTTTGAGTTGAGCCAGGACAGCCTTGTGGTAGGACTACTGTACAGGTGATGGAAATATTTATCAGGAGGCTAGAAAATAAGCTTCTAGCACTCCTTTACCTCAAGGTTCTTGCATTCTGCTTTTGGCTTCGAAAGATAAGAGGTGGGAGTTGAATGGGAAACTGGCCTGCAGGGGATCTGGTTCCCATGCTCAGCCTTTGCTTTGAAAACCTCAAGTAGAACTAACAAAGTTTTACTCCTACACAGCCTTGAATAAACTCACCCCTCGTCATTCTCCTAGCCTCTTCTTCTCTTGTTCTTTTCAGGCTCCTCTGCTTGGTTCTCCAACTAAATTACCACTCCTTGCCCCTCCCTAAACTTTTCCCAGGCAGAATACCATCCCTGAGAAATGGCTATTCTACCTTTTTCTTCAAGGGTCTGGCCTCTCATTTTTTTCAGAAGCTTTTAAGAAGAGCCCTTTTCCATAAAGTCTTTTTCCTAAGCCAATAAGAACAATAAAAGGTAATAATTACTCCCTGTTCTTCCCTATCTAAATGTATCATAATACTCCTCCCTTACTGCTTCATCCCATCAAAACGTACACCACTGATTTCAACAAAATGTAAAAAATTCACTTTGCCTATTTGCATATATATTTCACTTGAGTTATACCAATGTCTGTCCTTTACATGCTGATATTTTAGGACCCTAGAGGCTTTTGGGATCATCTAACCTCAAGAGAAAATTATTCATCAGAAAAATTTAGATGAATCTACCCTGGACAGCTTTGGGGGCTGCCACAGTGAGATAATTTTTTTGTTCTCATGTGAACCCTGCTTACGAATTCATGCACGTAATTGCTGCTGCCATCTACCTGGCACTTTGCTGGTCTTAACTATACAGTCACCTGTTGTTTCACAGGTAATCAGACTTAGATTAGAAACAATGATAACCAAGGCCCATTTGCCCTAGGCAAAAGGCTGGCGGCAGGAGGCCTTAAAGAGATTTAACAGGCTCTGTGTTTTATTTCATCATGTATTCTATCTAGTATTTTAATGGGAATTTATGTGGTGTGGATATGGGATGGGGATGGAGGAGGTTATTAAGACGAGTGATGATGGACGGAAGGAAGTAACTGACTAGCTTCGTCTAAAGATTCGTCTGCTTCCCCATGCTCCGCCCTGCAGAAGATAATAGCCATCTGTTCTGCAAGTCCACTGGGGAATGAGCAAGGCAACACTGGTTAATAATGTGGCAAAGGAGAGTCAGGGTACACAATGAATTTCACAACTGACAAGTTCCTCGGACACTGGGACCATTGACCGAGTGCTCTGAGAAGTGGGGTGACATGCCCTTCTCTGGAGGCCATCAGACACATCTGTCTGGCAGGATATAAATGTGGTGCTACCCAGAGGGAGAAGAATGGACAAATGGATGCTGGGTTCATGCATTCCAGCCTGGAGATGTTTATTTTAAACGTCATTCCTATCCTGAGAAGGAGGTCTAGAAGTTGCTCCACCAAGGTTTTGAAGATGTCTTTCTCTTTTCTCTTAATTCTCCTGAAAAGAGAAAAGTAAAAGAATTTCTCAGGGAAGAAAGTATGATTTCTTTACACACAAGTTCATGTGGCTCCTACCGCAGCTATTCACACACACACACACACACACACACACACACACACCCCGTGGACCTAAAGACATAAACATTTACACTGGAAAGAAACAAGTCATGGCCCTTTCCTCTCACAAAATGTGTGTAGCATGGGGACTTTTTATTTTTCTCTTGACACACTTTAATGATAATCTAATAAAATAAGTCTAAAGAGATATAAATCAGAATCATAAACTAGAATGACTTGAAAGCATCTTGAAAATCATGTGGTGGATAAGGAAACTGAGTCACAGAGAAGTAGGATAAACTCAGGGTTACCAGAATGACCCAAGGCAGATGAGAAGGCATTAATAATAAATAAAACATGGAGAGGAGTAGAGAGCTCTTCAATCCCCTAGGAGAAGGGTTAAAATGCTGCCTTTAAAGCAATAAAAAGGAGAAATTGTTCCAATGGCTGGCAGTGATGTGCAAAAATCTGGAACATAGTTTTCCAAGCAAAGATATAAGTGGGACACGGAAGGGGCGAGGAAGCAATTGAGTTATATGCCCCTTAAAATTCACAGGTATCCTCTCCCTGGTCAATACACGCTCAAGCATCTGTGTTCCTTTAGAAACTCCTTCAGTTCACAGACTTGTAGATATTTAAACAGTTCATTTGCATCATATGCACATTTAACTCTAAAGCTGGGGGTGAAAGTAACTGTGCTGGATTTACTGAGCAATGGTACACTGTTCTCCAATGAAGAAACTTTCCAAAGGAGTTTCTATGCTAGTTTTACTTTCCACAGTTGGGGGACTTTTTTTTTTTTTTAACTTTAGGAAAGCAAAAGTTTTATAAGTAAATGTCTGAAACCCTGTGCAAGATGTAACTCTACTTTAATAGCTGAGTTCTCCGACTGGACTGATTGCCAAATAGCCAACACCAATCTGTTCAATATGACATTAAGACAGTTATTTTGCACTTAAGGAATCTTCTTTGCCAAGCGTATTCAAAGGGCTACATGACACAGTTAGTCATTGCAGACTGGTTTTCTGATTTGTATTAGACAAGAACAATCCCTCTGCCTGATGAGGACATCAACCCATTCTTGGGGGTCAGCTGCAGTACGGACAGCTGTGTTACCTGCATACGTCCTAGTGTTCTGTCCATGGCACCATGGCTGAAGAGTCCGGAGATCCGGCTTCTGGGCCAGAATCAATCATCAACCTTCTGCGTTATTCAGATAAACACTTTACCCAAGTACGCACTTCTCACTATCTAACAACAATTTCAAAGCATTTTGAAAAAAGTCCTAGCTGATGATTGGACACCCTCTATCAGAGGACTCTTTTATCAAGGTCCATTCAACTTTTGTTTTCTAAGAATCTGGATGATTTCAACTTTGAAAGGCAAAGCAAAACCAGCGGTGGGAGAGGCTTCTGGTTAGAGAATAGACTTTGAAATCAGACCTGCCTTTTATCACTTACTAGCAGTGCAACTATGGGTAAGTTTTTTATACCTACTAAGCATGTTCCTCAAATGTAACTTGGAGTAACTGCATTTTCTCTTCAAAGCTTTGGGGTATGTTTTTACTGAGACCTTCTCTAAAAAGTGCTTGGATAAAACCTGGCATATTGGAAATGTTCAAAAAATGCCCAGTATTTTCCTGATACTTTATTGATTTTCAAACAGATGAGATATATCATTTCACATGCCCCCAGCTGTTGATTCTCAATATAGCAATCATCTAAAATATGAATTGGATCATCTAAAATATGAATATGAGTCATCTAAAATATGAATTGGATCTTATTGGTCCTTGGCTCAGATCTCTACAGTGATTCTCCATGTCACTCAGAGTAGGAGCCAGACTCTTTACACAGGTTCTTCACCCCATCTCACTCCTTTTACCCCATCCCACACCACCTCCTCTGGTTGAGCGTGGCACAGAAGCCAGATCTCCACACTACATCTCCCACTACCCTTCCCTTGGGGTCCCTGCATTCCGGCCACCTTGACCTTGTTGCCTCAAGTCCTTCTACTGCTTGCAACACTTTCCCCAGGTATCCCCAAGGTCAAGGTCTCCTCAATCTTTTCAGGAATCAATTAAGAAGTTTCATTAACAGCAAGGATATCAACCAGCCCATATAAAGTATTAATAATAAGACCTACCTATCCTAGCGCCTTTATCCCTTGCACCCTGCTGTATCTTTCTCCAAATCACTTATCACCATCAAACATATCTTCACTACTTTGTTTTTAGTATCTCCTCAACTTGAAAGTTACTCTATAAGGGTAGTCACGCCCTTCATTTATTCACTGCAGCATTCCAGCACCTTGAACAATATTCCAGTGTTCTAGGCACTCCGTATCTATTTTTTGAAAGAAGTCATGCATGATTTTTTTTTAATAGAAGTGTGGTTCATCCTTGCCTCAAATCTTATATAGGCTCACGTCCGACTAACTCTGAGTCGAAAGCTTCCACCTCACCACCACCAGCACTGCTGCCCAGCACTTGCAGTCACTCAAAGTATTAGAATCCCAAGAAAAAGAAGGTGGGAGCATGCATACCTGATCTGGCAGCCATGATAGGGAGAGGAAGGTGGTCTTATAGCTGTCACCTAGCCTCATGCTCCTCCATCTCCGTCACCTGTGACTTTGTCATTATTTGCCGAGTTCACTACACCAGACTCTTCATTGCCCTACTAAGCCATGTGTCCTTGCTGCAGTCGACACTGGGTGTGGCTTTCTGATTGTTTTCATCATCTCATTCCTCCATCTGAGACAGCTCCTCCCGGGTGCTTGCAGCTTCAGTCCAGGACTTCGAGCTGTGTTCATGAACTCCTCTATCTCGTTTCTCTTTCCTGTGCAGAGTCTGCTCCCGCGTGCTACAGCCTCAGTCCTGATTCAGGCCCCTTCCTGCCTTCTACGTGTGCTCAGTGCATCCTTGCCTCCATGACTTTGTTCCTTCTGTTCTTCCAGAATGTTTTCTCTCTTCCTTCTGCCAATCCAAATCCACTCTAGATCTCAAGGCCAAACTCAAATCACACATCATCCAGAGAGAGTCTGCCCAGCAATTACTTCATGCTGTATTTATATGTTCTTGCTGTTAACAACTTCTCTACTCAAAGTTACCTACATAGTTCAGCCTGTAGCTAGTCTCTAATTCTATCATACAGTAACAGTAATAACTGAACAACAACTGCCATTTATTCAGCACTTATTGTGTTCCAAACATATATATTTTTATTTCAGTACCCATATTAATCTTGCAAGGTAAGAATCATCATCCCCATTTTGTAGTTTAAAAAAACTAAAGCTCATATAGGTTAAGTAGCTTGTCCCAAAACGGTAAATAATAGAGCCAAGATTCAGTTCCAATGTACCAGACTATGCCATGCACTCTTTTTTCTCTCTCATATACATGGTAAACTCCCTGGACGTTTAGCATAGCATAGCATAGCATTCAGCAGGTACTCAATAAATACTGGCTGGCTGTTTGGGCAACAAGGAGGATACACCTTAATTCAAATGTGCCTTGATGAAACCTTATCTTGCAGGAATGGTGAATAAGGGAATAAAATGCTTGCCCTGCCCTCTTCTTCCCTTTTCCTCTCTTCAGTGGAGATAATGAGAGCTGAACAATGAGCTCAGGGCCTTAAAGAAGGCAGTATGTTCTCCAGGCTCAACTGTGTCCCTTCAAAGAGCTAGGCTCTGCACCTGCCCTGCTCTCACCATCCCCAGCAGCCAAGCTGCATCACTGCCACTTTAGGTAGCCCTGGCTCACTGAAGGTACCAGTAACATACTCTGGGCTCCAGGATGAGAGGCCCAAGACATATATATGACCAAAAGGAGAGCAGGACAGACCATGCCAGAGCTTCCCTTCCCTGGTAGGCTTTAACCCCATGTCTGAGGCTGGGCACATGTTTCTCCTTTTCTTCTATCTACTGTATGCAAGAGACTTCACACACACCATCTCTTTTCAAAATCCTCACAGCCCCACCTGAGCCCAGGGGCTCATTTTCAAAATGCCAATATTATGTAGTGTCCCACCCAAAGTCACTAGACATTAGGGAAAATTCTAACGTGGGGCTGTCTCCACAGTCCATGGGCTTTCTATGAAGCCAGATCATCTGCTTATAGCAGAAGCCATGAGAGCTGGGTTCTTTATTCTAGCTCAGGACTCTCTTCATCCTGGGAGTCCTCAGTGTTTCCCTCTATAAAATGCCTATGCAAACCCACTCCCTTGCACCTCCAGTCCCTTCCTTCTTCATAGGTTACTTCTGGAACTTGTATATCATAATATGCAAATGCACCAAGCACCTGATGAGAACAAGAGAGGAGAAAATGGTTGCTAACTTTCTGTTTGTGTATCTACATGTTTGCGTCTTACTCCCTCAACTACCCTAGGATTGTTGATGTAGGGACCATCATGCACCCACTTTTCATAACTACTCCCTCACCCTCACCCCAAGTCCCAGGCAGCTTGAGGAATACAGAAAGTGCTCAAGGGATATTGATAGTGTAGATGCTCCAAATATGGTGGTATGGTAGATCTTTTAGACCAACCCTTTTTCCATGGAAAGCAAAGCTCAGACAGGCACAGGGCTGTGAGGCTGGCATCAGAGCCCTTGGCTGCTGTTTCATAGCACAGGACTCTGTGTGCCATCAGATTGGTCTGTACAGAGTTTTCCAGACAACAAAAGCCAAGGGGTACAAGGGTGCAGCCAGTTTTAGCTGTGGGCTGGTTTCTTGTTCTGGGCTAGCAGATCTTTCATTTTGTAGACTTTTATAATTTTTCCTACTATGTTTACGTTTTGTGAAATAGTACCAGGTAAGATGTCGAAGGAATATTGATAAGGAAACCTAGTAAAACAAGATACCCTGATCTTTTCAGTGTTAAATCCCAATGTATCTTGGCAGGAGAGAGAACTTGAAAGTTAAGACAAATTAGGGTCTGACGTGATGATAATCATGCTTCAAACACAGAGTATAAGGCATTTTCACATGACTTTGTTGTTGCTCCTTTCCATAACCCTGTAAGCCAGGTAAGGCATAGATTATCTCCATTTTACAGATAAATATCCAAGGGCCTAAACAGTCATACATTCACCTAACCATGGCAAAACCTCTGCCCTGATCTCCAGCCCGGGCAGTCAGGCAGGGGATGGGGAGGAGAAGCCCCTACTTCCCCGGGAGAAGGAGATCAGGCTGCAGGGTGGAGGACAGGTCAGGGAAGGTGAGTGGGATGGAGCTGCAGTTTCAGAGCTGCTGGCCAGGCAGGACCCCTCCTCCTTCTCTTCCATGCCCGTACCCCAGGACCTCTTTGTCCCATTGCACTTGCTTGCTTTGAGCTCAGCACGGAAGGCCCTGCCTGCTTCCAAGTTGGCTGTTTACTGGTGGGAACTGGGTGCCAGAGTTTTCTGCTGGTGGCTGCTCTTTCCCGGATTCTCCTGTGGTATCATATTTTCTCAGCTTGTTCTTAAACTCATCTTACTGAACCTCCCCATACTCACTGACCCTTTCTCAGGTCACCAAAAGTGAGTTCGCTGAGGACTCTAAAATCGCCGTGCCTGTGTATCTCTCTAGAGAGGAAAGCTTTTCCTCCCCTGGAAAAGAGACTCAGCTCAGTCCCTCCAGCCCCTTTTCTAACCCCCTCTCTACCCCAGTGCTTAGATATGGAATCTTACTGAAATTCACCATACCTTGAGATCCCAGTTCTATAATCACATGAGCTTTGTAGGTTAGGTCTACATCCCACACCTACCTCCATTTTACAGCTCAAGGATATAGAGGGATTCCTGCCCTAGCTCTAATGGCCAGTTAATGGTACATCTAGTTGAGAACTCCACATTTACAGGTTCATCTCATTCCATTTGCCAGTTACCATGCTTTTGCGCTCCCCATGCCACCCTCTTCCTGAAGACCCCCAGTGTGTCCTGGGCGTAATATTCCAATGCGTTTGCAGGTTTCCTGCTCTGCCTGGATTACCCTTCCCCCATCTTTCTCATATAAAATTTCTGTTTAAAAATTAGTCTTGAGTCACAGCTTCTCTGAAGCCTCCATCTACAGAGTGAATTAGATAAACTTCTCTCATTTTTTAGTGTATTTTTTGTTGTTGTTACAGATACAACAGTTTACCACACTGCAGTTTGGGGAGCCTTGCCTTGTTTTTCTCAGTAGATTGTAAGCACCTTGAAGGCAGAGTTTGCATCTCATCTATTCCTCTGTTATATCCCTTGACTCTGTCTAGGTCAAGGTTGTGCTCCTGTTAGGACCTCCATATATGATGCTACCTGAGCAGCTGGCAGGGGATAGCAGGGAGACTGCACATCAGAGAATTCAGGAGACTATCCATCGAAGGAAGTAAAGTCCCTCATACCAAAGGCTCACCACTATCCCATGAAGAATACCCTATTAACCACCAGCCTTAGAAGTTAACACACAAAAACTACAAATGACATACAGGGATATTATTCCAGTATGGTTTCTATCAATTAAGATATTTAGTAATGCCTGTTTGTCATAGTATAAATATGTTAATTTTGTATAATAACAAGAGCTAATATTTATTGGGCTCATTTTGAGCAATTTGTAGGTGTTATTTTATTGAATTCTTGCAACTACTTTGCAAGGCGAAAATTACCATTGTTATTTTACAGATAAAGAGACTGTGGCTCAGAAAATACAAGCAACTTATAAAAGAGAAATATCTGGACCACAAAGAGTCAACTCATAGCTTTATCTAAGGCTCCAGGGCTCTGAGTGAGTAGATCAGGTTAACAGCTCCCTTTACCATCTGCTGCCTAAGTAAGGCTGATTTCCGTTTTCAATGTAATGTTCTTCTATGTGCAGCATGCTTATAGCATTTTGTTTAATTATGTATTATTCCCAAATGGGGATGAAATTTATGGGTTATAAAAGTAGCACATGTTCACTGTAAAATATTCAACAATATGGAAAAGAATAAAGTAGACTGCTGTACAATTATTTCAGCACCTTGAGATATCCATTGTTAATATTGTGGTAGGTGTCCATTCAGAAGTTTTTCTGTGCACATACATACATATATACATACATTTTCCTTAAGTGGAGATATGGCATACATGTTTTGTAACTTTCTCTTTATTTCCTTAATATATGGTAGCCATATTTCCATTGTTAAGGCATTTGGATTCATATCTTTTTTTTTCTTTTTTTTTTTTTTTTTTTTTTTTTTGACAGAGTCTCACTCTGTCGCCCAGGCTGGAGTGCAGTGGCATGATCTCGGCTCACTGCAACCTCCGCCTCCCGGGTTCAAGTGATTCTCCTCCCTCAGCCTCCTGAGTAGCTGGGACTACAGGCGCATGCCACCATGCCCGGCTAATTTTTTGTATTTTTAATAGGGATGGGGTTTCACCGTGTTAGCCAGGATGGTCTCGATCTCCTGACATCGTGATCCACCCACCTCAGCCTCTCAAAGTGTTAGGATTACAGGCGTGAGCCACCGCACCCGGCCCTAGACTCATATCATTTTTAATAGGTGGTAGGATTCCAATAAATGGATATACCATAATGAGACATATGTGTTGTTTCCCATGTGTTGTTATTATAAACAATGCTATGATGGAAAATTATGAAAGTTCATCTTTTCCATTTTGGCCAGGCTATGAGGTAACCACGAAAGCCTATGTTTTAATTTGTATTTCTTTGATCACTAGCAAGGATGAACATTTGTTTGTAAGTTGACTGACGTAATATAGTATTTCTTTCATGAATTACCTCTTTTAATTTCTGTAATTTTTTCTTATTTGGGTGTCTCCCATTTTCTTCTTTGTTTCTAGGAGCTACTTAAATAATATAGTTGGCTCCGTCCTCTCATATATGTTGCAAAACATGGATACAAGTAACCTCAGAGATTGTCTAGTTTAATCCTCCCATTTTATGAGTTATTAAACTGTCTAGAGAAAGGAGGTGACTCACCAAGGTGTCTTGGTTATATCCCCGATTTCTTCAGTGACTCATTAAGATTTATTGACCACTGCTATTTCTAATATACTACCCTCCTTCTTCTCATAAAGCAAAATATACTTTGAATTGACCAGGAATTGCTATTATAGAGGCCATCCTGTGGAGAATGAAAAATAACACTTTACGTATTTTTGTCTTCTCTGTCTTACGGCTTTTTCCACCCAAGGATTCTTTTTACTAGCCAGCAGAGGAAGGAAGCTCTGGGGAGGAGATAGCTTTACAAACAGTGCTATAGATGTTCTTCTATTTAGAGAAAGGGAACTAGACATGTAACAACCCTCAGTGGTCTTTGCAAGCCTGATGAAAACTTCTTGGGCTTCACAATTATTTTAATTAACTAAATTATTTTAATTAACTAAAATTTGTTATAACATTTTTCATATGGTTGTGTGGAGGGTTTCTTGGGTGCTCTTTTTTGTATTGATTGAGAGCTACTGTATAAAGTTGCTAATAGGCCAGGCGAGGTGGCTCACGCCTGTAATCCCAACACTTTGGGAGGCTGAGGCAGGTCAGGAGATCGAGACCATCCTAGCTAACATGGTGAAACCCCGTCTCTACTAAAAATACAAAAAATTAGTCAGGTGTGGTGGTACACGCCTGTAGTCTCAGCTACTCCTGAGGCTGAGGCAGGAGAATCTCTTGAACCCGGGAGGCAGAGGTCGCAGTGAGCCAAGATCATGCCACTGCACTTCAGCCTGGGCAACAGAGAGAGTCTTTGTCTCAAAAAAAAAAAAAAAAAAAAAAGAAGGAGGAAAAAAAAGAAAGTTGCTAATAGCTCAGTGCCTCTCCACTGGGAGGATATTTGAAGGCTGCTATCTTGATCTGATGCATACTGCAACTGTCTGTCATGCCTTTCCAAACTGGAATTGCATTTGCTTCCCCCTTTGTTGCAGGGAGGCGAATGGCAAAACCCAAAATAAGGAATCATGACAAACAGTATGTACACTTGCCTCTCAGTTTTTTTGGATAGACTTCTTATGCTTCATTTATTCTGGAGAAAAATATTATTAGTACAAGAGCTGGGAAGCGGAACTGGGTTGAGGAAGCTATAATAAAGGTCAATTGGAAGAGAAAATAAGGAAGTGGGGGTAAGGAAGCCATCAAAGTGCATCAGTCGCTAATAGATGATTCCGTACTTCCTTTCTTAGGAAAGATTGGGGCATGTGGAAAACTGCTTGTCCATTTGTGCACTGCAGAAAGGGAGGGGGAGGAGACCCAGACTCCCTAAAAGGGGAAAAAACATCAGGGGAGAAGTGAAGCAGGTGTTTCCTGCTGCCTGTGCCTCAGAGGAAAGCTTGAAGTCCTGGGAGGGGGTTTTCCACAGCGGCACAAATCAGGGGAAGCCATATTTTTCCAGCAGCCTAATTCAGAGGTCAGACACGTCAGCCATCACCTCTCATGTTCATCTCTCTTTCTCTTGCTCTCTCTCTCTCTCTCTCTCTCTCTCTCTTTCTCTCTGTCTCTTTTCTCTCTCTTTCTCTCTCTCCCCTCCTAGGCTCAAAGATCTGAAAAACTAGTAAAAAGTTTATACAGAGGTAGCGTATAGACAATTTCTTTCAGTTTCTCTCTACCCTCCTTTTTCAGGTTATCTGCTTTTTTTGTTTACTTGTCCATGTCAATCAATCTTTATTTTATTTTTCTCTTTGTACTTAATGGGAGTGTTCATATTAATGCCTAGCATGTGCCTTTCTTCATTTAAAATAAAAAGGAAAACAAAAGATAAAGTGAAATATCCAGCAGTATATTATCTTGAACTTGCACAATGTGACACTAAAAGGTACTGGGCCATTTAGCTCTGCTCCTCTACAGAATTAGTTATAAAACCAAGACATTTATGGAAAGCAATTTTTAATGATACATTGATATGTTAGCTATGTCTTTTAAAATTACTCTCTCTCTGTCACCCCTTCTCCTTTTTCTCTCCCTCTAACAGTAAAGTATCTAGGAAAATAACAGTAAAATTGGTGTGTGTATGTGTGTGCTCACATGCACATCATGTGAAAACATTTGAAAACAACTCAATGATTTAAAAATATATACTTGTCTATTTTAGATTAAGTCAGAGTAAAAAGAGAAAAAAGGGAAGCAGGAGGATGAAGGGAATGAGGAAAAGAGAAAACGAGAGGTAGAAAAGAGAGAGGAGAAAGGAAGGAGATGAGTTGGGGCACTCAAATACAAAGAGAAATCGCCATATATCATCCAGATGTTTTGTCTACAGCAGACCAAACATCAGGCTTTCGGGAAACATTTGGAAGACACAATGCTCCTTTCACTACACAGACAACTGTTGACAGTCCTATCGCCTCCTTCCCTGCGTGTATGTGTCTATCCCTTTCAAGCCTTTTTGTGGTCAAATTATAAAGGCCTGTTTAGTGGGTGGGGTGACGTCACACTGACCACAAAAGCTTATATTTCCTGCTACTAAATACACAGCCCCTGCTGACGAAGTGATCATTACAGAGAGAGCTTGTTCTGCCGAGGTCACCCCAAAGTGGGGATGAAGGCACTGGGGCGGGGGCTCGGTTGAGAGAGCAGAGCCATTATTCCCAAGTGTGTCTGCCTGCCTGCTGATCCTCATCTTGCTAGAACCAAAAGATGAAAATAGAAGTCTCTTTGTGCTTCCTCCAGGCCTTTGTCTCTAAGGATGCTGGGGCACACTGGGACACAACATGGTGGGAAAAAGGAAAAGACAAAAATTCAGGTCTTTGATTCCAGTTTCCTCATTTATAAGCTCAGTGATTTTACCTCTCCGGGTTGAATCCTGAAAATCTCCGTTTTACTAAAGAGAAAAGAACCTCATCCAGGGATCACACGGGAGCATGTATTTTAAAGTGACTGGTTTTAGTTTTGAGGGCAGCTGCTATCTTATAGTGATTTCTTTAGTGTTCCCACTTTCCTTGTGCTGATTACAAACGGTGGTTCTCTCTTCTGAGAGGAGAGAGTAAAGGGTAGGTTTTGTTTTTACGCATTTCTTTCTATTTTATTTATTTATTTTTGCAGAGGTCATGGGTGAACAATTTTTTTAATGAAGGAAAATAAATGAATTAACGTGGTGACTTGTCCAGTTAAGCCAAAGAAGCCACACCAAGTGTTAGAGGACCACAGAGGAACCAGAGAGGATCTGGGTAAGATCTCACAGGAAGAGTAGCATCTGGGTTGGGTGTAGTGCATAGGAGTTTGGCAGGCAGAGGGTTATGATCATAATTACCATCCCCAGGAACCCCTAAGTATCCCCTGGCATTAAACCAGAGTGGTCTGAGGCCTTATGTTGTAAGTCCTTGGCACTCCAAACCTCAGATGAAACAAAAATTGATGGATGTGCTTTTTGAATAGTTCACTCAATCAGGTTAATTTTGACGTTTAAAGAAGCAGAAAACCACTGCTCAGCCAAGATCCTGCAGAACTTTCCTATTCTCCATCCTAAGCCCTTGGTGAAGTAGAACTCAAATTCCCTACATTTTTCTTTCTTTTATTTTTCCCCCCTCTTGTGAGGGATGATTACAAGTAAGGCCTCAAACCCAAAAAGGACTTGGAAACAAGTCCACGTGGTATTCAGTGAAGGAAATCTTTTGCTTTTATCCATGTAATTTAGGTGGTCTGGACAGCCAGTCTGGATACTCTAACTGCTGGCAAGATTCTGAAGGCCAAGGTTGTGTAGGTTGGTTCTCTATATAAACCGAAGAATTGAAAAACTGCCCCGTTCCTTTGGGCCATGTGTGTCCACCAGGCACTTATTGTGTGTGCACTTTCTGCCAGGCCACTGGCTAACTTTAAGGGCCTCCAGTGGGCCTAACGCCATGTGCAGTTCACCTGATCTGAGGCTGTGGCGGGCTGGTGTGGCTCAGTTATTCCCCACAAGCTGCCATCCCCTGGCTTAGACATAAAGCCTTAGCTCCATTAATCATCCTTTTCCTGGAGCATACTAGATGAGCTCCTGGCTGGGAGTAGAACTATCATGTTCATTTCCTAATTTTAAAAAGTGTGTGTTTGCTAACAGCTGGAAGGCAGGCTAGAAAGGCAGCTTCAAAGTCCCACTGTGGGGAAAATAATGCTAAGAAGATCCTGGGGCACTTTCTCTTGAACTCACCTCCCCTGTAGCACTGGGGACTGTCCTAGAAGATGAAGTCTGTGCTGGGGGTAGTGAGGGAGGGCCCAAGGCTTGCAAAGAGGATGGACACTGTCAATTTGGGCTGGGCTTAGCCATTAAAAGTAGATCTCTGAAAACAGAACTGGGGGAGTGAAGATGGAAGTTATGCTGTTAAGCTAATGAAAGAGTCAAGAAATAGAGAATATGGAGAAATCAGTGGCCAGAGCCCAGAAAAATAACAATTATGTGAAAAAAAAATGTCATTTAAAAGGTAGAAGCCAAGGAACTTGATGAAAACCAAGTCAAATAGCCAAGATATCTTTAACAGACTCAACATAGCTGACACTGAGAAGAACCTAAAAACTGAGGCAATGTTATAAATAGATCAATTCCAGAAAAAGCAAGACTCCTGGGGAGAAGGGTTGGGATGGAATCAGAACCAAAAGGTGAGAGCTCTCATTGTTCCACGAGGGAAGGACAGAGTCTCAGAGCAATGGCTGGGTCAAACGTGACAAGGATAATGGAAGTAAAATGATCAAAGTTAGAAAGGTTCTGACATAGTACAATAACAGAGGCCATGCAATGTAAACATATATCAAAACATCACATTTCAAGCTGGGTGCAGTGGTGCACTCCTGTATTCCCAATTACTCAGGAGGCTGAAGCAGGAGGATTGCTTGAGCCCAGAAATGAAAGTTCAGCCTGGGCAACATAGTGAGATCCCATCGAGAGAGAGAGAGAGAATCACTTTATACCTCATGAATATATAATATATATTTTATTTTTAAAAAGAAAATTTAAAAACAAATGCAGGTCATGGATCCAGAACTCAGAATGTAGGTAAATTAATAAGAAACTAGAAAGAAAAGACCATCTTTCTTAATGATTTCAACTGGCTCTGTAGGAAACCACCCAGGTGTTCATTGTCTCCAAAGAGCTAAACCTTGCCTCAGAAAAATGACCTTCTCCTATCTTTCCTGCTGCAGCAAGAACCTCTGGTTTAACCAATTAGGTAAGTCATTTATATGACACTCAATCTGAATTATTCTGTCTGTCTGTCTGTCTATCAATTTCTCTATCTGTCTATCATCTTTAGGGAAAAAGTATATCCCATGCACAGTTATGATAACAAAGGAGTCATCTTCTATACAATATTAAACATAACTATTGAAAAGTTAAAAACTCAAGCCTTCAGTTTAGGGTTTGATTTTCATGATCCAAAGCAGCATTCTTGACTGATTGTTTTTCCTTGTGTTGATTCATATTTGTCTGAGTGAATTTGATTGGCTGTTTTGGAATTGCGTAAGATACTTCTTCATTGACCCAAATAATCTGTTTGTTGATTTTATTCAGACTAACATATAACTTAATTGACTAAATTTTTGCCTTTCTCAAATGGTGTGGTGATTACATAGACTCAATCTGTATTTTTGAGAAGTTTTTAAGTATGCTTTCATTAGCCTGAGACTAGTGTTCCTGAAACCTTGTAAAGTACGGAGCACTTCAGGAGCAGAGAGAATGAATACCTTGGGTGATGCCCAGTGTAAATCTCATGGTCTGGAGGGAATCTTGTGGCCAATATGAGCCTCGTCAGATGTCAGGCTTTCCAAAAGTAGAAGTGGAAGGCTCCTGTTTTTCTAACTCCTGCTGTTCCCCTGACTATCACTATGTTGTCCATATTGTTTTCAGAACTCACAGCTTAAAGAACCACCTTGCTTTTCTTAGAACTTTGGGGGTGGACCTTACTCCTTTTTACTTTTTTTTTTTTTCAAATTGCATGTGGATTCTACTGTATTTAGCATAACTCAAGCTTAGCATTTGAACATGTTTCATAGCCAATAGCTTTGCACATCCTCCATGATTGCATACTGTGTTTCAGACACAGATGTAGGACATGCAACTGATGTGGCCATCACTAATGTCAATACTGACCCTTGCTCTGTGCTTTGGGCCCTAAGTAGAGCTAGGTCCATGTAGTAGTCTAGTGCCCTCTTGTGGCTTTCAAACTAAGAGTCTTGAGCTATTTTGTAGAATTAGAGCTATTTGTAGAATCACGAGTTTGAGAAGACCACTGTGAAGTTACGTCCTGCCTTCTCTCCCTTAGTAACACTACCCACCTCCTGCAAAGCACAGTCAGTGATGGGAGACATGTTCTACTCTGAGCTAAGAAAAACACTTTGGAATGTGGAGATCAGGGTACTGGAGTTTAATAGAGACCTTTAGAACTTACTATACTGTGGATACATAGCATATGACAAATAAATGTTAATTGAAATTCCTTTGCCAAATTGGCGATACCTCCCAGTTTTTCCATTCACTCTTAAACTTATTCATTCAACAATTTCTCCAATGACATGATTTCAAATAATTTGATATGTTTAATTTGAAGGCAAGAGAATTATAAGGAATATATCAAGTGATCTCAAAAGTTTGAAGATCTGTAATGTGACCAAATCAAGTATCCTACATGGCTCCAGAGAGACACACATTAAGGTTGTAGATATTGGTTAGATATAAGGAAGAACTTTTTAGTGACTGCAATTGTAGAACCCTGAAACATGTCTAGGAATAAACTTCTCATTGCACTGAAACAGTTTAGCAGGGATGTATTAATTTTTGAAATAGACATTTTAAAGAGAAGTTTCTCCCATGGACTAATTGATCTTTGATAAAAATCTTAGATTTTTAGAATCTAAGATTTTGATTTTTATTAAAAATCTAAGATTTTAATAAAGATGTTTTAGATTTTTAGTCTACAAATGTATTTAAGAAAAAGCACAGCTTCCTTTGACTAGTCAATTAAGTCCCACAGCTAAGCAGTCGTAAGGAGCAGAAAAAAATAACTGTTGGGTACTAGGCATAGTACCTGGGTGACAAAATAATCTGTACAACAAATCCCTATGACATGAGTTTACCTATATAACAAACCTGCACATGTACCCCCAAATCTAAAAGTTTAAAAAAGTCTTCTCTAATGTTTAATATGAAACTTTCCCATATGAACATTGCAAGTTCATAACTACCATCTCCATTTCTAGGAAATCAAATTGTGTGTGTGTGTGTGTGTGTGTGTGTGTGTGTGTGTGTGTGTGTATACAGGTGTATGTTTACCCAAACCCATTTTTATAACCTATCTGGTTTTGATTTTCTAGATTGTAATAGGACTTTTGACATTTTCTTCAAAACCTGACATTTTGTCACTTAACTGCTTTTCATTTTCAGCAAGCCTTTCACATTGATGTCTAATTGTGTATAATGGCCAATTACACACTGGAAAAATATGCATATTTGCTTGATTCTGGTTATATGACATATGATGAGTATGTTCATACATATTTATTAAAGCAGTTATTCATTCATAGCACAGCAAAAAAAAAAGAGTCAAAGACTGAATTTCAGGAGGTTATTAATGAAACATAAGAACTTAGTTTTGTCACCCCAAGTTGCAGGGACAATGAAAGCCACTGTCTCTTAGTTCACATCAGCCTAAGCTGCAGGACAGAGGAGATGACTTATGCTTCTGTCCAGGATAATTTCTTGCTCTTTTAAAGAGGTAGAATGATGTTACAGGTATGGGTTGATTGGATTTCAATTGCTGCTATTGTTTTGGTTATTTTTCATATTTAGTCAATACAATCTTCTCTATGCTTTTTGAAAAATCTGTACCGTAAACCTTAGAGGGGAAACAGTGAATCCACCATGTCTTGCAGAGGTCCAAAACCAAGTTAAAACCAGAAGCCATTGGGTCTTCAGCCTTTGGACCTGAAGGTGGAAGGTGGGTGAGATAACTGCCTCCCCCATGTTCTCCCTTTCTTCCAGTGGCTTCATCACTCCTATTACATTGAGACTGAGGTGGGGAGTGGTTTGAGAGTTTTCCAGAGAGAAAGCTGATTTGTCCTTATGAGGCTAAAACTTTAAAGGTCTTGGGGTTCAAGAAAAGTTCAGGTCCAGGATCCAAAGTGGTTTGAGATTTCCTCCTGTTCTTCCTCACAGTAGTTCCACTGCCCTTCATCTTGGCAGAAGGGCCAATGGCCTATGTCACAGCCTTGCTGACAGCCCTGGGCTACAACAGAAGAATTCTTGCCCCTTCCCATCTCTGTGGGAGAGACACACTGGATTGTCACCAGCCTGTGAAATAAACCACCCACCTGGTCCATGGAACCATTTCAAGGCCAGAAAAGCCAGCCTTACTCAGCTGTGCCATATGGGAAAGAAGAAACACTGTTTTTCCCCATATGGATTTGTCACACATTAATAAGAGGCATTTGCTCTCAGTCTCAGCCAAATGCCTTGGTTCTTAAAACACATGAGAAGACGTGCTTGACTTAGCTTGCCAGGGAATTAGATATGTACTTCATAAAGTGAATCTAAACTAAAACTGTGTTGGGCTATTTTGTCCCTACCTCATTGGAGAGACATCCCTGCAAATGGACAGCTAATCTCTTTAATGAGCAAAATACCCGAAGGCTGTTCTGGGGAAAGAGTCCAGCGTTTAACTGCTTCTTGCTGCACAGCTCTGGAACGCAAAATTTTAGAGCAGAAAAGGACCTTGGAGATCATGAATTGCCCCCTCTCCCTTTCCACCTCATTTACCATGTAAAAACTGAGGCCTCAAGAGGAAAGTGACTTGTTCAAGAGCACTCGTCTGTGTTGTGGCCTATAGGACTCTTACCCAGGTCTTTTCACTCTTAACCCTCTTCTCTTTTCTTTCTTTTTTTTAAGGGTTTTCTTTACATATATGTATACTTTAACTTCTGAGGTACATGTGTAGAATGTGCAGGTTTGTTACATAGGTATACATGTGCCATGGTGGTTTGCTGCACCCATCAACCTGTCACCTATATTAGGTATTTCTCCTAATGCTATCCCTCCCCCAGCCCCCCAGCCCCTGACAGGCCCTGGTGTGTGATGTTCTCCTCCCTGTGTCCACGTGTTCTGATTGTTCATCTCCCACTTATGAGTGAGAACACGCCATGTTTGGTTTTCTGTTCTTGTGTTAGTTTGCTGAGAATGATGGTTTCCAGCTTCATCCATGTCCCTGCAAAAGACATGAACTCATCCTTTTTTTATGGCTGCATAGTATTCCATGGTGTATATGTGCCACATTTTCTTTATCCAGTCTATCATTGATGGGCATTTGGGTTGGTTCCAAGTCTTTGCTATTGTGAATAGTGCTGCAATAAACATATGTGTGCATGTGTCTTTTTAGTAGAATGATTTATAATCCTTTGGGTATATACCCAGTAATGGGATGGCTGGGTCAAATGGTATTTCTAGTTCTAGATCCTTGAGGAATCGCCACACTGTCTTCCACAATGGTTGAACTAGTTTACACTCCCACCAACAGTGTAAAAGCGTTCCTATTTCTCCACATCTTCTCCAGCATCTGTTGTTTCCTGACATTTTAATGATTGCCATTCTAACTGGTGTGAGATGGTATCTCATTGTGGTTTTGATTTGCATTTCTCTAATGACCAGTGATGATCAGCTTTTTTCATATGTTTGTTGGCTGCATAAATGTCTTCTTTTGAGATGTGTCTGTTCATACCTTTGACCACTTTTTGATGGGGTTGTTTTTTTCTTGTAAATTTGTTTGAGTTCTTTGTAGATTCTGGATATTATCCCTTTGTCAGATGGATAAATTGCAAAAATTTTTTCCCATTCTGTAGGTTACCCGTTCACTCTGATGATAGTTTCTTTTGCTGTGCAGAAGCTCTTTAGTTTAATTAGATCCCATTTGTCAATTTTGGCTTTTGTTGCCATTGCTTTTGATGTTTTAGTCATGAAGTCTTTGCCCATGCCTATGTCCTGAATGGTATCGCCTAGGTTTTCTTCTAGGGTTTTTATGGTTTTAGGTCTTACGTTTAAGTCTTTAATCCATCTTGAGTTAATTTCTGTATAAGGTGTAAGGAAGGGATCCAGTTTCAGCTTTCTGCACGTGGCTAGCCAGTTTTCCCAACACCATTTATTAAATAGGGAATCCTTTACCCATTGTTTGTTTTTGTCAGGTTTGTCAAAGATCGGATGGTTGTAGATGTGTGGTGTTATTTCTGAGGACTCTGTTCTGTTCCATTGGTCTATATATCTGTTTTGGTACGAGTGCCATGCTGTTTTGGTTACTGTACCCTTGTAGTATAGTTTGAAGTCAGGTAGCATGATGCCTCCAGCTTTGTTCTTTTGGCTTAGGATTGTCTTGGCTATACAGGCTCTTTTTTGGTTCCATATGAAATTTAAAGTAGTTTTCTCCAATTCTATGAGAAAGTCAATGGTAGCTTGATGGGAATAACATTGAATCTATAAATTACCTTGGGCAGTATAGCCATTTTCACAATATTGATTTTTCCTGTCTATGAGCATGGAATGCTTTTCCATTTGTTTGTGTCTTCTCTTTTTCCTTGAGCAGTGGTTTGTAGTTCTCCTTGAAGAGGTCCTTCACATGCCTTGTAAGTTGTATTCCTAGGTATTTTATTCTCTTTGTAGCAATTGTGAATGAGAGTTCACTCATGATTTGGCTCTGTTTGTCTATTATTGGTGTATATGAATGGTTGTGATTTTTGCACATTGATTTTGTATCCTGAGACTTTGCTGAAGTTGCTTATCAGTTTAAGGAGATTTGGGGCTGAGATGATGGGATTTTCTAAATATACAATCATGTCATCTGCAAACAGAGACAATCTGACTTCCTCTTTTCTGTGGGATTGGTGATGATATCCCCTTTATCATTTTTTATTACATCTATTTGATTCTTCTCTGTTTTCTTCTTTATTAGTCTGGCTTTCACTAAATCAGGGTTAGTGGCTATATTCAGCTCCTCAAGAGAGTAGGTTGGGTTAGATGATTAAATATAAATGTGAAGTCTTGATGCTCAGCCAATTAAAAACCTATGAAGGCAAAGGATACAGAACAGTACACAAAACCAAAGTTGAACCCTTGAGATGCAGGAGTGGATGTCATCACCTCTGTACCTTATTCAGAGTTGCTTAGGCTTGTGATCTTGTAGAACCCCACCACCTGGGCTCCTCCCCACTCCTCCTTCCAACCAGATGTGTGTGGTCACTGGGAGAGAAAAATGGGTTCCTGGATCAAGCTTTGAGGGTATAGAATCTCTAGTTACGTAAAATCGATCTATCCTGAAGGAGACAGCACTTTCTGCTACCTGTCTTCGTGATAGGGAAGACAGAGTCAAAGTAGAGAGCAGGTAAGAGAGGAATTAAGTCCATCCTCTGAGGTGGCACTTCTAGTTTTTTTGCCTTTATTTGGTGTCTTCCTTGGGAGCTCATTAATTGCTGAGGTATAGTTGATGTTGTATGAACTCACTCACCTATTGATACCATTGGAAGATGAAGGTAAACAGCTAGTGTACCAAGGAGCTGGTGTCCCTCTATGGCAGCCTTATTAGAAGGATGTAGCTGTGCTGATAATTGAGCCCTCACTCAAGTGATGCTTTGATATGTGAAATAATGACAGCTTCTTATTGGAATTTTGTCTTGGGAGCAAAAGAATGATAAAATTATAGCACCTCATTTTTTCAAGTTCCCTCTGCTTCTCTCACTTCTAAAAATGTAGCTTGAGGAGGTTAAGTAAGTAACTTGTACCAAGGCCACACACTTAGTTCAGAGCTGCAATGTGCATCCAGGGCTCTCTGTCCCTGCTGCTTACAAAGAAGATGAGTTGGCAATCAGTGTAAAAATAGAGACACTAATTGAATCAAGATGATATGTCATTTAGAGGTGAGGTAGAATGGAAAGAGAGTTGGTCTAAAATTTAATTTTGAAACATGCTGTACTCCCTGCAAAAATTCATGGATTTGAAGAAACCTGGTCTAAAATTGTATTTATCAAATATTAAGGTGCATAGGAATCACCTGTAGATTCTAATTTAGTAGGTCTAAGTTGAGGCCTAAAGTTTGCCTTTCCAACAAGCTTCCAAGTTATGATGAATCTACTAGTCTACACTGTACACTTTGGGTAGCAAGGTCTTAAGATACAGCTAAGAGATCATAAAAGAGACAGCACATAGTCACTGGAGAGCAAATCATTCCTAGACTGTTGGCAACAACCTCAACACATTCAGCTGGTTGTGTGACTACATAGGCCCATGGAGAGGGTGCCATGTTGTCTCTCTCAGCTACTGCTTTCTTTGCCTGAGCTCCAAGGCCCTGTGCCTGGTATATAGAAAGGATCAGTCAATTGAAGCTGAAAAAGGGGCATATTTCTACTTCAGGAAACTCAGCTTTGATCAGGCATTTCTAAAGGTGATGGGGGAAAAGGATTTGGGAAAAGTAAGTGAAAATACACTTGGCTTGATCATCTGTTTTTCAATGGTGAGAAACAGCAGCAACCGTGATTAGACATGGCTCATTGGCTTCATGAAATCAGACATCAACAAAGGGCTTTGTTCACAGTACCTAAAAGACAGGACTGTGAGCACACCTGAAATTTTGCAACGCTCTTAAGACTTGAGTCAAGAAGTGGGAGCTGTGGCTCATGGGCTAATAGGATCCAATGCATTTCAGGTGGCATACTGAAAAGTAGAAAGAAAAAAGATTGGTGAAACACATCAAAAGGCTAATTATGATTGTCTTTGAGTGGATGCACTTTGTATGTCTTTATTTTTTGACATGAGCTTTTATTTAGTTGTCATCATTCCTCATATATAATGATTATACTTTTTTCCCACTTAGAGATATAATTTGGGAATTCCTGTAAGCATAGTTCTAAATGGTGCATACTATTTTATTGAATGAATATAGCCAAGATGTCTGGCAAAGGGAAATGTATTAAATGATTATTTGTCTCCAATTCTTTGCTCTTTAAATTGACATTCTAATTAACATCTTTGTGTAAGACACTTTGGAAGTTCCACAGGGGGAACTGATGGAGTTTAAGAAAATGAGCCTAGTGTTTACTAAAGTTCTAAGAGATTGTCTTGTTCAGTGCCTTACTGTACTCCTCATGAAAATGGTGGCAGAGCTGCAATTTGAGCCTGCATGAGCCTATGCCCCTGTTCTTGGAAGATACAGATCATCACCTGTCCTTGGTTGAAGGTCCTCCAGGTTCTGGAATCCTAAGAGTAATACAATGCTCACCTTTTTTTCCTTTTCATCACCTCTAGTGCCTCTTATTAGCTAGCATGCAGGTAAAAGGATGCGGCGAATTGTACAAATTCAGAAACATGTTAACTATCATGCCAGCTCCACCTCATTCTACCTGAAAGAACTTGAACGTGAAACATAACCTCTCAGCTCATTTTATTTATTCATTAAAAAATTATCTTATTCATCTTGCAGGATACTTGTGAAGAATAAATAAAAGAGAATTTGGCTGCATCTGGAATGGTTCCCAGCTGCATAAAGTGCACCTAACATAGCATCTATCTTAGATCTTAGAGGATGTTGTTGAAGATTAAAGGGCAGTGCGCTTAAAGAGCTGACCCTTATCCCTTTCTTCCACTTTCTTACACTGCAGATTTCTTCTCATTTGTTCACACACATCTTCATTATAAACAAACCAACACAAAGTAGCTGAATGAAACAGCAAAATCACTAAAATCCATGTTTCATTGAACATTGTAGGACACAGACTGACTTGTTCTCTCAAGAGGTTATTCAACATGTCTTTTTACAATATTTAATAGTGTTATTTGATAACAACAGTTTTTCCAACTTAGATACTTCTTTCTCCATTCCAAATAGATTCTGACCTACCACAGTGTAGAATGTCACTACATTTTTCTTATTATTTGAGCTTTTCTGAGCAAGGTGATTCTGCAACAGATCTTTAAACAGCTTTCCAACAGTGCAATTAAACAATCTTACCAAAAAAAAAAAAAAAAAAAAGGTAAGTGTATAAGATAATGGACAGGTTAATTTGCTTGGTTTACCTTCCCACAATATATGCATATTTTAAAACATCATGTTGTACACCATAAATATATACAGCTTTTAATATATACAGCTTTTATTTGTCAGTTAAAAAACCCCAAAAACAATAAAAGTAATAATAATCACTTCAAGTGATTTTCTTTTCTTTTCTTTTTTTTTTTTTTTTTTTGCAGCCGCTGGATAGAATATCAAGGTGATTTCCTTTTCTGTAAAATAAAGAAAATAATAGTATGTAACTTATAAGATTGTTTTTAGCTTTAAAAGATGTAATACGTGTAAAGTACTCCACACAGGGCTTAATACATAAAAAGTACCATCAAAAATACTCATTATTAATACTGTTTTGTCCCTATGTCTTCTCCTCTATCAGATATCAAAAACTTATTCACTATTGCATGCTTTTTTAAAAAGTGTCACTGCAAAGCTTATAGGTTCATGTACTGGCAGGCATACCTCAGAGATATTGTGGGCTCAGTTCCAGACCACCACAATAAAGTGAATATCACGATAAAGTGAGTCACATAATTTTTTGGTTTCCTAGTGCATATAAAAGTTAGGTTGACACCGTACTGTAGTCTATTAGGTGTGGAATAGCATTATGTCTAAAAGACAATGTACATAACTTCATTAAACATAGTTTATTGCTATTATATGCTGCATAATTTTATTACAACATATTTTATGGCTAAAAATGCTTATGATCATCTGATTATCTATTATGACCTTCAGCAAGTCATAATCTTAAACTTTTTGCTGGTGAAGGGTCTTGCTTCAATGTTGAGGCTGCTGGCTGCTAAGTAAGGGTAGTGGTTGCTAAAGGTTGAGGTGGCTATGGTAATTTCCTAAAAAAGAGGCAACAATGATGTTTACCACATTAATTGACTCATGCTTTTATGAAAGATTTCTCTGTGATATGTAATGCTGTTTGATAGCATTTTGTCCTCTGTAGGACTTCTTTCAAAGTTTCAAATCCACTGGTTGAGTGTTGAAAAAAAAAAAAGAAAAGAAAATTTCAAAGAGTCAATTCTCTTAAACCCTGCTACTGCTTTACAAACTAATGTTATGTAATATTCTAAATCCTTTGATGTCATTTCAACAACATTCATAGTGTTTTCACCAGGAGTAGATTCCATCTCAAGGAACAACTTTCTTTGGTCATCCATAAAAAGCAACTCCTCATTCATTCAAATTTGATCCTGAGATTGCAACAATTCTGTCACATCTTCAGGTTCTACCTCTGATTCTAATTCTCTTGCTATTTCCACCACACCTTCAGTTACTTCCTCCACTGAAGTCTCGAACCACTCAAGGTTGTCTATGAAGGTTGGAATCAGCTTCTTTTGAACTCCTGTTAAGGTTGCTATTTTGACATTTCCCATGAATCATGAATTTATTAAGTTCACATTTATTAACAATTCACCATCTAGAATGGTGAATTTTTGCCAGGGAGTTTTCAATTTCCTTTTCCCAGATTCATCACAGGAATCACTATCTATGGCAGCTATAGCCTTATGAAATGTATTTCTTAAATAATAAGACTTGAAAATCAAAATGACTCCTTAGACCATGGCTGCAGAATGCATCTTGTGTTAGCAGTCTCTGTCAGAGCTCTTGAATGACCAGGTGCATTGGCAATGAGCACGAATAATTTGAAAGGTTGTTTGTTTTTTTCTGAGCAGTAGGTCTCAACAGTGGGCTTAAAATATGCAGTAAACCATGCTGTAAACCATGCTATCATCCAGGCTTTGTTGTTTCATTTATAGAGCATAGACACAGTAGATTTTAAGGACCCTAGGCTTTTCAGAAAGGTCAGTGAGCACTGGCTTCAACTTCAAGTCACCAGCTGCATTAGTCCCTAATAAGCTAGAGTCTTTTGAAGTTTTGAAGCCAGGCATGGACTACTCTTCTCTAGTTAAGGAAGTCTTAGATGGGATCTTCTTCCAATATAAGGCTGTTTTGTCTGTATTGAAAATGTCTTGTTTAGTTTTGCTACCTTCAATTATCTTAGCTAGATCTTCTGGATAACTTGCTGTAGCTTCACCTTGCTCTTTTATATCATGGAGATGGCTTCTTTCCTCATAAACCTTATGAGCCAACCTCTTATTACTTCCAATTTCCATCTACAGCTTCCTCAACTCTCTCAGCCTTCACAGATTGAAGAGAGTTAGGCCTTGCTCTGGATTAGGCTTTGGCTTAAGGGGGTGTTGTGGCTGGTTTGATCTTCTATTCAGACCACTGAAACTTTCTCCATATCAGCAATAAGGGTGTTTCACTGTTACGATTTTGTGTTCACTGGAGTAGCACTTTCAATTTTCTTCAAGAATTTTGTCTTTGCATTCACAACTTGGCTAATTGTTTGGTACAAGAGGCCTAATTTTACCCTTATGTCAGCTTTTGACATGCCTTCTCATTAAGCTTAATCATTTCTAACTTTTGATTTGAACTGAGAGATGTGCAACTCTTCCTTTCACTGGAACCCTTAGAGGTCATTGTAGGGTTATTAGTTGGCCTAATTTCAATATTGCTGGGTCTCAGGGAATAGGAAGTCTAAGGAGAGGGAGAGAGATAAGGGAATGGCATTTAGGTGAGGCAGTTGGAACACACATAACATTTATTAAGTTCACTGTCCTATATGGGTATGGTTCATGGTACCCCAAAACAATTCCAGTGGTAGTACCAAAGACCAAAGATCACCCATAACAGATATAGTAATAATGAAAAAGTTTGAGATATTATGAGAATTACCAAAATGTGACACAAAGATATGAAGCGAGTTTGTAGTCCTGGAAAAAAACAGGGTATATAGATTTGCTGGTTGTGGGGTTGCCACAAACCTTCAACTTGTAAAATATTCAAGATCTGTCAAGTGCAATAAAGTGAAGCACCATAAAATGAGCTATGCCTTTTGTTATTTTTGCGAAAGAAGTGCCAGGTTTAGGCTTGTTTGAATTGCCACAACAATAAAACCCAAAACACAATTATGTCTGTGTTTGCTTAGATTGATGATCAATGGTTATTCCCAGTTTACTGTTCTCACAGGGGAAGTGCTGTCAACTTTGCTATCAAGTTCAACATTATGTTCTCCGCAACAATACTGTGCCTATCAAAACCTTTGGGGGGTGCTGTGGTTTGAATGTGTCCTCCCGAAAGCATGTGTTGACAACTTAATCCCCAATGAAACAGTGTTGAGAGATGGGGCCTAATAGGAGGTAGTTTGGGTCATGAGGGTTCTGCCCTCATTAATAAATTAATGTGGATTATAAAAGGGTCCAAGGCTGTGCATTTGGCCCACCCCCATAACCATCTCTATCTCTACCTCTTTCTCTCCTTTCCGCCTTCGGCCATGGCATGATGCAGCAAGAAGGCCCTTACCAGATGCTGGTGCTCCTCAATCTTGGACTTCTCAGCCTTCAGAACTATGAGAAATAGATCTCAAATCTTTATAAATTACCCACTCTCAGGTAGTCTGTTGTAGCAGCATAAAACTGACTAAGGCAAGGGGTTTCTTATTCCCATGCTTCTCTTTCACTGTCTTGTGTATTTTTGCTTGTTTCAAGCATATCCTTTAAGCCATCTGTTTTTAATTACTGATCTGTGTTCCAGTTCAAATCTACTTTAATTTTTTTTCATTTTTAAAGGTAGATAAATCATGACAGTAACATAACTAACAGTTTTCCACACATTTGAGTTATCAAGGAAATTGCTAGGCTAAGAAAAAAAATATACATATGCATAAATCTATAAGCAACACATTAAATCAAGTACAATCCTGGCAGGAAGCTAAAAGGATTCATGAAAGCCAGTGGTATTTTCGTTTTTGTTTGTTTTTCAGTCAAATGTAAAGAAAAACAAATGCTGGTTTGCACAATGAGAAACTCAAAATGTGTTTAGTAGACATGCTACAAACACACACATACAATCAGCTGATCAGGTGTATCAGTTAGCTATTGGTACATAACAAATCACCCCAAAACCTAGTGGCTTAAAACAACAACCATTATTTAGCTCTTTATTCTGTGCATTGGTAATTTGTGTTGGGCTTAGTTGAATAGTACTGCTGGTCTTGCTTGGGGTCTCTCACAATGTTGCAGTCAAATGGAGGCCCAACTGGGACACTGAGAATTTTCTCCTTTCCATATATTCTTAAGTCCTCTCCTCTCCATCTGGCCTCTCCACATGGTCTTTCCACATGGTCTCCCCAGCAGGGTAGTTGGACTTCTGACATGATGGCTCACAGTTTGCAAAAGTGTGAGAATAGAAGCTGCCAGGGCTTCTTAATGGCTAGATTCAGAAGTCCTACATTGTCACTTCTGCTGTATTTCACTGGCTAAAGCAAGTCATAGACCAGCCCAGGTTCAGTGTGGAAGTGGAACACATAAGAGCATGAATACCAAAAGGCATGGTTCACTGGGGCCATTTTTGGAAACTAAAAATCACATTATCTATATTGAGGTAAAATTTGTCTTTGTTTTCTCTTGATTCTCTCTACATTCTGTGTAACGTGGAATAGATCCATTTTATGTGACAGGCTTTCAGATGATTTGAAATAGCTCTGATGCTTCCCTTACCACCAAATATCTACGTTAAATGTTCCCAGTTTTATCAAACACACCTTACATGACACAGTTTTAAATTTTCTAATCACTATGGTCATTCTCATATGGAGTCTGCCCCAGTTTATCAGTGTCCAAATAAAAGACTGGCACTGGGCACTGAGCAGAACTGTTTAAGATGAAAGGACAGTATGTAGTAGACAGAATAATGCCCCCCACCCAAGATGTCCAAGCCCTAATCTCTGGAACCTATAACTCTTTGGCCTTATACAGCAACAGAACTTTGCATATGCCATTAAGGTTATAGACCACAAGAGGAGGCAGGTTATCCTGGATAGTCTAGGCAGACACAGTCTAATCACATGAGTTCTTAAAAGCAGAAAATCTTTCCTAGTGACAAAAAGAGAGATGTGGTGATGGAAGAAGGGTCAGAGAGACATGGTGTGAGAAAGACTCCACCTTCCATTGGTGGCTTTGAAGATGGAAGGAAGATGGCCTTGAGCCAAGGAATGCGGCTTCCTTTAGAAGCCTGAAATGGTCCTTATCATATAGCCAGCAAGAAAATGGCGACTTTGGTGCTTTAAACCCAAGGAATGGAATTCCACCAACAACCAGAACTAGCAGGAAATGAATTCTCCCATAGAGCCTCCAGAAAATAATGCAGTCTGCCAACACCTGGATTTTAGTTCAGTGAGACCTATACTGGACTTCTGACCTTCAGAACTGTAAAAAAAATAATTTTGTGTCGTTTTAAACCACTAAATTTGTGGTCTTTTGTTAAGGCAGCAACAGAAAACTAATACCGTACTCCATGATCTCTTTTGAGCAGGAAGATAATTAAGGCATCCTATATTTTGGAGAGGAATCTGACCTAGGCGTGCCTCAGCTTTGCTGGCAATAACATTGTTGATTCATGCGGAGCTTACATTCAACAAAAACACAAAGTCTTTTTCACATAAGCAGCTGTGATTGGAAATGTTTTACCCTTTAATAATCAAATGCAAAATGGTACATTTAGCTCAGTTCATTTTCATCATGTTAGATTCAGTCTATCATTCTAGCCTGTCAAGATATTTTGGAATCTGGTTTCTGTCATCCAAATATTTCAGCCATCCCCTCCCAGTTCTGGATCATTTCAACATCTGACCTGCCCCATCACTGAACATGACCTGCAGGTTCCTTCTGACATCCTGGGGTGACGCTGTTCCCTCCACTCTAGTGCTCATGTGTTGAACTCCCACTTCTTATGGAAAGCCTGTGTATTTTCAAAGTGCAGCTCAAATTCCATGTCTTTCATAGAACCTTGCCTGATAACACCAACGGGAAGTGCTTTGTCCCCACTTCTACTCCATATGAGTTTCTCATTTGCACCATTGATATGGTAAAAATTGACTTATATGGTAACTATCTGTTTACATATCTTTTCAATTGTAGGCCTTTTGAAGACAAGGCTTGTCTTTTTCAATTTTTATATCCCCTAAAGCCACTGGCCTCATGCCTAGTACATAATAGGTGCTTTATGGAAAACAATAATCCATTTAGCAAGTCCTAATTGAGCCAAGATGTAGTACTCTAAAGCATTCATGTTTTCTTTAAATGGGTTGAGAAAAATACATATGCAAGCAAGTACATCATTGCAAATAAGGAATTTGATGCACAAGCAGAGGTTCTTTTTGGGAAAAATTATGACTTAGAGCACTATGTGTGTACTTCATTGCTTGTGAGAATGCAATGTCATATGCCTGAAATTATAAGGCTACTGTATCTTGGGCTGTCTAAACTGGGCTTTAACTCAAGCACCTAGCATGACACCTAAGACGGAGAACACATTTAATCCATTTGGCAATTTGTTTAACTGTGATTTGTTAAAGGACCAACTCAGCCATTTGTCTCACATTAATTCAGCATCATTTCAATGCCATTGGCAATGTCAGCACCAAGCTTTAAGCATAGATGGATAATGAATCAGTTAGGATAACATCACCTGTCAACTATAGAAACCCCCAAGTCAAATTGACCGAAGTTGAAGGATGTTTGTAGATAATACGAAAAGAAATCCAGAAGGAGGCCAATTTTAGGGTTGGCTCTTCAATCACTAAATAATATCATAAAGACCTCTTTACTTCTATCGTAAGAGTCTTTGTATTTTCTGACCTGCTATGCTCCAGCTAACTCCTCTCAGGGTGCCAAGAAGGCTGCCTCATTTCAGCCACGGCACCTTTTGGCAGAACAAGAGGCTGCATCATGAAGTAAATGGAGGGATCTTTTCCGCAAACCTCCCAAAAGACTTCCTTCCATTTATTAGTGCTAACCAAAAGTGGGGGCACATCCCCACTCAAAACCAATCGCTGGCCAGGCAAAGGAATCACCATGCTTGTGATGTGAAACATATGGTTTCGTGGAGAAGGGTATAATTCCCAATCTACCACGGGTTCTGTTAGAAAGAAACAAGGGGGTGAAATGCTGAAAAGGCAACCAACAAAATCTACAGTCACCAGTGCCAGTAACTGAACCCAAACTATATATATTCCTTTTTTTTTTTAATAATTTCTATTTTTCTTGCTGTCCCCTTCTCTGAGTCAGCCATGCTTTTGTTAAACTATGTTGAGAAGTTAAAACTTACTGGTATCATATCAATATTAATTACTTTTATCCTAAAGTGGAAAAACACACAAGTACACACAGACATACACAATTGTTGTTTGCCAACCTCATTCTTGCCATAGTTTTTGAAAATGAAAAAATCTTTGTCAGTTGCCAACCTCTTGAGTTTCCATCCTGTGTCAGAATTTATTCCTCTGGCTTCCAAGTAGAGAATGATGGCTTATGGCTCAGATGAAGCCCTTGAAATTGGGATCACTTAATGGAAACAGACATTTACCCTTCCAGATAGAGTCAAAATGTTTAGCCCACAACTGAAATTTAACTTCTTTTTGTAATTTTCAGAGTCTGCAAAATGGAATGTAAGTTTAAGGAAATGCCCTTGAAGCTTTTTTTTTTTTTTTTTTTTTTGGCAAAGAAAGAAATGCAAGAGATTCCTTTACTATTTTTAAATTTCTAAAAATGTGTCTCTTTTATTTTAACGATTAAATCAATAAGCCAATCTTTACCATTCTTAAATCACCGCACAAGCTTGCATTTGCAAACACATTGTACACTTTTTAAATAACTTTTATATTATTTGATATTTGGTTCTCAAAATAGCTACATAAGGTAGGTGGAACCAGTCTTGTTATCATTGTAAATGGGAAAAGTGAGTTTCAGAGATGTTAACTGACTTGACTTGAAGTCACACAACATGGTAGTGGCAAAGCATGGCCTGGTGGTGAGCTATTATAATTCTTAAACTACATTTCCCTAATCACAAGTAGTTATATGATAATGTGTTCTCCTTTTTTTTTTTCCAATTATTTGAGTGAACAGATCAAATATCAAAAAGAACCTCCAACTTGTGGGAATTAGGAAATTCCACAGAGGATTATCAAAGTTATAGTAACTACCTTTCCTATTGGTAGGTTTGAGTATTGAAAATAGTCACTTGAGGCCAGGTGCAGTTCCTCACACCTGTAACCCCAGCACTTTGGGAGGCCAAGGCGGGTAGATCACCTGAGGTTTGGAGTTCGAGAGCAGCCTGGCCAACATGGTGAAACCCTGTGTCTACTAAAAATACAAAAATTAGCCGGGCATGGTTGCACATGCCTGTAATCCCAGCTACTCGGGAGGCTGAGACGGGAGAATCGCTGGAACCCAGGAGGCGGAGGTTGCAGTGAGCCGAGATCTTGCCATTGCACTCCAGCCTGGGCAAAAAGAGTGAAACTCTGTCTCAAAAATAAAATAAAGAAAATAATCACTTGAAAAAGAGAGGGTCATTTCACTCTTGTTTAGAGGGAAACGATAATTTTAAGGGTCCCATTTGAATCTAAGTTTTGCATGTTGAGTCTTTGAATGAAATGAATGCATATTATAGGGGAAAGTCTGCAGTCTCACTTCCTATGAGACTATATGTGTTGGATCTTTGACTTGTGCACATTAAGGTGGGCGTTTCCTTTCTTCCTTCCTTCCATCTAATCATTTCCTGGCTATGTGTGCAATTCTGGAGCCACTTTCACACTGCAGAAGTTCAACCTGCAGATCTTTGGAAAGGGGCCTTGATTCTCCTTTGCTATTTTAGCAGCTTGTGCCTTCATCTCCAGGAGTCCTTATTCATTCACTCTAAGTTATAGTTTCCACATGAAGTCACCTGATTTGCAATGAGTGTCTTTCTGCAGTAATTAGCTCCCCACTCGGGGAGAGCACAGCTGCACATTAAGTCCAGTTGATCCAACATCAACACATGGCTCACTGCTGCACGGCAGACATGAGCTTCCTACTGCACCTACAAACAAATACACGGATCCATTTTCTTCCCCAGAAACCAGCCTGAATACAGCCTCCTGTTTTTCAAGACACGGAATGTGCTGGCAGCACCAAAGCCGAGGTTATTCTTGGTTTCTGATCTATTTCCCCTCCCCTCTTTTCCCATCTACGTTTGCTTAGAAGACATATCATGTCATGAGCAGTGCCTGCTCTTTGCAGACTTTCCTTTGGGGTTATTATTATTATTAATATTAGTATTTTAAATCTCTGGTAGCAGTTGGCTCTGGTGCCTTTTGTGCATTTGGAGAAGTGTATAGAGAGGCAGGCAGATTGGCCCCACCTCATGGAGGTGTCAGGGGAAGAAGGACTCAGGGGGCAGAGGACACTCTGAATTTCACCTGCTGTGCTCTGGTCTGGAGATGGTCCAGGGCCAAGTGCTCAAGATATGCTGACCTGATTTTGTGCAGAGCAGCTCATTGAAAAAGAGACTAAAGGCTGCATGTCAGTGTGCCAGATCAAGAGCACATGGAACTGAGCTCAAATCAAAAATGACAAGAAGATAAGATGCCAAGTTCTGATGGAAGGATGTATGCATGTGGTGTAGGGGCATCAGAGTTTGTATATAAGGCACCGTGTAAAGAACTAACATTGAATATTAAAATATCACTGTTTCATATATTTAGCTGTATATTTTTAAGTGACACAATAGTGATTATAACCTCCATCTTCCTCACCAAAACATATTATTTGGCTCTCCTGTTCAACCAAACAGTTTTAACCAAATAATAAAAACATACCCAAGTTCCTCTGGAGCAGGCTGGAGTCATCTAGCAGATAGTTACACAGTCGTGCATTGCTTAAAGACAGGGGCCTGGTTTGAGAAATGTGATGTTAGGCGATTTGTTATTGTGCAAACTTCATAGAGCACACAAACACAAACCTAAATGGTGTAGCCTACGACACACCAAGGCTATATGGTATAGCCTATTGCTCCTAGACTACAAACCCGTACAGCATGTTACTGTACTGAAAACTAGGGAATTGTAACACAATGGGTATTTGTGTCTCTAAGCAGATCTAAACATAGAAAAGATACAGTAAAAATACAGTATAAAAGATAAAAACTGGTACACCTACATGCCATGAATGGAGCTTCCAGGACTGGAAGTTGCTCTGGGTGAGGCAGGAGTGAGTAATGAGTGATTGTGAAGGCCTAGGACCTGACTATATACTACCGTAGATTTTATAAACACTGGACACTTAGGCTACACTTACAAGTATAAAAACTATTTTTTTCTTCAATAATAAATTAACTTTAGCTTGCTGTAAATTTTTTACTTTATAACTTTTTTAAACTTTTTAACTCCTGTAATAACATTTAGCTGAAAACACAAACACATTGTACAACAGAATAAAAATATTTTCTTTATATCCTTATTCTATAAGCTTTTTTACCATGTTAATTTTTTATTTTTTTATTTTTTATTTTTTTACTTTTTAAGCTTCTTTGTTAAAAATGAAGACACAAATACACACATTAGCTGAGGCCTACCTAAGATCAGGATTGTCAAAATCACTGTCTTCCACCTCCACATCTTCTCCCACAGGAAGGTCTTCAAGGGCAATAGCATGCATGGAGCTGTCATTTCCTATGATAACAATGCCTTCTTCATGTCTTCCTGAAGGACCCATCTGAACTTGTTTTACAATTCACTTTTTTTTTTTTTTTTTTTTTTTTGAGATGGAGTTTCGCTCTTTATTGCCCAGGCTGGAGTGCAGTGGCGCAATCTCGGCTCGCTGCAACCTCTGCCTTCCAGGTTCAAGTGATTCCCCTGTCTCAGCCTCCTGAGTAGCTGGGATTACAGGTGCCCACCTCCATGCCTGGCTAGCATTTTTAGTAGAGACGGGGTTTCACCATGTTGGCCAGGCTGGTCTTGAACTCCTGACCTCAGGTGATCCGCCCACCTTGGCCTGGTGGGCTAGGTGTGAGCCACCGCGCCTGGCCAACATTCTTTTTAGTAAGTAGAAAGACCATACTCTAATGATAAAAAGTAACATATAGTAAATATAAAACCAGTGACATCATTGTTTATTATCATTATCAATTATTATGTACTGTACATCATAGTGTGTGCTAGACTTTTATACAATTGACAGCATCGTGGGTTTGTTTATACCAGCATCACCACAAACATGTAATGTCTTGCATTATGATGCTATGATGGTGACGTCATGATGGGTACAATATTACCATGGCTACGATGTCACTAGGCAATAGGAACTTTTCAGCTCCATTATAATCTTATGAGACCACCATCATATATGCAGTCCATCATGGACTGAAACATTATTATGTGTTGTGAACCGAGTCTTCTCTTTGCTTTTTTCAGGGCATTTTCTATGTTTTGCTGGCCATTTTGGACTGGGATAGATTTCTCTAACTTCGGGATTTCTCCCTTTAGCAGTTTCTGATGAACCATTCATGCCTGAATTATGATGTGTAAAATGCCACGTTGGATTCTCCAAGAACCTGCCATTTGTCATGCTTTTCCTTCTTGGGCCATGCATTCATTTGTTATCCCAGAGCACTCTGGAATGTCCTGGGCTCTAAATTAAGGGATCTAAATGACTCCTCTAGAAAGAAATGTGGGGAAAAATAAAAGTTAATCGGCCTCCACTAATAGAGGCAGGGCAGGGCAGTTTCTCTATCACTTCTTTCTGATCTCAAAAGTGTTCCTCCCAGTACAAATGAAGAGAAGGAATTTAAGACCCCCTGGGCTTAAGAAAAGGAGGAGAGAAGGAAGACAGAAACGTGAGGGATAACTGCATGCCCTTGGGGATGTATGTCTGCAATAGATGCCATTGCCTCAGAGGAACCTTCCAAGGAACAATTCCAAATTACATTCTACTGAAACTAGGGTGACTATAAAATGGATCATCCAAATAGGACACTTTTAAAGGAAAGTGGACACTACTAGTAGTTATGTTAGACAATAGGCATAAACTGAGACTGTGCCTGCTCACCCATATCAGTGACCGAGTGGATGAACTTTACCCGAGAACCCACTCTGTGTCAGTGGCGGTGTCCGGCTGTGTTCATGTTCGGCACTCACCCAAGACATGTGAGTCCAAGACAGGGACATCCCTCATGTTGCAATATAAGAAATTGACACAGTTGGGACTTCAAGCTCTACTACCAAAGTTCAAAGTTTGGTTTTGAAATTTCAACAGTTATTAGTAGACCAACTAGGGGTAAAGGCAGACTCCTTCCTGATTCTGGAACAGAATATGAAGTACGTATGTAAAGAGAACTAATGTATGCGTTGGAAGGGGAGATGGCAAGGTCACATTACCATCTGAGTTTGGGTTTTTCTTACATGTGTCACTTGGCCCAGTTTTTATTAGTAAGTGGCGACAGAGTGAGAAGCAGGAAAATTTGATTCGTGGACTGCATTTGGTTGGGTTCCTCCCACACTCAGCAGGTCCAAGACCTACCCTGTTTTACTAAAGGATGCAGCCAGCTTCCTTTCCCCAGGGAATGCTTTCAGCAGAGAGAAGCTCAGTTATGGCTTATGTCTCATGACTTTTCCCTAATCTGCTTCATCCTAATCTGTTCTCAGGATATTAAAAAATAATAATCAGGGAGCATCCAGAGGCCAAGAATATCAAATCCTGCTTCCTCCAGCTTCCCCAGTCTCTGCTTTTCCACTAGAACTGGCTCAGAAGCTGCAGGACTCAATATCCCCCCTGCAATCAAGGCCAGGGATGAGCTGGACAGATTGGGACAGGTTTTTGGAAGCAGCAGAGGGGCTGATCTTTGAAAACAGAATGTACTAAAAGCAGTTCTTGGAAAGTCAAAGGAGGTTAAAACTGTAGTCAGCATCATTTTCTCCCTCGTGTAGTTAATGACCTTTTTCACTGACGATTCATGGGTTAGATGTGAACATCTGTCCCACAGTGGGAAAAAGATGAATAAATATCTGAATTAAATTAGGACCAGAAGCAATGATCATCAGTCATTTACTGTTTCTTCATTGGTTTATATTACATTTGTTCATCCACTAATTCATTAGTTCAAGTGTCAATTTTTTATTCTCTGTCATGTGTTCCTGCTTTTTCCAAGTTTATAGCCTGGTGCTGGGGTGGGGGGTGGTGAGTGGGAGACGCAGACAATTAAATGGACAAATGCATAAAATGATCCATAGGCTTTGATAGGAGTACAAAATAGTATGAGAGTACCTAACGTGGACTTCCAACCTAAGCCAAGGGGTCAAGGGAAGAAGTTTCTCAGAGAAAGTGACACACAAACTGATACCCATAGAATCTCATAGAAATCAGTCAGTCTGAGAGAAAATGAACTTAGAAAAAGTGCTCAAGGTCTGGGTGCAAGAGGACATGGCTCATCCAAGGAACTATAAGATGGTCAGTAAGACTGTAAGACAAGAGGGCAGGAGAATAGGAAAGGACGGATGGATAAGCTTTATTTCCTCTTTCGTTTTCTTATAATCATAGACTGTTAGGACTGAAAGGGATTTGTGGTCATTAACCCCTCCTCTTAGAAACTGGGAAATCAGGCCCGGCGCAGTGGCTCACGTCTTCCATCCCAGCACTTTGGGAAGTTGAGGTGGGAAGATCACTTGAGGTCAGGAGTTCAAGACCAGCCTGGCCAACATAATGAAACCCTGTCTCTACTAAAAATACAAAAATTAGTCTGGCATGGTGGTGCGTGCCTGTAGTCCCGGCTATTCAGGAGGCTGAGGCATGAGAATTGCTTGAACCCGAGAGGTGAAGGTTGCAGTGAGCTGAGATTGCACCATTTCACTCCAGCCTGGGCAACAGAGTGAGACTCCATCACAAATTAAAAAAAAAAGAAGAAGAAGAAAAAAGAAAGAAATTGGGAAATCCAAGACCAGAGGGTGAAGTTGACTTGTTCAAAGTCGTACATTTTCAAATTGGGATGCTACATAAACATGGATTCAATTGCCTGCTCCAAGTCTGATTTTCTTTTCATGATCTGGTAATTTGTAATTTTCCCTTTAAAAAAAAAAAAAGAATCGTTGAAGCCATAAAAAGTGTGACTTAGCATTCTTAGACTAGAGATCTGTTTAAAATGGTGGGGTGTGAGCTTACTGGAAATCAAGCTGAAAGACCTAAAGTTTTGTATCTGCAACCTTTTGATTGTTTTCACAGGATTTTGACTTAGCAAGTAATTTGGAAGTGTTTATCCTTTAAGTAAATGCATCTTTTGCTGTTTTAGCAATTTGTTAGAGCTTTGTCATATGCTAGCACCTCTGGCCAAGATACTTCATGCACAAAATAGAGGAAAATGTGTGTGTGTGTGAGAGAGAAGTTGAGAATTAAGCATATATATATATATATATATATGCACACACATATATACACATATATGTATACACACACGTATATAAATATACACATATATATTTTTTTTGATCAGAAGAGAAGATCAAGATGTAAACAGTCAAAAATGTTTAAATTACCCACTGCGTGTACCTTATAGGATGGTGAGAAATTAATGAGAAAGAGAGCGAGGGCTTAACTGATCTAAGTTGCAGGGGAAAGTGTAGGTCAGTCATAGGAAAAGGGCAGCAGCTCAGTTTGGTTGGAACGAAAGGAATATATAAGGAAGCAGTGGAAAATCAGCCTAGTAGAATAGTCCAGATGGACATAGTCCTGAATGTTGAATGTCAACATATTTGGTGGATAATGGAGGAACTACAGAGGTTTCTGAATGACAAAAAGGAGTTGTTGGTCCCTGAGAGCAACCAGCTGACCTCTGATAATTCATTGTCTGAGGCCAGGTCCCCTTCCCAGGGCCTGGTACCCTTGCCTCAATGTGGGGCACGTCTAGGTCAGAGCTCCACGTGGGGTCCTAGGCTGCGACTGCACCATGGCTCAAATTCCTCCTCTGTCCCATGCTGAATCCTTCACTCCCCACACATGTTGATCCTGAGCATGCTCCACAATAAACTCCTTCCTCACTACCTTCGTCTGTTCCTGGGAATCCAGATCTGCAACAGAGTGATAAACGGGTGGGCAGAGAGAGACCGTAAACCAGGATTCCAACCGATAAGCATGAAATGATGAGGGCTTTACCCCGGAGCTTCTGCTGAGTATCTAAAGAGAAGGAAAGGAAAGGGATAATGGGAATCTTCATCTCATCACTTTCATCTCTAAACCTTCTAGGAATGAACTTCTACCATTTTTTTTTTAAACTTCTTGACAACAGTGTTACAAATTCCTTTCTTTTTTTCCTAAAGACTTGGAGGCACAGTTTTCAAAACTGGCAGCATATCAGAACAATCCCAGGACTTTCAAAAAATGTAGCTTCGTGACTCTACTCCCAGAAACTGATTCAGTAATTGTCTGTGGAAGGGCCCCAGAAAAATGAAATATACACCACTGCTTTCATTTCTAAAATACACACTTCAAGTGCATTTTCTCATTTGATTCACATACACAGTCACACACACACTATCAAGATGTAGATATTATCATTATTATTGCCATTTAACAAATGAGAAAACTGGGGGGCTGATGAAAGTTTATCAACTTGCTGTAGGGCACCCAGATAAAAGAGAGACAAAGTCAAGATTAAAGACACTAGAGGCCTCTTGATGTTCTTCCCTCTACACCATACAGCCCCTTCCAGCTCTCAGGAGGCCAAGGTTCTCAACCTTGCTATGTGCTTACTCATTGCTCTCTGCCTTTGCTGAAGCTGTCCCTCAGGCTACCCTGCTCTGCTCCACAATACAAACCCTGAGAAATCTTCAGAACAAATCCAAGGTATGTATAAAGCCATTCAAAATGTTCTATAAGGCACTTCCAAAGTGGTCCTATTCAAGTGACGCTCGACCAGGTGCTCACACAGTATTCTCAGCTAACTCTGAACCCCAGGGAGAACTGGTTCACATGCATCCTTTGCCAGACCCCTCAGTCCATGATCAGGCTCATTTTCTTAGTTTAATTTTTCCTTTTATTCTTTTTTTGTGCCTTTTATTTACCTAACCCAGCTGGAAGCTCTGAGAGGAAAGGTATAGGCCAACAACACAATTTAACAAATTTTTCTGGCCCCTTTTATGTACCAAGTACAGTTGTTTCTTGGTATCCGTGGAGCTTTGGTTCCAGGACCCCATTGAATACCGAAATCCATGGATGCTAAAATCCCTTTTATAAAATGACGTAGTATTTGCATATCATTTACATACGTCCTGTTGTATACATTCAATCATCTCAATTACTTATAATACCTAACACAATGTAAATACTATGTCAATAGTTGTTATACTGTATTTTAAAGTTTGTATTGAATTTACATTTATGTTGCTATTTTTTATTGTTTTATTTTTCCAAATATTTTTGATCCGTGGTTGCTTGAATCTGCAGATGCATGACCTACAGGTACGGAAGGCCGACTACAGTGCTAGCAACACATGGAGGAATAAGACTGAGCCATAGCCCTCAAAGTACTCATAATCTCTCTCTCTTCCTACAACCAGTCACCCATTTTATAGATACTGGTTTGGTTTTGTGAACAAAGGGTTACATGAATACAGAGGAGGGAGTGGGTGAAATTATGAGAGTTGTTCAGAAGATAAGTTACTCAAGCAAAGTCTTGACAGGAAGTTGGTAAGATGATCAGTGAGCACTAGGTTCATATTCAAAAAAGGGAGACATTTTAAGAGATGTTTTTGTATTCAGACTTAGGAGCAGAGATTCATTGATTGATTCAACACACAGTTTTGGGCACCAATAATCCTATGGGTTATTATTTATGCCTCTCTCTTTCTTGCTCTCTATATTCAATCCATCGGCCAATCAAACCTCTTTTACCCTTTGCATGTCTTTCAAATTCATCTACTTTTCTTCAGTCCCATTACCACCTCTTCTCATCAAGACTTTGGTGATAGCTTGCTCACCATTCTCTTCATGCAGTATCCATGCCTGCAACCCTCCAATCCATTGTCTTCTTTATAATTGTAGATCTAACTTTGACTTGTAAATCTGAATTACATCTCCCCACTCTGCTTCCCAAGACTCTTAAGATAAAAAGCAGAATTTTAACCCAGCCCTACGTGGTCTTAGACATTTTGGCCATTCTCATTTCCCAGCCTCACCTAGCCCTTGGTTTCATGTCATCTTCGCTTTCTTCTATATTCCCTCCTGAGACACAGCCTTTGCACATGCTGCCCCCTCTGCTGAGGATGCGCTTTCCCATGATTCACCTCCCTCTTCTCCTTAACTCTTACTCTTCCTTCTGGACTCAGCAAAGGCATCATTTCCTTAGGAAATCCTTCCCTGAGCTTCTCTTACCAGATCTACAACTCCTGTTACTTGCACATGTAATGAATCCCTCTCCTGCTACTGTACAGCATTTATGACATTATAATTTTACATTAATTTAATTGCTTAAATTAAAGTTCATCTTACCCCCTCATTTATTAAGTTATACAAAGGCAAGGATTTTGTCTGTTTTTGCTCACCAGTGGACTTCCCAGAGTTCAGCAAAATGCCTGGTAGAGAGAAGGCTCTCACATACTTGTTAAGTGAATGAATGCATGAACCAATGACTGAATTAATGGACTGATACCTGTCTGACACAGTCTGGGTCCTGGCATTATAAGGGTGAGCAAAGGGGACCCAGTTTCTACTTTTGTGGAGCTTCTACTCTACTGCTGGTTCATGGAGATTGAAAAGTCAGTGTGGCTATTTGCAATTTGGACAGGTTCTCCACAACTCTTCCCTGACCCCCTTTCATTCATCTTGTGCTGGAGATTTCAGGATTTAGGGTAGTTGAAATTACAGTTGTGTTTGTTTTCCAACACTTTCTACAATGCTCTGTTGCCAGGCTTCAGAAAGAACATATCTCTTTATGTGCAGAAAAATTCTGTAATGAGCATGTATTGCTTTCTGGTAACTGCACATCCATTTTCCCTTCTTGCCAGAGTTCCTCAGTTTTCACGTGGGGTGTCACCTCTCCTATATGCTGTGTTCTCATGATGGGACTGTCTGTCAAAGGGTGGGCATGTGGCCCAGTTAGGCAAATGGGCCTCCCTCTTATTAATAACACTTACTGATTTTTCCTAGTTGGGGCACTGTGGGAAAACTGTAAGTGGATCCAAGGGCCTTTCCTTTCTGAGTCGTTCTATGAGCCCTTGAATCACTTCTCTTCTTCAGTCAATGTAAGTATATTTCTGTTGCTTGCACCCAGCCCTCTTCAATCAGGGTTCCACTGGAAGAGGACTACTGCCTGCAGTCCAAATTTAGTCACCGCCTATTTTAGTATGTAAAGTTTTATTGAAGCAAAGCCATGCTTATTCATTTACATAATGTCTACTGCTGTTTTTATGCTACAAAGACAAAGTTGAGTAGTTGCAACAGAGACCATATGGTCTGCAAAGCTGAAAAGATTTACAGAGAAAGTTTCCCAACCCCTGCAGTAGAGAGTGAACCCTCAATCCCTAAGACATTCATTGTAAGTAATCAATTAATTTCTCTTCTATGCATCTGGAATGGCACTAGATAAATACTACCCTTGGGAGAATTGAGAGCATCATTAAATCATTTTCTGTAGGATTAAATTTTTGCATGAAACATTGCTTAAGAAAGAATGCTTGTACCTGAGAAATCCTACATGTTCCACCAATTGTTTTCTGTCTAAGTTTCTAGAAACCTCTGATTCTCTATGCTGGCTCTTGGTTAAACTTATGTAGGGAATGTTGTTGGAAGTTGACTGAAGAACTGATTCTAGGACCCAGGTATTCTAAATCTCTCTGGGAATCGGAAAAGTTCTTTATTCTCTCTGTGCCTCAGCTTCATCTTCTACACAAGAATGAGATTTAGCTAGGATTTCTGAATTCTCTTCCAACATTCTGTAATTCATCTAAACAAAGATAAAGGCAATCAGATATACAAATAACAGTAAAATATCCAATTGTGAAATGAACCTAAAAAGAAAAGTTGCATCTAGCGTTGTGTATGTTGGAGAATAGCATGAAGTAGTGTGGAAAGCTGTGTGCAAAGGCAGGGGTGTGTGTGTGTGTGTGTGTGTGTGTGTGTTTTAAAAAGCAGTAAACGTCTGCATTAGTTTGAATACTGTCTTCTCTGGGTCCAAGAGGAGAAACCAGAGTGCCTGAAATGTCTCATTTGAGTCCTAAACGTAAATCCATGGTAAATAGCCTATTGTCAGAAAATTTAGGGATAGTTCCTAAGCAAAGTTTGTTTTACTTTTTACTCTCAGACTTGTTCCTAAAGCTCAGTCAAAATTTCACCCTGGAAAGTGCCTACTTAAATTCCTTTAACAAGCAATCTCCTCTCAGTAGACACGAGTTTGGACCTGTCCACTCTCCTCAAATAGGCCATCCATTTGAATTGTTTGCAAGGCCCCAGGCTACAGGTAGTTTAAAACGCCACTATCAGATTGCTTCTCAATCTTCTCCTCCAGACTAAATAGTCCTGATTTTTGTCAGCAGCTTTTCATACTCTGGGCTCTTTTATTAACTATTTTTGCACTTAGGTGCATTGTCAACCTACTCCATAGTGTGGTTTTGCTCCTTCTAGGAGCTTAGAGGCCACACCTGGGATTGGCTGGCTCCAGGCCCTCTTTAAAAACATTTTGATGATCATGTGTTAAGAACGAATGACAATTGTCCGCCCAGAATGCTCAAGCATCAACTCGTATGAGTCAGGGGAATTGGTGAAATAAACCGCAAAATCCAGTCTATCTATCCTATAATTAAGCCCCTCTAATGTATGGACAAAACAGATTGGTGAGGACTACTTCTGATCTCCACAAATTAAAAGCCTCCAAAGGAAAAATGCCTTTCCTTTAGAGGGTCATTTTTCATGTAGTACATTAAATATTTATTGACCATCTGTGCTATGTCAGGCATTATGCTAGCTACTAGGATATAGAAATGAGCATGAGAGATCGGGTCCCTGCCCTCCTAGTGCTTATGGGCTGGTGAGGGTGCATTGAAAAGGGAGCATGTGACACAAAAATAAACACGTAATTATGGTAAAGTAAGTGTGTGCTACGGCAGGAAGCATATGGAGGCCCTAACTCAGAATTGAGGAGGAGGCTAAGAGGACAGCAGTGTTGGAAGAAGGGATATGATACTCCAGCCAGATAGAACAGAGAGTAAAAGAGCCATGTGTAGCAACCTGAAATAATTTTTACTTGCCTGCCTCACAGAGCAGAGGGATGGTGTTAAGAGAGAAATCTGTGAGTGTGGATTGAACCAGGTGGAGCCCTATAAACCAGTTAAGAAGATGAAAGCTTAACCAGGGGCGATTTTGCCCTCCAGGGGACATTCAGCAGTGTCTAAAAACATTTTTGGTTGTCATAAATTAGAGTTGCTACAGGCATCAAATGGGTGGAGGCCAGGACACTCCTTAACATCCTGCAATGCACGAGACAGCATCCCCACAACACAGACTCCTTTGGCCCATAATGTAAATAATTCCGAGGTCGAGAAACCCTGCTCTAGCACAGTGGGAATCACTAAAGGAGGAGAGGTGGCAAGATCGGATTTATTTATAACTCTCCCTCTGGACACAAAGAGGTGGGGCCGAGTGAATTAGAAGGAGCCCAAGCTAGGTGAAATAATTGATTGCAGCCATACAGGTAAGGGATGGGATATAAACCTCAAAAACCTCCTCAGCCAGTGGCCCTGCCAGAGAAACACATCCTGATTTAGGAAGTCCGAATAAAAAGGCCACCACCAGAGTGAGCGATGGAAAGCTGAAAAGAAAATGAAATACAATCACTGTTTTCATCTGCACCTTGTGTCTGGCTCACTGTTCTGTTACACTCAAGCTGAAGGCATATTAAGTAAAAGATTCAGGATTAAAGTGTTACTTAACTTTAGCAGAAGATGGTAGGGTCTGGATATTTTAAACACATACCCCCCCACCCCCTACACACACACACAGGACATGATCCCATGTATTTGTGGAGCATGTTTTGCATTCTTTGTGACAGGTGGGGCCCTATAAATGAAGCAAGGGACAGCTGCTTAGCATGATAATGTGTTCCATATTGTCAGACCAATTTGGAAAAACTAGTAGTATCTATTATTAAGAATAGTATTATATATATGGAAAGTCTCTTTATATCAGACTTTAGTGCACAGGAAAACATGGTGATCCCCACCCACCTCCTCCATGATCACTTCCCAGTGGCCTGAATGAAGCATCCAACAATAGCTACTATTTCTTGAGCAGTCGCCATACACCAGGCCCTGTGCTAAGCACGCTAAATATGTTTTTCTCACACAATCTTCACAATGCTGTAAAGTATTTTTCTTCCAATTTTACATTTAAGAAAACTGAGATTTAGGAAGTTAGTGAGGGAGTCCCAACATTGCAAAGCTTGTAGAAGGCAGAATCTAAATTTCAACCTGGGAATGAAAGCCTCTCCCAAGACTCTTGAACTTGACCCCAAGAGCGTGCCTTTTCTGGTCAACAGCAATGAGTAATTTCAAGAGGCCACCTGGATCACACTTTGTCTCTGAGCATCCTGCCCCTCGGAGGTAAGGCTAAGCACCCACTGAACTGTGGCTGTTCTCATGTTGTTCGAGGAATATTCCGGCCCAGCAGGGTCCAGCTGTCTGAGCCTTGGCCACCTCACATCTGCACATACTACCACCCCACAGCACCACAACTACTGTCCTCTCTATGGCATTCTAGTAAAGTGAGCAGCTTGGCATCTCTCTCTGGAAATTACTGTAACAGAGATGACTGCAGATCTCCCAGTACCAAGTTGGTAGTGCCCATCAATCACATTTCCATGGGTTGTTTTGAAAAACATCCAAGTCTCAGATTTGACTGAGACAGGCAAGAGAAGAGTTGGGATGACGTCCAGAGGTGCAGACCTAGAACAAATCATGAAGTCTCTGTTTGTTTGTTCCCCTGTAATAATCACGGGATGTTTTCTAGTTACTCAACAGATAAGAACTCCTTATCACTCTTGGCGTTTTCACATGCTTTCCTCTTTTTTATTTGGAAGTTTGTTCTTTTCCTGCTGTTGGCCACCCATCCTGAGAGCACAGCCAAATGTCCAGGGGCTTTCAAAGAAATTGCAACAATCCCCTGGGACTCAATATCTTCACAAGATATTTTCAAAGGACTCAAAATGACTGGCCTTCCAGAAAACACAAACACCACATGAAATAAGATATTTTCCACTCTGAACCCAAAATTCATTTTTCCCAATCCCGTGGCCTAAGCCCTAATGGGACCACATGGTACTCTTCTGTCCCCCAAGAACCAGCTCCAGCTGAGTTGACTCTCAGCTACTGAGAGGCGGGCACACCTAACCCTCCATTTAGGCAACTTTCTTCCAAAGTTCTAGACGTGGGCTTCACAGTGTTGGAAACACACATGTGTTTCCTATTAAAATCATAGATCAAAGGGGTTGCTTATTTTTCAACTACAGGCCATGAGCAAGCTCAAAACCCATCACTAGAAATATCCAGCATCAAGACATGAAGGTGAATTGCCAACAAAAGCCATGCTGCTTCTGAGATTCCCACTCTTGGAGCCTCAGGAGGTTGCGTTTGTTCCATCCCTGGTACACACTCTTCTGCAAAGTCTGTTGCCTGAATTTGCTTCTCCGAAGAACACTGCATTGGTTTCCTGTGGGTGCTGTAATAAATTACCGTGAACTTGGTGGCTTAAAACAACAGTAATTAATTCTCTCACAATTCTGGAAGCCAGAAGTCCACAGTCAGCTTCACTGAGCTAAAATCAAGGTGTCATCAGGGTGGCACTCCCTCCAGGGTCTCTGGGAGGCTCCATTCCTTGCCAATTGTGGTGTTTGGTGGCTGCTGGCATTCCTTGGCTTGTGGCTGCATCACTCCAACACTAAGGCCAGCATCCCTGTGTCTCTTTCTGCTACCATTACATCTTCTTCTCCTGTGTGTGTGTCAAATCTCTGTGCCCCATCTTATAAGGACACTAGTGATAGCATTTAGGACCCACCAGATAATCCAAACTAATCTCTCCAGTTCAAGGTCCTTAATCACTTTGGCAAAAGCTTCTTCACCAAATAAGATGACATTTACAGGTTCCAGGAATAAGGATGTTATATTTCTGAGAACCATTTTTCAGCCTACTACAACAGCCTCCCAGCTCATTCTGTAGAGAGATGAGTGAGAATAGGCTCACTACACTCCTCCCGAAAGATCTCAAGTTAGGGTTGAAAACATTTATACACACAAATATATATTAATGACTCTATGTATTAATAAGAGATGTATATTCATTTGGCATGTGTCATATTCAGTATATGTGTTCAGAATTTAAAATCATCTACTCTCTAGCATCTGAACTATGCTATTACTATCATCTACTGAAGTAGATCATCGGCCCCTGTATTCTTGATATTTTTGGCTGAATAATTCTTTGTTGGGGTTGAGTGGAGAGCTATTCTGTGCATTGTAGGATGTTTAGCATCATCCAGCAAGTAGAAACCTAGGAAGCCCAGGCCAGGCGCATGGCCCACACCTGTAATCTCAGCACTTTGGGAGGCTAAGGTGGGTGAATCATTTGAGGTCAGGAGTTCAAGACCAGCCTGGCCAACATGGTGAAACCCCACCTCTACTAAAAATACAAAATGTAGCTGGGTATGGTGGCACATGCCTGTAGTCTGAGCTACTCAAAGGGCTGAGGCAGGAGAATCGCTTGAACCCAGAAGGTGGAGGTTGCAGTGAGCCAAGATTGCACCACTGCACTCCAGCCTGGGCAACAGAATGAGACTCTGTCTCAAAAAGGGAAAGAAACAAACAAACATAGGAAACCCAGTTGTAATTGAATTTCAGTAAAACAATGGATCCTTTTTTAGTATAAGTATGATCTCTATAATATTTGGGATCTTCTAATGCTAAAAAAAGTATTCTTTGTTTACCTGAATTTAAATAAAACTGAGTGTCCTGTATTTTGTGTGTCAGTCTTACACCAGGTGCCAATATGCCAGTAGCACACACCTACCCTCACCCCTGATTGCAACAAACCAAAACGTCTTCAGACTTTGCCAAATGCTCCTTGGGAGGCAAAATTACCCCCAGTTGAGGACCATATATATACCTAAAAAAATAAATAGAAACCCTTGGAAAATAGAAAAGACTGAGAAAAATATGTAGAATTGTTTAAAATATGTGCAGGTTGGCAGTTGTTGCTATTAACCCACTAAGCTATCAGGTTCAAGGGCCACAGGCCACACGGGCACTAGTGTGGCTCTGGGGGGATGTGACAGCGTCGCTGTTGGTGGGGGACATGGTTTGGAGAAGGCAGTCTGCTTGGAATAATTCTGCCTATCCCTTTCCTTTCAAGCCTCGGAGCCTCAGGCTGAGCAGCAGGACCAGACATGATCTCCCACCCCCCACATTCACCTTCTAATTTATTTTAATTATTCTCTTTTTTCCCCCTTAGTCCTCAGGCTTCATTTAGGTGCATGTGGCTCACTCAGGCAGCTAAGTTTGAAGGCACCAGCAGACAACTGTCTGGCAGAGCTATGCTGTGAGGTCCCTCCACTGAGACTTCTGATTTTGAACATGTCCCTACTGGTAGAAAAAGCTAAACAAAAGAGGGACTGAATGGATGTGTGCCCCCTGCCCCTCTCTCCACCCCCAGGCCCCCACTTGTCTCTCTCTCTCCCCTCTCTCTCTCTCTCTCAAACACACACACACACACACACACACACACACACACACACGCGCGCTTCCCCCTTTTCTTTCCTGCATCTTCAGCTTTTTGTCCAGAGGGAGCAATTGCCATTCAAAGTATCCATGGCTCACCCAGGCTTTGGTATAATGGTAACTCATTACTCTTTCTCCCCACCACCAGCTGCCTCTGTACTGTAGTAAATATAAACTTGATGTTCACACACACAGATAGCAATCGGGTGCACATATTGTATGTCTGTATAAACAAAGCCGTGTGTATTTATAGACCCATATCAATGACAGATCTATATGGAAAGATAATGGGGGTTTTACAGACCAAAAAAGAAAAAAAAAGAGGCAAGGCTTTGAAGCCTCTGACCCAAAATAAAATAAAATACCAAATAATGCTCAGCAACAAATCCGTTAATAAGGAGGGGGAGGCTGATCTCTGTCCCACAGCTGGTGAAGTCTACAGGGGAGATTTGTTTGGGAGGAGTCAGACTCTCACAATATGGAAGCAGGATTTAGGTTCTGTTCCTGAATCTGGTGAAGGATGAGCATTTCATTGTTTGCTGTAAGCTCTTAGTTTCTCGGAGTCACTAACACCATCTTCAAAGGGTTTGCATTAACTAACTGCACATGGCCTCATACAGCAGTTCAAAAACAAAGCTGACATTTAGCAAAAGTTTTAAGAATTAGTAAATTAATTTGGCTAAACATAACTTGATGCTCCTGAAAGTCAGAGACTAAGACAAAAATACCTAGATAGAAAAAGTAATTTAAAAAACCCCAGAGAACAGAAAGAAGATGTAATAATACCAGAAGGAAGAATTGGAGGAAGTGGTCCCAGGATAATGGCCTCTAATTATGGGCCTGCCTGGAAAAGCTCAGGCTTCAACTCAGACTCTTTATCCAGCAGGAAGATGGGACAGACTTCATTTTTAGGATGGGTTGTTTTATGTACATAATCAGGCCAACTGTAGGGAGAGCAGCAGGGAGTTATAAACAGGATAGCCACCAAGTGGAAGCTGCCACCTCTGATGCCAACCCAACTCATACATTCTAATTTCATCACCTCCCTCTATCACCACTCTTACGCATGCCATTTTACAGAGAGGGCTATTTCTTTGGTTTGAGGACATTTTACTCTCTTAAATACCTGTATTCTGGAGATAGTGCCTTGTCTTTTCTTTCTTACTGAGACAAAATTTATATACAGTGAAATACGCAACCCATAATTATTCAGTGCAATGAGTTTTGACAAATATGTATACCAATGAGACTACCACCCCAGCCAAGGTACAGAATATTCCCATCACCCCAGAAAAGTCCCTTGGGGCCAATGATGTGCTAGAACCAATTTCTACCAAGGCAATTCTGCTAATCTCTTCCCAAATTTGCATTCATTGATGTCATATTGGTGCTTAAAAACTGTCATGCTAGGAAATCAGCAAACACTACAACAAATCGGGGACATTTTTTTTTTCAGCGAGCCAGCTGACCAGCACACACCTGCTCATACCTCTTTTTAGCCAGTCCCCCACCCCCTACAGAGGGAAGTCATCATAGATTTAGTTTTACCTGTCCTTGAACTCCATGAAAATGGAATTGCATATTGTATTTTGCTTTTCATCAACATGATGTCTGTGAGATCAATTCATTTATCAGTAGTTTGTTCCTTTTTTATTGCTGAGTAGTATTCCATTGTATTAATATACAGTACCATATTTTATCTAATTTCCTACTAAAAGACATTTGTATTTTTCCCCAGTTTGGGCGTATTAATATTTTATAAAACTTCTATGTACCTATGTACCATTTTGTACCAGTATTTTCATGATCATATGTTTTCTTTTCACTTGGATAAATACCTAAGAGTGATATTGATGGGTCATAGAGTAAGTTTATGTTTAACTTCATAAGAAAGCACCAGAACATTTTCCAAAAAGGTAGGACACAAGCAACATATGAACTTTCCAGTTTTTACAGCATTTGGTGTTGTCACTGGGTCTTTTGAATTTTAACCTTGCAAATATTTTTGATGTAGTACTCATTGTGGGATTTTGATTTGCACTTCCCTGAAGACTAATTATGTTAACCATCTTTTCAAGGGCTTTTTAGTTATTCCTATATCTTCTTTCCAGTTGTGTCTGATAGAATTTTGTGTGGAACATTTGATAGAATTCACCAGCACAATAATCCAGCTCTTAGTTGTCTTTTTTGGAAAGGATTTTGACAATGAATTAAATTTTTGTATAGACCTAGGGTCATTCGGATTTTTCTAATTCATTTTATGTTTTGGTAAGTTGTGTTTTTCAATGAATTCATTCATTTTTGTCTAGATTTTTGAATATATTGACCTAATATTTTTCATAATATTCCCTTATTATCCTTTTAATGTCTATAGGATTTTTAGTGATCTCTTTTCTTGCATTCCTGATATTAGTAACTTGTTATTTCTCTCTCTTGATCAGTTTTGCTAAAGGTAAACCAGTTTAATTGATCTTTTCAAAGAAATTTCATTTCCTCTATTTAACTGAGGTTGACTTTTTCCAGCTTCTTAAAGATAAAAAGTTAAATCATTGATTTTAAACCTCTCTTCTAAGCACTGCTTTAGCATTTAATAAATTTTTGTATATTATATTTTTAATATTGATCCACCCAAAATATTTTAATTATCCTTATTATTTCTCTTTTATTCCTGGATTATTCAGAAATATGTTGCTTAATTTCCATGATACTTGGGAATTTATAGATATAATATGATTTCTAATTTAATTGTACTGTGCCCAGAGAATATATACTATAAAATTTAAATCCTTTAAAATTAATTGATACTTACTGTCCAGTATTTGGTCTACCTTGGTTAATGTTTCATTTGCACTAGAAAATAATGTGTTCTATTGTTCTTTGGTGGCATGTTTATATGCTTCAATTAAGGTCATGTTGGTTGATAGTACGGTTTATTTCTCCTATATCCATGCTGATTTTATACATTGATCAATCAATTAATGACAGAGAACTGTTAAAAATCTTGAATTTGAATTTCTCTGTTTCTCCCTTTAATTCTGTCACTTTTGGTCCTTGTATTTTAAAGCTCCATTATTGGGTGCACATACATTTAGGATCGTTTTACCTTTCTGGAGAACTGACTCTTTTATCATTTTCAAATTGATAACTTGCCTCTTTATCTTTGGCAACTCTCCCATGTTAAAGTGTATGTTCTGTCGTATTAATATAGCCATACTATTGCTATGTGCTTATTCTTTGCATGATAAATATTTCCTCCATCATTTTACTTTCAATCTATCTTTGTCTTTATATTTAAAGTGCATCTCTTTAGAGAATAGAGGGATGGTTACCAGAGGCTGGGAAGGGTAGTGAGCCGGGAGGGGAAAGTAGAGGCATGGTTAGGGTACAAGAAAAAATACTTGGAAAGAATGAATAAGACCTAGTATTTGATAGCGCAACAGGTAGACTATAGTCAGTAATAATTTAATTGTACAATTAAAAATAACTAAAAGACTATAACTGGATTTTGTAACAGAAAGGAAAAATGCTTGAGAGGATGGACACCCAATTTTCCATACTGTGATTATTACGCATTACATGCCTGTACCAAAATATCTCATGTAGCCCATAAATATATATGCCTACTATGTACACACAAAAATTAAAACTTAAAATTAAAAATTAAAAAAGTAATAAAATGCATCTTTTGCTTTTCTAACCAGTCTGGCAATCTTTCCTTTTAATTGAAGTAAATTATAATCTAATTAAACATAACTCAATTATTTATACTTATAAATTTAATTTAACATTTAATATAATTATTGATATACTGGGATTTAATGTTACCATCCTGGTATTTATTTACTATTTCTCCTGACATCTTGTTGTTCCTCCATTCTTCCTTTCATTCCTTCTTTTGAGTTCATTAAATATTTTTAGTATTCCTTTTCTGTCCTCTGTTGGCTTTTTAGCTATCCTTATTTGTATTTTTTAAATGGTTCCCACAAAGATTAAAATATGACACTTTAACTGATCACAGTGACTAGAGTTGACATTGTACCACCACCCATAAAATATTTAAGTCTTACAATTGCAAAATTACATGTATTTTTTTCCTACTATTTTTGCCACCTTTGACATATATTTCACAAGCAGAACCTCTTTTCATATTTCTTGTATTACAGATGGATTCTTTTAACTTTCATTTAGCTCATACATTTCCTTTCCTCTCAAGAATCACAGCCCCGTACCGCATGTTGTCCAAATACCTAAAGACAGTTTCCTCATATATTTTGGCAGTTTTATGGTTGTTTTTAGTAAGAAGGTGTATTAATTTGCTAGGCCTGCCATAACAAGGTACCACAAACTGAGTTGCTTAAACAACAGAAGTTTATTGTCTCACAGTTCTGGAAGCTGGAAGTTCAAACGTAAGATGTCAGCAGGGTTGTTTGCTTTTAAGGGCTGTGAGGCAGACTCTGTTCCTTGCCTCTCTCTTGGCTTCTGGTAGCTCAGGCATTCCTTGGCTTGTAGATGAAAATCTCTCCATGCCTTCACATCAGCTCCTCTCTCTGCATGTCTCTATGTACAAATTTCCCCTTTTTGTAAGAAAATAAAACCGTATTAGTTTAGGACCTGCCCTGATCACCTTATCTTAACTTGACCATCTGTAAAGACTCCATTTCCAATAAGGTCACAGTCACAAGTCCTGGGGGTGAGGACTTCAGCATCTTTTTAAGGGACACAATTCAACTTATAACAGAGGGTAGTTCTAGTGGGATATAGTCCATTATAGCTAGAAGCAGATGACATTCAGGTTTCTTTTGTCAGTGTCACTTTTCTGTAAATCTGCTCATCACGTTCAGTGGGGGAGTTGGGTGGATTGAGGAAAGATGGAGGATGGAGAGGGGTGCTGGAAACATTAGGACTAATGAAAGCACTTTTTAGTAAAGAAAATTGAGATTCTCCAGAATAAAATGTTTCCACTTTCCTAATTTTCTCTTTGGCCTGTGCTGTGGTTCATACCTATTACAGTTGTCTTAAGAGGGAAATAGGAGCTTTTATGTTCACTCATTCATTATAAAAACAAAACAAAACATATATTGAGCACTTGCCTGTGCCAGATATGTGCCTAGTAGCTGAAGATACATCAGTGCAGGAGATGAATATGGCTCCTGCCTACATGGAGTCTTCCTTCTAGTACAAATGTGGAGTCCATCTCGTTGCTTAATTTTTCTTTGAATTGTGGCTTTAAAAAACTAATCAGTATAGAGATTTTAATGTATCTTTGGCCAAAAAAAATACAGTGCAGGAAAAAATTGAAAAGAAGTAATTTTTTGATTCCTTCTTTTGTTCAGCACATATTCTTGAACACACATTGGACCTAGAGATTAAACTTTCCCCCTGGAGCTGTCTGAACGTGTGGAATAATGTAGAGGAAAGTCTTCCATTATGGAGTGTGGCAGACTCTATTGTTTATCTTGATAATATGCATTATTTCCTTTCTAACCCCCAAATGCCTAGATAAATGAGTGATTTTGGGTATCCAGCCCCACTGCAAGATCGTGTGCTTTAAGAGGAGGCTCTTAATTGGTCTAAGTTGGTCATGATGGTTTCATGTAATAGAAATGTGATCAAACTCTGGTCTATGAGTCAGGAAGAAAGTATGTTAGAGACTGCTGGAAAACAAGGTTTTCTTGCTTCTTCTTTTTTTTATTTTTATTTTTGAGATGAAGTCTCACTCTATAGCCCAGGCTAAAGTGCAATGGCATGATCTCGGCTCACTGCAACCTCTGCCTCCTGGGTTCAAGTGATTCTCCTGCCTCAGCCTCCTGAGTAGCTGGGATTACAGGCGCCCACCACCTTGTCCAGCTAATTTTTGTATTTTTAGTAGAGACAGGGTTTTGCCATGTTGGCCAGGCTGGTCTTGAACTCCTGACCTCAAGTGACCCGCCCACCTTGGCCTCCCAAAGTGCTAGGATTACAGGCGTGAGCCACCACACCCAGCCAGTTTTCTTGCTTTTAAAATAGATACATAGAAAGAGAAAGCCTTTTCTTTTTCTGGAACTTGTGACATCTGTATGTGATGTCTGGAACTTCAGCAGCCATCCTGTGACCATGAGAGGGATGAGCCTAAGGATAATGTTGATAGATTGAGGATAGTAAAGCAGAAAGAGGGGAAAAAAAAACTTGGATCCTTGATGATATATCTGAGTCACTGAAGGAACCAATTTTGAAACCGTGTTAACTTTGAGCTTCTTGTTCAATAAGAAGGGAACTTGATAAATTGTTCTTCTTATTTAAGCAATTTAGAATTAGGGTTATACTTATAATTGTGTCAAAGAAAGAAAAAACAAGAAGCCCTAAGAATTTTATTTTTTGACTCATTCCCCACCCTCCCAATAGAGGAGGAACTTTCTGCTATCAGAATATCTTCATCCTCTGCTTGTTAAATCCAGTGCTATATATTTTGGGAGGGGAAAACCAGACACGTACCTCTTTAAAAGATCTATGGCCTGTAATAAATGTCTAAATTTCTCTTCAGCATATTTTTGTGTTTGCAGATTCAGAGACAAGAGACTTTAATCACGGCTGCTAAATCCCCCTTTTAAAATTGAATTTAAAGTAACATTTGAGGCTGTGTATATTGGCTGCAGATTCCTCCCCATATTCTTCCTGGGAGTTACCCACCAATGACATGAGAGTCCCTCTCTATAATAAAGTAGCTTTAAAAAAATAGCTGCTTATTAAGGCAGAGATTCTAATATTAACCTACTATTCCACTGAATAAAGGAATTGGGTGTCTTTTATACAAACTTGAGGGTCTGGATGTATTTCTGCACTTTTCTTCAATGCTTTACAGAATCTTAAAATAGCATTCCCCCTCCTTTCCCTCCAATTCCATGCAACCACAGCAGAATGTGAGGTACTGGTTTGGGGCTTTGGAACCAGTGTATGTTATGTTCAATTTTATTTTCCATGCTTAAATGAAGTTAGTTCCTTCCTCTTTCATTTGGGATGTAAGAGGGGAAATGAATATTATTTTTATAAATATGACTCGGTGTTCTGCCCAAGTCTGCCTGTGGCCATCAGGAAAGTGGGATGTTGGGGGTAAAAAAATATGGAAAAGGAGTGTCCAGGGAAAGTATTTCAGAGATCCCGGATTTGTCTATAGCCTGCTGGGAGTTACAAAAGAAAGGAAGAGGCTTTTTCTGTCTGTAACATTATACAGCCTTGGTCTACACCAAACACCAGGGGCAGGGGGAAATGGATGGGTGGAGTGGGTTGACAACTTGTAGGAAAAGTTCTGATTTTGTGGTAGTCTGAGAATGCCAATGAATGTTTATGTATTTAATTTTGAGAGTGGAATTTCACTAACTCTCCTGGGAATTGAAAATAGGGCTTTATTTAATCTTCTCCCTTTGCATTGGAAAAGAAAAGAGCTGAAGGAACTATAAAGAAGCGAAGGAAGAAGGAAATGTAGAGAATATTTCATTCACCCTTTCATGCTATGGAGAAGGAAAGTGAGACCCAGAGCCAGGAAGTGAGTCCTCCAGGGTCACACAGTGACTGACAGCAGAAGAGGCATTGTGGTGAGTGGTAAGAGTGGGAGCCTGACTCCAGGTTCCAGCCTGTCACTGCCTGGTTGTGTGACTGTGGGTTAGTCTCATAACCTGGCCGAGCCCTACATTCCTCACCTCTACAATGGAGATAGCCACAGTGCCTTTCTCATGAGCTTGCTATGAAGATTAGATGAGTTAATACTTTTAAAGAGCTGAGCACCTGGCAAATAATACATGCTCAATAGATTCAGCTTGAAGGAAGCCCCAACTCAGAAGGAAGCCGTGGAAAGCATGATGCTGACCTTGCCGTACTCTTCTTCCCCTCTATTCTCATCCTCCCACGTGCCCCATTCATAGGTGGCTGAGACAGCAGAGACTCCCCTAAGGAGGAAGAATGAACTTGAGCTTTCAGCCTGGGAACCTCAGACCCGACAGAAATAGTAACAAATCACTTTGTCTAGTAAGCACCTGGGGAGCACCCTGACATATTCCCTATCTTGTATTTTGCTAGATTTGAGTTTCCCAGGGGACATTCTGTTCTCCGTTTATTTTTCTCTCATCTTAGTTCCTTTCTTTACAAGAAGAATCTAACTTGCCAGACACGGCTTAAGTGACGTGTGACTGGAGAAGGCCCATGCTCAGGGGGATAGATTTTAAGATGCAGCTGCCTGTTAATGGACTTGGTGAAAAGACTGGGTAAGATATCATTCATTTTTCGTAGAGGAGACAAAGATCAGATTGTGGGGAGGTGATGAGAGATTCCTCTATAAGCAGAGCTGGAGACTCCTGTGTATCAGGTATCTTGTGCCTGGCAGTCTCCACAAATCCACAAGTATTTGCTTCTCTCTCTATCGCAGCCTCTAAAAGGTTAGATAATAACAAAGGCAAGACTCATGTCGCAGAAGGGGATCATGGCAAGAAAGCACAGCTGTTACCTGACTCTCCTATTAAGCCAGACCTCAGGTTTAGCTTGAGGCATAAGCAAAGGGAGGTGGAGGAATTATTAGGGAGCAAGGCCTGGTGGAAATGAAATACTGTGAAGAGCTGATGTGGGGCAGCCAGTGCACCACGCGCCAGTTCATCGGCTCTCCACGCTTCCCTGTGAGCCGTCATCCTCGTGCTCATTTTGCAGATGGGCAAGAGGCCATGGCGTGTCCAGCATGCTCTGGCAACTTACCCTGTTGGTCTCTGAAGCTCCCCACCCTCTCTGCCTTCGGGGCAAATCCAGGCATTTGCACAAATTTGCACGGCTCAGGGTCTGTCTGCCTCCCCTCCGGGGCCTTGCTTCTCACAGCCCGCTTTTCTCTGCAAGCTTCAGTGGAACGGAAAAGGATCTATCCCCGGGTTGCTGGGCAGAAAAGAAGAAACAGGTTTAGGCAGATGAAGTGCTCAGGATAGTCCAGGAAGGGCCACAGGGCTTGAGAGGGAGACAGGCCTGGAACCAAAGGCAAACAACCCCTTCATCATTGTGCCTGGGCTAGTACTGACTCAGCTGCTTCTGTGTGCGGTGGAGGAAATTGCGGCTTTGGGTAGCTGGGAAGTTCTTCAAGATCCCATGTTGAAGGAAAAGCTCAGCCCCCAGCCTCAAACCACCAGGGAAGTCTGTTCTGCAGCAGTCCAGGAGCTGGTGTGAAGGGGTTGAGGCCCTACTATGCCTTGTATTCGGGGATTCTCAGCCGGAAAGGAACATTTCCTGTTATCTGTGGGTTTTAGTTCTTCCCCGCTCTGGAAGTGGAGGGGAAAAAAAATTACCAGTAATCTGTGGGTTTGGACGTATACATGGTCTTGTGGGGCCAGAGTAAGCAGAATAAAATTAAGTTGCAGTGATGCTAATGGTTCCACTTTGTTTGAGCAAAATGACCAGAAAGGAGACGAGAGAGGTGAGCCCAGAGGGTGGAAGCCAAGATGGCCGATTAGAGAACCAATTTGTTTTAACAAATAGTTATGGTGTCTCTCTGGGCAGGTTACTATGGCAAGATACATAGAAGTTTCTTTTCCTTTGTATTTTTTTCTTCTCCTTATTTTTCTTGTCCTTTCTTTCCCTTTACTGACTTTACTAATAATAAAAGTAGAACATTACATACCTGAGACAACAAGTCAGATTATATGCAGGTATATAAAGAAAAAATGATACCCCCACCCCCACCATTCTATCCTTCTGAGGAAAGTGAAGTTAATGGAAGGACAGGCACCCTTCAATATCTTTCTGTTATCTAGAATGTTAAGACTTATCCCTATTTTTTTAGGAGCCGACTCATCTTAGAGGCAAGAACATGCATGTAAAGAATTATAGCATAAAGGTTTTATACTTATAAGGGCTTTATAAGTGACTGAGATGGCAGGACCTCTGTGGAGTGAGGCTGTGAAAAAGCTGGAAATCTGGGGAGAACTGAGAAAGACTGAATAAGATATACAAGTTTTGAGAAGAGGTGCAAGTCAGGTTACCAAGATGCTGTTATTTAAATGCCTTCTTTCTCACAGAAGCTCAGAACAGAAAGGTCCTTAGAGGCCAGTGGTCCAGACCTTTAGAGACGCATTCACCCTAATGGCTCTCCAGACTCCCTGTGGTTGCCTCCAGGGCCAGAGACTTTGCTCAGAACTTGCTCATGAACAGCCACTACTCTCCCTGCTCCCTATCAACAGGCACACCAGCCTCTTTCTAATACTCTTTATATTCTATGCTCATATGTTACAAAATTTTTATGCATTTGTTCTCTTCCTCTTCTGTATAGTTTAAGCAACCTGAGGGCAGGGGATGTGTTTTGTTTATTTTTGTTGACTGAGTGACAGAATGAATTACTTAATTATTCGAGAAAAGAACAACCAACATATCCTAGGCCCTCTTATTTGAATACATGGAGTCAGCCATGGGAAAGGATTAAAACCTGAACTTCTTCCTGGACTTCACAATTTGCTCTGGACGTGCTGATTCCTACATTTTTCCTGAGATCCTTCCAGTTGAGGAAGAGATTCTCCATTCTCCCCTTTGGTTATATCTAAGGGTCTATGCAGTGTGAGCCAAAAATAAAATTCTAAGCGCCACAACTGACTGAATGGACCCTCTGTTGGCTCAGGGGATACCAAACAAACCTGAAAAACTAGTTCAGGCCATGATAGAAAGAGGGGCTTGGACATGCCTAGTTATACTCTTCTCCCTCAGGCACAACTAACCAGCATTAACATTAAAATAGAGCTCATAAGACTGACAAAACAGACTCTTTGTAACAATAATATGACAAATTCCAACCTAACTGTGGTATAGCATCACATGACAGATAGCAGGACATGAAGTATTTGTATTACCCCAAAATATATTTATTTGGCATATTTGGAAGAGGCCCTGCAAAGCTATCTTTTGTGGAGGAAATTTGCATTCTGTAGAGAATCCCCTTCCTTCACTAGGTCGTTTCTGGAGAGTCTGACAACTTTTAAGTACTGATAAGAGACATTTACCATCTATTCTCTCTGAAGCCTGCTACCTGGAGGCTTCATGTGTATAATAAGAACCTTGGTGGGCCAGGCGGGGTTGCTCAAGCCTGTAATCCCAGCACTTTGGGAGGCTGAGGTGGGTGGATCACGAGATCAGGACTTCAATATCAACCTGGACAAGATGGTGAAACCCCGTCTCTACTAAAAATACAAAAAAATTAGCTGGGTGTCGTGGCGGGCGCCTGCAATCCCAGCTATTCAGGAGGCTGAGGCAGAGAATTGCTTGAACCCAAGAGGCGGAGGTTGCAGCGAGCCGAGATCACGCCACTGCACTCCAGACTGAGCAACAGAGCGAGACTCTGTCTAAAAAAAAAAAAAAAAAAAAAAAGAAAAGAAAAAAAAGAAACTTGGCTTGCACAATCTTTATCTTAACTAATGCATTTCTTTTTTTTAAATTTTCATTTTCATTTTAAGTTCTGGGATACATGTGCAGGATGTGCAGGTTTGTCATATAGGTAAACATGTACCAAGGTAGTTTGCTGCACCTATCAACCCGTCACCTAGGTGTTAAGCCCAGCATGCATTAGCTATTTTTCCTGATGCTCTCCCTCTCCCAACCCCACCCCCCGACAGGCCCCAGTGTGTGTTGTTCCCCTCCCTGTGTTCATGTGTTCTCATTGTTCAGCTTCCACTTATAAGTGAGAACATTCAGTGTTTGGTTTTCTTTTCCTGCATTAGTTTGTCAAGGATAATGGCTTCGTTCCTTTTTATGGCTGCATAGTTTTCCATGGTGTATAAATACCACATTTTCTTTATCCAGTCTATCATTGATGGGCATTTGGATTGATTCCATGTCTTTGTTATTGTGAATAGTGCTGCAGTGAACATACATGTGCATGTATCTTTATAGTAGAATCATTTATATTCCTTTGGATATATACCTAATAATGGGATTGCTGGGTCAGATGGTATTTCTGGTTCTAGATCTTTAAGGAATTGCCACATTGTCTTCCACAATTGTTGAACTAATTTGCATTCCCACCAACAGTGTAAAAGCGTTTTTATTTCTCTGGAACCTTGCCAGCACCTGTAGTTTCTTGCCATTTTAATAATCACCATTCTGACTGGCATGAGATGATATCTCATTTCTTTATTCTAACTTCAAACTCTTCAGGCAAAGCTTAACTCTTTCAACCAATTGCCAATTAGGAAATCTTTGAATCTCCCTGTGACCTGGGAGGCCTCCCCACAGCCCATCTTTGAGATATCTCACCTTTCTGAGCCAAACAAAGGTATAGTTTCCATGTATTGATTTCTGTTTTTACCTGTAACTTCTGTCTCCCTAAAATGATTAAAACCAAGCTGTAACCCAACCACCTTGGGCACGTGTTCTCAGGACCTCCTGAGACTGTGTCATGGGCCATGCTCCTTAATCTTGGCAAAATAAACCTCTAAATTGATTGAGACCTGTCTCAGATACTTTTTGGTTTACAGTAGAAACTGTGTATATCATTACATACATTCCACTCAGGTGAAATACAACTGGTATAAAAAGTAAAGGTTTAGCTGAATTTCTATAGCAAGGCCCCTTTCTGCTGAAATGATAGAAGGAAAAACTCAACTTTAGTCCCTCTTGTGGGTTCTTATCCCTCACTCCTGTGTTGGTGTGATAGGGTGGGGGAGGCAGGGGAGGCATCTGATCCCTATTAATGCACAAAACAAAACATAAGGCTTTATTGATGTCCACAGCAAAATTATCTTTAATGCTATAAAGCTAGATCACACTAGGGCTAAGTCCACAGTTTGGACAAAACGGTTGAAGTGTGAGGATGTCATACACAATCTGTTGTTTTTTTCAGATACATCAGGGATTTAAAAATACACATCATTTACATTTTCATCTTGAGAAATTTTCTTCATGGCACACTCTAGAAAACTGAGAAATGAATGGAAAAGGAAAACTTAAAACTTAGGAAAAAATGGTATATTAGTACTGGTGGTTGGTATGAAGTCTGTTAAACACAGAATTATCTCCAGGTAACAAATATGGTTACAAAACAAGCAAATGTTACCTTTTATGTAGAAAATAAACTTTATACAAATACTAATTTATTATAAAGGAATTGTCACTGAAAATCCCAGATTATATGAATCAAAATTGAAAGAGAAAAAGAGGGTAGCAAGTAAGATATTCTAAATTATATATTGCATCGGAAAAGTGGTTTTTGACTTTGATAATCACAGAAAAATAATTAAAGTAACATCTTTGGAAAACATAAAGTTTACCACCAACAAACCAAAAACAAATGTTTTGCCTTTCAAATCATTAGTGCACAGAAAATCAAACACAACCTAATCCATATATCAAAAGAGAAATTAAAAATGCAGTATAAGAAATGACAAACAGAAAGCCTAAAAACTGGGATATATGTATAGAATTATACATTTATACTAATTGTTATATATAAAATTCTGGCCAACCTTAATTGCATAGCTACTATGGGTCAAGCTAATGTTAGATGCTTTGTGCCCATTACTTTTTTTACTGACTCTTTATGGCAACCATAGTAATACTATATTATTGTTTCAATTATACAAATGAATCAACAGTGAACAAAGCACTTTCCTGACGTCACATAGATGTAAAAGGAAGATTCAAGATCTAAACCCTGACCTCTCTGCCTCACAAACTTATTCTTGGTTACTGCACTGTCCCACCTGCACACAACACAGTGAGAGGCAAGATACCAAATCTATCCATTGTGTACTCCCCAATTTAAAGTCAAAGACCTAAATTGTATCATAGTACAAAATATAACATGTTGCTTATAAAATAAATGCCTTAAAGATGGCATAAAAAATACATACACACCATCTGTGTGTGTGTGTATGTGACTGTGTATGTGTGTGTATGTGTGTGTGTGTGTATTGGGTAAATATAAAAGAACAGAAGCAACAGTGTCAATATAAATTTCAAACAAGATGTAGGATTAAAAGACATTAACATGATTGGAAAAATTTCATATTGATCAATGATATCATCCATGAGGAAATTACCTTTACAGACTGAAAATTTCATGACAAACTATAAAAATCAAAATCGGGAGTTTGAGACCAGTCTGACCAACATGGAGAAACCCTGTCTCTACTAAAAATACAAAATTAGCCAGGCTTGGTGGCGCATGCCTGTAATCCACTACTCAGGAGGCTGAGGCAGGAGAATTGCTTGAACCTGGGAGGCGGAGGTTGCAGTGAGCCAAGATCGTGCCATTGCGCTCCAGCCTAGGCAACAACAGTGAAACCCTTGTCTCAAAAAAAAAAAAAAAAAAAAAAAAAATCAAAATCGCTAAAATGATTAGAAATACAATATAAGAAAAAAATGTAAGAAAAAGTGAACACAAAGGTATTGTGAGACACTCTAACACAAATATCAGTTTTTGATAGATAATATAGATCATTTATATTGATTATGGTATATATATACCATTTATAAGTGAGAATATGCAGTATTTGGTTTTCCGTTCCTGTGTTAGTTTGCTAAGGATAATGGCCTCCAGCTTCATCCATGTTCCCACAAAAGACTTGTCCTTGAGGACGGAGGGTGGAAGGAGGGAAAGGAGCAGAAAAAATAATGGGTACCAGGTGTAGTACCTGGGTGACAAAATAATCTGTACAACAAGCCCCCATGACACGAGTTTACCTATATAACAAACTTGTTTATGTGCCCCGAACCTAAAAGTTAAAATAAAATGTAAAAGAAAAAAAGATAACATAGATCAAAAATAAAGTCAGTGAAACTGTAAACAACAATATTAGTTATATTAACATGTATGCATAAGTATATAATGTGTATATGCACATATATTTACGTATCTAATATAATTCCCCCTCCTTGGGGGAAGGAGATTGGGGGGATCTGAAAAACAGACTCCATAGCTTCTTTCCACTTGCCCACAGAATGCTCTGAAAATACTATTAATATACTGCATTAGAAAGAAAATCTTAATTTATAAAAGCTAATATTTAGGCAACATTTTTGCACTAACATATCGGTGACCTATCAATTAAAAATGACATCAAAATTAAAAATGTATAAAACAACAACTAGCAATTTAAAAAAGTCATGCGAAGCTTGGATGTAAGAGGAAATCAAAATTGCAATGAACATTTGTTAGAAAATATTGCATTCCTACACTACTACAAAACATGAAATTACTAAATCTATGCAATGTAGCCAAGCCTTACCTAGAAGCAAATTCATAATCTTAAATGTTTTCCTTATTGATAAAAAAGAATAAAAATAACGGAACCAAGCATTCACCTTAATTATTTGGAAAAAGAAACAGAAAAAAAACAGGAGGAAATATATAATGGGAAATATAGAAATCCAAGAACAAGGAAACCAAAATATAAGTCCAATAAAGTCAATGATTAAACCCAAGATTTAATCTTTTGATTAAAACAAATCTAACACATACAATTTGAAAAAATCTTTTAAAATGTTGGTTCCCAACTATCCTAATTATTATTCTCATACTCTCAACTCATGTAAGTTCTCAGTGTCTCTACTTCAGTATAATTCAAGGAACTCTGGTCTTCCCACTTTGATCCAATTCACCAGAGCATTTCAAGTTGGCCCCATGGTTTGACTACCAGAGGGCCTCCAAGGGAAATAGGCTGCCGAGGAGATTAGCTTCAGTAAAAGCTTTTACCGGAAGGCTTTTACAATGAGCTCCATCTTCATGGTAGGGCTGGTCTCAGACAAGAGATATGCACCATCAGGTCTTTCCCCAGGACCAACGTCTGGGTGAATGCAGCCCAATTACAGGGGAGGGGACTTTCCCTTGGTACAGAAGAGTATACTCTGTATGTTACCGTCCTGATTTGCCCTACACAAAATGGGTGCTCAATTTTTGAAAGATTGAGTCTTGGCAGAAAGTTGCTTATTCTTGCCTACACCACACCGTCTCAACAGATTTGAGTTTTCTATCCTTGTGTCATCACCGAAGCACAGAAGCATGGGTGTGAAGCAGGAAACTTAAAGACAAAAGCAGAAATCAGAAAGCAGAAAGAAGGAAGAAGAAAGAAGGCTCCTCACAAACCCCAACCCTTTGAATATGTCCAAATTCATCAAATTGTACAGTAGTAGGTGCAGTTTTTTTGTTTACCAACCCTACCTTAATAAAGCTGTTTAGAAGAAAAAAAAAAAAAAAAGACTATGGAGTATATCCAAAATACCAGGATATTTCAGAAATGAAAGCTGATTAAACATAATGATTGGTCTATTAAAAAAACATAATAATTAAAAAAGTAAAAAATAAATAAATAAAAATAAAAAATTAAAAAATTAAAAAAAGACCATCCCTTCTGTCCCAAGTAATCAAATAACTCAGAATAGTGAATATATAGTTAGCCCTCTCTGCTGCTCATGCATTGTGCTGAAGACTTCAACTCATTGTTTCTTTAAGCAATAGTATGAAAAAAAACCACACTTTTTTTTAAAAGCTCTATTATTATTCCTTTTTAAATTACTTACTTTTTTAAATTTTTACTTTTTGAGCCAGAGTCTTCCTCTATTGCCCATGCTGGAGTGCAGTGGTGCAATCATAGCTCACTGCAGCCTGAGCTTCTGGGCTCAGGCCATCCTCCCATTTCAGCCTCGTGAGTTGCTGAGACTACAGGCATGTGCCACTATGCCCAGCTGACTTAAAATTTTTTTTTTTTTTTTTTTTTTTTTTTTTTTTTTTTTTTTTTAGAGACGAGGTCTCATTTTGTTGCCCAGGCTGGTCTCAAACTCCTGCACTCAAGCCATCCTCCCGCCTAAGCCTCCCAAAGTGCTGGGATTATAGGTGTGAGCCTCTGCACCTGGCCCTTTTCTACTTTGAAGAAACTGAGGCTTAGAGAGGTTATAAGAACCTTTCTAAAGTGATCCAGTCAATGACCCAAGGAGAATTGAAACCCAGGCAGCTAGTGTCCAGCATTCAGCATCCGTGCTCTCTCTTACCCCTGGTCTGTATCATGTTTCCAAAGAAAGCAACTTCTACCCTGACAGGATCATTCTTGAGAACTCTGACCTTCCTTCCACCCCAGTTGACATCTCCACACGGGAGGGGGAGATTTATTTGATTGATGAGACATAGAAGAATCATCATCCACTCATCCATGTTCCTGCTTGACTGCAGTGAGCGAAGTTAAAAGTCAGAATACATGGGGCCTCACTCTCCACCCTGCCCCCAGCCCCAAGAGCCTCTCCGTCCCTGGACAAGGAGAAGGCACAGTTTTCCTCGTGTCTGAGTAAGCATCAGCTCTGCAAATGCAATTCAGCCTTGGGTCCCAACGTTTCAACTTAAGAGGAAATATAAGGTTGCCACCTACTTTGGCTTCAGATTTTAATGTGCTCTCCAGTTCAGTTTCCCAAGCAATTAAGCTGATGATCTCTAGTGAATTCCTGGGTCTAGGTATCAATTAGTTCAGAGCTTTGACGAGCAGGGATGTGAGTATTATCAGCCTGAAACTCATCCATTCACACCCCACAGTGGGCTTCTGCCCATGCTTCTGGCTCTAAGAAACTAAATCTTGAGCCTGTTACATGACACTTTAAAGTGCTGTGAACACATGCCTAGATAAATGTCGGAGAACCCACTAAATAAAGCAATGCTCTATCAATGCACAGGACAGCTACATTCCAGAGACTTCCTCTCTGAAGATTTTTGTAGGATCGCGCAGAGGATAACTCTCAAGTAAAGGGGAAATGCTTTCCTTAAGTTATTCCTGTGTACATAAGGTTCCATGTCAGCTCGTTAGTGCAGTGCCACATAACTCTTCCCTCCCTTTGGGGCAGATGAGCTCCAAACATCTCTCCAGCCAGGCAGACATCCTGGAATTATGGGCAAAATATCCAGGTCGCATATGAGACAAATTCCCTAGCAGGGGAATAAGACAAAATTTGTCTTAGGATCCTTTCTTATAAACACAGGAAGCATCATAAAAGAATAACTTCAACCCATTTTTACTCAAGGAGATGGGTGAGTTGATGAATTAAATTAGGTTTTGACATTTTCTTGACAAGAAACAGATCACTGCAATTAGAAGAGTTTGCAGAGTAATTATTTCACATTGCTAGTTCAGACTGCTTTCACAGAGAGATGGGTGTTTCCCTTAATATGTGGCCATGACATAGGACAAAATGGGTGTATTTTGGATAGAAACACGGAAACATGAAGAGGTATATCCTTTGTATACAGTGACTAAAGTGCCTGGTCAGCTGTTTCTACCAGCAGGGGTGCAAATAGGTCTTGACAACTTCATGTTCTGTTTCAGATTTATAACCCACTGAAAATATTTAGAGTTTTAAAACTCTAGGGCCATGATTGTGTCACAGGCTCTTCATCTGAGGCAGCACATTGGAACTCGTTTACTGTGTGTGATTTTTATTTTCTAAAGATTCCTCTTCTCTTCTTTCTTCTGTTGTCTCCCTCCTTCCCTCTCTTTCATTTTCTCTTTTCTTTTTTAAACAAGGAACTTTGCTCTTTGTCAGAAGGTGATAAAGAAGGCAACAATGACCTTGAATTCCTGTTCACGTCCAAATTGTATTGGGATGTAGAACTCAATTCCATCTTGGAGTAGTTCTCCGGTAATGAGAAAATTCATACCAGGCCCTATTTTCAGCCTGAGAGTCCCCTTCCGGCCCCTTGGGAACATCACAGTGGAGAGAGGCCCCCTTAGTGGCACAATCAGCCTCTCATTTCTCCGGAGGGGTTATTTTTTGCATATTTCTGGCAGCCTGGCCTCTGACCTATAGCCTGATGTAATAGGGTTCAAGTTAAATAAAGTCAACAGTTGCCTGACCTATTGTTATGTTCGCCTTTGGTCCTTCTGCAAGCAGAAAACTTGCTTCTCTAGTAATTCTCAGCAGGTTAAACCTCTCTTTGGATCTGCTTCTTCTCTGATTTCTGAATTGGTGAGAATGAGCTATGTTAATGGAAAAAGTAGGGAAGGATTGAGATGATAAAGAGAAATTAGGAAATATACTGCAAAAAAACCCGGCGGAATTAAAGAACTATGGATGAAGAGCCACAGATGTTCACGGAGGCTTCAGGTTCTGAATATGGACAAATATGATGCTGCAATGTGTCAGTTTCAGACACCTCTGCACTGAGAAAGGCTAGAGAATGCTAACATCTCATCTTTGGAAAGGATCTTAGAAATAATTTAACCTGGCAGTTTCAGAACGTTTTTAGCAACTTGATCTTTTCTTTGAGTCTAACTCAGATTTCCAGTTTATAAAACAGATACAATCAACGCTGCCCTAGATAATACCCCAAAAAGGAGGCTGAGGGCCTATGTCACCTCTGCCCTCCTTCCCTCACCAAACAGCCTCTGAGATGCCTCCTCAAAGCCCCTGTCTAATCAGCATGGAGCAGAGCCTGAAAACCACTGAGAACACAGCATGTCCCAAGACAGGAGTCACCTCTGCAGGATCCCTGACTCAGCCCCACTCATGGGAATTCACAGCAGCTTGCCAGCAGCTGAAACTGCCCTGACTTTCACCACCAGAGTGGCTCTTCACCTCCAGAGCCTGTGAAACAAACTTACCCCTCTGTCCATGTGACAGCCTTCAAATATAGGACCACAGCCAGTATGTCTCCTTGTGGTCTCCACACCCCATTGTTTGCATTCGATTATTTGCTCCTTGAGGTCAGGAGTTGTGTCTGTTTTGTCTTCACAGTCTCAGTGCCTAATCCAATAGTGAGTAGTAAGCGCTTAATAAATGTCCTAGAGAAAGTGGTGAGAGCTACGAGATGACACCTGGATGATTAATCATAAAGTAATTATAAAGACTCCAATTATTAAACTAGGCATTGGGTTCAACACTTTATGTACAAAATGTATTTCAATTTTTTGGAAACAATAAGCATTATTAACGCTGTTTAATAGAAGAGGAACTGAGACTTAGTGTTAACTGACACAGCAGGGCCACACAGCTAGCAAGCAAGAGGAGGGAGTAGGACTTGAGTCCAAGCTTATCTCAGCTTTTAACCACAATGATAGAATCTAGTGGTTGAGGCCAGTGTTGACAGATGTTCAGTAGAGACAAGGGCTGGGGAGGGAAGGAAAGGAAGGAGACACCGTGTAAGCAAGTGGAGGAATCCAGAGTTGCTGCTTGGGTAATTGTCCTAATAGATGCACTTCCACCATCACCACTGCCCTGAGCTCCATTTGTCTTCTTTCCTCCTTTTTCTCTGTCAGTTCTCATCTTGACCCAGATTTTTTTTTCTTCCAATAGTCAATGGGTGGGTACTGTCTGAATTCCTGAAGGGTTTCTGCTACTAGAACATGACCACCCAGAGCTGTCTGCTCTCCAATGGCTTAGCACATCAGCAGCAAAGGAGGCAAGATGCAGGCTGGAGAACATGAGATCACAGATGTATGAAACGTGCATAAGACAGCCTCTGGCACATGGCAGGTCATCAGATGATTCGGTGTTCTCCCCTCCTTTTAAAATTTCTTCATGCCAGTTTCCCACAGTCTCTCCTAATTTCCTTCTCTAGAGGCTCTAATTTTGTCTAGGACTGATTTGGCATTCCTGACCATCTGTGGAAAATGATGCCTCCCAGAAGACACCATTCTTTAAGACCTTCCTGTCGCAATCAGGACAATAAGCTCTCTCTTAAGGCCAACTCCCACCTTCACCCTGCACTTGTACCTTTCCTCATCATCACTGATGCTTCCTCCTTCTTCATTGAGCCCAATGTTAGGATGTGAGGCTTTTGAGCCTCCTTGTTTCATTATTAATGGAGCTTGAGATTTTGTTTCTTGCTTTGGAAGCTACATTGCAAATAAAAGCAGGGGCAGGAAGTGAGATCTGATTTTCTGTCTGGTGCCAAGGCTATGGTTAGATCTTTGAGGCCAATTTCCAAGTGACTTTGGATTGGAGTCAGAATACGTGTTTGAGGTAAATAGAGAAGAGAGCTATCTCTCAAGTGGGGCAATCTCAGAGACTGGTGTCTTGGAGAGATGTTTATTGGCTAAATAATAATTCCTTGCATATGTTCAGCATTTCACAGCTCACCAAATACTTCTTTGAGTATTATCCCATTTGATTCTTGAAACAATGTTCTAGGGTAGCTGGGAAAATAGCATTGTTCCCATTTTATACACACTCTGCACTCCTCAGTGAGGAGAGCAGAACTTATGGGACTTGTTCACAGTCGTTCAACCCTTTAGTGTAAAACCAGGACTGAAACCGAAGTTTTCTGACTGACTTGTGAAGATCATATGAATAAGGCAGGTATATAACTCACCTGAGAAAATGTCTTCTGCCTTTATGTATTTAGACAGTGTTAGTCTCTGTCCTCATTTCCTTTCTGAATCCTGGGTCTGTGTCCTTTTTCTCATTCGCTGTGCTGGAAAAATAGATAAAAGGAAGTGATTTGGAGAGAAGGAAGAGAAGAACGTGGTTCTTGATCTCCGGGGACTGGTTCTAAGACATGCTTCTGAGGCTGAGGTTGATGCTATTGTGAAACCCAGCATGAAGCATAACCTTGTTAGGTCTAACCAGCAGAGAGTGGGAGAACAGTGTCTCTCTTCACTTCTGCTTCCTTTCCTCCCTCCTTTCCCACCCTGCTTTTGTGATTTGTTAATTATTTGAGGCAAGGGTATTGGAGGTGTCTAGGCTCTGTCTTCTGACTCAGTCTCATCCCTCCCTGGCCCATAAAAATGTCTCAGAGGCCTTGTTGATCTGAGAATATGAGGCAAACCAACCATCTCGCCCTTTCTAGGCTTGTACATGGGTTTCGGAACTGTCCCCCCATAAACCCTCCCTGTGATCCCACCCACCCAGCCACTATTGCCAGCCCAACTTACTGGAAATCTCTGTTCCTCTAAAGCAGACATTGGCTTTGTTCCCAGAGCCAGGCAAAATGGAAATGCTTTCTAAGAAAAACACAAACAAGAGAATTACATCCTGATCTGACCAGTTGGAAATTTCTTCACAGTATAATTTTATTTGTTCCTCATCAAGGATGCTTTATCCCTCTTTCTGCAAAGGCTGGCCTGGTAGGTCAAGAAAGTAACTGATACTTATTTTTTTCTCTAGTCACTAAAAAAAAATCAAACCCATATAAATTGCTGTCAATTCTGGTGACTTAGAATACAGTTATAGTTCTGGTATCATAAATAAGCTGATATGATGGTACTGAAAGAGCTATAGGGTCCCCCTTCTTGAAAGATATTTAAAGATTTGAGAAACTCCGAAAGGCCTCTGGTCTGTGGCCCTCACTCCCCTACTTCACCCATAGCTCAGATTATGTTCTTTCGTAGCGTGGTTATTGGATTCCACTCAACTGCCACCGTCTTTGGATAATGCCATCCAAGAGCATGACTATTCTCCAATGTCTAAGTTCTCCAAAAACCTCTTTGTTTTCCCTTGACCACTGCAGTCCAGTAAATGCTACATTATGTTAAAGGTGACCTCATTTGACCTTCAAATCATCTTTAAAACTGGCCTTCCCACAGTAAAAGAATTTCAGACCATAGACTGCAACCATTGTGTTTATCTCACACAATATTGTTTTGAAGGCTTCTGTCAATGTAACTCAAGTTTGAAGCACTAAGCTGGCACTTGATATATGCTGCTGAACAGTCTAACTACAGGATATACTATCTATTATTTTAGTAGCAATGGGAGGTATATGCCAAGCCTTGTTTTAGATGCTGCAAATGCCAATGTGCCTATGAACAGTCCAGCCTTAGACTCTAAAGAAGCTCTTACTACATATTCATATTCCAGTTCATAGATCTTTCTCCTAGACTTTGATTTTCGGATTATTTAATTGTTGTATTATTACTCAATTTTGTATCCATTTTTGCTTCATCTCTTTCCTTTGTCCTAATCCTTTGGAGGGAATAGCAACAGCAATGGTGAGGAGAAAGAGCCCAAGAAAGGTAGACTTGAATTCTGCTCTTAATTCATTCACTCTGTGATCACTGACTTCTCTCTTTACTTCTCTTATCTCAGCGAATTTATATGTAATATTAGGAGAATAGAAATGCAAGGGACCCTAGGAATAAAATAATTACTTATTGAAAATAAATAGTCAAAGACGACTATTATCCAGGTGTTAGAGATGGAAAGGTAAATCAGATTTGGTCCCTGACCCTTAGGGGCCAGTCTAGCAGGAAAACAATCTTGGAGCCTAGAGCTTTTTCCTTGTACCCAGCACATGCCTTAAACTTCGTGAGTGCTGGAGAACCAGATGTTAATTTGGGTGTGGGATTTTGAGCTAGTTCTTTTACCATAATTGCTATTTCCAAGTGGAGCTGATCGTCTTTCTACTTTCTCTTTCTAGGGGAGAAAGACATATTCTAGTATAGATCCTAGGTATTCCCATCTGACCTATAAATTGACTTTGTGATACAGCAGAAAAGGCATAAATTAAAATATTATCTTCTGTTACAAATTCCATAGTTTTGGATAAGTCATGTCCCTTTTTGTGCCTCATTTTATCCCACTGATAATAAGTGGTTTGAATTAGATGAGTTCTGGGGTCCCTCCTACTTTGAACATTCTTTGAGTTGAAGATCATGGCCACATCACTCAGCCCTGCTACTGGTGCCCAGGCTCTGGCCTTAGGAGTATGTGTCTAAGCTATTTGGTTGTCTCTTTTTCTGCCCCTTTCTCCCTTCAATCCATCTCTAATATCTGTACACCAGATCCACTGCCTTGGGCCTACTATATGTATTAGGTTGGTGCAAAAGTAATTGCGATTTTTGTCACTAAAAGTAACCGCAAAAACCGCAGTTACTTTTGCATCAACGTAATACTTCTGCTTCTCAGTTTCTCAGTTCCTTTTTTCTGTCTAGTGCTTTTCTTCTTGAAATTAGAATCGTTCTCTCCCTAGATTTTACCAACCCCCCTGATTTGGCAGAGGACTCTCAGCTTGAACCATATCTTGCTCCTGTGAACCTGTTTTCTTCAAGGCTTTGTAGTCTCTATTTTATAAGCAACACCTATGGACTTCTGAAAAAACGACTTGAGAATGCTGTTTTTTATGTTTTACACTCAGCTCCCTATAAATTACCATGCCTTTGTATTTTGATCATTTCTATTACTGTTCAAGGTTACATAACCTCATTCTATGCTACAGACTGAATGTGTTTTTGAAATAAAAGGCAGGGGAAAACTGTCATTAGAGGTAGTAAAATATAAAGCTTTTTTATTTCTTTCACAGTCTCCCTTGACTTGTCATGGTCGTGTTGTTTTTCAATTTGCTATTTCATGTTCTAAATAAAGAAAAATTGAAATGATAAATTACTAGCATAGATTTACCATTCATCTTGATATTGTGCAATGACACTTTTAAATGCAAACTAAGAGTATTTCATTCCTATGAGATTACCGAAATCACACAATTTATACTTCATAGCTTGTACACGCATATATATTTTGCTCTTATCAGAACACTGTAAACACTGCACGAAACCAGTTCAAGTATTTGTACTTTTCTTCTTAATAATATGCACATTCTATCAACACTCTCTACCTTTGACTTACTGATGAGTAAGAGGACTGAAAAGAAAAGGCACTATGGTTTGCCCTATCTTTCTCTTTCCTTCTATGGTATCATTTTCAGTGCAAGTGGTTGACTAATAGAGGAAGTAACATGAGTAATAAAGGATATGACAGAGTCCCTTGCTAATTCTTGTTTCTTAGAATGTCCTTGCCCTCTTTCTGGCTTGAATGGAAAATGTGGCCTCCTGGGACTGTCAGTGGTGTGGTCCCCACATCCTTAGTTGTACACATAACATGCTTACCGTGTGCTTGCTTTGAGTCCCTTCTGAGCTCCCATGCAATGTAGACTCATCGGAATCCCGTGCTCATGGGATTTTATGAACACTATATGCAAATAGGACAGCAAGAAATGGCAGTAAACGCTTTTATTGTTGCTATCTCCTCTGCTCCTGCACATGCTCCATGGTATCGTTGGACTTCACTTACAAAACACAGATACAAAGACAAAATTACTAAGAATTACCAAGAATTTTAATTTCAAGATGGCAACAGAGTATTAAACCAAAGATGAAGTCGTTCTGAGTGTGGGGTTTGCGAGATGGCACAGGTGGCACTCCCAGGAGCTCGTCTTGGCCAGGTCGCACCCTTGAGTCCATTGGAACCTGAATCTCACCCTGCTCTGCTATGCTATACTGACTCCAGCTGAATTCAAGGAGTTACAGTTTGAAACTCTCCAGACTCCAGTGGCCATCCCACTTGTGGTGAGTAGCTTTAAATAAAATATGCTCACAAATTATTTAATATACTTTCCTTTAAAAAATGGAGCTTAATTCCTTTCAAGTGTGGACTATTTTTAGTGACTTACCTCTAAAAAATATTATATGGCAAAAGTGATGAAGTATGATTTACAACAATTGATCCTGGAAGATACTGCATCTTCCATCTTGCTGTCTCTCCTAGATCACTTGCTCTGAGGGAGGACATCTGCTGTATCATGAGGACGCAAAACCATCCCATGGAGGGTGCTACATGCAGAGCAGCTGAGGCCTCCTGCTAGTTGTCAGTGAGGAACCGAGGCTTCTTGCCAATGGCCATGTGAGTGAGCCATCTTGCAAACAGATCCCCTAACCCCAGTTAAGCCCTTCAGGCAAACTGCAACGTTGTCAAGTCTTAACTGCAACCTCATGAGAGACCCTAGGCCATAGCCACCAGCTAAGCTGCTCTTGAATTCCTGACTCAGAAACTTTGAGATCATGAATCTTTGTTGTATTAGGCCTCCAACCTTAGGGGTAATTGGTTATGCAGCAATAGATAACTAATATACCATTATTTTCAAGCGGGACTATAAGCTTGGTACAACCCAAACACCAAAGTATATCCAAGAGTTTTCTTGGCCATGTTAGGAAGTCTCAGAAGACCTCAAAATGAAAAGCAGACAAGCCTCTACTCATAGAGTGCACATTAGGCCGATATAATATTTAGCTTTTCTAGATGCTTTATTTTTTAGGCACTGTACAGTAAAACCAGGGCTTCTTTCCTTGCCTTGATAAATGGTGAATGACATTGGATGCCACTCTCACCCCCATATGCTCACCAAAGGGAGAAGAATTGCTCACCTGATTGGTGGGAGTCATAGCAAATGAAATAGGTCCCTGTGCCACAATTCTGCCAGACTCAGACCTCACTTGTCATTTGGAGGAGCAATTTTGAATCACATTCTCCACTGTTCCTTGCAGGCCCCCAGCAGTAGTAACCCGCTGCTATGCGCAGTGAAAATCAGCTCAATTAGACAGCCTTGCGCATGCTTTCCCCCATCTCTACTTCACTCCCCTTTCTTTTCCCACTAACTTCCTGTGATCACCTCTTGAGGACCTTGGTGAGAGCACTGGACCAAACCAAGACAGTTGTTCGGTCTGGTGTTTTGGGGTAGGGCATGCTTTACAAGTTGGTGAGATTACCATCCCCTAAAAAGGGAGGAAGCAGAGATATCTCTCCCAACTCTTGCTTCTCTTATTTGGCAGTCTGACCTATCAGGCAGGCTAAATGGCCTAGACTAGTTCAGGCCCTAAGGCAAAAATGTGTTTTTTTCTTGTTGTCCATGACATTATTTTTTTCTTGTCACTTAGGAGAATGCTTTAGGCTGGCTTTTTCTTACAGTACCAATGCTAAGTCTCCACCCTGAGTTTGGAAGTTAATTAGAAGGAAGAGAAGCAGAGGCATATGAAGGAACTAGCAACATAGAGGTGCCTCAAATGGGGCTGGGGTGAACTGTAACTACACAAAGGCTGGCATTAAAAAGTACAGCCCCACATGAAAGACTGGCCCCATTGTCCTTAGCAGGTGGTCTGGGCTGCTAGTTTGGCTGTTCAGGGATAGTTTGTGCCCCTAGGCAAGAGGCAAATGGTATTGTGGTTAAGGATGAAATTGGATTATAAGTAAAGGAGATTTATTTCGGAAACAGCTGGAATTGACAGGGCAGGTTATTGGGGCTGGCTTTAGCAGCTTTGGGGCCCAGCAATTTTGAAGTAGCTATTTTATCTGTTGATTTTAGCAGTATTGACAGTGACCATTGGGTTTATCAAGAATGGAGTCATCTAGGGAAGAGGCACTTGAGAAAGCAGGTATCTGATATTGATGAGGATGGAGGTCAAAGGGGTGTTTTTTGTCTACCTGAGAGTACTGAGGAAGCTTCCCTTCTCCGGAGTCTTCTGGTTGTGTGCAGAGAGGGTGTCACTGTTAACTGAGCCAGCAAAGGCTCATCCCCAGACAGGCTGTTTCTCAAGTATGGCTATAGGCCTTGAGGCTTGAAGCTCCTTCAGGTCTCTATAGCGTGACATTTTTGATGGTGAGGCACTGGCCCGAGTTTTCTCCTCCATCCTGCCCTGAAGCAGGGGTGAAGAACTGTCAGGTTTTTTAGGGTGTAGGGAGGAACCTTTCATGTCGTGCCCATGTAAGTCCAGAGAGGTAGAACTTTCTCCCAACACATTTAAAAGGGAAATTCTTACCCTCCATCTTTTTTGGTATGTGTGGGAGCCTGCAACTCAGACGACTGTATTTCCTGGTTGCTTAGTACTAAGGCACTGGAGATCACTGACTGCTCAGCCATGGCACAACCTCTTGTCTCTTTTGCTCCCTAGCCCCACCCCACCCTGTGATCAGGTACAGGGGTGATGTGCTTGAGCTTCATGTAGTATCTCTCAGGTCACTAAGGGGGGGAACTTGACATTTCCCATGTCTTTGCCTCTAGCTGACCCTTCTGTGCAGATTAGCTACATTTAGCAAGAAAGGAGTAGGAAGCCCCTACTTTGGATATGGGCCTTGGTTCTCCAGTCTAACCATTTCTAGAAATGGATGCTGAGAAGTGAAATTTGAGGCTATTATATAAATACAAACATATGTAACATACTGCATGTATATTCATATACATATATAATTTTTTCTGATCAATTTGAAAGTTGCTGACAGGATGCTACTTTATTCCTAAACACTATAATGCTACATACATATTTATTAAAAAGAAGCACATTCTTTTTCATAACCACAAGATAATTATCAAAATCAGGAAAGTAATATTGATGCATTATAGCTATATTCAAATCCTCAGGGCTTATTTGTATTTTTTCCACATGTATTAATAATAATTTAATGGCAACAGAAAATTCTGCTTTGCTTTCAGTTGCTGTCCCTGTTTAGGCTGCTTTAATTTAGTACAGTCCCTCAGTCTTTTTTGTCTATCATGACATTGACAACTGTGAAGAATGCATGCCCTGGTTATTTGATAGATGGTCACCCAAGTTGGGTTTGTTTGATGTTTCCTCTTGATTAGATTTAGGTTCTGAGATTTTGGCAAGAATATCACAGACATGATATGTTCTTCTCAGTGCATGATATCAGGGGACATATGGTATCTTATTTGTCTCATTTCTGGTGATGGGAATTTTGATCACTTGATTAAGGTGGTGTCTACCCAGTTTCTTCAATAATAAAATTACTAGTTAGTTAGCTAATAATTAATGAGAATCTTGTGGAAGGGTACCTTAAGATTACGTAAGTATCTTGTTACTCCTTAAACTTCCAGCTGCTAGTTTTAGCATCTGTTGAAGATTTTTGCCTAAATCAATTGTTATTATAATGGTTACCAAAGAGTGACATTTTAATTGACCCCTGGAATTATTTCTATGATTATTGGTTGGCTTTCTACTGTAAGAAAGAACATTTCCTTATCACCTGTTTTCTTATTTATTCATTCATTTATCCATTTATGTCATGAATTTTATTTTTTTCTGTGAATTGTATTTCTTTTTCTGTGAATTGTATTTCTTTACTATGCTTATTTATTTTGATTTGCAAATTGTCCAGGTTTGTTCAGTCTAAGCCCTTTCAAGCTGGTTCCTGTGTCTGTTTGACATATCTACATCATTCTTTTAACACGTTCTCACTTTTCTGGCACAACACCGTATTCTCAATTCATCTTGCATTTTTCCAGAATCAGCCATTTCTCAAAAGGGCTTGATTCCTTTTAGTGGCAAATGGCATTTTGATTGATTGCTACAGGGTGCCATTGTTTCTAGGGCCTGTCAGCAGAGATAGACAGTAGATGTATATACACACATACACTCATATATGCAAATTTATGTGTATACGTATGTAATATCCATGTCTATATCTGCAGATATACCTCAAAGATATTGTACAATAAAGCGAATATTACTATGAAGCAAGTCACGTAAATTTTTTGGTTTTCTAATGCATATAAAAATTTTTTACACTATACTATAGTCTCTTGAGTGTGTGATAGCATTATGTCTAAAAAAAGTATATACCTTAATTAAACCATACTTTATTGCTAAAAAATCCTGACAATCATCTGAGTCTTCAGTGAGTTGCAATCTTTTTGCTAATGGGGATTCTTGCCTCATTGTTGATGGCCGTTTACTGGTAAGGGTGATTTGTTGCAAGAATAGGGTGGCTGTGGCAATTTCTTCAAATAAGGTAACAATGGAGTTTGCCACATTGACTGACTCTTCCTTTCACAAAAGATTTCTCTGTAGCACACAATACTGTTTGATAGCATTTTACCCACAAAAGAACTTCTTTCAAAATTGGAGTCACGCCTCTCAAACCCTGACACTGCTTTATCAACTAAGATTATGTAATATTCTAAATTCTTTGTTTGATTTCAACAATGTTCACAGCATCTCATCAGGAGTAAATGTCATATCAATAAACCACTTTATTTGTTTATCCATAAGAAGCAACTCCTCATCCATTCAAGCTTGATCCATTCAAGTTTGAGATTGCAGCAATTCAAATCTTCAGGTTCTACATCTAACTCTAGTTCTCTTGCTGTTTCCACCAAATCTTCAATTACTTCCTCCACCTAAGTCTTAAACTCCTCCTCAAAGTCATCCATGAGGGTTTGGAATCAGTTCTTCCAAACTCCTGTTAAGGTTGCTATTTTGACCTTTTCCCATGAACCACAAATGTTGTTAATGGCATCTAGAATGGCGACTTTTTGCCAGAAGGTTTTTGATTTACTTTGCCCAGATTCATCACAGGAATCACTATCTATGACTCAGCTATCTCCTTACAAAATTATTTCTTAAATAATCTTTAAATTTAAAATGACTCCTTAAGCCATGGGCTGCAGAATGCATGTTGTGTAGGCAGGCATGAAAACAGCATTAATCTTTTCTTACATCTCCATCAGAGCTCTTGTGTGACCAGGTACATTTTCAGTGTGCATTAATATTTAGAAAGGAATCTTTTTTTTCTGAGCAGGAAGTCTCAACAGTGGGCTTAAAATGTACAGTAAACCATGCTGTAAACAGACTCGTTGTCATCCAGGTGGTGTTGTTACATTTATAGAGCACAGGCAGAGCAGATTAACATAACTTTTAAGGGACCTGGAATTTTCAGAATGGTCAATGAGCATTGGCTTCAACTTTAAGTCACCAGCTGCATTAGCCCCTAACAAGAGAGTCAGCCTGTCTTTTTCTTTTTCTCTTTTTTTTTTTTTTTTTTTTTTTTTTGAGATGGAGTCTCACTCTGTTGCCCAGGCTGGAATGCAGTGGCGCAATCTCAGCTCACTGCAACCTCCGCCTCCTGGGTTCAAGCAATTCTCTGCCTCAGCCTCCCGAGTAGCTGGGATTACGGGCACCCGCCACTCACACCCGGCTAATTTTTATATTTTTAGTAGAGATGGGGTTTCACCATCTTGGCCAGGCTGGTCTTGAACTCCTGACCTCGTGATCCACCCACCAAAGTGCTGGGATTACAGGCATGAGCTACCATGCCCGACTAACTTTTGAAGCTTTGAAGCATTTACTTCTCTCTGGCTATAAAAGCCTTAGATGGATGGCATCTTCTAATATAAGGTTGTTTTGTCTACACTGATAATCTGTTGTTTAGCGTAGCCACCTTTATCAGTGATCTTAGCTAGATCTTCTTAAAATAAGACAGGAATGAAGATCTTCCAGATAACTGGGTGTAGCTTCTCTGTCGGCACTTGCTGCTTCACCTTGTACTTTTATGTTATGGAGACGTTCTTTCTTAAACTTCAGGAACCAACCTCTGCTAGCTTCTTTTGTAGCTTCTTCACTTCTCTCAGCCCTCATAGAATAGAAGAGAGTTAGGGCCTTGCTCTGCATTAGGCTTTGACTTAATGAAGTGCTGTGGCTGGTTCTATCTTCTATCCAGAACACTAAAACTTTCTCCATATCAGCAATAGGTTGTTTCACTTTGTTATTATTCGTGTGCTCAGTGAAGTAGCACTTTTAATTTCCTTCAAGAACTTTTCTTTTGCATGTGTATCTTAACTGTTTGGCATAAGAAGCCTAGCTTTTAGCCTATCTGGGCTTTGGACATTGCCTTCCTCACTAAACGTTATCACTTGTAGCTTTTGATTTAAAGTGAGAGACCTTGACTATTCCTTGCATTTGAACACTTAGAGGCCATTGTTGGGTTATTGACTGTCCTGATTTCAATATCATGGTGTCTCAAGAAACAGGAGGCCCTGGGAGAGGGAGAGAGGTGGGGGATCGGCCAGTCAGTGGAGCAATATGCAACATTTGCATATGCAAATGCTTATTGCATATGCAAATATTTATTGATTAAGTTTATTGATTATTAACAGAACATATGCAACGTTTATTGATTAAGTTCACCTTCTTAAATGGGCACAATTAGTGGTGGCTCAAAACAATTACAATAGTAACATCAAAGATCACTGATCGCAGATCACCGTAACAGATATAATGACAATAAAGTTTGAAATACTGTGAGAATTACCAAAGTGTGACACAGAGACATGAAGTGAGTTCGAAATACTGTGAGAATTACCAAAGTGTGACACAGAGACATGAAGTGAGTTCAGAGTATTGAAAAAATGGGGCCAATAGACTTGCTGGATGCAGGGTTGCCACAAACCCCAAATTTATAAAACACACAGTGTCTGTGAAGTACAATAAAGCAAAAGGCAATAAAATGAGATGTGCCTGTACATAATCTATATTTATATAGATACAGATTTCTATATTTCTAAATCTATAGATATAGATTTCTATGTATTATTTCATTATATTATATAGATTTCTATATATTATTTCATTACCACCCAGGTATAGTAAAAACTACTTACTTCCACTGATACCTTCAGTTCTAATTCAGTGGCATGGGATTCATGCTACCCTTCCCCTTTTCCATAGTTGGAGCTCCCTTATCCAACAGAAAGAAACACAACAGCCATTTTCTACAGTACATTTACTTATTTACTCAACACACAAAAAGTATTTTCAAAATTTCTAACCCATGCCTCTTTGAATAAAAGAAGCCTACTAACTCTAGAGGTCAATATGTTTTAGAGGTTGTGTTTTTCCCTTTAGCCTAAGGACATATAGTTTAAATACTATGCTCAGAAATTATTCAGGTTAGGTTTCTTTCCCAATTTAGTATAGTTATATCATTCATTTGGTATTTCACTTAGCTCATTTGCTTTTGTTTGATTTACATTTTTGGAATTTCTTCCTCGTTCTTGAGTTTTTTTTTTTTTAATTGGTGAAATGTTACAAAAAATTCCAAAAGTCACAACAGTACAATAGACATATGCAAAAAGTGTCATTCTCCCTGTTCCATCTATTCTTCACACTTCCTCTCACTCACACTTTATTGGTAATGGTGGTGGTCAGAATTCTAAGAATGGTCCCCAGTGACCTTGACCCTCCCCTTCAAGGGTGAGTAGAAGCTGTGAATATGATGAGATATTATATATTACATATCCCTTATATGACAAAAGGGAGATTAGTTTTTAAAAGCAGAGAGTTTTCTCTGGCTGATAGCAGAAGGGGAAATCAGAGAGCTTGAATGCACCACTGCTGGCTTGGAGATGGAGAAGGTCATGTGGCAAGGAACGCAGACCTGAGAAGCTGAGAACAGTCCTAGCTGACAGCCAGCGAGGAAACAGGAACCTTAGTCCTACCACTGAAAGAGTCTGAATTCTGCCAAAAATCCAATAAGCTTGGAAGTGAATTCTTCCCCCAGAGTCCTACAGAGAGGAACCCAGGCCAGCTGACTCCTTCATTTCGACCTTATGAGACTCTTGGCAGAGAACCCAGTTGAGCCTACCTGGACTCTGACCTATAAAATCATTAGCTAATAGATGGGCTTTATTTTAAGCCACTAAATTGTGGTCATGGAAGACTAAAATGGTAACCAATCTTATTAGTCTCTGGTTAATTCTCACTGCATTTATTTTTGCACTAATTTTGCAGAAATGAGCAGATGCCGGTTTATTTTGTTTTTTACTTTTCTTTCTTAAACAAAAGGTAACAAACTATTTGTACTCTTATATTTTGCTCTTCTTTCACTTAACAATATATCCTGGAAATCCTTCAACACCCGTTGATAGACTTCTTTCTCCATTCTTCTTTATCAGCTACACAGACTCCATTATGTTTATAACATAACATATTTTATTCAACATCTCTTCCATGTATGGGCATATAGGTTATTTCCAATAGTTTGCAATGATAAATAATGCTACTAGGTATAACCTTTTGAATTCTCAAGGAAACTTCTAGAAGTGATATTGCCAGGCGAAAAGGTAAACATAAACATAGTTTTATTTGATCTTACCAAATTCCTCTCATGAGGGCGTATCAAGTGACATCCTCTCTAATGAGCCAGTGCTGTTTATGGAGACTTTATTAATTATTAATTATTGAGGCTTTATTGTATGTTTTAATATCTAGGAAAATTAGTATCTCCCCATTGCTTTCTTTTTCAAGGTTTTTCATGTATTCTGGTGTGCTTACATTTTCAAATGAAGATGAGCTTCATAAAAAAATTTTTATGGTGTTATAATTGGGATTGCATTAAATGTATAAAGTAACTTTGAAAGAACTGATCTTTATTCCTGACGTGGTGTCATCTTATCCAAGGGCATGGTATGTCTTTCAATTTGTTCAAGTCCACTTTTGTGCCTTTAAAACATGTCTAAAGGTTTTTCTCATAAAGATTTTGCATTGTTACATATTTCTTGTTAAATTAATTTTCTTTGTTGCTACTGTAAATAAATTATTTCTACCATTATCAACTTCTGGCTGATTCTTCTGTGTATATAAAGGTTATTGATTTTTATATGCAAATCCATATAATGAATACTTTTATAGTTTAGTTTTGTTGTTGATTCTCTTGGGTTTTACAGGTACATAATTATATAATATGCAAGCAGAGATAGGTTTACTTCTTCTATTCAATTTTTTTGGAGGGAAGGGACTCAAATTTATTTATCTTGTGTAATTGCCCTAGCTAATACATCCAGTACAATGATGAACAGTAGTAGAGACAGTGTACATTCTTGCCTTATTCTGGACATAAATGGAGATACCTCTAATGTTTCTTCATTAAGATGCTGACTTTAGGACCAAGTTACATCTACCTTTAATACATTAAGAAACTATCTATCAATTCTTGTTTTCTTGGATTTTTTTTAAATTAGGCAAGGGTAATAAATTTTATTGAAGGCTTTTTCACTACCCATAGAGATTATAATATGATTGTTTTTCTTAAAAGTTTTAATATACATATTTTTGGGTTTTCTAACTTCTAATTCCCTAATTTCTTTTATGTTTGAAACATACACTTGATTAAAGTATACGTTTCCTTATGTGGTATTAGATTCTGTTAGTGAAAATTTTATTTCAAACTTTTATATTGATAGTTTTAAGTGATACTGACCTGTAAATTTCTTTATTTGTACCATATTCATCAGGTTTAGTTGTAAATGTTATATTTGATTTATAAAAATAATTAAGATGTTTTCCTGTATTTTGAAAACTCTGGAACAATTTATGGAGCATTTTAAGTATCTGGTCTTTGAAGGCATGGTAAAATCCACCCTCCTCCGCTACCATTCCCCAATCAACTATCTGAGCCTGGTGCTCTATTGTATGATTTATTCCATTTTATCGGTAAAAATTAGTGTGTTTAAGCCTTCTATCTCCAACAGGCTCAGTTGTTGTTGTAAACTGTGTAATTGTGTAGGCCTACAAAATTACATATTTTATCTAGATTTTCAAATTTATTTTCATAAAGATCTACAAAGTCATCCCTTAATTTTTAAAAATTTCTTTCATTTCAGTAGTAGTTTTTCCCCCACTTCTTATTTTATTGATTTCTGCTTTCTCCATTTTTCTTGAATTAGTTGACTAGTGGTTTGTCTATGCTATTAATTTCTCCAAAAAAACAGAAAAGAATTTTGGATTTCATTAGATTTGTGGTTTTTCTATTCTGTGCCTCTTTTACAACTGTTTTACTATTTCTTTCCTTCTGCTTTCTTTTGCTTTACTTTGTTGTTCTTTCTAATCTTTTAGGTAAAATTTACTTACTTAATTAATTTTTAACTTTTATTTTAGGTTTGGCGGTACCTGTGAAGGTTTGTTATATAGGTTACCTCATGTCTTGGGGGTTTGTTATACAGATTATTTCATTACTTAGGTATTAAGACTAGTACCCAATAGTTATTTTTTCTGTCCCTCTCCCTCTTTCCACCCTCCACACTCAAATAGACCCCATTGTCTGCCCTTCTTTGTGTTCATGAGTTCTCATCATCAACTCCCACTTATAAGTGAGAAGATGCTGTATTTGCTTTTCTGTTCCTGTGTTAGTTTGCTAAGGATAATAGCCACCAACTCCATCCATGTTCCTGCAAAAGACATGATCTCATTCTTTTTTATGGTTTCATAGCATTGCATGGTGCATATATACCACATTTTCTTTATCCAATCTGTCACTGATGGGCATTTAGGTTGATTCCATGTCTTCACTATTATGAATAGTGCCGCAGTAAACATACACGTGCATATGTCTTTATGATAGAATGACTTACATTCCTCTGGGCATATACTCAGTAATTGGGTTGCTGCATCAAATGGAAGTTCTTCTTTTAGTTCTTTGAGGGATCACCGTGCTGCTTTCCACAATGATTGAACTAATTTATACTCCCACCAACGCTGTGTAAGTGTTCCCTTTACTCCACCGCCTCACCAGCCTCTGTCATCTGCCATTCTTACTGGTGTGAGATTCTCACTGGTGTGGTTGTAGGTGTGTAGCCTTAATTCCTGGCTCTCTATTTTGTGCCTTTGGTCTATGTGCTTGTTTTTGTACCAGTACCATGTGGTTTTGGTTACTGTAGCATTGTAGTATTGTTTGAAGTTGGGTAGCATGATGCTTCCAGTTTTGTTCTTTTTGTTTAGGATTGCCTTGGCTATCTGAGCTCTTTTTTGTTCATATGAATTTTAAAATATTGTTTTCTAGTTCTGTGAAGAATGTCATTGGTAGCTTAATAGGAATAGCACTGAATTTGTAAATTGCTTTGGGCTGTATGGCCATTTTAATGGTATTGATTCTTCCTATCCATGAGCATGAGATGATTTTCCGTTTGTTTGTGACTTCTCTGATTTCTTTGAGCAGTGTTTCATACTTTGCATTGTAGAAATATTTTGCCTCCCTGGTTAGCTGTATTCCTCTGTATTTTATTCTTTTTGTGGCAATTGTGAATAAGATTACCTTCCTGCTTTGGCTCTCAGCTTAGCTGCTGTTGGTGTATAGGAGTACTAGTGGTTTTTGAAAATTGATTTTGTATCCTGAAACTTTGTTGAAGTTGTTTAACAGCTTAAGAAGTTTTTGGGCCAAGACTATGGATCATGTTTTCTGCAAACAGGATTAGTTTGGTTTTCCCTTTTCCTGTTTGGATCCTATTTATTTCTTTCTCTTGCCTGATTGCTCTGGCTAGGACTTCCAATACTGTGTTGAATGGGAGTGGTGAGAGGGGCATCCTTGTCTTGTGCCGGTTTTTAAGAAGAATGCTTCCAGCTTTTGCCCATTTAGTATGATGTTGGCTATGGGCTTGTCATAGATGTCTCAATTATTTTGAGGTATGTTCCTTCAATGCCTATTTTATTGAGAGTTTTTAACATGAAGAGGTGTTGAATTTTATCAAAAACCTTTTCTGCATCTATTGAAATAATTATGTGGTTTTTGTCTTTAGTTATGTTTATTTAATGAACGACATTTATTGATTTGCATATGTTGAACCAACCTTGCATCCTGGGGATGAAGCCTACTTGATCATGGTGGATTAATTTTTTGATGTGCTGCTGGATTCAATGCAAGTATTTTGCTGAGGATTTTTGCACTGATGTTCATTAAGGATACTGGCCTGATGTTTACTCTGCCAGGTGTAAGTGTCTCTGTCAGGTTTTGGTATCAGGATGATGCTGGCCTCACAGAATGAGTTGGGGGAGGAGTCTCTCCTCCTCAGTTTTTGAAATAGTTTGAGTAGAAATTCCACCAGCTCTTCTCTGTAAACTGGTAGAATTTTGGCTATGAGTCTCTCAGATCCTGGGCTTTTTTTGGTTGGTAGGCTATTTATTACCGATTCTATTTCAGAGCTCATTATTGGTCTGTTGAGGGAATCAGTTTCTTCCTGGTTCAGTCTTAGGAGGGTATATGTGTCCAGGAACTTATTTATCTCTTCCAGGTTTTCTAGTTTGTGTGTATAGAGGTGTTTGTAGTAGTTTTTGATGGTTACTTTTCTTTCTGTGGGGTCAGTGGTAACATCCTCCTTGTTATTTCTGTGTTTATTTGGATCTTCTCTCTTTTCTTATTAATCTAGCTGGTGGCCTATCTTATTAAGTTTTTCAAATAACTGACTCCTGGATTTATTAATCTTTTGAATGGCTTCTCATGTCTCAATTTCTTTGGGTTCAGCTCTGATTTTGGTTATTTCTTGTCTTCTGCTACCTTTGGGGTTAATTTGTTCTTGCTTCTCTCATTCTCTCAGGCATGATGTTAGATTGCTAATTTGAGATCTTTCTAGCTTTTTGATGTGGGCATTTAGTGCTATGAATTTCCCTTTTAACACTGCTTTAGCTGTGTCCCAGAGATTCTGGTATGTTGTGTCTTTGTTCTCATTATTTTCAAAGAACCTCTTGATTTCTGCCTTACTTTCATTATTTACCCAAAAGTCATTCAGGAGCATGTTGTTTAATTTCCATGTAATTGGATGGTTTTGAGCAATTTTCTTAGTTTTGACTTCTATTTATATTGCACCAAGGTCCAAGAGTGTGTTGGGATTTTGATTCTTTTTAATTTTCTGAGGATTGTTTTATGTCCAATTACATAGTCGATTTTAGAGTATGTGCCATGTTGTGAAAAGAAGAATGTATATTTTGTTGTTTTGGGGTAGAGAGTTCTGTAGAGATCTATCAGAACAATTTGGTCCAATGTTGAGTTCAGATCCTGAATGTATTTGTTAATTTTCTGCCTCAATGATCTGTCTAATACTGTTAGTGGAGTGTTGAGGTATCCTACTATTATTGTGTAGGAGCCGATGTCTCTTTGCAGGTCTCTGAGAATTTGCTTTATGAATCTGGGTGCTCCTGTGTTAGGTGCATATGTATTTAGGATAGTTAAGTCTTCTTGTTGAATTGAACCCTTTATCATTAGGTAATGCCCTTCTTTGTCTTTTTTTTTTTTTTTTTTTTTTTTGAGACGGAGTCTTGCTCTGTCGCCCAGGCCGGACTGCGGACTGCAGTGGCGCAATCTCGGCTCACTGCAAGCTCCGCTTCCCGGGTTCACGCCATTCTCCTGCCTCAGCCTCCCGAGCAGCTGGGACTACAGGCGCCCGCCACCGTGCCCGGCTAATTTTTTGTATTTTTAGTAGAGACGGGGTTTCACCTTGTTAGCCAGGATGGTCTCGATCTCCTGACCTCATGATCCACCCGCCTCGGCCTCCCAAAGTGCTGGGATTACAGGCGTGAGCCACCGCGCCCGGCCCTTCTTTGTCTTTTTTGATCTTTGTTGGCTTAAAGCCTGTTTTGTCTGAAATTAAGATTACAATTCTTACTTATTTCTGTTTTGCATTTGCTTGGTAAATTTTCCTCCATTTCTTTATTTTGAGTCTATGGGTGTCATTACATGTGAGATGGGTCTCTTGAAGACAGTACACAATTGGGTCTAACTTTTTTATCCTTAGCTGAAATTTAATTCACTTATTTTTAGGCTAAGAATTTTTTCTGACCAATGCTTAAATGCATCCTCAAAATTCTGCGTTATTCTTTTGTTGCATCAGTGCAGGGTATCTACATAACTTATCATCATTCTTTTAAAAATTCTATAATTTTGTTTGTATATCCCTTTTATTGAAGAGTTGTTTAATATTTTTAAATTCTAGATGAAATAATCTTTTTCTTACTTTATTAATATTTCTAGTGTTTTTACACTGTAATCAGAGAGTGTTCTTTATAATATTTCTATAACATTGATATTTTCTTTGTTACTTAACATATCCTAAATTATGATTAATTTTCTAAATCCCCCATGCACACTTGAGAATATATGTTCTCTAGTATCAGGTTTGATGTATATCCATGAGATCTATGTTAGTAATTATGTTATTTAAGTTGTCTTGTATCCTAACTTATCTTGCCTGTTTAATTTATCTTTTTTTAATTTTAATTTTTATGTTTTTAGCAGATTCTCACTCTGTTGCCCAGGCTGGAGTGCAATGGCTCAATCTTGGCTCACTGCAACCTCTGAGCCATTTTGTTGGGATTACAGGCATGCACAACCACCCCCAGCTGATTTTTGTATTTTTAGTAGAGATGGGGTTTTGCCATGTTGGCCAGGCTGGTCTTGAACTCCTAACCTCTTGTGATCCCCCCTGCCTCTGCCTTTCAAAGTGCTGGGATTACAGATGTGAGTCTCCATGCCTGGTCTCCATTTATCTTATACTGAGAGCAACTCACTGAATGTTCTTTATTATTATTTATGTGTTTCCATTTATGTGTCCTTACATTTCTGCAATTTTTGCTTCAAAATATGTTGCTGTGTTATTTGGTGCATAGATAACTGTGACTATTATACCTTTATTGTGAATTGTGGCACTTATCATTAAAATGTGATCTTTCATTTATTTGCACAGCAAGTATTATCTCCTGAGAAGATGTAGGTGAATGCAGAGGAGTGAGACTCAGTGCTCATCTTTGCATATGAAGTCTATTAGTGAAGAATCAGTACCCTTATATTCCCTTAGATGTGGTAGTAGCATAGCTTTTTCATGTTAAATGTCCTGAAAACCTGGCATGAAGATTTCAGCAAACGTATCTTACAACATGAGAAAGAGGAGTCTAATCGGACAGGGGATACAAGTATAGAATCAATGACAACACATACTCAGTTTTAGTTCTTAGGAGGATTTTGTTTTTGCTTTTTTTTTTTTTTTTTTTTTTTTTTAGCTTGAAGATTTTCCTTTAATATTCCGTTTTTGTTTTGGTTTTTTTTTTTTTTTAATGGATCTACATTGTTAACTGATTGAGACTCCACTGTGATTCTCTCATATACTTAAAAACTTTGCAGGGATGCCTGTAACTTTTAGTGTCCTGAAAAAAAGTGGTGTTGGTTGATGTAAGGAGGGAACAGAAATAATTTGAACTATTCCAAATACTGAATGAAAAAATAATAACTGATTTATGCTGTCTTAAAAATAAAAAGTACTGATAAGCCCTCCATGACATTTAACCTTAAAAATTATTTTAAATATATTCTTTTATTTGCATAAAGGAAATACAAATGGCTGATAAATGCCAAAAAGATTCCAAAGCAGCTTAATTTAAAAAGCACAAAGAGATCATGACTTGCAATGCTGAAATCTCAATGCTTTTATAGTTACTGGGCTAACTAATATGATTATTGAGTTTACAGATTTAAAAATAGTCACTGAAAAGTTAAAGTATCTACTGTTTTTATGAATCCAATCTTATGCTGCCTCAGAAATCCCTGGGTGGTAACACTGAAGTAAAGAGTGCAGTTGGAAACATTGGTGAGTCACAATGACTAGAGAAAAGGGATCAGTTTGCAAACAGTAATAAAAAGAAAGGTCATTGAAATAATTACTCATTAGCATACTTACTCTCCAAAAAGTAATTTTATATGGGTTGAATTTTTCAGCTTTACCTTACTTACAGCCAGATTTAATATCATGTGGCTTTGTATTTACTATAGATATGTAGAACTGTAACCAAATATTTTATTCTCTAAAACTTTCTCTTGTTGATTGCAAAATACAGATCTATAAACAAAACCCGTAAAAAGTCACCTTATTTGCCTCATTTAATTTGCCTACTTTGTTTGACATCAATATCACTATACCTGCTTTCTAATTGTTTCCATTTGCTGCTTTTTTTTTTTGTTTTTGAAACGGAGTCTCGCTCTGTCGCCCAGGCTAGAGTGCAATGGCAGTGCAATCTCGGCTCACTGCAACCTCAAGCGATTCTCCTGCCTCAGCCTCCAGAGTAGCTGGGATTACAGGCATGCACCACTACGCCCGGCTAATTTTTGTATTTTTAGTAGAGATGGGGTTTCACCGTGTTAGCCAGGATAGTCTTGATCTCCTGACCTCATGATCCGCCAGCCTTGGCCTCCCAGAGTGCTGGGATTACAGGCATGAGCCACCGCACCCAGCCCTCTCCGCATTTTTTTTCCAAATTATTTTGTTTTCAAATTATTTTGTTTTAGGTTTTTAAAAAATAATCAGTTTACAGTTGAGCCTCATATTTTCAGCCATGATGGAAGTATTTTTTAATAGGTGAATTAAGTCTATTCACATTTTTAATAAGACTAATATGTTTGGTGTAAACTTTGCATTATTTTTACATTGTCAAAACTTACAACACATGATATATTGAATATATTATATAATATCTTATTCTTTCACTCTTGTTTCCTCTTTTGTCTTATATCTATAATTAAAATAGATTTAAAATTCACCACTGATAAAGTTTCCTCATTAATTTCTTGTTGGATGAATTTTATCTTCAAGCAGGTTTCTCTAAAGGGGCTCATGGGTACAAAATTTTCTGAGCTCCTCCATGTTTAAAACTGTTTTTTCTATAGCTTTGATACTTGACAGGTATTTTGTTTTTTGGGTTTTTTGTTTTGTTTTGTTTTGTTTGCTTTATTCACCAGCGCTAGAAAACAAGAAACGGACAACTACATTTAGAGAAGACATTTTTCTTTCTGATAGTGGTTTTGGGTGTCAATTTTAGTCTGGATACTAGCTCTCTTATCTCATTCAGTCTTCCAAAATAGTAAATGAGACATGCACTGAATGAACATTTGGCCAGATAACAAATGGGAAAATAATATTTTCTCAAAATTTTATTTGTCTAAAATAAAATATGAAGCCAAATATCATCATCATAAAATAAAATTAGGACATACAAAAACTATCCTGAAATTTTGTTTAAAAGTTTAATTATATAATCCCAGCACTTTGGGAGGCCGAGGCGGGCGGATCATGAGGTCAGGAGATTGAGACCATCCTGGTTAACATGGTGAAACCCCGTCTCTACTAAAAATACAAACAATTAGCCGGGCGTGGTGGCGGGCGCCTGTAGTCCCAGCTACTCGGGAGGCTGAAGCAGGAGAATGGCGTGAACCCGGGAGGCAGAGCTTGCAGTGAGCCCAGATCGCGCCACTGCACTCCAGCCTGGGTGACAGAGTGAGACTCCGTCTCAAAAAAAAAAAAAAAAGCTGAATTATGAATGTTGCTGTTAAAATATCTAAGTTAAATGTTTAAAGTTTGAGTTACAGTGCAAGAACAGCATTTTCTCAGAATAGTGTGCTATTTTATTGCTCTTGCAGTCATTATCTGAGCATTTGTGATATTAAGTAGAACTTTTCATTTGTGATCAGTGGGGAAATAAGATATTTTTGAAGTACTTAATTTTTTTCCAACATTCTTCCTTTATTTGCATTTGATATTCTTTATTTTGTCAATATAGAATGTATAAAGGATGTTGTTCTTTTCTCCATAATACAGCTTGAGATGACAAAGTTAACATTGTGCTTTTAATCTGCTCTCGTAACATAGAGAAAATTAATAAAGTGTACATTTTTCTTTAGTGAACCATGATCTACATGGGATTAAATAACTAAATATTAAATATAGTGTTTAAAGGTTATTTTGCTTCATGTTAATTTTATTTTATAAATGCTTATACCTAAAAAATTCTCAAAAGATTAAAATTTTGATCTATTATATGCTTATCTAGGAAGATGTATATTATGCTAACTTATCATTGAAACTTTTATAAATTGTGTTTCCTTAAAAAGCATATAATGGGCTCGGCACAGTGGCTCCCACCAGTAATCACAGCACTTTGGGAGGCCAAGGTAGGTGGATTGCTTGAGGTCAGGAGTTTGAGACCAGACTGGCCATCATGGTGAGACCCCATCTCTACTAAAATAAAAAAAATTAGCCGGGCATGGTGGCAGACACCTATAATCCCAGCTACTCAGGAGGCTGAGGCTGGAGAATTGCTTAAACCCAGGAGGTGGAGGTTGCAGTGAGCCAAGATCCTGCCACTGCACTCCAGCCTGGGCGACAGAGCAAAACTCTATCTTGAAAAAAAAAATAAAAACAACAGCATATTATGCTCTAAGTTTATCTAACTAATATATTATTTTAATATTAGTATTAAAAACTGGAAATATATTTTCTTATTTATTTAGCTAATTGGAAATTCTTAGCAATTGTGTGTGTTCATGAAATTAATAGCTTTCATAATCATTACAATTATTAAAACATTTTACTCTTTCAATCAGTCACATATATATCTGTTTCAAACACAGTAGAATTTCAACATACAAAGCACACAAGAAGATCATTAAAGGTTATACTTAGAGTTCTTACCCAATTTTGCATGTGAATATGCATTGTTCATATTACTAATATTGTTGTGCTGACTTCATATGATAAGAACCTGTGAGATCACATGATTTTAAATATACCAAAGTTTGGGAATTACTGGACTGATGTTGAAGAAGAAAAAAGCTGAAACTGAATAGCTGATTAGGTTGAGAACACCAAGGCTAGAGCCAACATTTTGCATCTTTAAAATGTATTATTTCAACTTCACTAGTTTCTTTGAGTACTGATAACTTTGGGATTTTTTATATATTTATACTTTTTATTTCTTTTTCTCTAAATTATATATTCATGTCTTATTTTTTGAGTGACAGCACTCAAGATACACATAGAGATCTTTGGAGACTGGAGTAAGCATCTGTCTTTCAATCTCTCGCATGACTCTGTAGACAGTGCTAATTGAATCTGGTAAAGAGGGCTGTGATGGAAAAAGCAATTCTGCTAATGGATTAGACATTAGAAAGCTCCAGATCAAAGAATTCTTGTATCATTAAAATGCCGGGGAAAAAGTACTGTGGTTTCTTGAGACAAGCGCCCAGGCTAACTTCTTAAGGATTTGCATTTTGGGGTGGATTGACAAGTTAGCTATTTGAGGTTAAGGTTATCCCTGAACCATTAAAAGAAAAGAACAAGACCTTGTCTGATAAACCTGAAAACTTGAATTTGGTGAATAGAGATGCATGAGATGTTATGCTCTTTGGGATTCTGAAAACCCGATGTAAGTCAATGTCCATCTGATCACCAGCAACCAGTGACGGGCAGTGGAAATGCCCTGGGTGTAAGGTATTCCTAACCCCCTTTCCCCAACACACACACACACCACACACCACACCACACACAAAAAAACACACACAACAAACACAAAAAAATACACACAACACACAAACACACACACAACACACAAAAAACACACAACACACAAAACTCACACACACCACACAACACACACCACACACATAACATACAACACGCACACACAACACACACACACAACACACAGCTATACCACTGTGTGTTGAAGATAATAACAGGGTGAACACACATACAACACATATACACACACACAACACAACACGCACCCACACAACACACACACAACGCGCACACACACACACACACACACACACACACACACACAACACACAGCTATACCACTTGCCATGATTCCAGCACTGTGGTGCATATAGGTATATAAAAAAACAGTGGAGCATATTCCTTGTTAAATAGCATAAATTCTTTCAGAGCTGAGACTAAAATAGGTAGCTTTGCCTGCCATAGTTAGTAATGTGCTTATTTGGGACATTTAAGAATGTTGTCTTTTCTCCAGTCAGGTTTTTGAAAACACCTTAGAGAAGGAATTCAGATTCAAGAAACTAAGAACTTATTTGGAAGGGAACTAGGTTGAGAAGATGAGAGACAGGAAGGTGGATCTACTTTCATAATTACTGTACTGGCAGGAGGAATTAGAAGCCCCTCTCTACCACATCCCAGTTGGGAACCACTGATGGGAATAATTCCGTTGGAGGTAGCACTTTCCTGAGGTGCAGAGAAAAGCAGTCATGCAAGACCACAGCAGTTCACTTGTAATAATGACAGCCCAAACAGGCTTGCAGGGTTTGATTTAAAAAAAAAAGTGTCCAGTAAAATTTGGATTTCAGATACACAGTGAATAATTTTTTAGCATAAATATGTATGCACTTTGACATCCTGCTAGCAAGGATAAAAAATAAATAAAATAAATAAATATGTATGTTCTGAGCAAATATTTAGGTTATCCCTGGATCATTCAAAGGAAATATGGCATGGGGCATGCTTATGTGAAGAAATTAATAATTGCTTCTATAAAATTCAAATTTAACTGTGCGTCCTGTATTTTATCTGGCAACCCTAAGCCCAAAATCCCTTTCCCAACTCTTCCTCCATGTAAAAAAGAAAGAATAAAAAAGACAGAAGACTCTTTCATTCAATAAGAGAAAAACGTTGACTCTACAGTAGGTTTAGGTTTCCATAGCTGAAGGAAATATTATTTTATCAATAAGGATTCAGCCTGCATACTTTCTGAAAAAAAAATACACGCGCTTGAAAATTATTGTCCTTTAGAATATTTTAAAAATAAATACAGATTTTGACAACTCAAACTATATAGATACATACGTAGACAATTTTAATACTCTGCTGCTCACTGTCCTCCTATTCCATATCCTCAAGGTGATCAGTATTCATTGTTAATGTATGTTCATGCATATTTTTGCTATGCTCATACGTTTATGTACTTATGTATAGTTCCTTTTTCATGGAATCATGTTACTCTGCAACCTGAGTAATGTGCTTATTTTAAGGCCATCTGGTTAAAGGAACTGGAAGATTACAGTTCCAGTGCTGGCAATGGTGCATTAGGCATCCTTATTCTAACGTTCTCAGCCTTGACCGCAAACAGAAATTCAGTGTCCCCTAGGATTCCCATTCCTCCTGGTATCATAGTCCTTCAACCCCATACCATCTAATATAGTAGACACTAGCCACATGTAGTTGACAAACCCTTGAAATGTGGGCTATCCAAATGAAGATGTGACATAAGTTTACAATACACACCAAATTTAGAGGCCTTTGCTGCAAAATAAAGAACTTTAAATCTCTCGTTAATAATTTTATATTGATTACCCATTGAGATAATGGTACTTGGGATATATTGGGTTAGATTAAAATGTATTATTAGAATGAATTTCATTTATTTCTTCTTACATTTTAAAATGAGACTACTAGAAAAATGTAAATTACATATGCAATTTGCATTATATTTCTATTGGCAGCACTGTTCTAACCCAAAGGCCTGCAGAACGATGTGAGTTCACCTCAGAGGTACATGAGATGATTCCTTGGGAGTGTGGAAAGAAAATATAACTTCTTTTCTTACTTATTTTTATCTTATCAATTTTTAATTTATATTTTTGCGTCTGTTTCATAATGTACATAGTATATCGTCATGGTACTAAATGTGTATATTATTCAAATATTAACATCCATTTATTTGCAGATGTATTAAAAACATTTTTATAGACAGAAGTGTGCGACACAAAATTAAAGCATATGGTGACCTTGCTTTGCAGGGGTGAGCAGAGGGTATGTTTTCCGTCCTCTGTTACATATTGCTCCCCCTTGGTATCTGACCCACCTTTCACACCTTTGTGCTGACTTTATTCCTTCTCTTTCCTGAATCATGTCCAAAGGCGTCCCAGGGAAGATAAATGAAGCTCTAAGCTTTGCCTTCCTGCTTTCTGGATCTTAGGGTTTGGTGTCCTTGCTCCTTGGGTGCCTTGAACATCCCATCTGGCAAGGTTGGGCTGCACCTGCCTTCCCGATGCGCCTTCCTCCCAGAGAGCCTGGTGCCCACCCCAAGGCTCCTCGTTCTCCCTCACACTCTTCTCCAGCACCTCCGGCCTCCCCTCCCTACCAGGTCCCCTGAGCTGTGGAGATTACAAAGGAGAATCAGGTTTACACTACTTTCATCCTAACAGATAATGAGAAGAAAGAGAAAGCAAAAGTGAGATGAGAGGACAGATTGATTCCGGGGGCTCTGACCACGGGATGATTCGCTCTCAAATCAATTCCCATTGAATTGAAACCAACACCCTCTCAACCTAGGTTACTGGTATTAGAAAGGAGTTATGGGAGTTGGCTAAGCCTATAACACTTTCTTCAAAAGAATGTCTATTCGATTATTTCTTTTGAAGGTACTATGTTGTGGCAGCCATGAGAAATATAGGATGGATGGAAACGTGAGTAGTCACATCACTCCACAGGGAAGATAATAACAGAGTGTAGCTTTTAAAGGGGCTTGCACCCACCCACCACTGGCACAGGTCCTTGGACACACATGTACACACGCACATGCCCACACCCTTTGCTGTGCCCCCTGAAACTCATTCCCCCTGCAACTGAAACTTGCCTTTGCTTGTGATCATTCACACCCCTCTCTGTCATTCCTGCACCCACTCAATTCCTCACTCTTATGCTCAGAAAACATTTACTGACTGAGGGCCTGTTCTAGGAAAGGCACCAAAGTCTAAGGATAATCAAGTCTGGTGGCCACATTCAGAAAATTCTGGCCGAAGTGTTTTAGGTTGAATCATGAAATTGCTGATATTGAACAGTTTCTGACCTTTGAAATGACCACTTTATATAGTGAAGCTTAATTTTGTACATGCATACACATGCATATTTGGGGTTCATATCACTATAGAAAAGTGGTCAAAAACAAATTCTGGCACCAGATTTATTATTTATTAGTTTTGGAAACTTAAGTAAGTTGCAACTTAACTCATCTGAATCTCATTTTCTTCTTACGAAAATGGAGAAAATAACGGGCTCTACTTCATGGGGTTATTGTGAGGATCAAATACTTAATCTTTATAAAGCATTTAATACATACTGCCCAGCACATAGTAAGTGCTCAATAAACGTTAGCTGTAGCAGTGGCTGCTGTAGCAGTGGCTGCAGTAGCAGCTAACATTTATTATCATTATTAGTGGGTGGTAGCATCACTGTCATCTATGGAAGTCCATGTACAGTATTCCTATTTGCAAGATGATAAAATAGACCTGCTCAAGTGAGAGAAAAATCTCTTACTGACTCTCCCAGCCAGGAAAGCCATCATCTTATCAATAATGGAAACAGAATACTTTATTAAAACTGTAGAAATTCAGCAGAAGTTATTAAAACAACTAGGAACTTTAGTGTTTGACATTTGAATAGAGAATAACAAAATGGCAGTGGGGAGGGACCCAGAAAGTGTGAGGAGTGCAAGAGGGGAGGGAGCAGGTGGCCGTGCTGGCTGCGTTTCACTTTGGGCAGGGTGTTTGCATCTAGAGACCTGCCTGTTTATTCCAAGTGAAAGCCAAGGGCTGAGTGCCCTTGTGAGGAGTTCGTGTTAAGTTTCATGTTTGTGCAGGAAAGATCTGAAGGGCAGTGTGGCCACAAGGACTGATGGACAGATAGATAGACATGTCTGGATTTATGACTGAGCAGCTGACCCGCGCCAACATGCTAGTGAGGACACACAGTTGACTTAACACAGGCTGCTGGTATCCACAGCCAGAAGTCGAAGAAATTGTTGGTGTTATTAACAATCTTCTGGCAGGAGGATGGCACTTACGTCCTGGCTGTGCCGACACAGCTAAGATTCTCTGGTGTGGATTCCAGGAGCACATCGATCCTGGCCACACAGACAAGCTGGAGGCCAAGAGTCCCTTCCCTTGTCCTCACAGGGGGCCACCACAGTCAGCCTGGACAGCCCCTTCAACAACCAAGGGACCTGTTTACAAAACGGTGAAACAAACTAAAATCAGACAAATAAGTGTCACACTAGATTGGCTGGTGGAGCCAAAGGGTTTGATGTAGAGGTGCCAAAAAGGAGCATAAAACCAAGGGGAGATCAGGGCCTTGGGTGCAGAAAGGGTGAAATCAAATCTCACCTTTAGCCATTAATATTAGTGTGGCACAGGCCAATCCTCTTACCTGTGGGGCCTCAGTTTCCCCATTTGAGAAATGGTGATGAAAATCTGCCTCATAGCCCTATTGTGAGATTGGAGGGAAATCCTGGCTGTGACTTGCCCAGTGCACCTTAGTTCATTTTCCTCCTCTCTGTATGTAGTAAGTCACTCCAGAAGAGAGCCGACAATTCTGGCCCTGACAGGCGCAGCAGCCAGCCCAACCCTGAGAAGCAGTTCCCCCACCCCTTCTCCCTCACTCTGTCCTCCCCTCCTGGCTTTTTCCCAGAAGGCTCCAGGGCTCCCAGGCCAACTGCCAAACCACAGGGCTCTGCCATTGGCTTTCATAGACCCCCTCCCCTTCCCCTCTTCAACTGCATCTCTGCGTGGCAGTCCTGCTCCGGGCTCCCTCCCTGGAGGGTAAGACCCGTGGCTGCCCCAGCCTGCTATGCCAGCATTTGCAGGGGTATTCATCTGAAACCACTACTGACAATCTGTGTTTATTTGGGGCGTGCAGAGGAGCCAAGGGCTATGAAAGGAGCTGCGTTCCAGAACTCTCTGATTCCCATCAGGCTGCGCAGATCAGGCCCTGTAGCTGAAAGAAGAGCTAGGCTTTCTCTTTCCATGTCTTCAAATAGGGGACCGCACACTAGTTGCAGTTCCAACAGTTGCAGTCTGCAGTTCCTCTTTTTGCTCACTGACAACACAACCCAATCCTGTGCCTTATCAAAGACAAGAACTATTAGAGAAATGATGATGAGAATTGAGGATGTCAAATTTTATACATTTGTAATTGCAGGGGATAACAAGACTTCTTTATTTTGCACTGTTTAATATTTCAACTTTTTATGGAAATAGAGAAAAGTGCACAAATTGTCAACTGATAGCTGGGATTGGATGGCAGGAAGAAATTGACACTAGGACTGGCTTCCAGCACCTTTAGCTGGACCATGTAGCCTCTTAGGGCACGAGAATTGAGAACATTCTTTAGGAACCCTGTTAGCATATTTATTACAACCAGGGGTGAGCTGGAGCCAGCTTGCACCAGCTCAGAAGAGCCTATTTTTCCCATCTCTTCCCAACTCCACATTCAGTGACCTCACATTGGTGCTTGAAATCAGGGTCAAAGGGAGTATTTACACCACAGAAATCAGCAGATGATAAGTAGAACAGCCACCCCACCGACCTCCCACCTCCGCCACGAACAGTTTTTAACCATTTACTAACAAACCACTGTTTAAAACTTTCCTAAAATGGGTGAACAAAATTTGAGTACCTTTCTGACTAACTCCAGTTTAATCAATCCCTACCCCCTTTCTCAGAAAATCTCCCTTCCCATTATCTTGCCCTGAGAGTACAGAGCCTTTGCAATCTTCCTTCTGGAAACTCTCATGCATTTGACAACTGCTGCACCTCAGCCTTTTTCCCTCTCTTCTGCTTTTTGTTAAGTGATTGCTGTTCTTGAGTGTGTCTAAGTGATTCCCCAGAGACATATCCAGGTGGTTGATGTGCAAAGCCCGGCACTTCCTGGAAAGAAACCTCTGCTCCAGGGCTGACAGTGAGGCCTCCCAGAGCCTCCATGACCCCCTTGGATTGCAGACACTGTCCAAATGTCCTTCTGTCAGATGGCTTCCCCTAACGCCATGCCTTTCTCAATTTATTGCATTTTCAGCCTTACTGAAGTCTGCCCTGGGGACAAATTGGAAACCTATAACCTTAGGACAGCAAGGTAAGGAGAGCCAATGCACAGCCCCTTCACTTCTCTGGCCCCTCAGTCCCCTCTTGTCTTAATTGGGCAGTGTGGGTCAAACGCTGCACACGTCCCTTCTGATTCTGCACGCAGTGTTCTTTCTACATCTTGGCTGTACAGAGAGTTCCATTTTTCACCCCCATGAGAGGGGGGTGGGGCAAAACACTGAAGGAATCTTTCAAAGACCCTCCACCTGACCCCTGTCTGAACAAATAATTAATCTCCTGAAAAAGCAGCTCGCTGATGGGTCCAGGCTGTGCCTGTGGATTTATGAGGTGACGTCAGTTTGAAGACTGGGATGCAGAGCCTGAGCTGTGTTTCACACACTCCTCAATTGTTTTAACGGACCTGCTCCTGAAGGCCTCCAAATCTTTCCCCAAGCTAAGCTTTATTAAAATGGCAAAGATGGAGAGGAGTGCTTTTCCAGATAAATCAGCTTACTTAGGCTCTGCTCCCTCCCCTCCCCCTGTCTACTGGAAAGCACTCCCAGAGGGAAGGAAATGAAGAACTGCAAAGTACTTGCAGGTACATGCTTAATGCCTTAAACTCTAGCATTGTGTTAACAGCTATTCATGGACTGGACTTTAAAGAAATAGATGGATTCTCAATCTGCCCAATTTAAATAATCCTTAAGAGAGAACTAAGGAGGAAGATTAATGTCCTTAGTAACTAAATGACACACCAGAGTTTAGCCTGGAGGCTGGGTCTCTGCACTGACTATCACAGTGCAATTCCTTGAGAGGATCCAGATAAAACTGGGTTTAAAATGAAGGTGGGGGGCGTTAATGGGGAGAAAAACGGTTAGAAGTCAGAGTGAAAGAAGGGAGGGGTGGATGTGAGCAAGCGGGGATGGAGGCAAAGCTTTTGTCCCAGAGACAAAAGTGGTGGGAGAGTGAAGGAGTAGAAGAAAATATATTTCTACTCTTGACTGATCATATGTGTCATTGTCTCTCAATACATACATGTATATAATATGCATACACACGTGTAGTCTCTCTGACACATACACACACATAGTCTGTTTATAGACTGCATGCATACTTGTCTAAGACTTGAGAAATGTAAAGTCAGAGGCCACTTATATTTAGAATTTCAGGAATATGTATTATTGATTGAAATGAAAGACCTTAGAGACCTGAACTGTTAATATCTCATTTATGGGAACAAAATAAAAACAATTGTTGCAACTTAGCATGATTTTTGAGAGATGGTGATGGTAGAGAATCACTTCAGGGAAAGGGAGAAGGTTTAGCTGACAAGTGGGAGAAAGAAAGGGTATCCTCTGTGTGGTGTCTATGCATGTATGTTGGGCAAATCTGCAGTGAGGAAGCAGCCAGTGAGGGAAGGGAGAAAGCCAAGGAAATGATCAGGGCAACACAATCCCCTGATCCAAACAACTCTCCTGTATTTATATTAGGACTATATGAGACTGGTCAACCTTGCAAAATTAGTGACTACATTTCATTAGCTATATTTAGGCCGAATTAAATTTGAATTCAATCACTTTTGATTCTGAGGTCCATCTCTTTTTACTATTTCCCATTCTTGTGGCAGTTACTATGTAGTCAAAACCAAGTATGACAGATGAAGAGAGCTCCAGGGCTAGAAAACTAAAAGGTTGTGAGGATAATTTGAATGGGACTTGTGTCACCTTGTTGATTGCAAGGTGGATTCCCTGATGGCCTGGCCAGCTGCTATGACTGCCCTCTTTGTCCTCACCATGCCATAGGCCGTCTCTGGAGCTTCCCTCAAGGTCAAAAAGGACAATCTTCCAAGACGGAGAAGGGCCAGTCTCTGTAAAGTCCTTTAGCGCAGAGGCCATAATATCTACCACTTTCCACAGTGTTTGGCTCAGTATGACTTTTAAGAAATCATTTACAGAATTAGAAGTATTTCCACTACGTGGAATACAGAGCATATAAGGCCTGCCTTCTAGAATCTTGTAACCTAAATAAGATTGGATTTATACTAAGAGAGAAGCAACTAAAATAGCATATAATAAATGCATTTTTTACATTGTGTCCTAATACCACATACCAGCCCTGGTCAGAGATGTGGAGAAAGTGGCTTCCTGTAGATAACTGAGAGTCCACTGTGGTAGAATAGGGAGGGTGTACATTGAATCAGGGTAGGTACAGGCCTTTTAGAACTGGCTGAAATTGAGGAGTCAGTATCAGATGTTGAGAAGAAGATATTTCAAATAGAGAGAACCTTGGTGGATAAAATCGGATTTTGTCTCTTCAGCCCAAAGTCTACTACAACACAGACTTAAGGCATCTCTTGAAAACAAAGTTTCACATGGTATCTGGTTATGTTATTGGTCCAGGCTCTAGATTTGTACTTCAACAGCCCTTTCCCTCCACCTCCGAGTGTGGGATTACAAAGGAAAGCACCATAGATGGCTTCAAAGAACTTACGGCTTAGAGTGAAGACAGACGCACTAGTGTCTTGAGAAGTGACTCAGTAAGATAATTGAATTGTATGTACCAGAGGAATATGGTAGAAGAAATAAGTCATTCTGCCTGCACACATTAGGAAAGGCTTTACAGAGATATCTTGCCTAAACAAAGACTTGAAGGAATTTTTTGTAGATTAGGTAGGGAAGTGCTGTCCTGGTAGAAGAAACTGTTTGCGAAGACAGAGCGGTGGGGGTGTCTGATACGTTGGGACAATTGCAAGTGTCGAAAATGAAAATAAGAAGTAAAAAGCAGCATGAGGGGAAAAGGTGCTTGATTACAAATGCCTTATCAGTTATGCAAAGAGTATATATTTTTATGCTACAGTGTAGGGAATAAGGAGTCATTGGGAATTCTTCACCAAGACAGAAGGGATGCGTGTATCTCACTCCAGCAGCTTCCTTCCTAGTCTTCTTTCCGGTGGTTGTTTCTGCCTTTCTTACCAATGTGGCTGGTGGTGAGTGCCTTCTACAAATGCTACCTCTTGACCCCTTGGGGAGAAGGGATTCATATCAGTTGCCGGATTTGGAGAGACCAAGTCCCAGCTTATTTTTTTCCAACAGAGTTTTCCTTGCTTCATGGTGTCACAACCTATTGTTACTGGGTGCTAGGATACATTGGCCATATCTCTTGGGTGGAGAGCAGGGAAGACAAAATCTTCCAAAACAGCATAAACTCAGCTTCATTCTGTAGTGTCCATTTGACCCAAAGAAATCCCATGTCTCCATGCAAAGATAAAAGGAGGGAATGTTACCCTTTTCTATCAAGTTGTCTTTTTTCCTGCTGGAAGTGAGAAGGGGTGGAGGCTGTTGAGGGGAAAATGCATGCAGGAAAGCTCATCAGGTTCATCAAGTGTGCAACTCAAGCAAACCTCTATATAAGGGAACGGGATTCCAGCGTTCACTTCTTGGAGCATCTGCAGTCTCTAAAAGAGATTATCTTGGTTGACCCTTTCTTGATGTAGGCAAGAGAAATATACTTCATTCCCCACTTGACCTGCAAGTCATTAGTCTGATGATTGTCCCCACCACTCTTCCTTTATCTTCTGTTTTATAGAACTGGGCTCAGGCAGGAGAGATGGACCCCTCCTAGAGTATTGATGGTGAGAACGCTAGTTGTGAGACCACAGTAAAAGTTCCACTGAGCATCCTGTCTCAGAATAGCCACTTTAGAGGCAGTGTAGAAAATTGATGGAACCCTGTTAGGAGGCTATAACCATAGTCCACTGAGACATGATGGGAACAAGGCTAAGAAGGAGAGGAAAGAAAGTTAGGAAGTAGATTTGAAAGTGAAAATGATAGAGAAATACAGGAGGGTAAGAAAAATAGGTATATCTAAGATATTTAAACTTTTATTTCAGGAAGAGATTTCATGATGGTGTTAATCACTCAGATGAGAAATCTGAGGCTAGGAGTGTTAGGGGCAGAGTGGAGGAAGAGGCAAGGGAATGAAGAGAAGAGAGTTCAGTTTGGGGCATATTACAGTGGAGCTGCATGAGATAAAGTCTAGGCAGAAAGAGCTGCATACTCCAAAATATAGAAATATGAAAACGTAGAAAATATAAGAAAGGAAAAGAGGTGTGACAGAGGACATCCACATCTTCGATGAAAATGCAATGAGAACAGTTAACTGATTCTAGAGCAAAAGAACTCTATGTCATGAGATGGGAAAAACTTCTTTATCCTGAGGTGCTAGAGGAGGGTTGTGTGGCAAAGAATGTAACAGATGTTAAGAGTAGAGCTTTGGGTAGCTGCCAGATCAGAAAGTGTATAAAAGAAGGGTATAATGGGAGCAACAAAATGGAGCATGCATTCACTGTATCAGCAAATGCGTTGGGAGAGGGAATGTACTAGGATTAGGACATGGCATCTATCTGGTAAAATAAGAATAGGAGCTATGCATTTACTTGTTTGAAGATTGTGTAATCAGCCAGTTACTAACAGCACAAGACTCTTCTAGAGGATTTAGGAACACCTGAGCTGCACTAAAGGGGAATTGAGCTAAGGATGTCATTTTTCCAGAATCATGATCTTCAAAACTCAACACTAATGCCCGATTCCTTGGCCTGCTGTCTATGGGAAGGCCATGTTTAATAACATAAAGTCATTAACAAATGCTTTGGTACCTCAAGACCAGAGTGTGCCTGCATCTACCTTTCCCAAAGCCTATACTTTCTTGGGAAGGGTTCTTTTTGGATCTAAAAATATGTAGGGAAGGGATGTAATTATGCAAAATAGATAGCAGCATTTTCTTTCACTCAGGTATTTACTTTCACCTCCCATGTTTGCAGAATATTGCCACCCGCTCTTTGTTTTTAAATTTATTGTTCAATTTTTGTAAATTTTTATTTTTAAATAACAATAACTGTATGTGTTCATGGTGTACAATATATGTTGATATATGTATACATTGTGCAATGGCTAAATCAAGCTAATCAATATATGCATTACCTCATATAGTTATACTTTTTTGTTATGAGAACACTTAAAACCTATTCTCTTAGTAATTTTCAAGAATATAAAACATTGTTATTAACTATAGTCATCATGTTGTATAGTAAACCTCTTGAACTTATTTCTCCTAACTGAAATTTTTTATCCTTTGGCTAACATCTCCTTGATCCCACCACCTTACCCCACCCCTGCCCAAGCCTCTGGTAACCACCATTCTACTCTCTGCTTCTGTGTGTTTGTCTTTTTTATTTATTTAATTTTTATTTATTTATTTATTTTATTTTTTTTAAGAAAAGGGATCTCACTGTGTTGATCAGGCTGGAGTGCAGCAGCACAATCATAGCTCACTGCAGCCTCAGATTCCTAGGCTCCAGTGATCTCCCTGCCTCAGCCTCCCAAGTAGCTGGGACTACAGGTATGCACCACCACATCCAGCTAATTTTTAAATTTTTTTGTAGAGACAGAGTCTTGCTATGTTGCTCAGGCTGGTCTCTAATTCCTGGCCTCAAGGAATTCTCTCAGCTTGGCCTCCCAAAGTGCTGGAATTATAGATGTGAGCCACCATACCTGGCCAGTTTGTCCTTTTTAGATTCCACATATAAATGAGATCATGCAGTGTTTGTCTTTCTGTGCTTGGTTTATTTCTCTTAGCATAATGTCCTTCAGGTTTATCTGTGTTGTTGCAAATGACAGGATTTCCTTCTTTGTTAAGGCTGAATAGTATTCCATTGTTTATATAACCACATTTTCTTTATCTATTCGTCCATCTGTTGGTAAACACTTTGGTTGATTCTGTATCTTGGCTATTATGAACAGTGCTGCAATGAACATGGGAGTGCAGGTATTTCTTCAACATACAGACCTCATTTCCTTTGGATATGTACCCAGGATTGCTGGATCTTATAGCAGTTCTATTTTAAGTTTTTGAGAAACCTTCATACTATTTTCCATAATGGTTGTACTAATTTACGTTTTCACCAATACCCCTTTAGAATGAATGTTCATGTTTTCTCTTCATAGGAGGCCAATTGTTTCTAGTCTCATTGTCAAGATGGTGACCAAACTGTCATTTGATAATCCCTCAGCACGGAACCTGGTACCACTGTGGGTGAAGCAAGCTACAGAGGCCGGATCCTCTAATGCTGTCTATTATTGTTAGACCAGACTTCTGCAGCCGGCTTCACCCAAAGGGCTGCAGAGTCTCCCTCCTTCCCACTCTGCCTCTGCTAAACTCAATGTCTGAGTCCTTGAGCACTTCAGTGAAGGGGCTTGATGGAAGGTCTCAGATAATATGTTTATTATTTCCCAGACACCCTCCCCTATCCTCAGCTCCAAATCCATTTATCTCTCCCATAAAGTGCTTATTGACAGAGAACTTGAGTGCTCAGAATGATGCCAACTGAAGACAAGCCTCTCCAAATACAGCAGTCCTGTCTCCCCTTGATCTCCCCAGGCTGAATCCAAAACAGCTGTGTTTCTGCCTCAACCTCAAGGATTAGCTCAGGGACTCTCCCTCCTCCCACCACCAACTGCTTTCTTGGGTCGTTGATTTTTCAGAGAGAAAATGCCTGTGGTAGCGGCACGAAATAGCACTGCTCAGCCTCTAGAAGAGGTTTGCAAGCTCATTCAGCCAAAAAGTAATTATATTGAGCCTCCCAGAGAGCCTCTGCTCCACCCACATTTGCAAATACTCTTTTACTACATACTCTGTGTTTCTAAGTCTGTAATTCAGATTCTTCTTTTGTTAGTTAAGAAGAGTGTGGGTTTTCAGGTATGCAGCAAAAGAAAAAGAGTCCATAAATAATAGAACTTAAGGGAGAGGCAGAGCTTAACACACGCATTTGAGCCCAATGTCTGATTTCATGCAGGTTGCAGCCTGATTTCTCTTGGGTCATTTCTACTCTAGCTGGGCCTACTTGAATGATCTGATCTGGTTAAAGTTTATCATCCAGAATGAATTAGCTACAGTCTCACTTCTACAGGAATAGCAGGATCAAATGACTTCCAGCTTGATGTTTCCCTGAATTCTACCATCAAGCAAAACTGTCATTCATTCACGCTACAATTAGTAAGGCACTGTGCAAGAGTCACTTGGTTATAAAGAGAAATCCTCATCTTAAGGAGTTTACAGTCTGGAAAAGAAGACAAGAGGTTCAATGTGGCACTTTGTTATTAGGAGATGCAGAGGCCTGGATTCAAATTCCGCTCCTGCCCTGGGAAAGTCCACTTAACCTTTCTGTGCCTCAGTTTTCTCATGTGTAAAATGTGGCTCACAATTGTATTATCCCAAAAGGTTTCTGTGAAGATTAAAAGAGATAATATATGTAAAGCGTGTATGACAATGCCTGGCACCTAGTATTGCTTTTAGCTATTACTATCATAAGAGAGCTACAAATAGAAATGATATGTAGCAAAATACTGTGAGATGCTGTGTTAGTCCATTCTCATATTGCTATAAACAACTATCTAAGACTGGATAATTTATTTTAAAAAAAGATTTTATTGGTTCACAATTCCATAGGCTATACAGGAAGCGTAACTAGGGAGGCCTCAGGAAACTTACAATCATGGCAGAAGGCAAAGAATAAGCTGGGACATCTTCACATGGTCAGAGCAGGACAGAGAGAAGAAGGAGGTGCTACACACTTTTAAACAACCAGATCTTGGGAGAATGAACTCACTACACAAGAACAGCAAGGGAGAAATTCGCCCCCATGATCCAATCACCTCCCACCATGTCCCTCCTCTAACACTGGGGATTATTCAACATACGATTTGGGTGGGGACACAAATCCAAACCATGTCAGACCCAGAGGAGGATGAGGTGCTATTTATTTGGAGGAGGGCAGTATAAGGAGTGTGGTTATATTCCAAGTAAAAAGCTAAGCAACAGACAATAAAAACCTGAACTAGACTATACTATACCATACTATACTATATACTGTTATTAAACAAGGTTTATGGGAGGCCATTGTTTTGGATTAGCCCCTTTCACTAGGCCCCAGCAGACCAGACCAAACCAGAATGGAGTCACTCATGTTAAGTGCCACATAATCAATGTTCAGGTGCCACTGAACTCTAAAATGTGAGAGTTTTCCAAAAAAACAGGAAATTCACAGCAACCCATCAAAAGGGGTTCAATTTACCTGAGCCTGCATGATAAAGAAGTTCTCTCTGCTTTAACTCTATGAGAAAAGCAATTTGAAACCATCAATTCAAGTTTTGTTCTGTTTCTGCTTTCTCCAGCCCTTTTCTGCCTATAAAGCCAACTCTTTCTACTCAGCTTCTTGGAACATTTATTCTATTTTATAGAATGAGGTGTTGCCCTATGCTAGAATCACAAATAAAAGCCCACTAGACCTTTAAACTAGATTTGTTGTAAATTTCACTCTTGACAATACACTATACTAGAATAAAGATAAAGGGGCTGGCCAACTTTAAGAGATGTGGTGGTAGAATAAACAAGGGTTTGGCATGCATTAATTAGGGTGGACAGTTGATAAGAGCGAGTCAGAGGCTGTTCCAAGGGTCAAGTATCAGCAAGTTGAGGAATGATGGGGTCATGAATCAACTGGGAAGTCAGAAAGAAACAAACTTGTTTGTGGAAGAATGTGACCGGCTTGTTTTTGGTCATGTTGAGTTTGAGGCATTAGTGGAATATCCTGGTAGGAACATCTTGGATCTCTGAGACAAGTGTCCTCAAACTCCCGAATTATTGCCATACCTGTTACCTGCTTTTCCACCTTTCCCTCTTTTTTGATCAATCCAGCAGTTGGAAACTATATTCAAAGGAAAGGATGAATTCTGGAGATACTGAAATGTCATCAGCAAAAAGACATGGTTGAGGGTTATGATTAAATGTCCAGAGAGAAGGTAAATATGGAATCTTGGACGAGGTGTGCATTTAAGGTTCTAGAATAGAACCTTAATTCTTTCTAGAATAGAAAGAACCACCTAGCAAAAGAAGAAAAAGAACTGTCTCTTTCCAGGAAAACAATACACCAACCAGCCATCAGTGTAAGTATTTCAGGCTCATCAGCAATATGAATGTCACTAATGCATTGCTCTACATAAAAGAGAGTGGAGAGTAAGTTAGGGAAGGCAAAGGAGGCTGGGTGCGGTGGCTCATGCCTGTAATCTCAGCACTTTGGGAGGCACAAGTTCAGGAGATCAAGACCATCCTGGCCAATGTGGTGAAACTCCATCTCTACTAAAAATACAAAAATTACCTGGGCGTGGTGGCACGTGCCTGTAATCCCAGCTACTCGGGAGGCTGAGGCCGGAGAATCGCTTGAACCAGGGAGTCAGATGTTGCAGTGAGCTGAGATTACACCACTGCACTCCAGCCTGGTGACAAAGCGAGATTCCATCTCAAAGAAAAAAAAAAGGTATCTGTCAAGCCACCTTTGATTGAGTCATCAAACTATCATTCACTTTTTTTTTTTTTTTTTTGAGATGGAGTCTCACCCTGTCACCCAGACTGGAGTGCAATGGCGTGATCTCGGCTAACTACAAACTCTGCCTCGTGGGATCAAGTGATTCTCCTGCCTCAGCCTCCCAAGTAGCTGGGATTACAGGTATGCAGCATGACGCCCAACTAATTTTTTGTATCTTCAGTAGAGATGGGGTTTCACCATGTTGGCCAGGCTGGTTTTGAACTCCTGGCCTTGTGATCCACCTGCCTTGGCCTCCCAAAGTGCTGGGATTACAGGCATGATCCACGGTGTCCAGCCTTTTTTTTTTTTTTTTTTTAGTAAAAGGAATTCCATCAGTTCATTTGGAGTCTGATCAATGCTGGGCGAACAGATTAAATTCTCTTTAGAGTAGCAAATCTTAGGACTATAAGCTGAAGTAGAACTAGAAAGTCCAGCCATACCTAAGTCCAAGCTAGCCACTCTGGTCCTTTTCTCTGTTGTATTCCATTAAAGACCCTGATATCTGGGACTAGAGTTCCTGAGCACTCTATACCCATGACCTGGTCTGGAAGCAGCTCTTCTTAGCTGTCCTATCATGCCACAGTAACTCCGGGTCTCTGAGACAAGTGTCCTGAAACTCTTGAGTTCTCACATGCCCTTTCATCTTTCCCTCTTTTTTGATCAATCCAACCAATTCATGGCTTCCTGTTGAATGTTATTTTATAATAATATGGTTTATGTTATTAACACTCTTTAATGTTATTCAAGCCCATCTTCTATCATGTCATTGCTTAAAAAGCCTCAACAGTTCCTTAGGGTCAAGCCCACTGTGTGTGAGCTTCTTAACTGGGCATTTAGAATCCTCTCCAATATCCTCCACTACCTATGATTTATATTTTAGCCAAAATGGACCCTTTATAATCTTGAACTTCATTGCATGTCTGCACTTCTATACCAGTGCTGAATCCCAAACTGAAATCTGGTTCATATTTCATGAAACAGCTGGTTTTTACACCCACATCTTGAAATCTCTTTCTATTCCCTCACCTAGATACAAACTCTTCAAGGGGCCAGTAGAGTATAGTGGCTAAAATCTTGGATTCTAAAACCCAGCTGTCAAGGTTCAAATCCCAGCCACACCATGTGCTGACTGTGAGATCATATACAAGTCTCTTTTCACTTCACATCTGTTTCCTTATCTGGAAAATCAAGAATATTAATCAGATATTAAATGAGATAATATACATTTAATCTAGTCCGTGGAACCCTGTAAGCATGCAGCAACTGCGAGCTATTATGGCAGATGCTGTTGCTAGCCCACCCACATCCTCTTGGTATTTGTCTCTACATTCTCAACCTGTTTATAGAAAACATTCGTGACTCTCTGTAGTCAAGATAGCATGCTCAGCTCTCATACAGGGCAGAGCAGAAGTTTCTGAGATGTAATCAGTCTCCCAAGAAGCGACACTCAGACAATGACCAATGGAGAGTCAGTGGATGAATACCCCTTGTTAGGAATAACTCTGAACCCTATTCTAGAGTGTGGACAGCATAGAATCTCTTATTGTCTCCCAGACTTCCCCAGCAGGCTGTAACATCAGTTGCCCGCAATGGTAATTGGCTTGGCAGATACCTTCTGTCAGCTCCTTTGCCTTCCCTAACTTACTCTCCACTCTCTTTTATGTATTTCCTGGGATCGTTTCCCAAAACTACTTGGATTCTTGTCTCCGGGTTGGCTTCTGGAGGACTCTAAAACCATAACTGCTCTTATCACTACAGCTGACTTCTTTGAAACCATGAAAATACTGCTTTATTTGCATTCGTCTTCTGCTAGTTAGAGTCTACCTTCATAAAACCTAAAATCCAACAAAAAATTAAGACCAAAATACAAATATTTCTCACAGTACCTCTCACATAGAAGTTACTCAATCTGTATTTAGAGAGCAAAGAATAATGGGAGATCAAAAGATTACTCTGTGACTATAAAAATAGAGCGAGGACTATTGATTGGTTACTAAGAATATTTTACAAACTTTTATGGTTTGACACACCCTTTTAATGGTGGTATGTCTACCTAATATATCTGCACCTTCCCAAAATCCCCTCCCCTCGATGTCAGCATCAGGACTCCCCTCCTCCTCTAGCTAGATTTGAGAGACACTTGCCATTATCTCATCATTATTTTATCATGTTAATGTACTTGTGTAACCTTTTATATTTTCTAAATATGAAAAATATTTTACAGAGATTACATTTGACGCAGCTGCTTCCTGAAGACCTAGAGATCACTTTAATCTTACAAGCACATTCTTCAGATTGTCGTGTGGGTGGGTAACTTCCGCCAGACTTTTCTGGAGATGGCTAATCCAGCCGTGGGATGTGGTTTCTTCTAACAGCCAGTCAGGAAAATCTTGCTTCTCAAACTCCTGTCTTGACCCCTTCCTGAACTTTGCCTCCTGGATCTTGAGGTCTGCCTTCTGTGGAAGAGAAATACTAGAATCAATGAACTGTGAACTAGAGCCCTGGGATTATCAACAGGTAATGGTGATACTGCAGCAGTTGGCTGCATGAGATTTGTGATTACAGACTTGAGAGTGGCTGTCACCTTTGGTGCTACCAGAAGTAGCTTTCAAAACTGCCCTTCTGTAACAGAGAATTCTAGAAGGGTGGTCCATGGACCATCTATATTAGAAGGACTTCTGGCTCTGCTTCGCCTGCGGATTACTGGTCCTGCTCAGGCAAACTGAATCAGAATCACTTGTGAGGATGCTTCAATTTGCATTTGTAGACAAACTCCTCAGGTGATAAGGTGACCAAATTATCCAAGTTTTAGCATTGAAAGTCCCACATTCAGGAAAGCCTTTAGTCCTGAGACACTTGGTCACCAAGTGGATATGTCTTATGTACATTGAATTCTTAGAGCTGTCTTACAGACCCCAAGGTATGCCACACTAACACGGATGCTACTTTTACTCGGTAAGAATCTCTGAGACTTTGAGATGACTTTAATCCAGTGTGACATTGGGTGGGGAGCTCCCTCAGACATCGATCTTGATAAGATCCTTCCATGGGAACTTGAGTGTTTGAGAGACCCAGAGTATGTGTTTTGTTACTTTACTTTTCCTTTCTTTTGAACCTCATGTGCAAGGAGTTGAACTTGGTCTTGAGTTTATAGTACACAATTTAATTCTGTATCTACAAGGCCCTTCTCTGGATTTATGTGGTTATTTATTCTCATTTCCCCACCAGCTCTCCATGCCCAGCAGGCAAACATTACAATGTGATTGTTTTATACTCTGAATTTGTTTGTATCTTTGTAAAGCATATAACATTGTTCCTGTGTATTTTAATTTAAACATATTGTATTCTGCTGCAGACTTCACCCTAACTCTTGCCTTTTTCTGTTAAGTATTGTGTTTAATGCTGCATGGTCCTTTGACCTGTTGTTTCTTGTGGTAGGCAGCTCTTAAGGTGGCTCCCAATAATGGTGCCCTGTTGGTACCCATGTCCCTGTACAATCACCTTACCTTGATTGTGGACTATACTTAGTGACCTGCACTTAGTGAACAGAATGTGGCAAAAAGTGACAGTATGTTACTTTTGAGACTAAGTTATAAAAAGCCTTTGTCTTCTTCTCTTGTGCCCTCCCTTGCTCACTCTGGTGGAAGCCAGCTGAAATTTTGAGAGCCACCTTATAGAAAGCCTAACAGCAAAGACTGGAGAGAGGCTTCCAGCCAACAGCCAGCAAGGAATTGAAGCCCTCAGTCCAATAGCAGTGAGGAATTGAATCCTGCCAACAGCCTCGTGGGTGAGCTTGGAAGCAAATCCTATTCTAGTCTAGTAGAGACTTGAGAGGACCCATAGCTCTTGCCAACACTTGATTGCAGCATTGTAAGAGACCCTGAGCCAAAGGACTCAGCTACACCATGCTGGCTCCTCGCCCATAGAGACCATGATATAATAAATGTTTGTTATTTTAAGATGTTAAACTTGGAGTAATTTGTTACACAGCAATAGATAACTGATATGCTTCTAATCATTGCATGGTGTCCATAGCATATTTTTACCACATTTTACTTGTCCACTTCCTGCAGATGGGTTGCTTGCTGCCTGAATCTAACTCCTGCTACTACTGCAAATACCACTGCCATGAATATCCTCAGCAAGACCCCCTTCCAGACCTGCATGAACAGTTGTGTGAAATGTATATGCACAAAGGGACTGCAAGGGAAGACCCAGAGACTAGGGAAGAACTTGGAACAATAATCTCAGTTTCTTCAATTCCTAAACTTGAGAGTATTGCTGTTTTTAAATGAAAGTATTTTTTCCCCCTAAGCATTTTGTTCTAAAGTTGAGCTGCCTTTGAGGGGAAATAAAGAGACTACCAGATTAATGGGTTTTTTTCAAATGGGATGGTGGGGTAAGGAATAATCGGGGTGGTCTGTGGAACAACTTGGAGGATTGGTGTTATGTCTCAAGAAGATATTCAAGTATGTTCCTCCTTTTTTACCCAGACCGACTGCTTCATGCTGGGCTTCAGACATGAGAGGCTAGGAGTAGGAGGCATGCCTTGTTCAAAGGTGAGTGGACACATTTATCACCATTAAAACAATGTTTATCTGTTTGGATTTAGTAAATGGCCTCAAGTTCCTGGAAATGTGTGCAGAGACCCCGTGGCCATGAGAAGATCTGTCATTTTATTTTTTACAGTAGGATGAAATATATTTGGAAGTCATTGGGCTGTAGCTGTCCTACATCAAAAGACGTTTCATAACAAAACACTATCATGCCCCATTTATAGTAATAGCATGCTGTGCTCTGGCTGCTGTGGGCAAATAAAATATGTTCCTGTAATATAAACAGCCTCACCTTCCCTCTAAAGACTAAAAGGCCATGAAAGATTTATTTAAATAGGCTTTTGAAACATAGAGACACATGCAAAAACATGTTAAGCATATGGATATAGAGATAGATAGATAGATAGATGGATTAGATAGATAGATGATAGACAGATGATAGATGATAGATAGATAGATAGATAGATAGATAGATAGATAGATAGGGATTGTCAGAAATGGACTATAAACTCTAAAATTGAATAAATAATGTTAGAAGAGAGAATATCAGAGCCAGAAGGGACATTAAAAATTTTTCAGTCCAGGCACCTTTATTTTGTTGGCTTTTTTCCCAATTATTTTCATTGTGGTAAAATATACATAAAATTTACCATCATAATCATTTTTAAGTGTACAGTTCTGTGGCATTAATACATTCGCAATGTTATGCAACCATTACCACCATCCATCTTTATAACCCCTTTTCATCTCCTAAAGCTGAAACACTATACCCATTAAACAGTAACTACCCATTCCCCACTAATCCCAGCCCCAATCAATCACCATTCTACATTCCATCTCTATGATTTTGACTACTCTAAGTACCTTATATAAATGGAATCTTGCTTTTCTTTTTGTGACTGGCTTATTTTTCTGAGCATACTGTCCTTAAGGTTCATCCGTGTTGCAGCACATGTCAGAATTTTCTTCCTTTTTAAGGCAATAATATTCCGTTATATGTATACACCACATTTTGCTTATCCATTCATCTGTCCATGGACACTTGGGTTGGTATTGTGAATAATGCTGCTATGAACAAGGGTGTGCAAATATCTCTTCAAGACTCCACTTTCATTTTTATTTTTATATTTTATTTTATTTTATTTTATTTTATTTTATTTTATTTTGTTTTTGAGACTGAGTCTTGCTGTGTCACCCAGGCTGGAGTGCAGTGGTGCAGTCTCAGCTCACTGCAACCTTCGCCTCCTGGGTTCAAGTGATTCTCCTGCCTCAGCCTCCCGAGTAGCTGGGATTACAGGCACGTACCACCATGCCCGGCTAAATTTTGTGTTTTTTATAGAGAGGGGGTTTCACCATGTTGGCCAGGCTGCTTTCGAACTGCTGACCTCAAGTGATCCACCCGCCTTGGCTTCCCATAGTGCTGGGATTACAGGTGTGAGCCACGGTGCCTGGCCAAGACCCCATTTTTAGTTCTTTTGGTATACATCCAGAAGTGGAAATGCTGGATCATATGGTAATTCTATCTTTAATTGTTTGTAGAATTGCCACACTGTTTTCTACAGCATCTCTACAACTTTACATTCCCACCAACAATGCACAAGGGTTCCAATTTCTCCACATCCTGGCTAATGCTTATTATTTTCTGGGTTTTGTTTTGTTTTGTTTTTATAGTAGCCACTCTAATAAATGTAAGGTGGTACCTCATGGTGGATTTGATTTGCATTTCCCTAATGACTTGTGCTGTTGAGCATCTTTCCGTGTGCTTATTAACCATTTGTATATCTTATTTAAAGATATGTCTATTCAGGTTCTTTGCCCACTTTGGAATCAGGATGTTTTTTGTTGTTGAGATTTAGAAGCTCTCTAAATATTCTGGATATTAATCCCTTATCAGACATATGACTTGCAAACATTTTCTCTCATTCTTTTAGTTGACATTTTACTTTGCTGATATTATCTTTTGATGAATAATTTAAAATTTTTTTCATGAAGTTCCATTTGTCTATTTTTCTTTTGTTGCATGTGACCTTAGTGTCATATCCAAGAAATCACTGCCAAATCCAGTGTCATGAAGCTTTTACCCTGTTGTTGTCTTCTAAGAGTTGTATAGCTTTGGTCTTATATTTAGGTTTTGATCCATTTGAGTTAATTTTTTGTACATGGTGCAGGTAAGGGTCCAACTTCATTCTTTTGCATGTAGATACCCAGTTCTCCCAGGACCATTTGTTGAAAAGGCAGGCACCTCATTTTACAGAAGAGGAAACTGAGGCCCAGAAAGAGAAGTGGCATGCCCAAGGCTGTGCCAGAAGCAAAGTGTAAAATAGATCCTGAGCCTCCGACTCCTGGTCAGTGCTATACATACATTTACATTTAACATAAATTTAAATTTAAAAAATTTAAATTGGTTGAATATGAAAATAAGTTATTTTGTTAGCTCTCGGGTTCACTAATGATGTAATTTCTAACAAATGAATAAAAGTTAGGTTGATGGAGCAGGTGATAATTTTAATATGTTGTTCACAAATTCTTTGGTATTTCTTTTCTCAAGAGGTGGAACTTAATTCTCCTTTCTTTAAGTGTGAACTGAACTTAGTAACTTGCTCCTAAAGATTAGAACGTGGCAGAAATGACAGTGAGTGGCTTCTGAGACAAGGTCATAAAAGGCATTACAGTTTCCTCCTCGATTTCTCTCTCAGTAACTCCTCCAGGGGACAGCAGCATCTCTTCTGACTCTTTGCTTCCATGTCTTGAGGAAGCAGCCTCCTGCCTATGGCCATCTGAGGAAGCCATCTTGGAAGCAGACCCCTCAGCCCCAGTCAAGCCTTCAGATGACTGAAGTCTCAGCTGACATCTTGACTTTAATTTAAAAAAAAAAAAAAAAAAAAAAAAACAAACAAACAAACAAAAAAAAACTCCAAGCCAGAACTACCCCCAACTGGAATTTGAGAGCTGCTTTCAAATCCTGACCCATAGAAACTTAGATAATAAATGTTTGTTGTTTTAAGCCACTCATTTTTAGAGAAATTTGTTATGCAGCAATAGCTAGCTAATACAGAGAATTAACCAGCCTCTCTTAAATTACCACCACAAAATCAACTACCTATTTTATTAAAAGGTAAAACCAGCTGCTGAAGAACGTTTTTCCTCTCAAGGCTTTGGCACTTAAGATTCAACAGTAAGAAGGATTGAAGAGTGAAGGCTTCCTGGCTACCCCGTGGCATCCTGTGTTTGGTTTGAAGCGTGATAAGCCTGGGTTGCTCTTCCAGTCCACCTTGTAAGAGACTGATGTGGAAAAATGTGTCTCTTCTCAAGGGCTAACTCTGGAAGCTTGGGAAAATATTCTAGATTTGGATCACATTAAAATGGGTATTAGACCTAGGTTCTAGTTCCATCTCTAAGATCTGGATATGTCAAAATCCTTTTCCCTTTGTAGGTTTTAAGTTTGGCCTCTTTAAATAAAGAAACAATCACCCATGCTTTGTCTTTTAACTTGCTACTTAAAACAAGGAGCTGAAGACACTGGCCATCATCAAATAACTAATGGACAATTCCCACTGCCTCGCTGAAATTTGCAGTCTGACTCTCATCATCTCTTGCCTTTTTTTTTTTGCTTTGGCTGTGTTTGTGAAACTGCCTTTGCAAAGATTATGAGAGGGAGTCTAGCATGGCCAACTCCATCTTGCTTCTAGCCTCATGGGCTGGCTTCCCTTGCTCATTCCTAGCCATAGGCCAAGCTAACCATGGGAGGAATTTAGTTTATAGTTTAACTTTGAAGCAAAGATGATACTATTTTATCCCTAAAACAGATCCCTTCCTTGTTCGGGTTCTGAAACCACCTTTGTAAGACTAATGAAAAGCCACAAGATTAGGATTATGGAAAGGGCCTGAATCCTGCTCAAATGGAGGCATCATTTCTATACTTCCTTACTGCTCAGGAGTTATGTGGCCAAATGGCACAGAGTTGTGACTTCCTCAATTGCTCCTGTGGATAACATCACTATTGTAGAACCTAAGGCTGGTCTTTTGAGCTGTTTTTCAGATTTTTGCATTCTGGCAACTGAGTGATGCCTCCCAGACTCATGACTCAACCAGTCCTATGGCCTCCACCCAGAGGTGGACTCAGCACATGAGGACTGTTTTCCTCGCACTTCTGTGATCTCATCCCTAACCAATCAGTAGCACTCATTCCCTAGCTCCCTGCCCACCAAATTTTCCATAAAAAGCCTAGCCTCTGAGCTCTTGGGGAGATTGACTTGAGTGATAAACTCCAGTTCTTCTCTATGGCCAGTCTTGTATTAATTAAACTCTTTCTTTACTGCAATACCATGGTCTCAGTGAATGGTTTGATCTGTGCAGCATGCAGGAAAAACTCATCAATCAATTACATTTGTCACTAAGTCCTCTCAGCTGGAGACTCATCAATGATATTAAATTTTAAAAAACTACCAAGCGAATACAATTCAAGTGGAAGCTCACCTGTGGAGCAATGGGAACACACTGTTATTCAACAGGGCTGAAGTCTGAATCAGATGCCCGGAGGAGATACGTTGTCTTGGCTTTGCCACTCACTGGCTATGTGATCTTGGATAAGTCACCTCACTCCTCTTGATCTCAGCTCCCTCTTCTTTAAGAAAAAAAATAAAGTAGTGATAATTTTAATAGTCAACATTTACTGACTGTAATCTAAAAATGGGGTTAAGTAAATTGCATGCATTACCTTTAACACAACTGTGACATAGGAATTATTGTAACATAAACAGCCTCATAAAATCTGTATTTTACAGATAAGGAAACTAAGTTTCAGAGATAATAAGTGGTGGAGCCGGATTCAAACCCAAGTTCTTAACCACCAAGATCATAGCAATTATAAATCAGTTTCAGCTTGAATTTGAACTCTCTGGATGCTAGGATTCAGAAGAGATGTGACATCTGTGAAGAACTGATGGTGTCAGTCTGCCAGGCATTTAGTTATATGAGGAACCCAGAGTGAGGTTAGCATCAGGGAGTCACTGGTTCTAGAGCAGAGGGAAGATTCTATTTACTTTTGATGTTGGTCACTACAAAGTTATGGTGCCAGCAAGAGAGCAAAGTAAAAACAAAAAGGCCTGGGATATTAGTATGCAGGTCATCTGGAGAATTGGTGCCAGCATCTTCTGTAGTAATTGATGAGGATGCCCCATCATTGACATCAACGACGTTGACAGTGGACACTGGCAGGAATTGAATGCCTTGAGCAGACACCAGTCACAGTGTCGGCAGTGGCTGGGAGTCATTACCCCCAATGTGCCACGGCCGGAGGGGATAAATGCAGCAGATGTCACATGGCAGCCCAGAGGAGCAGTTTGCAGAGCACATGTGAGAAACCCTCTGAGGATACCCAGGAGACACCACGGGAGACAGAAACCCAGGACTGTACTTGAATGAAATTCGAGAGAGAGCTTACATTTCTATAGAACAGAAGTGTATCTTCCTGAAGAAATTTTGTGTTTGCTCTTGAGATCCTATTTTTACCCTCAGACTTGGGTGGTCTGAAAAATGTAGGTTACTGATGAGATGGAAGGGTGCGACTCCACAGTGCTCTGCAAGGGTCTTTCACTTTGCCTCATGATTCCCAGAATTACAGCATTTCAAACTCCATTGACAGAAACACCAGGGCTGGCAAATGCAGTGCAGATCCATTGGTGAGTCTTGAAAGGATTTCTGATGCTAATTTGTTGCCCTTGGGACTAACTGGAGTTAAATTATGATTATTCCTAATGTGGTGGTCCCAGTACTGTTTGGCGAGGAACGTGAATACTTTCTCTAACTGGCCACAGTGCTCTCCAGGGAAAGATGTTTGATCTGGGGCACTGAGGCATTCTTCCCTGCTGATTGTTGGGAAATGCAGCTCCTCTGTGGAAAGGGGCTTTGCTGCCATCGTATTGAGGTAAGTGCCTATAGGGAAGAGAGGTGAAGTGGGGGAGACGTAGACCACATTCCTCCTACCAGGAAAAAGGGGCTGGCTTCTTTCTGAGAACTGCTTTCTGCTGGGAAGGGGCTGGATGAGCCATGTAACCCCACCTTTTGCTTGGAAATGAAGAGCTTTCCCACTCCAGAGGAAGGAGAGGGGAGGAGAGGAGGGAAAGGGCTGCAGAGCATGTTCCTCCCGTTCCCTCTCAAGCAGAAAGGAAAGCTGTCTTCAATTAGGAAGGGGAAGGAGATTCAAAACATCTGGCGGGAAAAGTGCTGGTTCTGGAGGGTCTTTGGGAGGAGGATGGAGGCTTGTGGACAGCGCGCCTGCCTTGCTGGACCTGACACAGCCCTCTGAGAGTCTGTCACCACCTCTTCCTCTTCAGCTCTGTCTGGTCTCCTTGTGAGGCTGAGCCTTTGGCTGCCTCCTGCCCTGGGCTAAAGGAAGCAGTAACAGCAGCCACAACCTGGGCAGCACAGCCCACAGCTTTCTCCTCGGGGGTCAATGGGTAATTTGCACAACAGAGAGACCACCCACGGAGGCAGTACAGAGTTCACAACCTCTAGCACTTAGGCATCTAATCAGTTTGGTTTTGCCTGTGGAGAGCTTCCCCTTGAATCTCAAAGCTACCAAGCTGCCTTCCTCCCCATCCTTTAAAATACTTCCAGGCTCCCATCTCCTCTTAGGAGCCTTCTTGAAATATTTGCAGAAACTTTATATTCCTCCTCCCCAACCACATACACAATGTCACAGCTGCCTCTTCCATTTGCTTGCATCTCCTGTGGACTGCTCACCTTCTCCACCCCAAGCAAAGCAGATGGCTGAGGGACATTCAGGTTGCTTACAGAGCTGTGGAAAATTCTCTGGAAATCACCTGCCTGTCCTAGAGACCCCAGGTTTCCCAGGAGTCACAAGGCACCAAAGCCTGGAGGTTCCTTAAAGATCACCTGCTGGGTGGGATTTACTACATTCCCCAGGAGGTCACGGCCCAGGGCCTCTGATCAGGATTTCCTTTGGGGTGGGCAGATTGGGTGTGGAAAGGAGGCCAGGAAAGGCCTTTTGGTTTTCTCAATGACTGACAGAGCAGAGGGGTGATCTGAGAAGGAGCTGGGCATTCCAGGATTGTGCAAATGTGGGCCCAGCATCTGTTTTCCATTAGCCTCTTTCATTGAAACATGGTAGTCTCTTATGAGTTTAAAGTTTGTATTAAGCATCCAGGCCCTAGAAAGTTCTTTGTTTCATGGAAGGTGAACTCCCCATCCCACTTAAAAGCCATGGAATTGTGTGCCATATCCCAAAGGAGCACCCATTCAAAGGCACATGCCAAAGCTTTATCCCTGCCCTATGGGCCATGATGGCTCCTGAGACTTCCAGCCATGATGGCAAGAAGCAGTTGACTATCACTCCTAAACCTCAGCTGGTTCATGTATAGGAATGCATATTGCTGCAAAATTATAGCATCATGGACTTTAGAGTTGAAAGGAATTTTAAACGTTGAGACTGATTTTTATTTGACACAAAAAGAAATGAAGTTCCAGAGAAGTTACATGATGTAACCAAGGTCACACAACCAACTGAAACACCTAGGTATTAGTCCATGTTTTGCAAGGACCTTTGACACTGCTGTTTTCGTGATATACTGCATTAGAGTAAGACACTAAGAGACCCTAGGTATGAAAAAAAAGATGTAACATTAAAAATAAATACAACATTAAACTTAAAAAGATTAGACTTACAAATTTTACTAAAGGGAAAATAAACTGTTGCCCCCTAGATGTTTTGATTGCAAAATTCTGCAAAAGTTCATTAGAGATGAGGTTTTCTATTTTTTGTTTATATCCTGCTCACCCTGGTGCTTTGTAGCACGTAGTCAGTCTTGCCAACTGGGTAGATAACCAACAATGATACATGCCATATATTTTGAGAGTAAGCACATTTAAAGAACAGGAGTCCCACACTCTCTTTTTCCCTTTGGTTCTTCCGTGAGGGCTCTGTGAGGGGGAGGAATTTCAGGAGTTAAACGTTTAAGGGCTCGAAAGGGACACCGGGCCAGAATCCCCCAGCTAAGCTGGTTCTGGCATTATCTTGCTAGCAGTCATTTCTAGTCACTTGGTATTTGTGCCATGCCTGGCCTCCTTAGGAATCTGAGGAAGGACTAAAGCCTGTTTGGTGTGATCACTTTTTCTGCCCCAAAGGCTTCCTGCATCACCAGCCAAGAACCCAACCCAATGAGTGAGTGAAGAGCCAGAAAGACCAGACTGGTGCACACAGGGACATTGGCTAATTTTAGATCCAGGGACTGGGTGGGGACCAGATATGAGGGTGGGGATCTTGGATGGAGGCCACTTGAAGATTGAAGGCTAAATGTTGGGGCCTAAGACTCTCCAAGAACGTGCAGGAGAAAGACTTTGTGGGTCCCATGGAGCAGACATAAATAGGGGGTGCAGTGATGGACACAGGAGTGTGAAAGTCTCCTGAGAAAAGTGGAAAAGGCCTTTTCAGTCTAGTAAGTTGATATATTAACTCACACCAATCTTTTCCTCCATTTCAGAAGCAGAATTTCCTTCATTTGCATAGCCCTTTTTACACTGATCCTTTTAAGACTGGAAGGCGATTGTTACTTGATAAACTCAAAGAATTGAGGACAACAGACAGATGACAGACAGAATAAAAATGAACACAAGTGATGACCACACCATTCAGAATCATAGGTTGCCACTCATCCTTCCAGGCAAAGTTGACTGTAAAATATAAGATTGACTCTTCTTTTAGTATTTTGAATTTTTTTCCGTATCATTTTAACTGGGAGATTTGCTTGATTAAAATTTTCAAAGAGGATTTCAAAGCAGTATCCAGAACCTCTGAAAGCTGGTCTCATGGCTGAGGTGTGAGTGGAACATATTATTCTTCCGTTCCCTCACTTGGAAGCAGCAGTTGAAAATATTTAGGTTTTTTACTTCTAATTTCCACACCATGAAAACCCAGAGGCATGTTCTGATAGATGGCCAACTGGCACTTTTATAATTTTTAAAAGAGCTGACAATTAAAAAGATGTGGGATGGGGGAAAATAAAGAGAATTCCTCCCTAAAAAAGTAAACAAGTACTAATTTTTTTATTATTTGGGTGATCAGTGCTAATCAGATTGACTTTATTTGGAGGCCCTGAGAACCACATGGTACCAAAAATCCAGACTCAGAATAATGCCATGTGTGAGATACTGAGCTAAGCTTGAGAAACTAGATCCACTTCTGTTTGGAGAGGAGGTGAAGAGGGGGATGAGGAGGAGGAAAGCCCGATTTTTCCTTTGTTTCCTTTTGAAATAAAGCAAGAAAGTGCTGAAACACCCTTCTTAGGCTGGTGGGAAATCAAGGCTAACTGATCCCAGGTGGATTAAGTAGCCAGCGAGTCCAGGAAATGTCTAGTCCAGTGACCTTCTGACAGGTAGGGGGTTGGGAGCTGGCTATGCCCACCTCAGGACCTTCAGGAATCCCACACCTGCCCTCTGAGGTGCTGCTGCCTTGACCGACCTTTTCACACCCAGAGCCAAGAATTACAGCCTGTCTGAGCTCACCTCTCTGTGACCTCCCAGTCCTACTCCTTTACCCGGAGACACATCTGGGGCCCAGCTGAGCTCAGATGTTGGAAGGGCTTATCACACCCATCCTCCTCCAACTGCCCCAGGTGCCCAGGGAAAAGTGATCACCAAGGCAACAAAGGGACCTCCTGCGACCTTGGGTCACCCTCTGAGATGAACATTTGGGGAATGAGGTTAAGGGATCCTGGACCAGCACGCTTTTCCAAAAGGACACTGCTCATCCACCTCTGTAGGACTTACTGGGCCATCCTGACCGCACCACCCAGTGAATCCCACTAGAAAGCAGGTCCATACAGAGCAGAGGCCTTTTCTATTAGGTTGGTGCAAAGGTAATTTCAGTTCTTGCCATTTTTTTTTTAACAGCAACCTAATACTTCAAACTGCATTTCCACTGCCCTGCACAATGCCTGGCACAAGTGGGAATGTAGCACATGCTTGTTAAATGAATGCAGGAATGAATGAAGGAGGCTCCATGGGCCCCAATCTTCCTGACAATGTACTGTGCTCCAGAACCTATGGCCTTTTTTCTTTACCTCTCACCCTTCTTTTCTTGATCTATGCCTTCCTTTTCAAGGGCCCTTTCTCTCAGTTTCATAACACTTGGAAGGCACTCAGAGCCCATTTAAAATCAACGTGACGATGCACAGGACCATACTTATTCCCAGTTGCATTAATTTCCTTAGGCAGCCATAACAAAACACCACACACAAGGGACCTTAAACAACAGAAATGTGTTTTCTCACAGTTGTGAAGGCTGGAAGGAAGCCCAGGATCAAGGTATCAGCAGGGTTAGGTTCTGCTGACCTCTCTCCTTGGTTCATAAATAGCCACCTCTGGCTATGTCCTAACATGGCCTTTTCTCTGTACATGTGTAGAGAGAGAAAAAGAGAGAGAGGGAGTATGAATCTCTGGTATCTTTTCCTCTTGCTGTAAGGACATCAGTCCCATGGGATTAGGGCTCCATTCTTATGACCTCATTTAACTTTTTAAAATTACCCCATTAAAGGCCCTATTTTTTATTATAACCCCTTTGAGGATTATAGCTTCAACCTATGGATTTTGGGGGGATACCACTAAGTTCATAACATCAGGCAAAAGGAGTTCTCTGATGGGTCCCACAATCTGGAGGTACCACTCTGGCCCTCCTCTGGTCATGCCCTTCCCCAGAGCATGAGCAACCTACCAGATTATAGGGTCATGTCCATCCAGAGCTGGCGCTCCACCTTCTAGACTATATTCTGGGTACATGGTACCCCAAAATTCCTTTCCCAAGGAAGGACCCTGCCTCCCACTCAGTGGGTGGCCATGGAGCAGCTATTTCAGGGGAGCCAAAACAGAGCTTGGAATGTGAGCCAGTTTGTCTACACATGAGCCTGCCAGGCCCTCCATGACGTGGGAAGATGCCTGGGGAGGAAAAAGAGAGGGGGTAACCCAGGATCATGGGGCCGGAGGCTGGGACTACAGCCAGCTTACCACAAGCCACCATATTGTGGCAGGAGGACAGTACATATTTATTTAATACTTCCTTAGCTTCCTATAGAGCTTTTACATATTTAGACGTGATAGATGGGCCTCCTTTTGTACTCCTCCCCTGGGCACAGTAAATGTTACACATGGGCTCGACCTACATTCTGGTTTGTCCTAGGACAATCCGAGTTTATGCCTGATGTCCTACAGTATTATTAATACCATCACACTTTCATTTTCAATGTCCTGTTTGGGGACAATAAATTGTGTGCTCTGCTCAGCTATAAGATACAACATTAACACAGAAGTTGGGGAACCGACCGAGAAGAGGTTGATCTAGAATAATGAAATAGTTGTTAACCCACCCCTGAGCTGGCTGCAGGATGTACGAGATGTACAAGACACGCTTCCTCCCCAAGGAGTTTGTTGATTATGTCTAGGGCACCAGACTCACACTTTGCTTTCTCTAGAGAACAATGCAGGAAAGTGCACAGATGTAGTTGAGTACTTAATTAATCAGGGCCCAAATATACGGTGTGGATAGTGAAAGGAATATGACTGTCTGCAGAATTCTCCAAACTAGGGCTTCTTAGGCTGGAGCACATAAAATGGAAAACTAGTTCAACAGAAAGAATAGTAATACAAAAGGAATAGAAATCTTTCTGTACATATAAAACAATAAACAAAAGAAGCCCATGAAACTCCCTTAATGCCTCTCACAGCCCCCTGGGTTAAGGACTGAGCAAAGGTTTGAGGCATTTTCTTTTTCTGCATCCAAGTCCTTATTTTCAATTAACACTCTCATCACATCCCTTCCTGGGGACAGGAGCCTGAGGAAGCTTGAACAGGTAGGGACCATCTGGACCAGCTGCACTGGCTGTAGTCTGGTTGTTTTAAATCTCACCTTGCTCCTTCCCTCTGGTCCCTCAACTCCCTTCTCCAGATGCTCAGGCCTATATGTCTTGATCTCATGAAAGCTCTGAAGCTCTGTGACCTTTTCTGACAACTTACTCTCTGTGCTGATTTTCTTTTGCGTAAAGCACCTGCCATATGGACACATCTTCCTAGTTACCCTCTCATCTGTGAGAGTCCACTGGATTGGAGTACCACAGTTAGGTTCACAACCCTGAGTCTGTACGGAGTCTCTGAGGTCATTACCTCTCTCTTTGTGCCAGTATAAGGGATGGTTTTTTAATTGAGATCTTTATTAATTTTCACATGTAACTTTTACACAATAGATAATATATCCCCACAGAATAATATTCAGAATATACAAAAGGGAATACTGTAAAAAGCCTTATGTATTCAGTTCCTTTCTAGTTTTGCGTATTTTTTCCAGAGAGGTTTATTTTCTGTCTCTTATTATTCCTTTTAAAAAATACAAGAGCGAATATGCAAAGCATATTGCTCTACACTGGCTTTTGTTTTAAGTAAACCTTCTGTTTTAGAATAGCTTTAAATTTATAAAAAATTGCAAAAGTAGAATAGAGAGTTCCTATTAACCCCCTACACACACACACACACACACACACACCACGTTCCTCTAATAATAATAGCTTAACATTAGTAAGGTGCATTTGTTGCAATTAATAAGCCAATATTGACACATTATATTTAATGAAAGTTTGTACTTTACTCAGATGTTCTTTGTATTTACCTCATGTCATTTTCCTGTTGCAAGATTACTTCCACAACACTACAGTTCATTTAGTTGTTGCGTCTCCTTAGGAGTCTCTCGGCTCTAACAGTTTATCAGATTTTCCTTGTTTTTGATGACCTTGACAAATTTGAGGAATGCTGTCAGGTATTTTGTAGAATGCTCCTTGGCTGGGATTGTCCTGAGGTTTTCACACCGTTAGACTAAGGTTATGGGTTCACACAGAGGTAAACTGCCATTTTTCGTATCAAAGGTACATGCTGTCAGTATGACTTACCACTGGATATTAACCTTGATCACCTGACTGAAGGTGTTTGCTAGGTTTCTTCACTATGAAGTTACTTTTTTTTCTCTCTTTGCACACTCTTTGGAAGGAAGGCACTAGGTACAGTCTACACTTCAGAAGTGGGATTTATGCTCTATCTCCTTAAGAATAACTGCACAAATTATTTGAAAACTTTTTGCATAAGAGATTTGTCTTTTCTCCCCCATTTATTTATTTATCCAGTCATTTATTTGAGTGACATAATTTGTATGTTGGTATAATGTCAGATAATTTCCAGGATGAGTGTCTTAATCCATTAGGGCTGATGTAACAAAATATCATAAACTGAGTGGCTTGTAAACAATAGAAATGTATTCCTCAGAATTCTAGAGGCTGGGAAGTTCAAGATCAATGCACCAGCATATTCAGGGTTTGGTAAACCTTCTTGCCGTATCCTCAGGTGGTGGAGGGGTGACACTCTCCCTGGGGCCTCTTTTATTAAGGGCACTAATCCAAATCACTAGGGCTCCTCGCTCAGAGCCCCCAATCACCTCCCAGAGTCCCTAGCTCCTAACACCATCACCCTGGGGGTTAGGATTTTAACACATGAGTTATGAAGCAATGTAAACATTTAGTCCATCGTAATGAGGAATTGCGGAGTCAGAGGAATATGTGCTTGTCCTTTTGATGGATGTTGACAATTGCCCTTCAATGAGATGGCTCCAGCATACATTTCCGTAAGTGGTGGGTGGGCAGTGCCTATTTCACCCAGCTTTTCCCACATGGTGTATACATAAATTATTTTATTTTATTTTTTCACAGGTCTTAAATGTGGGAAATAGTCTACAGTTTGGAAGACACCAGAGAAAAATGCTCCACAGCTCGCCCTGGTGACTCACTACAACTTATGGGAAGATGTGAGATTATTCTGTATTCTAATGTATGTTAGAAGGCACACTCCACCCAAAGCCTTCCTGTGTGTTCCTCCCTGTGAGCTCACATCCCGTTCACCAGCTGACTGGGAAGGGAAGTCAGGACCAGCCCTGACCCCATCACACCATCATAACCTCGGGATGGCAGGGCTGGAAGGCACCTCAGACGTCATCCTTTGCAGACTCTTCATTTTACAGTGAGAGGCATGACGTGTCCACAGCTGGTTAGTGCCAAAGCCTGGGACAGGCTTCACATTGTCCAGCTCTTAGTCAGAGCACTGTTGACAATGTCTGCCTTCACTTGGAATTCAGCACCTGCTTTCAGTATAAACCCCTGCATTTCACTAAAACTGAGCAGACTGCTGGTTTAAAAAAGAGAGGTCCATCCAGCAGGGATGATGCTTTTCCTCGTTGAAAGAGGACATTCACCTAATGGGAGACCTGGAGTCAGAATCTTTCTGATGTGTGACTTGGCACAGTAACACAATGCAGGATGCTGGTGTGTTAATAAAAATAAAAATTGCATCGCCTACCTCAGAGTCGACAACAATGTCAAGGAGTTAATGTGAGTACATCTGAAAATGTTACTAATCATGATGATGATATCAATGTCTTTTATTTGCAAGTTCCATTTGTTTTTACTGAAATAATTACTCCTGAGTGGGGCTAGAAGCCAAGCACTTGACAAGTTTGCTCTTTGAACCAGTATGGTTGTGATGTGATTTGGAGTTCCTGCTACTCCTCTCCTCTAAATTTCTTGGATTGGAAACTGTCACTCTTCAGTTAGGAATGCTGAACGGATCCCAATGCTTTAGCGGTGGCCTGGACAGAATGAACTAGGGAGGCTACCACATTTGTTTAAAAGTGCACTGTTCTAGACATCTCTATAAGGAATAAATTACTGGGCTCTGTGCTAATCTGTTTGTATGGCTATAAAGGGATACCTGAGGCTGGGTGATTTATAAAGAAAAGAGATTTAATTGGCTCATGGTTCCACAGGCTGTATAGGAAGCATGGTGCCAGCATCTTTTTCTGGTGAGGGCCCCCAGAAGTTTAAAATCATGGTGGAAGGTGAAGGGGGTGCAGGTGCATCACATGGCAAAAGCAGGGGTGGAGTCAGAGGGCAAGTGTTCCATGCTCTTTTAAACAACAACCAGATCTTGCATGAACTCAGAGCCACAACTCAGTTATCACCAAAGGGATGGTACTAGGCCATTCAGAAGGGATCCACCCTGATGAATGATCTAATCACATCACAACCATACTGGTTCAAATACAGATGTGCTGATTGTTAAAAGACCGAACTACTTCTTTACTGGTTGGTAAATAGTCACTGCTTCAAAAACCCAGGGTGACACCCCATTTTGATCACTTCTTGTTCACCCCATTTGTGAGGGAGAGATTCCCCACCCTACACAGAATGAGATGGCTGAACATGATACCCAACAATGGACAGATGAGATTAACAGCAGTTTAGTAGTCACATTTACTCACAGCTCACAGGAGGAGGATGCCAAATGCCTTGCAGGGCCACATGGAGATTGCACTTGGGAATAGAGTGAGCAAGCAGAGGCTGTAGGAGGCCGACTCTGCAGTAACAAGAGGGTGAAGTGCCCCCTGATTCCCACTGGAGGAAGTAGTTGGTTTGTCTGAATACTTTTGTAGGCTTGCAGGGAACTAAAATTCACTAGGTTGAAGGCCACGTGGTGTGCAGCTGGTCTACATGAGAGGTGAGTGAAGGGGTATATGTTACAAGACCAGGAGAATTCACAGTTAGGCCTTTTTGGGTCCTGTGAAGCTAAAACACGTCAAGGCAGCACATGAAATTTTAGGCCTTGTAATAAACACGACCACTCACTTTCCAGCCCTGTACCCAGCTTGCATCTGGATTGCCCCAAGATCCAGCAACAAAAGCATTAATGTGTGGTACAGCAGAAACCTCCAGTCCCTGATCCAGCACAAAGGCTACTTGCTGTCCTTCTGATTTGGTCATGCACATGCTTTACCAGCTGTTAAATATTTTGAATATCATCCTGGCCACAGCCATTAACACATGGTAGAGCACTGTGACTCAGACCCTTTTTCTCTCCTCCTCCTTGTCCAAAGCTCCCAGGAGTTTTATTCTTCCTGTTGACTGTACAATTGGAATGGCCTGAAAAATCCTTATCTCCCCCATCCCTTCTTTAAAACCTTGTTCCATCCAGTTGGAACTAGAAAGGAGAATGAACTAATTCATACTGAGTTGCTGGTTATTCACTATTTCCAGGAATATTTGTGTTTTAAGAATAGACTCTGCTTTAAAGGAATTGTGTTTTAAAGAGTAGACTCTGATTTAAAGGCAAGCCATGAGCCTGCAAGCCAAACCTAGCCCACACCTGCTTATGCACAATTCTCAAGCAAAGAATGATGTTTATATGTTAAATGTTAAAAAAGAAAAGAAGAAAGAACATGCGATGAAGACTATATGTGGCCTGTTAAGACTAAAATATTTACTATTTGGATCTTTATAGAAAAAGTTTTCTGGCTCCTCACTTAAAGCAAAGATTATCTAATGGTAGAAATGAGGACATTAATAATAGGCTAGGACACTGATTTTGGAGCAGGAGTTCTCATCTGGTTCAAGTGGAAATGCTAAAATCAGAGAGATAAACAGAGAATAAAACCAGATTAGAAAGCTGAAGTCGATAATGCCAAAAGGGCCATTGGCAGGAGAGTGTTCAGGACCAAAGAGCTGAAAACAAATGTAAAGAGGCATAAGTATATTAGGGCAGAAAAGGTGGTTCTGGAAGGGTTGCCAAACCCATCCTGATATATATTGTTTTCTTAAGGGCCCAGGAGCTGGGGAGTCTTCAAAAAACAAAGGTAGACATAGATGGAATGTGCAACAGTGAATCAAAAACCATGTAAAACTGACCTACCTGAGGACATAATTTTTTGTTCTCTTCTTACCCTCATATGCTGTTACAAAGAAGAGGACTGGAGGGTTTGAATGGTGTCTTCCAAACAAGACATCCTTGTCTTTGAAATATTAAATGCTAATAAAATTGGCACTTGATATGGCCTGGAATTGAGATAAAGAAAATGGGTAGGCCAGGCATGGTGGCTCATGCCTGTAATCCCAGCACTTTGGGAGGCCAAGGCAGGGAGATCTTGAGGTCAGGAGATCGAGACCATCCTGACCAACATGGTGAAACCCTGTCTCTACTAAAAATACAAAAATTAGCTGGGCGTGGTGGCACATGCCTGTAATTCCAGCTACTCAGGAGGCTGAGGCAGGAGAATCACTTGAACCAGGGAGTCAGAGGTTGCAGTGAGCTGAGATCGTGCCACTGTACTCCAGTCTGGGGACAGAGCGAGACTCTATCTCAAAAAAAAAAAAAAAAAAGAAAGAAAGAAAATAGGTTAAAGTAACATGAATAAGAACCTTTTTCATAGAAAGGATTGGAAAGGTGAGAATGAGTTTCTGAAGGACTACGTGGAGTTTCTCTTCCTGGAGCCACCTTATGGCAGTCTGTTGTGCCCAGGAGTAAGGCCTTCCTGGCACCTGTGAATCCAACTTGGCATTTCTGCCTCCTGGAACCCCAACAGAGTCTTGGAGGCAGGCTTCTGGCCCGGCATTTCCACTACGTGCTTGCATGCATCTTTGTTTCGAAGGGAGGATTGGTGGGTGGGGTGCTGTAGTCTGGGAGACAGTGGGTGGTAAGAGTTTCCAGGAGGACAGAGACAGACTGATTGGCCCAGCTAGTTAGGGTGCATGGTGTTAATGAGGCCAGGTCATATCCCGGTCTCCCACCACACCCAGCCAGCAGTCTCCTTTCAGGGGTCACAAATTTCACTCTTCCCCAGAAAGGAAGCGCCAAGGGAGAGGGTGGGGATAACTCCATGCAAAACCATCTTCTCTGCTGAAAGAAGAATCCTGCTGGTGGATGGTTCTTGGCCTCTTCCTTACATATATCATCTCTCATTCATTCAGGACATGAACACATAGGACACTGCATCCGTTAGTTTTGGCTGGTTAACAACCTTCCCCAAAAACTGATGGGTTAAATCAATCACTGTTTATTTAATTGACAATCCTTTGGGTCAGCTGAGTAGTTCTTCTGGTTTAGGACTTCTCAACTGATCATTCCCCCACTTGCTTATGCATTTGCAGACAGCTGGAGAGTCTGCAGGGGGCTGGATGACTTAGGATGGTCCCACTCACACAGTCTAGCAATTGCTTAGTTGTCAGTCAGGGTAATGTGGGACATAGGACTTTGTGTCTCTTATTCTCCAGTAAGCCAGCTTAACTTTCTTCCCATGCTTTGGTGGCAGAAGACCTAAGGGCAGCAAGAGAAGGCAAACTCCCATGCATATTGGCCTCTAAAAGTTACAAAAATAGGCCAGCGGCGGTGGCTCATGCCTGTAATCCCAGCACTTTGGGAGGCCGAGGCAGGCGGGATCATGAGGTCAAGAGATGGAGACCACCCTGGCCAACATGGTGAAACCCCATCTCTACTAAAAATACAAAAACTAGCTGGGCGTGGTGGCAGGCACCTGTAGTCCCAGCTACTCGGGAGGCTGAGGCAGGAGAATCACTTGAACCTCGGAGTCGGAGGTTGCAGTGAGCTGAGTTTGCACCACTGCACTCCAGCCTGGCAACAGAGTGAGACTCCATGTCAAACAAAACAAAACAAAACAAACTTACAAAAATATTGGCTTAGACTTATTCTAGAAACAGAAGTGATAAGATGGTATTAATACATTTTACACAAATGGTGGTTATTTTAATGCAGATGCTATACTCAATGCTTTACACATATTATCTCATTTAATCTCATGAGGTAGGCTGTAAGCATCTGGTCCAAATTCACTCTGCTATAAAGTGGAAGAGCCAATATTCAAACTCCAAACTTAAACCACTATCACACACAATCACAACTCATAAATTTTAGGAATTGCATGCCTGTTCCAACCATGACACCATTGTTCAAAACTCCACCTAAATTCCTGTTGTCAAATCCACAGAGTCTTGGCAACACAGAGGCCACTGGACAGAGGCATAACCTTGCGTGGCAGCTGCACGGGAATTGGATTTGGCTCAGGTGTTTCAGATGACTAAGGTGAGTGATCAAGCTATATATTTTTGGATGACAACCAAAGTGTAATGAGAAAGAAAGATGATTCAGTTGTGTAGATTGTAAAGTTTTGTGTACCATTTCATCTTTGTAGTATTGGAATTGGGATTTTTAGCTCTTGTTCATAGAGCCAATGCTGCTTAGTCTTTCTGAGACATCAGGCAAATTCTCTTTTTCCATGTTTCAGATTTCTCCTCTGTATAATAAGGGGCTTAGGTTCTACGGTTTCTAAAAGATCCTTCCAGTCCTAGAAATCTCTGATCCTACAATATATTACCCCTTAGAAATGATTATTTTAACGAAAAAGAATGTAAATTTCTCATCTTCAAAATAAAGACATGCCTTTTCCACTACCCCCACTCTCCCACTTTATGACATGGAGGAGATTGAGAAGATGCTGTTTAGTGACAGACCAGATTCCTTTGGAGACCAGGGAGTTGGGGGGAGTACAAATATCATATTCAGGACAGAAATTCAGACTTCAATGCTGCAAGTCTTGCCTCTCAACTCTCCATGCACTATCAATTTTATTATTTATCTACTGACTTTCCTGAGTAGGAAAGAGATCAGGTCAAGTAGCATACAATATCCTTCTTATTCCCCTGCGGATGTCTGAGGCTTCTTTCCCCTTTGGTCCAATCTGATTTGTATGTCTTCTGGGTTAATACCCCCAGAGTGCTCTAGGCTGCTTTCTGCCTAAATGTCACATAAATCAAAGTGTGTAATCTTGCAAGGGTGAGGAGTGGTGGAGAGTCAGCCAGGATCGAGATGCTAAGGACAGACTGAGCCATCCCATTTCCCCACTTCCCAGACCTTGTTCTTGCCCTCCTGCAAAGCCTTAGGAAGGCCTCATGGGGGGAGCTTGAACTCATTCCCACGCACTCCTGATGGTTCCAGCTACTCAACCTTTTACTAAATGGCTCTGCACAGCTGTTTCTAGTTACGTGTCTATTTACGTTGTTGGTGTACGTGTGCTTGTGTACCATGTGTGCATCTTATCCCCTCAGTTCCCCAGCTACCCGAGGCCTCCAGTGAATCCACATGATGTCATTTGGAATCCCAAGTGGAGGCAATCACAAAGCAACATAATGTTCAAATTCAGCAAGCATTTACAAAGGTTGTATGCATCTTCTTTGTCATTCATAAAGGCAAGGGAAGTTAGAATTCAGGAAATAAGATGCAAAGACTCATGAATGTCTTCAGATTCCAAAAGAGTAAATTTTACTATTGGAGTACAGTTAGATTGTAATCCTCTTGAAACAGATACTTTTTCCTTTCTTAATCACCTAGATGACAAATGTAAGACTTACCCCTGACTTGGTCCATTGATTTGTTCATTCACTAATTCAACAACATTTACTAAGTTTCTCCATGTACACTGGACTGCTCAAAGCTCTATAGGAGATACAGTAATGTGCTTTGCTGCCTCTGAATGGAGCAGTGTCCCTCCCAGCCTATGGGCATGGCTAAATTTTAGAAGGATTCTTCTGCTTGTCTTCAACTTCAAAGATCAGCCTGAACACGGAGTGAAATCACCAGTGTTCCTGGCAGGAAGAGACCCTGTTCCACACCCAACACATCATCCTAATAGTAGGCTTTTGACACAGTCCTATTAAATAATGAAGCATGTCTCTGTCTAAGTTTATATAATCAGTACTTCATAATTCAGAAACTTTGCCTCTCAGAGGTCGATCAGCAAGCTCAGTGAGTTCCTATAAACCAGTTTGAAAGGAATTACTGTCTGGAGGCATACTCCCCATTCTGCCTGCCATGGTTGCCAAATGGTGGCTTTTCTAATTTTTTCATTCCTTTCTGCATTTATTAATTGACTTTCTAATATAAGGAAGAGCTTTCTTTTCCTCCTACTCATTTAGTTAAATCAGATTTTTCTGATTTAACTAATAGGCTATAATCCTTTATTATTACAAATTTATTTTGATGTCCACGATGTCCCAGAGTTGGCCAGTAGAAGCGCCCACAATCTGGCTTCCGTATCCTTTTGAAATGTCTCCATCATTCTTTGGGAACATTCTTAATTTCTGAAAAAAAAAAATATATTTCAGGTTCATCTTTTACTTTCTCTCCCTTAGCTACAGAATCAGTCATTTTTTTTTCAAAGAGCCCTAATTCCTTTTAGTAGAGAATAGTATTTAAAAACCAAGATCGGGAAGCCAGGTGGTCTCGCTGCACTGCAATTCCTTGGTTTTAGGCCCTCTAAGAATACACAGCTAGGAAATAGATTTATGTACACACACACACACACACACACACACACACACCTGCATCCACATACATCTCAATATTTATATCCACATAGGTCGATCTCTTTTTGTAGCTATCTAGATAGTATATGCCATGAGTTCTCACTGAAAGCTCCAATTCCAATCCAACACCACTGAAGTGTTGCTAACATTTCCCCTCACCATGTTTGTAACTACCTTCTCTTATAAGGTGAACACTGGCTGCCATCTTCTATAATATATTTACTTATTTGCTCAATACTAGAATTCACACAGAATAGTTTCAGAATTGCTATCCTGTGCCTCTATGAAAAGCAAGCCTCCCTCCACAGAACCAATGATTGTTTAGAATTTTATTCTTTGGCCCGAGCACATCTTGTCAAAGAATACATGAGTTAGTTAGTTCTTTCTTTAGCATCAGGTTAGTTTTTCTTTAGCACCAGCCTTATTTCCCCTCTTCAACATCGCTTTGAGACATGCCCTGAATCTTTGTTTTAGCCATCTCCAAAATAAGCTAAAGCCTCATTTTTGGTGCTCTGGTGCTGCTGCTGGAGCCAACACATGTCTCTCTGGAACACCAAGTAAATATTCAATGCATGTTTGCTCACTCCGCCTTCCTGTGAAGCTAATCCAACAAATAGATGACAGAAATATCTTCATTTCCACAAATGCACTTGTGAGCTTATAATAAGAGTCTTATCTCCCAGGGCTATCCACATTCCCATGGCTTCCCCATTCCCCATGTTTAGATACCAAAATCCTTCTTCACTTTTAGACAAGTCTTAATTCATCTTCCCTATAAAGGCTTCGTAATACCTCTTTACCTAAACATAGAGCCTAGCCCCACAAATGCCGTGTTCATAGATTTAGAAGCTCGTTTCATATTTATCAAGTTCTCACATTCTCCATCTTTCATATTTTAAAATATTTATTTAATTAAATTTATGAGCCAGAAATTGAAAAACATATGGAGTGAAGGGAAGGAAAGAAGGAAAAAAATAGCTCATTCATTCAACTTTTCCCAGCTGCCATTCCTGACTCGGGAGATTTGGCTGAGTTCTTGGTTAATGCCATGCAATAAAACTTCCATAGGATGCCAAATTTAGGTCCAGCATGAAAAGAAAACAAAATCCCTCCTATAAGACAAACTATTCAATTTGGAAATGGGATTTTTTTTTTAAGTCCTGCGCTTAAACCTTCATAGTGATTGTTTCCACAAGGGCGAGAATCAGCCCACCCCTTGGAAAGCTTCTGAATGGGGCAGTGTAGAAAATTTTAAGAAACATTTATTTCTCTGAATGGAGAACTGTTACTCTTGGGGGCTCTGCTTTCTCCTTTTTGGACAGAATCCACTCTGCCCTATCCCGGCTAGAAGAAGAAAAGGTGTAGCGTGCAGGCAGGGAGGACGAGTCCAGGTGCTGGACACTGCACAATGGGTCCTATTCTTTGTTATTTGCAATCCATCTTTCTCAAAGTTGGCTCACAAGAAGTACATCTCCTTGTGCAGTTAACCCGCTGGACTACCCTACCTGAGAACATGGGTGGGTACTTTCTCAACACATATAAGGTCCAACACATGACAAGTGACAGAGTGAGATGAAGCTTTCCAAACTGGCATGAGTTTTGTACAGTTTCATATATGGTCTGATTACCTGGTTACCTACGGTCTGGTCACCTGGTGACTTTTATTGTCCTGTCTCTACCTATGTATGTATGTATCTCCACCTATATACTTTTATTGTCGTATCTCTACCTATGTTTTACACACACACACACGCACACACATTATATATATGTTATGTTGCAGTTATATTTTATTATCACTTTTAAGATGGAAAGTTTTGCATTCCAGGAAACCCTCAGTCCTGAGAAGACTGGGGCATTAGATCACCCTGTGTTGCAGAGTTTTTCAAATGGCAAGTATTAATTATTATTTAGATTGCACATGTATTTACGCCCCAAACTAAAATGCTCTGAAACCACATCTTTAATAGTTGGAATTCCAGGCCCTTTCTGTGGTTCCTTTGACCTGCTATTGCAGAGAATATTCTGTGGCTGTGAATAAATCTTGGCCAATCTTCTATAAGCAAGAAAGGAGCCCAGATGCTCCCCTCAAGATGAGACCCAGAAAGAGAAGTCTGGTTGTCACCACATGATCTGCCAGGGTTTCCTAATGGATCTGCTATTTCAAATGACGAACCTGATTTGGCAAAGCCAGAGGCCCCTCTCATGACCTATGTGTAGTGAGAAGCTCCTCTGTGTGTCACTTGAATGTTGAAGGGTCATGGCATTTATTTTGAAATAATGATAACGCTTTGCTCACAGGACATACATGCCCATTTGGATCCAGGCAAGTTTTAGCTCAGGCAGCACACTGTTTTCATTACTTCTTTCTCATGGTGATGTACAGTCTAGTTTGTAAATCCAGACTTTCCCTTTCCTTGGAGTGAGTTCCTTCTCAGGAGTCTTGTTCTGCTGTCCTATGGCTTATCATCAGTTGGGAACATCCTAGTTTATTAGACACTGGGTGTGCAATACTCATACTGCCCATCTCTTCCTGTACCTATGGCTGCATGGATAAAAAGGGAAGGCGGGTCACCCATGTTTACCGGCCAGAAGCACTTGAACCCCAGAGGAAAACTCATCTATCACAGAGGGTGGGAAAGGAAGAGTTGAGGAGAGGGACTCTGCCATGGTAACTGGGCTGCAGGCCCTACGACCAGCCAAAATATTTTACTGCATGGCATTTTATAGCACATAATCATTGTCTTAGTCAGTCTAGGTGACTATAACAAATTACCATAGACTGGGTAGCTTATTTCACAGTTCTGGAGACTAAAAGGCCAAGATCAAGGTGTTGGTAAATCCAATGTCTGTTGAGGGCCCACTTCCTGCTTTGTAGATGTCCATCTTCTTCTTGTATCTTCACATGGCAGAGAACAGAGGGAGGAAGCAAGGTCTCTCATGTCTCTTTTAATAGGGCATGAATCCCATCATGAGGGCTCTATCTTCATGACTGAGTTACCACTTAAAGGTCCCATCTACAAATACCGTCATCACATTGGGGATTAGAGTTTCAACATAATTGGATTCATGGAATCCAATTCCATGAATTTGGAGAGGGACATGAACATTCAGTCCATAGCAACCATTCATGCACTGGGGCTATGTAGGGGATAGACACTTTATTCAGCTGCAGATTCGTCTTGTACAAAGTTTCTCTTCTACGATGTCATCAAGGTCTCTCATCTGTTTGTCTTTTTCTTCCCCAAACACTATAATCTGAATGGGTTGAAACCATTTTCTGATGGAAATGTATACCTTAGACCAGTGGTCCCCAACCTTTTTGGCACCAGGGACTAGTTTCACGGAAGACAATTTTTTCCACACACAGTGGGGTGGGGGATGGTTTCAGGATGATTGGAGCACATTGCATTTGTTGTGCACTTTGTTTCTAGTATTACATTGTAATATATAATGAAATAACGATACAATTCATCATCATGTAGAATCAGCAGGAGCCCTGAGTGTGTTTTCCTGCAACTAGGTAGTCTTATCTGGGGGTCATGGGAGACAATGACAGATCATCAGGCATTAGATTCTCATAAGGATCACGTGACCTGGATCCCTCACATGCACTGTTCACAATAGGGTTTGTGCTCCTTTGAAAATCTAATGCCATCACTGATCTGACAGGAGCCAGAGCTCAGGCAGTAATGCAAGTAATGGGGAGTGGCTGTAAATTCAGATGATGCTTGTTTGCTGCTCACCTCCTGCTGTGCTGCCCAGTTTCTAGCACACCACAGACCATTACCAGTCTGTGGTCTGGGGGCTGGGGACCCCTGCCTAAGACTATTGCTCATTGTCCTGTGCAATTTTGATAAGTTCCACAATGCTGGCAAATTCACCACTATTATTCTCATTATTATCAGCATTAGTAGTAGCAGTAGTATTCGCAGTAGCTAACATCTGTTTAATAATTTGACATTACTAATATTCTTTGACAATCCTGAAAAAATGGGTAATTGAGATAATTTACATTTGTTAACTTGAGATAATAATGCATTTCTGAACGAGAACATGGAGCCTCAGGAGGTTCAGTAACTTCTTTAAGGTCACACTGCTAGCAAGTGGCTATCTATCTCTATTTTTATTAAATTCAAGAGAACCAGAAACCTCCCTGAAGTCTGCTATCTCTAGGTCATTTAAACAGAGAGACACCAACTGGAGGCATCCCAAGTAAGGAGGAGTTTTAAATCCATGATAACTTTGCAGAGGCTGTTGTTATAGGAAAGGTCAAAACAGATCTGTCTGAAAGCTGTCCCCACCCACTACAGAAGCAAGAAGGCCTCCAGGCTGAAAAGACACTGGAGGCAATTTAATACAGCTGCCCTTAGCAGGATAGCACTTTGGTATTCTCCTTTAAATATTTATTTTCTAATTTATTGAAAGGTGATAGTCACTGCTACATGGGGAAAGGGTGGAGGACGGTGACCCTTGCTGGATGCTTTCTACTTCCCTCCTTGCAAAATAATTTGCTGCACTTTTTCTTTGGAAAATGAATGATAGCATCAACAGATTCACCCTCCTCAGAAAGGAATTTTAGCAGTCATCAGTCCTCTCACAGGCCCCCTGGGGGTCTCGCATTGTCTGTTTGCACCTGCAGCCCTTCCCCCAGTGTGGCATGTCCTCATAATCTTTGACAACTTCATGGAATGCCCTCCTGGGAAATCCAATTTTATCCTTTTTGCTGCATTTCTGGGTGCATTTTAGCATTTCTTATGGATTAGCACTTCAAGCAGCCATTTCATAAGCTTATTCCCCATCTATCTTGGCATTTATACACAGACATCAAATTGTATTAGAATTGAAAATGGAAGGGGGAAGGAGGGAGAGGTGGAGAGTATCTGAGTAATCAATTTGGTTCTCTCCTGCCCTTAGGCTGTGTTGACACAGCTTAGCTCTCGCCTGCTCCTCCCAGGCAAGCTTATCTGCTGCACACTGAACTCCATTAATCTTCTTGAAAGGCAAATGTGTTCAGGACAATGTTAACACTTAGCTCTCCTGAAAAGAAGACAGATTCTATGAGGTACAGAGTCAGGGCTCCAGGGCCTGCACTGGCAGTTCAGACAGGCCTCAGCCAGAAGGATTCCGTGTGGAAAGAGTGGACAGCAGAGCAATGGGCTTTGTGAACCCAAATACCAGCATCAAACCAGGTCCAACTAAACCAAACCAAACTAAGGGAAACCAAATATCAACAGAAAACAAAGCCATCCCAAAGACAACAACGACCGAATAAATGCCTGGCCCATTTTGAGGCAGCATTAGCCAGATTTACCTTTGGGTTTCAAGTGGACAAAACAACTAAATGATCATTATTGTTTAAATTTTAACAAGTGATTGGCATTGTGTGAGGAGTCCACACAATAATAGTAAATGACTTAAGAGAAAGAAGTATTGTGGAGTATGTATTTTTGGCCATAAAGACACCTAAAGCATTTCCCTTTGATCACCATTGCAATATCTGCCTTGTGGAGCTCAGAGCTGCCCTCACACAGGCAAGAGGATGATCTACCTGGCCCTGTCCAGGAGGCCCTGCTCCAAGACCTCCCCTGATACCAACCACATAGTCTCTGGGATCCAGTCATTGCACTGGAAAGAGGAATGAATTGATATCTGTTTTGTGGGCCCCTTTGTGCTGACCCTCCCATGTCATGTCACCACTGTCCCCCTGCCTCCTTATTTTCTTTCAATAAGGAGATTTGATAGACCATTCTTATCACTCATAGATCTGTAATCCCTGGCTGCATCCATTTGCTAGAAACCCTGAAAGACACAGGGTAATTTTTAATGTTTCTAGGACAGGAATTTGAATAGCCATACAGCTCTCTCCTGCACCCCAGTATCACAGTATTCATTTATTATATATGAACCGAATCTGGGAGGAGGGGGTTGCTTCTCAGTAGGGCTTTATTACAAGAGCTATGGAAACAATTTAATGTAACTTCATTGACTTACATTGAGTGATTTTTTTTTAAACCTGCCATATATCTGCCACAGATATCCAGAACCTATTGTATTGTACGTGTAGCCCCCATCCCCATGCTTGCTTTGGGTAGGAAAGTGTCTGGGTAGGAAAGCAGGGGAGACATGTCACACTGGGGGCCAATTGGTTCACTTCTAAGGGTAAGTAATAGGAATCCCAATTTTGGCCACTTGATGTATGTCCCCAAACCAGTTTTCCAGGATTATTTATGGCTCCATGCTTTGCACTTATAGGGTGGCCTCAGAAGGCTTTCCTCCATTAACAATCCCATCAGGTGACTTTGAGAGCCACTTCCATGAGATGGCTGTGTTGACAACTCAGAGAGTTCCACCACAAAGGCTGACTCAGTCCGAAAAAATGACAGCACATAGATGGAAGGCAACAGGTGAAAAGCAGAGGTCAGACTTTCCAACGTTGACCACTCTGGCTTTGATTACACCAGGTAGATGTGTGGCACTGAAACGGGAAAGTTCCCTGATGCCCCTCACCAGATGTTTGACAAGGATGTGGCCCACCCGTTCAGTCGCCCTGCTGCTGAAACCCCTTGTGGGAGGGAGAGCAGGCAGGCAGGTGCAGAGGCTGGGGTGAGTGCTTTGGGCTTCAGCCCCATGGTAGTGTCTAGGGATGGGTGCTGCAATCCCACTGTTACAAAGCTCTTTCAGCTTTGCTGTCCACAGAGAGCTTGAGTGTTAACCAGCTCAGTGGACCCTCTGCCTTTTTACAAGGGCAGAAGGCCAGTGTGACAGCTTTCTGTAGCCCAAGCTCTTGCCCAGTGTCCCAGAAAAATTGGGTCACACACAGTCTTGAAGGATGAATGTGAGGTTTTATAGAGTGGTGGAGCTGGCTTTCAGTCAGATGGATGGGAACCCAGAAGCTGGGGATGGAATGGGATGATGATCTTCCCCTGGAGTTGGGCTGCCCAGTGGCTGGACTCCTCTCCAACCACCCCCAGCTGAACTCCTCTCGGTGTTCAGATGTTCCTCCTCTTCCTTCTTTCTCTGCCGCATCGTTTGGCTGTCCACCTGCTGGTCTGCTGGTTTGCTGGTCTGCTTCTGGAGCCCGGGCTTCGGGGTTTATATGGGTGCATAATAGGGGACATGGCAGGCCAAAAGCCAACTTTTTGGGCACGAAAACAGGAATGCCTGTCCTCATTTAGTGCCACGGTCTTCAGGCTTGAGGGTGGGGCCTTTGCCGGGAACCACCCTCTTCTACCCAGTATTTCGGTCTCCTGTCCGTATCAGCACCCTTGTGCAATTGCTCATGGTTAGGCTAGCTACTGCCCTCTTGACTTAGTAAATACCCTACAGCCACTGTCCCCATAGACATGGCCTGTAAATACTTTGTGTAAAAGATTTGCCTTTCTCTAATTATATGCCAGATGTTATGAGGGCCCACCAGCCAATGGCTCATATACAAAGGAAGCTTTCTCTTTTTCTAACCAAGTGACTGCCTTGGCCCATAGAGAAATGAACTCTTGTCACCTGTTAACACCTTCTTTCTGCTCCTTACTAGCTGTCCAAAAAAAAAAAAAAAATAGATACAGTGTGTATCTAATTGGTGAGGGTGGGCCTGGTTACCATTAGACAGTATTGTCTGTGCTACTAAGTAAGATTACTTTGCCTCAAAAGCAAAACATTCATTCTCTAGTGTGCTTTCCTGATTTGTGGAGGACTCACTTTACTCTGACAGTGTCTACATGTTAAGTGAACAAGCCAGGAAATCCTCCCTCTTTCTGTTTTTGCTTTTCCACCAGTGTCTGGGTAAGAAAGTGGGGTAGACATGTCATACTGGGGGCCAATTAGTTCAGTTCTAAGGGTAAGTAATTAGGAATCCCAATTTTGACCTCCCATTTGATGTATGTCCCCAAATCAGTTTTCCAGGAAGATTTATCATCTGGATAACAAAGCTGGTGTTTTCATCCCATTTGACTCAAGTATTTCTGTGTATATTTGATTGGCAAAAACCCTGGAAGGAAAGAAGATGCCTTCAACCTAATCTTTACCAATGACATTAGTAACATCACTCTGACTGACTTCACACCTGCTGCTGATGCTACAGCGCAGCCTCTTCTCAGAGCAATCCCACGTAGTATCCTGTGAGACATAGGTGGTGTTTCACTTGTGCTCAGAAACCAGTCCCTTTCTGCTTCAGTCTCCTCATGGCAAAGTGTTGCCCACAAGTCTTTCAAGGGAGGAGTTTCCCCGTATCTGCTGCTGCAGGTGCCTCCCCTGATCCTCTGCGAGGCCACTGTGGTTCTCTCTTCCTTACACTGCTGTTGGTTCTTGCACAGAAATGGGAAGTTTGTCCTTATGTTTATTCCGGGTAAACTTGGCATCTGGTTTCCAAGGATCACTCCTTATGGTCCAGATTTCATTATGGAAGATGCTTCACATCAAAAGCATCTTTAATTTCTGCTGAAATCCTCTCCTATATCTGGTCAATCTCATCTTTTAGATTCTTAGGAGATTAGCATCTAACAGATTCTAGACTATTACCTTTATTTCCCATTCCCCTTCTGCGGCTATTGAAAGAGATCTTCCTGCAAATTGAGCCCTATTTGTAATTAATCCCCTAATCATGATAACCCCGAATCTCTGTTTCAGTTCACCAGATCTATCATGGCCACAGATTTGATTTGTATAAATTTGGTCGCTGTATTAAATAGGATTAGGCCAAGTATGCTGTAGTTATAAACAACCCCAAACCACAGTTCCCATAACAACTAATTCTGGCAGAAATAGAGAAAGAAGAATTAGGAGAGCTAGAAGCTCACAAAATTGTAGAACCTCTTCTTGATCATTCAGAGGGGAATTTTCAGGCATTTTTTACTAGAGTTCAGATTAGGATAAATAGATACTTGTACCATTGGAATAACATTCAAAACATACTGGGATCACAGAGATACAGAGACACCATAGATTCAAGAAAATTTACATTTAGCTTATGTATGTATTTATATGCTATCTGATGCTCAGAAGAACTTGAGGTAGCTTACAGCACAAATATAAACAAACAATAAAATAAAGACCAAATAAGAACAAAGACAAATAGAAAAGTAGAAAATCTAGACCATGACAAAGAAGAAAACTGATGTATAAATATAATAAAAGAGTTCAAATTTACTCCTGGGTTTCTTGGCATTACAAAGCAAAAGTGACACAATTATTATTAAGTAAACAAATAAAAAAGACAGCTTCAGAATGCCCATTCTTTCAGCTAAGCAAACTTGAACGAAACATAGAATTTAGAATCTCCCTTGTCAGCCAAGCTTTTGTTAGATTTTGAATAGCAAACAGTTCAAAGTTGCATTCATTGGTGAATAGTTGGTGTTTGCAAAAGTTTTTGAGAGCAGACGTATAAGCTCCAAATCCTGATAGAAAGATAAAGTTGAGTAGCTTCCCCCAGGTCTTTTGCCTGCCATCTGCAAACCAGAGGTTTCTATACTAGGGACTTTGGGACAGATTCCAGCACAGAAAAGGTCTCAACTGATTTACCAAGTGCTTCTTAGGAAGCTTTTGCACAAGATTATTTAGAATTGAAAAATATTCCAACCAGTTGCTCAACCTGTCTGCTAAAAGAAAAAACATAATGAAAGCTTTAATAATACTACTGTTTAATGATCGATGCGGGGTGTCCCAGTTCCTAGGGAATCTATCAGGTTGAAATAGTGCCAAAATATACTCCCTCAAATCTCAAAATTAACTAATTTACTCTTCACTTGAAAGTAAGTTGACAGAAGCGAGTGGAAACTTGGAACTTGTAGCCAATTATGATCATTTCGGTTTTGAACTTGTTTTCCATATTAACTGAGGGCTAGATCTAACTGTTGAGGTCACCTCTGATTTGTAAAAATTAAACAATATTATCAATGTATACAATGTAGCAATGTATACCTTCTTTTCTTTATTGCATCATCTGCAACGTGTTCATCTAAGGATGGTTTTACTTAGTAAAGTTATAAGCTAAAAATAAGACAGACCAGAATACAATCTCAAAAGTATTCTATAATTTGTCAGATAGTTTTACTCAACGCTCATTTTTCTGAAGTATCAAGGTGCAGGGATGCAGACTCAATATGGAAAAACACTACATAAGAGTTTATGTTATATAGTTTACCCCATATACGGTATCTGTTACAGGTCTAATATAGATTAAAAGTCCAAAAGAGTTGGAAGTCAACATATGTATGTTAAAGTCAACATATGAATGTTTAATTATAGTAAGAATTATTGGCTGGGCGTGACGGCTCACCCTTGTATTTCCAGCACTTTGGGAGGTTGAGACAGGTGGATCACTTGAGGCCAGGAGTTCGAGACCAGCCTCACCAACATGGCAAAACCCTGTCTCTACCAAAAAAATACAAAAATCAGCCAGGCTTAGTGACGCATGCCTGTAGTCCCAGCTACCGGGGAGGCTGAGGCCAGAGAATTGCTTGATCCTGGGAGGTGGAGGTTGCAGTGAGCCAAGACTGCACCACTGCACTCCAGCCTGGGTGACAGAGCGAGAGAGACTCTATCTAAAAAAAAAAAAAAAAAAAAAAAAAAAATGTATACTGACCAGAGTCAACCAATCAGAACATTTTTCAAAAAATTATGGTTTCACCTTTTGGGTAGGATGTAATAGATTATTGTTCCCACAGCCACAGTCAGACAAGCCCATACAAATTACTCAAAAAAGTCACAATTTTGAAGAATCAGAGATCTTTGGAGGCAATGAGAACTGGAAAAATTAAAGCTATAGAAAGAAAACCATTTCAAGGTGATCTGATGAACATGTCATTTTTTTTTTTCCAGTTGGGAGCATTTGACAATTTTAGATGTGGGATGAAAATTGCCTTATCTAAGACATAGGGCACCTGCAGAAGTAAAGAGAAACAGGTAAAGCTTTTGGCAGTCACACAGACTTAAAGTTACCCATTAGAAAACTTACAAGACTTCAAAGGCATGGCCATATGGGACACTTACCTAGTTTTGGGTGTGTAAGAAAGCCGAACGAACTAGATAGAAATCTTTAAAGCATAAAATTTTACACATGGTGCTAAGAAAAACCCATAAGAGCAGGGTTCTACCTCAAGACATTTCCCAAATTTAGAATTTGCGTGGAAAGTAAGGCTAAAGAGCTAAACTGAAAGTCTGTGAAGGTAAGGACTGAATCTCCCACCATTTTCAGGACTAATGCTCTCAATCACACACTTAAGAGCCATACCTGGCAAACAGAAGAAAATCAAAGGAATGAAATCATGTTATCAATGTATACAATCATGTTACCTTCTTTTCTTTATTGCATCAGCATCTGTAACTTGTTCACCTAAGGATGGTTTTATAAGCTAAAAATAAGAGAGCCCTCATGCAATCTAGTTTAGAACCTTCAAAAGTATTCTATAATTTTTCAGATAGTTTTACCCAACCCTTATTTTTATGGTAGAACTGGGTTTTACAACTGAAACCCAGGCCAGGTTTAGTTCAATTCCTGATTATATTGAAGTAATTAATGACTGACCCTTTCCCTTTCTGCCTAACAGAACAAAGGGGACCACTCTTGGTATAGAAGTTCATCTCGTCGGGAGCATCTGTGGTTCTTTTATAAGCAATGTACATTCTACAATAGAGGCAGACCCAGAAATAATTCAGATATTGGAGTTAGAAGATCAGGATTCTAAAGTAAGTACAATTAATATTTTCAAGAAAACAAAGGAAAAAGTGGACAGAAGAGATTAAAGTATGGATAAATTTAGTTAGCAATTTGAATATTTTTAAAAACAGCATTAAACATATATTCTGGAAAGAAAATGTACAATGTTTGAAATTAGGAACTCATTAAATGGACTTAGCAACAGTTAAGGTGTTTTTGATCCAAGTATTTTGCTGTCTCCAAACTGAGGTACAGAGAGGGGAAGAAAGTAAAAAGGAACAAAAAGCTGTAAGAGGCATGCAGAACATGTCAAAAAGCCTAATGTATATATGATTGGCATTTTAGAAAAAGCAGAAAGAGGAAATGGCCTAGAAGCAATATTGGAAGACATAATGACTAAGAATTTTCAAAAGCTGGTGATGATCACATAGATTTACAAAGCTTAATGAAACTCAAGCAAGATAAATACAAACCAAAGCGTATCCAAGCACATGATGGCCAAACAGCTGAAAAAACAGGAGCAGAGAGAGCGTCTCAATAGCATCCAGAGAAAAAAAGACAAGTATTCTCAAAACAGCAACAATAAGAATTATAACTGACTTCTCAATAGAAATGATGGAAGCCAGGAGAAAATGGAACAAGGAGACAGAGGACATAGTTAAAGTACTGAAAGAAGGAAATACCAAACATAATTCTATACCCAGGGAAAAGACACTTTAAACTGAAAGAAAAATATTTTTCAGGAAAAGAAATAGTAGAATTTGTCATGACCAAGCATGCTCTACAGGAAAGACCAAAAAACGTTCTTTAGAAAAAAAAAAAATCATTCCAGAAGAGAACATGAAAATGCAGGAAAGAATAAAAAACACTGGAAAAGATAACTATGTGGGCAAATATAAATTAATATTGATTCTTCAAAACAATAATTGCAATATTTTGTCATTTCAAATACAGTTGACCCTTAAACAACACAGGTTTGAACTATGAAAATTCACTTATACATGGATTTTCTTCTGCCTCTGCCACTCTAGAGACAGCAAGACCAACCCTTTCTCTTCCTCCTCTTCCTTAGCCTATTCAATGCAAAGGTGATGAGGATGAAGAACTTCATGATGATCCACTTCCACTTAATGAATAGTAAATATCTTTTCTTTTCCTTAGATTTTTTTTTTTTTTTTTTTGAGACAGAGTTTCGCTCTGTTGCCCAGGCTGGAGTGCAGTGGCGCGATCTCGGCTCACTGCAAGCTCCACCTCCTGGGTTCATGCCATTCTCCTGCCTCAGCCTCCCGAGTAGCTGGGACTACAGGCACCCACCACTGTGCCCGGCTAATTTTTTGTATTTTTAGTAGACATGGGGTTTCACCATGTTAGCCAGGATGGTCTCAATCTCCTGACCTCGTGATCCACCCGCCTCAGCCTACCAAAGTGCTGGGATTACAGGCATGAGCCACTGTGCCTGGCCAGAATTTTCTTAATAACATTTCCTTTTCCCTAGCTTACTCTATTGGAATAACACAGTATATAACACATAGCATACAAAATATGTGTTAATGAACTGTTTATATTGTTGGTAATGCTTCCAGTCAACAATGAGCTATTAGTAGTTAAGTTTCTGGGAAGTCAAAAATCATATGCAGATTTTTGGCTGTACAAGGTATCAGTGTCTCTAGTCCCTGCATTGTCCAAGGTTCAACTATATATGTAAAACTAAAACTGATGATAAATGTAATGCATTGCAAAGGGAAGTAAGTAGAATTAAAAGGTTCTAGCACTGTGGAGAAAGTGGTAAAAGTGATAGTCTGTTTTGACCATAATAAATCAAGGCTACATGTCATAATCTCCCTGATAATCACTAAAATATAGTTTAAAAAATATTCATAGAAGAAAAAATGGAATAATAAAAATGTTATTAATCCATTATAAGTCAAAAAAGGATTAAAAAAAGATAGAGGAAAACAGGTGAGCCAAAGAGCAAACAAATAATAGAAGGTCAGATATATACATGATTGCAATGTGATACATGATTATATTAGTAATTACATTAAATGTTGGCTATATTCTCCAAGTAAAAGATTAAGATTGTCAGACTAGATAACACAGTATGGATTTGCAAGTTGTTTATTTTTAGCTACAAGAACTACAAGGAATGATATTGTTGAGTCCCAACCTTAGAAGGTCTAAGTTCTATCATATTTGACTTAGCTGATCTAGAATTACAAAGTTGGGAGGTGAACTATAACTATTCAAGTCCAGGAAAATGATATTGATCTAAGTCAGATTTAGTAAATATGTAAAAGTTCTGAGATGCCTGATTATATCTAGTTTGTATTGCTTTAAAATTTAATCTAATATATTATAATGTTTTATAAAAAGAGGAATTGATTAAGAATTCAAAACTTTTAGGTAAATCGTGCTATCTTCTGGGAAATTAGACTCAATGCATGTTTATTAAAGGAAGGTATGTCCATATCAGTCCCCCAAAATGAAAAACTGCAGTGAGAAAAGCATTTTCTCTCTCCCTCCGTGTCTAGGAAGACTTGAGAGTAAGGATGAAGCCACTGAGTGCCTCACTGGCTGTCTGGTCGGAAACCTCTGCAGCCAGGGACAAAATCCTCTCAAGACATTCCTTTAATTATGACTTTAAATGAGAGGCTGGAGAATGAAGGCTACAAACATTGTTGGGTGTTAAACTCAACGAAAAGCCCAGTTTCTGTCTCAGAGAAAACTAAACAATTGTGTCATGTCTCATTCAATAGCCTCTAGGTAGTAAAATGACTAGGGTAGAGAATGTGAGGGAAGAAGCCTACCCCTTCTAAAAATGTTCAGAATCTTGATGAATATGAGCCTAAGGAATTAAATAGGACTGAAAAGGGCATTTCTTTTCCCCCTGGCAGCTCCTCAACACTAGAGTTCCACAAAAAGTCACAAAGGAGCTGTTTTTCTGAGTTTGTCAGGTGTGGCTCCTTACATGGAAATGATTGTGTCAGTAAGACTGGATTATTCTGGTTTCAATGGCTGCATTTGTTATCTGAAATCTGAGCATTGCATCACATGAAAATTATTTTATTGTATGCTAATTTATTGAAACTCAGTAATCCCCGTAACATAAAAACCATATGGTTTTGTCTTTATTTGGTTATTCAGGGAACACACCAAAATCTTGCAATGCCTCACAGATGTCATTCTGAACAATAGTTATCAAACAGCACCAAGAAGGAAAATATGATTAGTTAGGCTTTCAAAACCTCCAGATTAATGAACTCTGGACAAGCACGGATTAATCAAAGTTCATTCAAATGTTACTGAGTATCTATATATGCCATATATATTTACCTCTATTATTTCTTTTAAACCTTATAGCCTTTAGGTACATTCTGTTATTCCTGTTTTACCAAAGAGGTAATTGAAATTCTAAGAGGTTACACTATCTCTTTGAGGCCACAGAGCTAGTAATAAGGGTTTGGACCAGGACTTCTGAATCTAAGTCTAATATTCTTTCTACCACTCCTCTTGTTTGTCCACAATCTTTATATTTGTCATCACTGATAACCATAAATAATAGCAATGATAATCCAGAGAGTGGTACTTCTACACGTCTTTCTAATCTCTGCCACGTGATTTCATTCTATAAATGGATTCCTCTGAAATTCTTGAAAAATAAAATCTGAAATGCCAAAATGAGCTTACAAGATGTAAACTCATTACAACACTGTAATGAGTTTACAAGATAATAGTAATAATGATAAAGTTGGGTGAAGATGGGGCTTTGAATGCCGAGCGCGGTGGTGGCTCATGCCTATAATCCCAGCAATTTGAGAGCCTGAGGCGGGTGGATCACATGAGGTCGGGAGTTCAAGACCAGCCTAAACAACATGGAGAAAACCCGTCTCTACTAAAAACACAAAAACTTAGCCAGGCATGGTGGCATATGCCTGTAATCTCAGCTACTCAGGAGGCTGAGGCAGGAGAATTGTTGAACCTGGGAGGTGGAGGTTGCGGTGAGTCAAGATCGCACCATTGCACTCCAGCCTGGGCAACAAAAAAGTGAAATTCTGTCTCAAAAAAAAAAAAGAAAAAAAAAAAAGATGGGGCTTGAATTTAAGCATTCATACGTCAAGAAAGGCTGCATTAGTTTTCTTGGTTCTTTCTAAATTTCAACGACCAGAAATTTATTTAGGGGGCAAGGCCAGGAAGTACACAAATGTGTTTTGGCCTATGGGGGAGTGTGGGTGATGATCATGTGACTTCACTCGTGTGTAGGTGTGAGTGTGAGTCTCTGGATATTTAACAAGATGATCAATTTAGACCCACATGCCCAAGGGCAGATGGTCCTGATGGCTAAGGAAAAAGGCAACTGGAAAAAATTGGAACTGCTGAAGGAAAGATGGCTCAAGGCTCAGCGCTTCCTGTAAAGTGGCAAGTGAATTTAGCATTCGTGAAAATTTCCAGTGCTGTTTGGCATCCAGAGGGACCCAGGGAGTGCATTCTGCTTGCCTGTGCCACCTCCTTGCTCTGGCTGGGGCATAAATTGCCCTCTGACTCTGGCCTGGCACAGCACTGCCTCATGTTGAGGTCCATGCCCCTTTGTCCTCATCTGCTCTGCTCAGAGGTGCTCCTAAGGGTGCCTGCCAACTATGCTGCCAGGAAATGTGGGCACTGAGCAGAGCTGGTTCAGAAAGACGGGGAAAGCAGAAAGCAGAGAAAGAGCCCATGCCCTTGAGGGCAGAGAGCAAGGGAAGAGCATGGGCAGGATGGAGTTGATAGATGGGAGCCCAGCAAAGGTACCACGCCCTCCTTCTCACCTCCTCAAGCCACTGGCAACATCCATATTGGGTACTGGTCTTTTCTGGGTTTTCCTCAACTCTATCTAATCACATAACTAACTCAAAGGTTCTCAGGGACCAACTAATTCAATCTTATTTAATTGAAGAGAAAAACAGAGAAGTGAGATTCCTGTGGTCATCCTGAATTAGCCAAGGCCTGGGAATCAAGATGTGAGAGTCTAGTCCTTCCATATGCCAGTAGTTTTGCTGCATTATTCTGACTAGGCTGAACTGTTTTGCCAAGAACATCCCAACTCCTAGCTACTCACTGTCCCTTACACCCTCTCTACTTATTCTTAATTCTGTTTAGTTCCTGAGTCCAAGCCTCACTCAGTTTACCCCTTCCTTCCACAAACATTGTCCTTGAGCACCTTGATGGGACAGGCACACAGTGAACCAAGTCCCTGCCCACCTTCTAGTAGTGGAATTTATGTTCTCCTAGAGCCAGCATGTCAGAGGGTTTCTTCAACATCTAACTCCATTCGTTCACTTACTTTATAGTTTCTGAAAACCATCTGCATTTTTTACTTTTTAACCTGAACACTTTAATTTCCTTCTCTTCCCATTCAAATCTCCCAAAACTAAATGATTTAAATATTATTTGAAATAACAATTCTATTCACTCTGATAAGACTTTGAGTGCTTTGGTGAAAACCCCACAATGACCTCAGGCCTTATGAGCATGTCTAAGGAAAGGAGGTTACTGCCTTTTCCCAGTTTTTAAGCCCAAAACAGCAGGGGTGGGGGGTACATGTTGAACCAGCTGTATGAGAAGCAAGTATGAATGGAACATGTACACGCAGGACAGAAAATGTGTAATGGTTGGGCTGGGTGGCTGTGGCCAGCTTCTAGAGACATTCCCACTGACAGCTAGATATGCAGAAATCAGGCTGAGGTCCACAGATGGACAGAACCACCAGGGAAGGAAGCACAGCCCCAAAAGGCATACACCAAGGCTCGTTCTGGCAAATGAGAACTCATGAGGCACCCAGGCTGCTTTCCACAAATCTCAAGCAGTGGAATATGTGTGTTCATTTGTTCTACTTAATAGTGGGTTATCTAAATCTGTTGTCTCTTTCCTTCTTTTAAAAATTATTTGTTTTGTGTTCTTTTCTTCTCAGAAAACCAAAAGATCCTGCCTTACTATGCACCTATGGCCCTTCAAAGGCGAGAGTAGAATCTGCTATGATTTAGAAGCAAGCAATAAAAAGTACACATCAGGTGAGTGGATGCTAGCTAAGACCTTGGGCTTTGGGGTCAGACAGGCCTGGGTTTAAATCCTGGCCCTGTCATTCTGGGGAAACATGTTTCTGCTTTCTCCTATATGAAATAGAGGCAGTGGGTATCCTGAACATGTCACCTTTACTTGTCCAGCTTGTCAGTTAGGGTTTGGTTAGGGAAACAGAGCTGCTGTAAACATTATGGGAATAAGGGATTTTATTCAGAATTGGAGCCTGCACAGATGTAGAAGGAGGCATGAAGAGGGTATTGGAGGATTGCCCACTATGCAGTCTGCATCCTGAGTCTGTGGTGAGGCTGGACACGTTCAAGCTTACAGGAGAACTGGAGAAAGCAAGCAACACAGCGGTGGAAGTGAGACCACTGAAGGTAAGCTTGGGAGGGGGTCCCGACACCACCACATCAGTGGATCCACAGCTAAGTGATTGGTGGTGGCCTGGGGTTCTGCTGTTTAGCAGGGACAAGAGTGGAGGAGACAAACTGGACTCGGAACAAACTGGGAGCCTCTGCATCCATCCGTAACTGTCTGGCCGTGACAGTGGTTAGAGAGGAGTGGCTTCTGTGAAACTCTCACAATCTCAAATCTCCCACAAGTGCCTCTTTCAGCTAACTCTAAACTGGTACCATAGAGGAAATGGATTCTGAAAACTTGGTCTCCAACCTTAGACAAATTGAATAATTAATATGTCCTCTCCTGCTTCTTCTGTAACTGAATTTGCATTGGGAAGCAGGCCTGTCACTCTCAGACTTTGTGGTTTGAGTAGGGCTCACTTCAGCACCACCTTTTCCTCTTCTCAGCCCCACGGACTGGCATGAGACTCAGGCCTGGCCAACTGAATGTCACACACCTATGACCATCAGTTGGCTCAGAGATGGACTCAGGACACCATCACAGCCAATGAAACCCTGTTAGGGAAATTTGTCAGAACCATACAAAGAAATAGCTCCACTTTTCCATAGAGATGAGACATAAGCCTGGACTAACTGGTGTCCAATTTGCCATCAAGAGAGCATCTGAGAAGACAGAGGAAAACTGGGGAAAGCGAAGTCTAAGGAAGGTGAGTAAGGACAAGTCCAGTTGATATTACATGAATCACCTGGACCTGGAAATCAAGGCATTGCTGGATTCAAGGCCAAGAAAAATTGGAAGCTGGCTTGAATCAGGTTCTATCACTTGCAGTTGAAAAGGTCCAGACTAATATGATAACAAAGGAGCAAGTAAGCAAGATTCTGCCCTACAGTAAGTGCTCAATGCATGTCAGCTGGTATTATTATTATACAGACTTCTATTTCTAGCCCTTTTATTTCTACCACCTCTCTTCTGTGTTTTATGTAAAGTGCATAAGGATTGTTCTGTTTGGAAACATCAAACCATATAAAATGACACCAGCAGGTCCCTTTCTGTCTGTCAGTGTCCACAAGCTCAACAACCAGGATCAGCAGACAAAAACAGCTAAGCTGGAGTCAGTGTTTTTATGAAGAAACAGGAAAAGAACTTACTTGGGAACTGTAGCTCATCCTCCAATATTCTCCATCCTATCACTCTTTTCATGACAGTTTCTTCTTGGCCCTGAAGTTGCCTTGTCATGGCTCCCTGCCTCTGTCCTTTCTCTGTCTCACTTACATCTTCCAATGAGGAATACAGCAAGACCTTTGGATGAGGACCTCCAAAGGTCCTCAGTATCCTTAGGACACTCGGTGCAGAACTAGAGGGACTGAGAGGAGGAGCTTTTGCAGGTTAAATGACTAGTGAATGGCCTTTCCTTATATTTCCATTAGAAATGGGATTAGCTACACCTGAGAAGGAATGACTTTGGAACAACTGATCCCTAGCTTTCCAAAATATGAGAAATTGAGATGCAGGGAGTAGTAAGCACCTAGTTAATGAGTCAAAGCATATTTATAAAGTTCACAGGGTACATAGCATATAGCAGCTGTTCTCTATCTCAGTTGAGTTTTGACTAGGAAATGGGCTTAGGATAAAACACATAGGCTTTTGAGTAATCATTTGTAAGAAATTGTAGATAGTGACCACAGTTTAATAGCATTAGATAAATTATGAAAAGTCACTGAAATACCTTCTCTGGAAAATGTTAGAAGCTCAAGTACAATGGCTTAGTTAAAGGCAGGTGGGGGAGAAACTTGAAGAATGTGGTCCAGTACAAGAATACCCCATTTTTCCCCTAAGGCAATGAAAATGACATGAAGTAATCATAGTTATTTATACAGGAACAATTTAGGAGACTTAGAATATTCACTTCTTTTGCCTTCTAGCTGAGCATCAAAATTCTCTCTCTGTCTCTGCCTCTCTCTCTCTATTTTCCACTTCTAGCTCCAACTATTTTAAATCCCTCCCCCAATAGAACTCATAACAAACATAAAACAACATTTGTTGTATGTTTACAATAGATGTTCAAGCTAATATTTATGTAGGCTTAGCCCTGGCATTAAATTAAGGTTTGGTTCACCAACAGGGTGCCTAGAGACTTCACCTCTATTTCCATGAGGGACTGAACAGCCTCTTGAGAAGGGACTCATCAAAATGGAAGAGTTGGCAATAAGAAGTTTGGCTAAATAACCAAGCACTGAAGTTGCAGAGGAGAAAGGATTTGAAAGGCAGTACAGTGTCCAGGGGCAAGTTGGCAATTTTTAGCAGGAGGTGAAGTGATGCCAGCAGAGGTAACAGTGCTCAGAGGGACCAGTAGTCCCCAGGAGGAGCAGGGGAATCCCCAGTGGATCTGATTTGTTCAAGAGCACATGTGAGATTATCAGCTGGCGTTACAATTTTGGAGTGGCAGTGAGAAGCAGTGAATTTGAGGTCACTCAATTTGCAGACCCCAAAGGGTGAAATGTTGAGAAACATGAGTTACACATGTATTTAACAGCTCTTGTGTATTATCACAAATCCTATTTCACCTCTCATGCCCCCGAGGCTTTGGTGTCCAGTTCTCTGAAGACTTCATCAATCCTCAGCCATAAATCACCTGAGAGCAACTCACCTTGCTTCATACTATGAAGCTCCCTGATGTCACAGCATGGCAGGCCTGTGGCAACCCCTCAACACTTATGCATGATCCCAAACAGCTAGAGGATTAACACCTACGGTGTAACCCTTGACCAGCAGGAAATGGAAATTACTGTCTTTTTGTCCCCGCAGGTGAATGGTTCTAAAATGCATTTTATAAGCCTTCTGAAATAGTCCCACAGGTCAAGCACCTACTTGCTCCAGTGGTGACCAACTCAATGATGCATCCTTGGGTTGACTCTCCCTCCTTTCCAGTTCACTTTCCCCGCCCCTCACTCCTGCACCTCAGCATCACATTCCTGAATAAACCACTCACACATCTGTCTTATTTCAGACTCTGTTTGGGGGAATCCACAATAAAAATTTGTCATTTTGAGTTAAACATTGCTCTCACCTTGAAGACATATTTCCATACCTAGAGATTTCTGAAGTTCTCTCCCTTTTCCTATCATCTCCTTTGTGCTTTGTCTGACCTCCATGTTACAGAGCCCCATGATATTTAGAGCCAGTACTGCTAGGGAAGTAGTTCAGTTGTGTTTTAAATGGTTCAGCAACTTGTAACATCAACTGAGAACCAGAGGAATACACTTGGAGGCCAAGAAAAAAATGTTAGCTAATATGTACCATACAGTATGATTCCTTGGGTAAGGGAAAGTATATGCAAGTGACAGAGGAAAATTGAAAGTTGTAGCCCTTTTTTGGACTTTAGATTTGGAATTAAAGTTTCTCTTCTCTTGAAAGACCTTCTTTTTGTGGATAATGATGAATCTGAAGACCAGAACAGTGGGCCAATTTGCCTTAGTTGAGAGTGGCAAATAAATGAAGAACTGAAGAACGTATCTCTTTAACTAGTGCTCCTTTGTTGAGAAGATACAAAACAAACAATTGAAGGGTATGGATGAAGCCATTGGCTTATTCATGTCTCTGTTGATCATAATGAGATTAATATATATAGGACATTCACACAAAGAGGATATTGACTCGATGGCTTACAGATTATTAGAGTTAGAAATGTGACCTACTACTAAAGGAAGAATGTTTCAGGTGTGGATCTCTGATTTAAAAAATACACCACACTTGCCTCAGTGAAGCAAGTCAACTTAGGTGCTGATACAATGCCACTGCAGCTGTGCTGAGTTCATGAAATCAGATCCCACTCTCTTCACCTACCCCTACCGTATTCATCCTACTTTCCGTCTGCTCTGCCCTTCCCATTTGGTAACCTAGTCATGAAACACCTGGCTCTGGGTCCTTCCTTCAGCATCACTCCACGTTGTACTGCTGGCATCGCTTTTCTTGGCACAGAACCTCTTAGGGCTGCTATCCTAGGAGTAGGTGCTACTCAGGCTGGCTTAGTCCCAGGCTTCACTCACTTCTTGGCCCATGGCCAGGAGGACCGGAAAGAACAAACTCTCTGCACATCTCTGCAGGTGGCCACAGAGCCCCCATCTGAGCCTTGCTGATGGAGAAGAGCATGCTGCATCACAAGATAACTGTGTGGCTCTGTTCAAAAACCTTGTTTAGAAGTTATTATTTCTTTTATTGCATTAGAATTTGCCTCACTGTAGCTTTTGTGCTTCTGTCCTGGTTCAGCCTTAGATAGCAGTGCAGCCTGGTCCATGTGAAAGCTCTTGCAATAGGCCTTTCTGCTAGTCAGGAGTTCTCAGACCCATCCCTACTCTTCACTTTTCTCAAGACTAATATCAGACTCCTGGGCTCTTCAAGGTTTCCTCATATGATAAAAGTTCTAAGCCCTCCATTGTCCTAGTCACTGTCCTCTCTGTTCCATCCCTGTCTGCCCTTCCAAGATGCTGCACCTGGAGATGAATTTGTCCTTCCTGGGGCAAGTCACCATGAGATGATTACTTTTGGATCATACTGAATTTGTGGGTTAAATAAACTCATAGGTCTTTATCTCATGCACTAAATCCAAATTCGATCTCTTGCCGTAAATCATTTTTTTGAATAGCTGAACAATAAGTAAATAATACACAAATGAAAACTAATCAATATTTGAACATCCTCAGTATTTTCAGCCCTAGTTTGAGCCAGACATAGCTCATCTTGTATACTTCACTAAGGACACTTTATACGATCAAGCAATTAATATTATGATGTCATGTCTCGCAAGCCCCATAGTGTCACTTCCAGTCTCTTCACCACAAAGAACGTTGAAGCCTTCGTATTTTTTTGAAAATCATATTTCTAGCTGCAGGATGGGATGTAAGAAAAGTTCAGATTAGGATTATTCTAGGCTCCTGACTATAACTAAAATCCTGATTTTTTATGGAAAGGAATGAGGATCATTCCTTCAAATTAGATTTTTGTGATAAAAAGAAAAAAGTTGGTAATCTATTCAAAATTGTAACAAAAATAACTGCATTTTTCTTTGGAAAATAATAGTTGATTCCTTTTTGCTTTTTTTACTTATGAATTGGGGTGCAATAGAGTTTAATAAAAATGATGTGAAACACTCTTATAAGGCTAATTTATCACATTTGCTTCAAGGAATTGTCCTTTCTAACAAAATTGTGAAATGGAACTGAACAGTAGCATGATGAGGCCTCTACCAGGAGGAGGTACAGAACAAGGCAGGAGGTCAGTGGTTAAAGGACTCCTTGCTTATGCTCAAGAAATGTGGACCTTATTAGAGGTGACACAGTGAAATCAGTCACCTGATTTCGCAGGTGACTGTGGAGCAAGAATGCAAATCCACAATATTAGGATGAATGTGAGAGGAGAAGGGAAGGAGGCCATGAGGGAAAAAAGGACATCTAATTGGGTCTGAAAGGAAGGGTAGAATTTAAGTAAAGAGCACTGTGTACATATGGGAATACCATGTACTTTCTCATGGAGAGAGGCCTTCTGACAGTCCTGCATTGATCCTGCTTCTTTGACCATCCCTTGTTAGCCAGCAGGTCATTTGGCCTCACTAGTTGCCTCAGTGCTGAGTGATAGACTCAGCAGTCCCCAGCCTCTTTGGCACCAGGGACTGGTTTTGTGGAAGATAATTTTTCCATGGATCAGGGAGAGGATGGTTTCAGGAGGATTTAAGTGCATTACATTTACTGCGCACTTTATTTCTAATATTATTACATTGTAATCTATAATGAAATAATTATACAATTCACCATAATGTAGAATCAGTGGGTGCCCTGAGCTTGTTTTCCTGCAACTAGATGGTCCCATCTGGGGGTGATGGGAGACAGTGACAGATCATCAGGCATTAGATTCTCATAAGGAATGCACAACCTAGATTCTTCACATGTGCAGTTCACCATGAGGTTCACGCTCCTATGAGAAGCTAATGCCTCCGCTTAAACGACACAGGAGATGGAGCTCAGGTAGTAATGAGTGAAATGGGGAGCAGCTGTCAATACAGATGAAGCTTTGCTTGCTTGCTTGCCGCTCACCACCTGCTGTGCAGCCTGGTTCCTAACTGGTACTGGTCAGTGGCCTGTGGTTGGGAACTCCTGGTAGACTAACAACAGAACAAAGCCAAGTCTCAAGGAGAGACAGTTGTATAGATGCCTTCCTGCCCATTCTCTGTTGTGGGGGCCAAATCACACAAGACCTGCATTTAATTCTTTATGGGCTTAGGCTGTGAATTAATGTAAAATCTCAAGAAACCAAGATGACAGGCCAGGGACTAAAGAGCAAAAGAAAGACCACAGCTATGGTGGGCGAGGAGACAAAGTCAATCCCACCGGGACAGATGGTGATGACCCTTATCAGTTCTATTCTGTCATCTCATAAAGGTAAAGACTTGTGTTCTTTTTCTTAGGACAGTCCAGATGGTATTGGCTGTGCTTAAAGAAAATTCAGACATGTGTGAGTGTGGCTGGAATTGACATTCATGAGGTCTTCCGTTTTTATTTGAAAGGGGCAGAGTAAGTATTTGTGAACATTGGATGGTGATGAAGAAAAGGAAATGGTGTCTAGTATCCTACCTGGCCTCATGGACCAAGACTAGAAGGATTAGAGGCAAAGTCGAAGGAAGCTGCCACCATAAAGGGTTCTGTGAATGCTGTTTGGCTGAAATGTGTGACAAAGCACTGGGAAGGGTTTCATTGCATTAGCTCAGGCCATAGCACGACCCTTAACCAACACCTTAAGGTGATGGTCCCCTTGGCATAAATATTGGTGTTAAAATCGAGGTTAACCTTAGTGATAGTATGGTTAAGAGTCCCCTGCATGACTTTGGAAGTTGAAGATGCTGATCAGGAGAACTAGAGCAGGAAAGAGAAAATATGACTGAGGCTAAGTGGTGACTTGGTATTGACTGATAGGTGAACACAGGAATGAATTTCAGCGAGAACCCCCAGTAACTGTCTGGGGAGTGGAGACTGTGTATGAACAGGACAGAAAAAAAAGCAGATTCGGGTAGTGTCCTGTCGTGTGTCTCTTTTACAGTCCTGAAATGAAGGACTTTCAGTGTTTTCATTGAGCACCAATCAATTCCCTCTTTACAAAAGACCATATTGGAACAGCATCAAGGTTTAGGGATATTAAAGCAATACAGTGACACTGGAATGACCACTGAGAACCAGCGAACTTCTTCAGCCCTTATATCCTCAGGCACTCTGGAAGCCATGAATCTGGTTTTCTTGCTAAACTGTGTGTACTGCACAGAGTACAATGGTAAAGGAACAAATATTGGCTCTAAAATCTCTTGTAAAGGGAAGGGTGGTCATCCCTTTAGATGGCAAATTGAGTTTCTGTAATGGGGTTTGCTCTGATGTTGCATTTCCACTCAGGCATCAAGACATTCTGTTGTTTAAAGCCCTAGATGGGTGATATTTCTTTCATGTGCAAGGCCCGAATGCTTCACTGAGCTCTCTCTTACCCACACACACTCATTTAAACCTTGGTCAAAATTATCCTTTAGCATCTGCATCTTCTCAGAAGGCGGAAGGGTCAATGGGGATAATCAGGAGAGATGAGGTGCACTTTCAGAAGTTGGAGCTGAGAAGGTGATGGAAGTATCTGTAAAGTCGTTGAACAGCTGCACGAACTATAGGGGAAGCATTTCTGGAGGCAAAAGGGGAATAGCCCTTTCCTCTTAAACCAAAGCGAGCACAGCTCCAAAGGCACTTAGATGGAGAGTTCATCGGAATGTGAGCTCTAAGAGTGGCTGAGAATCTGACAAAAACAGCCATCTGCCAACCCAAAATTAAAACTCCTCTGTTTAGCACCCAGTAGAGAAAGTCAACCAGATTGACTTCGCAAACAAAGGACCTTAAAAGCATCACCTAAGAAAGTGTGTCAGGATCCACAGACATCCAGAGCATTCTCTATGGTTCATTACTTACATTATTCTTATCTATTTACACATAATGTTTAGATGTAAAATCCTTACAATGAAAAGGGTGTATATGCTTTAAAAAAGGCACAACAGGGATCTAGAACTAGAAATACCATTTGACCCAGCCATCCCATTACTGGGTATATACCCAAATGAGTATAAATCATGCTGCTATAAAGACACATGCACACGTATGTTTATTGCGGCACTATTCACAATAGCAAAGACTTGGAACCAACCCAAATGTCCAACAATGATAGACTGGATTAAGAAAATGTGGCACATATACACCATGGAATACTATGCAGCCATAAAAAATGATGAGTTCATATCCTTTGTAGGGACATGGATGAAATTGGAAACCATCATTCTCAGTAAACTATCGCAAGAACAAAAAACCAAACACCGCATATTCTCACTCATAGGTGGGAATTGAACAATGAGATCACATGGACACAGGAAGGGGAATATCACACTCTGGGGACTGTGGTGGGGTCGGGGGAAGGGGGAGGGATAGCATTGGGAGATATACCTAATGCTAGATGACACATTAGTGGGTGCAGCGCACCAGCATGGCACATGTATACATATGTAACTAACCTGCACAATGTGCACATGTACCCTAAAACTTAGAGTATAATAAAAAAAAAAAGGCACAACAGAGAAGAGTTGAGCAGGTGGTGTGCTGGCTCACAGATGGCCTTGAAAAAGAGGGTAATCCTAAGAATTAGAATGAGTTGGTGGTAGTTAAATAGAAAAGAACACAGCAAACTGCATCCCAGAGGCCTGCCAGTAGTTGAACTGTTTTGACCAACAACAGACAAGTGTGTGTGCTTTCTAATATGAAGTTCTGCCATAGTCCAGGCCAGAGGTAATAAGCAATGGAATAAGGCAGTGAGATGCAAAACCAACTTGGGTCTAGGAACCAGACCTTATCCATTTCAGAATCCATGGTGCCTCGATGGCACCTGGCACAGAGTAGAGGCTCTGTATGAAATTTTCTATGGCAATGGGCTCTAGAGACTTTGGGGAAATGCTAATGTGGAAAAACATGTTTTCATTCTTTATAGGTGGGAGCCTCTATTTTTCCTGCTTGCTTGCATATGGTAATGAAGAATAATAATAGGAACTGAAATTCGCTCATTTGAGTTTCTCCCTACAGAGTAGGTAGATTCCCAACAGGGTACCTAGTATATGTTTGCTAAATTAATGAATGAATACGTGAATGAATAGATAAGTGAATCAATGAACACATTAAAGAATGAATCAGTGAATCAATGAATGAATCCATCATTCAGTCAATGAATCTTATTCATCTTCTTCTAGATAGGCTTATATCTAATGGAGTGAAACAGCCCTGGACTTGGAATAAGAACCAGGGTTTATGCTTAATGTATTCCTTGCACAAATATTTACTGAGCACTTGAGCTGTACGCTAGGCTCTCTGCTACTACCATGACATGAAAGAATGCTAGAGCTATAGTGCAAAGAAGACAAACTTCCTCTTTTGTGAAGAAGAGGGAAGACACATAATAAATAATAATAATAATAAATATTAGTCCAGATAGCCCAAGGGTATGCAGAATTGGATAGGTAGGTAGGGATTCTTTTATAGAGGGAAGTCAGGAAAGGACTCTCTGAAAGTGACATTGGAACGGAAATCTGCACAACGAGGAGGAGCAAAATAAAAGCCTGGGGTAAGAGCACTCTAGGCAGAAGGTACAGGAAGTGCAAAGGCCCTGAGGCAAGAATTGGCCCAAATTGCCAAGGTAGAGAAACAAGAATGTGCCACTGTACCTAGGACAGGCAGGGAAGGGGAGTGGGGTGCCATATAAGGTCAAAGCAGTAGGTGGGACTTCCTTATTTTACCTGATTATGAATTGGGACAATAAGAACAATAGCTCATAGCTGTTGAGAGTTTACAATATGCCAAGCATAATTGGACTGTCTTACTTAATCATCACAACAACCCAACAAGACAGGCAGGGTGATATTCAAAGTATTTCACCGCTGGCATGTCACAGGCACCAACCAATCAGATAATGCCAGCCTCAACTATCCTCTAGCCATATAAGTATAGACAGGCTTGATCTCGGGTACCACTATTTCTCCCACTTAACTGGGTTAGAAAGCTGAGTTTAGAGATGGGGGTCAACACCTCAGAATTATACAGCTGTCCATTTTACCACAAACTATATGTTGAAAACGGCAAGTAACCTACCTCTTATAAATGCTGCTTAGGCAGCTCAGGGAATTCTTTATGTAATGTGAAAATAAGTGATGTGGGGATTTACTATCCATACTATAGAAGAAAGGGCACTATGCCAGGAGTATGAAATCATAGAACTACTCCAAGTACGAGACTTTGAGGAAATTGCTTTACCTCTCTGGTTGTCAGAAAACTTCTAGCCATGGGCAGTAAATGCGGGTGCTACTGGCACCTTGTGGGTAGAAGCCAGGGGTGTGGCTAAACATCCCACAGTGCCCGGACAAGCAGCACTACAAAGAATCATCAGCACTGGGTTGAGAAATCCTGCTATCAATCCCAGAGAGGTAACAGACATTGTGAGGTATGACGTTAGGGAGTGGTGGGGACTACAGCAAACTTCAGAGTATGCACAGTACACTTGCTTTCTAAAGGCATTTCATATAAAAAATAATTTGTAAACTTTGTGGACTGAAGAGAACACATCTTCAGGCCAATTTCAGTCTTTTATGGCCTTAACCAGATTATGTTGCCCATAATTTTCTTTAAACAGATGAGGATAAAAGTCTCTTAGTCATGCAGGCATGTGTTTGTGTGTTTGGGAGGGGAGGAGGGTGTAAACATATATACATGCACACACATATATGCTGTTATACACAAACACATTGGCGAGAAGATTTAATTTTAAAGTGTTTTCAGAAAATGAGGCCCTCATCCCCCTTAGAATCCAGTCCAGGTTTTTTCAATTCTGTAACTAACTTTTCCCTCCTTCAGTTATACCAGCCCCCTTCCTCTTGTTCTGACTTTGGCAAAGATGAAGCCCAGCTGCTCTACTCCACCCATAAGAGGAGCTTCTGGTTTTAGTTTTGGTCCCTTCCTGTTGCCTAAAGCCCTTGGGAACGAGGCACCCTCACTCACGTTACTCCTTTAGCCTGTAGAGACAGATAGGCTAGAAGAGACAGGTCGGCCCCACGTTTACGATGTGTCCACAGAATTATTTATGGTTTGTTTATCCACTCAATGTGGAGCAATTGTGGCCTGTGACTTTCAGCTCCAGGGTGCATTAACAGATTTAGGGGTAAATTGGCAGTGTCAAGCTGCATAGTTGTACTGGGCTTTTCAGCCTCTCCCCATAAAGCAAATATAGCAATAATCCCAGACACTCAGGCACAGTGGCATTTCTAGAGAGACACCAATGACCCCATTAGTCGAGAAGCTGTGGGAAAGCCTGAAACAGGTGAGAAAGCGATGAAATTAGGAAAATGAAGTTCTCTGATCATCAGGCTCAGTGGATGGGTGCAAGTGTGGCAGACATGGTACAAAAGATGTGGACCATGAATTGGCACCATGATTTCAAGGTACTAGAAAACCAAAGTTTGGTGGGGCACCAAGGCAAAGTTTCTAAGGTCCTGTGGGCATCAGTGCATACTGCTGGAGGGTCAGTTCTGCATCAAGGAGATACATTTCTGCAATGATATAGGCATTTGAAAACCCTTGTACACTACAAACAACAGGATTGATGGAAAAGTAGGATAGGAGATTCTATCCAAAGCCTACCTAGGGACCAGAGCACAAACAAAAGCAATCACTGGGCGCTCAGTGTCACTGGACATTAAAAATACACAATGACAGTTGGTGGACATGTTGGCAGCCCTTCATTCAGAGCAGGTCTGATGGGTGCTGGGCAGTGCTGATGATAATGGAGATCTGAGCTGTTGGGTCTGCTCTTAAGGTGGCCAAAGAGCAACTGCAATTTGCCAGCAAGCGTCTGGGGTGAACTTCTTGAGGAAGAAGGCCTGAGTGCAGTGAAAACTTTTTAATTTATTTTCTTCCTTCTTCCCACTGTTCCATGTTATACTGATATTATTCACCCATATGTCAATGGTATACATTAATTCACATTACAGAAATGCTAGCAGTAGCAGAAGAGTCCATATGAGACAAGTGTATGGCCTGAGGCCCTGGGAACTAAAGCCCGAGTGCCTACAAGATATGCTCATAAGTTTCTAGGGCCCTGAGTGGTTTCCAACAAAGAGCCTGGATTTGACTTTGAGGCTGACAGGTAGAAGTTAAGCATGCAAAGCCTTAAGTAAGTAGTCTGTGCAGTGACCCAAAAGCTCAAAGGAATGGTGGGGTAGTGATATGGACAGGAGGCAGGGAAAGACTGGGAGGAAGAGGGCGGGGTCCTTAGCAAGGGCTCCACTCTCAAGCCTAGACCTGTGGGTCTAAATGACAACATACCTTCCTGTTTTCCTACCCAAATGTTGTCTTTTCCAAAACCACCCTGGCCCACTGTGCCCCCTACCCTGTACGCACAAAAAGTCCAAGCTCCACTGGCAGAGGAACAGAGTGGCATGACAGAGAAGGAGAGAAAAGAAGAAGCATCTGAATGTCGAGAGAAGTTCAGCCAGGGACAGTTGGAGAGGAGTTCAGCTGGGGATGGTTGAACTCCAGGGAAAGATTACCTTCCCACTGCATCCCCTTTCCAGCTCCCCATCCTGCTGAAGCCACTCCCATCACTCAGTAAAATCCTCTGCATACACCACCCTTCAATCCTTTCATGTGACCTGATTCTTCCTGGGCACAGGACAAGAAAAGAATTCAAGATGCACTGGGTGCAGGAACCCAGAAAGGCTGTCACACTGACTCTTCAGTGAGTTGTTTAACACTGAAGCCATCCAGGAATGGCAAAGCTAAAAGAAAGAGCCTTGTTTGTAACATATGCTTTCTGGGGCTCCAGAGGTCTCAGGCAAACCCTAGATGCTGCCACAGGCTGGTACGGGGTTTGTTTATGCCAAATGCCCAAAGGTACTCACCCCAGCTGCTGCACCCACTCACGTGTGTACTCCTGCTCCCACAAGGGGTTGGAGGGTGGCAGCCGAGTAAACGAGCCACACCCTTGTCACAAGTCCCACCGAGGGGTCAAGGAACTCTCCTGTCTCAGCAGGGGATCAGAGATTCTGGGAGATACTGAAGAAAATGGAGCTCACTTTCCAGACATTAAGGTTTTAATGACACTTTTAGACATGAGAAAGCAGGAAGGACTTGGTGGGCAAGAAAGTCAAAACAGAGATTTGACAAAGACCCATCTTTTTTCTGGTGCTGACAGATTGAAGGAGAAGGTAGAGGAAATAATAGCTGGATGATTTTTATGGAATCAACATTATTTAAATGCTTTCATTAAATTATTGTCAAGGAGGTATGGCTGTAATTGTGTATCACCTCCAAAAGAGGAGATAGTTATAAAGACCACCAAAAGAATTTCCACACACTAGGATTCAAAGGACTAGCAAAAGCATACAAAGTCAATAGCTAGCAAGTCAAAGACAAGAAGGGAAGAAACCCACCAAGAGTAACATGGACCTCCACTATGACTGATATTTCTGTCTGTTTTTCATGGCTCAGGCTTCTCCTCTGGCTTTTACTTGAACTTGTTCTAGATCATCAAATGATACCAACAGGACTAGAAGAGATATTGCACCTCCACAAAACAATTTATTCCCTGAAAATACTGGCTAGAGTAATCATAAGATCCTGAATCTGGATGGGACCTCAGTAGATGACACAGTCTAAGTCTCTGCCTCTGTGCTATATCCCCAAAGGAATTAGCAAGTAACCACAAAACGGAAGTGAAACAGGAAACCTTGAGTATTTCACATAGCATATTTGATATAGGGGGCTTAACCACACAGACAAAAATGCACAAGTCAACAAGTAAAAATTATACACTGTGACAATTTATAAATGATTGTTCACAACCAATAATTCTACTTTTAAGTATTAATTAACAAAATCTTTAGATCTGAAATATTTTTTAAGAGAAACCCTCAGGAATCCAGCAATCTAATTTAAGTACTTATTTAACACCTCTATTAGCAAACATCATACTAGATGCTCTGCAGGCCCGAAGGAGAATCCTTAGACTCCTTGTTCCCTATAATTTATCAGCGGCACATGGACCCAGGGTTTATGGAGTCTTCAGCTTACGGGGTCTTATGAGGGCCCTCTCAAGGAAATTAATACAAAATTACACATAGAAAATTGTTAGGTCCTATCCCAGGGCACTGGAAGAAACAGCTGTAAGTGAATGCTCTGAAGCTTAAATTCATTCACTTCCTGATAAATCTATGCCTGTTGTTTAGAATATGTTTCTTCAGGTGTTAAGGGCTTGAGAAAACAACCCAGGTCCAGACCCTTTCTTCTTCCATGCCTCGCAATTCACAGCATGACGTGGATCTAGCTTCGTCCTTACCCACCTCCCAAGACAGGAGTCTCCCTCTGTTATCAGGAACATTAGGTCGGCATCCTGGTGGGATGGGTTTGAAGAGGTGAGGGCTAGTTTTACTTTTTCCATTCCTCCATCTAGCCACACACAACCACACAAAATTCATTTACACAGTGGTATGAGTTAAGCACTGTGTTGTGTTGTAGGAAAATGGACACATCCATGTATTAGTTATCCATTGCAGTGTAACAAATTACCCCAATCTAGCGACTTCAAAACAACTCACACTTCTACTATCTGACAGTTACTGTGTGTTAGGAGTTCCAGCACGGTTTACCTGGATCCTCTGCTCAGGCTCCAACCAGGCTGCAAACAAGGTGTTGGACAGGCTGCTTTCTCACCTGAAGACTGGACTAGGGAAGAATCCACTTCCAAGCTCATTCAAGTTGTTGGTCGAATTCATGTCCTCGAGTCTGCATGAGTGAGGTCCCAGCTCTTACTGACTTTAATCCTCAGGTCCTAGAGGTGGCTCCCACTTTCCTGCCACTTGGCACTATCCACAGGGGCTTAACCAGGTGGCTGTTTGCTTCTTCAAGGCCATCAGGAGAATTTCTCTCCTGGTTTGCTAAGATAGAGCCTTATATAATAAAACATAATCACAAGAGTGACATTTCAGCACCTTTACATAACTACATAACTTTACATAACATAAACCAACCTAATCAAGGGAGTGTCCTTCCAACAACTTTGCCACACTGCGTTGGTTGCAAGTAAGTCACAAACCCACACTCAAGGGGATTACACAAGAGTGGATTATTGGGGTCTCCTTAAAGCATGTCCTCCACTATCTACTTTGAAACTTCTTTACAAAGCTTTCATTTTGATGATTTGTTTCAGATGACTGAAGCCCACTCTCATTAAAACTATTTGGAAACTGCTGTCTAGTGACATTATATTAAAGCCAATCTGTTTAAACAAGAAAGAGCAGTGCTCCCACTTGGTAGGAGATAAGACTCCTTACAGCCTCAGCTATCAACAACATGGCTTATGCTATTTCTTTATGTACATATCTATATATGTCCAGTGCATGCCAAATAAGGTCTGTAAGCGTTGAAACATAATAATAAAATGAACTCAGGTACCCTCATTCCAATTTAAGAGCTAAACCATTATGAACTCCATTCTATCTACCTATGTATTTCTTCTTATGCCATTCCCCTACCTCCCAGAGGTAACCAACCATTCAGTTGCTATAATTCATTTGCCTTTTTGATAATTTTGTGACACACATATTTAACAATAAAGGAGTGGTGTGCTATTGCTAACTTCTGAACTATAATAATGGCATCACATACCGCAAAGTGTTCTGAGGTTAGCTTTTTCCACACAACGTTATGTTTTTGAGATTGAGCTCTGCTGCTTCTCCTAGCTGTAGATCAATCATTTCCACTCGCACAATTCCACTGTGCAAAGATGACACAAATAAGTAGACGTTTTTATCAATGGGCATTTCAGTTCTTTTCATTTTTCACTGCCATGAATACTGCTGCCGTGAACATTGTCATGCATCTCCTAGTACTCATATGCAAGTATTTTTTTTCTGGCGTATGCACCTAAAAGTAAAATCACTGAGTCTTAGGGTATGCAAATATTCAACTTTACAAGGAATGACAAATTGTTTTCCAAAGCAAACTCTTATCAGCAACTTATGAGTTCCTTTAACCTATTTTCTCCTCAACCAGACTTCTTCATATGGCCAATTTAGAAGCTATAAAAGGGTATTTTATTTTTATCTTACTTTGTATTTTTTGAATATTAGTAAGTCTAAACATTTTATGTGCTTATTTTCCATTTGTATTTTCTCTTCTGTGAGATGCTGGTTTATTTCTCTGTTGTTTACATTTTCCTTCATATATTTGTAGAAGTTCTTCATATATTCAATGGTTAAACTTTTGTTAATTCTCGTATCAATAAAATAGCTTCTTATAATACATGGCTGGCTTTTCACTTTCTTTATATCTTTTAATAAAGAGACATTTTATTTTTATTATAGCGAAGTGTATCAATCATTTCTTTTCTGGTTAACCTTTCTGTGTCTTATTTAAGAAATTCTTACTTTGGGAGACTGAGGCGGGAGGATTGTTTGAGCCCAGGAGTTAGAGGCTGCAATGAGCTATCATTGCACCACTGCACTTCAGTCTGGGTGACAGATTGAGATCCTGTCTCTTACCAAAAAAAAAAAAAAAAAAAAAAAAAACGAAAGAAAATGTTTCTTCCATATCTCAAGGATAGGAAAAATAAAGATATTTTATGTTTTCAATTTTTTTAACTGAAAAACAATCTAAATGAATAAAGAACCTAAATATCACAAGGATGCAATTTTTCCTCAAAGAGATTTACACATTTAGTATAATTCTCATAGAAGAGTCCTAAATGATTTTTTAAAAACTTATCATCAAGTTTATTCTAAAATTTGTTTGGAAGAACAAAATGCCAGGAATAGCCAAGACATTCCCCAAATAAAAGCATACAGTAATTGAACTTGCCCTACCATATATCCTTATGTATATTTATATATAATTAAAATTATACATAGCTATGTCCATATATAAGTATATAATGTATATTTGTATACATATATGCGTGTATATATAATTTATACCTAACTCCATGTATTTATGTAAGTAAATATTATATACATAAATTATATACACTTAAAATATACTTATAAAATTATATAAGGATATTCTCATAACATGATTATATATATACATATGTGTATATATAGGATATGTACATGTATAATTATATTTAAACCCATGAAATATGTGTTAATCTTATCAAATGCTTTTTGGCCTCTATTGAGATGGTTATATATAATTTTCTGATGTTCAGTTCATGTGATGAATTAGATTTCTAAATTTCTAGTGTGAAACAACTACTTTTGTTTTCTGAAGTAAACTTAATTTTATTATACTATACCTTAGTTTATATACCATTCACTTTATTTTGTTAATGTTTTGTGTAGACAATTTTATATGAATGTTTGCATGATTGATCTGTAATTTTTTCTTTTTCTTCTGTCTGGTCTGATTTTGGAATCAAGATTATAGAGTGAATTAAGGAAAATTTTCTCTTTTATAATCCCTACAAGAGACCATTTTCTTGGAAGTTGTGAAATGCTGGAACTGATACTCAGTACACATAAGCCTACCTGTACCCACTGTTTAAAATTTACATCTGTTCAGATTGGGTAGGGTGCACACTGTACTCATTGAGGATTATTTTAAATTATGCCTTGCAAAACTTGCTTAGAAAGTAACTTGGGCTTGTGTTTTCTTCCCAGAATTATTGTTAGCAATGGATTGCATTTTAAAAATTTTTATAGAAATGTTCAGGCTTTCTATTTCTTCTTGAGTCCATTGTAATAATTTTTTTTGAGGATTTTTTTCATTACATCTAAGTTTCCAAATGTTTTGCCACAAACTTTTTCATGTTCTTATCTATTTTTTATACCTCTGCTATGTCTATAGTTATGTTCCTTTTTCATTTCTAATATTTTTATTTCTGCCATCTCTTTCATTCTCAATCTTGGCAGAAGTTGTTTCTCTGAAAACATTAATAGAAGAGAAGTTGTACTTTGTTGGTTTATTTATTTGTGTGATTAAATTTTGTTTCATAAAGTTTACTCTTATATTTATTATTTTCTTTCTTCTACTAGCGGAGATTTATTCTGTTTTATTTGATAATGACTTGTTTTGGATTCTTCTTTATATTTCAGTTACTTAAGTGGCTAAAACTTTATACCCTTTTTCCTAATATAACTTTCCTAAGGTAACTTTATACCTTTTTTCCTAATATAATTATATTAAGCTATAATTTTTCTTCTTAGCACTGTTTTCACTAGATGCTAAAAGTTGTATATGTAGTATTTTCATTCTACATTGTCTCCATCTTCTCTTTTCAGAAATTCTATTGGATGTATTTTAGATATTGTCATTATGTCTTGATATTCCTTAACACACTTCCCTGCTTTCTTATGATTTAATTGTAAGAATTTTTTAAATGCTATTATTACTCTTTTTTGACTCATGTTATTTAGAATTTTTAAAATTAATAAATATATGCATATATTTTAATTTTTTTTTTGTTAATCATTTCTTTTTTTTTTTTTTTTTTTGAGATAGGGTCTCCCTCTGTTGCCCAGGCTGGAGGACAGTGGCACAGTCTTGGCTCACTGCAACCTCCACCTCCTGGGCTCAAGCGATTCTCCTGCCTCAGCCTCCCAAGTAGCTGGGATTACAGGCACCTGCCACCATGTCCAGCTAATTTTTTTTTGTATTTTTAGTAGAGATGGGGTTTCACCATGTTTGCCAGGCTGGTCTTGAATTCCTGACCTCACTGCTCACCTTGGCCTCCCAAAGTGCTGGGATTACAGGTGTGAGCCACCATGCCCAGCCCCAATCATTTCTATCTTAATTGCACTTGGATCCGAGAAGATGAACTATAGATATCTACGTGTTAAACATTTGTTGAGACTTCTTAATATGGCCTGCAATATGGTCCATTTTCATAAATTTTTCACATGTGCTTCAAATGAATGTTTATTATTACTTTTTAGATACAATTTTCTTTAATGTCCATTAAATCAACCTTGTTTTAATATTCTATACTTCTTGTTATGATAACCATCATAAAAAATACAAAGACTTTCATTACTAGAGTTTCAAAAATGTACAATAATACTATTTACAAGAAAAGAAACACATCAGAAACCTAAAGATATGAAATGTCTGAAAATAAAAGAAGGAAAAATGAAATAATGGAAAAAGACATGGCAGCAAAACTAATAACCAAAAGAAAACTCTGGTATACATTGAAAATACAAGTAATTATTTATTAATATTATTTTACTTCTTGACCAATTAATAATTTAGATATATGAAGTATCTCATGATGACACATTTGTATCAATTTTATTTTAAGCATGGTTTATTAAATATAAGATCATAATTGTTAAATCTTCTTATGGAATTAATCCTTTTATTGTTATGTAGTGGAATTAATCCTTTCATTGTTATGTAGTAACTCTTTCTATTGCTGATAATTACTTTTATTTTGGATGTATACCAAAATTTTATTGTGGTTATTAGTTTTTCTGCTATGTCTTTCTCCATTACATCATTTTTCACTCTTTGATTTTCACACATTTCATGTCCTTATGTTTCTGATGAGTTTCTTGTAAAGAGTATCATTGTATATTTTTAAAGCTCTAGTATTGAAAGTCTCTGTCTTATTTATTTATTTATTTTGCGGAGACAGGGTCTTGTTCTGTCACCCAGGCTGGAGTCCAGTGGTACAATTATAGCTCACTGCAGCCTTGACCTCTCAGGCTCAGGCAATACTCCCATCTCAGCCTCCCAAGTAGCTGGGACCACAGGGCCCCACTACCATGCCTGGATAATATTTTTTATTATTTTTGTAGTGACAGGATCTCCCTATGCTGCTGAGGCTGCTCTCGAACGCCTGGGCTCAGGTGATTCCCCCACCTTGGCCTCCCAAAGTACACAGGTGTGTGGCTCACTGCGCCTGGCCATCTCTGTCTTTTAAATGATGGATTTAGTCCAGCCACATTGGCAAGATTGCTGACATACTATATTTGGAATTGTTTCTACCGTCTTCTTTTTACTTCTCATTTGTTTCCTTTTTTATACCTTTGTTTTTTTCCCCAGTCTTTTTTTTAGATTGAATATTAGTCTTAGCTATGTCGTCTGTTTTTCCAATTTTACCTTTATATTTATAACTTAATATTTTTAAAGCAGATACCTTTAACATGTATCATGCCCGGTTAGCTTTAAAATGCTTATTTATACTTTAGATATCCTTGTGAACAAAGTAAGGGTCTTTGAATATTTTAACTTCCATAACCCCTTCCTGACTTATATGCTTGATATTCACTATTTTGGATATGTCCTTTTAAAACCCCACACATCAGTAATTATTACCATTGTATATGTATTTATATGTTACATATATACTATATATATAATTTAATTCAGACAAGATTTATTAATATCAATGATTTTCATCCTAGATTGCGCTTACCTGGGAAGCTTTTAACAAATATTGATGTTTGAGATCCACCCAGGCTGTTTAAATCAGAATCATACTCAGGTGATTGTATCTAATAGGCAGGAATGGTTCGCAATCAACTGTTTAAATACCTCTACATGTTTGCCAATTTCTTTGTTCACTATTTCTTTTTGCTTCTCAGATATTCCCTCTGAAAAATATTTTTCTGTTTCCTGCAATACCTCTTTCATAAGTTTTTAAATGAAGTTCTATTGTGGCAAATTCTGCTTCTGCTTGTATAAAATGCATTTATTGTGCCCTAATTTCTGAAAGACAGTATTGATGGGGACACTATTTTTGGTTGACAATTTTTTTTTTCTGTCTTAGCTCTTTGGAGATATTTTTGTGCTGAGTATTGTTTTCCATTGTTGCTGTGAGAAGTCTTCTGACGTCTAAATTTCCCACATTTTTAGTTTAGTTTAGTGTCTTCTCTCTGGCTGATTTTATCTTGGAGTTCTAGATTTTCAATACAATGTATCTCATTTATGTATGCTTTAAATTTGTCTTTCTTGTGTTTCCTTTGTCTATCAATGTTGTTTGCTGATTGTGTTAGTCAGGGTTCTCCAGAGGGACAGAACTAATAAGATATCAGATGGAGATAATTGAATCATCATGGGAGCAGTTTCCCTAATCCTGTTCTCCTGACAGTGAGCTAGTTCTCATAAGAACTGATGGTTTTATAAGGGGTTTCCCCCTTCACTGGGCACTCATTCTTCTCCTTTCTGCTGCCATGTGAAGAAGGACGTGTTTGCTTCGCCTTTCATCATGATTGTAAGTTTCCTGAGGCCTCCCCAGCCATGCTGATCCATGAGTCAATTAAGCCTCTTTCCTTTATAAATTATGCAGTCTTGCGTATGTCTTTATAGCAGCGTGAGAACAGACTAATACACTAATCAGTCCTGGAAAATTCTTAGTTATTATCTCTTCAAAGACTGAATCTCTTCCATTCTCTCCATCTTCTCCTTTCAGAAATTCTATTGAATGTATATTATATATTCTCATTATGTCTTCATATTCCTTAACACACTTGCCTGCTTTCCTTGTCTCTTTGTGTTGCATTGTGAGTAATTTATTCATACATATCTTTCAGATAAATAATAATCTCTTCATCTGTGTCTAAAATACACTGAGTGTTTAACTTTGACGATTGTAGTTTTTATTTTTATTTGGATGTTTTTCAAATCTGCCTGGCCATCATATAGTCTCTTTGTGTTTTTTTGTTTTGTTTTGTTTTTTGTTTGAGAGGTCCAAATGAAGTAAACTGGATTTTTGCATGAAATATGGAAGTGTAATTTGGCTCTGCATTGGAACCTGTTTCTAGAGTCTCCTTTTCTTTTAAGTACTTTAGATGTTTTCTGATTATTTTCACCACCCCACAGTTTTTACATATCTCAAACAAAAAGAAAGGCATGACAATCTGTGAATTATGATGAGCATTAACAATAATCCCTTGGCAAAAATAAAATTCCAGAGTTTATCCTATCCATCTTGTGCTTTGATACAGAGTAGGTGTTATTAGTCAAGTGTTACCAGACAAGTGTTACCAGACAAGTGTTATGTACTCCTGATGTCATTTATCTACAAAATTGTCCTTTAATTTGCCTATAATTGCCCTTGGGCAAGCCTAAACCCCAGGACAGATTGAGTGCTCACAGCTTTTCACCCTGACCAATTAGGCACATTTACATGACTGCCCTACTCTGCAGCTCAGATCTTGTCCAGAAGCCCAAGAGAAACATTACTCAGTGTCAATCAGTAACCGGATCATGGTTCCAGAGGCTTAACTGACAAGTGATTTTTGCTGATTGAACAAAATATTTTTCCATAACAACACCATGTTGACTCTATTACTAAGCAAATCTCCCACTCTGGATTTTTGAGTATCATTAGAATACGGGAATGTGGGTGTGCTGCTGGTGATAGGAATGGAAAAAGGAATTATTTTCTACATGTTCTACCTTTTTCCTCAGCCCTTTAAAATATTACTGTACTGATGTGGCTCTCACCTGACTAAATCTCCCTTTTCTAGAGATGACGCATCCTCACTGTGTTGGACATAGGAGGCAAGTCCATACAATGACACCCACAGGTGATCACTGAGTGCCCCCTGACCAGGCTGTACTTTTCACCTAATGAGCAATCACCATACCTTATTTTTCTTTCTGATCCCATATAGCAGCTCTTCCAGGCATACAAACTAGTACAGTTGATTGAAGGTTCACTCGGTGCAAAAGCACTCTTCATATACTATCTCAGTTAATGCTTACAAGACTCCTGTGAAATAGATAATATTAGTATTTCCATCCTATAGATGCAGCACTTGAGCATCGAAAGGGTTAAAATACTTGCCCAGGGTCACATGACTAGAAAGTTGCAGAGCCAGACTTGCCAAAGACAGCTGCTGCCTTGTTTCATATCACCTAGCTTTACAGTAACACAACTCTATTATTTAAGATAATGATGTTAGTGTAGAGTGAGAATAAATAAGTAGTGGTCAAGTCTGGAAATAGAAAGGCAGATGAATACATTTACTAGGGAATTTTCTTTTGATGTATAGTTGTGACTTGTTTCGTCTTCCTTTGTGTATTGAAGATAAAAGTGTCAATTTTGTATTACTTAGAGCAGAGTTTCTCAAACCCAACACTATTGACATTTTGGATCAGACAATTCCTTGTTGTCTAGGGATGGGCTGTGCATTGTAGGATATTGAGCAATATCTCTGGCTCTCCACACTAGATGCCAGTAGCATTTCACCAACCCCAGCTGTGGCATCAAAAATATCTCCAGACATTGCCAAATGTCCCCTGAGGGGACAAAATCATTACCACATTGAGAATCACTAATCTAGGGGATCTCTGAGAGCAAACAAAATAATTGCTCTGCCTTGAAAATTAGACACTGCTGGCACTCAGTTGGGTGGCCCAAGTGAGAGACCCCAGGGAGCCTTCTTTAGTTGGAATGAGAGATTGTTCTGAACAAGAGCTGAGTCAGGACCCAGTGTGCCCATGCCCTCTTCTTAGTAAGAAAAGGAAGATGTAGGAACTTAGGGCACAGCCAGAGATCACTGGTTTGTTTTCCAGATTCAACTTCAGGGAACTTAAAATAAGTGTTCTGGAACAAATGCTTAGTGATGTAGAAGGAGGAAATAACACCTCTCATTTACTGGAATATCAGATCACTTACATCACTTAATTCTTAAGATAATCCAATAAGTCAGGTAGAATTTATCATTTCCATTTTACAGAATCAAAAAGGAATGCCTAAGAAGTTGAAAGACTAGCTCTTGGTTAGAAAGTGAGGTAACTGGAAGAAGGACATTGCTCTTTTTTTGAGATGGAGTCTCACTCTGTCACCCAGGCTGGAGTGCAGTGGTGCAATCTCAGCTCACTGCAACCTCCACCTCCCAGGTTCAAGTGATTCTCCTGTCTCAGCCTCCCAAGTAGCTCAGACTACAGGCATGTGCCACCATGTCTGGCTAATTTATATATATATTTTTAGTAGAGATGGGATTTTGCCATGTTGTCCAGGCTGGTCTCCAACTCCCGACCTTTCTATCTGACTTAAATGTTTATGCTCTTTCCAATCCATCCCAGGATTTTAGAGAGAATCTTCTAGAGATTACATGGAAACATTAATAGAAAACCTTCCTTTCATTCACTCTAGGCAGATGCTATGCTATCCACCAAGGACACAAACATAAAATCTAATCCCAGCCTTAAAGAGCTCAGATTAGTGAAAGAAAAAGACATACATAAAATATTTATAATACAGCATGCTAAACACAGTGATAAGGACATCCATGTAGATGGTACTATGGGAACATAGAAGAGGGAAACCCAATGCAGCCTTAGGAAAGTGATGGGGAGGGTTCTCAGGGAAGGCTTCATGGAAGAGGTGGTATGGGAACAGAGTTCAAAGATGTCAGGATTTGTCCTAGGAAATGACAAAAAATCTCACAATTTCCCACTGAAAATCAGCTGCTACAAATTGCAGTTTAGATATGACAACAGAAAAGTACACCAAACATTTTCATTAAAAGGAAAGACAGTATGTTGAGGGGAGAGACCCCAGCCTTCTTTGCTGGCACAAGGTGTATCATTTCTCAGCAGGTGCTGAGCAGGAAGACTGACTGCCATTTGTATTAGTCAAGGTTCTCCATAGAAACAGAACAAAAGGAGGGATGGGAAAAGGTAGGGAGAGAGAGATTTTAAGGAACTCCCCATGCAACTGTGCCAGTTGGCAAGTCTGAAATCTGTAGAATAAGTCAGCAGGCTGAACATGCAGGCAAGAGTTACATTACCTTCTTGACTCCGAATTCCACAGGGCAGGCCAGCAGGCGGGAAACTCAAGCAGAATTTCTACATTGCAGGCTTGAGGTAAAATTTTCTTCTTCCAGAAACCTCACTCTTTGTTCTTCAGGCCTTCAAAGGATTGGATGAGACTTACCCACATTAACCTGCATTATTTGAGTAAAGGAATCTGCTTTAGTCAAAGTCTACTGATTTAAATGTTAATCACACCCACAAATACATTCATAGCCACATCCACAGTGGGGTTTGACCAAACAACTAGGCATCATAACCTAACCAAGTTGACACATAAAATTAACCATGACACCATTGTTGTTCGCTCATTAATCTCTCCCAGAAAGAAATATAATTTTCCATCTGGAAACCTATTAGAACTGGGAAGTTAAAATCTCTACAGCCCAATGTGCTACAGGCTTCAGATCCCCTGGGAAAGTTGCAGCCTGGGGTGGGGAAGGAAACATATCAGCTAACATTCAGTTGAATATTTTAATACCACTCTTAGAGTCATAAATCCCAATATGCCTTAGCCCTAAAGCAGATCCCTTAAAGAGACAGAGTAATTCTTAAGGTTTTGGTAATTCAAAATCTATTTTAAATATACAAAAGGAGCTCTTTAATGGGCCCCAAGGTGAATCTTTTCATAAAATAATAAATTAAGTGGGGTTTTTTCCAGTTCGAGGAAACACTCATGTATTTCTAACATCCTACACTAAAATGCCTTGACTTGAATAGCTGTGCATGTGCATGGACATGCATTTATTCATTTCTGTTTTTTCTTAACAGACAAAGAGATGGAATAATTTTATTCAGGTCTGATACACCAGTGTATGCCTGAGCATGTATATGTATATATAACCAGTAACATCTCAGTTATTGGTATGACGGGAAACATTTCTTTCCATGAACATAATTTGTTGGTTATATCAAGACAATCATTCCCACATTTAAATAGTGAAATTGTCCAGGAAAGAAGACTCCATGGTACACAACAGATTCTTAACCAGAAATCTTTAATTTAATAACCAGTTAATTTGTTGTAGAATCCACATGCTTTGACAAGGAGTCCATACAAATAAACCTCTGACAAATCTAAGCTGAATTAATCAGCAGGAAGAAAAGAAAATGCTTTCCTGTAAACTTCGCCCTGATGAAAAAGAGAGGGTGTCAGAAGTCCATGACAAAACCCAGGCACATCCAAAATAAGTTTGATTATAAAAGCAAGAACTCCTTTCTGGTTTTGTACGATGACTGGGGGAGGGTTGGCAAGAACAGGATAAATTATTCAGGTTTAAGAGACAGTGATAAAAATGTAAATGCAATCCTGTCACGGAATCTTTGCACCAGCTGAATAAATTCAAACTAGAAGCTGAATCAGCATCTCGCCTCTGATTAAAACCAATTGAAAGCACAAAGACAGGAAGAAGAAAACCTCATAAGTTCTTTGGAAATGGCAGATAAATTGATCAAGCATAACTGCAACATTAAGATGAAACAGTTTTACTAATATTGACCACAGGCCAAGGGGCCCTGCCAGCTCTCTTCAAATGGTAGCACTTGTAATCAAAGAACTAGGTCTTATTTAAGCTCAAAAGTGATTATTACTTCATTAATTATGGTCATGCCCCTATTCTTTCATTGTGACCACATTTCATCTTTTCCCAAAAGCAGTCCATTAGCCTCATTTCATCTTTAATGGGTAATATGTTCCTTTCTGAGCATGCTTTCTGTGTGCATAGATTCAAGCTGCTGAACAACAGCTCTACATCCCAAGCCGGTGCCCAACATTGGCCCTATACTTGCTTGACACTATGGTCAGAGAGCACAACAAAATAAAAAAAATTTTTTTTCATATCTATTCGAGACAGATCAAGAGATAACATACGAACATGAACAAATGTATTTTTCTTCAACAGCTCAGGGATTAAAAGCTGGGGCTCGGTATCCAGGCTCCCTGGGTTCAAAGACAGGCATGCACCTCACAAGAAGTCAGGGGCTGGGCAGCCTTTCTTCTCTCTAACACAGGGATAACAACAGGGTTTGTGGCAAGGATTTAATTAATGGAAAGAGCCTGGGATGTGTCTGGCACATAATAAGTGCTCAATAAATGTTAGTTCTTATTAACATTGTGTTTACATTAAACATATGCCACTGTCACCGGTAGAGGGTTGTGACTTCAACTTGTCCAGGTTCTTGGCATTTTAAACAAAGAACTGGACAAAATGCCCAGCAAAGCAAAGAAAGAATGAAGCAACAAAAGAACGAAAGCAGGGATTTATCGAAAACGAAAGTACACTCCACAGTGTGGAAGCGGACCCATGCAGTGGCTCAAGGGCCCAGACACAGAAATCTTCTTGGGTCCAAATACCCCCTAGAAGTTTCCCATTGGCCACTTCATGCTCACCTGAAGTAAATGAAGCGGTAGCCGGCAATCACTCTGATTGGCTGCAGAAAGCAGCCAACCAGAGACTGAAATGAAGTTACAAAGGTCACACTCCTGTGCAAACATCCGATTGGTTGCAAAAAACAACCAATCAGAGGCTAAGGTGAAGTTACAAAGTTATATTTCTATGCGAAAAAAGACTAGACCTGCAATCAGTCTGATTTGTGGTGGACAGCCAATTTCTCATCTGCCCGGCAGAAAAGGTCAAAGGGAGTAGCCTCTGGTCCTTTTGTTACTTAGGCGTGGAAAGTTAGGGTTTTCAAGTTAGTTCTAGGAAGTCAGCGTGAAACAGCCTTAGGTTCCCTGCCTCCAGACACTGTTCTCCTGCCTCATCACCCACTTAGGAGTTAGACAATTCGGTTGAGTGCTTAAGGAAAAAGTCACCAGGCAGTCCATCCAGCCACCCCTGCGCATCTACTCAACAGCGCGGCCTGGTGTGTCCACTTATACGCACACACAGAATGCCATAAGAAGTGGACTGCTGTGCACAGTCTCTCCCGATTTGGCTATAAGCCCTTAGGATTCATTTCAACGTCATAGTGTAGTGAAAATTATAGAATTCTATCAATATCAGGTAATAAAGTTGCTTAATGAGCCTATTCACAAATATCCGCTGAGTAGTCCCCATATGCCCAGAACTATGCCATGCATGAAAGGGCACAAAAGATCTGGAAAAGGCTGTAAAGCCTTCCAGATGTTAACAACTATTTAGGGAGAAAAAGGCTTATCCTGAATTACTAAAAGATTTAGCTAGTATGTGAATTATGTCATTATAGACAGTGATACAATAAAGCAACATAGCATAATGTGCTATTCACAGGTCTAGAACTTTCTGAAAAGGAGAATGAGAGGTGAGGAAGCTCTCGAGGGGCCCATGTGTTGGGGGTGGTGGATATGTACACACACACACACACACACACACACACACACTCACCCTGTCCTGCCACCATTAGGTAAAGTTTCCTGCCACTCCTTGCACATCCGTCATTACCAAAGAGATATTAAACTAGACAACTGTAAAAAAATAACACCTTCAGTGGCAAAACTGCCTTATGCAGAGATGTGGATGATTTGTTACCTACTTCATCGTTGCATGTGGCTCAGGGGAGTTTTCTCAGCGATTAGCAGGGGCACTGGCAGAAGACAATAGGCCTAGGAACTTCCCTGGCTGCCCTCACCATTGCACCAACCCCAAACCCCCCTGAGGACATCTTGCAGACCAGTAACCTGCTAACTCTCATTCCTCTCATTCCTTTCTTGCTGTTTTTCCTGGCTAGCTCCAGAGCCAGCAGAAGAAGGTCAACGTCACTCTTAAACTATGTCAAACAGTGTTGTAGTTCAGGAGTGGAGGTGAACTGTTTACACATGGTCTTTGTTTCCTCTAGCCAGGATTTCATTGCTGATCCTGCCCTCTAAGGTCATACCAGAGGGCACAGAATGGGCCTCCCAGCCTACATGCTGCTGTGACTGTCTGTCTGAGGGAAGGATCAGATTTAGGCCTGGACATGTTGCTTTTGTTGTTGTTGTTATTGTTGTTTAAACCAATTTATTGGCAAGTCAGTGACATAAGGGCTTCAGGGAAGTTCCTACATATCTTCCTCCTCCATCACTCCTCAGCAGTCCTCTTTGCCTCTTCAATCAGCTTGTCCTCTTTGCCTCTTCAGTCAGCTTGTCCTCTTTGCCTCTTTAATCAGCTTGTCCTCTTTGCCTAAACATTTCTGCTTTAGAAGGGCAAACTGTCCAGCTGATTCTTGAGCCACAGTTTTCAATTACAATGTGTGATGGGGTGCTTCCTTCTTTTGTGTGAAATTCCTATTGTGAGTGACCTCCCCTTTGAATGAATTAGGTCACAAACTGTAATGGCCCTTTTTTTTCTGGTACTGCAAGCCCATTTATTTTTATTTTAAGAGACAGGGACTTGCTCTGTTACCCAGGCTGGAATTCAGTGATGTGATCATAGCTCACTGCAGCCTCCAACTCCTGGGCTCAATCAATCCTCCTTTCTCAGGCTCCCAAGTATATAAAACTACAGGTGTGTGGGTATTTTTTTAAAAAATTATTTGTAGAGACAGGGTCTTGCTATGTTGCCCAGGTGGGTCTCAAACTCCTGGCCTCAAGAGATCTTCTCACCTCAGCCTCCCAAAGTGCCAGGATTACAGACATGAGACACCGTGCCCCGCCCTGAAAGCCCATTTTGAACCCAAGGCACTGTGTTGGAAATTGGATGAAGATTTTTAAAAAATAAGTCACATGTAGTTCTTGCTTTCATATTGATAACAATTTAGTATTGCTATGAAGTTGAGCAGGAAGTGAAGGCAAAAATATTGATATTCTTGTCAAGCACATCCATGTGAAGAGACCACCAACAGGCTTTGTGTGAGCAACAAGGCTGTTTATTTCACTCGGGTGCAAGTGGGCTGAGTCCGAAAAGAGAGTCCGTGAAGGAGTGGGGAAGGGATTGCTTTATAGGAGTTGGGTGGGTAATGGAAAATTACAGTAAAAGGTGGTTATCTATTGCTGGCGGAGGAGGGGGGTCACAAGGCACATGGTGCGGAGATCATAAAAGACTCATTGTCCAGAAGAAGAATGTCATGAGGTCGATCGATTGATCAGTTGGGGCAGGGCAGGAACAAGTCATAATGGAATGTCTTAAGGTTGGTCAATCAGTTAAGACAGGAGCTGGCTGTTTCACTTCTTTTGTTGTTTTCGATTGCCTCAGGCCATTTGGATGCATACGTGCAGGCTTGGGCTCAGAGGCCTGACAATTCTAATATAAGGCGGAAGCCCAGATGAATAATACAGGAAAAGTTCTGGAAAGTTGTAGGCACAGGGAATAGCAGGAGCTAAATATTGAGGATGGAGAGGCCAGGTTGTTTGCAGGCCAGTGAGCAGATCATCTGGTGGAATTGTATGGTCACAGGCCATCCAAAAGCCCTTTCTGAGATGAAGCAGAGAACTTCAGAGAACAGCTGCCAACTGTCTTGCTCTTAGAACTTCAAAACTTGCCCTCTCTTGCATACCACATCCAATTTGGAGCCTACTTCCTATTAGTTTATTGAAATGCAAAATGCATACTAAAACCCTTAGCAGTAGTCTCAGACATTGAGCCCTTGTGGTTTTTAAAATCAGAGAATCATTACTTGGGAGTGGGAGATGCATGAACTATTTGCTCCTGGAAAGTGACATACTGAGGTTACTTGGCAGATGAGTCTCACACAGAATAGCCTGCTTGCTTTTGCCAATTTGTTAATATTAAAAACTGGAAAACTATGTAACTACTAAAAATATCAAGTAGAATGGGCTCCTTTAAAAACCTAGGAGCACTGGACTCTTCAAACAAAGGCCAAATAATTGTTTGTAAAAAGAATCCTGTGAAAGAGACACTGTGCTAGGTGGGCAAGTGGATCACCCTCCCATGTTTCAAATCATGCTGTGGCCCAGAAAACTATATTCCATAATATGAATGACAGGAATGAAGAGAAGAAGCAAGGCAAGAAAGGGAAGAGGTGAATAGTTACTGGAGAACAGAGGGAGGAAGCAAGGAAGAATGCAAAAGAAAGAAGAAATTGCACTTGCAGCATGTGGATCAGTATTTGGAAACTGTTCAATCAGATTAATTCCAAATTCTAGGACTATATATCATGAATCTCTCTCTCTCTTTTTTTTTTTTTTTTTTTTTTTTTTTTGAGACAGAATCTTGCTATGTTGCCCAGGCTAGAGTGCAGTGGTGCTACCTCAGCTCCCTGCAAATTCTGCCTCCCAGGTTCAAGCGATTCTCCTATCTCAGCCTCCCAAGTAGCTGGGATTACAGGCATGCGCCACCACCATGCCCAGCTAATTTTTGTATGTTTAGTAGAGACGAGGTTTCACCATGTTGGCCAGGCTGTTCTCAAACTCCTGACCTCAGGTGATCTGCCTGCCTCGGCATCCCAAATTGCTGGGATTACAGGCGTGAGCCACCACACCCGGCCTGTATTATGAATCTCTTAAGTGAGCTCTTTAGCTTAGGGACAAAAGTATATACATTTTCATTTTGATCATGAATGTTATGAGAGATTAAATTGGACTACCTACCTGGTTAGAAGGAGGAGGTTGGGGTCAGGTTTGGGATGAGTGTATATCACCAGTGATTTCCAAATACTACAACATAGTGATCCCTTGCTGGGGCTCTGGGTTGCAGTGTCTGGTATCATTACTCCACCCTGCATTTAAGCATGGGCTTGGAACCATGTGGAGGGAACAAAAGATCTGGAAGGATTCTGCCTTTTTACACCAAATGGCTTTGTGATCTTTCCCTTTGTAATGAAAACCAAACCAGTCAGATTAAAACTATCAGCCCATTGAATGAGATAATCTATGTGAAGTAAACAGAAGTCACTGTGTCCTAGCAAGGTATCATTATGCAAATGGAGGTATAATGCAAGGTTCCTAACACCAGTGGTCTGAATGTGCTCCAGGGTCTCTGTCATCTTTAAACACATGTTCCCTTACATGTGGATATGTAGGGTAGATACAAACTGAGAATGGAAAATTTCCCAGACCCTAAGATCTAGGCAAGTACAGTGTGGTCAGTGGAAATTAGATGTAGATGCAAGAGTGAAAAATAAAAGATTCTGAATTCTGCTTTACAGAATTTGGAGCTGTTCTGGGGCTTTCACTGAAAGGAGAGAGGTGGCTGGGTTGTAATTCCTAGCATGCATCATTCAGTACGAGGGAGGTTGTGCTTCGGTGACAGTCCTGTCCTCCCAAATATCAGTGGCCTAAAACAAAGATTTATTTCTCACTTGTACTATACATCCCTTGTGGCTTGGCTGTAGGTTTTGTGCTGTATCACCCTCACTGAAGGATCTAGCCCAATGAGGCAGTCCCTGCCTGGTCATTATCGGCAAAAGGAAAGAGATCTTTGAATGGTTTTGTACCAGCAATTTAATATGATAGTATGGTAGTAACACGCATCACTTTTACTCACAACTCATTGGCCAACACTAGTTATCTGGTACCAGCTCAGTCTGAAGAAGGCGAGCAAGAAATGCAGTCCCACCGTGAACCCAGAAGGCAGAAAGCCAGAAATATCTAATCAACTGCATTCATAACAACCACATGACACATCATTGTATTTGAATAAAATTGCACTGGTCTACCTGGGTAAAAGGTATGTGAATGCTCAGATGCTATGGCTGAGTCTGCCATGGCCTTTGTTATTTATTTTAATGACATTGATAATTACTTTATTGATAGTATGATCATTAATTTTAATGACATTAGGTAGTCATTAACTTTTTCTAAAGCCATTCAGGAACACTGTAACAACTAGAGGCCACAGGGCAACTTCTTTAGTACAGGAGTGAACGTGAGTCACAGTGTTGTCACTGAGGTCATCTTTGCACTGAAGGTTAGAAACTCAAAACAAAGCTCAATGTGAAGTGACACTCAGAGTATACACTTGCCTCCTTGCTTAGTATAAATCACTTAACATTTCTAAATACGTGTTTTTTGCCATGTGCTTGATAGGCAATGGAAATAATGAACAAAATTCTCTCAAGCAAGATTGGCCCTATGAACAAGTGAAGATGGTGGGCGATTTCAGCTGCTTCAGAATCACTCTACCTGTCTCAAGGACAAAGGGAAGAAACCCACAATACTAGATGTATTATATATTTTCTAGAGTCCAAAAGTGGTGTGGCTCAGTACATAATGTCTGTGGATCTGATACTTGAAACAACTTACATCCCACGGCACTGTTGTTCACCTCAGTGGATGCGGGACCTCTCACTGCTGGCCGGCCTCCTGAATTGTTCTGTTTCCAGAGTGTCTTCTGCAAGGCCTTTCCCCACAGGTTGCTGGAGACTTTATCACTGTTGCAGGAGGCCCAGCGGCTTCGCCCCAGAGGCCACCAGTGCCACCCAGGTAAGGCAGTGCTACTTCTGAAGTGCTGAACATTGCTGCTTCCGCTGGGCATTGCAGCTGCACCGCTGCGGCCGTCCATCTGTACACATCTGTCTGTCCAGCTGCGCCATGGAGCCCAAGACGTCATTCAAAGATCGCAACACCAAGAGTGCTCTTCCTGGGAGCTGCTACTCCTCAGCCACTGCTCACCATCCCTCTCCATTTGAGCTTTCCGAGAAGTTTGATGAGGTAGAGGAGAATATGATTCCATACCCTTTGTGTGGGGGCAGGAGAGGGGTCCATGGCAGTGAAAGTTGGGTGACAAATAATATAGTGTTTAGTTAAACTGTTCTATAAGCATTTAGTGACAGTCCTCTCACTCCTAACAACCCACGCCTGAGTGAGTAGAAGCTGTGACCACTGTTGACTGAATATAAATTACCAAAATATCAGAATCACTCCTCACTCTCCAGCCATTGTTTTGTTATGAGTTACTTTAATTTATGTAATGTATACAATGTGCTGAGAGCATTGGTAGGTACATAGTAGTCCCTACACAAATATTTTGTTGTGGTTGTTGCTAAGCATTCAAGTCCTTCCTTGAGAAGCAGGTATCTCTTAAAAACTCCTAAGGGTCATTGCAACCAACTTCTCAAAGATCGTCAAACAATCCCAACTATGTCTGAATCTCTTCTAAAACTCATACCCACACAACGATTCTGCTAGCCAGAAACTGTTCACTTCACGTTATTCATAAGAAAACTAAAGCTCAGAGAGGTTAAGCAACTTCCTCAAGGTCACAGAGTAACAAGTGATGGAACCAGGATTCAAACTCAGGACTGCCTGATTTTGAACCCATTTATACTATGGATAGAATAGAGGGTTAGAGCAGTGAATCTCAACCAAGGGTGATTTTACCCCATCAGGGGACATTTGGCAATCTCTGGAGACATTTTCATTCGTCACTGCTTAGGGAGAGGGAAGTAGTACTGGCATCTAATGGGTAGAGGCCAGAAATGCCACTAAATGTCCTGCAATGCACAGGACAGGCCTCTCCCTCTCTCCCTACAACGCCCCCCAACAAAAGGTATCAGGTTCAAATGTCAACTGTGCTGAGGTTAAGAAACCCAGGATTGGAGGAACATATTAATACATTAAATTGCTAGGAAAGAAAAATCCAGGGACAGCAGGAAGAACATATTGAAAAAATACATTCATGATTACGGGTTGAAGTAGGATTTTGGTAAGCAGAGGTAGAAGGCAAGAATAGTAGAGAGAACAGCATGAACAAAGAAGGAGAAGAAATATAAGAGATATTTGCAGGAAACTAAAAGTCCAGGAGCAGGGAAGAAGTGGAAGTAGAAATTGAAAAGCTACATTGAGACTTAATTTGGGGAGGCCTGGAATGCAAAGAATTTAAGTGTAGAGAGCCTGGAACAAAATTTCTCAAAGTATTTGTCTTGAGCTCACCACGCTCACCAAGTAACATGAGGGTCTGTAAAAAAAAAAAAAAAAAATTCTTTTTTTAAATCCAAGCATTCTGCATCAATGCAATGGATATATGGCCTTAGACAATTTCAGTCCTCTCCCATCACTTGAAGAAGGAAAAACTGGGGCCCAGGGTATGAGGTCACTTCCCCATGGTCACTGGTGACTTAGTGACTGGGCTGGAACTGAAACCAAATCTTGGGATTAGATCCAGTGTTTATGATATATAGTTTGGTCCCTGGGATCTCAAAAGCACAGCCAGTTTTTTCTCCCTTTTATGATTCTTCTTGTATTTGTATAGAGAAGATTATCGGTGAATCGTCTTCATTATTTCCCTATTCCTACTTGAAGTGCCCAAAATGTGCAAGGCCAAATATTGTGGCACAAGCCAAATAGCATTTTTCTACTAAAAAAGAAAAACGCTGTTGAGGAAAGAGGGTCGGAATAAATGGAAGGGCTATTATTTTGCCCTTGGAGGCATTTTCTGAGAATCAAGGTTGAGGCCTGACAGGTATTTCCCATTTCAGCTTTGCATGTGGGCCCAACTTGAATGAAGAATTGAGATTTGGCTAAAGAGGCAAGTAACATAATCCTAAAAAGAATCCCAGGGATGGATCCAGGCGAGGCAGCTTGTACACAGAGCCAGGCGTCTTTGACCCACAGAACATTTCACAACCTGAGAGCTTCGTTTTGGAATTTTTGTATTTATTCCTCTCAATTGGGCAAAAAAAAAAAAAAAAAAGAAAGAAAAATTACATTCCCACTGCAACATAAAGGTTATTTATTTCCAAACAAAAGAATTAGGAAATGTGAACTTTAAGGCTTTGAGACTAACATTAACTCATCGGCAACAGACAGATGGTATTTTGTATCTTCAATGAAGAGGCTGTTAAATGTGAACTTAATACATCTGGGATGAGTCATCAGGGTGAGCTAATTTGCTAAAACCTTAGCTTTTGCATTTCCTGATTAGATTTTTTTTCTCTTTTCATCTTTCAATCTGGCATCTTCATCCCTAACAATTTTCCATTTAACACAAGGGAAATACTTTGAATTTTCCTTTATTTGTAGTTTCACCAGGGTCATTCTAGGGCATTTTCCTCAGGCTTAGTTTAAAATTGTGATGAAACAATTTAGAAAAAAGACTTTAATATGGATATGTCATTTAATATGAAGGTATCAAGTTATTTAAGAGGGACATTATATATAATATTATGTATATATTTATATACTACATATACATGAATATATTTTATATATTTATTTATTTTCCCCCTTTCCAATGATCTTCTATTGGTAGTACTTCCTTCCACATTTGCTTATTTCTGCTAAGTGCTTATGTGACTCCCATGTATAATTTTTTCAGATTGACGAGATAGGATTTTGGTTTTGCCCTTTTTTCCTCAAAGTGTCCCTTTAGTGTGCTGGATCTCTTATTAAGTCTATGAGATAGAAATCCTCGCTGTCATGTATGTATTCAATAGATGTTTCCTAAATGTCTCATATGTATGCCTCCCCTTAATAATTCCCATGATGTTTAGGAAGCTGTGATGGTGCAGTACATCACCAGGAAGAAAATGTTATTATTAGACACCTACAGAAAACACGTTGCTCCAGACTGTGGTCCAAAGTGTTTGTTGGCTTTTCTTATTGAGTTATCTATTAGTCTGTACAGAATCCACCCCCAGGGGACATGGTAAAATCCATCTTTCTTTCTCTAAGGATCCCTCACTCTCTTCTGCAACTCTGTTCTTCCCCAACAGTCCTGGCTTTGCCCTGGAAGCGGGGTTTGTCAGATCCTTCCGGGGAAACTTTTACTGCATCAGTGAGTGTTTCTTTTGCTAATACTTGTTGAGAATTTAGAGGTGATAATTCATCTCATCTCTCTCATTACCACCACCACTTCAACTTTGGAATCAAGGAGTCAGATAATAGGAAAATCAAAATATCAGCATTATGGCAAATAAATCCATTTTTGAAACTATTGGTGTGGGCCCATGGCCAGAAAGGAATTCTCAATTCCCAGATTTAGACCTTGGGGCCTCTTCTCAAGGGAGTGAGAGAGTCTGCAGAGAAGCCTCTCTAACCCAGAGTCCCTCTCTCATATCCATTAGGCTACAGGAGTCAGGAAAGAAGAAGTCAGTGCTCTAAAGAGCCTCCAGGAAGTACGTAAAACTGACCCCTAACCTCCATGAGCTCAGTAGGGAAGAAAGGACAAGGGCAGATGTAGGAAAACAACAACTCAGATGGGACTGAGCCACAGGTTTCTAAACCTTGAAACCCAATCGCACAAACACGATGGGGTGGGCAAAGAGAGGCGCGTTCTTCCCAACTTTTTCTTGCTGGGTAGAGTAGTGGAAATCTTCTCCCTTTCTGAAAACATGAAGAATACAGAAGGTCTCCTCTAACACTCTCAAGATTCTGTTTTCTTAAACTATTAGGTTGTAATTAGACTAGTGGTCTACCAGGGCTTAGGCTGTTCCCTTGGGTAGTCTCAGGGCAGTCCTACTCCTGCCTTTGTGAGGTTTCTCTCTCCATGTCAACCCCCTCTTCCTTGTGTATACTGTCTGGATCATGGTGTACAGTTTAATCTTTGCCCTGGTAAACTCTAATACTTAAAACTCTTAATACTTAGACAAGTATTTACCTAAGTATTAAGTAAATACTCTAGGCTTGAAATGTATTCCTTATTCTATATATTATCTCAGATTGTCACTGGCCAAGATGCCCAATAGAATTCATCAGAAGTTATACACCACACCCAAATAATACCAATACAACCTAAAATACAATGTCAGTGCAATAAGAATAACTCAAGTTTGAATTTGAACTATCTCCTAATATTAAACTCCCAGAGAGCAATCAAGTCCAAAATTCAAATCCCTTTTAGTATTATAATCTAAAGAAATTAAAGGCCAACATTCTTAAAGACTACAAAAATTAAAGCCATATCTTCTCCATTTGTAAAAAAATATTGCTTAGTCTCACACATAAGGATCTTTAGATTCCTTAATAGAGTGTGGCTTCTGCATTTATAGCCTCTCACTGAAATAAGGGTGGTTCCTTTAGGATCTCCACAGTTGGATTAATCAAAGCCATGTTCATTGCACCTCTAATCACAATAGCTAAGATAAGGAAACTTCCTAAGTGTTTTCTGATAGATGAATGGATAGTTATACACACACACTATATATATATACACACACACACAATGGAATAATATTTAGTCTTTTTCAAAAATTTTTAATTATTTTTAAAATTTTATTTAATTAATTAATTAATTTATTTATTTATTTATATTTTTAGAGACAAGGTCTCATTCTGTAGCCCAGGCTGAAGTGCAGTGTTGTGATCATAGCTCACTGCAGCCTCGAACTCCTTGTCTCAAGCAATCCCCAGCTCAGCCTCCCAAAATGCTGGGATTACACATGTGGGCCACCTCACCCAACCCTATTTAATCTTAAGAAGGAAGAAAATCCTACCATTGGCAAAAATATAAATAAACCTGGGGGACATTATGCTATGTAAAATCAGCCAGACATGGAAGGAAAAATACTATATGATCTCACTTATCTGTGGAAGTAGAAAAGTTGAAATCACAGAAACAGAGAGTGGAATGGTGGTTACCAGGCATGTTAGTCAAAGGGTAGAAAATTTCGGATGTGCAGGATGAGTAACTTCTGGAGATCTAATGTCAGCAATGGGGGCTATAGTTAATAATACTGTATTGTATACTTGAAATTTGCTAAGAGAGTAGATCCTAAGTATTCTCACCACACACACAAAAGAAAGTAATTATGGGAAGAGATGGACATGTTAATTAGCTTGACTGTAGTATTTGGTATATTATGTGTATGTATACCAAAAATATCACATTGCACACCTTAAATATATAAAATTTTCATAAAAATAAAAATTAAATTAAACATTTTAAAAAGCCAAGTTTTCAAGTATCCCAATTTCTAAAGTGTAAGTAAAGTTAGTAGAGGCCAGGCAAAGTGGCTCACACCTGTAATACCAGCATTTTGGGAAGCCAAGGCATGAGGATCACTTGAGGTGAGGAGTTTGGGGCCAGCCTGGACAACATAGCAAGACCCCATCTCTACAAAAATTTTTTAAAAAATTAACCAGGCATGGTGGCAGGTGCCTGTAGTCCTAGATACTAGGAAGGTTATGGCAGGAGAATCACTTGAGCCCAGGAGTTGGAGGCTGCAGTGAGCTATCATCACGCCACTGCACTCCAACCTGGGCAACAAAGTGAGACCCTGTCTCTTAGAAAAGAAATTTAAAAAAAAGAGAAAAAGAGAGAGAGAAGGAAAGAAAAAGAAAGAAAGAAAGGAAGGAAGGAAGGAAGAGAGAAAGAAAGAAAGAGAGAGAAAGAGAGAGAGAAAGAGAGGGAGGGAGGGAGGGAGGACGGAAGGAAGGAAGGAAGGAAGGGAAAGAAGAATAGAAATGGAATTATCACAGCATATATCAAGGGACTCACAACACAAGGAAAACCCCTAGCTCTAGAGCAGGTATGCAAATGCGTACATAAGTACATACACGCAGATGTACATATATTTCTCAGAACCCAGTTTTTACTAAAATCTAGATGTATGTTATTCTTTCTGAAGATCAGAATAATGACAGACGAAGTCCAGAGGGTAGAGTAGCCAAAACAACTTGATTTACCTAAAAATCATTTGTAACTAACTTCTCACTTGCCTTCCTCTGTAAAAGAAGCTAGATAGCTAACTACTGGATTCTCCAGCCTGTATCATCCACATGACACGAATCTGGCCAACACAGTGTAAGTAAAAGTCAAATAGTCAAAGCCTCAAGGATAAGATTTTGACCCTCAGGCTTTTTGAGGCTTAGAATCTAGATGTGGAGCCTGGAGATGCAGCAGCCACCCTGTGACTAGAAAGGCAAAACCATATGCTGAAAATGAAGGAGCTGAAAATAAGAGAAAGAGCCTGGATTCCTGATGGAGCCCAGAGTTATTGCCCTAGTGTGCCCACTTCTGGATTCCTTGCTTATGTGAGGAAAGTAAATCTTTATATCATTAAGAAATAAATGAGGCTGGGCGCAGTGGTGCACACCTGTAATCCCAGCACTTTGGGAGGCTGAGGTGGGTGGATCACCTGAGGTCAGAAGTTCTCGACCAGCCTGACTAACATAGTGAAACCCTGTCTCTACTAAATACAAAAAAATTAGCCGGGCTTGGTGGCACATGCCTGTAATCTGAGCTACTTGGGAGGCTGAGACAGGAGAATCACTTGTACCTGGGAGGCAGAGGTTGCAGTGAGCCAAGATCGGGCCATTGCACTCCAGCCTGGGCAACAAGAGTGAAACTCCATCTCAAAAAAAAAAAAAAAAAGATTTCTGTGATTTCTGTGATGTGTAGGTAAACACACTTCTAAATGATTCAAAGAAAATTCCAGTTCCAGCTTTACCACCATACAGGTCAGTCTGTGATGGTTGCCCAACGCCAACAATCCATAACAATTAGGAGAAATATCCCATTGGTAGGTGATTTTTCCCATCCATAGGGGAACCATCCACCAATGAATATAATTAGAAATTAAACTGATGACATTACACTCACCAGACCTCACTTGAAATGTCCTTGTTTCCCACAGAGCCCCTTAATTTTTTTTTTTTTTTTGAGCTTCATGATCCTGCCTCCCTTCTCCCTGCCCCTCCCTGGAAGTACTGAACTATTAGAGCTATTCCCCAGGCTTGATCAATCCTGACTCTACGAATAATTTTGATGCATGATTATGCAAACAACAACTAAGGCTGACCAAAGACCACCTTCAGGAAATAGCAAAGCCAGAAAAAAAGAGAAGGCAAGGTAAAAACTAATATCCTCTCACAAGTGCCAGGTACTGTATCTGGGCCTTTGGTGCCACTCCAACCTTTGCCAGGTGCAGATGGTAAGGGGCTCACAGCTAATCGTCTGGACACAGCACATTCACCTATAATGATGATGCATCTTTGGCTGTGGCAAGAGACACATGAGAAATATGGAATGTTATGGGGCTCAGAGAGTAGAAAGTAACTCCTGCTCTGGGTATTTGGGGAGGCATCATGGTGGGAGTATTTGCATATTCTACCCACCTTTTCTATCCCAGCTCAAAAATTGCAGGAGGAAAGAGGGCAAAAAGGAAGCACCTGGGCAGAGAGAACAACATGAGCAGAAAAAGCACAGAGGCAGAGAAGAGTTGGGCATGTTCAAAAGCTTTGATATGTTCACAAGCATTGATTCCATTGTCTGAAGGCAAATTGGGAGAGATTAGTAAAAAGTTAGCTCAGGTCAGATAATGAGAGTCTTGAATACAGGCTAAGGTGCTCTATTTTCTAGGCTATGTGAAGCCATGGATGGTGGAGAGAGGTGGATGGAGCTGAGCTTCGAGGCAAGTGATCTGGCAACAGTGTAGAAAATAAAGGTGATTGCCGTAGCCTCAGAATGAGACAGAGACTGAAATGGGAAGGTACAGTTCCTAAGATCTGATGCCTAATTGGATGAGCTGAGCCAAGGAGAGAAAAAAGACACTAATGATAGAGGGCTCTAGATGATATGCCTAGGAAGATAGTGAGGACTTTAATTGGAACAGGCATACCAGAAGAAGAGAGGATGATATGTTCTACTTCTAATTAGCAAAAAAATTATCAAGGCAGAAATGTCCAGCACCCTGTTGAAAATGGTGAACCAGAACACTGAAGAAAAGATGAGACTAAAATTGGAGACTTAAGAGTCCTCCCTATATAGAATGTAATGGAAATCATGACAATAAATGAATCTTCCAATGGAAAAAATACAGAGAGAGATGATGGTAAGCATCATAAATTCAGGGGCGATTTATCCAGAATCATGTAAATACTAACAACACAGAAACTTAAGAGGGGAGAGATGTTCTACATTGAAAAAAATGAATATACTATTATCTCTTAGGTATGCAGTGAGTGTAATTTTTAATACTTTTAAACCAATTTTTATTACTTCTAGGAATATTGAAAGAATACAAATGTTATTTTTAAAGAAAACGAGGTTATTTAGCACAACATGCTAATGGAGACAAACTAGCAATGTAAATGCCTTTTGTGATTTTTAAAAGTTAAAAAGAACATTTCAATCCGCTTGTTGCTGTGTTTAATATTCATTTGTTTATTCATCCATCATCATTTAGTAAATATTTATGGACGGCCTGTTATGTGCTAGGTAGGCACTGTTCTAGCTGGACAGGGCTTCACTGTGGACAGACCATCAATAATCCCTGACCCCCTGTTGCTCTCATTCTCCCTTCCCTTGCTAGAATGCAAGGTTGCACAGACTCTTTTTAGGTGAGTTGTACACCGAACCTCTTCAACTCATGGAAGACACATACCATTATGACCTTCCAGGCTCCAGTTCACTTCTCAAGTTTCCAGTTCCTTGGTTGCAGAATGAAATAACCATTCCCACATTTCAGAGTGAGGAATAGAAATGGCATATACAGAGCAGCCTTCATTGTGTGCCTTAAAAGTTCACTGTGAACTGTAAACAGCAATGGATAAGAGAACAGAAATTCTGGGTTCTAGGTTTGGATTCTGGCTAGACTTCAGTCTTATTATCTAAGTCATGTAGATAGATAGATGATAGATAGATAGATAGAGAGATGATAGATAATAGATAGAGTATTTGACACAAGGCTGCCTAGATCCATGTCTTCCTTTAATATTTCTTTTTTTTTTTACTTTTATTTTAACTTCAGGGATGCATGCGCAGGTTTATTAGGTAAACTCGTGTCATGAGTGTTTGTTGTACAGATAATTTTGTCACCCAGGTATTAAGCCTAGTACACACTAGTTATTTTTCCTGATCCTGATCCTCTCCCTCCTCCCACCCTCCACCTTCCAGTAGGCCCCAGTGTCTGTTTTTGTCTTCTATGTGTCCATATGTTTTCATCATTTCACTCCTACTTATAAGTGAGAACATGTGGTATTTGATTTTCTGTTCCTGTGTTAGTTTGCTAAGGATAAGGGCCTCCAGCTCCATCCATGTTCCTGCAAAGGACATGATCTTATTATTTTTTATGACTGCATAGTATTCCATGATGTATATATACTACATTTTCTTTATCCAGTCTACTATTGATTGGCATTTAGGTTGACTTCATGTCTTTGCTATTGTGAATAGTGCTGCAGTGAACATACATGTGCATGTATCTTTATGATACAACAATTTATAACCCTTTGGGTATGTGCCCAGTAATAGAATTGCTGGGTCAGATGGTAGTTCTGTTTTTAACTCTTTGAGGAATTGCCACACTGCTTTCCACAAGGGTTGAACTAATTTACACTCCCACCAACAGTGTATAAAATGTTCTCTTTTCGCCACAACCTTGCCAGCATCTGTTAATTTTTGACTTTTTAATGGCCATTCTCACTGGTTTGAGATGGTATCTCACTGTGGTTTTGATCTGCATTTCTCTAATGATCAGTGATGACCTGTTTTTGTATGCTTGTTAGCCACATGTATGTCTTCTTTTGAAAAGTGTCTGTTCCTGTCCTTTGACCACTTTTTAATGGAGTTGTTTGTTTTTCACTTGTAAATTTAAGTTCCTTATAGATGCTGGATATTAGACCTTTGTCAGATGCATAGTTTACAAATATTTCTCCCATTCTGTAGGTCGTTTACTTGGTTGATAGTTTCTTTTACTGTGCAGAAACTCTTTAGTTTAATTAGGTCTTATTGCCAGTTTTTGCTTTTTTGCAGTTGTTTTTGGCATCTTGATCATGAAATCATTTCCTGTTCCTATGTCCAGGATGGTATAGCCTAGGCTATCTTCTAGGGATTTTACAGTTTTGGGTTTTACATTTAAGTCTTTAATTCATCCTGAGTTAATTTTTGTTTATGGTGTAAACAAGGGGTGCAGTTTCAATCTTCTGAATATGGCTAGCCAGTTATCTCAGCACAATTTATTGAATAAACAGTCCTTTCCTTATTGGTTGTTTTTATCAGCTTTATTAAAGATCAGATGGTTGTAGGTGTGTGGCCTTATTTCTTGGCTCTCTTCTGTTCCATTGGTCTCTGTGTCTATCTTTGTACCAGTACCATGCTGTTCTGGCTACTGTAGCTCTGTAGTATAGTTTGAAGTTGGATAGCATGATGCCTCCAGCTTTGTTATTTTTGGTTAGGATTGCCTTTGCTCCTAAAATTGGATCCATATTAATTTTAAAACAGCTGTTTCTAGTTCTGTGAAGAATGTCATTGGTTGTTTGATAGTAATAGCATTGAATCTATAAATTGCTTTTGGTGGTATGGCCATTTTAACAATATTGATTCTTTCTATCCTTGAGCATAGAATGTTTTGCCATTTGTTTGTGTCATCTCTGATTTCTTTAAGCTGTGTTTTGTAGTTCTGTAGAGATCTTTCACCTCCCTGGTTAGCTATATTCCTAGGTATTTTATTCTTTTTGTGGCCATTGTGAATGTGATTGCATTTCTGATTTGGTTCTCAGCTTGACTGTTGTTGATGTATAAGAATGGTAGTAATTTTGTATGTTGATCTTGTATCCTGAGACTTGACTGAATTTGTTTATCAGCTTAAGGAGCTTTTGGGCTGAGACTATGGGGTTTTCCAGATATAGAATCATGTCATCTGCAAATAGGGATAGTTTGACTTCCTCTCTTCCAATTTGGGTGCCCTTCGTTTCTTTCTCTTGCCTAATTACTCTGGCCAGGACTTCCAATACTATGTTTAATGGGAGTGGTGAAAGAGGGCATTTTTGTCTTGTGCTAGTTTTCAAGGGGAATGCTTCCAGCTTTTGCCCATTTAGTATAGTGTTGGCTGTGGGTTTGTCATAGATGGCTCTTATTATTTTGAGGTATGTTTCTTCAATATCTAGTTTATTGAGAGTTTTTAACCTGAAGCGGTGTTGAATTTTATTGAAAGCCTTTTCTGCATCGATTGAGATAATTATGTGGCTTTTGTCTCAGAGCTGTTTATGTGATGAATCACTTTTATTGATTTGTGTTTGTTGAACCAACATTGCATCCCAGAGATAAATGCCTTGATCTAGTGGACAAGCTTTTTGATGTGCTGCTGGATTCAGTCTGTCAGTATTTTGTTAAGGATTTTTGCATTGATGTTCATCAAGGATATTTGCCTGAAGTTTTCTTTTTTTGCTGTGTCTCTGCCAGGTTTTGGTATCAGGATGAGGCTGGCTTTACGGAATTAGCTAGGGAGAAGACCTTCCTCCTCAATTTTTTGGAATAGTTTCAGTAGGAGCAGTATCAGCTCTTTTTTGTACATCCTGTCGAAGTTGGCAGTGAGTCCATCAGGTCCTGTGCTTTTTTTTTTTTTTTTTTTTTTTTTGGTTGGTAGGCTATTTATCACTGATTCAATTTTGGAGTTCATTATTGGTGTGTTCAGGGATTCAATTTCTTCCTTGTTCAGTCTTGGGAGGGTGTTTGTGTCCAGGAATTTCTTCATATCTTCTACATTTTCTGGGTTGTGTGCATAGACGTGTTCATAATACTCTCTGACAGTTATTTGTATTTCTGTGGAGTCACTGGTAATATCCCTTTTGTCATTTCTAATTGTGTTTGTTTGGATCTTCTCACTTTTCTTCTTTATTAGTCTACCTAGTGATGTATTTTTCTTTCATTTTTTTCCAAAAACCAACTCCTATATTTATTGATCTTTTGATTGGTTGTTTGTGTCTCAATCTCCTTCAGTTCTGCTCTGATTTTGGTTATTTTTTTGTCTTCTGCTAGCTTTGGGGTTGTTTTACTCTTGGTTCTCTAGTTCTTTTAGTTGTGATATTATGTTATTAAATTGAGATCTTTCTAGCTTTTGGATGCAGGTGTTTATGCTATAAATTTCTCTCTTAACACTGCCTTAGCTGTGTCCCAGAGATTCTGGTATGTTGTATCTTTCTTCCCTCAGTTTCAAAAAACTTCTTGATTTCTGACTTAATTTCAGTATTTACCAAAAAGTCATTCAGGAGCAGGTTATCTAATTTCCACGTAATTGTCTGGTTTTGAGTGATTTTCTTAGTCTTGATTTCTAATTTTATTGTGCCATGGTCTGAGAGAATGGTTGTTAAGATTTCATTTCTTTTGCATTTGCTGATAGTTGTTTTAAGCCCCATTGTGTGGTTGATTTTAGAGTATGTGCCATGTGGCAATGAGAAGTAAATATATTCTGTTGTTTTGAGGTGGAGAGTTCTGTCCTCTAGATGTTCATGAGGTCCATAGACCTGATCAAATGTTGAATTCAGACCCTGAATATCTTTCTTAATTTTTTACCTGAATGATCTGTCTAATATTGTCAATGGAGTGTTGAAGTCTCCCACTATTATTGTGTGGAAGTATATGTCTCTTTGAAGGTCTCTAAAAACTTGCTTTACAAATCTGGGTGCTCCTGTGTTGGGTGCATATATATTTAGGATAGTTAGGTCTTCTTGTTGAATTGAACCCTTTACCATTATGTAATGCCTTTCTTTAACTTTTTTGATTTTTGTTGGCATAAAGTATGTTTCGTCTGAAATTAGAATTGCAACCCCTGCTTTTTTATGTTTTCCATTTGCTTGGTAGCTTTTTCTCCATCACTTTGTTTTGAGCCTATGGGTGTCATTACATGTGAGATGGATCTCTTGAAGACAGCATATCATTGGGTCTTGGTTCTTCAGTTTGCCACTCTGTGCCTTTTAACTGGGGGCATTTAACTCATTTACATTCAAGGTTAATTTTGATACATGTGTATTTGATCCTATCATCATGATGTTAGCTGGTTGTTATGCAGACTTGTTTGTGTGGTTGCTTTATAGTGCCACTGGTCTGTAAGTGTGCTTTTGTAGTGCCTGGTAATGGTCTTTCCTTTTCAGATTTAGTGCTTCCTTCAGGAGCTCTTGTAAGGCAGGTCTGGTGGTAACAAATTTCCTCAGCATTTGGTTGTCTGAAAAATATCTTATTTCTCCTTCACTTATGAAGCTTAGTTTGGCCAGATATAAAATTCTGGGTTGGAATTTCTTTTTCTGAATATTGGCCGTCAGTCTCTTCTAGCTTCTAGGTTTTCTTCTGAGGCTGTTAGTCTGATGGGCTTCCCTTTGTAGGTGACCTGACCTTTCTTTATAGTTACATTTAACATTTTTTTCTTTTATTTTGACCTTGGAGAATCTGATAATGATGTGTTTTGGGGATGATCTTCTTGTGAAGTATCTTACTGGCATTCTCTGAATTTCCTGAATTTGAATGTGGGCCTCTCTAGCCAGGTCAGAGAAGTTCTCCTGAATGATATCCTGAAATATGTTTTCCAAGTTGCTTCCATTCTCTTCATCTCTTTCAGGGACACCAGTGAGTCATAGATTTGGTCTCTTTCTATAATCCCATATTTCTTGGGGGGTTTGTTCATTCCTTTTCATTCTTTTTTCTCTATTCTTGGCTGACTGTCTTATTTTACAAAGCCAGTCTTCAAGCTCTGAGATTCTTTCCTCAGCTTGGTCTATTCTGCTATTAATACTTGTGATTGCATTATAAAATTCTCATATTATATTTTTCAGCTCTATAAGATCAGTTATGTTCTTTTTTAAACTGTCTATTTTGTCTGTCAGCTCCTATATCTTTTAATTGTAATTCTTAGCTTCCTTGGATTGGGTTTCAACATACTCCTGCATCTTGATGATCTTCCTTCCTATCCATATTCTAAATTTTATTTCTGTCATTTCAGTCATCTCAGCCCAGTTGAGATTCCTTACTGGAGAGCTAGTGCGGTTGTTTGGAGAAAGGAAGACACTCTGACTTTTTGTGTTGTCAAGAGTTCTTGCAGTGGTTCTTTCTCATCTTTGTGAACTGATGTTACTTCAATCTTTGAAATTGCTGTCCTTTGGATGTTATTTTTTTTCTTCCACCCTATTTGATGACCTTGAGGGTTTGATTGTGGTATAAGGTGGATTGAGTCTATTGGTTTCATTTCTGCAAGATTTTAAGTGGCTAAGGCTCAGCTCCTAACTCCTGGACTATGTGCTCAAACTCTGAGGGACTAGTACTGAGCTCCAACTTTGTTCTTTGGCTCTTCAAGGTTAGGAACCCACTGTGCTGGTGGGGGTGTCAAGGTACTTCTAGACTTCTGGTCAGCACACTCCAACAGGTGGTGTCAGCCAAAGTGTTTTCTATGACAGTGGCAGCAGGATCCATCATCACTTGCACATGCCAGCAGCAGCAGCAGTGTGGCAAGGTGCATGCTAGTCTGCTGCAGCAAGGTGCTAGCAGACACTGGAGTGTCAGCCTTTTTGCAGGTGTTCACAGCAGCAACAGAGGCAGCATGACTTGATGGTGTGCATGGTGACTGTGCATACAGTCACACTGGTGGTATTCTTAGCATAGATGTGGGATTCTGGCAGCTGCAGGTCTGTGTGTGCCTTCTTTGCATGTTCATGCAGGCAAAGGGGGCCACTCAGGGCAGCAGAGAGTCCTCTGTTCTGAGTGCCTAGTTTCACTTGTCAGCAGCATTGATGCAGGGGCGGGGCTCTGTAGGGGCAGGGCTGATGGGTTCTGTGCCCACCAAGGCTCAGACTGCAATGGCAGTATGGTGGTGGGGGTTAGGGTGTTGGGGGGCACTCACATTGGCAGCAGCGGCAGGGCAGGATGCACGCTCACACGCATGCTGGCAGGTCAGGGAAGGCAAAATCTGCCCAGGCACACACGTGCTGGCAAAGATATGTGGGGGGTGGCCATGGCCCAGGGGAAGCTACAGTGGGCAGAGGGAGTGAGCAAGCTGGTGCATGTCCATGGGGGCTGCTCTGCTGGAGCTCTCTGCTGGTCAGGTGTGGTCCACCAGTGCAGGAGCTGTGATGTAGGCCCCCAGGGCACCCGAGGCTGCACTGCAAGCAGGTGTGGTTCAGCTGGGGCTCTGGGAGAGGCCAGCAGACCAAGGGGTGCACAAGAGCCCTGTCTGATGGGCAAAACCTCCCCTCACAGTTCAGGTCTGACAGTTCCCCTAGGGCTAAAATCTTCTATGGGAAGAAGGCAAGCCTAAGGGGATGGGCATCTACAGCCAACCTCTGCTACAGATGCTCCTGCACCAAACCCTCTGGGCTCTACAGGGACTAGAGTACTGTCCCTACCATTTCTCTGGCAGCTCTCCCTGCCAACTCAAGTGTCTCTGGTTGTAGAGGGGTCTCCCTCTGCCAGGATTCAGGAGATCCATGGCGAGAGCAGGTTGCTCCTTGCCAGATCAACTCACATGTTCTCCCAGTCACTGGGGGCCAAGAACAAGTTCTGGTGTACAGCAGCCCCATGTGGGATTTCCAGCTTCTTTCTCCTTCAGCCCAGCTTCTGTGTCTTCCCTCTGTCCACTCTCAGTGCCTTTCCTCTGAAGATCTGTTAGGAGCATGCCAGTCATCCAGGTACCTCGGTGGCAGCTGTTCCACTTAGCTGAGTCTAGTTGGCCATCTTGCCTCAAATCCCTCCTTTAATATTTCTGTAGATGTCTTCCTATTTAGTTTTACTTAACTATGCTACTTGGTAAAACAATTTATGGAGAACTAATAGTAATAATAACAATACAGTTAATAGTAATAATAACAATAACAACCAGATAGTTTCTACTGAGGATTTTTCAGGTACTATGCTTTGTGCTAAGTCCTGTTCTTGAATAAGCTTATTTAATATTTCTAATTACCCTTGACTTGGGTATCATTATTATTATTTTTTGTTTGTTGGTTTTTGAAGCGGAGTCTCACTGTCTTGCCCAGGCTGGAGTACAGTGGCACAATCTTGGCTCACTGCAACCCCCACCTCCAGGGTTCAAGCAGTTCTCCTGTCTCAGCCTCCCCAGTAGCTGGGACTACAGGCACCAGCCACCATAACTGGCTAATTTTTGTATGTTTAGTAGAGACAGGGTTTCACCATGTTGGCCAGGCTGGTCTCGAACTCCAGACCTCAAGTGATCTGCCTGCCTCAGCCTCTCAAAATGTTGGGATTGTACAGGCATGAGCCACCACTCCTGGCCAACTTGAGTATAATTATTATCCCTATTTTACAGGGAAAACAGAGGTGACTAGGGGTAAAGAAACTTTCCCCAAATCACATTGCTAGCCTGTAGTTCAGTTGGGATTTAAACTTTGGCAGTCTGGCTCGAGATTTACTTTTAGGATTTTGAGGCATGCTTGAATTTGCTTGTGGCTCCTTTCCTTCCCCTGGGCTTCCAAACACAATGGTGTGTTTTGGGAATATTCAAGGGTGCCATTTGAAAGCAACAATGTAAGATTCCTCCAACTCTATACGCTGCCCACTCAAGGTGTGGTCATCCACCTTGCCCAGGGTTGGGAGATGAAGGAACAGGTTCTTTCCTAGCATGTATTGTCCAGATGCTGAGTTTTTCCAAAGGATACTAAAGTCTTTATCTCACCCTACTTTTGACAAAGGGAGTGGTTGAGGTGGTTATGGATGAGGTGTTTCTCCTGCCATGCTACTTCAGCTGGGATGACTTATTGGATGTCTTCCTAATAGTTTGTAGAGCAAAAGAAGTGGAGGGGTTGGGGTTTGTGGGTGATAGGTGTAGAATAAATGGGGGTGGGGCAAGAAGGCAAGATTTGTATTCACACAGGGGACTGCCTTCAGGGTGCCTCATAGTGGAGGCTATTCATCAAAACCACTAGGGCCCCAGGGACATGAAGCCTAGGGATTTAGAGCATATTCCATCAGTTTAATTACTGGTGAGATCTGAGGTTACAAAGGAGAAGCTGATCAAATAGCTGCTGACCTTCTTCTAGCTACACTGACCCCACATATAAGGTTCTCCTAAGTTTATGGGCTCCTCACCTCACCTCTCCTTATTCCCCCTCCCCACATTTTGCAGTTGGTAAAATGACAAGCTTCTTCCAGTTCAATGCTCTTAACCCAAGGAGATAGTAGCTGCCATGGCAGAAATAAAGGCAGCAGATAAATCCAGTTGACAAAAAAGCCCTTACACTCACAGAGGCCTTGTTCCTCATTTCTGCCAGAGTGTTGAGCAGGAAACGAGCAGATATTCCTCCGGTCAGTATTTACTGAACATATGTTTTGTCTCAGGAATAGGAGACATAGCATTGAAAAAGTCACATAGGGCTCCTACCTTCCTAGAGTTTAAGGTACGAGAAGTCTTAAAGAAGCACCACGAGTTAGAATATGAAATGCTGTTCATATGAAACAGACATGATAGGGGAAGTATAGGGTATATGGGATCCCAGAACAGGAAGGTACAGCTAATTTCACCCAGGAGGGTGATTTCATAGGAGGGTGACTTTCCTATTCCCTAGAAAAATCACCCCCCTTTTTAGGATTTTGTCCTAGGAAAAAGTCATCTTATAATGAGACTTTTTCTGATCACCAGAACTATTCCTAAATCAACAGAAACTATGGCCTTCAATTATAAGCAAGATAGCAAGATGATGTATCTCAGTTGAAATGCAGTTGCTTGAACTTATGCCAAAATACTAAGTTTGAATTTGTGAGTGCGATCAACTTTTAGTAACATAATATTTTAGAACATTCGTAGTTACCTGTCAATGGCAACTCAGTTCATAAATCTTATCTGCTCTGGAAGAGCTCAGCATCTGAGAAGGATGCCTGCTCCTGTCTGGGGTGGATATACACTGCTTCATGACACCGTACTCAGAGCTGATAGGAGCTGTCAGTGAACCTGTTGAACTTTTCCCAGCCAGACAAGGTGGACCCATGACTCCTCTGAGGACCTGCCAGGTACCCTTCCCTCTGAGCAACTGCAACCTGCTGGGAGTCAGAAGTAAGAGATGGCATTCAAGCTTGCTGCTGCTTTGTTCTGAACTGGTGAGTCTGTTCCCTTCTGTATAAAAGACACCTAGATAGAAGAAAAGAACCTGCTATTACTTCTACTTTTGGAATCAGGAAATGGCTCTTTATCTGGAGTTAAAGAGTGGGAATCCAGGCAGAATTCCTGTGGGAAGTAAGGGTTAACTGAGATCTGAAGGATGGGTAACAGCCTGGTTGAAGTACACAGGAATCGTTCTAAGAAGAAACATCTTATGGGAAGACTCAGCTCTCTGAAGCACAGAGACCACAAGACATATAAGGCATTTGACAGTGTTGGGGCAGGCTGAGGAGGTGAGGCTTGTCAGTCACTCAAGTCACGTTAAAGAATTTAAAGTTTATCCTGAGGTCAAGCGGAAGTCAGTGAAGGGTGTGAAGCAGAAAAGAGACATGTTTGGGTTTGCTTTTTGAAGAAATATTATTCTGGCTACAGCATGGAGAAGGAATGGAAAACGGACAAAACCAGAGGAAAGAAGACCAGTTTGACAGCTGTGGCTATAGCCTGGGAAAAGAGGGCAGCAATTTGAGCTAGGGTGGGAGCAGGAGGATACAGAAAATTAGACACATTCAAGAGATTTGAGAAGCCAGAGTGATGATGATGGATTTAAAGTAGATGGTAAAGGGCCAGGCATGATGGCTCATGCCTGTCATCCCAGCACTTTGGGAGGCCAAGGCGGGTGGATCACCTGAGGTCATAAGTTCAAGACCAGCCTGGCCAACATGGTGAAACCCCATGTCTACTAGAAATACAAAATTAGCCAGGTATGGTGGTGCATGCCTGTAATCCCAGCTACTCGGGAGGCTGCAGCAGGAGAATCACTTGAACCTGGGAGGTAGAGGCTGCAGCAGGAGAATCACTTGAACCTGGGAGGCAGAGACTGCAGTGAACTGAGATCGCACCACTGCACTCCAGCCTGGGCAACATGAGTGAAACTCCATCTCAAAAAAAAAAAAAGTAGATGGTAAAGGAGAGAAAATCAGGGATGACTCCTAGGTGCCTGGCTTGAGCACCTACAGGAAGGAAGGGGTCATGCATTGTGTGGCATGGACTGGATGTTTGTGTCCCCCAAATTCCTGGGTTGAAGCCCTAGTTCCGATTGTGATGGTATTAGAAGGTGGGACCTTAGATAAGGTCATGAGAGTGGAGCCCCTGTGATGGGATTAGTGCCCTTATAAGAAGAGGAGTAAACAGAGCTTGTTCTCTCCACCATGGGAGGATATAGCAAGAAGGTAGCTGTCTCCACACCAGAAAGAGGGTTCTTGCCAGATGCTGAATCTGCCAGCACCCTGATCATGGATTTTGTAGACTCCAGAACTGTGAGAATTAAATGTCTGTTGTTCAAGCCACTCACTTTATGCTATTTTGTTATGCAGCCTGAGCTAAGGCACTGTGGCAGGGAAGTGGAGGTAGAACAATCCAATTTCAGATAGGAGCAGGTGCAATTGGGGGGCTGCCAGATGTCCCAGTGGTTGAACAGACAGCAGAGGTCATGTGAGAAGTCCAGGCTAAAGATACAGACTCAGGGGCCATAGCCCTATGAAGGAATGTACAGCCATAGGCATATATGATATGGCCAGGGTGATGGGCAAGGGTGAGAAGAGAAGAGGCTTGGGGGCATCAACATTGAAAGCAGCAGAGACTTAGCTTTGTCCACAGTGATGTTCACAGTTCCTGTGGTCCAGAGTGGGGAGGAGTCCAGAGGTCATATACTGAGTCATGGGCAGGTGATCCTAGTACATAATTCTGCCCCGGACAATAGCTTTTGTTTCTAGCCTAGTAACAGTGGGGCTAGAAGGAGTTGACATCTATGAAAGAACCTGAGTTAGATAAGTGAAGTCTCCTGTCTACATCACATAGATTTAAAAATTCTCTGTAACTATAAAACATTATACTCATAATAATTCTCACTGTGATTCTAGCTATTATTCTCTCCCATTTTAAAGATGAAAGACTTTAAGTTCAGAAAAGTTACTTGGCTTATACCAGGTAATTCAGGGACAATGGCAGAGCCTGAAATTCTTCCTAGTCGTCCAATTCAGGTTCACTCCCCTGTTCCTGTTTTCTTAAACTCCTATTTATTGCAGCTATATGTTTATGTTAATTTATTCTCTTCTTAACCTGTGGATCCTCTCCATGAAAACAATAAGAAAAAGACACTTTGGCTGAAGAGGTGGAAAAATACAGCAGGAGAGAATTCCTCTGAGACCTAAGATACCGTGCCCTTCCCCCTTGGCCTCTCAGCTGCTGCCGAGTCCTGGAGAAAATCGGGCATCTGAACAGAGGCCGTGTTTGTCCCTGCTCCGGCCTTGTGTTCTCATTCCTGCCACGCCATCATGGATAATGAAAGTTGACTGGCTGCCGGGGTTTCCTTTCTCTCTGCCCCTGTCATTTCCATTTGCCAGGTCTCATGCCTTTTTTGCACAGAGTTGTTGTGCTTGGGCTCTAATTTGCCAGGCAGTGATAAATTCCAAGAAAAACCCATTCTTATTGAATTATTTTTGGAATGTTATGCAAACAACTCTAAATTGTGTGGCAGCCAACTCCACTCTAAGATCTAGTTTTGACTTCATGTTAATTCAAGTAGAGGAGAGAAAGAAAGAAACAAAAACTCAAAATGCTGAGATACCATCTTTCATTCTCAAGGAGAATTTTTTAAAGTCTACTCCTTTGATACAAGGGTCTAAGCTCCCTTTCAGGACTTAGGCAGTGAAGATCACACTCCCGTACCAGGAGTCCCTCACAGAATACACAGAGGGAAAACCTCCCTCTTCAGTTCTCTAGAAGAAGAAAGGCTGGGCCAATTAGCCAGGTGTGGTGGTGGGCACCTGTAGTCCCAGCTACTCGGGAGGCTGAGGCAGAAGAATGGCGTGAACCCGGGAGGCAGAGCTTGCAGTGAGCTGAGATCGTGCCACTGCACTCTAGCCTGGGTGACAGAAGAAGACTCCATCTCAAAAAAAGAAAAGGAAAGACTGGGCCAAATTGAAAGCCCACTGAAGCACGCAGCGTAAAGCTATGATCTCCTCTTTGGGAAAGGATTAAACAAGACTTCTATCCTTGAGTTCAGGCCTTAATAGAAGATGTCTTGTCCCAGGAGACTTTTTAAAACAAGAAAAGCAAGTAGCAATAGCTATTTTCCACCCCTGAGCCCTCTACCACCACCTCCAAGAAATAGTTTAGAATGAAGCTCTAATTCCACTAGAGCCAATACATTTCTGATTCCAGGAGTGAACAACTGTCATTTCTCTATTTCCACATTTTCTAGTCAAAGTCCTTCTTTTTGTTTTGTTTTGTTGATAGAACATTCCATTCTCCACTTGCTGTCCATTTTAGAACTTGCTAAGCTAATAAGATGGAAACCTGGAGGCGCTGAGAACTCTTGTCCCTGCCATAAGGGCACTTGCATGAGACTGAAGCCAGGACAGGAGTGGGGAGAGTTGAGAGGTGGAGTGGACAGAGTCCTGGGCACATCATCCGAGCACCTGCTTCAGCCCTTGCCTGAGCCAGATCTGCCTCCAGGCTCTGTAAATACAAGAACGAGTAAAAGCCAGAATCTTCACTACTAAGCTTTCCCAGTCTCCATTTCTTCATCGGAAAAATGGAAAGGACAGCATGCAGAGCTTTTAACTGTGTTCTGTAGACTCTGGAATTCCAAAAGTCTTGTTAAAAATGTCATTGTGTGCACAAGTATCTGACTATACACAACAGAATTTGTGAAGAAGAGGGACTGAAATTCCTGAGTTAAAATGTTTATCACGACAGCACAGGTGGCCCCCTATTGTCTGAAGATTCCAATCAAAATTCCTCCCCCTGGCTCCCCAGCTGTCCCTGTTTACATTTTCAGCCTTATCCCTTAACATACCTTTCCATTCCCTATCCTCTGGCCAAACCGAGACCTGCACTATTGTCTACTTGTCCTCAGTGCTGTCCTCTGGGTCCTTGCAATCATAGAGTCTTCCTTTCATGGAACGCCCCCTCCACCCAACCCCACCTCGCCTAGTTATACCTCCCCATCCTGCAAAGTCCCATTCAAGATCCGCCTTCTCCAAAAGTCCTCCCTCAAGTCTCCGTCCCGTTCTGCTTCTAAGAAAAAGCTCCCGTCTCTGAATCCCCAAAGCACTTTATCTGAACCTGACTTATGTTACTGAATCAAGGTCCCTTTATGCATCACTTCAGATTCCCTTGCCTCAGGTGATTCAGGGGGTCCATGGCCCCTTGTTCTGTCCCAGTTGCCGCTGAGGCCAGCAGAACTGTGTGGACTCTGGCCAACTGCACAGGGACACAACCGGGCGGTGCCTTGCTTCGTGCTCATGCTCTAAACCTCTTGCCTCCTGTCTTAGCATATTCCTGCTGTTACTGAGACATTAGAGCCAGAGGAATATACATGGGTGCTCAGTGGGCATGCATGTGCCCCCCCTCACACACACCACCCACACATGCACACACACACATGCACACACACATACACGCATTCACACGCACACACATATGTACAAGTAGTTAAGGGAAGTTAATGCTCCCTAGATTGAAGCTTTTGTCAGTGGGACACAGGAGCCAGGGAAAAATTTCTTCTCTGTTCTCTTTCCCCTGCCCACCCTCTAGGAAGAGGGTCTGTGAGAGTGATCAATTATTTACACTTATTACCAAGTGGTATCCAGCTCAGGAAACCTTTCCTTCCTTTTCTCTTCATTTCTCCTTTCCTGGGTTTGCATTCCCCAATAAAGAAGTAGCATGATAGTTTTTGTATCCAGTTCTGATTTCCGGGGCACCCAAACCTATCACTTTTTACTTGACAACACAGTTGCTTATGCATGTATCTTGTTCCACCTGACTAGACTACATAATTATTGTGAGTTTCTTTATCTGCATTATAATCTAGCATAATGTTAGTGCTCAATATGGTCTGTGGCATGAATGAATGACAAGAGGTTTTGGAAAATGTAGTGTCAACAGGGACCTGAAGACCCTAAACTGACACACACAATATGGAGGGATGGGAGGGGAATGTGTTCTTACATTATGACTTCTGTTCTCAAGCCGATAACTGGTTAGTCTGTTGGATGTACCAGAGCACAATTCAAACCAAAGGATAGCTTCCTTCTTATGCCAGTACAATAGTGTGCACAATGAGGCAGAATATAGAAAATTATTAGGTCAGACTCCTTATATAGAACCGAAGGCAGCCAGACACCAGGGAGCAGAACATAGGGAAAATAAGAGGAGAGAATTCCCTTAGAGGTAAAGAAACTGATGGCCTGTTACTTTTCACAATATTTGCAAAGGAGAAAGGCAAATTCACAATGGGGCTAAAGAACCGTCTCAAGAGAGACCTTATTAGAACTGTAGGAGGACTGGGATGGTCCCAACCGAAGTCTGCTGGAAGGAAAGGAGACCATTCTCCCAGGGGCGGGCAGAACTCACCCCGAATGACTGCGAGTTCCTTTTATCACTACCCCACCAACTCTGATTCAGTCTTTTTTGCATCTTGTTTCATTAGGGTTGGAACCTTGATACCTATGTGCAGCCTTGAAACCACTGTGGTCTATGCCTGTATCCAGGCCAACAAGGACATGACCATGGCAGTGGAGAGGCATCCATCAGTCTGCTTTAGGGCAGTTTTTAACAAAGGCACCTGCAGAAGGAACTGAAACAATACTCACCCATAATTGGGCAGCTCAGAAGCTCTTGTTCCCTCTCAGCCCTGTATTTGGAAGCAGGACTGTGCACTTTGGACTGTGTCCCGGCAGTTCTTGGACCTCAAAAGAGTAACACTAGTCCTCCTGCTAATGAGGACTCGATCAGCTAATTGCAAATGAAAAGATGAGACTGCATTCATAAGGGGATGAAGTGGTTCCTCCTGGTCATTCCAGGACTTGCTGAGTCTGTCTGCAATAGGTACACTTCGTTGACTAAAACCTTTCTAGGGTACCAGGTGTAGCCATGGCTTATTGGAAAGTATGACCCATGCAGAGAAAAACAAAACAGGAGATGGGCAGAGGACAGGAGATGAGTAATTGCACCTGTCAGAAAATGAGGATAATGGTTAAGGATACTAGCATGGAAGCTCTGAGTTTTATGGAGAAAAACACCAGGGCAAATACGAGGAATTATTTGTCCTCAATGTCCCCTGGAGAAGGTGGAGTTGATCATTGGGGCCTTGGTGGCCTGTATGACCTTCCAGCCAACAATATTTAAAGTGCCTGCTTACACTCAGTGGTTAGCACAGGCATTACACCACCCCATCCCTGCTGCCCACCCTGAAGATACAGGCAGCTCTGATTTTGTGACATGCTATTTTTAAAACAACCAAATCATTTCTACATTGCCCCCTTCACAGCCTAGAGGAAGGAACTGGTTGCCTCACCAATCTTTGGCACCAAAGTGCTTCACTGCGGATGTCTTTTTTTCTGCTGTCATACCGTCCTGATTAAGATTAATTGTCCCAGTCGAAGTGACTCACTTAGAAAGGATGGGAAGGGTGGAGGGAAGAGGGCAGTTTGCTTCTTTTTTTTTTTTTTTTTGCCTACTTCAATGTTTGTTCTGAAAGATCCAAAAGAATACAGGAGTGTAGCAAAGGAATTTAAAGTGTGGAACATGTAATAAAGGAGATCAAGTGAAAAAGCTATTATGGGCTCCATGTTTATCTTCAGCTCAGTGACTTTCAGAGGAGCATGCACTTGGCTGGGGAGCCTGGAGGGTGTGACTGCTCCCTGCCAGTTGGAGGGCCTTGACCTGAACTCTCAAAAATTCAGCTGACCTCGTCCAGCCCCAGCTACTCTAAAAACAAGGCTACAACATCTCCCCTCACTGACACAGATACACCCCTATGTATATATTAAAACCTCAAAAGTTCATTTTGGGTGCAGAAATCATATACAACCAAGGGAGCAACTGAGTAAGAAAAAGAAAATATATAACGACTAAACTAAAAGCTGTACCAAAGAGGAAAGAGATATTATTTATAGAACAGCTTTCACTTGCCAGGCATTAGTGCAAAAGTTGATTCTTTCTGAGATACTTCTCCAGAACTCAGATTTGCACATCCTCTCTGAGTCTATCCCTCCAGCTCTGAGAGGCTCCCACTCCCTGGCAAGCACCTCAGACTCCTTTGTTGATGGAGTGGGCCTGGCTGAAGCAACTCTGGCTATTTTGGGGATAGTTATAGAATACTTATAGAGGCCTTATTCAAAAACTCATGACCACTACTCTCATTTCAAATTAAAAACGTCTATCCTCTATGCTTTTTTTCCCCACCTTATTACCTTAACAAAAAGAAGAAAGGTTTGGCAAGGAAAGAAGTGTATGGCTTTGCTGATTCTGTGCATTCAATAGAAATCAAATTGTCATGACTTGTGAGGAAGAGAATTGGGCAGGGTGTCAGTAGACTGAAGCACACAACATCCAGCCCAGAACAGGCCACATTTGGTAGCCATTGGCTAATGAATGAATGGATGAATGAGTGAACTTAGGTATGAATCCCAGCCCATCAACTAACCAGTCGTGTGCCCTTAGATAAACTACTTCTATTTTCTGGACCTCAGAGATTATCTAGTTCAACAGAGGAAACCAGCCTTAGCATCTAGCTCAGATACTCCTCTTACTGTCCCATCAGCCTGGAGTCTGTATATTCCTGGGGGGCTGTCTTGACATTTCCTTTTTCTGAAAAGACCATTTGAAACCATTCCTGTTCTACATCTACATCTTGGGCTGGATGAACCTTGAACATGCATCTCTCAATTCCAACTTGAGCCCACCGAACAGCTTAACTGAAATTTTCTCTGGGTTCCAGTGCTCCAAGTCCAGAGGCTTCCATATCTGCTCTTGCCAAATACAAGTGGTTGGCAGATAACCCTGCAGTAACTCATCACCCCAACAGTAACTCATCTGTATTCACTCCACCCCAGCTCTACACAGACAAGTCACCACAAATGGATTGATGGCAATTTGAATTCATTGCCTACATGGGAAATTTCTTTGAGGGGAGTATCTGGCTACATCCTTAAGTTACAGATAAGATACTTATTCTCAAACAAGTAGCCAAGGAATATTATCATAATCCTGTCTGTCCTAGTATTTGATACCTTCATAATAGTTATTCCTCTAACTTAATCAAGGTTTAGTTATTTTCAGCCTCTCCCTCTCTCTCTCTCTCTTTCTCTTTCTCAAAGAGTTGGAGGGATTATCAGCCATACGAACATAAGTCAATGCAATCTTGGCCAAATTTAGGTAAATGGACAGGATGCAGATAACGCTGGGGACTCAGAAGGTTGAGCCGAAGCTGCAGAGTCTAGATAGCTTCCGCCTTCCATTGTCCCGTGATGCTTGCTCTGATAGTCCCTCTATCTCTTCCCTGCATTCCAGACTTGCTTAAGAATTAGAGAATATCAGACCAAGAAATCTCAAGCTCCATTCCAGCTCTACTCTCCTCCTTTCAGGGATGAGAAAGCTGAGGCTCAGAGAGGTTAAGGTTGCCTTCCAAAGTCACAAAGCCAACACAGCCCAGCCTTGCCCCATGTCTCTTCCACTACCACTCAGGACACACCCAGTCACCTCAATTCCCACAGGACCATTGCAGTTGGAACAATTTTAGCAACAATGTTTGTTACTGATCAACCCAAGCTTCCCTGAAATGGAAAACAGGGAAATGCTGGGGCAAGAAAGATAGCCAAGGGATTTACAGAGAAATAAAAGCTCCAGAAGAGAGGCCTTCATGACCTAATTGTGGCCCTATAAGCCCAGAGCATGCTGGATATTTTGCTTTGTTTTATTGCTTTTTTTTTTTTTACTTGCCCTTCTCATTCTTATCCCCACTTAGTTTTGCATGGGAAAGAGAAGGTCAAGGATCTGGAAAGACAAGGAAGGTATTTTATTGGCCAGAAATTTGCAAGACGTCATATTCCTGCTTTATCAGTATGCCTGACCCATTGATTGGAGATGGTTCTTTACCTCCTGGCTCCTTTTAGGCCCTGTAAATTCAACGCTTTTTAATTTTTACAGAACAGTTTATGGGCTGCAAAAAGGGGAAGCTGGGGGAATCTGTTGTCAGGGGCTGCATTGAGCAATGAACCATCTTCTCAGTGTTCTTTTTCTTTCCTCCCACAGGAAGTCTTGTAAATGAGCACTTGGACTTTCTGAGGGAGATTGAAAAAGGTTTTTGGGGGGCAAGGCATGAAAGGGCAGACAGATTATGAAGGGGCCTTCAGGAAAATCTGAGACACCGTCTACCTCTGGTCAACTTGGTTATTTGTGGGACAGGAGAAGATTCCAGCAGATCATTCTCAAAATCTACTCTGAACTATTCAGCCTGTGAGGAAAAGAGGAATGTGTGACCTGATGATTTAAGCTAGAACTGATCAACTTTTTTAGGAGTTGACATTTTGAAAGGAGTGATCTGGGGACAATGTGGAAGGATCTAAAGAACTCAGTGATTTAGAATTCTCTAACTCTCTAAAACTTCTCTAGAGCACCATGATCTACACTCAGCATCTCCATAGCAGCCAGACAGTCACTTAAAGATGGTAACTGACAGAGACCAACCAAGACATGAGAGGCAAAGAGTCAAAGCTAAACTTGAGAAAAATATTATCTGTAAGACAGTTGATTAAGGGGCAAAGTAAGTTGCTATAATTTTATTTATCAATTGAGCAAAGCTTGAAAGATGAATTAGATTTTTAAAAATGCCCTTACATTTTTAAAGCTTGAGAATCCAACCAAAAAGTAGAGTTAGGAAAATTGAGGAATCATTATCACCATCACCAACATCATCATCATCATCACCACCATCATCATCACCATTGTCATCATCATCATCATCACCATCACCATCATCACCACCATCATCATCTTCACCATCAACACCATCTTCATCATCACCCACCTCTTAGTGAACATTTATTAAAAGCTTGTTGGATACTTGGCATCTTTTGAGTGCTTTACATACATTATTTCAGTCCTCACATCATCTTTCATGAGACAGGACTGTTATTAGCCATATCCTACAGGTCAGGAGAATGGGAGGAATTTCTCCTCACACTCTAAAAAGGGGTGGTAAAGAGAAGAAAACTAACCTTTTCCAAGGTCTAATTTTAGCCTCTACAAGTTAGAAAGCAAATGCTCAGAAGATTTCAGCTTCCATTTAGACTTCCCAATTTTTCCTTCCTCTCAAAGAATAAATGAATTAATGCTAATATATGGAAATTCCAAAGGAAGAGAGAAGAGGAAAGTGGCTTTTAGGAAAAAACAAAATTAGACTGGTTTCTGCAGTAAATTTGGGAAGATCCCGACTACAGTGATTTGAACCCTTGCTTGTGCTCCTGTCTTGGGATGTCTTTGCTTGTCTAGCTTCAGAAGACTTCTGGAAAACCCCCACCTATTCATGGAATGCTCTACTCTATCCCACCTTCATATACCTGAGACCCCTTAGGAAGGTATTCTCCTGAGTGAAACTCAGTGCACTTGAACCCTCTATGGGTGGTAGAGTGGGAGGGAAGGGGGCCTTGCAGGCAAGGCTTTGGGTCAATTTCTGCAAAGTGCTGCCAACAGCAACTATCCACTTAGCCTAACAGGGCCCAGGAGGGGTGATATTGAATCTCTGCTCTTTCCTGTACCTTGAGTTGTATTACAATAGGTCTGTTGAGCTTTCCTAGTAAGTATCCCACACCAGAGGGATGGTAGTTATGTCGTTTGATGCTGGAGGAAGGTGAGAAGGGAGAAAAAATAGTACTGTAAAAGCAAACTAGAAAAATTAGAACTGGGAAATTTCTACAAGGGAAACATAAAATATCATTAAATCAATTTAGATTCTTCTGGGAAGAGGTGTATTTGAGGGGGTGGATCGGGATGCTAATAAACAGTGCATACTGGAAGTTTCCAAAGGAGCAGAAACCAGACTCCTTCCAAGGACTGGGGTGATGCATTTAGAGAAATAACACCCTGGGATTGTCATAGGCAGCCCTGCCATATTCACAGCGAGGCATAGTGCCAGAATCCATGTATTTTCAAATCAATTCTCAAATCCTCTGAATTATCAAGCATTTTATTTGCCTTTAGAGTAGACTCGCTTTATACACCATAAACATTTCATTCAGGCATTAAGTTCTGGGCTCTGCCTCTCGTTTACTTAGCCCTACTCCTGCAAAGGCAGCTGACTTTCTGTCCACTTTCTTTGACTGAGCCTAGTGCAGTTAAGATAGGATCTCCAGTTGCTTGGAGCTAACAACATCTTTTTATATATTACTTACCCTTTAATTCCTGCTGAGGTTTCAATGCAGATGCCCTGATGCTATAGGCACAATAATGTCCTCAGAGATGGCTTCATCCCCGAACCTGTGACTGTTACCTTACACATCAAAAGGACTTTGTAGCTGTGTTTAAGGATCTTGAGATGAAGAGGATTACCCTAGATTATCCAGATGGGCCCAATGTAATCACAAAAATCCCCAAAAGATGGAAGAGTAAAGCAGAAGAGACAGAGAAGGTAATGTGATGATTTTTTTCACAGAGGTCAAGCTTCACCTCCTCGGAGAAGCCTATCTTGTCTTTCCTTGTGAAATCAGTTGTCTTATTTGTAGCCTCTTTGCATTATCTACCACAATCACCACCACAACTGTGGGATGAGTGTGTGATTATTCTATTAATGTCTGTGTCCTTCACTAACTCATGAAGGCAGGGACTGAGCCAGATTTTGCTTCCTTCTGAATTCCCAGCACACAGCAGGTACTCAATAAATATTTGTTGAATAAATGAGCAAATGAAAGGGTGAGCAGAATCTAACCCCCCTACGGTTCTGAGTATTCTTTAGTGTGGGTGGAAACACAGCAGTCCATGAGGCACCCCACTGACCGGTTCTTTGCTTCTTGTTTTTGTATCTTGCTCAGACCAGAATATTTATCTTTACATATGGTCTTAATACATTTCTGCTGAGAGAACAGCAGTATCTGTGACTCCAATCAATGGCTCAAGGAGTTTGCAAGGATGGAAATTTTCCTTTTTCTATGTTATGATTTGTATTCAGATTATTCTGATTTAACTCTTGACCCAGCAGCCCCACCGGTGTACAATGATCTCTGTTGTTAGACTGGAGATCTCCCGCAGCTTTTCTCTTCTCTGAGTGTGAAAGACCATCCACTTATTCAAAGACCAAGATCCAGAGCCCAGTTTTGCAATACCCCAGGGGGATCCCATTTTCAAATAATCAGAACAAACTCTATTGAAAATCACTTCAACCTTAGTGCACCCCTGCATTTATTTTTAAAGGAAGTTGTGAGTGAAGTTACAAAAAATAAACAAGAGCAGTAAATACTAAAATGGCAGCTACACTTGATCCAGACAGTTATTGCATACCAACTACGAGTGAAGCCCTGAAATAAGGTTGGGAGGCACTGTCTTTTGTTGGCACACTCTTATTTCCCTTATGTCTCTGAGCACAAGTTCACTTTGACCCTCACAACTTGCCTGGGAGAGCGACAAGGTATTAATCTCTTTAAGTGCTGAAGTCACAGGTAATTACTCACTCTGTTTATCTGGGTGCTTCATCTTTGTCTTCCTGTGCTCCTCATGCTGTCTGACACATAGTAGGCCTGGAGGCGTATTTTTGAAGGAACAAATGAATGCCTGGCTTCTTTCTAAAGGGAGATTTTTAAATTGATTTGCCCAACATTACTCAGTAAGCAAAGGGCCTTCGATGTGCAGCCTGCTGACCTAATCCCAAGTCCAGCATTCCTTCCTCTCTGCTGTCCATGAAAGAACTCCTAGGCAGGAAGGATGAGGGACAGTGGGGACACACACCATATGAATGTCAGGTATATGACGGGAAGTTTAAGTATAATCAGACAAGGAAAAGTAGCACAGAAGAAAGCAAGCTTTGAGTTTACCCAGTCAAACAGCAGGAAGAATGTAGCTGGACAATAAAGACAAATAATCCAGCAGTGATGCCTGGAACCTTCCCCTTTCCCCAGCTGTAGGCCCCAAAACCAAGTGAGTCAGGCACACCGCTGACATGGCAGCCAGTCCAACCGGGGCATTTCATAGCCCTCGGGATGTTTAAAGAAGCAAAACACTCGGAGGATATGAATTCCTGCCCCATTAAAGAAAGTTTATTTTACAATATTTAACATTTCTTTATTAAAGGTGAACAGGCAGGATATAAGCTCTATAAACTTTCCAAGGAGAAGACATTGCTGGCATTCCAAGTGAAGAAATCATTGCCCTGTAGGAGAACCAAGGCTTGCCTATTTCACTTTACAGGTGCCACACATGGCATATTTTTCTTACAGGATTGTAATGCAGATGGATGAGCTTTTGGACATTAAAATTGTAACTGGATTTTTCTTGCCACCTCATTACTGTGCCATTTAAGGAAGAAGCTCATGGTTAATTCTCAGGGTAGGCTTGCCCAAAGCATCCCTTGTATTATGGGCAGGGCCTTGTCCTCAAATTGTACTACATAAGATGTCAGCTGGGGCCTCCCTGCCCTTCAGAGATAAGCCTTCCTCCAAGATTTCAGGGCCTGGGGTATGAGTGCCAATGGAGGTTGTTGATCAAGCCCCCTTCTCTTCCCACCTGACTCTATCAGCACCAGGACCAGCTCACAAGTAGGAATGTGGACATATGAGGGTCCGGACACTCAATTTCTATCCACATCCCCACAAACAAAGCTCCTCGGTGGAGTGGTCCACCATCCGGAGGAAGAACCTAGGTGAGAGTCCTGCACAGGCCTAGAAAGCCAGATTGGAACCATCTGGACAGGGGATGCCAATGGCCCATGAACCTGGCAGGGCATGAGTTCCAGATGCACACACCACCAGACTGAGCACATTCCTAACCCCATGGAAAGGGACATCCTGAGGACAGCCAGAGAGAAGCCCTCTGAGGTACTTGGCCCAAGTTGCCTGGATCTGGGCTTGTGCTAATCATGTTTAGGTAAAGTTGATTTAAACTCCCCACAAAGTCCAAAGCTCCTGTGTAACATCTGTCATTGTCTTGGGGCTTGCGTCCTAACAGTCTTCTCCCCTGGTTCACCTCTGGCTGCGTCCTACTTGCTTCACTCCACACCAACCCAAACTTGAAATGTCACTGCTTCACAATTTCTTAGAAAAAAAAATTCTCATACCTAGCATTTTATTTTTAGTTCACTCTACTGAAGACTTGGATGTTGAAAAGCTCCTTTTATCTCTGCATCCTTCTCTCTCCAAGGAATGAAGAAAATCCCATTTCTATTGTCATAGAAAGAGTCTAGAGACCATCTTTTAGGGTCTGAATTTTTTGTTGGGATCTTACTCTCCAAATAGAATGGTTTATCAAGGCTTAAGAAAGATTTTGGGAAGCAAAATGTTCTCCTTATTCACATATGTCCGATTGTGCACAAACACATACATCACTTCCACTCTCTTCTTGGTGGAAGAGAAACTAATACAAGGAGTCAGCGGATGCATACTAATGGTGGAACAATAGGCTAAAGTTCCCTGGGCTACATATTCGTTTGTCCTAAGTCCTGGTTGTTGAGTCTTCTTCATTTTGAGATCTGGGCTGGAGGAGAAATCCCTCCCTGGAACACACTGCCCTTGCAAAAGAAGGAAATGAGCTGTGTAACCTGATGATGTTTTTGAAAGTTTCTGCTCAGATGTAGCCCACGTAACTTTTGCTCACTTTCCATTGGCAAATGCAAGTCATATAGCAAAAGCCGATCTATGGGATGTGTGTGTATAATTCTCTTAAATACATGGAGGTTAACTGAGTGGGGACAGTAATGGTACAATACCCATCGAATAGTAACCTCCTTATCATCCTTCAAGAAGCAGCTAAAAATGTCATCTCTTCAGTATCATTCCATGGAAACATCTATCTCCCTGTTCTGTTCTACAGCATTACAACATTGAGACTTTCAGGACAATGTGCTGATTCCCCTACTACTTAGTGAGCCCTTTGAGGGCAGTGATAGTCTCTTATTTTATTCTATCTTCCCGTTACTTAGAACAGTCCCTGGAGCCTAGTACATTGTGCTATTATTGCTTACTTAGGGGAAAAAAAGGTGGTGCAATAATGCATGGAATCAGTCTTGAAATCCAAGGAATATTAAGAGAAAGTTATAAAGGAGGAGATGGAGAAAGACCAAAAACTGACTTTTGCACTTTTAAGTTGAGCTGTGTGTGTGTATATATATAATAGATATACAAGAAATATAGATGAGGCAGCTGCATTTATAAGCCTAAAGTTTTGGAGACATTTTCAGGGTGGATATATAAATTTGGCATACATTGGCAGTCATCAGCACATAGACGGTGTTATCACCTAAGAAAAGAATGGAGAAAGAGATGTTTATGATGTGTTTCCCATTTCCCACTTCCCACTTCCTGACTTGCCCAGAGACTGTAAGTCAGAACCTCTCCTTGGACAGACTCTTTTTTTTTTTTTCTTTGAGAGGGAGTCTTGCTCTGTCACCTAGGCTGGAGTGCAGTGGCGCAATCTCGGCTCACCGCAACCTCCGCCTCCTGGGTTCAAGCAATTCTCCTGCCTCAGCCTCCTGAGTAGCTGGGACCACAGGCGTGGGCCACCATACCCAGCTAATTTTGTGTATTTTTAGTAGAGATGGGGTTTCACCGTGTTAGACAGGATGGTCTCGATCTCCTGACCTCGTGATCCACCCGCCTTGGCCTCCCAAAGTGCTGGACAGGCTCTTAAAGTGTCTTCTAAAAGATCAACCTTGGTTGACCGTAGGTTTTTCATTAGAATGGAGACATATACTCAGCCTCAAAACTCTAATTTGACCCTCTGTTCCTTTGGGCTTACTTCTGCATGGAGCTGGGTTATATTATTATAGGGACCTTCAAAGTGCATTACCCGTCACCCCCGGACGCCTGTTGCATGAGCCATCCAAACCACATGTCTGTCACTCTCTTCCCTCCTCTTCCCCCATTTGTCATGTTGGTAGGATGACAGCTTTGTATTGAGTGAGTAATGAGGGCCAGGCATGATGACAAATGCCTTGCATGTGCTATCTCATTCCATCCTCACCACAACCTGGTGAGGGAGGCATTGACTCAATTTACGGATGTATTCAAAGCTCAGAGAGGTTAGGTAATGTGCCTCAAGTCAGCACGAGTAAGAAGCAGGTCTTTTGAATGGAAGTATCTCTCAGTGCAGATTCCATGCTCTCCATAAGCCACCAAGCTGCCTCAAACACAAACAAATCATTGAGAGCTGAGTCTTCTGGAAAGAGATATTTACACTTTGCAGGTAAAGAAACATACGCACATACACACGATACGTCTATATCTGTGTGTAGATATAAGTATACTTGGATTTTTTAAAAAAACAATATGTTACATAATTTCCTGCATTCTTAAATAGATAATGAATAATATTTAATAATTCCTCCATACTTTTATTTCATGTCTGCTCTGTGCCTCGCATTGTGTCAAGAGCAGTGTTTTGAACTTATTTTGAATTAACTGTTGTCCTCCAAAACTCTTAAGGGTTTGCGGTTTAACTGAAGAGAGGTAAGCTACATGCTGCTCTATGATCACCCTGACCCCCAATGTGATGGTATTTGGAGACAGGGCCTTTGAGAGGTAATTAGGTCATGAGAGTGGAGTGCTCCTGATGGGATTAGTGTCCTTCTAAGAGACAGGAGAGAGCTTGCTTCTTTTCTGTCTGCTCTCAGCTATGCCAGGACATAGCCAGGAAGAGGGCCTTCACCAGAACCCGAACAGCCTGGTACCTTGATCCCAGACTTCCATCTTACAGAACTGTGAGAAATACATGTCTGTTGCTTAAGCCAACCAGTCAATGGTCTCCTGTTACAGCAGCCTGATTAGTTCAGACACATACACATGTATGTATAAAAGAAGAACAGATCATATTAAGAGGAATAAGATACTTCTTTTTAAATGTTAAAGGCCTTCTAATTTGCAAGTCTTTTTCCTGTGTATAATTTCATTTGATCTTTGAAATAATTACCGCTATTTAGCAGACAAAAAAAATTGAGGCTGGGAAAATTTCAGTATTTGTTGAAGATTACACGACTAGTAGATGCCAAAGCTGGGAAATAAAACCCAGGTTCAAATCCAAGATTCCCTCTGGTAAAGTGAGGCTGACTCTTTACGGGAACAAGCTTCTCTCCTGTTCTCCAGGACCTCTGAGGAAGGAAATCTCACTCCCTTCTTCCGGCACCCAGGAACCTCGCTCCTTTATAGGAATGAAGTTCTGGTGTTCATTTTTGCTAAACTGCACTCGTGGGTTTGGCTGAGTGATGCCTGAGGCTGGGGGTGGCGGGCAAGAGAATGTGTGTGCCGTGTAGCTCCTGCCAGCCCTGCAGAGCTGGCATTTTCTACAAGAATGCTTGCTTCTCAGAAACACTGTTGATAATGAGGTTGCTCATTTTTAAAATGCTGTAACTGATATTCTGGGAAAACAAACCTGGTTCCAGAAGTGCAGCTGTGGTGTTTGGATTTAAGCTTGGAGGTAGTTGTTTAAGATGAGCTTTTAGCTGGCCTGACGACCTGTCAATGGACTGCGACGGGGCGGCACAATCAGGCCATTGTACTAACAGAGAAATCTCAGGGCTCTTCAGAGCCTAAGAGGATTGTGAGAATTCCTGAACCTGGCACCTACTAAAGTGGACTTTTCACCTCTTGGGACCCTGGTAAAGATGAAGAGAGAGAGAGTTTCAAATCAAAAGAAATGTGCCACGGATTACAAGAAATCCCCTCTAGCCTCAGTCAGACTTGGAGGACATGCAAATGCATTTGAATGGAGGAAGACTATTTGGGGCCCCTGGGAAACAGGGTGGCACAGAGCAGTTTCCTGGCCTCGAAGAGGATGCAGTTTTCCAAGATGTGGGGTTTGCTTGTGCATCTCCATGCGCAGGGCAGGGGGCTCAGCACAGTAATAACCAGAGTCACACACCATAGGCAGATCCCTGGCTCTGCTTGGAGGGACAAAGATTCAGAGCTGGGCGGATCATCAATAGACCATCTACACCAAGCCCCTGACTCCTGAACTACATTCTTTCCATCATACCCGTCACTCCATGTCTATTTTCTCAGTATTGAATGAGAAAGGAAATGAATGTTTACTGCATCTAATTATGTGCCAGGTGCCTCATTAAGTTTATAATGGAAATCACACAGTATGATAATAGCCAATATTTAAGAAGAATCTAGTAGGTGCAGGCATGAGTCTAATTGTTGGATACACATTAACTTATATTTAATTCTCACAATAGCCCCAAGTGGTAGGCTGTGGTGAGTATCTGAGACAGAGGCACAGAGAAATGTTCTTAGCCAGCAAGCAAAAGAGCTGAGATTCCCCGCCGATGGCTGTCTGACTCCAGAGACCTGCTCTTTGCCTCATGTCAAGGGTACAGCCTGAATCAGATAAGGTTCTCTGTCCCCAGTCTGGACACATGGCCCCTTTTGAAATTGTTCCAGAACAAGTTTCTTCCTCTTTTCCTACCTGACAATTCCTCCAAGAGGCAGAGCCAAAGGAACCTTCCACTCCAGGATTCATCTGAAAGTCCTCAAAGACAGCATCTCTTAGCATTACATTGCTAAAGGTTTTAAAAACCTGCCAGTCCTTAAAAGTTTACCAACCCTACTGAACCAATAGGTATCTAGTGGTGACAACACTGGCTATATTTTTAAAAATTGGCATACATTGCACTCAACACTTCTGTTTGTTCTGTGTTCTGCTTTTAATTGGTGCTTCATATTCTACATAATCTAATTTAGTAAGTCTTTTCTTTGTGAACTGTGTATGTCAACTGATAGAAAGTAGATCCATTCTCAAGGAGATAATCATAGGCCGGAGCTAAAGAAGAAACATCTTTACAAAACACAAACATGAACATGGTAACCTTTGGTTTGCAAATTACCTGGAGATTTTTTAACCCTTTGGGATCTTGTTTCTCACTCACTATCTCATCAGTCTGGCTTCTTCCCACAGCCTTGCCCTGGAGGCTCCAGGCACAGAATTACAGTGGCACAAGCCCTTCTAGGGTGATTGTGCCTTGCACACACAGCTCCCTGAACACATTCAGACCGAGCACCACATTCCTTCTACCTGGCTAACGCCTGTGAATCTGCCAAAGCACCATCACCCCCTCCAGGAAAAATACCTTCACCAGACAGCATCTGGGAAGTCAAGTCCACTTCCTAGAGGTTCCCCTGTACTCTGTGTCTACCACCTGCTATCCTGACACCTATCACCTCCAACTGTTATCGGCCAAGTCCTGATGACATTGTGAATTCTTTGAGGCAAAGACTATACTCCTTTGACTCTATATCCTCAGAGTCTTGATACCATCCTGGCACACAGCAGAAGCTCAAAAATGCTTGATGAGTGAAGGATACACATTTATAAATCCACTGTTTAAATAGAGTTTAGGGTTTTCAAAGGGCCCAGGCATATGAACCTCCTTTGTAAATCACCCCAAATCAAATACAATGTTCACAATAACATACAAGGATGGGCTCCATCAAACTAATTCAAATGCATAGCTGCAGCCTGTTCTTTGCTTTTATTTTAGTTTTTCGTATTGGGTAGATTTTTTTATGGGGGCGATGTTTTGGAGTACTGTGGTACAATGTTCTGCACCATAAAGAAATTTTAGTGTTTAGAAGTCAGAAATTGAGTCTGACTGTGAACTACAGCAAAGTGCATGCATGTAGGCTGTGCATTGACCACAGAATGCAAATGCTGAGCCATTATAATATATCTAGATCTACACAGGTAGGCAGATAGCTAGATATAGATACAGATATACATAGATAGAGATATAGACACAGATACAGATATTGTTATGTAGATAAATAGCTGGATATAGTTTCTTGTTATATACAGAGGAAGGTCTTGATCTTAGTTTTAATACTGAAGACACAGGCAATAATTAGCAAACTCATAAATTCGAGTAATGTTTATTTAATTTCTGGCAAATAAAATCATGATATATTTGTTTGAATTCAGTTCTCTCAGTATATTACATTTATTAGTCTCCCCTCCCCCACATGCCCCAGAATGTGAATTTAGGTTTCAAAAGCCTTTGTTAAGTTTTGGAGATCACTCTAGTCTATCCATTGTTTTTATTAGTTTGGGTCCATACAGACCATTCTCTAATTTTACTTTCATATGTGTTGAGTTAGTGCATCCATGGGCAGGGGGACCAAGAGAGGAGGCCTGAATCCAGATAGGAGAGGGCCAGAATAGAAACAGGAAATTAAAAGTAGAAAAGGGTAGTGTGTGTGTGTGCGTGTGTGTGTGTGTGTGTGTGCGTGTAGAAAAGGGAGGAAAAGCCACAATCAGGAAACCCAGATCTTTCCTCCCTCTGCCTCTCCAGCCTTGGAAATTCTTTCTGAAATACAGCTGGCATTCACTTCTTATATACTGAGCCTCGTGACCTTGGCTGGTACCCATGTCCACACTACATTTATGGCATCCAAATTGCTAATTTGGTGTTAAGGTGGATGGAGGGAGGGAGGGAGGAATTAAAGGATAGGAAGGAAAAAAAATACCCCAAACTGCAAAAGTTAAATTTCCGGCCAGGTGGCTTCCAAACCGTCCAGCAGCTTTATTCAAGGCATTGAAGTCTTGAGCCAAACAGTTCCAGATCTTCAATATTTACCCTACAGTCTCCAAAAACAAAAGTTGACTGTGTTCCTTGAAGTCAATCTTACCAGCATTTCAGGATGACAGATGGGAGAGGCTGAAAAGAATTATTGGATGACCTGGAACTTCTTGGTAAGCATTTGTTATGCTTGGCTCTCTCTCTCTCTCTCTCTCTCTCTCTCTCTCTCTCTCTCTCTCTCTCTCTCTCTCTCTCTCTGTCACTCAACACACACACAGACACACATAGACACACACACACATTTTCATTGTTTTCCTTTTATTTTTAATTTTTATTTTTATTTGAGACAGAGTCTTGCTCTGTCGCCCAAGCCGGAGTGCATTGGTGTGATCTCAGCTCACTGCAACCTCCACCTCCCGGGTTCAAGCGATTCTCCTGCCTCAGCCTCCTGAGTAGCTGGGATTACAGGTGCGCACCACCATGCCCAGCTAATTTTTGTATTCTTAGTAGAGAGGAGGTTTCACCATGTTGGTCAGGCTGCTCTCAAATTCCTGACCTCATGATCTGCCTGTCTCGGACTCCCAAAGTGCTGGGATTACTGGCGTGAGCCACCGCGCCCGGTATCTTGTTTTCCTTTTAAGGTTACTCTGCCTCCCACCATCAGTTCCTACTCTGCCCCCAACCCAGTCATCTGCTGCATTATTCATCATGTATATCAAGAACTCACCCTGGAACAGCAATGGCTAACCCAGCTCCCTAGTCTAAATTCCTTTAACCCAGCCACTTACATCCATGGACTAAGCACAAAGAAATAATGGTAGAGCCAATTCTGTAGATGTGGCAGAATCTCTATGTAGCTATGGACTTATGCAGGGCAGACCTTTGGGAAGGGGAAATCGGTGATGGGTGAACATAAAATTCTGAAAATGAAACATATTCAGGAGGCAAAGACTCCATCCCAGTCCAGCCTTGATGAGTGCTTGTCACTTGCTTTTCTCCTCACTATCAGCCATCCTTCTTTGCTTCTCCAAACTCCATTCATTGTTCAATGTTCTCAATGGTAGGTATCGCCATCAGAGTCACTCAGTGAATATGTACTGAGAACCTACCATGTGCCAGGCACTGTTCCAGGCTTGAAGCTAACAAAGTGCGGGCCCTGCTAGAGCTCATGTTCTAGGAGTAGGGGACAGACAATAAACAAATAAATAAGTAAATCTTCAGTGTATTGGATGTGGTTCATGGTATGGCTAAAAACACTGCAGGGTACATAGGAAAGAGAGAGGGGGAGCAGGTGCAATATTTGTCATATGGGCAGAGCACAGAAAAAGATGAAGGAACAAATAAGAGGCTATGTGAAAGAAGAGCCTTCCAGCAGAGTGAACAGCCAGAGCAAAGGCCCTGAGACGGGAGGGTGTGGCTTGGCTAACAAGCAGCAAGGCAGGTTGGCAGGGCCAGAGGGGACAGGTGGGAAATGATGCAAAGCAGAGAGTTTTGGGAGGACTCTGACTTTACTTCTATGTGAGATTGGAGCCTCTGGTGAGTTTTGAGCAAATGAGTAGCGTGATCAGGCTCATGTCAGACTTTGAGCTGCAATGTTGAGAATAGACCATAACTATTAAGGGGAAGAGCTAAAGCAGCCAGAACAGAGTCTTCTTCATCCATCCACACTTAGAAGGAAAGAAATAATGGTGACTTGGACCAAGATGAAGATAGTAGACATTGAACTCTGGAAGTTCTTTGAGGGTAGAGCCAACTGATATACTTGCTGATGAGTTAGATGTGAAGAATAAGAGGTGTCAGGGATGACTCCCAAGCTTTTGGCTTTAACAACTGAAATGAGCAACTAATTTCTTCATCTGTGCTCCCAGTTACTTTTATTAATGTTAATATCATAACATGTTAGTAACAATTGTGCATGTGGGCATCTCTCCACTAGATGCACTGTCTCTTAACTTTCAAAGGTCTTTTGATAGGCTGGGACTCTACTGAAAGCTATGGACTCTTGCCAATGAGGAGATAAGTATACATACACAAATTCATGCACACATTTACATCCTGAAAAGGTTTACTTCTCTCCCCAAGTTCATCCATAGAACCCCTGAGTTGTTCATGGATCCAGGATTAAAAGATTCAGGCACTAGATTTATTTGTTCTTTTAATACGTTATTATAGAGCACCTGGGACATGACAGATATAATGGGTGACCAAAAATAGCTAGACTATTTTCTCATGGAGACTGTCATCCGATGCAGGAAATAGACAAGATGTTAGTAAACAAATAAACAAGTAAATAATTATAATTTATAAAAGGAGCCATGGAGAAAAAAGCAAAGCAGGGTAACATAACCTACTATAATATAGTATAAAAGAAAACAGAAACCATCCGGGTCTTATAAACAGAGGAGATTAATACAAGGAGTTGGTTGAACACACAATGGAAAGATTAGAGGGTAATGAGACCAGAGATGAGCAACATAAGAAGCCCACTACCACTCCCAAGGATGGAGGAGAAGTCAGAAGAAAGGGTACAACTAGAACTCAGACACCTAGACTATCTGGAAGCTAGAATCGAAGAAGAGGTGCTGCTTCACAGCAGTGAGGACTAGAAGCGAGGGCTTGTCTACTGGAGATGCAACCAAGACAGAGCACGAAAGAGTAAAGTACTCTGGCTCCTCCCCTCCTCCCACTCTCCAGTTTTCTAGTAGTGCCTCCCCTTGACCAAATCTGGCCAGAGCTAGTTCTCTGTGATTCAGAGCAGAACAGGAGAGGAACAGAAATGGATCAGAGAGCAATCAGGTGAGCAGCTGACACACAGGGGAACCTACTTAGAAAAAGTGGTCACCTAACTGCTCAACGAAATAAAAGAGGACACAAACAAATGCAAGAACATTCCATGCTCATGGATAGGAAGGATCAATATTGTGAAAATGGCCATACTGCCCAAGGTAATTTATAGATTCAATGCCATCCCCATCAAGCTACCAATGACTTTCTTCACAGAATTGGAAAAAAACTACTTTAAAGTTCATATGGAACCAAAAAAGAGCCTGCATTGCCAAGTCGATCCTAAGCCAAAAGAACAAAGCTGGAGGCATCACGCTACCTGACTTCAAACTATACTACAAGGCTACAGTAACCAAAACAGCATGGTACTGGTACCAAAACAGAGATCTAGACCAATGGAACAGAACAGAGCCCTCAGAAACAATACCACACATCTACAACTATCTGATCCTTGACAAACCTGACAAAAACAAGAAATGGGGAAAGGATTCCCTATTTAACAAATGGTGCTGGGAAAACTGGCTAGCCATATGTACAAAGCTGAAACTGGATCCCTTCCTTACACTTATATAAAAATTAATTCAAGATGGATTAAAGACTTAAATGTTACACCTAAAACCGTAAAAACCCTAGAAGAAGACCTAGGCAATACCATTCAGGACATAGGCATGGGCAAGGACTTCACGTCTAAAACACCAAAAGCAACGGCAACAAAAGCCAAAATTGAGAAATGGGATCTAATTAAACTAAAGAGCTTCTGCACAGCAAAAGAAACTACCATCAGAGTGAACAGGCAACCTACACAATGGGAGAAAATTTTTGCAATCTACCCATCAGACAAATGGCTAATATCCAGAATCTACAAAAAACTTAAACAAATTTACAAGACAAAATCAAACAACCCCATCAAAAAATGGGCAAAGGATATGAACAGACACTTATCAAAAGAAGACATTTATGCAGCCAACAGACATATGAAAAAATGCTCATCATCACTGGCCGTCAGAGAAATGCAAACCAAAACCACAATGAGATACCATCTCACACCAGTTAGAATGGCGATCATTAAAAAGTCAGGAAACAACAGGTGCTGGAGAGCATGTGGAGAAATAGGAACACTTTTACACTGTTGGTGGGACTGTAAACTAGTTCAACCATTGTGGAAGACAGTGTGGCAATTCCTCAAGGATCTGGAACTAGAAATACCATTCGACCCAGCCATCCCAATACTGGGTATATACCCAAAGGATTATAAATCATGCTGCTATAAAGACACATGCAAATGTATGTTTATTGTGGCACTATTCACAATAGCAAAGACTTGGAACCAACCCAAATGTCCATCAATGATAGACTGGATTAAGAAAATGTGGCACATATAGACCATGGAATACTATACAGCCACAAAAAAGGATGAATTCATGTCCTTTGTAGGTACATGGATGAAGCTGGAAACCATCATTCTGAGCAAACTATCGCAAGGACAGAAAACCAAACACTGCATGTTCTGACTCATTGGTGGGAACTGAACAATGAGAACACTTGGACACAGGTTGGGAAACACCACACACCGGGGCCTGTCATGGGGGTGAGGGGAGCAGGGAGGGATAGCCTGAGGAGAAATACCTAACGTAAATGATGAGTTAATGGGTGCAGCACACCAACATGGCACTTGTATGCATATGTAACAAACCTGCACGTTGGCACGTGTACCCTAAAACTTAAAGTATAATTTAAAAAAAAAAGAAAAAGTGGTCACCTAGTGCCACTCTGAGAAACTGAAATTTAAATTGACATTGGCTAAATCAGAAGATGAATATCAAGGGAGAGAACATTCCAGGTGGAGGGAATTGTAACAGAACATTCCCAAGATGTTAAAAAGCTCTGTCTCTTTGGGAGTACAAGGCCTCACTTAAGGCCAATCTGGCTGAACAGCTATCCCATTCTTTACACAACCAGAGGAGGAGGTTAGGCATATGGCTATTCTTCCATAACCACCTGCCAGGTGGCATATTGCCATGGAAGCAAGCTTCGGACCAAATTCCACTAGATGCCCACACATTTATCAGTGAGCCTACAGAAAGACCGTCCTACCACCTGCTCTGTCCTTTGGCGCACCCCGCAAGTACCTTGCCTGAAATGTGAACTTTGAGGTAAAGGCAAAAATATTCCAACACCAAGATTTATTATCAGGGTCCTCTGCTTAGCAAAGGCACGCAAGGCCAAATGGAGTCGTAGGCTAAGGAGGCAACTCAGAAAGTCCTGGATTGCTGGGCTTGCCAGGTTCTTGTACTTTATTTATGCAAAGGCGGAGGGGTTACACAACCTTTCAGCTATATATCTTTTATTTCATCAATGAAAAGTTATTTGTAACATCACTTATACTAATTAATATACCTTCTAAAGCATATTCAGAAATTGATATTTAAAGTACATGCTGAGGCCATTTCTGAAGCATGGATCCTTTATTAGGGCAACTTAAGTATAACCCAGCTGCCCCTAGATTGTACACGGAAACTAACCTGCACACTCAGATAACATCACACCGTTTAAACGAAAGCACAGTAAAGTTAATTACAGACAATGAAACAGAGGGGATGAAAGATGCCAGTGCTGCTGGAGTTTCACTGGTAAAGATGAGAGTAGACTGACACGAGGCTGCAGAAGTGAGAAGGGGGTGAGTCTCATAGGCCATCTTAAGGGATGTGCGTCTCATTCAAACTGCATTGCAGGACTTTGAACAGGAGGTAACATAATCTGATCATGCTCACTGCTTTGTGAAGAATGGATGATAAGGAGGGAACGTGACACTAGGTCATTGAAAGTGTTGGAGTTACTGGCATCAACCCATCATGGTGGTAGTACAGATGGAGAGAAATGGAGACAGATGAGCTGTGTTTTGAAGATAGAAACTGAGGAATTGTGTCAGTCTGTTTTGTGTCACTATAAAGGAATATGTGAGGCTGAGTAATTTATAAAGACAAAAGGTTTATTTTGTCTCACAGTTCTGCAGACTGTACAAGCTTGGCACCTGAATCTGCTTGGCTTCTGATGAGGCCTCAGGGAGCTTCCAATCATGGCCAAAGGTGAGGAGGAAGCCGGCGCATCACATGGTGAGAGACGGAGCCAGGAGGGAGGAGGTGTTGCCAGGTTCCTTCCAAACAACCAGCTCTCACGTGAACTAACAGAGCAAGTACTCACTCATCACTGAGGGGATGACAACAAGCCATTCATGAGGGATTCACCCCCATGATCCAACACCTCCCACCAGACCCCACCTCCAGTGCTGGAGATCACATGTCAACATGAAATTTGTTGGGGACATACATCCAAACCATATCAGGAATGAAACTGGATGATTCTGGAATGGTGGCAAGGGAGAGGTTGGAATCAAGGATGCCTCCCTGGTTTGTAGCTGATGTAGCTTGCCAGAGAATGGTTTATTTTACTAAGATGGGAGAGGCATAAGCAAGAAAAAGATTTGGTGGTGAAGTGGAAAAAGTGAAGTCAAAAAGGTTTCGTTTTATACTTTTTAATTTTGTGACACAAAAGCAAGGAACACATGCTTGTCTTATTTATCTATGTATCCACCTGCATGGCCTTGACTGGTGCTTAGTACATGTCTGAGTAATTAGAATAGGCATGCTATTCTTTTGTCACTTATATTAATGTTTAACACCTCTCCCTGTGCCTTCCGCTTTTTCTCCCTCTCCCTACTCCCCTTTCTCTTAACATATATAAAATAGCAGTTCATTTTCAGATGGTGGTTCAAATCATCAAAGATAAGGTAAACCAACAATATAATACATTTTAGACAGAATTAAACGTTCTGTAAGGCTTGAGTTGCAAGGGTGTCACCAACAAGAAATTAGAAATCAAACGAGCTCAAGTAAATGCAGTTTGGAGTCTGGATGAAAGAATGCATCCCAAGAAATCCCATGTCTCTGAGATGGATAAATAGCCTTCCATTCCAATTGAAGATCTATTAATGCATTTCCTTCTCGCAATGCAAGTGATGCCATTGCAAATGCTATCATTCCTGTGGGTAGATGTGGCTATAATTTTCTCATCTGTAAAAGGAAGGAATTACAGTGGATTATCCCAAAGACTTGAAAGTTCCCTGTCAGATCCTTCTCATCTTCTAGAGTTATATGGAAATGCCTTTTGGGGATCAGGAACACAACAGCTCCAGCTGTGGCAATCTCTCTGGTAGAGCCCCCATAGAATACACTGAAGGGCACCATCTGTGTAAATATAACACAAGTTGGGGGGAAGCATTAAAATATCTCTATCTATCTATCTATCTATCTATCTATCTATCTATCTATCTATCTATCATTCCTACAGAGAAAGGAAAGCCCTTCTTGCTATCATCTGGAAAAATATTATTCTCCCTTTTCTTTATTTCTTTATATCACACAAGGAAAGAGATAATAGTACTCTGTGGCTTACTACGTTTTGGAAGCACAGTTTAAGAATTTTCAAGCAAGAAAGTTCTACTGAAAGGCTCAAAAGTAAATTAAAATTTAAAAAGTATTCATGCTATGTCTCATAACTTACCAACAAACCTTCCAGGACTGTTCACATATTAAATTGTATATAGTACCTTTTTCCTGGGAAGGGAAATAGATATAAGTCCATAACCAGAGAGAAAACTTTACTGTGAACACAGGATGCATATTTATGAAGTCCAGAACATTTTACAAAACATGTCATTATAGTCTCCTATTCAATCATGAATCTATCCATGGTTATAATTGAGTCCAATTTGGCCCTGAGCCTCCTGGTAGCCAAAGCAAAACAAAGCACAAAATCAGCTACAAAATACTCATTATGATGAAGAAGGATGCATACCATTTTGAAAGGACAACAATAAAATATTTTGTTTAAATATCATGAGGCTGCAGGGAGCAGAGAATGATCTGGTAACAGTAACTAACTCCTCCGCTGCAGAGGCAGTGACATTTCATGTGGTTTGTTCTTCACTGAAAGTCAAGGGCATCACGTTAAAGTACAATTCAGTGAAGGACTAGAGCAAAACAGACCTTGAGAGGTGCAGCTGGAACCAAAGATAAAAGCAAATCTAGAATGCACTGTCTGATATGAGGCCGTGAACCACATAAAACTGGAAACGTTAGTCATCCAAATTGAGATAGACTGTGGGCATAAAACGCTCACCAGATTTTAAAGTTTTTGTGCCATAACAATGAAAATAAGGGAAGAATATCTCAACATGTTTTATATTAATTATGTGTTGAAATGATAATATTTTGGATGTTGGGCTAAATAAAATATATTACTAAAATGAATTCCACTTGATTATTTCCCATTTTTAAATGTGGCTCTTAAAAATTTTTTAATTACATATGTGGCTCACAGTTGTGTCTTGCATTATATTACCGTTGGATAGTGCCAGCTCTGGAGGAGTGAGCACTTGCCACTTCACATTGGACTTGCTGCTTTCTCTCCTTGCCCATCATTCTCCCCATCTATGAACTGAAGGACCCTAATACCCATCTCCAAGAGTTAAGTGGGCTGGCTTGTGGAAATTGCCAAATACAGCATATGGCTCAGCCGTCTTCCTTTGCTACTTCTCTGCCCCGAAGCCTACCTTTGGGGCTGAAAGTGGGAAAATATTCTGACTCCTGCAACAGTCCTGCCATGAGATTTCCCTGTGACCCTCCACTCCCTGAGGTCCACGACTGTTTCTGTGCCTTGAGGAAGTGCAGTATTATGTGATTTCAGTGTCTCAAGACAGATAACCCTGACCCCCTGGAATAACCAGCAGGATGACGGGGGTTGGGAGGGAGGCTGTTTATAGAAGACAGGGGTCAAACACTGCTCAAGGACTTTGTTTAAAATTCTTTTTTAACCACATAGCTCTATGTTTGGGTTTGCTTCTCTCATTAAATAAATATCTGGAGAGTCTTCATGGATCACCCCAGATACGTATGGCCAAGGTTTTTAAGATAATGAGTCACACTCTTGGGTTACGCTTAGTGGATTCCCAAGTTGGGGCATCTAAGGATGGTCAAGAGGGGTCAGTGAGGGATGGGGTGAAGTTCTTCCCAACAAGGCCAAGAGAAGGAGACCCTTTTAGAGTTATGTGCAAGATCCCTGCTCACCAGCAAATTGGATAAATTTCTTATGGAGTCAGTTCAGGTCAGCGAGAAGGCACAGGGAAGAGAATGACCAAGACCTTATGATATGAGAGAAGAGAATTTAAGGGAACAAGAACATCTTGTTAACTTGAAGTTTGCCCAAGACTCAACTTCGTGTTTGAATGAACATGTGCCAATTATTTCAGATTAGCACAAAAACAATAAATTTGTGTTTTGTTTTAACAAAATATATTGAAAAGCTGAGGACATATTTGGAGTTCTAAATTTGGTATTTGTAGTTCTAAATTTGGTCCTTGGCAAATTTAAGTCACTTTCAACTCAAACTTTCCTTAAGGGAGAATCAGAGATAGAGGAAACAGTAAATAAAAAAAAAATACTTGGGGTAAAAGAACTTTTTTAAGTTAATAAACTTTATTTTTTGAGTAGTTATAAGTTTACATAGAAGTTGAGCAGAAAGTACAGAGAGTTCCCATATACTCCCTCCCTTCCACACACATACAGTTTACCCTATTTTTAACATCTTTGCATTAGTGAGATCGATACATTTGTTACAACTGATGTACTAATATTGATACATTATTATTAGCTAATGTCCATAGATTACATTAGACTTCACTTTATTGTGCAGTTCTATGGGTTTTGATAAAGGTATGATGTGATGTATCTACCATTACAATAGCATGCAGAATAGTTTCACTGCCCTAAAAATCCTCTGTGCTCTAACTATTCATCCCTCCCTCCCACCAGCCTCTGGCAACCATTGATCTTTTTCCAGAATGTCATATATTGGAATAAGTCAGGATGTAGCTTTTCAGACATGTTTAACAATACACATTTAGGGTTTCTCCATGAGGATTTAAAAAAATTAGGAAAATAACACCTTTCTGTAGAGATGGGGAGAATAAGAACAAATAAAAGGCAAATTTTAGGCTGAGCTATTGTCTCTGGCTCGTAGTATCTGAGAAATGGAAAGGACAAACTCACCCTGGAGGAGAAGAGCCTAGGACAAGAGGAATGATGCTGTGTGAAGTGGAAGGGCAGGCACAATCACACAGGCACCTTGGGAGGATGGGGCTGGTGGCAAGGGAGGAGGAACCTTGAGTTTATTCACAAAAACTGACTTGATGACTGAACCATAAAATAAAGTGAAGTTTTGCCCATTTTCTCTACAGAAGACAATATAACCCAGTTTTCCAAAAGGAGTGTAGGTGAGATTTCTCCTGGAAACAGGAATATAATATAATACCATTTAGATCTATTACTCTATTGTTTTTTTCTTTAGTTTAATTCAATTCCTAATTCTTGACTCAAGAGTATAACTTTTCCCTTCAATGGGTCAAGCTTGCTATTTTTTTTTTCTAGATAGTTTTTTTCTCCATTCCCATCTTTTTTTTTTCTAGAACCACATATTCCAGTTCATTTCATTACGGGATCCTTACTGCAATACAGGGGAGTTTGTGCTTAAGAAAAAAAAGACCCCAAAAAAGCACCATTCTGGAGAAAGCCTCACACTCTATGTGGTATTTGACTATGTGTTCTAATGACATATGCTCATATCTCCTCTGAAAAACACTCAGGGAGCCACGGAGAAGAGGGGCAAAGCATTTTTCCAGCTTGAACCCTTTGGAGTGGTGTCCGAGTTGGAGGAAAAGGCCAGCCATCCTGCTAAATGCACCAGTGAAAGAAAATATTCTGGCAATGTGAGATGGAAAAAATAGAACCTACCAGAATGACTCTTAGGAAGAGTACTATAAATGCTTAGAGGGAAAATGAAGTCACTTAGGGACAAGGAGGTGAGACCCTCCTTCCCCCAAAGGTTAAGCTTAACTAACCCCGGATATTTGATAACCAAGGAAGATGAGTCCATTTGACTCAAGGTCTTTTGATTCTTGAATGCAGTAGGCAAATTTGGGGCCAGGAATTACCAAGGACAATAGAAAACGGACTGAGTGTCCCACCCAAGGGTCTTTCTCCTTTTCTTTTTCTCCTATATCACTCAGCTTTCTCTACAAATTCACTCTGAACAAGCATTTGAAGGAGCGTTCAGAGTATCAGATTATTTATTTTCCTGGCATTCTCTAGTGTTTCTCTGGCCCCCGGTAAAGTCAAGTGTCCATATCAAGATGCATCTCTCTGAAAGGCAATGCTGCCCAGTGTGGGTGGCAGCAGCCTGAAGTCAACAGGTTTGCTTATTCTAGTTCCTCTGTTTGGAATTTTTCTCTTTCTTCCCTCTATAGCTGCCTATCTAAACTCTTTCTGTAAGGTCCAGCCCAAATGCGTCTCCTTCATAAGCCTTACCTGGGATTAATTTATTCTTCCTTTGTAGATTCATAATTACTTAGAGGTAAAAATAAGGAAAGTATCATGAGACTCTATAACAAGGCACAATGTGATGCCTCTCACTAGAATGTTAGTTCTGGACATCAGCCATGTCTTCTTTCCTATCTTTGTGTAGGACTCATACTGGGTATCGCAGTTCACACAGAAAAGGTACTAGATAATTTTGTTTGTTTGTTTTGTTTTTACTATCTTTACTGTTAATTCAGGTGCTAACTAAATTGCCATCCATTGTCCAAAATCACCCTCTGGGACCAAAACCATGGGATGTGACCCACATCAGCTGCTAAGCAGCCAATGCGTGATGTGAATTGTTCCAGGGGGCCTGGCCCTAAGAGGATATTTACCATTTAACCATAGAGTCAATGTCTGACTAGCATCCATCTGTCTTCTCCCAGTAACATCACTCTGGGTTTCCTTTGGGAAACACTCCTCCCCAGTCTTCATTCAAGTGGTTTGGATGGGGCTAAATCTACGCCCTATTTGTAGAGGTAGATGTATGGTGCAGACCTACCTTGCATTTCATCTCCTTGGACAGAGTGTTTGCTTCCAAGGTGGCCACAGGACCCAAGCTGGATCAATGAGATACAACCTTAGGATTTTTGATGGAACTCTTGGGAAAGAGAGGCTCTTCTTCAATGGTTCCTAAGCCTTGAAATGTATGTCTAGGGATACCATTCTGTCACCTCATGCCCAGAGCCTGCCAGAGAGTAATCTCAACACAGGAAGGAGAGAGCTGACATATGGTAGCAGGTAGAGTTGTCCAATAAAATAGAGAAAGCAGTACAGGGACATGTTTATACTACAAAAAAGTTGTTCATTATTTATATGAAATGTGAATTTCACTGGGTATGCTCTGTTTTTATTTGCTAAATCTGGCAACTTGAGCAGCAGGCAGCCTCCATCTTGGGTATTGCATTTCTGAACCCTCGCATTAATCTACACTCTTGGGCTTCTCAGTTATATGAAGAAGTGGCTACCAGTTTTTTTGTTTGTTTGTTTTTGTTTTTTCTTAAGCCAGTTTGACCTGGCTTTCTATTAATTCTGTTAACTTGCAACACAGAAGTTACTCAGTCACATAGAAGTTCTGCCATCTTTAAGAACAATAGGTGTTCTCTTCTAAAAGAAAATATCCTCAGGAAAATATCTTGCAGGCACCAGTGGGTCATGTCATTGGGGCATAGGCCAGAGAGGTAGAGAGCAAGACCAGGAATCTCTGCCAGCTGTTGGGGGCATGGAAGGTACTCAAAGAGATAATATTTTATACCTGAGGCAAGTGGAAAATAAGCCAGTGACAAGGCCACCTGGAGCAGGATGGAAACACTAGGGCACCACAAGCTGCATGGGCTAGGATCAAAGGAAGTCATCATCACCAGTGCAGGCAGCTCCATGCATTCCCTCGTGTCCCCAAGAGTAGCCTACCTTTAAAGACTGCACTCCCAACCTAACTTCTGGGCTATTTACAATGAACAAGAACAGACTCAAATCTACAATACAAACCCTAAGTGATGGAAAAAAGCCAAAATATTCTTGTGGTTTGAGGGGGCAGAGGAAAGAAAGGCAGGGGAGGAAGGAGAGCAATTCATTTCATAACAGCCTCTGTCACTTGCCATCCCCACCTGGGGGAAGGACAAACTGAGGGCAGTCTGGGTGGGAGAGCAAACAGAAAAGTGTCTCTCTGGCACCTGAAAGCAAGCAATCTGATCCCAGGGCCCCAGAGACAGGGCTGGAGGACAAAGCTTTGCTGGGGTGAGGGAAGGCGATGAGCTCTGTGGATTCCAAAGCTTTCTCTGCCCTGCCCTGTCTCCGGGCACCAGCGGGTCATGTCACTGCAAACAAATAACATGGGGAAGCCTGCCAGGAGAAATGACAAGGGTATTTGCCAGTTGAGAAGGCTTCTACCAGTCAGTCTGGACTGGGACATCAAAGAGTTCCCTCTTCTTGACTTGGATTTCTAACACATTAGCCAGAGCCTTTTTTTTTTTTTCTTTTTAGACGGAGTGTCACTCTGTCACCCAAGCTGTAGTGCAGTAGCAAGATCTTGGCTCACTGTAACCTCCACCTCCCAGGTTCAGTGATTCCCCCACCTCAGCCTCCCAAGTAGCTGGGATTACAGGTGCATGCCACCATGCCTGGCTAATTTTTATTTTTATTTTTAATTTTTTTTTGTATTTTAGTAGAGAAGTTTCACCATGTTGCCCAGGGTGGTTTCAAACTCCTGAGCTCAGGCAATCCGCCTGCCTCAGCCTCCCAAAGTGCTGTGATTACAGGCATGAGCCACCACACCCGGCTGCCAGAGCCTTAATTAAGCAACTTCTGTGTGCTGGGGTGCTGGGCTTGGTGGTCATTTACATTCACTACACAGTTATTTTTCTGGTTTTCTAGCAAAATCTTTTGAAAATATAAGTCAAAACTAGTATTATCCCTATTTGGGGAAACAAGAAACTGAGGTGTGGACCTCCTTAGATCATGAATGCAGAGGAAGAAAGGCTTACAGCCATTATTAATCCCTGAATCTGTCATCATTCTTCTTTCCAGAAATCGGCACGGTGGCTTGCAGGCCAATACTGGCAAATCCTCTTTGTAGCAAGTCCCTACAACTAACTACAATGGAATCAAGTTTTTATTATTGCTTTAAAAAACTCAATGTTGTATTGGTGGAGATAATACCAACCCCACAGTCACGGCAACTGAAGGCTCTTATTGAAAGGATGCTCCAAGCTTTCTTATTGAAAGCTTGGAGGAAGGTTCAATATTATCACTTATTACTGATCTTTGGTATTCTTTGTTTAAAAGGTATCATTCCAGTCTTATATATATATATATATACACAGATACATGTATACATTTGCTATTATTACACATATTTTATGTTGTTTTTTTCATATTCATATTCACGTAACATTTTTAAAGCCCTGAAGGCAAAACAAGCTGTTACCTTTCTATTGTGATCAAAATTCATAGCTACAAATTAGATTGCACGTTCACCATAATCATCTTCACCATCCTCATAATCAATACAAAAAGCCTCTCTCAATTCAGCAAACATTATGGAATGCATACTGTGTGTTGAATACCAGGTATAAAGTAGCAGATAAAACATAGTCTTTAGCTTACATATTAGTGATGAACTCAGATACTTAAATGGAATATTTAATTAAAATATAATAAAGGAAATGATGAAGACAGGCAAAGCTTACTAGAGATACCAGAGTGGTTGGAGAGACCTGAAAAGACCCCAAGCTGGGGATTTCCAGGAACACTTCTCGGAAGCAGTGGCAAGTCCTTTTAATTTTTAATTTTATTTTATTGTGTTAAGAAAATTTAACATGGGAATCTAACTGCTTAACACATTTCTAAGTGGGCAATACAGTATTATTGACAACCATTTTGTACAGCAGATCTCTTGAACTTACTCATCATGCTTAACTGAAACTTTATGCCAGCTGACCAGTAATTCCCCACTTCCCCTGTCCCAGCCCCTGGTAACCACTATTCCATTCTTTTATTCTAGGAATTTGACTATTTTACATACTTCATGTGTATTAGTCCATTTTCACACTGCTGATAAAGATATACCCAAGACTGGGCAATTTACAAAAGAAAGAGGTTTGCCAGACTTACAGTTCCACATGGCTGGGGAGGCCTCACAATCATGGTAGAAGGTGAAAGGCACATCTCCCATGGCAGTGGCAAGAGAGAGAACTTGTGCAGGGATGCTCCCCCTTATAGAACCACCAGATCTCATAAGACTTATTCACTATCACAAGAATAGCACAGGAAAGACCTGTGCCCATGATTCAATTACCTCCCACTGGGTTCCTCCCACAACACGTGGGAATTCAAGATGAGATTTGGGTGGGACACAGTCAAACCATATTATTCCTCCCCAGCCCCACCCAAATCTTATTTCTTCACATTTCAAAACCAATCATGCCTTCCCAACAGTCCCCCCAAGGTCTTAACTCATTTCAGCATTAACTCAAAAGTCCACAGTCCAACGTCTCACCTGAGACAAAGCAAGTCCCTTCTGCCTATGAACCTGTAAAATCAAAAGCAAGTTAGTGACTTCCTAGATGCAATGGGGGCACAGGTATTGGGTAAATACAGCCATTCCAAATGGGAGAATTTGACCAAAACAAAGGGACTACAGGCCCCATGCAAGTCCAAAATCCCTCCTTTGACTCCATGTCTCACATCCAGGTCAGGCTGATGCAAGAGGTGGGTTCCTATGGTCTTGGGCGCTTTATGTCTGTGACTTTGCAGGATTTAGCCCTGCTCCTGGCTGCTTTCACAGGCTGGTGTTGAGTGTCTGTGGCTTTTCCAGGCACACAGTGCAAGCTGTCAGTAGATCTACCATTCTGAGGTCCAGAGGATGGTGGCCGTCTTCTCACAGCTCCACTAGGCAGTACCACAGTAGGGACTCTGTGTGGGGGCTCCAACCTCACATTTCCCTTCCGTAATGTCCTAGCAGAGGTTCTCCATGAGGGCCCCACCCCTGCAGCAAACTTCTGCCTGGGCATCCATGCATTTCTATACATCCTCTGAAATCTAGCTGGAGGTTTCCAAACCCCAATTCTTGACTTCTGTGCACTCTCAGGCTCAATACCACATGGAAGCTGCCAAGGCTTGGGGCTTGCACCCTCTTAAGCCATGGCCCGAGCTGTACATTGGCCCTTTCAGCCATGGCTAGAGCTGCTGGGATTCAGGGCACCAAGTCCCTAGGCTGCACACAGCAGGGAGACCTTGGACCCAGCCCACTAAACCACTTTCTCCTAGGCCTCCAGGCCTATAATGGGAGGGGCTGCAGTGAAGACCTCTGACAGGCCCTGGAGACATTTTCCCTATTGTCTTTGGGAATAACATTCAGCTCCTCGTTACTTATGTAAATTTACGCAGCCAGCTTGAGTTTCTCTCCAGAAAATGGGTTTTTCTTTTCTGTCACATAGTCAGGCTGAAAATTTTCCAAACTTTTATGCTCTGCTTCTCTTATGAAACTGAATGCCTTTAACAGCATCCAAGTCACATCTTGAATGCTTTGTTGCTTAGCAATTTCTTCCACAAGATACCCTAAATCATCTCTCTCAAGTTCAAAGTTCCACAAATCTCTAGGGCAGGGGCAAAATGCCACCAGTCTCTTTTCTAAAACATAACAAGAGTCACCTTTGCTCCAGTTCCCAACGAGTTCCTCATCTCCATCTGAGACCACCTCAGGCTGGGCCTTATTGTCCATATCGCTATCAGGCTTTTGGTCAAAACCATTCGACAAGTCTCTAGAAAGTTTCACACTTTCCCACATTTTCCTGTTTTCTCCTGAGACCTCCAAACTGTTCCAACTTCCGCCTGTTACCCAGTTCCAAAGCCACTTCCACATTTTTGGGTATCTTTTCAGCAACACCTCACTCTACTGGTACCAATTTACTGTATTAGTTCATTTTCACACTGCTGATAAAGACAAACCTGAGACTGGGCAATTTACAAAAGAAAGAGGTTTATTGGACTTACAATTCCATGTGGCTGGGGAGGCCTCACAATCATGGCAGAAAGTGAAAGGCATGTCTCACATGGTGGCAGCAAGAGAGAGAACTTGTGCAGGGAAACTGCCCCTTATAGAACCATCAGATCTCATGAGATTTATTCACTATCACAAGAACAGCACAGGTAAGACCTGTCCCCACGATTCAATTACCTCCCACTGGGTCCCTCCCACAACAAATGGGAATTTAAGATGAGATTTTGGTGGGGACACAGTCAAATCATATTATCATATAAGCAGGATCTAACTTTAGCATATGCAAACACTGTATATGTGTGATTCTTTGAATTGCCCTGCAAGCCAATTCTAACATCTTGATGGTTCCCTTATTAATTATTGAGCAATATAAAATCTTTGACATGTGCTCATCTTACAATATCTAGGTGTTTTGGTTTTACCTTTTAAGAATAGATTAGCTAAAGAGAACACACTGCATGTCAGTTTTCCCAGAGCCTCACCATAAGCACAGCTTTTCCTCAACATTATGAAAAAATGAAACTTTTCCTTAGCAACATTGCATAGTTATTTTTTACATTCCTGTCCTCTTAAAGGGTGCCCCATTTCCTTTCCCTCTCATCTCCCCTTTTATTCCCCTTTCTGCCACCCCAGCCAAGTGGTCTTCATCCATTCCCTTGCAAAATTAGTTATCTCTTTTTTTGCCACCCCCACCCCAAAATTAATTTTCTATAAAAGCCGATACTCATCATCATTACAGTGTAGCTGAGATATAAACATTAATGTGCACCCTTTCGTACAGCACTTCTCTAGCATTTTGCCAGGGAACAAAGGTTTCAGCTAGAGAAAAAAAATTCTAAAGGTTGAGACTTCTGGGAGAAAATCACAGATCATTTCGTAGTAAAGTATAAAGGCTTTTCAGATACTCTGAAATCAGACTTTGTCACCTTGTGTCCCCCCACAAAAAAATAATATTTTTGAGTGATAACCAGTACCAAATAGACAAGTCAGGCTGTTTACCAGTGGAACAGCTCCAGGTTATGAAAAATAATGCTGAAGGACAGGGTCCTTTGCTAGAAGAATGTCACTTGAGGTACAATACTCTGTCCTAAACAGTCAAACAACAGACACACAGTAGAATAAACATGTTGAGCACACAAAATGAAGAATAACAATGCATTGAGTGTGTGTGTGTACAGTGTGAGAGGGAGGCAGTGTCAACTCTCTGCTGCCACCTGCTCTGGAATGGAAGACGCTGGGTGTTCAGAAGACAACCACATTGACTTTCCTACCCTGGCTCTTCGTGATCTGCCATCTCCAAACTTTTTAAGTTTTCACACAGGGCACATGGAAAAGAAGACAAGCAGCACTTTCTGAAAACATGAGTAATGGGAAGGCTTGATCAAATGAGCAGGCAAGGCCATCCCAGGGGCTTCTCCTGATATTACTTCTCTTCATGATGTAACCTGCCCACTCTCTATGATCCGCAGTTAAATTGCTAAGATAGGTTTTTGGGTTGGACCCAGAAACCGTCAGAGTCTCGTGGTCTTAGGGATCAGGATTGCTACTACCTCACCCCCCCCCCCCACTCAGTTTAAATGGGGACAACTGATGTCTAGGGACACTTCCAGAGGTCTCAGGCTATAATTAGCTGATGAGTATCCAATCTGAGGTCTTAGATATAATGAGCTGTAGCCGACAAGGAGAATTCAGGCACCAGCACTTACCAGATATGGCAAGCTCCACCTCTCTCTTTATTCCCTTCATCTTGCTTCTGCCAGCACTCCCACAGACCTCGTGCAGGGCAGTGAGCCCATGGGAAAGAGCCAAGAATTCCTTCATCTGGGGCTGTGCCTCTGCAACCCTGAAGATTTAGGGCCAGAGATGATCCGCTTTTCAGAACTCAACAGCCAATCTTTGGAAAGAACCTATGACTCAATAGCAGCCATGCGATTCAGCCTGCACCCCTCCACCCCTCTGCCCTCACACCCCCAACTTCCAAATATGGATAGAGTTAATGTCCCACTTCTGAAACACATGTGATTGTACAGTCATTCTTCAGTCACACCACCTGAAGATGATTTAGTCCATGGAATTCATCAGAGAACAAAGAGCAAACCAGCTGCTGATTGATTGGGGTGGTGTCAGAATCAGAACTAGAACACAGAGTGGGAAATATTAGGGCCAGGAATGCATCAGCTCATTTAATTAATTTTCTGAGAATCTTTGGTTCTAGTTTCTCTTCTGCTCTTCTGTCTTATCTCACTACCAAATGAGATAATTTAAAATAATGTATATAAAAGTGGTTTGAAAATAATAATATGGAATATAATTGAAATAATAATTGGAAAAACAATGAAATGAACATAATATGGAATATCTATTATGCACTGGCCAAGTGTTTTATATAAATTATTATATCTAATCCTTAAAGCTGAAGCTCAGAGAAGTTAAGAAATTTGCCTATAAACACAGAGATCTGTCTGATTCAGAAGTTCCTCTTTTGACAGTGCAGCTATACATCTCCCAAGCTGTTTACTTGGGGTATAGACCCTGATGGCTGTTCTAATGCTCTTCAGCTTTTGGGCTGGCCCCTCTAGCTGTCTTAATGAAATACAAAACAGATCTCTACAGTGTCCCAAACAAACTCCTTCATATGCCTCCACACTCCAGAACAACTAATTGCCAACGAGGAGTTAGTGATGCAATGGCAAGGTGGGTGGCTTTGTATGAACAAGAACAAACAAGGATCTTGCCTGAAGGACACATACATTCCACCAACTCCTATGCCAGGAGACTCATTTCCTTTCAAATACCACCCATTTTACAGAACGTGTCAGTGCCCTGAGTAAGCCCCACCAGCTCTGTGTCTTTAGTTTCCAAACCGGGCTGAAACAGTGGGTGTTTAATCATTGTTTTTATGAGCTCCTGTATGTCAGCACTTTGACAGATGTTTTAAATAGATCAACTCATTTAATGCACTAGTACAAACATGTGAAATATCCCCATTCTACTGGTGTGAAAACTGAGGCCAGGAGAGGTCAAATTGGAAATTCTACATCCCTGATCAGAGCCACTAACCAAGATGCAAAAAGCAACGAAGAACCTCCACAGCTAGTAACTGACAACACGTAGGTCTTTGTTAGTGGCCAACTTATTTGACCGGAGCATCCTTATGGTTATTGAAGGAAGGTTGTACATTATTGTGGTTCCCTAAGCAGGTTGTACAACATTTCTCTCCCTCTCTGAAAAGGCTGATGTCACTTCTCTAGGTGATGTTTTGTGGTATGTGATAGGGCTGGATCACATATCTTTTAGACATCTATTATTTCATTACGTAAGTCTTAGGCTCAAAGGAATTTTTAGGAGTCATTTAATAAAATAACATGCGTTGAATCCTCCCATCTTTTTAATACTTTATAATTTCTTTCTTTTTTTTTTGTTTTTTGTTTGTTTGTTTGTTTTTGAGACAGAGTCTTGCTCTGTTGCCCAGGCTGGAGTGCAGTGGCGTGACCTCAGCTCACTGCAACCTCCACCTCCTGGGTTCAAGTGATTCTCCTGCCTCAGCCTCCTGAGTAGCTGGGACTACAGGCGCCCACCACCATGCCCAGCTAATTTTTAAATTTTTTAGTAGAGATGGGGTTTCACCATGTTGACCAGGCTGGTCTCAAACTCCTGACCTCAGGTGATGCACACGCCTCGGCCTCCCAAAGTGCTGAGATTACAGGCTTGAGCCACTGCACCCAGCCAACACTTTATAATTTCTAAGCACTTTTACATGCATTAGTTCATTTGACCCTCACCACTCTTAGAAATTGTTTCTAACTTGAAGAGTTTTGTAAGGATTCAATGGAAAGTGTTAAATGAGAAAATGTACGTTTAGCACAATGCCTGAGGCACATAATATATGCCTGCTAAATGTCAACTATTATAAATGCTAATTCTTTGGAAGTGGTAGGCAATGTGGTCTATTTCCTACCACACTCCCAAGGATCTTCAGAGGATAGAGAACTGTGGGTTTTTTTGATGACCACATCTTTCCCTCAATTTTGCCATCTTATGTTTGTTTCATTTGCTTGTTTTCTGATGATAGGTAAAACTCATGTTGTCATGTACCAGCATTCTCCAGTTAGATTGCATTATAATAAGGTGATAACTCTCTCTCTGACTCTGGAAACTGGGGAAGATCTAGTGTTTTCATGGCTGGCAGATCTGAGAGGCTGACATCAAGGACTGACTTGTTGCTCATGATGGCCTTTGGAATTCTCAACCAACAGCTTTGTAGAGCTGGGTCAGGTCAGGCAGTGGATTAGTCTGCTGGACTCAGCTCTCCACTTGGGAGCCAAGAGACAGGAGTTAAAGTCTTCTTCTTAACCACTGAGTCACTAAGACTTGAATCGGGCTCCTAGCCTTCCCTGCATGAATCCTTCCTCCTCAAAACCGCTGGCTTCTGCTTCCCTCATTTGTGCTTCATAAAGCCCCACTACATGAAGTTGGAGGAACTGCTTCAGGGGATGTAGACTTGAGGTATTTATTTCTAGTCAGCTTAAATATTTAGCCAGCCACAGAGTAAACAAGATCATGGATTATCCTTGGCAGTTAACCCCAAAAGAAAGTCAAAAATAAACTGGGAGCATGGGCTTAGAAGTCATTCCCTGGTGATACTCTGGCCTGTGGGGACTTCATTAGGCACTGTCTCCATCCTGAGAACGACCCAGCCCAGTGGCCCCAGCCTTCATGGATTCACAGCATACAGCAGCAGACCCACCCTCAGCACTCTCCCTTCTTCCTTCCTCCATGGGGTTCCAGGATGAACTCAGCTGCAAAGTGGGTCATTTGAGCCCACAGTGGAGATGACGGCTATCCTGGTAGGGTGTTGGGACCCAGCCCAACATAAATGCCTGGTGGGGTAATTACTGAGATGAGACTGGATTTATACCAAGCCATTTTCCTGTTGGTGTGGATGTGAGGCTACTGCTTCACTCTGGGAAATCATAGCATTCCTATTCATGTATCAAGACTGTCCTCAGGAAAGCCCTGAGACAAAAGCTCAAGGCTAGCTGTCTGTATAGAAAATGGGCTCACATACAATCCACCAGGAAATACCCCACTTCTCTACTGAGCAGAAGCTCTGGGAGGAGAAGCTTTGTGCAAATCCCCCCTCACCTCCTCTCTCTTTCTCACACACACAAGCACACATACATATATGCCACCCACCAAATCTAAGGGAATATTAATATTAGAAACAAATATTACTTTAAAGATCTGGGAAGAAATGGAGCCAAATAAGATGGACGAACCTAAAAGACCACATGGCAATTCTCAGGACTTACTAGCAAATATCCATCCTGCTGAATGTGACAGGACTCAGTGGGGTAGGTGCGATGGTATGGGTAGTGTGTATGAGTTCAGCTGTGTCTCTGTAAAATTCATATGTTCACATTGTAACCTCTAGTACTTCAGAATATGACCTTACTTGGAAATGGGCTCTTTCCAGATATAATCACATTAAAATGATGTCATTAGGATAGGCCCTAATCTGATATGACCGATATCCTTATTAAAAGGGAGACTTTTGATACAGGACATGCACAGAAGAAAGACAATGTAAAGAGAAATTATAAGAGGGCCATCTACAAGCCAAGGAGAGAGACTTGGAATAGACCCTCCCCTCACAGTCCTCAGAAGCAGCCAATCCTGGAGATACCTTGATCTTGGACTTCTAGGCTCTGGAACTGTAAGATAATTAATTTCTGTTGTTTAAGCTGCACAGTCTATGATACTTTGTATGGCAGCCCCTGCATGGGTGGAGGCAGAAGCATTTTCCTAGCCTGCAGAAGAAAGCACTCTGGGGGATTTAAAACATGGACTCTCTCTTTATTTTGGTCTGAGGCACACACTGTAAACACCGGAGCAATACTTAGTAAGGAGGTTCCAGGCCTCCATAACCATGTTACGTAGTATTGATGGAGAAGGTTTCAAGAACTCTCCTCCTAATCCAGTCCCCCAACATGCTCTTTTCTTAGCCAGGAACTTAAGTAAACAATGGCATAGTCCTGGAAAGTCCTATGGGTTTTATTTCTTCACTGTGGATCTGCCATATGTTCATCTGTATTCAGATGCTTGAACATAATTTTCTGACTAACTATGAGCTCCCAACTAAAATTTCCAACATAAGGAGACTAAGAGATTATCTGACCCCATGCTCTTATGTGATCGGTGAAGGAACATGGACTTATCAGAAGCAACTAGTAGGAAAGCCACTCAGCTGATTGATACGTTCTGTCTAGTGTCTTAACTCCAAATCCAAGGCTTTGTCCTACACACCACATTGGTTTCCCGCCACATAAACAACTTTCGGTGTGGGAAATCTGATTTCATTCTCCCTTGCTGTATCTAAAGTTCCCTGCACTTAACCGCCTCTTCGGTGAGTAAGGAATAACATAGACCCTTGCCATAGAGTGAGGGCCTTTGAGATCATCTAACTCCAGTACAAAGTTGATGTTATGTGGTTTGTCAGTCTCTGATTAGACACTTTCAGATATGGGAAACTTACTACTTCGTTTCAGACAGCTCTAGAAATTCATCTCAGATTAGAGATTCCTTGAAATGAACCCCAAAACATGCCAGGCTTTTGAGGGCAGAGGTTGTTTTGTTTGTTTGTTTTTTTAAGTCACTCAGCTTGAGCCAGTGCTGAGGGCCTTTGATCCTCCAAAGTCTCTGTAATGATTAAGGTGGTTACATTGGTTCAGATGGCACCTCCTTTCTCCTGGGGATCACACCAGAGCAGAACTGGCTTCTGGATGGTGGAGCTTGGTTCCCCACTCAGAGGATGCTAAAATTGCCCGGTCTTTTGGGCAGCAGGACTTGAGAGTGACAAGGGGCAGTAACTCCAGTTTCAAAGAATCTACACAGCATTTGAATTGAAGAGCCCAGATTCTAGCAGTAAGAGAGAGCATCTGCTTCTTTGCAAGGAGCAGGTAAGGTGGCAGCTAGGCCACAGTCGGGGCCTGCTCAGGGCTGCTCCATCCTGCATGCTGAAAGCTGCCCCTGCTGCTGGCTGCTGGCCCCTAAGGGAGCACTGCCGCAGGAGAGGAAGTGGAAGCGCACCAGAGGAGAGGAAGTGCACGGCCAGAGAGGAAGCGCAAGGCGGGAGAGGAAACGCAAGGCGGGAGAGGAAGTGCAAGGCAGGAGAGGAAGTGCAAGGCAGGAGAGGAAGCGCAAGGCAGGAGAGGAAGCCACAGCAGGAGAAGAAGCACACAGCAGGGCTGTGAGTTGTATGGCCTTTTACAGCCCTTCCACCCAGAGGATTCCTTTTGGGTACCACTCTCCCACTCCTTAAAAAAACTCCACTGGCGGCCATGCATAGATGAGATTCTAAATACTTTCGGGCTACCTTTCTGGAGGTCAGAAAACATGGTCATATAGCCCAAGCCTTGTAAGTCTGCATGGGCTACTGAATTTCCATGGATATTTTGTTTTTGTAGGCCTAAACAAGAAGGCTAAAGTTAGAAAGATAGTTGGGCTCGGGGGGCTCAGCATTCTACAGGCTTGTATGACTAAAGAAACCACTTCCACCCACTCCATCCCCTTCCCAGTCAGGAGAAATTCCTGGTCGATGAGTTAGAGAGACTGGATTGGAATAAAACAAAATTCTTCACTGGACATAGCTGTTTGGACTGTGATTATTATTATTTTTTATTTATTTATTTTTGAGATGGAGTCTCACCCTGTCGCCCAGGCTGGAGTGCAGTGGCACGATCTCAGTTCACTCCAACCTCCGCCTCCTGGGTTCAAGCGATTCTCCTGCCTCAGCCTCCTAAGTAGCTGGGACTACAGGTGCATGCCACCATGCCCGGCTAATTTTTTGTATTTTTAGTAGAGACAGGGTTTCACCGTGTTAGCCAGGATGGTCTCAATCTCCTGACCTTGTGATCTGCCCGCCTCGGCCTCCCAATGTTATTTTTAACAATAAGTAACTGCTACCAAATATTGAGTGATTACTGTAACGCCAGGCATGCCTATTTCATTTAATCCTCCAAAGTGCCTGTGAAATAGGTAGCAATTGTCATGTTAGAAGTGACAAAGACAAGATTTAGAGATGTCAGTAATTTGCCTACAATTACTAGCTGATGAGTGTGGGGCCAGAATTATAATCTAGGCATTGTGACAGTGGAGTCCAGTGTCTTACTGTTTATAGTATGCTTGTGACATGTTGTGAAAAATACACGTATATGTATTTGCATAGATTCATAAAATTCACATTACACATCCATAAAATCACAGAGAAGCAATTCTATCTTGATATCTATTTCTCTCCCTCTCCCTGTATCTGTATCATTAATATCAATACCTATATGTATACCAACCTATATCTAAATTGATTTGCATCTTCCCATCCAGCAAGATCTTGCTTTGCAAATGAAGTTGCCTTCTTACTGTTTAAGACTGGTGGAAGTCATTGGTTCCAGAACTAAGAAAGGGAGGAAGTGTGTGGGGCCAAGGTAGCATGGCAGTAGTAAAGAGTGAGCACATCACCTTAGAGTCTCAAAAATACCATTTGAGGCCAATTTTGATACTTAGAATATACTATGCTTCTAAATAACATACTGCCTTCTTAAATTAACAAATACTGTAAAAATTTCAGAGAATAATAAAGTCATGTTCTATGAATCCACCACCCAGGTAGCACTTGTTGTTATTTTCAGCAAGAAAAATCAAAAGAATGCATGCACATGGTTAAAAAGTAAAAACATGAGAGCAGAGGGAAGAAAATAAAAAGTAAAAGCTCCTTCTCACCCCAATTTCATCTTCAGATCCTCTCTCCAAAGACAACTGCCAATAAAGCATTTCTTCTGTCTTTTGTACAAACAAGTTTACACTCCGAGAACTATGCCACTTGTGTCTCCCTTTGTTATTGGTATATACTATTTCATGGATACCTAAACCCCTATAGTGCATCTGGACCTGATTCAAAGGTTTTGATGGACAACCAGTGCTATTATTAATGAAATATTGATAATAAAAACTCACCTTTATTAGGCATTAATTATGTGCCACTCACTCATCTAAGCACTTTATATGTATTTATTCATTTAATTCTCACAAAGTTCACATTTGGTATTCGGTTGGGTACCTCGCTTTGCCCACCATCTCCCCAATCCACTGTGCACCTGACCTGCAGGAAGAGCAGCAGCAGCAGCTCTGTTGTCTCTGGCTTCCATGTGGGGTCAGCCCATGGGTGGCACGGAGGGTGGAGAGCAAAGTTGGTTGTTTGGCCTCTCACCTGCTGTTGCTCCCTTTGTGGGCCAGCTCCTGTCAGATGGTCCATCACACACAGCTCTCTCCCTGCATTTCAGAAACCATCTCCTTCTCTCACTAATACCAGGCTGAGGAGTGGCAATGACCCTCCACTCCCACCAGCCAGGAGCACGGCATTGTCCCTTCTGGCCTCTTTCACCCTGTCTGTGTCATTGTAAATAGGCCTTTTTTCTTAAACTCTCTCTAAATCACTCAATTCAAGAGTGTACCTTGTTTTCTGCTAGGATGCTGATTGATAGGAATATGTGCAATTGACCCCCATGACATCACTGAGAAATTGGAGGCACACAGCCCATGGTGGGCATAGGACCCAACCGATGAATTTGCTCCCCAGAGACTGTGCTCTCATCCCTGCACTCCCTCATCTCTACAAGGTCACCCATCTTAGGGATACACCTCTAGGTCTATTCATATGACACCTCAGTGGCTCTTAGGGCTTTGCCAATACAAATAGTGTTTCTGTAAATATCTTTATATGTCTGTCTTGGTAAATATATGGAATTATATCTATCGAGCATATTCTTAGCAATGCCTAGTCAATGTGTATATACAATTTTTAATTTGAGGGGATATTGTCAAATTGCTATAGTAGTTAGTCAAATTAAATGTACTTGTATACTATGACCTGGTAATTCTACTCTAAGTAGATAGATTTAGATATAGTGATAAGGATATAGACATATCAAAGAAATGCTCACACATATCCATAAAGGGATATGTACAAGAGTGTTCATTATAGTTTTGTTATTTTATTTTATTTTATTTGTACTGTCTTTGTTTGGAGCAGCGGTGAGAAGTTGGTGTTGGTGATAGATCCTCATTGGGAGGGTTCTTAGATAAACCGTGGTGGATGTTCACCATGGGATTTTGTGCAGCAGTTTGAAGCAAATGTATGCATAATGATATTGTAAATATAGTGCTGAGTGAAAAAAATAAGATGTATGCCATAATGCTACTTTTGTACATTAAAAAAAAAAATCCACAAGAAACACTATCTCACATTTTGCAAAAATACATGCAAAATGACACCCATTAAACAAACAGGGAGGGATTGCCTAGGAGAGGTGGGTAGACGGGTATAAAGAGGAATGACTCAATCAATCAAGCAGCGGAGGGGAGAAGGGGGACATGATAGAGAATATTGTCACATTTCCTTCCAGAAAGGTCATGCCATTTACATTACTCCCTACAATGTAAGAGAGTGGCCATTTTTTCCATAATATTTCCAATGGTGAATATTATGAAACTTGCAAAAAAATTTCCGCAAGCTAATGGCTGGTATCAGACTGAATATTTTTTCCATTCTGATGATTTGATTTGTGTTTTTCCATTGTGAGTGGAGTCAAACCATTTGAATGTCTTTTTCTGTAACTCAGAATACTTTGCATTATTGGAAATGTCCCATGCACTTCAAGGGGTTGGCAGATCCACCAGGGCAGTCAGACAAACAGGTCTTCTGCCATCCTCAGGCACAAAGGAGGCCACGTGTCCAGTGGACACACAATCCATGAGTATGAGTGCCATGGTTATCCCCAAACCTCTCTTTAGTTCTGACAGCACCAGTGTCTTGGTGACTTCACGACCTCTCCAGACCAGAAGGCCATCTGTGCTTGGTTGGCAACCCCAGCTGCATGATCAGATTATTTCAAACTCTGTTTCAAATTCACTCGCACTAAATGCACCAAAAAAAGCACTGCTCTTTCTGTGCTGAGCTATTTAATGTTGTGGGGCTGTTTCCATGAGCCCTTTTTGTTTAGCTGGACTTTTTTTTTTTTTTTAACCCTCCCCCCTTCCACCCCTCCTTTTTCTTTTCTTTTTTTTTTTTTCTTTCTTAAATGTTCTTTTCTTGGAAGAAGTTGTTCCTTTGCCAAACATAAATGAAACTTTGGCTCCAAGATCAGCTCAAAATTTACTAGCTGATAAATTGGAAGTAGGGAGTGCGTTGTGAAGGTGGGAGGAGAAGGGAGAGGGGGAGGGAGGTTTTCATTTGGGGGGCAAGTTCAAACTTGGAATCAGAAGCTATTAAAGTGTCTGATGTGTGCTGAGTCATATGGAGGTGGGGGCAGGGGATGACGCTGGCTCCTTGCCAGACACACGTACTGCCCAGGTTGATGAACGAGCCTCCAAAGGCACTACAACAGGATTATAATTTCACTAGCATTTTAAACATAATATTAGAAGCCACGTGCATGACACCGAGCAAGCAATCAGCATGGGCCTCTTGTGTTTATGAGACTGGTCTTGGAGTATACATCTTTTTAAACTCCATATTCCCACTCAGCTCTACCCCTTTCCCCTACTCTCCCCTCCCTCCTCCAACTGAGTCTCTCTAGAAGCTCCCTGGCTCCCCATTCAACCAGGGGTTCTATGGAGCCATGGAGAAGACACCAGCGCTGAGAGGAGAAGCTTTCCTATAAAGACAGTGATGATGGTGATATTCACTCATTTAATATTGAAAGGAATCCTATAAAGTAGATAATGTTATCCCCATTTTTACAGATAAGGAAAATAAAGCACAAAGACAAAGCTAGTAAGTGCAGAGCTGGGATGTGAATCTAGGATTTCTGCATTCCTAGCCTCTCTAACCTCTGCCCCTCATTCAAGTGCCTTCGTCTCACCATCCTGCATTTCCCACAGGATGGTTTCTGACCTTGGCACATGCTGTTCTCTTATAAGATAGAGAAAGGCAGTAAAGGGTAGAGACTTCCAGGTGTTCAGCCCCCTCCATTACACTTCCTTGCTCAAATCTTAGTGCAAAATCCGTCCTAATATTCATCACTCCTTTTTTCTTCCAAAGTTTTATTATGGAAAATTTCAACCACACGGAAAGTTGAAAGAACAGCACAGTGAACATCCATGTACTCACCATCTCTTTACCTTCTTCCCTCCCTCCCCTCCCTCCTCCAGTTGAGTCTCTCCAGAAGCCCCCGATTCAACAAGGGGTTACAAGGAGCCATGGAGAAGACAATGAAGGGTTCTACAATTAAGATTTTGCTCTATTTTTTCCATCATATCTATGCATCTCTCCATACCTTTATTCCTCTACCCAATCCATCTATTTTTTGATGCATTTCAAAGTACATTGCAGACATTAGTACATGACACCTCTAATCAGTTTTATGTTCCTTTCCTTTTTACTTTATACGAAATAAAAATCACAGTTAACAATTATCAAGTGCTTACTGTCAGGCACTGTGCCAAGCACTTTCCTTGCATTACATAATTTGAATCTCATGGTAACCCTATAAGTACAGTTACCACCTTCATTTTACAAATGAGAAGAACTGAAACAGAGAACAATGGTGTCAATTAACATTTTAAAAGTCTTTCTATGGGCCATTCACAGTGCAAGTACTTTTCATGCATTATCTCAGTTAATCCCTTATAGCAATTTCATAAAGGCAATACTATTACAGATGACAAAATTGAGACTTTGAGAAAAAGATCCTGCAACCTAATAAGCATCAGAACCTGGGTTTGAATTGAGGGAGTCTGACTCCACTATGCTTGGCTTCGCCATTGGTTAGCCACCCTATTGTAGCATTTTTCTTTGCTATTGTGTTTTAGCTTTTTGGGTCCACTTATGTTTCTCACCAGACTGTGGTCTCTCAAGTTCGAGTCATGTTTTAGTCTTCTTAGTTCCAGGCCATCATTCAGATACAAGTAGGCACTTCATAGATGTTTCCTGAATGGATTCACAAACAATGAATAGTAATAGCTGAAAGCCTTACATCTTAGAACGAAGTAAAACAGTGACCATTCTAGAAAATGCAATGAAAATCTTGAAAACTGATGATAGGTCCTGTTGATAATTTCCTGAGGTTTTCTTTACACCAACAGGATTTCCTGAGTAACCTGGAGATGCGAGAGACAGCCTGGGGGAGTTCAGTGCTCTTGCCAGCCCAGGCAGGAGCACACGCCCATACCCTTTGGCTCACCAGGCATCTTTTATAAGCCCACTGTGTGGCAAACACCAGGCTAAGGGATGGGGAGGACACAGAGGCTAAACCTGCAAGGCCCCATCTTACGGAGCACATAGGCTAACAGGGCATAGGAAGAGACTAGCACATTCATAACCATGACAAAAGTCATGATGGGCACTTCACAAGAAAGAGACAAACCCAGTTTTTAAAGCAATTCCAAGGAAGGAGAAATTAGATTATGGTGTAGAGAAGAGGCTCAGCGACACCCTGTTGGGGAAATTTTATTTGGGATGGGCACAATTTTCAATAATAGAAATGTGGCAGGGAGTAAATGAGCAAAGATGGGAAAATGCAGTCCCATGATGCTCCAGTTGTCAAGAACATCGAAAACAGACCCACAAGGCCAAGTTACCCACTGTGGAGTAAGAAAACAGACAACACTAAGGCCAAATTCATGCACTATGTATGTTTTTACCCAGAGCAGCGCTATGGAAGAAGCAGTGACTATAACCTCACTCACAGGTTGAAGCTCATTCAAGGTGCCTGCAGCAATGGATACCAAGGCTCTCCTGGGTGGTGCCACAATGCAGCAAAAGGCACACTATGGGAGAAGAGCTTGAAGGACCACACAGATGGAGTGTCCCAGTCACCTAGACACATGCTATGCAGTGCTCACAGTTCTTTATATTATCTCATTTAACCCCTATTAACAACAGATCCCAGAGCTGTTATTGGCCCCAGTGTTTCAAATGAGAAAACTGAGGCAATGAAAGCTATGAAAGCTTAATGACTCAGTCAAGGTCACATGGCCTGGAAGAAGAGAAATCATTGCCTCCAAATCTAATTTTCTTGGTGTTGTCTCATTAATGCATAGGAAGATCAGGGCTTTGGAAATGAGTGTCATGCTATAGAGATAATGCTTCCCCCCCCACCCCCGCCCAAATCTGGGTACTTCACAGTGAGTCTATGAGTTATTAACTGCCTCTACTAGAGTTAATGAATTAAAAAAAAAAAACTATGACTTTTGAGAAATTAGTCAAGTCTGCCATTGGGATAAACTAGATGCTTATTTCATTTACTCAGGAGCACCTTTCGCTACAGCTTTGTGATTGCGAGCTCGGCCTCTGGAATCAAACTGCCTGGGTTTGAATCCCAGCTTACACTTACTGGCTGTGTGCCTTTGGGTATGTAACTTAGCTTCTCTGTGCTTCAGTTTCCTTATTTGCAAAATAAAGAGAATAATCGTATCTACATATGCAATTAGTAAACTTTCAATCGTGTTTGGTACATATTAACTGTCTGACAAAAGTAGCTTGATTTGTCATTTGTATCCCATTATATCACTTTTTTGTTGGGTGCCTTTGGGTTTCAGAGAATGGAGACCTGCTTGGATTACCTCAGATGCTGGGGGCTTATTACAAAGATACATGGCATAAAAGAAGACCAGGGGCCGGGTGCGGTGGCTCACGCCTGTAATCCCAGCACTTTGGGAGGCCGAGGCAGGCGGATCACGAGGTCAGGAGATCGAGCCTATCCTGGCTAATATGGTGAAACTCCGTCTCTACTAAAAATACAAAAAATTAGCCGGGCGTGGTAGTGGGCACTTGTAGTCCCAGCTACTCGGGAGGCTGAGGCAGAAGAATGGCGTGAACCCGGGAGGCGGAGCTTGCAGTGAGCCAAGATTGTGCCACTGCACTCCAGCCTGGGTGACAGAGAGAGACTCTGTCTCAAAAAAAAAAAAAAAAAAAAAAAAAAAGACCAGGAACTTCACAACTGCATGACTGGCCACATAGATCTGGAAAATCATTATTTATCTTTTCAGCTGTTGCATGCATAAATTGCCATATTGCCAAACTAGTGTTTGTCCGCTTGTCTGCAAAGTAAGAATCCTTTACTCCTGTTACTCATTTTTCCTCCCTCTCTTCTTTTCTTCCTTTTGTTTGTTGCAGAAGGTTGAGTAAATTGCACTCCTCAGTCCATGGCCCATTATTTATCTTGTTTGCTTATTTATTTCATCTCTATTCCTTCATCCTAGTTTTTCTTCCTCCCTCCCTTAGGCAAACACTCTTATTTGTGTTTAATTTAGATCCTTTGGTTTGTATGTATTCTTAGAAAACATTCATTTTTTTAATCCATGTATTTTTAATTTAAAAAAATGGTACTTTGCTATATATCTCTTTTTGTTCCTTACTTTTTTCACCCAGCACTGTTTATCAATTCATCTGTGTTATTAGATGCTCAGCCAGGCTGTTCATGCTCACTGTTGCTTCATTCTCCATGATGTATACTCACCATATGCTGCCTACCTAATCTGCATTGATGGATTTCCAGATTGCCGCCAACTTCCTGTCACCACAAACAACACTATAATGAACATCTTCAAAGATATCTCCTTATGGATCCGGGTGAGATATCCTTGGAAATACATGTAGGGTCCATTTTAATTTGACTAAGTTGTGTCAGATTGCTCACCAGAAAGCCTGTTCCTGGAGACACTCCCAGCAGCAGTACACAAGTTCCCACACCCACACCAACCCTTTGGCATGCTGCAATTCTCCAACCTTGCAGCCATTGCTTCTCCATCGTTCTCCTCTTTCCACAATCTTGCTGCTTCCTCGGGCTGTTTCTGCTCTCACTGCCCACCTACCCCACCCTGCTGCTACCTGTCCTCACTTTTTTCTCTGGCCTCCCCTACACCCCATGTGGTTCCTTCATATTCATGGCTTCTGCTTTTTGAATAAACATGTTTGAATATTTTCTAGTATTCTTTTTTCCTCCTTGTCTTTCTCTTTGACCTTCAAACACTCTAATTGGGCTCCTTAGTTGCTACCCAGTCTAGCAACATCTGTGAGGTGAAATTCCGTTTTTTTGGGGTTTTTTTGTTTTTTTTTTTTTTTGAGATGGAGTCTCGCTCTGTTGCCCAGGCTGGAGTGCAGTGGCACGATCTTGGCTCACTGCAAGCTCCGCCTCCCAGGTTCACGCCATTCTCCTGCCTCAGCCTCCCGAGTAGCTGGGACTACAGGTGCCCACCACCATGCCTGGCTAAATTTTTGTATTTTTAGTAGAGACGGAGTTTCACCGTGTTGGCCAGGATGGTCTCAATCTCCTGACCTCATGATCCACCCATCTCAGCCTCCCAAAGTGCTGGGATTACAGGCATGAGAGGTGAAGTTCTTTTTTTGGGCCACTTCTTATGACTACTGTGGATCAGCTCAGATGTCTACCCCTGGCCCAACAGATGTCTCCAGGGTGTTGAAGGTCACCGGTCTAAACTCTATTGACCCCTGGGGAAGGAGTATCTGTTACAGGCTCTTTCCATAGAAGGGGGCTATGGCTATGGCAGGCATTCAGAGTTCTATGAACTGCTCAGTATACACATTCATTTGGTATTTTGTTAAATTCACCATTTACCAATTTTGATGTGAAGTGGCCACAGTTACACAAGAAAAACACCAACCTTGAAAATTATTTTATACATAAATGTTACCAGAAAGAGGTCCCAATCCATACCCCAAGAGAGGTTTCTTGGATCTCATGCAAGAAAGAATTCAGGGCGAGTCCATAAAGTGAAAATGAGTTTATTGGGAAAGTAAAGGAATAAAGAATGGCTACTCCATAAACAAAGCAGCCCCGAGGGTGGCTGGTTGCCCATTTTTATTGTTATTTCTTGATGATATGCTAAACAAGGGGTGGATTATTCATGCCTCCCCTTTTTAGACCATATAGGATAACTTCCTGACGTTGCCATGGCATTTGTAAACTGTCATGGCGCTGGTGGGAGTGTAGCAGTGAGGACGACCAGAGGTCAATATCGTGGCCATCTTGATTTTGGTGGGCTTTAGCCAGCCTCTTTACTGGAAGCTGTTTTATTAGCAAGGTCTTTATGACTTGTATCTTGTGCCAACCTCCTATCTCATCCTGAGACTTAGAATGCCTTAACTGTCTGGGAATGCATCCCAGTAGGTCTCAGCCTCATTTTACCCAGCTCCTATTCAAGATGGAGTTGCTCTGGTTCAAAAGCCTCTGATATAAACACAGTGGGAAATCACCTATTCCTTGCCCATTGTTAATCTTGAGCCCCTGTTTTCCTCCTTACAGTACTTCCTCCACACGGTATTGGGGAAATTATGTCTTAATCCAGAGAATATGTTGTTCCCCTTGCCTGGAATATTCTTTCCTAACTCCCTTTTGCCCTGACTAAAGTGACCCCATTCTTCTGACATTAAATTTCACTCTGGTAAGATCTTCACTGACCTCTACTCTAGGATAGGTTCTCCTACTGAATGTCCCCATCTCCTATCCTCACACACAATACACTTTATTATAATTAAATGTCATCCTGTCCTGCAAGATATGAGTTACCTGAGTATATAATTGCACCTGTTCCTTTCACTACTGCATTTCTACTGTTCAGCAAAGTACTTTGCATCTAGTATGTGCCCAAAAAATCTGTGGCTGTCTTTGTTGAATGACAGAGAGGGATATCTCTGGGAGATTGAGTTTAAATCCCTGTCCTGTTATGACATCTGAGACAAGTCATAGTTCCTGTATTATCTACCTCACAGGGTTTTTATATATGAAAATGTTTTTTCAAATTGTGAAGGTCTACAAAAATAAGACAAAAGCATTTGATGGGAAAAGACACTCAGATAATTTTGTGCCTCTTCAGAGAAATTTAAATGATTTAAATGCCAATTGCTTGAGTAAGTGAATAAAATAATACCCTCATCCTAACATAATTTCATAAATCAAAGATTATCATCAAAGGGGTGTTAGAGACGGAGAGACTCTGGAGCTTATCCTTTGTTCTACCTGGAAATGAATTGACTTGGAATCTATGTGACTTGCCCAAGTCAAAAGCTGTAAACAAACAGGGCTCAGAAAAAGGGTCTTCTCTAGGCCTACCCTTCACATACTCAGAAGCATGTGCACTTGTAGGAGGAAGCCTGTCCAGCCGCACTTGGTCTCTGAGTGCTTACAGCAGCCAAGCAGCCTCCTCTTTGGCTGCTACCAAGCTGACCTTTGATTCGAGCTTCCCACAAGCCATTATTTCTTAAAATCATGGAATCATCAAATTCTCTAGTGCTTTTTTTTTTCATTTTTTTCTTTTCTCTGTGCTTCACACTGACCCATTTCTTCTCATTGACCCATGAAGAAGTAGCAAAAAGAGAGATGTGCACACTGAGTCAGAGCCTTTATGTGCTATGATCCAATATGTACCACACTCCCATTAGTTGGCTGGAAAGCTATCTGGGGTTTTGAGAATCTAGACCTCTGATTTCCAAGCAAGTTGAAGTTATTCCCAACACACATGGCTTCCCAGTAAGAAGAATTCTCTATATTTCTGTGTGTGTGTGTGTGTGTGTGTGTGTTTCTGGTTGCTACAGGAATTAGAAGCAGTGGCAAAAAAAATAATCCTAATAAGGAGTCCTTTGTGCCCAGCTGTTATAAAACAGGATTTTTCACAAGCATTTACTCTCTCCCCACAATGAAGCCTTAAAGTGCAAAAGTTCACCCTGAGCATTGCCCACTGCTTTTCTTTAAACCTTCCAAGAGACACACAAGGCTCTTATTTTTCAGGGCCCATCTGGCCATAAATTGCAATAGACATTAATTTATGAAAACAAATGACACCAGCCTACTCCACGACATTTTCAAATGGGAGTATTAGGCAGGGCAATAAAGCAGGAATAAAATAAAAACACTCAGACCCTGTAGCTGCCCTGGCAATGCCCCAAGCCACACAGGGACCCTCAATATCCCTGTTCCAACACACTCTGCTCTTGCAAAGTTACGGTTATTTGATCATAAGACATGAAATTCACTTTTTTGGCCAGAGTGTGGCAGGAAATTAAACATATCCAAGCCTTTCTCCATGTGACCAGAATCACCATTCTACCTGCAGAGTTTACATCAATGGTGATAACCACAGATAGAGCAAAGGAGCTGGATTATCAATACTGGCAGATGATTTAGCTGGTGGTTAATCCATTCTCCCCAGAGTCTAGAGGAGTTATTTCATTCTTGGGACTCTTGTCTAAAATTTGGTGTGTGGAACTTCTAGTAGAGTCAAGGGGATGGTTTACAGGCATGCAGAGGAAAGGTAATTTTAACCTCCTTATTATATACCTGCAATTGCCAGCATTAAGCAGACAAGCAGTGCCAACTCAAATACCATAGGAAAGATGCAAAAAGAAAGGGCTGAGTAATATGTCTGTGACTCTAGGCAAGACAGCTGGCCTTTCTAGTTTTCTGTTTTTCTGGATGCTTGAACCTAATGTATCTTAGTTTTTCAGACATGCATACTGAGGGCAGTAAGACGCACATATACATACAAGAAATCTTTGTGCTCTGAGAGATAATAGGTATAACTTTAAAACTCATTTTCATTTTATTTATTTGTTTATTTTTTGAGATAGAATCTCGCTCTGTCACTCAGGCTGGAGTGCAGTGGTTCAATCTTGGCTCACTGCAACCTTCTCCTGAGTTCAAGCAATCCTCGTGCTTCAGCCTCCCAAGTAGCTGGGATTACAGGCATGTGCCACTCATTTTCATTTTAAAAGGCTACACTTAGCATTAAAAATTAAATGGAGGCTGGAAGAGGGGTTACAGTCTTCTCCCGCCAGTCTCTCTTTCATCAAATGAAAAGATACAAGACTCATCAGACCCAAATGGGGGTTAAAAGATCAGCCTCTTTATTGCTGAAGGATATACCTAATCATTCTCTAAAAGTAGAACTTCTAGAAAATTTTTAGAGAGTAGGACTTAAACCTTGAGCTCAATGGAACTTCCTTCTCCTCCTACTCAAATCTTGGTCTCAGGACTCACCTATTTGGACAGCTGAGTTGAGAGTCTGACATAAATTCACCTGCCTAGCCACCAGCAAGGTACCTACAAGGAAGCACAGGGCTGCCCCATATCCTCTCCAGGATATCCTTTCCGGGCCCTCCATACTGGGGGACCTTGCCTAGAGAAGTTTATCTCATAGAATTTCCTATGAGGAGGAGATTAAAGACTATGATCCTGCAATTCCCCCGAGAGAACACAGAGCCAAGAAACTAAGAAACGATGTCATGTGTGAACTGCATATGGCATTTAACACTGTCCCCCATCCACTATTAAATGTGGTTCCATGAAAGTCAGGTCCTCAACAGTCAGGTTAGCTAGTCCTCCCACTTTGGGGAGGGGCAAATAAGCAAGTGGAGAGAGAAGATGGAAGTATTGTATTCTTTCTTTACCAGTCAAAGTGCAAACATGAGAAGGAGAGTATAACTGTTCCTCCTCTCAGTTGGAATTTCCTTACTGGGGGAATTCAGGAAACAGGAACATAACCAGTAAAAGAAACTTTGGCAAGACCTTCCTCAGAATGTTTCAAGACTGGGAGAGAACAACATCCCAAGTGGGGCAGAATTTTAATTTTTCTCTCTTGAAATGTTTCCAACCTTGGAACTGCATTCATGGTAAGATATCTGATTGATCCCATCCTGCAGCCTTCTTTGTTGGTCCTGGGGGTGGGTGGGCAAAAAATAACACCCCTCCGTATAGAAGGCCATGTTTTCCCTGATCTGCTGGAAGGTGAAGTGATGGCCCAAGGCCTAACAGCAGGGTCCTCACCACTGAGGAAAAGAGAGAATGTTCTGTAGATTTTCCCGAGACTGACATATATAAACTGTGAATCATTCACTTGAGGACAGGATGGGAAGAGCTGATGGAAGCCAAGTGGGAGAGAAAGTACAAAGGAAGATTTCCAGAGATAAAGAGAACAACTCCTCAGTGAGCCGGCTTGGAGAGAACAAGTGGAGGGAGGCACGTCTTCAGCCTGTCGTTAGCAGATGTTTACTAACTCACTGTGGTACTGGAGCCAGCTGGGGCTAACTGAGGAACATTTTCCATCCCAGATCCTTTGTGGTGAAAAAGAATAAAGTAGAAAATGAATGGCACCAGATTGTGTCCATGATTTATCATTTTAATCTTGTCACCAAGAATTGAAGAGACCCAGGCTAGGGCAAAGGAAAAGGCAAAAATATATATATTTGACATGAATCAGTTATTTGAGGTCAATCTGGGAAGTTTTTTTAGCACATAAAAAACGTCTAAAAGAAAGAATAGTAATCTAGTAATCTCTCATGGCAAACTTTCAAGGGTGAAGAATTTAATTTACTAAGGATGTACGGCAGCACAGTGTAAGGTTGAACACTAGCTCAACAAGTTAATAGGGATAGGATTCCTGCGATGGCAGAGTTTCTCCAGAGGTCACTTGACTGTTACTCAGACTCTAAGAAGAGCTGTTGTCAGCCCAAATATGGCCATGCTCTGTTCTTATGACTATGACTTGTTCCTGCGATTTGTAATATTTGGAATCAGCATCCTTTGAGAATTAGAACTTACGACAAATTTTCTTTCACCTCTTTCTTCTTCTCAGACTCTTTCCTATTCGTTCCTGCTTCAAGACTTTTGTACTTGCTGCCCTTGTGCCTAAAATGCTCTTGTATCAGCTCTTTACCTGGCTGATTTCCCTTCACCCTTCTGGTCATAGATTAAATATCATCTCCTCCAACAGGCCTTCTCTTATGGCCGCATCTAAAGCAAAGACAATTCCCTATGAGATTCTATCCCATTACTCTGTTTGTTTACATAATAGCAATTAACACATTATCAAATTTTAATAATTATCTGATTATCAAAGAGGAACTCAAAAGGGAAATTAGAAAATATTTTGAACTAAATGAAAATAAAAATTTGTGGTATGGCACTGAAGTAGTACTTTGGGAAAAATATATTGCCAAATGCTTAGATTAGAAAAAGATACACATCTCAAATCAATTACTTCAGCTTCTGCCTAAAGAAAATGAAAAAAAAAGATGCTTACCAGGGGAGATACCATAATCATCAAGAAAGTGCAAAAAGAAGAGTAAATTAAATCCAAAGTAAACAAAAAAGAAATGATAAAAATCAAAACAAAAATCTATGAACTATAAGAGTAAAACAATATAAAAAATTAATTAAACAATGAAATAATAGTTGTTTCTTTAAAAACATCAATAATCAACCTCAATCAGACTGATCAGGAAAAATCAGAGAGCAAGAAAGGACACAAATTACCAGTATCAGGAATGAGAGGTAGCATCACTACAGATTCTACCATATGAAAAGGACAATAGGAAAATATTATATATAACTTTATGCCAATAAATTGACAACCTAAGTGACAGGCAAATTTTTTGAAAGATATTGTGTTAATCTGTTCTTTGTGTTGCTATATAAAGAAATCTCAGAAACTAGGTAATTTATAAAGAAAAGAGATTTGATTGGCTAATGGTGCTTCAGGCTGTACAAGCATGGCACCAGCGTTTGCTCAGCTTCTGGAAAGCCTCATGGAGCTTTTACTCAGGGAAGAAGGCAAAGCAGCAGCAAGCACATCATATGGTGAAAGTAGAGCAAGAGAGAGAGTGAGTGTGGGTTGTGGGAGAGGTTCCAGACACTTTTAAAAAACCAGATCTCAGGAGAACTTACTCACTGTCGTGAAGACACAACCAAGCCACGAGGGATTCACCCCCATTGCCCAAACACCTCCCACTAAGACCCACCTCCAACGTTGGGGATTATATTTCAACATGAGATTTTGCAGGAACATATGCTCAAACTCTATCAGGCACAAACTACCAAAGCTCACTCAAGGAGAAATAGGTAACCTTAGCACAAATAACTTTATATCTAAGAAAAAAATTAAATTTGTAGTTAAAAATCTTCCCACAAAGAAAACTTCAGGCTTAGATGTCTTCACTGGTGAATTACATTTTAGAAAGAACTAATACCAATTCTACATAAACAACTCTAAAAGTTGAAAAGGACAAAATATTTTCCAACTCTTTTTATGAAATCAGGCTTACTCTGATACAAAAGTCATACAAATACATTATAGGAAAAGAAAATTACATACTAACTGTCATCAAACATAGATGTAAAATGTCTATACAAAGTTTTAGCAAATCAAGTTCAACAATATGTACAAGGAATTTTACAAATGACCAAATAGGGTTTATCCCAGAACTGCAAGTTTGGCTTAATATTTGACGACAAATCAATGCAATTCACCACTATTAGCATACTTTAAAAAATAAAACTCATATGATATTTCTGATAGATACCAAAAAAGTATTTGACAAAATTCAGTGTTCATTCCTTACCAAGAAATTAAAATTAAAATAAAAAAACCACAAACCTTCAGCCAACCAGGAATAGAAGAGAACTGCCTCAATCTTACTTAATGGTTAAAAAGCCAAATGTCTTTCTCCTAAGACAAGGTACAAGAAAATCATGTCTGCTCTAACAGTTTCTATTTACTGTACTATGGGTTTGAGTCAGAGCAGTCGGATGAGAGCAAGAACTAAAAACCATCCAGATTGGAAAAGAAGAAGTGAAACTTTCTTTATTTGCAGGCTACATGACTGAATAGTAGAAAATCAGATAGAATCTACAAAACATCAATTGGATTTCTATATGGTAACAATGAAAAAATAGAAATTGATGTTAAACATAATATTATTTATAGTAACATCAAAAATATGAAATATTTAAAGACAATTCTGACAACATATATGAAAGGGCTATGCCCTGAAAATTACAGAACATTGTTAAAGAAATCTTTAAAAACCCAAATAAATGGAGAGATTACATCATGTTCACGGGTCAGAACATTCATGTTGTTAAGATGTCAGTTCTCTCAAGATTGAGCTATAGATTCAGTGCAATCCTAATCAAAATTCCAGCAGATTTTTGGTATATTTAACAAACTGTTTCTAAAGTTCATGTGACAATTTAAAAGATCTAAAACAAATTTCAAGCAAAATTGAAAAAGAAAAACAAAGTTGGATGACTAACACTATCTGAGCTCAAGATTTATTGTAAAAGCTGAAGAAATCAGGACAGGGTGCTATTGGCATCAAGACCAACAAACAAACCAATGGAGCAGAAGACATGGTCCAAAAATAGATCCACGCAGAGATGGACAACTTGGTTTTTTACCAAGGTACAAAGATGATTTAGAGTAGGAAAGGTAGGCTGCAAAAAATTGTGCTGTAACATTTGGATATCCGCATGCCAAAGAATGACCTTCAATCCATATTTCACCTCATAATAAAAAATTAACCCAAAATACATCCCACTATGTAAAATCTAAACTATAAAACCTTCACAAGACAGCACAGGATAAAAACATGGCACATGTATGCATATGTAACTAACCTGCACATTGTGCACATGTACCCTAAAACTTAAAGTATAATAATAATAAAGAAAAAAAAAACATTTGTGAACTTGAATTAGGCAAAGATTTCTTAGGTCTTACACCTAAAGCATAATCCATAAAAGGAAAATAAATCATATATTGGCTTTCAAAGTTAAAAACTTCTCCTCTTCAAAAGACAGAATTTTGTAAATTCTGTAAAGAGAATTAAAAGATAAAAGGCAGCATAGGAGAACATATTTGTAAATAATATATCTGACAAAGAAGCTGTATTTAGAATTCATAAAGAACTCTCAAAATTCAATAATAAGAAAGCAAGTAATCAAATACAAATGGTCAAAAGATTTGAACAGACAGTCACTAAAGAAAAAGTATGGTTGGCAAATAAATAGACGGAAAGATGCTCAACATCAGCAGTTGTTAGGGGAATGCAAATCAAACTAGAATTAGATACCACTACGGAGTTATTGGAATGGCTAACATTGAACACACTGACCCATTTCATGTGTTGTCAAAGATATGGAGTGACTGGGACACACACATTACTGTTGGGCATAGCCACTTTGGAAAACAGTTTGGCAGATTTTTAAAAAGTTAAACATATACTTACTGTATAATCCACAATCCCACCCCTAGGTAAAATAATCACTTATCTTCACACACAGAAAACCTATGCATGGATGTTTACTGCAGCTTGATTTATAATTGCACAAAACTGTAAATGACCCAGATGTCTTTCATCAGGTAAATAGTCATACCAGATTTGGCATATCTTGTACATATTATGGTACTCTATTCAGTAATAAAAAAGACACATTCTTTTTTCTATTGATGCAATCCCTAACACAGGTGAATCTCAAAATAATTATGCTGAGTTAAAGAAGCCAGACGCCAAGAAAAAGATGCATCGACCAGGCAAAATAACCAGTGCTCTGCCCCTACTAACCAGTGGGTTTCAAAAATGATTTTTTTTTTGTCAGTTGTACCCATGGCATGAAACACTTGCTCAGAATCCATACCTCTTGATTATGCCGTTAGACAATAGCTTATTATCTGTGTGCATTTTGGGATCATATACTTTTATTTCATTGGACACTTCTCATCCCTATCACCACCATCGCCACAAAGCAATCTTCAGAGTTATGATTTAGAACTCAAGAGCTGCTAGACCTATGAATTGGGCAATTCAAGAATTCCATGGTTCAACCCTGAAGGTGCAACTTTGATGCTTCTAGCTGGAAGTGGGACAAACTTGGTCATCTAAAGATGACCCCCAAATAAATAAAATTCCTGATCTCTGCTTAGACTACTCCTGCCAGAAACCTCCAAAGTCAGGTTCTCCAGAAACAGTCTAGTCCTGGATTCTGACTCATTCAAGTCTTTCCCCTTACTTTCTCCTGAAAATGTGGAGCACAGGGAGCTGCTCCTGTCCAGAGTGTGGACAACTGGAGTGAGATACTTGGCAGGTGAAGCATTTGCCACCACCTTCACATATAGGTCTTTACTTTGTTTTTGCCTTACCCTTCCAATTTGAGCTGAGTTGTTTTCTTCATAGCCTTTAAAACCAGGTTTGATTTCTAATTACTTTTTAAAATCATCTCATCAAGTCAATGATTTCATGACTGTTTTTCTGGTTAAAACCCCCAGTTTAATTAATCTCAGAGGAATCTTTTTGTGTGGTCTCTCCTTACGGTCATCTCCCATCCCATCTGTCCCATCCTTATGAGGGGGATACAGCCGCTCAGCAATCATGATTCTTCCATGCTGCTATCCACCCTTTCTGTCTGGTTTTCCCGAGTTGCAGGGATTACACACCCATTTGGATTGTGAGACTTCTCAGAACCAGCTTCTTCACAGAAATTCTTTCTAACTCTTCCAGCCCATGGAGCTGCATGTCAAGTTACACATTCTTAAAAGGTTCATCACTGACTAGGATCTATCTCCCAGTTCCTCCACAGTACTCTCCAACCCTATCACTCCCCTCCAACTCAACCTACTGGCATCATTGCCTGCTCCAAACTGTGAGTGGGAAAGTGAGAGTAGAAATTTCTGCATCAGGATCCATAAGCTGAAGTGAGTGGGAGAAGGACTTGAATACAGTCTGTTAACACCTCAGGGAGAGTTAATTAAAACCTGAGGAACCAGAGATACCAGATAGTCCTAGCATATCTCAACAATGGCAACTTAGCAGTTTTTATTAGTGCCACAATCATACTAAAGAAGGAAGTGAGTGGAGAGGTGCAAAGAAAACAAAAAGAGCACAGAAGATGATGGGGAGGACAGAAGCCTAGCTTTTGCTGACTTCTTGGACTGCTTAGTTGAAATCCAGGAGTTCTGAGAAAGTTTAGTCATGCCTGTCCAGCTTTGCCCGTCGCTGGACTTTTTCTGAATTGCCAGTGCCAAATATTTGAAAATTTTTGAGAGATTATTTTTTGTGGAAATATAGCCAAAAGTTTCAGGGAAATAGACAAGTTTCTAAGAAGCTGGACTCCAAGAATGGGTTCCGTGTGAGTAGAAAGGAATATTTTAAACAAACCTAGTATTAAGACTATGGCTATATTCAAAAGTGATTAAAAGTATTTGAGGATTAGTGAGAAAGATACCAAGTGGTATCAAAGTGTTTATTTTAAAGATGAAACAAAGAGATTAAGCTTCTGATGTGTTGATAGAAGGCTAGCCTGTTTTAATAAAACTATTCTCCTTCTTTCGCTTTTTCTCCCTCTTTTTATTTTCATTTTACTTATAATCCACTCCCATTAGCCTTATTCACAGCAGTGGCCCCAGGCAGTCTCAACCATGCATCTAAGATTCTATTCAATTCACTACTTGGTGTCAGTACAGCCCAAACAAAGTGTCACCTCTTGGGGTGATGGCCAAAGGTCCTGAAAACTGATACAAACTTACAAAAATAACTCACCACCTGCATTTCATATCCTCATTTTCTTCTTGTCCATCTATGCTTCAACTTGTACCTCTCTTCCCTTGGCAACCAGAACCTCTGCATTAGCACGCAGTGAGCACACAAATAAGATGATCATTTTTCCCGAGTTCTCTCATCTCCAGCCCATGATGTTTTACTGTTGCATAAGATTTCACTCCAGAATGTCCTTTGGGCCTGACATTCTTAGACGTCAAACATCCCATCCCTACTTGATTTCAAAACTGTTAGTATTCCATAAGTAAAATTAAGTAGGACCCCTAAGGTAACGTTTTCTTTATCTGCTAATTAGTGGCTTTCTAACTTTGCTAGACCAAGCCCTCTAAAACACAATTACACAGGGAGTACAAGAAGGGGACATAGAAAAAGAAAGCAAACATCTAAGTACATTCAGGGATCTCTGTAACATTCAGACACAGAATGTTAGAACTTAGAAGGATCTTAGGCAATATGGTTCAATCCTTGCCAGCTTCACAAGTTGTAGCATTAGCTAGGTGAGCTTGGACATACCATTTACACTCTCTAAGTTTCATTCAGTGACAGAGCCAGGTTTGGGACCCAGATATTCTGATACTTTTCTTCCATGAAGCCTTTCCAATTACATAACCTACAAGTGTGCTCACTCTTTAGTGCAAATGTAGAAAAACAAGCTTTGTGTCCATCGGGCATGAGCAGTGTACCCCCTATTGAAAGTATTTTTGCCAGACTTGGTTGCTCATGCCTGTAATCCTAGTGACTCAGAGGCTGAGGTAGGAGGATCTCTTGAGGCCAAGAGTTCAGGAAGAGCCTGGGCAACATAGAGAGACCCAAAATCTAAAATCAATAAATCAATAAACTATAGTCAGGTGTGGTGGGGTGCACCTGGAGTTCCAACTACTTGGGAGGCTAAGGCAGGAGGACTGCTTGAGCCCAAGAGTTTGAGGCTGCAGTGAGCTATGATTATCACTGTACTCCAGCCCAGGTGATGAAACAAACCCTCATCTCTAAAACTAAAATAAAACTAAAGATAGATAGATAAATAAATAAATAAATAAATATATAAATAAGTGTTCTCAGCACCCACAGCTGCAGCTGTGAATGGTCAGATCAGCTCCAGAGGGCCACTGCGGGAGAGGCCCCAAAACAATAATACGGAGTCCACCATCAGCTCTGAAACCACCAAGAAGCAGCAGACCTTTTGGGAGAGATCAGCACTGACCATAAGTTTTCCTTTTCTAGAGAACTATTTTCTCTCGCAAGCCCTCATCCCTTATCAGGTCCCCAGACCCAACCCCCAGCCTCAGCTCTAGAAAAGTGAATCTTTAAAGACCCAACACTTGACCTGGCTGGCTAAGGGGTAGAGTGCTGTTCATTCGTCATGGAAAATTTCCTAAAGAAAAGAAATGCATTTATCTTAATTCTGCCCTTACGTTTATACGATTCTTTTCCTGAGGATTTCTACTCTTAATAGAAAGGAGAGAAAGAGGAAGAAAAGAAAATCTTTAAAGAACATACTTTATAGCCCTATGTACTGGGTCACGGCTGATAAACTAAGCCCCTTCAAAAGGCTTGAGAGCAGAGTAATTTAGATTTCCATTACCTCAAATAACCAGGGCTGTGTGCTCAGACCATTCCCTGGGTGTATTCTCCTTCTTTGGAGGCCACCTATTTCAGCCCATTAGACTTGCCTGAGAGGTTGTCTTGGGGTTACCGTTGCTTCCCAGGACTTTAGCTGAACTCTGGGAAAGGCAAGCTGAGGGACTATTGAAAAACACAGACATGAAAAACGGAGCTAGTATAAACAACAAAAATTTACGTTATGCAACTGGCAGAAGTTTGCCAGGGAGGATTTTGAGTGCTGGAATATATTTTTAAATCTCCATGAATAACTTAAGATCTAGGTCAAGCCAGGGGCAGAATGAAATAAAAATAAAGAAAATAAAATGAGAGAGATACTGATTTGATTCATTTTCCCATCTGTGAATACCCCGAGATGTAGGCTAAGGAGAAATGCTTGTTAATTTGTGCAAGGGAATTTTTTCTCTGGTTTACTGTGCTATCCTTCCTTTTGGCCTTTGTCGCTCAGTTCCAAACATCACAGTACACTGATGCCTTAAACCTGCTTTGCAAATGCTCATGTCTAGTATTTTGCTTTCTTCTTTAAGCTCAAACCTTTGAGTTCTCAGGCCTTCCATCAGCTTCATGAAATGCACCCCAGCATTGCTCTCTTGATCTGTGTGTCCTCTCCTGAACCCTACCCCTCTAACACCTTAGCCTTCTAGCCACCTACAGTCAGTACCATGTGGAGTTCTGAAGACACAGGTCAAATCTGCCTTTTGAGCTTTCAGACTTCTCCAGCCCTATCTCCTTTTCTTCCAGGGATCTAATGACCATACTGTATCCCATGCCCATGCACAAATCACCAGAATTTTCTTGGACAAAATTACCTTTCTCAGAATCCAGGGCTTAGCCTTCTGGAATTCTCTGTATCTGCTTCCCTCAGAAATCCTGGTAATAGGTAAGAATTTGAAAACAATAAATTTAGGCCAAGTTGTTTGTACCTGAAAACTGACCTCATAGGTGAGCCAATTGGGCACTAACAATAACAATGTAATTTTTGATTTCATTCTGTCTCATTCTATTTTCACAGTCACCCTGTGAGGAGGCATAGAGACATATTACAGATAGCTGAGGTCTCAGTTAGGGGCAAGACTTGTCTAAGGGGATGACAAAAGCTTCTCATCCCACTCAGAGTGAAACTAATCTTCTTAGCATGGCCTTCAAGGCCTGTCATGGTCTGCCCTGTCTTTCCCTCTCATCTCATTTTCCATGACTCTCTGACTCTTATTTTCATATTTTCTTTTGCTAAAGTATAATTTTCAAAAGTTTAAAAACATCACTTTCATAAAAGTATAAATTCAACTTATTAATTAATGAGAGAATTAGTAACCTGTTAATATTGTTACAAAAAAGAATTTGAAGAACAAAGTATGTAGGGTGACAGAAATGTTGGTGTGAATTTACTAATAGATGCAAAACTGGCTAAAATCCAATAGGAAAACTAAGTATAAAGTTTGGAGCAATAAAATTGACAAGACTTTTAGCTAGAATAATCAAAAAAAAAAAAAATAAAGAAGGCTCAAATTATAAAGTCAGAATGGAAGAAGAGACATCATTACCAATCTTACATAAATAAAAAAAAATTTATAAGGGAATGTTATGAACAACTACATACCAATGAATTACATAATATACCTGAATTAGATAAATTTTTAGAAGACACAAATTACAGAAAATTCCTCAAGAAATATAGAAATAATGAATAAATCTTTAACAAGTAAAACAATTGCATTAGTAAGTTTAAAACTCACCAAACATTCAAAGAAAAATTGATACCAATACTTCAGAAACCCTTCCAAAAAACACAAGAGCAAGGAACACTTCTCACCTCATTATCTGAAGTCAGCATTACTGGGTCATCATACAAAGAGACACCACAAGAAAACAAAACGTCAGATCATTACCCCTTATTAATATAGACCCAAAAGTACTCAACAAAGCATAAGCAAATTCAATAAAACAACATATAAATACATATATACACTAAAACAAAGTGAGACTTATCCTAGAAATGCAAGGTTTGTTCAACGTCAAAAAATTACTTAATGTAATATACCATACTAATAGAAGAAAGAGCAAAGCACTTTCTTATATCCTTTCTCAATGGACGCAGAAAAAAACTGACAAAAGCCCAATGCCCATTTAAGATAAAAATGCCCAACAAACTAGAACTAGAAAAGGACTTTCTCAGCCTGATAAAGATCACTATGGAAAGCCCACAGCTAATATCATACTTAATAGTAAAAGACTGAATGCTCTCTCCATAAGATCAGGATTAAGATGAGAATGTACATTCTTGCAACTCCTATTCAACATTGTAAGGGAGGGTCTAGCCAGGGCAATTATTTAAGAAAAAGAAGTGAAAATGAAAGTCAAAGGTTAAAAAGGAAAAAGTAAAACTATTCCATTTGCAGATGGCAAGATTTTGTATATAGAAACTATTTACAATTTCATTAAAAAACTATTAAAACTGGTAAATGAGTTGAGCAAGTTTGCAGAATACAAGATCAATATGCTAAAATAACCTGCGTTTCTATGCATCTGCAGTAAAATTGCAAAAATGAAATTAAGAAATCAATTTTGTTTATAATAATATTAAAGAGAACAAAATACTTAGGAGTACATTTAATAAAATATACACCAACATCATTGAAGGAAATTAAAGATTTAATGAATAGAAAGATAGTCCATGTCCATGAATCAGATGACTTCATATTTTTTAAGATGAGTATGCTTCCCAATTTAACCCACAAGTACAAAACTATCCCAATCAAGTTAGCAGCTGCTTCTTTGTAGAAATCACTAATTGGTCCTTAAATTCATTTAGAAATGCAAAGGACCCCAAAAATCTAAAACAATCTTGAAAAACAACAATAAAATTAGATTACTCAAACTTCCCAATTTCAAAATTTACTACAAATCTATAGTCACCAAGAAAGTGTGGTACTGACACAAGGCTAGATGTATAGATCAATGAAACAAAATTGAGAGTGCATAAATAAACCATATTTTTATGATCAGTTGATGTTCAACAAAAGTGCAGTGGCAATTTCATGAAGAAAGAATACTCTTTTTAACAAATTGTGGAGGGACATCTGGACATCCACATACAAAAGAATAAATTTGGATCTCTACCACATAATATATACAGACATAAACTCAAAATGAATCATAAACCTAAATGTAAGAGCTAAAACACTAAAACTCTTAGAAGAAAACAAAAAATAAATCTTTGTGGCTTTATGTCAAGCAATGGTGTCTTTGATATAACATCAAAAGCACAGGTAACAAAAGAAATAATATAAATTGCATTTAAAATTAAAAACTCTTATTTTGCAAATAATACCATCAAGAAGTGAAAAAGACAAACCTCATAATGGGAGAAAATAGTTACCTATACAAAAAAACAAAAATATAGCTATCTATACAATTGAATATTATTTGGCAATAAAGAATGAAGTATTGATACATGTTATAGCATAAATGAACTTTGAAACCATTATGCTAAGTGACAGAAGTCAGTTTTGAAAGACTGTATACTGTATGTTTACATTTACATAAAATTTTCAGAATAAGCAAATCTAGAGAAACAGAGAGTAGATTGGTGGTTGTCTAGGGCTTGGGAGATGGGGAAAGCAAAACATGAAAAAGAAAGAAGGATCTGCTAATAGGGATGGGGTTTCTTTGTAGGGATGAGGAGGAGCAATAAAATGGTCTAAAATTAGATTGCTGTGCTGTTTGTACAAGCTTGTGCACATACGGAACAAAACTGAACTGTAAGCTTTAAATGGATGAATTGTATGGTATAAGAATCATATTTCAATAGAGCTGCTTAAAATGTATTGTTTGGGACTATCTTTTCTACAGGGTAGAATTCAGTCACATCTCTATTAGACAAAATTCATTGTATTTCTTTAAGGAGGATCATTTGCATTACTGTCAGTTTTCCACAAGTAAAATAACTTAGAAAATTGAAATTCAGTTAAAGAGAAACATCTCAATATAATCAGATATCCCCAGAGGATACCCTAGACAATGCTCAGCTCTCTACTGAATGGATACTTAGGTATCTCTTGCCCATTTCCAAGTCCTGCAATTTCCCTTGAAAAATATGAAGCTTGTTCTAACCACAGGACCTATACCAGTTCTATCCCCTCTACTTCAAGCATTCTTCATACATATATTTACCTGGCTCATTCCCCTTTTTCATTCCGGTCTCTGCTCAACTGTTAGCCTCTTATTAAGAGCTTCCCTAATCACATGTATTAGTTATGTTTAACACATTGTCCCACAAAGCTGTGGCTTTAAACAACAAATATTATCTCAGAGTTTCTCTAAGTCAGGAATCTAGGATTATCTTACCTGGGTGGTTCTGGTTCCGGAACCTTCCTTCCACCGCAGTCAGAAGGTTGGTAGGGGCTGTAATCATCTGAAGGTCTGACTGGGGCTGGAGAATCTATTTCCTAGATGGCTCCTTTACATGGCTGTTGGCAGGAGGCCTCCATTCCTTGCGACATGAACCTCTTTATAAACTGCTTGAGTATCCTCACAACATGACAGCTAACTTCCCCAGAGAAGACAATCTAAAAACAGGAGGAGGAAGACACAGTGGCTTTATTATCCAGCCTGAAAGCCATACATCATCACTTCTACTTTATTCTATTTGCTAGAAGAAGTCACTAAGCCAAGCCCACATTCAAGGGGAGGTAGCTTAGGCTGCACCTTTTGAAGAGAGGGTGAAAGAGTTTGTGGACCTATTTTAAAGCACTATAACACACCCCTATGCAAACACATCTCCTTGTCTGGTACTTTCTACTGCCTTATTTGATTTTTGCTTCCTTCATAACATTGGTATTATTATATTATATATGTATGTGTGAATTATTGCTTTCCCCACCACAATATAAGATCAATAAAAATATTGCATTATTTCACACTGAATACTCAGCACATATAATAGTACAAGACATATATTAATTCAATGACTGTTTTGTTTCCTAATTAAACGAACATATGGATGAAGTTATAAATTACAGGAGCAGAACCAGGCTTGGAAACTAGGTACAATGACTCCTAACCTATGCTATTTCCCCGTATTTTACCTTAGCGGAATTCTAACGGTTGAATGCACCTCAACAGTGATTCTGCATGAGGAAAGGGATCCTCCCAGTCCTCCATGACATCACTCAATTGAGACCTCTTCCACACTTCACAGATCTAAAACAAACCCTGCTGACCAAAATTCAAGAAAGTCTTTCTTTGATCCATATGCACAAACAAAAACCCCCTCATCTTTTAAGAGTCTGCATGGGGCCTTGGAAGGGTGGGATATGTCTGATACCCCCACATTTTCTCTTCTCTTTGTAAAGAGAAAGTTAAATAGCACTGAAGCAGCCTGGAGCCCAGGGTTTAATACAAGTATTGCAACTGGGTTTAGGAGTAAGAGACCTTGAATGCTACCTTGCTTGTTCACTCCCGTTTATTCAGGATTTAGCAGGATTTCTGAAGCCAAATATTGATGCTCCTTGGCTCTGGAGAGCAAGGAAATCCACACACAATTAGGAAACAGATGGTAATGGAAAGTACACAGGATTGGGCATCCAGATACTTTGTATCTATCACTAATTTGCTGAAAATTTTATTTTTCATACCTGTAAAATGGCAGGGTGTGGCTGAGGAGAGTATAGACAACTTCAAATTCCTATTCAGGTTCTACTGTTTTGTAAGTTCGGACATGTCTTAGCATCCCTTGGATAGTCTTTGCCAGTTTCTTTCCAGGTATTTCAACAACAATCAGCATGGGACTCACTTTCATGTTTCTCTCCCTTCTCTAGCAGCCTTCAGATTCTAGGAAGATGATGCGTATAAAAGAAAAAAAAAGGCATTTCTCAATGATCTTTTTAGTACAAAGAAAAGTGATGGGAGACATTTAAGACAAACTGCCCACTTCCCGCACAATATGAGGCAAAACACCAACTTCAGGGGACGGGAGAATGGAAATCTTAGCTCTTCCCTATCACCTCCCAGCCAGTGGGAAGTCAGAAAGAATGGTGACTCCTCACGCTTACAGAGGGCAGTGTTATTTCAAAGACTATGGTGAGTTCCCCAGCTCTCAGCAAGGGTACCATCTCACCACTCCCCTTGGTGCCCTCGATGGAGCTTCTCAATCAACACCAAAGGAGACGCGATCTTTAGGGAAACTCCAAGCCTCAGGAACTACCTCATTAAACTGGTGTCTTAGCTGAAGAGACAGTGGTGGGGGTGAATTGGCAACAAGATGTTCATATGTGCCCTCTGATTAATTCACAGGGGGAAATTGTCTTATAACTTTCCACCTGAATGTCTGCCTCTGCATAGCCATGGAGCAGTGCCCTGGAAACAGTAACAGTGATGATAACAATGAGAACAACACCCACTCTGTTTAAGCCCTAGCCCCAGGCAACCTCCTTACCTGATGTGACACCAGAAGGAAAGGACATGGCATTTTCTCCCTCACGAATGTCTGGGAAATCCTATCCTTGCTTGGGTCTTGGGCTGCCATATTTCAATCAAAAGCAAAATGGAGAAAGAAGAATTTAAGAAGTTATTGGGAAGCAAGGAATAAGTGAAAGGAGAGAAAACTCAGTTTTTTTGCTTTACGGCCTGTGATATATGCAAGCTAACCAATTAAAGAATGTCAGAGCTAGAAACATTCTCAGAGATTTAGTTCAATGTCCTTCTGTTTTAGATGAAGAAATACCACAGACAGGTGAAGGAATTCATTCACAATCTCATGGTGTGAGGATCACTTGATGGTTAGGAGTTATGGTTGCAGACAGAAATGAACGGGCCTGAAGAATGGAAGAAACAGGTGAGAAAGCCAAGATGCTGATTTCTACTGAGTTTTAGAAACCATGATCAATAGTATTAGTGACTCTTAAGGAGGGCGATAAAAGGGACAGAGTCCAGGATGTTCCCAGATTTCTAGCATGGGAGACTGGTTACATCTCGGTGACATGTATTAAGATGGGAGATACCAGAGAGGGAACAGGTCAAGAGTTTGAGACTATGTGTCTTATTTGAGAAGGAAATTCAGTTGCAACACCCAATAATCAATTAGGGTTGGAACCCAGGAGACAGGTTCCGATTTGAGAGACAACATGTACTGTGGGTGACAATCAAAGCCATGGGAATGGATGAGGTCTTTGAGAAAGAATTTGTAAAAGGGAGTGGAGAACAGAGCATCTGAAAGAGATGGGTGCTTGAGGGGCAGAGAGAGAAAAAAGAAATGGGGAAACTGAGGAGTGGCCACTTGGGTTGGGGGTAGAACCTGGAATAGAATGTTGGAGTCAAGAATAGCTCACTGCAGAATCTAGGGCCCATGGAGCCCACATGTGCTTAGCCAGGCTCTCAGACCTTTTGCTCTTTCCTGGTCAGGATGAGGTAGGAAAGTCTCCAACATATTTGCTCTGATTTGCTCTCCTGCACGTCCCAATATGAAGTTTGTAGGCTCCTGAAGCAAAGTCAGTGTTCTCAGATACAACCCAGAGTGAATGCCTCTAGAATCAGCCTCTGCTAAGCGATTTCCCAAATGCTCCATATAGCCCATTTGCAGTGTCCCGCATTGAAGGTCTGGTGTGCAGATGTGTCTCTTTAGATAAGGGTGCTGCTCTTTTGATATCTGTTAAATCACAATGACTTGGACTGTCTCATGTTTAGAAGACTCAGAACTTTGTAGAAAAGATGAGAGGAAAAGCGAAGAGAGGAAAAAGAGTAAGGAAGAGCATGGAAAAAGAAAAGCAGTTAAAACAAACATCTAAATAGAAGTCTCTGTGCTTTCAAAGCTTTGATTTCTCAAGCAAAACATTTCTTAAGTGAAAAAGCCACCACTTATTCATTCTTTATTTTTACCTTTCTAGTGTTTGGTGTAAAGTAGGAGCATAAATCATGTCCCATTAATTCATTCAAGAGTCCTAATGCTAATTCTATCAAAAAACCCAGCACAAAATGCCCAAGCATTCATTATAACAGGATTTGAGACCCAATGTGCTGCTCCTTCATGCTTCTCCTGAGAGCGATTTTCCTTGGTTACCCCCATCCTCCCTTTCATTGGCTTCCCCAGGCTCTGGCTTCTCCAAAGCATTTGAAGAATAAGTAGTCATTCTTCATGCTACCTGTTCATTTTTTTCAAAATGAAAAGTTGTACAAAGTATGCAGAAAAGCACAAAAATATGCATTAGTCTTAAGAAGCCAGGGCTGTCCCAACATATTACTCCCATAATTTTCCACTGTGGGTTCCCAGATGGGTTGGATGGTGCTCATGATTCTTCAGCTTATTTCATGCCTTATGCAGCCAGCTCCTAGGGAGGTATGGAAAATGAGAGCCCAGTCTGGAACCTCAGACCTTCAGACTGCCAAGGGCTGGTAGGATTTCCCCAGCATCCAATCTTCATCCTTATAAGGGTCTGCTCTGCCAAGGACCCATTCTCTTGATTTCAGCTCAATGATCTTGTCTGCCTTGGCAGGGCCTGCTCACCACAAGCTTGGATGTCATGGAATTTTGGGGAAGAAAGAGCATTAAATACTTCTCCATGTTACTTCTTGCCCTCCCTGAAACAGTTGACTGGACTCTAACACTTGGTTTGGGGAAGAATTTTACCCCGAAGCCATCTGGCAAGGCTGAAGACATGTCTTTTTATATTCTGCTTTCCTTGGGAGTAATAGGCCAAGAGAGATTCATGTTTGTCTCACAAAGAGGAGGTGACCGTGGTTTCTGGCAACACCTTGCTTTAAGGCAGTGGAGTCAAGAGTAAAGAGGCTGGAAAAGCAGAATACTTACTCTACCTCCACCCCTCACTCCCCTGGGGACTTGTCTATGGTCAAATCCCTAAAGACTCTCTTTTCACATTGATAAATCAGGGGCAAGAACCACATAGCTCACCCCAATTTAGTAAGGCCAAAACAAGAGAGGAGTAGTGAGCATTTGAGAAGCACTGACATGGAAATTATAAACAATGAAGCCCTCTATAAACAGGCTCTTGGCTGAGTTTTAGAGGTGGATTTCTTCATCTGGTTTGGGGCATGTCAGTTCATCCATATAACTCCTGCACGAATCTGATCCAAAGTGTGCAACTCAATTCCTTCTGCATCTCCTTCCCTCACCTTGCTCATTTCTATAGGACACAGTATATTTCAGCACATAACTGCACATCAAGTAAAATTTACTTGGGAGGGGTGGCAGCTAACCAGAATTTGAGTTCTTGCTCAGCGACATGGAATGTATGAAGCAAGGGCCTGGCTAAACAGCTTTATATAATACGACCGAGTAAAGTAGGGTAGTACCAACAAAGAATTTGACTAAGCCTTTGGAGCTTCTTGTCCTGACCAAGTTCACCTGTAGTGAGGAGAGAACAGCCATTCATGGATCACTCAGGTGGTGACAAGGCGACGAGGTAATGCCTTTACTTTCACAGCATATGAGTGGCCTCTCTGGGCTGTGGGCAGAAGCTGCCATGGCCTGGAGGCAGGTCCTGCCATTTTGAAAGTGCCTCCATATCACCCTTCCACATTACTTTTGTGTTTGTAAATGTATGTCTGTCTATATAATCTCCCCCTCTATTCTGGCAGGAAACTCATTTTGTAATGGAACAAAATCAGTCAGCTAGAGTGTCCACTAAATCGCTGTTGCGATATACAAAGGGGCTGGGTTGATATTTGATGTCGAAGAAAGAAAGAGAAAGTGGCCCTGAAGATAAGCCTGGGCCGAGAGGAAAACAGATCAGGCACCCTGAGACCTGGGAGGCACAAGCATGACGAATTTCTACCTTCTGTCTTGGTACAATGTCGACTAAATGTGTCTTTCCACTTTACATCTCAAAACTTAGGTAATGGGGTAGGAAAGCTTAGTGTAACTGAGACAGAATTGAGGACAATGAAGTCTGCTGGCCTGGCTTCCCGCTGTAATGACATGCTGGATATTCATCTCAGCTAAGCCACTTCAGACAATAAAGGAAAGGTCTTAGGATGTCAAATAATTAGTACTAGGCCTATGTGGCTGCTGTACGTTGTATTTATGTCTCATTGTGTAACACAGAGCAAGTCACTGCTCTCTGGAATTTTTCATCTGTAAAATTATATTACAGCTAAGAACTGACCTACCAGAGGGCAAGAGAGTTCCAGCCCTTTAACACCCTGGTATTGCATTAGGGTTGCTCAACCCAAGGGTCATGATGCATAACTCTCTGGCCATGGAGAATCGTTTGTGTGGCTAGAATTTCCTGCTGTGCCCCCAGCCCAATGCCAGGAAATCTCTCCTCTGTTTTTTTTAATTGATCTTTTGTTCGTATGTGTTGTTTCTTCTTTTCTTTGTAGGCTATGAGAAATTGAAGTAAAAGAGGAGGGCTAGTGATCTAGTAGGAACTGGATTTCAATTTTGAATCTGAGTACTTGGTGACATGAGATAGGGTGTTGATAGGTTCACCCATCACCTAACAGCAGAGCAAGGAGAAGATAAGATGGGATGCCAAGCACAAGAATAGATTTCTGAAGGGTCCCAGGGCCCATGAAGAGGGGCCAGACCCACACAGATCCCTACAGTAACTTAGGAGCTGGCACAAGGCAGTGAATTTAAGGGCAGTTGGTCCTTCACTCTAGGTATGTCCCTTTATGGTTTGGCAGCCAGGTATATGCCAGCTTTTCAGGGGCAGGCATTGAAAGCTGCTGTGGGAAGCACAGCTGGCAGACCCTCCAGATTCTCGAAATTTCACCACTGTCCCTGGTATGTTGGCTAGGCCTGCCTCAGTCCTTTCCCTCTTACTGACTCTCAAGAAAGGGATGCCAACCCGTCTGCTTTGTCTGGGAGACTTCCGCTGTTTCTGAGAAATACTGGCTATTGAGAATACCTTCCGGTCTCTGGTCCTCCCCAGTTCAATCAGCCACAGACAGGGCACTTGTTTCCTCCTTGCACCTTAAGGGACAATCCACCCACCTGCCTCCTCACTCCTCGCTCGCAATGCTTACTCAGCCTAGGCTGGAGCCCACCTGAAATGGGGAGGGCCAGGACAACTCTCTTCAGAAGTAAGGGGTGTGGGCGACTTTGTAATGTCTGAGGCTTTGGGTTTCTGAAAATGTCACTGTGTTTTTGCTGAGTCATGGCCAGTTTTCCTGATCTCCATTTTTCCTCTTACTGCTTTTGCCCCTTTTGTCTGGTCCTCATTCCTTAGAACTCAGATATCACAAAATGTCTCCTGGGAATAGATGTACTGAGGCACTGCTACCCTCTTTCTCTCTCTCTCCCTATCTCTCTCTCTCTCACACACCCCCACAGATACACACACACACACACAGAGGAAACCTCATGAAATCTACAGGAAAAAGTATTAGTTTGGTGCAAAAGTAATTTGCGATTTTTGCCATTCCTTTCAATGGCAAAAAACACCATTACTTTTGCACCAACCTAATATTTGGCATTCAATTACTTCTCAAGCAACTGATTGCCTAATCTCTTTTCCTTTAAAAAAATTTATGTTCTACCTGTATAAAACAATATATAGTTTTGTTTTTTAAATTATTCAAGCTGGAAAGTACAAAAAAGTTTAAAAAATCACTCCAGTATTCCATCATTAAGACCACTCTTGTTACTTTTACGTAAGAATTGTTCCTGTGATCTCTCAATGTATACTGATAGGCATAACTTTCTAAAAATGAGATCTTACTGCTGTTTACTTTTTAAAATCAAAAGTATTAAGTTTGCCTGAATTTAGACTAAGAAAAAGATTATTAGGAACCTTTAAAAAATCCTAATATAAAAAATGTCACTTTAACACATGAAATATTCATTCCTAAAAGGATTCTTTTTGTTTGGGGTAGGGGGAGGAGTTGCAAAACTTTAAGATATGGGAACCACGACATTTTTTAACTCATTAGACCCTGGCTTTTAGGGCCATGGCTTGTATTTTACACTTGTTTAGAAGCTATGTTCTTCAAAAATAAAATTAGAACTCACCAGGTGTTTTAATTATTCTTTACACTCCTGCTTCAACACTTTTGCATCGTGCTTCCTATCTACGTAACACGAAGAATCCCCCTCCACTGGGACAACCATCTAGAAAGGGGGAAGAGAAGGAGAGGTTAAGGAAGAGACTGAGAGGATCAGATATCTAGAGAAAATCCATTTGAAGCAAGGTAGACTGGCTTTCTGCCTAATTCCCCCTTTCTCTTAGCAATAACAGTTTCATAATTAGCTTTAGCCAGATTTCTAGATAATTAATCCTCCCACCACAACCTGCCCTACACCATTGTGACTTGGAAAAAAAATTAACCCCATTTTAATGGTACTGATCTACTTACATATGTTCTTATAAAACTGCTTTAAAAATGCAGTATAAGTAAGTGTAATGCTTAGAAAGCTGTGGGGCATGTCTCAGTATCAAAGCATTACTGAATTCAAAACAGCATGGGTATACCGGTATTCCAACCTGTACTCACATCTCTTCTAACATTTTAGGATGTGCCATAGCATATGTCAAGGTTGCTTATTAAACTTTCAATCTTCTCCTGTTCTTTGGCATCCCAAACTCCCTGACCCCTCATACTTCCTACCCCAGGAGAACTTGCCCTTCCATCCACAGCATTTTATCCCGCCATCTTGGTCCCTCAATCTTCCCCCCTCCTTTTCTCCCCTTCCAGTGTGCTCCTCAGTAGTCATGAGCCTGGGCGCTTGCAGCTCCCGCTCAGGAATGCGCTTGCCTTGCTTTCGTCCTTTCTCTTATCAGAGAGGAGTGGGGAAGAGAGAAGATGAGCAAATATGCCATAAGAGGGGAAAGGCAGGGTCTGTCACCTCCACTTTGCTGATGATTGATGTCATGTTGCACTGGCTTTGTGGCTGGGCCCTTGTGAAAGGTGTGAATAGTGGTGGGGTGGGGGACAGATTGTTTGAAACCATCTCTCTCCGGTTGGTTTTGTTGGTTTCTCTACTCCTAGAAGCAGAGGAAAAAGAGGGGGAAGTTAAATATGTGGTGATGGTACTACCTTTTAATCAGTGTCTCCAAATATCCTTCAGAGCAGATTTTCTCAGCATCGGCCAGCATGAAACGAGGGTCTTTTTAAAGATCATTTTCTTTCTTGGATCAAAGTTTCTTTGTTTGTGATTCTGAGTTCCGTTCCTGTGTGTCTCTGTGGTAGGGCCTTGAATAGAGGACTAGAAGGAGAAGAATAAGAAGAAAAGTGTATATCAGGTGCTTTTAAAAAAATCAATTCAAACGAAAATTGCAGAAGGGTGCCTGGACAGCTAGGCTGACAGTGACCAGAGCTGGAGAGAGAGGCTCTGCCTGGTAACAGAGCTCTGATTGGCCAGACCTGTGCAAGGACTAGGCCTATAGGGACGGCTCTGAGCTGTGCTTCTGCAGGCAGCTGAACTTGGCAGGCACAAGCAAGCCCTGCAAAGACACGCTCAAAACAATCCAGAGTACAGACAGCTGCTGGCGTGAAGAAGCTGTGAGTACTGACAGCACTTGGGGTTGTGAGCCTGCCACTTAACTCTACAGCCTACTGCCTCTGCCTCTTGTGGTTAGATTTCTGTCTTCCAGATGATTAACTCTTTGAGACATGGTCTTACCAACAGTGGTAACACAGGCAGGGAGTGTCTTTGAAAAACAACTGGCCAGGGAGTCAGGGGTCTAGGTCTATACCAGGCATTAAATACTGTATGTATTAGCATGAACAGGGGTGTCTGCTTGACACTGTGGTACAAGCTCCACACCACCAATCCCTCATACAGCCCAAGAAGATAGAAACAGTTACGATCCCATTTTCCAGAGAAGAGAACAGAATCAGGCCCTGCACACACAGTCTGCAACTATTTGGGGGCACATGTGGACTCTCAACCATCTTCCGGTCGACAGCAGTTCAGTGTCAACTGGAAGACAGGCTGCTCTAAGGCAACGATGTCTTCTGGCCAATTTTGGGCTGAAATTGAAGTATTAGGTAGAGCCAATTGTTCCTATTATTAAAAATAAAACCCTGGGAGAAAAGATTGAAAAACGAATATTTTTTAGTGAGGAATTAATAGATATTTGTATTCACAAACTGAGTACTTAAATGCAGTTTAAAATGAAGGGACTGGCCAGTTGTGGTGGCTCATACCTGTAATCCCGGCACTCTGGGACACCAAGGCGGGAGGATCACCTGAGGCCAGAAGTTCAAGACCAGCCTGGCCAACATGGTGAAACCCCGTCTCTACTAAAAATACAAAAATTAGCCTGGCATGGTGACGTGTGCCTGTAGTCCCAGCAACTCAGGAGGTTGAGGCAGGAGAATTGCTTGAACCTGGGAGGCAGATGTTGCAGTGAGCTGAGATCATGCCACTGCACTCCAGCCTGGGCGACAGAGCGAGGCTCCATCTCAGGAAAAAAAAAAAAAAAAAAAAGGAAGGGATTGTATCTATATGCAAGAAAATATACAGTTCAAAAACATATTGTTTACTGGAAACAAATTGCAAAACAATTCATGCAGTGTATTATTCAGCCAAAATTTTACAACTACAAAGCAATACCATCTATTATCTGATATATAAAATCTGTAATGAGCTAATAAAAACATGGACCGGAATAGTATATATCAAATTACTGACAGTGGTCATCGCTGGAGAGAAAGAAGCAAGACTAGGATGGAGAGGAGGAACAAAATGGTTTTCAATTTTAACTGTGAGATATACTATCTGAAGCCTAAGTGACAAAAAGTGAACATTTTAAATATGAGCAGGGGATATGTGTATCATATTATTCTTCTGCTTTTTCTGAATTAGAAAAAAATAGGAGGGTCTTTCCCGGGGGCATCTTCATTGTGCCATCCTGCTCATGTGATGGGAAGAAATTCATCCCTGGCGTTATTGCTCCTAGGAACATCCTGTGGGAGATGAAAGTATGTGTGCTGTTTTGAAATTAAAAGCAAAGCAGGAAAAGTCAAGAGTCCTCTTTTTCAGAGAGAAAAACTTGCAGAACCTGTGGAGTTGTTACCCCCATACTGTTGACAATCCTCACTCTTCCCTTCCCTTCTCAGCCAGAAAGCAGCCTTTATTATTTATTATTTTTATTTTTTGTACAGGGCTCCCAGCCAGCCTCAAGGGTCTATGTATGCTAGTGTGATTGCTGTGTTTTTCTAACCACTTCAAAGGTCATGTTCACTTATCTGTGAAAACAAGTTCTCATTCCTTGCACCCTATTTGCCTTCATGTCTCAGGAAATAGGGACGGGCAAATCACTTGCCAGGTGGGAAGAAAATAAAGGAATGTTGTACACACACCCTACTCTGAAGACCAGAGCGGAAAGGGAACCTATCTGTGTATCCCAAGGGGGCTGTGAGCAGGAGAGAAAGACAGAAATACAGCAGAGAGATGTGACTTACATGTCCTAATCTCCCCACTCCCGAGGTGAACCCCAAGATCAGAAGGAGGCATAGTGAACATTTCCAACTAGATATGGAAGGAACCTGAGAATATTTGGAGGAGGAGACCAGCGACACTGTTTCCCAAACACAGCTTAGGGGAGACTGGGAGCATCTTGGAAGAGCCCCACACAGAGCCATGTTCAGCATGGCCTGAGTGAGGGCGGAAACTTTAGCGGTGGAGCAGGAAAGTGACCAGCTAGGCAAGCCTCCAGCAGCACTGCTTGCACTCCATGGCCTGCCCGGGCTGAACAGTGGACCTAAGAATTCATAAGTGCTCCAGAGAGGGACAAGGAGGGACTAAGAGGGCCCTGAGTTAAGAAAAAGACATCACATTGCCCCCAAATGCCACTGGGGACCAGTGGTGCAGAGTGAATCAATCGGTGACTGTGATACACAGTTTAGTTTGTCCTCTGTCATAAGAATAAATATCAGATATCATAATCAGGGAAAGCACAAAGAAGAGAGAGCTTTTGAGAGCTGTTTACCTAGAATTTAAATTCTTCATGTTCACTTTAGTACCTCTTTAAATGCTCAATTCCTGCGAAAACATGTATTGTAACCCAGTGCTATCACTCTAAAAGCTGTGGTAGAAGGTGTGGAGTTTTAAGTATGGAAGAGGGTATGTGCTAAATAGAAAAGGTAAATAGAAAGCTTTTTAAAAATCTGGGTAAATGCACACACATATCCACATGCAGGATGCACAAATGAACCCTATGAGGGCTCTGACACTAAGAAACTGGCAGTACCTGGACTACAGATTCAGCAGGAACAAGTCCACAAACTGAGCAGGCAGTTAATGAGCTTAGCACCCATCATCCCTGGCTCAGAGTATGGCCCTGGAATTCTTTGTTGCAATAAAATATAAAATAGAACCTGAAAAGAAGCTTGGCTATGAGCAAGTAAGGCTTCCTTCATTTGCCTGGTCCCACAGGCTCTCTGTTGCAGTGGCGGCAAACCCACCCAGATGGGTTGTGCTCTGCAACTTCAAGCAGCCCTATCACCAGTGAGGGTGGTGGCAATGCTCCAGGCCCCTTGGGGCAGGGGAGGTAAGACAGCATGCCATCTGATGCTGCCCCCCTTGCTGACCTGGGCAGCGGGCACATTCCTCAGTTCCCTCTGACCCATGGGCTGTCCTGAACTGAACTCTGCTCAGCTCCATCCCCTCTGCTCGCCTGCTCCCTGCAGAGTGAGCCCGCCCCTTGCTGGCTAGGCTTTCCCTGCCTTATTTGGTTTAAATTACTTTTTTGAACTTTGGTCTCATTATTTTTGGACCATCATTTGGTCTGGAAGATTTTCTTTCCACGGGTTCCTTCTGTTCTTCCTTTTCACCCTCTTGAATGTGCTTCCCAAGGCCTCTTTTTGCAGTTTCTTTTGGGTGGTTTTTATTACCTTCATGCATCTAATCTGAGTAGGGAGAAGCTCCAAGATCATTGTTATCTTCCCGCTTGGAATCCTGCTTGTTTGGTTGTTATGGGAGCTCCTCCATTTAAAGGGCTGGGGAACTCTGCTTCTCCAGGAGCTCGTGACCCAGCTCCCAGAATGGCCTTTTCCAACACAACATGAGAAACCAGCTTCAGCGGCAACCCTGCAGGGCCACAACCCATCCTCACTCTCGGAAACAAACCCATAGATCTGGGGCCGCCCCTCTAGGCACACACCTAAAGATACCATGGCACTATTTCTTTCTCTCCTCTTATAGCAAGAGTTTGATTTTGTAGTTGAACTGGTTTGGATGGTTCAGGCTGCAAGTAACAGAATATATCTCAACTGGCTTGAGCAATTAAGAAAACATTATCTCCTATAACAAAAGTCTATGGGTAGGACAATTCTGAGGCTGGTGAATTCAAAGCTCACAGACATCAACAAGGCCCTGGTTCTTTCTGTCCTCCTGCTCTAGCACCCTCATGTATGGGCTCGTCCTTGGGTTAGCTAATCTACTGGTGAAACGTGACTACCATAGTCTTACCCATTGCTATGGTCTGAGTGTTCGTGTCCCCCGCAAGTTTCTATGTCGAAACCTAACCACTAATGTGATCATATTAAAAGGTGGGGCCTTTGGGAAGTGATTTGGTCATGAGGGTGGAGCCTTCATGGTTGGGATTAGTGCCTTTAAAAAAGAGGTCCCAGAGACCTGTCTTGCCCCTTCCACCATGTGAGGACACAGTGAGAAGCACCATCTATGAACTGGGAAGCAGGCTCTCACCAGACATTGAATCTGCCAGTGCCGTGATCGTGGACTTCCTAGATTCCAGAACTGTGAGAAATAAATTTCTGTTTTTTATAAGCTTCTTAGTTTATGGTATTTTGTTATAGAAGCCCAAAAGACCAAGACACCCAGACACCACAACATCCAACAGAAAAGAGAGCTCATCTATTCGCACATGAATACACCTTTCATGGAAACCCTTCCATGGGATAAGGCCTTCTCTCACATCTTATTGCCCGTGCCCAAACCAATTCCTATCAAGAAGAACAGGACCACTATTGACTCGGATCAACCATAAATAAAGTTCTGGAGTTGAAGAGGGGCTCCATCTTTCCAGAAGTTCATAACTTCACAGAGGAAGGCAAAGGCCTGAACCCATCAGTAGGCCTTTTAAAAGAGAGGAAAGGGGGAGTGTGTTGATAGGTAGACTCACAGCTCTGTCTGCTACCCTGTAAGAGAAAATCCAGATTTCTGCCACAAAGTTTCTGTTCCTGTATTTCTGATTCACCCTACTTCTCTCCAGTAACTCTGATGTTTTTTGTTTTCTAATGTCTCTATATTTTTTATGTCTCCTGAGGAGGCAGAATATTATAACAATTAAGTACTTGAATTTAGAGTTAATTAATCCTGGATTTGAGGCCTAGCTCTACCATTTACTAGCTGGGAGCTTTTTCAAGTTACCTTATCTCTCTGGATTTTTGTTTTCTCACTCAGAATAGCAAATAATAATAGCAACCACTTATATAGAGATTACTATATACCAATCAGTCTCCTAAGTCTTTGCATATATCAACAGATTTAAGCTGCACAACAACGCAGTGAGATAAATACTCCTACTCCCCACTTTTAAAATGAGAGAGGCTGGGTGCAGTAGCTCATGTCTATAATCCTAGCACTTCAAGAGATCGGGGTGGGAGAATCCCTTGAGCCCAGGAGTTCAAGACCAGCCTGGGCAATGTAGCGAGACCCAGTCTCTACAAAAAACAAAAAACTTAGCCAGGAGTGGTGGTGCACACCTGTGGTTCCAGCTACATGGGAGGCTGAGACAGGAGGACTGCTTGAACACCGGAGGTTGAGGCTGTAGTGAGCCATGTTAGTGCCACTGCACTCCAGCCTGGGTTAAAGAGCATGACCTAGTCTCAAAATAATAAATAAATAAACCAAGGCACAGAGAAGTTAAGTAAGCTGCCATAATCACACAGCTTGTGAGGAGCAATGCTGTGATCTAACACTATAGAGTCTATGACCCCAATCACTTCATCATACTGCCTCTTTCCCCCGCCCCCCACCCCACCACCCAGGAGTTTAAGAGTGGAGATTTAATAGGCAGAAGAAAGAGAAAGGAAAACAGCTCTCTATCTAGTGTGAGAGAGAGGACTTCTGAGAGGAAAGGCCCTCATACTGTCTCTTAATGAAATACAAAGGCAATCAAAACAGTGCTCATAGGCTGAAGATTATTAAGAAGATAACACAGGTCAAACATTTAGCAGAGAGGCTTGAACACAGCATATACTCTAAATATTAGGTAAGAAATTCTACACAATCACTTCACATGTATACAAGTCAGCCTGGCATATAGTGAGAGAATTAAACACCCCCTTTCTGGTCCTCCTTGGGCCAAACTTCTCTCAGTTTCACAACTTGTTCTAGAACCTAGCCCGTGGTTTACTTACAAAGTATTCCTTTTACTTTCTTAGCTATTAATAGAACAAAGCAAAACCTCTGTGAGTACAAAATTATGTGATCCAGAGCCTCAGCCTGTGTCTACCTGATTGTGACCTAGAGAGTCCTGTCCAAATAATTCTCCAGATCTAAAGAAATCCCCCATTGCCATAAACTCATACTGGTCCTAATTCTGTTTCCGCAGCCATATAGTTCTACTTCTCATTTTATTCTCCTTCAAAAATTGTGAAGTATTTCTAATACAGGATATAAAAAATTCTAGAGAACAACTTAAAGCACACACATGTGCCACAACCAAAATTTTGAAAAATATTAATGTTATCATATATGTTTCAGGCCTTTTAAAAATAAATTAAACACTAAAATACAACTGAAGCCCCATCCCCTCATTTTCTTCCCCTTTTTGGTAACCCCACACATAAAGATATGTATCCCACTTCCATGAGTTTTTATATTTTTAGTACATTTTTATACAAAAACATTTATTATTGTTTTGTGTACCTGGTAACTTTAAAAATAAATGATGCCATACTGTTTATAAGATTCTGCTCCTTGCTTTTTAGTAAATCAATGTTTATTTTCACTTCTTTTGTGTTTTCTACTTTTATGCTTCTTTTTTAAATCTTTTTTTTTCTCCTTCCCTGTCTTGTGTTGGATTAATAGGGCTTTAGCTATTCTCTCCACATCAACGCCTTTTCACCAATCAGCTTCTGACTTACACGTTACATTGTATTTCTTTCCTTCTTTCTTTCTTTTTTTTTTTTTTGAGACGGAGTCTTACTCTGTCGCCCAGGCTGGAGTGCAGTGGCGCTGTCGCCCAGGCTGGAGTGCAGTGGCGCAATCTTGGCTCACTGCAAACTCCACCTCCTGGGTTCACACCATTCTCCTGCCTCAGCCTCCCAAGTAGCTGGGACTACAGGCGCCCAACACCATGCCTGGCTAATTTTTTTGTATTTTTTTTTTTTTTTTTAGTAGAGACAGGGTTTCACTGTGTTAGCCAGGATGGTCTCAATCTCCTGATCTCATGATCCACCTGCCTTGGCCTCCCAAAGTGCTGGGATTACAGGTGTGAGCCACCATGCCCGGCCTGTATTTCTTATATTTTAATGGTTACCGATAAATTGTTAAATATACATATATATACAGTCTTGCATCACTTAACAACAGGAATATGTTTGAGAAATGTCTCATCAGGCAATTCTGTCATTGTGCAAACATCGTAGAGTGTACTTATACAACCCTAGATGGTATAGCTGATTACACATCTAGGCTATATGGTATAGCCCATTGCTGCTAGGCTACAAACCTGTACAGCATGTTTTGGTAATGAATACTGTAGAAAATTGTAAGTATTTGTGTATCTAAACATATTTAAATATAGAAAAGGTATGGTAAAAATATGGTATTATAATCTTCTGGGACCACCATCATATATGTGGTCCATCATTGACCAAAATACTGTGCAGTGCCTGACCTCACAGAAATTTTTGCTAAGTTCTAAGTTTATTCATAATTTCTAGAATCCTCTTAAACAAAACAGAAATCTTAGTATGTTTTAACTAGTTTATTGAGCACTCCCTACCACCAACATTCTTTGATGCTATTGTCTAGACTTTTGGCCCCATTTTTTAATACAAAATTTATTTTTATGTAGTTAATAGTTAATGCACTTTTACTGAACTACTTTACAAATTTTTCTCTCTTGCTCCCAATTGTTCTCTCTGATTTCTCTTTTCTCTTTCTTGAACTAAATGCAAGGGTCTGGGAGCAGTAAATTTTCTTAGTCTTTTTGTAACTTAATGTATCCTTATTTTGCCCTCACAATTGATTAATTTAGCTGGGATGAAATTCTAGGTTGACTTTTTTCTTACTGCTATGAAGATATCAACTCATCTGCAATGGGGGTCTAATCTAGCTGAAGATCATTCTTTTGTGAATATAATCATTAATCCTTTGTGAGTAAGCTGTCTTTTCCTTCTGGTAGCTTCTAATATGCATTTATTTTTATTATTCATGTTCTACAGTTTCACTACAGTGTAAATAGATGTGGTTTTATTTTCATTTGTTCTGTTTGCATTTTATATGAACTTTCACCAAAAGATTCACGACTTCAATTCTGGAAACTTACATCATTCTCTATTTCTTTTCCCTGGAACTCCTAATCAGATGCATACTGGAGTCTCTCAATCCATTTCTATTCCCCTTAACTTCCCATACAAACATTAATATGTTTGTATGCATATATATGTATAATTTTTCTTTTTGTCTATATTTTGTTTATATTTCTGAGTTCTATTTTCCCATTGTAATAGATTATCCAGAGAAACAGAACCAATATGGTGTGTATATATATAGAGAGAGATTTGTTATAAGGAATTGTCTGACACAATTATGGAGACTTTCAAGTTTAAATCTGCAGTGTGGGCCAGCAGGCTTGAGATGCAGGACAGCTGATGGTGCAGATGAAGTCCTATTAAGTGATCTGCTGGAGAATCTCCTCTTACTTGAGAGAAGATTGGCTTTTGTTCTATTCAGTCCTACTCATCTGATTTGAAGAGACCTGCTCATGTTATGGAGGGCAATCTGCTTTACTCTGCCAATTGAAATGTTAAATTCACCCAAAAATATCCACACAGAAACACCCAGAATAATGTCTGACCAAATATCTGGGCAACCCATAGCCCAGTCAAATTGCCACATAAAATTAATTATCACTGCCACTTAAATACTCTCTTTTTATTGTTTGCTCTAAACTCTACTTCAGAATTTATTCCATTTATTATTTTTTAAAATAGCAATTTTTTAGTACACAATTTACTATTGTTACTATATTCTCTTATATAGGTTTAATTTTTGCTTTTTTGTTTCATCATTTCTTATTTTATCTTTTAATTTTTTATTATACTTTATCTCTTTGACAATCCTAAAGACTTCATTTTAAATCATTTTCAAATTGTCCTATCATTTTCATTTCATCTGACGTGAATTTATTTTCCCACATTTTATTTTGTTAAGTGCTTGTCTTATGGTTAATATTCCTCACGTGTCTCGGATTTTGGTTTTGTGGTTCATGTTCTATGAGTCCACTTCAGGTTATATATGGGCAGTTTGGGATTTCTATCTTGGTGTGATATTAGGAATATCAGATTTAATCTCTGTATCAGTCCATTTTCACACTGCTGATAAAGACATACCTGAGACTGGGTAATTTATAGAGAAAAAGAGGTTTAATGGACTCACAGTTCCCCGTGGCTGGGCAGGCCTCACAATTATGGTGAAAGATGAAGGAAGAACAAAGGGACTTCTTACATGGCAGCCGGTAAGAGAGAAATGAGAACCAAGCAAAAAGGGATTCCCATTATAAAACCACCAGATCTCCTCAAACTTATTCACTAGCACTAACAATATGGGGGAACCACACCCAAGATTCAATTATCTCCCTCCAGGTCCCTTGTGCAACATGTGGGAATTATGGGAGCTACAATTCAAGATGAGATTTGGGTGGGGAAACAGAGAAACCATATCAGTCTCTAAGCTAGCCGGTGCCTTGACCCAGGCCTTCCCTCAGGGGCTGTGCTCCACCTTCTTCTGCCTTCCTAGACATGCAGTTTTATGTAAGCCATAGATTCATGTTGCAGCATTTTTCCCCAGCCTCTTCATGACTTGACAGCAAAAGCAGAAATATGGGGATTTCTATACCCAATTTTAAACTAACAGAATTGCATATGCAGCTTCCTCTGCCTACTTTTTTGACCCGTGGCCCCACAGGGCTGGAGATTCAACTACATTGACATGGCTTGTATTTTACCGATCACTGTGATGGGTCAAAAGCAGAGTAAAGGCCTCAAAACGTGAAGTGATAACATGGTTTTGACTAAAGTTCTCCCATTTCTATTCTCCCTCTATTGTTACAGCTTCTCTAATGGTTCTCTTTGTATTCCTGGCATTCTCTGGAGGCTTCTGATAAAAACAGGGTCTTTAATTGCCCCCCTTTTCCAGTCAGGTCCCCAATAAGAAACAGATGTTGTACTCAAAGGGGGTAATTGAGGAGAGTTTACTAAAGGGACTGCTTGCAAAGATGTAGTCCAAGCTAAGATAAATTGGAAAGGATTGGTGAAGCTCCCAAGCCAACAACAACAGGCCTAGTAGAGAACTATCACTGTGCTATAGGAGAGAGCTGCCTGGCAGGAGTGCCAGCCTTTGATAGAGGAACATGGTCCACTACTGAACCTTAACTTGGTAAAGACAGAGACCAAGGAGTAAATACTCCCAACTCCTTCTCCTGCCCTTTGTTCCTCTGCTTCCCATGGGCCAAACTCAACAGGAAATCAGACTGCAAGGGACCCCTTAACATAGTCAAGAAAGGTCAGCCTCTCAGGGCACAGAGTAGGGCAAGGAGTGGATCTGGATGTGGTAAAGAAAGAACACACAGAATACAGAATAGCCCAAGACTACATTTCTCAGGTCACTTCCATCTTCACATTACAGAAATAAATCATCTTCCTTTTCCACTTCCCCCTCTTTAGCTAATGCCTTTTTTACTTTTTTTTTTTTTTAATTTCATAGGTCATTTCTTGAAAGAGTTGTCTAAAGGCACTGTCTGCACTTTATTCTTATTTGCTACTCAACCTCCTGTTGTTCAGTTTCTGACTTTATAGCCCCCTGAAATTTCTCTCCAGGAAGTTACTGATTTCTTGCTGAATTATAAACCCAATCCAAACTTTTGGATGCTTATCAACTGCATTGAGGCACTCCTTGCCTAAAGTCTCCTCCCCTCTTGATCTCTGTGTGACCACTTTCTCTCAGTTCCCCTCCTTTGAAACTGCAAAGGCAGCATGTAAGAGGAGCAACTACCTGGGCTGAATTAAGACCTGAAGGCCCCAAGGGAATGAGGCTAGTGATAGCCAGAGGTGTGGTGCAGGGTTCAGGGTGGGGAGCATGTCCTAACAGAGGAAACCACAGATGTGGTATCCATTGCTTCTTATTTGCCATCAGTGACTGCATGGTTGACCACCAAACTCTATAGGGTCACTCTGAAGAATAGAAAAAGCTGAAGTGGTCTAGAAGAAATTAGATTTTCTATAGGAAAGACATAAAGAAAACTTGGCAGAGGTATCTGTTTTTAAAAATACATAAATCTCGGCCTCGACCAACACTTATTTGATGTGACCCTTTCACCCAAGACCATTTCTTCATCCCACTAGAACCTCAGTTCTCAGCACTGAGCAATATCAGCTGACAGCCTTTCATCCAGCAGGACAACAGAACTGTGGGACCCCAGCAGAGACAAGGCTGTCAGTGAGGCCTGTCCTGGTGGGCTGTCATCCCACGTGGAGAGGTGAGAAAAGTAGGGTGGAAGAGGAAACGATGCTGAAGACTGAGGAGGCAGGTGGAATTCAAAGTTGGTCTTTTTTTTTCTTTTCCAAATTAAAGAGATGTTTTCTCTGCCACAGCTTCTGGGCCCTGATACAGCAATAAGTCAAACACCAGCATTCATCCCCTTGCAAATGGGAACCACCTCCCCACCTTGGAGCACAGACAGATTGTAGTTGAGACGCCCAGTGGAAAAAGCTGAGTATGGCTGGGCAGCCTCACACAGGCCTTTGCCTCTAGATCCCCTTGAGCTCCCTTCCCAAGAGTCCTTGACAAATATGCAGGGCTAAGAGGCTGTCCAAGGAATGCAGCCGTCTCAGCCATTCATTACCAAGGCTCAAAACCACAGGGGCAGGAAGAGCAGACAGAGCTGGGTAGGATCCGTCTCCGGTGAGGTTTGGAAATGGGAGATACCCCTGACTGGGCAGGCTGAATTGATGTGGTCTGGCCTAGGGGCAAGGGGATGGACAGAATGACCATCACCACTCTCAGCCAGCCTGGTGGGTCTATGAAAAGAGATGTTTGATTCATTCTCGGGCTCTACCCAAGTGACTCTGAAATATTCCTAGACGGTTGCCAGGACAGTCAATAGTGGGTGAAACAAAGACCCAGAAGCCAAAATTCTGGGCTTCCAAGCTGCTTCCTTCAATCTTCTTTAAGTGTTTTCCTTTATGTTTGTTCCTTTATGGCTTGTTCCCCTTCTCTGATAAACTGTAAGACCCCTGAGGTCAGAGGTGCTTTCCTCTCCTGCCCACTCCTTCCCCTTCTGCTTTCTTTCTCCTGCAAACCTGTGCTAGGACACCTTAAAAAGAAGGATTCCTGATGGACTCAAGATGATTTATCTAATTTGCAACTGGTCAGCCACAGGGCTATGGAGAGGGTGAGCAGGATTGGGGCTGGCAAGAATGATAAGAAGGAACAAACCTGGAACCATGATTACTCATTCATGGTCTTCCAGTTTACACTCTACTGTGATGACCATGAAAGAGAAAAAGAATTAGTAAAAAAGAAAAAAATACATAGACAGACTGCCCTCCCAGACACAGAAAAATTATTTTCTTACCCATAAGAAAATTCCATCAAACATGAAGATTAAATAGGGACCTAAAATCTGATACCTACCAGTATCTGGACACACCTGGATCCTGTGGAGGTGGCTCTGGGCAGACAGACAAGTTGGAGGGGCAGATGGAATTAGTCAAGTAGGGAAAGTCAGAGTGAATAAGTCAGGAAAGCCCTCCCACAGGAAGAATTTTGAGTAAGGATTTGTGAATGAGAAATCCAGAATAAAAAGAGGCAGGTATAGTTCTCTACAGAGAACTACGGCCAGCAGGGGATATTCACATGAGAGCTGGGCATGCAGACCAGGACCAGGAAACATTCTAGGAGAGCCCAAACATAAGGGGAAGTGGGCACATAGTGAAATGGGGCTGGGGGAGTGAGGTGATGGAGAGACGCTGTCCTAAAAGCTCAAGCTGAGGAGACTGGATTGAGTACAAGGGGACATTGGGAGCCAAGTCAGAGATCCATCCCAGCATCTCTGGAGGTCTGTAAGAAGCTGTGGTCTCTCTCTTCTCTCAAGGAGAATTGCAGGAGCTCTGATGCCTCAGAATTTCCCATGCAGGCAGACCAAGGGGAGAAGGAGAGATGCTTTCTCCAAAGAGCTCAAGAGGAGTCAGGAGAAGGTGAGATTAGCAGCCAGCAGGAAAAGGCATGGACCTCTGGTAAAGCCTTTAGAGATATCTTCCTTTCTCCTGCGGTGGGTGGGGGGAGGTTGTGATGGATATAAAGAGGCCTGATGGAAAGTCTGGATTTACATCAAGTGTGAGGGGAAGGACTCTGGGAAGGACGGCAGTACAGGAAAGTCAACACGTCACTGGCCTTCATTGTATTGGCCACCCAGGACTGAGTTCCGGCATGAGGCTTGTCCATGTTGTTTTTTGTTTGCCCTATACCCACAGCACAGATGGCCCATGGTGTGGAGGAGGCTCATTTCAAATCCATCATCAGTCATCTAAAGCGCACTAAAGTTCAACAAATGATTTCAAGTTCATCTTCAGTCAACTTCAGTGGACTTTTAAAATTCAACAAATGATTTTTCAATGTCTATCTCAAGCCAGGCACAGGTTTGTTACTGGAAAGCAACACAAGATGTTAACAGAATGGATGTTTCTGTCCTAGAAGAAATGTCTGCATTCTACAAAGAAAAATGGCAGCCAGGCACCATGGCTCATGCCTGTAATCCCAACAGTTTAGGAGGCAAAGTCAGGAGGATCATTTTAAGGCCAGGAGTTCAAGACCATCCTGGGCAACATAGCAAAACCTGACTTCTACAAAAAAAATGTAAAACATAGCCAGGCATGGTGGCTTGCACCTGTCATCCCAGCTACTCAGGAGGCTGAAGCAGGACGATTGCTTAAGCCCAGGAGTTGGAGGTTACCATGAGCTATGATTGCACCACTGCACTCCAGCCTAAAGCTAGGCAACAGAGTGAGACTCTGTCTTTAAAAAAATAATAATAATTTTTTAAAAAAGGAAAAATGGAAACTAAACAAGTAAACAAACCGGCATAATCATTTAGTTGCTGCTAAATACTCTGAAGAAGATAAAATATCCAGGCCAGTTCAGGCATGGTGGCTCACGCCTGTAATCCCAGCACTTTGGGAGGCCAAGGATGGTGGATCACAAGGTCAGGAGTTCGAGACCATCCTGGCCAACATGGTGAAACCCCATCTCTACTAAAAATACAAAAATTAGCTGGGCATGGTGGCGGGCGCCTGTAGTCCTAGCTACTCAGGAGGCTGAGGCAGCAGAATCGCTTGAAACCAGGAGGCAGAGGTTGCAATGAGCCGAGATGGCGCCACTGCACTCCAGCCTGGCAACAGAACTAGATTCCATCTGAAAAAAAAAAAAAAAAATCCAGGCCAAAGAGGGAAGGAAGTGGCATGCTAGAGAGTGACTGGCAGTGCCAGGAGGTGAGCAAAGGCCCCTAGGAGGACTGGATGTCAGTGCTGGGACAAGAATGGCAGCAAGGGGCAGCCCAGGGGAGAGGTAGGGGGAGCGCCCCCCCAGCAGAAGGGAGAAGCACGCTCAATGACCAAATCTGCCGCTGGTGTTTCAGGAAAGGGGTCCTGATCCAGACCCCAAGAAAGGGTTCCTGGATCTCAAGGAAGAAAGAATTCAGGGCAAGTCCATACAGTAAAGGGAAAGCAAGTTTAAGTAAGTAGAAGAATCAAAGAATGGCTACTCCATACACAGAGCAGCCCTGAAGGCTGCTAGCTGCCATTTTATGGTTATTTATTGATTATATGCTAAACAGAAGGTGGATTATTCTTGCCTCCCATTTTTAGACCATATAGGGTGACTTCCTGACGTTGCCATGGCATCTGTGAAGTGTCATGGTGCTGGTGGGAGTGTAGCAATGAGGATGACCAGCGGTCACTCTCGTCACCATATTGATTTTAGTGGGTTTTAGCCAGCTCCTTTACTGCAGCCTGTTTTATTTATTTATTTATGACCCGTATTTTGTGCCGACCTCCTATATATCCTGTGACTTAGAATGCCTAACCCTCTGGCAATGCAGCCCAGTGGGTCTTAGCCTTATTTTACCCAGTTCCTATTTAAGATGGAGTTGCTGTGGTTCAAATGCCTCTAACACTGGGGCTTATAAAAAGAAAATTAGTAAGATATTCAATGTTCGGAGTGAGGGCTGTGGATAAAATGTCACACCCACAGACAGAAGAGAGGAAAGAAAAGTAAGCTATTGAATGTTTAAGTGGGACTTAACAGAGGCCAAGATAGAGAGAGAGAGAGACAAAAAGAAATGGGCAGCGGGAGAGCAGCATGTCTCCTATGTGTGTGTGTCTGTGTGTCTGTGTGTGTGTGTGTGTCTGTGTGTCTGTGTGCGTGTGTGTGTGCATGCATGCAACTCTCATAGTTAATTGGCTTGTGCCCATGGAGTCGGTAAGAGTGCGGCCACTAAGCTCACGCCTGAACACTGCTATAGGGGGCTGGGCAGAGGCTGAATCTGTCTCCAGGAAAGTAATTTACAGGAGTGGAGAGAAAAGCTCTGTGAGCCAGCGCCTGGGGCCTCTCCACTCTCTGGGACAGATCGCTGCCTGTATTTTCAGGGTCTGTCTTCCCACAAGATGGTCAAAGCCTCAGGCACAGGGTGCTCAGTACGTCTACAACAGCCACATCAAGCAAAAGCACAGATTTTCTTTGCACCCTCAACCTTTATTATTGTTTCAAGTCAAGGAAATAGGGAGATGGCTGACACTGAACACTGGACTAATTTCCAAGATTTGTGGGTTCCAGGCCTGGCTGTCCCACTAACTCCCATATTACTTTCCCTCTGTGGGTTTTACTTTCCCTATATAAAAATTAGGAGACTGGATGCTGATTTCTAAGATTTTCCAGCTCTGATAGCTTCATAAATATAGGAAGTTCATAATAAGAAGAGATACATGGGAACTCTAAGCAGCTACAGCATAGCAACATCAAAAATCAAATGGACCAGGGAGATGAGATATATTGGTTCAGAAAGTATCTGGCTGCAAGTAGCAGAAAAAGTAACGAAGAATGGCTTAAGCTAAAAGGGTGTTATTTTCTCTTAGAATAACAACTGAATAGGTATAACCTCGAGTCTATGCTAGGTAGGAAGGAAGTGAAGTTTGGTTAGGGGTGATGGGTATTCAGCTAATGCACTTGGCGGATAAGAAAAACATGATGACTTCAGAGGCATCTGGCAAGCAAGGGAGAGAGGGCCAAAGAAGACCAGTGTGGTCTGTGCAGGGATTCAGTGGTTACCATATCAGAGGAAAAGTTTTGGGAGACAAAATCACCTGCAGGTGGCCTTGAGACAGGGTTGCTAAAGTGCAATGAGGAAAAAGAGGAAACCAATCTCATCTGGACTTTGTTCCTTTCTTAGCATCCCTTAGAGATCACAAACTCTTATTTTTATTTTATTTTAGTTTATTTTTGGGAGAGATGAGGTCCCGCTATGCTGACCAGGCTGGTCTCCAATTCCTGGCCTCAAGCAATCCTCCTGCCTCGGCCTCCCAAAGTGCTGGGATTATGGGTGTTCCAAGCCAACCACAAACTCAGTCATCCCCACTCCACCCTCTTCTGCCTTTCCCGACAGATACATCTAGAACATTAATAGAAGAGGTAGCAGAGGTGAGAACACATCAGCACAGATACCAATACCAGCCTGCCCTGAGTGGACAGTAACCGGCCTGCAAATGGCAAAGCTAGGAAGGAAAGGAGGCTGGTGGCATTGCAAGTCTGTACCTCAAAAGAGGAGGCATTGGGGTGGCAACATTGCCAATGGGCTAGATAGAAGTAAGAGTGAGAGCCAGAAGAATCTACCCCACTGTCTGCCAGGTATACCACAGAAGCCAAGCAAACTGCTTCTTTCCTGGGGAGGGTCTCTGTGCTCCAAGAACCATGCTCATCCTAGCAACAGGAAGCTCTTTAGTGCCAGCCTGTTGCAATAGACTTCAATGGCTATTTCTCCTGTTAATGCCTTTTCTGTTTTGCTCTCTCAAGATCTTAACTGCAACTGCCCCTATTACTCCAACTGAGATTACAATTTTTGAGAAACCTGCAAACAGGACAGCTTTAGAGTGTACCCCAAATACAAGGACACAGAATCAAATTCCATGAACCCCTATAAATCATGAATCCACTGGAATGGAAGCCCCATGGGGGCTAGACTTTGCTGTTTGCTCACTGATGATTCTTGAGTGATAAGAACCAGGCCTGGCACATAGTAGGTACCTTCTATGTGTGTTGAATAAGAGCAGCTGTGTCAGAGAGCTGCTCCAGCACTGCACCCAGTAACATCCCTCCCTGCCAGTAATCAATCATCTTGCCAAAGACCAGGTCCTTTGACTCTTCCTTGCCTCTGGTGAAGTTTCTGTGCACCTGAGGTTAGGAAGTGAGCTCTCTTCCTCTTCACAGCCTGGCGTCCTAGGTTCCTTGCCTCTCATAGAACTCGTTCCTATTTCTCACGAGGTCTTAACACTCAGACACCCAGCTTGCCAGCATTCAAACATGATGCTTTCCTCTGCGGCCTGGAAGACAACCATACTTGCCTTCTCGGGGTCAAAACAGCCTCAGAGCCTCCCAGAAGCCAGCTCTTGGGTTTCTGTCCCGCCCCCTCCCCTCTGCCACTTGCTAGGAGTTTCCACAAATGCTATGGCCATGACTCATTTGATGAGGCACAAAGGGGTCAACAGGTGGAGGGAGCAAAGAGTCCCAGGCTGCCAGAGACTGGACAGCTCAGGAGGAAGCAAAGTCTAGGCAAACAATCACTCTTGTTTCCCCACTGCCCCACCAGCCCACCCATTCCTCATGGTAACAAAGTGGATCTGAGGTGAAACATCTGTTTTGCTTTGAGCAGATTTCATTTGTCTTTTCTTTTTCTCCTTTGTTTTAACCTCTCTCTGCCACTAGGAAGCTTGCCAGATCAACCTCACTTAATCTATCTCCTCAGGGACAGTCAGCCTTCTAGAGGGACATTTTCCAGTTGACAGACTTTAAGGGATGATTTGTCCCTTTTCCTCCCTTGGACTACCATGTATCTGAACTGAGATCAGAGCATTAAACAATGTCTGCCCATTTCATTCACCCAACAGTTTTCTATTGAGAGGGAAGTACAAGCCCAACACTGTGCTAGTTGCTGCAGACACAATGATCAGAAAGACAGACATGGTCCTTTGGAAGCTTGCACTTGTATTCCAGTGCAGGAGACAGAAAAAGGAGCAAACCAATAAATAAATAAGTCACCACAACTTGTGATACATGCTTAAGAGGTTAATAACCAGGGTGTTTGGAAAGCTAATCATGGGGGCAGAGTCACAGAAGGTCATAGAAGATCAAGAACTTCATTTCATGGAGACGACATTTAAATGGAGAGGACGACATTTAAACTGAGGATGACAAAGAGATAGCTATGGAAAGAAATGACTGAAGAGGATTTTGAGAAAAAAAAAAGAGTAATGACTATAAGGGACAGAAAAGAGCTTAATGTTTTGTTATAGAATTCTCAGAATTGTATAACAAAATTTGTATAAAAACTCTACTGACTTAAAACAGAGCTTAGTGAGGCAGAAGATAGTAGCACAATGAGATCAGAAAGGAGAACAGAGGCTAGTGTGGCAAACCTTGCAGCCCGGAAGGAAGCTTAGATTTTATTCAAGGTGCGCTGGGAAGAACGTCACTAAAGAACTCTGAAGAAGGTCATGGGTTCCCTGAGAGAAATCCCTGGGGGCCTTACTAGAGTGACGCAGACTCACCCCTGCCTCATCCCCCAACTTTTGTCCTCACCTCCTCCCCCCATGCCCAGTCCCAGCAACCGGGGGGTGGGTGGGCTAAGATCATGTTTAATTATTTCACAGATTCTTCCCTCCTCTGATAGGGGCCATGAAAAGACATACAGTTCAAATCAGTCCATTTGGCAACCTCTGAGCAACTGGAAATTTTGGTCAATAGTCAACACTCAGCAAAAATGAGATTTTTGAATTATTGGAAGTTTCAATGATCCAGCCTCTACCTGTCTCCCATGACTGTGAATAATCCCAAATTTGTTATAGGACAGCACAGGCTTTCTTCAGCCAGAGGATGTTAGCCAGATATTTCTACTCTGGATGGCTACAAAAAATGATATCTAATAACTGCCCAGACTTCTTGTGGTTGGAGACTCATGATACACCCAGATGTGCAGAGAAATTGTGCTTCTTTAAATTTTTATAATGGATATGACACTCCCCAGATCAGTGCTTTTAGATAAAATGTTCAATGAATTCTCAGACTTCATTGCTCTCCCACCCTTTCTTTTCCCAATATGGTTTCTGGGCATAGGGGAATGGCTTCTTGTGTCCTAAAAGCAGTGAGGAGAGAAGAGGCCCTTGCATCCACAGGTGCCCTCTGGATTCTTGGTGATCAATGCTGTAGAGTGGGACCATTTAGGAAGATGGTTCTATACTGGCCAATCTCTTGACATTGGCTATGGAGGGCCTTGGATGACGCAACTCAATTGTCTAATTTCTCTTTTGGTTTGGCCGCAGCCCAGTAGCCCTAGCTGGTGGACCTGGCCCACCTTGGCTCCTGCTTTCATTATGGATGGTGCTGAGAGCTGGCTGGGACTTCCTGTGGTTCTAGTCCAGGTGAACCATTCCATACCTACAAGGCCTCTGTAGCCCTGCTCCAGAAACCCAGTCCCACTGCCCTCAGTGAGCTCATTTTTAGCATCTCAACTAGCTTCCCATCCCCAAGTCTAAATCTCGTCCATACCTCCCAGGACCCAGGACAGCTTGAGAGAACAAATCCTTTGTTCTTTCTCTTCCAAATAATGGGGACTCAATCAATTTTACTTTGATGTGGCCACTGCCAGGTTGGTGCTTTCCAGGTGAGCCTCTCCAAGAGGTGGGGAGATGTTTCCTAGTCTTCAAATTTTATTAAATCTAGATATTTTGGATCTTTCTTAAGTGATTGCTCTCACCTGTCATTCCATGTCCTACTCATCGTCTTCCTTTTCCTTTTCCCCTTTCCTCATTTCTTTTCCCACAACCCCTTGAAGAACAAGCCTGGGTGGCCAGCCTTTGGGCTGGTAATTTTTCTATGTAATACATTCCTTCTTCCCGAGTTATCCATCTTAGTGATAATACAAGACTGTATATTTATGTTCCTCCCCTTTTTGTCATAATCTGTGGCATAATTCTGAATAATTAATGGAATCTAAAAGGAGCATCTACTTGATCTTGATCTTTGAAGCATTTTCTTTTAGGTGGCAACATATAACCTCTATTCTTTCTCTCTAGATCCAAATACACTATCAGGTTTGGAGTAAATAGAACTTTGCAAATACTGTTTATTGGTTTTCAATATTCATATAAATGTTCAAAAAGTTAAAAAGACCTTATGGTTACAAAATGGCATGTAAATATTATAAACTTGTAAATTTCAAAAGGATGGGATGCTTGACGAATACTGGAAGGTGAGTGGGTCAGAGAAAAGAATGAGGGAAGTGATTGGACACTGACTTTATTCAGAAATAATGGAAAAACAAAAATATTTTCTAAATTTTTCAGTGTATAGTGCTTTTAATATATTATTTAATGTAATAAACACATTTAATGGAGGGAATACTGGTAATAGGATAAATTTCTCAACTATAATACTATCAAAAGATGTGATTGAAGTATTAAAAGATGCTATTAAACAATTTTTAATGGAGGTAAAAACATGATATTTACATTTTTGGAGACAACCAACAGAAGGTCTAAAACTAGAAATCACTCTATGTTTTCCTCTGAGGAGTGAGGCTGTACAAAGAGAATCATTTTACTTTTCACTTTATACATTTCTAAGCAAGGATTTATTTCCCCATGAGAAAGCCCTTGTGGGGAAGGCCATATTTGACATGGGTGTCAAGGACTGAAGAGTGTTTCATAGGAGACAGGAGGTGGGGTTTGGGAGGTGGTGCAGGGAGGAAGCCTCAGACACAACAGTCCAGTTTTGAAGACTGCCTGCATAGTGGTGGCAGGAGCAGGGAGGAAACAGATTGGGCACAGGAGCTGCCAATCTCAGAACTGATTCTTGGGGCACATTCTGACGAGACAGACCCTACAAAGAGGCTCAGCCGGTTAGGCATGGCCCTGCCAAGATGCCCTGTTACCTGGAAATAAGACAGAGCAGTGTGAGAAGGGTGCAGATAGAAATCAGTATTCAGGTGTAAGACAGCTCTCCATCCCAGCCCCATGATGAGGAAGAACCCGGGCCATGGCTGTGGGTTGGGAGTTGCAGGCAGGGACACCAAGAAATCCATCCAAGCAAAATGACCTCAGAGATCAAATGAAACAAATATAAACAAAATTCCAATCTAATAATCTGGATCCCAAAGAGTATAACCTAAGCACTCCATGGATCCTCAGCACTCAATCTTAGGTATAGAAAGGAGGAGGAGGAGCAAAGGAAATTTCAGAAAAGACATATCAGAGCTTGGAGGAAAAGACATCAAAGGCCAAGAAAACAGCAAAAGCAAAGGCACAAAGAAGGGGATAGCACCAAAATGAAGGAGCTGATTAGCAGTGTAAACATGAGTAAAGTCCTAGGAGAACAAAGACCATTGTGAGAAAAGCTATTAAATCCTAGGGCTCATAAGAATTCTAATTTCTTCTCTACAATAGTACTATTCACCCCCTTTTTTCTTCCTCAAATCCCATAAGGAATAAGGCAGATGCCAAAGGAGACACATCCTGGTGGTGATTCGATGATTATTAATAAAGGGAGGGAGGGGCTATTAGAATAGGGAGGGAAAGAGCACAATCCGAAGTCTTCCCCAGTTGACTCTGAAGCACTTTCTCCATGCCTATAATCACTGCTCTAAGAGCAGCAATACTATACTCTGCTCACATGACCTCTGGGCAGTTTACTCTCTCAAGTCTATGTTGGGCATGTTAGGTCCACAGTGGTTGAGATTAGTTGTGTCCTAGCTAAGACCTCTTTGCAAGTTGTTTCACCATCAAAATTATGTTTCAACTATTTTCATTCCTCCCTATCTCAAATCTCCTAACCACCCAAAGAAACTCACACAAATCCAAACCACTTTGCACGACTCAACATGCAAATATTTCCATGAACTGAGACAGAGAAAGAGGTAAGTCTATATGTGTTAGCCGCCTTTCTTTCCCTACTGTGCCCAAAGCACTTGTTTTCACTTGCTCAGTGAGACTCAAAAGACTAGGTGGCCATTCTTTTTCTCTCTGCAGATTAGAAATCTTACTTTTAGCAAGGTTTTGATTCTGTTAAAATTTCATTTCAAGAAATCATTTAGAAGAACCCTGTGGTTTGTTGTAAAATTTGCTTGCGCAGAAAACTGAAATTTTTGGTTAACTAGTATCAGGAATAGAGAGGTTCAGCTCTTTAAACACTATCAGTGACACTCAATGATCAGCCCAAACTAGTGGTCTTGTAATGCCTACTTGTTTGTAAACCTGCAAACCTGTGCTGCTGGTTTCGGGGAGACAAAAAGAAAGAATAAACCGTGGCCTGGCCCCCAGCAAGTTATACACAGGGACTCGAGCAAGGATTGTTTTTGTAATTTACTGCAATTGAAACATGGAAACAACCTGAAAATTCAGCAATAGGGAACAAGTTAAATAAAAATTAAAATATAATTTAAGTATAATTAAATGTATATATAATTTTAAAATACAATTAAAAGTGTAATCATTATAAGACTGAAATACCTAAAACTATGCTGATAACAAATAATCTCCAAAATATATGGCTCAATAAAAAAGGAAGCTAAGATATAAAACAGTAAATATAGTACGCTACCACTTGTGCACAAGAGAACTTATATTCGTTCCCTCATCCTCACCCCCACACACTCTCTGTGTCTCTATGTCTCTGTACATATTTATGTTGTCACAGAATAGCCCTGGAAGGATTCTCACTACACACACACACACACACACACACACACACACACACACACAATATTGGTTATCTCATTCAATAACTTTCAGAGTTTTAATTAATTAAATAGAAAATACATTCCCATGGTTCAAAAATCAAAAGGAATGGAATATATATATATATATATATATATATATGTATATATGTGTATATATATATATGTATATACATATATATATATACATATATATATAAACATCTCCATCTCCTGTTCATAGCTTCCAACCAGCATCCCTCCAAGGAGGCAACCAATGTGACCAGTTTCTTGTGTATCCTTCTAGAGATATTTGATTCATTTCTCTGTGTGTGTGTGTGTGTGTGTGTGTGTGTGTGTGTGTGTCTGATATGGTTTGGCTGTGTCCCACCTAAATCTCATCTTGAATTGTAGTTCCCATAATCCCCATGTGTCATGGAAAGGACCAGGTGAGAGGTAATTGAATCACGGGGGCGGTTACCCTCCTGCTGTTCTCATGATAGTGAGTGAGTTCTCACATAATTGGATGGTTTCATAAGGGGCTTCTCCACCTCCTTTGCTCTCATTCTTCTTCTTCCTGCTGCCATGTGAAGAAGGACATGTTTGCCTCCCCTTCCACCATGATTGTAAGTTTCCTGAGGCCTCCCAAGCCCTATGGAATTGTGTATCAATTAAACCTCCTTCCTTTATAAATTACACAGTCTAGGGTATGTCTTTATTAGCAGCATGAGAACAAACTAATACAATACTTTTTGTACCTTTTTTAAACCATGGGCATGTGTTGACTCTGTTATTTATTTATTCTTTCTATTAAAGTCTAGATAATTTTAAAATGACCCATGGGAAGCAGACATGCAGAGAACAATGGCATGTTAGAAGACCTTGAGGAACTCAGATGCTTTCGTGAGTTGAAGCACCAGGAAAGGCCCCAGAGAGAAGATAAGGTAGACCTTATCACACCTTATCAAGTGTGTCTATGCAGAGCAAGACCTGGCAAGAGTGTCTATGCAGAGAAAAACCTGGAGATCAAGCTGCTCAATAGAAGAAGTGTCTAAGATGAACTAAGAATCTGGCATTTGAGTGCTAGGTATTTAAGACCAGACACAGCTTTCAGTGTCATTTCTGTGAGGGAAAGACCCTAGATTCAAGGCGAGGCCCAGTCAGCACCTTTAGATAATCCTTCACCTGGGCAAACCGAGATAGAGGGGGAGAGTGTGGTTAGCATTAATGCTCAGGACTAAACTGTTTATGAAGCTATGTAACCAAATCCCACAATTTTCAGAATTACCGTTGTTGGTTTGGGATTTTATAAGAGTTCCAACCCTTTTTATGACTTTTTCTCCAGCCTCTTTCTTATTCTCCTTTTGCTTTTGGTTTCACAGCATACTTTGGCCTGCTCCCCTTCTCTTTGATTTGAGCCAATTCATTGTTTCTCAGGAGAAACTGACTAAGAAGCAATTGCTCTTTGGACACAAATTATTTTCATGGGGTGGTCTCACTTAATATCAAGTTCTCTCCAGCTTCTAAAGGAAAGAGAGAAATACCACTCAGGTCCCCACTTTGAGTGAGACCAGGAAGAGAGTCAGAGTTCTGAGAAACTTCAGAAATCCATGCTGTCTCAGAATGGAGGACCATGATCCACCTTCCAGGCCCTCATAGGTCATTCCCAGTCCAGAGATGTCAGGAGCATCTGCCTTCCATGGTGAGGAAGGGATCCCTTTGATTCCTTTATGTCAGGCCACATGTAAGGAAGAGGGGAGTCACTATCTATTTTAGTGCCAAATATCTGGCAGCAGTTGGATCAGGGTTAACCCTTCTCTTCCAGTACAGACATAGCTATTCCCTGAGCCTGCTGCAGTGTCCAAACCACCCCCAACCCTCATTCCATTGGAAGAAAACACTGAAGACCAGCAACAACCAGTTACATGACCGGCAATTCTTGTAAAGAAAAGTCACAAAGCCATCATCAGACATTTGCAACTGAACTTCTAGAAAGCAAACTCACCCTTTGAGCCAAACTCAAACTTATATTTAAGTTCCAGCACTCACATCTAATGGACTGACATCTTGGCTTTGTCAAGATGTCAGTCCATTAGATGTGAGGGCTGAAACTCAAATATAGGGGGAGGTGGTGACAAGATGTGAGAGAGACATTAGAGCAGACCTATAGAGAAGAGCCACAAACTGAACTGGAACAGACCTCAGGAATTACCTAGCTCAACCCCATGATTTTACATTCAAGGAAACTGATTCCCAGGACTACCAATGTAATTGCAAAGCTAATTACTGATGGGAACAGGTAAATTCACTTTCGTACCAGGGCTTATTCCATGGGATTGATTCATGGAAGCATGCCACTTAAGAACTGAAGTGTGCAGGAATGAAGGTCTGAGATAAGAGTCAAGAATTTCAGAAGAATTGAAGGTACTTACACCTGTTACAAAAGATAAGGCAAAAAAGTCAGGTGTTCCAGTTATTGGTGTGTGACACACCACTCCAAAACTTAGCAGCTTTAAAATAAGAACAACATTTCTTTTGCTTGTGCATCTGAAATGTGCACAGATCTCTGTGGGGACAGGCCTTTTCTTCTTCACTCAGCATCAGCTGGGGCAGCTGAAAGGCTGGGATCACCTGAAGACTTGTTCACTTGCATGTCTAGCTGTTGATGCTGGAACACAAGATGGAGCTGTGGCCGGAGCCCTGCATGTGTCATCTTCTTGTGCTACTTGGAACATGGTGTCTGGGTTCCCAGTGGGGTGTCCTGAGAGAAAGGCAGGCACAAGCCAAATAGTTTTTACGACCTAGCCCTGAAAGTCACACAGCATAACATATGCCACATTTTATGTGTCACGGCAGTCACAAAGCCTGGCCCATCTTCAAGGGGAGGGAAATTAGGCTCCAACTTTTGATGGAGGAATGCCAAATAATTTGCAGGCGCATTATAAAACCACTACAGTAGGCTACTTTTCAAAGCTAATTTAGGGGCTTCTTCCCAACTCATTACTGGGCCAGCCCTGAGTCAAGATGTAAATGTAGGGGCTTCCTTGGGCCAACAAAAACTCCACAATGGTGGAATATCATTTCTCATTATCCTGGCTTCTGGAATTCCTGAATCATCCAGCTCACCCCAGATTCTGTAGCTTAAGACTTAGGAATCTCAAGAATAGAATACAGAAAGTGAGTCAGCTCATTTTCCAGGTTCCTAAAGCCGAGAATTAAATTAAGTCCATCAGAATAATAAGTCAAGTGGCTAGTGAGAGTTCCAATGAGGGAAGAATAGAGAAGGCACCCACCAACCTCTTACAAACAAGAAGAGAATAATAATTTTAAAGTTCTAAAAAGGAAAAAAGAAAAAACCCCACAAAACTATGGTTTCAGATCTCCTAGGAATTCACTGGGGGAAGCTGGATCGGTCTCACCTTTTCTGGCTACTGATTACAGATCCATGGACACAAGGATGACCTCTCCCTCTCAGGTTTAATAAGGCCAGGCAAGATGCTCTCCAAGTTTCGCAGGCAAGGTGCAACTTGAGGGGACTAGAGTGCTCCCTAAACATTCATGTTTTCTTGGTGAGCTTTCTAAGTGCCTCCATCTCTCACCCTATAGCATTCTTCTTCAGAGCCCAAGTAGAACACCTTCTGTCTGCCTATATTAAAATGTGAAAATTCATCACATTAATCTCTTAGTCTTTCAATCCCATCACCAAAGCAGGGGTGGGCGGGGACCCAAGATCCTAAGGACACAGTATGATGAAGCCACACAGAATGGACAAACTTTGACAAATGAGGATGTTGAAGTCAGGTTACGGGCTAGAGAAATTGTAAAAGTGGAGGGAAAGAGGAGAGAAAGGTACAGAATACCTGGGCAGATGAGTTAGAATGAAGAGGAAGAATTACTTAAAAAGTGGACTATCAGCAGAACAGATAAAAGGAGAAGGAGCTCTAACACTCAACACAGATGATGAAAATTTGCTTCCAGGAGGGGTTAGGAAGTTGAATTTTCTACCTCTGTGAAAATCCACTGAGACCCACCATTTGTGGGCATTTATCTTCCATGGGTCTGATGTGTTGGATAGATGAGTACAAAGGGCCAAGGGAAGTGTGACCTACCACCTGATCTCATGAATTCTGCTCTCTCTCAAGCACACGTTTTAGGTATTTTATTATGCAACTATTGTGCAAAAATCATAGCCTTTAGATTGCCCTGACTCTGGCCCCTAAGGAGTTAAAGTACATCTTCACCCTTCAGAAGACTCAGGGTCAGGCCTTTATGAATCACAATCTTAGAGTTCAAGGGGACTTTTAAGACCACTGTGAGGATCCCCAATATGACTCTCCCATCAGAAGCAACTCCCTCGTCTCCCAGCAAGCAGTCTCCTGTGGGCATTGTGCTCTCAAGGGATCTTGGAGGAGTGAATTGGGCTGGAGGACAAAGCCAAGATGTCAGTCCATTAGATGTGAGCACTGAAACTCAAATATAAGGGGAGGTGGAAAGAAGACGTAACAGTGACAAAAACAGAGGAGGGGGCAGACAGAGAGAAGAGACAGGAGACAGAGAAAGAAAGGAGATGGAGGAAAGAGAAAGAGTTCAGGCACACATTTGTATGTGTGCGTGTGAGTGCTCATGAGTGTTTAGAGAAACGTCAGGGAGATGAAGAGAGACAGAGAGAAAGTGAAGGGAGGCAAAGCAGGGGAGAGGAAAAGAGGGAGAAGAGACAGGAGAGAGAGAAAGAGAGAAGAGGGAGGACAGAGAAATTGTGCAGGCACATGTGTATGTTTGTTTCTATATGCTCATGTGTGTTTAGAGGGACAACAGAGAGGAGAGAGACAGCAAGTGAAAGAGAGAGAGAGGGCAAAGAGGAAGGGAAAGACGAAAAAAAAAGTTGACACCTGAAAAGTCTTTCCTTATGTTGAGGCCACAGCAAATCAGATGATAATGAAATTCTGCATAGATTAAACGCCCATCAACAGAAAACTTGGAAGCAAATGAGGAGTTATATCACAGAAACTCAGTGTCATGTAAATCTCACTGAACAGGGAAATCAAAATGTTAGCAACAATTACATTCTTCTTATAACAAAATGGGTTCCAAAAATGGAAAAAAAGAAGAATGGAAACACTTCTGGAAATAATTAAAGGGGGAGCAGGGATCATGGGTCGGGGGAGCTGGAGACAGAGGGAGGGGTGTGCTGGCAGTGATAAATATAGAACCATAATTTAAGAGACAGTAGGAAACGCTTTGTGTGTGTTAATTGGAAATGCATTCTGGAGGCTGCAGTTTGTTCACCATGAATGTCATGACCTTGGGTTCCTTGAGGGAATATGGTCTCCACCCTGTCCCCATGGTGAAGGGAAGAAGTGAGAAAACATGTCATTCAATGGATGAAAGAAGTTCCAGTTTATATGGTGGAAGGAACCATTTTTTTTTTTTGCCTTGCTTTTTGTTTTTCTGTATTTCATTCTTTGGATTAAAGAGAGAAACACTGTGGGATTACAGCAAAGTCATCTTATTTGCCAAGGAAAGAGACTCAGAAATGAGACAGGTTGAGAACACTCTCATCCCATGCTGTAGTGGCAAGATGGAGTCTCCTCTCTGCTTTGGCCTCCTGAGATTCTGGTTAATCAAATGAGCATGTGGCCCAATGTAAATGGAGGTGCTGGGAACTGACTTTGGAAAGAGCATTTATACCACTTCTCTGGGACAGTTCTTTTCCCAGAGACCTGGCTGTGCATCTCAGGATAGAGAAGAACGGGTCAGACTGGCTCACTGGAAAGCTCTAGTGAACTGCAAGTTGAAGTCTGTTATATATTTGGAAGAAAACTCTTGGTTTCTGAATGAGCAAAATGATCAAAGATAATTCTTCACTAAATTCCTGGCAACTCACTTCTACTCCTTTACTTATTTTTAAAATTGTTTCCTCCTTCTGTGCTTAGTTCTAAAATGCTCTTGTTGTGTTCAATTCTCACAACTGAACACAACATTCAATTGTCACAACTGAACACAACATTCAATTGTCACAATTGAACACAACAAGAGCATTTTAGAACTAAGACCTCAAAGATGACCTGAGGCAGTGATGCACGGGCTGTAGTTGTATCCCAGAGGTAAGCACATGAAGAGAAAAGCATGAACTTGATAAAAACACAGGCTCCCAAACCACCCCAGACACACCTAATCAAGATTTCTTGGGCTGGGAGGGTGGGGGTGAGGAGGGCAGGAAATCTACATTTATAACAAGCTCCCAGGTATGTTTATGTGGCCATCCCAGCTCTGGTCCCCAGACATTTGGAAGCCGCTAAAAACCAAACTCCTCAAACTCCTTAGTTTGTAACTATGTAAACTAAGACTTGGATATGGAAGTACTGCCAAAGGCCACACACAGCTGGACTAGAACTCAAATATGTCACTTCTCAGTCCAGAATTTTTTTTACTATACCTGAATCTCCTTCAAAGCATGACAGAGGCCTAAATTCTGTCTACCACCTCAGTCATTCCTGAGCCTACATCTAGAAATTCCATGGTCATGATAATTGATGATGATGATGATGATGATGATGGTGGTGGTGGTGGCAGTGGCAGCAGTGGTAAGCTAATGCTCACCTAATGCCTACTATGTGCTTGCCATTATATAATAACTTATTTAATCTTCAAAACAATTCTAGGGGATAGGCTCTATAATTGAATTGAGGCACAGAGAAGTCAAGGAAGTCATGCAAGATCACATAGCTAGCAGAAGGTGGGACTGGGATTCAAGCCCAGGACAGGCAGAAGACAGAAGTGAGCCACTTCCTCTAAACACATCTCTTTGCATTTTGGTACTTTTTCTTTTTGTCACGCATGATGTTCTCATTGTCAGTTACCTCTCTTGACCTTAACTTTTCCCCTTACTTCCCCTGCCTCCCCCGCCCACCTGCTTGTAGATACAACAGCATATGGCAGAATGATCCTGGAATGAAGGAGAAACACTCAGCAGGAACCCCAAAGATGACTAGGGATATAGGCAAGGACTGTGGCTTATTAAGGTAAGTGCTAAAAGGGCTTTTTAGGAGTGAGCATAACAGGCAGAGCCAGGCATAGAGCCAACTAATGTCATGCTTTATTTTCCCCCAAACCTACCCCAGGTTCCTGCAAAATTGAAAGCAGGATCCAAATAAGAATCAAAGTCAGCATTAGCTTTATTTCTTTGCCCCCAAATACATGGATTCTGCTTTACTGTGTTAGAGGACGTGATTTGAGCCTTCTTTGGTTCAGAAAGATGTATAGGGAACCTCCTTTCTACCATCTTCCTGGCCTCCCTCACACCCATAATCGAGATATGAGGACCCATCTTGGAATAAGTAGAGAAGGAAGAGAAAACTCCAAGCTAGTTACTATAAGAGAAAGGCCACCAAAGCAGTGACCTTGGACACAAGCTCAGCAATCAGATGAGTTCTTCTTCCTCCTTGCTTGGTGGGGCTGGGCAGGGGTCAGGAGCTGGGGGCATATGGGGGGAGTAGGCGGGAGGAGTCAGAAGTCTTTCTCTAATTGTATTCTCTCCTGGGGGATGAAGCAGAAGTCCCTTCTCCTCTACAGAAGTGTGAAGAGTAGGGTAATGGGTGTTATCTACTAACACCAGGGCTTGTCTCTGACATGCTCCGTGGCTGTCTCTATGCACTAACTACTCTGTAAGTGCTGCAAGCTCTTTGGCCTCTATTTCCTCAGTGCAGCTAATTTTCCTTGAGTCATTCATACTCTCTTCCATTCTCCTCTTGTGACCAAAGAAACCCTGAATGTTGAATAGAAGAAACCCAGCTCCATGATCATGCAAGCAATGTCTTTGAACACATATAAATAGGTTAATTCACCTCTGGTCCATGCTTCCAATAACAATGAAAAGTCAGTACAAAGCATTAACCCATTATGACATAACATTATCTTGGTTTTCCTTGCTTGCTGAAAATAAGAGCAAGTATCCTTGACTGGGAAGAGAAGTGGGGCACAAAGATGATAAAAGAATCTTAGGGAGTACTGAGGATCATCACTACCACTGGACACCAGAGCTGAATCCATGGAAGGTGCTGCTTAACTCCAGGGAGGCCCTATCTGCCTTGCCTGCAGCGTCTCCAGCAGGAAGCTCTCAGTGTATGATCCACCTCCACAGCCCCCTGGGAAAGCTGTATCATGAACATTTGGGATCATTTCATATTTCATAAATGGGCTTAACTCACACTCATGAGGTCAACTGGAAGGCCTACTGGATTTAATTATGCTAGAAAGGGAGTCAACCAGAAACATCATGCATGAAGCAGGAGAGAGGCGGCTGGGAGAAAGTGAGCAAGCAGAAGGGAGATTTGATGTGATATGAATCATCCCACCAGGATGAGGGGCTGAACCATACAGCACCCCATGGGGGGAAAAAAAACAAACAAAAAAAACAACCAGCAGTCCCTGAGCCCAACAGAATCCAAAGGAGATTCTCATCCCGATCTATTTCCAGGAAGGCTTTAGGAAGCTGGTTGAGTTTATGTCACATTGGTGAGTGCAAAATAAGCCATGTAAAATGCTACACACTGTTGTGTCCAGATCCTTAAAAAAAAAATATGATAAAGCTATCGAAGGTGTTAATACACGGAAACTCTTTCTTTCCATATTAGTTAGTTCTAAGTTCTGAGTCTAGGGTATGAAGTCTACGGGTTTGTATAACTTGACTCGGGGCTGACTTTGATGGGACAAAGAACAAGAATACATGTGAAATCATGGAGGAGAGACACTGACAGAAAGTCACAGAGATGAAAGAAGAATGAGGAACTGGTGAGCACAGACTTCCTATAGTGACATGGATTCATGGAACAATAGAAGGAACACACTGACTATATCAACCCAGGCCAGTAAGATAGGTCAGGGCGAGGCAACTAGGAATTGCTGTGGCAGAGGCTGCTCAATTTCTTCCAAATCATTTCTCTTTTTCTTCCCTAATAATACACTTTTTAGCTGAGCATATTGCTACTCATAAAAAAGATAGGATTTTCCAGCCTTCTTTGCAATAAGTGTGGCCAAGGAACTGACTTCTTGCCTATGGGATATAAATGCGTGTGTCATATGGCAGCCCCATGTAATCTCCCTTAGGAGACAGATAGCATGCTCTCTTGGCCTCTTCTTTATCGTCCCTTTCTCCACCTGCTGCCTTAAATATAGATGGCACCATCTTGGGCCATGATGACAAGGGCCACATTCCAGAGATGGTAGAGCGATGAGCTCCATGGAGACTTAGTTTGCAAGAATGTTGTAGGGCAGAATTATCACATCGGTCCTGGAAGGCTTATCTCCAAACCTTGTGTTCCATCTCTGAGAGAGACAGCCTACACCCTGGAATGAATGACTGTCTATTTGGGACCAGGTTTAGCTGCAAGTGACAAAAACAACTGAAATAACTGTCATTTAAATGAGATAGAAGTGTTTTTATTTTTCTCATATAAACAAAGATCCACCTCCTCTGTTTAAAATCTTCTCTCATCTCTAGGACTAAAGACTATTACCAGGTAACAGTTAATCCTCTCTTCTCAGAAGTAAATTATTCAATTGGGCCACCTCTCTTTGAATGTAGGCCTTCTTTCCCCACCGTGTCTCTTCATTGTCCTCTTGATATCTGCCCTTCCATTCTTCCCTTTATTCCTTTTGAGTTTGGGAGAAAATCCAGTTAGGGGCTAAAAATGCCTTAAGTCAAAGCAAAGCTCCAGGAAGTCTGCAGAATCAGCCATATGACTTGAATGTTGGGCCAGCAAGCCAGCAGAAGGGCAGATTGGCTTAAAACCAACTCAACGTCCAGCTCCCTGAACATGACCCCTGAGGCAGTGCAGCCCCAAGAAGAGAGAGGGAGGAAGTGGGCTTCCAGTACGGGTAAGCCTACACACTTGAGTGGTTCTGCAGGCCCAAGGCCAAGATGCACAACACCCCCCAGCTGCCTCCCAACCCCGATCATTTGGGATTGCCTCACCCCTGCGCTCTTTCATTACCTGACCTAAGGACCTCCTGAGGCAAATAAAGTTCTCCATGTAGGGTGAAGTTAGTGAAGTGAAAATAATAAACTTTCATGAGCGTGTTTCAATTTTCACTTGTGTTTATGGCCAAAGGTGTTTTTTATTTTAATAATCGCTGCTGGAACAAGGGCAAGCCACATGCTGCTAACTTGTTAAAGAGAAGAGGAAGGAGGAGAGAGAAAGAAAGAGTGAATGAGAGTGAGAGTCTGTGTTCAGCTGTAAATTTCCCAACAGCCTGCTCTAATCCTTCCAGTTTTGAATCCCACCCTTAAAACCTTAATGACAGAGAAAGGGATAAAATATTATCTGGACCATGTTCTGTTGACGGTTTGTCCTGGGCTCATTTTAGCCATGATAATTCAGTGATTTTTGCGCGCGCGTGTGTGTGTGTGTGTGTGTGTGTGTGTGTGTTTTAAGGGAGAGACATCAGCATTCTGTGGTACCATTTCATAATGTAGAGTGTGTAAAAGGGAAGGAATTTGGAAGAATCAGGCTCCTTCCAGTTGGACATCAACTTGACCGTTGTTTTCAGCTCACTTTTATCTGGCAGAGTTTCTGTTTGCTTTTAAATGTCAGAAAAGGTTAAGAAACGTTTGAAATCTGCAAAAGATTTTCTAGACGTATGAAGAGGATGTCCACCCTATAAAAGCATAAATTAATCACCCCTCTCCACTTTTGAAATTGCCTTTTAAAGGGAATATATCTGAGGAATCAAATGAAAGACAAAAGAATTCAAATAAATGCTCATTTGTGGGCCTGAGTATTTGACTTCAGAATGAGAGCACCTAGAAGTATCCAAATGTTATATTTCTCTCTGTCTTTATCATCCGTCCTAACTCACATTTTCCCAAATCATGAAGATTCAAGAGAAAATACTGTGGCTCAGAGAGCATTAACATATCCCTTAGCCCTACCTCTAAAGCTGGCTGCAGTAGTGAGGGACTTAAGGCCCCCAAGTGACTAATGAGCCCCCTGTATGTCTAGAAGGTGCTTTTTTTTTTTTTCACTATCACTGGTGTCTAGTACAAATGCATGGGGTGAATGAGCAGACACAAGCTCTCCAAGTCTCAGTAGATTTTCCTATACAGTATGTGCCAGTCTGCAGACCACCACCAGGGTGCACAGAAAATATACCTCTCTGAGGTCAGGGGGAAGCGTTAATAACTAACTTTATAGTTTAAGATGCTATTCTGATGTACTTAAGCTCAATACTTTCAAGAACCCATCACCTTCCAAAGGCAGAGGCTAAGTCTGGGTGTTCACAGAGGACAAAAGCCTGTGGGCTCTCAGGCCACCTGTTCACCTGAGTGCCCACAGAGACATTCTTCAAGCATCTGGTTATCAGTGGCTATCAATCCAAGCAGATTGCTGCTGAATTGTCCTTTGCTCCTGTCACCTGCCTGTTTAGGCCCAGGGGCTTTTCTTACTGCATTTGCAGATACAGGTTCCATTATGTTGTTCTGTGCCCTGCAAAGGCATGGAAATCTCAGTAAGGGACCATATGCTGAGACTCACAGCACAGATATTTCCTGCCTGGGATTCTGTATAAGAAGCAGGGCCTCTCTTTACATGACCTACGAAAAGTATGATCTTACCACTTTCCCTTTCATTATCTTCCCCACTTCTGGCTGTGGGAACATTTTCTAGGATGGATCTTTCCAGGCATTTTTTTTTCTGTGTTTTGAGTTCTCCCCATCTCCCTGAGGTTGTGGGCTTTAAAGACAAAAGCTACAAATAGCCTTTTATTTCTATTCTCTAGCACTATCTTAGCCCTTCTTTGCCCTGAGAACATAACACTGAATTGAAAAGTGTGTGTGTATATGTGCCCATGCAGCTACACGCATGTGTACTCAGGCACATACAGGGGCTAGGGAGTGTTGGAGTATTGGAGGGGAGAAAGTATTGGAGGGGAGAAAGTATTGGAGGGGAGAAAGTCAGTTTATATCTTTAAACTCTTCTTCTATGTTTATAAATACACAAAAGTGGGGTGAGGAGCTTTTGATACTCCCAGCATTGAAATAGTGACTGTGGAACATTGTCATTTTTAGTTCTTAGAAAGCTATTAGATAATTAATCTAAGCAGCGTATATGGTTTACTTCCCTGAAACTGCTTCTGCTTAATCTATGTGTTCAATAAACTGGAGTAGAAATAGAGTTGAAAGGGCTCTGATTTTCTCATGCAAGCCCTGGAGGACAGGACTGAAGACACTTACCCTGAAGTAACCATAGAAGGACAGCCCACAAGGACTTTCCAGTCCTCTATTCCAGAGATCAGGCCAAATCATTGCGCAAGTAGTTGAAGGTAGTATGTACAGGCTGGGTGGTCAATATCAACAGCAAAGGGAGGAGGGCATGATGTGCTGTGACACTAAGGAATCACTAGTTTTCTAAAGAGCAAGTCCCACCCCAAAGAAATAGAGCTAATCTTGCAACTTGGCACCCAGAAGGGGAAAGGCACAAGTCAGAGTAGCCTCACAAAGCAATGAGGTGCCAATTTCCACCTCATCCTTAAGTCATAATTCTCCAAGCCTCAGATCAGTCAAGCTAACCACTCCTGCCAGCCGAGGCTTTCTCCCATCCTATTCATTACAGCACAACCCAGAACTCTTACCATAACATGCAGAACAACAGGCCAAACCATGAGGTGAGGGCTGCAGCCAGGTAAAATGTATTTTATACCCATAAGGAGAGCAAGCCTTTATAAAATATCTGGGCACCTTAAATCTCAATGTCTCCAGCTCAGTCGTCCTACTTCTGGAGTCCTTTCCCTACTCACTTTCCTGGCATCCCTCCTCCTCAAAAAGTCAGAACATTTCTGCTGTCATTTCTTCCAGAGGATAATTGTAGATAGGAAGAAGTTAAATGTGGGGGTCTTCAGACCTGTGTTGGAGCCCAGCCCCTATCAATAGCTGAATAATTCTGAGCTTAGTAATCAGCATATGGGAGGCCTCCACTAAGTGTCTGTCAAGCTGAATCCATCCACAATCTCAGGAAGATGCTACCAGTAATTTGCACCTTCAGCACGTATTTGTTCTAAAGCATGGCTACCAACTTTTTCTGTGTGCGTGTTATTTTTAAAAACCAAGAAATTTTATAAACCACTGTCTTATGATTAATATCTATTGATTAATAGAATACATCAGAACCCAAAGCTATACGAATTCAGCACCCCCTGAAATATGACTCATATTTTTTAATCAGAATATCTACTGTGTTTAAAAAGTCATAGTACATATATGTGCTCAGTATATCATCTATTAAATCTATTATAATACTCTGTTTAAAATGCAAATTTCTGAGACCCAACCCTAGAATCTCTGATCCAGTGGATTTGGAAGTAGAGTCACAGAATCAACATTTTACCCACTGGTGTGTGTGAGTGTTCTTGTTCTTGTTTTTGTTTGAGATGGAGTCTCACTCTGTCGCCCAGGGTGGAGTGCAGTGGTTCAATCTCGGCTCACTGCACCCTTCACCTCCTGGGTTAAAGTGATTCTCCTACCTCAGCCTCCTGAGTAGCAGGGATTACAGGAGCCCACCAGCATGCCCAGCTAATTTTTGTATTTTTAGTAGAGACAGGGTTTCACGATGTTGGCCAGGCTGGTCTTGAACTCCTGATATAAGGTGATCCTCCTGCCTTGGCCTCCCAAAGTGCTAGGATTATAGGTGTGAGCCACCACACTTGGCCTGGTGTGTTTTCTATAATAGTGGTTAAAAAAAAAAAAAAAAAAACACTGTCCCAAGGGGGCTTACTTGAATTAAATGTCTATTTACTATGGCAGCTTTCATAATTTAAGTAAATAGGGCTTTAGTTTTTAGGTTGTTAATACTTTGTATTAGCTTTGCTCATCATCTGTCCTTAACGTTTTGTGAGGTACATGAAGGTAACTATTATGAAGATTCGTGGGAAATACTGGTTCAATGGCTAGGTCATCAGATTGCAGAGGTGATAAAAATGGAATTTAGTACCTTGTGAGTGTCCATTAAAGAACACTCTTTCCAATTTTCTTTGTCTTTCACAGTATAGGCTTAAAGCCTGCAAGTGTCATTTCTAGCCTTGCAAAGAGAAGTGAAGATTGTGTTGCTTCTCATTGGCTCTACACCAGTTTTACAAACTCAGTTTTGGCCAGAGTTATTCCTTAGTTGTGTGTCTTCCAAATCACACAATCCAGAGATCCATAATTGAACAACTCATGTAGTGCTAGAAGTTTAGCTCCCCTTCTCCAATAAACATGGGGATGACCATGGCATCACTGTTGCTGGTCTGGGCATGGCCTGTGGCTTGTCCATTTGGGATTCCAATTAGAGAATATGGATGGTTTCAGAATCCATTTTGTCTAAAAAGAAAGGAACTTGCCCCTTTCAATAATGCTGTGGAATTTCCAACCTGATTATTAAGAGCTCTGATGAGTCAAACTTAGGCTGGGTTTCTGGCTTCGCATAACTCCCACATTCTTTGAGTTTTGGATTCCTCTAGAATCCATCACATCTAAGACCCACAGTGACTTCAGTTCCTATATTATATTAGAGATCTGAGGAGCATAGCAAGAATCTGCTTCCCTAGCCCTAGTTTCCATTTAATTCAGAGAACAGAACTCTTAATTTATATTTCCCTTGACAAACAATGGCTTGACTTACAGAGAAAAGGCGTCTCAGGAACTTGGACAAACTTGAGAGGAGAACTAAATTAGAGGTTAAATAAAATTCAGCCTTCCCACTTCAGCCAGGTTCTGCCATCTCTAGTTACTATAAACAATTGGGATTCTGAAAGTGTTGAAAAAAATACATTGACAATCCCCCCCAAAGGAGAAAGGAATTATAAGACCATTTTGAGCCTCTCTGCTTCTCAGCAGTAATATGGTTACATGGGACAAATTTAGCCCAGAGAAAGACACCTAGCTACTGTTCCACTAAACCCTTGGAAAGGGGAGTAAATGGTCCCAACCTTTGTCATTTGTCTGCAAAGTCCTCTTCTAAGACATGCATGGAATCCATAAAATAATAGGCAATGTCTCCTGGCTCTCTCTCTCCCTCACTCCCCACCACCTCACGCCCCACAAAAGGAAAGGGTGGATTTTCATCCTACTTTGCAAACATTTGGGGAGTATCAACCTTGTGCTAGGATTTCTATAAGCCAAAATGTTGAAGATAAGGACCACAGAAGATGTGTAACATAAGATATGCCATCCAGAGATAGAAATTCAAGCATCATTTTGTGTTGTCCTACGCTTCCTATGAACAAGAAAATTACTATGAATTTTTTTCAAAATATACAAACCAGAGAAGGGGCACTGATTAACTTTGACTTGGCTTCAGTGGTTGAGGTATAGTTCTGTAATGCTGTCTTCCTTTCTGCAAAACTGTGGCAGCCATCATCTATCCTAATTTTCCAACTTGAGGAAACCTATCTCCACCTTGAGAAAGACTCTTATACAGAAACATTTAGGGACTCCTAAAGACAAACTGAGCAAAGACAAGATGTGTGCTTTTCTCACTGTGGCTCTGGTTAAGTCTGTTCCCCTCTTGTGGCCATGGTTTCCCCATATGTATGAGACAGCCAGACTAGACCTCCAAGGCTCCTTTGAACTGAAATAGTCTACCGGTCTGTGGGACTCTGCCTCCCCTTCACCTCCACCTCCCCACATACACACACAACTCCCTTCTCTGCCTTGTGGTAAAACCCTGGCTCCCTCCTTTTTCTTCTTGGCTTCTATACCCAGGGCCCCATACTGTCAGAGGAAAAGGAGTAGAATAGATATTCCATACTAAACAATTAGAGTCTGGCTGTTATTTGTGTTACTGCCTCCAGGTTGGGGGTGGGATAGTATTTCCATTTTAGTAAGACCCTATGGGACTTCAGCATCAGTACAGTTGATAGAAAAAAGAAAGAGGAAAGGAAATAACAGACTTTCCAAAGACCTTTACTGGCCACTCAAGTCTCAATGTGACATTTTTATGAATAACATGGTCCTAGAAAAGTCTGTCTCATAGAAGAAGAGGGAGCCATATTTCAGAACCATTAGGAGAGAGTGAAAGGAAACAAAGGCTTCTGGGAATTTCAGCAAGAGGAAGGATTAAAGCAAAAAGGTTGCTGTTTAGGATATGCAGGGAGAAAAAGACTTGAGATGATCAGGGATAGTGAGTCCATATGCAAAGGCTGCTAGCCTGGAAGACATGGCTAAATGACCATAGCTTCCCATGCAGTCTCAAATTGCCTCTCAATGCAGCCTCCAGGAGCTGCCACCGTTGATCTATTGTTAGGCGAGGTTGAGCCTCCTGGGCATCCATTAGGTTATACTGAAATAGGCAATTGCAGACCTGGCAGATGGGAGTTAGAAAAGAGCAGGGGAGCTCCTCTGACATTTTGAGGGTGATGGCATGAGCAGCTAATCTGGTGCCTAATGAGCAGGGCCACATCGAAGATCGAAATGCTTGAACCATGGTTGACCTCAAATTCTAAGGGGTCATGGCAGTACACTGTTCTCTCTGCTACTCAAAGTAGAAGCCACCTCTACAGCCCATCAAGTTCCCTGTCCAGTCTCTCCTTGAGAACTTCCAGGAGCAGGGAGCTCACTACTTTTTGAGTCTGCTTCATTGCCAGGCAGCTCTATTAGGAAGTTTTTCCTTGAGTTGAGGAAAAAACCTACCCGTCTGTAACATGCACCCACAGAGTCTAATTCAGTCTTCTGAGACCACACAGTGGGAAAGAAATAACTAGGGAATTGATTAAAATCCTGTTGTCAGATAGAAGAGCTGACAGGGATACCCAGTTTACTAACTAGCCTGCAGCTATTCAGCTCCTGTGGAAGTCCAACAAGGTAAGTCTCAACACCTAGGGCAGGCTTTGCACATGGAAAAGTGGCCACAAATGTGGGAATTATAGGACCAGAGAACCTGAGCATGATCAGAAGTTCTCAACAGCCAGGAATATAAAGAGTGGAAAAAAGAAGTTATCGCTAGGGTCATTCCTATTATTTATGTATAATTTGTTCTCAGTATCTTCTCAAAACCTGTAACAGGGCTTGGCATATATGAGATGCTCAGTAAATACATGTGGAAAGAAGGAATCTCTAATCAGAACCTTGTTAATGGCTCTAAGTTTTCATCATCTGATCATTTATGTAAACAACATTTAATAACCACTGCGTGTGTATTAGGCACTGGAGAGTTTATAGATAAATGTGACATGAGCTCAGGACTGAAAATCTGATGGGGAAGGAAAAATATTTACCCAAGTAGCCATAAGTGCACTAAGAAAGGGTCAAGATAAGACATGGTGAGTCCCCTAAACACAGGGACGTATTGTAAAGAGAGTTAACAAAAAGCCTTGATGTAAAAACTCTTCAACTAGTGTCACTCTGTTAAACTTGAAGCTCAATATTCCCTCTTCAATTGACAAGAACACAGACTAATGATTCAAACTAAAATTCTAAGATGTGAATTTCCCGATGGAGCTGGAGGGAGAAAGTTTCCCATGGAGGGTCCTTGTTTCTGGCTCTCTCTTTGCTTCCTGGCAAGACCTCAATTGGCACTCCTCCGAACGACCCACCCTACTGTAAACTTCTCCCCGGCAGCTCACCTTCTCCCTGGGCTTGCAACTGCGAGTCGCATACCTGGCTGCGGCCAAGATAATTTCAGGAAATGGTACTTTGGAAACTCGTCTTTAAAATGAAAACAGATAACACAGCTGGCAGTGGAGCCAAGGAAAACTCCACTTTTTCTGAAAAGCAAGCAGCTTGTTGGCACCGGAAACCTACCTGCCCAACGCCATCACTACCACATCCTCTAATAAATGCACCAGCACACATAGGATACACAAACGTTCCTCAGCAGGGCTGCAGAACACACCCTCAAAACCTGAGGAACCTTTTTCCCACCGCCCTTTGGAGGACTGTACAGCCCCTGGAGCCCTTGGAGGCTCAAACCTACAGGCCTGCATCGTATACTTCCTCCTAGAGAAACCCTGATGGCTTCTTCCTCCACACTGGAGACAATGTAAAGCAAATTGAGTGAAATTTTTGTAGGCATTTCTAAGTTAGATGAACCTTCTAGCAATTTTCACTGATAAGCAATGAGGGTTTTGTTCCCAATTTAGTAAAAGGAAAAATGAAAGATGCGAGTTGGGACCATTTCTGCTATGAGGGTGGCATTAGTAAGCTGACCTTCACTCTGTGGGAGGCAGCTGAATCCTGCTGAGAAATGTCATTTAAACAATTTTCCCTTGCACAGTTGTAACACTTTCCAACTTACAAAATGTTTTCACTTGCCTGCTCTCATGAGAGCCTCACAGCAAAGTTGTGTCATTGCCAGGATTATGGTCATCAGTGCATGCAGATGAGGAAACTGAGGCTGACAGACAATAAGTGGTTTGCTCCAGCACATGCAGAAAGGAAACGACAAATCCAGGACTGGAGCACAGACCTCCCCTGCTGCATTCGGCCTGCTTCTTCAGGGGCTCGTGGCTGCTTCTAATCTGAACATCAGATCATTCAACAAATCTGAGATTCCCCGTGAACAAAAGCTAATACAACATCTATCTTTCTATAAATCATGATAGTTCCTGGTTCTTGGGATCAATTTCATGAAGCTATAGCAAAATTGTCAGCATTTTAAGTTTTTAGAACTTAATCCTCTTCCCTGTAGAATGGACTTGGGAGCCAGACTCAGGGAATTATTTGGGTTCATAGAGTAAGGCTCGACTCTGGGGCTCTAGGAAATCAGCGTAACTGGTGGTAACCTGAAAGGTATTGACGGTCCCTCCAGGAATAATATTAGTTATTAAAATGGTGACTTATCTGTTTGTTGTCAGATTCATTGCCAAGCCTTGCTCTGCCCTGTTCTGCATCACAGGGGCTGACCTCCTCCTGGTACATTTCCCAAGCTCCTGTTCCATCTGGCTCCTGATTAAGTTTGGCCAATGGGAGGCCTCAGAAGAACATTAGAGGAAGGAAAAAGCCAAGGTATTTCCCCTGTTTCATCTGCTTATCAGAGACATTGCAGCAGTGGTCTGGTCTCTTCTGGGGTTCCACTTCCACCAGGAAGCCTCTCCCTTTGCAGTCCCAGTTCCTAAACTCTGCTAACATCACTTAACGTCTCAGTCACTTTAGCCCTAGCTAGAAATATCTTCCTGATAGTCTAAGGCTTGCCTCACCCATTTGCCCATTTTGCTCTGTCAACACCTTTGGAGCAAGTTTCTCATATTAAGGTTCATCTCTTGAACTGCCTGGCATAGATTCTGTTTTCCTGCCTGAAACTTAAACAATATAGCTACCATTTTATATGCACCTTTCTTAGTTTCTGCTACTCTGGTTAACAATATTTGAAGTTAAAGAATCTTTTGGTTCAGCCAACTTCCTAAACAAGGAAGAGCTTGGACAGTAGTGTACTGGTAACTGATATTTAACAATTAGTTCTCCAAGAAAGAAAAACTTTGATTTGTAGCATTTGCCAATTTCCATGGTGCAACTACTCCCATCATGGCTGATTTCAAGCTACCAGCATAATGTCACTGAATATGGATTTGGAAAGAGACACACAATAAACTTGAGCTGCTGCAGCTGGCTCATGGGATATCTGAGCAAGGACAACTGTATACCCTGAGGCAGCTGAACAGAGAAGGGTTTTGGGCACAGTGCTGAGCTGCTCTAAATAAATTACAAAAGTTTTTGAGGCTTCAGAGAGTAATGAGAGGCCCAGAAGAAAGAGGAAGCTGCAGAGAGCCAAAAAAGGAAAACAAGGGAAAAAAAATGTCTAATAGGAATTTGGGGAGTGAAGTGTTAAGAGCTGTGAGCTGTAGCTTCCCCCGAGAGAACTATAGAATCAACAGTAAAAGATCTCCTTATCATTAATGCATTGAAGAGCTGAAATTATTTGGGAGGTTGAATTGAAGAGCCAAGGGAACTGCCAAAGAAAAACAGAACCACAAGTGGGTTACAATGGATTGTAGAGTGGCATCATCAGAAGGGGCCTCAGAGATCCTGCATTCAAACAGAGTTATTTAACAGATGAGGAAACTGAGCCTCAGAAAGGCCAAGACCATCCTGGCATATAATGGCAGAACCCCAGTCTAGAATGGGTTTCCTGACAAGGGCATTCATTCATTCAATAAATATTGCTTGGTGCTAGACATCTATTGTGAGCACCACAGACATGGTCCTTATCTTCAAGGACTTTACCATCCACTGGAAGAAAGAAGGATTAAATAGCTTATCATAGTATGTAACTATTTTTTCATGTGATGAGTACTGTGAAGAAAAAACAGAGGGCACTTTAATAGACCTTACACAAAGACCTAATTTAGCCCAAGGGGTACAGAAAAGCATCTCTGGGGAAGTCTGACCCTGAACTGAGAAGGAAATGAAGAACATGAATCTGTCAGGTAAAGATGAGGGGAAAGAGGGCTCCAGGTAAAGGGACTTCAGACACAGTGGCTCTGCTTCAGGGTTTGGTCCCAAACAAATGCCTCTTATGTAGTATATCTTCTCTTTCATCACTAAACACTCTGAAATTTGTTATATCCTCTAAGCCCTGAGTTATAAGCAAGATGATTAAACTTTGTCATAAGGTAGTATCTTGAATTTAGGTGCAAATATAAGTGTGTGACTAGCTGTTATCCTATACTTTAGAATGAAAACTGGTGGGTGCCTTGGGCCTGGGCAGTGCTCAACTCCTGTCAATGGGAGGCAGCAATGCACCCTGTAGATCCCAGGCCAAAGTGAAGCCCTTGCTTCTCTCTGTGGGCAAAACTGAGATAAAGGAACACATTCTCCAGGCCATGTCATTGTATTTTTACCTGCCAAAACCCATTGCTGATGTCCCCATGCCTTCCCTAACAGGTGGAGGTGGACAGCATACCCTGGGGAACCTAAAAATTCCTGAGCTATGGCCCATTACCCTCTCCACCTGTGGGGTTGAGTCTGAGCCATTTCTTTCCCCCAGGCTTCAGAACCCCTTCTCCCAGCTACATTCCTCCCATCTTGATCTACGGAGGCTGGGAAGAGACATGAAAGCTTGCTTTTGCTCTCACGTCAAGTAAGTCCATCAATTATGCTTTCTAATGTTTAATTCCATTATTTTATCATCAAATAACTGAAGCCAGATTTATCTTCAATTCATTATGACCTCTCCAGCCCTTAACTTTAGACAAAGCAAACACTACCAAAAACACCCCGAATGGACTTGCTACAAAAATTTGGGTAAATTTTATTTTTCTCATCTCTAAATTAGATGCATAAAGCCAACCTTTGCAGAGAAGTGACTGTAAGGAAGAACAAATAACTTACTTGTCAAATTTCTGGAGGTCTTCCTGTAGCACCATCTGGAGAGCCCAGTGCTATAATTCCATGGATATGATTGTGAGGTCTTGTGTGAGGAATGTCTTCTTTCAGGCAGCTAGAATTCCAGCCCACTGATATTTCCATGGACTTGGCATGTTGACATCCCTCGGACTCAGTTTCTCTCCTTTGCAAAATAAGATAAATAATATGGTCTAGTCAGCTGGCACCATAAGAACAATTCTTAAAATAATTTTGTGCACTTTAGAAGGAAAGACATCAGTAACATTCAAGTTTTTTGGCATTTTTTTTCCATATTGAATCACTCCAAGGTAAGGGTTTTTAAAAATCTAAGTGGGGAAATCAGCAAATATATCCACACAAATCAGTATGTTTCTTTTTGGCATATGGCATTACTATGCATTTTGATTTTAAGGATAAGCAGTTTTCATCAGTATTTTTTAAATGTGCTGAGTCTTTTCTCTCAGGCTCCTGGATTCAAGGGGCTGAATAGATGGGAATTCCTGCTGTCTCTGGAGAAGAGCTTACTTCCTTTCCCAGACTTCCCAACCCCACCCAGGATCACTTGTCATTGAGATTAACCTTTGTGGAGAGGCACCCAGGAGCGCAACTCTCTGGGAGTGTGACAGCTTTTTCAGGATATCAGGAAGTGGAGCGTGTGTGTGACCCAGGAGGGACACACATCCATGTTACAGAAGAAGGCTGAGGCTGCAAAACATGCCCCAGAAAGGAAGCGGATGTTACACCTTCGCTACCTCGCTGCTCTGAAACAGGAAGACATTCATTTGTCCTTCTGGGCATTCAACATTCCACTCACAAACTCCCCTCCTGGAGTCTCTCTGTGGTTCAGTGAATCGTATGTTCCAGAAACCAGCCCTTCCCCCACCTCAACCCAGAGGACTTACTAGTTCTGATGTGAAAGGTATTGATTCAGAAGCTCTTGATGGCTGAGGGCTCCCTGCTAATGCCCTTCCCCCTAGTGCGTTTATTAAACGCCCTCCCGCCTAGTGCATTTGGCAGGTCTCAGAATTCTGCTTTCTTGTGTTCCCTTCCATTTTCTTCATTGTAAGCCCCTCCTCCGTCAAATAAACCCTAACTTGGGTTTAAGACCTTCTTGGAAGATGATTCTATACCCTCCCTTTCTAGACCTCCACAACCCTCACTCTCATTCAAATGAGAGAATCACTAAAGGGCTCCTTGTCCTTGCCCCCCAGCAGACCCTCATAAATCCACAGTGAGGTTTTTTTTTTAATTAAAGCGTCCAAATAATTAATGATCAACTCCATTTGTGCCATAGAAAACCAAAATGTCACACGGTTGAAAAGACCCAACCAAATAATTCAGTGTACCCTATAAAGCTTTAAAAAAGCGGAGCCCAAGAGGCCTGCATGACTGGTTTCTGTGCTGTCTGAAAAGCTTGGTTGGGTTTTGGGCACTTGATCGGATTCCAGGAATAATGTGCCCTGAGCACAAAGGGCTCTTTTGATGTGTCTGTGCCATAGCTCCTCCCCTTTTCCTCCTCACTTTACCTGGGATACACATTCTCCTTGTCTCCTAAGTTGGAAAAAATAACCCATGGAAAAGAGGAAAAAACAGCAGAGGGAAAATCTAGGCTGGAAGTGGGGAAAAATGCTGCAGTTCTTAGTCTGAGTTTGGTTACTAAAGACTAGTTATTCCAGAAGGAATAGAAGAAGTGACATTTATACATTGTCTGTGACCAGACAATGGGAAATCGTAATGATAAGATGTCTCTTGTTTGAATGTGGTCCCTTGAGCTAAAGGTAATGAGTGAGTCTTCAAGCAAGGACTTGCCACTTTCAAACAGTCAGAGGTATGGCAGGTTACTAACCCTAGAAATCAACATGAATTTAGATGCCTAATCCAGCCAGAGAATCTTATAGATAGTGAGTCCATCCCGTTGGTTTTCCATGGGTACCAGAATATTCAGGAAAGATGGAAAGAAACAAGACAGAACTTCCATTGCTAGGATGTCCTTAAAAAGTGGCAGAGCAAACTAGAGGCCAGGAGTGTATAAGCAATGGCCCTGAGAGATAAGGATTGTGGGTCTAGCCCCAGCATACAGATGTCCAGATTGGCAGCAAACTGCAGTAAGCTGGTGCTAATACAGGGCTATTTTTGTCTGTCTGGGCTAACTTGAAGAGGATGTTTTTTCCTTCTAGCCTCATTCTCCTTATCTACGTAAAGATGGACTTGTACTGCACCACCATCAGCTCTGAGATTCTATTTCAGAAATCTATTGCTGCCCCAAAATTTGATGGCTGACAACAAGAATCTACTTATTTAGGTCTTTTTGGTTTTATCTCAACAGTGTTTTATGGATATCTGTGTAGAGATTTGTACATATATAGATTCATTGGTAGATTTATCCCAACTATATGTTTTTGATATTACTGTAAATGGTATGCTTTTTAAATTTTATTTTTAAATTATTTGTTAAATATATTTATTTACATATGTATATAGAAATATTGATTTATATATACCAGCAACAAATCATCAGCTCTGAGATTCTGTTTCAGGACTCTATTGCTGCCCCCAAATTTAATTGATTTTTATAGATTGAATTTGTATCTAGTAACTTCACCAAACTCACTTACTAATAATATTTTATAGATTCTCAGTCTGTCTTCTCACCATCAACTCTCAGCTGGTGAGATCACAAGGAAGATGCTTGATATATCTTTTAGGTTTCTTAGGTTGTAAGCAACAGAAGTGACTCTGACTAGCTTAGATATAAGGTAGAATCTATTTTAAAGCTATGGGATAGTTCTGTGAATCACAGAAAAAAAAAATGAACTGTTAGACCTCAGAAAATGAGAGGGCCTAGGATAGCATTCAGGCACAAATCAACTATCTCCATCAGGACGATCTCTGGACTTACCCTTGTGTAACTTCTCTTAAGATTCAAATTCCTCAGAGAGCAGGACTTGTTGGCCCTATTTATCTCCGGCCCTTGGCCACATTGCCAGTTAATTGAGAGGCCCACCAAAACTGCATGCAGTGCCAGAAGAGTGTTACCCCAAAGGAAATTCAAGGTGCTGTTATGCAAAGGGAGAACTCATGCTGCAGACGTAAAACAACACGACTGCCATGTATGATATCTAACTAGAACTTTCTGCCCATCACTCATCAAGTGTACAGACTAGCACTTAAAGTTTCGGTGATAATAGTGGTGATGGAAAAGATTACAATCTCAGACAGCCCTATCTTCCTATCTAGCCATCAAAAGCACTTGGGTTCACTGTCAATGATCCATGTTATTCATTTATACATGAAAGTAGATCCTTCGCCTAGCTTGGCCTGCCTGGGCTTCAGTCTACCTCCCTCTTTCCCATTAATATGTTTTGCACTGTTGAAATAGGCTTGATTAGTAATCAAATACATCTGTGTTCTATCTTGCTTTCTTGCCTCTATCTTCTGTCTCTTTTTAAGGGTGGTGGTGTGTTTACTTTGCTGCAGTTACTTTGGAATCAGAGACCTAGTATTTATCCTGATACAATCAGTAACAACATTGAATTCTCTCTGCTTGCTGAACTTTTTATACACTATGTGGGCTTGAGCACACGTAGTGCATAAAAGATGTTTGTGGGTTTCCTAGGTGTTCTTAATCCATCAGAAAATGGATTGGGGTAATCATGATCAATTTTCCTAAGGAGGGAATTATAGTGAAAAAAAGTGAGGTTAAAAGGCTCTTATCTTTGCCATCACTCATCCCCACCTTTATTTATTGCTTTCTCTGGTTTTCATTAGCATGCTGATGACCAAAGCTACAGACATTTTCATCCATATTCTGACTGCTGCCCTGATTTCAGTTCCAAGTTATGAAACCTAATCCAAACCTTAGAGGGGAAACTACAAACTGTAACTTTAAATTTCAGTTTACAGAGTCTCCCAGGATGATTCCAGGAATTGAGTTGGGAGGGGTCCTGGGAATCAGAAACCAAACTACCATCTCCTTCCTCCTCTGAAAGGACCCGAGGACATTTGAAACATAACTCATAAAAGACCATTTTCACAACATCCCAGCTGAGAAAAATTGCAAGAGAACATCTCACTCAACCTCCTCCCTGCAATTGCTCCTAACTAATTCCAGATAGAAGGAGGTGTCTCTTAGTCTTCAAGATCACTTGAAGGGCATTTCACAATTCCCCATGGTCACCTGTTTCAAAATATAAGAACTGGATGCCAGGAAAATATTCCTCATATTCAAATACCAATTCTTTCTTCAATTCAGACCATTTGGATAATTAAAGTATAACATTTCAGAACTGGAAGAGGCTTTAAATACCATTTAGTCTAGAGGTTACGACTGGTAACCAAGGATTGAGACATATTTTACTAGGGCCACAGAAAGTTTAATTTTTGAATTTTTGTATTTGTTGCCAATGCTTAGATATTGAGATAGATCCTTTCAAAAAAAATCCAGATAGCTGGGATCTCTAGAAAACATAAAAGATCTGGAAACACAGTGGTCCTCATTCCCATGGCAGCAATTGGAGTTGGGTGCTTCTCTTTGGATTGGGGTTGTATGGAGAAAATAAACTCTAGTTTATCATAGAACACACCAGATTTGCTTGCCTCATGTACCCTAAATGATTAACTCTTATCAGCATCTAAGTTTGTGATCCCTGATTTTTGTGGACATGAAAACTGAGAACCAGAAAAATGATCTAACTGAGGTGACCAGCTGTGCAGGTGTGACAAGAGCTAGAACCAGGGCTCATGCCTCCTAGGCCAATGATCTTCCACTATAGAGCACTGCTTTCAGGCTCTTACTATGCCAACCTGGGGCAACTGAAGAAGAAAATTAAATAGGGCAGGGAGTTGACATAATAAAAGTTAAAACCTACAATTTCCATATGCCCTGTGATCTTCTGTAATCCTTGGGTCAGCTCAGCAGTAAGGTGATAAAGATGTTCCCTATGGAACCTTAAAGAAGACAATTGGTTCATACCCAGTTTATTGTGAAGGAAAGGTTCAGTGGGAAGACTAGAAGACACAAGTCCATTTTTATGATGGGGTGTATGTGAGTGGTTTGTTTGAGGAGTAGTTCTCAGTACTTTAATCAAGAAGGTACTATGCCCATTTTCAACTCCAAGATGTAGTCCGAAGACAAAAAATAAATAAATAAATAAAGTCTTACAGAGAATATGAAGGGCACAGGGGGAATTTTGTCTATCAAAAAAATTTAAAAATAATGATTTCAATCTAAGTGTCTGTTTACAAAAGCTACTAAAATCAAAGGTCAGTTTGGTAAAAATGAAAGTTTAATAGTATATTTCTCGGGAAATTATCCAAACTAGTTAATTATTCCTATGTAGACACAATATAAAACAGTCTTTTAGTCTCTGAAGAGGGAGTGATCAGTGAGCAGAGTACAAATTCTATGTTAATTCTCTCTTGCCACAAGAAAGAAAAAAAATAGGTTAAACATTTAGGCAACATTTACAGCCCCAAAGTACCTAATCACTTTGGTGAGTTCAGGCTCTGAATGGGCTAGTTATCATGTGGTCCAAACAACTGAAGAATTAAGTACATCACTAATGACCACTAGTTGTTTCAGCCAAGTACAGAAATCTTTGAAATGGTTTCTGGCTGTGAATGTGGCTCAATATAGAAAAAAAGTGGCCAAAAGAGCCTTTCAGATTTCTTTCCTGTAGCCCTTCACTCATAACCAAGGAGGGCTGGAGAAATAGCACTTCTTTCTAAGAGCAGAGACATAATTTGAGTTTGAGATATTCATGTTTAGTTGGAGTTAGTGAAGGAATTTAAATGGTTTATTACCACCAAGGAGACACTTGCAATTGGCATTCACGTGGACAGCAGATTTTGCTAGTTGGAAAATTTGTGAGAAAAGACTTAGCCAAGAGATACTTCTCATGGCCAACTTATTCTTAATAAGCTTGATGGCATTTGAGGGTTATAAAAAATTGATTAATATCCTTTCCCTTCCAGAGCTCACTAGCCAGGAGGGGCTGCCTTTACCACTTGACCATTTCCTCTTCTCTCCCAAAACTTCCTCCTTTAGAATATCAGAACTAAATTAAAAGAGCATCTGAAAGGGCCAATCCAAAATCCAGTGGTTTGAATAAAATCATGTATTGTAGACACCCTCCCTTTTGCTATTGGTTAGATCCCAGAAAGGCTTTCTAGGTGGAGAATTTCTTTCCCCTAATGATGGTGAAGAGTTTTCTAAAGAAAGAAGAGGAATCCCATATTAGAAAACACAACATAAAATGGGAACGACATTGCAGATCCATGGGGAAAATGATACATGTTGAGATAACTGGTTATTAATAAGCAAAAAATATTCTAATTAGATCCCTACATCTAATTAATACAAAATTGTATTTAATGTTGATTAAATGCATAGACATGAAAGAAAACTTAAAACCTTTTAGAAGAAATCTTAGAATATCTTTGAAACCTTTGAGTAGAAAAGAATTTTTAATCTATGACAAACAAAAACATTTAAAAAGCAACAACTTTAAAGAGGCTTCATAAATTTACCTACATTAAAATAAATACAAAACTTATATACAACAAAAGATACTATGAACAAGTGAAAAAGATAAGCAATATAGTAGCAGAGGAAATTTGCAAACATATAACCTATGAAGATTAGTATTTAGAATACATACAGGACTCCAAGAATTAACAAGAGGAAAACAACCATCAAAAGCTCTAACATGCATGTAACTGGAATTCCAGAAGGAAAAAAGAAAGATGTTAGGGAAAAAAAAATTTTTTTTGAAGAAATGATGACCAAAAATTTTTCCAAATTTGGCAAAAGACATATTCAAGCATCTCAGCAACCCCCAATCATAAATTTTATAAATTCAAAGAAAGCCCTGCCTAGAAACATTGTAATCAAACTGCTGGAGACTAAGAATAAAGAACAAATCTTAAAGCAGTTAAGAAAAATAATATATTACATACAGAAGAGCAAATATTTAAATGACAGTGGATTCTCATCAGGAACCATGGAGGCGAGAAGACAGTGGAACAATATCTTTAAAGTGCTGAAGATAAATAAATAAATAGATAAATAAAACTATCAACGAAGACACATAAATAAATAGATAAATAAAACTATCAACCTGAAATTTTGTATCTAGCTAAAATATTCTCAGGAATGAAGATAAAATAAAAATATTTTCAGATAAAGAAAGTCTAAGAATTCATTGCTAGCAGACCTGTGATACAAAAAATTGCTGAAGGAATTTCTTTAGACTGTAAGAACAAGACACTAGAGTAAAACTTGCATCTTCAGGAAAGAATAAAGTATCAAAACTGGTAAATACCTGGTGTATAAGTCATGGTTCAACCAGAGGAGTATTTATGCCGTCATGCATTGTATAATGACGTTTTGCTCAATGACAGACGCATACATGATGGTGCTCCCACAAAATTATGATGGAGCATATATAGAAATCTGATATATGGCACTTGATATTGGCATTGTAGATCAAGTAGAGGAAATTATGGTACTCAGTAATCATGCTGGGATATTTGGTTTTCCATATGGAAAACTACATGTACATTTTTATATATTATATATTTATATTTATATAAATACATATTATATTTGTATTATATTTATAATATAATTATTATATGTAGATATACCATCTAGGTATATATATAATATATACCATATAGGTTTGTGTAAGTATGCTTTATGATATTTGTACAATGACAAAATCACCTAAGGATACGTTTGCCAAGACTATCCCCATCCTGAAACAGCAAATGACTGTATGTATGTGTGTGTTAGAGATAGAAAAGTGTATATAGAGATGCATACACAGAAGGGCAGGGGAGTTGTGGGGAGAAGATTATTACAGAGAATTGGCTTATGCAGTTATGGAGTCTGTCTAGGGCAAGTGGCCTAAGAGAGAAGATGAATAGACTGAACCCCACAGGTAGGAGTCTCTGGGCTCAGGGAAAGCCTAGACCCTCTTTTAAAGGTTTCACACAAGATAATAACCTTTTTGACTAATTTAAAGTCAAATAGTAATGATTGGGGGCTTTAATTGCATCTACAAAATTTCTTCACATCAGCACCTAAATCAATGTTTGACTGAATAACTGGAATGGTAGTTTAGCCTAGCCAAGTTTACATATCAAAAAGCTATTACATCTGAGTAAATATAAAACACTACTTTCTTTCCTTTTAAGCTCTTTAAAATACCTATATTTGCTTACACTAAAATCTAATATTGGTGGAGTTTTTATGAGACATATGTAATATAAAATATGTTGACTATAGAATAAAGGGACCAATAGTGTTGTTGGGTTTACATCAGTGGTAATATTAAATTTTAGTTGACGATGACAGGTGATAGATAGAACCATTAAGATATTTATAATAATGCATAGCTTTAAGCCAATATAAATTAAAATAGAATACTAAACATATTCAAATAATCTAAAATAAAGCAGGAAAAGGGAAACAGAGGAACAAAAAAGAAATCGTAACATAATAAGACAGTAGATCTAAATTTAACCATATCAGTAATTACATTAAATGTTAATGATCTAAGCATTAAAAGATATTGTGAGAGTAGATTTAAAAAAGCAAGACTCAAGCACGTTGCCAACAAGAGACATACTTTAAACACAAAGATACATGTAGTTTGAAAGTAAGTGGATAATGGTAAAGATACACCATGCAAACAGTAAGCTTAAGAAGACTAGAGTGACTATATTAATAACAAATTAAAAGAGTAGACTTCATGACAAAGAGCATAACCAGGAATAAAAATTTCAAAAAGGACAATTCACCGAGAAGACAGTAATTATAAATATGTATGTATCTAATAGCAGAACCTGATACTCAACAGAAGTAGAAAAAAAAAACCTCTATAATCTTAGTAGATTTTAACACTCCTCTCTCAGCAATTGATAGAATAACCAGACAAAATATCAGTAGAGACACGGAAGATCTGAACATCACTGTCAACCACCCTGATCTGATTGACATTATAATAGAACTCTACATTCAGCTGTAAAATATCCATTCTTTTCAAGCAGGCATGGTACATTCACCAAGATAGACCATATACCTGTACTGCAAAACACTTGTCAATAAGTTCAAAGGAACAGAAATCATGTAAAGTGTTTTCTATAATCATAAGAGAATTAATCAGTAATAACATATCTAGGAAAATCCATATCTAGGAAAATTATTTAAAAGTATGTCATTTGGAATGTCATTTCCAATTATTTGGAAATCAAATGACATACTTTTAAATAACTTATGCATCACAGTCAAAATCACAAGGAAAATTTAAAAATGTTTTGAACTGAATAAGGGAGAAAATACAGTATCAAAATTTGTAAGATGCAACTTAAGTACTGCTTAAAGGGAAACTTGCAGCTTTAAATGCAAAAGAAGAAAGGCCTAAAAACAACAGCCTATGATTCCACCTTAAGAGGTTCAAAAAAGATCAAAGTAAGCCCCAAGTAAGTAGAAGGAAGAAAATGAAGATAAGAGTAGAAAGAAGTCAATGAAATTGAAAATAGATACCTAATAGTGAAAATTAGCAAAGCCAAAAGCTGGCTCCTTGAAAAAAAAATTGACAAACTCTTAGTTATACTGACAAAAAAAAAAAAAAAAAGAAAGAAAAGAAAGAGAAAGAAAAAAAGAATACATCACCAATATCAGGAATAAAAAAATATGTTATCACCACAAATCCTACAGATTTTAAAAGGATAATAAGTAAGTATTGGAGCAACTTTATCATATTTTATAGCTTAGATGAAAGGGATAAATTTCTTGAAAAATGCAACTTACTAAAGTTGGCATGAAAAGAAACAAAATCTGAATTGTCATTTTCGAAATGAGAAAATTTACTGCATTATCAAAAAGCTTCCCTGAAAGAAAAACAATAGACAAGTGGCAAAATATATGAACGTGCAATTCACAAAAGAAGAAACTTGAATGGTTCCTAATTCTATGCAAAAATGTTTGACCTCAGTGATCAGAAAAATGTAAATAAAACCACATAGAAAACATTTCACACTAAGCAGCTAAAAAATAAAAGCCTGATAATAAGAAGTAATAGCAAGAATGTAAGAAAAACAAAACTCATAAACTTCTGGTAGACATGTAAATTGGTACAAACACTACAGAGGGCAAATGGGCAACATCTAGTAAAGTTTACAAGGCAAATATCCCATAACCCAGAAACTCCACTCCCTACGCATGTGGAGAGGAAACGTGTATAAGGATGTGCATGGAAGCATTGTTTGTAATTGAAAATGTTGGAAACAAACTAAACATCCATCAAGAGGAAAACTGATAAAAATATGCTTTCATCTATTCATACATGGAATTTTAAACATAAGTTAAGACTAGAGATACGTGTTCAATTTAAATACAAAACATTAAGAAAAAAACCAAGTTGCAGAACGATACACAATTATACCATTTATTTAACCACTTAATATATGAAAACAATGCTACATAATTTTAAGGACACATAGAGAGAGAGTAGAAATGTAAAGACAGACAAGAGAATGATAAAACTCAAAATCAATTACTGTTGTCCCTACTTAGAAATAGGGGAATGGGATGACAGATGGATACAGGGGATTTAAACCATATTTGTAATGTTTACTTTTAGGCTGGTTGGTGCATACAAAGGTATTCATTAGCGTACTCATTGCACCTTTATGTATGCCTGAAACATTCTGTAGTTTAAAAAATTAGAAAGGAACTGGAGTCTGAAATATGGCTGCTTGGCAAAAGATGGAGGCTTCAGTCATAATGAGGAATCAGACGCCCTTGCTGAATGCCCTCAACTGTTTTGACTTCTGGAGGGGCGGGCCGTGATTACAGCTGCGATTAGGTGACTCACCATAATTATGTTTTGTTGAAATTGAATTTATTGAAGCATGAATCATTCTGCCCAAGTCCTACCTAATTGCTCCAACACTGTGGATTGGAAGGATGGCGGAGGAGTTTTCCTTGGAAGTCATTATAGAACGAATGTGCTTGCGCACGTGCGTCCATCCCCGCACACAGTCGGCCACACTCACCTTACAGAAAGCCAGCAGCGCGGCCCCATCCTTTGTGATGACATGAGGTTGCCAGACAATCTTTACTTGTTTAGCTGTGGTTTCTTCGTCTCCTACCCCCTACTCTTCTTTGTGAGCAACTCACTATTTGGCCGTTTGGCTCCCCGGGGGTCTCTGTGC